>NC_000005.10:130109807-134909807 GCF_000001405.40 Homo sapiens | reverse complement strand
CATGAGTGACTGCGCCCGGCCCTTCTGTGGTTTATTACAGATACAACAAAGATTGACTATTACCACCGGCCATCTTGGACACTGCAGAATTCTAGGACTTGTGGCAAGTCTATTGGCAGGACCAGAATTAAAATTCAAGGCTCCAAACTCCTGGTCTATTGCTCTTTGGATGGCCCTACATCACCTCAGTAGCCTTCACTACTCTCTGTTATATCTCTAATAAGCCAGAGAAGCTGAACTGTGACGTTTGAGGCAGCAGTAAGGGGGCCAGAGGGAACATACCATAGAGACAGCTTATTTTGTACAGAGCCAGCCTTGTTTTGGTCTGTCTTTTGAGAACAAAGGAATGAAAGATGGTTTTAACTATTTGGAATTACCATCTCCTGTCACATCTAATGAAAACCAATCCCCGGATGGGGAAAAACAAATGCACATTTACATAGGATTTTATCTAACTTCTGGGGGTCCACAGATCCTCTGGACTACAGGTAAAAAGCCCTGGCCTCAGTGGGGTGGGTTTATGAAGCCCTCTTCTCAGAGCACCAGTCAGACAAACTCTCTCCATAGTTTGGCCAGAGTACTGCCCAGTCCAAAGCACTTGTGTGCACTGTCTGGCCTGTTTCTACGCATCCTGGGGATGACATTCACAAAGCCAGGTTCTGTTGGTTAACAGGCCCACACTTCCCATGCTATTGGTTTTTTAACTGAAATAACTTTAAACATCAGGGCCAGAGAGAAGATATGGACACTTGACTAGAAGTCAGGAAAGCAGGGTTCTCATTCCAGGCAATACTTCTTGCCTTACCTACTTGCAGAGTTACTGTAGGCTCAGGTGAGAGAGAGGCTGTCACCCAGAAAGATGAACATTAGTGAAGGCTCCTCATCAAAGGGCAACTGTGGGCTAAGCTGCATTCCCTGGATTCTCTGCCATTAAGCTGCAACTCACTCCCACTTCAGAAATCCCAAAATCATTTATCACTAATATTAAGAGAGGAAAAAGATTTTACCTTTAGACAACTTTTTCTATGAAGAAAAAAATACTAATAAATCAGTTTTCTAGTTTTTCTTCTTTGCTAGGTCGGCTATTCTTCCCCACAACTAACAAAAGGAAAGAATGAGAGTACCTTTTTTTTTTTTTTTTTTGAGACCAAGTCTTGCTCTGTCACCCAGGCTGGAGTGCAGTGGTGTGATCTCAGCTCACTGCAACCTCTGCCTCCCAGGTTCAAGCGACTCTTCTGCCTCAGCCTCCTGAGTAGCTGTGATTACAGGTGCATGCCACCACGCCCAGCTAACATTTTGTATTTTTAGTAGAGACAGGGTTTCACATGTTGGCTAGGCTAGTTGCAAACTCCTGACCTCGAGGGATCCGCCCACCTTAGCCTCCCAAAGTGCTGGGATTACAGGCGTGAGCCACTGTGCCCAGCAGAGAATACTTTTTAATTAAACAAAAATATGCAAAAGCTTGTTGTTAAAAACCACTTACTAGATTAGTTGGGCATGGTGGCACACGCCTGTAATCCCAGCCATCCAGCCTGGGCAACAGAGTGAAACTCTGTCTCAAAAAAAAAAAAAAAAACATTTACTAGGGCTGGGCACAGTGGCTCACATCTGTAATCCTGGCACTTTGGGAAGCTGAGGTGGGAGGATCATTTTAGGCCAGGAGTTGAAGACTAGCCTGGGCAACGCAATGAGACCTCGTCTCTACAAAAAAATTTTAAAAAATAGCCGGGTGTGGTGGACCATGTCCATAGTCTCAGCTACTTGGGAGGCTGAGGTGGGAGGATCACTTGAGACCAGATGACTGAGGCTGCAGTGAGCTATGATCACCACTGCATTCCAGCCTGGGCAACAGAGTGAGACCCTGTCTCTTAAAAAAAAAAAAAAAAGTCCGGGCGTGGTGGCTCACACCTGTAATCCCAGCACTTTGGGAGGCCGAGGTGGGTGGATCACGAGGGCAGGAGTTCAAGACCAGCCTGGCCAAGATGGTGAAACCCCATCTCTACTAAAAATACAAAAAATTAGCTGGGCGTGGTGGCAGGCGCCTGTAGTCCCTGCTACTCAGGAGGCTGAGGAAGGAGAATCATTTGAACCCGGATGATAGAGGTTGCAGTGAGCCGAGATCGTGCCACTGCACTCCAGCCTGGGCAACAGAGTGAAACTCCGACTCAATTAAAAAAAAAAAATCAAAAGAGATTCATTCATCAGTTTTCCAGTGACAGTTCTGAAAAACTTACACATACATCTATCATAAGAAATCTAAAATTCTTGGCCAGGCGTGGTGGCTCATGCCTGTAATCCCAGCACTTTGGGAGGCCGAGGCGAGCAGATCACAAGGTCAGGAGTTCGAGGCCAGCCTGGCCAAGATGGTGAAACCCGTCTCTACTAAAAATACAAAAATTAGCCAAGCGTGGTGGCACGCGCCTATAGTCTCAGCTACTCAGGAGGCTGAGGCAGGAGAATCGCTTGAACCCAGGAGGCAAAGTTGCAGTGCGCCAAGACCGCACCACTGCACTCCAGTCTGGGCAACAGAGCGAGACTCCGTCTCAAAAAAAAAGAAAGAATTCTGAAATTCTTATTAAACACTTATTTTGTCAACTCAGAGAATTTTGGAAAAGAAACAGAATTATGTGTGTCCACACTGAGTAGCTGCAAAGAAAACCATTAAACATGCTGCCTGTAATAAGGCAGGAACCTGGAGTCTGTAGAACACACTGAGCTGTTTTCTCTGAGTGCTGGACCATCCACATCCCCGCTAAGATCAGTGGTATGCACTTTATGCCCACAACAGACACCTGCCCAGCAGCAGGGACCACACCCAGGACTGGGAAATGGAGCCACTTCATCTACATAACATCAAAGGCCCCCATGAGGGCACATTCACAGCAGAACCCTTGGTGGTGGGCTTAATTTTTTCAGGGGATGGGGGGTAGGCTAGGATTTGAAGAGAGTAAACTAGATCTAAGGCCTAACTTTGTTACTTTTAGCTGTGGGATACTAAACTCCGCTTTTCTGAATTCCGGGATCCTTCTGTCTGTAGTGGGGATATTATAATATCTACCTGCCAAGATTTTTTGAAAGGCTTAGATTACAGATCTTGAATGTGAGGGTACCTAGCATTGAGCCTGGCATGGGGCAGCGCTCAAATCATGTCTGTTGACTCATTCCTTCCCAGAACACCCTAATCTTACTGGATCACTAGCACCTGGGGCAGAGTACGCCTGAAGACACGCCTAGGTGACAGTAGGCACTCAACTTGTGTTCTCCCCTTCGTGGACAAGAAGCGGCGGAGTGCCTATCTTCCTCCGTCTTCGAGCTATTTTAAATTTCTTCTATTACAGCACTTTGGGAGGCCGAGGAGGGTGGATGACGAGGTCAGGAGATCGAGACCATCCTGGCTAACACGGTGAAACCCCGCCTCTACTAAAAATACAAAAAAATTAGCCGGGCGTGGCGACGGGCGCCTGTTGTCCCAGCTACTCGGGAGGCTGAGGCAGGAAAATGGCGTGAACCCGGGAGGCGGAGCTTGCAATACGCCGAGATCGCGCCACTGCACTCCAGCCTGGGTGACGGCGTGATTCTCCTTCTCAAAAAAAAAAAAAAAAAAAAAAAAAAATTCTTCTATTAAAGAATTTCAGGCCAGGCGCAGTGGCTCGCGCCTGTAATCCCAGCACTTTGGGAGGCCGAGGCAGGTAGATCACCTGAGGTCAGGAGTTCGAGACTAGCCTGGCCAACATGGCGAAAACCCCTCTCTACTAAAAATATAAAAAATTACCTGGGCGAAATGGCACGCGCCTGTAATCGCAGCTACTCGGGAGGGTGAGGCAGGAGAATAGCGTGAACCCAGGAGATGGAGGTTGCAGTGAGCCGAGATCGCGCCACTCCACTCCGGGCTCGGCGATACAGCGAGACTCCGTGTCGAAAAAACAAAACAAAACAAAACATTTCAAACTGAAATGGGCGGTTAAAATGCAACTTAAAATGAGATGGTGAGTTTAACGCACCACTTTTCCACTAGGTGGTGCTGCATGTTAAAACTTTCCCTCCATTTACTCCAAAATATTAATTTCTACAGCAGGAAAACTGACGGCCCCTTGGAAAAGGAAAGAAAAGTCAATATGTCACCAAAAAAGACAATTTATTAATAACTCCTCCAAAACCTCTGTGGGTTCCCCTTGGAGTGAAGCGCGAGCAGGGAGCCGCCATAGGGAGCCAGGCCCGCAGCGCCGTTCGTCCTCAGCACAACGAGCGGCAGCGGGCACCGAATTGTTCTGCAACTACTTTTCACATCTGCCTTTTGTAGTTGCTGAACAAAATTCGTTCCCATTTGTTTCCGGTTGGCAAGTTCGTAGGCTTCGGCGGAAGTGTAAAGTCAAGGGCAAGTGGCGGAGGCTGCGGCCACCCCGGTCTCTGAGCGGCGCACCGGACAGGTGGTCAGTCCCGGGACGCGGTGACCCGACGCCCGAGCTCCAAGGCTCGGCCCACGCCGGGTTCGCCCCAGTCCCGCTGGTCCCTCAGCCGACGCCGCCGGGCCTCGCACCGCCCCCCGACCCCGGACCCCCACCCACGCGGCCGCTGTGCACTCACCATGGCCGCTAGCCCTAGGCTCTGGCCTCGCAGCGCCGCCAACAAGCGCCGCGTCGCCCCGAGCGCCCCGAGCACCGCCGCCATTGGCCGTCTGCCGAGGGCTGCCCCGCGCGCTGCCTGCCGGCCGCCCACAGCCGCCCCCGACCCGACCACGCCCAGCTACCGCCAGCCCTGGTAGTCTCCCTGCGGGGCTGGCCCGGAGCGGGGTCTGTGTGTGGGAAGCGCCCAGCCTTCCCGCGGGCACAGGCGCAGCCCGGACCCCGAACACCCCCAGGAGCTTCAGCGGTCGCCAGCGCCCTTGGCCGCCAGGTGGACTCTGCGCGCCCCACAGCCGTAGGCCCAGCAGGCGCGCGCGGTCCCCGCCCCGTGCGGGCCCGTCGCGTCTGTGCCCGGGACGCAGGTCGCCCGGCGCGCGCTGGCCTTGCCCTCCGGTCCTCGCTGCGCTAGGAGGAACTTCGCCCAGCCTCGGGCGCCGGCCTCCTCCGCTTCGCGGGCGCTAGCACCGAGCTGGGCTCCCCGCTTGGCGGCGCTGCGCGCAGTCCATGCGGGCAGGAGGATGTCGTAGGCCAGGGCGGGGCAGTTGAGCGGCGGGGCTGGGGCAGTGAACCACGGCAGTTCCCATCGGGGGCTCCTAAGTCTTGCAGTAGTGGGTTCGAACGCAGCCTCTGTTCAGTCATCACGCAGCTGCCAAGTTCTTGAGCCAGCTGGCTCGTCTGGGTTTGCCTGGACCAAAAAGTGTGGAAACCCGGCCTGTAATCCCCTCCCAAACGTGTCCGTGCCCTGTTTACCCCCAGGCTCAGCACACAGTAGGAGCTCTGCAGACAGCTGTGAACAGATTTAGGTGAATCTTTTCTTGTATCATTTTTGGGGAGGTATTCTTTCATTCTTTTTTTTTTTTTTTTTTTGACTTTTTTGAGATGTAATTGACATACTATTAAGAATACTCACTTGTATCTTTTTTTTTTTTTTTTTTTTTTGAGACGGAGTCTCGCTCTGTCGCCCAGGCTGGAGTGCAGTGGCGCGATCTCGGCTCACTGCAAGCTCCGCCTCCCGGGTTCACGCCATTCTCCTGCCTTAGTCTCCCGAGTAGCTGGGACTACAGTCACCCGCCACCACGCCCGGCTAATTTTGTTTTTGTATGTTTAGTAGAGACGGGGTTTCACAGTGTTAGCCAGGATGGCCTCAATCTCCTGACCTCGTGATCCGCCCGCCTCGGCCTCCTAAAGTGCTGGGATTACAGGCGTGAGCCACCGCGCCCGGCCTCTTTTTTGTTTGTTTTTAACTGAATAGTTTAAGCAGGCCAGGCATGGTGGCCCGCACCTGTAATCACAGCACTTTGGGAGGACAAGGCAGGAGGATCACTTGAGGCCAGATGTTCGAGATCTGCCTGGGCAACATGGCAAAACCCCATCTCTATTAAAAATACAAAAATTAGCCACGCGTGGTGGCACGTGCTGGTAGTTCCAGCTATCCGTGAGGCTGAGATGGGAGGATGGCTTGAGCCCGGGAGGCTGCAGTGAGCTGAAATCACGCCACTGCATTCCATCGACAGCAAAATACCCTTTCCCTCACCCCCCTCAAAAATAAAAAAAAAAGTTTATGCAAATTAATAAGCAGTTTTGCAGAGGATATGGCAAAATATTTTTTTTAAGAACAAGAGTCCATTTAACTTCAACTTAGCAGTTATTAGCAGTCCATCCATATGGACCTAGAAAAAATAAAGCATTTTGCCTCAAAGTAGCCCAAAATTCACGGGCTTCTGTTCTTCCCATTTGCCCACTTGACAAAATGTAACCATTTCGCCGGGTGCAGCGGCTCATACCTGTAGTCCCAGCACTTTGGGAGGGTGAGGCGGGTGGATCAATTGAGGCCAGGAGTTCGAGACCAGCCTGGCCAAAATGGTGAAACCCCGTCTCTACTAAAAATACAAAAATCAGCTGGGCATGGTGGTGCGTGCCTGTAATCCCAGCTACTGAGGAAACTGAGGCAGGAGAATAGCTTGAACCCGGGAGGCGGAGGGTGCAGTGAGCTGAGATTGCACCACTGCACTCCAGCCTGGCAACAGAGCAAGACTCTGTCAAAAAAAAAAAAGATGTAACCATTTCAAAAGCAAAACTCGGGAGGAATCACACTGGGGGCCCTTATCAAATGTTGCTGGTCCTAAAGAATTAAAAGTTATATTTCCAACATTTACATTGACTGTTTATGATCATGAAAACTACTACTCAGATTCGCTCATTAAAGTAAGAACTAAAAAATGAACCAGTGGATGTGAGTAAACAAGTGAACCTTCATTATTTTCAGTAAATTTAATCATTTTCCTTCCTTAATACCACTGTATGAAACTGGCATCTGGGATATAGTCACTGGCCAGGCAAAGTGGCTCACGCCTGTGATCCCAGCACTTTGGGAGGCTGAGGCGGATAGATCACTTGAGCCCAGAAGTTTGAAACTAGGCTGGGCAACATGGTGAAACCCTGTTGCTACAAAAAAGTACAAAAATTAGTCGCGCATGGTGGCGCATGCCTGTAGTCCCAGCTACTGAGGAAACTGAGGCAGGAGAATCTCTTGAACCTGGGAGGCAGAGGTCAAGATCGGGCCACTGCACTTGCACTCCAGCCTGGGTGACAAGAGTGAAACTCCACCTCAAAAAAATAAAATAAATTTGATCATGCAGATCTAGTCAAAAAAGCAGCGAACGGCAGATGCTAGGGCCCAGGGAAATGATGACATCAGTGGATCACATCACAGGGGCTGTGAATTGTCTGCCCACACATGTAGCTCCCCAATTAATAGGATTTAAGTCCCTTAGCAAAGATTTACTGGCCACATGCTCTGTAGTGGAACCATGCTTAGCTTGGGCTGTTCAGCTGGTCTTTGATCACTTCCTTCCCCTTTTCACTTTCCCTCAACACTACTGGTGTTTTTGTTTTGTTTTTCTGATTTTGGGGGTTTGAGACATGATCTCGCTCTGTCACCCCGGCTGCAGTGCAGTGACACAATCACGACTCACTGAAGCAGTCCTCCCACTACAGCCTCCCAAAGTGCTAGGATTCCAGCCATGAGCCCCCGCACCTGGCAGCACCAGTGTTTTGAGGCTGATCCTCTCTATACTTGAACCTCCTCTCCAGGGAATGGCTCTGCTCCACATTTCCCTCCAGGGGAACCCCATGTAGCTGGGCCATGGTGCAAAGGCAGGGCAGGGTGCCATCCCACATAAAGGTTTTGGAGTAAATTTAAAGCCTGGTTCCAGCCACTGGAAGCTGCATGAAGGAAAGCAAGTTATTGAGAGCCTCAGGTTTTTTCTTTTGCTTTGAGACAGGGTCTCACTCTGATTGCCTAAGCTGGAGCGCAGTGGCATGATTACAGAGCTCACTGCAGCCTCGACCTCCTGGGCTCAGGTGATTCTCCCACCTCAGCACCCCGAGTAGCTGGGACTACCAGGACGCACCACCACACCCAGCTAATTTTTTGTACTTTTAGTAAAGACAGGGTTTCGCCATGTTAACCAGCCTGGTCTCGAACTCCTGAGACTCAAGCAATCCACCTGCCTCAGCTTCCCAAAGTCCTGGGATTACAGGCGTGAGCTACTGCACCAACCTAGTTTATTCTTTAAAAAGGATATTAAACAAAATAGTATATGTAAAGCATCTAAAACAGTACTTGGCACTCACACAGTAATAACTCAATATAAGAGGTGGACTCACTAGAGTTTTCCTTACATTTGTATTTATAAGTACACACATGTGAAGATTCAAATCCCAGCTTCATCAACTTACAATCTGTGTAACCTGGGCAAGTTATCTAACTCTCTATGCCTCAATTTGCTCATGTGTAAAATAGAAATAATGTGCCATTCTGAGATACGGTCCCCTCCTGCCAGTGACCACCCCAAACACAGCTGTTGGAAACATGACACATAAAAGTTGTAAACTCCCATTCATTGTAACACTCTAAGAAGGAGACTCATCTGAGGTTTTATTTCTATAGAATTTAGGGTGCCTTGTGAAATAAACATTCAACTACTCTAAAACCCTGGAAACAATTAGTATAAAAGTAATTTATGATGAGGTAATTAGCTGTCATATCTGAATTTAAGGAATCTTTTAGAAACAGCTTTTCAAAAAGTTTGTTTAGGCCAGGCGCAGTGGCTCACACCTGTAATCCCAACACTTTGGGAGGCTGAGGCGGGTGGATCACCTGAAGTCAGCAGTTTGAGACCAGCCTGGCCAACATGGCAAAACCCCATCTCTACTAAAAATAGAAAAATTAGCTGGGTGTGATGGCACAGGCCCATAGTCCCAGCTACTCAGGAGGCTGAGGCTGGAGAATCGCTTGAACCCGGGAAGCAGAGGTTGCAGTGAGCCAAGATTGCACCATTGCACTCCAGCCTAGGTGACAGAGTGAGACTTTGTCTAAAAAAAAAAAAAAAGTTTGTTTAAATTACATGTTGTCTCTTTACTAAACATGTGTCTTGAACTAGACTAGAATCAACTTGTGGGCAAGAACAGTGTTTTACACTTCAATACTTCTTTTTGTTTGTTTTTGAGATGGAGTTTCGCTCTGGTTGCACAGGCTGGAGTGCAGTGGCATGATCTCAGCTCACTGCAACCTCTGCCTCCCGGGTTCAAGTGATTCTCATGCCTCAGCTTTCCCAAGTAGCTGGGATTACAGGTGCCCGCCACCACGCCCAGCTAATTTTTTGTATTTTTAGTAGAGAGAGGGTTTCACCAAGTTGGCCAGGCTGGTCTCAAAAGTCCTAACCTCAAGTGATCCTCCCGCCTTGGCCTCCCAAAGTGCTGGGATTACAGGCATGAGCCACTGCGCCCAGCCTGCTGGGAACATTTTAAGGTTCAATTAATGCATGCTGCTTAGGTAACTATGATTAAAATGTATACGTTAGCATAGAACTGATAATAATTGAGCTTTAGTTACAGCATTTCCTTTCTCCTAACATCTCCCTTACCCAGAAACAACTTAAAACACTTCAAATTTTTTGAGTTAGAGATCACAAACATCAAGGTATTTGACTCTTATTTTCCATCACTTGCTACTTGAGGGGGTCACACTAACCAATTCTGGTTACATACTTTCCTGCTATGGACTCTAGAAGAAAAACTGCAAAGAAACAGAAAACTAACCTTCTTAAACATATATAAGGAATCAAGGGTTTCCTTAAACTATTACCTGAGAGTCCTATTTTTGCCTTCTGTATAGTAAGCATGTCATTCTACTCACTATTCTGCCGGAATACATCTTCACATTTCAAACTGGATTACTTTCCAAATACTGGATTACGTTCATGCAGTAAAAACAAGAATAGTGCATCTATTGAATATTTTTGCATTTGCTTATTGCAATACTAGTTAAAACACCAGTTTATAATTTTTTTATACATTCAGTTGTTCAACAAATGATTCTTTTAATCTGCCTGAAGTTTCAAGTCAACACGTCACTGGAGAAAATGTATGAAACTGTAGCACTAATTTCTGAAACGAAGGATTGAAGTTCCTCTTTCCAACTTCTTTCAGACCATCACTACTCCACATGTTCCTGCTCTTGTCCTGGAATTAGCCACCGAATACTCTCAGTTCGAATGGTAGCATACATAATAAAACTAATTAAAAAGAATAAGGAAAATACAAGCAACCAGTCCACACTTTTTATCAAAGTGCTGGGAAGAGGGCCTATTTGGTCGGCTTGAGTTACCACCACATTCTTCTTGGCTTCTATACCTGAAAGAAAAATCACTGGTTTCAAATCAGGCAGAAAAAGCACCCACCACAGATTTTTCTCAAGTATTATGTATGGTATGCAAAATGACATGCAGTCCTAAAATAAGCATTGCCACTAGTATATATATAAATATATGGGATGGATTTCACTTGCCTATCAGTGTAATTTGTAAGTTGCCTTTCTCCCCACTGCATCAAAGGATCAGGAACCCATTCAGCTGTTCACAACTAAAACACTAGAATTTCTGTGAACTCATCAGAAGTTTCTTAGTCAATGTGTTTATAAGAGTTGTATTTTGGTGTCTTTTGAGACCAAAGTTCAGTAAGTAACTAGTAAAACTCCTCTCAGGTGTCTACAGAATGTTTTCACAGGTTAAGTAATGCTAAATTCGAAATGCTTTTTTTTTTTTCTGTGATGAAGTCCTGCTCTGTCTCCCAGGCTGGAGTGCAGTGGTGCGATCTCAGCTCACTGCAACCTCCGCCTCCTGGGTTCGAGCGATTCTCTTGCCTCACCCTCCCAAGTAGCTGGGATTACAGACACACACCGCCATGCCTGGCTAATTTTTTTGTATTTTTAGTAGAGACGAGGTTTCACCATGTTGGCCAGGCTGGTCTCGAACTCCAGACCTCAGTTGATCTGCCCACCTCAGCCTCCCAAAGTGTTGGGATCACAGGTGTGAGCCACCGCACCCAGCCCCAAAATGCTTTTAATAATTTACTGAAAGAACTGTTATAACAACAAGCCACCAACGGAAACAGGGATTACCAAAGATGCTCTGACTCCCAGATTTGTGTTCTAGGTTTTCTTAGAGCACTGAATAAAATGGCTCCCTCTCCACACATCAATCGAAATGACAATCAGGGATCCATGACAAGACTTGGACTAGCTAACCACCTTGTAATATCCTACTTTTACTCCTATCAGCCAACTCAGCTCTTTTTTCTTTAGTGTTAGCTAAAATGATTATATGCAATTTAATATATATGCAATGTGTGTTATAATTTTTATTTATTTCCAGTGAGCATACTTTGGGAAGAGTGGGATGCTCACAATTGAGACAGTGAGGCTTTAGAGGAATGAACTTTTCCAATGGAGGTAATTTTTTCAATTTACAATGCTTTACAATGTTTTACAAACAATAAAAAATAAGGCCATATGTTTTGGCAAATATTAAGGAACTAAGATAGCATCTACAAATGGATTAATAAATGGAACAGTAGCAGCAAAGAAAAAGAACAAAACATAACCATACATGACAATGCAGGTGCATCTCACAAGCATACTGTTGGATGAAAAAAACAGACACAAAATAAAACATCCTGCATGTCTCCATTAATATGAAGTCCAAAACAAGTAACACAGTCTATGATATTAGGAGTCAAGACTGTGGTTATCTTTATCTTTGGGGAAGGCAGGAGCAGTGGTGCTGAAGGGAGGCTGGTAATGTTCTGTTTCTCTTTTTTTTTTTCTTTTTTTTTTGAGACGGAGTCTCACTCTGTCAACCAGGCTGGAATGCAGTACTGTGATCTCAGCTCACTGCAGCCTCTGCCTCCTGGGCTCAAGCAATTTTCATGCCTCAGCCTCCCGAGTAGCTGCGACTACAAGCACCCACCACCATCCCCAGCTAGTTTTTGTATTTTTAGTAGAGACAGGGTTTCGCCATGTTGGCCAGGCTGGTCTCGAACTCCTGGCCTCAAGAGATCCACCCGCACAGGCTTCCCAAACTCCTGGGTTTACAGGCATAAGCCAGTGCTCTGTTTCTTGATCAGAGTGGTTACCCAGGGTGTTCACTTTGTGAAAATTCATCACCCTGTACACTCATGACTTATGCATATCTTTGTGTAAATATTAAGTGAAAAATGTGCGTTAAAAGTTATAAGTAAAGTGTATGGTATGTGAATTATATTTCAGTAACACTTGTTTTAAAGTATCTATAATAGGCCAGGCACGGTGGCTCACACCTGTAATCTGAGCACTCTGGGAGGCCAAGGCAGGCAGATCACTTGAGGTTAGGAGTGCAAGACCAGCCTGGCCAACAGGGCGAAACCCTGTCTCTACTAAAAAATACAAAAATTAGCCAGGTGTGGTGGTGCGCACCTATAATCCCAGCTACTAGAAAGGCTGAGGCAGGAGAATCGTTTTAACCCAGGAGGCAGAGGTTGCAGTGAACTGAGATTATGCCATTGCACTCCAGTCTGGGTGACAGAGCGAGACTCCGTCTCAGTCAATCAAACAATAAAGTATCTATAATAGACCGGGCACAGTGGCTCACACCTGTAAAATCCCAGCACTTTGGGAGGCCGAGGCGGGTGGATCACTTGAGGCCAGGAGATCGAGACCAGCCTGGCCAATAAGGCGAAACCCTGTCTCTACTAAAAATACAAAAATTAGCTGGGCACACGCCTGTAATCCCAACTACTCTGGAGGCTGAGGCACGCAAATCACTTGAACCTAGGAGGCGGAGGCTGAAGTGAACTGAGATCATGCCACTGCACTCCAGCCTGGGCAACAGAGTGAGACTCTGCCTCAAAAAAAAGGAAAAAAAGGCTGGGTGCGGTGGCTCACGCCTGTAATCCCAGCACTTTGGGAGGCCGAGGTGGGTGGATCACGAGGTCAGGAGATCGAGACCATCCTGGCTAACACGGTGAAACCCCGTCTCTATTAAAAATACAAAAAATTAGCCGGGTATGGTGGCGGGCGCCTGTAGTCCCAGCTACTCGGGAGGCTGAGGCAGGAGAATGGCGTGAACCCGGGAGGTGGAGGTTGCAGTGAGCCAAGATCGCACCACTGCACCCCAGCCTGGGCGACAGAGCAAGACTCAAAAAAAAAAAAAAAAGGGAAAAAAAAAGTATCTATAATAATTAAAATTACCTATTCATGTTAAACTTCATACTGATTGGGAAGTATTTAACAGGATCATAACAGTTCATTAGAAGAGAAGTTTTACAACTCAAAGTCAGTCTTGAATCCTTCACTTAAGGATTATAGCAGATCAGAACCCACAGAAGGCACAGACCCCCAGCAATAGAATATCTTCTTCCTCAGCACATTACTTCCACATACCTGTCTGATTAAAAATGAAGATTTTCAGTGTTTCCAGTGTTCGATCTGTATGATTAAATCTGGCCATTGGTTTAGCTCCTTGAAATAATAAAATATTAGGAACAGCTACGGTGCCAAACCTGGTAGAAAGGCTACAAGAGAAAGAAGTCAAAAAACCTGAATTTATTATTAATAGAGGGCTTTCTCATACAATTACCATCTCAGAATAGACAGAAATAAATGAGGAAGTTGCGTGTGACCTACGGAGATTTCTGATACTTGAAACTTTTGGCTTTTTCATTTGTTTCTGACCTCTTTGCTTATGGGTCATGGCTGGGGGGCACTCCTTTTCTGCAATCTGAGTTGCTTTCAATTATAATATGGATCTACCAATGGCACAATTATTCCACTAGTTAAGTTCCTGTCTAAACAAACCAGACCAGAAAACTCTAATTCATGGACAAAGCACACTGTGTCAACTTATTTGACAGAAAAAATTTCCAACTCTTCAGAATGCCCATCCCTGTCCCTCAAAAAAGATCAACTTACAGTAGGCAATTGGTTTGGTAAGCTGGCACAAGGGAGTATATGATCTAACAAACACACCAGGATGTTCACAATTAGGGCAGGATGACTTGTTTAGAAGGAATATAACTGTGCGGGCTTATTTCACCTTTACATAATACAGACTAGTGGTGATAAGCTCCCAAGTCAAAACACTCTGGGTTGAAGCCTCAGTTCTGCCACTGAACCAATGTGAACTCTGGGCAGATTATTTAACCTTGCTAAGCCTCAATTTTCCGCATTAGTAAAATAGTAATAGTGTATAACCAGGATTTTTTTCTTTTGTACACATGCTGTAACTTAAATATTAACATAAGAAGCAAACATGTCCCAGCCCATATAATAACAGCAAGAGCCTTAGTCTCCATAATTAAGATACAACATGGAGCTGAAGGAAGGAAAGAAGAAAGCAGGTTAGGGAGGGAGTTGCGGGAGAGGCAGGAGGGACAGTGTGAGACCCAGAACCAAAGAGCACTGAGTATGCCTGGGGGCAGTGGAGGCCCCACCAAAGCTGGACACTGACGTGATCTGTCCTTCCAATCAGTCTGCTCCCTTGGGCCCAGTCACTTAGATATAACCCAGAAGCCTATATGAAAATTACTAATTTGTTGAGCCATTTCTTTCTTCATAAAAGTTTCAGGTAAACATTGGCAGTTATATTCCCACAATGAAAATCAGTGGAATACAATTTTTTTTTTTTTGAGACAGGGTCTCACTCTGTAGCCCAGGCTGGAGTGCAGTGACAGGATCACGGCTCACTGTGACCTTGACCTCCCCTGGTTCAGGCAATCTTCCCACCTCAGCCTCCCAAGTAGCTGGGGTACCACAGGTATGTGCCACCATCCTCAGTCAATTTTTTGTATTTTTTTTTATAGAGATGGAGTTCTGCCATGTTGTCCAGGCTGGTCTCAAACTCTTGGGCTCAAGCAATCCTTCTACCTTGGCCTCTCAAAGTGATGGGATTACAGGTGTGAGCCACTGCACCTGGCCTCAAGTACAGAGTAATGGAAGTTTACTCAACTTCATTTTACCACCAATTGACCATTTTTCAGATGTTCTAGATTTATTTACACACAACCTCCTTGTTGAGGCTGACCTACTAAGGAGCATCTGATTTGGAAGAGAAGAACAGTTTATAACTCAGGCACAATCGCAGCACTTAGGAGAAACATATACCATCTCAACAAAGTTCTCTGTAACTTACTTTACTAAACATTTAAAAAAGACAAAAAGTGGCTCACACCTGTAATCCCAGCACTTTGGGAGGCCGAGGCTGGTAGATCACAAGGTCAGGAGTTCGAGACCAGCCTGGCCAACAAACGGTGAAACCCCGTTTAAAAATACAAAATTAGCCGGCATGGTGGCAGGTGCTTGTAATCCCAGCTACTCAGGAGGCTGAGGCAGGAGAATCACTTGAACCTGGGAGGCAGAGGTTGCAGTGAGCCTAGATCACACCATTGCACTCCAGCCTGGGTGACAGAGCAAGATTCCACCTCAAAAAAAAAAAAAAAAGAAAAAAAAAATGACCAGCCTGGCATGGTGGCGCATGCCTGTAGTCCTGCTACTCAGGAGGTTAAGTCAGGACGATCGCTTGAGCCCAGGAGTTCAAGGCCAGCCTGGACAAAAACCCAGTGAATGATACACGAGAAATATAAAACAAAGATAAATGTCATGTTAAAGAGCTAAATTAATTCATGACTTGATCGAGTGCCTACTACAGAACATGACTGCAAGAATAAGTACGCAGGAAAGAAAGAAGGAAAGAGGGAAAGGGAAAAGAAGGAAAGAAAAAGAAAAGGAAGGGAAGAAATCCTGAGTAGACACAAAACAGGGGTGCTGGGAATTGGGCTGCCTGGGATGGGGATTTAACCTGCGCCTTAAAGTCACAAAGGAATATCCTACTGTGATACCAATTGTGCTGATTCAGTCTGGCTATGGCCCTCAAAAGTCTTCTGGCCCCTCCCCTGCCATCAGGTGCTACCACCTGCCACCTTTAAATCCACCACACAGAGAACAGCCCACTTTCTTTAAGGGGCCTCCATAAAGTGACACCACCAGCTCCCTCAGGAGTATGATAATCCTCACTATTCACTCTTGCCTTGCCTTCCATCCCAGGACACAGTTCATGCCCCCCCTCTTCTGCTTCTAACTTAACTAATTAGGACCTCCAAATAACTGCAACCATCAGCCAGGAGGATGGACGTAAACCCCACCAATGGAAGATACCTGCTGTGCTGAGATGCATCCAGTGCCAAAAAGTGAAGAGCTGGAAATGCCCGGGGCAGAGAGTTAAAGTGAGGGGCCAAACTGGCAGAAAAGCGGCACCACGGGGTGTAAAACAGGACTAGAGTACAGTCACTACCGTTTGGGTTCAGAAAATCCATAAGGTCCTGTGGTAAAAGAAACAAGCATTAAAGTTAGCAGTAAAAGTACATTTTTCTGAAAGGATACCCAAGAAACAGGACACACTGCTGCTCCAGGGAGAGGAACGGGTGGGTAGGAGCAGCGAGAGAAGGAACCCTCGGAACCTTTTGGATTTTGAACCATATGAATCCAGGAACCAGCAAAAAAGTATGATCAAATGACAAGTTATAAACTTTCACTTTTTTTAAGTCTTGCTGAATTAAGCAGAAAGTTTTAAACTTTCCTCTGCGCTTTCCTAATATTACAAGTTATTTTAATATTTTTCATAATTCATCATTTCAAATACAGGCATACCTCATTTTACTGCATTTCACTCCATTGCACTTTGCTGACATTGCATTTTTTGCAGATTGAAAGTTTGTGGCAACTCGGCATCCAGCAAGTTTTTCAGCACCATTTTTCCAACAGCATGTGCTCAATTTGTGTCTGTGTCACATTTTGGTAATTCTTGCAATATTTCAAACTCTTCCATTATTATTATATCTGTTATGGTGATCTATGATAAGTATCTTTGATGTTACTATTGTAATTGTTTTGGGGCGCCACCAACTGTACCCATAGAAGACAGTGAACTTTATCAGTAAATGTCTATGTTCTGACTGTTCCACCGACCAGCTATTCCCCATCTCTCTCCCTCTCCTCAGGCCTCTCCCTGAGACACAACAATATTGAAATTAGGTGAATTAATAACCCTACAGTGGCCTCTGTTTAAGTGAAAGGAAGAGTTGTACATCTCTCGTGAAAGGAAGAGTTGTACATCTCTCATTTTAAATCAAAGCCAAAAATGATTGATTAAACTTAGTGAGGAAGCCATGCCGAATGCCAACATAGGAGACAGGCTGAAAGCTAGGCCTCTTACACCAAACAGCCACATTATAAATGCAAAGGAAAAGTTTTTAAAGGAAGTTAATGTGCTACTCCATCCAGTGTGGTGACCTCTGATGCTTAAAAATAAAAATAAGTGCTACTCAATGAATATGCAAATGATAAGAAAGCAAAACAGCATTATTGCTCATATGGAGAAAATCTTAATGCTATAGATAGACGATCAAACCAGTCACAACATTTAAGCCAAAGCCTAAATCCAGAGCAAGGCCCTAACTCTCTTCAATTCTACGAAGGCTGAGAGAGGTGAGGAAACTGCAGAGGAAAAGTCTGAAATTAGCTGGGGTTGGCTCATGAGGTTTAAGAAAGAAGCTGTCTCCAGAACATAAAAGTGCAAGGTGAGGCAGCAAGTGCTGATAGAGAAGCTACAACATAGTAACATCAAAGATCAATGGGGAAAAAAAAAAAGAAGCTGCAACAACTTACCCAGAACATCTAGCTAAGAGAATTGATGAAGGTGGCTATACTCAAAAATCAATTTTCATGTAGATAAGACAGCCTTCTATTGGAATAAGGTGGCTTCTAGGACTTTCATAGCTAGACAAGAGATGTCAATGCCTGGCTTCAAAGGACAGGCGGACTCTTTTTAGAGGCCAGTGTAGCTGCGGTCTTATTTATTTATTTAACAATAAATCTTATTATTTATTTATTTATTTATTTGACAAGGTCTTGCTCTGTCACCCAGGCTGGAGTACAGTGGCGCAATCATGGCTCATGGCAGCCTCAGCCTCTGGGCTCAAGCAATCCTCCTGCCTCAGCCTCCCAAGTAGCTGGTGCCCACCACCATGCCTGGCAAGTTTTTGTATTTTTTGTAGAGATAAGGTTTCACCATGTTCCCCAGGCTGGTCTGGAACTCCTAGGTTTAAGCAATCCACCCACCTTGGCCTCTGAAAGTACTGGGATTACAGGTATGAGCAACCACAGGGCCAATGCTCATTGCTCATTGCCCATTCTGAAGATCCTGGGGCCTTTAAAAATTATGCTAAATTTATTTTGCCTGTGCTCTAGAAAAGGAACAACAAAGCCTGGATGACAGTACATCTGTTTACAGCATGGTTTCCTGAGTATTTTAGGCCCACTGTTGAGACCTACTGCTCAGAAAAAAAGATTCCTTTCAAAATATTATACTCGTTGACAATGCACCTGGTCAACCAAGAGTTCTGGTGGAGATGCACAAGGAGATGAATGTTGTTTTCAGGCCTGCTAACACAGCATCCATTCTGCAGCCCATGAATCAAGGAGGGATTTCAACTTTTAACTCTTATTATTTAAGAAATACATTTCATAAGGCTATAGTTGCCATAGATAGCAATTCCTCTGATGGATTTGGGCAAAATAAATTTAAAACCTTCTGGAAAGGATTTACCATTCTAGATGACTTTAAAAATATCTGTGATTCATGGCAGGTGGTCAAAATATCAACATTAATAGGCGTTTAGAATAAGCTGACTCCAACCCTCGTGGATGACTTTGAGGAATTCAAGACCTCAATGGAGAATGGAACTGCGGATGTGGTAGAAATAGCAAGAAAACTAGGATTAGAAGTGGAGTCTGAAGATAGGACTGAATTGCTACAATCTCATGATAAAACTTGAAGAGATGAGGAGTTGATTTTTATGGATAAGCAAAGAAAGTAGGTTTTTGAGATGGCATCTACGCCTGGTGAAGATGCTGTGAACACTGTTGAAATGACGACAAAGGATTTAGAATATTCCATAAACTTAGTTGATAATGCAGCAGCAGGGTTTGAGAGGATTGACTCCAACTTTGAAAGAAGTTCTACTGTGGGTAAAATGCTATCAAACAGCATTGCATGCTACAGAGAATTCTTTCGTGAAAGGAATTAAGAAACTGTGGGCCACAGGCCAGGTGTGGTGGCTCATGCCTGTAATCCCAGCACTTTGGAAGGCCAAGGTGGGCAGATCACTTGAGGTCAGGAGTTCAAGACCAGCCTGACCAACATGGTGAAACCCTGTCTCTACTAAAAATACAAAAATTAGCTGGGCATGTGAAGCACGCCTGTAATCCCAGTTATTCGGCGAGAGGCTGCAGTGGGAGAATAGCTTGAACCTGGTAGATGGAGGTTGCAGTGAGCTGAGATCACGCCACTGCACTCCCGCCTGGGTGACAGAGTGAGACTCCATCTCAAAAAAAAAAGAAAGAAAAGAAAAGAGAAGAGAAAAGAAGAGAAGAGAAAAGAGAAAAGAAAAGAAAAGAAAAGAAAAAAACGAAACGAAACTGTGGGCCAGGCATGGTGGTTCACGACTCACAACACTTTGAGGGGCCAAGACAGGAGGATCACTTGAGCCCAGGAGTTTGAGACCAGCCTATGCAACATAGTGAGACCTCATCTCTACAAAAAAAAAAGAAAAAAATTAGCCAGGTATGGTGGCACATGCCTGTATTCCCAGCTACTTGGGAGGCTGAGCTGGGAGGATCACTTGAGCCTGGGAGGTCAAGGCTGCAGTGAGCCATGGTCTCACCACCACACTCCAGCCTGGGTGACAGAGCAATACTCTGTCTCAAAGAAATTGCCAGAGCCACCCCAACCCTCAGTAACTACCATCCTGATCAGTCAGCAGCCATCAACATCAAGGCAAGACCCTCTACCAGCAAAAAGATTACAACTCACTGAAGGCTCAGATGATCGTTAGCATTTTTTAGCAATAAAGTATTTTTAAATTAAGGTATATACATTTTTTAAACATAATGCTACTGCATACTTAATAAACTACAATATAGTATAACTTCTGTATGCACTGGGAAACCAAAATATTCACGTGATTTGCTACACTGCGATATTTGCTTTATCACAGTGGTCTGGAACCAAACCTGTAGTATCTTTGAGGTATGCCTGTACTAAGTACTCACAGGGTCCAGGCAATTGCCCCCACCTTTGAATTGTGCATCTCAAACCATCTAAAATGGAATTATTAGAGGACTACGATCTCAAATCCAAACTATCATCTCAGCAGAGCTAAGTCTGAACTAAGCAGTCATATCGATATGTTTGGCCAAAGGTTAGATCAATTCAAGAGTACACTGTCCTAGCCAGCCACAGTATCTTACATCTGTAATCCCAACACTCTGGGAGGCCAAAGAGGGCAAATCAGTTGAGGTCGGGAATTTGAGACCAGCCTGGCCAACGTGGTAAAACCTCGTTTCCACTAAAAATACAAAAATTAGCCAGGCGTGGTGGCATGTGCCGTAATCCCAGCTACTCGGGAGGCTGAGGCAGGAGAACCACTTGAACCCGGGAGGCAGAGGTTGCAGTGAACCCAGATCATCCCATTGCACTCCAGCCTGGGTGACAGAGTGAGACTCTGTGTCAAAAAAAGAAAAAGGGTACACCGTCCCTGCCACCACCTGTTTAATCCATAACTCAGACTGTTTAAACTGCTCTCTCCCAGTCATGTGAGTGACACCTGTGGGAGTCCCACAGACCACAGCATCTACAGGCACTCAGGAGTGGATGCAAAGCCAGCGCCGAGCACTGCCCTTGGAGGAGCTATGTGCACTACAGGTGCTGTGCCCTCACTGACAACAGTCACAGCTCTTAGAGTCAGGATTTACCTCTCTTACATAAGCAGTGTGAATGCATCCTACCCTTCTGTTTTCTGAACCACCCCACAGAAATTGTCAGTCATTGATGAAAGAGAAAATTTCATCAATATAACATATTTTCCAGGGGCATTACTAGTCTAAATAATGGTAAATTATAATTTTAGTAATCCAGATATGTTTAAATTGCCTCTGTAATAAATAAATACTTCATTTGGAAGAAGAAAAATGGCCGGGCACGGTGGCTCACACCTGTAATCCCAGCACTTTGGGAGGCCGAGACGGGTGGATTACCTGAAGTCAGGAGTTTGAGACCAGCCTGGCCAACATGGTGAAACCCATTTCTACTAAAAATACAAAATTAGCCAGGCATGGTAGTGCATGCCTGTAATCCCAGCTACATGGGAGACTGAGGCAGGAAAATCATTTGAACTCAGGAGGCGGAGGTTGCAGTGAGCCGATATCATGCCATTGCACTCCAGCCTAGGTGACAAGAGCAAAACTCTGTCTCAAAAGGAAAAATGCTATGATTTTGGTGCCAAGCAACTATCTGTCCACTGGGATTTCTATCGTGAGGTTTGGTGGTGAGACTGGCCCAAGGATAACTAGGTTTAGGCCATCTGAAAAGCATAATCAACACTAGTTATATTTCCTCGTCTCCCTATAAACATCACAGAGGGCAAAGTTGATTTTCACTGAAGCAGCCATTAAATGCTATCTCGCTTACAATATGATCAAGATCATGATTTTCCATTTCAAAGTTGATAGGGTATTAATCATAAAATAAATGTACTGAAAAGGAGAAAAGCACTAAATAATTTTTCCTTACCTGTGACATATTTAAAATTTTCAGAGTGAAATTTTCTAATCCTGTAATGTTTCTCTCCTCACAGTTCACCTTTGGGGATTTCAGACTTTCAGTGTTATTGGAGTCCTCTGTCGGGGCTGCGTCAGATTCCGCCACTTCTGGCTCTGTGTAATACTCCTCTTCTCTGTCAGGGAAGTGTGCTCCAGCGCCATCCAGAGAGAAAAGGCTCTCTCGGACGTTGCACCTTGAGTCCTCCGCTCCTCCAGCACCACAGGTGACGCCGCTAGGCTCTGAACTCACTTTGTCCTCAGCTTCCCCAGGAATCACAGACAGCATCACCATGTGATCGCCTTGGGTGTCCAGCCCCAGCACCGCATTGGCCTCTTCTGCTGCCCTGTCCTGGCCCATCGGGTCATGCAGGAGCTCCTCCTCACCCAGGTACACAGCCCCCACCTGGAGAGGGTGAGCAGGCTGCTCCTCTGACCATAAGCGACCACTTTCCTCTGCAACTAAAACATGCCAGCACATTCAGAGTCATATTTGACTTCAAAACAAATGAACCCCAAAGAATTACAGTTCCCCTCTAACACGAAATTTTCCCCTCTGGAGACAAAAAGGTCTCCTTTCATTAAACTATCAGAGAGCTACTCACCATTTCCCAGGTTAGGAAGAAGGTCACAAGCAGGTACTATTAATAAATTAATGAATGTCAAAGAAGGCCGGGCATGGTGGTTCACACCTGTAATTCTAGCACCTTGGGAGGCCCCAAGTCAGGTGGATCACTTGAGGTCAGGAGTTCAAGACTAGCCTGGCCAACATGGTGAAACCCTGTCTCTATTAAAAATATAAAAATTAGCCGGGCATGGTGGCAGGCACCTGTAATCCCAGCTACTAGGGAGGCTGAGGCAAGAGGATTGCTGGAACCTAGGAGGCGGAGGTTGCAGTGAGCCAAGACTGCGCCACTGCACTCCAGTCTGGGCGACAGAGCAAGACTCCGTCTCAAAAAACAAACAAACAAACAAGCAAACAAAATAATGAATGTCAAATAATAGACAAACACACAGCTCTGCCCTAAACTTGCTGCTTGCCATGTGGATTATAACCAAAAACATTCCAGTTCAGATATCTCATTAGGAAAATAGAATATAAACACTTTCATTTTTTGATAAGAGTTTCATTTGTTTGATAATATCCAAGAAAAGGATCATGGTTTTATGCAAGATTCTACTAGAACAAAGCATCTTTGCACACATTATAACAGTCCTGTGAGATGGGCAAGACAAGGGTTACCAAGACCACTGAACAGGTAACGAGGCAAGGCACAGAGAGGCTCAGCACAGTGTCCGATGGTACACAGATAGTAAGCAGCAAAGCCAAGTCTGCGAGCAAAGTTTTCTGGCTGCTACTCCAGAACGAGCCGTAGGCTCCCTGCCATGATACCTCGGGGATGCTGAGCCACACTGCCTGAAGAACACTGTTCAAGCCACACAGCAGCTCCTTCCTGAGGTGGCCTCTGACAGCTGGACTCTGCTCTCCTGCCTGCCACCCTTGGGCTGCTGCCCTTGGGAGTGCTGGGAGATGGGCTCGGCAGTGCAGAGGCAGCAGCAGGAGGAAGAAGAGAACTTTCCCCCACTTTGGAGCTAGAAGGTGGGTCTTGAGCATAATGCTCAGATAAGGGAAGAGTCCCAGGTAGTCTCGTACATCTATTTACCCAACTCCACTCACCTCCATAGCAATGCCTCCTGCCCTCCAACTCATCAACTCAACACCAGCTGCCAGACTTTGTGCCAGGCACCAACCAGCAGAAACCAGTGAGGCCAGCAGCCCTCACGAAAGCTCACCATGTGGTTAAGAAACCACCCGCTGGGTGATGAGTTCTGCGTGCCAACAGCATGTCACTGGAGTGTCAGTGACCAACTGACTTCAAAGTTGGGAAGGTCTGGGGGCTTCCTCAGGTATGCACATTTGTATAAGATTTCAAAGAATATCCCTGTAGAGCTTTTTGTTGTTGCTGATGCATAACAGATGTACATGTGATAATCACAAAGCACATGTGATAATCAATATATTCATGCAATTTGTAAAGATCAGATCAATGTATTTGGGATATCCATCACCTTAAATATTTGTCTTTTCTTCATGCTAGAATCATTCAAATTCTTCTCTTCTAGCTATTTTAAAATATACAATAGGCTATTATGAACTACAGTTACCCTACTGATCTACCTCACACTAGGGCATAGAGCTCTGTGGATTCATTCAGAGATTCAAAAACATTATCTGGGAATTCTGCTTCTGGCCAAGATGGAGTAACAAGAACCAGATTTACCTTACCTACTGAAACAACCAAATAGATAATATATATAAAACAACAGTTTCAGGAAATCAGTTATGAGGCAACAGAGGATAGTGACATCCGAGAAACAGGCGACAAATGAAGAGAACCCTACAACTGCTCCAACTTACTGCCTTGATGGCGTTCCCACTGTGGCTCAGGGAGGGGAAATCCAGGCAGAGCCCAGCAGACTCTCCCAGTTGAGGAGATGGAGCTAAGAGTCCAAGGAGACCAAGAAGCCATAGTTTGCAAGACAGAATACTGCAGATGAGAGGAGCTATCTAGAGAGGGGACTCCAGAGATCTGCAGAGGCCCCCCCAAGTATACAGCAGGGTACGGGTCATCACATGCATGTGAGTAAACTACCCAGTGCCAGAGAAAGAACTACCAGAAAGGATGGGAAGGAACAGTACCCAACATTCACACAGAGCAGGGAATGGTACCTCTTCTTACCAGCTAGACTGAAAAACTTCATAATTCACAGGGTATTGAGTAGAGTATACAAAAGGACCTGCGTCAGTAGTGGGACACTATTAACCCTAAAGAAAATAACAGCTTGCTTGCTTAAAAGCAAAACCTGAAAGAATCAAGCTGTTCTCAAGTAACTTCACTGTACCCCAGAACAAAGCTCAAGAATATATATACGGGGCCAGGTGCAGTGGCTCACGCCTGTAATCCCAGCAATTTGGAAGGCCGAGGTGGGTGGATCACCTGAGGTCAGAAGTTTGAGACCAGCCTGACCAACATGGTGAAACCCTGTCTCTATTAAAATATAAAAATTAGCCATGCATGGTGGCGGGCACCTGTAATTTTAGCTACTCGGTAGGCTGAGGCAGGAGAATCACTTGAACCCAGGAGGTGGAGGTTGCAATGAGCCGAGATCATGCCACTGCACTCCAGCCTGGGCAACAAGAGAGAAATCCGTCTCAGAAAAAAAAAAAAAAAGAATATGTATAGGGAATCTAAAATATCCAGCATTCAACAAAGTAAAATTCATGTCTGGCATCCAGTAAAAAATTATCAGACATATAAGGAAGCAGGAAAATAGGACACATAATGAGAATAATCAATCAAGCCACACTGACCCAGAACTTGCACCCATGTCACAATTAGCAGACAAGGATATTAAAACAATAATTGTAACTGTATTGCATTCAAAAAGTAAAGTAGATATCAAGATATAAGATATTAAAAATATCAAATCGACCTGGGAGGCAGAGGTTGCAGTGAGCCAAGATCAAGCCATTGCACTCCAGCCTGGGCGAAAGAGTGAGACCCTGTCTCAAAAAAATAACTAAATAAAAATAAAAACAATCAAATTGGCCGGGCTCGGTGGCTCACACCTGTAATCTCAGCACTTTGGGAGGCTGAGGCGGGTAGATCACCTGAGGTCGGGAGTTCGAGACCAGCCTGACCAACATGGAGAAACCCCATCTCTACTAAAAATACAAAATTAGCCTGGCGTGGTGGCGCATGCTTGTAATCCCAGCTTTTTGGGAGGCTGAGGCAGGAGAATCGCTTGAACTTAGGAGGCAGAGGTTGTGGTGAGCCGAGATAGTGCCATTGCACTCCAGCCTGGGCAACAAGAGCAAAACTCTGTCTCGGGAAAAAAAAAAAGATCAAATTGTACCCTTTTTTTTTTTTTTTTTGAAACTGAGTCTTGCTCTATCGTCCAGGTTGGAGTGCAGTGGCACAATCTCAGCTCACTGCAGCCTCCACCTCCCGGGTTCAAGCAATTCTCCTGCCTCAGCCTCCCAAGTAGCTGGGATTATAGGTGCCTGCCACCACACCTGACTAATTTTTGTATTTTTTAGTAGAGATGAGGTTTCGCCATGTTGGCCAGGCTGGTCTCGAACTCCTGACCTCGGGTGATCCTCCCGCCTCGGCATCCCAAAATGCTGGGATTGCAGGCATGAGCCACCGCGCCTGGCTTTCTTTCCTTTTTTTTTTTTTTTGAGATGGAGTCTCCCTTTATTGCCCAGGCTGAGTGCAGTGGCACCATCTCGGCTCACTGCAACCTCCACCTCCCAGGTTCAAGCAATTCTCCTGCCTCAGCTTCCTGAGTAGCTGGGATTACAGGCACCCACCACCACACCCAGCTAATTTTTGTATTTTTTTAGTAGAGATGGGGTTTCGCCATATTGGTCAGGCTGGTCTCAAACTCCTGGCCCCAAGTGATCTGCCTGCCTCAGCCTCCCAAAGTGCTGGGATTACAGGTGTGAGCCAGCGAGCCACCAGGCCTAGCCTTTTTCTTTTCTTTTTTTTTTTTTTTTTTTTTTTTGAGACAGGGTCTCGCTCTGTCACCCAGGCTGGAGTACAGTGGCACAACCACCTCCCGGGTTCAAGCGATTCTACCACCTCAGCCTCCCAAGCAGCTAGGATTACAGGCATGAGCCACTGCACCCAGCTAATTATTTTGTCTTTGTTTTTTTGGTTTTTTTTGAGACAGAGTCTTGCTCTGTAGCACAGGCTGGAGTGCAGTGGCACGATCTCACTCACTGCTACCTCCTCCTGGGTTCCGGTTCAAGGAATTCTCCTGCCTCAGCCTCCTGAATAGCTGGGATTACAGGCATGTGCCACCATGCCCAGCTAATTTTTGTATTTTTAGTAGAGACGGGGTTTCATCATGTTGGCCAGGCTGGTCTGGAACTCCTGACCTCGTGATCCACCCACCTTGGCCTCCCAAAGTGCTGGGATTACAGGCGTGAGCCACCATGCCCAGCCTAATTATTTTGTATTTTTGCTAGAGATGGGGTTTTGCCATGTTGGCCAGGCTGGTCTCAAACTCCTGGCCTCAAGTAATCTGCCCGCCTCAGCCTCCCAAATTCTGGGATTACAGGCATGAGCCACCGTGCCCAGCCCAAATCGTACTTTTAAAGACGTAAATTATAATAACTACAATGTCTGAGATGAAAATTGCACTCTATAAGAATAATGGTAAAGTAGACAATACGGAAGAAAATAGTCAACTTGAAGATAGCAATAGAACCTGTCCAGCTCTCCCTCTCCCTCTCCCCCTCCCCCTCTCCCTCCTCTTTCCACGGTCTCCCTCTGATGCCGAGCCGAAGCTGGACTGTACTGCTGCCATCTCGGCTCACTGCAACCTCCCTGCCTGATTCTCCTGCCTCAGCCTGCCGAGTGCCTGCGATTGCAGGCGCGCGCCGCCACGCCTGACTGGTTTTCGTATTTTTTGGGTGGAGACGGGGTTTCGCTGTGTTGGCCGGGCTGGTCTCCAGCTCCTAACCGCGAGTGATCCGCCAGCCTCGGCCTCCCGAGGTGCCGGGATTGCAGGAGTCTCCTTCACTCAGTGCTCAATGGTGCCCAGGCTGGAGTGCAGTGGCGTGATCTCGGCTCGCTACAACATCCACCTCCCAGCAGCCTGCCTTGGCCTCCCAAAGTGCCGAGATTGCAGCCTCTGCCCGGCCGCCACCCTGTCTGGGAAGTGAGGAGCGTCTCTGCCTGGCCGCCCATTGTCTGGGATGTGAGGAGCCCCTCTGCCTGGCTGCCCAGTCTGGAAAGTGAGGAGCATCTCTGCCCGGCCGCCATCCCATCTAGGAAATGAGGAGCGCCTCTTCCCGGCCGCCATCCCATCTAGGAAGTGAGGAGCGTCTCTGCCCGGCCACCCATCGTCTGAGATGTGGGGAGCGCCTCTGCCCTGTCGCCCCGTCCGGGATGTGAGGAGCGTCTCTGCCCGGCCACCCCGTCTGAGAAGTGAGGAGCGTCTCTGCCCGGCCACCCCGTCTGAGAAGTGAGGAGACCCTCTGCCTGGCAACCGCCCTGTCTGAGAAGTGAGGAGCCCCTCCGCCCAGCAGCCACCCCGTCTGAGAAGTGAGGAGCCCCTCCGCCCGGCAGCCACCCCGTCTGGGAAGTGAGGAGCGTCTCCACCCGGCAGCCACCCCGTCCGGGAGGGAGGTGGGGGGGTCAGCCCCCCACCTGGCCAGCCGCCCCGTCCGGGAGGTCAGGGGCGCCTCTGCCCGGCCGCCCCTACTGGGAAGTGAGGAGCCCCTCTGCCTGGCCAGCCGCCCCGTCCGGGAGGGAGATGGGAGCGTCAGCCCCCCGCCCGGCCAGCCGCCCCGTCCGGGAGGTGAGGGGCGCCTCTGCCCGGCCGCCCCTACTGGGAAGTGAGGAGCCCCTCTGCCCGGCCACCACCCCGTCTGGGAGGTGTACCCAACAGCTCATTGAGAACGGGCCATGATGACAATGGCAGTTTTGTGGAATAGAAAGGGGGGAAAGGTGGGGAAAAGATTGAGAAATCGGATGGTTGCCGTGTCTGTGTAGAAAGAGGTAGACATGGGAGACTTTTCATTTTGTTCTGTACTAAGAAAAATTCTTCTGCCTTGGGATCCTGTTGATCTGTGACCTTACCCCCAACCCTGTGCTCTCTGAAACATGTGCTGTGTCCACTCAGGGTTAAATGGATTAAGGGCGGTGCAAGATGTGCTTTGTTAAACAGACGCTTGAAGGCAGCATGCTCGTTAAGAGTCATCACCACTCCCTAATCTCAAGTACCCAGGGACACAAACACTGCGGAAGGCCGCAGGGTCCTCTGCCTAGGAAAACCAGAGACCTTTGTTCACTTGTTTATCTGCTGACCTTCCCTCCACTATTGTCCTGTGACCCTGCCAAATCCCCCTCTGCGAGAAACACCCAAGAATGATCAATAAAAAAATAAATAAATAAATAAATAAATAAATAAAAAGAACCTATCCAAAATGAAACACACAGGAAAAAAAAAAAGAATGGAAAGAAATTAAGAGCATCAGTGGGCCGTAGGACAATTTCAAGTGGTCTAATGTACAGTAACTGGAGTACTGGCAAGAGAAGAGAGTGGAGGAACAGAAAAATATTTGAAGAAATTATAGCCAAAAACTTTCCAAACTTGGTGAAAACTATAAATCCATAGATCTAAGAAGCTCAACAAAACCCAAACTCAATGAACTACAACAAAGCACATCACAATCAAATTGCTCAAAACCAGTGACAAAGAAAAAAATCTTTAAAGCAGCCAGAGGAAAAAAAACAAAACATCATGTAGAGAGGAACAAAGGATAACAACAGGTTTCTCACTGGAAACAAAGCAAGCAAGAGTGCGACTCCATCTCAAAAAAAAAGAAAAAAATGATTTTGGCTGGGCATGGTGGCTCACGCCTGTACTCCCAGCACTTAGGGAGACCGAGGCAGGTGGATGACTTGAGGTCAGGAGTTCCAGAACAGCCTAGCCAACATGGTGAAACCCTGTATCTACTAAAAATACAAAAAAAAAAATTAGCCTGGCATGGTAGCGGGCGCCCGTAATCCCAGCTGCTCGGGAGGCCGAGGCAAGAGAATCGCTTGAACCCAGGAGGTGGAGGTTGCAGTGACCTGAGATAGTGCCACTGCACTCCAGCCTGGGCTACAGAGCGAGACTCCATCTCAAAAAAAAAAAAAATAATAAGTGAAATAAATACTTCTTCACTTCTTCAGACATACAAAAGATAAAAGAATTCATTACCAGCGAACCCACATGACAAAAATCTTCAAGGAACTCCTTCAGGCAGAAGAAAAATGTTAACAGATGGAAATATGGATCCACATAAAGAAATAGAGAAACCAAAATGGTAACTACATGGATAAATATACACAATTCTTTCCAAAAATCTAGCTATAAAGGGGGCGAGGAAGGTAGGGTAGATTCGCTACAGGCAAGGAAGACTAAGGGAGGTTTCTATTTTGCTATTTGGAACATAGGAGCAATCTGAGGATACACAAAGCTGATGAGAAAGCAGGTAAGAAGGGGCTGGGCGCGTGGCTCACACCTGTAATCCCAGTACTTTGGGAGGCCAAGGAGGGCGGATCCCTTGAGGTCAGGAGTTCGAGACCAGCTTGGCCAACATGTTGAAATCCCGTCTGTACTAAAAATACAAAAATTAGCCAGATGTGGCGGCATGCACCGGTAATCCCAGCTACTTGGGAGGCTGAGGCAGGAGAATCACTTGAACCTGGGAGGCAGAGGCTGCAGTGAGCCGAGAATCACGCCACTGCACTCCAGCCTGGGTGACAGAGCAAGGCTCTGTATCCAAAAAAAAAAAAAAAAAGGCAGGTAAGAAGGGAGAGGTGGCAATGGAGGTTACATAGGACAGAGTTTAAGGCTTGGGCAGCAAAGTGAGTCTTTAGCAGAAGGTCAAGCACTTCTGTGACTACAATCCAGAGAAGCGGCTGGGTGCCTGGGAAGGGAGCTTTGCCAAATTGGTGGAGGGGCGGGATCACATTGGCGGTATTTCTATAGCCTTTTATTTCTATAGCCTTTGGTTAATGAGTGTGTATTGCCTGTATGATCAGAAGAAAAAACAAACACACATGTTTTCTGTGTCAGCCACAAGACAAAGCAGGAAATGAAGCCAGAGAGGCTAAGAGTCTGGAAAAGAAAGGATGCCAGGTTTGGGGTCCAACCCAACTCCCAAACACCACAGTTCTTCAGAGATTTGCTCTTGCTACCTAATCAACATTCTAGATTCCACAAGTAAATGAAGAATGCCAAAACGAAGAACCTCAGGATAAAAAAATCAGGGCACAAATTTTAATCTGGTTCTCTCTGATGACCCTCAGATAGCCCCTGCACAAAATCAAAAGGGAATGTAAGTGGTGCATGGAGCTGGTATTTTAAGTTCAAGAGTGTTGTCCCCTCCATCCCCCTGCACATTGTAAAAATATTTAAGTACACAGTACAGATTAGGAACAAAAAAATCTTATGCCTTCAGGTACCAACGTTTTCATTTAGGAATTAGGAAGAAAAGAAACACTGAATTATTCCACACGAAAATAAAAATGTCATACTATGTGACAGTCATTGAACCCTCCCTTGGTAATGTGCTTTTATTTTTTATTTTCTTTGAGACAGAGTCTTGCTCTGTTGTCCGGGCTGGAGTGCAGTGGCACGATCTCAGCTCACTGCAGCCTCCATCTCCTGGGTTCAAGCAATTCTCCTGCCTTAGCCTCCCAAATAGCTGGGATTACAGATGCGCACCACCACACCTGGCTACTTTTTTTATTTTTAGTAGAGATGGGGTTTCACCATGTTGGCCAGGCTGGTCTCAAACTTCTGGCCTCAAATGATCCAGCCACCTCGGCCTCCCAGTGTGCTGGGATTACAGGCGTGAGCCACTGCACCCGACTGGTAATGTGCCTTTTAAGAGACTGCAGTTTGAGCTATACATAAAGTGATAATTATTGCATCACTGGCAGCAAAGAAGTTGTCTGAAGGACAAGTGTGAGGGCACCATGCCAATTCTGCCAGGGAGCCCTAGCCTAGGTCAGCACCTTCACACCCTTCCAGCTTTTCTCAGAAGGCTCTTTACCAGCTGCAGGTGTTTTCACAATGGCTTCTGGCAGGAAAGGCAAATGAGGAGGGACCAAAAACAGTCAAGGGTTGGAGGGACAGCAATCCATACTTTCCATAGGCAATACTGTGTGCTCATTTAGCAAATGGAGACAATACCACCAAAATGTAGAAAATTATGAGGCTACTGTGAAGATTAAATGAGAAAAGATGTGTATGGTCCCTGCCACAGGTTAAACACTCCATAAATGGCTGTGGTGATGATGATGATTATGATGAGTGGTGTTTACAATTCAAAGAGATGGAAAGGCACAATAACTAAGTTCTATTAATTAACCTGCACACTGGGCTTGCTGGTTCATACCTGTAATCCTAACACTTTGGGAGGCCAAGGCAGGCAGATTACTTGAGGTCAGGAATTCAAGACCAGCCTGGCCAACATGGTGAAACCCCATCTCTACTAAAAAATACAAAAATTAGGCCAGGCGCAGTGGCTCACGCCTGTAATCCCAGCACTTTGGGAGGTCAAGGCGGGCAGATCACCTGAGGTCAGGAGTTCGAGACCAGCCTGGCCAACATGGCGAAACCCCATCTCTACTAAAAATACCAAAAATTAGCCGGGGTGTAGTGACGGGTGCCTGTAATCCCAGCTACTCAGGAAGCTGAGACAAGAGAATCGCTTGAACCCGGGAGGCAGAGGTTGCAATGAGCCAAGATCGCACCATTGCTCCAGCCTGAGCAACAAGAGCAAAACTCCATCTCAAAAAAAAAAAAAAAAATTAGCCAGGCATGGTGGCGCATGCCTGTAATCCCAGCTACTCGGGAGGCTGAGGCAGGAGAATCATTTGAACCCAGGAGGTGGAGGTTGCAGTGAGCCAAGATGGTGCCACTGCACTCCAGCCTGGGTGACAAGAGCAAGACTCCTTCTCAAAAAGAAAAAAAAAAATTTCACCTGCTAAACACATTCACAATCCATCTACTTTCCCCATCCCAACTAACACTTCTCAGCAAAGGCCACAGCCAATTCTTGTCTGGGCAACTACTGTAGCCACCTAAACTGGTCTCCCTGGTCAGCCTGCTATCCCCCCTCCAGACCCTGACCTTCACAGCAATACAAGTGAAACTGAAAGATAAAAGGCATATCTGATCATGTCACTCCCCTGCTAAAACTCTTTCAGTGGCTTCCCCTACCCTGTGAATGCATCTGCATTCTGTAGCAGAGCTACCAGGCCCCAATGTGGCCTCTGTCTGCACTCTCACCTGTGGCCATCAGATCCCTCTAGTCCCTGATCATTTACACTCCTCCTATCCCCACCTGCCTTAGAGCCTTCCTGAGGGCTGTTTCTCTGCTGGGAAGCTTCCTCCTGCCAAATCCTTCATCCTCCTCATTCAGATCTCACCCTAAATGTCACCTCTGTAAGGACACATTCCCTGACCCTCAGACCAGGGTGGGAGGTCTCCCATTACAGTTCCCAAAAACGCCCTGGGACTCTCCTTGATGCATTTCTCAGTCTTGCAATTTTCTTAGTAATTTGTAGTTATTTAGTGGCTGCCTTCCCCAAAGGCCTGCTGCTCTAACTCACCACTGGATCCCCAGTGCTCAGCACAGTGTTTAGCATATGATGAGTGCTCAGTAAGAATTTGCTAGCTGACTGCCTAGGGAAGAGTGGCATAGGGGTATTGAAGCCAGGAGTTTGCTTCCATTCCTAGACACCTGGATAGCATTGCTACCTCCAGGTTGCTTAGTCTCTCAGGGCCTCAGCACCTGAGGCCAGCATAATCTGCCAGTGGCATCCTCTGCAGAAAAAAAAAAAAAAAAAACACCTCAGATTTTCAGCTACTCTGAGAAGAAATCAGCTGGTGAAGTTTCTTCTGTCTTCACCCCATTCATGGCCTGGCCATGATGACCAAAGACCCAAGCTGAACCCTGAATCAGCCAGGGTTCTGCCAGGAAACAGCACATTTAACTTGGGCAAGTTGAGGAGAGTTTAATGAAGGGACCACTAATGTGTAGGCTGGGTGCAGAGAAATGAAAAGCAATGGTAAGGAATTCCAAGGCCAGTAACAGTAGAGGAGGAGCCAGTTACCACTCATAGACCTTAAGAGTCTGGAGAGAGAAGTAGTCACAGAACCTTGAAACATCAAGGGTAACACAGAGGGCAGCTTTCTAGAATTCAATGCTTTCCACCGGGGGCAAAGCCAGCCTTCAATAACTTCTCAGGGAGGGAGCGGAGAGAATCAATACCCTGACCTCACTCTCCCCTCATTCCAACACAATGGAAGCAAGACGGTAGGACAGCTGGTATTTATTCCACACAGGACAGCCACACAGGGCACAGAGCACGGTGGAGGGGCTGAAACAGAAGATATCCAACCCATGCCATCCCCTCTGTGAGGCTAGCAGTTAAGTATAGTGAAAATGCAGAGGTTGGGCTCTGAAGTCAGGCAGACATGGGCTTGAATCAAGGCTCCTCAACTTCTGGCTGTATGACCTTGTCAAAGGACTTATTGGCTCTGAGTCTTAAGTTACTTCTATAAAATGAGCATGATAACATCTACTGCATATGCATTTAAAAATTACTAAGGCCAGGCACGGTGGCTCAAGCCTGTAATCCCAGCACTCTGGGAGGCCGAGGTGGGTGGATCACCTGAGGTCAGGAGTTCCAGACCAGCGTGGCCAACATGGTGGACCATCATCTCTACTAAAAATACAAAAATTAGCCCAGTGTGGTGGCAGGCACCTGTAATCCCAGCTACTCAGGAGGCTGAGGCACGAGAATCGCTTGAACCCGGGAGTCAGAGGTTGCAGTGAGCCAAGATCGCGCCACTGCACTCCAGCCTGGGCAACAGAGCGAGACTCCATCTCAAAAAAAAATAAAAATAAAAATTACATAAACCGGGAGCAGTGGCTCACATCTGTAATCCCAGCACTTTGGGAAACAGGTGGGAGGATCACTTAAGCCCAGGAGTTCAAGGCTGCAGGGAGCCATGATGGGCCACTGCACTCCCGCCTGGGCAACAGAGCAAGCCCTCATCCCTTAAAAAAACAAAAACAAAACAGTAAAGATTCCAAAAGATGATGCTCGTAAAGCACTGAGCACAGCATCTGGTACACAGTGAGCGCTTTCATTCATGGTAATTGTGTTACTATGACTCACCCTTCTCCACAACTCTCTGCTGTCCTGCCTCCATCCAGGACACCCCAGGGAAAAGAAAGACCTGCCTATTCCTGTTAAGGTCTAAATGACAAGCGAGACCGAGGGTCTGGACTTTAACAGGACTATGAGGAGTGGGGTGAAGGAGCATGAAAGTAAGGCCTCCACTCTCCACCCTCGCCATGCCTCTAGAGTGGCTGCCTTCCCTACCGGCAAGTTGGGGGTTACCGGGAGTCTCCCGTGTTTCTCGTCTGTTTTTCATGCAGGGAGCTGAGCAAGACTGGCCTCCTTAAGACAGTGGTCCAGCAGCGTGGACTCCAGACTGGGCTTTGGCGTCAGAGAGACAGGCTTCTGCCACGTATCAGAAGCGCAAACTTAGGCGGGGCCTGAGCATCTTCATCTGTGAAATGGAGACACTAAACGGAACCGATCTGACAGGGTTTGTGGGAGCATTAAATGGGATAATGATGTAAATAAAGCACGATGCACAGTTCCTGGCTCCTAATACGGCCACAACAATGTCGGTATTTGATATAATGTTATTAATAATAAATTGCTTATCACCAGAGGGTATGCCTCAGCAGCGCTTACCGCACTGTCCCTCCTGGCTACCAGCCACGGGCTGAGGGCGGCCTGAACGCGGCCCAACCACCCCCGGGCTCCCGTCCACCGGCCCTCAGCCCACCGGCCCCCTTTCGCGGGCCACCAGCGGGCGGTGCGCGGGGAGAGAAGTCGGGGAGACGCGCCCGGGGAGACGCCAAGAAGGGGCGAGTCGCGCACCGCCGGCCTTCGCGCAGGTCCAGAGCGTCGCCCGGGTGGACCTCAGCTCGCCCCATCATCTCATGCACCGCCCCCGGCCCACACTCACCCTCCACGCCGCGGACGGGAAGTCCCAGCACCCACAGCAATACTTGCCACCAGCCGAGGAGCCGCATGACGCGGGGCGGTCGTCGACCGGCAGCCGGGACCATTGCCCAGGCCGAGAGGCAATCGGCGCACGGCTACGCGAGTCGTGCTGCCAGCCGGAGGAAGGCTGGGGGAGGAGAGCCTGGGAGCGCGGGCGCGGCCCCGCGCCGCCATCTTAACACCTGGCAGCTGTGGCGGGCGCCATCTTGGAGTCGGGCGGACGGCCTCTAGCCGCTGGCCGTCGGCGCTGGACTGGAGACCTCTTTAGGAGCTAAGCGCCAGACGTTGCAGGTCGTTTTGAACTCTGCTGACCCCAGAGTGCAGAGCATGGCTCTGGCAGAGGCCCATGGCCTCCTTTCTTCCCTCGGAAGTCAGAGCTTGGCTACTTGAAGCACTGCGCCCGCCTAAGGAGGGTTTTCCACGCTTCATTCCCAGAGCCAGAAAGGCCCAGGAGCCTTCCTGTTCTAGTGTCCCATCGAGGTGCAGAAACTTTGGAGGCTGCAAATCTTCTAATCGCTTGCCTAACCTGTGCTCCCCTACCTAGGGTTGCCACATAGAATACCTGATACCCAGTTATATTTGAATTTCACATAATGAATATTTTTTACTATAACCCTTATAGTATAAGGGATATACCTTAAAACTGAGCATCCTGTAACTTCGTGACATCTGGCAACCCTAACCCTACCTATCCACTCAGGGCAGGAGAGGTTGGTTTTAACTGATTTACCTTGCAGGGCAATCTCTTTTTAATCATGGTTGGGGCCGTGAGCATCATTGGCTCTGGCTCATGGTGGAGGTGGAGCCACCTCGAGCATAAAGTAGATAGGAAAGGGCTTAGAATGAAGAAAGCATAGATGGGGAGATGAGGAACAGGGCTCTGCATTCCCAAGCAAACGCACAGAGCGGGAGTCTTAAGAGAAAATTCTTGGAATAGAGAGGATGACACCACTAATTGGGGTATTTTGCCGGGGGGCCTGCTAAAATGGAATAAGGCAAGCTTTAAGCAGCCACCAGTCAGTGCTAAATCAGTGCAGAGTGCAGCTTTTCAAACTTATGAGGTTGAAAAAATAGAAACTGATTTAAAATACATCAGTCTATTGGTTAACATAGCAATGGTAAGGGGAACCTGTGCTTTTTGGCCGCTTGGTGAATCCCAACTTCAGCACATGTGATAGTTCACAGTCAGCAGGTTATGTAACTTAAAGTTAAGTTTCTTCAGCTGTAAAGTGGAAATGACGTTATATAGAGTCTTATAGATGAAATGAGATGTAAAGTGATGAGCACAGTGTCCTGGGGCACAGGAAGCATTTCAAAGTGGTAGGCATTATTAATTGAATAATACAATTCTGATGGTGTGGCCATAGTCCCCTTATCTCTATGCCCATCAAAAAGACACTGTTAGGCCAGAAAGATGCATCATTAATCTGTCCCTGTGGATGATTCTTTTATTCTAAATACGTTGGTATGGTTTTGCTGTTGTAGATCCTCAAGTGCCATCTTGTGGGTCCAGAAGAATATGAAACAATGGACATGGATAAAAGAGCCCACAGTTCTAGAGCTTATTACTAGTCATCATTTCGCTAAGTACCTCCCTCACCCCTAACAGTGGAACAACAAACCTTTCCTTTTTAAACTATCTTTCTCATACCCCCATACATGATTTGAAGGTGCATGAAAAGCCAACAGGACAGAGCACCAAAAGGATTTATGACTAATGAAAAGGAAGCTGATCTGGATACTCCAACATGGATGCCCTGTGGTTACTACTCCTTCCTTTTTATTATCTCCTTTCCTTTCCTGTATGTGTGTTTGTTTGATTTTTTTATTTTTTGAGACAAGAGTTTCGCTCTTGTTGCCCAGGCTGGAGTGCAATGGCGCGATCTTGGCTCACTGCAATCTCCACCTCCCCGGGTTCAAGCAATTCTCCTATCTCAGCCTCCCAAGTAGCTGGGATTACAGGCATGCGCCACCACGCCCGACTAATTTTATATTTTTAGTAGAGATGGGGTTTCACCATGTTGGTCAGACTGGTCTCAAACTCCTGACCTCAGGTGATCCACCCGCCTTGGCCTCCCAAAGTGTTGGGATTACAGGCATGAGCCACTGCGCCCGGCCCCTTCCTGTGTTTTTACTTTAGCTCTGTGTTTGGGACAGATACGCTTACAGATGTTAGAATTAGATGTTAGAATTGGATGTTAGAATTGTCTTTCAATTTTTTTTTTTTTTTAGGCACAGTCTCGCTGTCACCCAGGTGCAATTGCTCAGTTATGGCTCATTGCAGCCACAACCCCTTGGGCTCAAGCGATCTTCCCACCCCGTTTTTAAATTTTTTTCTAGAGATGAGGTCTCACTGTTTGACCCAGTTTGATTTCAAACTCCTGGGCTCAAGCAGTCCTCCCGCCTCGGCCTCCCAAAGGGCTGGGATTACAGGCTTGAGCGTCTTTGAATAAATACTGTATATACCCCCTCTAATGACAACAAATGTAGTCCACAGGTTAGAATCCTTATTTAACTGTCTCACCACCAACGTGCACTTCTTTTCAGTGAGAAAACTGCCTTCACAATTGTCCTGGTTTCTATCAAATTTCTGGGGGTGAGGAAAGAAAAGCTGACATTATTCTCTTCCTTTGGCTGAAATTAAATCCGCCAAATTTGTCTTGCTATCTCAAAAGGCCTTTCTGTGAGTCTGGGACATCTTATATCAAAATGCAAAACTTAAATATATAAGTAAATAAATAAATAAAAGAATACCAGGGTACTACGGTCATTTAGAATGACTGAGGAACCAAACTGGCTCCTACTTGCCAAAGATGGGATGATTTGAGCATAAAAATGAAAAATTTCAATAGACTGAAATACACTGCATATGTTAACATCTATGAGTTCACACTGCTAACAAAATTTTTTTAAAACTAGTCGGCCGGGCGCAGTGGCTCATGCCTGTAATCCCAGCACTTTGGGAGGCCGAGGCGTACTGATCACCTGAGGTCAGGAATTCAAGACCAGCCTGACCAACATGGAAAAACCCCGTCTCTACTAAAAATACAAAATTAGCTGGGCATAGTGGCTGCATGCCTGTAATCCCAGCTACTCAGGAGGCTGAGGCAGGAGAATCGCTTGAAACCGAAAGGCGGAGGTTGTGGTGAGCCGAGATCACGCCATTGCACTCCAGCCTGGGCAACAAGAGCGAAATTCCATCTCAAAAAAAAAAAAAAAAAAGAGAATGTAATTGGATTACTTGTAAATCAAGGATAAATTCTCGAGCGGATGGATACTCCAATCTCCCTGATATGCTTATTTCACATTGCATGCCTGTATCCAAACATCTCTGGGCCAGGCGCGGTGGCTCAACCCTGTAATCCCAGCAGTTTAGGAGGCCAAGGTGAGCAGATCACTTGAGGCCAGGAGTTCGAGACCAGCCTGACCAACATGGTGAAACCCCATCTCTACTAAAAAATACAATAATTAGCCGGGCATGGTGGCCCATGCTTGTAATCCCTGCTACCCAGAAGGATGAGGCAGGAGAATCACTTAAAACCCGGGGGGTGGCCGGGTGCGGTGACTCAGTCCTGCAATCCTAGCACTTTGGGATGCTGAGGCTGGTGAATTGCCTGAGCTCACGAGACCAGCCTGGGCAACACGATGAAACCCCGTCTCTACTAAAATACAATAGAAATTAGCCAGGCATGGCGGCATGTGCCTGTAGTCCCTGCTACACGGGAGGCTGAAGCAGGAGAATTGCTTAAACCCGGGAGGCAGAGGTTGTAGTGAGCCAAGATCAGGCCACTGCACTCTAGGCTGGGCAACAGAGTGAGACTCCGATTCTTAAAAAAAAAAAAAAGAATCCCGGTTGGGTGGAAGTTGCAATAAGCCGAGATCCTGCCACTGCACACCAGCCTCGGCAACAGAGCAAGACTCTGTCTCAAAAAACAAAAACAAAAAGAAACTCATTTATTCCATAAATATATACACCTACTATGTACTGGCAATTTTTTTTTCTCTTTTCTTTTTCCTCGAGACAGAGTTTCACTCTTGTTGCCCAGGCTAGAGTGCAATGGCGCAACCTCGGCTCACCGCAACCTCTGCCTCCCGGGTGCAAGCTATTCTCCTGCCTCAGCCTCCCGAGTAGCTGGGACTACAGGCATGCGCCAGCACGCCTGCCTAATTTTGTATTTTTAGTAGAGACAGGGTTTCTCCATATTGGTCAGGCTGGTCTCAAACTCCCGACCTCAGGTGATCCACCCGCCTTGGCCTCCCAAACTGCTAGGATTACAGGCATGAGTCACTGCACCCGGCCAAAAAATTTTTTTAATAATTTAAAAATTAACAAAAACAACAACAAAAACTACCAGAGATAATAAGTGAGTTTTGGAAGGTTGCCAGATAGAAGGTCACTATGCAGAAAACAGACTATATTTATATATGCTACCAAAAATCAAAAAAAACTTCTATTCACAGTAGCATCAAAAATAATAAAATATCTAAGACTCAATTCAACAAAAGAAGTTCAAGTTTTATACACTAAAACATAAAAAACACGGCTGAAAGAAATCAAGACAGATGAAAATCAGTGGAGAGACATACTATGTTCTGGATTGAAAGACAATATTGTTATGATGGCAATTCTGTCCAAATTGATCTATAGATACAACTCCTAAAAAAATCCTAGAGATTTGTAGAAATTGACAAACTGATCCTAAAATCTATATGAAACAACCAAAATGATTTTGAAAAAGTAGGAAGACTTACATTACCTGATTTCAAAACTTTAATTAAACTACAGTAATCAAGACTGTGGTATCGGCATAGGTATTAGCAGACAGATCACCAAATTAGACAAGTTAGCCCAGATATACACCTACACATCTACAGTCAACTGATCTTCAGTAAACATGACAAAGCAATTCCAGATGGAAAGGATAGCCAGTGCAGTGGCTCACACCTGTAATCCCATCACTTTGGGAGGCCGAGGCAGGCAGATCACGAGGTCAGGAGTTTGAGACCAGCCTGGCTAACACAGTGAAACCCCATCTCTACTAAAAATACAAAAAATTAGCCGGGTGTGGTGGCGGGCGCCTGTAATCCTAGCTATTTGGGAGCCTGAGGCAGAAGAATGGCATGAACCTGGGAAGCAGAGGTTGCAGCAAGCCGAGATCGCACCACTGCACACCAGCCCAGGTGACAGTGCCAGACTCCGTCTCAAAAAAAAAAAAAAAAATGGAAAGGATAGTCTTTCCACCAAATTGTGCTAGATTAATTGGATAGACACACACACACACACAAAATTAACAATGGGTAAAATTTATGATATGTAAATTATACTTCAATAAAAAGAAATAGCCGGGCGCCGTGGCTCACACCTGTAATCCCAGCACTTTGGGAGGCCGAGGTGGGCGGATCATGAGGTCAAGAGTTCGAAACCATCCTGGCGAACATGGTGAAACCCCCGCCTCTACTAAAAATACAAAAATTAGCTGGGCGTGGTGGCTCACCCCTGTAGTCCCAGCTACTCGGGAGGCTGAGGCAGGAGAATCACTTGAACCCGGGAGGCGGAAGTTGCAGTAAGTGGAGATCTGCCACTGCACGCCAGCCCGGGCAACAGAGCGAGATTCCCTCTCAAAAAATAAATAAATAAATAAAAATAAAAATAAATAACAACTAAAAAACATTTTTAAAATGCTGGAACAGTTAGGACAATTTTAACACTAGATGCTTGATACTTATAAACATTGTTGATTTTTTAAATTGTAATAGTGGTACTGTGCTTATGCTTTGAAAAAAGTCTTTAGGCCAGGTGCAGTGGCTCACGCCTGTAATCCCAACACTTTGGGAGGCTGAGGCAGGCAGATCACGAGGTCAGGAGTTCGAGACCAGCCTGGCCAACATGGTGAAACCCTGTCTCTAATAAAATACAAAAATTAGCCAGGGGTGGTGACTGGCACCTGTAATCCCAGCTACTCGGGAGGCTGAGGCAGGAGAATTGCTTGGACCCAGGAGACAGAGGTTGCAGTGAGCTGAGATCATGCCACTGCACTCCAGCCTGGGTAACAGAGTGAGACTCCAACTCAAAAAAAAAAAAAATAAGGCTTTATTTTTAGATATATGTACTAAAATATTTTAGGATAAAATATGACTTGGAGAATTTGCTTCAAAATAACTGAGGGGGACAGGGAGTGGGTGGGGCTATACATGCAAATAGATAGGTTTTGAATTTTTTTTTAATTTTTTTCTGGCTTTTATTTCAAAAGCAGGTATACTCATGAAAGGTCTTAACTTTTTAATTGCTAAAGCTTGGTGATGGACACATAGAAGGTCATTATACTCTATTTTTGCTTTTTGTATATGTTTGAAGTTTCCAAAACAAATTTTTTTAACACAACTTAAAAAAAAAGCCCTCTTTTTGGCATTTTTCTGACAGCCCTACAGTGAGTTACTCTGAAAAAATCATAATCTGCTTCAGTCATCATTCATTCTGCACCTGGCATAATGAGGATGTAATAGTACTTTGCAGTTGTTTTTATTTTTATTTTTTATTTTTGAGATGGAGTCTTGCTCTGTTGCCCAGGCTGGAGTGCAGTGGCGCAATCTCGGCTCACTGCAACCTCCACCTCCTGGGTTTAAACAATTCTCCTGCCTCAGCCTCTTGAGTAGCTGGGATTACAGACACATGCCAAAATGCCTGGCTAATTTTTTTGTATTTTTAGTAGAGACGGGGTTTCACCATGTTGGCCAGGCTGGTGTTGAATTCCTGACCTCAAGTGATCCTCCCACCTCGGCTTCCCAAAGCGCTGGGATTACAGGCGTGAGCCACTGCGCCCAACAGTTATTTGTTTTTATTATGTGACAGAGGAAGCACACCAGCCATTTAAGTAGCTCCCAACATTATTTAAAAGCCACTATCAGCTGGTCAAGGTGGTTCATGCCTGTAATCCCAGTACTTTGGGGGACCCAGGCAGATCACTTGAGTCCAGGAGTTCGAGACCATCCTGGGCAATGAGGCGAAACCCCTGTCTCTCCAAAATATACAAAAAATAGCCAGGTGTGGTGTTGTGTGCCTGTAGTCCCAGCTACTCAGGAGGTTGAGGTGGATAGATTGCTTGAGCTCAGGAGGTAGAGGTTGCAGTGAGCCGAGATCGCACCACAGCACTCCAGCCTAGGTGACAAAGTGAGACCCAGTCTCAAAAAAATAAAAACGAAAATAAAAGCCACCATCATCATCATTTATAAATGACTTTTTTTTTTTTTTTTGAGAGAGAGTCTCACTCTTTCGCCAGGCTGGAGTGCAGTGGCACGATCTCGGCTCACTGCAACCTCTGCCTCCCAGGTTCAAGCAATTCTCCTGCCTCAGCCTCCTGAGTAGCTGGGACTACAGGCAAGCACCACCACGCCCAGCTAATTTTTGTATTTTTAGTAGAGACGGGGTTTCACCATGTTGGCCAGAATGGTCTCAATCTCTTGACCTTGTGATCCGCCCGCCTCAGCCTCCCAAAGTGCTGGGATTACAGGCATGAGCCACCGCGCCCGGCCTATTTATGAATGATTTTTTAATCTGATACTTCTGAGCTTAAAGAGAATAAACACAATAACCAGCTTTTTCGGTGAAATCGTCTAAAAATTCACCTAAGGCTTAGGAATAGGCGGATGGACTGTAGTTTCACTTGCTATGCACTAAAATCATTAGCTAATTTATGAGATAAAACATGTTTAAAATATCAGAGTGAATAAAAATTGACATTACATGGTTTAAGTTTTACACATCTTAAGACGTTTGTTTCCTCTTTCTTCCTTTTTTTTTTTTTTTTTTTGAGATGGAGTCTCGCTCTGTCACCCAGGCTGGAGTGCAGTGGTGCGATCTCCACTCGCTGCAAGCTGTGCCTCCTGGGTTCACGCCATTCTCCTGCCTCAGCCCCCCTGAGTAGCTGGGACTACAGGCGCCCACCACCATGCCCGGCTAATTTTTTGTATTTTTTAGTAGAGACGGTGTTTCACCGTGTTAGCCAGGATGGTCTCGATCTTCTGACCTCGTGATCCGCCCGCCTTGGCCTCCCATAATGCTGGGATTACAGGCGTGAGCCACCGCGCCCGACTGGCATTTGTTTTGTAATACGAGTTCCTTGAGGATACTGACTTACGTCTTGTTTGATATGGGAGCTGCCACATTGTAGAGCAGATGCTCAGAAACTATTAAGGTTTGTTGAATTGTTAAGTCAACTGAAAACATAGAAAATTATTACTAATTAGGCCGGGCACGGTGGCTCACGCCTGTAATCCCAGCACTTTGGGAGGCCGAGGCGGCGGATCACAGGGTCAGGAGATCGAGACCATCCTGGCTAACACGGTGAAACCCCGTCTCTACTAAAAATACAAAAAATTAGCCAGGCGTGTTGGCCAGTGCCTGTGGTCCTAGCTACTTGGGAGGCTGAGGCAAGAGAATGGCGTGAACCCGCGAGGCGGAGCTTACAGCAAGCCGAGATGGCGCCACTGCACTCCAGCCTGGACGACAGAGCCAGACTCCGACTCAAAAAAAATAAAAATAAATAAATAAATAAATTACTAATTAAAATGGGTTTCTACTTAAAATATATCAGTATCTCTATGTATAAGAGTAGTTCCTTTTTGCCCCATACCCTCCATCAGATATAAAAATAATGTCCACTTTCACCTATAAAGGGTAGATTTTGGGCTAAACTAGAAAAAATATCATGTCTTTATATAGGCAGGGGTCATCTTAACCTGTCATATTTGGCTTGGATACACTCCTAACCACCTCCCCTCACCTTCTGTGCACATGCATGCAGGCACACACACTGCTCCATAGACTAGTTAATACTATGTTGCCACTCAAGTCAGAAACTGGGCGTCATCTTAGACTCCTCTTTTGTTTATTCCTGGCACCAAGTTTTATTACTTCTATATATCTCAGTTCACAATTTGTCCACTTCTTTCTTCCTCACTTTCCCAAACCTAATCTGAGTAGCTCATCCAAATGAGACTTTACTACTGTGCCTGACTCTGACCTCTGCTCCTCCGAGCCAACCTAAGCTATAAATAAGAGCAAGTCATGACCTTATTTAAATTTTTCCAATGGCTCGTCATTTGTCCTCAGAAGAAATCAGAAACTCTTTAGACTGATTTTCAGGGCTCTTCTATGATCTAGTCTGTTTCATCTCCCCTTCCCAGCGCGTGTTCATTGCCACCACCTACCATACACATTTACTTGCTGAAAGGTCATTCATGCTTTCCAGGCTTTTGCGTGTGTTTCCTTTCTTTAACAGTCTCTTCTTTCCACATACCAATCTCTACTCTTAGCTTAAATGTTATTTCTTTTTGGTTATTGTTGGAACCCCCACTCTCACCCACCCCCATTTACTCCAGAAATAGTAGTAGTCATCATATATATGTTTTTTGAGACAGAATCTTATTCTGTTACCCCGGCTGGAGTGCACTGGTGCAATCACAGCTGGGCTCACTGCAGCCTCAACCTCCCAGGGTCAGGGAATCCTCCCATCTCAGCCTCTTGAGTAGCTGAGACTACAGGCACAAGCCACCAGGCCTGGCTGATTTTTGTTGAGATAGGGTTTTGCCATGTCACCCAGGCTGGTCTCGAACTCTTGGGATCAAGCAGTCTGCCTGCCTTGGCCTCCCAAAGTGATGGAATTACAGGTGTGAGCCACAAGCACCTGGCCTTTCATATTGTATAAACTCTTCACTTGTCCAGACCTTTCACTAGACTATAAACCAGGAAGTAATCTAGTGTACCCAGAATAGTGCTTGGCTCAAATACGATATTCAAATCTTTGGTGAATTAACAATTTTTTAAAGGTAACTAGTAACAATTTAGTTTCAAAAACCTCAATTTGGTTTCATGTAATCTGTAGGTATGTGTGCTTCTTCATTCCACCCCAGTCTCCACCTACAAACCTTTACCTACAGATATGTGGTAGAGATTGCCATTAAAATCCATTCTCTCCCTCCACATTAATAACTGGACCTGGTTGTTCAAATAGGGACTATGCTTCCCAACACCTCTTGCAGCTATACGTAGCTTCACCTTATTTGCCTAATAGGGCTTGGACTTCCATAACTCCTCTCATCAGACTGGGTAAAATGAAGGCAACTAATCTTAGAAGCCATGTTTTTGTTTGTTTGTTTGTTTGTTTGTTTTTTTGAGACAGAGTCTCGTTCTGTTGCCCAGGCTGAAGCGCCCGGCCAGAAGCCATGTTTTGAAATTGGCAACATCACTGTGAGCTTAGGTCCTTGAAATTCTGCATGGAAAGCATAGGACAGTTATATGAGAAATATGCTAATTTTATCAGAGCCACAGCATTTTTTTAATTAAGAGAAGGGGTCAGCTGGGCGCGGTGGCTCACGCCTGTAATCTCAGCACTTAGGGAGGCTGAAGCAGGTGGATCACTTGAGGTCAGGAGTTTGAGACCAGCCTGGCTAACATAGCAAAACCCCATCTCTACTAAAAATACAAAAATTAGCTGGGTGTGGTGGCAGGTGCCTGTAGTCCCAGGTACTCGGGAGGCTGAGGCAGGAGAATCACTTGAACCCGGGAGGCGGAGGTTGCAGTGAGCCGAGATTGCGCCACTGCACTCCAGCCTGGGTGACAGAGTGAGACTCTGTCTCAGAAAAAAAAAAAAAAAAAAAAAAAAAAAAGGAAGGGGTCTTGCTCTGTTGTCCAGGCTGGAGTGCAGTGGTATGATCCCAGCTCATTGAAGCCTCAAACTCCTGGACTCAAGGAGTCCTCCCACCTCAGCTTCCCAAGTAGCTAGGACTACAGGCATGCACCACCACATCCAGCAATTTTGGGGTCTCTTTGTTACAACTATAATTACTGTAAGGACTAACTGCTACACAGGATATAAATAGGCAGGTGAAATGGAAGACTTAAGATATTCAGAAACACAATGTTAATCTAATAAAGATTAAAATTTCCCATAACATGAAAAACAGCATTAGTAGCAACCAAGGGTTACATAAATATAAAATTAGAAAAATTCAAAAATACTTAAAAATATTTTCCTTGCTTTTCCAACTTGGGCCTGGCAGAATAGCTCCCACAAAGAAGGGTGGTGAGAAGGGCTGTTCTGCAATCAAGGTGGTGACTTGAGAATATACCATCAACATTCACAAGTGCATGCATGGAGTGGGCTTCAAGCAGCATGCCCCTCAGGCACTCGAGATCTGGAGGAGATGGGAATTCCAGATGTGTGCATTGATACCAGGCTCAACAAAGCTGTCTCGGCCAAAGGAATAAGGAATGTCCCATACTGTATCTGTATATGGTTGTCCAGAAAACGTTAATGAGGATGAAGATTCACCAAACAAGCTCTATGCTTAGGTTACCTATGTACCTATCATTTTCAAAAATCCACAGTCAATGTGGATGAGAACTAACTGCTAATCATCAAAATATCAAATAAAGTTATACAGCTATCCAAAAAAATTTTTCCTTTATGATAACTGAAAGTGATTTGAGGCAAATTAACAAAATTACCAAGAAATAAGTTAAGTAAAAACAATGCAAAGAGGACAAGGAAAAAGAACTTACGTATCTGTGGGACCTGTAGGTCACATGCAGCTATAAGGCAGCAACTTATAGGGTGACTGCCACTCTACAAAAGCTAGCCCGAGGAAGGAAACAAACGATAGACAGTAAATCACAAACAAGTTTTTTTTTTTTTTTTTTTTTGACGGAGTCTCGCTCTGTTGCCCAGGCTGGAGTGCAGTGGCATGATCTCCGCTCACTGCAAGCTCCACCTCCCGGGTTCAGGCCATTCTCCTGCCTCAGCCTCCTGAGTAGTTGGGACTACCAGCGTCCACCACCACGCCTGGCTAATTTTTTGTATTTTTAGTAGAGACGGGGTTTCACAGTGTTAACCAGGATGGTCGCGATTTCCTGACCTCGTGATCCACCCGCCTCAGCCTCCCAAAGTGCTGGGATTACAGGCGTGAGCCACTGTGCCTGGCCAATGACAAACCAGCTTCTTAAGTGATCATAAACCAGCACCAGGCAGATTAAAGACAAAATGGGCAGATTCTGTACTTAAAAGCATGCCAAGCCCATATGGAAATAAACACCTAACAGAATGGACTAAAAATCTCCAGAGAAAAAAAATTTTAAGAGAGTTCACAAGAAAGACAAATGACAGAAAATTTTAAGACTGATTTTTTTCTGTCACTTTCCTAAGAAGCTACTTCAAAGCCCCAAAGTTCTCACAACAGAATGGCCGCAGAGATAAAATGAAATGTATCAGCTTCCATGGCCACATTTATCTCAAATCCAGTACAAAAACACTACTACTAGGCCAGGCATGGTGGCTCATGCTTGTAATCCCAGCACTTTGAGAGGCCAAGGCGCACAGATAGCTTGAGTCCAGGAGTTCAAGACCAGTCTGGGCAATGTGGCAAAACCTGTCTCTCCAAAACAATATAAAACATAGGCCAGGCGTGGTGGCTCATGAGGTCAGGAGTTCAAGGCCAGCCTGGCCAACACGGTGAAACCGTCTCTACTAATAATACAAAAATTAGCCAGGAACAGTGGCAGGCACCTGTAATCCCAGCTACTTGGGAGGCTGAGGCAGGATAATCGTTTGAACCTAGGAGGCGGAGGTTGCAGAGGGTTGAGATCGCGCCACTGCACTCTAGCCTGGGCGACAGAGTGAGACTCCATCTCAAACAAACAAAAAAATATATATATATACACACACACACATATATACACACACGTATATATATTTGAAACATTAGCCAGGCATAGTGGTGTGTACCTGCAGTCCCAGCTACCCAAGAGGATGGGGTGGGAGAATTGCCTGAGCCCAGAGGGTTGAGGCTGCAGTGAGCTGTGATCACACCACTGTACTCCAGCCTAGGCAACAGAGTGAGACCCTGTCTAAAATTAAATTCTAGGTGATAAATGGAGACTGCCTTCTCTTCAACCTACAGATCTTCAATTGGTTAGCTTTTTCAAATGATCTGCTTGAGAATATGGGGAAATATAATTACAATGGACAATTAAATATTACAAACTCTATGAAGAACTAGAAAAAATTGGACTAAAATATATTTAATAAACAATAAGTAATCCTGTGAGCCCAAGCAAACTGTCCGTACTATGATGGTGTATATCTTTTCAGGAATAGCCCACCTAATCAATAGCACATGACCATTTATGAGTGAAAGGACTTTTAACAATCTAGGCAGGGTAGGTGTAGTGGCTCACGCCTGTAATCCCAGGCCTTCGGGGGACCGAGTCAGGAGGATACCTAAGAACCCAGGAGTTCAAGACAGGTGTGGGCAACTTAGTGAGGCCACATCTCTATTTAAATACACATGCACACGATTAAAAAAAAAAAAAATACAAACTAGCCAGGCATGGTAGCACATGACTGTAGTCCCAGCTACTTAGGAGGCTGAGTTGGGAGGATCGTTTGAGCCCAGGATTTGGAGGTTGCAGTGACCTAAGGTCCTGCCATTGCACTTCAGCCTGGGTGACAGAGCAAGACCCCGTCTCAAAAAATAAATAACAAAATGAGCTGTTGCTTCTGTAATCCTAGCACTATGGGAGGCTGAGGCAGGACGATTGTCTTAGGCCAAGAGTTCAAGTCCAGCCTGGGCAACATAGCAAAACCCTGTCTCTACAAAAAAAACTTAAAAAAAAAAATAAGCTGGGTGTAGTCCCAGCTACTTTGGAGACTGAGGTGGGAGGATCACTTGAGCCCAGAAGTTCAAGGCTGCAGTGAGCTATGATTGTGCCACTGTTCTTTGGCCTGGGTGACAGAGACTGTATCTCAAAATAAATTTAAAAATGAGCCATGTTTAATATCTAATTTTTAAAAAAAACCAAAAGGATCAATAATGTTTAAATTTAAATATTAGCCTTTTAGTAGAACTATTTGTCTGATGCATCTTTTTTTATTTCTAGCTGTATTCTGATTTATCTTTTTTTAAGTTTGTTTGTCGTGCAGGCTGGAGTGCGGTGGCATGATCTCGGCTTGCTGCAACCTCTGCTTCCCGGGTTCAACCAATTCTGTGCCTTAGCCTCCCAAGTAGCTGGGATTACAGGCAACTGCCACCACGCTCAGCTAATTTTTGTATTTTTAGTAGAGATGGGGTTTCACCATCTTGGCCAGGCTGGTCTCAAACTCCTGACCTCGTGATCCACCCGCCTTGGCCTCCCAAAGTGCTGCGATTACAAGGGTGAGCCACCACGCCTGGCCAGAGACCAGGAGTTTGAGACCAGCCTGGGCAACATAGGGTACCCCATCTCTACAAAAATTAAAAAATTAAGGCGTGGTGGCGGGCGCCTGTAATCCAGGCTACTCAGGAGGCTGAGGCAGGAGAATGGCGTGAACCTGGGAGGCGGAGTTTGCAGTGAGCGGAGATCGCGCCACTGCACTCCAGCCTAGGAGACAGAGTGAGACTCTGTCTCCAAAAAAAATAAAAATAAAAATAAAAAAATAAAAAATTAGCTGGGCATGGTGGCAGGTACCTGTAGTCCCAACTACTCGGGAGGCTGAGGTGGGAAGGTAGGAGGACTGCTTGAGCCGAGAAGGTTAAGGCTGCTGTGAGCTATGATCACGCCACCGAACTCCAGCCTGGGTGACAGAGTGAGACCCTGTCTTAAAAAAGAAAAAAAAAAAAGCAAAATTCTAAGAAAAACACAAGATCTACAGTCATGAAAAAGGTTTACCATTTACCACTTAAGTACTTGAAAAGTACCACACTAAAAAACATAGTAAACATAGCTGGTTTTAAAGTAATGACTTTATTAATAAATATACATCCATATGATGATGTAGATACAAATCATGAACACTACTCCATTCCCATACACATAATTGCACACGAGTAGCTCAAGTTCATGGACATAAAAACATACACAGTATCTATTCAGACTTTTTACAGCAGAGGACAGCGTGCTTATTATCAGTTAATTGGTAATTATTTTCTCCAAAATTACCTGTGGAAAAAAGAAATTCTGAAAACTTAAAAGAATCAAAGTGATCTGATTACTTTAAATCACACACTTGATTTACTATATAGCATTAAATTTTCCAAAAATTAAATACATTACATGTGAGAGCACAGATTTATATATTTGGAGGAGGGGGGAAAAAAGGAAAGATTCAGATACATCCTAGAGTTTAACAGCATACAGTTAAGCTGTAATAAAAACAAAAATAGAATAGCATCAAAATTTTTTATGTCCAAGGAAAAAAATCTTTTGAAAAACTGTTTTGAATTCTTTATATTCCTATAAAGGGACCATAAAATTTTACTGCATATAGAGACAATGACCGACAGAGTAGCAGTTATCAATAACCCCTGAATTGTTCTTTTAAAGCTTCTTAGAATATAAAGGAGAAATTTACTTTTTTTTTTCTTTAGCTCACACACTATGGTTATTTTTACACTGAATGGGTCAACTTTAACCTAATAAATGGACCCACATATATATTTTTTTCTCCTCAACTCAAAGAAACTCTATTCTTAGTTCATGAAAATAGACATGTAAATTCACACAAACATCAGTTTGGAATCAATATTACTTTGACAGATGTTTCTTTAAAAAGTAAATAAAAAATATAAAGAATTTTTAGTCTAATTAAAACATTGATTTTTTAAAATGTCCCTAAATATTAAAAATTAAACCAGATACTACTCATTTTCTTCCAATACATTGTGCCAATATATTTTTTAATATCCAATGCAAAACTCTAAAGATAGTATCAAAATCACCCTAAATACTACTTATGCAAGGTTATATCTGTCAAAAAATGAAAATTTCATCTGTTATTAGCTCATTTGCTAATATAATAAATAAGGCATGTTAAAGTACTTTTTAAAGAAAAAAGTAATGCAGACTTACTTGAATTGCAGATCATTTTCTGACCAACAGTTTAAATATAGAATAATGAAACCTATTTTGTGAAGAACAGAATTACACTGTATAAAATTAGCAATTTACCTTTCAAGAAACAATCATACAGTGGGGGAGAAAAGGCCAGTTTTCCCCAACTGATTATATTAAAGTATAGGCAACTGTTTAACATGCTATTTCAGTGTTTATCATAACAAGAGACAGTGTTAACAAAATATGCACAATGTAGTCTTTAGTTTATATAGCAGTAAAAATACTTTAAATTTTAAGACTTCATTCATGTTATCACTTAGATGTCTTTCTCTTCAGCATGGCACCGGTAAACTGTTCACAGGGAGAAAAGTAAGTGGAATCAGGAGATGCTCACCAGTGCATAGATATAATACTCCAGGTAACCGCTCAGATGAACAGTAAATTCGGCTTTCTAAATGATGTTATCCATTTACAACTGTAGCCATTTGCCCCTCCCATTTTTTTTTCCTGGGACATAGCTGCTGATAATAAACACTGTTATGAACATGCCTCCTTTAGTTGATCTCACCATTTCATAAACATGTATACAAAATTCATTATACAATAATACACCTGTTTTATCTTCTGACACACAGCACAGCACCAGTAAGTAGATGTGCTGGAGGGTAGAGGAAGAGGAATGAATGTACGAAAGGCAGGGGAGAAAGGGAAGGGTATGTATAACAAAATAAGGAAGGAAAATAAACTGAAAGGGAAATAAATGTCAAATGGACTTACTATAAAACACAATAATCAAATCTTTGACAATGGTGTGCATTATTCTATGGTAGAACATTAAACAAATGTCTTTAGAAACTGGCTTGAAAAAGATTTCTAAGCAGCCAACTGCTGAACATCATCTTGAGAAACAGCTAAATGACAGATACATGTACAGAGTAGGTAACGAACATATGAATAAAGAGGCAAGCATTTGTGTGTGTCAGAAGTTATACTGTTCTGAGTAAATTATTAAAAATCTTGTATTTTAAGCTTTTGCAAGAAAAAGCTCTTGTAGCAATTTAGCTGCCAGAATGTTATAACTGATTATGTAACCATCCAACATCGTTCTCTATGGTTTGTGCAAAGCTAATATTGTTGAGGTCACTGTCTTAGACGCCAGTGCACATAGTCCCCACATACAATGCAACACCTCTTACTGTAAAGAGCAGCATAAAGTCCAGCTCAATTGTGTCAGGCATCACTGGAACACCTGAAGGCTTGCTGCTTTTTTCCTGATAAAAAAGGTATGAAACATGACATCCATTTGCAATCAGAGTTTGCATTAATAGCAAGCCCAAAAAACACAACATGTGCTCTTTTAAAATTTTAATTATTTTAAAAGTTTTTGGGTCCTGCAATTCTACATTTTAATCTCAAAGGCATTTAAAATCCCAAATACAAACATTGTAACTTTAAAGTTAAGTGGAATTTTTTCAAGTCTGAAGTTTATAATATTTTATTTAGAACAAACTCAATAAATAAAATGTGTAACAAGAAGTATTACTTTCAGAAAGGAAAGAAGAAAGATTTCCCTCTGTCCCTACTATACATATCTACCTAATACTTTTTTTCCTTTCTATCTTGCTTCTAAAGCAAACATCATTGGGGGAAAAAAAATCTTTTGGATGAGATGGTCTCACTGGACCCACAATAAGATTTTTAATTAAACTAACCAACATATTTTTTACATGTTTCATGCATAGATGGATTCCTATATGCTTCTTAATATTTGGGTTCTGATGGTCGGGAAACTGCATTCTGTTTATACCAGTTTTACAGTCTACCATTCAATTTGTGTCCTTTGGTAGATATCAACCTGAAAACACAGTAAGTGCTAATGCAATGGGACAATTTCTGAGAAAAACTAAAAACGTTCCAAATAAATGAGCAACATCAATAAATGGTTTTATTTATTTATTTATTTATTTATTTATTTATTTATTTATTTGAGACGGAGTCTTACTCTGTCACCCAGGCTGGAGTGCAGTGGCACAATCTTGGCTCACTGCAACCTCCGCCTCCTGGATTTAAGCAATTCTCCTGCCTCAGCCTCCCCAGTAGCTTGGATTACAGGCGCCCGCCACCACGCCTGGCTAATTTTTATATTTTTAGTAGAGATGGGGTTTCACCATGTTGGCCAGGCTAGTCTTGAACTGCTGACCTCAAGTGATCCGCCTGCCTCGGCCTCCCAAAGTGCTGGGTGTGAGCCACCACACCCAGCCAATAAATGTTTTTAAACATAATACTTTAAAACTTTCTATATGAAAGGCAAAATATAGTGACTATAGCTACATGCAAACCTAGAGAATGCTTCTTTTTCTATTATATGAAATATGCTATCCTCAGAATGCACTATATTTCACCAAAAATGTAATGTGCAGTTTTTATAAAATAGTTTAAATTTTCTGTAAATATGAATTGTTTGTAGTGTTTGGTATATATGCTCTTAGGCAATTAAAAAATACACAACCTATCACTGCTCAAAGGCAAACACTGAAGAATTATTTCAGGTATAATGGTTAAATCAATTAATGCCATGTAGATCAATAAATTACAAGCTGCTTAAACCTAAAACATTAAAAATAAGTTTTTTAACATTTGAAGTGGATGTAAATGCCAAAGCATACAAATATGTGTCCCATCTTGTGAAAATAAATGTTACAAAAACTCACACAGCCATTACCTCAAGTAATCCTGATTCATTAGTTTGCTTTTTTGCTCCATCAGTTAAAAATACGTTAGTGTCTTTATTATACTGTAGGCTTACTTCACAAACTAATAGGTATAATGGTTTCAGTTGTTTATCACATAAAGCATCTATTTAGAACAGCCCCAAAGTAGTAATGAAACATGAGACATGACCATAACTCTAAAGGAAAAGGAAAAATGATTTAGTTAGGTGTTACACTTGAACCTATGTACAAATACAATGCCGCTGCTCATGCCCTGAGTGCATCTGTCAGCATATGGCAGTTTTTGAGCAAAAGCAGGAAAAAAACCAAACAGGAAAACAAATTTGGAAAGCCCAGGCCATAAAATTATGTATATCAAAATAAAACCAAGAAGCTTTGGGATTATTCACAATCTTCCTTCTAAACCTGGCCCTCTTTTCCTGCCTCATTCACTCATTGGGTGGTTTGACTTCACTGCTAGTTTCCTCTACCCCATGAACTGCTCTGCCATGCATCATAGGGTAAGGAAAAGCAGCAGTGCCACAGCCATAACCAAGATCGGCAAGACGGGATAGAGCTTTAATGCTACCTGGAGGTCTGCCTGGGCTGACTTTGTATCCCGCAGCTTTAGTTGTCCCCAAAGGTCTGCCTGGACTTGTCTTAAATCCAGCTGCTTTGGTGGTTCCCAGGGGTCTGCCTGTGCTGGTCCGGTATCCTGCTGATTTGGTGGTTCCCGAAGGCCGGCCACGCTTACCAGATCGGTTGAGATTCTTCTTTTTCTTTAGTTCATCTTTTATTTCTATGCTTCTGCCACTTGTAGTCTGCAAGTGTGTTTCATTTAATGGGTCTTGCCTCTGACAAACCATTGGTTTGTGGTTGACTGTGTGGCTGTATTTGCTTTGCTGGGAGGAATATATGTCAAACTGATCAGCAGCTCTCATGGCATCTTCATTGAGGCAGGAAGGCTTGCCAGGCCCACAGAAAGCTGGATTACTGCTGGCAACAGGATGCATCATTTTCTACCAAAAATAAAAGACAAATATATATAAATACACACACACAAATACATACCTGTATGCAGCATTCAGTGAGAAAACAGTCTGTCTTCCAACAACTATGCAGGCTACATAAAATTAGGCTAACAGGCAGGACTCCAGACCACTTATAAACAAACACACATCAGCAGATTCAAGGACACTTCTTCTCAATTTAATCATGGGACAAACATCATACAAGATAACTCTATTATAATACTGATTTCATAGCTATAATGCTCTCCAATTAGGAACCAGAAAAGTGTGTAAGTCAAAAACAAATGTTCTATTCTGTGGGCTTTTCTCTTCTAGATTACTAAACCTCAAAAGAATAATAGTAAAGCCAAGAACTCTTATTAACACAATTCTTTTTTTCAGTTTGCCTGATGTTCTTAGAATGCCTCCTGTTGGCCTTTTATTGTATTTCTCACATGCATACTTCTGGCCTGACAACAGTTTCCACAAGATGGACACTCCATCGTTATTGTAATTTATTATTTATACAGAACCCTGAGTATATGTTACACTTCACAAAAGACAGCATGTGCCAAGCAATGAACACAATCTCTACTGCTTCTTGGCCTTTTGGCTAAGATCAAGTGTAAAGAATACAATCTCTTGGCCCAAGGTACTGACTCCCTTCAAACATCCTCCATTCCAACAGAAGGCAGTACCAATACAAAAGGTAAACAAAGGTTTCCATTAGCTAAAATGAGTGAACATTATACAAATGCTTAAGACTTATACTACAAAAATATGGATAACAACCATAATAAAGTATCTCCTTTTTTAAAAAAATTTTTGAGATGGAGTCTTGCTCTGTCACCCAGGCTGGAGTGCAGTGACTCGATCTCAGCTCACTGCAACTTCCGCCTCCTGGGTTCAAGTGATTCTCCTGCCTCAGCCTCCTGAATAGCTGGGACTACAGGTGCCTGCCACCATGTTCGGCTAATTTTTGTACTTTTGTAGAGACAGGGTTTCACCATGTTGGTCAGGCTGGTCTCGAACTCCTGACCTCGTGATCTGCCCGCCTCGGCCTTCCACAGTGTTGGGATTACAGGCGTGAGCCACCGCACCCAGCCAATACCTCCTATTTGTAAGGTGTATTTATCAAGACAAAAAGTTGAATGTACAACATTGCTTTCTCCCTTGATCATAAATACAGTGTGGATCATCTTCCCTTACACCACAAGCCCTGTGACTTATTAAAGAACAGTCCAGCCAGGCATGGTGGCATCAGCTATAAGGGAGGCTGAGGTGGGAGGATCACTTGAGCCCAGGAGTTTGAAACAAGCCTGGGCAGCATAGCAAGATTCCTGCTCTTGAAATAGAAAAAAAAAAAAAAAAAAAAAAAGAAGAAGAAGAAGAAGGTCCAAAGTCTCTATTTTGTCTGTAAGGACATCCCTGTGATTTTTTTTTTTTATATAAAGGACTTATTAAAACCACTACCACAACAAACTAGCTCTAAATAGCCATATCATTTAGACAGAGGAAATGACAGGTTTTTTTTTTTTTTTTTTTTAGGTGGAGTTTCGCACTTGTTGCCCAGGTTGGAGTGCAATGGCACAATCTTGGCTCACCGCAACCTCCGCCTCCTGGGTTCAAGCGATTCTCCTGCCTCAGCCTCCCGAGTAGCTGGGATTACAGGCATGTGCCACCACGCCTGGCTAATTTTTTATTTTTATTTTGTATTTTCATTTTATTTTTTATTTTTTTTTGAGACTGAGTCTTGCTCTGTCACCCAGGCTGGAGTGCAGTAGCGCGATCTCAGCTCACTGCAACCTCTGCCTCCCGGGTTCACGCCATTCTCCTGCCTCAGCCTCCCAAGTAGCTGGGACTACAGGCACCCGCCACCACGCCCGGCGAATATTTTGTATTTTTAGTAGAGATGGGGTTTCACCGTGTTAGCCAGGATGGTCTTGATCTCCTGACCTCGTGATCTGCCTGCCTCGGCCTCCCAGAGTGCTGGGATTACAGGTGTGAGCCACCGTGCCCGGACTGTATTTTTAATAGAAATGAGGTTTCTCCATGTTGGTCAGGCTGGTCTTGAACTCCCAACCTCAGGTGATCCGCCTTCCTTGGCCTCCCAAAGTGCTGGGATTATAGGCGTGAGCCACCGTGCCTGGCTGGAAATGACAGTTTTATAGAGACTACAGTATTATGTTGTGATGAGGTAAAAGAGATAAAGATATGGGTTCCAATTCGGATTTATAAAGAGTCACAAATGTATATTAAGGTCCAGCCTCAAGTTGTTAGGAGATATTTGTGTGCACCCTTCATACATGTGAGAGTGCACCAAAACCTCAGTTATGAAAACAGTTACTCCTAGAGGCTGCAAACAGGTAATAAGGTTAGCGAAAACCACTGTAAACTTACTTTAGTTTGTAAAGGCAAAAGGAAATGAGCATGAAGTCACAGAATCAAATTCTGTTAAATTATGAAACATTTGCTGAGAATCAACAGAGCAATTGGCAAGCTGGCTTAAAGTCTCAATTTGATGGAAAAATATCTACAGTGAGAAGCTACTTGTTTATGGCAAAAGCTTTTTAGACTTGAGAACATAAAACAAGACTGGGCTAAACACAAATATTAAGTGGAATAATTTTTTCACTCATTCCCCACAGATACAAGAACTAGATTATTGGCCAGGCGCGGTGGCTCACGCCTGTGATCCCAGCACTTTGGGAGGCCGAGGCAGGCGGATCACAAAGTCAGGAGATTGAGACCATCCTGGCTAACACAGTGAAACACCGTCTCTACTAAAAATACAAAAAATTAGCTGGGCGTGATGGCACGTGCCTGTAGTCCCAGCTACTCAGGAGGCTGAGGCAGGAGAATTGGTTGAACCCGGGAGGCAGAGGTTGCAGTGAGCTGAGATCGTGCCACTGCACTCCAGCCTGAGTGACAAGCAAGACTCCGTCTCAAAACAAAAAGGACTAGATTATTAATTATCATTTCACTAGCTCAAATTCTAATTTCAGATGAGAAAAAAGGAGACTCTCAAGATGAGTTCCAAACATAGTATTGGCTGAAAGTTAGCAATTTTTTAGGATTTTGTTATGTGCCAGGCAATAAGCTTGGTTCTTTGCACATTATCTGATTTAATCCTCAGTACAAGCCTATAAGGAACATACAATATTATTTTACAGACTTTAAGCATTCTGCCAGGGTCACACATTAGGAAATGGTTAGCCAAATATGACTTTTGATGATTCAACTTCAGAACCAACAATTTACAATGTAGCATACCATGGTTTTTCAATAGCAGCACTGTCATTTGGGTCAGATAATTTTGTTGTGGTTTGTCCACTGCATTGTACAATGTTTAGCAGCATCCCTGGCCTCTACCCACTAGATGTCAGTAGCAACACCTCTCTCCCTTCCCCTAAATATTTGACAATGAAAAATTTCTCCAGACATTGCCAAATGTTCCCTGGGGGGTGGGGGGCGGGGAATCCACCCTTCACCATGAAATCACTTGATTATACTAAAATGAAAACACAGACCCAACTTAAAATATTCTCACTTAAGTTTTTATTCACCTTTTTAGCCTCTTCCTCACCAAATATCCACAAATTCTTTCTTACTGCAAAGTCAAATAGATTTGGTTTCCAAATGGAAGAAAAGCAAATGCCAGAATTAGTAAAGACAACCAGGATGGCCACGATGGCTCACGCCTACAATCCCAGCACTGTGAGAGGCCAAGGCGGGAAAATCACCTAAGGTCAGGAGTTCAAGACCAGCTTGGCCAAAATGGCAAAACCCTGTTTCTACTAAAAATACAAAAATTTACAAAAATTTTGTGGGGGAAAAAAAAAAGTTCTGTGACTTACCAGGAGGGTAACAAAAATAAATAAATAAATAAATAAATAAATAAATAAATAAATATATGTATTTCTGTATGTATAAAATATGTATGTGTGTGTAGTGTGTGTGTGTGTGTGTATATATATATATATATATGAACATTCATAATCTATCAGAGAACTCAGGATATACAGTCTCAGCTTACATTATGTTAGGCTTTTAGAGGCAAAATGCCACTATCCTTGACTCAGATATCAATCCACACTGAAAAAAACATACCATTAAAAAATTAGTCGTGCGGCTGGGCATGGTGACTCATGCCTCTAATCCCAGCACTTCAGGAGGCTGAGGCAGGCAGATCACCTGAGGTCAGGAGTTTGAGACTAGCCTGGCCAAAATGGTAAAACCCCGTCTCTACTAAAAATACAAAAAAAAATTAGCCTGGTGTAGTGGTGCACGCCTGTAATCCCAGCTACTCGGGAGGCTGAGGCAGGAGTGTCGCTTGAACCCAGAAGGTGGAGGTTGCAATGAGCCAAGATCGCAACATTGCACTCCAGCCTGGGAGACAAGAGCGAAACTCCAACTCAAAAAAAAAAAAACACTTGCAATTTTTAAAAAGCATGCATCTTGGCCAGCCATGGTGGTTCACGCCTGTAATCCCAGCACTTTGGGAGGCCAAGGCGGGTGGATCACCTGAGGTCGGGAGTTTGAGACCAGCCTGACCAACATGGAGAAACCCCATCTCTACTAAAAATAAAATTTAGTTGGGCGTGGTGGTACATGCCTGTAATCCCAGCTACTCAGGACGCTGAGGCAGGAGAATCGCTTGAACCTGGGAGGAGGAGGTTGCAGTGAGCCGAGATCATGCCACTGCACTCCAGCCTGGGCAACAAGAGCAAACTCCATCTCAAAGAAAACAAACAAAAAACCACATATCTCCATTTCTTCATTCCTTCAATATTGTCCAGAATTTATGCCTTTAGTTTGTATTATGTAAATTTAGTTCTGACATAACTCACATTTATTGAGGGCCAACTCCATGCAAAACACTATTCTAAGCACAAATTGACAAGAGTAAAGCTATTTATTCCAATGGAAAGATAATGAGACACTGACTTAGCCAGGTGTGGTAGCTCACGCCTGTACTCCCAGCACTTTGGGAGGCTGAGGCGGGTGGATCACTTGAGGTCAGGAGTTCGAGACCAGCCTGGCCAACAGGGAGAAACCCCGTCACTACAAAAAATACAAAAATTAGCTGGGCATGGAGGCATGCACTTGTAATCCCAGCTACTCGGAAGGCTGAGGCAGCAGAATTGCTTGAACCCGGGAGGCAGAGGTTGCAGTGAGCTGAGATCACACCTCTGCACTCCAGGCTGGGCAACAGAGTGAGACTCTCTCTTTAAAAAAAAAAAAAAAAAAAAAAAAAAAGACACTGACTTAACATTTCTGAAGTGCAGGGCTTCTGTATGTTCTATATATTCCTTCCCTGCTACTGCCAAGAAATCAGTACAGTATTCTACTTAATAATTAATAAACAAGCTGGACAAGGAATTTAATATGAGAATTACTCGTAAATAATTAACTTTAAAAACGCAAACAGAACTAAAACCAATCCTTTCCTATTTTCAGACTTCAACTTTATTAAGTTGGGAATCAGCACTATTAGATGCTTATGTGCATAACCATCACTATATATTTACATGCAGCATATTTATGTTTATATAAAAAGTATTTGCATGTGAGCTTAACCCTGCACTCCATAATGCCTTCCTCCTCCCACTTCCGAGCTAACTATTGTTGAAACACTCCCTTTTTTTTTTTGAGACGAAGTCTAGCTCTGTTGCCCAGGCTGGAGTGCAGTGACTTGATCTTGGCTCACTGCAACCTCTGGAACCCCGGTTTAAGCGATTCTCCTGCCTCAGCCTCCGAAGTAGCTGGGATTACAGGCATGTGCCACCACGCCCAGCTAATTTTTGTATATTTAGTAGAGATGGGGTTTCATTATGTTGGCCAGGCTGGTGTTGAACTCCTGACCTCGTGATCCACCCGCTCAGCCTCCCAAAGTACTGGGATTACAGGCGTGAGCCACCGCGCCCAGCCTCTTTTTTTTTTTTTTTTGAGACGGAGTTTCACTCTTGTTGCCCAGGCTGGAGTGCAATGGTGCAATCTTGACTCACCGCAACCTCTGCCTCCCGGGTTCAAGCGATTCTCCTGCCTCAGCCTCCTGAGTAGCTGGGATTACAGGCACATGCCACCACGCCCAATTTTTTTATTTTCGGTAGAGACGACGTTTCACCATGTTAGTCAGGCTGGTCTCGAACTCCTGACCTCAGGTGATCCGCCTGCCACAGCTCCCAAAGTGTTGGGATTACAGGCGTGAGGCACCACGCCCGGCTTTTTTTTTTTTTTTTTTTTTTGAGACGGAGTTTTGCTCTTGCCCAGGCTGGAGTGCAATGGCGCGATCTTGGCTTACCGCAACCTCCACCTCCCGGGTTCAAGCAATTCTCCTGCCTCAGCCTCCTGAGTAGCTGGGATTACAGGCACGTATGCTAGGCTAATTTTTATACTTTTTTTTTTTTTTAGTAGAAACGAGGTTTCACCATGTTGGCCAGGCTGGTCTCAAACTCCCGAGTTCAGGTGATTCGCCTGCCTTGGCCTCCCAAAGTGCCGGGATTACAGGCGTGAGCCACCACGCCGGGCGGAAAGACCCTTTCATTGAAAGTATGCAAGCGACATTTGTTTTTTGTTTTGTTTTGTTTTGTTTTGATATGGAGTCTTGCTCTGTCGCCCAGGCTGGAGAACAGTGGCCCGATCTTGGCTCACTGCAAGCTACGCCTCCCAGGTTCTCGCCATTCTCCTGCCTCAGCTTCCCGAGTAGCTGGGACTACAGGCGCCAGCCACCACGCCTGGCTAATTTTTCGTATTTTTAGTAGAGACGGGTTTCACCATGTTAGCCAGGATGGTCTCGATCTCCTGACCTCGTGATCCGCCTGCCTTGGCCTCCCTAAGTGCTGGGATTACAGGCCACAGCCACCGCGACCGGTCCCAAGCCACATTTCTTAAGAGTCAGAATGGTCCGGCGCGGTGGCTCAGGCCTGTAATCCCAGAAATTTTGGAAGCCCAGGTGGGCAGATCAGTTGAGGTCGGGAGTTCCAGAGTAGCCTGGCCTGGATAACACAGCGAAACCCTCTCTCTAAAAATCCAAAAAATTAGTCAGGCATGGTGGCGGGTGCCTGTAACTCCAGCTACTCCAGAGGCTGAGGCAGGAGAATCGCTTGAACCCAAAGGCGGAGGTTGCAGTGAGCCGAGTTCGTGCCACTGTACTCCAGCCTAGGAAACAGACTCCATCTCAGGAAAAAAAAAAAAAAAATAGGATGAATACTACATTTCCAGACAGCGTGGACTGAATAGAAGCCAAGAGTTATAGAACAGGTTGTGTAGACTATCAAAGGTTAAAGATCATCTTTTTAAATAGTTACTGAAGCCGGGTGCAGTGGCTCACGCCTGTAATCCCAGCACTTTGGGAGGTTGAGAAGGGTGGATCACGAGGTCAGCAGTTCGAGACCAGCCTGGTCAACATGGTTAAACACCATCTTTACTAAAAATACAAAAATTAGCTGGGTGTGGTGGCGCATGCCTATAATCCCAGCTACTTGGGAGGCTGAGGCAGGAGAATTGCTTGAACCCGGGAGGCAGAGGTTGCAGTGAGCCGCGATCGCGCCACTGTACTCCAGCCTGGGGGACAGAGTGAGACTCCGTTTCAAAAAAAACAAAACAAACAAAAACAACCAATAAATAGTTCCCTGAATGTACAGGAGTCAACTAAGAGCTTCTATATATTTGGACTGTGACTAAATTCGAATACTTAAAGCATAAGCTAAAACTTACCATCCTTGAAGTTGTTTTATTGTGTTTAACTCCTAAAGTTTAACCCCTAAAATGAGCCGTTCTTTATAGAACAATTCCTTTCTCTTCTCTTGAATGTGGCAGTCATTACTGCCAACATAAAGAAATGTAACTATTTTTAGTAACTTCACAAAGCATCCCTGAAGCTTTCTAAACATGGAGAAAGCTTCCTTTCAAGAAACCCAAGTTCTGTTCTCCAAAGATCAAAGATCACGTAATTCTCAGAGATTTATTTCAGGTCATTTGACTAACTATTATGTATAATCATATACGTTTCATAATTCTAAATGAAGATTTGCAACTCACCTCAATCACTCTGAAAGTCCATTCAGCAGAGGCCAATAGCCACGCACCCTGCCCCACCACGGAAAGTTTTGATAATAGGACGGCACATAAATAACGGCCTCCTTTGTCTTCTTCCTGCTCCTTAACTGTGCCCCACGGTGCACAAATAAGGACTCTCCTTATTTTGACACGAGGCGTTTAGAATGTATTACCTGTTGTGTGCTGAAAGCGACTATTAGCGTATTGGCAATAACAAGTTTGCAGAAGATGCACGCCACCCTAGAGAAAGGGTTGTGTACCCTCTAAAAAGCAAAATTCATAAGCCGCTATCCGTCCACTCGGAGTTCCGCAAGCGTAGAAGTCCACGGGCACTCCATCGCGACGCCGATCTCGAGCCGGCAGGCTTTTATTTAAAGGCGAAGGGCGGACTGCGGATTCTGACCTCTCAAAGAAAAGAAAGGGGGCTCCCTCCCCCCGCCGCAGGAGGAATGTCCCCCCGTAATGGCTCCACACCGGGGAAGAGCAGGCTACGTCCGGGGCCCCTCCTCTCACTCCGGCTACACTAGGGCCCCTTGGCAGGAGGCCTCTTCTCCCCGGTCAGCGAGGCGCCCGTTCTCGCCGCCGCCCTACCCCGCTCCCGGCCGGCTGACCAGCCCGCGCACCCCTACCTACCTCAGCCGCTCGTAGCCCGGCCCCTCGGCGCGTCTAGGGGCTTCCCAGCGGCTGGGAACCTCGTGCTGGCGCCGCTCCCTCCCCAGCCCGCCGCCTCTGCACGGTGCGGAGAACGGGCCAAGACGGAGTGGCAGGCAGCGAGGGCGGCGGCGAGGCAGGCGCTGGCTCCCAGCACCCGCCGCGGCCGCCGCGCACGGTCCTGCCCCGGACGCAGTACGAAGAGGCCGCTACCACCCTGTAGTGTTAGAGGCGGCGTGCGCGAGCTCGCGAGGGCCGCGCACGCACACGCTCACTCGCATCGCGAGACCCGATCTCCCGCCGCCAACCTGCACGCAAGCTTTGGGAGGGAGCCAGGCTGGCAGGCTGCGCTTGCGCGTCGTGGCCTTAAGCCTGAGCTGCTGGTGATCCGGCGTGGACCGTCCCCAGTGGCTGGGGTTGAGGAACCCACCAAATGGGGAATTAATAACTTCCTTACTTGTATTGGTTTTCACCACAATTCTGAGATGCTGGAACTCCTGCTGACCCCATTTCTTAGATACAGGACAAATAAATGATAGTCAGGGGAGTTGGGACTCTTCATGCCCAGGATCATGTGATAATGAAAAGCTTTATTTTATGGGACATCCTATGATCCACGCAGATTACAGGCGTAAGCCACCACGCCCCAGGAATTGTCGCATTCATTATTCCATAATCACAGGAAAGGATGGAACAACAAACTACCGCTATTATGTTTTTCTTGTGAGATATCTGACATATCAGTCACCTCACACAAACCCACTTAGAAGGGATTCATTTCCTCACTCCTTCCTCCTGTGAATTTCCAGATGTCAGAATGGAGAGGATCCAGAATTAGGGCAGCTACTGAAAGGGAGACACTTTATTAAGCAGTGGGAAGAGGCTAGAGGAGGATGCTTGCCCTTTTCCCCCATGTAATGAAGGATATTTGAGGATGGACAATTCATAGAACTGAGTTCTACCATAAGCACAGCCCTGAGCCAGGTACTGCCCTGCCAGTAGGAAAGAAAGGAGGAGAAACAACTTTTCTGGACAAACACACAAGCCAGGACACAACACACGAAACAAGCAAGCCCATTCATTCAAACTACTGAGGGACTGGAGACAGATAAGCCATGTGAACAGTTGATCAAACCTACACCAATAAAAACTCTGGACAGCCTGGGTGCGGTGGCTCACGCCTGTAATCCCAGCACTTTGGGAGGCCGAGGCGGGCAGATCACGAGGTCAGGAGTTCGAAACAAGCCTGACTAACATGGTGAAACCCCTTCTCTACTAAAAATACGAAAATTAGTTGGGCATGGTGGTGCGCACCTGTAATCCCAGCTACTCGGAAGGCTGAGGCAGGAGGATCGCTTGAACCCAGGAGGTGGAGGTTGCTGTGAGCCGAGATCGCACCACTGCACTCCAGCCTGGGACAGAACGAGACTCCGTCTCAAACAAACAAACAACAACAACAACAAAAAACTCTGGACACAAAGCTCAGGTGGAATTCCCTGGTTGGGAAGCTAGGATTTTTTTGGCAGACGGAGATTCATAACATGATTCTAAACATCATTCCAACTAGGTGGAGTGATTCACACCTGTAATCCCAGGACTTTGGGAGGCCAAAGCAGGAGGCCAGGAGTTTGAGACCAGCCTGGACAATATAGAGAGATTCTGTCTCTACAAAAAATAAAACAATTAGCTGGGTGTGGTGATGAGTACTTGTAGTGCCAGCTGCTACGGAGGCTGAGACAGAAGGAAGGACTGAGATAGGAGGAAGGAGACTGAGGCTTCCTTAAGCTGTGTTTGTGCCACTGCACTCCAGCCTGGGCAACAGAGTGAGACCCTGTCTCAAAAAAATAAAATGCTAAAAAAACAGGATTAATCATGCTAGTGTTATTTATATGTAAAAGGAAAATACCAATATAGAAAAGTTAAAATATGTACACAGATTTTAAGGCATATTAAGTAGCCTATCTAAAAACAAGTTTTTTTTCTAAGCAAGGTTTTTTTGCTCTTGAGGTGGAGCACTCCCATACCATATAATCACTATTCCAAATCTGTAACTCTAAACTCTTGTCTGAAATGGCATTTGTACATAAAAACATTTAAGAAAAAGAAATTTTCATTCTAAAAAAGTCAAGTAATTTGCAGGCCCAATGGAGGGGTAGCCAGAATAACAAAGAAGTCAGGCAGCCCTGAGTTTGAATGCCTTTCTGCCACTTGCCTCCCATGGTATTTTGGGCAAGTCATTGCTCCACCAAAAGTTTCCACATGTAAGAAATTAAGACAATGTCTTCCTTGTAGAGCTGTGAAATTAAATAAGGTAATAGGACTATTTAAATATCCATCAGTGGCCAGGCACAGTGACTCATGCCTATAATCCCAGCACTTTGGGAGGCCAAGGCGGGTGGATCCCCTGAAATCAGGAGTTCAAGACCAGCCTGGCCAACATGGTGAAACCCTGTCTCTACTAAAAATACAAAAAATTAGGCATGGTGGTGCATGTCGCTAAATCCCAGTTACTCGGGAGGCTGAGGCAAGAGAATCGCTTGAACCTGGGAGGCGGAGGTTGCAGTCAGTTGAGATCGTGCCACTGCACTCCAGTCTGGGTGACAGAATGAGACTGTCTCAAAAATAACTCAGCTTAGCTACTTGGTAGGCTGAGGCGGGAGGATCGCTTGAGCCTGGAAGGCAGGGATTACAGTGAGCCACGCCACTGCACTCCAGCCTGGATGACCAAGCGAGACCCTGTCCCAAAAGATATAAAGAAAAAAGAAAATATTCACCACTACTTAGATGTTCATTATACTATTCTATTTTCAAATATTTACCATTTTCCATAAAATATTTTAAGCTCATACAAGTTATATTGTTCTTGAAAATAACCAAATAATTCCAATAAAATCTTGAATAAGAATTCATGGGAATAAGGCCAGGCACGGTGGGTCATGCCTGCAATCCCAGGACTTTGGGAGGCCGAGGCAGGTGGATTACTTGAGGCCAGAAGTTCCAGAACAGCCTGGCCAACATGACGAAACCTCGTATCTAGTAAAAATAGAAAAATCAGCCAGGTGTGATGGTGCACATCTGTAATCCCAGCTACTCGGGAGGCTAAGGCACGAGAATCACTTGAACCCCAGAGGTGGAGGTTGCGGTGAGCCAAGATTGGCCACTGCACTCCAGTCTGGGCAACAGTGAGACTGTCTCAAAAAAAAAAAAAATTATGGGGACAAATATTCATCATTACAGCTAAAGGGAATAACTGAGGAAGACTTGCAAAGGATTTGAGTTTCGAGTTTGGATTTGAAAGTGCCAGACATGAATTGGTGGAGTAGAAGCTGTGGTGGCTACAGGGAAGACAAAAGCAAGTACATTTATAATGGTGGAACCTTTGCCCACTGAATGCTCCAGGAAGGGTTGGAAGTGGGCTTTAAATGCCACTTTAGTCTGGAGATATTTCACAGAAGCACCATGAGCCAGGAAATATCAGCAAGAAATCTCCAGCCAGCTCTCTTTAGAAGGAGATCTAGCCACCAAGATGAAACTGCACACTTACATCAGCTGATGACCTTAGTAAAATAACACCAGCCATTTGGTGAACCACTAGCTAGTGGGTATTTGATCAAGGAATAGGAGACATTCCAGGTTTACTCACCCTCTGACACATCTACTCATTTATGCTATATGTTGACTTTAGCTTTTTTTTTTTTTTCAGATGGAGTCTCACTCTTTCACCCAGGCTGGGTCACTGGATTATGGCCCAATCTTGGCTCACTGCAACCTCCACTTCCCGGGTTCAAGCGATTCTCCTGCCTCAGCCTCCTGAGTAGCTGGGACTATAGGCATGTGCTACCATGCCTGGCTAATTTTTGTATTTTTAGTAGGGACAGGGTTTCACCATGTTGGCCAGGCTGGTCTTGAACTCCTGACCTCAGGTGATCCTCCCACCTCGGCCTCCCAAAGTGCTGGGATTACAGGCAGGAGCCACCGTGTGCAGCCAACTTATTTTAGATTCAATGGAGCAGACAAATGTTATAACCATGCAAAATAGTGCTTCAAGAAAATCTAAACTATCTTCACAATAGTCACTATGAGAGAAATAGTGACCAATTCATTTTTTATATAGGAATTTGCTACCACTCTAGGCAGCTCCTCTTATAAAATTCTAAAATTCTATAAACTTCTAAAATTTGACCTCATATTAAAGCAATCAGCCTCCTACTAATGTCTACCCACTGTCCTAGTTTTTTAGACTCACATTGCACAAAGTTAGTCATGTGATTCCACTTGACTCTATAAGGTGCTCATTTAGTTCAGGCCTCTAGAAGCTCTTTTTTGGATATATTATAAATATTATAACTAATCTCCACTATGTAGCTCCTCTGTACTTCTTCAGCCATCCCCTCCCCCAAAGTCAGGCATAGCCATGTGACTTGCACTAGTCAATGAAAGTGACAAATGCAAGATTCTCTGAGATTCTTCTCTGCCATTAGGACTGTGATGTTAGAGTTGCCATCAGTCTGGATCCTGGATTCTGGGGTTAGATAGATGTGAAGTAAAGCTTCTCCTCTTACAACACATGAGGATAATTTAGCATAGATGAGAAATAAACTTTTTTTTTTGAGACAGTCTCATTCTGTCACCCAGGCTGGAGTGCAGTGGCGAGATGTTGGTTCCCTGCAACCTCCACCTCCCGGGTTCAAGCGATTCTCATATCTCAGCCTCCCAAGTAGCTAGGACTACAGGCACGAGCCACCACACCTGGCTTTTTGTATTTTTAGTAGAGAGGGGGTTTCACCATGTTGACCAGCCTGGTCTCCAACTCCTGGCCTCAGGTGATCTGCCCACTTCAGCCTCCCAAAGTGCTGGGATGACAGGCGTGAGCCACTACACCTAGCCCAGAAAAATTAAAAAAAAAAAGAAATCACTGAGATTTTTCTTACTACACCATAATCTAGCTGTAGTAACTGGAAACTACAAACGTTATTTTTACCTCTGATGAAAAGCTAAGAGAGAATTGAAGAAATAACATAATCCAAAAAAATTGAGGAAACGGGCCCTTCTACGATGTAGAGGGGCAGGTGTAAAAAATTTAACCTTGCCAAAGAACAGTCTGGCCTTTACTGCTGGCTTCTTGGAAGTAATCCCTAAACCCTTGGAATGTCATGCTTCATAGTGTTTTTGTTTGCCTGGGGCCGTGGGTCATGCAAGATAGTCTAACAATGTGATTTAGTGTGAAAGAGCTGGGTCACATGGTATCAGCTCCACCTCCTGAGGGACTGAAAACTGATCAGCCATATGGCTAATTAATCATGTCTACATAATTAGCTCCAATAAAAACTCTGGATACCAAGGCTCAGATGAGCCTCCCAGACAGGTGCAATGGCTTATGCCTATAATCCCAGCACTTTGGGAGGCCGAAACAGGAGGACTGCTTGAGCCCAGGAGTGGGAGATCAGCCTAGGCAACAACATAGGGAGACCCTGCCAATACCAGAAAAAAAAAAAATGCCAGGCATGGTGGCACATGCCTGTGGTCCCAACTACTTAGGATGCTGAGGTGGGAAGATTGTTTGAGCCCATGAGGTTGAGGCTGCAGTGAGCTGTAATCACGTGACTGTACTTCAGATTGAATGACAGAGTGAGACTCTGTCCCCAAAATATAATAAACCAGGCACGGTAGTTCACGTGTGAAATCCCAGCATTTTGAGAGGCTAAGGAGGGAGGACCACTTGAGCCCAAGAGTTTGGGGCTACAGTGAGCCATGACCATGACACTGTACTCCAGCCTGAACAACAGAGCAAGACCTGGACTCAAAAAATATACAAATGAATGAATAAATAAATAGGGTGCTGCTAAGGCCACATCACTTCCCTGTTCTTTTTTTTTTTTTTTTTTTTTTGAGATGCAGTCTCGCTCTGTCGCCAGGCTGTAGTGGGGTGGTGCAATCTTGACTCACTGCAACCTCCGCCTCCCGGGTTCAAGCGATTCCCCTGCCGCAGCCTCCCGAGTAGCTGGGACTACAGGTGCACACCACCATGCCAGGCTAGTGTTTTGTATTTTAGTAGAGATGGAGTTTCACCATTTCGGCCAGGATGGTCTCGATCTCCTGACCTCATGATCCGCCCACCTTGGCCTCCCAAGTTTCTGGGATTACAGGAGTGAGCCACCGCACCCAGCCACTTACCTGTTCTTAAGGTTAAGTTACTCTAGGCTAGGTGTGGTGGCTCACGCCTGCAATCCCAGCACTTTGGGAGCCTGAGGCAGGCAGATCACTTGAGGTCAGGAGTTTGAGACCAGCTTGACCAACATGGTGAAACCCTGTCTCTACTAAAAATACAAAGAAAAAAAAATTAGCCAGGCATGGTGGCACGCACCTGTAATCCCAGCTACTTAGGAGGCAGACACGAGAACTGCTTGAACCTGGGAGGTGGAGGTTGAAGTGAGCTGAGACTGCGCCATTGCACTCCAGCTTGGGTGACAGTGAGACTCTGTCTCAAAAAAAAAAAAAAAAAAGGTAAAGTTACTCCTTAAATTTAACACTTGCATTAGCATCTACAATAACAGCATCCTCTTTCCAGTCCCTTCAGCTGCAGGGTATGAATAATAAAAGCAGTATTGACATATTCTAATAATGCTGCTTGATATAAGCAGGCCAAACTGAAAAAAACTAAAATACCATGTATGTACCACAAACCACATCTTCTATATAGTATTTATTGTTACCAGACAGGCAGGCTTTGGAATGAAGATAGATACGGATTTAAATGCCAGGTCTGCCACTTACTAGCTGTGTGACCATAAACAATTCAACAAGTATTTATTAAATGCAAAACTGAAGATACAAAATATAGGACATGGACTGTGATCTCAGGGAGCTCATATTCCACTGAAATCATTGAAATGGACAATCAAACATATCATTGGAATTTGGTGTTAAGTGCAACAAGAATGGTGGGTCTGATGTTTTTAGAAAATTAACTCAGATTGGGTTTTTTTTTTTTTTTGAGACAGGGTCTTGCTCTGTTGCCAGGCTGGAATGCAGTGGTGTGATCATGGCTCACTGCAGCCTCAACCTCCCCAGGCTCAGGGGATCCTCCAACCTCAGCCTCCCAAGTATCTGGGACTATGGATGTGTGCCGGGCCAATTTTTGTATGTTTTGTAGAGACAGGGTTTCCTCATGTTGCCCAAGCTGGTCTTGAAGTCCTGGGCTCAAGTGATCCTCCTGCCTTAGCCTCCCAAAGTGCTGGGATTACAGGTTTGAGCCACTGTACCTGGCCAGATTGGTCTTAATGAGGTGCTATAGTACACACAATACATACATAATGTACTGTCAAATGCAGAGGCTTTTTCAAGGGCATAGGTATTTATCAGTAAGTACTTCATCTGCAACAAGACCATACTTAGACAATTTTTTTTTTTTTTGTAGAGACGAGGTCATGCCATGTTGCCAAGGCTAGTCTCAGACTCCTGGCCTCAAGTGATCCCCTCACCTGAGCCTCTCAAAGTGCTGAAATTATAGGGATGAGCCACTGTGCCTGGAGTACACTTTTATTTGTTTGTTTGAGATAAAGTCTTGCTCTTTCACTTAGGCTGGAATGTGGTGGCGTGATCTCGGCTCACTGATTCTCCTCTCAGCCTCCCGAGTAGCTGGGATTACAGGTGCCTGCCAACATGCCTGGCTAATTTTTGTAGTTTTTTAGTAGAGACGGCGTTTCATCATGTTGGCCAGGCTGGTCTCAAACTGACCTCAGGTGATCTGCCTGCCTCAGCCCCACAAAGTGCTGGGATTACAGGCGTGAGCCACCGCATCCGGCCGGGAGTGCACTTTTAAACATCACACTATTCCACTTATCTCCCAACATTTTTTCTTCAAAAGTATACATCCTTGAAATACAATTTGAACTCAATATAACATTTTTCATAGTTTCTCCAAAAGCTTCAGCCTGGCCCAAGGTAGGCCATATCACATAGGCAAATCACCAGTGAATTTGTCTTTTGAATGATAAATAGTGATTATATAAATGTGAATAAAAGGAATATTTGTCTATATCTGGAATTTGGCTGCCTCTAAAGACCTTTCAATTGAGGGTACAAGTGTTTTTGTTTTGTTTTGTTTTTAAATACAGACGGGGTCTCCCTATATTGATCAGACTGGTCTTGAACTCCTGGGCTCAAGCAATCCTCCCGCCACTGCCTCGCAAAGTGCTAGGATTACAGGTGTGAGCAACCACACCCAACCCAAGTGTTCTTAGATACTTTCATATACATAGGAAAAAAATGAATCTTGCTTTGTACATTTTAACTTATCAGTAACAGCTGACTGTCCCTGCTAAATATATAGCTTTATATCAATAATAAAAAGAAAGATAGGGTCTTGGTCTGTTTTGGCTGCTATAACAAACTAATGGACTGAATGGCTTACAAAAGACAAAATTTTATCTCTGGAAGCTGGAAAGTCCAAGGTCAAAGTACTGGCCAATTTGGTGTCTGGTAGAGAGCCAGCTTTCTGATTCACAGACAGCTTTTTTTTTTTTTTTGCTATGTTCTCACATGGCAGAAGGGGCAAGGGAGTTCACTGGGGTCTCTTTTATAAGGGCACTGATCCCACTAGCCCTCATGACATAATCACCTCCCAAAGGCCTCCAAATACTATCAAATTGGGAATTAGGTTTCAACATCATGAATTTGGGGGTAGGGGGAGGGTACAAACATTCAGTGTATAGCAGAGAGCATAAGAAAATCTACCCCTATTCACCCATTATAATAATAGTGCCAGCCAACATTTATTGAATGCTTACCATATGCCAGGCACTATTTTTACGTGCTTTAAGCATATTTATGCTTTAAATGTATTATTTCACCTCATCCTCATAACAATCCTAAGATGTACATATTATATCTGAATTTTATATATGAAAAAACAGATAAAGTGGCCAGGCACAGTGGCTCACGCCTATAGTCCCAGCACTTTGGGAGGTCAAGGCGGGTGGATCACCTGAGGTCGGGAGTTCTAGACCAGCCTGACCAACATGGAGAGACCCCATCTCTACCAAAAATACAAAATTAGCCGGGCATGGTGACGCATGCCTATAGTCCCAGCTACTTGGGAGGCTGAGACAGGTAAATCACTTGAACCTGGGAGGCGGAGGTTGCAGTGAGCTGAGATCGCGCCATTGCACTCCAACCTGGGCAACAAGAGTGAAACTCCATCTCAAAAAAAAAGAAAAAACAGATAAAGCATTTAAGCAAGCCCAAGGTTGTTCAAGTACCCTCCCAATATACATACTTGATTATGTATATGAACTGTTATACCAATACAGTAACAATATATTATATAGCAACATATTATAAAAAACTTAACAGGCTGGGAGGGGTGGCTCATGCCCGCAATCCCAGCACTTTGGGAGGCCGAGGTGGGCGGATCACGAGGTCAGGAGTTCGAGACCAGCCTGACCAATATGGTGAATCCCTGTCTCTACTAAAAATATAAAAATAAGCCAGGCATGGTGGCACGTGCCTGTAATCCCAGCTACTCAGGAGGATGAGGCAGGAGGATCACTTGAACCCGAGAAGCGGAGGTTGCAGTGAGCCAAGATTGCGCCACTGCACTCCAGCCTGCATGACAGAGTGAGACTCCATCTCAAAAAAAGCAAAAACAAAAACAAAAACAATAACCTTACACAAAGTAAAATTTTAAAGAAAGGATGAGATTTAGAAAGAAAAATAAGGCCAGGCGGGCCCAGTGGCTCACGCCCGTAATCCCAGCACTTTGGGAGAGCAAGGCAGTTGGATCATCTGAGGTCAGGAGTTCGAGACCAGCCTGACCAACATGGTAAAACCTTGTCTCTACTAAAATTACAAAAATTTAGCCAGGTGTGGTGGCGGGCACTTGTAATCCCAGCTACTTGGGAGGCTGAGGCAGAATCACTAGAATCCGGGAGGCGGAGCTTGCAGTGAGCTGAGATCACGCCATTGCACACCAGCCTGGGCAGTAAGAGCAAAACTCTGTCTCAAAAAAAAAAAAAAAAAAAAAAAGCTTCTCAATGACCAGCCAGACATCAGGATGTAAAAAATAAATAAATGAGTATAGGCTTCTCACTAAGTTATTTTTATTTAGAAAAATATATCTTTCATTTAAAAATATTTACTTAACACATATGGGTTGTGAGTTTTTTATAAATATTCTACAACTTAAAAAAATAAAGAAAGAAAAAAAAATCCAGGTGCGGTGGCTCATGCCTGTAATCCCAGTAGAGGAAGGAGGATTGCCTGAGGCCAGGAGTCTAAGATTAGCCTGGGCAACATAGCGAGACCCCACTGCTACAAAAAATAAAAAATTAGCCAGGCATGGTGGCACACACCTGTATAGTCCTACTTACCTATTCAGGAGGCTGAAGTGGGAGGATCACTTGAGCATAGGAGTTTTGAGACTACTGTGAGCTATGATCATGCCACTGCACTCCAGCCTGGGCAACAGAGCAAGACCCTGTCTCTGAAAGTAAAATAAAGAAGAAAAAAAAACACAGAAGCTTCAAAATTTTCTTCCTGCTTTTCTTTTTGAGATGGAGTTACTCTGTCACCCAAGCTGGAGTGCACTGGCACGATCTGGGCTCACTGTAACCTCCACCTCCTGGATTCATGCAATTCTCCTGCCTCAGCCTCCCAAGTAGCTGGGATTATAGGCGTATGCCACCATGCCCTACTAATTTTTGTATTTTTTTAGTAGAGACTGGGTTTCACCATGTTGGCCAGGCTGACACTCCTGACCTCAAGTGATCTGCCCACTTCGGCCTCCCAAAGTGTTGGGATTACAAGTGTGAGCCAACGCATCCGGCCTCTTCCTGCTTTTCAATAAATTACTGTCACGTACCCCACTTTGGAGACCACAGCTTTAGTTCACAGGCAGTCAAAATCCAAGAGCAACAGTGAAGATTACCAGTATTTCTCAAACTTAAATGTGTATCATAGAATGATTACCACCCCCAGATATACTTTTTTTTAAGACAGTCTTGCTCTGTTGTCCAGGCCGGAGTGCACTGGCGTGATCTTGGCTCACTGCAACCTCTGCCTCCTGGGCTCGAGCAGTTCTCATGCCTCAGCCTCCTGAGTAGCTGGGATTACAGGAGCACACCACCACGCCGGCTAATTTTTTTTTTTTTTGAGATGGAGTTTAGCTCTGTTATCCAGGCTGAAGTGCAGTGCCGCAATCTTGGCTCACTGCAACCTCTGCCTCCCAGGTTCAAGTGATTCTCCTGCCTCAGCCTCCCGAGTAGCTGGGACTACAGGCACATGCCACTACACCGGCTAATTTTTTTTATTTTTAGTAGAGACAGGTTTTACTATATTGGCCAGGCTGGTCTCGAACTCCTAACCTTGTGATCTGCCTGCCTCAGCCTCCCAAAGTGCTAGGGTTACAGGAGTGAGCTACCGTGCCTGGCCTTGTAGTTTTGATAGAGACAGAGTTGCACCATGTTGGCCAGGCTGGTCTCAAACTCCTGACCTCAGGTGATCCACCCTCCTCGGCCTCCCAAAGTGCTGGGATTACAGGCATGAGCCACTGTGCCTGACCCCAGACACATTTTCAGGAGCAAAATTAAACCAATAAAAAGTTACAGAGGAATTTATGCTCTCTTTGAAGCTCCCAAGCATCCAGCCCTGCCAAGCTTTCCAAATCCTGTGCCACAGACACAGGCTGAGGGCTGGTTTGGGGATAGGGAGGACTCTTTTCCAAAGTTAACAGTATACTTTTGGGAGTATCAGCTCCAGAAAGACTCCCTTAGGCAAAGGCACAGAGAAAAGATGTTGCCTTCAAGGTTTCTGGGAATGGCTGGAAGGCACTTGAGAGCCTCCTAGGATTTCAGGGATAAAGGCCAAGGACACTCTAACATCCAAAGCTGCTACAGAAGTGCCTGAAGTTGCCAGGCTGCTAAAAATCCAATCACTACCAAGTTCAAATGAAAAGCTTTTTCTGTAGAAAGAACATGTTTTTCACACTGAATCGTCCCACATATCCCTTATTACACAGTATGCAAAGTTGTGAAGAGAGACTAATATTCAAAACATGGGCAACTAGGTATTTCTATATATTAAAAATGATTAGTTTTTTAAATTCTGAAATTCTGTCTTTTAAAGTAATCCTAACATGTGAGAGTAATGTTGAGTTCCAATTCCCCCAAAAGGTTAAACTTCCCTTTTTACTTCATATTTTTTTTCTTCCCAAAAGAACATGGTTAATGCAAAGTTAGAATTTCTTCTTTAAGGCTTGAGTTTGAAAAAAATCATGAACTCCTGTAAGTTGTTGCCATATTTGGAAGAGAACAAGTTCAAGACAAATAATCAAAAGTAAATTCCTCACCAGTCATGTAACTTGACAGTATGCACTCACACACACATAGCAGCTAAACCAAAAGGCACTTTTAAAGGGGAAAGTCAATACTGTGGGGACTTTGTGAAGAATACCTTTACACTTTCTCTTTGCATTCCTACTTGGACCCCTGCCTGAGAAAAATAATAAATTTATATATATTTTTAGAAGGCCTTCAAATATCCGTTAACAGTCAACATATCAGGGAATTTTTACCTGGTAAGGGAAACGTAGCTGTCTTTAGCTCCAGAGAGCTGACCTAAGAGTAGAGCAGATGTTTCATTAACCAGTATGTAAGACATTGCTATACTCCAAGTTAAGCATCTCACTTCAGTAAGTTTGCTTTCTGATGGTTACACCCAAACTAAATAGTTAAGACTCTCCCTCACCCCTCTACATACATTTACTCTCTCACTCCTGATACTTAACACACATAAATATACATACACGTACCTTTTTAAAAGATAAGCTTCAGTATGCCAGAAGCAGAAGGCATGAGAAAATGTCAGTAGATTCCCATTCGTAGGTAAAACTATGTACCAAAATGTGAAGAACTGACAGCTCTAGACTCAAATCTGACTGGAAGAGTATTTGAATGGCCCACATTGGGCTAGACACTCAGAACTCTTGCCTGCTTTAAGAACTTAGCATGATCCAGCCGAGCGCCGTGGCTCACGCCTATAATTCCAGCGCTTTGGGAGGCCGAGGCAGGTGGATCACCTGAGGTCAGGAGTTCGAGACCAGCCTGGCCAACATGGTGAAACCCCATCTCTACCATAAAAATACAAATTCAAAATTTGTATTCAAATTCAAAATACAAATTCACCAGGCATGGTGGTGAGCACCTGTAACCCCAGCTACTCGGAGGCCACAGCAGGACAATCACTTGAACCTGGGAGGCGGAGGTTGCAGTGAACCGAGACTGCACCACTACACTCTAGCCTGGGCAAAAGAGCAAGACTTTGTCTCAAAAAAAAAAAAAAAAAAAAAGAACTTAGCATGATCTATAAAGCAGCAAAATGGCACATTTTACTAAATAAAGTGTAGCTATTTATACTAGACTTCATTTAGACAACAATTTCCCCACAACCTCCTATTTTAAACAATATGCTAATCTGTCACTAAAGGACTTTGGCTGATGGCTTTATAAATCAAAGCATGGCACCAATAGTAAAAAGAGGTCAGAAACAACTGAGTTACAACTTTGGCGGTTTTCCTTTCTAGTTTGTGCTTCTTAAGATTCTGCTGTTACTTTGAAGCTGATTTCACAGCTAGCTGAATGGGATTTATAAATCCTAAGTATTCAATAGCTGGTTCTCCTTTAAAACAAACAAACCCAATTCTATACATAGGAACTGCCTGACTCAAAAGAAAGATTAGGCCGGGGGCAGTGGGCTCATCCCTGTAATCCCAGCGCTTTGGGAGGCCGAGGTGGGCAGATAACGAGGTCAGGAGATCGAGACCATCCTGGCTAACATGGTGAAACCCCATCTCTACTAAAAATACAAAAAATTAGACAGGTGTTGTGGCATGTGCCTGTAGTCCCAGCTACTCAGGAGGCTGAGGCAGGAGAACTGCTTGAACCTGGGAGGCAGAGGTTGCAATGAGCTGAGATTGTGCCACTGCACTCCAGCCTGGGCAACAGAGCAAGACTCTGTCTCAAAAACAAAACAAAACAAAAGATTAGCAGTCACATGTGCATTGCGTACACCAACAAAGCCAGTGAGACGTGAAATATATCAAATAGTGGCAGGGCGTGGTGGCTCCTGCCTGTAATCCCAGCACTTTGGGAGGCCAAGGTGGGTGGATCACAAGGTCAAGAAATCGAGACCATCCTGGCCAACATGGTGAAACCCCGTCTCTACTAAAAATACAAAAAAATTAACTGGGTGTGGTGGCTCACGCCTGTAGTCCCAGCTACTTGGGAGGCTGAGGCAGGAGAATGGCTTGAACCCGGGAGGCAGAGGTTGCAGTGTGCTGAGATCACGCCACTGCAAATCCAGCCTGGCAACAGAGCAAGACTCTGTCTCAAAAAAAAAAAAAAAAAAAAAGAAATATATCAAACAGTAAAGTGTCCAAAAAGTGTGAGGGAGAACTTAGCTATTATTCTTTCATTCTACATATCCTTTTTTTTTTTTTTTTTTTTTGAGACGGAGTTTCGCTCTTGTTGCCCAGGCTGGAGTGCAATGGCGCCATCTTGGCTCACTGCAACCTCTGCCTCCCGGGTTCAAGCGATTCGCCTGCCTCAGCCTCCCGAGTAGCTGGGATTACAGGCATGTGCCACCACACCTGGCTAATTTTGTATTTTTAGTAGAGACTGGGTCTCTCCGTGTTGGTCAGACTGGTCCTGAGCTCCTGACCCCAGGTGATCTGCCTGCCTCAGCCTCCCAAAGTGCTGGGATTACAGGCATGAGCCACCGCACCCAGCCTACATATCCATTTTGTAAGAGTGTCACTGTGGCAAAACCCCAACTGGTAAATGAACCTATTATTTCACCTATGTTTCTCTTATGCTAAATACAATGAACATAAAAGACTTAAGAGCCTTCTTCAGGAAGACATTTTTGGAACAGAATTATAAATATTTTGGGTAATAAGTTGCTAGAATTTTTTAAATAAAAATAGAGAGTATAATACTTCTCTCACCAACATAAACAAAATTAGAGAAACAGAAGAAAGAAAAAGCATTGAGGAAAGATAATTTTAAGAAAGTGCAGATTGAATTCGAATTAATTTTATTTTATAAGGAATTTAGAAAACATGAGCAAATATTCATATTGCATTAAAAAAACAAAGTCTATATATCATTCAAATTTTAAAAGTCAGTGTGACACTAAAAAATGTACTAACAAAGTAATATGTTTCATTTTAGAACAAAATTTTATCAGTGGCTCATCACAACTGATATACAAACAAAATGCTAAAATGATGTAAAACTGAATCTCAAAGTGATCCAGTTGGATGAAGGGAGCACCAATTATCATCGATGTGGGACTGCCATATACTCTACCAAAGAAAACAAACTACCATTAGGTGATAAAGATGAGCAAATAAATAAACTAGAGGGAGGGAATGAGCCCACAATTTCTGAAATTTTACAGTAAGTGGTTTATTTGTTTCTGTTGTTACATGTCTTTTGTCTGTTTTCTTCCTTCAAGAAATTAAGTGGATGTGTGAAGGATCCAAGAATATTTCCCAGGTATATCTTACTTTTTCAGGAAGAATAACTTTATACTGAAGAAATAATGATTAATACTCCCTATCACTTCAGCCACTGAATATACTATTAAAATTATTTGTTTTTACAACTATAGTATGCTTTTATTTATTTATTTTTAAACTGTAAGTCAATAATATTTAAAGAATGAAAGTCTCTTCATTTAAGAAATATACAGTCATCCTTTGGTATGAGAGGGGGACTGATTGCAGGACACCCCTTAAACCCCTCCTCTATACCAAAATCCATGGATGTTCAAGCCTCTTATATGAAATGGCTTGCTATATGCATATAACCGATGCACATCCTCCTGTATACTTTAACCGCCTGTATACTGTAACCTTTAAATTACTTAAAATACCTAACACAATGTAAATGTTATAGTAAAACTTTTACAGCTGTTAAACTGTATTTTTAAAATTTTACATTCTTTTTTTCTTTTTTTTTTTTTTTCTATTTTTGATCTGTGGTTGGTTTAATCTGTGGGTTTGAAACCCTTGGATATAAAAGACTGACTTTATTTAACTCCTGAAAAAAATTCCTTTTTTGAAAAGTGACAATAACATGAAGTTAATACATCAGGAGTCTTGAAAAGAATATTAGGTAATCCAATTATAACAATTTAAATTAGAATATTCAGGAACTGTATCTTGAAGGCTCAAAAATACTATTTATTTATTTATTTATTTATTTTTGAGATAGTCTCACTCTGTCGCCCAGGCTGGAGTGCAATGGTGTTATCTTGGCTCAGATTCTTCTGCCTCAGCCTCCTGAGTAGCTGGGATTACAGCCACCCACCACCATGCCGACTAATTTTTGTATTTTTAGTAGAGACAGGGTTTCACCATGTTGACCAGGCTAGTCTTGAACTCCTGACCTCAAGTGATCTGCCCACCTCGGCCTCCCAAATTGCTGGGATACAGGTGTGAGTCACTGCGCCCAGCCTCAAAAACACAATTTATGATTCCTTGTGAATTAAATTTCACTAAGATGAAGCACATCTAAGTTTAAAACTTGGGTACCATTATGTTTTACAATTTTTAAGAAAGAAAATTCACAACCTACTCAATAATCCTGAAGAAAAATCAGATTAAAAGTAGTAGGATATTTGTACATACAACATGTATAGATATATAAATAAACACTTTCTAGAAGGAAAAGGTATCATATTTAGTATTTATAGGCTACACTCTTTCTTTTAAGGAAGATTATAAAAGAGGGGCTAGGTATGGAGCCAGAAGTTGTGAGGGAAACCTCAAAGTAGTAAATACTATAACTCTTTGTAGAGTTTTACACTCAGTGTAAAGAAATGCAAAAAAATCCTTATACTATTAAATCTTTACTTGTATAAAAACCGAAATTAGTCCAACTACTTTTTGCCCATTTATGATGATAAAAATTGAAACAAAAACTCTCAACCCATTTTGTAAGACTTCTATTATAACATTCTTAAATCCAGTTCATATTGTTCCAGAGTCATGTAACATCAAGGTGGGGACACAAAATATGATAGTGAATTTTACCTTTTCTTAGGAAATGATCACAATTTCATTGAAAGTACAGGATAAAGTGAATAGCCCCTTAACGACTTGTGTACTTTATTGTCTTCAATAGAAAGTTCAAATATTTCCATTTTTTAAACCTCTAGAATATTATCCGGACATTTAAAATATTGATATTTGAGTTTACATTAAAGGACATCATACTCTGAAAACAGGCTGGCTTTAAATATAGTTTGACTGATTGTGGGGGTACTTACGGACAGATTTCTTTACCAAGTACCAGTTTCTTATATTTAAAAAAAATCAGCAAGATAGAATTTAAAAAATCTTCATTTACAATACATTGTAAACTGCAGACAGCAACTGCCACATACATCATAGACCAGCACAGGTAAAAATCTTTTTTCCGGATGTCTATAAGACTTTGTATCTTCCTTTATTTGTTGGTTGGTATGAATTTTGCTGTAATAGGAAATAAAAGATATGTCATCAGAGAAAGCAAAACAAAAAAAACAAAAAAAAAAAACGAACCAACCAACCAACCAAACAAACCCAAAAGGAAATATTTAAGATCATTTCCTTTGCCAACTTATAAAACTATTGGTTATTTAAAATTTTAAATGTTACTATTACTGCATTGAGAAAGGAAAAACTATTCAATAACTAATGAATTCTCTGTTCACTCAACTATTCCTTAACAACTATGTTTTGAATCAACCTAATGGTGGTAGCATCTATGGGCACAAGATTCTTTTCGACCACTCCTTGGTGAAATAGTATTAAGCACATGATTTAACAGCTGTTTTACTTTTTCCCTCTTGTTTTGTGAACCCACTTTTCATTAAACTTCTAACCACCCCCACCCCCCAACAAAAAAAGGAATGCTCTGTGAGGGGAATTTTAGAAAAGCTCTCAGAATTACACTTAGATAAAAGACAACGTTTCCTTTCAAAGGAAATGTACACACTGTAGGGAGTGTTTATAAGCTGCAACTGGCACTAAAGACACAAGGACATGTCTACCTCCTCGGGAAAGGCAGTCTGTAAAGGGCTTTTTCCAAAATCAAATTAAGTCATTGTTTAAGTTTAAAGACACTGACAACACCATGTGTTGGCAAATATGTAGAACAACTGGAATTTTCTACACTTCTGGATTGAGTGTGAATTGATGTAACCTCTTTGGAAAACTATTTAGCAATACCTAGCCTATAATTAACAATTCTACTCCGAGGTATATACCCAAGGAAAAAATCATGCTAATATATACCAAACGCACATGGAATAATGTTCACAGAAGTGTTGTTCATAAAAACCAAAAATAAGAATAGCCCCCAAATCCAATATATAAATATAAATTAATTGTTGTATAATCATATAAATATTATATGGCCATGAAAATGAATTATTGCTACATGCAATAACATGGACCGATCTCCTCAAAATGTTGAGTGAAGGAAACTAGATGCAAAAGGTGCAAACGCATGATTACACTTATGTGGAGTTCAAAAACAGGAAAAACTAATCTATGATTTTAAAATTCACAATATAGGGCCGGGCGCCACGGCTCACGCCTGTAATCCCAGCACTTTGGGAGGCCAAGGCAGGTGAATCATGAGGTCAGGAGTTCGAGACCAGCCTTGCCAACACAGTGAAACACCATCTCTACTAAAAATACAAAAATTAGCCAGATGCGGTGGTGTGCGCCTGTAATCCCAGCTACTCAGGAGGCTGAGGCAGGAGAATCACTTGAACGCAGGAGGCGGAGGTTGCAGTGAGCCGAGATCGTGCCACTGCACTCCAGCCTGGGTGACAATGCAAGACTCAGTCTCCAAAAAAAAAAAAGAAAAGAAAAGAAAAAAAATTCAAGGTATGGTTTTGTTGGGGGGAGATGAATAGTGACAAGAATAGACACAGAGAAGACTTCTGGGATATTAGTAATGTTTTTTATTTCTTGATCTGGGTAGTGACTACACTGGTATGCTTATTACTTTGTGAAAATTCATCAAACTATATGTTTATGATTTGAGTACTTCTCTGTATTTATATTTCAATAAAACACTTATTAAAACAAAACAAACGAAACTTTAAGGTTTTCACTCACCAGCCGGATCAGCTCTTCTTTTATGAGCCTGGTGATTTCTGCCTTTGCTTTCTGCACAGCCAGTTCATTGGCACCTAGTGATTGAGTGGAAAGCATATTATTCAAATTACTAAACTTACACTGTGTTTACCCATATCACGGAGGTCCAGGAAGAAACACTGTAGGTGACTTTCAGAAACACTGTACTGCCTGCCAAGATAGCCATTTAATGCCTGGTGGAACATTACCCACATTATATAATGGCTGCTTATTATTTTGATTACTTTCAGAGTTTCAAATGTAACCACTGAGGTCATATTATGTGTTAAGAGTTCCTAGTATGGTGATTAAAAAGAGTGGAATAAAAAGACTATTAGTGATTTGTCCAGGAGATAGTAAGAGAAGGCTAAAGGGAAATATAACTTCCTTGGTTTATTCATTTAGTAAGTATTTATTAGACATTTATGATGTTCACTGAAGTCTACAAATGTTTCAGAAGGGTCTCGTCTGAACAAAATCTTTAAAATGAAAGGAGGACTAGCCAATTGGAGGGAGGAAAGATACCATAAGAGTATTTTGCAAAGGAAATTAATTACATGCGTAATGGTACAGAGTTAAGACAAGCATGCTTAATTATTGAAGAATAAGAGAAGCGTAGCGTGGTTGGAAAAGGAGTATGAAAGAACACCGCAAGATAGCTGACTAGATGAGGTAGGCTGCAGACATTCATTCACAGTTATCAATTTCATAAACATTAAGCACTCACCTCTCACATACTGTGAGACATTTAACATATAAATAACAAATTCATGCTCTTTAAAAGCTTACAGACTAGAAAAACAAACTTGTAAAGATATCAAAACAGGATGAAAAGGAAGTAGTTCACAAACTTCACTTTTAAATACCACTTTTAGGAAGTTTTCCTGACTCTGAAAGGCACAGTTAAGTGTTTTTTTCCTTAGTGCTCTCACAATATTGTATTTATACCATCACAAGAGCACACTTTTGAGGTAGAATGGACAAGATATTTTTTCTGATGGGATATGAACAGTGAAAAAGAGAAACAAATTAAGATATTAAGAGCTGGCTGGCAAGTGAAAAAAGGCAGAAGTAAAAGAATATACTGATTCCAGGAGGTAAACAGGTGTTTTCTGGACAGTGATAATGGGTGAAATTTAATTCTAAAATTGCTGTAGTTGAGGTGCTCATCAGACATCCAATTGGAAATACAGATGAGGCCAATGGAAATATGAACCAGAAGTTTAGAAGTGGCAGAGATTAGAGAGCCATCAAGGGTAGGCTGGGTAGAATCTGGAGCCAATGGACAATGCCAGTGAGTAGGTAAGTACAGATAGACACCATATTGCACACTGAGAAGAGAAAAAGAGCTGAATCAAAGAAGACTAAAGATTGAAATGTCTAAGAATAAAAGGAGGACTGGGTTTGCAACGTAGAGAGCTATATTTTTATCATTCCGTGTATTTTTAAAAAACACAAATGAGGGAAAGATTTATAATAAACGAGAAAATTTCCCCCCATATTAGAAATGAGTAACTTTTCTGTCCCCAGAGAGAGACAGAGACGGAGCTAGAAAGAGAGACAGAAACAGTTGCACAACAGGAAGGAAAAGGCCAAGGGTATGGCTATGAAGTCATAGCAACATATCTAATTTAAATCCTATACCTCCACTAGCCACCAATCACAACACTATAAAACTACGTGGGGAAGGTGAGTGCTGGAAGGGAAGAGAAAAAGAAGAATCAAGACCGAAGTCAAACTGAAAATTACAACAAAAATGAAATTTAGGAGGAAAACACGTTGCTTGGTATGAGTTGGTGTGAAGCTTGTTGATATTTTTGTGCAACTTTAAAAAGAAGGAAAATGACACTCTCACCTAGATTTAACTGGAAAATCAATTTTCCTACTTTTATCAGAGCCCGACAATTTGGACCAGTTTAAATTCTGACTTATGTAACTTCTTGTAATAGGTTACATATGTTTATAAGCAGCTATGAAAAAAAGGGCATTTCCTTTCATTGGTCCTAAAACAACTGTGGCTGCTTTTAAGGGATTCTCCACTAGTAAAAAGAGAGGGTCACAGAACAGGCTATATAAATTATACAGGCTGACTAGGCATGTAAGTCCTTCCTGTTCTCCTTCCCTTTGCCTGGTGGGAGGCCTGGAGCTGCTGAGCCAAACAGAGCCTCCAAGGAGCCAGCCAGGCAGTGGGGTCCCTCCAATTACAGAACTAGAAACAGATGACACTAGGCTCATTCCACAGTAGCAACACCTGTTTTCATCCTGTTAGTGTTTAGTTGAGTTCGGAGTTTCAAAAACTAAATGATCCTTTAAAAAATCTAATTACCTCTGAAAATTCTAAAAGATTTAGATCACTTAAATTACCAAACCCTAGCTCTTATTCAATATCATTATATTTCTTTTTCTTTTCTTTTCTTTTTTTTGAGACAGAGTTTCGCTGTTTTTGCCCAGGCTGGAGTGCAGTGGCGCCATCTCAGCTCACTGCAACCTCTACCTTCTGTTTCCAAGGTACTCAGCCTCTCGAGTAGCTGGGATACAGGCTCCCGCCACCATGCCCAGCTAATTTTTGTATTTAGTAGAGACGGGGTTTCACTATGTTGGCCAGGCTGGTCTCAAACTCTTGACCTTGTGATCCGCCCGCTTCGGCCTCCCAAAGTGCTGGGATTACAGGCGTGAGCCACCGCGCCCGGCCATTATCATTATATTTCTAGATTATTCTTAAGATTTGCTTCAACAAAGTTGCTTTTTTACTGAGGAGACTTGCTTAGATTATTATAAAAATTAGACGTTATTTCCTGAGTGTAAATTGACAGTGGAGACAAATGACCAGAACCATTCTGGATGAAAGGAAAACTACATCGGAGCTGTGGAATCAGTGAATATCTCACTTCACATCACTTGGTAGTAGAGATGTGTTCTGATAAAGTTATACATAAATTGAAATTTGATATATCAATTATACCATACTAAGCAAACACTGCATTTAAATTAATAAATGAATTACGAAAAGAATTCTTTTTCAAAGCAAATAATCATGTCTCTCACTTACCTCTTTATAAGGCAAGCAGTTAAAATATTAATTTTGCTTAAATGATACCCATGTATTCAAGCAGAAAATAAAATCCTGACTCCATGTACACCAAAGGTTTTATTGCCACATTCCTCTATCATTGTCTTCAGCCTGTATGATCTAATTAACACAGTAGCAAAGACCTGTCCAGTTCCAACTACAGAAACACATCAGCTTAAGTTTTCTCTGCTTGAAGACCCAGGGGTCAGCAATCCCCATTTCACTATGTAATAAGAAACAGTGTCACCTGAGTTAGAAACATACTGGGTCATTGGCAGACCAAAAGTATTTCAGGATACACAAAAGCATGCCATTTTTAAACCTGACTTCAAATAGATCTAAGTCAGTTTCTCATAGTCACAAACATGAAGAAAAAAGTGTAGTTTGCCTAGTTCTGGCCACACATCCTTTGTATGCCATTTAAAAATATGTATGAAACTTACCATGACTCAATGGTAGAGTGGGAAAAACACGGAAAACATAACAGCTGTATTTGCCGGGCGTGGTGGCTCTCGCCTGTAATCCCAACACTTTGGGAGGCCAAGGCAGGAGGATCACGAGGTCAGGAGATCGAGACCATCCTGGCCAACAATGGTGAAACCCCATCTCTACTAAAAATACAAAAATTAGCTGGGTATGGTGGCATGTTCCTATAATCCCAGCTACTTGGGAGGCTGCCAGGAGGCAGAGGTTTTAGTGAGCCAAGATTGCACCATTGCACTCCAGCCTGGCGACAGAGCGAGACTCCATGTCAAAAAAAAAAAAAAAAAAAAAAGATGAAATTAAGAAATTCTCAGATAAACAAAACCTGAGTTAGTTGCTAGTATACCTGCCCTACAAGAAATACAAAAGGAAATCCTCCAGACTGAAGTGAAAGAACCCTAGATTACTTGAATGAGGAAACAAAGAATACTCATAGCTACATACGTAAATATAAAAGTCAGTATTATTTTTAGTTTGTAGCTTCTCTTTATTTCCTGTATGATTTAAAAATTACATAAAATAATTATGAATCTATGTTGAAGAATACAGAATGTATGAAGATGTACAGGTCTGGGCCCAGCATGGTGGCTCACGTTTGTAATCCCATCACTTTGGGAGGCTGAGGCAGGAGGATCACTTGAGCCCAGGAGTTCAAGAACAGTCTGGGCAACATAGTGAAAACCCATCTCTACAAAAAATACAAAAATTTAGCTGGACATAGTGGCATACACCTGTGGTCCCAGCTAAATGGGGGGCTGAGGTGGGAGGCTTGCTTGAGCTGTGACTGGGTCATTGCACTCCAGGACAGGTGACAGAACAAGACTCTGTCTCAAAAAAAGATGAGTAGGTTTGGGAGGCCGATGTGGGAGTACAAGAGAAGCCAGGAGTTCAAGACAAGCCTAGACTGTAACATAGCAAGACCCTGTCTCTAGAAAAAAAAATTTTTTTCATTAGCCAGGCATGGTGGCACAGGCCTGTGGTCCTAGCTGTTCAGGAGGCTAAGGATAGAGGATCACTTGAACCCTGGAGTTTGAAGCTACAGTAAACTATAATCTCACCTTTGCACTCCAGCCTGAGTGACAGATCAAGACCCTGTCTCTTAGAAAAACATATACAGGAATTTTGTGTCAATAACAACAAAAAAATAGATGGGACTGTATAGGAGCAAAATTTTTGTATAGTATTAAAACTAAGTTGGCATTAATTGAACTACGTTGTTATGAATTAAGATATTAATTGCAATCCACTGAGTAACCGCTAAGAAAATACCTGGCTGGGCACGGTGGCCCAGGCCTGTAATCCCTGCACTTTGGGAGGCTGAGGTAGGCAGTTCACCTGAGGTCAGGAGTTCAAGAACAGCCTGGCCAACGTGGTGAAACTCCATCTCTACTAAAAATAAAATTAGCCAGGCATGCATCTGTAATCCCAGCTACTAGGGAGGCCAAGGGAGAACTCCTTGAACCTGGGAGGTGGAGGTTGCAGTGAGACGAGACAGCACCATTGCACTCCAGCCTGGGCAACAGAGTGAGACTCCATCTCAAAAAAAAAAAAAACAAAAAAAAACCTAAAAATACATATAGCAAAAGAAAGAAGTAGGCCGGGCGTGGTGGCTCCTGCCTGTAATCCCAGCACTTTGGGAGGCCAAGGCAGGCAGATCATGAGGTCAGGAGATTGAGACCATCCTGGCCAACATGGTGAAACCCCATGTCTACTAAAAATACAAAAAGTAGCTGGGCATGGTGGTGCTTGCCTGTAGTCCCAGCTACTCGGGAGGCTGAGGCAATAGAACCGCTTAAGCCTGGGAGGCAGAGGTTGCAGTGAGCCAAAATTGCGCCGTTGCAGTGAGCCGAAATTGCGCCGCTGCATTCCAGCCTGGTGACAGAGCTAGACTCCCTCTCAAAAAAAAAAAAAAACAAAAAACCCAGAAACAAGAGCAAATCAAAATGGCACACAAGAAAATATTGCTTTAACACGGTGGGGCACAGTGGCTCATGCCTGTAATCCCAACACTTTGGGAGGCAGAGGCAGGTGGATCACCTGAGGTCAGGAGTTTGACAACAGCCTGACCAACATGGTGAAACCTCATCCCTACTAAAAATACAAAAATTGGCCGGGCGCAGTGGCTCACGCCTGTAATCCCAGCACTTTGGGAGGCCGAGGCGGGCGGATCACAAGGTCAGGAGATCGAGACCATCCTGGCTAACATGGTGAAATCCTGTCTCTACTAAAAATACAAAAAAAAAAATTAGCCGGGCATGGTGGTGGGCGCCTGTAGTCCCAGCTGCTTGGGAGGCTGAGGCAGGAGAATGGCGTGAACCCGGGAGGCGGAGCTGGCAGTGAGCCGAGATTGCGCCACTGCACTCTAGCCTGGGCAACAGAGCAAGACTCTCTCTCACAAAAAAAAAAAAAACGAAAATTAGCTAGGTGTGGCGGGGGGGCACCTGTAATCCTAGCTTCTCAGGAGGCTGAGGCACGAGAATTACTTGAACCCAGGAGGTGGGAGTTGCAGTGAGTCGAGATTGTGCCACTGCACTCCAGCCTAGATGACACAGTGGGACTTTGTCTCAAAAAAAAAAAAAAAAAAAGAAAAGAAAAGAAAAGATTACTCTAACACAAAAAAGGCAGTTAACGGAGATCTTTTATAATGCAGGCATTTACAGCTAGAAATTTCTCTCTAAGCACTGCTTTCACTGAATCCTGTTTAAGTTTCACGAAGGTACTGAGGACTGAACTGTACATTTTTAATGGTTAAAATGGACAAACTTTTGTTACATGAATTTTACCTCAATGTAAGTCCTAAATAGCAAAAGACTGCTACAGATTTTAAAAATAGTTCCAAATGGAGACAGTACAATCAAGAAGTAAGAGGTCTAGCCTGGCCAACATGGTGAAACCCCAACTCTACCCAAAAATACAAAAATTAGCCAGGTATGGTAGCACATGCCTGTGGTCCCAGCTACCCAGGAGGCTGAGGCACAAGAATCGCGTGAAACCTGAAGGCGGAGGTTGCAGTAAGCCAAGATCGTGCCATTGCACTCCAGCCTGGGCGATAGAGTGCTAAACCCTGTACTGACTACAATGCTATGGTGTCAAGGAAATGAAGCCAGAACAGATGGTGCTATTATCTAGCAGTCTAGTTCTGTCTTGCTTCCATTTCACATAATGTCAGAAAACAAAAACAAAAACCACTTAAAATACCAATAACAAAGATGTTAAATATAAATAAAGTGGGCTGGGCGCGGTGGCTCATGCCTGTAATCCCAGCACTTTGGGAGACCAAGGCGGGTGGACCATGAGGTCAGGAGTTTGAGACCAGCCAGGCCAGCATGGTGAAACCCCGTCTCTACTAAAAATACAAAAATGAGCCAGGCATGGTGGTGCATGCCTGTAATCCCAGCTACTTGGGAGGCTGAGGCAGGAGAACTGCTTGAACCCGGGAGGTGGAGGTTGCAGTGAGTCAAGATCGCGCTATTGCACTCCAGCTCTGGGCAACAGAGCAAGACTCCATCTCGGGGAAAAAAGCAAAACAAAACAAAACAAAAATCAAAAACATAAATAAAGTGTGACAGGGTGTCCTACTATGCAGTAGAGTAACACATCAGAAAAAACAAAATAGGCTGGGCACATTGGCTCATGCCTGCAATCCTAGCACTTTGGGAGGCTGAGTGGGGGCGGGTCCCTTGAGCTGAGGAGTTGGAGACCAGCCTGGGCACCAAAACACAACCTTGTCTCTACAAAAAGACAAAAAAAAAAAAGTCAGGTGTGGTGGCATGTTCCTGTAGTCCCAGCTACTTGGGGGTGTTGAGGTGGGAGGATCACTTGAGCCCAGGAGGTTGAGGCAACAGTGAGCTGATATTGCGCCACTGCACTCCAGCCAGACAAAATAAGACCCTGTCTCAAAATAAATAAAGATGGAAATTGCCTCTGGAATGAATTCATTCATGAATGTATGAAATAAAGTTAAAAACCAAACCTGATTGCTGTTACATAATGTATTATTTATATCCGTTAGGTTGTGGCATTGTCTACTTCTTATTTTGTTAAAGGCATAAACTTTCATGGGGATAATTTCACAGGCAATATTTGCCTAGATAAACATTCATTAAGTGGACTAATACACTTGATTTACTTTCCAACCTAAACTTAGGCCAGAATATTCCACTTACTAGAAGCATAAACAGGTCAGTCCTTAAAATGTAAGTTTTCTTTTAATTTTCAAATTTGACTAAATTGCCAAAACTGAGTCTCGGAAACAGATCATTTACCTTTGCATATGTACTGAAATTCTTATATATAAAGACCTCAAATGTCATAAGATTTTGTTTTCAGAGGTGTTTCTTACTTTCAGTTCTCTCTAGAATTGACCTCACATGCTCTTTGCGTTTATTACATCTACATCAACCTTGATCTAAATTCAAGATTGAAACAGAACTAACAGTACATACTTTCAATTGCCAAGTAAATCTTCCGCTCGCCTTCCTTGGGTTCTTTGCCAGGAGGGAAGTAGGTTCCTCTGATTGTAATTGCGGCTTCAGAGTATTCACTGATTCTCTGCAGAGCTTCCTTAGAGGTAACTTTCCACCTAGCAGTCTAAAAGAAAAGGTAAGGAAAAGAAAAATCACTTCATAACAGGACAAAAAAATCCAGGAGTGCTGACAAAGACTAGGCTGGCTGATATCATATTATGGTTGGTCTCTCTCTCTCTCTCTCTCTCCATATATATATATTCTTTTTTTTTTTTCTTTTGAGACGGAGTTTTCGCTCTTTTTGCCCAGGCTGGAATACAATGGTGCAATCTTGGCTCACCGCAACCTCCGCCTCCCAGGTTCAAGCGATTCTCCTCCCTCAGCCTCCCGAGTAGCTGGGATTACAGGCATGCGCCACCATGCCCAGCTTATTTTTGTATTTTTAGTAGAGACGGGGTTTCACCATGTTGGTCAGGCTGGTCTCGACCTCCCGACCTCAGGTGATTCACCCACCTTAGTCTCCCAAAGTGCTGGGATTCCAGGCGTGAGCCACCTCACCGGGCCCTATGGTCAATATTGAGATCATTATTGGCCGGGCGTGATGGCTCACACCTGTAATTCCAGCACTTTGGGAGGCTAAGGTGGGCGGATCACCTGAGGTTGGGAGTTCGAGACCAGCCTGACCAACATGGAGAAACCCCGTCTCTACTAAAAATAGAAAAATTAGCCAGGCTTGGTGGTGCATGCCTGTAATCCCAGCACTTTGGGAGGCCGAGGCGGGCAGATGACCTGAGGTCGGGAGTTCGAGACCAGACTGAACAACATGGTGAAGCCCTGTCTCTACTAAAAATACTAAAAATACAAAAATAAGCTGGGCATGGTGGCGCATGCCTGTAATCCCAGCTACTCGCGAGGCTGAGGGAGGAGAATCGCTTGAACCCGGGAGGCGGAGGTTGAGGTGAGTCGAGATCGCACCATTGTACCCCAGCCTAGGCGATAAGAGCAAAAGTCTGTCTCAAAAAAAAAAAAAAACAACAAACAAGCAAAGAAAACAAAGATCATTATTAATACATACCTGCATCATAAGTTCATTTAGATCCTAATGTACCTTGAACATACTCATAAAAATCAAATTTCTATTGTTATATCCTCCATTTAGGTAAAGAGTGAAGGAGCTATTAAAATGTTCATGGGTTTTAAAGATGAGATTTTTCCTCCAAAGAAGAGTTGCTACTTCACAATAAAAAAAGGTTTAAACCTGTTACTTGCCTGTGGGAAGTCATTGATCTCTAATTCTTCTTCATATCTCTTAAAAGATTCATTCTGTCCACCATCCTGTCTCTCTTCTTCTTGTTTCTCTAACGGCACATAATTGAGCTTGGCATTGATCTTTTCAGCAAGTTGTTCTGCAATGGTTTTTGCAGAAACAGTGGGAGCCAGAATGGTGCCACCCCTAAGAATTGCATTGGTGGCCTGCTGCATCACATCCTGTAGTTAAAGAAGACTTAGTTAAATCTCAAATGAGGGCAGAGACAAGAGTAGGGACCACACCACAAATTATTCTCTGAAAAGCTACTAACTTTGTATGCAAGTTTAATAAATAAACCTTTCTAATGCATAGTCTCATTGATATGTGTGATTTAGCAATATATATTTATAATGTAGTTTAATGTACCTCCTAGTGGATAAGAAAACTGGAGAACATTCAACTCTATTAAATATTCTACTAGATCATAGAGATGTAGTTGATAATTAGCTAACTCTTGATGTCAGACACAGTAAATATTTCGAAAATCATTTGCATACTCTAATTCCTAGGAGTCTCCTCCGAATTTGAATGTTTGTACTACTACCATCACTGAGCTCCTTCATCTCTATGACCCAACCCAACATTACAAACGTTATAGTTAATGACTGCCTCAAAAGCTTCAAAATAACAAGTAAGCTTCCAAGAAAAAGATAACGTGAAATATTTAAAAATCACATTTCTCCACTGTTTAAGACCATATTGATTTGAGTCATGTAACTGGGTGTTTGTATATCCAGGGAGTTGTGTGCCCAATAAAAGCAGATAAAGAAAGAAAAAGAGAATTATTAATACATCTTTAAGATTTTGTTAAGACTCATCAGAATACTACCCTATAAAACTACCAGTGGCTAACAGTTAGAAATTCCAGAATAGGCCCAAAGTCCTCAGTCAATAGCACTGAGAAATCATCCAAATGCAATTATCAAAAAATTCTGTATTGAGAATGTTAAATTCTCACAAACTCAATGTCTAGGACAACTTGTTTACTTGTGTTCAACATAATTCCTGAAAAGTAAAATCAAAGAACTTCTTAAAAGTATTGACTGAGACTTGGAACAAATTACTTAATACCTGAGACTCGATGCCCAAATTCTTCTGGGCATTGATTCTAAGAGCCAATCTCTTAGCAATTTCTAATTTCTCAGCATTTCCTGCAGTTGGAGCAGGAACACTTGATGTTCCAGGAGCAGCCATATCCTTTACTCTCTTCTTTGAATTAAACATGCTTTCAATTTGCTCATCAATCTAGATCAAAAGGAAAAAAAGGACTAGTAAAAAACTGAATTAGAAATACCAAATTAAGTTATTCTACAGAAATAAATAAGGAATGTTTCCACCAAAAGGCTGGAATCAGATAGTTATATTTACACAAATCCTACTACACAGATCCATGGGAAAATATACCACCTATTTGTTAAAAGTCACATTTCATTTAAAAAATCAGTTGTCTATGGTAGGGAGAAAAATAGAAAACAGAGAAACAACATTGCATGAACCACGTCATCAGACTCCTGAGAGGACCAGAAACTTCATCCCTGTTCAATAAATGAGGAAACATGTGCTTTCAAGACAGAATAGCCAATAGGATGCAGCTGACTTACCCCAGGGCTCAGGCCTTGAGACCAAATTATACTGCAATGAAACAGGCTGGAAGAAGGACTATAACTCAAGGTCAGTGGCCTACTAAAAATATAGTCAATAATTCTCAGGGGGAGTGATATAACATGTTCCTAAGGTAAAGCTCTCAAAACTCTTCCCAACCCATAAAATCCAATTGGATTTGCCTTAAAAACTGGGTAACTGAACCAGAAAAGGCTTATTCCCTTATTCCTTTGAATCAAGAAAGGAAACAAATGCAGGTTGTTTCCCCATCAAGGCAAGCGCAATGATGAATGCTTTGCTTTGACAGGAGTCACATGAGCCCTACTGCTAGGTGCATTTCTTTTTTTTTTTTTTTTTTTTTTTTTTGAGACAGAGTCTCGCTCTGTCTCCCAGGCTGGAGTGCAATGGCGCCATCTCAGCTCACTGCAAGATCCGCCTCCCAGGTTCACGCCATTCTTCTGCCTCAGCCTCCTGAGTAGCTGGGACTACAGGTGCCCGCCACCACACCTGGCTAATTTTTTGTATTTTTAGTTGAGATGGGGTTTCACCGTGTTAGGCAGGATGGTCTCATCTCCTGACCTCGTGATCCGCCCACCTTGGCCTCCCAAAGCACTGGGATTACAGGCATGAGCCACCACCGCCAGCCTGCTATGTGCATTTCTTTTAAAAAATGCCCTTTGCCCAACAGTGACTACTGATATCACTGATTACAGAAATACAAGCCCCCTTCAGAAATTTAGATCAGATTAATAAAGCTGTATCTTCTAGATCTCAAATGCACAGAAAAGCTTATTTAGGGCTTAAAAATTAATTGGTTAATTTACAAAGCTCTTTTACTACAATAAAAACAGTCCGTTTAGCTTTTGTATTTTTTTGAGACAGGGTCGCCTTTAACTCCCAGGCTCAAGGGTTCCTCATATCTCGGCCTCCCAAGTAGCTAGGACCACAGCGTGCACTAGCACGTCCAGCTAATTTTTAAAAACCTTTTTATAGAGATGGGGTCTCACTGTGTTGTCTAGGAGGGTCTTGAACTCCTGGGCTCAAGCTATCCTCCCACCATGGCCTTCCAAAGTGTTGGGATTACAGGCCATGAGCCACCACACCCAGCCTTAGATTCTTCTTAAAACATTTATTACCTATTAAAGGGTTTTAGTTATGGCCACGCACAGTGGCTCCTGCCTATAATCCCAGCATTTTGAGAGTTCAAGGCAGGAGGATTACTTGAGCCCAGGAGTTCAAGACCAGCCTGGGCAACATGGCGAAACCTTGTCTCTACAAAAAATATAAAAGTTACCCAGGCATGGTGGCACATGCCTGTAGTCCCAGATATTCAGAAGGCTGAGGTGGGGAATCACCTGAGCCCAGGAGGTCGAGGCTACAGTGAGCCAAGATCACGCCACTTTACTCCAGCCTGGTTGATGGAGTGAGATCCTGTCTCATAAAAACAAAACAAAACAAAACCCCAAGAAAACACCAACAGGGGGTCAGTTATCAACTAGTTTTAAAACTCAACATTTACCTGAGTAAAACCGTTTTAAATTAAATAGCATTCATGGTATTACAATCTGAACAAATTCATAAAATCAGGAAAGGGGGAAGTATACAATGCTAGCTGGTAGAGCTAACCTTACTTTTGATTTTATTCGTGTTAAGTACTGTTTACATTTTTCATAAAATTATATATTACTTTAACACCCGAAGAAACAATCACCGTATTTTATCACAAGATTTTAAAAAACAGTTAAAAATACTGCAGTTTTCCCTTTACACATGGAATACATTCCAAGAACCCCAGTGAATGCCTAAAAACAGAGATAGTACCGCACCGACATACACTGTTTTTTCCTATACATACATACCTATGATAAAGTTTAATTTATAAATTAGGTACAGTTAAGAGATTAACAACAATAAAATAGGACAATTATAGCAATATACTGTAATAAAAGTTATATGAATGTGGTCTCAAAATACTGTAATAGTTTCAGACTGTGGTTAACCTATGGCAACTAAAACCACAGAAAAGAGGAAACTACCATAATGTCAAAAAGTGACAGATGTTTTTAAAACATGGCTACAAATTATTTAATAGTCTTTTTTCTTGAGTGTGGGCTGGACTTAATGACTTCCTTCTAATAGAAGAAAGTGGGCTGGGCATGGTGGCTCATGTTTGTAATACCATCACTTTGGGAGGCTGAGGCAGGAGGATCACTTGAGCCCAGGAATTTCAGACCAACCTAGGCAACACAGTGAGACCTCGACTCTAAAAAAAAAAACATTTTAAAATATATATTAACAGGGCATGGTGGTGCACCCATAGTACCAGCTACTCAAGAGGCTGAGGTGGGAAGATCGCTGAGGCAGCAGTGAGTTGAGTTCGCACCACTACACTCCAGTTTGGGCAACAGAGTCAGACTCTGTTTCCAAAACAAAACAAAACAAGACAAAAAAAACCCCATAAAGAATAAAGTGGAAGTGACAGTGTGTAATTTCAGAGACAGTCATAAAAAGCACTAAAGCTTTCTCTTTGCTCTCTTTGATCACTCACTGTGGGGAAAGCCAGCTGCCATGTGGGTAAGGACAGGCAAAGAGGTGAAGAACTGAGGCATCCTATCTACATCAAAGTGACTGATGTTGGAAGCAGATCATCCAGCAACAGTCAAGCCTGCAGATGACTGCAATCTCACGAGCGCCTAAGCCAGAACTACCTGACTAAACTGCTCCTGATTTCCTGACCATAAGGAACTATGTGATAATAAGTGTTTATTGCTTTAACCTGCTAAGTTTTGATTTGTTACATGGTAACAGATAAATTTAAAAAATGAAATGTGGTCGGGCGTGGTGGCTCACGCCTGTAATCTGAGCACTTTGGGAGGCCGAGGCAGGCGGATCACGAAGTCAAGAGATCAAGATCATCCTGGCCAACATGGTGAAACCCTGTCTCTAGTAAAAATACAAAAAAAATTAGCCAAGCATGGTGGCGCGTGCCTGTCGTTCCAGTTACTTGGGAGTCTGAGGCAGGAGAACCACTTGAACCTGAGAGGCAGAGGTTGCAGTGAGCCAAGATCAAGCCACTGCACTCCAGCCTGGTGACAGAGCGAGACTCCGTCTCAAAAAAAAAAAAATGACTTTATTGGCCAGGCACAGTGGCTCACACCTATAATCCCAACACTATGGGAGGCCAAGGCAGGTGGATCACCTGAGGTCAGGAGTTTGAGACCAACCTGGCCAATATGGTGAAACCCCATCTCTACTAAAAATACAAAAATCAGCCGGGCGTGGTGGTGGGTGCCTGTAATCCCAGCTACTAGGGAGGCTGAAACAGGAAAATCGCTTGAACCCAGGAGGCAGAGGTTGCAGTTGAGCTGAGATTACGACACTGCAGTCTGGCCTGGGTGACAGAGCAAGACACGCCCGGCTAATTTTTTGAGCTAGTATGGTATCCTAGAAAGAAATGGCTTAAGGTTAATAGGACAACTGGGTTCTGGTCCTGTCTGTGTTAACTCCCACTGTGGTCCTGGACCTAACATCTTTTCTTGGAGTCAATTTCCTAATGATAAGATCAGGTTGAATTTCTGATTTCCAAAATTATTTTCTGAACTTAAGTTTAACATGATATGTCCAAAAGTGTTCTGAGATCAGGTATGTTGGGGAATTTCTGGGTTTAATGAAGTTAAACAAGATTCGTTAAAGACTTTTCACATCCATGGCCAGACGAGGTGGCTCACGCCTGTAATCCCAGCACTTTGGGAGGCCAAGGAAAGCGGATCACTTGAGGTCAGGAATCTGAGACCAGCCTGGGCAAGAAGGTTAAACCCCGCCTCAACTAAAAATACAAAAATTAGCCAGGCGTGGTGGTGGATGCCTGTAATCCCAGCTACTCAGGAGGCCAAGGCAGGAGAATTGCTTGAACCCAGGAGGCGGAGGTTACAGTGAATGGAGACCACGCCACCGTACTCCAGCCTGGGTGACACAGCCAGACTCCCATCGCAAAAAAAAAAAAAAAAAAAAAAGGACTTTTCACATCCTTTGAAGTGCTAATGAGTGGTCTATATATTGAGAGGAGGGGTACTGGTATGTAGTAGGCAGATTTTCCAAAACTGTTCTGGAACCAACCTCTTGTAAAGGTTTCCAGTGATTGTCTATCTTGATAACCATATATGGCAAGACCTCCAGTACAAAAGAAATAACTGCTTCAATTAAGAATGAGAGAATAATAGTACTTACATCAACTGCAGCATCCTCATCATCTGAATCTTGTAGACCAAGAGCTGCTTTTTGTAACTTCTTCCTCTCATTAGCCAAAGCTTGTTCTGTTTCATCAAACTTGAATCCCTTACCAGAGAACCCACTACTCTTTTTAATTATTTTCCCCTCCTTTCAAAAAAAGAAAACGAAGTTAATCTCATAGTAAAAACTTTAATGTTTAGGAATTCATACTAATTAAATATTTTTCAAGGTGGTGTATGTCAATGTAATAAAAACACTTCATCTAGCATGTAAGATAAACTAAGAGCTCTACATAGACACCACAAAATACTAAGTTCAAGAATAAGATAGGATTTTAGCTTTCACTCATTTTTCCCTCTAGAGAGAAATAAAAATAGTCGTAGCAAAATTTTCAAGTGTTAAATAAAAGATTTCCAAGAATTAAATAATCAAGGTTTAGTCACATTAATGATTTCTAGAAGAGTAACATGGGTTAAAAACTCACAGCTTTCTGCTGATCTTTGAAATCACTCCACAGTTTCTCTAAATCAGGAGGTACTGCAGTCCCTGACAATTCAAGAGCTTTAATTATGTCACCAGCATAGCGAGCTTGATCCTCTGTGATAAAAGTATAAGCATAACCCTAATGCATGATGAAAAAGTACAATTATTAGACACTAACAAGATGGATCCTACTTAGATCATAAGATAAAATCTGATCCACCTAATAAATCCTCGAGATTGACAACATTAACTAAAGAATTTTAAAAGCCACGAAAGAGTCTTACTAAATTACTTAATGGTTCAAAGTGAAATATCCAAGTTTAATTTTTATTTTTTGTTGTTTTTTATTTTTTTGAGATGGAGTCTCACTCTGTTGCCCAGGCTGGAGTGCAGTGGCGCAGTTTTGGCTCATTGCAACCTCTGCCTCCCGGGTTCAAGTGATTCTCCTGCCTCAGCCTCCCGAGTAACTGGGATTATAGGCGCCTGCCACTATGCCCGGCTAATTTTTGTATTTTCACTAGAGACATGGTTTCACCATGTCGGCCAGGCTGGTCTCAAATTCCTGACCTCAGGTGATCCGCCCGCCTTGGCCTCCCAAAGTGCTGGGATTACAGGCACGAGCCACTGTGCCCGGCCCAAGTTTAATATTTTAAAATAACACAAGCAAACTAGAAAATTTCTAATTTCTTTACACAGAGGTAGAAATATATGCAATTGGCTGGACGCAGTGGCTCACGCCTGTAATCCCAGCACTTTGGGAGGCCAAGGGGGGGTGGATCATTTGAGGTCAGAAGGTCGAGACCAGCCTGACCAACATGGTGAAACCCCATCTCTACTAAAAACACAAAAAAATTAGCCGAGTGTGGTGGTGGCATGCCTGTGATCCCAACTACTTGGGAGGCTGATGCAGGAGAATCACTTGATCCTGGGAGACGGAGGTTGCAGTGCATGTGAGATGGCGCCAATGCACTCCAGTCTGGGTGACAAGAGTGAAACTCCGTCTCAAAAAAAAAAAAGAAACATAGGTAATTTTACACAAATGCACAATTGTGTGGTCATACCTTTTGATTTTGTTTTTTGTTTTTCCTTTTTTTTTTTGAGATGGAGTCTCGCTAGAGTTTGCTATCTTCACAAAACAATCTGACCTTGCTGGGTACAATGGCTCACACCTGTAATCCCAGCACTTGGGGAGGCAGAGGTGGAAAGATAGCTTGAGCCTAGGAGTTGGAGGCCAGCCTGGGCAAAAATGGCAAGACCACATCTCCACAAAAATGTAAAAAACAAAACCAAAAAAACAATCTGACCCAAACAGTCAACTGTTGCGATTTTTTGTTTGTTTGTTTCTGAGACAAGAGTTTTGCTCCTGCTGCCCAGGCTGGAGTGCAATGGCACAATCTTGGTTCATCGCAACCTCTGCCTCCCGGGTTCAAGCTATTCTCCTGCCTCAGCCTCCCGAGTAGCTCGGATTACAGGCATATGCCACCATGCCCGGCTAATTTTTTATTTTTATTTTAGTAGAAACAGGGTTTCTCCATGTTGGTCAGGCTGGTCTTGAACTCCCAACCTCAGGTGATCCGCCCGCCTCGGCCTCCCAAAGTGCTGGGATTACAGGCGTGAGCCACCGCGCCCGGCCAACTGTTACGAATTTTAAAACATGGTTTAAGATTTTAATTCAGAAATATCTTGGCCGGGTGCAGTGGCTCATGCCTGTAATCCCAGTATTTTGAGAGGCCAAGGCGGGCAGATCACGAGGTCAGGAGATCGAGACCATCCTGGCTAACACAGGTTTTAGTAGAAACCCCGTCTCTACTAAAAATACAAAAAATTAGCCAGGCGTGGTGGCACACGCCTGTAGTCCCAGCTACTTGGGACACTGAGGCAGGAGAATCGTTTGAACCTGGGAGGGAGAGGTTGCAGTGAGCCAAGATCATGCCACTGCACTCCAGTCTGGGCAACAGAGCGAGACTCCATCTCAAAAAAACAAAAACAAAAACAGAAATATCTAAATAGCCACTGCCTTTGACCCATGGTCTGCTTTTGTACTCCTACGGGGCTACAAGTATTTACATTTTTATAGGGTTATGAACATATATACAATAACACATATATATACAGAGAAGGAGAGAGAAAGAGAAGAATATGTGACAGAGCCCAAATAGGCTACAATTTTCAGTACATGGCCCTTTCCAAAAAAATATTCTTGACTCCTTCCAACAGGTTAGAAGAATAAATGCCATTACTACTTATTAAATGTGCATAAGCAGGTGAGCTAAATCCTATGTGCATGAATTTTTCTCATCTATAAAATAGAGTAATATTATTTACCTCAAAGGAAAGTTTTAAGGATAAAATGACATTACATATGTAAAACACTTAAATCGTTTTAAGGATAAAATGACATTATATATGTAAGGATAAAATAACATTATATATGTAAAACAGTTAAAATGACATTATATATGGCAGATAATACGTTATCCATTAATGTAAGCTATGGCATATAAATACTACTTATTGCTTTATTATGCAATGTACAGGGTTAGAAAATTAAATATATCATAATCAATGTCTCCAACAACAGACTAGTCTGCTGCCTCTAGAAGGAATGAGTTAGACCCATACAGTTTCTAGAATACAGGTGAGTCAAAAAAGCAAGTAACATATGTATGTATGAATGATAGGGAGGTAAAGAGGGGAGTAGGAGAAATTGGTAGGTGTGGAGATGGGTATATTTTATGATCCCATGTTTTTTTTTAAAAAAAGATCCTGAAGTATAAACATTTATGTGTATGTGTATACAGATGGTCCCCGACTTACAATGATTCAATTTATAATTTTTCAACTTTACCATGGTGCAAAAGTGATATGCATTCAGTAGAAATTGTACTTTGAGTACCTATACAACCAGTTTTTCACTTCCAGTACAGTATTCAGTAAATTACATGAGATATTCAATACTTTATTATAAAATAGGCTTTGTGTTAGATGATGATGCCCAAGTATAACCTAATGTAAGTGTTCTGAGCATGCTAAAGGTAGGCTAGGCTACTATGATGTTTAGTACGTCAGGTATATTAAATGCATTTTCAACTTACGATGGGTTTATCGGGACATTGTAACCCCATCATAAATCAAGGAACATCTGTATAGAAACGTTTAGGCATGAGGGGAAAAACCTAAAAGGGAAGACAAACTGTTAACAGGATCTGCCTACAAAGAGCAGCTAGGTATCTGATAATTTGAACAACACTTAGACCTGTACATGTATATAAATTATTAACATCAACCACTCTTCACATTATGTGGATTAAAGATTTTCAAAATGTCTCCATAACTCCTATTATCTACTCCTTGAAATACTAAAGAAACACCTGTATTTTAATATAATGAAGATCAACTATAAAAAACTTATTTTTACCTTGTTTCCTGCTCTTCCAGTCCGCCCTGCTCTGTGTACATAATCCTCATAATGGTTGGGGCAGCTATAATTTACTACAAGAATCAGATGTTTCACATCTAGACCTCGGGCAGCAACAGAGGTAGCCACAAGAAGTTTGCAGGTCCCATTCTTAAAGTCATTTATGATGCTATCTCTGTCATATTGATCAATGCCTGCAAGTAAATTAGAGAGCTTTAAAACATGTTCAAATTAAATTTTCCATGTCTTCTGACCAAGAATCTAAACTCAGTGAAGAACAAATTGACACATCCAACTCCTAAAATATAGAAAATAAAAGACTAAGAAAATGTAATGGCAAGATTAAAGGTTATTGCTATTAACTCATTTATGAATCTTTCAACTCTGGTCTTGTATTGCCCCCTTTCTTCTATATAAGGTTTATATTTGCAAAGGTCCAATATCAGAAATTAATCTAAACCTGTTTGGGAGCCAAAGCGAGAAAAGGCAGAAACATTCAGCCTATATTGACAAGAGTTAGATCTTTCTCCTTTCCCTGTAGGTTATTTAGAGCCTTGCTACTCGGTTTTGTCCAAGGACCAGAGCAGCATCACCTGGGAGCTTGTTAGAAATGCAGAATCTAGGCCAGGTGCGGTGGCTCATGCCTGTAATCCCAGCACTTTGAGAGGCCGAGGCGGGCAGATCATGAGGTCAGGAGTTCGAGACCAGCCTGACCAACATGGTGAAACCCCGTCTCTACTAAAAATACAAAAAAAAAAAAAAAAAAGCCAGGCGTGGTGGCACATGCCTGAACCTGGGAGGCAAAGGTTGCCGTGAGCCGAGATTGCGCCACTGCACTCCAGCCCAGGCGACAGAGCATGACTCTGTCTCGGGGAAAAAAAAAAAAAAGGAAATGCAGAATCTAGGGTTATACTCCAAACTACCGAATCAAAATCTGCATTTTAAAAAACCTTAGGTGATTATCATATGCAAATTAAAGTTTTAGGAATACTGGTTTAGAAGTACCCAAATGGATATCTCTTAAATAAATGATCCAAAGAGGTTTAGTATGAATGGCAAAGCAGAGTATAAAATACCATAAAGTTCTATTACGACATGCCCAGACCACAAAATATTTTATGATGAGGTTCCCAGGAAACTCTGGTAATAGAGAAGGGAATAAGATAAACTCTCAAAACTTAAAACTCATGCTTTCAATGGAAGATTTCACAGAAAATCTGGGTTTAACATACACTGTTTAGCACGTAAATAATTACCAATATTAATTCTTAGTACTACCTAAAATTTTAAAGGTACTCTTCAAGGATTGATTTAAAGGAAGTATTTGAATCATTGTCAAAGAAACTGGAATCTAACACTTCACCAAAAAAATTGCCTAAGAAAATTTAATGAAATCAATATCAATATAAATTTGTTTATAATTTGAAAATACCAAAACTTTTACTTTAGCCTAAAGTATCCTTACTAACATAATCACATAAAATTGATTCCTTAGAATTGAATATAATATGCTAACTGAAGCAGCATATGGGATGTCAACCCAAAAACCATGAACCCCCTTCCTTTTTAAAATAACCCCAATTTTGTTCACATACCAACCCAACACATAGTCAGGTATACATCAAATGAGAGACGGGCCTAATCCCAGTCTCAAAGAGTGAATTGTGCTTGGTGTAAACCAGCCCTTCTCAAACTTTCTGTTTTCAGGATGTCTCTTTTTTTTTTTTTTAAAGACGGAGTTTCACTCATGTTGCCCAGGCTTGTGCAATAGCGTGATCTGGACTCACTGCAACCTTTGCCTCCCAGGTTCAAGCGATTCTCCTGCCTCAGCCTCCCCACTAGCTGGGACTACAGGTGACTGTCACCATGCCTGGCTAATTTTTGTATCTTTAGTAGAGACAGGGTTTCACCATGTTGGCCAGGCTGGTCTTGAACTCCTGACCTTGGGTGATCCGCCCACCTCCCAAAGTGCTGAAATTACAGGCATGAGCCACCAGGCCTGGCCTTTAGGATGTCTTTATATCTTAAAATCAATAAGAACCCGCACCCAAAGAGCTTTAGTTTAGGTCTTGTCTATCAATACTTAATGTATTAGAAATTAGAACAGAGAGGCTGGGGGCAAGGCTCACGCCTGTAATCCCAGCACTTTCGGAGGCCGAGGCAGGAGGATCACCTGAGGTCAGGAGTTTGAGACCAGCCTGGTCAACATGGTGAAACCCTGTCTCTTCTAAAAATACAAAAAAAAATTAACCAGGCATGGTGGCAGCCACCGGTAATCCCAGCTACTCAGAAGGCTGAAGCAGGAGAATTGCTTGAACCTGGGAGGTGGAAATTGCCGTGAGCCAAGATCATGCCACTGCACTCCAGCCTGGATAACAAGAGTAAAACTCTGTCTCAAAAAAAAAAAAAGAAAAGAAAAGAAATCAGAACTGAGGAAATTTTTAAATACTGGATTTGTTTAAAAATACAGTTCCTCAGCCAGAAGCGGTGGCTCATGCCTGTAATTCCAGCACTTTGGGAGGCCGAGGCGGGCGGATTACAAGCTCAGGATTTCAAGACCAGCCTAGTGAACATGGTGAAACTCCGTCTCTACTAAAAATACAAAATTTAGCCAGGCGTGGTGGCAGGCGCCTATAGACCCAGCGACTCAGGAAGCTGAGGCAGAATAGCTTGAACCCGGGAGGCAGAGGTTGTAGTGAGCAGAGATCGTGCCACCGCACTCCAGCCTGGGCGACAGAGCAAGACTCCATCTCAAAAAAAAAAAAAAATACAGTTCTTCTTTCAGGGGTGTTATCTAGAGGCACTCAGAATGGTCAAGCATTTGACATACTGCCTGTCATAGGCTTTCTACAATACAGCCTTTAACAAAACTAGGTTGTCTGGAATCCCTGGTAATAGAATTGTTTACCTTTATACCAACAAAGTTGGGAAAGCACCAAAATCTGCAGGTGGCATGTGCCCATGCAGACTTCAAGGGGTTTGTGTTGTGAGATCTAATATTGTTACGTGAATGTCCAAAACAAAAAAAAACATGTCAGCAGAGCCTATGGTGGTTCCATGTGTGTTAAATGTGATCATGACAGGATTAAGCATGCTTTCCTTATCAAGGAACAGAAAATCATGGTGAAAGTGTTGAAGGCACAAGCACAGAGTCAGAGAGCTAAATTTTAAAAATTATTTTTGAATAAAAATTAAAAGACTAAAAAAAATAGCAATGACACGTTAAAATAAAAAGCATATTTTTGTGAAAAATGACTTTTCCGGAACAATAAAATAATTTATTAAGACAAACGGGCCAGCCTGGGCAACATGGAAAAGCCCCCTCTCTACAAAAAATTAGCCTGGTGTGGTGGCACACGCTTGTAGTCCCAACTCCTCGGGTGGCTGAGGTGGGAGGATCACCTGAGCAAAGAGAGGTTCAGGCTACAGTAAGCTGTGATTGTGCCTCTGCACTCCACCTTGGGCGACAGAGTAAAACCCTGTCCCAAAAAAAATAAAAAGACAAATGGCACTGATTTACATTTTTGCCAATCTTTTTCAGGTCTCGCTTAATGGAAGATAATTGGAGTGTCATATCTTCTGTATTTAATCTGTCACAATATACCATGTCATTTAGTCTGTGGCAAACCCTACATACTAGAGAGAAGAGAGAATGAGAAAAAGGCAAATAACATCATTGGATTATTATGAAAATACATATAGCCTCATAAACCTCCTGACATCTCAGGGACTCTCAGAGGTCCTAGGACACACGTCTGTAATTCCAGCGCTTTGGGAGGCCAAAGTGGGCAGATCACCCTGGGCAACATAGCAAAAACCCATCTTTACAAAAAGTACAAAAATAGGCTAGGCATGGTGGCTCATGCCTGCAGTCTCAGCTATTCAGGAAGCTGAGGTGGGAGGACAGCTTGAGCCCTGGAGGTCGAGGATGCAGTAAGCTGTGATCACACCCCTGCACTCCAGCTTGGGAGACAGAGCAAGACAATAAGAAATTGTCTCAAAAAAAAAAAAAAAAAAAAAAAAGAAGAATCATCATCACTTGTCATTCTCTTTGCCTATGAAATGAGGCTTACGCATAGGATATGATACAATTCTGGCCAAAAAGATAAAAGGAGTATTAAAGACAAGTATTACGGGAAACAACTTCCTTACTATATAAAAACACACATTCCCAACAATGTAGGAGAAACCTTACTGGACCAATCCCTCCGGCAGGTAACAACCATGAACTCTGGGCAAAATAAAGAGCAACTACGTAAAGACACCAGAGAGCGACTAACAGCAGCAGAAATGGGAAGAAAGTTGACACTTGGAAGAAAGTATTGCACTGGCACTGGCAAAGTGTAGAGGATTCTATTTACTTACTTATTTATTTCAAACTCTTTGCTTAGGGGCAGGCCGTGCACAGACCAAGCGAGGAAGTCAAAACTTGAACAGAAACTCAGTCTTATAAGAAAAACCACCAGAAAGTGTTCAAAACAAACTCAGGACTGGGAAACAGAGGAGATAAATCCTGAGAAGAATGGAGCAGAAACCCACAACTGTGCGTATATATGCTGCCCAACTATCTGGCTGACCCCTAAGCTACAGATTCATGAGGCAAAAATCTAAGCAGTTGGGATGAAAAAAAAAAATTCAGAGATTTCAGGGCTAGGCTCGGTGGCTCAGACCTGTAATCCCAGTACTTTGGGAGGCCAAGGTGGGTGGATCACCTGAGGTCAGGAGTTCCAGACCAGCCTGGCCAACATGGTGAAACCCCGTCTCTACTAAAAACACAAAAATTAGCTGGGCGTGGTGGCACGCACCTGTCATCCCAGCTACTTGGGAGACTGAGGCAGGAAAATCGCCTGAACCTGGGAGATGGAGGTCCAGTGAGCTGAGATCACGCCACTGCACACAGCCTGGGAGACAGAGCAAGACTCCGTATAAAAAATAATAATAAAATTAAAAAGTAAGAGATTTCAGATGCTGCCCATTAAAGGCAGACAGAGTTTGGATGCTGGGTTCTGCCAAGTTAATGCCCTATTTGGAAACCACACAAAAACAAAAACAAAACACCACTTGACGGGGACATCAGAGAATTGAGAATTTAGAATCTCTACAATGGATCATTCACAAAGTCCAGTATGCAAACAGAAATTACTAGACATACAAAGACAAAACCATAAAACAAAAATCAAGAAAAAAGACAGTCAATAGAGACTGACACCAGTATGACCCAGATGTTAAAATTAACAAAGATTTCAAAGCACATATAATAATTATGATCAAGACTTTTTAAAAATGCTTACAAGGAACGTCTAGAAAATCTAATCAGACAAACAAGAAAATCTAAAAGAGAACATATTTGTAATTTTAGAACTAAAAAAATACAAAAACTGAATTCAAAAATTCACTAGATGGGCTTAACAGAATTTGATAGGCGATGACAAAAAAAAAAAAAACGATAATGTTGACAACAGGGTAAAAGAAATTATCAGGGCCAAACACGGTGGCTCACGCCTGTAACCTCAGCACTTTGGGAGGCCGAGGTGGGTGGATCACCTGATATCAGGAATTCGAGACCAGCCTGACCAACATGATGAAACCCTGTCTCTACTAAAAATACAGTTAGCTGGATGTGGTAGCATACGCCTGTAATCCCAGCTACTCAGGAGGCTGAGGCACAAAAATCACTTGAACCTGGGAGGCGGAGGTTGCGGTGAGCCAAGATAGTGCCATTGCACTTTAGCCTGGGCAACAAGAAGAAAACTCCATCTCAAAAAAAAAAAAAAAAAAAAAAGAAAGAAATTATCCAATTTGATCTACAGAGGGGAAAAAAAAGGTTGAAAAAGACTGAACAAAGCATCAGTGAGACAATATCAAAAAGTCAAACATATACATAACTGAAGTCCCAAAGAGAGAATAAGGCAGGAAAGAAATAACGAAGAATTTCCCAAATTCAGAACAGGACATAAATTTACAGATTCTAGAAGTTAAATGAACCCCACACAGAATAAATACAAATAATACCATCCCTAGATATAGTCACCATATGATGTAGCAATCCCATTTTTTGTTATCCATCCTAGAGAAATGAAAGCTGACATTCACACAAAAACCTTTATTTGAATAATAGCAGCTTTATTCATAATTATAAAAAAAACAACCAACTAAAATGTCCTTAAACAGATGAACAGATACACAAACAGTGATAAATCCATACAATGAATACTACTCAGTAATAAGAAAAAAAGAACTATAAGCCAGGCACCGTGGCTCAGGCTTGAATCCCAATACTCTGGAGCTTAAGGCGGGAGGACTGCTTGAACCCAAGAGTTTGAGATCAGCCTAGGCAACATGGTGAAACCTCATCTCCACAAAAAAATATAAAAAAATTAGTTGGGCATGGTGGCACATTCGTATAGTCCCAACTACTCAAGAGGCTGAGGTGGGAGCATCGCTTGAGCCTGGGAGGTAGACGTTGCAGTGAGCCAAGCTGAGAGAGTGCCACTGTACTCCAGCCTGGGCAACAGAGAAAAGTTGTCTCAAGGAAAAAAATAAATAAATAAACTATGCAAGAACTTGGAACTTGGATGCATATCAAAGTTATTAAGCTGAGTAAAAAAAAGCCAACTGCAAAAAGTTACATACTGTAGGATTCCATTACAAACTTTTTTTTTCATTTGAGACAGGGTCTCACTCTGTCGCCAAGGTGGGAGTACAGTGGCATAATCTCGGCTCACTGAAACCTCCGCCTCCCAGGCTTAAACAATCCTCCCTCCCACCTCAGCCTCCTGAGTAGCTGGGAGGCTAATTTTTTATAGTTTTTAAATTTTTTCATAGAGATGGGGTCTTGCTATGCTGCCCAGACTGGTCTCAAACTCCCAGACTCAAGCAATCTGCCCAACTCGGCCTCCCAAAGTGCTGGGATTACAGGCATGAGTCACTGCACCCGGCCTACAAACGTTCTTAAAAGAATACATGAGGCCAGGTGTGGTGGCTCAGCCTGTAACCCCAGCACTTTGGGAGGCTGAGGCAGGTGGATCACCTGAGGTCAGGAGTGCAAGACTACCCTGACCAACATGACGACAACCCATCTCTACTAAAAATACAAAAATTAGTGAGACGAGGTGGCACATGCCGGTAATCCCAGCTACTTAGGAGGCTGAGGCAGGAGAATCGCTTGAACCCGGGAGGCGGAGGTTGCAGTGAGCCGAGATGGCATCATTGCACTACAGCCTGGGCAACAAGAGCAAAACTCTGCCTCAAAAACAAACAAACAAACAAACAAAAACACACACGAGTGGTTGCCAGCGGTTATGGATAGGGAAAGGTACCTTTATAATTAATTACCTTTATAGGGACACGATGAGGGAGTTTTTTAGGAAGTGATGGAACTGTTCTGCAACCTGATTATGGTATATTCTGCGGGATGTGGCTAAAGCAACCAAAATACTGGAAGCAGCCCCCATCCCCAGTGTCCAACAGAAATGACTAAACTGTGGCATAGTCATATAATAGAATATTATTCAGCAATAAAAGGGGAAGAACTACTGATACATGCAACAACATGGATCAATCTCAAAAGGCATATGCTAAAAGAAACCTTACATAAATAATAATGCATTACATATGATTCCATTTATCTATAACTCTAAGAGGTAAAAAAAACTAATCCATGTTGAAAAAATTTGTTTAAAGTACTTAACTCAGGCCAGGTGCAGGAGCTCACGCCTGTAACCCCAGCACTTTGGAAGGCCGAGGCAGGTGGATCACTTGAGGTCAGGCGTTTGAGACCATCCTGGCCAACATGGTGAAATCCCGTCTCTACTAAAAATACAAAAATTAGCCGGGCATGGCGGTGCATGCCTGTAGTCCCAGCTACCCAGGAGGCTGAGGCAGGAGAATCACTTGAACCTGGGAGGTGGAGGTTGCAGGGAACCTAGATCATGCCACTGCACTCCAGCCTGGGCGACAGAGCGACATTCCATCTAAAAAAAGTAAAAGTGGTTAACTCTGGAGGGGTAGGGACAGAGATAAACTGAGGGAAATTTCTTAGATTTTTTTTGGTTTGTTTTTAAGAGACAGAGTCTCACTATGTTGCCCAGACTGGCCTCGAACTCCTAGACTCAAGCAATCCTTCCACCTCAGTCTCCTGAGTAGCTGGGACTACAGGCATGCAACACTGTGCCCAGATTAGGGTTTTTTTTTTTTTTTTCTTGAGACGGAGTCTCGCTTTTGTCGCCCACACCAGAGTGCAATGGTGCAATCTCTGCTTATGGCAACCTCCACCTCCCAGGATTAAGCGATTCTCCTGCCTCAGCCTCCTGAGTGGCTGGGATTACAGGCACCTGCCACCACGCCTGGCTAATTTTTGTATTTTTAGTAGAGACAAGGTTTCACCATGTTGGCCAGGCTGGTCCCAAACTCATGAGCTCAAGTGATCCACCCGCCTCAACCTCCCAAAGTGCTGGGATTACAGGCGTGAGCCACGGCACCCAGCTTTTTTTTTTTTTTAAATATTCACAAATTTTGCTATAGTCCCAGCTACTTAGGAGGCTGAGGAGGGATGATTGCTTGAGCCCAGAAGTTCAAGACAAGCTGGGCAGCATAGGGAGACTCTGTCTCAGAAAAAAAAAAAAAGTGAAACAAGTTTTGAACTAGTGTTAATGATATGCACATTGACATGAAATGTGATAACCTGATCTCCTATTTATTTGAAATGTGTGAAAAATTAAGAAAAACTGATGTGTGGGTAGACAAAGAATAGTAGCTAAAAAAATCATAAACAAATGTAGTCATCGCTCAGTATCCTCAGGGGATTGGTTCCAGAGCCCCTGGCAGATACCAAAATCCTAGGATGCTCAAGTCCCTTATATAAAATGGCATAGTAAGCCCATATTACCTACATCCTCCCGGAAACTTTAAAAAACTCTAGATTACTTAAAACCACCAATTACAATGTAAATGCTATGTATTAATAGATAGTTTTTATAATGTATTGTTTAGGGAATAATGACAAGAATAGATTTTGTGCATGTTCAGGACGGACAAATTTTTTTCCAAATATTTTCAATCTGCAGTCTATGGACACGAAGGGCTGGCTGTATATACATACAATGGAATATTAGTCAGCCTTACAAAGAAAATCTGACAAATGCTACAACACAGATGAACCTTGAAAGCATTTTGCTAAGTGAAAAAGACCAGTCACAAAAAGACACAATGTATGATTCTACTTATAGGAGGTACCCAGAATAGGCAAATGCATAGAGACAGAAAGCAGAATAGAGGTTATGAGCAACTGCTCAGGGATGGGAAAAGAAACTTGTTACTTAAAATGGTAGTTTCTATTCAGGGTGATTAAAACGTTCTAGAAATAGACAGTAGTGAAGGTTATAGCATTGTGAATATACTTAATGTCACTGAATTATATACAAAAAATGGTACATTCTAAGGCCGGGCGTGGTGGTTCACGCATGTAATCCCAGCACTTTGGGAGGCCAAGGCAAGTGGATTATCTGAGGTCAGGAGCTCAAGAACAGCCTGGCCAACATGGCGTAACCCTGTCTCTACTAAAACACACACAAAAAATTAGTCAGGCATGGTGGCATGCACCTATAGTCCCAGCAACTTGAGAGGCTGAGGCACAAGAACTGCTTGAACCCAGGAGGCGGGAAGCAGAGGTTGCAGTGAGCTGAGATTCACACCACTGCACTCCAGCCTGGGTGACAGAGCAAGACCCTGTCTCAAACAAACAAACAAACAACAACAAAAAAAAAAAAACGGTGGGGGGCGGGGATATTTTATATAGTGAGTATTTACCACACACAAAAAAGTCATTTTCGGGCCGGGCACGGTGGCTCACGCCTGTATTCCCAGGACTTTGGGAGGCTGAGGTGGGCGGATCACCTGAGGTCGGCAGTTCGAGACCAGCCTGACCAACATGGAGAAACTCCGTCTCTACTAAAAATACAAAATTAGCCAGGCATGGTGGTGCATGTCTGTAATCCCAGCTACTGGGGAGGCTGAGGCAGGAGAATCACTTGAACGTGGGAGGCGGAGGTTGCAGTGAGCCAGGATTGCGCCATTGCACTCCAGCCTGGGCAACAAGAGCAAAACTCTGTCTCAAAATAAATAAATAAAAAATCATTTTCAAACATTAAAAGTTAACCAAACACAAATCTTCAAAGCCCCTTTAATTTCATCCCATATGAAGCCTGCTGGAAGTAGACTGTATTTCAAAGATATGTCCTATTCCATATGCTTTTCTGCATGTGGGATGACACTCTCTCAATCAAGAAGTGACACCTATGCCTCCATCCCCTTGAATCTGGGCCAGTGTGGTAACCAACCTATTTGTATATGGCAGAAATGAAAGCTCTGCCAACTCCAGTATCATCCTTAACTGGCTGGGCAGCTTCTTGTTCTTTCCTCTTGGCCAAGCAGCCTCATAGAGAGGCCCACAAGGGCCCATGACCAAGGTCTAACTGAGCTCCTAGTCAAGAGCCAGTACCAATTTGCCAGCCACATAAAGTGAGGTAGATTGGTAGGTGATGCCCAGCTCCACTGTGTCCCAGCACATACAGCATGAAACAGAGACTAGATATATATAGTGAGCTCTGCGCAAATTGAAGATTCATAAGCAAAATAAGTAACTATTGCAACTAAATTTTGGAGTGATTCATTACTAAGCTACTGATAGCCAGAACACTTAGTTAATGAGAATAATTCAAACTGTCTCTGTTCCATGTGTTTTGTGTTTTTTTTTTTTTTTTTTTTTTTTTTTTTTGAGACGGAGTTTCACTCTTGTTGCCCAGGCTGGAGTGCAATGGTGCAATCTCCGCTCACCGCAACTTCTGCCTCCCGGCAACCTCCGCCTCCTGGGTTCAAGCGATTCTCCTGCCTCGGCCTCCCAAGTAGCTGGGATTACAGGCATGCACCACCATGCTCGGCTAATTTTGTATTTTTAATAGAGACGGGTTTCTCCATGTTGGTCAGGCTGGTCTCGAACTCCCAACCTCAGGTGATCCGCCCGCCTCAGCCTCTCAAAGTTCTGGGATTACAGGTGTGAGCCACCTCGCCTGGCCTTTTTTTTTTTTTTTTATGGAGAGAGTCTCACTCTGTTGCCCAGAGTGGAGTGCAGTGGCATGATCTCAGCTCACAGCAACCTCCGCCTCCCAGGTTCAAGCGGTTCTCCTGCCTCAGCCTCCCAAGTAGCTGGGATTACAGGCATGTGCCACCATGCCCAGCTAAGTTTTATATTTTTAGTACAGATGGAGTTTCGCCATGTTGGCCAGACTGGTCTCCAACTCCTGACCTCAGATGATCTGCCCGCCTCAGCCTCTCCAAGTGCTAGGATTACAGGCGTGAGCTACCATGCCCGGTCTGTGTTTTGTGTTCTAGTTCCACATACTGTGATATTGCTATTACATGCATGTGATAGCAATATCACAAGAAATTAAAACGTTACTTTGAAATTTCAATAAAAGCTCTTTAAAGTGAATCATGAAAACCTACAGATAGCACGTACAATGGAAAGGGTATAACACAGAGAAAAGTTAAATTCAATTCCTCCATAGTTGATAAATGGCGATGGAACTTGGTCAAACCAAAGTATGCCTGTATGATCTTCTTTCTCTTAGATGAGACAATAATAATCTTACTCCCACAAAGCACTTTAGAGTAAAAACTGACATAAAATTTAGTTCTGAATTATAGAGAACAAAGTAAGTATCATCGAGAACACAGCACAATGCTTGGCAAGTACTTAATAGATATTTTATGTGTGAATCAAGTGAATAATTACCTCCATGAAGAGACATGCAAGGATAAGATGCTCTCATTAAATCCTTAAGAAGACCATCAGCATGTTCCTGCTTATCCACAAATATAATGACAGATCCTGACTCTTGATAATGGCCTAGAAGCTCAAGTAACTTCAAGAATTTCTTTTCTTCTTCAATCACAATCTGAAAACACCATATTGTATCAAGTTAATGAAGTGAAAATGCAAATGGATCCCCTGGACAGAAATATTCATTTTATTTGTAGTGAATGAATGACAATATCTTGCTATATCTTTACCAAGGGCTAGGAAGATGTTGATTTTAATTGTAAATGATAAAAATTGTAAACTTTCAGGGTTTAACAGGCTTGCAAATGAGGGCAAATGATCATCTGTTCTCTCTGGCTCTTAATTTCATATCCTAGTAACCAAGAAATAAAATAGATATGTAACATTTCTTTTTCCTTTGTAGAGACAGGGGTCTCACTATATTGCCCAAGCTAGTCTCCAGCTCCTGGCCTCAAGTGATCCTCCTACCATGGTCTCCCAAAATACTGGGATTACAGGCATGAGTCACCATGCCCATCTGGTATGTGACATTTCTATATATCAGCTCACCATTCACCACTCACCACTTTTGGTGACAGAAACTAAAACAACGTTTTATTTTACTTGTCTTTAAACAGACAGGGCTCACTATGCCTAGGGTGCTATTCACAGATGTGCTCCAACTACAATCAGCACAAAAGTTTTGACCTGTTCTGTTTTTCTGCCCTGGACAGAATATCCCATTCTTTAGGCAATCTGGTGGTCCCCTGTTACCGGGAGGTCACCACACTGATGCTGAACTTAGCATGGACAAAGATAGGCATAGTGCACTACAGCCCAGAACTCCGGGGACTGCAAAGCTGCGACTTCAGGCATGCACCACTGCACCCAGCAAAAAAAAAACAAAAAAAAAAAAAAACAAGCATTTTAAATAGCTCCGTGGAACAGCACAGTTAAGTTTATCTGGTAAAATACTGAAGGCTAGAGTAGTGGTATACGACTTGATTTTAGAAATTACCTTGCCTACCTCACAAACAGTGATCATAGAAGAATCATACATACCACCTAAGTATCAAGGAAACTGGGAATTTCCTAAAGATGGTACCCACCACTTGTTGCTCCACATCTGAGCAAACCACACTCCTGCCTCCAACTTGTACTTCAATAGGTTTACTGAGGATCCTGCGAGCCAAAGCCTCCATAGCTCTGGGGAAAGTAGCTGAAAACATAACCGTCTGTCGATCAGGACGAACATTATCCACGATGCGCATGACCTGAGAAAAAGAAAACATTACAAATAAATATGGTAAATATGGTCTTCAAAGCTTATGCAATGTTAAAACCAAGTAAAAGGAACTTTTGAGAACAACTGTCTCAGTTTTGCCACTCCCACAGTCTCCCAATCTCAAGAAATGACAACTCCACACATGCTTAGGACAAAAATCTAGGAGACATCTTTGATTAATCTCTGTCACTCATCTTACAACCAATCCATCAACAAATATAGTGGTCTATCTTCAAATTATATCTAGGATACAACCAACTACCACTGTTTTCCTTCATTTATTCAACACATTTTTATTAAAGACCCATTTTGAACCAGGTACTGTTCTAAGTACTAGGAATATGCAACAAAAACAGACAAAAAGAGGAGGATTCTGGGAAGTTGGCAGAACAGGAATCACCAGGAATCTGTATCCACACCTAGACAACAATTGTGCTGATAGAATCTGTCTGATGTAACCACTTTGGAACTCTGGAGCCTACAGAAGGTTTGCAACTTCCTGAGAAAAGCCTGGAAGATAAATTGTGGCTATTTTCTGCCATTTTCAGCTGGTAGCACAGTAGCAGTTAACCATCCCCCACATACAGCCCAACAGCAGGCAGGCGTACACATGTTTCTGAAGCAAACTGTACAGAGCTTGCAAGAGCCAGGGTCATCAAGAAGGACTCTGTCCTCCAAATACGGAGGATCTCTGCTCTGATTGCTACTCTGATCACAGAGGTGAAGACAAAGAGACACCTGCCTGTTATTGTTGCATTCACACCCCGCCAACCACTACAAGCCCGGACCTCTCAAGCTGAAGTGACTAGCAGGGGATTTAAAATCTGATGCCCCTTCCCTCTGCCTTAATTTTTCTCCTTTCGACAGCCAAAAATTAAATACTAGGAGATTAAAAAACAAATGAATATCCAGAGAAAATTACAAAGTAACCACACATAGAGAATACCACAGGCTCAGAAAACACATGAAATGACCTTAAGTTTACACCTCAGGGCAATCCTTGCCAGACTGCCTACAACAATCAAAAATAAAAATAATAAACAATAACAGTAATAAAAAACAGTAAACCCTAGGGAAAGGGGAGAATCTGATTCCCAAGTTACCACATTACTAAATTCAACTGTTCAGTTTTCAGGCTGGGTGTGGTGGCTCAGGCCTATAATCCCAGCACTTTGGGAGGTCAAGGCAGGCGGATCACTTGAGCTCAGGAGTTCGAGACCAGTCCAGCCAACATGGTGAAACCCTGTCTCTACTAAAAATACAAAAATTAGCCAGGCATGGTGGCACGTGCCTATAATACCAGCTACTCAGGAGGGTGAGGCAGGAGAATCACTTGAACCTGGGAGGCGGAGGTTGCAGTGAGCCACTGCACTTCAGCCTAGGTGACAGAGTGAAACTCTGTCTCAAAATAAATAAATAAATAAAAATAATTCCCAATTCTCACTATTTTCAATACAGAATCATGCCTGGAAGCACACTACTGCTTGCCAACTCTTCTCTAGGCATAAGTCAGTGTGCAGCTTTGCATTCAATAGCACTAGCTTTCATTTACATGACAGTGTCTTTTGTTGCTACACCTCCAAATAGTGCTGCATGACACTGAAACCTTACTTAGTGTTTTTTTAATCTATGAAGCTCACAAAATAATCACAAACTAAATCGAAATTTTCCTCTTTTTTCTTGAGACACGGTCTCACTCTGTCGCCCAGGCTGGAGTGCAGAGGTATTATGTTGGCTCACCACAGCCTCTATCTCCCAGGCTCAAGCAATCCTGCTACTTCAGCCTCCTGAGTAGCTGGGACGATAGGCGCATGCCCCCACACCCAGCTAATTTTTATATTTTTTTGTAGAGACGAGGTTTCGCCATGTTGCCCCCTGCTTGTCTTGAACTCCTGAATTCAAGCAATCCACCTGCCTCGACCTCCCAAAGTGCAGAGATCCTAAGCATACATCACCACGCCAAGCCTCCAGCAGGTTTTCAGTTATCAACAAACAATTATTCAGCATTTCTCTCTCATGTACTTATACACATGTACATACGCACATACATGTACCTAAGCACATACACGGACATAAATACATGAGATAATGCTGAATTAATCATTTATTTTGTTTATATGTACTTATGTACCTGTATGTATTTATGGCAAGGAATGATTCACACTTTGCCTTTCAATGGAAAATGTTGTGTTGAACTCACTCTATAAGAACTTGGTTTACCAGAAGGTCCCTATCAATCACTCTATCTACTTAAAGCATTATAATAAAATCTAAGATTTCACATGATTGGGAAAGACATTAAAGGGCATGTGACTGTGTTCCATCTGACACTTCAATTCTCTTTACTCTCTTACCACAACAAACAGACCCCTTGACTCTGCTTGAACACCTGGAAGAAACAGATATTCAGTATATCCGCCCCCGCTCCCTCACGAAGCAATGTTTCCTCTCCAAATAATGTTTATTCAGTCCTTCCTCAAACTAAACTCAGATCAAGCTCCATATGACTTCCCCACTGGATCCCATTTGTACTCCTTGGGATGAAAAAAATAAATTCAATGCTGCTTTCATGTGACACTTGTTCAGAGTTAAAGGATGCTATCTTATCTTCTACTCAAAGCTGATTATTATTACTATTATTATTATTATATTATTATTTTTTGAGACTAAGTCTCGTTCTATCACCCAGGCTTAAGTACAGTAATGCGATCTCGGCTCCCTACACCCTGTGCCTCCCAGGTTCAAGTGATCCTCCTGACTCAGCCTCCCAAGTAGCTGGGATTACAGGCGCCCGTCACCATGTCCAGCTAATTTTTGTATTTTTAGTAGAAACGGGGTTTCACGATGTTGGCCAGGCTAGGCTGATCTCCTGACTTCAAGTGATCTGCCTGCCTCGGCCTCCCAAATTGCTGGGATTAAAGGCATGAGCCACCATTCCCTGCCCAAAGCTAAATATCATTTTAACTGTTTCGCATATGGTTCAAGCATTACCATAATCCTGCTTCCTCTGTGTTCCTCTATTTACATCTCATTTAGAATGCAGTCCCTAAATCTAAATACAATACATGCACTAACATATAACTGGCAATAAATTTTTGGAGAGTACATGGATAAACTGAAAAGGCTAAATATGACATTTGCCTTATCCCTTTTCCATGCACATTTCCATTACTATGGTCTCTTATAATCCTTTTTTATTCATTTTTTGGCAACTACAGCCTACTGACAATTCACAATGATCTTCTTAAGAAAACCTTCTACCACTTTTTTTTTTTTTTGAGACGGAGTCTCGCTCTGTCTCCCAGGCTGGAGTGCAACAGCGTGATCTCAGCTCACTGCAAGCTCCGCCGCCCGGGTTCACGCCATTCTCCTGCCTCAGCCTCCTGAGTAGCTGGGACTACAGGCGCCTGCCACCAAGCCCGGCTAATTTTTTTGTATTTTTAGTAGATATGAGGTTTCACCGTGAAAGCCAGGATGGTCTCGATCTCCTGACCTCATCTACCACCTTTAAAATGTGTTCCTATAAATGTGTATCACTGAAATTTTGTACCTGAGCAAAGAGCATATATAAGGAACATAAAAACCTAAGCTAGATAAATTCTTTGGGCCATTATCTTAGCAAACGTGAATGACTTTGGTAAACGTAAATGACGTGCTATCTAGACTAGATAATGAGGTATCTAAAAGCATGAATTAAAAGAATTTATTTAAAAAGACAATGGGCCGGGCACAGTGGCTCACGCCTGTAATCCCAACACTTTGGGAGGCCAAGGCGGGTGGATCACCTGAGGTCAGGAGTTCGAGACCAGCCTGGCCAACGTGGTGAAACTCCATCTCTATTAAAAAGTTAACCGGGCGTGGTGGCGGGCACCTGTAGTCCCAGGTACTCGGGAGGCTGAGGCAGGAGAATCGCTTGAACCCAGGAGGCAGAGGTTGCAGTGAGTAGTGATCGTTCTCCACTGCACTGCAGTCTGGGCGACAGAGCAAGACTCCATCTGAAAAAAAAAAATAAGGCTTAAGCTCTATTATTAGCACTCCAATTCTAGCTTTGTTGGTGTTGGTCTTAGATGGCTAAGAAATGCCGGTATAAATACCTCCTGAAGAAGTTTTGTGAGGAATCTGAAACATAAATATGTACTTCAATACTGTATGTCCCCAGTCTTCTGTATTACCGTGCAACAGAAAAGTGTGTGTGTGAATTTCAGAAACCACATGAACATTTCATTCTCATGGCAACTACAAAGTTATATTTACATTTCAAAACACTTAAGAAATTTAATGATTACCTGGGGTTCAAAACCCATGTCAAACATTCTGTCTGCTTCATCTAAAACAACATATGTCACTCTTCGAAGATTTGTGACCCGACCTAAGATGAAAAGAAAAATAAAGACAAAAAGAAAACTAAAAATCAGTCACAATTCATTTTATGGCTACCAAGAACTTTTAAAAACTGTAAAGGAAACTAAAATGCCTGACTTAACCAGAGGGGTAAGTTAGGTATCTTTAAAAAGTGAAAAGAAATTTTGATCTACAATGTCTTAATCTAGTGGCAAATACTTTCTGACAATGGGTATATGAGGCCCTTTATTTTGTCAAACTCGTCTCTTGCATACCATCATAGGGCCTGAAGAACCTGTAAAATTCAGAAAACAGCCCTCTCCAAAACACATCATAAAACTAAGACTGAGATGAAGCATCGAGCCACATCAGCCATTATCTGACAGCATCACCTAGAAAAAAACATATTAGAGATTACAGCGTATGTGTGGAAAGCAAGTTCTAGTGCTAACTATTTTAGACACAGAAAATGTCTCTCTATATTATTTTATAACCTACTTCCATATATTTAGAAGCTTCTTAAATGGGCATGTCAAACCCTTAATGAGAAGCTATTTGACAGCATTAGGAAATTAAAGTATCACACAAAAACTTTAAATACCAAAACACATTACATAAATACATTTTCCATACAAAGATATAAATCCCAATTTTATTAAGTGAACCCACTGACTTAAATAAATGCAACTGGCTTCCTAACCAGTGAAAACAAAATACATACATAGGAAATTCCTTCTAAAATATTAACAGAAGCATTGCTATCAACTGTTGAATCAATCACCTGGCAAAAACACGTATAAAATAGTTATTTAAAAATAGACCACAATGACAGATAAGAGAAAAAGGTAAAATTAATCAAGATGAATTTCAGGAGGAGACTTAATCAATGCAGCATTGAGAAAAAAAAAAAGGGATTATTTAATCAGCATTCAAACCAAAACTTTCCATATGCTAGACAAGCACAATGACTTCTCAATTTCGATGTCACTTTGCCAACTTCATGTACAATTAGAATTAGAAATTCAAGCAGAATACTACTAGAAACATGCACTAACTCAGTTTTTAATACTCTATTATGTACACACTAAATATTGCAATGGAAACCTCTGAGAGCATTTTCTTCAAAAAATAAAAAGTGCCAAAATAAGTGCTATCTAATATTTAAGTATTCCACACTAGCATTTGTAGCCCCAATTAGTTTTGCAAGGTCGGGAACAGCATTAAATTACCTACCTTTGATGGTTTAAGTCTCGGAAGCCCAGTTCTATAAATCTTGAAGGGCCTTTCTCCACAGAAGTTAAATAATGTCAACAGTTTAGTAAGAGTTTTGATAGGGAATAATTTAACAAAGCATAACATTTGAGCTACAAACATGCAATATTTACAAAAGATAAAATTTCTTGAAGCTGCAATATCTTAATTTATGTAGTATCTAAGAAAATACTAGCTCATGTGGAGAAAAAGTCTAAATTTTGTAATAAAGAAAAAGCTACTACCCCACTCTTTTACTAAGCAAAGCCAGGCCAAAACTGGATTAAGAATCCAAGTTATGATCAGATGGAGTTACTTCTGAAAAAAAATTTTAAATTGCAAAAATATCATTAATGCTTGTAATAATCAACTTGTTACAATTATTATTTTTTTTTTTTGAGACGGAGTCTTACTCTGTCACCCAGGCTGGAGTACAGTGGTGCGATCTTGGCTCACTGCAAGCTCCGCCTCCCGGGTTCAAGCTATTCTCCTGCCTCAGCCTCCCAAGTAGCTGGGACTACAGGCTACAAATTTTAAGATACTGCAGCTTTAAGAAGAAATATAGAAACCCTTTGTTGGTTTCTTGCATCTGTTTTAACAAAAAAAAGTAAAGAATTCAAAAATAAAAGACACCAAAAAAATACCCCTGACTTACCACTGTTAGCGGCTAACATGTCAATCATTCGACCAGGTGTGCAAACAATAATTTCAGCACCTCTTTTCAGCTCAGCAATCTAATAAAAAAGATGAAACTTTATAGTCTATTACTAATGCTTACTTAAACACTAAAAAATACTGCATTTAGTTCTTGCCTAGTCTAATTAGAAGACTTCCAAGCTTCCTGCTTAATTATTTTGAATCTCGGGGCACTACTAAAGAAATAGCAACAACGTGACCACATAGTGCCATAAATTTGAAACAAATAAGAACTAGAGAATTCTGCAAATTTGATTTGCCACTATCCCTCAAAACCAAGAAATGAACTTAAGAAAGCAGTTTAAAAAAAAAAAGTGATAATCTCTTGAGCCCAGGAGTTCAAGGTTGGAGTGAGCTATGATCACATCCTTGCACTCCAGCCTGAGCAAGAGCAAGACCCTGCCTCAGAAAAAGAAATTTCTAAGTGACCACATAGACTAGTGTTTTTCAAATTGAGGGTTGCCACATTAGTGAATCATGAAATCACTTTAACAGTCATAATCAGCTTTTTTTTTTTTTTTTTTTGAGACAGGGTCTCACTCTGTTGCCCAGGCTCTGTTGCCCAGTGCAGCAGTGTCATCATAGGTCATTGCAGCCTAGATCCTGGGCTCAAGTGACCCTCCCATCTCAGCCCCTCCCCCCACCACCCCACACACCCTCCCAGTATCTAGGACTACAGGCACTCGCTAATTTATTTACTGTTTTAAGAGATGGGGTCTCACTACATTGCCCAGGCTGGTCACAAACTCCTGGACTCAAGTGATTCTTCCATTTCAGCCTCCCAAAATGCTGTGATGATTACAGGTATGAGCCATAGTGTTCAACCACAACCAGCATTTTTTAAATGAAATGGAATGGAAAATACCAGAAGTCCCTTAACATCATAAAACTTTTGTTTGGCATTTATATAAATACAACGTGCAGGCATGTACCATGTTATTTTGTAAGTGTATTTCTACAAACTACAGTCATGAAAAATCATAAAGATAAACTTAGAAAATGAAGTAATTTGAAGTAATTAAAATAGCACTGGAGTTAACAAAAGCAAATATTCTTGAAGTGTGTTCTTGTAACAATAGTCCTAAGAAACAGTTTTGTAGTTAAGTTCAGAAAACGTCACTTAATTTATCCCATTTATCTAGCAACACAATATACATTAGCTTATTAAGAACAAAGAAGTCTTACAGGAAAGAAAGTGGTTTTAACTTTTTATACTCCAACATTTCCAAAACTTATCCAATCACAGAACCTACTTTTTTGCCTTCTTCTAGTTAAGCAAAATATCTGAAAACTATTTCATTCTTTAGAAGACAGCTGAAGGGCTGGTCACAGTGGCTCACGTCTATACCTTTCGGAGGTGTTACAAAGGGAAGCCAAGGCAAGCAGATTGCTTGAGCCCAGGAATTCAAGACCAGCCTGGGCAACATGGCAAAACCTCGTCTCTACAAAAAAATACAAAAACTAGCCGGGTGTGGTAGCATGCGTCTGTGGTCCCAGATACTCAGGAGGCTCAAGAGGGAGGACGGCTTAAGCCCAGGAGGTCAAGGATGCAGTGAGCCAAGGTCACACCACTGCACTCCAGCCCGGGCAACAGAGTAAGATGCTGTCTCCAATAAAACAAAACCAAAAAACAACAACAACAACAACAACAAAACACCTCTGATATTAATGCATCCCAGTAATCACCATCACTTCCGCCACCCCCCAAGATGGAGTCTTGCTCTGTCTCCCAGGCTGGAGTGCAGTGGCGTGATCTCAGCTTACTGCAACCTCCGCCTCCCAGGTTCAAGTGATTCTCCTGCCTCAGCCTACCGAGTAGCTGATATTACAGGCAGGCGCCACCAAGCCAGGCTAATTTCTGTGTTTTCAGTAGAGACGGGGAGTCTCGCCATGTTGGCTAGGCTGGTCTTGAGCTCCTGACCTCATGATCCACCCGCTTCGGCCTCTCAAAGCGCTGGGATTACAGGCATGAGCCACCGTGCCTGGCCACCATCACTTTTTAAAGATGTCAGCATAGATTAGAGAAACAAATGCTCAGAGATCAGAGACCTAGGTTCCAGGACAAACTCTAGAACGTATTAACCTAATTGGTCAACTTAATAAATCTTTCTGAATATTTCCTCATATGTAAAATGAAAAAAAAAATCTGCTTTCTCAGGCAGGGGAAGAGGGAGGAGGGATAATCTATGTAAAAAGATTCAAAAATTCTAATCTAGCATTAACATAGTATGTTCTTTTTTGCCACAACTATATTGGGTCATAATTAACAAAAATTATATATATTTAAGGTGTACAACATGTTTGATATACATATACACTCTGAAATGATGAACACAATCAAGCTAACATATCACCTCATATAGTTACCAATATTTTCTTTTGTGGTAAGAACATGTAAGATTGGTCAGGCACGGTGGCTCACACCTGTAATCCCAACACTTTGGGAGGCCGAGGCAGGAGGATCACCTGAGGTCAGGTGTTCAAGACCAATCTGGCCAATATGGTGAAACCCCGTCTCTACTAAAAATACAAAAATTAGCCAGGCGTGGTGGCAGGCACCTGTAGTCCCAGCAACTTGGGAGGCTGAGGTAGGAGAATCGCTTGAACCAGGGAGGCAGAGGTTGCAGTGAGCCGAGATCGCGCCACTGTACTCCAGCCTGTGTGACAGAGCGAGACTCCATCTCAAAAAAGAAAAAAAAAAAACATGATGTGAGATCTACTGGCTTAGCGAATTTTCAGCACACAATATAACATTAACTAGTCACCATGCTGTACATTACATCTCCAAAGGTATTCATCCTACATAAAATAACTAATTCTTACTATTATTTTTATACTTCATTTTTTAAATGATTTTAGAAGCAATCACTATTCAAAAAACTAAAAGTAAAAGTCACTTTTACTTTATTGAATCATCCAACTTGAGAAAAGAATGGAAAACATGAATGTTTCTTATATAACTACCTGCTCACTGATTCCTGTTCCTCCGTAAACACAGACCACTCTAAGTCCCAAAGTCTTGGAAAACTTCTTACACTCTTTAGTAATCTGTAAAGCCAGTTCTCGAGTTGGAGTCATGATGACAGCTGGAAAGATAAATACATCAGTAGCCTAACCACCAAAATTCTTAAGGCTGTGCTTTATAGTGTTCAATTTAACCTTTACAATAAAGTTCAGATTGTTTCACCTAATTTTTGTTTTGTTATGCATCCCTGAAAACTATTTCAAAAGTTGTATAACAGCAGAGGTTGTGGGGAAGGATAAATATAAGCAGATTTTTAAAAACATGCTAAAAGAAGATAAATGACAGTTAAATGCCTCATCCAACCCTCAGGAAAATACTTGGTTCAAAAGAATGCAAACAGTTTTCTAATGCAAATCACAGAACAAAGAAAATCAAGTGACTCACTGTGCCACAGAAGCCATACTGCTGCTTCCAGAAACAACCTTGGTCTGAGGGGCACAGACAGAGGAGAGATATACTATGCCCCGTGTTCCTAAGAGAGAAGCTGAACAACTTTCCAAAACCCTACTCAACTTTCCAAGAGTTATCTCTGCCAAGATGAATCAAGAAACCAGAATCTAAACAAGTAATCTTGAATGAAATGCTGGCATTATAGCCTGTTAAGGCCAAAAACTACCTAGGAAAATATGTTTCCCTAGGATATCTTCCATGTCGCTTTTATATATCCACTGATACTGGGCTAACAAACCTCAATATAAATAAACAGATAGATGCACGAGGAGTCTACCTGCCAAGTCAGAGTTTAAAAACTGAGCTGTGCCAGGAGAGGCTGTTTTTGTACTTCTGAGATGTCACTCCAGAGCTCTGAAGATTCTCACTCCACCTGCTGGTAAGGGGAAATCAGCCCCAAAGTGCCAAATTGATAAAGAAAATGTACATAAAGACAACTTCATTGTCATAATTAAGAACATTATAAACTATAAGGTCTTTCTGTTTGACAACAAAGCTGTTATTTGAAAAATAGTTTAATGAAAAGAATTGTACCTATTGGCCCCTCTCCTTCCTCTAATGACCTCTGATCCATGATGTGTCTAAACATGGGCAACAGAAAAGCAATGGTCTTTCCACTTCCTGTTTTGGCAATGCCAATCAAATCTCGTCCAGACATTATAGCAGGAATAGCTTGGGTTTGGATGGGCGTGGGCTTTTCATAGCCATGCCTTAAAAAGAAAACCAAAGGAAGAAAAGGTAAGAATTGAGATTGCTGGGCCCCAGACAGGTCCTATGTGTTCCCATAAAAATGAACTTCCAAAAGGTGGTATATATCATACAATAAAATACTATTTGGCAATAAAAAGGAATGAAGTACTAACACATTCTACAATATGGACTAATCTTTACAACATTATGTAAAGTGAAAAAGATCAGGCAGTAAAGACTATATATTGTTTGATCCCATTTACATGAAATGTTAGGAATAGCCAAATCTATTCTAGAGACAAAAAATAGATTAATGGTTGCCCAGGGGTGGGGAGAGGGGAGAAGACTGACTACTAATGGACAAAAGTTTCTTTTTGGGATAATGAAAAATTTAAAAATTAGGCAGGGCGCAGTGGTTCATGACTGAAATCCCAGCATTCTGGGAGGCTGAGATGGGAGAATCATTTGGGGCCAGGAGTTGGAGACCAGCCTGGTCAACATAGCGACACCCCATCTCTTAAAAAAAAAAAAAAAAAAGGCCGGCCTTGGTGGCTCACGCCTGTAATCCCAGTACTTTCAGAGGCCGCAGCGGGTGGATCATCTGAGGTAGAGAGTTCGAGACCACCCTCACCAACATGGAGAAACCCTGTCTCTACTAAAAATACAAAATTAGCCAGGCATGGTGGCACATGCCTGTAATCCCACCTACTTGGGAGGCTGAGGCAAAAGTATCACTTGAACCCAAGAGGCGGAGGTTGCAGTGAGCCAAGATCGAGCCACAGCACTCCAGCCTGGGCAACGAGAGTGAAACTCCGTCTCAAAAAAAAAAAAAAAAGGCCGGGCATGGAGGCTCACGCCTGTCATCCCAGCACTTTGGGAGGCTGAGGCGGGCGGATCACCTGAGGTCAGGAGTTCAACGCCAGCCTGACCAACATGGTGAAACCCTGTCTCTACTAAAAATAAAAATAACCAGCTATGGTGGCACACACCTATAGTTTCAGCTACTCGGAAGGCTGAGGCAGGAGAACTGCTTGAGCCCGGGAGGCCGAGGTCACAGTGAGCGCAGTGAGATTGCACCACTGCACTCCACCCTGGGCAACAGAGCAAGACTCTGTCTCAAAAAACAAAACAAAACAAAACAAAAAAAAACCAGTTGTATAATTTAAAGGGTAAATTTTGATATATAAATTATCTCAATGAAAGTTTTTTAAAACGTAAGGGTTTTTTTAGAGTAAAAATGTAACTCAGGGAGACACTGGTGTGGAAGGACTATTTTGAGCAGCAAGACACGGAAAACATAAACAACCACCAACCACTTACTTCTTGAGGGAATTTAAGATCTTCATGGAAATTCCACACTGGACCCAGGATTTAATTGGTTTGGGGCAACCTTTTCCTTTAACTGTAATGCCCTCCATTTCCAATCGAAACACATTTACCTCTACAAAACAAAACCCAGATTAAAAGTTCTTAAATATTGTTCTATTGGTGTCTTCTACTTTTCAATTAGGCATAAGATTAACAAACTTTAACTCTTATGCCAGACCCAGCGGCTCACACCTGTAATCCTAGCAACTAGCACTTTGGGAGACAGACGCAGGCAGATCACTTGAACCCAGGAGTTGAAGACCAACCTGGGCAACATGGTGAAACCCTGTCTCAACAAAAAGTACAAAAATTAGCTGGGTGTGGTGGCACATGTCTGTAGTCCCAGCTACTCGGGAGGCTGACATAGGAAGATCACCTGAGCCTGGGGTGGGAACGGGGGGTGTGGTAGGAAATCAAGGCTACAGTGAGCAATGACTGCACCACTGCACTCCAGCCTCTAGCCTGGGCAATGGAGTGAGACCCTGTCTCAAAAAAAAAACAAAACAAAACCAACAATTTTTTTTATTTTTGTATTTTTTTAGTAGAGATGGGGTTTCACCATATTGGCCAGGATGGTCTCAAACTCTTGACCTTGTGATCTGCCCGCCTTGGCCTCCCAAAGTGCTAGGATTACAGGTGTGAGCCACTGTGCCCAGCCTAGTTTTTTGTATTTTAGTAGAGACGGGGTTTCACTGTATTGCCCAGGCTGGTCTCGAACTTCTGAGCTCAGACAATCCGCCCACCTCAGCCTCCCAAAGTGCTTAGATTACAGGCGTGAGCCACCGCAGCTGGCCAATTAATTTTTGATCATTTTAAAAATATTTCCAAAACACCCTCCTTCATGAGACACTATCCACATTTCTCTTGAGCAATGTGAAATGTATCCTCTTCTGTTCCCTTATAACCAGTAAATGAAAAAATGGAATTTTACCTTCTTGAGACATTTTTGCTAGTTCTGGAACTTCAACATAGAAGTTTTTCCTAAATGGCTCATACTCAATTTTTCCATGATCAACTGGTTCTAGAAGCTTTCGCTGTTTTGTTTGATACCCTGTAAGGGCTGTCTGAAGATCAACTTCTTCCTCCTCTGAAGAATACTATAGTTTAAAAGAAAAAATTAAAGCGCTAAGTTCATTACTATTTTCCCCTTGTGGGAAGCAATACTCCTAGCTTTTCAAATCTTCCTCTCCTAGAAACTACTCTAATATTTTACTTTCTACGACACACTGTTTGACCCACAAGATTTTTATAGTGCTCCAGCACACTTAAACCTCATAATTTTAAAATCACCTCAAATGACGTATGACACCTTGAATTAGAAACGTATCAAGCAGCTCCTGAAGAATTTTTCAACTTAGTTTTTTTTTCTTTGCCTTTAGAAGGTTAAAATGCCAATATAAAGCTAAAACAGTAATCATCAGAGACAGCTCTAATAAGGCTTTGCTACTGTTTTTACTATATAAATCTTTACGTGTTAATGGAAAGAAAATTAATTCATTCTGTTACTCCATTTTTTTCTCTCCATATTGTATGCCTGAAGTGAGCTGATGAGGGGCAGAAAGATCATACAGTTAGGAATGAAGACATCAGAATGTTCCACTAAACAGATATTTAACTAGATACTATTATACTACTAAGAATAGCAAGAATGTCTCTCAATTCTGGGAATTTCTCCTAGCTCACACAAATGAAACGCACATCTCCATGAATGCTTTCTAATAAATGCTTCCAGGATAGTATCATAAACAAAGTCAAAATTAAGAAAAATCACCTCCATGGCATCCTGGTCATTCTCCATCAGCTCACCTTTCTTCTTATCAGAATCCACAACTGCTTTTTTGGTTGTCACAACAGTGACAACTTTTGTGACCGTTGGCCCAGACTTCTAAAATAAAGAACAAATATAGAATATTTTGCAAAGCTGAAACACAAGTTATATGACTGCTGAAGCACACAGTAACTGACACAATTTCATCTTTAGTTTTTTTTCTTTTTTTAGTGACATGGTCTCAGTCACCCAGGCTTGAGTGGTGTGATCATAGCTCACTGTAACCTCAAATTTCTGGGCTCAAGGATTCGTCCCATCAGTCCTCCTGAGTTGCTAGGACTACAAGCACATGTCACCAAACCCAGTTAATTTTTTTTGTTTTTTAGTAGAAAGAGTCATGCTATGTTGCCCAGGCTGGTCTTGAACTACTTGGCTCCAGTGATCCACCAGCCTCAGCCTACCAAAGTTCTGGGATTGCAGGTGTGAGCCAGGGCACTGAGCCAACTGAGTTATTAAATGAAAAGACAAACAATAGCCTGTTTTTCTCATTAATTTGTATAAATTTTTAAGCATAATATAATTATATTTTATAATACATCCATTCATAATTTACTGTATTATAAATAATTTTATATAATTATACATACTTTATTTATTTATTTATTTATTTATTTATTTATTTATTGAGATAAAGTTTTGCTCTTGTCACCCAGGCTGGAGTGCAATGGCATGATTTCAGCTCACTGTAACCTCTGCCTCCTGGATTCAAGCAATTCTCCTGCCTCAGCCTCCCCAGGAGCTGGGATTACAGGCACCCGCCACTAGTCCGGCTAATTTTTGCATCTTTAGTAGAAACAGGGTTTCATCATGTTGGCAGGCTGGTCTCGAACTCCTTACCTCAGGTAATCCACCCACCTCAGCCCCTGCAAAAGTGCTGAGATGACAGGCGTGAGTCAGCACACCCAGCCAATTATATATAACAATAATATATATAAAAATATATAATATATACACATATACGCACACACATATACACACATATACACATACACATACATATATACATACACACATATACATATACACATATACATGCACATATATACATATACACACACACACACACACACACACACACACACACACACACATATATTTTTTTCAGACTGAGTCTTATTCTGTCACCCAGGCTAGAGTACAGTGGTGTGATCTAGGCTAATTGCTCCCAGTTCAAGCTATTCCCCTGCCTCAGCCTCCCAAGTAGCTTGGATTAGAGGCGTCCGCCATCACACCCAGCTAATTCTTGTATTTTTAGTAGAGATGGCATTTTGCCATGTTGGCCAGGCTGATCTCTAACTCCTGACCTCAGGTGATCCGTCTGCCTCGGCCTCCCAAAATGTTGGGATTACAGGCATGAGCCACCACGTCCGGCATGATTATGTATTTTTAAACTACTACTAGGCTAGGTACAGTGGTTCATGTGTGTAATCCCAGCACTTTGGGAGGCCAAGACAGGAAGATCACTTGAGTCCAGGAGTTCGAGACCAGCCTGGGTAACACGTGAGATTCCATCTCTATAAACAATTAGCCAGATGTGGTGGTACATGCCTGTAGTCCTAACTACTAAGAAGGTTGAAGCAGAACGATTGCTTCAGCCCAGGCGTATGAGGTATGATCATGCCACTGCACTCCAGCCTGGGTAACACAGCGAGACCCTGTCTCTAAAAAACATTTTCTTAAATAAAAAATAAAATAAGGCCGAGTGTGGTGGCTCACGCTTGTAATCCCAGCACTTTGGGAGGCCAAGGCAGACAGATCATTTGAGGTCAGGAGTTCAAGGCCAGCATGGCCAACATGGTGAAACCCTGTCTCTACTAAAAATACAAAAATTAGCCAGGCATGGTGGTGGGCGCCTGTAATCCCAGCTACTCGGGAGGCTGAGGTAGGAGAATCACTTGAGCCTGGGAGGCACAGGGTGCAGTGAGCAGAGATAGTGCCACTGAACTCCAGCCTAGGCAACAGAGCAAGACTCCATCTCAAAAAAAATAAAATAGGACAGGTGCAGTGGCTAATGCCTATAATCCCAGCACGTTGGGAGGCCAAGGCAGGTGGATCACCTGAGGTCAGGAGTTCGAGACCAGCCTGGCCAACATGGTGAAACCCCATCTCCACTAAAAATACAAAAATTAGCTGGGCGTGGTGGCAAGGGCCTGTAATCCCAGCTACTCAGGAAGCTGAGGCAGAAGAATCACTTGAAGCCAGGAGGTGGAAGTTGCAGTGAGCCGAGATTACACCACTGCATTCTAGCCTAGGCAACAAAGGCGACACTCCATCTCAAAAAAATAAATTAAATTAATATAAAATAAAATAAAATGAGGCTGGGCACGGTGGTTCACGCCTGTAATCCCAGTACTTTGGGAGGCCAAGGCGGGAGGATCACCTGAGGTCGGGAGTTCGAGACCAGCCTGACCAACATGGTGAAACCCGGTCTCTACTAAAAATACAAAACTTAGCCGGGCATAGTGGCAGGCGCCTGTAATCCCAGCTACTTGGGAGGCTGAGGCAGGAGAATCGCTTGAACTTGGGAGGCAGCAGTTGCAGTGAGCCAAGATTGCGCCACTGCACTCCCGCTTGGGCAATAGAGCGAGACTCTGTCTCAGAAAAAAAATAAATAAATAAATAAAATGAAACAAAATACTACTAAATGGTATTTTCCAATCACTAGGCAAGCCAGGGGCTTGTAGCGGGAGCCTGAATAAATCAACAAATAACACAGGTAAAAGTCACTGCCCTTAGAGTGCTTACATTTTAGAAGGGAGAAGGGACATACTGTAAACACAAAAAAATTATATAATTTGTCAAAATGTAATAAATGCTATGAAAAAGAGGAAAAATAGAATAAAGTGAGGGGCATCAAGGGTATCAAAGACACAGCTGGGCATGGTGGCTCATGCCTGTAATCCAAGTATTTTGGGAGGCCGAGGCAGGTGGTTCACTTGAGGCCAGGAATTCGAGACCAGCGTGAGCAACATGGTAAAACCTCATCTCTACCAAAATACAAAAATTAGCCAGGCATGGTGGTGCACACATGTAGTTCCAGCTACTTGGGAGGCTGAGGTAGGTAGACTGCATAGGCCTGGGAGGTGGAGGATGCAGTAAGCCAAGATCACACCATTGCACTCCAGCCTAGGCAAAAGAGAGACTCTGTATCAAAAAAAAAAAAAAAAAAGAGTATCAAAGACAGGAGTGCTAGAGAAGTCTCCAGAGAACTTATTAAAAAGGTTAATATGTAAGCAAAGATATCAAACTAAGTTGATGGTGTTAAAAGAGTGACTTTTGAAAGAACACTTATAGCTAAAATTTACCAGTATCTCTGGTACTCAGAAAAAGTACTGCCATCTCTCAGATGAGGAGAAAGAAAACTGTTAGCTTTACAAAGTCATGCCAATCAGTAGGACAATGCAATGGAGAACTCAAGTTACCCAAGAGGAAACGGAAATCTTTAAAAATAAGAAATTCCATACCTTTTCATTTCCCCCACCACCTTTTACACTTCTCATGTTAAATTTTTTTACTTCCTCTTTCACTTCTTCCATGTAAGCATCTAATGGATCTAACTCCTCACCCTCCATTTCATTTCCCTCCTTTTCAGCTTCTGCAGGATCATCTTCGTCATCTAAAATACCAGAATACACATTCTTTAAACATCTGTTTAAAAATGCAGTATTTCACAATCAGACCACACCCCACCTCTCTAACCTTTTCTGCCACTGCCCAAACACCCCTTTTCCAATTACTCCAGCCATCCATCAGTTCAAATGCTCATATTCTGAGGTTTTTCCATTTTTACATGAAGCATGTATTACTTCTGAATATTAACAATGACAAAATAAATATGAATAAAACATAAATTGGTTGTAAAAGGGTCAAAAGATTAATTATGCCAAAAAAGGTGATCTCCAATAATAGATTTTACAGCTATACAGCTGGATGCAGAACTACAAACTTTCTCTGCTAAATGATGTTTTTTTTGAGACGGAGTCTCGCTCTGTCACCCAGGCTGGAGTACAGTGGCACAATCTCAGCTCACTGCAAGCTCCGCCTCCCAGGTTCCTGGGTTCACACCATTCTCTTGCCTCAGCCTGACGAGTAACCGGGACTACAGGTGCCCGCCACCATGCCACTAATTTTTTTTATTTTTAGTAAAGAGGGGGTTTCACCATGTGAGCCAGGATGGTCTCTAACTCCTAACCTCGTGATCCGCCCGCCTCGGCCTCCCAAAGTGCTGGGATTACAGGCGTGAGCCACCACGCCTGGCCTTTTTTTTTTTTTTTTTGAGACAGAGTCTCGCTCTGTTGCCCAGGCTGGAGTGCAGTGTCGCGATCTCAGCTTACTGCAACCTCTGATATCCTGGGTTCAAGCGATTCTCCTGCCTCAGCCTCCTGAGTAGCTGGGATTACAGGCGTGCGCCACCATACTCAGCTAATTTTTGTATTTAGTAGAGACGGGGTTTCACCATGTTTGTCAGGCTGGTCTCGAACTCCTGACCTTGTGATCCACCCACCTCAGCCTCCCAAAGTGTTGGGATTACAGGCGTGAGCCACTGCACCCAGCTAAATGACATTTTCAATTACAGTTGATCCCTGAACAACATAGGTTTGAACTGCATGGGTCCACATGGAAGCAAATTTTCTTCCACCTTTGCCACCCCAGAGACAAGACCAACTCCTCCTCCTCTTCTTCCTTCTCAGCCTACTCAATGTGAAGACAACAAGGATGAAGACCTTTAAGATGATCTACTTCAACTTAATGGACAGTAAGTATATTTTTGCTTTCTCGTAATTCTTTTTTTTTTTTTCTAGACAGTCTCACTCTGTTGCCAGGCTGGAGTGCAGTGGCACCATCTCGGCTCACTGACGGCAACCTTCACCTCCCAGGTTCAAGTGATTCTTCTGCCTCAGCCTCCCGAGTAGCTGGGACTACAGGTGTGCGCCACCACACCAAGCTAATTTTTGTATTTTTAGTAGAGACGGAGTTTCACCATGTTGGCCAGGATGATCTTGATCTCTTGACCTTGTGAACCACCTGCCTCAGCCTCCCAAAGCGCTGGGATTACAGGCATGCACCAGCGCGCCCAGCCTCTAATTCTCTTAATAACATTCTTTTCTCCCGCTTACCATATTAAAATAATACAGTATTCAATACATAAAGCATACAAAGTATGTGTTATTCAACTGTTCATGTTATTGGTGAACAGTAAGCAGGTAATGCTTAGTTTCTGGGGAGTAAAAAGTTACATATGGATATTTCACTGTGTGGGGGTTGGTGTGCTTAGCTACCAAGTTGTTCAAGGGTCAACTGTATTTTTCTTTCAATTACCTTTCAATCACAGAAGATAGCATATCTCAGTTATGTAAAAAAGATTAGATTGTCTAGAATTAAGACATCACGACTACTTGGCTGGGCGTAATGGCTCACACTTGTAATCCCACTGCTTTGGGAGGCCGAGGCAGGTGGATCACGAGGTCAGGCGTTTGAGACTAGCCTGGCCAACATAGTGAAACCCCATCTCTACTAAAAATAGGCCAAGGCGGGCGGATCACAAGGTTAGGAGTTTGACACCAACCTGGCCAGTGTGGTGAAACCTCGTCTCTACTAAAAATACAAAAAAATTAGCTGGGCGTGGTGGTGTACACCTGTAATCCCAGCTACTCAGGAGGCTGAGGCAGAGAATTTCTTGAACCTGGGAGGTGGAGGTTGCAGTGAGCCGAGATCACGGCACTGCACTCAAGCGTAGGCAACAGAGCGAAAAAAAAAAGACATCATGACTACTTATAGATAGAATCTATTTAAACCATTCTTTGGAACTTTCACAGACAATGGACCAAAATCCCATTTTCCTATAAAATTCTACAATCTCCTACTTTACTAAAATCTCGAAAGTCAAAATCAGATGTGAAGGGAAATGTTTCCATCCTAAATTATGAAATATCAGCAGCCAGGCACAGTGGCTCCTGCCTGTAATCCCAACACTGAGAAAGGTCAAAGCAGCAGGCTCTCTTGACCCCAGGAGCTCAAGACTAGCTGGGTAACATATCGAGACCCTGGCTCTTCAAAAAATGACAAAATTAGCTGGGCATGGTGGCTCACGCCTGTAATCCCAGCACTATGGGAGGCCAAAGTGGGAGGATCACCTGAGGTCAGGAGTTCAAGACCGGCCTGGCCAACATATTTTTGTACTAAAAATACAAAAATTATCCAGGCATGGTGGCAGGTGCCTGTAATCCTGACTACTTGAAAAGCTGAGGCGCAAGAGAATAGCTTGAACCTGGGAGGCGGAGACTGCAGTGCCGCCTGGGTGACAGAGCAAGACTCTGTCAAAAAAGAAAAAAGAAAAAGACAAAATTAGCCAGGCATGGTGGCTACTCTGGAAGCTGAGGCAGAAAAATCACTTGAGCCCAGGACGTCGAGGCTGCAGTGAACTATGACTGTGCCACTGCACTCCAGCCTAGGCAAGAGAATGAAACTCTATCTCCAAAAACATGAAAAAGAAAAGAAAAATCAGAGGAGGCACTTGAAAGCATGCCCTTAATTTACTCTCCTTACTAACGTTCACATTGGTATAATATATTAAAGAACTATTTACTGGCTATGCCCAATAACACTCAATGATTCATTCTAAAGTAAAATCAGTGATGCTTACTAAACACAATTCTATATTTCAAATTACAACATAAATATTAAAAGGAGCTTTTACAATCTCAATTCCACTTCTGGGTATATAGTTCACAGAACTCAATACAGAGACTCAAACAGATATTTATACACCAATGGTCACAGGAGCATTACTCACGATAACAAAAGGGTGGAAACAACCAAATTATCCAATGGCAGGTGAATGAACAAACAAAACTTGGCATATATATACAGTGAAATATTATTCAGCCATATAAAGAAAGGAAATTCCAACATGCTACAACATACATGCACCTTGAAGACATTATGCTAAGTGAAATAAGCCAGACACAAAAAGACAAATATGTATTATGATTCCACTTATGTGAGGTAGCTAGACTAAACAAATTCAGAGACAGAAAATAGAGCAAAGGTCACAAGAAGTAGCGAGAAAAGGCGTCATAGAGTTATTTAAAAGGTGCAGAGTTTCTGTATGGAATGACGAAAAAGTCATGGAAACAGACAGTGGTAACGACTGCACAACACTGCAAATGTATTTATCACTGAATTGAAACCTGAAAATGATGAAAATGGTAAACAGCATATTATGCATAGTTTTCAACAATAAAAAAGATTAAAAACCCCTTATGAAATATTATTCATATAATATTCTACATGAGGTGTTATACAGGCTATTAGGCTAAAAAATATACCATCATCGTCCTCTAAACTCCACTTTTTCCCTTGTTTCATCTCTTCGATTTCCTTTTTCAGTTCTCCTATGTTTTCCATAGCCTTTTTACGTTGCTCTTCTCGCCATTTTTCTACTCTTTCTTTTCGCTTTCTCATTTCTTCTTCCAGCTTATTCTGGTCAAAGTTCTTGGGGGAATAAAAGAAAGAAAGAGATGGGGGAAAATAAAAAGCAAAACCAAATTTAATAATTTTGCTCCAAGTGACATTCCAGTAAGTTCTTCAAAGTATAAAGAAGGGGAAAAAAGGCATATATACAAACCCCTCAGGGTAGACTTAGATCACATACCTTTATAAATATACACACAAATATATTACCAAAATGAAATCACAAAAAAAGCATCTTCAAATAAGAAAGCCAAAAGATAGATTTCAAACACTATAAATCAATCTCATTTTACTTACAAGCATTATGCACACATAAACTTTATTTCTTCCTAACAACAGAAACTAAAGTAATTAGCAAGCAAAGTTTCCCAGTTATTCTCAATTTTAATCCCCTAAACGCCTCCAAAATTGCCTCTATGAAAAGCAATTTTCTATTACAAGTTAGAAAATAAACGACATCAACATGATAAAGAAATTTTATGGCCAGGCACATGGTACATGTCTGTGGTCCCAGCTACCTGGGAAGCTGAGGCTAGAGGATCCCTTGAGCACAGGAGGTTGAGATCAGCCTCAGCAACAAAGGGAGACTCTGTGTTATTAAAAAAATACAAGTTTATGGCCAGGCATGGTGGCTTACACCTGTAATCCCAGCACTGTGGGAAGCTGAGGCTGGAGGATCCCTTGAGGTCAGGAGTTGGAAACCACCCTGGCCAACATGGTGAAACCCTGTCTCTACTAAAAACACAAAAATTAGCTGGGCATGGTTCCCCATTCCTGTAGTTCCTCCTTCAGGAGGCTGAAGCAGGAGAATTGCTTCGACTCAGGAGGCAGAGGTTGCAGCGAGCTGAGATCACGCCATTGTACTCCGGCCTCAGCAACAAGAGCAGAACTCCGTCTCAAAAAAATGAATAGGCCAGATACGGTGGCTCATGCTTGTAATTCCAGTGCTTTGGGAGGCAGAGGCAGGCAGATTGCCTGAGGTCAGGAGTTCAAGACCAGTCTGGCCAACAGGGGGAAACCCCATTTCTACGAAAAATACCAAAAAATTAGCTGGGCGTGGTGGCATGCACCTGTAATCCCAGCTACTCAGGAGGCTGAGGCAGGGGAACTGCTTGAACTCCCAAATTCCTGGGATTACAGGCATGAGCCACAGCACCTGGCCTCATGTCTAAATTCTTAAGTCTACATTTTTTTTTTCCAGACAGAGTCTCGCAGTCACCAGGCTGGAGTGCATTGGCGGGATCTCAGCTCACTGCAATCTCCAAGTCCGGGGTTCAAGCCATTCTCCTATCTCAGCCTCCCGAGTAGCTGGGATTACAGGCACATACAACCACACCCAGCTAATTTTTGTATTTTTAGTAGAGACAGGGTTTCACCATGGTGGCCAAGATGATCTCAATCTCTTGACCTCGTGATCTACCCACCTTGGCCTCCCGAACTGCTGAGATTACAGGCACGAGCCACCATGCCTGGCCTTCACATTTGAGACAGAGTTTCGCTCTTGTTGCCCAGGCTGGAGTGCAATGGTGTGATTTTTGGCTCACTGCAACCTCTGCCTCCCAGGTTCAAGTGATTCTCCTGCCTCAGTCTCCCAAGTAGCTGGGATTACAGGCATGCGCCATCACGCCTGGCTAATTTTTGTATTTTTAGTAGTGACGGGGTTTTACCATGTTGGTCAGGCTGGTCTCGAACTCCTGACCTCAGATGATCCACCTGCCTTGGCCTCCCAAAGTGGTGAGATTACAGGCACGAGCCACTGTGCCCAGCCTTAAGTCGAAATTTATACAAATTTTTTGGAAGGCAATTGATAATGTTTATATGGTAAGACTGCACTTTGTATGTAAAAACAGATATTGCGTATAGATGTGCAACTTCTTTTAGAAAATTTTCCCACAGGGGTAAATATTATTTAATCTTCCTTTTTTATCTTTCACATCTGGTTATTTTAAAATAAAGCTTACAGCATTAAAAAGAAAAAAATTTGTTGGCATAGAAACAAGTTTGTTTTGATTTTTGAGACAGAGTCTTGCTCTGTCACCCAGGCTGGAGTACAGTGGCCCAATCTCGGCTCACTGCAAGCTCTGCCTCCCGGGTTCACACCATTCTCCTGGCTTAGCCTCCCAAGTAGCTGGGACTACAGGCGCCTGCCACCACGCCTAGCTAATCTTTTTTTTTTTTTTGTATTTTTAGTAGAGACAGGGTTTCACCATGTTAGCCAGGATAGCTTTGATCTCCTGACCTCATGATCCACCCGCCTCGGCCTCCCAAAGTGCTGGGATTACAGGCGTGAGCCACCGTGCCTGGCCCATAGAAACAAGTTTGATGGCCAGGCACGGTGGCTCACACCTGTAATCTCAGCACTTTGGGGGTCCGAGGCAGGGGGATCACAAGGTCAGGAGTTCAAGACCAGCCTGGCCAACACAGTGAAACCCCATCTCTACTAAAAATACAAAAATTAGCTGGGCATGGTGGCGCATGCCTATAGTCCCAACTACTTGGGAGGCTGAGGCAGGAGAATTGCTTGAACTCAGGAGCCGAGAATGTGCCACTGCACTCCAGCCTGGGCAACAGAGACAGACAGAAAGAAAGACAGAAAGAAAGACAGACAGAAAAGAAAGAAAGAAAGAGAAAGAAAGAAAGAAAGAGGGAAAGAAAGAAAAGAAAGAAAGAAAGACAAAAAGAAAGAAAGAAAATTATTTTTAAGTTAATAAACATACGCCAGCATCTTTTTCTTTTTCATCCTCCTTGTCATCTTTGTCTTTTTTCTTCTCTTTAGAACTTTCCCCACCATCAGTTTTCTCTTTGGACCTAGATCTACCAAAAAAATAAAAGAGACAAGAGAAATGTCATTCATTTGTACTTAGAAACATTCATTTTTAAATACTTTTTTTTTTTTTTTTGAGACAGTGTCTCACTCTGTCGCCCAGACTGGAGTGGAGTGAAATGGTGCGATCTCAGCTCACTGCAACCTCCACCTCCCGGGTTCAAGCGATTCTCCTGTCACAGACTCCCGAATAGCTGAGATTACAGGTGCCAGCCACCACACTCATATAATTTTTGTATTTTTAGTAGAGACAGGTTTTCACCATGTTGGCCAGGCTGGTCCTGAACTTCTAACCTCAGGTGATCTGCCCACCTCAGCCTCTCAATGTGCTGGGATTATAGGCATGAGCCACCTCGCCCGGCCTTAAAATACTTTTACAGGTGGGGTAAGGTGCCTCACACTTATATACCCAGCACTTTGGGAAGCCAAGGCAGGAGGATCAATTGAAAACAGGAGTTAAAGAGATCAGCCAGGGGAACATAACAAGATCCAATCTTTCCAAAATATACTAAGAATTAGCTGGGTATGGTGGTGTGCACCTGCAGTCCTACCTACTGAGGAGGCAGAAACAAGACGATCACTTGAGCCCAGTAGTTCGAGGCTGCAGTCAGCTATGATCCCATCACTGCACTCAAGCTTGGGTGACAAAGTGAGACCCTGTCTCTTTTTAAAAAAAAAAAAAAAAAAAAAAAATTTGGTCAGGCATAGTGGCTCATGCCTGTAAGCTCAGTATTTTGGGAGGCCAAGGCAGGAAGATCACTTGAGCCCAGGAGTTCGAGACCAGCCAGGATAATACAGTGAGACCTCGTCTCTATTAAATTAAAACAAAAAATACATAAGTACACTTATTAGACTTGTATTCCAATATTTAGGTAAGAAATAAACTTCTAAGAGTCAACTGTGTTTTCATATTCCATTAACAAACACCTGGAGGCTGGGCATGGTGGCTCATGCCTCTAATCTCAGCACTTTGAGAGGCCAAGGCAGGCAGATCACGAGGTCAGGAGATCGAGACCATCCTGGCCAATATGGTGAAACCCCAACTCGGCCGGGCGCGGTGGCTCACGCCTGTAATCCCAGCACTCTGTGAGGCCGAGGCAGGTGGATCACATGAGGTTAGGAGTTCTAGACCAGCCTGACCAACATGGTGAAACCCTGTCTCTACTAAAAGTACAAAAATTAGCCGGGCTTGGTGGCAGGCGCCTGTAATCCCAGCTACTCAGGGGTGGGAGGCCGAGGCAGGAGAATCACTTGAACTCGGGAGGCGGAGGTTGCAGTGAGCCGAGATTGCACCATTGCCCACCAGCCTGGGAGACAAGAGCAAAACTTCACCTCAAAAAAAAAAAAAAAACAAACAAAAAAAACAAACCCCGTCTCTACTAAAAAATACAAAAATCAGCTGGGTATGGTGGCACGTGCCTGTAATCTCAGCTATTCAGGAGGCTGAGGCAGGAGAATAGCCTGAACCAGGGAGTCAGAGGTTGCAATGAGCTGATATTGCACAACTACATTCCAGCCTGACGACAGAGCAAGATTCTGCCTCAAAAAAAAAAAAAAAAAAAAAACCTTGAAAATATAACGAAAAAAATTAATCCCATGACACTAATGGGAAGCATTACTAAATATTTGGAAATTCAACCCAAGAAAAACTGAACATACTACATACAAACAATATAGTTTGTTTATAGGTAGGATAGTTAAAATGTGATAAATGAAGAAACAGACCAATATATTAATATTCTGCAAGATAATTTATATATGTAATAACGTTTAAAATCCCAAGGGACATGCATTTCGAATGTTCTAATGTTCTAATGATTTTAGGGGATTTTTTTGAGACGGAGTCTCTCTCTGTCGGCCAGGCTGGAGTGCAGTGGCGCAATCTCGGCTCACTGCAACCTCCACCTCCCGGCTTCAAGTGATTCTCCTGCCTCAGCCTCCCGAGTAGCTGGGATCACAGGTGTGTGCCACCACACCTGACTAATTTTTTACTTTTAGTAAAGACGAGGTTTCACCATGTTGGTCAGACTGGTCTCAAACTCCTGACCTCGTGATCCATCCACCTCGGCCTCCCAAAGTGCTAGGATTACAGGCGTGAGCCACTTCACCCAGACTTCTAATGATTTTTTAATGTTAAAATAACCTGCCATTCTTGGAATAAACCCAACTTGTTTACGCACCCCAACTTACGGCATCTCATAATGAATAAAATTTCTTAATTTTAATGTAATCAAATTAGTCAACCTTTTTTCTCCTTTATAATTGGTGCTTTTTAAAGTAGTTTAGAAATCCTTCCAGATTTGATGTAAGATACCTAGAGGTGAAGAAGAAGATACTCTCTGGCACAAACTTCTAAAAGGTTTAGAATTTTGCCATCTAATTTGGTCTTTGCTTGGAATTGCTTTTTGTACACAGAATAAGGTAGGCAGTCTTATTTCATAAAAGGATACTAGATATCCCTAGAGCAATTTAAAAATTTTTCTGGCCAGGCACGGTGGCTCACGCCTTTAATCCCAGCACTTTGGGAGGCCGAGGCGGGTGGATCACGAGATCAGGAGATCGAGACCATTCTGGCTAACACGGTGAAACCCCATCTCTACTAAAAAATACAAAAAATTAGCTGGGCATGTTGGCACACACCTGCAGTCCCAGCTACTCGGGAGGCTGAGGCAAGAGAATTACTTGAACCCGGGAGGCGAAGGTTGCAGTGAGCCGAGATTGCACCACTGCATTCCAGCCAGGGCAACAGAACGAGACTTTGGCTGTTAAAAAAAAAAAAAAAATCTTCACTTATTACATCATCACCTCTGTCATCTATCAAATTACCATGTGTATGGATGCCTTTCTGGGCTCTTTACATGGTTCACTAATCTGTCTGTCCACTGCTAAACAAATTGCACATTGTCTTAATTTCTGTTAACTTTTTTTTGTTTTTTTTTTTTGAGAAGGAGTTTCACTCTTGTTGCCCAGGCTGGAGTGCAACGGCATGATCTCACCTCACCGCAACCTCTGCCTCCTGGGTTCAAGCGATTCTCCGGCCTCAGCCTCCAGAGTAGCTGGGATTACAGGCATACGCCACCACGCCCAGCTAATTTTGTATTTTTAGTAGAGACGGGGTTTATCCACAATGGTCAGGCTGGTCGCCAACTCCCAACCTCAGGTGATCCGCCCACCTTGGCCTCCCAAAGTGCAAGGATTACAGGCGTCAGCCACCGCGCCTGGCCTAATTTCTTAACTTTTAAGACAAGTCTTGGCTGGGCGCGGTGGCTCAGGCCTGTAATCCCAGCACTTTGGGAAGCCGAGGTGGGCAGATCACTTGAGGTCAGGAGTTCGAGACCAGCCTGGCAAACATGCCAAAACCCCATCTCCACTAAAAACATAAAAATTAGCTGGGATATTATGTCTGCCTCTTCATATAATCCCAGGACTTTTGGAGGCCTAGGTGAGAGGATTGCTTGAGTCTACAAGTTTAAGGTTAGTGAGCTATGTTCTTGCCACTTCACTCCAGCCTGGGCAACAGAGTGAGACCCTGCCTGAAAAGAAAATGACAGAGTTTCTACAAAGATGTCTATAAAATACATTTCTGATTGACAGTTATGTATTAAGTAAGAATACAATGTATTGAATGTTAAAACTGACAGAATCTATTATTTTCCAGTTGAATTATAAACATTATAGCCAATTAAAATAAAACACTGCCAACAGTTCATGGTAGGAGCCAAATGCAGTTAATTCTCTATAAATACAAACTTACAGGGAAAAAAAAAAAAGGCGCAGAGAAGGGAAGCAGTCCCCAGTCTGCACTATAGATGCAGCCCAATGATAACATTACCTATTCTCAGTTTTCTTGCTTTTATTTCCAGGACTGGAGGATCGGGATCGCCGGCCCCGGCTTCTACTCCTTGAGCGTCTCCTGTCTCTACTTCGAGATCTTCTTCGCTCTCGGCTTCTGTCTCTCTCTCTACTTCTGGAACGTCTGAAAGGGGGACACTTTTCATTTATTCTATGACCAAATGGAGCTACTATTTCAGATCAGGGGATTCTGTCCCACATTGAAAGAATCTTAATCACTACCATTATTAAAGGTGGAGGTCTCAATGAAGTAAAGCCAAGTCTTATAAGTGCTCAACGAAAAAAATGAGAATACTAATTTATTTCTTTCATTTTTTTAAAGACAAAGTCTCACACCTGTCACCCAGGCTGGAGTGCAGTGGCACAATTGCAGCTCACTGCAACCTCTGCCTTCTGGGTTCAAGTGATTCTCCTGCCTCAGCCTCCCCAGCAGCTGGGATTACAGATGTGCATCACCATGCCCGGCTAATTTTTTTTTTTTTTTTGGAGACAGAGTTTTGCTCTTGTTGCCCAGGCTGGAGTGCAATGGCGCAATCTCAGCTCACCACAACCTCCATCTCCTGGGTTAAAGCGATTCTCTTGCCTCAGCCTCCTGAGTAGCTGGGATTACAGGCATGCACCACCATGCCCAGCCAATTTTGTATTTTTACAGATGGGGTTTCTCCATGTTGGTCAGGCTGGTCTCGAACTCCCAACCGCAGGTGATCTGCCTGCCTCAGCCTCCCAAAGTGCTGGGATTACAGGCGTGAGCCACCATGCCAGGCCAGAGAATACTAATTTCATAAAGATGTTTGTGAAAAAACCATAATAAGTCTGTAATTAACATCGATTGAAAATCGATGGTCTAAGATAGAATATCTAGTTTCAGATAGCCTAAACCTAAGTATAAGGATGGGCATAATGGGTCTACTAAAAGATCACTAATCTGAAGATGAAGAGGCAAGAATTTCTATCCTGCTACTCCTGGTAACTAATGACATGATGAAGGTCAGATCTCCAACTTTCTGGGTCTCAGTTTCATCATCTATAAAATATGGAGACTTCACTAGACATCTTTAAAATCCCTCTTGCTCTAAAATCTTGTGATTCTACTTTCACACCCAAAAGTCAAAGACCAAATGTTAAATAACCATTTTCACTTAAGTACTTGAATTAATTGTGTGAAATTGTTCCTAGGACCACAAAATGTGAAAATGCTATCCACATTGTCACGGGTGAATATTTTCCCTGAATCCTACGTAACAACAATGTACTCCAATGTCTGAAAAGGATAAAGTTAAATTCTTTCTATGATCCACTCACAACACAATCTTGTCTTCCTTTCCTATTTTAATGAGAAACTGGGCAAGGTATGGTATCTCATACCTGTAGTCCCAACCCTTTGGGAGGCCACTAGCAACACAGTTAAGACCCCCATCTCTATGAAAAGCTTTTTTTAATTGGCTGGGTGTGGTGTGCACAGAAGATTATTTTCTTTTTTTCTGTTTTGAGATGGAGTCCTGATCTGTCGCCCAGGCTGGAGTACAGTGGCACCATGTCGGCTCACTACAACCTCCACCTCCCAGGTTCAAGCAAGTCTCCTGCCTCAGCTTCCCGAGCAGCTGGGTTTACAGGCATGCACCACCACACCTGGCTAATTTTTTTTTTTTTTTTTTTTTTAGTAGAGACGGGGTTTCACCATGTTGGCCAGGCTGGTCTCAAACTCCTGACCTCGTGATTCACCCACCTTGGCCTCCCAAAGTGCTGGGATTACAGGCATGAGCCACCATACCTGGCCAACTTTGTCACTATTAAAAATACAAAAATTATCCAGGCTTTGTGGAGCATGCCTGTAATCCCAGTTACTCAAGAGGCTGAGGCATGAGAATCACTTGAACCCGGGAGGCAGAGGTTCCAGTGAGCCTAGATCGTGCCACTGCACTCCAGCCTGGGTGACAGAGTGAGACTCTGTCTCAAAAAAAAAATAAATTAAAAAAAAAAAAAAGATTAAGGCGCTCTTTAGTTTAAATCTATGACAGCTCATTAAAATAGTTTAAGAGGCTTGGAGAGGGTCTGCTTTGTTTCCTTTTTCTGCCTGCTTTAGAGGCTGCTCTAAACACACTGTTTAGCAAAATGAAGAAAGAAAGAGAAAGAGAGAAAGAGTGAGGGAGGAAGGGAGAGAGAGTGGAAGGGAAGGAGATAGGGAGGAAGGAAGAGAGAGATGGAGGAAGGGAGGGAGGGAAGGAGGGAGAGAGGAAGGAAATTTTACAAATTTCAACAAGGGTGGCAAAAAAAAAAGGAAAGAAAATTAACACCTTGGTCAGCTCTCCTGGAGCAGAATTGGAATAGAACCCTCTTGAATATAACTTATTACTTTACTTTTTACTTCATTTTGTATGTCCCTCAGAGGGCTTCAAGGGATGTCTTTGGGTTACAGGAAATACAGCCTAAAGTTTCCAAACTAAAAACACTGTTTGATGGTCGGACACGGTGGCTCACACATGTAATCCCAGCACTTTGGGAGGCCAAGGTGGGAGGATCACATGAGGCCAGGAGATCGAGAGCAGCCTGGCCAACATGGCAAAACACCGTCTCTTTTAAAGACACAAAAATTAGACAGGTGTGGTGGTGCACATCTGAAATCCCAGCTACTTGGCAGGCTTAGGCATGAGAATCGCTTGAACCCAGGAGGTGGAGGTTGCAGTGAGCAGAGATGATACCACTGCACTCCAGTCTGAGCAACAGAGTGAGGCTCTGTCTCAAAAAAGATTAAAAAAAAAAAAAAACACTGTTTGATAGAGTCTTTGTAGGCACATCCTTCTGGGTCTAATCAAACAAGTAGGGGATAAAGAAAAGGGCCTGCAATTGGGCCACCAAACTCCAGTTGAAAACATACTTTTCAAGAAGCCTGCTATAGCCGAGAAGGCCCAATTTATCACTCGTCTTTTGGAAATTAATTAATGTCTTACCTCAGACGCTTCCTGTCCCTTGACCGAGATCTTCTTTTATCCCTGCTACGAGACCTCTCTCTCCTCCTATCTCTATCTCTACTTCTAGACCGTCTGTCATCTCCACGTTTACTTCTTTTGTCTGAGGGTGAGCGACTTCTAGACCGACTTCCAGAGCGACCCCGGGATGCCGATCGTTTTCGATAGTGGCTAGAACAATAAGTCAAAGATTAAGTTCAGCAAACACCATTAGCTTCTATTACATTTTATTACATTTTTTCTAAAAATAATTTCAGCAGACAAATTTAACACTCAAAGAACTTTTTATGAATTTTTCTAAAATTAGGAGGGAAAAAATGAACCCTTCTGCTTCAGCACAGACACATGTAGAGGTGGAAAATCTGTCTTGAAAGAGAGGCAAGGACAGTGAACAAAACAGACCAAGCTCCTGCCTTTGAGCTCCAGGCAGCTTACACTCCGGTAAAGGAAAAGACGGCAGACAAGTGAAGAAACAAACACTGTATATAGTATGTTTATATACAATATAAATATGACATTTGTTACAGAGGCTTGGAGGAAATAAAGGAGCCATGTAGATATACAGGGAATTTTCCACGCAAAAGGCACAAGTGCAAAGTCCCTAAAGAGGAAGCTTGACTGGTGAGTTTAAGGAACAGCAAGGATGCCAGTTGTGGCTAGTGTTGAAAGAGTGACACAGCGTGCCATAAGACGAGGTCAGAAAAACAGCAGGGAAGCCAAACCTGGAAGGCCTTACTGGCCATTATATAAGGACTCTGTCTTTTACACCAAGATGAAAATCTACTGGAAGACTTTAAGCAGAGGAGTGACACAACCTCATTAATGTTTTTATTTTTATTTTTAGAAACAGGCCTCACTCTATTATCCAGGATAGAGTGCAGTGATGTGCTCACAGTTCACTGCAACTTCAACTCTCTGAGGCTCAAGCAATCCTCCCACTTCAGCCTCCCAAGAAGCCGGAACTTCAGGCATGCGTCACCACACTTAGCTAATTATTATTATTATTTTTTTTTTTTGAGAAAGAGTCTGGCTCTGTTGCCTAGGCTGGAGTGCAGTGGCACAATCTCAGCTCACTGCAAGCTCCACCTCCCGGGTTCACACCATTCTCCTGCCTCAGCCTCCCGAGTAGCTAGGACTATAGGCGTCCGCCATTACGCCAGGCTAAATTTTTTTTGCATTTTTAGAAGAGATGGGGTTTCACCATGTTAGCCAGGATGGTCTCGATCTCCTGACCTCGTGATCCACCTGCCTCAGCCTCCCAAAGTGCTGGGATTACAGGCTTGGGCCACTGCGCCCGGCCACTCAGCTAATTATTTTTATTTTATTTTATTTATTTTTTTTGAGACAGAGTCGCACTCTTGTTGCCCAGGCTGGAATGCAATAGCACCATCTCAGCTCACTGCAACCTCTGCCTCCCAGGTTCAAGCAATCCTCCTACCTCAGCCTCCCAAGCAGCTGGGATTACAGGCCTATACTACCACGCCCAGCCAGTTTCGTATCTTTAGTAGATGAGGCAGTTTCACCACATTGGTCAGGCTGGTCTGGAACTCCTGACCTCAGGTGATCTACCTGCCTCAGCCTCCCAAAGTGCTGGGATGGATTACAGGCATGAGCCACCGCATGCAGCCTTTTTATCATTTTTTTAAATTTCTTTTTTGAGACAAGGTCTCACTCTGTCACCCAGGCTGGAATGCAGCAGCTCAATTGCTACTCACTGTAACCTCAACCTACTGGGCCCCAGCAATCCTTCCACCTCAATCTCCAGAGTAGCTGAGACCAAAGGCACACACCACCGCGCCCACCAATTTTTTTTTTTTTTTTTTTTGGGTAGAGATGGTGTCTCACTATGTTGCTCAGGATTGTCTTAACCTCCCGGCCTCAAGCATCTTCCCACCTCAGCCTCCCAAGTAGCTGGGACCAAAAGCATAAAAGCGTGTGCCACTATGCCCACCTATTTATTTCTTTTTATTTTTCATTTTTGTAGAGATGGAGTCTTGCTATGTTGCTCAGGATGGTCTCAAACTCCTGGGCTCAAGCAATCCTTCCACTTAATGTAATCCCAAAATGCTGGGATTACAGGTGTGAGCCACTGCACCTGGCCTAATGTTTTTAAAGTATTATTCTGGTTGCTGAGAGAACAAACCAAACAAAGGGAGGCAAGGACAAAAGGAGAAAGAATAGGCAGGATTAGCAAAGACCAGCACTATAGCAATCATCCAGGCATGAGATAGTGGTGGCATAGATCAAAATGGAAGGTGGAAAGATTTTGAGAAATATCAAAATCTGGATATCTTGAAGCTAGCACCGATGGGATTTAATGATGAACTAAATGTCAAGTGTGACAGCAAGAGAGAAATCACTCAGTTGCCATTTACCAAGATGGGAAGGCTGAGGGAGAAATCCAGGGAGAAGGTGGATCAGAATATTAGGTATCCAAGTGGAGATATATAGTATATAGTTGAAATATTAGCCTGTAGTTCAAGGAAGAGGTTTCTCTAGAAATATAAACTGGACAGCTATTAGTGTACAAAGGCTATTTAAAGCTATAAACCTAAATAAGATCACTAGGAGATGAATGCACCTGATTATCTCTCAAGCACCTCAAGTTCAATCTGTAGAAACCCAAACTTGTTACCCTTCCCTCCCCAAACGATTAATCGTACCAACTTCCGGTCACTAGGCTCAAAACATTAGTCATCATCAATATTTTTCTCTTGCTCTCATTCGATACAATAAATAAAACACCAATTGGCTGGGCACAGCGGCTCATGCCTGTAATCCCAGCATTTTGGCAGGCCAAGGTGGGCAGAGAGCTTGACCTCAGGAGTTGAGACCAGCCTGGGCAACATGGTGAAACCCTGTCTCTACAAAAAATACAAAAATTAGCAAAGCGTGGTGGCACACGCTTGCAGTCCCAGCTATTCGGGAGGCTGAGGTGGGAGGATCTCTTGAACCTGGGAAGCATAGGTTGCAGTGAGCCAAGATTGTTTCAATGCACTCCAGCCTGGGAGACAGAGCAAGTCCCTGTCTCAAAAACAAAAAAACAGGCCGGGTGCGGTGGCTCACGCCTGTAATCCCAGAACTTTGGGAGGCCGAGGCGGGTGGATCACAAGGTCAGGAGATCGAGACCACCCTGGCTAACACGGTGAAACCCCGTCTCTACTAAAAAATACAAAAATTAGCCTGACGCGGTGGCAGGCGCCTGTAGTTCCAGCTACTCGGGAGGCTGAGGCAGGAGAATGGCGTGAACCCTGGAGGCGGAGCTTGCAGTGAGCCGAGATCCCACCACTGCACTCCAGCCTGGCGAAAGAGCGAGACTCTGTCTCAAAAACAAAAACAAAAACAAAAAAACAACCAAGTAATACCAATTTCACCTCTGTAATTCCCTTCACATTATATCACCTCCACAGAGTTCCAACCGTCACTATTCTATATCAGACATATCTACCTAGGAGATTCTTAAAGACTGTAGTCTTCCTGTTTCTATTACTTTTCCATTAAATCTTACTCATTGCTGCTAAGGAGAATTCTGATTCTATTACACACTTTTTACTCAAAATCTTCAAAGGTTCACAAACAAATTCTGATCTTCAAAATCTACAATCCACCCGCTTTCTGGGCCCAAGTCCTATTCAGGACCTACCTCCTACTACTTCTCAAAAAAGATAAAATCCCTTCATGAAACCTACATATGCAGAAAAATTGGGCTTTTTAGCTATTTCTCTAACACCTTGCGCCTTCCCACCTCTAAGCCTTTCATGATTCCCTGAACAAACCTAGAGCACAGGCCATGCACACCAGAGAGGTAAAGGAGAAGGCTGACGGGCTAGAATGGACCTTCTTGTGAAGGGCCTTGAAGGCTGTCATAGAGTTTAAATTTCATCTTGGAAGCAGTAGAAACCAATGGAGACTAAGTCAGGGGCATGCCATCATCTTATCTCTACTTCAGAAGTGTCACTCTGGCTGTAGTGTAAGGGATCTAACAATTAGGAGAGCAACAGAGGAAGACAATCAATTCAGAGAATCAATTTAAAACAGATGTAGTAGTCTGGACAATAAATAATTAGGGCCTCAATTAAGTCAGGGACAACCAGAATGGGCAAAGGATGTAGAATCTAACAGGCTGTGGGTAGTGAGAGAGAAGAATGAGTCAAATAAATATCACTTTCAGATTTCTGGTCTGGACAGCCTTCCGGAGATTTAAAACACCGTCACAGGAATTTTCTGTAGTTAAAGAAATATTTTTTATCTTCATCCAGGTGATGATTACACGGTTTATATATTTGCTAAATTTCATCAAGCTTTACCCTTACGTTTTGTCCATTTCCCTGATTGTTAATTGTACCTCAACAAAGAACTGTTAGCACTAACAACAAAAGCCTTCATTGTTCCTAGACATAAAATATCTTTCAGTCATTGCTAAATACATAGCAAATAGTCATTTTTAACATAAAAATCTCAAGGTTCCTAACAATCTATCAACAATCTAAAGTTGTGATGAGATCTAATGAGTTCTAATAAGAGCTCATAGTCCACAACTTCAAAAGGACAGAAAAGCAGGTAACAAAGTTACCTGCTTAAATACGAAATCTATTTGCGAAGTAAATGCCCACGCAACAAGTATTTATTGTAGCCCAGTAAAAGCCTAGTCGTGTATAGTGCTGTCGATGCGGTAAAAATGTCTGCCCACACGCTCCTTTCAAGTAACTTGGGAAAAGATCATACGCGCACAAAGAACTAAAATACAGAATGACAGGAGTCGAGGAAATGTTGGAAACGCGAAGCAATAAGCAATCCAACTGGGATCACTTCTGACTGAAGTAATCAGGGCAGGCTCCCTTGAAGTGGCGGGATGTGGTGCCCAATCACTAACGTCCTGGAGGGTTGTTCCCGCTCCAGGGGCTCGAACCCTCTGATGGTAGTGCAGGGGAAGCCGTCGCTGGCCCAAACACAACCATTCCCTCAGCCGAGGTCCCCCAGCCCTTCCAATGCTCGCGGGGCAGCGCTGACCGCACGTGGGGCCGCGCCAGGCCTGGCCCGGCGGCCACCTCAACTCCCGCCTCTTCTCACGACCCCAAGAAGCCGCTCGCCCGCTAGCCCGCTCGGCGCTCTGCCTCACCGTGACTCCCGACCCATGCTGCCGACCGCGGGAATACTGGTGCCCTTGAGTACCACGCACAGGCGAACCGGACAAACAAGGAGGCTGAGCTGCCCTCAACGCCCGGCAAAGACCAGCGCTAAACACTAGCAGCACCTACAGCTGTGGCGGCCATCCCAGCGCGGCCAACGAAAACAGGACGTGCTGGCGCCGGCAGCCGAAGGAAGAGAAAAGCCGACCGGAAGCTGCCGCTCTTCCACAGCGCCCCACCTCGACTGGAGGACGCACAGCGCCGGCCCCATCGAAAGGTGATGCCTTCGCCCCGCCCAGTCTTCCCGGCGCCCGCACCACGCCCGGCTGATTAGTGCGATGGAGCGCAGCGCGTCAGCCTCGCCGGCCCGTGAGGGTGTTTCGCGCCAGAGCCAAAGAGGCGTCCTGGGCAGGCTGATGTCTGCCTTAATTTGCGCTAAATAATGCGGCAACTTTCTCCGTACACGCTCTTTATTCATGTATACATTCACTCATTTATTTATGTTGTCATATGCCAGGCTTGTGCTAGATCCTGGGGAGCTCACAGTCTATCCGGGAAACAGATGACTAAAGCCAGCACAGTGGCTCACGCCTGAAATCCCAGCACTTTGGGAGGCTGAGGCGGGAGGATCTATTGAGCCCAGGAATTCAAGACCTGGGCAACGTAGCCCTCGTCTCTGCAAAGAAAATAGTAATAATAATAGACTTGACTAAAAACACAAGCAGAAGTAATACAGCAAGGAGAGTCCACCATTGGAGACGGATTCAGAAAACACGTTTCCCTTGGAAGTGAACTCTGAGGTGAGATTTGAAGACCCGGTAGGTGTTAACCTAGTAGAGAACAAAGAGCTAAAAATACTTTGGCAAAAGATTAGTTCTCAACATTGCTTGCACTGGGAAGCTTAAAAATAAAACAAAAAAACAAAAAAAGGGCCAGCCATGGTGGCTCATGCCTATAATCCCAGCACTTTGGGAGGCCGAGGCAGGAGGATGGCTTGAGCCCAGGAATTCAAGACCTACCTGGGCAACATAGCGAGACCCTCTACAAAAAATAAGCAAAATAATTAGCCAGGTGTGCTGGCACGCCTGTGGTTCTAGCTACTTGGGAGGCTGAGGTGAGAGGATCATTTGAGCCAGGGAGGCTGAGGCAAGAAGATTACTTGAGCCCAGGAGTTTGAGGCTGCAGTGAGCTATGATGACTCCAGCCTGGGTAGCACAGAGAAATCTCATCTCTAAAATATTAGTAAATAAAATAGAAGCCTGGGTTCCACCCCTATGTTCTGATTTAATTGGCCTGGAGTGCTTCTTGTGCACTGGGAATTTTTAAGCTTCCCAGGTAATTCTGAAGTACAGTCAAGATTGAGAACATTATTCGAGAGTTTGGGCACCAAAAAAATGTATATGTATTGTCTCATGCAACACACACAGAAATGTTGAATTTTTTTTGTTTTTTTTTTTTGAGACGGAGTTTCGCTTTTGTTGCCCAGGCTGGAGTGCAATGGTGAGAGCTCAGCTCACCACAACCTCCACCTCCTGGGTTCAAGCGATTCTCCTGCCTCAGCCTCCCAAGTAGCTGGGATTACAGGCATGCACCACCACCCCAGCTTATTTTGTATTTTTAGTAGAGATGGGGTTTCTCCATGTTGGTCAGGCTGGTCTTGAACTCTCGACCTCAGGAGACCTGCCCGCCTCGGCCTCCCAAAGTGCTGGGATTACAGGCATGAGCCACCGTGCCCGGCCATGTTGAGTTGTTTTTGCAAAAAGCTATAATGGAGTTGGAGAAAGGCTCATATTTTTACTTTACTTGCCTCTGTACTATTTTACTTTCTTACACCTAAAGATGATGGAAAAGTTCTGTGTCTTGATTTTAGTGGTCATTGAATAGATTTGCACATTTTTCAAAATTCACTGAACTGTACCCTTTAACTGTACATGACTTATTGTATGTAAATTTTACCTCAACATAGTTGATTAAAGAAAAAAAGCAAACCAACGAGTGACACTCCAAGATGAGTTTATGCTCCCCACGCCCCCCGTGGCTTGCTGCCCACCTGTGGTAGCTGCGAGAAGCATTGAAGAGGGATAGAGACTGGAGGTTCTGGCAGTCCATGCCAAGGGTAAGAAGGCCTGAGCTAATTAATGAGTGACAGGATGGACACCAAGGAGGGTTAGGAATCCCCCTGTAAATTGTTTGGATGTGGGCTGCAGGTAGGGAATGTGGATTTCAACCTAAAAGACATAGAAAACCACCAGTGGCTTAAACAATGAAGACTGAGAAGTGATCAGATTCTGGGTGTATTCTGGAAGCAGCTCTCAAAGCGCCAATAGATAAACTGGATGTGAGCTATGACGGAAAGGAAGGAATAAAAGATGACTGCCAGGTTTTCAACAGAGCTATTGTGGACTGTGGTGAATTTGTGGAGATGAGAAAAGCATGGAAGCAACAGATTTAGTGGAGGAAATAGAGAAAGTCATTGAGTTTGTTTCAGTCATGTGATATTTGAGGTGCCTACTAGACATCCAGGAAATAACAGCTACAAATAGAGGCGGGAGAGATATGGGTCCTCAGCATTTTATAGAATGTATAATACACAGTATTTGAAGCCATGGACTGGATGAGGCCATGCAGAAGTGAATGGAAATAAGTCCTTAATTTTTGAAATTAACACAATTTGAATATTGCTTAGAATCACAGGATTAGGGCCAGATGCAGTGGCTCATGACTGTCATCCCAGCACTTTAGGAGGCTGAGGCGGGTGGATCACATGAGGGCAGGACTTCAAGGCCAGCCTTGCCAACATGGTGAAATTATGTCTCTACTAAAGATACAAAAATTAGCTGGGTGTGGTGGTGCGTGCTAATCCCAGCTACTCGGGAGGCTGAGGCATGAGAATCACTTGAAACCGGGAGACAGAGGTTGCAGTGAGCCAAGATCGCGCCACTGCACTCCAGCCTGTGCGACAGAGCGAGACTCTGTCTCAAAAAATAATAATAAAAAGAATCATGGGATTAATGTTATAGATTTTTAAAATCACAAACTCAAACTTCTTGATTTTAAGTAACAAAACTGAGACTCAGGAAACATATTTCATCCTAGATCACTAACCTTGTTGGAATCTAACCTGGAACTAGAGTCCAGAGATCTGACACTTAGGCCAGAGCTGTCTTCAAGATACTTTATTTCCAACTCCCCTTTAAGACAACACATTAACAAGACAATTCTAACTGGCTTAAATATTTCTTATATATATAATATATATTCTAATTAATATTACATTAATATAATATATATAGAATATATATTTTATATATATATATATATATATATATATATATATTTTTTTTTTTTTTTTTTTTTTTTTTGAGACAGGGCCTGGTTCTGTTGCCCAGGCTGGAGTGCAGTACTGTGATCTCGGCTCACTGCAGCCTCCTCCCAGGTTCAAGCGAATCTTGTGCCTCAACTTCCCAAGTAGCTAGTAGCTGGGACTACAGGCACACACCACCCCACCAGCTAACTTTTGTATTTTTCATAGAGAGGGTTTCGCCATGTTGCCCAAGCTGGTCTCAAACTCCTGGACTCCTGGTCTCAAGCGATCTGCCTCTCTTGGCCTCCCAAAGTGCTGGGATTACAGGTGTGCACCACCCCCACTCCACCACAATATATTTATAGTAAATTCACATCAAGTCTGTCCTGGAGGAAGGCTTTTTTTTTTCTTTTTTTAGAGACGGAGTTTCACTCTTGTTGCCCAGGCTGGAGTGCAATGGCGCGATCTCGACTCACTGCAACCTTGCCTCCTAGGTTCAAGCGATTCTCCTGCCTCAGCCTCCCAAATAGCTGGGATTACAGGCATGAGCCACCACTCCCAGCTAATTTTGTATTTTTAGTAGAGACGGGGTTTCTCCATGTTGGTCAGGCTGGTCGCGAACTCTCGATCTCAGGTGATCTGCTGCCTCGGCCTCCCAAAGTGCTGGGATTACAGGTGTGAGGCTGGAAGATTTTATCTATTTAGATAGGTGAAAGAAATGACTATAGTCTGTGTTCTAATACATCACTTTCAGTAAACTAACCTGTTTTCCAAAGCAGCAGATTTTGACTGTGACTTGACTTACTAACCCAGTATTGAATATCTAATAACCCACTTGCTGTTTTTAGTGCCAACTGTGATGACACATGTCCATTTACACAACTAATTGAACTAAAAAAACTACTAGGTTACATGGTCAAGATGTCACCTCTAAACAACCATCCTTGTCCCTCTAGTTTTAATCCATATACCTTTTTTTTTTTTTTTTGAGACAGAGTCTCACTCTGTTGTCCAGGCTGGAGTGCAGTGGCGCGATCTCAGTTCACTGCAACCTCTGCCTCCCGGGTTCAAGTGATTCTCATGCCTCAGCCTCTTGAGTAGCTGGGATTACAGACGCGCCCGCCACCACACCTGGCTAATTTTTTTTTGTTTTGGTTTGGTTTTTTTAGTAGAGACAGGGTTTCACCATGTTGGCCAGGCTGGTTTCAAACTCCTGACTTCAAGTGATCCACCCGCCTCGGCCTCCCAAAGTGCTGGCATTACAGGCATGAGTCATGGTGCCCAGCCAGTCCATATACATTTCAAAACCCAGAAATTTCCAAATAAAAAACGTTTTAAACTATTCCAAACACTAAGAAACTTCAATTCCCAGGCCAGGCGCAGTGGTTCTCGCTTGTAATCCCAGCACTTTGGGAGGCCAAGGTGGGTGGATCACATGAGGCCAGGAGTTCGAGACCAGCCTGGCCAACATGGTGAAACCTGTCTCTACTAAAAATACAAAAAATTAGCCAGATGTGGTGGCATGCATCTGTAATCCCAGCTACTCGGGAAGCTGAGGCATGAGAATCGCTTGAACCAGCCCGGGGGGCGGGCAGAGGCTGCAGTAAGCTGAGACTGACATCACTGCACTCCAGCCTGGGCGACAGAGACTCTGTTCTGAAAAAAACAAAACAAAAATTAGCCAGGGGTGGTGGCACATGCCTGTGGTCCCAGCTACTTGCAAGGCTGAGGTGGGAAGATTGCTTGGGCCTGGGAAAGCAAGGCTGCAGTGAGCCCTGATCATGCCACTGCACTCCGACAGGGGCAACATAGTGAGACCTTGTCTCAAAAAAAAGAAACTTTCAGGTCGGCTGCAGTGGCTCACACTTTTTTTTTTTTTTGAGACAGAGACTTGCTCTGTCGCCCAGGCTGGAGTGCAGTGGCACGATCTTGGCTCACTGCAAGCTCCGCCTCCCAGGTTCATGCCATTCTCCTGCCTCAGCCTCCCGAGTAGCTGGGACTACAGGTGCCTGCCACCATGCCTGGCTAATTTTTTGTATTTTTAGTAGAGACGGGGTTTCACCGTGTTAGCCAGGATGGTCTCGATCTCCTGACCTCATGATCTGCCCGCCTCGGCTTCCCAAAGTGCTGGAATTACAGGCGTGAGCCACCACGCCCGGCCTCACACTTTTAATCTCAGCAAATTGGGAGGCTGAGACAGGCAGATCACTTGAGGTCAGGAGTTTGAGACCTGCCTGGCCAACATGGTGAAACCGCCATCTCTACTAAAAATACAAAAATTAGCCAGGCATGGTGGCAATGCCTGTAATCCCAGCTACTCACTACTCAGGAGGCTGAGGCGTGAGCACTGCTTGAACCTGAGAGGCAGAGGTTGTACATCATGCCACTGCACTCCAGCCTGGGCAACAGAGTGAAACTGTCAAACAAAACACAACAAAACAGGCCGGGCGCAGTGGCTTACACCTGTAATCCCAGCACTTTGGGAGGCCGAGGCAGGTGGATCACCTGAGCTTTGGAGTTCCAGACCAGCCTGACCAACATGGAGAAACCCCGTCTCTACTAAAAATACAAAATTAGCTGGGCGTGGTAGTGCATGCCTATAAACTCAGCTACTCGGGAGGCTGAGGCAGGAGAATTGCTTGAACCCCAGAGGCAGAGGCTACAGTGAGCCGAGATTGTGCCATTGCACTCCAGCCTGGGCAACAAGAACGAAACTCTGTCTCAGAAAAAAAAAAAACAACACAAACAAACAAAAAAAACTTTCATTTCTACTTGATATTATTCAACAAATCAAGCAAATGATCAGGGAGATGCCTATCAGTTAAAGACAAAAAATGGCACCAATAGATACAGATATCTTATAACTGTCTTCAAAATATAAATTTGATAATGATCTACAATTACTAAAATTTTGCATGTGTCAGCTGGCTAAATGATTTTTTTTTTTTAAGAAAGAAAAGTAGGCCAGGCACAATGGCTCATACCTGTAATCCTAGCATTTTGGGAGGCCAAGGCAGGAGGACTGCTTGAGCCCAGTTTGAGACCAGCCTGGGTAACATGGTAAGATCCTGTCTCTACAAAAAATCAAAAAATTAGCCAGGCATTAATGGTCCCAGTTACTTGGGAGGCTGAGACAGGAGGATTGCTTGAGCCCAGGAGGTCAATCAAGGCTCCAGTGAGCCATGATTGTGCTACCACTACACTCCAGCCTGGACAACAGTGGTAAACACTGTTTGGAAAAAAAAAAAAGCACCAAAAGAGTAAACATGTGCAATGTGCAATTGAAGACCACTAGTATCTTCTCAGCGATTAAGGAAGTGACAACTTTAAGGATGATTTACAACCCTTTAGATACTAGATTCATTATGGAATCAGGAAAAATGTGTGCTTATAATCTTTCACCCAAATCAGAAGAATAGACTTAAATTATTCTTCATTACCCTGGTTCAAAATGAAATGACAGAAATCAAGACTTAAAGAGTAATTTTTTAAAAAGTGTATGTGTTTTTAATGTCACAAGGATTAACCAAATTAGACTATACAAAAATCTGTAAGGAAATGTAACACCAAGTGACATTAACACTTTAGTCTTATATTCTTTTAAGAAGACAACCCAACAAAATATGGCAGTTACTGAGTTAGTTAAAAGGATATTTATAAGGCCAGGTGCAGTGGCTCACGCCTGTAATCCCAGCACTTTGGGAGGCCGAGGTGGGCAGATCACCTGAGGTCAGAAGTTCGAGACCAGCCTGACCAACATGGAGAAACCCTGTCTTTACTAAAGAATATAAAAATTAGCTGGGCGTGGTGGTGCATGCCTGTAATCCCAGCTACTTGGGAGGCTGAGGCAGGAGAATCCCTTGAACCAGGAAGGTGGAGGTTGCGGTGAGCCGAGATGGCGCCATTGCACTCTAGCCTGGGCAACAAGAGCGAAACTCTGTCTCAAAAAAATAAAAACAATGTTTATAATAACTCATCTAGACCATATTTGGGGGGAAAAAGGACATTTATGCTATTGGGTTGCATGCCTCAATTCTTCACATCCCATTTTGTTTTTGCTTGCTTAAAACATACTTCTAAAAAGTGAAACTCAAATGTAAAAAGTTCCAATTCTGAGTTTGGTATACAGCAATAAAAATTTTATAAATACCTTCCAATTTCACATGTATGAATCTTTTCTTTGATTAAATACTTGTGCTGGAGTAAAAATTAAGATACTAACTCAACAAGAAAAGTTACAATGTGCAGAGTTAACATTAGACAATTCAGTTTCTTTCATTTTATTTTTCAGATGACTTCATTTCTCAGGACAGAATGACACAAACACAAGAAGCAGTCTCTAGGGCTGGCTGAGACCACATTTATCTGTTCTCCTAAAAGCACTAGCTCAGCTCCCAAAAGAAGAATTACAAATCTGAGAAGTTAGAGGAAAGGTACAGAATAGGAATTCTGATTAACAAGAAAAATCAATTAATGACATTGGTACTCTATTCTTCATATCAGTAATAATACAAACTCAGCCCTTTTAAATCAGAGAATCTGCCATTCTATATCTAATAAAGTAGCTTTACAACCCCTAAAGTAAAAGAATTACATGAAGGTGTAAACCAATTTGCCTCCTTTAGAGACACTGCAATATAGAAGAGGATTTTTTTTTTTTTGTAAGCTTCTCCTTCTCAGTTCTACAGGCTTCATGGTACTTCAGAGCCCCAATAATCAAGCAGTTCATGACAAAAGATAAAAGTGAAAAAGTAGACACAGAGATCTGTGAAGACTTCGCCCATTTTGCTATAGGTATCCATTGATCGATTTATCACTTCGGCAGGAATTCCCGACAATAGAAGTGCAGCTGTTAGTACTGTTGTCTTTATCTTCTTTTCACTCTGTGTAGAGAAAGACTCAAATTAATCTTCAAAGTTTCAGCAGGCTACATTAAGCTCTATACAAACATGATCAGTACTGCTGTTTTTAACCGAAATGATTTAAAAACTGTTAATGATGTTTCAAAACAATCAGTAAGATACCAACATTTACTGAGCATATAATATGTAACTCATCAATCTGCTAGGCAATAGCAGACATCAGTCTTGCTTTTTTTTTTTTTGAGATGGAGTCTCGCTCTGTTGCCCAGGTTGGAGTGCAATGGCACGATCTCGGCTCACTGCAACCTCTGCCTCCCGGGTTCAAGCGATTCTCCTGCCTCAGCCTCCTGAGTAGCCGGGATTACAGGTGCTTGCCACCATGCCCGGCTAATTTTTGTATTTTTAGTAGAGACAGGATTTCACCATGTTGGTCAGGCTGGTCTCAAACTCCTGATCTCGTGATCTGCCCGCCTCAGCCTCCCAAAGTGTCAGGATTACAGGTGTGAGCCACTGCACCTGGCCCAGTCTTGTTATTAGAAGTTTTTAAAAAGTGTTATCTTGGAAGTATGACATAAATAACAATTTATGATATATACAACAGTACAATATAAAAACAAGAAAAATATTACTAGACAGGACATAAATAACTGCTAAATGACTGACATGGATAATGTGTGACATAGGAGCTCACAGGAGATATAAATTACTCCAGTGTTTTATGTAAATAAAGCACAAGGAGGACTTCAGAGGAAGTAAAATTAAAAACAGGCCTTCAGGCCAAGTGCAGTGGCTCATGCCTCTAATCCCAGCACTTTGGGATGCCGAGGCTGGGTGATGGCTTGAGCCTAGGAGTTTAAGACCACTCTGGGCAACATAGGGAGACTCTGTCTCTACAACAAATACAAAAATTAGCTGAGCATGAGCCTGTAGTCCCATCTACTCAGGAGGCTGAGGTGGGAGGATCTCTTAAGAGGTTGAGGCTGCACTGAACTGAGACTGCACCACCGCACTCCAGCCCACATGACAAAGTGAGACCCCCGTCTCCAAAAACAACAACTAAAAACAGACCTTCAAAGAAGAGCAGGATTTAGACTGGCAGAAGTGAAAGTTTTTTGAAGCGTTAAGTCTCAGGACAAGTTAGAGGCAGAAGAATGCTTGGAGAACAATGAGTAATTTGTCACAGACTTATAGGAATGTAGGGCCCTAATTGTTATGCAAAGGAATCCACACTTGATTACACATCCAATAGGGTATCACTGAACAATTCAGTATACTTCTGGTGGAAGAGAGAACATTTACTTATTAATTTTCTAGTCTCATTTTTTTAAGAGATTAAAAGCTGAATTTTTCTTTATTATCACAAAATCCAATCATACGGTTTAAAATATTTTTAAATATAAAAACCTATAGTTGGCCGGGTGCAGCGGCTCATGCCTGTAATCCCAGCACTTTGGGAGGTCGAGGTGGGTGGATCACAAGGTCAGGAGTTCGAGACCAGCCTGGCCAATATGGTGAAACCTCGTCTCTACTAAAAATACAAAAAAATTAGCCAGGCGTGGTGGCACATGCCTGTAATCCAAGCTACTTGGGAGCCTGAGGCAGGAGAATTGCTTGAATCTGGGAGGCAGAGGCTGCAGTGAGCCGAGATCGTGCCACTGCACTCCAGCCTGGGTGACAGAGCAAAGCTCCATCTGAAAAAAAAAAAAAACCCTATAGTTACCTAAAAGAAATGAAAGCTTATGCTCACAAAAAGCCTCATACAAGAAAGCTCTTAGTTTTAGTCATAATAACCCCAAAACTGAAAACAACCAGGATGTCCATCTATAGGAGACTAGATAAATGGATATAGTCATACAATGTAGTATTACTGAGCCAAGAAAAAAAAAGGAATTAACTACTGATTTATCCAACAACATGGATAAATCTCAAAAATATCATGCGGAATAAAGAAGGCTTGCACAAAAAAGTAAAATCAAGAATGATCCCACTTACATGGATTACTATGCCAGACACAACTAATCTATCGTGGGAAAAAGTTCTTTGGGGTATAGGGACTGGGACTGCCTGGAAAGGAGCATGAAAGAAACTCCTGGGGTGACAGTGAAGTTATAAACCTTGAAAGAGGTATGGGTTTCATAGGATAACAAACGTATTAAATGGTACAATTAAGACAAGCATTTCAAGCAATCAATTAATTACGCTGGTACCCTACTCTTCATATTAGAACTAATTTTTTTTGTTTGAGACGTAGTCTTGCTCTGTCGACCAGGCTGGAGTGCAATGGCAGGATCTCGGCCCACTGCAACCTCCGCCTTCTGGGTTCAAGCGATTCTCCCACCTCAGCCTCCCCGGTAGCTGGGATTATAGGTACCCACCATCATGCCCGGCAAATTTTTGTAGAGATGGGGTTTCACCATGTTGGCCACACTGGTCTTGAACTCCTGACTTCAGGTGATCCGCCCATCTCGGCCTCCCAAAGTGCTGGGATTACAGGTGTGAACCACTGCACCCGGCCTCAGAACTAATTTTACCTTAAAATTTTACCTAAAAGCCAGGTGCGGTGGCTCACACCTGTAATCCCAGCACTTTGGGAAGCGGAGGTGGGCGAATCACAAGGTCAAGAGATAGAGACCAGAGACCAGCTAATTCTAGCACTTTAGGAGGCCGAGGTGGGCAGATAATCAGGTCAGGAGATCAAGGCTGTCTTGGCCAACATGGTGAAACCCCGTCTCTACTGAAATACAAAAAAAATTAGCCAGGTGTGGTGGCACATGCCTGTAATCCCAGCTACTTGGGAGGCTGAGGCAGGGGAATCGCTTGAACCTGGGAGGCGGAGGTTGTGGTGAGCTGAGATCTCGCCACTGCACTCCAGCCTGGCGAAAGAGCAAGACTCCATCTCAAAAAAAAAAAAAAAGAAAGAGACCATCCTGGTCAGCATGGTGAAACCCCGTCTCTACTAAAATTACAAAAATTAGCTGGGCTTGGTGGCGTGTGCCTGTAGTCCCCGCTATTCGGGAGGCTGAGGTGGAAGAATCGCTTGAACCTGGGAGGTGGAGGTTGCAGTGAGCCAAGATTGTGCCACTGCACTCCTGCCTGGTGACAGAGCGAGACTCCGTCTCAAAAAAAAAAAAAAATGCCGAGCATGGTGGCTCATGCCTGTAATCCCAGCACTTTGGGGGGCCGAGGCAGGCGGATCATGAGGTCAGGAGATCGAGACCATCCTGGCTAACACGGTGAAACCCCGTCTCTACTAAAAATACAAAAAAAAATTAGCCGGCCGTGATGGCGGGCGCCTGTAGTCCCAGCTACTTGGGAAGCTGAGGTAGGAGAATGGTGTGAACCCGGAAGGCGGAGCTTGCAGTGAGCCGAGATGGCACTCCAGCCTGGGTGACAGAGCAAGCCTCGTCTCAAAAAAAAAAAATTACCTAAAGAACCTTAAAACAGTAAATTGTAAGTCAGTGTTATGTAAGAGGGGTGAGGTATACCGATGTGTACACCTACAACATACTTTGAAATGCATCAAGAAAAATTTGATGGAAAAACTTTACAGAGATTATCTTGGGTTTGAAAAATAAAAGAAAACCTGATAGATACATAATATAATAAGATGTTAATTGTAGAATCTAGGTCGTTGGTATTATATAAATGGGTGTTCACGGCACAATTCTTTCAACTTTTGTGTTTATTTATTTTTGAGATGGAGTCTTGCTCTGTCGCCCAGGCTGGAGTGCAGTGGCGCTGTCTTGGCTCACTGTAAACCTCTGCCACCGGGTCAGCAATTCTCCTGCCTCAGACACTGAGTAGCTGGGATTACAGGTCTGTACCCACCATGCCAAGCTAATTTTTGTATTTTCAGCAGACATAGCGTTTCACCATGTTGGCCAGGTTGGTCAAGAACTCCCAGCCTCAGGTGATCTGCCCACCATGGCCTTCCAAAGTGCTGGGATTACAGGCGTGAGGCACCACGCCTGGCCAACTTTTGTGTTTAAAAACTGCTATAACAGGCCAGGTGCAGTGGCTCACACCTGTAATCCCAGCACTTTGGAAGGCCCAGGTGGGCAGATCACCTGAGGCTGGGAGTTCCAGACCAGACTGACCAACACGGTGACACCTCGTCTCTACTAAAAATACAAAAATTAAGTGGGTGTGGTCACTCACACCTGTAGTCACAGCTACTTGGCAGGCTGAGGCAGGAGAATGAACACAGGAGGCGGAGGCTGCAGTGAGCTGAGATCGTGCCACTGCACTTCAGCCTGGGCGACAGAGTGATACTCTGTCTCAAAAACAAACAAGCAAAAAAAACCCTGCTATAACAAAATGCTGTTTTGTTGGGAGAATATATAAAGTCTCCCTTTTCTCTCTTCCATTTACATAGTACCCATATATACATCTCTATCACACACATAAGTATTGTTAATAATTTCATGTATAGTCTTTCAGTTTGTTTATGCATATATAAGCAAAATCAAATAATACATTATTTTTTCTTTTCAAAAAGAAATTAGTATAGATTCTATAGATTCTATTCTGAATTTTGTTTTTTTTTCTCTTAATATTTCTTGGAGAGCTTACCATTGTCAGTACATTGAGAGCATCTTCATTCTGAATAGATACGTTATAATTTTTTTTTTTTTTTTTTTTTGAGATGGAGTTTTGCTTTGTTGCCCAGGCTGAAGTGCAATGGTGCGATCTCGGCTCACCACAACCTCCACCTCCTGGGTTCAAGTGATTCCCCTGCCTCAGCCTCCTGAGTAGCTGGGATTACAGGCATGCGCCACCATGCCTGGCTAATTTTGAATTTGTAGTAGAGACGGGGTTTCTCCATGTTGGTCAGGCTGGTCTCGAAATCCCGACCTCAGCTGATCCGCCCGCCTCGGCCTCCCAAAGTGCTGGGATTACAGGCATGAGCCACCGTGCCTGGCCAATTTTTTTTTTTTAATGTAGTCACTCAGTGGACATTTAGGTTCCAAACTTTGCTACTGCAAAACTACAATCAATGTTTCAAAGGTGATTTTCTTTTTTTTTTTTTGAGACAGTCTCGCTCTGTTGCCCAGGCTGGAGTGCAATGGCACAGTCTGGGCTCACTGCAACCTCCACCTCCCAGTTTCAAGTGATTCTCCCTGCCTCAGCCTCCCAAGTAGCTGGGATTACAGGCACCCGCAACCATGCCTGGGTAATTTTTATATTTTTAGTAGAGATGGGGTTTCGCCATGTTGGCCAGGCCAGTCTCGAGCTCCTGACCTCAGGTGATCCACCCCCCTCAGCCTCCGAAAGTGCTGGGATTAGGGCGTGAGCCACGGCGCCCAGCCTCAAAGGTGAATTTCTTTCTTTTTTTTTTTTTTTTGAGGAGTCTCGCTCTGTCGCCCAGGCTGCTGGAGTACAGTGGCGCAATCTCGGCTCACTGCAAGCTCCGCCTCCCAGGTTCACGCCATTCTCCTGCCTCAGCCTCCCGAGTAGCTGGGACTACAGGTGCCTGCCACCACGCCCGGCTAACTTTTGTATTTTTAGTAGAGATGGGATTTCACCCTGTCAGCCAGGATGCTCTCGATCTCTTGACCTCGTGATCCACCTGCCTCAGCCTCCCTAAGTGCTGGGATTACAGGCGTGAGCCACCGCGCCCCGCCTCAAAGGTGAATTTCTAAACAAATGCTTAATTAAAATTACAATGTTATTTACTCTTTTACTTCTTATATTTGACCTATTTGACCCTTCAAAAATACAAATGCTTCAAATCCATTAAAATCATACACAGGTCTGTCAGCCCATTAAATATAACACGCAGACAGCCAAGTAGCAATTTTTTCAGCAAAAAGCTCCCACAAAATTCGATCACACTAGTTAGGCTATCGTCTATGTCAGGCAAGCCAAGCCTCATAAAACTGTATATATCTGTAGTCAAGTAGGCCAGGTAAACATTGACTCTCAACATCATTCTGTTCTGTAATATTGGCCAAATATTTATTGCAAATATCAGGCCCTCAACACTGAAGATAAAGTGCACTGCTATTAAGTGTCCAATATGAAGTACAATGAGATAATCAAATCCATTTTTTAATTAATTTCCTTTATTATAGACAAAATGAATTACTAAATTTACTAATTAAATTTAATACTTTGCTTAAACAAGTACTATTCACACTTTTTCATGAAGGACCTCAATCCACAGTATTTTTGTAAAACAGAATAACAATGTTATGGCAATGTCAAATTGCTATAAAAGTTTCTAATTACTCTTTTTTTTTTTTTTTTTTTGGAGACAGAGTCTCACTCTGTCACCCAGACTGGAGCAGTGCAGTGGCGCAATCTTGGCTCACTGCAACCTCTGCCTCCTGGGTTGGAGCAACTCTCCTGCCTCAGCCTCCTGAGTAGCTGGAATTACAGGTGTGCGTCACCATACCTGGCTAATTTTTGTATTTTTAGCAGAGATGGGGTTGCACCATGTTGGCCAGGCTGGTCTTGAACTCCTGACCTCAGGTGATCCACCCACCTCAGCCTCTTAGAGTGTGGGGATTACAGGCGTGAGCCACTGCGCCCGGCCAATTACTCATTTTTTGAACTTAATGTATAACAAACACAAACACATAGTTTGGAGATAAGTGGGCAAACCACACTTTGAGTAGCACTGATTCAGACCGTAAGCAGGACTAACATTTTTAAGTTCCTTCAATTAGCTAGTCATAAATCAATCCAAACACATCATCGAAATTTAGAAAAAAAATTAATTTACCTTGGGAAAATATTTGTATAATCCCATGTACGCAAGTTGTAAAGTAAGAAATGGAGCAAATATGGACTGTGAAGATAGAAGATAAAATTAAATATTTCCAACATAATCATTCAAATCACAATAAATCAAACAGCAGCTAGAAAATTCCAAGCAAAAGCTGTAAGAAAATGTTGTTATTATTATTTTTTGAGACGGAGTCTTCCTCTGTCACCCAGGCTGAGTGCAGTGGCACGATCTTGGTTCATGGCAACATCCACCTCCCAGATTCAAGCGATGCTCGTGCCTCAGCCTTCTGAGTAGATGGGATTACAGGCGCCCGCCACCACACCTGGCTAATTTTTGTATTTTTAGTAGAGACAGGGTTTCACCATGTTGGCCAGTATGGTCTAGAACTCCTGACCTCGTGATCCACCCACCTCGGCCTCCCAACATGCTGGGATTACAGGTATGAGACACCGCGCCTGGCAATTGCTTTTTTTTTTTAAGATGGAGTCTCGCTCTGTCACCCAGGCTGGAGTGCAGTGGCTCAATCTCAGCTCACTGCAACCCCTGCCTCCCCAGTCCAAGCAATTCTCCTGCCTCAGCCTCCCATAAAATAGTAATTTTAATGGTTAAAAGTAATCTTTTTTCTGCAGAAGGGTGAAGAAAATAAAATATTTGATTTCCTAACATAAAATATGTTTCTCAAGTCATACAATTCTTTCATATTCTTTTAGCGTCCCCAAAACTGTCTTCTCTCATAAAAACTTATCTTTTAAATTATTTAAAGTATTAAATGGTGACAGATGTTTAACACAGTAACACAGATGCGGTAACATCTCGGTCACCCAGAGGGAATTAATTGATATCCAGGAAGCATACAGAAAAGGCCCAGCACTCAAAATACGTGGCATTCTTCCAGCTATGCAGAAGGCTGAGGCAGGAGGACTGCTTGAGCCCAGAAGTTCTAGTCCAGCCTGGACACCATAGCAAGATCCTATCTCTAAAACAACAACAACAACAAAACTAAATGCTTGGCTGGGTGCGGCGGCTCATGCCTGTAATCCCAGCACTTTGGGAGGCAGAGTTGGGTGGATCATGAGGTCAGGAGATGGAGACCATCCTGGCTAACACGGTGAAACCCCATCTCTACTAAAAATACAAAAAATTAGCCGTGCGTGTTGGCACATGCCTGTAGTCCCAGCTACTCGGGAGGCTAAGGCAGGAGAATCGCTTGAACCCAGGAGGTGGAGGTTGCAGTGAGCCAAGATCACATCACTGCACTCCAGCCTGGCGAAAGAAACTCCACCTCAAAAAAAAAAAGATTTACAAAAACTGTTTTGCTTAATGATATAAACTTTAATTATCTGGATATTTATGTGCCTGGTACATATACTTAAAATGTCTACTGAATGGAAAAACCTCAGAGCAAGACACTGAACTATGAGCTATGCTTTTCTGCATTCTTTAATATACTATAAAACAAAATGACTACATCATGGTACAACCAAAATGGACTCATTATGATATATTAGGAAATGCTGAAATGTCTTCTGAACCATAGGAAGATTACCTCATATTCAGGACCAGAGGAACTGCATTTTACTATTTCAAATTATTTGAAAATTGATAATATACAGTATATATATGTAAAGCACTTAACCCTTTGGTTAAGGACTGAAACTGCCAGGGTTTAATCCTAGCACCGCTTAGTAGCTGTGTGACCTTGGGCAAATGGTTTAACCTCTCTGAGTCTTCATTTCCCAATGGATTCACATAATACCAAGTTCATAAGAATGAGGATTAGATGAATTAATGTATGCAAAACAATGAGAAAGGTCCGTAGAATGAAAAATGGGTTTTAGTACAGTCATCCCTCAGTATCAGCAGAGGACTGGTACCAGGTTCCTCCTGATACCAAAATCCATAGATGCTCAAGTCCCTTATGTAAAACGGCACAGTAAATATAACCTACTCACTTCCTCCCATATACTTTAAATCATTTCTAGATTTTTTATGCCTAATGCAATGTAAATAGTTGTTATACTGTTTTTATTTGTATTATTTACTATTTGTTATTGTTGTATTGTTATTTTTCCCCCAAATATATACACATACATATATTTTTGAGACGGGGTCTCACTCTGTCACCCAGGCTGGAGTGCAGTGCCGTTATCCTGGCTCACTGCAACCTCCACCTCCCGGGTTCAAGCGATTCTCCTGCCTCAGCCTCCCAAGTAACTGGGATTACAGGCGTGCACCACCACGCCCGGCTAAATCCAAATATTTTCAATCCACAATTGGTTGAATCCACATAGGGTGCAGAACCAACTGATATGGAGGGCCAACAGTAATTATTAGGCTCTGTATTTAACCAGAACACTTCATTCTATGAGATGAATAGCAAAGTTAATAATATATCTTCAAACAGCCACATGGATCTGGTAGATATTAATACTGGCAATGACTTCTATGATCAAAAGCACTCATAATTATTAACATTTTGCATTTTCCATTAAGTTAGTTAATAATTTACAGATCTTTTCTTACCAAGTATTTGCAAACAAAAGCTCTGACTCCAAGAGCAAGAAGAGCACATCCCACCAATCTAAATATTCGAAAAGAGTCAAATTCTTCTGTTGTATTTCCATCCTCTTGACTGGGTTTTTCACTAATCAGCTGTTTCCTTAGCTTCATTGCTTCTTCGAATCTGGAAAGGTACTGCTCTAGGCCATGGCGGGAACCCCTCTGGACCGAGTCCGCTGTCAGGTCCCCTCTGTTCCGCTGCCGGAGCTCAAGGTTGACATCACTACTGCACTCAGGTGGTTTAATGAACGAGTCCAATTTGTCTCCCAGTTGGGTCCCCTTTACCTCGGCCACACCACCCTGCTGGTCAGTTGTTCCTGTACTGACTGAATCACCCAGCACTACTCGCTTTGAAACGGAAGGAACGCTGAGGGAGTTCAGTTTATCACTGTCCTGCTGCTTTGATTTTGTTTGACTTTCTTCTTCTGAGAAAAGAAATGTAAAAGCCTTATGTATTTATTCCATACTGGCAAACACCTTACATGTTTATGTTTTAAAATATGCTGTTGCAGCTAGAACTCAGCAGCCTCTGCATCAAAATAAATAAATACCGATTCTGCATTAAAGAAAAGCTGGTTTCGGCCAGGTGCCGTGGCTCACGCCTGTAATCCCAACACTTTGGGAGGCTGAGGCGGGCGGATCATGAGGTCAAGAGATTGAGACCATCCTAGCCAACATGGTGAAACCCCGTCTCTACTAAAAATACAAAAATTAGCTGGGTGTGGTGGCGTGTGTCTGTAGTCCCAGCTGCCTATAGTCCCAGCTACTCTGGCTGAGGCAGGAGAATCACTTGAAACCCGGGGGGAGGAGGTTGCAGACACTGCGCCACTACACTCCATCTGCATCTGCCTGGCGACAGAGTGAGACTCCATCTCAAAACAAAAAAAAGAAAAAAGCTGGATTCTTCCTCTACACCCTCAAAATGTATCACCCAAAATGAATATTCTGCAGAGGAAATAACCCAAACTTTGTGGGTAGGAGATAAGATTAGTAGACAAACTGGGAAAGATATTCAGAGATGGAGCAAGCTGAAAAGACCAACTTTTTATGGATAATATATCCCAGATGTATGATTGCATTGCCTGCCTTAGCTTATTTGGTTAAAAATATAAAATCAGTAAAGCCTTTTAAAATCTATATTTTAAAATTAGATTTCTGAATCCAGTGCCCTATGAGCATAGGGTGTGGCATATCCCAAAGCTACTGTTTATGTAGTCAGGCAGCCATTAGTAGGCACTTCAGCAGTTTTAAGACACTACTCTGGGGTTTTGTTTTTGTTTTTGTTTTAAAAAAAAGGCCAGGCACAATGGCTCACACCTGTAATCCTGTAAGCCCAGCACTTTTGGAAGCCAAGGCTGGTGGATCACTTGAGCCCAGAAGTTCCAGACCAGCTTAGGAAACATAGTGAGACCCCCCCATCTCCACACACACAATTTTTTTTTAAATTAGCCAGGCATGGTGGTGTACACCTGTGGTCCTAGCTACTCCGGAGGCTGAGGTAGCAGGATTGCTTAAGCCCAGGAGTTTGAGGCTGCAGTAAGCTATGATCATGCCACTGCACTCCAGCCTGGCCTACAGAGGGAGACCCTGTCTCAAAAAATAAAACAACCTTTAAAGACATAAAATTTTCAAAGCAAAAGAACAAAATATAGAAAGTACCTCAGGTAAGATCATAAATAATGCTTTAAGAATAAATAGCCCGATAGAAAAATGTTTCTTCTATTGTTCTAGAAGAATTTGAAATGGTTTTCTTACCTCTCATTTGAACTGCCTAAAAGTTCAGAGCTATACACCTAAAGCCTTACAGAACAAAAGTCACAAAGATATAAGGAGCTTGCGACCAGTGACTAAAGGCCAATTACTAAAGGAAACACTGGAAACTTAGATAACACTAGGGCGCGCTAATTGCTCAATTATACTCACGTGAAATAAATTTTTTTTAAAGAAAATCATTGGACATGTGTTTGGGGGAGGAAGGAGGCGCTCTCCTTAGAAATGCAGCTCCAGACATCAATCACAACAATATCCCCTCATGAGGAGAGGAAACTCTCAGGTGTGCACTTCGCACTTGCTGGGTCTCTGAAGAATGCTCACTCTCACTTTTCCCACCTTTTCTAGCCGGCCCGTAGGTGACAGTGTTGACGGCACTGAACACAAACACTAGGATATGAGCACAAGAGTCCCTGATACACGTAGGATGAACTAGCGGGCAGTTCAGTAAAGACAGGCTGATGTGGGCGGACAGGAGTTACACAGCAAAAGGCAAAAGAAGGTAGACGCTAGAGAAGGCACTGTAAGGAAAAGCACTTGGAACCTTAAGAAGGAAAGCCATCTTCCTAAGGGGAGCAGTAGACATGACAGTCTGGGGATACAACGTGCGCCCTTCAAGAAAGGCGAGGAGTGGCTAAGGAAAAAAGGGGCTGTTCAACGTAACTGGGAAGAGGGAGTGAGAGCTCTGCAGGCAGGGTGGGGAAAATCTCACGGCGAGGCCCCGGGAAAATTGAGGGGAGCGACTAGGAACATCCTGGGGTTCAGGGATGAGAACTTGGGATATCACCGAAGGGGCGGGACAGAGAGGAAATCAAAGAGCAAGGCTTGGTCAAAAAGGTCAGAGGAGTGGAGGTGGGAGAGGGAAGAATGACCCTGAAGATTCAAGGTGATGGGCGGGAGACTGAGGGGAAATCGAGGCTCTTACCCGCGCCGCTCCCGGGCCTGTGAAAGCCCATGATCCGGTTGATGCGCTGTTCCGAGTTCATGAGCAGCTTTCTCCGACGCAGCTCCGCCCGACGCTGGGAAGCCGACAGACCTGAGCCCGCTGGGACCCCCGGCCTCTCCCCGCCGTCGGTAGCGACGGCCATCGACTCCATCCTCCCGTCCACAGTCTGGGAGGGGTGGCAGTGGCGGTGATGTTGGCCGCCGCTGCGAGGGCGATGACTAGAGGCCGGGCCGCAGGGCGCGCGTCCCCTTCCCACTATAGACCCGCCCCCGAGCGCGGTCCCGGAGCCTGTGAGCTAAGCACTCACGCACCGCCCCACGCGACCAAGCGCGAGGCTCTGGCCGCCATCTTGAGTGAGGGCAGCGCTGGACGCCCTCGTGCCTCCCCAACTCTTCTGGCCCTCACCCAACAGCCCCCTCTGCTGTTCACTCGGAGGTGAAGAAAACCAGCACCCAGGGCCGGGAGTGGTGGCTCACGCCTGTAATCCTAGCACTTTGGAAGGCCGAGGCGGGCGGATCACGAGGTCACGATTTCGAGAGTAGCCTGGCCAACATGGTGACCCCCTCCCCCCTCCCCCCACCCGTCTCTACTAAAAATACAAAAACTTAGCCGGGCGGGGTGGCGCGCGCCTGTAATCCCAGCTACTCGGGAGGCTGAGGCAGGAGAATCTCTTGGACCCAGGAGGCGGAGGTTGCAGTGAGCCGAGATCGCGCCACTGTTCTCCAGCCTGGGCTACAGAGCGAGACTCTGTCTCGAGAAAAAAAAAAAGAAAGAAAAGAAAACCGGGAGTGGGAAAGGGATGGCAGTAAGTAGGTCAGCCTAGATTTGGTGCCAGGAAGCAAAATGGAGGTTGCAGCGGCAGTCGCTTGTTTACAGACCCGCGGCCTCGCCTGTAGGCAATGGGAATACGTAACCCTGGGAGCCGCACTTAAAGGGAGCCTTACGCTGGGATTTGTTCTTGGTGCCTGTTCCTCATCCTTAACTTCTCTACGGCAAAGTATACGGCTGATGTGTTCCTAGGCTTTCCTCGCGTTTTGTGCGTTTTTATTCAAATTAGAATTTCCCATTGAAACCTTTCGTGCACATTCTATCTAAATTGCCAACACTCCCCATTCCCCTTCACCTTGTTTTTTCTCCTTGTCGTTCATGACCACCTCGCATGCTAAAGATGCTCCAGCCTGGGCGACAGAACGAGACTCCGTCTCAAAAAAAAAAAAGGAAAAGAAAAGAAAAAAACAAAAAGGCCGGGAGCGGTGGCTCACGTCTGTAATCCTAACTTTGGGAGGCCGAGGCAGGCGGATCACCTGAGGTCAGGAGTTCGAGACCAGCCTGGCCAATATGGCAAAACCCCGTCTCTACTAAAAATACAAAAATTAGCCTGACCTGGTGGCATGCACCTGTAATCCCAGCTACTTGGGAGGCTGAGGCAGGAGAATCGCTTGAACCTGGGAGGCAGAAATTGCAGTGAGCCGAGATCATGCCACTGCACTCCAGCCTGGGCGACAGAGGGAGACTCCGTCTCAAAAATACATATATAAAAGAAATAAATAAAATAAAATCAGAACAAATGACTGGGCGCGGTGGCTCATGCCTGTAATTCCAGCACTTTGTGAGGGCTGAGATGGGTGGATCACTTGAGGCCAGGAATTCGAGACCAGTCTGGCCAACGTGGCAAAACCCTGACTGTACTAAAAATACAAAAATTAGTCGGGCTTGGTGGCGTGTGCCTGTGGTCCCAGCTACTTGGGAGGCTAAGGTGGGAGGATCACCTGATCCTGGGGAGGTTGAAGCTGCAGTGAGCAATGATCGGGCCACTGCACTCCAGACTGGGTGACACAGTGAGACCCCATCTCAAAAAAGTTTTTTCAGAAAAAAATAATATATTTGCTATATTGTAATGGATCCAGTCTGGATTATAGTCATCATTAATAGCAATACAGTCATAAAATATAATTTTAAGTATGTTTTCAGGCAGGAAGGAGCCACAAAGGCAAAAGAGCTTAGGGCCCTTGAAAGTCATAATGCAGCCTTGGCATTCAGTAATGACTTACTAAGTGAATGATTAGATGAATGAAGGAATTGAATCCATCAACCCTTGCTAACAGGGAGCATGGCCAGTTCACACCTGAGGCTGAGGAGGGTTTTGAAGCAGCTTACTGGGTGGGCCCCCTGCAACTAAGCCTGCCACACAATCACCCTCAAAATAAGGAAGTGGGTGAAATACCACTTAGAAGATAATAAAATACTATATTTATATTAATACTGAAAAAGAAGTGAAAACAAAAGAAACTTCGGTTTGGATTCAACAACATAAGGAGCTCAAAGAATATACAGACTGAACTTTCACCCTTGATTGGATGAAAGTTAAATCCCAGGGACATCCACTAGTTAATAATTTTAAAGTATTAGAGGAAGTTCTTCTGCATATCTGCACAGACATAGATCTCTGAGCCCTAGACTTCCTTAAAACAATTTTACACACAACTGAAAATAATGGAAATAACTGTCAAATAGTAACAAATGTGCAGAATTTGATGAGGCACAGCCCTGATCAATCAAGACGGTTCCAGAAAGGGTTTGAGGAGCTAAATTAGAATTATAGTGTTATATTCAATGATATAAGCATCAAGCAAATTATTTCCAAGTAATATTTCATTCCTCCTTGAAACTGAGGAAGCCGTATAACTGAACTTGAACAGAATTATAAAAAATGTCTGGGCTGGCATGTGGGAGGTCCAGGCAGGAGGATCACTTGTGGCAAGGAGCTCAAGACTGACCTGGGCAACATAGTGAGACCCCCTTCTCTATTTAAAAACAAAGAAAAGAGATCGGGAGGCCAGGTGCGGTGGCTCACACCTTTAATCCCAGCACTTTGGGAGGCTGAGGTGGGTGGATCACTTGAGGTCAGGTGTTCGAAACCAACCTGGCCAACATGATGAAACCCATCTCCACTAAAAATACAAAAATTAGCCAGGCATGGTGGCACACACCTGTAATCCCAGCTACTCGGGAGGGTGAGGCAGGAGAATCACTCAAACCCAGGAGGCAGAGGTTGCAGTGAGCTGAGATTGCACCACTGCACTCTAGCCTGGGCGACAGAGTGAAACTCTGTCTCAGAAAAACAAAAAAAAAGAGTCCAGGCGCAGTGGCTCACACCTGTAATCCCAACGCTTTGGGAGGCCAAGGTGGGAGGACTGCTTAAGCTTAGGAGTTCAAGACCAGCCTGGGTAACATAGTGAGACCTCGTCTCTAGAAAAAAAAAAAAATCAAAAAATTTAAAAAAATTTAAAACGAGGCAGGAAGTTTGCTGCAATGAGCCATGATTGCATCACTCCACAACCACCTGGGTGATAGAGCTAGACCTTGTCTCAAAAGAAAAAGAGTAAAAGAATGAATTGATGAAACTGCTTAAAAGAAATTCAAGAACAATTTTCAGAAATTAGCAAATTACTTCCTCTAAATTCCATAATGAGTCAAATTTTTATTTTTATAAACACAGGGTCTTACTCTATGGCCTAGGCTGGAGTGCAGGGGCACAATCATAGCTCACTGCAGCCTACAGCCTTGAACTCCTGGGCTCAAGCAATCCTCCTGCTTCTGCCTCCTGAGTAGCTAAGGCTACAGGATTGAGCCCAGATAATTTTTTTTTTTTTTGAGATGGAGTCTTGCTCTGTCGCCCAGGCTGGAGTGCAGTGGCGCAATCTTGGCTCACTGCAAGCTCCGCCTCCTGGGTTCAAACCATTCTCCTGCCTCAGCCTCCCAAGTAGCTGAGACTACAGGCGCCGGCCACCACACCCGGCTAATTTTTTTTGTATTTTTAGTAGAGACGGGGTTTCACCGTGTTAGCCAGGATGGTCTCGATCTCCTGACCTCGTGATCCGCCCGCCTTGGCCTCCCAAAGTGCTGGGATTACAGGCATGAGCCACCGTCCCCGGCCGAGCCCAGATAATTTTTTAAAAAAAATTTTTTGTAGAGATGGGGTCTCTATGTTGCTGGTCTTAAATTCCTGGGCTCAAACAATCCAATCTTCTCAGCCTCCCAAAGTGCTGGGATTACAGGTGTGAGCCCCTGGACCCAGCCAGAAATTTTATTTCAATAATTTTCTCAAGTATAGTTGTTAAACACCCTTAAACACTCAAAGTTTAAAAGAAACAGAGTGAATTAACAGTTTCAATAGGAGACATGTCAATAGTCCTCTCCTTAATGAGAATGGAGCTTAGTATAACAAACTGAAAGCCAAGTAATGAACCTCATGAAATAAATGTAATTTTAGATGGTACTGAATATTTTGTTTTACAGTATTTATTTATTTATTTACTCTGTCGCCAAGGCTAGAGTGCAGTGGTGCCATCTCTCGGCTCAGTGCAACCTCCACCTCCTGGGTTCAAGCTATTCTCCTGCCTCAGCCTCCTGAGTAGCTGGGATTACAGGCGCGCACCACCATGCCCAGCTAATTTTTGTAATTTTAGTAGAAATGGGGTTTCCGCATGTTGGCCAGGCTGGTCTCCAACTCCTGACCTCAGGTGATCCACCTGCCTCGGCCTCCCAAAGTGCTGAGATTACAGGCGTGAGCCACCGCGCCGGGCCTATATTAACTTTTAGTATGTTATAAACACTGCAAAACAGGCCGGGCATGGTGGCACACGCCTGTAGTCCCAGCTACTTGGGAGACTGAGGCACGAGAATCGCTTGAACTCAGGAGGTGGAGGTGGCAGTGAGCCAAGATCATGCCATTGCACTCCAGCCAGGGTGACAGAGGGAGACTACGTCGCAAAAAAAAAAAAAAAAGTTAATATAAATGTGTGGATGTTGCCGTGGTTTGGGACAAAATCATTTGGCTCCTTGGATAATGTTACTCTCCGATGTTACCCCAGGGTGACACTGATGAGGATTTCTGCTACTCTAGGAGAGTGGCAATTTAAGGTTTCTGGCCTCCCTTGCTCAGGCAGTCCCCATGCTTTTTTTTATTCTTTGAGACAGAGTCTCCCTCTGTTGCCCAGGCTGGAGTGCAGTGGCTCCAACGGGGCTCACTGCAGCCTTGACTTCCCAGGCTCAACTGATCCTCTCACCTAGCCTCCCAAGTAGCTGAGACCACAGGTACATGCCACCACAGCTGGCTATTTTTTATTTATTTATTTATTTAGAGACAAAGTCTCTTGCTCTATCACCCAGGCTGGAGGGCAGTGGTGCGATCTCGGCTCACTGCAACCTCCACCTCCCGGGTTCAAGTGATTTTCCTGCCTCAGCCTCCCAAGTAGCTGGGACTACAGGCATGTGCCAGCATGCTTGGCTAATTTTTTGCGTTTCTAATAGAGATGGGGTTTCATTGTGTTAGCCAGGATTGTCTCAATCTCCTGACCTTGTGATCCACCCGCCTCGGCCTCCCAAAGTGCTGGGATTACAGGTGTGAGCCACTGCACCTGGCCTATTTTTTATTTTTAAAGACAGGGTCTTGCCATGTTGCCCAGGCTGTTCTTGAACTTCTGAGCTCAAGCAATCCTCCTGCCTCAGACTCCCAAAGTGCTGGGATTACAGGCATGAGCTACCACGCTTGGCCTCTCCAGGCTTGTGAAGCCCTCCTGTACCTGCTGTTTTCAGCACTCCTATAAAGTGAATTATTTTCATGCCTCATCTCTTTTGCCAAATCATTGCACATGAGTATTATCCTGACTCAAAACCCCTAATACTTGAAGGAAGAATTCAGGGAGAAAGCTTCCAACACAGACCAATTGGTTTGTGCTGACCTTGCCATAACCCTGGCTGAATTGCTAAGAATCTTATCCTTTTAAATGATACTGCAGTTGGATGTCACCACGGAGAAGCACGATTTGAGGAAGTGATAATTATGACACACTGATTAATCCTGCCAACCAATATAAAGAAATAGTCCCCGTTCATGAGGACAAACCCATGCTCCAAATCATAACATGCTGATGATAAATTAGCATTCTCATAATATGTGGTAGGAACTAAAAAAAGTCTCTTGATTTATAATAGTAATCACTTAAAACTTAACATAGGTAAAATATTCACAAAAAGGAAAAAACAAAAACAAAACAAAAAACTGGCTGGGCATGGTGGCTCACACCTGTAATCCCAGCACTTTGATAGGCCGAGGCTGGAGGATCACTTGAGCCCAGACACTCGAGACCAGCCTGGGCAACATGGTGAAACCCCATCTCTACGAAAACTACAAAAAATAAAAATAAATAAAAATAGCCTGTAATCCCAGTCACTTGGGAGGCTGAGGTGGGAGAATCCTTTGAGCCCAGCAGGTCAAGGCTGCAGCGAGTTATGATCCTGTCAATGCACTTACTGTGTGACAGTGAGACCTTGTCTAAAAAAAAAGAAAAAAAAAATGAACATGTAGATGCTCAATGAATAACTGTGAAAACTTGGAATTAATTCATATTTCCAATATTGAGAGAAAAATAATAAATATTGATTAAATAGCTAATAATATGCTATTATGCAAACACTAGCAATGCTAAAGTAGTATGTATAATGTATAATGCAAAATTGAATCTTAACTATGATTTATGAGAGAATACAAAATTCAAATGCATTGAACAAAGAGTGGAAGGGAATAGGGAACATAAAAAGACACCTTTTATGATTGTGGATGGACTTTCTAGTTTCACTAAGTTATGTCTGAGCTTGTTCATTCATTCATCAATTATTTGAATGCCTAATATATATCAGCTACTAAGCTAGTTAAGAGTGTAAGAGTGTTAAATTTTCAGGTGGAAATAAATTCCCAGGAAACAATCCTCTACCATCTCAGTGTCTCACCAGTTATCTAAAATAGTAGTGTTTTTTGATAATCTCTAGGTTGTAAACCCTCAAATTGGCATTCATAAAGCAATTGTGAAGACCTATTTAGAATGTAATTAGTGAACATCTAAAAAAGAAAGGTTAAATTATAAGAAAGAAACTCATATTCAGAGAGGTCCAATCTCCTTTTGTCGTAGTCAATGTCTAAAGGAAACAAACATAACTTAGGGTTGTGGGTATCTACCTAGAAAAGCGTCTAACCTCTTAAACATACAAGTAACAACGTGTCTCTTCCCTCTTCTCCTTTAATAACAAAGTTGGCTAAATATAATCCCAGGGTAAACAAAAGATTTTTTCATTTGAGATAGCCTATAAAAGCCAGATGAAAGTTTCAGTTCTTTAGATAGATGTTTTGAAATATGATGGCTCATTTAAGTCAGGTGAGAGTTAAAGTGTCAAGATTTCATGTTATGTGCTTACCAATGTCTGGGGAACCTTTTCCTGGTGGGGTTTCTGTAGTTTCAGTTATCCTTCCTAGCACATCTCAGTGGTATGTGATTCTTTGATAAATGATGTGCATACATTCATACTAATTTCTATCTCCCTCACTATAGACTTTACAAGGGCAGGCCCTTCCTTTTTTTTTTTTTTTTTTTTTTGAGACGGAGTCTTGCCCTGTCACCCTGCTAGAGTGCAATGGCACTATCTTAGCTCACTGCAACCTCCACCTCCCAGGTTCAAGCGATTCTCCTGCCTCAGCCTCCCGAGTAGCTGGAATTACAGGCACATGCCACCATGCCCAGCTAATTTTTTGTATCTTTAGTAGAGACGGGGTTTAACCATGTTGGCCAGGCTGGTCTTGAACTCCTGACCTTGTGATGCGCCAGCCTCGGTCTCCCAAAGTGCTGAGATTACAGGCATGAGCCACCACACCCGGCCAGGCCCTTCCCTTTTTTAAAAAAAGTACCACTTTGCCCCAAGTCTAGCACTGAGTACCAGACTTTAGTACTAGACTAAATTTACCAGAATATTTGCAGAAATTTTTCTCTTAGAGCAAGTGTCAAAACTTGGCATTTTCAGTGACTTTTTTATATGATTTGTATTTGATCCTAGTATTTTTTTAGGTAGGCTAATATTAGTAATTTTTAAAATAAACTGTAGATACAAAGCTGAACAGATTGAATAGCAATAATTAAGTGATAAAATTAGAATCCAGTTTTTGGGGTTACAATTATGGCAGTAAGTTGATGCTTGGATTCCTCTACTACACACAGTTAAAAATAAAAAAGGAGACAAAAGATAGCTTGCTTGATTCAAAACCATGAGAGGAACATCTCAGCAGATCAAAGAGTCAGAAACACAAGGAAGTGTAGAGTTGAAATCAGATGCCTGGTGGGCTGCAGGTCCAGAAGCAGGAGAAAGAGAACATTTTATGGGGTGACAGGCATTATTCATGCTCTATATGAGACAAGGAAGACCAGACCAAACTGTTTAAAGCCTGTCCTCACTCCAAAATGTTCAAATCATAACTCGCTATTGACCTACACAGCCTTGGATTTCCGCTTTAAAAGAAAGAAGGCAGAAGGGAGGGCAACAATTACACTTCCCACTATAGGTGACTGCAATGATGATATCCCCAAATCATTACAGAATAGGAGCCCAGAAGCACCACTAAGAGCCCTAGTTCTGGAAAAGGGGTCAGGAAAAGGCAATTATAAAACCCTTAGATAAGAGGTAGGCATAAACAAAGAGAGAAGAACTAAAACAAAAATAAAAATACTTCCCCTCAAATATGCCTGAAAACCCATATTCCAACGAACATGAAGAAATACAACACTTAAATTCTTCCAGCCGAGTTAAAAGTTGGAATAGAAATTTATTCCAGAAAGAATTAATTTTATAGAACAGTTTTCAAATATTTGAAAAGGAAATGGCTGGGAGTTTTTCAGAATTGTAGACAAGAATCTTTAAAGTGTGCTCTGAATAACAAGCAGGATAAAAAAATAAACAACAGGCTGGGTGCGGTGGCTTATGCCTGTAATCCCAGCATTTTGGGAGGCCGAGGCGGGCGGATAACCTGAGGTCGGGAGTTCGAGACCAGCCTGACCAACATAGAGAAACCCCGTCTCTACTAAAAATACAAAATTAGCCAGGTGTGGTGCTGCATGCCTGTAATCCCAGCTACTTGGGAGGCTGAGGCAGGAGAATTGCTTGAACCCGGGAGGTGGAGGTTGCAGTGAGCCGAGATCATGCCATTGCACTCCAGCCTGGGCAACAAGAGTGAAACTCTGTCTCAAAAAAATAAACAACAACAACAACAACAAACCAACAGTAATAAAACTATAGTACATTAAGGATAAAAGCCAAGACAGGTGGATCACTTGAGGCTAGGAGCTCGAGACCAGCCTCGTCAACATGGTGAAACTCTGTCTCTATTAAAAATACAAAAATTACAGGCATGCGCCACCACGCCCGGCTTATTTTGTATTTTTAGTAGAGATGGGGTTTCTCCATGTTGGTCAGGCTGGTCTTGAACTCCCAACCTCAGGTGATCCACCTGCCTCAGCTTCCCAAAGTGCTGGGATTACAGGCATGAGCCACCGCGCCTGGCCAGTTATCTTTTTATGACACAAGGGTACAGAAAACAATGGAGTAATATCTTAACATTATCAATGGAAAAATAACCTTTGATATAGAATTTCAAACCCAGCTATCCTTGAGAAGCAAGCATCAAGAATTCAGTTTATGACCTCCCAGACATCTACATAGGCTATTTAAAGCATCTTCAGCAATAATTTTTTCACTGACATAATTTGGATGCACAACATAGCACTACTTAGTAATTGGCAAGTTGTTCGTGTCACTTTTTACTTAAAGAGACAGGGTCTTGCTTTCTTGCCCTGGGTGGAATGCAGTGGCACAATCATGGTTCATTGCAGCTTCACACTCCTAGGGTTAAGGGATCCCCCTGCCTCAGCCTCCTGAGTAGCTGGGACTACAAGCGTGAGTCACCATGCCCCGCCACCTTTTTTTTTTTTTTTTTTTGTGACTGAGTCTCACACTGTCACCCAGGCTGGAGTACAGTGGCGCGATCTCGGCTCACTGCAACCTCTGCTTCCCAGGTTCAAACGATTCTCCTGCCTCAGCCTCCCAAGTAGCTGGGATTACAGGTGCCCATCACCACGCCCAGCTAATTTTTTGTATTTTTAGTAGAGATGGGGTTTCACTATGTCGGCCAGGCTGGTCTCAAACTCCTGACCTTGTGATCCTCCCATCTCGGCCTCCCAAAGTGCTGGGATTACAGCACTTTTTTCTACTGGGATTACACTTTTTTTTTTTTTGAGATGGAGTCTCGCTCTGTTGCCCAGGCCGGAATACAGTGGCGCGATCTCAGCTCCCTGCAACCTCCGCCTCTCGAGTTCAAGCAAATCTCATGCCTCAGCTTCCCAAGTAGCTGGGATTACAGGCACCTGCCACCATGCCCAGCTAATTTTTGTATTTTTAGTAGAAACGGAGTTTCACCATATTGGCCAGGGTGGTCTCAAACTCCTGACCTCAGGTGATCTGCCCGCCTCGGCCTCCCAAAGTTTTGGGATTACAGGCATGAGCCACCACACCTGGACTTTTTTTTTTTTTTTTAGATGGAGTTTTGCTCTTGTTCCCCAAGCTGGAGTGCAATGGCACGATCTGGGATCACTGCAACCTCGGCCAGGGTTCAAGCGATTCTCCTGCCTCAGCCTCCCAAGTAGCTGGGATTACAGGCATGCGCCACCATGCCTGGCTAAGTTTTTGTACTTTTAGTAGAAATGGGGTTTCACCATATTGGCCAGGCTGGTCTCGAACTCCTGACCTCAGGTGATCCACCTGCCTTGGCCTCCCAAAGTGCTAGGATTACAGGCGTGAGCCACCACGCCCAGCCTACTTTTAAAAACTATTTTGTAGAGACAAGTTTTCGCCACCTGGCCCAGACAGGTCTTCAACTCCAGGCCTCAAGTGATCCTTACACCTGGGCCTCCCAAACTGCTGGGATTACAGGTGTGGGCCACCATACCAGGCTCATATCACTTTAAATAACTAGTCACTATATATAAGCTCTTTTCAATTAACTTTATTGAATAGCCAAGTTGATAAGTTAGCATAGATCAAACAATGGTCTGCATGGGTTACAAATGACTTTTTTTTTTTTTTAACAGGAATAAAACAGTGAAAATTACAAACTGTAAAAAGGAAGACAAATCTTGTCTCCAACTTTTCAGAGAAGCAAGATTTAACACAGCACATTGAAGATCAATACATATTTGAATTTAAGAACAAGAATTTAATATTACAATATTATACACTACTTTACAAAATTAAAATTTCTATATAAGGATTACATTTGTAATAGTTAACAAAATTTTGAAATCACATTTGGTGGTCCCCTAGATAATAGCTGTTATGCATCTTTGATTAGAAGAAATAAATCTTTATTCTAATTATTGCAAAACAGTCTATTAGACTCAATACATTAAATTAAAAACAGTGAAAATATATGCAAACTAAAATAAATGGTACTGCTTGAGTGACTATTAGTATGTCAGACTTACAGAAATGTTATTTTAAAAATCCTAGAAATTAGAAAAATAGAGTACTTTTTATGGTAGAACTGCCATGCTCAGATTTAAATACCAAGATTGCCCTTGTCTGTTACATTAGTAGTTGTAGATCTGTAGAAAATTCAAGGATCTTTCATAATTTACAACTATAATTAAAAAAAATATGGCATAGTGTAAATATTAGTCGCTTTACATCAAAAAGTAATACAAGATGATATGGCAGGTAGTGCCCTATTGGGGGAAAAAAAAAGAATCAAACTAAAAAACACATTCAACATTGCAAAAAATAATTGCCTTATATCAGTATCTCCAAAGGCTCATTCATTCTCTCATTATGTGGAGAACAAATATTGTGAATCCTAACTAAAGTTATGTTTTTCATGACCTGTTATAAAATTATTCTGAATTGCACATGTTACACCGTATCTAAAATAATATTTAAAAGTAAATTTGTGAAATATACTAAAAAAGCATGTGGTAATAACAAGAGTCATACCCACTTAGGGATGTAGTGAGGCACAAGGAAGATTATCCCTAAAAGCACAAATGTTTCCCTCTAGAAGATTCTTTACTACTAAGAAAGGACCTACAAATAACTCCATTTAAAATCACATTAAGAGGAACATTTTAGTTATTTTAAGAAACATCAGCATATAACGACTGTTTCTTTAAAAGAGGGGATAATATAATTCGCTACAATTTGAAAATTGCTTCTTAATAGATGAAGCAGCTTTCAAGAAAACTTCCAGTTCAATGTGCCACTTACACACTGCAAACCAACCTTAACACTGCTTAAGGGAGATATTTTCATAAAACATGATTATTTTGATCCAGCTGGCAAGCAGTAGTTGTATACTGTAGAGGGACTGCTTCTTCCCTATCCCAAACAACTCAGTTAAAGTCAGCTCATATTGATATAAACCTGGAAGTTACTATTCCATTGGTGATCATATAAGACCAAGATTGTAAACATTTTCTAACCCATTAAAACAAAACAAAAAACCCAAAAATATTTTGATCAAGTATTATACATGAACATATTTAAGAAATTCTTAAGACAAAATGAATCTGTGAAAACTGAGCCAAACTCTTAAAGATACTATGTCACAGCACTTTAAATATACAAATGTATAATTTACCTATTTGTAAACAAAATTCACTCAATAGTTTTGACTATAATATTTCTCTAGCTGAATCAAGAAAGCAGTCTCTTAAGGATTTTCAGAAGTCAAGTTTCTTTCATAACTTTAATATGTTGGATGTGTATAATCTTAATATCCACCAAATCAAACAGCAGCATTTATGCTTTCATAGATTTTCATATTCAAGCATAAATATTTCTTATGAATGACTTCCAATTTAACAATTAAACTCCTTAGAAAAATGTTACTGATGTATTTGGATAGCACTTTAGAAACCTTTCATTTCTTCACTCATTTCACCAAAAACCCCCACTTTTATTATATACCCAGAGCAGAAATGCACCAAATAAAATCCACTTAAAGGATCAAGATAATTAAAGTTTCTTATCTCCCTATTATCATTGCTAGTCCCAGTGTTTATGAAGACAGCTCAAATTCTTTTCACTATAGATTAAGACAGTATGTCCAACTCTTCATCAGGAAATCAGAAAACCACCTAATGATAGTTCTCACTTCAAATCAAAGTGACTTTGTTCTTCAAGCATAAAGAATACTGACAGATTTTAAAGCTTGAATGTGTTTCTTCATATTTTTCTCAAGCTATACTAGAATTAGTTTAGTTTTAGTCAACATGATCCTTTCCCTTAACAAAGAAAAAAAAAAGACACGTGTGGGGAATGAATTCTAGTTTTCCTACATTATATTTACTTTCCATTGTTTTTATTTTAAAAACATCACTACCAATCAATTTGTAACTTCCCTGCAACACTTAGGTTTGTGAGGTTTTAAATGTAGCAGCCAAAGATTCAGAAAAATTAAAAATGAGAAATATACATGTAGAACACAGAAATCTTTATTTTACAAAATGTACTTTGCCTCTGCAATATTCTTATTTTAATCCATAACAACTCAAACATAATTGGCAAGAAAAAAGTATCCAATCATACGTAGCTATATTCTGATTTGAAAAATACAGTATTTCAGAGTTGCATGTTTGATTCTCTGCTGTGGTCTTTTATTTGCTATAGGTTGTTGAAATCACAGTGAGAACATCTCAATCATCACATTAGTCCACAAACATAATAGAAAAAGAAGGTATTACACATTTCCAGGTATTCTGCACTATCGTGACATTCCTTAAAAATAAGTCAAATTTCTTCATTCATTCATTTATTCACTTGTTGCTGTATATGCAACAGGAATTCATAATATGATAATGCAGATTCTGTTCTGTCTTCTATCATGTTTTGAAGGAAGTTTGCTTTCATTGGACTCTCATCCCTTAGGAATAAAAGGCAAAAAAATTTAGATAAAATGTAGCAGTAAAATAGACTTGTCAGAAGGCTTTTGATTTCCTCATAACCCTAATAACATTTACTATATAAACAGTTACTTCTAGAGGCTTTCTCTGAGAATACTTGGTTGATTATGTAAATTTCAAGTTGTTTAAGGGAAAAGCTTATGGTGGAATTAAGAGAAATAGTTGATCCAGAAATTCCATTTCTGAATATATATCCAAAGGAATTGAAATCAGTATATCAAAGAGATGTCTGCACTTCCATGATCACTGCAGCATTAATCACAATAGCCACGATATGGAAATAACTGAATGGATTTTTCAAATGTGGTATATATATACAATGGAATTCTACCGAGCCTTTTTTTTTTTTTTGAGATGGAGTTTTACTCTTGTTGCCCAGGCTGGAGTGCAATGGCACGATCCTGGCTCACCACAACCTCCACCTCCTGGGTTCAAGCTATTCTCCTGCCTCAGCCTCCCGAGTAGCTGGGATTACAGGCATGTGCCACCATGCCAGGCTAATTTTGTATTTTTAGTAGAGACGGGGTTTCTCCATGTTGGTCAGGCTGGTCTCGAACTCCCAACCTCAGGTGATCTGCCCGCCTCGACCTCTCAAAGTGCTGGGATTACAGGCATGAGCCACCGCGCCCGGCGACTTCAGCCTTTAAAAAACAGGAAATTCTGTCATTTGTGACATTATGCTGAGTGAAATAAACCAGGCACAGAGAGACAAACACCACACGATCTTACTTATGTGTGGAACCTAAAAAAGTTGAACTCATATAAGTAGAAAGTAGAATTATGGTTATTAGAGGCTAGGAGGCAGGAAGTGGCTATGGAGAAGGAAAGAAGAAATGTTAGTCAAAGGGTACAAAATTTCAGTTAGGATGAATGGATTCTGGTGATCTATTACACAGTATGATGACTATGGTTAATAATGATGTATTGTATATTTTAAAATAGGCAAAATAATGGATTTTAAATGTTCTCACCACAAGGAAACAATAATTGGCTGAGAAGATGAATATGTTAATTAGCCGAATTTGATCATTCCACAATGTATACATGTATCAATAAATTAGTGTACCCCATAAATATATACACTTATTATTAGTCAATTAAAAATGAAAAAAGTTCTGTATTTCCAATCATTGGATATAAGGTATGATTTACTGCTATTTATTGAGAAGAACTCTTTTTCTTTCTTCTTTTTTTTTGCTATACTCTTGTCAGGTCCTGGCAAGGCCAAACAAATTGTTTTACTACTAGCAAATGGAAAATTCAACTTACCTTATTACATAAAGTATTGGGAAAAATGGTCTCTGCTCTCTAAGCCAAGAGATGAAAGCTATTATTCTGGCAGATTCTGGTGTATCAAGTTCTGGAAGGTCTGTCTGTTAACCAAAACCAACAATATCCAATTACTTTAATTACATATCTAATGTATGGTCTATGGTACTTTTCAAATTTTTATTTTTTTAATTACATTTTTTTTCTTTTTTGAGACAAGGCCTCTGTTGACAGGCTGGAGTGCAGTGGCATAATCATGGCTCACTGCAGTCTCAACCTCCAGGCTCCGGTGATCCTCCCACCATAGCCTTCTGAATAGTTGGGACTACAGATGCGTGCCACCATGCCTGGCTAATTTTTATATTTCTTGTAGAGATGGGTTTTGCCATGTTGCCCAGGCTGATTTCGAACTCCTGGGCTCAGGCGATACACCTGCCTCGGCCTCCCGAAGTGCTGGGATTACAGGAGTGAGCCACAGTGCCCGGTCTACTTCTCAAATTTAACTTATTTTTTGAGACAAGGTCTTGCTCTGTTGCCCAGGCTGAAGTGCACTGGTGTGATCATGGCTCACTGTAACCTCCACTGCCTCCTGAGGCTCAAGTGATTCTCTCACCTCAGCCCCACCAAGTAGCTGGAATAAGAGGCGTGTGCCACCTGCCAGGTAATTTTTGTATTTTTAGTAGAGACGAGTATCTCACCACGTTGCTCAGGCTGGTCTTGAACTCCTGGGCTTAAGCAATCTGCCCACCTCGGCCTCCCAAAGTTCTGGGATAACAGGTGTGAGCCACCATGCCTGGTCTTGAATTTTAACATGTATATGAATCACCTGATCATCTTCTTGAACTACAGATAATGATTTAGGAGGTCTGGGGCAGGGTTGTGGTCCTGAGATTTTGCTTTCCTAAAAAATTCCTGCAGTGATGCCAGTGCAACTTGACTTGGGAACACAATTTTCTACGAATATTCTAGAACAGGAGTAGGCAAACTTCTTAAAGGCCCATATAGTAAGTACTTTAGGCTTGCAGATCATTTGGTCTCTGCTGCAACTACTTAACTTTGCCATTGTTTTTTATTTTTTGAGACAGAGTTTCGCTCTTGTTGCCCAGGCTGGAGTGCAATGGCGTGATATTGGCTCACTGCAACCTCTGCCTCCCAGATTCAAGCGATTCGCCTGCCAGAGATTCTCCTGCCTCAGCCTCCAGAGTAGCTGGGAGAGTAGTTGGGATTACAGGTGTGCGCCACCACACCCGGCTAATTTTGTATTTTTAGTAGAGATGGGGGTTTCTCCATGTTGGCCAGGCTGGTCTCGAACTCCTGACCTCAGGTCATTCGCCCACCTCGCCTTGAGACGGGGGTTTCTCCATGTTGGGCAGGCTGGTCTTGAACTCCCGACCTCAGGTGATTCGCCAGCCTCGGCCTCCCAAAGCGCTGAGATTACAGGTGTGAGCCACCACGCCCGGGCAACCTTGCCATTGTTACACCAAAGTAGCCATAAACAATACATAAGTGAACAGGCATGGATGTTCCAATAAAACCTTATTTACAAAAACAAGTAGCAGGTACCCCTTGGGCATAGTTTCTAAGCCCTCATCTAAAAAAACCTCTTAGTTCTTCCCTTCATTTTAGCATGACGTCAAGAATTAATTGATTCGTTCAGTTATTATTAAAAATATAACAATTTCTTACTCATTACCTAAAACGCTTAGTCATCCAGCCCAGTAGTTCTGTTTAAGGCCTGAAAGCCAGTGCTTATCCTAGCTATAATCCTGACACAGCAGTCTTTTATTTATTTATTTTTTGAGACAGGTTCTTGCTCTGTTGCCCAGGCGGGAGTGCAGCAGCATAATCACTGCTCACTTCAGCCTCAACCTCCCAGGTCCTAGCACTCCTCCCATTTCAGCCTCGTAAGTAGCTAAGACCACAGTTGTGTGCCACCATGCCCAGCTATTTTAAAAATGTTCTGTAGTTATGGGGTCTCACTATGTTGCTTAGGGTGGTCTCAAACTCCAGGGCTCAAGTGATCCTCCCACCTCAGCCTCCCAAGGTGCTGGGACTACCAGTGTGAGCCACCACGCCTGGCATATCTATCTTTTTTTTTTTTTTTTTTTTGAGATGGAGTCTCACTCTGTTGCCAGGCTGGAGTGCAGTGGTACAATCTTGGCTCACTGCAATGTCCACCTCCTGGGTTCAAGCGATTCTCCTGCCTCAATCTCCTGAGTAGCTGGGACTACAGGTGTGCGCCACCACGCCCAACTAATTTTTGTATTTTTAGTAGAGAAGGGGGTTCACCATGTTGGCCAGGATGGTCTCGATCTCTTGACCTCGTGATCAGCCCGCCCTGGCCTCCCAAAGTGCTGGGATTACAGTGTGAGCCGCTGTGGCTGGCATATCTGCCTTTTAAATATATAAATTCCCTAATGATTCTATGAGTGGAGTCATAGAATCCATCAACATGAAAACCCATCAATAAAAATTTTTGGTATGATTTTGTTATTATTTTCTGATATCAAAATAGGGGATATTCATGTTTTTGCCAACTTTGAAATGCCCTTTATAATCACTATAATAAAAGAGTCTTACCATAGGCTGTGGAATTGATGCATAGTTTTGAACTCCTAGAACTTGGCTGAGAAAATTCTGTGTACAATTTTTTCCAACCCAAAGCATCAGTACCTAGGGACAGGAATAAAATTATTTTGAGATGCAGCATACATAAAGGTGAGTCTGTTGAGTGAGTACATTTTATTTTTATTTTATATATATATTTGTGAGATAGGGTCTCACTCTGTCACCCAGGCTGGAGTGCAGTGGTGTAATCTCGGCTCACTGCAACCTCCGACTCCTGGGTTCAAGCGATTTCCCACCTCAGCCTCCAGAGTAGCTGGGACTACAGGCGTGTGCCACCATGCCCAGCTAATTTTTGTATTTTTAGTAGAGATGGGGTTTCACCATATTGGCCAGGCTAGTCTTGAACTCCTGACCTCAAGAGATCTGCCTGCCTCAGCCTCCCAAAGTGCTGGGATTACAGGTGTGAGCCACCACACCCAGCTTGAGTATATTTTAAAAGGTCAAAAAGGTAAGTATATTTAGTGAGATTGTACAGCCTTTAACTGAATTAATAATAATTAGTATTTACCTGATGAGACATTTTATGCTTGGCATGAAACAAGGAAGATATGGAGGGGAAAGGTGGCAGACAAATGTACTGCCATGAATCCACTGAACAATGTGGATACATGCTGAGAAACGTGTTGTTAAGTGATTTCTCTGTATGAACATCATAGAGTGGATTTACACAAGCCTTAATGGTATAGCCTACTGTACCTAGGCTACAAACGTCTATAGCATGTTACTGTACTGAATACTGTAGGCAACTGTAAAACAATGCTAAGTATTTGTGTATCTAAACATAGGAAAGGTATAGTAAAAATATGGCAGAAGGGATAAACAGTACACCTGTATAGGGCACTTAACCACGAATGGAGTGCACAAGACTGAAAGTTGCTCTGGGTGAGTCAGTGAGTGATGAGTGAATGTAAAGGCCTAGGACATTACTGGACACTGCTATAAACTTTACAAACACTGTACATTTAGGCTACACTAGAGATATATAAAAAAATTTCTTTCTTCAATAATTAATCGTAGTTTACTATAACTTTATAAACTTCTTTTAATTTTTTTTTTTGAGACGTAGTTTTGCTCTTGTTGCCCAGGCTGGAGTGCAATGGCACGATCTTGGCTCACCACAACCTCCACCTCCCAGGTTCAAGTGATTCTCCTGCCTCAGCCTCCCAAGTAGCTGGGATTACAGGCATGTGCCACCACGCCTGGCTAATTTTGTATTTTTAGTAGAGACGTGGTTTCTCCACGTTGGTCAGGCTGGTCTTGAACTCCCGACCTAAGGTGATCCGCCCGCCTTGGCATCTCTAAGTGCTGGGATTACAGGTGTGGGCTACTGCGCCCAGTCTCTTAATTTTGTTTTTGAGACAGGGCCTTGTTCTGCTGCCCAGGCTGGAGTGCAGTGGTATGATCTCAGCTCACTGCAGCCTCAACCTCCTGGGTTCAGGTGATCTTCCCACATCAGCCTCCCAAGTAGCTGGTATTACAGGTGCACGTGACCACGCCTGGATTTGGTATTTTGAGTAGAGACAGGGTTTTGCTATATTGCCCAGGCTGTTCTCGAATTCCTGGGCTAAAGGAATCTGCCATCCTCGGCCTCCCAAAAGGTTGGGATTACAGATGTGAGCTACTGGGCCCAGCCAACTTCTTCTTTTTTTTTTTTTTTTTTTGAGACTAGGTATCAGTTTGTTGCCCAGGCTGGAGTGCAGTGGTGTGATCTCAGCTTACTGAAGCCTCAGCCTCCCCAGCTCAGATGATTCTCACACCTCAGCCTTCTGAGTTGCTGGGACTACAGCCTGGAGCCACTATGTCTGGCTAACATTTGCATTTTGAGTAGAGACAGGGTTTCACCATGTTGCCCCGGCTGGTCTCGAATTCCTGACCTCAAGCAATCCGCCTGCCTTGGCATCCTAAAGCGCTGCAATTACAGGCATAAGCCACCATGCCCGGACAAATTATTTTAATTTTTTGACTCTTTTGTAATAACACTTAGCTTAAAACACACATTGTACAGTTGTACAAAAATATTCTTTATATCATTATTCTATAAGCATTTTTCTATTTTAAATTTTTTTTTTTTTTTTGAGACAGTCTTGCTCTGTTGCCCAGGCTAGAGTGCAGTGGTGCAATCTTGGCTCACTGCAACCTCTGCCTCCTGGGTTCAAGCGATTCTCCTGCCTCGGCTTCCCAAGTAGTTAGGATTACAGGCATGCCCCACCACGCTCGGTTAATTTCTTTGTATTTTTAGTAGAGATTTTCACCATGTTGGTCAGGCGGGTCTTGAACTCCTGACCTCAAATGATCTACCTGCCTCGGCCTCCCAAAGTGCTGGGATTATAGGCATGAGCCACCGTGCCCGGCCCTATTTTTAAAATTTTTTATCTTTTACTTTTTAAATTGTTTTGTTAAATACTGAAACACAAACACACATTAGCCCAGGCCTATACAGCGTCAAGATCATCAATCTCACTGTCTTCCACCTCCACATCTTGTCTCATTAGAAGGTCTCCAGGGGCAGTAACATGCATAGAGATGTCATCTCCTATGATAATAAGATCTTCTTTTAGAATACCTCCTCAAGGACCCGCCTAAGGTTAACTTTTTAAAAAATTAAGTAGGAGTACATTCCAAAGCAATAATAAAAAAAAATAGCATAGTAAATACTAAATGATACGAATTCTTCAGCTCCATTATAAATCTTATGGGACCACCATCATATAAGCCATGACTTACACATCATTAATCAGTGTACGACTGTATATAGGTTAAAATATGAAATCTGTTCAGGAAGAGAGATATTAAAGGGAATGAAACCAAATGCTAAATTAAAACAGTATAGTAGTTTGCAGTGAGGGTCAGGATAAGTCAAATTACTTACAGAGCCTGCATCCATGAGGAAAGCTCCATCTCTGCTCAGCTTCTCCACTGAAAGCTGAAGAATGGGGGGCTGAGGTATGGTTCTATCACTGATGTTGAGTGCTCCCTGAGGAATTAAGTAAAAGAGTAAAGGTTTTAAATATAGGAAATATGGAGTCACAGTTAAACAACAACAAAAAATTAAATGAATGTTACCTCTACAAGTCTGGGCCTTGCTTAGGTAAATCACAATTATTCTTATTTATTTATTTATTTATTTGAGACGGAGTTTCGCTCTTGTTGCCCAAGCTGAAATGTAATGGCACAATCTCAGCTCACCACAACCTCTACCTCCTGGGTTCAAGCGATTCTCCTGCCTCAGCCTCCCGAGTAGCTGGGATTACAGGCATGCACCACAACACCCAGCTAATTTTGTATTTTTAGTAGAGACGGAGTTTCTCCATGTTGGTCAGGCTGGTCACGAACTCCCAACCTCAGTTGATCCACCCGCCTCGGCCTCCCAAAGTGCTGTTACAGGCGTGAGCTACCGCACCCGGCCAATTATTCATATTTACATATAAAGAAGATGACGAAATAGTTATCACTTATCTAACTAAGCTACTGTGACTCCCAATAAAGCCAAATTAACTTCTGATCTTGTTTCCTTTTTCTTTTTCTTTTTCTTTTTGAGACAGAGTTTCACTCTTGTTGCCAAGGCTGGAGTGCAATGGCACCATCTTGGCTCACCGCAACCTCCGCCTCCCAGATTCAAGTGATTCTCCTGCCTCAGCCTCCCGAGTAGCTGGGATTACAGGCATGCGCCACCATGCCCGGCTAATTTTTTGTATTTTTAGTAGAGAAGGGGTTTCACCATGTTGGCCAGGCTGGTCTCAAACTCCTCAAACTTCAGGTGATCCACCTGCCTCGGCCTCCCAAAGTGCTGGGATTACAGGTGTGATTTACCGTGCCTGGCCATTAACTTCTGATCTTAACCTTTGCTTCAAAAAAGAATGCAATAGGCCACCACAGTGGCTCACGCCTGTAATTCCAGCACTTTGGGAGGCTGAGGCGGGTGGATCACTTGAGGTTAGGAATTTGAAACCAGCCTTAAGAACATGGTGAAACACCGTCTTTACTAAAAATACAAAATTAGCAAGATGTGGTGGTGCACGCCTGTAATCCCAGCTACTCGGGAGGCTGAGGCAGGAGAATTCTTTGAACCTGGGAGGCGGAGGCTGCGGTGAGCCGAGATCAGTCCATTGCACTCCAGCCTGGGCAACAAGTGCAAAACCCTGTCTCAAAAAAAAAAAAAAAGTAAAAAAGTTACCTCAAATTTCATAGGCAATTTTCTTTTACATATGTAAAGTATCTTAAATTCTTTTTTTTTTTTTTTTTGAGATGGAATCTTGCTCTATTGTCACTCAGGCTGGAGTGCAATGGCATGATCTCAGCTCACTGCGACCTTTGCCTCCTGGATTCAAGTGATTCTCCTGCCTCAGCCTCCCGAGTACCCAGGATTACAGGCGTGCATCACCACGACCAGTTAATTTTTGTATTTTTAGTAGAGATGGGGTTTCGCCATGTTGGCCAGGCTGGTCTCGAACTCCTGACCTCAGGTGATCCACTTGCCTTGGCCTCCCACAGTGCTGGATTACAGGCATGAGCCACTGCGCCTGGCCCACATATTAAATTCTTTAAATTTTCAAAGGTTTTTTTTTTTTTTTTTTTAGACAAAGTCTCACTTTGTCACCCAGGCTGGAGTGTAGTGGCATAATCTTGGCTCACTGCAACCTCCGCCTCCCGGGTTCAAGCAATTCTCTGCCTCAGCCTCCCGAGTAGCTGGGATTACAGGCACCCGCCACCAGAGCTGGCCAATTTTTTTGTTTTTCGTATTTTTATTAGAGGCAGGGTATCACCATCTTGGCCAGGCTAGTCTTGAACTCTGGACCTCCTGATCCACCCGCCTCAGCCTCCCAAAGTGCTGGGATTACAGGTGTGAGCCACCATACCTGGCCTGAAAAGTTTTTAACCAAAACATCACTTCCAAAATATATATCTTAACTTGATCACAATTTTAGAAAGATTATGATTTGACATTTTCATTCTTGTGACTTTAATTCTGGTAAATTTCTACCAAAGGAAAACAATGTTACAACTTAGAGAAGTATTTTTTCTTTAATTCAAGGACACTGTTACATTGAACTGGGTGTTCAGATGTAATTTCACTCTCAGATCTAGACGTGCACTTGTTCCATTCTGGAATGATTTCTGTAACAAAAAACCCCCATTCCCCAGAAAAAATATATTTTAAAAATACACCCAGAACTTTTTTTTTTTTTTTTTTAATACTTTAAGTTCTGGGACACATGTGCAGAACGTGCAGGTTTGATATATAGGCATACATGTGCCATGGTGTTTTGCTGCACCCATCAACCTGTCATCTGGGTTTTAAGCCCCACATGCATTAGGTATTTGTGCTAATGATCTCTGTCTCCTTGTCCCCACCCCCTGACAGGACCCAGTGTATGATATTTCCCTCCCTGTGCCCATGTGTTCTCATTGTTCAACTCCCACTTATGAGTGAGAACATGCAGTGTTCGGTTTTCTGTTCCTAAAAATGCTTCACGAATTTGTGTGTCATCCTTGTACAAGGGGCATGCTAATCTTCTCTGTATCATTCCAATTTTAGTATATTTGCTGCTGAAGCGAGCAAAAATGCACCCAGAACTTTTAAAATGTCAGTTGTTAAAAGATCGATTTGTTTGAATAAATTAGTAAGTTGCTCTGGTCAATTTGACAATCTTTCCATTTCTTAGATCTGCTCTACAGATGGTATTTTAGGAAACTTAAAGGCACTATTTTTAAGAGCTTCCCTATACTAAAATTTATTTACTCAGACTTAGCCAAAAAAATAAATAAATAAAATAAAAGCTAAAGCCTTAAATAATAAACAAACCCTTCCTCATTTCTGTACTGGACTATGATTAGGCTTACTAATCTTCAAGTAAAACCACAAAAAAGCAATCCATCTTACCTCATCTGAGAGATTGTCAACTCTATACAAACTGGGATGAGTTGTGAGCATAAGGTAAACCAAGGGCTGGTTTTTCACTTGACACATAGCAAAAATGCGTTCATCTAGACGTGCATTTGTCCCAGTCTGGAATGATTTCTGTAACAGAAAACCCCCATTCCCCACAAAAGAATATATTTTAAAAATACATCCAGAACTTTTAAAATGCCAGTTGTTAAAAGAATATTTTCAGAGAGAATTCACAAATTTACTGTTAATTTTTTTAAAGTATCTTTTTTAAGAAGTCACACACATCTATTAAACTGTAGCTATAGCCCCACCTAAAAGTCTTTTGAAATTAACTAACTGACCATGGCAAAGTTATCTGATCTCCATGGTGTCTGTTTCCTAGTTGATAAAATAGATCTAAACACTCTATCTACCATATAATGATAGTGATAATGATGTAACAATCCAAGCAACACCATAGGAAGGATGAAGTTATATTGCAGATGACAAAGTAAAGGCATACATGAAGGACCAAAAAGATATCCATTACGTCAGTGGTCCTTCTTCGTACCAGGGACTGGTTTCGCAGAAGATAATTTTTCCACAGACTGGTGGGGACATGGTGGAGGATGATTTTGGGATGAAACTGTTCCACCTCATATCATCAGACATTAGATTCTCATAAAGAGTATGCAACCTAGATCTCTCGCATGCGCAGTTCACAATATGGTTGGCGCTCCTATGAGAATCTGATGCTGCCACTTATCTGACAGGAGGCAGAGCTCAGGCAGTAATGCTCCCTCGCCCACTGGTCACCTCCTGCTGTGTGGCTCAGTTCCTAACAGGCCACCCACTGGTACCGGTATGTGGCTGGGGGGTAGTGCACTTAGAATACTGCACTAAGTGGCCCATGAGTGCTGGGTGATGACTAATGGCAGCTGTCATTGATTCTCCCACCATACAAACAATGTAACAAAGAATACTAATAAACAAGAAAAAATAATACTACTACAAATGAGGAAAGCTTCTTAGTAAAATGAGTTAATAAGTAACTATGATATTTAACTGTTATTATTTTCTTTACACAGATAAAAATGGAGAAGAAAAAAGTTATGGGTAAGGTTTTTTTTTTGTGACGGAGCCTCCCTCTGTCGCCAAGGCTGGAGTGTAGTGGTTTGATCTCTGCTCACTGCAACCTCTGCCTCCCAGGTTCAAGCGATTCTCCTGCCTCAGCCTCCTCAGTAGGTGGGATTACAGGTGCGCGACACCACACCCGGCTAATTTTTTTTTTTTTTTTTTGTATTTTTAGTAGAGAGCAGGTTTCAGCATGTTGGTCAGGCTGGTCTTGAACTCCTGACCTCATGATCCGCCCGCCTCGGCCTCCCAAAGTGCTGGGATTACAGGCGTGAGCCACCGCACCCAGCCAGTTATGGGTAAGGTTTTAAGTATTCCAATTGATGGAAAGGAGTAAAACAGGCAGAGAGAAAAGAATAATGAAATTACGTATTAAAACAAGTACACTGACTATATTAAAGGAAGATAATAAAAGCTCTTAAGATTTTAATGGAAGAAGGAAAGTTCCATCTATTCATTCAAAAAATATTTCCTGATTGTCTATTATATACTAGGAACTGTTCTAACTGCTAGGACAAAAAAATGAATGAAAAAGATAAAAATCCTTGTCCTCATGGAGCTTACATCCTATTAAGGGAAGAATAAAAATAAGCAAAATATGTGGTATGTCAGTGATAAATGCTATAGGAAAAATACAGGAGGTAAGGGTGATTAGGGGTGTCAGGATGGTGAGGGATGGGGTGGGATTGGGGTACTGCATATTAAATCGGGAAGATCAGAGAATGTAGGCTTTAGAAAAAAGTATTTCAAGAAAGGCCTGAAGAAGAAAGAAGAGCTCAGATTTTTAAACGTCAAAATTTAAATATTTCGGCCGGGCGCGGTGGCTCACGCCTATAATCCCAGCACTTTGGGAGGCCGAGGCGGGTGGATCACAAGGTCAGGAGATCGAGACCATCCTGGCTAACACGGTGAAACCCCGTCTCTACTAAAAATACAAAAAATTAGCCGGGCATTGTGGTGGGCGCCTGTAGTCCCAGCTACTCGGGAGGCTGAGGCAGGAGAATGGCGTGAACCCGGGAGGCGGAGCTTGCAGTGAGCCGAGACTGCGCCACTGCACTCCAGCCTAGGCGACAGAGCGAGACTCTGTCTCAAAAAAAAAAAAAAAAAAAAAAATTTAAATATTTCCAGGCACGGTGGCTCATGGCTGTAATCCCAACAATTTGGGAGGCTGAGGTGGGCGGATCACAAGGTCAGGAAATTGAGGCCATCCTGGTTAACACGGTGAAACCCCGTCTCTACTAAAAATACAAAAAATTAGCCAGGCATGGTGGCACACACCTGTAATCCCAGCTACTTGGGAGGCTGAGGCAGAAGAATCACTTGAACCCCGGAGGCGGAGGTTGCAGTGAGCCAAGATTGTGCCACTGCACTCCAGCCTGGGCAACAAGAGCCAGACTAGTCTCAAAAAAAAAATTAAATATTTATGTAATCTGTGTACTTATATTCAGAAATAGAAATAAATAATTTGAGTTAAAGAAGTGAGAACTAGAGACCGGGCACGGTGGCTCATGTCTGTAATCCCAGTACTTTGGGAGGCCATGGAGGACGGATCACAAGGTCAGGAGTTCGAGACCAGAATGGCCAACATAGTGAAACCCTGTCTCTACTAAAAATACAAAAAATTAGCTGGGCATGGTGGCGGGTGCCTGTAATCCCAGCTACTCTGGAGGCTGAGACAGGAGAATCACTTGAACCCGGGAGGTGGAGGTTGCAGTGAGCCAAGATCACGTCACTACACTCCAGCCCGGATGACAGTGTGAGACTCCATCTCACAAAAAAAAAAAGAAATGAGAACTGTAGATTCAAAAGCCACTCCTACTAGAAAGTAATGAGTTGCTCTTCTCACCTGGAAAAAACTACACATAACAGACAAGTAGATCCCAGAGTTCAGGAAAAATACAAGATGAAGGCCTGGTGTGGTAGCTCACGCCTATAATCCCAGCAATTTAGGAGGCCGAGGCCAGTGGATCATTGAGGTCAGGAGTTCAAAACCGGCCAGGCGCGGTGGCTCACGCCTGTAATCCCAGCACTTTGGGAGGCCGAGGCGGGTGGATCACGAGGTCAGGAGATCGAGACCATCCTGGCTAACACCGTGAAACCCCGTCTCTACTAAAAATACAAAAAATTAGCCGGGCGTGGTAGTGGGCGCCTGTAGTCCCAGCTACTTGGGAGGCTGAGGCAGGAGAATGGCGTGAACCTGGGAGGTGGAGCTTGCAGTGAGCCAAGATTGCGCCACTGCACTCCAGCCTGGGCGACACAGCGAGACTCCATCTCAAAAAAAAAGAGTTCAAAACCAGCCTGGCCAACATGGTGAAACCCCGTCTCTACTAAAAATACAAAAATTAGCCAGGCGTGGTGGTGAACACCTGTAATCGCAGCTACTCAGGAGGCTGAGGTCGTAGTGAGCCGAGATCGCCACTGCCACTCCAGCCTGGGCGACATAGCGAGACTGTTAAAAAAAAAAAAAAAAAAAAAAGATGCAGAGCAGTCCTTTATTTTTCTTATTAAAAAACTTTTTTTTGTAGGGGTAGAATCTCACTATGTTGTCCAGGCTGGTCTCAAACTCCCAGACTCAAGCAATCAATCCTCCCGCCTTTGCCTCCCAAGGTGCTGGGATTACAGGCATGAGCCACTGTGCCCAGCCAGCAGTCCTTGAACAGTTCTGGAATCTGCAGTGCTGCTTCAGGTGCTTTATTAACATGAGTTGTTTCTTTTTTAATTAAAAAAATTAAATTTTTTAGTAGAGACAGATTCTTGCTTTCTTGCCCAGGCTGGTCTCAAACCCCTAGCTTTAAGCAATCCTTCTACCTTGGCCTCTCAAAGTATTGGGTTATAGGTGTGAACCATGGCATCTGGCCAACATGAGCTTTTATTTATTTATTTTTTATTTAATTTTTCTTTTAAGAGAAGGAGTCTCGCTTTGTCACCCAGGCTGGAGGGCAGTGGTGCAATCTCAGCTCACTGCAACCTCTGCCTCCTGGGTTCAGGCGATTCTCCTGCCTCAGCCTCCCAAGTAGCTGTGACTACAGGTATGTGCCACCATGCCCTGCTAATTTTTGTATTTTTTGTAGAGACAGGGTTTCACCACTTTGGCCAGGCTGGTCTCAAACTCCTGAACTTAAGTGATCCGCCCGCCTTGGCCTCCCAAAGTGTTGGGATTACAGGCATGAGCCACCATGGCCGGCCAACACGAGCTTTTAAATAAAATTTTATAAGGGAAGTTTATCCTGAGGCAATAAGTTTGGACATTCAATTTTGGACACTGGATAAATAAGCCTACTCCACCAGACCAGAGTTTTCCTTCTTTTCTGGGAGGAAGGCAAAGAGCAGGCAGGGGAGACATATAAATAATAAGTAGCAAATGAAAAACCCTACAAACAAAACGAAACAAAGAAAAACCCTACAAACATTTAAACTCAAAGACAAGGATATGGAAGTCCAATCCAGATCATGGAAACAGGTATGCAAGTATACAGGTATAAGAAAGTGTATCTAAAGAAGATTAAGGACCAGGCATGGTGGCTCACGGCTGTAATCCCTGCACTTTAGGAGGATGAGGTGGGAGGATCACCTGAGGTTGGGCGTTAGAAACCAGCCTAACCAATATGGTGAAACCCTGTCTCTACTAAAAATACAAAAATTAGCTGGGGTGTGGTGGTGCATGCCTATAATCGCAGCTACTCAGGAGGCTGAGGCGAGAGAATTGCCTGAACGCAGGAGGAGGAGGTTGAACCCAGGAGGCGGAGGTTGTGGTGAGCCGAGATCGTGCCACTGCGCTCCAGCCTGGGCAACAGAGGGAGACCCTGTCTCAGACAAAAAAAAAAAAAGAAGAAGATTAAGAAGTGTAATGTGGTAGCTCATGCCTGTAATCCTAGCAATTTGGGAGGCCAAGGCGGGCGAATCACCCGAGATCAGGAGTTTGAGACAAGCCTGACCAACATGGTGAAACCTTGTCTCTACTAAAAATACAAAATTAGTCGGATATAGTGGCACACACTTGTAATCCCAGCTACTCAGGAGGCTGAGGCAGGAGAATCGCTTGAACCCGGTAGGCGGAGGTTGCAGTGAGCCAAGATCGTGCTACTGCACTCCAGCCTGGGTGACAGAGCAAGACTCTGTCTCAAAAAAGAAAAGAGAAGTGTAATGTTGCTGAAATTCTGTAGGGACAGGAAAGAGCCAATAAAATAAAATAAAATAAAATAACATGTATGGTCTCTTCTTTTTAAAAAAAAGTTAAATTTTTTGTTGGTGAAAAATTCTAATTATATATATTTATGAGGTATAAAGGGATGCTATGATATAGTATACAATGTGGAATGATTTAATGAAGCTAGGTAACATATCCATAACCTCAAATAGTTATCACTTATTCCTCCTAACTAAAACACTGTACCTTTTGTTCAATATCTCCCCATTCCTGCCCCACCACCCAGCCTCTAGTAACCACCATTCTGCTTTCTGCTTCCGTGTGTTTGATTTTTTAGCTTTCACATATAAGTGAGAACACACAGTGCATGTGTGCCTTCTTGCATCAGCAATATAATATACAATTCTTGTTCTGGAAAACTGATTATCAGTTGAATTTTTTATAATGTCACTGAATACTTTGCTTAGAGAAGCATCTTATGAACAAGGAACTTGCTCTGAATCAGTTTTCTCTAAGTTTCTTTGGTTATTAAACTTTTCAAAGTTCAAATAAGAGGTAAGGTACCTGTCGTCAAAAATTTAACCAGCATAAAGTTACATATACAATGTTTAGGGATTCATAGGATAAAAATTTTGCCTTTTGATGTTTCCATCGTGTTCGTTTCTTTCTTTTTGTTTATTTTGAGACAGAGTCTGGCTCTGTCACCCAAGCTGGAGTACAGTGGCACGATATGGGCTCACTACAACCTCCGCCTCCTGGACTCAACCATCCTCCCACCTCAGCATCCCAAGTAGCTGGGACTGACTACAGGTGTGCACCACCACACCTGGCTAGTTTTTTTGTATTTTTTGCAGAGACCAGGTTTCACCATATTGCCCAGGCTGGTCTCAAATGCCTGGACTCAAGCAATCCACCCACGTCAGCCACCCAAAGTGCTGGGATTGCAGGTGTAGGCCACAGTGCCTGGCCATCATTGTGTTAGTTTCTATATCTGTTTTTCTTACCTGTTTAAGGAGAGCCAACACAAAAAGTGGGAAAAGCCGCAAAGAAAAAGGAACCATGAGTCCAGGCTGCTGGTTACTTAAGACTGAAGAACGGTAAGCTGAAAGGGAGTCAATGACTGCATTCACTAGAGCATCCCGAGCGTCACTCAGACTGGCAGTCATAGATCTGTCAACAGCTAAGCAAGGTGAGGGTAAGGACAAAAAAGAAATATGATAGAAGTTTAGCTAGTCCACTGTTAAGGATAGAAGAGATAATTTTTAAAAACTATACCAAGTATCTCTCCAATTTACTACATACACAAATGAGACAAAACACAGCAGCTAAAAGCATGGTCTGGAGAACTGAGCCAACCTCTGTTGAAATGCTGCTCTGCTATTTCCTAGCTGTATAATGATTTGGCAAGTAACTTAACCTTCCTGAGCCTCAGTTATGCTACTGATTGTAATCCAACACTTTATATACCATTGAGAAAGAAAAACATTGCAATTAAACACACAATGCTTTCCTGTGTTTCCTGAAATGCACAATGTTTCGAAACAGAGTTCTTTTGAAATTTTAATTTTAATTAATTAAAACAATTTTTTTGTACCAAGTCTCCCTATGTTGCCCAGGCTGATCTCAAACTCCTGGCCTCAAGCAGTCCTCCTGCCTCAGCCTCCCAAAGTGTTGGGATTATAGGCACAAACCACCATGCCCAGCCCAGAGTTTTTATTTTACATTTACAGAAAGAGCTCTTAGAGTTATTTATTAATTTATTTAGAGACAGAGTTTCGCTCTGTCGCCCAGGCTGGAGTGCGGTGGTGTGGTCTTGGCTCACTGCATCCTCCGCCTCCCAGGTTCAAGCAATTATCCTGCCTCAGCCTCCTGAGTAGCTGGGACTACAGACATGTGCCACTATACCTGACTAATTTTTTTGTTTTGTTTTGTTTTGTTTTTTTGTATTTTTAGTAGAAATAGGGTTTCACCAAGTTGGCCTCTTATTTAGACAGATTTTCATCATTTGCCATGACACTCTGTTTATACGCATTTCTGCATAAAAACATTCTTTCAATACTTAAAAAAAAAGCATAATTGAAGACTTCTCAAATAACTAAACTCCATCCATGTGGCACTAAAAATACATTCAATATGGTAGCAGAACCAATACTTACAAAGTTGTGACAGTTTATCAAAAATCCACAAAACCCATCTAATAGTTACTGCTGTCAATAATAATAATAATCATAGTTACAAAAAAAAGTAACTTAAACAAAAAAATAGGCCAGGCGCGGTGGCTCACGCCTGTAATCCCAGCACTTTGGCAGGCCGAGGCGGGTGGATCACGAGGTCAGGAGATCGAGACCACCCTGGCTAACATGGTGAAACCCCGTCTCTACTAAAAATACAAAAAATTAGCCGGGTGTGATGGCGGGCGCCTGTAGTCCCAGCTACTGGGGAGGCTGAGGCAGGCGAATGGCGTGAACCCTGGAGGTGGAGGTTGCAGTGAGCCGAGATCACGCCACTGCACTCCACCCTGGGCGATAGAGTGAGACTCCACCTCAAAAAAAAAAAATAAATAAATAAAATAAAGGCAGTGATCTTCAAATTTCATAGGTCACAATCTTGAACATCTAACAACATAAAAGACTAAAGTGTGGGTAAATCCTTTACCAGGCTCCACGTAAAACATTTTTCCCAATAGGAAATTCAAGAAAGTGGGTAACTATTCCTGATACAGACAGAATTAAGTTTGAAGCAAATGGACCTACTGAGGCCGGGTGTGGTGACTCACAGCTGTAATCTCAACAGTTTGGTAGGCCAAAGCAGGAGGATTGCTTGAGCCCAGGATTCAAGATCAGCCTGGGCAACATGGTGAGACTCTGTCTCTAAAAAAATTTTTTTTAAAGTTAGCTGGTTGAGGGCCAGGCGTGGTGGCTCATGCCTGTAATCCCAGCACTTTGGGAGGCCGAGGTGGGTGGATCACGAGGTCAAGAGATTGAGACCATCCTGGCCAACATGGTGAAACCCCGTCTCTACTAAAAATACAAAAATTAGCTGGGTGTGGTGTCGTGCGCCTGTAGTCCCAGCTACTTGGGAGGCTGAGGCAGGAGAATCACTTGAACTTTGGGGTCAGAGGTTGCAGTGAGCTGAGACTGTGCCACTGCACTCCATCCTGGGAGGGTGAATGAGACTCCATCTCTAAATAACTAAATAAATGAATGAGTGAATGAATGAATGTTAGTTAGCTGGGTGTGGTGGTGTGGGCCTGTAATCCCAGCTATTCAGGAGGCTGAGGTGGGAGGATCCCTTGAGCCCAGGAGGTAAAGGCTGCAGTGAGCTAGAACCACACCATTGCACTCCACCCTGGGTGACAGAGCAAGACACTGTTTTCAAAAACAAAAGAAAGAAAATGGACCGACTGAAGTCTTCCCTCAAGTAGAAAGACCACAAGAATCAAAATGATGTTATTAAGCTGTATGTATTTGAAAAGGAACCAAAAAAATCAAGAGGACAATTGTATCTGAGATGGAAATAAATACGTGAAGATATCAGTAAGTTTCCTATTGGCTCACATGATTTGGCTGCAAACAAATGTATGGTGGTAAACTGGTTTTCAATCCCAAATTCCATGACTCTAAGTCTAATGATCTTTATGGTACACTGCTTCTCATAAAAAGAGTATTAAACAGCACTAATATTAACCATTACATAAGATATAGTTGGCCAGGCACGGTGGCTCACGCCTGTAATCCCAACACTTTGGGAGGCCAAAGCGGGTGGATTACATGAGGTCGGGAGTTCAAGACCAGCCCGACCACATGAAGAAACCCTGTCTCTACTAAAAATACAAAAATTAGCTGGGCATGGTGGCGCATGCCTGTAATCCCAGCTACTCGGGACGCTGAGGCAGGAGAATCGCTTGAACCCAGGAGATAGAGGTTGTGGTAAGCCAAGATTGCGCCATTACACTCCAGCCTGGGCAATAAGAGCGAGACTCCATCTCAAAAAAAAAAAAAAAAAGATATAGCTAAGTTCAGTGTAGACAAATATATAAATATATAGAGACAGAAAGTAGTTTAGTGGTTACTTAAGGCCAGTAAGGGAGGGAGGAAGAAGTGGGCAGTAACTGCTAATGAGCATGAGGTTCCTCTTGAGACAATAGAAATGTTATAAAATTAGATTGTGGTGATAGCTGTACAACTCTGTAAAAACACTAAAAACAAATGAATTATCAATTAAACTGGGTGAAGTGGTATGGTATGTAATTATATCTCAATAAATTTGTTTAAATAAACAAACAAAAAAGATAAGATTATCTGCAGCAGATCTTTTCAAATAGTTACTTAGCAGGCACCCAGGGGATCTAAAACATTCAAACTATAAAGCTAACTATTTAAAGGAAAACAAAACTGTTTGGATGTGCCTAATGTTATTACTTGTAAGATATTTATAACAGATAACAACTCTTACCCATATTGGCCAATAACCCTGAAATTGCTTGAACATCAGCTCCAAGAAAGACATCATTCAGAGTCGAAACTACTGGCAAACACAAAGTATGAACACGAATTCTTCTTTCGCCTTTGGGGAAAATACACAAACAACAGTGAGGGGCAACTATATAAAACAAAAGATTATGTTAAAGTCACTTGGAAAAATCACTTCTTAGCTGGGTGCAGTGGTGCATCCCTGTAGTCCCACCTACTCCAGAGGCAGAGACAGGAGGATCCCTTGAGCTCAGGAGTTTAAGTGCAGCCTGGGCAATACAGTGAGACTCCATCTCTTAAAAAAAAATAAATTAATTAAAAAAAAAAAAATATATATATATATATATATAAATATAAATATAAATAACTTCTTTTCGATTTAGAACCAGGTAGTATAGTTACATAGTAAGCAGAGACAGTATCAAACGTTTTATACTGGCCAGACACAGTGGCTCACACCTGTAATCCCAGCACCCAGCACTTTGGGAGGCTAAGGTGGGAGGATTACCTGAGGCCAGGAGTTCAAGACAGGGCTGAACAACATAGTAAGACCCTATCTCTATTAAAAATAAATAAGTACATAAATATTAAAAATTTCATCCTTTTTTTTTTTTTTTAGAAACAAGGTCTCATTCTGTTGCCCAGGCAGGACTGCAGTGGCACAATCATAACTCACTGCAGCCTCAAACTCCTGGGCTCAAACAATCCTCCCTACTCAGCCTCCCAAGTAGGTAGGACTACCAGTGTGTGCCACTATACCTGGCTAATTAAAAAAATATTTTTTTAGAGACAGTGTCTCACTATGTTGTCCAGGCTGGTCTTGAACTCCTGGCCTCAAGTGATCCTCCCTAGTCAGCCTTCCAAAGTGCTAGGTTTACAGACCACCACACCTGACCCTACTTCTTTTAATTGTTTTAACTATAAAATTCTTTTCATTCAGGTTATTACTAAATGAACAGGGATCGCATTCAAATGACAATATGCTAAATTTTTAAAAATCTCTTTTTTGAACTTTTTAGTTGGTTTACTGCTTTTGGTAATGAAAATTTTAAGGGCTGGGCGCAGTGGCTCATGCCTGTAATCCCAGCACGTTGGGAGGCAGAGGCGGGCAGATCACGAGGTCAAGAGATTCACACCATCCTGGCCAGCATGGCAAAACTCCATCTCTACTAAAATTACAAAAATTAGCTGGATGTGGTGGCGCACACCTGTACTCCCAATTACTCGGGTGGCTGAGGCAGGAGAATCACTTGAACCCAGGAGGCAGAGGTTGCAGTGAGCAGAGACTGCGCCACTGCACTCCAGCCTGGTGACAGAGTGAGACTCTGTCTCTACATAAATAAATAAATAAATAAATAAATAAATAAAAACAGCAATTTTAAGTTAGCACACATAAGATATGCTACATGTATTTTATAGCCCATTTTGACATTTGAAATCCAGACAATATTTGAACATTTGAAATCCAAAAAAAAACAAACAATTTACCTTTGCTGGATGTATACAAGAGTGCTGACTGAAAAGAAACCAACTGAGTGTCAGTAAGACTCTCTTCCACTGACATCTGTACTGCATACCCAGCGTCTGGGTTGACGTTAGGCAAAGACAGTAAGTCGGTTGACCTAACAAAGAAGTTTCCATGGAAAGTATGAATGGAAAGACCTAGAAGAGAAAAAGGTAACAAAATTATTTTTATATACCTACATACTGATATTTACATTTTATCCTAGTTACTTATCAGATTGGCAAAAAGTAAAGAAATCTAGATAATACACAGTACTTAGTGAGGTTAAGGAATAACAGATGGCTTTTGAAATGAAGGTGGGGATACTAATTTTCAAAAAACATTTTTGGGTCAGGTGCGGTAGCTCACGCCTGTAATCCCAGCACTTTGGGAGGCCAAGGTGGGTGGATCGCCTGAGGTCAGTTTGAGATCAGCCTGGCCAATAACATGGTGAAACCCTGTCTCTACCAAAAACACAAAAATTAGCCGAACATGGTGGCAGGCGCCTGCAATCCCAGCTACTCAGGAGGTTGAGGCAGGAGAATTGCTTGAACCCGGGAGGCAGAGGTTGCAGTGAGCTAAGATTGCGCCACTGCACTCCAGCCTGGGCGACAGAGCAAGACTCTGTCTCAAAAAGAAACACAAAAAACATTTTTGGACGATAATTTGGCAGTATCTATCAAAATTCTAGATACTTATTTTGACTTTAGCAATCCCATATCAAAGAATGTGTCCTACAGATATACTCATTTAAGTGCCAAATTCACACATGCAGAAAAATTTCAAGTAGACTGGTGTGTCACAGCAAAAAAAATTTAGAAATACCTTCAATGGGTATCAGTAGAAAAACTAGGCCAGGCACAATGGCTCATGCCTGTAATCCCAACACTTTCGGAGGCTGGTGCAGGCAGATCACTTGAGGTCAGGAGTTCGAGACCAGCCTTGGCAACATGGTGAAATCCTGTCTCTACTAAAAATACAAAAATTAGCCGGGCATGGTGGCACACGCCTGTAGTCCCAGCTACTCGGGAGGTTGAGGCAGGAGAATCGCTTGAACCTGAGAGGCAGAGGTTGCAGTGAGCCAAGATCGCGCCACTGCACTCCAGCCTAGGTGACAGAGTGAGACTCTGTCTCAAAAAACAACAACAACAACAACAAACAAACAAAAACTAAACTGTGATTTGTTCAGTCTGCTGAATACTAGGTAGAATAGGCAGAAGTTTAAATTAATGTGATGGATTTATATGATCTAAAATTAATGAATCTTCAAGGTTTATTGAATAAAAATACATACAATATGTCACTTATGTAAATCGACCATAAGATACATTTTCCATGGAGATGTACCTAAGTATGCAAATGTATAGGAAATTCGGTATATACCAAGTGATATATACCATTTTTAATAAGAAATTCTGATACATACCATTTTTAACTACATAAAAATGAAGTGAAAGTGTATGTGTCGCATACACATGCAAGCTGATACAGGAAGACTTTAGCTTTATCAATAATGTTTTTATTTTTTACAAGAAAAACAGATGCACATGTTGCTTGTGAAATAAAAACCAACTTAAAAACAGTAATCAGGATGAAAAAGAATGCTGGGCATGGTGGCATGTGCCTGTAATCCCAGGTATTCAGGAGGCTGAAGCAGGAAGATTGCTTAAGCCCAAGAGTTGAAAGCAAGCCTGGGCAACATAGTGAGACCCTGTCTCTTAAAAAGAAATATACAACATTAATAAAGAAAGAAAGAAAAAGGAGAATGTGTGTCTGTACGTATAAAAATAGAAAGGTTTTCAAGATATTGTGATAAAAATAAAAAAGCCAGGTATAATTCCTCACTGCTTTTATTTGAAGTTAAGGCCAAAATATATGTTTATAAATGCCATGGGAAAGTTTCTGAAGGGTATATGATTAACTGTAGAGTGGAACAGAAGTTATGCTTGAGTTCTCATTTTATATCTTTTTGTACATTATCTTTTCTGTGTTAACTTTTCTAGAGTATGTATTTGATCTGTAGTGAATTTATCATAATAAAATAAAAAGAGAAACCTAAGCAAGCTAACCACAAAGCTTTATTAAATTAAGCACTCTAGAAAGAGGGTGGTGGGCTGCAGTGGCTCACACCTGTAATCCCAGCACTTTGGGAGGACAAGGCAGGCAGATCATGAGGTCAGGAGTTCGAGACCAGCCTCACCGACATGGTGAAACTCCGTCTCTACTAAAAATACAAAAATTAGCTGGGCATGGTAGCACGTGCCTGTAATCCCAGCTACTAGGAAGGCTGAGGCAGGAGAATCACTGGACCCCGGGAGGCGAAGGTTGCAGTGAGCCGAGACTGCGCCATTACACTCCAGCCTGGACGACAGACCGAGACTCCGTCTCAAAAAAAAAAAAAAAGAGGGCAAAGGAGTTGCCTGGCATATCCCAAAGCTGTTTATGCAAAATAAGGTACATATAAAAATAGCCTCTGTCTTGACAAGTAGAAAAGGTCTTAAAAGCACATTAGGATGTACACTTCCCTTAATTTATAACAGGTATCTGCAGAAATAAACATTTTTGAGGTCTGTCAGTCTCCAATGAATGGGATCCAACAAATATACCCTTTAAAACATAAACACTAAAAAACTATTAGGTACTCACTTCGACAGCATGTATACTAAAATTAGAACCATACAGAGAAGATTAGCATGGCCCCAGTGCAAGGATGACACGTAAATTCGTGAAGTGTTCCATATTTTAATTAAAAATTATAAAATAAAAACTAGGCCAGGCATGGTAGCTCATGCCTGTAATCCCAGCACTTTGGGAGGCCGAGGCGGGTGGATCACTTGACATCAGGAGTTCGAGACCAGCCTGGCCAACATGGCGAAACACCACCTCTACTAAAAATACAGTCCAGGCGCGGTGGCTCACGCCTGTAATCCCAGCACTTTGGGAGGCCGAGGCGGATGGATCACGAGGTCAGGAGATCAAGACCATCCTGGCTAACATGGTGAAACCCTGTCTCTACCAAAAATACAAAAAATTAGCTGGGAGTGGTAGCAGGCGCCTGTAGTTCCAGCTACTTGGGAGGGTGAGGCAGGAGAATGGCGTGAACCCAGGAGGCGGAGCTTGCAGTGAGCGGAGATCGTGCCACTGAACTCCAGCCTGGACAAAAGAGCAAGATGTGGTCTCAGAAAAAAAAAAATAAAGTAAAAAAAATAAATAAATAAAAACTATTAGAATTAATAAATTCTAATTATAGTGAAGGATAGATAAGAGAGACCTTCATCTTGCTCATGGTTTGACCAACAGATTTCAATGTGTAATGGAACAGGTTAGTGGATCTTTATCTTTTTTTTTTTGTTATAGATTTCATATAAATAATTTTTCCATTGAAAAGAATATTATTATACTGGGCGTGGTGATTCACACCTGTAATCCCAGCACTTTGGGAGGCTGAGGTGTAGGATTGCTTAAGTCCAGGAGTTTGAAACCAGCCTGTGTAACAAAGTAAGACCCTGTCTCTACAGAAAAATTAAAAATTAGCTAGGCGTGGTGGCATGCGCCTGTGGTCCCAGTTATTCGGGAGGCTGAGCTAAGAGGATTGCTTGAGCCCAGGAGTTGAGGCTGCAGTGAGCTATGATCATGCCACTGCACTCCAGCCAGGGGGACAGAGCAACACTCTGTCTCCAAAAAAAGAAAAAAGAGAGAGAAGAAGAAAGAAAATTACCACTCTACACCCCATTACAGAGCAATATTTATTTAAATAAAAACTCAATCTGTGCTCCACACCCCCTTACAGAGCAATAATATTTATTTAAATAAAAACTCAATTTGTGCAGCAGCAATGGAAAAAAAAACCCACCTTAAAAAAAAAACCCACCAGGTTGATAATGTGGAGAAATGAAAAACTAAAAATAAGAGTACAGGCTGGGTGCGGTGGCTCATACCTGTAATCCCAGCATTTAGGGAGGCCAAGGTAGGCGGATCACCTGAGGTCAGGAGTTTGAGACCAGCCTGGCCAACATGGCAAAACCCCGTTTCTACTAAAAATACAAAAATTAGTCAGGCGTAGTGTCAGGCACCTGTAATCCCAGTTACTCAGGAGGCTGAGGCAGGCAGAATTGCTTGAACCTGGGAGATGGAGGTTGCAGTGAGCCTAGATCACACCATTATACTCCAGCCTGGGCGAGAGAGTGAAACTCTGGCTCAAAAAAAAAAAAAAAAAAAAAGAGAGTACAAACTAAGAGATCCCCCACTTTTGGAAATAAATAGTTGCACAGTGAAAACATACTTGATGCCACTGTACAATTAAAAAATGGATAAAATGGGCCAGGTGCGGTAGCTCATGCCTGTAATCCCAGCACTTTGGGAGGCCGAGGCGGACGGATCACCAGATCAGGAGATCGAGACCATCCTGGCTAACATGGTGAAACCCCGTCTCTACTAAAAAATACAAAAAATTAGCTGGGCATGGTGGCAGGCGCCTGTAGTCCCAGCTACTTGGGAGGCTGAGGCAGGAGAATGGCATGAACCCAGGAGGCGGAGCTTGCAGTGAGCTGAGATCGTGCCACTGCACTCCAGCCTGGACGACAGAGCGAGACAGTCCGTCTCAAAAAAAAAAAAAGGATAAAATGGTAAAGCTTATGTTATATATATTTTACAAGTAAAAAAAAAAAAGTTTAAAAGCAAGATCTGTGGCTGGGTGTGGTGGCTCATGCCTGTAATCCTAACACTTTGGGAGGCTAAGGCAGGAAGATCACGTGAGCCCACGAGCTTGCAACCAGCCTGGGCAACATAGGGAGACCCAGTCTCTACAAAATAAAAAATAAAAAATTAGCCAGGTGTGGTGGCTCACACCTGCAGTCTCAGCTACTAGGAAAGCTGAGGTGGGAGGATCACTTGAGTCAGGGAGGTGGAGACTCCAGTGAGCTGTGATTGCACCACTGCACTCCAGCCTGGGCGACAGAATGAGACTCTGTCAAAAAAGGGTCTAGGCTGTGTGCGGTCACTCACACCTGTAATCCCAGTGCCTTGGGAGGCTGAGGTGGGCAGATCATCTGAGGTCAGGAGTTTGAGACCAGCCTGGCCAACATGGTGTAACCCTGTCTCTACTAAAAATACAAAAATTAGCCGGGCATGGTGGCACGCACCTATAATCCCAGCTACTCGGGAGGCTGAAGCAGGGAGAATCACTTGAACTCGAGAGGTGGAGGTTGCAGTTAGCCAAGATTGTGTCACTGCACACCAGCCTGGGCAACAGAGCAATATACCATCTCAAAAAAAAAAAAAAAAAAACAAGACTCTATCTTCTTCTTTTTTTTTTTTTTGGAGACAGTGTTGCCCAGGCCGGAGTGCAGTGGTGTGATCTCTGCTCACTGCAACCTGACTCCCAGGCCAGGCCCCAACAATCCTCCCACCTCAGCCTCCTAAGAAGCTGGGACTACAGACGTGCACCACCACGCTCAGCTAAGTTTTTGTATTTTTCGTAGAGACATCATTTTGCAATGTTGTCCAGGCTCGTCTCTAATTCCTGGGCTCAAGCGATCCACCAGCCTTGGCCTCCCAAAGTGCTGGAATTACAGGCATGAGCCACTGTGCCCAGCCGGAGATAAGGTCTTTTTTAAAAAACTGAGATAATTCACACACCATAAAATTCTCTATTTAAAAATATATAAGTCAGTGCTTTTGAGTATATTCTCAATAGGCCCCCTTTTTTTGGTTACAGTGTTTCTTCTCTCCTCTTAATTGCATATTCCAGAGTAGGCAAAGTATCTCAGAAGGGCAATCTTATAAGACCAGATAAAAACATGTACATTTACTGAAACCAAAAATATTATTCAGTCCTACGCAAAAAAAAAATATTCCTACCTTTGGTGCACCGAATCCTCATGACTGCCTCAAAGCCAATCTTCCGAGTAAGGTATCTCTGTAGTTCCTTCTGTAATTTCTGTACTTGGACTGGGTTGTGCTGATGATGGTAAGAGGGATAGTAATAGACACTACCTGCTGAATACCGAGAAATACAACCTGGAAGAGAACACACACTGTTTTAAACTGTGCCGTTAACTATTTCTACTACACCAAAGTAACTAAAGACATTGGAATCAATCTTTCTTTAACTTTCCAAGGTAAACTACTGTCAGAAAGGAGATTTTATTCCCTTTTTTTGAGACAGAGTCCCATTCTGTCACCCAGGCTGGAGTGCAGTAGTGATACCATGGGGCTCACTGCAGCCTTGACCTCTCCACCTCAAGCACTCTTCCCACCTCAGCCTTCCAGGCAGCTGGGACCACAGGTGTGCGCCACCATGTCTGGCTAGTTTTTTATTTAAAAAAATATACATATTATTTGCAAATACAGGGTCTTCCTATGTTGCCCAGGTTGGTCTCAAACTCCTGGGCTCAAGCAATCCTCCTGCACAGGCCTCACAAATTGTTAGGATTACAGGCATGAGCCATCATACCCGGCCTGCATTCCTTTAAATAGTAGAATAGAAATTTCTCTATTACTAAATGTTTAGAGTAGAAGACTATAAGGTTTTTAATAGACTAAACTGACTGATTAACTTTCCCAAGGGCATACATATTCTTTAACTTTGTTCTATATTTAGAACACTATCATATAAGGACCATTTTGATATTCATTTAACGGAAAAAAAAAATCATTACGAAGAACTTACCCAGAGAAGCCAAATCAGAATACTGTCCACTGAGAAGGAATAAGTCAACAGCAACTTGCTGACCAGAACAGTCCAAGGCTAATTTCTTATAGAAGTCAGTGGATGGTGTCATGTGTATATCCTATTTATAATAAATTATAAAGAGACATTTTAAAAAATCATTACATTGTCATAAAATCTAAATACACATCTACATACATCATGATGTTAACAACAATTGCAATTATTTCTGGGCATTCTACAAAGTCCTTTTCCTTTGTGGTACTACTTGATTTTTCATTAAGAAGCAAGTACTGCTTAGGAATTTTCTGTAAGTTCCAGCCAGGTGTGGTGGCTCACACCTGTAATCCTAGCACTTTGGGAAGCCAAGGCGGGTGGACTGCTTGAGCCCAGGAGTTTGAGACCATCCTGGGCAACATGACTTTATTTATTTAAAAAAAAAAAAAAATGGCCGGGTGCGGTGGCTCACGCCTGTAATCCCAGCACTTTGGGAGGCCGAGGTGGGTGGATCACGAGGGCCGGAGATCGAGACCATCCTGGCTAACATGGTGAAACCCCGTCTCTACTAAAAATACAAAAAATTAGCCAGGCATGGTTGCAGGTGCCTGTAGTCCCAGCTACTCGGGAGGCTGAGGCAGGAGAATGGCATGAACCCAGGAGGCGGAGCTTGCAGTGAGCTGAGATCGCACCACTGCACTCCAGCCTGGGCAACAGAGCGAGACTCCGTCTGAAAAAATATATATATGTTTTTTAAAAATTTTCTGTAGGTTTTTTTCCCTTTATTTTTAAAAAGAAATATATCTACTATAATAATTTCATAGTTGGTAAAGATTTTTTTATTGTAACTAAAATATATTAAATGTTCAGTATGCTGGAAACTGTTCTAAACAATTCATATGTAATACTTACTTAGTCCTTTCAACTACCCTAAGAGGTAAGTGCTATCATTTTCTTTTTTTCTTTTTCTTTTTTTTTGAGATGGGAGTTTTGCTGTAGTTGCCCAGGCTGGTGTGCAATGGCATGATCTCAGCTCACCGCAACCTCTGCCTCCCGGTTTCTAGCGATTCTCCTGCCTCAGCCTCCCGAGTAGCTGGGATTACAGGCATGCACCACCATGCCCAGCTAATGTTTTTTGTATTTTTAGTAGAGACGGGATTTCATCATGTTGTTCAGGCTGGTCTCGAATTCCCAAAGTTAGATGATCCGCCTGCCTCGGCCTCCCAAAGTGCTGGGATTACAGGTGTGAGCCACCACACCTGGCCACTATCATTATTTTCTTTCTTTCTTTTTTTTTTTTTTTTTGAGACAGAGTCTCACTCTGTCACCCAGGCTGGAGTGCAGTGGCGTGATCTCAGCTCACTGCCTCCCGGGTTCAAGCAATTCTCATGCCTCAGCCTCCCAAGTAGCTGGGACTACAGGTGCACACCGCCACCCCCAGCTAATTTTTGTTTTTTGTTGTTGTTGTTTTGAGACGGAGTCTCACTCTGTCGCTCAGGCTGGAGTGCAGTGGCACAATCTCAGCTCACTGCAACCTCCCAGGTTCAAGCAATTCTCCTGCCTCAGCCTCCTGAGTAGCTGGGATTACAGGTGTGTGCCACCACGCCCGGTTAATTTTTGTATTTTTAGTAGAGACAGGGTTTCACCATGTTGGTCAGGCTAGTCTCGAACACCTGAACTCGTGATCCACCCACCTTGGCCTCCCAAAGTGCTGGAATTACAGGCGTGAGCCACCATGCCCGGCCAATTTTTGTATTTTTAATAGAGATGGGGTTTCGTCGTGTTGGCCAGGCTGGTCTCGAACTCCTGACCTCAGGTTATCCGCCTGCCTCAGCCTCCCAAAGCACTGGTCTTACAGGCATGAACCACCACACCCAGCCATCTTTTTTGTTGTTGTTGTTGTTGTTGTTTCCCAAGTTGGAGTGTAGTGGCACGATCTCACTGCAGCCTCCTGGGCTCAAGTGATCCTCTCACCTCAGCCTCCAGAGTAGCTAGGACTATAGGCTCTCAGCATCACACCTGGCTAATTTTTTTTGTATTTTTGTAGGGACAGGGTCTCACTATGTTGCCCAGATTGGTCTCAAACTCCTGAGCTCAACCGATGCTTCCATCTCAGCCTCCCAAAGGGCTGGGATTATAGGCACAAGCCACCACACTTGACCCTTTATTTTCACCTTATATATAAAGAAACAAAGGGGCAAAGAAATTAATTTTTCAAGTTCCCAAGTGTAATAAACAGTGAGACTAGGCAGTCTGACTCCAGGAATGATACCATACCCAGTATAGTACACAGGTCTCTCTTTCATAATCTTTTGGGAAATACGGGTCTCAAAAACCTTAAAGTTTATGCACACAAGGTGCACATAAGCACCTTGGCCATCAATGTACCAAATACAACTACTCTTTTTCTTTTCTTTTTTTTTTTTTTTTGAGACGGAGTTTTGCTCTTGTTGCACAGGCTGGAGTGCAATGGTGCGATCTTGGCTCACTGCAACCTCCGCCTCCCAGGTTCAAGCAATTCTCCTGCCTCAGCCTCCTGAGTAGCTGGGATTACAAGCATGTGCCACCACACCCAGCTAATTTTTTTTTTTTTTTGAGACGGAGTCTCGCTCTGTCACCCAGGCTGGAGTGCTGGAGTGCAGTGCCGCAATCTCAGCTCACTGCAAGCTCCGCCTCCCGGGTTCACGCCATTCTCCTGCCTCAGCCTCTCCAAGTAGCTGGGATTACAGCGCCCGCCACCACACCCGGCTAATTTTTTATATTTTTAGTAGAGATGGGGTTTCACCGTGGTCTCGATCTCCTGACCTCGTGATCCGCCCGCCTCAGCCTCCCAAAGTGCTGGGATTACAAGCGTGAGCCACCGCGCCCAGCCAATTTTGTATTTTTAGTAGAGATGGGGTTTCTCCATGTTGGTCAGGCTGGTCTCAAACTCCCAACCTCAGATGAACTGCCCAACTCGGCCTCCCAAGATGTTGGGATTACAGGTGTGAGCTACCACGCCCAGCCAAATAAGACTATTCTTAACTGGTCAATCAGGTTCTCTTTGTCCCTATCAAGCATATTCTGTTAGTCTCCCAGACTATCTCTCTGAAGGCAGGCTGAATTGCTAGTGGCCTGCTAAAGATACTAAAAATTAAGGAAGGGTGAATCAGGTAGAGAAAAATGTAACAAAATAAAAATGTCTACATAAAAGTTAACTTCCTTATAGTCCCTCCTCCCAACAATTGACAAATAAATTTAAAGAAAAAACAAGTTCTATGGTCACAGGGATGGAACACCAGCATAAACCTTATCAGACATTTCATGACTCTCTAACCTTAGCAGATGACCTGTGGTTTGGTTCCTCTCGTGGTTTCAGGGCTCCCACTCCAAGAGTTGGGAGTTGTGTTTGAAAGACAGACATTCGACCACCAGTTGGAGACATCAGCTTAAAGGCAGCCTGCAGTGCAGGACCCAAGGCACTCTGGGTCTCCAGAGTCTTGGTAAACATTTGTGGCAAAGTTTTCAGTAAATCTTGCACGAGCTTGTAAAACAAAGCAAGAAAACTCAAGTGTCATAATTAAAATTTTATTTCACATTAAGTCAGTATCTCATACAATAGACAAGACATTGAGTCATGATGATGGTCAGAGAATCTACAGACACTAAACAATGAAGTTGGTCAAATGACAAGAAAGCCATTTTAAGTCAACATTATAAATTGGCAAGCAAGACAAATCAAAGTTGGGCCTTACAGTTCTTGCACATGCAGTAGTCCAGCAAGACTATAAGTCCAAAATGTATCCAAAAGAACCATCACAGTTTAGAGATTTGATGTATTTTAATGCCATGAAATATGGCCTTCTCCATCACCTCTACATACTTTATTCTTGTAAGTTCCAAAGCGAGTTTAGCTCTTCCCTGTTGCAAATCTAAGATATCCAGTAACTTTGCCAACTAGTAATATCACTACAAAAGAAAAACAACTACCTTTACAGGTTAGGTTGTACAAATAGAGTTAATGGGGAAAAAAATACTTCGCACTATGGCACAGTCACCATTGCCAACAGCAGAGACCATAGACTTGCTAGTTAAAATGTTACCCCTACGGCATATATGCATGTACAGGGTAGACAACATCCCCCCTTCAGACACATTCTGTTCACCTCTCACTGTATTATCTCATGGCAATTTCCAGGCAGGTAATAAGAGTTTCTTCTGAACTGACCCCAATGACACTCTGTGAATCAGAAAAGCAAAGGGCACTGAAAGCAGCCTACCTAATGTGCTTCTATGTAGTGACCAGAAGCTTTATCTCAGCAACCCTCCCAACTTCCCAAATGGCTGACAAGACAGATTTCCTTCAAGTGTTCCTCCTTTATGGAATATGCTTATTTTCTACCCTACTACAAATAACTTGCTTCATTAGACTTAAAAATGATCAGCTCAAGGTTGAACTCAAGAGCTGTTCATCTAATTATAAGAGCAAATATAAAATGCTACACATCTTAGAAATGTCACAGAAATAATCAAAATTTTACTTAAAGTTCATTTCAAAAACATATTCCTTCAATATTTCAATTAAACATGTCAGGTAGGAAAATGTGCCTTACCTCTTTACTTTCATTTAAGTTTACTAATAAGTTCTCTGGCATAGGTATAAAAACATCTGAAAGAAGAAATACATATTTATTTTAAACAAAATGTAATAATTAAAAGTGTGCCAAATATATAACACTAATGCAATTAACCACCCCCTTCCTTAAAAATAAGCCACCTCCTCCACTATTATAGCACTGTTTACATGTGTCCAAAGAACCACCAAAAAACCACCACAATGATACAGGTATCTACTGCAAATTTTCTGCTTCTTGTCTGCTACCTTGTAAAAGGTACAGCCTCCCAATTAGAAAATATTTATCTGGGCCAGGTGCAGTAGTACACGCCTGTAATCCCAGCACTTTGAGAGGCTGAGGTAAGTGAATGACTTGAACTCAGGAGTTTGAGACCAGCCTGGGCAACACAGTAAAACCCTGTCTTTACAAAAAGTACAAAAATGAGCCAGGCATGGTGGTACATGCCTATAGTCCCAGCTATGTGGGAGGATTCCTTGAGCCCGGGAGGCTGAGGCTGCAGTGAGCCAAGATTGCACCACTGCACTCCCAGGCTAGTGGGGAGGTTGAGACCCTGTCTCCAAAAAAAAAAAAAAAAAAGGAAAGAAAAAAAATAAAATATTGATCTGTACTCACTGAATTTGTGTAAGTGCTATGCTTCTTAGGCTAAAGATAATAATTTACAATTCTGCTTTGACCTTTTTTTTTTTTTTTAAATGGCTGGCCCTGGAAGCCAGCCAAAGATACACTCTTGGCATTAAGAAATTTTTTTGACTAACATGACACACAAGAATGCTGTCTTCATAAGGAAGCAATACAGCTCACCAATAGCTCTGTCATTCACAAAGCAGATGCTTTCTCATAAAGAAGGTCGGCCGGGCACGGTGGCTCATGCCTGTAATCCCAGTACTTTGGGAGGCCGACGCGGGCGGATCACAAGGTCAGGAGCAATGTGGTGAAACCCTGTCTCTAGTAAAAATACAAAAAGTTAGCCAGGCGTGGTGGTGGGCACCTGTAGTCCCAGCTACTCGGGAGGCTGAGGCAGGAGAATCACTTGAACCCGGGAGGCGGAGGTTGCAGTGAGCCGAGATAGTGCCACTGCACTCCAGCCTGGGTGACAGATCAATCAAGACTCGTCTCAAAAAAAAAAAAAAAGAAGGCCCACACCAGTGCCTTTAAAAAGGGACTATGGGCTGGGTGCGGTGGCTCGTGCCTGTAATCCCAGCACTTTGGGAGGCTGAGGCAGGTGGATCATGAGGTCAGGAGTTCAAGACCAGCCTGGCCAAGATGGTGAAACCCTGTCTCTACTAAAAATATAAAAAGTAGCCAGGCGTGGTGGGCACCTGTAAGCCCAACTACTCGGGAGGCTGAGGCAGAGAATTGCTTGAACCCAGGAGGCAGAGTTTGCAGTGAGCCACCAAGATCGCGCCACTGCACTCCAGCCTGGGTGACAGAGCAAGACTCCTTCTCAAAAAAAAAAAAAAAAAGAATGGGACTATGGAGGCCGGGCATGGTGGTTCATGCCTGCTATAATCCCAGCACTTTGGGAGGCCGAGGTGGGCAGTTCACTTGAGGCCAGGAGTTTGAGACCAGATTGGCCAACATAGTGAAACCCCATTATTTACTAAAAACCACAAAAATTAGCTAGGCATAATGGCACATGCCTGTAATCCCAGCTACTCGGAAGGCTGAGGCATGAGAATCGCTTGAACCTGGGAGGCAGAGACTGCAGTGAGCCAGTGAGCCAGTGAGCTGAGATCGCGCCACTGCACTGCAGCCTGGGCAACAAAGCAAGACTCTGTCTCCAAAAACACAAAACAAAACGAACAAACAAAATTAATGGGACTGCAAAATCAAGTGAATCAGAAGGTATGCTACCTGACCACTTCAGATGAGCCTCTCAGGATTCACATTTATTCAATAATTGCTTAGGAATTCTTCCTTAGAAAGGGAGCAAACTGGGAAGAGAGTGGTGGAGGATTACAAGGATAATCACTTTCTAGATTTCTATATTTTGTTTCTGATTACAAAAAAATAAGGCCTGGCCAGGTGTGGTGGCCCATGCCTATACTCTCAACACTTTGGGAGGATGAGGCGAAAGGACTGCCTAAGGCCAGGAGTTTGAGACCAGCCTGTGCAACTTAGCAAGACCTTGCCTCTACAAGAAATTTTAAAAATTAGCTGGGCGTGGTAGCGTGTGCCTGTATTTCCAGCTACTTGAAAAGCCGAGGTGGAAGGATCGCTTGAGCCCAGGGCTTCAAGGCTGCAGCAAGCTATGATTGCACCATTGCACTGCAACATGGGCAACAAGAGTCTCTGTCTTTAAAAAAATAGTAATAGCCAGGCACAGTGACTCACACCTGTAATCCCAGCACTTTGGGAGGCAGAGGCGGGCAGATCACCTGAGGTCAGGAGTTCAAGACCAGCCTGGCTAACACGGTAAGACCTTGTTTCTACTAAAAATACAAAAAATTAGCTGGGCGTGGTGGCACGCACCTATAATCCCAGCTACTCAGGAGGCTGAGGTAGGAAAATCACTTGAACCTGGGAGGTGGAGGTTGCAGCGAGCCGAGATGGCGCCATTGCGCTCCAGCTTGGGCAACAAAAGTGAAACTCCATCTCAAAAAAAAAATGTAATAATTATGACAACTCCCTATTAATCGCCCTCCCCCCCCAGCCCCTGGTAACCTCTATTCCATTTTCTGTCTCTATGAATTTGCCTATTCTAGGTACTATATATAAGTGGAACCATACAATATTTGTCGGTTTGTGTCTTGCTTATTTCACTTAGCATGTTTTCCAGGTTCATCCACATTGTAGCACGTGTGAGAATTTCATTGTTTTTTTAAGGCTGAATAATAAATATTCCATTATACGTTTTTTTTTTTTTTCTTGAGATGGAGTCTCACTCTGTCGTCCAGGCTGGAGTGCGGTGGCACGATCTCGGCTTGCTGCAAGCTCCGCCTCCTCCCGAGTTCACGCCATTCTCCTGCCTCAGCCTCCCGAGTAGCTGGGACTACAGGTACGCACCACCACGCCCAACTAATTTTTGTATTTTTAGTAGAGACGGGGTTTCACCATGTTGGCCAGGATGGTCTTGATCTCTTGACCTCGTGATCCACCCGCCTCGGCCTCCTGAAGTGCTGGGATTACAGGCGTGAGCCACCGCACTCGGCCCCATTATACGTTTATACCACATTTTATTTATCTATTCATCTGTTGATGGCTACTTGGGGTGTTTCCACCTTTTGGCTATTGTGAATGATTGCTATTGCTATAAACAATGATGTACAAGCATCCGCTTGAGTCTCTGCTTTCGATTTTTTGGAGTATATATTGAACGGTGGAATTGCTACATAATGTGATAATTCACCATTAACTTTGAGGAATTGCCAAGGTATTTTCCACAGCAGTTATGCCATTTTACATTCTGACCAGCAGTGCACCAGGGTTCTAATGTTTCCACATCTAGTGGCATAAATATTTGCCCCTGTTTTATACTTATAGCTCTTAAGTTTAGGTCTTTAGTCCATTTCAAGTTAATTTTCTTTACATGGTATAAAGTAAAGGTCCAACCTCATTCTCTTACATAGGCAGTATTGCCACAACTATTTGTTGAAAAAACTGTCTCTTCTCCCACTGATTGTTCTAGGCACCTTTGTCAAAAATCACTTAACTGGCTGTGGGTGGTGGCTCATGCCTGTAATCCCAGTACTTTGTGGGGCCAAGAGAGGCAGATCACTTGAGGTCAGGAGTTTGAGACCAGCCTGGCCAACATGGTGAAACCTCATCTCTACTAAAAATACAAAAATTAGCTGGGCATGGTGTTGCATGCCTGTTGTCCCAGCTACTCGGGAGGCTGAGGCAGGAGAATTGCTTGAAACCGGGAGGCATAGGCTGCAGTAAGCCAAGATCGTGCCACTGCACTACAGCCTGGGCGACAGAGTGAGACTCCATCTCAATAAATAAATAAATAAATAAATAAATAAAATCAATTGACTATATATGCTAGGCTTTATTCTGAGCTCTCAATTCTATTTCCTTGCTCTATATGTCTATCCTCAAATACTTTTTGAATGAATAAATGGGAAGAAGGGGGAAAAAAAGCCTAAATTTGATCTGAGTTCTAACATTAACTTGTTTTTGTTAACTTGTTCAGCGGGTTGTCTCCATAACCCCCATTTCCTCCTCCATAAAATGAGAGATTGAACTGAAAGACTCTTACAACTCCAACAATCATGATTTTATACTCAAGATTTTCCTTGACATACTACAAACAACACACATCCAATTTGTCAAGTAATCAAGAAATATTTCTAAAACTGAAAAATTATGAAAGTAGTTCAATAAATCTATACCTTCAATATCTGAAACTATTAGCATCTGAGGTTGAGAGAGACTTTCCTGAAGACCGTAGAAATGGATTGTACTGTCAAATGTTATGAAGCCAATTTTTGTTCTAGTGTTGCCAGGAAGCCTAAAAACAAATTCAGAAGAGTATTTTATCAAGTTTTAACCACATACAAATACACATAAAATATGTCCTAAGAGTTACATGAAAATATCTAATTCAATATTATAGAAATTGGCCCAACACAAACAAATGTTTAAACCACCCAACGTTTACCATGAAAACATATCTGACTCAAAGGGAAAACACTACATGTAAGCCAAACAATAAACAAAAAACAGCAATAATACAACAATCCAAAACCAAGTATAGCTATGTAAAGCTACATATAATCACTTAGGAAACAGTATGTTAAAAATACTGAAAAGTATTAATGAAATTTTGCAGATGATTTTAAGTTATAAAGCATGCTTCAAAATATTATGATACAGAAACTCTAATATTTAAGAACAAAGAAAAGCAAAAGCATCTATTTTAAAGAACTACAAATATGTGGAACTACAATTATATAAGGGGAAGAACAAACTGTTTTTCACTCTTGTTCATGCATGGGTGAGTCAGTGACAATCTCATCAATTCACAATCCCCATTCACAATCTACAACATTAAAAATACAAATGCTGGCAGGAACAAGAATGAGCTTTTCACCAAAGTGAAGGAGTTACTCCACTCGTGATGAAATTTGGCCTTCTATATGCCTCCACACCACACACAAGCACTATACTTCATTACATAGAAAGGTCACATTAGCTTTGATGGGTTACACTAGGTCTCTAAGCACCACTGGAAATAGTTATTTTAAGAGACTTAAGACACTTGATAACCAAATGCAATGTGTGTATACTGTTTAAATTCTTACTCCAATAAACTGACAGTAAAAAGGCATTTTTGAGACAACTAGGAACAAAAAATAAACTAGGTATTAGATCATATGTGGAATTACTGCTAATTTTCCTTAATACTTTAGTATTATAGTTAGGTATAAAAGTTAGTCTTGAAGTACGTATAGGTAAAACAGTATGCTGGCTGAAATTTGCTTTCAAATACTCAAGGTGGGAAAAGGTATGTGCATGAAAGGGGAAGGATGAGATTAAGCAAAAATAGCAAAATGCTGAAGATGATGAATCTGGGTGACAGGTGACTGGAAGTTCATTACATTATTCTTCCTACCAACTATAGATTTAAAAATAATGTTTCGAAGAGAAAGTGAGGCCTAAATTAACAACTGATTTGGGTGGAGTTTTAGAACATAATTATACAGCTTTTATTTTTTAATTTCAAAAACTACTTATTCATTTAGAAAATATTATTAGTTTCATATTTAAGCTGAATTGAGAAACTTACAAATCCAGATTGTCTAACAAACTCTGGCAAACTGAATTCAAGTATCCAGTTTCGACTGCATTGTGAGACACATCAAATACAAAGAGATACACTGGAGGCTGAGGTGGTCGTAACTGAAGAAAAAAAGATCTTGTTAAGTACATTTAACAGGATTAAGTTTAAACTTATTTGCTGGGTACACATACAGCAAAACAATTTAAAAAGCATTATTTACAGATTGAGTAGAGATTATAATAAACAGGCAAAGCTATACTATATTGTTTATAGATGTACACTTAAAGGAAAAATGAGTCTGTGATTGCCGTAATTCAGAAGAGTGTTTTCTCTAGAACAGGAAGGGGAAGAGATGTAATCAGAAGGGCCTGTGGCTGGGCGTGGTGGCTCATGCCTGTAATCCCAGCACTTTGGGAGGCCAAGGCGGGCAGATCACCTGAGGTCAGGAGTTCGAGACCAGCGTGACCAACATGGCGAAACCCCGTCTCTACTAAAAATACAAAAATTAGTCAGATGTGGTGGCAGGCGCTTGTAGTCCCAGCTACTCTCGGGAGGCTGAGGCAGGAGGATCACTTGAACCTGAGAGATGGAGGTTGCAGTGAGCCGAGATTATGCCACTGCACTCTAGCCTGGGCGACAAAGTGAGACTCCATCTCAAAAAAAAAAAAAGAAGGGATTCTGGGAGTATTAGCAAGGTTCAACTGCTTGGCTTGGGTTATACTAACAAAAGTGTTTAGTTTATAATGATTTGGTAATCTGAATATTTTGTGTTTTATTGATTTTTCAATATGTTTGTTGGATTTCACAATTTAGGGAAATTATAGCTCTGAAAGTTACAAGTTAGCTTCAGCTGGTTATTTAAACAACAAATTACAGCCAAATCTCATAAAAACATAAGACTGTATTTTTTTTTTTACTTTGAGATGGAGTCTCGCTGTGTCCCCCATGCTGGAGAGCAGTGGTGTGATCTCAGCTCACTGCAACCTCTGCCTCCTGGGTTCAAGAGATTCTCCTGCCTCAGCCTCCTGAGTAGCTGGGATTACAGGCACGCGCCACCACGCCCGGCTAATTTTTGTATTTTTTTAGTAGAGACAGGGTTTCACCATTTTGGCCAGGCTGGTCTTGAACTCCTGATCTCATGTGATCCGCCCGCCTTCGCTGCCTCCCAAAGTGCTGGGATTACAGGTGTGAGCCACTGCACCTGGCCAAGACTGTATTTTAAACTTCCAAATCCAAAGATTTGTTCTCAATTCAGTAAAAAGCATCAAATAGCCACAGTCAGAACTGGGTATGTAGTATACAATCTTCCCTTGGTATCTGCAAGAGATTAGTTCCAGGATCTCCCACCTCGAATACCAAAATCTAAGGATGCTCAATTCCCTTACATACAATAGTGTATTATTTGCATATAACCTATGCACATCCTTTTGTATACTTTAAATCATCTCTAGATTTTTAAAATAATACCTAATACAACATAAATGCTATGTAAATAGTTGCTATACTGTATATTAAAATTTGTATTATTATTTTTTTTTTTTTAGAGAGAAGGTGTTGCTCTGTCACTCAGGCTGGAGTGCAGTGATGCAATGCAATCACAGCTCACTGCAGCCTTGAACTCCTGGGCTCAAGCGATCCTTCCACCTCAGCCTCCCAAGTACCTGGGACTATAAGCACACACCACAATTCCTGAAATTTTTTGCAGAGACTTGGGTCTCGCTACATTGCCCAGGCTGGTCTCGAACTGTTGGCTTCAAGCAATCCTCCTGCATCGGCTTCCCAAAGTGCTGGGATTATAGGTGTGAGCCACCATGTCTGTCCTATAATATTTTTTACTGTGTTTTTCTGAACATTTTCGATCCATGGGTAGTTGAATCCACGGATGCAGAACTCATGGATACAGAGTCAACTGTACTTTTATATATTTTTGCATGTATCACTTGCCAAATCCACACAACCTGCCCCTCAAGAGATAGAAAGGAGCAAACACCTTCTGCTATAGGAAAGTTTCTAAATTTAAAGGAAGCAATTTTTGCAAAGTGTGGGTGATAAAGGGAAACTAGGAAGGTAAATTTAAAAGAACAAGTGCTTCTGGTTTTTTTTGTTTTAATCCAATAAAGGAACATCTACTCTGTAGATGGCTATTACCAACCACTTAAGTGCAACAAAATGTTTTCTTTTTCTTTTTTGTTTTTTGAGATGGAGTCTCGCACGGTTGCCCAGGCTGGAGTGCAGTGGCGCAATCTCGGCTCACTGCAACCTCTGCCTCCCTGGTTCAAGCAATTCTCCTGCCTCAGTCTCCCAAGTAGCTGGGATTACAGGCGTATGTCACCACATCTGGCTAACTTTTGTATTTTTAATAGAGATGGGGTTTCACCATGTTGGTAAGGCTGGTGTCGAACTCCTGACCTCCAGTCATCCGCCCACCTTGGCCTCCCAAATTGCTGGGATTACGGGTGTGAGCCACTGCACCTGGCCAACAAAATGTTTTCTATATAGAAGCTTTTCTGTGGTAAGGAGACTGGTTCCTCATAAGTTTACAGAAAAATGGACCCAACTGCCCAGATAAAGACACAAAAATATATTAATTTTTTTTTTTTTTTTTTGAGATGGAGTTTCGCTCTTTTGCCCAGGCTGGGGTGTGGTGGCGCAACCTTGGCTCACTGCAACCTCTGACTTTCGGTTTCAAGCATTTTTCCTGCCTAAGCCTCCCAAGTAGCTGGGATTACAGGCACTCACCACCAGGCCCGGCTAATTTTTGTATTTTTAGTAGAGACGGGGTTTTACCATGTTGGCCAGGCTGGTCTCGAACTCCTGACCTCATAATCCGTCTGGCTTGGCATCCCAAAGTGCTGGGATTACAGGCAGGAGGCACTGTGCCCAGCCAAAATACACTAAAATATTAAAAGGTAGTGTTGAGAGTTATCTTCATATTCCCTTTTCCCAAGAGATAATTATGGCATGGTGAAAGAGTAACCAAATCAAAAGGCCTAAATTATTATGCAAGTTCTACTACTAAGTGAAATTTGGCATGTCACTTAACCTAAGTCTGTTTTCATATCTGTAAAAGAGGATTAACAGCATTTTTCTAGCTTGCTTCAGAATACTGTTTGTGCTGATCAAAAGTGTACGTGCTTTATAAAATGTAAAGTGCTAATTAAACATTAGGCATTCACAAGCAGCCTAAGCAACATAGTGAGACTCTGTCTCTAAAAAACTTTTAAAAAATTAGCAGGGCATGGTGGTGCATGTCTGTAGTCCCAGCTACTTGGGAGGCTGAGGCAGGAGAATTGCTTGAGCCCATGAAGTTGAGGCTACAGTGAGCTATGATAGTGCCACTGCACTTTAGCTTCAGCAACAAAGTAAGACCCTCCTCTCTAAAAGAAATAAACGTTAAACAAAAAAATTAGGCATAGTAATTAGTTTTAAAATGCAAGACCTCAGATATTCTCACGGGTGTAGAAAAGAACAATATTTGCAAGAGGATCTTCATCACAGCATTATTTCTAATAGAAAAAAAATTTGTATGAAGGAAAAATGAAGCAATAGGGAAAAAAAAACTGACTGTAACTTATAAGTAAATATGAGCTGGCCGGGCACGGTGGCTCATGCCTGTAATCCCAGCACTCTGGGAGGCCGAGGTGGGAGGATCACAAGGTCAGGAGTTTGAGACCAGCCTGACCAACATGGTGAAACCCCGTCTCTATTAAAAACTCAAAAATTAGCCAGGTGTTGGCTCGCGCCTATAATCCCAGCTACTCAGGAGGCTGAGGCAGGAGAATTGCTTGAACCCGGGAGGCGGAGGTTGCAGTGAGCCAAGATCACAGCACTGCACTCCAGCCTGGGTGACAGAGTGAGACTCCGTCTCAAAAAAAAAAAGTAAATACGAGCCCAATATCATATTGGAAATTTCTGAATGTCACATAAGACACTTAAATGGGACTTTACATAAACTTTTACCTTTCAAATATACCCTTATATATTAATTACTTTAGTAATAAACAAGTATTACACTTTTACACATTTAAAAACATAAAATTTTGGCTGGGCACAGCGGCTCACACCTGTAATCCCAGCACTTTGGGAGGCCAAGGTGGGCAGATCACTCGAGCCCAGGAATTCGAGACCAGCCTGGGCAACATAGCAAAACTCTGTCTCTAATAAAAATAAGCCAGGTGTGGTGGTGCGTGCCTATAGCCCCAGCTACTCAGGAGGCTGAGGTGGGAGGATCACTTGAGCACGGGAGGTCGAGGCTGCAGTGAGCCTTGAACCTGCCACTGCACCACTGCACTCCAGCATGGGCAATGAGAGTGAAACTCTGTCTCAAAATAAAATAAAATAAAATTTTGTTACAGGATGCTGTATTGTTTTACTTAAAACCTGGTAATAAAAAATGGGTATACTGTATCAAAAAATAAAAGTTTACCATGTATTCTGAAGGAGCCATAAACTCAATAGTAGCATTTTGAACTTCTGGTCTTCTGTGAGGTTCTCCATAAACTCTGGTCAAAGGGTTGTACAAGAATTCTTCAGGAACTATATAAAGTTAACAATACACATATTGAAAAAACTGAAAAGAATTTAATGTATTTTGCATTTGGCCACTTTCTTCCTTGAAAAGATGACAAACATTCATTAAATGTCAATTATTTTCTTTTTTTTTTTTGAGACAGAGTTTCACTCTGTTGCCCAGGCTGGAGTGCAGTGGTGCAATGTCAGCTCACTGCAACCTCCACCTCCTAGGTTCAAGCGATTCTCCTGCCTCAGCCTCCCGAGTAGCTAGGATTACAGGCATGCGCCACCACGCCCGGCTAATTTTTTGTATTTTTAGTACAGACGGGGTTTCTCCATGTTGGTCAGGCTGGTCTCGAACTCCCAACCTCAGGTGATCCGCCCGCCTTGGCCTCCCAAAGTGCTGGGATTACAGATGTGAGCCACCACACCCGGCCTATTTTCTTAAACTTCCCAATTATACAAGGATATTAACATTTCACATATGAAATGTACAGACACTAGCTGGCACTAGAAGCTATGGTAAGACAATTTCAGAGGTCAAGGTCATAAGGTTTAGTAAGTTTCATTAATTAATGAGAACTTTATGGAACATCACTTAACCTAACATCATACCTACCACTTATAATACACTAGTGGTCAAAGAGTATTTTCTAAATTAATTATCATTGTATCTGTCTTCCTACTAATTGTTTAGAAATTCAAATCCCTATGCACTCTAAAGGTTAAGCTATAGTTCAGGAAATAGCCTGGTTTGCAGATGAAAGGGGCTTCAACTTTTATTATAATTTCATTTTGTATATTAAAGCACCTACACATAAAAATTTTAAAGGTAACTAAATACTTCATGTACATTTTCAGAATTGTTACAGTGCAAGAGAAAGTTCTTAGCCTATCCTTACTTTTCTATACTCAAAACACACACACACACACACACACACACACACACACACAAACAATAAAACTGTTTTTTTGTTTTGTTTTATTTGTTTGTTTGAGATGGAGTTTTGCTCTTGTTGCCAAGGCTGGAGTGCAATGGTGCAATCTCGGTTCACTGCAACCTCCGCCTCCCGGGTTCAAGCGATTCTCCTGCCTCAGCCTCCCGAGTAGCTGGGATTACAGGTGCCCGCCACCACACCCAGCTAATTTTTTTATATTTTTAGTAAAGATGGGGTTTCACTACATTGGCCAGGCTGGTCTCAAACTCCTGACCTTAGGTGATCCACCCACCTCAGCCTCCCAAAGTGTTGGGATTACAGGCATGAGCCACTGCACCTGGCTCTGTTTTGTTTGTTTTTGAGACAGAGTCTCGCTCTGTCGCCCAGGCTGGAGTGCAATGACTCGATTTCGGCTCACTGAAACCTTTGCTTCCTGGGTTCAAGCGATTCTCCTGCCTCAGCCTCCCGAGTAGCTGGGATTATAGGTGCCCGCCACCACACCCGGCTAATTATTGTATTTTTAGTAAAGATGGGGTTTCACTGTGTTGGCCACACTGATCTCGAACTCCTGACCTCAGGTGATCCACCGCCTCGGCCTCCCAAAGTGCTGAGATTAGAGGCGTAAGCCACCGTGCCCATCCAATAAAACTGGTTTTTAAAAACTCTTGGCCAGGGCTGGGTGTGTTCTCGGGAGGCTGAGGCAGGAGAATTGCTTGAACCTGGGAGGCAGAGAGGTTTCAGTGAGCTGAGATCATGCCACTACACTCCAGCCTGGCGACAGAGCCAGACTCTGTCTCAAAAACAAACAAACAAAAACAAACTCTTGGCCGGGTGCAGTGGCTCATGCCTGTTAATCCCAGCACTTTGGGAGCCTGAGGTGGGCAGATCACTTGAGGTCAGGAGTTCTAGACCAGCCTGGCCAAAACGGTGAAACTCCACCCCTACTAAAAATATAAAAATTAGCCGGCCGTGGTGGTGGATGCCTGTAATTCCAGCTACTCAGGAGGCTGAGGCAGGAGAATCGCTTGAACCTGGGAGGCGGAGGTTGCAGTGAGCCAAGATCGTGCCACTGCACTCAAGCCTGGGCAACAGAGTGAGACTCCATCTCAAAAACAAAAACAAAAACAAAACTCTTATATTCCTCTATTTCTCAAATCTTTCAAATAGACACTGTGGATACTGGCATACCCACTTCCTTCTCTAATACTAACAGAACCCTGTTGATTACATTATAGTCCTCAAATAAAAACTGTGACATAGTTATTGAGAGAAATCTCCTCCTCCTCAATTACTGAGAAAACTACATTCAACTAACCTTCTAGCACTGCCTACTTCCCTTCATTCAGCAGTGAATGAATTGGGCAGCTATTCTGTGGACTTATTTTCTTTCACCCTAGAGAAAAGGCGTGGGACAATTTCTAAATAAAAATGTTTCTTAAATTCCTGGCTTAAGTAATACCATGAAATATACCACTTATTATATACCCAATACAATGTAAAAATGGGATATCCATGTAATACTATCATTATTTTTTGCTTAAAAAATAAATAATTAAATTTATTTATAAATATAAACGCACAGAAAAAAGTTACCTGTAGTTTTCTCTGAGTGGAAGGATTGACTAGAGGTAAATAAAAGGGTTTTTTTTTTTTAACTGTGCATTTGTATCATCTGATTTCCCTACAATGCAAGTAGAAACGTTTAAATGTTTCAAAAAAGCATCCCATACCATCATTGACTCGATAACATAAGTTACACTTCCATCTCCTTTGATCAAGAAAGCTGACGAAAGGATTGATGTACGTCCTGCATGAACGGCATCTCACAATTGTACTGGAGGTAACCACAGGCAATTGCTGGAAAAAAAAAAACAGAATTAAATTTTTAAAGGCAAAAATCATCATGTTGAAAACATAAGCATGAATCCATCCTGTCTAAATAACTGTTGGGATATTATCATTTTAGAGAAAACTTAGAGTACAAGATGTATCTAAACTGCCATACACAAAAACCATGTAGTTGAAATGTATTAATTTTAAACCCTACTATTTTGCTCCAAGACCATTCTCATTAAAAGTTGTCTTAAAAAAAAAAATTATTGGCTGGGGACAGTGGCTCACATGTGTAACTCCAGCACTTTGGGAGCCAAGGCGGAAGGATTGCTTGAGGCCAGGAGTTTGAGACCGGCCTGGGCAACATAGTGAAACATGACCCTCTCAAAAGATTTAAAAAATTAGCCCAGTGTGGTGAGCTGGGTTGAAGTGGGAGCATCACTTGAGCCTGGGAGGTCAAGGCTGCAGTGAGCCATGACTGAGCCACTGCACTCCAACATGGGCAACAGAGCAAGACCCAGTCTCAAAAAATAAAATAAAATAAAAATGTAAAAACCATTTTTTTCCTCATTAAACACTCATATTGCAAAACCAAAATAGCAGGCCAGGCACAGTGGCTAACACCTATGTCTAAAATCCCAGCACTCTGGTGGGAGGCCAAGGCAGGAAGATTACTTGAGGCCAGGAGTTTGAGACCAACCTGGGCAAGAAAGTAAGACCCTGTCTCTATTTTAAAAATAAAAATAGGCTGGGCGTGGTGGCTCATGCCTGTAATCCCAGCACTTTGGGAGGCCAAGGCGGGTGGAACGCGAGGTCAGGAGTTCAAGACCAGCCTGGCCAACGTGGTGAAACCTCGTCTATACTAAAAATACAAAAATTAGCTAGGCGTAGTGGCAGGTGCCTATAATCCCAGCTACTCAGGAGGCTGAGGCAGGAGAATTGCTTCAACCCTGGGAGGCAGAGGTTGCAGTGAGCCAAGATTACACCACTGTACTCCAGCCTGGGCAACAGAGCAAGACTCCATCTTGGAAATAAATTAAAAAAATATATATATATATATCCCAGTGCTTTGGAAGGCCAAAGCAGGAGGATCACTTGAGGCTGGGAGGTAGAGACCAACCTGAGCAACACAGCAACAGCCCATCTCTACCAAAAAAAAAGAGTTTTTAAATAAATAAATAATAAGTTAAAAAAATAAAACCAAGATGGTAAATTTACAATGTACTTTTGGCATAAATGGCAAAGAAAAAAAAATCAACATTCTAAAATATATGACCAATGAAACTATTACAAAGTTTGTTGATGTTACATTAAGAAGCTTACTTAGTTCTCAACTATAATAAAGTAAGGTGAGGTTAATTTAAATAACCAGTTAAACTTTGGAATTACACTCCTAGTTAAAGTTTATCCTACATATTAAAAGTTCTAAAGTCTTAGCTGGGTATAGTGGCCAATGCCTACAGTACCACTTACTCTGTCTGGAGGCTGAGGCAGGAGGACTGCTTGAGCCCAAGAGTTCAAGGCTGCAGTGAGCTATGATCATGGAACTGCACTCTAACCTGGGTGACAACGAGAGACCCGGTCTCTAATAAATAAATAAATAAATAACAGTAAATACGTGGGAAGGGTCTTTGTAAGACTATCAGATTTGGGGAGATTTGTTTTGATTTACCAGAAACCCTGAGACAGGTGAACACTGATCAACTTAACTGAGAGCCAGTGCCTTGGACAACAAAGTGACATAGCATCTCATCTTTAAAGAAAGGTTTTATTTATCTTTTTTTTTTTTTTTGAGACAGTCTCACTCTATTGCCCAGACTGGAGTACAGTGTGGGATCTTGGCTCACTGCAACCTCCACCTCCCGGGTTCAAGCGATTCCCTTGCCTCAGCCTCCCCAGTAGCTGGGATTATAGGTGTGCATCACCATGCTTGGCTAAATTTTCTATTTCTGGTAGAGACGAGTTTCACCACGTTGGCCAGGCTGGTCTTGAATTCCTGACCTCAGGTGATCTGCCCGCCTCAGCCTCCCAAAGTGCTAGGATTACAGGTGTGAGCCACTGCACCTGGCCTTTATTTTTTTTTTTTAAGATAAGGATCTCATACCCAATCCTGGGCAATGCAGTTAAGACTCTGCTTCTTAAAAAAAAAAAAAAAAATCAATACAGGCAATAAAATTATATCACCACCAAAAAAATCCTATCACCAAAAGTAGTGTGTTTTGGGAAAGTCAGCAATCCTCAAGAGTATGTGGCCACAGAGCTTTAGGACAAAGGTAGATCAGTTTCTTTTTTCTTCTGAAATAACTTTTCTTTTTGGATACAGGGTCTCACTCTGCCACCCAGGCTGGAGTGCAGTAGTACAATCATGTCTCACTGCAGCCTCAACCTCCTGGGCTCAAGTGATCCTCCCACCTTAGCCTCCCGAGTAGCCAGGACTAAGCTGGTCTTGAACTCATAGACCCAAGCAATTCTCCCACCTTGGCCTCCAAAAGTGCTGGGATTACAGGCCATGAGCCACCATGTCTGGCTTAAAACAACTTTTTAAAATAACAAATTTTACTGCAAGGATGGCAGAACGGGGAGACTAGGGTAAAGTACTTTAATGGGTAAATAATTCACAACCTATTAAAATAGTATGATTCATTTATTTAGTTTCTCTCAGTACCTCTATTCTATTCAGTACTTTTTGAATTTTCCAGCAATATACTTACTTTACCTAGTATTTGAAAGTGTTTAGTAATAAAATTTTTGGTTGAATTGTAAGTAATCTGTCAATCATCGACTTCCTAAAGACAGATCAAACAAATTCTATATGTAATTCTTGCATCATTGCAGAAAATTTTCATCACCAAGATAATTTTGCACAAAAGACATTTACCTTCACTAAAGAGGCCGGGTGTAGTGGCTCAGGCCTATAAATCCCAGCACTTTGGGAGGTGGGCAGATCACTTGAGGTCAGTTCGAGACCAGTCTGGCCAACATGGTGAAACACCATCTCTACTAAAAATAAAAAAATTAGCTGGGTGTGGTGGCAGATGCCTATAATGCCAGCTACTTAGGAAGCTGAGGCAAGAGAATTGCCCGAACCTGGGAGGCGGAGATTGCGGTGAGCCGAGATCTCGCCACTACACTCCAGCCTGGGCGACAGTGAGACCCAGTCTCAGAAAAAAAAAAAAAAAAAAAAAAAGAGCCGGGCGCAGAGGCTCACGCCTGTAATTCCAGCACTTTGGGAGGCCAAGGCAGGTGGATCACGAGGTCAGGAGTTCAAGACCAGCCTGGCCAAGATGGTGAAACCCCCTCTCTACTAAAAATACAAAAATTAGCCAGGCACGGTGGCAGGCACCTGTAATCCCAGCTACTAGGGAGGCTGAGGCAGGAAAATCACTTGAACATGGAGGGCAGAGGTTGCAATAAGCTGAGACTGCGTCACTGCACTCCAGCCTGGGCGACAGAGGGAGACTCCGTCTCAAAAAAAAAAAAAGAAAAGAAAAGAAACATACCACTAAGTCTTTGAAAGGATGAAGCAGCAGCCCCAAAGGAAGTTTGGCTTTATTCAATAAGGCCTGCGTCTGAGGAATGCTAGTCAGCGTGCATCGAAATAACCTATATCAAAGTAAAAAGTATGTATCAGTTGCTGCTATGATTATTTTTGAAGAAAACAACAACAAAGATTTAAAAGGTATACATTTTAATACTGGATCAGATTACAGATGAAATATTTCAATAGAGTCTCAAAATTTTATCCCATTTAAATATTTAAATCTAAGTCCTATGCAGAAATAGAGTGGATGGTTATCCTATAACTAAAATATAGTCTCTTTTTGGCTTGTGTGTAAAACAGTCTAAACTATCAAATGACTTATTTTTTGTTTTGTAAGTCTAGTTGACACTGGAATTAAATTAAACTTAGGTGATGGCCCAAATTGCAAAGTCTATTATTTAAAAGTTCAGTTTTGCTGAAGATTCTAAATACAATTTAAAGGTACCAAATTTAATTTATCAGAAATTATTGATCATATACATTTAAGCTTATGGTAAGTTTTTAGGAAAAAAAGGTATTATGTTTGTTATGAAATTAATTTTAAATGAGAGCAAATAAAGGATTATGTAGAAACAAATCCCTGTACTTTGGATTTTGAAGAAAGAAAGTAACCACCATAATGATAATGAATATCATAATCTCATTAGAGCTGATAAGAACAAAATCACTTCAGGAGTTACATCCCTATTTCTTGACGTAGGACTTTTCAAATCTCTATTAAGTAAACAAGTAAAAGAGTTCTATCATCTGTATCCAGAACTTTCATAAATTAATAATTTGTACAGCTTATTCATAACACCTGATGTGCCCCCTGCAAAAAGCTAGAAAACTTTTCGGACATGCATAATGTCACATCTGAAGCCTTACTCTGGGTTACAGTTGAGTTTCTGGATGTCTTCATGCAAATTTGGAACTGGAGGCTTCAAAGGTGTTGACGGAAGCATGTTTCTTTCTTGAAGAAGATTGACAACTCTTAGACCCTCTGGTTGTAGACTTAATCCACTCATGCTTGTGGTTAAATGATTAGCACCTAAGGGAGTCTACAGATACATAATTTTAAAGTAAGTAACTTTTATTAAGTGTGTAGGGAAGTGGTTAATTTCTCTGTAAATAACAAAAGTGTAATCTAGATCTCTTGGCCAATCTTTTGGTTCTGGAAAAATGTATAAAGACAAAGGCTTTATGAAATATCCATTATTATTCTAAATGGTTATAAAAATGTATAATATACCTTCCTAAAACTTTCTTCATGTGTATACAGTTTAAACCAAATGGAGAAATAGGTTAAAGAAAATCCCAAAAAGTTTACCTGAGTAAAGGCTTGTGGCCCACTTGGGTAATTCAAGGAAGAGGGTGGTACTCCAGTTGCACCAGGTGGTGTTGTGTTCTGATAACCAGGTGGTAAGGAGGGATATGAATATCCAACACTTCGGCTCATTTTGGGATTCTTGTTAGTAAGCTGTGGTGTTGCTAGAAACAAGGTAACTTTTAAGTTCTATTTTATACTCCAGAATACTTGATTTATTTATTTTAAAAAAACATTTTTTTTGGAGAAAGGGTCTCACTATTGCCCAGGCTGCAGTGCAGTGGTGCAATCACACCTCACTGCAGCCTTAACCTCCTAGGTTCAAGTGATCCTCCTGTGTCAGCCTCCCAAGTAGCTGGAATGACTGGTGTGTGCCATCATGCCCGGCTAATGTTTTTGTATGTTTTGTAGAGACGGGACTTCACCATGTTGTCCAGGCTGGGATTACAGGCGTAGGCCACCATGCCTGGCCCAGAATGCTTTAAATCAACACATAAATCTAATAAGTTATAGGTATTATAACTCCAAAATTCTTTGGATAATTTAATACTTTCATTTATCAAATTTTTAAAATAAGACAAACACCAGTAACAAATAGCAATGACTAAAATCTATTTATTTTATTTTATTTATCATTTTATTTTTCGAGATGGAGTCTCACTCTGTCGCCCAGGCTGGAATGCAGTGACACAACCTTGGCTCACTGCAACCTCTACCTCCCGGGTTCAAGCGATTTTCCTGCTTCAGCCTCTCGAGTAGCTGGGACTACAGGTGTGTGCCACCACACCACCTAATTTTTGTATTTTTAGTAGAGATGGGGTTTTACTACGTTGGTCAGACTGGTCTCAAACTCCTGACCTCAGGTGATCTGCCTGCCTTGGCCTCCCGAAGATAGGATTACAGGCCATGAGCCACCGTGCCCGGCCAAAAATCTTGTTAATGGATTTACACTAGTTAATATTTTATACTATAGTAGTAGACACAAAAACTAGTTTGCACAGTTAATTTACTTTCATGTCGGCTGGGTGTGGTGACTCATGCCTGTAATCCCAGCACTTTGGGAGGCTGAGGTGGGTGGATCACTTTGAGGTCAGGAGTTGGAGACCAGCCTGGCCAACACAGTGAAATCCCATCACTACTAAAAAGTACAAAAATTACCCAGATGTGGTGGCATGTGCCTGTAGTTCCAGCTACTTGAGAGGCTGAGGTGGTAGAACTGCTTGAATCCAGGAGGTGGAGGTGAGCCGAGATTGTGCCCACTGCACTCCAGCCTGGACGACAGAGGGAAACTGTCTCAAAAACAAAAACAAAAACAAAAACAAAAACAACAAAACAAAAGAACAGTTAATTTACTTTCATATCATGTACTAAATTTTGTATTCAGACTAAAATTTTAATTCAAAACAACTTTAATTATAACATCCTGGCAGGGCGAGGTGGCTCATACCTGTAATCCCAGCACTTTGGGAGGCCGAGGTAGGTGGATCACAAGGTCAGGAGATCGAGACTATCCTGGCCAACGTGGTTAAACCCTATCTCTACTAAAAATACAAAAATTAACTGGGCGTGGTGGCACGTGCCTGTAATCCCAGCTACTCGGGAAGCTGAGGCAGGAGAATCGCTTGAACCAGGGAGTTGGAGGTTGCAGTGAGCCAAGATCACACAACTGCACTCCAATCTGGGCGACACAGCAAGAATCCATCTCAGAAAAAAAAAAAAAAAAAAAATCCTAAATGGGCCGTGTGAGATGGTTCACACCTGTAATCCCAGCAAATCGGGGAACCAAGGCAGGAGGGATCTCTTCAAGCCAAGGGTTCGAGACCAGCCCAGGCAATATATTGAGACCCACCCCCCCATCTCTACAAAAATAAAAAAACTAGCCTGGCATGGTACCATATGCCTATAGTCCCTGCTACTCAGGGAGGGTGAGGTAGAAGATCGCACGAGCCCAGGAGTTTGAGGCTACAGTGAGCTATAACAGTGCTACTGCACTTGAGCCTGGGTGACAGAGACCCTGTCTCAAAAAAAAAAAATCCTAAAAGTACTCTATAGTCAAAACATAATAATAATAAATCCATGATCCCAATTCTGACAGAAGAAAAACTTAACAAAAAATCTAATGCATAGAAATAAAAAATGTTAAATAATAGAGCCAGATGTTATGGCACATGCCTATTATCCCAGCACTTTGGGAGGCAAAATGGGCAGATCGCTTGAGCCCAGGAATTCAAGACCAGCCTGGGTAACATGGTGAAACCCTGCCTCTACAAAAAATACAAAAATTAGCCAGGGCCTGGGCATGGTGGCTCATGCCTATAATCCCAGCACTTTGGGAGGCCGAGGCGGGCAGATCACTTGAGGTCAGGAGTTAGAGGACAGCCTGGCCAACATGGTGAAACCCTGTCTCTACTAAAAATACAAAAATCAGCAGGGTGTGGTGGCGGGTGCCTCTAATACCAGCTAACTGGGAGGCTTAAGTGGGAGAATCACTTGAACCCAGGAGGCAGAGGCTGCAGTGAACCGAGATACTGCCACTGCACTCCAGCCTAAGCAACAGAGCGAGACTCAGTCTCAAAAAACAAAAACAAAAACAAAAAGCTGGGCATGGTGACACGTGGCTATGGTCCCAGCTACTCAGGAGGCTGAGGTGGGAGGACTGCTTGAGCCCAGGAGACTGAGGCTGCAGTGAGCCATGATCGCACCACTGCACTCCAGCCTGAGCGACAGAGTGAGACCCTGTGTCCAAATAAATAAATAAATAAGTTAATAGTATGTATGGCTACATGATTATGAAGTTTCCCTCTTAGTTTCCTATATATTTGTACAATTACCACATATTATTTCTATAATCAGAAAAAAGAGATTAAAAAAAAAACTTTCATAGCATCTCACCCAATAAGCCACCTCCTTCAATCTCGTCGTAACTACTGTGGACCACCATAGATCCGTTATTGGTATTTGATGTAATACCTAAGAAGGAAGTTCATCAACAAGATTTTAATTAGAATGATTATTACAATCTCTGTATGATTTTAACTAATATCCAAAATTTTAAATAATTTTCTAAACAACAAATAATTTAAAACCACAGCCTATTAACAACATAAAAAATCCAAGTTTTTACATATACGATAGTTTCAAGTAATTTAGCTGCAACTTCAGGGAAAGGAAACATGAGTCTTTGGAAAGAGTCTTTTTTCACCTTACATTGTACCTAAGCCAAAGGCCCAAATAACAAGGCTTTTTCAAAACCTACTCCAGCAAAATAACTTCTAGCAAAAGATGGTTCTTTATGAAGTTTATAAAATTATATACCATCTGAAAGATTTCAGCAGTTGTGAGAGCTGCATTAAAAACCTCTAAGGAGCAGTACACAATGAAAAAAAATTATCAAAATCAAAACTACCTAAAGAAAAAGAGGCCAGGTGCGGTGGCTCACGCCTGTAATCCCAGCACTTTGGGAGGCCAAGGCGGGCGGATCACGAGGTCAGGAGTCAGAGATCAGCCTGGCCAACATGGGGAAACCCCGTCTCTACTAAAAATACAAAAAAAATTAGCTGGGTGTGGTGGCGCGTGCCTGTAATCAGCACATGCCTGTAATCAGCTACTCGGGAGGCTGAGACAGGGAATTCCTTGAACCTGAGAGGCAGAGGTTGCTGTGAGCCAAAATCGTGCCACTGCACTCCAGCCTGGGCGACAGAGCGAAACTCCATCTCAAAAAAACAAACAAAAAAAGAAAGTAAAATTATGAGGAGCAAAGACCTTACTTTCTTTTCTTTTCTTTTTTTTTGAGATGGAGTCTCACTCTGTTGCCCAGGCTGGAGTGAAGTGGTGCGATTTCAGCTCACAGCAACCTCCACCTCCTGGGTTCAAGGGATTCTCCTGCCTCAGCCTCCCATGTAGCTGGGACTACATGTGCCCGTCACCACGCCTGGCTAATGTTTTTGTATTTTAGTAGAGACAGGGGTTCACCATGTTGGCCAGGATGGTCTCAAACTCCTGGCCTCGTGATCCGCGTGCCTTGGCCTCCCAAAGTGCTGGGATTACAGGCATGAGCCACCGTGCCCAGCCCTTATTTTCAAAATATCTAACAATGAGAGTGGAATCCAAATTAATTTGAAGATGACATAAATGAATTAGAACAACTGCTTTAAGTCCAGAGGACAACCACTAAAATAGAATTAAAATCTTAACATCTCTTCTCCCAAAATTATACAGGATTAAAGACAAATGCCAGGGACATCTGTTTATGAGAACTAAATATTTATTTCTAGTTACCTCTACTAAGTATGAGCTCTAATTCAGGAATAGAAGACACTTAATTCAGTGAATAGCATTAACCTCTAGCACCTAAGTACAAAACTGCTAACTTCAATAGCTGTATTAACACGAAGTAGATACATTTAATGGTTTAAAGTCAGTAACTTCTTTCCAGTTCTCAAGACCAACATGATTTTAGCCATGAATTTGTAACAGAAAACCACAGTAAAACTTTTAGGAGAAACAAAAACACTGGGCATATTGTGAATTATTTTTAGTTGTTAAAAAAATGTAGGCAAGGCGTGGACGCTTACACCTGTAATCCCAGCACTTTGGGAGCCAAGGCAGGCAGATCACTTGAGCTCAGGAGTTCACACCAGCCTGGGCAACATGGGAAAACCCTGTATCTACTGAAAATACAAAAATTAGCTGGTTGTGGTGGCACATGCCTGTAATCTCAGCTACTCAGGAGACTGAGGCACAAGAATCGCTTGAACCTGGGAGGCGGAAGCTGCAGTGGGCCAAGATCCTTCCACTGCACTCCAGCCTGGAAAACAGAACTCCAGCCTCAGCAAGAGTGAGACTTATGTCTCAAAAATAAATAAAATAAAATATTAGCCAGGTGTGGTGGTACACACCTGTAGTTCCAGACCAGGAGGCTGCAGCTGTAGCCTCCTGCACCTCTGCATTCCAGCCTGTGTGACAGAGTAAACTCTATCTCTTAAAAGTTTTTTTTTTCTGGGGCCGGGCGCAGTGGCTCATGCCTGTAATCCTAGCACTTTGGGAGGCTGAGGCAGGCGGATCACAAGGTCAGGAGATCGAGACCATCCTGGCTAACACAGTGAAACCTCGTCTCTACTAAAAATACAAAAAAAATTAGCCGGGCGTGGTGGCAGGCGCCTGTAGTCCCAGCTACTCGGGAGGCTGAGGCAGGAGAATGGCGTGAACCCGGGAGCGGAGGTTGCAGTGAGCCAAGATCGTGCCACTGCACTCCAGCCTGGCAGACAGAGTGAGACTCCATCTCAAAAAAATAAATAAATAAAAATTTTTTTCTGCCGGGCACAGTGGCTCACGCCTGTAATGCCAGCACTTTGGGAGGGTGAGGCAGGAGGATCACCTGAGGTCAGGAGTTCGAGACCAGCCTGACCAACATGGAGAAACCCCATCTCTACTAAAAATACAAAATTAGCTGGGTGGGGTGGCGCATGCCTGTAATCCCAGCTACTCGGGAAGCTGAGGCAGGAGAATCACTTGAACCCAGGAGGCGGAGGTTGCGGTGAGCCGAGATCGCACCATTGCACTCCAGCCTGGGCAACAAGAATGAAACTCCCTCTCAAAAAAAAAAAATTTTTTTTTCTTATTTAAATATTTAATGTAACTTGATTTTCAAAGTAATACTGTGGCAACCAATGAGACAATGCCTCATCATTTTGATACTCTTTTTTTTGAGACTGAGTCTTACTCTGTCACCCAGGCTGGAGTACTGTGGTGTGATCTCGGCTCACTGCAACCTCCACCTCTCGGGTTCAAGAGATTCTCCTGCCTCAGTCTCCCAAGTAGCTGGGATTACAGGCACATGCCACCACGCCTAGCTAATTTTTGTATTTTTATTTTTTATTATTTTTATTTTTTTTTGAGACAGAGTCTTGCTCTGTTGCCCAGGCTAGAGTGCAGTGGGCAACACTGGAGTGGCCTTACGGGTTCAAGCAATTCTCCTGTCTCAGCCTCCCGAGTAGCTGGGATTACAGGCGCCCACCACCACTCCTGGCTAATTGGTTTTTTTTGTGTGTGTGTGATGGAGTTTTGCTCTTGTCACCCAGGCTGGAGTGCGATCATGCCATCTTGGCTCACTGCAACCTCCGCCTCCCAGGTTCAAGCAATTCTCCTGCCTCAGCCTCCTGAGTAGCTGGGATTACAGGTGCCCGCCACTATGCCCGGCTAATTTTTATATTTTTAGTAGAGACAGGGTTTCGCCATGCTGGCCAGGCTGGTCTGGAACTCCTGACCTTAGGTGATCCGCCCACCTCGGCCTCCCAAATTGCTGGGATTATAGGCGTGAGCCACCGCACCTGGCCTTAATTTCTGTATTTTTAGTAGAGATGGGGTTTCACCACCTTGGTCAGGCTGGTCTCAAACTCCTGACCTAAGGTGACCTGCCCACCTCGGCCTCCCAAAGTGTCAGGATTGAAGGCATGAGCCACCACGCCCGGCCTTGTTACTCGTTGCTAACATTATTCTTTTCCCGACTTATAATACTTAATGTAATGCTAGAAGAAAACACAAAAATGATAATATTGATTGTATTCAGTAGTAGAATATGGGCAATGGTTTTACCCCCTCATCTGTTTTCTACATCTTGCTGCAACGATTATATTACTGCTAAAATCAAAAGCTCTCCTGCCTCAGCCTCCCAAGTAGCTGGGATTACAGGCACATGCCAGCACACCAGGCTAATTTTTGTATTTTTAGTAGAGACAGGGTTTCACCATGTTGGCCAGGCTGGTCTCAAACTCCTGACCTCAAGTGATCTGCCTGCCTCAGCCTCCCAAAGTGCTGAGATTACAGGGGTAAGACACTGTGCCCAGCCTAAAATCAAATTTCTTACTTTATAAAATATCTTATTTAAATGAACACTCTTATTTCCATTACATCCCAAGATGATGCTTTAACATATTTTACTTACATAAAATTGCATGTAGCTAACATTGATTCCAGGGAGGGGAAAATCAAATTTCAAAAGCTTGTATTTTTCCACTGCTTGTATAAATGACTTTTATTTAGTTTCATAAGTATGTGTTAACATTTACGATAATAGTGGCAATCAAAATATATCTTGTTTTTTTTTTTTTGTTTTTTTTTTTTTTTGAGACGGAGTCTGGTTCTGTCGCCCAGGCTGGAGTGCAGTGGCGCAATCTCGGCTCACTGCAAGCTCCGCCTCCCGGGTTCACGCCATTCTTCTGCCTCAGCCTCCAGAGTAGCTGTGACTACTACAGTCGCTTGCCACCACGCCTGGCTAATTTTTTTGTATTTTTAGTAGAGATGGGGTTTCACCATGTTAGCCAGGATGGTCTCGATCTCCTGACCTCGTGATCCGCCTGCCTCAGCCTCCCAAAGTGCTGGGATTACAGGTGTGAGCCACCGCGCCTGGCTCAAAATACGTCTTGAATGAAAAAGGTCAATATTTTAAAAGGATATTCCTAACATTCTAACATCATGTCAAGAAAAGTAGTAATTCTCCTCCAAAAGCCACCTGACTTTATAGCCATGATTTTTAAAAAATCCGCATAGCAACAAAAAAAGTAACAAAACACTAAGAGCTTTTTTCCCAATGGTAGTCACAGCCCAGCGGATGGCAATGGAATTCCTGAGGAACTTTAAATTGTAAATTCCTGTAGCCCATCCCTAACCAAAACTAGATTTTCTGGAAAAAATGTGATTTTAATGCACAGAATTCAGCTAATATTCATCTTTCTACCCTAAGTCAAAACTTGAGGATTTGACTTTGTTTCTTGGTTCACTTACCTTCTTGGTTGACAGCTGAATTAAATAAGGGCTGGGGTACATCTCTATATGATGATGTCAGGGGCGTGAGGGCCCTCACTGGGGGTGGGCCTCCAGCTGGAGGGGGCCCATGAGGAGCTCCTGGTTGAAAAGTTGTAGGCAGAGGTGGATTCACTAAGGGAGGTACAGAAGGACCTATGGAAACATTGGTTTTTCACACGTCACTTGAGAACTCAAGACTATGGCCAAAATCAGCCTTTTACCAAAGCTGAGTAACTTCCAAACTTACATTTAAATTATAATAACCAAAGAGTTACCAGAAACATGTTAACTTCCTAAATTTACAATTTTTCAATCTACATGCATATTTTACAAATTTCTCTCTCTTCCTTCTCTCCCTCCCTCCCTTCCTTCCTTTTTTCTTTCTTTCTTTCTTTCTTTTCTCCTGCCTGCCTTCCTGCTTTCCTGTTTTCTTTCTTGTCGCCCAGGCTGGAATGCGATAGCGCTATCTCAGTTCACTGCAACCTCCACCTCCCGGGTTCAAGAGCTTCCCCTGCCTCAGCCTCCTGAGTAGGAGGGACTATAGGCATGTGAAACCATGCCCGGTGAATTTTTTGTATTTTTAGTACAGCCAGGGTTTCACCATGTTGGCCAGGCTGGTCTCGAGCTCCTGACCTCAGGTGATTCGCCCGCCTTGGCCTCCCAAAGTGCTGAGATTATAGGCGTGAGCCACTGTGCCCGGACCATATTTTACAAATTTCTAACTCTCCCCTACCAGGCCTCTTACCTGTCAATTATTAAAGCAGAGTAAATATAAAATTTGGATTAAATCACTTTTAGAGTAGATACATTGCCCTGTTTGTTTTTATTATTAATAATTTAAATCTTAATAAAATAGAGACGGGGGTCTCATTTTGTTGCCCAGGCTGATCTTGAATTCCGGTGCTCCAGTGATCCTCCTGTCTTGGCCTCCCAAAGTGCTGGGATTACAGGCGTGAGCCACTGTACCTGGCCAGCCCTGTTTATTAATTTTTCATTAACTGATCATTAGATTCAATAGGCCATGTGTCATATTCTAGTACAAATTAACATGAATAAAATTTCAATGTTATTAATTTTGTAATATTTTGTTAATTTTGTTTACCAACATAGTCTGTTCCATTAACATCAACTAAGTTTAGAGTGAGCCTGAAAATAGAGGGCTGGGCCAGGCACAGTGGATCACCTGTGGTCAGGAGTTCAAGACAAGCCTGCCAACATGGTGAAACCCCATCTCTACTAAAAATACAAAAAATTAGCCAGGTGTGGTGGTGGGCACCTGTAATCCCAGCTACTTGGGAAGCTGAGGCAGGAGAATCACTTGAACCTGCGAGGCAGAGGTTGCAATGAGCTGAGATCTCGTCACTGCACTCCAGCCTGGGCAACAAGAGCGAGACTCTGTCTCAAAATAAATAAATAAATAAATAAAAATAAAAATAGGGGGCCAGGAGCAGTGGTTCATGTCTATAATACCAGGACTTTGGGAGACCGAGGCAGAAGGAACACTTTTTTTTTTTTTTTCTGAGACGAAGTCTCACTCTTGTCCCCCAGGCTGGAGTGCAATGGCGCAATCTCGGCTCACTGCAACCTCCGCCTCCTGGGTTCAAGCGATTCTCCTGCCTCAGCCTCCGGCAGCAGCTGGGTCCACAAGTGCGCGCCACCACGCCCGGCTAATTTTTGTATTTTTAGTAGAGATGGGGTTTCACCATATTGGCCAGGCTGGAGGCTGATCTCAAACTCCTGACCTCGTAATCCACCCGCCTCGGCCTCTCAAAGTGCTGGAATTACAGTCGTGAGCCACCACGCTCAGCCTGAAATTTTTCAAAATGTTTCACCAATACTGTTAAATACTCCAGTATCAAGTTGAAAAATTGCCTATTAGGCTGGGTGCAGTGGCTCACGCCTGTAATCCCAGCACTTTGGGAGGCTGAGACAGGTGGATCACAAGGTCAGGAGTTTGGGACCAGCCTGGCCTATATGGTGAAACCCCGTTTCTACTAAAAATACAAAAAATTAGCTGGGCGTGGTGGCGCATGCCTGTAATCCCAGCTACTAGGGAGGCTGAGGCAGAAGAACTGCTTGAACCTGGGAGGCGGAGGTTGCAGTGAGCCGAGATTGCGCCACTGCACTCTAGCCTGGGCGACAGAGTAAGGCTCCGTCTCAAAAAAAAAAAAAAAAAAAAAAAAGAAAAAGAAAAATTGCCTATTACTGAATCTTACAACTGCTAACAAGACTATCAGTGCCTTGTTGACAAAAGTGAAGACAAAGATTATTGCCATGTAACTCCCTTATCAAAGAAGTGGTCACACATATCTATGGCAGTATAGACAAGTCAAAGGAACAAAGGGGCAAGGTACATGGCCAACTCAGCATGAACAAGAATGTAAAATACATCTGGCCACAAAGATGTAACCTACAACCTAATGTTTAACGAATAAAAGTAAACTTACAGAGATTTTCACAGCTTTTAGAAGACTATTTTTGAACAGATAATCATATATTTCATAAAATGAACATTTTTTCAAGTTGAAGAATTCTTATTTACGACACTGATAGCTAGAGTTTCAGAGTCTGCCCTCTCAGCCCCTAAATGAGTATAATGATGCTTAAAGGTGACCTATTAAAAAAATTCAGGAAAATTTAATATATGAACTAAAAACTTAGTATAACCTAAATACTCACAGCTTTGATACCAGACTATCAGGTACCAACTCTCAGTTATGAGTTGGAAAAAAGAAAAAAAATGAGGAATTTGAAGGTTCTTTGAAGGTTCAAATGAGAAAAAAGAAGGTTACTTTTTAGGTTCATTTTATTAGTTTATATGTTTTTATTTCCCCTTCTTTCATAAGTTTCAGCACTTTTTTTTTTTGAGATGGAGTCTTGCTCTGTCGCCCAGACTGAAGGTAGTGGTGCAATCTCAGCTCACTGCAACCTCCGCCTCCCAGCTTCAAGCGCTTCTCCTGCCTCAGCCTCCTGAGTAGCTGGGATTACAGGCACGTGCCACCATACTTGGCTAATTTTTGTATTTTTAGTAGACACGAGGTTTTCACCATGTAGGCCAGGCTGGTCTCGAACTCCTGCCCTCAGGTGATCCACCCGACTCAGCCTCCCAAAGTGCTGGGCTTACAGGCGTGAGCCACCATGCCCAGCCTCAGCACTTATTTATGTCTCTCTCACCAAATCTGTAGTGGAGACAAGGTGCTCTGAGGGTTTCTATTATAGCTAAAGAAATTTCAGATTATTGATAATGTACCTTTTTAAGAGAAGCTACACCTACTCTTAGTATTTATTTATTTTTAAATAAAATTATTTAAAAAAATAGAGATGGGGTCTTGCTATTTTGCTCAGGCTAGTGAACTCCTGGCCTCCTGGCCTCAAGTGGATCCTCCTGCCTTGGACTCCCAAAGTGCTAGGATTATAGGCGTGAGCCACCACGCCTGGCCCTTAAATAGTTTTTAAATAAATGTTTTCCCAAACTATTTTACTGTGGCTTTGGGCAAATTATTCAAGTCTTATACTTTAGATCTGTAAGAGACTGTTACGAAGATTAAACAAGATAATGCAGGCCTGGCTAGGTGGCTCACACCTGTAATCCCAGAACTTTAGGAAATCCAGGCAGCAGGATGGCTTGAGGTCAGCAGTTACAGCAAGCTATGTTGCAGTTAAGTGAGCTATGATCGTGTTACCCTACTCTACCCTGGGCGACAGGGTAAGACCCTGTCTATACAAAAAAATAAAGAACAAAAGATTAGCCAGGCACTGTGGCACGCCTACTCAGGGAGGTGAGGCGGGAGGATAGCTTGAGCCCAGCAGTTTGATGACACTAGGATTGCACCACTGCACTCCAGCTTGGGAAACAGAGAGACAGCCTATCTCTAAAAAATAAAAAGCAAAACAGAAAAACAGATAATGATATCAAAGTTTGATAGAGCCTGGAAAATAATATAGATAACATTTTTTTTAACACTTAAATTTTTTTTTTAGACCAAGTCTCACTCTGTCACCTAGGCCGGAGCGCAGTGGCACAATCATAGCTCACTGCAGCCTCAATTGCCAGAGCTCAAGCAATTCTCCCACCTCAGCCCCCCGAGTAGCTGGGACCACACATTCATTCATTCAAGTGATTGATGTGTGCCACCATATTCATTCATTTCAAGTGATTGATGCTCACTCATGGTATCAAATGAATTAGAACAAAAGTAACATGAAGGATTTTAGCTCTACTAATTGCAGGTCAGAAGATTTCCACAAAGAAACTTAAGTTTCTAGAAGCAGCTTTAATCTTTACAAGGCCAAAATGCATTCACCAGGGCCAATGTCTGATCAAAGGCTTGGAAAAATAAAGTTTCAGCCATTAACAATTTACAAGCCTGATGGAGTATATGCCATATAAACATACATAAGGTTAAAAAGGTAACTATTGATATTACTATTTCACTTGGAAGCCTACACTATTTCATAAACTTGAGGCTGTCTGCTGAGAAGTATCAACCTGCAGATCCCAATACAGAATTTTAAATGCTTTTCAAAGAAATATTGGCTCACACCTGTAATCACAGCACTTTGGGAGGTCAAGGCGGGCGGATCACGAGGTCAGGAGATCGAGACCATCCTGGCTAACACGGTGAAACCCCGTCTCTACTAAAAATACAAAAAATTAGCCGGGCGTGGTGGCGGGCACCTGTAGTCCCAGCTACTCGGGAGGCTGAGGCAGGAGAATGGCGTGAACCCGGGAGGCAGAGCTTGCAGTGAGCCAAGATCACGCCACTGCACTCCAGCCTGGGCGACAGAGAGAGACTCCGTCTCAAAAAAATAAATAAATAATAAATAAATAAAATAAATAAATGTGGCCAGGTGTGGTGGCTCACGCCTGTAATCCTCGCACTTTGGGAGGCTGAGGTGGGCGGATTACCTGAGGTCGGGAGTTCAAGACCAGCCTGGCCAATATGGTGAAACCCCATCTCTACTAAAAATACAAAAAGTTAGCTGGGTGCAGTGGCACGTGCCTGTAATCCCATAATCCCAGCTACTCTGGAGGCTGAGGCAGGAAAATTGCTTGAACCAGGGAGGCAGAGGTTGCAGTGAGCTGAGATTGTGCCACTGCTTTCCAGCCTGGGTGACAGAGCAAGACCCCATCTCAAAAAAAAAAAAAAAAAAGAGAAAAAAGAATGAAAAAAAAAACTACTAATGAGTGTTATAGCTTACTTAATTTGTCTAGCAGGCTTTCTGGTTTTTGCTGGAAAGCCGAAAAACAAAAAACAACAAAAAACTACTAATAATTTTAAAAGTCACATTTTCCATATGGTTTTCAGGTTTCAAGTATTATTTCAAACATCTAAATAAGCAAAAGTTTCACATTTCTACATTTTAAGCACTTCTATAAGAATACTACCTGACTTTATGAAGCTATTTTGAAGTGAAGGATATCCAGAAGAAACATATTGATGATTTGTGGTTAAACTTGTATTTCCAGATACAGTTGGTTGGGATGATGCACGAGGACAATGGTTTGTTTGTGAGGCTGTGGATGGATAGTTATATTGCCAATTCAAAGGTGGTGGCAGGTTGGCTTCAGGAAGAAAGCTACTAGAAGGCATTGGTGTAGTAGCTGGGTTCTGAGAAGCAGGTAATGGCATTCGGGGAGCAGGACCACTATGAAGCGAAGGTGTCACTGGATTAGAGGCCACAGGTGGTCTATTAAGAGTCTGCCCAGATCCCTGAGAACCACCATAGTTAGACTGTCCAGAGACTGGATTCAAAGTCTTTGCTGGTATTGGATGAGGGTAGGATCCTGGAAGCTGGAAATTGTATCCTTGGCTCACTGACTCTTGTGAAGACAGCAATGCATTTTGGACAGGACCTTCCAATAAAAGGAGGAAAAATTAGTCTTACCAACGAATATAGCAATACTTTAAGAAATAAAGTAAAACATATATTCTTACAGTCAGCAATAAAAACACATAACTCAATTAAAAAATAAGCAAAGGACTTAAATAGACATTCAAACATACTTCCAAAGAAGATAGCTAATAAGCACATGCCAAAACATTCAACATCATCAGTCATTAGAGAAATACAAACATAATTAGTCATAACAGAAATGTAAATCAAAACCACAATGAAGGCCAGCGCAGTGGCTCACATCTGTAATCCCAGCACTTTGGGAGGCCAAGGCAGGTGGATAGCTTGAGCCCAGGAGTTCAAGACCAGCCTGGGCAACATGGTGAAACCCCATGCCTATAAAAAAAAACAAAAAGTAGCCAGCCTTGATGGTATGCGCCTGTAGTCTTAGCTACTTGGGGGGCTGAGGCAGGAGGATTACTTGAACCCAGGAGGTCAAGGCTGCAGTGAGCCAAGGTCACACCATTGCACTCCAGCCTGGGTGACAAAAAAAAAAAAAAAAGATGGACTAAACAGTAGCAAGTAACAGAGGGAATACAGAGATGTCTCAATAAATGAAAACATTTGTAAAAAAATAATATATAAGCATATGTTGGGTCACTTGGATAAAAATAGGCCATCTCACAGCCCAATGTTGCCACAAGATGTCCTGGCCTAGTTTCATATTTGTATTACAATTTTATTTACTTACTTATGGATTGATTGATTGATTGAGACAGCACTTTACTCTGTCATCCAAGCTGGAGTACAGTGGCACAATCATGGCTCACTGTAGCTCTGACCTCCTGGGCTCAAGCGATCCTCCCATCTAAGCCTCCTGAGAAGCTGGGACTACAGGCATGCACCACCACGCCGGCCTAATTTTTTTTTTTTTTTTTTGTAGAGACAGAGACTCACTATGTTGCCCAGGCTGGTCTCAAATTCCTGAGCTCAAGTAATCCTCCTGCCTCAGCCTCTATAAGCGCTAGGATTACAGGCGTGAGCAAACAGGTTGTATTTACAATCTTATCACAAGCTAATACGCTAAAGAGGTGCCTTCAAGCCAGGTACAGCCAAGTGAAAGCCAAATACCATCAAAATGTACAAAATAAGCAAAAATTTGACAGGCCAATAAAGATGAAAACATGCTGGGCATGGTGCCTCACACATATAATCCCAACACTTTGGGAGGCCAAGGCGGGCAGATAGCTTGAGCTCAGGAGTTCGAGACCAGCCTGGACATAATAGTAAGACCTCGTCTCTATAAAAAATATAAGAATTAGTTGGGTGTGGTGGCGCCTGCCTGTAAGTCCCAGCTACTTGGGGCTGAGGCAGGAGGATCACTGAGCACAGGAGGTTAAGGCTGCAGGGAGCTGCGTTCACGCCACTGCACTCCAGCCTCTGTGACAAAGTGAGACCCTGTATCCTGTCTCAAAAAAAAAAAAAAAAAAAAGAATATGAGGTCATAAGGCCAACTGGCAGGAAGACAGATACAAAAGAACTTGTTTTGTGGTAGTCACCATCATAGACCTATTGTGAGTAACTATTACATGAAAATTTTTTTTTCTGACATCCCTCCCCACTATGTGAAAATCATATATGGATCAATTACAAGTAGTTCACAAAAAGTGTAGTAATAAATATATAATGACACCTTCACTAAATGGATAATTTTTTTAAATTCTGAAGTCATTACTAAGTAGCCCATCAAAATAATGGGTCTGTGAGGCCAGGCGCGGTGGCTCACGCCTATAATCCCAGCACTTTGGGAGGCCAAGGCGGGCGGATCACGAGGTCAGGAGATCAAGACCATCCTGGCTAACATGGTGAAACCCCATCTCTACTAAAAATACAAAAAAATTAGTGGAGCGTGGTGGCGGGTGCCTGTAGTCCCAGCTACTCGGGAGGCTGAGGCAGGAGAATGGCGTGAACCCAGGAGGCAGAGCTTGCAGTGAGCCAACATCGCGCCACTGCACTCCAGCCTGGGTGACAGAGCAAGATTCCATCTCAATAAATAAATAAATAAATAAATAAATAAATAAATAAATAAAAATAAATGGGTCAGTGATTGTGAAGGGGTCCAGAATACGCTACTATGGCATAAAAATTATTTTAAGCAGAAGGCATTTGAGTTCCTAAAATCTCTTATCTGCCTAAAACAGAGCCTTCCAAAAGAACTCAATTGTCATAATCTACTTCCCAGGGGCAACCAGGAAAGATGTCAATCTGACTCATGACCTGAGATGAGAAATTTCCACACCACACCTAAACAGATATCATCACAAAACTATCATATCTATTCTAAAAGCCCATTTATCCTTCCTATAAGTCGTCTGTTTTCCAGTAAATGTCCTCTCCCCCACCCCATTCTTCCCCTATTAAAATCGTGTAGAGGTTGGGCATGGTGGCTCATGCCTGTAATCCCATCACACTGGGAGGCCAAAGCAGAACTACTTGAGCTCAGGAGTAGGAGACCAGCCTGGGCAACACAGCGAGACTCCATTTCCACACAAAAAAATTAAAAATTAAAAAATTAGCCAGGAGTTGTGGCACATGCCTGTAGATCTAGCTTCTCAGGAGGCTGAGGCAAGAGGACTGCTTGAGCCCAGGAGTTTGACTTCAGTGAGCTATAATTAGGCATTCCACCCTGGGCTACAGAGTGAGAACGTGTCTCAAAAACAAAAAGGAAAAAGTGAGCATGATAGTCACCCAAGTAATGTTCCAACATATTCAAAATTAAAACAATCAAATCAACTGTGGTTTCAAACAAAATGTAGCATATTGTTTAATGTTTTAAAATTGAATTATATTGCTTTTGATTTTTTTTTGAGACAGAGTCTCGCTCTGTTGCCCAAGCTAAAGTGCAGTGGTGCGATCTCGGCTCACTGCAACCTCCGCCTCCTGGGTTCAGGCGATTCTCCTGCCTCATTCAGCCTCTCGAGTAGCTAGGATTACAGGTGTGCACCACCACGCTGGCTAATTTTGTATTTTTAGTAGAGACGGGATTTCACCATGTTGGCCAGGCTGTTCTTGAACTTCTGACCTCAAGTGATCTGGCCACCTCAGCCTCCCAAAGTGCTGGGATTACAGGCGTGAGCCACCATGCCCAGCCATATGTTGATATTTTTAATGTTTGGTTTTACAATAGTACAATAGCTATAACCCTATGAAGTTTACATCTAGTTTTGTGTTTGCATATACACATTTAATAAAAATAATTTTTGCCAGGCATGTTGGCTTGATCTTGTAATCCGAGCACTTTGAAAAGCCAAGGTGGGAGCACGGCTTGACCTCAGGAGTTCAAGAATAACCTGGGTAATATAGTGAGACCTCGTCTCTACAAAAAAATAAATAATTAGCCAGTTGTGGTGGCACGTGCCTATATTCCCAGCTACTTGGGAGGCTGAGGCGGGAGGATCACTTGAACCCAAGAGATCAAGCCTGCAGTGGGCTGTGATCATGCCCCTGCACTCTAGCCTGGGCAACAGAGTGAGAACCTGTGTCAGAAGTAAAATAAATAAATAAATAATTTAACATTGGGACAGCAGAGAAATATTTAGTATCTATACATTACTCAAATTTTTAAAAACTGATTTGAGGAAACAGCATTCATGGGATTTTATGTGGAATTGAATATGGGTGATGAAGAGAGGAAAAAATCTAGGATGACTCCTAGGTTTCTGACCTGAGCAACCTGGTGGATGGCCGTGTTTATTCATTTGAACAGAAAGAGAAAAGAATAGAAATGTAGGCCAGGCACGGTGGCTCATGCCTGCAATCCCAGCACTTTAGAAAGTCAAGGTGGGAGGATCACTTGAGGCCAGGAGTTTGAGACCAGCCTGGGCAATAGCAAGTCCCTATCTCTACAAAATATAAGTTTTGGTTGTGTGTGTGTGTGTGTGTGTGTGTGTGTGTGCGTTTTTCAGAAATGAGGTCTCGCTCTGCCACCCAGGCTGAAGTGTCACAGCTCACCGCAGCCTCGACCTCCCAAGCTCAAGCGATCCTCCCACCTCCCCTCTTGAGTAGCTGGGCCTACAGGCGTGCACCATTATGCCTGGCTAATTTTTAAATTTTTTTGTAGAGATGGGGTCTCCCTAAGTTGTCCAGGCTGGTCTCGAACTCCTGGGCTCAAGGGATCTTCTTGACTCGACCTCCCAAAGTACTAAGATTACAAGCATGAGCCACTCCACCCACTTGATCAAGGATCAAGGATTACTTGAGCCCAGGAGTTCAAGGCTGCAGTGAGCTATCATTGCATCATTGCATTCCGGCCAGGGCGACAGAATGAGAGCTGTCTTTAAAAAAAAAAAAAAAAAAAAAGTCGGATGCAGTGGCTCATGCCTGTAATCCCAACACTTTGGGAGGCCGAGGTGGGTGGATCACCTGAAGTCAGAAGTTCGAGACCAGCCTGACCAACACGGTGAAACCCCGTCTCTACTAAAATACAAAAATTAGCCGGGCATGGTGGCACACGCCTATAGTCCCAGCTACTCAGAGGCTGAGGCAGGAGAATTGCTTGAACCTGGGAGGCGGAGGTTGCAATGAGCGGATATCGTGCCACTGCACTCCAGCCTGGTTGACAGAGCAAGACTCTGTCTCAAAAAAACAAAGGTGGGGAATGGCAAAGGGAAGAGAGATCGAAGAGTTATTTTAAACACACTAATTTTCAGGTGCCACCAAGAAATCTAAGTGGAGATGTCCAGTATAAAGATATTTATCTGCGCTGGGCGCGGTGGCTCAGGCCTGTAATCCCAGCACTTTGGGAGGTCAAGGCGGGCAGATCATGAGGTCAGGAGAGCAACACCATCCTAAGACGGTGAAACCCCATCTCTTCTAAAAATACAAAAAATTTGCCGGGTGTGGTGGCACATGCCGGTGGTCCCAGCTACTCCGGAGGCTGAGAAAGGAGAATCGCTTGAACCCAGGAGGCAAAGGTTGCAGTGAGCCAAGATCGTGCCACCTCACTCCAGCCTGGGCAACAGAGCAAGACTCTGTCTTAAAAAAAAAAAAAAAAAGATATTTAGCTGCAGCCAAAGTGACAGATTTCACCTTAAGATATAATTATGGGAGTCACTGATCTATGCATAAGATTTAAAACCATGGGAATTAAAGACACCCAGGGAGTATATAAGAGTAAGAAAAATAGGTCACCTTGAAGAACACCAATATTTAAGGAGGAGAGAGAAAAAAACAATCAGAAATGGAAGAAATATTGAGAATACTGCTGTTGAGAAATAGCAACCAAAAAAAAGAAAGAAAACCATAACTACCCTTCTGGTGATATCCTAGAAACCAAAGAAAGCAATTGTTGTAAAAACAAAATAACAGCCAAAGGTATCAAATGCAGCTCGGAAAATGAGAACTGAAAAATATTTTTCTATTTAATAACCAGGAAGCCATTTGTGGCCTTATTTATTTATTTATTTATTTTGAGATGAATTCTTGCTCTGTCGCCCAGGCTGCAGTGCAATGTCATGATCTCGGCTCACTGCAACCTCCACCTCTCGGGTTCAAGTGATTCTCCTGCTGAGAATCACTCAGGAGGCTGAGGCCTCCTGAGTAGCTGGGATTACAGGCGCACGCCACCACACCCGGCTAATTTTTGTATTTTTAGTAGAGACAAGGTTTCACCATGTTGGCCAGGCTGGTCTTGAACTCCGGACCTTGTGATCCACCCGCCTTGACCTCCCAAAGTGCTGGGATTACAGGCATGAGCCACCACGCCCAGCCTTGTGGCCTTATTAAGGACAATTTTGGGATGTGTGGGTAAAGAAGCTAAATTAGAAAGTTAGAGGCAAGAATGAATGCAGATGAGTGCTTCCCACCCAACCAGCAGCTTCAGAATCAGAGGAACCTGCTATAATAATGGTACAAATTGAGATCCCAGGTCCCACCTTTGTAAAATCCTATTTCATAGGATTCAAAAGGATCCCAGAATCTGCATTAGTAAAAAATCTCATGTGGCCGGGTGCGGTGGCTCACACCTGTAATCTCAGCACTTTGGCTCAGGCGGGCAGATCACCTGAGGTCAGGATTTTGAGACCAGCCTGGCCAAAAAGCTGTACGTTTCTTTAGGAAAGCCTGGGCCAGGCGTAGTGGTTCACACCTGTAATCCCAGCACTTTGGGAGGCCAAGGTGGGAGGATCACGAGGTCAGGAGTTCGAGACCAGCCTGGCCAAATGGTGAAACCCATCTCTACTAAAGACACAAAAAAATTAGACAAGCATGGTGACGCACACCTGTAATCCCAGCTACTTCAGGGGCTGAAGCAGGAGGATTGCTTGAACCATGGAGGTTAAGGCTGCAGTGAGCCAAGACTGCACCACTGTACTCTAGCCTGGGGGACAAAGTGAGACCATTTCTGAAAAACCAAAACAAAACAAAACAAAACTGCAGTTTCTAACTGGCTTTGCAAGTTGATTCAGTCAATAAAGGCACTAATTAATGGTGGGAGTCATTATTTGCCTTTAGCGTTAATACATGATAATCAGATTAAGATCCATTAGTTTAAGGTCTTGTAGTCTGCTATCAATTTTTGCAAAGGAAATATGTATACACAAAGACTTAGAAAAACCTCTCAGCTGGGCGCAGTGGCTCACGCCTGTAATCCCAGCACTTTGGGAGGCCAAGGCAGGCAGATCACGAGGTCAGGAAATTGAGACCACCCTGTCCAACATGGTGAAACCCCGTCTCTACTAAATATACAAAAATTAGCTGAGCATGGTGGTGCACGCCTGTAGTCCCAGCTACTCGGGAGGCTGAGGCAGGAGAATCACTTGAACCCGGGAGGCAGAGGCTGCAGTGAGCCAAGATCTGCACCACTGCACTCCAGCCTGGGTGACAGCGTGAGACTCCGTCTCAAAAAATATATATATATATTTTTTTTTTTTGAAAAAGGCTACTGTTAGGTCTTTTGTTTTTTATTAATTTATTTATTTTTGTGACAGGTTCTCACTCTGTTGCCCAGGCTAGAGGGTAGTGGCATGATCATGGCTCATTGCAGCCTTAACCTCCTGGACACAGGTGATCCTCCTACCTCAGCCTCCTGAGTAGCTGGGACCACAGGCTGGCACCACTACACTGGACTAATTTTTCTTACTTTTTTATAGATATGGGGTCTTCCTATGTTGCCTACCCTGGTCTGAACTCCTAGGCTCAAGCAGCCCTCCTGCCTTGGCCTCCCAAAGTGCTGGGATTACAGGTGTGAGCCACTGCACCCGGCCTATTTATTTATTTTTGAGACAAGATACTGCCATGTCACCCAGGTTGTAGTGCAGTTGTGCAATTGTAGCTCACTGCAGTCTTGACCTCCTGGGGTCAAGTGATCTTCCTGTCTCAGCCTCCCCAGTAGCTGGGACTACTGGGCCCGCACCATGCCTATTTTTTAAAAATTCTTTGTAGAGACAGGTTCTCACTATGTTGCCGAGGGTGGTCTTGAATTCTTGGGCTAAAACAATCCTAGCACCTCGGCCTCCCAAAGTGCTGACATTACAGGTGTGAGCCACCACACCTGGTGAGGTCTTTTGACTATAATATATAAAATATCTGTGCTAGATGTTGTGGCTCATGCCTGTAATCCTAGCTCTTTGGGAGGCCAAGGCAGGAGGATTACTTGAGTCCAGGAGTTCAAGACCATCCTGGGCAACAGAGTGCAGCTCTGTTTTCTAAAAAAAACTGTTTAGTTAGCCAGGTTTCAGGGCATGTGCCTGTAGTCCTAGCTTCACAGGAGGCTGACGTGGGAGGATCACTTCAGCCAGGAGGTTCGAGGCTGCAGTGAGCCATGATCAAGTGACTACACTTCAACTTGGGTGACAGAGCAAGACCCAGGCTCTTTAAAAAACAAACAAACAAACGAAACTGGAACGGGTATGGTGGCTCACACCTGTAATGCCAGCACTTTGGGAGGCTGAGGCAGGAGGATCATGAGGTCAGCAGATAGAGGCCATCCTGGCCAACATGGTGAAACCCCGTCTCCACTAAAAATACAAAAATTAGGCCGAGCACAGTGGCTCATAACTGTAATCCCAGCACTTTGGGAGGCAGAGGCGGGCAGATCACGAGGTCAGGAGATTGAGACCATCCTAGCTAATATGGTGAAACGCTGTCTCTACTAAAAAAAAAAAAAAAATACAAAAAATTAGCCGGGTGTGGTGGCGGGCACCTATTGTCCCAGCTACTCGGGAGGCTGAGGCAAGAGAATGGCATGAACCCAGGAGGCGGAGCTTGCAGCGAGCCAAGATCGCACCACTGCACTCCAGCATGGGTGACAGAGTGAGACTCCGTCTCAAAAAAACAAAAACAAAAACAAAACAAAACAAACAAACAAAATACAAAATCAGCCAGGCATGGTGGCATGTGCTACAGGTGCCTGTAACCCCAGCTACTCGGGAAGCTGAGGCAGGAGAATCGCTTGAACCTGGGAGGTGGAGGTTGCAGTGAGCTGAGATCGCACCACTGCACTCCAGCCTGGCAACACAGCAAGACTCCGTCTCAAAAACAAAAAACACCAAACTGGCCAGGCACAGTGGCTCACGCCTGTAATCCCGGCACTTTAGTAGGCCGAGGTGGGCGGATCACCTGAGCTCGGGAGTTCGAGACCAGCCTGGGCAACGTGGCGAAACCCCGTCTCTACTAAATATACAAAAATTAGCTAGACATAGTGGCGCATGCCTGTAGTCCCAGTTGCTCAGGAGGCTGAGGCAGAATTGCTTGAACCCAGGAGATGGAGGTTGCAGTGAGCCAAGATCACGCCACTGCACTCCAGCCTGGGCAATAGAGAAAGACTATCTCAAAAACAAAAAACAAAAGCAAACTGAAGATCTAATTATACTGTAATATGTAATTTAAGCAAACTTCATTAAATACTTAAGACTTTTCGGCCAGGCGCGGTGGCTCACGCCTGTAATCCCAGCACTTTGGGAGGCCGACGCGGGCGGATCACCTGAGGTCAGGAGTTTGAGACCAGCCTGACCAATGTGATGAAACCCTGTCTCTACTAAAAATACAAAAATTAGCCGGGTGTGGTGGCATGCACCTGTAATCCCAGTTGCTCAGGAGGCTGAGGCAGGAGAATTGCTTGAATCTGGGAGGCAGAGGTTGCAATGAGCCATTGCACTCTAGCCTGGGCAACAAAAGTGAAACTCCATCAAAAAAAAAAAAAAAAAGAGTTTTCAACAGAATATGCAAGCATCAACTACTGCTTTGGAATAGTTAAGCAAAACTAGATCCCAGCATTGAAACGTTTTCTCACCTTCTTGAAAAATATCCTGTTCTCCAACTTGATACCATATCCCTACTCTCTGTATTATTAGCAGGATGAACAATAAAACAACCCAGGCTAGGCTTGGTAGCTCATGCCTCTAATCCCAGCACTTTGGAAGGCTGAGTCAGGAGGATCACTTGAGGTCAGGAATTTCAGACCAGCCTAGGCAACATAGAGAGACTCATCTCTACAAAATATATATAAAACATTATATATATAATATACATATATCTTTACATTAGGCCGGGCGTGGTGGCTCATGCCTGTAATCCCAGCACTTTGGGATGCCAGGGTGGGCGGATCATTATGAGGTTTGGAGTTCAAGACCAGCCTGGCCAACATGGTGAAACCCCATCTCTACTAAAAATACAAAAATTAGCCGGTTGTGGTGGCACAGGCCTGTAATCCCAGCTACTCGGGAGGCTGAGGCACGAGAATCACTTGAACCTGAGACATGGAGGTTGCAGTGAGCCGAGATCGAGCCATTGTACTCCAGCCTGGGCAACAGAGTGAAACTCTGACTCAAAAAATAATAATAAAATATATACATTATATATATATATTATATACTTATATAAAAAATGGGGCCTGGTGGTATGCACCTGTAGTTCTAGCTACTGGGGAGGCTGAGGTGTGAGGATTGCTTGAGCCCAGGAGTGACAGTGAGTTGTGATCCTGCCACTGCACTCCAGCTTGAGGGACAGTTTAAGTAAGATCCTGTCTCAAAAAAAAAAAAAAGGCAAAATACAAAAAACCTGTAGAGGCCAGGCACAGTGGCTCATGCCTGTAATCCCAGCACTTTGGGAGACCAAGGTGGGTGGATCACTAGAGGTCAGGAGTTTGACATCAGCCTGACCAGCATGGTGAAACCCCGTCTCTACTAAAAATATAAAAATTAGCTGGGTGTGGTGACACGTGCCTGTAATCCCAGCTACTTCAGAGGCTGAGGCAGGAGAATTGCTTGAACCTGGGAGGAGGAGGTTGCAGTGAGCCGAGATAGCGCCATTGCACTCCAGCCTGGGAGACAAAAGCAAAACTCCGTCTCAAAAAACAAACAAACAAACAAACAAACAAAAAACCCTGTAGAAATGGAACTTATAAAAAGACTATGAAAATTATATTTTAAAAAAGAGGTCTGGGTACCGTGGATCAGGCCTGTAATTACAGCACTTTGGAAGGTTAAGGAGGCAGGAGAATCGCTTGAACCCAGGAATCAGAGGTTGCAGTGAGCCAAGATCACCACCACTGCACTCCAGCCTGGGCAACAGAACAAGACTCCATCTCAAAAAAAAAAAAAAAGATGTGGAACAAATGTCTGTTGGACTGTATCAAATCAACATAGTGACAGTATCTCTAATACAGCATACCACAGTGGTCAAATCCCTTTAACATTTCAATATTATGACAACTACACTCATATATAAATGTTGAAGCACATTTGAGGATTTGTCATTTAAAGTTAATGTAAAACTGCAATTTATAGATTATAAGAAAAATCCATAGCCATGTAACATTTTTTCTCATCCTCAGTGTAAATGTTACTAAATATTCTAGAATAAAATGTAGTGTACATAATCTGTTACCATAATTTTGAGAAAGAATGGTTAACTCAGTACCCTTTCAGTGGCTTTCCTCCACTTATTCTTTCTTCTGCCCACATAGTTGCCTACTCACAGACATTTTTAAAAGTCTTTTAGAGCCATCTTTGTAAAGAAAACAGCGGTCTTCTCTAAAAACAATGTAAATTAGAGATTTTAGTCACTGTCTGTATTCTCCAACTTCACAGAACTCTTAGACTCTAATGGGCAACTTAAGTTCTTTAGCATTATTCTACTAGTCTTATTTCTGTAAACCAAAGATTTGTAAGTAAATTGGTAAGTAGGCAATCTGTCGGCAGAAAGTCTTTGTCTATTGTAACAACTGAAATAATCTTAGCAAATCACAATGTAGGACGATTTAAGGAATCCTAGAAGAGGTATAAAATTATAAGACATTCTCACATCAAATGACAAACTATAATGTACATGTAGACTCTTGTCAGAGATTCAGAGAGTTGTGTCCACCCACTTTCCAAATGCTGTCCAGACATCTAGAAGTCAACCAGGAGATCCTCCCTTCTATTTGGTTTTTCCACAGCTGAAACATTGAACAGCTGTTGTAGGTACAATTCTGGGAAGGTTCTGGGAGAGATGAGTAGGCCCTAAAGGGGTGTCCCAAAAGCATGCATTCATCTCCAGAAACTCAGACTGAGTACGACCCCCACCCCACTTCAGGGCCTGCGGAACCCAGAAGAATCAGACCCCACATCCTGCTCTCTAGGAGACTGGGGTGAGGTGGCAAGGAAGGCGAAGGCACACAAACACTATGATCCTTATATTCGAGTTTTGAGGCATTTTCTCACCCGTGTTTCACCCAGGGCGTTGCATACAGCAGGTGCTCATTTACTGTTTTGGTGACCGACTAAATAAATGTGAAAGACTGAGACGAGCCTGGGGCTACAGGTGCACAACTGCCGTGGTCCCCTGGCCCAGCCGCCCACCACCATCCGCGCCAGAACCCGGTAAGGAGGTCACTCTCTCTATCTATGTCGCCTCAAGCAGCAGTGGCACGCAAAGGTCAGTCAGCCCTGGCCAGGCTGCGCCCTCCCCCCGGACAGCACTCACCGTTGGTGTAGGGAGACCCCGAGGCCAAGGCGGCTCCGTTCTGGGCCTGGAGGCTGGCTGGGGCGCCGCCGGAGGCCGGTATTCCCGGCTGGGACATGATGACTGGGTTGGAAGGGGCTGGTCGGGGTCGACAACAGCGCACAAGAAGAGAGCTGAAAGACCACTGCTGAAAGCGGAGGGAGGAGGCTAACGACTTAAGACTGAAGACTGGGAGAAGAGGGGGGGGCGCATTAAGCCCGAGGCATGGCGCCGCACTCTCCCCAGGCCACCGGCGGCCACAGCCTAGCCTGGGAGCTGAGGCTTGAGAGTCGGGCCGGCGGGGCCGCGAACGCCCGGCTAGAAGGCGGCAGCCAAACCTAGAGAGAAGGAGGGAGGCCCTGGCCGGAAGTGCCTGTCAGCCGCCGGCCGCGCAGCCGCAATCAGGACACGTGGCACTTCCGGCTCCGGGCTCGCAGCAGCCGCCGCCGCGCCGGCGAACTCTTCTCTGCCAGCCGGGCTGCCCCGAGGCCACCTGACAGCTCCTGGTGCCCCGACCCCGACGACCGTGCCCGGCCTCGCCGCCACGTCACCGACTCTCACGGCCGGCCGGAAGTGCCGTGTGTCACCGCTACGGAAATTCCCGCCGTTGTGAACGTGACCTCGCTCGCAGAGCCAGGATCGTGGGGCAATCTGAGATTCAGTAGCCGCTTTCGTGGGGTGGGACTGACAGTTCCTCTCCTCGGGTTTTGTGAAGATTACCTGAGACCATAGAAGTCATCGTCCTCTGTTGAGACCGTACCACCACTGGGAGCTGGGGCGGTTAATGTTCATCGCAGTATTTCATTCACATTTCGTCTTCGTGTTTCAGATGTAAATTATAAGGGGTTTTAAAAAGAGGTGGTTAAATATGTGTACATGTTAATAGTGTGATCAAGCCAAGAAGGAGGCCTTTGTCTTTGACTGGAGGACTCAGAGGAATTTTAATTTTGAAACTCGCTGATTCACAGCATAGTCACGCTCAAGTTCATTAGCACATTTAAATGGCAGTTTTGTTTCCTCTTCTAAGAGTTTACAGTAAGGTAAAGAACTCAAACTTCCTTTCAGAGCAAGTAGACTTTTTTTTTTTTTGCAAGTTGACTTTTTTGACTTTTGAAGCCAAAGGGAGGTCGAAACTGCGGTGATTGGACAACATAGTTAATTAATGATTGAGTAATCATCTTAGCTGCCTTCATTCTATTTAGGTTTTTCCTGCTCTGTGCTGACGATAAAGCCCTCCTTTACAGATTTGTACTGTGGATTAAAATGTCATGCCACGCGGTTTCGAAACCTCAGTGTGAAGTACATCTTACCTAATTCATTTAATACCAAATGCCTGCTATGAAGTGTTATATTACATACAAAAAAAAGCCAGATCTAAACCACTGTGTCGGGCTGGGCAAGGTGGCTCACTCCTGTAATCCAAGCACTTTGGGAGGCTGAGACAGAAGGATTACTTGAGGCCAGGAGTTTGAGACCAGTCTGGACAACAGGGAGAGTCCCCTTATCTCTATTTAAAAAATATATATATATATATATTTTTGAGACAGAGTCTTGGTCTGTTGCCCAGGCTGGAGTGCAGTGGTGCCATCTCCGCTCACTGCAACCTCCGCCTCCTGGGTTCAAGCAATTCTCCTGCCTCAGTCTCCCGAGTAGCTGGGATTACAGGCTCCTGCCACCATGCCTGGCTAATTTTTGTATTTTTAGTAGAGACAGGGTTTCACCATGTTGGCCAGGCTGGTCTTGAACACCTGACCTCAGTTGATCCACCCGCCTCAGCCTCCCAAAGTGCTGGGATTACAGGCGTAAGCCACCATGCCCAGCCAATGTTTTTAATTAAATAAATTTTTAAAAAGTGGCCAGTGTGGTGGCACATCCCTGTAGTCCCAGCTACTCAGGAGGCTGATGTGGGAGGATCACCTGAACCCAGGAGTTCGAGGCTACAGTGAGCTGTGATCTCACCACTGCACTCCAGCCTGCATGACAGAGTGAGATCTTGTCTCTAAGAAAAGAAAAAGAATAAACCACTGTGTCAGGCCTAAAAAAGGTCAGTAAAAATTCAAATAACTAAATACTAAATTTTATACTAACCCTGTTTTCATCATTTGCCTCAGAACTTTACTAAAAATGTATTTGCTCGGGCGTGGTAGCTTACAACTGTAATCCCAGCACTTTGGGAGGCCAAGGCGGGCGGATTACCTGAGGTCAGGAGTTCAAAACCAGCCTGGCCAACATGGTGAAACTCTGTCTCTACTGAAAATACAAAAATTAGCCAGGTGTGGTGGCACATGCCTGTAATCCCAGCTACTCAGGAGGATGAGGCAGGAGAATTGCTTGAACCCAGGAGACGGAGGTTGCTGTGAGCCAAGATTGTGCCACTGCACTCCAGCCTGGCTGACACAGCAAGACTGTCTCAAAAAATAAAAAATAAAAATAAATAAATATTTGCTGTAAGTAGCATTTAACAATTCAATTCCTTTGTACAAGATCCAAGTACAATAACTTTTTTTTTTTTTTTGAGACAGTCTGTTGTCCAGGCTGGAGTGCAGTGGTGCAGTCACAGCTCATTGCTGCCTCAACCTCCTGGGCTCAAGCAGTCCTCCAGCCTCAGCCTCCTGAGTAGCTGGAACTACAGGTGTGTGCCATTATGCCTGGCTAGGTTTTTATTTGTTTGTTTGTTTGTTTGTTTGTTTTTGTAAAGAGAAGGTCTTGCAAGAGATCCTCCTGCCTCATCCTTCCAAAATGAGATTACAGGTTTGAGCCACCACGCCCAGTTAAAATCTTAAGATGAAGATGATACTTTTGGTCAAATTGTTTACAGTTTGGAGCCACTATAACAAAATCCCAAGTTATAGATCCAAAAACACTTTAAAATTGCACAGACACAAGCCTCTCAATGTTTTGAAGAGGAAATAGAGCTCAGAGAGAAACAACCTTTCTGAGGTCAGACAAAATCAGGGTCACTCTTCAAAGAGGCAAATACCTGATCTCAAACCTGCATTAGTTTAATTATCTCTTTTTATTCAGCTCCTTTTGAATGATCTTGATTTGTTTTGACCTTGGCACAGTGGTTTGATTTGGTTAAATCAAGGTTTCTTTGAACTTTGTGCTATTTAAGCAGTATCTGTGTGTTCAGAGATTTTTTTTTTTTTTTTTTTTTGAGACGGAATCTCGCTCTGTCGTCAGGCTAGAGTGCAGTGGTGCGACCTTGGCTTGCTGCAACCTCTGCCTCCCGGGTTCAAGCTATTTAAGCAATATCTGTGTGTTCAGAGATTTATTTATTTATTTATTTATTTATTTATTTATTTTGAGACGGAATGTCGCTGTGTTGCCAGGCTGGAGTGCAGTGGTGCGATCTCGGCTCACTGCAACCTCTGCCTCCCGGGTTCAAGTGATTCTCCTGCCTCAGCCTCCCGAGTAGCTGGGACTACAGACGCATGTCACCATGCCCAGCTAATTTTTGTATTTTTACTAGGGACAGAGTTTCACCATGTTGACCAGGCTGGTCTTGAACTCATGACTTCAGGTGATCAACCTGCCTTGGCCTCCCAAAGTGCTGGGATTACAGGCCTGAGCCACCGTGCCTGGCCCCAGAGATTTTAAAAAGTAGTCTAGTTGGTTAAATCAGGTTAAATCAACATAAATAATTTTCTAATAAGTAAACAATGCTTTCTCTAAAATTTGTTCCACCCCTAAGTTGCTATGTTACTGTTCGTGTCCTCAAAGCAATGATTAAGTATTTCAAATGGTTTTTACACTCTCGGTGTAATCAGCACTACAGTATTGAGGAGAGCTGGGCATGGTGGCTCACGCCTATAATCCCAGGACTTTGGGAGGCCAAGGCAAGTGGATCCCCTAAGCCCAGGAGTTGGAGAACAGCCTGAGGAATATGGCAAAACTCCATCTCTACAAAAACATACAAAAAATTAGCTGGGCATGGTGACGTATGCCTGTAGTCCCAGCTGCTCAGAAGACTAAGATGGGAGGATCGCTTGAGCCTGGGAGGTTGATTGTGCTACTGGACTCCAGCCTAGGCAACAGAGTAAGACCCTGTCTCAGAATACATATATACATATATATAGAGAGAGAGAGACAGAAGAAAAACAGCATTTGTCATCTGCCTAACCTTTGGGATAGTAGGAAGGTAAGTTTAAGTAACTGAGATGGGACAACATATTTTAAAAGTTTTCATATTAAGTATTATCCACACAATATCAAATCATTTGATGACTCATTTAAGTGTGGCCACAGAAATATGAAAAAATTATTGGTGATAGCAATTATAACAATTGCTCTTGGCCAGGCGTTGTGGCTCACGCCTGTATTCCCAACACTTTGGTAGGCCAAGGTGGGTGGATCACTTGAGGTCAGGCATTCGAGAGCAGCCTGGCCAACATGATGAAACTCTGTCTCTACTAAAAATACAAAAATTAGCCAGGCATGGTGACGGGCGCCTGTAATCCCAGCTATTTGGGAGGCTGAGGCAGGGAAAATTGCTGAACCTGGGAGGCAGAGGTTGCAGTGAGCTGAGATCTTGCCACTGCACTCCAGCCTGGGCGACAGAGGGAGACTCTGTCTCAAAAAAAAAAAAAAAATGCTCTTACCAATTGTTATTGATATTTCTTTGTTCAATTACCTGTATGTACACTACACTACTATACATTTTTCTAAACTGATGTCAGTAATATATTCTACTTTTTTATCTTTATTGTCCAGAAAAACAGAATCCTTCTGCCATATATACAACCTTCATAAGGCCATTATATGATTTTCTGCATATTTTCAGAGCCTTCAACCCTAGTTAAGAAAATTGTAGGCCCAGGGCAGTGGCTCACGCCTGTAATCCCAGCGCTTTCGGAGGCCGTGGCGAGCAGATCACAAGGTCAGGAGTTTAAGACCAGCCAGTCCAACATGGTGAAACACCTGTCTCTACTAAAAATACAAAAAATTAGCTGGGCGTGATGGCAGGTGCCTGTAATCCCAGTTACTCGGGAAGCTGAGGCAGAAGAATCATTTGAACCCAGGAGGCAGAAGTTGCAGTGAACCGAGACCACGCCAGTGCACTCCAGCCTGGGCAACAGAGCACAACCCCGTCTGAAAAAAAAAAAAAAAGAAAGAAAGAAAATTGTAAAGAACAAAATAAGTGACAAGAAACTGTTTCAGTAAGGATATAAACATTATACTAAGAATATTCCATTACATTTGATTATTTAGACTCAAAACTGGGAGACAGGCATTTCTAATAAAATTTGCTGATATGCAGAAGTGGACTTAGGCTCACACCAGAGCTCCTTTGCCTGCCTGCTCATGACTGTTGCATTTTCAGGTGATAAATAGGATCAACTTGCTTTACTTTTCAGGAAGGGGTAAATTATTTTGGGTTCTTTAATTATTAAAAATACTGTTCGGCCGGACACAATGGCTCACACCTGTAATCCCAGCACTTTGGGAGGCCAAGGTGGGTAGATCAAGAGATCAGGAGTTTGAGACCAGTCTGGCCAAGATGGTAAAACCCCATCTCTACTATAAATACAAATATTAGCTGGGCATGTTGGCAGTTCCCTGTAATCCCAGCTACTCGGGAGGCTGAGGCAGGAGAATTGCTTGAACCCGGGATGTGGAGGTTGCAGTGAGCTGGAATCGTGCCACTGCACTCCAGCCTGGGGGACAGAGCAAAACTCCGTTAAAAAAAAAAAAAAAAAAAAAAGACCGTTCCATTTCTATTTCAAACAAAGAACAGTTTCAGTTACAAACAGGTTTATAAGAACAACAGTTTTGTTTACTGAAACTCTTTTGGTTCCATTTTAAGAACAGTTCCTTTGGCCTCATTTGCTTCTGACAGGACAGCTGTTTGTATCTGAAGTCAGCAGCTCTGAAGCTACATCACAAGTACATTCATCCCCACCAAGCCTGAAAATCCCATTGCTTTCTTTGAAAACTTCTCATTTTTATGTAGCTCTTACCATTCTTCCTGCCCATTCTGGTTACTTTTCATCATCTTGCACTTGAACTGTTGGGAATGAATCGCCTTCTGGATTGCCTCTAATCCATCCCACATGTTGAATTGAGTTCCTTAACCACTGATTCCATTTTTACTTTCCTATACTCCCAGATCTGTGATTACTCCCTCTGCTTGCTCCATCAAGTTAAAATTTTTCTGCATGACTTTTCTCATCTCAAGCTAAGTAAAATCCAGAGTGCTACCCCGGCCCCACGTGACCTGGCCTTGCTACCTCTTTGACTTCCACACTCCTTCCCACTCACTCCACTCCAGACACATTTGCTATTTCTCTAGCTATTCAAGCACAAGCCTGCCATTACACTTATTTCTGTTACTTGGGATACTCTTCCCCAAGACATCTAGGGAACTCAAACTCACTCCTTTAGGCCCTTGTTCAAATATTACTTTAATTGAAGAGGGCTTCTCTAAATATCCTACCTGACACAGCTCACTCTGTGTTCCTCTTACTCTGCTTATGTTTCTTCATAACACTTATTATTGTTATATATTTGTGTCTTTTTTATTATCTTATTTGATAGAGATGAGGTCTCACCATGTTGCCCAGGCTGCTCCCAAACTCCTGGCCTCAAGTGATCCTCCTGCCTCAGCCTCCCAAAGTGCTGGGGTTATAGGCGTGAGCCACTGACCCTGGCCCTATTCGTGTCTATGTGTCTATGTTTATCTTTTTTCTTTTTTTTTTTTTTTTTGAGATGGAGTCTCGCTCTGTCGCCCAGGCTGGAGTGCAGTGGCGCAATCTTGGCTCACTGCAAGCTCCACCTCCCAGGTTCACACCATTCTCCTGCCTCAGCCTCCCGAGTAGCTGGGACTACAGGCGCCTGCCACCACGCCCGGCTAATTTTTTGTGTTTTTAGTAGGATGGGTTTCACCGTGTTAGCCAGGGTGGTCTTGATCTCCTGACCTTGTGATCCGCCTGCCTCGGCCTCCCAAAGTGCTGGGATTACAGGTGTGAGCCACCGTGCCCAGCCTGTTTATCTTTTTTCAATGGACCATAAGTCTATACATAGCCTGTGAATTCCAAGGTAACCATGTCTGTTTCCCTGTTAGACCGTCAGTGAGTAGAGACCAAGGACTGTGTCTTATTCACACAAGTGTGGGTATTCTCAACACTTGGCTTGGGGCCTCACACTTAACAGGTACAATATTCAGTAAACATTTTTGAAGGAATAAATTTAAAGTGTCTTTATCTTCCAGACTTCTGACAATTTTAATTTTGTTTTCTTTTTTTTTCCTTTTTAGAAACAGGGTCTCACTCTGTCACCTAGACTGGAGTGCAATGGCGTGATTATAGCTCACTGTAGCCTTAACTTCCGGGGCTCAATTATCCTCCCACCTCAGCCTCCTGAGTAGCTGGTACTACAGGTGCACACCACCACACCCACTAATTTGTGTATTTTTTGTAGAGACGGGATTTCACCATGTTACCCAGGCTGGTCTCAAACTCCTGGACTCAAGCAATCAGCCTGCCTCGGCCTCCCAAAGTCCTGGGATTACAGGCATGAACCACCGCCCAAGGCCTATTCTAACTCTTTTGACCCTCATTAATTCATTACTATAAGTTACTATTGCACTTATAGCCTAAACCACATCACTAGCACTTGTTTCTAAACTATGTTGGTCTAAGTTCTTTTTTTTTTTTCACTTGAGTGCTTAGTAATGAGAAGTCTCAAGTTCTTTCAGGTTCTCGACTGTTATGTTATATCGTGATAAGGCCTAATACTGTAGTTGAAGTAGTGCCAGCCCCTGTTCAGGCCCAGCTCACCCGGGAAGGGCTAGAGGTACAGTATCAAATGCCAATTCTTTTTCCTTTTTTCTTTTTGAGACAGAATCTCATTCTGTTACCCAGACTGGAGTGCAATGGCGCGATCTCGGCTCAATGCAACCTCCGCCTTCCAGGTTCAAGCGATTCTCCTGCCTCAGCCTGCAGAGTAGCTGGGACTACAGGCGTGTGCCACCGTGCCCAGCTAATTTTTTTTTTTTTGAGACAGAGTCTCGCTCTGTCACCCATGCTGGAGTGCAGTGGCATAATCGTGGCTCACTGCAACTTCTGTCTCCTGGGTTCAAGCAATTCTCCTACCTCAGCCTCCCGAGTAGCTGGGATTACAGGTGCCCGCCAACACACCCAGCTAATTTTTGCTTTTTTTTTTTTTGACGGAGTCTCACTCTGTCGCCTGGGCTGGAGTGCAGTGGTGCTATCTCAGCTCACTACAACCTCTGCCTCCCGGGTTCAAGCGATTCTTCTGCCTCAGCCTCCCAAGTAGCTGGGATTACAGGCGCCTGTCACTACTCCCACCTAATGTTTTGTATTTTTAGTAGAGACCGGGTTTCACCATGTTGGCCAGGCTGGTCTCAAACTCCTGACCTCGTGATTTACCCGCCTCAGCCTCCCAAAGTGCTGGGATTACAGGCATGAGTGGCTGCCCCCAGCTAATTTTTGTATTTTTAGTAGAGATGGGGTTTCACCATGTTGGCCAGGCTGATCTCGAACTCTTGACCTCAGGCCATCCACCCGCCTTGGCCTCCCAAAGTGTCTTTTTCCATTTCTAAACCCAACTATTTATCTACAGATACCCTGACACCACAGTATTAAAGATGTATACCTTCCCCTCTAAACCTACCTTTTCCTCATGACACTTTCTCATGAATAACTTCACCAGCTCCTTCGTTCATTCATTTAAAAAAAATTTTTTTTTTTGAAACAGAAGTCTCACTCTGTCGCCCAGACTGGAGTGCAATGGTGTGATCATAGCTCACTGCATCCTCAACCTCCCAAGTTCAAGCAGTCCTCCTACCATACCCTCCCGAGTGGCCAGGACTACAGGCATGTGCCACCACACCTAGCTAATTTTTAAAATTTTGTGTACAGGCATAGTCTCACTATATTGCCCAAGCTGGAAAAAGTATTTATTTGTTTTTTGGTTTTTTTTCTTTTTGAGATGGAGTTTCACTCTTGTTGCCCAGGCTGAAGTGCAATGGCACCGTCTCATCTCACTGCAATGTCTGCCTCCAGGGTTCAAGTGATTCTCCTGCCTCAGCCTCTCAAGTAGCTGGGATTACAGGCACCCGCTACTATGCCTGGCTAAGTTTTGTATTTTTAGTAGAGACGGGGTTTCACCTTGTTGGCCAAACTAGTCTCGAATTCGTGACCTCAGGTGGTCCACCTGCCCTAGCCTCCCAAAGTGCTGGGATTACAGGCATGAGCCACCGTGCCTGGCCGGAAAAAATACTTACTAAATACGTTTCATGTGCCAGGCACCAAGTAAAAAGGAACAGGACAGAGAAGATCTCTTCCTTCTGTGGATCTGTGGAGTTTATAGTTGAAAGAAACAATAATGTAGATAAATATATATTTTAAACTTTTAAATTGGTAAGTGCTATTGAGGAATCAGTGCTGAGGCAGAAAATAGCAAGGAAGGACCCGGTTTGGGTAGGATGGTTAGGACAGGAGATGACATTTGAGCTGTGATCCAAAGGATGAGGAAATTATGCGAAAAGAGGAGCTGGGTTGGGGAAAGGGCTCCAGGCAGGAAGAGCATCTAGAAAGGCCCAGTGCCAGGAATCAGCTTGCTGTGGTTGGCAAGGCAGAATGGTGTGAGATGAGATTGGAATAGTAGAGGGGGACAGAGCCATGAGAAACTTATAAGCCATTTTCAGGAGTTTAGAGGTTTGGAGAAGCAATTGAAGATTTATAAATAGAAGAATAACTTGGTCCAAGTATGATTTAAGATGAATCCATTAACAAAAACTCAGGCCATGCAAGTTGGCTCATGCCTGTAATCCCAGCACTTTGGGAGGCCAAGGCAGGAGGATCACTTGAGCCCAGGACCTCGAGACCAGCCTGGGCAACATAGGGAGACTCCATCTCTACAAAAATTTTAACAAATTAGCTGGGCATGGTGGTGCATACCTGTGGTCCCAGCTGCTTGGGGGGCTAAAGTGGGAGGATCACTTGAGAGGTTGAGGCTGCAGTGAACCATGATCGTACCACTGCACTCCAGTCTGGGCAACAGAGCAAGACCCCATCTCAAAAAAAAAAAAATCTAGCCAACCACTGTGAGGATAAGTTATTGGAGGGGAAATAATGGAGTTGTTGCTGTAACTGGAGCCAGAGCTGATGGTGGCCTGCAGTAAGGTCTTTGCACTAGAGATAGAGAGAAGTAGACTTACTAATTCAGGTAAAACTTTGGACTTTGCTACCTCTTTGCTTTTGCTAGCCACATGCAATCAATCATGAATTGTTTCTTTTTGTTTGTTTTGAGATAGAGTCTTGCTCAGTCACCCTGGCTGGAGTGCGGTGGCACGATCTTGGCTCACTGTAACCTCTGCCTCCTAGATTCAAGCGATTCTCCTGCCTCAGCCTCCCTAGTAGCTGTCACTACAGGCGTGCACCACTATGCCCAGCTAATTTTTGTATTTTTGTAGAGACAGGGTTTCTCCATGTTCGCCAGGCTGGTCTTAAACTCTGCCCGCCTCACCCTCCCAAAGTGCTGGGATTACAGGTGTGAGCCACTGTGCCAGGTCAATTATGAAATCTTTTTTTTTTTTCTTGAGATGGATTCTGGCTCTGTCACCCAGGCTGGAGTGCAGTGGCGCAATCTTGGCTCACTTCAACCTCTGCCTCCCAGGTTCAAGTGATTCTCCTGCCTCAGCCTCCCAAGTAGCTGAGATTACAGGTGTGTGCCACCATGCCCAGCTAATTTTTGTATTTTTAGTAGAGATGGGGTTTCACCATACTGGCCAGGCTGGTCTCCAACTCCTGACCTCGTGGTCTGCCTGCCTGGGCCTCCCAAAGTGCTAGGATTACAGGTGTGAGCCACTGCGCCCAGCCATGAAATCTTACAGATTCCAACCTTTACAGTTTCTCATAGGATTCCCTCTTTCTCTGTTCCCACTGACTCAACACAGGCCCTTGTTTCCTCTCACCTGTGTAATTGCAGCAGCCTCATTACTTATCTCAGCTTTCAGTCTTGACTTATTCCAATAAAATCTGCACACTGCTGCCAGAGGAAACATTTAAAAACACAATTCTGACCATGTTTCTGTTCTGCTCAAAACCCCCAAAAGGTTCTGCAGTTTGGGAGTCAAGGCCCCCAGTGGGCTAGGCCAAATCGATTCAGTTAAACTATAATACTTGCCTGGTGCTTTTCCTATATCTATTCCTTTTTGTATGTTATTTTCTCATGATATCATTCCTTCGGGATATTAGTCCCCATTTTACAGATGCAGGAACTGAAACTTTTGAGTGGCTAATGTTGGAACCAGTCTTTAACCTGTAGTCTGTAGCTAGATTAAGTTTTTCATTTTAAGTGTTTTATAAAAGTGTATAGAATGTTAATCTTTTTTTTTTTTTTTAAGAGACAGGGAGGGTCTCGCTCTGTCACCCAGGCTGGAGTGCAGTGGCACAATCATATCTTACTGCATCTTTGAACTCCTGGGCTCGTGCAATCCTCCTGCCTTAGCCTCCCAAGTAGCTGGGACTTCACATGCACACTACCACACCTCGCTAATTAAAAAAATTTTTTTTCAGAGATAGGGTCTCACTTTGTTGTCCGGGCTGGTCTCCAACTCCTAGTCTCAAGCAATTCTCCCACATCAGCCTTCCAAAGTGCTGAGATGACAAATGTGAGTCAGGGAGCTAGCTCTACCTCAAATTTTTAAAAGGCTGACCAAAATGCCAGGGATATCAGGAAAGAAAGCGTATCTAGGACAATAGCTGTAATCTTGAGGAGTTGAGGAGCCTTGTGAATTGCCTCAGGCCACATTAGTGTTTATTAAACCAAACAATTCAAGACTAGGTGAGTAGAGAGACTGTAGAGGGAAACCCAGACTGGAACAACAGGCTCTTCCACCGCAGATTAATGAACTCTAAAGAAACCCTTCTGGCCCGCTGCAGTGGCTCATGCCTCTAATCCCAGCACTTGGGGAAGCCGAGATGGGTGGATCACTAGAGGTCAGGCGTTCGAGACCAGCCTGACCAACATGGTGAAACCCTGTCTCTACTAAAAATACAAAAAAAATTAGCCAGGCGTGGTGGCAGGCACCTGTAGTCCCAGCTATTTAGGAGGCTGAGGCACGAGAATTGCTTGAACCAGACAGGCAGAGGCAACAGAGTGAGACTGTGCCTCAAAAAAAAAAAAAAAAAAAAAAAAGAAAACCCTTCAACGCCCAGAGGACAAAAATGTTCCTAGGACCCCTTCATGTTACAAATCATATTTATTAAGTACCTATTTTGTGCCAGGCCCTGAAAATAGGTTCAGGAGGGAAAAAAGTATATAGGGGCCATAACCTCAGGAAGCTTATGAAATGTCTGCTGGTGGTGTGATTATTTAAACAAATAATCACACATATACAATTATATAACTTCAGTGATTAAATTGTAAACCGAGCGCCGTGGCTTATGCCTGTAATCCCAGCACTTTGGGAGGCTAAGGCGGATGGATCACCTGAGGTCAGGAGTTCGAGACCAGCCTGGCCAACACTGTGAAACCCCCGTCTCTACTAAAACTACAAAATTAGCCCGGCATGGTGGGGCACAACTGTAATCCCAGCTACTCTGGAGGCTGAGGCAGGAGAATCGCTTGAACCCAGGAGGTGGCGGTTGTAGTGAGCCAAGATCGCCCCATTGCACTCCAGCCTGGGCAACAAGAGTAAAACTCGGTCTCAAAAAAAAAAAAAAAAAAAAAAGTAAATCATAAAGTTGCTGAGGAAGCTTGTTACCCAACCAAACTGGAGTCTGCTTCCCAATGCAGTAAGGCCTGACATCTATATGGGGGCTTTACATGAGGGTGTTTATTTGCAGGGCACCAAACAAGGAGAGTCTGTCAGCTCACACTTAAGACCTGACCTCCCCAATGGCTTACAAGCCAGAATTTTTTTTTTTTTTTTGTCAGTCTTACTCTCTAGCCCTGACTGGAGTGCAATGGTGCGACCTGGGCTCACTGCAACCTCCGCCTCCCAGGTTCAAGTGATTCTCTGCCTCAGCCTCCCAAGTAGCTGGGATTACAGGCGTGCACCACCACACTCAGCTAATTTTTGTATTTTAAAGAGAGATGGGGTTTCACCATGTTGGCCAGTCTGGTCTTGAACTCCCGACCTCAGGTGATCCGCCCACTTCGGCCTCCCAAAGTGCTGGGATTACAGGTGTGAGCCACTGTGCCTGGCCTAAGCAAGAGTTTTTAAAGGGAGGGGTAAATTTCAGAAAAGCAGAAGTTACAGGCAAAATTGTATATCAGTAAATGAGGTTATACATTGGTTTGGCCTAAAAAGATGGAATATCTTTTTTTTTTTGGTGGGGGAGATGAGGTCTCACTCTGTTGCTCAGGCTGGAGTGCAGTGGTGGGATCATAGCTCACTGCAGCCTGGATCTCCCAGGCTCAAATCAAGCAATCCTGCCACCTCAGCCTCCCAAGTAGCTGGGACTACAGGCATACAACCATGCCCAGCTAATTTTTTTTATTTTTTATGGAGATGAGGTCTCACTATATTGCCTAGGCTGGTCTTAAACTCCTGGGCTCAAGCAATCCTCCTGCCTCAGCCTCCCAAAGTGTTGGGATTACAGGCATGAGCCACCACACCCGGCTCCAGTGGGTCCATTTGATGTGGGTCTGGGTTTCTGAAAAACAACTCAGGGACATATGTTAAGATGTTATCTTTAGTTTTTATAAAGAACCAAACATCTTATGACTCAAACTTCTTAGGCTGTTGTTTTGAGCTACTATTACTTTCTTGCTTATCAAGTTGCTCAGGGCTAGCTAGGTGTGGGGAATTTCCCTTAAAGGAACTCGAGATTTTCCCTTACTTCCATACTTGGTTGGGAGAGTCAGGCAGGCCCCTAAGAGGGGTCCCTGCTCCATCTCAAAATCTGTAACAGAGGACTTAACCAAATCTGGGAGGAAGGCCTTGATGAGAGGAAGACCTGAAGAGTTGAGACCTGAAAAGTGTGTAGGAGTTAGCCGGGTGAAATGCAGAGGTGGGTAGAAGCTTTTCTGGCGGAGGGAAACCCTAGTGTCAAGGGAGAGCGCATGGAGTGAAGCACTTCCTGAGGCTGGAGCAGAAAGAGGAGATCCAGCAGAGCCAATGATAGGCTTTGCTGAGAATCCCTAAACAGCTCTTGATGCATTTAAAGAAGGCAATGCCAATCCATTAGAAAAGAACATTGGTGTCAAAACAGTCTTGTTTAAAGCTGAATACCTGTGTGCTCTCTTTGGCAGCACATATACTAAAACTGAAATGATACAGAGAAGATTAGCATGGCCCCTGCACAAGGATGATAGGCAAATTCATGAACTGTTCCATAGTAAAACAAACATACAAAAAGGCTGACTACGGCCAGGTGCAGTGGCTCACAACTGTAATCCTAGCACTTTGGGAGGCCAAGGCAGGTGGATTGCCTGAGCTCAGGCATTCAAGACCAGGCTGGGCAACACGGTGAAACCCCATCTCTAATAAAATACAAAAAATTAGTCGGGTGTGACCAGCCTGGGCAACACCATGAAACCCTGTCTCTACTAAAACACAAAAAATTGGCCAGGCATGGTGGACTGCGCCTGTAATCCCAGCTACTTGGGAGGTTGAGGCAGGAGAATTGCTTGAACCTGAGAGGCGGAGGTGCAGTGAGCAGAGCTCAAGCTCGCACCATTGCACTCCAGCCTGGGCGACAGAGTGAGACTCCGCCTCCAAAAAAAAAAATGCTGACTATCTGACTACACTCCTGTAATCTCAGCACTTTGGGAGGCAGAGGCCGGAGGATCGCTTAAGCCCGGGAGTTCAAGATCAGCGTGGGCAACATAATGAGACCCCTATCTCTACAAAACAATTCAAATATTAGCTGGGCCTGGTGGCACACGCCTGTGGTCCCAGCTACATGGGAGGATTCCTTGAGCCCAAGAGATTGAGGCTGCAGTGAGCTATGATAGCACCACTGGACTCCAGCCTGGGAGAAAGAGCAAGACCGTCTATATATATATATAATTTTTAAATTTATTTTTAATTTAATTAATTTATTTATTTTTTGAGACGGAGACAGAGTCTCGCTCTGTCGCCCAGGCTAGAGTGCAATGGTGCAATCTCGGCTCACTGCAACCTCCACCTCCCGGGTTCAAGCAATTCTCCTGCCTCGGCCTACCGAGTAGCTGGCGTTACAGGCACCTGCCATCATGCCTGGGTAATTTTCGTATTTTTGTAGAGATGGGGTTTCACCATGTTGGCCAGGCTGGTCTTGAACTCTAACCTCAGGTGATTCACCCACCTTGACCTCCCAAAGTGCTGAGATTACAGGTGTGAACCACCGCGCCTGGCCAAGACCGTCTATAAAACAACTGAATAACCAGCTGAATAAAAGCTGAATAACCAGCATCCAACACATTATCTGGTACGTAGCTACATTGTGTAAATCACTGGTGAATTCAATAAGCACAAATAACAAAAAAAGAAAAAAAAATGAATTCAATAAGCACGTGTACTTTGAAAATGTATTTTAGGCAGGGCGCGGTGGTGATCCCAGCACTTTGGGAGGCTGAGGCAGGTGGATCACTTATGCTAGGGAGTTTGAGACCAGCCTGGCCAACATGATGAAACCCGGTCTCTACTAAAAATACAAAAATTAGCCGGGCGCAGTGGCTCACGCCTGTAATCCTAGCACTTTGGGAGGCCGAGGCGGGCGGTTCACTTTAGGTCAAGAGTTCGAGACCAGCCTGGCCAACATGGTGAAACCCCGTCTCTACTAAAAATACAAAAATTAGCCGGGCATGGTGGTGCGCGCCTGTGCTCCCAGCTACTCAGGAGGCTGAGGTAGAAGAATCGCTTGAACCCGGGAGGCGGAGGTTACAGTGAGCTGAGATCGCGCCATTGCACTCCAGCCTGGGCGACAAAATCGAGGCTCCGTTTCAAAAAAAAAAAAAATTAGCCGGACAGTGGTGGCGGGTGCCTGTAGTCCCCGCTACTGGGGAGGCTGAGGTAGGAGAATCTCTTGAATCCAGGGGGTGGAGGCTGCAGTGAGCCGAGATCGTGCCACTGCACCCCAGCCTGGGAGACAGAGCGAGACAACGTCTCAAAAAAAAAAAATGCCAAAAGTAATTTCCCCTAGGGAGGCATGGGGTGTTCCTTTCTCGGCACGCAGGCCCCTAAAATCCCTTCGGGCGGGCGGGTGTGGGGAGACCAGGCGGCTGGGAGACCCAGGCGGTGTTAGGGGTTGCGAGCAGCCTCGCTCAACTGGGGAATTGGCGGCAAGACTGCCAGGAGGCGGAACCTAGGGCGCTCGGCGACGCGGTCCTGCGGACTGTCGCTAGTGAGGCACCCGCCGGCCCGGAAGGGGCTGATGCGAACTGGGGCCACGGCAGCCATCGCGCTTTGCAGTTCGGTCTCCTGGTGTACGGCCAACGCCAAGTAGGGGATTGCGTTCCCTCCAGTCGCAGGTGAGTGACAGCCCCTCCTTCTGGGAGGACCGGTGGGCAGCAGCTATGGATCCCCTAGAAGGCGCACTTTTAGGGCCAAGACCTACTCTGAGTCCCTGCCTGTGGCACTGCGTGAAGGGGCGCCTGTTTTTCACCCCGGGGTTAGGCGGCGCGAGGGAGGACAGGTCTCATCCATGCTCCGCGGGGCCGTCTGATAGCCCTCGAGGCAGAACACTGCTGCTGTCAGACGCTTGGTCTTTTCAGGAAAGAACGAGGTGGCTGCAGGCAAGCCCCTTCCTTCCCCTGGGCCTCAGTTTCCTTACCTGGTAAGGTGAAGGTGGCGGGTCTCACTGACAGCTGAAGAGGCTGTGACACGGCCTGGTGTTTTCAGCGCTCCCAATTAGTGTAGAGGCAAATTGAGCTTCCTTACTAGTACTGGTTAACGTTTTCCGTAGCCCAAAGTCCCAGTTAAGTGGAAAAAAGATACACTGTTGAGAAAACTGTACTGATTTTTGTTTTAATTTTTTAAATTTTTGTTGTTGTTTTGAGACAGAGTTTCCCTCTTGTCGCCCAGGCTGGAGTGAAGTGGCACGATCTCGGCTTACTGCAAGCTCCGCCTCCCGGGTTCACGCCATTCTCCTGCCTCAGCCTCCCGAGTAGCTGGGACTACAGGTGCCCGCCACCACGCACCGCTAATTTTTTTGTATTTTTTAGTAGAGATGGGGTTTCACCGTGTTAGCCAGGATGGTCTCTTATCTCCTGACCTCGTGATCCGCCTGCCTCGGCCTCCCAAAGTGCTGGGATTATAGGCGTGAGCCACCGCATCCGGTCTAACTTTTCTATTTTTAGTAGAGATGGGATTTCTCTATGTTGGCCAGTCTGGTCTCCAACTCCTGACCTCAGGTGATCTGCTCGCCTCGGCCTCCCAAAGTGCTGGGATTAAAGGCATGAGCCACCTCAGTGGGCCACTGTACTGATTTTTAAGGTGTTGAAGCTTTTCCAAGAAGATTTGTTTTAAAACAGCTAAAACTTTGACATTGTTAGCTGAAAGAACCAAATTCGTCAGCAATTTAAGGTGTTTGGTACAGTGGACAAAATGAGGTGAAGAAGTCCTTTTAACTTGAAAAATTAAACATAGTATTATTTATTTGTGTGTTCTTACATCAGCCTCTATATTACTAAGTGTCTTTGAAGACGTCCTATATTCCGTGTTAAAGTATCAGTGAAGAGTAGGTCACATTGAAACAATGAAAGAAGGAAAGAAAAGGAACATTTATTGACTACTATGAGTAAGGCACTAGCTGTCATTTTACAGATGACAAATAAATGGTGGTGCCAGTATAGCAAAGCAACATGATTATCTACTATTATACCTTTCAGTAGACTTGTGTCTGTCACCAAAATGTTTTGAACTTAAAAAATGTTAAGATAGTTCATTGGCATTTTCTGAGTTTGTAGAAAAGGAAGGTGTCTTCATTTTAGAAATGTCAGAGATGCACTGTCAGTAATTACAAAGATTAGCAGTTTAAATAAGGTATATTTTAACCTTCCTTTGACTTGCATTATTGTACTGGAATAGAAATTCAAGCAAGAATTAAGAAAAAAGATGAGTCTAACAGAAATGAAAATCAGCCTGGGCAACATAGCAAGACCCAGTCTCTACATTAAAAAAAAAAAAATTTGCTGGGTGCAGGGCCCTGGCTAGCAGGCCAGTAGTCCCAGCTACTCGCTGCTGAGATGGGGGGTTTGCTTGAAGCCAGGTCAAGACTACAGTGACCTGTGATCATGCCACTGCACTCCAGCCTGGGTGAAAGAAAAAGACATTGTTGCTAAAAAAAAAAAAAAAAAAAAAAAAAAAAGAAAAAAAAAGAAATAGAAAAGGAAATGAAAATCATTGCCACATCATTTGAAGCTTACAAGTTGGAATGCTATATTAGTATTTCTTTTCTTTTTTCTTTTTTTTTTTTTTTGAGACGGAGTCTCGCTCTATCGCCCAGGCTGGAGTGCAGTGGCTCCAGGCTGACTGCAACCTCCACCTCCAGGGTTCAAGTGATTCTCCTGCCTCAGCCTCTCAAGTAGCTAGGATTACAGGCATGCACCACCACATCCTGCTGATTTTTGTATTTTTAGTAGAGATGGGGTTTCACCATGTTGGCCAGGCTGGTCTTGAACTCCCGAACTCAAGTGATCTGTCCGGCTTGGCCTCCTAAAGTGCTTGGATTACAGGCGTGAGCCACTGTGTCCTGCTATAGGTGTATTTCTACACTTACTTTTTTTTTTTTTTTTTTTTTTGAGATAGAGTTTCGCTCTTGTTGCCCAGGCTGGAGTGCAATGGCGTGATCTCCAGCTCACTGCAACCTCTGCCTCCTGGGTTCAAGCGATTCTCCTGCCTCAGCCTCCCGAGTAGCTGGGATTACAGGCATACACCACCACACTCAGCTAATCTTGTATTTTTAGTAGAAACAAGATTTTTCCTTTTTGGTCAGGCTGGTCTCGAACTCCCAACCTCAGGTGATCCGCCCCCCTCAGCCTCCCAAAGTGCTGGGATTACAGGCGTGAGCCACCTCCCCCAGCCTTCTACACTCATTTCGTTAAGTACTCACTTGGCTGAGCATAGTATTTCTACGCTCGCTCACTTTAAATACTCATCCCAACTCGGGGTTTCACTATGTTGGCCAGGCTGGTCTCGAACTCCTGACCTCAAGTGATCTGCCTGCCTTGGCCTCCTAAAGTGCTGAGATTACAGATATGAGCCACTGTGCCCAGCCCTCACCTTGGCCACTCTTAAAAATTTTCTACTATTTATATTTGTCATGGTTTTATCCTTCGTTTTCTTTTTCTTTTTTTTCTTTTTTTTTTTTTTGAGACAGAATGTTGCCCTGTTGCCTAGGCTGGAGTGCAGTGCCACGATCTTGGCTCACTGCAACCTCCGTCTCCCGGGTTCAAGCAATTCTCATACCTCAGCTTCCTGAGTAGATGGAACTACAGGTGCCTACCACCACACCCAGCTAATTGTTTTTTTTTGTTTGTTTGTTTGTTTGTTTGTTTTTTTGAGATGGAGTCTTGCTCTGTCGCCCAGGCTGGAGTGCAGTGGCGCGATCTTGGCTCACTGCAACCTCTGCCTCCCAGGTTCAAGCGATTCTCCTGCCTCAGCCTCCTGAGTAGCTGGGATTACAGGTGCACGCCACCATGCCCAGCTAATTTTTGTATTTTTAGTAGAGAAGGTGTTTTACCATGTTAGTCAGGCTGGTCTTGAACTCCTGACCTCGTGATCTGCCCGCCTCGGCCTCCCAAAGTGCTGGGATTACAGGGGTGAGCCACCGTGCCTGGCCTATTTTTGTATTTTTTCTTTTGTAGAGACGGGGTCTTCCCATGTTGCCCAGTCTGGTCTCAAACTCCTGGGTTCAAGTGATCCCCCCACCTCGGCCTCCCAAAGTGCTGGGATTACAGGCATGAGCCACTGCACCTGGCCTATTTTTGTATTTTTTTTGTAGAGATGGGGACTTCCCATGTTTCCCAGGTTGGTCTGAAACTCCTGGGTTCAAGTGATCCCCCCACCTTGGCCTCCCAAAGTGCTGGGATTACAGGTATGAGCCATCATGCCCAGTTCATCCTTCTTTTTTTTTTTTTTTTAAAGACAGGGTCTCACTATGTTGCCCAGGTTGGAATGCAGTGGTGTGATCATAGCTCACTGCTTGAATTCTTGGGCTCAAGCAATCCTCCAGCCTCAGCCTCCTGAGTAGCTGGGACTACAGTTTCTTGCTACCATACCCAGGTAATTTAAAAAATTTTTTGTACCGGGCATGGTGGCTCACATCTGTAATCCCAGCACTTTGGGACACCGAGGCGAGTGGATCTCGAGGTCAGGAGTTCAAGACCAGCCTGGCTAAGATGGTGAAACCCTGTCCCTACTAGAAATACAAAAAAATTAGCTGGGCTTGGTGGTGGGTGCCTGTAATCCCTGCTACTTGGGAGGCTGAGGCAGAGAATTGCTTGAACCCAGGAGGTGGAGGTTGCAGTGAGCCAAGATTGTGCCACTGCACTCCAGCCTGGGCGACAGAGTGAGACTTAGTCTCAAAAAAAAAAAATTTTTTTTTTAGAGATGGGATCTTGTTATGTTGCTCAGGCTGGTCTTTAACTCCTGGTCTCAGGTGATCCTCCTGCCTTCGCCTCCCAAACTGCAGGGATTACAGACATGAGCCACTGTGCTCAGCCTGGATATTTGTATTCTAGGACAGTTACTACACCCATTTCACCATAGCATTACCATGCTTTGCATCCCAAAGTTATTAGTGCATTGATTCTACAATCATACTCTGATGTCATATTTGCCTCTTTAGACTATTAGGTCCCTTATTTTCTCCCAATAGTACTTTTTGGGTATTTGTATTTTGTCATCTTATGTGTATTTTTTTTTTTTACAGGACCCCTGAGAACTAATGTGTATTTTTTATTTTTATTTTATTTTTTTGAGGCAGGGTCTCACTGTCACCAAGTGCATGCTATCACATCTGGCTAATTTTTGTATTTTTTATAGAAATGGGGTTTTTCCACGTTGCCAAGGCTGGTCACAAACTAAATATGTATTTTTTTTCTTTTTTTTTTGAGACGGAGTCTTGCTCTGTCACCCCGGCTGGAGTGCAGTGCAGTGGCACGATCTCGGCTCACTGCAACCTCTGCCTCCCAGGTTTGAGCGATTCTCCTGCCTCAGCCTCCTGAGTAGCTGGGATTATAGGCATGCACCACCATGCCCGGCTAATTTTGTATTTTTAGTAGAGATGGGGTTTCTCCATGTTGGTCAGGCTGGTCTCGAACTCCCGAACTCAGGTGATCTGCCCGCCTCGGCCTCCCAAAGTGCTGGGATTACAGGCGTGAGCCACTGCTCCCGGCCCTTAATGTGTGGTTTTATTTATTTATTTATTTATTTATTTATTTATTTATTTATTTTTTGGGATGGAGTCTCGCTCTGTCGCCCAGGCTGGAGTGCAGTGGCGCAATCTCGGCTCACTGCAAGCTCTGCCTCCTGGTTTCACGCCATTCTCCTGCCTCAGCCTCCCGAGCAGCTGGGACTACAGGCGTCCACTACCACGCCCGGCTAATTTTTCTGTATTTTTGGTAGAGACGGGGTTTCACCGTGTTAGTCAGGATGGTCTCGATCTCCTGACCTCGTGATCCGCCCGCCTCGGCCTCCCAAAGTGCTGGGATTACAGGCGTGAGCCACCACGCCCGGCCGGTTTTAAAAAGTAAATGAGCCAGGCATAGTGGCCTATGCCTGTAGCCCCCAGGTACTCAGGAGGTTGAGGTGGGAGGATTGCTTGAGTCCCCGAGATTGAGGTTGCAGTGAGCAGAGACGGCGCTCCCTGGGTGAGAGGGAGACTCTGTCAAAAAAATAAAAAGTGGCGGGGCGCGGTGGCTCACGCCTGTAATCCCAACACTTTGGGAGGCCAAGGAGGGCGGATTACGAGGTCAGGAGATCGAGACCATCCTGGCTAACATGGTGAAACCCCGTCGCTACTAAAAATATAAAAAATTAGCCAGGCGTGGTGGCAGGCTCCTGTAGTCCCAGCTACTCGGGAGGCTGAGGCAGGAGAATGGCGTGAACCTGGGAGGTGGAGCTTACAGTGAGAGGAGATCGCGCCAGTGCACTCCATCCTGGGCGACAGGCGAGACTCTGTCTCAAAAAAAAAAGTAAATGGTTTTGTGTAATTACTCATGTAAATCAGTTTTAAATATTAAATGCCATATAAGCTTTTTAAAATTTGCTTTTAAAATTTTTCTATAATAGCTTTTTTGAGATATAGTTGATATACCATAAAATCGACCTTTTAAAATTGTACATTAAGTGTTTTTAGTATAGTCACATTGTTGTGTAAACATCACCACTATCTAATTCCAGAACATGTGATCATCCCAAGAAGAAACCCAGTACCCATTAGCAATCATTCCCCATTTTTCCTTCCTTCAGTCTGACAACCACTAATATACTTACTCTATGGATTTATCTATCCAGGATATTTCATTTAAATGAGCCATCCATGTAGTTTAATGGAACAAGGCTTTAAGAAGTTACTTGTAATCTGAGATTCTGTTCCATTACATCCTTTGCACTGGTTTTCATGTTACTTGAGTAGATCACTTTTCTAATCTGCAGAGAGACTTTTCCTGTTTGGTATTGGTGCAATAAATAAATCTGCTGACGTGTGTATGTTTCCTTGTTCTTGACCTTTGCTCTTCACATGTCTTAATAGTGTGTTCATGGTGTTGTGTAACCTGTTTTCTGGGCTCAGGTATCTGTTTGCAGCTAAGTAACTTTTATTCTTAGTTGGGCATTTTTACTTCTACTTAAAATAACAATAAAAAAACAGTTAATTCTGTTTCTAATTACTCCTAGTTTGTTTTAAGGTTCCTAGAAACCACATTTTTTTTTTTTTTTTTTTTTTTTTTTTTTTTGAGGCAGAGTCTTGCTCTGTGGCCCAGGCTGTGGTGCAGTGGCTCGATCTCGGCTCAGTGCAACCTCTGCCTCCTGGGTTCAAGTGATTCCCCTGCCTCAGCCTCCTGGGTAGCTGGGATTACAGGTGTGCACCACCACACCCAGCTAATTTTTGTATTTTTAGTAGAGATGGGGTTTTGCCACGTTGGCCAGGCTGATCTTGAACTCCTGACCTCAGGTGATCCACCCGCCTCAGCCTCCCAAAGTCCTGGGATTACAGGTGTGAGCCATTGTGCCTGGCTGAAACCACAATTTTAAAGAAATATATATATTATTATCTTCCAAAGCAGAGTTTGTGTCTTCTTAGATTATCTCTCTTGGGACAAATTTTACAACAGCAAATTGGTACCATCCTTATGCAAAAAATCCTTTTTCTGTCAAGGCTTTTCACCATTCTTTAGCTCTCACCTACCAACAATCATCTTCAGTGAGGACTTTGCCACTTGATTCACAGTCTGTATCAGTGCCCTCCAGTCTTCCAGGTGATTACACTGCCTGTCAATGTGGACAGTGTACCCTCTAGCCTGGCTTCCAGTATCTGTCACCTCCATTTTTCTTTATCGTCCATGCCAGAGCCAGGCCTTGGAGTTTGCCACCACCCAACCCTGAACTTCTCTTGAATTCTTGAACCCCCTATATTCTCTTCCACTTTGCTGGCACAATTCTGGCACTCCTTTCACCTCTCTCACCCTTTTCTGTTTTTGGCTTAGAGACTTTTTCTACCCTATTTTCCCAATTCTGTTCTGTTGAGAAGCCTGCCTTTGATCACCGCTCCATCTCTGTATACTACCTTTCTTTACCTTTGTCCACTCAACTTGAACTTCTGATCAGATCCCTACAGCCCTCTCACTAGTACTCTCAAAATCCTGTTCCCCTTGTCCTTTTTCATTTCTATTCTGGATGTTCCTAATCTCTAGTCACTCCATGTTGAGCACTGCTGGTGGAGGGTGGAAGGTTGGAAATCAGCACAGATTGGCACTGCTGTGAATGTTTGAGTTTCAATTCCAACTGAGTCCTTGGCTTTTTTTGGCAGTCTTTTAACTTGATTCATTCCCCATAGTAGCTATTGTAATGCTTGCTCTGCTCCTCAAAAATTCTCTATACCCTTTCACTTTTGGAGTCAGATTCCCACCACCTCCACAAATTTTCTGGCCATCTTTCCTCCTAATCTTAGACAAGAGACATAGGCTGTCAGTCCAAGCTCCTCTTGGGACTTTGTCCCTTTTGGTTAATTCCTTTCTTCCCTATTACTTCTTCCATCCCACTATCTCCTTCTCTTTAGTTTATCATCATACTCAAGCCTCACCCTTTTTGAGAAGGAAATTTCACTTCCAGGCCTGGGGTGGCTCACGCCTGTAATCCCAGCACTTTTGGAGGCTGAGGCAGGCGAATCACTTGAGGTCAGGAGTTGGAGACCAGCCTGGCCAATACGGTGAAGCCCAGTCTCTACTAAAAATATAAAAATTAGTCAGGCATGGCAGTGCCTGCCTGTAATCCCAGCTACTCGAGAGGCTGAGGCAGAAGGATCGCTTGAACCTGGGAGGAGAAGCTTTCAGTGAGCTGAGATCGAGCCATTGCACTCTAGCCTGGGCGACAGAGCAAGACTCTGTCTCAAAAAAAAAAAAAAAAAAAACTCACTTCCCTTATCCCATTTCCAACATTTTTTTAAACGATTTTAGTTTTTTACCATTTGAAATTTTTTGAAATAGGAATCTCTCCTCACTGCCTCACCTATTAACCTCTTATCCCATTTACTGTCACCCTGGCTGGAGTGCAGTGGTGCGATCTCGGTTCATTACAATCTCTACCTCCGAGGCTCAAGCAATCGTCCCACCTCAGCCTCCTGAGTAGCTGGTACTGCAGGTGTGCACCACCATGCAGGAGTACAGTGGCACAATCTCCACTCACTGCAACCTCCACTTCTTGGGTTCAAGTAATTCTCCTGCCTCAGCCTCCTGAGTAGCTGGGATTACAGGGGCCCATGACCACACCCGGTTAATTTCTGTATTTTTAGTAGAGTTGGGGTTTCACCATGTTGGCCAGGCTGGTCTCAAACTTCTGACCTCAGATGATCCACCCACCTCAGCTTCCCAAAGTGTGTAACTCTTTGTAGTAAAGTTGCTGTAGGATTATCTACTCAGAGTTGGTGTTTAACAGTATTGGAGTTTAATGTATATTGGTGTTTAATGTTGACTACTAAATTCAAACTCTTTTTTTTCAGACCCTATCAGATTTGGATATGTCCTTCATATTTGATTGGATTTACAGTGGTTTCAGCAGTGTGCTACAGTTTTTAGGTAATGTTGGTCCTTTGTTCTCTACAGTTATCCCCTTTGGTCTTATTTATTTAATAGTGCTTATCTGTGTCAAGTCTCTTTATAGATAAGCCAGTAGTAAAGAATAGTTAAGAATATGGGCTTTGAAATCATACATAGATGTTCAATTACTCATTGTATCCCTTTTAAATTAAGTAATCTTTGGCAAATTACTTTTTTCACCTTAGCCTGAGTTTTCTTATCTGTAAAATGGCAGTAATAATTCCTACCTCTTAAGGTGTTGGGAATATTACTAACAGAACTATCTACCATTTATTAGCTAGTTTACCTATATGCTTTAATGCTTTATGTCATTTAATCCTTACAGGATTATTATTAAAATGCATGTTCCATAAAGTAGCTTGTACACCATAAATAGCAGTTTTTAATAAGCCAAATGAGACTTCTTTACCCAGCAGTTCTTTTTTTTTTTTTTTTTAATTTTATAGAGACGGAGTCTTGCTATGTTGCCCAGGCTGGTGTTTTGTTTGTTTGTTTGTTTCTGAGATGGAGTCTCGCTCTGTCGCCCAGGCTGGAGTGCAGTGGCGTGATCTCAGCTCACTGCAAACTCCACCTCCCAGGTTCAAGCGATTCTCCTGCCTCAACCTCCCGAGTAGCTGGTACTACAGGTGTGTGCCACCACACCAGCTAATTTTTGTATTTTTTGTAAAGATGGGGCTTTGCCATGTTGGCCAGGCTGGTCTTAAACTCCTGAGCTCGAGTGATCTGCCCACCTCAGCCTCCCAAAGTGCTAGGATTACAGGCATGAACCACTGTGCCCAGCCTTGCTACAGTTTTTTCTTTTTCTTTTTTTTTTTTTTTGAGACAGAGTCTCACTCTGTTGCCCAGGTTGGAGCGCAGTGGTGCGATCTCAGCTCACTGCAACCTTCGCCTCCTGGTTCAAGCAATTCTCCTGCCTCAGCCTCCCGAGTATCTGGGATTACAGGCATATACTATCATGCCTGGCTAATTTTTTGTATTTTTAGTAGAGATGGGGTTTCACCGTGTTGGCCAATCTGGTCTCGAACTCCTGACCTCAAATGTTCCACCTGCCTTGGACTCCCAAAGTGCTAGGATTACAGGCGTGAGCCACTGTGCCCGGCCTCCTTGCTACAGTTTCTAGGTAATATTGGTCCTTTGTTCTCTATAGTTATCTCCTTTAATTTTATTTATATAATAGTGCTTATTTGTGTTGAGCCTCTTTATATATGAAGCAATAGTTAAGAATAGTTAAGGCCGGGCGCGGTGGCTCACGCCTGTAATCCCAGCACTTTTGGAGGCCGAGGCAGGCAGATCATGAGGTCAGGAGATCAAGACCATCCTGGCTAACACGGTGAAACCCCGTCTCTACTAAAAATACAAAAAATTAGACAGGCATGGTGGCACGCGCCTGTAGTCCCAGCTACTTGGGAGGCTGAGGCAGGAGAATCGCTTGAACCCAGGAGGCGGAGGTTGTAGTGAGCCGAGATCATGCCATTGCACTCCATCCTGGGTGACAGAGCGAGACTCCGTCTCAAAAAAAAAAAAAAAAAAGAATATGGGCTTTGTAATTATACAAATATGTTCAATTACTCGATTGAACAAATATGTTCAATTACTTTTAAATTATGTAATCTTGGGCAAATTACTTTTTCGTGACACTCATAGTAGTGACAGTCATAGAAGTAGATTCCTTAATGATAAAATATATATATAGTTCTGCCCCCAAAACTAAAAGATTAGGACATCAAACAATTTACTTCTTAGACTTAAGCATGGACAAAGGAGTAAGTGTTATTTTAGTATGAATCTATTCAAAAACGGATGGCCTGAAACTATAATTGCCTAATGTCTTTAAAAGTTTGTTTATTTCAGTCAGGTGTGGTGGCTCACATGTAATTTTGTGGAGGTTAGACCATTAAACATGTAAAAAATAAAGTTTGGCTGGGCGTGTGGCTCACGCTGATAATCCCAGCACCTTGGGAGGGCAAGGTGGGCAGATCACTTGAGGCCAGCCTGGCCAACATGGTGAAACCCCATCTCTACCAAAAAATACAAAAATTAGTCAGGCGTGGTGGTGCACACCAGTAGTCTCAGCTACTCAGGAGGCTGAGGTGGGAGGATCACTTGAGCCCAGGAAGTTGAGGCTGCAGCAAGCTGTAATCATGCCACAGCACTCCAGCCTGGGCAACAGAGTAAGACACTGTCTCTAAATAAATCAATTAATTAAGTTCAATATGAAATTTAGCAGTTCAATTCCAGTCTATTATAAATTGGTCAATGCTGCCTTTTTTCTATTTATCAATTTATCTATCAATCAATACCTGATTGATACTTCTAAAATTAATCAGCATTTTGGCATTGTAGATATGTTAAGGCAAAACACATATTCTATTGACTGGGTTGAAGTTTGGTTTTATAATTATCTGAAGTCCCAAATCATGAATAGATTTATTTATTTATTTATTTATTTATTTATTTATTTATTTTTTGAGACAGAGTCTCACTTTGTCGCCCAGGCTGGAGTACAATGGCATGATCTCAGCTCACCACCGCAACTTCTGCTTCCTGGGTTCCAGTGATTCTCCTGCCTCAGCTTCCCAAGTAGCTGGGATTACAGGCATGCGCCACCACACCTGGCTAATTTTTGTATTTTCAGTAGAGACGGGGTTTCACCGTGTTGGCCAGGCTGGTGTCAAACTCCTTACCTCAGGTGATCCGCCCACCTCGGCCTCCCAAAGTGCTGGGACTACAGGTGTGAGCCACCGTGCCCGGCCATGAATAGATTTAAAATAGCTTTTTTAAAACTGAAAATAGGTTTAGAACTTCAAGCTTAATTGGGCCAAATTTAAATTCATTTGGATAATTAGTATCAGATATCACTTTGACCAATCATAGCTCTTGCTTTGCAGGATTATATAAGAAAACTGGTAAACTGGTATTTCTTGGATTGGATAATGCAGGAAAAACAACATTGCTACACATGCTAAAAGATGACAGACTTGGACAACATGTCCCAACATTACATCCCAGTAAGTATATTCCTACATACAATGTGATACTTGATCAAATGATGCTGAGTCATATGCACTAACCAAAAGTGTTTTGTTTCAGACAGGGTCTTTCTCTGTTGCCCAGGCTGCAATGCAGTGGTATGATCACAGTTCACTGCAACCTCTGTCTCCTGGGCTTAAGCCATCCTCCCGTCTCCCAAGTAGCTGGGACCACAGGCATGTGCCACCATGCCCAGTTAATTTTTATATTTTTTCAGAGACCAGGTTTCGATATGTTTCCCAGGGTGGTCTTGAACTCCTGAGCTCAAGTGATCAGCCTCTCTCAGCCTCCGAAAGTATTGGGATTACAGGCGTGAGCCACTGCACCTGGCCAAGTTTTTTGTTTGGGGGGCATTTTCTGGTAGATAAATTATGATCAGGTGATTTGACCTGTTCCTAAAATAATAAATTATAGGTGACCTCGCTCCCAGGGAGAATATTTAGATCTTGAATTAGTACTCATACCTTTTTATCAGCTAGTACTCCCTTCTCTAGCTTGAGGAATTAAAAAGTTTTTGTCTGAGGGATTGTGACATGATTGGTAAATAGTCCACCATCGCCTTGTTTACATAACCTGAATTTTTTCTTTCAGATTTTTTTTTTTTTGAGGTGGAGTCTCACTCTGTCGCCCAGGCTGGAGTGCAGTGGCACGACCTCCGCTCACTGTAAGCTCCACCTCCCGGGTTCACGCCATTCTCCTGCCTCAGCCTCCCGAGTAGCTGGGACTACAGGCACCCACCACCACGCCCGGCTAATTTTTTGTATTTTCGGTAGAGACGGGGTTTCTCCGTGTTAGCCAGGATGGTCTTGATCTCCTGACCTTGTGATCCGCCTTCCTCGGCCTCCCAAAGTGCTGGGATTACAGGTGTGAGCCACCGCGCCCAGGCTTCTTTCAGATTTTAAAGCCATATTACTTTATTTTATTTGTGTAGAGACAGGGTCTTGCTCTGTCATGTAGGTTGGAGTGCCGTGGTATGATCATAGCGCACCATTTAAACTCCCAGGTGCAAGTGATCCTCCTGCCTCTGCCTCCCAAAGTGTTGGGATTAAAGATAGGAGCCATTGCACCATGTACTATTTTAAGCACTAATTCAGTAGATACATTACAATTTTATACATGGCTGGTAACTCAATTTGTTAACCAGTTATTTTTCTAGTCTTAATAACCTCAACAATATCTAATGTACACCACAGAATTAATCTAAAGAAAACAAGGCATATATTGACACACAGGAAGTTTTAAAACAAGGGTGGGTGTGGTGGCTCATGTCTGTAATCCCAGCACTTTGGGAGGCTGAGGCAGGAGAATCACTTGAGCCCAGGAGTTTAAGACCAGCCTGGGCAACATACTGAGACTCCATCTCTACAAAAACAAAAACAAAAAATTAGTCTGGCATGGTGGCATACACCTGTAGTCCTAGGTACTTGGGAGGCTGAGGCAGGAGGATCACTTGACCCTAGGTGTTCAAGGCTTCACTGAGCTATGATTGCACCACTGCACTCCTAACCTGGGCAACAGAGTGAGACCCTGTCTCTAAAGAAACAAAAAATACCAAAAAAATTGAAAGTTTTTTTTTTTTTGAGATGGAGTCTTGCTCTGTTGCCCACGCTGGAGAGCAATGGCACGATCTCGGCTCACTGCAACCTCTGCCTTCTGAGTTCAAGCAATTCTCCTGCCTCAGCCTCCCAAGTAGCTCAGATTACAGGCATGTGCTACCACACCCAGCTAATGTTTTGTATTTTTAGTAGAGACGGGGTTTCAACATGTTGGCCAGGCTGGTCTCAAACTCCCGACCTCAGATGATCCGCCCACCTCAGTCTCCCAAAGTGCTGGGATTACAGGCATGAGCCACCACACTTGGCCAAAAATAATGTTTTTTAATAATGACTCTAATTTTTTTTTTTTCCTTTTTTGAGACAGAGTCTCACTCTGTTGCCTAGGCTGAAGTGCAGTGGCACCATCTCGGCTCCCTGCAACCTCTGCCTCCTGGGCTCAAGCAATTCTCCTGCCTCAGCCACTGGAATAGCTGGGATTACAGGCATGTGCTACCAAGCCCAGCTAATTTTTGTATTTTTAGTAGAGACCAGGTTTCGCCATGTTGGCCAGGCTGGTCTCGAACTCCTGGCCACAAGTGATCCACCTGCCTTGGCCTCCCAAAGTGTTGGGATTACAGGCGTGAGCCACCACACTTGGCTGACTCTGTAAATTATTTAATAAATTTTATTTTGCATTTAAGGTTATGTAACGAATTTGAGAATAAAGTTAATGTTAAAGTGGGTAAATTATTAGAAACAGAAACCTAATTTAACCTGTGACCTTACTTTTACAGGTGAAAATTTTATGAATCAGATAGACACAGAGTTTAAAGACAAGTTAATCTATAGATTAATTATGAAATAGTAAGTGTAGCCTTAATAATGAATATAAAATTGAGAACTGGACCAAAAAGTAGATAATACTGTAATTATTTAGTCCAGTAAATGTTCAAAGAACAAAGAATGAGGATAGAACAAAACAAAGTATTTTATCTATAAAACAATTAGTGAGGTTGGAAAAGGAAATTGACAAATCTTTTTTTTCTTTTTATTTTTTTTGAGATGGAGTCTCGCTCTGTCACCCAGGCTGGAGTGCAGTGGCACGATCTCGACTCACTGCAACCTCCGCCTCCCAAGTTCACACCATTCTCCTGCCTCAGCTTCCCGAGTAGCTGGAACTACAGGTGCCCGCCACCACGCCTGGCTAATTTTTTGTATTTTTAGTAGAGACAGGGTTTCACTGTGTTAGCCAGGATGGTCTCGATCTCCTGACCTCGTGATCTGCCCGCTTCGGCCTCCCAAAGTGCTGGGATTACAGGCGTCAGCCACTGCGCCCGGCCAACAAATCTTTTTTTTATATTAGGAGAAAAAAGTGGGGCTTGGCAAGTAAGATTCTGATATAAGAACAATTCTGTTAAAGAAAAAATGATCATGGTGAAATTGAGTAGATAAAATTGTCTGCAAAAACAGCGTAATTTCCAACCTGGCCAACATCGTGAAACCCGTTCTGTACTAAAAATACAAAAATTAGCCGGACACGGTGGCACGTGCCTGTAATTCCACCTACTCGGGAGGCAGAGACAGGAGAATTGCTTGAACCCGGGAGGCGGAGGTTGCAGTGAGCCAAGATGGCGCCACTGCATTCCAGCCTGGGCGACAGAGGGAGACTCTGTCTCGAAAAAAACAAAAAACACAGAAAAAAAACCCAACAAAAACCAGCATAACTGGAAGAGACTACAGAGTGGTCTTAAATATTAGGTGTAAGTCATTTTTTAATTTTTTGACGTTGCTCTATTTCATTTATTCAAATATTTATTGAGCACCTACTTTATGTCAGACATTGTTCTGGATACTAGGGGAAAACAGATGCTATCTCAACCTTTCCTGCAGCTCACATTCATTTCAACTCATATTTTTTAATTAATCAAAAGCATATGTGATCTATTCTGGTGTGGAAAAGAAAACATTTTTGAAAAGGAAAAAAAAGCATATGTGAAAACCTACATATATCCTATGATCTGGCAGTTCTACTCCTAGTTACTTACCCGAGAGAAATGAGAAAATACATTTACCAAAAACCTTGTACAAAAATGTTTATACTAGCTTTATTTGTTGGTGGTGAGTTATTATTATTTTTTTTTTTTGAGTCAGTGTCTCACTCTGTGGCCCAGGCTGGAGTGCAATGGCACAATCGCGGCTCACTGCAGCCTCAACCTCCCAGGTTCAAGTGTTCCTCCCACCTCAGTCTCCCAAGTAGCTCGAACTACAGGCACATGCTACCACATCTGGCTAATTTTTTAATTTATTTGTAGAGATAGGGTTTCACCATGTTGCTTAGGCTGGTCTTGAACTCCTGGGCTCAAGCGATCCTCCCATCCAGCCTCCCAAAGTGCTGGGATTACAAGTGTGAGCCACCATACCCAGCCTATACTAATTTTATTTGTAATAGCCAAAAACTGGAAACACCTCAAATGTCCATCAAAAAGGAAATTGATAAATAATGGAATGCTACTTAGCAAGAAAGATGAATAAACCACTGATACATTCAGTCATATTATGCTACATGGCAGAAGCTGGTCATAAAAAGTTATCTACTGTATGATACCATTTATATGAAATTCTAGAACAGACAAAACTAACCTGTGGTGATAGAATTCAGATCAGTGGTTGCTTCCGGAGATGAAAATGGGGATTGACTGGGAAGGGGCTAGAGGAGACTTTCTGGGATGTTAACAGTGTTCTGTATCTTAAATAGCCTAATTCAGACTTCTTTTATAAAGCAGAAAGTATATTGGGGATTATTACCATAGAGGTGGTTTGCTAACTAAGCATTATCTTTTCCTTATGAACAGTGACTTTGAATATAGATTGTATTAAATATTTTATTCATTTGGCAATCTACACATAGAATTTCTTTCTTTCTTTTTTTTTTTTTTTTGAGACAAAGTCTCGCTCTTGTCCCCCAGGCTGGAGTGCAATGGTATGATCTCAGCTCACTGCAACCTCCACCTCCCGGGTTCAAGCGATTCTCTTGCCTCAGCCTCTCGAGTAGCTGGGATTACAGGAGCCTACCACCACTCCCGGCTAATTTTTGTATTTTTAGTAGAGACGGGATTTCACCATGTTTGCCAGGATGGTCTCGAACTCCTCACCTCAGGTGATCCGCCCCCCTCGGCCTTCCAAAGTGCTGGGATTACAGGCATGAGCCACCGTGTGCCCTGCCCTTTTTTTTTTTTTTTTTTTTCCGAGATGGAGTCTCGCTCTGTTGCCCAGGCTGGAGTGCAGTGGCCAGTCTCGGCTCACTGCAACCTCCGCCTGCCACATTCTCCTGTCTCAGCTTCCCTAGTAGCTAGGATTACAGGCATCTGCCACCACGCCTGGCTAATTTTTGTATTTTTAGTAGAGACGGGGTTTCACCACATTGGCCAGGCTGGTCTCAGAACTCCTGATGTCTCAAGTGATCCACCCGCCTCGGCCTCCCGAAGTGCTGGGATTAGAGGCATGAGCCACTGCACCTGGCCTACATACAGAATTTCTTTATTTATTATTGTTATTTTTTGAGACGGAGTCTTGCTCTGTCGCCCAGGCTAGAGTGCAGTGGTGCAATCTCGGCTCACTGCAAGCTCCGCCTCCCGCGTTCATGCCATTCTCCTGCCTCAGCCTCCTGAGTAGCTGGGACTACAGGCGCCTGCCACCACGCCCAGCTAATTTTTTGTATTTTTTTAGTAGAGACGGGGTTTCACCGTGTTAGCCAGGATGGTCTCGATCTCCTGACCTCGTGACCCACCCGCCTCAGCCTCCCAAAGTGCTGGGATTACAGGCGTGAGCCACCGCCCCCGGCCCAGAATTTCTTCTTATTTTCAGACAGAATCTCTCTCTGTTGCCCAGGCTGGAGTGCAATGGCGCAATCTCGGCTCACTGCAACCTCCGCCTCCTGGGTTCAAGTGATTCTCCTGCCTCAGCCTCCTGAGTAGCTGGGATTACAGGCACCTGCCACCATGCCTGGGTAATTTTTTTTTTTTTTTTTTGAGATGGAGTCTCGCTCTGTTCCCCAGGCTGGAGTGCAGTGGGGCAATCTCGGCTCATTGCAACCTCTGCCGCCAGGGTTCAAGCGATTCTCCTGCCTCAGCCTCCCTGGTAGCTGGGATTTCAGGCACCTGCCGCTGCACCCAGCTAATTTTTTGTATTTTTAGTAGAGACGGGGTTTCACCTCGTTAGCCAGGATGGTCTCGATCTCCTGACCTCGTGATCTGCCCATCTCGGCCTCCCAAAGTGCTGGGATTACAGGCGTGAGCCACCGCGCCCGGCCCCCAGAATTTCTTAAGAAGATAAAAACTCTGGGCTAAAGTAGCTACACTAAAACTTATGTTGTCATTATGGGGCACTTGTGCTTTTGGCCATAAGTGAGTACTGGTTCTGGAATTACCCTCCCACTGTACACAACTAGAAAACCGGACAAAAAAAGATGCTACAACTGTTTTCAGACATTGGGCAACAGCTACCACAGGACTGTGATTCCTGAGAGAAAGGAAACAACTCTATTTTGGTTTTATGCCAAGAGGTAATTTTCAGACCATGGTGCAAAGAGAGGACACCCAAACATAGTCCAATAGTCTTGCTGAGTTGAGGAGATGTAGACCAGAATTTGGAAAGGCCAACAGGACTAGAATTTTTTTGCTAGGACAGAGAGGAGGGAGTACCGGAGAGGAGGGACCTCTGGAGAGAAAGGACTCTAGAAATTTACATAGCTGAATACCAATCTGTGCATGCAATGGGTAAAGCTCCAAAAGGCTAGTCAAAGAACAATTGTAAGAATGCTGTTAGCCAAATAATTACTAGAGCTCTCATGGGGCCAGGAATTGTTGTTTAATCCCATTTAGCCTTCTAACAAATGTTAAAAACTGATCTGTAAGCAAGTGAACTGTCAGAACAAAATTCAACCTTCTTCAAAAGACTACAACAAAATCCAGCACTCAATATGAAATTACTAGACATGCAAAGAAACAGGAAAGTGATTCAGTCAGTAGAAACAGACACAAGTGTGACAAAGATGATGGAATTAGCAGATTAAGACATAAGACAATCGTTATGAATGTGCTCAGGGATTTAAAGGAAAACACAAACATGAGGAAAGAAATGGAAGATATAACACAGAATCAAATGAAACTTCTAGAAATGAAAAATACAGTATTTGAAATGAAAATTTCTTTTTTTTCTTTCTTTCTTTTTTTTAATAGAGACAGGGTCTCCCTGGGTTGCCCAGGCTGGTCTCGAACTCCTGGGCTCAAGTGATTCTCCCACCTTGGCCTCCCAAAGTCTGGGCTTACAGGTGTGAGCTACCATGCCCAGCCTGAAATGGAAATTTCACTGGATAGGATTAATAGTAAATTAGATAGTGCCAGTACTGCAGAAAGAAAGACCACTAAACTTAACTCAATGCAACAGAAACTCCAGAATGAAGCACAGAGAGAAAAGTGACTGAAAGCAAAATAAACAGAGCCTCAATGACTGGTGAGACAACATCAGGCAGTCTAACAAACCTGCAACTGAAGTCCCAGAAGTGGAAGGGAGGAGAAAGAAAGATAGTTATGGAAATAATGGCCACAATTTTTTATGGTAATTGTTTTTGTAATTAAAGACTGTCTTATGTCAGCCATAAGAGAAAATTATTTCACCTGTATCATTTAAGATGAATTATATGAACAATTATTAGATTGGAGCAGTTATTTGAATTCATAGCAAATAATTGTCTGAAGAGATTAACATTTTCAGCAGGAAGAATAGAGAAGGAAAAATAAATGTTGGATTTGTGGTGAGTAGAATACTAGAACTGAATATTACAATTATTTGTTATATTGTCAGTATGAATTGGTGTATATCTAATTACAAAAAAGTATTATTGTACCAGTTTGTAAATGTTTGATTTGACCTTATTTGCAATAAAAGTAAATCAAACATTAAGTAGTAAATATAAGCTATTGTTAGAAATGCTTGTTCCCTGGTGCTGTAAAGGATAGCACTTGAACATAAATTTAATTTCCTCAGCAAGGCCATTTTTACTTTCTGCAGAAAGGGTACACTTGCCAGCAGTTTTGCCACAAGAGTACACCGAACAAAGGAGACAGGGTCATTTATAATCTGATGCGTCCACCCTACTGCTGTGTCCGGTTTCCATTGGCTGGAATGGGACCTCACATTCTGTATTTGTCCTGATTGGCTAGCAACTTAGAACTTTTTAAAAGAGGCAAAGGCAGAGGAGAACAAAGGAAGGAGGAAGTAACTTGTGGAATGCTGAGAAAGGTAAAAACACCTTCAAATAAGGAAGAGGAACAGGCTATGACCTAATGCTTGCTTGGACCAGTGTAAGTATGCCAGGGCAAATATTTAGGCTAAATTGTGGGAGCTAAGAACATAAAGTACATTGATTTCTTTATTACGGCTGGCAGATATTTAAGAATGTTAGCACGGGTCTTTGAATCAATTTTGCTTCTAAGAGAAGTTACTATTTATTCTTAATTAGATGGGGAGGAAAGTCTTTGAAAAGGAACCTCTACTTTACTTTTTACACGATTAATGGGTTTCTAATTTTCATGTAAAAATATTTTAAAATCTTATTTAGCTTCCGAAGAACTGACCATTGCTGGCATGACGTTTACAACTTTTGATCTGGGTGGACATGTTCAAGGTAAGATTCTTTTTTTTTTTTTTTTTTTTTTTTTTTTTTTTTTTTTTTTAGACAGGCTCACTCTGTCTCCCAGGCTGGAGTGCAGTGGTGCAATCTCAGCTCACTGCAACCTCTGCCTCCTGGGTTCAAGCAATCCTCATGCCTCAGCCTCCCCAATAGCTGGGATTACAGGCATGTGCCACCGCGCCCAGCTGATTTTTGTATTCTTAGTAGAGATGGGATTTCGCCACGTTCAAGGTAAGATTCTCTTACTCTTACAGTCACTTTGTTTTATTTTAACTTAACAAAAATGTGGCCATTAGTTCTAGTGCATGAAATCTCATTCTAGTCACGCAAGGCCAGAGTAGATTTAAAATTTAGGGATTATTACTCCCCGATAAATACTTTAAAAGCAAAGGGTGATTTTCATGATACTTCTGGCCAATTCAAATGAGAATTGCTTTTGGTGGTAAAGTGTATGAGTAAAATTAACTTCCATTCTCTCTACTTCAATCTACCTCTCACTGTCATAATCATGTTTTGAACATGTTACTGCTCTGTAAAACAAAAACAAAACAAAACAAAACAAAAAAACCTTCAGTGGCTAACTCATTACTTACAAAATAAAGGCCAAACTCATTAACCTGGCATTCAGGATCTCTATGATCTGGTCCCAGTTTACTTTTCTGGGCTTTTAAAAATTATCTTATAGAGACAGGGTCTCACTCACTATGTTGCCCAGGCTTGTCTCCAACTCCTGGGCTCAAGCAATCCTCTCATCTCAGTCTCCCAAAAGTTGGGATTATAGGTGTGAGCCACCACATCTGGCCTACTTTTCTTTTATTTCCCTCTATTCCCCTTCCCGTTCTTTTTGCTTCAACCAAATCAGACCTTCTTGGTGTTTTCCTCTGTGCTTTTGTTCATGCCATCCCCATCCGCACATGAGTAACCCCTTTAGGCCCCAGCGTATGCCCTGCTACCTCCCTTGGGAAGCCATTCTCAGTTGGAGTGCTCTCAGCTATACTTCATAGCACTTAGTATATTTGTGTACATGTCTACAACAAGTTTGGAAAGACTGCCTTATCTCTTATATTAAACTTGCGGGGACTAAAATCCTGTTTTTTGTTTTGTTTTAATTAAAAAAAATTTTTTTTGTAGAGATGGGGTCTCACAATCTTGCCCAGGCTGATTTTGAAGTCCTGGCCTCAAGCAATCCTCCTACCTCAATTTCCCAAAGTGCTGGGATTACAGGTGTGAGCCACCACACCTGGCCTGTTCATTTTTTATATCCCCAAAAGTACTTGGCAACATCTACCTCATAGTAAGTCATAACTAACCAATATTACCGAATTGGTGGGCATTCTAAAAACCTGATGCGACATATAGTTGAAAAGATTGTAAATGGTTCTGGCTAGTGAAAGCACATTTGAGACATGTAATTGTCTGGCATATACACAAAATAATTTCTGGAATACGATGATTAGAATTGGAATCTAATGGAATTTGTCTGAGACTTCATTTCTATGTTGTTTCAAGATATGTCATAATGGCTGGGTGTGGGGTCTCAGGCCTATAATCCCAGTGCTTTGAGAGGCTGAGGTTGGGAGGATCACTTGAAGCCAGGAGTTCAAGACCAGCCTTGCAACATAGCAAGACCCTGTCTCTACACAGAATTTAACAATTAATGGGGCATAGTGATAGACACTGATAGTCCTACCTACTCAGGAGGCTGAGATGGGACTATGACTTGAGCTCAAGAGTCTGAGGTTGCAGTGAACTAGCCTGGATGACAGAGCAAGACCCTGTCTCTTTAAAAAAAAAAAAAAAAGGTATGTCATAAAACTCAAGTCAGTGAAGAAAGTTATGTTATGGAAAAAATTACTCTTATGATTTCATAGACTTCAGTTAATTATTAACATTTGAGCTTCTTTTCTGAGTAAAACAATTTTGTTTTGGTTTTTTTTTAATTATTTTTTTTGAAACAGAGTCTGGTTCTGTCTCCCAGGCTGGAGTGCAGTGGCATGATCTTGGCTTACTGCAGCCTCTGCCTCCTGGGCTCCATCCTCCCACCTCAGCCTCCCAAGTAGCTGGGCAGGCACACACCACCACACTTTCTAATTTTTTTTTTTTTTTTTTTTTTTTTTTGAGACGGAGTCTCTCTCTGTCACCCAGGCTGGAGTGCAGTGGCATGATCTCGGCTCACTGCCACCTCCACCTCCCGGGTTCAGGTGATTCTCCAAGCCTGGCTAATTTTTGTATTTTTAGTAGAGACACAGGGTTTCACTATGTTGGCCAGGTTGGTCTCCAACTCCTGACCTCAGGTGATCCACCTGCCTCAGCCTCCCAAAGTGCTGGGATTACAGGCATGAGCCACTGTGTCCGGCTTGGCTAATTTTTTGTGTTTTTTTGTAGAGATGAGGTTTCACTATGTTGTCCAGGCTGGTCTTGAACTCCTGAGCTCAAGCAATCCACCTGCCTTGGCCTTCCAAAGTGCTGGGATTACAAGTGTGAGCCACCACACCCGGCCTTATTATTTTAACAAGCTTGTACCTGATATTAATTTCCTTCTGTCACTCATTCCAAATTTATCACTGGCAAAAAAAATCTGATAACTAGAAATGTCAAAAAATGAACACTGCATATATATGTAATATAAATACACACATTTTATGTATATATAATCACATATATGTAGTTTTTTTACTGCTTATATTTTAGATCTAGTAGCAGTCCTCCAATGAACTTAACGTGTATTTTTTTTTATTTTTATTTTTATTTTAAATATTCTACTCCTTACATATGATAATTGGAAGAGACTAAAGTATTTGACTTGCCCACAGTCAAGGAAAGCCTGAAATTCCCTCTTAGTTATTCTCAGAAGAATTTGGCACCACTGGGTAAAAGATTAACTTGAATATATTGTGAAGTACCAGCAGCTAAGGGATTACCGCACTTGATATCTGGTTGGACTCTTTGCTTAAACCATCTGCTGGGTTTGACCAACAAGTAAACTCTAACCCCTGATTGTTTTTGTTAGCTCGAAGAGTGTGGAAAAACTACCTTCCTGCTATCAATGGCATTGTATTTCTGGTGGATTGTGCAGACCACGAAAGGCTGTTAGAGTCAAAAGAAGAACTTGATGTAAGTTAAATAACTGAAACTAAATATAGTCAAATCACTCTGGTAAGCCTGCAGAAGTAGGTCAGAGATACAGGTATCAGAGTGCAGCTTTTCTGCAGTCTCTGATGAAACTCTTGGCAATTTGTTGAGCTCAGTGATTGCTTTAAGTAGTGATTACTTAGAATGCAGAGGGAGTAACTGAGTAATTGTAGCTATTGAGGAAGTACTAACACAGACATCTTTTATGAAGACTTAAGAAGCTCACCCTGTACAGAATGTACCCTTTTAGTATATTTCATGTCTGTTATATTCCTGGAGTGGGTTGATCTTGAGTCCCTGGTCATGCTAAGATGCTATATCTTAAGCCACAGCCTGGAAATGATAGGACATGCCATCTTTGACACTACTCCCAGGAGTGAGCAGAGGCATATGTAGCTACCTCCCCTCCAGTATCCCAGGTCAGATATTTTGTAAAGGGGCCCAACAGCAGCAGGCAAGGTCAGCACCAGATCTGGGGCCACAGAGTAAGCAGGTCCATGATTTGATTGAAGGTTGATCATACCATGGCTCTGCCCAGAGCAGGCAAACAAATACTTGTACGTGTGGAAAAGTCCAGGTAGGTTCTATGGTTACAAAACAAGGACAGAGAATGCCTGAGTTCCTACTTTGTTCCAGAGACTGTGCGTATTACTTGATTTAATTCTCAATTTCATAGGGTGGATGCTACTGTTCCTAATTCTCTCTAGAGCTTCAGTCAGGCTAACTTGCCCAAAGTCACATCTCAAAAGCAGTAGAGCCAGAAGTGAAACCACATCTGTTCACTTCTAAGGTGCTGGCTCTATACGTTCTATGTCACTCCTTTAAAGGATGAGCAGAGTAAACATTTACAGGAAGAGCCTTAGGAAGACAGAAGAATTTAGCTTATGGTTTCATTGAGGTCACTTTAAAATGTGGGGAAAGTTTGACAAAGAACGTTGGTATGACATGATATGGTAGAAAATGAGTCCTTTATTGTTTTATCATATCAAAATAAGCTCTTTGGATGGTTTCATATCAACTCTTGTTTTGTATTGTTTTGTTTTTTTCAGTCACTAATGACAGATGAAACCATTGCTAATGTGCCTATACTGATTCTTGGGAATAAGATCGACAGACCTGAAGCCATCAGTGAAGAGAGGTTGCGAGAGATGTTTGGTTTATATGGTCAGACAACAGGAAAGGTAAAAAAAAAAAAAAAATTATGATGGGTGTGTTTAATTCTACAGTACAAATGTCTTCTTAAATTACTATTGTCCAACTATACAAGCCCATTATCATTTTCTTAAAGAAAACTGTCATTTATACCTGTGGGTCTTTTTAATGTCCTCATTTCTTTCTACCATGGAATGAAACATTTTCTTGGTGACAACAAAAATGTCAAGGATGAGTTATGCCTAAGGCTTGTGCTTATAGGAAACTAAATTAAAGCTTTCAAAGTTATTTATCATACATTTTCAGAATTAGCCACCAAACGATATATTTGAGTGTTTAAGTATACCAGTAGTGTGTTTAGGCCCTGAGTTTACCAGAGATAAATAAGACATAAACTTGGAATATTTTACGGTTTTCTGAACATATACTTTATAATAAGCTTTAAGACGGATTGTTTTGGTATTCACTTTTCCTAGGATTTATTTTGGGGGAAACATCAGCATTGAAAAAATCCAGATAAACAGTGGAAGAACCCCAGAGATTTACAAAATTTTTTTAGTTTACATATACTATTTCAGGGTGGAGAAATACTGCAGCATATAGCAGGAGGCTCTTTTTTTTTTTTTTTGAGATGGAGTTTTGCTCTTGTTGCCCAGGCTGGAGTACAATGGTGCAATCTCGGCTCATTGCAACCTCTGCCTCCCAGGTTCAAGCGATTCTCCTGCCTCAGCCTCCCTGGTAGCTGGGATTACAGGCGTGTGCCAGCACGCCCAGCTAATTTTGTATTTTTGGTAGAGACGGGGTTTCTCCATGTTGGTCAGTCTGGTCTCGAACTCCTGACCTCAGGTGATCCGCCCGCCTTGGCCTCCCAGAGTGCTGAGATTACAGGCATGAGCCACCACGCCCGGTCCGCAGGAGGCTCTTAAGTCAGACAAAGTAGACTTTGGTCTGTTTTCTGTCTTCTTTTTTATAAATTAGCTTGATATTAATTTTAGGAAATGCTTTGTTTGGTCATAAACCTTCTCAGGGAATGTTTGTCTTTAATATTAGTGAAGCCAGTTTGGATTTTTTTCTAAGTCAGATTATTTTTATTCTTGGGTATCTTGCAAGCTAACCTCTTTCCCACTGAGTGGCCATCCTGCCCTAAGGTAGAGTGAGAGAAGGAGGCTTCTTGTGTGTTCATGGGGCTTGGATGCCAAGCAGCCACGACTTTATCACAGTCATGGATTTATCACAGCCATTCTTTGTTCTAAAATAGAACCTATAATTCTGCTGGGATGTGGGGCTTTATTAATTTTATAAAATTCCAACGAAATGTCTCTCTTCTATTCTAGGGGAGTATATCTCTGAAAGAACTGAATGCCCGACCCTTAGAAGTTTTCATGTGTAGTGTGCTCAAAAGACAAGGTTACGGAGAAGGCTTCCGCTGGATGGCACAGTACATTGATTAACACAAACTCACATTGGTTCCAGGTCTCAACGTTCAGGCTTACTCAGAGATTTGATTGCTCAACATGCATAACTTGAATTCAATAGACTTTTGCTGGTTATAAAACAGATGTTTTTTAGATTATTAATATTAAATCAACTTAATTTGAATGAGAATTGAAAACTGATTCAAGTAAGTTTGAGTATCACAATGTTAGCTTTCTAATTCCATAAAAGTACTTGGTTTTTACAGTTTATAATCTGACATCACCCCAGCGCCATTTGTAAAGAGCAACTTTCCAGCAGTACATTTGAAGCACTTTTTAACAACATGAAACTATAAACCATATTTAAAAGCTCATCATGTTAAATTTTTTATGTACTTTTCTGGAACTAGTTTTTAAATTTTAGATTATATGTCCACCTATCTTAAGTGTACAGTTAATAATTAGCTTATTCAATGATTGCATGATGCCTTACAGTTTTCAATAACTTTTTTTCTTATGCAAACGTCATGCAATAAAACAAACTCTAATGTTTGGCATCCTTGTTGGGCAAATGTTTCATTTAAATGTGTCTTATCTAGCTAGTATACTCTGAAAATTTGAGTATTTAATATTAGGCATATGAAGTGGTTGTTGGGAAAGGAGATTCCTTCAGAATATTTAGAATAGCGTTTAAGGCTCTCAAGGCTTAGGTATTTACCATGAGATGGTTGTGGTCAGTTGCACCTGATACCATGTATCCCTGAATCATGTGTATTTTTATTAGTAATGCAGCCACTACCATTGCTGATGGGGTCTGTGTCCTAGTCCCTGTGGGATTGGCCTTCTGAAGAAAAGCACATTTATGGTACACAAGGTTGATTCTCAGTTTGGTAGGCTCTATAGTTCCATCCCAGCTGTCTAATTCTGAAGTGCTCCAGTCTTATTGGTGCCCAATGGGGTAATCTGTGCCTCTTCCCCAAAAGCAATGACAGGCACCAGTGTCTCCACATTTAGATATATTCCCAGTCTCTGTACATTTAACAGTACTCTCTGGGGCAAGCAATAAGTAGGACCTTGTGTGCAGTTTCATTGTAGAGACATGTATATCTGAGGAATAAAACAGCTTGTTCTGTGTCAGTCTGAGATATGTGGAGATTTTGTTCCTATCCTATAGCTCTTTTGTATTCTTTGGCATATTTTATATCCTGGTAGAAGAAAACAAGTGCTTGTTTCCAATTTTCTTTTTTCTTATTTGCTCTCAGGTAGTTCTTACTCCATACAACAAAGACTTTTTGTTTGTTGGGCTTTTTTTTTTTTTTTTTTTTTGCTCTGTTTCATTTTGTTTTAGAGACGGGGTTTCACCATGTTGTCCAGGCTGGTCTCAAACTCCTGACCTCAAGTGATCTGCCCGCCTTGGCCTCCCAAAGTTCTGGGATTATAGGCGTGAGCTACCATGCCTGACCTGACTTTTGTTTTTAGATATTATGCTTGCCATGTGATAGGGCCTGCAAGCCTCATTGCTAGGCTTACTAAGAAAATTTTAGTTTTTCAAAAGCATTATAATTTCCTAAGAAACTGAATTCTTTTTTTATATGTTTGAGATTCCCATCATTAGTAATATAAGATGAAAGGTAAGTGCCAAAAATGTATTTTTAAAGACCCTCAAGTTTAAGATTTATCCTGATTATAAGCCAAGTTTTATAGTATATTTAACCAATTCCATCAAGAATAATTTTAATATCAAAAATTAGTGTTTTCTGTAGCCATTGTCCATGTCAGAGTTACAGTCCTTTTTGTCATTGATAATATAACCTATGAAGCAGATAAGGATTGAGGAATATGACTGGAAGGAATTACTATTTAGCTAAGCTGACAAGGTCGCTTCTTAAGATGACATTTGGTTTCAGTAATCTGACTATTCTGTTTTCACTTTCATCTTCTTTCTAAATGAAAACAAAAGTGCTCCCTCCCTTCCTGGAAACCTCAGTAACACTATGGGAAAAGTAGAACATGACATTGCAGCCTATTGATTTCTTCTTCCAGATAGGTTTAAAGTACTCCTTAAGTTCTGACTAAATAGAACTAAGCCTTATTAAAAATAACTGCCTCTTGTTCATGTTATCTGTACCTTCAGGGACCTGCCTTTCTTCAAGTATTTCCTAGAGTATCTATTATGATACTGAAGAAGCTAATTATTTGTGTTGTAAATGGGTATAAATGAAAAAAAAACATACTGGTTTCTCTAGCCAGGAAAAATGCTTTCTGGTGTAATATATCTTGCTCCAGAACCCTCATTCTAATTGTAACACTAGGATCAAAGAAACAAAGTCACTTTGTGGACCACAGCTAAACTGTGGATATTTTCCCAAAGACATAAGATTTTTATGGCCCGAGCCTCTAGAAAGGAAGCCATGTTTAGGAGCAACCAGCTTTCCTCCCAGCTTTAGGGGGCAGAGTTCCTGAGCCAGAGGACTTACTGTCCAGCTTTGAGAACCTCTCCAGAGTATATGCACTGGGTACTGCTCTTTTTCAAGAGAACCAAATTAAGAGGATGGCAAGAAACAGTAGAAGCACAGAGGAAAGACAACTCTGCATGTGCCTGTGTGAATGTGTGCATCCATGGAGTATTTCCCAGGTAAATACTAGTACTGGGGACATAGGCTAATTGTGTGTCCCACACTGCAAGATGCTAGGGCGTAGTTAACACTGTGGTATACATACAAATCAGGCACTGTCCAAAAGATTTTTTAAAATCTAAAGTCTGAAATGTAAAAATATAAGGTCTCAACCCACTTTTACACTTTTAAAGAGATCCCATACCTGTTTCACTGACTGCCGTTAATTACACTTTTGGATCACAGCTGGTTAAATTGATAGATTTCAGTTTATCTCAGTGAATTTTTAGAATGGAGATTATAGCATTTTTTAATTGGAGAACAGACATTTCCTAAAGTATATGAAAAAAAATTATTCACTGTTGGTTTAAACCAGTATCTTTGTATGAGTGCCAAAGATATATGAACACAGATACTGCCTGTGCAGACCTAAATTTTAGTTTTGTGTACCTGGATCCATATACAAATTTTTTGTGGTTTATAGCATAAAAGCAGAACGTTGTTTCTTTCTTAGTTTTCAACCGGCTCATCTTTTGTTTTTGTTTTTTGTTTTTTTGTTTTTTGTTTTTTTTGAGATGGAGTCTTGCTTTGTTGCCCAGGCTAGAGTGCAGTGGCACAATCTCTGCTTACTGCAACCTCCACCTCCGGGGTTCAAGTGATTCTCCTGCCTCAGCCTCCTGAGTAGCTGGGACTACAGGCGCGCACCACCATGCCCGGCTAATTTTTGTATTTTTAGTAGAGATGGGGTTTCACTATGTTGGCCAGGCTGGTCTCGAACTCCTGACCTCGTGATCTGCCCACCTCAGCCTCCCAAAGTGCTGGGATTACAGGCGTGAGCCGCCATGCCCGGCCAATTTTCAACTGGCCCATACTTTATAGTGATGGAAAGCGCATAAACTACTTGTAAATCATTAAAATAGGGTGATAACTGTGATAATAGTGTTTCTTGCATTCTAGAAAATTATTTTATTAACTACATTCAAAACCCAGCATTTCACAGGTTCCATCATTAGAAACAGTATAGTTCTAGTTAACATGATTGGAGAGTTTCAGGGGAAAGGTTTACATTTTCTGAAACTGTATTTGGTATGTGACTCAATGTGGTATTTCAGTCTTGTTAGTCACTTACATGACTGACGTTTGCAAGGATTTATTGCCAAGTAAAATTTGACCAGAGTGCACTGAGAATAGCTACATAAGGGGAAATCTCTCAAAATTCCTTCTGTTCATTTAATTTGGAGCATATTGTTTAAATCATTTTAAACATATGTAAAAAGTTGAAGCATTAAAAAATCTTCAAGAAACAATGAAAAAATAGAAATTAGCAAACATAAGTTTCTTAATGCAAAATTAATAGTGAATAAAATATAGCCTACATTAAAAGCCAGAGGCTTTGCTATAAATATAAGAGTTTAGAAAAACAGTGTGCTTCAATTAAGGACTAAATTATCAAAACTGCATGTTTGTTTTTTCTTTTCTTTTCTTTTTTTTTTGAGATGAAGTCTCACTCTGTTGCCCAGGCTGGAGTGCAGTGGTGCGATCTTGGCTCACTGCAACCTCTGCTTCCCAGGTTCAAGCGATTCTCGTGCCTCACCATCCCGAGTAGCTGGGATTACAGGTGCACCACACCATGCCCAGTTAATTTTTGTATTTTTAGTAGAGACAGGGTTTCATTATTTGGCCAGGCTGGTCTCGAGCTCCTGATCTTAAGTGATCCACTCGCCTCGGCCTCCCAAAGTGCTGGGATTATACACATGAGCCACTGTGCCCAGCCTAAAACTACATGTTGAAGCTTCCGGTCATTTCCATTATTATCCTTCTTTTGAAATTCAAGTTAGTGCTTTTTAACCAAATAAAAGAAGAACCAGCTCTTGGGATATGTGACTCTGCCTCTGTATAAAGTGACTGGAATTTTGTTAAAACCGTGTTTCCACTTCTGAACCCTGTTACCATTCCCCCTCACAAATCCCCACCCAACACCTGGATTTTAAAGATCCTCCAGTGTCAAGGGAAGCCACAGAGTCTATTAAAGAGGCAGTTCTGAACCAATTAATTTTTGTCCTTATAATTTAGAGCATTAAATAGCTAATATATTTAATGGCACTAATTGTTGTTCACGGCTTTCATCATACTTTTAAACAGAATCCAAAGTATTCAAAGGAAAGTAAGCGAAGTTATCCAAAGCCAACTTTGTTTCAGGTGTGTCCCCTGCCCCAAATAGATTTTAGGGCAGAAATAGAAAACTGAGTTTACACAGAACTATTTTTGGAAAAGCTGCACTGGAGTAGATGGATTCTTCTTCAGCATACTTTTTTGTTTGTTTGTTTGAGATGGAGTCTTGCTTTGTCACCCAGGCTGGAGTGCAGTGGTGTGATCTCCACTCACTGCAACCTCCACCTCCCAGCTTCAAGTGATTCTCCTGCCTCAACCTTCCAAGTAGCTTGGATTACAGGCGTGCGCCACCACAGCTGGCTAATATTTGTATTGTTAGTAGAGACAGGGTTTCACCATGTTGTCCAGGCTTGTCGAACTTCTGACCTCACGTGATCCACCTGCCTCAGCCTCCCAAAGTGCTAGATTATAGGCGTGAACCACTGCGCCCGGCCAGCATGCATTTTAAAAGTGGCTTAGATTTAGTTTTAAATATTTTGGGGTGAAAGGCAGGAACAGTTCTGTTTTTGACATACAGGTTTTCTTTGGGATTGTTTTCATTTTCAAGTATAGATTCATGTCAGAATGGCCAACTTAACGTGGGTTTCTGTATTCCCTGGTGTTGCTCTTAACCTGAACTCATAATCAGTTGCCATACTGAGGCAAGAGCACTCAGGGTGAACATAGTCAAGTTACTTTAAAAGTGATAAAAGTGTTTTTCCATGGTGAAACCTTCAGTATTTGGCTGAATGTAAAGTATGTTGAAGTGGTATATTGATGGTAAGTTGTTAATCACTAACCTTGTTTGCACTTTTGTACACCACTGCTTGCACTAGGATCTTGGTGTGAATTTTCAATTGTTTTACAGTGTATACAGATTATTAAGGATAATTTATATAAAGATGTTTCTGTTTAACTTTGTGTGTTTTACAACAAAGAGCTATAATAGATGGTTAAACGTTTTTGAATTGTGTTTATATGTTAGTTTGATTATGTTCTATTATCTTTTCACCTGCCATGAATTTGAGTGTTAGGAAGGGAAAAATAAAATACTAATCTGGTCTTGAAGAACTCTAGTGTCAAGTTCCATTTTTATTATTCAACCATAATTTTCATTTTGTTTGTTAGAAATTTCTTGGACTTTGAAAATTGCAAAGATTGTAGAACTTTTTCTTAGTGCAAGGATTCTAAGGTACCTTTGCTCAAGTACCAAGGCCTAATTTGCATGGTAAAACTGAAAACAACTTATGGACAAACTGAAGTAGTACACAATGTCGACTCAGTTGAAATGTGAAAAATAAGACAACCATTTTATCTATATTAAGTTTCTCTAGTATGCACAGAATCTCCTGGAGAGCTTTAAAACACACACACACACACACACACACACACACGCTTAAAAAAATTCCTACCAGAGATTGTGATTCACTAGATCTGGGGGTGGAAGTGGGAGGCAGGAATCTGACTCTTTAACAAGCCTCTCAGTTTTTTTCTTTTCTTTTTTACATACTCTCTCTCTTTCTTTTTTCTTTCTTCTCTCTCTCTCCCTCCCTCTTTCTCTCTTCTCTTTTGTTTTGAGATGAAGTTTCGCTCTTGTTGCCCAGGCTGGAGTGCAGTGGCACGATCTTGGCTTACTGCAATGTCCGCCTCCCAGGTTCAAGTGATTCTCCTGCCTCAGCTTCCCGAGTAGCTGGGACTACAGGCACGTGCCACCACGCCCAGCTAATTTTTATATTTTTAGTAGAGACGGGGTTTCACCATGTTGGCCAGGATGGTCTCGATCTCTTGACCTCGTGATCCACCCACCTCGGCCTCCCAAAGTCCAAAGTGCTAGGATTACAGGCGTGAGCCATCACATCCGGCTTTTTTTTTTTTTTTTTTTTTTTTTTTTTGAGATGGAGTTTTGCTCTTGTTGCCCAGGCTGGAGTGTAGTGGCGCCATCTCTGCTCACTGCAACCTCTGCCTCCCAGCTTCAAGTGGTTCTCCTATCTCAGCCTCCTGAGTAGCTGGGATTATAAGCACATGCCACCATGCTCGGCTAATTTTTTGTATTTTTAGTAGAGATGGGGTTTCACCATGTTGGCCAGGCTGATCTTGAACTCCTGACTTCAGGTGATCTGCCCTCCTCGGCCTCCCAAAGTGCTGAGATTACAGGCATGAGCCACTGCACCCAGCCTTCTTTTTCTTTTTTTTTTTTTCCTTTCCTTCCCTTTCCCCTTCCTTTCCCTTTCTTCCCTTTTTTTTTTTTTTTTTTTTTTTTTTTTTTGTGGGGACAGTGTCTCATTATGTTGCCCAGGCTGGTCTTGAACTCCTGGCTGAAGGTATCCTCCCACTTTAGCCTCCCAAAGTGCTGGGATTACAGGCATCAGCCACCACGCCTGACCTCTCAGCTTTTTCTGATGCTGAAGTCTAAATTTTTCATTTGGGAGAAATATTGATATAACAATACTGCTAATAATAAATGATCCTTAGCCAATCAGTGAAACAAAAAAGAAGTAATGATTTTGGTAAGGATTATCAAGTTAGAGATTTAAATCTAAATATAAAACCTTTCTATAGCCATCCCTTTAACCTTCCCACTAACAATGTACAGCAATGACAAGCTTTGTGCTAGCTCTTCAGTATAATCCATCACAGCTCTATTACAGTTGGGCCTATCAGAATATTTACCTATGGAGCCGGGCACGGTGGCTCACGCCTTGTAATCCCAGCACTTTGGGAAGCCGAGGTGGGCAGATCAGCTGAGGTCGGGAGTTCGAGACCAGCCTGACCAACATGGAGAAATCCCGTCTCTACTACAAATTCAAAATTAGCCAGGCATGGTGGCACATGCCTGTAATCCCAGCTACTCAGGAGGCTGAGGCAGGAGAATTGCTTGAACCCGGGAGGTGGAGGTTGCAGTGAACTGAGATCGCGCCATTGCACTCCACCCTGGGCAACAAGAGTGAAACTCCGTCTCCAAAAAAATATATATATATATATTTGTTGAGTTGAAACTAACAAGTAGAGGCTGGGAGCAATGGCTCATACCTGCAATCCCAGCACTTTGGGAGGCCGAGGCAGGAGGACTGCTTGAGGCCAGGAGTTCGAGATCAGCCTTGGCAACATAGCAAGACCCTGCTTCTATAAAAAAAATTAGCTGGGCATAGTGACACATACCTGTAGTCCTATTCAGAAGCTGAGGTGGGAGGACTGCTTGAGCCCAGGAGTTCGAGGCTGCAGTAAGCCGTGATTGTGCCACTGCACTCCAGCCTGGGCAACACAGTGAGACCCCGTCTCAAAAAAAAAAAGAAAAAAGAAACTAACAAGTAGATAGAAATAGTGAATGCACTGAAGGGACCAATGCTTAAAAAAAATTTGTGGGTCCAGGCACAGTGGCTCACACCTGTAATCCCAGCACTTTGGGAGGCTAAGGCAGGTGGATCACCTGAAGTCAGGAGTTTGAGACCAGCCTGACCAACATGGTGAAACCCCATCTCTACTAAAAATACAAAAATTAGCCAGGTGTGGTGGCCCACGCCTGTAATCCCAGCTACTTGGGAGGCTGAGGCAGGAGAATCACTTGAACCCCGGGGGCAGAGGTTGCAGTGAGCCAAGATCACGCCACTGCACTCCAGCCTGGGTGACAGAGAGAAACTCTGTCTCAAAAAAAAAAAAAAAAAAAAAAAAAAAAAAAAAAAAAAATCTCTGGGCATAGTGGCTCACATCTGTGATCCCAGCACTTTTGGGAAGCCAAGGCAGGCGGATCCTTGCTTGAGCCCAAGAGTTTGAGACCAGCCTGGGCAACATAGCAAGATCTCGTCTCTACAAAGAACACAAAAATTAGCTGGGCATGGTAACATGTACCTGTAGTCTTAGCTACTCCAGAGGCTGAGTTGGGAGGATCACTTGAACCCAGGGAGGTCAAGGCCACAGTGAATGGTGATTGTGCCATTGCACTCCACCCTGGGAGACAGAGTGAGACCCTCTCTCAAAAAAAAAAAAAAAAAAAAAAAGAATAAAGAAAATAAGGTCCAGTTAATTTAGCTCATTTTATTGAATTTAGATACACACATAATTTCAACTAGACTATCTGATGTTTGTATCAACTAGACTATCCAACATTTGTAACTAATAGTGTACAAGTAATGTAGGTGTCACAGCTCCCAGCAGAGTTGAAAGGCACTTTGTTGGGAATAGGGAAAATTCCTAGGAAACAATGGAAATGAAGCCCTCTGGGTGGTGACCACCATCCTCCTAATTGAAAGGTGGGGACAAAAGTTTAGTAGCCTGTTGATTAAAAACAAAGATTCTAAAACAAAGATCCTAAAATAGGCTCTATTTCTGCAGAGTCCCTTATACAGGGTTCAACTGGGGGTTTAGTTAATTGACAAAAGTCAAGACCTATGTTTATAAAGCCTCTTAATTTATTTAAAATTAGACATTAAGGCTCAACACTTTTCTTGCTTCTACTTAGTAAACAAATTAAGCCTTGCCTTGGAATGTGGATTTTTATTCTGGGGGCAATATGGAGAACAATTTGAGATTTTTTTTTTTTTTTCCAAGACAGACTCTCTGTCACCCAGGCTGGACTGCAGCTGCAATCATAGCTGCAATCATAGCTAACTGTGGCCTCAACCTCCTGGAGTAAAGGGATCAGCCCACCTCAACCTCCTAAATAGCTGGGACTGCAGGCACACACACCACATCTGGTTAATATTTTTATTTTTTTTGTTGTTGAGACAGGGTCTCGCTATGTTGCCCAGACTGGTTTCAAACTCCTAGCCCCAAGCAGTCCTCCTGCCTTGGCCTCCCAAAGTGCTAGAATTACAGTATGAGCCATGGCATCTGGCCTAAGATGTGTATTAAAGTCACTGAGACTTCAGTGATGGCAATATACTACTACAAACAAGCTGATAATGTTATAAAAAGAAACTGAATAGTTTTTTTGCTTGATTGTATTGAAGAGGTTTGGGATAATGGGTAACAGATTCCTTTAGTCAAAAAACTTTGCATGAAGCATGTCATATGGATGTCATGGTGAAAGATCACTGGAGGTTAGGTAAGGATGAAAGAGAGAGAAGCACTTGTTGGGGGATGGGGGGAGGGGGCATAAAACGGAGATTTTTGTTCCCTGGTTTGTGTGTGTGTGTGTACGTTGTTTTTGTTTTTTTGATACAGAGTCTCACTCTGTCGCCCAGGCTGTGGTGTAGTGGTGGGATCTTGACTCCCCGCACCTCTGCTTCCCAGGCTCAAGTGATCTTCCTGCCTCAACCTCCTGAGTAGCTGAGACTATAGGTGTACACCACCATGCCTGGCTAATTTTTGTATTTTTAGTAGAGATGGGGTTTTGCCCTGTTGGCCAGGCTGGTCTTGAACTCCTGACTTAAGTGATCTACCTGCCTTGGCCTCCCAGAGTGCTGGGATTACAGGTGTGAGCCACTGTGCCCTACCTATTCCCTGGTTTCTTGAGCTAAAAGGAACTTATTTATTCATTTTTTGAGACAGTCTTGCTCTGTCACCTAGGCTGGAGTGCAGTGGTGCAACCTTGGCTTGCTGCATCCTGGGCCCAAGCAATTCTTGTGCCTCAGCCTCCCAAGTAGCTGGGACTACAGGCGTGCACCACCACAACCGGCTAATTTTTGAATTTTTTTTTTTTTTTTTTTAGTAGAGTTGGGGTTTCACTATGTTGGCCAAGCTGGTCTCGAACTTCTGATCTCAAGCGATCCACCTGCCTCAGCCTCCCAGAGTGCTGGGATTACAGGCGTGAGCCACCATGCCCAGCCTGTTCCCTGGTTTTTTGAATTAAAAGGAATTTAGGCTGGGTGCGGTGGCTCACGCCTGTAATCCCAGCACTTTGGGAGGCCGAGGCGGGCGGATCACAAGGTCAGGAGATCGAGACCATCCTGGCTAACACGGTGAAACCCTGTCTCTACTAAAAATACAAAAAAATTAACCGGGCATAGTGGCGGGCGCCTGTAGTCCCAGCTACTCGGGAGGCTGAGACAGGAGAATGGCGTGAACCCAGGAGGCGGAGCTTGCAGTGAGCCGAGATCGCGCCACTGCACTCCAGCCTGGGTGACAGAGTGAGACTCTGTCTTAAAAAAAAAAAAAAAAGGAATTTAATGCGAAAGTTGATGGTATTGTAGTCTTGTTTCATATGCGATTAGTAACATCTCAGAAGCTGGAGAGATGGTAAACATTACAAAGTAACAGCACCATTCTTGGGGTTCTCTCCAAGCCCCTGGGTTTGAGTTGAAGTCACTAGGTCCACCTCCTGATTTACTAATCAGAAACCAAACCAGATTGATTGCAGTCTGGAGAGAAGCAAGTTGACTTTCTTCCATTCCAGGGACTTCAGTTTTGAGAACTGAGAGTCCAGGAGCCCCTCTTTGGGTGATGGACAGAATAGGTGAGTTCTAGCCCCGTTCTGGGTCCCAGAGAGGAAAAGTAGGTGGGAGCTTGTTTGTGACTGGGGGCTCCATTGTATGAGAACACAACTCTTACAGTTACTGAAGGAAACCATGTAATGATTTCTTTCCTGACTGCCTGGCAGCAGATGGCAAGGGCATGAAGCTATTTAGAGAACACGCTGAGTTTTTTTCCCACCCCAACTTCTATTTAGGGCCAGGCTCAGAATCATGAGTCCCTTGAATCCTCTGGCACTCGGGTGGCAGTGGAGCCCCTCTTGGATTTACTCAATCTGCCTTCCTCCTTGGAAAAGTGATATCTTGACCCTTCTGATGACCTGGGACTGGGTGGCCTTTTTGCCCACTCCTTATGACAGTGCTGGGCTGGACAAAATAAGGGGCAAGGTCCCTACTCACAAGATTGTCTCTTTTCTCTCTTTCTCTCACACACACAAAACCTTACATAAGGGAAATGATTGGTTATCACCAGGGACTTAACCAATTGTGCTGAAGTGTTAGATTCTGGCTTGGGTGCTTGGTCTCACTTTCTGTCTGCCTGCCTTTTAGTCAGCCACTCAGCAGGCACTTCCTGAACACCTGCCTGCTGGTGGCTGGCATGGCATAAAGAAAATGTGCAGAGATCTGCCCAAGACAGAATGGAAGGCAAAAGGAGAAGGCTTCCACACATTATGGAGGAGGTTTATAGAAAGGGGGCACCAGAGCTGAATCTCGGAGTACAAACTGGTTTAGTGGAGAAGGGGCAAGAGGGGATATTCCAAGCAGAGAGACCAGCAAAGACAAAGGTGTGGAGGCAGGAAAGAGCACACAATGACTTGGGAGCTGGTAGAGCTCAGTGCCTGAAGAGGTGTCACGTGGAGAGTGTCCTAGAAGGAGGCGAGAGTGGAGGGTAAGACCACAGAGCATGAGGCCTGAACTATCTAACACCAATTCCAACACCAACAATTTTATGACATATGGCCATGTTTTCCAAGCCAAGGTAGAAGCCAGTGATCCCCCAGGATAGTCTGCTTATGGGGCCATCAGATCAGGATAGACTATTTGAAGTTGAGACCATCTGGACAGACATGTGTCCTCAAAATGCCAAAATGACTGTTGAGCATGTGTACCAAAATGTGTGGTACTGATGATGGGGAAGATTAAACACAAGATGAAGCTGTTGAAACAGCAGGCACTGCTGCCTACGCACAAAAAGCCTGGCTGGGCCCTGGGGGTGGAGATGGGGACTCACTGTAGAGAGCTAGGAGCGGGGAGCCGAGACAGCACCCCTCCCCTCTCTGACACTTCTCTGACACTCTGACCTCCGCCAGGTGCAGTGGTTCATGCCTGTATTCCCAGCACTTTGCGAGGCTGAGGCAGCAGGATCGCTCGAGTCCATGAGGTCAAGGCTGTGGTGAGTTATGATTGCACCACTGCACTCCAGCCTGGACAACAGAGTGAGATCAGTCTCAAAAAAAAAAAAAAAAAAAAAAAAAAAAGAAGGCGGCCAGGCACAGTGGCTCACACCTGTAATCCCAGCACTCTGGGAGGCTGAGGCGGGTGGATCACTTGAGGTGAGGAGTTCAACACCAGCCTGGCCAACATGGTGAGACCCCGTCTCTACTAAAATACAAAAATTAGCTGGGCATGGTGTCACATGCCTGTAGTCCCAGCTACTTGGGAGGCTGAGGCAGGAGAATGGCTTGAACCTGGGAAGCGGAAGTTGCAGTGAGCTGAGATCACGCCATTGCTCTCCAGCCTGGGTGACAGAGCAAGACTCCGTCTTAAAAAAAAAAAAAAGAAAGAAAAAGAAGAAGGCTGGGTGCAGTGGCTCACACATGTAACCCCAGCACTTTGGGAGGCCAAATTTGGGGGAGCACTTGAAGCCAGAAGTTCAAGACCAGCCTGGGCAACATAGCAAGACTTCATCTCTACCAAAAAAAAAAAAAAAAGCTGGGCATAGTGATGCATACCTGTGGTCCCAGCTACTGAGAAGGCTGAGGCAGGAGGATTACTTGAGCCTGAGAGGTAGAGGCTGCAGTGAGCCATGGTCATGCCAGTTCACTCCAGCCTGGGCAACAAAGCAAGACCCTGTCTCAAAAAAACATAAAGCAAAACAAAAAAACCTCTGACCTGGGACTGTCTTTGCCTGAACAGTGGAGCAGTATGGTGGTTTCATCCATTAAGCAGAAGTGTAATGGATGAAGAAGGGAGAATACCCTGTGTTTTAATCCCCTAGGAAAGTACTGAACTTGAAAAATCAAGTGGGCAGAGTAGCTTAACTGTCATGAAATAGTCCAAAGACTGCCCAGTGAAAGTGAATTGGACTTCATCTATGACTCCAGGACTCAAGAGGACCTGTGAATAGAAATGTCAGGTGTCAAAGAGACATTACAATTGAATTTAAGAGAGACCTTTTTAACACAGCTGTGGGTTGCCTTTCAAATGATGGGCTGTTGTTGGAATTCAAACAGTCTCTCCTAGAGAGGGGAACTCCATGGGATAGTGATTGGATGAAATGAGCTCTCACACTCTCCCCAAACTCAGAGGTCCTACAAACCACATGAGGCTTTTCAGATGAGGGCCATGAAGGAGTTAAAATTGACGGGGCAAGTTAGTGCCAATCCCATGCCCTTTCTTGACTGGATGGAAGTATTCCTGGAGGGGAGAGGAATCCCTAAGATTTACTCTCTTCTTGAGAGTCCCCTCTGATCCCCGATGCCTCTACGGGGGCATGTCTACTTCTCCTGTGACATTGGCTCACTTGAGACTCTTTTTTTTTGGGACAGGGTCTCACTCTGCCACCCAGGCTGGGGTACAGTGGTATGATCACAGCTCACTGCAGCCTCCTGGACTCAGACTATCCTCCCACCTCAGCTTCCTGAGTAGCTGGGACTACAGATGCCCACCACCACACCCAGCTAATTTTGTATCTTTTTGTGGAGATGGGGTTTTGCCAGGTTGCCCAGGCTTCACTTGTGACTCTTACCTGGATGTGGCAGAGATAAGGCCCATCCATCAGACCTCCCTCCCAAGCCTCCTAGGATGCTACTTCAGTAAGGAATGGGCATGAATATTCCAGCTGGCATTTAGGGAGCAATGCTTTGATACCAAGCAACAGGCACTAGAACCAGGCAGGCTCCCAGAGTCCCAAAATAGCAGTTCAGAGTACCCACAGGTGAAAGTTTATTTTGCTGAGTCACTTTTCCTCCTTGGCTTCTACAAACCCTTGGCTGTTCTTCTGAGTTTCATGTTAATCACAACATTCAATCCCTAGCAATGGAATGTTCCTTTTTTGCAAAAGGGGTGAGGTGAGGGCACAGGAGGGATGTCCTATTCAACTACCTCTAGCCTCTCGGGTTACAAGCTTTCAGGTGTGAAGGATGATCACAGAGCTGACAAGGGGCCTGAGTAACCCACAAGGCTGGGGAGCTGTGTGGTTTTTTGGCCCAGGCAGCTGACTGTCAGATATGTGACTGAAGCGGCTTCTCTGACCATCAGCTGTTTGCAACCAGCCCCCATCTAGGGGCTGCACCGGGCCAGTCCCTAGAGTGGAACTGACCCCAGACCACCGTTGGGCTTAGGGAGGCCCGTGAAAACTTGTAAACAAACAGGGTTTACCGGCTCAGAATCCGGGAAGTGAGAGTTGGTAAACAAATCCCTCTGGCCTCCTTGCCTCTGGTCAGTCAGCAAGTCTGTGAGTGCTCTCCTGTACCACTGTGTCCTGCCCTCCTCTAACACCTTTTGTGGCTCCTCATTTTGTCCACTTCATACCCATGTCCTCTTTGAGCCTCTCAGCCACCCTGCATGGTGGGCCCAGCAGGAGCTCTCATCCTTATTAACAAATGAGGAAACTAAGGGCCAGAATGCAGGTCAATAATTTTCCATTACCCCAAGGACAACAAAATTCCATTTCTAGCAGCTTCCTCTTTCGTGGTGGATTCATGGATAAATTCTCTAGACTTGAATGGCCACATGTTGCTTAATGTTCATTGAGAATGGAGGGAAGTGGCCGGGAGCAGTGGCTCATGCCTGTAATCCCAGCACTTTGGGAGGCTGAGGTGGGCGGATCACCTAAAGTCAGGAGTTTGAGAATGGAGGGAAGAATAAGGGGGACCACCCACTAAATACAAACCTCTAGACCCGAGGCAACCCACTTGAGCATTATCCCAAAGACAGAGGCCTCCATCCCTATCAGGGAGGCCTAGGCCCCCTTCCAAGCCTGAGGAGGGATGCCTCCTCTTCTCTTCCAGTGCCTCTAGGCCCTGCTCCATGCTTCACCGTGTCACTATCCCAGCCCGACCTGGCATCTCACCCCATGACCACGCCCATGACTAATCCTGTGCTCCTAATGGCACACTCACCTGGTGACAGATGAGTCAGCCGCCACAATGGTGTTCTGATGGTGCAAAGGTGACAAGCTGAGTGGATAAAGCTTCTTCCTTCTCTCCTCTGCCCAAGTTGTGTATGGAGGCTCACCCAGCCCCATCTGCCAGCTAGCCCCACCTCACCCAGCTGGCCTCAAGTTAAAGGGCCCTGGTGAGATAGGAGAATAGGGAATTAGGGTCACCAAGGATCAAGGCATAAGCAAAAGAACAGCAGGTGCAGCCACTTCTAGGCAAGATTAGGCAGCATACAGGCCACATCCTCACTCCTGTGATAACAAGACAGAAATTTCCACTTCAGCCTCTGATTGACCACGGGCCAAGTATCCACTTCAGCCTCTGATTAGTTGCTGGCCAATCTGTCATAGGGTATAACCAACTGGAGGCCTTTAAAGGGTACCTAGGAGTGTTACCAAATTCTTTTTTTGTTTTTGAGACAGAATCTTGTCCTATCACCCAGGCTGGATTGCAGTGGCTTGATCTCCACTCACTGCAAACTCTGCCTCCTGGGTTCAAGCAATCCTCCCATCTCAGCCTCCAGAGTAACTGGGACCACAGGCACACCACCATGCTCAACTAATTTTTTCTTTCTTTCTTTCTCTCTCTCTTTTTTTTTTTTTTAGTAGAGACTGGGTTTTACCATGTTGGCCAGGCTGGTCTCGAACTCCTGGCCTCAAGTGATCCACCCGCCTGGGTCTCCCAAAGTGCTGGGATTACAGGCGTGAGCTCTAATCCACCAGCCACCAAATTCTTTTAGTTTAATAAGAACCCTAAAGAACATTGCAATGGGGCTCTGGAGCTGCTTGCTCGAGCCTGCTCCCACTCTGTGGAGTGTACTTCCACTTCAGTAAATCACCTTCATTGCTTCTTTCGTTGCTTTGTTCTTTTGTTTCTTTGTGTGTTTTGTTCAATTCTTCGTTCAGTGCGTAAGAACCTGGACAACTCACAGTCAAGACCTTCCATCCGGTAACACTGGAAAGCTTTCCCTTGCCCTCTGACCACAGCCCCTCCCCACAGGAGATGGACTTCAGAGGTCACAGATATCCCCCAACCTCTTCTCCCATTGTACAGATGCAGAAGTATCTCCCAAGTAGCTGGGTCCATCAAGTCAGTGGCAGAGAGAAGACTTCTCGCTCCTGGGTCAGCCGTAATTTCCTAGAGCAGTGTGCAAAAAGCCTTTTAGGGAAGGGAGGTGATTATAATTTCAAAAGAGCTTTGAGTTTGAGTTTGAGTTGGGGGACTTAGGGGAGTCACGGATGGTGCTCTAGGAAAAGCAGAGGCCCAACATGAACTCTTTTTAAAAAAAAACTGTTTTAAAATGGTTTCTTCTGATGGCCGGGCACGGTGGCTCACGCCTGTAATCCCAGCACTTTGGGAGGCTGAGGCAGGCGGATCACTTGAGGCCAGAGTTTGAGACCAGCCTGGCCAATGTGGCGAAACCCTGTCTCTACTAAAAATACAAAAATTAGCTCGTTGTGAGTGCCATAATGCCAGCTACTTGAGGGGCTGAGGCACAAGAATTGCTTGAACCCAGGAGGTGGAGGTTACAGTGAGCCAAGATCGTGCCACTGCACTCTAGCCTGGGTGACAGAGTGAAACTATCTTAAAAAAAAAAATTCCCCAGAAGTAAAATAAAATGGTTTCTTTTGCTTTACATTATGTTTGTTGCAACAAAGCAGTTGGGTGGTATTACATGTAGCAGGTTTTTTTTTTTTTCTACAGTATCATTTTTTTCTTAAACTGCAGCAAAACAAACAAACAAAAACCCCAAAAACACAAAATTCACTCTCCCGGGCTAGGTACGTGTAATCCAGCACTTTGAGATTCCTCGAGCTCAGAGGTTTGAGACCAGCTTGAGCAACTTGGCGAGACCCTGGCTCTACTAGAGAAAACAAAACAAAACAAAACACAACAAAAACAGCTGGTCATGATAGTGTGTGCCTGTGGTCCTAGCTATTCGGGAGGCTGAGGTGGGAGGAGCACTTGAGCCTGGGGGCATGCAGAGGTTGCAGCAAACCAAGATCGTGCCACTGTACTCCAGCCTGGGTGACAGAGTGAGACCCTGTCTCAAAAATAAAAAAATAAATTCACCCTCCCAACAATTTCCAAGTGTAAAGTACAATATTGTCAACCACATGCCATTGATGGGCAGCAGAGCCCTGGAACCACCCTCCCGTCCTGACTCTGTGCCTCCTAATCAATTCTCTTCCTCCTCCCCCCAGCCCCTGGCAACTACCTTTCTACTTTCTGCTCTATGATTTTGACTACTCTAAGTACCTCCTATAAGTGGAATCATACAGCATTTGACTTTTTTTGACTGGCTTATTTTGCTTAGCATAATTTCCTGCAGGTTGATCCATGCTGTAGCACAGGACAGGATTTCCTTCTTTTTTAAGGCTGAATAATATTCCATTGTATGTGTATACATTTTCTTTATCCATTCATCTGTCAATGGATATTTAGGTTGCTCCTACCTCTTGGCTATTGTGAACAGTGCTCCCACCAATCTGAACTCTTTAGATGTTGAGCTGAGACAGCAAATAAATGGGCTTGTGAGCTCTGGGGAGCAGAGGTCCTTCAAGGACACTACGGAGCTTCTGTTCAGCATTGGATTGGAATGTCAGGTATAAGGGAGGCTGTGGCTGAGTTAAGACAGGCCCAGCTGTGTCCTGGGTCACTGGCTGCAGCCCATTTTCCATTGTTCTCACACTGTAGGTGTCATCATGTTGGGGTTGTTGGGATAGTTTAGGATTTGCCACAGTGTATAAAACATGGAAAACCATGCTCCTGCCTCAGCCCCCTGCCTGGAACACAGTGGAAAGAGGGACCTGAGGCTTCCCACTAGGAATGCCAGGGAAAATACAGGATGCAATATTTGGAAAATGTACTGAGGAACTACTCTCTGAAATTTGAATGTAACTACATGCCCTATATTTTTATTTGCTAAATCTGACAGCCTCCCTCCTACCCACTGAAAATCTCTCCAGCCAGCAAATGGGGACCCTGTATCCCTACCCATGTTTCCTCAGAATGGGCTGGTGCGGATGCTTCTGAGCTCAGGCCTGGCTTGGAGTACTGGGGGCCAAGCAATACTCTGCTACGATGAGCTTGCCCTTAAGCCACCTGCTTGACTGAAACCCCATCCTTTCTTCCCTCCCTTTGACTCTTGGCAGGGAGTCCATCTGAACTCAAAAGGCTGCCTTGAAGTCCATATTTTATTATCTCTCTAAAAAAATTTTCTTCAGACAGGTATGGTGGTTCATGCCTGTAATCCCAGAGCTTTGAGAGACCAAGGGCTGAGGTGGGAGGATCACTTGAGCCCAGGAGTTGAAGGCTACAGTGAGCTGTGATTGCACCACTGTGCTCTAGCCTAGGCAGCAGAGTGAGACCCTATCTCAAAGAGTGAGACCCTGTCTCTTTTTTTTTTTTTTTTTTTTTTTTTTTTTTTTTTGCAGTAGAGATGAGGTCTCACTATGTTGCTCAGGCTGGGCCTGAACTCATGGGCTCAAGCGATCTTCCCAATTCAGCTTCCTAAAGCACTGGTATTACAGACATGAGCCACCACTCCTGGCCAATCTCCTTTTTTTTTCAGATGGAGTCTTGCTCTGTCACCCAGGCTGGAGTGTGATGGCACCATCTCGGCTCACTGCAACCTCTGCTTCCTGGGTTCAAGGGATTCTCCTGCCTCAGCCTCCTGAGTAGCTGGGATTACAGGTGCCCGCCACCATGCCTGGCTGATTTTTGTATTTTTAGTGGAGACGGGGTTTCACCATGTTGGCCAGGCTGGTCTCAAACTCTTGACCTTGTGATCCGCTTGCCTCGGCCTCCCAAAGTGCTGGGATTACAGGTGTGAGCCACCGCGCCCGGCCCTCCTCTTTTTTATTCATTATTTTTATTTTAATTTTCTTTTCTTTTTTTTTTTTTTTTTTTTTTTTTTTTTTTTTGAGACAGGGTAGTTGCGAGGCCACTTGGAGCTACCTGCATTTCCAGCATGGGCCAGAGGTGCCTATGTGAGTCCTGAAGCTTTCATCGCCAAGAAAAGATGCCTTTGCTGCCTCCTCTGGCCGCTCTGAACACAGTCGGAGGCTGCAAGGAGGACTGAGGCCAGCTCTAGAAGGACCAAGTGCTCTCTCTCTCTCCACTCTGCTGTGAACTTCCTTCCTTTCTTTGGCAGGGTCTGGGTCTCCTTAGCCACCCATCCAACCCGGGACTGGGCACCCAGCGGACCTCAGCCAATAGTTTATTCTCCCAAGAGGCGCCTCGTCCCTTAACAACCACCCTGTCACTGAAGCCTGATAGAGAAGACTCTACTCTGCCCTGGCTGGCAAGGGGGCATGCAGCAGGAGGTGCTGGAGTGCAGGAGCCTCAGCAGGGACAGAGGAGGGGGAGGCTGGAGCTCTGCAACCTGGAAATGAGGGGTTGGCCCTGGCCCTGTGGGCCTTGCCACCCGCGGTGGGAGTTGCCAGGGCTAGGGCCTAGCGGGCAGCAGGGGGCGCCCCAGACCCTATCTTGCAGGAGTTTGGAGCGACTAAGGGAATTCAGAGAGGGCAATGGAGACTTTCCTCACCCCACAGATTAATACTCTCTCACTAGCAGCACAGTCTCAGTGTGTCACTGCACACTGATTTGTGATTATCTACTTAAAGTCTGTCTCCCACTTTGGCCTGGTCTCTGGAAGGGGCGTGTTGTCCCCACAGTGTCCTCAGGGCCCTGCAGCAGATTCTCAGTGAGTGCTGAATCAATATCTCAATATCTGCATGAATGAAAGGTGGTTCCCTAGGCTGGGCGCAGTGGTTCACACCTGTAATCCCAGCACTTTGGGAGGCCGAGTCAGACAGATCACGAGGTCAGGAAATCGAGACCAGCCTGGGCAGCCTGGTGAGACCCCGTTTCTACTAAAAATACAAAAAATGAGCCAGACGTGGTGGCGAGTGCCTGTAGTCCCAGCTACTTGGGAGGCTGAGGCAGGAGAATCGCTTGATCCCGGGAGGCAGAGGTTGTAGTGAGGAGGGATCGCGCCACTGCACTCCAGGCTGGCCAACAGAGTGAGACTCCGTCTCAAAAAAACAAAAACAAAAACAAAGGTAGTCCCCAAGACCACCCCCAGCCTCCCATCAGATCCCTATGCCATCAGCTGTGAGTCCTGGTGGCAAGAGGACTGGCCCACCATGAGGGAGCTGCGACCAGGTCAGTGCCATCCTCCTCCAGTCCCACACTCAGGGGCTCTCAGCGGGCAGGGATAGCCAACTCCAGGGGAGAAGCCTAGGAGTGCTAATCAAATGTGAGACTCCCACCCTCAAGCAGCCATGTAGGCTGGTGCAGAGAGGATCCCAGAGGGACCAGGGCTGGGAATGCAGGGCCAGGCCTGGTGGTCCTCAACCTCCTGCCTTCCCTTGGGGAAGGGGGTCAGGGGTTCCTCATGGCTATCTGTCTCTCACTCCATAGGAGCCTGGATGACTCCTGGGCAACTCAAGGGAAGGCTGAGGGTCTCTAGGGCTCTGCTGCCCAACAGGGTAGCTACTAGCCACATGTGGCTTTGAGCACTTGAAATGTGGCTAGTCTGAATTGAGATGTGCTGTAAGTGTAAAATACACCCTGGATTGTGAAAAGAATGCAAAATCTCTCATTAATAGTTATTTTACATTGATTACATGTTTAAAGACATTTGGATGTAATGGGTTAAATAAAATATATTATTAAAATTCCCTATATCTGTTTTTGTTTGTTTGTTTTTTGAAACAGAGTCTCACTCTGTCGCCCAGGCTATAGTGTAGTGGTGCTATCATGGCTCACTGCAGCCTCAACCTCCCAAGCTCAAGCAATCCTCCCACCTCAGCCACCCGAGTACCTAGGACTAAAAGTGTGCGCCACCATGCCCAGCCAATTAAAATTTTTTTTTTTGTAGAGATGGGGTCTTGCCATGTTGTCTAGGCTGGTCTCGAACTCCTGGGTTCAAGCAATCCTCCTGCCTCGGCCTTCCAAAGTGCTGGGATTACAGGCATTAGCCACCATACCTGGCCCTGTTTTTCACTTTTTAAAAATGGGGCTACTAGAATTTCAAATGTGACTTGCACTATATTTCTAAAGAACAGACCAACATGTACCCTGAATCCCCCTGCCCTACATTTATCAGCTGGGTTAGGTTCACAGGTGAGGTTTTATTTATTTATTTTGTTTGTTTTTATTTTTGTTTTTTTTAAAGACAGACTCTTGCGCTGTCTCCCAGGCTGGAGTGCAGTGGCATGATCTTGGCTCACTGCAACCTCTGCCTCCCGGGTTCAAGCAATTCTCCTGCCTCAACCTCCCTTTAGTCCCTGTAGCTGGGATTACAGGTGTGCATCCCCACACCTGGCTAATTTTTTGTGTTTTTAGTAGAGATGAGGTTTCACCAGGTTGGCCAGGATGGTCTCAAACTCCTGACCTCAAATGATCCACCTGTCTTGGCCTCCCAAAGTGCTGGCATTACAGGTATAAGCCACCTGGCCCAGCCGACACAGGTGTGGTTTTAGAGTGAGGGGCAAGCCTGAGTCATTCTTCTGGATCACTGTGGTCCTGCTTTGGGCTGGCTGCAGGAGGAGGGAGAAGCTGTGGTGCCAAGTCCACGGCAGCTGGGCCATGGGGCTGACAGTTTCTTACCATGGCCAGGTGGGCTGGCCACCCAGATACCCCCTCAGCCCCAGGGCTGATTTCCTGCCAGCATCCCATGCTGATTCCACAGTTGAGGACGCTGAGCTCTTCCCATTCACAGCTGAGCTGCTGGAGCTGGGGCTGAGAGAACATCCACAGCCTGTTTTTCCAGGTTCCCAGGTGCCCTAACAGGGAGACCTCCCTCCACGGGCATTTTGGGCACACACACACTCCACCCCAAATTTACTTCCAATACCTTGTGCATTGTGGACTCAGAACATTGGATCTGGAGGCACCCTTGGGAACCTACCGTCTACTGCTCTGGAGAGGAAATGGGTCAATTCTCTGTGGCAAACAACTAAGTCAGTGGCCCCAGAAGCTAAGATGCTTTGAGTCTTAATGTAACCTCTGTCCCTCACAGCCTTGTTCTGAGCCCTCAGAGGAGGTTCAAGACCCTCCCGATATAGCTTGATCCATCTTTGCATAGGCCAAACCCTCTATGAGGAATGCCCGTCATCCCTTTCTCCGATGCAGCTTCCCTTGGGCTAGCAACTATTTTTCATTAGGTCTCCAATGTCTGGAGGTTCTAGGGGGACAGGGGCCTGGTGACATGCACAGTATACAACCCAGCACACTGGCAGTGAGGTGTCCGGTCAAGACTACTTGTTGAATGAATCAATGAATCAATGAATTAATGGTGTCACTTCCTCAGAGAAACCCTTCCTGAACCCCTTCACCCCTAGACCAGCCCAGGCCTCCATGAAAACTCCCAGTTCCCTCACTGCCTGTGTGAGCCACCCCAAGCAAGGACAGCAGCTATATTCCCCACACTCTTTTCAGAGCCTGGCTCAGGGTAGGTGCTCAGAAAATCATGAATGAAAAACAAACTCAAGCAAAAATCTTCACTGACCTAGGGACACTCCCTGGAGGCTCCTCCCAAACTTTCCTACGGTCCCAGACAGGTGGTTGTAGCAGGTGGGGAGTGCAGCAGTCCTGCCTTGGATGCAGAGCTTTACCTCTTAGCACATCTTCGACTTTAGGTGCATCCCTCATCCTCTCAATTCCAGGGGAACATATTGAAGATCAAATGAAATACTGCCCTGAGGCTAGGGGCGGCTTACGCCTGTAGTCCCAGGACTTCAGGAGGCCGAGGAAGACGGATCACTTGGGCCCAGGAGTTTGAGACCAGCCTGGGCAACATGGGAAAACCCTGTCTCTACAAAAATTACCAAAATCAGCCAGGCATGGTGGCATGCACCTGTAGTCACAGCTACACGGAAGGCTGAGGTGGGAAGACAGCTTGAGCGCGGGATGTCAAGGCTGCAGTGAATCAAGATTGCAGCCTGGGTGACAGAGTGAAATCCTGTCTCAAATAATAATAATAATAATAATAATGAAAAATATAAATACTGCTCTGAAATTATAGCCCTTGGTGTGCACTGAACATCTTTATTATGATTCCTTAGGAGGTGGCAGCTGATCCCTTGGAAAACTCAGGGACCCCGTGGTTTTGCTGAGCCCATTGTCGGGTGTGTGTGTGGGACTCCCAGGGTTCCCTACCCCATCCAATGCAATGGAGCCTCACACCAGCCAGCACAGAAAACACTGCTTTATTAACTGCGTTTGCCAACACACGAGGAGTGCAAAGGGCTCCCTATGACACAAGCCCTGGTGGGGCCGGGGTCTGGAAGCCCCCATGAGTGAGCAGGACAGGATGGGGCTGGGAACTATGCAGCAGCGGCAACACAGAATCATGCAGGGCACAGCGGGCACTGGCCACACCCAGGTGACCATACATTCTATTGCTCGTTAAGGGTTGCGCACATGGACAATGTACAAAAAGGAGAAATAGGTCTTTGCGTTAATGAAAAATACATTTTTTCTCTACAAAGGAATCTTTTCTAATACAAGAAAATAAATATTGCAACATAAGCCAAAAATAATTTAAAATTGCTCTTTTCAATATATTTTCAATATTTCTCTTGTATATTAACAAATGGCACATCACTTTCTTTGAAACAAAGACAGAAGGTGTCTCCTCCTGTGACATTCATATCATCCCCCCACCGTCCCCTCAAACTGACGTGGAACACAAAGTGTTTGTGCCTCTGAGGGAGAAAGTGGCAGGAGGTGCCTTAAAGAACAACCAAAGGTCTCAGACTCCAGCCCTGGCTCATTGGCCAATGTGGCCAGCGAGGCCAAGGGCATGGGAGAGTGCCCTCCCCAAGGGCCTTGCTATAGAAATCCAGATCATTTTTCAGTGGTTTGCATATGGACAAAGGTTGGCCACATCTGGCAGTTAGCAAGGAAATGCCAAGTTCAGCCGCTGCCAATGTTGGTTAGAATTGGGCAGTTGAATCTCTAGGAATTGTCCCAGCTAGTCCCAGTGTGCCCATACACAGTATACACAGGCATGCCTGCATACGGACACACGAGACGTGGCCTGGCACACCCCCCACAAACAATTCAACATCTATGTCTGGAAACCTGGGGTGGCTTCTCCAAGGAAGCTGAGGCCCTTACATTGCAAATGCTCACACACTGTCACTAAGTCAGGCTCATTTAATAAAATAAACCCTTCTACCTTTCTTCTTCTCATTTGTTTCAAAATACATTTATGATACATAAAAATACTTTTCTTGCACATTATCCTTTGTCATGTGATGAGGGGGAAGGAGGTGGTGGGCGGTCAGGTCAGTGAGAAGGGGGACGATAGCCAGAATGAGTTACAGAGCAGCTTCTCCTTCCCTGCGGAGGAGCTGTGTGTGGAGGCAGATGTGGTTGAGAGAAAGATCTACCTCCACCTCTGACCTGGAAAAGGAACCTGCCTCAGTCTCAGGGACAGCAAAGCCCTCTACACTGGGGACAGTAGACCGGAAAAAGACAGAAGCGGCTGTGACCAACAGGGGAAAGGCTGGGAACTGGGGGAGGATGGGTGGCTGGCATCCTTCTCCTTGCAGCCTGCTGGACATCCTGGAGGTGGAGACAGCTGCCTGAAGAAGATTGCTCCAGGGCTTGGCCTGGGAGTGAAAGGGCACCCCAAATGAAAGGCCACCCCCCTCCCCTCGCAGCAGCCAGCCAGCCTAACAGACATCTGGGTTCTGCAGGACACAGGCTCAGCAACAGTCCAGTCCAAAGCAACAGCCAATGAAGAAGGGCCAGAATCCAGAGGCCAACAATGTGAGCAGAGGCTCTTGGAAGAACACCAGCCAGCCCGAGGCAAGGGGCCAGACTCGTTGCACCCTCTCCCTAATTCTCCACCCACCCCTGCCACCAGGGAGGCCCAGCCCCTGCCCCAGGATGGTGTGAAGGGGCAAGGGGCCAAGTGCTGAGACTGCTGGACCCTGGGCTTTCTGGGACCCCTGGCAGAGTTTGGTTGTTCTTTAAGCTCACCTCTTTGCTTCCTGCAGGGTCAGACCGGGCAATCTGGCACAGACAGGGTTGCAGCCCGAGGTGACCCAAAGCATGGGGAAGGAAGAAGTTCTGTTCAAAGGCAGTAAACAGAGACTGGGGTTGGGACACTGATGCTGACACTGACTGGTCACTACTACCAAGGCGGGCAGGCAGACTAAACTCTACAGGGTAGCTCATGCCATCCCAACGCCCAGAATCCTTGAAGCCCACCCCACTCCCTCCGAGTCCACCCGGACTAGACACATTTGTCCGATCCTCTGAACTGAGTCATTATCTTTGTTTCCTGTTTTGCTAAAATTCACATGAAATTGAGTGTCGATGACAATGCCACTGTCGTACCTTGATAGTTTTGGAGTTAGGGGTGGATGAAGGTCAAGCTGTTCCCCATCCTGCTTATTTGCTTTATGTATTTGGGGAGGAGGGAACCACATGGTAAAGACGTTTTCCATGCTGGTTTCACCGTCAGTATCTTTCCCCTCTGTGAGTCTCACAGTTTAGGAAAGCTCACAGTGGGCTCAGCCCAGGATCTGAAATCTAACACCCAGGTACACTTCAGCAGCAGCAAAGCATCCTCTTCCAAGCGCTTGAGCTCTTCTCCTTGGGTGTGTGCAATGAACATGTTTCTATACTTTGTTGCTAAAGAACTCCATTTAAAAAAAAGTCCAAATGACAAGTTGTCAGGTCCAGGCTGTGCTGTATTATGGTCAAAATATTCTTTGGCATCCACAGAATGATTCGACTGATTCACTGGACTTTTTGCAAGGTTCTTTTTGGAGAAGTTCTGGCTTTACCAGTGGTGGAAGTGACCCAGGAGTAATTCATCAAAGAAAAAAAAATGTTTTCACGGAATTCCTTTTTTGTTGTTCCCTGAGCTATCACCCTGGGGCCACTCTACTGAAACTCTTCAGAGCAACTACCTGGGACCTAAGGGTGGGGTGGGGAAGGCAGGACGGCGGGGGGGGATGGCAGGACGGGGGGGGGGATGGCTGTGCGAGGGGTTAAGGCTCAGGAACAGGGGAACATCCAGCAAGACTTACAACAGCCCCAGCGGCCAACACCGGCCCGCCCTGGGCCCCGGGATCCCACTGCTTGTTGGAAGGAGGAGTTTCCAAAAGGAAACCACGGAAGAAGCTCATCTTGTAGCAGGACTAGGAAACTTGAAAAGGCAAACGGTCTGGTCTGGTCAGCTCTGTCTGAGCGTGACCAGACTTCGGCCGAGACTGGCCCCGAAGGAAGGAAGGAAGTTGGAGCCTCAGAGTGATTCTCTACAGTGGGCTGGTCTGAGCCCCATGACCCTGTCTGGGCACTGGCCCTCCCCTACAGCCCTCCACCTGCACTGGCAGCTGGCTGTTTGGGAGTCCCCTGAGTAAATGGCACAGCTCAGGAGGGATTCTGGGAACCCCTTCCCAGAGCCGCTGGGCTGGGCACTGGCAGGGGCAGAGCAGCAAGGGAGGGGAGGGTGGCAGGGTGGGCAGGCAGGCCTCAGATGATACGGGCTGATCAGGAACAGCTTTCAGTTCCCCTGGAACTAGCGGGCCCTCTGCACCCCCTCAGTGCTTTCTCATATAAACTCGTTGTGCTTGTGACAGTGAGTAGACTCTGGCTGGGTATCGTTTATTATACTTCCTTGGGGATCGGTGGAGTGTAGCAGGACCCCCCAAATGGACCCCAGTGGGATCTGGGGGCAAGGCGGGGTAGGCCCTGGACTGGCCCATCTGCCATGAAATAATGCCCAAACGACAGTCTGTGTCACCCAGTGGCAGTGGGCTGGAGTCCTGAGCTCTTGTCCACCTTGCTTGCATCTAGCCAGGAGCCCAGCAATACCACGTGGGCAGGGCAGGGATGGTGCGCGGGACCTGGCAGGGTCCTAGCGGCCGGAGCCGTGGAAGGAATCCTAATGTCCTAGGCCAGCACAGAGGAAAGACAACAGTGTAGAATTCAAAACTCTCTCTATATTAAAAATAAAACCACGACGGAGTGGCAGCCTCGAGGGTCTGGGACACTCAGCAGAGACTGGAAATGGCAGTTGTGACTGGGCTGAGGCCTTGTGGGGGGACCAGGGCAGGGCCTGGGACAGGGAAGGGGGTGAGTTAGGAGGCCAGTACGCCCATGCGGACCACCTCCTCTGCCCCTGCCTCCCGGGGACCCCGCTGCACCCCACCGTCCTCGGCCTCTACATCTGAGTCGCTCATCTCCCCATCAGAGAAGTAGCCATCAGTCTCAGTGTCAAAATGCAGGCTGACCTTGGGCCTCTCAGCCACAGCTGAAGGTGGTCCCATCCCAGCATCAGGCCTGGCACCCGGCAATCTCCGGGTTACCTTGCTCTCGCGGGGTGGCCGGAGCCGGCCCAAAGGCTTAGGGCTTGCTGCAGGGCCAGGCACTTGGACATCTGAGTCAGCAGCTACTGAGGCTGCCTCGTCCGGGGTCTCAGGGGCCAGTGGCGGGGGGCTTTCAGGGGTGGCTAGGATGGGACAGTCCCCGGCTGCAGGGCTGGACGGCAAGTGAGAAGATGTCCGACGTGGTGGCTTCCTGGTAGGTGGCCCTTGACCCCCCTTGCCACTGCCTGCATCCTGGCCCCAGGTCTTCTTGGGGGCTTTGTCTGGAGTCGTCCGTGAACCAGGCCCGTCCTGCGGTGGTGGTGGTGGTGGTTTCTTCTTGGCAGGCAGGCGGGTGCGGCCTCGGGCCTTCCTAGCAGGGTCACCAGGTCGCAGCGAGGGGTCCCGCATGAAGCTGAGCAGTGTCTCCTCGTCCTGCAGCAGTTCCTCTGACAGCAGCCCTGGAGCAGGGTCCTCGCGGTGCCCATTGTTCAGTGGCCACTCGCTCATGGCCATGTTCTCTGCTGTGATCTGCACCGACTGTGCCAGCCAGCTGTTGAAGAAGGTGCCATCGATGGGGAATGAGGTGGACAGGCCTGCTGAGGGGAGAGAGGAGGCAAGTGAGACGCCAGCAGACGTGTGTCCCACCCTTTCAGGAAGCCCACTGACGCTCCCAGCACACCACCAGGCATCGTCTTCTCTCTGTCCCCCTGTGCCAGACCCAGGTGAGCTATCTTGTTTTGTCCATCCCTCCTGCCAACACCACCAAAGAGTAGGGACTACTTATACGCTTCTCTCCAGAAGGACGTGCTGCCCTCAAGATGGGCTTCATAATTTGTGGGCTAGAGTGTAAAATGAAAATATAGGCTCCTTGTTCAAATATTATTAAGAATTTCAAGGTGGAGTGTTATAGCTCTTTTAGTTTGTCTAGCAGGTTTTTTGGATTTTACCAGAAAGCCTGCCATGGGAAAGAAAATTCAAGGTGGCAGCAGCAGAGCATTAACCAAGAACAAGGACCCCGTGGCACTGCACAGGTTGCTACCCACGAAGTTGGACCTGCCCACTACCCCCATTCTGGTGGGGTTGGGGAAGGAGGAATCTGGAGGAAAATGCCCTCAGGCCGCCAGAGGGCGCTCAGTCTTTATAAGCGTTGCCTCCCAGCGCTTGCAGCAAAGAGCATGGATAAAGGGATCAGGTACGAATAGGGGTAGCAAGCAGTATCCAGTCCCTCCTGGATGTCAGGGAGAGGGGAGGCAAGTGAGACGCCAGCAGATGTGAGGGCGGCAGAGCCTTCCTTCCTTACCGAGGTCTTGGGAGGGGGCAGCTGGCGAGACGGGAGACTGGGTTTCCTGTTAGACACCCAAGTTATCCCCTTCTTTTTGCGGGAGGGGTGTGAAATGAAGGAACAGGGTCTTGCTCTGTCACCCAGGCTGGAGTGCAGTGGCATGATCATGGTGCACTGCAGCCTCAACCTCCTGGGCTCAAGCGATCCTCCCAACTCAGCCTCCTGAGCAGCTAGGAATACAGGCATGCACCACCACGCCTGGGTTGTCCCCTTCTTGAGACAGAGGGACAGAAAGGATGACCTGGGGCTTCCATCCCAGAGGCAAGGTCTGGAAGGGGACTCCATGATGCTCCCTGAGATCTCTGGAGGAAGCACGTGAGGTCCATGAGTCACACTGCTCCCATTAGGCTGCTCTGCCTAACAGGAGGCCTGGGACAGTGGAGGTGGTGGGCAGGGCCAGAGCCTGCAGCCACTCCTCTGGGCAGCTCCAGGAGAGTCTGCTGCTGTTGCAGGAAGGGCCCACTTAGAGGATTCTGGGAGAGTAGGACAAGGATGGGGCTTTCTGGCAGATCCTCCCCTCCCAGCATGGGGCTGTCCCAGGGGCCTCTGGGAAAATCCAGCACCCAGGACCCCCCAGCCAGGGGAATGACTGGACAGTTCCTGAGTGGGCGTGGCCCAGCCTCCATCCAGGTCTACAGACGGGGCATTTCCCAGGATGTCACACGGGGCTCTGAGATCTGTCTCCTTTGTGGGTGGAAGGTGTGTGCACCTGGGCAAGCAAGGGCCTGGTTACCGCTCTTGAGCCTCAGTCTCCTACTCTGTGCAGCTGGCCTTCCGCAGGGCAGACAGAGCTGCAAGCGTGGTGATGGTCAAGCCTGCCGTGTCTGCAGGCCAGCATGGCCCTCACTCACCCAGCTGCCCCAGGACTGAGTCAGGCCCCGCCTTCACTTTCTCTTTCTTCTCAGTGCTGCCCTTGGAGCCCTCGCAGCCCTTCCTCTTCGAGTCACTCTTCTTGCCCTTTGCTCTCCTCCCAGACCGCTCTGTGTCAGGGAAAGTGAGAGGAGGAGGGAGATGGTTACCCTGAGTGGCCTCGGTCAGCACCAAGATCCCTGCGTGGCAGCCCAGGAGTCCTCCATCAGCCAGTGCTCACCCTCCACAGCAAAAAGGTTGGAGTTAGGGGATGGCTGGCATGGTGGGGTGGACCAACTGTCCACTGTGGCCTGTGGGGGACTTGGGGTGGCCACAGGGCCACGAGGAGAGGCCCTCGCAGGACCTGGACTCCAGTCTGACCTGCACAACCTGTAGTCTTGGGAGAGAGTGTGGGTGGTGGGAAGAATGGCTGGAAGGGAGTCTGGACAGGGCAGGGCCTTGAATGCCAGGCTGAGGAGCTAGACATGTAGGTGGAAGGAACACTACCTGAGGGGTCAAGAGGCTTGGGTTCCATTCCTAACCCCAGGGTCAGCAACCCTGAACCAGTCTCCTGCCATGGTCTCTTGGTTGGCTTTCAAAGTCAGGCAGCAAACTAGATGGGAGATTCAGGGTGCACCCCTGGCCCTTGTATCCTTTCAGTTCAGGCCAGGCCTCAGTCTCATCTGTTTTGGTTTGTTTTGAGAGAGAGTCTTGCTCTGTTGCCCATGATGGAGCGCAGTAGTACAATCATAGTTTACTGCAGCCTTGACCTCCCAGGCTCAAGCGATCCTCCAGCCTCAGCCTCCTGAGTAGCTGGGACCACAGGTGCATGCCACCACACCCGGCTAATTTTCAAATTTTGTAGAGACAGGGTCTTGCTATTTTGCCCAGACTGGTCTTGAACTCTTGGGCTCCAGTAATCCTTCCACCTTGGCCTCCCAAAGTGCTGGGATTACAGGTGCGAGCCACTGTGCCTGGCCACATCTGTTTATTTATTTATTTTTTAGAGACAGAGCCTGGCTCTGTTACCCAGGCTGGAGTACAGTGGTGTAATCATAGCTCGCTTGCAGCCTCAAACTACTGGGCTCAAGCAATCCTACTTCTGCTCCCCAAGCAGCTAGGAATACAGGCATGTGTCACCATGCTCAGCTAATTTTTGTATTTTTTTTTTTTTGTAGAGACAGGCTGGTCTGGAACTCCTGGCTTCAAGTGATCTTCCCACTGTGGTCTCCCAAAGTGCTGGGATTTTAGGCATGAGCCACTGTGCCTGGGCAATCTCATCTGTAACATGGCATGTAACTAATGCCTAGATACTCTGGAGGCAGGCTCCTGAGGCTCCCCACTGCTCTCAGGACAGTGTAAGCTCCTCCCCCAGGCTACAAGAAGATCTCGCACATGTGACCCAGGTTACCCGTCATCCCCACTTTAGGAGTCTTCCTTCTGCCTGGTGCAGCCATTCCAGCCTCCTTCCAGTTTCTCTGCCAAGACATGCTCTGGCCACTAAGTCTCCAAATATGCTGTTTTCTTCTCCTATCCTTCACCTGATTCAGTTCACAGGCCAAATATCATCTCCACTAGGAGGCTTTGTCCAGCCGCCAGGCCAGACAGCCTCGCCGATATGCACACAGCCCATGTCCCACCCCAGGCGTCAAGCCTCTCAACAGTGTGAGCAGCAGCTTTGGACAGGGCAAACCAGTCATCTCCAAATACCCTGCCCTGCCCTGAACAAAGAGCTGCCTGTTGTTGACACTCAAGACAAGGAGTTGCAAATGTCCCCAGAACCAATGTGGGGATGTGGACCCTCCAGGCTCTTGCCCATGCTTCTGGAATCCTGTGCCTGAGGGCACTGCTCGTGGCTTGCCACCCTCTGCTTCCTCAACTGTGGGTGCCTTGCATGGGCTTCTCCTTCTGCAGCCGATATGTGGCCACAGCCAAGTGCCTGAGATGTTGTTGGAGCATCACTGCTTCTGGGAAGACATCCCTGATACTTCTATCCCTAAACTGGCAGCAACTGTAGCGTCTGCGATACCACATTCCTCTCTCTCTCCAGATGGTGCATTCCACAAGGGCAGCAACCCTATCCAGTCCATGCTCAGTTAATGCTGGCTGAGTGAATAAACAGAAGATAGGGGGCCTGGAAAGCTCCAGCAGCCAGGAAGCTGCCACAGTCTTTGGGTACACGGTGAGCTCTACATGGTCATGACTAGCACCTGAACTTGGCAAGGCTAGATGTTGGGGCCAGAGTGGGTGGTGATGCCAAAGCACAATCAGGTCAGCTCAGCTCTGGGGCAGAAGTAGGGGCAGCAGAGGTCCTCAGTCATTTGCTCCAACGGTGGCTCAGCAGCTTTCCTCTCCAGGCCCAGCTCAGCCCTGAGGCTGAAGTGGCATTGGCAGACCCTGGCTCAAAATCTCTCTCCATCCAGCTATTTCTGCTGCATGTAAACGCAACACTGGGGTACTGTTTTGGGGGCTAAGTGTTGCCCTTCTTAACATGTATACGCTCCAAGAAGGGCCCTGTGTCTGGCAATATCCACAATTAACAGATACGATCAATGTCAGCGCTTCCTTCAGCCTTTGATTTCCAGATCCACTAAACGCATGTGACGCCAAGAGAATAAGAATAATAAGAATGAAACAGTGAAAAACACCGCGGATGCAGGGCATAAATCCTGTTAGGGTCAGAGAGAAACAACAGCCAGGTCCTGTCACATCTCTGGGACAGCTGCCTTCTTCGGAACTGACTCCCAGGCACACCAGGGTTCAGGGAAGCTCACCAGCTTCTGGCCCTTCCTGCCTCAGCACCAGCAGAGAGCCACTAGGACTTCTTCTCTGTACCTGTTCACATGCAATCAGCTCCTGAACTGCTGTGGCCTAGTCAACCAGAAAGCTCCCTGAGGGCAGGCCTGATGCCCACATTCCAACCTCTGGCTCTCTGCCTAGTGACGCACAACTCAGGACCCTTGCAGGCCCCCGTCTGGGCCTACTAATTGGATGGTGAAGGGTAGGAGTGGGGGCCAGTGGCCCTTGGCTCCACGCACATACCCCCACCAGGATCCAAAGACACACCCTCCTTGGGACCCAGCCCCGCAAGAGAGGGCACAGGGAGGTGGCGGCGGCAGGTGGGGAAGGCGCCTACCTCGACACAGATCCTGTTCAATAAGTTTCATCTGCAGGTGGAATATCTGCTCCTGGAGTTTGCAGATGGCGTGTTTCGTTCTCTCGCGCCTTGTCACCATGTAGCACAGATTTCTAACCTGAGAAAACAAGAGAGATTTTCCACCTTACTCACAGGCAACCACCCCAGACCTCCCAGCTCTGGGGACCTTGCTATGGGTGGAGGCAGTGCCAGGGGCACAGGCTACCGCCACAGCCTATCCTGCCCAGAACATCTGCAAAACAATTCCCAGACCCTGAGCGCATCCTCAGCCCTGTGCTGCATGTCTCGGATCCAAAACCTAAGGCCAAACACAGCCTCAGCCCTGTGGTCCCCGGCTGAGCCAGAGCAGCCAGGGAAAAGCATCTGGTTAGGTCAACCCGGCATGCCCACCTTCCTCCTCTGAGTCTTACCTTCCTGGTAAGGTCAGCCAGGCTGCCTCCCAAGGCCCTGCCAACATGGTTGCTGTCCTTTATAACCACAGTGCCCGCAGACTCATCAGGGTCTCACCAGGTCACCAACCTCATCCCTCTGCCTCCTGTCCAAGGCCTTTCTTTCCCAGCAAAGAAATTCTTCAGACATAAATGGCATGGCAAAAACTAACACTTGTCCTGAGCCACAAATGGCCCCGGTACTTGCAGCCAGAGAGAACGCCATTGGAAGAGCTTTGAGCAGAAAGTCCTAACCCACCTGTGCCCAGCCTGCAGCCAACCCATGTCTATCCGCTGCACTGGGACCTGAGCCAGGCTCACGCCATGCTGGCCAAGGCTTCCACATCTACACAGCCACCTTCACTCTGCCACAGTGACAGAACTCCTCAGCAGAGAGGGTAGAGGCCTCTCTGACTGCCTCAAGGCCAGCTGGGAAGAGCCCCTTGGGGCCTTAGACACCAGCTTGCTAAGCTCATGGGACATGGACCCTTCTTATAGGTGGTCCCACAGGAAGCACCTGCAGGATGGACCATGCTACTGCCTGCCCACCTGGCACCTTACCCCAGTGGGCCATCCCTCCCTGGCTGCTCTCAGGGCAGGCCACACTTCTGAAGCCAAGACCAAGCCCCCTCCCTTGAGACACTTCCTTGGTCTTCAGCACAGGATGGAGACTCCATTATCAGGGACAGTTGGCCAAAGCTGCTCAGCTTGAATCCTGGGTCCCACCAGGGTCTTTCCAGCTGGGACCAGGCTGTTTCCCGTTGGGTTCCATCTTCAAGGCTGAGTTCAGCCTTCATGTCCTTAAGCTGGGGTGACCTCTGGTTCCAGACCCCCTGCCTGTTGGCATAACCATTTCTCCCAGTCCGAGGGCAGCCAAGATCAGACCTCTCTTCTGCGTACGGGTATCCTCCGTTCTTTCCTGAGCCCAGCCGTGAAGGATGTACCACAAAGGTGGCTCCAGCCTCAGGCCTCCACACGATGTGCTCTGCATGGACTCTCCGTGGCCTTCCACGCTGGTGTGTGCGCCCTCAGCTCGAAGACCGTGAGCACCAGGCCACCCACCTCTGAGCCTCAGCTCCGCCTATCCCTATGGCCAGTACCACTCCGGGGGGCCACCCTGGGCTGCAACCACCGGTCCCACCCTACTGGGATGAACCACCTTCCTGTCAAAACTTGGACCTCCTGAAAACCACCTTCCAACCAGCCTCCTTCCCCCACACCCTTAAGCACTGGCTACAGCTCTGTGGACTTGCACTGTGTGGGGCCCTGGACTCAAGTGAGCAACGCCGCTGGGGCCCCTTTCTTCTCAGGGGAGGTAGGTGCTGACCAACTACTGACAGGACCAGGTGGCTCCGACCCACACTTGGGGGTGCTGAGCAAGGCGTCTTGGACACACAAGCAGCCAGTGGGAGTGGGAGTTGATCACACGGCAGGGCAGAGCCTGGGAACGAGGAATCCAAGCCAGGCCAGGCTGGGGGAGGCAGAGCAGAGCCTCGTGGCAGGAATCTGAAGGGAGCAGTGAGGAGTGTCGGGGCTGGCAAGGGAGGAGGCCAGGTGCTGAAGCTTGACTGAGCCAGGCCAAGGGAAGCCAGGATTGGATTTTCTTTTTTTTCTTTCGAGACGGGGTCTCGGTCTGTCGCCTAGGCTGGAGCGCAGTGGCACAGTCTTGGCTCACTGCAACCTCGGCCTCCCGGGTTGAAGCCATTCTCCTGCCTCAGCCTCCCACGTAGCTGGGATTACAGGTGCCTGCCACCACACCTGGCTAATTTTTGTATTTTTAGTAGAGATGGGGTTTCACCATGTTGGCCAGGCTAGTCTTGAACTCCTGACCTCCTGATCCGCCCACCTTGGCCTCCCAAAGTTCTGGGATTACAGGCGTGAGCCACCGCGCCCGGCCCAGGGCTGGATTTTCACAGAGTAGTGAGACACTTCCCTTCTCCCCTTAAAACCTCCAGTGGCTTCTGTACGGGATTGAATAGTGTTCCCCCAAATTCATTTTTACTGGGACCCTTGCAATGTGACCTTATTTGGAAATAGAGTCTCTGTAGATATAAATAGTTAAGATGAGGTCATACTACATTAGGGTGGGCCCTTGATCTACTATGAGTGGAGTCCTGACACAGGTGCCTACAGGGAGAAGGCCATGTGACCTGGCAGAGGCAGAGGCCAGACAGATGTCCGCAGGCCAAGGAACAGCAAAGATTCCTGGCAACCACCAGAAGCTGGGAGGCACGGAGAGACTCCCCCGCAGAGCCTCCGGCAGGAACTAATCCTGCTGACACCTCAACCTTGGGCTTCCAGCCTCCAAAACCATGAGGATAAATCTCACCATCCAGCTGGTGGCACACGGGCAGGCCTAGGAAACTAACAGGGATGCTGGGCATGAGATGCCGGTGGCCTTTAAAAGGGACTTGGTGTGGAGCTCAAAAGGGAGGGGCAGCCAGCACCCCCACGTGGGGCAAAACTGTGGGCAGCCGTGAAAGACAGTGGAGCCTGAGGTCTCCAGCCCTGGGAGTGAGCAGTCAGGGGAGAGCAATGGATGACCATTGAGGCCAAGGAGCAGCCAGAGAGGGAGGGGGGTAAACCAGGACCTCAGGGGGGACCTGGTCAGAGCATCACAGAAAAAGGACTCCAAGACTAAGGGCAGGTCTGATTGTGGCAGCCGCTGCTGAGAGGATCGGGGGATGGAGAGGTGGGCAGGGAGGCTGCAGGCAGCCCAGGTGGCAGGCTCTGGGATGTGGCGGAAACCCGGCCAGAGTGGGCAGCAAGGATGCAAATACCATGAGGGATGACAGGAAAGGAGAGATGGGGGTGGGAGCGGAGGAACCCACGACTAGAGGGAAATAGGGAGGGAGGATTCGCTTTTGAAGATGAGAGAGGGTTGAACAGATTCAAATATTGGTGGAAAAGGACCCGCAGAGGGGATGAAGAAAAGACAGACTCGTCAGCTGCAGGTGTGGGCTGGAAAAGAGCCCCTGTGGGGGAAGGAAGACAGGAGGGAAGGGAAGAGAATGGACCGAGAGGCTCGGCTGGCAGAAGTTAGAGGCCCTGGTATGAGGACAGAGGGGACGCTGTCCTGAGGGAGGCAGGGCTCAGCATGTGGGCAGCAGGTATGAGGTGGGGTGTGCGGCAGGGACTGCCCTGCTCAGCGCTATGGGATTTCTCCTGGTGGAGGGAGTGGCTCTTACTGGGTGAGGCTCTGCCAGGGTTCTGGCCTCAGTGAGGGACAAGGGCTGGGGCATAGCAGGCCAGTGCCATACAGGGAGTGAGTGAAGAAAGCAGGACAAAGAAGGGTGGAGGGCCTGGGAGACAAGTGAGCAGGGAGAGCAGTAGACTGCAGGCACGGAGCAGGATGTGGCAATTTCTGGGCTACTGACCTGGGAGCAGCTGGAGGTGGTGACTGGGCTTGGGTGAGGCAAGGGCACTAATGGGTTGGGGGAGCCCTAGAGATGGAAGGCACAGGGGCAGAAGAGCCAGAGGTCTGCAGGCTGGAGCTGCCCAGGACAAGGTTGGCTTTGGTGGGAGGCCAAAGGGACCACCATCCAGGCACTGAGGCCAGGACCCACTTCCTTCTGAGCCTTTCCCTCCTTGGGAAGTTGTCCCATATCATCCTCTGGGCAGGTGTGTGTCTCAGAGCCGCCTCCACCCTCTTGGCCTCCTCCTCAGGCCAGGTCAGGCTCCCAAATAAACTCCTGGTGACCAGAGCCAGAGCCACAAGCAGCAAGTCCCTGCACAGCCTGCTTGTCAGCACGGTTGCTAGGGGACACCAGCCGGCACTTGTCGGGCTGATCAACAGTGCTGCGATTTTTGTCAGCCGTAAATAACTCTGGGAGGCTGCAGTGGCCATGCCTTCCGAGCGTCCGCTGGGGCCGAGGCCCAAGGCTGAAATTTTAGGAAAGCACATCTGGTTGACCATAAAATGGGATTTCATGCCGGCAGCAGCCCCGGCTCCTGTTTCTCTCAGCAAAACCCCTGCCTGGCTGAGGAGGAACGAATCAATCTGGGAGGATGCTGGGTTCCCAGGCCCTAGCACTGGGCCTGCCCTTTTGGTCCTCTGTGGAGCCCACCCTCAGAGCGCACGGGCTGGCCTCCCTTCTTCTAAGAGCCAAATGCTGAGGGGCCAGGACAGTAACAACAATCACGGCCAACAATGGAGGGCACTGTGCTAAGCTTTGTCCCCCACATGCACTGTGACCCCAAGGTCAGTCTGATCCTTATTCCCATTTTACAGACAAAGAAACTGAAACTCAGAGAAGTAGAAACTGAAACAAAGAAGGTATAGAGCTGGGAGTGCAGGAACTGGATGCAAAGTCAGGCTACCAAGGCCTCGACCTCAAGCCCTGCCCCATCTTCCGATGATTCCTGCCCAGGCTGGCTTAGTGCCCAGTTACAGGCTGGATACTCCCGGCTGCTGGCACTGGGCCACGGTCCGAGACTGGGCCCGCTGGCCAGGCCACCAACCACCATGGGCCTTTGCAGAAAGCCTGCCCCGTGGCAGGGTTCTTGTCGCTGTTCATTCACCCAAGTTGCAAATGTGTGACCTGGAAAGGCCTTGAGGCTGGGCCGCTGATGGGGGTCAGCTTGGCTCATGGTTGTCCCTCCTCGGCCCTGCCAGGGCTGTGCATGCCCCTGCCCTCATTGAAGCTGGTGCCCGCCAGCCCAGCTTGGTGGCTGCTCAGAAAGCAGCATTTGACAGGGCCCCCTGAGCCGTAAGAGGCTGCACATACTTCAAAATTGGCCCTGCTTCCTCTTCCCAGAGGAGGAGTGGGACGGTTCACACCTGACTCTGGAGTGTTCTGGCTCCCACTGCAGGAGTCTCTGCAGCAGCTCTCATTCCCCGGAACCCCAGAGCCCGCCAACCTCAGCCCCAGGCTCCACCTGAACCAGCCAACACTGGGGTGGGAAGATTAGGGGACTGAAAAAGGGATGCTTTTGCCCAGGAAATTTACAGAATAGAGAATAAGCCAACAACTCCTTTTCTGCCCCCGACTGAGGTCCAAATTCAAGCTCAAAACCCTTGGAATGGAGTTCCTCTAAGACTTCCTGTTATTCGTCTCTCCGAGCCCCAGTTTCCTCATCTGCTCAGCAGGGCTGGGAGGATCTTCCTCAAGTCTCTTTTTCCAGGATGATGACTACATAAGTGAGTCAAGCCCTTGACCTCCCTGGACAACCCAGCCAGGGACAGACACATGGGCTGACCAGCACAGAACAGAGAGGTCAGTTCTGAGGGGTTGTTTGGGAAACAGTAGGAGTAAAAGCAGGTGTTTCCACTGGAGATCCAGCGGGTGGAGACATGGTGGCCTAAAGAAGACTCTGGAAGCAGCTTCGGTCCCAGAAGGTCTTACACCTGATGCCCCTGCCACATGTGACAGGAGGCTGGGCTGGCCAGGAGGTGGTGGCTGCAATGTAGGTAGCCTTGCCCTCTGTCCTGGCTGGAGCCAGGGACATCTGGTTCCTCCCACCTCCACCTCTTCCTTCTGGCCTGGTGGCAAGCTGGCTGCCAGGCAGTGAGGGCTCTCTGGGGGCAATAGGTCATTTCCCTCTTGAGCAGGCAGCGCAGATGAGTGGGAAGGAGGGGATTGGGGAAGCTGGGTCCAGTGCCCCTTCCCTGACAGTACAACACCCCTGGAGATGTTCTACCCATTTTACAGCCTTGCCCACTGCGATGCAGATAAGAAAAGCAGGCGCCTTGGGTCACACAACGTTCCCTGCATGCTCCTGCCCAGGGCTATTTCCTGACAGGACCCAGGGAGAGGGTGAGCATGTATGTCTGAACCCAGGGGAGACACTGTGACACGGTCCCATATGCTCTGGAACCCTAGAAATGTCCCAGAGAGGAGAGACCAGAACAGCCTGTGGGGTTCAGAGGACTGGAAAAGGATCCAGAAATCCTGCTTCATTTCACTCAGCCCCCTGGACCAAGCCACCGTCACCTGTTTCCCAGCACACAGCTGGGGGTGGTTTTCAGCCAGCCCACCCATTCCAGACTCTGGGACTTCTCCTCCAGGGAGTGTTGGGTGCAAGTCCCAGCCACAGTATGTCAGTCCCTCCTTAGCACTTCTGCAGCTTCCAGACACACTGTGATCCACCAGCCCAGTCTCGTGCGATCCACCAGCCCCTTTCACCTCTTCCTTCCACTCCACCGTTCCTTGAGTCCACCCTGTCTCCTTCGTGCCTCTGTTCTGTTTGCCCAGCACCCCACGGAGCCGCGTTTACCCATCTACCCTGCCCTGGCCCGGCACGTGCCTGTTTGGCTGCTCCTGGCTCTTGATGCCCCTGGCTTTCAGCATGGGTTACGGGGACAGCTTGGGAAGCTCCAGTTCCTCCTCTGCCTCAGATTCTCAATGCAAGCTCATGTGTTAGGACCAGGCGGGGCCCACAGAGGCAAGCAAGTGCCAGAAGCCTAGGTCCTCGCCCTAGCTCTGGTGCTCTCAGCCTCATGACCTTGGCAGGGCCCCCACCATTCACCAGGCCTGTGACAGGGCTAGGACAAGAGGGACTCGGAGACTCAAGAACTGGACTCTTCTCTGTTCTGTAAAGTGTCAGTCACCCCCATACTCTTTGGGACCTGAAAGCCCTCAGCCCCTTGGCAGGCTCCTGCAGCAGGGCCGGTCCACCAGAGCTCACAGTTTGAGTCCTGGTGAGTCCTAGCTGCTCCAGGGCAGTGAGTGTGGCATGGAAAGGACTCCTGGACCCACCAGGCAGGGGGTGGGCAGGCGGCATGGGGACTCACCCTCTCTAGGTCCTGCCGCAGATGGGTGAAGAGCTTCAGGCGGCGGTAGAGGACGTCCTGCTCCTGCTGGGCCAGGTTGTCCACCTCGTCGGTCTTGGGGGTCAGCAGCGGCTGGTTGGCATTGGCTTTCCTCTTCAGCTTCCAGTACTGGTAGATGAAGTCGACCAGTGCCTCAGCCAGGTCCAGCCGCTCAGCCACCTCAGCCGGCTCCACCAGCTCGTAGAAGTCCTCCTCTAGCTGCTGCAGCCGCTGCTTGCGCAGGGTCACCTTTTCCAGGTCCTCGCCAGCCTGGCTGGGTTCCGTGGGCTCAGATGTGGGCTCATTACGTGGGCCCCCGTCACTGTGCTCCTGGCAGAATGACTTGAACTTGACCTCATCGTTGTCTGCTAATATAGTCCGCATTTCCAGGCCGTGGTCAAAGGCGCATGTGACATGGAACGCTGTGACGCAGGAAGGCATGGAACACTGAGGGGAAAGGAGGGGCAGGATCAGACATGGAGGGAGCCTGGTGGGAGGGGAGAAGACAGAGGGGCTTCCCCCAGGGCTCTACTGAGAATGCGCAATGCTGGAGAGAACCTAAACAGAATGGCATGGGCTCCCAACCTCCTGTGCAGGATGGGAGTTACGGCAGGGGAGGAGGAGGAGCTCTGGGGTGCCTGGAAAGGTAACCCATTCAACACCACATGCTTTGGGGAAGTCAATCAGAAGACGGTTGAGAAACACCTCTGGGGACAAGCTGCATTTTTTTTTTTTTGAGACAGAGTCTCACTCTGTTGCTAGGCTGGAGTGCAGTGGTTCCATCTCACCGCAACCTCCGCTTCCCAGGTTCAAGCGATTCTCCTGCCTCAGCCTCCCAAGTAGCTAGGGCTACAGGCATGCACCACCTAGTTTTTGTATTTTTAGAGATGAGGTTTCGCCATGTTGGCCAGGCTGGTCTCGAACTCCTGACCTCAGGTGATCCACCTGCCTCGGCCTCCCAAAGTGCTGGGATTACAGGCGTGAGCCACCGTGCCTGGCCTCAAGCTGCATTTTTGTGTGGGCAAAATGACTTTGGCATCACAGAGCATCAAGAGAAAGGCTGATGATGGGTCACTGGCTCATCTAAGATGGGGACTGTGGTCCCCTTTTTGTCCTCTGGGAAGAGGGGCTGGACTTAGTCCCCTTCCCTCTCCTTTCATCCAGACAGCTTGAGGCCTGACCCTCTCTCTTAGCCTTGGATGATGATAACTGTGTCAGCAATCACGCACCCAACTATTATGACTGCTGATGCTGCACTCACAAATCCTTTTGAAGGTCCGTGGATGGGTGAAGGCACAACTAACGTTTACAATGACAACTCTGTTCCTAAAAGATGAGGGGGACAAAGGATGACTCCCCCCTGCACTCCCAAACTATAGACCTGAGGCATCAACATCCCTTGGGAGCTTGTTAGAAATGCAAGTTCTCAGCTTCACTCCAGACCTACTGAGTCAGAGCCTCTCAGGAGTAGGCCCAGCAGTCTATGTTTACCAAGCCCTCCAGGTAATTCTGACGCATGCTAGACTTTGGGAATAGGCTTTGCTAAAGACAGACTGGTACAGCCCTTCCAGTGTCAGGACAGTCTATTAGCTTAGCTAGATGAGAAGTTTGATTCCTAACCCCTAACGCGTCAAATTCAATGTCAGAAGTGAGGCTAATGTATTCATCAAGCCCCAAGACACTTGCTTTCAGGGAAAGCCAGAGTTCTCAGCACTCCAATGGGGTGGTGAGCCTTGGTTCCCCGGGTCTGTTCCCACTCCCTAGAAGACCAGGGGATGGAGAAATGCTCCCCAACAGGTGCGATTCTGACTCTGGCCCCAGTCCCACACCCCTCTGGGGCCCATCAGTCTGCAGCCCCATGGAGGGGAGAAGGTGGTGGCAGCTGCTGTCTGAGGCCCCAAGCATGCCTCTCAGCCAGCTCCTGGCAGCAGGAGGTGAAGTAGGCCACATACCTGGATGCAGGTGCCTGTGCATTCCTTGCAGAGGCTGCAGGACAGAGCCCAGCGGCTGGCTGGGATATGCGAGATCTTGGTGATGGGCTCCATCTTCTCTGGGCAGCCGATGCTGACCTGGGCAGGACACAGGGGGCTGCATCATTCCTCTCATCCCCAGCCTGCCTCCAGGGATCTCCAAAATGGGGGTTTGTCTGCTGAAACTAGGTGGTGGGCAGACAGGGCAGTGGCTGAGCCCCTGAATCCCAAGTCCCTCCTGACACCAAACAAGCATGGCTCAAAGGCCGGAATTCCTCCTCACTCTCCCAAGCTCACCACTGGATGAGTGTGTTAGTGTGTGCTCATCTGAGACTAATCTTAAATTGTCTGTGAATGTGTGAGTGTGCCGTCAGTGTGTGTAGTTGACTGTGTGTATGTGCTTAAGACTGCGTGGGCCTTGACAGACAGGTGCTTTGGTGTGCGCATAGGTACATGCAAGATCCTCCTTCTTTCTGCACTCAGGCCTTTGTTAATAACATCTTCAGAGTTCTTGTTACGATTTGTATTTGTATTACTTATTTTTCTAGGCACCAAGAAAAGCCTCATTGTGGGATCTCCTCTTGAAGGTCTTTAGGGCTCTCCTGGGGATATGCCTTTGCTGAGCCCTTCCTATGGGGACAGCCCTACAACTATGCCCAAGTCTACTGGGCAGAGACCACCCCACAGCCCAGAGGCAGGGCACATTTGTCTCCCCATTGCTAATGCCTGAGGATGGAAAAAGCAATTCTCTCCAAAGGTCCTGAGCCAAAGGGTCTTCATGATGGAGTCCCTGTTGGTTCTGTCTCTGCCATGCCCAGCCCAGGGTACACTCAGAGGTGGTCCCAGTCTTCAACATGCTGATCTGCAAGCAAGTGCCTACTGCTGACACAAACAACTGTTATCACAGAAGCCCGCATTGTGGGCTTCAGACTGTGAGCCCAGGAAGGAGAGTGCCACTTATGGACAGGGCCACCTGGCTTGCTTCTGGGCACAGGCAACACTGGAGTGGGGCCTCAATCTGAGTCAGTCCACACAGCAGGGCTGGGGCTGAAACTCTGGTGCATTTCAACATTTCACATTTCAAATAAAATGGCTGGCCTGCCAGGCACCCAGGACCTCTGCTAACTCACTGACTCTGGACCCAGCCTGTTGCCCGTGGCACTCCCACATGGACTCAGAAACACACCCACCCCACCATCCTAGCCGCAGCCATAGCAGCAGGCCCACTAGCCAACTTCCCATTAGGCTTACCACCTGATTCTCTTTTTTTTTTTTTTTAAACAGTCTCATTCTGTTACCCAGGCAGGAGTGCAGTGGCGCGATCTCGGCTCACTGCAATCTCTGTCTCTCGGGTTCAAGTGATTCTCGTGCCTCAGCCACCCAAATAACTGGGATTACAGGCATGTGCTAAGCCCAGCTAATTTTTTTTTTGTATTTTTAGTAGAGACGGGGTTACCATGTTGGCCAGGCTGGTCTTGAACTCCTCACCTCAAGTGATTCACCCACCTCGGCCTCCCACCCGATTCTCTTTGAAGGTCAGCTGGCTTATCTTTGTTTTGAACATGTGGCTTGACTTTGGTTGGAACAACTGCTAAGGTTTAGATGGACCCCACAACCTGCTTTCCCCTCTAGTCAGCTGCCTGACTTCTGTCCAGACCTCATCCCTATCTCCTGAAATCTCCTAGCGGTCCCTAACCCCATTTTCTCATAGAAGTCACCACCTGAGCTCTGTCCAAGTCCACAAGCAAAGCTCCCTATAGCTGCGGCCTGGATTCTTTGCTGGCCCATCACCTGAGATCCCAGTGTGTGCTTTGTTTTGTTTTGTTTTTCAGACGGAGTCTTGCTCTGTCACCCAGGCTGGAGTGCAGTGGTGCGATCTCGGTTCACTGCAACCTCCAACTCCCAGGTTCAAGTGATTCTCCTGCCTCTGCCTCCTGAGTAGCTGGGACTACAGGTGCCTGCCACCATGCACTCCTAATTTTTGTAGAGAGGGGGTTTTGCTATGTTGGCCAGGCTGGTCTTGAATGCCTGAACTCAGGTGATCCACCCACCTCGGCCTCCCAAAATGCTGGGATTACAGGCGTGAGCCACCGCGCCCGGCCGATCTCAGTGTTTTAGTGCGAGTCCATCACCTTCTTTTCCCAGTGCTCTGCTACCTGAGTCCCATGCAGACCCACTTCCCCACGGGCTATTCCTTGGGCTGCCTCACCTCCACGCTCACCCACCTCAGGAATCCATAGGGCACAGCTGACATGCACCCACTTGGTCCCACTTCTAGTGGGCTTCAAGGCTCCTCCTCGCTTGGGGCAGAGCAGGCACTTTGGCTGGACACCCAGGGCACACGTCCGGCACAGCCAGCTGCCCGTGGGCACCTTGAGGATCCCGTAGCATGCCTAGGAGAGAGCAGGGTGGTCATGAGTCAGCGGAACTGGCCAATCTGTGTCTGGTCAGCAGTCAGCTGCATTTGGTCCAGTGCCAGCCCCATGCTACACTGCTACACAGCCTCCCATCTCTGGCACGTACAACTTCTGAGGAGTTACAATGCAAGGAAGGAAGGAAGGGCTCCTGGAAAGCCCTCCTTGGCCTGCTTGTATGCCTGAAATGCCACCATTTCAGTCCTCTGTGAACGGGTTCAGGTCTGCCCTCTGCTGGGAGGAGAGTCAGTTTAGCCGGAGGTTCCTAACCAGCAATAGACTTAAGGAGAGTCCAAGAATCCCTTTAAGTTGAATACAAAATTGGGTGTGTACTTCCTGGAAACAAGTCCCAGAGCCCTCATATTTCTTACACAGGGACCCATGAAGAAGGTTGCACCCCTCTATGGCTTGGGTGAGACACATGAACCTAAGAGCTGCTGGGTATAAGGGATGTGTTTGTTTATATGAGACTTGCACTGCCCACCTACCTGCCAGCCTGGCAAAGTCCCTACCTCTGAGCTCCCCAGGGTCAATTCCAGCGATGGTGCATAAGGGCAGCCTCAAAATCAGGGCCAGAGTGGGTCCACTAGGTCCCAGTCAGGTCTGCAGTCAAGGCCCAGAGATACTCAAGACCTAGAGCCTTGGGCCCCAAACCAAGGGGAGCCTGGCCAGGCTGCACTGGCACATAAAGCCAGTAATGGTGACAAATACATATAGCCCTTACTAGACTGTTCTAAGCAAAGACCCACAGTAAACAATTTAATCCGTGCAACAATCCACTCTTATTTATGCATAACTGAGAAAACACAGGCCCAGAGAGGTTACAAAACTTGCCTAAAGTTACATAGCTTGTGAAGGGCAGAGCCACGATTTGAAATCTGGCAGCTTTGCTCTCAGTCACAGCAGTGGGCTGCCTTTTAGTAAATTCAGGACATGAGGAGCAGAGGAGGAGGGGCAGGGACAGGGCACAAGGTGGAGAGGGTCTGAGGGAGGCTGATGGGACAGTGCAGAAAGCCAATGGGCTCTGGCTTGAGTCTGGCCAGCAAGTCTAAGCCAAGGGGCCCTGGGTGCACATGGTACCATGAAGCATCCTCACCATTCCCTTCCTCCTCCTTCTTAAGGGCTTCTGTCCACAGTGCCCCTGGAGAGCCAAGTGGGGGTCGCTGCCAGGCAGCGTGTGTATACATGGCACAGGTGAGGGTGACTGGGGGGTCTGCCCACCTGATGCACACAGACGTTGCACTTGTCACAGAAGACCATCTCGTTGCCATCCTCGCCCTCAGGAGAGCGACACACGTCGCAGACAACATCCTCGTCGTACTCGATGCCCAGCCCCTCCTGCGTCTCAATGGCCCTGGCCATATTCTGGTGGCACAGGGTCTCCAGCTCCTCCAGCACACGCTCTAATGTCAGCTCGTCCAGCTCCGGCCTCTCTGTGAGGAGGACAGCAGGGCATGGTGGTGTTAGGAGCCCAGCCTCCTTTGAGCTTTGAAGAGGACTTGGCTCCTGGAGTTGCAGGAATTCAGGGCAGATGTCTGGGAGGGTTTCTGCCCACCCACTGTTGGACCTGGGAGAAGCAGCTCCATCCTCTGAAAACTGAATGGTCTGGACCATCCCATCTCAAAGGCCCCTGACCTGTCCTGGAGTTCTGACTTTAGACAGCCTGCCTGTGACCACAGGGACACATGTGTACAATTAACATGGAAGTGTCTCTGGGATGCGGCCAGCTCCACGGAGAAGGCACTGCTTGTGCTGTGTGTATGAGGGGACCTCTGAGTGTGGCTGAATAGGGTCGAGTTAACCCTTCCTGGGACACATTATTGGGCTCCAGCCAGGTGGCCCACACCTCCTGACCCCAGCCCCATTTGCCATCCTGACCCTAGCCCCATGTGCCATCCTAGCCTCCCCTGCATGCTCACTAACTCTTCATGTAACATTCATGCTTACCACTATAGTCCCAAGAGCCCTGTAACTGATGTGCTATTATTGCCCCCACCTGATAGCTGCAGAAACTTCAGGTGGCACAGAGACACTAACCAGTGAGGTCCCCATTCAGTAATGCAGTATGGAGACTCCCTCCAGATCCATGCCATACCATAGCCCTGCCTGGGCCACTGTCCCTCTCGGGATGGGGAGAAAACCCTCCCTGCCCAGCCGTGATCCCATTCTTAATGCAGTGGTCACCTACCCATCTCCTTAAGCTCCGAGTTGATGAGCTCCAGCCAGTAGGCATCAATCTCGTCCAAGTCATAGCGGCTGCCCCCTGGCCAATCAGGCTGGGAGCCCTCACCAAGCATGGTGCTGCTCGGGGATGCCTGGGCAGGGGGGCCTTCCAGTGGTGGGAGGATCCTAGAAAATCAAGACAGGATGTCATGAAGGGAGGGGCCCTCAGCCTGCCGCCATAGGGGCTCCAGGGAGCTGACCAGTCCAGCTCAGGAGCTGATGGACAAGTGTGCTTTGACACCACACAGGGCCCACCTCCTTCCACCCCCTCCTTCACTTCCTCCTCCACCATCTGCCCACCCTGCAGAGACTCAGATGACTGTGGGTGAACAGGCAGTACACAGAAAACCCAAAGGGCAGTAGGGCACAGTGGGGGATGGGAGTCAGGGCTGATCCGCAGCCTTGCTTACCCTATAAACATCCACCTGCCCAGAGCTCATCCCACTTCCTGCCATCAGGGTAGCGGGGCCTTAGCTAAAGCCCAGCAGTTTGGATCTAACACTGCTAGGGCCTGTAAGAGGTATCCTATGTGCCATCATGGGCAATGCCCTGTGCCAGCAACAAGTGAGGTAGTGCCAGCTGGATTCTAGGTCCTTCGGCATACCCTTCAAGGCTGCGGACAAGGCAGGGGTTGTCTACGTACTCTCAGAAGCCCAAGCCCCCTTCTTACCAACAGCCTGAAAACTCCATTGACTTGAGTAGAACTGAGGCCACGTCTCCTCTGGTGTCAGGAGGAGCCCTACCTGGTTACACGGCTGCGGCCCAGGGTGACCCTTTCCAGACAAAAGGTCCACATGCCACCCTGCCCTTCTCCCAGATACAATGTCATGTGAGCAGTGAGTGTCCTGCTACACAGTGTTACCCGGCCCCAGGACCAAGACAGAGGCCAAATCCCTTGGATACAAAGATGTGCCTGCTGCAGTCCCAGGATCCCTCCCCAGCTCAGCCTTCCTTTGTGGCCACAGCTCTGCCGCTGAGGCAGCTTGGAGAGGCCTGCCCGCAGGGTGTGGACTCAAAGCCCAGCTTCACCACTTATTGTGTGACTCTGGGGAAGCCACTAAACTTCTCTGGGCCCCAGTGTTCCCATCCCCCAAAATGGGTTAATAATAATAGTACCAGGCTGGGCGTGGTGGCTCATGCCTGTAATCCCAGCATTTTGGGAGTCCAAGGCGGGTGAATCACCTGTGATGAGGAGTTCGAGACCAGCCTGACCAACATGAGGAAACCCCATCTCTACTAAAAATACAAAATTACCCAGGCGTGGTGGTGTATGCCTGTAATCCCAGCTACTTAGGAGGCTGAGGCAGAAGAATTGCTTGAACCCGGGAGGCGGAGGCTGTGGTGAGCAGAGATCGTGCCACTGCACTCCAGCCTGGGCAACAAGAGCGAAGCTCCGTCTCAATAATCATCATCATCTGGATTAAAGATTTAAACGTTAGACCTAAAACCATAAAAACCCTAGAAGAAAACCTAGGCATTACCATTCAGGACATAGGCGTGGGCAAGGACTTCATGTCCAAAACACCAAAAGCAATGGCAACAAAAGCCAAAATTGACAAATGGGATCTAATTAAACTAAAGAGCTTCTGCACAGCAAAAGAAACTACCATGAGAGTGAACAGGCAACCTACAACATGGGAGAAAATTTTCGCAACCTACTCATCTGACAAAGGGCTAATATCCAGAATCTACAATGAACTCAACCAAATTTACAAGAAAAAAACAAACAACCCCATCAAAAAGTGGGCGAAGGACATGAACAGACACTTCTCAAAAGAAGACATTTATGCAGCCAAAAAACACATGAAGAAATGCTCATCATCACTGGCCATCAGAGAAATGCAAATCAAAACCACTATGAGATATCATCTCACACCAGTTAGAATGGCAATCATTAAAAAGTCAGGAAACAACAGGTGCTGGAGAGGATGTGGAGAAATAGGAACACTTTTACACTGTTGGTGGGACTGTAAACTAGTTCAACCATTGTGGAAGTCAGTGTGGCGATTCCTCAGGGATCTAGAACTAGAAATACCATTTGACCCAGCCATCCCATTACTGGGTATATACCCAAAGGACTATAAATCATGCTGCTATAAAGACACATGCACACGTATGTTTATTGCGGCACTATTCACAATAGCAAAGACTTGGAACCAACCCAAATGTCCAACAATGATAGACTGGATTAAGAAAATGTGGCACATATACACCATGGAATACTATGCAGCCATAAAAAATGATGAGTTCATATCCTTTGTAGGGACATAGATGAAATTGGAAACCATCATTCTCAGTAAACTATCGCAAGAACAAAAAACCAAACACCGCATATTCTCACTCATAGGTGGGAATTGAACAATGAGATCACATGGACACAGGAAGGGGAATATCACACTCTGGGGACTGTGGTGGGTTCGGGGGAGGGGGGAGGGATAGCATTGGGAGATATACCTAATGCTAGATGACACATTAGTGGGTGCAGCGCGCCAGCATGGCACATGTATACATATGTAACAAACCTGCACAATGTGCACATGTACCCTAAAACTTAGAGTATAATTAAAAAAAAAAAAAAAAGTTATTTTCAATGTAAAAGACTGAATTTGAACACTTTTAAACATAGGCAACATAATCTAATAAAGAGCATGGGTTCTGTCTGAAAAAAAAAAAAATAAAAAAAAAAATAAAAAAATAAAAGCTTGAAAACAACAACAACAAAAAAAATAATAATCATCATCATCATCATCATAATAACAACAATAATAATACCTACTTTATGTGGTTGGTGAGAGGATTAAATGGATTAAGTTTGCAAAACTCTTAGGAAAATGCCTGACACACAGTAATCACTGTGTGTGTGTGTGTGTTTGTGTGGTGTGTGTGTGTTTTATGTGATGTGTGAGGTGTGTGTGTGGTGTGTGTGTATGTGCTGTGTGATGTGTGTGTGTGCATGTGGTATGTGTGGGGTGTGTTTTGTGTGATGTGTGAGGTGTGTGTGTGGTGTGTGTGTATGTGTTGTGTGCTGTGTGATGTGTGTGTGTGCATGTGGTATGTGTGGGGTGTGTTTTGTGTGATGTGTGAGGTGTGTGTGGTGTGTGCGTGTATGTGCTGTGTGATGTGTGTGTGTGCATGTGGTATGTGTGGAGTGTGTTTTGTGTGATGTGTGAGGTGTGTGTGTGGTGTGCGTGCGTGTGCATGTGGTATGTGTGGGGTGTGTTTTGTGTGATGTGTGAGGTGTGTGTGTGGTGTGTATGTGTTGTGTGATGTGTGTGTGTGTGCATGTGGTATGTGTGGGGTGTGTTTTGTGTGATGTGTGAGGTGTGTGTGTGGTGTGTGTGTATGTGTTGTGTGATGTGTGTGTGTGTGCATGTGGTATGTGTGGGGTGTGTTTTGTGTGATGTGTGAGGTGTGTGTGTGGTGTGTGTGTATGTGTTGTGTGATGTGTGTGTGTGTGCATGTGGTATGTGTGGGGTGTGTTTTGTGTGATGTGTGAGGTGTGTGTGTGGTGTGTGTGTGTGTTGTGTGATGTGTGTGTGTGTGTTGAGACCTTGGGATGTTACCCCTCTCCTGAAATGGAATATAGGGGGCACTTTGCCTCAGGAGGGCACGGTTTCCCCTTGGCTCAGCTGTGTGCTGCCCCTCAGTTCCTGATGCCAGTTCAAAAAGCCAGCTCTTCCCACCCCCCGCTGGTTGCCATGGTTATTGCTTCGGAGCCTGGCCTCCATCTGGCCAGCTCTGCCAGGGCGGGGAGGCCCCTTACTTGAGAGGCATCCTGGGGTCGGGGGCAAGGCTGCCAGAAGCTGTGACTCAGCGCTGACAGGGAGGAAGGGGCAGGGCTTTAGATGGCACAGAGACATGGCAGAGCTGTGGCGAGGGCTCCTGGGCTTCCCCATCACCACACCCAATGTCAGCAAAAAGGGCAGGAAGGATGAAGGAGACGGGGAGGCAGGGGCCCAACCCGGCAGAGAGAATGGCCTCCGAGCCAGGAGGAAGGCCTATATAAGGTCGAGGGGGCACGGAGAAGGGGAAGGGGCTTGGCACCACCTTTTCCCACACAAGAGGCCCACATGAAGGAAGGTTCTAGGTCATTATCAGGGTATGACCACACCCCACACTAACAGGTGATTCCATATGGAAGCAATACTAACACACTCGGTCCAACACAATTCTGCCTTTCCCCATGAAACTGTTACTTAACAAACACATTCTTTTAAAAATGCAGCCTGTAATTTGGTTGTGAACCAGCTTTGATTGTGCCCTAAGCACATGCTGAGTGGGGGTGTCCGGATGCCCACCACTTCCTGGCATAACTACCCACATCTGCTTGCCTGGTCAGCGGCCACCTGGCCAAGCCTCTTGGGATCAAGATCACTGTGCTCCTTCTGAAGAGCCAAGGTGAAGGGACTCACAATCAGAAGGTATCTGCTGTCCTTCCTGGGTCTCTCCTCTTCATCTGTTTGCCCCCTTCTGGCTCTGGCTCTGAAGGAAGCTCTCCTACCAGGCATGGACTGACCTGACCCTAGGCCAAGGCCTCACCCTCAGCTGTAGCCAGGACGGCGGAGGTCAGCTGGGAGGAGGGCGTCAGCTGGCTGGGATCTATGGGAGGGGAGGGGGTCTTTACCCTAGAAGACCAGACACACACCAGAGGTGGGTTCTGCCCTGGCTGAGACTTCTGGCCCCAGTGAGGGGCAGGACAGGCCCTCACTCAATTCAGTCTGGAGAGGGGCGAGACAAGTGCTCATTGTTCAGACAGATTTCAGACCATGAGGTGGGCAGACCCACCCAAAGGCCAGGGAGGGAGGGACAGAGGGGGCCTGGGGTGGCAGCTGGGGGAGGGCAGCCAGAACCAGCATGCTGGGATGACGGGGGCACAGGGCTCTGTCTCTGGGCCTCACAGGGGCAGCCCAGGGCTTGTTCTCGGGGCCTTTGATTTCCTGGCCCAGCCCACTAGGCCCCGGTGGCCATGCAGGGAATTCCCCAGAATTTCCCGACTTCCTCATCTATAAAATGGGGACAGTTACATGCAGTTTGTAAAGCTAATATGATTGTTAAATGAAAAGATGAACACAGGCTCAGCATAGCAAGTCCTCAAGAACAGGGTTTCTCTAACAATTCTGACCCGGGCAGCTACCAGGCAGCCTTCCAGATGAGGGCTGTGCAGTGGGAGGTGCCAGGAGGATGCAGTGGCTGGGCCGGAGGGAGATAGCAACAGAAGAGGCGTGGAGATGTCTCTAAGGGAGCACTTCCCCACCCCCAGTCCATCCTCTCCAAAGATCACGGACAGGCCAGGAGTGCCCAGCTCACGTCAGCTTAGCACAGCCATGCCTATGCTGGGAATGCACCTCGTAAAGTCAAAGCAGCCGGAACACGTGCCCTCCTCTTGATGTCAACAGATAAAGCACCCTACAGGCAGACTGAAGCCAAGCTACTGGTGTGGAAACATCTGCAATTAATTACCCAGGCCAGGAGATGTTTCCGGAACCAAATGACACTGACATCAAGTAGAGAGGACAGACCGCTGGGCCAAGCCTAATCAAGACTGACCTCGCTGTGCCCACCTGGTGGCCTGACCTTCACCCCTTCACCCTAGGCACTGGTATGTGTGGCAGTGACCTGGCATGCATATTCTCACTTCTGGAGAGGCCTGGGGCACCCCTGATTCTCCGAAGACCCCAGACAAGTATTAATAAACACTCAGCCATCAGGAGTCACTGGAACAGGATTGCCTGACCCCTCCCCTTCCAATCCCCACAGATCACCCTATTGGGGCTTCGAGTCTGCTGTGCCTATGATCCAATCAGATGCAGCTGCCACGAAATGAGGGTGCCAACGTCAGGGGAGGTAACAGCTGTGATCTTTGCCCCAGGCCTGGTCTACATGGGATCGAGCAAGAGCCACAAGGTTGCCAAGGCCAGGAGTAGACAGCCAAAACCCCAAGCTGCCCAGACCAGGCAGACTGGTGGGTGGGGGAGGCCAGGACACAAGACCCCTCTGCCCTGAGACATGACTTGGAGGGTTTCCCAGGTTGCATAAAGAAGCACTTGGCTGAACTCCGTAGCTGGAGGCAAGACCCAGGGCCATGTGGCCTCCTCCTGACAAGAGCGGCCAGGGGTCTCTCTGCCTCATGAGACCAGAAGAGTATAAAGCCCAGAGGACTCATCTCTGAACCAGCCCTGGCAGGGGAACCTACCCAGAGGCCGGTAATAGCAATGGCTTCCTGAACATCTGCTGTATGCCAGGCACTTGACTCCCCCTCTAAGAACTCCCGTAAAAGGTTCAAGATGTCAAAAGCATGGCTTACGGCCGGGCGCAGTGGCTCACGCCTGCAATCCCAGCACTTTGGGAGGCCGAGGAGGGCGGATCATGAGGTCAGGAGCTCGAGACCAGCCTGGCTAACATGGGGAAACCCCACCTCTACTAAAAATACAAAAATTAGCCAGGCGTGGTGGCACGCACCTGTCATCCCAGCTATTCGGGAGGCTGAGGCAGGAGAATCGCATGAACCCGGGAGGCGGAGGTTGCAGTGAGCCAAGATCGCACCACTCTACTCCAGCCTGGCGAAAGAGCGAGACTCCGTCTCAAAAAAAAAAGAAAAGAATAAAAGAAAAAAAAAAGCATGCCATATCTCTCTCTTAAAGACTAGTGAAAAGTCTGGAGATTTCCCTCATCAGAACTGCTTTGGGACTGGGCATGGTGGCTCATGCCTGTAATCCCAGCATTTTGGGAGGCTGAGGCAGGAGGGTTGCTTGAGCCCAGGAGTTAGAGACTAGCCTGAGCAACATAGCAAGACCTTGTCTCTACGAACAATCAAAAAAATTAGCCATGTGTGGTGGCATGTGCCCATGGTGGGAGGATCACTTGAGGCTGGGAGGTCGAGGCTGCAGTGAGCTGAGATTGCACCACTGCACTCCAGCCTGGGTAACAGAGTGAGACCTTGTCAGAAAAAAAAAAAAAAAAAAAAAAAAGGCCAGGCCCAGAGGCTTACGGCTGGCTACCTGCAATCCCAGCACTTTCGGAGGCCAGCCAAGGCGGTGGACAGATCGCTTGAGCCCAGGAGTTCAAGATCAGCCCGGGCAACATGGCAAATCCCCATCTCTACACAAAACATGAAGATTAGCTAGGCGTGGTGGCATGAGCCTGTAGTCCTAGCTACTTGGGAGGCTGAGGTGGGAGGACTGCTTGAACCTGGGAGGTCAAGGCTTCAGTGGGCCAAGACTGCACCACTGCACTCCAGCCTGGGGGACAGAGTAAGACCCTATTTCTAACAAATAAAAAAAGAAAGAAAAAAGAACTGCTGTTGGGCCCAGTTTGGATCAACATTACAGAGTGCTTGCTGTCTGCCAGGCCTGGTGCCAAGTGCCTTCCATGCGTCATTTCATTCCATTATCTCAACATTACAACTGCATGAGTAGGTTAGTTATTGTTAGCATTCCAATTTCATAGATAAGGAAACTGAGGCCCAGAGAGATTACATTTCTGGTCTAAGGCCACACTGAATATGAGTGTCAACAGGAACGCAAGCATTCTGGCTCTATAGCCAAGCCCGAGCCCAACCCCCTAGCCTCTCAGTTAAACCACCAGTATTTCTGGAACATTTCAATGGTTTGTTGGAAAAGGGAATGGAATACAGAATAGAGATGGACTAGAAAGGAATTCCAGGACTGGCAGGTCACCTAACCTGGAAAGCAGCCTCCCCTTCCTCCCCTGTCCCAATGGCCCCCTAGCCTGGGCTGCCTGGCTCACCTCACCACGGGCTCTGGGATGGCCTCTGCCCCGGCAGGCACCTGCACACCTTTCTCCCATTCCTGTCGCCATGGGTCTGCCAGGATGTAGTAGTCATCCGGGCTGAGCTGGTATGAGTCCGGGATCTTCATGGCTGTGATCAAGTCTGTCCGGAAAACCTGTGAGGGGCAAGAGGGGAAAGAGTGACTTCAGACTGCCTCAGGGCAGTCTGCCCCACAGGCCAGAGGAAGAGGCAGATACATGCAACTCAAGTGGACATTCTGCCTGCGCACTTAGAAATAAGACGAAATAAAAGCAATCAGCACAATAAATAACATAGCTCTGAACTCTGCACATGTTTTGCACATAGTAGACGTTCCATAAATGTGATTAACTGAATTCACACTGCTCTGACCTATTAAAGGACAGAGTTTGAGGGATAGTTGGGAGTGGACCTATGAGAGAAAGAAAGACTGGCAGAGAAAGGCAAAAATCAAAATAAAAAGAGGAAAACCTCAGAGGACAGAGAGGCTAATGTGAAAGCAATACTGATGGCCGGGCATGGTGGCTCATGCCTGTAATCCCAACACTTTGGGAGGCTGAGGTGGGATAACTGCTTGAGGCCAGGAGTTCAAGACAGCCTGGGCAACACAGGAAGATCCAGCCTCTACTAAAAATTAAAAAATTAAAAAAAAAAAAAAGGGCCAGGCAAGGTGGCTCACACCTGTAATCCCAGCACTGTGGGAGGCTGAGGAGGGAGGACTGCTTGAATCCAGGATTTTGAGACAAGTCTGGGCAACATGGTGAAACCTCATTTTTACAAAAAATTTAAAAAGTAGCTGGGTGTGGTCGCACATGCCTGGGGTCCCAGCTACTCTGGAGGTTGAGGTGGAAGGATTGCTTGAGCCCAGGAGGTTAACCCTGCAGTGAGCCATGATTGCACCACTGCACTCCAGCCTGAGTGACAGTGAGTCCCTGTCTCAAAAGATCAAAACAAAATAAATAAAATAAAATAAAATAAAAAATACTGCCATTACGTGACTGTTCAAGACATTTCCACTGAGGTTCACAATCATGTTATCTATCTGCACCCCCAGACACAAGTGGAGGTATAAAACAGCACAGGGCGCCAACCCCAGGAAAGGCCTTATGCAAACCTTATGCAAACAGCTGGGGGACGGCCGGGGCTTAGGGCAGCCTAGATAGTGGCTTCACATGAGCTGGGACTTCCAAGGTCCCTCAAGAACAAGGACACTCTCCTAACTCGACCGGCTTTGTGTGTGTTGGGGAAGGGGGGGTAGGAAGGCAGGAAGGAGAGGGTTGTCTTTGTTCTTAATCAAGCACATCCAAACCCCTCAGAGCAAAGCCATGAGTGGTCACACCCTGAGCACTTGCTCACTTGGGGCAAATTGCTCTTGCCAGAGTTTTGTCTGCTGCTCCCACCTCCACCCCCAGTTCCACCTCAGAACAAGCTCTAAACTCTGCCTGGGCTGGCACTGGCAACGCCTCCTGCCCCAGTCACCTGATCCCACTGCGTGATCCCCCCACAAAGCGCTATTGTGGAATGTGGTGGCACCTCTAGACACCATGTGACTTGCTCAGGTACCAACTTTCCCAGTGATCACCGTCATTTGAGAATCACAAGTTAAAGAAGAACTCACATCACTGAGACAAGAGAAACCACTTCAAGGAGTACTCCAGGCCTGAGACCAAACTCCAACCCCACATTCCTCCCTGGAAAAGTCAGCATCCACCGCTGTGCCCGGTGCTAAGTCAGTTCACTCAGCCTTCTGAAGGCTCATGACAGACAGATTCAGCAGTAACCTCTGCCTGCTATGTGCACCTCATTTGAATCTAGGTCCAAAACCACAAGGAGAACACTGGAATGGATGGACTGAGGGGCCTGGAAGCAGCATCTTGCAGAATCTAATTAACGTCTGCATCTAGATGGAGACAGCCCTGGCTTGAAAAAGGTCAAGTTTCTTGAAGACTTTACTTGCCAATATAATTTAATTGTTAGGACTAACACCCTAACATTTAATTAGGGTGCCAGTGTGAAAAAATTAAAACCAGATTACAATTAAATGCTAATTAAACAGAAGATGGAATGTGGCTAAGATTTCACAGCCCAGATAATTTGCATATCTTATTAGCAAGTAGTAAGACAGTTAATGCAAAAGGGCACACTCAGGCACTGCGTGCTTTTAGGGGGCCCTTCAGTAGGGGCCTGTGCCAGCGAAGGCCTCTGGAGACTCTCCTGAGCTCAGTAGGGCTGGGGCTGGGTTATTTCCCTGTGGGCCCCAGCACAGGACCTGGCAAGGAAGAACTGACCCCAAAGTGATTCATAACTACCTCAACGTTCTCCCCACCCAAGCAAGCCAAGTGCTGCATCATCCCAAGCCCTGTTGCTCTGAAGCCATGGAGAACCACACACTTGGGACAGTGCATCATTCTGCCCCAGAAATCAACCCTACAATAGCCCAGTGTCACTATGTGCCCTCTAAAGAGGCATAGGTGGGTTAGAAACCTTTTGCTGTTCTCTCATCCTGGGCTGTAACTTTTTTTTTTTGTTTTGAGACAGAGCCTTGCTCTGTTGCCCAGGCTGGAGTGCAGGTGCACAATCTCGGTTCACTGCAGCCTCTGCCTCCTGGGTTCAAACGATTCTTCTGCCTCAGCCTCCCAAGTAGCTGGAATTACAGGTGCCCGCCACCTTGCCTGGCTAATTTTTGTATTTTTAATACGGGGTTTCACCATGTTGGCCAGGCTGGTCTCGAACTCCTGACCTCAAGTGATCCACCCACCTTGGCCTCCCAAAGTGCTGGGATCACAGGTGTAAGCCACCCGCACCTGGCCTAGTTTTTATATTTTTAATAAAGACAGGGTTTCACCATGTTGGCCAGGTTGGTCTTGAACTCTTGACCTCAAATGATCTGCCTGCCTCAGCCTTCTAAAGTGTTGGGATTACAGGCGTGAGCCACCGCGCCCGGCCCTGGGCTGTAACTTAACTGTCGCCTCCTCAGGGATTCCTTCCTGATCACCAACTGAGGGAGTGCCAACTGCCTGACTGAGCCACTTTCCATCTCACCCCTGCCTCATTTTCTTTCCAGCACTTACACTCCTGAAAAGTACCTGGTCGACTCACATTGCTGGTTTCTTGTCATCTCCCCTGCCATGCCTTGTCCTGCTGTCGGCTATATTCTCAGTGCCTGGCACTGCATACGAGGGCCTCTCTGGGGAATTTTCTGATGAATCTGAGGCCCCTAGCTGGCTCCTGGCAGTGCTTTCTGAACCCCCATAAGCAGGATGAGATACCTCATGGATATACCCAGTGGCCAAAATCCCCAAACACATGGACCTGAACAAGCGCCTCTGAGCAACAGGCAGCCTTTGTTCTGCTGGGCTTTAAGCTCAAGGACCAGCATTCAGCCCAGGCTGGAGTGGGTGAGACCAGAGTGTCCCACCACACCAGCTGGTAAGATGTGGTCCAGACCCAGAACCAGGCCTGGCACTGAGAACTCAGGGCAGGAAGGGCTCCCAGGGTCAACTTCAGAGTCCCTTCCCACTACAGTTAGGGAGATTGTGGGAAGACAAAAGAGTCTCGTTCCAAGAGAGTTCCACGTTTCATCCTGGGTCATGCAGGGAGCAGGTGGCAGACTGGACACTACGGGCTCTAGCAGGCAGGAATCATGGACGCACAGGGAGGGCAGCACTGTCTTAATGGTGTCAGCCCATGCTTGCAGAGACTGTGTGCAGAGTGACAGTGTAAACGCTGTTCCTGAATTAATCTATTATTAGCCCCTCCACCCACTCTGTGAGGTAAGTACTACCATCATCCCTATTTTACAGTTGAGAAACCTGGGACTCGGGTTAATTAAATCACCCACCCAAGGTGTGCGTGCTGGAAGTGGCAAATGAACCCAGGCCAACACAACTCCTGCCCCTTTTGGCCATGTGCTCACTGCCTAATGCCCTTGAGTTAACTTGATGCCAAATCAGGTGACTTCTCCAAGGGTTGAAATATGCAAATCCGACTGTGGTCTTTGCAAGTTCCGAGGCCTCCAGTCGCTCTCCACTGTCCTCCCACTGTGCCCACACTGAACTGCAGAGCCAATGAGGCCCTGTGACCACACGGATGCACTTGCAGTCTCCCAAGCACATTTAACCCTTTGCACACGGGAGAACGCTGCCTGGGACACTACTCCCTTGCCAGAGTAAAGCTGGCACACTTCATCCTTAAGGTCTCAGTCCAGCCCACATCTGCTCTAGGAAGGCTTCCCCAATCCTAGGCTGGGTTTTGGGCTTTGTCTGAAGTTCTACGGCCCCTGTGTTAGAATCTCCTGGTTTTTTGCCATGTCTTCCCCACTAGAAGGGGAGCTCAATGAGGTCTGGCTGAGCCGCAGGGCTGGAGCCCAGCAGTGCAAGCAGGGTCTGGCACATGCTAGGTGCTGAGAAATCTTGAATGACTCAAGATCCTTCCATGGGCCAGCCACCTCCTTCTTTGGTTGCTGTCCAAGACTACAGCTGGGTACTCCATGCCTTCCAAAAGAGCCTCTGTGCATTTATATAAAAACTGCCCACAAATATGGCAGCCAATTGTAACCTAAACATCATTTTGTGTTGAATTTCCAGGAGGCAGGCTTGGAAAAGGCTTAAATGTTCTCCTAAAACTCCTTTGAATGATTTATGAAAACTAAATAAAGAATAAAATGGACACTGATGAACGAGAAGCCTTGCTGTGGCAAGAAAGTTGGAAGCTGGAAAACAAGCAATTTTCTTAGAATGTGAATGTTTACTATTTTTCTCTCTTTTGGCAGAAATTGACAAATTGTCTTTAAAGGTCTGCTGCCTAGCAACCAAGTTCTGCTGAGCTGCTTAGGAGATGTTAATTGTAGCTTCTTCAAACAGTATGAAGAAATGTTTAAAGGCTTCAAACTCTAATTGAATCACCAATCTGAGTGCTAGGGGTGCCAATGCAGCCCTGGAGGGGGCTAAAGAGTCTGCTCTGCCCAGATGTAGGGACGCTTCTCCAGAAACACATCACATGGCCTTGCCTTCACGTCTTTTTCTGAGACTGCAGATCACAACCATTCAAAAGTCTAGCTTTCTGTACCTATTTCCCTAGGAAGAACTCTGCAAGAAAGCAGAGCATGAGTGACCTCCAAGAGCAAATAAAGATAGTGACAAAAGGCAACTTTCACTGTGCACTAACCACATGGCCAGTAGACACCAGGCTACAAGGTTTAATATACAATCTCAAGATTTGTAGCTAAGATTTGAACACTTCATCCTGGGACTTTGGTTCTCTGCTTCCTTTTCTCAAGGGGTGAACTACTGTATCACAGAGTATTTCAAACTAAGAGGCACCAAGAGGAAATTTAGTTACTTAAGAGAAAAGCTCCAGCAGTTACCACACTACAAAATATAATTACTTGTGTAATTATATATACACATTTTTTTTTTTTTGAGACGGTGTCTCGTTCTGTCACCCAGGCTGGAGTGCAGTGGTGTGATCTCGGCTCACTGCAACCTCCGCCTCCCAGGTTCCAGCGATTCTCCTGCCTCAGCCTCCTGAGTAGCTGGGATTACAGGCACCGGCCACCGCGCCCAGCTAATTTTTATGTTTTTAGTAGAGACAGGATTTCACCATCTTGGCCAGGCTGGTATCGAACTCCTGACCTCAAGTGATCCACCCACCTCAGCCTCCCAAAGTGCTGGGATTACAGGTGTGAGCCACCACGCCCAGCCTATTTGTGCAATTATATTTTTAATGTCCATCTCTTCTAATAGTCAAGCTGCAAGAAGACAGGGACTGCATATGTCCTGTTTATCACTGTGCCTGCTTTTGGCACAGTGTTTGACACACAGCAGGTACTCAAGAAATGCTTGTGGAACAAAAATTAGCCAGTTATGGTGGCTTGCCTGTAGTCCCAACTACCTGGGGGGCTCAAGCGGGAGGACTGCCTGAGCCCAGGAGGTAGAGGCTGCAGTGAGCTGAGATCATGCCACTGCACTCCAGCCTGGGTGACAGAGGGAGACCCTGTCTCAAAACAAACAAACAAACAAACAAACAAACAAAAAAACAAAAAACGAAATGCTTGTGTAAAGAGTCAGTGAATGAATGAATGAATGAATCCCAGGATTTGTATGAAGTATGACTAAACTTTCCTGCCCTGTCTTAGCAGGGAGAGAAGAGGCAGGAGGCTGGCAGGATTCTTCCAGGTGAAACTGAGAAACTGGTCTTGGTCACTGTCCCAAAGCCAATTAAAATGGCTTTGGCCAGGACAATCTCTCCTGGACATCTGTCTACACCAAAAGTCCCAACGTAGAGCTGGAAGTGGTGCCTTCTTCCTCACCCCTCAAGGAAAGTTTGAAGGTCTGTACTTAAAGAGCCAACCTCATCACAATTGTTTTCTGAGCACCTCATCTCATTAGAAATGACAGCTAACAGAGAAAGGTAATTGCCCTGTTAAGGCATGTCAGGTATTATGTTAAAGTTTTACATATATCGTGGCTCCTAATTCATATTACCCCCATTTTACAGATGTGGAGACTGAGATTCAGAAAGGTGAAACCACTTGTGTGAGGTCCCCACTGTCCTTTAACCACAGCAATACTGCTTGCAAGACACAGAGGGCTCTTCTTTTAAAAAATCTTTTCTGGGCCGGAACCTGATAAAGAGTTTCCCAGCCAAGAGCAAACTTATGCAGTTAAAATTCAGTATAAAACACGAAAGAAGGGCTATGAGAATAGCTACCCCCTGCCCAGTTGTGTTGCAAGCTACCACTAGGCTAAGTTCGTAAGACACTTAAAAAAAAAAAAACCCCACTCAACGTCTCTTTCTTTTATTTTCATGAGGATAACAGCACTTCCTGCTCTTAAAGAGAATTTATTACACACATTTCTTTTGCAAGACAAGTCCCAGAGGCCAGGAGGCCCTTCCAGCTGGCGGAGCAGCAACGTTTCCAACTATAGAAGTGGATCCTGCCCCCCACCCCAGAGAAAGGCAGTGTGAGTCTCAGAAAGCAGGCACTTAGCCTAGCGGAAGGGCTCGCCCCAACCCGCCTGCCTCACAGGGTAGCAAAGGAACTGCTGGTGGGCTGGAAACTTGGCTCAAAACCACAAGGGCAAGCACAAAACCTTTTTTTGGATTCTCCTGTTTTATCTATCAAATTATGGGCATTTTGCATTTTACTGTACCATACGCCTTCATTGTTCTACTATAAAATGGCATTTCAAACATCTGGATAACACCTCTGCTCCTCAGAAGGCATCTTATTTATCCTGTGGTTTGGAGCCCCAACACAATCTGGCCACCCCTGTCTTTACCCTTCACCCAGGGTAGAAGGAGGATTCCATTTTTAAAAGCATGGGTTGAGCTAAGAAGCTGCATCTCCACTCGCTGTGTTTTTTGGGGGAGTGGGGGGTGGCACTCCATATAGAGGGACTTTCAAGGACACTGGGTCTGGGGGACACCCTCTTGCTGGCAGCAGAGGCTTCTCTCAGGCCCCTTCCCCAGGGACTAAGTGCTACACATTGGTGAAGGGCCTCAGTGGTACATGCAACTAGGGATGTACTAATTTGTCACCACAGCCTATAGAGGAGCTGACAGCTGAATCCCCACTCCCACCATCCAGGCTTCCAGCTCAGGGTGGCCTGCTTTACCCGACACTCCCCACCTCCTGCCCCACTCACCTCTGGGGTTCCCTTCACCCCCCAGGGCTCCATGAGTCTCGGGAAGGAGTCACATCTACAGATCATCAACTCCCTGGGAGGACCCAGGGCAGAACTCTATGATAAGGGCTCTGAGGCTCACTCGCCTGGGGTCACAGATGTCCTCGGGCAAAGCCTGGGTGTTTTGGCAAAGCCAGGCTGCACCTCCCATAACAGACACCTTCCTGTGTAGCACCTGCATCCTGCTGACAAAGGACAAGCTCCCCAGGGACAGGGCCTGTGCTTTCTGTCCCCAGCACTGAGCTAGGCCCACTAGGTACTCTTAAGCACTTGCTGATTTTGATCAGCATCAGCAGCTCCCGGTCCAGAGACCCAGGCCTCTGCCCACTGGCTGACTTCTGGGGACTCTGACTTCCTGAAAATGCAGCTTTCTACCTCAAGACAGCCTGCTTGGGGAAACCCCCACCGCTTGGCCTGCCCTTCCGCCTGTGTCTCTGCCCAGGCCAGAGGAGGACACTACCTCAAACAGTAGCCCTCCAAAACATGCGGCTGGCCTCCAGGTCTCTCCCAGAACTGTCCTTCACACCTCCGGCAAGTCCGGGGTGGGGCAAAAATTTGTTAATTCCCCAGCCCCTGTGGGAAGGACATGGAGTGGTGGACTGCCCCCACCCACACTCCCTGACGTTGCTTAGATCTTTGAACCAGGCTGGAGAGCCTCCCTCCCTCTCCTTCAACCTAGCCACAGCTTCCACTCCCCACCCCCTCAAAAATACTCAAAGAAGCTTCCAGGGAACAACCAAGCCAGGAACTCCTGTTTTAGGCAAAGGGAAGGGAAAAGTCTATGGCAGTTGTCTTTTTGCTTTTTTTGCTTTTTTTTGTTTTTGAGACAGAGTCTTGCTTTGTAGCTCAGGCTGGAGTGCAGTGGTGCAATCTCGGCTCACTGCAACCTCCGCCTCCTGGGCTCAAGTGATCCTCCTGCCTCAACCTCCTGAGTAGCTGGGATTACAGGTGTGCATCACCATGACCAGCTAATTTTTAAAATTTTTTTTAGTAGAGACAGGGTTTCACCATGTTGGCCAGGCTGGTCTTGAACTCCTGACCTAGAGTGATCTGCCTGCCTTGGCCTCCCAAAGTGCTGGGATTACAGGCATGAGCCACCGCACCGGGCCTATGGCAGTTGTTCTTAACCCTGGATCCCAATAGCAGGTCTTGTTAAAAAAGTACAGGTACTAGGGGGCACAGTGGCTCACGCCTGTAATCCCAGCACTTTGGGAGGCCGAGGTGGGCGGATCACGAGGGCAGGTCAAGACAAGCCTGACCAACATGGTGAAACCCTGTCTCTACTAAAAATACAAAAATCAGCCAGGCATGGTGGCGTGCACCTGTAATCCTAGCTACTTGGGAGGCTGAGGCAGGGGAATTGCCTAAACCCAGGAGATGGAGGTTGCAGTGAGCCGAGATCACACCACTCCACTCCAACCTGGGCGACAGGGTGAGACTCCGTCTCAAAAAAAAAAAAAGAGTACAGGTACTGGCCAGGTGCGGTGGCTCATGCCTGTAATCCCAGCACTTCCTGAGGCAGGCAGATCACTTGAGGTCAGGAGTTTGAGACCAGCCTGGCCAACATGGCTAAACCCCGTCTCTACTAAAAATACAAAAATTAGCCCGGCATGGTGGCAAGTGCCGGTAGTCCCAGCTATTCGGGAGGCTGAGGCAAGAGAATCTCTTCAACCCAGGAGGTGGAGGTTGCAATGAGCTGAGATCACACCACTGCACTCCAGCCTGGGGAACCAAGTGAGACTCCATCTCAAAAAAAAAGGCCAGGCATGGTGGCTCACGCTTGTAATCCCAGCACTCTGGGGGGCCGAGGCAGGCGGATCACCTGAGGTTGGGAGTTCGAGACCACCCTGACCAACGTGGAGAAACCCTGTCTCTACTAAAAATACAAAAATTAGCTGGACGTGGTGGCACATGCCTGTAATCCCAGCTACTCTAGAGGCTGAGGCAGGAGAATCACTTGAACCCAGGAGGCAGAGGTTGCAGTGAGCTGAGATCGTACCATTGCACTACAGCCTGGGCAACAAAAGCAAAACTCCATCTCAAAAAAAAAAAAAAAAAAAAAAAGGTATAGGTACCTAGGGTGCTACTCCAGACCATGTAAGTCAGAATACCTGGGGTGGGGTGGTATTAAAACAATAATCTCTGCTCTGTAAATTCCATTAGATTCTCAGAGATGTGTTCCACAAAGGGTTAAGCACTAACAATGGCTACACCATTTAGTGAGCCAGGCAAGGCCAGAAACTCATTGTGTAAATTATTATACTAGCTCCCTAGGCCAGGCTCAGGACTTCAGGGCCAAAAGATAGATAGCTCTGTTGGGATGCCATAGGCAGCAGAAGACAGCAGGCTGAGTTCTCAGGGGCAGCTCCACCTTTTCCTTCTACTGCCTTAAGGAGCTCCCAGGGCAGACTTCAGGCTTTGCGCACTTCCACCAAAAATCCTAGCCCAGCCTCCCAAGAATCCCAGGGCCCATGCCTTCAGCTCTCAGCTCGGAGGCCCGCACTCACTCCCCCTTCACTCTGGCTGAGGGAAGGGCCAGCCATTGGGCAAGGGCCAGATGGGAAGCTGGGCCTCCAGGCCTTAGCCCTGTCCAGGGTCCTGACTCCTGGTCAAGTGCTTTCTTCAGCCCTGAGGCACCTCACTTGCTGTAGAGTGCCCCTTGGCTTGCGCCCTTAGGGTGCACTGGGAAAGGGCAGCCCCTGAGAGGTCATCAAAGGGCATCCCTGCCTATCCCACCCAAACCCAACCCCAGCCCTTTCATAGCTGTTGGATTCACTGTGTCCCCCACCCCATCATTGCCCACATTTAGAGATGAGGAGACAAGTGAACCACGAGTTCCATGGCTCTGCAGCCACCAAGGAGGGGCTTTCCACAGCACACACATCACTCCGTAAGTGTTCCCACTGGGGACTCCTGCCACACTAAGCAAACCACATGACCAGCCTGACAGCCACCCCATAGGCTTCATACTCCAGGGGATTGAGTAGATGGGGCTCCCAGAACCCCTTTCACCAGGGTATCCAAGGCCCAGGCTCAGCAGACCATAAAGGCCCCGCCCAAGCCATTCACAGAAAGAGAAGAGAGCAGTCCGTGAGATTTAGTGCAAACATTCTCTGCCGCCAAATCCTCGCTTTCATCTCTGCCCTCTCATGAGCCAAATAACTTGGAAGCGTTCATTGATGGTTTCCTCTCTGCCCCAAGATAAGTTGGAATTTATGCCGGCCACGGCTCAACCTTGTCACTTAGAGGACTAGGAAAACCTCTCAGGCTGCTCTCCAGCCTACTGTGGGAGGAAAAGCTTGTGCTGGGCAACAGTTCAAGGGTTCTGGGCGGGGAGGACTTCATTGGCCCTTCTAGAGCCCAGGACTTGAGGTGGGGAGGTGTCTCCCAGGCAGACCTCAGAGCCTGCGGAGGCTCCTGGGCTTGGACCCAGGGCCACGTGGAGCTAGTCCCCAGCAGGGTTGGGCATCGATACTTGTACAATGGGTTTGACTATTTTTAGGTGTGGAAAGGTACAAAGGCTCTGGGCTGGAAAACCCAAGAGGCAGGGGAATTTTCTGCCCCATGCAAATTGCTCTTTCTTCTCAGCCTCCGCTGACACCTGTTTCCTCCCAGGCAGGCCTGATCCTTGGTGCAGATGGCAGCCTTGCGCCTGGGAGGTGGCCCATCCTCCCACTGGAGATTGGAGGAAGCAGAGCAAGGGCAGGAGACTGGCTTAAGTTCCCCCTGGAGTCAAGGAGATAAGCCAACCCTAGGAACTCCCCAAAACTCCCCATCCCACTTCAACTTGAACAGCTACAACAAACAGGAGATAGGTGGGATTCTCGAAAGACAGGTTCTTCATGTCTGAAATGGGCACGACAATTCTTGCCTTCCAGGACCAGGAAGGCACATAAAGGTAGCTACTGTTTTACTACTTCAACCACAGCAACTGGGGAGTCCCTGTAGTTCTCAAGACTGGGGTGAGGCTAGGCGCAGTAGCTCATGCCTGTAATCCTGACACTTTGGGAGGCCAAGGTGGGAGGATCGCCTGAGCTCAGGAGTTTGAGACAAGCCTGAGCAACACAGTGAGACCTTGTCTCTACTGAAAAAAAAAAAAAGACAAAAAAAAAAATTAGCCAGGCATAGTGGTGTGCACCTGTAGTTCTAGCTACTCGGGAAGCTGAGATGGGAGGATCACTTGAGCCTGAAAGTTTGAGGCTGCAGTGAGCCATGATTGCACCACTGCACTCCATCCTGAGTGACAGAGGGAGACCTTGTCTCAAAAGTAAAAAGGAAAAAAAAAAGACCGAGGGTGGGGAAGGTCCCAAACAACCAAGAGCCAGCAGGGCTCCCCAAGGCCCCACCTGCCTTTTGCTTCCTTGGCTGCGCTTAAGCACATCCCATCCCCCTACCAAGCAGGGCTACCCCAGGAGGGCAGTGAGAGCTTCAACACTGTCCCACCCCCACCTCCACCTCACCTCCAGCACTGCATTCCCCTCTCTTAACAGCATTCCCAGAGAAAACACTGTCTATACCCTACCCACCATGGGGCCATGGAAGTCAGGCTTGGGGGATGGGGCATCAGGTCTCAAAGAATCCCAGCCCCACCTCCCCAGGGGAGAGTCCTAGAGGAGGGCAGCTCCTGGAGGAGGCAAGGCGGAGTCCTTTTTCAGATGCAAGCCTCTGCAGAAGCCCCCCTCCAAGGGCTGGCTAAAGACAGTGGAGCCAGGACTGCATCTGTGGTGAGGTAGCATAGAGGAGGGGCCAGCATGGAGCAAAGACATCCTCTCCAACCCATGACGAGGGCCCCGCCACCAAACTCTGGGCCTTTCTGCCCTTGGCATTGTGAGCCCCAAGGATTTAAGGTCTTGGCTAAATGACCTTGCGATCCTCACTTTCCTTATTTTCAACAGGACTGAGAAATTCTGGGCTAGTTTTAATGATTAAAAAGGAGTGTCCAGCCCCAGTGCCTGGCTACTTCTTGGCTGTAGTACAGTGTCCTACTTAAGAGCCAGGATTGGCCGGGCGCGGTGGCTCACGCCTGTAATCCCAACACTTTGGGAGGCCGAGGCAGGTGGATCACCTGAGGTCAGGAGTTCAAGACCAGCCTGGCCAACATGGTGAAACCCCATCTCTACTAAAAATACAAAAATTAGGCCGGGCGCGGTGGCTCATGCCTGTAATCCCAGCACTTTGGGAGGCCAAGGCGGGCGGATCACAAGGTCAGGAGGTCGAGACCATCCTGGCTAACACGGTGAAACCCCGTCTCTACTAAAAAAATACAAAAAATTAGCCGGGTGTGGTGGCGGGCGCCTGTAGTCCCAGCCACTCGGGAGGCTGAGGCAGGAGAATGGCGTGAACCCAAGAGGCGGAGCTTGCAGTGAGCCGAGATCACGCCACTGCACTCCAGCCTGGGCAACAAAGCAAGACTCCATCTCAAAATAAATAAATAAATAAATAAATAAATAAATAAAATAAAAATAAAAATACAAAAATTAGCTGGGTGTGCTGTGTGCACCTGTAATCCCAGCTACTCGGGAAGCTGAGGCAGGAGAGGCATTTGAACCCAGGAGGCAGAGGTTGAAGTGAGCCGAGATCATGCCACTGCACTCCAGCCTGGGGAACAGAGAGAACCTCAGTCTCCAAAAAAAAAAAAAGAGCCAGGATTAAGACCCTCCATCTCTCCATCTCTCCAAGCTTCTGCAGCCCCATCTGTGCCAAAGGCTTCTTCTGTGGTCAGTGCAATGAATACCTTGTGGCATTAGCACTGAAGACCTACAAGAAGGAGCAATAAGGCCCTAGGGTGGGAGTTTTCAGGGACCCCAGAAGGAGGGTCCAGGTGTCCAGGAGTCTACCCACCCCCAGTGCGCTTCTCAGTTCCAGAGGCCATAAACCTCTACCTGCTGTAAGAAACATCCCAGGTCAAAGTAAGGAAGGCTTCAAATGCAGATGCCTGTGAAATGGGTATAAGGAACCTATGACTAATTGGATGGCTCTGAGGACTCCACCCCTTATCCCTGCACCAGCAAATCCTTATCACTCTTGGCTCGGCCTCCAAAATGTCACAAACCCTGCTGCTTCTCATTCCACTGCTACCACCCAGCTCTAAGCCACCACTATTTCCCTGCTGGATGACTGCAACTCTCCCTTCTCTCACAGCGGCCAGGGGGAACTTTCACTAAAACATCAGGCTGTGTCATTACCCTGTCTGAGATCCTTGAAAGGCTTCTCCCCTTGCTCAGTTCAATAGGAACATCTTCACAACAACCTGGAAGGCTGAGGGAAACTGGCCCCTACTCCCCTTCATTCCACTCGGCCACGCTGGCCTCCCTCTGCACTGCCCGTGCCCTCTGCCAGGAATGCTCTGCCCCAGTCTCCGCAGGGCAGCTCACTCTCACTCCCCACAGATCTCTGGGAAGCTCATCACTACCCACCTCGGAGGGCTTCTTTTCGTTCTGTCGGGGCCAGCCCGACTTGGTGCTGCTGGGCAGTTTGGAGCATCTTGATGCGGATGTAGATGTCGCATGACCTGCAGAGAGAGAACAGTCCATTAGGGGTCCTGGAGGGCCAGGAGCACCACCCACTCATGCCCAAGAATAGGAAGCTTCTAAGCAAAGCCCCGGCTAGAATGTTCATGAGGGAGAAACCTCTGTGAGACCTAGTATCCCTGCTCTGGGCCTCAGTCTCCCCACTGATGAATGGGGACATGAAGCCTCCTCTACTCGCCAACCAGAAGGCTGGAGAAATCAAAGGCTGTTACTGGGGCTCAGTATTAGTTTAATGTGTGACCCCAGACAAGTCCTTGGCCCTCTGTGGGACTCTGCTCAAAGACAGCTGGAATAAGCCTTTCATGCCCACACTCCACCCTGCCCCAGGTTAGGTACTGTCCAAATACTCTGGGATGATGCCAGTGGGTATTCAGAGGCAGAGCAGGGCAATGGGAAGAGAGATGCTCTGAAGCAGATCCAGGTCATCAGCAGAGCCCTGACCCAGCCACTTACTAGCTTGTCACCCCAGGCAAATGACTCAATCTTGCTGAGCCTTAGTTTGTTCTTCTGTAAAATGGGGGCAAAAGAATAACTATCTTCAAAGGGCTGTGGTGAGGAATAAGTGATATCATGCCTGTAAAGTCTCAGCACAGTCCCTGGCACAGAGTGATTCCTCAATAAACATTAGCTATAATTATTAGGGTCTAAGGCCCTTGCTGGATGACAGTGCTGTGGCCTCCGCCCTTATGAATCAAAGGAGCAGCAAGAAATAGGGCAACACTATGGTTTTGGCTGAATAGGAGTAGCAGCCATGGGTGGGCACAGTGGAGGGGGCTGGTGGGGAGCCTTGCAGGTACCTGGCTCTCTCAAAGGGCTCCTCTGCCTGCAATAAAGTTAGAAATGGAGGATGTGGTTTTTGGTTCCACTGAGCCAGGCCACAGGCAGCATGTTGTAGCCACAAAAGGCCAGATGCTGTGATCTCCTGCTGTAGGGAAGAAGGGCTGGCCAGGTGGGACGCCAGAGCCAAACTGAGCAAACAGAGCCCAAAGGACAACAAATGAGACTTGGAGGTAGGGATGGGGCTGAGACCTCCTTGGCCATCCTAGTGGATCTACCCTTAGGCTTTTGTGGGGGCTGTGGAACTCTGGGAGCTAGGAGGGGCCTTGGCAAGCCCCCTAATCTTACTTGCTCATAAGTGTGAAGAAACAGGTCTAGAGTTGCACAGCTCCAAGCCCGGCCTCCTTGGCAGGGCAGCCTCTTCCTTAGCCTGGGCCTCCAGCAGGGCAATCATTGCTAGGTGAGATCTTCCTGGCAGCACAACTCTCCTACCCACAGCAGATGGAACTCCTTACTCCAACAAGCACAGGCAGGCCTGGCTTTCTGGGCACCCGAGAAGAGCTGCCTTATGACCTAGTACCAGAGCCCTCACTTTGCATAAACCTCCCTTCTCTTCTCCAAATTTCAGGGGGGCTCCCTAAACTTCTTCTGCTGCTTGATAGTGCAATCCACGCACCCCTCCCCGCAACCATCACGTCCAATTGACATGCCAATCCATACACAAGTCTACCTCTGGGATTCTATTGCCAAGATTCTATGAAGGTTGGGTATCTTCATTGATTTGTTCAGCAGACATTCACTGAGCATCTACTATGTGCCAGATCGTAGCTGGGGATATAGTGGTAAGCAAGACAAGAGACCTCTTATCAAGGAGCTTACCACTGATTGGGAAATGGTACTTATCCGGTAATTATGGTAAAAGGTGACTGGTTTTGTATCTGTTGTATACAGACTTTCTATATGGACCTTCACTTAATATATGCAGAAGCCCAGAGTGGAGCCGATCTGTTCCAACCAGAGCAAAACAAATGGAGCTGGGACCTAGAGGATAAGGGGGAGTACAGCTGGGAGAACAAGGCCCTGGAGGTCACGGAAGGTGCAGGGACTTTTTTAGAAGTGGAAGGGCAGGAGTGGAGAAACCTGACTTGATTTATGCTTTCATCAACATGCCTCTTAGTGAAATTAAGACCACAGGGCAGCCTCCTCCCATCTGGGCCTGTGGGCCTGATCACTGTTCAAATGCTTTCCCTGTAGGAGCCCAAACTGGAAGGCCTTACTGTCAGTGGTGTCAGAGTTGTCACTGCTGATGGAGTATTTTCGCCTCTTCTCTTCCATCTGCAACAAAAGGCAAGCCCATTATACTCACGGATGGCTTGGGAAATCCTCAACCTCTCAGAAAATCACCCCATAACCAACCTCCCCACACTTATGACACTGCAGAAAGATAAGAATAAAGCCCTGTCCTAGCCTTCTTCTCTGCCAGCACCACCCTCTCCCACCCACCCACAGAGGCCCTGGGATTCTAAAAGGCTGCATCTCCCACCTCCTGAGCCCAGAGCCCTTGGTTGAGCAAGGGTCTAACCAAAGCTGTTGTAGAGGGAGAGGACATGGGGGCATCAGCAAGCCCAAACTGAATAGTGACCATGACCTGCCCAGTCCCAGCTGCCACCCAAGGACACTCAGGCCCACCACTGCAAAGGCCTCCTGAGCCACAAGTCCTCTAGGGAGGTAGGTGGGTAGAGGACAGCAAACAAGACTGATTCTTCCAGGAGGACCATGCTGTCGGAAGTTAGGGACAAGCCAGCACAGAAAACACTGAGGGCCTAGTCCTGCGAGTGGTGGTCAGCAGTGTACAGAAGCGGGGGAGAGGCGGGGGACACTCCAGGCTGGGTCCCTGAGACACATCAGGCCCAGGGTGACTGGTCCTGGGCTGGGCTACCCTGCCCTCCTACTCCCCACCATCCTTCCCAGATAAACGTACAAATAAACTCTACCTCAACTGCAACATCTAACTTCAAGGTATTAAGGACAACTCTCACATAGGGGCCTCATACTGAGCTCACGCGGAGTCTTCCTTTATCCACATCATCTCCTGTTCCTAACCAGGTGAGCTGTGAGCTCCATTTACAAGTGAGGCCAGCACCTTGTCCTGCTAGTAAGTGGCTGAGATGGGACTGAATCCATGAGGTCTGATCCCCAGGCGCATGCTGAGCTGCCTTTTTACCCTCCATCAGCTCCTGGCTGCTGAAAGTGTTTTCCCACCACTGTTTCCTATAATCCTCACGAGTCCCAGGTGGCAGAGCCTGCTCTCATCCCCTTGGAGGGGAGCACAGCAGGTGATGCGTTAACCTGCTCTGGGTCTTACAGCTCGCCTGTGGCTGAGTCCTAATGTGGGAACACATTGGGGGCTCAGGGTTCAGAGCACGCTCCCCTGTGTTCCCTGACTGACTCCCCACAGCAAAGGATAGGGAGGGAGTCTGTGTCAGTAGAGAGAAAGCCCCACTGCCCAGCCCATCTGCACCTAACTCCAGCTGCCCCCAACCCCAGTCCATTCCTGCTGAGCCCTGGGATGCCACCATCTTACTGCAGCCCTGCAGAGACTAGTGAGCATCTGCTCTCTAAGGTGGGTGTGAACACCCAGATCTCTCAGCTGACCAGGATGGCCCTCCTGCCTTGGACTTGATCTTAGCCGGGAGCTTCTCTCTACCCCAGTGCCCACCACCAGCAGGACCAGGATGGCAGGAAGGCTCATTGAGGCTGCCTGCCGCCCAGCTTCAAAGATGCCGGTAAAGTGCCCTCCAGAGGCTGAGGTTCCAAGGGACACTGGTGGTGCAAGCAGCACAAACGCAGGAACAAGGATGGCTAAGACTGCTAAGCGCTCACAGTAGCGGGAGGGGGTTCCACAGGGTCCACAGGGACCTCAACGAGTCCCTAGAGCAGCCCTTTGTTATAGGCATATATCATGGCTGCTTCCCTTTTGCAGAGGAGGAAACTGAAGCTCAGAGGTTAAGTGACCTGCCCAAGATGTCAGTGACTGTATTTGATTCAGGAGACCGTGCTCTTGACCTTCTGACTTCTCCGTCTCTGCGCAGCAGAGTACAAACAGCTCAGCAACCCACAGCTGCCACCCTCACTGCCTTCCAGAGTCTGCGTGTCAAGGGTGCGACACCTGTAATCCCAGCACTTTGGGAGGCCGGGGCTGGAGGATTTCTTGAGCCCAAGAGATCGAGACCAGCCTGGGGAACGTAGGGGGACTCATCTCTACAAAAAATTTAAAAATTAGCCAGTTGTAGTGGCACATGCCTGAGGTCCTAGCTATGCAGGAGGCTGAGGTGAGAGGATAGCTTGAGTCAGGGAGGTCAAGGCTGCAGTGAGCCATGATCGTGCCACTGCACGCCAGCCTTGGCGACAGAGTAAGACCTTATCTCAAAAAAAAAAAAAAAAAAAAAAAAAAAAGAGAGAGTGTGACAAAGGCTGACTGACAGAATCCTGACTCCTGATTCTAGCCTACGTCTTCCTCAGCTCAGCCCAGCCCAGCGCAACCCAGCTTTGTCCTGACATCGGTGGGTGGAGTGGGGGGGAGGTGCTAAAAGTGCACCCACCCATTTTCTTTTGCAATCCTGTAAGCGAATTCCATTTCTCTTCATTTCCTGCAAAGAAGGTACTTCCGAGCCAGCATCTCCCACAGTATTAAAAGCAGAAGTTGTTGATGGGTTCAAATCCTAGCTCCTCTCCTCATAGACCAGGGACCTTGGGAAAGACATACCTCCCAGAGGAGATAAACTGGAACTGGCTTTTTACATAAATGTCCTTAATTTAAAATGTTGGCAACTGAGTCAGAATTTTTACAACACTTTGAAAGGGCCAAACTAAACACATCTGTGGGCCAGAATCAGCTGGTGAGAATAAATAAGAACAGTGTAAAGCCCTCAGCACAGTGGCTAGAGATCCATATGGGTGCCAGATAGTAATACCATGGCAGCCTTGGACCAGGTCGGAAAGTCCTGGAGGAGGGGCTCCTAAAAAAGAGGCAGTGACCCTATACAGTAAGGAAGGTGCCCTCGAAAGGACTCCTTGACTGCCCAGAGACCAACAGGTGACAGCATGCAGACCTACACCCCGCACCAAGCCAATTCCCCATCTAACCCTGTCCTCCACAAAACACCCCAGAGTGCCTAGGGATTATTCTGGGTCAGGGCTGTCCCATGGGAGGCTATTATTAAGGGAGCAGATTTTGTGGTGGCTTAATTGTTATAACAACTAGGCTTGAGAAGGAAGCCACTGTTTTGTGAGTGCAGCTTCTTTCCTTTAAACCAAGTCTTCCAAAGGCCTCCTTGCTCCAGCGAGCTCCCACTGTCACAGTGGCTAATGAGGCCTGGGACCGCACTATGTCAGCTTTTTGCCCCATGGATCACCCTCCTCGCAACCTCAGCAAGAGGGACAGGGAGGACTCCTTTCCCAAAGCTGAAATCCAGGACTGCAAACACACTTGGGGGGTGGAGGTGCTTAGATGTGATCTTGGCCTCTGGTTTTTCCTTTCCACTGGCTTCCCCCATCTCCCCCAAAGCAAGGTCTGCTGTGGGAGAAGATTTCAGTGTCACAAGGCACTTGCTTTCGAGGACAGAAAGTGCTCCCGAAATCCTACCTATAAAGGAGACTTTAGGAAAGAAAAGATCTCATTTTCCTGCCATTTGCACTAGTCTATTGGCACCTCTCATGCAACCCCCAGCATGGAGACACAGGTAGGAAGCTCTCCTTCAAAGTGTGGGTGTCGTAGAGTCCCCTCAATGAAGCAAAAGCCCACAGCCTCTCTGTATCCTCGGCCCCACCAAGTCCACTAGGCTTTGCCTCCAGAACACACCCACTTTCTTCCTACTATCACCACACTGGTCCAAGCCAATCTCATCTCTTGCCTGAACCACTTGTTCATCTCCCAGCTTCCAGTATCAATTCACCCATGTCCAGGCTCCACACAGCTGCCAGAGTGATGTTTAAAAAGCATAAATCAGTCGGGGTGCGGTGACTCACACCTGTAATCCCAGCACTTATGGAGGCCAAAGCAGGTGGCTCACTTGAGCTTAGGAGTTCAAGATCAGTCTGGGCAACATGGCAAATCCCCGACTCTATGAAAAATACAAAAGTTAGCTGGGCATGGTGGCGTGTGCCTGTGGTCCCAGCTGCTGAAGGGGCTGAAGTGGGAGGCCAGGAGGTTGAGGTTGCAGTGAGCTGTGATTATGCTACTGCACTCCAGCCTGGGTGACAGAGTGACACCCTGTCTCAAAAAAAAAAAAAAAAAAAAAAAAAAAAAAGCCAGGCACGGTGGCTCATCCTTATATTCCCAGCACTTTGGGAGACCAAAGTGGGTGGATCACTTGAGAGGTCAGGAATTCGAGACCAGCCTGGCTAATGTGGTGAAACCCCGTCTCTACTAAAAATACAAAAATTAGCCAGGCTTAGTGGCGGAAGCCTGTAATCTCAGCTACTCTGGAGGCTGAGGCAAGAGAATTGCTTGAACCTGGGAGACAGAGGTTGCAGTGAGCCGAGATTGTGCCATTGCCCTCCAGCCTGGACAACAGAGTGGGACTCTGTCTCAAAAAAAAAAAGGTATAAATCAGAAGCTGGACATGGTGATATGCACCTGTAGTTCCAGCTACTTGGGAGGTAGAGGCAGGAGGATCACTTGGGCCCAGGAGTTCAAGGCAAGCCCGGGCAACACAGCAAGACCCCATCTCTAAAAAAAATTAGAACAAAATAAAAATTTTAAAAGGCATAAATCAGATCATATCATGCCCCTAAGAAAATCTTTCAAAGGCTTCATAGATCAAAAGACAAAGCCTAAGCTCCTGACCACAAGACCCTACACAATCTGGCCCCTGCCACCTGGACAGCTTCATACTGACCACTATCCCCTTCCTCACCACCTTCTAGCCATGCTGGGCTCCTTTCATTCCTTTGAACAAGCCAAATATTCCATACTTCGAGCCCTGTGCACACGCTGTACTCCACTCTGTTTGGAATATTCTTCTATGTGGTCTATGCATGTCTGACTTTTCAACCTTCAGGTTTAAGCTTCAGTGTGGCCCATGTCAGTCTATGCTCATCACACTATCTGAAGAAATTCACCACCCAGTGTCCACGGAATACCCATCCCAGCTGTGCTTGTTGAGCTACTTGTTGCATGTCGTTCTCCTTGGGAATGTATATTCCATGAAGAGTAAGGAGCATTCCATTTAGACTCCAGCCAGAACCCCAGTGACATACTAGGGAGTGCTGAGTGTGCTCTCGCTCCCTCCCCCAAGAAGTGTCGGGACCACACAGTCCAGCTGGCCTGCCTGTGGCTTGCAGGAACAAACACCCTGGCCCAAGATTTCGCCCTTGTTTTCACAGCCTGCCTTCCCCGTCTTAACCTCACACATTTTCCAGGAGGCTTTATTTGGTTGGGCTCCTGGCTAATGATCAATGTCAACTCAGTAATAGGGCAGCAATTTGGTGGCAGATGTTTTCTTGGCAGCACTAGTGGTTGGCCTTAGTGAGGGCCTCAGGTCTGGACTTAAAACACCAATGCCCAATGCCAGCCCCCTTTAAAGACCTCTCTGCAAATAAACTCAAATAAACACCCTGGGCCTCCATTAACGCCCTTCCAGCTGACCCTGGGAACAGTGGGCCTTTCAGGCCTGCCACTGCAGCCACTCCCTGGGCAGTTAAAACACCCCAACCTGGCCTCCAGCCTCTCCTCTCCAGGGGCCACTAGGCCTGGCCTGCCTGCCACCACACAGCAGGATTTCGTCCTCTTCTTTAAAAAAAGGGGAAAAAAGGGCTTTCAAGCAGGCAATTTACCATTCCAGACACAATCTTTCAAAGAGAAACAAAAACTCTCCCTGTCTGAGGCAGACCGCTAAGGCGTGTGTGTAATAAGATGCTAATACAATTTAATGATATTTCGGCTGGAAAACCTGTCCTCAGAGCCTCCTTGTGTTGGGAAGGCCAGACATTCAGAAAACAAGAGCTGCACACTCTTAAACCGCTTTAAACCGGGGTCACAGCCCCACTCTTTCCTATCTCTCATTAACTTTAATGCCTTCTCAGGGACAGTAATTGCAGTTACAAAAATGATTTTGTATACAGAGTAGAGGGCTGCTGCCTGGGATCCTCCAGTCGGCTTCCTGGACCTGCTTCTCCAAGTCTAGAGGAGCCTGAACCCTCCTGCAACACCAGCCATTGCCTGTCTGCAACTTCAAGTGTCCCAGAGGGGACTCAGCTCCCCTTGAAGACGCTGCCACACCCACCCTCCAGACCAGTTCTGGGGACGTACCAAGGGGATGGTGGGAGAATGAAAAGGCTCTGTCTACTTTGTTCTTCAGAACCTTCTCACCCTACTCTTTGCCCCAGAGAGGGCAGAGCTCCGTCTACTCGCTCCCATATCGGCTGCCTATTGGCACCTGCAGGATCCTTCTGATCCCTTCTGCAGAGAAGCGAGCTGGCTCTCTGGCCTAGCCTAAAGGTGAGAGATCAAAGGTCCAAGCTGCATCGGGGACCCTCCCCAGGTATAATAAGGATGACTAATACTAATCACGTGCTTATCACATGCCTGCTTTGGGCTTAGTCTTTTTTAGGTAATCACTTATTCTATACATCCACTATGAGATAGGTACTGTTATTAATCCCATTTGCAGAAAGTGCTCCTTGTAACAGAAGGAACTGAGGTATAGAGCCATTATGACAGTTGGTAACTGCACAGCCAGGATTCAAACCTAGGCTGTCTGACTCCAGAAGGTGTACCCCATCTCCAGTGGGCTGAAGTGTACAGGCCTACAAGTTCCAGGGTATGGGTATTCTAGATTCCTATGGGCTGTCTGAAAGGAGCTTTGAGCAGACCTACAATTGTAAGCTTTTGAGCCACATGGTAAGGGTCCTATCTGGAGGACAGGGCAAGCCAGGGGTATCCTGCTCCCCAACTCTGACCTGTTCTCCCCATCAGAGAACCTAAAGGGAGAACTGTGAGGTCCCAAAAAGCCTGCTGCATGTGCCATGAAGAATTTGGACTAGAAGCCTCTTACCTGTGTCATGAGCATAAGACAACTGCCTTCCTGTTAAGAGGAACACTAGGTTAGAGCCAGAACACCCTGCCTCCCAACCTCAAGGATGTGGGGGTCAGTGTCCAGGGCCTATACAGTGTCAATACTCCGTGGTGCATCTAGGACCTGGGGACTGGCAGTCCCACCTCACCAGTCCATGAAAGCTAAGTGGAGATTTCTGACAACCTCTTGGACCACTGTTACTGGCCCTTTAGCCAGGCAATTTAGGGAAAGGAAAAGCATTTTGGACGGGAAAACATTCTGGAAACATTTGCTGCATCCTGAGCCCAAACAACTCTATCCTTAAACACTTCATCTCCAAAAGTGATGGGGGGACCCTTGGCCAAACAATTTCAAAACCAATATTCACTGCAAGTCCTGCTGCCTGGGGCGAGGACTTCCCTCTGTGAGGCATTTGCTGCAGAACCAAATGCTTTTCCACTCAAAACAACAGCCAACAGCACTTGGGGCAACCTAGAGGGCTCCAGATCAAACAAACATCCCTTCCTCTACCATGCAAACTTGCTCAATAAATTATTCGCCCACTTCGGATCAAAGCCTGTTTTTGCAGCCTGTGACCCAAAAAGCAAATAGCATCTCTTAAACATGAAAGCCCTCCTCCCTGCCTGGGTCAGCTTTATTACTCATTCCTTCCCCCTTATAGTTATTCTGTTGTTATTTTCCTCCTCTGCTTGTTAGATGGCTCTGCGAGTCCCAGCCCGTCTAAGGAAGATGGGACAAGACGGACGGTGCGTTCATCTGGGGCCCTAAGGTGAGAAAGAAAGTCAGGGTAGGGGAGAAGCCCTGGGAACCCAGGAAACAAAGCCAGGCCCGGTTGGCAGCTCCATGCCGAGCCCTTTTGCCAAATGTCCTACTGGGAATTTTACCAGTGAAGGGAGGGAGTTAATGCCACTCCGAGAGGAGGGGCCAGGCGGCCCTACCACCTCCCAGGTCCAGGAATCAGTTTGCAAACATAAATGCTAAGGGGGCGTCCTGACAGCCTGTCTGGGATCAGAGCTCAGGGGTCCTCCTTCCAACAAAGGCAAGGCAGCAGGTCCCACTCAGCCCCTTCCTAGACGCTTTGGAACCGCTCTGAATGGAAACATGACACCTCTCGATGACCCCCTACAAACTCTGACCCGGGATACAACTTTGTGCCTCGGGATCCTGCAGAAGATGACCCAGGGGTGCTAGACGCAGCGGCGAGGTTTGGAAATCTGCAGAGACCAGAATCGCCGGCCGCAGTGTGCCTTCGGCATACGGCAAAGACACCCAGTGACCCTTCACCTCCCCCAGCCTCCAGCAAGAGGCCAGCAGCCAAGCTGGTAAAAAAGTGCCCAGGCCAGCGGCAGTGGCTGAGGGGATTGGGAGGGGAGTTGCGCGCGCCTCCAGCCCGCCCCTGGAGGCAGTCCGCGGGACCGCAGGCTGGAGGCGCGCCGGCGTGATTCCGACCGCCGGAGCCGGGAGGAGGAGCCGGAGGAGGCTGCGGGGGGCTCCGGCCCAGGCGAAGGAAGGGCAAGAGGCTGTTCGACCGGGGGCGGCGCCGGGAGGTGGGTGGGCTTAACACCCAGGTCGGGGGAGGGGTTTAAGAGACACCGGGAAGGGCAGCCGAGCCCCAGGGGCGGGTGGGGTGGTAGCTGTGTGTAGTAGGGGACAGGGCTGGGCCTCTGGAAGCTAGAGTGAAGCCTTCCTGGCTGTCTCGCAGGCAACCCCATCCTCTGGCAGAACAGCTGCGAATCGCCAAGTTGACCCCTCTCGTCCCTTGGCCGAGAGGAGAGGATGTCTCAGGACCCAGGGATGGGCGGGAAGAAACCATGGGGAGCCACAAGTCTGCACCCAGGCGGGGAGGAGGCGGGCGGGCGCCGCTCCGCAGGCGCAGGCGAGTGGGTGGGAAGAAGGGAGGGAGAGGGAGGAAGGAGGTGAGGCCGGGAAGATGCCACTGCCGGGGGCGGGGCGGGGCCGGGGATCCGGCAAAGGGACTGCAGCAGCGCTAGGTGGGGGCGGGGGCTGCAATGTCACTCATTTGAGAGTCAGGTGTGTGCGTCCCAAACGGGGTCCGCCACAAGCCGGCATCTTCCTGGTACCACCCATGGTGCAGGGCCCTAGGCAGAGGGCTGGGGACTGCGGATCCGTCCCTGAAGCGGGACGCGAACCGGCAGAGTTGGGAGAAGGTAAACAAGGGCCACGCCCCCTGCCGTCGCCCCGCGGGCGCGCACCCGCCGCTCCGGCCGCCGCCGGTACATTTCCACTCTCCCAGCGCCTCTCCCCAGCTGGACTACCGCGCGGCCCCGGAGGTGGAGGCTGCCCCCGACCCCAGTCCTCACCCCTGGCGCCGAGGCTCCGCACCCTCCACACTCACCTGGAAAGGGTGTCCCCCGCCCCTCCAAAAAAACTGTCTAATTTGTGCAGAGCCTCCAACCCCAGGAGCCGAGCATGCTGCCCCCGCGTGCAGCGCCCGCGTGCACCGGGCCGGGAGAGGGGGCGACAGGGCGGAGGCGGTGGCCCCCGGAAGGTGTCTGGGACCGGACCGGCTGCACGTGAGCCCAGCGCGAGGTCATGTGCACCGGCTCAGCCCGGTTCGGCGCCCGGACGTGCTGCGTATCAACAAAATGAAACTCGGGGAGACAGGAGGGCAGATAGCTCCAGGTTCTCGGAGCCCCCGCCCGGGCCGCTCGACCTCCCCACCGTACCCATCTCCCGCCGCAGCCCCTACGCCCGGCCGGAGCCCGCGGGGAAGTTGCAGCCCTGGCGCGCCCCCGCCCGCCCGCGCCCCCTCGCCGGCCCGGGGGCGCTTTGCCGCAGTCATTAATAAAGAAGGTCGCCAAGCTCACCCTTCCAAAAGTTGTTGTTGCATGCGCCCCTCTCAGCCTCCCCGCACTGTACTCTTTAAAACACGACTGACCAACATGCGCAATCTCTCTCCCCTGTGCTGTGCATCCCCCCCCTCTCCGCGCTGGCTTCCTAGAACAGGCAGCCAGCAGGAGAGAGAGGGAGCGAGCGAGCAAGAGAGAGCGAGGGAGCGAAGAGCGCTGGCAGATCTGTTGCAAAAACGCCAAATAACGTCGTGGAGATGCGCAGGGCCCATCCGCCGGGGGCTGGATCTTACCTTGCTCCGCGGTGCCCCCCTGACGGGCGCTGCCCTCGGCTACGCGCCGCTGCAGGGACCGGCGCGGGAAGGATGCTCCCGAAGCCGGGAGCTCCTGGGGCCGGCGCGGGAGGGCGGGGGGCGCGCATCCATCCGGGGTCGCGGCGAGGGAGGCGGCCGGGCCCGCGGCGTCCCAGGCCCCACGCCCCCCGCCGGGGACGGTCGGCCCGCAGGACCTAAGCCGGTGCCGCTAGGAGTGGGCGCAAAGTAACTCCATGGACGCTACTCACCCCCCCCAAAAAATAGCCTCCAACTGCGATGGCCGCGGTCGGCACCATTCACCAACCCCCTGTGTATGTTTCTGTTTCTTTTTAAACCAAGACTTCCTTGTGATCTCTTTAGAAAAAAAAAATGTGTTGGGGTGGGGGTGGGGTGGGGGCGGGCAGGAGGAGCGAGGGAGGGGGAGTAGCCACTTTTTTCTTATTCACTCGGATCTCCGCTCCCGACACCCCCGTCGCCGCCCCCCCAACCCCCCGCCCAGTTGTTTGGCTCCGGCGGGGAGTCCAGGTAGCGTTGCGGGCCCCGTGGGGGAAGGGTGCCCTCCCTCGCAGCCCCACCACCACGCCTGCTGGCACCCTGGGCCCGGACTCCCCATGGACTCTGGGGCGCCCCTAGCCCGCCCTGTCCCCAGGGCCGGGCCCGAGCGGCGGCTGCGCCCGTGCAAGTCCCATCAGGTCTGCTCACACTTCACACACTCACACACATACCCCGCCCCTCCACTCTTTCACTCACACTTTCTGCTCACACCCCGCCCCCTACGCGCCCCAGACCCGGGCGGCGCCCCCCGCAACCTTAAAAAAAAAAAAAAGCGAGCTTATACTTAAAAAAATCTTTTGGCGCCATATTAATGACGTACTTAAAATTTGCCATTTCTCCCTGCGTCAAAAAGACGTTTCTTTGCAAATAACAGCCTGGAGGCGACACTCGCGGAGGGAACGAGGTTTGCACTGAGCACCCCGCCCCCCGGGGCTCCAGCGCTGGAAGACCCTCGCCCTAGGCCCTGCTTCTGAATCGCTGGTTTTAAAATGCGAATCGAATAAATTGCGTGGCGTTTTGCAGCACCAGAAGTGAGCAGAAAGTGCTGGCAGGAGGGGAGTGGAGGGGCGAACGCGAGTCTTGGGGAGGGGGCGCGGCCCTCCTCCCCGCACCCACTCCAAATGGAAAACTAACATTCCGGGCGGGGGAACTTGAAATTGTAGGCGACCTCAAGAAAAGAGGGGCGGTCCGTAGAGAGGGTCCCCATTGGGCTCGTCGCCCCCTCCCCCCTCCCGGGTGCCTCCTGGCGCCTAGCGCTGCCCCGCATTTCCGGGGGGTGGAGAAGGCAGTGATGAGCGGGTGGGTGGGTGGTTGCACATCCTGGCCCCAGCAGGATTTTGCCCCGGGGCGACCCCTTCCTCCTTGCTCTTCCTTCCCATTACCCCGAAAGGGTTAAAAACCGAGGGGTAACTTCCAAAGGCTGGCACATGGCGAGGAAGCGGGGCGCCCCTCTCCCCACCCTTCGCCTCCTCGCCCCTCCTCCTCCGGCTCCACTTCCCGACTTGACCTTGTGGTGCACAAACAGTACGCTCGGATCCTCGCAGTTTCTGGAAGAAGAGCCTGCGCTCGCCAGGCGGGCGGGCTGTCGGGCTGCTAGCCGGCGGTGGCGGGGCCTTGGGTCTGTTCCCGGAGCCGCGGGCCACACCCACCCAACCCGCTGCGCCCGCCGAGCTCACCTTCTCTCGAGGAAGGAGAAGGACTGGCCTCCTGGTTGGGGAGGAATCGGGGGTCAAGCTCCAACCTCCTCGGAATGCCTCTAGCTGGGGAGGGGGTGGGTCTGGCCTCGGGAGGAGGTTGTGGGGAGCCTGGCCCAACATCCCCAAAGCATCGTGGCCAACTTTTTCTTCCCCCTCATGGTCGGCTGCCCCTCAGATTATCCAATAATTTTTCAGCTCACCTTTGGCTTTGAAGGCACGTGGGTGAGTTGTGAATGGACACCGGAGTCGCCTTCCCTCTCCAAGACTGAAGATTGTTTATTCTTCCTTTCCCCTCCACCCCCTTCCATGGGAAGATAAATATTCAATTTACATAAGATGACATTTATGTGACAATTAAGAAGATTCCCCGATGGAATGTTGTGAACACATTTGCTTATAGGAGAAATAAATCTAATAATAAACAAACTCATAATAACAGCACAAATCCTCCGACAGGGCGGATTGTCTACCCAACAAAGAGGGAGATGATGAATGCTGAAATAAGCAGTTTTTGCAACAAGAAAGAAATATGAGCTCAAAGGGAGTCACTGCAACATTTCTTCTTCCTTGGCCTTCATTCACAAAGTCTGAGGAGAATTGTCTGGCAAGAGGATGGTCTGGGTATTACCTTCCAGTTAGACCTGGCTGTGGCTCTCAGTGGTCAATTGGTGGTATTTTTCTCTAGCCAAGCTCAGAGTCTGGAAACAGGTGCTGCAGACTTGGAGTGTGTAACAAAATAGTTAAATACTTAGGTTCTAATCCTGGCTTTGCATTTCAGAAGCTGTGTGATGTGGGCAAGTGAATTCATCTCCCTGGATCGCTTTTTCCTTTTGGGTAGAATGGGGTGGTTGGAGGGTTCTTGAGGCCATGTGTGCACATACACATATATGTATGTACGTACATATACAGGTGGTATGTGTAAAGCAGCAACTGGCACAGGGTGCATAGTGCTCATTAGCACCTTGCCTGGTACCTAAGTGGGTTTTTTTTATTTTGGAAGGGTGAAATTGTTCTCTGAAGCTTGATGGTCAAGGTCCAGATGTCCATTCCGGGGTGGGAGTGAGGGTACCAGTTTACAGTGGCACAGTCTAAAGAGATGACCTCCAGAGATGGATGAGGGAAGTGTGACCATTTAAAGTGCACCTGCAGTGTACTGGTCACTTTGTGAGCCATTCTATCTCATCCTCCCCCAAACCCCTTCCTCCCTTTTCAGAAAGGTTTAGTAACTTACCACAGCCACACAGCTAGTAAGTGCTGGCAGAATTGGCTCCTAGGTCTAGCTGACCTTGAGACCTATGTAGTTTCTATTTTACCACACTGCCAGAAATAAAAAGTATTACTATTATTGGTTTGATTGGGGATGGGGGGATCTGATTGCTGTCTTGGCAAGAAAGAATTTTATGAGCAGCACTTTGCTTCTGAGGTGGTTCCCTGACTTGGGGTGAGACCCAGGCCTTCTAATGAGCCCTTGAAAATACCTCTTGCTTAGGACTGGAAGCCCTATCAAAATCCTTGGATTCCCACAGTTCTCTGCTGCTGTTTAAGGTTAACCTTGGAAGCTTTAACAGAATGATAACGATAAAGCTAATTGTAACTCCTTAATCTTTATTAAAAGTCTCACAAATCATTCATTAACTTTTTTTTTTTTCCTTTTTCCACAATCTCTGCTTTGGACGTAATCATTCATTAACTTTTTACAGGAAAGAAATGAGAAGAAAGAGAGTTCTTGGAGATGTAATCCTTCATTGTTTTTCAACAAGCCTCCCGTATGCCAGAGACCATTCTTGGTGTTGGGGACACAGCACACACACACACACACACACAAATAAGTAAATAAATAAAATAAATGAGGAGCAGGGCAGGGAGAGCATCAGGAAAAATAGCTAATGCATGCTGGGCTTAATACCTACGTGATGGGATGATCTGTGCAACAAACCGCCATGGCACATGTTTACCTGTGTAACAAAACTGCACATCCTGCACATGTATCCCAGAACTTAAAAAAAAAAAAAAGGTAAAAATGTTAGCTGCTAGAGTGAGCAGGTTATTAAAATTGGACATGATTTTATTCTAAACTCTAAAATATAAAAATAACTATATGTTTGAAAGTGATTAAGTGCTGTGGAGAAACTCTTAAGAAGGAAAGGGCGATACACAGTGTGGGAGTGCAATTTTAAATAAAATAGGGAAGTTCTCACCGAGAAGACAGTCTTTGAGAAGAGCAGGTAAAGGAGTGAACTGTATGTGGGAGTATGTGTGTATGTACATGGGGGAAGAGAAGCCAGCCGTTCTTAACCTGGAGACCATAGACTCTCCTCTCCATGGGTCTGTGGATAGAATTCAGAGGATCTTGACCTTAGGTGAGAAAAAAATTACAACTTTATTTTCACTAATTAAAATGTAGCGTGTCCTTCAATTATGAATACAGATAACAAATCAGTGATATTAGCAGCACCTGTGACATTACTGCTGGTAGAAATCACAGATATTTTCATATCACTTTAGAGTTGTTGCAAATATCTTAAAATATCGTTACACTTTATGAGTAATTTATTGAAAAAGTATCATTTTACTCATCACTACTTCAAAATCATGCTGCTAACTCTTATAATTTAATGAATTAATAGAGAAGCACATATATATGTTTAAATATTTCGAGAGTTGTATTTCAGTACAATTTGTTTTCTTAATGATTTGTGGAACTTATTTTATGGATTTAAAGATACTATACTCAGAAGGAGTCCACAGGTGTCACAGACTGCCAAAACAGTCCATGGCACATGCACAAAAAAGGTTAAGAACCAAGGTCTCAAGAGACCAGCAAGTGCAATGCCTCCGAGGCAGGAATATGCTTAATATGTAAATGAAAGAGATTATATAGGGCCTTTTAGGTCATTGTTAGGAATTTGGCATTTGCTAGAGTGATATGGAGAGTTTTGAGCAGAGGACTGAGATGATCTGACCCTGGGTTTAACAGGTCTCTTGGCTGTTACATGGAGAACAGATTTAAGAGGCAAAGCTGAAGCAGGAAGGCCAGTTGGGAGACCACCTGAATAAACCAGGTGAGAGATGATTGGACCAGAGCGGTAGCAATGGAAGTGGTGGAAAGCGGTCATCTACATTTTGAAGGTAGCTCTGACAGAATTTGCTGATGGAGTGAGAGAAAAAGAAAGAAGTCAAGGACAACGATAAGTGTTTTACCTTGAACCAATGGAAAGATGGAGTTGTCCTTAACTGAGATGGAGGAAACTGGAAGGAGTAGGTTTTAGGGGATTAGGAGCTCAGTGTTGGACATATGAAGCTTGAGATGCCTATTTGACATCCAAGTGCAGCCATTGACAGGCAGCTAGACATGATAGCCTCAGCTCAGGGGCAAGGTCTGGGCTGAAGATGTCATTGGAGAGTGGTCAGTGAGCAGATGGATGGTATTTAAATTTGAGATCATCAACTAAGTGAACATAGAAAGAGAAGGGGCTCAAGGATGGTACCCTTCAGCACTGCAAGGTAAAGATGTCTGAAAGATGAAGAGGAATCAGCAAAAGTGTTGTTAGTGTTGTTTAAAGAAAAAAAAAAGCATTCAAAGAGATAGGAATATCCTGGAAGCCAAAGGAAGTGAGAGAGAGTTGCAGGAGGGAAGAAAGCCCTATGTCCAAAGCTGTGGAGGGGTCAGACAAGCTGGAGGCTGAGAATTGATCATTGGAATCATCAACATGGAGGTTACTGGTGACCTTGACAAGAGCCATGTCAATGGAATAATGCTAGCAAAAGCTTGATTGAAATAGTTCAAGATAGAGAGGGAAGGTTTCTAGTTGTCACAACTTGTTCTCAGATGCTACCTGAAAATGAGATGTCCTCTGTATATATTTATCTGTGAATGTTTATAGAGATGGATAACTACGTATCTGTAGAAATTTAATTCAAACAGCTTCTGTTGAGGATCTTCTGTGTACTAGGCATGGTAATGGATGCTACAAATACTGAGAGAAATAAAACACATTAATTGCCTTCCAAGGGTCACAGTCTAGCAAACTTTGTTGGCACACGAAATACACACAAATCAATATACATGACTAAATACACACAGTCACTCTGGACATCAGTTTTTCTAGTGTAATAGACAATATGATTAAAACTGTGGATTCCAGAATCAGGCAATCCTTTGTTTGAGTCCTGTCTCCACCATTCTCCAGCTCTGTTACTTTGCACAAGTCAATCAACTTCTCTGTGCCTCAGTCTCCTCCTCTGTAAACTAGGGATGCAATCATTTCCAAACTTTAGTGTGGATGGGGTGCATGGGATGCATGTTAAAAATGCAGATTTTTTTTTTTTTTTTTTTTTTTTTTTTGAGACAGACTCTTGCTCTGTCGCCCAGGCTGGAACGCAGTGGCACGATCTGGGCTCACTGCAACCTCCGCCTCCCAGGTTCAAGCGATTCTCCTGCCTCAGCCTCCCAAGTTGCTGGTATTACAGGTACACATCACCATGCCCAGCTAATTTTTGTATTTTTAGTAGAGACAGGGTTTCTCCATGTTGGCCAGGCTGGTCTCGAACTCCCGACCTCAGGTGATCCACCCGTCTCGGCCTCCCAAAGTGCTGGGATTACAGGCGTAAGCCACTGCACCTGGCCCCAGCCTTTTTTTTGAGATGGAGTCTCACTCTTGTCGCCCACGCTGGAGTGCAGTGGCACCATCTTGGCTCACTGCAACCTCTGCCTCCAGGGTTCAAGTGATTCTCCCGCCTCAGCCTCCTAAATAGCTGGGATTATAGGTGCCACCATCATACCCAAGTACTTTTTGTATTTTTAGTAGAGATGGGGTTTCACCATGTTGGCCAGGTCTCGAACTCCTGACCTCAAATTATCCGCCCGTCTTGGCTTCCCAAAGTGCTGGGATTACAGGCGTGAACCACCGTGCCCGGCCAAAAATTGCAGATATCTGAGCCTTATCCCCAGAGGTTCTCAGTAGGCAGGTCTGGGGCAGGGCCCGCAACTTTTTTTTTTTTTTCAATTAAAAAAAATATCTGCAGTGTTTTATTTTTTTGAGATTACAGGAGGCTGCCACCATGGCTGGCTAATTTTTGTATTTTTAGCAGAGATGGGGTTTCACCATGTTGGCCAGGCTGGTCTTGAACTCTTGACCTAAGGTGATCCACCCACCTTGGCCTCCCAAAGTGCTGGGATTACAGGCATAAGCCACTGCGCCCAGCCAAAACCTGCAGCTTTTAACAAGTACTTGGTCATTCATAATGTACATGGCATTGAACCACACTTTGTGAAACACTGAGAACATGTCCACATGGTTCCATGCACTGGCCTGGCGCTCAGTCATTGCTCATTAGACAATAGCTATTTTTCCAGGGGTCCTGGTTCGGAACAAAAATTCTTTTTTTAGTTTTTGTAGAGACAGGGTCTTGCTATGTTGTCCAGGCTGGTCTCGATCTCTTGGGCTCAAGCAACCCTCCCGCCTTGGCCTCCCAGAATGTTGGAATTACAGGAGTGAGCCACTCCACCTGGCTAAAAAAAAAATATATATATATATATATATATATACACACACATATATATGTGTGTGTGTATATATATATATTTTTATATATATACATATATATATATATATATACATATATATATATATATATATATATTTTTTTTTTTTTTTAAGACACAGTTTCACTCTGTTGCCTAGGCTGGAGTGCAGTGGCGCCATCTCGGCTCACTGCAACCTCCCCCTCCTGGGTTCAAGTGATTCCCTTGCCTCAGTCTCCCGACTAGCTGGGATTACAGCTGTGCACCACCACACCCAGCTAATTTTTTTTTTCTTTTTGAGATGGAGCTTCGCCCTTGTTGCCCAGGCTGGAGTGCAGTGGCACGATCTTGGCTCGCTGCAACCTACGCCTCTTGGGTTCAAGTGATTCTCCTGCCTCAGCCGCCCGAGTAGCTGGGATTACAGGCACCCGCAACCACGCCAGGCTAATTTTTTGTATTTTTAGTAGAGACGGGGTTTCACCATGTTGGCCAGGCTGGTCGTGAACGCCTGACCTCAAGTGATCCGCCCGCCTCGGCCTCCCAAAGTGCTGGGATTACAGGCGTGTGCCACTGCGCCCGGACTAAAAATCCTTTCAAATAACTTTCAGTACATGTCCAGATGCAGAAGTACAGCATACCCTAAAAACCCTAAACTGAGAGAATAGTATAAGATTGGTTCAACATTCATTCCCAGGATATTTATTGCCTGCTATGTTCCGACCTGGGTCAGTTCACCCCTCCTTAGGCAACTTCGTGGTCCCCTGCTCCCAGGAGGTCACCATATTGATGCCAAACTTAGTGCAGACACCCAATCCACATAATGAACTACCACACAGAACTCCTGGGCTCAAGCAGTCCTCCCGCCTCAGCCTCCAGAGACTACAGGCACGTGCCACCACACCTGGCACTTGCTATGTTCAAGGCGGTATACAAGGGTTGGAAAGAAACAGAAAATACCTGACTCAACAATTTGAGTCATCAAGGTAGGCAGAAGCCGCAGATGTAGTTAGCCACACTCCCCAGCAGCCCACTTCTGTGCCAGGTGAGAAGTCCTCATTTGGGTTCTAGACTTGTATTCACATACTCACTGCTTAGGGCAATGCTTGTCCGACTACACTATGCACACAAATTACCTGGGATCTTGTTCAGATGCAAAGTCTGATTCATTAAGTCTGGGAGAGCTAAAAGTCTGCATTCTTTTAAATTTATTTTTTATTTATTTTATTTTATTTCAAGCGATTCTCCTGTCTCAGCCTCCCGAGTAGCTGGGATTACATACGCATGCCACCATGCCCAGCTAATTTTTTGTATTTGAGTAGAGACGGGGTTTCACCGTGTTGCCCAGGCTAGTCTCGAACTCCTGAGCTCAGGCAGTCCACCTGCCTCGGCCTCCCAAAGTGCTAGGATTACAGGCGTGAGCCACTGTGCCCGGCCTTTTTTATTTTTATTTATTTATTTATTTTTTGAGACAGGGTCTCACTCTGCTGCCCAGGCTGGAGTGCAATGGTGCAATCACAGCTCACTGCAACCTCGACCCACCTCCTAGGCTCAAGAGATCCTCATGCCTCAGCCTCCCGTGTAGCTAGGACAGCAGGCGTATGCCACCATGCCTGGCTAATTTTTAGAAGTTTTTGTAGAGACAGAGATCTTGCTGTGTTGCCCAGGCTGGTCTTGAACTCCTGGCCTCAAGTGATCCTCCCATTTGGGCCTCCCAAAGTGCTGAGTTTATAGGCGTGAGCCACTGCGCCCAGCCAAGAGTCTGCATTTTAATTATTATTGTTATTATTATTATTATTTTTTGAGACTGAGACTGTCTCTGTCGTCCAGGCTGGAGTGCAGTGGCACGATCTCAGCTCACTACAACCTCCACCTCCCAGATTCAAGTGATTCCCCTGCCTCAGCCTCCCGAGTAGCTGGGATTACAGGCACCCGCCACCACGCCTGGCAATTTTTTTATTTTTATTTTTTAGTAGAGGCGGGGTTTTGCCATGTTGGCCAGGCTTATCTTGAACTCCTGACCTCAGGTGATCTGCATCCCTTGGACTCCCAAAGTGCTGGGATTACAGGCGTGAGCCACTGTGCCCTGCCAAGTCTGCATATTTAACAAGCTTCAAGATGATGCTCATGCTGCTGGTCCACAGATCACACTTGAAATAGAACAGGTTTAGAGATTAGAAAAATTGGGTCACAATACCTGCCCTGTAACCTTAGGGTTCCTGGAGAATTCCTGGGAATCCTAAAGGGAAAGAATGGAGTGGGAAGACTTGCTAATTGCACAGATCCAAGTAAGGTTTGCTCACACTTCCTTCTGTTTCTTCTGTTTCTGTCATCCCATCTTTACCCTGCCACATGTATCCAGTGGGATGAGGTGGCCTCCTCTAAAGGAGGATGAGCATTCATTCAGTAAATATTTCCTATGTGCCTACTATGTGCCAAACTCTGTAGAAAACATATTATTTGGCATTCAGGGAGGACAAAACCAGCAGCTTCTGCCTTCTGGGCTCCAGGCAGAAATTGCAGCTTGGGTTTGGAACAGAGGGAAAATCTGCTCAGGTCTGTGTTCATGGCTGAAGACACTGCCCTGGAAAGATCCAGACTTGGCTCTTCCTGGGGTGCACTACAAACACATGCCTGGGAGAGGCACCCCTCTGGAGCCTTAGCCAGCCAGTTCGGAGACGGTACTGCCCAGTCCCAGGAGATGTCTGGATAATGTGCCAGCCAGGCCACCTGTCCCTCTTAGACTCTCAGATCCAGCCTGGTGGCTACAGATGGCAAAAGGAAATGAAGATCCCTGGGGCCTCCAAACGCTTCCCCGGAAACTGGCAGCAGCCAATAACTCCAGCCAAGTCAAGGGCCAGCCCAACCAGAGTCAAAGTGTGACACGCCCCATTCTGAGCTGAAAGGCCTGGCCCAATCCAAGGACCACCAAGAACTGAAGGTGTTGGCTCTAAGTCAAGTTGAGCAGTATAAGCAAAACCCTTACTTTCACCTTTCCCAGGGTTTCTGATCAATCAAAGCAAATCTCCCCACATCTGATAGTCTTACAAAGACCCTTTCCTTGTATTTACTGATTTATTTTTATTTGTTATTTATTTATTTTTTAGACACGGGGTCTCACTCTGTCACCTAAGCTGGAATGCAGTGGTGCAATCGATCATAGCTCACTGTGGTCTCAAGCTCATCTTGGGCTCAAGTGATCCTCCTGCCTCAGCCTCCTGAGTAGCTGGGACGGCAGGCATGAGCCACCATGTCCAGCTAATTTTTTATTTTTTATAGAGACAGGGTCTCACTATGTTGTTCAGTCTGGTCTTGACCTCCTGGTCTCAAGTGATACTCCTATCTCAGCCTCCCATGGTGCTGAGATTACAGATGTGAGCCACCATACCTGGCCCCATGTATTTACTGATTCACAGTCACCCTGGAGGTAACTTGGCTTATATTAGAAATAGCATTACATTGGGGCAGGGTATGGTGGCTCATGCCTGTAATTCCAACAGGTTGGGAGGCTGAGGCAGGAGGATTGCATGAGCCCAGGTATTCGAGGCTACAGTGAGCTAGAATTGCTCTACTGCACTACAGCCTGGGTTACAGAGCAATACCATGTCTCTAATAATAATAATAATAAAAAGTATGGGGCTGGGTGCGGTGGCTCATGCCTGTAATCTCAGCACTTTGGGAGGCCGAGGTGGGCGGATCACGAGGTCAGGAGATCGAGACCATCCTGGCTAACATGGTGAAACCCCGTCTCTACTAAAAATACAAAAAAATTAGCCAGGCGTGGTGGCGGGCGCCTGTAGTCCCAGCTACTTGGGAGGCTGAGGCAGGAGAATGGCGTGAACCCGGAAGGCAGAGTTTGCAGTGAGTCGAGATCGCACTGGGCGACAGAGCAAGACTCCCTCTCCAAAAAAAAAAAAAAAAAAGTAGCATACATTTACAAACACACCATGAAGGCTCTACGCTAAGGCAGTGAGCCTCAGATCCAGATCTCCCTTCACTGGATTTAAGCCCATTTAGGAAGACAGGTCCTTAAGCATATGCAGGATGGTCAAGGTACAACAAGCCATCTGAGGATCCTGAAGGTTGAAATGGGCAAGAGAGTTTCTTGAGAAAGGCCTGGAGGTGGACCTGCATAGTGACGGTGATTCATATGAGATGGGGTTGGGGGTAGGGGAGAAGTGGAGGTGGGAAGATACAGGGGAAGTCAAAGTCAGACAGATGGATGGTGTCTGCCTGGTTTATAGCATGCAGTGGGGTATGGAGCATGATGCTAACCCCTGGGGGCTCCTTCTGAGGAGGGAACTGCCCTTTGTTCCAGAAACTACATTTGTGAGCTGCTTGAAGTGAAGGTGAGACCCTGCAGTTGCCTCACATTGGAAGGAGATGAGAGCGTGCAGCTCTAAATCCAGGAACCCTCCCCCACCCCCCGCTGTGAGACCCTCTGATGTGGGCACAAGGATGGCAGTTTAAGAATAGCCATTACAGCATTGTTTGTAACAGTGAAAATGTGGAAACAGACTGAATGTCCATTCACTGAAGGACTAACTAAATAATGCACAGTGCAAATAGAACAAAGCAGCCAGCTGGGCGTGGTGGCTCACGCCTGTAATCCCAGCATTTAGGAGGCTGAGGTGGATGGATCGCCTGCGCCCAGGAGTTTGAGACCAGCCTGGGCAACGTAATGAAACCCTGGCTCTATAAAAAAATACAAAAAATTAGGCCAGGGGCGGTGGCTCATGCCTGTAATCCCAGCACTTTGGGAGGCCGAGGTGGGCGGATCACCTGAGGTCAGGAGTTCAAGACCAGCCTGACCAACATGGTGAAACCCCGTCTCTACTAAAAATACAAAATTAGCTGGGCATGGTGGCACATGCCTGTAATCCCAGCTACTTGGGAGGCTGAGGCAGGAGAATTGCTTGAACCCGGGAGGCGGAGGTTGCAGTGAGCCAAGATTGCGCCATTGCACTCCAGCCTGGGCAAGAAGAGCGAAACCCCACCTCAAAAAAAAAACAAAAAAATTATCTGGGCGTGGTGGTGTGCACCTGCAGTCTTAGCTACTTGGGAGGCTGAAGTGGGAGGATTACTTGAGCCCAAGACTGCAGTGAGCCGTGACTGCACCACTACACTCTGGCTTGAGCAATAGAGTGAGACCCTGTCTCAAAAAAAAAAAAAAAAAAAAAAGAAAGAGAGAGAGAAAGAAAGAAAAGAAAAACGAACAAGATAGCCAAAGAAGTGGCATTGTGCAGTTTTGTATACCTGGTGTAAAAAGAACCTTAAGAAAAGTGTTGGCTGGGCGCGGTGGCTCACACCTGTAATTCCAGCACTTTGGGAGGCATAGGCAGGCGGATCACGAGGTCAGGAGATCGAGACCATCCTGGCTAACATGGTGAAACCCCGTTTCTACTAAAAACACGAAAAATTAGCCGGGCGTTGTGGCGGGCGCCTGTGGTCCCAGCTACTCGGGAGGCTGAGGCAGAAGAATGGTGTGAACCTGGGAGGCGAAGATTGCAGTGAGCCGAGATCGGGCCACTGCATTCCAGCCTGGGCGACAGAGCCAGACTCTGTCTCAAAAAAAAAAAAAAAAAAAAAAAGAGAAGTGTTAAGTGACAGACAACTTTCAGGGTAATATGTGCAGTATGATCCCACTCATAGTAAAAAAAAAAAAAAAAGCAAACAAAACAAACAAAAAAAAAACCCTACAAAATGAAAGTTTACATTTTTCTCTGAACACACACAGAGACACAAACATGTGCATTTTTGTACGGGAAAAAAAGGTCTGGAAATGTATGTACCGAATTCATGAATTTGCTTGTACTGGAGTATGTAGGGAGCAAGACTGGGAAGGGGGGAAGGGCAGGGGCAGGAGCTGTGGAGATGGAGGGGAGGAGTCGACCTTGGGGTTACTGGGGGAACCCAAGAAGCCCTCTGCATTTGGGCAGTGCTGGTTGCCCCGCAGGTGCTTGGAATCCACCCAGGGACAGAAACATCATTGGTGTGGCAAGGACACGCTTCTCCTGGTAGGAAGGGGCAAGAAACCTGCCCTCTAGGCTAGCCTCAGGGCTGCCCTCTGTGTGGCCTGGGGCCTGTTTGGCTCTCTCTGGGCCCCAGGATTAGGGTCTCTCTGGGCTGTTTCAGCTGGACCAGTCTCAGATCCTAAATGCATTCTAGAGCCTTCTCATGGACGTTGGGCTCCAGCAGGGGCACAGAAAAGCCTCACTAGGCCTTTGGCCTGCTGAGACTTGGGTGGGCAGCCTGGGGCTGGAAGCTGTGTGGGAAGAAAGTTTCTGAGCGGCATGGCCTCCAGGAGGTGCTCCCTCCTCCAGCAGGTGGAGTGCCCTTTCTTCCCAACAAATTCAATCTGAGAATACCTGGCCCAGCCTGGCTCCTGAGACAGCAGAGTGGGGACAATTCATTACCTGGTGGAGTCTAAACAGTTCATGAGAACTCACTGAGTTGGGGCTCTGGGCTGGCCTCAAGGGAAGCGGAGATTGCCTGAGGCCAGGGCTTGGGCTCTAGGCCTGCAGGGAAGCTGGTGCGAGCTGTGCTCAGGGACAGATCTGTGCTGCAGACGCAGTAGCTCTGAGCCAAGAACTGGGCCGGCTTCAGGCTACAGAGATGTGTTACATCAGGATGGGGGAGGGGCAGACACCAGATTCTAACAGGGTCAAGTATGTGGACAGATCAAGGCTTAGAGTGGGGTGAGAAGCAGCAAGGCCAGCTGGCCCTGAGATGCCTCACCCTAGTCAAAGCTTCATTAACGGTGTCCTGGCCTTGATCTGCCTCCCACTGCTGGGAGTGTCTCCAGTGTACAAGGTGGCTGCCTTGGGAGCCTCCTTCAGGCACTAGTGAGCAAGCTGTTCTTCCCTCAGGGCCTTGGGCACAGTGACTTGTGAGGCTGGGGTGGCCCTGGGTACTGTGATTGCTGGATATTCTAGGACCTGTGGCTCTGGCACACAGTGAGCTGTCTCCAAATATGCTGGACCTCCATCCCGTGTGCTAGGGAAGAGACTTGGACACAAATTGGCACTGGATGCCCATGTGAAGGAGACGCTTGGAAACAAGAAATTCTTGTTGAGTTGATCCCCAGCTAGGCCAGCTCTAGGCAGATTATCTACCTAACACAGCTCCTCTAGGAGAGTGCTACAGAAAAAAGAAACCTATGTTATCTGGCATCCGGGTTGGGCAGGAGAGGCAGATTCCTGGGGGGGCAAAGAGGCTGCCCTAGAGAGCGTCTACCACTGGACATCTAGCTCCCTTGCCTCCCTGATCCTCAACTGCCCTCGGAGCTCAAGGAAAGGCAAGCAGCTCCTAGGTGTCCAGTCCTCTGGCTGATCAGACTAGGAGGGCACACCTAAGGAGAAGCAGACACCATCTTTGCCCCAGAAGACCTCACAGCCCAGGTGGGGAGGTGAGATTCCTAGGCTGGAAACAAGATGAGGTAGGACATGACTCAGTGCTGAAGTATTTGCTTTGGCCCTTTGTGTGAGTGAGGGGCGGAGGAAGCCAGGAAGGAGCTGCTAGTGTGGGGGCAGAAGGAAGAGAGAAGGTGCATTTGTGTGTACCCATATGCGTGTGTGTGTGTGTGTGTGTGTGTGTGTATGTGTGGTGTGTCGTGTGTCTGCATGTGTCACATCTGAGGTCATATCTCTGGATTCCCCCCACCTTCTGTGCTATTTGCCCAGACAACCTAAAAATAATTTCCATTTAACTTTAGGATTCGTTATTTGATGCACTAGATGCTTGCCCAGCAGATATACTTTTCCACCCACACTTTATGTAAGATCAACATCAAGTTAAAATGAGTCTGCATTATTTATGCATATACAAGGAGGCTAGTAGGCAAAAGGCAGACTAGAGCAGCCTGGATTTCACTGGAAAGTTTATATAAAAATGGTCCCTGGACAGGGCCAGTGGCTCATGCCTATAATCCTAACACTTCGGGAGGCTAAGGGAGGAGGATTGCTTGAGTCTAGGTGTTTGAGACCAGCGTGGGCAACATAGTGAGACCTTGTCTCTTAAAAAATACAAAAATTAGCTGGGCATGGTGGCACTTGCTTGTAGTCCTAGATACTCTGGAGGCTGAGGTGGGAGGATTGCTTAAGCCTGGGAGATTGAGGCTGCAGTGAGCTGTGATCACACCACTGCCCTCCAGCCTGTGTGACAGAGCAAGAGCCCTATCTCAAAAAAAAAAAAAAAAGATTCCAAGGTGGATGACAAAATTGGACAGTGTGCCTGGATTGGTGATCACAGCATTGTTGGGGATAATGATAAAATGAAAAAGGACCCTCTATGGCTACTGGGAGTGTCAGCCCCTTATTTCACCCACACATGACATAGCAATGGGCACGTGGCCAGCACTCAGTGGATATTTACTGAACTCATATCTATCGATCTTTTCAATAGACATTGAGAAAAAATGTCCACATCTGTACAACATCTGCAAAGATGGAGGTAGATGATTGATAATTCATCATGGACAGAGGACAACTAAATGATAGATTGAGTTTAACGTTTAGTTTGTTAGACAGATGGCTAAGGGGTGATGCTGTTATCAGAGTAAAAGATCAAAGCCACTGAGGAATGATAGATTGATAAATAACTTATTGAAGCTTGATAAAGGGGTAGGAAGAGAAATAAATTGTGGTCAATAGATCCATGGTCAGGTTCAAATAAATAGGTAGATAGGTAAACAGAAATGTAGCGATAGAGCAAGAGAGACAGACAAGAGGGTGAGAGAGATACTGCGGTAGACACAATAATGCCCATCCCTAAAGATGTCTGCGCTGCACTCCCCAGAGCCTGTGAATACGTTCCCCGACATGGCAGAAGGCACTTTGCAGATATGATTAAATTAAGGGCCTTGAGAGGGAGGGATTATCCTGGATTGTCTAGTGGGCCCCGTCTAATCGCATGTCCTATCACTGACCTCTCTTTCACTGTGCTGCAGCCTCCCCTGTGCTCTTTTCAGTTCTTGATCATGCCAAGCTCGTTCCTGCCTCAGGGCCTTTGTACTCGCTGTTGTCTTTGTCTGCTCCTTTTCGTCACTCAAATCTCACTCAGTTCGCCTCCTTGCTTCTAGATTTTTGTCCTGAAACCTTGAGTACACTCTGTTCCTGGGGACTGGGTTGGGGTAATGGGATGTCCAAGCTCCTTGCCTATGCTGGCTGGCACTGTCCCCAGCCCCAAGTCCTGCCCAAGGTTGTGGAATGGAGCAGTGTGCATGAGTCATCAAGCCACAGACACAGTCCCCTTGTTGGAGGGACCTGAGCAATTACGTTGTGGCTAACTCCAAGGGCTAATGGCTCAATTGAAAGGGAAGGTTAGGAATTTCCCCAAGTTCCTCAGACTCATATGGCACCAAGAGGGAACTGGAGAGTGGCGGAGCTGGGAATGGTCTGTGTGGAAGATGCTGTGACCTCTCTGAGCACTGTCATGTCCCTAGCCTGAGCTGAGCCAGGCTGTGAAGAAGTAGATGGCACATCCCAGTCTCACAGGGGCCCATCACCCTTCGAGCATTCCTTTATTTACCCCACATCTAAGGAGCCCCTATTCTGTACCAGGCATCATGCTGCCCTAGCACAGGTTAGGCCTGCCCTGAAGGAGCCTTCAGTCTAGCCAGGGAGATAGGCTGGCCAGCAAAACTTACAGGTCTGCTGAATAAGTGTCCAGAACTGGGGACACACAGAGGGGGAGCCCGAGCAGGTGATGGGGCTCGAAGGCAGTGAGAGACCAGCTGGAGGGATGAGAGAAGGGCACACTGGGCAGCAGGAGCAGCCTGGCTGGGTCAGGTTCCTGGGCTGCTGTAACAAAGTGCCACAGGCAGGGTGGCTTACAGCAGCAGACACTTATTCCCGCTGTTCCGGAAAATAGACATCCCAAATTGAGGTGCTGCTAAAGCCATGCTCCCTCCAAGGCCTTTAGTGGGGGATCCTGCCTTGCCTCTTCCAGCTTCTGGCAGCCCCCGGCATTCCTTGCCTTTCGGATGCATAACTCTGGTCTCTGCCTTCATTTTCACCTGGCTGTCTTCCCTATAGTGTCTTGCTCTGTGGTCCAGGCTCAACTCCGCTGGCATGACCATGGCTTACTGCAGCTTCGACCTTCTGGGCTCAAGTTGATCCTCCTGCCTCAGTCTCCCAAAGAGCTGGGACTACAGGCACAGGCCACCATGCCCAGCTAATTTTTAAAAATTTTTTTGTGGAGACCGGGTCTGGCTATATTGCCCAGGCTGGTGATGAACTCCTGGGCTCAAGCAATCCTCGTGCCTCAGCCTCCCAAAGTGCTGGGATTATAGGTGTGAGCCACTGCACTTGGCCCTGTTTTTAAAAAAGTAAAAATAAAAATAAAAATGTTTTATTGCTGCATAATAGTTGTACCTATTTTGGGGGTACGGGTTATATTTGGACACATGTATACAATGTATAAAACCAAATCAAGATAGTTGGGATACCCATCACCTCAACAACTTTCCCTCTTCTAAGGACACCAGCCATACCAGAGTGGGGCCCACTCTAATGACCTTATTTTAACACTATTAAATCTGCAAAGACCCTGTTTCCAAATACAGTCACCTTTACAGGTACAGGAGGTTAGGATTTCAATGTATATTTTTGTTTTGTTTTGTTTTTGGTTTTTTTTTTGAGACGGAGTTTTGCTCTTGTTGCCCAGGCTGGAGCACAATGGCACGATCTCGGCTCATCGCAACCTCTGCCTCCTGGGTTCAAGCGATTCTCCTGCCTCAGCCACCCGATGAGCTGGGATTACAGGCATGCGCCAGCACGCCCAGCTAATTTTGTATTTTTAGTAGAGACGGGGTTTCTCCATGTTGGTCAGGCTGGTTTCGAACTCCCAACCTCAGGTGATCCACCTGCCTTGGCCTCCCAAAGTGCTGGGATTATAGGCGTGAGTCACCGTGCCCAGCCCAATGTATATCTTTGTTGTGCATGGCATGGAGACACAATTCAACCATAAGCATGGGCAAAGGCTTGGAAGGGTATGGAGCTCAGGGCAGAGCTCTCCACCGTTTGCCACCTCATTACCCACAGCCTTTTTACACATTTCCCCTGGTGACTCACCAGTCCTTACACCTGCCCGGCATGCTCGCACCTCCAGACTCTTGCTCCCATAGCCCCCGTGTCTGTCTCAACTGCTTTCTTTCTCAATTACCAGGCCCACCTCTTCAGGGAGCTCTCTCTGACTTGGAAGTGCCAGTCCCTTCCTCTGTTTTTTTTTTCTTTTTTCTTTTTTGAGACAGGGTCTCTTTCTGTTACTCAGGCTGGAGTGCACTGGAGTGATCATGGCTCATTCCAGCCTCAACCTCCTGGGCGCAAGCAATCCTCCCGCCTCAGCCTCCCAAAGTGTTAAGATTACAGGTGCAAGCCACCACACCAGGCCTCTTTCTCTGATTTCTGAGACTTTCACAGTCTGAGGGTTCATTTAGTCTACAGTGCCCAGGTAGGCATCTTTTTACCTGCCCCCTTCAGCTTCCTCCCTTCTCCATGCCAAGCCCAGGATCAGGGAACAAGAGACCTTGAGTCCAGCCGGATGCCATGGCTCACGACTGTAATCCCAGCACCTTGGGAAGCTGAAGTGGGTGGATTGCTTGAGCTCAGTTCAAGCCCAAGAGACCTTGAGTCCAGCCTCTCAGCCATTTCCAAATTTCCTCTGCACCCTCCCTGCCCAAGTTTCTCACCTGTGCTTGGATGTCCCCATGACCAGGGCATCTGGGCCACACTGTGTCTCCCAGGAGCTCCCTCCCACTGCTTGGAGCCCCATGGAGTCCACTTGGCTTCCCAGTAACCATGGCTGCAGTGGAGCATGACCCACACCTGAGGCCATCTGAGGGACTTGCAAATGGCTCCCTAGCCCAGGGGTCTCTTTTACCCACCTGCCACATGCCAGAAATTCCACCATTAGCAAGTCTGACAGCATCCACCCCTGATAAGGACAGACGCCCCAAGGAGAGACTCTGCCGCGAGTCGCTGGGCCAGTACTTGCTGCCAAGAGCCTGACAGCCTGTTGCTTGGTGACATCTCACTCAAGTCCTTCAGGAAACTTGCACCCCAAAGGCAGGAGGGGGCTGAAGGAGATGGGGCTCCTCTGCAGAGCTTTGTCCAGAGGCAGCAGGCTGAGAGGTGGGGGGGGGAATCTAAGGCAGCCCAATGACCCCACCCTGCCCAGGGGAGAGGCTCTCAGGCCCCACAAGCTCAGCCTCTTCCTGTCTCCCCACACCCCCTTTATTCCTGCACCTCCCTGGCTGGAGAACCGCCCCCTGCACACACTCCCAGCGGCTGGGCAGTTAGTGACCTTTGGACTGGGAAAGCACTGGAGCCTCCTGGGCCCCACACCCTGGCTGGCATTCACCGGGAGCAGGGAGAGTCCCAGAACTGTCACTCTCAGGCAGGCCCAGTCCCTGGTGTCCTCAAGTAGCCAGTCCTGTTCTCCCCTTTCTTCCATGGGGAGGAGCTGGGCACAGGGAAGAGGGCTGGGCCAGTCCTGGCCGGAGGCACTGTGCTGCCACTTGCCCTCAGCCCCACAGGTGCCCCTGGAGTCTGTGCAGAGGCCCGGGGCAGAAGCCCTGGGGGTGCTCCTACTTTCCTGCCAGAGGGGCTGGAGGATAGGATGAGGAAGTGTGCTCAGTGCAAGACCCCGAGAGTCCCAACAAGACTCATTTAGGAGGGTGAGCTAGCCCTGTCTAATAAGGAACTATTTCAGGTTTGCAGTAATCAAGTCTAGCTTGAGGCTGTCCCAAATAGTCAGATAATGGAAGCCAAATGTCTGCAACCATGATTTGGCTCCTGGGCCTAGCTGTTCAGTGCAGACCCAGTGAGGGGCCTCAGCCCTGCACCCAGCTTCCAGGCCCCCACCTCTACCTCAAGATATCAGTGCAGGCCCAGTCCTAGTAGGTCCTCTGGCTAATGAAGCCTCCTGGAGCCCATAGCCCTACCAATTCCAGTTAGAGCCCACATAGCAGACAGAACAAGATGCTTTTTTTTTTTTTTTAAATGGAGTTTCCCTCTGTTTCCCAGGCTGGAGTGCCATGGTGCGATCTCGGCTCACTGCAACCTCCGCCTCCTGGGTTCAGGTGATTCTCCTGCCTCAGCCTCCCAAGTAGCTGGGATTACAGGTGCCTGCCACCACACCTGGCTAATTTTTTTTTTTTTTAGTAGAGACGAGGTTTCACTGTGTTGGCCAGGGTGGTTTCGAACTCCTGACCTCAAGTGATCCACCTGCCTCAGCCTCCCAAAGTGCTGGGATTACAGGCGTGAGCCACCGTGCCCAGCACAAGATGCTTTTCTTTTCTTTTCTTTTTCTTTTTTTCTTTTTTTAAGACTATGTCTCGCACTGTCACCCAGGCTGGAATGCAGTGGCACGATCTCGGCTCACTGCAACCTCTGCCTCCCAAGTTCAAGCGATTCTCCTGCCTCAGCCCCCAAAGTAGCTGGGATTACAAGCACATGCCACCACACCCGGCTAGTTTTTTGTATTTTTAGTAGAAAAGGGGTTTCACTCTGTTGGCCAGGCTTGTCTCACTCCTGACCTCGTGATCCGCCCGCCTCGGCTTCCCAAAGTGCTGCTGGGATTTCAGGCGTGAGCCACCGTGCCCAGCCTACAAGATGCTTTTTAAATTAAGGGCTTCATGAAGAATTTCGTGGTTCCCCAGAAAGTGTAAGGAATGTTTAGGGTTTGGCTAAGCCTGGCTTTGAACCTGATGCTAATAGGGGAGAAGGCATCTTTAGACCTGACCTGAATCCAAGTCAGGGGTCCAGTCAGTTGCCTGGCACAGCTGGGTTGGTCTCTTTTCTCAGAGACATCTATCGGCTGTGTTACTGAGGACAGCAAGTTGAGGGTTGCCCCCACCCCAGGAGCACAGCCCATCACTGGCCCTATTGGCCCTTCATAGGCGTGGTCCTCTGCTAAGGATGGTTAAATTCTGCCAAGCTCCCATCGTCCCCCCCGTCAAAGGGGAAGAGGGACATTATGCATGGTGCAGCATGGGGCTTGTGGTCCTCTGTCTGAACCTTGAGCATGGCACCCATGCTGGGTTGGGGAGGTACATACAGAGACACCCAGGGGCATCCTTGGAGAAGGGCTGTCTTTGCTCGGAAAGTAAATGCTCATTTCTGCTCTGTAGCAAAATCCTGCTATGTATCCAATTTCCTCCTCAAGCCCTCGACAGATTTTCCAAATGGTCTCGAGGGGTTCAGCATTCAGACTGTAGGTAGTCTGGGCTTTGCTGGGCTTAGGGACTGTGTCCTCATGATCCCTGGTCTGGGAACATGGTCTCCAAGCCTAGCAAACCCCAGACTTCTTAGTATTCTCTGGATGTCCCTATGCAGCACCAGGAAGAAAGAACAATTTCTCCCCCGACCCTACTCTAGACTTCTCTGCCAGTCTCATCCCTCCCTTGCTACCTGTGGGCTTCCTGAGCCCTCAACCCTCAAAGCCACAGTCTAACACAGTTAGAGTTAATGCCAACTGCACCTCATGGTAGCTGTGTGACCTTGGGCAAGGTACTTATCCTCTCTGGGCTCCATTTGCCTTCCCCATAAAATGAAAATGATGATAATCCTTAACTGAAAGAGTCATTGTGAGGATCAGATGAGATCATTGAAAGGCTGGCACGTCGTCAGTGCTTAATAAACAACAGGTGGTATGGTTATCATTGTCATCTGTGGATAACTGTCTTTAACCTGGACCTCCTTTTCTGCCCCTCTCCTCCATCTCCCTAAATCCAGACTTGTCACCTTCCTAAAGCCCCTGTGGCCAGAACTGGGGTGGCTGGTCAGGTCCTTCTCCCAGGCAGGCAGGAGGCAGGGAAGTGTGTCTGAGCAGCCTGCATCCCTGGTAGAAAAGATAAAACGGGTCTTCGGAAGCCGGGGTGCTCCCACTTTGGTCATCATTCATACTCCTAATTTAAGAGGATTTCAAGAATCAGCATTTCTGTGGTAGAAGCCAAAGCCAAAATACAGAGAGCGCGAGAGAGTCATTGAAGGCCACAAAGCAAGTCCAGGCCAGAGCAGGGTGAGAGTCTTGGTCAACCTAACATCCAGCGCTCCTCCCCATCTGACTCAACAGCTCTCATTTCTCTAGAAGCCTCATTCTGAAGCTTTCCTGTTCAGAGAAAGCAGCAAACAAAGCGCAGAGCCAGCCCCCTGGGCCTGGAGCCCTGAGCTCCCTGGGCAGACCCACAGGCTGACAGAGACGTTACCGGAGTTGATGATTCAACTTCCTGCCTTTTGAGAGCTCCCAGACCACAGAGGTTTTCCTGCATGGAGGAGGGGGCATCTCCTTGCAGAGGGCCAGCCCCAATGGGACAAGGCCCTACCACAAACCACAAGGACAAGGCAATGCCTGGAGGGGGCCCTGGGGGCCACACCTGAACCCTGGCCAGCTGGCTCCTGAAGCCTGGCCCTCTCTGGGTTAATGATTACTACCTAGGGTGACCAACTGTTCTGTCCTGGTTTGCCTGGGACTGTACTGGTTTTAGCACCAAAAAATCTAAAGCCTAGGAAACCCCCATTCCTGAGCAAACCAAACAGTTCGCCATTCATACCACCCGTATGGTAGGACAGGACTTACAGCCTCAGTGATTATGGGGAATCTGAGCCCCAGGATGGCACATTCTACAACAGAGAATTGGCCAACTGTGGCCTGAAGGCCAATTCTGGCCCACTACCCATTTTTGTATAGCCCATGAGCTAAGAATAGTTCTTACTTTTTTTTTTTTGAGACGGAGTCTCACTCTATTGCCCAGGTTGGAATGCAGTGGCACAATCTCGGCTCACTGCAGCCTCCGCCTCCCGGGTTCAAGCGATTCTTCTGCCTCAGCCTCCCGAGTAGCTGGGATTACAGGCATGGACCAAAATGCCTGGCTAATTTTTGTATTTTTAGTAGAGACAGGATTTCACCATGTTGGCCAGGCTGGTCTCAAACTCCTGACCTCAAGTGATCCGCCTGCCTCGGCCTCCCAAAATGTTGAGATTACAGGTGTGAGCCACCGCGCTCAGCCAGATATGTAAAAATTATGTGAAATTCAAATTTCAGCGTCCATAAATAAAGGAATACAGCCACACCTGTTCATTTACATGTTTCCTCTGGCAGCTTTCACATTATAAGGCAGAGTTGAGGAGCTGCAGCAGAGAATCTATGGGCCTATGGACTTCAAAGCCAAAAAGATCTACCATCTGACCCTTTACAGAAACAGTTTGCTGACCCCTATTCTAGAGGCATGCAAAGGGTGGGTGGGTGTGAGTAGGCAGTGATGCTTTTGTGAAGAAACTCAGGACTGGGGAAGGAGAGGGAGATTAGAGGAGTGGGCGTGATAGCACAGCACTTATCCAAGATTCAGCAGATTAGCTGTGAGGCAGGGACTAGGCACCTATGCCTTCTAAGACTCAGTTTGCCATCTGTACGTGGGGAGAAGGCAGGGCAATAGGAAGGTATGTGCTTCTCTCTGACTTCATGGACTAGTTTTTCAAGCTGCCACTGTCCTCTCCAAGAACTCAGCCACCACCAGGGACTTCTGTGTGGCCTAGGGCAGGTCCTGCCTTCTCTGGGCCTAACCTTGAGGCCTCTCCACCCTACAGAGTAGGTTCTTACCTGGCTTTAAGGCAGACCCAGGACCGGACACTTCATTCCATCTAGACTTTCAACAAGGGTGTGGAAGTACCTACTGTGTACAAGGCACTCTTAGGGCCCTCTGGCATTGAATGGTCCAGTGAATACCTCTTTGCCTTTCATCCAGACATTTGGGTGAGGAGCTCTCCTCCCTGAGACATGGTGCAGGTGGGGCCATTAACTCCTGCCTTCCCACCCCCACTCAGGTGAACATCACTGGAAACTTCTCAAGTGCCAAGCCATGCCCTGAGGGTTGCTGAGCTTGGCCAGCAGGAAGCTGACAATCTGGGAGAGCTCAAACAATGTAGAAAGACACTGGTGAAACTGGGATCCAATGCCCAGCCTAAAGTGGGCCCAATTCAGCTCCTCCACCCACCCCTGCCTACAGCCTACAATAAGATGCTCTCTCCTTTTTATTCTAGAGGGCTAAGGAAGGGGTTTATCTGAGCAGATCAAGGTTCTCGGAAGGCTTGTGGGGAGCCAACCTCAGCTCAACATAGACAGTGGTCTCTTTGGTCCGCTCAGGCAGGGCTAGAGCCATCCCTTTGCAGAGCTTCTGTGTGCCCAGTGACACTCTCAGCCCCTCCTGGGGACACTCATCCTACTAAGCCACCTCCCTCTTTTCCTCTGTCCCCACAGCTCTGGTTGCTGACATCAGGTTTTAGGACTTTGGAAAACCTAGTAACTAAGGATCAGCAGAAGATACCACCGAAAGAGATGCTCAGTTTCCAAGCTCTCCCTGGAATTCTCTCATGCAGTAGCGTCAGCAGGTTTAGCTATTTACTTATTTAATTATTTATTTATTAGACCGAGTCTCGCTCTGTCACGCAGGCTGGAGTGCAATGGTGTCATCTCGGCTCACTGCAGCCTCCGCTTCCCAGGTTCAAGCAATTCTCCCGCCTCAGGCTCCTGAATAGCTGGGATTACAGGCAACCGCCATGATGCCCGACTAATTTTTTTCTATTTTTAGTAGAGACAGAGTTACACCATGTTGGCCAGGCTGGTCTCAAACTCCTGACCTCAGGTGATCCGCCCACTTGGCCTCTCAAAGTGCTGTGATTACAGACGTAAGCCACCAAGCCTGGCCGCTATTTATTTTCTTAAGTAAACTTTTGTGTTGAAGTATAATATACAGTCATGTGCTGCACAATGATGTTGCAGTCAACAACAGACCAGATTATAATGGAATTGAAAAATTTATATTGTCTAGTGACATCATAGCTGTGGTAATGTCATAGTGCCACACATTACTCACATAGTTGTAGTCATGCTGGTCTAAACAAACCTACTACACTGCAGTCGTGTAAAAGTATAGCACATACAATCATGTACGGTACATAATACTTGATAATAAGCGACTACGTGACTGGTTTATGTATTTGCTATACCATACTTTTTATCATTATTTTAGAGTATACTCCTACTTACTAAAAAAGTTAATTGTCCAGGCGCGGAGGCTCACGCCTGTAATCCCAGCACTTCGGGAGGCCGAGGCGGGAGGATCACGAGGTCAGGAGCTCGAGACCAGCTGGACCAACATGGTGAAACCTTGTCTCTACTAAAAATACAAAAATTAGCCAGGCGTGGTGGCACGTGCCTGTAATCCCAGCTACTCAGGAGGCTGAGGCAGGAGAATCGCTTGAACCCAGGAGGCGGAGGTTGCAGTGGGCCAAGATCTCACTGTTGCACTCCAGCCTGGGTGACAGGGCGAGACTCCGCCTCAAAAAAAAAAAAGAAAAGGGAAAGGAAAATATTTTTGCACAGCTGTACAATGTGTGTTTTAAGATAAGTGTTTTTACAAAAGTCAAAAAATTAAAGTGCTTACTTCAGCCGCACATATACTAAAATTGGAGCAATACAGAGAAAATTAGCATGGACGCTGTGCAAGGTTGACACGCAAATTCATGAAGCATTCCATATTTTTCTAAATGCCCATCAGTGATAGACTGGATAAAGAAAATGTGGTACATATATACCATGGAATACTATGCAGCCATAAAAAGGAACAAGATCATGTCCTTTGCAGGGGCATGGATGGAATTGGAAGCCATTATCCTCAGCAAACTAACGCAGGAACAGAAAACCAAACACTGCATGTTCTCACTTACAAGTGGGAGCTGAATGATGAGAACACATGGACATATGGAGCGGGGAACAACACACACTGGGGCCTGTCGGGGGATGGTGGAGGGAGGGAGAGCATTAGGAAGAATAGCTAGTGGATGCTGGGCTTAATACCCAGGTGATGGGAAGATCTGTGCAGCAAACCACCATGGCACACATTTACCTATGTAGCAAACCTGCACGCCCTGCTACGCCCGAACTTACAATTAAGTTGAAGAAGAAAAAAAAAGTTGAAACAGAATTTAAAAGGTTACAGTAAGCTAAAATTAATTTATTATTGAAGAAAGAAAATATGTTTTTCGAGACAGGGTCTCGCTCTGCTGTCTAGGCTGGCACAGTCATTGCTCACTGCAGCCTCAAACTCCTGGGCTCAAGCAATCATCCCACCTCACACTCCCACCTCAGCCTCCCAGGTAGCTGAGCATACTGAGCTATTATTTTTTATTTTTTGTAGTGACAGGGTCTCTCTATGTTTCCCAGGCTGGTCTTGAACTCCTGGCCTCAAGTGATCCTCCCATCTGGATCTCCCAAAGTGCTGGGATTTACAGATGTGAGTCACTGCGCCCAGCCTGAAAGAAAAATTTATTTTATTTTTATTTTTTATGGAGTATGTGGATTTTGTTTGTTTGTTTTTGATACAGGGTCTCACTTTGTTGCCCAGGCTGGGGTGCAGTGGTGTGATCACAGCTCGCTGCAGCCTCAACCTCCCAGGCTCAATCCTCCCACCTCCCAGCAGTCCTCCCACCTCAGCCTCCTGAGTAGCTGGGACTACAGGCACGCACCACCAGGCCTGACTAATTTTGGTATTTTTTGTAGAGACAGGGTTTTGCTATGTTGCCCACACTGATCTCAAACTCCCAGGGTCAAGCAGTCCTCCTGCCTCAGCCTCCTAAAGTGCTAGGATTACATAGTAAGCCACCACACTTAGCCTAAGAAAAAAATTTTAAATAAATTTAGTGTAGCCTAAGTGTACAGTGTTTATAAAGTCTATGGTAGTGTACAGCAATGTCCTAGGCCTTCACACTCACTCACTGTTCACTCACCCAGAGCAACCTGCAGTCCTGCAAGCTGCATTCATGATGAGTGCCCTAAATCTTTTACACTTTTTTTTTTGGAGACAGAATCTCACTCTGTCACCCAGGCTGGAGTGCAATGGCATGATCTTGGCTCACTGCAACCTCCGCCTCCCGGGTTCAAGCAATTCTCCTGCCTCAGCCTCCCAAGTAGCTGGGATTACAGGCACCCGCCATCATGCCCAGCTAATTTTTGTATTTTTGTAGAGACAGAGTTTCACCGTATTGGCCAGGCTGGTCTTGAACTCCTGACCTTAGGTTATCCACCCACCTTGGCCTCACCCTCCCAAAGTGCTGGGATTACAGGTGTGAGCCACCATGCCCTGCCTACACTGTATTTTTACAGTACCTTTTCTGTGTTTAGATACACAAATACTTACCATTGTGTTACAATTGCCTACAGTATTCAGTATAGTAACATGCTACACAAGTTTGTAGTCTAGGAGCAACAGACCATACCTTACAGCCTAGGTGCATAGTAGGCTGTACCATTGAGGGTTGTGTGAGTATACTCTATGATGTTGCCACAATGATAAAATCACCTAACAATACATTTCTCAGAATGTATCCCCATCATTGAGCAATGCAAGGACTGTACCTACAGAAAAGTGCATCAATCATTAGCTAATCACAGCTCCTGTGATCACACCTGAGTAACCATCACCTGTGTAACCAGAAACAGAACATCAAAGCCCCCTCTGCCCTCTCCAAGTCACTGCCGCCCCCGAGATAACCAGTATCATGGCCTCTCACAGCATAGATTAATTTTGCCTATTTGTGAACTTTATGTCAATGGAATCAGATAGTATATACTATTTTTATGTCTGGCTTCTCTTGCCCAATGAGATTTATCTATGTTGTTGAGCATAAAATACTCTTCTCAGTCTCAGAGCTATATTTTGTGACTATATCACAATTTATTCATTCCACTGTTGATAGAAATTTGGGTTGTTTCCAGCTTTGACTATTACAAATTGTGCATGTCTTTGGGACACATATGTATGCCTTTCTGCTGAGAATATGTATTTAAGAATGGAGTTGTTAGGCCATACGGTATGCCTATGTTTAACTTTAGAGGCTACTGCTGAACAGTTTTCAGGTTATTTTACCGGGGGTTAATTTTTTTTAACAGCACAGGCTGAAACTTCAGGTGATGTTTTTAGAACTACTTATATTGGTGGTGAAAGGCAACATCTCAACCTATTTCTCAGGCTGCAAATACTTGCCATGTCGACTCTAAAAGAGGTCCAGAAATGCTGCCCATGGAGCCTCTTCTGAACCCTATTCTTTTTTTTTTTTTTTTTGAGACGGAGTCTCACTCTGTTGCCCAGGCTGGAGTGCAGTGGCACAATCTTGGCTCACTGCAACCTCCGCCTCCCAGGTTCAAAGTGATTCTCCTGCCCCAGCCTCCCAAGTAGCTGGGATTACAGGCGTGCACCACCACACCCGGCTAATTTTTGTATTTTTAGTAGAGATGGGGTTTCACCATGTTGGCGAGGCTGGTATGGAACTCCTGACCTCAGGTGATCGGATTACAGGCGTGAGCCACCACGCCCGTCCTTTCTGAGCCCTATTCTTAATCTGCACATCAACTCTGCTGAGCTCTGGCTTATTGAGAGTGTGTGGGGCCTGCAGAGCACATGCAATACCAGGTCCTTTGCCCGAAAGGCAACACTGTCCTCAGTGGGGCCCGCAATTTCACAACCCAAATCAGAACATGGAGTCTGACAGCTAAGCAGGATATTTGAAGCTGGGACTATCCTAGGAAGCCAGTTTTTCTCTCTCTCTTTTTTTTTTTTGTTTTTGTTTTTGTTTGTTGAGACAGGGTCTCACTCTATAGCCCAGGCTGGGGTGCAGTGGCGAAATCTCGGCTCACTGCAGCCTCTGCCTTCTGGGCTCAACTGATCTTCTTGCCTCAGCCTCCCAAATAGTTAGGACTGGTCAAGTTGCTCTTGAACTCCGGGACTCAAGCCAGCCTTAGCCTCCTAAGGTACTGGGATTACAGGCATGAGCCACCTTACCTGGCCAGAAAGCCTATTTTTCTTTTTTTTCTTTTTCTTTTTTTTTTTGAGATGAAGTCTCACTTTGTCACCCAGGCTGGAGTGCAACGGCATGATCTTGGCTCACTGCAACCTCCGCCTCCTGGGTTCAAGCAATTCTGCTGTCTCAGCCTCCCAAGTAGCTGGGATTACAGGTGTGCGCCACCACACCTGGCTAATTTTTTTGTAGAGACGGGGTTTCGCCATATTTCCCAGGCTGGTCTTGAACTCCTGGATTCAAGCGATCTGCCCGCCTAGGCCTCCCAAAGTGCTGGGATTCCAGGCATGAGCCACCTCGCCTGGTCGGGAAGCCTATTTTTCTAATAATGGATGAGAACAGTGAGGCTCCAATATGATGCTAACGTTATCACATGGTACTGTAAATATAACCAGTGCTTGGGTAAGCATAGGCACAGAGAAAACAACAACAACATAACCCAGCCCGCCCTGCGACTGAACAGACCTCTCTACTTGTGCCAAATTCCTTCCACCTATGTAACTGACTTAGCTCAGAACTGCTGGGGGATTGGCAGGCTGTTTTCAGAGAGAGGCAGGGAAAATCCCCATCTGGTCCCTTTCTGAGATGCTTCTAATTCATGGGACCTCATGTCAGTCTCCCTGGCCTAGGTCTTCAGCCCCTAGAAGGGATGGAGCTGATTGCGTCTCTAGTAGAAACTCGCCTCTGTATTTTCCTTGGGAAAGAGAGTGGCTCCCTTAAGGTTTGGGTAATTATTTCCATCAGTTTGAAGGACTGGACATTAAGGGCAAGAATCATGGGGCCGGGCGCGGTGGCTCACGCCTGTAATCCCAGGACTTTGGGAGGCCGAGGCGGGTGGATCACAAGGTCAGGAGATCAAGACCATCCTGGCTAACACGGCGAAACCCCATCTCTACTAAAAATACAAAAAATTAGCCAGGCGTGGTGGCAGGTGCCTGTAGTCCCAGCTACTCGGGAGGCTGAGGCAGGAGAATGGTGTGAACCCGGAAGACGGAGCTTGCAGTGAGCCGAGATGGTACCACGGCACTCCAGTCTGGGCGACAGAGCGAGACTCTGTCTCAAGAAAAAAAAAAAAAAAAATCATGGTTAGTTTGCTATTCACCGGTGCGAGCAATGAAGTTCAACCAGTACCCATGGCCCCCTTGGGTTCTGGATCATTGTTGTGAGGGACTGGTCTCCCTGGAGACTGTCTTTGAGGAGTCCTGGGCCAAGAATGGGTGGGGGCTCTCAGCTTGAGTATTACCATGATGCCAGGAAATAGTTATTTATTTCTTTTTTTCTGGGCCTGTGCTTACCCAGGAAATATTTCATAATAGACCCAGGTTAGTTTCTTCAGCTCCACATAGCCAACAAGTGTACTTGGCTAGATATCCCCATCAACCATTGCCCCAGCCATATGATCAGGTTGTTTGCAGGCTGAACCTCCCCAGACTGGCTTCCATGGGCTTATTCCTGAGCTTTGGTGAGGTTGGGGAATGGTACCAGAGTTCCTTCATCCAGACACCTGGTCTCTAGATTGCTGCTGAATAGCCCTGGCCATTGGTCAGTTGACCCTCCGTCTTCTCTTTTGTATAGTGGGAAGATAGCGGGGGACTTGCCTTACCCTGGGGCTCTGAAGAACTACTGGACCAGAGAGAAGACCCTCTGGTGATTTCATTATGGACATTCCCAAGGAGTTGGCTCTAGGCTGGTGCTTTGACAGGGTGTGTGGGTGAGAGCCAATTAGAACATTTTTAGCTGCAAGTGATATAAAACTCATCCAAATTGGTTTAAGCAAGAGACCTATTTATTTGTTGGTTGGTTTTGTTTACATAATGGAAATATTCTGGGGCTTCAGGCACAGTTTGATCCAGGGGCTCAAAAATATCATTGGACCAGGCCATTTTTCACTTCTGCTTTCTTTAGAGTTGGCCTTGTTCTCAGACTCTGGTGGCAAGACAGCTGTCAGCAGCTGCTGATGCTCTCACATCTCCAAGTCCAAGAGAAAGAAGAGCATCTTTTTCTGTCCACTTGAATATCTGATATTCGCTCTGATTGGACCTCATGGCTTGGCTTGGGTCCCATGCCCATCCCTAAACCAACCACTGTGCAGCTCTGCATAGTGCATAATGCGCTATACAGCTCTGATTAGCCAGGCTTGATTCACCTGTGACTCTTACGCCATGGAATTAATTCCACCTGAAGTACATGAGCTGAAAATGACAAGAGTAGTTCCCCAGGTAAAATTGGGGTGCTATTACCAGAAGAGGGGGAGTGGGTACTAAGCAGAGAAATGACAACAGCTATCAATAGGAAACAGTCATGTATGGGCAGGATTCTTCTGGTCTGGGTCTATATAGGACATCGGTGTACTGATGCACAGGATACAGAGAGCATATGACATACCACCCAACTCCAAGAAAATGTTGGGCTGTCCCAGAAGCCTCCAGATACTGCCCACCCCTCTGAGACCTAGTGTTTCATAGTTAATCACCATGTAATCTGGACATTCAGAATCCACAAGAGTCATCACCCTCTGCCTGGAACGGGGGTCATCTGACCCATGCCTTCTTACTCCCTGAATGTACTGTGTTTTCTTTGAGGGTAAGGACCACAACTTTGCCCTTTTAATATCTGCAGAAATACTTATGAATGAATAAGAATAATCTTTGGCAGGTGTGTAGAGCTTGATATTCTCTCTCTTTCTCTTTCTTCTTGTTTTTTTTGAGACAAAGTCTTGCTCTGTTGCCCAGGCTGGAGCGCAGTGGCATGATCATAGCTCACTGCAACCTCCAATTCCTGGCCTCAAGTGATCCTCCTGCCTTAGCCTCCCAAAGTGCTGGGATTCCAGGTGTGAGCCATGGCGTCCAGCCCCCAAGCTTAATATATTCTAAAACCTCTTTAACATCTATATCTTATTTGATTCTTTGTTCTTTCTTTTGGCTACCCAGGATCTGAGCCCTCTTCCTGTGTTGGGAAATTACCTTCACTCTGAGACAGAGCCCATTTCCCTCTTTAGAGGCTGCAAGTACCATGTGCACTCTTTTGCCAGCCTCCCAGTGGCTGGGTAAGGGCACAAGACCTAGGCTCTCACAATCAACCACACAAGCTCCAGACTAACCCAAGAGCTAATGACCCCAGGAAGCAGAGAACACAGAGAACTCTCCTTAATGGTTACTGTGGGTGTAGCAGGCTGGCGTCCTCAGGGTGGTAGAGGTGGTGGCACCTGAGGGCACGGACATGGTCCCTGCAGCCTAGCCTGCAGAGTCTAGAGCATGGTGTCGGTGATGACCATGATGGCAGCAAGGCCCTGACTAAACCAGTTCTTCAGTGTGATCTGGGGCCTTGCTCATTGCTGTGTAGTCCCTGGGTCTGCTTTTTCTGCTCTGTCCAGAGATTCTCTGAGCTGCTCAATATCTTTATTATTTTTCTCCTTAAGTCAGCTAGTCAATCTGCCTAAGTTAAGAGCCATTTTCTGTTACTTGCAGTTAGAAATCCTTGAGGTAGGACAACTTTTTTCAGATGAATAAGCTGAGGCTTAGAGACTGGCCCAAGCTCAGGCAATGTAATGATTTCTGAGTTAAGACCAGAACCCTGGACTAGGTGGGACGGACCTACAACAGGCAAGTGGGAACCCAGGCAAGGAAGAACTTTCTCACAAGGGGAGCTGCCTCACCAGGTAGGAAGCCCCCTGTTACTGCAGGTGTGCCAGCAGGATCTGGGGAGATTTAAGGGAGAGGCCGCACAGGGTAACTCCAGTTCTCTTCCTCCTCATGGATTACACATGTCACCATTTGCCCAACCTGGATGACTCTTGGTGAACACAGGACTGTAAAGATGACAACACAACCCCTGGTGCTGCAACTTCAAGCTCCCACAATCTCTTTGCCAGCGCTCCTATCCTGGCCCATGACATAACTGTTGCGAGTCCTGTGTCCCAGAGCAAGTCATGGTGTTTATGGGCCTCCGTCACTTTAATGAAAAAGCCCCTACACCAAACAAATACAAGCACAGACATTTGCAACTAATTATGGTATTGCTGATCAGTCAAATTTCATTGCAAATTGCATGTTGAAATTGATAGTGGGCGAGTCATGAATAAACTGGTTGTCTGGAAAATGACACGGGCACACAGGAGTAGATTAATAATTCAATTTAGACTCAGCCAGACACCGAAGAAGAGAAAAAGCAGATTAACATTGCCCCAAGGTTGCTTGTTTACCTGGGTACCTCCTGCCAATATGCCTGGCTTCTAAGGGAAGCCCGTCCTGCTTTAGGATCCTCCCACTTTGGGAGACCACAGGACACTGAGTATTCCAGGCTTTAATTCTTGGTTTGTAAAATTGCAGTTTTGAGTGGTGTGGGGAGGAGAAGACTGCCCTACGTTCCCATCCACTGCTGAGAAGCCCACTCAGAAGACTTTTTGGAGCACAGACGCCTCTGGCTGCGGCATATAGCACTCCTGGCCTCCCATTTGTAGTTCCTGGGCCTGGGGGAATGTAGCCCACCTTAAAAGCCCAGGTGGGTCGCTTAGGTCAGCTATGGCTTCAGAAGAGTGAGCCCAGAAAAGGTGGGTGAGGAGCCAGAGTGGCCTTACAAAGCTCTCTTACTGTTCTCCCCAGTGCGGTCTCAGAAGGCTATGAAGTCCAGAAGAGAGAGAATCCCAGCTTGGTGTGGAGGCTCCAAGATTGATGGGCAATGTCCTCACAATTGGGGCCCTCAGCGATGTCCTCCTGGAATGCGTTACTGTGCCACTTCACCTGTGGAGGAAGGCAGAAAGAAGACACAGGGCAGGCAGACTACACAGGTGCCAAGGGGCAGGCACTCGTCCACTTGTGAGGTGCGGAGATGCAGCCACAGTGACCACACCAGGCTGGCTCAGCCAGCTCAGAGTGGAGAGTGAACCACCTGGCCCACAGTGTCCACCGACCCACTGCTCTCACCCTATAGGCCTGTACAGAGGAAAGGTCTTAATTTGTACCCTATAGATTGGGGGGTCAGAATTCAAATGTCTACCTGAAAGCGGGCCAGTTATGGACAGCAGGGAGTTGGCCAGCTGAAACTGATTGGTAAGGGGCGGCCATGACTCAGCTTCAAGAGACTGGCTAGAAACAACAGGAGTTGCAATTTAGAAAAAGGTTTAGGCCAGGGATATCCAGGTGGAAGTGGTCAGCAACTGAATGGCCTTTAAAGCCAGGACCCTGCAGGAGATGATGAAGAGAGTGAGTGTAGACGAGAGACAAGAGGAGGCCCAAGGATTGAGCCTTGGGGGTGAGGGGGTGTCAGCGAGGAGACAGAGAAGAGGCAACTAGAGACATAGGAGGGAAACTGGAGACAGAGATGTGAGCCTGACACCAGGGAGGAGAAGCCTGTTCCACGCTACGGAGGTGCAAGGAAGGTGAGGTCCGATAATTGCCCGCTGCATCTAACGTGGAGAGTCCTTGAAAAGGCAGTTCTGCTGTAGTGGTGGCGCCCTGATGGGAGCTGGGGGAGAAAAAGGAAGGAAGGGAGGAGAGGAGTTGAAGGTAGCAAAGAATTCTTTCTAGGAGTTATGCCGTAAAGAGGAGAGAAGAAATAGGGTCAAGAGGAGGGCTTTCTTTGAGAAGAATTGCAGCTTTTTTGTGTGCTGACGAAAATGATCCTGGAGAGAGGGAAATTTGATGCTGTGGGTGAGAAGGGGGCTAGGTGTTGGCATGAAGTCTTTGAGTAGGTGGGAGGGGATGGCATCTGGTGCACGAAAAGGGGCTGCCCTGAAATAGGAGCACGGACGGCTCGCCCATGTCAGTGGGATGGCAGGCAGAGTGGAGGGCACAGATGCGGGTGGGTGGGGGAGTAGTGGTGGGGCCTGTGGAACTTCTCTTCTGAGAGCTTCTATTTTCTTAGCAAAATCGGAAGAGGTTGTCAGCTGAGAATGAGGTGGAAGAGGAGGTGTGAAGCAGTCGTCTAGGAGAGGGGGTGTGAATAGGCTTGGAGATATAGTAGGATTGCTGGGCAGCTGTTAGGGCTCACTCAGGGAGGGTTGTGGTCATTAATTTAAAGTGAGACTGGTCAGCCCAGTTATGAGATTTTCTTCAGTTCTGGTCAGCCTGGAGGTGCACAGGTGGAGGGGGCAGAGGACTGAATTTAACTGAGGTTGTGATTTTGCCAGGTGACTACTGTGGCCAGCGGGAGAGTATAGTATTGGATCATGAACTCCAAGCTGGGTAAGGAGGGAAGGCGGGCACTATGAGGATGAGGAATGGTGAATATTTGCTTGGAGCAGTAGGTTCCAGGAGGAATTGCTGGCTTTGGGGTCCTGCGGGAGTGAGCTGGAGAGCAAGGCAGTGTTTATTGGAGTGTGAGATGCATGAAATTGAGATGACGAAGGGATTGCATTGACAGATAATGGCGGGTTCAAAATCTGGCTATGGGAGCAAGAGGCTGAGGTACTAGGGAAGCCAAGATCGTGGAGAGGAGGTCAAGGGCCTGAGAGGCATTCATCTACATGAATGCTCACATCGAAAACTGCAGCAGGAGTCGGGTGGGAGACGAGGACTGGGAGCCAGGAGCAAACATCCTCAAGGAATGAGGGAAGTGACCCAGGGCTTTGTAAATTGCTACAAAAAGGAGGAATAACAGTGATCTTGTCTGACAGTATGACATTCAAATATGGGTGTTTCTAAAGAGGGTGGCAAACTGTCTAGCAGTGGCACTGAGGAGCAAAATGGGCACCTCCTTACCCCTAGACCCGGGGCCACAAGGGCCACAGAGGGAAAACGGCCACCTCTTAAGAGGCTGCAGAGGGGGCAGAATCCACACAGGAGAGGCAGTTTCCATTAAAGCAAGAAAGTGAAGGGGACATTCAGAAATGGGGCTGAGAATATAGGGCCATACTGGTGAGTTTCAGAGAGTCCCGTGAAAGGATTTCTAGAGATGGGGTAGGGAGATGAGGTCAGCAAAGCAAAATACAGCATCCGGTAGGGCTTCGAGTCCTGGGGTGCAGGCTACCTGAGTGTTCTGGGCCTCCTGTGGGAACTGCTGTGAGCAGAGATAAAGGGTCTGAGGGGCCCAAGGCTGGGCTTGTTGGCAGGTGGAGGGGTTTTTCACTCCTGCTGATGATGGTGCTGTGAAGCTCTGAGGAGGGGCAGTCTTTTTAGAGCAGGTGGGGCTCTGGCTCCCTCCTTACTCCCAGGTAGGAATGTCAATCAAAACTCTCAGGCCAGGCTCAGCGGCTCATGCCTGTAATTCCAGCACTCTGGGAGGCCAAGGCGGGCAGATTACCTGAGGTCAGGAGTTCAAGACCAGCCTGGCCAACATGGTGAAACCCCATCTCTTCTAAAAATACAAAATTTAGCCAGGCATGGTAGCACATGCCTGTAATCCCAGTTACTTGGGAGGCTGAGACACGAGAATCACTAGAACCCGGGAGGTGAAGGCTGCAGTGAGCCAAGATTATGCCGCTACACTCCAGCCTGGGCAACAAAGCAAGACTTTGACCCTTGCCCCCACCAAAAAAAAAAAAAGCTCTCTTCACAGAACTAATACTAAGCCACAGACACATCAGTGAAAAATAATTGCCCAGAAATAGACTCATATATGGCATAATAAATCTGTAGTAAACTTGGGCCTCAAAACAGTAGGGATAAGAAACATGATTTTTTTTTTTTTTTTTTAATTTTTGCAGGGACAATTGGTTAACTAATGGGGACAAAATAAGTCCAGATCTTTACTTCAGATCTCATACTAAATGAATTCATGTGAATTAAAAACTGTAAAAATGTAGTGTTTGTGTAAAGATAGAACACTCATATATATGGTCAATAGATTTTCAACAAATGCTACCAATGCAATTCAATGGGGAGTGAACAATCTTTCCCCAACAAATAGTGCTGGAACAATTGTATAGCCATATGCAACATAATGAACCTTGACTCTTAGGCCAGTACAAAACGCTAACTTGATATGGATCATAGGCCTATATGTATGAGCTAAAACTATCAAACTTCTAGAAAAAAACATAGCAGAAAATCTTAGTGATCTTGGGTTTGGCAGAGACTTCTTAAATGGGCTACAAAGAGCACAAACTATAAAAATCGATAAATTGGGCATCATCAAAATTAAGAGCTATTATGAAAGGCAAGCCACAGACTGGAAAAAAAAATTGTAAAACATATATCTTAAAACTCAATAAAAAGATAACCCAATTGAAAAATGGGCAAAAGAATTGAATATGCACCTCATCAATGAAATATATTTAGATGGCAAATAAATACATGAAAAGATGCTCAACACAGTTTGTCATTAGGCAACTACAAATTAAAACTACATGCCCCCTAGAAGGGCTAGAATTTAAAATAACTGACCAGGCTAGGCGTGGTGGCTCACATCTGTAATCCCAGCACTTTCATAGGCCGAGGCAGCCGGATCACCTGAGGTCGGGAGTTTGAGACCAGCCTGGCCAATATGGTGAAACCCTGTCTCTACTAAAAATACAAAAATTAGCAGGGCATGGTGGCATGCGCCTGTAATCCCAGCTACTTGGGAGACTGAGGCAGGAAAATCGCTTGAACCCAGGAGGTGGAGATTGCAGTGAGCCGAGATCTTGCCACCGCACTCCAGGCTGGGCGACAGGGCGAGACTCCATCTCAAAACAGAAAAACAAACAATAAAACAAAATAACTGACCAAATCAAGTATTGGCAAAGATGGAGTCCAGGAAGGGTACAACAGGAACTCTCTCATATGCTGCTGATGAGAACGCAAAATGGAACAACCACTTCGGAAAACACTTAGATCATTTCTTAAAAAGATAAATATATACCTATCATATGACCCAGCCATTCCATTCCTAGGTATTTACCAAAGAGAAATGAAAGCATATGTCCATACAAAGTTTTGTACACAATGTTCATAGTTGCTTTATTTATAACAGCCCCAAACTGGGAATAATCCAAATGTCTATCAACAAGATAGTGGAAAAACAAATTGCCATATATCCAGATAATGGAATACTGCTCAACAATAAAAAGGAATGAACTGCTGTTACATACAACAACATAGATGAGCCTCAATATAATTAGTATATACTGTATAGTTCCATTAATATATGATTCTAGAAAAAAGACCAACCTATAGTGACGGATCAGGAGGCACAAGGAGACACTAGGGGATTATGAGTATATTATATGAACACTGCAGAGTCTAACCTTTCTTCACTTGATAGGCATTTATGTTGTTTCCAGTTTGGGCCCTGTGGTAGACAGAGAGATGTGTCACCCAGATCCCTCTTCAAGGAAGGATTTGCTGTCCAGTTGTAGAGGGTGTGATCAGCAGAAACCTTCAGATGACAGCTTCTTTGGGGTCCACCTGAGCTGCAGAGAGCTGCCTTGCCCAACATCATATCCTTTCCAGAGCACTTTGCATCTAGTATCCAACGAAAGCAAGTGAATGGAGGCTGGGCCATTTTCATCCAACACAGGACAACTCAGATGCAGACTATTTGCACCAGAGTTCCCCGCCAGCTTGGCTTGGGTTTCATTAGGCCTGCATCACAGTTTTAACTTCTGCCCAATCCTGCTTTTTCTCCCTTCCCTTCAGAGATGTTTGTATTAGTCTATTTGTGTTGCTATAAAGGAATCCCTGAGACTGGGTAATTTATTAAGAAAAGAGGGTCGGGTGTGGTGGCTCATGCCTGTAGTCCCAGCACTTTGGGAGGCCTAGGTGGTCGGATCACCTGAGGTTAGGAGTTCGAGACCAGCCTTGCCAACACTGTGAAACTCTGTCTCTACTAAATATACAAAAATTAGCCCAATGTGGTGGTGGGTGCCCATAATCCCAGCTACTCGGAAGGTTGAGGCAGGAGAATTGCTTGAACACAGGAGAAGGAGGTTGCAGTGAGCCGAGGTCACGTCATTGTACTTTAGCCTGGGCAACAAGAGCAAAACTCCATCTCAAAAAAAAAAAAAAGAAAAAAGAAAGAAAAGAGGTGGAGGGAGAAGAGCAGGAAAAAAAAGAAAAAAAAAGTAGGCTTATTTGGCTCACCATTCTGCAGGCTGTACATGAAGCATGATGCTGCCAGCATCTACTTTATGGAAGGACCTCAGGAAGCTTCCTCTCATGGTGGAAGGCAAAGGGGGAGCAGGTGTGTCACATGGCAAGAGATGGAGCAAGAGAGGAGGAAGTAACAGGCTCCTTTAAACAACCAGCTCTCCTGTGAACTCATTACCACTCATTACTGCAGCAAGGGCACCAAACCATTCATGAGGGATCAGCCCTGTGACCCGATGCCTACCACTAGGCCCACCTCCAGCATTGTGGGTCACATTTCAACATGATATTTGAAGGAGACAAATATCCAAACCATATCAATGTTGATCCTAATAAATATCTTGTACCCCAAACTCTATCCCAGCATGTTTCCTGAGAACCTGACCTATGACAAGACTACTACAAACAATGCTTCTATGAACATTCTTGTCCATGTTTCCTGATGCACGTAAGCTCACTTTTCTGTAGGATATTTATCTAAGAGCAGAATTGCTGGGGCATAGAGTATGTTATTTTCAGCTTAATTGGATAATGCTGAACTGTATTCTAAAGTAGTTATACAAGTTTGTGTAAATTTACATGAATGAGTGTTTTTGCTAAAACTTGGAATTGTCAAAATTTTAAATTTTGGTCAGTTTGGTAAGTGTGTAGTAGTACTTTATTATGCTTTTATTTTACCTTTCCCACATTACTAAAGAAGTTGATCACATTTTTATGTTACTGACTTTTGGATTTCTTTTTTGTAAAGTTCCTATCTTTTGCCCATTTTTCTGCTGGATTGCCTGTCTTTTATCACTAATTGATATGAATTCTGTATATATTCTAGCAACAAGATTTTTGTCAGTTTTATCTGTTGCAATTATCTTCTATTACTCTGTGGCTGGCCTTTCACTCAATGTTGTCTTTTGATGAACAGATATTCCTAATTTTGTCCATCTTTCCTTTGCGATATTACTTTTTGTACCTTACTTAAGAAAACTTTTAAAATCCAAGACTATGAAGATATTCTTCTACATTATTACTTTAAAGCTTTGTAATTTTGTCTTTTATATTTAGGGCCATATGACACTGGAGTTGATTTTGAGGTATGGTGTGAGGTAGGGGTCCAATTTTATTATTTTCACATATGGGTACTCAGATATCCCAGCAAAGTTTATTGAGAGTCTTTTTGCCACTGCTATATAGTGCCATCTCTGTCATACATCAAGCATCTAAATATGTGTGGATCTATTTCTGTGATCTCATCTCTTTTCCATTGGGCTTATTGCGCATCCCCAAATCAATGCCATCCCCTTTTAATTACAACAGCTTTATAGTAATTTAGTACTTACAGAAATTTAGAGCAATTTCTTTAACTTCATTCTTCCTCTGTAGTGACCTAGCTCTTCTCGGTCTTTCACATGTCCACGTAAACGTAAAAATTATCTTACCAAGTTCTAGAAAAAAATCCATCTCGCTTTGTCACTCAGGCTGGAGTGCAGTGGCATGATCATAACTCATTACAGCCTTGAACTCTTGGGCTCAGGTATGCCTCCTACTTTATCCTCCTGAGTAGCTGCAACTTCAGGTGTGTGCCACCATGCTCAGCTAATTTTTATATGTTTTTTGTAGAGATGTGAGATGTGGTTTCGTCATGTTGCCCAGCTGGTCTCAAACTCCTGGGCTCAAGCGATCCTCCAGCCTCAGCCTCCCAAAGTGCTGGGATTATAGACTAATGTGAGCCACAGCACCTAGCTACATGGGTTTTTATTAGAAATTACATTGAGTCTGTATATCACTGTGAGAAGAACTGACAGTGTTTGTAATATTGAGTTTTCAAATCCATGAACATCATATATTACTCTATTTACTGAGATCTTCTTTGGTTTCTGTCAATAATACTATATATTTTTCTGCATTAGAGACTTATTCAGCTGTTACTAAATTCTGAATAATTTGGTATTTTAAAATTATATTATGAAGGCTGTCCTTTTAAAATATAATTTTCCCTTTGTTGCTGTTAAACACATTGATTTTTGTATATTGATTTTTTTGAAGTCCAGGAAACTTGAATTATAGATTAATTCTAATTATAGATTTAAAAATTCCTTCTGTATACAATCATAACATCTATAATTTTTGCTTTTTTTTTTTTTTTTTTTTTTACAATCCTTATTCCTTTTCTTTTCTTTTTTGGAGACAGAGTCTCATTCTGTCACCCAGGTTGGAGTGCAGTGGTGCAATCCCGGCTCACTGCAACCTCTCCCTCCCAGGTTCAAGTGATTCTCCTGCTTCAGCCTCCCACGTAGGTGGGATTACAGGCACCTGCCACCATACCCAGCTAATTTTTGTATTTTTAGTAGAGGTGGGGTTTCACCATGTTGGACAGGCTGGTCTCAAACTCCTGATCTCAAGTGATCCGCCTGCCTTGACCTCCCGTGAGCCACCGCGCCTGGCATCATTACTACCACTTTTATTTAACATTATACTAACGGTTCTGGCCATCACAGTAAAAAACAAAACAAAACAAAACAAAACACGGGCCGGGCGCGTTGGCTCCTGCCTGTAATCCCAGCACTTTGGGAGGCTGAGGCGGGTGGATCACGAGGTCAGGAGATCAACAGCATCCTGGCTAACACGGTGAAACCCCGTCTCTACTAAAAATACAAAAAATTAGCCGGGCGTGGTGGCCTGCGTCTGTGGTCCCAGCTACTTGGGAGGCTGAGGCAGCAGAAAGGCGTGAACCCAGGAGGCGGAGCTTGCAGTGAGCAGAGATCACGCCATTGCACTCCAACCCAGGAGGCGGAGCTTGCAGTGAGTGGAGATCACGCCATTGCACTCCAGCCTAGGAGCTCGCAGTGAGTGGAGATCACGCCATTGCACTCCAACCCAGGAGGCGGAACTTGCCGTGAGCGGAGATCACGCCATCGCACTCCAGCTTAGGAGCTCGCAGTGAGTGGAGATCACGCCATTGCACTCCAACCCAGGAGGCGGAACTTGCCGTGAGCGGAGATGACGCCATCGCACTCCAGCCTAGGAGCTCGCAGTGAGTGGAGATCACGCCATTGCACTCCAACCCAGGAGGCGGAGCTTGCTGTGAGCGGAGATCACGCCATTGCACTCCAGCCCGGGCGACAGGGCGAGACGGGAGTCTCAAAAAAAAAAAAAAAAAAATGTAGTAATGAATGTCTCTGTTTTGTTCCAGTTTTCAAAGGGAAAACTTTCATTGTTTTACCACGAGGTATAATCCTTGTTTTATTTCTTTAAAGACAGCCTTTATATAATCAAGACAGCTTCTTTACATTTCCAGTTTGATAAAAGTGACCTTTAAAAAATTATTCAGGCCGGGCGCGGTGGCTTACGTCTGTAATCCCAGCACTTTGGGAGGCCAAGGCGGGCGGATCACGAGGTCAGGAGATCGAGACAATCCTGACTAACACGGTGAAACCCCGTCTCTACTAAAAATACAAAAAATTAGCCGGGCGTGGTGGCGTGCGTCTGTGGTCCCAGCTACTTGGGAGGCTGAGGCAGCAGAAAGGCGTGAACCCAGGAGGCGGAGCTTGCAGTGAGTGGAGATCACGCCTTTGCACTCCAACCCAGGAGGTGGAGCTTGCAGTGAGCGGAGATCACGCCATTGCATTCCAGCCTAGGAGCTCGCAGTGAGTGGAGATCACGCCATTGCACTCCAACCCAGGAGGCGGAACTTGCCGTGAGCGGAGATCACGCCATCGCACTCCAGCTTAGGAGCTCGCAGTGAGTGGAGATCACGCCATTGCACTCCAACCCAGGAGGCGGAACTTGCCATGAGCGGAGATGACGCCATCGCACTCCAGCCTAGGAGCTCGCAGTGAGTGGAGATCACGCCATTGCACTCCAACCCAGGAGGCGGAGCTTGCTGTGAGCGGAGATCACGCCATTGCACTCCAGCCCGGGCGACAGGGCGAGACGGGAGTCTCAAAAAAAAAAAAAAAAAAAAAAAAGTGGTAGTAGTGAATATCTCTGTTTTGTTCCATTTTCAAAGGGAAAACTTTCATTGTTTCACCACGAGGTATAATCCTTGTTTTAGTTATTTTTTTAAAGACAGCCTTTATGTGATCAAGAAAGCTTCTTTACATTTCCAGTTTGATAAAAGTGACCTTAAAAAATTATTCAGGCCGGGCGCGGTGACTCACGTCTGTAATCCCAGCACTTTGGGAGGCCAAGGCGGGTGGATCACGAGGTCAGGAGTTGGAGACCATCCTGGCTAACACGGTGAAACCCCGTCTCTACTAAAAATACAAAAAATTAGCCGGGCGTGGTGGCGGGCGCCTGTAGTCTCAGCTACTTGGGAAGCTGAGGCAGGAGAATGGTGTGAACCCGGGAGGCGGAGCTTGCAGTGAGCCGAGATCGCGCCACGGCACTCCAGCCTGGGCGGCAGAGCAAGACTCTGTCTCAAAAAAAAAAAAAAAAAAAAAAAAAAAGAAACAAACAAAATACAAAATTATTCAAGGCTGGGCATGGTGGCTCATGCCTGTAATCCCAGCACTTTGGGAGGCCGAGATGGGAGGATCACTTGAGGTCAGGAGCTCGAGACCAGCCTGGCCAACATGGTGAAACCCCGTCTCTACTAAAAATACAAAAATTAGCCAGGCATAGTGGTGGGCACCTGTAGTCCCAGCTACTCGGGAGGCTGAGGCAGGGAATCGCTTGAACCTGGGAGGCAGAAGTTGCAGTGAGCCGAGATTGCGCCATTGCACTCCAGCCTGGGCAAAGAGCAAGATTCTGTCTCAAAAAAAAAAAAAAAAAATTCATTCATTTAATTCAATGTTGTGTTTTATAAAATACTTTTCCTGCATCCACTGAGATAACTGTAGTCCTTTAATCTGTTAATATGATAAATTGCATTAACTTGTTTTTTTGTTTTGTTTTGTTTTTTTGAGACAGTTTCACTCTTGTTTCCCAGGCTGGAGTGCAATGGTGTGACCTCAGCTCACCACAACCTCCACCTCCGTGGTTCAAGCGATTCTCCTGCCTCAGCCTCCCGAGTAGCTGGGATTACAGGCCTGCACCACCACGTTGTATTTTTAGTAGAGACAGGGTTTCTCCATGTTGGTCAGGGTGGTCTCGAACTCCCAGCCTCAGGTGATCCGCCTGCCTCTCTGCCTCCCAAAGTGCCGGGATTACAGGCGTGAGCCACCATGCCCGGCCAATTTTTTTTTTTTTTTTTTAATATAACCTGATGGTCATATGTACTATCCTTTTTATATGTTGCTAAATTTTAACAATACTTTGTTTAGGGTTTTTATATCTGTGTTTATAAAGGAGATCAGTCTTTAATTTTTCCATTTTGACCTTGTCAGATTTGGGGACCAGGGTCATGTTAGCTCTATAAAATAAGTTGAGGAAGGTAACACCAGTTCTTTGGGAATAGAAACTTCTGAACTTCTAGAAGAGTTTGTGTAGGAATAGAATTTATTTTCCGTTGGATATTCAATGTAATTCACAGGTTAGGCTATCTGGGTTTGGAGTTTTCTTTGTGGGAAGATTTTAAATTATGGTTTCAATCTTTTCTTTGAGACAGAGTCTTGCTCTTGTCGCCCAGGCTGGAGTGCAATGGCGCAGTCTGGGCCACTGCAACCTCCACCTCCTGAGTTCAAGCGATTCTCTTGCCTCAGCCTGCCAGGTAGCTGGGATTACAGGCACCTGCCACCATGCCCAGATAGTTTTTTGTATTTTTAGTAGAGATGGGGTTTTGCCATGCTGGCCAGTCTGGTCTCGAATTCCTGACCTCAGGTGATCCACCTGCCTAGGCCTCCCAAAGTGCTGGGATTACAGACATGAGCCACAGTGCCTGGCCAGTTTCAATCTCTAATAGTTATAGGACTATTCACGTTTTCTCCTTCTTCATGAGTCATTTGGTAAATTATTATTTCTGGGAATTTTTTCATTTCATCTATATGTTTTTATTGGCAATAAGTTGTTCATAACTTCTTAGTAATTTTTAGATGTATATGTGATCTCTTGTAATGTCTTCTTCATTCCTAATATTTGTTTATTCTTTTTTTCTTTGTTAGCTCACCCGAGTTTTGTCATTTGAATTAGTCTTTTGGAAGAACAAAGTTTCATATTAAAAAAAAATTATTGTCAAGGCATGGTGGCTCACACCTGTAATCCCAGCACTTTGGGAGGCCGAGGCAGGTGGATCACAAGGTCAGGAGTTTGAGACCAGCCTGACCAACATGGTGAAACCCTGTCTCTACTAAAAATACAAAAATTAGCTGGGCGTGGTGGTGTGCACCTGTAATCTCAGCTACTCAGGAGGCTGAAGCAGGAGAATCGCTTGAACCCAAAAAGTGGAGCTGGCAGCGAGCTGAGATCATGCCATTGCATTCCAGCCTGGGTGACAGAGTGAGACTCTGTCTCAAAAAAAAAAAAAATATTTCTATTGTTTGTTTGTTTTTTATTACCTGAAATTTTTCTCTTACATTTATTATTTCATCTTCTTTCTTTGAGAATAACTTCCTGAAATATATCCTTGGTTTATCCATTTTTAACAAGTGTTCTTTTAAAATGTATGCATTTAATGCTATAGATTTTTCACTAAATACTGTCCTAGCTATACCCACAACATTTTATATGTAATATTTTTACTATTTAAGTAGTCTCTTCGTTATCCAGAGATTGGCTTTCTGTGGTTTCCATTATCCATAATTAATCGCAACCTAAAAATATTAAATGAAAAATTCCAGAGGTAAACTATTCATAAGTTTTAAACTGCGTGCCATTCTGAGTGATGCGATGAAATCTCACAATGTCCTGATTCTTCCCACTGGGAATGTGAATTGTCCCTTTGTCCAGGGTATCCACACTGTATACACTGCCCATCTGTTAGTCACTTAGAAGCTGTCTGGGTTATCCAATGGACTGTCATGGTTTTGCAGTGCTTGTGTTAGGTAACCCTTACTTTACTTCATAATGGCCCCAAAGTACAAAAGTTGTGATGTTGGCATATTGTTATAATTGTTCTATTTTTTTTATTATTGTTACTAATCTCCTAGTGTGACTAATTTATCAATTAAACTTTATCATAGGTGTGTACATGTAGGAAAAACCATCATGTACATAGGGTTTGACACTATGCATGGTTTCAGGCATCTACTGGGGTTCTTGAAATGTAACCCCCATGGATAAGGGGGGATTACCGTCATCAGTTATTTTTCTTATGAAATGGTAGGAGTTCTTTACATTCTGGATACAAGCCATTTACTAGTTATTTCATAAATATTTCCTCTTACTTTGGGTCATTCTCATAATGATATTTTGATAAACAAATTTTAAATTTTAGTATGATTCAATTTGTGCATCTTTTTGCATGTTTAGTTTAATAATTTTTTTTCTATCCTGAGGTCATAAAGATATTTTCCTATAGTACCTTTTAAAAGCTTTCTATTTTTGGCTGGATGTCGTGACTCATGCCTGTAATTCTAGCACTTCGGGAGGCTGATGTGGGAGGTTTGCTTGAGTCCAGGAGTTCAAGGCTGCAGTGAGCTATCAGTGTGCCCCTGCACTCCAGCCTGACAACAGAGTGAGACCCTGCCTCTAAAAAATAAAAATAAAAAATTTTGAAAAGGCTGGGTGCAGTGCCTCACACCTGTAATCCCAGCACTTTGGGAGATCGAGGCGGGTGGATCACTTGAGGGTCAGGAGTTCAAGACCAGCCTAGCCAACATGGTGAAACCCCATCTCTACTAAAAATACAAAAAATTAGCTGGGTATGGTGGCAGGTGCCTGTAATCCTAGTTATTCAGGAGGCAGAGGCAGGAGAATTGCTTGAACTCGGGAGATAGAGGTTGCAGTGAGCTGAGATTGCACCACTACACTCCAGCCTGGGCGACAGAGCAAGACTCCATCAAAATCAATCAATCAATCAATCTTTATATCTTCGCCCTTTCTTTTTCTTTTGAGATACGATCTCACTTTGTCACCAAGGCTGGGGTGCAGTGGTGTGATCTTGGCTCACCGCAGCCTCCACCTCCCAGGCTCAATGAGCCTCCCACTTCAGCTTCCCAAGAAGGCAAGCACCACCATGCTCAGCTAATTTTTAATTTTTTGTAAAGACAAGATCTCACTATATTGCCCAGGCTGGTCTCAAACTCCTAGCCTCAAGCAGTCTTCCCACCTTGGCCTCCCAGAGTGCTGGGATTAAAGGCGTGAGACACTCTGCCCAGCCTAAAGACCTTTTTGAAATATAATAATTCATAATGTTGCTCAAACTGTGGGAAAAATACTGGCAGTTTGCTTGAAGAATCTTACAAATGTTGGCCCCTCCCGTTTTGATGCAAGGCAGGCAACCCTTCAAATTGGGACTTAGCCTGGGAGGGTTCTTGGCTTTGCCCAGGAAAGAAATCAAGGGCAAGCTGGGGGTGTTAGATAGCAACTTTTTTTTTTTTTTTTTAATTTTAAAAAATTTTTTGAGATGGAGTCTCTCTCTGTCCCCAGGCTGGAGTGCAGTGGTGCAATCTTGGCTTACTGCAACCTCCACCTCCCGAGTTCAAGCGATTCTCCTGCTTCAGCCTCCCAAGTAGCTGGGACTGTAGGCACGCACCACCACACCCAGCTAATTTTTATTTATTTATTTATTTTTTTAGTCGAGATGGGGTTTCACCACGTTGGCCAGGATGGTCTTGATCTCCTGACCTTGTGATCCACCTACCTTGGCCTCCCAAAGTGCTGTAATTACAGGCGTGAGCCACCGCGCCTGGCTATTTTTGTATTTTTTGTAGAGATGGGGTTTCACCATATTGGTCAGGTTGGTCTCGAACTCCTGACCTTGTGATCCACCTGCCTCGGTCTCCCAAATCCCACACTGGGATTATATGCGTGAGCTGCCGCGCCCGGCCAGACAGCAACTTTTACTGAAGGGTGAGCTGGAGGTGTTAGCCAGCCACTTTTATTGAAGTGGTGATATTCAGCAGCAGCAGAAGTACTGCTTCTTGTGGAGCAGGGATACTCCATAGACACTATGCTGAGAGTAGCAGCTCAAAGGCAGGTCTGCTGTCATATTTATATCACTTTTTATTAAATGCAAATTAAGGGGCAGATTATGCAGAAATTTCTAGTAAAGGGATGGTAACTTCCAGGTCACTGGGTCGTTGCCATGGAAAGGGACAGTAACTTCTGGGTGTTGCCATGGCAGTGGTAAACTGACATGACACACTGGCAGGGCATGTCTTATGGAAAGCTGCTTCCACCCAGTCCCTATTTTAACTAGTCCTCAATTTGCTTCAGTGTCAGCACTCTACTTCCGGAGTCGAGTCCTGACCCCTGCCTCACTTTGACCCAATTACTTCTAGGAATCAATCCTAAGAAAATGGTTCTCAGATCAAGCATGGTGACTCACGCCTGTAATCCCAGCACTTTGGGAGGCCAAAGCAGGCAGATCATTTGAGGTCAGGACTTCTAGACCAGCCTGGCCAACATGGTGAGAGTCTCTACTACTAAAAATACAAAAATTAGCTGGGTGTGGTGGCAGCAACCACCTGTAATTCCAGCTGCTTGGGAGGCTGAGGCAGGAGAATCTCTTGAACCTGGGAGGCGGAGGTGGCAGTGAGCTGAGATCCTGCCACACTCCAGCCTGGGAGACAGAGCAAGATTCTGTCTCAAAAACAAAATAAAACAAAACAAAAAAACAAAACAAAAAAAACCAAAAAGGGTTCTCAGTAAATAATAATTACTTCTAAGAAACAATCATAAGGATATTCATTAAACCACAACATGTAATGATAAAAAATGTTAGATGAGTTAGATATATAGTAAAATAAGACATATTTATAATGAAATGTTTTGTAGCTATTGAGAATTTATTATGGGATTCTGAGATTGCACATAATCCTTAACTATTATTTCACTTCATCACAAATATGTACATATGTACGTATTGTAATTTAAAAATCAAATAAGTTTTTTTTTTTTTTTTTTTTGAGATGGAGTCTCACTCTGTCACCCAGGCTGGAGTACAGTGGCAGGAACTCGGCTCATTGCAAGCTCCGCCTCCCAGGTCCACGCCATTCTCCTGCCTCAGCCTCCCGAGTAGCTGGGACTACAGGTGCCCGCCACCACGCCTGGCTAATTTTTTTTTGTATTTTTAGTGGAGACAGAGTTTCACCGTGTTAGCCAGGATGGTCTCAATCTCCTGACCTCGTGATCCGCCCGTCTCGGCCCCCAAAGTGCTGGGATTACAGGCTTGAGCCACCGCGCCTGGCCTCAAGTAAGATATTTTAAAGATACTTTAAAGTAACACTTCTTTTTTTTTTTTTTTTTTTTTGAGACAGAGTCTTACTCTGTCACCCAGGCTGGAGTGCAATGGTGCAATCTCAGCTCCCTGCAACCTCTGCCTCCCAGGTTCAAGCGATTCTCCTGCGTCAGCCTCCCGAGTAGCTGGGATTACAGGGGTGCCCTATCACGCCCAGCTAATTTTTGTATTTTTAGTAGAGACGGGGTTTCACCATGTTGGCCAGGCTGGTCTCGAACTCCTGACCTCAGGTGATCCACCCGCCTTGGCCTCCCAAAGTGCTGGGATTACAGGCGTGAGCCACCACTCCTGGCTAAAGTCATACTTCTAAAGAGCTTTAAATCACATGTAGTAATGCTCACAAATGTAATTTTTTTTATTGAGGTGAGGTTCACATAAAAAAAATTTGGGGCTGGGTGTGGTGGTTCATGCCTGTAATCCCAGCACTTTGGGAGGCTGAGGCAGGAGGATCACTTGATCCTGGGAGGTCAAGGCTGCAGTGGGCCTGGGTGATGGAGTGAGACCATCTCAAAAAAGTTTTTTTGTTTTTTCCTAGTGTTTTGTTGAGGATTTTTATATCTATAATCATAAGAGATGTTGATCTGTAGTTTTCTTTTTTTGTTTTTGTTTTTTGAAGACAGGGCCTTACTCTGTTGCCCAGGCTGGAGTACAATGATACAATCTTGGCTCACTGCAGCATCAACTTCCCAGGGTCAAGGATCCTCCCACTTCAGCCTACTGAGTAGCTTGGACTACAGGTATAGGCCACCATGCTTGGCTAATTGTTTTGTATTTTTTGTAAAGACGAGGTCTCTGTTGCCTAGGCCAGTCTCGAACTCCTGGAGGCTCAAGGGATCCTCCTGCCTTGGCCTCCTAAAGTGCTGGGATTATAGGCATAAACCATGGCACTTGGCCTGTAGTTTTCTTTTCCTGTGATATCCTTGTCTGATGTTGATATCAGGGTAACACTGACCTTTATATACAAACTTTAAAGTCAGCAATTCAGTATCCTTTAGTACATTCACGATGTTATACACCCACCACCTCTATCTAGTTCCAAAACATTATCATCACTGCAAAAGGAAACCCTGTACCCATTAAGCACTGACTCTCCATTCCACTCCCTCCCACACACACACACCATTGAGCCCCTGGCAGCCACCAACCTGCATTCCATCTCTACGGATTTACTATTATGGATATTTCATATAAATGGAATCATGTAAGACCTTTTGTGTCTGGCTTATCACTTAGTCTGATGTTTTTGAGGTTCATCCATGTAGAATGTAGCAGTACTTCATTCCTTTTTTATGGATGATTAGTGTTCCATTGTAGCTTACAAGAGTAATTTTAACATTAAAAAACAACAAAATGGCATACCAAGCTCCATATAGAACATGATGTCAATTTTGTATTTTAACATGTATATAAGCATAGAAAAAAGTGGGAAGAAAATATGCCCAAATATTAACAGTGTAGCGAGGCGTGGTGGCACATACCCTCCTCTAGGGAGGTTGAGGCACGAGAATTGCTTGAACCCGGGAGGTGGAGGTTGCAGTGAGCCAAGATTGCACCACTTCACTGCAGCCTGGGTGACAGAGCAAGACTCTGTCTCAAAAAAACTGATTAATTGGCTGGGTGCGGTGGCTCACACCTGTAATCCCAGCACTTTGGGAGGCCGACGCAGGCGGATCACCAGAGGTCGAGAGTTCAAGACCAGCCTGACCAACATGGAGAAACCCCATCTCTACTAAAAATACAAAATTAGCCAGGCATGGTGGCTCATGCCTGTAATCTCAGCTATTCGAGAGGCTGAGGCAGGAGAATCGCTTAAACCTGGGAGGCGGAGGTTGTGGTGAGCCGAGATCGTGCCATTGCACTCCAGCCTGGGCAACAAGAGCGAAACTCCGTCTTTAAAAAAAAAAATTGATTAATTAACAGTGGTTACCTCTACATAGCAGGATTATGAGTAATTTTAATTTTAGTTATACTTTTCTATATTTTCTTGTTTTTATGATATGGAAAAATAAGTCATTTAAAAAGATAAACTGGGGAGCTGGGTGTGGTGGCTCATGCCTGTAATCCCAGCACTTTGGGAGGCTGAGGCAGGCGGATCACCTGAGGTCAGGAGTTCAAGAGCAGCCTGGTCAATGTGGTGAAACCCCATCTCTACTAAAAAAAAAAAAATACAAAAATTAGCTGGGGCGTAGTGGTGTGTGCCTATAATCCAAGCTACTAGGGAGGCTGAGGCAGGAGAATTGCTTGAACCCGGGAGGTGGAGGTTGCAGTGAGCCAAGATCGTGCCATTGCACTCCAGCCTGGGTGACAAGAGCAAAAGTCTGTCTCAAAAACAAACAAAAAAACAACAGCAGGCAACAATTCTCAACTTATTGTATAAGGTCAAGTATTAACCTGGTATCAAAAGTAGATAAAGATATTACAAGAGAATAAAACTGTAGACCAGGATCTCTTACAAATGCGGACATTAAAATCCTCAACAAAACGCTAGCTAATCAAATCTAGCCATCTCTGAAAAGCTTCATACACTATAACCAAGTGGATTTGTTCCAGGAATACAAGGTTGGTTTAACATCAAAAAATCAATTAATGTGATACACCATATCAGTAGAAATAAGGACAAAACCCACATGACAATTTCAATAGCATTTGGCAAAATTCAACAGTCCTTCATGATAAAAACACTCAACAAACTAAGACTAGAAAGAAACTTCCTCAGCCTGATAAAAGGCATCTAAAAAACTCTAACATCCTATTTAATGATGAGAGATTAAATGCTTTCCTTCTAAGATCAGGAACAAGACAAGAATATCTGCTCTTACCACAAATACTCAACATTGTAGTGGAAATTCTAATCAGGGCAATTAGGCAAGAAAAAGAAATAAAGGTCATCCAGACCACAAAGGAAGAAATAAAACGATCTCTTTTCACAGACGGCATAATCTCGTATATAGAAAATCCTATAGAATCCACCAACTATTAGAATTAATAAACAAGTTTAGCAAGGTTGTAGGATGAAAGATCAATATACAAAAATCAATTGTATTTCTATATACTAGCAATATAATCCAATAACAAATTAAGAGAACAATTCAAAAAACCAAAATATTTAGGAATAAATTTAACCAAGAAAGTACAAGACTTATATATCAAAAACTACAAAACATTTCTGAAATAAAGAAGATCTAAATAAATGGAAAGAAATGTTCATGGATCAGAGGACTTAATGTTGCTGAAATGGCAATATTCACTAAATTGATCTACAGACACAATGTAATACCCATGGAATTCCAACTGGTTTCTTTGCAGAAATTGACAAGTTAATCCTAAAGGTCATGTGGAAATGCAAGGGAACCAGAATTGGCAAAATAATCTGAAAAAACAGTTGGAGGACTGCCACTTCTCACTTCCAAAACTTACAGCAAAGCTACAGTAATTACAACTTTGTGGTACTGGTGAAGGATTAGACACATAGATCAATAGAATAGAACCAAGAATCCAGAAATTGGCCCTTATATTTAAGGTCGACTGATTTTTTTTTTTTTTTTTTTTTTTTGAGATGGAGTTTCACTCTTGTTGCCCAGGCTGGAGTGCAGTGGCGCGATAGCGGCTTACCGCAACCTCCGCCTCCTGGGTTTAATAGATTCTCCTGCCTCAGCCTCCTGAGGAGCTGAGATTACAGGCATGCACCACCATGCCTGGTTAATTTTTGTATTTTTAGTAGAGACTGGGTTTCACCATGTTGGCCAGGCTGGTCTCAAATGCCTGACCTCAGGTGATCTGTCACCTTGGCCTCCCAAAGTGCTGGGATTACAGGCATGAACCACTGTGCCCAGCCAGGTTAACTGATTTTTGACAAAGATGTCAAAACAGTTCAATGGGGGAAATAATAATCTTTTCAATGAATAGTGCAGAGGCAACTAGATATTCACATGCAAAAGAATAAAACTGGGGCCAGGTGCGGTGGCTCATGCCTGTAATCCCAGCACTTTGGGAGGCCGAGGTGGGCAGATCACCTGAGGTCAGGAGTTTGAGACCAGCCTGGCCAATGTGGTGAAACCCTGTCTCTACTACAAATACAAAAATTAGCCTGGCATGATGGTGCATGCCTATAGTCCCAGCTACTTGGGAGGCAGAGGCAGGAGAATTGCTTGAACCAGGGAGGCAGAGGTTGTGGTGAGCCGAGATTGCACCACTGCACTACAGCCTGAGCGACGCAGTGAGATCCTGTCTCAAAAAAAAAAAAATGAAAGTGGACCGCTGTCTCATACCATATGCAAAAAATTACTCAAAATGGATCAAAGACTTAAGTGTGAGAGCTAAAACTCTATAACTCTGACATTGTTTGTCTGTGTCCCCATCAAAATCTCATCTTGATTTCCCACATGTGTGGGAGGGACCTGGTGGTAGGTAATGAATCATGGGGGCAGGTCTTTCCCATGCTGTTCTCATGATAGTGAATAAGTCTCATGAGATTTGATGGCTTTATAAGGCAGAGTTTCCCTGCACAAGCTCTCTCTTTGCCTGCTGCCATCCACGTAAGATGTGACTTGCTCCTCCTTCCTTTGACCATGATTGTGAGGCCTCCCCAGCCACGTTGGACTGTAAGTCCAATAAACCTCTTTCTTTTGTAAATTGCCCAGTCCTGGGTATGTCTTTATCAGCAGCGTGAAAATGGACTAATACAAATTCTTAGAAGAAAACATAGATGTAAATCTTTATCTGGATTCATCAATGGTTTCTAAGCTATGAAACCAAAGTCACAAGCAAACAAAGGAAAAATAGATTGGTTGGGTACGGTGGCTCATGCCTGTAACCCTAGCACTTTGGGAGACTGAGGTGGGGATCACTTGAGCTCAGGAGTTCAAGACCAGCCTGGGCAACATGGTGAAGCCCTGTCCCTACAAAAAATACAAAAAAATTAGCTGGCTGTGGTGGCCCATGCCTGTAGTCCCAGCTACTTGGAGGGCTGAGGTGGGAGGATTGCTTGATCCCAGGAGGCTGAGGCTGCAGTGAGCTGAGGTTGCGCCACTGTGCTCCAGCCCATGTGACAAAGTGAGCCCCTGTCTCAAAAAAAAAAAAGGAAAAATAGTTAAATTGGACTTCATCAACATTAAAAATTTGCTGCAGCAGATGACATCACTAAGAACGTGTAAGACAATCCAGAAAAGTCTTACAAATCATGTATCTGACAAGAGACTTGTATCTAAAATATGTAAAAAACCCTTATAACTCAATAATGAAAAGACAACCCAGTTTTTAAAAATGGGCAAATGATCTGAATAGACATTTCTCCAAAGAAGATATACAAATGGCCAATGAAAATATACTCAGGGCCTGGGTGCGGCGGCTTATGCCTGTAATCCCAACCCTTTGGGAAGCCAAGGTCGCAGGATCGCTTGAACCCAGGAGTTGGAGACCAGCCTGGGCAACATAGTGAGACTCCATCTCTACAAAAACTTACAAATAAATAAAAGAAAATATATTCAATATCATTAGCCATCAGGCAAATGCAAATCAAACCATATTTAGATACTAATCATACCACTATGATGGCTACATTCAAAAGGATAGAAAATAACAAGTGTTGGCAATGATGTATACAAATTAGAAACCTCACACACTGCTGGTAGGAATGTAAAATGGTGCAGGTGCTTTGGAAAACAATCTAAACTGTTCTCCCACAGCTTAAACATGGAGTTACCATATGACCCAGCAATTCTACTCCTGGGTGTATACCCAAGAGAAATGAAACCATATGTTCACACAAAAACTTATACATTAATGTTCATAGTAGTGTTATTCGTAATATCCAAAAAGTAGAAATAATCCAAATTTTTGTGAACTGATAGATAAAATGAGGTATATCCATACAATAGAATATTACTCATCTATAAAAAGGAATACAATTCTAATATATGCTACATCATGGATGAATCTTCAAAACATATAAGTGAAAGTCACAAAAGACCACATATTGTAAGATTCCATTTAAAGAAAATGTCCAGGCCAGGTGCGGTGGCTCATGCCTGTAATCCCAGCACTTTGGGAGGCTGAGGCAGGCGATCACCTGAGGTCGGGAGTTCGAGACCAGCCCTGACCAACATGGAGAAACCCCGTCTCTACTAAAAATACAAAATTAGCCGGGTGTGATGATGCATGCCTGTAATCCCAGCTACTCAGGAGGCTGAGGCAGAATTGCTTGAACCTGGGAGGAGGAGGTTGCAGTCAGCTGAGATCGTGCCATTGTACTCCAGCCTGGGCAAGAAGAGCAAAACTGTCTCAAAAAAAAAAGTCCAGCATAGGGAAATCCATAAGGACAGAAAGTAGATTAGTGGTTACTTAGGGCTGCAGGTGGGGCGTGAGGGGGAAAGTGGAGTACCTGCTAATGGGTATATACATATACATATCTATATCTATATCTATATCTATCTATATATATGTATGTATTTTTTTTTTTTTGAGATGGAGTCTCACTCTGTCACCCAGGCTGGAATGTAATGGTGCAATCTTGGCTCACTGCAGCCTCTGCCTCCTGGGTTCAAGCAATTCTTGTGCCTCAGTCTCCAGAGTAGGTGAGATTACAGGCACCCGAAATCATGCCCAGCTAATTTTTGTATTTTAGTAGAGGCAGGGTTTCACCATGTTGGCCAGGCTGGTCTCGAACTTCTGACCTCAAGTGATCTGCCCACCTTGGCCTCCCAAAGTGCTGGGATTATAGGCGTGAGCCACCACACTTGGCCTGGGTATAGTTTTTTGAGGAGGGGGTGTGATGAAATGTTCTAACATTGATTGTGGTAATGGTTGCACACTCTGAATATTTGAAAAACCATTCAATTGTACACTTTGGATGAATAATATGTGAATTATATCTCAATCAAGCTGTTATTTAAAAAAAAATCTAAAAATGATGAGTTCATGTCCTTTGTAGGGACATGGATGAAATTGGAAATCATCATTCTCAGTAAACTATCGCAAGAACAAAAAACCAAACACCGCATATTCTCACTCATAGGTGGGAATTGAACAATGAGAACACATGGACACAGGAAGGGGAACATCACCCTCTGGGGACTGTTGTGGGGTGGGGAGACAGGGGAGGGATAGCATTGAGAGATATACCTAATGCTAGATGACGAGTTAGTGGGTGCAGTGCACCAGCATGGCACATGTGTACATATGTAACTAACCTGCACATTGTGCACATGTACCCTAAAACTTAAAGTATAATAAAAAAAAAATCTATGGATCTGAAAGCCAGGAGGTTTCTGGTGATGCCAGCCACAGCCATTTCAGCATGATGTAGGGGAACCGGAGAGTAGCAGGCTGAGGAGTACACTGGAGTAAGGAGAAAAGGAAGATACAAGAAGACTCAGGAGGCTCAGCTGGCCACGGAGGCAGAAGTGAGACTTGATGGAAGGGAGGTCCTTATCCTGCAAGCCCCCATAAGACACCATTGCATTCCTTAGCCTGAGATTCAGTGCCTCAAAGAAGCTGGTAAAGCTAACCCCATGGGCCTCTCCAGGCTTCTCTCTGGATGCTGTCCAGACTGGCCAGGTCAATCTTCTTGTCTATACCACTAAAACTTAGTCACTTGCAAGGGCTTACCACATCCCACCTCGTCTTGGAGCTCTTCCCTGGAGATGCCAGCTCCCACTGACCTCTCCCATCTCAGCCTGCTTTTACACTGCATACGAGAGGGCATCACCTTGCCATATTTTACAGCTTCTATATGTAACTCGCAAGCATGCAGAGGATGCAGGCATGTACACACTGCTTTCCCAGACTGTGAGGACAAGGGGACCCAGGCATGGTTCCGGCCTATGCCTATAAAGTCCCTGACTCTTATTCCCACTTGCTCAAGCAGGGACCCTGCAGCCCCGTACATGATATCCCAAGAATTTCTGGGAGCCCCAGGGGATGCTGCAGGTGACTGTTTTTTGTTTGTTTGTTTTTGTTTTTTGAGATGGAGTCTCACTCTGCAGATTGGACTGCAACAGTGCAATCTTGGCTCATTGAAACCTCCACCTCCCAGGTTCAAGTGATTCTCCTGCCTCAGCCTCCCGAGTAGCTGGGATTATAGGCATGAGGCACCGTGCCCGGCCACAATTTTTGGAACAAGTCCAAGAAGGTACCATGTCTACAGTCTTTCCTCTGCTGCTCTTCTGGTCATCCTCTGCCTCCCAGCTGAGGTGCAGGACTTGCTGGCGCTGGAGGCATTTTGTCAGAAGGGTCGCTGAGCAGCTCAGCTTGGGTGCTACTGCCTTGCCAAGTTGGTAATGAGAAAGCCCATGTTTGGGGGCCAGCTTTGTTCTTATGCTTTTTGTAGTCAGATATGAGGCCATATAAGGCTCAGCCGAGGATTTGGCCTAGTGTAGGAACTACACTGAATTCAGCCTCAAGCTGCAGCCCCTGCCACAACCTCTGATCAGTATGTTCTCTGCAGAGACCATGGGATTCCCCAACCATGGCCAGGAATCCCGGACTCACTGAGGCTGAGTTGAGGATCTGATTTAGGGAGCCTGAGATTGCCTGGGGTCTGGGACCCAGAACCTTGAGAAGTCTGCCAGACTTGATTCATTTAACATTTTCTTATACCACTGCCCTTGATCCAGGTGTGTCCAGGCTGGCCTCCTTTTGAGGAAATGATGATTGAACCTGGGTTTCTGGGAAGAGCCATGTTTTCTTTGGTGTCTACATGTATCCACTCATTCCACCTGAGCTAGAGCCAGCAAGTAAGAAGTACTTATCAATCCTTGGGTTCCAATGTTTTCAGAAGAGCACAAGTCCCATGAGGCTAGGGTTAAGGTGTGAGGAAGCCTTCTGAATACCCTATTCCCTCTTTTAAGATGCTCATTAATTAGCATATGAAATAAAAGTTTTGATAAAGCCTGGAGTATATGGTGTTTAGCTTTTTCTTTTTTTTCCTTTTTTTTTTTTTGAGACATGGTTTCACTCTGTGAGCTGAAGTGCAGTAGCACAATCATAGCTCACTGCAGCCTCAACCTGGGCCCAGGCTTAAGTGAGCCTCCCACCCCAGGCTCCTGAGTAACTGGGACCACAGATGTGCGCGGCCACACCCAGCTAATTTTTAAAATTTTTGTAGAGATTGGGTTTCACCATGTTGCCCAGGCTGGTCTCAAACTCTTGGGCTCAAGTAATCCTCCCGCCTCGGCCTCCCAAAATGCTGGGATTGCAGGCTTTCTTGAAGAGTGTTTGCCAAATACATTTGCCCCCAGGACCCTTTTTTGTTCACCCCACCCACGATCACTCAGGAGCACATTTTGGGAAATGCTCACCCCTACAATAAAGTCCAGAATCTGTAGCTGGCACTCTGGCCCCAGCCTACGAGTCTCAGCCAACCCATCTCCTCTCCTCCCAAAGGAACTCCTCTCCATATCTTAAAAGGCATAGCCCACAGCTGCCTCCACCTGCTGGGGTGCCAGTGTCCCGGGGCCACCCGTGTCCTCTCCCCACCTCCTAACCACAGCTCCTGCTTCTAACAGTGTCCTTGAGTATCCCTGGATGCCTGTCCTCCCTCATCCCCTTTTTGAGGGCATTCCTGCATCTCTGAATTGCCATCGTGAGGCCATGGAACACCACATTTGGCAACAAGCCAAGGGGACAGGCCTGGCCAATGAAGAGCTCTCGGAACCTGAGGCCCCACTCTCAGCTTCCCTACCCCGCGGGGACTCTGCCTCAGGCAGCAGAAGAGCAAGAGACAGGATTGGAGATGGAGACGGGGGTGGGGCGACAATCCAGCACCGGCACCTCCCACAGGCGGGGACCAGAGGCTGCCCTCTTCGCTGAGCCGGGCACTGGGTGAATGAATGATCAATGACAGTTCTTAGAAGCTCCCTCCTTTGCTACCCCCACCCCTCGCCCCAATCCCAGGCACATTCCCCACTAGGGAATTGGCCACATCCCAAGTCAGACACATCCTGGCTACAGCTGGCTCTGGGCCGGGCACCCCCGGGGCAGCCGGGCAGGGCGGGGTGTCCTGGAGAGCCGCGGATGGGCCTCACACCCAGGCTGGGCCAGGACACCCCGTCCTTGGCCGAGGCCCAAACCGGCTCTGTTTACAGAATCTGTCAGCTCTGTTTCCCCCTCCCCCACCCACCACTTCCCCTAGAGTCCTGGGGGCTGGGAAAGGTGCAGGCGGGGCCTGAGGGAGCTTAGGCGGCTGCCAAATCCCTGCGGCCCCATCAGCCCCTCTCCCCATCTTGGCTCCTAAGATCTATCCGCCCCAGTTCTCCAGTCTTCTGGTTTCCTCTTCAAAGCGTCGGGTGGCACTCCACCCCTGGGGAATGTGCATTTTGAGACAGATCTGGAGAAACAATCCTTACCCCCAAGGAAAATTTAGCTAACGGTGGAAAGATAGGCACCGTGCCGCCAGGGGCCCACAAGCTCGGGCTTTCTGGAACTGCTCCAGCCAGCCAGGAAGGAGACCTCCCTCCTTCCCTGGGACCCCAAGCCGATGGGCCCCTGGGAGTATTTCCAGAACTGCTGGAGGAACTTGGCGCAAGTTAGGTGTAGCCTGGCAGGCGGGCTGAGGGCTTTCGGGAGCAGCGAAGTCCGGAGATAAGGCCAACCGCTTGCAGGGCCGCCGTGACTCAGCTCCCGCCGGCCGCAAGGAAGCTCCGCGGCCCCCTCGGAGCAGGACGAGGAGGAGGGGCGATGGGCAGAGGCGGAGCCTGGGACGCCCCGCCCCCCGCTCCGGGAAGGACGACCCACCACACCCAGCTTCCCAGAGGCGCCCGGATTTCCCACGGGTTTCCCCGCTTGCTGTATATAATAACAAAGGCTGGCACTTTCTGAGCGCTCGCTCTGTGCTAGGCACTTCACAGGTCACTTGTTTGTTATCCCCAACAAGCCTCAGAAGCAGGTGCCATATGACCTCCACTTACAGACAAGGAAACAGGCTCTGAGAGGCCAAGTGACTTGCACAAGGTCACACGGCTACTGAGTGGTGGGGGCTGCAGCTTCCAAGCGCCCAGACCCCTCCTGCCCCTTCCCAGCCCCTATGTCCCGCTTTGAGAGGGGCCAGTGGGTCTCCTGGTGGTACCTTACTGGGCAAAACCAAGAACCTGGACATCTCCTGGCCTGGGAGCTAACTCAATGCAAGTATGTCATTTGGAGGCAAGTCCAGTCTGGTTTTAGGTGATGGCAAAGTTCCCAGCTCTAAGCTCCCCTTGACCTCCACTCTGAGGGAAACTCTTGGGCACAAGGATGGCCCCCTGACCCTCCTCCAGAATACTGCCCACACCAACACCCAGCCCTGCCCTCTGGAGGGATGAGTCTCCATCCAGAAAGCCCCTGGCTTGCTCACAAGTTAGCCCCTGAAACCTGCGGACTTGACAAGTGAGCAACAGCAGGCCCTCGTCGCTGCCACTGCCACTGGCTGGCCCCTGCCCATAGGTCAGTGCCAGGACAATGCTACAGAAAGCCAGTCTGAGCCCCAGGAGGGGTCAAGGAGCAAAGGGCAACCTGCACCCTAGGGCTGCTCTGCAAGGTAGTGAGCTGTCTGTCGTTTGGGGTGGGGGAGCACCTATGAAAGAAACAATTCAAAAAGAGGGGAGGATGAGATAACCTTTCAAACGCCAAACTCCTCTCTTCTATGAGGCAGGCAGTATACAAGTGAGTGGCTTATCTGACAACTGCTTAGATGGAAACTTTCCACTTTGGGAGGCCAAGGTGAGAGCGTTGCTGGAAGCCAGGAGTTTGAAACCATCCTGGGCAACAAAGCAAGACCCTGTCTCTGCAAAAAATTTAAAAATTAGCCAAGGCTGGACATGGTGGCTCACTCCTGTAATCCCAGCACTTTGGGAGGCCAAGGCAGGCAGATAACTTGAGGTCAGGAGTTTGAAACCAGCTTGGCCAACATGGTGAAACCCCATCTCTACTAAAAATACAATTAGCAGGGTGTGGTGATGCACACCTGTAATCCCAGCTGCTCCGGAGGCTGAGGCAGGAGAATTGCTTGAACCCAGGAGGCGGAGATTGCAGTGAGCCGAGATTGTGCCATGCCAGCCCGGGCAACAGAGCGAGACTCCTTCTCAAAAAAAAAAAAAAAAAAAAAAGGTAGTCGAGCATAGTGGCATGCACCAGTACTCCCAGCTACTCAGGATGCTGAGGCAGGAGGGTTGCTTGAGACCAAGAGTTTGAAGCTGCAGTGAGCTGAGAGTGCACCACTGCACTCCAGCCTGGGCGACAGAGTGAGACCCTGTCTCTAAAAATAAAATAAATAAATGAAGGAGACTCTCCCACTTCCTTCCCTTTTGACCTCTTTCTGCTGGGCCCTGTGGACTTCCTCCTGGAGACTCAGAAAACATTGGAAATAAGGGTACTCCCATGTGCCCCTGCCTCTGTTTGCCACTGTCTCAGTAACCAGTGCGTGGGCTCTGGGAGGCTCTGATTCATGGGAAGAAAGGAAGGGAGGGATGGAGGGAGGGAGGAGGAAGTCTTGAGATGAGACGCTGCTCTGTGGTTGAGTTGGTCTGACCTGGGCCCCAGTCCTAGCTCCAACCTCTTTTCCCAAATATGTGACTTTGAAAAATACCGCTTCACTCCCAGAGCTTCCATAAAATGAGAGAAATGCTTTGCTATAAATTAGATTTTTCTGCCAACCAGGATAATTCAAGAATTTCCCCTTGACATTCTCGAGATCAACCACCCTTCTGGTGAGAGTTGTTGATAGCAACCAGTGACCATGGTGGGCAAATGGTCAAATAAGTGACAGTGCCCAGTGGGCAGCCCAGCTCTACGTAGACATCATACTTGGCAGCTCTGTGTGGAGGAGGTAAGTCCCCAAGGACAGGCAAGTTTGGGTGCGAGAGGAGGGAGAGAGAAAGGGAACTGAGTAGGGGCTACAGAAGATGGGTTTCTTGCAATGGGAGGGGCTGTGGTCTGGGAATAGGGGACCTGTGTCCTGAAGATACTACTGGCCACCGCTTCTGTGTACACGGCATAGCATGAAGTGCTTCACACGCATTGTCACATTTAGCTCTGTCTGTAAGGCAGGTACTGTTATTACCCCCACTTTACAGATGCAAAAATCAAGGCTTGGAGAGGTTAAGAGATTTGCCAGTGGACGAGCCAGGCAGGCTGACTCTGGAGCCCTGTCCTGCCAGGTTCTGGTTCTGGTGCCTCGCCCTTGCCCTATCTCCTTCCCCCACGGTTGTCTTGGAGGCTGATACCCAATGGCCAGACCAATTGTGCCCAGTCCTCCAAGATCCCCACCTTTGCCTGACATGCTCTGTCTCCCCCTTCTAGCTGCCCTGTCCGGCCAGGGTAGCTTTGGTTGTGTTGGGTCTTGTGCAGAGAGAGCAGGGTTGACAGGGACTAGGATCAAGGCCCCAACTTACTGGAGACAGGATGTAGGAAAGGCCCTGTGGCTGGTGCTGTATCTTGCACAGCAAAGGAAGACCGGGAGGGTCTGTTACCCTGTTACCTGAACCCAGATCTGGTTTCAGAAGGATTGAGGAAGGTTTTAGACAGTTTTTCAGGGAAGCTGTAAGGCTGAGGCTGCCCCAGCTACAAGATGATACTGGAGGATGCCAAGGCCTTCTCAGGACCCCCACATTCTCATGTCGGAGTCGTGGTCTGGCCTGAGCCATCTCCTGGAGGATGGACTGCATTGCAGTCCTCCCAGCCTCCATGCAGTGGTACTGAGACCCCAAAGAGGGGCCCCATCCCCTTTGGTTTGAAGAGCTCCATCCCTGCCCTCTCACCTCCACTCTCAGTCGACTCTTCATCTTTCCTTGGAAACAAATCACTCCCAACTTCAAAGCATCGTAATTCCGCTCAAAGAGCAATCTCGAGAATGTCAAGGGGAAATTATTGAATTATCCTGCTTGGCAGAAAAATCTAATTTATAGCAAAGAATTTCTCCTGAAGTTTTAATAGTTTTTTTTTTCCTCCGATGGATTTTAATGCACAATTGTTTCCCAAGCTTGGAAATCTAGTTTGAAGCACTGACATCACTTTCCAGTTCTTGATTTATTGCTAGCTCTCTGCTTTTGAGCCTGGTAGGAAACCCAACATCCTATTTTCCCTTGAACTTGAGAGTACTGCACTCTCTGGTCAGCCTGTCTGACCAGGCATCAGATGGCACTGCCATCTTGTTAAGGTTGTAAAGGGAGTGCTGGAGGCCTGGCTGAACCTCCCACCATCTGCCCTCCTTGCCTGGCTCCCCAGGGCAAGCCCCCTCCTTGAGGATTTTGCTGGCGAGGAACCCCAAGGCCATGTCTATAAGGATGCTGCTGGCCTGTGGGGACCCTATGGAGCAATAACATGGCTAACCCTCCTTTGCCCACTCCCTGCCTCCCAGCCTATCAAAGTTCCTGCTACATAGTTAAGGGTTTAGCAAACAGGTGTCAGATAAAATAGGGGACGGCATAGCTGAGTGTCAGTGTCCCTGCTTGGGCCAATGACAGCTCAGGCTCCTATTAGCAATGGGATGTGTCTGTTGATGTCTTTGTCTGGGCTTTAGTCCAACAGGTTGGAATCATCTGGGCACAGCACTGGGGGCAGCAGGCAAGGGTGCTGCCAGGGGGTCTCAATTTATGGGGCAGGGTCAGCTCTGGGGAAAGGGTCTTCAGGGACTGTGGCATCAGAGAAATGCATCCCTCCATGAAAGATGAGAAACTCATTGTTTTCCTAGCTACTTTTCAAGTGTATCCGACTAGGACAATGCTTAACCAAAGCTCGCAAAGGAGACGGTGGGTTTTTGGAATGAATAACAGACAGAGAAGGGAGATATTTGGGAATAAAATAATCTTCTTTTTAGCCCTTAAAATGATGACACCCATTTTATAGATGAAGAAACTAAGGCTCAGAGAGGGGCAGAGACTCACGGAGATTTAGCAAGTGGACAAAGTGACGCTGAGACCCAGGTATTCAACTCCCTGGGGGAATCTTCTAAAAGTAGCTTGGGAGGCGATACCCAAGGCAGGGCCCAGCAAAAATCAGTCTCCTTTGGGAGAATGAGGGTCCCTCAGGCCCCAGAGGAGGCTGCCCCATCATCCAATTTTAGAACAGGCTGACAGGCCTTTGGGAGCTACTTCCTGAAGGTCACAGCTGTTCTCTGGGGGTTTCTTTTTTCCTTTTTTCTTTTCTTTTCTTTCTTTCTTTTTTTTTTTTCAGGGTCTTGCTCTGTTGCCCAGGTTAGAGTGCAGTGGCATGATCATAGCTTACTGCAGCCTCGACCTCCTGGACTCAAGTGATCCTCCTGCCTCAGCCTCCCAAGTAGCGGGGACTACAGGTGCATGCCACCACACCTGGCAAACTTTTTGATTTTTTGTAGAGATGGGGTTTTGCCATGTTGCCCAGGCTGATCTTGAACTCCTGAGCTCAAGCAATCAGCCCACCTCAGCCTCCCAAAGTGCTGGGATTACAGGCATGAGGCACTGTGCCCCCTCTGGGGGTTTCTTCTAGCAGTTCTCCCATCCCTGAACCCATCTGCCCTGGACGTTTCAGGCTCTTTCTTCCCAGAAATCCCTGCTATGGTGCCAGGTGGGAGACCTGCCTGGCCAGAGAGGGTGGTGAGTACTGGCAAGGGGGAAAGGGGCTGCACCCTTCCACTCACTGTCTCCCTCTATAACCTGTCCTTCCCCATCCCTCCCTGACCCCTCAGTGTTCAGGGAACTCGGGTTTCCTGTCACAGCATAGTACCAGGAAGAAAGAGGCAAATGGTTGGATCCCTGGGCAGCCCTAAGTGGCTCCCTGGGAGCAAAGGGCTCACCCTGGCCAGAGTCCCTATCTTGATACGGAAGTTGCGGGGAGCGGTACACCCCCAGGAGAGCCATGGCAATGGCACTCTGGGCAGAAGGGGCCTGGCAAGTGGCTTGCTCTGTTTTCCCCGGAGTGGAATGGCCAGTGGGGATGGGCCAGGACATGGGGTGGAAGGATGGCGTAAGGGAGGGACAGTGCTGGCTCAGCTGGCTTGCCCGTTGACTCACCCTCAGGAGTCTGCTGCTCTTGGCAATGGCTGAAAATGGAGATGAAGGTAACTGTGATTACGGGGAGCCCCTTGGATCCATCTTGGAGAACTCCCTATGTCTGCGACAGAGGTGATGGCTCAGGGAGGGCACTGTGCTGAATCTCACCCAGGTAGCCTGCCTAACTGGTTGCCCTCAGCCTCTCTCTCAGCACCAGGCCTTGCCCTACAACCTGCCTCAGCAGCTCCCCCCTTCTTTTCTTTCCTTTCCTTTCCTTTTCTTTTCTTTTCTCTTTTCTCTTCTCTTCTTCTCTTCTTTTCTTTCCTTCCCTCCCTCCCTCCCTCCCTCCCTCCCTCCTTCCTTCCTTCCTTCTTTCCTTTTTTTTTGAGTCGCTCTGTTGCCCAGGCTGGAGTGCAGTGGCATGATCTCAGCTCGCTGCAACCTCTGCCTCCCAGGTACAAGCGATCCTCCTGCCTCAGCCCCACTAGTAGCTGGGATTACAGGCACATGCCAACATGCCCGGCTAATTTTTGTATTTTTAGTAGAGACGGGGTTTTGCCATGTTGACCAGGCTGGTCTCGAACTCCTGACCTCAGGTGATCCACCTGCCTTGGCCTCCCAAAGTGCTGGGATTACTGGCATGAGCCACCGCGCCCAGCCCCCTTCCCGTTTTTTTTTTTTTTTTTTTTGAGACAGGGTCTCACTCTGTTGACCAGGCTGGAGTGAAGTGGTACAATCTCAGCTCACTGCAGCCTCGACCTTTCTGAGCTTAGGTGGTCCTCTCACCTGTCTCCTAAGCAGCCCCCATTTCTGCATTTGGCCATGCCTAGCCCCTGCCTGAAGTGGACACTGGACACTTTATGAGACCCCTCTCACCCCATCCAGTCCTCTGGTACAAATCTGTGACTCAGCCAGGAGGGAGTGGTTTGAGGGGAGCTCAGGGACTGTTGGGTGGGGATCAGGGACAGGAGTTTCTGTGTGACTGCAGGGGCAGAACCAGGCCTGGGGTTGAGGATACTGGAGATCTTAGTCTTATAAGGAAGGGGTCCTCACCGCTCAAGGGGCAGAAGCACAGGATGGGAGGTGTCATGGGGAGAGAGCTCCCTGCCACAGTGCTGTTCCTCTAGAGGCCTACCTGTCAAGGCTACACACACTCCTGTGTGGGAGTGAGGAAGAGCAACCAGCCATGTGAATCCACCCTGCTCCTCCAGGTTTCACGATCCCCCAAAATGCCACTGCATGGGACAACTGCCCTGCCTCCCTCTCCCGCGGAGGCTCTGTCCTAGCCAGCTGGAACCCATGTCACCTGATGCCCTTTCTAGTGCTCTTCCCATCACCCTCTGGCTAACATGTGACTGTGCCACACCTGGCTGTGAGCCAGGCCCAGGAAAGCTGAGCAGCGGGTTGGGGCACAGGAGCTTTTGTCTTTTTGGGGTAAATGGAGATGGAAACCTGAGCATGGTGGTCATCAGATCCCAGCTCCTGGCGATGGGGAGCTCAGGAGCAGCCAGGGATGAGACACTCCCCTTTGTGGTGAGGGAGGAGGCTCCAGGATGGGGCCAGTACAGCCCAACCTGACCCTCTCCAGAAAGGCAAGACGGGATCGCGATCAGGAAGCAGCCAGTGGGACCCCAGAGACATGACGAGTCAGTCTTGGGTAGGTCTGGGACCAATCTGAGGGTCCCAGATTCGTCAGCTAGATGGGCAGTTTCTAGGGGAACCTCAGCCTGTGGGTCCTCAGTCCCCACCTGCAGTTTGTCAAGATGAGGCATAGAACAGCCCAGCCCTGGAAGGAGCTGTACCTAGGCAGGGCCCCAACCAGCCCCACCCTTGGAACCATCAGCCTGGAAGACTCCAATGTCCCAGCCCTGCTGGCCAGCTGTTCTGGTCAGACTGTGGGGTCGGGGCCTCTTTCCTGGGTTTCTGAAGCCTCACCCTCTGGTGAATAATTTCTTAGAGTTTATGTGTGGCATCCAGATCAGAGGTTTTGCTCTCTACCTCCCACTTCTGTTGGAATCACGAGGAAGAGCCTATCTGGGGGCCCTGGGGGAGGCTTCTGATCCAGGAGAGGGCTCCAGAGGCAGGACAGGGGGATGTGTTTGGACCTGAAGCACTTAGGGCAAGAGGCTCCTGTACCGCGTCTGCAGCCCACGCACCCTGGCACAGGCTCACGGGGTCTGAGTCTGACAGGCACCAGAGGTTGGCTTGCTTGATAGAGGACATGCAAGAAGCATGTCTGCCACCCAGGCCTTGGCCCCCTGCCCATCCCTCATTCCCGTGGCTTCTCAGCACCAAACAGACTCAACGAAGGCAGTGTGAAATGGCCTGAGCTCACACTGCAGCTGGGAGGACAGGGTTAGACTCAAAGAACATTCTGAATATGACGGCTGTGAATGTGTAATTGGGAAGGATGGGAGAAGGAGAGCTGATCACACAGTTCTCAATAACCATGTGCCAGTGTTGTCCTTTCAACCTGTTCTTCCACTGGTCAGCTCTCAGGAAATAGTAATACCATCCATCCAGCCACCCAAGCCCCTGGGTAGTGAGTCCCTCAGCCTCATGGCCTATCCGGCACAGGCCTTGGCATCTCTTCCTCCAAAACGCCTCTGCAACCTGTCCATAACCCTCCACCTCCACCACCACCATCCAGGCCACCACCACCTCTCTCTGGACTCCAGCAGCAGCCTCTTCACTGTCTGTCTCCTCCTACCCATGCCCTCTGCTGCCCATTCTCCACCCAAAGCCAGAGTGAGCACCTCAAAATGCAAGTCAGAGGGTCTCTCTCCTGCTGAAAACCCTTCAGGGTGGCTGTGGTCCACCTTGGGTAAAGGTTCCGCCCCATCTGCCTCTAGCCCCAGCTCTTGCCACCTCAACCACATCACTTAGCCACAGTGACCTCTTCTTGTGTGCCCCTAGCTTCTGCATTGGGACTCGCCCATCTCTCTGGCCTCTTGACTGTCACTCATCTTTTTTTTCCCCCCTTTTTGAGACCAGGTCTCTCTCTGTCACTCAGGCTGGAGTGCAGTGGCACAATCTCGGCTCACTGCAACCTCTGCCTCCCGGGTTCAAGCGGTTCTCCTGCCTCAGCCTCCCAAGTAGCTAGGATTACAGGCGCCCGCCATCATGCCCAGCTAACTTTTGTATTTTTTTTTATTATACTTTAAGTTCTAGGGTACACATGCACAAAGTGCAGGTTTGTTACATATGTATACATGTGCCATGTTGGTGTGCTGCACCCATTAACTCGTCATTTACATTAGGTATATCTCCTAATGCTATCCCTCCCCCCTCCCTAACTTTTGTATTTTTAGTAGAGATGGAGTTTCACCATGTTGGCCAGACTGGTCTCAAACTCCTGACCTCAGGTGATCTGCCTGCCTCAGCCTCCCAAAGTGCTGGGATTACAGGCGTGAGCCACCGCACCTGGCCATTACTCATCCTGTAAGATGAGGAAGACTGCCCTGATCTACCCCCTTCAAGGTTCTGAAAAGCCCCTCTGAACCTGAATTCAGCCCCCTAGCACCTGTCATTTCTTACTACCAGTTTCTTTATTAAGTCTTCCCACTGGACTGATAGTCACAATCGAGACAATACACATAGAACAGACAAGTGAAATGACCACAGCCCATCGTCACTGTCATCACCATCATTATCATCATCATCATCATCACTGCTAACTCTTACTCAGCACGTTTTATATGCCTGGTTCTCTTCTAAGCATTTCACGTGGTTTAAATCATTTAATCTTCATGAAAACCCTATGAGGTCAGATTTTTCTTCAATTCTAAGATGCTCCATAGGGGTTCAGTGGAGCTTGAAGTGGACAAGAAGGCTTTGTGGTGGGGGTAGGAGTGGAGCTGGGGCACGAGGGATGAGGAGCCACAGGCAGATGGAATTGGGAGAAGTATTCTAGGCCAGTATGAAGAATAACCCTAACAATAATGATAATAATATATTGAGCACTTACTATGTACCCTTCGCTGTGCTTGAGAATCTTATATTTATTATCATATTGGGTGCCTGCAGCAACCTTAAGAGGTGCACATCAATAGCCATGTCTTTTTTTTTTTTTGAGAAAAAAAAGGCTGCAGTGCAGTGGTGCAGTCATGGCTCACTGCAGCCTCCAGCTTCCAGGCTCAAGTGATCCTTCCACCTCAGACTCCCAAGCAGCTGAGACTACAGTCATGCACCACCATGTCCAGCTTATTTTTTTTTTTTTTAACATTTTTTACAGAGGTGGAGTCTCACTTTGTTGCCCAGGCTGGTCTCAGACTCCTGGGTTCAAGCTCTCCTCCTGCCTCGGCCTCCCACAGTGCTGGGATTACAAGCATGAGCCACCACCCCTGGCTAATAGCCCTGTCTTAAAGACAAGGAGATACCTGTAGTCCTAGCTACTTGGGAGGCTGAGACACAAGAATTGCTTGAACCCAGGAGGCAGAGGTTGCAATGAGCAGAGATCGCGCCACTGCACCCCAGCCTGGGCAACAGAGAGATTCCATCTCAAAAAAAAAAAGACAAGGAGATTGAGCATTGACTGTTGGCTTCTCCAGGGCTGGCAAGGAGCAGAAACTGATCCTGGGGTCAGCAGAAACTAACCCCAGAGAGGTTTCAGTCCCTGGAGGAAAGAGCCTGGAGTGAGGAGAGCAGGACTGTTGGAGCAGGGAGTAGACATCTGGACATGCTCTGAGGGAGAGCAGTGAGGGCTGGAGGTCCCATCCTGGAAGAAGTGGGAGAGGACCAGAGCTGGGCTTTGAAGGATGAGCAGGGGTTAGAGAGAGAAAAAGAAGTGGTGGTTGGTGTTGCGGGGAGGTAGATAATCCCAGAACTGTTGGTGGCCCCCGCTTCTCCCCAGCACCCCCACTATCTCCCAGCGCCCTGAGTAAGCTCCCTCTGAAGAACATTTATGGATTGGAGCTCCTCACCCCCATGCAACTTTTTGTGTGTGGGAAAATATGCAAAACATAAAATGTATCCTTTTAATCATTTTTAAGGGTACAGTTTAGTCACATCAAGAACATTCGCATTGTTGTGCAACCGTCTCCACCATCCATCTCCACAACTTTTTTTTTATTTTTATTTTTTTGAGACAGAGTCTCCTTCTGTCGCCCAGGCTGGAATGCAGTGGCGCGATCTTGGCTCACTGCAACCTCCCCCTCCAGGGTTCAAGTGATTCTCCTGCCTCAGCCTCCACAGTAGCTGGGATTACAGGTTTACGCCACCATGCCCGACTAATTTTTTGTATTTTTAGTAGGTAGGGGGTTTCATCTTGTTGAACAGACTGGTCTCGAAGTCCTGACCTCACGTGATCTGCCTGCCTCGGCCTCCCAAAGTGCTGGGATTACAGGCATGAACCACTACGTCTGGCCTTCTCGACAACTTTATCATCATCCCAAATGGAAACTCTAGTCATTAAACACTAACTCCTTATTCTCCTCTTCCCCTACTCCCGGTAACCATCCTTCTACTTTCTGTCTCTATAAATTTGACTACTGTAGATACTGCATATCAGTGGGATCATACAGTATGTGTTCTTTTGTGACTGGCTTCTTTAATTTAGCATAATGTCCTCAAGCTTCCTCCATGTGCGTGTGTCAGAATTTCGTTCCCTTTTTAAGGCCAAATAATACTCCACTGCATGCATTTTGTTTATCCATTCATCCATTGATGGACATTTGGGTTGTTTCCTCCTTTTTGTCATTGTGAATAATGCTGCTATGAACATGGGTGTACAGATATCTGTTTGAGTCACTGTTTTCAATTCTTCTAGCTCTAAGCCACAAGTGGAATTGCTGGGTCCCTTTATGTTTAATTTTTTTGAGGACCCACCATACTTTCTTCCACAGTGGCTGCACTGTGCATTCTACATTCCTACCAGCAATGCACAAGGGTTCCAGTTTCCCCACATCCTTGCCAACGCTTATTTCCTTCTCCCTTTGTCTCTTTTTTTTTTTTTTTTTGAGACGGAGTCTTGCTCTGTTGCCCAGGCTGGAGTGCAGTGGCGCGATCTCTGCTCACTGCAAGCTCTGCCTCCCGGGTTCACGCCATTCTCCTGCCTCAGCCTCCTGAGTGGCTGGGACTATGGGTGCCCACCACCACCCCCGGCTAATCTTTTTGTATTTTTAGTAGAGACAGGGTTTTACTGTGTTAGCCAGGATGGTCTCAATCTCCTGACCTCGTGATCCGCCCGCCTCGGCCTCCCAAAGTGCTGGGATTACAGGCGTGAGCCATTGTGCCCAGCCTTGCTTTTTAATAATAGCCACTTTAATGGATGTGAAGTAGTATCTCCTTGCGGATTTGATTTACATTTCTCTAATAATTAGTGATGCTGAGCATCTTTTCCTTCATTCATTGGCCATCCAAGCTGCATGCGGTGGCTCACGCCTCTAACCCTAGCACTTTGGGAGGCCAAGGTGAGAGGATTGCTTGAGGCCAGGAGTTCAAGACCAGCCTGGGTGACATAGCAAGACCCCATCTCTACAAAAAAAAACTTTAGATAAAAATTTTAAAATATTAAAAATATTGGCCATCTGCATATGTTCTTTGGAGAAATGTCTATTCAATTCCTTGCCCATTTTAAAATCCAGTTGTTTGTTTTTTGTTGTTGTGGAGTTGTAGGAATTCTTTACATATTCTGCATATTAATCTCTTATCAGATTTGCTGCTGGGTGCAGTGGCTCACGCCTGTAATCCCAGTGCTTTAGGATGCCAAGGTGTGTGGACCACCTGACGTGAGGAGTTTAAGACCAGCCTGGCCAACATGGTGAAACCCCATCTCTACTAAAAATACAAAAAGTAGCTGGGCGTGGTGGCACGTGCCTGTAGTCCCAGCTACTCAGGAGGCTGAGGCAGGAGAATTGCTTGAACCCAGAAGGCGGAGGTTGCAGTGAGATCACACTACTGCACTCCAGCCTGTGTGACAGAGCGACTCTGTCTCAAAAAAAAAAGATGTGCAAATATTTTCTCCCATTCCATGGTTGCCTTTTTACTCTGCTTGTAGTGTCCTTTGATGCACAAAAGTTTTTCGTTTTGATGAAGCCAAATTTATTTATTTTTCTTTTGCTGCCTGTGCTTTTTGTATCATACCTAAAAAATCATTGCCAAATCCAAAGTCATGAGGCTTTTCTCTTATGTTTTCTTCTAAGGGCTTTATAGTTTGAACTACTCTTATGTTTAGTTCTTTGATCCATTTTGAGCTAATTTTTGTAGGTAGTATAAGGTAGGGTTCAATTGCATAATTTTGCATATGGGTGACTCGTTTAACCGACACTGTTTGTTGAAAAGATTGTCCTTTCCTACCCCATTAAATGATCTTGACATCCTGTTGGAAATCATTTGGTCATGTATGTAAGGGTTTATTTCTGAGTTCTCTATTCCATTCTGTTGGTCTACATTTCTGTCTTTATGCCAGTGGCAATTGTTTTGATTATTGTAACTTTACAGCAAGTTTTGAAATCAGGAAATGTGGGATCTCCATCCAGCTTTGTTCTTTTTCAAGCTTGTTTTGACTACTTGAGGTCTCTTGAGATATGATATGAATTTAGGATGGATTTTTCTATTTCTGAAAAAATATGTTGTTGGGATTTTGATAGTGATTCAATAGTGATAGTATTGCCCCATGTGACTTTAAGGAGGGCCTGTACTGGCAAAGGTGTTCCAGGGTGACCAGGGACCAGTGGTGCAATGATAACGAATGGTGGTCTGAGCAGAAGGGAAAGGCACTGACTTGGCACATCCAAGGGTGTGGGCAAGGGGCTACTCTTTTTTTTTTTTTTTTTTTTGAGATGGAGTCTTTCTCTGTTGCCCAGGCTGGAGTGCAATAGCACGATCTCGGCTCACTGCAACCTCCACCTCCCAAGGTCAAGCGATTCTCCTGCCTCAGCCTCCCAAGTAGCTGGGACAACAGGCTCCCACCACCATGTCCGGCTAATTTTTGTATTTTTAGTAGAGATGGGGTTGTACCATGTTGGTCAGGCTGGTCTGGAACTCCTGACCTCATGATCTGCCTGCCTTGGCCTCCCAAAGTGCTGGGATTACAGGCGTGAGACACTGTGCCTGGCTGAGCTACCCTTCTTTAGAAGGCTGAAAGCTTTGCCTCTTCCCAGTCTTCCCCCAGAAGAGGGGGTCCCCAGGGGCAGGAGTTTACCCATCTGTATAATTGACATTGTATCCTTAAGCCACTAAAAAGGTTTCTCCTTTCTCTCATTCAGATTTTTCAGCTTTTTCATGCCCCTTGTTGATTTGTTAGGACAATAGCTCCGTATGTGGCTCTTAGGAACATTGGCACTATTTTTGATGTGGCTGGGCACTCTGTCTCACCCTAGTCCCTAGACAGATTGTCCCTCTAGTCAGCCAGCTGTCCTTTGCAGGAGGAGCATGTTTCTCAAGACTAAAGGAAATAGGAATGGGCAGTTCTGAGCCCCCAGGGAGGGGTGACTGGGCAGAGTCATTTGGTGAAGACTATAGAGAGGATCTCCTGGTCTCAATGCATCTTACCAGCAGAACTAGGCCTCAGTAGGTGAGCTCTGCCTGCAGCAGCAAAAGCAAAGGTGGCCATAGGCAGCCTTCTTGTGCAGCCTAGACTCTTGGAAGATGACTCACTGGGCCCTAAGCCAGACTTCTGGCTCTGCCTCAGAAAAATCCTTCACTATGCCTATCACTGGAGACAGATAGATGAGCAGAGCTCTCTGGGCCCCTCAAGGGGCAAAATTCCTGGTTCTTCACTGTGATACTCACCCATCCTCCCTGGCTGGCCACAGGGAAATAGAAGGGTCTTTATTTCCCTGACTGAAGGGGGCACAGCCAAGGCTTCTGGAAACTCATTCTCCCCTGGAGAGCGTTGTCTAATTCCAGCTCTGATAGTGGGGCCTGGGGTTTCCGACACTGCCTGAATTTCATGCCAAAGTTCACATCTATGTGATCAGTGTCAGAAAGTAAGGTCCTTGTGCCAAGCAAGAGTCTTTATCCAAGTTGTTGGGTTTTTTTTTGGTTTGTTTGTTTGTTTTTTGAGACAGGGTCTCACTCTGTCACCCAGGTGGGGAGTACAGTGGCACAATCATAGCTCACTGCAGCCTTCAACTCCTGGGTTCAAGCCAACCTCCCACCTCAGCCTTCAGTGTAGCTGTGACTACAGGCATGCACCACCAAACTTGGCTAAACTTCATGGCCTTAGACAGCACCCCAGGCCCTCCTGGACCATCCACAGCATTGCTGTGTGCACTCCTTGGTGCAGCAGGTGACTCAGGAGGGGCTAAAGTGCAAACCAGAGAGTGCAGAATATCTGAATTGAGCAAATAACATAGAGGGTGTGTCTGACTTTGTTGAAGCCCCTTCAGGGCCCTGTGGCTGGTGGGAGCCTCTGGCATGTTAAAACAGGGTCACCTGAGCCCAGGAATTCGAGACCAGCCTGGGCAACATAGCAAGACTCCATCACTATTTAACCAAAAAGAAACTAAAAAAAGACCAGAGGCCAAAGATTGAGTGCTGAGTAAAAAAAGTTTTACTGCCAAACAGGGAAACTATTCTATCCAGAGTCTAGGCTCAGAGGTTGGGGATACAGGGGGAAGATATGGGGTTGGTCGTGAGCTATTTCTGTTCTGTATTCAAAAAGCAAGGTTTCTGCAGGTTGCTGATTGACTGTGGATATGGGGCTGTGAGTCAGGTGATCACTGGGTTGTCTGGAGGTGGTCAGCTATGTACCTGGGCCATTGTGCCAGGATTAAGGTATCAAGCAGCCTCCTGGCCAAATCAAGATTTGGGTGCCAAGTCAGGTTTTTACTGATGTCAGCAGGTTAGATGGCAGGTCAGGGCTTCTCACTTGCTACTGGCCTTCAATTTTTCACCTGTGAAACAACGTGGGGACCCCCAGCTCCCCACTCTGTGAGCCCAAACCAGTTAGCAACTGTTTGCTAAATTCAACTGTGGGCCTGGGATTTATATCCCCAACAACAAAGCCAGGGTTGCCTTCCTCTCCCTCACCTCCCCCCATGCTGTGTTGAATTCCACTTCTTCTCTATATTCCACTATGTCTACCCTAGTCCAGGCCACCATACTGCTCACCCAAAGACATTCACTTCCTCTAAACTTATCACCTCCAGCTCGTGGTCTATGTGGCAATCTCAGTCTGTCTAAAATGTCACCCCCCTGCTTAACCCTTCCTTGACTCTGCTTGGCCATGGGGACAAAGCCCTGGCCTTCTGGGCTGACAGAGAAGGGTTTGCACATGCAGGCAGTTGACTTCTCCAACCACTGCCCACTACATCCCCCTTACACACTAGGTTCGGCCACAGTGAAGTTTCAGTTTCTCCAAAGTAATGTTTCCTCTCACCTTCAGACCTTTGCCGATGGTGTTCCCTCTGCAAGGAATGCTTTACCTGGCCACTTCTTACTTATCTTTATTTTATTTTATTTTATTTTTAGATGGAGTCTCACTCTGTTGCCCAGGCTGGAGTGCAATGGCGCGATCTCAGCTCACCGCAACCTCTGCTTCCTGGGTTCAAGCGATTCTCCTGCCTCAGCCTCCCCAGTAGCTGGGATAACAGGCATGCGCCACCACGCCCAGCTAATTTTTATATTTTTAGTGGAGACGGGGTTTCACCATGTTGGCCAGGTTGGTCTCAAACTCCTGACCTCAGGTGATCCTCCTGCCTCGGCCTCCCAAAGTGCTGGGATTACAGGCGTGAGCCACTGCACCCGGCTTTTGCTTATCTTTCAAGTGTAAGTTTAGATACTGACATCTTGGGAGAGCCTTCCATCACATCTCCAAGTTGGGGTTAGGTCTTCCCAACTTGGAGCACTCCAGTCTCTTCTCTTGCCTCAATAAATATTTGACTTGGAGTGTGGAGGAGGGATGTAGTCCCTCAGGTTATCTGGGGAAGGCATGTGTCCCCTGCCCCTCACACTCCCTAGTAACATGGGCTGGAGTCCCTCATGAAGGAGATGCCTGCACAGCCCTGTTCTTCACTTAGATCCTATTCTAAGGAGGGCAGGGTCATTTATTTCTGAAGGTGGACTCTTCTCTGGGCCACACTGTAAAGAGAATCACTGCTTTGCCAGCAGGGCACACAGGGGTCTCTGTTGTTTGGTGGTAGGGGTACTCCAGGATGACCAGCCAGAACATAGGGGCCCACAGGGCACAGGCAGGGGCCCGCAGGGCACAGGCAAGGGCCCAGGCTGGAGAAGAAAAGGCCTAGGTTCTAGCTCTGACTCTCTCCATCTGACTGAGTGACCACCCCATTAAGACTGCCAGACTTCAGCTCCACCTGGGCTTGCAGTGACAGGTTGTGCTAGGCCAAGGGAATTCTTTAGAGACCTGGTTGCCTTTTGAACTTGAGTTTCTGGCTCTTGGGAGAACAGAATGACTATTCCCACACAACTAGGAATGTCTCCCTGGGGCTCTGTTCTTTGAACTGACTTGTAAAAGAAATTAAGGGGTCCCACAGACCAACCTTGAGGATTTTCTTTCTGAGTCAACCCAGGTCACCGCTCTCCAAAACCTTCACCAAGTCTGCTCACCCCTCACCGCTACTCTGCTACTGCTAGCTTAAGTAGTTACGGAAGGTCCCCAAGGGCCCCTCCCATGCTGGTAAAACAAGGGTCTGTGTGTAGGTTTAGCTGTTAACTGGAGTGAGTTCTAGGGAATGGAGAGTTGGGATGACACACACTCATTTTACTGTGTATGCTTCTGTAATGTGGGAATGTTTTTACAAGCATGTATCACTCCTATAATTAAAGATGCAAATCTAGTAAAAAGCTCCATCCCTTAGGCCATAGGTTCAGGGGGCAGAGAATGTCAAGGAAGACTTGATAGGTGAGACAGTGTTAAAGCGGGGCCTGATCAGGTGGGCCAAGCATCACAGCAAATGCCCCCATAAGGGGGCTTTGGGACCAGGTAAAGGCAAGATCCAGGACCTGAAGATGGGAGAGCTTTGCAGGGAGACTATAAAAAGGATGGGCACATACATGGCTGGGGGATGATGATCTGAAGGACTGGTGAGTGGTGAATTGGTACCGTAGTGGGTGAAGCCTTAAATGACAGACTGAGGAGTTTGTAATTAAAGTGTATCTGAGTCAGAGGGATGTGACCTGAGCTAGGCCTTCGGACTGGAACTGACAGAGGTAAGAGAGAGACCAAGGCTGCCAGGAGGTTATTTGCACATCCCAGTGAGAAGAGCAACAACCAGGAGACAGAGATTCCTGGGTGAAAGAGATGGGCTGTCCAGGGACTAGATACTAAGGGCAGGCCCCATTCTCCATCTGCGCCGTAAATTCTCCTGTAGCCTTTCTGGGCACTGGCAGCTCCATGCCTGAGGTTCCTGGGCCACCTGTAGCTGGAGACAGGGTGCCATCCCAGCATGGCTCTGGCTTGGGCCCACCTGCCCACCATGACCCAGAGAGAGTGGGGCCTGCTGGACCACTCAGGGCCTGCGATTCCTTCTGCCTTCATAAAACAGCTCTGGAGCTGATGTTTGTTTTAGATTTGCGTGGTGATTTATTTGCATTTCACATTTTCCTGGGGCCTGGAGGAAAGGCAAGTTTGCACACCACAAAAACTGTGACTGGGGTCATACATGATGTGCCAGCATGAGCCACATCACTCTTCTCATGCTATAAGGCCTGTTGCAAGAGGCAAGGTGGGTGCTTTGGTGGCGCTGGGGGTTCCCCTGGGTTCTGGAGAAGCTCTGAGACCTCAGGGGACTGTATCTAACAGTGGAGAGAGTTGCAGAGTGCCCCACCCAGTGTGCCTCCCAGCCCTGCCTCCTGCCCCATCCGAGGCTTCTGGGGACAATCAGGCCTAACGGTCCATCCAGAATCACTTGGAAACCTACATGGAAAAGGAATGAGGGGCTTGGGCAGATTCTCCTAGACCAAAGAAATTTCACTCTCTTTTTTTTTGGAGACACGGTCTTGCTCTTTCACCCAGGCTGGAGTGCAGTGGTGCAGTCATGGCTAACTGCAACCTTGAATTCCTGGGCTTGAGTGATTCTCCAGCCTCAACCTCCTGAGTAGTTAGGACTATAGGTGTACACCAGCTATTTCTTTTTTCTTTTTCATTTTTTGTAGAGACAGGGTCTCGTTATGTTGCCCACACTGATTTTGAACTCCTGGCCTCAAGCAATCCTCCTAGCTCAGCCTACCAAAGGGCTGCGATTACAGGCATGAGCCACCTCACCTGGCCCCTCTTCTTTCTTAATTTATGATAACTTCACCATCATGGTCAGGTACCAAAGACCCAAATATAAAAGGAAATGCAACAAATCTTGCAGAGGGAGCATCTTCTCCACTCCCCTGACTCTTCTGAGTTAGCGGAGAGAGATCAAGGCTACACTCCACCCTGAAGGAGCCCAGAAATTTCAGAGCACAGTCAACACATCAGGTGAGATTCCCTTATTTCTACCCCAGGTGGTTGCCCAGCTCAGGACTCTGAGCCTGCCCTTCCCTCTCCCTGATTTGCCCCTCCTCCTCCTGTTCTTTCTTGCAGGTGTCACCTCCTCTGTGAAGCTTTCCTTTACTACTCTGCCAGCAAACTCCCCTCCCACATTCTTTCTGGACCTTGTCCTTAACCCATCACTGCATATTGCACCCTCTGCTGCTTTGCTTTATTTATGTGTCCGGGGTGATGTCATAGGAGCCCTCCCCTCTGTGTCCCCAGGGTATAGCCCAGTGTCTTCCCCATTGAGCTCAATACACACTGCTGCAACAGAGCCACGAAACAGTCTCAGGCTGCCTGAGCCAATTCCATGCCCTTTGGGCTGATTTTTCCCTCCTCACTACTCCCTGCATCCTTCTCTGCCCAAGGTGGGGCCTGACCTCAACCATGCCTGGAGGTGTCTCTCATGAAAGGGCCTTCAAACTAGGGTCTGCAGAGGTCCTCCAAGGCCTTGTTGGTAAACTTGAGATTCAGGCCAAGGCACAATGGGAAGGCTGGGAATTCTGGTGATCCCCTTACTGCACTGGAAATTGACTCTTGTACAGCAAGAATGCAGTGATGACTGATGACCATGTGCAATAAGGAGCATGGCTTGTGGCCTGAGTGAGTGAACACGCTAGCTGCCCAGGGTGTCCTGACAGCCCCATCTGGAGATGGCCAAGTAGGGATGCAGGACACAGGACTTCATCCAACTTGGGCCAACACCCCCAACCATGGGCAGAGAGTAGGACCAGCCAGGCAGGTGGGAGGTCCCCAGCCACCCTCCATGCCGCAAGTACCACTGAGTCCTTAGTCCACACACAGCCCAAGATAAGGTTCCACTGTCCAGGCAGAATGTGGCAGAAAGGAGAAAGCAAACTCCTGCCAGAAGGAACTTGGCAGTACCTGCTGTCCTTTCGGATGCCCTAGCCCCAGGCTTCTTGCTCCAGACTTCGCATTCCTCTAGGATCACAGTACCCCGTCACTGGCCAGTTGACCAAGCCAGAGCCTTGTCTTCCTTCTGCCAGGGCAGATTTTCTTCCTGTGGACTTTTCTCACCTTAGAGTTCTCTGGCTGACTGATGGCTCATCTTCTACTCAGCTAGGCCTCTGCCGCCCAATACCACCCTCCTTACCCCCATCCCCAGCTTGAGTCAGCACTCAGCTGGCTGCTCAAGATTTGGCTCTGCTCTCTGAGAGGTCTCTGGGCAAATCCTCAGCTCAGCGCTAAATACTTCTGCATTCAGTCTCTTTGGTTCATTGATCAGGAATCATATGATCTTTTAAAAACACAGCTGGTGGAGGCGCCCATCTGTGTTTCTGCATTTGGATCAGTAAATCAGGCTGCCTGGAATTTACTTAAACCTGCAGGTCTAGGGATAGAATGAGGCTGCCCTCACTATGCCTCCTGTGATGATCTTTCATCTTCTGGAGCTTCTTAATTTTTAAGAGCACCCTTGGCTGGGCTTCTAGGACTGGGTCTGTTGTTTACACTTATTTGTCTCCTAAGCTTCTCTAAGGACTATTTTCTTTTTAAAGTGAGATTCACTAATTACGGGGTGAAGCACAGTTTGCACTCCTCCCCATCCCCATCACACACACACACGCACACGCACACACACATGTATTTCCCAGACAAAATGGGTTGTAAGTCATTTGCCAGGTCAGTAACCCAAGGTAGTAATGTTCTCTGTGCTTCCTCCCTCAGACCTCATCCTGTGTGATACACACGGGAACACTGCTGATGTGGCAGAGATGGCCAGTTATCCCCAATATCTGGTCTAGCTGAACACATGGCCACCCAAAATAAATACTAAATTTCCTAGCCCCCTTTGCAGTTATCAATATATGACTAAGTTCTGACCAGTGAGACTAAAATAGAATGGTACATCCAACTTCAGGAAATCACACGCTGCTTCCTTTCCTCCTTCTTCCCACTAGCTGCAATGCACTGTCTGTGATGTGATTGCCGGAGTTCGAGCAGCCATCTTGGGACATGAGGATGAAGCCACATGCTTTGAGGATGGCAGATGTGGTAGCTAGCTTCTGAGATGGCCCCCAGTGATTCATGTCCTTATTCAGTTCTCTCCTGTATGCAATAGGGCTGATCCATGTAACCAACAGGGTATTGCAGAAATGATAGTAAGTGACTTCTGAGATGACATCATAAAAGACATTGCAGTGTATGCCTTGCCCTCACTGTATCACTCGTTCTAGGCTAGCAGAAGCCCACTCAAGCAACCCAATGAAGGATTAGGGGCAGTGAGAGACCGAGGCTTGCTGCAAATAGCCAGGGTTAACTTGCCAGCAATGTGGTGGTCCAGTCACCCCTTCAGATGACCACAGCTTCATCTGACATCCCAACTGCAACCTCATGAGACAGCTTGAGCCAGAACCACCCAGCTAAGTCTCAAATCCTGACCACGGAAAGTGCGAGATAATAGATGTTTACAGTTGTTTTAAGCCACTGCATTTTGAAGTAATTTGTTACTCAACAATAGAGGAGAACAATAAAACAGAAGGAACTTTGGCCTTCTGAAACAGTGGAGGGCCTAGCAACCCTTGACACCTACCTCCAACCTCATCTGGTTTTTTTTTTTTTTTTTTTTTGAAATAAACTCCTCTTGTTTTCATAACTATTATTTTGGGTTTTCTGACACTCCTATTCCTATTCCTGGTTTGGCACCATTCATTCAGAAATTCTTCTAAGAGTCGCCAGCTGGAAGTGCCTTTTGGAGGCTGTCTCAGTTGTCCCTGCTGCCAATGGCAAGTTGATGCCCAAATCTTCCTAAGATGATGGGCAGTTTATGTCAGAAATGTCTGCAAAAGGCATTTTATAATGAGAACCACAGCCCAAGGATCAGGAGACCCTGACTCCACCCTCTCCTGTGCAGTCTCTCTTATCACTTAGGTGACCTTACCTGGTACAGGGAGAGGCCACTCTCTTATGGGTCTCCCTGGGATGTCCATGAGGCCCAGACAGATTTGTGAATAAGATGCTTTGGGCAGTGCCATGACACTTTACCAGCTGACAGCAGTGCTCTGCTGTGGGTCTGGCTGTTTCTGGATAGTGTTGGCCTACATCAGCATTTGCAGGTGACACTTCAGGAACCAGCCTTCAGGTAAGCATCTCAGGTGGTCTCCTGAGCGATCCGTACACCGCCCTGCTCAGATCCACTCAGTCATGGCAGCTGACAGACTGAGTGATGGCAATCCTGCTAGCCCATGCCTTTCACTACAGCAGTCCTTCCCAGGTCCCTGATTGCAGAACAATGGCCAGCCCCTCTGAGGCTTCCTCTCCACCTCACATTCTGCTTCATCACAGACTCTGACATCCCTGTGAACTAACCAGCCAACACAATTCTTGACCTCACTCATCACAATTCCCAGACCTGCTTAATGTTCCCCAACTTCTCGCATTTGGCTCTTGCCACAGTGGGATAGCTTCTGTCTGAAATCTTAGTTTCTTGCATTCTGCCAGAGGCCCTGACATCTGCTTTCTAGATTTTTCCAGTCCTCTCACCACTTCTGCTCTTCAGCCTTAACAAAGACCTTCTGACCCTAGAGGCCTCGAGTGTTTCCCCAGCCCAGACCCCTCTGAACCATCTGAACAACCATGCATTTTCTTAAACCCTGCATTAGCTAGGGTAATGCTCAATGCTGTAACAAGCAATCCCAAAATGTATATTGGCTCCTACAATGTAGTTGATTTCTTGCTAACAGAAAACTAAATGTGTGTTCCTGATCAGTGGTGTTTGTCCTCCAAGTGATGATTCAAGAATCCAGGATCTTCCCACACTGTGGCTTCACCATCTCCAACATGTGGTTTCCAAGGCTGTCTTAGTCAATTCAGGCTGCTATAACAAAGTATCATCGACTGGGTGGCTCATGAACAATAGAAATGTATTTTTCATAGTTCTGGGTGCTAGAAGTCTGAGATCAGGATACCAAGACACTCAAGCTGTGGTGAGGGCCCTCTTCTGGGCTGCAGACTGCTGACTTCTCCTTGCATTCTCACATGGTAGAAAAAGAACAAGCTGTCAGCCAGGCGTGGTGGCTCACACTTGTAATCCCAGCACTTTGAGAGGCCGAAGCGGGCAAATCACAAGGTCAAGAGACGAAGACCATCCTGGCCAACATGGTGAAACCCCATCTCTACTAAAAATACAAAAATTAGCTGGGCGTGGTGGTGTGCACCTGTAGTCCCAGGTACTCGAGAGGCTGAGGCAGGAGAATCGCTTGAACCCAGGAGGCGGAGGTTGCAGTGAGCTGAGATTGCATCACTGCACTCCAGCCTGGCAACAGAGTGAGACTCTGCTTCCAAAAAAAAAAAAAAAAGAAAAAGAACAAGGTAGTTCTCTGGCTCCCTCTTTCTTTCTTTCTTTCTTTCTCTTTCTTTCTTTCTTTCTTTCTTTCTTTCTTTCTTTCTTTCTTTTTCTTTCCTCCTTTTTTTTTTTTTTGAGACAGGGTCTCACTCACTTGCCCAGGCTGGAGTGCAGTAGTGCAATCTCCGCTCACTGCAACCTCTGACTCCTGGGTTCAAGCAATCCTCCTGCCTCAGCCTCCTGAGTAGCTGGGACTGCAGGCATGCGCCACCACACCCGGGTAATTTTTGTATTTTTAGTAGAGATGGGGTTTCACCGTGTTAGCCAGGCTGATCTTAAACTCCTGACCTCAAGTGACCCAGCCACCTCAGCCTCTCAAAGTGCTGGGATTACAGGCTTGAGCCACCATGCCTGGCCGCTGGCCTCTTATTATACAGGCACTAATCCCATCCTAAGGGCGCCACCCTTAAGACCTAATCACCTCCCAAAGGCTCCACCTCCAAATCATCACACTGGGGATTCCGTTTCAACATAGGAATTTTTGGGGGGACACAAACATTCAGTCTGTAACAAAGGGGCATCGAACTGGGAGAAGGGGAAAGGAAGAGTGGAGAAGTCACGTCTTCTTCTTAACTCTCTTGGGCTGGAAGTGACATGTCATCCTCAATCAACATTCCTTTGGCAAGAACTAGTCTCCTGACTCCTCTTAGATGTCATAGCTGTGCCTGGGTCAGCTTCTCTCCTGTTTCCCATAATAAATGTTCTAAACTCCCCCTTCCTGCCCCCAGCCCCTCCCCTCACCCTTACTCTCAGCAAGTGAGAATTTTAGGGTCAAGAGGCATTACGTTCCTGCACTTTCCCCCTCTTCCCTGCTCCCCAGTCACATTCATGTAAACTTGTTCATGGCACATTCACTCCAGCCTCCTCTCTCCAGCCTTGCAGGCCAAACCCTCCCTCCATTTCAGACCTGTGTATCCACCTGCCTGCCAGATGCTTCCTCCTAGATGCCTATAGCTCTTTCACACTCACCAAGTCTTAAACTGAGCTCGTCATCTCCCAGCCCACCCGCTAGTTATGGTTTCTTTCTCCTATGATGGTGACACTCTAACCACATGGTGGTCCTGACTGAAAACCTAAGGGTTCTCTTTGTCTTGTTTTTCAGGTGAAATTCTGGCCCAACATTTCTTGAGTCGGTTCCTTCCACCCCTTTCCTCTGTTCAGGTGATCGCTTCTGGCTTGGATGCCTGTGGCTGCCTCCTGAGGGGTCTTTATGCCTCCTGTCCATTATCCCTCCCACCTGTTCTCCACCAGCAGCCAGAGTGATTGTTCCAAAGTACAGATCTGACCACAGCACTCACTTTCTTAAACCCCATACTCTTCAAGTGAAGCACCGACTTCCCTCTGAGGCCCCCAGGACCCCAAGTAATTGGCCACATTGCCCCCTTCAACTAACCCCTCCCCTGACTCTCAAGAAACACCAGACTTTTGGCCAGGCCTGGTGGCTCATACCTGTAATCCCAGCACTTTGGGAGGCCAAGGTGGGTGGATCACCTGAGGTCAGGAGTTGGAGACCAGCCTGGCCAACATGGTGAAACCCCATCTTTACTAAAAATACAAAAAAAAAAATTAGCCGGGAGTAGTGGCGGGCCCCTGTAATCCCAGCTACTTGGGAGGCTGAGGTGGGAGAATTGCTTGAACTCAGGAGGCAGAGGCTGCAGTGAGCAAGATGGTGCCACTGCACTCCAGCCTGAGCAACAGAGTGAGACTCTCTCAAAAAAAAAAGAAAAAAGAAAGAAAGAAAAAGAAAAAGACCTCAGCCCTGCAGGTCATCATACATCTTGTACGTCAGCTATTCTTTCAGATAGGCAATTAGTGGAACAGACACCCACCCAAACTGATTCAGGCATAAAGGGGGACTCTAATGGAACCCAAATGCAGGAAGTCATCCCAGGCACTGCAAGCTCATTGGACAGGTACTCTGTCTTTCTCACTGGACTACAGTTTTTTCTCTTTGTATTCCTAATCTGTTACCCTTTACAGAAAATGCTTGGTTATCTTTTACAAGGCCCATTATGACTACCAGCCCTGGGTGTGCCTGCCTGAGTCTGCCTGCCCGAGTCTGACAATGTCAGTGCCCACCCCTGTAGAAGCAGTGTCCAAGCCTTGGGAGCACTTGTTTGGCTCAGCTTAGGTGATAAGTACGTTCCCCCAGGTTAGGCTTTCAGCCCTGGCCCATCACCATAACATGGGAGGAAGGGTGGGGTCAGCTGGTTCAAACAGGGCAGTAGGAACGTGCAGAGGGGAATTTCTAGGAGGGAGGTAGGTAGGGAACCAATTACAAGTGTAAGAAGAAACTGTGAATGATGTTGAAACTTGGGGGGTGTCCTGAATAACTTATTCATCCAGGTTATCTCTGGCTTTTGTTGTCTTTGACTAGACTATTTCTCAACCCTCTCAAGATAGAAATTAAATTGTAGAAACGTCATACCAATGCAAATAATTCCTGTTCACAGAAATGCAAATTGTGTCTGAATTGCAACTGACTACTGCCTCATGGATATTGACCAGTTTTGCATCCATTTCTAAAATCAACTTTCTTCATCTGACTATTATTTGTGATACTTTGAGTTCTCCTTTGAATTGGTTGTAATATTTTATTGGCTCACTCATGAATTAAATCTTTTTTTCCTTTTCCTTTTTTTTTTTTTTTTTTTTTGAGACAGGGTCTCACTTTGTCACCCAGTCTGGAGTGCATTCATGTTATAATTATTTGTTAAGCTGTATGTATAGTTGTTTGGACTTTTCTTTTCTTTCTTTTTTTTCTTTTTTTTTTTTTTTGAGATAGAGTCTTGCTCTATCACCCAGGCTGGAGTGCAGTGCAGTGGCACAGTCTTGGCTCACTGCAACCTTAGCCTCCCAGGTTCAAGCAATTCTCCTGCCTCAGCCTCCTGAGTAGCTGGGACTACAGGCAAAGCACACCACCACGCCCAGCTAATTTTTGTATTTTTAGTAGAGATGGGGCTTCACCATGTTTGCCAGGCTGGTCTAAAACTCCTGACCTCAGGTGATCCACTCCCTCGGCCTCCCAAAGTGCTGGGATTACAGGTGTGAGCCACCTCACCCGGTCTGTTTGGACTTTTCTGATTGTATCTCATATTTTATAATTTTTTAAAAACCCATTACATGTTATTAACTTTTGTACATTTTAAAGGAAAAAGCAAACCAAATAGGCAAAACTACATCTTGGCATATTGCCCCAAACCAGCCATGGGCAGCCAGAAGTGGTTATGACATGCTGCCTACCCTCAGGGAAGAGGCTAAGTTCACGCTCCACCCACAGGCATAGGATTCCAGGCACTCACGACACCCCTCTTGCATCAGAAGCTGCTCAGGTGAGAGGACTTCCTCACTGTTCAACACCTGCCCCCTGGCAGCCCAACTCAGGGAACACTTGACAGAAGATTCTGCCAGACTGGGAACATCCGCTCTACAAGCCACTCCTCCTCTGGCAACTGGAGAGGCATTCAGCCCTTGATGGCTTGCAGCTGAAAGGGGAGAGTCACTGCCAAACCATTTCTTGCACAACAATGCACTTCTGAGGAGGGTACACAAATTTTTGTCAACTGAATCGTGTCTTCCTCCGGACTTACATGATGGTCCAGATATGCTCTGGCTTCCGTGCTCATGGGTGGGTCCTCCACTGGTAACGGCTCCCAACACTTAGTATTCTTCTGTCTCCATTAACCAACCTCTAAATCAGTATTTAAGTACATAAGGATAGAACCTTTCTTCTAGGAATTCCTCCATCAGGCAAGCTTGGATGTTTGCCTCTGCTGTTTCCTTAGTGGGGAGGGAGGCCACATCCACAGGCAGCGGGGTCATCTCTCAGTCCCAGGAGCCTCCCTGACCTTTGACCTGAGTGGTGCAGTCATCTACATTTAGCACATCTGCACACAGGTGCTTCAATAATAAACTCCTGGCCAAGAAGGATGGAAGAAGAGGGAAGACATAAGCCTGGTGCTTTGCCTTGCTGACTGCGCACTCCCAGCTGTCCTGGCTGGGACCGGCCCTTCATATGCTTACCCTACGAGCAGAGTCTCAGCACCTTCTGAGTGTGGGACTCATGCTCCAGAGGAGTAAACACCTTCTCAAACAGCAAGCCGCTGCTTGCCAACTGCCGTGGGGAGGGGGAGCCTTGCCCTTAGTGCGACCCTTCGAGGATGCTTGAGCCCAGAACCCCCACATCCTCTAATCACATCACTTTCCCTATGTCCAGGATCAAGTCCAAGCTGCATGGCCTGGTCTTCGAGTCCCTTGCTTCTCAGTCTGGTCCTAGCTATGTCTCTGGCATCATCTCCCTTACACCATGTACCCCATGGTCTAACCACTCATTTACCCCACACACGATGGATTCTGACTTGTGCATAAGCCTGGTGGCTGTTTTCCAAGTCCGCATAGCTGCCAACAATGCCTCATTTCAATGGCAGCCTCTCTGTTATTCATTGATGTCATCAGAATTGCATTACTGTAGATGCAGACACAGGCAACACCAGTGCCCATTCTAATATAGGGCCTCACCCTGCTGCTCACACCACTCCTGGGACTGCACCTGGGTGCACTTCACACAGACCACTTTCCAGAATGGTTCTCTCCACAGGAGCAGCTGCAGATCCCTCCTATCTTCCAAAAGCTCACTGCCTTGGAGATAGGACACATCATAGTATCTCTCTGCCAAAGTGACAACTACAATTATATTTTGGCCGACAGCTGGAGATGGAGAATGTACAGATAGCCAAGGCCTCATGAGTCTCCATGAATCAGCAGTTTGTGCTGCAAGTGCAGCCCATAGGTGAGGTGGGCCTATCCGGCCAGTCATCCAGGCCCTCCCTGCTGCCTATCCGGCCAGTCATCCAGGCTGCCTGCTGGCCACAGACCTCATGTTAGCACCTGGGACCCTCGGTGAAACCCTCCACTGGATGGTGACAGTTAATACCCCCAAGACCACCCCAGGACATAGAGGAGCAGAAGCATCAGGGTAGTCAACCCGGGCAAAGCCCAGCCCCAAGGGAAAGGCACTTGGTTCCTAGGCAAAGGCAGGGGCCGGTCAAGCATGGGGCTGAGATGCCCCCGGGGTGAAGTCCACTATGCTTGGCAGCCTGATATGGGGTTTGTTTGTGATGGGCAGAGGGTCTCTATTGAAGCCTCAGGGCACCACCTCCACAAGGAACCTCAGTGCCATAGACTGTGTGCAAAGGAGTGCTATCAGTACAGGGACCAAAACCCAGGAGTGAAAACAACTTCAACAGCAAAAGCAGCAGCAGCAGTGTCCAGTATCAAGTCTGTCCATGTGCTGGATGCTGGGCTGACCACTACTCAAATGTCACCCTTCACCGCAACCCAGTGAGGTAGGTTCTGTAATTATCCTCATTTTACCAATGAGAAAAACTGAGTCTCAGAGGGCAATTTGACTGAAGCCACGTGGCTGCAAGTGTAGAGAAAGAATCTGAACCCAGACAATCTGGCTTCAGAGCTCAGCTGGCCTCCTTATCCTGGTTTGGCCCTTTAAATCCAGTTTGGTTGTGGGAAACTGAGAGACCTCCAGGGCATTCCTCACATAGGGTGAGTTGAGTTTGGGCCTCCAAGTAGACTTTGGCCTGGAAGCCAAGATGTTACTGAGGAAAATAAACAATAGCTATTTCAGGTGACAGGTGCTGGGCTGTGGAATTGTGCGGGGGGAAATGTCAAGCTGCAAGGGTTTCCTCATTGTAAATTTTTGTATGTTCAGCAGAACAAGCGTCATCAGAAAGCTGCTCTGTTGCCAGCGTCGCCCCTGGAGACAGAGGGCAGGAGCAGGAAGTGTCCTTTCTCTGTGACCGCAGGTCCTCTCGGGGCTTACCTCTTACTCAGCCCTGCCCTGGGTTCCAGCCGAGGCCTCTCGGGGGGTGGGCAGACGTTCTTGGAGTGCTCCCAGGCGTGCTGCTGCCCTTTGCAGGCTCCTTGTCAGGGTAGAACCGGCCTGTCCTCACATCCTGCCCAAACACATGCAGACTAGGATGCAGCAGGCTAGCAGCTCTGCTCAACACGCCTCCAAATGGGTGTGAAAGGCCGGCGGGGCTGGGGACGCAGGAGTGTTCATATTTTCAAGTGGCTGCTGCCCATGAATCACCAACTTCATTTTGTGCTCTCAGCTCTGCGAAGGCATCATTTCCACCCAGACTCACATGGAGCTGGCGGCCAGAGCCTCTTAGTGGGGCTATAAATAGCAGATCATCAACTCACCTCCTCTGAGCTCATCACAGGCTCCTCGGTTTACTGTGCGTCTTCCAGCTGCCTGCACGTCACTGTCACTCAGATTTCCCAGATGAAACCTGGCTGAGAGACTCAGGGCATGCTTTAGGTGGCTGCAGGGTTTTGGTTTCCAGAGCTGTTTAGGGTGACAGTGAGTGCAACAGCAGACTTTTGAAGCACTTGACATTTAAGACGTCATCATTATAATCTCAGGTCTCTGTGCTCCTCTCCAATTAAATGCAGTAGGAAGGGTCTGTCATTTCTCTATGAGTCCTAGAAACCAAAGGCAAAGGACTCACCAAACACACACCCAGAGAAAGCCATACGGAATGGGTAGCAGCAAATGAAAGGCTTCATGCTGGCTGGGCATGGTGGCTCACACCTGTAATCCCAGCACTTTGGGAGGCTGAGGCCGGTGGATCACTTGAGGTCAGGAGTTCAAGACCAGCCTGGCCAACATGGTGAAACCCCATCTCTCTTAAAATACAAAATATTAGCTGGGCGTGGTGGCGTGCATCTGTAAGCTCAGCTACTCGGGAGGCTGAAGCACAACAATCGCTTGAACCTGGGAGGCAGAGGTTGCAGTGAGCCAAAATCATGCCACTGCACTCCAGCCTGGGCAACAGAGCAAAACTCTGTATAAAAAAAAAAAAAGGCTTCATGTCTTCCTGTGGACTTTCTTCCTTGCACTCTGAATGAAATACTTTATGGCTCCCTGGCTTCAGAAGTGAGATTGCATTTTTTAGTATTACCCTTAGAGCTTCCATACAGAGTCTCTCCTTGTGTCAGGCACTGTGTCCAGCCTCTGCATGCAGCATCTCATCGAGTCACCACAAAGCCATATTGAGTTAACTGCTGGCAACATTTTCTTTCTATAGGTGAGGAGGCTGTTGCTCACAGAGGACAGGTGACTCAGCCAGAGCCACAGAGTCAGGATTTCAATCCAGGGCTGCTGGATTACAGAGCCCAGTCTCTGAATCACCAGCCTTTCTGACTCCTGCAGAAGAGGGCTATGTTTGTGTCCATGCATGTGCCTACGTATCTTTGACTGAGAGATGTGAATGACAGTTTCCCTTCCCAGTTCCACATACTCCATGACTGTAAGTAGGAGCCAGGTGCTCACAGATTCACCATCCCCCAAGTCCCAGGCCCCTTTGTCACCTGGAATGTCCCATGTCATCATCTCCCAAATCTGATTTTCTTCTAAGGTTGCCTTGCAGGCCGGGCACCAGTCTCCAGGCAGCTCTCCTGGCCCAGTTTGATGGTCTTCTTCATGTTTTCCTCCCTTCAGCCCCTTAAACAGGCAGAGGCCAGGTGGGGCTCGCCTCAGGGTAGCATCCCCATCTATTTCCCCTCTCTCCCTAGACTCCCAGCCCCATATTTGGGGTCTGGTCCCCTTTAGCAGCCTGTCACAATGACCTCTGCACCTGTGGAATGTTTTGAGAATGCAGATTCCTAGTTCCCTCCCCAAACCACCTGAAACAAAATCTTGAAGGGCAGAGGCTGGGGTGTGGATTTTTTTTTTTGAGACGGAGTTTTGCTCTCCTTGCCCAGGCTGGAGTGCAATGGCACAATCTCGGCTCACCGCGACCTCCACCTCCCGGGTTCAAGTGATTCTTCTGCCTCAGCCTCACGAGTAGCTGGGATTACAGGCATGTGCCACCACGCCTGGCTAATTTTGTATTTTTAGCAGAGATAGGGTTTCTCCATGTTGGTCAGGTTGGTCTCAAACTCCCGACCTCAGATAATCCACCCGCCTCGGCCTCTCAAAGTGCTGGGATTACAGGCGTGAGCCACTGTGCCTGGCCTGGGGTGTGGATTTTTACAAAGGTCTCCCAGTGATCTGATCTAGAGCCCCCTGGACTCTAGCCTCTCCCTCTCTGAACCTTCTGAGCTACAGCTATCAACTTAATTTTCCTTTTTTTTTTTCTTTTGACACAGGGTCTCACTCTGTTGCCCAGGCTGGAGTGCAGTGGCGCAATCTCAGTTCACTGCAACTTCCGTTCCCTGCAACCTCCAGCTCCCGCGTTCAAGCGATTCTCCTGCCTCGGCCTCCCAAGTAGCTGGGACTACAGGTGCCTGCCACCACACCCAGCTAATTTTTGTATTTTTATTTATTTATTTTTCTGAGACAGGGTCTCGCTCTGTCACCCAGGCTGGAGTGCAGTGGTGCAATCTTGGCTCACTGTAACCTCTGCCTCCTGAGTTCAAGCAATTCTCCTGCCGCAGCTTCCCAAGTAACTGGGACTACAGGCGCCTAACACTACGCACGACTAATTTTTGTATTTTTAGTAGAGATGGGGTTTGGCCATGTTGGCCAGGCTGGTTTTGAACTCCTGACCTCAGGTGATCCACCTGCCTCGGCCTCCTAAAGTGCTGGGATAACAGGTGTGAGCCACTCCTCCCGGCCAACTTAATTTTCTGAAAGCACAGTTTGTCTCATGTTACTCTCCTGCTCAAAATCCTTGGGTGGCTCCCAATGCCTGCAGAAAAATCCAAAGACCTTGGTGTGGCATTCAAAGCCCTATCCATCTGGTCTACTCACTCGTCTGCTAACTTTTCCCTGTCACGGGCTCCCAGCCTGGCTTTCCCGCCTTAGCTTGTCTGGACTTTCTGTATCAGGGCACAGTGGAGCACACTGAAATGGCAGCAATCCTTCCCTAAGACTGTGAGCCCTTCTATAAGAGGAATGACTGCTAAAGTGTCCTCATAATTTGAGAGCCTTGTGTGCAGCTTTACATGAGGGGGTTTTGTGTGGCCTGCAGATGAAAGGAGATCCACCAGCAGATGCAACACAATAGCACTAATGTGTCAACACAGGAGAGTAGAGAAGTGGGGCTCATGCTGAATTCCAAAGAGATGATATTTCAGCGTTCCCCTTGCTTTTTATTCATGCACAGGAGATGGACCAGACCTTCAAGCACTGGGGCAAGGGCCGTGCTGCCAAGCGCCTCTCCAGCTTTTCCATCCCCATTCCAAAACAAAAGCAGAGAGACATATTTGGGTCTGGTTGCTGTTGTTCAAAAGGTCAAGAGTGTTTTACCGATACCATTAAACAATGTGTGTGCTCGGCGTGGTGGCTCACGCCTGTAATTCTAGCACTTTGGGAGGCCGAGACAAGTGGATCAACTGCGGTCAGGAGATCAAGAGCAGCCCAGCCAACATGGTGAAACCCTGTCTCCACTAAAAATACAAAAATTAGCCTGATGTTATGGTGCATGCCTGTAGTCCCAGCTACTCGGGAGGCTGAGGCAGGAGAATTGCTTGAACCTGGGAGGCAGAGGTTGCCGTGAGCCGAGATCGTGCCACTGCATTCCAGCCTGGCGACAAAACGAGACTCTGTCTCAAAAAAAAAAAAGAAAAACAAACAAACAAAAACAAAACGAAGTGTGTGTTTAGACTTTGATCCACTTCCCATAAAGAAACATCTACCACAAAGCAAAACAAAAAGCAACTGTGTTGACTGAAAGCAAGATTTCAGAACAGGGCCTGGAAAGTGTCCCCCGAAAATGCTTCAGAGTGAAAACTTACACGAAAGAACTTCTGGTTAAACGTGGCAGAGGAGTCTCTTGTGAATTGTGAATCTCTGCTCCCTCCCAAGCCCTACCAAATACAACAATACAGGAGTAAAAAAGAGTTAAAAAAAAAAAAACAAAAACCCGACAAGGTCTCTGAGAATAGAAGAGGAGGCAGCAGCAGACGGAGGATGTCACCACATTTTCGTAAGGTGGGAAGCAGAGGAAGGAGTGGTGAGTCACACAGAGGCATGGAGGGAGCTGAGGCCTGATCCCACAGAGGGGAGGAGAGAGGCAGGTGGAACTGCTGGGAGACAGAGGACCGCGCTGTGAATGGCAGGAGTGTGGTGCCTGCCTGAGAGCCAGGTGAGAGGCCCAGGTGGGCAGTGGGCTGTCTGCTCCTGCCCACTCCTGAAGGAGACCTGAGGTTTACTCCCTGGGGAATTTGGATCAGCACATCAGGTACTGTGAAGAGCAGGTATGGGGTGCAGAACTGGAAATATGGGGAACAAAAGGAAATCTAGATACTAAAAGGTAAACTCTCAGCCCCTTTTCCTCACCCTGTTTCTAGATAACCTAGGAGCCAGGCACATTTCTCACCCCTTCACCCCACCCCAACCCACCCCCTACTCCACGACCACCACCTGAAAATGAAAGAACCTTTTTCTGTAGAAATTGAGCAGGCTCAAAGGGAAGACCTTTAGATACAGGCATTTGGGGCCCTCAATGAAAGAGCAGCTCAGGGACAACCACGCCGCGCAGGGAAGTCCCCCATTAGTCAAGCTCTACCCAAGCAGGTTGGCCATCCATCTAGTCATCTCTTCAGCACATAATCCTTTAATATGATCAGAGAGAAGAAGAAAACTTTTAAAAATGCTATAAAATCCTCAGGGAGATAAAATAAGATTTATATTTCAAGGTTCATTTTCATGAACTGGCAGAAAACCAGGGATAAAGAAAAGACTCTAAAAGGATCCAGAAAGAAAACAGGTGACTCCAAAGGATCAGGAATGAGAATGGGAGTAGGCTTCTCAGGAGCAGTGCTGGAAGCTGGAGCAGAATGGAGCAAGGCCTTCAGAATTCTGAGTGAGAATGATTTACAGCCTAGAGATCTAAACCCAAACCATTAGTCAAGAGGAATGGTACAGTAAAAAGATATTTTCAGGGCAGGTGCAATGGCTCACACCTGTAATCCCAGCAGTTTGGGAGCACGAGGCAGGCCAATCATGAGGTCAAGAGATTGAGACCATCTTGGCCAACATGGTGAAACCCGTCTCTATTAAAAATTATGGCCAACATAACCCGTCTCTATTAAAAATACAAAAATTAGGCATGGTGGCGTGCGCCTGTAGTCCCAGCTACTCTGGAGGCTAAGGCAGGAGAATCACTTGAACCTGGGAGGCAGAGGTTGCAGTGAGTGAAGATAGCGCCACTGCACTCCAGCCTGGGCAACAGAGCAAGACTCATCTCAAAAAAAAAAAAAGAAAAAAGAAAGAAAAAGAAGGTAGGTAATGTCCAAAGCTGACAAATCAACAAAATAGCAGTATAGGCATTTTTAGGAATATGGGAGGCAGTTAAAACTGGGAAAAACAACGGAAAAGGATGAACTGACTACCTCTGGGGATCAGAGCAGGGATGGGATTGAGTGGGATTGGGTAGAACAGTGCACTGCTATTTTTCATCATACACCTTTTAGTACTTTTGACTTTTTTTTAAGTTGGGTTCTCACTCTGTCACCCACGCTGAAGTGCAGAGGTAGGATCATAGCTCACTGCAACCTTGAACATTTGGGCTCATACAATCCTCCCACCTCAGCCTCTGAAGTAGCTAGGCCTACAGGTGCACGCTGCCATGTCCAGCTAAATTTTTTTTTTGGAGAGACAAGATCTCACTATGTTGCCCAGGCTGGTCTAGAACTCCTGGCCTCAAGTGATCCTCCCTCCTTGGCCTCCCAAAGTGCTGGTATAACCCAGATGAGCCACTGTGCCCAGTCCCTTTTGACTTTTTAATTTTTGTGTGTATTTACATTATTTTCACAAAAATAAAAGGTAATTTTTAAAAGAAAAAAATTTAAATTGAGAAAAACAAAATAGCAAAAAGTGTTAGTCGTTGATTACTTATGTCTCTGATTTATTTCCGTTATGCTGACTTTTCTCTTTCTCATCTTCTTTCTTTTTTTTTTTTCCTGAGACAGAGTCTCGCTCTGTTGCCCAGGCTGGGGTGCAGTGGCGTGATCTCAGCTGACTGCAACCTCCTCCTCCTGGGTTCAAGCAATTCTCCTGCTTCAGCCTCCTGAGTGGCTGGATTACAGGCATGTGCCACCACACCTGGCTAATTTTTTTTGTATTTTTAGTAGACAGGAGGTTTCACCACGTTGGCCAGACTGGTCCCGAACTCCTGACCTCAAGTGATCTGCCCGCCTCAGCCTTCCAAAGTACTGGGATTACAAGTGTGTGCCACCATGCCTGGCCCCAAGGCTTAACTCTTGATTGGAAAATATGATAGAGTTGCCAGATAAAATATATTTAGGATATTTTCACATTAAAATGTTATTTATTATTTTTCTGAAATTCAAATTTTACTCGTCCTCTTGTATTTTTATATTCTATTTGTTTGCTAAATCTGGAAACCTAAAAAGTGGACTCTTTTTTCTTTAACCACACAAACTAGGACTGTGACCAAAGAGAGATACTGAAACCAGAACGTTCTTCTGCAATTGATATTCACAACTAACTGACTAAACATTCTGGTCGAGGATGAGCAGTGATTTGGTATCTAGTACAGATGTGTATGGTGTGATGCCAACCAGCCCCTGGCCAGTCTCTGTGAGCCTAGAAGCATACATACTTAAGGGAGTGCAGGTCTTGCCCTGCGACCTGCAGCAGCACACTCCGCCTCCCCCACCTCTTTCCCCTCCCTCTGGTCCTCCTTTCTCCATCTGTCCCTTAGGGCTTAGGAGCTGAGCCCAAGGCTTCTGTAGGTTATCACCATCCCTGGGCTGCCTTCTTCCTCCTGAGAGGGGGCAGGGCAGGATGAGAAATGACCTCCATTTAGCTAAATTCAGGAGTGAGATGACATCCATGTCACTATCTTTTGCTTTTTATGGAAAAAATATCTCTTTAGGCAAATTTCTTACATAGTTGCTTAATCTTGTCTAAAATGTGCTTTATTTAAGAGTTTCACTCTCAGAGGAGGATTTTGTTCTTCAATTGTGGAGTGATCTCTATCACCAGTGACTAAAGGTAGGAATGGAATAATTTTCTCCCTTTTATGCTCAGGAAGCTATCCTTTGGTGTTAATAGAATTAAGACTAAGGAAACAGATGAGTCCTCCTGAAAGCTAAAATCATCTCTGGAATATATACATATGTAATTTGGAAATACATAAATTTATACAGTAAAAGAGAAACAGCTAAAATCTGGATATGTACAAATACAGAAGAATACAAATATAAAGCATTTTTATTGTTTTGACATTAATTATTCCTTTTTTTCAGCAGATGTTGGAGCACAGAGAGCCATACCCCAAAATATGATGCTTCGGCATGCTGACTGCTTTGAAAATTGAAAGGCCTCAGAAATAATCCTCAGTGCCAGGGTCTCCCTCTGACCTCCCCCTACCTCCCTTTCTCTCTGATCCTGTCTCTCCCAAAGCACAGAATGAAGCTGTTCTCTGAATTCCCTTATCTACCTAGAAACTGGACCCCCAAAGAGGAACACAATTTGCCTTTGATCCCTTCCCTGAAATTTCATTAACCAGAGAAAATTAAAACTTCTATCACAAAGGAAGAGACTGAACATTAAACACCATAGCTACAGCCCAGACAAACTTCTTCCCAAACCATTGTTTGTTCTCCTGCCTGTTAAATTGCCAGAGAATCATTCACAAGATAAAGTCTGCCTTCTGGGTCCATTCATTCCCCACTAAAAATCTTTTACTCCTACACCCTCATGTCTCCTTCCTCCATGAAGAAGGGTCTATAAACCTCTAGGCCTCATTGGGTTATTGGGTAATCATTCTCATGCAGTTCCCCTGTGCTCTGCATGTTAAATAAATTTGTATGCCTTTTTCTCCTACCTGCCTTTTGTCATTTTCAGTGAACCTTCAGAAGGTAAAGGCAGAAGCTTTCCTTCTTTGCCCCTATAGTGTCAACAACAGCCAGCCAGGCAAAGGGTTTCAGAAACCCAAGTGGGATTAAGATGATTAGCCACATGGCTCTATTCTACAAACTAGTGGTCAGAATAACAAGCGTTTGCTTATTAGGAGGTCGAGGTGGGAGAATTGCTTGAGTTCAGGAGTTTTGAGACGAGCCTGGGCAACACAGTGAGACCCTGTCTCTATTTAATAAAAATAAAATAAAATAAAAATGTTTAAGTTTGCTTAAACATTTTCAAAGCTTTCTAAAAACAAATGGCTGTGTCCATATATATATATTTAATTATAAAATAATCATGTAAAATATTTAATCATGTTCAATCATGCATGTATTGTAGACCTGTGAGATGGCCATTCTTTTGAATTCTCCCAATGACTTAGGAGCTCAGTTCAATCCCAGAAAGTTTTTATATCTTTCAGACAGCTCTAATTGTTTAAAGGTCTTCCATTTAAAGATGAAATCTAGCTTTATATAGCTCTCACTCTTTGGCCCTATGCTTACCTTGAAAATTAAGGAAGAACAAGCCATCTTCTACAAAACAGCCTTCAAAGGTCTGAAGACATTACAGGGCTTCTGGAACTGCATCCTCTGCTCCTCCAGTAACCTGGTCTGCAGTTCTCCTCCATCTTCCTGTGAGCACTTTAGTTCACCGATGCTAGGCTTAAAATAAGACACTCACACTGAAATTCTCCTGGTATGGCCTGAGGCTAGCAAAATAGTGAAGGACTGACTTTCTGTGATCTGAAAGCTGAACATCGATCCAGTAAAGTAAAAGCAGCTAGTAGAATACTGTTTTAAGAATACCAGTTTTAAGGTTTCTGGCAGAGGAAAGACTTGTCTGATTCAACAGAAAAAAATAAGCTTATATTTACAAAAGGTTAAAACATTCACGCATTTTGATATAGAAATGCCATTTTATATGAACACAAGTAATGGATTAACAGACAAGCTTTGCAAGACAGAAGCTAACCAACCTGACTTTAATCGTCACTACCTTTGCAGTCAGGAGCTGGGTAACTTCCTGCAGTAAGAAGCCTTAGGGGAATGCAATTTCCATTGCTTTGTGATGTTAATTTAAGGCAATTATCGTAAGTAGACTCCCAAAAAGTTTTGCATATTATTTGTCCTTGTGAAAGCCCAGTGCTGTTGGAGAGTCGGGGTGCTGGAGAAGCCCTAGGAAAGGAATAGTCAGAATTTATGTTTTGTTTTGTTTTGTTTTTGTTGGGACAGAGTCTCACTCTGTTGCCCAGGCTGGTATGCAGTGGCACGATCTCTGCTCACTGCAGCTCTCCGCCCCCGGGGTTAAACTGATTCTCCCACCTTAGCCTCCTAAGTAGCTGGGATTATAGGCAACGCACCACCATGTCCGGCTAATTTTTGTATTTTTAGTAGAGAGGGGGTTTCACCATGTTGGCCAGGTTGGTCTCGAACCCCTGACCTCAAGTAAACTACCTGCCTTGGTCTTCCAAAGTGCTGGGATTACAGGCGTGAGCCACCGTGCCCAACCTAGAATTTACGTTTTTTTGTTTGTTTGTTTGTTTGTTTTGTTTTTTTTTTTAGAGACAAGTCTTGCCACATTGCCTAGGCTGGCCTTGGACTTCTGGGCTCAAGGGATCCTCCCAAGTAGCTGGGATTTAGATACTTCTGTAAGAGCTGAAGATCCCAAAGTTTGAAAACTTTTAGCGTTTTCCAACTTTCCTCTGAAAGGCTGGAAACCCTGCTCCAAGAGCACTCTCTACTTAGGTTTTTTTTTTTGAGACAGAGTCTTGCTCTGTCACCCAGGCTGAAGTGCAATGGCGCAATCTCGGCTCACTGCAACCTCCGCCTGCCGGGTTCAAGCGATTCTCCTGCCTCAGCCTCCCAAGTAGCTGGGATTACAGGCGCCTGCCACCATGCCTGGCTAATTTTGTATTTTTAGTAGAGATGGGGTTTCAACATGTTGGCCAGGCTAGTCTCGAACTCCTGACCTCAGGCGATCCACCCACCTTGGCCTCCCAAAGTGCTAGGAATACAGGCGTGAGCCACCGCCTCTGGCCTCCATTTAGTATTTTCTCGGCACCTGCATTTTCAGTTTTTCCTCGGCAGGAAGGGCAAGAATAAAACTGCTTCTCCAGTTCATTTGGCTGTATTAGAACAGTTTTGCTGTGTATGGAGGGAAAAAAATGGGCATTTTGTTCTCCTTGACACTTCCGGGACCACTATGCATTTAAGTTATGTGCTGAGCTTGACTGTGGTGGGAAGAAAGGTGACCCTGGGGTCCATGGCTCAGTGGTCCTGTAACCCACTAGGAGGTCTCCTTGAGCCATTTCTGGGGGTGGGAGAGGATTCACCTGTTGGATTGTCCCCCCATCCCCCGCGTTGCATGGATCAAAATCGGAACAGAACAGCTGAAAGTGCTGGAGGATAAATAAGGACCAGCTGGAAGGCTGGGCGCGGTGGCTCACGCCTGTAATCTCAGCACTTTGGGAGGCCCAGGCGGGTGGATTGCCTGAGATAAGGAGTTCAAGACAAGCCTGGCCAACATGGTGAAACCCCATCTCTATTAAAAACACAAAAAGATTAGCTGGCCATGGTGGCATGTGCCTGTAATCCCAGCTACTCAGGAGGCTGAGGCAGGGGAATTGCTTGAACCAGGGAGGTGGAGGTTGCAGTGAGCCGAGATCATGCCACTGCACTCTAACCTGGGCAACAGAGTGAAAATCCATCTCAAAAAAATAAAATAAAATAAAAAAAGGACCAGCTGTTTTCCAGCCCCACGTTTCAGTGCCAGGGCCTCTGGGCCAGGCACTTCTATTGAACATCAGCCACAGAGCTGGGGGGCTGCACAAAGAGGAAAGAGACTGCTCAAAAGAGTCTGGAAATTCAAGAATGTGAGAGTAATGATTGCTGTAGCTGTTCACCAGCTTTAAAGAGTAAGCCTGCAACTCGTAGGTATGGAAACTTAGGTATAAACCTGGATTTGGCAAAACGTAGTAAAAACTTTAAAAGTGTGCATGAGGGCTGGGCACGGTGGCTCACACCTGTAATCCCCAAACTTTGGGAGGCTAAGGCAGAAGAATTGCTTGAGCATAGGAATTCAAGACCAGCCTGAGCAACATGACAAAACCCTGTCTCTATGAAAAATTTAAATAAAATTAGCCGGGCGTGGTGGCGCACCTGTAGTCCCAGCTACCCAGGAGGCTGAGGTAGGAGGATTGCTTGAGTCCAGGAGGTCAAAGCTGCTGTGAGCTTCCACCAAAGGCTGTGTGTCCCCAGTTAAAAAAAAAAAAAAAAAAAAAAAGCCAGGTGTGGTGGCTCACACCTGTAGTCCCAGCACTTTGGGAGGCTGAGGTGGGTGGATCACGAGGTCAGGGGTTCGAGACCAGCCTGGCCAACATAGCAAAACCCTGACTGTACTAAAAAAAAATACAAAAATATTATCCGGGCGTGGTGGCAGGCACCTGTAGTCCCAGCTACTTTGGAGGCTGAGGCAGGAGAATTGCTTGAACCCGGGAGGCAGAGGCTGCCATGAGCTGAGATCATGCCACTGCACTCCAGCCTGGGCAACAGAGCAGAAAAAAAAAAAAAAAGGAAAAACCCTAGATGTCGGTAGAAGTTCAGTTTTCAGAGGTGAAGGGGGAAAAACTTCCCCCTTCACCCTCTGAAGATTCACTGAAAATGAACTGACAAAACGCGCAGATTAATAGGAGAAAAAGGCATACATATTTATTGATGGGAGGGGGAAATTGGGGATCACGAAGTGATTACCCAAATAATCCTATGGTGCCCAGATGCCCCCAGATGCTTATATAACTTTATTCACAGAGGAGGGGAAATGTAGGTCATTCTTTTGAGGGGCAATAAATGATTATTAGGGAGAATGAATGGACCTTGGAGAACAGAAATTAAGCTGTAAATGATCCTCTTTGCAGTTGAGTGAGCCTTAGAAACAGACATGATCTTGTGAAAAGGTCAGTCCAGGTAGGGTTATATTCCTCAATCTTCTTTTTTGCAGTAGATAATGAGATACATGGGAGGTGATGGAAAACAGTTGTTTTCTTTGGTGGATCCAGTTTTTTGTTTGTTTGTTTTTTGTTTTTTTTTTTGAGACAGACTCTCCACTCTGCAAACTCCGCCTCCCGGGTTTGAGTGATTCTCGTGCCTCAGCCTTCCAAGTAGCTGAGAGTCCAGGTGCCCACCATCATGCCTGGCTAATTTTTGTATTTTTTGTTTGTTTGTTTGTTTTTGAGGCGGAGTCTCGCTCTGTCGCCCAGGCTGGAGTGCAGTGGCTCACTTGGCTCACTGCAAGCTCCGCCTCCCGGGTTCACACCATTCTCCTGCCTCAGCCTCCCGAGTAGCTGGGACTACAGGCACCTGCCACCCCGTCCAGCTAATTTTTTTTTTTTGTATTTTTAGTAGAGACAGGGTTTCACTGTGTTAGCCAGGATGGTTTCAATCTCCTGACCTCATGATCCACCCGCCTCAGCCTCCCAAAGTGCTGGCATTACAGGCATGAGCCACTGCGCCCTGCCTAATTTTTGTATTTTTAATAGAGACGGGATTTCACCATGTTGGCCAGGCTGGTCTCAAACTCCTGACCTCAGGTGATCCGCCTGCCTTGGCCTCCCAAAGTGCTGGGATTACAGGTGTGAGCCACTGCACCCAGCCCACAAATTTATATAAGTTTTACATGACACAGTAGTCTTCAGAAATGAGGACTCAAAAAGCAGGTAAAATTGTGTATTTTTATGCTTAAGGTTTTTTGTTTTGTTTTGTTTTGTTTTGTATTTTTGAGATGGAGCCTCTCTTAGTTGCCCAGGCTGGAGTACAGTGGTGCCATCTAAGTTCACTGCAACCTCCACCTCCCTGGTTCAAGTGATTTTCCTCCTTCAGCCTCCTAAGTAGCTGGGACTACAGGTGTGCACCACCTCCCCCAGCTAATTTTTGTGTGTGTATTTTTAGTAGAGATGGGGTTTGGCCATTTTGGCCAGGCTGGTCTTGAACTCCTGGCCTCAGATAATCTGCCTGCCTTGTATGCTTAGGTTTGTCGGAACATGGACAGTTGTGGAGTAATGTGATTGGAGGACAAAGGGTTATGCTCAGCAGGGCACAGTGGCTCGTGCGTGTAATCCCAGCAATTTTGGAGGCTGAGGTAGGAGGATCACTTGAGCCCAGGAGTTCCAGACCAGCCTGGGCAATATAGCAAGATGCCATCTCTACAAAAAATAAAAAATTAGCTAGGTGTGGTGGCACGGCCTGTAGTCCCACCTACTGGGAGACTTAGGTGGGAGGATTGCTTGAGCCTGGGAGATGGAGGCTGCAGTGAGCTGTGATTGCCACTACACTTCAGCCTGGGTGACAGAGCAAGACCCTATTTAAACAAAAAAAAGGTATGATCTAATGATAATAAACTCAGTGAAACCTAGTAAGGCCTGTTTGTTTAGATTCTTTTTCTCCGTGTCTTCAGGAATAAGGATATTCCTGTCTTCTGGCTACAGGAAGGGTACCTCTTGAATGAGGGCCTTATGACCTGCTTCAGGGGAAAAGGTCAGAGAGTAACTTTCTAGGTTTTTTTTTTTGTTTTGTTTTGTTTTTAGTTTTCTTAAATTTTTTTTTGGCTGTAAGTTTATTCAATGCAAAATAATCCTCTCCAATTTTACTGAGGTGGCTGAACACATCCACCATCAAATCCGCCTCTAAACTGGAATTCGGTTGCTGACCCAGCCCCAACCTCGGCTTTCTTGTTGGCACCAGGGGGCAAAACACTTTGTCTGTGGGTATCTCTGTCGGCTTCCCCTCTTGTGAGTCTTGCAGGTCACTTACCCTCCAGACCTTTAGGCTGAGGCTTGCCAGTCTCTGGATGGCTGTGGCATAGGGTGGCAGGCACAATTTCCAGGAGCAGATGAAGGTAATCATGGAGATACTGGATACCCTCATTGATAAGGTACTAGTAGAAATGTCTCCAAGCAAACTGTTCCTTCACATAGCCCCGGGACTTGGAAGACTGCATGGCCTTCATGACATGAAGGTTGGGCACATTCTTGTCTGCCAGCTCCGGGTGCTTAGGCATGTAGACCTCCTTCTTGGCCACCATGACTCCCTCCTTAAAAAGGAGTTCATAAATGGCAATCCAGTTCTTCTTAGGCATCAACATCTCTGCGGCTCTAGGCTGGAAAGGCCTTCCTAGGTTGTATGACCTGTTTTGGGGGGAAGGGAGAGGAGAAGGGATGGTGAGAGTGACCTTCCTCTTGCTGCTTTCTCAAATGCCAAGGTGCCATGTTTTAGGGTAGCATGTTCTGACTCCATCAATATCAAAATATAATAATAATAATTATAAGAATAAAGAAAAAATAGACCAATCTAATTCATAAATATTTAAAAATCATAAATAAAATTATAGCAAACAAAATCCAAAAACATACTGAAAGAATAATATACTATGTCCAAATGGAGTTTAATCTAGGAATAGAAATAAGGTTTGATATAAGAAAATCTACTAATGTAAGTCATTATATTAATAATTCTACATAGGAAACATGGTTATCTATAAATACTGAGAATGCAAAATTAAATATTTGTTCTATTTCTTTCTTTTTCTTTTCTTTTCTTTCTTTCTTTCTTTTTTTTTTTTTTTTTGAGATAGGGTCTTGCTCTGTCACCCAGGCTGGAGTGCAGTAATGTAATTATAGGTCACTGCAGCATGAGTTCCTGGGTTCAAGTGATGCTCCTGCCTCAGCCACCCAAGTAGCTAAGGCTACAGGTGTACATCACCACTCATGGCTAGAATATCCATAATTAGCTTAGGGTTTCTAGGTCCTTAATAAAAATAATTAGTAAGGAATATTCTGTAAGGTAATCTTAGAAGGAGGAAGAAGAGGGAAAAGAGGAGGAAGAATAAGGAGGAGAAAAGAGAAGGAGGGAGAAACAGGAGGAGGAAGAAGAAAAGGAGGAAGAGAAAGGAGAAGAAGGAAGGAAGAAGGAGAAGGAGGAAGAGGAAGGAGAAGAAGAGGAGGAAGAGGAAGGAGAAGAAAGAAGAAGAAGAGGAGCAGGAGGAGGAGGAGAAAAGAAGAAGAAAAGAAAAGAAGAGGCCAGGCGCAGTGGCTCATACCTGTAATCCCAGCACTTTGGGAGGCCAAGGCGGGTGGATCACGAGGTCAGGAGAACGAGACCATTCTGGCTAACACGGTGAAACCCCGTCTCTACTGAAAATACAAAAAATTAGCCGGGAGTGGTGGTGGGTGCCCTACTCGGGAGGCTGAGGCAGGAGAATGGCGTGAACCTGGGAGGCGGAGCTTGCAGTGAGCCGAGATCACACCACTGCACTCCAGCCTGGGTGACAGAGCGGTACTCTGTCTCAAAAAAAAGAAAAAGAAAGAAAAGAAAAGAAGAAGAAAGGTGGTCTCGGTGGCTCATGCCTGTAATTCTAGCACTTTGGGAGGCTGAGCACTTTGGGAGGATTGCTTAAGCACAGGAGTTGCCATGCTGTAGCATGGGCAACATAGTGAGACCTTGCCTCTATGATATGGTTTCTCTGTGTCCCCACCCAAATCTCAACTTGAATTGTATCTCCCAGAATTCCCATGTGTTGTGGGAGGGACCCAGGAGAAGGTAATTGAATCATGGGGGCCGGTCTTTCCCATGCTATTCTTGTGATAGTGAATAAGTCTCACGAGATCTGATGGGCTTATCAGGGGTTCCTGCTTTTGCTTCTTCCTTATTTTTCTCTTGACACCGCCATGTAAGAAGTGCCTTTTGCCGCCATGATTCTGAGGCCTCCCCAGCCATGTGGAACTGTAAGTCCAATTAAACCTCTTTTTCTTCCCAGTCTCAGGTATGTCTTTATCAGCAGTGTGAAAATGGACTAATACACTCTACCAAAAAAAATTTGTTTTTTTGAGACAGAGTCTCACTCTGTCACCAGGCTGGAGTGTGGTGGCACAATCTTGACTTACTGCAAACTTCACCTCCTGGGTTCAAGCGATTCTCCTGCTCAGCCTCCCAAGTAGCTGGGACTACAGGCACACACCACCATGCCTAGCTAATTTTTGTATTTTTAATAGGGACGTGGTTTCACCTTGGCCAGGATGGTCTCAATCTCTTGACCTTGTGATTTGCCCACCTCGGCCTCCCAAAGTGCTGGGATTACAGGTGTGAGCCACCACGCCCAGCCAAAATTTTTAAAAATCAGCTGGACGTGGTGGTGTGTACCAGCTGCTTGGGAGGCTGAGGTGGGAGGATCACTTAAGTCTAGCAGGTTGAGGTTGCAGTGAGCCTCGAATGTGCCATTGCACTCCAGCCTGGGCAACAGAGTGAGACTGTGTCTCAAAAGAAAAAAAAAATGGAAAAGAAAAGGTGGAGCCTAATTTCCCTACTTGTGAATGTGTACTGGACTTAGTGACTCACTTTCAATGAATACAGTAAGTAAAAAATGATGGCATGTGACCTATGACCCCAAGTCACAAAAGATAGCATGGCTTCTTCCTTGCTTTTTCTTAGTTCACTTACTCTGAAGGAAGACCTCCTGCCATGTGAGGACACTCAAGCAGTCTTGTGGAGAGATCCATGTAGTAATGAACTGAGATCTGCTGCAAACAGCCATGTGAATGAGCCATCTCAGAGGTAGATCCTCCAGCGCCAAACTTTCACATAACTGAAACACCAGAAAACAAATTAAGACAGTCTTGAATTCCTGATTCACAGAAACTATGAGATAATATTTATATTTTAAGTCACTACATTTTGGAGCAATTTGTTATGCAGTCATATGACTAATACAGAAGGCAAAATAAAGACATTTTCAGGTAGACAACAGGTGAATGAACTTGGCCCCAGCAGACTTGTACTACAGAATTTTTTTTTTTTTTTTTTCTTGAGACAGGATCTTGCTTAGCCTCCTGAGTAGCTGGGATCACAGACACATGCCATGACACCTGGCTACTTTTTGTTTGTTTGTTTATTTTTGAGATGGAGTCTTGCTCTGTGGCCCAAGCTGGAGTGCAGTGGCGATCTCAGCTCACTGAAGCCTCCACCCACTGGGTTCAAGTGATTCTCCTGCCTCAGCCTCCCAAGTAGCTGGGATTACAGGCACGGGCCACCACGCCCAGCTAATTTTTGTATTATTATTATTATTATTTGAGACGGAGTTTCCCTCTGCTGCCCAGGCTGGAGTGCAGTGGTGCAATCTCGGCTCACTGCAGCCTCTGCCTCCTGGGTTCTACCAATTCGCCTGCCTCAGCCTCCCAAGTAGCTGGGATTACAGGCACGCACCACTACACCTGGCTAATTTTTTGTATTTTTAGTAGAAACAGGGTTTCACCATGTTGGCCAGGCTGGTCTTGAACTCCTGATCTCAGGTGATCCACCCACCTCGCCCTCCCAAAGTGCTGGAATTACAGGCATGAGCCACCATTTTTATATTTTTAGTAGAGATAGGGTTTCACCATTTTGGCCAGGTTGGTCTCAAACTCCTGACCTCAGGTGATCTGCCCACTTTGGCCTCCCAAAGTGCTGGGATTACAGGCATGAGCTACCATGCCCAGCTTAATTAATTTTTTTATTAATTAATTAAGGCTGGTGTTTAACTCCTTGGCTGAAGCAATTCTTGCACCTTGTCCTCCTCAAGTGCTGGGATTACAGGCATTAGCCATCTTGCCCGGCCTGAGGATTTCTAATGTAAAATTTTCAGGTAGAAGGAAAATGAAACCAGATGGAGGGTAAGAGATAGATAAGGAATGGATAACAAATAAAGTGGTAAATATATGTAAGATCTAATGTTTCACTGGATTTAAAAATATACCACAACAATAAGAAGGCCTAAATAAATGGAGAGATATACCATGTTCATGGATCGGGGGATTTGATATAATGATGTTAATTCTCCCCGAGTTGATTTATGGACTAAAGATAATCCCAATTAAAATACCAGCAACATTTATTTCTAGAAATTGATGCTAAAATTTATATCAAAAAGCAAAAGCTAAAATAGCCAAAACAGTTTTGTAAAAGAAGAACACATTTGGAGAACTCATACAACCTGATTTTAAGACTTGCCATAAATCTATAGCAGGGTTGGCAAAGTGGCCCACAGGTTAGCCTGCAGCCTGTTTTTGCAGGGCTTAAAAGCTAAAACTGCTTTTTCCAGTTTTAAATGGTTGAAAAAGGAAACAATAAAAATGTATGTAGCAGGAATTATATGTAGCCCACCCTTTACATTTGCAAACTCATGAGCTATAGTAATCAACACAATATGGGTTGCGTGTGGTGGCTCATGCCTGAAATCCCAGCACTTTGGGAGGCTGAGGTAGGTAAATCACGTGAGGTCAGGAGTTCGAGACCAGCCTGACCAACATGGAGAAACCCCAACTCTACCAAAAAAAAAAAAGAAAAAAAAATTAGCCAGGTGTGCTGGTGCACGTCTATAGTCCCAGCTACTTTGGAGACTGAAGCAGGAGAATTGCTTGAATCTGGGAGGCAGAGGTTGCAGTGAGCCAAGATCGTGCCACTGCACTCCAGCTTGGGTGACAGAGTAAGACTCTGTCTCAAAAACAAAAACGGGCTGTGCGCCGTGGCTCATGCCTGTAATCCCAGCACTTTGGGAGGCCAAGGTGGGCGGATCACCTGAGGTCAGGAGTTCAAGACCAGCCTGGCTAACATGGTGAAACCCCGTTTCTATTAAAAATAGAAAAAATTGGCCGGGCGTGGTAGCAGGCGCCTGTAGTCCCAGCTACTCCAGAGCCTGAGGCAGGAGAATCGCTTGAGCCCAGGAGGCAGAGGTTGCAGTGAGCTGAGATAGCACCATTGCACTCCAGCCTGGGCAAGAAGAGTGAAACTGCGTCTCAAAAACAACAACAACAACAACAAATGCCACAATATGGTATTAGCAAAAGGATGGACACATAGATCAGTGGAACAGAATACAGAGTCCAGAAATAGACTCACACATATATATGGTTAATTGATTTTTGACAAAGTTACCAAGGCAATTGAGTGAAAGAATAGTCTTTTCAACAAACTCTGCTGGAGCAATTAGATACTTACATGAAAAAAAAAAAAAGAGATAGTTTCTATCTCCAGAGCAAAGTGCAGGTTTATTTACTGTCCAGATAAAAGTAATTGCTCTGGAGAAAAGGTTGGGCAAATATGCTTGTAGTTCTTCTTTATTAATTATTGATGTTCTTTCAATTTAGAGTTCCTCAGCTGTGATACAAACCCACTTTGTATATCTCATCTAACTGGGCCCCTTAGCATAGCCCCTGTGGGACTTGGTGGACAAGGGGAACCAGGGCAAACATGAAGCTCATGCTGTTTGTTGTGCTATGAGTAATAAAGATCTTTGTCTTTGTCTCAAGATCTGTGTCTTTTGCCAGTATCCTTTGAAATTGTTGTATGGATACTTGTTAGGTTGAAAGTAGGAGTAAAATCTTACATCCTTTAGTGTCCTTTTTAAATCATAGCTCACTGTAGCCTTGAACTCCTGGGCTCAAGCAATCCTCCTGCCTCAGCCTCCTGAGTAGCTGGCACTACAGGCAAGTGCCATTACTCCCAGCTAATTATTGTAGTTTTTGTAGAGATGGGGTTTCACCATGTTGGCCAGGCTGGTCATGAACTCCTGGGCTCAAGCAATCCTCCTGCCTTGGCCCCTCAAAGTGCTGTGATTACAGGCATGAGCTACGCGCCTGGCACCTTTATTGTTTTGCTTTGAACCTAAAACAGCTCTAAAAAAAAAAAAGTCTATTAAACAGCAACAACAACACCTCAAAGCAAATATGGGAAAGGTTCATGTTGTTGGAGCAGGTAATGTGGTGTCTGTTACATTATTCTCCATAATTTTCCATATGTTTGAAATATATATATTTTTTTCTTTTTTTTCTTTTCTTTTCTTTTCTTTTTTTTTTCCTTGAGATGGAGTCTTGCTCTGTCACCCAGGCTGGAGTGCAGTGGCGTGATCTTGGCTCACTGCAAGCTCTGTGGCTCACTGCAAGCTCTGCCTCCTGGGTTCACACCATTCTCCTGCCTCAGCCTCCAGAGCAGCTGGGACTACGGGCGCCTGCTACCACGCCCGGCTAATTTTTTGTATTTTTAATAGAAACGGGGTTTCACCATGTTAGCCAGGATGGTCTCGATCTCCTGACCTCATGATCTGCCCACCTTGGCCTCCCAAACTGCTGAGATTACAGGCGTCAGCCACCGCGCCTGGCCTGAAATATTTCATAAACAAAAAATTAACTCTAACAAAGGGAAAAAAGAAAGAGGAAAAAAAGGGGGCAAGCGATCTGAATAGACATGTCCCCAAAAAGATATACACACGGCCAATAAGCACAAGAAAGATGCTCAGGATCATTACTTATTAGAAAAATGCAAATCAAAACAACAATGAGGTATCACTTTGTACCCCCTAGGATGGCTATAATTTAAAAATTAAAAAAGGGAAAATACTAAGTGTTGGCAAGAATGTGAGGAAGTTGGAACCCTCATGCATTACCAGTAGCACTGTGGAGAGTAGTTCAGACACTGTGGAAAACAGTTTGTTCAAAAAGTTAAACACAGCTGGGCACGGTGGCTCACACCTATAATCCCAGCACTTTGGGAGGCTGAGGCGGGAAGATCACCCGAGGTCAGGAATTCGAGACCAGTCTGGCTAACACGGTGAAACCCCCGTCTCTACTAAAAATACAAAAATTAGCCAGGCGTGCTGGCAAGTCCCTGTAGTCCCAGCTACTTGGAATGCTGAGGCACGGGAATCGCTTGAACCTGGGAGGCGGAGGTTGCAGTGAGCTGAGATCACGCCACTGCACTACAGCCTGGGCAACAGAGTGAGAATCTGTCTCAAAAAAAAAAGTCTGAATCATGAAAAAAAGTTAGAAACAACAAACTGGTCAATAACTGGACTTGCCACATTGTTCTGTGAAGTGTTAATTATTAACTTTTTTGTTTGTTTGTTTTTGAGACAAGGTCTTTCTCTGTCTCCCAGGCAGAAATGCAGTGTTGCTACTATAGCTCACTGCAGCTTTGAACTCCTGGGCTCAACCGATCATCCTGTTTCAGCCTCCCAAGCAGCTGGAACTATAGGTGTATACCACCATGCCCAGCTAATTTTGTAATTGTTTGTAGAGATGAGGGTCTCACTGTGTGTGGCCATTAACAATTTTTTTTTTTGAGACAGTCTTGCTCTGTTGCCCAGGCTACAGTGCAATCGTGCGATCTCAGCTCACTGGAACCTCTGCCTCTCAGGTTCAAGCGATTCTTCTGCCTCAGCCTCCTGAGTAGCTGGGATTACAGGTACGTGCTACCACACCTGGCTAATTTTGTATTTTTAGTAGAGACAGGGTTTCGCTATGTTGGCCAAGCTGGTCTCGAACTCCTGACCTCAGGTGATCCGCCTGCCTCAGCCTCCCAAAGTGCTGGGATTACAGGCCTGTGAGCCACTGTGCCTGGCCAATATTTTATACTGCTTAGCATTTTGAAAGCATAATGTTAACAACATCACAATTTTTTTTTAAAGAAAGAATACCTGGCCAGGTGTAGTGGCTCATGCCTGTAATCCTAGCACCTTGGGAGGCTGAGGCAAGAGGATCACTTGAGCCCGGGAGTTTGAGACCAGCCTGGATAACATAGCAAGATCCCAACTCTATGAAAAACTTAAAAATTAGCCAGGCATTGTGGCACACACCTGTAGTCCCAGCTACTCATGGAGGCTGAGGTGGGAGGATTTCTTGAACCTGGGAGGTCAAGGCTGCAGTCAGCCATGATGTGGCACTGCACTCCAGCCTGTATGGCAGAGCAAGATTCTGTATTAAAAAAAAAAAAAAGAATACCTATTTGTGCACTTTTGGGTTTACAATTGTATGCATGTCTGAATATGTTCGTCCGTATGTTATGTATATGCATATGCTCCATAATTGTCACAGATATGCTAAATAAGGTAGTTGCTGCATGACCTTTAGCTTTTTCACACCCCATAGGCAGGATTGGCTGTGTAACTGCAGCTGCTATTTGCAGAGCCTGGGTTCCTATTTCTGAGCTAACCTCTGTACTATACAATCAGGTGACCAAGACTTTCTGAGCTAACCTCTGTACTATACAATCAGGTGACCAAGACTTTAGCTCAGAGAACCCTCAACAACTTTGAGTTTTTCTTTTTTTGAGACGGAGTCTCACTCTGTCACCCAGGCTGGAGTGCATTGGTGCGATCTCAGCTCACTGCAACCTCTGCCTCCTGGGTTCACGCCATTCTCCTGCCTCAGCCTCCCAAGCAGCTGGGATTACAGGTGCCCACCACCACGCCTGGTTATTTTTTGTATTTTTAGTAGAGACGGGGTTTCACCGTGTTAGCCAGGATGGTCTCGATCTCCTGACCTCGTGATCTGCCCGCCTCGGCCTCCCAAAGTGCTGGGATTGCAGGCATGAGCCACCACTCCCAGTCTAACTTTGAGTTTTTCTAAGTTTGGTCAGCGGCAGGTGGAAGCAGAATTACCTGGGGCCTTGAATCTGAACATCCAATGGTGAGCCTGGGGGAGTCTGTCATTTTAACGAGCCTCTCAGGACGTGGGATCTGCACTCACTTTTGGGACTTTTAGGTCTGTGCACCAATTCCTGATTGCTGGGAGTAGCTAACTCTGTCTTTGGTCTCACAGGCCTGTTGACACTTTGCTTGCCCACATTTGCATGAATATCATGCCTCCCTGTTGTTAACCATTATGCCATATCACTGAGCTTGGTGCTGGGTCTTCAGGTTCATTCTATGCGGACTGCCCTGTATTTCCATGCTTTGTTGAGTCTCTGATTTCTGGGGACCCTGATGCCCCAAAAGAAGCTGCAGAAGCAGCAGACAGGATGTAATCAGCTCTCCCCACAGGCCACACTCACAATACAGGACCTGCACTGGAGCCCTAGATCGTGGATTCTAGGCTCACCTCTGTACCCCAACCTCACATTTGACTGGGGGCAATGGGGAAGCCTATTAGGTCAATAATCTCTCAAAGCTGGTGAAGGCTCAAGTGACTCTTTGTGTGAAGGGAAAACTTTCCTTTGCTCTCTGAAGGTTAGTGAAAATCAATTGACAAAAGGCAGATTAAGAGGAGAAAAGGCAGCCAGGCACTGTGGCTCACGCCTATAATCCCATCATTTTGGGAGGCCGAGGAGCTTGGACCACCTGAGATCAGGGGTTCGAGACCAGCCTGGTCAACATGGTGAAACCCCGTTTCTACTAAAGATACAAAATTAGCCGGGCGTGATGTCAGGTGCCTGTAATCCCAGCTACTCAGGAGGCTGAGGCAGGAGAATCACTTGAACCTGGGAGGCAGAAGTTGCGGTGAGCAGAGATCACACCATTGCACTCCAGCCTGGGCAAAAAGAGTGAAATTTGCTCTCAAAAAAAAAAAAAAAAGAGAAAAGACATACAAGTTTATTAATGTGCATAGTTAATCACAGAGTGATTACCCCATCATCCAGAGTGTGAATATTTTAGATGGGTAGTAAATGATTTTTAGGGTAATTCAATGGGCTTGAAGAACATGCAATGGCCTGGGACAAAGTCTGTTGGGCCTGCAGAGGAGACAAGGGTTTGTGACAAAAGTCTGTCCTAGTGTGTTGACCATACTTCAGTCTTTCCTCCTGCAAAACAAATTCACTTAATGAAAACTCAGGGAGGGAACCAGAGATAATTGTTTCCTTTGGCGTTCTGGACTAAATTTAGGCAGATAAGGGAACAACTTCATCTTGTGCTTTGGGAGGAACAAAGAATTGACAGACAGGAGTGTGTGTTGGTGGCGGAGGTCACAGAGACCTTGAGGCTTCTTCATCAGTTCAGCATGTCAAAATACATTTTGGGGTGTTGGTTTCTGAGCCCCAACACCCAGTTACTGTAGTTGAATGCTTCCAGGGATGGAAAATTCACCACTTAAAAGGAAGCTCTTTTTTCTCTCAGTGTGTCTGCTACCTGAGACTCGAACAGACAGCAGAGTCATGCCAGCTAAATAAAAACTTTCAGGTCCAGCCAGTTACGATGGCTCATACCTGTAATCCCAGCATTTTGGGAGGCTGAGGGAGACGGATCACTTGAGCTCAGGAGTTCGAGACCAGCCTGGGCAACATGGCGAAACCCTGTCTCTATTTAAAACCAAGTCCAAACTTGCTCATTTCCTCTGGACACATTGTTTCTGGCTCCTTCCAGCATCTTTTGTAAACACAGGTGTCACTGTTCTGGTTAAAATCCTTCAGCGGCTCCCCATTCTTGGGATCTAGCCAGGATCCCTGCCTGGCCTACTGGCCTTGCTGACCTCTGCAACTTCATCTTCTCCATTCTCTACCTGCCCTGCCCCGCCCCCCAACCCCTCCTACCCCCTATCTTGCAATTCTCTTACCAGGCCATGCTCTCTCTTGCTTTGACCGACTCCCCTTTACTCAGAAAACTGCTCATTCTTCACTTCTCCAGGATCACTTCCCTGACCCCAAGACTAGATTGGGTCCCTTGCTTATTCATGGTTGTAGCACGCTGAACTTCTCTTTACTAATACTTGTCAACGCTGAAATTCTCCATTTACTTGAGCAATTATGTCACTAATGTCCACTCCTCCACTCCATGGTAAAGTTCAGGCGAGCAGGGCTCCGAATGTGCTCTCATTGCCTCTCCAGCACCTAGCAATGTGCCTGGCAAGTATTCACGGGATGGATGGATTACTCGCTCCAGGAAGGCGGGCCCCAACCTTCGTGGCTGTGGAGACCCCTGGAAGTCGACCGTGACCCGGGCCCCCTGATGTCGCTCAGGATGAGGCGGTGCCCGGGAAACTCTCAGGGCAAGGGCACAGCATAGCTCTGGCTGGCATCCAGCTGCCAACTGGAAGAGGGCGCTCCGAATCTGTGTTTAGGGACCTCAGTTTTCCCACCGGTTCCCCGCAGGGTCGACCGCAAAAGACCCTTGTAGCCCTGGGTAGACCCAGGGCAGGAGCCACGGGCTGCGGCGGTCTGAGGAGCCAGGAGCCGCTCTGTGCCCCCGCAGGCCGCCGCTCCGGGCGAGGGCGCTCCAGGTTGGTCTTCTGGAGCAGTCGTGCGCTGATGGGGCCCCTCTGGCCGGCAGGCGGTGGCGCAGTGCGCGTCGGGAAGGCGGCGGGCTATCCGGTCCTCGGCTGCGGCGGGCACCATGGTCGGTGGCGAGGCGGCTGCCGCAGTGGAGGAGCTGGTTTCGGGGGTGCGGCAGGCGGCCGACTTCGCGGAGCAGTTCCGCTCCTACTCAGAGAGCGAGAAGCAATGGAAGGCCCGCATGGAATTCATCCTGCGCCACCTGCCCGACTACCGCGACCCGCCCGACGGCAGTGGCCGCCTGGACCAGCTGCTCTCCCTCTCCATGGTCTGGGCCAACCATCTCTTCCTAGGCTGCAGGTGCGGACCCCTGCCGGCCGGCTGATCCTGTCCCCTATCTTCCGACCCTCAAGGCCTCTCCCAGGGCTCACCCCTGACCCGAACCTCTGCCCCAGACTGAACCCGGGCCCAACCTCCATCCGCATTGGTCGGCCCGAAGACTGATTCCCACCCTGGAGGCCCCTTGGAAAGATCCTTATCTTTGAGCCTCAGTTTTCTCTTCTGGTAAAAGGGTGGTTATGATGGCTGTAATAATTAAAGGGTGAAGAGCTAAATACATGGCGGGTTCAAAGGTTGCTATTGTTATTTGTATTACTATTATTATTAGCTCAAACCATCACCTTTGCAGTATGCATTCGAAGTCCGTTAGCCCCTGTCACCTACATGGCAAACGTGCAGAGAGAGAAACGGAGATCCCCATTTTACAGATGAAAAAGCTTAGGGAGAGAAGTGATATACCTGGGGCCATGCAGCTTCTGGCAGGATTGATGGATTTTAATCACTAATGAGAGGATGTAATCTGTATCCTATGGCTTTTTCTCCTCACTCCACAGCCCACGGGGTCCTAAGTAGGAACCAGCTTCACCTCTCTGCTTTCCCTCTTATGAAAATGGCCGATGCCTTTTTGTGAAGGTCTCAAAGCCCACTTCATCCTGGCTGCAGCACCAAAAGGACAAAGGCCCGCTTTTGAAGTGCCTGATAAGGCATTCCTTTCACCCCTCCATGAGGAAGGTGGCAAATCTTGAGACTCCCTATTAGAGAGCTTCGATTTTCCTGAAATTGTGTTAGGAAAATAGGGTGACTTGGTTTGATCTTGGTTTCTATACCTATTATGGCTGCCTGACTCTGGTCATTTGGCCCCTGCAGGCCTAAGCCACTTGGTTTTGCTTCACATATTGGGGTTTATTAGAACAGTACGTAGGGAAGCAATGCCAGAGGCACCCGTCCCTTTTCCCTGCCTTCTAGGTGCTCCTGGGAAATCCTGGTTTTCCATGGTTAGGCAAATGTCAGAGAATTGGGGAAATAAATAATGTTTTTGTTAGACTAACATTCCATGTATTTAAAAAATAAAAATATTTTGGTCCTCATCCTGTATCTGAGAATATCTGTTGCTGGATGTACAGTGCCTCTGTTCTTCTAAATCTTGAAACATCTGCTGTACTGGTATTTCTGAAGTCCACTTCTGTATCTACAAGCAAGAAGTGTTCACAGGGCCAGGCACGGTGTCTCACGCCAGTAATCCTAGCACTTTGGGAGGAGGATCACTTGAGGTCAGGAGTTGGAGACCAGCCTGGCCAACATGGTGAAACCCTGTCTCTACTAAAAATAAAAAATTAGCCAGGCGTGGTGGCACACGCCTGTAATCCCAGCTACTCGGGAGGCTGAGGCAGGAGAATTGCTTGAACCTGGGAGGTGGAGGTTGCAGTGAGCCGAGATCACACCACTGCACTCCAACCTGGGGGACAGAGCAAGACTCCATCTCAAAACCTTGTGGGGAACATGTATAGGTTTGCCCTGCAGTATCAGGTCAGTTCTCTGAGAGCTGATTTTATAGTTGAGCAACCTGCAGTTTCTTATTAATCCACAGTGACAATTGTTCCAAGGTTTTTACCTTACTACTTTTTATTGTGCAGTTACAATAAAGACCTTTTAGACAAGGTGATGGAAATGGCCGATGGGATTGAAGTGGAAGACCTGCCACAATTTACTACCAGAAGTGAATTAATGAAAAAGGTAAATAGGATTTCCAAGTGCATGTGATGAAATGGTGTAGAGTTAACAGTCCCTGCCTTGATGACACTATATTAGAGTATATTGTTTTTGAATGCTCTTTACTGCCCCAAAGACCTATACCCTTTCATTTTTATTTCCCCATAATTGGTATAAGCCTTTTCATAAATAGTTGACAACTCACTGTGGTAAATTATGCATTGTTGATGAGGTAACACATAAGCTTAACCTCTTCCGGTTGTTTAGGAACATTGTTTTGAGATTTTTGCTTGATGTTTAAAAAGATGTTGGCTAGAATACTTAAGTTTCCTACTTGTTAAAAAATCTCATTGGTAAGACTCATCCTTACCCCAGGTGTGAGTGCCGGTGTGAGTGCCGACCTGACTTGTTTGGCTTCTGTGATTTGCTGATAAGAACGTGCCTGGAGCAATGTCGATGGCATAGCTGTTCTCTACCCTTTGGGGTCTGATCTCAGGCGATGGGCTTTTTACAGTGAGTCTTGCCTAGAGTCTTGAATCTGGACACTGGAGCTGGGGCTACAGAATGTGGCAGAAAGAACCTCAGAATATGGAGCTGGGCATCCCAGCTATTAATACTTTTCAGAATCACCTCCAAAACATGCTTGTTTCACATTTGTCTGCTCAGGCAGCAGAATTAATTGCTCGCTTATCTTCTGAAGTTCCTTTGGCACTTTATCCAGGGCTCTTTTAAAGCAGTTGTGACCTTACAGATGGTGTCTAAAGTTCTATTTAGTCTTTACAACTCCCAAACCTAGTATACTTATACCCCAGAGAAGGTACTCAGAAAATACTTATAAAATCGACTGAAGCAGTAGAGTAAAAAGCTGCTGGCCCCTTTTTAGGTCTGCCCTTAGAAACATAGGTAAGCCCATTCCTCCACATTTAGGTCTTGTCTTGGGAGGTGGGGCACATATAGAGGTCCTCTTCCATATGGGTGTCAAGGAACTAATCAGATTCTCAGTTGCTCATAAAGTATTTCAGTCCCAAATAGTACACCCCACTTGATTTTCAGGATGGTTTGTTTTTCTTAAAAAAGTATTCTTTTAGTTTTAATCTGAACCTGGGGAAAAGCTTCAGGTTGGTTTTCGAGATGCTATTATGTTTTAAAATCAGCTGTTACCTCAACACAGTACTCCTGACAAAAAATCAGTAAGTAAAATCAGCTGTTTTTTTGTTTTTGTTTGTTTGTTTGTTTGTTTTTGAGAGGGAGTCTCCCTGTGTCGCCCAGGCTGGAGTGAGGTGGTGCGATCTGGGCTCACTGCAAGCTCTGCCTCCCAGGTTCACACCATTCTCCTGCCTCAGCCTCCTGAGTAGCTGGGACTACAGGCGCCTGCCACCACGCCCAGCCAATTTTTTTTTTTTTTTTTTTTTTGTATTTTTAGTAGAGACGGGGTTTCACCGTGTTAGCCAGGATGGTCTCGATCTCCTGACCTCGTGATCCGCCCGCCTCGGCCTCCCAAAGTGCTGGGATTACAGGTGTGAGCCACCGCACCAGGACTAAAATCAGCTGTTAAAAAGGGGCTACTGTTTTTAGCCAGGGAGCAGTGTGAATTGGGAGTGTGTGGCTTTTTGGATCTTCTCATGTAATACTTAAAAAAATACTGGGCAGTCCTTGGGTGTTCTATAGTAAGGTTCTTGGGGCCCAGCCAGGGAGGAGCTAGATAGTTTCTGGCTACTGGAGTATACCTTATGGGGCAGGGGCAGGGGCAGAGGTAGGCAGGGAATGAGGTGAGCCTTTATTTTTAATTTATTTTTTAGATAGAGGCTCACTTTGTCACCCAGGCTGGAGTGCAGTGGCACGATCTCAGCTCACTGCAACCTCTGCCTCCCAGGCTCAAGTGATTCTAGCGCCACAGCCTCCCCAGTAGCTGGGATTACAGCCGGGTGCCACCATACCCAGCTAATTTTTGTATTTTTAGTAGAGAAAGGGTTTTGCCATGTTGTCCAGGCTGGTCTTGAACTCCTGGCCTCAAGTGATCTGCCCAGCTTCCCAAAGTGCTAGGATTACAGGCGTGAGCCACTGCACCTGGCCGAGCCTTTATTTTTTAACTGCTTGTGATAGATTCTTTCCTTTTTGTTTCTAAGAGGTTTTCTGATTTTCCTTTTTTTTTTTTTTTGAGATGGAGTTTTGCTCTTGTTGCCCAGGCTGGAGTGCAATGGTTCAGCTCACTGCAACCTCTGCCTCGCGAGTTTAAGCGATCCCTTGCCTCAGCGTCCCAAGAAGCTGGGATTACAGGCGCCTGCCACCACGCGCGGCTATTTTTTGTATTTTTTAGTAGAGATGAGGTTTCACCATGTTGGCCAAGTTGTTCTCGAACTCCTGACCTCAGGTGATCCACCCACCTCAGCTTCCCAAAGTGCTGGGATTACATGCGTTAGCCACTGTGCCCAGCAAGGTTTTCTGATTTTTTATATCAGTTCTCCATTATACTTCTCTGTCTTATATGTTTTCTGAAAGGTATCTGAACTCTTTCCAGTCATGTTGGGTATTAGAGATCAGAACACCTAATGACATTGGGCTGCAGACCCCAGTAGGAGACTAAGGAGGTTTGGCACGTCCCAAACATTATCTATAGACCAGTGTGAAGTGTGTGTGTGTGTGTGTGTGTGTGTGTGTGTGTGTGTGTGTTAGGAAGGGTCTTTCTGAAACATCCTAAAGGGGTCTTATACCTAAAAAATGTACAGAGCCCCTGCCCTGGGATGTTCATTCTTGACACTGTCATTGCACAGTGTGAGTCTACAGAGAAGAGTCCTCAGGCATGAAATTATCTTCTTGAAACCAGTGCCGCCATCTTACTAATCATTAGCAGTTAGCTATGTGGAAGAAGCCTATATAGAGGCCATACTTCTATAGCATTTTTGAATTGTGTGTTGCAACTTCCTTCAAATAAAACTTATGTTTTTCTAAGTAGCCAGGTTTAACTTTAGTCTGTTGATGCCACTCTAAGTGAAATTCAGCTGATCCTGAAAAGTGAGATACTTAGAGGGTGCATAGAGTTTTGCCAGTTTTGTTTTCAGACAGGGGTCTCTCTCTGTGGCTCAGGCTGGAGTGCAGTGGCTTGCTCACGGCTACCCGCAGCCTTGACCTGCCAGGCTCAAGTGATCCTTGCACCTTAGCCTCCCCAGTAGCTGGGACTACAGGTGTGTACCACCATGCTTGGCTAATTTTTGTAGAGACTGGGTTTTGCTATGTTCCCCAGGCTGGTCTCAAATGATCCACCTGCCTCAGCCTCCCAAAGTGCTGGTGTGAGTCACTGTGCCTGGTGAATCTTTAAGACTCTTCCAGATAAGCCCATTCTGAGAACGAGTCATCTGATCTATGTACCATGACAAATTTGTGTGGTATTGAAGGCTGTCCCCTCTCCATTGAATGCCACTGGAAAGAGAGCCATGAGGACTTTGCAGCAGTTTCATCCTTTGCCTGCAGTTTTTGCACACATGACAGAGGATGCTGAAAAACATTAGGCAACATTGCCAGCCCATAGACAAAATACTCCTGATGTCCAGCCATACACCTGAAAACGTCTGTTGTTGTTCTGCCCAGAATTGATGCTTTAGCTAAAAAATTAGAGTTTAGTTGGGTTTTAAAGCTAGCTACCAAGTGGAAGTAAATTGCCTGGCATTGTTGGTATCTCAAGACAGACAGTGATGATGATTTGGAGACATAAGCTCTTTAAGATTTTAAAAATACTTTATGGCTATTCTGCAGCTTTGAGGCAAGTAGATCTCTGCAATCTGTCCAGCTCTTTTTTTAAGTCTGAGAAAAGAAATGAGCATTGGTTTCTGACAGGTGGAATTTGTTGGACAGTTGCAGTATATGATTTTTTTTCTTTTGAAAGGGGATTCAAACACACATACATTGAGTAAACAATCTTGATTATCTAACTGCCATCCTAGGCTACTGCTGGCAGCCTTTGTGGTTGCTCACCTTACCAATTAATGAGCGATAATTAACAAAGAGCAGCAGCTGACTCAGGAAAGATGTCATTGCTATGACTGTCAGAATTAATATTTCCAAGGTAATGTTTTAAGGAGAAAGGAGTGATTGACTAGGAAGCTATCATTATTGACTCAAAGAAAGAAGCTGTCAACCTAATTTACGTGGTCCATTTTTTTCTGAGAACATTTTTATCCCAAGAGGGAAAATGGCAGTATGAAAAGTGACTATGAAGGCTGGGCGTGGTGGCTCATGCCTGTAATCCTAACACTTTGGGAGGCCGAGGCAGGCAGGTCACGAGGTCAGGAGTTTGAGACCAGTCTGACCAACATGGTGAAACCCCGTCTCTGCTAAAAATACAAAAATTAGCTGGGCATGGTGGCACGTGCCTGTAATCCCAGCTACTCAAGAGGCTGAGGCAGGAGAATCACTTGAACCCGGGAGGTGGAGGTTGCAGTGAGCCGAGATCGTGTCATTGCACTCCAGCCTGGGCGACAGAGTGAGACTCTGTCTCAAAAAATAATAATTAAAAAAAAGAAAAATGGGCTGGGCGCGGTGGCTCACGCCTGTAATCCCAGCACTTTGGGAGGCCGAGGCGGGCGGATCACAAGGTCAGGAGATCGAGACCATCTTGGCTAACACGGTGAAACCCCGTCTCTACTAAAAATACAAAAAATTAGCCGGGCGCGGTGGCGGGCGCCTGTAGTCCCAGCTACTCGGGAGGCTGAGGCAGGAGAATGGCGTGAACCTGGGAGGCGGAGCTTGCAGTGAGCCGAGATTGCGCCACTGCAATCCGGCCTGGGCTAAACAGCGGGACTCCGTCTCAAAAAAAAAAAAAAAGAAAAATGACGATGAAATTTGAAAGGCCAGGTGCAGTGGCTCATGCCTATAATCCCAGCACTTTGGGGAGGCTAAGGTGGGTGGATCATTTGAGGTTGAGAGTTTGAGACCAGCCTGGCCAACATGGCAAAACCCCGTCAACTAAAAATACAAAAATTAGCCGGGCGTGGTAGTACCTGCCTGTAGTCCCAGTTACTCTTGAGGCTGAGGCAAGAGAATCGCTTGAGCCTGGAAGGCGGAGGTTGCAGTGAGCCAAGATGGCACCGCTGTACTCTAGCCTGGGCAACGGAGTGAGACTGTTTCAAAAAAAAGAAAGAAAAAGAAATTTGAAAGAAAAGTTAGAAAAACAAGTGTGCCTGCTTTTGTGCATTGTGTCATCTTGGCAAGCTCTGAGGTACTAGAGCTGCCGCTCCCTTGGTGGAAGCAGCCATGATTCTAAGATGGTGCAAATGTTGGTGAGTATTAAAAAAAAAAAAAAAATCAGCCTAGCCCAGTGGCTCTGCCTGTAATCCCAGCACTTTGGGAAGCCGAGGTGGGAGAATTGCTTGAGCCCAGGAGTTCCAGACCAGCCTGGGCAGCATAGTGAGACTTTTGTTGCAACAAAAAATAAAATAAAAACTACCTGGGCATAGTTGCGCATGCCTGTGGTCCCAGCTACTCGAGAGGCTGAGGTGGGAGGATCACTTGAGCCTGGGAGGTTGAAGCTGCAGTTAGCCATGATCGTACCACTGCACTCCAGCTTGGGTGACAGAGTGAGACCCTGTCTCCAAAGTTAAAAAAAATCAGCCTGTCAGATTAGTTAAATCAGAGGTCTAAGTTGTACCTCAAGATAAACGCTCATTGGAGCTACTTGTCTTTTACTCTTTATCCACTAGAAATAGAAGCCAGAAAAGGTGTGTCTGATCCCACAGACCAGTCTTATCTGGAGCTTATGAGTCAGTAGTGTATCACCTGCAAACACCTGTGGAAAAGATGGTATACACAGCAGCCCAAACCGGCGGCAGCTGTACGCTTCCATAGCCTTGGTCTGTCCTGTCATTTGAGAGATGGCTTAGGGGATTTTTTTCTCTTTGGACTTAAGATGGTTTCTTTAGGTAATACCGCATTCTCCTAAATGGTGAAAGTCTTCTTATAATTTGCTTTTGCTGAGGAATTTTGTTTTTTCATCTGAAAAAGACTGACTGGGGCTGGGCACAGTGGCTCACGCCTCTAATCCCAGCACTTTGGGAGGCCGAGGTGGGTGGATCATGAGGTCATGAGTTCAAGACCAGCCTGGCCAAAATGGTGAAACCCCATCTCTACTAAAAACTACAAAAATTAGCCGGGCGCAGTGGCAGGTACCTGTAATCACAGCTACTCGGGAGGCTGAGGCAGGAGAATTGCTTGAACCCAGGCAGCAGAGGTTGCAGTGAGCCAAGATCGTGCCACTGCACTCCAGCCTGGGTAACAGAGTGAGACTCCGTCTCAAATAAAAAGAAAAAGCACTCACTGGTCTAACTAGGAAATAGGTCATACCTTGAAATCTCTGATTACTAAAAAGACTCTCAGATTGATTCACTTGCACTGCTAAATGTTAAGGAAATTCATTCAAATACAAGGTGACAGCCAAAGTGATTTTTTCACACCCTGTTTAAAAGTTGTCTAAAGCCAAGTTTAAATTTACCAAAGGTGCTAGAGAGTAACCAGAAAGAATAGCTCTGCTTCATTTCACCACTATTTGAAGACAAGCTTTTACAGTTTCTAATAGTGTGAAATCCAGAAATATATAACCTTCACATCTAAATATCCTGACTCAATGTGAAATGTTGTGAATTACTACCTGAACTGACTGCTTTTAATTTAGAACAATAAGTGTTTGTGTGACTCTGCTTTTAGAACCTTTCACTGCAAAGCATGCCAGAAAAAGTTGTATTTTAAGCATTTCCATTATCACTTTAAATTGTGAACATTTATAGATTGCAAGTGACAAGACAGGAAAATCAAGTTCTGGCTTCCAAATGGATGCTGTGGTCAATGTTTTGCTGAATTTTCTGTATGTTGTAAAATATTAATAATTTCTGAGTATACTTACTGTCTGGATAGTACATAAATATTACATCACTGCTATATTTTAATTTATGAAGATGAATTTGATTCACTGGACTACATGGTTATGTAACCTTTTCTTTTCTTTTTTTCCCAGCATCAAAGCTAAGCCAGAAGATTTATCACATTTTCATCATCAGCTACAGGATTAGAAAGGAGGCTGGGATGAATGTGACATAGACCACAGCAGCTCTCTTAAGACTCCTGGTATTACCAACATAAAGAGGCAGGTGGAATGAGAAGGACTCTGTCTAGATTGGCTTTTTTAACATTCTCATTTTCCCAGGAGTTATCACTGTAAAAGTATGCATGGATATTTATGTATTTATAAATCATGCACTCTAAGATGAGTTCATCAACATTGTAAAAGCCCTCTTTTCTGTTTTCAGGTTTTTTTTTTTCTTATCGACAAGGTCTCACTCTGTCGCCCAGGCAGAAGCACAAAGGTGCAGTATTGGCTCATTGCAGCCTCGAACTCCTGGGCTCATATTTTCAGGGTTTTTTGTTTTTTGTTTTGTTTTTTTGAGACAGAGTCTTGCTCTGTTGCCCAGGCAGTAGTGCAGTGGCGCGATATATTTTCAGTTTTTAAACGTCAGAATTTTTGTTTAAAATGCCTTTTTGGGCTGGGCACAGTGGCTTATGCCCATAATAATCCCAGCACTTTGGGAGGCCGAGGTGAGCAGATCACCTGAGGTTAGGAGTTTGAGACCAGCCTGGCCAACACGATGAAACCCCGTCTCTACTAAAAATACAAACAAAATTAGCTGGGCATGGTGGCGGACATCTGTAATCCCAGCTACTCAGGAGGCTGAAGCAGAAGAACTGCTTGAACCTGGGAGGTGGAGGTTGCAGTGAGCCAAGATCGCACCATTGCACTCCATCCTGGGCGACAAAAATGAAACACCGTCTCAAAAAAAATAAAAATAATAAAATAAAATGCCTTTTTGTTGTTGATGTAATAATGGCAGGTAATTAATTTTATAGTTTAGATTTTTCAACAATGTACCTTTAAGTGCGATTCTCTTTTATGGCCTTTTTCTTCCCCCACCAAGGCAAATCAGATCCTTTAATTCCTATTTCCACCTGAAATTTATACCATACCTATACCATACCCAACTACCACACATACTCATCCTTTTTTAAGAAATGAGAATCAAATCATAGACTTGAAGTACCCACCAGCTCACGGGAAGAGGCAGCCTACCAAAAAGCATCTGGCCTTAGTTTAAAACGAATTGACACAGGATTCCGGGGCTTCGTCCGGTCAGCCAGTTGATTTGTAAATTCTGTCTCCCAGACTGCTTTTCTGGAGGAAGCCTGAGGCTTGGGTCTTCTAGACTTGAGGAGCCACCTTGCACATAGCCTCTTAAGAAATACTTGTTGCAGTCCTGCTTTGCTCTGTGATTTTGGTCTTAATGTTCCTCAGCTAAGTGTCTGTTCTGTACCCCCTCTCTGCTCCTCTTTCTTGTTTAGTCCCCACCATTAAGGAAATAGGTCTAGGCATAAATACTGGGAGAGGGGCTTCATTTGGGAGGCAGTAGTGTAAGTTTATTACAGGAGGGGTCACTCAACAGTGGTAGGCACTGTGCTTGGTACTAGTGATAGTGGCAAATAAGAGACATTGGACCCTGCAGGCCGGGTGTGGTGGCTCACACCTGTAATCCCAGCACTTTGGGAGTCCAAGGTGGTCAGATCACAAGGTCAGGAGTTTGAGACCAGCCCAGCCAACATGGTGAAACTCTGTCTCTACTAAAAATACAAAAATTAGCTGGGTGTGGTGGCATGTGCCTGTAATCCCAGCTATCCAGGAGGCTGGGGCAGGAGACTCGCTGGAACCCAGGAGACAGAGGCTGCAGTGAGCCGAGATTGCACCACTGCACTCCAGCCTGGGCGACAGAGCAAGATTCTTGTCTTTTTTTTTTTTTAAAAAAAAGAGGCCGGGTGCGGTGGCTCATGCCTGTAATCCCAGCACTTTGGGAGGCCGAGGCAGGCAGATCACCTGATGTTGGGAGTTCGAGACCAGCCTGACCAACATGGAGAAACCCCGTCTCTACTAAAAATACAAAATTAGCCAGGCATGGTGGCACGTGCCTGTAATCCCAGCTACCAGGGAGGCTGAAGCAGGAGAATCGCTTGAACCTGGGAGGTGGAGGTTGTGGTGAGCTGAGATCGCGCCATTGCACTCCAGCCTGGGCAACAAGAGTGAAACTCCATCTCAAAAAAAAAAAAAAAAGAAAAAAAGAAAATGCATTTTCCTAATTTGAGTAGGAAGCTATGAAAAAAAGAGAAGAAGAAAATGCATTTCCATAGGTTTGTCATCGTGAATTCCATTTCTTTATATGATATGAAGCCCTGATAAAATAATAATAGCCTTTCAGGAATGCATCCACTGCATAAAGCAAGTTTAAATTGTGGAATGACTTCCCTTCAATTGCTTTTATTTATTTTTGTTTTTTCAGAGCCGGGGTCTCTCACTCTGTCACCCAGGTTGGAGTGCAGTGGTGTAATCATAGCTCACTGCAGCCTCAAACTCCTGGTCTCAGGTGATCCTCCTCCCAAAGTGCTAAGAATACAGGCAGGAGCTACTAAACCCAGCCTCCTTTAGTTTGTTTTTGAAGACTTCCTAGTTAATCAAAATCAAGTTTCAATTTTCTAATAGGTTTTCTCTCATTGTTTCCTCACTTAAACTGCTTTTCTTCTCATCTTTTACAATTTCTGTGGCTATCTCACATATAAAATTAACCAGTATTTTAGAATTTCATCTTTTATTTCTGGAATAGAAAGTGGCAAAGAAATCTAAATGTTTGCATTTCAGCAATACTTGTGGTATAGATAAAATGGCCCACTGTCAGCCTTGAAACAGTACCTTCTATCACATAGTTCATATACAGTCTTGCTGAAGACTTGGAGTGAAGATAGAGTGAGATCATAGGAAGGGACAAGTAATAAATAGGAGGAGAACTTTTTTTTTTTTTTTTTTTTTTTAAGATGGAGTCTCTCTCTGTCGCACGGGCTGAAGTGCAGTGGCGCTATTTCGGCTCACTGCAACCTCTGCCTCCCAGGTTCAAGCAGCTCTCCTGCCTCAGCCTCCCGAGTAGCTGGGACTACAGGCATGCGCCACTATGCCCAGTTAATTTTTGTATTTTTAGTAGAGACAGGGTTTCACCATGTTGGTTGGCCAGTATGGTCTCGATATCTTGACCTTGTGATCTGCCTGCCTTGGCCTCCCAAATTGCTGGGATTACAGGTGTGAGCCACCACGCCTGGCCTGGAGAACTTTTTTTTTTTTTTTTTTGTAAATCCAAACTACACCTAGAAAACTGCTTTCTGAAACATTCCTTAGTCTGTGGCTCACCTAATAATCCTCACTCAACCTTATCAGGAGGTAAGGATTCTGTCTGAACTCAGGATCCATTTGGATCGGTGGCCTACCTATGGGCAATGAGAGGAATCATATTAACTGTCACTGTCCATCCTCTGAGTCTTTGTAGTTTGTAGTAAAATACATACTGTCCCATATAAAAAATGAGAATTGTGTTACCCTAAATGTCAGATAATTTGGTGTTTCCCAGCTCTCCAGCTCTAAAGAATCTCTGCTGGGTATCCCTTTATGTCTGGAAGGAGACTGTCAGCTTCTGGTATCTGAGACCTGTGTGCCCTATAACATCTAGTTATGGCTATCGTTCTTAACTAGTTTAGGGATTCCTTTCTGTAGGAATTAAGAGTAAACACAGATCTTCAGAGGCAAGAGTTTTAGAACTTATTGAAGACTTTTGGTCATATGGAAACTTCATTCAACAAAGAGTGCACCCTTAAAAAAAATCTCTACTGTCATTGGGTATGTGTATCTGCGTGTGTGTGTGTGTATGTGTATGTATATACATACATATATATACATATGTAATGAAAAGCAAGCCAGGCAAGATTGTTTCTTCCCCAAAGTTCACTCTGCCTATTCTTTTTTTTTTTTCCCTTTCTTTTAAATTTAGAGACAAGATCTTGGTATGTTGCCCAGGCTAGAGTACAGTGGCTGTTCACAGGTACAGTCACAGTACACTACAGCCTTGACCTTCTGGCCTCAAGCCATCTTCCCATCTCAGCCTCCGGAGTGGCTGGGATTACAGATGCATGCTGCGCACAGCTCACTCTGCCTTTTCTAAAGTTAGGACTCCTGGGGCTAGGTGGTGGTGGTGTTGGCTACCCTTCTTATTTTGGTTTGGAAGGTTTTCATAATGACTGCAGTAGGGTCAGAGTCCTCTGCATGTGGTCCTATCAGTGATGGATGTGGGTCTGAAGCCCTGCTCATCAACACACACTGAACCAAATGAGGAGGTGGGGTAAAAAGACTATCATCTGAACAGATTTCTTGGAAATCAAAGAACAGAAAATAAAAATTGAGGCTGGGTGCAGGGGCTCCATGCCTGTAATCCCAGCACTTTGGGAGGTAGGAAGATCACTTGCTAGGAGTTCAAGACCAGCCTAGGTAACATAGTAAGACCCCATCTCTACAAAACAATTAAAAAAAAATAGGCATGGTGGTGCACACCTGTATGTAGTTCCAGCTACTTGGGAGGCTGAGGTGGGAGGATTGCTTGAGGACAGGAGGTTGAGGTTGCAGTGAGCCATGACCGAGCCGCTGTACTTCCAGCCTGACAACTGAGTGAGACCTTGTCTCCAAAAAGAAGGATGGGGAGAGGAAAAAAAATTGAGTGACATTGACACTATTTAGCCCCTATTCTTACCTACACTAGAGTGAGAGCTTTTTTCCTTGATGTTGTGTCAAACAGGGATGCCTCTTTAGAATATAAACCAGTGGTCCTAACCGAAGTCCTTTCTTTCCCAGCCTCATAGACTAATGAACCAATGAACCCAAAGTATCCTTGAATGTGGCCCCCTTCAGCCTCATTTGCCTTGGAGAATGTTGCTGTTAGGGGTCTGAGACAGGTCTTGGTCCTCACCTAATATGACAGAGAGGCAATGAACAGTAAAGAGGTCAACCTTGAGCTGTGGGGGCCTAGTGACTAAAGTTCTTGTTTTGCTATGAAAGTTGGCACCAAAATCTCATCCTTCTAGGGCTGCATTTTCCATTCCCTCTGACACTCTCATAGTAAGAATGTTGAATTGTCCCTAGTAGGTGTGAGCTGGTAGATATTCCTTCAAATTGAGTGTTACTTTACCTCAGTGTAGGCATTTGCAAAGTGGGGATGATTCTTACTTCAAACTTTATTGGAGGATTCAGTGGAAAAATGAATGTCTATGAGTACCTGGCACTTAGTAGGCTCTCTCTGCTTCATTCCTGCCCTAGTTTCCCTCTAAGCCCAAGGACGGAAGATAGGAAAGCTTTTCAACTAAGATTTACACAAAACAGGTGCCCACAATCATTCCACGCAACCAGGCTCCATCCCTGCAAAAGTGCTGCAGAAGTGGACCTTTTCAGTTTGTGGTGCCCAGCCCAACATGCAATCTGGCACCCATTAGATACTAGGTAAATGTCGTTGACTGATGAGTGGTGGCAGGCACTGAACAATGCAGCACCAACCAAAATGTCAGGTTGTTCTGTAGGGGGAAGTAGCAAAACCTCCAGGGGAAAGGGTTACCAGGTGGCAAACCTTGGCCAGAGCTCATGTCACCACTGCACCCTGCCCCCATGCAACCGCACCTCAATACTAGGTGCCTTGTCACCCCTGTATCACTGGATCTAGGAGGTCTGGAGCTTGTGCAGCCTGTGGGTATGTGCCTTTCATTGTGGGCATGGCCTTTGCTCCAGCACTTGCTATGTGGCAGGAGGCTTATCCTGGAGTTTGTTTTTGTTTTTTTGAGATGGGAGTTTTGCTCTTGGTGCCCAGGCTGGAGTTCAGTGGTGCGATCTTGGCTCACTGCAACCTCTGCCTCCTGGTTTCAAGCGATTCTCCTGCCTCAGCCTCCTGAGTAGCTGGAATTACAGGCAGGTGCCACCACGCCCAGCTAATTTTTTGTTTTTTTTAGTAGAGATGGGGTTTCATCGTGTTGGCCAGGCTGGTCTCAAACTCCTGACCTCAGGTAATCCACCAGCCTCATCCTCCCAAAGTGCAGGGATTATAGGCGTGAGCCACCACGCCCTGTCCTGGAGTTTTGTCCTACAAAGTGGCTACATTCCTTATCACTCTGGCTGTGAATTTTGGGCCCCAGCTCACTACAGAACCCAATTCCCCTTAAACCAGCTGTTTTCAACATCTCAGGTGGTAAGACTGTGACTCAGATTCCTTCTTTTTGTATTCACCAAATTATGTTTTATGATGATTTTCTACTTTTTCAACAAAAAACAGAACTGCTATTTAAGCCGGGAGTGGTGGCCCATGCCTGTAATCCTAGCTACTCAGGAGGCTGAGGCACGAGGATTGCTTGAGCCCAGCAATTTGAGTCTAGCCTGGTCAACATACGAGACCCTGTCTCTAAAAGATAAATAAATAAAATTAGCTGAGGTGGCACGTGCCTGTAGTCCCAACTACTCAGGAGGCTGAGGTTGGAACTGCTTGAGTCCAAGGGTTCCAGGCTGTAGTGAGCTGTGATCATGTGACTGCATTCCAGACTGGGCAATAAAGTGAGACCCATTTAAAATGTGCCCAGAAGCTCAGAGCTTGGACCCCAGAGGTCTCCTGTTATTCTACAGGACTCCTGCTCACAGCCTATGAATGCATGGCTAGAAGCTGTCCGGAAACCAGTTCTCAATCTTTGGCTTTAATAAAATTTCAGTCTTTAGTACTTGTATTGTTATTCTTACAGCCTAATCCCTGACTTGGTTTTGAGAGGAAGCCATGGTGATTGTAGTCTCAAGCTGCCCTGTGCAAAAGAAGACCCAGCCCCAGTCAAAGAATTAATGTAGCAAGACCCCGTCTATACCAAAAAAAGAAAAAAGAACTGTGTAAGCACTAAGATAGGAACTTTTTCCTACAGATTAGTTTATCAAACTTGCCACCTCCAAGTCCTGGTATTGCCTTGGCTGGCTTGCAGAAGGTTCTTTGTCTTTATTCTAAAGGCGACTTTCCAGCTGATGTTTCAGGGAGTTTCCACCTCAAACCACAACCTTATGGCCCATGCAGGAATACTCCTATGACCAAAGATCTCTGCTACACAGCAAGGTTACCAGTTTAGCTTTTCTTTGCAGTGCTACTTCTCACCTGTAGCTGAAACTAGTAACATGGGCTGAAGTCTCTGGATTTCACCCTGATCTCTGCCCAGTATGGTCATTAGGCCAAGCAAAAGCATCTTTTTCTATAGGAAGGGAAAATATCCCTTAGATTTAAAATGAGGTTAACAGCTAAGCAACTTCCCGTTGTTTTCTTTGTACTAACATCAACACAAAAACATAACATTTCCAATTCAATCTTATACAATGACTTTATACAGGGGCCAGCCAAAGAACTTCAAACCTTTCTGTTTGATATTCTCTTTTTCAGGAGTGCTGCTAGTCCAGCACTCCTGTACTCGTGGGTTATGGTATTGGCAAAAGATCTTGTTTGTAAAGGTGGAAAGGAAGAGGGCAATATATCCCTTGGGCTTCAGAAATAAAGCAGCATAACCAACCCTTTGCTTTTTGAGATGGAGTCTTGCTCTGTCACCCAGGCTGGAGTGCAGTGGTGCAATCTCAGCTCACTGCAACCTCCGCCTCCAGGGTTCAAGCGATTCTCCTGCCTCAGCCTCCCGAGTAGCTGGGATTACAGGCGCCCGCCACCACGCCTGGCTAATTTTTTATTTTACTAGGGATGGGGTTTCGCCATGTTGCCCAGGCTGGTCTCCAACTCCTGACCTCTGGTGATCCACCCGCCTCGGCCTCCCAAAGTGCTAGGATTACAGGCATGAGCCACCGCACCCAGCCCCCTTTGCTCTTAAGGGGATCTGCCTCAAGTGCTTTTATGTTTGCATTTTGGCAGTCTTAAAGACACAGTAGAGAACAACTCTTGCATTCCAGAAGAATGACTAAATTGTTCAGGTTGATGGAACCCCAGGGGATCTTTTCAGAGACAGGCTTTGATTCCCTTTACAGGAGTTCCCAGCCCAGTGGCACTTTATGAATCTGTCTTCCAAGTAAGACTTCAGAGGAGCCAACCTCCCCTAAAAGACTACAGAAGGATCATACTTGTAACCAAGACTGTTACTATTATATGAAGACTTTCTCTAATTGGCTTTGCTTTCTCTAGGCAGAGCCCACTCTATTATATATTAGAGTCTTCTCAAATATATTAATCCACAAGTCACTGATGAACAAAAGCAACATGTGGCCAAGCTTTAGCATTTACTTCCCAAAAGATTTCATATGCAAGTTTCTCACACAAGTCTGAATCTTACATATGCCAAAGAGAACTCTGGAGCCCAAGTTCTTCCAAAGTTCTTGATTTCAGCCATCAAGGAACTAATGTTGAGCTGTGGAGCAGTCAGATAACCAACAGGGTTTGTAATGTGCACAGCTCATTCATCTTTTTGGCTCAACTAAAAATTCCTAGGCCATCCTGTGAACACAAGAAGCCCTGAAAGCTCAAGATATTTCTGACAAAATTGTTTTTAAAAAAAGCTGTAGTGATGGTGAGGAGAATTCACTGAAGGAAGAATGGCACACATTTAATTGTGTCTTCTTTGTTGAAACGATAAAGAAAAAGTCCTTTCAACAATAAAATTTAGTTTCTAATATCTTTGCTGTCATATGCTAGAATGACTGATGATAACTAATCTTTCCCCCATCTGGTAACAGTTCATTCCCCCCTAACTAGATGGGAACTAAAGTAATAGAGCTACCATCTTGGCATAAGGCCTCTGTCCTATGGATAATTTCATTTACCGCGAACAGCTTTCCAACTATTCACTTTTCTGTTTAAATACATGATTCTCACATAACTCAGATTCCACTTGGACTCTACATTGTTGAATGCAATGGAAAAGAACTGTCATAAACACCATCAAGACTCCAAAATTTGATCCCTACCTCTTAAAACCTGGGAGAATTGAAATATGAAACACCTTAGACATAACTCTGAAGTGTAATATGATCCTCAGGGTTATCTCTTAAAGAATACTAAATGAATAAACTAAGTAGGCAGTTAACTTTGTTTAATGAGCATTAAACAAACTGTTAATAATACCACACCTTTAATAACTTACTTCTCCGCTATCTTCCACCTACATGAGTGTGAATTTAGAGCTGTGGAGCAGTCAGATAACCAACAAGGTTTGTAATGGGCACAGCTCATTCATCTTTTTGGCTCAACTAAAAATTCCCAGGCCATTCTGTGAACACAAGAAACATGGAAAGTTATTCATATTAATGAAACTTGGTGTGGGGGGTGGGTGGAGGAGAGAAATCCTACAGACTCAAGGATATTTCCAGGAAGGGGAAAAATGTGGCTTATTGATAAGTCAGTCCTTTATATAGAAACCAGAAAATGTTCCTAAAGTCAGTGGAAAATGGTAGTCAAGAAAACCCTTTCAGCTGAGTGCAGTGGCTCATGCCTGTAATCCCAGTGCTTTGGGAGGCCGAGGCAGGATGATCAGTTGAGCTCAGGACTTTGAGACCAGCCTGGCCAACATAGTGAGACATTGTCTCTACAAAAGTAAAAAAATTAGCCAGGCATGGTGGCATGCATCTGTAGTCTCAGCTACTCAGGAGGTTGAGGTGGTAGGACCGCTTAAGCCTGGGAGGTTGAGACTGCAGTGAGCCGCCTGGAGCCACTGGACTCCAGCCTGGGAAACAGAGCAAGACCTTGTCTCGGAAAAAAAAGGAAACCTTTTCATTGGAGTAGACACAAGTCTGTATAAAACTAAATCAGTTAAAAGTATTTCCACAAATTTGGATGTTGAAGTTCTGCAGAATTTCTAAAACCAATCTCAACCTCTTAAAAGATAGCACATTTCTGGGTAAGACCACATAGGGTTCAAATCCCAGTTCTATGACTTACTGGCTGGTTGATCTTGAGCAAGTCACTTCATCTGTCTATCTGTGGCTAGTTTCATTATCATCTTTTTTTTTTTTTTTGAGCCAGAGTCTCACTCTTATTGCCTAGGCTGGAGTGCAGTGGTGAGGTCTCGGCTCACTGCAACCTCTGCCTCCCAGGTTCAAGTGGTTCGCCTGCCTCAGCCTCCCGAGTAGCTGGGATTACAGGCACCTGCCACCACGCCTGGCTAATTTTTGTATTATTAGTAGAGACGGGGGGTTTCACCATGTTGGCCAGGCTGGTCTTGAACTCCTGAACTCAGGTGATCCGCCCACCTCAGCCTGCCAAAGTGCTGGGATTACAGGCATGAGCCACCGTATTTGTGAATTTGAAATGAAATAATATATGTTAAAAGTGCTTAGAATAGTGCCTTTCACAGATTATTCTGTGCTGGGGTATTGTTACAGGGAATTGTATCACACATGCATTTAAACTTTTTAACATGAATCCATCAATATAACTTTGTACCAACATAAACATTTTAGTTCTAGCTTCTTGCCCTACCATACATTTATGAAACTGACCTAGAGTTTAAAGTAAACACTTTTTGTATGACTCAACCTTGTAAATCGAAGGTTTATATCTGGTACTTAACCAAAGAAATAGGAATCTGTTCCAAGGCTGCAGAAAAAAGTGAGGAGTTATGTATAGATTGAACCTTCTTAAGGATTTTCTCGAAAAGGAATGTGGATGCTATGAGTTTTATGCATATGTTGAATTTTGGAGTTAGAACTCACTGACCTCCCTGTAAAGTAACATGTAACTTCTTTATAATTATCTACCAATACTTGAAATTTTCCTGTTTTAAACTGGGAAAGGCAAAAACAGGTCAAGGATAAAAATGGATGTTGAAATAGTAACCAAATAGCATTTAATGAAATAAGAGGGCAGACCCTCATAGCTACTGTATATTTAATCTAGGAGTTACTGGAGTGAATGTCTATAGTTTGTTTTGGAGCTAAACTATAAAAGCACCACACAATTAAAGCATCTTTTTGGGAGCCACGATTCCAGTGAGTGAATTCCCATTTGTATCAAAGTTCCCTAAGATCATACACTTACCTCAGAATTTGCCAAGTAATAGCTTTTATTTTTAAAGACAGGGTATTGCTCTGTCACCCAGGCTGGAGTGCAATGGCATAATCACAGCTCACTGCAGCCTCAACCTCCTAGGCATAAGCTATTCTGCCACCTCAGCCTCCTAAGTAGCTGAGACTACAGGCAAGTGCCACTATGCCCAACTAATTTTTTAAAAAATTTAAAGTAGAGAAAAGTCTTATTATGTTGCCCTGGCTGGTCTCAAAGTCCTGGCCTCAAGTGATCCTCCCGCCTTTGCCTCCCAAAGTGCTGGGACTACAGGTGGGAGCCACCTGGCCCAGCCTATAAGCATTTATCCAATCAATGTTAAACGTTGCATAATGAATAGAAGCTGTAGATATTGCCATACTGTAATCCAATTTTATGGATATGAGAAGAAACTCTTGGGGTTACTAAAATAGCTGTTTTAACTACTAGAGAGACTACACAGGTGGTTCAACAGAATTTACTTGTATATTTTCCATTTTCTATACTATTTGAAGGCATAGGATAGTTTTGTATTAGCTTTCTACAATACTGTGTTTTAAATTTATCCAGTAAACTAAGATGCAGTACAACTTTTATACAACTCAGGAGATTAAAAAAAAAATCTCCACAAGAAGAAGCAACTCAGCAGGCCCTGGCATTAAAACATTTCCCAGAATAAACAGATATGCATTGCATTAAAGGTAATTTTCAAATATTTAAGTTACACCAAGATTTCCCTCCAATATGTGCCTTTCTCAAACCAATGCAACTAATTCATTGCTAATACTGGGGCATGAATTTTTGGCAAATGTTTATGGTTTTACTTTCTTCATTAATCAAAAAATTTTTTAAAGTGCTACCAAGCAGCAAAACAAGTCGCATCAGTTCTCTGCTCATGGCAGAAGTGCCAACTGTGAAATCGCAAAAGGTACAGTTTTAACAGTAAGTAATGCATGAAGAAACTGTAACAAATGGCCTAAATACAGAGTTGGACAGAGTCAAACCAGTTATGTCTAGAATTACTCAATTGAAACTAATAGAGGTACATTCAAAATAAAGTTGGAGATTATAATCGCTATTTAGAATCAAATTTGAAGACTTCCTTGATAAAATATAAGAATGTTCTTTTGAAATTGTAAATGAAACTATCAATAGATGGAGAGCTAGAGACTTATTAACCCCTCCTACACACATAAGGAAATAAGTGACAAAGTCTCTTGCACTGAAGTTATGTATTTTAACAGCTTTACATGTAATATTCATATATAAAAAACTTTAAGTGCTTTTCTCCAATTTAAAAATCTAAAGAATTCAAAAATAAGGCATTCAATATTTGAAAAAAGTACAGATTTACAAAATGTGTATATTCTGTCATGAAAACTCCACACCAACATTATACACTTGGAAAAAAATACAAACAGGATATATTACAAATTTATGCAGCAATAACTTAGTTCACACCATGCAATAAAAAGTACATTAATCAAGATACACAAGCTTTTGTAGGTTCTAAACTGAAGGACTTTTTTCTTTTTTTTCTGCAGAATCCTTAAAACCTGTGGCACTTAAAATTTGTTAGCCTTTCTAATGAGAGGTAAATTATACACAACAATGATGAAAAAGATTAACAGACCAGTTGTCTATTATGAATCATTCCAGCTTTGTTCAACAATGGCCGAAACTCTTTTCTCATATTCTCGTTTGTTTTCCTGATAAAGCTGTGCTGCCTGGCTATTGGCTGGACTGTTAGGATTCGGTTCATCCAGCAGAGACTAGGAGGAAAGAAAAGAAAAAACAGATTTGCATAGTTGTTCTTTATACCAACAGGGGTCAGATATGGAATATATTACAGAAAAGTTATACAAAACAACAAATTACTTCAGAGATTAACATGTCATATAATTTTGGGTCTAAATACTTTTAGAAATGATTTGATAAATACTATGGGGTTTCCTGCTGCTAAGGAACTTAAGCTTCTGAAATAAAGTTCTCAATTGCCTTAAGACCTATAATTTCAGCTGGGTACAGTGGCTTGTGCCTGTAATCCTAACACTTTGGGAGGCCAAGGCAGGAGGATCCCTTGAGCCCAGCAGTTCAAGCCCAGCCTGGGCAACATAGGGAGACCCTGTTTCTATTAAAAAAGAAAAAGAGGTCGGGTGTGGTGGCTCACGCCTGTAATCCCAGCACTGTGGGAGGCCGAGGCGGGCAGATCACCTGAGGTAGGGAGTTCGAGACCAGCCTGACCAACATGGAGAAAACCCCGTAATTTCTAAAAATACAAAATTAGCCGGGTGTGGTGGCGCATGCCCGTAATCCGCTACTCGGAAGGCTGAGGCAGGAGAATTGCTTGAACCCGGGAGGCAGAGGTTGCAGTGAGCTGAGATCGCGCCACTGTACTCCAGCCTGGGCAACAAGGGTGAAATTCCGTCTCAAAAAAAAAAAAAAGAAAAAAGAAAAGAAAAAAATACCTATAATTTGAAAGAAATCAGAAAAGAATATTCTTAAGCATATTGAGACGTTCTCATTAAACCAAGGAAATAAACAGCTTAATTTGGTTAAGATATCAATAATTCTCAGTAACCAACATTTTCCAAGGTTAAACTCTATTACTGCAGTTACTTTGCAAATGTCTTGACAGTAAATTTGGGAGATAAGTCTTATTTCCTTTAATCAACAAAACATATACATTTAGCAGGAAGAGAATGAGATAGGAAGGTTGAAAAACAACGCTTGTAAGATGACCAGAACTGGCCTGGTGCAGTAGCTCACGCCTGTAATCCCAACACTTTCGGAGGCTCAGACGGGCGGATCATGAGGTCAGATGGAGACCATCCTGGCTAACACTGTGAAACCCCATCTCTACTAAAAATACAAAAACTTAGCCAGGCGTGGTAGCATGTGCCTATAGTCCTAGCTACTCAGGAGGCTGAGGCAGGATAATCACTTGAACCCGGGAGGCAGAGGTTGCGGTGAGCCAAGATTGTGCCATTGCACTCCAGTCTGGGCAACAGAGCAAGACACTGTCTCAAAAAAAAAAAAAAAAAAAAAAACAATTAAAGAAGTGTGAGAGAAAAAACTTTAAAAAGAACATCACAAACCAACATATTATTTCTGCTCCTCTCAAATCCACAAAACCGAAACACCCCTCACTCCACCCCTCCTAAATTTTCATTCAAAGATCTATTCTGAAATATTCTGCCAGACTGCTTCGACAAATGGTTACATTAGTTTTCCTTTCTTTTTTTAAAATAGAATTTCTTGGATGGGGTAACATACTCAATGCTTATCTACACTTGGCAGTTTCTTTAGGTTCCTATGGTTTTTCCAAGCCATTTTTTCTTTTCCACAACCCTTGGCTATGCTTCATGGACACAAATTAGGTTTGACCTGTGAGAACATGTAACTTACACAATCAGGAAAGGGACTGCAGACTGGATCCCAAGTAGGCACTACTGAAAGAGAAAAGTTAGCTGAAAAGCATGGATTCTTGTCCAAGCTCTGCCATTGGTTACCTGTGTGCTAAGGAGCTGACTATATCCTACAGAATACTGACAAATTATAATACATCCTAACACACACTTACCTGAATTGATGTTAAGATAGAAGATACATCATATGTTGGACTCCATCGATTCTGAAGGATATCTAAACATATGCTACCATCAGCATACACTGCAAAGACAATACTAAAATTAGTTACACACTCTGCCATATCTAACAGTTAAGAGAAATCTTTACCAAACAGAATGCTTGGCTTAGAAGTTTTAAATATTAGGTAATAACTAAATTCTTCTGTATCACAGGATAACCTGTCTTAAAACTAAGGTCTCTTATTTTGCACCTGCTATGGTTTGAATGTTCCCTCCAAATCTCATGTTGAAATGTAATTGCTGGAGGCTGGGCACGGTGGCTCACGCCAGTCCTGAACACTTTGGGAGGCCGAGGCAGGCAGGATTGCTTGAGGTCAGGAGTCTGAGACCAGTCGGGCCAACACAGTGAAACCCCATCTCTACTAAAATTATAAAAATTAGCCGGGCATGGTGGCACATGCCTGTAATCCCAGCTACTTGGAAGGCTGAGGCAGGAGAATCGCTTGAACCCAGGAGGCAGGGGTTGCAGTGAGCTGAGATCACACCACTGCACTCCAGCCTGGATGACAGGGTAAGAACCTGTCTCAAAAAAATAAAAGTAAAAAAATTAAATAAAAAAAAATTAATTGCCATTGTAACACTGTTGAGAAGTGGGACCTTTAAGAAGTGCTTAGGTCATGAGTGCTCAGGGCAGGAGTGTACTCCAGATAAAAGGATGAGTTTGGCACCTTTTCTTATGTCTTGTGTGCTCACTTGTCATTCTGCCTTCCACCATGGGATGTCACAGCACCAAGGACCTTGCTTAGGTGCTGGCGCCATGCTCTTGGACTGCCCAGTCTCCAGAACCATGAGCCAAACAAACTACTATTATTTACAAATTTACAAATTATCAGTCCCTGCTATTCTGTTGTAGCAGAAAATGAACTAAGACAGCATGTTATGATCAGGAGGCTTTGAGTTAAATTTCTTCAACACACATCATTTAGCAATCTATTTAAATTCCGTATTTCTAAATATTCTTAAAGCTTTTAAAAAACTGCTTATTTTTGACATAGCAATTACACTCCTAGAAATTAAGGAAATAAACGTGGACATGCACAAAGATTTACTTACAGGATGTTCACTATAATACTACTTATAAGAGTAGAAGGCCAGGCGCAGTGGCTCACACCCATAATCCCAGCACTTTGGGAGGCCGAGGCGGGTGGATCATGAGGTCATGAGTTCGAGACCAGCCTGGCCAGCATGGTGAAACCCTGTCTCTACTAAAAATACAAAAATTAGCCAGGCATGGTAGTGCATGCGTGTAGTCCCAGCTACTCAGGAGGCTGAGGCAGAAGAATTGCTTGAACCCAGGAGGCAGAGGTTGCAGTGAGCTCAGATCACGCCACTGCACTCCAGCCTGGGCGACAGAGCGAGACTCTATCTTAAAAAAAAAAAAAAAAAAGTGAAAAACTAATTCTACCTTGTGGTCCATAAAAGAGGGAACTGGCTAAATAAACAACTGATACATTCATATAAGCAATAGCAACACAATCACCAGAAATGATACATATCTACTGTTTATAGAGTAAGACATCCACAGACTATTACCTTAAAAATAAGTTTTTAATTATTTATAATTTCCTATTTTGATTAAAAAGTTTTATATAAATTCATTTAAAGTATATGTAGTCAAAAAACATTTCTAAGACCGAATGTCAAAATGTAAGTAGTGGATATTTGTAATAGTAGGGTTATGGATGATCTTATTTTCTTTTCCTTTTTTTTTTTTGAGATGGAGTTTCGCTCTTGTTGCCCAGGATGGAGTGCAATGGTGCAATCTCAACTCACTGCAAGCTCCGCCTCCCAGGTTCAAGGGATTCTGCTGCCTCAGCCTCCCACGTAGTTGGGATTACAGGTGCCCACCACCACGCCCAGCTAATTTTTGCATTTTTAGTAGAGACGGGGTTTTGCCATATGTTGGCCAGGCTGGTCTCGAACTCCTGACCTCAGGTGATCCACCTGCCTCGGCCTCCCAAAGTGCTGGGATTACAAGCATGAGCCACTGTGCCCGGCCCTTTTTTTTTTTCTTTTTTTGAGATGGATTCTCAGTCTGTTGTCCAGGCTGGAGTGCAGTGGTGAGAACTCGGCTCACTGCAACCTCCACCTCCTGGGTTCAAGCAATACTCCTGCCTCAGCCTCCCGAGTAGCTGGGATCACAGGCATGTACAACCACGACCCAGCTAATTTTTGTATTTTTAGTAGAGATGGGGTTTTACCATGTTGGCCAGGCTAGTCTCGAATTCCTGACCTCAGGTGATCTGCCCACCTCGGTCTCCCAAAGTGCTGGGATTACAGGTGTGAGCCACAGCGCCCCCAGCAGATGATCCTCTTTTCTTTTTCTTTTTTTTTGAGATGGAGTCTCGCTCTGTCACCCAGGCTGGAGTGCAGTGGCGTGATCTCGGCTCACTGCAACCTCCGCCTCCTGGGTTCAAGCAATTCTCCTGCCTCAGCCTCCCAAGTAGGTGGGATTACAGGCACACATCACCATGCTTGGATAATTTTTTATATTTTTAGTAAAGACGGGGTTTCACTATGCTGGCCAGGCTAGTCTCGAAGTCCTGACCTCGTGATCCACCTGCCTCAGCCTCCCAAAGTGCTGGGACTACAGGCGTGGGCCACCGTGCCTGGCCTATCTTATTTTCTTTATCCTTCCTTGTGTTTATGATTTATTTGTGCAATGAGTATACATATTCCTTTCATTAAAAAAAAAAATCAAGTGACTAACAGGTATCAAAAGTCCTGAACATCTGGGAGGGTTCTTCCCTTTTTAGACTGATTCTGTGAAAATACAAGCAATGAACGTTAAGTATTTGCCCAATTGTGAGACTATCTGTAGAAAAAATTTCTAGAAGTGAACTGCTATGTAAAACAAAGAGTAAATTCATTTAAATGTTACAGATACCATTTCATGGAGCAAACCATAACAGAGAGTGGGGAGCAAATCACACTTAAACACTGTGATTCTTCCAGACTCTATCCTAAGCCCTTTTCCTTCTTACCCTTTACACACACACTGGGCAATCCTATTGACTCCTGTGGCCTCAGTTACCATCCATGTGCTCAGTATTCCCAATCATTGGCCTTAGCCTAGATCTATCTCTCAGCTTCAAAGCCAACTTACTGTCCATCCCACAGAAACATCAAACTTAGCTGCCCAAAGCAAAAATTAGTAACTCTGTAAAACCCATAAAAGTGTAAAACAATTTTAAAGTTCTGAGTAACTATTTCTGAGAATCCAAAAGTAAATCAGAACTCAAATATCTTATCAACTAATGAACAAAATACAGAATATCCATACAGTGGAATATTATTCAACAATAAAAAATGAATCACAGATACTATTATATCACAACATAGATGAGCCTTGAAAACTTTATGCTGGGTGACAGAAGTCAGTCACAAAGGACCACATAGTATAAGATTCCATTTATATGAAATATCCAGAATAGTCAAATCTAGAGGGAAAACACGTTAGGGGTAACACTTACCTAGGACTGAAGCGGGGAGGGTTAAGACAAACAGAGTTGACTGCTAAGATAATAGTTATGGGGCTTTTTGTTGTTTTTAAAGTGGTCATGGTGATGGTTATGATTATGCTAAAAACCATTTGAGTTGTACAATTTAAGTGGGTCAACAGCTTGGTGTGTAAATTATATTTCAATAAATGTTTTTAAAAAAATAAACCAGAAAGTTAAATTATAAAAAAGTACTCAGCAGAATAAAAGGGAAACCATGCTATAAATATGAAGAGATGTGAAAACCAAATACACTGTGGTTTCTTAAAAATTTGCTTAAGTGATAACCCTATATTTATATCCCTTACTCATTCTACAGTCTTTCCCACCTTTATTTAAAGACCCCCTTATCATAATTGGTTTGGTTTGACTCAATAACAAGTCTAAGCAAGATAAAGCTACAGTGGAATAAATGGTAAATGACCTGGGAACTTCCCCAAAAAGAGAAACAGAAAATAAAATTAAACCTGTCTTGGACAAAAAAAAAAGCAAAAAAGGCAGCTAGAAGGAAAAAGCAACTTCACAGAAATGAAGTGCCAAAGGTAGTATCTATTACTGGAAAGTCACCTTGATTCCAGACACAAACGAAACACATCTCTCCTCTGGGTAGGGAGCTCTATAATGTATTCTGCAGTACTAGAGACACGACCAAGAGGACCTCTGAAAATGTTCTTCCTGAAAGTGAGTTGGCTGATGGGGAACGCCACATTTAAATGAGCAAAGGCTGTGAGACTGAAGAGGAGCTTCAAGAATTTGGAGAAGTCTTTCACATGGTAATTTATAATACAGAAATATAAATGTAATAGATGTAAACAGCAAGATGTCAAGGAAGACCAAATTTATTACAAAGGAATTAGCCATCGTTTAGTGAAGAATAGTAACAAACTACTCTATGAAGTGAAAATGAGAACAATTCCACTGAAGGAAAAAAATGGAAAATGACATTAAAAGCTTTAAAAACACACAAGCCTCTGACCCAGTAATCCCCACGTTTAAAAAACTTAGTCTAGTTGTTATGCAGCAATTAAAAAAACAAACAAAAAACTCAATCAAAATAATAATTAGTATCTGAAAAGATTTATTTTGAGGCCGGGCACGGTGGCTCACACCTGTAATCCCAACATTTGGGAGGCCAAGGCAGGCGGATCACCTGAGGTCAGGAGTTCAAAACCAGCCTGGCCAACATGGTGAAACCCCGTCTCTACTAAAAATATAAAAATTAGCTGGATATACAGCTTTGGGAGGCTGAGGCAAGAGAATCACTTGAACCCAACAGGCAGAGGTTGCCGTGAGCCGAGATCATGCCACTGCACTCCAGCCTGGCCGATAGAGCAAGACTCTGTCTCAAAAAAAAAAAAAAAAAAAAAAAAAAAGCTGGGTATGGTGGCACACATCTGCAGTCCCAGCTACTCAGGAGGCTGAGGCAAGAGAATCACTTGAACCCGGGAGGTAATGGTTGCGATGAGTCGAGATCACACGACTGTACTCCAGCCTGTGTGACACAGCAAGTGTTTTTCTCAACAACAAAAAAATTTTTAAGATTTTTAAGAATGTTCAAAGTGCTATTTAAAATTGTAAACAACTGAAAACTATCAACAATTGGACACTGGTTAAAAATATGATAAATCTATGTAACAGAACATTTTGCCATTAAAAATGATGTATCAGAATATTTATTTTTTTGAGATGGAGTCTTGCTCTGTTGCCAGGCTGGAGTGCAGTGGCGCGATCTTGGCTCACTGAAACCTCCGCCTCCCGGGTTCAAGCAATTCTCCCGCCTCAGCCTCCCGAGTAGCTGGGACCACAGGCATGCGCCACCATGCCCAGCTAATTTTTGTATTTTTGGTAGAGATGAGGTTTCACCACGTTGACCAGGATGGTCTTGATCTCTTGACCTCATGATCCACCTGCCTTGGCCTCCCAAAGTGCTAGGATTACAGGCGTGAGCCACTGCACTCAGCCCAGAATATTTATTAAGGAAAATGTTCACAGTATATTAAAAAAACAAAAACAAACAAACCAAAAAAAACACCTTATTTTATATATAACATCCCAATTTTCTTTTTTTTTTTTGAGATAGGGTCTTGCTTTGTCACCCAGGATGGAGAGCGGTGGCACAATCATGGCTTGCTACAGCCTCAACCTCCCAGGCTCCAGCAATTCTCCCACCTCGGCCTCCCTAGTAGCTGGGAATACAGGTACGCACCACTGTGCCCAGCTAATTTTTGTATTTTTTGTAGAGACAGGGTTTCACCATGTTGCCTAAGCTGGTCTTGAACTCCTGGGCTCAAGCAATCCACCCTCCTCAGCCTTCCAAAGTGCTGGAATTAATAGGCATGAACCACTGTGTGTGGTCATTGACTCCAACTTTGTATATGCAAAATTGTACTTTTGAGATAGAATCTTGCTCTGTTGCCCAGGCTAGAGTGCAGTGGCACAGTCATGGCTCACTGCAGCCTTGACCTCCTGGGCTCAAGTGATCCTCTCACCTCAGCCTCCATAAGTAGCTGAGACTACAGGTGTGCGCCACCATGCCTTGATATTTTTTTTGTTTTTTATAGGGATGGGACCTCGCTATGTTGCCCAGGCTGGTCTCTGACTCCTGGTCTCAAGCAACCTTCCCACCTTGGCCTCCCAAGGTGCTGGGATTATAGGTATGAACCACCACGCCTGGCCAAAATTGTATTTTTGAAAAGCTTAATTTTAGCCAACAGATTTTTCTTATTTTTCACAATTCCACAAATAAATAGATAATACTTTTATCTATTTCTTTTAGTAGAGACAGGATCTTACTATGTTACCTAGGCTGGCCTCAAGCCACCCTCCTGCCTTAGCCTCTGGAGTAGCTGGGACTACAGGTGTGCACCACTGTGCCTGGCTTACATATTACCTTTGTTTTTTTGGAGACAGAGTCTTGGTTTGTCACCCAGGCTGAAGTGCAGTGTTGTGAGCTCAGCTCACTGCAACCTCCGTCTCCCAGGTTCAAGTGATTCTCCTGTCTCAGCCTCCTGAGTAGCTGAGATTACAGGTGCCCACCATCATGCCTGACTAATTTTTGTATTTTTAGTAGTGATGGGGTTTCACCATGTTGGCCGGGCTGGTCTCAAACTCCTGACCTCAGGTGATCCGCCCACCTTGGCCTCCCAAAGTGCTGAGTTTATAGGTATGAGCCACCATGCCCGACCATGTATTACTTTTAATTCAGGAGTTATTAAAACAACTTGACCTCAAATTTGGAAGCTTTGTAAGAGTCTAGCTACAGAAACATAGCTAAAGGCTGGAAAAAATGGCCCATTCCTGTAATCACAGTGCTTTGGGAGGTCAAAGTGGGAGGACTGCTTGAGGCTAGGAGTTCAAGGACCAGCCTGGGCAACACACAGAGACTTTGTGTCTACAAAAAAGAAAAAGAAAACAAACAAAAAAATTAGCTGGGCATGGTGGTCCACACCTGTCGTCCCAGCTAGTTAGGAGTCTGAGGCAGGAGGATTACTTGAACCCAGGAGTTTGAGGTAACAGTGAACTGTGACTGTACCACTGCACTCCAGCAGGGGTGACAGAGTATAACTTTGTCTCTGAAGAAATAAGAAACAAACCAAAAATCCACAACAAACCCAGCACTTTGGGAGGCCAAGGTGGGCAGATCACAAGGTCAGGAGATCGAGACCATCCTGGCTAACATGGTGAAACCCCGTCTCTACTAAAAATATAAAAAATTAGCCAGGCGTGGTGGTGGACGCCTGTAGTCCCAGCTACTCACAAGGCTGAGGCAGGAGAATGGCGTGAACCCGGGAGGCGGAGCTTGCAGTGAGCCGAGATCGCGCCACTGCACTCCAGCCTGGGCGACAGAGCGAGACTCCGTCTCAAAAAAAAAAAAAAAAAAAAAAAAAAAAATCCACAACAAAATACGTGGCTCACATGGACATGGAAGCAACACCTACAAGTGAGCCCTAACAGTAAAAAGTAAGGTGAAAGAGCTAAAAGGAGGGAAACAACTCTTTTCCCCACTATCATCTGCAAAATCTATAAAATGCTACTTACCATTTGGATGAAACATTTTGGATAAAAACCTAACAGTTGGTGGTTTATTTGGATATTCTTCAGAAAATTCTATTACTAGTTTAAAAGTACCTAGAGAGAAAACAAAATAATTATAGTAAAGACAAGCACGACTTTTTAATCTCTTCATCAGTTCTCAACTGCATACTGGTTTTTGTACAACCACATAAAAGTTAGTATGTCAACGTTGGTTCGGCATACAAAACATCCTAAATATACTCTATTTATGTTAGAATGGTAACACGCAGCATTGGCAAGCGGTTGGGGAACAAGCACATTCATGTTGCTATTGGTGGGAGTGTTAACTGTCATATTTTTGGAAGGCAACTAGGCCCTAGCTACCAAGATTTAAAATGCATATTTGAAGAACTACAAATAGTTTATTATAGCTTAGAATGGGAGTTGGTTAAAGGATTTTGAGAGGGTCTGACTACCACATGGCAAAGGACCCTCCCAGGAGGTGGAGGTTGCAGTGAGCCCAGATCATGCCGCTATGCTCTGGCATGGGTGACAAAGCAAGACTCCGTCTCACACACACAAAAAAACTTTAACTCAGAAAATCTTCATTAAAAATAACTGTAGCCAGGTGGGGTGGCTCACGCCTGTAATTCCAGCACTTTGGGAGGCTAAGGTGGGCGGATCACCTGAGGTCAGGAGTTGAGACTAGCCTGGCCAACGTGGTCAAACTCCACCTCTACTAAAAGTACAAAAATGAGCTGGGTATGGGGGTGCCTGTAATCTCAGCTACTCAGGAGGGTGAGGCAAGAGAATTGCTTGAACCTGGGAGGCGGAGGTTGCTGTGAGCAGAGATCGCGCCATTGCACTCTAGTCTGGGTGACAAGAGCAAGACTCTGTCTCCAAAAAAAAAAGGTAGGTTAAACTGCAAACCCATTACACAGAATATAAATTAAAATTATATTTCTCCCCAAGTTGGTGATAAGTGTAAGCAATGTTTTACATATTTGCAACTGTCTCTTTAATGACTGGCTTAACAGAAGATAGCTGGATTCTCTTATCTGCTTCTGCACTCCATCTATTACAATACCGTTTAGTTTAAGTACATGAAGAAAATCTGGCCTCACACAAATATGTACTTGAAAAAAGGAGTACTTTCTTTCTTTCTTCCTTTTTTTTTTTTTTTTTTGTTGAGACAGAGTCTCACTGTTGCCCAGGCTGGAGTGCAATGGCACCATCTCAGCTTACTGCAGCCTCCGTCTCCTGGGTTCAAGCAATTCTCCTGCCTCAGCCTCTGGGGTAGCTGAGATTACAGGCACGTGCCATCCCGCCTGGCTCATTTTTGTATTTTTAGTAGAGACGACGTTTCACCATGTTGGCCAGGCTGGTCTTGAACTCCTGACCTCAGGTGATCTGCCCACCTTGGCCTCCCAAAGTGCTGGGATTACAGGCATGAACCACTGCACCCAGCAAAAAAAGTAGTATTTGAATAGCTTTTTCAGGTGACTGTAGCTATTCTGTTTTGATATTATACCAAAGAAGAAATGGTAGTTCTTTTAAAGGTTTGCTGCAATATAGAATCTGAAATTATTAGTCAACTTTTTGTACTCAGTTACATTAAAATCTGTTCACTTCACATACGTGTTTTACCCATTCATGGTTTTGTATTATTATTCATGGGACATCTGCAAAATATTGGGTGACTCGAGTTTACAGATCCTCCAAATGTTGCCATATTCCATTATATACTATCAAAAAAATCACAACAGGTAACACTACCCACTAATCTCATCAAAAAGTAAGTATCAGGAAGCTGTTATTTTATCAACAGCAACAAATATCTTCAGTTGCTATCCTTAACCTAACAACCCACTTAGATCCCCCCACTGTTTTTTTTTTTTTTTTTTGAGATGGAGTCTTGCTCTGTTGTCCAGGCTAGGGTGCAATGGTGCGATCTTGGCGCACTGCAACCTCTGCCTCCCAGGTTCAAGCAATTCTCCTGCCTCAGTCTCCCGAGTAGCTGGGATTACAGGTGCCCGCCACCACACCGAGCTTATTACATTACTTCTGAGAATATGTCTGCCATATATTCAAACCTGAATAACCACAGCTTGTCTGTATTTTCAAGTAAAAAATGTTCCATGAAAAAAAGTCATTCAAATTGCAACTCAAACAACTGTAGAAGTGCTTTTCTTCCAGACAACTATCATACTATGACATGCAGAAGTGCTTTGTTCATACATTCTACTTCATATCATACAGAATATTAAAAAGACAGATACTCGGCTGGGTGTGGCTCATGCCTCAGCACTTCGGGTGGCCAAGGTGGGCAGATCACCTGAGGTCAGGAGTTTAAGGCCCCAGCCTGGCCAACATGGTGAAACCCCATCTCTACTAAAAATACAAAAATTAGCCGGGCATGGTAGCACATGTCTGTAATCCCAGCTACTTGGAAGGCTGAGGCACGAGAATCACTTGAACCTCGGAGGCGGAGGCTTCAGTGAGCCAAGATTGCGCCTCTGCACTCCAGCCTGGGTGAGAGAGCGAGACAAAAAACAAAAAACAAACAAAAAAAACCCACATAGATACTCAAGGGTCCAGAGCTTCCTAATACTAATAAAAATGTCTTTAAATTAAGAAATTAAGAAAAATTGGTAACTTTTTTAAAGACAAGGTCTCACTCTGTCACCCAGGCTGGAGCTCAGTGGCTCCACCAGGGCTCACTGCAGCCTTGACCTCTTGGGCTCAGGTAATCCTCCCAAGTAGCTGGGACTAAAGGCATGTACCACCATGCCTGGCTAATTTTTTGTAGAGAAGGGCTCCCCCAGGCTGGTCTCAAACTCCTGGGCTCAAGTGATCCATGATCCACCTGCCTAAGCCTCCCAAAGTGCTGGCTATACAGGTGTGAGCTACTGCCCCTGGCCAACTGGCATCTTTTAAAATGCAAAGAATATAATCACTATTAGTATGGTTTGGTGCCACTGTCTAATGCCTTGATTTGTTCTAAGATACGAAACTACTTAGGTGTAGTTATAGCCACCATTGGTTTTGTACCATCAATGCAAAGGTCAACAGTCTTAGTATGATGAGATTTGATCGTATGGGTCCCCCGAGAGGGTCTCCAAGACCCCAAGGGGTTTATGGATCACACACTTGAGAACCCTTGATGTAGAGAAAAAAGGTAACGTCCTTAAGTACCTCCTTCAACTCCTTACCCCCCCCACAGATAATCACTGGTAACAGTTTGATATATAACCCTTTAACATAGACACACATGCATATATGTATTTGCTAAAAATGTGATGCTACGACAAACATTATCGTGCAGTTTTTTTGTCCTCTTAAGACAGTATGTCCAAATCTACCTTATTCTTTAACAGGTACATATTCCAGAATCCAGATACATCATAATTTGCTTAACCATTTCTCCTACTGGACATTCAGGTTACGTCCTTACAAACTGCTGCAGTCAGTATTCTCGGATAAATATTTTTGATGGATTAATTCTGAAGTCATTTTGTTAATGATAACAAAGATGTTTAATAATTTCTTAAAATCCAACACTACAATTGGGAAAAGTCTAAGTTCCTGGTTAAAATCAGTTTGATAAGTTCAATTATAAATTCGGTATTAGAACTAGTTTCCCATTTTCCTAGCCCCTGATGAAAATACCCAACTTGAGATGCCAAAGATTATGCAAAATGATAACTACTTATGGGTGTTAAATGCTAGTAGTACTTGAAACTACTGGCAGCTATGTATGTTTATGAAAAATTTCAGCTCAACACCCTGTCAATATCAAAGATAACAAAGTAAAAAAGCATGATTTACTCTTCTGGTGTTCACCTCAGAGATATCTTTAAGGCCACCTAAATTTAAACTATTCTCAACATAAACACTGCCATCCAGGCTTACAGTTATACAGGAAAATATTAAAGTAACCTTTAATATTGGTTACCAATGGAGGTGACCAAGCTGCTGTGGGAAGAAGTCCCTTATGAAGTATAAATTTTCCATAGCTTTACTTTTAACTTGGCCTATTAACCATAGAAAATGGCTTCAAGTAGATATGTTGGTGTTACAATTTTCTACTAAAAAGTAACCTCATAACACTATAGAAAACATAATGAGTATGACTTACCATCTTCAAAAGGTGTCCCTTCTGGTCTGAAAACAAGAAGATTTCTGATTAAAAGAAGTTTCTCATTCTGCTTTTTCTTGATTTTCAAGAATGGAAAGGATAAACTTCAACAGAAAAAGAGGGACTCATTCTGATGATTTGTGGAGTTTTAAGATAGAGTTTAGTAACACCTTAGCCCTGGATTTTCATAGACCCAGGCATAAAGTATTAACTTTCATTCTAAGCTTTCTTTTTAGGGTGGTTTTACCAAACCAAACAAAAAAACTTGCCCATAATTTTAGCACAAAAAAACTTTCATTAATACTGACCAGTCATTTTGTACATATGTGTATATATATATATATATTTTTTTTTTTTTTTTTTTTTTTTTTTGAGACGGAGTTTTGCTCTTGTCCCCCAGGCTGGAGTGCAATGGCATGATCTCAGCTCACTGCAACCTCCTTCTCCTGGATTCAAGTGATTCTCCTACCTCAACCTCCCGAGTAGGTGGGATTACAGATGCCTGGCTAATTTTTGTATTTTTAGTAGAAACGGGGTTTCACCATATTGGCCAGGCTGGTTTCGAACTCCTGACCTCAGGTGATCCACTCATCGCAGCCTCCCAAAGTGCTGGGATTTAGAGGCGTGAGCCACCGCACCTGGCCCATATGTATATTCTTAAGAGGAAAAGACATCTTTTCATTTTACAGCAATATGATGTAAAGCAATACTCTAGTTATGATGCTAAACCCAAGTGTCCTGCTTTCCAATGGAGCCATAACTCTTGTTCAAATAGGCTAAGCATAGTTGTCACCAAAAAGCCAGATTTGTTTGCTCAGATCCTTGTCCCCACATCCCAATTTCATCTTTCCTAAGCAGCAGCATAAAGTTTTTTTTTTTTTTTTTTTTTTTTTTTTTGAGACGGAGTCTCGCTGTCGCCCAGGCTGGAGTGCAGTGGCGCAATCTCGGCTCACTGCAGCCTCCGCCCCCTGGGGTTCACGCCATTCTCCTGCCTCAGCCTCCCGAGTAGCTGGGACTACAGGCGCCCGCCACCTCGCCCGGCTAATTTTTTTTTGTATTTTCAGTAGAGACGGGGTTTCACCGTGTTAGCCAGGATGGAGCATAAAGTTTAATTATTACTTGCAAGGCATATTCAGGATCTCAAAGCAGCAGGATAATATCCTGAAGGTGCCATGTATTCAACTCAAATTCAGAAGTACTTTATGAGGATGAACTTCACTCATTTTCCACTAGTCTTTAAATGTAGACTCTTGTAGCTGATTCTGTAGTGTCAGAATTCTGTTTATCAACATACTCCTTTTACTTTTTAATGCAAAACTCTAGTTTCAAAGGAATGAAAGAAAAAATAGATCAAGTCTAGAAAAACCAAAGAAAAAGCATAAGGAAATTTTAAATTAAAAAGCATATACGCAATATACATAGTAGGTAAAATTTACAACTGCTTCTCAAATGGCTGCATTCTGTTATTTCACACTGGGCTGTGAATCATTTTCGCTTAAATTCTTGCCACAGTGGAAGTTCTTAATATTTTTGGTTCCAAACCTTTTAACAGCTCCAACAGAATGAGAGCATTTGCGTGATATGTTTTATATAAAGTAACTTATTGTTTCTCCTTTATTATTCCATTCCATTTAGTTTTGAATAGTATTTTAAAAGTAAAACCCCAAGAGATTATAAAACCATATGTAATAACATCAAAGAGCAAATAAACTTTATATAACTGCTGAAACTTTTTCCTTTTTTTTTTTGATACAGGATCTTGGCTCTGCTGGCTGCCCATGTTGGAGGGCAGTGGCACAATCATGGCACACTGCAGCCTCAAACTTCTGGGCTCAAGTGATCCTCCTGCCTCAGCCTTCCAAGTAGCTGGGACCACAGGTATGCACCACCATGCTCAGCTAGTTTTATACTTTTTGTAGAGACAAGGGCTCACTATGTTGCCCAGACTGGGCCAAAACTTTTTTTGGTGGGGAGGGGACAGAGTCTCACTGTCTCACTATATCGCCCAGGCTGGTGAACTCCTGGGCTCCAGCGATCCTCCCAGGCGTTGAGCTACTACTGTGCTGGGCCAAAACTCTAATTGAAATATTTTTTTTTTCTAATTTATCTTGCAGTTTTAGTCCTTAAGATCTCTCATTCCACCTCAGTTTCTTTTCCTAGACAGTTGTTATATGTTTACTTTTCTTAAAGATTCAGCACACACCTATTATTTGTTAAACCTTTCAACTCACCCAAATATAACTGCATTCCACTGCATGATGTTGTTTTCAGATGGTGCGCCACTGACACCCACAGGTGGGTCCTCTTGTAACCTGGAAATCCAGCGTGGTAATTTAAAAAGTTGAACATTAAGGCCACTAAGGAGGCCACGTAAACACCTACAGACACTATACCATCTATTTTGAGACACAGACTAACTCCATTTCCTTGTTATTGTGAACTAAAATGAACCATATGACTTAAATATATTAACCAGGTATATATACTTATTAAATACCTCTCCAAATTATCTAAAAATTGAAAGGGCTTGAGAATCATCCCTCTTTCAATATTATCTCTTCAAGAATTGATGCATAGGAACACTTTTACACTGTTGGTGGGACTGTAAACTAGTTCAACCATTGTGGAAGACAGTATGGCGATTCCTCAGGGATCTAGAACTAGAAATACCATTTGACCCAGCCATCCCATTACTGGGTATATACCCAAAGGAATATAAATCATGCTGCTATAAAGACACATGCACACGTATGTTTATTGCGGCACTACTCACAATAGCAAAGACTTGGAACCAACCCAAATGTCCAACAATGATAGACTAGCCTAAGAAAATGTGGCACATATACACCATGGAATACTATGCAGCCATAAAAAAGGATGAGTTCATGTCCTTTGTAGGGACATGGATGAAGCTGGAAACCATCATTCTCAGCAAACTACCGCAAGGACAAAAAACCAAACACCACGTGTTCTCACTCATAGGTGGGAATTGAACAATGAGAACACTTGGACACAGGAAAGGGAACATCACACACAGGGGCCTGTTGTGGGGCGGGAGGAGAAAGGAGGGATACCATTAGGAGATATACCTAATGCAAGTGACGAGTTAATGGGTGCAGCACACCAACATGGCACATGTGTATACATATGTAACAAACCTGCACGTTGTGCACATGTACCCTAGAACTTAAAGTATAATTAAAATATATTTAAAAAAAAAGAATTGATGTATATAGACTGTCCTCTTATACCAAAAAAAGTTTAAAACCTCAAAAGCAAGTAATATTTTTACAGAACCATTGATTTTGCTGCTCTAAACATGCAAAGACTGTGTATCCTAACCAGGCTACTTCTGCAAAATGGCTACAAGAAAAAAAAAAAAAGCAAACCTCAGTGTAAACACAAAATGACTGAAAACACATTAAATTTAACTAGGAAACTAGTATTAGGCAGCAGATTTACTCTATTCCTTTTGCTTCAAACAGCAATGGCTTTAAAAAGTAATTAGTAGGTTTTCTGCCAGTCCCTATTTTAAAGGCTCTGCACTAACACCAAATCCACCTCTCAGATCAGGAGACTCAACACAAGGCTTTCCAACATTCGTCATAGTCAAATTCTTGTAACCTGCAGATCTCTGGAAACTACAAAAGGTGCCATGCATTCAACTCAGAATTAAGCAGAGCATTACAGTAAGGAGCCAGGGCGACAATGACATGAACTAGTTTACTATCTGAATTTGTCATGAGTGCTAATCAAATACGCTGATTTCAAGCTTTAGAAAGATGACTTTTGCACCAAAAAGGGCATCTCCTTTCAGAGACTGTAACCTCAATTAAAAATGCTACATTATATACACACACAAATACATATGCAGTTGTTTTTCATGGGGCATCATAATTTGCAACTAGTCCACATTAAAAAAATGGTTTTTAGTCAATCTCAAGCAAATTAGGCCACCACGAACAGAAGCCTTAGAAGAACTGCACTGCTTGACGCCTACCTTTAAATGGCTAAGAGAAGCTACGAATGAATTAAATAAGTTGGCCAAATCCAAGTGCCTCACATAGGCTTTATAATAGCTGAGAGGTGACTTCCTGAGCGACAAATCTAAGTTTTTATGCTAGATATTTTGTTCAATTAGGGCAGGTGTCCCCAGAAAAAATGTTAAGAAAAATGTGCAGAGTATCAAAATGATGTTTTCTCACTTATTTTTTCTATGTCTCTAAGTATCCAATAAAAGGTAAACAACGGAATAATCATTTTCTATCTCACAACCCCAATACCTCCTAACAAAACCCTATTTTATTTACCAAAGGAGGCCCAGGGAGTATCAGATTAGCGCCAGTCTAAGGGAAGGCATTTTTCCAGACTCGGGAGGCTATAGATAGGGGCTTTCTTCACCAGCCAGAGCTGAGTTCCAGAAAGCACTGGCAGCCGGGGTGGCCAGCTCTAAGGTCCCAGATCTCTAAGTCAGTTCCCAAGGTCCTTTCAGGCGGGCGGGGACAGAGTCGGGTTTCGGGGGATGGGTTAACCTCCGGGCCTCACGCACTGGACCCCACCCTCAGGGCACAAATGGAAAGGATTGGCAGGAGTCGGGAGAGGGGTTCGCCCCAACACGGCTCCTCGGAGAAGACGGCGGGGCCGTGAAACAAAGCTGACTGGTGCTGCCGGAGAGGAACAAGCTCCCGCAGGAGCTCACTTTGAGGGGACAAGAAGGGGGCGCCGCAGGGTGCAGGGGCGGGCGGATAATGTCTGATCGCCTGGGCGAGACGCCGGGCAGCTGGCCGAAATGGGCAGCAGGGAACCCTAGACCAGTCGATCGACACCGTTTTACTTTTTGTGGGGAGGGGAAGCAGTATCAAAATTTCTTCGGGCGCCAGAACGAGCGGCAAAGCTTATGGGAGTAGGGCCGAGGCTAGGACCCGGCTTCCGCCAGTCCCGCTGGGCCCACAGCCGGCCCTCTGAGGGTCACAAAGGGGAAGGTGTCTGGGATCCACGCCCTGCAGCCCCGCAGCTTTGAGGGGCCGTCATCTAGGCGAAGGTGAAGGCCCTTACCGCTTGAAATCCCGCATGAGCCTCCTCCGGGCCGGGGTCGACATGCTCCGCAGCTGCCCCGCGGTCAGTCTGAAAAAAAAAAAGTCCCGCGCAGCCCCCCCACCCCCCGGCGCGGCGGCCGAATCACTGTGGATCGCCGCCGCCGCCGCCGCCGCCGCCGCCGCCGAGACTGACAAACAACCCTGCAATGACGTCTCCCTCCGCCGCCTCCGGATCCCTCCGCCCTCCGCCGCTACCACAGTGTGAGTGCTGGGGGAGGAGGGGGCGGGACGCGGGAGCGCGCCTTCCCCGAGCCCTTCAGCGGGGCGCGGTTCCCCCTGGGCTTCCTGAAGTAATAGACAAATTTGTGTTCTCTGTGTTCAGACTAGAGGTTGTGGATTCAAAGACCACGAAACAGAAACACTATCCCGTCTCCCTCCCCGTCACTAGTTTAGGCTCGGCGGGGTGGAGAAAGAGGGACGCATCCGGGCCAGAGATTTCAGGGAAAGGAGGTGGGATGATGTAAGATCACGTGACTGCCCGCGGCCTTGTCAACAATCCACCCCTGAGTGGGAGGGGGAGAAGTATCTAGAACCACGTGTCCCTATGACGCGTTTAGAACGGGTCACGTGAGCGCCTCGCCTGGATGTGAGTTTCAGCCAGGTCTGTGAAGCGGGTTTAAGAGGGTGAGGGCGGGATAAACCTTTATTAGTTGTTTTCTGTTTATCACAGGTATAGAGACAACATTACCCAAGAGGTCATGGCAGAATCAACAGCTTGTTTTGTTTTCTTTAAACCGGGACCAAAAATAATTCCCCTCTGGTTGGTTCAGTGGCTTATTAACTCTGGTACTTGGGGCAAGAAGAGTGAGAGGATCGCACGATCTTCTAAGGCAGCCTTGAATACTGAGGCCCACACAACAATCTCCTGAAATGGTTCCTTGAAGCTACCAGATAGTCTTTCTGCTTTGCAGTGGGGTTTCTAGTATTGGAAATTCTGGGCAAATATTAAAGGATGGTGTATTATGCAGTTTTTCCTTTCTGGGTCTGCTTTCAATTGAAGATATGTGTCAGAGTCCGGGGACTTGCCTATGGTGGGGGAGTACCATTGTATTTTTAAGGAATGTGGGGGTGCAGTCTTCCAAGCATATCAATGAGTGGTTGGTTGTCAAAGAAACCTACAAATATGATTCATATTCTGGGGGAGAGCTCCGGCAGACATGAGTGAGGGTTATATATCTAGCCTGAGATAACTTCAGGTTTTCTACACTAGCAAGAAAGGTGCAAATGGGCCAGAAGGGCCCCCCACCACCAGGGGGTTCAGAGGTGTTGACCTCCCAAAGACCTTGAATATTTTCTGTGGTCACCGTCCTTCCCTCTATTGCTTCCAATTCCTACCTTCAGGACTTTGTTATACTAAGGACTCTGAGTACTTTTGTATCCATTTGGGGAACTGTTCAGTTCAACAGGTAAAGGGAGGGTGGAATGAGGACCTTAACATTGCCTCAGCCTTGCCCCTGATTCCATGGAAGCAGAGTTAACTTTTCTGACTTTCCTTGTACCTCTTTCTTCAAACCCTGAATTCCCTCTCTGCTTCCAGTGACTGCCTTGGTGATCAGGTTAGCCAGGCCTAACTCTTGATAGGTCCTGTTAGACATTCGCAATGTGTTTTTTAAGTTAAAAGCTGAATATTCTTAATTTTTTTGCCTTTCTGCCATTGCAGTCCTAACCCTTCCAATAGCAAAGGAGGAAGACACACAGGTAGGGTTACATGGAGAAAAATGGTAAAGAGAAACTATATCTTAAAAATATCCCTCATGAGCTGGGGCATTAGCTCATGCCTGTAATCCTAATACTTTGGGAGGCCAGGAGTTGAAGACCAGCCTGGGCAACATAGGAGATCCTGTCTCTACAAAAAGTAAAATTAGCCAGGCATGGTGGCGCACACCAATAGTCCCAGCAACTCAGGAGGCTGAGGCAGAAGAATCGCTTGAGACGAGGAAGTTGAAGCTGCAGTGAGCCATCATCATGCCACTGAGACCCTGCCTCAAAAAAATCCCGCAACAACCAAAAAAACCCTTGTAATTTATCAGTCAAGGCAGTCACTGAAAGCAGAGACAGAATTCAGGGTTTGAAGAAAGGGAGGTACAAGGAAAGTGGGAAAAGTTAACCCTTTCTGGTTCCATGGAACTATGGGCAAGATTAGGGCAATGCTGAGGTCCTCCTCCTACCCCCTCTTTCCCTGTTGAGCTGACGAATGGATACAAAAGTGCTCAGAGTCCTCCTGACCCACCAACGAAGTCCTGAAGATGGGAACTGGAGGCAATAGAGGTAAGGAATTCAGAGACTACAGGGATTTATAATTGTTTTGGAAACAGTTTATTATTTTCCAAAATGATATAACACTTTTAACTGATTCAGTGAATGTGCATCATAAAGTCTTACAGCTGTGTATTAGCAAGAATCACTGGCTGTCCTTGTTAACCAGGCCTGCCATAACCTACTTGTAGAAGGAATAATTTTAAAGCTATTAACTGTATGCTGTTATCAGTTCTGTAGCTCTGGATTATGAGTTCATTGAGGGCAGGGACTCAGTTTGGTTCATCTTTGTCCTGGGCAAATTTTTTTATTTTTTGAGACAGAGTTTTGCTCTGTCACCCAGGTTGGAGTGCAGTGGTGTGAACAGGGCTCACTGCAGCCTTGACCTTCTGGGCTCCAGTAATTCTCCTTCAGACGCCCAAGTAGCTGGGACCACAGGTGTGCACCACCATGCCCGGCTAATTTTTTGTAGAGATGGAGTTTTGCCCTCTTGCCCAGGCTGGTCTGGAACTCCTGGGCTCAAGTGATCTGCCCACCTTGGCCTCCCTGGGATTACAGGTGTGAGCCACTGTGCGCAGCCTCCTTGCAAATATTTAGCCCACAACAAATAATATGCTTACACCAAGTTTGAGCCCACTATAAGATTTACTATGACATTCTTATTTATAGAAGGTATTTTATATTGTGGTTGAATAACTTTCTTTTTTTTTTTTTTTTTTTTTTTGAGATGGAGTCTCGCTCTGCCACCCAGGCTGGAATGTAGTGGTGCGATCTCCGCTCACTGCAAGCTCCGCCTCCCGGATTCACGCCATTCTCCTGCCTCCGCCTCCCGAGTAGCTGGGACTACAGGCGCCCGCCACCACGCCCAGCTAATTTTTTCTATTTTTTAGTAGAAATGGGGTTTCACCGTGTTAGCCAGGATGGTCTCGATCTCCTGACCTCGTGATCCGCCCGCCTGGGCCTCCCAAAGTGCTGGGATTACAGGCGTTAGCCACTGCGCCCGTCTGAATAACCTTCAAAGAAAAGACAATTCTGAATATTTTAGGTGATCAATGAAAACGATGACCACTTCTCCTTTCTCTCAATATAAACCCTAGCAGCATAGAAAAAACTTGAGAAGCTTCAAAAATACTAATTTATTTACGCTATCCCAATTAAATCAGGTGCTCTGGCATTGGGGCAGGGGTGTGGAGGTGGGGGTTGGGATGCTTTCTAAAAGCTCTCCAGGTGTGATTTAAATATGCATGCTGGGTGGGACCCACCAGACTAGATTTATTAAATAATGCCTTTCCTCTTATTTAGCGGAAGCATAGCGAGATTTCGCTTTTTTACATTTAACTCATTTTATAGAAGAAAGCAAAGAAAGCCCTATTCAATAAAGAAAGCACTCCCTAGGCACTTGGTCTAGTGATATGGTGGTTATTCATTAGGGACTGTCATTCCAGTTGAACTCTATGTCTACTTAAGCAGTTAGACACTGGCCTCTTTATTTCCGTGCTCTTGTACATCATTTCGTATATGGTGGAACTCTTCGAATTACTTGCTTTCCTAGAGTTTGACATGTGGTGAGGGAGGTTTTTTTTCTTTAAAAAAGATTACTAGCAGTTGGAAAAAATTAAAAGGCATATGGCAAGTGTTCAAGAAAAGTTTTTGATTTAAGAACCATCTTGACCGGGGGCGGTGGCTTACGCCTGTAATCCCAGCACTTTGGGAGGCCGAGGCAGGCGGATCACCTGATGTTGGGAGTTCGAGACCAGCCTGGCCAACATGGTAGAAACCCCGTCTCTACTAAAAATACAAAATTATCCGGGCGTGGTGGCACACGCCTGTAATCCCAGCTACTCGGGAGGCTGAGGCAGGAAAATCACTTAAACCTGGAAGGAGGAGGTTGCAGTGAGCCAAGATCAGCGACACTGCAGTCCAGCCTGGGCGACAGAGCTAGACTATCTCAAAAAAAAAAAAAAAAAAAAAAAAGATGCAGATCCTTCCTATCCACATTCAAAAGCAACCTTGTGAGGAGGCTCAGCTGCGACAGCAATCTGTACTCCCCTCCCCCATTCCCAAGCACAGCACTCTTCCACCTTGCGCCTACCCAGAGTAGGTTTCCGTTTCTTCCCACTTCCCCTTCCGGGTCGGGACCCTGCCCATGTTCCGGTCTTGCGCACGAGTCTAGAACGCAGCAACTCCGCCGGCGTTTCCATGGTGGCAAGTGGCCGGTTCCTTGCGGGGCTGAGCAACAAAGTAGTATCAGTGTTCGGTGGCTCCACTGGAACTACGCAGAGCCAGACCAGCGGGACCACAGAATGGGCTGAGGCGGCGGCGGCTGTTTGGATAAAGTCAACAGCGGGACGTGGGGCGTGACGCCGGTCCGGCATCCTAAGACGTGTGGTTTGAGTTGCGGGCGAGACCAGGCTTTTTTTAGGACCTTGGGCCTGATAAGTGGGCGACTGCAGTAGTGCGGGAACCTATTATTTGACAGGAACATGACAGGAAGTGTAGGGACCCCATGCTTGATGGATGGTGACTTATAGTGTGGTAGTCTCAGTGTTGATGGGCATGACCGAGACAGCAGGAGTACCCCTAAGTTCTGGTGAGAGGTGGAGCCTCAGAAGGACACCTTACTCAAGCTGTCTTTAGTTCCCAAAGACAAAAAGGCTCAGTGGAAAAGATTCCTTTTTTTTTTTTAATGTCTCTATATTTGAGACTGTGGGTTTATTGTGGATATGCATTATCTAGTTTTAATAAATAAAAGTATAAACGTTTAACATTTTCCATTTTCTTTCTTTATTTCTATAAAGTAGTAAAAGCCCAGCTTGAAAATGGAGATGTATGAAACCCTTGGAAAAGTGGGAGAGGGAAGTTACGGAACAGTCATGAAATGTAAACATAAGAATACTGGGCAGATAGTGGCCATTAAGATATTTTATGAGAGACCAGAACAATCTGTCAACAAAATTGCGATGAGAGAAATAAAGTTTCTAAAGGTTTGCTTCTTTTGCCTTAATCATCTAAGTCAAAAGAAAAAATTGTTATGGAATAAAAAATTGCATAAAATATTTTAGTTCACACGTACTGATTCATATTATGGAGAAACAAGTGTAATACTCTATCTTATCTACATTTTGTAATTTTATAGTGATACAAGATATATGTGTTTTGGGGTATGTAACAAAAGCTACACCAATATTGTTTAATAATTATTCAGAAATATTCAAGTATAATACTTAATAAAAATTTCTGCTATGTGCAAGGCATGGTGCTAGGTACTGAGACTATAAGGAGGTAAAAGATAGTTCCTGCCCTTAAAGACTTCTATAATTTAATCAGAAAGGAGAGTATATGAAAATCATACTGAATAAAAAGTGGCTCATAATAAATGCCAAGGAATCAACACAAAGTCCTTTCCCTGGTAGGGAAAGTTTTTTTGAGGAAATGGGACATGAATTTGGCTTTGAAGGATGTGGAGGGTTTAGATAAGAGGGAGAAACTGTTGTGTTCTAGGTTAGAGGAACAACATAAACTCAAAAGAGACTAAAGAAGGACAAAGGATAAAGGGCAAAGTGGAAAGGACAAAGAGCAAAGACATGTGCCTGTAGAGTTTTCTGAGCAGAATTGGAAAGAGGTATATTAGAACAGTAAATTGGAGGTAGATTTTAAAGTCTTTTAGGCTAAGGAGTCAAAACTTGATTTTGTAAGAGGTGGAAAGTCGTGAAGGTTTTGAATTCAGTGTAAAGAAATGTAAATTTTAATCTACCACTATTGTGCAGAATAGATTGGAGGACTAAGAGTAAAAATAGGTCTGTTAGGAGTTCAATTAAGGAATTTTGGAAAATGTCTGAGGACCCTTGCTAAAATGCAGCAATGTGAATGAAAAGTAAAGTTAGAACATGCTGTATTGTAAAAAACAAAAAAAAAAGACATGAGGCCGGGTGCGGTGGCTCACGCTTGTAATCCCAGCACTTTGAGAGGCCGAGGCGGGTGGATCACCTGAGGTCAGGGGTTCAAGACCGTCCTGGACAACATAGTGAAACCCCGTCTCTACTAAAAATTAAACAAAAAAAATTAAGGCCGGGTGCGGTGGCTCACGCTCCCAGCGCTTTGGGAGGCTGAGGCGGGTGGATCACGAGGTCAGGAGATCGAGACCATCCTGGCTAACGCGGTGAAACCCCGTCTTTACTAAAAAATACAAAAAATTAGCCGGGCGAGGTGGCGGGTGCTTGTGGTCCCAGCTACTGCGGAGGCTGAGGCAGGAGAATGGCGTGAACCCGGGAGGCGGAGCTTGCAGTGAGCCAAGACAGCGCCACTGCACTCCAGCCTGGGCGACAGAGCAAGACTCTGTCTCAAAAGAAAAGGAAAAAAAAAAAAAAAATTAGCCAGGCATAGTGTCGCGCCCCTGTAATCCCAGCTACTTAGGAGGCTGAGGCACGACAATCGCTCAAACCCAGAAGGTGGAGGTTGCAGTGAGCCGAGATCACGCCACTGCACTCTAGCCTGGGCGTCAGAGTGAGACTCCATCTCAAAAGAAAAAAAAAAAGGGCGCTGTGGCTCACGCCTGTAATCTCAGAACTTTGGGAGGCTGAGGCAGGCAGATCACCTGAGGTCAGGAGTTCGAGACCAGCCTGGCCAATGTAGTGAAACCCCCATCTCTACTAAAAATACAAAAATTAGCCGGGGATGGTAGTGCATGCCTGTAATCCCAGCTATTCGGGAGGCTGAGGCAGAAGAATTGCTTGAACCCAAGAGGAGGAGGTTGCAGTGAGCCGAGATCACACTATTGCAGTCCAGCCTGGGCAACAGAGCAACACCTTGTCTAAAAAAAAAAAGACATGAAAGAGTGTAGAAGACTATAGAAAGACTATAGAAGGAGTCAAAGGTCTCTGAGGTTCAGTGATTGATACAATTGATAGAAATACGAAAGACTCAAAAGAGACATGGTTTGGGAAGTACTTCAATTTTGGAAATGTTGAATTTGAGGTGACAGGAGTACATTTAAGTAAAGATTACCAGTAGGCTTTTAGAAATGAGGAACAATATCAGGAGAGATCAGGGAAGAAGACAGAATCCTATGTAGGTGTGACAGTTCAGCCCAGGAGAAACAACTGAGGAGTGTGGAGAAAGGAGCATTAACATTCCTTAGGGTTGGGGTAGAAAATTAATGATTTTAAAAATATTTAAATAAGTATGTATTCTATTTATTGGAATCTATTTACATCCTTTAAGGTTTATGATCTTGACGATATAGTATAGCTGTTTCATATGCAGCAGATGTTCTTGTTTGCTTTATCTGATACAAAAATAATATTTTCTTCTTTCTTTGTAAGTCTATATGAGATATGATGGATCAATTTGCCTTCTTTCTCTCTCTTTTTTTTTTTTTTTTTTTTTAAGAAATGGAGTCTCCCTGTTGCCCAGGCTGCAGCGCAGTGGCATGATCATAGCTCACTGCAGCCTCCATCACCTGGGCTTAAGCGATCTTCCTGTCTTGGACCTGTGAAAGAGCTAGGATTACAGGCATGAGCCACTGTGCCTGGCCTAATTTGAGGAAATATATTAGGCATCTGTGGATTATTAGAATGGCTCTACGCTGGGCGCGGTGGTTCACGCCAGTAATCCTAGCACTTTGGGAGGCCGAGGCGGGCGGATTGCCTGAGCTCAGGAGTTCGAGACCAGCCTGGGCAACATGGTGAAACCCTGTCTCTACTAAAACACAAAAAATTAGCCAGGCATGGCAGTGTGTGCCTGTAGTCCCAGCTACTCGGGAGGCTGAGGTAGGAGAATTGCTTGAACCCAGGAGGAGGAGGTTGCAGTGAGCTGAGATTGCGCCACTGCACTCCAGTCTGGGCGACAGAGTGAGACTCTGTCTCAAAAAAAAAAAAAAAAAAAAAGCCGGCCATGGTGGCAGGGGCCTGTAATCCCAGCTACACAAGAGGCTGAGGCAGGAGAATCACTTGAACCCGGGAGGCGGAGGTTTCAGTGAGCCGAGACCACGCCACTGCACTCCAGCCTGGGCAGCAGAGCGAGACTCCATCTCAAATAAATAAATAAATAGAACAGCTCTATTTCTAGACAATGAAAAGTGAGTCAGTAAAGATGTTATGATTTTGTGAAAGATATCAGTTCATGTCCTGATGACCTAAAACATAATACTATAGATAAGGCAATTGTGTACTGTGAATGAAAATCTGATTAGGAGATTTTTTTCCCCCAAGGCAGTATCTCTTGCTCTTTCTTCAACTGTTGCACTTAAATTGATTATTTTTTTTCTATTTAATCATTTTGGAAAACTAACCAGTATGTGACAATACAGAGATGAACTTGAATATGTGTTTTACTGTAACAACTGTTATGCAGATAATTTTGAGATACCCTAACTATTCTCATTGGCTTTTTGTTATTGTTGTTGTTATTGTTCTGAGACAGTCTTACTCTGTCTGTCGCCCAGGCTGGAGTGCAGTGGCACGATCCTGGCTCACTGCAACCTCTGCCTCCCAGGTTCAAGCAATTCTCATGCCTCAGCCTCCAAGTAGCTGGGATTACAGGCACGTACGACCACGCCCAGCTAATTTTTGTATTTTTAGTAGAGACGGGGTTTCACCATGTTGCCCAGGCTGATTTAGAACTCCTGGCTTCATGTGATCTGCCCACCTCAGCCTCCCAAAGTACTGAGATTACAGGTGTGAGCCACTGCACCTGGCACTCACTGGCTTTTTATAGGATTTTAAATTTGATGTAATCTAATTCCACTGGAGAGATTTCTTGGACTAGTTAATATTCTTAGTCTAAAAAACTTGTCATAATTACTTAATTCAAATTACTTTTTTTTTAGACAGAGTTTCACTCTTGTTGCCCAGGCTGCAGTGTAATGGCACAATCTCAGCTCACCACAACCTCGGCCTCCCGGGTTCAAGCGATTCTCCTGCCTCAGCCTCCTGAGTAGCTGGGATTACAGGCATGGACCATCATGCCAGGCTAATTTTGTATTTTTAGTAGAGACAGCGTTTCTCCATGTTGGTCAGGCTGATCTCGAACTCCCGACCTCAGGTGATCCGCCTGCCTTGGCCTACCAAAGTGCTGGGATTATAGAAGTGAGCCACCGGCCTGACCCAAACTAAATTTTTATGCTAGAATTTCATTAAATAAATTACAGTTAGAGTAATTAGTGAGAATATCTGTAGAAAAGTTGTCTAGTAATGGAGAAAAAATTAAACAACTTGAAGAGGGGTACTAGAGCATTTCTAGGGATTTCATTTCATGGTTTATCTGAGTAAATACTGTACCTAATTCCTCATCCCTGAATGGATCTTCTACAATGCTTATTCATATTACCCCTTCCCTACTTTCACTGCTTTTGCCTTTAAAATAAAGACTGGACAGGAAACCAGTAATTTTCCTTAAGTAGAGGATTAATATGGTAGTGTCCAAAAGCAATCAATTCCTTGAGACGGAGTTTCACTCTTGTCACCCCGGCTGGAGTGCGATGGCACAATCTCGGCTCACTGCAACCTCCACCTCCTGGGTTCAAGCGATTCTCCTCTCTTAATCTCTCTAGTAGCTGGGATTACAGGTGCCCACCACCACGCTGGTCTAATTTTTGTGTTTTTAGTAGAGACGGTGTTTCACCATGTTGACCAGGCTGGTCTCGAACTCCTGACCTCATGTGATTTGCCCGCCTCAGCCTCCCAAAGTGCTGGGATTATAGGTGTGCACCACCATGCCCAGCCAACAGTCAATTCTTTTCACTGCTGTCAATATGCTATTGCTGCAGCACTGTGGCATCTTGCCAACCAGGGAAATTTGGAGCAAAAAGGAAAGGAATCTGGTGTTATATTTTGGATGTTTTTCTCTAGTCATGTTTTAAGGACTTTAGTCTCTTCGTTAGTTACAGAGAAGTAGAAAAATTGACACTGTGTTATTGGAATGAAGGCAAATATATTTTCATAAAGGTATAGTTTTCTAGAGCTAGGAACAGTGGCTCATGCCTGTAGTCCTAGCAACTTGGGAGGCCAAGGCAGGAAGATCACTTGAGGCCAGGAGTTCGAGACCAGCCTGGCAATATAGCAAGACTTGTTCTCTTAAAAAAAAAAACAAAAAAAAACCCTTCATTTTTAGCTAATTGAACACATATTCTTGATAGTTTGAACAAAATGGTTAAATATTTCAGAATTGATTATAATTAAGTCAGTGTGATGAAAAATAGAATAAGTAGCATACAATATTAAATCTCATTTGTTTCCTAAGCTGATACATGGGCATCATTTACATTTTAAAATTATTTTAGCAATAATTGTTGCCAGTCTAAAAAGGTGGTTAATTGTTTAATAGAAGAGTACAGACAAGGAGCAAACGTTCACCCACAAATAATTACATATTTATGTAAAGTTTCTGTGGTTATAAATTGGTAGTTCACATATCTGAAGATTTTGCATATATTTTGGTGTTCTTTTGTTATAGTCTAATGAATTTATGATGCTCCCTAGAACTTATGGTTTACTTTCTAGAGTTTAGGTTTAAAATTAGAGAATAATTAATTTATATAAATTCAGATCACATACTTAATCGTGTTGAAATCCATGCTCATTTGAAAACATAAGGGCCTTTTAAATTTTGGGTGTTAAATTTAACCACAAACCAAGTTTAAAAATAGCAGGATATCTTTCAACAGAATACTAAGTTATAGTACATTAAATTATTTTAATAAGCAACCAAATGCCAACTTGAGATAAAGTAATATATCTCACTTTGTCCTATAAATATTGATTATAAAATGGATTACATTTTCTTAAAATAGGAATGGAAGCACATTGGTTGAGAAATTTCAGTTGAAATGCATGGAACATAGGCTGGGCATGATGGTGCACACCTACAATTCCAGGAGTTGGGGAGGCTGAGGCAGGAGGATCACCTGAGGTCAGGAGTTCAAGACCAGCCTGGCCAACATGGTGAAACCCTGTTTCTACTAAAAGTACAAAAATGAGCTGGGCATGGTGGTGCACGCTTGTAATCCCAGCTGTTCAGGAGGCTGAGGCAGGAGGATTGATTGAAATAGGGTGGTGGAGGTTGCACTGAGCCAAGATTGTGCTACTGCACTCCAGCCTGGCGACAGAGCAAGACTCCATCTCAAAAAAAAGAAAAAAGAAATGCATGGAACAAAGCTAAGAATATGACTGTTTCTTTACAAAATTTACACGTTATATGTACAAATTGTTAGGCTTGAAATAATTAAAAATTTGTGTTGTTTCTTTTGTCAATAGCAATTTCATCACGAAAACCTGGTCAATCTGATTGAAGTTTTTAGACAGAAAAAGAAAATTCATTTGGTATTTGAATTTATTGACCACACAGTATTAGATGAGTTACAACATTATTGTCATGGACTAGAGAGTAAGCGACTTAGAAAATACCTCTTCCAGATCCTTCGAGCAATTGACTATCTTCACAGTAATAATGTAAGTGCTTCAGAATAAGCCAATTTGTAGGATGAATATGAATCATAAGTGCTCCTTATACATTGTTTTATTTTTATGAAGGTGGCTAACATTCTTTTTCTATACAATAATAATAGACATCCTGAAAATGGGGATAGGGAATAGGGGGCACTACCTTTTAGTTGCAGAACCAAAAAATATTGAGCACTCAGTAATTCCAACTATAAGGCAGACCAAGTATGGGATGGTAAAGGCAGTATCAGTAATTTTGTTTAGTAGAATCAGTAGTCAGCTGGAGCACTATTATTAGAGAAAGTATATTAAAACATTGAAAGTCAGGTCTGTGGCTTAATGGAGAGTTGCTCATATAAAGGGAGGTTTAGCAAGACTCCGCCTCACAAAAAAAAAGGCGGGGGGAATAGTAAGTAAATTGTGGATGCCTTTAGGGGAAGAAAGGAGATATAAAGTGGCGGAGCGGTTTGAGGCCTTGTCATTTAACCTATGAAAAATCAAGGAAGAGGAAAGATCACAGCTATTCTGATGTTTAGTGTTGACTTTAGCATTGGCTTGTAAGTGTTTAGCTCAGCAGGTTTTTTGTTTGGTTGGTTGGTTGGTTTTTGAGATGGAGTTTTGCTCTCGTTGCCCAGGCTGGAGTACAATGGCATGATCTTGGCTCACTGCAACCTCTGCCTCCTGGGTTCAAGCAATTCTCCTGCCTCTCCTTAAAACATCTCGGTGTTTGTCCGAGATGACGGTGCTCCTCCTCAATCAACCACCACACCTGGCCAATATTTTGTAGAGATGGGGTTTTCCCATGTTACCCAGGCTGGTCTCAAACTCCTGGGCTCAAGTGATTTGCCCGCCTCAGCCTCCCAAAATGCTGGATTACAGGTGTGAGCTACTGCACCTGGCACAGATTTTTTAAAAGATCAAATTAGGTACTAGGTATAAAGCATTTAAACTGTGTCAGGCACATTTTAAGTGCTCAGTAGATAGTGCTGGTAGGCTGGCTATAGTAGCTCACACCTCTAATCTCAGCATTTTGAGAGGCTGAGGCAGGAGGATCACTTGAGCTCAAAAGTTCAAGCCCAGCCTGGGCAACATAGCAAGACCTTGTCTCTACTAAAAATAAAAAATAAATTAGCTGGGCATCAGGCATCGTGCACAATCCTGTACTCCCGGCTACTTGTGAGGCCGAGGTAGGAGGATTGTTTGAGCCTGGGAGGTCAAGGCTGCAGTAAGCTATGATTGCACCACTGCATCCTGGTTGACAGAGCAAGATTCTGTAAGTAAGTAAATAAAATAAATAAATAAATAAATAAATATAGCAAGCTGGTTTGGAGTGAGGAATATTAATAGTTGTGTTAAGGAAAGAAAAGAAAAAAAAGGAAAAGAAAAGAAAGCTGGTAGGGAGTCAAGAATAGTGGTGTTATCTTTGTATCTGTTTAGAGCCTTGTCTATATTAGACTCTAAAAATGTTTCTTGAATAAAAGGAGATCTCAGTCTGGGCTAAACTGACAGTAGAAGACTTCCAAGATGAGGTAAAACTAAAGTAAGTAGAATTTTGAACTGTAGCTAGGATTTTGTTGGAGTAGAGGAGAAAATGCATTCAGGTGGGGTACCATTGTGAAAATAGAAGTAGACCGGAGCAGGGGACTTCAGAGAGTGCTGTTAAGTCAGGTTACAGGGAACAACAGATAGAGGAAGATAAGATTACACAGGTTCACAGGGGAGAGATTTTCCAGAACCTTGAAATTTACCCACAGGAGGGTGGACTCTTTCCTGAAGATCCTGGGAAACTACTGAAGATTTTGTTGTTTTTTTATTTTTGTTTTTCTTGAGACAGGATCTTGCTTTGTTGCCCAGATGGGAGTGCAGTAGCATGATCATAGCTCACTGCAGCCTCCAACTTCTGGGCTCAAGTGATCCTCCTGCCTCAGCCTCCCAAGTTGCTAGGACTACAGGCACATGCCACCACATCCAGCCCATTGAAGGTTCTTGAGCATTGCTGTGACTGGATGAAAACAAAATCTAATTTTATTTTAACATGAGTAGAAGATATGAGTAGATAGAGACCCAGAGAGATCAGACAGGTAGCTGTTGTGACAATCTAGATGTGTGGGTGGTAACGGTTTGGACTAAGTAGCAATGGGAAGGAGAGGAAGGATGGCAGAGGGATAGGATGGAAATATTTCAAAAGGAAAATCACAGGACTTGGGAAGTAATTAGATATGAGAGGGATGAAAACAAAGGGTGAAGTCAGAGGTTATTACAGTATTTTTTTTTGAGACAGAGTCTCTCTCTGTCACCCAGGCTGGAGTACAATGGCAGGATCTCGGCTCACTGCAACTTCCGCCTTCTGGGTTCAAGCGATTCTTCCTGCTTCACCCTCCTGAGTAGCTGGGATTACAGGCTCCTGCCACCAGGCCCGGCTAATTTTTGTATTTTTATTTTATTTTATTTTATTTTATTTTATTTTGAGACAGAGTCTTGCTCTGTAGCCCAGGCTGGAGTGCAATGGCGTGATCTCACTGCAGCCTCCTTCTCCTGGGTTCAAGTGATTCTCCTGCCTCAGCCTCCCAAGTAACTGGGTTTACAGGTGCGTGCCATCATGCCCGGCTAATTTTTGTATTTTTAGTAGAGACGGGGTTTCACCGTGTTGGTCAGGCTGATATCAAACTCCTGACCTCGTGATCCGCCCACCTTAGCCTCCCAAAGTGCTGGGATTACAGGCGTGAGCCACCGCGCCCGGCTTACATTTTCTTAAAACAATAATCAGTGTGTTTGGATAGACCCATACTAAATAATATTGGGGATACAAAATAAGTAGATATTTTGCCTTCAAAGACTATAGTTGAGAAAATAGGCTTAGACAGATGGTACAATAAGTATAAAAGTGTAGATGATGAAGTGCTAAGTTTCGTGGCACAAACGATATAGTAGTACAGCATAGGATGGGCAAGAAAGTCAATAGGATAATTTCTGACTAAATACCAGTAATACGATACTCCCAAGGATGGCCCGCTGTTGCCCTCATCCACGTGGAGCTAAATGCTTTTGATGTAAAACAAAACTAACCATTTGATTGTGAGATAAGAGTTTTTATTTTATTTTTATTTTATTTATTTATTTTTGAGATGGAGTTTCACTCTGTCACTCAGGCTGGAGTGCAGTGGCATGATCTTGGTTCACTGCAACCTCCACCTCCCAGGTTCAAGCAATTTTCCTGCCTCAGCCTCCTGAGTAGCTGGGATTATAGGTGCCCACCACCACACCCACCTAATTTTTGTATTTTTAGTAGAGTCGGGGTTTCACCACGTTAGCCAGGCTGACTAACTTTGGTCTTGAAATGCTGACCTCAACTGATCTACCTGCCTTGGGCTCCAAAGTGCTGGGATTACAGGCATGAGCCACCAATGAGAGTTTTTAAATAGTAACCAAATAAATTCACAGGTTAATAAGTGAATTTCCCAATGCCATACAGGAGGGGTCCCCAACCCCTGGGCCACAACCAATACCATTCTGTGGCCTGTTAGGAATCAGGCCACACAGTAGATGAGTGGTGGGCGAGCAGGCAAAGCTTCATCTGTATTTACAGCCACTTTGCATTGCTCGCATTACCACCTGAGCTCTGCCTCCTATCAGATCAGCAGAGGCATTAAATTCTTATAGGAGTGCGAACCCTACTCTGAACTGTGCATGCAAGGGATCTAGGTTGTGCACTCCTTGTGAGAACCTAATGCCTGATAATCTGTCACTGTCTCTCATAACCCCCAGTTAGGACCATCTGGTTGCAGGAAAACAAGCTCAGGGCTCCCACTGATTCTACATTATGGTAAGTTGTATAATGATTTCATTGTATAGTATAATGTAACAATAATAGAAGTAAAGTGCACTATAAATGTAATGCACTTGAAGCATCCTGAAACCATCCCCCAGCCTGGTCCATAGAAAAACTGTCTTCCATAAAACCAGTTCCTGGTGCCAAAAAGGTTGGAGACTGCTGTAATACAGTTAATGAGTGATGGAAGCGGGGACTAGATTCCTTCCACAGTCCATACGCTTTCCTTTCTACCATGCCATGTCTCCACAGCAGCTTAGTATGGAGCGGCTTAGCTTTAATTCTTAAGGCCTGTGCTTAGGAAATACCGCAGAATGAGAAAAGTGTTATTGTGTTTGGGAAGCAGTCAGATAACATATATTTATGGATATGTATACACGTGTGTATATGCATGCATAATTTGTTAAATGGAATTAGGGGATTAGAAGAGGAAAATGACAGAGAAAGATTATCAAAACTTTAATTGCTGTTTATAAAAGAAATTTATAATCAAAGTTCATCTTAAATCATCTCAGAATTGCGATATAACTTTTCAATAAATACCTTTCTTACCATACTTCCTCTTAACACAATACCTTTGCACATACTAGTCTATCTTCCTGGATTTATCTTTCTTCCACTCTTTCCTAGTTTACTTCTGCTCATCCCTCAGATCTTAGTAAAAGTGGAATTTTCCCCAGGGATGTCTCCATTCAAGTTATAATGCTATGTTCCTTTCCTTTGTAGCACTTGTGTTATTTTATATTTGTGTGATTATATGAAGTAAGGTGTTTCTCTTACAACTGACTGTGAGTTCTGTGATGGTAAAGAACTATATCTGTTTTTTTTTTTTTTTTTTTTTCCTGAGACAGAGTCTTGCTCCGTCGCTCAGGCTGGAGTGTATTGGCATGATCTTAGCTCACTGCAACCTCCGCCTCCCAGGTTCAAGCAATTTTCCTGCCTCAGCCTCCTGAGTAGCTGGGCTAACTTTTTTTTTTAATTTTTAGTAGTGCCAAGGTCTCACCATGTTGCCCAGGCTTGTCTCAAACTCCTGAGTTCAAGTGATCTTCCTGCCTCCGTTTTCCAAAGTGCTGGGATTATAGGCATGAGCTATCATGCCCAGCCTGAAGTGGTATCTATTTTTTTTTTTTTGAGACGGAGTCTCACTCTGTCACCAGGCTGGAGTGCAGTGGCACGATCTCAGCTCACTGCAACCTCCGCCTCCTGGGTTCAAGCGATTCTCCTGCCTCAGCCTCGTGAGTAGCTGGGACTATAGGCACATGCCACCATGTCCGGCTAATTTTTGTATTTTTAGTAGAGACGGGGTTTCACCATGTTGGCCAGGATGGTCTCGATCTCCTGACCTCATGATCCACCTGCCTCAGCCTTCCCAAGTGCTGGGATTACAGGCGTGAGCCACCGCGCCCGGCTCCTGAAGCGGTATCTTAATGTGCTTTTTAATGTCTGTTTTTGTTCACATTATATCCTTAGGTCTTGGAATAGTGCCTGGCATATAGTAGGCCCTCAATTAAAATTGTGGTAGTTAAAAAGGATTTATATATTTTGACAGATGGCAACTTTAAAGTGGCTCAATTAGAAAGGCTTACCCTAAATTAATTTTTTGGCTATTTATGGAGGGAGACTGAGTCAAAACAAGAGCCAGTCTCAAAGATTTATGGTAGTAAGTTGTATAAACAAGGAAAGATCCCAGATTTCTGTCACTGAGACATTTCTACTTGTGCTGTGATACTTTACAGGTGATGAGTATGTGCTTCTATAATTCACTTGATAAAATTTTTAAATGCCTTCTCTTTGTTCTAGGCACTATACTGAGCACGAGATATTAATTGAACAAGACAGTTGTGTATATTGCCCTCACGGAGCTTATGGTTTAGTGGGGGTTTCAGACAAGTAAACAGACAACAGTACTGCATGACAGATGCTATGAAGGGGGAAGTGCAGATTGATGTGAACATATAGAAGGAGCATCTAATACTAACATATAAGCTGAGTCCTGAGGAAATAGCTGGCTTGGCCAGGCAGTTGGAGCAGCATCAACAAATGCATAGAGATTAGACAAACCCTGGCAAATCGGGAAACTAATATTCTATAGGCTAGGGAAAGGAGGTTAATAGGGTAAGTAGGGGCCGAATCTCACAAGGCCTTATAAGCCATTTCAGGGAGTTTAAAATTTATCCTGCAGGATGAGGAATCCTTGAAGCAAAGAAGTGACATGATCAGGCTAGGCACGGTGGCTCACGCCTGTAATCCCAGCACTTTGGGAGGCCGAGGCGGGCGGATCACAAGGTCAAGAGATCGAGACCATCCTGGCCAACATGGTGAAACCCCATCTCTACTAAAAATACAAAAATTAGCTGGGCATGGTGGCGCATGCCCGTAGTCCTGTAGTCCTAGCTACTCAGGAGACTGAGGCAGGAGAATAGCTTGAACCCGGGAGCCAGAGGTTGCAGTGAGCCGAGATTGCGCCACTGCACTCCAGCCTGGTGACAAAGCGAGACTCTGTCTCAAAAAAAAAAAAAAAAAGTGACATGATCACACATCTGATTTTAAAATAGTACTGTGACTTCATTGTGGAGACTGAATTGGAGAGCACGAATGTGAATTCAGGGAGACAAGTTGATAGACTTGTGTATTAATTTTGTGAGACAGCTGGGGAGACCTGAACTAGGAAGAGCAGTAGTTAGGTTAAGGGAGTGTGGGGAGGGAGAAAAATGCCCTTGGTTTCTGGCTTGCGTTATGGAGTAAGTGGTGGTTCCATTCACTGGAATAGAAGATTGTTGAGAAGCAGTAGGTTTGGGGGAGAAGAAGACGCTTTTAGTTTTAGATTTGCTGAATTTAAAGGGCCTGTACTTAGTTTTGTGGGATTTATTGTGGACTTTCACTTCTTGTGGAAACCAGGAGAAATATCTGTTAGACGTAGAAATGTTGAAATTATCAGTAGTATATGGACAGTTACTAAAGCTATAAGAATAGATGAATCATCTACAAAAATCAACTAAAAATAAAGATTTAATTGTAAGATCTGAAACTGTTAAACTACTAGAAGAAAACGTGGGAAAAGTTCTATGACATTGGATCTGGGCAATTATTTTTTAGATATGAACCCAAAAGCACAGGCAACAGAAGCAAACATAGATAAATGGGATTACATTAAACAAAAAAACTTCTGCATATCCAAGGAAACAATAGAGAGAAGAGAGAACCCACAGAATTAGAGAAAATGCTTGCAAACCATACATCTAATAAGAGGTTAATATCTAGAATATATAAGGAACTCAAATAAATCAATAGTAAGAAAACAAATAACCTGATTAAAAATTGGGCAAAGGACCAGGTACAGTGGCTGATGCCTGTAATCCCAGCACTTTGGGAGGCCAAGGTGGGAGGATAGCTTGAGTCCAGGAGTTCAAGACCAGACCAGGCAACATGGCAAAACCATGTGTCTTTAAAAAAATAAATAAAAAATGGGCAAAGGTTGCTGGGTGCAGTGGCTCACACATGTAATCCCAGCATTTTGGGAGGCTGAGGCAGGTGAATCACTTGAGGTCAGGAGTTTGAGACCAGCCTGGACAACCTGGTGAAACCCCATCTCCACTAAAAATACAAAAATTAGCCGGGCGTGGTGGCATGTCCCTGTAATCCCAGCTACTCAGGAGGCTAAGGCAGGAGAATTTCTTGAACCCAGGAGTCAGAGGTTGCAGTGAGCTGCGATCGTGCCACTGCACTCTAGCCTGGGCGACAGAGCAAAACTCTGTCTCAAAAAAAAAAAAAAAAATCAACCTAAGTGTCCATTAAGGATGAATGCGTAAAGGAAATGTAGTATGTATACACAATGGAGCACTATTCAGCCATAAAAATAGAAGGAAATCATTTGTGATGATGTGGATAAACCTGGAGGACGTTATGGTAAGTGAAATAAGTCATACAGAGGACAAATACCGCATGATCTTACTTACATACAGAATCTATAAAAGTGCAACTCATAGAAGTAGAGAGTAGAATGGTAGTTACCAGGGGCTAGAGTGGGGGTGGTTGGGGAGATGTTGGTCAAGGGATACAAAAATTCAGTTAGAAAGAAGGAATAAGTTCAAGAGATCTATTATACAAAATGGTAACTAGTTAATAACAATGATTGTATTCTTGAAAATTGCTGAGAGTAGAATTTAAGTGTTCTCACCACAAAATAAGTATGTGATGTAATGTTAATTAGCTTGATTTAACTAATTTTACAATGTATACATATTTTAAAACAACATGTACATGATATATACAATTTTAATTTATCAATTAAAATTAACAATGTTAAAAAATAATTCAGGCCGGGTGTGGTGGCTCACACCTATAATCCTAGCACTTTGGAAGGCTGAGGTGGGAAGATCACTTGAGCCCAGCACTCATGATCAGCCTGAGCAACATAACCAGACCCTGTCTCTACAAAAAAAATTTTTTAATTAGCCAGTAGTCCTAATACTGTAGGCTGTAGGACTACAGACACGCGCTTATAGTCCTAGCTACTCAGGAGGTTGAGGTGGTAGGATTGTCTCAGGTGGTAGGCTCCTTGCTTGAGCCCAGGAGTTTGAGGCTGCAGTGAGCTTTGATTGTGCCTTTGCACTCTGGTCTGGGCAATGGAGCAAGACCCTATCTCTTTAAAAAATAATTTCTTAAAAAGAGTTGATCAGATTGAGATGGAGCAGCCAGTAAGTGGGGAGAAGCCCAAGAGTGTTGTCCCTATAACCAAGTGACAAAAGTGGCTCCCCCACCCCACAAAAAAGAGAGTACGTGAGATTGACCAGGAAACTTGATACATATGAAGAGAGGAAAGCCTAAGACAAGGACCCTATGTTTTAGGAACAGACAGAGAAAGAGGAGCTGCCAGGTAGGTAGGAGGAGATTTGGAACATTTTAGGTCTCAGAAACCAGGAATGTAGGAATAGTTGGCATTTTTTTATGCTATGAAATCAAGTACGATATGGGTGGAGAGGTGGCTACTGGATGTAGGAAAAATGTAGATGGCTTTGGCTAGAGAAGTTTAATGCAATGTAGGAACAAAAGAGAAGGTTACATTATCTTGAGTGACTGGGTCAGAAAGTGAAGACTGAGTACAGATAATGTCTCAAGAGGTTTAGCTGTGAAGGACATGAAAGGGCAGGAACTGGAGTGAGACATAGGGTTAAAGGAAAGTAAAATTTCAATAAGTTATTTTTCTTTCTTTCTTTTTTCTTTCTTTTTTTCTTTTTTTTTTTTTCTTTTTTTTCTTTTTTTAGAGACAGGGTCTCACTCTGTTACCCAGGCTGGTCTCAAACTCCTGGCCTCAAGTGATCCTCCTGCCTTGGCCTCCCAAAGTACTAGGTTTACATGCATGAACCACCACTCCCAGCCTCATTAAGTTCTTTTGGTTTTTCTTACAGGAATGTTATTTGCCTTTTTAGTATTATGTCTGTTTTCTTAGCTTCATTTTATTTTGAGGTGATGGATGGGGCAAGAATTGAAAACATATAACTATATTTGCATTGTGTAATTAATCCTTTGCATGTGGTAAGGAAATAGCTTTACTATCTTAATTAGCTAGATTTTCTCAGTATAATTTTTGAGAGATTCTGGATAATGAAATCTCATTTTAATGTATTTTGTATTCTGTTTGTTTTTTAGATCATTCATCGAGATATAAAACCTGAGAATATTTTAGTATCCCAGTCAGGAATTACTAAGCTCTGTGATTTTGGTTTTGCACGAACACTAGCAGCTCCTGGGGACATTTATACGGACTATGTGGCCACACGCTGGTATAGAGCTCCCGAATTAGTATTAAAAGATACTTCTTATGGAAAGTATGTGTATTTTGGGATCCTGTCAGCCTTTCCTAGGTATCTCTTTTTTTGTTTATTTTTTGAGATGGCGTGTTGCTCTGTCACCCAGGCTGGAATGCAGTGGTGCAATCTTGGCTCACTGCAACCTCCACCTCCCAGGTTCAAGCAATTCTCCTGTTTCAGCCTCCCAAGTAGTTGGGACTACAGGTGCACACCACCACTCCTGGCTAATTTTTGTATTTTTAGTAGAGACGGGGTTTCACAATATTGGTCAGGCTGGTTTCGAACTCCTGACCTCAGGTGATCTACCTGCCTCGGCCTCCCAAAGTGCTAGGATTACAGGCGTGAGTCAGTGTGCCTAGCCTCCTAGGTATCTCTTTTATCCCTTGGTATGTGCTTGTATATCTGTCACCCCTAATACTGACACATTCTGCCGTCTGCATCTAGGTTGGGGCTAAGAAGAGGGACACCTTTAAAGGTAACATAACAGATCCTTTAGGTACCTGCATTGCTGGCTACTGCTACTGCTACGCTCACTCAGCTCTCACAGGCTGAATGGACACAGCTCCAGAAGACCTATGCAGACATCCCTCAGTGTGTATCTATATTTGCTTTAAGCTGTGCCATGCCCTCGGCAGAGTTCCCTCTTCTGTTTATCTTTAGCCTCTACATTCTGCAAAGATTTGAAATCATTTACCTTACTCTGCTAGTGTTGCAGTAGGAACTGCCGAGTTTCCCATTTCCTGGAAAAATGGTACCCTCTTTGTGAAGACTGGCAAATAATTTTAAATTGTACTGTTTTAGGTGCAAAATTTAGCCAGGCGTGGTGGCATGCGCCTGTAGTCCCAGCTACTCGGGAGGCTGAAACAGGAGAATTACTTCAAAAGTAGCATGATCTCGGTCTAACATAAAACAGCAGCCTAAAATATAAATAATCAATCTTGAGCATAAAGAGATAAAAGTATGTAATTTAATACCTGATTTAATAGAATACATGGAGGAGGATAATTCTTGTGCCTTTCCTAGAAATTATTATTGTGTTATTATAATAATATGTAATATTAATGGGTACTTACTTTCTGCCAGAAACTGTTCTAAATGCTTTAGATACATCAAATAATTTAATCCTTACAACAACCCTATGATGAAGTTGCTACTATTAGCATTCTCATTTTAAACAGTAGAACACTAAGACACAGAGGTCAAGTAATTTGCCTGAAGTCACATAGCTGCTTAATAGCAGAACTGAACCAGGATTCTAACCCAGGTGGTCAGGATTCACAATCCATTCCCCTGGGTACCTTTTCAACTGTACCTACCGTTGATACCCTGTACAGACTGTCTCTGTACCTCAATTACTTCATCTATAAAATGGAAATAATAATAGGACTCACTTCATAGGTTTGTGATGAGGATTAAATGATTTGATATATGCTCAATAAATATCTACTCTTACTCAAAGTCCTCAAAAATTTTTTCTTTATTTCTTTTTTGCCTCTGGACATAATGTAGCCTGCATAAGATCTCTCTGTCTCAGTTTTACCCTCATTTGATGATGTAGCTTAAATTCCTTTTCTGATATACTCCCTAGCCCCCCAATCCTAGTTGACATCTTTTAGTACATTATCTGTAAATTTTGTGTCAGTTAATATTTAACATGGGCTAGTTCTTTCTCTAGCTCTTTTTTTTTTAACCTCCCACTAAAAGTTAAGTTCCTCAAGGATAGGCATAATCTCTTGTATTCTGCATAACCAAACTTGGTGCCTGGCCCACAGTAAGGTTGGATTCTAGGAGACTTCACATTGTGTTTGAAACAAATTTGCTAGTGAGTCCATTTTGAAAACTTTTATTGTAAAAGAAAACACAGACACAGAATATCTCACATAACAAATGGATAGCTCCACCACCTGATCAAAAAATAGGATTTTGCCCACCACCCCAGAAAACCCTTTGTGTGCCCTACTGCAGTTGTAACATGCTCCCTTCCCTACAAAGCAACCACGATACTGATTTTTATTGTAATCATTTCCTTGCATTTTTTAAAATAATAGAGACAGGTCTCACTATGTTGCCCAGGCTGTCTCGAACTCCTGCCCTCAAGCAGTCCTTTTGCCTCAGCCTCCCAAAGTGCTGGGATTCCAGGTGTGAGCCACCAGGCCTGGCCATTTCCTTGCATTTTAAAGAAGTTTTGTCACCCAAATGTGCCTCCATTTAGTTTAATCTAGCCTTTTTTGAGATATGATTCATATATCTTACAAGTCACCTATTTAAAATGTACAATTAAGTGGTTTACAGTGTATTCACAGAGTTGTACAACCATAACCATAGTCAATTTTAGAACATATTTATCACCCCAAAACGAAACCCTGTACCCACTGTAACTCTCCGTTTCCTCCCAACCCTTCCAGGCCTAGATAAACTCCTATCTGCTTTCATTCGCTATGGATTTGCCTATTCTGGACATTTCATATAAGTAGAATTATATAATATATGGTCCTTTGGGACTAGCTTTTTTCACTTAACATAGCATGTATTAGTACTTCATTTCTTTTTTTTTTTTTTTTTTTTTTTTAGCAGAGATGGGGTTTTGCCATTTGGTCTTGAACTCCCTACCTCAAGTGATCTGCTCGCCTCGGCCTCTCAAAATGCTGGGATTACAGGCATGAGCCACCGTGCCCAGCCAGCACTTTATTCCTTTTTATGGCTGAATAATATTCCACTGAATGGATAGAGCTCTTTTTATTTACCCATTCATCAACTGATGGACATCTGGGTTATTTTTACTTTTTAGCTATTATGGGTAATGCTGCTATGGGTGTCCGTGTAACTTGTTTTTGTATGGACATATGTTTTCATTTCTTTTGGGTATATACTTAGGAGTTAGAATTGTGGGTCATACAGTAACTCTATGTTTAGTCTTTGAAGAACTGCCAGACTGTATTCCAAAGTGTTTGTACCATTTTACATTCCCACTAGCTGAGTGTGAGAGTTTCAGTGTCTCCATGTCTTTGCTAGCACTTACCATTATGTTCTTTTGTTTAATAGCCATCCTAGCCTTTTTTTTTTTTAAAGTAAACTTTATTTTGGGATAATTTTAGATTTACAGAAAAGTTACAAAGATAGTATAGAGAGTTTCCCCATAGTCCTCACCCAGTTTCTGTTTACCCTAATATTATCATATTTCATTACTATGGAGGTTTAACTTTATCATCTCTTTTTAATTTATTACTTGAATACTTTTATAAATGGACATTTCCCCTTATTTGGTTACCTAATGGTATAGTTCACATAGAGAAACTGGGTAAATGCTTGATTTGTTTATCAATTTTAAAGATGAATTGGCTCCAACAGGTGACCTCCAAAAGCAACTAATTAATTTTTTTAGAAATATCATTATGAACTCATGGACTTAAACATATTTAATGGGTTTCAATGCATTGCAATTATCGGGGCAAAAAGATAATACCTTTTCCCGGCTGGGCACGGTGGCTCATGCCTGTAATCCCAGCACTTTGGGAGGCCGAGGTGGGCGGATCACCTGAGGTCAGCAGTTCAAGACCAGCCTGACCAACATGGAGAAACCCCGTCTCTACTAAAAATACAAAAATAGCCAGGCGTGGTGGTGCATGCCTGTAATCCCAGCTACTCGAGAGACTGAGGCAGGAAAAACGCTTGAACCCGGGAGGCAGAGGTTGCGGTGAGCCGAGATCGCACCGCAGCACCTCAGCCTGGGCAACAAGAGCGAAACTCCGTCTCAAAAACAAAAAAAGGTAATACCTTTTCCCTACCTGTAACAAGAGTCACAGCCAATACCCTTATAACAAAAGATAGGTTAGCAAGAGAAAAGCGTGACAAATTTAACAAAGTTCAATGTGACATGGAAGCCTTCATAAATGAAAACCCAAAGACCCAGGGAGAACACTGTCTGATTTTATGCTGTTTGCTGAAAGGAGTGGATAGGTGTAGAGAAACATGATTGGGCAAAAGGAGTATGATCTAATGGTAATAAACCCAGCAAGGCCTGTTTGTTCAGATTCTTCCTGGCCTCTCTGTTTTGCATTCCTTCCTTCCAGGTATGGGCAGGACCTCTCTGGAATGAAGGTCTTATGACTTACTTTCAAGGGAGGTGGATCAGAGAGTGACCATTCTATGTTTTATGGCTTGCTTTGGGGAAGAGGAATTCTAATCGCTCTGGAGGTGGGCAGGCGGAAGAGGAATCCTGGTTTCTGTGATACACCTTGGGGGAGAAAGGAGAGCAGGAGAAGGTCAGAGAGATTTTGTTTCTGAGACCCTTCTAATCTCCTTCAGTTCAAAGTATGTATCATGCCAAAGCACCATACTTTCAGGTATCATAGTCTAAGCCTGGACACAATTGTTATTATTACTGAAGTTCAAAATCAGTGGGTGCTGTCAGGCCTCTGAGCCCAACCTAAGCCATCATATCCCCTGTGACCTGCACGGATACATCCAGATGGCCTGAAGTAATTGAAGAATCACAAAAGAAGTGAAAATGGCCTGTTCCTGCCTTAACTGATGACATTACCTTGTGAAATTCCTTCTCCTGGCTCATCCAGGCTCAAAAGCTCCCCCACTGAGCATCTTGTGTCCCCTGCCCCTGCCTGCCAAAGAACAACCCCCTTTGACTGTAATTTTCCACTACCTACCCAAATCACATAAAACAGCCCCACCCCATCTCCCTTTGCTGACTCTCTTTTCGGACTCAGCCCGCCTGCACCTAGGTGAAATAAACAGCCTTGTTGCTCACACAAAGCATGTTTGGTGGTCTCTTCACACGGACACGAGTGAAAGGTGCCTTTTCAAGGTGGCTTCCCAAGTCCTTTTAACAGGACCTAGTATGTAGTCTCTGATACTTTCCTTGTGACCTGACTGACAAGATAGCAGTCCAGGCTCATTTTTCACATGTTGTTGCCCCAGACCTGGTATCAGCCATATTATGTCTTTATTAAAAACAGCATTATTGAGATATTTTTATATAATACAGTTCATCCATCTGAAGTAAATTTCAGTGGTTTTTAGTGTATTCACAGATATGTACTACCATCACCAGTCAGTTTTCATCACCTCAGTAAAAACCCCATACCCTTTATCTATGACACCCCTATACCTCTGAACTCCCTCCCTAACCCTAAGCAATCACTACTCTCTTCTCTATCTTTATAGATTTTTATTTATTTTATTTTTTTTGAGACAGAGTCTCTCTCTGTCGCCCAGGCTGGAGTGCAGTGGCGTGATCTCGGCTCACTGCAACATCCGCCTCCTGGGTTCAAGCAATTCTCCTGCCTCAGCCTCCTGAGTAGCTGGGACTACAGGCGCATGGCACCACACCCGGCTAATTTTTTTTTGTATTTTTGTAGAGCTGGGGATTCACCATGTTGGTCAGGCTGGTCTCGAACTCCTGACCTCGTGATCGACCTGCCTCGGCCTCCCAAAGTGCTGAGATTACAGATGTGAGCCACTGCACCCAGCCTATGGCTGGCTTTTTTATTTTGTAGAGACAGGGTCTCGCTATTTTGACTAGGCTGATTTTGAATTCCTGGGCTTAAGTGATCCTCCCGCCTCAGCCTACCAATGTGTTAGGATGATAGGTGTGAGCCACCACGCTGAAGCCTGACTTTTTTATTCTAGCTACTCTAATGGGTGTGAAGTGGTATCTCATTGTGGGTTTGATTCACATTTCCCTAATGTCTACTGAGGTTGAATGTCTTTTTGTGTGTGCGTGTGCTTATTGGCCATTTGTATATTGTCCTTGGAGAAATGTCTGTTCAGATCCTTTGCCTATTTTTAAAATGAGTTGTCTTTTTATTATTGAGTTGTAAGAATTTTCTGCATATCCTAGATACAAATTCCTTATCAGATATGTGATTTACAAGTATGTTCTTCCATTTTATGGGTTGTGTCTTCACTTTCTTGATTCTGTCTTTTGATTTTCAAATGTTTTTAATTTTAAGAAGTCCAATTTATCTGTTTCTTTTGTTGCCTATGCTTTTGGTATCATATTTCAAAATTGTTTGCCAAATCCAGGGTTATGAAGATTTACAGTTACATTTTCTTCTAAGAGTTATAACTTTAGCTCTTACATTCAAGTCTGATCCATTTGAGTTAATTTTTGTATATGCTATAAGGTAAGAGTCCAAGTTCATTCTTTTGCATTTGGCTATCCAGTTGTTGTCCCAGCACCATTTGATGAAAATATTGTTCTTTCCCCATTATGGTGTTGGGCTCTTTTTGAAATTCAGTTGACTATAGATGTAAGTGTAACTGCTCAAGGGGTTCACCTTGCCCGCTGCCTAGACAGAGCCGATTCATCAAGACGGGAATTGCAATAGAGATAGAATAACTCACGCAGAGCCGGCGTGAGTGTGCAGGAGACTGGAGTTTTATTATTACTCAAATCAGTCTCCTTGGGCATTCAGGGAGCAGAGTTTTTAAGGACAACTTGGTGGGTAGAGGGAGGCCAGTGAGCTGGGAGTTCTGATTGATCAGGTTTGAAATCATAGGGAGTGGAAGCTGTCTTCTTGCACTGAATCACTTCCTGGGTCTGGGGCGGCCATGAGATCAGATAAGCCAGTTTAGCAATATGGGTGGTGCCAGCTGATCCATCAAGTACAGGGTTTGCAAAATATCTCAAGCACTGATCTTAGGAGCAGTTTATGGAGGGTCAGAATCTTGTAGCCTTCAGCTACATGACTCCTAAACCATAATTTCTAATCTTGTGGCTAATGTTAGTCCTACAAAGGCAATCTGGTCCCCAGGCAAGAAGGAAGTCTGCTTTGGGAAAGGGTTGTTACTGTCTTTGTGTTAAACTATAAACTATAAACGAAGTTTCTCCTGAAGTTAGTCCAGCCTACGCCCAGGAATGAACGAGGACAGCTTGGAGGTTAGAAGCAAGATGGAGTCAATTAAGTTAGATCTCCTTCACTGTCTCAGTCATAATTTTGCAAAGGTGGTTTCATAAGGGCTTATTTCTAGAATCTCAATTCTGTTCCATTGATCTGTAAGGCTGTCCTTTTTCCAGCAACGCACTTTCTTTCCTTTTTTTTTTTTTTGACAAGATCTCACTCTGTTGCCCAGGCTGGAGTGCAGTGGCATGATCTTGGCCCACAGCAACCTCCACCTTCCAGGCTCAAACAATCCTCCCACCTCAGCCTCCTGAGTAGTTGGGACTACAGGGGTGCACCACCAAGCCTGGCTAATTTTTAAATTTTTTGTAGAGACGGGATTTCACCACGTTGGCCCGGCTGGTCTTGAATGGCTGGGCTCAAGCAATCTGCCTGCCTTGGACTCCCAAAGCATTGGGATTACGGGCAGGAGCCACCGCACGCAGCCGACACACTGTCTTAATGACTATTGCTTTGTAGCAAGTTTGAAATCAGAAAGTGTGAGTCTTTCTACTTTATTTACTTTTCCAAGATTGTTTTGGCTATTCTAGGTCCCTTCCAATTCCATATGAATTTTAAGATCAGCTTCTCAATTTTTGCAAAACAGACATCTGAGATTCTGATATGGATTACATTGTATCTGTGGATTAGTTTGGAGGTTATTGCTGTCTTAAAAATGTTAACTCTTATTCTAATCTGTGAATTTAGAATGTTTTGCCATTTATTTAGATCTTCCATAAATTTTTCTTTTTCTTTTTCTTTTTTTTTTTTGAGACAGAGTCTTGCTCTGTCGCCCAGGCTGGAGTGCAGTGGCACAATCTCGGCTCACTGCAAGCTCCGCCTCCCAGGTTCACGCCATTCTCCTGCCTCAGCCTCCCGAGTAGCTGGGACTACAAGCGTCCGCCACTACGTCTGGCTAATTTTTTGTATTTTTTTAGTAGAGATGGGGTTTCACCGTGTTAGCCAGGATGGTCTCGATCTTCTGACCTCATGATCCACCTGCCTCGGCCTCCCAAAGTGCTGGGATTACAGGCGTGAGCCACCGCACCCGGCTTCCATAATTTTTTCAACAATGTTTTGTAGTTTTCAAAGCATACATTTTGCACTTGTTTTGTAAAATTTATTCTTAAGTATCTTATTCTTTTTGATGCTATCATGAATGGAGTTTTCTTAATTTGATTTCAAATTGTTCATTGCACGGGCATAAAAATACAACTTATTTTTGTATATTGAGTTCATATTGAAGTGGTGTCATTGTCTGGAGTAAATACCCAGGGTTCGTCATCTCGTGCCAAGGAGATGAAGGACATGGACATGCATGAGGAGTGAGTTTAGGAGCAGAGGTTTAATAGGCAAAAGAAAGAGAAAGGAGAACAGCTTTCTCCCTAGTGAGAAAGAGGGGCCTCCTAAAGCAAAATCTGGCCCGCAGCAGACTGCATTAGATTTTATAGGCAGGTTTGAGGAGATGGTGTCTGATTTATGTAGGGCCCACAGATTGGTTCGACCAGGTGTGACAGTTACATACTGCAAGGGGAAGGCTGGTTGCCCCACTCTAATCTTATTATGCAAATTGGATCTTTGCCTGGCTGGGGCCATATTGTCTTCTTACTCTACATGTGGTTTGGCAAAGAGAAGGGAAGATGGAGCCACCATTTTGAACATGCTTAGTCCCAGGTAGCCTTTTCCTGTTGGCACAACTGCTGGCATTCACCTGTGCAAGCTTACAGCTTGCGTGTCTGTGTCTGCAGCACAATTTTACAGGCTGCTTTTTGTTAGAAAAGAAAATGATTTGGGGCTGCTTTTCATTAAAAGGAAAACCTTACTGAGGATCCCGTACCCTCACTGCCTGCCTAAATAATTTCTTCTTAACTCATATCATTATCATGCAACTTTGCTGAACTTGTTTATTGGTTCTCATAGTAGTTTAGTGGATTCTTTAGGATTTTCTACATAGAAGATCATGTCATCTGTGAATAGATATAGTTTTACCTTTTTGCTGGTCTGGATGCCTTTTATTTCTTTTTCCTGTCTAATTGTGCTGAGTAGAATCTGCAGTACAATGTTGAACAGAAGTGGCAAGAGCAGACATCCTTGTCTTGTTCCTAATCTTATCGGGAAATCATTCAGTCTAAGTATGATATTAGATGATTTTTCATAGATGCCTTTTATCAGGTTGGGGAAGTTTCCTTTTATTCTTAGTTTGTTGAGTGCTTTTATCATGAAGGGGTGTTGGATTTTATCAAATGTTTTTTCTTTGTCTATTGAAATGATCAAAATGAGAAATTTTTTTGGTTTTTATTCTATTGATGTATTATATTACATTTATTGGTTTTTGGATATTGAACCAACCTTGTGTTCCTAGAATAAATCCCAGTTGGTCACAGTGCATAATTCCTTTTATATGATGCTGGATTCAGTTTGCTAGTATTTTGTTGAGAATTTTGTGTTCACATTCATAAAAGATATTTGTAGTTTTCTTTTTTACTGGTTTGGGTATCAGGGAAATACTGGTTTTAAAAAATGAGATGGGATGTGTTCCTTCTGTTTTTTGAAAGAGTTTGTGAAGACTTGGTATTAATTCTTCTTTAAATGATAGAATTCAGTAGTGACATCATCTAGGCCTGGGCTTTTCTTTGCGGGTAGTTTTTTAAAAAAATCATGAATTCAGTCTTTTCACTTGTTAAAAGTTTATTGAGATTGTCTATTTTTTATTGAGCCAGTTTCAGTAGTTTGTGTTTTTCTGGGAAGCTATTCATTTAATCTAAGTTATCTAATCTGTTGGCAAACAATTATGTATTCCTTTATAATCTTTTTAATTTCTGTAAAGTCAGTAGTAATGTCACCTCTTTCATTTCTGATTCTAATACTTTGAGTTTTCTCTCTTTTGCTCTTGGTCATTCTAACTAAATGTTTTTCAATTTTGTTGATTTACAAAAAAATAGCTTTTGGTTTCATTGATTTTCTCTGTTTTCTTATTCTCTATTTAATGAACTTTTGCTTTTTAAATATTTCCTTCTTTTTGTTTGCTTGGTTTAGTTTGCCCTTCTTTTTCCAGTGTCTTAAGGTGGAAGGTTAGGTTACTGATTTGATATCTTTCTTCATATAGGCATTACAGCTATACATTTCCCTCTCTGCTTTACTGCATCCCACAAATGCTGGTATGTTGTGTCTTCATTTTCATTAGTCTCAAAGGATTTTCTTTTTCTTTTTCTTTTTTGAGACAGGATCTTGCTCTGTTGCTCAGGCTGGAATGCAGTGGTGTGATCTCGGATCACTGCAGCCTTGACTTCCCCAGCTTAAGTGATCCTCCCACCTCAGCCTCCCGAGTAGCTGAGACTACAGGTGTGTGCCCTCATGCTTGGCTAATTTTGTTCATTTTTTTGCAGAGACGAGGTCTCACTGTGTTACCCAGGCTGGTCTCAAACTCCTGTACTCAAGTGACCCTCCTACCTCTCTGCTTCCCATAGTTTTGAGATTAAAGGAATGAGCTACTGTGCCCAGCCTCAAAGTATTTTCTGATTACCCTTTTGATTTCACCTTGTACCCATTGGTTATTTCGTCAAATGTAGTTTAATATCCACATATTTGTAAATTTCCAAAATTTTTCCTGCAATTAATATTTAATTTTATTCCATTGTAATAAGAGAATATACTTCGTGTAATTTCTGCCCTTTTAAATTTACTGAGGTTTATTTATGGTCCAGCACATGGGCTATCCTGGAGAATGTTCCATGTGACTTGAGAACAATATATAAATGTATATTCTATTGTTGTTCTGTAAAGTGTTCTAAAGATAGTTATTAGGTCTAATTTGTTTATCATGTTGTTCATATTTTCTCTTCTTGATTTTCTAATTGGTTTAGACATGCTTATCATTATTACAGTTTTCTAATAGATTCCCCCTTTATCATTATGAAATTTCCCTCTTCATCTCTAGTAACATTTTTTTGTTAAAAGTCTATTTTGTCTTGTATTAGGGCAGTCTTTTTAGTTTTCTTGTGATTGTTGATTGCATGATATATCTTTTTCACAACCTTTACTTATAATGTTTGTATATCGAATATAAAGTATATCTTGCCTAAACAACATATAGTTAGATCATGAGGTTTTTTTCCCCCTCCAGGCTGACAGTCTCTGCCTTTTGCTGGATTGGTTAATCTGTTAACGTTTAATGCCATTATTATTTTTATTTATTTATTTATTTTTTGTGAGACAGAGTCTCACTCTGTCACCCAGGCTGGAGTGCAGTGGCACGATCTTGGCTCACTACCTCACTACAACTTCTGCCTCCGGGTTCAAGCAGTTCTCCCTTCCTCACCCTCCTGAATAGCTGGGATTACAGGCATCCACCACTATGCCCGGCTAATTTTTGTATTTTTAGTAGAGATGGTGTTTCACCACGTTGGCCAGGCTGGTCTCAAATTCCTGACCTCAAGTGATCCACCCACCTAGGCCTACCAAAGCTCTGGGAATACAGGTGTGAGCCACCGTGCCCGACCCCATTTAATGTTATTATTGACGTAGTTGTAATTACATCTGCCATTTTAGTTTTTTGTGTTTGTCTCATGTTGTTTTCTTGCTCCTCCTTTGCTGCATTATTTTGCATTAAATGATTATTTCCTAATTATTTTAATTTCTTTAATAATTTTTTTTACTATCTGTGTGTGTGTGTTTTGAGATAGAGTCTCACTCTGTCACCCAGGCTGGAGTGCAGCAGGGCAATCTTGGCTCACTGAAACCTCTGCCTCCTCTTTTCAAGTGATTCTCCTGCCTCAGCCTCCTGAGTAGCTGAGATTTCAGGTGTGTGCCACCAAGCCTGGCTAATTTTTGTATTTTTTTTTTTAGCAGAGATGGAGTTTCACCATATTGGCCAGGCTGGTCTCGAACTCCTGGCCTCAAGTGATTCTCCTGCCTCAGCCTCCCAAAGTTTTGGGATTTCAGGTGTGAGCCACCACACCTGGCCTTTACTATATTTTTGAGGGTTGTTCCTTTTTTTTCTTTTTAGTGGTTGCTCTAAGGTTTACACCTTATCAGAATCAACTGATAAGTTCCTATTTATACTAGTTTAATTCCAGTGATACAGGTATAGAAAAGTTATTCTTATGTCATTCTATTCCCTTTTCCATCTTTGTGTGGTATATTTGTTGTACATATTACATCTAATAATGTTACAAACCATTATTACTTTTTCTTTATAGTCATTTCTCTAAACTCAATATAGTTTTACTCCCTCTCACTTCCTTTTTGATGTCATTAGCAAATATATTACACATATTACATTTGTAATGTTATAGGCCCAATAATGTATTGCATGCATATTATTTTTTCCCTAGGTAGAGGCAGCTCTAATGGCTTGCATATTATTTTGTATGAGGGGTCTTCAAAAAGTTCATGGAAATGCATATTATGAAAAAACTATGCATGGCTTTAACTTTTTTTTGCACCAAAATAAACTCACACTAACTTGTTATAACATGTCTGAATAGGATCTAGTTTGAGGCATTAAGAAGGATAATACATCAGTTGGAAAAGAGCCTCTATCAAAACAATATGAATTCTGCTAAAATTGAAGCAAGAACAAGCATCAAATTCATGATGAAGCTTGAGTGGAAGAATGGTGAAAGCATTGATGCTTTATGAAAAGTTCTTTATTTTCCCAATTTTTTTAAAATTTTAAAATGTTAATGTAGAAACAAGGTCTTGCAGTGTTGGCAAAGCTAGCCTCAAATTCCTGGGCTCAAGCAATCCTACTGCATCAGCCTCCCAAAGTGCTGGGATTACAGGCTTGGCTTTATGAAAAGTTTATGGAGACAGTGCCTCCAAAGAAACCAGCAGCTTACAAATGGATAACTTGTTTTAAGAAAGGAGGAAATGGTGAGAAAACACCAAGATGGCCCAATAGGAATATCTCCGGTCTACAGCTCCCAGCAAGACTAATGCAGAAGATGGGTAATTTCTGCATTTCCAACTAAGGTACCTGGTTCATCTCACTGGGACTGGTTGGACAGTGGGTACGGCCCACAGAGGGCGAGCCGAAGCAGGGAGGGGCGTCGCCTCACCCAGGAAGTGCAAGGGGTCAGGGATTGATTTCCCTTTCCTAGTGAAGGGAAGCCATGAGTGACTGTACCTGGAGGAACATTACACTCCTACCCAAATTCTGTGCTTTCCCCATGGTCTTTGCAACTGTCAGACCAGGAGATTCTCTCCCGTGCCTGGCTCAGCAGGTCCCATGCCCATGGAGCCTTGCTTGCTGCTAGTGCAGCAGTCTGAGATCTACCTGGGACACTGGAGCTTGGTGGGGGGAGGGGCATCCGCCATTTCTGAGGCTTGAGTAGGCGGTTCTATGCTCACAGTGTAAACAAAGCAGCAGGGAAACTCGAACTGGGCAGAGCTCATCGCAGCTCAGCAAGGACTACTGCCTCTCTAGATTCCACCTCCAGAGGCAGGGCATATCTGAACAAAAGGCAGCAGACAGCTTCTGCAGACTTAAACGTCCCTGCCTGACAGCTCTGAAGAGAGCAGTGGTTCTGCCAGCATGACATCTGAGCTCCGATAACAGACAGACTGCCTCCTCAAGTGGGTCCCTGACCCCCATGTAGCCTGACTGGGCGACACCTCCCAGTAGGGGCCAACGGACACTTCATACAGGCAGGTGCCCCTCTGGGACGAAACTTCCAGAGGAAGGATCAGGCAGCAATATTTGCTGTTCTGCAGCCTCCGCTGGTGATACCCAGGCAAATAGGATTTGGAGTGGACCTCCAGCAAACTCCAACAGACCTGCAGCTGAGGGGCCTGTCTGTTGGAAGGAAAACTAACAAACAGAAAGGAATAGCATCGACATCAACAAAAGGACATCCACACCAAAACCCCATCCACAGGTCACCAACATCAAAGACCAAAGGTAGATAAAACCATAAAGATGGGGAGAAACCAGAGCAGAAAGGCTGAAAATTCCAAAAACCAGAATGCCTCTTCTCCTCCAAAGGAACACAACTCCTCACCAGCAAGGGAACAAAACTGGATGGAGAATGAGTTTGACAAGTTGACAGAAGTAGGCTTCAGAAGGGCGGTAATAACAAACTTCTCTGAGCTAAAGGAGCATGTTGTAACCCATTGCCAGGAAGCTAAAAACCTTGAAAAAAGGTTAGACGAATGGCTAACTAGAATAACCAGTATAGAGAAGAGCTTAAATGACCTGATGGAGCTGAAAACCACAGTACGAAAAACTTCATGAAGCATACACAAGCTTCAATAGCTGATTTGATCAAGTGGAAGAAAGGATATCAGTGATTGAAGATCAAATTAATGAAATAAAGCGAGAAGACAAGATTAGAGAAAAAAGAGTGAAAAGAAACGAACAAAGCCTCCAAGAAATATGGGACTATGTGAAAAGACCAAATCTACGTTTGATTGGTGTACCTGAAAGTGACAGGGAGAATGGAACCAAGTTAGAAAACACTCTTCAGGATATTACCCAGGAAAACTTCCCTAACCTAGCAAGGCAGGCCAACGTTCAAATTTGGAAATACAGAGAACACCACAAAGATACTCCTTGAGAAGAGCAACCCCAAGACACATAATTGTCAGATTCACCAAGGTTGAAATGAAGGAAAAAATGTTAAGGGCAGCCAGAGAGAAAGGTTGGGTTACCTACAAAGGGAAGCTCATCAGACTAACAGTGGATCTCTTGGCAGAAACCCTGCAAGCCAGAAGAGAGTGGGGGCCAATATTCAACGTTCTTATAGAAAAGAATTTTCAACTCAGAATTTCATATCCAGCCAAACTAAGCTTTTAAGTGAAGGAGAAATAAAATCCTTTCCAGACAAGCAGATGCTGAGAGATTTTGTCACCACCAGGCCTGACTTACAAGAGCTCCTGAAGGAAGCACTAAACATGGAAAGGAACAAATGGTACCAGCCACTGCAAAAACATGCCAAATTGTAAAGACCATCGACGCTATGAAGAAACTGCATCAATTAACAGTCAAAATAACCAGCTAGCATCATAATGACAGAATCAAATTCACACATAATAATATTAACCTTAAATGTAAATGAGCTAAATGCCCCAATTAAAAGACACAGACTGGCAAATTGGTTAAAGAGTCAAGACCCATCAGTGTGCTGTATTCAGGGGACCCATCTCACATGCAAAGACAAATATAGGCTCAAAATAAAGGGATGGAGGAAGATCTACCAAGCAAATGGAAAGCGGAAAAAAAAAAAAAAAGCAGAGGTTGAAATCCTGGTCTCTGATAAAACAGACTTTAAACTAACAAAGATGAAAAGAGACAAAGAAGGCCGTTACATAATGGCAAAGGGATCAATTCAACAAGAAGAGCTAACTATCCTAAATATATATGCACCCAACACAGAACCACCCAGATTCTTAAAGCAAGTTCTTAGAGACCTACAAAGAGACTTAGACTCCCACACAATAATAACGGGAGAATTTAACACCCCACGGTCAATATCAGACAGATCAACAAGACAGAAAATTAACAAGGATATCCAGGACTTGAACTCAGCTCTGGACCAAGCGGACCTAATAGACATCTACAGAACTCTCCACCCCAAATCAACAGAATATACATTCTTCTCAGCACCACATCACACTTATTCTAAAATTGACCACATAATTGGAAGTAAAACACTCCTCAGCAAATGTAAAAGAACAGAAATCACAACAAACTATCTCTGTGACCACAGTGCAATCAAATTAGAACTCAGGATTAAGAAATGCACTCAAAACCGCACAACTATATGGAAACTGAACAATCTGTTCCTGAATGACTACTGGGTAAATTACGAAATGAAGGCAGACATAAAGATGTTCTTTGAAACCAACAAGAACAAAGACACAACATACCAGAATCTCTGGGACACAGCAAAAGCAGTGTATATAGGGAAATTTATAGCACTAAGTGCCCATAAGAGAAAACAGGAAAGATCTAAAATTGACACCCTAACATCACAATTAAAAGAACTAGAGAAATAAGAGCAAACAAATTCAAATTCAAAAGCTAGCAGAAGGCAAGAAATAACTAAGATCAGAGCAGAACTGAAGGAGACAGAGACACAAAAAGCCCTTCAAAAAAAATCAATGATTCCAGGAGCTGGTTTTTTGAAAAGATCAACAAAATAGATAGACTGCTAGCAAGACTAATAAAGAAGAGAGAAGAATCAAATAGATGCAATAAAAAATGATAGAGAAGATATTACCACTGATCCCACAGAAATACAAACTACCATCAGAGAATACTACAAACCCCTCCACACAAATAATTAGAAAATGTAGAAGAAATGGATAAATTCCTGGACATATACACTCTCCCAAGACTAAACCAGGAAGATGTTGAATCTCTGAATAGACCAATAACAGGTTCTGAAATTGAGCCAATAATTAATAGCCTACCAACCAAAAAAAGTCCAGGACCAGATGGATTCATAGCCAAATTCTACCAGAGGTACAAACAGGAGCTGGTACCATTCCTTCTGAAACTATTCCCATCAGTAGAAAAAGAGGGACTCCTCCCTAACTCATTTTATGAGGCCAGCATCATCATGATACAAAAGCCTGGCAGAAACACAACAAAACAGAATTTTAGGCCAATATCAATGATGAACATTGATGCAAAAATCCTCAATAAAATACTGGCAAACCAAATCCAGCAGCACATCAAAAAGCTTATCCACCACGATCAAGTCAGCTTCATCCCTGGGATGCAAGCCTGGTTCAACATACACAAATCAGTAAACGTAATCCATCACATAAACAGAACCAATGACAAAAACCACATGATTATCTCAATAGATGCAGAAAAGGCCTTCGACAAAATTCAACAGCATTTCTTGCTAAAAACTCTGAATAAACTAGGTATTGATGGAATGTATCTCAAAATAAGAGCTATTTATGACAAACCCACAGCCAATATTATACTGCATGGGCAAAAACTGGAAGCATTCCCTTTGAAAACTGGCACAAGACAAGGATGTCCTCTCTCACCACTCCTATTCAGCACAGTATTGGAAGTTCTGGCCAGGGCAATCAGGCAAGAGAAAGAAATAAAGGGTATTCAATTAGGAAAAGAGGGAGTCAAATTGTCTCTGTTTGCAGATGACATGATTGTATATTTAGAAAACCCCATCGTCTCAGCCCAGAATCTCCTTAAGCTGATAAGCAACTTCAGCAAAGTCTCAGGATACAAAATCAATGTGCAAAAATCACAAGCATTTCTGCAAAAATCACAAGCATTTCTATACACCAAGAACAGACAAACGGAGAGCCAAATCATGAGTGAACTCCCATTCACAATTACTACAAACAGAATAAAATACCTAGGAATCCAACTTACAAGGGATATGAAGGACCTCTTCAAGGAGAACTACAAACCACTGCTCAAGGAAATAAGAGAGGACACAAACAAATGGAAGAACATTCCATGCCCATGGACAGGAAGAATCAATATCGTGAAAATGGCCATACTGGCCAAGGTAGTTTATAGATTCAATGCTATCCCCAAAAAGCTACCACTGGCTTTCTTCACAGAATTGGAAAAAACTACTTTAAAGTTCACATGGAACCAAAAAAGAGCCCGCATAGCCAAGACAATCCTAAGCAAAAAGAACAAAGCTGGAGGCATCACACTACCTGACTTCAAACTATACTACAAGGCTACAGTAATCAAAATAGCATGGTACTGGTACCAAAACAGATATATAGACCAATGGAACAGAACAGAGGCCTCAGAAATGACAGCACACATCTACAACCATCTGATCTTTGACAAACCTGACAAAAACAAGGAATGGGGAAAGAATTCCCTATTTAATAAACGGTGCTGGGAAAACTGGTTAGCCACATGTAGAAAGCTGAAACTGGATCCCTTCCTTTCACCTTACACAAAAATTAACTCAAGATGGATTAAAGACTTAAATGTAAGACCTAAAACCATAAAAACCCTAAAAGAAAACCTAGGCAATACCATTCAGGACATAGGCATGGGCAAAGACTTCATGACTAAAACACCAAAAGCAATGGCAACAAAAGCCAAAATAGACAAATGAGATCTAATTAAACTAAAGAGCTTCTGCACAGCAAAAGAAACTATCATCAGAGTGAACAGACAACCTACAGAATGGGAGAAAATTTTTGCAATCTATCTATCTGACAAAGGGCTAATATCCAGAATCTACAAAGAACTTAAACAAATTTACAAGAAAAAAACAACTGCATCAAAAAGTGGGCAAAGGATATGAACAGACACTTCTCAAAAGAATACATTTATGCAGCCAACAGACACATTAAAAAATGCTTATCATCACTGGTCATCAGAGAAATGCAAATCAAAACCACAATGAGATACCATCTCACACCAGTTAGAATGGCAATCATTAGAAAGTCAGGAAACAACAGATGCTGGAGAGGATGTGGAGAAATAGGGACACTTTTACACTGGGAGTGTAAATTATTTCAACCTTTGTGGAAGACAGTGTGGCGATTCCTCAAGGATCGAGAACTAGAAATACCATTTGACCCAGCAATCCCATTACTGGGTATATACCCAAAGGATTATAAGTCATGTTACTATAAAGACACATGCACACGTATGTTTATTGTGGCACTATTCACAATAGCAAAGACTTGGAACCAACCCAAATGTCCATCAATAATAGACTGAATAAAGAAAAATGTGGCACATATACACCATGGAATACTATCTTGCCATAAAAAAGGACGAGTTCATGTCCTTTGCAGGGACATGAATGAAGCTGGAAACCATCATTCTCAGCAAAATATCACAAGGACAGAAAACCAAACACCACATGTTCTCATAAGTGGGAGTTGAACAATGAGAACACATGGACACAGGGAGGGGAACATCACACACTGGGGCCTGTTGGTGGGTGGGGGCCCGGGGGAGGGATAGTGTTAGGAGAAATACCTAATGTAAATGACGAGTTGATGGGTACAGCAAACCAACATGGCACACATATACCTATGTAACAAACCTGCACATTTTACACATGTACCCTAGAACTTTATAGTAATTTAAAAAATAAATTAAATTAAAAAAAGAAAGGAGGAAAGGATGTTAAAAATGAAGCCTGCAGCAGCAGACCATTCACATCAACTTGTGAGGAAAACATTTATCTTGTTCATGCCCTAATTGAAGGGGACGATTGCCCTAATTGAAGGATGATTAATAGTAGAAACAGTAGCCAACAGTATAGACATCTCAGTTGGTTCAGCTTACACAATTCTGACTGCAAAATTAAAATTGAGCAAACTTTCCACTTGATGGATGCCAAAACCGTTGCAACCAGATCAGCTGCAGACGAGAGCAGAACTTTCAATGGAAATTTTAAACAGGTGGCATCAAGATCCTGAAGCATTTCTTTGAAAAACTGTGACAGATGATGAAACCTGGCTTTACTAACATTATCCTGAAGACGAAGCACTGGCTACCAAGAGGTGGAAGTGGGCTGGTCAAAGCAAGAGTCCAGTCAAGACCAAAGGTCATGGCAATGGTTTTTTTGGGATGCTCAAGGCATTTTGCTTGTTGACTTTCTGGATGACCAGAGAATGATAATATCTGCTTCTTGTGAGAATGTTTCGAGAAAGTTAGCCAAAGCTTTTTTTGTTTTTTTTTCTTTCAGACAGGGTCTGGCTCTGTCACCCAGACTGGAGTGCAGTTGTGGGAACTTGGCTCACTGCAACCTCTGTTTCCTGGGCTCAAGCAATCCTCCCACCTCAGCCTCCCAAGTAGCTGGGACTACAGGTATGTGCCACCATGCCCAGCTACATTTTGTATTTTTTGTAGAGATGGGGTTTCACCATGTTGTCCAGGCTGGTCTCAAACTCCTGAGCTCAAGCACTCTGCCTGCCTTGGTCTACCAAAGTGTTGAGATTACAGGCATGAGCCACTACACCTGGCCAAAAGTGAGCCAAAGATTTAGCAAAATAAACGTCTGGGAAAGCTTCACCAGAGTGTCCATCTCCACCATGACCATGCTCCAGCTCATTCCTCTCATCAAACGAGGGCAATTTTATAAACATTTTGGTGGGAAATTATTAGGCATCTACCTTAAAGTCCTGATTTAGTTCCTCCTCATTCTTTTTTTTCCTAATCTTAAAAAATCTATAAAGGGCACCCATTTTTCTTCAGTTAACAATGTAAAAAGGACTACATTGACATGGTTAAATTCCCAAGACACTCAGTTCTTTAGGGACATACTAAATGGCTTGTATCACTGCTTACAAAAGTATCTTGAACCTTATGGATCTTACACTGAGAATAAAGTTTATATTTTTATTTTTTCTTAGAGTATCATTATTATTATTATTAATTTTTTTTTTTTGAGACAGGGTCTCACTCTGTTGCCCAGACTGGAGTGCAGTGGCGCGATCTCACCTCACTGCAATCTCCACCTTCCAGACTCAAGCAATTCTCCTGCCTCAGCCTCCCAAATAGCTGGGATTACAGGTGTGTGCCACCATGCCCGGCTAATGAGAATAAAGCTTATATTTTAATTTTTATCTTTTAATTCCATTATCATGAACTTTTTGAAGTCCCCTTGTATAATTGCTTTTTAAAATTAATTAACAGCGTGGTGGCTCACGCCTGTAATCCCAGCACTTTGGGAGGCCGAGGTGGGTGGATCACGAGGTCAGGAGATGGAGACCACCCTGGCTAACATGGTGAAACCCCCTCTCTACTAAAAATACAAAAAATTAGCCGGGCGTAGTGGCGGGTGCCTGTAATCCCAGCTACTCTGGAGGCTGAGGCAGGAGAATGGCGTCAACCCAGGAAGCGGAGCTTGCAGTGAGCTGCACTCCACTGCATTCCAGCCTGGGCGACAGAGCGAGACTCTGTCTCAAAAAATAAATAAATAAATAAAATAAAAAATTAAATTAAATTAAATTAATTAACAGAAGAAGAGAGAAAATTCTGCATTTATATTGCCTTTTATAATTACATAATTACCTTTACCAGTGCTCTTTGTTTTTTCATGTGGATTTTTTATTTTTTTGAGACAGGATCTCACTCTGTTACCCAGGCTGGAGTGCAGTGGAGTGATCGTGACTCACTGCAGCCTCAACCTTCTGGGCTCAATCAATCCTCCTGCTTCAGCCTCCCAAATAGTTGGGACTACAGGCATGTGCCACCACACCCACCTAATTTATTTTTTTGTAGAGACAAAGTCTCACTATATTGCCTAGGCTGGTCTCGAACTCCTGTCCTCAAGCAATCTTCCCACCTCAGCCCTCAAATGTGCTGGGATTACAGGTATGAGGAACTGTACCTGGCCTTCCTGTGGATTTGAATTACTGTCTGGGGTCACTTGCTTTCAGTCTTAAGAACTTCATTCAGTATTTCTTGTGAGGTGGATTGGTTAGCAACAAATTCTCTCAGTTTTTGTTTATTTTGGAAAGTCTTAACTTTCACCTTCATTTTTGAAAGATATCTTTGCTAGATATAGGCGTTTTTGTTGAGAGGTCTTTTTTGAGCACTTTTAATTGTTGTACCACTATCTACTGGTCTCCATTGTTTCTATTAAGAAGTCTGTTGTTAATCTTACCAAAGTTCTCTTGTAAGTGATGATTTGTTTTTCTCATGCTGCTTTCAAGATTTTCGTTTTGTATGATGTGTTAGTTTGTGGATTTCTTTGTGCTTATTGTTCTTGGAGTTTGTTGAGCTTCCTGTATTTGTGGATTATTGTTTTGCAATAAATGTGGGCAGTTTTTCTCCATTATTTTATAAAATATTTTTCTATTCTCCCCACTCATTTTTATATTCCTAGTATACATATTTTGGTGTTTCACATTTCTCTTGAGGCTCTGTTATTTTTTTCATTCCTTTTACCTTCTATCCTTCAGCTTACATAATTTCTATTGGTCTTGTCTTCAAGTTCATGAATTATTTTTTCTGCCTGTTTAAATCTACTGTTGATTTCCTCTCGTGAATTTTTAAATTTCAGTTATTGTACTTTTCAACTCCAGAGTTTCCACTTGGTTCTTCTTTATACATATATACATGTAATTTATATCTCTTGATTGATATTCTCTACTAATATTTGATGTGACACTGTCATACCTTTCTTCTTTAATCATGCTTTCCTTTAGTTCTGTGAACATATTCATAATTGTTATTTTGAAATATTTTTCTGCTAAATCCAACATGTAGTTACTCTTATAGGCAGTTTGGGTTGCCTGCAGTTTTTCTGGTGTATGGGTCATCTCTCACAGATTTCTTTGCATGCTGTGTAATTTTTGTTGGAACTTGAACATTTTAGATAACATCCTGTGGGAACTCTGGGTATGGGACCCCTCCTTCTGGGACTTGTTACTGTTATTTGCTTGTTTGTATCATGGCGACTGGCTAAATTATTTTCATGGAGCCAATACCCCCAGCCCCCCAACCCACACACACAGTATTAAACCTCTTTAGTTGCTCCTCAGGGAGGCACAGCTTTGGGTAGGCTCACAGTCACTCTGAGATGACAGTGGTATTGATAGGTTTATCTTCCTTTCTTTCCCTGGCTACTCCTAGCTGTTAAACTCCACTCGTTGATAGCTTTGTGCTCTATTATTTTCAACATTGCCTTGGGGCTTAAATAGCTCTACAAACTGTTCCAATCAAATTGTGGCTCCTTTGAAGGAGTAGTTTCTGTGCTCAATATTTAATATTTGTCCTGGCCCCAGGAAAGCATCTCCTAACTGTGTTATTCCCTGGTTCTTTCCCACAAGCTAGCTGGCCTGTACTCTAGACTGCAGGTTCATTAAATTGATAAATCTCCACCCAGTTGTCTTTCACCACATTCTGTACTGTGGTTGAGAATACCTTTAGGCTGGAACTTCTCTACACTCTGTTGCAAATGATGTCAATTCCTTTGAAAGGGATTAGGAGCCATCTAATTTATGGCTTGCTTCTTCCCCCAGGCAAAATCTCTGAGCCCAGTTTCTGGATCTGGGTTGAATTCATGGCAATTTTCTCTCTAAGTTATACTGTTGCTCTTAAGAGGTGACTACTTAGTGAGATATGGAGAGCAGCAACCTGAGGTCCCCTCAGCTTGCTTCTCCTGGCATGAAACCTCTGCCTTATGGGTGAGGCAAGTGCAATTTGGGCCCCAGTATTCTCTGCACTGCATTCAAGGTAGAACCATTGTTCCATGAACAGGGGCTGGTTGGAAGAGTGTCTCCCTCCTCTTGACACTAATCACCCAGAACTTAGCCTCAGCAACAGGCAGCTGGGAGAATAATGAGAAATGGTGAAGTTCCACTCCTCCTGGGAAGAAAGCTCTTCAACTGGGAGCTGGAGGAAGAGGGAGCCCTAGAGTGGAGTCTTTGCCTCACCAGGCAGAGAGTGGGGAAGGAAAAAGTTGTCTTGGTTTAGGTGCCACAGACTCATCTTTCTTATACTGAATTGCATAGTTTTTAGAGGATAAATAAATCTTCATTTTATGCTTAGCCTCAGGACTATAAGGACTATGTGTGTGTGTGTATATATATATATATATATATATATATATATATATATATATATATATATACACACACATATATATATATACACACACGCTTTAAGTATTTGTGTTTAAAAAAATAATTCTGAGGCAGGAGAATCGCTTGAACCTGGGAGGCGGAGGTTGCAGTGAGCTGAGACTGCGCCATTGCACTCCAGCCTGGGCAACAAGAGTGAAACTCCATCTTAAAAAAAAAAATTTACTAGTTTCAGTGATAAACTAATAAGAGAGTAAGTCAGCTGATCTCTTCACTCTGTCATGCTAGAAGTTCATACCTCTGTTTGTTTTTTTTAATCCTTCCTTACCCCTACATGTTAGACCTAAGCTTTTTTGGATCTACTTTTCCTGATCAAGGCTCGAGTCTAATACCTTTACTTTCCTTAGTAGGTTAATTTTGTTTTCGTTTTTCCTATTGGACAGCTCTTTTTCTGCAAAATGTTGTGGTTGAAGTGAAGAGGAGAGGTTTTCTCTATAGCTAACTAGGACTTGCTCGTATTTCAGAAAATAGGGGATCCCTTTAAGATTACTGCTGCAGTGATAATTAACTAGACGTGGTCTGTCTTCTATTGCTCTTTGAAAGGCCTGCCTAGATAATGCTTTAAATTTCTGCAGATAATGGATTACCTTACTAAATTGTACTGTGAAATTTCAGGTCAAGCTGGGGAAAAGTGAACTGCTTTGTGTAGGAATATTTTTAGTGTCTCTTTTGGTAGTGGAGGAGGTGCATAGAAATTGCATTCTGTGGAGAGAGTACTTAAAAATAATTACCTTTGGCATGGTGCAGTGGCTCACGCCTGTAATCCCAGCACTTTGGGAGGCCGAGGCGTGCGGATCATGTCAGGGTATCGAGACCATCCTGGCTAACACGGTGAAACCCCGTCTCTGCTAAAAATACAAAAAAAAAAAAAAAAAAAAAAGCCAGGCGTGGTGATGGGCGCCTGTAGTCCCAGCTACTCGGGAGGCTGAGGCAGGAGAATGGCATGAACCTGGGAGGCCAAGCCTCCAGTCAGCCGAGATCGCGCCACTGCACTCCAGCCTGGGCGACAGAGCGAGACTCCATCTCAAAAAAAATAATAATAAATAATAATAATAACAATTAACTTAAAGCTTGAGAGTTTTTTTTAAATGCAAAAGGTCATCTTTATTAGACATCAGAAAGATGCAAACTTATATCACAAAGTGGTACCACTATATAACCACCAGAATGGTTAAATTGAAAAAAAGACAGTAAATACCAGTGTAAGTGGAGCAGTTAGAACTCACATAACACTGGTGGGGAAATGTAAACTTGTACAATCTCTCTGGAAAACTGTTATTAAATAACAATTAAAGCTGAACATACACATATGTGTATTCACCAAAAGATCCAAAACTTGGTCTTAATTTTATTTATTCTCACTAAAACTTACTAATATTCATTAAATTCTTAAAACTTGTGAAATAAGCAAGCTTATAAGTTACTATTATATCATCTATGGTTATAATGTAGATCTGAAAAACTGTATATACTATAATTAATTCCTTTATTTCTTAGGTCATTATCTAGCAGTATACACACATGCATACACATACTTCTCCATCTCCTTCCTTTTGAACAGAAATAGGAACATACTATATACATAGTATAGAATCTTGGTTTCCCTCCCCACTCTTCTTTATTTACTTATGAGACAGTGTCGCATTCTGTCTCACAGGCTGAAGTACAGTGGCATACTCATGGCTCACTGCAGCTTTGATTTCCCAGGCTCAAGTGATCCTCCTGCCTCAGCCTCCAAAGTAGCTGGGACTACAGGCATGAGCCACCAAGCCCTGCCACTTTTTATTTGTTTATATTCAGGGACTTTAATTTTTAGACCAGTTTTAGGCTCCAGAAGAATTGAACAGAAAGTGTAGTTTCCTTATGTCCCCTCCACCCTACTCCACACATTTCTCTATTACTAACATCTTGTATTAGTGTGGTACATTTGTTACAATTGATGTACCAATATTGAACATTATTAACTAAATTCCATAGTTTAGAGTTTACTCTGTGTTGTATTTCCTGGGTTTTGATAAATGTATAATGTCATGTATCCATCATTATAGTATCATACAGAATAATTTTATGGTCCTAAAAATCTTCTGTGCTTCGTTTTTATTCTTCCGTCCCTCTCCCAGAACTGCTGGCAATCATTGGTCTTTTTACTGTTACTATACTTTAGGCTTTTCCAGAATATCATATAGTTGGAATCACATAGTATGTAGCTTTTTCAGACTGGCTTCTTTGACCTAGCAATATATATTTAAGGTTCCTCCTTTTTTTTTGGTATCTTGACAGCTCACTTCTCTTTTATTGCTAAATAATATTCCATTGTATGTATGTACCACAGTTTGTTTATCCACTCACCTATTGAAGGACATCTTTATTGCTTCCATGTGTTGGCAATTATGAAGCAAGCTGTTATAAGCATTCGTGTCCAGGTTTTTATGTGGACAGAAGTGTTCTACTCACTTGGGTAAATCCCAAGGAGAGCAATTGCTGGGTTGTATGGTAAGACTATGTTTAGCTTTGTTAGAAGCTGTCAAATTGTCCTCCAAAGTGACTGTGTAATTTTGTGTTTCTACCAGCAATGAATGAGAGTACCTGTTGTTTGCCATCCTCACCTGCATTTGATGTTGTCAGTATTTTGGATTTTAGGCATTCTAATAGGTGTGTAGTGGTATCTCGTTGTTTTAATTTGCAATTGTCTGATGACATATGATACTGGGCATCTGTTAATATGCCCATTTGCCATCTGTATATTTTCTTTGGTGAAATGTATATTCTTATATTTTGCCCATTTTTTAATTGGGTTATTTTCTTATTGAATTTTAAGAGTTTTATGTATTTTGGATACAAGTTCTTTATTATTTTGCAAATATTTTCTCGCAGTTTGTGGCTTGTCTTTTTATTTGCTTAACAGTATCTCTCATGGAGCAGAAAAGTTTAGTTTTAGTGAAGTTCTAACTATCAATTTTTTCTTTTGTGAATTATACTTTTGGTGTTGTATCTAAAAACTCATTACCAAACCTAAGGCCATCTAGATTTTTTCCTATGTGATTGTCTAGAGGTTTTACAGTTTTGCATTTTATATTTAGGTCTATCATCTATCTTGAGTTAATTTTTGTGAAAGGGATAAGGTCTGTGTCTAGATTCAGTTTTTTGTATGTTCCAGCACTATTTGTTGAAAAGACTGTCTTTTTTTTATCTTATTATTCAATTGCCTCTGTTCCTTTGTCAAAAATCAGTTGAGCACATTTGTGCAAGTCTATTTCTGGGTTCTTTATTCTGTTCCCTTGATCTATTTATCTATTCTTTCACCAATACCATACTATCTTGCTTGTTGTATAAAACATCTTGAAGTCAAGTAGTGTCAGTCTTTGTTCTTTTTCAAATTGTGTTGGCTATTCTGGGTCTATTGCCTCTCCATATAAACTTTGCAATCAATTGTCAATATCTACAAAACAATTTCCTAGGATTTTTAAAAATTTACAGATTAAATTGTATGTATTTATTGTGTACAGCATGATGTTTTGAGGTATATATATACGTTGTGAAATGACTAAATTTGGCTAATTTACATATGTGTGTTACCTCACATAATTATCAATTTTTAATTTACTGGGATTTTGTCTGGGATTGTATTGACTCTACATAAAGCTTGGAAGAACTGACATCTTGACAATATTGAGTCTTCCTATTGATGAACATGGAGTATCTCTCCATTTATTTAGATCTTTTATTTCTTTCATGAATGTTGCTTTTTTCACTTGACAGTTTATCTTGGAGATCATTCCATTTCAGCACATATAGATAGACCTACCTCATCAATTTTTTTTTTTTTTTGAGACTGAGTTTTGCTCTTGTTGCCCAGGCTAGAGTGCAATGGCATGATCTCGGCTCACCACAACCTCCACCTCCCGGGTTCAAGTGATTTTCCTGCCTCAGCCTCCTGAGTAACTGGGATTACAGGCATGTGCCACCACACCCGGCTAATTTTGTATTTTTAGTAGAGACGAGGTTTTTCCATGTTGGTCAGGCTTGTCTCGAACTCCTGACCTTGTGATCTGCCTGCCTTGGCCTCCCAAAGTGCTGGGATTACAGGCATGAGCCACAGTGTCCAGCCAGACCTCATCATTTTTAACAGATGAATAATATTTTATTGTGGGGTTGTACAAAAATTTTCTTAGCCATTCCCTTATAGGTGGAGGTCTAGGTTGTTTCCAATCTTTTTCTTCTACGAACAGTGCTGCAGTGAAATTCTCATATAATTTATATTTGTGCACACATGTGAGTATATCTTAGGATAAATTCCTAGGAATAAAATTGTACAATAAAAAATATATACAATTTAAATTTTGGTGGCTTTTGCCAATTTTTCCTCCAAAGAAGTCATATAAGTTTACACTCCCAGAACAGTACTTAGGACTATTCCTTTCCTATAGCCTCACCAATATAGCAATTACCAATTCTTATAAAGTCGGTATATGATCTACAATAAAAACTTACAAATGGGCCAGGCGTGGTGGCTCACACCTGTAATCCCAGCACTTTGGGAGGCTGAGGCGGGCAGATCACGAGGTCAGGAGTTTGAGACCAGCCTGGCCAACATGGTGAAACCCCATCTCTACTAAAAATACAAAAATTAGCCACATGTGGTGGCACACGCCTCTAATCCCAGCTACTTGGGAGGCTGAGGCAGGAGAATTGCTTGAACCCGGAGGTTGCAGTGAGCTGAGATTGCAGCACTTGCACTCCAGCCTGGGTGACAGAGCAAGACTCGGTCTCGAAAAAAAACAAAACAAAACTTAAAATGATACTACTTGTTTCTTTAGCCTTGGCCTTCTTTAAACATATTTTTAAGAATATATTTATAAATTTCTACATGAAAAAGTGATTTTTTTTTCCCTGATCTGTTTCAGACCTGTGGATATCTGGGCTTTGGGCTGTATGATCATTGAGATGGCCACTGGAAATCCCTATCTTCCTAGTAGTTCTGATTTGGATTTACTCCATAAAATTGTTTTGAAAGTGGGTAGGTATTACTGAAATAACATGAGTTACATGTCTAAAATAAATATTGCCAGATCAATTCTGCTTGATTTTCAAATTTAGCTTTTCTGTGTAAGTACAGGGAAGCATATTGTTTTGATAGATGGCAGCAGATGGGTTCCTTGGGCTGATAAAGAAGGCAGAAAATTCTCTGCTTTAGCAAATAATATTTTCTTTGCTAGGATGCAAATAGCTAAGCCATATGTTGATGGTTGATGCTAAGAAAAATAGTACAATAGGAATGTACTTTAATTTGTCTAAAAGTTGTTTTTAAATTAGGCTTCTACAAATATCTGTACCTTTATATAAGGACTTTAAATAGTAGAGTTGAGTCAGATGCTTTTTTAAAGCACTTGGAAATAGAAAAGTAATTATTTACTCAGAAACCACCCTTCTTTTTAAAGAAAACAATAATAGACAGCCAGATAGCTAAATAACTTATTCAAGAACATATTTGATGAAGGCTGGGCATGGTGGCTTACACCTGTAATCCCTGCACTTTGGGAGGCCAAGGCAGGCGGAGCACCTGAGATCAGGAGTTGGAGACCAACCTGACCAACATAGTGAAACCCCATCTCTACTAAAAATACAAAAAAAATTAGCCAGGTATGGTGACGAGTGCCTGTAATCCCAGTTACTCAGGAGGCTGAGGCATGAGAACTGCTTGAACCCAGGAGGCAGAGGTTGCAGTGAGCCACGATCACGCCACTGCACTCCAGCCTGGGCAACAGAATGAGACTTAGTCTCAAAAAAAAAAAAAAAAAAAAAGAATATGTTTGATGAGAGTTTAATTATTTGATGATCTGCTTTGGCCACCAAAACATTATGATGGTTAGCCTTGAATGTGCTATTTCAAGATTTGTGGGTTTTTTAAATTTTAAATTTAATTTTTTTTTTTTTGAGAGGGAGTCTCGCTCTGTCACCCAGGCTGGAGTGCAGGGGCGCGATCTCAGCTCACTGCAAGCTCTGCCTCCTGGGTTCATGCCATTCTCCTGCCTCAGCCTCCCGAGTAGCTGGGACTACAGGTGCCTGCCACCACACCTGGCTTTTTTTTGTATTTTTAGCAGAGACGGGGTTTCACTGTGTTAGCCAGGATGGTCTCGATTTCCTGACCTCGTGATCCACCCACCTGGGCCTCGCAAAGTGCTGGGAATACAGGCATGAACCACCGCGCCCGGCTAAATTTTAATTTTTTTGAGACAGGGTCTCACTTTGTCACCTGGGTTGGAGTGCACTGGTGCAATCATGGCTCACTGTAGCCTTGACTTCCTGGGCTCAGGTGATTCTCCCACCTCAGCCTGCTGAGTGGCTGGGACTACAGGCACGTGCCATCATCCCCGGCTAATTTTTGCGTTTTTAGTGCAGCCGCGGTTTTGCCATGTTGCCCGACTCGGCCTCCCAAAGTGCTGGGATTACAGGCGTGAGCCACCATGGCTGGCCAAGATTTGTTTTTTATTATTTGTGGATGAGGAGCTTGAGAAGCTCTTTGTGTGGTGGGGAAGATATGCATAAATTTGTAATTACAGGATTATGAGGAAGATACTATGAACAATTCTAAAAACAGTGAAATCTGGATAATTACTGATTTAAGAAATAGTTTAGAGCCTTAAGACACCTCACATTTTTGTGTCTTTTAAGAAGTTCTAGTTAAGAGATTAATATTAGAAGGAACCTTAGATGGTGGGGTTTAATCCTATCATTTCACAGATGAGAAAACCAAGCACAAGAAAGCAAGAGATTTACCCAAGGTCACAGAACTAGTTATAGCAAAACTGCTAGAACTTAGTTCCCTCCACTCATATTTATAGTTCTTTCCATTCTGCTACTACTCTCTAGCCTTGTTTCTTTTTTTGCAATATTTTGATTTCTACATACCTTTAATATTTTAGCTGTTTTGAGTAAGGTTTCAATGTATTTTGCTGATGAACACTTAATAGTAAAATCATTTGGATACCCATATGGAAATGCGTAAAAGTTGGAATATGCATTTTCTGATAGCATTACATATTATGTCTTATAGTTTGGGAAAAGCAAATAAACCTGGTGGTTTTACATCTTCTGTTGCCTGTGGGCTATCAGCAGATAACTGACGAAACCTCAGTTTTTTATGACATGTTCAGATAGTTTTTATTCAACTTCAAAAAATTAAAATACATAATTCACATTCTTCCTTGTATCAGTTTTTAGTAATCTAACATAGATGACATAGCAATTTGATTGTTTTGATTATAGACTATTTCTCTGTTTTTTAAATATACATTTTTTTCTCTTTTCAGGCAATTTGTCACCTCACTTGCAGAATATCTTTTCCAAGAGCCCCATTTTTGCTGGGGTAGTTCTTCCTCAAGTTCAACACCCCAAAAATGCAAGAAAAAAATATCCAAAGCTTAATGGATTGTTGGCAGATATAGTTCATGTATGTTTTTTTTTTTTTTCCTCCCCCGGAGACAGAGTCTTGCTCTGTCGCCCAGGCTGTAGTGCAGTGGAGTGATCTCGGCTCACTGCAACCTCTGACTCCCAGGTCATGAGATTCTCCTGCCTCAGCCTTCCGAGTAGTTGGGATTACAGGCACCTGCCACCATGCCCGGCTAATTTTTGTATTTTCAGTAGAGACGGGGTTTCACCGTGTTGGCTGTGGTTGGCCAGGCTGCTCTTGAACTCCTGAGCTTAGGTGATCCGCCCACCTCGGCCTCCCAAAGTGCTGGGATTACAGGCATGAGTCACCGCACCCAGGCAGTTCATGTATGTTGAGAAATTAAGAATTTATATCTGAGAAATTTGCATAAATTATAATACAGTTTTTAATTATCACTTTAATGAAATTCCAAAAGGATTCCTAAAGTAATGTAAACTGTAGAAAATTATGTCTTTAGTACAGAGAAATTAAAATTCATAGACTGTCAGAGCTGAATGCCCCCTAAGATAATTATGTTCATTATATTTAATTTATCTCTATTTTAATGATAATTAGGTATAAACTGGAGAAATGGGCCAGGCAGGGTGGCTTATGTGTGTAATCCCAGCACTTTGGGACGCCGAGACGGGCTGATCACGAGGTCAGGAGATCAAGACCATCCTGGCCAACATGGTGAAACCCCGTCTCTACTAAAAATACAAAAAGTTAGCTGGGCATGGTGGCACGTGCTGGTAGTCCCAGTTACGCAGGAGGCTGAGGCAGGAGAATTACTTGAACCTGGGAGGCTGAGGTTGCAGTGAGCCAAAATCGGGCCATTGTACTCCAGCGTGGGTGACAGAGAGAGGCTCCGTCTCAAAAAAACAACAAACAAACAAAAAACTGGAGAAATTCTAAGGACTTACTGTATTTATCACTACCTTTTAACATTTAGTTTAGCCCAGTTAGGGACCTATTTTTTGTACTAAAATATCTACAGGACCTGAGCAGCTGTAGTTTTAATGTTTGAAGATACACCAAGGCCAAAATTCCTTCTTGACCTGGAGAAAATAAAAACATTATATAGCTCCTTTTTATTATTTTAAAATTTAAATTTTTATTTATTATTTATTATTTTTGCTTTTGTTTTTGTTTTTTTTTTGAGACGGAGTTTTGCTCTTGTTGCCCAGGGTGGAGTGCAATGGCGCGATCTCAGCTCACCACAACCTCCGCCTCCTGGGTTGAAGCAATTTTCCTGCCTCAGCCTCCCAAGTAGCTGGGATTACATGCATGCGCCACCACACCTGGCTAATTTTGAATTTTTAGTAGAGACGAGGTTTCTCCATGTCGGTCAGGCTGGTCTCGAAGTCCTGACCTCAGGTGATCCTCCCACCTTGGCCTCCCAAAGTGCTGGGATTACAGGCGTGACCCACCGTGCCTGGCCTTTATTTGTTTTTGTTCTGTTTTGTTTTTGTAAACAGGGTCTCACTCTTTCACCCAGGTCAGAATGCAGTGGTGTCACCTCGGCTCACTGCAGTTCCGACTTCCTGAGCTCAGCTGATCCTCCCAACTCAGCCTCCCGAGTAGCCTGGATGCCCAGATAATTTTTGTATTTTTTGTAGAGATGGAGTTTCTCCATGTTGCCCAGGCTGGTCTCAAACTCCTGGGCACAAACTATTAACTTGCCTCAGTCTCCCAAAGTGTTGGGATTACACACATGTGCCACAGTGCCAGTTCCTGTTTAAAAAAATTAATTATTTTTTACAGTCTCATCCTGTTGCCCAGGCTGGAGTGCAATGGTGTGATCGTTGCTCACTGCAACCTCGAACTCCTATCCTCTAGTGATCCTTCCTCCTTGGCCTCTGAAAGTATTGGGATCACAGGCATAAGCAACTGTGCCTGGTCAAAATTTAAATTTTATTTAAAATGGCTAGGTGCAGTGGCTCGTGCCTATAATCCCAGTACTTTGGGAGGCTGAGGCGGGTGGATCACCTGAGGTGGGTGGATCACCTGAGGTCAGGAGTTCAAGACGAGCCAGACCAACATGATGAAACCCTGTCTCTACTAAAAATACAAAAATTAGCCGGGCGTGGTGGCGTGCACCTGTAGTCCCAGCTACTTGGGAGGCTGAGACAGGAGAATCACTTGAACCTGGGAGGCAGAGGTTGCAGTGAGCTGAGATCGCACCACTGCACTCCAGCCTGGGTGACAGAGTGAAACTCCGTCTCAAAAATAAATAAAAATAAAAGCATAAGTTTTATTTAAACTAGGTAATACATATACCAACATATTTAGTACAAAATTTATTTATTTATTTTTATTTTGAAAGTGGTGGCAAGAACCACAATTACTTTTGCACCAACTTAATGTAAGAAATACATAATAATTATAGAAAAAATATAAAATACACAGTAAACAAAAAGGAGAGGTTCAGATTTTCCCAATTCACATGATCCAGAAAAAATTACTATTATCAATTTGGTTTACAAACTTCTAAAGTTTTCCCAACCAAGTAGATGCATAGAAATTTATGCTTTTAAAAAGGTGTCTTACTTTACACATTGCTATGTAACCTGTTTATTTTTACTTACCAGTACATTTAAAGATACTATAATGTTAATAAATATGGAACTACATGATAGTTTTCAGTGATTGCGTAGTATTTCATTGTATGACTATACAATTAGTTTATTTAACTGTTTTTGCATTTTTGGACGTTTGAATTATTTTCGATTTTCCCCCCGCTATTGGTAAAGATGTGACAATAAAATTTTTTTTTTTTTTTGAGATGGAGTCTCGCTCTGTCACCCAGGCTGCAGTGCAGTGGCACGATCTCAGCTCACTGCAACCTCCGCCTCCAGGGTTCAAGCAGTTCTCTGCCTCAGCCTCCCAGGTAGCTCAGATTACAGGCACACTCCACCACGCCTGGCTAATTTTTGTATTTTTAGTAGAGACGGGGTTTCACTGTCTTGGCCAGGCTGGTCTTGAACTCCTGCCCTTGTGATCCACCTGCCTTGGCCTCCCAAGGCACTGGGATTACACGCGTGAGCCACCACATCCAGCTGAAAATTTTTTAGTATTTGTCTATATGCATTTGTTTTATTTTTTTTAGGAGAAATTACTAGAAGTGGTCCGGGGGCAGGGGCTCATGCCTATAATCTTAGCACTTTGGAAGACTGAGGTGGGAGGATCACTTGAGCCCAGGAATTCAAGACCCACTTGGGAAATATAGGGAGACCCTGTCTTTACAAAAAACAAAAAACTAGCCAGGCACAGTGGCATGCGCCTATAGTCCCCTGCTACTTTGGAGGCTGAGGTGGCAGGATCACTTGAGCCTGGGAGGTTGAGGCTGCAGTGAGTTGTGATTGTGCCACTGCACTCCAGCCTGGGCAACAGAGTGAGACCCTGTCTTAAAAAATATATATATTAGAAGTGGATTTAGTAAGCCAAAGGATTTATACTTTTTAGAATTTTTGATATTTTGCTGTTTTTTTCACAGAAATATTTTTCTTATTTATATCCTCACTCTCACTCTAGCATTGGATATTATTATTGTTATTTGAGATGAGGACTTGCTATGTTGCCCAGGCTAGTCTTGAACTCCTGAGCTCGACCAATCCTCCCGCCTCAGCCTCCTGAGTAGCTGGGAGGTATCTTTTTTAAAATTGTATTTATGTCATTACAGGAGAGAGAAACATTATGCTAATATTCATTGTCTATTTGTATTTCTTTTTTTAAAGAATCCTTAGGCCAGGCGTGGTGGCTTATGCATGTAATCCCAGCACTTTGGGAGGCCAAGGCATGAGGATGGCTTGAGGCCACGTGTTCCAGACCCAGCCTTGGCAACATAGTGAGACCCTGTCTCTAAACAAAAGGGTCTCTAAACATAGGGTGTCGTGATACCCACTTGTAGTCCTAGCTATTTGGGAGGCTGAGGCAGGAGGATCCTTTGAACCCAGGAATTTGAGACTGCAGTGATTTATGCTTGCAGCACCGCACTCTATCCTGGGTGACAGAGCAAGACCCTGTATAAAAAAAGAAAAAAATAATCCTTAACCTATTTGTCAACTAAAATATTTATCTTATTGATTTGTGAAAAAAAACACATTAATCTTTTGTCATAAGTTTTGCAATATGTTTGCAAAACTTGCAATATGCTTTTTTTTTTAACAACTAGTATCATCCAATGATTTGGAATGCTACATTTATCATAGACAAAATGCTTATACATGTGTGGGTTTGTTTCTGTTCCATTGATTTTTCTCTTTATTCTAGAAGTAGTACAACTTTGATTTATTATTGTAACTTTAAAATACACTTTGATATCTGATGTAGGGCACATATTTTTCCTAGATATAAATTTTCTAAACAATGTTATTGAGGTATAATTTGTGGGCAGTAAACTATACATACTTAAAATGTACAATTTGAAGAGTTTTGATGCATGTATACACACATGAAACCACCACCACAATCAGGATACCTAACACACACACACACAAACACACACACGATACCTAACATTTCCATCACTCTCCAAAATTTCATTGTGTCCTTTTACAATTCATCTTTTCTTCCATTTCTGTCCCCAGATAACCACTGATTTGCTTTCTATTCCCATAGATTAGTTTGAATTTTCTAGAATCTTATATAAATAGAAGCATACAGTAGGCACTCTTTCATGTCTGGCTTCTTCCACTCAGCATAATGGTTTAGAGATTCATTCATGTTTTTGTATGTATCAGCAATTTGTTCCTTTTTTGCAGAGTAGTAGTTCATTATATGACTATACCACATTTTAAAAAATCCTTTCCCTGTTGATGGACATGTGGGTTATTTCCCACTTTTCGCTATTACAAATAAAGTTGCCATGAGAACATTCATGTTTGTCTTTGTATGGAACACACATTGTATTTTCATTCCTCCTGCAGAAATATCTAAGAACAGAATGGCTGGGTCATGGGTAGGCATATGTTTAATTTTTAAAGAAACTGCCAATCTGTTTCCCAAAGTGTCATGTTTTACATTTTCCAAAGTAGGGCATATATTTAAATTTACTGAATTATATTCACAGAAGGACTGCCTCTAATTGTCTGCCCCTATGATTTGGTCAGACCTTTTAGCATTTTTCTTATAAGTTTTAGTGATAGATTACCATTATATTCTAAAATGAGCACATATTTTTAACTAGTTGCAGGGTTTTTTTAATTTGTTTGTTTCGTTTTGTTTTGTTTTTGAGACGGAGCTTTGCTCTTCTTGCCCAGGCTGGAGTGCAATGGCGTGATCTTGGCTCACCGCAACCTCCTGTCTCCCGGGTTCAAGCAATTCTTCCGCCTTAGCCTCCGAGTGGCTGGGATTACAGGCATGTGCCACCACACCCGGCTAATTTTGTATTATTTTTTTTTTAGTGGGGACGGAGTTTCTCCATGTTGGTCAGGCTGGTCTCTAACTCCCAACCTCAGGTGATCCACCCTCTGTTGCCCCCCAAAGTGCTGGGATTACACGCATGAGCCACCACACCTGGCCAACTAGTTGCAGTCTTAAAGACCTAGGTATTGCCACATCATTAAGTAGGTAACAGACTTAAATAATTTCTCCTTGTGAATCAATGTTTTTTATTTTGGTAAAAAAAAAACCCCACATAACATGGAATCTACCTTCTTACAAAATTATTAAGTGTACAGTATGGCATTTTTAACTATATGCACATTATAGTACAGCAGATCTCTAGATTTTTTTCTGTGAATCAGTTTAAATATGCATTTTGAAATAAACAGAAACATAATATTATATACAATTATCTTGGATTTGCTGGATTTTAATTGTGGCTCCTCTACTTATGAGATCTTAAACAAATTACTTGATCTCTCTGGGCCTCAGTCTCCTCATCTGTATAATGAGGATAATAATAATACTTACTTTGTAGGATTGTTGTTGCGATGGAAGGAAGAAAAAGCTGGAGCGTTGTCTGGTATGTAGTAAGCATCAATAAAAGTTACTAGTCAGGCTTGGTGGCATGTGTCTGTAGTCTGAGCTACTCAAGAGGCTAAGGAAGGAGGATATCTTGAGCCAAGGAGTTCAAGGCTCCAGTGAGCTATAATTGCACCACTGCACTCCAGCCTGGGCGACAGAGTAAGAACCTGTCTCTAAAAAATTTTAAAAGGCCAAGCACAGTGGCTGTCTTCTGTAATTCCAGCACTTTGGGAGACTGAGGCGGGAGAATCGCTTGAACTCAAGAGTTCATCAGCCTTACAACATAACAAGACTCCCATCTCTACAAAAAAGTTAACTATTAATGTTTTACCTCCTTTCACAGGAGGAATGAAAATTATAAAGCAGATGCTTTTTATTGAAAACCTGTTTTCAGTATTTTGATTAAAGAAATGTGTTCCATTTATAATTATTGTTATTTAACTACATATAGATTTATTATGTACAACTTAACATTCAAAACTACCTTCCATATTTTGTTTGTTTGTTTCTATACCAAGAAAGGGAAACAGAAAAGAGCTGATTTAATAATGGGTTATTGAAAGATTTAGGGACTTGAATATTTGCAAAATGGTATTATGATATAGAAAGAGTGCTGGATTAGGCGTCAGACAACATGGGTTAAAACTCGTGTTTGGCAAACTACTAATCATGCTTCTAGATCTGTAAAATGCAAATGATTATCCATGAACTTTCCACCTGTCAGGGCAGAAAAGAGGATCAAAATGAGCTAATTAATTTTTGCTAATTTCAGCAGAAACAGACTGACCTCTGTTTTGGCTAGAATCATGGGACATTTAACCTATAATAATGTTTTGCAAGTGCAAATTCCTTAGGGAAATAAACAGCCAGAACTTACTACCAGAAGTTCCTGAGGTCTAATTCCATCTTTTCAAGAAGGCTTTTTGATCTGGATAATTACTTACTTCTTAATTTGTCAAATAAATTTAATTTTTACCATATGGAGCCCTGTTGAGAGCTCACTTATTAAAATCTTTTTCCTTTCCTAGGCTTGTTTACAAATTGATCCTGCTGACAGGATATCATCTAGTGATCTTTTGCATCATGAGTATTTTACTAGAGATGGATTTATTGAAAAGTAAGCATTTTGAGTGAATGTGGGTTTTTTAAAAGCATTTTGTATTGGGAAATTTTACTAGCAGGAAAATTGCTGTATAGGTTACTTTTATATAACAAATATTCAGTTTAACAAAAATTTATTGAGTTATTGTATCAGGTATTGACTAGGAAGACAGCAGACTTAACAAGTGTCACGAATGAAAAGCCTAATAATAGGATGGGCATAGTGGCTCACACCTGTAATCCCAGCACTTTGCGAAGCTGAGGCAGGCAGATTGCTTGAGCCCTGGAGTTCACGACCGGCCTGGGCAACATAGAGAGACCCCTGTCTCTACAAAAAATACAAAAATTAGCAAGGTGTGGTGGCACACGCTTGTAGTCCCAGCTACTCGGGAGGCTCAGGTGGGAGGATTGCTTAAACCCCAGAGGTGGAGGTTGCAGTGAGCTGAGATTGCACCACTGCACTCCAGCCTGGGTGACAGGTTGAGACCCTATCTCAAAAAAAGAAAAAGAAAGTCTAATAATAAAAAGTAATTGCAACTAACATTCGTTACACAGTTACCATGTCCTAGGCAGTGTGCTCTGCTCTTTACATACTACAGTTTCAGTGTCATCATAGACCAGAGATAACATTAAATAAGCAATCAATACTTCTTAGCTTTATTCCTGTTTGGACCTCTGACTCAGAGAATAGTCTGGTTTTTCCTCTTCTGATGACATTCATTTATCATAATTAGCATGCACTTCCCAAATGATTTTTTTTCTACTTATTCTCTGTTGCAGTGCTTGTTGTCTTTTTTTTTTTGAGATGAAGTCTCGCTTTGTTGCCCAGGCTGGAATGCAGTGGCACAATCTCGGCTGACTACAAACCTCCATCTCCCGGGTTCAAGCAATTCTCCTGCCTCAGGCTCCAGAGTAGCTAGGATTAGAGGCACATGCCACCACGCCTGGCTAATTTTTGTATTTTTAGTAGAGATGGGGATTTTGCCATTTTGGCCAGGCTGGTCTCAAACTCCTGACCTCAGGTGATCCACCCGCCTTGGCCTCCCGAAGTGTTGGGATTACAGGCATGAGCCATTGCGCCCGGCTGCAGTGCCTGTTGTTGTATCCTACCCATGAAATTGGAAGTTCCCTGAAGACAGGTGCCATGCTTCTTATGGCCCTTCTGTGCCCCACATTGCCTATGACATGCCCAGCATATAATCTGTATTACAATTTAGATTCATGAATCAGCCATATTTCTAAAAAAACACCATTTTCTATTTGGGCTTTGAAAGAAACAGGAAAAGTTTCTCATTAACTGTAAAACCATTCAGCTTGTCTTTGGACGTGACGTTAGAAAGATGGACATCCATTAAAAATGTGATGGAGCTAAGGTCAGATATGGAAGAGTCCAGGAACTGCTATTGGAGATAGACTAAATAGAAAAAAGCGAAGAGAATCCTTGAGGGTGACTAGAACTTTGCGCATTTCAGGAATTTTACTCTAAAACAAACAATAAGATGATATATTTAAAGTGCCATTGGCAAGGTGCTGCAGCTCATGTCTGTAATCCCAGCATTTTGGGAGGCCAAGGTGGGCAGATCAACTGAGGTCAGGAGTTCAAGACCAGCCTGGTCAACATGGTGAAACCCCATCTCTACTGAAAATGCAAAAACTTAGCTGGGCGTGGGCATGTGCCTGTAGTCCCAACTACTCAGGAGGCTGGGACAGGAGAGTCATTTGAACCCAGGAGGCTGAGGCTGCAGTGAGCTGAGATCACACCACTGCACTCCAGTCTGGGTGACAGAGCCAGACTCCGTCTCAAAAAATAAAAGAATAGGCCGGGCTTGGTGGCTCACACCTGTAATCCCAGCACTTTGGGAGGCCGAGGCGGGCAGATCACGAGGTCAGGAGATCAAGACCATCCTGACTAACGCGGTGAAACCCCGTCTCTACTAAAAATACAAAAAACAAAATTAGTTGGGTGTGGTGGCGGGCCCCTGTAATGCCAGCTACTCAGGAGGTTGAGGCAGGAGAATGGTGTGAACACGGGAGGCAGAGCTTGCAGTGAGTGGAGATCGTGCCACTGCACTCCATCCTGGGTGACAGAGCGAGACTCTGTCTCAAAAAATAATAATAAATAAATAAATATAATAAAAAATAAAATGAAGTGCCATTGATAAAAAGTGGCAGTTATTGGCTGGGCATGGTAGCTGATGCCTGTAATCCCAGCACTTTGGAAGGCCGAAGCAGGCGGATTGCTTGAACGTAGGAGTTCAAGACCAGCCTGGGCAACATGGCAAAACCCTGTCTCTACAAAAAATACAAAAATTATCTGGGTGTGTTGGTGTATACCTGTAGTCCCAGCTACTACGGAGGCTGAGGTAGGGGATTTCTTGAGCCCAGGAGGTCAGGGTTGCAGTGAGCCATGAGTGTGTCACTGCACTGCAGCCTGGGCAACAGAGAGAGACCGTGTCTGAAAAGAAAAGATGCCAGTTATTGAATTAAGAGGTTGCTTCATATCACTTCTACACAGACGAAGTTTATTTTTCTTGGACATTTAGATATTAGGCTTCTATTATTGTGGGGTGAAAGTACCTTGAGTTCAATTTATAGAATCCTCAGAAGAGTGGGCTGGACTAGGGAAGAATTCATTCATGGGCTGATGTTTTAAAACCTTCCCAAACTGATAGCTGTAGCTGCTTCAAGGAGGGGACTTGTGCAGTTCAGGGAAGGGGTGGGAAGGAAACTTTTCAGTATGGACTTTTGAACTTTGAACCACATGAATGGACTTTCTAATCAAAAATAACTTTTAAAAAGAAAGAAATCAAACTAAAACCAAAATAATCTCTCTCCAATATGAAGGTATTCTGTTACATTTCTCTAGAGTAAGATTTTAGAAGTTAGTTAGTTCATTTTTAAAGTTCTATTACTTTAAAGAACCACAGCTGGGTGCAGTGGCTGACGCTTGTAATCCCAGCAACTTTGGGAGGACGAGGCAGGTGGATCACCTGAGATTGGGAGTTGGAGACCAGCCTGACCAACATGGAGAAACCGCGTCTCTACTAAAAATACAAAATTAGCTGGGTGTGGTGGCACATGCCTGTAATCCCAGCTACTCAGGAGGCTGAGGCAGAATCGCTTGAACCCAGGAGGTGAAAGTTGTGGCGAGATGAGATTGTGCCATTGCACTCATGCCTGGGCAACAAGAGCGAAACTCCATCTCAAAAAAAAAAGAAGAACCACAGAAAAGGTCAAAGTGGTCTGAGTCTTCCTTAAAAATAACAGTATCTTTATCAAAATTAAAAGCAATATTTTTCTGAGTAAAGTTTGCATCGCAGAAGGAATCTAATTAGTATAAATCTATTTTGTAAAAGTTTTATATAGTAGGTTCCCATAGCATAATTTTCGAAAGATGTATCTTTAGAAGAAAGCAATTTTTATTAGGTAAATGTTGGGCCATCTCTTGACATGCATTATAGTTAGCATTATTTATGCTGTAGCTGAAATGTACATTAATTGATGAAATGGTTTATTCAAGATAAAATACTCCATCTGCATATATAAAAAGATTACTCGTTGATATTGCTTGTTTTGTCAGATTCATGCCAGAACTGAAAGCTAAATTACTGCAGGAAGCAAAAGTCAATTCATTAATAAAGCCAAAAGAGAGTTCTAAAGAAAATGAACTCAGGAAAGATGAAAGAAAAACAGTTTATACCAATACACTGCTAAGTAGTTCAGTTTTGGGAAAGGTAAGAACTTTGGTTTTTGTTTCAGCCAGTATAATTATATTATAGTTAGACTCTAATGACAAAAATAACTGTTATGATGACTCAGATTTTGGATGTATCTATTCCAGGAAATAGAAAAAGAGAAAAAGCCCAAGGAGATCAAAGTCAGAGTTATTAAAGTCAAAGGAGGAAGAGGAGATATCTCAGAACCAAAAAAGAAAGAGTATGAAGGTGGACTTGGTCAACAGGATGCAAATGAAAATGTTCATCCTATGTCTCCAGATACAAAACTTGTAACCATTGAACCACCAAACCCTATCAATCCCAGCACTAACTGTAATGGCTTGAAAGAAAATCCACATTGCGGAGGTTCTGTGACAATGCCACCCATCAATCTAACTAACAGTAATTTGATGGCTGCAAATCTCAGTTCAAATCTCTTTCACCCCAGTGTGAGGTGAGCTGTAACAGAGAAGAAACCTAAATAATACAACATTCCTGTATAATGGTATTTCAAAGAATCGTGTTCATAGTGTCTGTATGTAAACTGAACTTGAAGAAAATATATTGAAATTAAAGCTGTATAATGGGCCATTTACTGAGTGTTTCTTATGGATGCTGTAGAAGAAATTAACTTTTCTTGGCCATATAGATGTTTAAATTTTCACTAATGTCTTCTTGAAAAACCTTATTAAAAAAAAAGACCCTTTGAAAAATGTTTTTATTTTTGAAGAGAAAAAAAGTTGGTATGTCCTAAGTTCTGGTATCAATGTGCCTTGGTATAACAAAATATTTATTTCTGTATCATAGCAAATTCTCTAAGTGGAGAAAGGATAGTAAAAAAATAATCTTTCGTAAGTCAAATAGCCTTTCAAGGTGAAATATTTTGGGAGAAAAATAGCATATTAGGCCAGTTTTAGATTTAACCTCTGATACAGATTGAGAGACTGGTCCATGAGTCTGGTTAATCAAGGGCAGTGTGATGGATGGTGAGAGTTTGTCCAACAAGGCAGTAAGGCCACTTCAAAATTTAGGGAGGCTACTGTCATTCTAGGGGAGGAGACTGGGTTCATTAGCCCAAGAGGATTCTAGCAGACTGGTTTGGGCCACAGGTTGTGAAGCCCAGTGGTCTGCAGAGGTGAGCAAGTGGACATGTCCATGTCAGTCCAAAGGTACAGCAGGTTACAGACTGCAAGAGCCTAGTTGTTCTTGAGGTGATCCCAAAACCATGGTATCAGTAACAATGGTTGTAAGCCAGTCAGTCTTGGACAGTAAGTTCATAAATTGAGAAAGCTGATAGTTAAGAGAACCAAATTCAGAACAGGTAGAAGGGAGCAAGTAGGCCAGCAGGAGTAACCCCACAACATGCCTGTCACCACTGATGTAAACATGCACTAATTGTTCTCTGCCCTGTTACCACCTCTCTCCTAAGGGCAATTGGTAGGTAAGGACTCACTATTGCATTTTGGTACTCAGTGTTCAAACAGTAGACTTCCAAGCCATAATTTATTCATTCTTGAAGCTAAAACAAAGGCATTTCGGCCGGGCATGGTGGCTCGTGCCTGTAATCCCAGCAATTTGGGAGGCCAAGGCGAGTGTATCACTTTAGCTCAGGAGTTCGAGACCAGCCTGGCCAACATGGCAAAACCCTGTCTCTACAAAAAATACAAAAATTAGTTGGGCATGTTGGAGCACACCAGTAATCCCAGCTACTTGGGAGGCTGAGGCAAGAGAATCACTTGAACCCAGGAGACAGAGGTTGCAGTGAGCCAAGATCATGACACTGCACTCCAGCCTGGGTGACAGAGTGAGAATCTGCCAAAAAAAAAAAAAAAAAAAAAAAAGCATTTCTGGGGAGTTTTAGTAACTTCTCATTCATTTTTAAATAATAGGTTAACTGAAAGAGCAAAAAAGAGACGCACTTCTTCACAATCTATTGGACAAGTTATGCCTAATAGCAGGCAAGAGGATCCAGGTCCTATTCAAGTAAGGCAAGAAGCTACACATTAAAATATGGCCTCTTTTAACATTACTTCTTTTTTCCTTTTCTCTATCTTTAGGGCTCTAATACTTTTTTGTTTGTTTGTTTTGTTTTTTTGAGAGAGGATCTCTCTCTGTTGCCCAGACTGGAGTGCAGTGGTACGATCTCAGCTCACTGCAGCCTCGACCTCCTGGGCCCAAGCAATGCTCCCACCTCAGCCTCCCAAGTAGCTGAGACTTCAGGCACATGCCACCATGCCCAGCTAATTTTGTTCATTTTTTTGTAGCGACAAAGTCTCACTATGTTGCCCAGGCTGGTCTCAAACTCCTGAGCTCAAGGGATCCTTCCGCCTCAGCTTCCCAAAGTGCTAGGATTACAGGTGTGAGCCAACGCACCCAGCCTCTAACACTTCTAAAAATGTGCTTTAAGTTTCTTTTTTTCTTCCTGAGTTGAAAATAGGCCATTATTTTCTAAGTGCTTTCACAATTAATTAAGTTCATATATCTTAATTTATCACAATTAATTAAGTTCATATATCTTAATTTATGTATTTAACATGTGACTTAGGCAGAGTAAGTTAAGATTTCCACCTTTGAAAGTCACAAGAAGTTTTGTTTTTTTCACTCCCAAAAAATGTTTTTAATATCTTTATGGATTAAAAACAATTGCCAAATAAACACAACTTATTTTCACTAGAAAAAATAATCAAAATAATCGATGTAGTTCATCCCCCTCCCAACTTTTGTTTTGTTTTGTTTTTGGCTTATTTTGCATTATTCATCGCTAATGGGACCTCACAACTTTTTACATAGGAAATTGATTTATTCAAAATTGAAGCACAATGTTAATTATAATAACAAAAAACTGAAAACAATACAAACCTGTCCAAAAGCAGATGACTAAGTACATTAGGGTACATTCATACAGTGGAATACTAAACATTACATTGTGGAAGAGTGTTCATTGATCTAGACAAGATTTTATCATCTGTTTTCAAATGAACAAAAATCTGGTAACACAGAAGGTTTCCCAGATGCTGGATGTGCAATACATTTTTTCCTTTGGGTTTTCCCAGTGTTTACAAAGCATATCATTTTCTAGGTAGATAAAGAAGTTATTAAGAAAATGAACTGAAGCAATTTGTTCAAAGTCAGAGTGCAGTGAATAGTATTAAAAATGAAAAGTTAAGTTTGTGGTTCTGGCCAGGCACAGTGGCTCTCACCTGTAATCCTAGCATTTTGGGAGACTGAGCTGGGAGGATTGCTTGATCCCAGGAATTTGAGATCAGCCTGGGCGACATAACGGACCCTGTCTGTACAAAAAATGAAATAAAATAAATTAGTCGTGTGTGGTGGCATGTGGCTGTGGTTTCAGACTCGGGGGCTAAGATGGGACTATGGCTTGAGCCCAAGAGGTTGAGGCTGCAGCCGTAATGGCGCCACTGTATTTCAGCCTGGACAACAAAGCAAGACTCTGTCTTAATAATAATAATAATAATAATAATAAGGCCAGATGCAGTGGCTCATGTTTGTAATCCCAGCATTTTGGGAGCCCAAGGCAGAAGGGTCACTTGAGCCCAGGAGTTTGAGATCAGCCTAGTCAACCTAACAAGACCCCATCTCTACGAAAAATTTAAAAATTAACCAGGCATGGTGGTATGTGCCTGTAGTCCCAGTTACTTAAGAGACTGAGGTGGGAAGATCACTTGAGCCCAGGGGGTTGACGCTGCAATGAGTCATGATCATGCCAATGCACTCAAAATAATAATAATAATAATAATATTATTATTATTATTATTATTGTGGTTCTCATGACCAAGACTATTATGCTCAGAATATTAAATATGCTAGAAATGTTTGCTTTATGAAACTTTTATTGGAGTTTGATCTGTTGATATGTTCAATAGTGTTCTATTCTAAATCTTCTTAATTATTAAATTAATTGTTATGTCTATCTTATACCATCCAAATGGCTAGCAATTCTAGGATTGTCATTCTACAAATAGTTAGACACATTTCTTCAACTAACTCTTGTTTGTTTGTTTAGAGCCAAATGGAGAAGGGTATATTTAATGAGCGAACAGGTCACAGTGACCAAATGGCAAATGAGAACAAAAGGAAGCTGAATTTTTCCAGATCTGACAGGAAAGAATTCCATTTTCCAGAATTGCCTGTCACAATACAGTCAAAAGATACAAAAGGAATGGAAGGTACACATTTGTTGCATAGCTTTACAATTATGATGATATCATTTATAAGATTTTTTCATAATATAACTTACATTTTATAGTGTGATTTAGGTAGAAAATAGTAAATTGGTGAGGAAAACATTTCAGCTGATGAGATTTTCTCCCCATTGTCAAATAAGGGGTATGATTTTAAGGAGATAATTTTAAAGAGGCTTAGGCGTGTAATCCCAGCATTTTGGGAGGCCAATGCAGGAGGATTGCTTGGGCCCAGGAGTTTGAGACAAGCCTGGGCAACATAGCAAAACCCTGTCTCTACAAAAAATAAAATAGCTTGGTGTGGTGGTGTGTGCCTGTAGTCCCAGCTACTCCAGAGGCTGAGGTAGGAGGATTGCTTGACCCAGGAAGTTGAGACTGCAGTGAGCCATGATCACGCCACTGTACTGCACTCCAGGATGACATAATGAGACCCTGTCTCTAAAAAAAAAAAATTTTTTTTTAATTAAAAAGAAAAATAAAGAGAGGTTAAGACAGCTTTAAAAGGTAAATTATTAAAATTTATTTATTTATTTATTTATTTAAGACAGAGTCTCACTCTGCTGCCCAGGCTGGAGTGCAGTGTTGCAATCTCAGCTCAGTGCAACCACCACCTCCCAGGTTCAAGTGATTCTCGTGCCTAGCCTCCTGAGTAGCTGGGACTACAGGTGCCCACCAACACGCCTGGCTAATTTTTGTATTTTTAGTAGAGACGGGGGGGGGGTTCCACCATTTTGGACAGGCTGATTTCGAACTCCTGACCTCAGGTGATCCACCTGTCTCAACCTCCCAAAGTGCTGGGATTACAGGCGTGAGCCATTGCAGCTGGCTGCAAAGGATAAATTTTTTATTAGCTCAATGTTGTTGAAATGTTAGAATAGTATTTGAGAAATTTGTTTAGTATATGACCTGGGGTAAATTGCCTTTCTATGTTTCTTCATGATCATTTACCCATATAGTAGCAGAAATTTTATATGTATTTTGAGCATCCAAGGATTAAATATATAAGATTTATAGGCTGGGCACAGTGGCTCACACCTGTAATCCCAGCACTTTGGGAAGCCAAGGTGGGCGGATCACCTGAGGTCAGGAATTTGAGACCACCCTGGCCAATATGGCAAAACCCCATCTCTATTAGCCAGGCATGGTGGCTCATGCCTGTAATCCCGGCTACTTGGGAGGCTGAGGCAGGAAAATCACTTGAAACCGGGAGGCGGAGGTTGCAGTGAGCCGAGATCGCGCCACTGCACTCCAGCCTGGGTGACAGAGTGAGACTCCATCTCAAAAAAAAAAAAAATTTATGAACTTAAGATTTATATCAGAATGAAACGCACTTTTGTCTTGAATAAATGTTATGTTTCTTTGAAGAACAGTGACACCTTGTGAAAAATTAATATAATAGCAAGAATATCATCCTTGTACAGTTCAAGAGGAATTATCTGATCCACTTAACAGTTACACTGAGAATAATAAAATAAAATAAAATAAAATAAATGTCTTATTTTAATACTTAGTAGACTATTTGTAAAGTTATAAAACAAATAATTTACCATATTTTACCATTACAACTCATAATTTATTTTGTTCCTTTGTAATAAACTGAGAAACTGACTTAGTGGATTTCTATTTGAAATTCTTGGAAAGGAAAGTAAAATTTCAAAGTAGGAATAACAAATTTTCATTGTTTTGTATATTTTTGCAAAAGTTAAACAGATAAAAATGCTGAAGAGGGAGTCAAAGAAAACAGAGTCATCTAAGATACCAACTTTACTTAACGTGGATCAAAATCAAGAAAAACAAGAGGTAACTCTTTTTGTATATAGCTTTTACTAAGGCATGTTGTTTAGAGGACTTGACTCAGTGTATAAATTTAGTTATTACTATTGGAAAGCTATATAAAAATTCAAAATTTTATAATCTTTGAACTAAAGAAACAGATCTATATTTTCCTAGAATAACCCATTAATAAAAGTTTCTAAAAGTTATTTTTTGGTGGGTAATGTTGAATGATTAGAATGCATGGCACCCAGGGAAAATATTATCTGTATTGTGTGTAGTGTCAGATATCAGGCAGGTAAGTCAGACTAGTGAAAATGAATAATGGTATAAATATATGGTTATATGGCCACAAGCATGTGTGTCTTTGCCTTTAAGCCTCTTCCTTCCTTCGTTTTCTCTCCAGTTTATTCCCTTATCTCTGCTGTCTGCCTGCTGTCCTATTTTCACAAATATTTGCTCTCAGCTAACTATCAGGTAATCTTGTTGAAATATTCCCAGTCCCTACCCACCAGAGAGATTCTCAAATTTTATTTGAAAATCTTGAAGCCTGTAATATCCAAATGAATGCTCTATAAAGACAGTCTTTTAAGAGAGAGAGATTGTGCTGAGCACCCACTGAATTAAATCATATCGATGGCCTCCTATTCTACACTTGTGAGGTCATCTCTGTATGTGATTTATCAACTTCTGTTTTTGTGTTTGTTTGTTTGTTTGTTTGTTTGTTTTTGAGACGGAGTGTCTCTCTGTTGCCCAGGCTGGAGTGCAGTGGCGCGATCTCGGCTCACTGCAACCTCTGCCTCCCGGGTTCAAGCAATTCTCCTGCCTCAGCCTCCCAAGTAGCTGGGACTACAGGCACACGCCACCACACCCAGCTATTTTTTTTAAAAAATATTTTTAGTAGAGACGGGGTTTCACTGTGTTAGCCAGGATGGTCTCGATCTCCTGACCTCGTGATCCACCCGCCTGGGCCTCCCAAAGTGCTGGGATTATAGGTGTGAGCCGCCGCATCTGGCCCAACTTCTGTTTTTTTAAAAAATAAAATTTATTACAGTTTTACTCATGATAAAATTAGTAAATACTTATTAAGAAAATTTGAAGAAATTAAAAATATTTTAAAAAATCTGAAACTCTGTAAGAAGGCATTTTAACAAGGCTACTTGATCTCTATAATATTTGGATAGAGGGTTATCAGACACTATTAGATGTATTCTCACTGTGACATTTAGGGCTATCTCTTTAGTCTTGGCCTAGAGCTTGTTAAGAACTCCACAGTCCACTTTGCAGAGAAGAAATGTTGTAGAACAAGAATGCCATTAGGCCGGGCACAGTGGCTCACACCTGTAATCCCAGCACTTTGGGAGGCTGAAGAGGGTGGATCACCTGAAGTCAGGAGTTCAAGACCAGCCTGGCCAATGTGGTGAAACCCCTTCTCTACTAAAAATACAAAAATTAGCTGGGTGTGGTGGCTCATGCCTGTAATCCCAGCTACTCGGGAGGCTGAGGCAGGAGAATTGCTTGAACCTGGGAGGCGGAGGTTGCGCAGTGAGCTGAGATCAAACCATTGCACTCCAGCCTAGACAACAAGAGTGAAACTCCGTTTAAAAAAAAAAAAATCCATTAATAGTCATCTTTCGGTTCATTATAAAAAGTAATAAGGTGGCTTTAAACTTTTAAATTTGGGTGACATACTCATGTCACAGCACGTTGCACAGCATACCATTTGCACATTTTTTCAATCATTGGGTGAGTTAGGGCTCCTGAGGTAGGCAGACTATTAATGTGCCTCATGTGTTTATCCCATTGTCCTGTGAGAGTCCCCAGGAACTAAAATTACTTTCTAGTCCAGGAAAAAAGGAACTCTGCAGGAAAAAAGACCCTTCTGTGATTTTTAGGATAAATAATAAATTAAGGAGGGAAAACATCTTCTTGTTCATATGATATAGAACTCCAGAAAAAATGAAGTCATCAGTGTTGATTATAGTTTATTTGTACTGCTTATTCAAATGCAGCTCTGACAAGTGACTGAAATTGCATAAAAGGCTAGTACAACTGGTTTTAATAAATGTCAGAATTAAGAACATTTCTTAAATTTTGAGCCTGTAGTTTATTTTAGAGCATGAAAGAATATGACATATTTTTAAAAACATAAGATAGGGAATTGCTAGTTATTTTTTCTATTCTTGGCTCTGTATTGACTTGGTTTTCGAATTATACAATCAGATCCAAGCACTTCTCAGGTTTACTTTATTTTTTATTATTTATTTATTTATTTATTGAGACAGAGTCTCACTCTGCCACTTAGGCTGGAGTACAGTGGTGTGATCTTAGCTCACTGCAACCTCCACCTCCTGGGTTCAAGCAATTTTCCTGTCTCAGCCTCCTGAGTAGCTGGGATTACAGGTGCCTGCCACCATGCCTGGCTAATTTTTGTATTTTGAGTAGAGACGGGGTTTCACCATGTTGTCCAGGCTGGTCTCGAACTCCTGACCTCAGGTAATCTGCCTGCCTTGGCCTCCCAAAGTGCTGGGATTACAGGTGTGAGCCACCACGCCCTGCCAGGTTTACTTTTTAAACTCTTTCAGCTATCTCAAATGTGCGTGCATGCATTGAATAGGTTCTATAACCAGAGAGAGACTAAATTACTGGGAATGAGTGAGTTAGGCAAGAGAGAAAAGAGTCCATACAAAGGCCACCTTTTGTTTTGTTGGATGATAATGATAAGGAATACATTGCTAAATAGTTTCCCTGTACCTTATGAAACAACCCATAGGGGCAAAGTACAAGTATTTATCTCTGGCTGTATTTCCTTAGCCAAAGACTCACCATGTCCTCAATTAAAGACCTGTTTCTATTTACTTTTTAGAATACAGGAAATGCACAAACTGAAAGGAAGAAGAACTTGCCAGATGTAGAGTAGAAAATGCAGCAGCTGAAAATTCAGGGAATCCCAGAATCACTGTATGGTTTTTTAAAAATCCTTTTTATTAATGTTACATACACAAAAATGCTAACTAGATAATTTTACAGGTATATCGTAAATCCTGTTAGTTATATGTACATTCACCTAAATTTGTTTTTAAATTTATTAATCTTTAAATTATTCATGTTTTCTTAATTTGAACATGAATTTATAAAAACTACCTGACTGGTACATCCTAATAAAATTGCAGCTTACATTTAGTCATATAATTTTATTTGATCACCTATTATTTCAATCATACTTGATGAGTGGTCATTCTTAGCATTGGTTTAGGGCTTTATAATTACAGAAGGAAAAGTTTCTAAATATGTGATAAAGTAAGATCCTGATGTCTGGGAACACCAAACATTTCTGAGCAAACAAATATACTTGATAACCATGTAACATGGGTTTGGCTTTACACTGAACTTTCTGGAGCAGCATTTAAACATATCATGAAGATTGTTTAAAAGGATGGAAATTGGTCGGGCATGGTGGCTCACGCCTGTAATCCCAGCACTTTGGGTGGCCGAGGCAGGTGGATCATGAGGCCAGGAGTTCGAGACCAGTCTGGCCAGCATGGTGAAACCCCATCTCTACTAAAAATGCAAAAAATTAGCCGGACATTGTGGCGTGCACCTGTAATCCCAGCTACTCAGAGGTGGAGGCAGGAGAATTGCTTGAACCCGGGAGGCGGAGGTTGTAGTGAGCCGAGATCACGCCACTGCACTCCAGCCTGAGCACAGAGCGAGACTCCATCCCGCTGCCCCCCGCAAAAAAAAAGATGGAAGTTGAGCAAGGCATTGAAGCAAATCTTTTGGCTTGACTAGCATGTTTATAATTTAGTAATTTACATGTAATTTAGCATTAATAAAGTCAGAGTTTTGGTAGCATATATTTACATTCCAGTCCCTGATTCTTACTAGCTTGGTTTCTAATTTTAGGGTGGAGATGGCCATTGCGAGGGGAAGAATTTGAAGAGAAACAGGTTTTTTTTCTGGTAGTGTCTTTTCTTTTACATAGTCCAAAAAATACAAGATGACAACTCTTCCCGTTTTATTTATCTACAATAGAAGTGTGATGTGAGTTGTTGTTAAGACAGCCATCCATGTGCATGAGCATCATCCAGCTTTTTTTGTTAGCAAAACATTTACTGTTTTCTTTTCCCTTTTAAGACTCTGTTGATGTGATAATTTGATTTGGAATTATAAAGTCATCTCTTCTCTGCCTACTTCTTTTTTTTGCCATGATTACTGAGTGGATAACACAAGCCGTGACATGATACAAACTGTACTTATACTTAATGATCTCTGCCTTCTTGTAGCCACATAACTTCGAGTCAGTTATCTCCTATAACACACAGGCCTCTTTAAATGAGTTCTTAATAAAATATTTGAGCCGTTGTTTTAAAAGCTATTCATGGCTGGGTGCAATGGCTCATGCCTGTAATCCCAACACTTTGGGAGGCTGAGGCAGGCGGATCACTTGAGGTCAGGAGTTCGAAACCAGCCTGACCAACACGGTGAAACACCATCTCTACTAAAAATGCAAAAATTAGCTGGGTGTGGTGGTGCACAGCTGTAATCCCAGCTACTCAGGAGGCTGAGACAGGAGAATCGCTTGAATCCGGGAGGCCAAGGTTGCAGAGAGCCAAGATCATGCCATTGCACTCCAGCCTGGGAGATAAGAGTGAGGCTCTGTCTCAAAACACACACACACACACACACACACACACACACACACACACACACACACACACACACAAACTATTCATGGTTGGGCACAGTGGCTCATGCCTGTAATCCAGCACTTTGGGAGGCTGAGGTGGGCAGATCACCTGAGGTCGGGAGTTTGAGACCAGCCTGACCAACATGGAGAAACCCCATCTCTACTAATAATACAAAAATTAGCCGGGCGTGGTGGCACATGCCTGTAATCCCAGCTACTCGGGAGGCTGAAGCACGAGAATCGCTTGAACCCGGGAGGCGGAGGTTGTGGTGAGCCGAGATCGTGCCATTGCACTCCAGCCTGGGCAACGAGAGTGAAACTCCGTCTCAAAAAAAAAAAAGAAAGAAAAAAAGAAAGAAAAAACTATTCATTACATTACATGGTTAAAAATATGTTCTGTTGGTCAGCAATGAAAGCACTTATTTATAATTTAGCAGCATCTCTGGTCTAAAAATAAAGAAAATATATAATGTTTATAAAATATTTAAAAATAATGTGGTATTCAAATGTTAAATTGTTTTATCTGTGATCTGAGGGACCAAAATAGGTGCCACTTTATCAACTAAGATGGACCCTAACGTTAAGGAAACAAAAATTACCTCTGGGTTGAGGGTTTAGGGCTCAGCTTGCATGACAACTTTCTAAATTCCTAGGCTGTAAGAAAAATCACACTCTTGCTGGGCACGGTGGCTCACGCCTATAATCCCAGCACTTTGGGAGGCCAAGGCAGGCGGATCACCTGAGGTCAGGACTTCGAAACCAGCCTGACCAACATGGCAAAACCCTGTCTCTAGTAAAAATACAAAAATTAGCCAGGTGTGGTGGTGCACGCCTGTAATCCCAGCTACTCGGGAGCCTGAGGCAGGAGAATCACTTGAATCCGGGAGGCAGAGGTTGCAGTGAGCTGGATGGGGCCACTGCACTCCAGCCTGGAAGACAAGAGTGAGACCAAGTCTCAAAAAAAAAAAAAAAAAGAAAAGAAAAGAAAAAGAAAAACCACACTCTTGCTAAACTCCCTAACAACAGGAGCTGTCAGGCAAATTCCTAATCCTGATTTACAACCTAGACTACTACACCTCTGAATGAATAGAGATCCGTGTGTGTGCGTGCGTGTGTGTGTGTGTGTGTGTGTGTGTGTGTGTGTAGAGACAGGGTCTTGTTCTGCTGCCCAGGCTGGTCTTGAACTCCTGACCTCAAGCAGTCCTTTCACCTTGGCCTCCCAAAGTTTTGGGATTACAAGCATGAGCCAGCACGCCTTGACGCAAACATTCTTTCCTGATAAGCAACTATAGACCTTAAGTAAGTTTCAGCCAGTTTATAGAGGCTGCACAAACTGTCTTTATGTCTTATAGTTCACCTTTTGATGTAAAGAGACAAATTCTACCTCATCTTAATGCTTGAAGTCCCATTCCAAAGTGAACATGGGATGTATATTATATTTATATGTGTTTGCCCATTGCACATGTGCTCTGTTCCTCTCATAAATATGTAAAACTTTCCCTGCAAATCTGCTGAATATGTATGACTGTCTTGTGTTGTACAGGCCGTGTAAGGCATAAAACCCAACCTGCTCTTTTCCTCTTTGAAGAGAAAGCACCTTCAGTCCATGCTGGAGATTGTCTTTTCCTGGTTTGCAAACTGGTATCACCAATAAAATTCCTTTTTTCTACTATTTAGCCATCTTGGTGGTCTTTTGGATGACATATTCTCTTAAATAATTGTCAGCACTCAGCTGGGTGTGGTGGCTCACGCCTGTAATCCCAGCACTTTGGGAGGCCGAGGCAGGCAGATCACGAGGTCAGGAGATTGATACCATCCTGGCTAACATGGTGAAACCCCGTCTCTACTAAAAAATACAAAAAATTAGCTGGGTGTGGTGGTGGGCACCTGTCGTCCCAGCTACTTGGGAGGCTGAGGCAGGAGAATGGCGTGAACCCGGAAAGTGGAGGTTGCAGTGATCTGAGATTGTGCCACTGCACTCCAGCCTGGGCAACAGAGCGAGACTCCATCTAAAAAAATAAAAAATAAAAAATTGTCAGCATTCTTCTAGTTTCCTAGTTCCATCTCATAATGCCTTCTATGTGGTACAGACTTGTTCTATTTCATAAAGTATACAATGTACAACCCAGCACTACCAAAATTCTGAATCTTCCTGTTCTTCAAAAAATAATAAAATTGGATTAACTGGTGTTTTACCAGGACTCTACCTCATTTTATATTTACTAAAGAAACATGAAAAACAAAGGAAAACATAACTTATTATAATATTGTGATCTCTGTTAATCTCAAAAAAGCTTGATTAGAATTGATAGCTGAGGACATTATACATAATATACCTTTCTAACAGACTCCCTGGTGGCCTCAGCAACTATTAGGTTGGTGCAAAAGTAATTGCTCCTCTAGGGAAATCAAGAGTTATTCCTGTGGTAGGTTCAACAGGTATAAATCTGCTGATTGCCTGTTGTATTCATATATTTGTTGATCCTTACTCCAGTGTCAAAGATTGTCCATTTTCAGGAGTCAATTTCTACAAAAATGCCTACTGGAATTTTGATGGGCTTGTTTTAAATCTATGCATCAATTTGAGAATGGATATCTTAACAATATCAAGGCCAGGCATGGTGGCTTGCACCTGTCATCCTGGCATTTCAGGAGGCCGAGGCAGGCAGATCACTTGAGGTCAGGAGTTGAAAGCAGCCTGGCCAACATGGTGAAACCCTGACTCTACTAAAAATTTAAAAAATTAGCTGTATGTGGTGGTAGGCACCTGTAATCCCAGCTACTTGGGGGAGGCTGAGGCAGGATAATTGCTTGAACCCAGGAGGTGGAGGTTGCAGTGAACCGAGATTGCACCACTTCACTCCAGCCTAGGCAACAGACTGAGACCCCATCTCAAAAAAAAAAAAAAAAAAAAAGAAAAAAAAATCAAGTCTTCCAATTCACGAGCATGATACAAACTCTTTATTTAGATCTTCTCTAATTTTCCTCCTCAATATTTTATAGTTTTCTGTAGCAATCTGATACATCATTTGTTAAATTTATTTTTATATATTTTGGTTTTTGATGCTGCTGTAAATGGTATTGCTTTTTAAAATCTCATCTTCCAGTTATTTGTTGCTAATATACAGAAGTACAATTTGTTTTTCTGTGTTGATCTTGTATCCTGAGACCTTGCTAAATTCACTTATTAGTTCTGGTAAGTTTCTGTTTTTCCTTCTTTCTCTCCTGACTCCCTCCCTTCCTTCCTTCCTACCTTCCTTTCTTCTTCTCCTTCATCTTCTTTGTTTATTCTTAGGATTTCCTATATAAATTGGCCTATATAGGATGCCTTCCTATATAGGCAATCATGACATCTGCAGATAATAATAGTTTCGCTTCTTCTTTTCCAGTGTTTATGCCTGTGTTACTTTTTCTTGCCTTATTGCACTGGCTGGTATTTGTGATACAATTTTGAGCAGAAGTCATGACAGTGGACATTTGCTTTTTTCCTGTAGCAGAGGGAAAGCATTTTTATTCCACTAAGTATGATGCTAGCTATAGGTCTTATGTAGATTACCTTTATTAGATTGAGGAAAGTTCCCTCTTTTCTAGTTTCCTGAGAGTCTTTACCATGAATGGGTGTTGAATTTTGTCGAATGCCCTTTCTTCATCTACTTAGATGGTCTTATGATTTTCCTCCTTCATTCTGTTAATGTGAATTATATTAATTGAAATTTGAATGTTAAACCAACCCTACATTCCTGGGATTAAAATCCATTTGATTCTTTTTATGTATTATTGGATTCAATTGATAAATATTTTATTTCATTTATTTTTTCGAGACAGAGTCTTACTCTGTGGCCCAGGCTGGAGTGCAGCAGTGTGATTATAGCTCACTGTAATCTTGAACTCCTAGGCTCAAGCAATCCTCCCACCTCAGTCTCCCAAGTAGTCACTGCAGCCATGTGCCCCATGCCCAGCTAATTTTCATTTTCTTATTTTTGTTGAGATGGAGTCTTGCTTTGTTGTCCAAGCTGGTCTTAAACTCCTGGCCTCAAGCTGTCCTTCTGCTTAAGCCTCTCAAAGGCTGGGATTATAGGCTGAACCACTGTACCTGGCCTATTTTATTTAAAAAATTTTTTTTTGTAGAGACAAGTTCTTACTCTGCCACCCAGGCTGGAATGCAGTGGCACAATCATAGCTCACTGCAGCCTTGAACTCCTGGGCTCAAGCCGCCCTCCCAACTCAGCCTCCCAAGTAGCTAGGACTACAGGTGTACACCGCCATATCCAGCTAATATTTAAATTTTATTTTTGTAGAGTCAGGGTCTTGCTATGTTGCCCCAGCTGGTCTTGAACTCCTGGCCTCAAGTGATCCTCCCACCTCGGCCTTCCAAAGCACTGAAATGGTTAATATTTTATTAAGGATTTTGGCATCTATATTAATGAAGGATTTTGGTTCATTTTTTTCTTGTATTGTCCTTGTCTAGTTTTATTATCTTTGTTAATGTTGCTTATAAAATGAATTAGGAAGTATTCTCCTGCCCCCCAGCACTCCCCCATTTCCTGAATTTGTGTAGGATTGATTTTATTTCCTCCTTAAATGTTTGTTAGAAATTGGCAGTGAGAGGCCAGGCGTGGTGGCTCACACCTGTAATCCCAGCATTTTGGGAGGCCGAGGCGGGCAGATCACCTGACATTGGGAGTTTGAGACCAGCCTGACCAACATGGAGAAACCCCGTGCCTACTAAAAATACAAAATTAGCTGGGCGTGGTGGCGCATGCCTGTAATCTCAGCTACCTGGGAGGCTGAGGCAGGAGAACTGCTTGAACCTGGGAGGCAGAGGTTGTGGTGAGCCAAGATCATGCCATTGCACTCCAGCCTGGGCAAAAAGAGTGAAACTCCGTCTCAAAAAAAAAAAAAAAAAAAAAAAAAAAAAAAAAAAGAAATTGGCAGTGAGGCCAACAGGGCCTGGAGTTTTCACTGTGAAAGGATCTTAATATACAAATTTAATTTCCTTACATTTATTTAATAGAGATATTCAGATTTTCTTTTCTTCCTTGTATCCATTTGTTTGCTTCTTTCAAGGAATAGATTCATCCCAACTAAGTTGCTGGTTGTATTGACATAAAATTGTTTAATATTTTCCTTTGTTATCATTTTTAAGTTGGTGGATCTATGGTGATGTTCCCTTTATCATTCCTGTTATTGATAATTTGTGTTTTCTCTCTTCCTTTTTTTTATTAGTAAGTCTAGATAGAGGTTTATCAACTTTGCTAATCTTTTCAAAGAACTGCTTTTTGTTTTATTATTTCTATTGTTTGTTTTCTATTTTATTGAGTTATGTTCTTATATTTATTATTTCTTCTTTCTATTTATTTTGGTTTTAATTTGCTCTTCTTTTTCTAGCTTCTGAAGGTGGAGGCTGCGGTCATTGATTTGAGACCTTTCTTTTCTAATATGAGCATTTAAAACTTTAAATTTCCTTTTATAGCTGCTTCCTACAAATTTAAATGTTGTTATCCTATCATCAGTGAAAGTATTTCCCAACTTTCTTTTTTATTTTTTATTTGATCCATTTATTTAGAAATCTGTTTTTAATTACCATCTATTTGGAGGTGTTCCAAATATCTTTCTGTTACTGATTTTTAATTCAATTTCAATGTGGTCAGAGAATATACTCTATATTATGTTAATCCTTCTAAATCCATTGATTCTTGTTTAATATCCTAGCATATGGTCTATCTTAGTGAATATTTGTGCTTGAGAAGAATGTATATTCTGCTGAAAATGGGTGTAGCATTCCATAAATGTCAATTAGGTCAAGTTGGTTGATGGTGCATTTAAATATCATATCTTTACTGATTTTCAGTTTACTTTTTGAATCAATTGCTGAGGGAAGACTGTTGAAATCCTCAATTATAATCGTGGATTTGTCTGTTGCTCTTTTCATCAGTTGCTTTATGTATTTTGAAGCTCTATTATTAGCTGCATATATATTTAGAGCTATAATATTCCTGATAAAATTCACCCTTACCTGTTATCACATGCCTGAAAACAGTTGTTTTATATATTTTATACAGTTTTATTATTATTTAAGGTAAAGCTGATACGTGTTACTCCAACATGGCTATCACTAGAAGCTCAGTTAAAGAGTTCCTTTTTTTTTTTTTTGAGATGGAGTCTTGCTCTGTCACCCAGGCTGGAGTGCAATGGCATGATCTTGGCTCACTGCAACCTCTGCCTCCCAGGTTCAAGCGATTCTCCTGTCTCAGCCTCCCAAGTAGCTGAGATTACAGGTGTACGCCACCATGCCCAGCTACTTTTGTATTTTTAGTAGAGACGAGGTTTCACCATATTGGCCAGGCTCGTCTCGAACTCCTGACCTCAGGTGATCTATCTGCCTGCCTCAGCCTCCCAGAGTGCTGGGATTACAGGCGTAAGCCACTGTCCCCAGCCTGGTTAGTTTCTCTTAATAATAGTTTGATGAATCTGTAAACAATGGGAAAGCAAGAGATATGATGTTTCGTAGTTCACACATTTGGGTTCACTTCTTAGACCTCTTCTCTTTTTTGTCTATACTCCCCAGGTAATTTTATCCAGACACATAACCTTGAATACCATTTATATGCTGATGATTCTGAAATCTCTCCTTCCAGCCTGGACTTCACCCACAAACTCCAAACTCAGATTTCCAATTACCCATTCAACAGCTATATTAAAATATATAATAGGTATCTCAAACTTAACATATCCAAAATTAAAGTCCTGATCTCTTCCTCACTCCATATGCTTCCTTGAGTGTTTTCTGCATGTTAGTTAAGGGTAACTCCATTCTTCTAATTGCTCAAGAGAAAAATCTTGGAGTAATCCTCAACTCCTCTCTTTTTCTTATACCCTACATCATCCTTTCAGCTCTATTTTCAAAATATTTCCAGGATTTGACCACCTTATACCCCTTCACTGCTATTCACAACATCTCTTGTCTGGATTTTGTAGAAGTCTCCTAACTGATCTCCTGCCTTCACCTCTGTTCAACCTTCAGTTTCTTGTTCTTCAGTTTCTTCAGTTTCAATGCACTGCCTGGGTGTTCTTAATAAAACTTAAGTCAGATTGTGTGTGGTGGCTCACACTTATAATCCCAACACTTTGGGAGGCTGAGGTAAGAGGATCCCTTGAGGCCAGGAGTTTGAGATCAGCCTGGGCAATATAGCAAGACCCCATCTCTACAAAAAAATTAAAAAAAAAAACTTAAATCAGATGATGTCATTGCTCTGCCCAAAACCCTCATGGCTTCCCACTTCACTCAGAGTAAAAGCCACAGACATCACAATAACTTACACAGCCCTACACAGTATGCCTCTCCCCTTCTTTGACACCATTGATTATTTTCCTCCCTATTGCTCATTCTGTTCCAGGCCCACTGGCCCCTTTGCAATTCCTGCAGCACAATGGTTATGCTTCTGCCTTAGAAACTTTGCTCTTGCTGTTTCCTTTGCCTAGAAAATCTCTTTCCTCATGCATCTACACGATTTCTTTCTTCACCTCCTTCCAGTTCAAGACAAACCCTTTTTTTTTTTTTTTTTTTTTTTTTGAGACAGAGTCTCACTCTGTCACCAGTCTGTAGTACAGTGGCGCAATCTCGGCTCACTGCAACTTCCCGACTCCCTGGTTCAAGAGATTCTCCTGCCTCAGTCTCCCGAGTACCTGGGATTACAGGCATGTGCCACCATGCCCAGCTAATTTTTGTATTTTTAGTAGAGATGGGGTTTCACCATGTTGGCCAGGAGGGTCTTGATTTCTTGACCTTGTGATTTGCCTGCCTCAGCCTCCCAAAGTGCTGGGATTACGGGTGTGAGCCACTGCGCCTGGCCAAGGCAAAGTTTTAACGTCTTGTTCACTGCTGTATTCTCCATGCTTAGAACAATGCATAACATATATTGGCACACATTAACATTTGCTCTGTGACGAATGAATGGATTTATTAAGCACTCCACATAGTAAGTCACTTGAGGAAAAAAAACAGAAGAATGAAATATAATTTTACCGGTGGGGTAGAATATGCACTGTGTATCATGTTAGTATTAATTTCATTTTCTGGATAACAGTACTTTGTATTGATTGTTTCCAGTAGCTGTTACATGGTCTGTATGCCCCTCTTGCTCAAGAGAGTGAGGATGATCCTGAAATTCTCTTCGAAGTCAGATTATCATAGTCTCCTCCAGAGGGAGCCCACAGTCCAGCATTTTCAAGAGCTGGAGTCACCCTCTGACCCTAACAGAGGACAAGCCATTTGGTCTCCTGTTGGACGAACTAATGTATGAAGATGGGGTGCTAATACAGCTGTGCTTTTTGGTCTAAATCCCCTAGATGAGAAATGCAACAAAAGTGCAAGCTAGGAATTTGGTTTCCTCCAAAGTCTCAGGACATTTCAAACCAAGACCTAGATTATACACATTTCAGGCAACATTTACTCTTGGGCATCTCTGAGTAATTTCTTTGTGGCTACTCATTATTACATTGAACAGTATTATTATAATGTTAAAAGCATCTGATGCCTCATGAAATTACTTTAACAACAGGATTTATTATATAATAATTCTGCCATCAATATTGTTGGATTCCTTGGATTGTTGTTGAGTTTGGAAAATTGGTTTCTTTAATTTCTCTCTATTCTTCAAACAGAAAATGTGATGGTATCAGAATATTTATTGAAAGTGTACCTGCAAACTCCTGGGGATTTTTTCTTTTCTTTTTCTTTCCTTTTTTTTTTTTTTTTTTTTTATGAGACAGGGTCTTGCTCTGCTGTCTAGGCTGAACTACAGTAACATGATCATAACTTACTGCAGCCTCAAATTCCTGGGCTCAAGCAATCCTCTTGCCTCAGCCTCCTGAATAGTTGGGAGTACAGGTGTTCACCACCATGCTGGGCTCATTTTTAAATTTTTCATACAGACAGGGCCTCACTATATTGGCCAGGCTGGTTCTTTAAAAAAAAAAAAAGTTTATTGAACAAACATTCCATTTTTATTTAAAGTCACATATTATGAGAGTCCAGATTAGTATCAGATTACCTGAGTTAGAAGGCAGATGCTTTTATCACCTCTTCATTGGAAACCTGTTTGGTGCTTTGCTGCCTCAGTTTTCCCAGCTGGATAATGGGGACAAAATAGCTTATCCTAGAGATATTGTGAGGACTCAAGGTTTAACACACACAGGACACAGTGGGTTTGTAGTGATGAAATTTAGTAGTTCACTGGGTCTCTGTGTCTTCTTCAAGGATGAAGAATTATGGTCTTTAAGTTTTGTTATGCGAGTTATCTGAGTTTATCCTGACTTAATTCCCTTTGGGAATAAATTAGGTCTGAAAGTGTCCTCTACTCTTGTTGCATACTGCCTGTGAAACTCCTAGGGTATCTGTGCACTGGTCACCATTTATTTAGACATAAAGTTGGCATGAGTTATCTGTTCTGCAGGCATAAAGTGTTTCATTAAATACAAGAAAAAACATGGCATTTACAGTTTTAAAAGAGAGCTGTATAATGTGTCCGCTATTGTGGTTTGGAAGAAAATTAATCTCTGGAGACCCAGTTAGAGTTGTACCATGTCAAAAAAGAGATACTAGTACTGTAATTCTTTTCCACCCTGAGAAAAGCAAGTTTAGCTCAACACTTTCCAACTTTTATCATTTGGGGTTACATTGGATTTTCTCAGAGTTTTTGAGTGTTAGTGGAGTTTTAAAAGTAAAGTTACAGGCCAGGCTTGGTGGCTCATGCCTATAATCCCAGCACTTTGGGAGGCCAAGGCGGGCAGATCACCTGAGGTCAGGAGTTCGAGACCACCCTGACCAACATGGAGAAACCCCATCTGTACTAAAAATACAAAATTAGCTGGGTGTGGTGGCACATGTCTGTAATCCCAGCTACTCGGGAGGCTGAGGCAGGAGAATCACTTGAACCTGGGAGGCAGAGGTTGTGGTGAGCTGAGATTGCACCATTGCACTCTAGCCTGGGCAACAAGGGTGAAACGCCATTTCAAAAAAAAAAAAAAAAGTAAAGTTACAAACATAGCTGTGGTAAGGTGTCGAGAAGATGAGTTACTGGTTAATTTAGGCAGATCCAGGTTTTATGGAAGCTGATACTTTTAAATGAGGGCTCTTTTTGAGGAGGAAACACAAAATTTCAAAGGCAAAATTAGAAGGGCTGTTTCCATGGCTTTGGGTGCAGCCTGTGCAAGTGAGGGACTACATTGGCTTTCAATAAATATGCCTCTGCTGATAGGATTGCTCCTATTTGGTTCTCCATAGCCACCAAAACTCATGCAAACAAGTAGGTTATGGCAATGGCAGTGGCAGGGGCAGCTGAATTGGCAATCAATTGGCTAGGTCTTGAAATCTGTTGGGTAGCATCCATGTGATGATTGGGAGTCTTGGCTCTAAGTCCTTTGACCACGTGAAGTTGTCATAAGTGAAAGGGGATACAACTGGTTGCTCAGTGGGTTGCTGCTGTGTGGCACTCATTACCTTTCCTTTGGAAGAAGGAACACAGAATAGAGTCACAAGGATAGGGAACACTCTCTTGTGTTTAACACCCCTTGAAGAATAAAATTAAAATTCGATCCATTAAATAATTGAGTCAGGGTTCTGTTTTCACCAGAGTAATAAAAACTTGCTTTTGATGGGCACCAGTTATCACCTAATTGTCAAATTCAGTGACTTTTAAAAAATCCTTATTTTTCCTGATCTTTGTGTCACATTTCACACTATGAATCATCTTTTCCTCCTCAAAGCGCGCCTTCTTTTTTGTCACATGTCATCATTTTCTTCTTAATTCTAAGTGCTTTTCTGTTCTACTGATAATTTTTCTTCCTACCTGTTTCCCTGGCAGTTCTTAAGGCCTCCACTCTTCCCTGTTCCTTGAGAGAAGTATGTTACTCTTATAGCTTGGCTACCACCTCTGAGGGTATTTCTCCAAAATTTGTAGTTCTTCCACAGACATTTACCTGAAGCTACAGTCTCTATATGTTTGCTAAATGTTTCCACTTTATCATTTTGCTGTTTCTTCAGCCTTACTGATAGGGTTTGGCTGTGTCCCCACACAAATCTCATCTTGAATTCCCACGTGTTGTAGGAGGGACCTGGTGGGAGGTAATTGAATCATGGGGGCAGGTCTTTCCTGTGCTGTTCTCATAATAGTAAGTCTCATGAGATCTGATGGTTATTACAAGGGGGAGTTTTCCTGCACAAGCTCCCTCTCTTTTTGCATGCTGCCATCCATGTAAGACATGACTTGCTGTTCCTTGCCTTCCACCATGATTGTGAAGCCTCCCCAGCCATGTGGAACTGTAAGTCTAATAAACCTCTTTCTTTTGTAAATTGTCCCGTCTCAGGTACGTCTTTATCAGCGGCATGAAGACAGACCAATACAGTGAATTGGTACCAGTAGAGTGGGGCATTGCTGAAAAGATACCCAAAAATGTGGAAGCAACTTTGGAACTGGGTAACAGGCAGAGGTTTGAACAGTTTGGAGAGCTCAGAAGAAGACAGGAAAATGTGGGAAAGTTTGGAACTTTCTAGAGACTTGTTGAATGGCTTTGACCAGAAGCTTGATCATGATATGGACAATAAAATCCAAGCTGAGGTGGTCTCAGATAGAGATGAGGAACTTGTTGGGAACTGGAGCAAAGGTGACTCTTGTTATGTTTTAGCAAAGAGATTGGCAGCATTTTGCCCCTGCACTAGAGATTGTGGAACTTTGAACTTGAGAGAGGTGATTTAGGGTAACTGGTGGAAGAAATTTCTTTTTGTTGTTGTTGTTTTTTTTCTTTTTTGAGACAGTCTCACTCTATAACCAGTCTGGAGTGCAGTGGCATGATCTTGGCTCACTGCAACCTGTGCCTACTGGGTTCAAGTGATTCTCCTGCCTCAGCCTCCTGAGTAACTGGGACTATAGGCATGTGCCACCACACCCACCTAATTTTTGTATTTTTAGTGGAGACGGGGTTTCACCATGTTGGCCAGGATGGTCTCAATCTCTTGACCTCGTGATCCACATGCCTTGGCCTCCCAAAGTGCTGGGATTACAGGCATGAGCCACTGCACCCAACTGGTGGAAGAAATTTCTAAGCAGCAAAGCATTCAAGAGGTGACTTGGATGCTATTAAAGGCATTCAGTTTTATAAGGGAAGCAAAGCATAAAAGTTCAGAAAATTTGCAGCCTGACAATGCAATAGATAATAAAATCCCATTTTCTGAGGAGAAATTCAAGCCAGCTGCAGAAATTTGCAAAAGCAATGAGGAGCTGACTGTTAATCCCCAAGACAATGGGGAAAATGTCTCCAGGACATGTCAGAGACGTTTGCGGCAGCCCCTCCCATTACAGACCCAGAGGCCTAGGAGGAAAGGCCCAGGGTCCCCATGCTGTGTGCAGCCAAGGGACTTGGTGCCCTGTGTCCCAGCTGCTCCAGCCATGGCTGAAGGGGGCCAATGTAGAGCTTGGCCTGTGGCTTCAGAGGAGCAAGCCCCAAGCCTTGGCAGCTTCCCTGTAGTGTTGAGCCTGTGAGTGCACAGAAGTCAAGAATTGGGGTTTGGGAACCTCCGCCAAGATTTCAGAAGATGTATGGAAATGCCTGGATGTCCAGGAAGAAGTTTGCTGCAGGGGTGGGGCCCTCATGGAGAACATCTGCTGGGGTAGTGCAAAAGGGAAATGTGGGGTTGGAGCCCCCACACAGAGTCCCTACTGGGGCACCACCTAGTGGAGCTGTGAGAAGAGGGCCACTGTCCTCCAGACCCCAGAATGGTAGACTCACTTGTTACGGGAAGTCAGGGGCCCCGAACGGAGGGACCGGCTGAAGCCATGGCAGAAGAACATAAATTGTGAAGATTTCATGGACATTTATCACTTCCCCAATCAATACTCTTATAATTTCCTATGCCTGTCTTTAATCTCTTAATCCCATCATCTTCGTAAGCTGAGGATGTATGTCGCCTCGGGACTTTGTGATGATTGCGTTAACTGCACAAATTGTTTGTAAAACGTGTGTTTGAACAATATGAAATCTGGGCATCCTAAAAAAGAATAGGATAACAGTGGTTTTCAGGGAACAAGGGAGATAACCATAAGGTCTGACTGCCTGTGGGGCCAGGCAGAACAGAGTCATATTTCTCTTCTTGCAGAAAGCGAATAGGAGAAATATTGCTTAATTCTTTTCCCAGCAAGGAATAACCCTGGGAAAGGAATGCCTTCCCAGGGGGAGGTCTCTAAAATGGCTGCTCTGGGAGTATCTGTCTTGTGCAGTTGAAGATAAGGGATGAAATACGCCCTGGTCTCCTGCAGTGCCCTCAGGCTTGCTAGGATTAGGAAATTCCAGCCTGGCGAATTCTAGTCAGACCGGTTGTCTGCTCTTGAACCCTCTTTCCTGTTAAGATGTTTATCAATGACACTGTGTGCCCAGCAGGACATGGAACCTCATCAGTAATTCTAATTTCACCTGGCCTTGTAATCTTGCTCTGCCTCTCTGCCCTTGTGATCTTTTATTGCCCTTTCAAGCATGTGATCTTTGTGACTTACTCCCTGTTCGTATCCCCCTCCCCTTTTGAAATTCCTAATAAAAGCTTGCTGGTTTTGCAGCTCAGGGGGCATCACGGAGCCTACCAATAGGTGATGTCACCCCCGGAGGCCCAGCTGTAAAATTTCTCTCTTTTGTACTCTTTCTCTATTTCTCAGACAGACCAACACTTAGGGAAAATAGAAAAGAACCTACGTTGAAATATTGGGGGCTGGTTCCCCCACTATTCACTGACTGCTTGCACTGTGTGCCTGGAAAAGCTGCAGACACTCAATGCCAGCCCATGAAAGCAGCCAGGAGGGAGGCTGTACCCTGCAAAGCCATAGAGGTGGAGCTTCCCATGACCATGGGAACCCACCTCTTGCATTAGTGTGACCTGGATGTGAGACATGAAGTCAAAGGAGATCATTTTGGAGCTTTAATAATTGACTGCTCCACTGGATTTTGGATTTGCATGGGACCTGTAGCCCCTTTGTTTTCGCCAATGTCTCCCATTCAGAATGGCTGTATTTATCCAATGCCTGTACCTCCATTGTATCTAGGAAGTAAATAACTTGCTTTTGATTTTATAGGCTCATAGATGGAAGGGACTTGCCTTATCTCAGATAAGGCAAGTGGACTTTTGAGTAGACTTTTGAGTTAATGCTGAAATGAGTTAAGACTTTGGGGGACTGTTGGGAGGGCATGATTTATTCTGAAATGTGAGGATATGAGATTTGGGAGGGGCCAGGGGTGGAATGATATGGTTTGGCTGTGTACCCACACAAATCTCATCTTGAATTCCCATGTGTTGTGGGAAGGACTTGGTGGGAGGTAATTGAATCTTGGAGGCAGGTTTTTTCCATGCTGTTCTTGTGATAATAAGTCTCATGAGATCTGATGGTTATTACAAGGGGGCGTTATCCTGCACAAGCTCTCTCTTTGCATGCTGCCATCCACGTAAGATGTGACTTGCTGCTCCTTGCCTTCCACCATGATTGTGAAGCCTCCCCAGCCATGTGCAACTGTAAGTCCAATAAACCTCTTTCTTTTGTAAATTGTCCAGTCTCAGGTATGTCTTTATCAGCAGCGAGAAAACAGACTAAAACACTTACCATATCTAAACTGTATTAATTTCTCCCCAAACCATCTTTCTCTCTTAGCTTTTCTTGTTTTTAAAAGTAGTACTATTGTTTTCCTTGGCTTGAAACTTGGCATTAACTTAATTTTTTCAGCTTCCATGTATCTGATAGCCATTCAGTCATCAGGCCTACTTGACTTACTCTAACAAATTTTGATCCTCCCAAATTGTATTAATTTTTCATGTTTAAGCTTATGTAGTCTTCCTTGCGTGACCTGGACTCTTCCTATGAAAGGCAATCTCCTTTTTTTCTAGGTTCCCATATTCCATTGTTTATACTATGTTTTACATCCTGCTTTGTGATGCTAGTTACCTCTTAATTTGTGTGTGTCATCAACAAAACTATTAGTTCTTGGAAGTTAGAGTTGTCAAACCGTTATCACCCAACCCCCAGTGCCTTTATATGATTATGTACCTTAATGTGTATGGAACAAATAATTTAAATTCAAAATGACCTTGGTAGTTTGGAGACTTATTGAAGAATTAAGGAATAATGTTAAAAATGATCAGTAATACTGAACCCGGGAGGCGGAGGTTGCAGTGAGCCGAGATCGTGCCACTGCACTCCAGTCTGGGTGACAGAGCGAGACTCCATCTCAAAAAAAAAAAAAGAAAGAAAGAAAGAAAAAGCAATCTACTTTTTCATTTCTGGAAATATGTGTGGTGGGTATCTGATTAAATGTATACTGCATATCCTGAAAAACTCCAATTGTGAAACCTCTCATCAAAGGCCCAAAGTTACTGGTGGTTTAGAGCACTGGTTTGAACAGGTCACCCAGGTGGAAGGAGATAAACCTAGTAAGCAAGTTTGGAAGTTATGTTGGAGACTGTGCATGAAGTCGAGCCTGTAAAAAGTGTTACCCTAAGTAAAGAGTGAATTAGAAAAAAAACCTACTCCTCAAAAAGAGGAGGCAGAAGAATTGCTTGAACCCGGGAGGCGGAGGTTGCAGTGAGCTGTGGAACCACTGTACTCCAGCCTGGGCGACAGAGCGAGACTCCATCTCAAAAAACATGTATATACATTAGGACACAGAAATAGTGAAAATATATGTTAGAAAAGATATAACAGGCAAACAGGGAAAAAAGTTAGTGTGGCTCTATATTATCAGGAAAAACAAATTATAAAGCAAAAAACTTACTGTACATAAAGAGGGACACTACATATGATTATTTAATTCACTGAGAAGGCATAAAAGCCAAGAAGTTTTTGCACCAAAATATATAAAGCATAAATTTAGTGAACATGAGAACTTGAAGAATCCATTATCATAGCATGATATTCTTAATACTTCTCTTTCAGTAACTGACAAGGAAACAAAGAAAAAGTATGGATGCGGATTTGAATAACACAATATTTAAGTTTGATTTAATATATAAGAAAACACTTTGCCCCAATATGAAAAATAACCCATATAAACCCATCTATATGATTTTTTTTTGAGACACTGTTTTGCTGTGTTGCCCAGGCTGGAGTGCAGTGGCATGATCTTGGCTCACTGCAACCTCTGCCTCCTGGATTCAAGTGATTCTCCTGCTTCAGCCTCCCAAGTAGCTGGGATAACAGGCATGCACCATGATGCCTAGCTAATTTTTGTATTTTTAGTAGAGACGGGTTAGTCATGTTGATGAGGCTGGTCTCGAACTCCTGACCTCAGGTGATCCACCCACCTCAGCCTCCCAAAGTGCTGGGATTACAGGTGTGAGCCACTGCGCCCGGCCCCATATATACGAAATTTTAAAAAATACTTTCTGAAGGTGTCAAAGAAGAAATAATAATGGAAATTAGATAATAATTTCCATATAATAATACATAGAAAATGATAATAAAATAATACATAGAAAATGATAATAAAAATGCAGTCTCAAAACATATGGCGTAAGATACTTATGCTTCTAGATATGATAGTTTGCAACAAAATTAAACATCCACTGAGAACCACTAAAGCCAGGTGAAATGCAAGAAATTTCTGTTTAAAGGCAGAGAGCTGATGATGTAATAGTGATTTGAGGGGATAATTCCAGAGAGTTGAGCTGATGGTTTGCAGTGGCTTTTTCCTGGGGAATATAGACTGATTCTTGAAACAAGAAAAAAACTGAGAATTCAGACTTAGCTCTGGAAGAGGGCCCCTACTACGGTACAGAGAAACTAACAGAACTTTCTAGTAGTTTCATACAGCTAGAGTGACAACATCAGAGACATGAACAGTCTGAACACATAGTTTGTTTCCCCTTCAAGACAGAGTGGAAAGATCTAACCTAAGTATAATTAGGTTCCCATAAGAAGAGGAGAGAGAAAATAAGGCAGAAGCGCTGGCGTGGTGGCTCACGCCTGTAATTCCAGCACTTTGGGAGGCTGAGGCAGGTGGATCACAAGGTCAGGAGTTCGAGACCAGCCTGGCCAATATGGTGAAACCCCATCTCTACTAAAAATACAAAAGTTAGCCAGGCACGGTGGCACGTGTCTGTAGTCCCAGCTACTCGGGAGGCTGAGGCAGAAGAATCGCTTGAACTCGGGAGGTGGAGGTTGCAGTGAGCTGAGATTGAGCCACTGCGCTCCAGCCTAGGTGAAAGAGCAAGACTCTATCTCAAAAATAAATAAATAAAATAAATAAATAAATAAATAAATAAGGCAGAAGCAATATTTGAAGAGAATGTCCAAAAATACTACCAAACTGATGAAAGACAAAAATTTATGTATTTAAGAAGCTCTGTAAACCCCAGGCAGGAAAAATACAAAGAAAACCCCACCTAGGCTGGTCATGGTGGCTCACACCTGTAACCCCAGCACTTTGGGAGGCCGAGGTGGGCAGATCACTTGAGACCAGGTGAGACCAGCCTAGCCAACATGGTGAGACCCCATGTCTACTAAAAATACAAAAAATTAGCCGGGTGTGCTGGCGTGCACCTGTAATCCCAGCTACTTGGGAGGCTGAGGTGGGAAAATTGCTTGAACCTGGGAGGCAGAGGTTGCAGTGAGCCGAGACAGCACCACCGCATTCTAGCCTGGGCGACCGAGTGAGACTCCGTCTCAAAAAAAAAAAAAAGAAAGAAAACCCCACCTAAGCACATCATAATGAAACTGCTTAATTCAAATATAAAAAGAAAATCTAAAAGGCAAGAAGTCATGTTTCCTTTAAAGGAGCTGATCTCAACAAAAATGATGAAATCCAGAAGACAATGAAATGACACCTTTGAAGTACTGAAAGAAAATAGCTGCCAAGCTAGAATCGTATATTCTGTGACAAAAATGAGGGCAAAATACAGACTTTTCTTCTTTTTAAGACAGTTTTACCCTTGTTGCCTGGGCTGGAGTGCAATGACATGATCTCGGCTCACTGTAACCTCCCCCTAAGCAAACATATAAGCAGAAAGAATTTATTGCCAGAAGATCTGCCTTAAGATAAAAGCTGAAGAGAGGTTTTTTTTTGTTTTGTTTTGTTTTGTTTTTGAGACGCTCTGTTGCCCAGGCTACAGTGGTGCAATCTCGGCTCATTGCAACCTCCGCCTACTGGGGTCAAGTGATTCTCATGCCTCAGCCTCCGAAGTAGCTGGAATTACAGGCACCTGCCACCACACCCAGCTATTATTATTATTATTATTATTATTGGTACATACAGGGTTTTACAATGTTGACCAGGCTAGTCTCGAACCCCTGACCTCAAGTGACCCTCCCACCTCAGCTTTCCAAAGTGCTGGGATTACAGGTGTGAGCTATTGTGCCTGGCCTGAAGAGAGTTCTTAAGGCAGAAGGAAAATAGTCCCAAATGGAAACAGGAAATTTGAAGGGAATGAAGAATAACAAAAGGGGGAAATGTGTGAGTAAATATAAATAAATATTGACTGTAAAGATTAATCATAGTAATATGAGGGCTTAAAATATATGTAGAATTAAAACTCATGACTCCAATAAAGCAAGAAGGAGAGGGCAAATAGAGATAAAGTGTTCTAAGATTTTAGCATTATCAGGGAAATATTAAAATAGTAATTTGTATTAAACTCAAGTCAAAGATGGTAAGTATAATTCCAACTGTATTAGTAATTACATTAAAACAAATAGAATAAATACTCCAAATAGAAGATGAATATTATCAGATTGGATTAAAAATTATCTAACTATAACCTGGGTATGGTGGCATGTGCCTATAATTCCAGCTACTCAGAAGGCTGAGGCAGGAGGATTGCTTGAGGCTAGGCATCAAGGCCAGCCTGGCCAACATAGTAAGACTCCAATCTAAAAAGAAAAGTTAAAAAAACCCCAGCTATATGCTGCATATAAAAAATATCTTAAGTATAAGACACTGAAATGCTCAAAGTAAAAGTTGGAAAAAGTATAGTGTGCAAACAATAATTGAAAGAAAGCTGGAGCTGGGTGCGATGACCCACCCCTGTAATCCCAGCATCTTGGGAGGCCAAGGTGGGGAGATCACCTGAGATAGGGAGTTGGAGACCAGCCTGGCCAACATGGTGAAACCCCATCTCTACTAAAAATACAAAAATTAGCTGGGTATGGTGGCGCATGCCTGTAATCCCAGCTACTTGGGAGGCTGAGGCAAGAGAATCACTTGAACCCGGGGGCGGAGGTTGCAGTGAGCTGAGATCACACCACTGCACTCAAGCTGGTGTTGCTGTTTATTATCAGAGAGAATAGCTCTTAAGGCAAGAAGAATAACTAGAGATAGAAAGGGACATTTTCTAATGATAGAGTCCAGTTCACAAGAAGATATAACAATTCTAAATATATATGCACTGAATAACATAGTTTCAAAATATATAAGGCAAAAATGGACAGAACTAAAAGGAGAATATAGACAAATCAACATTAATAAGGTAGATTTAACACAACCTTTCAATAGTTGATAAAACAAGCACATGATAAATCAGTAAAGACATAAAAATCAAAATAACACAGTAAACTTGACTCTGTTGACATAATAGAACACTGCACTGAGGATAAGAATATATATTAAAAAAAATTTTTTTTTTGAGATGGAGTTTTATTCTTATTGCCCAGGGTGGAGTGCAATGGCGTGACCTCGGCTCACTGCAACCTCCACCTCCCAGGTTCAAGTGATTCTCCTGCCTCAGTCTCCTGAGTAGCTGGGATTATAGGCATGCACCACTATGCCTGGATAATTTTTCATATTTTTAGTAGAGACAGGGTTTCACCATGTTGGCCAGGCTGGTCTCAAACTCCTGACCTCATGTGATCCACCCACCTCGGCCTCCCAAAGTGCTGGGATTACAGGCATGAGCCACTGCGCCCGGCCTTAAAAAATTTTTTATAGAGACAGGGTCTTACTTTGATGCCCAGACTGGAGTGCAATGGCATCATCATACATCTCACTGTAGCCTTGAATTCCTGGGCTCAAGCAATCCTTCCACTTCAGCCTCCCAAGTAGTTAGGACTACAAGCACACACCACCAATGCCCAGTTATTTTTTAAAAATTTTTCTGTAGAGACAGGGTCTTATTATGTTGCCCAGGCTGGTCTTGAACTCCTCACCTCAAGTGATCCTCTCGTTACAGCCTCTCAAAGTGCTGGGATTACAGGCATGAGGCATAATGCCCAGCTAGAATATACACTGTTTTTAAGTATACAGGTGAATTTATAAAATTTGACAGTAAAGCCAGCTTCAACAAAGTTTCAGAAGATTGGAAGCACTCAGAATGTACTCTCTGACCACAATAGTCTTAAGGTAGAAATGAATTATAAAAACTAATTAGAAAATGGAAATTAAGCAGTACACTTCTAAGTAATCCATTAATCAAAAAAGAGATCACATTAGAAATTAGAAAGTATGTGAAACTAATAATGAAAATATGACATATCAAAACTTCTGAGATGTAGTTAAAACAGTGGTTGGATGGAAATGTGTAAAATGCATATGCTAGAAAAGAAGGAAGGTTAATATCAGTGATCCAAGCTTGTATCTCAAGAAGTGAGTAAAAGAACAGCAAATTAAACCCAGAGAGAAATAAATAAGACAAAAGTAAAAAATAATGAAATTTAAAACAAACACACACCACAGAAAACGGAGGAGCTTTTACTTCTGTCCATGATGGAGCAACTGGCATGATACTTACTCTTCCTTTGTAAAAGCTAGGATAATGGAAAAAAGTATCTGAAACAATGCATTAGACATTGGGCAACAGCCAACCCGGACCATAGTCCCTTATAGATGGAAAATGAATGAGGTGAGCACTATGATTACATAGGCTTTTTGCTTAGAGGCAATTTCTGGACCACAGCACAGGATGGCATAACCCAAGGAGAGCCTGGCAGCTTTGCTGAGTTGATGAGGTAGGGATAGAAGCTTGGGGAGGCCAAGGTGACCAGAATTTGCAAGGCAGAGTACTAGAGAAGAGAAATGCTATGTAGAGAAGGTGCTCAAAAGTCTGCATGGGTTACCTTCCAGTCTTTGGTTGAATACTAATCTGTGCAATTGTGGCAGCCATGAAAATAGACCTCTCAGACCTCCAACTGCAGGGAATGTAATTTTGACCTATGGGCCCTGTTCATCACCATGTTCATACTAAGGAATCTTCCCATGGCTGCTGCTTACAGTCAGTGACTAGGCACAGGGATACTGAGGAAAGCCCATTCTTGGAAGATGGAAAACTCAAAATTTTGGTTCAAAGATTATTCACTGGCATCGCCAAACTTCCTTAGAAATGCACTGCAGTGTAAGTTGCTTCCACTCAACCTTTCTTTTCTTTCCTTCACAAAGGTCAGACATACATTACAGTCTGATGCCTTTCCTAGATTCCCCTGGCTCCTTTCCCAGTTTTCTCACAGGTATTTCTCCCAGTAAATCTCTTGTATATCTAATCTCTTGCCATCTGTTTCTTAGGGGACTTGAGCTAACACAAGTGGTACCAACAGTGAATGGTCCAAGAAAATAGGCAGTAAGATGGGATCTGGGACTGGCTTACTCACCTCCTGACAGGCAAAGAGAACATCATTCTGACTGGTACGTGGGACATGGATAGACACTAGCATAAACCAGAGCTCAGCAACTAAAGATTTCACAGGTGGCAACCTGGAAAATGATGTGGTAGAGGGAAGTTCTGTGTAAGGTGTGATGATGCAGGCAGAGAAAGATTTTGGAGGAGGAAGGAGATTACCTCCAAAGATGGGTGAATTGGTTACTGCTGAGTTGTATTGATGCCTTGCAGTGGGATAATCAGAAACTGAAAGCTCTTGAGCAGTTAATGGCTAAGCCAGATGGTTTCGTGGTATCATCTTACAAAGAGCTCCTTATGTACTGCAGTGGAAGAGCAGACACACGTGAGCAGTAGGATGAAGATCTAATTGTTAGAGTTGCAGAACTTCAGAGACATGAGACATTTGAATGCCCAGCAGCCCTATTATACAAAGGTCAGGACCTAGTGGGGATAACCTGGGACCCTGAAACATGGAATGGGGACATCTCATCGAATGCCCCTAAGAATGCTAGCACTGCAGCCCTTGCACTCCCTGGGCTTGCAGAGATGGCTTGTAAGCCCTTGTAAGAACTAACACTTAATATTTTGCTGTATGATGCTGCAGGTGCTCATCTCAGTAGCTGCCCCAACTTTTGGCTGCCAAGTCAATAACTTAGGCTAAATCCTAGCGTAACTTTGTTGAAAACATGCTGGGCCTGATAAGGGAAGAAAAGAGACTTATATCAAAAGAATTGCAGGAATTAGCTAGCATACTAGCAGGAGCCAGGGATGTATCCTTGGAATTAGATTTTTAGGGTGTTTGATCAAGGGGACTAGAATGTAAGCATAGATAAGCAAGAATTAATTTACTCAGGAGTACTATCTCAGGACATGGGATTTAACACCCTTGCAAGGACCTTAGGGGATAAGGCAAATTCACTGCTGAGGTGGCTTTTAGAAGCTTGGAAAATGCTGTGGCTAACACTCAGGGAAATGGAAAGGCCTGAGTTGCCCTTACAGATGGCACAGGAAAGGTTAAAGAGGCTTAGGAAAGTAGGCATGCTGGAATAGATGTGTAATGTAAGACCAGACATCTAACCAGAGAATCATGGGAGGACCCAGAGGACACATCATTCACCATCATTCACAGGCCTGGTGAAATGAGGTTGAAGATTTGGACACTGAAAACTACAGCAGCAGAGACTAATGTTGAACCCCTAACACAGCACTGTTCTCTGAAGAGACCAACCAGCTAGTTGGTGCCAAGTCAAGTATATCAGACTTCTTTCAACCCAAAAGAGCAAGAGTTTTATCTTCACCAGGTATAGATACTTATTCTGAGTATGGTCTTATACTTCCTGCCTAAAGATTCTCAGCTTCTCTGGGGCTTACAGAATAATTCATAGGCATGGAATTCCACACAACATAGCATCCAACCACTTTACAGTGAAGAGGGTGTGGAGTAGTTTCATGACCATGGGATTCATTGGCAATATCACATGTACCATCCTAAAGCAGCCAGCCTTATAGAACACTGGATCAGCCTTTGTAAGTACAGATGAAGTGCTAGCTCAGAGGAAATATTCTGAAAAGATAATGTGCCAATCTTCCGGATGCAGGATATATATGCAGACTTTTTTAGGATATTATATCCCCAGGGGGAAAAAACACATGGGTCTGGGAGTCAGGGCATGGAAGCAGGAGTGGCTCCTCTTATTATTACTCCCAAAATGGGGATTCATGTCCCAACTGGGAGATTTTGTACTTCTCGTCCCTGCAATCCTGGGCTTTGACAGAATTGGAGTTCTTGGTTTCAAAAAGGGGCATAATCTTGCTAGAGGTCGCACACAGCAAGAGTTCCATTTAACGTAAAGTTGCAATTTCCACAATGGCATTTTGAATTCTTTGTGTCCAGGGTCTAGCAGGCAAGAAAAGAAGTCACCATACTGGGAAGGGTAATTGGCCTTGATCAGCAGGAGGAAGTAGGACTACTGTTACATGAAGGGGGAAGGGTGGCAAATGTGTCCAACCCATTATCCATTTGAGTGCCTTGAACCACTGGAACTGTGAATGAACACGTGTGGCAACCTGAGACTGAAAAGGGTATGATTACTAAGAGTTCAGATTTCCCAGGAATGGAGGTTTGGATCACACCACTAGGTAAGGCACCAAGACCTGCTGAAATGATGGCTGTGAGTGAGGAAATTCAGAATGAATCACTGGAGGAGGGAGAGGATAAAGACCAGGTGCAGCGCTTAGATCAACTGCAGTGATGAGGACTGTAGTTTGTCTCATTATTCTCTCTATTCTTAGTTTCCCCCCAGGAAGAAAGGATAATAGGCATCATGGAGGAGCCTGTCTCTGAATTTTGAGGAGATGTATATCTGTTTGATGCAAGGGGTGAATATTTGGTGGCCTAAAAAATGTGTCTGTAACGTGTCTAACTGTGAAGAGCATAATTGACTAATGGGCCCAGCTGCTGCACTCTGAAATCCATCTCCACATTTGCAGTAAGGCCATGCTTCCCATGTGTTAACTCCCAGCTAATGACTTTCTCAGGCATATGAAGGCAGGCCTATTCCTGAGAAATGCAGAATGCCTCTGATGGGAGACTTTGGCTTGAGGATTCCCCATCAGATTTCCAAACTTCCTCAGAACTGCAGTGCAGTCTAAATGTCTTCCACTCAACTTTCCTTTCTTTTCTCTTTCAAAAGGGTCAGACCTGCATTGCAATTATATGATTCTCCTAGCTTCCCCTGGCTCCCTTCCCATTTTTCCTTACAACATTATAATCTCTTAGAACCCTCTTCTTGGTATTTGTTTTTTGGAGTACTCAAACTGATAAGCCATATATAGGATGAAATTTACAAGGCCAGTCAAAGAATATCTCCCAGGGATCTATAAGTAAAATAATTGTCAGAGATCCCACAGGGCTAGGAGCGACTCAAGTTTCTGCCATCTAATGTGTAGAGATATTTTTGAACAGCCAGGGCATTTAGTAGAGACCCCATATCATATCTTGTAGTAGGGCTAAACTATCTTACAATAAAAGGCCTTTTAGATATGCTCTTACACAGCTTAAAAACAAGACTCTTGGCTGGGCATGGTGGCTCACGCCTGTAATCTCAGCACTTTGGGAGGCCGAGGCAGGTGGATCATGAGGTCAGGAGTTCAAGACCAGCCTGGCCAACATGGTGAAACCCAGTCTCTACTAAAAATACAAAAATTAGCTGGGCTTGGTGGCACGTGCCTGTAGTCCCAGCTACTTGAGAGGCTGAGGCAGGAGAATTGCTTGAATCTGGGAGGCAGAGGTTGCAGTGAGCTGAGATTGCGCCGCACTGCACTCCAGCCTGGGCAACAGAGTGAGACTCTGTCTCAAAAAAAAAAAAAAAAAAAGACACTTAGGGACCAAGGTGATCTGCAAGTAACTCAATGGCTTGTCAAAACAAATTCTAACTTCTTTAAAGGAAATTTAAAAAATTCTAACAATCATGTAAGTGTTATAAGCCTGCCACCCAATGAAAGAATTACTATACTTGGCCGGGTGTGGTGGCTCATGCCCGTAATCCCAGCACTTTGCGAGGTGGAGGCAGGTGGATCACTTGAGGTCAGCAGTTTGAGACCAGCCTGGCCAATATGGCGAAACACTGACTCTACTAGAAATACAAAAATTAGGCAGGCGTGGTGGCAGGCACCTGTAATCCCAGCTACTTGGGAGGCTGAGGTAGGAGAATTGCTTGAACCAAGGAGGCGGAGGTTGCAGTGAACCAAGATTGCACCACTGCACTCCAGCCTGTGCAACAGAGCAAGGCTCCATATAAAACAAACAAACAAAAAAAATCAAAAAACAAACAAACAAAAAAACAGCCGGGCACGGTGGCTCACGCCTGTAATCCCAGTACTTTGGGAGGTCGATGTGGGTGGATCACCTGAGGTCAGGAGTTCAAGATCAACCTGGCCAACATAGTGAAACCCCATCTCTACTAAAAATACAAAAATTAGCTGGGCGTGGTGGCAGGCGCCTGTAATCCCAGCTGCTTGGGAGGCTGAGGCAGGAGAATTGCGTGAACCCAAGAGGTGGAGGTTGCAGTGAGCCAAGATCACGCCATTGCCTCCATCCTGGGCAACAAGAGCGAGACTCCATCTCAAAAAAAAAAAATCACTAGACTTTAAAACAACCCAGCAGCCAGATGCAGTGGCTTACCCCTATAATCCCAGTGATTTGGGAGGCTGAGGCACGCGGATTGCTTGACCAACCTGGGCAATATGGTGAAATCCTGTCTCTACACGAAATACAAAAATTAGCTGGGCATGTGGCGCACGCCTGTAGTACCAGCTACTCAAGAGGCTGATATGGGAGGATTAAGCCTGGGAGCAGAGGTTGCAGTAAGCCAAGATCGCTCCACTGCACTCCAGCCTGGGCAGCACAGTGAAACTCTATCTCAAAAGAAATTAATTAAATTAAATTAAAATAAAACTACCCAGAAAAAATGTGATCCACAATGACAATTTTAAATGATTCAATAGAAGGAGATAAAGAAATGATAATGGAATTAGCAGGCAAGGGCTTTACAACAACTTTAGAACAAGAATTTAAAGGACAACATTAACATAATGAGGAAAGAAATGGAATATTTAAAAAAAAGTCCAAATGGGTCCAGGTGTGGTGGCTCACACCTGTAATCCCAGCACTTTGGGAGGTTGAGGCAGGGAATTGCTTGGGTCCAGGAGTTTGAGACCAGCCTGGCCAACATGGCAAAACCCCTTCTCTACTAAAAATACAAAAGTTAGCTGGGCATGGTGGGACACACCTGTGTCCCAGCTACCTGGGAGGCTGAGACACAAGAATCACTTGAACCCAGGAGGTGGAGGTTGCAGTGAGCAGAGATCATGCCACTGTACTCCAGCCGGGGCAACAGAGCAAGACTCTGTCAAAAAAACAAAACAAAACAAAAGACAAAAAGGGGTATAAATAATGAACCAACAGTAGAGACAGAATGGTACTCTATCCATAGGGAAGCAGCACATGAAAGGGAAGAGAAAACAGATGCTGCAGCCCAACTACATAGATAATTACATTAAATATAAATGATTCAAATACTCCAATGACAAGGGCAAAGATTGTCTAACTGGGAAAAAAAAGCAATATCCAACTATATGCTACAAGAAACACACTATAAATATGAATACACAGGTTAAAAGGATAGAAAAAAGATGCCAACAGTGATAGTAAGAGAGTTGGAGTGGCTACATTCTTACATGAAGTAGATTTCTAAACAAGGTATACCAGGGATAAAGAGAAATTTCATAATGATAAAAGGGTCAATGCACTAAGAAAATATAACAGTTTTAAATGTGTATGCATTTAATACCAGAGCTTTAAAATACATAAAGCAACTACTGATAGACAATCCACAAATATAGTTAAGATTTCAATACTCTTCTCTCAATAACTGATAGAACAAGTAAGCAGAAAATTAGTAAAGACATAGGTGGCTGGGTGCAGTGGCTCACGCCTGTAATCCCAGCACTTTGGGTGGCCGAGGCAGGCAGATCACCTGAGGTCAAGAATTCAAGACCAGCCTGGCCAACATGGTGAAACCCCATCTCTACTAAAAAATACAAAAATTAGCCGGGTGTGGTGGCATGTGCCTGTAGTCCCAGCTACTTGGGAGGCTGAGGCAGGAGAATCACTTGAACCTGGGAGGCAGAGGTTGCAGTGAGCCAAGATTGCGCCATTGCACTCCAGCCTGGGTGACAGAGTGAGACTCCATCTAAAAAATAAAAAGACATAGGTTATCTGGCTGGGTGCGGTGGCTCATGCCTATTAATCCTAGCACTTTGGGAGCCCAAATGGGTGGATCCCTTGAGACCAGGAGTTCAAGACCAGCCTGGCCAACATGGTGAAGCCCTGTAAATACAAAAAATTAGCAGGGTATGGTGGCATGCGCCTGTAATCCCAGCTACTCAGGAGGCTGAGGCACAAGAATCACTTGAACCCCAGAGGCAGAGGTTGCAGTGAGCTGAGATTGTACCACTACACTCCGGTCTTTGGGACAGAGTGAGACTGTCTCAAAAAAAAAATAAATAAATAAATAAATAATAAATAAAAAAACATAGATGAGCTGAACAATACTTTCCACCAACTTTGATTAACTGGCATTTATAGAACGTGATATCCAACAATGGCACAATACACATTTTTTTCCAAGTGCAAATGTTACACTTACTAAGATAGACCATATTCTGAGCCATAAAACAAGTCTCAATAAATTTACGAGGATTGAAATCATACAGAATATGTTCTCTGACCACAATGGCATCAAATTAGAATTAATAACAATACAATGTTTAGAAAATCCCCAAATATTTGGAAACTAAACAATCAATTCTAAGTAATCTATGCATTACAGAAAAAACACCAGGAATAATGGCTGGGCATGGTGGCTCACGCCTGTAATCCCAGCACTTTGGGAGGCCGAGGCAGGCGGATCACCTGAGGTTGGGAGTTCGAGACCAGCCTGACCAACATGGAGAAACCCCGTGTCTACTAAAACTACAAAATTAGCTGGGCATGGTGGCGCATGCCTGTAATCCCAGCTACTTGGGAGGCTGAGGCAGGAGAATCGCTTGAACCTGGGAGGCGGAGGTTACAGTGAGCTGAGATCATGCCGTTGCACTCCAGCCTGGGCAACAAGAATGAAACTACATCTCAAAAAACAAAAAAAAACAAAAAATAAAAACAAAGAACAAACAAACAAAAAAAACCCAGGAATATTGGCAAATATTTTGAACTAAATGATAATGAAAACACAAGATATCAAAATTTTTAGAATGCAGCCAAAGCAGTGCTTTGAGAGAAATTTATGGCTTTGAATGCTTATATTAGAAAAGAAGAAAGATCAGGGCCGGGCAAGCTGGCTTACGCCTGTAATCCCAGCACTTTGGGAGGCCAAGGAGGGTGGATCACGAGGTCAGAAGCTCGAGACCATCCTGGCTAACACGGTGAAACCCTGTCTCTACTAAAAATACAAAAAAATTAGCTGGGCGTTGTGGTACACACCTGTAGTCCCCGCTACTCAGGAGACTGAGGCAGGAGAATTGCTTGAACCCAGGAGGCAGAGGTTGCAGTGAGCTGAGATCGCGCCATTGCACTCCAGCCTGGGTGACAGAGGGAGACACCATCTTAAAAAAAAAAAAAGAAAAAGAAAAGAAGAAAGATCTAAATTTAATGACCTAAGCTTTAACTTTAAAATGTTAAAAAAAAAAAAGGCTAGAAAAGAACCAATGAAACCTATAGTAAGTAGAAAGAAAGAAATAATAAAGGAAATAATTCAATGAAATAGGAAACACTAACTAGAGAAAAATCAACACAACCAAAAGTAGGATGATTGAAAAGAATAAAAAAAAAAATGATAAACTTAGGGGCCGGGCACTGTGGCTCACGCCTGTAATCCCAGCACTTTGGGAGGCTGAGGCGGGCAGATCACCTGAGGTCGGGAGTTTGAGACCAGCCTGACCAACATGGAGAAACCCCGTCTCTACTAAAAAAAATACAAAATTAGCCAGGCATGGTGGCACATGCCTGTAGTCCCAGCTACTCGGGAGGCTGAGGCAGGAGAATTGCTTGAACCCGGGAGGTGGAGGTTGTGGTGAGCCAAGATCGCACTCCAGCCTGGGTGACAGAGCGAAACTCCGTCACAAGAAAAAAAAAAAAAAAGATAAACTTACTAAACTGGTCAAGAAATAGAGAAACACAGTTTAACAATATCAGGAATAAATGAGAGATGTAACTATGTAATCTACAGACATTTCACTTAAAATTGAAAATTTATCAGTATATAGTTGTTTTTGACACCCTCTTACTATTTTGTAAAAGTTGATAAGATTCTAGTGAAGCTCTTCCCCCACTTCCTGCTCTGTCACCCAGGCTAGAGTGCAGTGGCACTATCATAGCTCACTGCAGCCTCAAACTCCTGGGATCAAGTGATCCTCCTGCCTTAGCCTCCCAAGTAGCTGGGACTACAGGCACATGTTACCATGCCCAGATTTTTTTTTCTTATTTCTTTTAGATACGGGTTTCATTATGTTGCCCAGGCTGGTCTTAAGCTCCTAGTCTCAAGCTATCATCCCGTCTGAGCCTTCTGCCTGAGCCTCCCAAGTAGCTGCGATTACATGCACCAGCCAGCATCCTTAGCCCTTTTTCATTCTTGAACTTAGTAACTTGTGTTTTTTCTAATTTTTTATACCAATAATTTATTAAATTGCCTTTTCAATGAAGTGATTTTCTCTAGTGTATATTTGTTTGCTATGGTATTAATGTCTGTTCCTATCTTTTTTTTCTTCTAATGTCCTTAGATTCTGTTTATTTTCCAATTTAAATCATTGATTATCAGCCATTGTTCTTTTCTCGGAAGCATTTTACTTATTAATTTGTTTTTAGTTAAACAATCATTTTACTGCTTGAGTACATAGACAAATTTATGCGAGCAGGGCAGAGGCTGTTTGTTGATGACTCATATTTCCAACTGGGAGGGAGGATTCACTTGGTCTTATAATATCTAGCCAAATGGTGAATCCGGCTCTCTGTCAGAATCAGGCATAGTTTAGCATCCTTATCCTTTCTGTTTTGTTTGAGATGCTTTCAAATAGCAACTGCTTTCTTGATTGAATGGTACAGATCATCAGGGAGATCAAGAGCAAGTCCCTTGGACTTAAGAATTCTTAAGATTTCATTGCCTGTCACAAAGCGTACTTGTGCAACACATGTGCATCTCTCAGGATCACACTGACTTGTGAGGGAGTCAGGCCCTTTTTGGCCAGTTTGTAAATCTGCTCCTTCATGTCATCAGGTATCAACTTCAGCTGAGTGGGGATCCTGCAGCGATAGGGCAGAGCCCCTCCAAGGAGCATGCATGTGACCCATGATGGCTGCGGTCAGGCAGCGAAAGGCAAAGTATTTAAATGCATAAATTTACTTCTAAGCACAGCTTTAGCTGTATCACATGTTTTTGTATGTAGTATTATTTAGTGTTATTTAGTAAGCTTTTCTTCCAGTTTCCAATATGACATCTACTTTATTCCATGAGTTATTTAGAAATGTAATTCTCAGTTTCCAAGCCCGTGGGGAATTTTGAAATTAATATTTAGCTTAATTAGAGTGTGGTCAGAGAATCCCTCTGTATTATTTCATTCCTTTGAAATTTATTGATTTGTTTTATGTGCCAACATATAGTAAATTTTTGAACTGAAAAATAATTCTGTAATTATTGGGTGCAATGTTCTATAGGTGTCAGTTCAAGAGTGTTAATTGTGTTGTTTAAATCTTTATACCATATCTGATTCTTTGGCATGTGTCCTGTTTATTTGTTATTGAGGGTTATGTGTTAAAATTCTTCAAGCATCATTGTGGATTTGTCTACTTCTTCATTTAATTCTATCAGTTTTTAATATACATTTAAGGCTATGTTATTAGGTGCATTCAGTTTAGGTTTGTTGCATTTTTCTGGTGAATCGTACCTTTTTTTCATTATGAAATATGTCTCATTTCTAGTAATGCTTCTCACATTACAGTCTACTTTATGTGTTATTCATATAGCTACCTGTTTTGTTTAGAGTTTGAATAGTAACTATTTTTGTTTTCTTTTACTTTGAATATTCCTACATATTTATATTTCATATAAATGGTTATTTTATAAGCAATATATGGTTAGGTTTTAAATTTTCTATCCAGTATGACCATCTATTTCTTTTTTTGGAGCATTTTATTTGGAACCTTTTTTATTTAATATAGTTACTTATATGTTTGGTTTTATATCTACCACCTCGCTATTTACTTTCTATTTGTTCCATGTATTCTGTTTTCCTTTCTTTCTCTGTTACTGCTTTTTTAAAAAAATTATTGAGTATTTTTATTATTCAATATTTCCCTTTATCAGTGTGTTATGAGATATATATATTTGACAATTATAAGCAGATTTTTGTCACATTCATCTGTGACTTACCAGAGTTTAATAAAATTAGTATTTTATTCCTTCTAGACAATGAAAATACCTTAGAATACTTCAACTCTATTTGCTTCTCTCCCTACTTATGTGCTAATGATGTCATTTTTAAATTTTACATATATTAATCCTACAATACATTATTATTGTTTTAGACAGTTAACATTTACTCTTTTGTTACTATTTATTCCTTCCTGCATTTCCAAGCTTACACTGGGGTCATTTTTCTCTGTCTAAAAAATACTCTTTAGTATTTCTTTTAATGCAGACTATATGATGACAAATCCAGTCATTTGTATTTTCCCGTACCTGTCTTTATTTTACCTTCATTTTAAAGAATTTTTAAATTGATCTTAAGTGTTCAGTTGAATGAGTCGTGACAATTGTATTCACCCACGTAACACCACATAAATAAGGTATAGAACACTTCCATTTCCCCAGTGCTGGTTGCCAGTCAATTTTCTGTTTACCCACAATGCAACCATTTTCTGATTTCTGACATCATAGATTAGTTTTTCTTGTTCTTGGACTTCATGTACCTTGAATCCTATAAATGAAATATAATACATATAGTTTTGTGTAATGTTTTCAAAATCCATCCATGGTTTGCAGTTAACACTTACTTGTTAATTTCCTCTTTAAAATTTTTTTTGTTAAATTTTTTTGAGACAGGGTCTTGCTGCATCACCCAGACTGGAGTGCAGTGGCATGAACACAGCTTGCTGCAGCCTCCACCTCCTGGGCTCAAGCAATCCTCCCACCTCAGCCTGTCAAGTAGCTGGGACCATAAGTGCATCCCATCATGCCTGACCAACTTTTTTATTTTTTGTAGAGATGGGGTCTCGCCATGTTACCCATGCTGTTCTCAAACTCCTGGGCTCAAGTGATCATCCTGCCTCAGTTTACAAAAGTGCTGAGATTACTGCCATTCTTATAGCTATGTCATGTTCTAGTGCATGACTATAATACAATTTCTTTATCCAATCTCTAGTTGATGCACATTTGAGTTGTTTCAATTATTATGATTAAGGCTGCCATGAACTTCCTTGCACAAGTATTTTTGTGGATCTATGCCTTCGTTATCCTTGGAAAAATACTTAGAAGTAGAATTGTGTGGTCATAGGGAAAATGTATGTTTAAATTTAGGGGAAATTACCAAACAGTTCTCTAAGATGAGATAATTGTTTACACTCTCACCAGCAAAGACTGAGAGTTCCAGTTGCTCCATAGCTTTATAAACATCTGATATTATCACTTTATCCAATCTAGTGGGTGTATAATGGTACCCCATTGAAGCTTTTTTTAAATCGAAGTTTTAATTTGCATTTTCCTAATGAATAATGATGTTGAGCACCCTTTCACATGCTTATTGGCCATTCTTATGTCTTTTTTGTTTGTTCAAATACTTTGTACATTTTAAATTGGATTTTTGTTGTTGTTGTTAATTGTTAGTGGTTCCTGATACATTCAGGACACAAGTTTTTGGTCACACATACGCACTGCAAATATTATCTCACAATTCGTGGTATGTCTGTCTATTCATTTTCTTAACAATATTTTTTCTTTTAAAGGCATAAACTTATATAAAATAAAATGCAAGGGCCCTAACTATTTAACTTTATGAATTGTGGCAATTAAATATACCCATGTAACCACCACCCAAAGCAAGATATAAAATAATTACATCTCCCCTTATCCTCCTTTCAGCCAATGCCTCCCATCAAAGGAAACCAGTATCTGACATCTATCACTAAAAGTTAGGGTTTTTTTGTTGTTGTTTGTTTGTTTTGTTTTGTTTGTTTTTTGAGACAGAGTTTCGCTCTTGTTGCCCAGGCTAGAGTGCAATGGCACAATCTTGGCTCACTGCAACCTCTGCCTCCTGGGTTCAAGCAATTCTCTTGCCTCAGCCTCCCCAGTAGCTGGGATTGTAGGCATGTGCCACCACACCTGGCTAATTTTGTATTTTTAGTAGAGATGGGGTTTCTTCATGTTGGTCAGGCTGGTCTCAAACTTCTGACCTCAGGTGATCTGCTCACCTCGGCTTCCCAAAGTGCTGGGATTACAGGTGTGAGCCACCACACCTGGCCCCATTTACATATTTACTATATGTTTCCAGTTAGATAAAGTTCAAATACAAATAAAACTAACCTCTGGACTCTTTCAAACTCCTGACCTCGGGTAATCTGCCGGCCTCGGCCTTCCAAAGTGCTGGGATTACAGGCATGAGCCACTGTGCCCGGCCAAAGATATTCTTCTAAAAGTCTTAAAGTTTTCCATTTACATTTAAGTCCATAATACATATAAAATTATTTGTTGTGCTTGGTATGAGGCAAGAATTCAGTTCCTCTTTTTCTGTGTGGCTTACCAATTGTCCCAGTCTCATTTATTTAAGAGTCTATCCTTTCCCCACTTATTGTCAATACCATTTATTGACAATACCATCATATATTAAGTTTCTGTACATGTGTGGGTTTTTTATGCTCTTTATTCAGTTCTACTGGTCTTTTACCCTTACACCAATTCAATGGTGTCTTAATTACATCTTTAACGTGAATCTTGATGTCTGGTTAGACACATGCTTCTACTTTGTAATTACAACTTTAACATGAATCCTGACGTCTGGTTAGACACATGCTTCTACTTTGTTCTTCCTTTTTTTTTTTTTTTTTTGAGACAGAGTGTTGTTCTGTCACCCAGGCTGGAGTGCAGTGGCACAATCGCAGCTCACTGCAACATCCACCTCACAGGTTCAAACAATTCTCCTGCCTCAGCCTCCTGAGCAGCTGGGACTACAGGTGCCCACCACCATGCCCAGCTAATTTTTGTATTTTTAGTAGAGATGGGGTGTCACCATATTAGTCAGGCTGATCTCGAACTCCTGACCTGTTGCGGGAAGTCAGGGACTCTGAACTGCCTAGTGGAGCTGTGAGAAGAGGGCCACCATCCTCCAGACCCCAGAATGGTAGATTCACTTGTTATGGGAAGTCAGGGACCCCTGAACGGAGGGGCCGGCTGAAGCCGCGGCAGAATGACATAAATTGTGAAGATTTCATGGACATTTATCACTTCCCCAATCAATGCTCTTATAATTTAATATGCTTGTCTTTACTTTAATCTCTTAATCCCATCATCTTTGTAAACTGAGGATGTGTGTCACCTCGGGACCCTGTGATGATTGCGTTAACTGCACAAATTGTTGTAAAACATGTGTGTTTGAACAATATGAAATCTGGGCATCCTAAAAAAGAAGAGGATAACAGCGATTTTCAGGGAACAAGGGAGATAACCATAAGGTCTGACTGCCTGTGGGGCCAGGCAGAACAGAGTCATATTTCTCTTCTTGCAGAAAGCAAATAGGAGAAATATCACTGAATTCTTTTCCCAGCAAGGAATAACCCTGGGAAAGGAACGCATTCCCAGGGGGAGGTCTCTAAAATGGCCACTCTGGGAGTGTCTGTCTTATGCAGTTGAAGATAAGGGAGGAAGTACACCCTGGTCTCCTGCAGTGCCCTCAGGCTTGCTAGGATTAGGAAATTCCAGCCTAGCGAATTCTAGTCAGACCAGTTGTCTGCTCTCGAACGCTGTTTCCTGTTAAGATGTTTATCAATGACAATGCGTGCCCAGTGGGACATGGAACCTCACCAGTAATTCTAATTTTGCCCTGGCCTTGTGATCTTGCTCTGCCCTTTGCCTTGTGATCTTTTATTGCCTTTTGAAGCATGTGATCTCTGTGACCCACTCCCTATTCGTACACTCCCTCCCCTTCTAAAATCCCTAATAAAAACTTGCTGGTTTTGTGGCTTGGGGTTGCCATCACAGTCCTACCAATATGTGATGGCACCCCCGGAGGCCCAGCTGTAAAATTTCTCTTTGTACTCTTTCTCTTTATTTCTCAGACCAGCCAACACTTAGGGAAAATAGAAAAGAACCTACTTTGAAATATTGGGGGCTGGTTCTCCCAATACTGACCTTGTGATCCACCTGCCTTGGCCTCCCAAAGTGCTGAGATTACAGGCGTGAGCCACCACACCCAGCCTCTTATCTCTTTTCTTTTCTTTTTCTTTTTTTTGAGACAGAAAGTCTAGCTCTGTAACCCAGGCTGGAGTGCAGTGGTGTGATCTCAGCTCACTGCAGCCTCCGCCTCCTGGGTTCAAGCGATTCTCCTGCCTCAGCCTCCCGAGTAGCTGGGATTACAGGCATGCGCCACCACACTCGGCTAATTTTGTATTTTTAGTAGACACGGGGTTTCTCCACGTTGGTCAGGCTGGTCTCAAACTCCCAACCTCAGGTGATCTGCCTGCCTTGGCCTCCCAAAGTGCTGGGATTACAGGTGTGAGCCACCGCGCCCAGCCCATCTTTCTTAAATAAGACACAAAAAGCAAAAGCAAAAAGGAAAAACCAGTGACCAAATTTAACTGTACTTGGGCCCGGTGGTGCATGTCTATAGTCCTAGCTCCTCCAGCACCTGAGGTGGGAAGATCGCTTGAGCTCAGGAAAGTCAAGGCTGTAGTGAGCTGAGATCACACCACAGCACTCCAGACTGGGGAACAGAGGGAGACTCTATCTCAAAAAGAAAAAAAAATTAACTATATTAAAATTTAGGACTACTCTTCATACCAGAAGAGTAAAAAAGTGAAAAAGCAAGTCACAACTGGGAACTTAGAGAATTTACATAACTTATATAATTATACCTCAAACACATGGTGAATTCCTAAAAATCCACAAAGAAAAAAGACAACATACCGCAAAGAAAAGTGAGCAAAAGATAGATATGTCACAAAAGCAAGAAAGTGAATGGCCAAAAATATGAAAAAAAAAAAAAGCCTCAGCTTTATTAGTAAGCAGGGAAATGGAAATTAAAACCACAGATTCTAGTTTTCATTCTCACCCAGTTGGCAAAAGCTTATTGTCAACACCAAGTGTTGGTGAGGACATGGGGCAATGGAAATGTTCACACTCTGCTGGTGGGAGTGTAAATTGGGAAGACTACCTGGCATTATCTAGTAAATTGTAGATGGGCACATCCTGTGACCAACCATTCCTCTCCTTGGTTTTTATTCTGGAGAAAGTCTTGCACATGGACTTCAGGTGACATGTAAGGATGCTCCCAGCAGTGTTGTTTGTTACAGCAAAATCTGGAAACAGTCCAAAATCCATCAATAACAGACTGGATAAATAAACTGTCATGTATTATTAATATATATACACACAGACACAAACATGAATGAATTATATACACCAACATGAATAAATCACAAACAGTTTTCATAAGAAGAGCAAGTCACATTATGGTTCCACATATTTACGTTAAATACATACAAAACTAAATATATTTTAAAATACACAATATATGATTTGATTATAAAAAAAGCCAAGGAATAATAAATACAAAATTCAGCATAGCAGCCCTGTCTGTTGGGAATGTGATCAGAGAGAGCATACCTGGAACCTCAGTGTTACTGGTAATGTCATGTTTCTTGAGTCAAGAGTGCAAGGGAAGGCTGGGCACAATGGCTCATGCCTGTAATCCCAGCACTTTGTGAGCCTGAGGAAAGTGCATCATTTGAGGTCAGGAGTTCCAGACCATCCTGCCCAACATGGCTAATCCCTGTCTCTACTAAAAATACAAAAATTAGGCGTGGTGGCACGCACCCGTAGTCCCACTACTCAGGAGGCTGAGGCACGAGAGTCGCTTGAACCCGGGAGGCAGAGGTTGCAGTGAGCTGAGATTGTTCCATTGCACTCCAGCCTGGGCGACACAGCGAGACTCCATCTCAAAAAAAAAAAAAGTGCAAGGGAACTTGTTTTATTATTAGTCTTTAAATATGTTAATTGTATTTTTGTCGATATTATTTTTCACAATAGTATCTTAACAAAAACAAATCTTACAAGCTACAGGGGTTGTGGGGCAGGCAGTGGGAAGAGATGGGCTTAGTTAGTAGTCAATACAAGAAGTGCAAGAATCTTCTAACTCATTCCTCTAGGTGATTAGTAACCTTCTGTTTCACTTTTTAATTTAAAATTTTAGTTATGTATTTTTCTTATGAAATATTTCATAAATACAGAAAGGTATAGAATATCATAATCACCTATGTGTCCATAACCCAATTTAAGGTGTAAGGCTTGGCCAAGTGCAGTGGCTTACGCCTGAAATCCCAGCACTTTGGGAAACCTGAGATGGGAGGATCACTTGAGGTGAGGAGTTCGAGACCAGCCTGGGCAACATGGTGAAACCCGGTCACTACTAAAAATACAAAAATTAGCCAGTTTTGGTGGGCACTGTGTGACCCAGCTACTTCAGGGACTGAGGATGCTTGATCCCAGGAGTTGGAGGTTACAGTAAGCTACGATCACAGCCTGCACTCCAGCCTGAGCCATAAGATGGAGACTCTGCCCCAAAACAACAACAAAAAGGTCTAAGACTTTACAAAAATAGTGGAAGCCCTTTGTGTAACCCTCCCTCATTGTATTCCCTTTCCTGCATCCCCAGTAACCACATTTCTGAAATTTGTACCACTCCTTTCTATGCTGGTCTTCCTACTTTTACTGACATATGCATGTACCCTTAAAGGTTCGTATTGCACTGTTAGGCATGTTTGGCATTTTATATACATGGAATTATGGCATCATTTGGTCCTATCCTTCTGCAACTCTTTTTCCCAATGTTATTTTTAAATTTTTATTTAGAGACAGGGTCTCACTTTGTCACCCAGGCTGGAGTGCAGTGGCATGCTTACAGCTCATTGCGGCCTGTAACTCCTAGGCACAAACGATCCTCCTCCAGAGCAGCTAGGACTACAGGCACGTGCTACTATGTCCAGATAATGGTTGGATAATTTTTCTTTTCTTTACTTTCTTTTTTTTTCTTTTCTTTTCTTTCTTTTTTTTTTTTTTTTTTTGTAGAGACAGGGTCTTGTTGTGTTGCCTAGCCTGGTCTCAAACTCCTGGGCTCAAGCCATCCTCTTGCCTGGGCTTCCCAAAGAGCTGGAATTATAGGTGTGAGCCACCATGCCTGGCCCCCAATATTTTTCTTAATGTTTGTCCATGTTGATGTGGCAGGATTCTTTGTATCCAGTTTTAATTTATGTTTCCAATCCCCCAACATTTTACAAACTTTTTGTTATGGGAAATTTCAAACATATACACGAGTAAACAGAATCTCATAATAAGATTTTCATAATTCCTCCTGTTACTCATCACCCAGCTTTAACAGTTATCAACACGTGGTCAGTTTTGTTTCATCTATTACCCAATTCATTTCCCACCCTCTTGTATTATTTTGAAGTAAATTCCAGACATCACATAATTCTTTCCTAAATATTTCAATATGTGTTTCTAAAAGCTTAGGGTTCTTTTTATAAAGATATAATCACTTATCACACCACAAATAATTAACAGTTTCTTTTTTTGAGACAAAGTCTCGCTCTGTGGCCCAGGTTGGAGTACAGTATCCTGATCTCGGCTCACTGCAACTTCTGCCTCCTGGGTTCAAGAGATTCTCTTGCCTCAGCTTCTTGAGTAGCTGTGATTCCAGGCGTCTGCCACCATGCCCAGCTAATTTTTTGTAGTTTTAGTAGAGACGGGGTTTCGCCATGTTAGCCAGGCTGGTCTCAAACTCCTGACCTCAAGTGATCTGCCCGCCTCAGCCTCCCAAAGTGCTGGGATTACAGGCGTGAGCCACCGCACCCGGCCAACAGTTTCTTAATATCATCAAATATCCAGTGTTCAAATTCCCAAATTTCTCATGTGTCATTTTTCACATTCTGTTTGAATCAAGTCTTTATTTTTGTTTTGCTATTGTTGTGTTTTTTTGTTTTTTTGTTTTTTTGTTTTTTTTTTTGTGAGACAGAGTCTCGTTCTGTCACCCAGGCTAGAGTGCAGTGGCACAATCTCAGCTCACTGCAACCTTTGCCTCCCTGCAACCTTCACCTCCTGGGTTTAAGTGATTCTTGTGTCTCAGCCTCCCAAGTAGATGGGACTACAGGCACACACTACCATGCCAGGCTAATTTTTTGTATTTTAGTAGAGATGGGTCTCTACTAAAGTCTAAAGTTCTGGTCTCAAACTCCTGACCTCAACAATCTGCCCACCTCGGCCTCCCAAAGTGCTGGGATTATAGGCGTGAGCCACCGTGCCTGGCCAAGTCTTTGTTTTATTTATTTATTTTTATTTTATTTTTAACTTGCTGATATGCTACCCCATGCTGAAGATCTCACTCTAGTGAAGCGCAGTTTTCTCACTCCATTGATGGGTTAAGAATATAGACTTCTTCAGGTGGCTTGTAGGACCCAAGAGCATTTTCCACAAATGCCTGGTCTGTACATCACTGAATTTCTTTTTCTTTTTTGAGATGGAGTTTCGCTCCTGTCGCCTAGGCTAGAGTGCAATGGCGCGATCTCGGCTCACTGCAACCTCTGCCTCCTGGATTCAAGCGCTTCTCCTCCCTCAGCCTCCTGAGTAGCTGGGATTACAGGCACCTGCCACCATGGCCAGCTAATTTTTGTATTTTTAGTAGAGATGGGCTTTCACCATGTTGGCCAGGCTGGTCTCAAACTCCTGACCTCAGGTGATCCTCCCATCTCAGCCTCCCAAAGTGCTGGGATTACAGGCGTGAGCCACTGCGCCCAGCCTCATCACTGATATTTATTAACTCTTTAATGTTGTTGGTTTTTTTATGCTTCCTGTGGTCCTTATATAAAGAGCTCCTTTAAAGTCTTTCTTCTTAACATCTCATTAGATGGTTATGCAGTTACTCAGGATTTACCATATTGAGTAAAATAAATAATACTTGTTTACTAATAATTCATGCTAAGCAAATACTGATTTCCATAATCTTACCATCATTGCTCTTCCTTAAAAGTGAAGAGTGTGGGGTGAGATGAAAGAGTGAGGAAATAACCAAATGAGATAATGTCCGGGTAAGTAGACTGTGACCTGAATGGTACTGTACAGTGCTGACAGCTTCTTAGCCTAGTCTTACATTCAGGCTCTCATCCAACATTTAGGCTGCTGCAGCGTGGCATTAGACAATGCATGTCTAATGCATGCAGTCTTGCCAATTGCTCTGTGTTGTTGGCACAGTGGTGTTTCAATGACAATTTCATTATTTTCCTTTTTTTTTTTGAGACAGAGTCTCGCTCTGTCACCAGCCTGGAGTGCAGTGGCATGATCTCAGCTCACTGCAACCTCTGCCTCTTGGATTCAAGCAATTCTCGTGCCTCAGCCTCCCGAGTAGCTGGGATTACAGGCACGCGCCACCATACCCAGTTAATTTTGTTTGTATTTTTAATAGAGATGGGGTTTCACCATGTTGGCCAGGATGGTCTTGATCTCCTGACCTCATGATCCGTCTGCCTTGGCCTCCCAAAGTGCTGGGATTACAGGCATGAGCCACCGCGCCTGTCCTATTTTCCTCTTTTTTGTAAGAATAAAAATGAGTAGAATTGGGAAAAAAAATGAGGCTGCTGGTGCTAGTGATTGGAAGCATTGCTCTCATAAGTGTGCTGAAAGAAGACAAAGACAAGCTCCTCAGAGGCACTGAGAGCAATGAATTTTTAGCCTCATCTGAACTCTTAGTCACGTGCCAGCTGACATATATTCAGTTGTTAAGAATAAAAGGAGGCTGGGTGCTGTGGCTCATGCCTGTAATCCCAGCACTTTGGGGGGCTGAGGCGGGTGGATCACTTGAGCCCAGGAGTTCAAGACCAGGCTGGGCAACATGGCAAAACCCCATCTCTACTGAAAATATAACAAATTAGCTGGGCATGGCAGTGTGCACCTGTAGTCCCAGCTACCTGGGAGGCTGAGGTGGTAGGATGACCTGAGCCCAAGGAGGCTGAGGCTGCATGGAGCTGTGATGACACCCCTGCACTCTAGCCTGGGCAACAGAGGCAAGACCCTGTCTCCAAAAAAGAAAAAGAAACAATATCTACAAATTCTAAAAATACATTGTTCAATGCGGTGATTAAAATGTGAAATATAATTGGGCATTTCATAATATTTTTAGCTTTCTGGGAATGAACTGCCCTTAACACATTTAAGCCTATTGTTTGACTTTCATACATTTGTCTTTTTGATATGTTTCAGAAACACATTATGTTCAGAAACATGGAAGGGCCCATATGTGAGTAAAACTTCCTCTCTCATAGTTACCCACAGAGTTACAACTCTGGAGATAGAGTGAGGAAACCAGCCTAGACCTATCACAAGGTTGTCATTCTCAGCCAGCCTGGAGAGAAGGGCAGAGAAGAAAGGGGGTGGGTATCTTGCCCAGGAGAACAAGCCACTTTTTCTCTGGCAGCCCAGGGCAGTCATTTCATGAGAGGCCAACCTGATGACATGTGCCCCATTCACATGGTCAAAATATGCTGTCCAGCTGCTCTGTTTCCTCATGTGGTAGGCGCTACAGGTGTCATCTTTTGGTATTTGGGTGATGCAGGAGCCTGAACAGCCTCATTTGAAGTCTTGATGACATTCAGAACCTGGCAGTGACTTAAAGTGTCATTTAGTACAAGAGAGAGGACTCCTTCAGCAGTTAGGATTGGAAGCCCAAAGGGGCTGTTTACCTCATGGCCTTGAGCATCTGCAGACAGGATCAGAGGATGCAGTATGGGCATGCAGCCTTCACCATCTGCTCTGCCTTGAATTGCAAGTATACCAAGAATGCTCATCACAACTACCTTCTCAGAAAAAGGAGGCTAGAAGTGATTCATAGCCCTATGCAATATTTTAGGTCCAATACTGTGTATTTATTTTGGCAAAAGCTTTGGGAGCACAGGAAGTCATAGTACAATGGTATCACTTGACTCTGACATCGCTAATATTACTTTTCCCTTGATAGTACACTAAACTCAGCTATGTTAAATTATATTTCACTGTATTTGCCCTCAAGAGATAAATTCTGCTTAATAGTAGGGAAATGGTCCTGGGCCTAAAATCTAGCTTACACTTTGAGATTCTTCTGTAAAAGAGAACCTCAGAGGAACAGAAACCTATAAGGATGATCATGAGCCTCAACTTTATTCAACAAACATTGGTGAATTGTATTTGAATTGCCCTGTTTGCTAACTAGAATGTGAACAGTTGTACAGCAAGGAACCAAGTTTTCTTCATCTTTTATTCCCCCATGGAACTTATGGCACTTAGCACGTAGCAGGGATTCATTAAAGCAGAGCAGAAAAGATGTGCATATAAATAATTAGAGTACAAGAAAGTAGTTAGGGATGAGAAAGAGACGGTGCATGAGCTGTGGGATCCCAGAGGAGAAGAGATGACTTTCAGCTGGAGGAACTGGAAAGGCTTCACAGGGTGGTATCAGCTAAGCTAGGTCTTGACAAATAGCTGGACCTTAACAGATTGAAATTTAGAGGATAAGAGTTATCATATATTGAACTGTGCCAGGCATTGTGCTAAGCATTTGACATGCCTAATCCAACTGAATCCTCCCAGCAACTCCATGAGAAATATACCCTTATCCCATTTTATTTATTTAGTTTTCCATAAAATTTAATAAATTAGAGATGGGTGGTCTTGCTATGTTGCCCAGGCTGGTCTTGAACTCCAGGGCTCAAGCAGTCTTCCTGCCTCGGCCTCCCAAAGTGCTGGGATTACAGGCATGAGCCAATGTGCTCAGCCTCATCATCCTATTTTAGAGCTGAAGAAACTTGTGGCTCAGGCAAATTAAGTGATTTTCTCAAAGTCACACAGCTGGTAAGTGACAGAGCCAGGATTCTACCCAGTCTGAAATAAAGGGTAGTTCTCTTTTTTTGAGATAGTTTCGCTCGTGTTGCCCAGGCTGGAGTGCAATGGCACAATCTCTGCTCACTGCAGCCTCTGCCTCCTGGGTTCAAGCGATTCTCCTGCCTCAGCTTCCTGAGTGGCTGGGATTACACGCATGCGCCACCATGCCTGGCTAATTTTGTATTTTTAGTAGAGATGGGGTTTCTTCATGATAGTCAGGCTGGACTCGAACTCCCGACCTCAGGTGATCCACCTGCCTCGGCTCCCAAAGTGTTGGGATTACAGGTGTGAGCCACCGCGCCTGGCCTAGGGTAGCTCTTAAACACTGCGCTATACTGGCCCTAGTTCTAGAAATGAATTCAGTGGTTCAGTGTTTGGAAAAATATGGACTATGTTCTAAAAGCATTTACTAGTGATATGGCTGGAGGATGGAGTATATGGAGGGTGCAGAGCAGAGGGAAATAAAGTTGTTTGGTAAGTCAGGGACAGGTCACAGAGAACCTTGCATGCTATGCTAAGGAACTGGGAGATTTTTGGAAGGTGATGGAAACATTAAATGCCTATTAGTGAAGTGGCAGGACTAGATATGTACTTTAGGAAGACAACTCAGTATGAAGGGGCGGGATGAGAAGCATAAAAACCAGTTGGGTGGCTATTGCAGTAGTGGCGCAGGAGTGAAAAGGCATGCATAGCCCCAGGAATATGTAATCCTGCAAGCCTAGTTGAGATTGTTTCATTTTAAGGAAAAAAAAAAAAAAGCTATGTTCAAAAACCTAGACTCCAAACAACATAAATTAGGGAATAATTCTTATTTTTTTATGTGATCTATATTAAAGCTTTTAAAATAAGATTTGGTTTATAAAATTTTTTGCCCATGAATCTTTAGGAACTGCATAAATTGACCTCTGTTTATATAACATTCTTTACTATTTATTTATTTATTTGAGATGGAGTCTTGCTCTGTCATCCAGGCTGGAATCCAGTGGTGCGATCTCGGCTCACTGCAACCTCTGCCTCCCAGGTTCAAGTGATTCTTCAGCCTCAGCCTCCCAAGTAGCTGGGATTACAGGCACATGCCACCACGCCCAGCTAAGTTTTGCATTTTTTAGTAGAGACGGGGTTTCGCCACGTTGGCTAGGCTGGTCTCAAACTCCTGGCCTCAGGTGATCCTCCTGCCTCAGCCTCCCAGAGTGCTGGGATTACAGGTGTGAGCCACCATGCCCAGCCTATATAACATTCTTTAAAGGAACATTGACAATCAATTGTTACAAAGGAATATGGCAAATTTCCATATATCCCTTATAACTAAAACTGTTTTTTGAAACTTAGAAGGGTGAGAGGGGAGTAAGGGATGAAAAATTACTTAATGAGCCTGATGTGCACTATTCAGGTGATGGTTACATGAAATAACCCAGACTTCGCCGCTATGCACTATATCCATGTAACATAACAACACTTGTACCCCTAAATCTATAAAAACAAAACGACAACAAAAAACCTTTTTTTACATGACTCCATGTTTTCTTCTAACCTTTGTGAATGGCACTAAATAGGTGAAATAAACCTATAAATAAAAAAGTCAAATTCTTAAAATATTTCCAACAAAACAGAAACCAGCAGCATCAGGCCTGGGGAAACTCCCATAGACTGTTGCTTCTGGACTGTGCTCTGGATGTACAAGTACTTCCCTTGTCCACTGTGCTCACTCACATTCCTGAGCTATGTGTGTAGCTCTGACACAACGTGTGACACCATGGCATTGGCTCATGACATGGAATCTCTACTTCTCCAGAGGGGAACCTTTGAGTCGTTCGTGAGGAAGCAGGTTCTCTAATCTTCCTTTCATGGAGAGTTCATTCTCATGATTTCCCACTTGAACGCGGGAGGCAGAGGTTGCAGAATAAACAAAGAATAAAAAATTAGGTTTGCTGTGAAATCTCATCACCCACTTTATGGGGTCTTCTCAGCGAAGCTAGAAACATGTCCCATTTAACTGCAGAGCCTGTGAGAGTGACAGTACTTCACATCTCTCCAGTGGCCAACGTTTTTCATTTGCTGCCTAAAACATCATCTGGATATTATAGGATTATTAATTTTAAGTATTGGAGTGATTTCATTAAAATGAGTTTTTATCTTTTAGAGATAAATATTAAAGATTTAAAGTTGAAATTACGATGCCTGAGATTTGCTTCAAAACAACACAGGATGGAGGAAGTCAGTTGGAGTGCAGACAAAATAATAATGGCCATGAGTTGATGATTGTTGAAGCTGGATAATGGGTACATGGGGGATTACTATACTATTCACTATATAAATTAGTGAATGGCTGGGTGCAGTGGCTCACGCCTGTAATCCCAACACACTGGGAGGCCGAAGCAGGTGGATCACGAGGTCAGGAGTTAAAGACCAGCCTGGCCAACATGGTGAAACCCCATTTCTACTAAAAGTACAAAAAATTAGCTAGGCGTGGTGGCAGGCACCTGTAATCCTAGCTACTTGGGAGGCTGGGGCAGGAGAATCGCTTGAACCCGGGAGGCGGAGATTGCAGTGAGGCAAGATTGTGCCACTGCACTCCAGCCTGGGTGACAGAGTGAGAGTCCATCTCAAAAAATAAATAAATGAATAAATAATTTAAAAATTAGTGAATAATTATTGGCTTTACAAAAGGTCTGCTGTTGTCTATGTTTGAAATTATAAATAACTTAAAAATGATCACTGTTTAGGTATAGAACAGAATTAGCAATGTTTAGATTTGGGGGTGAAATACTAATGAATTGTTTCTTGAAATATGTGCATGCCCAATAATTTCTCTTCTTTCTTTCTTTTTTTTTTTTTTTGGAGACGGAGTCTCGCTGTGTTGCCAGGCTGGAGTGCAGTGGTGCAATCTCTGCTCACTGCAACTTCAGACTCCCTGGTTCAAGCTGTTCTCCTGCTTCAGCCTCCCGAGTAGCTGGGTTTACAGGCACGTGCCACCACACCCAGCTAATTTTTTTGTATTTTTACTAGAGACGGGGTTTCACCATGTTGGCCAGGTTGGTCTTGAACTCCTGACCTCAGGTGATCCGCCCGCCTTGGCCTCCCAAAGTGCTGGAATTACAGGCATGAGCCACTGCACCTGGCCAGTAATTTCTCTTCTTAATAAATAGTACACTATTCAATCCACCTACTGTCTCCAAGCCTGCACTAACTCTGTACAGCTGTGATTAGTTGTGGATGCATTTGTCTGTGCCTTTTATCTGTGTTCTTAGAGCTTTTTTACCTCTGACTTCCCTTTCATTAGATTAGTAACCTCATTGCGGCAGGACTTTCTATTTAACTGGCCCCTCACCCTATGGCTGTAAGTACTATGATGTCTCAAGTATGAGAAAATAAATTGTTAAAGACAAGATATGAGATCAAACAGTGTAAGTCAACATTTTTCAAAAGGCTGGCAAAGGGATAGTGATTATGTAAATGTTGGTTTATGTGTCAGAAACATCTGAGTTCAATTCAGTCACCGACAGTGATTCCCTCTGAAGCTCGGGAGAATGTATCACACTTTTTCTTCCTGTAAAATAGAAATAATCTAGTCTCAGGGTAGAGAAGTGAGAGGAGAGAAATAGGAGAGAAACAGGGTTGGGGATGGCAGCCATGTTTTCCAGTGACCCAGTTATTCCCAAGTGGTGGGGACCATGGACCTATCCTCAGGTGGCTGTGTCCACCATTGTTGGTCTGTCTCTTATTGGTGTGCGTCTTCTGAGTAGGTGAACTTGCCACCATAAGTCTTCTGAAGCAGCTGTAGCCCATTTTCCTCTTTTAGCATAGAGTTGTAGAAAATTTTATTGTTGGCCGAGTGTGGTGGCTCACATCTGTAATCCCAATGCTTTGGGAGGCCTAGGTGGGAGTATTGCTTGAGGCCAGGAGTTCAGGATCAACCTGGGCAACATAGTGAGACCACCCTCACATCTCTATAAGAAATTTTAGGCTCGGTGTGGTGGCTCACACCTGTAATCTCAGCACTTTGGGAGGCTGAGGTGGGTGGATCGTTTGAGGTCAGGAGCTCGAGACCAGCATTATCAACATGGTGAAACCCTGTCTCTACTAATAATACAAAAATTAACCGAGTGTGGTGGCACACACCTGTAATCCGAGCTACTCGGGAGGCTGAGGCAGGATAATCGCTTGAACCCAGGAAGCGGAGGTTGCAGTGAGCCAAGATTGCACCACTGCACTCCAGCCTGCACGACAGAGTGAGACTCTGTATCAAAAAAATAAATAAATACATAAGTAAAATTAAAAAAGAAAGAAAATGTTATTGTTGAGAAAGATCATAGCATTATTTTAAAGGTGATCCAAAGGCTCTGAGTGTGCAGGAACTTGCTCAAGGTCATAGTTATGCACCGAGGCTCAGACTAGAAGCCAGGTCTCCTCAACAGTTCAGTATATGAGACAACTCTCTGCCTCCACCCAAGTCCTAGAGACATTCCTTGGGGGCCTATTTTGAGGATCTTAGGCTGATAGGAATCAAGGGATAGGTTAACAGCTGCCCTATATTGAGAACTATAATCTCTAGTTTTGGCTTTCAAAAAGAAGTGTAGAGAGGGTGACTTATCTCTTAAGCAACCTGCTAAAATGACCGAGCCAATTGCTGTGGGGGAAGGGTGATGTCATCTTGTCCTTTCTGGCCTCCACACTGAAACTGGGAACTACTCTCTTGGTAAGGAAATAAAGGAGGAAGTGAAGAAGATTCATCATTGCTTAAGGAACCTGATATGTGAGCTAGGATTCCCTAGCTTTCGGCTGAGGCAACAGGGCGAAACTTTCTCACTCACGTGTTCTCAGGCCCCAGCTGAGAAGGGATGGAGCACTGCTGGTTGTTGGGGCTGGCCCATTCACCTGCGCAGTCTGAGCAGCTTGTGGGAATTCTAGAGATGTCAGATCTTCATGGCCGGGCGTGGTGGCTCACGCCTATAATTCCAACACTTTGGGAGGCCGAGGTGGGAGGATCACCTGAGGTCGGGAGTTCGAGACCAGCCTGACCAACATGGAGAAACCCCGTCTCTACTATAATGCAAAAATTAGCCAGGCATGGTGATGCATGCCTGTAATCTCAGCTACTCAGGAGGCTGAGGCAGGAGAATCGCTTGAACCTGGGAGGCAGAGGTTGCAGTGAGCCGAGATCACGCCATTGCACTCCAGCCTGGGCAACAAGAGCGAAACTCCATCTCAAAAAAAAAAAAAAAGAAATGTCAGATCTTCTCTGTTTGCATTGTTCAATACTTCTGGAAAGTTTTCTTTAGTAGAAACCTTGTATAGTAGTTGGGAATGGATAACTGGCAAGTGTGGCTTGGATATAACAGGTAAGATTTGATTATTTGGAAGTTTTTTTCAACTAAATGGACATTAGCACTTAAGATTCCACTTCCCTTGGCCCTATAAAAGTGGCTAAGAGGCTGGGTGCAGTGGCTCATGCTTGTAATCCCAGAACTTTGGGAGACTGAGGCAGGCAGATCATGAGGTCAGGAGACTGAGACCATCCTGGCTAACACGGTGAAACCTCATCTCTACTAAAAATACAAAAAATTCGCCAGGTGTGGTGGCACGCATCTGTAGTCCCAGCTACTCAGGAGGCTGAGGCAGGAGAATCACTTGAACCCGGGAGGCAGAGGTTGCAGTGAGCCGAGATCGCACCACTGCGTTCCAGCCTGAGTGACACAGGGAGACTCCATCTCAAAAAAAAGAAAAAAGAAGATGAGCAGTGAACAGGCCCACACTCCAGGGCCCAGAAGGACAGACATGTCCCGTCATTTGAGCTCTTGGAATCCTAGGCAGGCTCTCAGTCCTAATTATTACTCTAGAAATAGGTGCTTTTCAATCATTAAGAATACAGAATTATAGCTTGAAAGTATAACACCTAGCCACCCTTCTGAAGTTTTCCCCGATATAAAAGGAGCCCTGGCTTTTCCCTGCTTGCAGGCAGGCAATCCTCGAGTATAGCCTATGTGAGATCCCCGGCTCTGTCTCCTTGAAGAACTCCAGGATGAGATGAAGTTCCCATCAAGTCCTGTGCCCATAGCCTAGTCCAACCTTGTGTTTCCTCTTTTGTCAAATACTTCCTCAGGAGCCAACTCAAATCTTCCTTGCCTTAATTTGGGCCTATTTCTGGATTAGTCATATGGTAGCATAACTTCTTAATCATTATTAAGTAGCTGCTCCTTGAAAAATTTTTATGAGCTTTGAGCCTCTCAGGAGAAAGATATTTTAAATCCAATAAATAAATACACAAATAAACAAACATGGCACACTTTAGACTTTGAATCAAGTCGAAGGGAGGATGGTAAAGGTAGCCTGAGAATCCAAACTCAAAATGAGACCTTGCAATGAGCTACAGGAGCCGATTCTTCAAGATAAAAGAGCAGGGCCTGGGCTGACACAGCAGGGAAAGATGCTGACTCTGGATTCACATGGAGTAGAAGCCAATGCTGACCTTTTTAAATGGAACATCAAGAGCCCAAAGATGTGAGTTAGTTAATGACTCTGAGGATATAGGGACGGGGATCTAACCAAGAGACACTGCAGGAACAGGTAGGCTCTAGGACCCTGAGGGGGTGATGCATTTCTGGGGCAAGGGATAGAAGGGAATAAAGCCATGCTGAGCCCTTCAAAAAGGATAGGTCAGGCACCACTGGATGGTGGATGTCTTTGTCTTAGGGGAACCATCCAGGCCATTTGTGAATCCCTGTGTCTGTCCTGTCACATAGCAGCCGTCTCCAGGTTTTAACCTGTGCTCATCTTTCTGCATGCCGAGCTTATATTATGGTTTTTATGTTTAGGTCCCCTTGGTAGTAAATATCTTCTGGATTCTGATTGTTTGTTTATGCACATACTGGTGTATACCTTTCTCCCTCTGTTCCTTCATACTGTTTTACAAAGCCCACCTCCTTGCTTACTTATAATTGCCCATAATAATGGTCATAGCTGTGGTATTCAGAGTGATTCACATCCTTGCGTAATGGGCTGTTACCCAGGCTTATTGTAAGTCCTGAGGTGTAATTCTAAGTTCATGAGCACAAGAAAGATAGTCATTGTTTGATTTCTGGGATCCTCTTTCAGAAATCACCTGAAAAATTCATTGATTCCTTCCGAAAACATCATGAATTGTGTCTTCTGTCTTCTTATAGAAGTTATCATTGTGATTATCCTCATTTGACATGAGAAAACATCAGCATGAAAATGAGTAACAGCTCTCTTTATAATTTAGGTGCTTCATTTACCTCCATACATGGTTGTTTTAAGAGAGCTTAAATGTATCTGAATGGAATTCAGATCAATTCAAGAATTCTAAGAATTTCTGATGAGTTTTAAACCTTACCAGTTTAATAGAACTGTCCTGGATGGCTGAATCTATGCCTGTCCTGGTGTCCTTCAGTGGGAACTGTCAGTCTCTATTTGTGTCTGGCACAGGTTGCTCACCAAAGGGCAAACGCAGGATGGCTCAGGACCAGAGCTCCACCACTTGTGGCAGAGCCACTCAGAGCTGCTGACCTGGGTATATGAGGCCAGTCACATTGCTTGTGTTCTACACATGAGAAGACAGTAGTGTTAAGGGAAAAGATGTTTCTCTGTCATCTCCAAGACAAAGTGGGCGAGTGCAGTACCTTGGCCTCAGGCAGGCACATCTGCTCTACCACCAGTGTGCTGCAGCCATACCTGACTTTCCAGTTCCTGTGGAACGCACATAAACTGTGTTGTCTGCCCATGTATAAAGTGCTCTTGCAATATGGCACTGATCGGTCAAATTAAGTATACGCATATTCTATGATGAGATTTCTGTGTCAATTGACACCCTCCCCTTTCCTATACCAACCAGGACAGATGTTGCAAACAGAAACCTGGTGGAAGTGAGAATGAGGGGATGTTTGTTTGCGGGGCCACGTCCCACAGTTTTACAGACTATATCCTCAACTAGGCTCCACCTGAGGGAGTGAGTAGGAGCTGAAACCCAACCTGAGCTCCACATTGCTGAACCTTCAGCTTTACTGTTGGGGCTGCATCCTTCAGGAGGAAAAGGTGCCTTTTTTTTTTTTTTTTTTGAGAAGAAGTCTCGCTCAGTTGCCCAAGCTGGAGTGCAGTGGCACGATCTTGGCTCACTGCAACCTCCGCCTCCTGGGTTCAAGTGATTCTCCTGCCTCAGCCTCCCTAGTAGCTGGGACTACAGGCGCACACCACCATGCCCGGCTAATTTTTGTATTATTTTTTTTTTTAGTAGAGATGGGGTTTCGCTATGTTGGCCAGGCTGGTCTCGAACTCCTGACCTTGTGATCCACCCACCTCGGCCTCCCAAAGTGCTGGGATTATAGGTGTGAGCCACCATGCCTGGCTGAAAAGGTGCCTTTTCTGAGGCACATAAATACACCATATAAGCAAGAGACTGCCTAAAGATTCCCACATGGGCCCAAAATGAATCACACATGTGGCTGCTTATGGTAGCATTGTCTTGGTGGTGGGAAGTTGGAGGCACTTGGGGGTGCCCAGTACTGGGGAAGCAGAGAGGACAAATGTGGCGGGTGCACACTATGGAGTACTCTGCAGCAGTCAGAATCATGGACTAGATGTTTACATAGCAAGATGTATAGGGTTTGTTTTTGTTTTTGTTTTTGTTTTGTTAAGACAGGATCTCACTCTGTTGCCCAGGCTGGAGTGCAGTGACATGATCTCAGCTCACTGCAGCTTCGACTTCCTGGTCCTCCCACTTCAGCCTCCCAAGTAGTTGGGACTACAGGCAAGCACCACATGCCTGGCAAACTTTTATATTTTTTGTAGAGACAGGGTCTCACCATGTTGCCCAGGCTGGTCTTCAACTCCTGAGCTCAAGTGATCCTGCTGCCTTAGCCTCCCAAAGTGCTGGGATTACAGGCATGAGCCACCATGCCTGGCCTAACATACATAGGTCTTAAAAACAAAGTGAGAAGTGAAAAAAAGGAAGACAGAATGAGATATATAACACAATAATACTAATGTAAATTAAAATACATGCAAACCAAACAACACACTTGTAAGGTACATGGATGTGCTTTGGTCAAGGATAGACCAAGGTAAACATCCTGCATGACTCAGTGGGATTGGCATGCCGGTGCATAACTCCATTTGTAATATAATCACAGTTATGTAGCCATAACATGGGAAGGCTCATCACCTAGCTCGGAGCCACTATTGTTCGTATAAGGTACAACTGCCTTGCTGACACTGTGCATACAGCACACACCCAGAGAAAGAGAGAGAGCCAAAGCTCTCCATCTAGTAGATGGACAGAGGGGAGCCAGGGCTCGGCTTGACTTGTGCCCAGAGAGAGAAAGAGTTAAGCTGCTGACCCCATAGGGAGAGCTGGCTGTGCAGCTGTGTGTGGGAGCGGCAGGAGCCGCAGAGCCAGAGCAAGCAGCCAAGACAGAGACAGACGGTGTAAGAGAGCCGCTGAATAAAACCATACTTCATCTGCCTGCAGCCCTCTGAGTGTTCTTTCAGCTATCTGCCACCCATCCACCCACTGCCTTCGGACCTCAGCATGGACCAGAACCTGACCCTGGGCATGACAACACTTCACATGAATGCATACATACAAACCAAAAAAAAAAAAAATATATATATATATATATATATATATATATATATGTATATATTTGCACCATTGCACTCCAGCCTTGGCGACAAAAGCAAAACTCCGTCTAAAAAAAAAAATAAAAGAAAAGTAAGGGGCTTTGGATGGACTGATCATAGTATAATGAGCCATGAACTGAAAAGTGCGATTAACTTAATACTCTATACCTGAGCCCTAATAATTTCTTTTTTTTCTTAAGTGCTCTGGGCCTTGCCATTTGACGTTTTCCTCGACCCAGCTGTTGACCACTAGCATGGCTTTAACAGCATGATCATAGCTTTTTAATAATCTTATTGACAGAAATTTACACCTGGATTCTGTGAGCTGTCTTATAACACGCTGACCTTTATCAAACTCAGGGATATATGATGCTGTCTTGCTCTTTTGCTATCTTGCTCTTTTTTTTTTTTTTTAAGAGACACAGGTCTCACTATGTTGCCCAAGCTCGAATGCAGTGGCTATTCACAGGCACAATCATTGCACACTACAGTCTCAAACTCCTGGGCTCAAGTGATCCCCCCGTTTCAGCCTCCTCAGTAGCTAGCACTACTAGCTGAACGCCACTGTGCTGGCTTTTCCAGCTCTTTAAAATATTTGAAAGTTACCTCGTTTTATCTGTAGTTTTTTAAAGTTTCCTGATGCCCATAAACAGAAATGAAACCATGTACTTTCTTGGGGATCTAACTAAAATGCAAAAGCTATGTTAATGAGGAATAAGCACCACAAAGAATAAAAGAAAACCCCTAATTCTGTTTGGGCTGGTTTCCTAGAAATCCTGTGCCCACTTTTTGCATCGAGCCAAGGCTGGCAATATGTGGATAGGGCTAGTCCCTCAGGCATTGAGATACAGTGCCTCAGCTTCTTCAAAGATAGGTCTAGAACATTCTAGACCAATGCAATCAAAAAGTACCTGGTGGAGCCAGGCATGGTGGCTCAAGCCTGTAATCCCAGCACTTTGGGAGGCTGAGGAAGGAGGATTGCTTGAGCCCAGGAGTTCAAGACCAGCCTGGGTAACACAATGTCACTACAAAAATTTTAAAATTAGCCTGGCATGGTGGCACACACCTGTAGTCCTCGCCACTTGGGAGCCTGAGGTGGGAGGAGCAGTCGAGCCCAGGAGTTCAAGGCTGCAGTGAGCTATGATTGTGCCACTACACACCAGCCTGGGTGACGGAGTGAGACCCTAACTCTAAAACAAAATAAATAAATAAAAAGTACCTGGTGCTAAAAATTACACCATTTTAGGGCCAGGCGTGGTGGCTTACGCCTGTAATCCCAGCACATTGGGAGGCCGAGGCAGGTGGATCACCTGAGGTCAGGAGTTGGAGACCAGTCTGACCAAAAAGTTGAAACCCCAACTCTACTAAAAATACAAAAATTAGCTGGGTGTGATGGCAGGCACCTGTAGTCCCAGCTACTTGGGAGGCTGAGACAGGAGAATCGCTTGAACCTGGGAGGCGGAGGTTGCAGTGAGCCAAGATCATGCCACTGCACTCCAGCCTGGGCAACAGAGCAAGACTCTGTCTCAAAAAAAAAAAAAAAAAAAAGTTACACAATTTTAAAACAACATTTGAGTCAACCCAGCATCATTTTTGAGATACTCTAAGATATTTCTTGGCCTACTTGTGTGTGCCTCTTAAGCTGAAACAAGCCCTAGTATTCTCTAAAGTAGCATGTGTTCCATAGATACCCAATAATTTCAAGTTAGGTTAAATGACCTTTTACCATCCATGTGAGGACTCCTCTTGCCTATATGGTATCTATGCATATTAGAAAAGGTGCTTCTTCATCCTGGAGATGCAGTCCCACAGTAAGGCACAGGTGTGGCAAGTAGAGCTGGATTCATCTCAGCTCGTCTCCTTGGCTGTTCATGGCACAGTATGTACAACTGTAGGATATGGCCCTGCAAACAAACTCCACCCTTTCTCTCTTCCACCAGGCTTCCATTGTTTGCAACATCTTTCCTGGCTGGTGGAGGAAAGGCAGGCTCAACTGATGGTCCTAATCTCCAATGGGGGCAATAATATTGCCCACCCTACGTGCTCTTTTGGAACTTTGCTACTCTAAAGGTAGAGTCTGATTCCACTCTCTTTGAGTCTGGGGAAGCTTGTGACTTGTACCCAACAGAAGACAGCAAAACTAACACTCTGTGATTTCTGAGGTTAGGTTATAAAAAGTGATACAGCAGCCAGGCACGGTGGCTCACACCTGTAATCCCAGCACTTTGGGAGGTCGAGGTGGGTGGATCACCTGAGGTCAGGAGTTCGAGACCAGCCTGGCCAACATGGTGAAACCCTGTCTCTACTAAAAATACAAAAAATTAGCTGGGCGTGGTGGTGCATGCCTATAATCCCAGCTACTCGGGAGGCTGAGGCAGAAGAATCACTTGAACCTGGGAGGCGGAGGTTGCAGTGAGCCGAGATGGTGCCACTGCACTCCAGCCCGAGTGACAGAGTAAGACTCCATCTCAAAAAGGAAAGTGATACAGCATCCACCTTGTGGCTGGAACACTTGCATTTGTAGACCTAAGCTGCTATGTAAGAAGTTTAACTTGCCATTCTGTGAGAAAGCCAAGGCACAGAGAGAGGCCATGTGTAGGCGCTGTGGTCAGCAGTCCTAGTTTTTGAATGCGTCAGGCCCAGCCACTGACACGTGAGTAAACAAGACTTCAGCTGCTTCTAGCTCCCAGTTGTGAAGTCATCCTCAGGCTGAATCTTCCCAGCTGAGTCCCTAGACAGCTTGGAGCTGAGAGAAGCCATCCCCAACTGGGTCCTTTCTGAATTCCTGACCCATAGACTCTGTAAACACAATAAATGGGTTGTTATTTTATGCCACTAAGTTTGGGGTGGCTTGTTACACAGCAATAATAACTAAAAGACCCATTATCTTCAACAACACCAAAAAGTAGGGCTATAAAAAAAAAAGGAAGAATTGTTATAAATTAAGGCTGGGCACAGTGGTTCAGGCCTGTAATCTCTAGAACTTTGGGAGGCCAAGGTGGGAGGATCACTTGAAATCAAGAGTTCAAGGCCAGCCTGGACAACACAGTAAGATCCTGTCTCCAGAAAAAAATAAAATAAAAAATACCTGGGCATGGGAGTATGTGCCTGTAGTCCCAGCTACTAGAGAAGCCGAGGTGGGAGGATCGCTTGAGCCCAGGAATTTGAGGCTACAGTGAGCTATAATTGTGCCACTATACTTTAGCTTGGGCAACAGGGAGAGATCCTGTCTCAAAAAACAAAAACAAAACAACAAGAAAAATAATACACATACACATATATACATGCCCACATATATATACACACACACATATGTATGTTATAAACTAAAAAAGACATAAGAGATATAACAAATACAAATGACATTGTTTTGCTTCTGATTAGAATAAACTATTACAGAATGACATTTAGGAAAGTCAGGGCAAATTGATTTCTGGCTGGATACCAGTTGATATTAGGAATTATTTTTAATTGTTTTATATGTGACATAGTGGTTATTGAAAAAAGTCCTTATTTGTTATAGAATTTATAGTATTTAAATATGAAGATAACCATGATTTGCTTTAAAATTTGCTTTAAAATGATGGTGAGGGAGGGGTGGGGTATAGATAAAACAAGACTGCCATATATTGTTAATCGTTGAGGCCAAGCAATAGGTAATGGGTGTTTATTATATTATTATCTCTACTTTTGTGAGTATTGAAAACTTCCCATAAGAAAAACTGAACATGCCTCTATGCATGCCTGGGGGCTTGTAAGACCCAGGATTCTACCCCAATATGGGGGATTTCATGCATGGAAACAGACTAGCAGAGAAAGTCATATTCTTAGGAAAAATGTTTTGGGCACTCCTTAAATCTTTGGTGACTAGAAATCCACTTGAAAACAGAATTCCCTTCCCTGACAGTACCTATTCCAGTGTTAGGTACACAGGGTGGGGAGGAGGGAAATTGATTGGAATTAAGAAACCTGATTAATTCAGAATTAATGCACCAGCTTCCTCTGAAGATTAGGTAGTATTCAATTTTCAGCCTTTCAGAAATATATTCGTCAGCATAAAGACAGGCGAATGGGCTGCATGTTGCTATGCAGACGACACAGTTTGGAAGGGCCTTCTGTTTGCTTATGGATTCGCTCTCCCTTGAAGAAAAACTATTAACTCATGCTGCAGCCTGCTGCTCTCTGCTTGGTGTTGGCTATGTCACCGAGCCCAAAATAGAAAGTTCTTTTACTGCAGAGAGGGAAGGAGGTTTAAATTTATCAATTCAAATAACAAAGGGTAGAATTATACTGGCTTTTCTCGGGTGGGGAGTAGGGGGAGATAATGCCTATTTCATTAGGAGAAAAAGTGATCTGACATTGGCAGGGGCTGGGACCAGAAGACAAGCTTGCACTGTGGTGATTGGGCTTGTTTCCCATCCTGGCCCCCCTCACTCCCTCCTTCCAACAGTGTCACCTCTTTCAGGACATGGGAAAGCATCTGAGCCACTGGGTAATCAGTTCCAGAAATATCACTGAAATTATCAGACTGGGAACGATTCTCTGAACCAAATCCCTTCTCGCTCAGCTTCTGAAACAGTCAGTACCTTACCACAAAGTTAAACAGCAGGGAGATGTTATCTTTCTCCTATGAAATGGTCAAAAATCTTTTAAAGATTCCCAGTGTTGGAAGGAGTTTGGGGCAATGGGCATTCTCCTGCATTGCTGGAGGAGAGGCAAACTGATCTAACCACCTGGAAAGCAACTTGACAACATAGATCCCAAACCATGGAAACATCAATACCAGAGGATATGGATCCAGAGGCTCTCTCATCCATGGCTGGGGGAAGCGTCAATTGATTTTCTAGAGAAATGCTTGCACGGGTACAACAGGAGACATTGACAATAATGTTCATAATAGCAGCGTGCGCAAGAACTAAATCCTAGAAACAATGCAGTTGCCCATCAGTAAGAGAGTAGATTATAAACTGCGGTATATTTATGTATTGGATTATTTTACATCAGTCAAAATGAATGAACTACAGTGAAATGCAATGATACAGACGGATTTTAGCAAAATATCAAGTGAAAAATAAAATAAATCCTGAAAGATTACATACAACATAATATCCTTTTTTATGAAACTCAGAACAATTTAAAAACTATTCTTTAGGAATATGTACAGATATTGGCCAGGCGTGGTGGCTCACGCCTGTAATCTCAGCACTTTGGGAGGCCGAGGCGGGGTGGATCACTTGAGGTCAGGAGTTCGAGACCAGCCTAGGCAATACGGTGAAACCCTGTCTCTACTAAAAATACAAAAGTTGTCAGGAGCAGTGGCTCATGCCTGTAATCCCAGCACTTTGGGTGGCCGAGGTGGGCGGATGACGAGGTCAGGAGTTCAAGACCAGCCTGGCCAATATGGTGAAATCCCGTCTCTACTGAAAATACAAAAATTAGCCAGATGTGTTGGTGCGCGCCTGTAGTCCCAGCTACTCAGGAGGCTGGGGCGGGAGAATCGCTTGAACTGGGAGGTGGAGTTTGCAGTGAGCTGAGATCATGCCACTGCACTCCAGCCTGGGTGACAGAGCGAGACTCCGTCTCAAAAAAATAAATAAATAAAAATAAAAATACAAGTTAGCCAGGTGTGGTGGGACACAGCTATAATCCCGGCTACTGGGAAGGCTGAGGCAGGAACCCAGGAGGCAGAGGTTGCAGTGAGCCGAGATCATGCCATTGCACTCCAGCCTGGACAATAAAGTGAGACTTTGTCTCAAAAAAAAAAGGAATATATACAGGTATAATAAAACTATATAAAAAGGAAAGCAAGGAAATGAGCACAGGATTCAGGATGATTGTCTGGGGTGGGGAGCAAGGAGATGGGGCAGTGGGGGCAGGAGGAACTATGGTTAGATATTAGTTTTGTCAAGGTCCTAGCTTTTGTTTGGGGTTATAAATTCACAGGTACTGATTACGTTATTAATGAATTTACCACCTAAATTAACAAAACCAGGCCATCCATATGCCAGTTATGAGAGTGAACCATGAACCAAGCATTCTGGTTAATCTAATTCTGTATACCTGACATTAAAAAAACAAAAACAGGGTATAGCATTTTGTGTAGTCAGTCAATTCACTTCTAAGCATTTATCTTAAGGAAATAAGCAGAGATGCATACAAAAATTTATGAACAAGAACATTTACCACAGTATTTATAAATATAAATATAGGAAATAATCTAAATAATCTAATACCAAACTAATAGATTAGTTATATAAATTGGGTTATATCAATGTGCTAGAAAACTAGGTACTCTCTAAAAATATTATTTTCTAATAGTATCTAAGTATATGAGAAAATGCTCATAATATGTCAGTTGAATAACACAGTACACAATATGAACCCAGTTTTTAATTTTCCCTAAGTATATATATGCACCAAAAAAGCTGGGAAGGAAGGGCTGGGCACAGTGGCTCACATCTGTAATCCTAGCATTTTGGGAGGCTGAGGTGGAGGATCACTTGAGCCCAGGAGTTTGAGACCAGCCTGGATAACATAGTGAGACCTCATCTCTACAAAAAATACAAAAATTAGCCAGGTGCAGCGGCAAGCGCCTGTGGTCCCAGCTACTCAGGAGGCAGAGGTGGGAAGATCACTTGAGCCCAGGAGGTCAAGGCTACAGTGAGCTGTGAACATGCCATTGCACTCCAGCCTGGGTGACAGAGCAAGACGATGTCTCAAAACAAACAAACAAACAAAAAACAAAAACAAAAAGACAGCCAGGAGCGGTAGCTCACACCTGTAATCCCAGCACTTTGGGAGGCTGAGGGGGGTGGATCACTAGAGGTCAGGAGTTTGACACCAGCCTGGCCAACATGATGAAGCCCCATTTCTACCAAAAATAAAAAAATTAGCCAGGCATGGTGGCCTGTGCCTGTAATCTCAGCTACTTGGGAGCCTGAGGCAGGAGAATCACTTGAAACCCAGAGGCAGAGGCTGCAGCGAGCTGAGATAGCGCCACTGCACTCCAGCCTGGGCGACAGAGCAAGACTCCATCTCAAAAAAAAAAGAGAAAAAAAAAAAAAGCAAGAAAAAATTAAGCTGGGAATACTGTACATCAAAATGATAATAGCACTTATCTCTGGATGTTATGATTGTTTCTTCCTTAAACTTGCAGTAGTTCACAAATTTGCTATAGTGAAGATTAATTTTTTTTTCTTGTTGAAGGTTTTTTGTTGTTGTTGTTTTCATATTTTTTTTAGTAGAGACGGGGTTTCACCATGTTGGCCAGGCTGGTCTCGAACTCCTGACCTCAAGTGATCCGCCAACCTAGGCCTCCCAAAGTGCTGGGATTACAGGCATGAGCCACCACGTCCAGCCGTGAAGGTTTTTTTAATAACCAAAAATAATCATATTATAAAAATAGATGTTAGTAATAACTAATGTAGATAGAGTACTTATATGCTAAGAATTTTACAGAAATTAATTTAAAGCTTAAAATAATCCTATGAGGATAGTACTATTATGATCCCCATGTTACAGATGAAGATACTAAGATTTAAGGGGATAAACAGCTTGCATGAGGACACGGATGATAAGAAATGGTGCAGAAATGGTACCCTCTAGAATCGGGCTTCTAGAGGGTTCTTCAAAGGGTACCCAATGGTAGAGTCTTGGTCTCCCAAACCCAGAAATGGCTACACTCAGATGATTTCTCCTAGAACAGTACTGGGAACTGAATGGCCTGATGAGGAACCTGAAATTCACACAGAGAAAGAGGCCCCCTTGGGGTGTCTGAGCCAGAGCCGACACAAGGCAGCTAACCAGCGAATATAGAGAGGACAGACATGGAGGAGCCCCAGTGCCCAAGCCCCTGAGGGTTTCTTTTTTTTTCTTTCCTTTTTTTTTGAGACAGAGTCTTGCTCTGTTGCCCAGGCTGGAGTGCAGTGGCGCCATCTCTGCTCACTGCAACCTCCACCTGCTGGACTCAAGCAATCCTCACACCTCAACCTCCCAAGTAGCTGGGACAACAGTTGCCCACCACCACGCCTGCCTAAATTTTGGATTTTTAGTAGAGACGGGGTTTTGCCATGTTGCTCAGGCTTGTCTCAAACTCCTGAGCTTGAGCGATCTGCTCACCTTGGCCTCCCAAAGTGCTGAGGTTACAGGCATGAGCCACTGCGCCTGGCCCCTCCACAAGGTTTTCTTTTCTTTTTTTAAATGTTTATTTCTTGCCCCCCTGAGGATTTCTGATGAGCTCTTGAGAGAATAGGAGATCCCAGTGACTGGAGAGTCAACTGGAGGGCAGAGATGTTTTACTCATGGCTCTGACCAGCTCGGGCTCCCACCAGACAATGCAGGACTGGCTTCTAGAGCCTTCGATGCAGAGGAGGAGAGAGCTCTATGGATGGGACAGAGCCAAGGTCTCAGCTTTGGTCTCTTCTCATCACTCATGCTTTAAATATAAGCTCTAATGTCATCAAGGCACCAGAGATAAAATGCCTTTCTCAAGCTAAGCAGACAGGCTCTGGTATCCAATTTGGACAAGATAGTGGAAAACAGACTCAGGGGGAAAAAATCTCTTGGCCTCAGCACCAGCACATGGGAGTTGAATCTGACACCTTAACATTGTACAATAAACAAATGTAGGCATGGTTTCCTATGTTTTCTTCAAAACATCTAGAATAGATCTGATTGGAGGGAATGATTTTAACAATTAATTCTTCTCTCCTCAGCTGAAAAATTCTGGATTATCCTCCAAGATGTAACTAAACCATCAGCTTCTGTGGAAATACTTCCCAGCTTCCCCAAGCAACAGGGCCATCCCTCTTCTGTGCATGTTTAATAAATAATTTGTTTGCCTGTTGGACTGTGTGTCTCCCCTGAGCATAAGCTCGGTAGACAGTGTAGTATGCAACTTCGGGCTTGCCCTCCTTTCTCAGCACCCCTCTCTACCACCTCTCCTTCATATGCATTCCTATGCCTGCTGTGGGGTAATTGCTAATTAAATGTTGATTGCTGAAATAGAGAGCTATGGAGGTTCAGGAATGGTCTTCTAGATTTCCCAGAGCTGGGACTCAAACCCCTTTTTGGATCTCTGATGCTTGAGAGAATCTGATGAAAGCTAAGAAACTTTCCCCAGAAAAAAAAAAAGCACATGCAAAAGAAAATTCCCAATTGCATAGCACTAAATACCCATACTAACACACACACAATTATGTGCATGTAAAACTGGGGAAATCTGAATAAGATAGGTGAATTGAATCAATATCAATTTCCAAGTTGTGATATGGTACTATAATACTGCAAGATGTTACCACTGAGAAACTGGGATCTCTCTGTATTATTTCTTATAGATGCATGTGAATCTAAAATTATCTCAATAAGGCCAGGTGTGGTGGCTCACGCCTGTAATATCAGTACTTTGGGAGGCCGAGGTGGGCAGATCACCTGAGGTCAGGAGTTCGAGACAAGCCTGGACAAGATGGTGAAACCCTGTCTCTACTAAAAATACAAAAATTAGCCAGGCATGGTGGTATGCACCTGTAATCCCAGCTACTCAGGAGGCTGAGGTGGAGGAATTGCTTGAACCCAGGAGGCAGAGGTTGCAGTGAGCCAAGATTGTGCAACTGCACTCCACCCTGGGTGACAAGAGCAAAACTCTGTCTTAAATAAATAAATAAATAAAAATAATCTTGGCCAGGCCCGGTGGCTCATGCCTATAATCCCAGCACTTTGGGAGGCCAAGGCAGGTGGATCACCTGAGGTCAGGAGTTCAAGACCAGCCTGGCCAACATGGTGAAACCCTGTCTCTACTAAAAATTAAAAAATTAGCAGGGTGTGGTGGTGGGTGCCTGTAATCCAGGCTACTTGGGAGGCTGAGGTGGGAGAATCGCTTCAACCCGTGAGTTTGCATCGTGAGTTTGCAACCCGGAGTTTGCAGTGAGCCAAGATCACACCAATGCATTCCAGCCTGGGCAACAAGAGCGAGACTCTGTCTCAAAAATAAATAAATAAATAAACAAATAAATAATCTCAATAAGAATTTCCATTAAAAAACACAAAATTTCCATACATTATTTTTTCAGAGTTGATGGACCCCCCTGCTGAACCTACCCATGAATCCTAAATTGAGAACTCTCTAATATAGACCAATTTTTGCGTTGTTGGATGGGGAAACTGATGGGAGAGGATGTGTTCAAAGTCATTCAGATTGATGGTGAATAAGGAGATTGAACCCAGCTCTCCTTATTCTACAACTGGTTGCTAAAAGGAAGAGAGTGCTGTCCACATTGTGTTGTTTACTTGATTTAAAAAGGCAAGACAAACCAGTGTAACAGGGCAACTGATATTCCCTGATGTGCACAGAGAACACTGAGTCTAGACAGGGCAATTTGGGTTTTTTTGGTTTTTTGTTTTTGTTTTGGAGACGAAGTCTCACTCTGTTGTTCAAGCTGGAGTGGAGTGGCACGATCTCGGCCCACTGCAACCTCCACCTCCAAGGTTCAAGCGATTCTCCTGCCTCCACCTCCCAAGTAGCTGGGACTACAGGCATGCACCACCATGCCCAGCTAATTTTTTTGTATTTTTAGTAGAGATGGGGGTTTCACTATGTTGGCCAAGCTGGTCTTGAACTCCTGACCTCGTGATCTACCTGCCTCAGCCTCCCAAAGTGCTGGGATTACAGACATGAGCCACTGCGCCGGCCGGCAATTTGTTTTTAGGATTTTTTTTCATTTCTTCCTAAGCTGTCTGTGCTCAGCCTGTGGTGGACTGTGGATGATCTCATTCACAAAAAGGTGGCTTAGAAAGGTGTAGGTCAGGGACCAGCAGCCCTTTTGATTCTGAGTACCAAAAGAGGAACCAAATAGTGCCTATGAGTTATCCCAGAAAGCTGGACATGTTGGGGAATAGGAGGGAAAGAAGGAGAGGAAAAAGAAAGGGGGTACACCAGAAGAGGGCAAATGAGGATGGTATGGGGAGAAGAGAGTGGAAGAGAGAATGAGTGTATTTAGGGAGTAGAAGGCTTATGTGGTGGGGCTGGCCCACAGGCTGCTCACCAAGTCAGAACCTGTAAGGACATGAGTTACATGACCAGGTGGGGTCACACGCTTGTAATCTCAGCACACTGGGAGGCCGAGGTGGGCGGATCACTTGAGGTCAGGAGTTCGAGACCAGCCTGGCCAAGATGGTGAAACCCTGTCTCTACTAAAAATGCAAAAATTAGCCAGGCATGGTGGTGCATTCCTGTAATCCCAGCTACTCAGGAGGCTGAGGCACGAGAATCGCTTGAACCCAGAAGGCAGAGGTTGCAGTGAGCTGAGATCACACCACTGCACTCCAGCCTGGGCAACAAGAGCGAGACTCTGTCTAAAAAAAAAAAAGGAAGAATACATGGAAAACACTTAGAAGAGTTTTAACATGTAGTACGTGCTTAATAAATGCTGGCCCTTATTACTGTTACTCCTTGACAGAGGCTCATTTTCTCTTGCCTGTTCCTGCAAAGATGGAGACAACTGATTAGCCATCCTTCCTCTAAGAACCAACCATCAACTTGTAGACACGAAATCACCCATCAGTTTCTCTTTTTCACATATACTATCTGTTCCTTCTTTTGCCTGGGGACTCAACTCCATTACCATCTTCCAGAATCACAATTTAAACATGAGCATAGAAGTACTTAGTAATGGAGGGGTCTTCCTGTTTGGTGTTCCCTCTATTGGCCAGAGAACAAACACTCCTATGAGAGGAGAGTTTCTTTTTCTTCCATCAGACAGGAGAGCAGTATGGACCTATGTTTCTATCTTTGCAAATGAATTTCATAGCACTGTTTAGATACCTCTGTGCTTGGAAATTCGCCTGCTTTGGTGAATCTAATTTTTAAATTTTGTCAGGTATCAAGGTAGAACACTGGTAAACTGCTTAATCTGGAAAATAAAGAATAAAATATAAACAGATTTCCCCTCTGGCTCCCTGCAAAACATCTCTCTCCTCCACAGTGTTTCTGTAAGTCTCTAGGGAACATCTTGTATGGGCTCACCAACAAGTCCTCCTCTAAGAGTCTCCTGCTAATCTACTAAGTACTCTTGATCAAGAGAGACGTAGAATCACCAGAGAAGACTTTTCAGAGTCTTCTCTGAAAAGTGCGACCTCAACTGACCTTAAATGGCAGGTAAGGTTAATATAGATACCAGTGGGGAATCCAGGGATTCAGGGCAGGATGAGCAAAGGGTGAAAGAAGCAATGGAGTTGGATGAGTACAGAATTGGTTTGGGGAGGTGGCCAGCTAAGCTGAGGAGGAGAGCTTATAGTGAGAGAGAAGGCAGGAGAAAAGGCCATGTGAGAGGGCATAGGAGAGCTCAGACTTCTTTCCATAAGAAAGTGAGGGCCCTTGAGTAACATTGCAGGGTATAGTGGAATGCTTGGCAGAACTACTGGCTATATTGGCTACATGTTCTTTGGTTCTTAGGGCCTGTGATTCTCCCAAGAGATGCTTTGTCATGTTTATTCACATATCCAACATTTTCTTTTTCTCTTTTTTTTTTTTTTTTTTTTGAGCCGGAGTCTCGCTCTGTCACCCAGGCTGGAGTGCAGTGGTGCAATCTCCGCTCACTGCAACCTCTGCCTCCTGGATCCAAGCAATTCTCCTGCCTCAGCCTCCTGAGTAGTTGGGATTACAGGCATGCGCCACCACGCCCAACTAATTTTTGTATTTTTAGTACAGACGAGGTTTCACCATGTTGGTCAGGCTGGTCTTGAACTCCTGACCTCGTGATCCGCCTGCCTTAGCCTCCCAAAGTGCTGGGATTTTTATTTATTTATTTTTGAGTTGGAGTCTCACTCTGTCACCTAGGCTGGAGTACAATGGCGCGATCTTGGCTCACTGCAACCTCTGCATCCCGGGTTCAAGTGATTTTCCTGCCTCAGCCTCCTGAGTAGCTGGGATTACAGGCGCTTGCCACCGTGTCCAGCTAATTTTTGTATTTTCAGTTGAGATGGGGTTTCACCATATCAGCCAGGCTGGTCTCGAACTCCTGACCTCGTGATCTGCCCACCTCGGCCTCCCAAAGTGCTGGGATTACAGGTGTGAACCATGATGCCTGTCCCTCCCCCCGGCTTTTTTTTTTTTTTTTTTTGAGATGGAGTCTTGCTGCGTCACCCAGGCTGGAGTGCGGTGGCATGATTTCGGCTCACTGCAACCTCCGCCTCCTGGGTTCAAGCAATTCTCCTGCCTCAGCCTCCTGAGTAGCTGGGGTTACAGGTGCCCACCACCAAGCCCAGCTAATTTTTGTATTTTTAATAGAGATGAGATTTCACCATGTTGGCCAGGCTGATCTCAAACTCCTGACCTCAGGTGATCTGCCTGCCTTGGCCTCCCAAAGTGTTGGGATTGCAAGTGTGAGCCACCGTGCCCAGCCATCTTCTTTCATAATTATAAAAGCATTATGTATTCACTACAGAAAAATCAAGTTAGCAAAAAGAAGAAACTAAAAAATAATCCTACTCACTGGAAGTAACCACTATTAATACTTCACTGTGTGGCTTTCTAAAGTTTCTTATAAACATATATTTACAATATATGTTAATGAAATTGGGGTTATATCATGCATACTGTTTTATAAGGTTTTGTTTTTGTTTTTCTTTTTTTTTTTTGAGACGGAGTGTCACTCTGTCACCCAGGCTGGAGTGCAGTGGTGTGATCTCGGCTCACTGCAACCTCTGCCTGCTGGGTTCAAGCAATTCTCCTGCTTCAGCCTCCTGAGTAGCTTGGACCACAGGTACGCGCCACCATGCCTGGCTAATTTTTTGTATTTTTGGTAGTGACAGGGTTTCACCATGCTGGCCAGGCTGGTCTCGAACTCCTGACCTCGTGATCTTCCTGCCTCAGCCTCCCAAAGTGCTGGGATTACAGACGTGAGCCACTGCGCCTGGCCTTTATAAGGTATTTTTAACACTTAATATGTTATGAATAATATTCTATATCAAACATACTTGTATGATAGGATTTTTCATAGCTACAGAGTTGGTGACAGTATTAAGGTTTTCCCAGCCTTCTGGAGTGATGAACTTTGCCTTCCATTTCAGAGTTTTTTTTTCCTGTAATGGAAAAATGTCTCCTTTTGTAACTGAGAATACTATCCAGACATCAGGGGCATCACCAGGGGACATGGTCATTTCTCTCTTTTTTCTTTAGCCGGACTGTAGAAGCTGGAGGAAAAGGCAGTATATCTGTGGCAAAGTTCCTGGCCACAAAATTTTGGCTACATTTATAAAATTCTAATTCCAGGTGAAAGGGGAATATAAACTTAATTTTTCTGAAAACTACAAAGAACAGAGACAGATACCAATGAGCTGCAGGCATCATTGTGTAAGCTGAGTGCAGAAATCGTCTGGTAGCTGGGCAGGCGTCGTTGGCCAGAGCATGGCAGGCTTTCCATGGCCAAAGCCACTAAGATTTTGACTGCTCAGGACTTCATTTTGGGGCTTCTGGGGCATAAAAGGCCTTGGTACAAAGAGCATGTTATCCTTTTCAACTATGGCACCCTTTTCAGATGTAAGATTCTGAGCTGACAGGAGCATGGGACCGATTGTATTAATTCTTGGATTTAGTCCTAAGTAACTTTTTCTCTATATAACAAGTCTAAATGGATGGCAAGGCAAGAGAGGAGTTGTTCTGTTTATTCCATCTCTACCTCTCCTTGAATTTCCTCCTTCATCCCCACTTCATCCAATGGCTTTGTGTTTACATGATGTTTTTATTTTATTTATTTATTTATTTTGAGACAGAGTCTCACTCTGTCACCCAGGCTGAAGTGCAGTGACGTGATCTCAGCTCACTGCAACCTCTGCCTCCCAGGTTCAAGCAATTCTCCTGCCTCAGCCTCCCGAGTAGCTGGGATTACAGGCACCCACCAGGACGCCTGGCTAATTTTTGTATTTTTAGTAGAGACGGGGTTTCACCATGTTGGCCAGGCTAGTCTCGAACTCCTGACCTTCAGTAATCCACCCGCCTCAGCCTCCCAAAGTGCTGGGATTACAGGCCACTGTGCCCGGCCTACATATTTTTGATACCTCTATTTCTGTTTCCTAACACCACTATGTATTTCACTGCAGATATGAAGGACTCCAACTGGCATTAGAGGTTATGTATTTAAAATCCAAGCCCACTTAGAAATTATAATAATAAATAACAACATCTAGCACTTATTATACATTAATTAATACTATTTTGGTGTTATTTATTTATTTATTTTTGAGACAGAGTCCTGCTCTTTTGCCCAGGCTGGAGTGCAGTGGCGCGATCTTGGCTCACTGCAGCCTCTGCCTCCCGGGTTCAAGCTATTCTCTTGTCTCAGTCTCCTGAGTAACTGGGATTACAGGCACACACCACCACACCTGGCTAATTTTTTTGTAGTTTTAGTAGAGATGGTGGTTTGCCAGGTTGGCCAGGCTGGTCTCGAACTCCTGACCTCAGGTGATCCACCTGCCTCAGCCTTCCAAAGTGCTGGGATTACAGAAGTGAGCCACTGCGCCCAGCCTGGTTTTATTTATTTATAATTTCATTTAATTCTCAGAATAACCTTATTATTTTTCTATTATAATTATTCCCACTTTATAGATGAGAAAACCAAGACTCAGAAAAGTTAGGTAACTTGCCAAAGTTCACACATCTAGGCGGTTGCAGAACCAGAATTCAAACCCAGTTCCATCTGACTCCAGAGTCGTTTCTGACACTGGTCTACTTTCTGTCTCAGTAAGTTTAGAAGTCAGGGAACTGGAAGGAACAACAACAAAAAAATAAACCTAACTTAATGCCAAGAGAATTGCTGACAAGATATATCTCATTCCTACTCCATGTTTAATGTCAATTTTTGTATCTTGGGTAGGGTGCCTATTATAAAGCTATTTGCTCAAGGTTATCCTCCTCCTACCCCGCCCCCATCATCAGATGATTTTTATTTATAGCTATGTTTAAACATCATGGGCAACACTCAGACTTGCTGTATATTGAATTTGCCATCAGAGCAAAGATTCTTTCTCAAAGCATATTTGCTTTATTTACTCTCTGGTGTTTCCCAATAAATTAAAAAGACAATTCTTTTTGGTTTGCTTTAAATTTTTTGTTCCAAATATTCTTCAGCTCTAGAATTGAGTCAGTGAGGTCAAATTAGTCAAGACCAGATAAGTCAAAATGAATTTTCATTTTCATGTCCATTAGATATTTTGTTCTACAGAATACACAATCTGAATTTCTTCTAAAGAAAAATATATCCTGATTAATTTACTTCTGTATTGTTTATGATCATGTATGCTTTACTTCACTGTCTGATGCTAAGAGCTTCCTAGAATTCATTCCTTAAGAAGTTAAGTCATGGCATTTAATTATTTGGCAGGATGTTTTAAGTACATATAATTATTATATCTTCCCTCCATTTTGTGATGGTGGTGAGCCAAGTAATCTGCATCAAGAGAAAATAAATAACACCTACATTAATGCTACCAACAAGGGGCTCACAGTACTTTGGAAAAACTCATAATTTTAGCACACAGTGGGTGTTCAATACTTCATCATCTATCAAACTAACATCACCACACCCTTTCCAGGTAAGAGAATCTAGGCAGGCTGGGTGCGGTGGCTCACACCTGTAATCCCAGCACTTTGGGAGGCTGAAGCAGGCGGATCACCTGAGGTCAGGAGTTTGAGACCAGCCTGGCCAACGTGGCGAAATCCGTCTCTACTAAAAATATAAAAATTACCCGGGCATGGTGGCGGGTGCCTGTAATCCCAGCTACTTGGGAGGCTGAGGCAGGAGATTTGCTTGAACCTGGGAGGCAGAGTTTGCAGTGAACCGAGATTGCACCACTGCACTCCAGCCTGTGCAACAGAGTGAGACTCTGGCTCAAAAAAAAAAAAAAAAAAAAAAAAAAAAGAGAGAGAATCTAGGCAAAGAGAAATAATGTTGATTCTGTTCCATATGTCAGACCTTGGAAGGTCAACTGCATGACTGTGGCTGAGACTTTGTACTTGGGAGTGTGCAGTTTTAAATCCTGACCACTATCTTAGGCAAGTCCCTTCTCTTTTCTGAGTGCCTGTCTGCTTCTTGCCCCATCAGACAGTTCTCACACAGGTTCATGGCAACGGTAAAGAATAAGATTAGACAGCACACTGGGTATGGCTTTATAATCACGGGCACTAAGTGATGATTTTTTCCTTATTCATTCCACTTGGTCTTAACTCTTACCCTTCTATTGTTTGGGGATGTTAACTGCAAAACAGGGACAGAATTTGGGCTAAAGGGTCTTTTTCCCAGTCTGGTAAATTAAGTATGTGATAAGACTTCTAGAAGAGTAGATTTAAGGTACTTTCTTTTGTGCACACTAATGGGAGGTGTGAAGGGAAAGCAGAATTGCAATTTCCAGCCTAGGGAGGCCAAGCCAGTCGGCCTTGCCAAACACGTTGTCTTGGATAAAGGAGGATTTTCAGTCCTGCTATTGGCTGATGGGGCCTCCAGTGCCTTCTTCAGCCTGTTGGTGGGGATGATGCCCTCAGAGCCGCAGAGTGAGCAGTCTCCTCCCAAGCATCGCTGAGCACTTGGGTGTGGAAGGGTTGCCTGATACTGAGGGTGGGGTTCCTGGAAGACAGGCGATCAGGTTCAGCTCTTGCCTTGCCCTTTATGGTTAAATGTTCTTTGGAAAGCTTCTATATCTTTCAAATCCTGGGGGCATTATGATCTCTCTTCTGCCTATCCCAAACCATCTTCAGCCAGTACTGTTGGGAGAATACAAGCTCCAGGGCATGGTCCCTGGTCCGTCTGGATGACCCCTCCGGATCTGGCATATAGCTGGCGCTCTATGGAACCAGATATTTATGTAAAAGCAGGGACAATGGAATGTGAAAACGTTTCGCAAACTCCAAAGCGATTCATAACCAGACAGAGGTCCAATCCTAGGGTATACGAGCTCTCTCTTTTAAGCACGTATCACAGCTGCTTCTCACGCCACCGAGACGCGGTCAGGACAGGTGCATCCATCTTCTCTGGGCTTCCCCTCTTGAAAGTAGGCCAGGGCGCGCAGGGGTTGAGGGTCTCTCATTCCCAGAGAGAATTAAACTTGGAGGAAAGCAACCACCGGCGAGGAGCGGGGCGCGTGGAAGCGAGCCGCGGTCCGAGGCCCAAAGAAAAGCCCAAGCCTCGCCCCCGCCATCGCGCCCGACGAGACACCTAGGTCCGGGGACGGGTGTGTGCCGCGGAAGTCAGGTGCACTGCGCAGCACTCCCCCGGTAGGTACACGCTCCTCCACCTACGAGTGACCTAATTACAAGGTGCCAGCCGCGCCCAGAGGTGGGGGTGGTTAATCCAAGCGGCCACTCGCTGCCCGTTCCTGCCCCCAAAGATGACGGAAACCCACACGATTACAGAGCCGCAGCACCCCAGATGAGCCACGGGGTCGCAATTCTCGTTTCCGTGATCGGACTGCCAGGCCCCAGGTGAGGAGCTGAGTTCATCACCAGAGCGGCCTTCCCAGGGGAACCAGTTACAGGCTGCCAGTGGCCCCGGCTTCCATCCGGTCTGCGCCTGCGCGCGGCCCAAGCCCTCGCCTCTCCTGGAATAGTGCTCAGGGATTAGTCCGGTTCGCCGCTGTGCGCACTGCGCATGCTCCAGCTCCATCCTTCCCTTCCCCCACCACCCCGCCCTCCGGGAGCCACGCCCAAAAAGTCAAGGCGCTTCAGTTACCAGCCGGCTACGTCGCGCCTGCGCTTTGACCCCCAGTTTGCGCCCCAACTCCGGTCGTGCGGCCGCCCGGGGAGGGCTCTGCAGTTGCGCAGCTTGCTCCCCGGCCCTTTTCCCCTCCGCTCCCCGCCGCCTCCTGACGCCGGGCGTGACGTCACCACGCCCGGCGGCCGCCATTACAGAGAGCCGAGCTCTGGAGCCTCAGCGAGCGGAGGAGGAGGCGCAGCGGCCGACGGCCGAGTACTGCGGTGAGAGCCAGCGGGCCAGCGCCAGCCTCAACAGCCGCCAGAAGTACACGAGGAACCGGCGGCGGCGTGTGCGTGTAGGCCCGTGTGCGGGCGGCGGCGCGGGAGCAGCGCGGAGCGGCAGCCGGCTGGGGCGGGTGGCATCATGGACGAGAAGGTGTTCACCAAGGAGCTGGACCAGTGGATCGAGCAGCTGAACGAGTGCAAGCAGCTGTCCGAGTCCCAGGTCAAGAGCCTCTGCGAGAAGGTGAGCTGTAGTACGGCTGCGGACAGCCGCCGCGGGGCCGAGCCCGCCGAGGAAAAGGCGGCCGTGAGGAGGGTGCAACATGGCGGAGGCCGCCGGTCCGGGCCCCCCGAGTCTCCGAGACCGGCGCCCATCCTGGCCGGCGGCGGCTTCCTAACGACCCGGCGCCCCCTGCCTCCCGCGCAGGGATTGGTTGCCGCCGCCGCCTAAAATGGCGCCGTTCACTCGACTCCTGGGCTTTTGAGTCAGCCGGCCTTGGCGCCAGACGAGGTGGCAGGGGGAGCGGAGACCCTGTGGGTCATCGTCAGGGACGGTTTTGAGGGTGAGCTGGCTTGGATTCTGCGGCTTGGGAATGGAGCCTGGGCCTCTCCGGTGGGCTGAGTAAGAGTCTTGCCGCTGGTACCCAGGCCTAGTTAGGTCCAGAGCTGCCCAGAGGATCCCCCAAAGGCAGTCTTGTTAGGCCGTATCCCAGAACATACCTAAAGGTCACACAGCTTTAGTACCCCTTGGTGGTTTGTATTAAACTCACCAAGCGATCTTCTCCAGAAATCAAGGTAAGGGGTGTCTTTAAGAATTTTTAAATTATTCTCTTAACCTAATTTTTACGAAGGTCATGGTGGTAGCTATAAGGGAGGAGTGTAACTTATTTTTCATAGTTGGAAGAAATCGGGAATTTGGTGAGTCATACTACATAAGGAGCTTTTGGATTGGAAATCAAGTGTCGGTTGAATATGATTTATATGCTGACTCAAAGCCTTCTCTAAGCTTAACACACTTGGCATTTTGCCGTTTATTTTTAAAATGAACAACATAAAATGGAAGAGCGGTAAATTTTGTATCTTTGTTGCAAAAATTACTTGATAGTATTTTGTGGCTGCAAGTAGTAGTAGTGATAATAACTGTCGACTGAGATTGTATTCCAGACATTGTGCTTAGTGTTTAAATAATGTCTCACATACACTGAAAATAGAATGTTGTAGTCCACTTAGTAACACTAAACTTTATATTAGCTAATTCCCTTTTGTTTTCCCCTGGGGGTTGGGGAAACAGGTAGTTAATTTAGCTATTAGCTTTGTGTTGTATTTTTAAATTCTTGTAACTCAGTTTTCTAAAGTACACAAAATGCTGATCTCTGCTGTGAACATTTTAACTTCCCTTTTCAAAATTAACTTTGCAGCACGTCACTTTAGTACAGAATAGTGGAGTATCATATTAGCATTTTGTATCCGTGAAAAGAATTAATGGAGAACTATTATCCTGATTTGTTTCTGGTTTGATGTGAAAATTAGGTTCATGAGTTTGACGTATATGTTTCCAAGACAGGCTTTTTTAGAAACCATGTTGTGAACAATTGGAATTTAAGTAAGTCAGATTTAGATTTGTTTCTCCCAAGCCTGAACAAAACTACTACTAGTGGATGAGGTGGCACATCATCTGTTGGAGATGCCTTTTAATGGTAGCGATGTATTGAATCTCCTGTTTCTTTACCCTCTCACGTCAAATGAGGTTGGTATTTATTTTAAAGGTTTAAAATTGGCCTTTAAAAATGAATGTATATTGCCAGGTCTTAATTTCTAGGTACTGTACATGATGATCTTACCGATTTTTGGAATTCAGTGCATTATATGAAAGACTTTTAAGTCAGTAGTTGGCCAGTTGACTAGTCTTTTGAAGAAAACGTGGAAAGGAGGGAGGTAATGACGTAACTGGAAGACTGGACTGCGAGTTAGATTTGGACATGAGTCCTTCTGCTCTTACTTGAGTAATTGTGACAGACTTTGGGACAGCCACTTCACTTGTCCTTGTTTTCCTGTCTATAAACTAAAATGTGTTCTGAGATTATACAGTCAATTCCGTTTTAAATTAGTAGTGTGTTTAATATTGAACATCTATTGAATATCTAAGATTGCATACTCTTTTGAGGGAAATGAAAAGCAATGAAGAATAAGTATGCTTATTGTCGAGGAGCTATGAATCTAGTTTGAAAGAAAAGCATGGTATGAAAAGGTGTGGGAGATGGAGCATGGAAGTAGAGGGTTTGTGTTGGAAACTGTTGTAGAAGATAAGATAATACTGGATGCTAGAGTGGGGTGGGTGAAGCTGATGCATCTAATATTGCTTTCCACATCTTTGTAAAACTAAGATGTAGTGAGGTAAATCTCCATTGCTTGCGCTGCTTACGCAAATTTTAGTTCTGAGTGCCAAAAAAGATGGAAATAATATTTGAGAGTAGGTGTTATATAAAAGTTTCTGTGGAATGGATCCGTTTTGGTGGATATCATTATACAACCTTCATACTGTTTATAACTGGTAAGTAAGTATTTCAACTTTCAGGATGATATTAAACTTCCAAACTAAATTAATTTGAAGACAGTTTTTTGGGTATGTAGAATCCATGAACTGATGTTTTTTGTACAAGTCTTTCTAGTAAAACAAAAGCTGTCTTTCACTGTTAATATTTGTGTGCCAATGGCATCTCTGGGTGAAAGCTACATATGTGCTTTTTGGTGTGATTGCCTTCTAAAGAGTAATTTTGAAAATTTGAGGGCTAATTTTTTTCATTAGTGTATAATAATAGTATTTTTTGAGAAAAAAGATACTTGTTAATAGTTGATAATTTCTTCAATCATAAGAAGGAATGATAATGTAAAAGCCTTCCTTCTACCCACCTAAATGCCTGATTTGAAGGGGAAATATTTAAATAGTAAAAATAGATGTATACCATAAGAGGTCATTGTTACTAAAAAATCCTGAGGCCATTATTTTGTTAACCCATCAACAATTAACAGTGTTACATGTTCAGAACTGAGAGAATCTAAGTATGCATTTATAAAAGACAAGAGTGAACATGGTTTTTATGTTACTGACTAGCTAAAAAGAATTTTAAGATGTGATTAAGACTTATACAAAAGCCAAGGTTGTTAGTGTATAGTATACTTTGTCATCTTGAGAATCATAATTTGTTGATAGTTTAATAATTTGGTGTGCAGCTTTGCCTCAGGCTCAGTTCTATAATCAGCATTACATCAGTATAACTGGCCGGGTATGTTTCAATCTACAGATTGAAAGGAGTAAATAGTATCAACTTGCTTTTGCATTGACTACAGTAAACAATCTTTTATTATGTGACTTCAGCTTTGTTTTAGCTTGGGTATGATTTCTTGGCTTTGTGCTTACCAAACATGTGGAGAACGTTGTTTGATAGCCAGATTTTTTTTTTTCAAAGAAGTTCTTTACCTAGGTATGCTGTTTTCCATTGCTTTGCAAGCACTATAAATAAAGTGCAGTCATTAGTCATTAAAATGTTAGTTTTAACATTTGTTACGTGAGTATGGAAAAAACAAACTGCTTCCTTCTAATTAGATGAGCTGAAAAATATTTGACCAAGATGACATTCTTATATGAATTGGGTAATATGTTGCTGTGAGTATGTGTGTACGTTTCATTTTAAAGGGTGTTTGGCTCATTTCTCTAGAAGTGATTTGAATATTGAGGACAAGCAGGTGGGGGAAGCATGTTACAGAACATTATTTTTATCATACTTTTATAAGATATTGTTCTCAGTTACAGATGCAACTCAAAGACTCAGAAAGGTAAAGTGACTTGACTAAAGGGGCTAAAAGTGAGATTGCCAAGGCTTGTGGATTCTAAGCCTAATGTTCTGGTATTGCTTCACAGATCCCCTTCTGTTTTCAGAGGTAGTGTTAGTAGTGAAAGATGTAGGTAAATTGGGGCCAAGCTAAATTGGGAAGTCAACACTTTCATAAAATAAAACTTTTTTTTTTTTTTTTTTTTGAGATAAGGTCTTACTCTTTTGCCCAGTCTGGAGTGCAGTGGCGCAATCTCGGCTCACTGCAACCTCCACCTCCCAGGTTCAAGCAGTTCTCCTGCATCAGTCTCCCTAGTAGCTGGGATTACAGGTACCCACCACCATGCCCAGCTGTTTTGTATTTTTAGTAGAGATGGGATTTCACCATGTTGGCCAGGCTAGTCTCGAACTCCTGACCTTCAGTGATCCACCCACCTCAGCCTCCCAAAGTGCTGGGATTACAGGCTTGAGCCAGCGCGCCTGGCCAAGACATTATTTTTATTTTCATTGCTTGAAAGCTTCCTATTCATGTTACATACTGTTGTTCCTCTTTGTCTTGGAAAGAGTAATTATTATTCAGTTTTGGATGTAGCTGACAACATTTGCCCCTCAAATGAGATTGGTGAGATGAAAACCCTAGATAATTTCCCTTGTATTCTTAGTATAAATCATGATCCAGAGACTGAGCTCTAAAGTATTCTAATAAAGTATAACTGACTTTTTATATTGTTTATTGCAACTTATAAAATGCCTCTTTTCAGCAGGGCAAGGTGGCTCACACGCCTGTAATCCTAGCACTTTGGAAGGCCACGGCAGGCGGATCACGAGGTCAGGAGACCAAGACCAATCCTGGCTAACACGGTGAAGCCCCGTCTCTACTTAAAAATACAAAAAATTAGCCGGGCGTGGTGGCACACACCTGTAGTCTCAGCTACTGGGGAGGCTGAGACAGGAGAATTGCTTGAACCTGGGAGGCGGAGGTTGCAGTGAACCAAGATTGTGCCACTGCACTCCAGCCTGGGCGACAGAGGGAGACCCCATTCCCCCCGGCCCCAAAAAAGCCTCTTTTCATCCTCTTGGCTTCCACAGTCAAATGTCATGCATGTGTGTATTTGTTTCATGGTCTCCTAGGCAGGAAGCTGTAATGCAGTTAGTTTGGAGTTGACTTCATGAGGAAACAGAAAAGGTGAACATTCCCACTATTCAGAAACACAGGTTCCCCAACCCTCCCTACGTTCTCCACTGGGACCAGAATTGTATGTTTTCAGAAAATTGGCTGTAAGGCTAAGTTGAAGCTCATGTACTGTAGAAAGAATGAAGGACCCTTCAGGAGTATGTGGGATAACATTTGTATTACCAGTCTGGTGTGGCCCTGTTTTATGGCAGCAAATATGTTCCCTATCTCATGGTAAGTCAGGTTTGTCAGAGTTACCTGTGAGATAGCCTTTGCTTAGTTTGGAAGGGGTAAGTTAGGAAAACTAAGAGACTGGGTTTGGTGGGGTCTTTTATCAGGGTACTGAGGAGAGAGGCAAAGCTATATGTAACAGGGAGACACTATTTATTCTTTCTGCTTTGACCCATTTCTCTTACTTCATTATCATCCTTGCCTGAGAAAGCTGTCAACCTCCACTCATACACAGGCAGATCTGAATTGGATGAGAACCATGAAGGAGGAAGATTTTTGTTTTTGTGGGCTTTTTTTTTTTTTTTTTTTTTTGAGATAGAGTCTCACAGTCGCCCAGGCTGGAGTGCAGTGGTGTGATCTCGGCTCACTGCACCCTCTGCCTCCCAAGTTCAAGCAGTTCTCCTGCCTCAGCCTCCCAAATAGTTGGGATTATAGGTGTGTGCCACCACACCCAGCTAATTTTTGTATTTTTAGTAGAGACAGGGTTTCACCATGTTGGCCAGGCTGGTCTTGAACTCCTTACGTCAAGTGATCCACCCATCTCAGCCTCCCAAAGTGCTAGGATTACAGGCATGAGCCACTGGCACCAGACCTGTTTTTGTTTTAAATAGATTTTCTTTTGGCTTCTGGGGCAGAAGTGGTAGACCAGGCTGAAGAAGGGAGAGGTGTCTATTGTCAGTAAATGGCTGAGAGGTGGGGTTTGAAAGAATGGTAAAGAACAACCTGAGATTAACTGCTTTTTTTTTTTTTTTTTTTTTGATACGGAGCCTCGCTCTGTTGCCCAGGCCAGAGTACAGTTGCATGATCTCGGCTCACTGCAACCTTTGTCTCCCACGTTCAAGTGTTTCTCCTGCCTCAGCCTCCTGAGTAGCTGGGATTACAGGCATGTGCCACCATGCCTAGCTAATTTTTTTATTTTTAGTAGAGACAGGGTTTCATCATGTTGGCCAGGCTGGTCTTGAACTGCTGACCTCAAGTGATCCGCCCGCCTCAGCCTCCCAAAGTGCTGGGATTACAGGTGTGAGCCACTGTGCCCAGCTAACTGCTTAACTTCTTCACATTGCAGTATTATTGCCTGTTTATTGGTCTGTTGTGGATTGTGGTTTAGAATGGATGAACAAGGCAGTGACACAGATGCGTGTATATCTGAATCTGGGTATTTTTTAAACTAAATGTGACCAGTTGGCCAGTCCCTCTTGCACCCTGTGTTGCCACTTCTGCCTTAGTTTAGTCATTTAGTTGCTACTACAGATGGGGATTTTTACCCTGCTGGTGTTGAGGCTGGAAGGTTGCAAACCTTTGTCCTAGATGGGGACGAGGAGTAGAATGGGAGACAAGCAGTAGCATGTGTTTACCTGGCCAAAGGCCTGCAAAATGTAGTTCACAGAGGTTATGGAGTGTCATTGATGCTATCGTGTGACAGTGTACATTTGATTTTGGAACCAGTATTTAATAAACCTTCATTGTATGCATTATTGTCACTATTGAGCTTTGTCTAAAAAGCACTACCTTATTCTCGTGTATAAGGATTTCTTAGTTTGGTTTTGCTCTAATTAATAGCACAGTTTTGGATTAGTCAGGAGATTGACTTTATAGTTAATTCTAGATAGGGAATGTTTTAGAATGCTTGTGCCGGTGGTGATCAAGTAACTTATTTTTCTGCCACTAATCTGTAAATGAGCAATAATGCCCACTATCTATTTCTTTTGGCTGGCTTTACTTAATAAAATAGGCTTAAGACATGCTTTAGGATGGGGTAGAATTCTAGTAATGGAATCAACCTTAAAGACCATCTAGGCTGGCGGGGCACAGTGGCTCACGCCTGGAATCCCAGCACTTTGGGAGGCTGAGGTGGGTGGATCACGAGGTCAGGAGATGGAGCCCATCCTGGCTAGCACGGTGAAACCCCGTCTCTACTAAAAATACAAAAAATTTAGCCAGGCATGGTGGTGGGCGCCTGTAGTCCCAGCTGCTCGGGAGGCTGAGGCAGGAGAATTGCTTGAACCCAGCAGGCAGAGGTTGCAGTGAGCCGAGATCGTGCCCCTGCACTCCAGCCTAAGCGACAGCAAGACTCCATCTTAAAAGAAAAAAAAAAAAAAGAAAGAAACAACCATCTAGACTAATTCATCTTACACAGATGAGGGAGGAAACTGAGACCCAGAGTGGTTGAATCTTGTTCATGATGTATTATTGTGACAATTTTTTAATAAGTAGATATATAGCAGCATTTCTCAGTTGTGTAGTAGATTAAAACTTCTTTTTCTATGCAGGAATGATTGGGAGTGTTTAATTCATTCACATATGTAGGTTAGTTGGTAAAGGTTGAGTTTAGTCTATTGTGCATATGAGACATAGGGCTTTAAGGATCTTTCCTTTTGGTCAGAGGCAAAGGTGATATTGCAGAAACAGATGGGAAAACTCACAAATTTTATATTTTCTTTTATTACACTTTTAGAATTATCCCTCATTCCCAACATTTTTCTTTTATTTAGGTCCTAAGCCTTAGAGCCAAACAGAAAATACTAGTTACTAGAATATTACCTGGAGGGTTAAACTTTTAAAATATAACCATACTGATTTTAATCAAAGAAGATTGAAATGTTTCGTGAAATATTAGTGGTATCTGTTCAGTGTAGTTAATGAAAGACAAGTAGTCATGCACCACATAATGACATTTTGGTCAGTGGTGGACTGCATGTGATGGTGGTCTTATGAAATTATAATGGAGCTGAAAAATTCCTATCACCTGGTGACCTTGTAATGTCATAGTGTAACACTTTATATTGTTTATGTTTAGTTATACAAATACTTAACATTATGTTAACAGTTGCCTACAGCATTCAGTACAGTAAATGCTGTACAAGTTTGTAGCCTAGGAGCAATAGGCTATCCAATAGCTTAGGTTTGTAGTAGTCTATACTATCTAGATTTGTGTAAGACCACTCTGTGATGTTCACACAACAACTAAATAATTTGATGTATCCCTGCGATTAAGCAACACATGATTAGTATGAAGAATGGTTTGATAGTTGAAGGAAATTAACTCAAAACTCATTTGCTTCCAGGGCTAGTAATATGTTCTACATCATGTATCACCCCACGCCTCAAACTCTAGCCCTGTACACTAACTTATCACAAACCTTGGATTTTTTTGCACAATTATCAAAATGACATATCAAACCAACCGTACATCTTGACATAAAAACAGTATGAGACAAAATGAAATTCTCTTGGGATATTGAAAAAATTTTTTTTGCCTGTGAATTTAGTAATTTTACTTATTAAGAATTTTCAAATGATTTCAGTTCTTAAACTGAAAAATAAAATTCAAAAATTAATTGCATTTTTTCCAGTGTTTCTTCTATGTCTTTATATTGGTAGAACTGTCCAACTATATGGTAAGGATGTGAAATGTTAAATTTACTTGAACTAGAGTTACAATGAACATTAGAATTAATAATCAGACTTCTTTTTTTTTTCTTTTTTTGAGAAGGGAGTTTCGCTCTTGTTGCCCAGGCTGGAGTGCAGTGGCACGGTCTTGGCTCACCGCCACCTCCACCTTCCAGATTCAAGCAATTCTCCTGCCCCAGCCTCCCGGGTAGCTGGGATTACAGGCATGCGCCACCACACCCAGCTAATTTTTGTATTATTAGAGATGAGGTTTCTCTGTGTTGGTCAGGCTGGTCCTCAAACTCCCGATCTCAGGTGATCTGCCTGCCTTGGCCTCCCAAAGTGCTGGGATTACAGGCGTGAGCCACTTCGCCCGGCCAATAATCAGACTTTTAGTAGTAAAATTACTTTCAAAAATGGAGATTCCTTTGTCAAATAGTACTATTATTAGTACTAAGATTGTAAAGAGGTTATTTGTGTCTGATTTTGAGTTTGATGCTACAGAGAAGACAGGTTAGGCCTGCATTGACGTTTTTCATCAAGGGCAGAATTGATGATACAGAAACTTGATTTCTGTCTAGGCATGGTGGCTCATACCTACAATCCTGGTGCTTTGGGAGGCGGAGGCTGGAAGCTCACTCGAGACTAGGAGTTTGAGACCAGCTTGGGCAATGTAGTGAGACCACCGTTTCTACAAAACAAAAAACAGGTTTCTTTAGTTAAGTATAAATCATTGATCTGTGATTAATCCAAACACTTTTTCCTCAGTATAGACCTTGGGGTTCTTCGGTGTTTGACTACCTTCTTTTGAAGGAAACCACTTTTTTTTTTTTTTTTTTTTGAGGCAGTCTCACTCTGTTGCCCAGGCTGGAATGCAGTGGCACAATCTCAGCCCACTGCAACCTCCGCCTCATGGGTTCAAGTGATTCTCCAGCTTCAGCCTCCTGAGTAGCTGGCATTACAGGCATGCACCACCATGCCCAGCTAATTTTTGTATTTTTAGTAGGGGAGGGGGTGTTTCGCCATGTTGCCCAGGCTGTTCTCAAACTCCTGACCTCAAGCGATCCACCCACCCTGGCCTCCCGAAGTGCTGGGATTACAGGCATGATCCACCGTGCCCACCCGAAACCACTTGTAATATACCTTTAGGAGAATGCTTTTAGTTACATCATGATCCCTTTCATGTAGCTAACAACAAAAATGAATATTAACCCCAAATATTGGAACTCGTATTTTGAAGCAAGTTATTTCTTGGTATACTTTAGTGCCAGAATTGGTACTGTTATGTGATTAACTGTTTTTGAGACTAAGAAAATATTTTGCTGGACATCTGATGAAATTATCTTAAAAACAGTGCTTGGGTGTTTTCCCTGGAGTGTAGTGGCAAGAGTACTCTGTTGTCCATCAGAGCCACTTGCTGCTCTCAGCTGGCCTTGCTGTTGAATGGCATAATCTGATTTCGTTGGAGTACCCAAGTCCTAAGATTTGAAGAATAAGGGTTATTATCTCAGTCTCATCTTTTCTCTGAGATAGCATTTGTTCAGGAAATGTTATCTGTTTTCAATGGTGAAGGGAGTGAGAGTCTGCTTAGGAGTTACTGTATACATTAAACATTGGTGACCGGACTTTAAAGAATTAGAGGCTAGGCCTGGTGACTTACACCTATAATCCCAGCAGATTGGGAGGCCAGGGCAGGAGGATATCTTGAGCCCGGGAGTTCAAGACCAGCCTAGGCAGCATAGTGAGACCCTGTCTCTACAACAAAATTTTTACTTTTTTATTTTTATTTTTATTTTTATTTTTTGAGATGGAGTTTTGCTCTGTCACCCAGGCTGGAGTGCAGTGGCATGATCTTGGCTCACTGCAACCTCCACCTCCTGGGTTCAAGCGATTCTCCTGCCTCAGCCTCCTGAGTAGCTGGGACCACAGGCGAGGGCTACCATGCCCAGAATATTTTTGTATTTTTTTTTTGGTAGAGATGGGGTTTCACCACTTTGGCCAGGCTGGTCTTGAACTCCTGACCTCAAGTGATCCACCTGCCTCGGCCTCCCGAAGTGCTGGGATTACAGGCGTGAGCCACTGCACCCAGCCCTACGAATAATTTTTAAAAATAAATTAGTTGGGTGTGGTGGCACACCTGTGGTTCTAGCTACTCTGTGAGGCTGAGGCAAGAGGATTGCTTGGGTCCAGGAGATCTAGACTGCAATGAGCTGTGATCATGCTACAGCACTCGAAGCCTGGGGAACAGAGCAAGAACTTGTCTCAAAAAAAAAAAAAAAAAGTAAATAAATATTAGACACTTCTCAAGCCCTAGGTCCCAATTGATTGATTTTTTTTTTCTTGGATGCAGGATTCCAAAATACTTCAAGGTCATTATTAAACATTTAAAGTTAATGTCATAATGTTAACGATGCAAGTTTAAGATGCTGATATAAAAAGAAGCTTGAGTAGTTGTCGTGTAATCTTAGGATTAAAGTATAGATTTTAAAATGAAAAACTCTTAGAAAATGGCAAGACGTGATAACTTTTCTTAATAATTGTAGGAGAAAAATTACAAAGCAAAAATGGGCATAGAAAATTTCTGGCTATATATTTAAAAAATAAGAGAAACAAAATGCCAAAAAGTTACTTAAAATAACAGTTTAAAATAGTTTATACAAATACTTCAGAACATCATCTAGCTCTTAATGATCAGATGTTCAAAAATATTCATGGACAACTTGTATAAGAGGAGAAATAACTGATGGTAAATAAACATGGAATAAAAAGTTTGTACTCAGAAATGAAAAATGCCAATTAAATTAGTGATACCACATTGTATATCTGAAATAGCTGAGAATGAGTATATTCTTTCATTTATTATTGTATAACAAATTGGCATAATTGAGTTTTATAGTACATATGAAACAAAAAAAGTTAATGCTATTTTGCCCTGTAATCCCACAATTAAAGCTTTTTGAAAGGAAATAATTCAAATGAGCAATAATACTGTACACGTATAGGTCTATTTAGAAGGGCATTATGTAGTTTTAAAAAATCACTATAATGTAGAAACGAGTTAGTATGAAACTTTAGGACACAAAATGAGATGCCAGTCAATTATAAGTAAGAGGTCTGTGTGGGTAAAAACTGAAAGGTAATAGAAATGAGAAGAGTTCTGGTTGGTAAGAATAAGATAGTTATATATCTTAAAGCTTTCAGTGAAATCTTAACCTTTTAATTTTTTTTTTAGCCTTTTTTTGTTAGTTTTGAGAGAGAGTCTTACTGTGTTGCATAGGCTGGAGTGCAGTGGCACGATCTCAGCTCACTGCAACCTCTGCCTCCTGGGTTCCAATAATTCTCATGCCACAGCCTCCCAAGTAGCTGGGATTACAGGCCTGTGCCATCTTACCTGGCTGATTTTTGTATTTTTAGTAGAGATGGGGTTTTACCGTGTTGGCCAGGCTGGTCCCAAACTCTTGACCTAAAGTCATCCACCTGCTTTGGCTCCCAAAGTGATAGAATTACAGGCGTGAGCCACTGTGCCTGGGCTTTTCAGCCTTTTTTTAATGCAAAGAATTGTGACATGGTTGTAATCATTTTGTGCTTTTATTTATTTATTTTGAGATGGTGTTGTTGCCCAGGCTGAAGTACAGTGACATCATCATAGTTCACTGGAACCTTGAACTCCTGGGCTCAAGTGATTCTTCTGCCTTAGCCTCCTTAGCAGCTGGGACCACAGAGTGCACCACCATGCCTAGCTAATTTTTATTTTTCGTAGAGACAGGGTCTCGCCACATTGCCCAGGCTGATCTTGAACTCCTGAGCTCAAGCAATCCTCCTGCCACAGCCTTCCAAGTAGCTGGTACTACAGGTGTGTACCACTATGCCCAGCTAATATTTTAATTTTTTTGTAGAGATGGGGTTTTGGTGTGTTGCCCAGGCTGAGCAGTAATATTTTGAAAGGAATCTTTTTTTTTTTTCTGAGCAGTAGGTCTCAGTAATGCACTTAAAATATTCAGTATACCGTGCTGTAAGCAGATGTGCTGTCATCCAGGCTTTGTTGTTCCATTTCTAGAGCACAGGCGTAGTAGATTTAGCATAATTCTTAAGTGCTAAAGAATGGCTTAAATGCTTTCAGAATGTTGAATGAGCCTTGGCTTCAACTGAAAGTCACCAGCTACATTAGCCTCTAACAAGAGTCAGCCTGTCCGTTGAGGGTTTGAGGGCAGGCATTGACTTCTCTAGCTAGTAAAGTCCTAAGTGGCATCTTCTTCCACTAGAAGGCTATTTCGTCTACATTGAAAACCTGTTGTTTAGTGCAACCACCTTCATCACTTATCTTAGGTAGATCGTCTGGGAAACTTGTTGTAGTTTTTATATTGGTACTTGATGCCTTATCTTGCCCTTTTATGTTATGGAAATGGGTTCTTAAATCTCATGAACCAGTCTGCTAGCTTTAAGCTTAACTTCTGCAGCTTCCTCACCTCTATTAGCCTTTATAGAATTGAAGAATTAGGACCTACCTCTGAATTAGGCTTTGGCTTTTAAGCGAATGTTGTGGCTGATTTGATCTATCCAGACCACTAAAACTTTGTCCGTATCTGCAATAAGACTGTTTGGCTTACTTACTATTTGTGTGTTCACTGAAGTAGCATTTCTAATTTCCTTAAAGAACTTTTCCTTTGCATTTATACCTTAGCAGTTTGGTGCAAGAAGCCTACCTTTAGGCCTGTCTGGAGTTTCCATATGCCCTCTCCTAAGTTTAATAATTTCTAACTTTTCATTTAAAGTGAGAGATATGCAACTCTTCCTTTCACTTGAGCATTTGGAGGCCATTGTAGGGTTATTAATTGGCCTAATTTCAATATTGTGTCTCAGGGGATAGGGAGGCCCAAGGAGAGGGAGAGACAGAATGGCCAGTCAGCAGCAGTAAGAATATATACGACATTTATTAAGTTCATTGTCTTATGGGCACGGTTGGTAGTGCCCCACAGCAATTACAATAGTAACATCAAAGATCACTGATCACATATCACCATAACAGATACAATAGTAATGAAAAAGTTTGAAATAATTTTAGAAGTACCAAGATGTGACAAAGACAAGAAGTGAGCACATGCTGGTGGGAAAATGGTGCTGATAAACTTGCTCCACACAGGGTTGCCATGAAGCTTTGATTGATTAAAAAAATGCAACATATGCAAAGTGCAATAAAGAGAAGCACAGTAAAATGAGGCATGCCTGTAGTTATTGTGTGCTCTTAAGGAAATTACTATTTTTGAGATGGAGTCTCACTGTCACCCAGGCTGGAGTGCAGTGGTGCGGTCTCCGCTCACTGCAACCTCGCCTCCCAGGTTCAAGTGATTCTCCTACCTCAGCCTCCCAAGTAGCTGGGATTACAGGTGCCTGCCACCACGCCTGGCTAATTTTTTTGTATTTTTAGTACAGATGGGGTTTCACCATGTTGGCCAGGCTGGTTTCGAACTCCCGACCTCAAGTGATTCATCCGCCTTGGCATCCCATAGTGCTAGGATTACAGGCGTGAGCCACTGCACTCAGCCAAAAATAATAAGTGGTTAGTGAATCTGTTGTTGGTTCATGTACTTTTAAAAATTGTCTTCCACTGGGCGCAGTGGCTTATGCCTGTAATCCCAGCCTTTGGGAGGCCAAGGCGGGTGGATCACCTGAGGTCAGGAGTTTGAGACCAGCCTGGGCAAGATGGTGAAATCCTGTCTGTACTAAAAAAAAAAAAAAAATTAGCTGGGAGTGGTTTGCATCTGTAATCCCAGCTACTCAAGAGGCTGAGGCAGGAGAATCACTTGAACCTAGGAGGCGGAGGTTGCAGCGAACCGAGATCGCACCATTGCACTCCAGCCCGCGCAACAAGAGCGAAACTCTGTCTCAAAAAAAAAAAAAAAAATTGTCTTCCATGAAAAACAGCATGGATGATTTATGAGCTTTAGTTTAAGCCTGCTTTGTTTGTAATTTCATGTTACTACAGTGGTTATGATGGCCTGTATTCAAGAATGTTGAGTCTGTGGGTCATTTATCTTATAGCTGATTATTTTATAGTGGGTTGGAAATAAGGTTGTGGGATTTCTGAATCCAAACCAGAATGCTGAGAGGACATTGGTAATAAGATAGTGTCCTCAGTGGTGCATGCCTGCAGTCCCAGCTACTCGGGAGACTAAGGTGGGAGGATTACTTGAGCTTGGGAGATCAAGGCTGCAGTGAGCCGTGATGGTGCCGCACTGCAGCCTGGACAACAGAGCAAGACCTTGTCTCAAAAAAAAAAAAGATTTTAAAAAGTATCCTCAAAGATTGCTTTTCTTCAAGTTAATCTGCAAATTTTTGGATTCTAGGACAGTATGAGATGTTAACTTCCCACAGTTACTTGTGATAAGGTCTTACTAAGAGAATCGCCTCATTCTAGTTTTAACCTTGTTCTTGGAAGTTTATACCAAATTTTTGTTTGCTTGAAATTCATTCATTTCAGTCTATACCATTTGACTGAATTTCAGAAGGGTTCTGATAAATCAAAACCAGTGTGGTACTAATTACATTCTTTTTTTTCTTTTTTGGGATGGAGTCTCGCTTTGTCACCTAGGCTGTAGTGCAGTGACATGATCTTGGCCCATTGGGTTCAAGTGATGCCCCTGCCTCAGCCTCCTGAGTAGCTAGGATTACAAGTGTGTGCCACCATTCCTGGCTTTTTAGTAGAGCTGGGGTTTCACTATGTTGGTCAGGCTGGTCTCAAGCTCTTGACCTCAAATGATCCACCTGCCTTGGCCTCCCAAAGTGCTGGGATTACAGGCATGAGCCACTGTGCTCGGCCCTAATTACATTCTTTTAAAAACTTTATCTTAATTTTTTTCCCAGATGTTGACCATATTAGCTAAGAAATTTGAGGTCCTGGAAAAATGTTTTAGGGGAAGCAAAAGGTTTGGTATGCGTGTTTTGCTTTTGCTTGTCTTTCAGTTCTTAATTCAGGTGATATGAGACTTTACAGAAGTCAAAATGCCAGAGTAAAAAGGTGGTTATTAAAAATAAAAAACCTCAAATGTCAAAATTAAGTTACTTAAAAGTCTGGTTCTACCATTTACTTTGAGTATTAAACTAGACAGTTGAGATTGTATAACCATCTTTGAAAATGATGGTTGCTAAAGGTCTGGAGGCTCTGGAGGTGATCCATAAAGCCGCTCTTATTAGGTGCTTTCAGGATTTATAAGGCCTAAGTCCTTGTGATAGCACAGCTTATCTTTATTTTGTTTTTAGTTTTTTTTTTTTGAGATGGCTGTCTACCAGGCTGGAGTGCAGTGGTATGATCACGGCTCACTGCATCCTTGACCGTCCTGGGGTCAAGTGATCATGGCTGACTGCATCCTTGAACTTCTGGGCTCAAGCGATTCTCCTAGCTCAGCCTTTTGGGTACCTAAAACTGCAGGTGTGTGCCACCACAGATGGCTAATTTTTTATTTTATTTTCTATAGAGAGGGGTCTCAATATGTTGTTGCCCAGGCTGGTCTCTGAACTCCTGAGCATCCTCCCGCTTTTACCTTCCAAAGTGTTGGGATTACAGGCATGAGCCGCTGCACTCGCCAAAATGATCTTTTTTTTTTTGGACAGAGTCTTGCTCTGTCACTCTGGCTGTAGTGCAGTGGAGCGATCTTGGCTCACTGCAACCTCCGCCTCCCAGGTTCAAGCTATTCTCATGCCTCAGCTTCCCAAGTAGCTGAGATTACGGGCCTACACCACAACACCCAGCTGTTTTGTGTTTTTAGTAGAGACGGGGTTTTACCATGTTGGCCAGGCTGGTCTGGAGCTCCTGACCTCAAGTGATCCACTCGCCTCAGCCTCGCAAAGTATTGGGATTTGGGATTACAGGCGTGAGCCACTGCACCCAGCCCAAAATGATCTTTTATATGAACATCTGTAGCTTTTATTGTTCTACTGTTCTGGTGTAGTCTGTTTTATTGTTGTAACTATCTGAGAGCTGGTAAGTTGAGACCAAAACAACAACAACAAAACAACCAAAATCATGCTTAAAACTGGTTCTTTCCAAGGTTGCATTTTTGTTAAGATCTACTTAATAGTTGATTGGATGATTTTTTTTTTTTCCCCCTCCGGTCTGAGGGATGGTTGCTTCTACTGTATACCACTGTTATCGCCAGTATTTAATTATATTTGTTCTGGTCTGTGAAGTTTGGTAGGAAGGGAAGAAAGAGCTCTGGTTGGCTTTTCTAGATTGACAAGTTAGAAATTTCACTTAAGAGTTAACTGTTCTTTTTATTTTAAAGGACAATTTGATAATGTCAACATTTAAAAACCAAACTACTAGATACACTAGTTAAGTTCACTTCATAGTATCTTCTCTCAGGAAATGTGCCTGCATATGTATACAGAGGAGAAAATACGAGGATATATATTGCTGTAGTTTCACACCCCTCTGCCATTGTAATTGGTCAGGGGAATACTCTGCCTCCACTATGAGAAAATAACCAGCTGTCTCAATAAATGTTATGTATTATTATATATTGTTAGAAAAGCAGGCTGCTGAACAATATTGTTTCTAGTTTAAAAATGCAAAGGAAAACTATTGTTTCTGTAGACATACAGTATGTGTGTAAACTTTGTAAACAAAGTTTTAAAGGATATACAGACACTCCCCAATTTTTCGACTTAATGATGGTGTGAAAATGATAGCTATTCAATATACCCCTCAGTTTATGATGGGACTACATCCAGATAAATATATCATAACTTGAAAACATTGTAAGCTGAAAACACACTGTTGACTCGATTATATTTACGATAGGATTATCTGGATGCAGCTGTGTTACAAATTGAGGAGCATCTGTACATCAAAATTTTATTGGTAACTTTGCCCAAAGGGGGTGGGATTGTGTAGGGTGCTCAAAGGGAACATTTCATTTTATCTGTGCCGAAATTTTTTACAAGAATGTATTACTAATTTGTATAGTTTAAAAAATAGATAACACTGTTTATCGGTGTGATTTGCCTAAATTGAAATAAAAGCAACAAATAGCATTTAGACTTAATTTTCCTTCATGATTTGAATAGAAAATTTGAGTCAGTTGTAGTAAGGAACTTCAGGCAGTCCTGAAAGTCAACTTTTTATTATTAATACAGAGAATAGCTTTGCAGATAAACAGATATTCACAGAAGTATATTAACATTTAACTTCTGATAGCTTTAAATGTGAAAATTACATCATGGCAAGATTTACATGGTATATAACCATCTGTTTGCTTATGTCATGCCCTTTTAAAACTTCTGAATAACTTTTGCAAGTTTCTTCTCAGTGTAGGACTTATTTCATTTAGTTATTTTCATTAATATATGATAGGTGTTAAAAAAACACTAGATGTGGTATTAATGCCAGACAGACTTGGTAATGGAATAAGCCTAGTGAATTTGTGTTTTTTAGTGATAGTAAATGGGAAGTTGGAATTACCCTGCAGAGAAAAATTTCAGAATGAAGTAGGATTTGATAATAATGGGTTGTACATATTTCTTAATAGGTATCTCAGGCCAGTATAGTGGCTAACGCCTGTAATTCAGCACTTTGGGAGGCAGAGGTGGGCAAATCATTTAAGCTCAGGAGTTTGAGGCCAGCCTGGACAACATGGTGAAACCTCACCTCTACAAAAAGTGCAAAATAGGCATAGTGGTGCACACCTGTGGTCGCAATTGTTCATGGAGACTGAGGCAGGAGGATCGTTTGAACCTGGGAGGTGGAGGTTATAGTGAGCCGAGATCATGCCACTGTACTCCAGGCTGGTCTGGAACTCCTGGGGTCAAGCCATCCACCCGCCTTAGCGTCCCAAAGTGCAGTGGTTCTTAAACTTGGTTGCACACTGGGAAAAGGAGGGGTGGGGGTGCTTAAAAATTATTGATGGCTTGATTCCAGTCTCCAAAATTCTGACTTTATTAGGGGAAGGAATGGGCATTGGTGTTTTTGTTTTTGTTTTGAGACAGAGTCTTGGTCTGTCACCCAGGCTGGAGTGCAGTGATGCGATCTTGGCTCACGGCAACCTCCACCTCCCAAGTTTAAGCAATTCTCCTGCCTCAGCCTCCCAAGTAGCTGGTACTACAGTCATGCACCACCATGCCTAGCTAGTTTTTTTTATTTTTAGTGGAGATGGGGTTTCGCCATGATGGCCAGGCTGGCCTCAAACTCCTGACCTCAAGTGATCGGCCCGCCTTGGCCTCCCAAAGTGCTGGGATTACAGGTGCGAGCCACCGCGCCTGGCTGGGCATTGGGATTTTTAATGTGCAGCTAAGATTGCATACCAATGCTTTGAACCCAGTCCTTGTCATCTGTGGTTGTCATGGCTCATTAGCAACAATTCTCTGGTAATTTGTTTTGGTATCTTATGTAAAGTGGTCTCTCCCAGTTTCCCTCTCCCTTTCCTTTGTGACACTTAACACAGTGTACTTTTGGCTTGGTTACTTGTTTGTGGTCCTTCTCCCCTCTACGGTAGTGGGAATGAGCCATCTTGTTCACCACTATATGTCCAGTTGCTAGCATGGGGCTGGTACAGATGGTTGAGCAAATGATTTTCTCACAGGTATGAGCCACAGTGCTTGGCCAAAAACATGTTTTTAAAAAGTCAAACAGGGCTGAGGTGAGGTGGCTTATGCATGTAATCCCAGCCCTTGGGAGGATGAGGGTGGAGGATCACGTGAGACCCCGTCTCTACAAAAAAGTTTGTGAAAATTAGCCAGCCATGGTGGCGTGTGCCTGTGGTCCCCACTACTGAGGTGGGAAGATTCCTGAGCCAAGAAGATCCAGGCTACAGTGAGCTATGATCATACTACTGCACTCCAGCCTGGGTGACAAAATGAGACCCTGTCTCAAAAAAAGAAAAAAAAAGAATCTTTGAGTGCTGCATTGTAGTTAGAACTCTGAAGGTAAGGAAGTAGATACCTGAATGTCCTGTTCGATTTTCATTGGTTTTATGTGACAGCTAACAATTAGTATTTAATTAGATGGCTATTTGATAGGTTTTTAAAAAACTCCTGGTATTGATGATAGGAATGCATATTTTTTCCCTAGGTAACAGGGTGAGATAGCTAATGGATTATAATCATATCTCACTTATTTTAATGGGTTCATAAATGCCTGCAATTTTATCTTAGACTGAGTCTGCCCCTTAAGCTACATTAAGTGTAAGTAAACAAATCTTTGTTAATATTGTTTAATGCCAAATGTATTGCCTTATTTTTGTCTCCCATCTGTAGGCTAAAGAAATCCTGACAAAAGAATCCAACGTGCAAGAGGTTCGATGTCCAGTTACTGTCTGTGGAGATGTGCATGGGCAATTTCATGATCTCATGGAACTGTTTAGAATTGGTGGCAAATCACCAGATACAAATTACTTGTTTATGGGAGATTATGTTGACAGAGGATATTATTCAGTTGAAACAGTTACACTGCTTGTAGCTCTTAAGGTAATTTCAATTTTATGTTGGGGCATGTTGAAATGGGTAAGACAGTCCTCTTGAAAGTTTTTTTTCCCCCAGTTATTTTCTCTATCTGAATGTTAAAACAAAATTCCACATTTAGGAATGCATATGTTCAGGTTTTGGACTTAAAAATCATAGGCGTCTGCGTTCTGAGTAAGGGGATGGTACAGAATCAAAACAAAAGGAGGAGAATGAATGCCTCAGTCAGATTGTTTGAAAAAATAGGCTGGGCGTGATGGCTTATGCCTGTAATCCCAGCACTTTGGGACGCTGAGGTAGGCAGATCACCTGAGGTCAGGAGTTCGAGACCAGCCTGGAGAACATGGTGAAGCCCCATCTCTACTAAAAGTACAAAAAACTAGCCGGGGGTGGTGGCGGGTGCCTGTAATCCCAGCTACTCTGGAGCCTGAGGCAGGAGAATTGCTTGAACCTGGGAGGCGGAGGTTGCAGTGAGCTGAGATTGCGCCACTACACGCCAGCCTGGACAACAGAGCGAGACTGTCTCAAAAAAAAAAAAAGGAAAAGAAAAATGTTAGAGGGCTGGTCAAATAGATATTTTAGTTCAGTAAATTGGGGTATGGAGAGGTAATATAATTAGATTTGTGTTTTTAGATACTTTTGAAGTATTATAAATATATAAACATACCAAATGTCAAAATGTTTTAAATCAGCTGGTCACGGTGGCTCGTGGCTATAATCCCAGCACTTTGGGAGGACAGGACAAAGTGAGCATATTGCTTGAGTCCAAGAGTTTGTGACCAGCCTGGGCAACATAGTGAGACCTTGTCTACAAAAAAATAATAATAATTAACCGAGTGTGGTGGCACAGGCCTGTAGTCCCAGCTACTCAGGCTGAGGTGGGCAGAGTTGCCTGAGCCCAGGAGGTCGTGGCTGCAATGAGACTTGATCTTGCCACCCTACACTCTAACTTGGGGAACAATGAGACCCTGTCTCAAAAAAAAAAAAAAATATCGAGGAAGAAGTTCAAGAAAAAAAAGAATTTTTCTGAGAAATTCAAGAAAACATTTGCTGTAAATATTTAACAGAGAATATTATGTACATTACATACATTATGTATGTACATATGGTTTAGCTCAGTTGAATAGTTTCCAGCCATTAACCATGACAGTAATAATCTAGACTAGGCTGGGTGCAGTGGTTCACGCCTGTTATCTCAACACTTTGGGAGGCTGGGGAAGGCGGGAAGGATCACTTGAGTCCAGGAGTTTAAGAACAGCGTAGTCAACATAAACCCCATCTCTACAAAAAGTTAAAAAAAATAGCCAGGTGCAGTGGTGCATGCTTGTAGTCTCAGCTACTCAGGAAGCTGAGGTGGGAGGATCACTTGAACCTGGGAGGTCAAGGCTACAGTGAGCCATGATGCACCACTGCACTCCAGCCGTGTGACAGAGCAAGACCCCTGTGTCTTTAAAAAACAAAAATCTAGAATGGTAGAAATGATAACCGAAAAAAGCAAGTTCCAAAATTACATGCATTACATGCCAATTGTAGCTTTGCAAAGTGTACTGATGATGATCTGAACATGAAGCAAAAGATGGTAAAGAGCTGTTAGGGTGGCAGGCTTCCGCCTTTCCCTTTAAATAAATTGTTTGACTTTACCTTTACCCAAAAATCTTGGGGAGATTTTTTCCCCCCTAGGCAACAGACTGATTTTTATTATTAAAGAATATTCAAAATGATAAATGGCTGTCACAGACTTTCCTAATATTAGAGAAGCAGTGAGATGTGGTTTTAGCGTGAGCTGAATTTTCTTGATTAATATCTGAATTGTGTAAAGTCCTACGAAATATTTTTGGAGATCGTTATTTTCTGCATCTGTAAAATGAAGGAGTTGGACTAGATGGTGGAAGGTTTCTGCGGTGACTCCAAATACTATGAAAAGAGCTAACCTGTGCTAAAAACCCAGGATGAATCCCAGTGCTCAGAGGAATGAATGTGCTACCTTTAAGAGTATGCAAGCAGCCTGGGCAACCTAGTGAGACCCCATCTCTTCAGAAAACAATTTTAGCCAGACATGGTGACATGTGCTGTAGTCCTAGCCACTCTGGAGGCTGAGGTGGGAGGATTGCTTGAGCCTAGGAATTTCAGGCTGCGGTGAGCTACTCCACTGCATTTGAGCCTGGGCGACAGAGTGAGATCCTATCTGGGGGGAAAAAAACTTACTCATGGAGGTTAATGGGCTGAATTGTAGCCCCCAAAATTCATTTGTCTAAGTCCTAACCCACAGCACCTCAGAATGTGACTGTATTTGGACAGGTAATTAAGGTAAAGTGGGGTCACATGGTTGGACCCTAATCCAGTGTAAGTGGTATCCTTATTAGAGATTAGGACACAGATGGGGAGAAGATAAGACAGATGGAGAAGATGAGCATCCATAAATCAAGGAGAGAGGCCATCAGAAGAAACCAACTGTGCTGACACCTTGATCTTGGACTTCTGCCTCTGGAACAGTGAGGAAGTAAATTTCTGTTGTTTAAGCCACCTATTCTCTGATGCTTTGTTGTGGCAGCCTTAGCAAAAGAATACCGGGGGAAAGGATGTTTCTTTCAGTAAATGGTGCTGAAGCAAATGGATCAGAATGTATCATAGAACTAAATGTAAGAGCTAAAGCTACAAAACTTCTAGAATAAATCAGAAAATCTTTGTCAGGTTAGTTAAAGATTCTTAGATATAACAAAAGCACAGTCCATAAAAAATTGAAAAATCGGACTTTATCAAAATTAAGATTATGTTTTTTCAAAAGATGACACCAGAAAAAAAGTACTTGTATTCAGATATTTAAAAAAAAAAAACTTTTACAGCTCAATAACAAGACAGATAATTGTAAAATGGGCAAAATATTTGAATAGATATTTTACCCAAGAAGATGATACATGAGTGGTCAGTGAGCACATGAAAAGATGCTTGATATCAATTGTAATCAGGGAAATGCAAATTAAAGTAACTGAGTTACTACTTCACATCTATTAGAATGGCTGTAATCAGTAAGGTTGATAATACCAAGTGTTGGTTAATACCGGAGATTAAACTCTTCATGCATTGCTGGTGGGAATATAACATGGTCTAGCTACTTTGAAAAACAGTTTGACTGTTTCTCAAAAAGTTAAACGTTACCAGGTGATCCAACAATTATATTCTTAGGAATCTTCCTAAAAGAAATGAAAGCATATGTCCACAGAAAAACTTCCATGTATATGATTATAGCAACATTATTCATAGTAGCCAAAAACCTCAGTAACATAATTGCCAGTTCATCTTAACTGTGAATAGAGAAACAAAAAATGGTATAGCCATACAGTGAAGGACTGTGCAACTATGAAAAGGAACAAACCACTGATCTATGCCAGAACATGGGTGAGCCTCAAAAATATTCTAAGTGATATTTAGCCAAAAGACTACATTTTGTATTCCATTTATATGACATTTCTAGAAAAGACAAACTCAAGACAGTAAATCAGTGGTTGCCAGGAGCTGGAGTGGGAGTGGAGAGTGACTGCAGGAGGGATCTTTTTGGGATAATGGAAAGGTTCTAAAACTGGATTGTGGTGATTGTTGCATAACTATAAATTTGTGAAAAATTACTGAACCGTAAAGTAATTTATGGGGTTTTAATAGCCCATTGATTTATGTTTGGTATAAAGTTGGTGGTAGAGGGAGTTTGATTTTAGTTGAGATGAGGTGGGCAAACACCCCATGGGCATTTAAAAATTCTGTAGAGCTGTGGTTTTGGTTCACTATGATATGAGGATGTGTGCTGTTTTTTCAACAAAATTGTAACTGCATTTTTTTCTATAGAAAGTTTCTTGAATTTTCATTGGTTTTTGAAAGAGCTAGTTGTTTATGTTTTGCATTTTATTGTTTTAGGTTCGTTACCGTGAACGCATCACCATTCTTCGAGGGAATCATGAGAGCAGACAGATCACACAAGTTTATGGTTTCTATGATGAATGTTTAAGAAAATATGGAAATGCAAATGTTTGGAAATATTTTACAGATCTTTTTGACTATCTTCCTCTCACTGCCTTGGTGGATGGGCAGGTATGTGGATCTAAAACTCATTGCTGATTATTTCAGAGAATCTGCTTTCTTTAGTGTTCAGGTGCTTATGACTCTTTCCACTCTTAACACCCCTTTGGGGATATTTTTTAATAGATATTGATAGCATTCATTCAAACTTAAAAAAAATTTAATTTGACAAATGTGTCCAACTTTTTTAAGTGCATTATTCTTTATATCAGGCACTGAACTGTATGGTGGGATCACAGGGGTGGGTGATGTAGCCCATTTACCCTCTCAGACTGTTTTTGGACAAGTCTGGGAGATGTAAGGAGCTAATTATTGGCCTAGGTAGATGTGCACACAAAAGAACTTACAATAAAATTTTATGAGTATGAAGATACTAGTCTCTGGCAAAGGGCAGGAGTGATATCCAAGAAGTTTTCTCAAAGGAGCTGTTTGAAGTGGAGTCTGGTTGTGACAGCGATGGTCTATTAGGAAGAACAGGAGTGTACTCAATAGTTCAGAGTGGGCTGGAGCAAAGATGAACCCTGCAAAGTCAAGTCTCATTCAGGCAGAGCACAGAAACACCAGAGGGGCCAAGTGATGGGGGTGCCCAGCTCATTTTTTAAAATTTTTGTAGAGACACAGGGTCTTGCTGTGTTGCTCAGGTTGGTCTCAAACTCCTGGCCTCAAGCAGCCCTCCTGCCTCAGCTTCCCAAAGTGCTGGGGTTACAGGCATGAGCCACTGTGCCCAGCCAAGAATGTTTACAAATTTTTTAGGTGAGGTTAACCTTTTAAACCACTCTTTTCAGATCTTCTGTCTACATGGTGGTCTCTCGCCATCTATAGATACACTGGATCATATCAGAGCACTTGATCGCCTACAAGAAGTTCCCCATGAGGTATGACTTTTATTTGATAAAATTCTTTCAGAAAACTTATTAGGGAGTGGAGAAGTTTAATTGTAAGTTCATTAGATGTATTCTCTCATATAATTCTCAAAAACAACTTGAGGTGTGAGCACTCTTGTCTGCCCTGTTGTTCAAAAGAAGCTGACATTAAGAAACCTGCCAAGATCACAACAGCTGTGAAGCTGGGCTTATTAGGACCTGGGTTGTCTGTCTTAGACTCTGAAATTTGCATAATATAGGCAGATTAATTAGGGCATGTTGCTGCTGGGTCCCATGGATGTCAGCTGTGTCTCATAAAGTCTGCTGGAAAATACATCTTATTTGATGCAGATGTTTGACTTCAACTGCACAGTCTATTAGCATTGTCCACAAACATCACTCAAAAAGGGTGGCTTAGGGTGCTGCTTCTGATGAATTACTCAAATAATGTGTTAACCATGTTTGTAAAAGGCATTTTATAACTTGAAGTTATTTTTTAGGGTCCAATGTGTGACTTGCTGTGGTCAGATCCAGATGACCGTGGTGGTTGGGGTATATCTCCTCGAGGAGCTGGTTACACCTTTGGGCAAGATATTTCTGAGACATTTAATCATGCCAATGGCCTCACGTTGGTGTCTAGAGCTCACCAGCTAGTGATGGAGGTATGCTGTGTTCTCTGAAATATGACTTGTTTTTTTAGTAAACTTAAGGAAAGAAGATATTAGGGAGTTTTAAATTAATGACATTTGTGAGAAATTCCATCTATTCCTTCTGATGAGTTTATCATTATAGCCTGAGCCTTTTCAGTAGATGCACACTACTAGAATTAAAAGCTCAAGCTTTTGATTACAATGAATCCATTAACATGTTTTCAGAGAAATCTGAATGACTAGGAAGTACTTGAGATTTAAGAGTGGGAAAGTAAGATATAGGGAGTTGGTGTGCATGTATGATATTTTATGATCCCAATGTTATTTCGTATATTTAATGTATGTATGTAGGAGAGACTGGAAAGAAATACACGAAAATGTTTTAAGTGGTCCTTTGGATGCTAGGATTACAGGTGATTTGAAAGAAGGGAAAGAGGCAAAGGTTCTTGACATGGCACACTGATTAGAATATTTTTAAAATAAGGTCCTAATTAGATTAATACTAGTACAACTCTGTGGTTATCAATAAAATCTGACTTTGCTAAAGGTAAAGAAATTGTGAACAATACTAAACAAAAAGTAACAAAAGTAGCTCATGCATTCAGGTGGATGGACTTTGAGGAAATGAGGCTGGAGATCCTAGAGGCATATTGCATTTGTTCCTGGGCAGTGACCAACTTAACAGGCCTTTACCTGTGACTGACAAAATTGGTAAGGTTCTGGTCTCCAGGATTAAGTATCTACTTCTCTAGGGAATGGCCACTTAAATACTTATTCTTAAATCATGTTTTAAGGCCACTGCAAGAGAAGAGGCTAATGAGACATTGTCATTTACAGCAAGGCAGATACATGAGAAGTATTTCATTCTTTGGTGGTTGCTGCTGTTTGTTAAAGCCTTTTTTTTTTTAAAGTACTAAAAAAAAAACAAGTTTTGTAATTAGGGGGAAAATAAATACATGTGTACCTTACAGGTTGTATAAAGTACAGGAGATTATTAAGTCATCCAGAAAAAAAGCATTAACATTTCTTAAGCCCCTTTGGCAGGGGTGGGAATGAGTAGAGATTTTTTTCTCTCTTGAGTGAAGTAACATTTAGTTGAATTGAGGGAGTAAAGTAAGATTTTTGTCTCCTTTTCCTTGCAGGGATATAACTGGTGCCATGACCGGAATGTAGTAACGATTTTCAGTGCTCCAAACTATTGTTATCGTTGTGGTAACCAAGCTGCAATCATGGAACTTGACGATACTCTAAAATACTCTTTGTAAGTAATTCTACCTGAACATTTTCTTGCATTACTGAATATGTAGGGTTTTGGTTTATTTATTTTGAGAGAGAGGGTGTCACTATATTGCCCAGTCTTGTCTCGAACTCCTAGGCTGAAGTGATCCTTTCACCTTGGCCTCCTAGAGTGTTGGGGTTACAAGTATAAGATACAGTGCCCAGCCTGAATACATAGTTTAAATGTGAGGTTTAAGAGTTTAAGGGGGCCAGGCGCGGTGGCTCATGCCTGTAATCCCAGTACTTTGGAAGGCTCGGGTGGATCACCTGAGATCAGGAGTTCGAGACAAGCCTGACCAACATGGTGAAACCCCTTCTCTACTAAAAATACAAAAATTAGCCCAGCATGGTGGCGCCTGCCTGTAATCCCAGCTACTCAGGAGGCTGAGGCAGGAGAATGGCATGAATCCGGGAGGCAGAGGTTGCAGTGAGCCAAGATCGCGCCACTGCGTTCCAGCCTGGGCAACAGAGCGAGACTTCGTCTCAAAAAAGTGTTTATTAAGGGATTATGCTATGTCAGATTCCAACTTTTATTTTTAAGTTTTGTTTTTTTTTTAATGGATCTACATTGAAACACACCAACAGGAACTTATTATATATAGATCTTCGTATGAATTACTAGGTTTTTCACTTTTAAAACCATGTTTTGTGTTTTTTTGTTGTTTGTTTGTTTTTTGAGACGGAGTCTCACTCTGTCACCCAGGCTGGAGTGCAGTGGTGCGATCTTGGCTGACTGCAAGCTCTGCCTCCCGGGTTCACACCATTCTCCTGCCTCAGCCTCCCGAGTAGCTGGGATTACAGGCGTCTGCCACCACGCCCGGCTAATTTTTTTGTATTTTTTTAGTAGATATGGGGTTTCACCGTGGTAGCCAGGATGGTCTTGATCTCCTGACCTCGTGATCCGCCCGCCTCAGCCTCCCAAAGTGCTGGGATTACAGGCGTGAGCCACTGCGCCCGGCCAACCATGTTTTGTTTTGTTTTGTTTGAAATTTCAGTCAAGGTAAAAACCATGTTTTTATAAAAGCATAGTCTCTGTGGCTGAAGTTGCCTTGACTCTTTCAAGGGGAGTACAGTTAACAGACCATTATCATTAAGGTTCTGTTACATTAAGACAAGCCAAAATTGAATAGGAAGTGTAAAGTTTGGAAGACTCATGTTCTTGATCTTGATTGTCACTACATGGAGGTCGTGGAACATAAACCATGAATCGGTCTTGTTTTTCAGCTTGCAGTTTGACCCAGCACCTCGTAGAGGCGAGCCACATGTTACTCGTCGTACCCCAGACTACTTCCTGTAATGAAATTTTAAACTTGTACAGTATTGCCATGAACCATATATCGACCTAATGGAAATGGGAAGAGCAACAGTAACTCCAAAGTGTCAGAAAATAGTTAACATTCAAAAAACTTGTTTTCACATGGACCAAAAGATGTGCCATATAAAAATACAAAGCCTCTTGTCATCAACAGCCGTGACCACTTTAGAATGAACCAGTTCATTGCATGCTGAAGCGACATTGTTGGTCAAGAAACCAGTTTCTGGCATAGCGCTATTTGTAGTTACTTTTGCTTTCTCTGAGAGACTGCAGATAATAAGATGTAAACATTAACACCTCGTGAATACAATTTAACTTCCATTTAGCTATAGCTTTACTCAGCATGACTGTAGATAAGGATAGCAGCAAACAATCATTGGAGCTTAATGAACATTTTTAAAAATAATTACCAAGGCCTCCCTTCTACTTGTGAGTTTTGAAATTGTTCTTTTTATTTTCAGGGATACCGTTTAATTTAATTATATGATTTGTCTGCACTCAGTTTATTCCCTACTCAAATCTCAGCCCCATGTTGTTCTTTGTTATTGTCAGAACCTGGTGAGTTGTTTTGAACAGAACTGTTTTTTCCCCTTCCTGTAAGACGATGTGACTGCACAAGAGCACTGCAGTGTTTTTCATAATAAACTTGTGAACTAAGAACTGAGAAGGTCAAATTTTAATTGTATCAATGGGCAAGACTGGTGCTGTTTATTAAAAAAGTTAAATCAATTGAGTAAATTTTAGAATTTGTAGACTTGTAGGTAAAATAAAAATCAAGGGCACTACATAACCTCTCTGGTAACTCCTTGACATTCTTCAGATTAACTTCAGGATTTATTTGTATTTCACATATTACAATTTGTCACATTGTTGGTGTGCACTTTGTGGGTTCTTCCTGCATATTAACTTGTTTGTAAGAAAGGAAATCTGTGCTGCTTCAGTAAGACTTAATTGTAAAACCATATAACTTGAGATTTAAGTCTTTGGGTTTTGTTTTAATAAAACAGCATGTTTTCAGGTAGAGCTTAAACTAAATGATGTGTTTACTTAGTGCAGTTTCTGGTTATGAATATTATATTGCTATGTGTATATTATATGGACTCTTTAAAATGATTGACAGATTGGCAAATTCTTAAATCTTTGTACATTGTTGAGTCATATGTTCTTAGAGTTAAATTTGTCTCAGATAAGAAAGTGTTAAAGCATTAGCCTGTGTCAAGTTCTTTGAGTGATACTAGTGAAACCAAATAGAAAACTATTGTTGGATCATGATTTAGTCTTATGTACATTCACCCGAAGACAAAAATGGTACTTAAAGTGGCAGTGTTCAACATTTAATGAGTTTTTCCCCTTTTATCCTTCGAATAGGATTAGATGTTTAAAAAAAAGTTCTTCTGTGGGAACTAATATTTGATATTTTAACCTACCAGAGTAAACAGGAACACTTAATCATACTTGTGAGTGTAGTAAATAAAAGTTTTCTTGCTTTGTGCTGTGTTGAATCTGGAACCAACAGGGAAGTTATAGCATATCCCCTTTCTAAAATGCTTGAGGAACACATACATACCGAATGTCTTTTCTGATCTAATTGATAGTATTTTTAGTGGCTTGTGGAGTTAATTTTCCAAAGCAAAAGGCCATTAGGGTTTCTACATTTCATTTCATTTCATTCTTTTCTTTCACAAGAAATACATTCTCTGTGTGTCTTTTTGTTGCTCTGTCACTCTATGCCCTTTCTCTCCGACTGAACAAATAGCTTATCCATGTGCAGTGGTTTTAATACCCAAACAATCTAGACACCAAGCAGCTATTTTTTCCGGTCCTGTGATATCAGAATTGACCAAGGAATACGTATATTGTAATTGACACGTGGTGGTATCTTCCAGGTACAAATTCTCTAAATTTTGTGGTTAGCAGAATGGGACTTGTGATAAGAATAGCTTGGTTTTAGCATAACTAGGGTTTAAAATAATTGTTTAATTATAGAGACTGACCGGGCTTTGGCCATCTAAACTGGAAAGTGTTAGTACCCTACCTTCTTTTGAAAATGGCTATGGTAAGGAAAATGTGTTAGTAAATTATGTATTTTCTTGAAAAATACATAATTATGGTTGGATGGGAATCACTAAGTTGGGTGTTAACTGATGTCTCAATTAGTAACATTAGGATTTTCATTAATAAACCTAAAAAGCTTTCCCTAAGAACAGGCCTGGCACAGTGGCTCATGCCTGTAATCCCAGCACTTTGGGAGACCAGGGTGGGTGGATCCCTTGAGGTCAGGAGTTGAAGAGCAGCCTGGCCAACATGGCAAAACCCCATCTCTACAAAAAATATGAAAATCAGCCGGGCTTGGTGGCATACCATAGTCCCAGCTACTTGGGAGGCTGAGGTGAGAGGATCGCCTGAGCCCAGGAGATGGAGGTTGCAGTGGGCTGAGATTGTGCCACTGTACTCCAGTCTGGGTGACAGAGCCAGACCCTGTCTCAAAAATAAAGAGGATTCTGAGTTTGTATAGTGAGGGCTTGCAGAAATTTTGAAACTTATTTTGTAAGTTTACAATGAATTTGTACATGATGTGCTCATGTCTTGGGTTGAGTATCCTAGACATGATTTTTTCATTTGCTGCATATTAAACATTTGTTGGTTGTAGTCGGTATTTCTTAAATAGAAGTTTGTCAATATTAGATTAGTTTCAAGAAGGACTTAGCTCAGGAAAAGGATAGTTATTTCTGTGGTTCTCAGCTTTGATGCCTACAGAGATTCTGATTTAAATTGCTGGAGGAGGGCCCAGGCATACATTTTTTAAGTTTCCCAAGTGATTCTAATTTACATCTAGGGTTAAAAACAGCCAGGCGCGGTGGCTCATGCCTGTAATCCCAGCACTTGGGGAGGCCGGGGTGGGTGGATCACCTGATGTCAGGAGATCGAGACCAGCCTGGCCAGCGTGGTGAAACCCCATCTCTATTAAAAATACAAAACTGACCGGTGTGGTGGCAGGAGCCTGTAATCCCAGCTACTTGGGAGGCTGAGGCAGGAGAATCACTTGAACTCAGGAGGAGGAGGTTACAGTGAGCCCAGATCGTGCCATTGCACTCCAGCCTGGGCAAAAAGAGCAAAACTCCATCTCAAAAAACAAAAACACCTCACTGCTGTTTCCTAAGTACATACTTAAGAAAATTGGGATACATGGTGGTGGTTCATGGATGTTGATAAGGAATTAAAATGTACCGTGCGACTCTCTGTTTCAGTGGTGACTTTTACCTGTTTAGTATAAATATTCCTTTGCTTCCAACCATAAATGTGTTCTTAGAAATGGGCCTATAGTTTAGTAACCTATAGTTTGGTAATAGGCTTGTTTGTTTTCAGATGGATTTTGGTTCTGTGAGCTAAAGCTATTTTGCATTAAAGCCTTCGTCCTCACACATTGTTTTGACATATTTCTAGTCTTCATAAACTTTTTTAATTTAGATTTTTTTCCCTTCACAAGTATACATCTGTTTTAGCAAATAGCCTTATGAAGGTTGTAGATGTATTATTTTGGGCATGCCTGGTGATTTCTATATTTTTTCCAATTACATTTAAAGCTTTATGTTTTAGGAATATAAGTACATTTTATTTCTACTTTTTATTATATATATTTAATTGCACAAGTACTACTGTCTAGAAAAAAATGGGATGTTGCTAACACAGCATTGTTGGCTTGTAGGCAGTGCTGTCCTGTAAATAGATTGAAATGTATTTTTATCAGCTGGTATATAAATTTGAGGAAAGAAAAATGTGGACTGTGTTTGAATTGTTTAAAAGTTGAACATACAAAGATCAGTGGTAACCAAGTAAGTGATATAGGCAACAGACCCCAGTTTGTTTTGTATTTGCTGTCATGCCTGGACCAGAATTCCTCATTCCCAAGAGTGAAAGAGGAAATAATTATAGCTAATGAGTGAATGCTGGAAAAAGTCACACTTTTTTGTTTTTTAAGGAAAAGCACAAACCCTCATGTCTGAGGTTGAATTTAATTAAGTGCAGTCGGCCCTCCATAGTCAAGGGTTCCACATCTGAGAATTCAGCCAACCATGGACTGAAAATATTTTTGGGAAAAGGAACCAATAAAAACCAATACAGTGGCCAGGAGCAGTGGCTCATGCCCATAATCCCGGCACTTTAGGAGGCGGAGGCAGGGGTGGGGGGATCACCGGAGGTCAGGAGTTCAAGACCAGCCTGGCCAACATGGTGAAACCCCGTCTCTACTAAAACTATAAGAATTAGCTGGGCATGGTGGCGTGTGCCTGTAATCCCAGCTACTCAGGAGGCTGAGGCAGGAGAATCACTTGAATCTGGGAGGTGGAGGTTGCAGTGAGCCAAGATAGAGCCACTGCACTTCAGCCTGGGCAACAGAGCAAGACTCTGTCTAAAAAAAAAAAACACAGTATAACTATATACATAGCAATTTCATTGTTTAGGTATTATGAGTAATCCATAATTTAAAGTATAGCCAGCCATCAGTATCCACAGAGTTTGCATCAAATGAGTCAATGGAGTCAACCAACCTGGGATTGAAAATGCAGTGTTCTTTTTTTTTTCCCCCTGAGACGGAGTCTCTCTCTGTCACCCGGGTTGGGGTGCAGTGGCACGATCTTGGCTCACTGCAACCTGTGCCTCCCGAGTTCAAGCAAGTCTCCTGCCTCAGCTTCCCAAGTAGCTGGGATTACAGGCGTGGCTCACTACGCCCAGTTAATTTTGTATTTTTAGTAGAGACGGTTTCACCATGTTGGCCAGGGTGGTATGAAACTCCCAACCTCAGGCGATCCACCTGCCTCAGCCTCCCAAAGTGCTGGGATTACAGGCATGAGCCACCGCGCCTGGCCAAAAAATGCAGTATTCTTGAATGCAGAACCCACTGGTAAAGGGGACTGACTTCCAGACTTGACTATCCAAGGGAGGTGTCCTGGATCCAGTCTCCCAAGATTACTGAGGGATGACTAGTTTGTATCCTCAACAGGCTTGTGAGAAGTAGCCAGGATTTTGTCTACTCTGCGTACGATGCTGCTAATGCTGCAAACCACTGCTCTTATTTTACTACTTGGGTCCCTTCGGAATCTATTTTGAGATAGCCTCAGCCATGGTGTACAATCTTCTCAACCATTCAGTGTTGTTAGTGGGAAGGACTTTAATGTGTTCTTCCTGCTGGGCACAGTGGCTCCCGCCTGTAATCCTATCACTTTGGGAGTCCGAGGTGGGTGGATCACTTGAGCCTGGAGTTGAAGATGAGCCTGGCCAACATGGTGAAATCCTGTCTCCACTAAAAAAACAACTAGCTGGGTGTGATGGCACTTACCTGTAGTACCAGCTAGTTGGGAGGGTGAGACTAAATCGCTTGAAACCGGGAAGCAGAGGTTGCAGTGAGCTGAGATCGCGCCATTGCACTCCAGACTGCGAGACTCTTGTCTCGAAAAAATATATTTTTAAAAGCTTTCTTCCAAGAAATAATTTAGCTGTTCTTCCTTAGTGCAGTGGTAGGCTGTAGCCACCAGCAAGCAAGATTACTGATGGTGGAAGTCAAAGGCCAGAATCGTGATAGGAAGTTAAGAGTGCTTGCTCCATAGAACACTATGGAAGACCACAATGGAATGTCTAATTAAAGCTATTAGAAATGCCCAAAGCTGTTGAGTGCCTCTACCTCAAGGCTTAGCATACCTTCTGATCTGCAAGGAGACTAATCATTAGGCTTTTTGCAGTTCTAGAACTGCTCTGAGTATGGCATTGGAACCTGGGGATAGGAGCAAGAGCTAGTAATTGGGTTTGGCAGGCCTGGTCAAAGGGGAGCTTTAAGGTCAGGTATATCCAAACATATCAGAAAGTAGGTTACATGGTGTGGTGAAATATACCAGATGTAAAATCTGCAGAATGTACTCCTGCTGTTGAGTCCAACTTGCAATGTAAGTCCCTTTGCAGTGAAGGTCTTGAGTATGTATTGCATGCAGCAGGCAGAGGAGCGGGAGGAGAAACTGTATAATGTATTTGGTCTTGAACATCCTTTGTTTTCCAAAACCACATTCATCTCTACCTTGGTTGAAATGTATAAAACTACCATTTTAAGTTTCATCTTTTCATTGATCTATGACTAAAATTAGGATGCAAAGACAAACCCAAGGCTTAGCCCACTGCTCCTCCTCAGAGCTGCACTGAAACTGGTTGTAGGGTAAAGGGATGTAGGCAATTTAAATATGAGTCAAGATTTTTGGGATGGCAGTATGGCTCTCATGGCCTCTGGAAGGATCCAGGTGATGTCCGACCTGGTATGGCCTCTTGGCCTGTTGCCACCGCACCAGGTTTTGCCCTTAATTTTAGTCTTGGCTCTGGATTTCTTTAGGGTATTGTGATAGCTTTGTTGGTCTTTGGGTTTTTCTAGTTTCACCACAGATCCTAGGAAAAATAACCATACTCTAGAAATGAGAAGCCAGGATTTTTAAAGTAGGGCTGGGAATATGAGTAGACATCTTTTGGATTTTCAAAATGTATTTGCTTAAACCACCTTTTGGCAGCAGTTGGACATTTCTGCTATCTACCTGAGTGGCAGATGGCCTACAGCATTTGGTATGTTAAAAGAGTATAGAGTAAGTGATTCATGGCTTCTGAAATACATCAATTTGACGTTGCAGTCTTGAAAAGGCAATAGCTGACATATCCTGAACCAGCTTGGGTTTCCAGTGCACTCAGTGCTGAAATAATTGCTGTGAAGGGTTGAGTTGAATTCACAATGACTTAGGACAGTAGTAGCTACTGAATGTTCAATCTTTGAAATGACAGAATTAGCTTATAGTGAATATTGTCTAGCACTGAGCATTTCCATGTGCCAAGCATGTTACATGAATTATTGAGTTTTCTCAACTCTGTTGAGAAGAGCAGAGAAGGTTCTGCTATTCAGGCATTCTGATCGCAGAGTTCCTGATTTTCAGGAAGCATTAGGTTTCTCTTGCCTTTGCTGAAATTCTTATTAGTGGTGTTTGAAGGGTGGGCAATAGCCTACACAGCTTTAGGGTTTAGATGTGTCGCTTAGCCCCATTCAGGAAGCTAGGTGTGTGATGGGCCCTTTGGGGAGTGTGTGGTGAGGAAGGCTTGCATGCTGGGCCTTTTGAGTGTTGGCCCAAGTCAGGTAGCCTGGTTACAGCATTCTCAAGAGTTCATGGACTGCCGGGCACAGTGGCTCACGCCTGTAATCCCAGCACTTTGGGAGGCTGAGGCGGGTGGATCACAAGGTCAGGAGTTCAAGACCAGCCTGGCCAAGATGGTGAAACCCCACCTCTACTAAAAATTAAAAAAAAAAAAAATTAGCCAGGTGTGGTGGCGGGCACCTGTAATCCCAGCCACTCGGGAGGCTGAGGCAGAGAATTGCTTGAACCCGGGAGGTGGAGGTTGCAGTGAGCTGAGATCGCACCACTGCACTCCAGCCTGGGTGACACAGTGAGACTCGTCTCAAAAAAAAAAAAAAAAAAAAGAGTTCATGGACTAACCTTTGTGTCTCAAGGGCATTTATTTGAGCCAGAGTTTGAAGGGGAGTTAGGTGAGGTTCAGCTGAACCACCACAGCCTAACAATTGCTCTTGAAGATAAAAGAATTTTCACAGTGGACCCGCATTAACAAATACTAAAGGAAAACCAGAAAGTATATATGGAGTGGAGCACCCCATCCCTAACTTTTAAAAATTCATCTAAGTGGCATAATTCCTCCATTTTTTATCTGAATTCCCAACTGAATTGTGGGTTTTCTTGAATGACCTGAGTTTTTTAGACTCTTTTATAAACTTCTGGGATTCTGTACAAGACTACTGGAAACTAGTCAGCTCTTTAGGCTGACAGTTGTAGTAATGAATGAAATCTCATGCTAGCCTGTCATCACCTGACCATCTTCCCCTCCTTCTGAAGACCCTTACCTTCTAATCTGAGAGGAGCCAGAAGCCAAGACCAACTTACTTTCTTGTCTGGTGTCCTGATGGCCAGTTAACAAATTCTGATACGGAGGACTTGACCCTATGAACAATGCCCATCTCTAATCTGTATGAGTGCACATTCTTTTTAAAAAATGGATCTTTTCTACTCGTATTAATATAAAATACATGCTTGTAGTAAAGCAATAGAGATGAATACAAAAAAAGTTTCCCCTCCAGCCTTATTGGTCTGAGGTGGTTACTACTAATGGTTGTGGATGTTTTCACAGTCATATCAGCAAGTCTGCTGTGTGTAGGGTGGTTGTGCTCTAGTCTTCCTTCATGATGATGTGTATTAAATTGTTTCTCTGGGAGCAATACTCCTCGCCCTTTTAAAACAAATGGTAACAGACACCATTCCGCACATAGCATATTTTCATTTAGCATCTTTGGTATTAACCAGTGTGAGCTTTTATTTTTAAAGTAACAGTAGTGAGTTGGTGGAAGTATGATGGGTTCCTGAAGTAGTTAAACATGGAGGCAAAACTAAGTAAACTCACCAGCTTGTTAATGTGTGGCCACGGTTGGGCACAGCTCCAATATAGGGTGACCAGTTGACCTGGTTGCTTAGAACTTGAAGGTTTTCCAGGAAGCAGATCTTGCTTTCTTCTTCTTCTTCTTCTTTTTTTTTTTTTTTTTTTGAGATGGAGTTTCATTCTTGTTGCCCAAGCTGGAGTGCAATGACACAATCTCGGCTCACTGCAACCTCTACCTCCTAGGTTCAAGTGATTCTCCTGCCTCAGCCTCCCAAGTAGCTGGGATTACAAGTGTACGCCACCACACCTGGCTAATTTTTTGTATTTTTAGAAGAAATGGGGTTTCACCATATTAGCCAGGCTGGTCTCAAACTCCTGACCTCAGGTGATCCACCCGCCTATGCCTCCCAAAGTGCTGGGATTACAGGCGTGAGCCACTGCCCCAGCCAGTAGAGCTTTGAAACCAGAACAGTTGGTCACCCCCAATGTGGGTTCTGTGCCTTTCCCACCCTTATCAACCAGACAAAATCCAGGCTCTGCTTTGGCTCTCAGCTGGGATCTTGGGGGTGGGGAAGTGGTAACTGGGCGAATTTACTCAGACCTGAGCTCTAAGACTACCTGCTGCCTGGCTTGCAGTCATGCATCCACAGGAACCAGTCTTTGCATTAAGTCTATAACTGAGACCCCCAGCTCCCAAGGTTCCAAGGTTTGTGCTACATGCTCTCGTTTGTGAGGACTCCAAGGCTTCTTAAGTCTCAAGGCAAAGGACAGGAAGGCAAAGATCTAAGAAGGAGAACAGAGGGTTAAATTTATTAGAATAGGAAGAAAGGGGTGAAGCAAGGTGGGTGTGTGTTGAGGGGTGAGAGGTTCTAGCAAGAGGGCTTAGGTCTTAGCCAGGGTGTATGTAGTAAGGGGCTGCTGCCATCTGGGAGAGCACAGCAAGTGAAGTGGGCAAGAAGAGATGTTGCCATGGTATTTGAGTAACTTCCACTGGGTAAGTAAGCCACCACCAGGCACCAGCTGAGCTGAGTGGTATTCAGCAGCTACTTACTGTGCACCTGTTATGTGCCAGGCATTAGGCACAAGCGGTGTACAAGACAAAGTGCCCTTGTGCAGTGAACACCCAAGAGAGACAAATATAAAACTCCAATAGGAATAATGTACTATGAAGAAAAAGCAAGACAGGAGGCCAGAGGGTAAAAGGAGGTACCCTTCTAGCCAAAACTTCCACATACTGTTGTGCACATTGCTTACTGCCCAACTCAAGTTTGTGAATTTTGACAATTTTTTTGGCTGATGGCAATCGTATGTCTTGATGTGATGGCTGTTAAATTTTTAAAATAAGTTTTAATGTAAATTTAACGTACTATTTAGGCTGGTGGTCTCTGAGGAGGTGACACTGAGCTGAGACCTAAAGGATGAGAAGGAGCTATTCCTTCTCACCAATCTGCATTAGATGCTGTTTATCACAAGGTGAAAAATCACTTGTTTTGAAAGAGAATGCGGAAGTGTAGTTTGTAGAAAAGCACTGACCATGACCTGATAACATTCCTAGAAATTTCCGCCATCTGGGGCAGCGGTGGGGAAGCTGCTGTTTGAGAGACTGCTGTAGTCCAGGCTGTGCTGTTCTGACCAGAGCCTGCTGCCTACAGCTGAGTGGCAGGATGTGGCTAGAGGAATGGACACAGCTGTACTGGTGGGACTCACACAAATGTCAGATGGACCAGTTACTGCTGGATAGTCCTCTACACTTCCTTAGATTCTTGGGCTTCAAAAGGACTGATTAACACGGTCTCTTCTCAAATTGCCACCTCCTCTCTGTACTCTATAACACTTATAACCTCGCCAATATTAATACTTCAGGGCACAGTCGATAGTGTCTCTCTTCTTCCTGCCATCACATTCAGCAATCTTTTTTTTTTTTTGAGACGGAGTTTCACACTTGTTGCCATGCTCGAGTGTAGTGGCATGATCTTGGCTCACTGCAACCTCCGCCTCCTGGGTTTGAGTGATTCTCCTGCCTCAGCCTCCTGAATAGCTGGGACTACAGGCGTGCGCCACCACGCCCGGCTAATTTTTTGTATTTTTAGTAGAGACGTGTTTTCACCATATTGGCCAGGCTGGTCTCAAACTCCTGACCTCAGGTGATCTGCCCGCCTCAATCTCCCAAAGTGCTGGGATTACAGGTGTGAGCCACCCCTCCCAGCCAACATCCAGCAATCTTTCTGCAGCTGTACCTCTATCCTTGGCCTCCTCAATTGGATTATTCCTATCAGCATACAACATGGCTCTGTATCTTCAATCCTAAAAACAGACTCCTTTGACTTCACAGTCCCTTTAAGTGCCTGCCCTTTTTCTATACTGCTCTTAGCAAAGCTCTTTGAAAGAACTGTGTCCTCTGTCCACCTTCTCATATCACACTTTTCTCAACACACCACCCCACTGAAATTACAGCTTTATCAAGGTGATTTTCCCATTGCCAAGTATAGTAGATGTTTTTTCTGACTTTAATTTTGTTTTTAGCATTTGAAATGATTGACCAAAACAATTTCCCAGATATAGTTTCTTTCCTTGTCTACCATTACACTACATTTGCTTGTTTTCCTCCTACTTTTTTTTTTTTTTTTTTTTTTGAGAAGGATTCTTCCAGGCTGGAGTGTAGAGGCATGATTTTATCTCACTGCAACCTCAACCTCCCAGACTCGGGCGATCTTCCCACTTCAGCCTCCAGAGTAGCTGGGACTATAGGCGTGTGTGACCATGCCCAGCTAATTTTTAAATTTTTTATAGAGACTGGATCTCACAATGTTGCCCAGGCTGGTCGTGAACTCTAGAGCTCAAGCGATCCTCCTGCCTCGGCCTCCCAAAGTAGGCATGAGCCACGGCGCCTAGCCCCTCCTGCCTTTTTGACTGCTGCTTTCCAGACTCCTTTGCCAGTTCTTCCCATCCTCTAAATATGGAAATGACCCAAGGCTTAGTACTCACACGACTTTTTCTCTCCTCTTCCAGGTGATCTCATCTAGCCCTGTCTATATGCTGAAGAGTCCCAGTTTGTATCCTTAGCCCAACTTCTCCCCTGCACTCCTGTTAAGTATTCAACTGCCTACTTGACATGACTCAGATGTCTAACGTGCATCTCAAACAATTCCTGATCTCCCAAACACCTTCCACCCCAAATCCTGGTGTTTCCTATCTTAGTACCACCATGAATAGTACCACCATTCATGCAGTTATCCTTGACACCTGTTTCTCTCATCCTCCACATGTGGTTCATTAGCTACACCTCCAAATACATCTTTCTCTTTTATCTCTAATAACCCTGTCCTGGTCCAAGCCTTCTGAAAGGTCTTGCGGCTTCTCTTCTTCCACCCACTACAATCCACTCACACAATCACAAGAGCGCTCTTTCTATACTGTAAAGCGGATCCTGCCACATGCTGCTTACCTTCCATCACCTGAGGCTACTTAATGAAAATGGGATGAAGTGGCCAGCGGCTGTAATCACGCCTGTAATCCTAGCACTTTGGGAGGCTGAGGTGGGTGGATCACTTGAGGTCAGGAGTTCGAGACCAGCCTGGCCAACATGGTGAAACCCCGTCTCTACTAAAAATACAAAAATTAGCCGGGCATGGTGGTGGGCGCCTGTAATCCCAGCTACTCAGGAGGCTGAGGCAGAAGAATCGCTTGAACCCCGGAGCCAGAGGTTGCAGTGAGCCGAGACACCACTGCACTCCAGCCTGGGCAAGAGAATGAGACTCCATCTTAAAAAAAAAAAAAAAAAAGAAAAGAAAATGGGATGAAATTCCACTTTCTTCACAGAGCTTTTCATGATTTGGTCCTTACCTGCTCTTCTGCCCTCATCTGTTTTCACTCTCCCCCCATTCATTAATCTCTAACCATATTAGCCATACTGTTCCTGGGACATACCAAACTCATTTTTAGAGACACTTTTTCCATCTCTTTCTGTGGCTGGGGCCTTCTTATGCAGGTTTCTGCTTAAATGTATTGCCCTCTTCTCCCTTTATAACCCCACTTTGTTTTCTTCTCAGTATTTATCCACCTAACATTCTCTTATTTGTGCTTATCACATTGAACCCACTAGATGGTAAGCTCCCTGAAGGCAAAAATCCTTCTCTTCTTTACCACTGTCTGCAACATGATGGGGAGAGGGTGGTAAACAAATATTCACTGAATGACTGACTGGCATGGTCTATATCAGCAGCTTGCTGGGCCTAGACTCAGAGATTTTCCTGGAGAAATCCCTGCCACTCAGTAGTCCCTTGGCAGACAGGCCTTCCTGACTGCGCAGTTAACAGTCAGGCACTTGGCTTGCAAGACATACCCACGTCATACTTGACTACCTCACTGATGATCCCAGTCTAGCTCCTGGGATGTTCAGCAAGTCGGCCTGCCTGGAGCTCCATGGGTGGCTGACTGGCTGGGCTTTGCAGAGTTTTTAAATTGCAATTTCTCTCTGGTAGTCTTTGCCCCAGTGTGCTGGCTCCAGACGACATATTGGTGCTGGGGTCCTCTGGGCAGAGGGGTAGGGAGACTTAGCCGGTGATGATAGGTGATGCCTGTCATTGTTTTCTCATCTGTGAAGGAGTCCTCGCTGCATTGTACTGCACTGCTCTGCTCCTAACTGAGTCTTTCTGGCCCTGCTACCAGGTCCTGCATTTCACAGGTCTCTGTCAAACTCTACATTTCACAGAGGGACACTGTGACCCAGATGGCTGGGGGCTACTTCCATGGTCACGCTGTGGACATGGGATTAAGTTGCACTGGCATTCAGCCTCTGGTGGCCAGACTGGGTTTCTGGACAGGAGTCTGCGTCCTGGAGGGGAGAGAGGGCAACCTTTGGAGGGGCCAGAGGGCAAGCCTGGAAGAGGGCAGGCTCAGTGAAGATGCACCCTTGGGACAGCCACCTGGCTCTCTGGTGCCATCTGTTGGTCAGAGCCAGTCAGTACTGGTAGTTCTTGGGGGTTGACCTGGACCAGACGGACTCTAGAGCAATCCCGTCCCTGTCACTGCCTTAGCTTGGGCCCAGCATGGCAACTCTGAGCACATGGGGGGCACTGTGCACTCCTATGGTCTTCTCTCCTTGGAGAGAGGTGGGTGTAGCTCATGCTCTTCCGTGAAGTCAGACTCATCTGTGGTGAGTTAGCCAGACCTAGGTTCAAATCCCACCTCCCCATTTTCCTGCTCTATGGCCTGGGGCTGATTACTTAACCCATCTCAGCCTTGGCATCTCTCCTGTAAAATGCAGATTATAATAGTAACCACCTCCTAGGGTTGCTGTGAGATTAAAACATTATAAAGAAAGAGCTTAGCTCGGTAATCTGGCAGGCCCATGCTCCAGGAATGTTAGTGGCTATGCTTATGGGCTTGCTGATTTGGGCAGGATTACTGTTCAGTCCCTCCTTCATGGGTAGGCCCACTTTGGCTTGCCAAGACTCTCCAACCTACCCTAGACCCAAGGCAGTCTGGGGTTCCTGAAATCTGATGGTGCAGGGTACAGATGTGGGTCAAGAAATGTTTTCCTCCACCACTTAGGTGTAGATGTCACTTCTGCCTAGAGATTCCACAGCAGCTTCCCAAGGGCAGGTTCATAGTCCACCAGGGAAGGTATTGCACTGGCTGGCTCAGATAGAGGAAAGGAAGCTGTAACTTTCTGTAGCTTTGTCCAAGGTCTTAGTTGAACTCTTGGCCCATGGGCAGGTAAGTCCTCCCTGTGGCCTTGCAGAAATTCCTCACCTTCCCTCCCAACATCTCCTGTATTCCTCCAGCCTTGGCTCTGAAGGGTTGGGAAGCCATGTGAAGGAAAGGCTCCAGGGGCTCAGACTTCCTTCAGGAATTGACACTGGCATCATGTTAAGAATGTTACATGCATTCACACATTGTCACTCCCTCCTCGCTTTTTTTTTTTGAAACAGAGTCTTGCTCTGTCGCCCAGGCTAGAGTGCAATGGCACAATGTCAGCTCACTGCAACCTCCGCCTCCCAGGTTCAAGCGATTCTCCTGCCTTAGCCTCCCGAGTAGCTGGGATTACAGGCACCTGCCATCATACCTAGCTAATTTTTTTTTGTATTTTTGTAGAGACGGGAGTTTCACCATGTTGGCCAGGTTGGTCTCGAACTCCTGACCTCAGATGATCTGCCCACCTTGGCCTCCCAAGGTGCTGGGATTACAGGCATGAGCCACCATGCCCGAACTTTCTCCCTCTTTTCTGCTGAGTTATGATTTACATGCAGTAAAGTATACAAACATAATTGTAGTTCAGTGAATTTTTGTATGTACATACACTCATGAAACCACCATCTGGACCAAGATACAAAATGTTGGCCGGGCATGGTGGCTCACATCTGTAATCCCAGCGTTGGGAGGCCAAGGTAAGAAGATTGCTTCAGCCCAGAAGTTTGAGACCAACCTGGGCAACATGGCAAGACTCCATCTCTACAAAAAAAAAAATAGGCTGGGTGCAGTGGCTCATGCCTGTAATCCCAACACTTTGGGAGACCAAGGCGGGTGGATCACCTGAGGTCTGGAGTTTGAGACCAGCCTGGCCAATAGGGTGAAACCCTGTCTCTACTAAAAATAACAAAAATTAGCTGGGCATGGTAGCAGGCACCTGTAATCTCAGCTACTCAGGAGGCTGAGGCAGGATAATTACTTGAACCCAGGAGGTGGAGAGGTTGCGGTGAGCTCAGATCATGCCACTGCACTCCAACCTGGGCAACAAGAGTGAAACTCCGTCTCAAAAAAAAAAAAAAAATAGCCCAGATATACTACAGTGGTGTGCACCTGTAGTCCCAGCTACTCAGGAGGCTGAGGTGGGAGGATTGCTTGAGCCCAGGAGGTCAAGTACAGTGATTGCGCCACTGCACTCCAGGCTGGGCAATAGAGCAAAACCCTGTCTCAAAAAAAAAAAAAAAAAGAAAAGAAAAGAAACAGAAAAAGAAAAAAAATATTTAGCATCCCAAAAACTTCCCTCATCAATACTTGTCACCTGCCAAAGGTAACTATTCTTCTCTCACCGCAGATTCGTTATTGCCTGGGGCTTTTTTGGTCTTTATTGAAATGGACTTAAACAATCAATATTCTTGGGTTTAGCTTCTTTTGTTCAACATTGTTCATGAGATCCATCCACATTGTGTATATCAGTAGGTTCTTTTTCATTGCTGTTTAATATTCCATTAAGTGAATATACTACAGTTTTTTTTTCATTTTATAGTTGATAGATTTGTTCTTTCTTGACTCTTATGAATAAAGCTGCTATGAACATTCTTAAACATATTTTTGGTAGACATAAGTTCTTATTTCTGCTGAGTATATATCCAGAATTGGAGTTGCTGGGCCACTGGGTACATGTATGTTTAGTTTTAGTAGATACTGCCAGTTTTCTGAAGTGTGCCAATTTGTACTCCCACCAGAAATGTATGAGAGCTCCGATTGTTCCACATCCTTGCTAATACTTGGTATTGTCATTCTTTTAAGTTTAGCCATTCTGGTGACTAAAATCACTGATTTTCACAAAAATCCTGTGATGTATTGGTATTGTTATAATCCCCACTTTACAGACAAGGGGGCTGGGGCTCAGCAAGGAGAAGCCACTTATCCCAGATCACACAGGATGTTAGCAGCAAGTGGGCAACAGCAGGTCTGTGTGATTCCTCTGCCTCTGTGGCTGCATGAATTTTTTACTTTTTTTTTTTGAGATAGAGTTTCACTCTGGCACCCAGGCTGAGGTGCAGTGGTTCTATCTCGGCTCACTGCAACCTCCACCTCCTGGACTCAGGTGATCTTCCCACCTCAGCCTCCTGAGTAGCTGGGACTACAGGCGCACACTACTACGCCTGGCTAATTTTTGTATTTTTTGTAGAAACGGGGTTTCGCCATGTTGCCCAGGCTGGTCTTCAACTCCTGGGCTCCAGTGATCTGCCTGCCTTGGCCTCCCAAAGTGCTGAGATTACAGGCATGAGCCACAGCGCCCAGCCTGCATGAAATTTTAAAGTCAGAATATTTGAGTGTGTCAAATAATCTCTTATTTTCATAATTACTTTCTACAGCGCTTATTTCCATTTGACAGCAGAAATATAATCTGGCCACTTCCTGGCAAATTCAGTCAAGTAAGTGCATGATCACCCAGTCATTCCAGGGAATACTCAGTTGAGTGTTCTGTCCCTCCACTCCTATCCAGGGGCATGGTTGCATTCTGTGGAGGTTATGTGGTCATGGCATGGAGTGGGAAGTGAGGGGGTTAAGGTTGTCTGGTCCTTGGTCATCGTCATCTTCCTCTACTGCTCAGGGAGGCAGGCAGATTTCACCCCTGCCAGTTGTGGGTTGTCGTCTCTGGTTTCTACTGTGCCCACAGATGTCTGCATTCGTGCCATGGTCTCTGGCTTGGACTGTGGCTTTAGTGCTCCCTTTATTAGGTTTATTATCACAGAAGTTCTTTCCTGGTTATCTGCCCCCTCTCAGCAACTTCATGCTGTTCTAGGGCCTCACAACACATGCTAATGCTTCCTGGGATTCTCACAAATTAGGCATGGGCCTGAGATGCTCCCAGGGCCCCCTGCTTAGGCATACCCAGCTGCCATTTCTACTTGACTGCTACCATACTTTCTCATCATGGAAGATTATTTAGACCTTATCCACAGACAGATTCTCCCCTCTCTCAGAACCTCCAAACCTATCTGGGGTCCTAATCCCTCCCTATCCCTGGGTTGAGGGGATGGGAGAATGAGAGAGAGTCCCTTCTCAGAGACCCACACTAGAAGCTAACAGCATGCAGTGTTCTCCTCCCCACTCCAAGCCTGGCATATACCTTCTTTCCAACTCTTTCAACAGAGGAAGGTGAGGCCCAGAGAGGTGAAGTAAGTTACCCAAGATCACATAACAGAGGCAGGTGGTCTGACTTCAGAGTGGCTATGCTTACCCCTGTATTAGAGGACCAAGACTGAGAGAGTTGACACACAGCAGGATGCAGCCAGGGGACCCTTCACCATGTGGACTGAATACTTCTAGCTTACATGCTGTCCTATGGGATGGAACACATGTCTAAGTCCACAGTCTGTCCCATGGATGGGTGCATAAGAAATGGAATGAGAACTGAATTCTGGGCTGCAAAGTCTTGTTTGTTTGTTTACTTTGAGATGGACTCTTGCTCTGCCGCCCAGGCTGGAGTGTAGTGGCGTGATCTCCGCTCACTGCAGCCTCCACCTCCTGGGTTCAAGCAATTCTTCTGCCTCAGCCTCCCAAGTAGCTGGGATTACAGGCGCCCACCACCATGCCTGGCTAATTTTTTTTTTTTTTTTTTTGTATTTTTAGTAGAGACGGGGTTTCACCATGTTGGCCAGGCTGGTCTCAAACTCCTGACCTCAAGTGATCCTCCTGCCTTGGCCTCCCCAAGTGCTGAGATTACAGGCGTGAGCCACTGCGCCCAGCCGAGGGTCCCGTTTTAGATGCACTGACAGGGTTGCTCCTCATAGGAATCCTCCTGTGAATGCTTTATAGCAATGAAGACTCCAATGAAGACTTAAAAAGGAAGATCATTTCTGGAACTGAATTCATCATAAAAACTGGATTTTCCCATCTGGAATATTTGAATCCAAGGCTTTAGTTTCCCTGGAGGTAGTATGCTGGGAACAGTTGTAAATTAGAAAATGTTCCTGCATTTGAGGAATGGGGCTAAGATTGACTGCCTGGGCTGTGATGGCAGATACGTAGCTGGAGCTGGAGTGACGGCTGGGAAAGTCTCTTTGGTTTTGTTTCCTTCCTCTGTAGGACAAGGGGTTCTGAATACCCCTTGGTGTGGAGCATGTGGAGTGATTGGAGTAAGGGTGGAGCCTCAGCTTCCTCAGGGCCAGCTCTGGAAACATAGGTACCCCTGCTCCTCACACCCACACATGTATCCACACGTACCAAGGGGACTCTGTGGGGGCCAGTCCTTTCTGACCTGGGGTGATCACTATGGATAAATGAATGGAGAGGAGTCACTCCCAGCCTGTCCCACAGTGCTACAGCTACCTTGGCCCTCCCGAGTGGAGGTTTGAGAGAAGGTAGGGTTGATCCAGAAAGTATGGCGCTAAACTAGTCACCTCTGACGAACACTCTTGGCTCCTTCCTGGCAGTGCTTCACCACTGATACCCTACTACACAGGTTTATGCACTTACTCTGGGCTTGAGGATCACCTGGAGAACTGGTTTAAAGGGCAGAAAAACCTGCCCCCAGGGAGTTATTAGATTGAGAGTGGACCCAGGAATCTGCATTTTTCTTGAGCCAATTTATTTTTAAAGTTAAAAAATTTGAATATGTAATACATTCATGTGAATTGATACCCAAAAGATACAAAGGGGTATAAGGTGAAAAATTATTCTAACCCATCCCTCAGTGACCTAGTTCCCTTCCTCTGAGGTGACCAATTTCTTGTGTATCTTTCCTGAGATAATCTATACATATAGCACCATATACAAGCAAATGAAATATGTTTTATTTATTTTTTTGAGACTGGGTCTCACTCTATCACCCAGGCTGGAGTGCAGTGACACCATCTTGGCTCTCCGCAACCTCTGCCTCCTGGGCTCAGGTGATCCTCCCACCTTAACCTCCAGAGTAGCTGGGACTACACGCTCACACCACCACACCCACCTAATTTTTGTTTTTTTGTAGAGACGGGGTTTCACCATGTTGCCCAGGCTGGTCTCAAACTCCTGAGTTCAAGTGATCTGCCCACCTCGGCCTCCCAAAGTGCTGAGATTACAGGCGTGAGCCTCCACGCCCGGCCCCAAAATCTGTTTTAAAAGCAGACATTTCTTGGTGATTCTAATAAAGGGGGTTCTCAGACATATTTGGAAAAATATATCCCTACTTTTATGCCAGACCCTGTGCTGGGTCCCCGGGCTGTGTGACCTGACACTGCACAGTCCTGCTTAGAATGCTTAAAGAGAGTTAATAAGGTACCACCTTCTATGCCATAGGCGGGGAGCAAAGGGGCTCCAGTGGGCCCTGCCTAGGAGGCCTGAAGCTAGAGCTGCTGAGGGCAGGGCTGTGCTGCAAAGAAAATGTCTGAGAGCTGCAGGCGTTTCATCTTCTGTCATCAGCTGTGGCACCTGGCAGACACTGGATAGGCTTGTAGACAAAGACCTGGTAACTCAAGGAGCTGCTTGGCCTTCCTGCCCAGTCCCATCCCAGAGGCACTGTACATCTCTGGTTTCTTCAGGGGGCCCTGTGTGGAAGTATCTTTTGTCTTCCTGGTGTCAGGGATATCATCACGTGCCTGTTGGCTAGGCGAGCCCGGCGCCCAGTCTCCTAGGATGGGGAGAGTAATGTTCCCGAGCAGAACAGGGTGGGGCTTTCAGACTACTCCCTTTCCTTTACAGCTGGCTTCATTCCATCGACCTCATCAAAGCCTTCCTGGGAGCACCCTAGAGAAGAGTTACGTCCAGGCCGGGCCCTGGCTGCCTGGTTCACGGCGGAATCCCCAGCACCACGCCTCGCACGTCGGGCTCAAAGCATGTTTAGTGAAGGAGTAGGTACCTACTGCTAGATGGAGCCATCTCTCTAGACTTGGGGTTTCCCTATAACGATGGCTATGTTTGGCATGGAAGCCTCTTTAGAAGTCAATAGTAGGAAATAAGGGCTAACAGCACCTAATTGTGGAGTAAGGTTCAAATCCTAGCTCTGCCACTTAACCGTTCCGAACCTGTTCCCTCACTGCAGAGGCGAAAAGGCTAACACTATTTCACCTCGGAGGGTTACCGTGGAGAATGGAAGCTGGACAAGCTGTATCAGTTCAGTAGTAAAACACACACACACAAGCGCCCCACCCCCACCCCACCCCACCCCAGGAATGAACACACACACCCGCGCGCGCACATACACCTCAGGAATGAACACACGCGCGTACACACACACGCAGCCCCCCCCAGGAGTGAACACACACACACACGCCCCGTTCTGTTGTTCCCAGGAACACACACAGAGACGCACACACTCGCCCGGTTTTGTTTTTTCCAGGCTTTTTAACTGGGGTCTTTCACTCGGCTTAGGGCACCGCTGCCTGAAAGACCTTTCTAGGCCAGTCGGGGTCCGGCACCCAGTTGACGAGACAGCGCGGCGCTTTCAGAGCTGGGGAGAGGCGAAAACTCTTCCGGCCCCCCGATCCCCCGGCCAGCCGCCCCCGGCAGCTCCTTGCCGCCTCCCGGCCTGGGCCCGCCCAGCCGTTCTCGGCCTGCCGTCAGGCGATCTCGGCGGCCAGCCCAGCCGCGATGTGACGCCGCGCGCCCCGGGGTCCTCGGCGCCTGCGCCCTCTCCTATAAAGCAGACGCCGCGCCGCGCTGCGACGCTGTAGTGGCTTCGTCTTCGGTTTTTCTCTTCCTTCGCTAACGCCTCCCGGCTCTCGTCAGCCTCCCGCCGGCCGTCTCCTTAACACCGAACACCGTGAGTAGCCGCCCACTGAACTGGAAAGGGTCGTGGCTACCGGATTGCGTGCCGGCTGGCCTCACCGCTGCGGTTTGGGCCTGCCCGCGGCGGGCGGTGACTGGGCCTGGCCTTCTTTCGGGCCCGGTGGATCGCGTTGTCGACCCTGTTCTTCGGGAGACCCTACCAGGTTCCGTTCACCTGCCCCGCCCCCGACTCAGCGAGGCCTCCTCTGGCCGGGCGTCCTCACGGCGCTCCATAAGTGAGCCGAACCCCGGGCTGGGCCTTCTCTGCACCGGCCGAGCGTCAGCCGGCGCGGAGCTCGGCTGCAAGGCCCAGGCTGCGGCCGGGGGCCTCTCTTGGTCTTAAGCCTGCTGTCCCGGGGACCAGGGCGGGGGTGGCGGCGGGGTTGTGAATGGGGGTCCCTTGGCTGTCGTGAGCGTGGGCGTGTGTCGGTGTCTGGCTTTTGTTGTGGTCGGGAGGGAGAGCTGCGGTGGTGGTCTGAGGCCGCCCGGTTCTTGGCTCCCATCCTTTCTCCACCGTGTCTGGCGTCACTAGCTACCGGTCGGTCCTGGCTAACCGTGTGCGGGCGCCGGCTTTCTGCACATAGCCGCCTGCTCCATCTGAATATTTCTTAGCGTTGTTTTGCCATGACTTGGAGTCGTTGAGCAGATACCATCGTCAGAGTGGTGTGACTTGTAGGAGCCTTAACTGTGTATAACTTAACTCTAGGTATCTGGCTTTTAAAGAAATAGGACGTCTACCTGCTTTGATTCACTTTTAATGGAAACTTCACGTTTGGGTTTTAGGGACATGCATTTTTCCTTTAGAGCGTGACAGTAGAATGTATCCGTTTCATAGAACAATACCGTCTCCTCCACTGTGCAGTCTAAAAAGCAGTGTCAGAATTTCGGGTCACTTAAAGCGCAGGGGTTTTTTTTTCTATATGATGTGATAGAACCCGCTTTATGCTGGCCATGGAGAATTATTTACAAGTGCAGGAGCCTTTAGGCCTCTTTCTTTAGAATGGAATTGTTTTGAAAGCATTTCAAATAAATATTTCATCCATTATTACTTAAAAATTTTGCACTTTATTCTACTGTAACACTAAAACTTATCTTTGAGTTTAGTATTACCAAGTGCATCGAATTACAGATTAACCGATTGACCAGCTGCTATTTAGTAAGGTCTCAACTCCCTTAAGAGTAACCCAATCCACAAACTTGACTATGACTAAGCACTTATCTTGAGTTATTTGAAAGAAATATGAAACGGTCGTCTTGCTTTTAGAGTAATTTTAATCAACTGCATTGTTAGATTTGTGATTCTGCACTGTTCATTTCAGTACTATCTAATATAAAAATTACATGTTTAAATGTTTTATAATTAAAAATTGGGCTCAGGTTAAAATATTTTCTTTTGGAGATACCTTTTGTTGTGGTCTTGTCACAGGAAGGGTCCTCTACTCTGCATCCTTCTCCATTAAGCAGGGACAACTGCATTATTGGCAAGCGCTAAGCAACATGGAGAAGCAGACATGTTTGTGAATCGCAAAGTGAAATCTGATTCTCTCCAACTATGGATGAGTGAGAGTAGGATATTTCAGTGGCTGGTTTTAAAACATGCTTTACTTTTTTGCTTCCTTTGCCTAACAACCTGTTTGCTTTGGGGTTGGCGACAATTGTCTCAGAGAAGCTGAATGAATATTTTAACCGATGTAATGGGTCATAAGTCTTTGAACATAAAATGGGTGTGATGCATGTTTTAAATGCCAAATGATACACTTTTGGGAAAATATATGCGATTTGTAATACAACACACCTAGAAAACTTCAGAGGTGCCATAAGTTAATAGTGACATCACCGGATTATGAATACTTGAGAAGCATGGGCCTTTTAAAAGTTGTATGTGAGTTTTAAGAGGCCTTGAATTAATCTGTACCAGGTATTGCTATTCTTTTTGTTGTTGTTGTTTTCCTTGTTTGTATGTTTTCTTTTTTAAAAAAAGAATTTGAAGATGGTAAGAAATTGTTGGACTTTTAATTTTAAATGCCTTTTTTTTTTTTTTTGCCAGAACTCAAGTCCTTTGAAATTAAATGCTTAACTTTTTATGTAAGATTATATCTTTTTCCTAACGACTCATAATTAATCTGAATTAATAAATGCGTTTTCAGAGCAAGTAATAGGTTATTATTATGGAGATCTTGCCAAGAGATCTCAAAGTTGGTCACCTGGACAGTCAGTACTGAAAGATAAAAAGGGCTCTGAAATGAAGCTTTTAAGTAGATTTAGGGAATTGTACTCACATCTGCTTATCTTTAAATCATTTTATTCTCTTGTATATGGTCTTGCATTGCCTCAGACATAAATGAGCATATTCTGATGTACTCTTTGGATCTGAACTCATCTTCACAGGTAGGACTCACTGTGGGGAAAATTTCTATCTTATTTAGTAGCGTTGTTTGTTTTGGACTGACCTTCCTCAGGTTCGCATGTAGTTAATTGTGGCAGTTAACTGTTCAGATGGAGTCCAGTATTCAGTGGGAGACGAAAGGCAGGCAGAAAGCAAATACAAATATGTATGTTTTATTAAATTTATACCAATAGTGAGTTCAGTAGGGCAGGCCTTAAAAGCTTCTGTTCCTAGTAGTTATACTTTGAAAAAATTTTAATAGAAATACTCGGAGACTAACTTGTGAATAACTGCTTACAACAGTGCTTTACAGGGTTATGTATTGTAGGTTCTTAGAACTTTGTGGTCAATAAGTTAGAGCCTTCTGATGGACTGTAGTTGATGAAATGTCATGTAGAACTCTCTCTCTTAAATTTTATATTTAATGTCCTTTTTTTTTAGATGCCTTCAATTAAGTTGCAGAGTTCTGATGGAGAGATATTTGAAGTTGATGTGGAAATTGCCAAACAATCTGTGACTATTAAGACCATGTTGGAAGGTAAGTTCATTGGAAAACCTGGGTGGGAGGAAATGTGTAATTTGAGATAGTTTGTGAATATCAAATTTATATGAGCAGCAGCCTGTCATAAGGTGCTTGAGAGTATGAAGAGGTAAAGTTTACATTTTTTTCTTTATAACTTACATTTTTCTGATACAGGTCATCCTTTCTGCATTGTCTGAATTAGTGAGGGTCGTTCTCTCATTAAATGGATAAAATCATAAGGTAAAATAAACATTGAAGTGATTGCCAAGCCTTAGGCAATGGTTAATTTCTGTTCAAGTAAATTTGAATTCATAAGTTCCAGTGATAGAAATTAAGGTCTTTGGAAAAGAGATACCGTCCTATAATGGTGGCTGAATAGAACACCTTATTTCAGTGGAGGGAGTGAGCTCTGTGGATTGCTGTGTAGATTTTATTTATTGATTGATTTATTTGAGACAGAGTCTCACTCTTGTCCAGGCTGGAGTGCAGTGATGCAGTCACGGCTCACTGCAGCCTCAACCTTCTGGGCTCAGTCAGTCTTCCCACCTCAGCCTTCCGAATAACTGGGACTACAGGCACGTGCCACCACATCCAGCTGATTTTTTTGAGACGGATTTTTTTGCTCTTGTTGCCCAACCTGAAGTGCGATGGTGCAGTCTTGGCTCACTGTAACCTCCGTCTCCCTGGTTCAAGCGATTCTCCTGCCTCAGCCTCCCGAGTAGCTGGAATTAGAGGCATGTGCCACCAAGCCCGGCTAATTTTGTATTTTTGTTAGAGACGGGGTTTCTCCATGTTGGTCAGGCTGGTCTCGGACTCCCGACCTCAGGTGATCCGCCCACCTCGACCTCCCAAAGTGCTGGGATCACAGGTGTGAGCCACCGCGCCCTGCCCCAGCTGATTTTTTAATTTTCTTTTTTTTTTTTTTTTTGAGACGGAGTCTTGCTCTGTTGCCCAGGCTGGTGTGCAAGTGGCATGATCTCAGCTCACTGCAACCTCTGCCCCCCGGGTTCAAGTGATTCTCCTGCCTTAGCCTCCCGAGTAGCTGGGATTACAGGTGCATGCCACCATGCCTGGCTAATTTTTGTATTTTTTAGTAGAGATGGAGTTTTACCATGTTTGTCAGGCTGGTCTCGATCTTCTGACCTTGCGATCCACCCGCCTGAGGCTCCCAAAGTGCTGGGATTACAGGCATGAGACACCACGCCCAGCCTAAATGTTTTTATAGAGACAGGATCTCCCTATGTTACCCTGGTTGTTCTCGCACTCTTGGACTCAAGCCATCCTCCCACCTCGGCACCCCAAAGTACTGGGAAGAGCCACATTACAGGCATGAGCCACTCTGCCAGGCAGAATTTTTTTTTTTTTTTTTAAACAAGCTTTCTCTTTTGTCTGTTTTGTCATTCCTCTGAAACTACTACAAAGTATATATGCAGCATAAGGAAGTGACTTAGAAAACAGGTCTTGAAACTTTCGCTAGTTAATGTGGATCTCTTTTTAGTGTTACCAGTGGGGTGATACAAATCAGTGTCTGGAATTGATGAAAAAAACTTAGTAGTATTGAGTGTTCTTTAGTACTTAAATGTCAGAGGTTTTTTATGTAGGGAAAGATCAGTAGATTATAAATACTTGAACGAAGAGAAGGGTTATGTGCCAAGCTTTGGTGCTGGTGAAAAGAAGGTAAGTGAGACATGGCCTTTGCCCTTGAAGAATTTATAAACTAGGAGGGAAGTCAGACACAAACAAGGCAAACTTGTCACATGGTGTAATTAGTGCATTAATAAAGTTGCGCGCCAAGTGGCGCTGTGGGAACATCTTGGCTAGTGTTATTCTTGAGTCTTGAAGAGATTGCAGTATGTAATACTGGTGAGGATATTTCTTTTATTTATTTATTTTTTTGAGACTGAGTTTTGCTCTTGTTGCCCAGCCTGGTGTGCAGTGGTACAATCTCAGCTCACTGCCACCTCTGCCTCCCGGCTTCAAGCACTTCTCCTGCCTCCGCCTCCCAAGTAGCTGGGATTACAGGCATGTGCCACCATGCGAGGCAAATTTTGTATTTTTAGTAGAGACGAGGTTTCTCCATGTTGGTCAGGCTGGTCTCAAACTCCTGACCTCAGGTGATCCGCCCACCTCAGCCTCCCAAAGTGCTGGAATTACAGGCATGAGCCACTAAGCCCAGCCGAGGTGATATTTCAAATCTAGTAAAATTAGAATGTTTTGGGAGATCATTCTGAAGTAAAGTAGACAGGGTGTGCTAGGGAAAGTGAAAATACGGTTTTTAGTTGGGGTGGGATGGAATTGTGATACTGTAGTTGGTAGAGCTGAAAATGGGTTTGAGAGGAATGGAGAAGAAAATGACTTTGAGTTTAAACCATGTTTGAGATTCCTTCAGAAGATCTACTAGTAGCAGTCTACTAGGTGATTGAGTTTGTGGATATTGGCCCCAGAGTTAGACTGCTAGAGATAAGTAGACTTGTTTTATATATTGGGTTATGGGAGTTTAACTCTGGAAGATGATGATGTTGGGGCTGGGGTGCTAAGAGTATAGAAATCAGTAGTAGAGAATTAGTAGAGTATGATTTGTGGAAGCCAAGGGAAAAGGGGACATTTCTAGGTGACTAGAGTGATTGCCAGATTTATATACTGTAGACTGGTCCTTAGGATTTCATAGTTAATAAGTTAGAGGACTTCTAGCAGCAGATACTTAGGTGTGGTAGAGGCAGAAGCTGAATTGCAGAGGATGTGTCTTCTGTTTTGTTTTCTAAGTGGGTGACTTCTGTTTTCTGATAAAAGCTTAGAATTCTCTTTAGTAATTGGTACCAATCATAGTGGCCTTTAAAGTCCTGTATTCTGGTAACTTAAGATAACTTCTATTAAGTTGTAAACTCCTTGGTACATCCCACAGTCACTGTTCATCAAGTACCTATTGAATGAAGAGTATGTTGTGCTCACTAAAAAAAACTGAAAGCAATCCAAGTGTCCCTAAAAGGCAGGTGAGTAAGGTTTTATCCAGAAGATGTAGAAACTGATACCCGAATTGCTGCCTAAATACTTGCTTTGGCATTGAAAGTGTTCTTTATTTTATCTTGGTGCCTGACACACTAATCTGTCCTGTGCTGCTTCAAGGAAGCATTTGCCAATTTTAAGAACATAGGGCATCTTGAAGACTTACCATGCCAGCTTTGATCACTGAAGTAAGTGGACGGATAGGCAGTTAGCAACAATTAAGTTATTCTTTTACTCTGTTGCCTTTGGGAATCAGAAGTGAATGGTTTTATCTTAAGTACCAATGGCTTACATAAGATTCTAGCCTCTTGAGGGCTGGAGTCTTTTGAATTTGGCAACTTTCTGCTTTTTTTGTTTTCCACCTGCAGTATCTCTGGTTATGGGTTTTATGTGACTTAGAAAACAAAAATAAAACCTTTTAATCCACAGGACAATCAGAAGTGAGACTCTTGGCACATTTACATGTGGATTGAATGATTAGTTCAGGTCCAGGGTACAGTATCAGGATACAAGTGTCTTTCAGAAGTCCCTGAAACTAAATAGCTTAAAGGAATGACTGTTGCTACTTGTGCATTTAGTCTGAAAGCAAAAAATATCGTACATCCTTACTTTAAATGCTAGAGGATTTAAAGAGGATTACTTGAGCCCAAGAGTTCAAAACCAGCCTGGACAACATAGCAGGACCCTGTCTTTACAAAAAATAAAAAATTAGCTTTACAATCCTTTACAGTCATAAAAGCCTTTATTTTATTTTATTTTATTTTTTTGAGATGGAGTTTCACTCTTGTTGCCCAGGCTGGAGTGCAATGGCGCAATCTCGGGCTCACTGCAATCTCTGCCTCCTGGGTTCAAGCAATTCCCCTGCCTCAGCCTCCCAAGTAGCTGGGATTACAGGCATGCGCCACCACACCCAGCTAATTTTTTTTTTTTTTTTTTTGAGATGGAGTCTCACTCTGTCACCCAGGCTGGAGTGCAATGGCACAATCTCGGCTCACTGCAGCCTCCACCTCCTGGGTTCAAGCGATTCTTCTGCCTCAGCCTCCTGAGTAGCTGGGACTACAGGCATGCGCCACCACACCCGGCTAGTTTTTTGTATTTTTATTAGAGACGGGTTTTCACCATGTTGGTCAGGCTGGTCTCGAACCCCTGACCTTGTGATACGTCTGCCTCTGCCTCCCAAAGTGCTGGGATTACAGGCGTGAGCCGCCATGCCTGGCCAATTTTTTTGTATTTTTAGTAGAAACGGGGTTTCACCATGTTAGCCAGGCTGGTCTTGAACTCCTGACCTCAGGTGATCTGCCTGCCTCGGCCTCCCAAAGTGCTAGGATTACATGCGTGAGCCACTGCACCCGGCCAAAAGCCTAATTTTTAATGTGAGTTAAGCCTCGTTCCAAATTACATTTGGATCTAAACAAGCTGGTCTTCTGTATGTTTCCTCTAATATCTTAGTTCTCAAGATAAAAGTATTTTACATTTTATAACTTCTTTCTCTCACCTGATTAAAAAGATTTCATACTTGTTCAGGAAAGACATAAGTGACTTGTTCTACATAGAGCTTTACATGAGACATTGTCATTTTACAGTTTCACTCTAAGCTGAGATAGGATCAGGGATAGGCATTGGTGGGAGGGAGAAGAGAGGGGAGATGAGTGAATCCATCCATGCAAGATAACATGAATTATTTTTGAATCTACTTTCATCTTTACCGCTCCACTGGAACTGCTTATAAAGCTCAGTGAACCCCATGTCATCAAGTGCATTGTCTGTTTTCAGTTCTTATCTAGACCTGTTGACATCATTTGATGCTTGATTATTCCCCTCTTGACTTGGTTCCCAAAATTCCACTTACTGCTTACCTCACACCCTTCTGTCTTCCAGTCTTTAAAGCCTGCAGTTCCCCAGGGCTTCATCCTTGGACCTCTTCGCTATATCTCTACACAGCCATTTGCTTGATGATAGTCTCATAGCATTATAAACCATCTATACACCAGTTCCCAAACTTACCTGCAGTTGTGATTTCTTCTCTTGATTTCTGGACTTGAACATACAACTGCCCTTGGATATCTAGTATTTTACATTTATGAAACTAGAGCTCTTGATCCTCTCTTCCTAAAAATAGTTCCTCTGACAGCCTTCCCCTTACCAATTGGTGGCAACTTCATCCTTTTCATGCCATAAACCTTAGTGTACCCTGACTCTTTTCACATTCTACTTGCCATCTGTTGGCAAATTCTACTGTCTGTACCTTCAAAATGCAGACAGAATTAGGTCATTTCTTACCACCTCCTTAGCTACAAACCTTGTCCAGGCTATCATCTTGTGCCTGGATTATTGATAGCCCCGTAATTGTGTCCCTTAACCCATGTTCTTTAACTTCCTTACCCATAATATTGTTAACTGTTCCTCATATATCCTGTTGGAAAAAAGTGTATTTCTGTTTTTATTCGGATAATTTTCTTTTTTAACCTACTTTAAAAACTTTAATCTTAGGATCATACCATTATGTTTGGAGCTCCCTGCCTTGTTTTTGTCAGTGGCTGCATGATCTGTTTTGTGCGTGTTTGTGCGCATTTTTAGTATTTTTAGTGTGTATATGTATACACATCTCTAGGTTTCAGATTTGAATAGATTGAGATTTTATTACCTGTAATAGTTTTCATTATTTTACTTTTTAAAATACAGTTCATCTGGAGAATTTGATATAAAGGGTAAGGAAAGGGTCCATCTTTAATTTTTTCAGATGGCTACCCAGTCATTCAAGCCCAACTTACTAAATCACTTTTCCTACCAATTAAGAACTTATTTTATGTAATATTCCTTTATTTGTGTACTCACACAAGTTTATATAGTTTTGGGTGGTCATGGACTCCATCGTTAGGAGCCACCAATTTTTAAATGCTCCTAAGAGAGCTGTTCTAAGTAAAGTACTTTTTATATTCTTTCAGACATGTCTTATAAGTTATAGTCGTCCCTTGGTATCCATGGGGGATTGGTTTCAGGACACCCCTGTGGATACCAAAATCCACCAATACTCAAGTCCCTTATAATAAAACAGTGTAGTATTGGCATATAACATATGCACATCACTGTGTATACTTAAAATCCTCTCTAGATGGCTGGACGCGGTGGCTCACGCCTGTAATCCCAGCACTTTGGGAGGCTGAAGCGGGTAGATCACGAGGTCAGGAGATCGAGACCATCCTGGCTAACACGGTGAAACCCCGTCTCTCCTAAAAAATACAAAAAATTAGCCGGGCGTGGTGGCGGGTGCCTATAGTCCCAGCTACTCGGGGAGGCTGAGGCAGGAGAATGGTGTGAACCCGGGAGGCGGAGCTTGCAGTGAGCCGAGATGGCGCCCCTACACTCTAGCCTGGGCGACAGAGCAAGAATCTGTCTCAAAAAAAAAAAACCCCTCTCTAGATTACTTACAATGCCGGATACAATGTAAATGCTATGCAAATAGTTTTTATACTGTATTGTTTAGGGAGTAATGACCAGGAAACAAGTCTACATGTTTAGTGCAAGACACAGCCATCCATTTTTTTTCCCAATATGTTTAATCTGTGGTTGGTTGAATCCACAGATGTAGAACTCATGGATATGGGGGCTGACTCTTATGTTTTGAGACATAGCCTGGTTGGTATAAGTATTATAATGGAATTAGGAAATAGAAACTTTCTTCTGGTTTTCTTAGATTTGGGAATGGATGATGAAGGAGATGATGACCCAGTTCCTCTACCAAATGTGAATGCAGCAATATTAAAAAAGGTAAGGTCTTTAAAGAGTTTAAGTTTATTCTGCTTAATATATAACACCAATTGATTAATACAAGTAATTCAACAATCTATGTTAGAATTTTATAATTTACTGCTTAAAATTACATTTAAATTTGAATGTTCTTAAACACTTACTTGAGTGATGTTTGTATGTTCTTAAAATATACAGAAAAAAGTTCTGTCTGCTTTCTTGCCACAGTTGACTATTGTCATTTATTGGGCATCTGTACTGTGTCTACCTATGCAAACACTTCCCTAGGAAGGATGATCTACATGTAGAATATCTGGATCGCAGGTTGGCTTATATACCTAAATTTTGATAGATACTGTTAAATAGTCTTCTGTAAAGATACCACTTCTAGAGCATGGTGGAATTGAATCGTGACTGTCTTTCTTAGATTTATAATTTTGAAACGGCTAAAGTCAAAGGAATATGTAACACTTTGTTCCCATTTCTGTCCTTATCTATTCCAGTCCCCTTTCAGGTAGCAATTTATCCTTTCAGTATTTTGTAATACAGGTATTAACAAGTAAGTATATTTTTTTCCCACATTCTTTTTTTTTTTTTTTTTTTTTTTTTTGAGACCAGAGTCTTGCTCTGTCGCCAGGTTGGAGGGTAGTGGTATGATCTCGGCTCACTGCAACCTCTGCCTCCTGGGTTCAGGTGATTCTCCTGCCTCAGCCTCCTGAGTAGCTGGGACTACAGGCACACGCCACCATGCCCAGCTAATTTTTGTATTTTTAGTAGAGACAGGGTTTCACCATGTTGGCCAGGATGGTTTTGATCTCTTGACCTCATGATCTGCCCACCTCAGCCTCGCAAAGTGCTGGGATCACAGGTGTGAGCCACCGCGCCCAGCATTCTCCCCCATTCTTAAGGTAGCAAACTATACATTTCTATGTTTTTTTTTTTCCATATAACAAAATGAAAGGTGATATGTCTATGTTAGTTAATATATAGCATCTTTTTTTTTTTTGAGATGGAGCCTCGCCCTGTTGCCCAGGCTGGAGTGCAGTGGTGTGATCTCAGCTCACTGCAGCCTCTGCCTTCCGGGTTCAAGTAATTTTCCCTGCCTCAGCCTCCCGAATAGCTAGGATTACAGATGCCCACCACCACACTGGCTAATTTTTATATTAGACAGGTTTTCACCATGTTGGCCAGGCTGGTCTCCAACTCCTGACCTCAGACGATCTCCCTGCCTTGGCCTCCCAAAGTGCTGGGATTACAGGTGGAGCCACCATGCCTGGCTAACCTGAATTTTTTTGTGTTTGTTTGTTTTTTTGATCTCACTCTGTTGCCCAGGCTGGAGAGCAGTGGCACAATCTCGGCTCACTGCAGCCTCCACTTTCCAGGTTCAAGCAATTCTCCTGCCTCAGCCTCCCAAGTAGCTGGGATTACAGGCACTCGCCACCACGCCTGGCTAATTTTTGTATTTTTTAGTAGAGATGGGGTTTCACCATGTTGGTCAGGCTGGTCTTGAATTCCTGACCTTGTGATCTGCCCACCTTGGCCTCCCAAAGTGCTGGGATTACAGGCATGAGCCACCGAGCCTGGCATTTTTTTTTTTTTTTTTTTGAGACAGACACTCTGTCGCCCAGGCTGGAGTGCAGTGGCACGATCTCAGCTCACTGCAACCTCTGCCTCTTGGGTTCAAGTGATTCTCCCGCCTCATCCTCTCGAGTAGCTGGGATTACAGACACCCGCTACCATGCCCAGCTAATTTTTTTATTTTTGTAGAGATGAGGGTTTCACCATGTTGGCCAGGCTGGTCTTGAACTCCTCACCTCAGGCGATCTGCCTGCTTTGGCCTCCCAAAGTGTGAATGTTTTTACATGTGTTACTGGCCATTTACATTTTCTGCATTGTCTGTTTTCATTTCTCTGTTTTCCTAATGGTCTTAGAAAAATAGTGATAAAATATACATAACATTGATCATTTTCACTTTTTGAACGTGCACCATTCAGTGACATTAATTACATTCACAGTGTTGTGCAGCTATCACCACTAAGCATTTTCAGAACTTTATCATCCCACACTGAAACTCTGTACCCATTAAACTGTAACTTCCAATTTCGGTACACCCTCCCCCCTCAAAAAAAAAATTGGTACACCCTCCCCCCTCAAAAAAAAAAATTACGCTAGGTAAACACTATTCTACTTTCTGTATCTGAATTTAGCTATCCTGGATACATAATATATGGAATCATACAATATTAGTCCTTTTGTATCTGGCTTATTTCACTTAGCATAATGTTTTCAAGGTTCATCCATGTTGTTGTCTAATGAGCTTAAAAAATTGTGGTAAAATACACATAACAAAATTTACCACCTTAACCATTTTTAAGTGACAATTCAGTGGTATTATCTAATAGGCTTTTTATAAGAACTCTTTAAAAGTTTCTACCAGTTTGCTTGTCTTACGTTAATTCATGTTACGATTTAGAGGCTTTATTTTATCTAGTTAGATCTCATTCTTTATGACTTCTGAATATGTCTTGCAATTAACGTATTCTATTTTATACTAATGAAAAATGTTTCTAAAAGGATCTTTGCTTGTAGTCGAATGCCTGGTACATTCAAATGCCATCCAAAAGCTGGGGGTATAGCAGTGAACCAAAGAGACAAAATCTCTGCCCTTATGGAGTTTATGGTCTGAAGGGGTGGGGAATATGCAACATTAGAAATACATCAAATGGAAAAACTATGGAGAATAAAGAAGGGAATGGGGAATTTAAAGGGGTGAGTAGGTGAACAGTTAGCTGTTTTTAAAATAAAGATGGTCAGGAGATGTCTTACTGAGAAGATAATCTTTTTTTTTTTTTTTTTTTTTTTTTTTTTCTTGAGATGGAGTTTTGCTCTTGTTGCCCAGGCTGGAGTACAGTGGCACAACTTTGGCTCACTGCAGCCTCTGCCTCCGGGCTTTAAGCAGTTCTCCTGCTTCAGCCTCAGTAGCTGGGATTACAGGCGCGCGCCACCACGCCCGGCTAATTTTTTGTATTTTGAGTAGAGATGGGGTTTCACCATGTTGGCCAGGCTGGTCTCGAACTCCGGACCTCAGGTGATCCGCCTGCCTCAGTCTCTCAAAGTGCTGGGATTACAGGCTTGAGTCACCATCCCTGGCCGAAGATAATCTTTTAAACAAAGACGTGAATATTTGGGGGAAAAGAATTCTGGGATTTGGGAGCAAGTACAGTGACCTTAAGACAAGAGCATGCCCTGCCTTTTTAGGAAAGGCAAGGAGTTTAGTGGAAGCTAGAGCAAGAAGTGAGTAGATAAGGTCAGAGTTAAAGGGTTGGGTGATGTAGGGCCACTTCTGAGAATGAGAAGTGCTTGGTTTTTGGGGTTTTTTTGTTTGTTTGGTTTGTTTGTTTGAGATAGGGCCTCACTGTGTTGCCTGGGCTGGAGTGCAGTGGTGCAGTCATGGGTCACTGCACCTTCTACCTCCCGGGTTCAGGTGATCTTCTCACCTCAGCCTCCCGAGTAGCTGGGAGTACAAGCACATGCCACCACACTTGGCAAATTTTTGTATTTTTTGTAGAGATGGAGTTTCACCATGTTGCCGAGGCTAGTCCGGAACTCCTGGGCTCAAGCGATCTGTCTCCTTTGGCCTCCCAGAGTGCTGGGATTATAGGTGTGGGCCACCACACCCAGCCGAGAAGTTTTTTTTTTTTTTAAGCCTGTTTGTATTGAATATATATCATATTTTGAAGAATAATTACATGATGCCAAAACTATGGAAGTACAATAAAATCTCCTTTCCCTGTCTCTTATCTGATTGGAAACTGCTCCCCCCACAAAGTAATGTGGCATTTTTTTGTTTTTCTTTTTTACTGGCACCACCCGTTGTGAACCTAGGCATTAGTTTCTTTATATATCCTTTTAAGAGTTTTTTATTTTTAAATTTTTATTTTTTGTTAGTAGTGATAGTGATTTTTTTTTTTTTTTTTTGACAGAATCGCACTCTCTTGCTCAGGCTGGAGTGCAGTGGCACGATCATGGCTCACTACAGCCTCAGCCTCCTGGGCTCAAGTGATTCTCTTGCCTCAGCCTTCTGAGTAGCTGGGACCATAGGTGTGCACCACCAGTCCCATCTCATTTTTGTATTTTTCATAGAGACAGGGTTTCACCATGTTACCCAGGCTGGTCTCAAACTTCTGGGCTCAAGTAAGTCACCCACCTTGGCCTCCCAAAGTGCTAGGATTACAGGTGTGAGCCACAGTGCCCAGCCTATTATTATTATCATCATTTTTTGTAGAGACGGGGTGTCTCTATATTGCCCAGGCTATTCTTGAACTTCCGGCCTTAAGCAGTCCTGCCTCAGCCTCCCAAAGTGCTGAGATTACAAGTATGAACCACTGTGCCCAGGTTTAGAGTTTAAAAAATGCCTGGATAAGCAAATATTGACGTTTTTAAATTTTCTTATATAGTTGGAATACTTCCTAAAAAGCTATTATTTATTTCATTAAAAACCCTTAGCTGGGTGCAGTGGCTCACGCCTGTAATCCCAGCACTTTGGGAAGCCAAGGGGGGTGGATCATCTGAGGTCAGGAGTTCGAGACCAGCCTGGCCAACTAAAAATAAAAAAAAATTAGCTGGGTGTTGTGGCAGGCACCTATAATCCCAGCTACTCAGGAGGCTGAGGCAGGAGAATCGCTTGAACCCAGGAGGTGGAGGTTGCAGTGAGCCAAGATAGCGCCATTGCACTCCAGCCTGGGCAACAAGAGTGAAACTCAGTCTCAAAATTAAAACGAAAACAAAAACCTTTCGCTGGCCAGGCACAGTGGCTCATAGCTGTAATCCCAACACTTTGGGAGGGCAAGGTGGGTGAATTGCTTGAGTTCAGGAGTTTGCAACATGATGAAACCTTATCTCTACAAAAACAAAATACAAAAATGAGCCAGGTGTGGTGGCATGCACCTGTAGTTGCAGCTACTTGGGAGGCTGAGGTGGGAGGATCGCTTAAGCACAGGAGGTCGAGTGAGCCATGATCGCGGCACTGCATTCCAGCCTGGGTGACACAGTGAGATCTTGTCTCAAAAACAAACAAACAACCCTTTGCTTGGCTTTTCCTTATTGAAATTGTTCTTTCTTTTTTTTTTTTTGGATCCTGGCAATGTTTCTTGGCTCTGCCATTTTCTCTCAGCATTGTTTACTCCTCCAACATTTTGCTATGAAAAAGTTTTAGCCATACAGAAAAATGGAAAGAATTACACAGTAGACAACCATGTAGCCACTGCCTAGATTCTACAACTGAAAACACTTTCAGTATTGATTTTGGTCTTTATGCTGGTATGTATAGTCTAAGTAATCAGCTTCCTGAAACTTTATGGAGTAATTATTCTCCTATTAAGGAAATTTTGGGGCTTTTCCTGCTTTGTTCCTACACCAAATAGTCTCACACATGTGTCTAGGGTATTTGGAATTTGCTGGTTACAATATATGTACATATTCAGCTTTTCTGAGGAGTGCTGGATTAGCTTTCAAAGGGGTTATACCAATTTATACTCTCTAGAAGAGTTTGTGTTTCCTTTCCACTATTGCCCAACAATTAGTATCAGTTTCTTGATTTTTTTTCAATCTAGAGAAGTATCTGTAGTGTTAGTTTTGCTTCTAGTAAAGTTGAGCGTTCCTTATGTTTGGCTATTCAGATTTCATTTATTGGCTGTACATATTAACCCATTTCTCTTTAATGATTTTTGAAAGATTTTATATTCTCTCAGCTAATCATTGTTGTACATATTGCAGGTATCTTCCAGTCATTGTCCTAACTTTTCTTTTTGCATAGAAGCTTTTTAATGTAGTCAAGTACAGTACTCTGTCTGCATGGCTTGCTTTTATCTAATAAGATCTTCTCCCTTCTAGGGTTATAATGATTCTTCAAGCTTCATTTTTGTTTTTCAAGCTTGGCTGTTAATGGCTCAAGTCAACCTCTAGCTAGTTATTATTCCAATATAGGGATAAGTTGTCCCAGCAGTGGAATGAGTACCTTGTGACAAAGTGCCACAGAGGAATGAACTTTTGTTGTTGTAGGTCATTCAGTGGTGCACCCACCACAAGGATGACCCTCCTCCTCCTGAAGATGATGAGAACAAAGAAAAGCGAACAGATGATATCCCTGTTTGGGACCAAGAATTCCTGAAAGTTGACCAAGGAACACTTTTTGAACTCATTCTGGTAAGTTTTTAATGTGTAAGATAGCTCTACTCTAGAGCCTTTAAACACTTCTTATAGATTTAAATTTGCTAACTTCATTGACACTGAATTTTAATACTCTCTAAATTCAAATGTAACGCCATATTTAAATCCACATATCAGTAACACACTAAATGTAAATGGTCTAAACACAGTTAAAAGGCAGAAATTACCAGATCAGAAAAGCAAGCTTAGCTGTGCTGTCTGTAAGAAACCCGCTTTAAATATATAGACAGAACTAGGTTTAAAGAATGGAAGAAGATACGGTACACTAACACGAATCAAAAGAAAGCTGGAGTGACTATATTAAAATAGGTTTGGAGGCAAAGAATATTACCAGGGTTAAAGAGGATTATTTCATACTGATAAGGGGATCAGTTTTTTAAAAAGACATAACAATTATAAATTTTTATCTGGCTAGAAGCAGAACTTCCAAGAAGTGAAACAAAACCCAATAGAACTCAAAGAAGTCCACAAAGTGACAATCATAGAGATTTCAGCACCTCTCTCAATTAATATAACTAGACAGAAATCAGGATAACTTGATATAACACTATTGACCAAATTGTCTTAATGGATATTTATAAAATATTATATATATATATATTTTTGAGACAGAGTTTCACTCTTGTCACACAGGCTGTGGTGCAGTGGCATGATTTTGGCTCACTGCAACCTCCACCTCCCAGGTTCAAGCAATTCTCCTGCCTCAGCCTCCTGAGTAGCTGAGATTACAGGCATGAGCCACCATGCTCAGCTAAGTTTTTGTATTTTTAGTAGAGATGGGGTTTCACCATGTTGGCCAGGATGGTCTTGAACTCCTGACCTCAGGTGATCCACCTACCTAGGCCTCCCAAAGTGTTGGGATTACAGGTGTGAGCCACCGCGCCTGGCCTAAAACATTATATGTAATGATAGCAGAATACATATTCTTTTCAAGTGTATATTACCAAATAGACCATGTTCTGGGCCATAAAACAAGTCTCAGCTGGGTGCGGTGGCTCACGCCTGTGATCCCAACACTTTGGGAGGGTGAGGCGGGTGGATCACTTGAGGCTAGGAGTTCAAGACCAGCCTGGCCAGCATGATGAAACCCCATCTCTACTAAAAATACGAAAATTAGGCCGGGCGCGGTGGCTCACGCCTATAATCCCAGCACTTTGGGAGGCCAAGGTGGGCGGATCACGAGGTCAGGAAATCGAGACCATCCTGGCTAACATGGTGAAACCCCGTCTCTACTGAAAATATAGAAAATTAGCCGGGTGGGGTGGCAGGAACCTGTAGTCTCAGCTACTCGGGAGGCCGAGGCAGGAGAATGGCATGAACCCGGGAGGTGGAGCTTGCAGTGAGCCGATATCGCACCACTGCCCTCCAGCCTGGGTGACAGAGCGAGACTTCGTCTCAAAAAAAAAAAAAAAAAATTAGCTGGGTGAGATGGCACCCACCTGTAATCCCAGCTACTTGGGAGACTGAAGCAAGAGAATTGGCTGAACCTAGGAGGTAGAGATTGCAGTGAGCCGAGATCACGCCACTGAATTCCAGCCTGGGTGACAGAGTGAGACGGTGTCTTAAAAAAAAAGTCTCCATTGTAAAAGGATTCAGGTCATACAAAGTATGTCTTCTGACTGCAATGGAATTAGAAATCACAAACAGAAAGGTATCTGGAAAAATCTGCAACTACTTTTAAACTAACACATTTGCAAGTAACCTATGGGTCAGAGAAGAAATAGAAAGTATTTTGAGCTGAGTGGAAGTAAAACACATGAAAAATCGGTGAGATGCAGCTAAAGAAGTACTTAGAGGGAAATTGATGGAATGAAATACCTATATTATTAGAAAAGAAGAAAAGTTTCAAATCGGTGATCTAAGCTTCCACCTTAAACTAGTAAAAGATGAAATTAACTACAAAGTAAACAGAAGAATGAGAATATTAAAGGGCAGAAATCAATGAAATAGAAAACAGGTAAACAATAAAGTCAATGAAACCAAAACCTGTTTTTTAAAATGAGATCAATATAGTGCTATAACTGCTTACGTTTGAACTCTTTAAGTGTGGACAAATATTTTTGCCAAGACCTGATGTGGTATTTGTGTGCATGTGTACACACATACACAACAGTAGTGGCCGTTATTTCACATTTGAGCTAGTATAGTTTGGTTAAGGAAGCAGAAGGATTCAACATTATAGAGGTATAACAAAGAAGGTCACATAAAAGTCTTTCACAGAAGAACTTAGGAGTGATTTATTCTTCTCCCTTTAATTTCTTAAAATTAGCATTTTAAGCTTTATTAGATACGGAGTGTCAATCATTAACTTTGGATTTAGTTTAAAACATCAAGTATACTTTAAGGAAAACAACTGTCTCTTTACAGGCTGCAAACTACTTAGACATCAAAGGTTTGCTTGATGTTACATGCAAGACTGTTGCCAATATGATCAAGGGGAAAACTCCTGAGGAGATTCGCAAGACCTTCAATATCAAAAATGACTTTACTGAAGAGGAGGAAGCCCAGGTAGGTAGCACACAGTTTTGTCTTTGATCACATGCTCTTAAAAAGGGAGTAACACCTATAACATGCCAGCAAAAGAGGTGACTGTATCAAGTAGTCTTGATACTTTAGGGATAATATGTACTTAATGTGTCTTAAACATACTCTTACTGTTCTGTCTTTATGAATCTGAACACTTAGATGATACTGCATTTTAAGCATAAGAACAATTAGTTTTCAATGAGAAGAGCTCTTGTTAATGTATTAACAGTTACTAGTTTTGGCACCTGCAACTTTCTGTATAGACCATACATATCTGACATCAGAAAAGCAGGCCCTAGAGAGAAGTATATACTAGGGTACTTTAGAGCAACTTAATGAGGGGAGGAAATGAAAGAATAGATCAGAATGATTTTGTTGACATGACTACAGACTGAAATAATGTGAATGAATTAACTGAATTTGCTCTGTCAACTTTAGTAAATTGCCCATTGCCTTTGCTTTGTTCATAATTTCAGCAGGGCAGAATAAAAACCATGGGAGGCAAAGAAAGGAAATCCGGAAATATAGTCTTAACCTGGTGTTGTTCTAATTTTCCATCTGTTCTTCTGACTCAACTCACTGGCTATCGATGAATCAGTAGGTAGTATTTATAAGTCTTAGGAAAGACTACTCAAGTTAAGGTACTTCCCTATATCCATCTCTTTTAGGTACGCAAAGAGAACCAGTGGTGTGAAGAGAAGTGAAATGTTGTGCCTGACACTGTAACACTGTAAGGATTGTTCCAAATACTAGTTGCACTGCTCTGTTTATAATTGTTAATATTAGACAAACAGTAGACAAATGCAGCAGCAAGTCAATTGTATTAGCAGAATATTGTCCTCATTGCATGTGTAGTTTGAGCACAGATCCCAAACCTTACGGCCAAGTTTCTTCTAGTATGATGGAAAGTTTCTTTTTTCTTTGCTCTGAATAAAACTGAACTGTGGGTTCTCTATAAGTGGCATTTTGGGCTTTCCCTCTTTTTTGTAAAGCAATGTCTGCCTAGTTTATTGTCCAGTTAACTTTAGTGACCTTTTAAAAGTTGGCATTGTAAATAAAACAACTTGCAAAAAAGTTTTCTGGAATAGAATTAACAAAATATTATCTTTATTCATGAGTTGGAAACTGGAAAAAGGCTTCTTGAAGTAAATGTTCTGAGTGGAGCTACTAGGATGTCTTCCAGCCTCCTGCAGTCAAGGAGTACCACTGTATTGATTAGCCTGTATGTAGCAGGGCTCCCTTCATTGCATCTGAGGACTTGTTTTCTTTTTCTTTATTTTTAATCCTCTTAGTTTTAAATATATTGCCTAGAGACTCAGTTACTACCCAGTTTGTGGTTTTTTGGGAGAAATGTAACTGGACAGTTAGCTTTTCAATTAAAAAGACACTTAACCCATGTGGGATGTCATCTTTTTATAATTAGTGTTCCCATGTGGAGAAAATTATTCACACTACTTGCATGTAAAGAATAATTTAACTTTTAACATTAAAATATGTGGTAAAACCCAGAAAGCATCCATCATGAATGCAAGATACTTTCAATAAAAAGTAAGTTATATAGTAGGTAGTTAAGTTTGCTTTTGTGGACTTAAATGTGTCTCTTCACTTAAATGGGTTGAATGTGTATATATTTGTTCAGCTTGAAAAGACTTAGTTTATATCCTAGCTCACTGGAGGCTGCTGACATAACCATAACTTCTGTCCCTTCTAATTGTCATTTATATGCCTAACTGGAGCTAGTACTTTAATTCTTAACACAAAATTACTCTGCCATTGTTTCCAGCTTCCCTCCTACAATAGAATGAAGTTTTTTTGATGGCTTGAGATGGCTCACAAATTTTGATTTTTTTTTCTTCCTTGTGCTCCCTTTTTTTCTCCTTGCTTTTCCAGTTAACATCTATATTCACATGTAATCTTGTTTTCTCTTCACATTCACTGAGTTGTTCAGGCTCAGATCATCCCTTGACAGTAGTTTGCCTTCATCTCACCTTTCATTTGTCCCAAATTCACCTTATTTAATAAAGTCCCATATGTTGTCTCACTTAATTCCAATTTGTTGTCTGTACCAGAGATAGGAAACTATAATGTGTGGGTCAAATCAGGCCCATAGCCTGTTTTTGTAGTCTTTGAGCTAAAAATGGTTTTTACGTTGTAAAGAGTTATTTAAAATTCTCTCTCTCTCTCTCTCTCTCTCTCAGGAGATAAGCTTGTTTTCTGTTTGTCCTGGTTTTAGTGGGGAAGGTAGCGGTGTATAGTCCTAGCTGAATTGTCTCATCTACCAATTCCTGCTATTATAAGATCAACTTCTGCAAAAACCTTATCCACCTCAAGTATCCTTAGCAGCTGGGCATGGTGGCTTATGCCTGTAATCTCAACATTTTGGGAGGACAAGACAGGAGGATCGTTTGAGCCCAGGAGTTCAAGACCAGCCTGGGCAACACAGAAAGTCCCTGTCTCTCCAAAAAAAAAAAAAAAAATTAGCAGTCATATGGTGCATGCCTATAATCCCAACTACTTGAGAGGCTGAGGTGGGAAGATGGCTTGAGCCTGAGAGGTCGAGGCTGCAGTGAGCTGGCATTGCACCACTGCACTCCAGTCTAGGCAATAGAGCGAGACCTTGTCTCAAAAACAAACCAGAAGTATCCTTAGCAGTATTATGACAAACAAATCTTCACTGAAGGTCCAGGATTACTGCCATATGCCATGTTTAACTTGTAAAGGAAGTATCACCTTCTAAGAAACTGGAGCTTGTTATTACCACTTGATCTGTATAATACTCAGCAGTAGTTAGAATTATATGAGTAAATAACGTCACTATCCGTATTTAAAGGATAATGAGATCTTTCAGAAAGATTGGATGGACAGACAATATAGTAGTAATTTAAATTTTTGTTTCCTGACTTTCTGTAGTCCCTAAACAAACAACAAAAAATCCTAGTAATCTTAAACTTTTACATTAATAGAGATCCAAGAGAAAATAAGCCATTTTTCACCATTGTGGACCCAAATAAATCATAGACATGGTATTAAGAAGCCCTTTTCAGTCTGGTTGCAGTATTATTTTCCTACCTTTCTTTTTCCTGTTCCCTGCTGTATGCCCACTATTCCTTTAATATATCTACTAGAACTTTTCTAGGCTTTCACCTGGAGTGAGTGGTCCTTTCTCATTATCACAGTAGCCAAACCTCAGTCTTCAAAACTCCACTCATTTCTGGCTACTCTCTTACTTCCCAACTATTCTTCTAAACTAATATTGTGGCATTAAGTCATACCTTGAGGCTGGAGTTTTAGTGTCTTCATGGCCTTGGGCAAGTTGGAAATAGGTACTACGGTTTTATAGATCTAGTGCAGTCTGCTTTATATTAGTTCCAGAACTTCATTGGAAGTCACTTGACAGCAGGATTTAACTTGTATTTAGCAGCACTACTCCATGAATTTCAGTATAAGTAACAGAAGTGAAAAGTCCTTGTGAAATGCAGGTACAGGGCATAATGAAAACAAGAAGAGTAGTTTTAATGCATGAGAGGGGAGAGCTTGATAATAGCTGATAATAGCCTTGGTTTGGAGAGTGGTTACTGATGAATTATGAAGACTTTCTCTAATTACTGTTATAGTAGTAAAGGAAAGAAAACCCTTGTTGATAAAGTAAACTTAGGGATTAATTAGGAAATGCCTTTTATTTCACCAGGAAAGAGAATGAGAGGAAGAAGGTATTTGGCAGATTTGGGTGATTGAAGGATGTTTGTCGGTTTCCTCTGTAAACAACATGCTGCTTTCTGCAGTGTGCTGCTTTTAATGATGAAGTCCTTTCAAGGACTCCATGGCAGTCCTTTGGCTTCTCACCTTTTCATTGATTATGTCACTTGTGATCTAAAAGTAAACCAAAACCTTCCTGAATGTTAGCTTATTATTTTCTCCTTAACATTGTCATAGGCTAAAGATGTGCCCCCTCAAATTCTAATAATTTTTTTTTTTTTTTTTTTTTTTTTGAGACAGAGTCTCACTCTGTCGCCCAGACTGGAATGCAGTGGTGCGATCTCAGCTCACTGCAACCTCCGCCTCCTGGGTTCAAGTGATTCTCCTGCCTCAGCCTCCCGAGTAGCTGGGATTACAGGCACATGCCACCATGCCTGGCTAATTTTTTTGTGTTTTTATTAGAGATGGAGTTTTACCATATTGGCCAGGCTGGTCTTGAACTCCTGACCTTGTGATCCGCCCGCCTTAGCCTCCGAAAGTGCTGAGGTTACACGTGTGACCCACCGCACACGGCCCTAATAATTCTTAAGTTGTAGAAGCAAGTTACTCTTTTGAAGTGCCATGTGTTAGCTTGCCTTAATCTATTCTTGGTATACAAAATAGATACTGCTTTACAGTTCTTATATTTTCTCAGAGATTCACAAAATCATCCTGTAGCTCCCTGTGTGGGATTATAGCTGTGACTTTTTACTCTACAACTGTCAGAATACACCAGCTCCTGGAATTAAGCAAGAACTATATTGTGACTTGGTTGGACAGGTAACTGCAGCCTTGTAACATGACATCATAGTAATGCTGAGCTTATCTTAAAACTAGCTGGGGAGGGAGGATAGTAACAGTGAGTCACTGTGGGCATCTCACTTAGGGCAGGCAGATATTCCAAATCACATTGATTTTTCAGTTTACGTAAAAATTGACCAATCCTATGGGCTGTGTTCTGATCCCAACATAAATTTTGTTTAAGTTAATTTGCCTAGGCTCTCAATAAGGCAGTTTGGGAATATAAGGTGATTTTCCACCAGAAAAGAGAAAATTGAGAGAGCAGCAGACCTCTTGCTCTCAGCACCCTTTACAAGCTTAACTTTTGCTTGCCACCATTAGCTTTTGAAGATTTTTTTTAACTGCTCCTTGCAGAGCAGGACTACCCCATAGGCAGTGTGCCCAGAGTAGCCCGAAGAGCTTTTTGATTCTTCTTTTAAGAGACAAGGTCTCACCTCTGCCCCCCAGGCTGGAGTGCAGTGATGTGATCACAGCTCATTGCAGCCTCGAACTCTTGGGCTCCAACAGTCCTCCTGCCTCAGCCTCCTGAATAGCTAGGACTACATGTGTGTGCTACCATGCCTTGCTAGTTTTTGTTTTTTTAAATTGATTTTTATAGAGATGAGGTCTCCTCATGTTGCCCAGGCTGTTTTCGAATTCCTGGGCTCAAGATCCTCCTGCCTCAACCTCCCAAAGTGCTGGTATTACAGATGTGAGCCACAGCACCCACCAATTTTTCCTTTTCTAAAGCTCAGTGTACATTCTGGTAGGAAGGAATCAACCAAGTAAATGTTCTCCCTACAAAGTTGTTTGAGGATTTGAAAAGTTAATCTTCAATTATCTGGATTTGAAACCAGTCTATAACTTTTTAAGCTAGGAAGAAGTCAAGAATAAGAAGATTGCAAGCAAAGGGAAAGCTTACAAAATGGCTGAATCCTTAAAGTGTAGCTCCTGGCTTCTCCTTGGTAGGAAGCATTAGACATGGTTTCCCTCTAGGGAGCTGGGAGCTTTTGGTGTAGTTCAGGAGAGAAGGCATAAATACTGCTGGGAGGGAGTGGATAACTCTAATAAAAATGTTCCTGGGCTGGGCACGGTGGCTCACGCCTGTAATCCCAACATTTTCAGAGGCTGAGGTGTGCAGATCACGAGGTCAAGAGATCGAGACCATCCTGGCCAACATGGTGAAACCTCATCTCTACTAAAAATACAAAAATTAGCTGGGCGTGGTGGCACATGCCTGTAGTCCCAGCAACTCGGGAGGCTGAGGCAGGAGAACCGCTTGAACCCGGGAGGCGGAAGTTGCAGTGAGCCGACATCACGCCACTGACTGCAGTCCAGCCTGGCGACAGAGCGAGACTCCGTTTCAAAAAAAAAAAGTTTCTGGACAGAACAGATTAATGAGCCAATGGGGGGCTACAGAGCTGAAAGGTGCTACGAAAGGTTTTGTAAAGTGAAACTAATTTGGTTTCAAGAATCAAGTTGGATTTGTTTGGGGGTGGACAGATGCCAAAGTGAGGAAAAAGCAGTGCACAGTCAGGAACTAACAGCAGAAGGTTGGGTGTTGGTACATTTCCCTGAGAATATAGACTAAAGAGAAATTAGGGCAGGATTAGTCACAGTACTTTGCTGACACTCAGTAGTATTTTATCAGCATTTATTCATCAGACCCACATTAGGCAGGGCAATTTTTGAGTGAGCTAAATTCTAATTTTTTTAATTTTAATTTTTATTTATTTATTTTTTGGCTGTTCAACTAAACCAGTCTTTTGAATGTTGGGGGTTTTACAGTTAGAGTCCTGATGACTTTTTCTTGTTTACTGTTGTTAAAAATCACTACCTCCAGTGGTCACAGAGAATGAGTAAGAGAACTGGCTGTGCATATCAAGATGAAGTATGGTGTAAGAAATATTTCAGAGCATGTCCTTTGGCCCAAGATTGAGCCATTTGGACACCTAAGCAGGATTGGCTGAATGTTATCCTTTCTGCTGAGGCATCAGTGGAGATGATCATTAGTGGTGGCCGAAAAGTGTTGTCGAAGGTGCTCTTGCTTGACACACTTCCAATGCGGGACATAGTTTGAGTGATAGATGGCTAATTCATTGATAATGTACTTGTTGCCTTGCAGTCTTGTGTACTGCTGGCTACCTCTGGTCTGTGTGCCAGTATTGAGCAGCATTCTATGGGAGGAATGTAGTTGCTCATAACAGTGTCTGCTTCCACATCTGTAGTTCTTGCGACCTTCTGATATCTGTCAACTTTAAATTTTCTGGAAGTATTTAAGTATATTCAGACCTTCTGATATCTCTTAACTTCAAATTTTCAACCTGCTATATAGCAGCCTCTTATTGCACACTGAGGATCAGCTTATTTCCTTAAAGTGCTCTCACTTTGAATACCTCCCACCTATCTGGTGAAAATTCTTATTTGTCCTTTCTTTCCTGAATGTACCATTTCACAACCTCTAACTGCCTTCTTCAGTTGCTTTGCAGATTTTTCTGTTCCAGGAAGCTTACGGAAAGGGGTGGGAAAATAGAGAAGCTGTACTCTATCCTCAAGTACTCAAGCAGGGTTTCCAGAGTGGCTTTGTAAAAATTTTTATTTATTTATTTATTTATTTTTGGTGAGTGGAACCTGGCTTTTCCTCTTCCCTCCCCAAGCCCCACCCCGCTTCCTGACATTGCACATGCCTGAAAGAACTAGGCTTCAGATAAAAGAATGAGAACACTTGAATGAAAAAGGAAGACTTGGTCCAGAGCCCCTGGTGAATATGAAAGAAGTATTGGCCTGGACTATCTCCCGCATAATTCACAGCTGCTATCTTGTCTTCAGAAGTGAAACATCCCTTACCAATAGTGACCTAACTTGTGAGGACTGCTTGTGATAGTATAGTTCCCACCCCCAGGACATAAGTTTTCCCTTTCCAGTTAACATGCCTAATCCCATGCTATCTTTAAGAGCTTGAAAATCCTTCCTGACCTGAGCTAGGCTTTTATTCTAAGGGACTGTGTATGTGAACATCCCCACCATCTATGTTTCCTGTTTTCAAACTCGGTGCCGTTTTGAGTATTTTCAGATGCTCACTGCCAGTAATGGTTTGTTAGTAGCTCCAAACTATTAGAGAAGAGCTCAGGAGTCAGAATTTGAAAGATGCCCATAGGGTGATTTGAGATTTGGAACAAGGTTATCACAATAAGTTGGGATTGGGGGAGTTGACACAACCAGGGTCTGCTTGGGTGGGCAGCTGTTTCAGAAACCCTTGGTGAACTCTTAAAGCCCTGAAGAGCTTAAAAAATGCTCTGAAGAGATCTGAGAGTCGCAGTTAAGGACTCTCAAAGAACCTCAAAGAAAAGCCAACTTAGCCTTTTTATACAATTAACTAGATTTGGGTCTTAAATTCTACTTTGACATATAGGCCTAAGAGGTAGTTTAACATGGCCTTGTTACCCTTACCCCTTCTGTTCTGTGCTGTTTTCTGAGAAACGGATGCAGGAACTGATTCCCTTTCTTCCTCTCTGGAACAGGATATAAAGAACCCTTCCGCTTCCCTTTACTTGTGGCCTTCCTGGCCAGGCTTATGTATACTGAACAAAGCTAGGGTGCAGTGCTTCTGAGCTAGCTGTTAGGGGTCCACAGCCAGAAGGAATGGGAGACCACAGGAGCCATTCAAAAGATAATTACATGTCAGAAGAGAGTCCATCCATGGGGTTCTGTTAAAGTAGACACCTTCACGTTGGGAGACATAGGCTTTGTCTGCTTGCTGGGCTGAACCCTCACCATATCCACAGAGAACAAAATGGGGAGCAGCTGTACCAGGGGAGGGATGAACGTCTTTCACCCAAGTTGCCAGTCTGCTAGTTGTCTGGAAATGTTCAAGGGAGGCTAAGGTATCTTGTCTTATGATGTCTCAGGAAACAGGGTTGGTTCTCAGCTGGCAGTGAAGGGGGACTGGTGTGGTATTAGCAGTTGAACTTGAGGTTGCAATCTCAAGTCACCCTCTGGCCTCGCAGGAATGCACCAGGGTGATTTGGGAGGATCTGAGTTTCCTTTATGAAGTCAGATTAAAAAAAAAAAAAGCTGATCTGATTTAAACAGAGTTGCCAAAGACTTCCCCGCCAATACACAAAGACTGCATTGTTCAGGTACCCTGTGTACTCTAAGTGAGACACCAAATCAGATGCAGCAACCTGGTCTTGCATAAGCCCTGGTTAGAATGTAGGTTTTTTAAACAACTAGGCCAGTAGCCAGAACAGAATTCTTTAAAATGGGACAGATGTCCAGAGAATGGCTAGTGTCCTCTAGCACTCTCTCAGAAGCAAAAGCAAGTCTGGGGTTACAACTTCCAGTGGCCTACTTTAAATAGACGCTGTTCTGGAAAATGACTTTATACTTTAAACACAAAATCCAAAAAATAGAACTCAGTGGAGTGACAATGACAATGCATGATGGTGGCCCAGTGGCTGTCCCATGTGAAATACTTCTTGCCTGACATGTATCATCTACTTGTTGACTGACCTATTGAGGTGCCTTCATGACACCTTTTACATTCATGATAGGTCTCAGGAAGACAGCAGTGTACTTGGTGGAAACTCATGTAAAAAGTGGGTTGTAGGGAGCTAAACAGTGAGTACACATGGTATATGGATACGGAATGGAATAATAGACATTGGAGACTTCAAAAGGTGGGAGATGAAAGGGGGATGAGGTATGAAATCCTACCTGTTGAGTACAATGTACACTACTTACGTGCACAGTACACTGTTTGGGTGAGAGGCACACTAAAAGCCCGGACCTCACCGCTACCCAGTATGTTCATGTAACACAGCTGCACTTGTACCCCCTAAATGTATACAAATAATCTAAAAATAGCCCGGACCTCACCGCTACACAATATATTCATGTAACACAGCTGCATTTGTACCCCCTAAATGTATACAAATAATCTAAAAATAAAGTGGATATGGTGGCTGTCGTGTCCACCAACAGCGTATGTAACTTTTTAAAAAGTGGGTAATAGATTTATCAAACTTGAAGGCTTGTGTGAAAATATGAAAAATACTTTGCGTCTTAACAGATGCAGTCTTTGGGTGCAGCGCACCAGCACGGCACATGTATACATATGTAACTAACCTGCGCATTGTGCACATGTACCCTAAAACGTAAAGTATAATAATAATAATTAAAAAAAAAGATGCAGTCTTTGGGAGGAAGGGGTGCTATTAAAAAATCCTCCTTTAGGATTTTGTGGTGCTAATAGGTTATAAAAGACTCGTTTGCTCTTGTTTTCCTTGAAATAGGATATGCACTTGTGGAATGTTTTCTTTTCTCTCTGCCCTCAGAGGAAAATGGAGCCTAGTGGTCATGTGTACCTATTTCAGGTTGAATTGTCTTGTCAGCCTTTATGGACGGCAGTTGGCAACTCATTTATTCTTATATGAGCACTGGGGAGCAGGCTGGCCTGCATCATTGTGGGGTTAAGAGCAAAGCTTGGAATGGGAGTATAGGCATAGCTCTCAGGTGAGGCAGGCAGGGCCCACACCCCTTTAGGGGAGATGACAAGTGTAATCCCTGGTTTCTACAGGCTGGAGGTTTGGGAACATATGTACCATAGGAAACAAACTCCAAGTTTCCTGACTGTGGAGAAGGAAAGGAAAGAATATCATGCTCTGTTACTGAAACAGCTTATTCCTCAGGGTCAGGCTTTGAAAAACAAACCCAGTAAAAAGTATCTTTATTCTCATGTTTAAAAGTTTTTCTATGATGATGCATTAACAATACAAAAATATTTTGAACACTACAATAATCTTTTTCTCAAGACTTCTTGCAGTGTTACACTAGAATATGTGATCTTTGGATTCTGAGAAACCAGTGGCTAAAGTAGGAACTAAAGGCTTTTTTTGAGGGGTGTGTGAATACATGGACAGCCCTTTTTTTTTTTTTTTTTTTTTTTTGAGATGCAGTCTCCCTGTTACCCAGACTGGAGTGCAATAGCGCCATCTCGGCTCACTGGAACCTCCGCCTCCCGGGTTCAAGTGATTCTTCCGCCTCAGCCTCCCGAGTAGCTGGGATTACATGCGCGCACCACCACGTCCGGCTAATTTTTGTATTTTTAGTAGATACAGGGTTTCACCATGTTGGCCAGGCTGGTCTCAAACTACTGACGTCAGGTGATCCACCTGCCTCGGCCTGCCAAAGTGCTGGGATTACAGGCGTGAGCCACCGCGCCTGGCCCGGCAGCCCTTTTTCTTTGGATTTAGGCAAAAAACAAAAATTAAATTAAAGACTTGTTTTTCAAGGCTGAGGGTTGAAGCTTGGCTCAAAAATGGGTTAACGTAGGCTATGGTGAAAACCTGTTGTCCACTACTGGAGGTTTTCTGGGCTCCTTGATCTAGTTGTAATGGTCCTCTGTCCCGCAGCCCCATGGGGAAACTGGAGCCGGCCAGGCGGACTGAATGCTGAAAGACAGGCTCTGGCTGTCATGAGGTTTTGGGTTTGCCCTCTCAAGCTGCCCAGGAGCTGGCTGGACTGCCATAGATGAACTGGAAATGGAATTGTGAAAAAGGCTCTGTGAATGGGGAGGGGTGCACACTGGATTTGGGCCATGACTTCTTTGAACTGTTGACTGCAGCTGCTAGTGACAAGCCTGGGGCCAGAGCTTCTTAGGCTGGTGGGTTTCTCAGGGAACACTTCCAAATAATTTGAACTAGAGCTAGATACACCCTCCCCTCCCCAATTTGCCTGATAAGGTAGTGTCAGATTATTTCTGTTGCTTAGGTTGATAGGCCTAAACTTAACCTATTCCATTCCCCTTCCTGCTTCTTGCAAGCTCCTGAGATCATAGTAAGGGGCTTCCTCTGGTCCAACTTATGAGTAGCAGCTGGTTTTGTTTTTGTTTTTATAAACAGAGCTTCTCCATTTCCTTAGAAGAGCTGTCATCTTGAGCTTTGTGCTTGTGACCATGCTCACATGTTGTTTGACAAACCAGCTCATTCTTGGTCCATGAAGTGTCTGAATGGGGAGGGTGTGGCAGTGGGGGATGGGGGAGATGGGTAGAGAAGGTAGCTAGGCTCAGTTCAGCCCATCTCTGACCTATAGCAGAAAAGCTAGGGAGGCAGAGGCTTCTGGCTGGCAAGACAGATGGTACAAAGAATAGATGCAGGCAGCCATAGGTACAAGGGATTCCCTTAATTAGATGACACATCAAGACAGATCTGATTCCCACCACTTGGAGCAGTTTGAATCGATGACCCCAGGTTCAGGCAGAAGTCCTGCAGCCTCTGAAATCTTCAGGGTCTGGACCCTGAGATGACGTTAACAGGACCCCTGGCCAGTTTCCATGAGATCTGGGTCTCTGTCACTTTCAGGGGGTAGGCTCCTGGAGGCGGCCAGGTGTCCTGTGCCTGCTAGGCCACCTGTCTCTGAGATTCCTGTTGCTGTACCTGTGTGCTCTGCAGGGTGCTGCGGGGGGCCTGTGGGGGCCCTGGGGTTGGGAGGCTGAGAGCAGTGGAGAGACCTGGGGATGTAGGTGCCGGCTCCGCAGGGCTAGTAAGCAGTTCTGTGGGGAAGCGGGGCAGCAGATGGTATGAGGGTGAGTCCTGGGGAGCTGGGGACCCGGGGCAGCCTAGAGCACTGTCATCGGAAGGAACGGGGCTGGGGCAGCGGCCTTCTCCGGGTAAGTACCGAATGCATTTCTTTTTCCTCCTAGGAATAGTGAAGAGAGTTATCTGTAAACAGAGGGTGAATTCATAGTCATACACCACAACCAAAAAATGCTGCCTTTGCACAGGCCTGGCTGATTCCTTGTCCTCTCTTCCTGGGACTTGGGTGGTAAGTCAGTGTCCTCAGACTGCCATTCTGCTTGGTCTGGCCCAGACCTAGGACAGGTGCAGTTCCCAGAACAGCCACAAGGTGGCAAAGGGGCCTTTTGTCACTAGGCCTATGGGCTGTCATCTGTCTTCCAAGGGAGTCATCTCTCCTGTCTTCCAAGGGAGTCATCTCCCAGTCCCGGCCTTTGAGCTTCTCCAGATGTGTTTGTGGGACTCACATCTGCACCAAGGCAAGGGGCCGCAATGCCTATGGCTTCCTTGCCCAGCCATCCCAGTCCTCAAGCTGGGCTAGAGGAAGAAGACATGGACAGTGACTCTTGTCCATTACCATCCTTGAGTTCTCTGGGCCAGTTTGTCTCTGATGGAATGAATGGAATAGAACTTCCCCTGAAGACAGGGTTGTTTCCCACCGTGCATATGTATGTGGATACACAGACACACCCCAAACTCCTCCTTGCCCTTGGACAGGGAGTGTGGTGGGTACACTGAGAGGCTGGACAAGTGTTCCTTAGAGCCAGTGGCCTTACTGCCTGGAGTACCCTCTATCTTAGCCCTGCCAGGCCTGGCCTGAAACTGACTGAGGAAACTTTAACCACTTGTTGGGTAAACCTTGTCACACCCACAAGTATTTCTCTGTTGTATGGTGAAACACATGAGCCCTTTCCCTCAGACAGCCCAGGGTACCCCCTGGGTCCTCTCCCCCAGCCTCTCCAGCCCTTTGGTATCAGTAGGTACAAGATAGCAAGTCATAAGGCTACCTGGCAACCAGATGGTTCTGTGTTGTTGTCACCTTGCTTTTTCAGATTAAGGGCTCAGGATGGTACAGGCAGGGATCCCATCTTGAAGAGGAAGTGAGGGAGCCCATGGGCCATAATGACTTTGAGGCCTGGTAGAATGGGCTCCAGGCCCCCTTAGTGGTGGCTGAGCTGTCTGTTTGCTGAGGACCTGCTAGGCCCACTGGCATCAGAGCTGCCTTCTTGAGTCTGTCCTTCCTTTCTGGAACATTCTGTGTCTTTCTCTCCAATCCTCCTGCACTTAGACCCAAGTGGTCTTCTCCACGCGCTGTGTTCAGTATTTACTACTATTCTCAGGAGGCCTGGGCTCCCAATCTGCTGAGTATGCTAGTGGGCTGAGGGGCCAAAGGAGTGGGCTGCAGGCCCAGTGGAACATGTGCAGAGTCAGGGAAGCAGCTTAAAGCAAAGGGAGAACGATGGTGGGGACAAACCCACCTGCACGGACCACACCAATCCGTCTGCTGGTTGAGGCCAAAGCGAGCACGGCATTTCTTAGGCGAGCCAGGGTCTGCTCACAGCCATGCCAGAGGGGTAGAGCAGGGCAGAGGGCGAGCAGGCAGCGGGGCAGAGCAGGGCCCAGAAAGAAGAGGTAACATCAGTGTTAGCCAGTTATAGACACCCTACAGCCCCCATAGGCAGAGTGGGCCTCTCCATGGCACAGCCAGCCCCAGTGGGAGCCCAAGAGCCCAGAGCCAAGATATCAGGAAAGGTGGGCACCCAGGTACGCAGTAGAGGCAGTGGGAAGAATGGGAGGGAGGGAGTCCTGTCAATCTGGCTCATCTCTGTGGCTTGTGGGGCCCTTGCAGCATGGAGGCTGCAGAGGGGCCCAAGGAAGACCATGGAGATCCAGCCTTTTATGCCCTAGGGCCACCCACCTCCTCCCCAACTCCCTACCCATTTTATCCAGTTTTTCTTCATTCTTGACCTACATTCCTTCAAGGGATAAGGCTGAAGGCTATACCTTATGCTGTTCTACACACTTGCAGATGGAAGGAAGGGCCTATTCTTTGCCTTGGAAAAAGGGCTAGGAACTCTGCCCTGCTCTGTCCCAGTCCTAGCCTCCAGCTTCCCTGTGTGGGGACAGCACGGCTGAGGTGGTCAGGGATGTGGAGTCTCAGTTACCAGAGAGGCAGGAATTCACCCTTAGGAAGGAGGCCTGCAGCAGGGTGTGGGCTTCTCTACATAGAGCACTTTGCACTGCCATGAAAAATGTTGAAGTGGGGGTGATAAATTGCCAGGCTCCAGCCAGTAGGCTGTGTGTCTACTGGGCCTAGTCATGGGGCCTAGCTCAGCCTCTCCCAGTCTCAGCAGAACTAGCCAGGACATTGTTTGGGCTAAGCATCAAACCATACAGTCAGTTCTTTGCTGGTTTCTCTGGTGAGTGGAGCTAGCAAAGGTAGTGGGTGCAAGGCAGAGGAACGCACCATCTACTCCAATTCTACCCAGCAGAAGCCAGTTCTGCTGGGTTTCCCTGGGACTTAGTATAATATAGCTGTTTCTTGCATGGGAATTTGACTTGTGAGATGCAGGCCTTGTTTTCATAGGCCCCAGGCCCTGAAGGCTCCTAGCTGGGTACCGCGTTCCTCCCTTTGGGTCAGAGGAGGGCTGCTCTTGAAATGGGGACATGGAGAGGAGCCTCCACTGCTGCTGAGAGAAGGTCTCACCTGTGGTGGATTCTTGGTGCTTTTCCCTCGACCGCCTCTTCTTCTTCCCCTGCAGGGAACAAAAGGAGGGATGCTCAGATCTGGGAGGCAGACATTGGGATACCCACAGCCTGCTGCCTAGCTTGGGTAACCCTGGGATTCTGGGCGTACAGGCCCCTCCTACCTTGGGGTGCTGGTGTTTCTTGATTGCTGGTCTTGCTAGGCTGCTATGGAGTGCATTTAGAAGCTCTTCCCTCACCCCAATCTGGTCTCCAGTTTGAATGGAAGGAGGTGACTTCCAGACCCCTTTCTCCCCTTCTGCCCATGTGGCCCAATCAAATGTTGGGTAACAGCTCATGTGTGAGCATATTCTGGAGTGGAGAATAGGATGTGGGCTTGTCCTCTTCTGAGGCAGCCATGGGAGGCCTTGGACCCTCCGTGCCCTTCCTCATCGGTGCCTTCAGGACAGTAGTTCTGCGTTCCTTACTGAGATTGTGGCCTGGGGCATGGTATCTCAAAGGGTCCCCTGCCCACCCCTGCTGTGTGTCACTAGGCACTCACGTAGTTGTCCCGCGCTGACCAGCCTGGGTATAGCTGCATGTGCAGCTGCCTCTCCTTGCGGGCCAGCTCATAGTACTTGGCCTGCTCTTCTCGCGACAGCGCGTGCCACTGCAACAGGGAAGAGGGGCAGGTGGGGTGCATCAGGGAGTCAGCAGGCTGCACCAGGCTGAAGATGGTCGGGGAGCATCCCTGCCAGCCCACCTGCCCATGGTCTCACCCTGCGGCCCAGGATCTGGTTGATGGCAGCGCTCTCCTTAAGTGTGCACTCTGCAATGACCTTGGCTCTCATCTCCTTCATGTACAGCATGAAGGCATTGAGGGGCTTCTTGATGGTTGGCTTCTTGGCCTCCTTCTCTGCCTTGGACTCTGCTTGTGTCTTCCTGAGGGGCACAAATCCAGATTGTTCAGGAGCCCCCCGAGTGCCCACCTAATTGCAGCCTCCTCCTCTAGCGTGGGCCTAGAGTGTGCCTAAGTGTATGATACCAGAGTTTTCTAAGTGGAATCTTTCCTAGCTGCCCCCAAATGGGTGAGCAGACAGCTAAGTAACTGTTCCTTATAGGAACACTACAGACAAGTGGGAAAAGCATGTGTTAAGGACTTCTGAGCCCCTCCTCTGTTGGCTCAGAAAAATCCTTGTTCCCCATCCCACCCACCCCCTCCTACTTCTGAGGATCAAAAACATAGCCAGAGGCACGAAACAGCTTAGGCAGGGACCTCGTGGCAGTCCTCAGGCCTGGTGGGGAGGCATGTGTATCCTGACTGACACACCCCCTGCCATCATTGTCTTTTCACTCACAGGTTGCGGTCGAAGGGCTGCAGCTCCTGCTTCCCTGAGGGGGGCACAATGGCCGGGTGGGGGATGGCTGCTGGGTGACCAGGTACACCAGAACCTAGCATCAAGGATGGGTGGGTGAACCTGGAGGCAGGAAGAAAGTTAACACTGAGCCAAGAATTATGGGCCAGACCTTTGGACACACACAGAGGCCCCTGCATAATACATAACTTGAGGACACAGGTGAACAGATAGATACTCTATCCTACTGGCCTAGACATAAGTACACAGAGATAAATACAAATACCTGCTCCCAGCACACTACACAGACACACTGCAAAAATCTACATAGATTGCCATTCAGATGGTTACTACATAGGTCCCAAGTAGCTTTTGAATCTGTCCCCTTCTCACGTCCTTCCCCTACCAACCCAGCCTCAGGAGCCTGTGGCTGCCCTGTGAGGCCTCATCCCTCTCCTGCTTGACCCTTCCAGGCCTCTCTCCACACAATAGCCAGAGTAACCATTAGAGACACCTGAATGTTCCTGGCCTGCTTCGGCTGAAATTCCCCCAGCGTCCAAAGAATAGAACCCAGGCTGCTCCCAAGGGCCTGCACAGCCCTGCATGAGCATCCTGCTGCTGTTGCTAGCCCCTTCTCTTCTCCTCTGCTTCCTGTCCCTCTCCGTTCCCCGGCAGCCCCAGTTATGGCTGTTCCCTTGTTTTCTTCTCGCAAAAGATCTATTACTCTTTCCGCGAAGCTCTCCCTGACCCATCAGGCCTGGTGAGGTCTCCTTGGGGCTTCCCCATCACTCAGCTGGCCCATTAAGCTGCCGGTGCCATGTCTACACTTGCTATACTGGGCTGTGAGCTCCAGTGGGCAGCAAATGTCTGTGGAATCCCCTGCCATTGCATATTTGCACTGAGTCTGTCACTGAAGGAGTGACCTAAGTGAAGGGATCCATGTACACACACCTCCCACTTCACTTTCTTGCTATTCTGTGGAGACCATTCTGCCCCTTACTGCTTGCACAGGTATTATCCCTGAGCCAGCAGCCCCTAAGGGTCAGAGGTTGGGGACTTAGGTAAAAGGTGCTGTCTCAGCTTGGGCAAAGCTCAGGGGATGCCCAGGAGAGTCCTTCTAAGTAGGGATGAAGAACAGAGGTGAGTGCACACACATCTGCACACGGGCTGAGCCACATATGCCTGTACTGTCCTGGCCTCTGTGGTGCTCTGCTGCACGGTGTGGCCCAGGCTGAGGCCTCTTGGCACTTGCACTAGCTTCATTCTCAGGCACAGGACAGCAGGGGGCTGCAAAATGACAGACGGACAGATGGACAAACGACTAACACAGGGCAAGCACTGGCCTGGGCATGGCCTTGTGTGGGCTCTGAAGCCTGGGCAACAGGAAGCAGGAGCCTAGCTGCAGTGTAGGGGACTCACCTGGGGTAGGGGGCGCCAGGGGCTGCAGTGGGGGCAGGGAAGTGCTGTCTATATCCGCAGGAAGGGGACAGGGGGTAGAGAGGAGGGCTGGGCCTGTGGTTGGGAGAGATAGCTGTTAGCAGTCTGGCTGCTGGCCAGACACGAGGAAAGACTTCCCTACCTTGCTAGGCAGGCCTTGACCCATCCTGTGAGACAGATGGGCCTCTGCTGGAATTTCAAGCATCTGCCACCAGAGGGCAGCTTGTGCGGTTTCCCTCTATAAACTTGTATGGGTGCTTGAGGGATGGAAATGGTATCCTTCTCCTGGGACCCAGCTTAGCAGGCCCCTGGGCCCCTCCAGCCTGCTTCTGTTTCTTTGACGGTATAGGGCTGATATCTGTCCTGGGGCCATTGCAGCCACTGTTAACACTGGATTGTTTTGCACCACTTTGCCTGCTTCAATTCCTGGTCATCCTTCAGGTCTTCCTTAGCTAAGTGACCCTTCCTCCTCAAATCCCTGAGATTCCAAGCTGGATGAGGTACCTCTCTGGGCTCCTACAGTCCCTAACTAGAGCACTACCAACAGTGCCCTGTAACTGTCTGGTTTTTTGCCTGGGTTGCCCACGAGGTAGACTGAGTTCTGAGAGGGCAGGGACCTAACGATCAGTTGGCTTCAGCAGTGCCGACTTCCCTGGTGCCCAGAACCCTGCCCGGCACACAATAGGGCTCAGTGGAGAGATGGCTTAAATACCCCTACTTCTTTCCTCACAGCCAAGTGCCACCGGGTGGAAGCCGAGAGCACAGGGCTGCCTGAAGTCCCCTCCTTACAGCCTTGGTGGGTAAAATCTGCTGTAGGCTCAACTCTCTTGGTCTTCAGCACTGCTGGCCTAGGGGATGCTTTTGAAAGGCTGGCCTACAGATTTGCATCCACGGAACCCTGGTCTAGTCCAGTAAGGCTGGGCTCTTGAGCATCTTGCCACGCTTTGATCCTAGGGGTATTCATGGGAGTAGTCTTAATTTGTATTCAGAATGGATTGTCCAAGGAGAAGCTGGAACGGAGGAGGGTGCTGACCATGGGTAAAGGGCAAGTGGGCCACAGGTTGGGCCTCTGGCCTGCCCGATCTCCTTGGGGAGCCAAGTTTTCCTGCTGTTGGGTGACTGCCACAGCCCAGCTCTCTGAAATAGGCTAGAGACCTGCGCAGCTCAAACTATCGTTGATGAGTAAAGGGCCAAGTAGCCTGCCAAGGCCCAACTCCAGCTGAGGACAGGCCCTTTGGCCCATAGTCAGGCCTACTGGCTTAGGGGGCCAGGCTTCCTTTTCCTGGTCCAGCCTTAAGAATCTCCAAGCAGGCTGGTCAGAGGCTTGGGCTTAAGCAGGCACCACAGGGGCAGGGAGGGACACTGCCCCTCAAGCAGCTCAGCCAAGGAAAGGACCAAAAGCAGTAGGCACTGAGGCCAGTGAGCTGAGAAGCAGCAGCCTCTCTGGTAGCCACTCATGCTGTCCCCTCCCTGCTCGGGCCCACCTTTCTTCCTCAGTTACTCATATGGCCCTGGAGGTCCCTTAGCAGCCCAGAGTTCTCCCATCTAAGGGGATCTCTTGGACACTGAGGGAGACAGGGCTGGGACCAGGGACCAGCTCTCCTGCCTCTCCAAAGGGAGTATGTCAGGCTCCCTGGGGAATGCAGGCCGGGGTACATGAGGACCCCTAGCTCAGAGCCAGGTTAGGACAGAGTTGCTGGCCAGCCCCTGGCATCTAAACAGAGCTGGCAGCAGGGTGGCCAGCCAAGAGGGATGGAGGAGGAAATGGAAGGGCAGGCAGGTCTTGGTCTGACCAGCACACGGTACCCCTTTCCCATTGGGCCCACACTCACCAGCTCACAGTGTGGGGGAGCTGCCCCATGCTGCCTGAGGTCAGGGAGTAGAAGCCAGAGAGGTCAGGGGTCTGCAGAGGCCTGTGAACTGCAGAGGAGAGAAGCTGAGTGAGTGGGCTAGCCTGACCTGGCAGGCCATATCAGCAGTTACTGCATCCTAGAACCTCCTACAGGGGCCTTAAGATCCCACCAGCTTTGCTAGAGGACCAGACATAAACTAGTTTATTCAGGAGGATCCCAGTGTGATAATAGTGCCCCTTTGACAGACAAGGGAACCCAGGGCAGAGGGCTGGGGTGACTTGCCTAAGACATTAGGGGGCCAGTAGGCAGAGCTGAAGTCACTCAGGCATGGAGGCATTGGGGCATCTCTGCTCGGGGGACTCCAGCCTAGCTTTCTGGGCAGGAGGCAGGCCCCTGGTCTAGGGGAGCCCAGCCTGGGGAGCCAAGGCTCCACCTGCCCCCCAGGGTTGAGTCAGCAGGTTTCCCACAGCTGACAATGAGGGATTTCAGAATGACTTTGCCTGAGGCTGAGGTGAATCAGCCATCACAACCACCACTTTCCATTTTCTCACTGAGAGGAGGAAAGGCTACAGTTTTACAGTTCTCAGCAATGCTGCCATACTGGCAGCGGGGTCACCCATGGGATTTAGGCTTCAACCTGAAGCCTTCACATTTTGACCTAGCACCACCTTTTCCAGTTTTCTGATGCCCTTATACCCCCAGTCCATCTTTCTGGTATTTTCTTTGGGCCCTTAGTTTGCACAGCCCCAGGTTCTCCAGTTATAAAATGGACCCAGCTACCTGGTCTCAGAAGCTGGGGTCTTGGCCCTTAGGCTCTGGTTTCACTGGGCCCCTCCCCATCCCAGGCTTGTACCTTGCTTCTGGCTGATGTCCGCAGGTGCAGGGGTGGGATGTGGGCTGTTGAAATGTTCGTAGAGAGAGAGTTGGGGGACACCGTGGGGGGGCTGATTGGCCTTGTGCTGAAAAATGAGAAGGAGGGTGGGTGAGTGTGGCGAGTCCTGAGGGAGGAAGACACTGGGATGAGGGTATACAGGAAGCCCAGCTGTCAAAGAAAAGTGGTGGCCAAAACCACAGGCCTCAGCGAAGGGGGTACCACTCAAGTCACAGTGTCCAGTACCCCGCCCACTAGCCCCCAAGACTTTGCCCAAGCAGTCCCACCCCCTAGAAAGCCTCTTGGTCTTTCTGGGCACTCAATTCCTGGAGGTGCGTCTCCCCTGTCCAGAAAACCCTTATTGGCCTCCTCATCTCAGGTTTGGCTTGTCTGGGAGGTTGCTTATAGCCTCCAGCCCCCTAAAGCAGGGCATGGCCTGAGGACCCAGGCCTACCCCAGCACACCCTGGAAGAAGCACAGCTATCTTTCCTCATCTTCTAGCCCCCAGTCTGGGGATTCTGAGTCTGACCATTTGTCTTAGCTCAGGCCTAACAGGATTTTCTGACACAGGGAAGGGCCCTCCTCAATCCCCTAAATCAGGGGAGATGGGGCCTGGCTTCCTCCAGGGCCATCCTTGCCCAGCCCCCGTACTTCCTGTTTCCTCAGCACCGCAGGACTCTTACTTTTCTTTTTTCTCTGTTTTTTTTTTTTTTTTTTTTTTGAGACAGAGTCTCACTCTGTGGCCCAGGCTGGAGTACAGTGGCGCGATCTCGGCTCACTGCAACCTCCGCCTCCTGGCAGTTTAAGCGATTCTCCTGACTCAGCTTCCCGAGTAGCTGGAATTACAGGCACCCGCCACCACACCCGGCTAATTTTTGTATTTTTAGTAGAGATGGGGTTTCGCCATGTTGACCAGGCTGGTCTCAAACTCCTGACCTCAAGTGATCCACCTGCCTCGGCCTCCCAGAGTGCTGGGATTACAGGCGTGAGCCAACTGCGCCCAGCCAAGACTCTTAACACTAGTTGCATTGCTCTATCAAGAGACGATTCAGTCAGCAGGCTGGAAGGAGGGGCTCCCCAGGAAGACCTGGCTGCAGGGAGTCACTGCCAGGGCCAAGGCCCAGCTCTACAGTATCCTCAGTGCACATCTGCACGGGTCAGGGCCCTGGAGACATCATCTGCAACCAAGGTTCAACTTCCCACTTTGAAAAGCCCGTTTGCAAGGATGCTGTTGGCTGGGAGCATGGATGAGTGATCTCTGACTCCTGGCACAGAGGAAACGGGACATCTTTGGAGCAAGTCAGTAATGAGGGGCTGTGGCCTGGGTTCGTCCCCACTCTGTGAGTGCAATTCCTGACTGGGTGAATTTAGCCAGACTCCTTAAGAGCTTCAGGCATCTCTCCTAGTAGTGAATAGGGTTCATGGCCCCTTTATTACCAGGCCTGGAGAAGGGTGGCTCATGGTGAGGAGGCCTGGCACAGTCCCTCGGCACTTGGTTATTGGAAGCCCAGGGCAAGCCTAGATGGAAGGCTGGGTATAAGCCCTGCTGTAGCCAAGACATGAAGCTCCCAGCTGGGCACAGGCTCCCACACCTGCCAGCAACAGCCCTGTTGCTGGCATCTTTCCTCACATTCCTGCCTCCGGGCTACAGCCTTCACCCTTCCCCTCAGGTCTTGGGGAAGGTGCTGACACTGCCACCTGTCAGGGCCCTGCTCATCCATCTGCCCACCGGGAGGAGCCTTACATAACAGGGCTTCACAGGCTTCCTCCTTTCCTCAGGCAGACAGGGGCTGATGTCCCTATAGGTGGCTAGCAAGGAAGAAGAGAGGCTGGGGCAGCTGCAGGGTATGTGGACACATGTGCACTCCTTCAGGTATCTGGTACCTGCCACATGCCAGGGACTGTGTCATGCACTTTGTAAACCCTGTCTCATTCCCATCAGGGTACAAACAGGCTGCCATTTCTCCCATCTCTAAATCCTCCCCCAGCTACCACCTCCTGTCTCACTCCCTTTTACAGAAACCTCAGCAGACCTGTCCCCATTCACTGCCCCTAGTTCTCAGCCCTCATTCTCCCTTCAACCCAGCCAGACAGTCTCTTGCCCCATCCCTCCACTAGATGACTCTTGTCAAAGTCCCAGTGACTTCCACCATCCTGAACTCAATGGTCAATTCTCAGTCTTCATTTTATCCAACCTCTCTGCAGCATCAGACACAATTGGTTTCTCCCACTTCCTTGAAAGAGTTTCTTCACTTGGCTTGCAGAATGCCACACTGCCTGATATTCCTCCAGCTTCATGGGCCACTCCTTCCTGACCTTGTTTCTGGCTCCCATCTTCCTCTCATCTGGGTTTACAGCTTTAAACATCTTCATGTGATGACTCCACATTTCTTCTCCAGCCCCACTTCTAGGAACTCTACTTTCCAAATGCTTACTCAACTCTACTTGGTGGTCTGAAATGCCCCCTAAACTCAACATATCCAGATCGGAACCTCTGACTTCCTGCCCCAAACGCTCCTCCCTGTCTTCTTACCCAGTTAATGGTAACTCCATCCTTTCAGCTGCTCAGACTAAAGATCTTGGAGTCATCCTTGACTCCTTTTTCTCTGATACTCCATATCCAATTTGTCAGCAAATCCTAATGCTCTACCTTCAAAATGTGTCTAGAATCCCACCACTTCCTCCTTGCCCGCACCCAGTCCAAGCCACCATCACTTTGCACCTGGATGACTGCAGCAGCTCCCTCCTTAGACCCATGCTTCTCTCCTGCCCCTCCGCCAGTCCTCAATCCAGCAGCAACAGGAATCAGATCGTGTCACTTCTGCCTAAAGCTTCCAGTGGCTTCCCACGGTATCTCCTGACCTGGGGCCTACAAAATTCTCTGTGGGCTGGGCGCAGTGGCTTCATGCCTGTAATCCCAGCACTTTGGGAGGCTGAGGGAGGAGGACTGCTTTAGGTCAGGAGTTCAAGACCAGCCTGGGCAACATAGCGAGACCTTGTCTCTACTAAAAATAAAATAAAAATAACTAGCTGGGCATGGTGGTGCATGCCTGTAGCCTCAGCTACTCAGAAGGTTGAGGGAGGAGGATCATTGGAGCCCTGGAGATCGAGGCTGCAGTGAGCCGTGATTGTGCCACTGCACTCCAGCCTGGGTGACAGAGTGAGATGCTGTCTCAAATAAGTAAAGCTCTACGTGATCTGGCTCCTGCTCCCTCTGTAACCCCAGCACCTTCTACTCTCTTCCTTGTTCACAATGCCTGGGGCTTCCCATGGGTGCTTTAGCCTCCAGCATCCTTCTTCATTTACTCCAGTGATAATGCTGAAAGTGTGCCATGATGTGAGGTAGGTTGGGAAGCCTGGCTCTAGGCTTGCTGACCTTTTCACTGACCTTTTATTGGAGGATCCTGGGCCAGTCTCATCCTTCTCTGGGGCTGCATTTTCTCTCCTTGTAAAACGGAGATGAGAATACCAGTCCTACTCACCTCATTGGTCACAGATGCAAAAGTTCTCCTCTGTCCTAAAGTTCCAGGGAGAAGGAGCCAAGGGCCTGTTAAAGTAGGAAGTTTCCTGGAAACCCCTGGGGTGTTTTTATCCTAACAGGTTCCTAGAATAACACCAGCCAGCCAGGCAACATCAGCCCTGACCAGGCCTCGTGACAGCTGAGGGCACGGAGACTGAGCCTCAGGGCCTACTCCTTCAGGAACATTGGATCCTGCCAGAAAGCATTCCACCATTCACCACCTTAGGGCACAAATGCCTGGAGCATGGGGGGCTTTCGAGTCTAAGCTCCTGCTTCAGAGGAGGCCTTGCCATCCAGCCTTGGCTCTGGCTCTTTGACCCTTGGGATGGACCGAGCGCCTGGCTAGCAGAATAGGCAGGGAAGCCTAAGGAGCTGAGCCAGGGGTCCACGGTGCCAGCTCTTGGAAGACAGTCCCAGAGTCTCTGCTCTGCCCAGAGTTGGGGCTCTGCCCCAAGGTAGTGAGAGCATGGCTCCATGGTGAGGTTCTCAGTAAACTACCCTTCCCCTGGGAGTAGGTGGTTTACTGAGAAGCTACCCACAGGAGTTTTGGCCAGGAAGCCATGGAGAGCCCTCCTGCCAGGAGTGGGGAGGCCAGAGCTGACCCTCCTTGGCCATGCTGGGCCTGGCCCAGGTCCAGCTTTGCCACCTGAGCCCCAGGTTGCAGCACAGCTCAGGCTGGGCCTAGGAAACCTCCAAAAGAATCCAGCCCAGTCTACAGCTGCTGGCCTGGTACATATGCATGTGATGGGCAGTGCTGCGGGGTGTTGCCTGGCAGGCTGTGGGCTCATTCTGTCTATCAGCCTTCCTTGGGAACTGGGAAAAAACGCACTAAACAGGAGTCTACTGTCAGACCACAGGAGAAGTGCTGGATGGGCAGGGGTGGGGCAGAGAACTCACTGGCAGCTGGAGGTCCTGGGGTGGCCAGGGCTCCAGGGCAGAGCATCAAGGGCCTGGCCAGTCCCTCCCACATTCATGCAGGCTGCCTCTTAGCCTCAATCCCCAGCCCGCTTTGCGCCCGGTGGTAGGAGCCAGGGGAAACCGTCTAGCACAGGGCCTGGCACCCATGTCCCCCTCGCCCAGTGGAACGTCCCACTCCAGGGCCTCAGCACAAGGCTGTCTCAGGGCCAGGCTGCCTAGACAACAGGGTGGGGTCACCTGGGGCCTGGCATGTATATGGGGAGCCTGGTGACTGAAGCCCCCCTCCCCTGCTCTCCCTGATGGTGACTGTGCCCAGCCCTCAATGGAAAGAGGCAGGCCTAGGGTGATTGTCCCCACCAGGCCCCGAGCATTTCAATGGCACACCTTCATCTCTCTTGCCCTCATCCTCTGAGGGCAGAGTACCAAACCTAGAGCTGGGTGCACAGTAAGTGCTCAAAGCATGCTGGGATGTTTAAATGCATTGATGCCTCACCAGCAGTCCAAACTGCTTGATCAGCAAACCCCAGACCCATGCTCTTTGCCTTTGCCCCTCTGTCTCCCCCACCATCCCAGACACCCCAGGGCTACCCTGAGAGTCATCTCTGTCCCACCAGTGCCTGTCCAGCCTTCTACTGGATGCCTGGTGACAGGGCTCACTCCCAGCAAAAGTGGTCCTTCCTGCCACTGCATTGCTCTTACTGCTCAAAGACTTCCTCAGACCACTCCAGTCCACTGTCCCACAGGGGCTCCTCGCCCTTCTGGACTATTTCCTTAGCCCATGGCTAGGAATTCCTCATTCGGGTGCTCCTGCGTGCCTTCTTGTTTACCAGACAGGAGCCCAGAAGACAGCCAGGCAGGGCCAAGCAGGAGGAGATGGAAACGGAGACTCCTGAGGTAGTTCTCCTCTGTTCTGAAGTCAAGCTTGGGCCTGGCTTGGCATCCCCCTTCACCACCCCCCCAACCCGCACCCCCCAACTTCCTGCAGGCTCAGGTGAAAAATAAACACAGTCGGCATTTTCCCTGTAGACCGCAGCGGTCTGCTCGCAGGCTGTGTGCACGCTGACAGCCCTTGCCACCGCCAGCAGAGAAACTCCCTCGCCTCTGACGGTTGACTCTGAAAACCCCCAAATGCTTGAGCCCCACAACACTTTCCCAGCGAAGAAAGTTGCTGTTTCCTCTGGCCTCAAGCCTGTGGGGGGTAGGGGATAGGTGAGGCCTGTTCAGGCCCTCCCAAGAACGCCTCCCAGTGGCAGGGGACTGTGCCAGCAGAAACAGCCCCCCAAGAGATCAGGATGCTCAGCTGGTCGCTATTGGTACCATTTGGTCAGGGTGTATTTATGAGCTCCTATTATGTGCCAGGCAAAAAAATGCTTCAGGCCTAGAGAAAAGCATGTGCTAATGTGAGCGGAGTATTTCCCATGTGTGAGGCAGAGTTCTGAGCACCGTGCAGAGTTGAACTCAGATACTCCTAACATAGACCTATGATATTAGGTACAACTACTACGCCCACCTGACAGATGGGGAAGCTGAGGCACAAGGTCACACAGCTAGTAAGTGGCAGAGCTGGGATGACACCCACGACACTGCAAAGGGCCTATGGTTATTGTGCACAGGACACTGTCCCAGTTCTAAACACAGTCTCTCCCTTTCCCAGCCTGGCTGGTCAGGGTGACCTGAACCAGTGCTTCCCTAACCTGAAAAATGCTCCAAGTTTTAGGACCCCTGGGATGGGGGTTCTGGCTACACTGGCAGCCTGCCTGGTGGCAGTAGTTGAGCATGACCCCAAGGCCCCAGCCATGTCCCCTGCTCACCACGGCACAGCCATGTCAGCCTGCTCCTCCGGCCCAGGTGCCTTCCCTCTGCAATGTTCCATACTTCCTCCTGCTCTGGGCCAGTCTGGCCCACTCTCATCCTGACCTCAGTCTAAGGGTCACTTTGTGGAAAGGCCTGTGGCCTGGCTTGGGGTGCCACCAGCCTAGCTGGCAGAGAGGTTGGCCTGGGGGTCCTGGATGGCAGGGTCTGCTGGTTAGTCATCTCTGTCTGGGCTCTGCACTCAGCAGGCTTGTTGCATGAAGGCCTCTAGAATCCCGGTGCCTCCAGAACCTGTGCATGCCTCCCTCCTCAGCCACAGGGCTGTGACTTCTTCCCTCAGGTCCCTCAAGCAGAGGGCTGCTCCTGAAGCCTGGTCTGGAGCTGGGAGAGGCCTTGGGGAAAAGCCCATGGAAGGAAGGGCAGATCTCCACCTTGAGCCTTGTGCTACCTCCAGAGCAGAGGCTGACCAGACAGAAAGGTGGGCTATTGCTATGGTTACTGTTCTGTTTGCCAAGCACACAGAGGTGACACTGAGTAACATAAATGCCACGTGTGACAACCCACTTGAGGTGGGCATGATACATTCTTCCCATTTCGCACATGTGGGAAGCAAGGCTCTGTAAGGTGAGAAAGTCAGTCGTGGCCCCACAGCCCTTCCTCCACCAGGTCAGTGCCAGGGCCCTTTATGGGCTCTCCAGGTCTTCAGTGGTGCCAGCCTCATCCTCCCCTTCTCACTCTGTGCTCCAGCCACATCACTGGCTCTGAGGGCCATGATTCCCTCCGCTTGGAGCACTCTTCCACCACTTGGCTTGGCAAACTCCTATCCATCTTTCAGGACTCACATAAATGAGACTTCCTCCTAGAAGTCTATGCTATCCTCCTCATCTGAGGAGGAAGGGGTCCCTTGCCATGCTCACATCCCCAACTCCTTCTGTAGCACCGATCCACTGTGCTATAGTTGACTGTTATCTGTCCTGCCCTTCCTGTGGTCTGGGATTTTGCCCTGAGTTATTTATATTGAATGTATTAGAGCTGGGCCCTTGAAGTTGAGTCCAGTGCAGGTGGGGTGGGAGGCGTGTGTAAGCCAGTGTTTAGGGAAAATGTGACTGCACTAAATAAGGCACCCTGGCTGGGGCTGGGCACAGGGTCACTGCAGCATACAGGTTAGGAAGGTGGGAGGAGCTGGGGCCACTACTTGGACTCAGGACATCCTACCTGGTACCTAAGACCCTTTGGCCTCCTCCTACCCCCGTCCTCTCCTGCCTGCAATACTTTGGGAGTCAGAATGACCAGTCAACATCAGGGCTGCCATTAATTCACATGGGGCATTTGTGCTAATTAGAAAAAGCACCCCTTCTTCTGGACAGACACCTGGGCCATGCCATGCCAGGGCAGTGGCTTGGGAAGCACAGTGCAGGCTGGTCTCAGCCCTTGGCCCAGCTCCCCTGGCACAGCCCCTCCGGTTCTCACTTTCCTTCTTTGCACTGCTAGGGCCCACCAGTCAGCCCCACAGCTCCCTAGGCGTCTGTGTCTAGAGCTAGGGCCCCACTGTCCAGCATCAATGGCGCTTTGTGCCGAGGAGTCTGCCCAGTTGCTGAGCAGGATGCCCCTCAAGCCCTCAGACTACAACAATCGACTTCCTGGGGGGCGGGACAGGGCTTGCCTGCAATATGGACCAGGCCTCGATTTGTGGGCTTTCGCAGACCCCATCTCTGCAGATATACTCCAGTAGGGCTGAGTGCGCCAGCCAGGCTGGAGGCGCCCCTGCTCATGCCCTTTTATCCCTAGCCCCCGCTCCAGGCACCACTGCCCAGGACACGGTGCTCTCCAAAGGACGGCCCGCAAGCTCCCTGCCCACAGCGTGCTGGATGCCCTGTGCCAGACGCCCACCACAAAGCACAGAAAAGCACAGAGTGTGGATGCGTGGCCACCTGAGCTGGAAGGGGTGGGGGATGGCAAGGCCACACCCTCCTGGACCAAGAGGCTTCAGTCTCACCTGCTGGCACAAGGCTGTTGCCACAGTTGCACAGAGCTCTGCTAGGTGCGTGTGGCCAGTCCACCCACCGCCTGGCCTTGACATCAGATAAAGGGGCCTGCCACAGCGGAGGTGGGGACTGGAGTCCCTGCATGCAGCCTTGGCAAACCACAGGCCTGCTCTAGGCCCAACCCGGCCCGAGGCACCCTCGGAACTCACTGAGCCCCACTTAGCCGAGTGGCGTGGCCCATGGCCTCCAGTGGTTTCTATGCATTCGTTTACTTGCGTTTTCCTTCCTCCACTTTGAGGTGAACGCCCCTCAGGACAGGATGTTTTTAGAGGAAAATATAAGCTTCCGGGAGCTGCTGCAACTGAGCTGCTAGTTGATGCTACCAACACAGCCTGGAGACTACACAGCAGCCCTGAGACTGGGCAACCCCCAGCCCAGGCAGTTATTCATGCAGCTCCCCATCAGTGCCCAGCCATCCAGGAGCCCACCGTGGACCGAGGCAAGGCACAACCTCATAGCTCCGCTGTCTTTGGCAGTAGGGAATGGAAAACAGGGATCTGGGGAGGGAGGTGTTTGAGGAGTTCTGAGGCTGTTTCCCTGGGGGCTTTGCAGAAAAGGCAGGAAAATACCAGGTGCAGATTTAGAGATGGCAGCCCCCACTAGTAACAGCCAACTGAGTGTCTCAGTCTGCAGAGCTCCACCCCTGCCGGAATCCCACCAGTCTTCCCAACCACTTTGTGCTGTGCATACAGACTTCGCAGACGAGGAAAGTGAAGCACAGAGAAGCTAAGAATCTTGCCCGAGGTCTCACAGCAAGCAGTGATGGATCTGGATTAGAATCTGGCCCTTTGGGGTTCTTGGCCACAGATCTTTACCATTCAGTGACAGGCCTCAACAGGCAGCACTTCTGCTGGCAGCAGCCTACCAAGAATTTTTCTTGAAACAAATTGGCTAGCAGTGTGGCTCTGAACCTCCCCCTGGCCCTAGGTGAGGGCACTCTGTCCTTGAAGGAGGTGATTTTGATTCTCAGTCATAAATGACCAAAAGAAAAGCAAGAGGTCATCCTTCCCACCGGGTCTGGCTGGTGCTCCCTGGCCCCATGTGTGAGGAGGGGTGGGACAGCCACCGGAGGCTGGGGTGCTCTCGCCACGGCTTGTCCAGCTCCAAGCCCGAGAGTGAGAGCTGAGAGCCCAGGCAAGGCCCAGAAAGGCAGGGGCTCAAGGGCAGAGGGAGAGAGCCTTGGAGATCACCTCCCCAGCCTTGGCCCTGCATTCTTGCCCCAATTTAATCTAGTAGCCTCTGAGAAGCAAAGACAAGACAGGGGTCTTGTCATGTGTTCTGTCCCGCAGCCTGCACCAGCCCTAGGAGGACAGTCCTGCCCTGAGGCCGCCACGGTCATGAAGCGCTCACTCCCCCAGCTATAGCCAGTCAAGACCCCTGGGGCTCTGTCTGGACTGTCTAGCCATTTATCCAAAGGGAAACAAGGCGTGGAAAGGAGCTCCTGGAGGCACCAGGCCCTGGGGTGCTGCTGCCCGAGCCCTCACACCCAGTGTGAGCAGAGGGAGGAGGCTGGGCAGTGCCAACTGCATGGGAGCCTCAGGAGAGCCCTTCATGAGGCGAGTGAGGGAGGGTCACACAAAACTGCCCCAGACAACTCTCAGAAACACACCTGGGTGTAGCATGACGCAAACAGGGCAGAGAGTGAAATACCAAACTGGGGTTGAGGAGTGGGAAGGGATGGGACGGGGGAGCCAGGCACCCAGCTGTGGCTGCAACACACGTGCGCGGCCAAAGACGCAACGGAGTGTAAGGGGAGGGACAGCGAACGCCGAGTCAGATGTCTGGGCTCAAATCCCTCCTCCAGTACCCACTAGGCGCAAGTCTCTCTATGCCTGGGGGTCTCCATTGTAAAACATCCAGGTCTCATGGGGTTGCTGTGAGGATTAGATGAACTAATATTTGTGGTTTTTTTCTTAATATTCCTTTTTTACTTAAGAACAAAATGAAACAAAAGGAGAAAAATCAAAAGCAAGTATGTCCCAAGACAAAGGCTTTTCAGGAACGCCAGCATTGTGCCAGGTTGGGGCCGCCAGCCCTTGATTTCCTCTGGACCACTGCCTGATTCCTGTCAGGCCAGATCACTGAGCTCCTGGCTGGCCCGCAATGACCAGAGAGGATGGGAGGCGGCGGGGCAGCGAGAGAAGAAGAAACTGCCCTCAACGTGCCCCAGTGGGGCTGGCAGCGGCTCTGGTTCCTAAGCGGCTTTCCCACGGGGGAATAAGGTGGGCGGGCGCACCCATACCCTGAGACTCCCTCAGCTGCCTCAGTCCAGCCATTTCCCATGACTCAGAGCCTAGGAAACCCCCTAGCCCAGCCCGGGATCACACAGAGGAGGGTGCCTGGCCCAGGAGTCCAACAGCAGGCACTGAGCTGCATCAGGACCAACACTAGAAAGAGGAAGTGATCCACCTGTAGACAGGTCTTAACTGTCCTTCCATCAGGCACCAAATCGGAATCAATCCTAATGTCATTTACGGATACTTTTCCATATAACATTCCTTCTAGAAGCCCTGGGCACCTGCCTTTCAAGTAAGAAAGACAGCCCTTTTGGCCCTGGGAGCCCTGAACTTGCCAGGTGTCTGGGGAGGAAAGGGGTCATCCCTGACCCAGGCCCAGAGCTATGAGGTGCCCCTGGAGAGGGAGTGAGAGGACTATGGCCTTTCTCTGGGGCCAGAGGAATCCAGCTGGGTCCAGCTTATGAACCTGACAGTGTGCTGGGGGTACCACCCAGCTTCTTGGCCCGCAGTGCCCCCATCTCCACACATTGTACAGCAAATGGGATAGAGCAGGGAGGAGCATGGGTTTCAGGGTAAAACAGACCAAAGTTCAAATCCTGACTCTGCCAGGTATCAGCGCATTCCTTATCCTCTCTGAGCCTCAGTTTCCCCATCTGCAAAAAGGGAGGCCACAATAATACCTACTTTCTTGGCTTGTACGATCTTTTTTTTTTTTTTTGAGATAGAGTCTAGCTCTGTCGCCCAGGCTGGAGTGCAGTGGTGCAATCTTGGCTCACTGTGACCTCCGCCTCCCAGGTTCATGCGATTCTCCTGCCTCAGCCTCCTGAGCAGCTGGGATTACAGGCGTGTGCCACCGCACCCGGCTAATTTTTGTATTTTTAGTAGAGACGGGGTTTCACCATGTTGGTCAGGCTGGTCTCAAACTCCTGACCTCGTGATCCGCCTGCCTTGGCCTCCCAAAGTGCTGGGATTACAGGCGTGAGGCACTGTGCCCTACCGACTTGTACAATCTTGATATGAGTAAAAGCCCCTGGCATAGGCCTGGCACTTGGGAAGTGCTTGACACATGAACTACTGTAGTTGTTGTTATTCTTTCAACAACTGCTTACTGAGCACCTACTGTGTGCCAGGCCCTAGGGTGGGCACTGAGAACCCAGTGGTGAAATGAACAGATGTGGCCTGGGCCCCACAGATCCTCTCCGGCCCTTTCTGGTCCCAACTCCATCCCTAACACCACCCCCTGCAACATGGCCATCGACCCTGTGGCCTTGGCTCTCCCAGGTTCATCTGTCCCCACACCCCCGCCCATGGGGATGCCCACTGCCTCAAAGGCTGCCAGCGAGCTCTGGGGTGGCTGCTGCAGCCAGGCACGCACTCGGTGGCCAGCCCGCCTGGACCTTGGCTGTACCCAGCCAGCAGAGACCTCACTGCTGCCACTGCCGCAAGGCTCTCCACAGGCTGCCTCTCAGCATCTCAGAGGGCCCACCCACCTCTGCCTGCCTGGCCACCACGCCAGCCACAGAGCCATCTGATTTGAATGAAACTTCAAACTTAATGACTTTCATGCTGGTTATTTAAAACACAATGTAATTTTCTAAAACACCCTATTATTTCTTTTGATAGCTACAAAGCTTCCCCCAGTCCCATAAGCATGTTTATTTTTAGGGAAAAGAGTGGTTTGCAGTTGGTCATAGAGACCATAAGGAGAGGGAACCCACACAGCAGGGCAAAGAGTCAACCCTAGCAGCTCAGAGGCCTGTGCTGCCCTGCCTCCTGCTTAGCGGGTTTTCCACCGGACACCGGGGTCTCCCGGGCAGGCCCTGCCCTACTCTCACAAACATGTTGGCAGTGACTCTCGTCCAGCATTGGACAGTGGCCAAGTAAACACCAGACTAGCACCCTCCCAGTGCTCCCCCTCCTTGGGGCCACTGTGTCCTCTTCTGTAAGATGGTTCCACTAGCTTTCCAATAAGGTTCCTACCAGCATTCCAGGCATGACAAGCCTGGGGAAGGGTCCTGAGACCACCACCTCACCCTCAGCAGCCTCCTCCTGGCTCTCCCAGACATTCTGCCTTGGGTACAGCCACAGGGCCTGAAGCTTTCACCAGCTGAGTGAGACCTGTGCCCAGATAAATTGGCTCCAGGCAGTGGCTGCCCACACTGGGAGGGTGAGTGGGTGGGGCCCTGCCAGTCGGGGCTCCCTGGCAAGGGAGGTGGCCTGGTGGTGGGTGGGTGTGCGTGCAGAGGTCAGCTGAGCCCCACCAATGCGGGGCGTCCTCTGGGAGCAGCTATTTTTAAGTCCCAGGCTTTCATGTGGCCAAATGATGTGGAGTTTACAAAGCATCAGTAATGCGTTTCAGATGGCGGCCCAGCAGGCCAGGAGGCTGGGCCCGCTGCCACCAGAGCCAGGTCAGAGTTAGTCAGAATCCCTCGGCCTAGACTCCCATCACCTGTCCCTCCCTCCCCATGACCCCTTCTTGCCTGGTGGGGAGGCTGGCTCTGGAGCAATGCTTGCAAGGAGCTGCCCAGCAAACCCCGGCTGAGGCCCACCCAGCACACAGGCCTCTCCATGGCCAGGGATTCCTACCCCATTTAAGAAACTGAGACCTAGAGAGGTTCACAGATTTGCGTGAGGTCACACAGCAGGGGGAGGGATGGCTTCCTTCCCATCACAGCTCCCTGCCCTCATGGGAAAACTGGGTTTCCTGGGAGGAGGTGATTTGCCACCACTGGCACCCAAACCAGCTCAGACATGGTGGAGTGGGGGCAGGCCTAACCGTGTAAACCCCCAAAGTCCACACCCACTGTTCCCTGGGGCCACGTCCTGCCCATCCATGCCTGGAGCCTCTGCCGCACACTCATCATTTGGAAGCACATGGTGTGGGGCCCAGACAGCTTTCCTGCCCTTGAAGAGCAAGCTAGTGGTTTTAATGGGGGGCAGGGCGGGGGGGTTAGGAGGAAGCTTATTTGGCAGAGTGTCTGCTCCTCTGATCTCTAGGGAGTTCTAGCTATGGAGTTGGGGCTGCGGGGTGAGGGCTTTGTGTCCCCAGGCTTGCTCCGGCTCTAGAGTAGTCTGCTAGCAGAGCCCAGGCAGGTGACCTCCTCCCAGGAGAAGGCCAGACTCAGGCTCACCCCAGGCCAGAGTCCCTATCCAGCAAGGGACAGAGACCCTCTACTCCCTGGGGAACTGGGCAAGAGGAGCCCCATGTTCCAGCAGAAAGCAGGGGAAGGGGGAACCCTCTGAGGAGGACAAGCCCACCCAGGCTGTAGACAGCTTGTGTGCAGCAGCAGAAGCAGGCCACACATTTTTAAGGGAGGAAGGCGGTTTCCCAGGTCCAGACCCCAAGCATGACAGGTCTGCGAAACAGGACAGCAAACTGCCTGAACCAAGAAGCTGACAATGTCCTGGTTTCTCAGAGATGCCCACCCTCCACCCCTGCCAAAGCCCCTGGGACCCTGGAGCTCTGCTAGAGACAGAGCTGGTCAGAGATGCTCTCCACACCCTGGCTGAGTCACCAATGGGCCTTGGGACCTGAGCGAGCCACTGACCTCTGGGGTAGAGTTCCCCTCAGTAATCAGGGGGCCAGACCCTAGGATCCCGAACCCCGAGAGAGCATGAGGGTCAAATGGAAGGATGGGAAAATGGAAAGTTCTCACCTCTGAGGTACCCCTGCCTTGCACTGCCCAACACCCTTGGGTCTTCTCCACCCAAAGCCTACCTCTCCCTTGGCTCTGTTCGAGTTCCTCCCATGATCCCCATGCCTCCTAGCATCCACCCTGCCCCAGCAGCTGGCTCTCCCCGCCTTTGTCCGCCATGTCCAATTCACACCATCTGTGGGTGGGTACCGCCTTGCCCTACCATGATGCCAACATGCTGCATGCGCCCATCAGCTTCTCCCAGGCTCTGGAACCAGCGCTGCCCCAGCACCAAGGTCACAGGCTGGGACCTTCTTCTCCAGTCTCACCGCACATCCTTCGTAGACCCTGGGCCTCTGTCTGCCCCTCTGCTGATGGAGCATGCCAGCCTCTGCCTCTCTCCTCCTTTGTTCCAGTGGGGCCCCCACCCAGAGTGTTCTCCCCCTCTCACCTGTGCAGGCCCCTCTCTCAGGAGCCTCCCCTGCTGCCCCCACTGGCCTCTCCCTCCTCTGTGCCCTTTTCCCAACTCCAGCAGAATCTCAGAGCCGACTTAGAGGCTCCCAGTGAAAGTCTCTTTGTCTCCCAGGACTGAGCTCTGGAAGGGCAGAGGGAGCCCGCCACATGCTGAGCCAGGCGAAGTATAGAGAAGGGGCTCAGTCGGGGTATGGACCCAAGATTACAGCAGAGAATGTGTAGTCTATCGACAGGCTGAGGGCCCAAGGGTAGGGTAGGCCAGAGGGCACTGCCCCAGGGGAGCTGGGAAAGGAAAGTGCAGCCAAGGCCCCAGTCCCACCTCAGCTTTTGGAGCACTCACACTCCTGGTAGAGGCCTTCCCTCTACCACCGCTGCCACTCAGGAGGCACCTACTGTGTGCTGGGTGTTTCACACACTGTCTCTTTCCATTCCACACTGACCCATACAGGTGAGAACCCTCGTTATCCTCAGTTTTAGATAAGAAAACTAAGGCCCAGAGGGCTAAGTAACTCACCCAGGGCCACCCAGCCAAAGAATGGCAGATACAGTGTCAGAGGGTGCATCGTGCAGACTCAACGCCTTCCCTCTGACCACTCCTCTAAGGGGCCTTGGATAAGTCCCTTCCCTGATCTGGCCTCCCTGTCCCCACCTGCAGCAGGAGGATCTGTGCACTGTACCATTGGGGGTGGGGGCCCCTGTGACCTGATAAAACACCTGTTTCCTCCACCAGAGCCTTGTTTGTACACAGCAGCAGGAAGCACCAGTCACAAGGTGTGAGGGGTGTGACTGTATGGCTTTGGGACCACAACAGCCTGCAGAGGCTCAGGGGGGCTGCGGCTTGCCTTGCACCTCCAGGAGGCTCTGGGCCCACCCCTGACCTGCCTGACCTCAGCAGTTATGCGACTTTAAACCAGCACCCCCAGAGCCCTGCTTAAGCTCAGCTAAACCTCCCTCCTTGGAGGGGCTGGGGATGGGGTATGGTCTCCAGAGACCCAGAAAGGGGGCCACCCTCATCTGCTTCAGCCCCACTCACTTGAGTCTCAGAGTAGCTGAGGAGGTGGCAGTGCTGGTATGAATATTCCCGTGTGCTGCCGTGGAAACTGGCTTGGTGGAACCTGGTAGAGCCTGGGGGGAAGGATCCCAGGTCTCAGCAACCAATCCAGGGCTCTTTGCCAGCCCTGGGCCTTGGGAAGGTCTTTCCTACCCTGCTGAGCTAGTACTCACCCCGACTTTCCAGAGGAGGGGCAAACCGCCCTAAATTCCCGGCCATCCCTCCCTGACCCCAGGACAGGGTGGGGCAGGAAGCCTGGCTCTAACCAGGGGTCTGCAGGATCGGCCCCCTTCATGGTGCTCTCCTGGTTTTGAAAGGCATCAAGGCTTTGAGGGAGCCACCCTCAAAGTCCCACCTTGGAAGCAGCAGAAAAGAGGCTGCAGATTTTCCAAATGTGATAGCCAATACTACGCAGCCTTCCAAGGAAAGAAAGGTAATTCAAAATAGCTCACAGTCGCACTGCCCACCACAAACCTATTCAATGCAGAGCAACAAAGGCAGAACTCCATATCAGCTGTGCTGAGCCACTGTAAGCATGGGACACTCACAGCTCAGAACCTACAGCGCACTGGGGCACCAGGGAAGCAAAACGCCTCGACTCTTCCTGCCTCTTGACCCCATAATTCTGTTTGGGTATTATGCTTCAGGAAAATAGTCAAGGTGGAAACGAAAGAGTGATGTGTACAGAACATCATTCACACTGGGAAAGAAGGCAGCCCGGGAGCAAGCCAGAGCCACAGGGGAGGCTGCAAGCAAGGAGGCTGCCCACACCTGTGGCATCGTGGCAAGAATGAGGGGCACGCACAGGGTGGCCACGGCTTCCCAGGCTGATGGCCATGAGGGTTTTTTGCATTTTTTTTTTTTTTTTTGAGGAGTCTGGTTCTGTTGCCCAGGCTGGAGTGCAGTGGCGCAATCTTGGTTCACTGCAACCTCCACCTCCCGGGTTCAAGCGATTCTCCTGCCTCAGCCTCCTGAGTAGAGTAGCTGGGATTACAGGCGTGTGCCACCATGCCCGGCTAATTTTTGTATTTTTAGTAGAGACCCGGTTTTACCGTGTTGGCCAGGCTGGTCTTGAACTCCTAACCTCAAATGATCCACCCACCTTGGCCTCCCAAAGCGCTGGGATTACAGGCATGAGCCACCGCACCCAGCCAATCTTTTTTTTTTTTTTGAAACAAAACAGCTTAAGCTTCTAACATCTCATGTAAAGGACTTCTACATGACTGAGGAAGGGGAGTCTCTTTCAGGTCAATCTTTGGGGTGGTAGGATAGAATTCTGAGAATGCAGTGAGTGGCTGTGGCTCCCTGCCTGGCCCCAGGGATAGCACTTTCCCCTCCTAAGAATCCTGGGTCAGGCAGGGCAGTAAGTAGGCGGCCTGTACACCTGAGTCCCCAGTCCCAGGGTTCAGACCTCCAGACCCCTCCGTGCCCAAGTCCACGTGGGGCCCACAACTGAGCAACCACTGGCCCCAGGGGAGCCAGGCCAGCAAGGGACAAGGGTTCAGTCATGGCTGACTCCCCCTGGCCAGGCCGCACTGGCACCTCCCTGGGCCCCTCCCTGGCACTGCTGCTGGTCCTCACTCCAAATCTGGGAGGAGGGCTCACCACTCCCATTGTGCAGAGGAGGAAACGAACAGCCGGCCTTTCTTAGGGTTAAGCATGGTGAGTGCATTGTAAAGCAGTGCCAACCGTTTGAGCCCGAAGAGTTGCCAGGGCTGGCAAGGCAGCTGGAGCCAAGGGATGAGGAGGGTCCTACTGGGAATGGTCAGAGGAGGCTCCCTGAGGCAGAGACATCTGAATTGAGCCCTGAGTGAGGAACGAGAAGGTGGCGGCTATGTGCAGGGCTGGGGAAGAGACTTCCGAGCGGAGGGAAGCAGTGCAAGAGTCCTGGGGTGGAAAGAAGTTGCTGGCTGTAAGACCCCCTAGGACAGGGAGGGGACTGCTGTCAGGGAGACAGCAAGAGGCTGGTGCAGGTGATGAGGGGCGGCTGGCGGGGGCCACCCAGGCACTCGGCTGTGATGAGTGGCTTCGACTTCACTGCAAGAGCAATGGGAAGCTGATGCGGGGTCTCATCAGGTGAGAGATGTGATCTGACTCTGTTTTTAAAGGCCCCCTGTGGCTGCTACGTGAAGCCTGGACTGTGATTTAGGATGGGGGTTAGGGGTGAGGGAGGGGTCCCCTGGACGCTGTTGCTGCTGTCTGGGTGAGAGATGGCGATGACTGGGGCTTTGGGTGCTGACTGCAGAGTAGTGGGGAGGTTTGGGATGTGTTCAGAGGGAAGCCTGGGGCCTGCCAGTCCCTCCTCTGTCTTCATCTGTTGGACACCCTGTGGCCTTCAGAGTGCTCCTCAGTGGGCCCCCCTTCACAGCCAGGGCTGGGGCCGGCTCTGCCCGGGACACCTCAGTGACAGCGCTCCTCTCGCCAGCTCTGCTTCAGGTCTCTATCTGTCTCCTCGGCTCAGCTGGGCACTCCCGGGGTAGAGCCTGGTTCCAGTCTGGGGGCCCAGTACCTGGTACCAAGCTTGGTGCCAAATTCCCTCCTAACAGGCTTCACTGCAACCAGGGCTGGTGCTCAACACCAATAACTGACGCTTCCCAGCAAGGCCCACAGCTCGCTCTGGGGCGTGTGGAGGCCGGTGGGTGCTCCTGCACCTATGCATCTCTGCAAAGCTCCTCGGACAGGCTGGCCGTGCATCAGCAGCACTTCCTTCCTCTGCTGGAGCCTTGCTCATACCCTCACCTCCTGCTCCCCCAGGCACGCTCTGGACCTGCCGGGAGCCCCAACATGAGTCCACTGCCTCAGTGAGGCTCCTTCTGCTGGACCTGACACCTGATGCCTGACCCCCTGGCTTGGGGCATCCCCAGGCACCTGGACAACTGTGGAGATCAGGGACAGGGACACATGGCCCCAAGTCTGCAACAGCCAAAGGCCTCAGCCTTTTTATTTAATTTGAGATGTAATTCACATATCATAAAATACACTGTTTTAAAGGTTATGTAATTCAGTGGCTTTTAGTATATTCATAAGATTGTGCAGCTGCCACCACGATCTAATTCCAGAACCTATTCATCACCCCAGAAAGTATCTCCATACCCATTAGCAGTCGCTCCCTGGGCCCCTCTTCCGTCAGCCCCTGGCAAGCACTAATCCTCTTTCTGTCTCTATGGATGTGTCTATTCTGGATATTTCATCAAAATGGCAAAAGGCTCGGCATCTGTCTAAGCTACAGACTCCAAGTAGAGCTCATAGAAGAAGCCACAGCTCAATGCAGCCTCATATCAATTTTGGATATGACAAGACTGACTACACTGAGTTTGAGCCTGAGTTTGCCTAAGGAATGATGCCTTACCCATCCCAGAATCCCCCCAAAGTACAGCCTAAGATCAGCTCACTATCTCCCCACTCACCACCTCCACCTACTTTCAGGTCTCAGAGCAGAGCAGAGAAAACCAAACCAAAGTCCAGGCAACACAGTGAGACCCATTGCTACAGAAACAAAAACAAACTTAGCCGGGCATTGTAGTGCATACCTGTAGTCCCAGCTACTCAGAAGGCTGAGGTGGGAGGATGGCTTGAGCCCAGGAGTTTGAGGCTGCAGTGAGCCAAGATCACACCACTGCACTCCAGCCTGGGCAACAGAGTGAGACCTTGTCTCTAAAAAAACACAAACACAAACACAAAACAAAACAAAAAAACCCTGGTTACTGGTCTAGGCCAGTAACTGCCTGCAAGCCTACATCAATCAGGTGCCTGACAGTGTTCATGGAATAAACTTTGACCTAATTTTTTCTTCCTCAAACAAGCTTAAAAGAAGCCAACTACCAAAAAGAAGGAACCTTTTTGGAAGAAAAAAAAAAATGTGTCCCGTGGCAGTTGGCTGTGGGGTGGTCATTCAGCCTATTGCTCCGGGCAAGGTTCGAGCTGGCCTGTTTTGAGGTCTCTAACACAGTAGCCACATGGGCATCCTACCCACACATGGGCAGAGCAGGTCCCTGGTATAGGCTTTCCCTGCTCTTGAGGGAGGTGCAATGACTGGCCTCAAGCCTCTCAGCATAAGTGTTGACCACATAGGTGCCCTCAGAGAGGGCCGGGCAAAGGGCAAGGGGGCCTGGATCTAAGGCCTGTGGCAGGGCCTGAGCAGCAAGCTGTCTGTCCTTTAAAGATGGGCTTGGGAAAGTGACCAGCTTTGGAAAAATCTTCCAAAGGCAGTTTTTCCTCAGGGCCCTTGCAAGGGGCTCCTGACCCAAGAAAAGAAGATCATTCCTGGTTCCAGACACATGAACCTTGAATCCAATAATAAATATGCTTCTAAAATGTGGGGGTGGATTCACTTTGCTTGGTAAAACCCAACCACATTTTCAATGCCCACACGTCTTCAGGTAATGCAAGCAAATGCTCTGACTTGCTATGTGTTTATAACTGGCAGGTTTGCTTAAAAGAGGTTCTCCTACATTCACATACAGCTTCCTCACTGAGTGTCACTCCAACTTACACCTCTGCCTCTGTCCTTTTCTGCAGCCCCACAGAGCAGCTGAGGCCAGGGCACAGAGAGCCAGTGTCACAGCCCGTCCTTTTCCTCCTCCTGTGTGGCCAGAAGCCAGACAGTGGAGACTGTGGCTGCGCGGGGAGGAGGGCAAGGGGATTTGTACCTATAGGAGCAGGTGCGATACATAGAAATGTATCTGCTGTAGCTTGAGAAAGACTGAAAGGTGAAAAATAAATGACCCAGGCCAGTGGTGGTGTGCCTCCTCCACTGTCCTGTTAGAGCCTACTCTTGACCCATGTGGCCCAAAGGACACCAAATGGTCCCATCACCCATACCCTGACAGCAGAACGAAGCCCTCCCTGCTCCAGATACTCTCCCAGCACTTGCCCACACCATGAGATGACCTCCGAAAGGAAGCCTTTTCCCTGTGCTGCTGTGGAGCCCCGGGAGGCTGGAGTAGAGCCTTGGGCCTAGGCCTTTTGTCTAATCATGGTTCCACGGTGACCCCAGCCCCTATGCAAGTGGCACACCTGTTGGAAGTTTGGCACTGGTGGGTTATGTCAACCTAGTCCCAAATCTAAGGGTTTATTTACATCTTGTAGGGATCCAAAACGCATCTTTGTTAAGCATGGGCTCACACAGGGTGAGTTCTCTGGATGTAGTCACTACATCAGCGGGGGAATGCTGGGGGGCACACCCCCCATCTCACAGACTTGGAAGGAAGTGAACCACCTCATATACCAAGCCACCCCAGAGCAGAAAGTCGGATACAGAGACTACTCGAAAAACATACTCATTTTACAGATAAGGGCCCAAAGGGCAAGGAGCTCATTTCTAGAGCTAGCCATAGAATAGGCTTTCCAGCCTAGGCTTCTGGAAAGAAGCCTATATGTCTTCTCATTCCCACTGGCTTGGCATGCAGCAGCTCTCAGAACCACCCTCTTCACTCCTGGTCTGAAATAGCCTAGCACTTAACTCTCCTCCCTCTGGTGACCCCACTGTAGCCATGCGAGCCTCCAGCCTGCCAGCCCCACCTGCACTGGGCTTACATTCACACCCAACACTCACTTACCACAGTCCTCCAAACCTTCCACGTACCTTCACCCCAACTTGGACCAACTGAGGAGAGTGTGAAACACGAATAGGAATTTCTTTAAAAGCGCAGCTGTACTGCTCCAAAACACTCAGAATAGGCTCTTCACACTTTAGGTCATCTGTACCAATGGGCATGGTTTGTAAAGATCATGAAATCTTTTCAAAGCACTGGGACTTAAAAATATTTAATTCACGAATTAATTAAACTGGTCCCTTCTCAACATCACTGATTTGTAGCACCTTTGCCAACCCTTCCTGGTATGTCTGAGACCAAGCCAGTTTCCTAAGAACCCACTTTCCACACATGGTGTTCAGGGTCCTTCTTTGGCAACGGTACACTCACGCCCGTCAGGACACAGCCGACCGAACACAGCACGTTTCTCCTGCACAACCAGGGGACCTGAACAGATCAGCTTTCCTGCCCATTCCTCCAAGCGCCAAGGAGGCTCAGGGTTTCCTGGGCTAGTTAGAAAGTTAATTGCAAAGCTCTGAGCTCAGATCAGAGCAGCGAGGAGCAAGGGTGGTCTCGGCTCAAAAGTTCTCTAAGAAGACCCCACCCTGGCATCACCCAGCACCAGGACAGAGCCTGCACCTGCTTATGAGCAAGCTGGGAAGACAAAAGCCAAGAGGCAGAGGGCAGGGGGGTGCCCCAGGGCGGCCCCTCCTTCCTTCAGCAAAGTTCTCCTTTTGGTTCAGATCCCACCGGGTGTGTATGGGAGAAAAGACCAGCACAGGAGTCTCGTCTATTTTGTTCCAGGCAGAAGTCTCTTGCCGGTGCCTCACCTACCTGGTCAAGGAGGCTGCAAGCACAGGGCGGCACTGGCTGCGGGGTCCACTTACCAGCGGGGGCTGCGGCTGGGGGTGCTGCCCTGCTCCCGAGGGGGGTGGGTAATGCATGAGCAGATTGAAGGCGGAGTAGACGGTCTCTTTGTACATGCCGCTGGTGCACTCCGGGGCCTTCAGGCCTGGAAAAACCACAGCTGGGTCAGACACACCAGCCCTGGCAGCGGCTGGGACTGAAGGCTGTCTGCTCTTGAGAGAAAAAGAATTGCCAAGGGGTCCCCTGCAAGTTCCTGACTTGGGAAGGAACGGGCTGGGAGTATCGGCAGTGCCAAGTTTTAGGGGAAGGACCTGGAGGGCAGGCCTCCCCGAGGTGGCCCCTACTTGACCTCCCACCCCCCGCCCTCCAACCAAGAAACCTTGGCCAATTCTGTCTCCTGAAGGCGGCGGATTAGTCAGTCACCTGGGCAGGAGGGGAGGCGGGGATGGCGGGGGTCTGTTTACTCCTATAAAGGTCAGGGCACCGGAAGTGACTCGACCCGGCGGCGCCCGGGAAGCCCGCCCCCCACTCTCCACCCCTGGGTTCTGCCGCCTCCTGAGCTGCGGTGGGGGAGGCACCCGGCTCCCCGCGGTCCTTGGCGTCCCCGTCCCACCGAGGCCAGGGCCTGAGCGCGACGAAGGGAAGCCGGGCCGGGCAGAAACTCACCGTCCTCCAGGGGCTCTGGAAGTTTGTCCGGGAAGAGTCTCTGCGCAGCGTGTTCCCGCCCGAGAGCCTGGAGGGAGAACCGGAGGGGAGTGAGGGGCGGTGGGACCGCGGGGGTCGGGGCCGACGCCGGGGCAGGGACGCTCTGCGCGCTGGAGACCCCGAGGGCCGCGCGCAACTGGGGCGGCGCGGCGCGGCGACCGCGGGGGAGGAGCCGGCGCCGGCGGGGGCTCACCTCGGCCTCGCCGCGGGCCCCGGCGCCGGCCCCCGGGACCCCCGGGATCCCTGCGCCGCCGGCCGCGCCCTCGGACTCGTTCACGAGCGACGACTTGAGCTCGGCCAGGTCGCGCTCGGGACCGGCGGCGCTGTCGCGGCTCTTGTCGTCCTGCTCCTCGCCTTCATCCTGGAAGGCCAGCAGCTCGTCCGGCGCGCCGAGGTCGTCGCCGCCGCCCGCGCCGCCCCCGCCGGAGTCCAGCTGCGGCATGGTGCGCTCCGCCCGCCGGGGCGCGGGGCGCTGGGCGCCGGGAGTGCGGGGCGCGGAGCCGGCCCGGGGGGCGGCGAGCCCGGAGTCCGAACCTCCGAGCTCGGATCGCGGCGGGCGGAGCGCGGGCTGACTCCGCCTGGGCGGGCTGCAGGCGCGGGCTAGGGCGCGGGGCAGAGCGGCTCCGCGAGCTGGCGGGTCGGAACATCAAAGGCGCCGCCGGCCGAGTGCCGGGGGCGGGGCGGGCACTGGGGGCGGGCCGGGCCGGGGGCGGGACACAGGTCCGCCCCGCCTCTCCTCTCCCGGGAGAGGCCGGGACGCGCCCACTCGGCATAGCCTTAAAGGGCTCGCTCTTCCGGAGCGCACCCTGAGAGAGACGTCGGACAAGCCTGGGAATGATCACCCTTCTCCCGAAACGCAGAGACTCTAACGGGAACTCCTGACCCCGCTTACTCACCTACAACCAGATATTCCCCCTGCTTTCTGCGCCCAGGTTTCTCCTCCGGCTGTGGAGGGCGGGGGTCCCCTAGGCCCTTGGGACTTGGGCGTGGCTTACCATCGCAGCCGTGGTGTGAACTGTATCGTGCCCAGGCTCCAATGCGCCCTGTGCTTTGAACTGGGGGCTTCCTAGGGCTTGAGGCTGCTTGAGGCTGTGCTCGTACCCCAGGGAACCGGCAGCGTTGGAACTCCGCGGCGCTGTTGCGGCTCTTGCCCCATCCTCCATCCCTGTGCCAATCAGGGACTTCCTTCTAGGCCGCCTGCATACAGTGCGAACATAAGTATACCCCCCTTCGCACATTTATTGAGCTCCTGTTGCGTGCAGAGCTTATACATCACACATCTGTGACGGGCCCCTCAGTCAGGCGACGGCTCCGAGCCGCGAACACAGCCAAGAGCACCGGACCTCAGCCGATCCTCCAAGTCCCAGCCCCTATGACTCTCCCAACTCGGTTCCGTGACTAGAACCTGCAGCCCGGAGACTCGGAACTTTGGGCAGCCACGTGGGCGCGGGATTCCGACATGGGTCGCTCGTCCACAGCAACTCAACCCTAGAAGTCGCATTTAGGGAGCCCATGACTCTGAAGTTGACCCTGGCCTGACTAACCCTCTAACCCTCGCTCGATCCAGGCTGAAACATCTAGATTTGCGGAGCGCGGGAAAGTGCCTGGATTCCAGCGCATCTGTATGGCACCCGGGTCTGCGTCCACGCGGGCCTCCACGGCGCGCTTGGCCTGGCTCAGCCCCTGCATCTACAAAAGACGCCGGTCCTTTGGATCGCGATGCAGTCAACAGCAGCTCCCCTAGCAGGTTTCTGTGCTGGGTTCACTGTAGACGCTCACGCCTCTTCTGAGAGCAGTTGGGATAGAGGGTATTTGGGGGAGGGCCGGGTATTGGACGCCTCTCCCTCTGAGGGCCCCACAGGACCCCTGGCAGCGGTGCAAAGCCGGGCCGGAAGACAGCCGTGCCTCCCTCCGGGTCCAGGCCCAGCGTGGCTGGCTGTGGATCAAAGAGCTAGGCCATGCTTCCCTGTGTTCAGATCCTATCTGTGCCCGCCCAGCCGGGTGTCTCGGACACCAGCCCCCACACCCCCCTCCCCCGCCACCTCCGGGCTAGGGTGCCCACTTTTCCTCCTTTCCCCAGGCTGGGGCTGGGGGGTGGCATGGGCACGAGTGCTCAGCTTGGTGATGGAGATGAGGGGGACCCTGCCCATTAGGTCTCCCCAGCCTCTTCCCAGGGTGGGCTTGCCGCTTAGTCTCGCCTCATCTGCTCCGGATTGGCGGGGAAGGGGGGGCTCGGCCCTGCCCGGAGGGGAGAGGTACAGGGACGGGAGTTCAGAGCCTCCGCCACCTCAACTCCTGAGGTTATAGGTAGGGTCTGGCATAGGGTGAGCCTCCTCTGGGACAGCTGAAAGGGAATCCGGATCTGCCCAACCCAATGGCTTTAGGGGTCCTCATGTGTTTGTAGGGAACCCTGGTTCAGCAGGAACGTCCTCCAGAATAGCTGTCCCCAGACCCATGAGTTCCACCGACACAGATCAGTGGAGGCTGAAGTGTTCTCCAGTCCTTGGAGAAAGGAGAAAAGTCACAACAACAGTGAGGTTCTTTTTGTTTTGTTTTGTTTTCTCAATAAGGTTAAAACTTTCCAGCTTCGTATTAGCCTTTAATCAAGGATTATGCCCTTACTGCTTTATTGGTGTGAAAACATCCTTTCTTTACTAAAATGGTGGTGGGACAAGTGTTTTTTTTCATGTCTTTATTTGGTGAAAGAACATAAGGAACATTTTTTTCCCCATCTGTTAACTCCCCCACCCTCAAGTTTCTTTGGACATTTTATAGTCTGGGAACAACTGTCCTATGGGGTCATAGCTCCAACTCCCCACCCTGCTGGCTGGAACCAGAGGAGAGGGTGGGTGAGTAGGGAGAGTGGGACTGTGAGGAGGCGTGAGGGAGAGAAGGGCTGAGTCACAGGCATCCACAGCCACACTGAAATCAGTCTGAAGGCTTGCTAAGGGATCATCTACTGTGTACCTAGCCCTGGCTTGGGCTGTGGAGAGGGAAGGGCTAGAGGTGTCTGCCTTCCAGGAGCCATTGGCTGCTTTGAGAAGCTGAAGAGTTATTAGAGCCGATTTAGGTGCTAGAGTAGTCTATACAGGTAATGGACAGAAAGAGCTCAGATATGGTGAGATCAATGTGGACTAGAGTAGTCAGGGTGGCTTCCTGAAGGAGGTAGATTTCATGTGGGCCTGGATGGCTTAGGAGGGTTTGGAAAGCTGGAAAGGAACAAGAGCTCTGATTTGTTCCCCAGAAGTTGGTGCGGCCCCACAGGAGTCCCTGGTCTAGTCAGCACTGATTCCTTCACCATCGTCTACACAACGACCAACCTCATATACTGAGTGATTACTATGTGCCAGGCATCCTGTCAAGAGCTTCACACACATTATCTCATTTAATCATCACACCAACCCTGTGACATAGGGACTCGTATCCCCATTTGACTAATGAGGAAACTGAAGCTCAGAGAGATGAAGTCACCTAAGTTCTCACAGCTTGAAAATGAAGGTGTCAGAATTTGAAACCCAGGCAGTCTGACTCCTGAGCCCACATCCTAACTATCACACTCTAGTGTTCCATTATAAAATTCCAGAGGGAGTCCTTATTTGCCTTGTGGTCTTGGCAGACAAATGCTGACAAATAAGCTGTCACTAATATGGAGCCCTGACTTTCTGGGTGGCTCATGTTGCATGAAGGGGGCCATCAACAGGATTAGGGAATCATCTTGGTGGTCTGTATAGGGGGCCCAAGACCTTTGCTGGCAGAGAGGGCCTAGAATCTCTCCCTTGAACCAGACAGATCTCAGTGTGTACCATCTCTCTGCTGAGCCCACCCGAGGCCACCTGTTCTGGGAATTGGCTCAGATCACATACACAGATGATAGACACTGGGGTTCTTCCACAGGGTAGTGAGTGCAATCTGCTGTGGTTGCCCCCCTGGAGGTGACCGGGGAGTTTCAGGACCAGGACCAGCTGCAAGGAGGCCCCAGAGTCTTCTGGATTCATCCAGACCAGGCCAGGGCTGGTGATTTAATAAGGCTTCATCTTCACGCAAATGAGCTTGCACTAGTCAGATGCTGGAAACAGGACTAAGTCAGGACTCCCAAGGCTTGAGGGTTGTTGGAGCAGATGAGCTCCAGCTTTAGATTTGGGCAGTCTTAAGTTTCCATCTCTGCCGTGCCACTTACTAGCTGTGGGACCCCAGGCAGATTGCTGACCCTCTCTGAGCCTCAGTCTCCCCATAGGTTAAATGGATGTCATACGCAGGCCTGCCCTGCTCTGTTGGAGTGCAGTCGAGATGAACCACTGTACCCTAGTGAAGAGCTTAGAACAGCAGCCTGGTGCATTCCAAGTGTCTAATGGGTGCTCTTGAACGAGATATTTTTCGGAAGTTGTTAGGCTAATTGGCTCTTCATGTAACGTCATGTAAATCATCTGAATGTTCTCATGGCCTGAGCCCACTTAATCATGGCTAGAGCTGAAAATATACATTTCCTTTCCTTTTCTTTCAAGCTCCTTTAACATGAAAGGCCCACGTGAACTCTGACCTTTTCTGACAGGGAGACCCTTGAAATGTGGCATTTCCAGAAAACGTCTCAAAGGAGCCCCAGATGGATTTAGTAAATTACAGCAAGGAGAGGTTGTGAGCGGCGTCTCTTCCTGCTCACCAGCCCGCCTGGCATCCTGTTGGGGCTTGCCCAAAGCCGCCGGGAGGCTGGGCTGCTGGCTCTCGGCAGGAGCACTTCCCATGGAGCATCCTCTCAGGGCAAAACCCGGTTACAGGTCCTAGAGGTAGACTGTGGTTTGTTACTAGAAACACGGTTTGCTTTCTGGAAACTCTGTGTAGTTTCACTGTTTGTTGGGGCGTGTGTGTCCATGTGTGTGCATGTAGGTGGTTGTGACCTACAGAAAGGCAAGCACACACAATTGCTGGGATGCTGCTACTCTGCATCAGGTACCAGGCAGCTGCCCTTAAAATGAAGCAAGGGGGCTTTGGGGTCAGTTCTTTCTTCATAAGGAAGGAAGGACTCTTCTGTGGGTTCTCCCCTCCTGCTCCATCCCTCGGACTTCATACAATAACCAAGAATTGTTATTAAAATAAAGACTTAATAACAAAATTGGCAGTTCATATTTCCTGATGAAATCCTAAGGAAACTTGGCCAAATTGGCTTGAGAGGTGATGGGCAAATTATGAGAAGAGCTGCCCCAGAGCTTCACAGGGCTTGTTAGGACTATTCCCATGGGTTATTTTTCCCACATTGTGCCAGCCATTGTTCCTGATGAATGGGTTTGGGGTTCCCTCACCAGAAGGAAACATTAGGCTTGAATTTCCCCAGGAAGGAGTCTAGAGTCAGAGACACCAAGGTGGCGACAGCGAAGGCAAACGTGGAGTGGCCACTGTGTGCCAGGTCCTAGGCTGCCGGGTGTACCAGTTGTCCAAGGGGTCGGGAGTGCCAGCCTGTGTCCTAGTCCCTGACCCAACACTGGCTTGCCGAGTGAAGTCAAGTCAGTCCTCTGCCTTCTTTGGGCCCAAATTCACCTGGAAGCTGCAGATGCCTCTAAGTTCTTTTTTTTTTTTTTTTTTTTTTGAGATGGAGCCTTGCTTTTATTGCCTAGGCTGGAGGGCAGTGGCACGATCTCGGCTCACTGCAACCTCTGCCTCCCAGGTTCAAGCAATTCTCCTACCTCAGCCTACCCAGTAGCTGGGATTACAGGCACCTGCCACCACGCTCGGCTAATTTTTGTATTTTTAGTAGAGATGGGGTTTCACCATGTTGGCCATGCTGGTCTCGAACTCCTGACCTCAGCTGATTCAACCACCTTGGCCTCCCAAAGTGCTGGGATTACAAGCGTGAGCCACCGCACCTGGCCAGGTGTCTCTAAGTTCTAAGGATGCCATGAAGAGCTTATGGCCTTGAGACCAGAGGTGAGAGACAAGCGGCGTCACAAATGCAGCAGAAGGTGGAGCACACCAAGGCCTGGTGTTCATGTGGGGGTCACCTGCAGCTTCACAGAGGAATACGCCTGCACTAAATCCTATGTGGCCTGGGGAGACAGCCTCAGACACACTGAGAGAGGAATGTCTTATTGAGAAAGAACTATTCAATATCGCTTTTTAAGACAGGGCTATACAGGGCTTTGTTGCTTATCCCTAGGGCCTGGCACAGAACTGGCAACCTGCGGTGCTCAGAAGTTTTTGGATGGATGGCTGAATGGAAGGATGGATCGATCATCCATAGCAGTGATCACTTAGAATCCAGGAAGTAGTTAGCAGGCCCCGTACCTGCCGTCAGGCAACTCACCATCTTGTGGAAGACATCAGGCGCTAAAGAGGCTCTGGGAGCCAGGGGTTCAGAAACCCTCCTGGCTGTTTTATGCATGTCATGGCACACAACATGGCAGTTAGGGAGGGCTTCCTGGAGGAAGGAGGTCCTAGGTCAGCCTAGGAGAGAAGAGGGATTAAAGAGGATGTGGCCTTTTCCGGGTGGGGCAGTAAGCCACACTCTGGGTGATGGTGGACTTTGACCCCATAGGGTCCCTGGGACCTAGGTGAACTAGGCCCTGGGGGAGAGTTTGGCCATCCATTGAACCTTGCCTAGAATGGCACCTTTTCATGTCTCAGTTCCTGCAGTCCTCCAACCCCTGCCACCTAGGACAATTCCTCCAAGTATTCCCTCCCCAGGACACTGGCTCTCCCTGTCTGCCCTCTCTCCTAGAATAGACTACCTCCCAGTATATGACCCACTGCCTTGCATGGGGCTTCAAGACTTTCCTGGCTCAGTGCCCCGAGGAAAGCTCACCCTCTTATTCCATATTCACCCCTCTCCAGCCCAGGACAACAGGGGTAGTAGGGGAAGGAGCAACGGGATGTGGTGGGCAGGGTAAATTTGAAGAGGACCTGTACCAGATCCTGTAGTCACTGCTCACCACAGCTCTAACCAGGCCTCCCGCCTGCCCAAATGGATTCTCACTTCTTGGGATCATGGCACCTTCATCTGTGGCCCTGCTGGATACTAACATGGGCCAAGCATACTGTGGCACTTAATAAATGCTTTCTGCCCAGGGGATGGGGCTGTTGCATAATGGTCCAATGTGTTTCTTCAGGCTCCCAGGGTGGGGGTTGGGAGTGGGGACGGACGGGTTTCCAGTTCGTTTGTTAGCTGGGCATTCTGCAGTCTGAGGCGTCTTTTTCTTTTTAAGGCCCATTCCTGGTCTCTTCCTAATCCAGGAAGCCTCCCCGCCTCCCCAGGTCTGCAGAGATACTTTCTCCTTTCAGGAGTCCCATTGCCTTTAGAATTGAAGCCACCATCATATCCTGAGCTGTTGGCCTCTGTTTCCTGTGAGTGAGTCTCCTGTCCCTCTGCTACTGTGTCTTTGTTTTCTGTTGGTCAAGAGCTGAGCTTGAAACTCATAGCCTGGGTGTGAAATCAGCTTCTCCACTTACTCAGTGTGAGCGGGACCTTGGGCAAGCCACCTCCTTCCTGGAGCCTTCTTTTTCTCATCTGTTAAGTGGGGGTAAGAGTAATATTTGTCTCAAAGAGCTGGGAAGATGGGATGAGTTCCTGCTTGTAGAGTACTTAGCCCAATGTCTAGGGCAGAGTAGATACTTGCTGAGTGGTGACTGTTGTCACTTATTGTTCCCAGGCAGCAGGGCTGAGCTCAGGACCAGGCCTGTCATGGTGCGTAGCATCTGTTGCCTGAGCAAGCAGCTGCCTTTGCAATCCTGCAATCTTGCAGGGGTCATGGGTGGAGAGTGGGGACCAGGGTGGGGAGGGCACCAGGAATCCTGCTTTCTGAGGCCAGGCTGAGGCTGCCAGGACGTTCAGCCTGAGTGGTGACTCCTCTTGCCAAGAGATGGCCATCTCCAGATGTCTGCAGGTTGGAGGAGCCGGCTGGCCATGTAGGGGCCTGGGGGCAGAGACAGGACTAATGGGAGGAAATTACACAGAGAGATTTCATCTCGGCTTGAGGAAGCACGTCTAGCAGTCAGAGCTGGCCAGCCATGGCCCGGCCGGGCTGCAGCAGAGGCAGTGAGCTCCCTGTCACCAGAGGTGTATGAGCAGAGGCTGGGGGCTCTCTAGGGAGGGAAGCCACGGAGGGGCTGTCTGCCCTCCTGGCCCCTCTGAGGCTGTGAGCAGTCCCTTCTACTTCCTGTGCGGCTTTGCCCATCACTTGGCCCGGTTGAGCCTACTGCAGGCATCTGACCAGCTGCAGGCTCTGAGGTGAGTGTGAGGGCAAAGGTTTGGACACCTCTGGCTCCAAAGTGGGGCTGGAGGCTAGAGCAGGGGTGGTCTCTGTAAGAGTCTGATCTCAAGGGGGCCTCATACCAACAACATCACCTTCTTTTTGGAGAGGCAGCCTAGTGGAGTGGCTGGTAGCCTTAGGCCTTCTGGGGCCAGGGAGGACAGAGACCAGAGGGAGGGATTATTCTTAAGCCAGCCACCCCTCACAGGCTTCAACTTTTTCTAAAACCAGGAACTGGAAGGAGAAAGATGGGAAGAAATAGGAGAGAAGAGAGCCTGGGTTTCCATTTTGCTCCCGCCACTTGGTAGCTCTGTGGCTTTGGCAGGTCACTTACCCTTTTTTGGTTCGTAAGTCACTTACCCTCTTTGTCACTTACCCTCTTTGGTATCATCTGTAAGATAGGATGACGGGCCAGGCGCGGTGGCTCACGCCTGTAATCCCAGCACTTTGTGAGGCTGAGGCGGGTGGATCACGAGGTCAGGAGTTGGAGACCAGCCTGGCCAACATGGTGAAACTCCATCTCTACTAAAAATACAAAAATTAGCTGGGTGTGGAGGCGCGCACCTGTAATCCCAGATACTCGGGAGGCTGAGGCAGGAGAATCGCTTGAACTCAGGAGGCAGAGGTTGCAGTGAGCTGAGATCATGCCACTACACTCCAGCCTGGGTGACAGGATGAGACTCCATTTAAAAAAAAAAAAGAGGATGACAACACTGCCTGTCTCACTGGAATCTTGTAAGGATTAAATGGTTACTGTTTTTAACGTAGTTGGAAGAGTTTGTGGTCCTGTGTTTGTTAAATATACACAAATTAACTTCCCAGCTCACCCATGCCTAGTATTATGCAAGGGGCTTCACATCAATTACCTTGTTTGGTCTTCACCACAGCCACATGAGCTTGGAATGACTATTATTAGGGAAAGTGGACCCAAGAAGGTCAAGTTCCTTGCCTGAGGTCACACAGCTAGTAAAAGGCAGAGCAAAGGTTGAAACTCAGGATGGTCTGTCTCCAGGACCGGGGCTCTCCACCACTCGGGCCTGCCTATTCCAGGGCTGGCAGCCTCTCTACAGAGGTGAAGCGTCTACTGGATCACTTTTGACCAACAACACATCAGCCGGCAGAGGAAGGAGGGGTGGGCCAAGAAGGGCCCCTTCCCTCTCAGGCCGGAGAGATTCCTCTGACTAATTTGCTGAGTGACTTCGATGGCAAACTGCAGCCCTGTTCCCTCCAGCTGAGTAAGCTCCATCATGGGGTCCTAGAAAGAGGGAGTTTCTAGTGTGGGCACCTCCCAAAGTCAGATGAGGGGTTGGCTGTGTTTGCCTGGGCAGGGGCACTGCCAAGGGAGCAGGGCCACCCCAGATGGCCTCCAGGAGCAAGGCACAGGAGCTGGGAGACCCGGGTCCCCATGCAGCTTCCCTGGGTGTGGGTGGTGGCTGCAGCCTAGGGTGTTTTGCTCACTCTCATTTTCTGTTTTGTCCCAACAGGACTCCTCCGTCTTGCTCATGACTGGGTCCCCTGGGCAGAGCCAGGTCCTGGCAGAGAGCAGATATCCAGTAAATACCTCTTGGCCCTAAGAATGACTGGGAACACTCATGTAGCGAGAACACCTTCCTGTGTGTTATCTCATCTCATCCTCACAGCAGCCCAGAGAGGTAGGTCTTTTAACCCCATTTTACAGACGTGGAAACTGCGGCTCAGAGAGCGGAAGTGACTCGCCCAGGTCATAAAACTCAAACTTTTGGGCTCCAAAGTTTTGGGGCTCCAAACTGACTATAGTTCTGCAGCCTACAGAGAGCTCGCCCTGTTCCTTTTGTGAGGATAGTGGGGGGCAGCAGGAACCCCAAGTTATTGGAGGCCTCCCCTGGCCTCCTTTAACACAGAGGAGCTCCTGGGATATCAATGGGGGTGGTGTTATCAGCCAGCAGGGGGACAGAGCCTGGGGCTGCAGAGCTTCTGGTGGAGGTGGGGCATCTCAGGGTTGCTGATGGTCATCCATTCACGGAGCGAGTTCTTTCCCAGCCTCTGCTGGGTACCAGGGCTAGACAGGGCCATGCTCTCAGGAGCTCTCGGGAGGTAGGCTAGATGGGTCCAAGTCACTGTCCCAAGGCGGGGGCGTCAGAGTGCCGCCTCACTTGCAGGGAATAGCATGCTGTTTACGGGAGACAGTATCAAGGAACCGCTTGGGACCCCCTGCCCCCATGACTGCAGCCTTCAGAGCTGTCTGGGATTGGGCGTGGCAGGGCAGCTCCTCCGAGTGCATCCGTTGTGAGTGGTGAAAGTATATCCCCTCGCTTTGGGGTCACTGGTGGGCCCCTGTGGTTTTCCTTGTCAGCTTTGCTGTTTTTAGTCTTTGTTCACTGCTCTGTTATTACCGACATCTTAAAGGGTTTCCCCATCGTGGTCAAGTTGGTCTTTTGTTTTTAGAATTTTAGAATTTCTCTCCTTTTCTCCCCTTTCTCCTCCTGGCCCATGGTTTTGGAAAAAGCTGAAGCAGGAGGTAGGTGGGGGAGGGAGGTTAAAAGCAACCCCACCCTGCATCCCTTGCCTCCCTCTCCCTACCCCCAGCAGGCCTGAGGGGCCCCCAGGGTGGACCTAGCTCAGAGGGCAGCATCTCGGGCAGAGGGCACCCTTATAAACTGGAGATTCTTGTTCCTGTTCTAAGCGGAGCTTTGGTGCCTCTCGCCCTGCACGTACAAGACCCTTTGTGCAGTGATCCAGCCACTCTCCCTCCCTCCGGGATTCTCACCCGCTCAGGGATGCCCACCCACTGTGGGCAGCCGCCAGCACCCCTGCACCCACTGAGTGTGAGCAAGTCACCTCCCTTCTTGGGGCTTGTAGTGGCCTGGGAAAATGGGTACATGGCAGAGACAGATGAGGGATGAGGGGAAGGGCTTTCATGGGGCCTCTCTGCTCATCCCTGATTCATTGTAGGACTGGTTCTGTGGCCAAAAACTCCCCTTCTGAAATTCACAGCCCCTTGGTTGGGGCGGGGGTTTCCTCATTTGCAGCAGGCTGGGCCCTAGTGACGTAACTTGCCCATCATGGTGGATTTCGGGACCCAGGCCAGGGCTCAGGGTGGGCCGGGTGGGTCCCTCCAATCTGCCCCTGGGGCTGGTGCCTGGCATCTGGTTCTGAGAAGGTGGGAACTGAGGAGCTGAGGAAGCCCCAGGTCCTCAGAGATGAGCCTGCCTTTCTACTTCCACCTAGGAGCCGAGCAGCGCTCCTAGTGCCCCTTGCTCAGCCCTGCTCCTAGGACCTCAAACTGGGGAGGGACAGAAGTCCCAAGGCTTTTTGCCCCCGCTCCTCCTGCTACAAGATAGTGTGGTGTTCTGGCCTGTGCCTGAACTACTCACGCTTGTGTGGCGGCGCTGGTAAACATTTCGTTTTATGTTTGAGGATGAGATTCAAATCTGCAGGGGGGAAGCACTTAAAAACAACCCTTTGGCTGCTGGGACTCATACCTGAGACAGGCTCACAGTGTGTCTGCATTTCCAAGCGTGAGAAATGCTGTCTGGGCCTTTCCTTTGTGCCCACAGAAAGTCTCGAAGTACTCAGGGCACCAGCTTGAAGGCTGGCGGAGAGCTAAACTATGAGGCCCTTGCAGAGGGGAGTCGATCTCTCCTGCCATGGGAGGTGCCAGAGCACCCAGAGAAACAACGGTGTCAGTTGGTGTGAAGTTAAAGAATGACACCAGCCTGGCACAGTGGCTCATGCTTGTAATACCAGCACTTTGGGAGGCCGAGGTGGCCGGATCACTTGGAGCCCAGGAGTTTGAGACCAGCCTGGGCAACATGGCAAAACCCCATCTCTAGAAAAAATACAAAAGTTAGCCAGGTGTGATGGTACATGCCTGTAGTCCCAGCTACTCGGGAGGCTGAGGTGGGCGGATGGCTTGAGCCTGGGAGGTGGAGGCTACAGTTAGCTGAGATTGCACCACTGCACTCCAGCCTGGGTGACAGAGCCAGACCCTGTCTCAAATAAATAAATAAATAAAAGAATGACACCGTCTGGACAGGGCGTGGGGTCATGACGTGCCCCAAATAGCAGAGACTCTGAGCTGAGCCGGCCCTCAGAGGGGAGGGAGGACAGTGAGGGCTCCTGCGGGAGGGGCAGAGGTCTTGGGAGCAGAGGCTGAGGTTTGGTCCTCCCTGTCCCACCTTCTCTGGGACCACCTTTGAACACCAAAGAAAGAGACTCTAACAACTCCCTGAGAACTCAGGGAGACTCAGGAGAACACTAGGACCTCCAGACATGCACCCAGGGGAAACTGAGGCCCAGAGGCAGGGACCCTCCTCTGCCCTATAGCCCAAACTCAGGAAATCTTGAAGCATGCAGCTAAGTAAAACAAACCAGAAAACCCAGAGCACCCATGTCATGAATTGACCATGAGTTGCTTTTGTAATTAAAAAAATATTATTTAATGTTTTTATTTTATTTTATTTTTTTGAGACAGAGTTTCACTTTTGTTGCCCAAGCTAGAGTGCAATAGCATGATCTCGGCTCACCACAACCTCCACCTCCCGGGTTCAAGCGATTCTCCTGCCTCAGCCTCCCGAGTAGCTGGGATTACAGGTTTGCGCCACCACGCCTGGCTAATTTTGTATTTTTAGTAGAGACGGGGTTTCTCCATGTTGGTCAGGCTGGTCTCGAACTCCCGACCTCAGGTGATCCGCCCACCTCAGCCTCCCAAAGTGCTGGGATTACAGGCTTGAGCCACCGCGCCAGGCCTAATATTATTTTTAAAATGCAGGTGGAAATAAAAGCTTTGGGGTGGGGGGGGTAGAGGGTGGGGGGATGGGCTGGGGAGTCTGCTCCATTCAGACCACGAGTGCACTCACTGCACTGGCCCCGGATGACCCTGTGGCCCGTTCCTCAGCCTCCTCCCCTCTCAGCCCAGGCGAGGCCCAGAGTCCCCCCAGAGCGGCGGGGGCTGCTCACAGACCCCCCCTGGTGGCTGGATTTGGAAGGGGCCGTGCCTCTCAACTGCAGGAGTGGGAAGTAACCAGGGTGATGTTTGGACCCGGGACCCTCAAAAGGAAACCGCTCCCCTGTGCCTCCCATCACAGCTGCTGCCGCTGAATAGTGGAGGATGGGCATGCAGTCTCGTTCCAGTCACCAGGGAGCTGCGACAGCGTTCTCGCCTGGACTCCGAAGCTGGCCTACTGGCCAGCATGTTGGTTCCCATGACTCCTAGAAGGGTGTCTCTTGGAATGAAGTCTCTAACACGGGGCCTAATGGGAGGGTCAGGCTGCATCTGAGCCCTGGCAGCTGCTCAGCAGTTCTGAAACTCCTGCTGGAGCCCCACATCAGTGTTGGTGACAGCTGTGACACACAGCTGACGAGGACCCCAGTGAGGGATGGCACAAGGTGTCCCTGAGAGTGATCCAGCAGTCAGGAGTCCCGACCCTACCCTGACACAGCTACTCAGGCTGGTGGGATAATAGCAATAACAATGGTGACAGGAACAATGTTAACTCACATTTACGGATTACCTCCTGTGCCGACGCCGGTGAAGCTCACAACAGCTCACAGGCCAGGACTCTTTTTTTTTTTTTTGAGACAGAGTCTCGCTCGGTCACCCAGGCTGGAGTGTGGTGGTGGATCTCGGCTCACTGCAACGTCAGCCTCCTGAGTAGCTGGGACTACAGGCATGCACCACCACGCCCGGCTAATTTTTTTGTATTTTTAATAGACATGGGGTTTCACCATGTTGGCCGGGCTGGTCTCGAACTACTGACCTCGGGTGATCTGCCTGCCTCGGCCTCCCAAAGTGCTGGGATTACAGGCGTGAGCCACCGCGCCTGGCCAATCCTGTGTTTCTTAATTAACAGCATCATCTTCTAGGTGAGAGAATTAGGGGCTCGGAGAAAGGAAGTGCCCAAGGTCAGGCCCCTGGAAACTGAGAGGAGCAGGATTTGAAGCCATGCTGGTCCCTTGAGGGTGGCAGAAAATCCAGACATGTGTCAGGAGCTGAAGGTGGCCTTCGTCAAGGACTTCAGGGCATCCTGCCATCACAGAGAATGTCTGGTTTCCGTTGGGATTACTCCTTGCAAGCAACAGAAATCAGCTCTGGTGGTCTTGCAGAATAGTTTGCTGCATGTGTATGGGTAGCTCAGAGAATGGATCAGAAGGAGGAAGCCAGGCCAAGAAAAATATGAGCATGGAGCCCTGGGGCCTGCAAGGCAGCAACTGCTCCCAGGTCCAGTTCCAGCTCTGCCCCTGGGATGAATCCACTTCTGCCTCTTTCTCTGCTTAGATGTAATTTCTGAGCCCAAGAACCCAGAGAGAAAGTCAAGGGGCCTGGCTGAAGTGCCATGGCCCCTGCCCATCCTGGATGGGAGGCACAGCACTTTCTTGGAGGGTTCTAGAGTGCTGGGCCATGGCCAGGGCTTTTTAAAGGAGTGAAACAGAGAGGGAGCTGGAGGGGATTCCCCGACGGAGTCTCGGCCGGCTCTGGTTTTTCACACTGTAATTCTGCTTCTGGTCCTTGGTGTGAGTCACATGTGAAAGTACCTTGTTTTGCTAGGCCTGCGTCTGCTGCTGCCACCCCCTTCACAGGAGCTGCTACCTCTAGGCAGGAGGCTGCAGGCTGGGTCCCAGGCTGCAGGGAGCCCAGATCTAGATCACAGGCAGGACCCCCTGTCTGTCACGGGGTGCCGCGGTTGTGGGAATAAAGTATTAGAGACTGTAATCTTGGGGCTAAGCACTGGGGGAATTTTCCATTCTTTGCATCGTATGCAAATCAAATGTGAATGTATGTAAATGAGGGGGATACTCTCAAAGCTTAATGCCTGGGTAAGATTAGAAAGGAAGGTAGCTCTGGCTGGTTTGTGCCTCCTCTGCCCTAAAAATATTTAACCCCAGCTTGCTTTCAGGGAGAGCCCTGACTGCCTCCTCCTCCTGGAGACCAGCCCAGGCCACTGCTAGGGTCTATACTCCTGGCACTTAGTACTCCCTGAGGGGCCTCCACTCCTTGTGAGAAGGAGGTGGGGCATCAAAGCTAGATTAACAAATAAAAAGCATCCTGCTGCTTCTGTTTTCTCTGCCTGTGCCTATGCACAGGGCCAGCCACATAAGGCTGGGCTCACAGGGCGTGTTTGGATTGACCCCATACCAACCAAGGGGCCAGGCTGTACCAGCGAGGCCTGGGGAATGTGGGATGGACCCCTTCCCACTCTGTCTCAACCCTGGGCCTGGACGATAGGTTCTGGGGAGATAAAGAAGGTAGTTGGGGCCAGGCATGGTGGCTCTCACCCACAATCCCAGCACTTTGAGAGGCCGAGACTGGAGGATTACTTGAGTCCAGGAGTTTGAGACCGGCCTGGGCAACTTAGGGAGACCCTGTCTCTACAAAAAATAAAAACAAAATTAGCTGGGGATGATGGCATGCGCCTGTAGTCCAGCTACTTGGGAGGCTGAGCTGGGAGAATTGCTTAAGCCAAAGAGGTCAACGCTGCTGCGTGTTGTGATTGCACCACTGCCCTCTAGCCTGGGTGACAGAGCAAGATCCTGTCTCAAAAAGTAAAAGTTAAAAAAAGAAGGTGGTTGAGAAAGGTGAGAAAGGCTGCCTCCAGGAGGCCGTGCAGCATGTTCATTATGACTCCCCAGACGTGATGCTCTGACCCTCTGCAGCTGTGCCGGACTGCGCCAGGCTGGTCAGATAAGGAGCATGAGCCAGAGGAGGAAGTGGAAAGGAAGCGGGTGAGAGGGACCCCATGGGCTCCAGCCTCCTCTAGCATCCCCAAACGGCACCTTTAGGGCCCTGAGAAGCAGAGGGGCTTTCTGGGAATGTAAAAGGCTGGTCCCATTGAAGAGCAGTTCTGCAGTGACAGAGGGTAAGCCGGAGCCACCCTCCCCAAGCCAGACCCAACCAGATGCTGGCTTTTTTTGATGGCCTAAATCACAGTCCACCCAAAGCCCTACTTTTAAGAGTCTGTGCTCGACCTGAAGCACACAGGCTGTGAGCTGGTAAGTTTCAATGAGTCCTGCCTTTCCTGCCTGTCCACCTCTCTGCCCGCCTTCCTTCTCTCCTACAGTGTCTCTCTATGAGTCTCCGTTTCTCCTCTGTGTCAGAATTTTACCCAGTATTTGTGCAGCCCCAGCGGCGCCTGGTCTCCCTTCTCATTGCTCCTTCAGGATCAGAGCCTGGAGTCCAGCCTGGCTTGCCCACTGCTCCTGAACAGGTTCGGCCTTCAAAATTACAGGCCTTCAAACATGACTTTGGATCTGGTGCAGCTGAGCTGGTTTGTTTTCCTACCCATTGTGGACTAGAACTTGGACCTTTTGCACTTTGCTCCCTCCCCAGGTGACTCAACCCTCTGGGAGGGCCCCTCAGGGTAAGAGTAGGAGCTGGACTTGCCCTGGTCACCGTGGCCTTAGTCCCCTCACTTGTGCAGGCTGCAGACAGCCCCAAGGAAAAGATCAGGCCCAGCTCATGCAGAAGGCCTAGAGGCCTGGGGCCAAGGGTCTTCATGTTATAAAGATGGAGCTGGTGGTCAGGGCCACCAGGACACCACCACCTGTCCAGGAGGTTGAGAGGGGAGCATTGTCAGAGGTTAGCAGAGGACTGGTCTGAAAGAAAGGAATCCTTGGCCGGGTGTGGTGGCTCACGCCTGTAATCCCAGCACTTTGGGAGGCTGAGGCAGGCAGATCACCCGAAGTCAGGAGTTTGAGACAAGCCTGGCCAATATGGTGAAACCTTGTCTCTACCAAAAATACAAAAATTAGCCGGTCATGGTGGTGGGTGCCTGTAATCCCAGCATGGTGGTGGGTGCCTGTAATCCCAGCTATTTGGGAGGCTGAGGCAGGAGAATTGCTTGAACCTGAGAGGTAATGGAGGTTGCAATGAGCTGACATCGTGCCACTGCACTGCGGCCTGGGTGACAGAGCAAGACTCTGTCTCAAAATAATAATAATAATAATAATAATAATAATAATAATAATAAGCAGGGCATGGTAGCTCACACCTGTAATCCCAGCATTTTGGGAGGCTGAGGCTAGTGGATCCCCTGAGGTCAGGAGTTTGAGACCAGCCTAGGCAAAATGGTCAAACCCCGTTCTCTACTAAAAATACAAAAATTAGCCAGGCGTGCTGGCAGGCGCCTGTAATCCCAGCTACTCGGGAAGTTGCGGCTGGAGAATTGCTTAAACCTGGGAGGCAGAGGTTGCAGTGAGCCGAGATCTTGCCGTTGCACTCCAGCTAGGCAACTAGAGCGAAACTCTATCTCAAAAAAAAAAGAAAGAAAGAAAAAGAAAAAGAAAGGAATCCTTGTGTTGGCAAGACTTGTACTGTGAGGGTCCCAGTGGAAAAACCTTCAGAACCTTGAGCTGCAGTTGCAGGCAAAATTAGACGTCTGGCTCCTTCTATGTCTGTGGGCCTCATTTTGAGAAAACACACACTCTTCTATTCTCCCCGCCACGTCCAGAGGAGCATTTTCACCACCTTCACCAGCAGCCCCTCCACCGTGGGTGAGGGCTGCGGGACCAAGCACCTTCCAGCCATTGAAATGACCTCTACAGGGTGAACCGAGGTGGCCGAGGGCTTCCAGGAAGAGGCTCCCCTACGCCTGTGCTCATCTGTGATCAGGAAACATGCCCTCACCATTTCAACAACCAAAGGCTTTTTGAAAGAGTTTTGTGTTGTGGCTGTTCTGGATGAAGTTCTTGATGATCTAATTTTAAAAACCTTTTTTTCCCTGGACCCTCTGTGAGTTGCCATAGAGATAAGTTAGAGGCAAACAGAGCTAATGAGCTTGGTTGGGTCTTTTGTGTTCCTGAATGTTTTCCATTCTGAGTCCTTAACATGTAATTAGACAGATTATTTAGTGAGGAGTTTTTCTTTTATTGTAAATTAATTTCAAAACCAAGTTCTGAGGTTAAATAATGATTGTATTTGTTAATCAATCCAACCTGGGTTTCCTTCCAAAAGAAAACAGGGTACTATTATCAAAATGTTGGAAACAGGATGTTTGAGACTGTGGGGTTCATTAATTGCAGTGATGTGAAGGGTCCTGACAGCACTAATGCTGATATCTTTTTATGAGACAGGCATGTGCTTTGAGAGAGGCAACACTGGAGACGCTGGTAGGGATGTGCGCTGGGACCACGAGTCTCTAGCAATAGGCTAAGTCCCAGGAAATCCACGGCTTCCCCAGAGGGGGCTGCAAGCCCCTTAGCTAGGCCTTCGTTTGCCTGCTGGAGAGCCCATAACTGTCCATCTAAAGATGGGGCTGGTGCGGTGGCGTATGCCTGTAATTCCAGCACTTTAGGAGGCGGAGGCAGGCAGATTGAACTCAGGAGTTCAAAACCAGCCTGGGCAACATGAAAAACCCTCTCTCTACATAAAATACAAAAATTAGCCAGGTGTGGTGGCACACACCTGTAATCCCAGCTACTTGGGAGGCTGAGGTGGGAGGATCACTTGAGCTCAGGAGGTGAAGGTTGATCACGCCACTGCACTCCAGCCTAGGTGACAGAGTGAGACCCTGTCTCAAAAAAAATAAAAAAAAGAAGAAGAGAAAAGAAAAGAAAATATAGATAAGCATAGAAAGGGGGAAGGCAGGGGTGTGAGAGCAGATCATCCTTAGTTGGCTAGATAAAGGAGAGATCGTGTGGCCCACAACCCCCTTCCCCAAGACTGGGATTGGATAATGCTGAGAGCCCTGGCAGAGACAGCTCCTAGAAGCTGCCCTAAATCCTGCAGCCGGGGCTGCTCAGTCAAGCTGTGGGCCCGGTCCCTGGCTGGGGGCAGAGGCAATCTTTTAGATGCCTTGTCACCTGGCATGGAGGGTGAGGGCACTCTGGGACTGGGACTCCACAAAGGAGCACTGGAGAGAGGAGCGCAACTCCTCCCTTCCCTCTTCCAGGACTCATTGCCCTCGGCAGTGTCAGTGGGGCCTGGGGAGGGCTGAGGAGGAAGCCCCTAGGAGGGAACCAAGGCGGGGGAGTCAGGGGCTGCCCCGCACAATCCCGGGCCCTGGGGAAAGGAAACACGCACTTCCTTGCAGTTTCAGTGAAACTCCTCTGGCACGCGGGATAGAGTCTGACTCGGTGGCTGGCGCCCATGGCTTATCGGTCTCAAGGGAGCTTGGTTCTCAGATTCTGAAGCTGAGAGCGGGAGGGTGAAGCTGGTTTGGCTCTTTCCTAGAATTTCTCTATGGCTCTGGGCTTGTCTCCCAGCCTCTCTAGAAGCTAGACAAGCACCATTCCTCCAGAACTTTCTGCAGTGATGGAAATTGTTCTCTGTGTTGTCCAGTACAGTAGCCACTAGCCACATGTGGCCATTGAGCATTTACAGTGGGGCTGGTGTGACCGAGGAACTGCACTTTACGTTTGATTTAGTTGCAGTGAATTTAAATGTAAATAGCCACGTGTGGCTGGTAGCTGCTAAACTGGGCAGTGCAGTCCTAGAGTCCTGCGCCTCAGCTCGCCTCTCCCAGCTCACTAGGATCATTGGGCAGTGGGAGGGGATGGCAACGTTAGGTATAGAGGAAGGCCACCCAAGGATTCCAATAAACCCCAGTCTTGTGATAGTCTATGAGAAAAAGTTAGATTACATCTGGCAAACAGTCCACTCTGTCTTCCTCTTGGATTTATTTATTTATTTATTTATTTATTTATTTATTTATTTACTGAGACAGAGTCTCACTCTGCTGCCTAGGCTGGGGTGCAGTGATGCAATCATAGCTCACTGCAGGCTCAATCTCCTGGGCTCAAGCAATCACCCCACCTCAGCCTCCTGAGTAGCAGGGACTATAGGCACGAGCCACCATACCCAGCTAATTTTAAAAATTTTTTGTAGAGATGGGATCTCCCTGTAGTGCCCAGGCTGGTCTCGAACTCCTGGCATCAGATGAGCCTCCTGCCTCAGCCTCCCAAACTGCTGGGATTATAGGTGTGTGTTATTGTGCCCAGCCTCCTCTTGGATTTTTGAGACGTATATTTGCATGTTAAATAAAGGCACTGAGATATTCTGCTTAGAAAACAACCGTTTTATTTAATCTCAAATTTTCCAAATGTATTTGACCACACCACCTTTTTTTACATGGCACGTCTATTGGCATTTTGTGGAGTTCCCCTTGGGAAATGCTAGAAAAGGAAACTGGACATGTGGAGGAACTGATGCTCCCAAATGGGGTGACTCTTGGGTTCTGCAGCATGTACGTGGGAAACTCAGAGTTCTTGGTTAAATTGAAGACATTTCCTTGGGTTTCCCCAGGCCTTTGCAGTCTGGGCAGGAGCCCAGCAGTGGCCCTGGCAGCCCCATCAGTGTGTACTTTGCCCTGGACATGGCAGCTGTGGGGCCCAGGGCAGCTCCTCCCTACTCTGCAGGCTGCTCGTTGGCATTAGGGCCTCTCACTGGGGAGCACAAAGGCAGCTGCCCCATTTCATGTCTTTTTTTTTTTTTTTTTTTTTTTTTTGAGACGGAGTCTCACTCTTCACCCAGGCTGGAGCGCAGTGGCGCGACCTCAGCTTACTGCAAGCTCCGCCTCCCGGGTTCACGCCATTCTCCTACCTCAGCCTCCCGACTAGCTGGGACTACAGGCGTCCGCCGCCACGCTCGGCTAATTTTTTGTATTTTTAGTGGAGACAGGGTTTTATCGTGTTAGCCAGGATGGTCTCGATCTCCTGACCTCGTGATCTGCCCGCCTCGGCCTCCCAAGTGCTGAGATTACAGGTGTGAGCCACCGCGCCCGGCCATTTCATGTCTTTTCATTCTGTTGCTCCTCTAACCGACCAGAGTTTGATATGGAAGAAACTCTGTCGTCGTTCCGCTACCTGGGCTGGACCCTGATGGGAAGACAGACAAGGCAGGGCAGATATCCATCAGGCACTCCCTCTGACTGCCCAGGTATGCAGTATGGAGGCCAGGGCCCAGAGCTGCCTGGAACGCGAATGACCTGCACCTGCAGGAAGGATCCAAGTGCTCTGGCAGGAATAGCTTCGTGCTTGCTTGGATGAGGCAGTGCTCAAGCCTGTTGACTTTGCATTAAGCCAAGAAGCAGGGCACCTGCCTTCCACCCACCGCCCCCCACTTCACCGCTCACTGGCCTCATGGAGTCCAGGATCACACAGCTCTGGTCTCTGGGGTATTTCAGTGGGGTTGATGCTACAGATTGCAGGAAAGTAACAATTACTCTCAGATGAGGCAGACAGGAGACTCACAGCTGGGGGACATTCAAAGGTATCTCACAGTGCTTCCCAGAATAGGGAAAGGCCCACAAGAGAGGGGCTGCCTTGGCCACTTTCCATCCCTCTCTGGGGAGTATCAGCTCAGCAACCTGTTTCTTCCTGGGCTCAGTCCTCTGGGCAGCAGAGAGTGGTACCCTCGCCTCCACTCCCCCTAGAACTCTGTGGGTGCAGGTGGAGCCATGTATGCTCAGGGCTGACCTGTACCCAGCCCACTGCTTTGAGCCTGATCGAAGAACCTGGACGGAAGATCTGGAATGCTTCTCTCTGCCGGCTCACGCTCTTGACACCAGTGCACATCTGAAGTCACATCTGGGAAGCCTGGTCAGACCCTGTGGAAAGACATCACCAGCCAGCCAGGAAATTACAGGTCTGTTGGGCTTGGCCAGAGATGGGATTCTCTGCTTTGCATCATGAGGGGACAGCCTGCCCTGGCCTGGAGTGCATGGCCTGGTCTGTTTTCCTGTGGACATGCTATAAACATATGCATGGCTACCATGTTGCACAGCTCTGGGACACCGCTCTAAAGGAACACAACCTGGGCCATTCTGGACACACACACACACACTTATATGCGTGTGTGTCAGTCTTGCCACTGTGCACACCTTCCTCACCATACCTCACACTCCCAATACATCAGTATATAACTGCACTCAAAAGCCAGGCAGTGGTATTACCCATTCTAGGAAGCCAAGGGCTTCCCCCAGGGCATTTGAAATGAGGTTCTCTTTACATCTAACCTTTCAGGACCCATATCCAGTTCTATCAATTGAAATGCACCTGTGCTCAGATGACTCACAAGTACATGCAGGCTTGCCAAGGGCCAGAAAGCTGCTGTTTCCAACTGCAGCAGATTGCTGGTAGATTTATGACTCAGGGTCATGAATCCACAAATCACCTTTATCCCCATGGAAGGATGATTGTGCATTAGCTTGAAAGAGGCCTTTGCTGCAGGTGTCTTTGGCAAACCTTGGTCAAAGCTGTGAACCACCAGACAAGGAAATTCTAGCAGCTCCGCTGGTCTCTGAGAAGTGGCAAGGGTTGCAATGGAGAGGGAAGACTTGCGTGCAAATCTATAGTAACCTAAGCCCTAGCATTTACTGAACTGTGTGTCAATCCTATAAGTATAATACCTTTGTTCCTTCTGTGTGGGGCATCGCTGGGGTTTTGGGGTAATCTGACACCAGTGGTTCCAGAATCAGTGTCAGAGGTCACCCAAGGAAACCAACACATCTTTTTTTTTTTTTTTTTGAGACGGAATCTTGCACTGTTGCCTGGGCTGGAGTGCAGTGGCACGATCACAGCTCACTGCAACCTCTGCCTCCTGGGTTCAAGCGATTCTCCTGCCTCAGCCTCCAGAGTAGCTGGGATTACAGGCACCCACCACCATGCCTGGCTAATTTAATGGATCCAGAAATGTCAAGACACTACCCCAGGATTCAACGGCACATGAGGGACAAAGCGAGGACCCCACCCTTATTCTTTCAAGGCTGGCCTGTGCCCCGGAGCTCTTCCACACACCTCCCTCTCCAAAATAGGGAGAAGCCCAAGACAGTGACTCAGAGCCCCCTTGGCAGTTTTGCTGATAATTTTTTTGTTTTGAAGTGAGATGTTCTGCCTCTATTGAAGTCTTTAGGAAATTATAGTGATTTTGACTTTTTCAGACATGTTTGAATTACTCACAGTCTGGAATTCCCAGGCAGGGGGTGAAATTTAGAGAGGCCTTAGAATACAGAAGTTAGGGGCACAGGATTTGGATTAAGGGATCTGAGTTCAGATCCCCACTCTACCACTTAGTAACTATGTGAGTTAATCACAATGAGCCTTGGTTCCTCATCTGGTTTTGATAACAAACACCAGGACTTAGTTCAAGGGTTGCTGGCAGACTAAAGGAAGCAACGAGCAGAGAGTGGCGCAAAGGAGACCTGAGTACATGGGCACTGGGGTTATTCCCTGGACACCTGCTGAAGCAGGAAGGCCAGGATCTGACTTACCAAGCACACACCCAGCCTGCATGAAGGCTCAGTGCAGCCTGCGTGGGCTTATTCATCAGGAGCTGGATTGCATGATTTCAGATCTGGCTCTGTCACTAATCTGGGGCCAAAGAACATCCCCTCTCTGAAGCTCTGTTTCCCTCTAGGAAAAATGTGGACAATGACAACTCAGTTCTGTTGTCAGGACCCACGTGGTCAGTGCTTAGAACGGCGCCTGGTACACAGTCTGTTTATAGATGATCCTTTTATCACTGTCTCTGTTTTTTCTGCTTGTACCTGTGTTTCCAGCAGGGCAGCAAGAGCTCATGTGTCTGCAGACCTAGTGGGAGAGTTTCCATACTTCTATTTCTGCCAAATATGGTGTGCATTTGTGCTTTTCTTGCTCATTGTGGCCCAGCCTTTGCCCATGCTCTTCCCTTTGCCAGGAAATCCCTTTACTTCTCTGTCCCCATCGATCGACATCCTTCCAATGTCCAGTTCACAATGTTGTGTGAAGAACTTTCCCCATCTGCCTAGTCATATATAATCTGACCACGCATGATGATTCTGTGGTGTTAGGGGATAGGCAAGTTAGGGGGAAAACCTGGAATGTTCTAAGTGGTTACCCTACGTTGGAATAGTGGTAACCTTCAGTGAGGAAGGGGGAAGGATGTGGGTGGGACAGGGAGCATTTCCAGGGCACAAGCCGTGCTCTATTTCTTGATCTTCATGAAAAGTTCAACAAATACTTATTGTCTGTGCTGTCCAGGGACTGTGCTAGAGTTAGACCCTCCATTCCTTTTTCACAGCCCATTTCTGTGCTTGAGCACTGATTTTATTCTGCCCTACCCTATGGCCTTAATTTTTCTCCCTAGAGTGCAGATAGTAAAGGGCCTTATAAACTTGCATAGTGTTCCGTGGCCACTTTGTGCCCTGGAAGCCTCTCTGTTCTGGACTTTTCTTCCTGACCACAGATCAGGGGTAGGACCAGCTGTATGAAGTCTCTGAGCCACTGCAGTTGGATCTGAGCATGCTCAGAAGGACCATAGGTTACCACCACCCAGCTGGGGATTCAAAATCCTTGAGAGGTAGACCCCAAAGGAAGATGAAGGCTTTAAACTGTTATTGTAAGTGTGTCTTCTCCTCCGTGGGTTGCATGGAGATCAAAGCCTGAAGGAAGTAGAAGGTTGCTCTCTGACAAAAACACCATATTTTTAGAAGCATTCGGTGGTTTAGGATGTTTGCCCCAGTGCTGCCTTTCAGTGGCAGGGGGTGGGGCTGGGGGTGGAGGCCAAGGGCTGCGACCTTGAGCGGAGGTTGGTGGGAGCAGGTTTGCTGGCACGGGGCCCAAGGGTGGAGGCTGAGGGTGGGAGGACAGCCAATCATCACTTATCTTTCCTGAAGACCAGAGAACCAGGCCAAAGCATTTCATGGTTGTGGGGAAGGGGGCTTATGGAGTCTCTGTGCCATCTCCTTCTTTCAGAGATGGAAAAACTGAGGCCCAGAGAGAAGCAGAGGCTTGGCTTAGCTCCACCCTCACCATCCACGCACCCTTCCCATCTGGGGATTTGGGGCTTGCACATATGAAACTGTTAGAGAACAATGCGTCCATTCTGTAATCAAGGCTAATTGGTGTGGTTCAGAAGAGGAGAAACGCCAGGCGTTTGGGGGCAGAACATCAGTGGGTCTCTGAACCAACCACCCAGGAATATTCCACGAAGAATTAGAGTAGCTCCTGGGGCCTGGGAAGGGCAAACCTTGGGTAGGTGAGAGGACATTCAGGCAGCATGGATAGTGCTCGGAGGTGGGACCTAGCTTGGCCTGAATGTGGGGACTGATGGAAGGAGGAACTGGGGCAGAAATTTGGGTCCTCCCCAGACTGGACGAGGCCTGAGAATGAACAATTTGGCGCCCACCTCATTAATTCCTACTGAGCCACATTTTCTTTCTTTCTTTTTTTTTGAGACAGAGTTTCTCTCTGTCACCCAGGCTGGAGTGCAATGGCATGATCTCAGCTCACTGCAACCTCTGCCTGCCAGGTTCAAGCCATTCTCCTGCCTCAGCCTCCCAAGTAGCTTAGATTACAGGCATGCGCCACCATGCCTGGCTAATTTTTTTGTATTTTTAGTAGAGACGGGGTTTCACCATGTTGGCCAGGCTGGTCTCGAACTCCTGACCTCAAGTGATCCACCCGCCTTGGCCTCCCAAAATGCTGGGATTACAGGCATGAGCCACTGCACCCAGCCATGAGCCACCGCACCCGGCCATGAGCCACCACACCCGGCCATGAGCCACATTTTCAAAGGTACCTGGGAGAGGTGAACTGGCTACTCTGCATGCAGAAGGGAGCAGGGAAAGGCATGATGGGGGGTTGCCTGGCTCCCCCCACCTCTCCTCAGTGCCTCTACCTTTTAATCAGGGCAGCCCTGCCTTAATGTTTCTTCCAATATCCTAAACAGCCAGGCTGGGATGGCGAGCTGTAATTTCTATCATTTTTCATATGGGTTATAGGCTCCTTCAAATGGGAACCACATTGGATAAGGGGCAAACCATAAGGGCAGGATGTTGAGAAATATGGTCCTAAGAAGCCACCTGCTTCTCATTTGGGATGTGCCTGGTTTATTGCTTGGTCCCAGTGCCCAGCTGGTTTCGGAGCTGGCAGAGCAGCCATAGATTACTGTCCTCATCAGTCATCTGCGCTGAGGCTGGGGCGAGCAGCTCAGAGCCTGGGGTGTGCCCCTATGCAAAGCTTTGCAGAGACGGTTGGGAGCACTCTGCTCTTTGTCCTTGCCTGTCCCTGCAGGTGGCCATCTGGAGAAAAGCAAGTCCAGGCAAAGCCCTAGAGCCTGTGGCAGGCTGGGCACCCCTGGCTGGTGCAGGCAAGGCAGGACTCTGGGCTCCCACAGTCTTAGCTTCTTGCAAACTGAGAATTAGGGCATCAAAGTAGGCAAAGGGGCCAGCTGCCATGATGATGAAGGAACCATGGCTGCATGCAACAGCGTGGATGAACCTTCAGCATAATATGTGGTGCAAAAGCTGAATGGATGTGTGTGATTGAGTCCATTCGTATGAAGTTCACAACCGGACAGTCTATTCCATGGTGTTAGGGGAGAGGTAAGCTTGGGGGAAAACTTGGAATGTTGCAAGCAATTACCCTAAGTTGGAATAGTGGTAATAGTGGTAACCTTCAGTGAGGAGCAAGGGGGAAAGATGTAGGTGGGACATTTCCAGGGGACAGGCCATGCTCTATTTCTTGATCCTGGAGGTGGCTACATAAGTGTTCACTTTGTCATAATTCATTAAGTTATACATTTATGCTTTATGTGCTTTTCCTGAGTGTTTTTCTTTTCACAATAAAAAGGGTTAAGAAAACAAAAACAGGCATTGAATGATTGAGCCTGGCACCTTCCCCAGTTTGCCTCCTTCTCTGTCTCATTTTTGGCCACTGGTACCCCTGGAATGCTCTCCCTTGCCTCCTCCATGCCTGTGGTCAGCCCCCTTCCAGCTGTCTCTCCCAGCCTGGCTCAGGCCTAGGCCTGCCCTAAGACTGATGGAGTCACAGGCTAGTGGGGCTTCCTGACCCCCAGAGAGCTTGGAAGCTCAGTAGGCCTTGGGGGCCCCCTTTTCAGTAGCACCTGGCCCACCCTGTGCCTAGTCCAGCACTGGGACCTGTGATGGGTTTTGTTGGGGGCTCTGGGGACAGGTTCCCTTGCTCAGAGATTTTCTGCTTTTTCCCTCATCAAGTAGTTGTCAGAGCTGCTTGTTTTTTTTGTTTTGTTTTGTTTTGTTTTGTTTTTTGAGACAGGGTTTTGCTCTTGTCACCCAGGCTGGAGTGCAGTGGCGTGATCTCAGCTCACTGCAACCTCTGCCTCCTGGGTTCAAGCGATTCTCCTGCCTCAGCCTCCTGAGTAGCTGGGATTACAGGCACGCGCTACAACGCCCGGCTAATTTTTTTTTGTATTTTTAGTAGAGATGGGGTTTCACCATGTTGGTCAGGCTGGTCTCAAAACTCCTGACCTCAGGTGACCTGCCCGCCTTGGCCTCCTAAAGTGCTGGGATTACAGGCGTGAACCAACGTGCCCTGCTTGTTTTGTTTTTTAGGGTCTCACTCACTCTATCTCCCAGACTGGAGTGCAGTGGCGCGATCTCAGCTCACTGCAACCTCCGCCTCCCGGGTTCAAGTCATTCTCCTGCCTCAGCCTCCTGAGTAGCTGGGATTACAGGCACGTGCCACCACACCCAGCTTATTTTTGTATTTTTAGTAGAGACGGGGGTTTCACCATGTTGGTCAGGCTGGTCTTGAACTCCTGACCTCAGGTGATCTGCCCGCCTCAGCCTCCCAAAGTGCTGGGATTACAGGCGTGAGCCACCATGCCCGGCCGCTCTTTTTGTTTTTAAGAAGAACTATGGATACATGAAGGCGAGTACTGCCTTTCAGTGGGTGCAAGGAATCCCTGGGTGTTGATGTTGAAGAAACCATTTGAGAAAGTGAGGCTTGTGGGGTCGGGGTTCCTCAGTGGAGGGGGTTGGGCTGTGGGCTGGCTTCCTCTCCACTCCCTATTTTTCTGGGGTAGATGAGTCTCCCCAGCACCCAGGCCTCCTGGCTCTTCCCCGGACCTTTCAGGTGAGAAACTTTCCATTGTTGCCTTATCTCAGCAATCCGCCTCCCCTCCTTGCAGCGACCGCAGGTGCACACAGATCTGAGGGCCTGATCTGTTCCACTCTCTTTATGCCAAACAGAGGAGGGACGCGAACCCCAGCATGAAACGGCACCCACAACCACAAGGCCCGGTGTGCGCCCTCTGAAACCGTAGGTAAAGACAATTACTGGCAATTTCCACAGCATGGTTTGTTTTTTGTTCAAAGGCAGTGGAGGCATTCTCAGCAGCAGGCCCAAAATGTAGTATTCCCACCGCACGCCGCCCTCATGAATTTGTGATAAAAGCTGTGGTTGCTTTGTCCTGGCTCTTCCTTTCAACAGTCAAACCTTCAGGTTTGATGTTGAAACTGCTTTTTTCTTCAAGTGTACTTTGATGGTGCAGATAACGCTCCATGATAAGGAATCTGCCTTCAAAACCACTCACTGTACCTTGTGCTCACCATTAAGATGAACGTCACAAGGGAAAATCGGGTACCCGAATTTTTGAGTAGTGGGATGGGAATGTGCTGAGTCTGTGAAATTCTCCTCTGTGCTGCCTGTACTGGAGATTTGGCATCCCCCAACACCCAAGAAAAGAAGGAGAAGGGGAAGGGGAAGGGGAAGGAAGAAGGAAGAAAGAAGAAGGAAGAAAAAGAAGGAGAAGAAAAAAGCACCAGGCATTGATCAGAAGGAGGTCCTGGGACAGGAGGAAAATGGTGGGAAACGTCCTAGAAACAGCTGTTTTTCCTTTGGCAAAAGCTGTCAAGAATCTACACGTTCATGCCCATCTGTTTTCCTTAATTAAAAAGACTCTGCGAAGCTGATGCTAAGTGGCCCAGAGTCTCTAAGAGCTTGTGAATATCCGAGCACCCTTGGGGAGGCCTCCCAGGTTCCAGGTTCCTCAGCTGCTGCATCTCCTGTGGTTGTGTTTAAGTTCTTCCCTTTGCTCATAAATATTTGCAATCTCCCAAGGGCTGCCTACCCTTGGAGCCATTACATCACAGTAGGAACAGGCCCTGTGTTGCTTTGTGTAAGCAATGATTGTTTTTTCTTTCTAAAGCAGTTTCATGTCTATCATCTCCCATTCTATGGAGAAAGTATTTTTTATTATTATTATTTGAGACAGAGTCTTGCTCTGTTGCCCAGGCTGGAGTGCAGTGGAACAATCTTGGCTCACTGCAACCTCTGCCTCCCGGGTTCAAGTGATTCTCCTGCCTCAGCCTCCCAAGTGGCTGGGATTACGGGCACACGCCATCACACCCGGCTACATTTTTTTGTATTTTTAGTAGACACAGGGTTTCACCATATTGTCCAGGGTGGTCTTGAACTCCTGACCTCAAGTGATCCACACGCCTTGGACTCTAAAAGTGGTGGGATTACAGGCATGAGCCACTGCACCCAGCCTTTTTATTCTGTTTTTCAGAGATAGGGTCTTATTCTGTCACCCAGGCTGATCATAGCTCATAGTAACCTCAAATTCTTGAGCTTAAGTGATCCTCCCATCTCAGCCTCTCGAGTGATTGGGACTATAGGTATGTGCCACCATACTCAGCTAATGAAATTTTTTTTTTTTTTTTTTTTTTTTTTTTTTTAGAAATGGGGTCTTGCTATGTTGCACAGGCTGGTCTCAAACTCCTAACCTCGAGTGATCCTCCCACCTTTGCCTTCCGGAGGGCTGGGATTACAGGCGTGAGCCACTGCGCCTGGCCCTGTGGGGATGGTTGACCAATATGGCAGCCCATGCAAACCCCTGAGGTGTTCTCTGCCCATTTTACAGATAAGGTAAGAACGATTTGAGCAGCAGCTGCAGAAAGAACCCTGAGGCCAAAGGAGGGCTTCTGGAGGAGGTCCCATAATTGTGTCTGAAGAGACCAGGCATGTTCAAAGACCTCCAAGCTTTGTACTGAAATCAGTGGCTTCCCAGGTTTCTTAAGAGGGATCATCTCGGGCCACACGCGGTGGCTCACGCCTGTAATCCCAGCACTTTGGGAGGCCGAGGCAGGCGGATCATGAGGTCAGGAGATCGAGACCATCCTGGCTAACATGGTGAAACCCTGTCTCTACTAAAAATACAAAAAGCTAGCCGGGCGTGGTGGTGGGCACCTGTAGTCCCAGCTACTCGGGAGGCTGAGGCAGGGGAAAGGCGTGAACCCGGGAGGCGGAGCTTGCAGTGAGCTGAGATCGCGCCACTGCACTCCAGCCTGGGCAGCAGAGTGAGACTCTGTCTCAAAAAAAAAAGAAAAGAAAAAAAGAGATCATCTTGGCTCTTGATTTTATTTTTCACTTTGTCTTGTGCCCAAGGACCCCAGAGATCCCAGGCCTGTGAGGTAGAGAGGTGAGAGCTGGCTTACATTAGTCAAACCGTGGGTTGAATCCTGGCCTACTGGCTGTGTGACACTAGGTCAGCTACTTTAGATCTCTGGGACTCAATTTCTTCATCAGGAAAATGCCAGTGTCACAGTAAAATCTCTTTAGGGTCTCTGCCAGGCGTGACAGTTCATAGTTCTGTTATTCCCTGGATTGCCTTGGATTTGCATCAGCCTAACCCCTGGCAGGTTTTGAAGCCCATTCACATGCTTTCAGCAGCTCATTCAATCCCCACCACAGCTCTGTGGGTTGGGAAGGCAGGCAGGCCTGCCATGTTTTCCCATTCCCATTTGAGAGATGGGGAAACTGAGGCACAGAGAGTTGAAGTGGCTAGCCATGGGAACCACAGCAGGCTGGAGGTAGCCAGGACCTGAGCAGGCATGTGGGGACCTCTGGACCACTGTCTTGTGGGCAGCCCCATCAGCAGGGACCCCCCAACCATGCCACCCTGGAGGGCCAAGCATTCTAATGGCCATGACACCTGCTTAGACCAAAGTTCGGGCCAGTTCCAGGGTCTGGCTTGGAGTGTCTGGCCCTCTGAGACTCCTTACCCCATGCAGCTCCAGTAGCTCAGCTCTCGGCCCAACATAGAACACTGGGCAGGATTCAGGAGCTGCTCCCGGAGGCCCCTACAAGGCCTTTCAGAGGAGGAGGCCCTGGAATCAATACTCCAGTAGACTCTTCCTACCTCGGCACCTCCCCTCTGTGTCCACACTCCCTGCCTTAGATCAACAGGTTTCCTTTCTTGGGATCCTCTCATTCCTCCTCCCTGCCAACCTGATCCCTAGCTATCCTTTAAAGCCAGAGGACACTGTGTTTGAGCCAAGTGCTCTACATGCATTTTCTTATTTAATCATCTCTAAGTTTGTTTTCTCATCTGTAAAGTGAGAATAAAAATACCGCTGATAGCATAATTTGCCCCCTATTTTACAGATGAGGAAAATGAGGCTCATGCCACATGCCTGAGATCACACAGCTCATAAGGGCTGGAGCCAGGATTGAACCTTAGGGCTTAAAAAGCCTGGGACCTCTGCACCACTCCACCTCGACTTATTTATCCTGGTCACAAAGCACTGGAGGACTGCTCAGGCCCGTGGCCACTCTTCCCTCACTGGAGCATTCCCAGCCTCTGCTAAGTGTCTGTCCTCTGGGTCTCTCTTGTCTCCCTCTCTGGACTCTGAGTCCTACAGGCCAGAGACTGCATCCTGTCTGCTCCACACCCTAGCCTGGCACATAGTTGCTTTTGGTAAGTCCTTGCCAGTTGAAGGCTCATAGTGGAGACATCTGTGCAGAGGGGTACCACGGCCAGCTGAGGCCTGGAAGTCTGGAGCCTGGACATTCCAGAGCTCTTTGACGTAGCGCTTAGAGCACAGAAGTACAGTTTTCCCCACTGACCACAAACTTGGTCATGATTCTTCTAACCATGCAGGATAATGCGACATTTAAAAGCATAGGCTTGGCTGGGCACAGTGGCTCATGCCTGTAATCCCAGCACTTTGGGAGGCCAAGGCTGGCGAATCACTTGAGGTCAGGAGTCTGAGACCAGCCTGGCCAACATAGTGAAACCCCCATCTCTGCTAAAAATACAAAAATTAGCCGGGCATGGTGGCAGGTGCCTGTAGTCCCAGCTACTCGGGAGGCTGAGGCACGAGAATCGCTTGAACCCAGGAGGCGGAAGTTGCAGTGAGCTGAGATTGTGCCACTGCACTCCAGCCTGGACAACAAAGCAAGACCCCATCCCAAAAAAAAAAAAAAAAGAAAAAAAAAGAAAAAGAAAAGCACAGGCTCAGGGTTTGACACTCTGTCTTCCATCACTGTGTGACCCAAGGCAAGTGACTTTATGTATTTCATAAATCTAAATCTTATGTATTTCATAAATCTAAATCTGCATCCATTGCAAGGTTACCATATTTTATGTCATACCACAAAAGGAAAGGCATTACTTGCCAGTTTAGCTATAAAAGCCATCAATTGTAAGATGCATCTCAGTTTCAGAGATGCTAAGATTTATACAGACATTTCACCAAAAAAGTTTTTATATATATAGATGTAATATTAATCTGCATTTCCCTGATGACATATATATAGGAATGGCTGACAAGCACATGAAAAGATGCTCAACGTCATTAGTCATCAGGGAAATGCAGATTAAAACCACAATGAGGTACCACTACTGCATCCATTAGAATAGCTGAAAAACAAAATGAAACAAAAGAAAACCCGAACTGACCATACCAGGTGTTGGCAAGGAGGTGAAGCAGTTATATTGCTGATATGAATATAAAACCAATTTGGATAACAGTTTGGCAGTTCCTTGAAAAGATAAACATGTATCTATTATATGATCCAGACATTCTACTCCTAGATATTCACCCAATGGAAATTAAAACATGTCCACCCAAAGATTTCTACACAAATGTTTATAGCAACTTTATTTATAATAGCCCAAAGCTAGAAACAACCATAATGTCTACCAATAAATGAGTGGATAAAGATATTGTGGCATATCCATGCAATGGAGTAGTATTCAGTGATCAAAAGGAATTCACTATTGGTATGTGTAACAACATGGATAAATCTCACAATAATTATGTTGAATGAAAAAATCCAGGCAAAAGAGAGTTCATAGTGTATAATTTAATTATACAAGACTCTAGAAAACATAAAGGAATCTATATTGACAGAAAGCAGATCAGTGGTTGCCTGAGGATTGGGGTGGAAGGAAGGAGGAATGCATTACAAAGAAGCACAAGAAAACTCTTGGGAGTGCTGGAGATGTCTATCATATCGATTGTAGTAATAGCTGCACGGGTGTAAACATGTTCAAACTTATCGACTGGAGGCTCAGACCAGCCTGCAGAGCTGCAGCCACCCTTCATGCCCTCCCTACCCTCCCTGCTGACGATCATGCTCCAGTTACTACTTGGATTCACTTTGGCCAACATGGTTGGAATGTATCTGGCTCAGAACTATGATGCACCAAACCTGGCTAAAAAAAAGGACTTGATGCCGGGAAGAAAGAAACCCCCTAGTTCATGAGGCCGACTCCAGCACTGCCTTCTGGATACACTGATTCCACCACTCTTGAGGGCCTCCTTTACCATCTCAACCAAAGCCTTTTGTTTTTATCTCCAGCCTCAGTGATTTTCTTCCTTGCTAGACCCTGTGTTTTTGCCTTAGAGGAAGCAAAATGGGGCCCCAAGTTGAGAACTATCATTATGTTTCCTCTTACCATATCCTTCTTCCAGCTGAGTGGGAGGTTCTAAGACTGGAATTATGGTGCTTGATTAGTAAACATGACCTTTAATGAGTAGTCTCTTATTTATTTGGGATTTCTACTACCTTTTGTCAAAAGAAAAATTGATGAGTTTTGTATAGCAGGTCAAATACAAATAATACTTTTATTTCACAGTTTTTAGCAATTAAAATAGGTGCTTGTTAAACATTTGGTACTAAATTGTGTTGTTTTGGCTGGACACAGTAGTTCACACTTGTAATCCCAGTACTTTGGGAGGCTGAGGTGGGTAGATTGCCTGAGGTCAGGAGTTTGAGACCAGCCTGGGCAACATGGTGAAACCCTGTCTCTACCAAAAATACAAAAAGTTATCTAGGGCTGGGTGCGGTGGCTCACGCCTGTAATCCCAGCACTTTGGGAGGCCGAGGCGGGCAGATCACCTGGTCAGGAGTTCAAGACCAGCCTGGCCAACATGGTGAAACCCCATCTCTACTAAAAATACAAAAAATTAGCCGTGTTTGGTGGCGCATGCCTGTAATTCCAGCTACTTGGGAGGCTGAGGCAGGAGAATCACTTGAACCTGGGAGGCAGAGGTTGCAGTAAGCTGAGATCGCGCCATTGCACTCCAGCCTGGGCAACAAGAGCAAAACTCCGTCTCAAAAAAAAAAAAAAAGTTAGGCATAGTGGCTCACACCTGTAATCCAAGCTACTTGGGAGCTAAGGTGGGAGGATCGCTTGAGCCTGGGAGGTGGAGGTTGCAGTGAACCGAGATTGCGCCATTGCCCTCTAGCCTGGGCAAGAGTAATACTCTGTCTCAAAATAAATAAATAAATAAAATAAAAAATTTATGTAGTCTTAAAATAATTAAAATTAATATCTAGAGAAAAAACCTCTTGTCAGTTATACACTTTAAATATGTATAGCTCAGTAGACTTCGATTATACCTCAATAAAGTTGAAAAATATGAACAAATGTTTGTTTTAGAATAGAACCATGTCCAGGAATATTGTTGTGAGACTTAAATGAGATACAGCACTAGCCCAGTCTGGTGGGTGGTAAGAGCACAATAAATGTCAACTCATGTTGTTGGTGCCCCAACACTTAACCTGCCCATGATACTGTACCTCCGCGACTTAACCTGCTCACGGTATGGTACCTCGGTGACTTAACCTGCCCGTGGTACTGTACCTCCGTGACTTAACCTGCCCGTGGTACTGTACCTCCGTGGAGGCTTGCAGTTTTTGTTTCACTGCAAGGTCCCATTACAGACAGGGGTCTGGGGCTGGGAGAGACCAAGGGCTCTGCCCCAGGTCCCACAGGGAGTTCACGCAATGCAGGCCAGCTTTTCTGGCCCAGAGTGAGTCCTGGGCCCTGGCATCTCTCACTGGCTCGACCCCAGGCCGGGCAAAAGGAGACAATCCCAGTGTCCAAGGGCCTAGAAATAGTCTGTTTTGTGGGAGTAAAGGCCACCAGGGACTGTGAAAGTGGCCACCGGACATGTGAGAAATCCTTCGTGTCTGACGATGGGTTCTTATCGAGGGCAAATGACCACAGTGAGTGGCCTGAGAGAGGCCAATGCTCAGCCGGCTTTGATGTCACACATCTTGTGGCCTCTCTACATGGATGCAGTGTTTTTCTATGCAGCACCCACTGGCCGGGCCTCACGTCCCCTGTAAGCAAATGCTTGAAAGCCACTCTTGAGAGCAATTGTGAGAAGCCCCCACCGCAGGCCGCCTTTGGGGCAAGACAAGATTCAGCATTACTCAGAGCTTCCAGTACCTGCATAAGTTCAAACAGGAAGCCTGGTTTTTCCTCTTATGTCAACAACAACCTGTATTCTCTGTTCTGGCCTCTGAGCTCCCTCATGGAGTGGGTTTCTTGGGGTGAAAGTTAGGGTATCAGTGGCCCTTGAGGCCCCACCAGCAGATGCCTCCGCCAAAAGCAACTCACCTGGGAAGGCCTGGGGCAGCAACTCACCTGGGAAGGCCTGGGGCTTTGTGCTGCCAGGCCTTGGAAATGATCTAGCAATCTAAGGCTTTGCAAACAAAGGGAGGATCTGGCTGGGCACATGGTAGGTCTCCAACTAATTTAGATTGAAATGCAACTTGTCCCAAAACAAATGCCACTTCTCCCAGATTCCTGGCTCAGCAAATATCACCTCCACCTGCTCCCTTGAGCCAGACACCCTGAAGGCACCTCCCAGGCTTTTTTGTTCCCTCATTCTCCACCCCGAGTGGAGACTAAGTCCATCTATGCTTCTCCCTCAGTGTTTCCCAAATCCTCCCGCTCCTCCCTCTGCTCTCTGTGATGGTTTTAGTCCAGACCCCTGGTCCCCATCAGACGGTGATGCCACTCTCTCCTCACTGTGTCGCCTGGTCCCATTCCACGTATGGGCCACACAGTGGCCAGAGCATCTGTCCTAGATGCTTGAGGGGGCCAGGCGTGGTGGCTCATACCTGTAATCCCAGCACTGCGGGAGGCTGAGGCAGGAGGATCCCTTGAGCACAGGAGTTGGAGATCAGCCTGGGCAACATAGTGAGACCTGGACTCTACAAAAAGATTAACAAAATTAACCGGGCATGGTGGCATGTGTGTGTCTGTAATCCTGGCTACTCTGGAGGCTGAGGGAGGAGAATCAGTTGAGCCTGGGAGGCAGAGGCTGCAGTGAGCCAAGATGGCACCACTGCACTCCAGCCTGGGCCACAGAGTGAAACCCTATCTCAAAAAAAGAAAAAAAAAAAGGAGGGGGGTCAAAAAAAATAGACCGGGCACAGTGGCTCACGCCTGTAATCCCAGCACTTTGGGAGGCTGAGGTGGGCAAATCATCTGAGGTCAGGAGTTTGAGAGCAGCCTGGCCAACATGGTGAAACCCCATCTCTACTAAAAATACAAAAACTAACTGGGTGTGGTGGTGGGCACCTGTAATCCCAGCTACTTGGGAGGCTGAGGCAGGAGAATTGCTTGAACCCAGGAGGTGGAGGTCTCAGTGAGCCAAGATCGTGCCATTGCACTCCAGCCTGGGCGACAAGAGCAAAACTCTGTCTCAAAAAAAAAAAAAAAAAAAAGATGCTTGAGGGACGACATCACAAATGGACCTTCTTACTTACTATCTTGCACACCTGCTATGTGGCAAATGTAAAGGCCCTACTGGGCTCAGGGTGGCCTTCCATCTGTCAGAACTCATCCTTGCTCCCCAGTGTGCTCTCTTTGCTCATTCTGTGAACACCCAGGTGCCTTGCGGTGGCGGGTCCCTAAACAAGCCCCAAGTCTTCCTGTCCTCCTGGGCCTTGTGTAGTGCTCTGAATAGGCACCTGCTCCCAGCTGCTGCCTGCCCCTGGACCGCACAGTGCACCAACTCTCAACTTTCAGCCGAATCCCTCGCCTCCCCCCTGTCCTGCCCCACCCACTTCACCTTTCCTGACCACAGCTGGAGTGGGTCTCCCTCCTCTGTCTGTGTGTGCAGCTCAGTTTTGCATGCACCTCCCACGGGCATCTCTAGCCTCTTTGAGGGCAGGGGTCCAATTTGGCTCTGTGTCTGCAGGCCAGCCCAGCCCAGCCCTGCTCAGTCAAGGACGGTCTGGCATAGAGCAGGTGTTGGGCAGTGTGTGCTAGATGGCCACCTCTCTGTGCCTTTCATAACCTCAAGGGATCAGACTGGGCCTGGAAGCAGTTTGTAGCATGTGACAGACTCCACCTCTCCCCTGCCTCCCAGGCTCCCTGATGCGGCTTGCTTTAATAAGGAAAAAGTCCTGTGGCATTGATAATTAGTGGGCAGGCCCAAAGGGAAGGGTCTTTTTTCAGGGAATTGCTCTGAACATGGAATACCTTTCATATCCTTCTCTGGCTTTAGTAGGAGAGCTGACCTGTGGCCAAGGCTGAAACACTCAGGCAACCCACATTCCATTTTTGTGGAGCTCTGAAGAACATATTATTGGACTCCTAGAGAAATGCCTTCCCTGCCCCAGGCTGGGTAGATGCTTGGGGGGCAAAAGGGAGGCCTAGCTCTTCTCTGTGCCTCAGTTTTCTCATTCTGTACAATGGAAAGTACCTGCCTCATAGGGTTATGGTGATGATTAAATGAGCGAGTATGCATTAAGCTCTTAAACAGAGTTGGACACACATTAGTTCCGATCATGATGGTTTATGGGGCATGCCAGCGTGATGGGAATTGTACAAGTCACAGTTTGGGAAGGTCAGATCCCATGCACATGAGAACAGTTCATAGATCCCTCTCTCCTGAGGAGTAGGCTCCATGAGGGTAGAGGCTGCATCTGGCACATGGTAGGTGCTCAGTAAGAGTTTGCTGAATGGATTTTCAGACCAGGCTGAGCTGAAGTTTTTTTTCCTGTGCCAGGGAACAAAGGCTTTGGTAGGCAATTGGGAGAGTAAAGAGGTTTAAGGGTGAATGTTTAATCCCTTTTTTTTTTTTTTTTTTTGAGATGGAGTCTTGCTCTGTTACCCAGCCTGGAGTGCAGCGATGCAATCTCAGCTCACTGCAGCCTCCACCTCCTGAGTTCAAGCAATTCCTGTGCCTCAGCCTCCCAAGTAGCTGGGATTACAGGTGCACGCCACCACGCCTGGCTAATTTTTGTATTTTTAATAGAGACGGTTTCGCCATGTTGGTCAGACTGGTCTCGAACTCCTGGCCTCAAGTGATCTGGCCGCCTCGGCCTCCCAAAGTGCTGAGATTACAGCGGTGAGCTACCGTGCTTGGACTTCTTAAATGAAGAAATACTTAAATTGCTTATTTACAAGGATAGTGCTAATTAGTAATAATTATTATCTGATCATTAAATTAGACCTGCCTCCGGATCTCCTGTTAGGTACCCACAGAGGCCCACATCAGGTGAAGAACAGGCAAACTGTACATGTTTAAAATAACCTGATCAGCTCCCAGAGAGCCAGATGGTTGTCTCTCCTGCCTCTTCAGCCTCCTGTACCTAAGGCCTCTGGAGTCTTTGGATGGTATGATATTCTATCTGATCCAGCCCCTTGCCTTACAACTAGATGCACACAGCCACTGGGAGGAGGGCCGTGTCTTGAGCCCTTTGAAGGCTGTATGGTATAAGAACTGTCAGCCAAGGATGAGCCTGCCTGGGTATGGAGTCCCTTGCACACACCACAGATCTTCCTGGGACCTGAATCCACTGGGTACTGGGCTGTGCTGGGTGCTCGGGCGAGAGCAGTGAGCTAAACAGACTTAGCCTTGCCAGTACAGGACTCAGGGTCTGGGAGGGCAGATCAGGAGACAGACATGCACAAACTTTAGACACACCGAAACACATATGGCAACAAAGGAAATGTCTGAGGTGACAGTGAAGGCTGACCTTGCAGAAAGTGACCTGTGAGTCTGGGGGACTCAGGAAGGCCTCCACACGATGTGAGGATCCAGCAGAGATCTGAAGGGTGCATAGGAGTTATCAAGGTGAGAGAGGGCTGGGCATGGTGGCTCATGCCTGTAATCCCAGCACTTTGGGAGGCCGAGGCAGGTGGATCACCTAAGGTCAGGAGTTCAAGACCAGCCTGACCAACGTGGTGCAATCCTGTCTCTACTAAAAATACAAAATTAGCCAGACATGGTGGCATGTGCCTATAATCCCAGATACTTGGGAGGCTGAGGCAGGAGAATTGCTTGAACCCGGGAGGCAGAGGTTGCAGTTAGCAAGATCATGCCATTGCACTCCAGCCTGGGTGACAGAGGGAGACTCCATCTCAAAAACAAAAAAACAAAAAAACCATGAGAGGGTTTGAGAGAGAGTGTTGCAAGCTCAGTAGTGCATAAGTAGTGTTGTGAAGAGTATTGTGAATAGTATGAAAATGGTAGCAAGGGCCGGGCACGGTGGCTCACGCGTGTAATCCCAGCACTTTGGGAGGCTGAGGCGGGCGAATCACCAGGTCAGGAGATCGAGACCATCCTGGCTAACATGGTGAAACCCCGTCTCTACTAAAATAATACAAAAAATTAGCCGGGCCTGGTGGCACGCGCCTGTAGCCCCAGCTACTCGGGAGGCTGAGGCAGGAGAATCACTTGAACCCGGGAGGTGGAGGTTGCAGTGAGCCGAGATTGCGCCACTGCACTCGAGCCTGGGCAACAGAGCGAGACTCTGTCTCAAAAACAAAAAACAAAAAACAAACAAACAAACAAAAAACCAGTATCGTGTATAGTGTGTGAATAGTAGTGAGTAGTGTATGAATAGTAGTGTGAATAACAGTATGAAAGTATTGTGAACATAGTGTCAATAACCATGTGAATAGCAGTGTAAATAGTGTGTGAATAGTAGTCTGAATAGTAGTGTGAGTAGTGTGCTAACAGGAGTGTGACTAGTGTGTGGATAGTATTGTAAATAGCAGTGTGAAAGTAGTGGGAAAAGCAGTGTGGATAGCACTGTGAATTGCAGTGTGAATAGTGTGAATGGCAGTGTGAATAGCATGCAGATAGCAGTGTGAATCGTATGAATAGTAATAGCATGAATAGTGTGCAAACAGTGCAAATAGAAGTGTGAATGGTAGTGTGAACTGTGTGCAAATGGTATATAAATAGCATGTGCATAGGAGTGTAACTAGTATGTGGCCAGTACTGTGAATAGTAGCAGCGATGGTAGTATGAATAGCATGTGAATTGTGTGCAAATCATAGTGTGAATAGTGTATCCAGACTGTGTGCATAGTGTATGAAAAAGCTCTGTGGCCTGCTGAGAGTCCAAATGGCTGGACGAGCTGTACCACTGAGCAAAGTTATGAGTAGAGAGGAGGGCTAGGACCCAGGTCTGGAGTCTGGGGCAGTCAGTGTGGCATCCATGACTGTGCCATTTGCTCTGTCTAGGTTTTCCTGGCAAAGGAGCCTTTGGTGGTGGATGTCTTCATGGCACATGTGAGGACCATCAATACCAAATCTCCCTTCATCTGCTTGGAGTTCCCTGCATCAGTACATGATCCCATATAGGGCAGGGTAAGCATTGTTCTTCAGGTTTCTTTTTAAAACTCTAAGTGCTATTGGGAAAGGGAAGCCAGTGGTCCTCCCACCACTGAGTGACTGGGGCTGGGTGGGCTAAACCTGGAGGAGAAGAGGCCTGGGAAGGGTGAGGCTGCCACGGGTACCTCATAGGTTGGTTGACCAGGCCTGACTGGTGGCCTGTAAGCTGCTACCTGGCAACCAAACCTCTGCCCTGGACTTACACTGTGAGCCCCTCTTCCCTCTTCTCGGGGTGATCTCGCATTGGTAAGTCAGGGTCAGTTCCCTGGGGCCCAACTCCCACCCAGGCTCTGTGTCTGACATGAGGTCACAGAACACCCCCATGCTAGCATGTTTGCTCCCAAGTTTAATGTCCTTTTTCAAAGTAGATGTCATTTCAAAGCTTTTATTTATTTATTTATTTATTTATTTATTTATTTATTTATTTATTTATTTTGAGATGGAGTCTGGCTCTGTGGCCCAGTGTAATGGCAGGATCTTGGCTCACTGCGAGCTCTGCCTCCCGGGTTCATGCCATTCTCCTGCCTCAGCCTCTCGAGTAGCTGGGACTACAGGTGCCTGCCACCACGCCCAAGTAATTTTTTGCATTTTTAGGAGCGATGGGGTTTCACCATGTTAGCCAGGCTGGTCTCAATCTCCTGACCTCATGATCTGCCCGCCTCAGCCTCCCAAAGTGCTGGGATTACAGGTGTGAGCCACTGCGCCCAGCCAGCTTTTATTCATTCTTAGGCTGACTTTCAGTGACATATATAATACAAATAATGGGAAAAAACATAACATTTTTAAAGCTAGAGTTCTCCCATCTCTGTCCCCCACTTAGGGTTATTGGTTGGATGTGTCTTCTTCCAGTCTTTTTTAAATGCATTTTCATTGTTAAGTATGTAGATACAAAAATAATTTTGTTTGGGATATACACACACACACACACACAAGTCTGAGTTATATGTATTATTCAGCAGCTTCCTTTTTCAGCTACTGGTACATGTTGGAGATCTTTGCACATCAATGTATATAAACCTACTTCCTTCTTTTTAAATGACTGCTTAGTATTCTCCAGTGTGTATTCCATGGGTTATTTGCCATCCTCTCTCTGATGAACATTCACATTGTTTCCAGATTGTCACCATGACAAGCAACACTGTAGCAAACATCCTTGTGTGTGACTCAGCTTAGCTCAACTCAAGGATGGCTGTTTTGTTTGGCGATGAGGTCTGCATCAGAGGAGGTATTCAAGTAAAGGGTAAAATAATATGTCTTCCTCAACCCACAGCAGTGATGCTCAAACTTTGTTGGGTATGGAAACTACCTGGAGAGGTTTTTAAGCTATACATTGGCGGGCCAGACCCCTGGAATTTCTGATTCAGGAGGACTGGGATGAGGCCTGAGAATTTGCATTTCTAGCAAGTTCCCATGCGATGCCCCTGGTTTAAGGACTTTGGGAATTGCTGCCTCAGGGTGTTAGCTGCTCAGCCTCTACTTACTTGAAGAGTCACATCATCCTAGGAAGACAATATTCAAGGAGAATTAATCTTGGGCCCCTCCCTCTACTAAGAGGTAGGTGCCCTACCTGGCATCCCTTTGGGAGGCAGGGGCTTCAGGGCACTGGTGATGGGTCCAGAGGTCTGGCTAACAGGGCTGCCGGGTCAGATGTTCCAGCTAGGCCTAAAAGCCTAGGACCTCTTGACTCTTGACATAGCCTGCAGGACTGTCCTTTTCTTGGCATCCAACCGCCCACCCCCGTGCAGTGAGCGACTCACCCCATTCTTCCCTTTGGAGCTAAATGAAGGGTTCTGAGGCTGGCAGCGAGCTGTTTACACAACATGATTGGGAAGTGCTCTGGGGTTTTCATAACAGAAACAACGGGAGACCACATCCCCAGAGAAGGTCTTCTAAAAGTCTTGAGGTTTCAAGACCCTGATGTTCTCTTTGTTCCCAGCTGGACTGCAGGAGGTCACAATGGGGTTGGAGGAGACCATCACTGGGGCAGAGGTAGGAGGAACCTGGAGCTGGGACCCTTGGAACTAAAGACCATCCAGAAAGACTTACTGCCCTTCCTGGGCTTACTTGGTGGCTTGGACACTTCTGCACCTGAGGATGGTCCAGTTGCAGGCTGATGGTCAGACCCAATGGGCATTTGTCCGGTGTTTCTGCCCAGAGCAGAGCTGTGTCACCCTGCAGTTCACAGAACTCCTGGTCCTTTCCCCCCAGTGTGCTGTCCATGAACATCAGCCACCTTGATCATGAGAAAGAGGATTCCCGTCAACTGCAGGTTCCTCTGTTTGTTGCAGGTAGCGAAGGGAGGTGGGAAGGAGGCTCTGTTACCTACCACAAAGTGACCACAAATCCTGTGAGATGGATGGAAGCTCCTTTGGAGCTCCTGAGAGCTGCAGCAGGTCCTGCCCCTTCAGTGGGACAGAGTCTGGCTCCAGTTTTAATCCTGGGCAGTAATATTTGGGGTACCCTCTCTCTCTGGTTGGGTAACGTATAAAGTCCTGTCTCTCTTGACTGGTTATTGTTCATGGTTGTAAGCCCAACATCTAATATATAGTAGGTGCCTAACAGTCCCTGTTGAGTAAATAATGAGATGAAGTTCTTAGAAGGTGTCTGCAAGATGGACTAGCCTTTGCATTCCCTGGAATCGGTGGGCTGGACCCTAGGGCGAGCTGCTCAGCTACTTGAGAACCCCTTTGCATCGCTGCTGCTGTGGGGGACTGGATTCCACTACCAGAAACAACTTCCACACAACCTCAGATGCCAAAGGAGCCCTGGGGGTAAACTCCAGCCTCCTATCCAGGGGTTACCCTGGGACAGGCCCACCACAGAGGAGCATGTACAGAGAGGGGAGACTGGCTTCTCCCTTCCCAAGCAGGAGGGGTGGAGTGGATCTGTGACCATTATGTCAGCATTTCGCAGACCCCAGGTCCGCCCACAAGGGCTAAGGGCAAGGCCATGCTGTGTCCAGGATCCAGCACCCCACCCCTCAACCCACAGCCACCCTCCAACTCCGCACTAATACTGGAACTGGGTGGGGGTGGGGGCAGAGAATTTTAATTCTTTCAGACTCAAAACTTAACTTCTCATTTCTTTCAAGACACTCACCCCTCACCCAAAAAACGAAAGTCAAGGCTAAGGGGAATTCTGCGTGGTGGAAAAGCTTAAGGTGTTACTTTTGGTCTGGGTGAAGCTGGTCATCTGCATTTACCACACGCAGCCAAAAGTGCCGGAGGCTGAGAGCCCTGAGGCTGAGGGTCTCTAGGTGGGAATGACAGGGTGGGTTGGAGGCGTGGAGAAGGGCGCTCCCCCGAGGCTGGGCGAGGAGGATGTCGCCACCTGCACAGCTGGCGCGGCTGGGCCCAGGGTTGGGGGGAAGGGGCGAGTCCCTTTGTGGGCCTCCAAGTCCAGCCCTTCCCCTGCCGCCCTACACGCGGCGCTTTGAAGTGGCCGCGCTGGCTGCCCCCTCCCGCACGGCGCCGCCCCCGCTGCGTCCGCACCTTGGCAGTGGCTGAGCGCCTTCCAAGGGAAGGGGAGGGTGGCACCCGCTGGGAACTCTTTGTAAATTCATCCCCCAGGAAGGCTGGGCCGAGGATCCCCTCGGGGGAATCCGCCTCCGGGGTCGCGGGGTCGAGGTGTGTTGGGTTAACCCCTAACACTGCCTGAAAGATTGGTCACCCCTCGGGACTCAGGGTGGGACGTCAGAGCCCCCACCCCTAGGTTCCTCTGCTGGGCGGGGTTTACGCCCCTGGGAAGCGGCTGGGGATGGTGACGCTTGGACCGGTTTCCTGTGAAAATCCTACGAGCCATTTTGGCAATAAATTTGTACAAGTTCTTTAAAACTGTGCAGACCTCTGATCCAGCACCTCCTTGCTGCCTAGAAAATAATCGCAGATACGTGCAAAAAGGTATGTGCTATGACGCATTGGAGCATTGCTTAGAACTGGGAAACCGTGGGAATATTCAGCAGTAGAGATTATTATATTCACTAATAAACTAATAGTTTACCACCGGCCAGACAGCATTGGGGAAAATCCGAGACTTCAAATCATGAGTAATGATGACATAGAATATTTACTATGAACAAAAAAAATTGCTCTTGACATTGTTAACCAATAACTATATAAGCCTGTATGGAAAAAAGACTGGAAGGAAATAAGACAACACATTCTTAGTAGTGGTTCTCTCTGGGTGCTGGGATTAAAGGATGACTGTGATTATCTTAGGCGTTTCTGAAATGTTTAATACTCTACGCCATAATCATGTATTTAAAAATAAATGTTGTTTAGATAAAACCTTAGTTCAGCCAGGCGTGGTGGCTCAAGCCTGTAATCCCAGCGCTTTGGGAGGCCGAGATGGGCAGATCACGGACAGCAGCCTAGCTCTTGGACTAGGGTGACTAGATAGGATGAAACCCCATCTCTACCAAAAATAAAAAAAATTAACCGAGCATGCTGGGAGGCACCTATAATCCCAGCTACTCGGGAGGCTGAGGCAGGAGAATCGCTTGAAACTGGGAAGCAAAGGTTGCAGTGAGCCGAGATCACGCCATTGCACTCCAGCCTGGGCAACAGAGCGAGGCTCCACCTCCAAAAAAAATAAGAAAGTAAAGGAATAAAAGAATGGCTACTTCACAGACAGAGCAGAGGGCTGCTGGTTGCCCATTTGTATGGCTGTTTTTTTTTTATCACATGCTAAACAAGGGGTGGATTATTCATGCCTCCCCTTTTTAGACCGTATAGGGTAACTTTCTGATGTTGCCATGGTATTTGTAAACTGTCAGGGTGCTGGTGAGAGTGTAGCAGTAAGGATGAAGATAGGTCACTCTTGTCGCCATCTTGGTTGTGGTGGGTTTTGGCCAGCTTCTTTGCTGCAATCTGTTTTATCAGCAAGGTCTCAATGACCTGTATCTTGTCCCGACCTCCTATCTCATCCTGTGACTTAGAATGCCTTAATCATCTGGCAATGCAACCCAGTAGGTCTCAGCCTCATTTTACTCAAGATGGAGTTGCTCTGGTTCAAACACTTTTGACACATCCATCAGCATGCAAACCAGCCCTAACCCAACCCGAACCCTCAAAGGTAGAGAAATAAAGAGAAACGCTGAGAAGCAGGAGTGAGACCCCCTCACTCCCCAAAGGCCATAGTGTGGTCTCCTAGAGGCTCCGGGTCTGATGATTCAACCTTTCTTCGATGCCATTCAGGAGGCCTGGGTGGTAGAGGAAGCTTCCAGGACTTGTCAGACATTCAGCTTCCTTCCTAATAGGTGGTGATCAGCTGGCTATGGGAGAGACCCCTCACCTCTGAGGGGATCATCATTCCTTCCTCCTGCCCTGCTCCACCTTCATATGTTCCTCTGATTAAGAACACTCCTGAATTATTAGGTGATGGCTGGTGGAGAAGTATTGAGAACTATGTTCTCCCAGGATTTATTCAGAGGGTTGGGACTATAGCCCATTGAAATGGGCCCCTCCATCCTGCACCATAAGGTTTAGAGAACACTAAAAAAATTTCCCTTATCTCTAGTCAGCTCTGGTGATCCTTTGAAGTTTTTGTTTCTAATTTGGCAGATTATTACTGTAATTCATTTTGTGCTTCTGATTTCTTTAACATTCATTTTTTTTCTTCTGAAAGCACAGTAAAACATGGGGGGTGGCTGTGTGGGTGGGAGTCTTGCTGGGACTCCCAGAGAGGACTGCTACTAAGTAAACTTTGCTTTTACTAAAAGGCGCACGTGAACACACACACACACACACACACACACACACACACACACACACACAGTCACCTCCCAGAGAAGTTTTTTTCTGTTCTAAATTCACTTTAGATAAGTGTACTGATTCAGCTTAGAGATTTTTAAAACACTGAAAAGAAATGAGAAAAGAAGACCAAGATGCACAGAGGATAGAGTAAGTGGAAGAAACACCTCTACTATTAATTTCGGCAGAAGACAATGGAGAGAATGGGGAAGAAGCAATATGCAAAGAGCTGACAGCTAATAATTTTCCAGAACTGTTGGGTCTGTGACTCCTCAGGCTGAAGAGGCACAGTGGTTTCCGAACAGAGAAAATATAAATCACTTTATACCTAGCCACGTTGTAGTGAAACTTCTTGACACCAAAGACAATGAGAAAATCCTAAAAGAAACCACAGAAAAAAGAAAAATTACCTACAAAGAAATCATAAGTAAACAGCCTTCTCATTAGCAACAAAAGAGATCTGAATAATATCTTCAAAGGGCTGAGGGAAAATAATTGTTTTCCCCAAATTCTAAACTAAAATACGTGTTGTTCAAGAATGAGTGCAAAATAATGACGTTTCAGACAAAAAAAAAAAAAGCACTGAGAAACATTTTCACATACATCCCCTCATTGAAAAAATTGCTGAAGAGTATTCCTCAAAAAGAAAAAAAAAACTGATAGGAGTGGAACGGAAGACACAATACTAAGGGGAAAAAGAATATATGTTGGGTAAATCTCATAATCCTTGTGTATAAAACAACAACAATGATAGCAACTAATTGGGAGGGTTTAAAATGAGAAAAAAAAATAAACTGATAGGTAACAATAATTAAGAAGATGGAGTAGAGTAATTGAAGTGAAGCATTCTGTTTTTGTTTTGTATTTTTTTTTGAGATGTAGTCTCCCTCTGTCGCCCAGGCTGGTGTGCAGTGGTGCGATCTCTGCTTACTGCAACCTCCACCTCCCAGGTCCAAGTGACTCTCCTGCCTCAGCCTCCCACGTAGCTGGTATTACAGGCTCACACCACCATGACCGGCTAATTTTTTTATTTTCAGTAGAGACAGGGTTTCACCATGTTGGCCAGGCTGGTCTTGAACTCCTGACCTCAAGTGATCCGCCTTCCTTGGCCTCCCAAAGTGCTGGGATTACAGGCCTGAGGTATCATGCCCAACTGAAGTGAAGCATTCTAAGGTTCTTTTGTTGTTTTGGAAGAGAGTGTAACAGAAAGTGAACTGATCATGAAGCTAGGGAAGTATAAGCTGCAAGAGTAATTTCTGTCTCCTTCTCCTTCTCCCTCTCCTTCTCCCTCTCCCTCTCCCTCCCCCTCTCCTCCCTCGCCCTCCCCCTCCCCCTCACCGCCTCCCCTTCTCCTTCTCCTCCTCCTTCTTCTTTTTTTAAAAAAGAGAGCTTCCAAATTGAATAAGCTTCAGATCCCATAAAACCTGGATCTGCCTCTGAGGTAGCATTAATATTTCATATTTGGACTTTATTAAGACAATTCTATAAGTTAAAAATGTAAAGACAACTACTAAAAGTATAAAAAACAGAATATATAACTTTTTTTTTTTTTTTTTTTTTTTAGAATATGTAACTTCTAACCTGCTAGGGAAAATAAAGATAAGAACATTTGATCTGACTGGGAGCGGTGGCTCACACCTGTAATCCCAGCACTTTGGGAGGCCGAGGTGGGCATGTCACCTGAGGTCAAGAGTTCAAGACCAGCCTGACCAACATGGAGAAACCCTGTCTCTACTAAAAATACAAAATTAGCCAGGCATGGTGGCATATGCCTGTAATCCCAGCTCCTCGGGAGGCTGAGGTAGGAGAATCGCTTGAACCCAGAAGGCAGAGGTTGCAGTGAGCTGAAATTGTGCCATTGCACTCCAGCCCGGGTAACAACAAACTCCGTCTCAAAAAAAAAAAAAAAGAACTTTTGATCAAAACAATCAAAAGCAGGAAAAGAGGGGGAAAAAGAAGCAAAGAAAACACATTATAAACAAAAAATACAAACTAGAATGGCAGATGTGGCAAAATTTATTACTTAACCCTAGATATCTGTTCTCCCTTTCTAGCAGGGGAATGGATATTTTTTGCCAAGCAGATTTAAAATCTATTATACATCCCTCAGCCTCTCTTACAGATAGATTTGGCCAGTGGTATGTGACCAGAAGTGACATTGCAATTTCTGTGTTGCCATTAAACGGGGAAATTCTCTTCTATTCCCTTCTCTTTCTCCTTTTCCTCTTCTAATTGGTTGGAATTCAGGTGTAATAACAGGAGCTACATCATCTATCTCACACCAAAAGATGGAAGCTGTGTATTGAAGATGACAGAGCAATAAGAAAGGAAGAGACTGGGCCCCCGATAATTTTGTGGAGAAGAGCTATCACACTAGCCAGGACTTTTATGTAAGAGTTAAAAATTTCATCTTGTTTAAGCCACTTTTAATTTGATTTCACTGCAAAAGCAGCTAACCAATATACTAACACATGTAGCAGGTATAAATTATGTTAGAAATTACAGTAAAAGTAAATGGAGTAGACTATTTAAAAGACAGTGATTTTCAGGCTAGAATAAAACAAAAACAAAACAAAATAAACACAGACATGCTCATTTGTTATATATTGTCTATAGCTGCATTCACACCTTACTACCAGAGTTGAATAGTTACAACAGAGACTGTAAAACGTCAAAAATATTTACTATCGGCCGGGCATGGTGGCTCATGCCTGTAATCTCAGCACTTTGGGAGGCTGAGGTGGGTGGATCGCAAGGTCAGGAGTTTGAGACCAGCCTGGTCAGTATGGTGAAACCCCATCTCTACTAAAAATACAAAAATTAGCCAGCACTCTCCAGCCTGGGCAACAGAGCGAGACTCCGTCTCAAAAAAATAAGTAGATAAAAATATTTACTATCGACCAGGCGCGGTGGCTCACACCTGTAATCCCAGCACTTTGGGAAGCTGAGGCAAGTGGATCATGAGGTCAGGAGTTCGAGACCAGCCTGCCCAACATGGTGAGACCCCCCATCTCTACTAAAAATATGAAATTAGCCAGGCGTGGTGGCGGGGGCCTGTAATCCCAGCTACTCGGGAGGCTGAAGCAGGAGAATCACTTGAAACCAGAAGGCAGAGGTTGCAGTGAGCCAAGATGGCACCACTGCACTCCAGCCTGGGCAAAAGAGTGAAACCCCGTCTCAAAAAAAAAAAAAAAAAAAAAATTTACTATCTGGCCCTTTACAGAAAAAGTAAGTTTGATGACCCCTGAACTAATTCATAAAGCAAATTTTAACAAATATCAAAGAATAGCTATCATACTGACTATATTATCTCATCTTAATGAAATAAAACTAGAAGTTAAAACCAAAGAGGCAGGGCACAGTGGCTCATGTCTATAATTCCAGCATTTTGAGAGGCTGAGACAGGTGGATAACTTGAGGCCAGGAGTTTGAGACCAGCCTGGCCAATATTGCAAAACCCTGTCTCTACGAAAAATACAAAAATTGGCTGGGTGTGGTGGCGCACGCTTGTAGTCCCAGCTACTCGGGAGGCTGAAGCAGGAGAATTACTTGAACCCAGGAGGCAGAGGTTGCAGTGAGCCAAGATGTGCCACTGCACTCCAGCCTGAATGGTAGAGTGAGACTCTGTCTCAAAAAAAAAAAAAAAAAAAAAATTAAAATTAAAACCAAAGAGATAGCCAAAATAATCCCATTATATTTGGATGTGTGTCTAAATAATTCATAGGGAAAAGAGGAAACCACAGAGAAAATTACAAAACATTTGGAAGTGAAGATCATTAAAACATCATATAAATTTTTTTTGGAATCAGCTAGAACAATGATTAGAGAGAAATTTATATCCTTTAAAGAATACATTAGAGAAAGAAAAAGACTAAAAATTAATAAGGTGAGTATCCAGTTCAAGAATTAGAAAAAGAGTAACAGGATAGCCTGAAGAAAGTAGTAAAAAAGGAAATAAAAAAGGAAACTAAGGCCGGGCATGGTGGCTCATGCCTATAATCCCAGCACTTTGGAAGGCTGAGTCAGGCAGATTGCTTGAGCTCACAAGTTCAAGACCAACCTGGGCAATATGGCAAGACCCCATCTCTACTAAAAATACAAAAAAATAGCTGGGCATGGTGGTGCACGCCTGTGGGTCCCAGCTACTTGGGAGGCTGAGGTGGGAGGATCACTTGAGCCCAGGGAGCAGAGGTCACAGTGAGCTGAGATCACACCATTGTACTCTAGCCTGGGTGATAGAGCCAGACCTTAGCTCAAAAAAGGAAAAAAAAAAAAGAAGTTACAGAAAAATTGAATAGTTTTATGTTAGTTCTATATCCCTTGTATCAGTTATCTATTGCTTAGTAACAAATCACCCCCAAAACATAGTATCTTAAAACAATAATCAGACCAGGCCCAGCGGCTCACACTTGTAATCCCAGCACTTTGGGAGGCCGAGGTGGGCAGATCATCTGAGGTCAGGAGTTCGAGACCAGCCTGGCCAACATGGTGAAACCCCATCTCTACTAAAATACAAAAATTAGCCAGGTGCAGTGGCAAATGCCTGTAATCCCAGCTACTCGGGAGGTTGAGACATGAAAATTGCTTGCACCAGGAGGCGGAGGTTGCAGTGAGCCAAGATTGCACTACTGCACTCCAGCCTGGGTGACAGAATAAGACTCTCTCTCTCTCAAAAAAAAACCCCAAAAAACAAAAAAACAATAATCAGTCAGCTGGGTATGATGGCTCACGCCTGTAATCTCAGCACTTTGGGAAGTTGAGGCAGGAGAATCACTTGCCCAAAATTACAGTGGAAGAAAAAAATTGCAATTTTATATTCAAGATGCCATGATTGTCTATATGAAAAATTCATGGACTGGACACAGTGGCTCTTGCCTGTAATCCCAGCACTTTGAGAAGCTGAGGCAGGAGGATCACTTGAGCCCAGGAGTTTGTGACCAGCCTGGGCAACATAGGGAGAACCTGTCTCTAAAAAAAAAAAAAAAAAAAAAAAAATTAGTACAGGTGGTATGCGCCTGTAGTCTCAGCTACTGGGGAGGCTGAGGAGGGGGAATCGCTTGAGTCTGGGGGTTTGAGGCTGCAGTGAGCTCTAATTGTGCTACTGCACTTCAGTCTGGTGACAGAGAAAGACCATGTCTCTAAAAATAAATAGATAAGTAAGTAAATAAATAAAAATTAGACAACAATCATTTTATTTGCTCATGATTCTGTGGTTAGCAGTTCAGGCCAGGCACATCTGGACAGTTCTTCTGCTGGTCTTACCTAGGGACACTCTGGCAGTGACCACCATCTGGCAGCTCTTCTGGCTCTGGACAATCCAGGATGCCCTCCCTCACGTGTCTAGCAGTTGGTGCTGGCTGTCAGCTGAGTCACATGTCTCCGTCAGGTTATTCCAGACTTCTTGTGTTAGCAGAAGGATTCCCAGCAAGCAGCAAAATACAGCAAGCCCCAGTGCACAAGTGTTTTTCAAGCCTCTGCTTGTATCACACTTGCTAATGTCTCATTGGCCAAATTATAACAAATCTTGGCCAAAGCAAATCACTGAATCAATGTGGGAGGGATTATACATAGGTAAGGATACAGGGATAGAGACAGGGATGGGGGTAGGGAGGCTGTTACTATAACAATCAACCAAGACTGTTAAGTAAACATATAAATCAACCCTCCCTAAATACATTGTGGTAGTCCACACTGGATGTTGGAACGGAGAAAGGACATTAGTGGGAAAACTAATGGTGGTGGTGAAATCCAAACAAAGACTGGAGTTTAGTTAATAGTAATATATCAATGTTAATTTCTTATTTAGACAAATATACCATGGTTATATATTCATATATTAACTTGAGGGGAAACTAGATGACAGATATAGGGAAACTCTGTTCACCATCTTTGAAACTTTTTTGTAAGTCTAAAATTATTCCAGAACTAAAAGTTTATTTTAAAAAAGCAACAACTTTCCAACATACTGGGAAACTATAGGCCTAGGTAATTTTATGGGTGATTTTTGCCAAATTATTCAAGGAACAGATATCCCTCTCTTATTTAAACTGTTTCAGAAAATTCAGGCCGGGTGCAGTGGCTCATGCCTGTAATCCCAGCACTTTGGGAGGCCGAGGAGGGCAGATCATTTGAGGTCAGGGCTTCGAGACCAGCCTGGCTAACATGGTGAAACCCCATTTCTACTAAAAAAACAAAAATTAGCTGAGCATGGTGGTGGGCGCCTGTACTCCCAGCTACTCAGGAGGCTGAGGCGGGAGAATCGCTTGAATCTGGGAGGTAGAGGTTGCAGTGAGCCGAGATTGCGCCATTGCACTCTAGCCTGGGCAACAGAGCAAGACTCCATCGCAAACAAAGAAACAAAAACAAAACAAAAAACAAACAAAAGCTGTTTCAGAAAATTGGAAAAGAAAGAATGCTTCTTAATTAACTTTATGAGGTTAGTATAATCTTGTTTGGTCAAGGGCAATATGAGAATATTATAGGCAATCTCATTTGTGAAGAGAAAGGCAAACTTCCTAAATGTATTAGCAAACTGTATATAGATACACACACCAGGGATACAAGGACAGTTTAAAATTAGAAAACCTAAAGTAATTTGCCAAATTAATGAAGTAAAGAAGAACAATCATATAATCATCTCAACAGATGCAAGTAGAAAAAGCATTTGATAAAAATTCCGTATCACTCCTTGTAAAAACTCTTGACCAGCCAGGCAAAGTGGCTCAAGCCTGTAATCCCAGCACTTTGGGAGGCTGAGGCAGGTGGATCACAAGGTCAGGAGATCAAGACCATCCTAGCCAACATAGTGAAACCCCATCTCTACTAAAAATACCAAAATTAGCCGGGCATGGTGGTGGGCTGCTGTAGTCCCAGCTACTCAGGAGGCTGAGGCAGGAGAATCGCTTGAACCCAGGAACCTGGGAGGCAGAGGCTGCAGTGAGCCAAGATCATACCACTGCACTCCAGCCTGGACGACAGAGCAAGACTCTGTCTCAAAAAAAACAAAACCAAAAAAACCCAAAAAACAATTCTTGACCAATCCAGAATTGAAGGGAACTTCCCAAACCTGAGAAAGGGTATCTACTAAATACCTACAGCAAACAATATCCTTGATGGCAAAATATTTTAAGCATTTCCGTTAAAATCTGACATGAGGAAAATCTACCTGCTACCACTGATACCACTCAACATTGTGCTAGATGTTTTAGCTAGCATAGTAAGATGAGAAAAAGAAATTCAAAGAATAAAAATTACAATGGAAGAAAAAATTGCAACTTTATGTGTAAGAAGACATGATTGTCTTCATAAAAAATTCAGGGGCTGTGTGCAGTGGCTCTCGCTTATAATCCCAGCATTCTTGGGGGCTGAGGCAGGAGGATCCCTTGAGTCCAGGAGTTCAAGACCAGCCTGTGCAACATAGGGAGACCCCATCTCTACAAAAAAATTTTAAAATTAGCTGGGTATGGTGGTGTGTGCCTGTAGTCCCAGCTACTTGGGAGGTGGTGGTGAGAGGATTGCTTGAGTCTGGGAAGTTGAGGCAGCAGTGAACTGTGATCTTACCATTGCATTCCAGCCTGGGCAACAGAGTGAGACCTATTCCAAACAACAATAACAACAAATTCAGGGACTTTACAAGTGAGCTGTTTGAACTAAGAACAGTTTAGTTAGGTGGCTGGATATAAAGTCAGTATACAAATGTGAAATAAAAATATTTAACAATTATATCCAGGAGGGAAGATGAGGAACAGGAAGAACAGGATGGAGGATGGGGCTTTAGCCATAGGTATAGTTTGCTTCTTTAAAAAGAAAAAAAAAAAAAAAAAGGAGGCTAGATGTGGTGGCTCATGTCTGTAATCCCAGCACTTTGGGAGGCCGAGGTGGGCAGATCACTTGAGGTCAGGAGTTCGAGACCAATATGGTGAAACCCTGTCTCTACTAAAAATACAAAAAATGAGTCAGGTGTGGTGGTGTGTGCCTGCAATCCCAGCTACTCGGGAAGCTGAGGTGGGAGAATTGCTGGAACCTGGCTGGAGGTTGCAGTGAGCTGATCGCACCATTGCACTCCAGCCTGGGTGACAGGGTGAGACCCTGTCTCAAAAAAAAAAAAAAAGAAGAAGAAGAGGAGGAGATCTGCAACAAATAAAGCACAAGTATGTCTACTATATCGTTTTCATTTGTTGAATGTTTCCATGTAATATACATAATACATATAGAATGATATGTGCAACATATATATGATTTATAGGTATAATTTCAAAATAAGCCTCATGACCCTTACAACTAACTTAAAAACTAGAATTTTACCAAGACCATTTTACTATTGTATCCTCCTTCCCCATCCTTTGTCTTCCAGCCTACAAGCAAGCTCTATTCTGAATGTTGCAGTTATAAATTCTTTGATATTTTAAAATAGGGTTTGAGCTATCATATTATTTTCTGTACTTTTCAATGTGTTTGAAATGCTTCCAAATTTTAAAAAAGGCAAAATATGTCTATTCACAAGTGTATCATATATCTCTAATAAGAAACACGATTATTGGAAAAGAAATGTTTGGAAATGACTAGGAAGCTTTTTGGTTTCCTAATGTGTACTGACCTTACTATTCATTCATTCATATTTCCTGAGCACCTTCCTGGTGCCAGGCACTGTGCCAGGTGCTGGGGATGCAGACACCTGCATTGGACGGGTGGTCGATCCCTGGCTGGGATGAGGTGCGTGCAGCGCATCAACGTGGTAGCTGGAGCACAGTTGCACTCAGTGGTGACCAGTATTATTATTATTAGTTCCTAAGAAATGGCACAAAGTTTCCAGCTGCTGAAATCAGGATCAGTTTCTGACTCTTGGCTTTACTGTGCCCAACATGTGCTCATTAGAGTCTGTATCTGGCTTGTTCCATGTACTTGATGAGGCCAGCATCACTAGCAGGGGCCCTGGGGTGTGGGAGAGGATCTCTGTGGAACAGCCCTGGAGGGCGTGCAGGGTGCAGAAGGCCTGTGGATTTTAGAGATGCTCAGAGTCCTGGGGGTGGGTGTGATTGCTCCTGAAGGAGACACACAGTCTCCCTGGGCCTCTGCCCAAGCCTGGCTTTGGCTCTCATTCCTTGCTGTTTGTGCCTCTCTGCGTCACCTTCAGCCACACAATCAAACATGTATAACAAAGAAACCCAAACAAGACATCAAATTTGGGTAGCATTTAAGTTTGCTGTTGCTGAGAATCAGTTCTTGAACTGAAAGGAATTTTGTTGGGGGCAGGATTGAGGTGGGGGGTATAGGGTGTGGTTGGCTTCATTATACTAGCACAAAATAATGACCCAGTTCTCTTGAAAATTCTGGAAACCCTGTTGTCATGGACAAGGATGCCCAAATGGCTCGGGGGTGTGCTGATGCTCAGAGGCCTGTGGGGTCAGCTCCTGTTTGGTAGGAGCTCATGAAACAGCGCGACGGGCTTCTAGCTTCCTGGCCCTATGAACAAGGCTGCTCCAGGCCCTCCCTGGGTGTGGGGATGTCTTAGAGGGCAGAGGACCACTTCCCTGGGGCCACTGCCTACAGCACGTGGGAGGCTCTCCCATAGTTTCACTTGAAAGATGCAGAATGAAAGTGTGCTAGGCTCTGATGCCAGCCGCTTCCTCTTGGTCTAGAGCCAAGGAAGCCCTGGGTCAGAGCATGTCCAAGCCTCTCTCCTGGGATCACATCACTGAAACTGTACCTTGGCTCTGTGTCCTGGGAGCCTGGGAGCCTCACGTTGGCTGGTGGGGAGGGAAGCTGTAAGAGTGCCCAGTCTGCTGCTCCTGTCTGGGCCTTTCTTTCCTTACAGCCCTCAGCCTGGAGCTCTGGAGCTCCTTGCCAGCGTTGCCACCCCATAGGCTGGCAAAGCCTGCTAGGACAGAAGGCCTGTAATTTGTGACTCATGGCCTGTTGCCGACCATGGGTTGGCAAGCCACAATCTAGGCAGTGCTGAATCACTCTGGCTTGCCTGTTCTGCTGGCATGCAGGGTGCATAGCCTCTGCATTGGCACGCGGGCATGAGGAGGCGGTTATTGTAAAGCCCACCCTTGATGGCTGGGTGGAGTTGGGCTCAGCTCCTGGGGAGAGGGCAAGGTGGGGCCAGGGACTGTCTGCTGGGGCTGCAGTTCCCTGCAGAGAGGCTTGTGGAGAGGCCTTGGAGTGCCGGTCACGTTGCTGTGTCAGGTTCAGACACCCTCTGCCTCAGGAAGGCCCTGCTTGCTCAGGTCCCCTCAGTCCCTGGGAATGATAGGCTCCATCTTTGCTCTGTTCCCTATCTGGCCCTGATTAGAATGCAGTTTGCATGATCAAGGCTGGTGCAATGCATGGTCTGCCTAAGGTCTCTCAGGTGGCCTTAAGAGTCAGAGTCCTTGGGCCGGGTGCGGTGGCTCACGTCTGTAATCCCAGCACTTTGGGAGGCCAAGGCAGGTGGATCATGAGGTCAGGAGATTGAGACCGTCCTGGTTAACACGGTGAAACCCCTTCTCTACTAAAAATACAAAAAAAATTAGCCGGGTGTGGTGGCGGGTGCCTGTAGTCCCAGCTACTTGGGAGGCTGAGGCAGAAGAATGGCGTGAACTCAGGAGGCGGAGCTTCCAGTGAGCCGAGATTGCACCACTTCACTCCAGCCTGGGCGACAGAGTGAGACTCCGTCTCAAAAAAAAAACAAAAAACAAAAGTCAGAGTCCCTGGCTGGCCAGGGACAGCCCGGCTGCTGACCTGGGTCCGCTGGCCACTCACTCAGCCTTTTTATCATCATCAGCTTACAAAACAAGGACAGAAGTCAAAATAGTGAGAAGCAACTGGGCGTGGTGGCTCACACTTGTAATCTCAACACTTTGGGTGGCTGAAGCAGGCAGATTATTTAAGGTCTGGACCAGCCTGGTCAACATGGTGAAGCCCCATCTCTACTAAAAATACAAAAATTAGCTGGGCATGTGGCGGGTGCCTGTAATTCCAGCTACTTGGGAGGCTGAGGTGGGAGGATTGCTTGAGCCCAGGAGGTGGAGATTGCATTGAGCCAAGATCATGCCACTGCACTCCAGCCTGGGTGACAGAGCAAGAACTTGGTCTAAAACAAAACAAAACAAAACAAAAAACAGTGAGAAGTACCTTTTATTTTTGTCTGCCCATCAGACTGGCAAAAAATTTAAAGGACTAAAAATATCCAGTGTTGAAGCGAATGTAGGGAAATGGGTACTGCAATGTGGCAGGGGCAAGGGGGTCAAGACTGTTCTGAAGGGCCATTTGGCAGTACCTGTTAAAATTCAAAAGACACATATCCTTTTTTTTTTTTTTCAGATGGAGTTTCGCTCTTGTTTCCCAGGCTGGAGTGCAATAGTGCAATCTCTGCTCACTGTAACCTCCGCCTCCCAGGTTCAAGCAATTGTTGTGCCTCAGCCTCCCAAGTAGCTGAGATTACAGGCATGAGCCACCACACTTGGCTTATATAGATATAGATATAGATATAGATATAGATATAGATATAGATATAAATTTTTTTTTTTTGAGACGGAGCCTCACTCTGTCGCCCAGGCTGGAGTGCAGTGGTGTGATCTTGGCTCACTGCAACCTCCGCCTCCCAGGTTCTAGCAATTCTCCGGGCTCAGCCTCCCAAGTAGCTGAGATTAGAGGCGTGTGCCACCACAGCCAGCTAATTTTTGTATTTTTAGTAGAGATGGGGTTTCACCATATTGGCCAGGCTGGTCTCCAACTCCTGACCTCAAGTGGTATGCCCATCTTGGCCTCTCAGAGTGCTGGGATTACAGGCATGAGCCACCGTGCCCAGCCTTCACTTGGCTAATTTTATATTTTTAGTAGAGACAGGGTTTTACCATGTTGGTCAGGCTGGTCTCGAACTCCTGATGTCAGGTGATCCACCTGCGTCGGCCTCCTAAAGTGCTGGAATTATAGGTGTGAGCCACTGTGCCCAGCCAAAAGACACATATACTTTAGACTCAGCAGTAAACTTCTGAGAACACTTCATATAGAAAATCTTGGGCCGGGCGTGGTGGCTCACGCCTGTAATCCCAGAACTTTGGGAGGCTGGTGGAGAGGGGGGAGCGGATCACCTGAGTTCAGGAGTTCGAGACCAGCCTCAACATGGAGAAACCCATCTCTACTAAAAATACAAAATTAGCCGGGCGTGGTGGTGCATGCCTGTAATCTCAGCTACTCGGGAGGCTAAGGCAGGAGAATTGCTTGAACCTGGGAGGCGGAGGTTGCGGTGAGCCAAGATCGTGCCATTGCACTCCAGCCTGGGCAAAAAGAGCGAAACTCCGTCTCAAAAAAGAAAAAGAAAAACTTACACAATAATACAAAAACATTTTGCAATCCCAAGAATAACACAAAACACAAAAAGTTATGTTCAAGAATGTTCACTGGGGCTGGTGCAGTGGCTCATGCCTGTAATCCCAGCACTTCGGGAGGCCGAGGCTAGAGGATCACTTGAGCCCAGGAGGTGAAGGCTGCAGTGAGCCATGATCGCACCACTGTACTCCAACCTGGGCAACAGAGATAAACCCTGTCTCAAAAAAAAAAAAAAAAAAAAAAATTCAGTGCAGCTTTGTTGGCAATTGTAAAAAAGTAAAAAAGGCAACAGCCTTAATGTTCATCAATACAGTGATGTACACACTAGGCTACACATAGCTGCACATCTTTATGTACTGATTTATGCAAAAATCATATCTTGTAAGGTAAAAATAAATCACAGACCCCTAGATCTTTTTTTTTTTTTTTTTTTTTTTGAGACGGAGTTTCACTGTTGTCGCCTAGGCTGGAGTGCAATGGTGCTATATCGGCTCACTGCAACCTCTGCCTCCCCGGTTCAAGCAATTCACCTGCCTCAGCCTCCCGAGTAGCTGGGATTACAGGTGCATGCCACCACGTCCAGCTACTTTTTGTATCTTTTTAGTAGAGATGGGGTTTCACCATATTGGCCAGGCTGGTCTCAAACTCTTGACCTCAGGTGATTCACCTGCCTCAGCCTCCCAAAGTGCTGGGATTACAGGCGTGAGCCACCGCGCCTGGCCAATCTCTGGATTTAATATGATCTATTTAGGTAAGCAAGTTCTCTCTGTGTGTGAATGCATGTGTGCTTGCACGCCCATAGGAAAGGTCTGGAAGGATGTTAATGGTGCTTGTCTCTGGAAGGGGCTGATAACAATTGAGATAATGGGAGACTTTCACTTTTTAATCTATATAGTTTACAGGCATGTATTTACTTTTAAAGAAAAAAAGACAATTAAAAACAAAATAAGCAGCCGGGCGCGGTGGCTCACGCCTGTAATCCCAGCACTTTGGGAAGCCATGGCGGGCGGATCACCTGAGGTCAGGAGATCAAGACCACGGTGAAACCCTGTCTCTACTAAAAAAAAAAAAAAAAAAAAAAAAAAAAAAACATTAGCGGGGCGTGGTGGCGGGCGCCTATGGTCCCAGCTACTTGGGAGACTGAGGCAGGAGAATGACAAGAACCCGGGTGGCGGAGCTTGCAGTGAGCCGAGATCGCGCCACTGCACTCCAGCCTGGGTGACAGAGCGAGACTCCATCTCAAAACAAACAAACAAACAAACAAACAAAATAAGCACTTGTCCTCACATGTCACGAGGACCAGAATGCATGTACATGTATTTGTGCACGCCTGAGACACGGGGAAATCTCCTCCAAGGCTGAAAACTCTTCCCATGCCCCCCTTCCTCAGATCAAATCACCCCATAGCCACCACAGCGGGGTCCAACTGCCATTCCTAAGAAACAGACATCCCATATCCACCCTACACCCCACCCCTGTGGCTTCCTGGGGGCCACCTGCCCCATCTCCCAGAGCTGCCAGCCTGTCTCCTTTGTGGCTGCTTCCCACTCTGTCTATCCAGCATCCCCACCCCATGCAGCTGAGCTGTGGGCACCACCAGGGCAGCCATCCTGCCTTCTTTGCTTTCCGTTTATGTGCACAGAGAGGGGACTCAATCAATGTCTGGTGATCGACATATGACTGAACAATAAAGGAACGACCAGAGTTACACTGGGTGGGGACGGACCTCTGAGGTCACCTAGCCCACTTGCCTACCTGATGCCCAAATGCCCTCTGCTCGCCACCTCTAGCAATGGGGCAGTAACCACATTCCCAGGCAGCTCAGTCGCCGCTTCCTGTGGTAAGTGGTTCGTCAGGTTAATCAGGAGGAGGGCCAGTAACTGAGGCACTTCCCAGTTTGGCTGAAAGACTGTGGTCCAGTTGGGCGAGGTGGCTCACACCTGTAATCTCAGCACATTGGGAGGCCAAGGTGGGCGGATCACCTGAGGTCAGGAGTTCAAGACCAGCTTGGCCAACATGGTGAAATCCTGTCTGTACAAAAATACAAAAAAATTAGCTAGGCATGACGATGGGCGCCTGTAATTACAGCTACTCCGGAGGCTGAGGGGGAGAATTGCTTGAACCTGGGAGGCAGAGGTTGCAGTGACATAAGATGGCACCACTGCACTCCAGCCTGGGCAACAGAGCGAGACTCCATCAAAAGAAAAAAAAAAAAAAAAAGGAAGGAAGGAAGAAAGAAAGGAAAATAAAAGAGAAAAGAAAAGAAAGACAGACTATGGTCAGTTCTCAACAGGGAGAGTCTAGAAGCTTGCCAGGGTGAAATGAACTACCTCCATTTCTCCAGCCAGGAGAGCCCTGAGCCGCTGCACCTTGTTCCTGCCTGCTGGAGATTCATCCAGTTCCAGCAGGGCAGCCCCGCCCTAGCCACCATGCTGGCAGAGTAAATCAAGCATTAAAAACAAACTAATTAGTACTTCAGGGCAGTTTCATTCAAAAAATTACCACACTGAGAAGGTGTCTCATTTAGAACCGACTTAATTAAAAGACACCTTGTAAATTCCTGCAACAGATGAGGACAGTACTTTCCAGAAACGCCATAATTGAAATGTTTTACTGCTTATACCAAATGGTTATTAAATCCTTAATATCATAATTCCTTAAGAATGCCATTGTCAGTGACAAACAGCAGCTTGCACAACAAAGGAGCTGATTGTTCCCTCCTCTGGCCTGTAACCCACAGGAAGTCATAACGTAAGACTTCTCTGTTGCTGTACTTGGTTCTTTGCATTTTTAATGAGTAGGAGTAAATGCCAGCTCTGGGAGGAATCCACCATAAAGATAGAGAATGGAAAGAAGCCCTGTTTCTGACTTGTTGACTTGTGGTTTAGGGAAAAAGGCATCTTCCCTAGGTGAAGGCAGGCGCTGGTTGACTGCCGTATGGGTGGGCTGCCCTGACTGGGTAGCACAGAGATGCTAACTAAGTTGCCCAGCAAAGTGGAGGCTGGAGAGAAAGTCCCACCCATGCAATGTGGAATGGCCCGGAATGGGGCTGAGGGGGACAGGATGGGGTGTCCATAACCTGTTCTGTTTCCCCCCAGGCTTCCTCCCAGAGCAGCTGCCCTGGGGTGAGGTCCTCCGGGTCTGACTCCATGCAGGCTGCGCTCAGTGCTTCCTCCTGCAGGATCCTCCTTCCTGGCGCCTGCCCCTGGCACGGCTCACAGGAGCCCTAGACAATGATGGAGGGTTGGGCAATGGGTCCATTGACCCACAGCAAACTGACAAAATGCAGAGTATCCCCAGGCATGGTGGGTGCGGGTTGGAAGGGGGTTGTTTGTAGAATGGAGGGCTTTTCAGAAGGAACTGAAAGCCATCTTTTTGCTGACTTGCTGGGTGACCAGGCGAGTGGCATGGCCACTCCATGCTTCATTTTCCTCATTTAAAAAGAAAGTGGTGTTAGCAGGGCCTGGATTTGGAGTCAGTCTGATCTGAATTCAAACCCTGCTCAGTTATGCACTGTGGTATTTGGGGCTTCTGTTTCTTTTATTTCTTTCTTCTTTTTTTTTGAGACGGAGTTTCACTCTTGTTGCCCAGGCTGGAGTGCAATGGCGCTATCTCAGCTCACCGCAACCTCCACCTCCTGGGTTCAAGGGATTCTCCTGCCTCAGCCTCCCGGGTAGCTGGGATTACAGGCGTGCACCACCACGCCCAGCTGATTTTGTATTTTTAGTAGAGACAGGGTTTCACCATATTGGTCAGGCTGGTCTAGAACTCCTGACCTCAGGTGATGGCCCACCTCGGCCTCCCAAAGTGCTGGGATTACAGGCATGAGCCACCGCACCCGGCCAGGGCTTCTGCTTCTTAACTTTGCAAAGTTGGGGGAGCAACAGTAGCTCCCCACAGCATGGTGTCGGGGCTAAATGAGCATGTGTGTAGAGCACCTAGCACAGCGCCTGGCCCATGGCAGTGCTCAGGAAGTGGACTGAATAGGGGAGGGAGAAGCATCTTTCCTTTTAACCTTCTAGGTTCTCAGCAGGGACCCATAACAAAAGACAGCTTAACAAGAGAAAAGCATGCAAACTTATTTAATATAAGTTTTGGTTGAGCACGGTGACTCATGCCTGTGATCCCAGCACTTTGGGAGGATCACTTGAGCCCAGGAGTTCGAGACCAGCCTGGACAACATGGAGAGACCTTTGCCTCTACAAAAAAATACAAAAATTAGCCAGGCGTGGTAGCATGGGAGGATTGCTTGAACCTGCAAGGTCGAGGCTGCAGTGAGCCAAGATCAAGCTACTGCATTCCAGCCTGGGTGACAGAGTGAGACCTTGTCTCAAAAAAAAAAGTTTTACATAACACAAGAGGCTTCATAGAGAAATGAAGACCTGAAGACAGTTAAACCTGCGTTTTGTACCAGGTTTAATGAAGAGTGGAGAGTTGTGGGAAAAGGTGACAGGACAAAAGAGAATGAGGTCAATCAGAGTAGCAAACTGGGCAAAACCAGGAAAGCTTGACCCTTCAGATTTCTCTTTGTCTTCAGAGGTAAGAAGATGCATCTTCCTTTCCCGCTGGTGGAGGGAGGGCGCCTTTCAAATGAGGGGTTATGACCTGCTTCAGGGGAAGGTCAGAGAGTCCTTCTTGCTTGTACCCGCTGTTGCTCAGATTCCTTCAGCTTAAAATATTCGGCCTTATGCAGTGGCTCACCCCTGTAATCCCAGCACTTTGGGAGGCTGAGGTGGGCGGATCACCTGAGCTCAGGAGTTCAAGACCAGCCTGGCCAACATGGTGAAACCCCGTCTCTACAAAGATACAAAAATTAGCTGGGCATGATGACAGGTGCCTGTAATCCCAGATACTCGGGAGGCTGAGGTGGGAGAATCACTTGAACCTGGGAGGTGGAGGTTGCAGTGAGCCGAGATCGTGCTATTGCACTCCAGCTGAAGCAACAGAGCAAGACTCCATCTCAAAAAAACAAAAAAACAAAAACAAAAACAAAGCCAAAAAAAAAAAAAACAAACTGCCCAGGCACTAGGGGTAGTGTGTCCTTAACCCTGTTGATTGGTATTGATGATTAACATCATTTAATATCTGTAAGAAGAGAGATATGGAACAGATGGTGTCACATCCAGGTATTGAGCAAGGGGACTGGCTGACTCACTCAACAAGGTTCTCACAAATGATCAAGCTCACAGAAGGGCACTGCCTGAAAGGAAAAGGCAGTGGAAGAAGCTCTGGCCCCAAACCAAAATGCAAGTGACTCTGTAGCAGTCTTTTGTTTGAAGAACGTTGGTTAGTCTGGTTGCCCTAACCTGCAGAAGCATCCCAAGGCGCCTTCTTCACTGTAGCCCAGGCCTAGCCCACTGTGGGTGCTGCCAGAGCTGCTGTGGACTCTGAGAGCGGGCTCAGCATCAGAGCTGGGTTGGGACCATTGCAATCTGGAGGGCTGTGGGAGAGTTGGAGTTAGGGCCTGGCCCCCCTGGCTCCTGGGCAGTGCTCCTTCTCCATCTCACTGTCTGTACAGTCCAGACAGCTGTTGGCCCACAGGGTGCCTTCAAGGAAACTGGAAGAAGGTGCTCTGTCCTCCTCTAGCTGGAGGGCATGGGGTGGATTTCAGCCTCACTGGTTCCCCGGGCCAGGTGCCCTTGTGCAGGGCACAACACATACAACTGTATAAGGCCTAATACACTGCCAACTCTCCCCTCAGCCAGGAGTTCACACATGCCCTCAAGAACCGCCAGAGGCCTCTTCACTTGCAAGGCCCTTCCTTATCCCCAGAAACTCCTGATGGCTTTTTTGCTGGGAAGGGGTGGATTGTTTTTATCCACCTGAGCCCCTGCTTCCATCCCCACCTTGACTCTGCCACCACACTCGCCCAAAGCCAACTCAGCAAACACAGATATGCCCAGTGACACCCTCATCTCCAATTTGACATGTTTTTAATATTCCACTTTGAGAATTTTTGCATCCTTTGAGTTTTTCAAGAAGTTTCTTAGGCTAATTCCCATTAGGAGAATTCTGCCTTAACTTCAAGTCAACCAGTACATTGTGGAAGCTTCTAAGAAGAAGTGGAAGACTTTGAGAGAAAGTCATTAATGTGGAGAAGAACGGGCAATCATTCCCCTGTAATTTAGGAAGACATCGGCCTCCCTATTTCACACTCAGTATTTTGCATTCTCTTTCATCTCTCCCCCTGCCCAGAGGAAACAGTTGCTGGGGGGGCTTGGAAGTGTAAATGGGGCTTCTCTTCAGTGCATCCCCCAAAGGGTGTGCTGAAGAACTAACGCATTGAATAATTTAAAAGCAAACTGTACAACCACTAGAAAATAGAATTATTAACTTCTGTAGAAGGGTAAAGTACTTCAAATCAGGAAACAGTGAATAATATTGAACAAGAGAAGGTGGCACATTTATTTATTTATTTATTTATTTTCTTTTAGACGGAGTCTTGCTCTTTTGCCAGGCTAGAGTGCAATGGCGTGATCTCGGCTCACTGCAACCTCCACCTCCCAGGTTCAAGCAATTCTCCTGCCTCAGCCTCCCGAGTTGCTGGGACTACAGGCGCCTACCATCACGCCTGGCTAATTTTTGTATTTTTAGTAGAAACGGAGTTTCACCATGTTGGCCAGGATGGTCTCAATCACTTGACCTCATGATCCGCCGTCCTCAGCCTCCCAAAGTGCTGGGGTTACAGGCGTGAGCCACCGCGCCTGGGCGGTGGTGGATTTAGTACATCTAAATTTCCATATGTAAAAGCTAAACTAAACAAAGTTGAGTGGAAAAACACACCTCAAAAGCTTTAGGCCAGGAACAGGGTGGCTCACACCTGTAATCCCAGCACCGTGGGAGGCCAAGTGGGGCCAATCACTTGAAGTCAGGAGTTTGAGACAAGCCTGGCCAACATGGCTAAACCCCCATCTCTACTAAAAATACAAAAATTATCCAGATGTGGTGGTGGGCGCCTGTATTCCCAGCTACTTGGGAGGCTGAGACAGGAGAATTGCGTGAACCTGAGAGATGGAGGTTGCAGTGAGCTGAGATCACACTACGCTCCCTCCTGGGCAACAGAGTGAGACTCTGTATTAAAAAACAAAACAAACAAAAAAATAAACTTTAGAAATGTTTGTACCAATTGAACTAGTAATTCACTTTCTGGGGAATTTTTGCTAATGAGTAACCCTTAAATATGGAGTTGGGTTATGCATCAAGTTGTTTATTGCAGAATTATTTATGGCAATAAAAAATAAAACCAGAAAGTAATCTAAATTTGCAGTGATTGAGGAATAGCAAGGGGTGGGCATGGTGGCTCACACCTGTCATTCCAGCACTTTAGGAAGCGGAGGTAGGACGATTGCTTGAGGCCAGGAGTTGGAGACCATCCTGGGCAACATAGACAGACCTTATCTCTATTTATTTAAATAAGTTAAAAATTAAATTAAAGGATAGTATGAAATCATTTTAAATGCTGTTTCTGAAAATATTCACAGGGAGTCAGTGATACATACTATTAGGAAAACAGTCTTGACATCAGCTAGACCTGGGTTAGAAACCCAGTGCTACCCATGTGCTTTGGGACTTAATCTCTCTCTAAGCCTAAGTTTACACATCTGTAAAATGAGGATAACAGTAGTGGCTACCTCATAGGATTACTGCATCATGTGAGATAATGCATATAAACTACTTAGCACAGAGTAAGCCCTGTCACATATCATGATTATTATTACTTTTGTGTAACATAGAAACATTATCCATGTTGGTTCATTCATTCATTCACTCAGCAAATATTTACTGAGGTACCATTTGTGCCAAGTACTGCTCTACATACTGGAGCTGCAGTAGTAAATAAATTAATGCCAAATGAAAACACAGAAGGTATGCATGCAGTGTGAGCACAGATATGTTTAAAAAAAAAATGCCCGGCGGGGGATAAGGACTAGAGGAAAGATGTCCAGCGGGGGATAAGAGCTAGGAGGACATAGATCAAGATACTATATGATCTGGATTGTCTTTGAATAATGAGGGCATTGGGTGGTGTTTCATTATGGCCCAGTTTTCTTTAATAAGTATTTCTCTTATGAGTAGTAATGAAGTTTCTATACATTTAAAAAGTCAGGCCAAGCACGGTGGCTCATGCTTGTAATCCCAGCACTTTGGGAGGCTGAGGCGGGTGGATTACTTGAGCCCAGGAGTAGGAGTTCGAGACCAGCCTGGGCAACATGGCGAAACCCTATCTCTACTAAAAATACAAAAGTTAGCCAGGCGTGCTAATGCACACCTGTAGTCCCAGGTACTCGGGAGGCTGAGGCAGGAGAATCACTTGAAACTGGGAGGCAGAGGCTGCAGTGAGCCAAGATTGCACCACTGCCCTCCAGCCTGGGCGACAGAGCGAGACTGTCTCAAAAGAGAGAAAAAAAAAAGGCCTGGTGCGGTGGCTCATGCCTGTAATCCCAGCACTTTGGGAGGCCGAGGCAGGCAGATCACGAGGTCAGGAGATCAAGACCATCCTGGCTAACAGGGTGAAACCCCGTCTCTACTAAAAAATAGAAAAAGTTAGCAGGGCATGGTGGTGGGCACCTGTAGTCCCAGCTACTTGGGAGGCTGAGGCAGGAGAATGGTGTGAACCCGGGAGGCGGAGCTTGCAGAACTAGCTTTTTTCTTTTTTTTTCCCAGACAAGGTTCACTCTGTTGCCCAGGCTGGAGTGTAGTGGTGCAGAACCCGGGAGGCGGAGCTTGTCAAAAAAAAAAAAAAGAGAAAAATGATGGCGCTTGTTGACTAGCCTCTTATGATGCAATGTCATGCCGTCATGTTCATGTGGATGTCGTGAAAAGCAGGGCACTGTGGTGAACTGTGCCTCTGGGACCTGCCCCGCGACATCCCCTTCACTGTGCCAGCCTCACTTGCCCTGTGGTGACAGCACTGGGCCATGTGCAGATTTGTTTTGCCCATCTCTACATTGCACAAACAGGTACACTGAATCAAAAAGGAAAACAGAAAAAACAGAACAAGAAACACCCCAATGGGTTGCAGCTTATGGATGGTGCCTGCAGCATTGTGAGCTGATAAAATACTGCTTAGCATATGGCAGTGGGGAGGCAGCACCAAGAGGGGCCCAGGAGGCCCTGCAGCCTCTGCTGCCAGTTTCCTTCTGTGCGGGATGAATGGAGTCCCTGGGGTCTGGAGTTGGACACAAGAGCATTTGTCCTCTCTCCCATAGGAATGGTCCTTTTCTGAGGCCCCACTCACGGCTTGGGCTCTGGAAGCCTTTCCAGTCCTTCGGGAACCATCCCCACCTCCTGTGTGGAGATGCCTGGGCAGCACCTCTGAAGTGGCCCCCTCTCTGTGGCCTCTCTGTGGGTGCCCCTTCCCTCAATGTACCACCTACCTGAGTCTCTGCAATCACTTGACACCCAACCTTTTATTAACCAGGGTTCCTGCCCTCCCCCAGCAGGCGGCTTTTCATGCAAAAAGCATCCCTTTGTTCCCTTTCTATGACCCACTTAGGTATCAAAGGCTTCATTCACTGGGGAGTTTCCAGGAAAGTGACCCCCCTGGCTCTGGTCTACTGCTTTGGGAGGGGCAGGAGAAAGGTCAAGGGCATTATCTCAGTTACCAGCCCTGATAGTCCGAGTATAGTTCCTTCCCTCTCCCTGCCCTCACTTCTCCCACTTCTACCTGAATTAGGGTGTGTCTCTGGGCAGGGTGGCAAAAACATTGCCAAAGCTCTAACAGTGCAGCCACAAAACAGGCTCCTTGTATCCTCAAAACAGGCCACATAATGGCTCCTTATCATTGTCTCCACTTTACAGATGAGAAGATCGAGGCCTGGAGGCACTAAGCCACATGGCCAAGGTCACCCCACTGGTAGGTGTAGAGTGGAGATGAAGCTCAAACCAGGTGCTATTGACCACTCTGTGTACAACATTTTTTAGGAGACAAGCTTAAATGTGTGTTGTGGGGTAGTCCTTTTCCTTTCCCCTGAGGTGCTGCCCAAAACAACCCAGAACTGGGGGACCCACCGCCTGAGTTCTGGCCCTTGGTCAAGCCCATTAAACCTTGGGCATTTTCCTCCATTTCTGGTGTGGTAGGCAGAACACTGTCCACCTGCCCCAAGATGTCCACATCCTAATGCCTAGACCTGTGAATATGTTGTTACCTTATATGGCAAAACGGACTTTGCAGATGTTTGCAGATGTGAATACATTAAGAATCTTAGGGCCAGGCATGGTGGCTCATGCCTGTAAACCCAGCACTTTGGGAGGCTGAGGCAGGCAGATCACTCGAGCCCAGGAGTTCAAGACCAGCCTGGGCAACATAAGGAGACCCCGTCTCTATTTTTTTAAAAAATTAAAATGAAAAGGCTGGGCATGGTGGCTCATGTTTGTAATCCCAGCACTATGGGAGGCCAAGGTGGGTGGATCACGAGGTCAGGAGAGCGAGACAATCCTGGCTAACACGATGAAACCCCGTCTCTACTAAAAAATAGAAAAAAAATGAGCTGGGCGTGGTGGCAGGTGCCTGTAGTCCCAGCTGCTTGGGAGACTGAGGCAGGAGAATGGCGTGAACCCGGGAGGCGGAGCTTGCAGTGAGCCGAGATTGCGCCACTGCACTCCAGCTTGGGTGACAGAGTGAGACTCCATCTCAAAAATAAATAAATAAATAAATAGAATAAATAAAAATGGAAAAAAAAAAAAAGAAGAATTGCCGGGGTCAGTGGCTCATGCCTGTAATCCCAGCACTTTGGGAGGCTGAGGTGGGCAGATCACCTGAGGTCGGGAGTTCGAGACCAGCCTGACCAACACGGAGAAACCCTGCCTCTACTAAAAATATGAAAATTAGCCAGGCGTGGTGGTGTGCCTCTGTAATCCCAGCTACTCGGGAGGCTGAGGCAGGAGAATCACTTGAACCTGGGAAGCAGAGGAGGCAGAGGTTGCAGTGAGCCAGGATCGCACCATTGCACTTCAGCCTGGGCAACAAGAGTGAAACCCCATCTCAAAAAAAAAAAAGAAAAATCTTGGGATGGGGATACCATCCTGGATTATTCAGGCAGACCCAATGTCACCCCAAGGGCCCTTCAAAGAGGGAGGCAGAAGAGTCCATATTAGAAGAGATGAGACAATGGAAACAGAGGCCAGAGACAGATTTGGAGATGCTGCTGGCTTTGAAGATGAGGATGATGTCCTAAGCCAAGGAACGTAGGTAGCTCCTGGAAGCTAGAAAAGGCAAGGAAATGATTCTTCCCTAAAGCCTCCAGAATGAAGGCAGCTCTGCAGGCACCTTGGTTTTAGGACTTCTGACCTCCTGAACTGTAATAGAAGACATTTTGCTGTTTTAAGCCACTAAGTTTGTGGCACTTTTTCCAGCAGCAGTAGGAAGCTGATACACTGGACTTCAGCTGTCCTCTCTGTAGATAACTGGCGTGGCTGGCCAGATGGGCCACACACACTATGCTTTCTTGACTGAAGCTGATGAGTCCAGGCCAGCAGGGCCTAAAATTTTTCTGATTTTGTGGACTTTCTTTGGGAATCTAGTTCTCTGGCTGTTCTTCCTCCCCCATGGAAGGAGCTTTGTCCACTGTGGCTTTGGAGGGTTTTGACCCGTGATGTGATTGGGAAGCACAAGGAATGGAACTTCACAGGGCCGACCTTGTTGGGAGTTTCTGGGCCCCTGCTCTGGGCATTGTCTTGGAACCAGCTACCCAAAAGGCCAAAACTGCCCTCTGGCTCCCGGGCCTAATTACAGCCCCTGCCTAGGCCTCCCTTCCCCAGGATGGCCAGAGTTGAGGGGGTTTCACATGGTGATGAGCTCCTTGAAGACTCTGAGCTCTAGGCAGCCAGTCTCTTCTGTGCCCCTAGCTCTGGCGCAGTACCTCACATGGGGTAGGAGCTCAAGAAATATTTGCTGAATGAATAAATAATTCAGTAGCACACATACACAGACAACACACAGCTTGGGACATCACACGGTCTTTTCTATACCTAGATGCATACCCAGATAAGCACTTACATACCTGTGCGCGCGCGCACACACACACACAGATAGCAATATGCACACACACACACAGTTATGTGCACACACACGTGCACCAATGGGTATGTGCACACAGACACATACAGATATGCAAATGTGCCATGGAGCCCTATTCTGAAGGAAGAGAGGACACTTCTGTCCACTGAGGGAACTGAAATGCCAGCTAGCTTAGCAGGGCCTTGGAAGTTTTTATTAATCCATAAAAATCCCTTAGCTGTCTGGGGAGCCTCCCAGCAGCTGAGGAGGTTCCCCGACAGGAAGGATGGGGCGGATCTCCCATTGATGGGGAGGGGACCCAGGTGTTGGCTGCTGTTGGAGGGGCCGTTGTGCAGACACCTGCATATGATGGGAGCTGGAGCTAGGGCGGAAAGAGCTGGGAGCACAGATGTCTGAGTTGGCCCCCAGCAAGGGAAGATGGGCCTCTGAAGTTCAGGCTGCCAATCATAACCTACCTTGGATCTTGGAGGAGGCCCAGCTTTTGGACAGCTATACGGAAATGAGGGGGTGTAAACTCAACATTCCATTGGTGAAGGGATGGGGATGGGAGGCAGGGTACTGAGCAAAAACATCGCCTGCTCTGGAGTTGGAAAGGCTTGGTTTGAGTCGCAGTCTGTGCTCATCAGCTGGGTTACCTTGGGCTGGTTGATCAACGTCTCTTTGCGTCAGCTTCAGCATCTCTGAAATGGGCGACTGAGGGCACCTACCTGTCAGGGCTGGAGTGAGGATTAGGTGAGAGAATGGAAGTCAAGTGCTCCATTTATCACCAAAGAACTAAAAAAATGGGAGCTTAAGAAAAATGCAGGCACTGGATAAAAGTCTACCTAGGCTGGGCGCGGTGGCTCACACCTGTAGTCCCAGCACTTTGAGAGGCCAAGATGGGTGGATCGCTTGAGCCCAGGAGTTCAAGATGAGCTTGGGCAACATAATGAGACCCCATCTCTACAAAACATACAAAAATTAGCTGGCCATGGTGGTGCACAACTGTAAGTACCAGCTACTCAGGAGGCTGAGGTGGGAGGATAACTTGAGCCTGGAGGTTGAGGCTGCAGTGAGCCGTGATTGCACCACTACACTCCAGCCTGGGCAACAGAGTGAACCTTGTCTGGGAAAAAAAAAGAAAAAAGAAAAAAGAAAAGTCTACCCAGCCCATCCTAGGGCAGAATAACCAGAGAGGAGGAGGTGAGAGTCCTTTCCAGCCACCTCTTAGGTAGTCCCGCAGTCTAGAATTTCGCTCTGGTTGGGCTAATTCCTGGGAGGGGTGTGGCCCAGCGCTGCCCTTGTCCTAGCCCTGCCTCTGTGTGACCTGGAGTACGTTGCTTTGCTTCTCTGAACCTCAGCAGCTCCTTTTCTATATATCCTGGATAGTTGTGAAGCTCACATGAGACTGGGCATTTGAAACTATTCGGAGAGGTGAGAAATCCTCACTCAGAGGAGAGCATCTCTGGTCACCCTTGGACAGTCAAAATTGATTATATCACTTTGCCAGGCCGACAGGCCCACCATTCACCCTGAAGCCTTGATCACTCTTCTCCTGCCACCCCTGCCCCAGGATCATAGTGTTCACTGAGGCTCTTGGCAGGATCCAGTGACATCAGTTGGACCTCCCTGGATCTGCCCCTGCTGCTCCCATTCTTTCATCCAAGCTCAGGAAAAGAAAGGCCCAGGCAGGGTTTCCACCAGCCTGTCTCCCACGACCCACATACTCAGTGCCAATGGGGAACCCCAGAAGTCTAGAGCACTCTGGTTTCTGTCCCACTATGTGCTTTCCTCTGGAGGTGGGGGACCTGGGGGAGCCCAGTTTCATTAAGAAGCAGAAGTTCAACAGGCAGGTAAGATGGTGCCTGGCCGAACTCCCATTAAAAGACCCAAAGCCAGGCATGGTGGCTCACGCCTGTAATCCCCAGCACTTTGGGAGGCTGAAGCAGGCGGGTCACTTGAGGCCAGGAGTTCAAGTTGGCCAAAATGGTGAAACCCCATCTCTACGAAAATAGAAAAAGTAGCCAGGCACAGTAGTGCATGCCTGTAGTTCCAGCTACTCTGGAGGCCGAGGCAGGAGAATCGCTTGAACCTGGGAGGCGGAGGTTGCAGTGAGCTGAGATTGCACCACTGCACTCTGGAGAGGCTAAGAGACAGAGCAAGACTCTGTCTAAGAAAAAAAAAAGAAAAACAAAACCAAAAAATGCCCAGTACTGAATGGGCCTTTGTGGTCTCACCTACTGGCTAGAAGTTACCACGGGGCAGGTCACCTAGCCTGGGCACCCAGCATGGGCCTGTGGGCAAGGGATGGCAAGACAGGATGGGTGGGGGCCGTGAGGTCCAGGGTGTCCCCACACTCCTCCATGGTGAGGAAGGAGGTCCAGACCAGTGACTGGAAAGCTTGTCGCTATCAGGGCCTGGTCCCCCCCAAGCCCACAGTGCCCAGGATGAGTGAGCGTGGCCATGACCCTGAGCCCACCATGGCAGCTGTTGACCCCAGGCCATCAGTGCCTGGTCAGTAGACAGCCCTGCTTCCGACCTTCCCACGCTGCCCCTTGACTCATTCTGAGAGCATTGCCACAAGGGGTTCTGGCCTCCAAGTTCACCTTTGGTTTGGTTTCTGCTCGGGCAGCTCAGAGCAGTTTTGTTTTCAAGTGCAAACCCACAGAGCTGCTTTCCCCTTTCTCTGATCCCCCAAAACAAACAAAGGATGTTGGTCTGCATTTTGATTTGTTTTGAAGCTGCAGAGGAGAGTGAGGGAAATGGGTCACCTCAGGAGCTTCGAGGGTGGCCAGGCCAGCCAGGGAGTGTGGGGTGGTGGCCAGGATGGCGCCTTACTCTGGAGGACTGACTGGCCAGCCCACCCTGGGTGGGCCCTGCTCCCAGGGAGCCACTCACCAACAGGGATGCCTGGAGCTGGGGGCTCCTCATGGGGCCATGCAAAGCGCCCTGTGTGGAAGGCAGGAGGCCCAAGTCCCAGGCATGGCTCCAAGGCCCCTTGCTGTGTGATGTTAGGCAAGGCCTGCGTTTCTCTGAGTTTGAGTCTGGTGAAATGAGGCCCACCAGCTCGGTCCCACCATCTTTCCCATCCCCACTGGAGTGGGGAGGGGGCATTACAGAGTCCCATGCCACTCACAGCGCTGATGTCCAGGGCTCCCTGAGCAGCTGGTCCTGGGACCATTGGATAAGCACCTTATATTCTGCTAGGACGTTGGCCATCAGGGCTGGCCTTCTCTAGCCCCAGACCCATTCCTTCGCCTTCCCACTGGTCAGCAGAGGCCCCTACACTGCTTGGTTTACATGATCCATGGATGTGCCCCTCCTGGGCCTGTGGCCCCTCCCAGAGTGGGTGTAGGTACCTGAAGCAGTAAAGATTAGGTCAAGGAATTTTCAGCAGCAACCTCTTTTCTGACATCCCCCAAAGAAAGAAGTCCCCTGAGCAAGGTGAGCTCTGTCATTCCCAGAGCCTGCAGGTGACCAAAGATGTTCGGAAGGAGCCTGCGGGTCAGCCAAGTCTTTGAAGCATCAAGAGAAGGAGCTGGTAATGTTTTCCCTTGAGTAGGATCAGTAGCAGGGGTTTGAGCAAAGTGAGTGCATTTATTCCAGAACAACTGAACTGGATCCCAAGGACAATATTTTAAATTTCTTCATTAAAGTCCATCTGTTCCGACAGTTCTTCATCTTTTGCATTATTAATCCTTTTAGTGAAAGCTACAGATTCTCTTCTTGGGGGAAAAACACACACACAAAATTTTGAACCACATTTAAAAAGGTTTGCAGCCCTCCATGTGTAATTCCTGGGAAGTTAAAGTAATTCAGGGAGAACTGACTTCCTAGAGTGACCCCTTTCCCAACTGGGGAGGAGACACTATTGGATAGCCTGGGTTGTTCTTCAAAGGATGTTTTGGAGAGACACAGAATCAACTGCTCTTTTTATTTTTTAATTTTATATTTGAGACAGAATCTCGCTCTGTCGCCCAGGCTGGAGTGCAGCAGTACGATATTGGCTCACCGCAACCTCCACCTCCTTGATTCAAGCGATTCTCCTGCCTCAGCCTGCCTCCACAGGCACGTGGCACCATGCCCAGCTAATTTTTTTTTTTTTTGAGACGGAGTCTCACTCTGTCACCCAGGCTGGAGTGCAATGGCGTGGTCTCGGCTCACTGCAACCTCTGCCTCCCGGGTTCAAGCGATTCTCCCACCTCAGCCTCCCGAGTAGCTGGGACTACAGGCACGTGCCACCACACCCAGTTAATTTTTGTATTTTTAGTAGAGATGGGATTTCACTATGTTGGCCAGGCTGGTTTCGAACTCCTGACCTCGTGATCCGCCCACCTCGGCTTCCCAAAGTGCTGGGATTACAGGCATGAGCCACTGCTCCTGGCCTATGCCCAGCTAATTTTTATATTTTTAGTGGAGACCGGGTTTCGCCATGTTGGCCAGGCTGGTCTCCAGCTCTCGACCTCAAGTGATCCACCCGTCTTGGCCTCCCAAAGTGTTGGGGTTAGAGGTGTGAGCCACCGTGCCAGCCAATTGCTCCTTTTAGAATGGGAGTGCTAACCTCAGGGGTCTCTCTCTCGGGTGCCAAAAGAGGAGATGCCTTTTGTGTGGACCCATGGAACTGAAGCCTCCGTCCTTGTCCCTGGAAGGGCCCAATTTTGGGGTTCCAGGAGCTCCTGCGCCTAAGGGGGTGCTGTCACCCTGTGGTTTTTCTTAGTTGACAGCTCATAGGTGCTTGGGAATGTGCTGTGTCTGCGTTCCAGACTGCAGGAGCAGTCTGGAAACTTGGCTGTGGGCAGACATGCCACCCTCCTAAGGTGAAAGAAACCTGAGTGGCCAGAGCCTAGTGTTTGCTCCCCTAATTTGAGAACAGGGAACTGTGCCTCCTCCTGGAGACTGCAGGGTTTGGGAGCCGGGAGATGGCCCATCTCGCTTCTTTGGTCAGCTTCTGGCGCCACCTCGTGGCTAATTCTCTAATAGCAGCCAGGTCTCATTCTGGCACAGAGGGTTCTCAGTAGAACCACCAGAGGGAGCTTTAAAATTACGCACGTCTGCCGGGCGCGGTGGCTCACGCCTGTAATCCCAGCACTTTGGGAGGCCAAGGCGGGCGGATCACGAGGTCAGCAGATCGAGACCATCCTGGCTAACACGGTGAAACCCCCGTCTCTACTAAAAATACAAAAAATTAGCCGGGCGTGGTGGCAGGAGCCTGTAGTCCCAGCTACTCAGAAGGCTGAGGCGGGAGAATGGCCAGAACCCAGGAGGCAGAGCTTACAGTGAGCCGAGATTGCGCCACTGCACTCCAGCCTGGGCGACAGAGGGAGACTCCGTCTCAAAAAAAATAAAAAAAATAAAAAACCACGCATGTCGGGGGCCATTCCAGACCAGTGAAACAATCATCTGTTTCGTTGGGGCCTAGCATCAGTATTTATTAGGGCTCTCCAGATGACATCAATGTGAAGCCAGGGTTGCGAATCACTGTAACAGCAATAGGTTGGTTCCTTGGTCTTGGCCCACAGGCAAGGGAGGACGATTGAGGTGGGGAGGAGAAATTACAAGGGCTTTCTGGAGAATTGGTTTCACTTTGCTTGCATGGACCTACTTGGTGCTCTGGAAAGCATGGAGGTCAGCGAGTAATGAATGCCACAATACAGAATGTTGTAAATAAGGCGCCTATTGCAAATAAAGTGTCTATTACTGGGCCTTTACATTAGCATCTGTGGGCATTTCCATGGGCCCTCTATGGGCCCATTTTGTGTCTATCTCAATGATAGACACAAAATGGGTTCATTTTGTGTCTATCTCAATGATAACATTTAAAAGTCAACATATAAACACACCTTGGCTTACCTGGAAGGCTGTTAACTGACTTTCTCTCCTGGTTTTGGTGTCCAAAATAACTTTGGAATTTACTATCCTATTGCTGCAAAGCAGAACTACTTTAATTGTCACGGGGTAATTAGCAAAGGGTAAAAGGATTCACTTGGTGAGGAATGTATTTGAGCCAGGCAAAGACAAAAGACTTGGCAGAATTGAGTTATCTTTTCAAAATATTTTCATGTTCACAAAACAATGCTGTAGCTGTTTTGAACTCACAAGTACCTGCCCCATGCTGTCCCATACATATTACACTGAATGATATTTGTGGGGGGTGGGATTGAGGGAGGGGGTCGTGGATAGGAAATAAAGTCCCAACTCCTGGCCAGAGCCGGCAAAACCCTGTATGCTCTGCCTCTGCCTTCCTTTCAATCCCCGCTCTTACCCTCCATGCTTACTGGCTTCCCTCCAGCCACACTGGGCTTTTTGCTGCCTCTCAAACATGCCACCTTGTTCTCATCCCAGGGGCCTCTGAACCTGCTGTTTGCTTTGCCTGGGGCACTCTTTCCCCAGATATTTATGTGGTTTGCTTTCTGAGTTCTTTCAGGCCTTAGCTGTAATGTCAGAGGCCTTTCCTAATCACCCTCATTAAATTAGGACCCCTGCCTAATTCTTCTCCCCATTTTGTATTCTCCATTGTACTTTTCACTGCTTGAATTGTATTGTTTATGTGCTTGTTTCCTTGTTTATTGCTTGGGAACCCACATGTGTTGTAACTCCTTGAGGGTAGAGGCCATATCTAGCATTTACCATAATTTCCCCAGTCTTTGGCACATTGACATTATTTAATAAGCATTCTTTTACAAATTCTTGTATTTTGGAATAATTTTAGTTGCAATGATATTACAGAGTTATGGTATATTTTCACTCTGATTGCCTTAATGTCAATATCATATATAACTGTAGTACAATGATCTATAAAAGGAGTTAACATTGATACAATACGATTCACTAATCTACAGGTTTTTTGTTGTTTTTGGGGGCTTTTTTTGCAGTGAGAGAAAGAGGCATTTATTGCAGGACATCATCAGGCAAGGAGGATGGGGAGCTCACGCTTAAGACCCAACCTCCCTGATGGCTTACAAGCAAGGGTTTTTAAAGGCAGGGGTACATTTCAGGAAAGGAGAAGTCACAGGCCAATGTGTAAACAAACATATGGAAGCTATACATTGGTTTAGCCCAAAAAGGTGGGATATCTTGAAGCAGGGGCTTACAGGTCATAGGTAGATTCAGAGATTCTTTGATTTGCAGTTGGTTGAGGAAGGAAGACTTTGTCTAAAAAACTTGGGGTCAGCAGAAAAGAATGTTAAGATTTGGCCTTAATATAGGCTAGTTAAGATCAGGAAACCCATTAATCATCAGGGGTGCTATGCCAGTCAGGTCACCAGAGCAAGCCCTAATGCACTAGGTCAGAGTGACCAGTTTAGCAAATTGATGGCCTGCAGGTGTCACTTTCTCCAAGCACCTCGGGAAGAAATTTAGAACACAGGGCAGTGATCAGAGTTCAGTCCTCAGTTCCCTCTTATCTGAGGTCCACATGACAGCAATGGGCATTTTCCATCTGGTGGGCATCCAGGTTTCTGAAAAACAAATCTATTAGGATTGTTGCTTTATTGGGCCTCGTTTCTTCCATCTGACTTTCACTTCTTGTCCTGCAGTGTCCACCCTGGTCTCTGGATGGTTGCCTGTTTGTGCTGTGGTTGTTCCTCTGTTCTCCTGCACTTGGTTACTCGTTAAAGGGCACCTTCTGCATCCTCATCAGCCTGAGGAACTGCTAATAATGTCATATTAACTGTTTGTGCATTTGCTTCAGTTTTTTTGTTTGTTTGTTGTTTTTTTGTTTTTTTTTTTGAGACGGAGTCTCACTCTGTTGCCCAGGCTAGAGTGCAGTGGCGTGATCTAGGCTCATTACAAGCTCCACCTCCTGGGTTCACACCATTCTCCTGCCTCAGCCTCCCAAGTAGCTGGGACTACAGGTGCTCGCCATCATGCCTGGCTAATTCTTTGTATTTTTAGTAGAGATGAGGTTTCACTGTGTTAGCCAGGATGGTCTCGATCTCCTGACCTCGTGATCCGCCTGCCTCAGCCTCCCAAAGTGCTGGGACTACAGGCGTGAGCCACCACACCCGGCCTTTTTTTTTTTTAAAAAAGACAGTGTCTTGCTCTGTCACCCAGGCTGGAGTGCAGTGGTGTGATTATAGCTCACTGCAACCTTATACTCCTGGGCTCAAGGGATCCCTACAGATCTTACTAGAAGTGCACTTGACCTACTAATGTCCTTTTTTCTGGTTGGTGTTTTAGTCCAAGGATCCGACATTATGTTTAGTTGTCATGTCTCTTTAGTGTCTTCCAATCTGGGACAGTTCCCCAGTCTTTCATGACCTTGACACTTATGAAGAGTGTTGGCCAGTTATATTTTGAATGTCCCTCAATTTGTGTTTGATTTTTTTCAGGATTAGACTGAAGTTATGCATTTTAGCAGAAATACCACAGCAGTGACGTGCTATTCTCAGAGGACGGTATCAGGAAGCACATGATGTTTATGTGCCTCCTTTCAGGTGTTATTAACTTTGATCACTTGGTTAAGGTGGTACCTGCCTGGTCTCTCCACTGTGAAGCTACTATTTTTTCTGTTTGTAATCAATTAAATATCTTGTGAGGAAATAGATGGAGATGATCCAAATATTATATTTCTTGTCATATTTTGGCTTACTAATTTCAGCATCCATTGATGATTCCTGCCTGCAACAATTCCTGTACTGTTTGGCAAATGGGAATTTTTTTTTTTTTTTTTTTTTGAGATGGAGTCTCACTCTGTTGTCCGGGTTGGAGTGCAGTGGTGCGATCTCGGCTCATTGCAACCTCTGCCGCCAGGGTCCAAGCGATTCTCCTGCCTCAGCCTCCCTAGTAGCTCGGATTTCAGGCACCTGCCACTGCGCCCGGCTAATTTTTGTAGTTTTTAGTAGAGACGGGGTTTCACCATCTTGGCCAGGCTGGTCTTGAACTCCTGACCTCATGACCCACCTGCTTCAGCCTCCCAAAGTGCTGGGATTACAGGCGTGAGCCACAAGGCCGGGCCTGGCAAATGATGATTTTCTATTTGCATTATTCCTTCTGCATTTATTAGTTGGAATTTGAAAGGAAGAGCTGTCCCTTCTCCATTTATCTAATTGATTTTTATTTCCATCAGTATGGACTTATGGACATTTATTCAGTGGGTTATCATCCTTTATTATTTATTTTGTTGCTCAAATGTTCGCTGGTGTGTTGGCTTAAGCCTGTAATCGCAGCACTTTGGGAGACCAAGGTGGGCAGATTGCTTGAGCTCAGGAGTTCAAGACCAGTCTGGGCAAAATGATGAGACCTCTTTTCTACAAAACGTATATTTTAAAAAATTAGCAGGGTTTTGTTGTGCACACGTGTAGTCCCAGCTACTTGCGAGGCTGAAGTGGGAGGATCACTTGAGCTGGTGAGGTTGAGGCTGCAGTAAGAGATGATGGCACCACTGCACTCCAGCCTGGGTAACAGAGAGAACTTGTCTCAAAAACAAAACACAACAAAAATTGTCCCAGATTTGGCTTATTACTTTGTTTAGCACATCCTTAATTCCCAGGACCGCAAGATGTGCCAGGTTCATCTTGTACTTCTCCTGCCTCAGCCCAGCGACCAGCCATTTCTCCAAGAGCCTGGTCCTTGCTATTGCAGCACAGTGCTTGGAAACCGAGATCTGGGCATTAGATGTCCTCATTGTTGGGAGTGTCGTTGCTCCTAGGCCCTCTCGGTGGACAGAGCTAGGAAGTGTATGTTCAGACAGACATATACATGCACATCTATATCCATTTCTACATGTCCCCCCTCTCTCCATCTACCATAAAAACCATGAATTTTTCTCCCTACGATCAGTTGTCAGAGGAAAACATCATGAATGTATACCGATACCTGAGATTCCAATTCAACACCACAGGGTTCATTTTAACCTTGCTCCTTTCCTTACTCGCAGCTCCTTTCCTTACTCGCAGCTCCTTTCCTCCATAGTGGAAACCTGGCTCTCACTGTCCGCCATGTTTATTCACCAGCTCGGTCCCAGCATGCACCTTGCATTAGTGTCCCAGGGCCGCACAAGTTACCACAAGCTGGGTGGCGTCAAACACAAAATTTTATTTTCTCACAACCCTCGAGACTAGCAGTACAAAATCAAAGTGCCCGAAAAGGCGTGTTTGTTTCCTGCTGCGGGCTCTGGGAGAAAACCCTATCCCGGCCTCTTCCTAGCGTCCGGCGCGTGGCATTCTGGGCTTCCCGGGCTAGTGGACGCGTCGCTTGGATCTCTGCCTCCACCTTGGCAGGGCCTGTGTCACGCATCTCCTTTCTCTCCAGAGAACACTGGTCACTGGAGCTAGGGGCCCACCCTCGTTTCAAGATCCTTTACTTAATGATAGTATCTGTGAAAATCCTGTCTCCAAAGAAGGTCACATTCACAGGCTCTAGGGGTGAGGACTTAGGCTTGTCTTTTGGGGGACACAATCTGCTCCACACAGAAAGTAGCTTCAAATTGCTAGCCGATATTCTTCTGAAAAACAAATATACTAACATATATGTGTAGAGTTCTTTTTATTTTTTTTTTTTGCGCGTGACACAGCCCTCAGGAGATCCTGAGAACATGTGCCTTGATCTTTTTGTCTTTAGTCTTACCAATGCATAATCAAATAATGCTTCCCAAAGTTACATAGATTAGCTTTTTTCTTCCCCACCTTTTTCACGTGGCTGGTTCTATTATTTATTTCTAATATATTTCGGTTCTTTTCTTTTTTTTTTGAGACGGAGTCTCGCTCTGTTGCCCAGGCTGGAGTGCGGTGGTGCGATCTCGGCTCACTGCAAGCTCCGCCTCCCGGGTTCATGCCGTTCTCCTGCCTCAGCCTCCCAAGTAGCTGGGACTACAGGCGCCTGCCACCACTCCCGGCTAATTTTTTGTATTTTTAGTAGAGACGGGGTTTCACCGTGTTAGCCAGGATGGTCTCGATCTGCTGACCTCGTGATCCGCCCGCCTTGGCCTCCCAAAGTGGTGGGATTACAGGCGTGAGCCATCGCACCCGGCCTATATTTCGACTCTTTTTTTACTTTTTTTTTTTTTTCCATTTTGGGCTCACCCACTTCCTGATTGATTTTAATTAATTAATTAATTAGTATTATTGGTACGTGAAATACTGCCATAGTTTTAAGACCCGGAAATACAAAAGTGGAGCTCCCCCAGCATGACTTCTATCCATTCACATTTCCTCATTCTTGCTATTCTATAAGCACCTGCCTGCCGCTCTAGGCCAAGAAACCTTATTTATATTTAGCTTCTCCGTGGCCGGGTGCGGTGGCTCATGCCTGTAATCCCAGCACTTTGGGAGGCCGAGGCGGGCGGATCACGAGGTTAGGAGATCGAGACCATCCTGGCCAACGTGGTGAAACCCCGTCTCTATTAAAAATATAAAAATTAGCCGGGCATGCTGGTGGGCGCCTGTAGCCCCAGCTACTTGGGAGGCTGAGGCAAGAGAACCGCTTGAACCCGGGAGGTGGAGATTGCAGTGAGCCGACATCACGCCATTGCACTCCAGCCTGGGTGACAGAGCCAGACGCCGTCTCAAAAAAAAAAAAAAAAAAAAATTAGTTTCTACTTCCTAGATTTCCTTGAGCATATACATGTATATTTTCTTTCTCTTTTTCCCTCTCCTCTCTCTCGTTTCCTCTCCTCTCCTCTCCTCTCCTCCCTTCCCGTCCCCTCCCCTCTCCTTTTTTGAGATGGGGCTCTCACTCTGCCCCCAGGCTGGAGTGCAGAGGTACAATCATAGCCTTGACTTTCTGGGCTCAAGCAATCTTCCTGTCCCAGCCTCCTGAGTAGCTGGAACTACAGGCATGTACCACTGCACCTGGCATTATTTTGTTTTATTTTGTAGAGAAAGAGTCTCACTCTGTTGCCCAGGCTGGACTTGAGCTCCTGGCCTCAAGTGATCCTCCTACCTCGGCTGCCCAAAGCATTGAGATTACAGGTGTGATCCACTGCTCCTGGCTTTATTTCTTTATATCCTCTTCTTTCTTACATGAAAAGGAGCATACCATACATACTCTTTTGTATTTTTCTCTTTCCAGTTAATATCTCTTGGGAATCAATTTGTATTCGTTTCCTCTTTCTATTTATAGCTGCATACTACTCCATTGTGGGGTCATACCGTGGCTCATTCAACCATTCTTCCATGCATGGACATTTAGATAATTTCCAGTATTCAGCAATTATAAACAATTTTGCACAGAATAATCTTGCACATGTATGCTTTGTAATGTTGGAGGTGTATCTTCAGAGTGAAATCCTAGGAGTGGGTTGGTGGGTCAAAGGTAAGTGCAGATGTGGATTTGTTAGGTAATATATTGGTTTCCTATTGCTGCTGTAACAAATTACCATACATTTATTGGCTTAAAACCACACACATTCATTGTCTTGCTGTTCTTGGGCCACAAGTCTGAAATGGTTTAACTTGACCAGAACCAAGGTTTGTCAGGGTTTGTCTGAGCCTCTAGGAGAGAATCTGTTTCCTTGCCTTTTCCAGTTTCTAGAGCTGTACTCCTTGCATTCCTTGGCTCTTAGTCTCTTCCTGTGTCTTCAAAGCCAGCAGAGTAGCTTTTTTTTTTTTTTTTTTTTGTGAGGCAGAGTCTCGCTCTGTGGCCCAGGCTGGAGTGCAGTGGCACAATCTTGGCTCACTGCAACCTCCACCTCCCGGGTTCAGGCAATTCTCGTGCCTCCCAAGTAGCTGGGACTACAGGTGCATGACACCACACCCAGCTAATTTTTTTGTTCTTTTTTTTTTTTTTTTTTGAGATGGGGTCTCGCTCTGTCACCGAGGCTGGAGTGCAGTGGTGTAATCTCGGCTCAATGCAACCTCCACCTCCCAGGTTCAAGCGATTCTCCTGCCTCAGCCTCCCAAGTAGCTGGGATTACAGGCACCTGCCACCATTCCCAGCTAATTTTTGTATTTTTAGTAGAGATGGGGTTTCGCCATGTTGGCCAGGCTGGTCTGAAACTCCTGACCTCAAGTGATCCGCCTGCCTCAGCCTCCCAAAGTGCTGGGATTATGGCATGAGCCACTGCGCCTGGCCTAATTTTTTGTATTTTAGTAGAGATGGGGTTTTGAGGCTGGTCTTGAACTCCTGAGCTCAGACAATCCACCTGCCTCGGCCTCCCAAAGTGCTAGGATTACAGGTGTGAGCCACTGTACCCGGCCCAGAGTAGCATCTTACTTTCCTGGTCACATTGCATTCTGTATAGAATCTCCTGTCTCCCTCTTATAAACAGACTTGTGATTGCATTTAGGGCCTCCTGGGATAATTTCCCTATTTCAAAATTCTTATTTTGTGTCAGCAAAGTCCCTTAAGCCATACAAGGCAGCATTCACAGATTCTGAGGATTAGGACCTGTATATCTTTGGGGGTCAGTATTTAGTCTACCACAGGTAACACATTTTTTTTTTAACTAAGTAAATTTAATCCCTGTAGACTTACTCTAAGTCTTCATTTTCCCATATATGAAAGGTAGGGATAAAACCAGGAGGTCTTCAATGTTCCTTACTGTCTAAAATCCTATGTTGGATTTAGTTCTTTCTTGATCAGCTGGAATGGACTGCAAATGGCTTCTTCCAAGGTTAATGATCCCCACACCAGGTGGTCATCCAGGACCACCTGAGGGCAAAAGTGTGAGGTCCCTGTAGTCTGTCTCATGAGTGGCAAGTGATGGTAATGGAAGTGGTAGCTGTAACATTACTGTTGTTGGGTCCCTTGGGATCCCTAGGGAAGGGGCCTTGTTCCAGCAAATCTAGGCATAATTCATGATTCTAGCACAAACAGAAAGCTGCAGAGAGGCTGGGAGCAGTGGCTCACGGCTGTAATCCCAGCACTTTGGGAGGCCAAGGTGGGCAGATCACTTGAGGTCAGGAGTTCAAGACCAGCCTGACCATCATGGTAAAACCCCTAAAAAACCCCTACTAAAAATACAAAATTAGCCAGATGTGGTGGCAGAGGCCTGTAATCCCAGATTCTCAGGAGGCTGAGGCAGGAGAATCACTTGAACCTGGGAGATGGAGGTTGCGGTGAGCTGAGATCGCTGTCACCACTGGACTCCAGCTTCCAGCTTGGGCGACAGAGTGAGACTCCATCTCAAAAAAAAAAGAAAGAAAGAAAGAAAGAATGCTGAGGGGAAAACTTTTCTACCCTTACTGAAACCTGCTGGTCTGAGCTTTCTTATTATTAGAGCTTTCAAACAGAACCTTGTGAGGAGGTGAGCTCTCTGCCACTGGAAGTTCTGAATGACTAGGAGATTTTGCAGAAGGCTCTATGCATTACTGGGGCCTCCCTGTCCAACATGATGGGCACTAGCCATATGTGCTATGTAATGCTTATTTCATATTAACATTTTTTTCTCTTTTTTTTTTTGAGATGGAGTTTCACTCTTGTTGCCCAGGCTGGAGTATAATGGCACGATCTTGCTCACCGCGGACCTCCACCTCCCAGGTTCAAGCGATTCTCCTGCCTCATCCTCCCAAGTAGCTGGGATTACAGTCAAGCACCACCACGCCCGGCTAATTTTGTGTTTTTAGTAGAGATAGGGTTTCTCCATGTTGGTCAGGCTGGTCTCAAAGTCCTGACCTCAGGTGATCCACCAGCCTCAGCCTCCCAAAGTGCTGGGATTACAGGTGTGAGCCACCGTGCCCGGCCTTTTTCCTTTTTCTATTGAAATAATTATAGATTTCCAGGAAGTTGCAAAAAGTAGTTGAGAGAGGTCTCACGTACCTGTCACCCAGTTTTCCCAAGGGGTTACATTTTACATTACTGTAGCGCAATATCAAAACCAGGAAGTTGATGTTAGTACAATGTGTGTGTATAGTTCTGTGCCATTTTCTCACATGTGTAGATTTATGTAACTACCACCTAATCGTGATACAGAACTATCCCAGCATCTCAAAGACCTCCCACAGGCTATCCTTTTATAGTCACTCCCACCGCCCTTTTCCCACCATCCCTAACCCTTGGTAACCACTAATCTGTTTTCTATCTCCCTACTTTTGTCATTTCAAGAATGTTACATAAATGGAATCCTACACATGTGCTATTTAAATGTCAAGTTTAATTTATTAAAATTAAATCAAATTAAAAAGTTAGTTCCTCAGTCATATCAGCCACATTTTGAATGCTCAATAGCCACGTTTGCCTAGTGACCATCAAATTGCACAGCACAGATGCACGGCTGTTCTATCATTGCAGAAAGTTCTATTGGAAAGTGCTGCTTTAGGGAATAAGACCAGATCTGTGGTTCACAAATGCTGATTCATAAGCCCAATTACCCAACAGTGTGACAAAATACAGATTCCTGAGTGTATTACTTATATATTGTGGCATAATAAATTACCCCAAAGTGCAGTGGCTTAAAACAATGATCAACCTTTATTACCCCACATATTTTCTGTAGGTCAGGAGTTCTTGGGTGACTCAGCTGTGCTGTTAGGCACAGAGTCTCTCATGAAGCTGCAATCAAGAGGTTGGTCAGGGGCAGCCATCTGAAGGCTTCGCTGGGGCAGAAGGAGCCTCCTCCAAGGTGGCTCACTCACATGGCTGGCCAGTTGGTGCTAGATGTTAGATGGGCACCCACTTCTGTTTGCCTAGGACTAAGAGGTTCCCTAGGATGTGGGACTTTCAGTGTGAAAACTGGAACTGTCCTAGACAAACCAGAACGATTGGTCACCCTACTGCTGCTAGGAGGGCTCAGTTCCACCCAACATGGGCCTCTTCCAGGGCTGCTTGAGTGTCCTTATGACATGGCCGCCATCTTTTCCTAGGATGAGGGATCCAGGAGAGTGCTGTGGTCCACATTCAAGGACAGGGGAATTAGCAACTGCCTTCTGAAGGGAGGATTGTCAAAGAATATGTGGACATATTTTAAACCTTCCATACTGTCCCATCTGATTGGGCAGATGATACAGGGCCTAGGAATCTGTACTTGGCTGAGGGATCAATGATCCCTGATGTACAGTCACATTTGCCTACCAGTGGTTTGGCTGGCCGCAAGGTCCCTTCCCACTGTGAAATGACGGTCATCCCACCTACCTCAGGAGGCATTCACGGGAGGGAAGGAGGAGGAAGAGCAATGCCAGGCCAGAGGAATTAGTGAGCTGAGCATTGTTAGATGACTGGATGTTCCCTCCCACAGAAGAAATGAACAACAGTTAGAGAACCATTTAGAAAATCCTCAGTGCAATGAAACATTGAACACTGTTATAAATGATGATCACCAAGCCTACATAGCAACATGGAAGAAAAAACTCACAATACAAAATACACACTCAGGGCAGGGTGCAGTGGCTCACACCTGTAATCCCAGCACTTTGGGAGGCCAAGGCAGGCGAATCACCTGAGGTCAGGAGTTCGAGACCAGCCTGGCCAACATGGTGAAACCCTGTCCCTACTAAAAAGACAAAAATTAGCCAGGCATGGTGGCGGGTCCCTGTACTCCCAGCTACTTGGGAGGTGGGGGCAGGAGAATTGCTTGAACCTGGAAGGTGGAGGTTGCAGTGAGCCGAGATGGCACCACTGCACTCCAGCCTGGGCAACAGAGTGAGACTCTGTCTCTAAATAAATAAATAAATAAATATATAAATGTATACACACACTCAAAGGATGGCTAAAATGCTATAGAAATACCTGGACATGGCCAGGCACAGTGGCTCATGCCTGTAATCTCAGCACTTTGGGAGGCCAAGGCAGGCAGATCACCTGAGGTCAGGAGTTTGAGAGCAGCCTGGTCAACATGGTGAAACCCTGTCTGTACTAAAAATACAAAAATTAGCAGGGTATGGTGGTGGGCGCCTGTAATCCCAGCTACTTGGGAGACTGAGGCAGGAGAATCGCTTGAACCTGAGAGGCGGAGGTTGCAGTGAGCCGAGATCACACCACTGCACTCCAGCCCGGGTGACAAGAGCGAGACTCCATCTCAAAAAAAAAAAAAAAAAAAAGTAGGCAAGATCTGGAAATGAATTTATTATACCAAAAATAACAGAGTTGCAGTCATGGTAGGTGGGCAGGGAGAAGATCACGGGTAATTGAAACAAATGAAAGTTAGTGTTGGTTGTGTTGTCTTTTCAATTAATGTGGGTGGCTCGTTCTTCAGACCTTAGCTCAGCAGTCACCTTTTCAGAGGCTTTTCCAATCTTCTTTGTTTAAGTTGGTCCCCTCTGTATTATTCTGTGTCTCAGTCCCTTTTTTGTCCCACCCTGGCACTTGTCACATTTGCAAATACTTTGTCTCTCCCTGCAGCCTGAGCTGCTGGAAGGAAGGCAGGGAGGGGCTGTCGCTCTCTTGTCCCCCATGTTCTCTCCAGGGCCCGGCACAGCGCCTGCACACCTTGCTGCTCGGGAACTGGTCATGAAGCAGTGGGTCTGAGGGAGACCTGCAGGTGAAGGAGGCAACGGGAGCCCCTCTCATGGCTGCTGATGGGGCGGGAGAGGGAGGAGGGCTGGGATCATCCTATCCAGGGGCCCCTGATCCAGGGACGTCTCAGCACTTTGCAGGCCATTGACTCTTGAGAATCTGATTGAATCAGTGTTTCTCAACCTCATCACTGTTGATATCCTGGGCTAGACATTTCTTTATAGGGCGGGGTTGGGGCCTGTCCTGTGTAAGATGCTTAGCATCACCCCTGGCCACCACCTGGCAGGTGCCAGTAGCAACACCTCTTCCCCAAAGCTGTGAAGTTAAAAACATCTCCAGATATTGTCAAATGCCCCTGGGAGTCCAGGGCCAGGTTGCCCTTGGAACTGGGTCAGAAAACCAGCCTAACGCTCTAGTGGGAATGAAATCTTTGCAGCTCAGGCTTAGAAGCATTTCTTCAGCAGCCTCAGTTTCCACATCTGTAAATGAGGGAATCTGATGCCAGTTTCACACAGGGGAAAATCTGTCTTGAGAATTTACCTTTGTGCAGATCCATGCAGGCTTGGGGTGACGGGCTTGGAGAGTGCTGCCACTTGTTGGTGAGTAGGTGGGAGTGCACCCATGGCTCATTAAGCTCCAGTCCACAGGGAGGCAACTTGCCTGCCAGGTGGAATGCAGCTGGCTTGGCTGGTAAAGCCCTGGCTCTAAGACTGGGCCAGGGAAGCCGCAAATAAGGCCAGCTAGGGTGTGTGGCAGCCAGGGGAGTCAGTGGGGATGGGACATTTTTCTATCATTTTGATCAAATGTTTAGTGTTTTTTTTTTTTTTTTTTTTTTTCTGAGACGGAGTCTCGCTCTGTCACCCAGGCTGGAGTGCAGTGGCGTGATCTTGGCTCACTGCAAGCTCCACCTCCCGGGTTCACGCCATTCTCCTGCCTCAGCCTCCCGAGTAGCTGAGACTACAGGCGCCCGCCACCACGCCTGGCTAATTTTTTGTATTTTCAGTAGAGACAGGGTTTCACCGTGTTAGACGGTTAGCCAGGATGGTCTTGATCTTCTGACCTCGTGATCTGCCCACCTCGGCCTCCCAAAGTGCTGGGATTACAGGCGTGAGCCACCACACCCAGCCATTTAGTGATGTTTAAAAAAAGTTGGGCCAACTTTGTTTATTTCCCTCTCCCTTTTCCTGCAGATGCAGAGATCCCTCTCCCTTAGAATCTCTCTAATTCAGGGCTTGGATGTTCGGATTTGCATGAGGGCAGGGAGTGTGAGGGTTGGAATCATGTCTAGCTGCTTGCCCGGCAATGACTCCCCGTGGCCAGACTGGTGGTGATTCCAGGCAACTCCCTCCCCCAGGCCAGGCTCGGTGGAAAAGGCAGAAGGTTGGCACTGCCCATGGCAATCCAAACTCACATCTTTCCCTAAACCTGCCCCTCCTCCAACCCAGTAGAGGCTGGGCCAGACCCTGAGTTCCACAGCTAGAAACATCACCTCCATTTGGGAGGCTGAGGTGGGAGGATCGCTTGAGGCCAGGAGTTCAAGACCAGCCTAGGTAAAATAGTGAGACCCTATTTCTATGAAAAAAAATGAAAAGAAACTTAGCTGGGCATGGTGGTGTGCACCTGTAGTCCCAGCTAGTCGGGAGGCTGAGGTGGGAGGATTGCTTGAGCCCAGGAGTTTGAGGTTGCAGTGAGCAGAGATTGCGCCACTGCACTCCAGCCTGGGTGACAGAGTGAGAACTCAAATAAAAATAAATAAATAAATAAGAGAGAGGGAGAGAGGGAAACATCACCTCCATCACTGAATCCTACTGGCTCTACTTCCTAAATAAGTCCAATTCATCCATTTCCCCCACCCCTACTGCTGCCCTCACCTCAATTTGAGCCTCTGATATGGTCTAGATATTTGTCCCTTCCGAATCTTATGTTGACGTGCGAGTCCCAGTGTTGGAGGTGGGGCCTGGTGGGAGGTGTTTGACTCATGGGGGTGAACCTCTTATGAATGATGAATGGCTTGGTGCCCTCCCTATGGTAAAGAGTTATCATGAGATCTGATTGCTTAAAAGAGACCACAACCTCCTCCCAACCCCATGCTCCCTCTTTCGCCATGTGACGTGCCTGGTCCCCCTTCACCTTCTGCCATGAGTGGAAGCTTCCTGAGGGCCATGCCAGAAGCAGATGCTGGCATCATGCTTCCTGTACTGCCTGCAGACTGTGAGCCAATTAAAGATCTTTTCTTTATAAATTGCCCACCCTCAGGTATTTCTTTATGGCAACACCAAAATGGACTAACACAGCCTCCCTCATCCCACGCCTGGGACAGGGCAGTGGCTTGGCTTCACCATGCTGCTCCATGTGGTGTTGGCTGGGGCCATGCATGTGGCTGCCTTCAGCTGGGAGCTTGGCCAGGGCTGGAATCTTCTAGATGGCTTCACTCACGTGTATGGTAGCTCAGCTGGCTAGGGGGTAGGGGAGTGGGTGCAGAGGCAGCTGAGCCTCTCTCTCCAGCAGAATAATTGGACTTCTTACTACCAGTGTGGGTCTGGGCTATAAGAGCAGAGAACAGAATCTACCTGGCTTCTAAGGTCCAGGCCTAGCACTGGCACAGTGTTCCTGCAACCACATTCCACTGGTTAGAGCAAGCTCTGAGGGCAGCACAGCTGCCCAGTGAAATGTGAGGTGAGTAGACTCCAGCTCTTAAAAAATTTTTATTTTGCTGCAGTCATTTTATTTATTTACTCTTTTTTTTTTTTTAAGTTTCTATCTCTTGATGAGAGAAGTGGTTGGGAGGAATTAGCCAGGTTTTTTTTTTTTTCTTTTTTTTTTTGAGACAGGGTCTCACTCTCTCGCCCAGGCTGGAGTGCAGTGGTGCAAGCTCGGCTCACTGCAACCTCTGCCTCCTAGGTTCAAGCAATTCTCCTGCTTCGGCCTCCCAAGTAGCTGGGACTACAGGTGCCCACCACCACACCTGGCTAATTTTTGTATTTTTTGGTAGAGACAGGGTTTCACCATGTTGACCAGGCTGCTCTCAAACTCCTGACCTCAAGTGACTGCCCTCCTCGGCCTCCCAAAATGCTGGGATTATAGGTGTGAGTGACCGCACCCGGCCTGGCCACCAGTTTTGCAGGCAATCCACCATGCCCACCTTCTTCAAGTCAGGTCAGGGCTCTCCATGAAATACTTGCTCACTTCATTCTTTTTTTTTTTCCTCTGGAGATGGAGTCTTCCTCTGTTGCCTAGGCTGGAGTGCAGTGGCATGATCTCAGCTCACTGCAACCTCTGCCTCCTGGTTCAAGCCATTCTCCTGCCTCAGTCTGCTGAGTAGCTGGGATTACAGGTGTGCATCACCATGCCTGGCTAATTTTTTTTTTTTTTTTGTATTTTTAGTGGAGATGGGGTTTCGCCATGTTGGCCAGGCTGGTCTCAAACTCCTGACCTCAGGTGATCTGCCTACCTTGCCCTCCCAAAGTGCTGGGATTACAGGCATGAGCCACTGTGCCCAGCCCACTTCATTAATTTCTGCTTATAAGTCACCTCTTTGGAGAGGCCTTCCGTGACAGTCTTGAGTAGCCCTCATCCCTTATGCCCACTCTGCCTTATCAACACTTGCCATCATACTCTTTTTGCTGTCAGTCTTGCCCCCTAGACAGTAAGTGCCAAGAGGGGAGGAACCACATTTATTTTGTGCATTCCTGAGTCTCCAACACCTAGAAGAGGGCCTGGCCCATGGTAGGAGCTCAATAAATATTTGTTGAATGAATGAATGTTCCGAAGAACGTTTCTTCCAAAGCACTTATCAAAATCCATAATTACATATTTATTTATCTGCCATGGAGAGGGGGCCCAGAAGAGGGTTGTCTTTTTTTTTTTTTTTTACTTTAAGTTCTGGGATACATGTGCAGAACATGTAGGTTTGTTACATAGGTATACGTGTGCCATGGTGGTTTGCTGCACCTATCAACATGTCATCCAGGTTTTAAGCCCGGTATGCATTAGGTATTTGTCCTAATGCTCTCCCTCCCCTTGCCCCCCGACAGACCCCAGTGTGTGATGTTCCCCTCCCTGTGTCCATGTGTTCCTATTGTTCAACTCCCACTTATGAGTGAGAACATTCGGTGTTTGGTTTTCTGTTCCTGTGTTAGTTTGCTGAGAATGATGGCTTCCACCTTCATCCATGTCCCTGCAAAGGACATGAACTCATTCTTTTTTATGGCTGCATAGTTACTCCATGGTGTATATGTGCCACGTTTTCTTTATACAGTATATCACTGATGGGCATTTGGGTTGGTTCCAAGTCTTTGCTATTGTAAATAGTGCTGCAGTAAACATATGCGTGCCTGTGTCTTTATAGTAGAATGATTTATAATCCTTTGGGTATACACCAAGTAACGAGATTGCAGGGTCAAATGGTATTTCTGGTTCTAGATCCTTGAGGAATTGCCACACTGTCTTCCACAATGGTTGAACTAATTTACACTCCCACCAACAGTGTAAATGCGTTCCTATTTCTCCACAGCCTCACCAGCATCTGTTGTTTCTTGACTTTTTAATAATCATTCTAACTGGTGTGAAGGGCTTGTCATTTTTACAGTTGAATGCAAAGACTTTTATAAGAAACTGATGAAGTCTGGATGTCTCATTTGCATAAGGCACAAATTTCTGGTACCTCCACCCCCATCCTCGTAGTGCTCATGTGGGCCCTTGAGTTTCTCCATATTGCTTTGTTCCACTTACTGAGCATGTGTTAGGGGATGGAATTTTCCATTGCGGGGAGGTAGGACTCTTAAGAGACGATTAGGTCATTAGGGCAGAGCCCTCATGATTGGATTAATGCCATTATCTTGTTATTTTGGGAAATGGGTTGGCCTCCTCTTTCTCTCTCCCTCTCTTTGCCCTTCTGCCAAGTGATACTCTTCCACTATGGGATGATACACAAGAAGGCCCTCGCCAGATGGCAGCATCTTAATATCAACCTCTAGAACTGTGTGCCAATAAATTTCTGTTTATTATAAATTACCCAGTCTGTGGTATTATTATAGCAGGACAAAATGAATGAAGACATGGATGTAAATAATAATTTTCTGAATTGATTTTTTTCAACAACCCAGGGAGCTGGTGTTTAGAGCAGCCACATCCTGAACTTCTTTTCACGATATTATGTAAGATCACAGCCTTTCAGCTGGGCACAGTGGCTCACGCCTGTAATCCCAGCACTTTGGGAGGCTGACACAGTCAGATCACCTGAGGTCAGGAGTTTGAGACCAGCCTGACCAACATGGAGAAACCCCGTCTCTACTAAAAATACAAAACTAGCTGGCGTGGTGGCACATGCCTGTAACCCCAGCTACTTGGGAGGCTGAGGCAGGAGAATCGCTTGGAGAAGCCGGGAGGCAGAGGTTGCAGTGAGCCAAGATCATGCCATTGCACTCCAGCCTGGGCAACAGAGTGAGACTCCGTCTCAAAAAAAAAAAAAAAAAAATCACAGGCTTTCTCTGAGCCTACTGCTCCAGTATTACTTGGGTGCTTGTGAAAAATACAGGTGCCAGCCCCACACCAGAAGTATTAATGGAGAACCTCCAGGGGCTAGGGGCTAGGCCCCCCCACCTGCACATCCCAGCAGCCATGCAGGTGATTCTCATGTGCACCACATTTTGTGGTAAGGTATCATTGCCTTCCCATTTCTACACTCTAAGCTGGAAATTTCTTGGGCTGGTTTTTCCTTTAAGACATCCTGTGTCTCTTAAGACCTTGGTAGCTTTATTTCCCCAGAAGGCTTCTTTTTTCTTTTTTTTTTTTTTAAGACAAGGTCTCAATACTATGCAGCCACAAAAAAGAATGAGTTCATGTCCTTTGCAAGGACATGGATGAAGCTGGAAACCATCATTCTCAGCAAACTATCACGAGGACAGAAAACCAAACACCACATGTTCTCACTCAGAGGTGGAAACGGAGCAATGAGAACACTTGGACACAGAGTGGGGAACATCACACACCAGGGCCTTTCGGAGGGTGGGGGGCTGGGGGAGGAATAGCATTAGGAGAAATACCTAATGTAAATGATGAGTTGATGGGTGCAGCAAACCAACATGGCACATGTATACCTATGTAACAAACCTGCACATTGTGCACATGTACTGTAAAACTTAAAGTATAATAATAAAAAAAAAAAGACAAGGTCTCATTCTGTCACGCAGGCTGGAGTGCAGTGGTGCAATCACAGCTCACTGTAGCCTTGACCTCCCGGGGTTCAGGTGATCCTCCCAGGGCTCAGGTGATCCTCCCACTTCAGCTTCCCGAGTAGCTGGGACTACAGTTGCACACCACTGTGCCTGGCTATTTTTTTTTTTTTTTTGTATTTTTTGTAGAGACAAGGTCTCCTTATGTTGCCCAGGCTGGTCTCAAACTCCTGGGCTCAAGCAATCCTCCCACCTCGGCCTCCCAAAGTTCTGGGATTACAAGAGTGAGCCCCTGTGACTGGCCTCCCCAGAAGGCTTTGTAAAGATGCCTGTTCCATAGCTGGGCATGGTGGTGGGCGCCTGTAATCCCAGCTACTTGGGAGGCTGAGGCAGGAGAATGGCGTGAACCCGGGAGGCGGAGCTTGCAGTGAGCCGAGATCGCGCCACTGCACTCCAGCCTGGGTGACTGAGCGAGACTCCACCTCAAAAAACAAACAAACAAACAAACAAACAAACAAACAAACAAAAAAGAAGCCTGTTCCATAATCCCTGAAAAATGCAGCATGTTTATATACCTTTTGAGGCTTGTGGAGAGGTTATATGGCCCAGGGCCTTATGACTGGGCAGGATGACACTGAAGCCACACCAAGTAGGGAGGAAGCAAAGCTGGATTCTCTCCCTCTTCAGATTTAAGTGTGCGGAATTGGGAAGTTTATGTTTGGGGTTTAGCGATACAAGGGGTGGGGTCCTTGGCTGTGGTGATGGGGAGGAGCCTTTAGCACAGTTAAGGGGAAGCAAATATTTCCTCAGGGGTAAACAGGAGCTGGGGAGGGGTGAGCGGGGGAGTCGTGGAAGAACCTGTTTTGTAACAGGTTGGGTGGCAGGCTGCTAGGTTTAGATTTGAACCTGAAACTTTTGGACTTTGAGAGGCATCTGAGGCTGTTGCTGCCTCTGACTATGCTGGCTCTGGCAGGAAAGGCTTTATCTGTGGCTTGGCGAAACAGTGGCATTAGAAAAAGGTGGGACTGAATGAGTTTTAGGAAAGCCATGATATTCCCAGAGAAAATCCTGATGGTCAGCATACCCCTCCCCACACAGTCTCTCTTCAAGCAGGAAAGGCTAGAGAGTAGGTCACAGGGGGCAGGTATGAAAGGATGGGGTGAGGACAAAGGCAGGGACGCTTGCGAGCTCATTAGCCAACCTGGCTATTAATTGTGTATCTACCTGTCATTGCCCATGTCAGAGAGAAAGTCGTTCCTGGCAACCAGGACAGAGGAGGAGGTGTTGGTGTGGGGCCAGTGAGGAAGCAAGTCCTCTCCAGATTCAGGAGGAGGCTAGAGAAATAAGAGCACATAGGCAGTGTGGTCTCAGACAGGCCAGGTGCTTGGTCTGATACCAGGCCTCAGTCAGCCAGGAGAAGTCAGTCCTCATTCAGGTGCATGTGCGTATGTGATGGGGGTTGGGGCAGCTGTGGGATAGTGCAACCTTAGAGTTGTTGTAGCCTTAGGTAGAGAAATGTGGCTTCTGTTATGTTGCTGCCTGGAAGGATAGGAGGTGGGGAAATAAATACTCTATTTTTTGTTTGTTTGTTTGTTTGTTTGAGCCAGAGTCTTGCTCTGTCACCCAGGCTGCATCACAGTGGTACGATCATGGCTCACTGCAGCCTTAATCTCCTGGGCTTAAGTAATCCACCTACTTCAGCCTCCTCAGTAGCTGGGACTACAGGTGTTCACCACCATATCTGGCTAATATTTTTTAATTTTTCATAGAGACAGAGTCTCACTATGTTTCACAGGCTGGTCCTGAACTCCTGGGCTCAAGCAATCCGCCTCCCTTAGACTCCCAAAGTGCTGGGTTTATAGGTGGGAGCTACTGTGGCTGGCCAAAGTTGTGGTTTTTGCAGTCTTTTGTGATCATTCTTGTAATTAGGTGTACATGCAGGAGAACCTTCCCTTCACGGCCTTCCCTGTGTCTACTTGTAGGGTTTTTTTTTGTTTGCTTGTTTTTTGTTAACACGAATGACTCCATTTTCATTCCAACACCTTCACACATTTTATAAGTAACTGGAGGGACTCAGTGCGATCTTATCCTAACAGTCACATTTTATTACAGGGGAAGGATACAGATTAAAATCAGCCAAGCGGGGAGATGCGAGATGCATGGGGCAGAGTCAAGGAGGGTTCCAAACACAGAGCTTCCATTGTCCTTTCCTGATGGAGGCATATGGAGAGTGTGCAGTCCTCCCGGTGATGATGCGTAGGGGTAAACATGGAGTCTTGCCAACCAGGAAAATTCACCCTAGACTTGGGACCTAGAGTTTTTACTGGGGCTCCCTGGTCAAATGCCCACAGGGCTGACATCGTCTCCATTCTCCAGAGATCCAGCTGAGCATGCTTGACTCAAAGTCCTCACCCTGAATCACATATTAGTTTATCCAATGTGGCCAACCCCACCCTAAATCACATTGTTCGTTTATCTGGTGTGGCCAGCCTCTGCCCTAAATATCCTCCTATCTGGCATGACATTGCAAGGGCTTAGAGATTACCTTCTGGAAGCTGAGGGCAAAGTCCAGGCCTCTCCCTGGGCAAGGTTAAATTATTTACTCCACAGGCAGACTAAACAGTCCCCAGCCCACGCCAAGGCTGTGAGTCCATTGTTTCTGGCAGATTGACAACCCAAGAGGCACGATTCCTATAGCTGTCCCCCAGGTGTGTGATATGGTTTGGATATGTGTCTCCTCCAAATCTCATGTTGGAATATGAGCCCCAGTGTTGGAGGTGGGGCCTGGTGGGAGGTGTTTTAGTCATGGGGGCAGATCCCTCGTGAATGGCTTGGTGCCCTCCGCAAGGTAATGAGTGAGTTCATGCTCTGTTAGTTCATGCTAGAGCTGGTTGTTTGAAGGAATCTGGGTCCTCCTCCTTCTCTCCCTTGCTCCTGCTCTTGCCACATGATGTACCTGCTCCTTGTTGGCCTTCTGCCATGATTGGAAGCTTCCTCGTTAGGAGACACTCACAGGCCTCACCAGAAGCCGAGCAGATGCCCGCACCATGCTTTTTTGTGCAGCCTGCAGAAGAACCATGAGCCAGTTAAACCTCTTTTCTTTATAAATTACCCAGCCTCAGGTATTTCTTCATGGCAACACAAACACGGACTAACACAGTGTGCAACCTGCATAGAGGGGTGATAAGCCCATCTACGTCAGTCACCTGCCTTTATGCCACACGTCATTCATCATCTATTCAGTTATTTGTTTTTATTTATTTTTTTGAGACGGAGTCTCGCTCTGTTGCCCAGGCTGGAGTGCAGTGGCACAATCTCGGCTCACTGCAAGCTCCGCCTCCTGGGTTCACACCATTCTCCTGCCTCAGCCTCTCGAGTAGCTGGGACTACAGTCGCCTGCCACTAAGCCCGGCTAATTTTTTGTATTTTTAGTAGAGACGGGGTTTCACCGTGTTAGCCAGGATGGTCTTGATCTCCTGACCTCGTGATCCGCCCACCTCGGCCTCCCAAAGTGCTGGGATTACAAGCGTGAGCCACCATGCCCAGCCTATTCAGTTATTTGTTTACTCACCATTTATTATTTATTAAGTATTAGTAATACCTAAGATATGGCAGGCACTATGGAAAGAACACAAGCATGGACAAAGCAGAGCTGGTCCCTGCCCTCACGTCCTCACTCTAGCAAGGAAGCCAGAGCAAACCAATGATGAAATGCTTTTTTTTGAGATGGAGTTTCGCTCTTGTTGCCCAGGCTGGAGTGCGATGGTGTGATCTCAGCTCACTGCAACCTCCACCTCCAGGTTCTCCTGCCTCAGCCTCCCGAGTAGCTGGGATTACAGGCATGTGCCACTACGCCCGGCTAATTTTGTATTTTTAGTAGAGATGGGGTTTCTCCATGTTGGTCAGGCTGGTCTCGAACTCCTGACCTCAGGTGATCCACCCGCCTCAGCCTCCCAAAGTGGTGGGATTACAGGCATGAGCCACCGCGCCCGGCTTGAAATACTTATAAATTGCTACAAGCTATGAAGGAAACAGAGGGCTGAGCTCAGAATAAGGAAAGAGAGGAGAAAAGAATCTGTGTTAGATTTTGTGGCAGGGAAGGTAGATTGAAGAAGTTCCCGTTTAAGCAGAGGCCAGAGAATGAGAAGGCACCAGCCATCTGGGAAGAACATGCCCAGGAGAGGGGCACATGGGCCTTGCTGCCATGCCCCCTACAGACTGTGAAAGTAGAAACACAGCCCTTTCCTTGTGGCTGACATAGTCTGGTCAGGATCCAAGCTTTGCAAGTCGTGCATGGCCAGGGTCTCAGCCGTACACATCCCCTGTGCTGATGCAGTGTGTAAGCCACACAACCCTACACAGCAGGTTTGGACAGACAGTGCCTGAAAGCCAGCACCCTGTGCAGCTCTACCAGGCTGGCACCAAGATGCCAGGCCATTTTAATTGCATCTGGCCTCATCCACATTTTATTTTTATTTTTCTATTTTTCATGCTCCCTGTCCTTGCATTTGTCCACATTTTAAATAATAAAAAACAAAGTGGTGCCCGTTAGCAGAGGCCATGGTGACAGAAACTGGGACATTCTTCAAGTCCCAGCCACTTAGGCATAAATGCAAGTCAAGTGGAAGCGACAGCTCCATTTTCGGCTCGAGGAAAAACTGCTTGGGTCCACTCACTGGTGGGGTATGGAGAAGGGGTTCCATGTCCCTTGCAATACAAAGGGATCTCAGCCTAATTTTTTCCTGCTTTTCTTTAACCTTTATCAGGGACCAGAGTGTGCTGAGCAAAGGGGGAAGCCCTTGCCTTCTCAACTCAGAATTTTCTGGTAGGATTCCAGCCCCAGGCCAGTTCTTCTTACAACACCCACTCCCCATCACAGCCATGTGCACAGGCACACACAGTCCCTCTCAGAGAACGTCACAGGTACCAGCACTGGGCCCGAGTTTGCTGTACAATAATAATGAGATCTGCACTTACCCCAAATTGCAATCTGTCTTATGCAGCAAGAATCCCTGCCTCTTTCCTGATCGTTTGATTTTAATACCACACCCGGCCTCCTTTAAAAGTTGGAGGCCTCCTTTAAAAGTTGGAGGCCAGGTGTGGGGGCTCATGCCTGTAATCTTAGCACTTTGGAAAGCCGAGATGGGCAGATTGCTTGAGCTTACAAGTTTGAGACCAGCCTGGGCAACATGGCAAACCCCCATCTCTACAAAAAATACAAAAATTGCCTGGGTGTAGACGGGGCACCGTGGCTCATGCCTGTAATCCCAGCACTTTGGGAGGCCGAGGCAGGCAGATCACAAGGTCAGGAGTTCAAGACCAGCCTGGCCAATATGGTGAAACCCCGTCTCTACTAAAAATACAAAAATTAGCTGGGTGTGGTGGCGTGTGCCTGTAGTCCCAGCTACTCGGGAGGCTGAGGCAGGAGAATCGCTTGAACCCGGGAGGCGGAGGTTGCAGTGAGCTGAGATGGTGCCATTGCACTCCAGCCTGGGTGACAGAGCGAGACTCCGTCTCAAAAAATAAAAAAGTGATTCAAAAAAGAAAAAAAAAATCGTTCAAGCAATTCTCCTGCCTCAGCCCCCCGAATAGCTGGGATTACAGGTGCTCCTTACAACCTTGCCATTTGCCTTAGTTCATCCAGACTGCTATGACAAAATGCCATAGACTGGGTGGCTTATAAATAACAAAGTTATTTCTCACAGTTCTGGAGGCTGGAAGTTTAAGATCAATGTTCCAGAAGATTCAATGTGTGTTGTGGGCTTGCTCTCTGGTTCATAGATGGCACTTTATTTTTCTTTTTTCAATTTTTCTTTTAGATTCAGGGGTTACGTGTGCAGATTTGTTACAAGGGTATATTGCATGGTGCTGAGGTTTGGGGTATGATTGAACCTGTCATCCAGGTATTGAGCATAGTACCCAACAGGTAGTTTTTCAACCCTTGCCCCCCTCTCTCCCTCCCTCCCCTCTCTTGTAGTCCACAGTGTCTATTGTTCCCATATTTATGTCCATGTGTATCCAATGTTTAGCTCCCACTTATAAGTGAGAACATGCAGTATTTGGTTTTCTATTCCTGCATTCATTCACTCAGAATAATGGCCTCCAGCTGCATCCATGTTGCTGCAAAGGACATGATTTCATTATTTTTTATGACTGTGTAGTATTCCGCCATATATATGTACCATATTTTCTTTATTCCATCCACCACTGATGGGCACCTAGGTTGACTCCATGTCTCTGCTATTGTGAATCACGCTGTGACAAACCTACATGTGCATTTGTCTTTTTGGTAGAATGATTTATTTTCTTTTTTTGAGATGAAGTCTCACTCTGTTGCCCAAGTTGGAGTGCAGTGGCACGATCTTGGCTCGCTGAAACCTCCACCTCCCAGGTTCAAGCGATTCTCCTGCCTCAGCCTCCTGAGCAGCTGAGACTGCAGGCGTGTACCACCATGCCCGGCTAATTTTTGTATTTTTAGTAGAGACGGGGTTTCACTATGTTGGCTAGGCTGGTCTTGAACTCCTGACCTTGTGATCCGCCTGCCTCAGCCTCCCAAAGTGTTGGGATTACAGGTGTGAGCCACCGCACTCAGCCATGACTTATTTTCCTTTGGGTGGAATGGTAGTTCTATTTTTAGTTCTTTGAGAAATATCCAAACTGCTCTCTACACTGGCTGAACTAATTTACATTCCCACCAGCAGTGTATAAGCATCCTCTTTTCTCTGCAGCCTTTCCAACAACTATTTTTTAACTTTTTAATAATACCCATTCTGACCGGCGTGAGGTGGCACTCATTGTGGTTTTGATTTGCATTTATCTGATGATTAGTGATGATGAGCATTTTTTCATGTTTGTTGACCACTTGTATGTCTTTTTATTTTTATTTTTTTGAGACGGAGTCTCACTCTGTCATCCAGGCTGGAGTGTGGTGGCACGATCTCGACTCACTGCAACCTCCACCGCCCCGGATTCAAGTGATTCTCCTGCCTCAGCTTCCTGAGTAGCTGGGATTACAAGCGCGTGCCACCACACCTGGGTAATTTTTGTATTTTTAGTAGACTCGGGGTTTCACCATGTTGGCCAGGTTGTCTCAAACTCCTGACCTCAGGTGATCCGCCCACCTTGGCCCCCCAAAGTGCTGGGATTACAGGCGTGAGCCACCATGCCTGGCTGTATGTCTTCTTTTGAGAAGTGCCTGTTCATGTCCTCTGCCCACTTTTTTTCGGGGGGTGGGATGGGAGACGGAGTCTCACTCTGTCACCCAGGCTGGAGTGCAGTGGCACGATCTCAGCTCACTGCAACCTCCGCCTCCCGGATTCAAGTGATTCTCCTGCCTCAGCCTCCCGAGTAGCTGGGATTACAGGTGCCCGCAACCATGCCTGGCTAATTTTTGTATTTTAGTAGAGATGGGGTTTCACCATGTTGGCCAGGATGGTCTTGAACTCCTGACCTCAGGTGATCTGCCTGCCTTGGCCTCCTAAAGTGCTGGGATTACAGGTGTGAGCCACCGTGCCCAGCCCTCTGCCCACTTTTTAATGGGGGTCTTTGTTTTTTGCTTGTTGAATTGTTTACATTCCTTATAGATTCTGGATATTAGAGCTTTGTTAGATGCGTAGTTTGTAAATATTTTCTCCCATTCTGCAGGCTGTCTGTTTACTCTGTTGATAGTTTCTTTTGCTGTGCAGAAGCTCTTAAGTTTAATTAGGTCCCACTTGTCAATTTTGTTTGTTTGTTTGTTTGTTTTTGAGACACAGTCTTACTCTGTCACCAAGGCTGGAGTGCAGAGGTGCGATCATAGCTCACTGCAGCCTCGACCTCCTGGACTCAAGTGATCCTCCCACCTCAGTTTCCTGAGTAGCTGAGACTACAGGTGTGCACCACCATGCCAGGCTAATTTTTGTATTCTTTGTACAGACGGGTTTTTGCCATGTTGTTCAGGCTGATTTTTGTTTTGCTGTAACTGCTTTGGAGGACTTAGTTATTTATAAATTCTTTGCCGCGGTTGATGCCCAGGAGGGTATTTCCTAGGTTTTCTTCTAGGATTTTAATTGTTTGAAGTCTTACATTTAAGTCTTTAATCCGTCTTGAGTTAATTTTTGTATATGGTGATAGGCAGGGGTCCAGTTTCATTCTTCTGCATATGGATAGCCAGTTATTCCAGCACCATTTATTAAATAGGGAGTCCTTTCCCCATTGCTTATTTTTGTCCAACTTGTTGAAGATTAGTTGGTTGTAGGAGGGTGGCTTTATTTCTGTGTTCTCTATTCTGTTCCATTGGTCTATGTGTCTGTTTTTGTACCAGTACTATGCTGTTTGGGTTATTGTAGCCTTTTAGTATAGTTGGAAGTCAGGTAATGTGATGCCTCCAATTCTGTTATTTTTGCTTAGGATCCTTTGGTTATTCTGGCTCTTTTTTTTGTTTAATATAAATTTTATAATAGTTTTTTTTCTAATTCTGTGAAAAATGATGTTGTTAGTTTGATAGGAACAGGATTAAATCTGCAGATTGCTTTTGGCAGTATGGACATTTTAATGATATTGATTCTTCCAATCCATGAGCATGGAGTGTTTTTCCATTTGCTTGTGTCACATAGATGATGCTTTCTAACTGTGTCTTTACATGGTGGAAAGGGTGAACAAGCTCTCAGGCCTCTGCCCTAATGATAATTACATTTCAAAACCTCTGCCTTCTAATACCGTCATCTTGGGACTCAGGATTTCAACATATCAATTTTGGGAGTAAACATTCATACTATAGCCCCATTCTAATAAATCATTTCTAGAATTGTCTTTTAGAGGTTGTATATTAGTTTCCTATTGCTGTTGTAACACTTCCTATTGTGTTGTAACTGTGAACCACAGACTCAGTGGTTTAAACAACTCAGATTTATCATTTTACAGTTCTAGAGGTCAGGAGTCTGAAATCAGTCTCTCTGGGCTAAAATTAAGTGGGCATCAGGGCTCCCTCCTTCTGGAGGCCTTGGGAGGAGAATCTGTTTCCTTGTCTTTTTCAGCTTCTATAGGTTGCCTGCATTCCTTGGCTCATGGCTCCTTCTTACATCTTCAGAGCTAGCGGTGTAGCATCTCCAATCTCTCTCTTTCTTTCTTCTTTTTTTCTTTCTTTCTCTTTTTCTTTCTTTCTCTCTCTGTCTCTCTCCCCACCCCTGCCCTGCTCTGCTTCTGTCATTAAATCACCTTCTCTCACTCTGACCCTCTTGTCTTCCTCTTATAAGAACTGTAGGCCGGGCATGGTGGCTCATGCCTGTAATCCCAGCACTTTGGGAGGCTGAAGTGGGTGGATCATCTGAGGTCAGGAGTTTGAGACCAGCCTGGCCAACATGGTGAAACCTCGTCTCTACTAAAAATACAGAAATTAGCCGGGCCTGGTGGTGGGCACCTGTAATCCCAGCTACTTGGGAGGCTGATGCATAAGAATTGCTGGAACCCAGGAGGCGGAGGTTGCAGTGAGCTGAGATCACGCCACTGCACTCCAGCCAGGGTGACAGAGTAAAACTCTGTCTAAAAAAAAAAAAAAAAAAAGAACTTGTGATGACATTCTTGGGATTACATTGGGCACACTTGGATGATCTAGGACAATCCCCCCATGTCAAGATCCGTAACATCTGTATGATCTCACTTAAATGTACAATCTAGAATAATCACACTCATAGAAGCAGAGAGTACAATGGTAATCTTCAGGGCTGGAGGGAAGGGAAAATGGAGAGGTGATGATCAAAGGGTATAAGGTTTAGTTACGCCAGATAAATAAATTCTGGAGATCTATGCATCTGACAAAAGGTATAATATCTAGAATCTATAAGGAACTTAAAGAGTTCAACAAGCAAAAAAACAAATAACCCCATTAAAAAGAGGGCAGAGGGGGCTGGGCGCAGTGGCTCACACCTGTAATCCTAGCACTTTGGGAGGCTGAGGCAGGCAGACTGCCTGAGCTCAGAAGTTTGAGACCAGCCTGGGCAACATGGCAAAATCCCATCTCTACTAAAAACAAAGAAAAAAATGTGGGCAGAGGACATGAACAGGTGCTTCTCAAAAGAAGACATACAAGTGGCCAAGAAACATATTAAAAAATGTTCATCATCACTAATCATCATCTACTATACATCACAGTGCCTACAGCTAACAATACTGCACTGTATACTTAGATTTGCCAAGAGGATAGATCTTAAGTGCCCCTACAAAAAAAAAAAAAGGGAATGGGGGTAGGGGAGGAAACTTTGGGAGGTGTTGGGTATGTTTATATGCTTTACGGTGGTGATGGTTTCATGGAAATATACTTATCTCCAAACTCATCAACATATATATATTAAATATGTACAGCTTTTTGTATGCAATCCTATCCCAATGAAGTAGTTTTTGTTTTGTTTTGTTTGTTTTTTACATTCACAGGTTCCAGTGAGTAGGATGTGGATATCCTTGGGGGGCCATTGTTGTACTTACCATAGTTTGCCTCCACAGTTTTTAATGTTGGGGTTGAAGTAATACTGAACATAGATTGCCTTCCATTAACATTGTAACAGAAATATTTCCCCACAGGAAATTTGTTGTTGTTGTTGTTGTTTTGAGACAAAGTCTCGCTCTTGTCCCCCAGGCTGGAGTGCAATGGTGTGATCTCGGCTCACTGCAACCTCTGCATCTCGGGTTCAAGCCATTCTCCTGCTTCAGCCTCCCGAGTAGCTGGGATTACAGGCGCCTACCACTATGCCTGGCTAATTTTTGTATTTTTAGTAGAGGCAGGGTTTCATCATGTTGACCAGGCTGGTCTCAAACTCCTGATCTCAGGTGATCTGCCCGCCTCAGCCTCCCAAAGTGCTGGGATTACAGGTGTGAGCCACCACGCCCGGACCCCCACAGGAAGTTTTTGTAACCATATTTCCTCAAGGTTGTGAGTGATTCAATATGCCCAAGCTGGAAACCAGGTTGTGTTCCGTCCTGGGCTGCTGTCCATTTTCCTGCAGCAGGCATTCCCCATACTTACAATGATGGTCTTAGCGTGGGTTCCCAGCATCAAGGGGGGTGGAATAGGATTATGATTCTGATCGCATATAGCCTAATTGCTTTTCAGAAGGATTGTATCACTTTACACATCTCCTGATGAACCTCATATGACTTTCTTAAAGCTGAAAAAAGTTCGCTCTTTTTATAATCAAGGTATTATGTCCTCATTAAAGCATATTTGGAGGCTGGGCCTGGTGGCTCATGCCTGTAATCCCAGCACTTTGGGAGGCCAAGACAGGTTGATTACTTCAGGTTAGGAGTTTGAGACCAGCCTGGCCAACGTGGCAAAACCACATCTCTACTAAAAATACAAAAATTAGCCAGACGTGGTGGCACGCACCTGTAGTCACAGCTACTTGGGAGGCTGAGGCATGAGAATAGCTTAACTCGGGAGGTGGAGGTTGCAGTGACCCGAGATGGTGCCACTGAACTCCAGCCTGGGTGACAGAGGGAGACTCTGTCTCAAAAAACAAAACAAAACAAAACAAACAAACAAAAGAATATTTGGGAAATGTAAAAAGAGCCAAAGGAAAAAATCACTCATAGTCTCATAAATAGAAACACAACTTAATAATTATGTTTCAATTTATAAGAATTGATCAATTCTGGCTGGGTGCAGTGGCTCACACCTGTAATCCCAGCACTTTGGGAGGCGGAGGCCGGCAGATCACAAGGTCAGGAGTTTGAGACCAGCCTGGCCAACATGGTGAAACCCCATCTCTACTAAAAATACAAAAATTAGCTGGGCATGGTGTCGTGTACCTGTAATCCCAGCTACTTGGGAGGCTGAGGCAGAATTGCTTGAACCAGGACCTGGGAGGCGGAGGTTGCAGTGAGCCAAGATCATGCCACCGTACTCCAGCCTGGGCTACAGAGAGAGACTCCATCTCAAAAAAAAAAAAAAAAAAAAAAAAAAGAATTGATAAATTCCCATAAATACTTCATTAATACTTAATACATTTCTTTCCAATATTTGTCTCTCTGTGTATATATATACAAAATTCTTAAAAATCATAGCTATGATGTTGGAGCTTCTTGGAATTGTTTTAGATTAGATCTAGGACACCTCATGTTTTGGGATATGCAGGAGAATATTATCAATTGTGTTTACCTTGGGATGCTTTCTGTCCTGTTTCCCCAAGAGATTACTGCTGTCACTCAGAACCTGGAGGCCCAGCTGGGTCCTTCCCTGGATGCTGAGTGTCAGGGCACAGTGTGGGGAGTGTGGCCTGAGATCCTTGACCACAAACACGCCATCTTGATTCTTCCTACCCAGACTCTAGTCTGAGGAGTTCACTGGAAAATGATTGGAAAGTTAGGTTTTATGACAATGCAACTTTATAATCCAATTAATTGATGCTGGTTACAAGCAGAATATCTTTCTCTTTAAAAATTAATTTACATAAATGACTACCATTTCTGCCTTCATGAACTTCATCTTCAAGCTCTGGTACTTAGCACAGACAATGCTAAGAAACCACATAGAAATCCAGGGACATCTGGCTCTGAAAAGAGAAGAGTTGGGAGTGTTTCATCCTATGTTCTTGAAAGGGGGGTGGAATAGGTTTATGATTCTGATCATAAATTGGCTGCTTTCCACTTTGATAAATATCTACAGTAGAAGCCCTAAGGCTGTAAGTTAGAGATAAGACAAAAACCAAAAACTCCCTAAAATGAAATAGTCTTACATTGGTAACCCATTCCAATATTAACAATGAAAGAAAAATCTCATTTTCCCTGGATGTTTTACATTGTTCTTCTTGAATGGAGGAGAGGAACTGAGTTAGCATCTGGAAGAAAACAATCCAAACTGGACTAGGCAAAACAGGAGGCCGTTGGCTCAGGCAGCTGGTAAGTACAGGGTGTAGTCTCCGGCATGGCTAGATTCAGGACCTCATCTCTGCCTTTCTCTTATGGGCTTACTTCATTTTCAGGGAGTCTTTATTCCTGTAGCCCCAGGAATTCTCATCTGGTCTCATTGGTCCATCCCTGCGGGGCGGGGATCGGGGGCGGTGGGAGGCCAGGATGTGGGGGCGGAGAGGCGGGGGCAGGAGAGGTATACAGGGCTCTAATTGGTCAGACTGGGCCATGTGGCCACTCCCAGGAAGGCTTTGGAGTCAGGGATGGAGTCAGCTCCATGAAAGCTTGCTGACCAAAAGGAGAGGGAAACAGGGTCATTCGCCCAGAGAAAAACTGAGGTTAGGATTGTCCTGTCCCCACAAACCTCCTTCTCCACCCACCAAGATTTGACTGTCTTCGCCAGGGACTTGCTCTAGCTGGGTCAAGCTCAAGTGGGGTTATTGAAGTGGAACAGGGAAACCCACGCATGGCAAGAACAGGGGGGCACTCAAGGAACAGGGGCCCAGAGCCACCCTCTGCAGCGGCTGCTCCATTCTCTGTTCTGTGAAAAGCCCTCGTTAACTTCGCAACACCGACAGGGATGCCAGACCCAGGTCTCCCCAAGGGCCTTGAAAGCTCCCGCATTTTCCCCTCTGCCATACTCATCCCTGGGTTTCTCAGTTCAGGTTTGCAAGAGAGGATCTGATTGACCTGGCTTGGGTCAGGGGCCCAACCCTGACCCAATCAGCTGTGGCAGATGGAATGGAGGTGGGGCTCAGGGGGTTTCCCCTCTCCCTCAGGGTTGTGGTGGGTCAATGGATTCTAGTGATTATGGCACCTGCAGATCTCAGCTGATTTTGTTTTTTAAAAAATTACTAATACTATTTCTTGAGACGGGAACTTGCTCTGTGGTCCAGGCTGGAGTGCAGTAGTGGGATGCTAGCTCACTGCACCCTCGAACTCCTGGCCTCAAGCCATCCTACCTCCTTGGCCTCCCAAACAGTTGGGATTACCCACATGTGCCTCTGAGCCTGGCCCAGTTACTGATGAGTGCCTACTCTTTTTTCTTTTTTTTTTTTTTTGGCAGAGTTTCGCTCTTGTTGCCCAGACTGGAGTGTGATGGTGAGATCTTAGCTCACCGCAACCTCCGCCTCCTGGGTTCAAGCAATTCTCCTGCCTTAGCTTCACGAGTAGCTGGGATTATAGGCATGTGCCACCATGCCCGGCTAATTTTTGTATTTTTAGTAGAGACGGGGTTTCTCCATGTTGGTAAGGCTGGTCTCGAACTCCCGACCTCAGGTGATCCAGCCGCCTCAGCCTCCCAAAGTGCTGGGATTACAGGAGTGAGCCACTGCACGGGGCCGAGTGCCTACTCTTTATGTGTCCCATTTTAAACTTACACCAACACTCTGAAGCTGAGGCTCTTAGAGGCCAGCCTTCTTGCCTGGGTCACGCAGCCACTAAGTGAGTGGTTAATCTGAAACTAGCACCTAGGGGAGCTGGCGAAGGGGCCCAGGGTAGCAGAGGCCATGAAGAACTCTTTCCAAGTTGTTGTTTTTTTTTGTTTTTTTTTTTTGGGGGGGGGGGACAATGTCACTCTGTCAGTCAGGCTGGAGTACAGCGGCTCAATCTCAGCTGACTCCAGCCTCCTCCTTCCAAGTTCAAGCGATTCTCGTGCCTCAGCCTCCTGAGTAGCTGGGACTACAGGCGCGCGCCACCACGCCCGTCTAGTTTTTGTATTTTTAGTAGAGACAGGGTTTTGCCATGTTGCCCAGGCTGGTCTCGAAGTCCTGGCCTCAAGTGATCTGCCTGTCTCGGCCTCCCAAAGTACTAGGATTACAGGCTTGAGCCACTGCACCCGGCCCAGATTGGTTCTTTAAAGCGGAGTTGAGAGGTGGCGCTGGAGGGGAGGAAGCCCTTCGACATTTGCTCCCAGCCTCAAAACTGGGTTGCACCGGCATCTGTTCCTAGCCCTGTGGGGTTCCTGGAGCCCCGCCTTGTCCCGCCCGGCCTCCCTGAGTTCTTGTCCTCCCCCTGCCCACCAGTCTCAGTGTGCGGGGTGGGGACCACCAGGCTGGGAAGCCCAGAGTTCCCAGGCAACTCGTGCGCCTGGGAGGGTCATAGAATCCGTCCTACACTCCTCAGGATCTTGAAGGGGGCTCTTCCTTACATTCCCAGTCACCCCTCCCCCAGCCCCTACACAGGGCCTAGGTAACCTGTCTGCACCCCACTCCCACTCTGTATCAGCTGCCCTCTTCCTCAGCACCCTATCCCACTGGAGCACCTTTTCCAACTCCAGTCGCCACTTTTAATCTGCCGCCTTTTCCCAGCAGCCAGTCCTGATTGCCTCCTCCGTAGCCCCAGTTGCCCACTGCTTTAGATAGTGTCGCAGCTGGCTGTGAGGAGTGTCCTGATTCTGTAACCCGGCACCTCCTCCACAGGGCCCTAGACGCCTCAAGCCTTCCAGGACGTTTGTTGATCAAAGGCGAAGGATGTGTAGAATCTTCGTCCATCTACGAATTAATTCTCGAAACCTGCTTCGAGTGGGCCTCGCGCGTAACACAGGGGACACTCAGTGGTGAACGAGACCACTCGCTTAGGCCTAGCAGCGAGGTGACCGTTCACTCAACACACACTAACTGGGTCCCGCAGGACACGCCCCGGCTGGTCGCGGGGGTTACCCGGGGTGCCCTCAGTCGGCCGGCCGGCCATAACCGGCGTGATCTCCTCGCGCCGAGAGACCCAGCAGGGACCTCGCAAAACCCAATCCACGTTTTGTTTTATTTTGTCTTTTTGCCTCTCAAATGCATGGAAATTGGCTGCTAGTAGCTTTGCTACAGGAGAAAATCGCTAATCTGTAGTGCAAAATCGGCGCACAGGGGTTTTCTCTGAGATTGTCTAGACGCCGCGCGGGCGGGTCGGAGGCGCCAGACACATTGTATCCGGAGCGCGGAGCTCGGGAGCAACAGTCGCCGCCTCTACTCTGTATCTGCGCCGCCCCAGGCGCCCAGTGTCCGCGCTGGGCCTGGGACTGCCCTCGGGGGATGGGGCCCACGCGGGCTTTGATGGGGGGCCGGGGGCCACTTTGTCCACCCAGGCGAGGCTTGGGTCCAGCGCCGGCCACATCAACTCCCGGGGGATCTAGCAGCGCGGAGGCCAAGCAGGAGGCCCAGGAGCCCCGCGCGTCTTCCATTAGCGCAGGGACCTCCGGGCCACAGCTCAGAGAATCGGAAGGCCTCCTCCCCCTTCCCGAGCGCTGCCACTGGGGCCGAGGTTTCCAGCAAGAACCCGCGTGTCCCTGCGCACGCACACACGGTGCACACGTCAGTCCGGCGCCTCCCCGTGCCCCGACTCACGCAGGTCCTCCCGCGCGCCCGCAACACGCCCGCAGGCTCCTGTGTCTGCTGCCGGGGCAGCGGGGCCCGGAAGGGTAAGAACGCGGCTCGCTAGCGGGATGGGGACCCTGGCCCGGCCTGGACGCTGTCCCGGGCGGGGCCTGGGGGCGGAGCGCGCCGGGCCGGGCGCGCAGGAGGGGAGGCGGGTCCGCGCCGCCGCCGTCCGCGCCGCCCCGCCCTTGGCCCAGCCGCTCGCTCGGCTCCGCTCCCTGGCTCGGCTCCCTGCCTCCGCGTCGCAGCCCCCGCCGTAGCCGCCTCCGAGCCCGCCGCCACATCCTCTGAGGTAGGCGCAGCGGAAAAGGACCCCGGCTTCCTTGCGCCCTGGACGGCGGGGGCCAGGCCCCTGGGGAGCTGAGAGGGAGGCGCTGAGGGAGGAGCGGGCGAGGGGCCCCGGCAGCCCGGCCGCGGGGAGGGATCGCGAGCGGCCGGCGCGGGCCTGGCTGGTGAGCGGGCGGGCAGAGAAGGCCGCACAGGCGGGTGCCGAACAGGTCTGGGCTGGGGAGCGCGAGGCCGAGGGTCCAGAGACGCCTGCGGCTGGCGGCGAGAGGCGGCCCGGGCTTGCGGGCGGAAGTGCAAGGGCGGCCGCGTGGAGGCCCGGCGGGCCGCGCGTCTAGGTGACCTTCCCCGGCGGCGCCCTCTGGCCCTGGATCCCACCAGCGTGCATCCGGCGGGGACCCGTTCGCCGCCCACGCTCGCCGGACCAGGCCAGCGGGCGGGTGCCGGCCACGCTGCCGCCTCGGGGATGAGCTCACGTGACGACCGTGGCCCCGAGTCCCCAGGCCCACGCGCCCTGGCCGGCCCACGCCCGCAGAAGCTGGCGCCCGGCACCGCCCGCCTGTGCCAGAGCCTTCTAGAGCGGAACGCGCCGGCCGAGAGTCGACTTAGGCGGTAGAGGCCGGAGCTCGGGCCTGGGCTGAAGGTTTGGCCTCGGAAAAGGAGGCCCCACGGGGAAGGATGTGGCCTTCTTGGTCTTAGGAGTGATTACTGGTTCGGTCGTTCATTCATTCGCCAAATGCGGCGGTGCATTCTGGAAACTGTTTCGGAGCCTGACTTTGGATTAGAGGCCCGCAGTCTTAGTGGTTTGTACAAGGTCACACAGCTGGGAAGTCCCCATACCTTCGTTTTCTCATCTATAGGACGGGAGCAATTGTACCTCTCCTTCGATGAGTTTTGGGGAATAATAAAATGAATTAATTAGCATGAAACCTTTAGAACAGTGCCGGTGTGGAGAAGGGCTAAGTAGAAACCCTGACACCCTTGGGGCTTTTTGGGTGAATCCAGCCCATCCCCCGCAGACCATTTTGCTACACGTGGCGTTGTGGAAGGGGTTCAATAAATGTAGCTCCTGTTTTTAAACATTCTTTCACTATTATTGACAAGCATTTGTATACCAGGTATTGAGTAACTTTCAGCTTAATTTATGAAAAATCTTGTAAGTTTACAAATGGACATTGTCAAGCTGGAGCAGTAAGTTTGCATGTGGAGATCTTGAATGCAGGAGCAGACCCTGGTTTAGAGCCCGTTCCGCCCGGGGTCCCTGTCCCCTTGACTAGCCTCCCCTCTCCTGGGGAGATAGGGGAAAGGGCTCCTCTGTTGCCTAAACTTCTCCACTGAGGCAGGAGAAGGCCAGAGCAGACTACCGAGGGCCAGCCTTCATTCTGCCCACCCCAGCTCTGGACCAACTCAGCTCCTAAGGGTCAGACTGAGGCACTGAGGCCCTGTGCTACTTTGTCTTCAGTGCCTGGGGTGGTGCTGCCTGGCACACAGTAGGTGCTTGAGAAGGGTCTGTGGGGGTAAATGCACTCTTGTGTCAGAATCCACCCATCTTTACTGACAGAGTTTTACTATTCCAGTACATGGCCCATAGTAGGTGCTTATTGAGTATTTGTGGAATTATTGAATGGGCATATGAAGGGCTGCAGGCCCAGACCATAGTCCTTTGATCCTGGACTTTTTTTTTTTTTGAGACAGGGTCTTGCTCTGTTGCCAGGTCTGGAGCGCGGTGGCACCATAACGGCTCATGGCAGCTTCTGTTTCCTGGGTTCAGGCAATCCTCCCACCTCAGCCTCACAGAGTATCTGGGATCCCAGGCACACACCACCACGCCTGGCTAATTTTTGTATTTTTAGTAGAGTCGGGGTTTCACCATGTTTGCCAGGCTGATCTCAAACTCCTGGCCTCAAGCAATCCACCCGCCTCCGCCTCCCAAAGTGCTGGGATTACACGCGTGAGCCACCATGCCCGGTCCTGGACATCCTTTTGAGGGACACAGACATCTCACTTGTGGAAAACAGCCTCACCTAGCAGAGAGTCACAAATATTTAAAGAACTGTAACAGTATGTATAGTCTCTTGAAATAAGTGCTTTAAACACATCGTCTTCATTCTCTGGTTTTCCAAGTCCCGAGGGAAACTTGTTGAACTGGTGTTTCTGGGCTTGCAGGGAGGGTGACATGGGTGACTGGGATTCTACAGAAGGTGTTGGGCCTGTTACCCCTTCCCTCATGGTGGGTGGATGGACAGCTTGTGCTGGGGTTGTCCTGAGTAGGGTGCCTGCCTGTGGGTAGTGGGGACTACTCCTTGTTGATTATTTAGTTTTATTTTTGCTATTCTAGAGTGGGGCTATAGGCAGGGGTTATTCGTAGCTCAGAAAGTGGGGGACCATACAGGGATGAGGTGCCTGTGGGCCCCTGGCCTTGCTGAACACTAGGCAGGTGTGGACAGTGAACTCCATGCTGGGGAGGTGAAGGGCATCCAACCTCTACCCTTACCAGGAAGATGCTCCTGAAGCACTGAAGTCCACTTCGCCTTTGATGGAATTTCCCGTGGTGTAGTGTCTTCGGTGGTAGTGACTGGAAGAGGCGCATGTGTGGTTGAGGACCAGCCGAAGCTTGGAGGCAGCCCCTCCTGGTGCTCAGAGATTCTGTAGTCTGCGGCTTTGGGTTTTCCATGGAGTCCTGTGGTAGCCACTGAGAAAAGTTGACCAGTGGGCTCCTCAGCTGGGTCTGGGCGCATTTCTCCATTTTACCACGTACTCAGGGGGTTTGGGATGAGTGGGACTTTAAGTTCTTTACTCAGAACTGTGCTGGAAAGAGCACTGGAGAGTAGCTTAGGCCCATAACACAGGTCTGGTGAGCCATAGGGTCGGTCTCATACAGGTCAAGTCACTGTCTTGTGCCTCAGTTTCTCTCTCTCTTTTTTTTTTTTTTTTTTTTAGATGGAGTCTCACTCTGTTGCCCAGGCTGGAGTGCAGTGGTGCAATCTCGGCTCCCTGCAATCTCTACCTCTCGGGTTCAAGCAAGTCTCTGCCTCACCCTCTCGAGTAGCCGGGATTACAGGCGCCTGCCACCATGCCTGGCTAATTTTTTTGTATTTTTTAGTAGAGATGGGGTTTCACCATCTTGGCCAGGTTGGTCTTGAACTCCTGACCTCCTGATCCACCCGCCTCGGCCTCCTAAAGTGCGGGGATTGCAGGTGTGAGCCACTGAGCCCGGCCGAGTTTGTCTGCTATAAAAGTATGATTGTCGTCATTACAGTGATTGCTGATTGAGGGCTTGCTCAGCACCTTTCTGGGGGCTCAACGAATGTTCTGTGATGTTGAGTTCACCACCCTATACCCTGGGAGAGAGATAGTGTGTTTCCATTTCACAGGTCAGCAGACTCGAGCACAGAGAGGTGAGGTAACACAGCCTGGCAGGAGTGGAGTTGGGATTCAAGGCCTGGTCTGAATGGTGGTGCTCTCACATTGCAGTTGCACTCCAAGGGACCCTTGCAAGGTGCTAACAGATGTGAATGCCTTTTGGAAAGTCAAAATTGGTGTTCAGATGGGAGACATTATTTTTCCACACCAGTCAGAGTGAACTTGTGCATGGCTGTGTGCGGGCCAACTGGCAGTGGACAATGGAGTCACCTCTATTTCTTGCAAGGACAGTGGTGCTGAGTGTCTATTATAAGGGTCCGTTTTCCCTGGGATCTGGTGGGAGGCATTCTTTCAGGACCTGTTCAGCTAAACAATGCCTCATTGTGGACATGAAGGACTCTGGACCCTGTGGTTCAGGGTGACCTTTTGAACATGCTTAGCAGCCATTATTATAATAAATATACAAAATGAAAACTTGTGATAAAATACTGTGTGTATTCCCTGCTTACCAAGCGCCAGCCACTGTACCAAGTGTTGTATATTAACGAGCTAATTCAGTCCTCACAGTGACGCCATCCAGGCTCTCTTTCTCCATATTAGAGCTGAAGAAAAAGGAGTAGAGAGGTTGCGACTTGCCCAAAGTCACATACCTAGAAAGTGGTGGGGTGGGTTAGAACTCAGGTCTATTTGATTCCCGAGGCTTCCTGCCCAAGCACTGTCTGTCTCAACCCTACCTGGTCAAGCCAAGCAGTGAGGCTCCAGGGAACTTGAGGTGCCTTAGGTCAGGTAGGAGCCCCAGGTATGCCTGGGATCCAGACCATAGTGTACTGGCTGCCAGCGCAGGCCATCTCCCCTTGATAGGTGGGTGGGCAGGCTGCCCTGAGTCAGCAACCTCTTGAGCCCAGGAGCTCAGCATGGAACTCAGCTGTGCTGGTGGTGGCCCAGCTGCCAGGGTGTTTCAAAATAGAAGCTACCCCTGGAAAGCTCTACTGCCCACTGCGAGACTGTTGTGGAAGAATGGAGGGAGAGAACAGCTGCATTGGGTACGCAGACCTGCTACCAGAACACAGGGCCATCAGCCTTTGCCAGCATCCTGGAGCTTGAACCAGGAACTGTTCCCCTGGGTTGTTTCTTCCTGGCAAGAAAGAGAAAGTGCTGGAGTGTGTGTGTGTGCATGCGTGCATGTGTGTGAGCGAGCTGCTGATTGTGTTCGCCCCCATGTTGGCTTTTAGAGCTAGGGTTGCCTTCTGCTGGGGAAGTTGCTTTTCCTGGTCCTCAGGGCTAGGAAGAGGTGCTGTTTCTGTGATCACTGGCTGGTCTGATACCCCTCCTATAGGCTGGCCTAGTTCTGCCCTGACAAACCACCTAGAATGGTGTTGGTGAAACAGCGGGGCCAGAGACTTTTCCATAGTACTCTCTTCCTTGGCAGAATCATAAGATGATGGCAATGATGATGATGATGGTTGTGATTGCTCTGTTGGTTAGCGTCTTTGCAGGGATCTGGTGCACACTTACACTTGGTAATCCAGGAGAGTTTAATGAAGACATCATTTGCAAAGCTGTGGATGGGGTGTCAGGTCTGGTCTGTTAACACCCTGAGGCCTACAAGAGAGGGAGCTTCTTGGCAGGAGCTGTGGCCTTGGGTAGAGGAAGGTAGTCATTGCCCATCTGAAGCCTAGCAGGGAGGGAGACTCGGGGTGAGTACCCCGACTTCATTCTTCCCTAAACTCCCGTCTTCTGCAAGTACCTCACGTTGAAAGGCTAAGCCCAATCATAAGCCCATGGACAGCAGTCCATAATGATCAGTTCTGGGGGCACAGAGCAGGGTGGAAGGGAGGAGAATGGATCTGGAGGGGCAGACAGAGTATCCAGTGTAGTGGATTATGGTTATTACTGCCATTTGTTGAACACTTACTCCATGCCAGATACTTCTGCTGTTCTGCCTGTTTCACTCATTCCTTGTAACAACTTCCTTAGGCCTAAGGCCTTTCCTCCCAGCTGTTTTTAGCTGAGTCTTGGAGACCCATGGCCACCCTGCTCCCTGTATCAACCATTGCAGTAGTTGTTGGCTCTCTAGGGGTGCAAAGCTCATCTGCCTGAATCCTTCTATTATTACTATTTATTTCTTTTTATTTTTTATTTAAAAGAGACAGGGTCTCACTGTATTGCCCAGGCTGGTCTCGAACTCCTGCATTCAGGCGATCCTCCTGCCTCAGCCTCCCAAAGTGCTGGGATTAGAGGCGTGAGCCACCATGCCTGGCACATGCCTGAATCCTTTTGAGGGAGCCTCTGCAGAGAAGAGAGCATATTTCTACCAGGCGGGGGCCTGGTAGGTGCTTAGTGCAGGAACCGCCCTGAGCTGCTGCTTCTCAGTGGCACCTGGGGGCAGCCCTGCCTGTTAGGCACAGGCTGAGAGGTAGGGCAGGAGGAGTTCCATCTCTTCTGGCAGGCTCTTCTTGAACAAGCGCCTCCGGTGATTCTTGTGCACCCTGAAGTTAGGGAGCTCTTTCCTGCTCATGATTTCTGGCAGGGTGGCCAAGCCACTAGTGGTCACCTGGGAGTGAAATGTGCCCCGACGGACCTTGCCTGATAACTCTTCCATCTCAGTGTAGTTTAAATCTGTTCTTGCAATCTGTATGGACACTCTAGGTAGCCTTCTGGCATTGCTACTGCAGCAGCCTTGGAACGTGATTTGGGACACAACACAGCTCAATTTCAGGCACAGTGGTTGGCTTTTAAAGTGCTGTTTTTTTGGAGAGGGAGTCTCTCGCTCTGTCACCCAGGCTGGAGTGCAGTGGCACGATCTTGGCTCACTGCAGCCTTTGCCTTTGGGTTCAAGTGATTCTCATGCCTCAGCCTCCCAAGTAGCTGGGATTACAGGCACTTACCACCACGCCCGGCTAATTTTTGTATTGAAATTCTTTATCCTTAAACAAATTATTAGTATACACAAACAGCTTAAATAATGAAGCAGAACAAAAAATGAAAATTCGATTTGAAGTGCATTCCTTCCCTAAACCTCCTTCTCCAGAAGCGTATCTAAGCCAGCCCCAATTTGCAGATTGGCTTGTATCCTTCCACATGCTTTCCCATCCATTCATGAACATAGAAAGATGTGTAAAAAGGTTTTCCTCCAATTACATGGAATTACAAATTTTCTGACTTTTTTCATTTAACTGTATCATAGCTAGCTAGCTTTCTTTCTTTTTTTTTTTTTTGTTTCGAGACGGAGTTTTACTCTTGTTGCCCAGGCTGGATTACAATGGCGCGATCTCAGCTCACCACAACCTCCACCTCCCAGGTTGAGGCAATTCTTCTGCCCCAGCCTCCCGAGTAGCTGGGATTACAGGCATGCGCCACCACGCCTGGCTAATTTATTTTGTATTTTTAATAGAGACAGGGTTTCTCCATGTTGGTCAGGGTGGTCTCGAACTCCTGACCTCAGGTGACCCGCCCACCTCGGCCTCCCAAAGTGCTGGGATTACAGGCATGAGCCACTGCGCACGGCTATCGTAGCTTCATAGCTAGCTTTCTATGCCACCACATACATCCACCTTATTCTTTTTTTTTTTTTTTTTTTTTTGTGAGACAGTCTCGCTCTGTCATCCAGGCTGGAGTGCAGTGGCATGATCTTGGCTCACTGCAACCTCTGCCTCCTGGTTTAAGCTTGTGCCTCAGCCTCTCAAGTAGCTGGCATTACAGGCGTGCACCATCACACCTGGGTGATTTTTTTTTTTTATTTTTTTTTTATTTTTAGTAGAGACGGGGTTTTGCCATGTTGGCCAGGTTGATCTGGAAGTCCTGGCCTGAAGTGATCCGCCCACCTCAGCCTCCCAAAGTGCTGGGATTACAGGCATGAGCCACCCACCTTATTCTTTTTGATTACCATATGGTACTCCTTAGTTTGCAAGTATAGTACCTTAATTTTTATTCATTCATTTTCCTTTTGATGGACTTTTAGGTTGCTTCTGGGTTTTGTGTTACAAATACTGCTGCAGTGAGCATCCTCATATACACATCTTTGAGTAGTGCCTTGGTTGCTACAGTGGGGCAGGTTCCTAGAAGTGGAATTGCCACTAGGGTTAATGCTGGGTTAATTGCTCTCCAAAAAGAGTGTACCTGTAGTACTCCCCCTTGGCGTGAACAAGAGTGACTGTTTTCCACACCCTCACTGACACTGGATATTATTTACGTTTTTGCCAGACTGCTGGTTAAGTGAGCTTCTGAAACACAGATGTGGTAGTCACTCAACAGTGGCTCTTGGTGGCCCTTAGAATAAAATCCATGCATGGTATTGAGGTCAGAAGCAACCAGTGCTTCTGATGGCACTTGGTCTCCTCAGCCTGAGATCAGCTCTCCTTAGGCCGAGGTGGGAGCAGGCAGGGAGTGGAGGTCATTGCTAGTTGAGGGTCTCCCCAACTCCCCCACTCTTGGTGATGCTGCAACAGTGAGCCTGCAGAGGGAGCTCTTACTTCCTGGTTGCATTGTAATGAGTTCCTATTGTCAGATTCCAAGTTTCTACTTTTTTCCCCATTGCTAAATAATACTTTGATGCTCATTGCTCATTCACTCATCAAACACATTTATATTGAATGCCTATTATGTGCCAGGGCTTAGCATCTTTATATACGTAACTTTTTCCATATTTTGGATAAATTTATGCATGACAGGCTCTGGGGTGCTTTGAATTCAAAGAGGTGATTTTGGGGGTAGGTGTATGGGGTAGGGTGGGGTGGGGGCACGGTGAGCACAGCAGCTGTCATTGCCATTCAGCTGATGAGCCAAGAAGGATGTGTACCCCCAAGACAGAGGTTACGTAAGTATTATGCAGACTGTGCTGGGTGATAGATACACTATCCTTCCCCTCTGTGCTTCCAGTATGGGCCGGATTTTCATTCCTCAGCTGGAATGGGGCTTGCATAATTTGTTCAAGGTCAGCCAAGGAAAGGTTGGGTAGGTAGACTGGCAGGCTGTGGAGGGGAACCAGGGACTCCTGTATCCTGGTGTGACTTGCTGGTCCTTCTCAAAGTCTTCAGTGACTGCAGGCAGGTCTGCTCAGCCTGGCCCTGCCCATCCCTCTGTTTCCTACCAACCAGTGGGAACAAAGCCCCCAGGCTCTGCCCTGAAGCCATCACTCAGGCAGAGAGGCCTGTGGTTCTGACTCCCCCAGGACGCCCTCTGACTTCTGTCTGTCCAGGGCTAGCTGCTTTGCCGATGCCAGACTGCCCTGCTTCATGCGCAGCCTCTAGAGGCTCAGCTTGTGAAGGCCCCTGGGGGGTGGATGCTGCAGAGACAGCTGTGTATCAGTAGCTAACTGTACAGGCTCCGATTTGGAGCAGATCTGGGTGGAAGGAGTGACTGGGAGGGGTGGGGGCCAGGGTTCAGCCTTCAAGTCAGCACCCTGGCAGGGTGTTAAGTGAAAGCAGGCTTTGTTGCCGACTTTTCTTTCCTCCAGTCCTCGCCTTAGAAAATTAATGCAGATTATTATTTCTATCATAAAATTGTCTCTGAAATGGGTTCGAGAGCTGTGTAAAAATGGGCATTTTGGGGGTGCTGTCTGTAGCTGTAAGAAAGCTGAACTTCTCGGAGCGGCAGAGCTGTCTCGGGCCTTCCTTAGTTCCGTCAGATCAGTGCAGCAGGGGATGGGCCGAAGTGCACAAAAAGGAGGGGAAGCTACCACTACCTGGCAGTTGGGGGCCTTTAGTGAAAGGGTGAGTCATCCTTTTGCTGTCCTCGGTGGTGTCACTTCAGGCCCAGGAGTGGACTTGACTCCATTCAGCCAGTGGTTTCTGTGAGTCTTCCTTGCCAGGTGCTATGCTGGGGAGAATGCTTACTTGGGGGCCCAGAACGGGGGAGATTATGCTTCATTGTCGGTGTTCAAGGAGATGGGGAAGAGAGCAAGACACAGATGAGAAAGCCAGCATCCAGTATGTTTACAGTGAGGCATTGGATAGGGATATGTTTTAGTGAACCAGCAAGTTCACTTGCGTGCTGCTGGTACCAACTACATGGTTGTGTTGTGGAACCCCACAGCCCCAAAAGAGCTTGGCCGTGTCGGAGCTCCTAGAGGCCCCAGGAGGGGTCCGGTCTGCTCTTCTGAGCTCTGCTCTCTGAGTGCCTTGTCCTTGGGTGGTAATCTCTTTAGTGGCCTTGTACTTCAGGCTGATGTTTGCTGTGGGTGGGGTGTTTTTTGACAGGTGGCTGTGCTTGTTGGATTTTGGGGATTAGCGATGAGAGAGGGCATTTGGGGAACATTTAATGGATGAGTGCTCTGCCTTTATCCTGAGCGGGGACCAGTCCAGATGTGAAGGCTGCTGTGTCTGGGAGGCGTCTCTTCTGTGGGGTCAGGGGAGAGTCGTGGGGAAGGCTCTGGCTCCTAAGGTCCAGGGAGGTCTTAGGTGACCCACAGATATTACCACTGGACTGCTTCTCCTTCTGCTTCCCCAGCCCCCACCCCGGCTGAGTTTGTGGCCCCCCTGGGAGGCATAGCACTGAAGAGGGGTACTTGGTTCACTGATGGTTTGTTAACCCTGTCGGGTGGAGAATGTTCTGGGCCCGTTACTGTTATGTTCTGTGTCTGCCTGGGGTTACATTGCCTCAGCTTTCAATCCAGAGTTGTTCTCCTAGGAAGGTGTCAGGTAAAGGGTATTTCTTGAGGTTCTGGTGGGTGGTTTCCTGGTCTATCCCGGGGGGATGCACCTACAGGGTTAGTTTGGGAGGGAGGAACAAGTGGGGAGAGGGGAGCCCCCAGACTGGAAAGAGCCAGTGGCGGGCAGTGTAAAATGGATCTTCCCCCCTCATCTCTCTACCCTGATACTAATGTGGGCTGACCTGTCCATGGTTTCAGCCTGATCATGTGCAAGAAATAACACAGCAGCGACAAAAATAGGACAGAGTAAACAGCTCGCTGCTCTTCTGTCTGTGCTCTGACACAAAAGTGAGCTGGGATAAAATTAACAAAGCATCTGGAAAAAGTAAAGTAGGACCTGGATCACAACTTCACAATTTAAAATTGTAGAAGTTTATACTGTTTCTTTTACAACATACTCAGTGAGTCTGTGGCCTCCTGCAATGCCTTTGAAGTTAAAGCTTTGGCCAAGAATGCAACTTCCATTGATGATATGGAAGCATATCATGTCATATGACATGCCAGGAGCATGTCATATATGTGTTTATTTGTGTGAATATATATACATGTAACTTCAGATGGTATATATGCAGATGAATTTTGATAATTTAGGTATACTGTATTTTAAAACGAATGGAATGGTCCTTCTGGTTGAGACTAATGATTCTGGGGATGGAGAAGGTGCAGGAGATGAGGCTTTCTCATGCATGACCCCCTCTCCTCCTGGGCAGAGCACACCATGTACAGTCCCAGATTAGGATATTAATCCTGTGTACACAGCATATACAGCATGCCAAAGCAAAGCCTTCCAGGAATGCAGTGTGGTCCTTAGGGCAAAGACTATTTGAGTTACTCTCCTTCCTTGAACACCGAGGTGCTTAATAAATGTTTGTTGATTGACTTAGTGATATGCAGCAATCCCAAGTAGTCCTTTGATGGTTGGTTTTAAAAATAAAGTTACACTGGAGCTCAATAAATATTTGTTTAATGTATTTGGAGGATGTATTTGGGTTTTTTCCATGTGAAGAGCTGCCAAACTGGTTTGGTTTTACTGTATTCTCTATGAGAAATATGAAGTGGGTTCCCATAAAGTCCAAAAGTTTTGTGAAAAGTTGGGCCCATCCTGGCATATAGTAGGTACTCCATAAATATTTGTTGAATGAATGAAATCAGAGCCACATGGAAAATGATGTTCCCATGAAAAGCTCTGATTTCTATTCGGTACATTTAATGTCCTAGTAGCTGACATTTTGTAAGATGATATGTTTTATTGGCAACAGTCCTACAATTCAGTAAAGTCACTGGCTCATGGGAATGTGTCTTTGACAGTTTATTCATTAAGCAAATATTTCCTGACTCCTACTCTGTTCTGGGCCTGGGCTCAGTCCTGGGGATGCTGAGGAGGAGAGGTCTAAATTGTTGATCATCTGTCAACAAAGACTCATTGAGTGTCTCAAGCTCTGGCCACAAAATGAAGGACAAGACAGCAAGGGCTTCTTGGCCCATCTGGGAGGATAAGCTACCTGGTAGTCTTAGTGCTAGGTGATTTTTATTGGTTGCTAATTACATCTAATAATTGTTATTGATGGAAAGCTAATTTCCCTAATTATCAATGCATTTATTCTGGTGATTCTTTTATCATAGCAGAAGATGGCTGTGCCACCCACGTATGCCGATCTTGGCAAATCTGCCAGGGATGTCTTCACCAAGGGCTATGGTGAGTGTTGCAGAGAGGGGGTGCCTTTCAGCTCACAGACTGAGTTGGCATGTTTGAGACTTTACCGATAACTGTTTAGGAGACCTGGGTAGGTCAGCTGTTCTGAACTTTCACGTGAGGGAAAAAAGAAGCTTTCATTTGTGTGGCAATTGTAGCAACTTTGGTTGTGCACCCAGTTGGACAGGCTCCTGCATTGGTGCTGTCAAGTGGGTATTCTTGTTTTCTTTTCCAAGTGTGGAGCAGCCCTGTGGAAGCTGCTGCAGTGGAGCGCGGCTTCTATATTTAGCCTGTGCTTAGGCACATGCCCACGAGGCCCAGTAACTGTGTCTTTGCCAGCTGTCAGGTGTCTTCTTATCAGACCCTGCTGGGAGTGCAGGTGGGACCCAGGTGGGGGTGCCCATTCTGTCTGCTGCTGTTCCATGGCAGCTGAGAGCTCCCCCCACGAGCAGCAGCAGAGACTGGGTGCCCTCAGCCCCTGTGGCAGGAGTGTGCTTCTTTTTAAAAAAGCATCCTGAAGCAACCATGAGGGAGGCAGAGGTGCTGTTCTCTAGTTATTTAACCTATTGACAGTTGTCTTCTTCTTTCTTTAGGATTTGGCTTAATAAAGCTTGATTTGAAAACAAAATCTGAGAATGGATTGGTAAGTTGTCCAACCCACATGGAACATGAGTATTTATTTATTTTTATTTTATTTTATTTATTTATTTTTGAGATGGAGTTTTGCTCTTGTCGCCCAGGCTGGAGTACAATGGCGTGATCTCAGCTCACCACAACCTCCACTTCTTGGGTTCAAGCGATTCTCCTACCTCAGCCTACCGAGTAGCTGGGATTACAGGCACCCGCCACCATGCTCGGCTAATTTTGTATTTTTAATAGAGACGGGGTTTTTCCATGTTGGTCAGGCTGGTCTTGAACTCCCGACTTCAGGTGATCCGCCCACCTTGGCCTCCCAAAGTGCTGGAATTATAGGCATGAGCCACTGCGCCTGGCTTATTTTTATTTTTAAAAAAGATTTTAGATTCAGGGTGTACATGTGCAGGTTTGTTACATGGATGTATTGTGTAATGGTGAGGTTTGGGCTTCTAGTGTACCCATTACCCAAATAGTGACCATTGTATGGAACGTGGGAATTTGTTGTAGATCAACAAATAACTGTCGTGACCTGGCCCGCAAAGCCAAAAGAAGGTACTTTTTTTTTTTTATTCTGGCAGTTTTTGTGGTTTTCACATTCATTCCATTTTCTGCATGATGGGTGGTCCAGGGGAACCATGCCAGTAGGCCCCCAGTTCAGCAGCGGGTAATAGAGGAGAATGGGTCAGGTCTCAGTTTTAGTTTTCCTTGTGCTTCTTATTTTCAAATTCACCTGCATTCAACCACATAAGTGTTTTTAAAGTAATCTTAGTAGTCCCTTTGAAATTATGTGTGCAGTAATTGTTGGAAGAAAGAAGTTTTGGGTTTGAATTACCGCTGTGTCAGCTTTAGCTCAGTGCTTTTTCTCTGTACTGCCCTGGAGCCAGGATGGAAGGGAGATGCTTTCCTGTCCAGACTGAAGAGTTACAGGGAGGAAGGAAGCTGTCTGCTGACAACAAATTCCCCATAAGATTTCTTTACATAGCAGGCTCCTTTACTCCCATCTGTACTTTAAATATCTATTTGAATTGTAGAGTTAGCCTTGGCCCCCCCACATTCAGGGTCTTGCCTCTTGCAGAAAGGCAAGTATAGTGTTTAGGAGTGAAGTGAAGCCAAGTGAGTGCTATGGTGCAGGCTGTGACTCTTCTCTCTCCTTTGAAGGAATTTACAAGCTCAGGCTCAGCCAACACTGAGACCACCAAAGTGACGGGCAGTCTGGAAACCAAGTACAGATGGACTGAGTACGGCCTGACGTTTACAGAGAAATGGAATACCGACAATACACTAGGCACCGAGATTACTGTGGAAGATCAGGTAATGGCTGCTGTGAAAAGATGTGGATTTATTAATTCGCATCTGCCAGCCTGCCTTGTGACTAAATCTAGTGGCAAATTTCTTTTCTGTTCAGCTTGCACGTGGACTGAAGCTGACCTTCGATTCATCCTTCTCACCTAACACTGGGTAAGAGTTTCATCTGTTTTCTCCACAAGGATGTTCTCTGATGTTGCAGGTGGTGGAAGCCCTTTGTGACAAAATGTTTTGGGGGCTGACAGCACCTAAAATATGGTCTCCGAGACCTGGCGATTTAAGTCCTCTGGTTTTGATTTGGTCCCAGGGGTCGTATCCACATCTATGCACTAACAGACTATGCTATAATGAGCACTTCCTAATTCAGGACTGGTGTTTACCCAACAAACGATTTCTAAGTGCCACCTGTGCTTGGCCCTGTGCCCATCTGGAGATCTAAGGGTGCCCAGGCCATGATTGTTACCCGCCAAGGAGCTCACTTTCTAATAGAGGATTCAGACCAGTGTTTAGCCGTGTTTTGTAATAAGATTCTGCATTTTGTTAGTGTTCTCCTAGTTTCTGCCATGGAGGTTGCAGGATTTCTGTTCAGTAATAGCCATTTCATGTGAGTTAGGCTGCTGGTGATGTAAGTGGCTATGACCAAACGGGAGTGGGTGACATTTGGAAGCAGGGCCTAACTGGTCACTGTTGCCAGCCTCATTTCTTCAGGCATGGAAGTCCTTCTCCCAGCTTCCTGCTGCTTAGGGACACTGAGACCCTGTGGGTGTAACTGCAAGGTGGCTCCTGAGGCTGCACTTTCCCCAGGCCTTCTGGCCACAGATGTAATAGGCTTGTTAGTTCTTGACCATCACTTGGCATGATAGCATGGTAGTCTGCCTCAATTCCTGGGTGCTTTTCAAAGTGCCTAGAAGGAATTATTCCCTTTTAGAATACACCCTTGTTTTTTTCCACTCATATTGGTGGGTCTTCCAAACCTGGGGAAGATGTTTTATATAGTGATGTTAGGGTCAAGGGCATGTACTGAATTTCAGTTTTTAAAAATTGTGGGCCGGGCGTGGTGGCTCACGCCTGTAATCCCAACACTTTGGGAGGCTGAGGCAGGCAAATCACCTGAGGTCGGAAGTTTGAGACCAGCCTGACCAACGTGGAGAAACCCTGTCTCTACTAAACATAAAAATTAGCTGCGCCTGGTGGGCGCATGCCTGTAATCCCAGCTACTTGGGAGGCTGAGGCAGGAGAATCGCTTGAACCTGGGAGGCAGAGGTTGTGGTGAGCCAAGGTGGTGCCATTGCACTGCACCCTGGGCAAGAAGAGCGAAACTCCATCTCAAAAGAAAAAAAAAAAAAAGAGTCGGATGCAGTGACTCATGCCTGTGATCCCAGCACTTTGGGAGGCTGAGGTGGGTGGATTGCTTGAGGTCAGGAGTTTGAGACCAGCCTGGGCAACATGGCAAAACCCCATCTCTAATAAAAATACAAAAATTAGCCAGGCATGATGGTGCGTGCCTGTAGTCCCAGATACTTGGGATGCTGAGGCATGAGAATCGCTTGAACCCAGGAGACAGAGGTTGCAGTGAGCTGAGATCGCACCACTGCACTCCAGCCTGGGCTACAGAGAGAGACTCTGTCTCCAAAAAAAAAAAAAAATTGTGGTAAGATATACATATAAAACTTAACATCTTTAAGTGTGTAGTTAAATGGCACTATGAATTTTTCAGTTTTGCCATTCATTTTTTTTCTTTCTTCCTTTTTTCCTTTCCAACAGATATTTATTAGAGGGAGGATCTACCAAGTGCAGACCTGTGCTGGGTGTGCAGTGCACACAAGTGACTGGGCACACATGGTTCCTATCCTCTGGAGATGTCGTCTTATAGCTTGGCTATAGATGATCTGAAGAGACCATTGTTACGGGGCTGATTTACTCTCATTCCTCTTCGCTGCTGTAGTTTCTCCTGCAAGAGCACTGCCTTTTTGCAGTGCTGTGCACTCTCCCCCCAGGAACTCTGCCATGGTATCAGGGAGCGGTTATCTGGAAAGATCCTGGGATAGGATGAGAGGCTGGAGGATGTGCCCACATGCTTGAATTTGCTGCCTGGGACTTTGCCTGCTGCCCTGGGATAGCACACTTTGGAATTTGTAGGTGATTTCCTTCCCATGACCTTAGGGAGCTTTGCAGAGGTCTCCAGGCCATGCAGTATAAAACACAAAGGAAAGTTTTTTGGTTTTTTTTTTTTTTGGGTTGAGGGGGACGGAGTCTTGCTCTGTCGCCCAGGCTGGAGTGCAGTGGTGTGATCTCAGCTCACTGCAACCTCCTCCTCCCGGGTTCAAGTGATCCTTTTGCCTCAGCCTCCCAAGTAGCTGGGACTACAGACACGGGCCACCATGCCTGGCTAATTTTTGTATTTTTAGTGGAGACGGGGGTTTCACCGTATTGGCCAGGCTGGTCTTGAACTTCTGACCTCGTGATCCACCTGCCTCGGCCTCCCAAAGTGCTGGGCAGATTCATGTGTTTCTCCTGCCTCAGCCTCCCGAGTAGCCGGGATTACAGGAATGCACCACCACACCCAGCTAATTTTGTATTTTTAATAGAGACAGGGTCTCTCCATGTTGGTCAGGCTGGTCTTGAACTCCTGACCTTGGGTGATCTGCCCACCTCAGCCTCCCAAAGTGCCGGGTTTACAGGCGTGAGCCACTGCACCTGCCCCCCTTTTTTTTTTAATTTACTTTTTATTTCAAAATAATTTTATACTTAGAAAAAAATGTGGCAAAAATAGTATGCAGAGTTCTCCTGTGTTCTTCACCCAGCTCCTAATGTTAATGGTTTACGTAACTATAATGATCAGAATCAGCAAGTTAATGTTGATATCATATAGTTAATTAATCTGTTGTCACAATGACGTCTTTTTTCTGATCTGTGATCCAGTTCAGGTTCCTAAATTGCATCTAATTGTTAAGTCTTCTCTAATCTGGAATATTTTCTGACTCTGACACTTTTGAAAAAGAGTGGCCAATTATTTTGTTAAGATGTCCCTCAGTTTGGATTTGTCTGATGCTTCCTTATGATTAAATTTAGGTTATGCATTTTTGGCAACTGTAGTTGTTGTGTTATATTCTTCTCTGCACCTGATGTTAGGAAGAATATATCAGTAGGCCTCATTTTTGGTGATCAGTTTTGAAGTGGTGTCTGCCAACTCTCTTCATTGTAAAGCTACTATTTTTCTCTTTGTAATTAGTAAGTATCTTGTGGGTAGACACTTTGAGATTATGCAGATATTCTATTTCTCATCATACTTTTGCTCAAAAATAGTAACATCCATTGGTGATTCTTGCCTGCAACAGTTACGCTTGGCAAATGGTGACTGGAGTGCAGTGGTGTGATCCTGGCTCACTGCAACCTCTGCCTCCTGGGATCCAGCAATCCTCCTTCCTCAGCCTCCCAAGTAGCTGGGACCACAGGCGTGTGCCACCAAGCCCAGCTAATTTTTGTATTTTTAGTAGAGATGAGGTTTCACCAGGTTGGCCAGGCTGGTCTAGAACTTCTCAGCTCAAGCGATCCACCCGTCTCAGCCTCCCAAATTGTTGGGATTACAGGTGTGAGCCACCACGCCTGGCTACAAATGGTGATTTTCTTTTCTTTTTTGTTTTTATGAGATGGGGTCTCACTCTGTCACCTAGGCTGGAGTGCAGTGGTATGATCTCGGCTCATTGCAACCTCTGCCTCCCTGGCTCAAGGGATCCTCCCTCCTCGGCCTCCCCAGTAGCTGGGACTACAGGTGCCTGCTGCCACCCCTGGTTGATTTTTATATTTTTGGTAGAGACAGTGTTTCACCATGTTGCTCAGTCTGGTCTCAAACTCCTGACTCAAGTGATCTGCCTCCCACCTTGGCCTCCCAAAATTCTGGGATTACAGGTGTGAGCCACCACACCTGGCCTCAAATGGTAATTTTCTATTGCCATCCTTCCTTCACTTGTTAATTGGTATTCTACCGTAAGGAAGAGCTATTCCTTCTTCCCCATGTATTTATTTAATCAATTATTTATTTATATTAGTATAGATGCATGGACATTTACTCTATGGGCTATAATGCACAGTGTCATTTATTTTGTCGCTCAAGTTGTCCCAGATATGGGCTTTGGGAGAATACACTCTGTGTGCTTTTTGACAAACCTCTGTCGTTTTTCAGAGCATGTCTTTATTTCTGGTTTTAGAAAGTGTACCACGCTCATCTAGTACTTGTTTTTCCCCAGTCCTGCTATCTGCCATTTCTCCAAGGAGCCTTGGTTCTTTATGTTGGAGAATGATATTTAGAAACTAAGATTGTAGGCCTGGCGCGGGGGCTCATGCCTGCAATCCCAGCACTTTGGAATGCTGAGGCAGGTGGATCACGAGGTCAGGTGTTTGAGACCAGCCTGGCAAAACCCTGTCTTTACTAAAAATACAAAAATTAGCTGGGTGTGGTGGCGCACACCTGTAATCCCAGCTACTCAGGAGGCTGAGGCAGGAGAATTGCTTGAACCCAGGAGGTGGAGGTTGCAGCGAGCCGAGATGGTACCACTGCACTCCAATGTGGGCGACAGAGCAAGACTCCATCTCAAAAAAAAAACAAAACTAAAATTCTGGGTGCTAGATGTACATAATGCTACTGGGTATTTGAGGAAAGTTCTGGTGGTGCATCATGGAGATTAGAAACGAAAGCTGGCTTTCCAAAGTGACTGAGGGTACAGCCTGGGAAAACACCTGGCTCCCAGGAGGAGCGGAGTGTAGACCACATCTGGATGAGGCCACAGACCTCAATAAGGACCAGCACCCACGCTGAGTATCCATCACAAATAAAGCTTGCTTGTTAACCACAAATCAGTCAGGCCTCTCTCGGGTGCTTGTCAAATTAGCACTACTGTTGAAATAGCTTAAAAATAAATCCCAATAATATCTGAAAGAGGAAGACTCCACAGACATGGTGTGCAGTGTTAGAAAGAGACCTGGAGAGAAGCCTGAGCCACTCCCCAGCACTGCCCTTTCTCTTGGGGATTGTGGGCCCTGGCCAGAATCCAGTGAGACAGTGGGTGGGGGTGCCATGTCAACTGGTGCAGGTGGTGCACACCACTGGTCAGAGGCCCTGCCATAGGCATCATAGTTTGTGATCATCAGCAGCTTTTTATTAAAAATTGAAAAAGGAGATGGTTAGAAGATGCCTGATTTTATATTTCCTTTTCCCTTTGTAAATGTCAGCCTCTCAACAGCTGTCTAATCATCAGTCATCTCAACCAGCCTGGTGCCAATCACATACTTGGCTGAAACCCAGACTTCTTTCCCCAAAGAGCAGGCAGATGAAGATAGGTTTCTTTTTCTTTTTTCTTGAGACATCTTGCTCTGTCGCTCAGGCTGGAGTGCAGTGATGTGATTTCAGCTCACTGCAACCTCCACCTCCCAGGTTCAAGCAATTCTCGTGCCTCAGCCTCCTGAATAGCTGGGATTACAGGCACATGCCACCACGTCCTGCTAATTTTTGTATTTTTAGTAGAGACAGGGTTTTTCCGTGTTGGCCAGGCTGGTCTCCAACTCCTGACCTCAAGTGATCTGCCCTCCTTGGAGTGCTGGGATTACAGGTGTGAGCCACTACGCCTGACCAGTTTTGGATTTTTCTTATTGAGAGATAATTTGGTTGTTACTCCTTTCCTTCAAACCTTGCCAAAATGTACAGAAGTAACTTGAACAAAATTGAGGTTCCAAGGCATAAGTTTCATTGTCACTTGTTCTGTTGGTGAGCAGGTCTGTGCACACCTACTCCCAACTGCTGAGGGAGCTGAGCAGCCAAAGAAAGAGACTGACAAATCCAGTTTCTCAGAAAGAAACATTTAATAGAGACTTACAAATAGAAGCGATGTCTCAAGCAGCCAAGAGACAGTGGATCCCTGCATTCATCCTCCAGAAAGTATTCTTTATATAGCAAGCTTTTAGAGTAAAGACATGTGCATGTCTTAGACCATCTTGCAGAAAACTCTTGCAAAACTTGTGACCAAAGGGAGGTTAGATAAGCATCTTTACTTTTTAAATTTTTATTTATTTATTTTTTTGAGACAGTCTCACTCTGTCACCCGGGCTGGACTGCAGAGGCGTGATCTTGGCTCATTGCAACCTCTGCCTCCCGGGTTCCAGCGATTCTTCTGCCTCAGCCTCCTGAGTGTCTGGGACTACAGGTGTGCACCACCACACCCAGCTAATTTTTGTATTTTTAGTAGAGATGGAATTTTGCCATGTTGGCCAGGCTGGTCTTGAACTCCTAAGCTCAAGTGATCTACCTGCCTTGGCCTCTAAAAGTGTTGGAATTACAGGTGTGAGGCACTGTGCCCGGCTGGCATTGTTTCTTTTATGGGATTGTCTATGATGCATTCCTTGGTCGTCATGGCTGTATTAGGCTATTCTTGCCAGGCAAGGTGGCTCACGCCTGTAATCCTAGCATTTTTGGAGGCTGAGGCAGGCAGATTGCTTGAGCCCAGGAGTTGGAGACCAGCCTAGGTAACATGGTGAAACCCCATCTACACACACACACACACACACACACACACACACACACACACACACACACACGCTGGTCATTGTGGTGAGCGCCTATAGTCTTGTCCTTGCATTGCTCTAAAGAAATACCTGGCCAGGCGAGGTGGCTCACACCTGTAATCCCAGCATTTTGGGAGGCTAAGGCAGGCAGATTGCTTGAGCCCAGGAGTTGGAGACCAGCCTAGGCAACATGGTTAAACCCCGTCTACCCACATGCACACACACACTAGCTGGGCCTGGTGGTGCGCACCTATAGTCAGTTCTAGCTACCTGGGAGGCTGAGGTGGGAGGATCACCTGAGCTCAGGAGGTAGGGGCTGTAGTGAGCCATGATCGCACCACTGCACTCCTGCCTGGACAACAGAGTGAGACCTTGTCTGAAAAAAAGAAAAAAATACCTGAGGATAGCTAATTTATGAAGAAAAGAGGTTCAATTGGCTCATGGTTCTGCAGTCTGTACAAGCAGAGCACAGGCATCTGCTCGGCTTCTGGGAAGGCGTCAGGAAGCTTTTAGTCATGGTGATTGATGAAGCAGGAGCAGGCACATCACATGGCAAGAGCAGGAGCAAGAGAGAGAGAGTGGTGGGGAGGTGCCACACGCAAACAACCAGATCTCATAACTCATTATTGGGAGGACAGCACCAATCCATGAGGGATCCACCCCCATGGTCTAACCACCACCCAGCAGGTCCAACACTGGGGACTGCATTTCAACATGAGATTCAGAAGATACAGCATCGAAACTGTATCAGTGGTGATTTTGTTTCAAGACGGTGTCACTCTTGCCATGGAACAGGCTATTTTCCTACATCACTTGGGAGGGGTGCTGGCTTTATTTTCAGCTGTGACCTCTAAAATTCTTGTCTCATTGAGAATTTGGAATTTTTAACCTTTATTTTTTTTTAATGAGAAATCTGAAACATACAAAAATATACAGAAAAATATGTTTAACCCTCATTCTATTCCTATCACACAGCTTTGATAGTTACCAACCTGTGGCCAATCATGTTTTATTTATACAGCCATAAATATAACACTCCTCCACGCACATACTATTTTAAGTAAATAACAACACTTAATTTCAGCTGTAAATATTTTATTATGTATCTTTAAATGGCAATAATCCATTTTAAAGGAGCATAACCATGATATTATTATTATATTGAAAAAAGTTGATCATTTCTTTTTCTTTTTTTTTTTTTTTAAAGATGGAGTTTCACTCTTGTTGCCCAGGCTGGAGTGCAATGGTGCGATCTCAGCTCACGCAGCCTCCGCCTCCCGGGTTCAAGTGATTGTCCTGCCTCAGCCTCCTGAGTAGCTGGGATTACAGGCATGGGCCACCACACCCGGCTAATTTTGTGTTTTTAGTAGAGACGGGATTTCTCCGTGTTGGTCAGGCTGGGCTCGAACTCCCGACCTCAGGTGATCCGCCTGCCCCAGCCTCCCAAAGTGCTGAGATTACAGGCATGAGCCACTGCGCCCAGTGGATCATTTCTTAATATTGTCAAATCTCTAGTCTGTTCAAATTTACATGATTGTTTCATGATTTTTTTTTTTTTTTTTGAGACTGAGTTTTATTCTTGCTACCCAGGCTGGAGTGCAGTGGCGCGGTCTTGGCTCACTGCAACCTCCACCTCCTGGGTTCAAGTGATTCTCCTGCCTCAGCCTCCCAAGTAGATGAGATTACAGGCATGTGCCACCACACCCAGCTAATTTTTGCATTTTTAGTAGAGATGGGGTTTTGCCATGTTGGCCAGGCTGGCCTTGAACTCCTGACCTCAGGTGATCCACCCACCTCGGCCTCCCGAAGTGTTGGGATTATAGGCGTAAGCCACCGCACCTGGCCTTTTGCTGTTTTTAAAATAACAGGTTGGTTCTTTAGTCTTTAAAGATGACAGCTATGTGATTTGAGCGTTATTATAATTCTTTTTTTTTTTTTTTTGAGACGGAGTCTTACTCTGTCGCCCAGGCTGGAGTGCAGTGGCGCGATCTCGGCTCACTGCAACCTCTGCCTCCCGGGTTCAAGCGTTTCTCCTGCCTCAGCCTCCTGAGTAGCTGGGATTACACACGCCCACCACCGCGCCCAGCTAATTTTTGTGTTTTTAGTAGAGACGGTGTTTCACCATGTTGGCCAGGCTGGTCTCGAACTTCTGACCTTGTGATCCACCTGCCTCAGCCTCCCAAAGTGCTGGAATTACTGGCATGAGCCACTGCGCCTGGCCCCGAGTGTCATTATAATGCCTAGAATAAACATACTGTTTAATATGTTTCAGCCTATTGCTAATATTTTTCTTATTGAGGCTCACATTGCTCCATTGTCGAAGCCCTTGGGAGCCTCTTCAGGTTACCTTGTAAGTCCTTTTGCCTCCACCCCAGTAGTCTTCAATAGCTTTGATAGATGTTTTAGGTTACTGTGTACATTTCCTGCCTAAGATCTGTAGTTGGCCATTTCTCCAAGGAGCACTGGTTCCATTTAGGAGGAAATGGTCTAGGTGCTGAGGATGAAGCATTAATCTCAATGTGAATAAAGCTAGAAGTGAACAGTGCTGTGTAGTCCTTGAGGCTCTGAGTGGATCTGGTTCCTCCTGTGGTCTCTGCTGAGAATGCAGCTTCCTGTGGGAGATGTCGATCTTGTAACTGAATGATAGAGACAATCAGATAAAAATGATCCATGTTGTATTTGTTGGATGTGATCTTGTTCTCCAGTGTGTACTTTTGGTAAAAGACATGGTAATAATAGGTCTGCAGGTGACACTATTCACCTGCTCTTCCTAAGGGATGCTGGGTCTTGAGGAACCGGCAGTAGAGACACTGAACTGCTTATAGACTCACATCTGGTATCATCAGGTTGGACCTGGGATACTGTCTGGCTAACTAACACTTCCTGGCCCCCATGACTGCAGAGTTCCAGGTTCTACATCAGTACCCGGTTCTCTGAAATATGTACTCATTGGGGTCTCATGAATATGGAATTGAAATCCATTTTACTGTTGTACTCACTTAGAGGGAACATAGCCTTTGTTTCCTTACTTAACCATGTGAGCCACAGAGTAAGAAGAAAACCGTCTCTTTAAAAGCTGCTATTTAGGTAGCTGCCTTCATGGCAGATAAATCTTTTCCACAGGTTTGGAAAATATCAAAGATGCATCTGTTTCATAATTACATGGTGGCTTTCTACCTAATGAATGCCTGTGTAGGCTGCTACGTTAAGCATACAAAGAGGATAGGAGAAGAAAGTTACTTCGTATTTATTTTTCAGGCTTTTCCTGTCTGTGTTCTCACTTCGTTATTGTGGGGTTTCTGCAGACTGAGTCCCTGTGGAAGAGAGGTTGTGTCCTGCTCATTGTGGTACAGCAGTGGCTTAAGGGAGAACTGGAGCCCTGACTTCACCCCCACCCCACTCCCTTTATTTGACCTGGGATTAAAAAAAAAAAAAAGACAACTTGCATTTCAAGGTGAGTTAGCTTCTGATCTTAATATAACTTATTTTCCTTCAGGAAAAAAAATGCTAAAATCAAGACAGGGTACAAGCGGGAGCACATTAACCTGGGCTGCGACATGGATTTCGACATTGCTGGGCCTTCCATCCGGGGTGCTCTGGTGCTAGGTTACGAGGGCTGGCTGGCCGGCTACCAGATGAATTTTGAGACTGCAAAATCCCGAGTGACCCAGAGCAACTTTGCAGTTGGCTACAAGACTGATGAATTCCAGCTTCACACTAATGTGTAAGTGTACATGGGGGCAGCAGGGTGGGAGGGGTGGGGTTGGAGCATGTGTGGTAAGGGGATTGCTTTTCACTGTTTTTTTTTTTTTTTTTTTAAGAAAGCCCAGTTTTTAACCACTGTAAAGTGAGTTTGTTGGCATTAGATGAGCCACATGGCCTGCTGCTATCTTTTGTTTCCCACCTACCCATTTCCTGGAGTGTCTTAGATCCTTTCCACTCTGTGAACAGTATATATTGCCACAGGTACACAAAGTGGCTGATTAATTACAGCAGGGACATGGTGTCAGTCCAGAGCGTGTCCATTCCCTGCAGTTTTTGTTTTAGTTAACAAAACAGCTCTCTTTCTCTGTCTAATGCCTGAGGATTAGCCTGCTGGGCTTGATGACATGTAGACATGGTAGACAAATTTAGGAGCTGATTATCTCAGTTACAAACTATCTTCTCTGTACAGTGAAGCATGTAAAAGTAACTATTGGACAGTATGGTGAAGGGAAACAGTGATTATAGGTTAGGAGAGAGCCCCTTGAGAATTGAAGTAGATTGATGATTTAAGTTAAGGGAAACACATTTCATTCATGAATCTTGTTTTATCCATAAACCTTGTTTTATTTAGTTTCATGAGGAATTAACCTGTGACAGGCACAAGCTGGGTGCAGAGTTACCATGTTTATTTCTTTCCACTAGAGGTCACTAAAGAAGTAACTTCTTAAACTTAAGGCAAATCAGTGATATTAATGTGTAAACTAATATTTCCATTAATAAATTTTTTGAGGAATTTTTATCATTAATTTGGAATCTGTTACAGCTAAAAAGTCACAGGAAAACTATAGAGATGGACAATCTAGTGGTTGGCAGGGGGCGGGGAGGGTATGACTACAAAGCAGTGACTGAGGGAGTTTCGGGGAGGGAACTGTTCTATATTCTGACTGTCGTCATGGTTACATTAATCTGTGTACGTGTGTTAAAATTCGTAAAAATGTATACCAAGAAAATATCCATTTTGGCCGGGCGTCGTGGCTCACGCCTGTAATCCCAGCACTTTGGGAGGCCGAGGCGGGTGGATCACGAGGTCAGAAGTTCAAGACCAGCCTGGTCAAGAAGGTGAAACCCCATCTCTACTAAAAATACAAAAATTAGCTGGGCGTGGTGGCGGGTGCCTGTAATCCCAGCTACTTGGGAGGCTGAAGCAGGAGAATCGCTTGAACCTGGGAGGTGGAGTTTGCAATGAGCCGAGATCACGCCACTGCGCTCTAGCCTGAGCAACAGAGCAAGACTCCGTCTCAAAAAAAAAAAAAAAAAAAAAAAGCAAAGAAAATATCAATTTTATTATATGTTTAATTAAGAAGAGGTGAAACATACTAAAAAGCTATAGGAAACATACCACATGCATAGAAATGTTTTTGAACGTAGAATTCTGATTGGCATGGGAAGTGTTTTCCTTGGTTTGAAATTGGGCATTGGCACCAATTCTTCAGTACCAATTCTAGGAGGAACAATGGCTGTTAGCCATTTCCCCCACATATCTGAGCTTCAGCATTTTAAATAAGCAACAAGTGGGTATGGTTTATTTTTGGAACCAGCGTGAAGGCAGCTGACACAACTCATCTGGGTTGCCCTGGTGCTTGCAGGGGCCCAAATGCATAACAGAAATTCTTTGTGCTTCATATAGATGAATTTGAACAGTTCCACCTGTGTATTTATTTATTTATTATTATTATTTTTTGGTGACAGGGTCTCACTCTCTCACCCAGGCTGGAGTTCAGTGGCACGATCTCTGCAGCCTCCACCTCCCGGGATTAAGTGATACTCCCACCTCAGCCTTGCAAGTAGCTGGGACTACAGGTGCATGCCACCACACCTGGCTAATTTTTGTATTTTTTGTGGAGGCAGGATTTCGCCATGTTGCCCAGGTTGTTCTTGAACTTGTGAGCTCAAGCGATCTGCCCGCCTTGGCCTCCCAAAGTGCTGGGATTACAGGTGTGAGCCACTGCATCTGCCTTCTGTTTATGGTTTTGAAAGCTCTGTACAGGAAGGCAGTATTGTGTTCCTGGTTTTAGGATATTCTGAAAAGTCTGGCCTTTTTTAAAAACATGTAAGCCCAAGAAACTTCCCCATTTGAATATATTACTAAAGTCATTCAAAAATCTTATTTTTGACAGGCTGCTGTTTTATTGTAGCATACTTGGGCTGTCTACAGAAGACAGGATTCTCTGTGAATCAGGCAGTGCCTGGGTCTCCCTGTACTTTCTAGAAGCATAATGTCTGTCTCGCTGAATTTCATGGGGAAACGAAAATTTACAATGTGTGGCTCATACGTGTAATCCTAGCTACTTGGGAGGCTGAGGCGGGAGGATCACTTGAGGCCAGGAGTTTGGGACCAGCCTGGGGAACATAGAAATACTCTGTCTCTAAGAAATTTTTTAAAAATTAGCTGGGCATGGTGGCAACATGCCTGTGATCACTTGAGCCCAGGAGTTTGAGGTTACAGTGAGCTATGATTTTGCCACTGCTCTCCAGCCTGGGAAACAGAGCAAGATCCCATCTTGGGGAAAAAAAAAAAAGAAAATTTAGAATGTATTCTCTGATTTAGGGAGAGTGTCTTGTGAAGACTAGAGTTTTTGTTCTTAGGTCCTGAAGCCCTTTGCTGGATTCCAAAGTACGTGGGCTCTGACTCACAGTTAACCAATGCCATTTCCACTGGAAATGCCCACAATGATGAGGCAGAACTCAGACACTGATTTTATGTTAAAGATGTTTGAGAGGGTCTAGGCAGGCTTGAAGACCATCTGATGCAAGGAGGATGGTCATTCCTTTTTAAAAAATTGCAGCATTAAAATTTTTCTTAATTTTTTTAATCAAAGGAGTCTGAACCCATGGTTGTAAAATCAAACAGTACAGATGGGCCTATGAAAAGCAGTGATTCCAGCCTGCCTCAGCCTGCTCATCCCAGCTCCGCAGTGGCAGCCACTTTAACTGTTTTTGTTTTCTGTGGTTCCCTCCATGGAGAAGGTTGCTTCTGACCAGGCACCAGTATGCACTGTGTGTATAAACAACAATCTGAAAGCAGTAATGAGAGACAGTCTATGATCTGTGCCGACCCCAGCCCGACAGAGGACAAAGTGTAGACTCTGAGCTCTTCGTATGCCTTTTTAGGGGTGGCAGTGACTGCAGAGTTTGTATAGGCTGTTCAGCTGGGTGGGGCAGACTTTCAAATTCTGAGAGCTTAAGCAGGGCCCCAAAAGAGGAAGAGGAGAATTTGAATGACTGAAGAAGGGAAAGGGATATTCCCAGCAACTGGAGTCATTCAGTGTGTTTGTAAGAGAGGAGGGAGCTTGGCCAGCTGGGGTTTCATTCTGAATGTTTTTGAAAGAGGGAGACATTTTATGATGTAGCAAAAAGCTCCCTTTCAAATCCTGCCAGGCTTAGATGTTGCAGCATGGGTGAGGAGTATGCACAGGTGGACGAGATGAATTGTGGATTAAGCTCTTTTGAAGTGCTGCTCCTCCAAGAGGCTGGGTCAGTGCCAACTGTATCTCCCCAGCAGTGGCTGCAGCAGGTTGTGCCAAGGGCTCTAACTTGCCTTCTGAGGCATATGTGCAGCCCCACCTTTCTTGCCATTTCTGGCTGTGTTCTCTTCTCATTTTCTTCTCTTTCCATAACATTTTTTATTTTTACTTTTATTTTTTGAGCCAGAGTCTCACTCTGTCACCCAGACTGGAGTGCAGTGGTGAGATCTCAGCTCACTGCAACCTCTGCCTCCTGGGTTCAGACGATTCTCCTGCCTCACCCCCCCAGGTTGCTGGGATTACAGGCACCTGCCACCATGCCCAGCTAATTTTTATGTTTTTAGTAGAGACAGGGTTTCATCATGTTAGCCAGGCTGGTCTCAAACTCCTGACCTCAAATGATCTGCCCGCCTTGGCCTCCCAAAGTGCTGGGATTATAGGCATGAACCACTGCACCCGGACTTCCATGCCATTTTTCTGGTAGAATCGTTTATAAAAGTAATAACATCAGTAGCAGTAAAAATAAATCACTCAGAATCTCAGTGCTCTACTTGCTGCTTCTTTTTTTTTTTTTTCCTTATAGAGACAGGATCTCGCTCTGTTGCCCAAGCTATATCCTGGGCTCAAGCAGTCCTGCTGCCTCGGCCTCCCAAAATGCTAGGATTACAGGCGTGAGTCACCACGTACCCCCTCTCCCCTGGCTTTTTCTTTTTTTGTTTGAGACAATGTCTTGCTCTGTTGCCCAGGCTGGAGTGCAGTGGCGCGATCTCGGCTTACTGCAACCTCTGCCTCCCAGGTTCAAGCGATTCTCCTGCCTCAGCCTCTTGAGTAGCTGGGATTACAGGCGTATGGCACCAGCCCGGTCAATTTTTGTATTTTTAGTAGAAACAGGGTTTCACCATGTTGGCCAGGCTGGTCTCAAACCCCTGACCTCAAGTGATCTGCCCATCTCGGCCTCCCAAAGTGCTGGGATTACAGGTGTGAGCCACTGTGCCTGGCTAGGTGCCTGTTCCATACTTATCAGACTTCCTGTAATTTAGTACCTGTTTTGTGAAATTTGGTGAACTTCTGACTTCCCTTAATACCAGTATTGGTTCAGTCCATTTCTGTCATCCCTGTCTTCTGGGAGACTTGGGTGGATCTGTCTGGGCTGCAGCTCACCTCCCTGGGAAGCTCAGCATCTGTCCTGTGCTTGTTTGCAGGAATGACGGGACAGAGTTTGGCGGCTCCATTTACCAGAAAGTGAACAAGAAGTTGGAGACCGCTGTCAATCTTGCCTGGACAGCAGGAAACAGTAACACGCGCTTCGGAATAGCAGCCAAGTATCAGATTGACCCTGACGCCTGCTTCTCGGTGGGTATCTGTGGAATCACGCATCTCACAGGCAGGCCCATCTGCTCTTTATGTTGGAATCCTTCAGGTTTGCTGGAGTGCTGTGCTTCAGCTTACTCAAAGTGAGAGATGCTGCTGGGCGCCGTGACTCACGCCTGTAATCCCTGCACTTTGGGAGGCCAAGGCAGGCAGATCACTTGAGGTCAGGAGTCTGACACCAGCCTCGCCAACACGGTGAAACCCTGTCTACTAAAAGTACAAAAATTAGCCGGGCATGGTGGCGTGTGCCTGTAATCCCAGCTACTCGAGAGGCTGAGGCAGGAGAATTGCTTGAACCGGGGAGGCGGAGGTTGCAGTGAGCTGAGATCGTGTCACTGCACTCCAGCCTGGGTGACAGAGTGAGATTCTATCTCAAAAAAAAAAAAAAGACTCCGTCTCAAAAAAACAAAAACAAAGTGAGAGATGTTCTCACTTTGAAAAGAGTGCCAAATGAGTACAGTGATCATACTACTAGTACTTCTTATGGGTACCAGGCACTGTGCAGAGCCTTTTGTGTAGATTACTGTGTTTAATCCCATTTGAAATAGGTGCTTTGGTTTTTTAATCATCTCTGGGTTTTTTTTATTTTTTGTTTTTTTGAGACAAGGCCCAGGTTGGATGCAGTGGTGTAATTGCAGCTCACTGCAGCCTCATCCTCCTGTGCTCAAGTAATCCTGCCACCTCAGCCTCCCAAGTAGCTGGGACTATAGGCACACCAGCATGCCTGGCTAATTAAAAAAAAATTTTTAGTAGAGACAATGTCTCACTCTGTTGCCTGGGCTGGTCTCAAACTCCTGGGCTCAAGCTGTCCTCCCACCTCAACCTCCCAAATGTTGGGATTACAAGGCATGAGCCACCATGCCTGGCCAATCATCTCTGTTTGTTTGTTTTTTTTTTTGAGACGGAGTCTCCCTTTGTTGCCCAGGCTGGAGTGCAATGGCACGATCTCAGCTCACTGCGCAACCTCCGTCCCCCAGGTTCAAGTGATTCTACTGCCTCACCCTCCCATGTAGCTGGGAACACAGGCACCCACCACCACACCTGGATAATTTTTGTGTTTTTAGTATAGACGGGGTTTCACCATGTTGGTCAGGCTGGTCTCGAACTCCTGACCTCAGGTGATCTGCCTGCCTCGGCCTCCCAAAATGCTGGAATTACAGGCATGAGCCATGGCCCCTGGCCAATCATCTCTGTTTTTACAAATGAGGAACTAGAAACTTAGGTGAGTAACTTGCTCAAAGGTACACAGCAGGAAAGTGCTGGGAGCTGGATTTGAACCAGACTGGCTTACTGTTAAGCCTCTTCCATTAATACCAGTTCCTGTTCTATCATGCGGACTGTTAAAAGGGGCACTCTGAAATCTAGGGTTCTAATTGATAATTCCCCCCGCCCCGCCTCACTTTTCATTCTCCTTTTCAGCTCCTGCATTGCATATTAAGAAATCAATAGTCAGTTGGCATCTTGCAGAGTCTCTGGCATTGCTCACAGGCCCTCGAACTACTACACAGTTTTTGCAGTAAATCCTATTGGGCTCATTTCTGTTGTCACAGGGCACTGGCGGCTGTATCTCTTTGGGGTGAAATGAGGGAATCTCATGTTGCAGAATGGTGTCTGTACTGGTTTGTGTAATTTATGGACAGCCCTTTTTAAGTCTCCTAAACTAGAACCGAATTTGGCTCCCTTAACAGCAAGCACTTAAAAACAAGAGAAAAGGAGCCTCATTATTTATATGAGCAAAAGGACACTGGCCCCTAAGAGGCCTTCCTTCTCTCTGCTTTGTTCTTATGAGGGGTGTCAGATCTCAGCACACCCTTTGAACAGAAAGGTATGCACCTAAAATTGATGTATTTTGTATTGAATTTAATGAATCTCATGAACAAGGTGGTCATGAAAAATTTTGATTCTAAAGTCCAAGGTTGGTTGACTAAAAAGCTCTAATTTTGGAGATGGAAGTGCAAAGTATTATACTTAATGTTTTCTCTGTTTTGTCATTTCCTTGATTAGGCTAAAGTGAACAACTCCAGCCTGATAGGTTTAGGATACACTCAGACTCTAAAGCCAGGTATGTGTTGCTTGTGTGTGAAATCGGTTCTTTATCTTAAAAAAATTGTGGTGCTGGTTTGCTGATTTATGTCATTGCTTATAAAATGTTTATATAATACAGTGGGTATATATAAATGGATATATGTAAAGTATAATTAAATGTTTATAAAGGAGTATGGGGTCATTATAAAACATTTGGAGAATATGAGATGTAGCAAGCAGGAGGAAAAAGGCTGAGGCTAACACATATTCTTTGCTATTTTCTTCCATCCTTTTTTCCAGTGTGGACATAATGCTTGATACTTATTTCTGGCAGATTCTCAAAACTAACTTATAAATCAGCCCCACTGTAAAAAGACAAAGAAATAGGAAAAGTGGTTTGCAGGTTTCCTCTGCACAGTTGGCTAGGCCAGTCCACGGCGTATTATAGTTCTAGTGTATAACCACTTTTGAACCCTGGAAATCTAAGACTACCAGCTACTCCCTGAATCAGGTTATTCCAGGGAATGTCAGTTTGTTGTGTGCATCTGTGGATGTACATGCACACTACACATGTGTGTACACTATGAACATGAACATGTAAGACCTTAGGTTGGATTCAGGATTGAGGTTTCATTTAAAGGGATGATTGCCAAAGAAGCTTACTGCATGCTACCAGTGCTATAGACTAATTGTACCAGGGGAACAGTGAGAGGAAAAAGGAAAGTGGGGTTCCAGAAGTAGATTTGGGTAGGCTCTCTGGGCGGTGGGATAATTATAGTTGTTTTATAAGCCCACTGTAGTATGCCTGTTGGTCAGATAGTGCTAAGTAACAAGGATTGAAGGGCCATGTAGTTTGGACCCTGCTGATAATACCTGGAACAGGTTCTGAATTTGGTGTTAATCTTTCTTGTCATTTCTTTCCTCCATTCCTCCTCCTTTCCTCTCCCTCATTTTTCTCCCTGCAGGTATTAAACTGACACTGTCAGCTCTTCTGGATGGCAAGAACGTCAATGCTGGTGGCCACAAGCTTGGTCTAGGACTGGAATTTCAAGCATAAATGAATACTGTACAATTGTTTAATTTTAAACTATTTTGCAGCATAGCTACCTTCAGAATTTAGTGTATCTTTTAATGTTGTATGTCTGGGATGCAAGTATTGCTAAATATGTTAGCCCTCCAGGTTAAAGTTGATTCAGCTTTAAGATGTTACCCTTCCAGAGGTACAGAAGAAACCTATTTCCAAAAAAGGTCCTTTCAGTGGTAGACTCGGGGAGAACTTGGTGGCCCCTTTGAGATGCCAGGTTTCTTTTTTATCTAGAAATGGCTGCAAGTGGAAGCGGATAATATGTAGGCACTTTGTAAATTCATATTGAGTAAATGAATGAAATTGTGATTTCCTGAGAATCGAACCTTGGTTCCCTAACCCTAATTGATGAGAGGCTCGCTGCTTGATGGTGTGTACAAACTCACCTGAATGGGACTTTTTTAGACAGATCTTCATGACCTGTTCCCACCCCAGTTCATCATCATCTCTTTTACACCAAAAGGTCTGCAGGGTGTGGTAACTGTTTCTTTTGTGCCATTTTGGGGTGGAGAAGGTGGATGTGATGAAGCCAATAATTCAGGACTTATTCCTTCTTGTGTTGTGTTTTTTTTTGGCCCTTGCACCAGAGTATGAAATAGCTTCCAGGAGCTCCAGCTATAAGCTTGGAAGTGTCTGTGTGATTGTAATCACATGGTGACAACACTCAGAATCTAAATTGGACTTCTGTTGTATTCTCACCACTCAATTTGTTTTTTAGCAGTTTAATGGGTACATTTTAGAGTCTTCCATTTTGTTGGAATTAGATCCTCCCCTTCAAATGCTGTAATTAACAACACTTAAAAAACTTGAATAAAATATTGAAACCTCATCCTTCTTCTGTTGTCTTTATTAATAAAATATAAATAAACAGGGCATTTGTTTAGATTTATTTTGTCTTCATGCTCTGTGTATTATATATTATTCGTTTTCACTCACTGTACAACAGATTACCATATGTTTAGCAGCTTAAAACAACACTCATTTATTTCACAGTTCTGCAGGTCAAAGCGAGGCAGGTGTGCATGCCTACCTGGACTGTGCTTAGCTTCTCACAATGCTGGAATTAGGGTGTCGACCAGGCTGTCTTCTCATTTTATCTGGGGGCTTGGCGTCCTCTTCCAGGCTTTCAGGGTTGTGGTGGAATTCAGTTATTTTCAGTTGTAGGACAGAGGTCCCTATTTCTTTGTTGGCTGAGCCACTCTCAGTGCTCAGAGGATGCCAGCATTCCTTGCCATGGGGTCCCCTCCATCGCCAAAGCCAGAAACAGAAAAACTCCCTCATGTGAAATCCCTCTCACACTTCCAGTCTCCTCCAGGTAGAGCCCCAACTCTTTTAAGGACTCACCTGATTAGGTTAGGCCCAATGAGGGTAATCTCCCTTCAAGTTAACTGCCAGGTAAAGTAACCTAATCACTGGTAATATCCTTTCATGTTTGTAGGTCCCTCCATATGGGTCATGGGAAGGGGTGATTTTGGAATTCTCCCATATATTTATATGTTTTTAATAACTTGATGGTGGATTTTTTTTTTTTTGAGGCGGAGTTTCATTCTTGTTGCCCAGGCTGGAATGCAATGGCGCACAATGTCTGCTCACTGCAAGCTCCGCCTCCTGGGTTCAAGCAATTCTCCTGCCTCAGCCTCCCCGCCTCCTGGGTTCAAGCAATTCTCCTGCCTCAGCCTCCCGAGTAGCTAGGATTACAAACATTTGCCACCACACCCGGCTAATTTTGTATTTTTAGTAGAGATGGGGTTTCTCCATGTTGGTCAGGCTGGTCTCAAACTCCTGACCTCAGGTGATCTGCTCACCTTGGCCTCCAAAAGTGCTGGGATTACAGGCGTGAGCCACCACATCCAGCCTATTGTGGAAACACAAATAGTAATAAACTCTATGCATGATCCAGCTTCAACAAATATGAACATTTTTTTCCATTCATGATTTTTCAGCAGAATTCCTTTTTTTTCTATGTTTGAAAGTGACATTCAAAACAGGAACCATCTATTTTAGCATTTTATGCAACTGATCACCCAAAAACTGTGGGCCTCAGTATTTGTCATACTGTCTTCAGGGACTTGCAGCTATTTCTAAGTGAATGTTCATAGAATTTATCCAGAGATTATGGCACATAGTGGTTGCTGGGTACATCTAGTCAGATGTCAGGTACAGTATTAAGATATTTTACTTTTAGAGACAGTCTTACTCTGTCACCCAGACTGAAGTGCACTGTCATCATCATAGCTCACTGCAGCCTTGAACTCCTGGGCTCCTGTGATCCTCCCATCTCAGCCTCCCGAGTACTTGGGATTACAGGCATAAGCCTGGCCCTAAAATATTTAAAAATGTATAAAGGGTTCTCTTGAGTATGAGGGAATATTTCCCTCACTAGTTACTTATTGTCTGCTTGTTGCATGCAGCATGTTGGAATATCATTGTGCAAAATGCTTTGAGTTCATAATATCTCACCAGTTAAGAGAATTGAGACAATCTGGTATGAGGACACAAATGGACAAAGTGGACAATGAGTCAGGGAAGAGGACTGCAGTGTGTTTATTATAGATTAACTTTAAAGTCAACAAGCAGAAACTAAGATTGAGAAGCTCATTTGTTGAACTGAGTGGTTTTACAGAAAACTTAAGTACCGCTCAGAGAAGGGAAGCTCCTGGGGGACTGGGAGGACTTTGCACCTTGGCTAAAGTGGAGAGTTTGCAATAAGGACACCATTCAGTCTAATACGGGCTTCTGGGGGATTTCGGGAAATGTGCAGATGAATGACTTCTTAGTTTTCTTAACACAGAGTTTGTGTGTTTCTGAGCTGTCACCAGGGTGAGATAAAAGCTTAGGGGAAACCAGATTCAGGAGTAGAACACAGGCCCTTTAGAGAGACAGCTCAGCTGTGTCTCTGGGGGATAACAGCAATCTTCGCAGGGAATCATAGAGACCAGAATGGTGAAGCTGTGGGCACAATAAATGTCTTGCTTAACGTCACATTGATTTTCCTGAAATTGATCAAATGGAACTTTTATGAATTGAAGCCTGTATCTGTTTATTAAGGAGACATTTACAGAACGTACACACAGAGCAAAGTATGGCGCCAGGGCCCTAGGTGAACTTCTTGGAAGTTTGTAAGTTTGCATTTTTATACACTGGGGATTTCAAGTAACAAAATTTAAAAAGAGAAGCTTATTTTAGGAAATCTGAAAGTTATTTTCAATGGCAGCCCCTCACCTCTACTTCCTAGCTACCTTCCTTTCTTTTCCTCCATAATTTTTTTTTTTTTTTTGAGACGGAGTCTGTGGCCCAGGCTAGAGTGCAGTGGCATCTCGGCTCCCTGCAGCCTCCACCTCCCGGGTTACAGCGATTCTCCTACCTCAGCCTCCCGAGTAGCTGCGATTACAGGCACGCGCCACCACGCCTGGCTAATTTTTGTATTTTTAGTAGAGTCGGGGTTTCTCCATGTTGGCCAGGCTGGTCTCCAACTCCGGACCTCAGGTGATCTGCCCTCCTCGGCCTCCCAAAGTGCTGGGAGCCACTGCACTAGGGCCGGTCCATAATATCTTTATCATCTTGTATAGTGTGTATTTTACACCATATTCGCCCTCACAAGAAAATAAACTGCCAAGGCGGGCGGGGGGGTGGGGGGTTCTTTTTGTTCACTGCTGTATCTTAAATAGGGAGAGGTGCTAAATCTTTGTTGAAAAAAAATAAATGACTGTCGGGAAAGATTTTTAAAAATTACTTATAATCCCATCACCGAAATAGGACTACTTAACATTTGTGTTTCTTTCGCCTTTGAGAGAGGAAGAGCAGTTACTTCGCTTTCGTGATCAGTCTGTTCTACAGCTGGATCTTCCTTTTTAAAATGGCTAAAAACGCTATTTTTGGCTGTATAGTACCCAATCATGCAGGCGGCAGGGAGGGGCTCGCTTTGGCCCTCTTCAGCACGTCACACCCTACCTTTAATCCGCAGCCAACTGTGTGGCGGTCCCCACTTTCGCCTAGCGGCAACTCCCTCCTCCCTGCAATCCTTCCTTCTTATTCCGGTTTCCAGAGCACGTCTCCAGGCTTCGACGTCACCACGCTGGGACGTATGTGCCGAGGGCCGCGGCGTCTGACCTCATGGCGTAGAGCCTAGCAACAGCGCAGGCTCCCAGCCGAGTCCGTTATGGCCGCTGCCGTCCCGAAGAGGATGAGGGGGCCAGCACAAGCGAAACTGCTGCCCGGGTCGGCCATCCAAGCCCTTGTGGGGTTGGCGCGGCCGCTGGTCTTGGCGCTCCTGCTTGTGTCCGCCGCTCTATCCAGTGGTAAAGGGGGGCGGCAGTGTGGGCTTAGGAAGGCTAGGAGGGCTCGGGCGCAGGGCAGGAGACAGGCCGGGCCAGGGAAAGGGCGCTTCCAAGTGTCAGGAGCAGACGGCGGTGTCTGGTTGGGTCAGGGTCTCCGCGGGCCTGAGGACGGAGGGTATGGTGTCTGAAGGGGTCCAAGGTGGTAGGGTCTCCAAGGGGCCTGAGAAGCGGGGTCCCTGAGAGATGCAGGAACCCAGGGAGCAGGCAGCAGGGTGTGTAGATGGGCGGGGAGGGAGGAGTGGTGTTAGCGCCTAGAGATCGTTGAAGAATGGGCTGCCGCAAGGAATGGCGGTGGTGGGGTCTCCAAAATTTCTTGGATCGGAAAGTTAGGAGACTCTGGAAGAGAGGGTGGCGACAGGGGCTGAGGAGGTGGCCGGGGCTGGGGGTGTGGTGTCTGGAAAGGGTCCTGAGTTTGGGGGACTCAGGAATCTTGCAGGACCAAGGAAAGGTGGGGGTTTTCCAGAATGGGAGAGGTCAGTGGTAAAGACCGAGGCGGGCAGGGGCAGTAATCCAGTGACTGGACTGAACCAATGGAATATTTCCGAGAGGGAAAGTGAAAGGGAAAGAGCTGTCTTAGGGTACTGGTGCATATTTGAAGACTGGGAGGTTCTGGTGTTTGATAAAGATTCAGAGTACTGGGGCGTTGGGCCCCTGAAGGCTTGGGAGGCAGAGAGGAGTTTGGAGACAAGGGAGATCATGATTCCTCTTCCCTGTGTTCCGAGTTAACCAGGATAACCCTGCCTCGTTTTAATGCATCTGTAGGATTTGATTGATAAAATATTTCATTTCTTGCAAATGTTGCATGGTGAAATCAAGAGATTGAAGGCTTTTATTGAGAAATTAGGAAATCTGTAAACCAGTGCCTGATACTTGGTGGGAAAAATCCACTATTAAGAACTTGTAAGGATTAAACGGTATTTTGTTTAGTAGTCCCATTTTTCTTTCAGGCCAAGACACAGTCCTGCGTTTCTCCCTAAATTTGAATTTTCAGCTGCAAAACAGTGTGACCTGGTATAGTGTTTTCTTTCTTGCCAGCAGGGCCTGTCCAGCCCTACATTCCTCTGCGACAGTACTGTGGGTACATACTTATGTTTCCTCAGCAACATTTCAGTGTTGCTAACTGGACGCCCTCCCAGAAGTCTTTGCAGTCCCTGAGGAAGGACTGCTGTCCATTTCCTAAGGCCCTTTTATCATTAGTGAAATGTAATGAGGATTTCCCTGGTTGATGCAGATATTCCCGTTCCTAAAGTACTTAAGTAGCTTAATTGTTTTGGCCATTTAATCATCTAAGAAAAATAAAACACAAACATTTATATTTCCTGCTGGAATGCTTAAGGGATATATATCTGGCAACTGTAGTTTCAGAAACAGCTTTTTTCCCCTAAGAGATGGTTGAAAATTGGGCAAGAAGTGAGGCAGAATGTGGACTGTTAAGTGTCCTTTAGTCTCTGCTTTTATTTGTTAGAGCCCTATAAATATTTTTCTAACTATACTGAGACATTTTAGAGAATCTTTATCTTTTAAATTAAGTCTTTACATACACCAGTTTAAAATGTCATAAATTCAGATTATTCTGTCCTGAAAAGAAGCTAAATGAAAACGAACATACATGTCTTTAATAGGCGAGCAGCTCCACTGCACTACAGTGTAGCTTGGGATATAAGTATTTTTTGTAAGCATACCTTATAATTTCAAAGTAGTCACTCCTGTAATAAGAAAATTAGTCTAGAATGTGTTGAGTTCCAAATTTCAAGTGAGTTTACAAAGGTAGAAGGTTACCACATTAGATTTATTTAAATTTGTTCCATATTAGGTTTTAAAAACTGTCAATGCTTGGTTATATGCTCGTCAGTCTGTAAGAATTTTTGTTTTATGTTTTTGTTTTGATCAAGTCTAAAAAATTAACATAAGCAGTTTGGATCACTGGGTGACTAATTCTTGGTCATGCCATTTCAAAAATGCCTGGTTCTCTACATTTGCCATTATATTGTCCCCAAATGATCACCTAAACTTAATGTATAATGCATTTCATTTTTAAGGCATTGTTTCTCAAACCAGTGTGTGAATGAGTTCTCGGGGTCCTCTGCATTCTTAAGTTTAAGAAATGCTGATATAGTTTTATTTTAGGGCAGTTTTTAAAAAGGGACCAGTAGAAGGGGAGAATTAAATTTATAAAGTTTTGTTTTTTGTTTTTTTTTTGAGTCTGTCGCGAGGCTGGAGTGCAGTGGCGTGATCTCGGCTCATTGCAACCTCCGCCTCCCGGTTTCAAGTGATTCTTCTGCCTCAGCCTCCCGAGTATGCTGGGACTACAGGCGCGCACCACACCTGGCTAGTTTTTGTATTTTTAGTAGAGACGGGGTTTCACCGTGTTATCCAGGATGGTCTCAATCTCCTGACCTCGTGATCCGCCCGCCTTGGCCTCCCAAAGTGCTGGGATTACAGGCCTGAGCCACTGTGCCCAGCCTTTTTTGTTTGTTTGTTTGAGACAGGGTTTTGCTCTGTCGCCCAGGCTGGAGTGCAGTAGCACAAACTTGGCCCATTGCAACTTCCGCCTCCTGGGCTCAAGCAGTCCTCCCACTTCAGCCCCCTGAATAGCTGGGACCACAGGTGCCTGCCACCGTGCTCAGCTGATTTTTGTATTTTTGTAGAGATGGGGTTTTGCCATGTTGGCCAGGCTGGTCTTGAATTCCTGTGCTTAAGCGATCCACTTGCCCTGGCCTCCCAAAGTGCTAGGGTTACAGGCGTGAGCCACCGTGTCCGGCCTAAGCTTTATTTTTAAAATGTTAAGCTTCAAGTAGAGAGGTAATATCAATTAGGAAAGGGAAGATTTAGAAGTCTTATTTATATGCTCATAGAAGGTCAACAGTTAAATCCGTAAAGTCAGAGTTGTACCTTTGTTCTGAATACTCTTCATATCTGACTTAATCAACTTCTCTGATTTGAAGGAGTTTGAGTAAGTTGATAGCCTTTGTATTACATGTTTCAGGTCAATTATTTGTTTTTTCTTGTGCTGTATTTGTGTATTACTTCCAAGATTTTACTGCTTGACTAAGACATTCTGCTCCTACTTGGTGCTAGGTATTGGAGTTAAACAATGAATAGGGTGATACTGGGGGTATCCTTAGAAGAATGAGTGGCGTTTTGCTGAGAACCATGGCATGGGCTCTTGAGGGAGTGCAGTAGGTGCATAGATGCTATGTGGGATGTGGTGTGGGATTTGTGGTGAGAGTTGAATCGAGAGCATATTCAATAAATATTTATTGAGTGCCTGCTATCTATTAAGTAGGTAATGGGGATAGAGCTGTTAGGGAGATTAGTAAGATAATGAGAGTGAGGTAATGGGGGCCAGATCATGTAGGATCTTGAAGGCTATTATAAAAATTTTCACTTTTGTGAGAAATGGATGGCCCTAGAGGGTCTTAAGTAGAGGAGTAACATTTGATTTAAGTTTTGACAGAATGACTCTGGCTGCTGTGTTGAGTATAGACAGTAGAAGTTAGGGTGGAAGCAGGCAGATTAATTAGGAGGCTATTGTAATAATCCATGTGAGATAATGGTTACTTGGATGAGGCAGGAGCAGTGGAGGGTGAAAAGCCCTCAAATGCTGCATATGTCAGAATAACAGATTGGATGTGGGATGTTAAAAAAAATGACAACTCCAAGGTTTTTAGTTTTAGTAACTACAAAGATGTAGTTGCCATTAATTGAGATGGAGACTAAGTAGAACAAGTTTTTTTGTTTTTTGAGTGGGGCATAGGAATTTATTTAAACTTATTTTGAGATAATTATAGATTCACTTGGCAGTTGTAAGAAATAATATAGAGATCCTGCATATCCCCTACCCAGTTTTCCTAATAGTAACGTCTTTCAAAACAATAGTGCAATATCACGACCAGGATATTAACATTGGTACAGTCAAAATACGGGGCATTACCATCACCACAAGGATATCTCATATTGCCCTTATAAAGCCACCCCACTTCCCTCCTACCTCACCCCTCCTGAACTCCTGGTAACCACAAATTATCCATTTGTATAAGTTGGTAATTTTGAGAATCTTACATAAATGGAATAATACAGTATGTAACTTTTGGGATTGACTTTTTTTCACTTAGCATAATTCTCTGAAGATTCACCTAGGTTGTTACATGTGTCAATAGTTTGTTCCTTTTTAAATTTTAACTTTTATTTTTTCGAGAGTAAGTCTTGCACTCCAGGCTGGAGTGCAATGGCACGATCTCGGCTCACTGCAACCTCCGCCTCCCAGGTTCAAGCAGTTCTCCTGTCTCAGCCTCCAGAGTAGCTGGGATTGTAGGTGCACACCACCACACCCAGCTAATTTTTGTATTTTTGGTAGAGATGGGGTTTCACCATTTTGGCCAGGCTGGTCTCGAACTCCTGACCTTGTGATCCACCTGCCTTGGCCTCCCAAAGTGCCCAGATTACAGGTGTGAGCCACCAGTCCTGGTTGTTTGTTCCTTTAAATTGCTGAGTAATATTCTATGGTATAGGTAGACTACACTTTATTTATCTGTTGAAGGATGCCTGATTGTTTCCAGTTTTTGGCTATTATGAATAAAGCTGCTATGAATGTGTTTGTGCAGCACTCCAGCCTAAGTGACAAAGCGAGACCCTGTCTCAAAAAGAAAAAAATAAAATGAGCTTTCTATGGACATCATGTAGTTGAGTCTGCCAGTCTCTGTTTTTTAATTGATGTATTTAGGTCATTTACATTTACTGCACTATGGATATGTTAGAGCTGAAGTCTGCCATTTTTATTTTTTGTCTTTAGCCTGGGATATATGAGGTAAAAAGAAAAACCTAAGGAAGTCACCACCATGTTGTTTCACATATCCTGAGGTCTCTAACTGTTCTACCCAGTTCTTTCCACCTTTCAGAGTGTTCTTGTGTTATTTTATACATAATGTTCAGAGCTTTTAGTTGTTTTTAGTGGGAGAAACAGGGAAGAGTGTGTTTGTCTTCCTGAAAGCCAGCCAGAATTCATTTTGAACATATTAATGTGAATGTCAGACATCTAAGAGGAGATGTCAAGTAGGTGGTTGGATTTATGAGTCTAGAATTCTGGTCGTTCTTGGAAGTTCTTTTAATTTTTCTCAGAAAAGTTAGGAAGTGATGTCATCAGTTGAAAATGAGGATAACAGAGAAGACATTTGAAGTTTGTGGTTAGAGGAAAATGTGATTGGTGTCCTAAGAGAGTAGAAGGGTAAATGGACTAGGAAAATATGATTGCCAACAATTTTAATTGCCAACAGCTTTAAACATACACCTGAATCTTTGGCATTGAATTTAAAATGAAATGAAAACAGTGGCATGGTTGTATATTTTTTCTAGCCATGTTCAGCTGCTGGGTGCAGATGTGAGTAGTCAGAGAGCTTGATTTATTAATAACTAGGGATGAGTGTAGTCTCACCAAGTGAATGGGTCAAAGTGGACAAGGGGGAAGGGAATTGAAGATGGATGTAAGAGAGTGATTATAAGCAATTATAATAGCTGACACAGAATTGAATCTGAATAAAGAGAGAAGAGAGTGTATTGGGCAAGTTTTGATGGTGACCGTAAGGGAATGAAAAGGATTAGAGGGTTGTAGGTGTTTATGGATTGAGAATACCAGGGAATGAACTGGAAGGATAGGAGGTCTTGCCAGCAAGTAGAATGCATGAAATTGAGATTATGGAAGAATTGTGATAATAAATAATGACTCTGGGAGTGAGTGGCTGAGGTAAAGAGGAGGGCTAGCTCATGAGAAGAGAGGAGGTCAAAGATTTTGAAATCAAGGCAGGAGTACTTGTCTTAGATGGAGTGAACTCTAGAGCCAGGAGCTAAAGATCATTAAGAATTAGGGGGCATGACTTTGGAGTTGGATGAAAGTAAGTTAGTGCATTATAGCTTAAGATAAGAGAATCAAAGCTAGAGGCATTTAGGGAGAAGAACGGGAGAATGGTCTGAAAAGGGCAATGAGGAGGAGAACTGTGCCTCCTTGAGATTCAGTGGTTCAAGGATGTGGGAGAAAAAACAGCTATTACTTAAACAGGCTGAAAGGAAAATGTGTCCTTAAGGGAGAGTCAGGTTTCAGTAATAACAAGAAAGCAAAGGGTGAAAGAAGGGATTTGCTGATGACTGTGAATTCTATACTGCGTGGTGGAAATTTCTTTATAATTATTCCCACCCTATCAGCTTGTGTCCTTTAAAGGTACTTACCCATGGAAAAATTGTTCTTTTAAAAGTTAAGTTTAGTTAGTTGGCTCCCACTTATTTCAATTTTAAATTTTATTTTAAAACATGTTTTTTGTACTTTGGCAGGAAAATTAAATGTATCAGAAAATAATAATTTTTAAATTCTTGAATTATAACTAAGTTGAAGTGATAAATGCAAAAATTATTTTCAGAAATTCCTGTTAGTAGTTTTCTGAGTAATGTACTGAGTTGTAGGTCCTGTTTATTTCTCTTTTCTTCCAGTAAAAAATTTCAAGGAACTCAATTATTGAAAATGTTTTAAGAGTTTTACTGTAATCCCAGTACTTTGGGAGGCCAAGGTGGGAGGATTTCTTGAACCCTGGAATATGAGAGCAGCCTGGGCAACATGGCAAGATGCTGTCTCAAAAAAAAAAAAAAATTGCATATGGCATTGGACAAATATATGAAAAATAAAAAAAGCCAGGCAGGGTAGCATGTGCCTGTGGTCCCAGCTACATGGGGGGCTTGAAACCAGGAGGTCGAGGCTACAGTGAGCTATGTTTGTGCTACTGCATTTCAGCCTGGGCAACAGAGTGAGACCCTGTCAAAAAAAAAAAAGGGAAAAAGAGAGTTTTACTAATTTATTGGTTTTTTTTTTTTTTTTTTGAGATGTGGTCTTGCTCTGTCGGCCAGGCTAGAGTGCAGTGGCGCCATCTCGGCTCACTGCAACCTCCACCTCCCAGGTTCACGCCATTGTCCTGCCTCAGCCTCCCGAGTAGCTGGGACTACAGGTGCCTGCCACCATGCCTGGCTAATTTTTTGTATTTTTTAGTAGAGACCGGGTTTCATCATGTTAGCCAGGATGGTCTCGAGCTCCTGACCTCATGTTCAGCCTGCCTCGGCCTCCCAAAGTGCTGGGATTACAGGCGTGAGCCACAGGGCCTGGCCTTTTTTTTTTTTTTTTTTTTTTTTTTTTTTTACTAACTGACTACATTATTTTTCTGAGATCCTCTGTTCATTCTAATTGACACCAGCTATTTCTTTTTTTTTCTACACAAAATGGATGTCAACTGTGGTACACAAACCAGAGTGTATTCACATGAAGAAAGGGTTGTCTGTTGGATTGTTAACTTGTGTGAATGCACATGTTTGTGAAAGCACTAGAATGACTTGGTTTAATCTTACCCCTATAAAATATTTTACTTTAATGTGATAGACTTTAAAATATTGTCTGAATATGTTTAGATCTACATGACAGAGGTTTTTTTTTTTTATTTTTTTAGTGTAGTAGAGGTCCTTGAAGTTCTTCAACAGATACTACATTAGATTATAAATTAGAGATGGTTAAATTTCGGCAGGGATTCCTCTGGAATCTTCCTCTATTCATTCTTCTTGGTAAAAGAATAGTAAGAATTCTTATGTAAAGAATTTTACCTTTAGTAAACTATGCTGAGTAGGTAGCAGCACAGGGAAATAAGAATGTGTGTGTATTTGGTGTCATTTGCTATACCTAGATGCCTTCCCTCATCTTCAAAATAGTCTAGTTGTCACTTAGCTCTCAGGTTCCCGTTTCGGATGCTTCTCCTTTAGAAGTTTTTTCTTCTTTGTAAGGATCCTTCTTTTTTTTTGAATTTAGGAGAGGGAGTCCTCTAGTTCAAGTATCACTTAGAATTACTATCTACAGCATGCCTATAGCTTCCCCTGAATTTGTTATGTTGTGTTGAAAGTATTTAGGTCCAAACTCCATATCTTTTTTGGGACCTACTTGAGTGAGAATCAGCCACTTTTTGGTCTGTTCTAGGGATCAGGTAAAGTCTGGACAAGGTAACTGAAATCCACACCCTTTATGAAATGAAAACAGAGGGGATGGGTGAGGGCTGTATGTGAACTTTGCCATCGTGACTTAAAGTCAGCCCTTTTTCTTTTCTTTTGGTGGCAGGCTGTATGATGCAGTAGGTCTTTTATGCTGCTTAAATTGTTAGTATCTAGCAAAGCAATTATTATCTGAAGAATAACTGACTAAGAAGAAATGTAACTGAATGCTGGCTATTGAGACTTAATAACTAGTTTTCGAGAAAGTTATAGGAATGTAGCAGAGAGAAATGCTTAGTGTAAAATTTGGGTAAATATGCTTTTAGCTTGGTGGAGATAAAGTTGGAGATTTCAGTTTGATATTCTTTGTTTGTTTCAGTTGTATCACGGACTGATTCACCGAGCCCAACCGTACTCAACTCACATATTTCTACCCCAAATGTGAATGCTTTAACACATGAAAACCAAACCAAACCTTCTATTTCCCAAATCAGCACCACCCTCCCTCCCACGACGAGTACCAAGAAAAGTGGAGGAGCATCTGTGGTCCCTCATCCCTCGCCTACTCCTCTGTCTCAAGAGGAAGCTGATAACAATGAAGATCCTAGTATAGAGGAGGAGGATCTTCTCATGCTGAACAGTTCTCCATCCACAGCCAAAGACACTCTAGACAATGGCGATTATGGAGAACCAGACTATGACTGGACCACGGGCCCCAGGGACGACGACGAGTCTGATGACACCTTGGAAGAAAACAGGGGTTACATGGAAATTGAACAGTCAGTGAAATCTTTTAAGATGCCATCCTCAAATATAGAAGAGGAAGACAGCCATTTCTTTTTTCATCTTATTATTTTTGCTTTTTGCATTGCTGTTGTTTACATTACATATCACAACAAAAGGAAGGTAGGTTTGGGATTTTTTTAGCCCTTTATTATTTCAGTCATAATGCTTTTGATGATTCATGGTTCTTTTTTTTTTTTTTTTTTTTTTTTGCAAAAAAAAGTGTAGTGGGTTTCACTCTGTCAACCAAGCTGGAGTACAGTGGCACAATCACAGCTCACTGGAGCCTCGACCTCCTAGGCTTAAGTGATTCTCTTGCCTCAGCCTGTCGAGTTGGTGGGACTACAGATTCACACTACCACACCTGGCTAATTTTTAAAAATTATTAAATTAAAATTTTAAAAATTATTGTTTGTAGAGACGAGGTGTCGCTATTTTGCCCAGGCTGTTCTTGAACTCCCAGGCTCAAGCAGTCCTCCCGCCTCGGCCTCCCAAAGTGTTGGGATTACAGACATGAGCCACCATGCCCAGCCCTCTTTCCTTTTTTTCAGTGAAGTTTAAATTCATAGTAAAATATTGAGATGTCTAATCAGCATGTAAATCTATTGTGTATTTTAACACACTGCAGACAGAATGCTTGAATGTATGTACTTCTAAAAAAAGAAATAGTCCTATTTCTTAATGAGTAATACCAAAGCCCAGTGATTTTTTTTTTAAGAGTTTATGTCTTAATTTGGCATCATTACTTCAGTAGGAATACTTGTGGAGAAAATGTTAATTTAATATTTGTCTTTTAATTTATTAACATTGAACTTAATCTTTTGATTTTTTTTCTGGTTATAAAGTGTTACACATTTATTTTAGGGAATTCAGAAAACAGAAGAGTTTAGAAAAGAAAATTTAAACTACTTCTCAGCATTAACGTTTTGGTGTATTTCTGGTCTATAAATGTGCATATAATTTATACATATAGGTGTATGTAATGATTTTTAAGGAATTTTATCTCACAGAGTTTTTTTTTTTTTTTTTTTTTTTTTTTTGAGACAGAGCTTCACTTTGTCTCCCAGGCTGGAGAGCAGTGGTGCGATCTCGGCTCACTGCAACCTCCACCTCCCAGGTTCAAGCGATTTTCATGGCTCAGCCTCTTGAGTAACTGGGACTACAGGCGCAGGCCACCACGCCTGGCTAATTTTCGTATTTTTAGTAGAGACGGGGTTTTGCCATGTTGGCCAGGCTGGTCTCAAACTCCTGGCCTCAAGTGATCCACCCACTTCAGCCTCCCAAAACGCTGGGATTACAGGCATGAGCCACTGCACCCAGCTATCTCATAGAGTTTTATGTCCTGACCAATCATGAGCATTTTCCATATCCTTAATATTCTTTAAAAACATTATTTTTTTTTGAGACAGGATCTTGCTATGTTGTCCACGCTGGTGAACTCCTGGCCTCAAGTAATCCTCCCACTTCAGCCTCCCAAGTAATTGAGATTATAGGCGTGAGCCACTGTGCCTGGCTAAAAACATACTAGATTCATGGTTTACAATTTTTGGTTCAGAAATAATATTGTGATGAACATTTCTGTGCTGTTACCAGTTTGCTGGATTACATGAGGCACAAGAGACATCTGTAGGACAGGATACATCACATTTAGTGTGAGGGTACATGTTGGCACTCTACAGTCCCAAAGCTGAATAGTTAAGCCTTTTAAAATCCTTAAAGGGAGATCAAACACACAGTTCCTTTTTAATACTTACTGGTCAGGAAGTCTCAGTTCTTGACTTTATTGTAACTTGCTTTGTAACACTGTAAGCCACCTTCCCCTTCGGGGCCTTGATTTCCTTACCTGACAAATAGTGAAACTGGACCTGATAATTTCAAAATGCCTTCCTGCTTTGAGAATCAGTGACTCTAATAATAGTTCAAAAAAAAGCAAACCAACCAACTCTTCTGGTTATTTGTATTTAGTGCTATATTGCTAGCTTTGTAAGTGTTTATGGGTAGACAGAACCTTGAGTGCTGCTGATATTATATCCCACTGTTTAGTGTTTGGCCATCTCTATTATGAACATCAAAGGGACTTGTTAAACAAGTAGGTTCCTGGGCTCTACCTCAAGTACTAACTCAGTCTCTGAAGATAGAGCCTAGGAATCTGAGTCTTTAACAAACATTCCTATATATATTGAAATTTGAGAAGCACTGTTTAGCCTTCTTTACAAGATGGAAAGCAAAATAGCTTTTGTTTTTTTTTTTTTTTGAGACAGGGTCTTGCTTTGTCACCCAGGCTGAAGTGTTGTGGTGCTGTCATGGCTTACTGTGATCTCTGCCTCCTGGGCTCGAGTGATCCTCCACCTTAGCCTCCTGAGTAGCTGGGACTACAGGCAAGCGCCTCCATGCCTGGCTAATTTTGTATTTTTTGTAGAGATGGTGTTTCACCATGTTGCTTAGGCTGGTCTCGGACTCCTGGGCTCAAGTGATCTGCCTGCCTCGGCCTAAAATAGCTTTTTTGTTGTTGATATTTTGTGTTTTATATTTAGAAACCTAGAAGAGAGATATTTTACTTGTTATAAAAATGTTTACCATATTCTCTGTTTTCTCTTTTGCCTATTTAATGACTTCTGTTTTCCAGATTTTTCTTCTGGTTCAAAGCAGGAAATGGCGTGATGGCCTTTGTTCCAAAACAGTGGAATACCATCGCCTAGATCAGAATGTTAATGAGGCAATGCCTTCTTTGAAGATTACCAATGATTATATTTTTTAAAGCACTGTGATTTGAATTTGCTTATGTAATTTTATTTGCTTGACTTTTTATATGATATTGTGCAAATGTTTGCCATAGGCAATTGGTACTTAAATGAGAGGTGAGTCTCTCTTTTGCCTTGGTGCTTTGGAAATTAAATGTCACAAACGAGTATATAATTTTTTATCTGTACTTTTAGAGCTGAGTTTAATCAGGTGTCCAAAATGTGAGTTAAACATTACCTTATATTTACACTGTTAGTTTTTATTGTTTTAGATTTATTATGCTTCTTCTGGAAGTATTAGTGATGCTACTTTTAAAAGATCCCAAACTTGTAACTAAATTCTGACATATCTGTTACTGCTGACTCACATTCATTCTCCGCCATTCAAATACTATTTTTTATCCACATTTTTTTTTGTTCCCAAACTGTAATGTACAAGGATATGTGTGATAATGCTTTGGATTTGAGTAATATTTTTTTTTCTTCCAAGAAAACTGCTTTGGATATTTTTAGATAATTTAAACATAATTTAGGATAATGATATTGCTCAATCTGACCACAATTTTAGGTAAAACATTAAATGTGTCAAGAAATCTTGGCAACAGAGACTCTGCAGCTTGCAGTGGACATAGATAAAATGTTACAGAGATACTATTTTTTTGGTTGGAATTACTATATTAAATTTAGAAGCAGAAACTGGTAAAATGTTAAATACATGTACAATTGCTTTTAGTTAGCAATTGATTGTAGCATGGGTTCCTCCAAGGTTTCAAGCAATGGGCAGAGTTTAAAATTATATCAGATTCGTTTACTTCGTTTATTATTTTACAGTAAATTTGAATAAATCTTAGGGGTCATTATCACTTAAATAATACTGTACCTAGGTCTTTCAAATTAAAATTATACCTGAATGAAGTTGTTTGTATACATAAAGGATATTTGTGTACAATTACCTTTTTTCCCCCACACTTGTTTTCTTTGTTTTTGTTTTTTATGGCAACTGGAAAGTATTTACTATGGGATTCATTTATGTCTGTCTTTCTATCATAAAGAATTGATCAATATGTAAATATGTGATTTGAACCATGGTTGACTTACAAGTGTCACTACAGCTTTTTAGAAAACATAGCCCTAATATATGTTAAGCAGGACCCGGGTGAGCCAGTGGGCTTGCGCTTTATGTAGAGCTGGAAGAAGGCCGTCCATCCTGTCTCTTGGGCGGACAGTGTACTTTCCTAATAGGGAAGGGAAGCACAATGGAAATACCCCTGAACCGTTTTATTGCAGTAATTTTTTTCATATCTGAAACTATTATTTAATATTTTGAATAAGATTTTAAAAAATAAATGGCAAAGATATAAATCTATGATTTCACGAGTGTGTTTCTGTGTTTCATTTCAGTGATGACATTTAGGTGGTGACGGGGAGTAGTGTATGTCTGGGAGCAATCTAACCTGATTCACTTGCAGGTGTCCCTCTCAGCAGTGCAACTCTGCCTCTATGAATTCCACTTACATTGCTAAATTCTTCTTTAGGTCCAACTTACTGCGAGGTACTGAAGTTTATTGAAAACTGTAGCAAAGTAGGATGGCAAAGAAAAGCAAAGTGGCTAAATCAGTGTGCTCTTTCTAGCATCCTGGGGTCACTATCTGGGATGGAAGGCTCCCCGAGTGTGGAGGCTCATCCCCCTTAGTGGATTGGGGGATTCTTGGGTACTTCCTGGTGGTCCAGCCACCTAGGTCACAGTGCTGCAATTAAGTAGCCTCAGACTTTTGGAGCATCAGATCATACATTGATTAAAAATGCCCCTGGAGTCTCACAGAGGCACTTGAGCACTAGGAACTAGTGCTAGGGACTAGGCACGCAGGGGCCACAGTTGAGCCTCACAACCTCATGCCACCTCCTCCTGTGTGGTGTTATCTGCTCCTTTCTCCTAGACTAGACTCACTTTCTGGTCAGACCTGAAGCTCTGCACCCGATTTTGGTACTAATGGTATAATAGATTACCTTTTAGCTCCCGTTTCTGTGTCTTAGCTGAAAAGGAATGTGTTGGAACTTGTGGGGCAGACAGAAACAGACATTTAGAATTTGGGCAGTCAGGCAGGCATGTTATATTAGTCTGTTCTCACATTGCTATAGAAATACCCGAGACTGGATAATTTATAAAGAAAAGAAGTTTAATTGGCTCACTGTTTTGCAGGCTGTGGAGGGAGCATGATGCTGGCATCTGCTCAGCTTCTGGGGAGGTTTCAGGAAGCTTACCATCATTGTGAAAGACGAAAGGGGAGCAGTTGTCTCACATGACAGGAACAGGAGCAAGAGAGAGTAAGGGGGAATGTACTACACAGTTTCTTTTTTTTTTTTTTTTTTTTTTTTTTTTGAGACAGTCTCGCTCTTTCACCAAGGCTGTAGTGCAGTGGTGCAGTCTTGGCTCATTGCAGCCTCCACCTCCTGAGTTCAAGTGATTCTCCTGACTCATCCTCCTGAGTAGCTGGGACTACAGGCACCTGCCACCACTCCCAGCTAATTTTTGTATTTTGTATTTTATTTTATTTTTTAGTAGAGGTGGGGTTTTACCATGTTGGCCAGGCTGGTCTTGAACTCATGACCTCAAATGATCCACCCGCCTCGGCCTCCCAAAGTGTTGGGATTACAGGCATGAGCCACTGTGCCTGGCCTTACTATACACTTTTAAATCACCAGATCTCATGAGAACTCATTATCATGAGAACAGCACCAAGGGAGATGGTGTTAAACCATGAGAAAACCACCCCCATGATCCAGTCATCTCCCACCAGGCCCCACCTCCAACACTGGGGACTTCAATTCGACGTGAAGTTTGGGCAGGACACAGGTCTAAACCATACCACATACCTTGACTGGGCTTTCTTGATTTTAAATGTGATCTCCTGAGCGTGAGTGCAAGCTCTTGCGGAATGTGTGGTTTGCCCCACCGAGTGAGTTGCTTGAGAACAGGAACTGGCTCTTACTGCTCTCCAGCCCCAAGCTCATTACCTGGCACCTGCTAGGCCCCTTTAAATTGTTATTCAATGAAGTATTTGAGAAATTAGATGAGGAGAAAACCAAGACAACTCAGGCTCTGCACAAGATCACATAGTCTGCATAGAGTCCAATACTACTAACGTCCTGGGTACACAGATGAATGCGGGATCAGAGCCGAGTACAGCGTGTCAGTCCTTATGTGCACATCCACAATTCTACGGGAAGCTAAAGCCCACAATAGTTGTATGAGATATCACCCCTTCCTCCAAATCCCAGGTTCTCATCAGAGCAGGTGCTGCCTGTTGAAGGTGAAGGAGATCACTGCCGGCACTGCTGCCGATGTTCCAGTTCTCCCCCATCCTGTGTGTGGGGTGGGGTGAGCAGGGCTGGCTTTGCCCTTTGGCCTTCTTTCAGCCTGGTTTGCTGGTGCAGCAGTTTGCCTCCCTTCTGGGTTCAGTGTGAAGCAGTTCATCCTTCCCAGCTGAAGTTCAAAAGGTTAAAAGTCTTTCGAGGACCAAATGTCTTCCAAGGGAACAGAAAAGAAGGCTGTCCTGAGGTTGTCAGTCTGGCCTGACTCAGCACAGCTTGAGCCAGGATATTTGGGGTGGTTCTCTTCAATTAGCTGGATTCTGTTTTCATTTCGACGTTAGGAGCGGAAGTTGCTGGGACAGATTCTGGAAATGGAGCCAGGGCTATTTCTGTGTAAGTACCACATGCTAACCAATTGCACCACTGGAGCTCAGAGCTGGAGCTGTTTCTGACTCACATCTCAGTAGCCGTCTGTGGTAATGGCCTGCTGTCTAGGCTGTTTAAGTGGCTCAAGGGAGCCTGATTTTGGACCAGTAAGCAGCAGCTTCTACCCCATGAGGTCTAAGCCCACCTCTCTTCTAACTCCATCCTAAAGAGTCCCAGACCCATCTGTACTAGCTGGTACCAGTGGGCACCATAGGGGCAGAAACAGCATCTGGCTTGAACCACTCTGTCATCCCAGCACGCAGCACAGGGCCTGAGTAAAAGGAATCCAGGTGTTTTGCTTTTAATGCAGTGCCTATGCCATGAGGGATTTTTTTTTTTTTTGAGATGGAGTTTAGCTCTTGTTGCCCAGGCTGGAATGCAGTGGCACGATCTCGGCTCACCACAACCTCCGCCTCCCGGGTTCAAGTAATTCCTCTGCCTCAGCCTCCCAAGTAGCTGAGATTATAGGCATGCACCACAATGCCTGGCTAATTTTGTATTTTTAGTAGAGATGGGGTTTCTCCATGTTGGTCAGGCCGGTCTCAAACTCTCGACCTCAGATGATCTGCCCGCCTCAGCCTCTCAAAGTGCTGGGATTACAGGCGTGAGCCACTGCGTCTGGCCGAGGGGTTTTTTAATCTAATGAGGCTCTAGATTAAAAAAACCCTACTCCTTACTTAGGAAGCCTTTCTCCACCTATCCTAACAGTTCCACTCTGAAACCCTATGCCTCTTTCTCTCACAACCTCAAAACTGCCTCATTTCTCTGCTGGGAAACCCAGAGATGCCATGTTCTGGGGATCCTTGACTTCCTGGATGCCTTTCTTCTCATAGGGCCCTTTGTGCTTCTCTCCCCTTGGCATGTGGATTGGACAGCACTCCCACCTGAGGAGGCCATGCTTTGCAGTGGGCCCTGCCAGAGCTAGGATGGGCCATGAAATCATACAGGCCTGGGTTGGAATCCCTCTCTGGGCCTAACCCCTAGGCTGAGCGTCCTCCCCAGGCCATTTTTCCTGACTGTTCCTTGGAAATGAGGAAGGGTCAAGGGTCTTGAGGGCTAACTCGAATGTCCTGCACCTTGCTGGGACTGAGGTCATCCTGGCCCATGTGGCACCTACCTGGTCTTCTAGGAAGACAGACCTAGGGAGAAATGGAGGGAAAGAAGGGTATGGGTTGAGGCCAGGGCTGGATGACCATAGTCTGAGCATGCTGTGCCTGTTGCAGTCTCCTACCTTATAAAATGAGTGATTGATTAGCTCGCTAGTCTGTTAGGAAGAGTAAATGGATTGATGTTTGTGGAAGGATTTTGTGCATAAGAAGGAGTTTTCACCATGTCACTGACCACAGAAGAGCCAGCTTGAGCCTCGAGTCCACCAAGGAGGGATAGCCCACAGTCCTGAGGCTGCCTTCCCTAGTCCCCTTGGGACTACCTTGAGGCACACAGCTGGTCAGAGCTGGGTTTCTCCTGAACCATCCAGGCATGCATGGTCCTATTAGGGAATAGGTGGGTCTCCTTTGGAGCCTCTCAACCCCATTCCCTGTTCTCCAGCCTCATCCTTTCCCAATAAAGAGGCCAAGGGGCCCTTCCCATCATTCCCTGGACTGTTCCCAAGAATAGACAGCAGAGAGGCAAGGGGACCGAGGACCCCAGAGAGGTGGCTACTTTTAGGCTACACGGTATGTATGCCTCAGCCTCGCCTCAGGGAGCATGGATGGAGGCAGGGCTTGGGCCGTGGAGGGTCACTCTCAGGGGTCCACACTCTACTATGACCATGGCACTGCATTAAAAGGAAAACACCTGGACTTCTTCTACTCAGGCCCTGTGCTGCGTGCTGGGAAGACAGAGTGGTTCAAGGCAAATGCTGTCTCTGCCCTTGTGGTGCCCACTGTCAGGTAGAGAAGAAAAAGAATCATAGTGAAGTGTGATGAATGCTATAGGCTGAAAACTGCATTTTACTTTTTTTTCCTTATAAAGGTAATTTAGACATTCTGATAACAGCTAACACAGGGCTTACTACGGATTGAGTATTTGCCATTTCTGTGTGTGCAACCAACCCAATAAGGCAGTTACTATTATTATCCTCATTTTACAGATAAGGAGCCAGGAGCATGGAAAGTTTAAGCAAGTTGCGCAAGGTCATGGAGCTGATGAGAGAGAGCTGGGATTTGAATTAAGGCATGGTCTGTTTCCATACTCCCTGCTCTCTATCACTAATTCCCCATAACTCTAGAAAATGAAACAGCTACAGAAGGTAAGAAAAAGAAATTATTCAAAGGTTCTCTACCCTTAGGCCCTCAACATTTGTGTGTATTCTCCTTTTTTTCTTTTAAACTTTCTTTTATTATGTTATGACATAGCACACTACAGAAAAATACATCAAACAAATGTACAGCTTAACAAATTATTATAAAGTAAACACTGTTTAGCCACTGCTCAGGTAGAGAAATAGAATTTTGCCAGCACCCCCAATCCTCACTTCCTAATTATTACCTTCAGTCTCCCCCACAAGGAATTATCATTTTGATCTTTATGGCAATTATTTTTTCACTCTGCTTTTTAGATTTACTATCTAAGCATATATGTGTAAAACCATCGTTTAGTAGGTTTTGGAATTTTAGATAAATTGCATCACACTGCATGCATTATACATGTTTGTGCTGGCTGTTTTCACTCAACATTAGATTGTGGGTTTCATCATGGTAGTTGAGTGTGTAGCATCAGTTCAGTCATTTTCATAGCTACATTGTATTCTATTATAAAAATATACTCACTGTGCTTATCTAACCCACATTTGATGGACATTTGAGTTGTTTCTAGTTTCATACTATTATGGGTGATACTGTTAGGAATATTCTTACACATGTCTTTTCTTGTTTGCAGGGGTATTTCCATCTCTGGTGGGTATATACTTGAGTGGAATTGCTGGATGTGTATGTCCAGCTTGAATAGCTAATGTCGTACAATTTTCTAAGGTGATTGGACCAATTTATATTTCTTTAAAAAATTTTTTTTGAGACGGAGTCTCACTCTATTGCCTAGGCTGGAGTGCAGTGGTGTGATATCAGCTCACGGCAACCTCCACCTCCTGGGTTCAAGCAATTCTCCTCCTTCAGCCTCCCGAGTAGCTAGGGCTACAGGTGTGTGCCACCATGCCCAGCTAATTTTTGTATTTTTATTAGAGACAGAGTTTCAGCATGTTGCCCAGGCTGGTCTCAAACTCCTGAGCCCAAGTGATCCATCCGCCTCAGCATCCCAAAGTGCTGGGATTACAGGCATGAGCCACTGCACCTGGCCCGATTTATATTTCTTCCAGCCTGTGCAAGTTCCTGTTGCTCTCTGCATCTTTGCTAACACTTGGCATTGTTAGTGTTCTTAATTTCAGCTATTCTGGTGGATATGCAGTGGCCTCTCCTTGTGGTTTGACTTTGTCTTTCCCTGATGACTAATCATATTGATAATTTTTCATGTGTTGATTGGACATTTGCATATCTTCTTTTGTGATGTGCTTGTTTAAGTCACTTGCTTATTTTTCCATTGGGGTGTTTGTCTTTTTCTTATTTGTGTGAGTTCTCTGTTCCGGATATAAGCCCTCATTAGTTCTATATGCGATAAACAGCCACTTGTATGCTGTGACTTGCCTTGTCACTTTCAGAATGGTATCTTTTCATGAACAGTTATTTTTTTTTGAGGAAATTACAGCTCTGTTTTATTGAGGTATACTTTACATACATAAATTCATAGATTTTAAACATTTAATCAGTTTTGACAACTGTATATATCTTTGTAACTGCCACCCCCAAACAAGATAAAAGATATTTCCATCACTCCAGAAAATTCCCTAGTGCCATTTTCTAGGCAATTCTTCACCCATCTTCCAGAGGTAACTACTTTCTGATTTCTATCACAATAGATTAGTTCTGCCTGTTCTAGAATTTCAGATAGATAGAATCAAAAGTGTATGTTCTTTTCTGTCTAGCTTCTTTTGGTCTATATAATATTTTTGCTTTTAATTTTTAGATTCATCTATATTGTTGAATTATCAATAGTCATTCCTTTTTATTGCTGAGATTCATCAATAACACTGAGTAGTATTCATTGAGTGAATAAACCAAAATTTGTTTATCCATTCTCCTGTTAATGGATGTTGGTGGTGTTTCCAGATATTGATCTAGCTATATATGAATTTAATATTATAAACATTTTAATATATTAATCATATATTTTAATATTTAATAATTAACATATAAAATATTATGAGTATATATAACCTTTTTACTTTGAGATAAACTGTAGATTCACATGCAGTTGGAAGAAATAATACAGGGGTCCTATGTACACTTTACCCAGGTTCTATCAATGATAACTTCTTTCTTTTTTTTTGAGATGGAGTCTCCCTCTGTCACCCAGGCTGAAGTGCAGTGGCGTGATCTCGGCTCACCGCAATCTCTGCCTCCTAGGCTCAAGTGATTCTCTTGCCTCAGCCTCCAGAGTAGCTGGGATTACAGGGGCACACCACTACTGCCCATCTAATTTTTGTATTTTTAGTAGAGACAGCGTTTCGCCATGTTGCCTTGGCTGATCTTGAACTCCTGACCTCAAGTGATCCCCCGACCTTGGCCTCCCAAAGTGCTGAGATTACAGGCGTGAGCCCCTGTGCCTGGCCTGATATAGTTTGACTCTCCAAATCTAATGTTGAAATGTGATCCTCAGTGTTGGAGATGGGGCCTGGTGGGAGATGTTTGGGTCTTGGAGGCAGGTCCCTCATGAATGGCTTGATGCCCTCCCCATGGTAATGAACGCATTCTTGCTCTGTTAGTTCATGCAAGAGCTGGTTGTTTAAAGGAGCCTGGCACCTCCTCCCACCCTTGTTCCCTCTCTTGTCATGTGATGCACCTGCTCCCCACTTGCTTTCTGCCATGATTATAAGCATCCGGAGGCCCTTACCAGAAGCAGATGCTGGCACCATGCTTCGTGTTCAGCCTGCAGAACCATAAGCCAAAGTAAAACTCTTTTCTTTATAAATTACCCAGCCTCAGGTATTCCTTTATAGCAATAGCAAACTAACACGTGGTGGGAGGGCTAGACTGGTACCAACTACTCCATCATAGCTGGAAGCAGAAGTTTCCCTCTTTCTTTCTTGATGAAGTGAAGCATGTGTTGGCAAAGATGTTGAGACAGACGCCAGGCAGAGCTAGCCACTTTCTCTGACCCTTTGTCAGGTCTCTATGAGCAGTATGGCAACTACTTGTTAGGCTCTGTAAGTGCATAGCTGTAATGTCTTGCAACCCCCTGCCTTTAGCAGACTCCAAATGAAGGAGCTTCTACTACATAAACACTGGCGTAAGATTTTCTCGGATCCTGGAAATGATTCATCTTACCGTTACCACCAGATAGAGTGTGTTCATTTCTTATTACAAATCCAGTTCTGCCTATATTAGTCTGCCCTTTTACAGTGAAAAAGTTAAGGTTGCCCTGCTGCCTGGTTGAGAGTAGTAGACCGTTTCAAAGGTCTACTGGGCTTCTTTGCTGCTGAAAGTCATTAACTCATGGGCTAGATTGTTGGCCTTGGGCCTGTAGGCAGAAAGCCATGTAGTAAACACTGTTCCAACAGCGGGAGACACACAAGGCATGTCTTTCAGCCCATTAGGAAGGAGGCATGGCCAAATGAAACACCAGCACAGGAAAGTTACCCTGAGATATGCTATGCCTATAAAGAATGTGAAGCTTGGTGTCTCACTCTGCTCTAGGAGCCCACAAGCAACTCATTCATTCAATAGACATCTAGTGATTGCCTGTACTGAGCCAGGCCCTGTGCTGAGTTTTGGGGATACAGGGCAAGGGAAAGGTTCACCAAACACATGATGCTTGGATTGGCTCCTGGGGTCAAATCTTGGTTCCAAAGAAAATTGAGAAAAAATATTGCAGTGAGCTCATCTTTTCCACGTTTGAAGAAAAGAACATACAAATCAAGTTCATATTTTGGAAAGGAACCCAGAGATTTCATTTTGGAGCTCAGGAGCATTGCTTGGAGGGGGACCCCTGGCCTTGCCTAACCCATCCACAGGCTCTCAAGAACCCAGACCCAATTGTATTTCCATAGTGGAAGATAAGAACACACTTCTATCCTTTTTGGAAGCCTGAGGACTCCTTCTGATCCTCTCCTTTTCCTCTTCTCTCCCAGAAACAGATGTCTGAGCTTGAGGACACCAATTTCACATTATAGGATCAGGTATGGCCCTTTGGGATCCATCACTGGGTTACTCTAGGGGCTGGACCCTCCCTTCTTGCCCTTCTGGCACCCATAGTCTGTGGTTGGGTTTGTGATGGGTAGAAATGTGGTAGTTCTGTTTCAGGTGCCCTGAGCAGGGAGACTGTTGGCCAGGGTGAACATTTATGGGGTCTGTATGTTCTTTGGATAAGTGAATCTACCTCCCTAAAGTCTTGATGTTTTCTCTGAAAATTCCGTTTCTGTTGAAGGGGAGGTCTCTGCAGGTTCTAAGATTCCAGAGACTTCCTAGGTTTCCAAAGATGATTTCTGGGCTTCCTTTTGTTAGTTTTATAAATATACCTCTGACTTCCTTTCTTGGTCATGTTCTTGTGAGCCCTCTGGCTTTGGGGCCTAAGGTCATGAACAAGGGAAGCAGGCAGAGCTACCTTGGTTACTGGGTCTGGTTTTTTGGGGTTCGCTTGACCACATTGGTGGATAATACCTTGAGGCCAGGTAGGATGGTGTGCCTGGACACACCCTTGACCATATCTTGTCCTGATTCCACCATCCCCTCTCTCTGCCCTCCCACCAGCTTGCAGAGTCCTTTTCTGCCTTGTATCCATTGTCACTGGCAGGATGATGATGTTCCTTCCATGGACAGGCTTAGATTTTTGAGGAAACCCAGGTGTGTGTGTGTGTGTGTGTGTGTGTGTGTGTGTGTGTGTGTGTGTTTTAAGGGAGGAAAAGTCTATGATATGATGGTCAGAATTAGTTACAATGAAATAATAAAAGTTTGTGGATTTAAAAATAAAACAATTGGGTCTGGAAAATACACTGTAGAGGAGGTTCTCTAAGTGGAAATCTGTGAATGCTGTGGCATTCTAAGTTTTCAGTTGGAAAGGGATTACTGAGTTGGGAAGCTGTATCCTGCCCTGGAAGCTAAGAAGGCAGAGGGAAGCCTGATCTGCTACCAACTGAGTGGCCATCAGAAATGGGAGCTGCAACCTTCCTGGGTGATGGTATAAGGCCTCTTTGCTCTCTCAGTAGAGCAAGTATGAATGCCAATCAATGAAGGGCACAGTGTTTTCCTCATCAGCCCTTCTGCATGAAACAAGGAAACCATTTGATAACACGCCAAGGCTCACCAGAGAGGGAGGGGACTGAGGCTTCAAAGTGATGTGTTAGATTCTTTGGGAATGTACCAGAAGGGTATAGCTTCCTGACTCAGTAATCCCATTCCAACCAGAAAACATAGCATGCCACAGAGTCCACAGATTCCAGTTAGGCCAGGGAGAAAGGGAGTCCATAATTACTTCTGATAAAAGATACATGAATAGCCGGGCACTGTGGCTCACGCCTGTTACCCCAGCACTTTGAGAAGCTGAGGCGGGTGGATCGCCTGAGGTCAGGAGTTCAAGACCAGCCTGGCCAACATGGTGAAACCCCATCTCTACTAAAAATACAAAAAATTAGTCAGGTGCGGTGGTGGGTGCCTATAATCCCAGCTACTTGGGAAGCTGAGGCTGGAGAATCGCTTTAACCCGGGAGGCGGAGGTTGCAGTGAGCAGAGATCGGGCCACTGCACTCCAGCCTGGGTGACGGAGTGTGACTCTGTCTCAAACAAACAAACAAACGAAAAGATACATGAATAAGTAGGGAAAATTCATGAAGGTGTGGCCAGTATTGGATAAATGTATCCAAAGCTTTCTGATGGACCAGATTTTAAGAAAAGGATTTTCCTGGTACATAAACTGCTCAGAGCCTCCAAGAGTTTGATTCTTTCCTTCCAGCTCTCCTGGCACAGCCAGAGGAGGGTTTTGTGTGATTGGCCCTTGAAACATTATTACAATCACTTTGTGGCCTCCTTCAGCTTATTTTTAATTACAAGGTCTATTGCATTTTTAAATTATTAACTCTGACAATTACTTATCTTGGCATTTTCTTATCTCGATGAAAATGAAAACAGCAAGGTCATGTTAGCTCACTTGAGGTTTCGGTCTGCTGCAGCTTAAATTGAGCTGAATAGATCAGCAAATGTTTGCAGTGCGGGGACCAGCTGAGGTTGCAGAGGGTCTGCTCAGGGAACACGGGCAGAAAGAACTTGGCAACACAGAGGCTAGTTCAAGGGCGTTTGGGGCCCAGGTGATCGGAGCCCGTCTGTGGAAGTGGGAGGTGCCCTTGTAGGTGATGATGGCCCATAAGCAGCTTCTTCCCCTCAAGAGCTCTGCGTACATCTCCCCTGGGATAGACAGCCAGAGGCAGAGCCCAGAAGGCGATAGCGACCCTCTGCCTCACAGTAACTTCTTTCTCTGATCTTCTGTGGTGGTCCTCACTCTATGACAACAACAGCAACTAAACGATAACAATAAGTGACTGTTACTGAGTGCTTACTGTGTGTCTAATACCTTGCCCACGACACTTGGCAAATATCCATGGATGCTGGGCACTGCAGGCCCTCATCGCCATGCTGCCTTCTGTCCAGCAGGGGGTAGTGTGACTACACCATAAAGGGGACCTCCTTCTTTACCTGGGTTCTCAGGAAAAAGCATCTTCGAGTTTCTGCTGGATGCTGGAAGGATGCTTCTGGCAGTAAGTCCAAATCTCCGACAGTGAGGGCAAAAGAAAGCATGATTATCGGCCAGGCGCGGTGGCTCACGCCTGTAATCTCAGCACTTTGGGAGGCTGAGGTGGGTGGATCACCTGAGGTCAGGAGTTCGAGACCAGCCTGACCAACATGGTGAAATCCTGTCTCTACTAAAAATACAAAAATTAGCCAGGTGTGGTGGAGCATGCCTGTAATCCCAGCTACTTGGGAGGCTAAGGCAGGAGAATTGGTTGAACCTGGGAGGCAGAGGTTGCAGTGAGCTGAGATCATACCACTGCACTCTAGCCTGGGCGACAGTGCAAGACTCCGTCTCAAAAAATAAATAAATAAATAAATAAATAAAAATAAATAAAATAAAAATAAATTAAGAAGAAAAGAAAGTACGATTGTCATAACTCCCCCAATCTCAGGGCACCTGCAGGTCCATTAGTCCCAACCTGAAGTCCTTTGTTGTTCAGTCCCCAGCTCCACTGACTCCTCCAAGGGCAAAGGGCAGGCATGAACTTGGAGAAATGGCTTCGGCCTCAGTGGACAATGCTGGTACCACGGTAGGGTCCTTGGCAACATGCCTCCTTAGAGATACACAGACGGTTCCTCAACCTGAGAGCCATTTGGTGGGAAGTACAGATGGGGTGCACCCATCCCCAGATGTGTTATATGCATTAGCTAATGGGCACTGCTGTTGAGAGACTGCTTGGCCATTTGGGGCAGCTGGCTCAGAAGGCACGTCCCTCGGATGTCTGCAGCTTCTCAGCCAGAAACCCGTGAAAAAGTTCCATCTTTCCCATAGGCTGGGAGCCAGTCACACCCTGGGTATAATGCCGAAGGAGAAGGGAGCAAGACTGCTGGTGGGACATGGTTGTCCCACAGCAAGACTGTTGGTGGGACAGGGCTCCGACTGCCCTGGCCCTCTGCAGAGCCTCCTGAGTAGGTAAGGTAGTGGCTGGCTCTCTGCTCTGGATGATTTCTGTTGACCCAGTTCTGGGAGTGGTTTCATGGCTTGGGGAAGAGCCAAGAACTTCACAGAAAGGACTACACAGAAATTCGTGACAGCCCCAGGGCCTGCTTGGGACTCTGAGGGCTGAATTTTTTTTTTTTAAATCTTGGGGAGAGAGTTTTGGTTATGGTCCCCAGCAAAGACAGCCTGGGAGATTTCTTCTACCAGCCTCCGTGAGGAGTTCAGATCCTGGGTCCCTCAGCACAGTCCACATCTGAGGCTGTAGCTGTGATGAACTTAAAAATCAATGCTGCCGCCCAACCCCTTGGCTTCAGAAGTGCCCTTGGTTCAAATGTTCAAAGCAGCCCTGAGTTATCTTCGCGGCTTCTCCAAATTCCTCCACTACTCTAGGCCCCGAGGAAGGAAAATGTTAATCCATCTCAGACTGCCAACTCCCCCAACCCCAACCCCAACCCCAACCACCCTCCTTCTGCTAGGCTGGAAACTTTGCAAACTGGAAAATGTCTGTGTGCTGGAGGCCAATGCCCCTGCTCCAGGCCTCTTGCTCCCCGACCCCAGGCCTCATCCCAAATCCAGTCCTCCCTGTAAAGTTCCAAAGCTCAAAAAGCTGCTTGCCTGTGTGCAGGCGGGCACGCGATGGTGGTGGGAAAGCACAGATGCATCTGTGGGCCTCTCCTCTGGAGAGATTTGCCTTTCACTGCCTGAGATGCAGCTGAGGAGGAAATGTTCCCTGATTCCTGACCTGGTAGATCAGCTGGGGCCATTGTGTGCTCTGGTTTATAATATTAATAGGAATACTAATAATACCTGCCATTTCTTGAGCACTTTAACTAGGTTCTTCACCAGGGTTGTTCAATTTAATTATCACAAGAGCCCTATGAGGTAGATGCTATATAGAATATAGTATATATAAAATAATATAACTTTTTTTTTGAGATGGAGTTTTGCTCTTGTTGCTCAGGTTGGAGTGCAATGGTATGATCTCGGCTCACTGCAACCTCCACCTCCTGGGTTCAAGCAGTTCTCCTGCCTCAGCCTCCCAGGTTGCTGGGATTACCAGCATAACTGGCTAATTTTGTATTTTTTGTAGAGACGGGGTTTCACCATGTTGGTCAGGCTGGTCTCAAACTCCTGACCTCAGGTGATCCACCTGCCTTGGTCTCCCAAAGTGCTGGGATTACAGGTGTGAGCCACTGCGCCTGGCCACTTTTCTTTTTTCTTTTTCTTTCTTTCTTTCTTTTTTTTTTTTTTTTTTTGAGATACTGTCTCATTCTATCACCCAGGCTGGAGTGTAGTGGTGTGATAACTGCTCACTGTAGCCTTGACCTCCTGGGCTCAAGTGATCCTCCTGCCTCAGCCCCCTTTAGTAGAGATAAGGTTTCGCTATGTTGCCCAGGCTAGGCTTGAACTCCTGAGCTCAAGCGATCTGCCCGCCTCAGCCTCCCAAAGTGTCAGGGTTACAGGCCGTGTTTTCCGAGATTCACCTGAAGACTCTAAACATGAGACAGAGGGGGTAGATGGGAAGAGAAGAAAGGGGAGGAGAGGAAGGGAAGAGACAGGGTAGGGGGTACAGAGACACACACACACACACACACACACACACACACAGAGCGAGAGAGAGAGAGGTGTGAGGCACATTTGGAGCCAACTGTGCTTCTACCAGTAGTAAGACCACTGATGCATAAGTAAGTGTTTCTTACAGATATGGGCCACGTGGGGCAAAGGGCTGGCCTCATAAACCTGCCCAGAAGGGAAAGGTGACCCTGAAGACAGATGGACCCCCAAATTCCTGGAGATTGAGGGAGGAAAGCAGCAGCCACACAGAGGAACCTGCAGCCAAGTGTTCCATTTGGGGTTCCCAAAGAATCCACAAAGCACCCATGAGGGGAGAGTTCAGGCCAGAGAAAACCCGCCTTAAATGTTAGTTGTGAGCAAAAAAAGGCAATGCTGGGTGACACCGGTAACAGTCAAATAATACCGTTCCTGCCCTCCTCCTTTTCCCACTGCACACATACCCAGTGTGGGAATCAGAATGTCTTGATGGAGGGGCACTTTGGTGGTAGCTGCTTTATCTGGAGCCTCTAGGATTGAAGTGGGTGGACAGCACACTGAACCATCCTGACAAGCACGATCTGTGGCCAGAAGCCAACTTCGGCCCCCACAATGCAGTCATGGTCCCCCCTTCACTTTCCCAGACCTAAGCCGGTTCACGTCCTGGAACCACGTGATCAACACGGTTCTTGGCCTTCTTGAGAAAGAAATCTGCAAAATGCCACAAATACATCCATATATATACTGCAAAACTACTCCTAAGCCTTGACCACTGGGATCTGCAGACACTGGATCTGAGGAATGAGGAAACAGGCAGTCCTTTTAGGGGCCGCTAGACACTAGATTTTAATTTTTGCTAATTCCTGGGAACTCAAACTACCCCCTTGGTCTACTAGTCAAAGGAAAGGTTTATGGTGGTGAGCTGATAAATGGAGTTTTGACCAAACTTCATCTCACACTGGGCCCATGGACTCACTCTTGTGATACTTCCTTAGTCTCTAGGTATCTAATTGGAATAGACATACTCTGCAATTGACAGAATCATCACATTAGCTCCCTGACCTATAGACTGAGAGCTATTATGAATTTTCCTCTTCCTGCAAGGATAGTAAGCTAAAAACAATATTGCATCCTTGGCAGGGGGTGGGGGGAGGATTTTAGAGAATAGCATCAAAATACAGGGATCCTGGAATCAAGAAGGTAAAAGTGAGCAAAGCTTCCTTCACTACTATACCTAATAACACACTCATAATTTTTGCTTCCTGACTTTGCAACTTTGGACTCAGCTAGTTTGGAAGTCTTGGTTTTCAAGGGAGAAACCAGGAAACACAACAATGACACCACAGAATTGGAAGTTTAGACTGCTACCTAGCCTCTAATGTTAGGCTGCTAACAGGCACAGATGGTGTTTACCATTTGTATTAGTTTTCGCATTGCTATATAGAAATACCTGAGGTCGGGTGCAGTGGCTTACGCCTGTAATCTCAGCACTTTGGGAGGCTGAGGTGGGTGGATCACCTGAGGTCAGGAGTTCGAGACCAGCCTGACCAACATGGTGAAATCCTGTCTCTACTAAAAATACAAAAATTAGCCAGGTGTGGTGGAGCATGCCTGTAATCCCACCTACTTGGGAGGCTGAGGCAGGAGAATCACTTGAACCTGGGAGGTGGAGGTTGCAGTGAGCCAAGATCACACCTTTGCACTCCAGCCTGGGCAACAAGGGCGAAACTCCATCTCAAAAAAAAAAAAAGAAAAGAAATACCTGAGACTGGATAACTTATAAAGAAAAGAGGTTTAATTGGCTCAGAGTTCTGCAGGCCATGCAGGAAGCATAGTGGCTTATGCTTCTTGGGAGGCCTCATGAAACTTACAATCATAGTGGAAGGCAAAGAGGAAGCAGGAATGTCTTATGTGGCTGGAGCAGGAGGAAGAGAGAGAGAGACAGAGAGAGAGAGGGGAGGAGCTACACACGCTTAAACAACCAGATCTCACGATAACTCACTCACTATCACAAGAACAGTACCAAGGGGAATGGCGCTAACCCATTCATGGGAACTTCACCCCCCATGATCCTGTTACCTCTCACCAGGCCCCACCTCCAACAGGGAGGATTACAATTCAACATGAGATTTGGGTGGGGACACAGATCCAAACCATATCACCATACTAGTGGGATGATTGATCCTGATTATCAATACATTCATTGTTTTGCTTAAGTTAGTTTGAGTTGGTTTCCTGTCCTTTGCAACAAAGATATATAGTAGGAGCTCAATAACTACTAAATTGTGAGTTAGTTTCTCTTCCATCTCTTTAGGTTGCTCCATGAATGGGCCACAGAGTAGCATGAATAATTCCCATTTTTTTCTATGGGTGAGAGGGTCCATTCTGACCCGGTTCCTGACTACACCTGGAAATGGAGTCCACTCTGAGGTGGGGTGGGGGCAAAGGGGAGTGCAACCTGGAGAGAGCAGCAGAGAATGGAAACAAACTTTGGTTGTTTTTTAAAACATGAAAAAAAATGTAGCAATTTCACTTCATGTTTAGTATCACTTTACATTTTATTCCTCTCCCCAAACACTCTCAGGGCCTCTGAAAGTTTCTGCAGTGCACAATTTGAAATTGCTTCTTTGTTTCATAACTCCAGGGATAGCTTGAGGTAAGAGTCAGAGCTCTAAAGGAAGTCACCTTTGTGCCCCCGCTTCTCTTTGTTACAATGCCCAGTGATGCTTACTTAATGGGTCGGAAATGAGGTCTCAGGTGTTTATGTCAGAGCTTTGAGAATCTTATCTGGTGGTGCAACTTTCACTCAAAATTAATGTGCTGCATGGTGAGGGGGATGAATAAACTCGTTAGGAGAGTGAACAGATTTCCTCATTGTCACCTAACAGCATTCATTGTTTGTGTGCTTAGAATAATGTCTTTTCTACAAACCAAATGGGAAAATGCCCTAATGTATTTCCCTGAATTTGGCCTGCCACTATTGTAAATTACCTTGCTTAATGGACTTTGATATTCTGTTATCTATTTGGAAACTTCTGAGCTCCTGGAGAACCAAATCAAGTGTCTTAGTCCCAGGAAGGGAAGGCAGGCTTAGAAGATTTACAGCTCTGTGAACATCATTATTGATGTTTGTTGTGTTTTGCAAACAACTTTCCTGTGGAATAAGTGCTTATGATGATGCTGCGGGCAGTTTTTCTGATAAGTCGCCCTGAAATAATGACTACCAGGGACCATAAATTCCCTTTGGAAATCAACATTCCAGGAAGGTATTTGGCAATTATTTCAACCCCACCCCCACCCCCACCTCAGCTGCTCGTGGGAACCCTGCCAAGTTCCTCAGCAACCTTCAGGGTATTTACTAAGGTCGCTAAAATAATCATAACAACAACAACTCCAACAACTCCAACTCACTCCAACTCCAACAGCACACATTTGTAGCTTACAGAGGGGTTCACAGACCTTATCTCACTGAAGAAATGCGGAAGTTGAGGCCCAGGGACACCAGCCAGTAGTGAGGGCTGCTGGAAACAGGGCAGGGCCCACTGTCTCTACTCTGTACTTCTGTGTTGGTTAATTTTATGTGTTGACTTGACTGGGCCACATGCCACCCAGATATTTGGTTAGACATTATTCCGAGTGCTTCTGTGAGGGTGTTTTTGGATGAGAATAACTTTTCTTATTTTTTGTTACTATTTTTTTCAAGAGTCAGAGTCTTGCTTTGTCACCCAGGTTGGAGTGCAGTGGCATGATCACAGCTCACTGCAGCCTGAAACTCCTGGGCTCAGGTGATCCTCCTTCCTCAGCTTCCCAAACAGCTAGGACTACAGATGTGCATCACCACATCAAACAAAGTTTTTATTTTTATTTTTCTAGAGATGAGGTCTTGCTGTGTTACCCAGACTGGCCTTGTTCTTTTTGAGATAGGATCTCGCTCCATTGCCCAGCCTCCAGGCTGGAGTGCAGTGGTGCGATCTCAGCTGACTGCAACCTCTGCCTCCCAGGCTCAAGTGATCCTCCCACCTCAGCCTCTGAGTAGCTGGGACTACAGGTACGTGCCACCATGCCTGGCTAATTTTTGTATTTTTTGCAGAGATGTAAGTTTCATCATGTTGCCCAAGCTGGTCTTGAACTCCTGGACTCAAGTGATCCACCTGCCTCAGACTCCCAAAATGCTGGGATTACAGGCATGTGCCACCACACCTTGCTGAGAATAACATTTAAGTAGTAGACAGAGTAAAGCAGGTTATCTTTTTTAACGTGGTTGGGCCTTATCCAATTAGTTGAAGGCCTGAATAAAACAAAAACGCTGACCCTCCCCCAATTAAGAATTCTTCTGCCTGATGGCCTGTGAACTGGAACATAGGCTTTTCCTGGTTCCACAGCGACTTCTGGCCTTTGGGCTTAAACTAGGACATCAGCTCTACAGATTTTGGATTTGCCGGACCCCATAATCATGTGAGCCAATTCCTTAGAAGTCTCTCTCTCTCTCAATCTGTCTGCCATCTCTCAGTAGCCATGTTCACAAACTCTTTATGTGTATATATGGCTGCTATTGGTTCTGTTTCTCTGGAGGACTCTGACTAGTACAGCCACTCATCTCATGTCATTAAACAATGTACCCCCACTGGCCCCCCTTGCCAGTCCCTGAGCTGAGGTGCAGGCTTGAGTGAGGGAGACAAAAGGCTAAGATTGCTTGTGAGAGTAAAGTGTTTTTAGATTTTTAAAAATTTAAATTGTGGTAAAATACAGATAAAAATTTACCCTACTGATCATTTTTTTAAGTGTATAGCTCAGTAGGATAATATATTCACAGTGCTGTATAAAGTTTTGATTTTAGCTGGACTAGATAAGACTCTTTAATACCTGAAGATAACATCATCCTTAGAGCCAAAAGTGACCCCAAATTATGGGATTTTCAGGGAGAGGAAAAAAACAAAAAAAAGCTCTTGCCTGTTTGCCTCGTGGAGCTGAGGCCTTTCTCTAAACCATGGTGGGAGCCAGCTGTAGAGCTGTGATAACAGCAAGGTCATGAGGAGCCACAGAACCGGAGGAGGGGCCACAGAACTGGAGGAGGAGACACAGAACCAGAGGAGGGGCCACAGAACCGGAGGAGGGGCCACAGAACCAGAGGAGGGGCCACAGAACCAGAGGAGGGGCCACAGAACCGGACGAAGAGCCACTGAACCGAAGGAGGAGCCACAGAACCAGGGGAGGAGCCACAGAACGAGAGGAGGAGCCACAGAACCAGAGGAGGAGTCACAGAACCAGAGGAGGAGCCACAGAACCAGAAGAGGAGCCACAGAACTGGAGGAGGAGCCACAGAACCAGAGGAGGAGTCACAGAACTGGAGGAGGAGCCACAGAACCGGAGGAGGAGACACAGAACCGGACAAAGAGCCACTGAACCGAAGGAGGAGCCACAGAACCAGGGGAGGAGCCACAGAACCAGAGGAGGAGCCACAGAACCAGGGGAGGAGCCACAGAACCAGAGGAGGAGCCACAGAACCAGGGGAGGAGCCACAGAACCAGAGGAGGAGGCACAGAACTGGAGGAGGAGCCACAGAACCAGAGGAGGAGACACAGAACCGGATGAAGAGCCACTGAACTGAAGGAGGAGCCACAGAACTGGAGGAGGAGCCACAGAACTGGAGGAGGAGCCACAGAACAAGAGGAGGAGCCACAGAACCAGAGGAGGAGTCACAGAACCAGAGGAGGAGCCACAGAACTGGAGGAGGAGCCACAGAACCAGAGGAGGAGTCACAGAACCGGATGAAGAGACACTGAACCGAAGGAGGAGCCACAGAACCAGGGGAGGAGCCACAGAACGAGAGGAGGAGCCACAGAACCAGAGGAGGAGTCACAGAACCAGAGGAGGAGCCACAGAACTGGACGAGGGGCCACAGAACCTGATGAGGGGGCCACAGAACCGGAGCAGGGGCCACAGAACCCGGGAGGGGAGCCACAGAACCAGAGGAGGAGCCACAGAACCAGAGGAGGAGCCACAGAACCGGGGGAGGAGCCCAGAACCAGGGGAGGAGCCACAGTACTGGAGGAGGAGCCACAGAATCAGTGGGGGTTTGGGGAGGAGGGGTCATCCTGGCTGAATGTTGAAGAATGGTGGGATCTGAACAACTGAAGATGGGGAGGGCGAGGGGCCTGAGGTGGCCAGTGCAGAGAACAGCCTGAGTGCAGGCCAGTCTCAGCACATACACCTGCCACCCTGCTGCCAGGATGGTGGGCATGTGTCCTCGGACCACAGCCACCTTGATGACCATACACATTCCTGTTGCCTCTGCAGTCCTAGCTGGTTCTCTAGCAGCTCTATAATTCTGGAGGAGCAGTGTGCCCATCCCCTACTCCCTCTGAGCTTCCTCTCCACGCCTGAGAGGCATTTTATAAATAGCCTGTTGACAAAACCTTAAATATAATACCCCTGGGAGCTAAATTACCCAGTGGCACAGCTGTAAGTATGTAAGGGCCATCGGGGTGTGACCAGTGGGGCTGGCACATGCAGGGAGGGGCAGAGCATGGCGCTTTGCTCCTGGTCCATGTCCTGAGCATGACCAGGACTGGCCTGAAGGAGTGGGATAGGAGCTGTCTAAACAGAGAGCCCTTCCTCAGGGTCCTCTGTCCTGACCAGCTTCTTCTCTGAGACCATGAAAGAACAGAGCACATGGCTGGGGGCAGTTTGGGGAGGAGCCAGCCTCTGGGGTCAGGCCTGGGACCCTGCACCAGGATTCCACCTGAAGCAATTCAGCCTTAAGTAGTGGTCTGCATCCCAGGCCTGGGGGATCTGACTTCAGCCTGCTGGCCGCCCCCACTCACCACATTGTGGCCACAGGAGCCTTCTTCCATGACTTCATATGCATGAAACCCAGGTTCCCTGTGGGGTCCCTTGCCTGCCAGGACCCCACAGGACCTCCTTTTCTTACTCTTTTGACCAGCTTCTTCTATCTGCCCCTCAAATCCCAACCAAAATTGTGCAGATGGGCTTTCCCCTATCATTCCATCCCTGGCTTGGATGAAATCAGAGCCCCTGGTGTACACTCCTGTGTCCCTCAAATTCTAATAGTTATTATATACTCATTGTTGAGTATCATTGTCATTGCTGGCTGAATGCCTGCCATCATTGAAAGCTCTGAGGACAGGGCACTGTCTGGCTGTTGCTCCCTGTATCCCTAGCACTTAGCATGGGGCCTGGCACACCGTGGGTGTGCAGGGAGTGTGACTGAATGAAAGACGGAAACTTTAGCAGAGCCCACACCTCTTTAAAACTAGAAGCACCCATACTCCAACAGCTGAGACCTCCCTTCACCTCTCTGGAAACATCTGGCAAGCTCCACAACTCAGTCCAGCTGAAGGAAGTGGAAGGGCCAGCCAGACCTTGCGCCAGGGTGTCCTGAGGACATACAGCTGGGAGCACTGGGCTGTGATCTTTAGCCAGGCAGGAGTGGGATGGCAGGAGAGGCGGTGCCTGCCCTGCAGGATCCTGGTTGGTGCCATCGTGTCAGTCACCCGGAGTGGGCCACAGGGGACAGAGAGGCCACCTTACACTCTACAAGGCAGGTTGTGGAGAGGTGAGGCCTTCGTGGGCAAGGGCAACTGGGCAGTGTGGTCTGTTAGGGTGTCGGGAGTGTCAGGTGGGGAGGCAAAGCTCCAGGCTGTGTCAGGATGTCAGGAGACACAGAGGTGAGGCCACAGCGAAGGTACAGGACTCGCCGCAGTTCCTGCATCATGAAGCCCTTCCTGACGAGTCCAGGCTTTGCTGACCACACCAGCAGCGTTAAAGTGAAGACCTGGTCATGCAGATCTGGAAGGTTGGCGCCCCTAGGACAAGCCACAACCCAGCAGGTCCCAGGTGGGAGGGAGAGGGTTAGGCAGCAGTGAGCAGTTGGGCCCACCTGGGACCACAAGGTCCCCACAGGCTTTCAGGGCTCAGATGTGTGAGCGGGGGTGGGAGCGGAGGGGAGAGGCAGTGGAGGAGGGTACAGGGAGAGAGAAAGATGGGTGGGAGGAGAAAGTGGGGATGAGGAGGAGGAAGGGAAGTGGATAGAGAAGGAGGAGGGAGGAGCAGGGAAAGAAGAGGAATGAAGGAAGGGGTGAGGAGGGAGGGGAGCCCTGGCCGCATGGTCGTTGGGCAGGCCTGGTGCAGGCAGTGTGGCCCACATGCTGCCCCTCCAGACACGGGGCTCAGCCTGGTGGCCGGGGGCAGGGAGCCTCCTGGCCTAAGCCTCACATTCACAATTGCCTCTTTATATTTAGATGTTGGGGATGGTTCCAAGTGAGGTTTTAATGTTAGGAGCAGTTATTTGTTAAATGTAAGCATTTAAAACCTGCCACAGGATTTATATCCGCATCTTGGTATGTCTTTGGTTTTTAATCTATAAGAGGCCTGATAAAGTAAGTGGATGTGGTCCAGACCTCTGGGCCTGGGGCAGCCCCATGGGGAAAGCCTTTCTCGGGAATAGAGCCTCAGGCTGAGGGAGCCCTAGGCCCAGTTCCCACTTGTACACATTGCTGGATGTCTTACCTCACTGGCTCTGCAAGCCCTGGCCAGCCACCAAGCCTCCCCACCACTGGGAGAACTTAAGGTGCTTTAATCAATTCTTTTTCACCCCATTAGTGCGGGAGGATGTCACCCTATGGTTACGGGATGCGTGAACACTTGACACCCAGCACTGGACAGATATGTTGACAGCAGTTTATCAGTCATATATGCTCACAGCCCCAGGGAGGACTCAGCACTCCACACCAGCCACAGGGGAGTCACACTCAGGAGCAATGTGAACCACCTGGGGCTGTGGAAGCAGGCTTTGTAGTACCAAGAGGGCGAGGTGCCCCTGCTGCCCATGGGAGGACGTGGTTGACTTGGCTGAATAGTTCTGAGGGCTGGCAGGGAACTGAAACTCAGAGAGAAGCAGGAACTGCATCTGGTCTCCCGGATAAGGAGGTTGTCTGGCCAGAGGACCTTATCCACAGGAACAGAGGTGGAGGGGGAACTTGTGGTTAGACCATCCGAGGCCCTCCCAATTTTACCAGTTGTCACGGTGGCACATAGTAGGCCTTCATTTTAGGCCTTATAGCACAAATGAGCTAATGGGCTTAGAGCTCCTGCTTCAAGTGCAGGGCAGAGGAAGAAGGCTGGAGCTGGAGCAGATGGCGGCATGGTCAAGGGCTCAGTGAGAGCTCGGGAGAGGCTGTTGGGGACTGCGAGGGCCCCAGGAGGTCGCCCAGGAAGACACGTTAAAGCTCTCTGGCACATTCTTGCCCCTGCTGTGCTTAAACCAAATCAAACTTATTCCTGGTAGAGGACCATTCCATTTTTCTGATCTGATGGAGAAGAAATACGTTGAATTGAATGAAGATACACTGAATGTCTTCAGGCCAGTAGTCTCAAGGTCCAGCCACCAAGAGGGCAAACTGACCTTGACAGGTGCAGGATCAGGGTCCTGGGATGTGGGAAGCCCTAGAGTATCTTCCGTCCCCCTTCTCCCCTCGAAACCCTAGATCTGGGCTCATGGATGGACTTGGGGAGTCATCAGAAAGATGGAGACAGGCTGGGCACGGTGGCTCATGCCTGTAATCCCAGCACTTTGGGAGGCGGAGGTGGGCGGATCTCTTGAGGTCAGGAGTTTGAGACCAGCCTGGCCAACATGGTGAAACCCCATCTCTACTAAAAGTGCAAAAAATTAGCAGGGTGTGGTGGCGCATGCCTGTAATTCCAGCTACTCAGGAAGCTGAGGCAGAAGAACTACTTGAACCCGGGAGGCGGAGGCTGCAGTGAGCCGAGATCGCGCCACTGCACTCCAGCCTGGGTGACAGAGCAAGACTCTGCAAAAAAAAAAAAAAAAAAAAAAAAAAGAAAGAAAGATGGAGATGTGGCCCAGGGCCACACATTCCAGATCTCCATGGTTTCCTTTGGAGTCATTGTCTCCATCTTTGCAGACTGACAGGTCAAACCCTCCAGTGTGCCCTTAACCGCAGCAGTCTCTGTATCCTCCTTCCACTTGGGCTTCGCTACTCCTCTGAGCCCAGTGCCAGACTCAGGGGCTGCACAGGACCCCACCCTTGCTTTCCTGGCCCTCACGCTGTGGTTCCCTCGGCCTTTCCACAACGCTTCCTGATTCTGTAGGTGCTGGAGCTTCTTCCTGCAGTGGTCAGTGGTCCATTGTCCTTGTCACACTTTTCTGACCCCAGTGAGGGGACAGTGTATTTGGATATGAATCTGTTTTGGTCTCACTGCAAGATTTGGGACACTTTTCCTAAAGTTGGGAAGGGGCTGGTGGTTCAGTGTGCAGGTTTCGCAAGCAATAGAGAATGGTACACCTGGCCTAGGCACTTGCTAAGACCTGGCAGGACCTCAGGGGGGTATCTGGCAGAGGCCCACCCTTGCTGTCACATCAGGGGTGATGTGAGACTCTTCCCTGAATGTTCTGCTGTGTACAGGACCCCCAAGAATATTGCATGACCCTAGGGAGGGAAAGAGGCCTCACTAAAACCTGACCAATGCTGGCTTTCTCATCAGCCTTGGAAAGTGGCTCATGAAACACCACCTACTCATTTTTCCCCCTAACTATAAAAGCAATTCGTCTTAGAAAATTTAGAAAATATGGAAGAATGCAAAGACGACCAGACTTACCCAGAACCCCACCACCCAGGAGGAAGCACTATTGCCATTCGGGTCTCTTTCCCTCCAGTCATGATTTTGCCTGTTTAGTGATGAATATATGCAGTTTACAGGATGAGGGTTCCACTGTAGAGAGAGTTCTGTTTGCTGCCTTTTGTTTAATAGCTGCACAATATTCTCCTGCATGGATCTGCTATCATACATTTCCCCTTTTTTGGGCTATTTGGGTTGTTTCCAGTTTTTTTTTTTTTTTTTTTTTTTTGCTATTATTAGTAATGCTGCTGGAAACGTCCTTGCATATTGGTCTTTATGTATGTCTCTGATAACGTGATTTGTCACGAGTCACTGTGCAAAGACCCAGCTTGGGTATAAGGAGGTGTCCCAACCCAGAGCTCCAAAGTTAGACACAAACACCCATTTTCAGAGCTCTTGTCCCTTTAGCGAGGGTGTAGTGTGCGCCAGATTAGAGCTAACCTTCTCTTTACCTGCCTGAATTACCTGCCTGAAGGGTTCAAGTCTTCCCCACAACCCTTTAAGGTGACAGTATTTCTGCCCCTGGTTGACAGACAAGGGAACTGAGGCACAGATAGAGGCTAACTACTTGCCCAAGATCCCATAGTCAGTGGCAATGCTGGAACTTAAAACAAACAAAAGCAAACCACCCACCGCAGTGCAGGGACGGCGGCTCTGACACAAACGTAAATCATATCGTCACTAGCTGACTCCCACATGCCCGTTCGCGTTTTCACTTTCTCTGCTGCTTGGGTTTTCCACACCCCATCTTCCGGGTGGGTGTCTGAACACTTCCAATTCAGGACTGTTGAGCCTGACACTTCCTCTGCATTCGCTTGGCTCAAAGCTCCTGTCCACCTCCATCCACCACATCTGAAACTTTGAGAAGGGAGCTTCAAAATGTCATTGGAGCTGGAACAGCACATTTGCTGGTGGGGGACCCTGCTGTGACTCACTGCTGGGCTCAGAGCCACTGGAAACATTTCTCTTGGTAAGGAGGCCAATGTGGCCAGCAGAGCTTTACAGGCCCAAGGCCCTGCCTGAGCTACCTCAGAAGAGAGGAGGCACCGTGTAGTGCTTCCAGAACGCCTCCCACGGTCTCTCAGCGGAGTGGGGACCCACGGATGTGCTGAGGAGAGAGATCCAGACTGTGGGTGACACATGCAAATGCCCAGTTGCCACATACGCTGGACTCTTCCCAGTTCCAGGAGCCTGCAAAGCTCCTGAGCCTGTCTTTCCAGAATGTTCTTCCAGCCAAAGTCTAAGGTGCTGATGAGGAAAAAGCAGAGTAAGACTGTGATGATGCTGGAGAATGTGTACCCATACTGGAGGCAGTATGGGGACTGTCGTGGGTTGACCTGTGCCATCCAAAAGACATGTTACAGTCTTAGCCCCATTATTTCAGAATGTGACTTTATTTGAAAATAGGGTCTTTACAGATGAGGTTTGTTAAAATAAGGTAACACTGGATTAGGGTGGGCCCTAAATCAACGGCTGGTGTCCTTATAAGAAGGCCATGTGACAATGGAGGTGGAGATTGGTGAGATCCAGAAGCGAGGAGACGCAGGGAATTGATTCTACCTGGAGCCTTCAGAGGGAACATGGTTCTGCAGATACTGTGATTTTGGACTTGGCCTCCAGAACTGAGAGAATACCTTTCTTTTGTTTAAAGCCACCCAGGTTATGAACACTAATATAGGGGGTGAATTGGAGGGCTTGGCCCACCCGGAGGCACTAGATTCCATTCCTAGAGGCTGGAACGATGTCCTCAAAAGAGGAAGGAAGGGTTAGGACAGGATTTTCAATCCAAAAGTCCAAGTAGAAGGAAACATATTCGAAGCTTGGCCCTTAAGTCTGTGATCTTGGCCTTCTCAATGGTCTGTCCCTGGGGCCTCCCCAGTTTGGTCAGGCTCTGGGGCCTGTGTGGGCCCGACAGTGCATATCCTCTGTGTGAGGACTGGTCTGGCTGAGAAGTTTCTGTGTGTTATGGGATCAAAACTGAGATTGGACTTTGTACGTCCAAGCCAGAAAGTAGAAAGTGATTTCCTTTAAATCATCTTAAAAAGTTTCTGACTAGAATTTTAAGTCTGTTTATCAGCACAAGGGACTCTATATCACTCTCTACCACCCCCTATTTCTCTATTTTAACTGGAAGATAAAAATAGTTAATCAGAGAGTCAGAGTTGAATGGGGAAAGTACCTGATTCTCACATTCTTTCCTTTTTCTCTCATTCACAAAGTGAATTTGGAGATAGGGAGCAGCTGGCTGAGGGAGGAGCGCCCCAGCATCTGTATTGATGGAGAAGAAACCCGGCTGGGTCCATGGGGACCCACAGCTGCCACCATCAAAGCCTCATCCAGCATAGGCCGGAGCAAGGGTAAAAGCTTATTTGCGGGGAGCTGAACTTCCCCTTCCCCAAAGCCAGACAGCAACCTGAGTGACCCGGTTCAGAGTGGAAGCCTGAATCCTCCCCTCCTTTCTCTTATTTGTCATTATTTAAAAATCCTTCAGTCCCCTTCAGGGCTCAGATCTTATTGCTGTTGATTCCCGCCCCCTCCCCCTTTTTTTTTTTGAGACAGGGTCTCACTCTGTCACCCAGGCTGGAGTGCAGTGGCATGATCTCAGCTCACTGCAACTCTGCCTCCTGGGTTCAAGCTTTTCCCACCTCAGCCTCCCGAGTCGCTGGGATTACAGGCACGTGCCACCATGCCCAGCTAATTTTTTGTATTTTTAGTAGAGATGAGGTTTCACTATGTTGGACAGGCTGGTCTTGAACTCCTGACCTCAGGTGATCCACCCACCTCGGCCTCTCAAGGTGCTGGGATTACAAGCATGAGCCACCACGCCTGGCCCCCGATGTCCATTTTTTATGCAAATGGTTGTTTATTATGTCTGCTCACAGCCCCAGGAGGACAGGGATTTTGTTCCTTTTGTTCACTGCTGTGTCCTCAGTGCGTAGAATGTGCTTGGCGCATAGTGGGTGCTCAGAAAATATTTATCGAATCAATTAATCTGAAAAAGATTGCTGCTTTGCGGAGACACGTGCTGACTGTAATCTCAAATCCACGTGGAAGGAGACAGAGAGGGAGGGCACACACTTTTTTCCTTGAAAGTGAAGAAGAATCCAAACCACATATTCACAGTGCCTGTGCCTGTAATTTCTCCAGAATACCTTTACAGGTATAAAGTGCTGGAGTCGGCGTTATGATCACCGTGTCACTGATGGGAAACGGAGCCTGCGTGGAGTGAAATAACTTGCTCATAGTGACACAGCACTGGGCCAGGAACCCTGCTGTCCTGCCTGGAGTCCATGTCCCATGCCCTGGATCAGTGTGGACTGTAAAAGTGGTATTTATTAATTTATATTTGAATCATGGCATTGAAAAAGAAAACCGGCTGATCCAGCATTTTCCAAAATGTATCCTAAGACTCTAGGTCCTCAAGATCCTTTGTGAAAAATCTGCAAACTTTTGTTCCTCCCACAGAGGATGTAGGGGAAGGATCTATCAGGATCCTGATAGATCCACACACATCTATCAGGATCTCTAAGTCCTACAGGAAGGGGGCCCATTTAACTTCATCGAGTCCTGTGTTTTCCTCTGGTTTTGAACTTTAGGAGGCCGCCCCCTTCCCTCCCTTTCTCCCTCCTTCTTTCCTTTCTAGTAGTAAACATCCTGCAGTGGGAAATTTGGATGCCATCCAATTCCTTGGTATCTTCCTTACAAGGAAGACCCTCATTCACCATTTTCAGACGATGGCATGGAGGGGAGAAGGGCCTAGGGCTGAAACCTCACTGCTAAAGACTCAGGCCTGGCAACAAAACCCTCCTGGGCTCTTGTGCTGGCTGGTCCTCTTGGGAAGGATGGCTGGGCTCTAGAGGGGTGGGTGCCTGGGGTGTCGCTAGCAGGATGGGCGTTCTGGGGGAAGGAGCCAACTCCCATAGCTGGCAGCTGCCCTCCTGGAGCTGAGTGGAACAGTCTGTGGTTAATTATTTGCTTCTCCTGAACAGCGCTGCCTACCCCGACCCGCAGCTCCCTGAGCCTGATTACATTACCCCTTCCAGGCAGATTTATCTCAAACTTGTTTGATGCCTCTCCAAAGAGCTCCATCTGGTTCCCTCACTATTCCTGACAGGTGGCTAACACAGCTCTCTGAAGCCCCCCAAACACCAGGAAGCATCTTCTACAGAACTGACTTGGCTGTTATGTCACATTGCTGTCTCCCCATCGTGTATTTGCTACAACCACAGACATTTGTATGGAAATGGAATCAGTGTTTGTAAGGGCTCATCTGCTCAGGCTGCCTTGTGAGCAGGCACTGGGGGACAATCTGCCCAGCCAGCACCCACCCACGTGGCTCCGAGGCTCCTCAGGCAGGACTTCTCTAGCCTCTGAGGGTAGGGGACACCATTGGGCTGGGATTTATGACCCGGGTGAGCCTTCCTGGGCCACAGGAGCATCTGCTTCAACACTGCAGCAACGTCTCTCCATCTCTTAGCCTATGTCCAGAGTGGGGCTGTCCCTCGCCGGGCTGCGGGCTGTGCTGTGGAGCGCTTGGCCAGAGGGTGGGACCCTGCTGTGCCAGGAACAGTGGTGGGGAGGCCTGGGGCCACAGACTGTAACGGAGGCACAGAGGAGCCATGTGCGGCACATCAAGAGAGGAGTTAGGCACGAGTGCACCTTTTTCCATCCAGATACACCCTACAGGAGCGTGGACTCAGCGTTTACAGAGCACTTTCACCTCCCTTCAGAGTTTTTCTTCAGGACGGGAGTTACCGAGTAAATGCCTGTGTCCTCACCAGAGTCATCTGTTAGAGGCTAACCGCCAATGCCAAGGCATTAGGAAGTGGAGCCTGTGGGAGGTGATGAGGGTTGAGGGGAGGGCATGTGAGTGGGGCCCTCCTGATGGGATTAGCGCCCTTGTAAGGAGAGGAAGAGACACCAGAGCTTCCTCTCTCCGCCATGTGAGGACCCAGCAAGAAGGCAGCAGCCTGCAAACCAGGAAGAGGGCCTCCTCAGAACTTGGCCATGCTGGCAGCCTCCTCGGAGTCCCAGCCTCCACAGCTGGGAGAAACAAGCGTCTGTTGTTTAAGCCCCCAGGCTGTGGTGTTTTTTTACAGCAGCCTGAGCTGACTAAGACAATGTGAGAGTTCAGCTTGCAGGAAGCGGAGGTTCATCGGCTCCAGGTCACACAGTCTGGTCCTGCAGCTCCAAATTCCAAACCCCTTGCTCAGTACCAGTGGGTCAGGGTCGGAGAATTCCAAGGAAGGCCAGGCTGGGGAGGGGCCCCTGAGGGTGGGGATGGGGGCAGTCCACCCTGGAGATGGAGTCCTACTCTGCCACATGGTTCAGAGCAGGCCCTGCCTTGGGGACCCTCCCCTCCATCCCTTTCAGGCTGTATGGTTTGGGGGCCCTCTACCTATACCAACCCACCTTCGGGAGTGCATTAGACCTAGGCCTGGCCAAGCCAGTAAACGCCTATTGAGCACCTTCTACATGGCAGGTGCTGTCCAAGTGCCTGGGAAATAGCAGTGAATAAAACAGGCAAAAATCCCATGCTGTGGACTTTACATGTTGGTGGAGGAAGAAAGACAATAAAAATCAAATATCCACTGCATTAGAAAGTTGGAATGGTTGGGAGGACAATACAGTGAGGAGGGGACAGGGTGTACGTGGGCGGAATGGAAGTGGGGAGAACTGAGGAGGTGGCACCTGAGGAAGTACTTGAAGGAGGGGAGAGAGGAACTCGGCAGAGGGAATGGAGAGGGCAGAGTCCCTGAGGCAGAAGCACTGGTGGGTGGGTTTGAAGAGCAGCAAGAAGCTGCTGTGACTAGAGCAGAGAGGAGAGGATTTGGAGGTGGGGGCTGAGGTAGGGCCTTTGGCTGGTGCTCAGAGGGTGATGGGAGGCCATTGAGGGGTATGGGGCAGAGAAATGCCACCGTCTCACCCACATTTTGACAAGAGCACTCTGTGTTGTGATGAACAGCCTGCGGGGAGGGGGCCCTGTTGGAGGCTGGTACAGCAGAATCCAGGTGAGAAACGGTAAAGGGGGCAGAAGGAGTCCGACACGGTATGTATTTTGAAATGTTTGCTGACCACTTGAATATGGAGTGAGAGAGAGGGAGGCAGTGAGGAGGCTTTCAGCATCAGCAAATGGGAGGATGCATTTCCACTGATCGAGAGGCAGATGAATGTACGAAGAACAGCCTTGCAGCTAAAGACAGGATTTCCCCCTTGGAAACGTGAGGTTTGTCATGTCCCTTAGAAATGCAAGCGAGGCTGTCAAGTGAGCCTCCAGCTCAGGGTGGGTTGGGGCTGGTGATACAAAATTGGGGAGCACATGAAGGACATTTGAAGTCAGGAAGCTGCAGTGTTGCAAGCTGATGATTGCTGGTGAAACGCAGAGGAAGCCTGAAGCTTGCATCCTCAGACATCCAGTGATAAGCAGTGGCACAGGCCAGGTGGAATCCACAAAGATTCTGGAAAGAAGCCGCCAGGGAGGTGGGAGGAAAGCCAGGAGGGTTTTCATGCTGGCGGCTGAACCTCCTGGCTTCTTCTCACCCCTGGCCACTGTGTTGCCCATGGTGCAGGCACAGGACCCATGTTGGTCTGATCAGAGCACAGCCAGGGTACTTAGAGTCACAGAGCACAGGAAGCAAGCTCTCTTCTGTCTTACCGTGCTTAGCTGGGGAGAGGAATGAGTCTGGAGCTGTTGGTAGCCATTTTCCCAGTCCAAGTAAGCAGCTGGCACCAGATCAGAATTGCCAGATGCAAGACACAGAGGGAGGCAGAGTCCCAGGCCATTTCAGCTCCACATTCAACCATGCCCCAAGTCCCTGTCTTTTAGTTTCATCAGCCAATAATTTCCTAGTTTTGCTCAAATCAGCTTGAGCTGGGTGTCTGTCATTTGCAACTCAAACAGTTCTGACCAAAGCATCAATGTACCCACATCCACACGGGGAGAACCTCCCCCACCATCATTTTGAGGCTGTGCCCTCCAGCTGAACACCTGTTCTCTGTGGCACTGACTCCTCTTTCCATAGGGACATCATACAACAGTCGCCTTTATCTGAGGTTGTGCAAAGAGGGATGGAGGAGAAAACAATGGAGAATCCCTGGTGAGGATTTTTTTTGTTTTAAAAGAAACATTTTAGATAAATGTATCAGAGTTTAATTGAGCAAATAATAATTTGTGATTCAGGCAGCGTCTGGCACTAGAGTAGGCTTAGAGAGACTTTGGCGCTGTCCTGTAGTTGGAGAGAATTTACAGACAGAAAAAGGAAAGTGAGGTAAAGAAAACAGAGGTGACTGGAAAAGGGAGGTACAGAAACAGCTGGATTGGTTACAGCTCTGCATGTGCCTTATTTGTTATTTGTGTTTTTTGTTGTTGTTTTTTTTTTTTTTTTCAGATGGAGTTTCCCTCTGTTGCCCAAGCTGGAGTGCAGTGGCGCGATCTCGGCTCACTGCAACCTCCACTTTCCAGGTTCAAGTGATTCTCCTCAGCCTCCCAAGTAGCTGGGATTACAGGCACCTGTCAACATGCCCGGCTACTTTTTGTATTTTTAGTAGAGATGGTGTTTCACCATGTTGCCCAGGCTGGTCTTGAACTCCTGATCTCAGGTGATCTGACCACCTGGGCGTCCCAAAGTGCTGGGATTACAGGCATGAGCCACCACACCTGGCCCTGCATGTGCCTTATTTGAACATGGTTTGCCAATTGGCCATTTGTGAGTGGTTGACATGTGGCTGTTGTGATTGGCTCACACCTGGCTACTTGTTATAAGATAGGCTATAGTCTGTTTATATATTTAGTTAGAGAATAGTTTACTATGTATGGAGAAATCTTTAGACCAAACTTAAAATATGTTAGGAGGCAACTTTAGGCTAAACTTAATTTAACATTTTGTTTTTTTTTGATGGTTTGTTATTTTCCTTATTTATTTAAAAGAGTGGGGGCCAGGGGTGGTGGTTCACGCCTGTAATCTCAGCACTTTGGGAGGCTAAGGTGGGTGGATCACTTAAGCCCAGGAGTTCAAGACCAGCCTGGGGAACATAGTGAAACCCTGTCTCTACAAAAAATACAAAAATTAGCCCAGCGTGGTAGTGTGCGCCTGTAGTCCCAGATACTCAGGAGGCTGAGGTGGGAGGATCACTTGAGCCTGGGAGGTAGAGGTTGCAGTGAGCTGAGATCGTGCCACTGTACTCCAGCCTGGGTGACAGAGCAAGACCCTGTCTCAAAAAATAAGTAAATAAATAAAAAGGTGGGGGGTGGAAATGACAGGACCATGCCTGTACCTTCCACCCCAAGAGCTGTGATGGGGATGAACTGAAGGGGCTGAGGCTCTCCTGAAAGGTGGGCTGGAGGGCAGATATTAGAATGAGCTCCTGAACTCAGGAATAGGCAGCATGATGGGTTCAAGAGAAACAGAAATCTTCAAGAGGGAAGACATTGATCTGAGGGGCTTGCGGGGAGAATGGAGTGTTGAGGTTTTTTTGGCTGAAGCAACTGGGTGGACAGTGGTAAAGCCAGAGTCAGAAAAGGAGGTGGGAGAGGTCAGCGCCTGGGAAGGGGAAAATCCAGACCTGAGCTCCCGAGGCCTCTCCCCATATTATTAATCTCCTGCTGTATATACATGTTTGCTTTTGAAGGACATTTTCCCTCCATGCTTTGAAGCCACTTAATTCATTAGTTCTTTATCATTTATGTCCTATTTCATTATGTTATAATCTTTACAGTTGTTAATTTGCATTTCATTTCCTGCAGTGACAAAAAAATTCTACCCATGAAAAATGTTATTGTTGTAAATATTAATACAAGTCACAAATGATCACCATCCAGACCCATTTATCATAGCAGCGGCTCCCTTTGTCTGAGGCTGGGTGGATTCAGGATAATTATTAAAAGCTAGAGCTCTGTATGCCCCCAGGGCTGAAAGAAGCAGAGCTGGTCACAAGCCCTGAGACAATGTTAAAAGAGGCAGAAAAAACAGTACCTGACTACAGCCGACTACCTGCATTTGTACCTCCTGTGTCACTCTTGACACAGACCTCACACTGCCTGCACCTGAGCTTTTCAGAGGCCAAAGAAGGACAGATGGCTGCTTTCATGCCCAGCAGGGGAGAGTCTGTGACCGGGAGGATGGAGCAGGGAAGGAGCCGAGGTGAGGTCTTCCCTGGAGGAGAGCCAGGAGAAGACGTGCTGCGGGCCCTAGAGGGAAGGGGGCATGGTCAGTGGCTGGGCAGTGGGGGTTACACATATCCCAGCCCCACGTGCCTCAGTTGCTTCCCTCCCGGCTCAGAACAGGACACTTGCCCCTGGGCCTTCTTAAGGAAAATTGCACTGCAAAGAGTCATTTCGCTGCCCTGCAGATCAGAGATGATGAATACTCCTAGTCCCTGAATGAGCTGCCCCAGTATCTAGGCCTGGTGGGAAATGCCCCTTACTCTTTTTCTTTCTTTCTTTTTTTTTTTTGAGACGGAATTTCGTTCTTGTTGCCCAGGCTGGAGTGCAGTGGTGCGATCTCGGCTCACTGCAGCCTCTGCCTCCTGTGTTCAAGTGATTCTCCTGCCTCAGCCTCCCGAGTAGCTGGGATTACAGGCATGCGCCACCAGGCCCGGCTAATTTTTTTGTGTTTTTTTTAGTAGAGATGGGGTTTCTGCATGTTGGTCAGGCTGGTCTCAAACTCCTGACCTCAGGTGATCCACCCACCTTGGCCTCCCAAAGTGCTAGGATTACGGGCATGAGTCCCCTCGCCCAGCCCCGTTACTCTTTAAAGAAATGCTGCAGCCCTGCAAGAAGCACTAGGAGCAAACCAGGTGGTGGCCAAGTCAGAGCTCTGCCAGCCGGGGCCCAGTGCTGTGGTGTAGGGCTTGAGGCTGTGAGTGTTGTCCCTGCCGGGGTCCTGTGGCCTTGGCTCTGTTCCAGAATATATCTGAGTCCCAGCTCTGATCCATGACTAGTCCCCCATCCCACACCTAACCTGTCCTGCCTGGATCCCAGCTCCAGACCGGGCTCCAACTCTGACACCCACACACTTACCCTTACCCTGGCGTGGTGACCACCACATCCCTTCACTCTAAAGTCACATTTTCCTCTTCATAAATGTTAAGTCATCTGTGGGTGGTGCACTGAGATCCTGTTCCCCAGCATCCTTTCTCCCAGTAGGCTTAGCATCTATTCATGATTCCTAATGGACTCAGTTTTCTAATTTGATCATTTCTTCTACATTTATTGGTTGCTGTTCTCTGATAAAAAAGAGATTTTTCTTTTTTTCTCCTTTCTTCCTTCCCTGGTCTCCTTTTGTGGAGTATTGCTGTGGTTTCAGAGATTTATTTTTTTCATTAAATATGTTAGACTCTCCATGCTTATCATTATTCTTTTTGATGTGGCAGTTGTCCCAAGTTTGGCCCATGGGACCCCCTTTCTGTTGGCACATGTGTCTTTTAGACATGACTCCCTGGTCTTTGATTTTTCCCTTGCTTTCTGACCTGGGATACTCCAGGTACACCTGTACTTCACTTGCTGTACAACCAGACTCAGCTGTTTTTCCAAGAAGCCCTACTTCTTTTTTCTTTTGTCTCTGCAAAGGCTGGGCATAGAGCACGTACCTACCTAGTTCTTATAGAATGGGTTTTTTGGAGACATCTTCTGCACCATATTGTTCACTGTTTGAAGGTAGTGTCTCTGGTGATGGTGGTCATGACAAATAGAGATGACCTTTGGGCAGTCACAAATCATCAACCTGAATGGTTGAACCAAGCATGGAGTAGGTACCAGCAAAGCACAGGCTTTGTGGTGGCGGAACGAGGTCCCCTCAGAAGACATGTCCATCTTCTGGAACCTATGAATGTAATTACAGTCAGGATCTTGATAAGAGCCTCCTGGGCTACCCAGGTGAGCCCTACAGCCAATGACAATTATCCTTATAAGAAACAGAAGGGGAGAAGATGCAGACACTGAGGAGAAGGGCAGATGAAGACGGAGGCAGAGATTTGTGGGATGCAGCCACAAGCCAAGGAACTCCTGAGCTGCCAGGAGCTAGAAGAGACGAGGAACGTTCGCCTGTAGAGCCTTCAGAGGGGGCACGTCCTGGCGACACCTTGATTTTGGACTTCTGGCCTCCAGAACAGTGAGAGCTAAATTTCTGTTGTTTCAAGCCATCTAGCTCGTAGTAGTTCCCCCTTATTTGCAGGGACTTATTTGCATGTCCCCCCTTATTTGCATGTTCCATGACCCCTAGTGGAGGCCTGAAACCATGCATAGTACCAAATCCTATATCCACTGCCTTTTCCTATGCAGTAAAAGGTGAGTAATGTACACTGCCCTGCTCTGTCCCACCTGGGACAAAGGGATAATTCACATCCCAGGTGGGATGGAGCAGGACGGTGTAAGATTTCGTCATGCTGCTCAGAATGGTGCGCAACTGAAAACTTATGAATTTTTTGTTTCTGGAATTTTCCATTTAACATTTTCAGGCTGTGGTTGACCGTGGGTAACTGACACCTTGGAAAGTGAAACTGTGAATGAGGGGGAGCTACTGCGCTTTGCTATGGCAGGCCCGGAAAACCTACACAGGCTCCAAGAAAAAAATTGACTGAAAAAGCATCAAAGCCATTGCCATGGGGGAAATCAGAATGGTGTTGACTGCTGACACAACTGGTTTGCTGTTGTTTTTATTTGAAATTACCATTGGATCCTCTAAGGTCTTCATCCAGTGCAGCCCTGTGTCCTGCTGGCTGGTGCTGTAGTGCGGTGGTGTTAACCAGGGTCAGAGAATAGTTGGCACAGCCCCCAGATTTGGGGTGGCCTGCTTGGAGCCCTGCACCCAGGAGTCTGTGAGACTGCTTTCCACAAGAGGTTGCTGCTCCAGCCTGACAGCCCCCCTGCCCCAGGTGGAAGGGCACCCTGTGCTTGACTGTGTCCGCTATTCCCTGGTCTGCACACCCTGGGCCACATAACTGGAGGGGCCTGGGGACAACTCTAAGGCAATGCCGAGGAGCTGGTGTGGAGCGGGGGCCATCACAGCTACACACGCCCCTGCCAGTTCTGAAACTGCCTGGCTGTGGGCAGCCCCCCATAGGGCAGGGCTGTAGGCCGAACTGCAAGGCCAGGGAGATGCCTGTGGTGGCTGGAAAGGCCAGGAGAGTCTGAATGCTGAGTATGACGCTGAGCGGCCCAGAGAGTACCACCTGATTTGGTGAGGGCGTCTGCTGGAGGGCGTGATTGGTGAGCCCTGAGGGGATGAGAATGCGGCCTTGAGGCAAACCCACCCTGGTGGCTGCCCGGGTCTGACCGAGGGGAGAGATGCTCAGAGGAGCCAGGGGGAATCCCCTGTGGAGATGGGTCTGGCTCCAGGCTTGGCTGAGTATTTTTGCTCGCTTAGTGATTTAGCACTTTTGGGAAGGTGAGTCCACAGAGATGAGCCAGGACAGGGGACCTAAGTCCGGCCTTGCGGCCTGGGCCACAGGGATGCCGGGAATCTAGAGGAGAGCTTTCCACAGAAGCCCCCAACCTCCATCCCTGAGGCGCGCAGGACCCTGACCTTCAGACCGGAGGAGGGCAGGGGGCATGACCTTGGGCCCCAAACCTGGCTGAGGCCTCCAGCTCTGGAAAAATGAAACTGCTATGACCCTCCTTATCTCCACTCACTGCCAAACAGAGCCATAAATTCCGATTAGGGAAAGATGCTGGTTGGCAATGACATACAAAAAATTCGTGATTAGTGAACTGTAAAAGCTAACATGACATGCTCATAATTGGGATGTATTTACTGCGCGAAAAACGCCACGCTGCCATTTGGGCAAAGTGACTTTGAGGGAACTTTCTCAAGGAGACTGACACAACTTCCCTCTTTTGCTTACCAAACAGCAATAACCATTATTGATGGTGTTTTTCAAATGGCAGCTACAGAGAGAGAGGGGCTGTGATTTCTTGTCAGAACTGCTTTATGGGGTTGTATTTTCCAGGTGTTTAAGGAACCCTGTTCATTTGCGGCATTATCCTGGGTGATTTATGGACCTTCAAAGAGCTTACTTCATTTCAATGTTTTAGGCGTTTCGCTTCTTTACAACAAACCTTATTCCAATACAATCAATGGAGGTTTCTCCTTCTGGCCGGGGAGGGAGTGCCGTGTGGCTTTATAGCAAAATCAATATGAGGATAAATGGACAACAAAGAAGGTCCACTGTCAGAGTGGAAAGAGGCGTGTAAGTCCCTGGCCCAGCAGCAAAGCCATCAGCAGGGGCTTGTCCAGAGCCTGGCTTTACAGAATGTGGCTGCCAGGCGCGCTCCTCATTGACCAGCCCAGAAGGACTGGGAGCAACAAAGTCAGACAGTTGAGGAGAGGGCTCAGTCATGCTTTTCTTAAACATAGTAATAAGTTTGTTTATAAGCGACCCCCCTGCAAGTCTCATTAATGTTTGATGCCGTTCAAATGTGTATTTTCTAATTAAGGTAAAAAAATGATTCTCAAATACATCAAAGTTCCAACATTTGCTTTCTGGGGGATGAGAAAGCAGATGAGTAGCTCACAGCTGGGCCTAAATGTCTCCTAAAGGAGACCTGGCAGCAGCAGAGTCCCTGGAGGAACCCCAGGTTTTCTTGCTCACCCTTTTCCCCCAGTCAATGTCAGGGAAGTCCTCGTATTTTCTCTGGAGACATGGAGGGGAACCATAGCGTGTTGCTGCTTTCAGAGGGTCTTGGAGGTGGGGGAGAGTGTGGGACAGAAAGATGGGGTTCACCATGAGGTAATTGAGGTAATTTAAGACAAATGCAAGCTGCTTTTACTGGAGAAGGAAAACCTTTATGCCTCTTGAGGTCCCTTGGTGGAACATAGCAAATATTGAATTAATGAGCAAACAAAAGAAGGTCAGGCTGGAAACGAAATCAAGCTCCAAGCAGAGTAGATACACATGTAGGGGGTACCTTCCTCCCCTGGGCAGCCTCATTGTGCAGGCAGACGCTCACTGTCCCACCAGCTGGCCTTACATTCATTCTCTTGTGTGTTCATTCAGTGAGCACCTAGGTGGGCCAGGGCCTGCTGAGGACTCTGGGAACACAGTGGCGCACAGGACAGGCAGGCTGCTGCCGTTAGGATGCGCACAGTCTAGAGCAGGAGGAGATTCTAAAGAAGTAGGCATGGAAATAAATATAAAATTACCGGTGATATGTCATGAAGGAAAAGGACCAGGTCCCTTCCCTGGTCCTCAAAACACCCCTGCTACCTTCTGACCAGGGAGATCACTGTTGTTCCTAGTGCTTGATGTATTCACCCCCATCCCCAGGCCTTTATTTAAGCTAGTTCCCTTATAATCTAGTAACCCTCCACCCCCTAATACTCTTTCTAAGGAAGGCCACAGAACACTCAGGGCTGCCACTTTCCCCTTCTGTGTCCCATCTTCCCAGACAGCTCGAGTGGGCAGGGAACTTTTAAGGTTTGGCTCTATGTTAGTTCCCATGCTGAGCACTAAGGACTTAGTGGTTAACACAGAGATACAGTTCCTCTATTCAAAAAAATATACACTCTCATCTTTGCTCTAGGCACTGTTCAGTGTTTACCCCCCTGCTTTGGGCTGTCTCTGTTGATTTTATGCATTAGAGTCCCAGCAAGTCTGCAGGTTCCCAGAAGTTCCTTGGTCTCCCCTGCAGCACATCTGAGCATAGGGCCAGACACAGAGTTGGGGGTCCTACTAGACTTGCTTCTACCTGCCCTAGTGGACAAATTACCTTGCTCTAAACTGCAGTGACTCTGTCACTAGTCTGTAAACTTCTAGAGGGCTTAAGTCATGTGTGGCAGAGATGGCTGACTCCCTACCAAAATCCATTCTCCTCTGGCCATGGCAAAGAGTTGTAGATGGAAAGTCTATCCAGGAACTGCATTTTCCAGCCAGCCTCTATTCTTGCACCCTCATCCCTATGCATCTCAGCATGGGTGTGAGACCAGATTTTAACAATAGAATATGAACAAAGGTGATATACATGCTGCTTCCAGGCCAAGTTCTTTCCCTTTTATCAGCTGGCTGATGACCACAAGGTCCTAGGAGATGGCAGAGTCACAGGATGGAAAGATCCTGGGTCCCGGAATCACTGAGTGGAGAACAGCTGTCCACCCACCTGGGACCTTGGCTTTAAACTCGTTTATAAGCAAGAAATAAACCACCATTTATTAGTGTTTGAGTCTTTATACATATTGAGGTGTTTTTGTTATAGTAGTACAAATAGACCTTAACTAAAATGCCATTTCTCATTCCTCACCTGGCCTGGAATATAGGGAACACTAAACAAAACCATGACAAATGAATAAATGAATGCATGGTTAGTAGCTACTTCCTGGCTTACATTAATAGCCTCCAGAAGGAGGGACTACAGTCCTATGATATCAAGAGTAGAAAAGTGAGCAGAAGTAGCGTGACTAGTCTTGGATTAGATTTTAAATTTTGTGGTGGCTGGGGTGCGACAAGGGAGGATAGTTCTAGAAACAGATCCCAGGAGCTTGTTCTCCTGGATCTGGGCACCAGGGTGAGCCCCATGCTTCTGGCCCCTGCCGGGATACACTTTCTCTGAAAATGGCTCATCTCCCTCTGCCTGTTACTTGTGAGGGAATTGTAACTTAGCCAGAGCACGTCTCTGAAATCATCATGCTTTGCTGGTTTTGTTTTTAAACTTAATTACATATAAACATATATAGAAAAGCAGAGCAAATGATGTAGTGAGCACTCATATGCCTATCCCTAGATTAAGCTAATGTATATATCTTGCAGTATTTGCTTCATCTTTTTTTTCCTAAAGTATCTAAAAATAAATGACAGGTATTTTACCCCTATTTCAACATGCACTTCTAAAAAAATAAGATACTCCTGGCCAGGCGTATCCTGTAATCCCAGCATTTTGGAAGGTCGAGGCGAGTGGATTACTTGAGGTCAGGAGTTCAAGACCAGCCTGGCCAACATGGTGAAACCCCAGCTTTACTAAATATACAAAAATTAGTTGGGTGTGGTGGTGCATGCCTGTAATGTCAGCTACTTGGGAGGATGAGGCATGAGAATTGCTTGATCCCAGGAGGTGGAGGCTGCAGTGAGCTGAGATTGCACCACTGCACTCCGGCCTGGGCAACAAAGTGAGATTCCATCTCAAAAAAAAAAACAAAAAAAAACCAAACTCCTGTATAATCATAATGCCATGATTATACCTAACAAAGTTAACAGTTTCCTGACACCATCTAATACCTTGCCTGTGTTCAAATTTACCCAAACGTGCCTTATAGAAAAGGTTCTTCAGACTGGTGTCCATCAGGGACCAAGCTTTGCATTTGGTTGTTGCCCATGACCATCGGAGGAGCCCAGCAGTCAGGGTCAGTGACTCCTCTAGTCCTGTGGGGTGAAGATGTTTGGATGTGGCTGCAGGACTAAAAGGATAATTATTCATTACTGAGAACAAGCACAAGCACATAATCATAACATTCAGGAATCCATCCCTGGTAATTTATGGCCCCAGTAGTTGAGCACTTATGTCTCTAAGTGCTTTACATCATTTATTAGATACACCCGGGAGCCCCAGCAAGAGCAAGTCAGCATGACCAGGGTTACATGCGGCAGAGCAAGAGACACGGAGTGGCCCATGCAAGGTCACCAAGCTTGTCTGGGCCTGAGTGTGGGCAGTGGCCTCTATACCCAAGGCCTGGCCCCAAGAAGCCAAAGCCCAGCCTGAGAGGGGCTTGGGCACCACCAGGCCCTGGCCAAGCATTTCCAGGCCTAGGATTAGATTTGACCTCCTTCCCTGTAGGGGAAGAAGGATATCAGCTGAAGAAGCCTGGGGACAAATATAGTTTCTCATCAGGTCATGGGCAGGACACCAAAAATCCTAAGTCAGGTCACATTTTAAATGCACGAAGGAAGTTATGCTCAAAGTCCAGCTGAATCCTTCCCCAAGGTAAAAGATCCTTTTGTTATGTGAATAATTTATCTCTAAAGTATCAGATTTCTGTGAACTGGGTTTTCTGAAACTGAGCAAAAAAACACAGGAGTTAAAAGCATGGACCTTGGAATCGAACCCCCTGGATTCCAGACTCTGCCTTCCCACAGGTGACTCACGTGCTTAATCCTCAGTTTCCCCCTCTATAAAATGGGGATTATATAACTCTACCTTATAGAGAGATTATGAGGGCCATATAAGATAATGCTTACCTTAGTGGCTGGCATATAACCAACAATGTTGGCTAGCTGTTATCATTACCAATTGTTAATTTATTAACCAGACAACCGGCCAAAATTGTACAGGAGTTAGCTCAGGTCCAAGGACTCCTAGAGGTCACTCAGGCTATACTAAAACCTGGAAGAAGTCCTCCTGGCACGATGGCCACAAGCTTGGGTTCCTGGTGGGATGGGGATGTCAGAACAGGAGAGGGGAGCTTAGGCTTGGGAGGGTGTCTGGGGCTGGTCTAGGCATCATCCATCACCAAGAAGAATCCCAAACGTAGATCTTATCCAAAGTTCAGCCAGGATGGAGACTTTGTCATGCTATTTAATCTCCTTGTAGTGTTAGTTTCCTTGTCTGTCAGATGAGGATAGTAATGTCCACCTCCCAGCGTGGTGACGACAGAATGGAATTTAGTGTAGAAGTTCTTTGCCCAGGGATTGGCATTAAGTACTCTGAGGTAGCTGCTCTAGGTGCTGACCTGAATCTTAACTCTCCCTGAGGGGTTAAGAGATGGTGGCTGCCACCAGGAGCAGTGACGCTGTAGTGTCCTGACATCCTTCACCAGGTCCAGGGCCCGTCTGGCCATTCCCATCTCCACATTCCAGGTCAGGAGTGGCGAATTCTTGTTGGAGAGTCCTCCTGCTGGGGTGAGTGGACTCCTGGCTCCAGGCGCTCCCTGCTGCAGAGTTCCCTCTCTCTGGAGCAGTTCAGTATGTTCCTGCTTGGAATTCACAGCGGGCTGCCTCTGCTCCCCCACCGCATTATTTTTCGAAGCAATGATCCAATGAAGCAATTACTATTCCAATCGGGATGGAGATCTCTGCAACCCACAGCCAAGCATGGCCTCTGTGGCGTCTGTTACTCTCCTTATCTCTCCCCGGGCCTCCAAAGACCATCTCCATTTTCATGCCCATGGACGATTTATAACAGCTGCAACAGCAAGGCCAGGATCCCCTCTGAGCAGAAACTTTTCTTAAGAAAAGGGGTTCCGCATTACCCCACGCATCTTTGTGAAGAAGCCTTTGATTCCACCTGTCCTGTTTGGATTCTGAGTGTTTTTTCTTCTTTGGAAAGTAAACTTAATTACAATTACGTTTTGGCTGGGCCTGGTGGCTCACGCCTGTAATCCCAGCACTTTGGGAGGCCGAGGCAGGCAGATCACAAGGTCAGGAGATCGAGACCATCCTGGCTAACATGGTGAAACCCCGTCTCTACTAAAAATACAAAAAATTAGCCGGGCATGGTGGTGGGCACCTGTAGTCCCAGCTACTCGGGAGGCTGAGGCAGGAGAATGGTGTGAACCTGGGAGGCAGAGCTTACAGTGAGCCAAGTTTGCGCCACTGCATTCCAGCCTGGGCAACAGAGCAGGACTCCTTCTCAAAAAAAAATTTTTCATTTTTCATTTTTTGAGACAAGGTTTTTCTATGTTGCCCAGGCTGGAGTACAGTGGCACCACCATGGCTTACTGCACCCTCGACCTCCTGGGCTTAAGCGACCCTCCCACGTCAGCCACCTGAGTAGCTGGGATGACAGGCACATGCCACCATACTCGCTTAATTTTTAAAAACTTTTTGTGGAGACAAGGTTTCACTATGTTGCCCAGGCTGGTTTCGAACTCCTCGGCTCAAGAGATTCTCCCACCTGGACCTCCCAAAGTTCTAGGGTTACAGACATGAGCCACCATGCCTGGCCTTACATTTTTTTTGAGACGGAGTTTCACTCTTGTTGCCCAAGCTGGAGTGCAGTGGCGCAATCTCAGCTCACTGCAACCTCCGCCTCCCGGGTTCAAGCGATTCTCCTGCCTCAGCCTCCTGAGTAGCTGGGATTACAGGCGTGCACCACCATGCCTGGCTAATTTTTTGTATTTTTAGTAGGAACAGCATTTTACCATGTTAGCCAGGCTGGTCTCGAACTCCTGACCTCAGGTGACCTGTCTGCCTTGGCCTCCCAAAGTGCTGGGGTTACAGACATGAGCCACCGCACCTGGCCTACATTTTATTGATAAACAAATTATGGCTACAGAGTTTAATTGTGGAACAGCAGTTCTACAGTGCTTGATTGGACATTGTTGGTATATGAAATTACTGCTCCAAGGTACCCTCTAGCACAAATAATTCCAGAGTGGAAGGAAGTAAGATGGGGTAGCCCCCAGAGTTGCTTCATATCTGATTGATGGTGTACAGACCTGGCCATGCGGATCCACATTCCATCTTACATGGCAGAGGTGGATCCCCAGCCTGGAACTGTGAAGAACAGGGACAGGCAGCATCCCAACCATGGGGAGCATTTAACTCCAGCCATGGGATCTTTGCACTTTGAAACAAGCAGTGTGGGCAGGGCGATGCTTGACCCTCTCTATGAAACCTTCCACTCTCACTCCTTCATCCCCTAGAAGTGTCCCTCCAAGAAGCTTAGCTGGCTTGGGCTCTAACCGGCCCTCCTTGACCCCTACCTCCCCTGGAAGCCTTTTCTGGTTAAAACCACTGGGACGACTATGCCTGGTCCACTCTTCTGTCTGGCTGCTCAGTGAGTTCTAGTTCCCCAGTGTTGTATGCCCCTGTAGTCCATGGGCCTCGGCCATTTCTGTAATGAACGTGGACCAACCTAGGACATGGGTAGCAGAGTCCTTGCTCCCCCCTGCGCAGGTATGTGAGCAGATATTCTTGAGCTTCATAAGAGGTTGAAAATCTATGCATCTCGGGTTTCCCAGTTCCGAGGCATTGAGTGCACATGTTGGTGGTTCTTGATTCAAGAAATTGCACCCAGGGTGCCCTTTCACAGGGAGGACAATTGGAGTTCATGCCTGGCCCCTTCAGACTGTGGTGAGGCACTCTGGCAGTGATAAAATTCCTGACTGTAATGCTATTGCTGTCTTATATCCTCTTCTTGCAATAAACCGTAGACTTGTAAGCACTGTCATTTTGGTCCTGTGTGTCTTGTTTAGCCATTGAGCCCTGTCTAACTGCCACCGCAGGTCACTTTTGCTGGGGAAGGGGGGTCTTGGAGGGACCATTTCCTGACATGCTGCAGAACTTCTCCCAGCAGCCCCGCCTGAAGCCGTCTCAATTGCCTGCCGAGTAGGACACAGTGTACACCTGGGCTTACAGGCAACTCCCAAGCCCTCTGGTTAGGATACCCAACTTTTCCCAAAGGGCCCAGCTTCAGAGCTGTCAAGACAATGAGGTGTTTTTGAATACCAACGCCTGGCGTCCCTGCAGGAGGACTCGGAACTGCACTCTCCCAAATCAGAAGCAATGGCAGTGTGACTGTCATCACATTTGTTATTCTCTGCCTGCATTTACATAACATTTCTGCAAAGTGCTTTATAATCATTTCATTAGTCATTCATTTGCTTGATTGCATAGCCTTCAATTCAGTTAGAAAATCTGATTTGAAATTCAAGTCTCCACTACCACAAGTTTTAATTCAGAAAAACTTTCTCCCCCACAGAATTTGGAAACATTTCCAAATTTTGAGTGAGCCCCATCTCACCAACAATGACCGGTTCTGGAGTACAAAGTGAAAGACAAATTTAAAAGAGGCTGCAATGGTGGCCTGGTTCTAAGATCTAATTTAGAAAGGCAGAGAAACCCTGCCCAGCGGTTGAAACATGAAGAGTGCTAGAGAAAGCACTGAGGGTGGCAATTAGACAGGGTTCGATGGATAAAGAAGATGCACAGGACCCAAATGACAGTGCTTACACATTTATGGTTTATTGCAAGAAGAGGATATAAGACAGCAATAGCATTACAGTCAGGAATTGTATCACTGCCAGAATGCCTCATTGCAGTCTGAAGAGGCCGGGCGTGAACTCTGATTGTCCTCCCTGTGAAAGAGCATCCTGGCTGCAATTTCTTGAATCAAGAACCACTGACATGAGAACGGAATGCCCCAGAACCGGGAAACCCGAAATGCAGTCTTGGCCGGGGCTTCTGATATCCTGCTGGTCACATATGCCTATTTCTTGTCAGGGTACCACACCAATGGAAGTGCCCTTTGGGGGCCTCATTGAGACCAGGTGCAAGTCATCAATCTCGCTGTTATCAATAAACAATGCATCAAGCTGGTACAAACTGCCCTGCAGCTCCATGGCCGGAAAACAACACTGTTAATCCATAAGTTTCTCAACCTGACCAGGGCTCAGCACTGTGTAGGTACAGCCCTTATTTTAGTAAGACAGCCCAGATGAATTCCAGGCCTGCTAGAAGTAACCCTCACAGCTCAGTTCCGGGAGTGTGTCTAAGAATAGAACCCACCCACCCTGCCACTGTGAGCTTGGGGAGCCACTGGGCTCAGCCTGCAGGGGGACAGGGCTCCCCAAACCCGACCATTGCCCTAGCCCCTCAGTGTGGCCCCAGTTGTCCAGCTTCCCCTGTCTCCTATTCATTCACTATATCATCACCTAAGCAAACTCCTGAGCATGCAGCTTTGACCATGTCTTTACTCAGCTGTCACCCTCTCTGTGAGCCTTACTCGACACCACCTACTCCCCTTCCCTACTTTCTCTTTCCGATGGTAACTGACATGATCCGTGTTTTGTCCTCTTAGCTTTGCTCATTGTTGTCTGTCCCACTGGAGTGTAGTTGCCACGAAGCAGGGTTTTCATCTGTTTTGTTCACTGTGCATCAGTGCTAGGGTGGTGAGAGCTTGGCACGTACTGAGTGAATGTCTCCCCTCCAGCACTGGCTCCCCCTGGCTTCAGAATCCCAGCAGGGGCCCATCTCAAGGTGGGCCAGAACCACCTTCTTACCGCTTCTCCCATAGCTTCCTCTATCCCACCCAACATGAACCCATCCTTTGCCAGCAGCTGCTTCCTAGGCTCTTAATAAGCCTTAATTTCAACCTGTCCCCATTTCGTCCATGCTGTTTCCTGCCTGGAATTCTCCCTCATCCTTCTCCTTCCTGCAACCTCCTTCACTGCCCCAACCACACCCCTGGCTCCCATCTACTGTTCAAGGCCCAGTTGAAATAATGGCTTCTCCCAGACGCCTGCCCCACGCTGCTGCCTCCAGACCCAACCCTCCATCATGGCACCTCCCACATGGGCCCAGCTGAGCATGGGTCCAGCCACCCAGCTCTGCTCCTGTGTGGTGATGTCCTGTCTGTGACCACCTGCCTCCTGGACTGTGAGGCCTTGAAGGAGAGGCTCAGATAATTTCAATGACCACCATAACAGCCACCACCATCACGTACAGGACATTGGGTTAAGGCCTGGTGTGGATTATCTTTTTGATTTTTCAGAATCCCCGTGAGGCAGGTGTGTGGCTATCCTCACTTTACAGAGGAGGAAGCTGAGGCTCAGAAAGCCTAAGAAACTTAGCGTCACACAGCTAGTGAAGCCAAGAGTGGAACACAGGCCTTACTCGGAAAGCCTGTGTTCTTTTTTTTTTTTTTTTTTTTTTTGAGACTGAGTTTCACTCTTGTTGCCCAGCCTGGAGGGCAGTGGCATGATCTTGGCTCATTGCAACCTCCACCTCCTGGGTTCGAGCAATTCTCCTGCCTCAGCCTCCTGAGTAGTTGGGATTATAGGTGCCCACCACCACACCCGGCTAATTTTTTGTGTTTTTAGTAGAGACAGGGTTTCACCATGTTGGCCAGGCTGGTCTCGAACTCCTGACCTCAGATGATTGACCCGCCTCAGCCTCCCAAAGTGCTGGGATTACAGGTGTGAGCCACCGCACTCGGCCAAAGCCTGTGTTCTTAGCCACCCCTGCTCTGTGCCTCCTCCCCCCGGCTTGTTTGTGTTTGTCTATGCCATGATGTTAGGGGAATAGCACTTCCCACACCTCTGCTTTCCCGGTCGCTCCTGGCCTCTTGCCCCACTCTGGCTGTTCCTGGCTGACAGGTGTGGGACAGGAAGGGGCATGTACACCTGCCCATCTCTTTCCTCCTGGTCCTGGGAGCCGGGCTGCTTCTCGACAGTGTGTGCTCCTAACTGTTCTCAGTCCTATGGCGTGTCCTCACCTGACTCGATGGGACAGTCTCCTTCATTTTGAGGTAGAAGAGGAGAAAGCCATTTGCCCTTAGACACAAGTCATGGTCTCTAATTCAGGCTATTTAGAAATAAAGGTGACCTTTTGGTCCCCTACCTGCTTTAGTGTCTTATTCATCAACTGGTTTAGATTCCAGGTGGAGAAGGGGGCGCTAATTCCCAGGCCTCTGAATGTGGGCACCATGAAATATTTCCTGAGTTGAACCAAAATGGGAGAAGCAAGTGTGAGCCATGGGAAGGGAGGGCAGGGAGGGTCAGGCTCTTTGCACAAAATGGAGATGTTCTCCAGGTATAACGAAAGCCTAGGGACAAAGGAGCAGTTAGAATAACAATTCAGAGTAGTAACTCTTGGCCCTGGGTGACCCACGCTGGGGCTCAGTGAGAGCGGAGTTAAGGGAGATGGTGGTCCCTCTGGTGCAGCTCCCAGGGTGGCCTCTGAAGATGCCCTTGGTGCCTCTCTCGTTGGCCTGGCCTTCATCTGTTTAGCATGCTGCTAGGGGCCCCGTGGCCCATTTGCAGAGATTATGTGAGGCCGTGGCCTCTGGGGGAAGGTGGAAGGCCTCTGGGCTTTCCTCTGTGCCCTGTGAGCGCAGCCTGCACCTGCTCCAAGCTCAGGGCCTGCCATCTCGGTCTTCCAGATGCTTTCCCCTCAGCACAGTGGGCTTCTCGCCAGCTCTTGACTGTGAGGCAGTCTGGCGCTCCTGTGGCTGGTGCCCAACCTCCTGTGGCTGGGTCTTGCCTCCCACAGAGCAGGGTCTCTAGTCCATCTGCCTGGCTGGACCCCACTAGGCCCTTTCTGCAGGTTGGAGTCACATGGAGCCCTGCGCAGGCAGGCTCCCCACTGTGGACGTGGCTGCTCAGAGCTACGACTCAGGGGCTGGATAGTCATTTTGTCTGACAAGATTTAGCTCTCGAGCCCCAGGCCTGCGGGCTCGATCTCGGCAGTCTGCCCCTGTGGCTTGGAAGAGGGAAGAGTACAGAGGTCCAGGGGCTTCTACAGCCTCAGCCAGGGTCTTCTGGTCCCGCCCTCTTCTCCACTTCCTTCTAAGCATGTCAGCTAACATTTAGTAAGTGCTTGTTGTGTGCAAAGCACCTTCTGTGCAGCACCTCATTTAATCCTCACCAATATGCTTCCCCCTTTGTGGCTGAGGTCAGAGAGGCCAAGGCTGAAGTCCTACAGCTAGTGCTCACACTCTCCTTCACAGAAAAGCCATGAGCTGCTCCGAGCAAGGGGACACCTGCTTTAGACACATTTCAGGCTGATCACTGATTGCAGTGAGTCAACATCATCACCAAGACAGAAGCCACAGCAAGATCCCTTCCTCCAGGATAGAGATTCCCTCAGAGAAAAAGACCCTTCCTTATTTGACTTTTCAAACCATCTCCTCCTTTGTCATATCACTCAGTTCTCCCGGTAACGCTATCAGCAGCCCTCTGGGCTGGCTTGTTTTTTGATAGGTGAGGACTCTGAGCGTCCCTTAGTGGGTATGCTGCATGGTGAGCCAGATTTCTAGAGGGGCAGGTAGTCTCCACCAGGACCGCCCACCTCCCATTGCCATGAGATGTGCATGGGCCTGGGAGGCCCAACCTGGAGCCAAAGTGTCTCTACCCATGGGAAGGTTCTGGCCAGGACAGAGCCCACAAGGGCGTCTGTTCCTTTTCTGTGTGGCTGATGTCTGACCCTCGCCAGGTCCCTGATCCTCAACTATCACTCTGTGAAGGAAACGTGACTTAAAGTGCTGGGCCTGCAGCCAGCTGAGCTGGGAAAGGAGACCAGGAGCTACTGGTCACAGTCCCTTGCAGTGCCTGGGGTCTATCAGGGCAAATACTTGCTGCTGAGATGGAAAATCCTTGCCATCTTCGTAGCTGAGCTCAATAACACTATAAAGTATCTTTCCTTTTCACACCCAGTCTAGTAAGAGTGACCCTGGTCAGGCAGCTCTCCTCCAGGCAGTGATTTGGGGACCCAGGCCCCCTTCTGTGTCATGACCCCTCTGACTTTAGTGATCCCCCCATCACTAAGGGGTCATCTCCATTCCAGCCAGAGTGGAAAGCAGCAGGGTGAATCTCCCGTGGAAGGTTTGGATGGGCCAGGCTGGCAAGCCCATCACTTCTGCCCACATTCTGCTGGTCAGAGCCCAGGTACATGGCCACCTCTAGCCACAAGGGCAGCTGGGAAATGCCTTGCAACTGAGGGCCCAGGAGGAGAGCAAAACAAGTTCTGGTGCACATGGTCCACCGGCGTGTGAAATGAGGCCTTCTGGGCATTTGCGTTTCCTCCCTCCCCTGTGTCTGGTGCTGAGATCCCAGCAGGATGGGGCCCTGCTGTCCTTGTTCTTATCGCCCTTGCATTATGCAGTGCTCAGCCTCAGAACGCTGTTGTCTCTCAGGCTGCATGCTCCCTTTGCTGGAGGCCCCAGTGCCTCTGTAGGATCAGAAACCCTGAGTAGTGGACCCTGGGTTAGGGCTGGACTCCAGCTCTGACCGAGGCACCAGGTGACCATGGGCGAGGCCTCTTATCCTTTGTGGCCTCTAATACTTGATAAGCCCAGCTTGCTTCTCGAGCCAATGAAGGCCCCTAGAGATGATAAAGTCCTGAAGGGAAGAGGAGCAGGAGGAGGTAGACTCGGAGCTGAGAATGCCCCACAGAAAAGCCCTGAGGATGCCCAGGTACCCAGCAGGCATGAGTCATTAGGCGCTGCCCTACCTTGCATGGCCAGACCACCCACCTGGACCGATCACTCCACACCGTACGTGACGCCCAGGGGATCTTAACACATTAGTAGCGTTTGATCCAGCCCTGTTCCATTCCAGTTAAAAATAAGGCTCATAAATTGAGGCCATGCCCTAAGGGACAACAATGTTATAAGCTCATCACTTGATGATGATCAAACCTAGTTATAAAAATACACAGCACCTCTGCACCAGGGAGGAAGTGACCTACTTTATACCTCATGGGCTGATACTGAGTTGTCAGGGGTAAGGTCCAGGCCCTTATTCTGTTTTTAAATTCAAGACAGCTCACGGATTTTGGCTGGTTGCTCTTCCTAAAGTCTGAAGCCCCTACCAGTGTGTTTCTGGGATGAATGCTGCAGCCTTCTTGGCTCCTGGTCCACCTGGCAGGACTCTCTACAGGACAGGCTCACTGGGCACTTGAGCCGGAGACCTCTTGGCCTCCGTCTCCACCCCCACGTGGTCCGTTCCCTGGAGTGAGGCACGAGGCTTTCCCGGGTGTTTTTCTCTGTGCCTGGAACTGAGGGCCCCATAGGAGGTGGCCCGTTTGCCCTTGCTGTTTTTATTTTTGAGACAGTCTTGCTCTGTCACCCAGGCTGGAGTGCAGTGGTGCCATCTCCGCTCACTGCAACTTCTGCCTCCTGGGTTCAAACAGTTCTCCTGCCTCAACCTCCCAAGTAGCTGGGATTACAGGCATGTGCCACCACGCCCGGCTAATTTTGTATTTTTAGTAGAGGTGGGGTTTTACCATGTTGGCCAGGCTGGCCTGGAACTCCTGACCTCAAGTGATCTGCCCACCTCAGCCTCCTAAAGTGCTGAGATTACAGGCGTGAGCCAGCACACCCAGCTGCCCTTGTTCTTATTATCTGTAGTCAGTTTGGAAATCTTTCACTTGGGCTCTGGACCCCAGAGAGGCACCCAAGAGATATTCACTCACTCTTCACTCATTTGTTCAGCAAGTGTATCCTGAGTATGTTCTGTGAGGCAAATGTGAAGCCTCCTCTGATGGAGCTCAGCCTCTGTTCATCACCTGAGCACATGTGAATTTATAGTGGTGGTAAATGCCAAGACAGAGGCACACACGAGGTGCTGGGAGAGCCTAGCGTGGAGGTCGACTCAGTCATTGAAGTCAGGAAAGGCTCCCCGGAGGAAGTGGCGAGGGAGCTGAGCTCTGAAGATGAGGAGGAGTAAGCTAGGTGGGAGAAGTGAGGGCAGTATCAGGAAAGAGACCCTGGAGCAGAGAAGGTCAGCCGAGGAGGCCTTCTTGAGACCACCTGACCGTAGCTGCATCTGGCTTCTACTGGAGTCTGCAAGGGCTGTGGAGAGGGGCTGTCTCCTCCTGACCCTCTCCCTTTCTATCTCTGCTTCCAGCAACCTGGGTGCACAGTGGGTGTGCAGCAAGCCTTTGCTGGGTTGAATTCAAGAACAGTTCTTTGTTTTTCTAGCAACCTTCTTAAGCCCCCAAGGTTTATGTAGCTACTTTGAGGTCACAGTACAGCTCAGCATCACCTGTCTGGTCGAGGCTGGCAGAGCTGACAAGGTGACTACATTCTGTCTTTTTTTTTTTTTTTTTGAGACGGAGTCTCACTCTGTCGCCCAGGCTGGAGTGCAGTGGCACGATTTGGCTCACTACAAGCTCCACCTCCCGGGTTTACTTACGTCATCTGCCTCAGCCTCCTGAGTAGCTGGGACTACAGGCGCCCGCCACCAAGCCAGCTAATTTTTTTGTATTTTCAGTAGAGATGGGGTTTCACTGTGGTAGCCAGGATGGTCTCGATCTCCTGACCTCATGATCCACCCGCCTCGGCCTCCCAAAGTGCTGGGATTACAGGCGTGAGCCACCGCGCCTGGCCTACATTCTGTCTTTCAGTCACCTTGGTGGCAAATGCCCACACTATCTCTGCCCATCCCTGTGGATTTCAAATATGCTTTTTTTCCCAAGGTAATAATATGTATATTTAAAAAATAAATTTTATTGCACATATATGAGGTTTACAACACGATGCCATGGGATACATACGGGTAGTAAAATGGTTACTATAGTGAAGCAGATTAACAAATCTATAGTGAAGCGGATTAACAAATCTCACATAGTTGCTTATATTGGTGACAAGAGTAGCTAAAATCTGCTTATCAAATACATTCTTGCCATTAATGTTTTAAGGAATGTATTTGTTTGCCTGCACAAAAAATGAGGAAATTGTTTGCGTGCTTTGGGAGCAGGGGCACCATCCTACTTGATGTATTGAGAAGCTGGGCCTGAGCATTTAAACCGCTCCTTTCTGCCTGTGGCCTCCTGGTGGATCTTGACTTCTCACCCTTTTGTGTGTTGGCAGATGGCACTGCTGTCAGGTCTGTGGGTGTCTAACGCGCTCACTGTGGCTGGGTCTGGCCTGACGAGGCTCCAGGAGGTGGCCATTGGGCGCATAGGAGCTACCATCTGGCAGAAGGCTTGGGGGATGCTGCTGAACATGGCGGGTGGGAGACAGTGATAAGATGAAGTCGCTCCAGGCAGCACAAAAGCCTCTGTCCCCTGGGGCCCTCTGGAAGGCCACTGTCAGACCTGGAGGCTGCAGGCCCTCCTCCAGTCTGAATGCCTCCGTCAGCATGTGGTGCCTCCTCTTCTTCCATATCTTAACCCCTGCACTCTTGTCATGGGCGTGGAGCCAGCTTGCTCTGACGTTATCCTGGGAGGGGTTGCCAGGGCTCTAGCTTTACTCTTGAGTGTGGGTTCTAGTGGGGTCCTAGCAACTTCTTTTTCTTTTCTTTTCTTTTCTTTTCTTTTCTTTTTTTGAGACTGAGTTTCCCTCTGTCACCCAGGCTGGAGTGCAGTGGTGTGATCTCGGCTCACTGCAACCTCTGCCTCCTGGGTTCAAGCGATTCTCCTGCCTCAGCCTCCTGAGTAGCTGGGATTACAGGCACCTGCCACTACACTCAACTAATTTTTGTATTTTTAGTAGAGATGGGGTTTCACCGTGTTAGCCAGGGTGGTCTCCAACTCCTGACCTCAAGTTATCCACCCGTCTCGGCCTCCCAAAGTTCTGGGATTACAGGCGTGAGCCACCGTGCCTGGCCCTTAGCAACTTCATGTTACAGCTGGACCTGTCACCTCCCCTATTATTTCTGAGGCTGTACTTACCTCTGTTTATGGAAACATCCAACCTGCTAAACCAACCTCCAGTAGGCAGCCTCTCTGGAGGGAGAAGCCCTCTCAAATGCTGCCAGTCCAGGACTGCCTGGGAGACCTAGGACATGAGCCCAGAGGGGTCTCCAGATCTCAAAGGGCCAGAACTTGGCATTAGAGATGTGGCTAAAGAGATTATGACTGATATTACTGTTATAATCATCTAATTATTGTGGAACAATTAGAGTGTAATTAGGTGGATAAATGAATTGGCAGCACTGATTTACCACATTGATGACACATTGTGACACACTGATACTTTCTGAAGAGTTTTCTCAACTGGGCTCTCATGTATTTCCTTCTAAAATGATCCTATGACATCAGGTCCTGCTAATCTCATTTGCCAGAGGCGGAAATTGAGGCCCAGAGAGGCTGTTGACTTGCCCAGGTTTTCCCATCAGGCCTGGCAGAGCTGTGAGGCCCTGACGTGCCACAGCCCCCTGTCCAAGACCTTAGGTGCACAGCCTGAGAAACCAGATCTAACACAGATAAGGAAGTTTGGACTCTTGCCTCCCACCCTCCAATTATAAAAAGTCACAGAGACTGGCTGCTGGTGCTGCCTTTGCTTCACCACAACCACTGTGAGAACTGGCCTGAGTTGCCTGTGACTTCTGAGGTCTTGTGTATTCCACGATCCACAGGCAGATTTCCCCAGGACGAGAGAAGGATATCCAATTGCTCATCAGGGAAGGTGCTAGGTCTCCCAGCCAGACGCCCTCAGAGGCCGGTGTCAAGTCTCCCTCACCTCTGTGATGTGAAGTCAGCTCGTTCATGACCTGGGCAGGCAGAGGGTCAGAGGGGCAGATGGAGCACTCCTGGCCAGATGAAGGTAAGCCTTGGGGACACCACAGGAGAAAAGCAGGGACCCCGGGAGGGCCAAACACACCCATCCTCAAAGAGGAAACACATGCGTGGAGTGGCCCAGACTCACGCACTCTTGCTGGAGGCCGCATGTGTGATGCCTGTCCTGGAAGGGCCTGCTGGAAATGGAGCTCCCCCCATCAGTATGCTCAGAGCCAAGTCCTCCGAGCTCCTGCTATCCTGCCTGCCCTGCCCAATGCATTATTAATGAGGCAGCCTTCATTTCCAGTTTTTGGGTAGCTAATTTGTTCCTACAATCATGATTTCAAATATCACATGAATAATTCAGAAAATGATTTTACTGTAGTTAGATAAGCCTGTTAGCTGTCACATATCTGAATAAATTAGCGTCTCCATCCCATGGGGCATGGAGGGGCGGTGCCGGCCACGCAGCAGGGGCCCTAGCGCCGGCCACCACAGCACTCAGAACTTTACTTTGAGACCAAGGAGGCCTCGGGGCCAAGGGAGTAATAGGCACCGTAATTTGTCACGGAGGAGCTTGGTCACTGCTGAGAGTTGGTTGGTCACAAATGGCAATTAGTCTCCCCCTCCCAGATCTGGATTAGAGATACACGTGGTTGCTTGCCAAGCCCTAAGCAATGACCCCTCCAGCTCAGAAATGCAGACAAGTGTCCTTCCTCTGCATGTGAAGCAGCCAGCTCTGCCATGTGGCAGTTAGACATAGAAAGACCCCCTCCCCACAGCCATGTACTCTCTTCAGGAAGACAGGGCCTAAGAAATTCACCTGATTTTTTTTTTTTTTTTTTTTTTTTTTTTTTGTGGTGGTGGTGGTAGTGGTGGGGAAGGGAAGGCACTGTCTCTGTCCCTTGCTAATTGTGTTATATTAAGGAATTTGCTTCCCATCTCAGCCTCAGTTTCTTCATCTGTAAATTCAGCACAATATTCCCAGGACTGCCTCATCCACTGGGTTTTTGTGAGAGATGAGAATGAAATAATGGACGTGCAAAACTTTGCAAATCACAGAGTGCTGCAGAGATAAAAGGCTTACTCTGTGACTGCCTCCTTCAAGAAAGGGACTTCTCTGCATTCCTCCTCAATAAATACCCGAGAAAAGGCAATTCTGGCCCCTCTCCCTGATACTCATTCTTGCATTTGAGAACTTACGTGGTCCCTCATTTATGGAGCAGTCACTCACCATGGCCCGGCACCTGCCTTTGACCTCCGTCTCTTGCATCCGCAGGAGATCTCTGGCTGGGACAAGAGGTCACCTGTGTCAGTGGCAGTAATACTTCTGACTCTTGGCATAGAGCTGACTCTGGTGTAACCATATGCCTGAGGAGGTTCACTGGTGAAGACAGAGTGTCAGGGTGCCTATAGGCTCCATCAGAGAGCAGCCTGAGAACCACAGGCCAGAGGAAAAGGGTTGTGGTCTGGTGGGATTTCCACCTGTGCCTGGCATCACGCTGGCCACAGCACATGCTCACCAAACGCCTGCAGAAGGCATGGCTCAGTGACACATTCCTACTCAGGGGAAGGAGGCCCTGTCCACCTGTGGATTCCAGCTGGAGCACAGCTTAAGGCTGCAGATGGGAGCAGCCAGGCCGGGGCCTCTGAGGTGGATGTGGGATCCACAGCTGGGGCTATTGGCTGAGGTCAGGATGAGATCTGGGGTCCTGCTCAGGGGAGGGGAGAAAGAAAGTACCAGGGAGGGCAGCGAGGACAGGAGAGAAGAGCAGAGGCCAGAGTACAGGGACAAAGATGAGATGCCAGGGAGAGGCGGGGTGTGGGGGTGGCCAAGAGCACCACAGCGCAGGAGGTTAATAAGGCAGGCGCTTCTTTCAGAAGAGGGTCAATCCTGGTGCCACCTCTGGGCAAGTGGCATGAACTTTCTAGACTTCAGTTTTCTCAAAGGCAAGGTGAAGATGATAACACTCATCTCTTGGCACTGTCGTATGGGTTACATGAAGTGAGGCCCTGAAAGTAGGTGGCACAGTGCCTGGCATGCAGGGAGGGCTCAGTCAACATCAACTCCCACCACTGCCGTTATCATGACCATTGCACCTATTGTGATCCTCACTGGTTTCCAGGAACATCTCAGCTGCCCCTGATTGCAGAACTTTCCCTGCAGTCCTAGCCAGGCAGGCAATAAGACCTGGAGATAGGAGGTGTGCACACTGCCTACCCTCTAACCGACTTCCCCAGAGGCTCCCAAGTGAGCATCTTGTCTGGTACCGCCCACTACTCGCTGCCTGGGAGTCCAGAAACTCCTTGTTGTCTCAGGTTTTCCCTCACTCTTTTTCTCTGGGTGGGACCCTCAGGCCCAGCCTTTATGCCCCCAGGCATGCTTGGAGGAGGTGGCCGGATGACATCCTTAGAGACACTTGGCAAACTTAGCTGAGAGATCAGCCACCGAAGCACCTGGTGCTGGCCGAGTGGGTGGAGAATGTCCTGGGGGAGGCAGTGGAAGGGCAGAGTGGTCCTCTCTTTTGGGGGAGCTTGAGGACAGAGTTGGGAGACCAGACCCACCCAGGGAAGAGGGGTCAGAGTGCTACATGAGGCCCTGGTGGAGGGAGGAGTCGGTGAGACTGTGCAGAAAGGGGGATGGCTGGGCTGAGCTTCTGGATGCAAGCAGGGCTGCTGAGCAAGCCATTTATCAGGATGGTGGTGACAGGTGTTTAAAAGGAAAAATATTTGCATGTGTATGCTTTTTTCAAAATAATTAATATTCAAATTAGTGTTGGAGATCCAAATCGCTAAAGTGTAACTAGGCAGAAAACTTCTCTGATAGCTTGTAATTTTCAGACCATTCCACCGTTCCCACTGCATTCCCCTCCCCGCACCTCACCTACTTCTCACAACTGGGCTTCCACAGACTTGTCCTGGAATGGCAGCGGCTCCTGGGACTCAATTCCTGAGTCTTGCCAAACTAAGGGCACCTGACCCTCCACAGCTTCCCTGTGTCCAGCCAGAGCCCGTGAGAAGCCATGTCCTGACACACTCCCCTAAGGTGCCCTTCTGCACACATCGCCCTCCTGAGTGCCTTAGAAAGGTGGCTTTCTAAGGCACCGCTGCAAGCACACCAAGCCCTGCTCTGGTGACATCAGTGTTCCTTCCTTGCTTGCAGAACCAAGTTCGAGCTCCTTTTTCTGGAAATGTTCAACAGGCCCCAAACTAGCTTTCCAACACTATAACCTCTGCCCTTCTCTGCCAGGCCCCCATGGCTGCTGGGCATGAATCCATTTCCCACTCCGTGCTGTTGCTTTGCTGTGGCTGCAGCTGCAGTGCTTTCGCTTCACTCACAGCATCGAAGTTCATCAGGGTCCATGTCCCCTTAAGTGAATGTGATCCTGTTTTAGAGACTAGAATACTAATCTGGAAGGAGGTAATCTCAATAGATTTCTCAATAATGTCAATACTTTTATTTCTCAGGTTTAGAGCAGAATCTACACATGGCATTCCAGCTTAGAGACCGCACCTAATCCTATAAGGCATGCATGGAGGAAGGGTGTTCATAGCAGCATTGAGTTCATAACTTTTGGCAGCCCTTATGCCCCATCTATGAGAGCTTTTGTCTCAGGAGGTTTCACTGAGCATGTGCCCCGTGAACCAGCTGCTGGCAGACTGATACTACCGGCCTGTCACATGTTCCACCCACACCTAGTCACCTGCCTCCTTATCCTTGGCTTGTCTTTTCTACACTGAGTGTTCCCCAAGGGCAGGTACAGTGTCTTAGCACTGTCCGTGTCCCCAGCATTTGCCATTCATCTACCTATTCATCCATCTATCTACCCATTTATCCACCCATCCATCTATTCACTCATCCACCCCTGCATCCACCCATGCATCCATCCATCCACCCATCCATTCACCCATCCACCTATCCATTCACCCATCCACCCATTTATCCATTAATCCACTTAGTGAACACTTAATGACTTTAAGCCCTTTCCTAAGTGCAGGTAATAGAGCAGCAGACAACCTGCCTTCCATTTCTGCCTTCAAAAAGCTCCTTGTCTTAAAGGTGAAGGCAGGAAGGCAAACAAGCAATTACCCATCAGCGTAGCCACAGGGCTGTGGGACCAGAGGAGGCACAGGCCATCATGGGGTAGGGAAGGAGCAGAGGGCAGGGGTCAGAGAAGGCCTTCCAGAGTCAGTGAAGGGTGCTCGAGAGTGGGGACTTTGGAGGAAGTTGGCCCCAGATGTAAGCCCCAGTTCTGCAAATTGAGGGACTGTGGATGAGCAGCTAACCTTTCTGAACCTCAGTCTCTTCATCTATGAACTGGAGATAACATATACCTATCTCATATGGTTATTATGAGGATTTAATGAATTAATATATGTAAATTACTCAGCATAGTGCCTGTCACTTAGCATGTGCTCAAATCTCAGCTATTAAGCTGAGACCTGAAAAGTGAGTAAGAAAGAGCCAAACAAAGCCAGAATATTCTAAGCAGTTGGACTGGCACAGGGAAGGTGCATGCCTTCTCCTGCCTCTGAGAGTGGGTGGTGGTGGCGAGGGAGGCGAGACAAGCTCAGAGCCAGTCTCTGGAGTGAACGCAGTGATGGCCTTTTCACTCAAGTGAATGCAGTGATGGTAGCTGGTTGGGGCTGAGCCAGGGAGACCTCAGGAAGGAAAGGCCTGATCAGGCGGTAGGGGGTGCCACTTCAGAGGGCTGGAGGGGATGTTCCGAGGAGGGTGACTTTGCCTCCTGGATGTCACTGGAGATAGCGAAGGAGCCAAGGCCTGGCCACATCCTTGTCTGCCTGGCATCAAAGGCCCCCAGAACTCTGCTGTTGACTTCACAGATCTGCATCCAGCCACTGGCTTCACATAGGGAGAGCAGGGCCCTTGTCACAGGTGTGACCAGGATGGAAGCACCCACATTCTTTTCCTCTCTCACCTCCTCCCTGAGCTCATCCCTGGCTGAGAGGACTTTAGTCTTTGTAGGGTCAGTTCAGCAGGCAGATGTACACTGGGAAGGCCAGAGAAACACAGGTTGGAAGCAGAAAAACTGTTGTAAGAAGGAGGAGGGGCAGAAGAGATCAGGAGTTGAGTCAGCAATCACAGCAGTTGAGTCAGCCATCACACCTGGAACCCCAAACAGTGCCACTTCCCCTAGAGCATGCTGGACTGTGGGTAAAATTCCACTTACCACATTCCCAACCATAGCACAAGAAGGTTAGAAATAAACAGAAAGTACTTTTGGGGTGCCCCACTAACGGACATTAAAAAGAATTGCCTTAAAAGATGCCTAAGCCAAGAAGAAAGTCCAGAACAAAAATCATAATTTTTTAAAAGTGTAACATATCAAAACATATGGAATATTGGCAAAAGAAAAACTGCATTATTTTAAATCCCTATGTCTATAGGAAAGATTAAACACACACACACCTTCACACAGAGTAAACTAAGTCTCTACCTTAAAGGTCTTAGAGATGTGAGAAAGAGGTCAAGAAAATTAGGAAAGCAAGCAATAATAAAGCTGAATAAACAGGATGGAAAAAATGAGTATTGATGGACAAAACCAATAATTAGGCCTTTGAAAAAATCTACAAAGCCATTAGTCCAACTGATCAAAGAACAAAAACATAAACTAATAAAACCCGAAATAAAACATGAACTGCAACAAATAATATAAAAGAGATTTGTAAGATTTGTGGAGAATATTGATTTCATTTATATGAATAAATACGTGGATGTGGAAGAATATCTGCAGAGTCCAAGTCATTGTACCTGGTGCCACTAGCACATTTGCAAAGAAAATGCATCTTCTTGCTTTGTCATTGGGTTCTGTTGTGGGTTGAATCATGTCCCCAGAAATATATGTTGAAGTCCTAGCCCCGGGCATCTGTGAATGTGGCCTTATTTGAAAATGGGGCCTTTGCAAGTATAATCAAGTTAAGATGAGGCCATCAGGGTGAACCCTAATCCAATATGACCGATGTGCTAGTAAGAAGATGGAAACTGCGCACAGACAGATGTGGGGAATGCCATGTGATGTCAGAGGCAGACATTAAAGTAATGCAGTTAAAAGCCAGCAAGAATTAACCATGAGAAGCCAAAGAGAAGTGAGGGAGGATTCCACCCAGGGTCTCAGAGGAAACATGGCCCTCCTGACACTTTGCTTTCAGACTTCTGGCCTCCAGAGCTGTACTCTCTGGAGAGTACAGAATACTCAACAGAATAATTTTCTCTTACACTCAACAGAATAAATTTCTGTTGTTTTAAGCCTCCTAACTATGATACTTTGTCATGGCATCCATAGGGAATGAATATAGGTTCCCTCCATATGTTGGCTATTAGAACACATTTGCCACATTCTTCAGGCTTATAATTTCTCTGTTCTTGGTCTGCTTGATCTGTCACTTAGAGAGGAGAACGTACAGTTAGGTGCATAGAAATGTCCATCTTTCTTGCATCTATTTTGTGGTCATGGTGTTTGAGCTGCCTATTTGTGTTGACTGTCATTATTGTTTCATTTTTTGAAAATATTCTGCTGTAACTTTGTGTATCTCACAATTCTCTTTGCTACCAAATCAACATTATCTGTTGCAATGTGACTCTTGCTTAATTTTTTTGGTATAGACAATATCAGGGTCATATTTTAGCTTTTACTACTTAGAGCTAGGGTTTGTTAGGGTTTTTATTAGCAGTTCCCTAGGCAGATATACGTGCTGATTTTGTTTTAGAATTTATTCTTAAAAATTTTCAAGAATTATTTATTGTGGAGGTATTGGGTACAGGCACAGGGGTAAGCCCTGGGGACCCTGAGGGGGACGTACTACCCTAGCTTTGCGCTCATAGACCCTGGAGCCTGAGGAAATTCTGTCAGTGGTGGATCTTTTTTTAGCAAAGAGGTCAGCTCGTGCATTTCCTGCCAGAACTGATGCAGAGAGGGAACACTCTGTCAGTGTCCATAAAGAGGTGGTGAACACTGGAGAAAAGCAGACACAGGAAAACACACAAGGGAGGCAGAAAGGAAGAGAGGCAAGAGGTGAGCAAAGAACACGAGGGCTTTGTGCTGCACAGCCACTGTCTTACGGTCCTGAAGGATGCTGCTGCACAATGTTTAGAGAAGTGTTTTCTTGCAATCAGAAGTTCAGAGGCAGTGTCCCTGGTCCTGTTCCACGGGTCAGAAGTAATTTGGACCAAGGTGGGGTTAGCGCCACAGGCAATCTTACCTTTCTCTTTCCAGCATTCTCAAGTCCCAAGTCCCTTCTTGGCTGAACCACTGTCTCTGCCCTTGGGGAGACTAAAAGCAGCTCTGATAGTTCTTTGTTCTCAAAGTTCTTTGTTTTCAAACTCCTGAGTGAGCTGGATCCCCAAACCCTCTGCTCTCATCACGACTGAGAAGTCCCTGGAAAATTGCATTCCTCTGGGACAAGACAACCAGTTTTCCTCTTTGGAGGCGGTGCCTTGTGAGCTGATGCCACATGCCTCTAACATAAGAGAGAGGGCCTCCAGTTAGAGACCATCCAGCTCAGCCAGCTCACAGGACAGATGAAGGAACTGAGGCATAGTGTGGTGAAGACCCAGTCTGAGCTCCCATGGTGAGCTGGTGGTGGGTGGCCTGACTCGCAGGCCAGGGTTCCCTTGGCCCTCTGGGTGGGCATTGGTATGGCCCTCAGAGGTCACTCAACTCTCAATACCCAAAGGGACAGCCAAGCCTGAAAGCAACCAGTGCCCTGGCTGCAGAAGGCCTTCTTCCAACCAGCACACATTCACCCCTCACTTTGATTTCCAGCTCCCATCGAGCCATTAGAGTGAGTGCATCCATCACGCCACAGCTCCTGCCCCGGAGCCTTCAAGATTTAAGAGGCCTTTGCTGAAATATGCTCTATTAATGGAAGCCATGGGTCCAAGTCCTCTACGAGCTTCTCTGGACTAGAATTTCTAACTTAGCCAAGTTTATTTATCTGGTCATCATGGCCATGACAGGGAGACCCTAAAAGTCCATAAACGAAGCACCATGGGGAGGGGGTGAGGAACTCAGAAATAAGTCACCAATCCTGGGGGCTCTGTGCTGTGTTTCTGAGGCCCAAGGATGCAGAGTGGCTCCCTCTCCCAGTCTTAGGAGCTTCATCCGGCTGGCTCATTGCAGAGGATGGTAGGACGACCCTGCATGGGGCATGTTCTGAAAGGAGCACTGGGTGAGTGGTCCATGAAGTGTTAGCTATATGGGCGAAACAGCAGCTTCCATTGCAAGAAGGATTCTTGCTCCAGGGCACACAGGCTTACCCTGTGCACCTCTGGAGGCAGCATCTTCATGCCTGCCCTGGGTCTGCCCCCAGTGGTGCCCTCTGGAGAAGCTAAGAGCTTTCCTTGCAGCATCTCACTGAAGACTCACAGCCAGCTAATAAACTGGGTGGTATTATTCCCATTTTTCAAGTCAGGTCACCCATCCAGGGTCTCAAAGCCACAAAGTGGCAGAACTGGAATTAGTACCCATGCATTTTTCACTCTAGAGTCTGTGCTGTTAAGCATCCACTGTCCTCCACTGCTCAATTGGGAGGGGTTGGCTGGAGGGGAGGCCAAGTCTTTGATCCTTTCTGATGAGTCCTGTTCTTTGAGTCCTTTCTCTATACCAGCCAGATCTGCTCAGAGGAAAGAAGATGTCTATCAAGTTCAGCTGCCCCTCAAGGCCAATAGCTTGGTGGGTTTGAGGCCAGAGGTGGGGGCTGGCTCAGTGATATGCTCCCCATCAGAGCTGCTTACCTGCAAGACTCCCATATTCCAGCTGCACTTGAACCCCAGACCCAGCCATCCTCAGAGAGCAAAGAGATGTCCCAGAGGCCAGAGCAAGGGCTCCGCTCATCTCCATCCTGATCCCTGAGGGCCATTCATGCAGTTGATTCCAGGGGCAGGGGTGGGTGGATGGCTTCCATGGCTCCTCTGCAAGCCTTCTCTCCATCTCAGCCCACTGATCAGGGATTCTTTCCAAAGATTATCCAAAACAGTGACTGTCACTCCACCCCCCCACCCCAGATACCCACAGGTGGCTTTGGGATACACCCAGGGCCTCTATTTCTATTTTTTTTATAGATGGCAAAAACCTGTGTCAGTTTTTCTTCTCTGAATTGCTGGGCAGTGATCAGGGCCCAAGGACACAGAAACCAGATGAAAGTTGCATGTTCACTCAGATAATTCACACTTGGAGAGAAGCTGCCTGTGACAGCTCTGAAACTTTGGCAAAATTCTGTAAAGGGGCAGCCTCATAGAGAATGAAAAGGGAGTCCTGTGATTTAATCCGGAGACACCTGTGTTAGTTTCTAAAACTTCATTATTCCAATTTGATGTCTCTGAATCTCCCAAAGAGCAAAAAACATCATAAATGTGGACCTTGGTTTTTTGGGCTTCTGTCATCAACCTTTTTATCCTGGGTGGGAAACTGGGAGATTTGGAATTTGCAGATCCACTGAGTATCTGCCTCAGTGTGTCTCTAAGAGACTTCTAAGCTACCTGGGCATGTAGGGTGAGGTGAGAGGTGGATTTGGGGGAGGCTGATGGCTGGTTCCTGAGCCTCCGTGTCTGGGTGGTCAAGGTGGCTCTCCCAGGGCAGGTCACCCTGCCTCCGAGCCAGGCTCCCCACCTTGCTATCTGCCCCTCCTCCGCAGCAGCTAAACACAGTCCCCAAGCCTGCCAGCCTCAGAGGGGACTGGTTCCACCTCCGCAGCTGCTGCTGCCTTCACAGACTCACACATCTGCAGTCTCCACTCCAGCAGGGCCCCAGAATGTTTGCAGCCTTGGAAATAGTATGTGCTAAAAATGCAGTGACAACAGCCACCTTTGGAGGATATTTTTAAGGGTGATAGGATCTGAGAGTCATTAGTGCCAGAAACCCGGGACTCATCTTATTTTTAAAAACAAAGTGCCACATCTCCAGATGCTGCGGCCCACACCTCAGGCCATGTCCTCCAACAACCATGCCCCTGGTGTTCATGGGCCAAGACCCTGGCTCAGAGTGCTGGAGATACAGCCAGAAACCAAAATGGGGTGCCCACATTGGGCTCCAAATCTATATGATTCCAGCTTGGACAGAGATGCCAGTCTGCAGAGGCAGAGCTCCCATCTCAGCCACTTCTTTGACCTCAATGCATTCCACAAGAGACTCACCCAAGGGAATGACCATGTTTGGGGCCCTCTGGGCACAAAGGCCACATCTGGCAAAGGAGCCTCCCATGGAGCAGACATGGCTGACCTTTCTAGCCACTGTCTGAGGCCCAGGCTGCAGGGGACTTGGAACCCCATCAGCAACCACTGAGGCTGGTGCTTCCTGGCTTCAGAGGAGGATTCAGTTTTCTCATTTGTTGTGATGAACAGGCAGAAGCAACTCTCCGGGGAGGGAGCATGGGGACCACAGAGGAAAGCCTCCCACCTGTGCTCAGCATTGCTTCCCAGATGGCTTTTTCCCTCCAGATCAGCACTGTCCTACAAAAATACAGTGTGAACCACACATGCAACTTTATATTTTCTAGTAGCCACGTGAAAAAAGTGAAAGGGAATGGTAACATTAATTCGAATCATGCTTTTTATTTAATCTGATTTCTCCAAAATACCGTCATTCAATGTGTAATCAATACATAAAACTGTTAATGAGAGTCTATATTTACATTCTTGTTTTGTACAAAGTCTTTGAAATCCAGAGTATATTTTATGCTCACACATGTCAGTTTATATTAGTCACAGTTCAAGGCTCAAAAGCCACATGTGGCTGGTGGCTACTGTATTGGGCAGCACAGCTCCAGCTGTTCTAGGTGGGTGTGTGGGAGGGCCCACAGTAGAGAGGGGAGAGTCCCTGGAACTGGAAGGGCAGATCACATATCATCCATTGTTACCTTTTGTTAGGGGATGTGGGACAGCAAGCAGTGATGGGCCAGTCCTCAGGCCTTTGTGCATGCTATTTCCTGCCCACATGGCCGCTGCTTGGGGTGGGTAGAGGGCCAGGTTCTGGGGCCCTCGTGGGTCATCACACAGGGTGGAAAGAGTTCAGAAGCAAACTTGCTGGGGATGTGGGCCATGTGAATAGACAGCCTCCCACTTCCCTTACAATACTGTTTCTCCATGAGACAGGGGCGAGGTCACGCAGTCCTTACCAAATATTCCAGGGCCCTGGGTACACGCAAAGCACTGCTTTAGGGTCTGGAAATACATAGCGAAGTAACAAACATAGATCAAAATTCCTGCCTTCATGGGGCTTACCTTCTAGTTGGAGGTGGGGTGGGACAGAGGAAAAGACAGTAAATGAATATACGTATATATGAGGTGCTAAGAAGATAAACAAATCAGGAAGGGAGATGGGGTGTCCTGGGGCAGGGGAAGGTTTGCACTTGCATGTGGAGGAGTCAGAGAAGGCCCCTCTGAAAGATGACATTGAGCAGACACTGAAGGGAGGGAAGGAGGCTCACAGACATCTGGGGCAAGAGGTCCCAGGCAGAGGGAGTAACCCATGCAGATGTCCTGGAGCAGAGATGCACTTGGTGCATTGGAGCAGCAGCAAGGAGAAAGCCAGGAGGAGCTGGGGAGATCCAGCGGGGAAGCGAGAGAAAGAACGGCAGGAAACGGAGGGCCCAAGCCACAGGCCTTTCCAGCTTTGTAAGGACTTTGGTTTTTACCCTGGGTCAGATTAAAAGCCAATGGAGTGTTTTGAGCAGAGAAGTGACATGATCTGACTTCCATTTTGCCAGGCTGCTGGATGGGGAATTGGATTACTTTCCAGCTGCTGCTGTAACAAATTACCACAAATTTAGTGGCTTAAAAAACCACAAATCTATTACTTTACAGTGCTAAGTCAGAAGTCTGAAAAGCTCTTGACTTTGGCTAAAATCAAGGTGTCAGCAGAGTGTGTTCCTCTTGGGACTCTAGAGGAGGGTCGGTTTTCCTCACTCTTTCAGATATTGGCCGAGTTTGGTTCCATGGGCTGCAGGCCTGAGGTCCTGTTTCCTTGCTGTCAGCTGGGGCTGCCCCTGCCTCCTACAGGCCCTGCTGGGATCCTTGCATGGAGCCTCTTACCTCTCAGAGCCAACAATGCTGTTGGATCCTCACACTGTCTTCTCTCTGACCTCCTCCTTCCATTGTCACGTTTGTGACCACAGCCGGAAAAGGTTCTCTGATTTTAAGGACACCAGTGATTAGACTGGGCCCACTTGGGTAATACAGACTGCTGTCCCTGGCTCAAGGTCGTGAACCTCAACCCCATCTGCAAAGGCCCTTTAGCCATGTAAGGCATCATAGTCATAGGTTACAGGGATGAACAGGTGGGCGTCTTTGGGGGCATCATTCTGCTGATCATAAGAACAGACTAGGTGGTGGTGAGTAGAAGGAGGCCAAGGCAATAATCTGGCCAGAGAGGGTGGTGGCCTGGACCAGGGTTGTAGGATAGAGGTGGAGTGAAGTGATCAGATCCTGCATGTGTTTTGAAGGTAGACCCGGCAGGACATGCTGACAGATTGGACAAGCATGTGGTCTTCGAGAGAAAGGAAGGAATGAAACATGACTCCTAGATTTTGTCCTGAGCAACTGGAAGGATGGCGTGGGCCCTCTCTGAAATGGAAGGCTGTGGGAAGAGCAGGCTTAATGTTTACAGGGTCAGGATGGGAATCAGGATTTCTAAGAAATCCTGACTCTTGCAGAATCCTGATGTAAACTTAGGGAGGAAGAAAGATGGAGAACACCATTAAGGGGTCAGCCAGCAAGCCTCAGGGAGAGTGCTCACTGTGGCTGCAGCTCATCTGATGAGCACCTACCTGCCAGGTGGCGTGGAAGCACTCACCTCATCAGCTTAACGCTGCGGCAGGAGCTAACCACCACTGGGGACTCAGCTCTCACTGAGGAGACTAGAGTCAAGTGCAGGACACGCTAACTTCCAGGGCAAGATAGTGGCTTTGTAGAGTCTGACTCCAGGGCCATGTAGATCTGACTTTGATATATTTGATGTCTCTCAACTTGGCTGCTTTTTTTTTTTTTTTTTTAAGGGCTGTACATGAGGTTTCCAGCTGCAAATAAGCATTATCTGGTCCTGGCAGATGGTAGATGCACCTGACAACAATAACTTAACCATACCCTGAGAATGACCCTGGATGGCAGATGTACCTGACAGCAGTGGCGTGGTTTGAGAAATGAGAGTTGCACAAAGAGGTTTCTGTGGGGAGGGTGCCAAATGAAGGTACTATATAAGCTGCATGCTTTTTTTTTTTTTTTTTTTGAGACAGAGTCTCGCTCTGTTACCCAGGCTGGACTGCAATGATGTGATCTCGGCTCACTGCAACCTCTGCCTCCCGGGTTCAAGTGGTTCTCTCACCTCTGCCTCCTGAGTAGCTGGGACTGCAGGCACATGCCACCATGCCTGGCTAATTTTTGTATCTTTAGTAGAGATGGGGTTTCACCATATTGGCCAGGCTGGTCTTGAACTCCTGACCTCAAGTGATCCACCCGCCTCGGCCTTCCAAAGTGCTGGGATTACAGGCGTGAGCCACCATGCCTGGCCAAGCTGCATGCTTTTTGCAAGCAATTGTAGTTCTTCTGTCTAGCCCACAGTCACTGGACTGTCCCTGTATGTAAGTTCCCCTAAATAAAACCCTATGTCTCTTTTGCTGGCTTTGGGTCTCTTCTTCAGCCTCTTAAACCTGGTGCCATCACTATTGGAGTGAACAGGGGTCTAGCACAACAGTGGGGACCCAGGGGAAAAAAGCTGAGGTCTACCCACAAGACAGGCTTGTGAAGGAAGAGTCCTAGGCTCCCCACCCAATCCTGAAGCCATGGCTGCCCTCTCTCACAGTTGATGTCTGTGGCCTCCCCAGTCCAGTGTTCAGGTTGCCCCATGTCCGATATCCTTGGTCTCCTGTGTCTGTGTCTATGATCTCTCATGCATAATTGCCATGGCCTCTCATGTCGATGTCCAAGATCGCCCATGTCCAATGTCCACCTTCTCTCACGTCTGGAATTCTTTCCTAAAGCTGCTGGACAGGCTAGGGCAGCCAACATGGCAGAATGCCTGGCCCTGGTGACCTTATTCTGGATGCATATGGCTAACTTGGGAGCCAGGATGGATTTCTGTAGGATCTCCTCACCCCCAAAAGAAGGAGGTGTGTCTGCACCAGAGAGCTAAGCTCCACCATTCTTTTGTATGACATGAACAGTGAAACAGCTCTCTTGCCAAAATGCTGGAACCCACGTGATGATCAAAGGAGACACTGACCCCTGGCATGGAGAGAGTGCCTGATGGTATTGAAAACAGAGGATGAGGGCAGGGTGGGGGCAGCCTCCAAGTGTGCCTGCTTCAAAAGAAGTAGGTGTTAGTTAATTTGTTTGTTTTTGAGTCTCACTCTGCCGCCCAGTCTGGAGTGTGGTGGTACAATCATAGCTCACTGCAGTCTTGAACACCTGGGCTCAAGTGATCCTGATCCTTCTACCTCAGTCTCCCAGGTAGCTGGGACTGACTGACAGGCATGTGCCATCATGACCAGCTCATTTATTTAAATTTTTTTTTTTTTGTAGAGATGGGGTCTTTCGATGTTGCCCAGGCTTGTCTTGAAGTCCTGGGCTCAAGTGATCCTCGTGGCTTGGCCTCCCAAAGTGCTGGGATTACAGGTGTGAGCCACTGTGCCGGGCCAGGTCCTAGTTAATTGATGTGGGATTTGTATTCTATTTCAGGTTTGAAGGTAAATTGGAACTTTGTTCTGTAAATATATATATGTGTGTGTGCATGTGTGTGTATATATATGCATGTATGTATGTATATATAAAACAAGGCTTCTGGATGGGTTAGATAAGGACTTGGTCCTTAAAAATTCAGAAGATATTTATTGAGTGCCTGCCCTGTGCCAGGTATTCTAGGCACTGGTGTACAGCAATGGACGAAACAGATGAAATCCCTGCCCTCACAGAGCTTATATTCTTCTTAGAGAGTAGACAGGAAGAAACAATGGACAATGTAAGTAAAATGTATGGTACAGCAGGAAATCATAAGTGCTAGGAGAGAAGAAGTGGCAGGAAGGGAAGGTGGGGCCTCAGGGTGACTGGCCAGGGAAGGCTTTGTAAAGAAGGGGCCTCTTGAGGAAAGACTTGAAGGCAGAGAGGAAGGAGGCCTTGGAGATATCTCAGGGAAGGGCATTCCAGGCAAGGCACCAGCAGATACAAAGACCCAGGGCTTCGGTGGCTTCCAGGTCCAGCCCGGGAGGAGGCTGGTGTGGCTGGAGTGGGGGAAGTGAGGAAGAGGGTATGAGCTGGGGGCCAGATCCTGGAGGGCCTTGGTAGGTCTTGGTTGAGAGGTTGGCATTGGAGGGTTCCAAACAGAGGGGTGACATGACCTGATTTTCATTTTAGTAGGCCTGCTGTGGCTCCTGTGTGGAGAATACATTGTGGGAAGGCAGAGGCACACAGAGGGAGAGAGACAGTGGTGGTTTGGACCGACCATGGTGGCCGTGAGGGTGAAGTCTGCCTCAAGAGATCACTGGGTCTGACTTCCTCTGTTTTAGATGGGGAAATTGACTGAGGGGGCATAAGGGGAAACCCTTGTCAAGCTCTCCCTAGGGGCTGGTGGCTGGATGGAACCCCAGATCCGGCCTCTGGCCTCGCACACCATTGCCCAAGGCCTTTCCCTTGGGTGGCTTTTCTTCCACACCTGGTCTCGATTGGACCCTCACTTTGGAGGATAGGGGGTGTGGCCCGAAGACCAAGTCCACTCTGTTGCCCTCGCCTCCCCCCAGCTCCTCCTCCTCACAATGAGGCACCCTCCTCCCCCGTCAGCTCCCCCCGCTTTTCCCTCCCTCCTTTCTCTGCCTCCTCTTCTTCATCTTCCTCCTCCTATTTCTCCTCCCCCTTGTCCTGGTTGAAGAAGGAGTTGAGGCCAATTTGAGGGTAGCCTGTTGCTGAAGTCTGGGTGTACGGGGTGGTAATTGGTGTCCACCAGCTGTCTGGGCCCTGTCGTTGGGGGATGAGGAGGAGAGGCCTTGGGTGGCTTTCCTGCCCCAGGTTCTGACTCACAGGGAAGCGGGGGGACATCTGATTTTCTATGGTGGGGAATCCCTGGAACAAGGACTGCCTTGGGGCAAGTCTTCTGCAAGCTGAGGAGGCCATCTTGGAGGAACGCCTGTGACTGTGACCTTCAGAGGGCTCCATTTGTTGGGCTATGTAGTAAGTAATGTCATTAAGATGAATGTGTGTTTTGGTAAAGGGTGTAAATATATGAATAGTGTCCTCTCCAGCCCCATATATCACCCTGTGTTTATTCAGTGCCTGGTGCATAAGCTAGAAGGCACACATTGCTATTTGGGGCTGTGAGTTTTACAGTACATTAAAGGAGTTTACTGAAAACTCTTGGCAAACAGATAAAATACAATTACTCTCATTCCCAAGGCATTGCAGTCAGAATGTTCTGAAAACCTGCAGTGTAATAATTCACAGGAAGCCGTGGCAGGCAGCCTTTGAGGCATCAGAAGCGCTGCTTTTGTAAACTTCAGAGGCAGCCAAGAGTTGTCCCTCGGGAGACCCTCGTCCTGTGTTTTATTAACCTCCCTGTTTCTGGCTGAGGAGCTGCAGGGGGAGTCTAGCCGGCAGGGCTGGCTCCTGCCCTCGTGAGCTTTTCTAGGGTCATGGTGTGGGGGAGGAGGAGATGAGACCTCCTGTGTTCTGTGCATGCCTCCCTGTCCATGTGACCTTCAGCAGCAGGTTCTGCTAGTCAGTCACCTGGCATGATGGGGAATTCTGACTCCCCATGAAGTGTCGTCCAGGACTCTTAGCCCTTCCTGAGAAATGGGTGTTTTTGGTGGGATACGTGGAAGAAGGATAATAGGGATCAGAATAATTCCTGGTACAGAGGTGGAGTTGTCACCCCATGGAGCTGGGGCAAGATCCCACAGGTGCTCTGGCCTGCCCTGCTTCACCCTACTTGCCGGGGAGATGAGCATGCAGACTCTAGGCACCACTGAGCAAGCAGTAACCTGTGTCACAATGGGTGCTAGCGCTGCTGTCCGGAGCCCAGGGAGATCCAGGATGGTCCTGGGGAGGAGAGTTGGTAAACAGTAGATGGCTTAGCTTCTGGGCCTCTTTGCAGTTTGAGGTGGATGACAGTCAGAGAGCCAGAACTTTGAGGGCCTCGGCCCCTTCTCCTGGAGCAGAGGGAGCAGAGGATGGGCTTTCCTTGAGCAAGCCTCCTCCCTGGATGCCAGTCCTGAAGCTGAGGGTGGGCCCACTCCCTACAAGTTGGGCTGGGTCTGCTATGCTGAAGGCCACGGGTAGGCCCAGAGCATTTGTGGGAGGTGAGCAAGGGGTCTCTAGCCAGTGATGCATAGAGTGGGCAGAGGTGGCTGGAGGGCAGGGGCAGCCCAGTCCCTTCGATGAAGGCCTCTGCATCAACCAGCATCTGTGACCAAGTTCTCAGAGCAGAACACATCCTTGTGGGAGAAGCATCTTGAACAAACCAGAGACATTGCAGCAGCCAAACCCAAATCAGTTGCATGAGCTAAAATGCTGGGGGTCTGAGGTGTCAGGTGGGATGAAAGTCTGGAGGGAGAGATTTCTGGACACCACTGTCTACCTGCACTGATAGTTGACTGTGACACGGCACTCACTTGTGTCACAAAAATACAATAATAACGAATATCTGCCCAAAATGGTTGTGCTTGGAATTTACAAAGCATGCACTTCCGGGTGCCAGGATTGCTGGTAAAGGGCCAGAGGGAGTGTGCTCCCTGCGGCTGCCTCAGTGGGGTGGTTCGTGTGCTGTCCCTTAGGGAGGCAGTCCCAGGGCTTTCAGCCGGAGTCTGACTTTGATGTCTCTCAACTTGGTGGCTTGTTTTCTTCTTTTAAAGGCTGTACATGAGGTTTCCAGCTGCAAATGAGCATTGTCTGGTCCTGGTGCTTAGCACACACAGCCTCATAGCTAGGTGTTGTGCTTGGAGTCCAGGCCAGTCAGGGTTCTCCCTTGGTGCGGGGATTGGGAACACTCCAGGTGACCCACATGGACTCCACCTGGACTTTCTTTCAGTCCCAGGCTCATCGGGAAATTGATAGCTTTGGCTGAGATTTAATTGCTTGGATAGAATAATATAAAGTCTCTCAAGGGAGATCCAGAAATTAGACCTGCTTAGCTTCCTGGACTGACCCCTTCTCAGCCACAGCGGCTGTTTGAAAGCACCCTCTTCCACCACCAGTGAGACTGCGTAAGTGGTGGTGTTTAAAGTAGTTCGACGTTCGAAGGGGCTGCTTATTAATCCAGCATTAGTCACGGTAGTTAAGCTTTTAGAGATAATGAAATGTAAATGTGCCTCCAGGACATGCCGCGTTTCCTGAAACTGAACACATTCGTGAAGAAAAATGGTTGCGGTAAGATTATGAAGAGTATTAATTGTATGGATTTACATACTCTACAGATGGCAATGCAGATGCTGGGGACAGCCAGGAGCCATGCCAGAAGCAGGCAGAAAGAGGGGCCGGCCTTTCTCTGCCCTTCCTGTAGAGGATGCTGCCTCAACTAGATACCAAAGCTTTTCTGCTGGAGTTTGTTTGTGTGTGTGTGTTTTATTTTTATTTTTAAGAGACAGGGTCTTGTTATGTTGCCCAAGCAGTCCTTAAACTCCTGGGCTCAAGCAGTCCTCCTGCCTTGGCCTCCCACTGGAGTTTTATGAGTGGAGAAACAGAGGGTCAGAAAGTTTAGAAAACCTGTCCAGGGCCACACAGGAAGGAGAGGCAGAGCTGGGCCACAGGCCTGGGCAGCCTGATTAGGCACTGGCTTCACCAGCTGCCCGCAGAGCGGCTCCCAGGGTGCCCTGTCCATCTGTGTCCCCGGTGGGGGCTTCAGCGCATCACTCGGCATCTATCCTGACCACTTCTCTCCTCTACAGCCCTCTTCCACCAGGACAGTGACGCTTAAAGTCAGAAGAGCCAGTGATGATGATTTTTAATCAACAGGTGTTAATTACAGAGCACCTGTGCATGCCAGGCACCATGCCAGGCTTCAGGTTCTGTTCATCTTGGAGCTGACATCCCAGCAGTCAACAAATCACCACCAAGTAGATGCGCAGCCACCACGTGCGAGAAGGGCTGGGCAGGCAAAAGAAGGAGAGTGATGCGAGATTAGAAGTGATGGTAATGATAACAACAGCTGACACTGGTTATTCGCTGCGTGCCCCACACAATTCAAAACATTTAGAGGGGACGACATTGTCCTTTTATCTTCATAGCAACTCTATGGATTAGCTTTGCTTTAAGACGAGGATACAGGTAGAGAGCGATTAAGCAGCTTATCCACGGTCCACAAGCAGGTGAGCAACAGACCGGGATTTGAACCAGGAAGTCTGACTCCAGATCCCCTGCTGTCCAGCACTGTGTGTTATTGCCTCTTACAGAAGAAAAGTAAACTAGGATTACTCAGGAAGCAGGGAAGCCTTGGCAGCGGAGGGCATGCTCACACTGGACCTGGGAAGTAGTTGGCCATGTGCAGGCGGCAGGGAGAGGGGAGTTCCAGGAGGGGAGCTGGGAGTGGGGGAAACCACAAGAAGGGAAGAGCTGGGTGCCTTGAGGGAGCTAACGGCTTCCTTGGGGCTGAGGCTGGGAGGCCAGGCCAGTGGGGTACAGCTCACCTTCACGGAGGCCCCTGGGGCTGTTGAGCTGTGAGTCCTTATCCTAAAAGCCACAGGAGGCTGGGCCAGATTTCTGAGCAGGGAAATGGCAAGAGTGATCATTCTTTCTGAGGAAATTCCTCAGTGAGGGGATGAGCCCTGCCCCCACTTCTGTGCCCCCATCAGCTTGGGAAATTGACATTTGGTATTTGGGGAGGGCATTGAAGTCAAGGGCAGTCTGGGTGCAGCACAAGCATCTGTTGGCTTGCACAGTCCGTTTCCAGACTTTGAAGAGGGAGGGAAGAGCCTGGCCACATCACCTTCCGAGGTGGTGTGGTGTGCAGGAAGGATGAGAGACCAGCCAGCCCTAGAGCTGTGTGTGTATGTGTGTGTGTGTGTGTGTGTGTGTGTGTGTGTGTGTATGTGTGACGCCTTCTGAGACAGGACAATTGGTGAATGCATTAGCATTGGCATGCACATTAATCTTTGAGGGAACTGCAGCCCAGCCATGGCTTATTGGAAAGATTATAGCCCCGAGGAAAGACACACATTGGTTAGTAATGACCTGAAGTTTATGAGTCCCAGGACCACTGACTCTTAGTGGGGAACGACTATTTGTAGTACAGAAGGAAGTGCCCCTTGGTGTTGAAAAGGAAAAGGCTACAGTGCATAACTTGGTGACTGTCACACACTTAAAGCAGAAGGAGATGGGGACTGAGGAAGTGTCTGATTCTGCCCTACAGTGGGATTCTCTGGGGGAAGATTTTGGTTGGTGTGTTATTTTGTCAAGCTCCAGGAGAAGGCCAGGGTCTCAGTGACCAGAGTGGGTCGAGAGCTGGGAATGTACAACACACATTTTCCTAGAAAATAGAAATACCAGCTGGGCATGGTGGCTCACACCTGTAATCCCAGCACTTTGGGAGGCTTAGGCAGGAGGGTCACGAGGTCAGGAGATTGAGACCATCCTGGCTAACATGGTGAAACCCCGTCTCTACTAAAAATACAAAAAATCAGCCGGGCGTGGTGGCGGGTGCCTGTAGTCCCAGCTATTTGGGAGGCTGAGGCAGGAGAATGGCGTGAACCTGGGAGGCGGAGCTTGCAGCGAGCCGAGATCGCACCACTGCACTCCAGCCTGGGTGACAGAGTGAGACTCCATCTCAAAAACAAACAAACAAACAAAAAAAGAAAATAGAAATACCTCCATGGTACAGTTGAGGAGGTGAGAGGATGTGAACACACCAGCTATAAGAAAGTATGATAGGTGTTCACAAGAGGGGTAAGTCCAGGAGGGCTTCCTGGAGGAGGCAGGCATTGAGCTGGATTCCGTGACTCTCAGGACAGTGATCATTAAAACCTTGAATGCCTCAGCAGAATGGCCCAACCTTAGGGAAAGGTCCCACTTCTGTTAGATCCTCACGAGGTTCCATGAGCTGAGGTTGAGATAACAGCTCTCGAGACCAAGTCCAGGCTTCTCCTCTTGCTGGCCAAGCTTTGGGGCAGTGGTTCCCTACCTGTAGCTCTAGAGTTCCTCCATGGGAAGGAGAGGCTCAGGGCAAGGGTCTGTGCAAGGACGGAGCTAGAGGACTAGCTATGTTTGTGTGGCGCTTCACATGTGCAGGGAAACATGGGCAACTGTCCTATCAAGAGTGGGGGCACTGATAGAGCTGTGGCCCCAAAGACACCCCCAGCCACTCATGATCTCTGCCACCGTTCTCAGGGTCTGGTCTGAAGCCGTTGCTGGGCTGAGGGAGGCTTACCAACAGCAGCCCTCTCTCCTGTGTCTATGTCTAAGAACACAGGCTCGCATAGTTTGCAACCCACCAAGGGCTGTTCTTGACCCAGAACAACCCCTCATTCTTCTATGTCTGCCAAATTCCAGCCACCCTTTGGGACTTTTTCCCAGTCCTTCCTTTTGCACTCCCTAGAAGCTCCACAAGAGCAAGGGTTCCTGACTTCATTCCTTGATGTTTCCCAAGAGTGTAGAACAGTGCCTGGTGTGTAGTAGGTGCTAGGGAATATCTGGGTAATGAATGAATGAGACTTTCCTCTCCCTCCAGCCTTGGAGGTCCCATGGGATTTTTACAAACCCCAGCTGGCATTTATTGAGTTCATTCCTGTAGTGGTTTAATAGTATCCTCCCAACATTCATGTCCATGCAGAAACTCAGAACGTGACTTTATTTAAAATAGGGTCTTTTCAGATGTAATTAGTTACCATCTTGAGATGAAATCATCCTGGTTTAGAGTGGGCCTGAATCCAATGACTAGTCTTATATGAAGAGGTGAAGACACAGAGTACATACAGAAGAAGGGCCTGTGAGGGTGGAGGCAGAGATTGGAGCAATGCATCTAAAAGCCAAGGAATGCCAAGGATTGCCAGCTGCCACCTGAGGCTGGGAGAGCCACTGGGCAGATTCTCCCTCAGAGTCTCCAGAAACAGCCAACCCTGCCAACACCTTGATTTTGGACTTCTGGCCTCCTGAACTGTGAGATAATAAGTGTCCGTAGTTTTATGTTACCCAGTTTGTGGTGACTTTTTATGGCAGCCCCATGGCACGAAAACAATCCCTATTAATATTTTGTAAGCTCTCACTCCTTTCTAGACCAAGAGCTTGGTCAGATCAGGGAGCAAGTCTGGTTTACTGCTGGATGCCCAGTGCCTAGCAGGTGGGGTGACCAAGCATCCGGGTTTGCATGAGGACTGAGGGATGTCCTGGCAGGTAGGACTGTGACTGGTGGTGAATGTGTAAGTTCCTGCAGCAACCTCAACTCTTGCCTCCTCAGAAGAAAGACTTTGATAGAAAGGTATAAGTCAGAATGAGACAGTGAGGCAAGTTTTAGAGCAGGAGTGAAAGTTTATTAAAAAGCTTTAGAGCAGGGATGAAAGGAAGGAAAGTACACTTAGAAGAGGGTGAAAGGGGTGACTTGCAAGATCAAGTGTGTAGTTTAACCTGACGTGGGGTTTTATATGTTGTCATGCTTCCAGGGTCTTGTGTTCCTTCTCCCCTTATTCTTTCCTTGGGGTAGGCTGTCCGCATGTGCAGCGGCCTGCCAGTACTTGGGAGGGGAGCGTGTACAGTGTGTTTACTGGAGTTGTACGCATGCTCACTTGAGGCGTTATTCCCTTACCAGTGGAACGTTCCTAGAAAGTCATAGACCAGTTAAACTCCGCCATTTTGCCTCTTAGTGTGCATGCTGAGCCCACTCACCCAACTTCTGAGATCTTACTGGGAAGCTGCTGATTACCAGTTTCAGGATTTTTTCTGTCTATTGGGAGACTGCCTTTCCCTGTTGCCAGCTATGACTAATTACTGTTTTAGAGAGACAGTGTAACAGCTGCCTGACCCACCACTTGATGGTCATCTGACATTCCTGGTTGCAGAACAGAGGCGAGGGTGGGGGTGTGTTGGGGGCTCTCTCCTGCCCTGCCCATGTCTGCCTGACTACTTACTGTAACAGGACTTTCAGAGCTAAAATTTAGACAGACAACTGGTCACGCTGCCAGCACGGTGCCTAGCACCAGGCTGGGGAAGTTGTGTCTCAAGTGTGGAAACACTAGACGGCTGGGCCTGCTGTAGGTGTGTGCAGCAATGCTATGCAAATGAGCCTGGAGCTTGATACGAGAGGACTGAAGAATTAGCACCTTCTTCTCTGGGCAATGGGGAGCTGCGACAGGTCTCTGAGGGTTGCAGGGCTATTCCTGTGGAGGCCTGGGGATTCCTGGGCTGGAATGGGGTGTTCCCTCTAGGTCTGTTCCTGGGAGGTCCAGGCATTTCCCTTCAGAGCTGGCTTCCCACCCCCGGGGCCGTAGCTGGCACCTGCCAATAGGCTAGGCGCTTCTTTCTGAAACACAAGCTCACCCTCCTCCCATTTGAATATTCCGAATGGAACTGATTGCCTAAATTGAAGGTATTATGCTATAATGATTGTTATAATTAAAACTATTATCATCTGAAAGAGACCAGAACATGGGAAACCACTGCAAAGACTTTTAAAGCTTTCAAAGCAAGATAAAAGTGCCTTTGTATCAGTGTTTTAAGGAGAGGGAGACTGAATGGGCACCTGTGGGCTCTGAAATGCCACTCTGGCTGCAGCCAGGACAGGGAGCCTGGTTCTCAGTGAGGTGGGTGGGGGTGGCAGGGATATGTGGTCAAGGGGTGGCAGCTGCCCAGTTGGCCCACACCAGAGACTATGTGTGATGTGGGCAGAGAAGTAGTTGTTTTGAGGGCCCAGGGTCATGCTGGGATCGACAGAGCATTGCTGTGAATGTGGGGCTTGTTGAAACAGTTGCATCCTCCCACCTTTGGGGTAGACAGCTTGGCTTTTGCAGCAGAAAGGGAGGCAGTGTCTGGGCCTGGAGGTAAGAGACCTTGGGGCCTCCAGATGGTTGCAGGAGGGGACAGAGCGTCTAGAGTTGTGGGCTCCAGGAAGACCTGGTTTGGCAGTGTTACCGGAAACGGATCCCAATCCAGACCCCAAGAGAGGGTTCTTGTACCTCATGTAAGAAAGAATTCGGGTGAGTCCCTAGAGTAACAGGAAAGCAAGTTTGTTAAGAAAATAAAGGAATACAAGAATGGCTACTCCATAGGCCGAACAGTGGCATGGGCTGCTCGACTGAGTATACTTATAGTTATATCTTGATCATATGCTAAACAAGGGGTAGATTTTTCATGAGTTTTCCAGGAAAGGGACCAGGATTTCCTGGAACTGAGGGTCTCTCCCCTTTTAGACTATATAGAGTAACTTCTGGACATTGCCATGGCATTTGTAAACTGTCATGGCATTGGTGAGAGTGTCTTTTAGCATGCTAATGCAGTATAACTGCTTATGAGCAGTGAGGATGACCAGAAGTCACTTTCATTGCCATCTTGGTTTTGGTCAGCTTCTTTACCACAACCTGTTTTATCAGCAGGGTCTTTGTGACCTGTATCTTGTGCTGACCTCCTGTCTCATCCTGTGACTAAGAATGCCTAACCTTTTGGGAATGCAGCCCAGTAGGTCTCAGTCTCATTTTACCCAGCCCCTATTCAAGACGGAGTTGCTCTTGTTCAAATGCCTCTGACAGTAGGACCTGTTCTTGCCACAGGCTCTGAACTTGGAACCCCAAGGCTCACGTTACCCAGGTGGGTGTGGAGCTGGTGTGCAGGAAGAGATGCAGGCTGAGAAGGGGAGGTGCTGACATGGCAGGCAGCCACACTCCTAAGACCATTTAGACTCTCACTCTGCCCTGCCTCCCCACCCCGCATTGTACAGGTTAGGAGACTGTGGTTCTGAGAGGGAATGTGTAGGCCAGGGTCACCCAACTGGTAAGGGGTAGGGCCAAGCTCTGGACCCCAACCCTAGGGTGCTGGGCCCTTCACCTTGGTCCTCTCTGGCAGCTGGTGGTGGTGGCCATGCTGAACAGGCTCTTTTTGGATTGGTACTGTGGGTGTGAACTTTTGGCTTGGTTGAGCTCTTTGCTATATTTTGTCTGAACTTGGTTTCACTTTTTTCTTTTCCTTCTTTAAGATGAAAAGATTACGTGATAAGTATATTAATTCTTGATAAGAAATCAGAGTATGAATGATAAAAACTAACATATAGTCCTAATTTTAGACATTTGTGTGTTTGAATATGTGTATGTATACTACATTTAATCCCCATATAATCCCACGAGGTAGGTATTATTTCTCTTTTATACACGAGAACATGGACACCCTTGCCTGAGAACACACAGCTGAACCTAGAACCCAGGCAGGCCAGAGCCTATGCATTTGATTCCTATGCTATGTTGCAAAGGGTCACAGAATATGCCAGCCACCAAAATGCCACTTTGGCATAAGGATTATTTTGAGCTAAAGGCAATTGAGATGAAGCAGATACAAGAAAATTATTTTTCCTCCCCTACAATTGCTTCCATTTATCCTTAAGGAGAAAGTGAAAGTCTCCCTTGAGAATATTCCCTGTCACTCACCAGTCTTACTCTCTCCCCGTCTCACAGAAGCCCACAGTTACACTTTGGTCTGTCTTGTTTCATACCTTTTCCCATGAATTTACACAAACAGTTTCTCTGCCCTCCTCATCTTTGCCTAACACAGGACATACATTTACAAAGGTGTCCCTCCTCCCCTCTCTACCAGGAAGGACAAAGGTTGATCACAAAATACAATTTAGACCTTGATTAGTCAGGAGACTGCACCAGAGGAATCTATGTACCCAAATTTAGTAATTAGTCTTTACCACTTGTTTCCCATATATTTGCCTTCCCACAATTTGCCTCCTTTAGAGACTCAAGGTTTTTTTTCTTTTGTCTTGTCATGTCTCTAAAAATTTATTGTTCTTTGTTAGGATGCTATATACCCCAGAGTTGAAACCACCTCTTTGAGAGTTACTCTTTCCCTGACTTTTTGCCCATGTGTATATGAAATATACATATTGATAAGCTTTTTTTTGTTTTTCTCTTGCTGATCTGTCTTTTGTTACAGCAGTCCTAGCTAAGAACTCACAAAAGTAGAAGGAAAATTATTTTCCTTCCGTATAATTGCTTCCATCTATCCTTATGGAGAAGGTGAAAGTCTCTCTTGAGAACATTGCCTCTCACCCACCAGTCTGACTCTCTCTCTCCCTCTCACAGAGGGCCACAGTTATGCTTTGTTCTGTCTTGTTTCATACCTCTTCGTAAGAATTTACACACACAGGTTTTCGTGTTTTTGAACATAAGTCGTATCATTTGCTACATATTGTTTGCAACTTGTTTGCTTCACTGAACAATAAAATTGTGCCTATAAACCTTATAAAATTAAGAAAAAAGGGAGAGGGCCGGGTGCAGGGGCTCACACCTGTAATCTCAAGGGCAGATCACTTGAGGCCAGGAGTTCGAGACCAGCCTGGCTAACATGGTGAAACCCCGTCTCTACTAAAAATTAAAAAATTAGCCAGGCATGGTGATGTGTGCCTGTAATCCTAGATACTCAGGAGGCTGAGGCACAAGAATTGCTTGAACCGGGAGGTGGAGATTGCAGCAAGCTGAGATGATGCCACTTTATTCCTGCCTGGGTGATGGAGTGAGACTCTGTCTCAAAGGAAAAAAAAAGAAGGGAGAGGGAGAAATGACAATAAACCAAGCTTGCAGCACACCCAGGATTGATCATGAGGTCAGCTTGTTCTCTGACCTCCTGCTTCTTCATAGTTGTTTGGTGCCAATTGACTTAGAATGATGTAGATCCTGTTACAAGAGTGTAGTTCCTCTTAACTGTTCTGCAGACAACAACTTGAACACTATAAAACATTGTTTTCCATTTGAGATATTCTTTCAATGAGATATTCTTTCAATACTGATGTCAGCTGGTGTGAAGAGCCCCACAGGAGCTGACTCATCAAAGTATGCAATTTCCTCATCTGGATGATTCAATCCCCCTTACCCTGACAAATCAATGACTACAATTTTCCAGCCCCTCACCCTCCATAAAAAACCCCTTAAAAACCCCAGCCCAGAACTCCTCAGGGAGATGGATTTGAGGGTCTCCTCCCATCTCCTCACTCAGTGCTCTGTGATCATTAAATTCTTTCTCTGCCACAAACCCTACTGTCTCAGTATATTGGTCTGTTACTGAGCAGCAAACACAGGAACCTGTTGGTCCTATAACAACAATACATTTTGGAGATATTGTCCTGCCAACACCTTACCCTTTTTAACTGTTGCACACTATTCCCTGTGTATTTACTATAGAACGTATGCCAGTAATCATGAAGGTGCAAATTTAAAAAGAAGAAATGCAATTTTTTCACCTGGCAGTTTGGCAAACATTAAAAAGATTGCTATTGTCAAGTGTCAGCAAGGATAAGGGAGAACTCTGCATCCCTGCTGGTGGCAGTGTATGCTGGTACAGCCTTTGAGGGGGCAATTTGGCAGTATCTATTAAAATTTAAATCAAGTACACCATTGTCCCAACCACTCAGCTTTCAAGATCTCTGGCCTAGAGAAATACCTGCATACATGAGCAAAGAGGCATGATATTTGCCGTAGCACTGTAACAGTGCACCATTGAAACAGCCTGTTTTCTTTCTTGGTCTTGTCTGTCAGCTGACTAATAAGTTCCAGAGGCCAGGAGCTGGGTCCTTGGCTGTTTCTCAGCCTCGAAGGGGATGCAGATCTGACTGCATGCCAGGAGATCAGCAAACACTTTCTGGTTTTTTCTTCTTTAATATTCTATCCAGGTTCTGTGTATATAGGTATCAAAACAGAATACTGAAAACAAACAAACAAACAAACAAAACCAAAATAGAACTACTGGGCTTGTAATGAAAGATGGTAGTGCCCCGTCCCCTCACCCCCTGCTCCCATCTCCCGGGTTTCACCTGTTTTCAGTGTTTGAGTTTTTCTTGTATTTTCTCTGTATTTTTATGAAACTTGATGTAACTGCTATGTTTTTATTTTTTTATTTTCCACTTTAGAGATGATCAATTGACTTCCCTTTGTGGAAGGGAAGGCTTTTTTACTGGTATTACCTGCACAGCCTCCCCCATGGCCCCCGCAATCTTCCCCTTCCCCTGGCCTCTTGAGAATGTTAAATCTTCATTTTGGGCTAAGTCAATATTCAATGTTTACATTATTATGACTATGTAGCCATTATTCACAGCGAGCCATATGTAGTACTGTGATTATATTTTTCTTTCTTGTACAACTTTTAATTTTCTCAGAAGTTAATAATTGCCCCATTTCTTTTCATTTGTTTGTTTTATAGGTACCAATTACAAATTATTTCCCAAACTCCATGACAGAACTGAAAATCTCTGAATATTTCAAACACCTCAGGCAGTCTACTTGTTTTATTTGTTTTCTTATTTTTCAGACAGCCCTGCAGAGCCTCCCAGCCCCACCTCTGTCTAGACTGCTGTTCTCTAGCAGGTTTTCAATCTAGAATTTTGTCACCATCAACCAGGGCATTCCCTGGACCCTGGATTCCATTTTTTTCGGATCATGCTTTTTCTTGGATCTTTCTCTTCTTTGGGGGAAAATATTTCTGGTAACTTCCTGAGAAAGGGTGAAAAGGTGGTAAGTGTGTTTGAGACCTTGTTTATCTGAAATGTCTTTATTCTAGCCTCATATTTGATTGACAGTATGGCCGACTCTAGATTGTAAATCATTTTCCCTCAGAAATTTGAAGGCATTGTTCCATTGTCTTCTAGTTTCCATTGTTGTTGAGACATCAGATGCCTTTCAGATTCCAAGGTTTGTATTTGAGCTGCTTATTTTCTTTGGAAGCTTTTAGGATTTTTCTCCATTTCTGTGTTCTGCATTTCATGATTATGTTCCTTGGGATATTTTTGTTTTCTTTTTTAGGTATAATTCATGGTGCCATGCACTTGGAGAATCCATAAAATCTTGAAATACAGTCCCTTTAGTTCTGGAGCAGTGTCTTATATTATTTTTTATAACTGCATCCTCTCTGTTTTATTTTCTTTTTCTGTAACTCATTAGTTGAATGATGGACCTCTTAGATTTATCCTTGAATTTACTTATCTTTCTTATTGTCTACTTTGCCCCTAATTTTAATGGAGATTTTCTCTATTTTTCAAACATTTTATTGATAAAAACATTTCTGCTCTCATATTTTTAATTTCCAAGACCGTTTTTTTTTTTGTGAATGTTCTTTTGTTCGTTTTTGTTTTTTGTTTTGTTTTGTTTTGTAAGAACTGCCAAGCTGTTTTCCCAAGTAGCTGTAGCATTTTGCATTCCCATCAGCAATGAATGAGAGTTCCTGGCACTCCACATCCTCACCAGCATTGGTGCTAATGTTCTGGGTTTTGGCCATTCAAATAGGTGTGTGGTATCTCATTGATTCAATTTGGAATTTCCTTCCTTCCTTCCTTCCTTCCTTCCTTCCTTCCTTCCTTCCTTTCACAGGGTCTAGCTCTGTCACCTAGGCTGGGGTGCAGTGGCACAATCAGGGCTCACTGTAGCCTTGGCCTCCTGGGCTTAAATGATGCTTTTGCCTCAGTCCTCTGAGTAGATGGGACTACAGGCTACTTAAAAAAAAATCTTTTTTTGAGATGAGGTTTCACCATGTTACCCAGGCAGGTGTTGAACTCCTGGTTTCAAATGATCCTCCTGCCTTGGCCTCCCAAAGTGCTGTGATTACAGGCAAGAGCCAAGTAATAACAGTGCTTGGCCAAATTTGTAATTTTTTTTAATGACATATAATGTAGGGCACCTTTTTATATGCTTATTTGGCATAGCTTTGATGAGGTGTCTGTTGAGGTCGTTTGTCCACTTTTCAGTTGAGTTGTTTATTTTCTTATTGTTGAGTGTTAAGTTCCTCCTGTTTTCAGCCCCACCTATGTCTCTGCCTTCTGAGGAAGTTGGTGCTCTCTCAATTCCTGGGTTTTCTGGATTCTGAATGGACTCACTCATGCAAACTGAGGCTTAGGTTTCAGCTCCTTCTGATCTGCTAAGTCAGCTCTTGCGTCTGCTTTTCAGCATCCAAAGTCTTGTTGATATAACTTGTTTTCTACCATGTTCTCTCTTCTTTGTCCTTGTGGGTTTCTGTCACTTTAAGATACTGCTATTTTAGAGGAATTTTTTTGGGAGATGGGGATTGATATCAGTTTGTACTCCCATCGGCGACGTATGAGTGGCCTGTTTCCCCACACCGGTAGCATGTGTTCTCAACCTTTTGGGTTCTTGCCAATATGGTGGGTGAAAAATGATTCTTGTGTCTCTATTTAAGAGCTAAGAAACCATTCTGTTCCCAGGAGCCTCTCTAGCAGACTTGTTCTCCTGAGCAGTGTCTCCTTGGCCAGAATTTTGCTAGTCATCAGCAAAAGGAATGCAACTGCCCTAATTGGTTTAAGGTTAATCCAGCTTCACATCCTGTTGTGGGGCTGGGATACAGGCCAGCCTTCTTGCTGCATGGATGCCTGGACAGCACCAGGGTTCTGTTAGCAAGGGAGATGTGGTTTGTGGTTGTGTGTCTGTGACTGTATTCCTGCTCTACCCACCTGCTAGGGGCCTTGGCCTCCAACCTGTGCCTCCAAGGTCAGGCAAGGCTGCTCTTAGGTGTCCCCATTCTCATGTGGTCAATGCCACTTGGCTGCCTGTGATGAGAGAATGGTTTTTGGTTGTGGAAATAGCCTGTTTGATGATCAGATCTAAGATATTCGTTGTATAAACCAGGTAAGGGAAGAATCTAGGCTTTAGAACTGGGCAGACTGGGTTCAGATCCCCACTCTACCACTTATTAGCTATGTGACTGCTTAACCTCTCTATACCTCAATTTTCTCAGTAGTAAAACTGAGCCAGGAACTTCTATCTCAGTCCTCATCAGGAGACTGAGAGGTTTGTCTATAGCATGTCCAGCCCAGGGCCTGGCACATAGTGAGTACTCAGCAGGGGACCACCCTGACTCAGGTCTTCCACCTTCCAGAGGGCAGGGAGAATTCTACCAGCTCTGCCCTGGGTCATGAACTCATGGGGGATGGTGATGGGGAGGCTCAATTGTCCCTGTGTCCCCAGACTGAGCACATGGCCAAGCTCACAGAAGGAGCTCAGTCTCTTCTTGTTGAGTAAATAAGACAACAGCAATAAATTAGGGCAAAAGCAGCTGCTGCACATCCTAACAGCGTTCGGCATTCTCGGCCATATTGAGGGAGAATTTCCCCAGATACCAATCTGTATCGAATCATTTACACATGCCATGCCTGCTGATGACTCGCGCTGTTTATCTACAGCATCAGCTCCATATTGATTTATCAATGCCCATTTTGCACAAGGATCAATAGCTTAATTGTATCTCGGGCCAACATGGGGAATACAACCTGTTTGCGATGTAGAGAGCAGGCCTGAGTTGAGAGCTGCCAAAGCCTTTGTTTGCTCCTTGTGAGTCTTCCTGCACACAGTGCAGCTTTAATGGCCAGCATCCAAGTCCCGAGTGACCAGCCATCGTCACTGTGCTGGCCGAGGACCGTTACTTCACCCAGAGGTCAGGACCAGGAGGGACCTGGCAGCTGTGTTGGGTGTGTAAAGAGATCTGAGTGGATGAGGAAGAGGGCTTTGCCTGCTCATGGCCAGTCATCTGGTGGGAAGTGTTGGGGGTCTGTAGCTGACCTGGGCTTCTGTCTTGTGACTTATCCCATGGTGGATGTCACCCCATTTAGCTCTGCCTCCTTGGTCATTTCTCTTGCAGATTGAACATCTCGGAGCAGGGATGCGTTTTGTCTTGTCTGTTCCCCCAGGGTCTGCCACATACAGAGTAAGGGCTGGCTGAATGCTTGAGAATAAAACACACTGTTTTCTACTTTTTCTTGTGGCGATTTTATTAATAGCGGGTCTGCGAGAAGGTGGTGAGGCTCGGGCAGTAGGTGGCGCTCTGTCAAAAGTCTGAGATCCAAGCCCAGGCAGGAAAGCCCGTCGCACGCAAGGGCTTCGAGAATCTACCCAACTTCAAAATTAAACAGGAAATGATGATAAAGCGTTTCGTATTTTAAAAATCTTGACATGATATTGAAAAGCTTTATTTTATAAATGTTAGGGAATTTCGATCAATCAAGTAATATAATATCCATTTATTAAGTACCTACTAAGTGCCAGGTACGGTATTAATTAGCGTATTCATTCTGATGGAGCCTTCCTTTTTATGTAACATGTCACCCATCGCCCCCATCTAATATTTCTATATTACTTACCTTTGAGAGGAATACATTGATGAATTGCTCTATTAAAAGAGAATAAAGATATTTAAAGTCTTTAATGGGAGAGGAATCACAAAGGAGTTTTTAAGATTAACTTAGAATTGTATAGAACGTTCAGCACATTATGCTAATTTTTTTTTGGAAGTTGAACAGCTTAGAGGGGAAAAGAATCAGCCTGTTCCCATCTTGTTGCAGAAGCTGGGTAATCTATGTCTCATCAATGTTAACAAATATACCCCCTAATAGCATTTTGTGTTCTTAACAGTGAGAAATGCTTCCCTGGAAAATATTATTAGCACTTATGTTATCTTACAGATTACACTCTTGATCAACGAGGGTCCCAGTAAAAATATAATGGCAGATTGCAGCTGATGGGCTTTCTGTTTTTATGTTAGAGATGTCATTATTTTGCAAAGTTGAAAGTATTTGAAAATGCACACAGGCACATGCATGCATGTGCACACACACACACACACACACACACACACACGCATGCATACATACCCCCTCCCTTCCCCACCCCCTGCCCCACACCTACCAGAGCCCAAGTTGGCTAAGAGCGTGGGGCTGGGACGGGTTGTAGTTTGCAGGTCCCAGACAACTTCCCTTCCATGTTAAGAAAGTTGGGGGAGCAGGCAGAGCATGGAATGGAAATGGTGCTACCTTCCCCAGGATGGTACTGGCCCGGCTCTCACCCTGAGCTCTGCATACTTGCTCACTGGCCATCTTCCAAACTGGGCTGTTGGCTCCATGAGGACAGGGTGCAGCGTGTCTGGTTTCTGCTGTTCCCTCAGCACCCAGCACTGTGCCTGGCACACCTAAAGGCCTCAGTAACCCTGGATGAGCCGAGGTACTAATATTTAATGTACAGGACAAGTGATCAGAGAGGCGGGCTAAATGTCACCCAGGGACCCAGCGAGCAGCTCCCCCACTGCCTGGGCCACCTTTTGAGGTCATGAACAGGATCCCAGGCTCTGGCTGTACTTGAGGGCAGGACTGTGGCCTTGGAAAGCTTACTGTAAGGACGAGCAGATGGCAAGATCTGCCTGGACTGGGACTGAGTGAGCTGGAGACGGCTTCTGGAGGAAGTGGGGCAAGTTATGAAGAAGAGGAGGGAAAAGTCTGAGAGCAAGAATGAGATTAGGGTGTGTGTTGCAGGCCTGAGGATAGGGCAGGGCAGGGAAGAACCTGACTTGATGCGAACCCAGGCTTCCGGGCCCCAAGGGATCTAAGTTCAAGGCTCCACTTTCCATCCCTTTTATCCTTGGAGGAGTGCTTTGGGCTTTTCTCCCCCCAGGAGCCTCTTCTCCTTTCTCAAAGGACCATTTCCCATCTGCAAAGTAGGGCATGCGGTCAGCTGTGTCTCTGCAGACTGTAGTGCTGGCCATCAGGGAGTCTGTGGACATGTTTCCACCTGTGTGTTCACCATGTGTGTCATGAAGTAGCTGCTGCATTTCCCTGAGGGTGGCTGTGTGTGCTGAGCAGGGAGGGAACTCCCCCAAGGAGCTCACAGTCCAGTGGAGGAAACAGAATCGGCTCATGGGATTATGTGGTTCAAGCGCCACTTCAGGAGTCTCATCCTTAAGTCTTTGTGTTCCCAGACCAAGTACACAGCTTGGGCCTCAGCAAGTCCTAATCTCAGTGAATCGAAGAAAAATCATAGGGGTGTTGGGGACTAAGAGTAGGGGCTGGAGCTGAGCCACTTCTTACTAGAAGTATGGGCAGGGTTGATAAACAGGAAGGGGAATGGCATTCTGGGCTGAGGCAGTGGCAAGGACAAAGGCTCAGAGATAGGAAAAGACGACAACGTTAGGAGTGATCCAGGCTGTCTTGCATGGGGTGCAAGAAGAGGGGCCAGTGCCTTTGAGGTCAGATCACAGGGGGCCTGAGAGGCCAGAGCAAGGTGTCTGCACTTGCTCCTTCTCTGTCTCTCTGCTTGGGGATTCTGAGCAGGGTATGTCCAAAAGGGGGTGGCATCCTGTAGGCAGAACTATGGAGCCCTCTGAGGTTGGAGCTGCTCCCCCACCTGGAGGGCTGAGCGGTTGGAGAAGGGATTGGAGGACAAGGGGCTCCAGCCTAAAGCTTGAAGCCAGGGAGGGCTAGCCTCTCACCTTGCAGATGCTGAAAGGGACACTACACCTTATTCTGGAAGGAAAAGCAGTACCTGGGGAGTGTGACGTTGGCTTTCTGGGTTTCCGGCAGGGCCAGGGGCTGCCTTATGGCCTTTCACCCCCTCAGCCGGGGATGGAGCTCAGGCCTCCGGGATCTGTGTGAGTCCAGGACGGGGCAGTCTCTAGGCCCAGGCAGTGTACACAAAGAGGGGAAAGTGAGGACAGATACTGCAGACCCCATGGGTCCCTCACATCCCTGTGGCCCCAGGGTATGGCCTCTGCATCTTCTACAGAGCTGCCAGGGTACGCTTATCCTGATGGGGGCTGTGTTGTAGGAGATGGGCCAGTAAGGGGTGGCAGCCAGTGGGTAGGCTGCCAGGATTTTCTGGGCTCTGGGGAGTGCTGTCCCTGGCTCTTACGGGAGGGAGGCAGGGAAGAGAGGCTATGCTGCTTATGGAGGCTCACGCTCTCTCTCCTTCCTCGGGTGAGAAGCAAGCCCAGGCAGCAGCGCAGCAAGGAGGAAGAAGACCTCAGTGCTGTCTGAACTCTGTGCCCCACTCCCTTGGGGAAAAAGTTGAGTATCCTATTAAATTACAGCTCTGCAGAGCTGTGCATATATTTAAGAGTGAGGCACTAAAGCGTGGAATAGAAGAGTGTGTGTGTGTGATGTGTGTGCACGCCTGTGCTCTGTCTAGCAGTGGGCTTCACTGCAGAGGGTAATTGGATTTGAGGGGTATCATATCTTTAGTTTCCTAAAAATGCTGCAACAAATGACTATAAACAGTTCTGGAAGCCAGAAATCTGAAATCAAGGTGCAGGCAGGGCCGCCACCTCCAGCTGCTGGTGGCTCCTAGTGTCCTTGGGTCATGGCAGCACAACTCCCGTCTCTGCCTCTGTCTTTACACGACTGCCTTCCCCATGTCTCTCTCTGTCCATTTTTTGTCTCTTATAGGGACATTCTCATTGGATTAGGGACCAGCCTAACCCAATATGATCCCGTCTTGGTTTTTACCTCAACTATTAATATATCTGCAAAGACTCTCTTTCCAAAGCAGGTCACATTCTGAGGTTCTGAGTGGACATGACAACCCACCAGAAAGGGGGACCCTTGTCTGTCTGTATCTATAAGTCTCTTTTCTTGAGGTTGTAATCTTCCTGTGAGCCAGTTCACCAAGGTTATCAGAACTAGGCAAGGAGAGGGGCTGGGACTCTTGCCATTTGGTAAGTAGACTTCCACTTCATTTATCTTTAGGATGAGCCCTGCACTCAGCTGGGCCTGGGGTCCCAGAAAGCAGCCCTTGGGGACCAGCCTGTCTTGAGGGCAAATTTCCAGCCTGCCAGAGACAAGTGGGGAGGTGGGTGTGGTGAGCAGCTCTCAGCTGTACAAAGCAAGGAGGGCACTGGGGATCCAGTGCTTCTTCCACAGATTTCCAGCAGCCCCTCATTGTGCAGTGCCACCTTCCCCCACCTCTCACAGGCACTTGGGCCTCTCATTCCAGAGCCCGGGTGGCATTGAGGAGGTTGCAAATCAGCTGCTTCCAGACTTCTCCACTGCTGGCTTCGCCTTGGCTTTCCCTGGTCGGCTATGTCAGTCACTGTTTACCCATCTGCTTTCCAGCTGCCTAAATTTGGATGCCATTTGCCTCCTATCCCATTCACATCTTTGTGGGCGTCACCCTTTTACTGTCTCTTTCTAAAATCTGCCAGTGGGCTCTAATCACATTCAGAATGAAGCCTGGACTCTTACCACCTTCTTCTGGGCCTGTGGGAGCTGCTGCTGCCGCTGCCTCCAGCCCTCTCCTACCCTGAGCCTCCTCACACACCACATGCCTGCCTCCAGGGTCCTCAGCTCATCCTTCTCATCCTCTCTCCTGAAAAAAGTCACTCTTTGGAAAGATCTTCCTGACCTCCCTCCCATTAATCTTATTGCTGTGCCCCATGCTGCCCAGCAATACTTTGTCTTTCTATATCTGGCTTGTCCACTCATCCCTCCAGACTCTGCACCCCTCGCCACCTGCTCTGGGCTGGGAAGCTCCCATGCATGGGCCACACCACGGGGCTCCCTTGCCTCCAGCATCCTGTTGTGTTCATTCAGTGCGGGCACAGGCCAGAGACTGGAGGGTGGAAAGAAAGAGAGATGGGCGTGTTTATACATTGATCCCTGTGTCCCTTTGAGGAAGGCCTCAGCCCCCGTCAGGGGGTTCTCTCTATGCAGTTCCCCTCCCAGCATTCCAGAAACTTTGCCCTTCCCTTGACTCTCAGGCTTATAGGTCACTGCTTCCTCCTTAAGTACTGCCTTACACACACTTTAATCAATAGCCCCCCCTCCAAGTAGCAGGTCTGATGGTGCCATTACTTTCTGACTAGGACTCCTACCTACTTTTCTTTTAAATTTATTTGTTTACTATTCATCTCCCGTTCTAGACGATACATTCTGAGGGGACCAGCACTGTCTGGTTTACTGCTGAATTCCCAGGATCTGGCACACACAGGGTGTTCAATAAACATCTGTCAAATGAACGTGCACACCCACGCATGTGTGCCTACCTACAGACACGAGCCTGGGTGTACATGCAGACGTATCCATACACCAGAAGTCTCTGCAGGCTCTGGCAGCTTGGGGCCTTCAGATAGTTAGGAACAGAGGTTGCTCCTGAGCAAGTGTGCCTGGAACTTCGTGACCTCCTTCCATTTATTTGTGATCCAGTTTGTGGAAGCCACCAGTGTTCCTACAGTGTGGCCACACTGTGTCAGCTTAGCCTCTCTAGGCTTCAGCTTCCCTGCACAGGGATAGCAGTACCTTCTCTGTGACCACCTCCCTTGGTGATCCACGAGCTTATGCGCCAGCTTCTCTTGGTCTGTTGGTGACCCCTGGAGGTCACAGTGTCGAATGTGGGATGTGCCAGGTCAGCTGTGGCAGCTGGAGGAAGGTCGCAGGAGTCTGGAGGGACTTGACCAGGAGTGAGGATGGAGAGAGACTCCATGAGGATTTATGGTGTCAAAATGCCTTCTCACTAAGTGTTTACTCCAGGCTATAGTCAAGTAGCTGGTGGGTCTAGTTTTCCATGGAAGTTATATCCAAAAGGGAAGTGAGGCTTGGGAGAAGTCAGCTGGGCAGCCAGCCACTCAGAAATGATGCCCTGCTCAGCTGGGAGGCTGGAGAGGGACAGATGAGCCTCCATGCTGGGGAAAGAGTTGAGGAAAGCAGTGACCCCCTCTGGTTGTTCCCCTCCTCCACTTCTCTTCCTTCTGCAGATTTCTCTTCTCCCTCTCTATCTCTCTCCTGGTCTGCCCAAGAGAGCCTAGAAGTTTCCGGAAGGTTTCTTGGGGAGTCTAGGATATGAGGCTCATTCTCATTGAGGCTTTAAAAGGAGGCCATCAAACCTGTCTGAGATCAGGTTTCTACTACATGTGTGGAATGTCGAAGCTGATGATAGTCTATGAAAATTCAATAAACCTTGAAAATGGCATCAGGGTTTATGTCTGTAATTTAAAATAACAGATACCAAGAAATTGTTTCTCATTTATCTCTACTGCTGAGATGTTGGCACCAAAGAGACTTCATTAAGTGTAGATTTTTTTTTAAGTAAAAAATAGTGTCATTTATCTCAATCAGTGACATATATGGGAGGTGCTGATGGTTGTGTTTAATAATACCTAACCAACAAAAGCCCCAGTTCTTTTCACAGTTTGGGACAAGTAAATGGATATGCCAAAATTGCTTCACAGTGGGAGAGGCACAGAAACTTATAAAGCCTCATTCTGATATAAAAGTGCCACTTTTGGTTTGTTAAGCAGCACATTTGACTTGTGCTGTTGTTCAGAAATAGGGGAAGGTGGCAGGAGGGTTCTGACAATGTGGCCAGGTCCTGGGCCATGTTTGATCAGAAGTCCTCCTCTCTGCAGCCCTTTTCCCATCTAGGAGCCTTGAGCTGAAGCTGGGAAGGTACCTGTGAGAGACAGCCTCTTTCAGAGTAGTTACTGGCTCTTAGCTCCCAAGATGAGCTGTGCTCAACTGGAGAGATTCCTGAAGTGTATGTGTGTATATATACATGAGTACGTGTATATATGTATGTATGTGCATATGTGTGCCTGTGTGTCTGTGTGATGCCCAGGCTTCTCCCTAATGAGTCAGGAGTAGCATTCCTCTTTTTGCAGTGTTCTTGTTACCTGGTGTCTATATTTTAACTCCCTCACCCCTCACTAGTCAAGAAGCTGATTTGTAAGCCAAGCTCCTGCTTCTCAATTCTTTTTTTTTTTTTTTTTTTTTTGAGATGGGAGTCTCGCTCTGTTGCCCAGGCTGGTGTGCAGTGGCACGGTCTCGGCTCACTGCAAACTTCGCCTCCCAGGTTCAAGCAATTCTCCTGCCTCAGCCTCCTGAGTAGCTGGGATTACAGGCTCCCGCCACCACGCCCAGCTAATTTTTCTATTTTTAGTAGAGACAGGGTTTCACCATGTTGGTCAGGCTGGTCTCGGACCCCTGACATCGTGATTCACCTGCCTTGGCCTCCCAAAGTGCTGGGATTACAGGCATGAGCCACCGCGGCCGGCCTTTTTTTTTTTTTTTTTTTTTTTTTTTTTATTTGAGATGGAGTCTCGCCCTGTCCCCCAGGCTGGAGTGTAGTGGCACGATCTCAGCTCACTGCAAGCTCCGCCTCCCGGGTTTACGCCATTCTCCTGCCTCAGCCTCCCTAGTAGCTGGGACTACAGGCGCCCGCCAACACGCACGGCTAATTTTTTTTTGTATTTTTAGTAGAGATGGGGTTTCACCGTGTTAGCCAGGATGGTCTCTCGATCTGCTGACCTTGTGATCCACCTGCCTTGGCCTCCCAAAATGTTGGGATTACAGGCGTGAGCCACCGCGCCTGGCCCCTCCTGCTTCTCAGTTCTACAGCCATGAAATAAAGCCTGTATTGCTTGATGCTCACTTTTGGATCTGTGTATTGGCTTTGTGGCACCAAAGAGGGAAAGACCTCATTTTCTGGGGGGGACTGGTTTTGTAGGTAACATTCTCATTTTAGAAACTGAAGATCAAAGCAAGTATTCAGTTTCCTACAAGTGACAATTGGCAAAGCAGGAGACAATCCATCTGAGGGTGATTCATTAATTCCTTTGTTGGGACAAAGAACATTTACATCAGATCTTAAACTCTTCCACAGTCCTGGCTTGGCTGCAGGTGGGAGCCAAGGACTGGTCCTGAGTCAAAACCTACAGGACATCTGGGAGTAGAGGTTTCCCTGAGCCCCCCAAGTTTGGATCACTTGTTGCTTTGATCCTATGCTAGTTTTGTGCTGTGTGCCCACATGGTGCTGCCAAAGCCATGGTGGGGGTGGCAGTGATGCAAGCTGATTGGGCATAGGTGGCCCTGTGGGTGCTCAGCTGGCAAGGCAGGGGATTCCCAGGGAGGCGTCTACTCTGCTAAGTTGTGAAGCCCTGCTCTCCTCGCTCTCCTCAACTCTCAACACGGGCTGCTTGTGCTTCTGTGTTTCATGCACAGGTCACAGGTGTGTGTGTGCACCTCTTCCCCTTGCACATGCATGTGCACACACTTGCATACACGCGAGCCCACACCCACAGCCACCTTCTGAAACGAGCCTCATTCATCCTGTGACAGCAGCCAGGGACATCCTACTGTTAGGAAACGGATCAATTGCTAATTGATCAAATATTAAATGCTAGTTAAACACCGCACTGAATAATTCACCTTTTCTCATGTGAGCAACTTCGTAGCTACTGGAACAGGAAGTAGGAATTTTCATGCTGCTATCAGTGTTAGAGATGTGGGGAGGATATGTTGTTTGTTTTCCTGAAGTGTTGCGGAATGTGTGAGAACCAAAATCTTCACTTATTAAATTCAGTCCTGTGGGAATACAGTGTCAAGATTTCCTATCTCAGCCTGATGTTTTAAAGAATCAGGTGGCAGAGACATGGAGAACCTTGAGAGGAGAGGTGGCCTTCAGATCAATTTATTTTATTTTATTTTATTTCATTTCATTTTTGAGCTGAGATTTGCTTTGTCACCCAGGCTAGAGTGCAGTGGCATAATCATGGCTCACTGCAGCCTCAAACTCCTGAGCTCAAGTGATCCTCCTGCCTTAGCCTCCCAAGTAGCTGGGACTACAGGTGTGTATCACCATGCCCAGCTAATTATAAAACAAAAATTTGTATAGGCAAGGTCTTGCCTTTTTGTCTGGGCTGGTCTCAAACTCCTGGGCTCAAGCAATCCTCCTCCCTCAACCTCCCAAAGTGCTGGAATCACAGGTATGAGCCACTATGCCCAGCCTGGAAAGGAATTCTTTGGTGGGAGGAACAGGGAACAGCCTTGACTGGGGAAGAGAAGGCTCAGAGACCAAGGAGGAATCCTGTTATGGTAGGCTCAATCATGTACCCCAAAATGTCCACTTCCTCATCCCCAGAACTGTGCATAGGTTCCCTTACACAGCATCGGGGACTTTGTAGATGTGAACAAGTGAAGAGTCTTGAGACAGGAAACTTACCCTGGATTATCCAGGTGGGTCCAATGAAATGACAAGGGTCTTTTTAAGAGACAGGCAGCTGGGTGTGGTGGCCCATGCCTGTAATCCCAGCACTTTGGGAGGCCAAGGTGGGCGGATCACTTGAGGTCAGGATTTCGAGACCAGCCTGGCCACATGTGAAACCCTGTCTCTACTAGAAATACAAAAATTAGCTGGACGTCATGGCACATGCATGTAGTTCCAGCTACTTGGGAGGCTGAGGCAGGAGAATCACTTGAACACAGGAGGTGGAGGTTGCAGTGAGTCGCGTCACTGCACTCCAGCCTGAGTGACAGTGAGACTCTGTCTCACAAAAAAAAAAGAAGAAAAAAAAAAGAGGCAAGAGTGTCAGAGTCAGAGGAGATGTGACAATGGAAACAGAGTTCAGAATGGTGCCACCAAGACCCAAGGAATGTGGGCAGCCTGTGGAAGCTGGACAGGGCCAGGAACGCATTTTCTGTTAGAGACTCCAGAAGGAACACATCTCTGCCGACACCTTGATTTTAGCTCTGTATGATCCATTTTGGATTTCTGACCTCCCCAGCTGTAAAGTAATACATTTGTGTCATTTTAAGCCAGTACATTTTTGGTAATTTGTTACAGCCGCTATGGAAAATGATACATGCACCCTCGACTCTCTACATACAACTTGCTATGTGCCCACAATGATACCACCAGACTCGCTCCTTTAGAGGCACTTGCGGGAAGCAGATATTCTCTATTGTAATTAATATTCGTAAGAACTTACTATGTGCCGTGCTCTGTGCTAGGAGCTCTACCTGCGCTTGCCTATTCGCTCCTTACTGAGAGCCTGCAGTCAGGTACCATTACTATTTATACCGTATTAGTTATCTACTGCCGTGTAACAAAAAACAGCTCAAGAAAACACACATGTATTATCTCTCAGTTTCTGTGGGTCAGGAATCCAGGAGAAGCTTAGCTGGGTGGTTCTGGCTCAGGGTCTCTCATGAGACTGCTGTCAAGGTGTCATCCAAGAGCTTGACTCGTGGAGGGCCCACTTCCCAACTCAGGTTCCCTGGCTGTTGGCTGGAAGCTTCAGTTCAGTTTGTCACGTGGGCTTCTCCAGTGGGCTGCTCACAGCATGGCAGCTTGTTTCCCCCAGAGCAAATGCTGAGAAAGAGAATGAGAGTGAAAGAATGCAAAGTGAAAGTCACAGCCCTCAGTTTCAGAAGTGACATCCTGGCCAGGCACGGTGATGCAAGCCTGCAATCCCAGTGCTTTGGGAGGCCGTGGTGGGAGGATTGCTTGAGGCCTGAACAACCTTGTGAGACCCTGTCTCTCCAAAAACATAAAAATAAAAAATTACCTGGGTGTGGTGGCCTATGTCTGTAGTGCCTGCTACTCAGGAGGCTGAGGCAGGAGGATGGTTTGAACCCAGAAGCTGGAGGCTGCAGTGAGCTATGATCATGTCACTGCACTCCAGCCTGGGCAACAGAGCAAGACCCTGTCTCAAAAGAAAATAAAAGAGTCTTCCTTCCTTCCTTTCTTCCTCCCTTCCTCCCTCCCTTCCTCCCTCCCTCCCTCCCTCCCTCTCTCCCTTTCTTTCTTTCTGTGGTCTCCCTCTGTTGCCGAGGCTGGACTGTACTGCCGTGATCTCGGCTCGCTGCACCTCCCTGCCTCGGGCTCCCGTGATTCTCCTGCCTGGGCCTGCCGAGTGCCTGGGATTGCAGTCATGCGCCACCACGCCTGACTGGTTTTTGTATTTTTGGTGGAGATGGGGTTTCGCCGTGTTGGCTGGGCTGGTCTCCAGCTCCTGACCTCGAGTGATCTGCCCGCCTCTGCCTCCCAAGGTGCTGGGATTGCAGACGGAGTCTCGCTCACTCAATGCACAAATGTTGCCTAGGCTGGAGTGCAGTGGCATGATCTCGGCTCCCTACAACCTCCACCTCCCAGCCGCCTGCCTTAGGCTCCCAAAGTGCTAAGATTACAGCCTCTGCCCAGCTGCCACCCCGTCTAGGAAGTGAGGAGCGTCTCTGCCTGGCCACCCGTCATCTGGGATGTGAGGAGTGCCTCTGCCCGGCCGCCCATCGTCTGGGATGTGAGGAGCGCCTCTGCCCGGCTGCCCCGTCTGGGAAGTGAGGAGCGCCTCTGCCCAGCCGCCACCCCGTCTGGGAGGTGAGGAGCGTCTCTGCCTGGCCGCCGCCCTGTCTGGGAAGTGAGGAGCGCCTCTGCCCGGCCACCCCGTCTGGGAGGTGGAGAGCGCCTCTGCCCGGCCGCCACCCCATCTGGGATGTGAGGAGCGTCTCTGCCTGGCCGCCCCGTCTAGGAAGTGAGGAGCACCTCTGACTGGCTGCCCATCGTCTGGGAAGTCAGGAGCGCCTCTGCCCGGCCGCCCCGTCTGAGAAGTGAGGAGCGCCTCTGCCCAGCCGCCCCGTCTGGGAAGTGAGGAGTGCCTCTGCCCAGCAGCTGCCCTGTCTGGGAAGTGAGAAGCATCTCTGCCCAGCCGCCCCGCTGGGAAGTGGGGAGCGCCTCTGCCCGGCTGCCCTGTCTGGGAAGTGAGGAGCGCCTCTGCCCAGCCGCCCCGTCTGGGAAGTGGGGAGCACCTCTGCCCGGCCGCCCCGTCTGGGATGTGAGGATTGCCTCTGCCTGGCCGCCACCCCATCTGGGATGTGAGGAGCGCCTCTGCCTGGCCGCTGTGCAATCTTCCAAGTGCGAAGTGACAGACTTTCTACAGGTGTACCCAACAGCTCCGAGGAGACAGCGACCATCGAGAACCGGCCATGATGACGATGGCGGTTATGTCGAAAAGAAAAGGGGGAAATGTGGGGAAAAGAAAGAGAGATCAGATTGTTACTGTGTCTGTGTAGAAAGAAGTAGACATAGGAGACTCCATTTTGTTCTGTACTAAGAAAAATTCTTCTGCCTTGGGATGCTGTTAATCTATAACCTTACCCCCACCCCGGGCTCTCTGAAACATGTGCTGTGTCAACTCAGGGTTAAATGGATTAAGGGCGGTGCAAGATGTGCTTTGTTAAACAGATGCTTGAAGGCAGCATGCTCGTTAAGAGTCATACCACTCCCTAATCTCAAGTACCCAGGGACACAAACACTGCAGAAGGCCGCAGGGACCTTTGCCTAGGAAAACCAGAGACTTTTGTTCACGTGTTTATCTGCTGACCTTCTCTCCACTATTATCCTATGACCCTGCCACATCCCCCTCTCCGAGAAACACCCAAGAATGATCAATAAATACTAAAAAAAAAAAAAAAAAACCAGTAAAAAAAAAAAGAAAATAAAAGAGCGACATTCTATCATTTCTACCATACTCTATTTATTAGAAGCCAGTGGCTAGATTCAACCACACTCAACTCAAGGGGAGGGGTTTCCATCGGGGTGTGAATACAGCAGGCAGAGATCATTGGGGATCATTTTAGAAACTGCTTACCCACCCACTTTACAGGTGGGATAGCTGTAGTCCAGAGAGGTTAAGCTAGTAAAAGATAGAGCTGGGGTTTGAATCCAGCCCTGGGTGAGCTCAGAGCCCACCTTCTTAACCATTTTGCTGTCTTGCTTTCTTGAGCCTACATTATTTAAACACTTTTGCTGTCCTCAGACCATTTGAATGGCCCTCCTTGGTGTGCTGATGGCCCTCATGTACACCTCGGTCCTAGGATGGGCCTCCCTGCACTGCCATAATTGGTTTCTTCTCTGTCCGGCTAGATAGGATGACAAGCCAGGCACAAGACAGATAACTGAAAGTAAGGAATGAAGGCATGGGCTCAGGAGAGTTTGCTATTTAAGGAAGAGTGTCCTGGAAACATGGGGCCACAGGATGAGGAGTCCTTCCCTGATGCGTAGGAGCATGCGCTGACATTGGATTTCTGTGTTTGGCTATCTCTGTGTGGGGCTTTCCTGGGCCCTTAGAAGCTCACAGCTTGGCAGCTTCCTTGACCTGCCCTTCATCTCTCCTGTAGCATCTCTTTGGACCCCAGGGCACAGTGGCAGGACAGAGCAGTGTCCAAAAAAGTTCAAGGCGAATGGGTCTTGAAGGGCCCATTCTGGGAAAAGGAGAGGGCAGCAGTGTCCTCTGGACACAAGTCAGGGACACAAGTGGTGTCTATTGCGCATTGTCCACGTGGGAAAAAGCTCAGGGATCCCTAGAAGGTTGATGGCTTCCTGCAGGAGTGAGGAGGTATTTCCCCATCATTGATTCAGCACGGTGCTGTTGCCTTCTTCCTAAATGCCATCTGCTGGGAGCTTCTAGGACAGTGGTTTTCAAAGGATCTGGACCAGCCGCATCAGCCCCACCTGGAACGTGTTAGATGTGCAAATTTTCAGGCTTTCCCACCCAGATCCAGAGTTAGAAACTCCAGGCACGGGGCCCAGAAATCTGTGTTTTAATGAATCCTCCAGGTGATTCTGATGTGGATAAAATCTGAGAACCATTGCTCTAGGCAGTTTTTCTTTAAATCCTCCCAAGCTTTTACATTTTTAAAAATAAAAATTTCCCAAAGCAAAAATGTTCAATATATAAATGTTGGAAGATCCAGGGAAGCACAAAGAAGAAATTTTAAATAATCTGCAGATTAGTATTAATTTTTTAGTGCATATCGCTTCATTATTATAGGTATATGTGTATATTTATAAATGTACCCAATTTTGAAGAAGATTGAGATTTTACTATAAATATTGTTGTGTATGCTGCTTTTTAAACATTTCTCCAAGTCTTAAACATTGTCCCACTGCACCATTTATGCATGGCTGCGTAGTATTCCATGGTTGGAATATACCATCATCTGACCAATCTCTGGGACTGATGCAATCCGTTCCTTGGAGAGGGAGATTGTGAACTCTGCTCAGATGTGTTTACAACACAGACAGATGGTGAGTAAAACCAATTAACCTCTCCCTCCTCCTGGGCTAGGAGGGAAGAACAGCTAGGAGGATAGTGAGAGCCTGGCCTTACCACACTGGGGAATTTGAATGCAGCCACAAAGCAATGAGAATGCAGATAAAGGGACAAATGAAGGAGGTGCCGCAAGCTTGGTGAGTGCCCAGAAGTGGGTTTTGGGGGAGCAGGAGTCATAGATTCTGAGTCTGTGTGACAGAGAATGCACTTTGATAGGAACAGAGATAAGGAAGCCAATGTTCGGATCCCATTTTTGCTTTAGAAAAAACACCCCCACGAAACGAAAAACCTGTCTTCATATGCACACAAAAATGCGCGGAAGACTATAAACCAAAATGTTAATGTGATTTCTGAGTGGTGATATTATGAGATATTCTCATTTTCTTCTTATGGCTTTTCTGTATTTTTTGAATTTTCCATAATGAACATCTATTACTTTTGTAATAAAAACATGGAAGAGAAGACTAGGGAAGTCAGGGGGAGTAGTTGTTTTGGGCGAAAGATGCTCGATGATTCGGTTCAGTTATGCTGAGGTGACAGGCCCCGCGGCATTTAGGAGAAGAGGGTCAGAGTTCAAGGAGTGAATTTGTGAATCTGTCTCTTGAAAATGCCCCTGGGCGAGAATGAGCATTCTGCAGGTGGGTTGATGACCCTGGGCCCCTTGGCAGTTGATTGAAGGACCCTTGCTGGGTGAGAGATGGTGCTGGCAGGGAGGGGCGCTGTGGCCTGGCCTCCACAAGCCCGCTGTGTATGTGTGCATGTGTGCACATTTGTGTGTTCCCAGCCTAGCCAACGCATGAAGTGACCGTGAAGGCTGAGCCCCGATGTGGGCTCAACAGGTCCTTGGCGAGGGGCTTTGGCAGGCAGCAGGCATCCAATCCCAGAATCCCCTCCCAGCTGAGACTGATTAGAAGGGAGTCAGAACTATTAACCTGTCCTCCTTCTCCTTGGCTTTTGCTCATTGCAATGCCCTGCGGAAGGAACCTTGAAAGACAGCGCTCAAATGAGTTTCAGTGACATCTATCTAATCTGATGCTGAAGGGGCTGTGCTGGTTTTTTATTAAACTTCATTACTTTCAATTACAACAGAGTGGGTTTTGTGGGCGTATGCCTTAAACCTAATTGAACTGTTTCTCCTATTCTTCTCCCTAGTGTGAAACATTCTCACCCTTTGGGGGAGAAAAAATTTCTTCATTTTAAGGAAACATGTTTATCCTTGAAGGGCATTAAGAATTGAAGAAAACCTAATGGGCTTGGTGTGGAAGTGAGAGAGGCAGCGGCTGCAGCAGGGAGAGTCAGCAATCCTGGAGGCCCTTGAAATCCAACACCAGCGGGGAGGGTCTGTAGTGCCAACTCCAAGGATTCCTGGGTTCTTGATGGAATTCCATAGGCTGGTTTGTTTGCCTGGACTTAGAAGCTGCTTCATAGTGAAAGCTTTACAAAGCTGATGGAGGGCCCCTTGGCTGGAATGACAATGGATTAGTTCCGAGGCTAGCAGATCTCTCTCTTTTCTTCCATCCTTTCAACAAGATTTCTGGCCTGGAAAAAAGTGATGATGGCTGGAAATGGTGCTTGAAAGGTGCTGAGCTAAGTAGGCTGAACTTCCATGGGGGCCTCCCAGGGGTTTCATCACGAGTGTGTGGTGGAGGGACTGGGGCATGTCGGGCAGGGTGCTAGGAAGCTCAGTGTTGTACTCACAGTCACCAGTTTGTTTTGTAATGTTTTTCTGAAAGCATTTCTGCAGGAAGTCTGATTTTAGAAGGCATGCAATCCAGCAAATGGCAAGAAGTGGGCTGGGGATGAGGAAGCAGGGTCCTTGAGGCTGTTGCTGTGTGACGGGGGAACTGGGGGACCACACTGCCCTTCCTGTGCAGGAGACCCCCTTACTTCCTTTACCATTATGTAATGGCCTTCTTTGTCTCTTTTGATCTTTGTTGGTTTAAAGTCTGTTTTATGAGAGACTAGGATTGCAACCCCTGCTTTTTTTTGCTTTCCATTTGCTTGGTAGATCTTCCTCCATCCCTTTATTTTGAGCCTATGTGTGTCTCTGCATGTGAGATGGGTCTCCTGAATACAGCACACGGATGGGTCTTGACTCTTTATCCAATTTGCCAGTCTGTGTCTTTTAATTGGGGCATTTAGCCCAGGTTTACATTTAAGGTTAATATTGTTATGTGTGAATTTGATCCTGTCATTATGATGTTAGCTGGTTATTTTGCTCGTTAGTTGATGCAGTTTCTTCCTAGCCTTGATGGTCTTTACAATTTGGCATGTTTTTGCAGTGCCTGGTACCAGTTGTTCCTCTCCATGTTTAGTGCTTCCTTCAGGAGCTCTTGTAAGGCAGGCCTGGTGGTGACAAAATCTCTCAGCATTTGCTTGTCTGGAAAGGATTTTATTTCTCTTTCACTTATGAAGTTTAGTTTGGCTGGATATGAAATTCTAGGTTGAAAATTCTTTTCTTTCAGAATGTTGAATATTGGCCCCCACTCTCTTCTGGCTTGTAGAGTTTCTGCCGAGAGATCTGCTGTTGGTCTGATGGGCTTCCCTTTGTGGGTAACCCGACCTTTCTCTCTGGCTGCCCTTAACATTTTTTCCTTCAGTTCAACCTTGGTGAATCTGACAATTATGTGTCTTGGGGTTGCTTTTCTTGAGGAGTATCTATGTGGTGTTCTCTGTATTTCTTGAATTTGAATGTTGGCCTGCCTTGCTAGTAGGGGAAGTTCTCCTGGATAATATCCTGAGGAGCGTTTTCCAGCTTGGTTTCATTCTCCCCGTCACTTTCAGGTACACCAATCAAACATAGATTTGGTCTTTTCACATAGTCCCATATTTCTTGGAGGCTTTGTTCGTTTCTTTTTACTCTTTTTTCTCTAAACTTCTCACTTCATTTCATTCATTTGATCTTCAATCACTGATACCCTTTCTTCCGCTTGACTGAGTCGGCTATTGAAGCTTGTGCATGCGTCACGTAGTTCTCGTGCCATGGTTTTCAGCTCCATCAGGTCATTTAAGGTCTTCTCTACACTGTTTATTCTAGTTAGCCATTCGTCTAATCTTGTTTTGAGGTTTTTAGCTTCCTTGCGATGGGTTTAAACATCCTCCTTTAGCTCGGAGAAGTTTGTTATTACCGACTTTCTGAAGTCTACTTCTGTCAGCTCGTCAAAGTCATTCTCCATCCAGCTTTGTTCTGTTGCTGGGGAGGAGCTGCGATCCTTTGGAGGAGAAGGGGCACTCTGGCTTTTAGAATTTTCAGCTTTTCTGCTCTGGTTTCTCCCCATCTTTGTGGTCTTATCTACCTTTGGTCTTTGATGATGGTGACCTACAGATGGGGTTTTGGAGTGGATGTCCTTTTTGTTGATGTTGATGCTATTCCTTTCCGTTTGTTAGTTTTCCTTCTAACTGTCAGGTCCCTCAGCTGCAGGTCTGTTGGAGTTTGCTGGAGGTCCACTCCAGACCCTGTTTGCCTGGGTATCACCAGTGGAGGCTGCAGAACAGCAAATATTGCTGCCTGATCTTTCTTCTGGAAGCTTCATCTCAGAGGGGCACCCAGCTGTATGAGGTGTTAGTCAGCCTCTACTGGGAGGTGTCTCCAAGTTAGGCTACACAGGGGTCAGGGACCCACTTGAGGAGACAGTCTGTCCTTTCTCAGAGTTCAAACACCATGCTGGGAGAACCACTGCTCTCTTCAGAGCTTGTCAGACAGGGATGTTTCAGTCTGGAAGTTTCTGCTGCCTTTTGTTCAGCTATGCCCTGCCCCCAGAAATAGAGACCTCCTTACTTCCTTTTTTGCTGAAGGGGGCTGATGTGGGGACACGTGGACAGTCCTCTCATCTCCCCAGACCAGAGCCAGAGTGGTGGTGGCATGATTTGGAGAAGTGAAGCTTGGAGAAGTATCCTGGCTGAGTGGATGCTGATTACTTTGTTCCCTACCTTTTATCTGAATCTGAAGGAAGATGGAGGAGAAGGGGCACAGAAGGGACGATTTGCTCTTCTGCTGTAGCTGTTGGAGAGAAGTGGGCGATTGTTCTGGAGCCCGATTTACCATCTGTCTGACTCTAGGAAACTTGGGGTCCTAGCTCTTAACTACACTGTTAAATCTGGGTCCCTGGGGAATCAACAGAGAGCCTCATCCTTAATCAGAGCTGACAATACCCGTTCTCTCTTTCTCCCATCTTGGAGACTGGAAACCTCTTGTATTGGTTGCCTGGGTCATATCTAGCTGTGTGCCCACCTGGGTCTTCTGAGGCCATCGACTCCCACTAGGCCCCCTGTCTTCTGGTTCCCTGGTCCAGGTCCCAGAGTCCAATGCCAACACCACAGGAAAGCCTTGAACACTCTGAAGACTCTGCCAGTGGGAGGGTTCTTGGGGAACCCATGATGGTAGGTGGTGGGGATGAGGAAGTCCAGAGCTGGCATTTGAATTGTGTCATTGTTTTATTAAAGTTTAAAATTTAATAAAATTTATGGGAGATGTTCCAGTTCCACGTACATCATTTGACTTCTCGCTGACACAGCATGTTAGCAAGTGCACAGCCCGGCCTCCCGTCTCTGGATGTCAAAACTGGTAAGGCTTGATCTTTTGTGTTTCCTAAGTGTGATGATTGAGTTTTCAAACTCACTTGAGGTGTGCCTCCCTTAAACCTCATTATGACATCAGCATATTACCCATCTGACGTTAAAAAAAAAAAAAGCTGTGGTTGTTTGAGGATTTATAGGGATGTGGGTGTGCTGGTGTCATGGTCCATACTTGCCAGGGCTGGGAGCGGGACAGAGCCTGGGTGGGACAGAGCCTCACATCCTTGGTGCTGCTGTTGGAGGCCCCAGACTCTCAGCCCACCAAACATTTCTGCCTCCATTACAGCAGCATGTCCTTGAACCAGCTGTGGAGGATAAGCTGACAGTGCTTACCTACCCCCGGGGGAAGGAGTGGAGCAGAGCCAAGAAGGAACCGATCGCACAGCCACACAGCCAGATCTTGGCTCTGCTGGTTACTTGCTGTACAAGATCCTTCTTCATCTGTAAAATGGCAATAACAAGAGACCTTCTTCCCTCATTGGGTTATAGCCAGATAGTGCCTGTGAGGTACTATCAGTGAGCACTAAATGTGTGGTCAGTTTTCATCGTAGGCTAGATGCTTGCTGGGCATTAGGTCACTGCTTCACAGAGCATGCAGTCAAAATAAGGTTGGAAAGTTCACAGACATCTGAAATACTTTGAGGTGTGCTAAGTCCTGAGAGGAGCCAATAGAGTATGTGTGCCTGTGTGTGCACATGCAATCTGGGGTGACTTCTAGGAGGAGGTGATTTTTGATGTGGTGTTTAGAGAGGTGGGAAAGATTTCAATTAAAAGATCTAGAGAAATTTGACAAACACTACTTCAGCCAGTTGACCAATATAAACATCAACAATGATAAACCATGTTAGTAGTATGTACTCCAGGTATGATATGATGAAAATGGCACTTCACCTCTGTGGTTTTCCACCCACAAACCCAGTTTAATGATGAGGAAAACATCAGACAAATTCTGATAGAGGGTCATTCTATAAAAAACCCAACCAGTACCCTTCAATACGGTTGAGGTCATCAAAACCCAGCAAAGTATGAGAAAAATCTCACAGCCAAGAGGAGCCTAAGCAGATGTGACAACTAAGGGTAATTGGGATCCTGGAGAAGACCCTGGAACAAGAGAAGGACACCAGGTAAAAACTACTAAAATCTGAATAAAGTATGGACTTCAGTTAAAAAGAACGGGAAGTAAGCTCATTTTCTCTGAAAAGGGAAGACTCAGAAGAGTTTTTAGCCTATGATAGTTCTAAGGGGGTCTTAACAGTGATTAACCCATTTATGCCTGAGGTTGTAATTTTTTGAATTTGAAAAATCAGACCTTGGTGATGACCTTGAGCAGTAAGATATAAATAACTCCCACATGCTTAGCTTTCCACTAATGGAACACTAGGCATAAATGGAGGCATTAGCCAAAGACTGGAACTGCAGCCATCACTGATGAATGTTGATAATAATAACAGCAGTAACTAACAAGACCAAGTGAGGCTGACTACACAGGTGTCTACTGGCCGGGGTTTGGCCTCCTTCCTGACATGCCTCTTAGTGTGTGTGTGTGGGACACACTATTCTTTAGTTAATCTCACAGACTGCCCAGAGCAGGGCAGGGTTCCCTACCCCATGGAAGCCACACACAGCCTGGTGGCACAGGGTGTGATGAGTGTTGTGAAAAGAGGACACCGACCTAGCCTGATGACAGACGAGGGGAGGCCTCCTGGACCAGGCGATGTTCAGGGGAGCCTGCGGAGGGGAGTCTGAGCATGCACACCAACCTCTGCGGGACAGCGGCTCCAAGGGGCCCCCTGGCACAAGTGCTTGGTCCCTGTTCAGACCCTCCCCTCCTCAGATCCGAGCCTACCACCAGGGACAGAACACAGCCCCTCAAAGCAGCTGGGGAGACAACAGTTTTTAAAAAATCAGAGAAATGGTTACAGTTTGGCCCAGATTTCTGGGATGGACAGAGTAGCCAGACATTTGCATGAAGGCCTCGGAGGGTCTGGAGCTCTCCGCTGTCATTTATGGCTTTCCTTTTAATCAAGCTTTATTTCTAAATATCTGTCTAATGTATAATACAAGCTTAGGCTCTTGCGGCCATAGCCTCCCTTTCAGCACTGTTTCTAAAATCCCATTTACGGAGGACAAATAGCTTTTGGGTAAAAGAGTCTTCGCCTCTTCAAAGAAGCAGTTAGCCGGCTGTTCTCCCCTGACTGTGCCTATCTGTGGTTGGGGTGACGAAGTGAGATTATTTTATTTCCATTTAAACTCTCTGGGGGTCTGGCTGTTGAGGGAGGCAGCTGCTGTCTTTGTTGGTTGCTTTTCCCCCAGAAAGTGCTGTGTAGGTTTCTTGGGGTGGGGGAAGGGGGTAGGCAGTGGCACTGGCAGGGGGCCTGTTTTCACCCAGCTGCCCCTATCTTGGCCTGAGGAACTGTGCCCAGCATTTCTCTGAACTTCAAAGGCGCTCTCAGCAGGATATTTGCGGTCATGGCTCCGGAGGGTGTGTTTGCTGAGTCTGTGAGTATTTGTGTGTATCAGTGCCCTGGGCCATGTGGTTGGCTGGATTTGTTGAGAAGCATGCTCCTTCCGTGAGCCAGAATTTTTGGAGTACCAACTGCATATACCAGTCACTGGTCAAACAAAGATGCCAGGTTACCTCCCAGTTTCCCTTGGGAATGGGGAAGGATGGGGTTCTGTGGGAGCTTGGAGGAGAGGTACCTGGTTCAGCTGGGGAGGGCCTCCTGGAAGAGGTGATGTCTAAATTGAACTCTGACGGATGAGCAGAGGTCACCCTACTGGCACTTTCCTCCTCCAGGAGAGAAGCATGGGGCTCCGGGTCTGCCATGTGCAGGCCCGGCACCTTGAGAGGAATGCTATGAGATATGGGGACACATGTGGCCAGACCCATGGAGCTCAAAGGACTGTGGAGGTGACAGCAAGGGGCAGCTGGCACCAGGGCCCGCCTGGCATGATGAAGTTGTCTTAGGCTGGGGAGGGGAGCCTGGGAGTGTTTCTTACCCTCAGACCCTTGGACCAGTTGGGGAACGAAATAGCCTGGGAACAAATAGTATGTATTGTATCACTGGGCAAGGAGAACTTGACCAAGAGGTGGTTCCAGCAGGTAGGGTAGGGAATTAATTATTTTTGTTAACTTCCTCAAGGCCCAAAGGGAGATGAGTGAGTGCCCTCATATCAAGGGTGATGTAGGGGCCAGCGACCTCTCCTGCTGGGACCCTTATCTGGGTATTGCTGGGAGATGGCATGGCCATCAGACCCACCTTCCCTTTCCAGCTGGTACGGAAGGAGTCCACAGGTTCTTTTTGCCTCTGTTTAACCTAAAAGCTCCGTCCAGTACCTGGGGATGGTTGGTTCCTGGCTGAGGTTTGGAGGACTTCTGGTACCTCCTTCAGGAACGTGAGACAGGCAGGCGCCGAGGACCCCTGACTCAGACTCTGTTAGTATGACTGAGACAAGACTGCCTCTTGACCAGGGGCTGGAAAAGTCTGGGCCATTGGTGGGAGGTTCACTGCCCTCTCAGAGAACCAGGCCCTTGAGCTGTGTGTGTGGCTCCCTGGAGGCTGGGCCAGGCACTATGCCCATTGGTGCCCCAAAGGGGAGCCAGAGGTGGGCAGTTGGCTCACCTGGCATCCGCTGGTGCAGCAGCATCACAGGACCAGGAATTGGAAAGCTCAGGTCCTGGCTTAGGGATTTGCTGGGTTAGGTTGTCACCTAGCCTGGCTTTACTTTTCTCCTCCTGCTCCTTTTCCTCCTCCTGCCACAGGTTTGATGTCTGTAAAGCGTAGGTAACTAAGATTATATGTGGCATTCAGTGCTTCACTAGTGTAGGCTGGTGTTCAAACCTCGTGCCCCACCCTGCTCCTGAGTTCTACAAAGTTCACTTCCCCCAAATCCCTATTGGGCCTCAGAGATCCAGGAAGTGGCCAGACCAGAATACCCATCGGGACCGGCCTCTCTGGTGCTTCAGCTCTTGAAACACAGGAAAAGAGCAAAGGATGTGAAAATGAACTCAGCAGCAAGGACCTGAAAATAGCTCCTCTGACAGTGTGAGATGGGTGGGCAGCACTAATTCTATCTGCCTGCGTTTCCTCGATTCACAGTGACAGCAAAGTGCCCTTCCTAAATAGCGCCAGATTGTTCAGGGTAGTTTTGGAGTGGGGGTAAAGCCCCTGCCAGCCTGCCCACCCCCCTCCCCAGGAGGCTCTGTTGAACAGTGAACATAGAGACTCTCCTGTTGGAGCTCTCTGGAGGGCTCAGGCCCCACCCTGGAGAGCCAGGTATTAATTGCCTGGAGACTCTAGGTTTCTGCTTGGCAGAATCCAATATTGACAAGCCCCATAAGCTGGGAACAGTGTCTCGCCCAGATTTTGGGGCTAGTGATGGGCAGGCATTGCTGTACCCATTTTTTGGTGGAAAGGGCTAGGTCCAGAGTTTACCTGACTCTCTTTAGGCAATACACTGAATGACAGGCAGGGCTGCATCTAGAACTCATTGCTATGCTCTTTCTGTATTGTCCCAAGGTGGGTCACCCAGTGGCTCCTCCTTGATTTTTCTTCTTTCCTCTCATATTCTTTTCCTTTTCTCCCATCCCCTTGAGTTGCACTGTCCAAAAGAGCAGCCACTAGCCACATGTGGCCACTAAGTGCAGAAATGTGGCTAGTTCAGACTGACATGTGCTGTAAGGGTAAAATCCACCCTGCAGTTTGAAGACTTAGTACAAAAAAAGAATGTAAGCTATCTCATAAGTAATTTTTTATATTCATTATATGTTGACATAATACTCTTTTAGACACATTGGGTTAAATCAAATACATTATGACAATTACTTTTTGATGTGTTTAGGAGACACTTTAAAATGACTTATGTGGCTCTGCTTCTATTTCTGCTGGGCAGTGCTACTTTTGAGCTTTCCTACTCAAAGTGTGGTCTGTGAACCAGCAGCATGGGTGTCACCTGGGAGCATGTGGGAAATGCTGAATTTCAGGTGCTACTCCAGACCTGCTGAGTCCAAACTGGCACTTTAACAGGATTCCTAGATGACTCTACAGTTCGAGAAACTCAGAGCTCAGCTGAAGCTAGATAGGATCCTGCTTGCTGTGGGCCTGAGCCCACTTGTAAAACAAGAGTCCTGGCTGGGCGCGGTGGCTCACGCCTGTAATCCCTGCACTTTGGGAGGCTGAGGCGGGTGGGTCACCTGAGGTCAGGAGTTCGAGACCAGCATGGCTAACATGGTGAAACCCCATTTCTACTAAAAATACAAAAAGCCGGGCGTGGTGGCGTGCACCTGTTATCCCAGCTACTTGGGAGGCTGAGGCAGGAGAATCTCTTGAACCCAGAAAGTGGAGGTTGTAGTGAGCCAAGATCCCGCCATTGCACTCCAGCCTGGGCAACAAGAGTGAAACTCCATCTTAAAACCCAACAAACCAAACAAGGCTCCTAGCCCAAAAGTCCTTCCTAGAATCCTGAGTCAGGGCAACAGCAGGCCGAGGGCTGTGACAAAGTTTAATCCTGCTCCAACCCCCTGGCATTAGCTCTGGGGGGGAATTTTCACCTTGGGGGCTAGGAGAGGGACCTTGGGGAGGACCCCTCAGGCCTCAAGGACCATAGGTGAGGTCACAGTGACTGAGGGAACTCCCTCAGGGAAGGAAGGAGCAGTATAGGCTTGAATCTTTCAATTCAAAGATCTTCCAAAAGGAACACTGGAAAGTTTTGGGATTTGTAGTCAACCAAAACAGAGACTTACCACAATAACCCCAGCAGTGTCAAACACAACCTCGAGGTTTGCCTCAGCATGTTTGAACAGTGTTTGCCCATCCACACCCTGCCTCTGTGACTTTCCCCAAGGTGTAATTAATGACTTGTTGGGCTTGACAGATGCAAACATGTTCTCTGAGTCTCCAGGTCCCAGACGCCAGGGAAAGTGTGGAGACACAGGGGGACGGCGGCAGGACTGCCGCATGTAGCTATCCCCAGGACACGACCTAAGCTGACTCCCCTGCTAGGGCCCTCTGCCCAGCCTGTTCTCTGAGATTTGCCCCAAGGCTATGGCGTGGGGGTTGTTTGCTGCCAGGAGAAAGGCACTGATGCCCAGCAGCTCATAGTCATGCCGATGGCTGTGGCTGCCTTTATTCTAAAGTCATAGTCTGTTGCCATGCCTCAAGTCTTTGTCCCCTGCCACCTGAGTTTAGGGGGTGGGATAAGGGCTTGAGATGAGGTCCCCACCTGCCGAGAGTCTGACTCTCATTTTCAGATTTTGCAAAATCTGACTTTATTTATTTTTTTTGGAGACAGGGTCTCACTCTGTCACCCAGGCTCGAGTGTAAGTGATATGATCATGGCTCACTGTAACATCGACCTCCAGGTCCCAACTGATCCTCCTACCCTCAGCCTCCCGAGTAGCTGGGACTGCAGGCATGCACCACCATGTCTAGCTAAGTAATTTTTTTTTTTTTTTTTAAGGACAGGGTTTCACCATGTTGCCCAGTCTGGTCTCGAACTCCTGGGCTCAAGCAATCCTCCTGCCTCGGCCTCCCAAAGTGTTCCCAGCTGAGGGGACCCTAAGAGTAAAGGCTCAGGAAGACTAATGGGGAGTAGAGAAGGCCAGTGAGACAGGGTGAGGGGCCCCCTGTGCAGGCCTGGGAGTGGGGAGCCGGAAGAAGGTGGACATTATCTGGAAGGCTATAGGGATCATTTGGGGTTATGGTGTTTTAATTACGATGAGTGTATTTTCATATAAACCTGATTCTTAAAATCAAAAGCCAGTTTGTTTTTGTTTCCTCTCTGGGCTTGAAGAGCTCATTGAAAGCAGCTGGATCAGGGCAGGGCCCCAGGCCTGCTTCTCCCTCAGAGCTCCTGGGCAGCAGCTCTGGCTGAGAGCTTTACAAAGGCAGATCCTATTTCTCTGGGTCCACTGATCTGGGGGTGGGGCCCAGGAATCTGGGTGCTCAGAACCAGGGTGAGGAAATAACCTGGGGCGTAATGGGATTTGCTTTGCCTCAGTAGTTGGGAGCTTTACAGAGAGGAGATTTTTTTAGGAGAAGCCGTAAGAAGGTCTGAGGAAGGGCCTTCTTTGGATTGGAAGTGAATTATTGCTACTTGGTGAAGAGAATGCTTTTGCAAATACCTATTCCATGCTGTGCAGCCTAGGGTGGGGCTGCTCCTGAGCCCCTCCGTCCATCCCTTGCACATCACATTACCTGAGCCCACTGCTTTCTTCTCTGTTTGGCCAGTGGTGGAGGCTTGGCCTGGGAGAAGAGCTGCCAGATGCTGTAGGATTCTTCTCTGGTGTGTGGGGGAAGGGGAGTGAGATTAGAACCAAGGTCCAGTTGTCAGCAGAAAGGCTGCCTACACACAAAGACAGGCAAGTGGAAGATCTTAATACCGTGTGTGGTGGGCAGGATTCTGAGATGGCAGGATTCCAAGATTCCCACCTCTGGTATACATGGCCTGCAGAATGCCCCTCCCCCTGAGTGTGGTGGGACTGTGGATAGGATGGGATATCACCCGCCCCCAGCCCTGATTAGATTATGCAGTTTAAGACTGAAGAGACTCTCCCACTGGCTTTGCAGAAGGAAGCTACCATATTGTGGAGGGGTGGGGGGCTAGGACCTGAGACAGCCTCTAGGAGCAGAGAGTGAGCCCCGGCTGACAACCAGCAAGAAAGCAGAGACCTCAGTCCTACAGCTGCAAGGAATAGAAATCTGCCAAGAGCCTGAATGAGATGCACCTGGAAGTGGATTCCGCCCTCGTCAAGCCTCCCACTGCGAATGTGGCCCAGCTGACACTTTGACTTCAGCCTGGTGAGCCTGTGAGCAGAGAATTTAGTCACGCCTGGACTTCTGACCTACAGAACGGTGAGACGATTAATGGGTGTTGTTTTAAGCTGCTGTTTGTGGTAATTTGTTATACAGTAATGGAAATATAGCAGGGAACACCTCTGAGTTTCTGGTGGTGTCTGGGCCCTTGGAAGTCAGGGCCTGCAGGGCCGTGGCCATGGTGGCTCAGTTCCCGGTGGCCAGTCTAGAGCTCTGGGCCCCCTGGCTTACCTCCCACAGAGCCCCCAGTCACATGGCAGCCTACTTTTTATGGCCTGGCACAGCCATATTTTATTGTCGAATTAGTAGGAATAACAGCAGCATTTTAGTGGCTGATTGGGAGCCATATGTTAGTGATTGTATTAATAAGCGCACAGTGACAGGAGACCAGTGAGAGTGAGAAAATGAGACACAGTATTTATCCCCAGTGCAAAATCTTCTTTATTATTAAAGACATTGGGTTAACTGAGGATAGATTTAATGCCTGCTGGTGATGTTATTGGCTAATCAGCGGCCTAGGGTCCCCACCGCAGCCTGAGCTCTGGAGCTCTCATGTGGGGCCATTGGGTACCTTGGAGAAGTCACAGAGTTGGAGAGTTGCAAATGTGGACACTTTCTCCAGACTCTCCCTTGGGCCTGCTGCTCCCTGCGGGCAGATCCAGGGAAGCTGATATGACAGAGTGAGTCCCTCACCCATTTGGAGATGAGCAACTTGAAGTTTGTGCAAGTGCTAGGCATCTGAAGAAAGGGATTGCAGGGACAGCATCGGAATTGGTGCAGGACCATCCTGGACTTGGAACTTGCTGCTGGGAGCTTTGTTTCTCTAAGGGAAGCTGCCCAGGAGAGGGCTGCACACCGGGAGGGTCTTGTGTTCTGGGGACAGCCAGCCTCTGCACCTCACCAGTACCTTGTTATGTCTGGTGCCTAGCTGGTTTTGCACCACATGTGCCCGGCCTTGGAAAGGGGCTGCGTATGCTTGGCACTGGCTGGACGAGACCCAGGGCTAAGGGCCACCCAGTGGGAGGTGTTTGGGCTGGCAAGGGGACTGGACTGAGATTCCCTGCAGGCTCTTAGTCCTCTGAACGTTTTAGAGGAGGGAAGGAAGGTGGAAGATGAGACAGGAGAGAAAGGCACAGAATCCAGAAATGCCGGCAGCCAGTGGTCCCAGCCAGGCCTGCCTCCTGTGGACAGGTAAGCCCTAGACCCCTTTGCTGCTTCCCCGTGGTGCTGCTTGGCAGCCCTGCTTAGCCCTTTTTCTGCTGAGCTCTCTCAAGGACTCAGGAGTGAAATTCTTTTTGCACCTTCCACCTCCTCTCTCAGCAGACCCTGCGAGGAGAAGACAAGTGATGGCAGGTGAGGGGCTCATGTGACATTGTTGACAGGGAACATGGCATAATGGAAAGAATGCAGGCTTTGGAGCATCATCAGCTGGGGCCTTCCCTGCTGGCCCTGTGCTGTGTGTTGGGTGGCGTTGGCTCTGGGCACATGGCTTGCCCCTCTGAGCCTTACCGTCCTCTACTGTCAACAACAACCACCATCTCTACCTCACAGTGGGGAGTGGTTGTAAGGACCAAAAGAGAGAATGGACATGTGTAAAGGGCTGTGTAGGCCATCTGGTACATAGTAGGTGGTCAATATGGAGCATCTTATTATTTCTAGAAGAACTCGGGCTCCTGTATTCTCAGAGGAACCTCCTGGTGGATATGGAGGCCAATTTGCTCACTTGTTTGTTCTTTCTGCAAGAGTTTGGTGCTGGGTGCGGTGATACCGTGCATGGCAAATAGTAGGTGCTCAGTAGGTATTTATTGTCTGGATGGCTACAGAGATTATAGACAAGTTCTTCCCCTTTGGGAACTTAACCTAGGGGTGATGGTGGTAGTGGGGCTGGTGAGTGAGGATAGTTTCTGATTTTCCCAGGCCAGTTGATCTTACTTTGATACCCAGGGCCAAAGAAGCCTTGAAGATGCCCCCATCCCAGTGGGTCAGAGAAATTGCCTCCTTCTTCCATAGTCTGATACTGTTGTGGACACAGCCAGGAATTGCAGGGAGAGAGGTGACTGTGATTTCATCCCAGTTGGAAAAGACAATGCAGATGTCCTTAGCCAGTGGCAAGGTGTCAGTGGTACCTTGTAGACATTGCCGCCTTGTGGGCATGAGGAGGTCTCCATCCCCTTCCCAACCATGCAGTTCCTCTGCCTCCATCAAACCTGGAGCACACACAAACCTGCACAGCAAGTGCTTAGCAGAGAAACAAGCAATCACCTTTGGAAAATCTTTGTGTGCTATTTTGGAAGACTTGAATGAATTCCTGGAGAGGGGTCCCCCTGCAGAAAGATTGACAAGCGAGTGATTTATCTCCTCTTATACTTCAGTTCTTTTTGGAGTACGGGTGCTTGCCTCCAGGTTGAACTCCTCATTCTCAAATCCTGTGTAGACTTTTAGCCTGGTAGCTCTGGCTTGAATAGCCAGCTTTAGAATCAGTTGGTAAAATAAAGGTTGACTTTGCTGCTGCTAAAGTTGAAGAAAGCAGATGGGCCTGTGAGCACATGGAGGGCATCTCAAGGGCCCAGGAGCTGGCAGCCTTTGGGCCCTGGGACCTTTACCTTCAGAGGTTAATTGTGCAGAGACCAGCAAGAGTCCAGGACCCTGTGATGGTTCAGCCATTCTGAGACTGAGGACTGGAAAATCGGAGTGTTTATTGCCTCCATTTTTTATTATCAGCAAAACTTTAATTACAGCTCTCACTAAACCTACTACCTTCTGCCAGCATTTACAAGGCAATAAATTTCCCCTTCTCTCCTTACACAATCTGAACCTCCAATAGGGCTGTGCATATGCACTGGAAGATATTGATTCCCCAAAGAAATTATAACAGCATTTGTTCTCAAGTAAACACACAGAGAGGCTATTACAACACTGAGGAAGAGTCGATTGTCTCTGTTTTATTAAACAACACAGCTCTCAACTGGAAGCACAACTAAATTATCAAAAGATTGGTAGAACAGACAGGCAGCAATGCCTGTAATGAGGCTTTGAGTGGGAGGACTCTGTAATGTGAAGGGTAGAAGGAAGGTTTTGTCCCTTTCTCCTTGTTTCTTACTCTCTCATCAAACCAACTTGCTCTCCCCCACCTCTCACCCCTGCAGCCCTTTAGCATTGAAGGGGCATTGATCGAGGCTGTCAGCTAAGGAGTGGGCAGCTCACTGTAGCTGGCAGAAATGAAGCTCACACAAGACCTGCCAACTGGCTAATGGCCCCGTGTGTATTGGCAGACAGTAAACAAAAGCCTTTTAAAAACTTCTTGTTGTGTTACTGGCAGGTGGAAAAGGTTGATGCATTCATCAGCCTAATTTGGAAAATGGTACATGGCCCATCTTTGCTTTGGAACACCCAAAAAAGCATACCACTCAGCAAAGGGGCGCTCAGCCATGACTTAGCTCCCATAAGGCAATTTGAGACACAATGTTTTATTATGAACAACTTAGCTCCACAGTCCCGCAAGAGCAATGGTGGGATCAGAAGTCTAAGGATGCTCTGTACAATGTTTGCATGTTCTGTACAATGTTCATGGGGTGTTAATTTCTGTCCTGCTAATAAAAAGATAGCCCCTCAACCCACTTTCTGTCATTAAATAAATTCATGAAAATGGGGATGAAACAAAGTTTTCTTGCTACAGGACTTTTCAGAGGCTTTACGCTAATATGCATTATGAATCTGGAAGAGGGGGAAAGAATATGTTACATTCTCTGAAAAGAAATTGTAACAGAATTCTTATCTTGTACAAACAGCGTTTTTACAGAATATTCTTTGTGCAGTACTCATCTGCAGGAATAAAGCAAAGGTAGAGTGGACCATGAGGAGCGGTGTGGATTTTCTTTATTGGGCTTCTAGAAACCAGCCTTGGGAGTGAGTCTGAGTGGGGCAGCAGGAGACTCAGGCCATGTCTGCCTAAGCTTTGCTGAAATGGTGCCAAAGCTCTCACTGGGTCTCTGAGAAGATGGGTTCAGCTGAGCTGACACAAGGGCTCCAACACAGAGGTATCTCCATTAGAACACAGTCACGGCAGTCTTTTCTCAGTGACAGAAAACTCCGAGTTATCGGAGAGGGGATTTTCTACTCCTGGAAATGGCAGACTGACTTGTTTGAGACCAACCTCCTATCAAGGACAACTGGAGCCATTGTGGCAGTTGTATTTTCCAGATGGCCACATCACTAGCTCGCCCATGCTGTGTGCCCATGCGTGTGATGTCTCCTTACAGGGAGACATTGACTCACCTGCACTGAGAGGTGGCTTTTATGTTTCTTCCCTTCAACACAGATAGGCCTTTGTAATTGTCACGACCAGCAGAATGCAGTAGAAGTGAAGCTGTGTGACTTTCAACACTATGCCATAGAAATTACCTCCTGCCTTTCCTTTTCTCCCCTGGGATACATGCTTTTGGTAGCCCTGAGCCAATTTGTAAAAGTCCAACTAATCTGAAGCTTCCATGTGGTAGCAAGTTACAGGGAGAGAGTACATAAAGATAGTTAGAGACACTGGAGGAGCCCAGTTTTTAGCAATTTGAGTCTTTCCAGACTGGGTACCAGACATGCGAGTGAAGCAGCCTTTGAGATGAGCCCAGCCAAAGCCAGCATCTGATTGCAACCTCATGGGAGACCCCAAACCAGAATCGTCCAGCTCAGCCAGCATCTGACTGGAAACTCACGGGAGGCCCCAAGCCAAAATTGTCCAGTTGAGCTGCTCCTGAATTCCTGACTACAGTAACTGTGGGAGATAATAAATGATTGACTTTGTTTTAAGCCACTAAGTTTTAGGGGAATTTGTTTTGCTGCCATAGTAATTGGAATACAACTCTACAAAATTAAATAAAAAATGAGTTGAAGTCTTCGGAAAGCTATCAAGGTGACAAGAGCTTGGCTCAAAGGGCCAAGATTCTTGGAAGAAGAAAAATCTTGGCTGGGCACGGTGGCTCATACCTGTAATCCAGGCACTTTGGGAGGCTGAGTGGGGTGGATCTCCTGATGTCAGGAGTTCCAGACCAGCTTTGCCAACATGGTGAAATCCTGTCTTTACTAAAAATGCAAAAATTAGCTGGGTGTGGTGGCAGGTGCCTGTAATCCCAGCAACTGGGGAGGTTGAGGCAGGAGAATCTCTTGAACCTGGGAGACAGAGGCTGCAGTGAGCCGAGATTGTGCCATTGCACTCCAGCCTGGGTGACAGAGCAAGACTCTGTCCTAAAATATATATATATATAAAATAAAAATAAAGAAAGGAAATCCCAAGGGGAGAGCCATATACTTGGTGCTACTTTTACCCCAAATTTGCTGACGTGAATGCAGCTGCTGAGAGGCTGAGCAGAAAGTGGCTCGAAATGCCTGAGATGTTGATCATAGCTTTTGGCATTTTTCATGGGACTTCAGGGGAAAATTGTGGTTCTACCAGATAGGAAGTCCTGGTAAACACCTCCCCAACTTTGAGTTGAAATTTATAAGAGTAAAGTTGACCTTGAAATAAGCCAGCTCTCACAAAGGCCATCATTAAATCAGCTCAGTTATTTACTGGATTAAGGTCATCTCTTCCTACTCTAACTGCCACCAGAAACAAACATGAACCCTCTCTTGAATGAGGCCACATCATCCAGAAACTCACATTATCTCTACAGTATCTGGAATCCAGTAAAGAAATAACTAGGTGTGCACAAAGACAATAATTGACTGAAAACCAAGAGAGAATGCCTGTAGGAGAATAGACTTACAGGAAGCCTGGAAATTGGAGTTATCCATCATGAGCTTTAAAATGACTGTGGTTAATATGTTCAAGAATTTGAGCAACAACATTGAGACTTCTGTGGAGAATTGGAAACTATATAATCAAATAGAAATTTGAGAATTGAGAAATCAATAACTGAGACTTCAATAGAGGGATTTAATGGCATATTAGATGCAGTGGAGGAGCAGATTAGTGAACTGCAAGAAGGATCAGTAGAAAACTTCCAGTTTAAAAGACAGAAAAAAAATGATAGGAAATACAGGAAAGAGCTTAAGAGAAATATGTGAGGTGGTAAAATGGTCTAACATGCGTAACTGGAGTCTTAGGGAGGGGTAGAAGCCATATTTGAAAAGATAAGGGACAAGAATTTCCCCAAACTGACTAAAACATCAAGCCACACATTCAAGAAGCACTATGAACCCCCACATAGAAAAAATTAAAAGGAATACACCTAGACACATCACGATAAAACGACTGAAAATCAAGGAACAAGAGGAAATCTTATAAAATTCAGAGGAAAAAAGGACAAATTTCCTTCTAAGAGCAACAGTGAGCGTGACACTGACTTCCAAGGAACAGCGGAAGCTTGAAGGCACTGAAATATCACATATCAGAACCATGGTGAAACAAAATAATCTCCAACACAGAATTCTATATCCAGTGAAAAACTTCGGAGACACATTTTTAGACAAAAATTGTGAGAAATTATTATATCCACCCTAAAAAAAAAAAGGAACATCTGAAGACAGAAGGATGTTGATCCCAGATGGAAACATGGAAATTGAGGAATGAATGAAGAGCAACAAAAAGTATAAATACATCCACACACATACATGTGTGCATATATGTATGGGTAAAAATCTGACTATGTCTTCTAGGGTTAAAAATATACAATTAAAATACACAACAATGTACAAATGGCAGTGGGTTTGGGACAAATGAAATTAAAATTTTAAATTTGTCCAAGAAGTAGTACAAAATACTAATTTACTTTAGGCTTTAACAAGTCAAGAATGCACTCAATATAGGGTATGCACTATAAGATTTGTAAAACGATGTATAACTAACTAGCTAAGAGTGAAGAAAAATGAGATAGTGAAAATACTTGATCCAAAAGAGGTAAGAAAAAGAAACATAAAACAGACAGGACAACTGGAAATTAAACAGTAAGATTATAAACTCAAATATATCAGTAATTACATTGAATGTAAATAGACTAATTACAGGATGAAGATTGTTAGACTAGATAAAAACAAAACTCAACTATGTTTCTTAGAGACATATTTTTATATGTGATAATTCAAAAAGATTGAAAGTAAAAGGAGAAAAAGTAACTTTTACTGTGTATTTACTATGCAAATATTAATCGGAGGCACAATGTATAGAGGCAAGAATCATTACCAGAGATAAAAATAATCATTTCATGATGATAAAGTGTCAACATACTAGGAATCTATAACAAATCCAAATTTATAGGCACCTAATAACATAGCTTCATAATATAGAAAGCAAAAATTGTTAGACTCAAAAGGAGAAATAGACTTATTTATAATCACGGTAGGAAATTTTCTTTTCAAGTTAATAGAGTTTTCCCAACTTTTTCTCCCATATATTTTTTTCTTAAATATCTGGGTCCTGATACCTTTTATTTGAAGTTAGCACTAGCAGATGACAAAATAAATAAAAACAAGTATCACTGGAAAATAATAGCAGGGCAGGCATTTTCTTAGAGCTTGCTTTACCTGTGGTCTTATGTGCTCATGGAGATTTCTGTAGTATATATAAGTAGAGATTACTCACTAAGAGAGATCTTCCTGGTTCATATGATACAGATCAAGTATACTGCTACATCCAAGTGTTACATAGTAAGTGCCCTGCTTCCTGGGTGTCTAACTACCTGAACAAATTTCAGGAACAGGTAAGAACTTTAAAGAATGCCAAACGTCCATTTTGGTGCTCTTCCAGAACCATGTTCTTCTTACTGCCTAATATTTTATATCAGTCAGCAAATTGAGGCTCACACACAGAACACACATGGGCTGATGGGTATTGGCTGTGAGATGCCCAAAAGTGGAAAGACAGACTATCAGAATCGGGACCCTTGAGAGTCAGTAGCAAGAATCAAAAGTGTGTCCCTAGTCTTAAGTGTGCTGGGCTCCCAATGTTCCCGCCTGCCTCTTCAAGGCAGCCTGTTCATCCATGCAGTGATGATATAGAATCATGGGAAAGTTATAGAAGACCATGGAGGTTGCTGTCTTTGTGTGTGTGTAGGAGGAGGGTACTGATCTACGTGACTTATTTAGCATTGAGAGCAAACTTGCCTGAAGCATCTGGATCTTTCTTAATTCACTTATTTTTAAAGAGTTTTGCTTCCTTTTTATTGTTTTTACACATATATGTTCAGTGTAGAATAATCAGAAAAAAGACAAGAAGGAAAAAATTCACTCATAACCCTACCCCACAAATCACTTAATTTTTATGCATTTTTCATAAAATATATATAATATATATCATAAAGATATTTTCAGTCTTTTTCTCATTTTCCAAAACAGGATCTAACTATACATGTTATTTGATAGCTAACTTAGAAAAATAACTTTTCAATTGTGTCAAGAACACCTTTGAAATCAATAAATATACAGATTTATATTTTTTTAGTTTTTACTTCCATTTAATGCTTATTTTTTCTGATTCTATAACAATATGGAAAATGAAAAGTAGAATTCAGAAAATTAACACCTCTAGAGATAACTACTTCCATTTTTGGTATTTTGATATTTTTGATATTTGGTGTTTCCATCTTGATACTTTTTCCAGTCCTTTTTCTATGTATGTCTATAATTGTTACTCCCCCCACCCCCCACAAAATTAGGCTCATATAATGTATGGCAGCATTATCTTTAATGGCAGGATGGTATTTCACTTTATCAAGGTACCATTTTTAATTTATATCATTCCTTACCTTTAGTCATTTACTGTTTCTAATTTTTTTTGTCATTAGAAATGATGCTGTATCTGTTTGTTGTGTTACCTGTCTTGTGCTTATCCATTTTTTTGAAAAAAACAGTAGATGTAGGGCTATTGCTTAGTCAAAGGGGGTGCCCATGTTTATTGCTTTCAATACATATTGCTCTAGAAAAACCATGCCAGCTTACTTCCCCATTAGCACAGGGTCTCTGGACTCCCTCCTCTTACCAACATGGGATATGATCCTCCTTATGAACCTTGGCAAAGCCAGTAGATGGAAAATGGTTCTTGATCTTTAAATCTGTATTACTCTAATCTCTAGCAAGACTGAATATGACTGAATATTTCTCAGACTTTCATTGTTCATTGTTCATTTGTGTTTCTTCTTTGGTCAGTTTCCAGGTCATTCTAGATTAATTCTGTGGGATCAAAATAGGGACACGTCTGACTTCTTTAGAAGACTCTTAGATAAAGAGCTAGATTGAGTGGGTCCAAAGGCTCTTTCTAGTTTGTTTCTGTAGTCAGATCCAAAAGGGTTTGTTTTAAATTGTTGGACATTATATCTAGTCTTAGAATATCTAAACTAAAAGAGCTTATAAATATTATTTTTCCAACTCCTAGTTTTACAGGAGGAAAAAAGACCCAGAAAGGACAAGGGACATACTTGAAGTCACATGGCATACCTTTCTGCTTCTGCCTCTTCCTGTCTCATTATTAAAATGTGATGTCTGGAATGGTTCATTCTGTCTGGAATCCTACTCATCTCTTGGGTTAAAGACGGAAAGGTTGGGTATGAGACTGAGATTCCCAAACGGTCAGTGTCACTGATGAGACAGATGAGGAGAAAGCCCAGGATGAATGTAAATACCCTTGAGAAGGAAAAGAAAGGTCATGACTCTGAAACTTCCCCGTGATTCTAAATAGATGTAGGAGATGTTGTCAAGTTTCAGCATATTCAGGATCTGCTTTAACGAACAGATTAATATTCTTTATGCATAATTTATGATTTTAATAACAATGGGTACTACAAAAAATAAAGTATGTTTCAAAAAAATCATTTCTTAATAATCTCTTCATATTGCAATTTTGTCTAGTCCATTAGTTATCTTAGAAAATCCCATCAGAGACCATTTCAGAGGGTAGGTTTGCTGCAGTAACAACCTCCCAAATCTCAGTGACTCCAACAATCAAGGTTTCTTTCTTGCTCACTCTCCATGTCTGCTGGGAACTGACTGTGGGCTCTGCTCCTCATAGGCATTCATGGACCTGGACCGATGACAGAGCTGTCTCAGCAGGGAGAGGGGATATAGCAAATCATCCACTGATTTTATTTATGGCAGGGGTTGGTCAATTATGGCCTCGAGACCAAATCTGACCTTTCACATTTTTTTGTGCATTCTATAAGGGTTTTTTTTAAACATTCAAAAATGGTTAAAAAAACAAAAGATTTTGTGACACAAAAATCATATGAAATTCAAATTTTGGTGTCCATTAGTAAAGTTTTATGGGAATACACCACACCCATTTGATACTATTATATATGGCTGCTTTGGTGGTGCCACAACGGCAGAGTTGGATAGTTGGTGACAGTGGCCATATGACCACAAAGCCTTAATGTATGTCTGGCTTTTTATAAAAAAAGTTATCTGCCTCTTGTTTTAAACCACCTACCAGGCACTAATATGTGATGCTCATACTCACATTTTGTTGGTCAAAACAAGTTTAATGGTCTTGCCTAACTGCAAAAGAGATGGAGAAATGTATGTAGGGAGGAAAGCTGGAAATATCTGGTGAATGGCCATATGGACTTGCCCATGGGCAGAGCGAAGGTAAATTCCTACCTAGTATCTGGCTGAGATTTCACCAATTCTTAATCAAATCTGGACTAAAGATAATTGACTATAAATGTCTGTTAAAAGCCTGAATTGCCTTCGTCCACACAGACCTGGTCCTCCCTCAGAATGACTGCCATCGATCTGTGGTTATTCTCATAACTGCAATTTACAACTTGATAACAACAGCTAGAGAAATTTATAAGCAACCCAATGAGCAGTTTTAAGAAAAAAAAATCAATTCTAGTTCTCCTGAGTACAAGGGGACATTTAATACTGTAAATCGTCTGAGCTCAGCTAGAAAGAGAAAAAGAAAAACATTTATTTTCTTATTCACAGCTTCCTTTAGAGTAATCACTTTGGAGTCTTATCTGGGAGTAATGTTTCCCAAACAATGCAGGAGGCGAAATCGCAAGGCTGACACTGCTTCCTGAGACAGCATAAACCCCTCCACCAGCTTCAGACAAGCCCCAGTTAAGTCCGCAAGTGCTAAGTAAGCCACTGAGTAAATAAGAAAATGCGAGTCATTTCAAAATGTGATTGTAGGGCTGCTGGATTTAGAACCCTCTCATGAGATGAGGACACTTGCTCAGCTTCCCTCCCTGGAGCTCCACCGTGTAGTTATCACCAAAATGAGCAGCTCAGGCGTGCCCTACCTAGGCCACTTTCTGACCCTTGGACACAGGGACCCGAGAGAGCCAGCTTGCGAATCCCATCCAGCGGTGCCAGAGAGTCAGCCTTGATCAGTTCTGGCTCCCTGAGATGTTTCCTCCCTGTCCCCTCTCTCACAAATTAGCATTCCTTTCTTTTTAAAAATCTCCAAACAGCTCTTGTGCTTTTGCAAACCACACTTCTTCATAATGAATCATCCCCAGAGGGCACATCTTCATGCAGTCTTTCCTACTTCCTTATGGTTCTGGCAACTGAGTAATCAGAGGATATAAGGGCCCTTGTTCCCTGCCATGAAATAAGTTTATAGAGAGATAATTAGCAACAATATTATCTTCATTTGGACTTAGCCATGCTAAATGTCCTATAAGAGTCGTTTACGAGGTGATATGAATGGTAATGGTATTAATAACGCCATTAGCCAGAAGTATCAATATTTTCCACCACTCACTGCCTCCTAATGAGGTTGCGTGTGGAGTTCTCGGGTGGGGATGAGCTGGTGGATTTATAGAAAGTTGTAAGGAAGCACTTAAGAGTCATTAAAAGGAATTTGGTAACCTCAAGATGTAGGGCCCTTGTCCTTCTTGGAGTTAGTAGCTCAGGGAAAGTCTTCATATGCACAGATACAGCGGCCTGGATGCACCTTGCTGTTTGAGAGGTTGGACCAGGGGCTATGCAGACATACCCTTCCATGGGGTCCAGCTCTCTTGCTACCTCTAGGACACTCAGAGCACTCACTGGGGCTTAAATCCATGTACCTTGTGGTGGACAGCCTTGGCTCATGGGCTGTGTGGAACCATGGTTTCATTTTCAGTATCTTTTACAACACCAGGGCAGAAACAACTTCACCTCCCACCTGCTAAGCGTCTCGGCCCTGTGTTTTTCAGCACTCTGACAGGTAGTGAACATCTCCCAAATGCCCCTATAATTATAGTGGGGAGAGCTGGGAGGCCCTGGATGCCCTTTACAGATGGAGAAACTGAGGCTCAGAGGTGATCTGTTCTTGATGAGTGGCCAAGCAGAGAACAGAGACCGTCTCTCTGAGTTCCTAGGCCCAGACTTTAAATGGATGGATAAGAGAAAAGAGGAAGCTCCAGTGTCAGGCAGAGGGTGCTTCAGGCTGTGCCGCGGAGTCTGGGGTGTTCACCTAATTGACGAGGACTCCCCTAAATGAGGCAGAGCAGCACGGAGCAGGGAGTGCTGGGACTGGAGGCAGGAGGCCAGCACAGGTGCCAGCTCTGTCCTTTCAAGCATGGCCCTGCCTGAGGCTCGGTTTTTTCATCTGGGAAGTGGGGATGATTTTCTGTCCCGATGGTCTCTGTGCCTGTGAGAATCACATAGAAGGCTTGCTGAGAAAGCATTTGTGCTTCTGTGTCCCTTCCCTGGCTCTGGGAGGCTGGGCAGAGATGGAGGGAGAGTGAGTACAGTGAGGCAGGGCCTTGCCCCAGCCCTGTGCCCTTGTTGGCAATGGTGGCCCCCCACTTCCTCCATGCGGTGGTACTTCCAGACCCTGTCCCTGGCAGGGCCTCTGAGAGCTACTTCTAGCCATGCTGGGCAGCACCCCTAGGTACAGAGAGCCAAGTGGCTGGCTCTTCTGACACAGGCACATCCAGATTTATGGCCCAGAAGCCTGCTCAGCCAGGGGTTAACTCATCACTGAGGCAGCTCCAGATCTCACACCCCTCTGATCCTTTCACCTTGACTGGGGTACTCAAGTCTGAGCACAAAATGAACACCCACAGTTCTGGGTCAGGGCTATGACTATCTCATTAGCCCATTTGTCCACTGATGTGAGGACATGCTTGTTGATCTTGTCACTGGGGCCTGCATGTCAGGGAAACATCCTCAGAGCATGTCTGAGGGCAGAGGTGGGCCCACCCCTCATCCTCATCCAGGCCAACCTTGGCTGTCACCGGGGGGATTCCATCCCTCAGTGGGGGCTAGGGTCTTGTTCAAGACCTCATGGGAGTCTTGAGCCAGGGTAGATCACTAGATTCCCAGACCCAGAGCATCTTCTCAGGGCAGAGGGACTATGGCTGTGAGGGTGGAGGGAAGCTGACCGGCCGCCCTGGAGCAAACCCCAGAGACCTTGTCTCTGGGGAGGCTTTCTTCCTCAGGGCTGGCAGCAAGGCTCTAGAAATAGCCTCTTTGAGAATAAGAGACTTCATAAGAAGAATTGGCATGAGGTTCTTCTATCTCTCCCTGGGCTGGGACATTTGGGAGCCAGCAGTTCTGGTTCTTTTCTACCACTCTCAGAGCAGCAGGGGCAGCAAAACCATGAACCCTTTCTCTCCCCCTGACAACACAAGGAAAGCACCTGTCAGCCTGAGTGTTGGCAACTGTGTCTAATTCTTCTCCCTACTCACTTTGGTGGACACAGTAAGTGCTCAATATAGAGCAGGTGCTGAATAAATGAATGGGAGAGCAGGGCACAGGGAAGGAAGAGCTGTTTGGTTTGGGTTTTGGTTCCACAAACAACCATGAAATGTTTGAGCTTTTTCTTTCTTTTCTTTTTTTTTGAGACAGAGTCTCACTCTGTTGCCGAGGCTGGAGTGCAGTGGCGCGATCTCAGCTCACTGCAACCTCTGCCTCCCGGTTCAAGCGATGCAAGTCCTGAGTAGCTGGGACTACAGGCACATGCTACCACACCCGGCTAATTTTATTTTTTTGTATTTTTAGTAGAAACAGGGTTTCGCTGTTTTGGCCAGGCTGGACTTGAACTCCTGACCTCAGGTGATCCTCCCACCTTGGCCTCCCAAAGTGCTGGGATTACAGGCGTGAGGCACCATGCCAAGCTGTTTGAGCCTTTTCTTGGAGGAACATGAGCAATCCCTCTGAGGATTACCTGAAGAAATGGTGCCTTTCGGAGGTCCCAGATGAGAAGCACGTGGCCCCGGGAGGCTCTGCCGTGTGTTTCCATGCTCCCCTCTGCTGGTGAGGCTGCCTGCCCGCTGTTATGTGGCTCCTCTTAGCCCCACTCAGATCCTATTATGCCAACGCAAATTGAGTTACAGCATCAAAAGCTCTTTGTTTAGTGAAGCAAGCACTTCGTATTGGTTACTACATCTGTCTTGTTATTTTGCATCATCTTTGCTAGAAGCCTGCATGCATGTCCTTGAGGAGCAAGCTGTAAAGACTAAGTGATTTATGAAATCTATTTTGTACTTTTGGTTATTCTTAAATGGGATAAATAGTGGTGTTGGGGCTCCAGCGTTTGCAGAGGAGAGAACCAGCAGTCCGGTGTCCCCCTTGGGCCTGGAGGATCACGGTGCCCATAGTGCCTGATGCAGAATTGGCTGAGGGTGTGACTGGGTTTTCTCTAGAATTTAATTAGGCACAGTCTGTTACAAAAAGTTGACAAATAGGGCACTCGTTCCTACAGAACGGATGTAGCGATCTGAGATTAAGAGTGCCAATTCTTTGCATTTGTACAGTTTTTAAAAAATAGCACTTTTTCACATTATAAAAGTAATATGGTGTATATTGTAGAAAATTTGGAAAATAGAGACAAAGCACAGTGAAAAATCCTGTCACTGAGGGTGAAGCATTGTGAACACTTTAGTGCGCAAACTTTAGGATCCACTAGGCACATGTGTGTATGTATACCTATACATATGTACTTAGAATTTTTATAAGAAAGGTGTCAAGAGCGCACTTGCTCTTTCCCTTCCCAGCCCTGGTGTCTTTGGTTCCCCAGGAAGCCACCAGACCCACCAGCTCACACGAAGCCTTCCTTGTTCCTGGCCCTTGTCCTCCCCTAGGGAATCTTCCCCAGCTTAACACACAGCAGAGGAGGGTGACTGAACACTGACCATATGTCCCCAACCCAATGGTCTGTGTCCACCGGGGTGGAGTTTCCATGTTGCCGCCAGGGACAGGAGTTGGGGTGGCCAACCCTCTGGCTTCCCTCGATGGCTTTGTGACCCAGGAGATACCAAGTGTTCAGCATTTCTTGGCAGCTCTCTCCTGCCCAGGGGGCTGGGATAGCTACTGACGCACAGGGTGTGGCTGACCTCTCAAGTTTTGAGGCAAATCTTGATCCTTATAGCCTGCAAGACCCCCAGTTGTGCCCATGCCTCATGCTCTGTCCTTTGTCAACCCTGGGTTGTTGAACATGACCCTCTTCTGCTTGAGGATGGCTCCAGAGAGGTGTGTGACCAGCCTTGTGTGCAATGTACAGAATTTGGGGTGAGATAGTGTGGAAGAAACCCATGGCTTTGTAGGTCTTTTCAGCCTGTGGAGGAAAATCATACAAGAGGAGTCCACAGACTTGGATGTCTTCTCTCTGGTCTTAAGAAAAACTCTTCTTTTGGTCACTGAAAAGTGATGTTTAAAGGATCTCCATGTTGGTGCTGATATATAAGAGAGTATTTGCACAGTGTCCACTCTCCATTTTCCTAGAGAAATCAATCCTCCTCGTCAGAAACTTGTGGTCCCAAGACTATCTGCATCCATATCAGCTGAGCTCAGGGGCAGTGTTGGGAGGCAGGCATCCGCGACACTCCTTAGTCAATATTCTCTGCCCTCCCAGCTCACCCTGACTTTGTTCAGTTGATCGCCCCGCTGCTGTCAGGAAGGCCTGTCCTTGAACATGGTTGAACGATTCATTACCTGTCAGAGGCAGCCAGGTGTGTCTGTGCTGGGGGCTCACTTAGTTGGCTTAGTAATTAAAAGCAAACAAAGCCTGGATGGAGACCTATTGGTGCTGCTGGGGGCGCTGAGGCAGAAACAAGCAGGCAGGCAGCCAGGTCCCAGAGCCGAGGATGATGCGGTATCATAAGAGGTGACAGAGTGCTGCTTCCCTGGAGTGGGGAAAGCAAATGGCTCCTCTGCAGGCCGTCTTTACGGACCCACAAAGTTCCTGCTCCCATCTGGGCCTGGGGCGGGACTGTCACTGGGCGTGCCATTGGGCCTTCTGTGGTGAGAGGGGAGGAGGGCAAGGCCTGTTCTCAGATCCCTGCCCTGCTGGGCCCTGTTATTGGAATCACACTGGGTGCTGGTGACATCCTAAGAAAAGACAGAATTTTAGTTATTAAGTCAGTGGCAGTGGTGGGATTCAAACCCAGTGCTTCCTGACTCTAAAAGCCAGACTCTTGTTTTATTCCCTTAGGTTGGGGTATAGACTAGGTTGAATAGGTGGTCCCCCAAAAGATGTATCTACGTCCCTGAGCCCAGTGTGTGTGACTTTATTTGGAAAAACAGTTTTGCAGGTGAAATTAAATTAAGGATCTTGAGATGGGGTGATACTCCTGGATTACCTAGGTGGGCCCTGCATCCAAGTGTCCTTGTAGGAGAAAGGCCAACGGGGGATTTGAGACACAGAGAAGACACACGAAGAGGAGGCAGTGTGGCCACAGAGGCAGAGGTTGGAGTGATGCGGCCACAAGTCAAGGAATGCTGATGGCCACCAGAAGCTGAAAGAGGCAAAGGCAGCTTCTCCCTTAGGGTCCCTGGAGGGAGTCTGGTGTGGCAGGATTCTGGGCTTCTGGGCTTCAGAACTGTGGGAGAATCATTTCTGTCGTTATAAGCCACCCAGTTTGTGGTCCTTTGTTATGGCAGCCACAGGAAACTAACATGGGTGGCTCAGCACAAGTCAAAGGCTGGGATTTTCAGTCCCTTTGCAATCACTGTGGCATCTTTTTAGATATCAGAGGCAGTCCTGTCAGGCTGAGCATGGAGCCATGTGGCGCCATCTGAATCCATCTCTCCAGGCCTCTGGTGACATCGCAAGCTGCCCTAGTCTCAGTGTCCCTCTCATGTAGCCTGGAGTCCCCAGCCATGGAGCGCAGTGGAAGCTGACCTGATGCTGCATGTACTTTTGTGAATTGATTTTGCTCAGCTCAGAAGTTGCCTGCTTCTCACCTGGAGGCAGTGGCAGGAAGTTGGTGGTGTTTGGGGCCTTTTGCCCTGAAGTGGCACACCCCTTCTGCAGCCTCACCGGCAGGCGACCTCAAGGAAGGTTATAAATAGCAGCCGGGGATGGGTTCTGAGTGCCTTGAGGTGGAAACACAATACTTGATGACAGCTGAGCACAGGGGGAGACAGCTCGATGCTGGGGGCCATTGCTTCTCCGCAGCTCTGACGGTAATCAGAGCAGGCAGATGTCACCGACAGCTGGAGCTAATGGGCTGTCAGACAGGGCCGGACCAACCTGGGACATCCTCCGTGCTCCCTGGCACAAGTCCAGTCCAGACCGAGGGCACTCAAGCATGGGACGCCAGGGGAACGGCTTTGATGCCTACTGGTGAGGGCCATGCCCCTCCCTGCCTGGTGAAGCCTTGTTAGGAGTTGGTGGCTCTCCTGCACCCACCCCCGCGGATAGTTTTATTTTTCATCAGTGGGAAATGGTCATTTGAATTACTGATGAGAGATTAAAACTAAGCTAATTCAGTTCAATTTCTTCAATAGACAAAACTATTGATAATTAACCTAGAAGCAAAGGTCAATGCAGTGGTAAATGGCTGCAGAGGCAGAGGAATTGCAATGAGGAGCTATTAGTTTGTGCTAAGGTGGAAATTATACAAGAACCATCTTGAGAAACACTTTGAAATGAGTTCAAGATTCCAGACCAAAGTTTGGTGCCCACCTGAAAGACCTGCATCTCAGCCTGGGGACTTTTGAGCATAGGATTGGCAGGGCTTGTTTCTTGACTATGAAGTCCTGAAAAAGGAGTGAGCTGTGGTTTCTGGGGGGTGTGTCCTTCAAGGTGGCGTGGGAGTAGGGAGACCTGAGGCCTGGTTTTAACTGGTTTTGACTCCTGAGTCTCTGTGTGAGTGCAGCGAGGCACTGAGTCCCTGAGTGACCTCAGTGTCTCTGTGAAGTGAGGAGGTGGAGCCAGGCCACTGAGCCTCTTCATCTCTGCCACCACGGACTCTTGCCCTGTGGTTGTAATGAATGATTCCAGGGACACCAGGAAAAGGTGGGCAGGAAGCTGTGGTGCCCTCTCTATTTTTACACACAGCCACCCTCTGAAGGGGATTCACGCTGTGATTTATTAACTTGTCTGTCTGTGGAGTTGGGTGTCTTGGTGGGAGTCCTGGACTCAGGTACCATTTAGCAACCTTGAGAGTTCAAAGGGCTCAGCCATTGGACATGGTATGTGGTGGTTTCCCGGTGCATGCCTGGCTCCACCTCTCCCCTGCTCAAGGATGCCTGCGTGCTTTGGGCAGGAAAAGCCAAACTTGGTTGCTTTGGCAACAGGGGTCTTGGTGAGAAGCTGGTACACAAGCAGGTGCTTCCAGTGTGCCAGAGAAAGGCACAGGGCCTTCTTCGCCCCGAGTCTTCTTACTTCTCTGATGGAGCTGAGTCATGCATCACCTCTTGTTTAATGGTGGTGAAATATACTCAGGTACTCTGATACTGTGAAATATACATTTGGTCTTCATCTCCCTTTCCTGGCAAGAGATCCTGAAGCCCTGGAATCTCTAGAGGGATATGAGTGTCTTTTGTCTGCTTCTGAGATGGCTGGTGGCCCCTAAATAGCCTCAGGATGGGGGCACATGCCTTGTTCTGTGGATCTCTTTCACCTGGATTAAACTGGTAAATGTAAGTAAAGCGTTTCCCTGAGTTCTGTGAGCTGCTATAGCAGATTAATCGAACCCAAGGAGGGGGCTGTGGGAACCCTCATTTATAGTGGGTCCATCAGAAGCATAGGTGGCAACCCACTATTTATGATTGGCATCTGGAGTGGGAGCAGTCCTGTGGGATCTGATGCTCTCTCCAGGTAGACAGTGTCAGAACTGAATTGAAGAAGAGGACACCCAGCTGGTGTCTGCTAGAGAATCACCTACAGAATTGCGTGGTGTGTGAGAAAACCCTCCCATGCATCTGGTGTCAGAAGTATTGTCTTGAGTGCCTGGGTGGTGTGGGGGTAGAGGGAAAAACACTTTGGTCTTTGTCCCGTCTCTTCAAAGGTATTTGTCTCAGAACACTAGAAGTGGCTTTCAAACATCTATCTAGCAGCAACATTCTTTAAAAAATTAAACCTTAGAAGGAAACTCAATATGTAAGACAAAGAAAAGGGGAGCTGTTCTGCAGCGGGGAGTTGCAGCCCTCCCATCTGGCCCTTTCTCCCCAGGGGCAGGCTGGCTTTGGAGGGGGCATGAGGACTTCCCCATGCCCCAGTTCCAGGGTATGCTGACCTTGGTCAGAAAGCCACCCAATCAGCCTCCTCATTTTACAACAGAGGGACTTGAGACAAGAGAGGGGAGTGGACTGGTCCATGTGTCCCAGCAGGCTCCTGGCCAAGCAGGACTCCCCTGGTTTCCAGCTTGGTGGAGGAGTGGGGAAGGAGACAGGGGCACTCTGTCCGGGACACCATACTGCCTCTCTGGGAGCTATTCTCAGACCTGCTGGGTGTTTGAGTCTCTGACATCCTGAGGATCTGGCTTCCAGTGAGATCTCCCCTCTGTGTGACAAGTCCCCTAAGACTGACTTTCAGACTAAGGCCTCATCACTCCCTCTGTCCAAGGGGGCCCAAACCAGCCCCTGGAGAGGAGGAGAGTGCAGGGCTGGGGAGAGATTCTGGGTACAGGGGCATGATTTGGGGCTGTGCTGAAGTCCTTTCCTGTGGAATGTAATTGTTGCTCAGGGGACCAGCAGGGCTGCTGTGGGACACCCTCTTCTGATGTTTTAATTTCAACTTATTTCCTGGGGTGCTGAAGCTACTTTTGAGAGGAGCTGATTGGGACCTATGAATGGCCCAGGAGCACCTGGTGGTGACCAGCTCTGGGCTCTGCTTTCTTTTCCTGTTTTGTTCTTGCCCATCCAGAAGTTCTTGACTTCTTGCCTTGAAGGTTTGTCTCCTGAACGCTATGGCACTTGATCACCTTCTAATGTACCATATGCTTTACCTGTTTACTTTGTCTATTGTTCATGGTCTGTTTCCATGCCCATGCCCCCAACCCCACCTCCTGCCCCCACATGAAAGCTACTCCAGGGCAGAGAGACTGTCTGATTTGTTCACTGCTGTAGTTTAGGTAAGATCTCTATGGATATTGTTAAAAGGACACATGAATAAATGAATCACATTTCCTTCCCACATATCTTCAGACTTCTGGCAGAATTACCTCTGGGAGGTAATTCTCTACTCTTTGTTTTTTGGTTTTGGGCTTCCTTTTGCATGGCGTTAGAGTTCGTGGGTCCGAAAAAGGATGTTTAATATCTGCTGAAGGACTAAAAACTATTTATTAAAGATGGGATTCATATTCTTGTTGAAATGTTGCCTTTCCAGGAGCATCGGTGCGTGTGCCTTTCCATGACGCCCCCGGAATGTTCACATCCTTAGCTTTCTGGCTTCACCAGGGACCCTCCCTGATTTCCCACGGCTCCACCCTCACCTTCCTTAGATTTCTGCAGTTTTAAAGTCTACTCTCCCATCTCAGTAATGAAGAAATAAACAATGGTTCTGTGTGTGACCCCTGATTTTAATTGGATTTCAGAGCAATTTTGAATGAATGAATGAAGTTTCTGGGCTCTGAGAATATGCTCTTCAAATAATGAGCTGAAACGATTACATTAATTTCCTAAGGATCTATTCCTTCCTCTGCTCAGATTATTTGCAGACACTGGTCAATGCTGCATATAAATTGAGGTCTCAAAAGGCTAACTTAACAATTAATCGGAAGCATCTCCAAGCCCCTAAAAATTGAAATAGCTCCACAAATGGAAGAGGAAATCTACCTTCAGAGACCTCTTGTTATTAAAGATGTGCACTTTGGATACATCAAGGGATTCTGGGGTGAACTCTGTTTATCAGGGTCCAGGGGGCGAGGAGTGTTCATACATCAAAGACATAATTCTAAGCATTTTGTCATATCAGCTTTTCTCTTTGTTCTTGCAATGCAGAGTCTTGGAGGCAAGTCATCTTTGTCACTCAAGAAGTGCAGGAGGTTTGATTGAGAAATATGCCTGAGTGTGACCCCCCAGGGTCACTTGTCTTCATTCTTCCCTTCTCACTGTGCCCCCGTTGGGCTCCCATAAGACCCTTGGCATCTGATCCTCCTGCCTTTTGTGTTCCTCCTCCTTGCACCGCTACGTTCCTGGCAACTGAATTTCCGACCAGTCTCCTTTTCTCTGGTATCTCACTCCTTGTCCTTTCTGAGCATGTTGCCTGGGGTCATAATTATCCTGCTCAAGAATCCTTAGTGACTCCCTAATAAACCCATGGGATGAAGTAGGAGCTCCTCCCTGCTGGCTTCTGGGCCCTGTTGGATCCAGTCCTGCGCCTCCTCCACAGTGCCCTCTTCCCTGTCCCCACATGTGCTCAACTCTCCACTTGAGCTGGAGTCTTCATAGCACCTCTCACCCCTGAGCACACACACTGCCAATTCCTGCCTCTGGACTCTTGTTCCCACTGTTTCTAGAGTGGCCCATGTTACTTATTGTCCCAATCAGGATTATTCTGGTAAGGAAAAGGGACACTGTTAATAATTAATGCTGGAACAGTGGGTGTAAATTGAATTGTCCCAGCAAGCCAGGACATGTGGTCACTGGGGCTGCGTCCTACCCCTGTTTGCTTTCACTTTTCATCTTCATTCTCCCTCCTGCTAAATTCAGCTTCTGTCTCTTTCATCCTTGATGGCTCATTTCCAGGGAGGGTCTGTCTTTAGCTCAGGCTGATCAAGAACCAGATGAGAAGGAAAACTTGACCTTTTGCTGAAGGCATGATGTTAGCATGAAACCCTCAAGAAATTCTGTGACTAATCAGAAGAATATTATTTTTTCTAAAGAAAGGGTCTTCTTCCTTTAATCAGTATTTTTACAATTTAATAATTTCTTTCTTTCCTTACCTCCTTGTGGACTTTTCAAAGCTTGGCAACAGCCTATGAGATAGTTTGTATTAAGCTTTTAAAGGGATACATTATAACAAGTTTTCAGAAAATGTATAGTTTTCAAACACAATCAATGTTTTCTTGTATAACTTCCCTTCAAATCCGAAACATCTCCTATTACCACCCTTTTCTGAAAATAGCAGCTTATTTATTAGAATACACTATCAATAACATACATTGCATTGTTTTCTAATAGTTTAATGTATCTTTTTTCCCTCCAACAAGTTGAGAAGTCCCCAGGGAGAGGATATAAGATATTACATGTCTTGGTTCTTCCTTGGTCCCTAGCTCAGGGCTGGCCACAAACAGTTGGTTTCTGCTCTTCAGTTGCCTGCAAGAGTAAGTGAAACATGAAGCCTAAATTCCAACACTTACGAAAGCTAAAGCTGCACTTGACTCCGGGTTTGGCGAATGTTGCAGAGTTGGGAGCCTGTCACATTGTTCTTCCTGTAAAGTAACTATTTTCTCTCTGTTGTACAGAGGATAGCAAACACTGCAATGTATAAATCACAGACATGAAATTGAAAGACCATGTACATGATCCACAGAGAAAAATATACATAAGTGGAGTAGGGAATAAGGAGGTTATGCGGGTACCAGACAAGCCTCTGGTTTCAAGGGTGCTTCCCTCCCAAAGGGAAGAAAAACAATGTTGTAACCAGGAAGAATGTGCCCTCACAGCTGATGGCACTATAATAGCATAAACAATGACAAGTTCCATAAACGTCACAAATGTGGGAATTTGCCTTGAAGTTCCTTCTGGGATCTAATTTAAAGGCACATCTTGTTGAAACGGAGGTCATGAGGGAAGCAGAAATAAGTGGAGAGAAATGCAGCGTGACAGCTGGACCCTCCCAGCCGGCCCGGGGAAGCTGTGCTGCTCTGTGGGGAAGGACTTCTGGGGGAGGAGGCATGGGTGGAAAGGGGCCCTGGAGGACACAGGCCTCTGCGACTGCAACCCCTCAGGCCTGCTGACACGAGGCACTGCAGAACCTGCGCCGTGCCGTGCTGGGAAGAGGATTTGGAGCAAGAAGACCCAAGTTTGAGTCTTCCTTCTGCCGTTTTCTATAGTTGTGTGACCTTGAGCAAGTCAGTGTACCTATGAGCGGCCACCTCCTCATGTGAAAAATGGAGCTGAAACTAATGCCCGATGGGGCTGCTGTGAGGACTAAACGCAGCAGCCCCATCTCCAAGGGCAGGGAGGGTGGCTGCCACACTGTCATTTGATTAACAAGGAGGTGCTGGCCAGGAGCAGTTGATGTGGAGGTCCCTCAGCCTGAATATTCTTTATGTGCAAGGCTTCATTCAGGATTTTAGTTTTTGAAAAACAGACTATTCCTTTTCTTCTTTAAAATCAGAATTGGAAATTTGAATGTGGAAACAGGAGGTCTCATCTGGAACAATGCGTGGGCAGCCCGGTTTCATCTTGATCTGTGGATGTATTGTGAATTTCTCGGGTCACCTAAACCTGCCTGCGCCTCCAACGGTGCTATGAGTTTAGCAAGTGAAGAGCACACAAACAGATGCTTAAATTATAGCCTACAGTTCAGTGCACCCCTCAGGCTGAGTGTCGTTGCACAGAGAGGGTGAAGAGCCTTGTGCGGGTTCCAGGAGGTCAGAGAGGCTCCTGAGAGCTCAGCAATGACACCTCCATGCTTCTCAGCCACTGAGCAGAGTGGAGGAGCAGGGTGTGAGCAGGGAGCAGACAGAGGCTTGGTGGTCCGGGCATTCCTGAAACCTGCATCTAAAAACTCAGAAGGGAAGGCTTCCTCCCAAGGGCCCTGCACCCAAAAGCTGTTCCTGTCCCTTGCCCAGGCTGGGAGAGACAGAGGGCATGCCTGTTTATTTTCAAAGTGAAGTTGACTTCACTTTCTTGTTCTAGGTGGTTCTTATTTTAGCTGAACCTTGTGCAGTCTCTCTCCAGGGTTGGAGGGAAGTGTTTCATGTGTACGCAAGGCAGGGAAACAGCAGGTTCCGACCCAGCATTGAGAAAGGATTGGGGAAGCTATGTGTGTGGGCGGTGGGCATGTGGGTGGACGGCTGGGCAGATCTCCTTCGTTCTAGAAATTCTGCTGATCTTCCTGGAAATTGTGTGTGTGTGCATGCGTACGTGTGTGTGTGTGTACATATATATATATATAGTATCTTCTAAAACATCTTCTCCTGGACTTTGTTGGAAGAGAAGGGCTGGGTGGGGGGCTTTAAGCTGAGTCCTTGTCTGAGATGAGTGAGGTTCTTTTGTGCTCAGAACTGTGGTACAATTCATCCTCAAAAAGGAATCTGAATTGAAAGGGGATTTGGTGTGAGGCAGGGGAAGGTGTAGGGGTGCATAGATCTGTTCATTAGGGCAGATTAAAGTCAAGCCTCCCCTGAAATTGGTGGAAAGTGCTTGCAGCCCTCTGTGGTTTGGAAGATTATGCAGCTATCACAATGCACTTCGTGAGTAGGCTGTGGGGGCTGGATTTAATTTTATGTCCGCCGGGAGATTCTGGCAGTGTGTTTCTGTGGTGGGGAATCATTATTTACAATGAAACACTTACACAGAAGTAGTAAAGTTAATGGAGGTTTCAGTGGAATTAGCCTTGTTAAGTTCCCCAGTGACACAGCCGGCTCCCCTCTCCAGTAGCTGGATCCAGCAAGGAGGCAGCACACAGAGCTAGTGGAGTTTAGGATGTGGATGAAATTGGGAGTGACCCAAAGCAGCAAGACCCAGGCCTTCAGTACTGGCCTGCAGCTGGGCTCTGTGATGGGGCTGCTTCTCTGGCCAACAGCCCCTGCATGGCCATGCTGTGTGTTCCCAGTCCTGGCAGCTCCTTGCAGAGTAAATGCTGTTAATCCACGGCCCATTGTTGACTCTTGCTGCTGCTATCAGAATTTCTGGGACCTGGAGCATGCTGAGGGCTGTGATGAGGTAAGATGTGATTCATCCCCGTGCTCACGTTCCCTAAAGGGGTGACAAGGCTGCACCACGTGGAAGGAGAGTCATTCAGGTGGGCCACATGCCATGAGATTCTTGGATCGAAGTTCTCTTGGATAAGGTTGCCATGTTTACTCCCAGTTCCCTGGCTTAGGAGCCAGGCAGATATGGGTTTGAATCCAGATTCTACTGGATGACCTTGAACATGTCATGTGTATTCTCAAGATTCATTTTCTTTATCTTTAAAATGGGGCCACTGTTTTTGCTGGCATCATAGGTTGTTAGGAGGATGATGTGACTTAGGGTATGGAAAGCACTTAGTACTGTGCCAGGTCATGCTGTTTCTTTATTCTCTGTCCCAGCTTTCACCTGCCCCTCCATACTCTGTATTTCTGGGCCAGAACACCCACAGACTGCATTTTCTGGGCTCCCTTTCCAGGTGGCTCCCTGCCAAGTTCTGCCCATGGGAGGTCAGAGGGCTGGAAGAGAGAAGAGCCTTCCTTCTTCCTCATTCTCTTGCTCTTTGTCTTCTTCTTCTAGGGGTGTCTCCGAGGCAGGGGCAGCTGTGGCCCTTCCTCCATGCTGCCAGCTCCTGGGACAGAAGCCGGTCCTCTTACACTTCAGGTCTAGGTCACATTATCTCTTGCCTTTGTGACTCCCAGCCCTTGGGGAGATATTGGCTTCCTGCATTACCTAATCTTTGGTCACCCTATCTTCCTTCTTACTGTCACCACACCTGGTAAGCAATTCACTATGTGAAAGCTCCTCTATTTGAAGGACCTAGAATGGCTTCTGTTTCCTTGACCGGACTGTGACTGATACAGTGGAACTCCCATTAGTTATAACAAGTGCATGGCCTTGGAGTCAGACAAGACAAGGTTTGCACACCCTGGCTCCACTCCTTACTTGCAGTGTGACCTGAGCCTCTGTGTTTGCATCCATTAAATGGGGACGATAATAGACTCAGCTTCGCAGGGCTGTCGCGAGGATTTAAAAAGATAACAATAGAAGTGAAAAGCTTAACACAGCGGGGTAGTGAACATCAACACATGAGAGTTTGTTTCTAGATGTGTGTGTTGCTTTCTCAGGTTGGCCCAGGAGTGTTGGGGATGCCACTGGGAAGGGCAAGTGAGGCAGTGGGCCTGGGCCTGGGTATCTGTGGGCAGCAAGGAGCCATGGGAGGCTTGAATGGGGGCTGCCTGGAGTACAGCAGTCTTTACACCCCTGATCTCCCTGCCGCTTCCTCCCAGTTTGGTTCAGAGCTTCAGCTAAGCAGCAGAGGCTAGGCCCTCCCTGGGGCCACCTGGTGCCATGACTTTTTCCCCAAGTCTCCAGAGCTCAGGTAAGAGAGGAAGGGTCAGTGCCTCAATCTGAAGAGTTGCTGGCAGTGTGGCTTTTAAAATCTACTTATTCATTTCACCTAATTAGCCAATGACCTCAAACAAACCTATAATGTTATTTTCCCCTCAGAATGACACTCGTGGGGTTTGGAGAGCTACAATATTTTATCTGTTACTCAATGGCCAAACCTCTCAGCACTTGCTCGCTTAGACACTCTAGTGGGGATTGGTGGTGTTGGCCTCACCTGGGGGTTATCTGGGAGTTGCAGGGCCTGGGAGCCGATCGATGTGCCATCCTTCAGGCTTCTGTGGAGTGACAGGTCAGCATCTCCATTGTAAATGGCTTTCCCTGGGCTTTTCATCTCTAGGAGGGAAGAGTCGTGCTGAGCAAACCAGGACTGTGCAAACTTTGGAAGGATCCGAATCAGCAGAGACAACCTGCATCCTAAGCAGGTCACCTGGACAGTGTAGACTGCCCACCTGACTCCACACTGTCAGACCCTGCCTTTTCCCAGGTGGTCCTGGAGAGCTGGAGCTGGGAACCATGTATTTGGAGTAGCTCCAGCAGCCCAGAGTGCAAGGCCTCCACTCTACCATGTGCCCTCACTGCAGGGAGCCCACTTGCCTCACAAGCGTCCTCACCTTCAGATAGGTCAGCTTCCAGGGTGCTCAGTATGGCCCCCTAGTCTTTGGCTACTTCACTCAGGTCTCCTCTCCATGAATGAAGATCCTACTTGTTCTGTAAGGCTCTAAGGAACCTTCCCTGGCTGTCCAGAGCCCGCTTAACTCTATCCTTCTTGTCTTCCTCTGTATTGTATAATAGACATGTCATTATGTTTTGCTTTAAATGATTCTCCAGGTCTTTGTAAATGTCAGGCTGGAGTGTCTTTGTTGGTCTGTATAATGCATGGGATTGCCTGGTCAACCCTACGGGAATCTGGACTTCCTTTTGGGGCCCTGGGTACAATTCTGGGTACTTGTATCAAGAAGCCAGAGCTTTTAGGGTATTGCTGTGTGGGCCAATCACCTAAACTTTCCCGCCTGTGGATAAGGGAAAACTATACACCAAACATTTTCAGACCTGACTTTGTGCCAGAAACACTTGGGGGAAAATATTTAAAAATACGATTCCCAAACCGTACCCCTAATATTCTGCTTTAGTAGATTTGGAGGAAGGGCCTGGGGATGTGTATTTTGAAACCAGATTCCCCCAGGTAATTCTGATCTCCAGTGTGCGAACCCTGGCACATGAGCCAGCCAATTACCCTTACCACTGTGCCACATCTTACATTTCTGAGGACAGTCGTATTTCGAGCATTCTGTTTCATTGCTCCCATAAACCACGGAAATAGTCCAGAAAGCCTCAGGCTTTTTACCCAACGTGAATCTCTCAGGCCACCTCTCAAACATAAATCAGGCAGGAGGCATTGTCCAGACCTCAGGTCCTGAGTTAGGAAATGGAAACTGCACCCTTCCCAGAAAAATCATCATGAAGCCTTTGATTTATAATTCTCTTATCTAAGATTTGGAAGCTACTTTAGCCAAATAGTTCAAGAATCTCCTCTGCTCTAGTTATTCCCTGCAAGACCCCTTCCAGCTACAGGAGCTCACTCTTTTGCCATGTTGATGACTCCAAGAGCAGCCTGACCTGTTAGAATCTTCTTCATTAGAGGATCAGTATCCATATCTCTGTCCTTTTAGGCCACGGGTCTTATCCTAGAGTGGTGGTTTTCAACCCTGGCTGTACCACAAAATCACATATTGATACCCAGACCTCTTGCACTGAGATTTGGATTCAGTTGTTCTGTGGTGAGGCCCTGGGCTTGGTTCTGATGCGAGCTGGATTTGAGAAGCCCCTGGAACAAGCCATGTAGCTCACATGCATGTGTGCAGTATGAGAGGAAACAAATTGGAGCACAATTTGAGAAAATATAAACACTTAGGGCACAGTTTAGAACTTCCCTTACTACACTCTAGTTATTTCTCATCACTGAGTTGTCTTACTCCATTTTCCAGATAATTTTAAACATCTTTCTCATTGTTGCAATTTGTTTCAAAATGACACTGACGGTGGCCACCCTCTGATCCCTGCTTGCTGACTGGACAGACTTCCGCTCTCAACATAGTTGTTTGGTTTACTGCTTGCCTTTAATGCTGCTTTTCACCATCTGTGCCTTCTCTGGCCCTTATTTTTTTGTGAGGGCAAGATTAACTTTCTGGTCCACTAAGTCATCTGAACCTTTTCTCTCCAGAACACCAAAAGAAAGGAGTAGGAGGAAGTCTGCAGCCATCCCTTGTGTTTTTCTCCATCATCTTATTTCCAGTGTGACCTAGCTCCCGGGCTGGGTGGTGTCACTCTCTGCTGTGATGTGTCAGGGGCACTGGTGTGGAATACAGATTATCCACCAACACCCTCCAGCCACACCCAGGGACTCCTGCCCGATTCAGTTTCCAAGACAGGAACGTGCTTGTTATGCTGAGCACTGGAAGACGGCTTTTCACATTCCACGTGGCTTCCGTGCAACCTCCAACCGGAGGATGCACATCCTGCCCAGTTCCTCCCTTTCTCCTCCCCAGAACCTTGCACGAAGACCCAGCCAGCCCTCAGGAAAAACTCACTGCATCAAATTCAGTTAAATTTCTCACTCTTCCCACATTGGATCCACCCAAAGAGGCAAGCCTGAGAAGTATTAGTGTCAGGTTTTGTGTTCTTACTTCAGCAGGCTGTTGCTGTCCTTGTTGGTGACAGTCCCTGGTTTCCCAGCCCCCGTTGCCTGGTGTTTAGCCCAGTACAATTAGCGAGTTGTAGGAGTCAGGGGAGAGATTTGTTAATATGAAGGTGTATGATTCCTACACATGCTCAGATTTCCAAATAAGCATATTGTCTCTTTGCAATGGAGTTGCTCTCACCCTGTGCAACTGGTTTATAGGATTCATTAATTCTGCTATTAGAAGCAGATCCCTATTAAAGTCAGTTAATAAACTATAATAGTCTCTCAGTGAACTCAAAGCCAGGAAATATAGGAGCCTGATGGTAGCAATGCCATGGGGATGGGGAGAAACACTGCTTCTGTTTTTTGGCAGGGAAGGGCTGGTGCCCATTATTTACACATGCAGCAAATTTAAGGCATGCCAAAGGAAAGTATTGCAAAAATGTAGGGGAAAAGAAGAAAAATCAGTGCAGCCTTTGTGTTTTAGTCTTATGGCAAGAAAACCTGCATTGTGTAAAAAGATTAAACATATGAGAACAAAATGAATCCTACATTTGACATTATGCTTTCCTCAAATCTACATGTGTGAAGCTTGGTTATTTTAGGTCCCCACAGTTCAATATAGCAGCCATTAGCCGCATGTAACTACTGAGCCTGTAAAATGTGACTAGTCCAAATTGAGATGTTCAATGTGTATAAAGTACACTTGGGTGTTTGAAGCCTTGGTACCAAGAAAAGTGAAATATTCAATAAAATTTGTATATTGATGAAATTATACTATTTTTATTATTTGTCTGAAGCAATGAAAAATTGCAATATTTCAGATATGTTACGTTAAGTAAAATGTATTATTGAAATTTATTTCACGTTTATTTTTTTCTTTTTAAAAATGTGTCCACAGGACAATTCCAAGCTACATACGTGGCTTTCATTTCTGTAGGACAGTGTGGAGGAGAGTGGACTCTCCTCCATTGGACAGGAGGCTGCTGACTTCTGGAGATGAGTGTGGGCATGTGGTTGAGAAACTCACTGGCCCATATTAGCCTCTCCTTTGCCAGAGTCTGTTCTTCCTGGAAAGCCAATCAACAGAATGTTAACACGATGGCCAAAGGGAGCCATCTTCCACTGAACTGTCTTTTGGAAACCTCAGCCCAGTTTATGTTTTTTCTTCGTTCAGAGCAGAAGTGCTACCATGAAGGAAGCAGCCGAGCCCCCAGGTCATAGAGTTGGGAAATATTCAACAATCATGAATGTACTAAGCATCTCCCAAGTGCTAGGCACTTTCCTGAGCACTGGGATGCAGTGGTGGACGAGGCAGGTAAGCTCCTACACCCCTGGAGCTTACATTCTGTAGTGGAGGCAGACAATAAACAGGTATGTAAATAAATGAACAAGATGCCTTTAGGCAGTGATAGCTGCATGGATGTAAAATAAAGTGGGGACACTGAGTAGAAAATGATGGGGGATGGAGTGGGGACCTTAAACTGGATTGTCTAGGAAAGCCTCTCTGAGGAGATGATACTTGAGTTGAGATTTGAATGACAAGAAGAAGCCCATCATGCAGAAATGTGAAAAATCAATGTTTTAGGTAGAGGGATCAGCTGGTGCAAAGGCCCTAAGGCTTCACCAAGCCTGGTGTGTTTGAGAACCAGAAGGAAGACCCATAGGAAGGGTGTGATAGGAACTGGGGATGGAGAAGTGTCAGGGGACAGATCATGGGGGAACTTGTAGCCATGGTAAGGGGTTCCGATTTTAGTCTGAGACTCTGGGAACCCTGCAGGGTTTCAATCTGGGAGTGATGTGACCACTCTGGCCCCTTAGTGGAGGGTGGACCACAGAGGTGCAAGTCTGGAAGCAGGAAGACCACTGAAGAGGGTCCTCCCAGGCAAGACATGGTAGTAAGTGAACAAGGATGACGCAGTGGAAGTGGAAAGAGGTGGTTGAATTCAAGATTTATTTTGGAGGTAGAGCTGTGTGGAGTGGCTGATTATTCGGCTGTGGAATATGAGGGAAAGAGAGGCATATGGACGATGCCTAGATGTTTATCCTGAGCAGCTGGATACTTGAATGATGGTGTCCTTTACTGAGATGAAGAGGCCTGGGTGGGGGAAATGAATTCTGCAACAGGTGGGAATTAAGAGGGTTATTAAGAGTGCAGTTTCAGACATGTTGAGCTAAAGCTTACATTAGACATTCCAAGTGAAGACAAGGAGGAGGGTCTTGAGTCTATGACCCAGGATACAGCTCAGAGGAAAGGTCTGGGCCTGTGATAGAAACAAGGAAGCCATGGGCACCTATGTGACATTTACAACTGCAGATCTGGATGGGCTCCCCAGGGGTGTGAGGGTAGATGGGGAATGGCAGAGTTCTGGAAACCTGAGGCTTTAGGGCCTTCCCATATTTAGAGGCTGAGCAGGGAAAGAGAACAGCAAAGGTGAAGGTAAACTTGATTAAAAGTACAGAAGCCAAACCAGAAAAAGTCTAAAACTCCTTAGCCCTGTGTGGTGTCAGGCATGAACTGTCAGTTTTTGGCCTTTTGCTGATTTGTGTTTGAGGAATTCTCAGGCCCAAGGCGGCTCAGGGTTGGGTGTGTAAGACATGCTTCTTGGGGATGCCTCGGGCAGCAGTCCTGCTGGCTGAGTCCCAGGGTGTACCCAGGATGCTGGGAGCTTTTGTTCAGGATAGGATTTTAGACACCCATTTATGAGAGCAATCTAGGAAGGCTGCATGGAAGAGGCAAGTCCTGAGCAAGCCTTGAAGGGCAGGGAGAATAAAGATATGAAAGGGCCCCCTAGGTATGAAACCAAACCTTGAGGTGGAAGTAGCTCAAAGTGCTCGGGGGAAGTGGTGAAGAGGAAAGGGATTATGAAGAGGTCTAGGGTAAGTGTGACAGCTTGCTAATTGTCTATATCAGAACTCAATAACCTTTGTTTTTTCTTCAAAAGTAGAGGTTTTGTTTGGGTGCATAAGGGAAATAGAGCTGGACAGGCCCACGACTGCCTGCTTGGAAATAATGCACTTTTGAGGAGTGGAATTGATATAGGACTTAAGAAATTATTTAGGCAGATAGTGACGGTATGGGAGCCCCTGGTAAGGTTTTCCTTTTAACGAAAAGCAGCCCCCAAATAATTTTCTTTTCTAACAAAAAGCAGCCTGTAAAATCGAGCTGCAAGCATAGACAAGCAAGCTGGAAGCTTGCGCAGGTGAATGCCAGCAGTTGTGCCAATAAGAGAAGACTACCTGGGACTAGGTGTGTTCAAAATGGTGGCTTCATCTTCCCTTCTCTTTGCCAGTCACATGTGCAGTGAGGAACAGGCAACATGGTGCTGGCCGGGCAAAGACCCCATTTGCATAATAAGGTTAGGTGGGGCAGTCAGTTTCCCCACATTTTATGTAAACGTCACACCTGGTCCAACGAATCTTTGGGCCCTATGTAAATCAGACACTGCCTCCTCAAGCCTGTCTATAAAATCTGGTGCACTCCGCTGTGGGCCAGAATTCCCACTTGGGCGCCCCTTTCTCTCTCGCAGGAGAGAGAGATATTCTTCTTTCTCTTTCTTTTGCTTGTTAAACCCCTGCTCCTAAACTCATGCCTTGTATGTGTCCCTGTCCTTAATTTTCTTGGCATGAGACAATGGACCTTGGATATTACCACAGACAACAACGCAGCTTCAGAATGATGAGATAAAGGTGGTGTTTGAGGCTGATTAATTTGGCATGAGGCAATGGGAAAGGCAACTGAATTTTCGAAATGCAAATCCTGTAGCCATCATGTCTGGAGAGCTGGACACAGGCTCCTGGGAAGGCTGTGCCAGAAGAACTGGAGGATTCTGATAGCCTGGAAGTTCTGGGCCAGCCCCCAGGTGTCATTTGTAAGAGGGGCAACCCTAGTAGTTAGTGGTGGCTCCAGGAGTCAGATCCTCAAAAGCCAGAAGATCTGCATGGGCAGGTTTTATGCAGAGGAGGTCCTTAGGTGTCATTCCCAGGCTCTCCCTGCTGTCAAGAATGAGCCGAGTCTGTGGCACATGTGGCAGTCTTTGAAAGAGACTTACAGCCTTGAAGCACCTGTCCCGCCTATCAGTGCATTGCTCCTCTTTGTGTAATTGTGTATTGAATGTCTATATCCCAAGCTGAGCCAGAATGCCTTGAGGGCAGCCCTGGTCTGCCTTTGTGCATCATGATATTCCCAGACCCCTGCACCAGGCCTGGAAAATAGCAGGTGCTCAATTAATGTCTCTGGACTGGTTGGAAGGCAGTGGTGTCCTCCTGGTCTGGACTGTCAGGCTGGGAAGACCTCACACAGAAGAAGAAGTCATACCTTCCAGTTTCCATGCAGCCTCTAACAGCTGTGGGACGCATGGCATTGGCAGCTTCAGGTATAGTCCTCACACTGGTCCTTACTCCTTCCTTCTGTCTCTGTGAACTAGTCTCATCTGGCCACATGGTAGTTTGGGATTTATTTCTATATGATGTTCTTTTTTTCTTTTTTTTTTTTCCATTTTTGGTGCTATCCTGACTTGGGGGGTGGACTTTATTTCTTGGAGCTTTTGAAACCCCAGATCTTGTTTGTTGAGACCAATTCTACTGAAAGTGGGGTGCAGGCCCAGGAGGGGATGCTGGGACACACCAGACTGAGAGCTTTGGGGGTAGCAAAAGATACTCCTGCACTCCTCTGTCTGCCACACCATCTTCAGCAACCACATTACCCTCTGAGGTCTTTTTTTTTTTTTTTTTTTTTTGAGACAGTGTCTCCCTCTGTCACCCAGGCTGGAGTGCAGTGGTGCGATCTCTGCCCACTGCACCTCCACCTCCTGGGTTCAAGCAATTCTCCTGCCTCAGACTCCTGAGTAGCTGGGATTATAGGCATGCACCACCATGCCCAGCTAATTTTTTGTATTTTTAGTAGAGATGGGGTTTCACCATGTTGGCCAGGCCGGTCTCGAACCCCTGACCTCAAGTGATCCACCCATCTTGGCCTCCCAAGATGCTAGGATTACAGGCGTGAGCCACCGCACCTGGCCTGAGGTCCTCTTATTATACCTACCACTAGGAAATGGCCCTCTTTTCTCTGGCTCTTATACTCAAGTTCACACAACCTGTCCAAAAGAACTGCCCTTGAAGTGAGCAGATTGAGCTGCTAGTGACCACACGTCCTGACAGTCCTGGTGGTTCACTGAATTCCTTTTTCTATTCTATTTTCCAGGTTCAGTTGTGTTTTGTTTGTGTGCGGGGGCGGTGGGGGGTGGCGGGGGGCGGGGAGTGAGTGAAGGGTACATTTGCCCTTTGTGGTGTTTGGGTTTTCAGGTTGGCTCTGGGTTTTTCCATCTTCTCCTCCAGCACAGAAGCATGGAGGGGCAGCTGAGTGCAATCCCAGCTGGCTTGTTCCCGGATGTCCTCTTTCACTGACTTTGGGGGAGATGTGAGGGAAAATATTTCGGAAGGCTCAGTTTCACCATCAGGCTTTCAAAGTCATCCTGAAGGAAACAAGCCAAGATAGCATACTTAACTTTTCTCTTTAATTTTTTGATTTTATTTTTAATACTGCGAAGTTCACACTGAAGTCCCTTAACATCTGGACTTCCAGCTGCGGGTGTTCTCCTCAGTTCCTGCTTCACACTAGCCCTCAAGCCTGGGTGGGTTTGAGGACAAGATGACAAGAGTCATGTCTGGTAGCAGTTAATTGGCTTGGACCATCAGGACTGGAGATTGAGCATCACCAGATGTGCCCCAGATTGAACAACATGGCTTCGCTCCTTTGAGCCTGCTCTGTCCTGGGACACTCTCCTCCTCTGTTCTCCCTGGGTCTAGCCCCGAGGGCTCCACGAGCTCTCAGCACCCTGGCTACTTAGAAAAGCCACATGTTGTGTTCTGTTAGAGATGCACTATGTCTTAAAGATGCATTCTAGTTTGCAGTGACAACTTTGATAGAAGTTTAAATTCTGGGGAAAAATAAAATATTTGACTATATTAAAAAGTAAAGCCTCAGTGGAGGATTTCACATTTCATGCCTTAGAAACGTGAAGTTCTCTGTGTAATCTAACAAGGATCTATTGCAGGTCGTGCAGATGAACTCCCCTTTTTTTAAGGAGTTCATAGTGCTTGGTGGGTAGAGACAGAAGCAGAAAAAATCCAAGGCAGCAGAAGGCAGTGTCCGAGTGCCTGGGAAGCTGAGCGCAGGAAGTCTAGGGCAGGGAGGATTCAGGCTGGAAATCAAGGAGGTTCTCCCAGAAGGCACCATCGTAAGCGTGAGGAGAAGACACTGTCTCTACCATCAGGGACAAGATTCACTCATAAGTTAAGCTGTCTAGATGTGTGACTTGGGTCTCCCTTAGTTCCATTTGGATTTTGCGGTGAGAGGACATGACCCACTGGCCGTCTCAGCTTCAAGAGATAACCCTGTGGTTCTCCCTGCCCTATCCTGTTTACCAAAGACCTCTTGGTTTCCAGGGCGTTGCCTCAACGGCCCACATACCTACAGCTCTTTGCTGGTTACAGAGCATCCTCACTGACTATCAGAGGCACAATTCAGCTGGTGGAAAGAGAGGGAACAGAGTTCCAAGGGAGAGCAGCATGACAGGCTTCCTGAAATTTGAGTACCCTCCTGTGCTGTTAAACATCTGTTTGCAGAACATCCTCTTTGATTAAGCCATTTGTCCTCCGTTTAAAGTATGAGGAGCCCCCTTGACCCCATATAAGCTGGTCATAAAAGAATGTTTTAAGAAAAAACTCTCTGAAGTAGAATTCTATTTACAGAAATGGAGTTTGAACACAGTCTCCCTATATAGCACTGGGTGAGGTGAGTGACACTCAAGGGGTCATGCTTGCATTTTGAAAGCAGCCACTTGCCTTTGAGGCACAAAGCATTTTAGCTACAGTAAGTAAATATTAGCCCTGGCTGGCTGGGAGATTGAGGAACAGAGAGGAGAGATGTATATTTTCTTCCTAGCCTCCTCTTCTGACCCAGCAGACCGCTTAATGTGAAGAGGCTGTTTAACAACAAAAGGAATTGTGCTATTGTTGTAAGGAGGAACTTTGAGGTTGCTGGAATGCTCATGAATATCCATGAAACTTATGCATATTCATAGCATGTGGGCGTGATTGACAGTCCACACCTGAAATGTTCCCTGGAGCATCCTCATAAGTCCTTTCAGTCATGATTATGGGCATCGCCCTGACTAGGTGGGCTCTGCAAAGACTGGGCTCCCTTAGGTGGCATTTGCCTGGAGGATCATCTGGGGTACTTGTCTTTCCATTTATGCGGAGCAGGGTGCCCCCCTCCAGGTTGCTCCGAGTCCTGCTTCAGAAAATAAGCAGTTATGGGGCAGCATAGTTGGTACCAGAAGCTAATACCAGTAATTGGTACCAGTAGCCACCCAGCAGCACTCAGGCAGTTCTCAGGGGCAGGGGCACTTCCTATCCTCCATCCGCTCAGCTCTGGGCCGAGGCCCCTGAACGTCGAGCTCAGGAAAGGTTTGTTCCTGTTACTGTGCATCAGCAACCCAGTTTGGGCTGCATTAATAAGAACAAGTTGGCAAGAGGTGGCCAAACCTGTGAATTAGATGCAGAGCTTTCTGCGGGATAGAAGAACAAATAATCAGGACAAAATATACTGTGATAAGGAGGCCTGCCCTTTTGTTTACTGACATGCATCTCTGCTCATGCTATTTAAAAAATGACTATTTCATTTGCAAGGTGATAAAAGAATGAATGGAAATTTACCTATGAGCACCTCTGTAATTGAGTGCCTATCTGCAGGATGAATAGTGGAAGGAAATTATCTACCATGGGCCAACTCTCTGCTTTCCTAGGACTGTGCATTCTATTCTTCCTGTTCAGTGGAGGACGTTGTCTACTCCACCAAATTAACCAAACACAGATAATGTTGTCAAAGAACGACTCCATTAGATTTCACAGACGTCCGACACCAAGACAAAAGCCTCTACCCTCGCAGCATTTCAACTTCAATTTTTTGCTACATGACTCAAAAAATAAATTTGTTTTGCGGGCCAGAGATGATGAGTTTGACAGATTTTTGGAATAGAAAATAAAAGAAAAGTTAGCAGTATTGGCTGGGGTGATTCCAGCAAATTTCATTAGGCGGTATCCCATACATGGGGATGCAGGCAACTTGGTGAACTGGAACCTTCTGATCGGGGGTTGGGGGGTCTGGCCCCAGCCTGACTGTGGTGTTAACTCAGTTTGCACATTCTGCCACATAGAGATGATGACACTGAGATTCACAACAGTGACCCAGAGCTGAGAAGTCTGGCAAGGAACTGAGGGCTGGTGCAGGGCTACACCCACAGTCTCCAAACAGTTCAAACTCAAAATGGTGCTCCAGTAATAGTACCATGGAAGTCTCAGGCATGTTGGGAGAACTGAGCAGAGCAGGGCACAGGACATCCTGGAGGTGGAACAGCTATCTGGGAGAGGAGAGCTTGGAAAAATTCTTCTCCCACAGTGCCACATGTGCTAATTTCAGCACTCATACACACCTTCAGGAAGATTTAAGTGATCATGTGATCTCTTTCTATTTATTTTCTTTTTACTGAAAAGATCATGCAATAACAGGGAATCTTAGGAAACAACCCCATCCTCTCACCACTCTGGATACGATAGTCACATTTCTGCACATTTCTTTTCATATGCACATGTGGTAGCTTGAGTTTTTTGTTCCCTCTTCTCCACCCTCTGGCTGGAGCATGGCACAAACCTTCCTTGTGGGGCATACACCAAGTTGGGATAGCTCAAGGGACTCTTGAGTGATGCAGCTGAAGGAGGGAGTGGAGGCGGAGGCTCTTTCCGGGTAATAGCGCATGGGGTTATGCCTAGGGTGGACTCCTGGCAGAGTAGGGGCATGATTGTCTGGTGCATTTTTGAATGTGGGACCTTCATTGCCTCCCTAGGGGCCTGGCTCTCAAGCTCAATGGGGAAATGGGCTGGGAAATGAGGGGAGGTGGGTGAAGTGGATGAAGGAGTACTGAGTCTGAAGACTGAGGAGGCCAAGAGAGGGATTCTGGGAGGGGCAAGCAGAGGGAATTAAGAAACCAAGGAGGCAGTGGGGTTGGGGCTAAGAGAGAGGTGGCATTAGGAGAAGGTTGCCTGAGGGGCTGTGAAGAGGGTCCCAACATGTGCAGTTCTATTTTTTTTTTTTTTTTTTTTGAGACGGAGTCTCACTCTGTCGCCCAGGCTGGAGTGCAGTGGCACGATTTGGCTCACTGCAAGCTCCGCCTTCCGGGTTCATGCCGTTCTCCTGCCTCAGCCTCCCGAGTAGCTGGGACTACAGGCGCCCGCCACAATGCCCGGCTAATTTTTTGTATTTTTAGTAGAGATGGGGTTTCACCGTGTTAACCAGGATGGTCTCGATCTCCTGACCTCATGATACACCTGCCTCGGCCCAACATGTGCAGTTCTGAGAGTCAGGAAGGGAGTGGAAGCCCCAGCCAAGGAGGGCTCCACACAGGTGACAGTGGGTGACTGGGTCTGGCATAAATGACTTCCCTGCACCCCTTTCTGGGTATCATGCAGATCAGTTAACAAGGAATCAGACTGTTTCATGGCTTGTTCTATTCTGCCCTTTTCAATGTTTAGGGGTCAGAGATATAGTTTTACTCCCTGTGTGTGTGTTTTCAGCCATAGTATACCCACTAGGTTAAGTTCACTTATCCTTGCTTGGTGTGATCCTATAAGGGTTTGCCGGGTTTTCAGTGACTGTACAGTCATTGGCTGTGCTGACTTGCTATGGTGTAGTGGGCACTGCACTATATCAGCCATGCAGTATCGTGGCAGGCCCTGAGGACAATGTGGCCAGGCAAGGCTTTTCTCCAAAGTGCCAGGAGAGACCCAACTTTTCCTTTGGGCCACTGTGGGGAGACTTTGGTCTTGTTGCCTTTATCCAGGATAAGGCCAAGGTCCTTTAGGGCATGGAGAACAGGAACCTTTCCAGGCATTTTGAGCAGAAAGGGATTGAATATAGGGATTTAGAGGCTTATCCAATTGTTGGAGGTGGGATGGGGGAAGCAAAATTCAGAAAGGCTACATTCAGGATTTGGAAATGTAAGCATCTTGTGGGAAGCTAGCTGATGATTTCAACTGCCTCCAGCCTTGAAGCAGGAGATTCGCAGAGGAAACCTGGAGGCCATTGGTGAAACCTCAACTCATTGGCTCATAGCTTCCACCTGAAAATCAGGGCTTCTCTTTCTCTTCTGCCCTCCAAATCTCACATGAGCGCCTCTCATTGGTATACTCTAATTGGAACCCTGCAGATATGGGACTCCTGGGATGTGGAAGAGGGTGTAGAAGAAGGCTCACTGATACCAGGTAGACAACAGACAGTTTGGCATGAGGGTCTTTGTAGCCCCAGTGCCTAGCATAGTGCCTGGCACAAGGTAAGGACTAAATACACAATTTTTGAAGAAATGAAGAGTGGGTGGGAGTACCACTTAGAGGAGCATCCCTACTCCACCCAGAAAGACCATGCTTCTGCCCCCATGTTTCTGCCACTTAGGGTGGGGTGAATAGTGGGTTTGCAGAGGACTTTTTCCCATTTGGGAGGAGAGACGGTCTGGGACTCCAGGAGGTGCTCTTGGACTTGGGGAGATGACAGTTGTGCCTCTTGTATTCCAAGCTTCCTAAGGTGGGGAAACAAAAGCCTGTAGTGGGAGGTATATCCCTGGGGGTTGGGTTGAAGTATAGAGGCGGGGCCCAACTGTGATTTCCCTTCTTCTAGCTTACTGTTGCCTGGCCAGCTCTTACATGCAGACTATAATCTTAGACACCTTAGACACTTGGCATGGAGTTGGAGGAGGTGAGTTTGCTCAGGTATGTGGGTCAATCTGGGGGAGTGTCTCAGGAAGAAAGCTATATTCATTGGTATTCTTGATTGTACACAACAGGCAAACCCCTCAAGCTGAAAAGGTTGTTTGACTCACAAAGTGAGACATTCAGGGGTGCTTGCCTTCAGGTAAGGTCAGATCCAGCAACACAAATGATGGTCTTTCTCTCTCCTCCTTCTCTTGGTTCTGCTCTATCTGATTGTTTGTTCATGTGTGAGTCTAATTCTCCCCTACTACAGGTGGGCTTCCTTCATATAGTCAGGGAAAATGGCTGCTAGCAACTCCAGGCTTACGTGGCCCCAGCTTGGCAGTCAGTGGAAAGCAAGCCTCCTCTCCACACCTATGTATATGCGCCTGGAAATGAGACGCCTTGCTAAGTTGTGTACACCTATACCAGTTACTGTGTTTGGGGAGATGTGGCACTGTAGTTCTTTCAGCTGGGCACAGCTGCCCACCTCTGTGGTGAGAGTCTGGGGCTAGAGGAGGGAAACAGTGACTGGTAGTCCCACAGGACCACAAGGAGAGCAGAAGGGATGGTTCCCCAAAGGAATAAAAGTTGCAGGTACAGCAATCTATTTTCAGAAATAAATAGAACAGGAAGAGGCTTGGGCTGGGATGATGGTGCTCTGTGCAGAGAACAAATGCCGTGTGAGGCCCTCAGTTTGGTCAGCATCATCTTACATGTGTGTAGCTGGGAGTCCAGCCAGGCCCTTTCCCAGCTCTGGTAAGGCTGGCCAGCGCCCTGCAGGCTGACTGGGGATGACGGCGGCTGGACTCCTCCCTGGAGCATTACAAAGGTTCTTGCTTCCTTCAGTGATGTTGTATTTGCCATGAGCTTATTTTCAATGTCATATTTGGTTTTTCCCTGGATACTGTGTCTGAAGATAACGACCTTTCAGCTGCATGGGTTTTATGTTGAAAACACCCCATCCAGGAGTGATCCAAACATTCCCTCTCTCTCCTCTTTCCTTGATTCCTTAGTTCCCATCAACCTCCTCCTTAGGAATTGCAGAATTATGCATCGATTTGGTCAATATTTACTGAAAACCTACGGTGTGCCAGGCCCTGGAGATTAATTGTAAACAAAATCAGTCCAGGCCCTTACAGAGTTTAAAAGTCCACCGGGGAAGTCAAGTGTTCAACCCAAAGACATTACCCAGTTGGTTAACATATTACTTAGCAGCAATGAGCTAAGTGCTCTGAAGGAGAGGCACAGGTGTTCAGATTAGCTCAGGACTGACCTAGTCTGTGGGGCAGGAGGCTCCCTTGAGAAGGGCACAGTAGGCTGAGAGAGGAAGGATGGGCTGGATTTTGGATCTTGATGAGATGAAAGGAGTAGGGAGCAGGGAGGTGTGTTTGCATGCCCAGGCTCTGACCAGAGAGCACAGGGCTGCTGGCTGGAAGGGGCAATGACTGAGGGTCTCCACTTGCCACCTCCAGCTCGCCTGGGAGTATGAACTTGGTTCTGTCCCACTAGAGCCCTCAGTGGAGAGGATCAGAGGAATGGGTACTGTCTGGCTCCCCCATGCCTCCTCTTGTCTCTTCAGCCCCAGATAACTTGGAGGGGAGGAAGGGGTTCCCCTAACTGCACCTGGGCTGAACCCCTCGCATCAAGGCCCTGGCTGGCAGTGGGGCGGGGACACCGCTGTGGTTATGCTCACTGCAGGATGGCCTCCCTAACTGCTTCATGAGGCAGAAAGAAAGGAGGCTAGGCTGTTGTGCAGGTGAGAGATGGTGGCTGCTACAGGAGGCTGAAGCGGCAGAGGTGGTACGGAGCGTCAGATTCAGGATGTGGTTAAGAGGTAAAGCCAACTGGTCTCATGGATGGAATTGGTTTGGGACACGGTGGTGTGGAGAGAGAGAGGAATGAAGGGTGATGGCAAGGCTTGTGGCCTGGGGAGATGGTGGTGCCACTGGCTGAGGTGCAGAAGGCTGGGAAGAAGCTGATTGGGAGGAAATAAACACGTGTTCTTCGGCATTGAGTTTGAGGAGATGCCTGAAAAGCAGTTGGTCTCTGGGTCTGGGCTGGAGACACAGGCATGGAAGCTGTTGGTTCAGAGACAGTGAGCAAAGTCGCAGCAGTGGGCACCAATGTGTGGGGTCAGGATGGACCAGGCCTGGGGCCCGAGGAACAGAAATATCTGGAGGTCGGTGAGAGGAGAAGCAACCAGAAAACGGAGAAACCCGACCAGGTGAAGGCGACAACCTGCCTGCGATAAATCATGCCAGTGCTGCCGGGCTGCAGATGTGTACTTCGAGGACCCCCGGGTGCCAGGGCCTGTCGTGGCAGCGTGATGGATGAAGGCTGCTCCCCACCTCCCCACCTCCCCACCTCCCACCGGTGCCTGCTTCCTGCCACCACCAGGCAGTCCCTCAGGAATAGAGATATAGCTGAGCAGCTTTGCCATGACAGCCTTTTAAAAGTGACTTCTAAAACTTCTTATAATTGTTGACTAAAAGGCACATTGCTCCAAAGGCTCTGTTTGTGGTGGAAGAAGGAAAGTCATTTTAGAAAAAATGTCTGGGGAGGTGAAGCATTCGAGTAAATTGGCCAGGCAGCATTTGTAGCTCCGGGCTTATATTTCAAAAGCCATTAAAAGCCCCTCAAGAAAGGGCTGCGAAGTAGTTATTTTGAGAAAGTTGGTCATTTGCAGGGGGAGGGGAAGGAGAAAATGCCAGCTTGCAGGGCAGTGGGAGGAGGAAGCGGTTGGTCCCTGTTCCCCTTAAGCAAAGCTTGTCCAACCTGTGGCCCAGGATGGCTTTGAATGCAGCCCAACACAAATTCATAAACTTTCTCAAAACATTATGACATTTATGCACCGACCTTTTTTAAAGCTCATCAGCTATCGTTAGTGTTAGTGTGTTTTATGTGTGGCCCAAGACAATTTTTCTTCTTCCAATGTCGCCTATGGAAGCCAAAAGATTGGATACCCCTGCCCTAAACCTTGGTGCAAGACTGCCTCACCAGCCTTGGCCAGGAAGGTGGTTCCTCCCTGTCCCCTCCCTGAGTACTGTCTCTATCCCATCTGCATCTCTTTGCCCTTGCTTTGACTGCCCCCCAATATTTGGAAGGACTGCTTCTCAGCACCAACCTTTCCAAAATAAGCCTGTTTTGTAAACTCCTTTCCCTAAATCATCCTGGACTCTGATAGCTACCTGAATTCCTGCAGCCCATATGGTCTACATGCCCCACACTTTCCTCTGAACTCCTGTTGTCCATGACAACTGCATGGGCTGGGACGCCGCGTGCTGATGTTTCGTGCAGGTCCCTGGCTTTCCTCCAGCAGGCAGGGATGTATGCTGAGAGAGAAGGGTGCTCAGGTGCTGCAGGGGATGAACTGCAGAACATCACCAGGTGCCTTTCCTCCTTGAGAAGTGTGGGGAGTTGGTACATGGCACGTGTCGCATCTCTGTTGTGGCCTTGTTATGTTTTTTGTGGGGCTACTGTAGCAAACACAGGCAGGAGGATAAATAGTGTGGTGCACATGTGTGCAGTCTTTGGCTTTTCTGTGGTTGTCAAGGTGAGGGCAGCTAGGCAAGCTGGGCCAGGAGGGGGAGGCGTTACCAGCTGCAGCCTGGGAGAGAGATGAGATGGGTAAGAATTTGCAGATAGCACACAACCATCTCCTGCTGGGGGCAGGGTAGGAGGAGAGACGTTGTGGCTGCCAGCCACAGGTACCCCATGTCTCTGAGTCTGAGTGGGCTCCCAGGGCCTGCCTCAGAGCCCTGTACCTAGCGTGGGGTTGCAGACAGGTGGACTTCTGGAAGGGCAGAGTGGCTCACCTGTCAGGAGCTCGGAGGTATGGAGATGAGAAGCAGTGTCTGTGGCTTAACCCATCTTCAGTTCTAGAATTTTCCTGAGTCTCTGAGCACCGTGGGATGCTTTAGTGACCTCATAAGTTCTTTTCTGCTGAAACTAGCTTGAATGGGTGCTGGTCACAGTGGGCCATTTTCAGAGTGCCAGACCAGAAAGGTCTGCAGGGATGGCTCACCCCTGGTGTTGACTCCCCCACTAGGTTTCATCTCTGGGCCTGGTGCCCACGGGGTGCTGGGAAGATCCCAGTGTTAGAAGACCTGTGAACATTAGCTTACATGCCCAGGGGAAGAGGGGCACGTGGAACCCAGGGAAGCTGGTGTCTCGCCAGTCAGGGGTGGCTGGCTAGATTCTTTCTCCCTGTCTTCCCTCCTTCTTTCCTTTCCTCCCCACCTCCTTTCCTCTCTACCTTCCTCCCTCTCTCCTCCCCTCTAATTCCTTCCCTTCCCCTCTCTCTCCCTCCCTTCCTCCCTCCCTCCCTCCCTTCCTCCCTCCCTCCCTCCCTTCCTTATCCTCTCCTTCCCTTTCTCTCTCCCTCCCCTGCCTCCATTAATAAATTAATTAATGTGTCCTAGGCCCACCGTAGGAGGCTGGGGATACAATGACTAAGGTCTGTGCCTTCAGGGTGGGGGAGGCAGACAGAACCGACAGCTACTTGGTAGGCATGGGGGTGATGGGTTTGGGGAGTACAGGGCTGTAGGAGCCCACAGAACTGAGCGGGGACGAGAGGCTTTCTAAGATTTCGGTTGTCCCTTGATGTTCTCGGTTATGGCTGGGTATGGCCACCGCAGGATGTCGTGAGGTTGTCTAGGTCAGAGCCCTGTGCATGAGGATTGACTGGGAGAGAAGCGGGAGCCCAGTACCTGTACATGGCGTCCCTTGTTTCTGTTTCAGCTCTCCCTTAGTTAAATGCAGTTTGGTGTCTTTTTTTTTTTTAAGTTTTTTTTTCTAAATCTAGTCTTACAGCTTAGCTAACATAAAACCATGTCCAGGAAACAAATATATGAGAAGAGTTCATTTGTCCACAATGATAAAATCTGGCATTTTTTAAAAAAACTTCCCTGTACAGACCTCCCTCTGAGAATCACAGCTCCCTTCATCCCTCTCACCCTGAGTTTGCTCCTCTGGGAAGCGAGATGGCTGAAGTAGCTGAATTTCAAGGATTATAACATTCCAAACCTCTAGAACCCATCTTCTGGAAACTCAAAATGTATGATTTAAAATTTTATTTTTACTTATTTTTGGCCTGAGGGGAAGAAACCTCAGAAGGAGAAAATCACCTGAGAAAAAGCAAATATGCTGAGCAGTAGGGTCTGGGATGGGCCCGTGCTCACAGATGAGTGGAGGGCCACATAGGATTGGAATGAGCCAAGTTGCACTTGCTTTGGCTCAGCTATAGGTGTTGCTGGACTCTTGTGTGAAGGAAGAGCCTGTGGGCCAGTGTTGTCCTTGCACAATGGTGTGTGTGTGTGTGTTTGTGGGGGTGGGGAGAAGTTTAGCATATCTGGGTTTTCGTGGCTGTGCTCTGGGGCCACGAGGTTGTTTTTAGAGCAGACTGACTTGAGACTTGAAGCAGGAGGTTGGCTGGGTCCCCTGCGGCGGGACTGGTTGACCTCAGGACATGTTTGGGGAGCAAAGCGCTGCTCAGGGTATGAGATGGGTCTTTGAAGCAAGGGGCATTTGATGATGGAAGATGCAGATAAGGTACCCCAGTCCTGGGGAAGGAGGAGGTTGAGTTGGACTCCTACGGAGAACTGAGAAGACTGTAAATTAAAAATGGAATCCTAAGCACCCCCAAAGGACTAAACGGACCCCCTCTTGGCCAAGAGGACCCCAGAGAAATCTGAAAATCTGAGTTATTGGCCATGACGGGAAGGGAAGCTGGACATGCCTGGTTATACCCCCTCTCTTTTGGAGTTTAGGCACAACTGACCAGCATTAATGCTAAAATAGAGATCCTAAGACAGATGGAACAGAGCCTTTGTGGCAATAATGCCAAATTTTAAACAACATCTAAGGCCATGCAAGGCAAGGATTAAGTCAACCCTGCAGGTCATCAGTCTTACTACATAGCATCCTTATCTTAATTCAAAACATTCCTTTCTGCTGACTCCAAATTTTAGACAGAGCCTTGCTCCTTTAACCAACTACAAGTTAAAGAATCCATGAATCCACCTAAACTTGGAAGCCCCTGCTTCAAGACATCCTGCCTTTTCAGGCCAATCAATGTCTACCTTCCATGTATTGATTTATGTCTTTGCCTGTAACTCCTGCCTCCCTAAAATGTATAAAACCAAACTGGAATCTGACTGCCTGGGGTGCCCTTTGTCAGGACCTCTGGGGATTGTATTTTGCCAGGCCATGGTCACTCATATTGGCTCAGAATAAATCTCTTTAAAATATTTTACAGAGTTTGCTTTTTCCATTAACAAGAGGAAGGGTGGTAAAGGGGACTGAGGATTCCTGGGCTCAATGCAGTCTACTCTTCAGTGGAGCCAAGGATGGGCACTGTTCATCTCCAAGATTTCATAACACTTTTTGACTTGGTGAATCTGGCAGTGACACAGACAGGAGGGGGAAACACTTCTACCCAGGGCGATTCCCTGGCAAAGGCCTCACCTTCAAGCCTGGATACCCGAGGCCCTAAATGGGAACAGCCATGCCTGTTTTCATCCCCAAAAAGTTGCCGTTTGGCCCACCATGCCCCCTATCCTGTACCCCATATAAGCCCTGAACCACAGGCTCCAGAGTAGGTGAGGAGATGAGACAAGCAGACAGACAGATGGCAGAACAGCGGAATGACGCGGCAGAGAAAGAAGAGGAGGAATGTCTGAACGCCAAGGGGAGTTTGGTTGGGGGTGGTCGGAGAGGGATTTGGCTGCTGGACAGTCATGCTCCAGGGGAAGATCATCTTCCCATTCCATCCCCCACTTCTGGCTCCTCATCCATCCCTCTGAGAGCCACCTCCACCACTCAATACAACTCCTGCATTCATCCTTCGAGTCTGTGTGTGGCCTGATTTTTCTGGGATGCTGGACCAGAGCTCGGGATACAGGAAGCTGTCACACTGGCCCTCTGCCCTTGCAGAAAGGCAGAGGGCCCACTGAGCTGGTTGACAGTCAAGCTGTCCGCAGACAGCAAGGCTGAAAGGGCATACTGTAACACAAGCCCACCTGGGCTCCTGCACCTGGTCTGCCTGTGTGCTCCCCCTCCCATAAGGGATTTGAGCAGCAGCGGTGACTGAACAGGTGAGCTACACCCCTGTCGCATGTCCTGCGTGGGGGTTCAGGGAACTCTCCCATTCCAGTAGCACAGATTTCTCTGTCGTTTCAAATAAGACTTATGTCCTTATCTGAGGGACAGCTGTATAAGGAGCACATGGGAAAGTGGTTGGAGGAGTGGGAGGGGGGCTGGTAAGAAGAGCAGAAGGACTAGTGACCAGGGGAGAAAAGAGGGTGGAAGTGCAGGGCAGGGACGTTGGACACTGAGCAAGGGGCCAGGGTCTTCAGGGCTTGGGAGACCCCGTGGACTCCAGGTGACCTCCTCCCCACGCAGGCCTGGATTCACACTCTAAATGTCCACTTGGGCTCCAAGCTTTGGGCATGGTGCTTCCCTTACTCATTGGAGGTTCCCAGATGGGGAATTTAGGCTGCATGGAAGAGGAGGCCATGTTGCCCAAAACCACAGAGACTCGGCTCCTGTGAGCACTTGTGTCTTTCTCCAGAACTTCCTTAGAAAAGATTTCACTCCATTTCAGAAGGCCTTATGGCGGTAGAGTCTTCTAAGATGCTCTGTTAATGCTGCCTACGGCCAACTGAATAATCCTGGAAAACGTCCCATTCTGTGCTTCCTTCTTGAAGATTCCCAATGAAAATCAGCATTCCAAAGCTTTCCGAAGTCCTTCTGCTAAAGAAACCTGTTAAACTTTTTTTAAATCCTGTGTTTCCTAAACTTATTTGATCACAGATCCCTTTTGTCATAGAAAGGCTGTGAAAGTTGACATGCACACCTTGGGGCACTCTGATGACTTTATATTCTCATGCTAACAGCCTTGTGGACTTACAAGCTTGAAATCTCCTTCCACAGTGAACATGAGGCAGGGCATTTATTATCTGGCTTGCTGTGGCCTCCCCTGAGCTTGCAGGGCGCAGGCGCATTTGCTCACTCTGCACCACCCCACTATCCCCTTGCCGGCCTGAGTTTGCAGACGGATTGCTTCCTGCTTCAATCGGAGCATTTGGCCCCATAGCCAGCCTGTACATTCAGCTTCACGGCCAAATAAAGCTCACCTGGGGCCAGGAAGCTCTGCAGGGGACAGGATGTGTGCAGAAACTCTCCATCTGTCCCATCCCCAATCACCTGCAGCTGCTTAGGCCCCGGGCTGTTCTGACTGCCTTGTTTTGCATATAATGATGAAATATTGAAAGAAATTCTTCTGGTTATGAAAACCTTTTTGTCAAGGCACCAGGAGCAGCCTGGACATGTGACAGAAAACCCCCCAGGCTTAGAGGGAGGAGTTGAAGGGCCAGTGGGAAAGAGGAATCACTTCAGAGGTGGAGCTTCCTTGAGAGGTCCAGGAATGGCTCAAGGGTGGCTGGTGATGGATCTTCCCCCCGTCTTCTGCCTGCTAGCTGCAAAAGGTGGGCACTGCTGACCAGGAGTCTGGGAGGACATGGTTGTGGTGTGTGCTTGGATACAGTGCTGGGTTGGGAGTCTTGCAGTCATTAGGCAAGTACTTGTCCCTCTCCAGAGTGCTTGGATTTGCCCACTGATAGAACTACATGGGTGACCAGATGCCCTCTGCAGCTTGTCAGGTTTTATGTAATAGGATTCTACTCAGAAGCTGGTTTGTCTGTTCACACATTTGTTACCTACCAATGCTGCCTTGATTCCCAGTGAGAGAAATTGGATCCAGTGGCCATTTTGGAAGAAAGGGCTCACTTACAGGGCCCACCTGAGTGTGGTCTGCTGTGGGTTGAACAGAACCCAGGCTTTCCTGCCCATAGAGTTGCTGCTGGAGCTGGAGCAGCCACCTCTAAGGGCCAGCATGGCCTTGGTCAGCCACACTAATGAGCTGATTTCCTGGGGACAGCCCCATGACTTGACTCCTGATGGATATGCTTGTAGTGTTATGTCTGCATCGCTGTCTGTAACCGTGGTGGGGTCTGCTGTGGGCAAACACACAGTGGTGGCCCCCTGGCATTTCTGACCCAAAGCATGAGCCCTTCTAAAAGCTATCCTGGCCCTCTCTCTTGGCCTTGTCACTGCCTTGGCCTCTGGGTTGGATAGACCTGGCCCAAGTCAGAGATCAGCCCAGAATGGCAGTGCATCTGCAGAGCCCGGAGCTCCAGAGGTGCAGCCCCATGTTCAAGGGCGTGCATACACACCCATCTCCCAGGAAAGGGCAAGCGGCTCCCCAGGATGATTGATTAGCCTCCTACATTTTCATTTGCCAAGGAGTCTCAGAAGCACACAAGCAGATGGCTTCTCAGGGAATTCCTCCAGGAAACTGGGCGTCTACAAATCCCACAGAATTCAATATTCAAATGAGAGAGGAAATTGGGAAAGAAAATACGTTCTCTTTTCCTCCCTCTAAGTTAAAACCTGAATACAGAGCTGGAGGGTCAGAAATGGCCTCCATGCTCCTGTGGTTCCCTCCAAATCAGAGAGGGAGAAACAAACCCGGGGCTGCTTCTAGTAGGGCCAGGGGAGGAGGTGGTGCTGACCCTGAGGGGTTGCCGCGAGATGTGAGACCGCGGGAGTGGGCATCAATTCAGCAAAGTTCAGCAGGCTTTGCTTAAGCAGCTGCTGTGTGCTAGTCTTGGGCTGCCGCAGTGTGGAATCAGGTCAGGTAGCTTCTGGCTGAAAAACACGAACTCCTGACACAGACCTGAGTTCTAGTCCTGGCGCTGCCATGTTCCAGCTGTGAGACCTTGAACCAGGGACTTAGGTCCTCTGAGCCTCAGTTTCTAATCTGTAAAATGGGGAACGTAGTGCCTATCTCACAGGGTTGCTGAAAGGCTCAAATGAGTTGGTGTGGGCGGGAGCTCAGCAGGGTGCCTGGGAGCACCTTCATTGCTCACATGGTGCTTTGCACCAGCTCTAAGCCCCAGCAGCAGGCAGAGGGGATGTGCCCATGGCGGGGATAACAAAGCAGAGACTGAGAGCAGTTGTATGAGTTTACCTAAAATCATTTTGGTTGTCACTAACAGGGCAGAGACTGGGATTGGGATCTGTCTATTCTGTTAGGATGTCCTGTCCCTGCACCAAGAGGGTGGTCCCTCCCCAGGTCTCAGCTGGTCAGGGATGTAGAGCCTGAGGGGTGGGCCTCAGTTGTCACTGCTCTTTGGCAGAGGTTGGCCATTAAAAGCACACCGTGTATTTTAAGTTTTTTCTTCCTCTCCAAGAAAAGCACTTATAGAATTCCAAGGAATTAAAAAACCTGCCCAGATCTACCCGCCAGAGCCAGCAAGGACAGTCCCTCTGTGAAGGGGAGATTCTGAACGCCCTTTTCCCCAGAGCTCTGACCTTTCCCCTCCTGCTCTGAGCCCGAGTTTTACAGCATCATTGTGCTCTCTGCCATTTGGCTTTTCCTGTTCCTTTCCATGAGGTTTGGTCCCATTAATGTTTATGAGCAAATAAAACTTGGATTGCTGCTTTGGGCCATGGGATCACTGCTGACTTGAGGAGGGATGTCTCATTTAATATAATTCCTCTCCTTCGACTTTCCATGACTTCCACTGCATTCTCCTCTGGGAAGATGAGCAAAAGGAGAGGAAATGTGATTACAACATAGGCCTCGCCTTCCCCACCTAACCTCGGTGCCCTCAGACCCCTGCTAGGAGCAGGAGCTAAAGTCAGTGACAGTCAGACAGAGTGACGGAAACAAGGATGTTGTTTTTATGTTAATTTCTACATGGATGTGCATGGATGAAGCAAGCTTTGGGGACACACGAACTCTGGGATGTCATGGGTGGTGTGTCACCTATTTTCTCAGAGAATGAGGTTGCAGGGCAGGGCTGGAAGATAATGCTTTTGATCATATGTATTATTCCATCTTTGAGCAAGAAATTGCTCAACAGAACTCATTCCTTCAAGGATAAAAACCAGTGGAGTGTGGTGCCTGGCAGACCCCATGTTCATAGCAAATGTATCATTGTTCTGTTCCTGAATGCACAGTATTTTTCATGGGCTGGGAGGGGCAGTCCTAATGGGGCCTGGGGTGGGGCCTGAGGGCAGGCTGTGCAGCAACTGCATTTAGTGGGAGGACACAGGTCAGCTGCATCATGGAGACATGTCATGAGGGAAAGGCAGCATGTTCCTTCTGGGGCTGTTGATGGGGCTGTGAACCTGGCAGGAGGAAGGTAATTATATCATTATGTACCACTCTTGTCTCAAGGGGCCAAATTAGCTGACTCTCCAAAACTAAGGTTTGCTTTTGCCTACTTAATTTACAGGTTGATGCAAAGGCATGCCAACTCACTCCTAAATCTTTCTGGAACAGCTGAGGTGTGCCTGGAACCACGGGTGAGATTGAGAGGAGCAAAATGCGATCAGTGGGAATGTAGGACAGGCCATAACCCATGCTGATGCCCAGCAGAATGGGAAGATGGCTAGAGGAAAGGCATGGGGAAACTCAAGGGCCAGGCTCCCACATCGATGCAAAACCTCACAGAGGAGGAGGAGGGGAGCTGCCCTTGGCGGAGGCCTAGGATTTCCACAGGTGGAATAGGAATGGACAAGGCTGCAGGGGAAGGGGCACTCAGAATGCAGGTGTGTAGACAGACGAGGGCAGTTTGGTAAGAGGTTCTGGGGAGGGACATCCAGGGAAAGTGGCTGGAAACACTGAGCCCTGATGGGCTTGGAAGATGCTCAGCAGGTATTTGTTAAATAAATGTGTGAGTGAATGGCTCAGCTCTCATTAGTTCAACAAACGTTTACTGAGTGACCTCTGTGTGCTAGACACTGTGTTAGGGGCTGGATATACAGCTGTGAATAAAACAAATATCACTCCTATGTGAATTTAGTTTCTACCAAGGGGAAGCAGACAATAAACAAATAAATATAATATACATGTAATGTATATAGTATGTTAGGAAGAGGTAAGTGCAAGGAAACAAGAATGAGTAGGATGAGATAGGATGGGAACTGTGTGTGTGTGTGTGTGTGTGTGTGTGCACGCACATGTGCATGCAGGTTGCAATTTCACCAAGGGTAGCTGAGTAGACTTCTCTGGGAAGATGATATTTGAGTAATTTGAGAAGGCTGTAGGGAGCTAACCAGGTGGCTATCTGGTGAAGAGCACTCCAGACAGGAGTAGCAAGGGCAGGAGAGCCTGAAGCAGGGGTGTGCCTGGCATGCTAAGGACCAGCAAGGAGGCAGTGTGGCTACAGCAGAGTGAGTGAGGGGACTGTGGTAGGAGAAGGGATCAGAGAGGCAATGGGGCCTGGCAGGCCAGTATAGGGCTTTGGACTTTACCATCAGTGAGATGGGGGCTTCTGTTTTAAAAGTATTATTTTGTGTGTGTATGTGAAAACTTGAGCATTCTGGGGCAAGGGTGGACTCAGGGAGCCAGTCAGGAGGCTGCTGCTGCCTCCAGGTGAGAGGCGAGGGCTAGACGAATGCCGTGGAGGTGGTAAGTGGTTTTGTTCTGGACACAGAAGATTTCTTAACATCTGAATGTGGGATGTGAGAGACAGCGGGGAATCAAAGATGACTTCACAGTTTTAGCCTCAGCAGTCAGGATTAGGAAGGCTGTGGGTAGAACAGGTTGGAGTGGATCAGGAGCTGTTTTACACGTGATGATCCTGAGATGCCTGTTGACATCTGTGTGGAGATGTTGAGGGGGCAGCTGGCTTCGTTCATCTGGAGTCCTGGAGAGAGGTCAGGGCTAGAGATGGAAATGTAGGAGCCATTGATTGGCCTTTAGATGGTGTTAAAACCGTAAGAGGGGCTGTGATCACCAGTGGGTTGTTGAGAGAGCATAATGACACTCAGAGCTAACATTTTATTTGGTTTTAAATGCCAAGCACTCTGCTAGGCACTTCCCAGCATTCCCTCTTTTCATCTCTACCACAAACCAATGAAGTAAGAGCTGTTATTTTCCCCATGTTGTAGATGAGAAACCTGAGGCTCTGAGGGGTTAAGTAAATTATCCCAAATCACACAGCTACTATAGGTCAGAGCCAGGATTTTCACATAGGTCTGCCTGACTCTGAAGTAAGTTTGTTCATTTTTAGATCAATGCATTTACTGGCTTTCTAACTTATGGACTTAATTATATGCATGATGGAGGAGTCATTGAAGTTTTTGAGCAGAGAAAGGACTCTGAGCTGTGGCTTGGGAACTGGAGGCTCTTGTAGAAGGTACTGGGGAGGGAGAGGCGGAGACCAGAGGTGGAGAGCATGGAGAAGGTTTGGGCCACCACATAGGGGTAGGAAATGGAATCCTGTGAGTGGAGAACCAAGTTGTGGCAGACCCAGCGTTATGGGGTAAATATTTATGTCTCCCCAAAATGCATGTATTGAAGCCCTAGTCCTCAATATGGCTGTATGTGGAGATGGGGCCTCTGAAGAAGTAACTAAGTTTAGATGAGGACATAAGGCAGGGCCCTAATCCAATAAAATTCATGTCCTTATAAGAAGAGACATCAGAGATTCCCCCACCCCAACATATGAGGACAGTGAGGGGTGGTCATCTACTAGCCTGGATGAATGCCCTTGACAGAAATTGAATCAGCCAGAACCTTGATCTTGGACTTCAGTCTCCAGAACTGTGAGAAAAATAAACATCTGATGTTTAAGCCACCCAGTCGGTGGTACTTTGTTACGACAGCCTGAGCCAACTAATACACCAATCTCTTTGCATCCCGGCTTTTCCCAGAACTGTGTTTTCTGGCAGAGGTATAGGTCCCAGCAGTTTGGTAATTGGTCCTTTAAGGGACTTCTACTTTTTCCCTCTCTAAAAATTCAATGAATTTGAATGGACCTGAAGAGTCATTGAACAATTATCTAGTGATTAGCTTCCTTGTAGAGTCCAGAGAGAATTGCTGGAAGAAAATTGGTAAATTCTTTTCATTCTTTATAAAACCTAACATTATCTTGCTAATGCCTGATATTAAGAGTTCAAAGTCATCTCCATACCATTGATCTTCAAAGGAAGAGATTTCCTAATTTATTTGACAAGGCCTGAAAACATGTGGGTGAGGTTCCCTTCGGATGCAGATTTAGAACATGAATGAATTGGTAACATGGCCAACCTTCCCCCACCACCCTGGCCACCTCCCACTCCTGGCTCCATTTGAATCACTGGGCTCAGGTTAGCATGTGCCCTACCTGTATATCCCAAGCCACTGAGGGGCAGGGACCTCTCCTGAGGAGGCTGGCATCCTTGTTTCCATCTCTGGTCTGAAGGGGAGCAGGTTCTATGCCATTTTATTGAGCTCATTTTGAAGGAGGAGCAGAGAGGGGTGCCCAGTGCAATCAGCCTCTTGGAGGAGTGGATGTTTCTGGGGTCGTAATGTATTTTTTCTTCTCCTTCCTGAGAACACCTTCTTCCAATAAAAACGAGTTGTCTGCTGCTCTGGAGGCCCTATAAATTGATTTTGGCTCTGTCCATTATAGGTAGCTTCTGTGTGAGGAAACCGCATAAATCTTACTCAGTCAGGGAGTGTTTAAAATGGCAAATTTCAGAGTAAAGGTTTAACAAAAACCGTAAATAAAACTTCAGAAGTAGTGGAAGTGTTTATAAGCATCTGTGGAATTCACACAAGAACAATGAGCATGGTCTGGGTGCCCAGAGATTGACGGAGGTGTTGTGTTTGCCGCGAGAGAGAGCAAATCCATCTTTATTTGGCCTCTGCTCAGAGAGGCTGGACTTGGAGAAGCCACAGAGACATGGGCAGTGCTGTGTGGCTGGGCTCGTGGAGGGGGAGTTTGTCACCATCAGGGCCGTGGCCAGTTGGGGCTTGGGAGGCTACTGGTGTGAGCGGCACTTGCCAAGGTCCAGGGCCTCAAGTCAACTGCATTTTAGGCCTCGTGTGAGCCTCACCTTGCAGGGAGGTACTACTATTACAGTGGTCCCGTCATCCTAGCAACCGGCTGCTGAGCAGCCAGAGCAATGTGTCCATGTTCCATTTTCCAGCCACGGAAACCGAAGCGAAGAGTGGTCTGTGACTTGTCCAAGTCCTAGAACAAGCCATGGAGGGAAGCAGAGGAGAGGCAGCACTTCCCAGGCTTGGACTCTCCCACCGTGCTTCTGATCTCCCCATCTCACGTCCCCTTCTCCAGCAAACAGTTCTTACCTCTGCTCCACACCAGGCCCTGGGCTGGGCGCTGGGGATATGGAGACATATCAGTGTTCCTCTGTTGAGTGTTGTCCCTGGATCTCCTCCGACACGCCCTCTGTTCCAACCTCTGCTGGGGAACCACACACATAGAAAGCAGGGTGCCAGACAGAGTGACTCTCAGTCATTCACGACCACTTACCGAGCACCAACTAAGTTCCAGGCTCCATGCTAGGTGCATAATAAACAATGTGCAAATGTTTGGTCTAAGGGATATAGTCTAAGGGCAGGCCAGCAGGCGTGAGATTGGCAGGTAGAACAGGGGAGGGTGGAGCTGGACCCTTGATGAGAGGCAGGGTCTGGGGAGGACAGGCAGCCTCTAAGTGGGAAGGGCAGAGTGAGCACAGGCTGGGGCTGTGAGTGTAGGGAGCTGTGGACTTGAGTCAGCTCATGGGATAGCAGGTGGGCCCCTCTGATGGGCCTGGCCCAAGTTTTGGCTTGCCCTGGAGTTTGTTGCTCTGAGTGTTGGACTCCAGTGAGGATTTTGGCTGCACCCAGGAGTGGAGTGCAGGCCTCAGGAGCAGGGCGTGGGACTGGGGGTGGGGGCGGGGAGGGTGGCCTCCCTTCCTTCCTGTCTTTGCTCTTCTTCCCATCCCTGGGTTCAGTTCAGGCCCCGTGCTCCTCCAGGAAGACATGGTTTTGTGAGCCTCTGACCCCCAACAACCCTAGGCGTTCAGCAGGCAGACTTGGATCAGACTGCCCCTTCCCATGTTTGTCCCTTGTGCTGGTGTCCATCTCCTTTAAACCCAGGCAGGCTGGGTTCCAGTTGAAGGCAGTCCCTGTAGTCCCAATCCTAGCACAGTCCTGGACACATGGTGAGTGGTCCCAAAATAGAACTGCCAGGTAAGATAGAGGCTACCCAATTAAATTTGAGTTCTAAATAAATAGTGAACCGTATTTTAGTATAAGTATATCCCAAATATTGCCCACACAACAGGGTGTCCTGTTTTTGTTTTTAATGAAATCTGGCAACTTTACCCTAAAATGCTTGCTGATTGGTTATTGAAAGTCAGGGTTTCTAGGTTCCTGGGACATCAAGTTTGAGAAGGCAGACTCACCTAGGAGTACAGGGTGGTGCAGGGGTTGGGAACCTGGCTTCAGGTCAGCCTGCTCAGGTTTGAATCTCATCTCTCTAATGTACTAACTACCGGAACTCAAGCAAGTCACTTACCTCTTTCTAAGCCTCAGTTTTCTTATCTGTGAAATGAGAATGGTGATAGTCCCCACCTCATGAGTGAGAATCAGTGAACTAATGCCTGGGAAGTGCTTACACAGTGCCTGACACTTAACAGTCTGGATAGAGCAGTCACCACTGTTACTATTGCTATTATAATGGTTGTTGTTGTTGTTGTTATCTTTGCCACCTGATGGGCCACACAGGCTCTCTGTAGTTGACCCTAGGAAGTCCTTTTTGCTCCCTCAATGCCTGTCTCACTTCCTCACCATCCTCAAGGCTGGCCTGTCTTGGGAATTCCCCCTCCCTGCATCCCTCTCCCCTGGGTGTGTTTCCCAAGCCGAGGCTAGACTTGTTTGACCGATCGGGCCTCCAGCCCTGCCTGGAAACAGTCCTGCCTTCACCTAATGCAGCTGAGTGTAGATCCACAACTGCAGCTTATATGGCAAATTCTTTGGTAGACTTTATACGAGGACATAGATCATTACAGATGGGATTCAGGTTTTACAAAATATTTTAGGAGGTAGATAAATTAGATCATGAAAAGTGCATAAGGGGCATAAATTATGCAGGGGCCAGAAGAATGATTATAAAGTGATCTGGCCTCCGTTTTGGCCCATGAAACATTTAACTGCGGCCGTTAAAATAGAAAACATCCCTCATTCCATTCTTCAGAAAAGTGGGATGGTCCAGGATACAGGCCTGGCCCAAGGGAGGCTGTAAAGTCCAGGATGACCTGCTTTGCTGGTAGGCACCTGGGGAGGAAAAGGCCACTTGGAAAGTACACAAAACTGGGCTTGCTTGGGTGGGGAAGAATCACGGAGGCTCTGGGAGTACAGGGGTCAGGTAAGGGCCCAGTTGGGGATGCTGAAGTTTTTTCTCTTTTGACCCAGGGCAAAAAGGTGCATGCCAGCACATCGTGGGTGTATGGTTAGAGACACTTTAACTTCAGGGTCCTCAAAAATCCCCCAAAGGTGTCCTACTTGTCCTACCTCCTGGCTAACAGCAGCACAGACCTGACAATGGGCTGGCATCTGCCAGCTTCACCTGGCCTGCATGCTGCTGGTGACTAGGGCATCTGGGAGAACGGGCAGGTGATTGTGACCCTGCAGACATTGTCTATGTGCCTTTCTCCCCTGAGCTTCGGCAACCATGGCTGTCCCAGACATAGCCATGACTTCTATCTCTGAAAGAACCCAACCTCACCCTGAGCCACACCACTTGGCCCTCGATTCTGTTCTCCACTGAGGGCCCCGTGTTTCTCATCTGAACCTGGACAATGTGCTGTGCTTCTGGAAGATGGCACCTTCTTCCTCCTCCTCTTCATAGACCACATACTAAGTCTATTTTATGGGTGCATAAACTGAGGCCAAGAAAAACAAGTGCTTGCCCCCAAACTCCAACCTCTAAAAGGCCAAGCAGGGCTGAAGGTCCCAAACTCATGTCTCCATCCTTGAAGAGTACTGGTCAGAGGCATTGAGCTGAGTATTGAGCTGGGCATGTAGAGGTTCCCTGGAGCCTGATGGGGGCAGTAAAGGTGAGTTACTTGCTAAAGGTATCTCGGCAAACGTTCCCGGGCTTTCCTTCCCTGTGGTAGGTCACTCTTGGCCTATAGGTGCCTTTTTGAATTAGGGCATGTTTCTATCTGGAGTTGGTCTCTTGGTTTTAGGCCCACCTGTCCTTTGGAGCACAGCTGCACATGACCATCAGGAAGGAACAGGGGCTGTGGTGCCTGCTTTCTCACCAGCATGTCCTCAGTGGGTAAGCCCAGCATGGTTTGTAAGACTTCGTGTGCTTTGAGGGCTGAGAGCTTTGTGAGGGGAGGCAGAGCAGGTGTTGGGTGTGCCCTGTCGGGAGTAGATCTGTTCCTTCTCGAGCTCAGAGGAGCAGGAATGTGTCCCTGTGGGCTGGGTTGTCATCCTCCTTATGGCCTTATTCCCTTGGGGTCTCTATTCCTTCTCCCCCAAAGTCCTCCCATTTAATCCCATAACTCAGTAGATGATGCGGCTGAACCTACTGATGTTAAGCAAGGTGGCCAAAGTCACCATTTCACAATTTCATTTAGAAGAAACTAGGAGGAGAATTTTCTTATGCCAACAGCCACTCATAGAAACACACAGGACCATATGAATATCTAGCCCTGAAACCTGAAAACAAACTTTGTGCCAAAACAATTTATTATGTGCTGCTTTTTTTTTTTTCTTAAGGGAATGAAAATGTTAACAGGTCTCACTTAATTCTGCCCTACTGCTAGGCAAGAGCAAAATCTTTTTCTTGGAGTGGTGGAAGCCGGGATGCAACTTACTCCTTAATATCACAGGATCTGGACTTTCACACAGAGATCATATCCCTGCTCTGCCACTTACAAGTTGTGTGTGGCCTTGGAGAAGTTAACCACTGTAGATCTGTTTTCTCCACTTCAGAACGGGGATAACAATGATGTCCACCTCACATTATGCTTATAACATGAATTCTCTGACCAGTACTCTTCAAGGAATGGGGTGTTCTCCCCAGGATGGTGACATGTGTGTGGGACTTTCAGCCCTGCTTGGCCTTTTAGAGGGTGGAGTTTGGGGGCAAGCACTTGTTTTTCCTGGCCTCAGTTTATGCACCCATAAAATAGACTTAATATGTGGTCAGATTAGTCATAAATATCAGCAAGTCAACTTTTCAAATGCCGAGTGAATTTCTCACTAAAGCATACCCTACCCATCTACTTTAAACTTTACTACTTGATAGTAAAGATTGATAGATCTTTACTACTATCATTAATGACAATAGCTAACATTTATCTAAAGCTTCTCATGTTAGGGAGCACTGGGCTAAATTCCCTGTACGTATCCTCCCATTTAATCTCATAACTCAGTGGATGATGCAGCTGAACCTACTGATGTCAAGCAAGGTGGCCAAGGTCATAGAACTAGTAAGTGGAGGAGGCAGGGTTTGAACCAGGCAGTATGACTGCAGGGCAGAGAGATAAAGGAGGCCTATGTGGTAGGAATTCTAACTCCTGCCTGTGAGCTAACTGTTCTCGCAGACTCTGCTTATGTTTGGGGGGTGGGCGGGGGCAGTGGAAAGGAATTGCTCCTGTTTTCTACAAACCTGAAAAAAGGAGCCTCACAAAGGTGATTCATTTTCTTTTAGATTTGTAACTTCCCTTGAACTACAGTCCAGTCTGGAGAAAGGAACGTTTCCCCAAACCACTTGAGGATGCTGGCATGCTGGAAATGACGGGGCAGCACAACCCACAAAGAAAAGGGCCCAGCTGGCTCAGCCATTTTGTGAGCTGATGACAAAGAGAACTTGGACTTTCCTTCTCAGTCATTTTGCACACAGTGGAAGGAAAGTTTAAAAGATATTGCCTGGAGCTCAGATGAGGCAAGAGATTCCACCGTTTTCCACTATGATGAAGGCAGCAGGAGGACATGTGAGGCCGTGTGTTTGTTAGGCTGGGGCTGGATGCCTTATAGATTTATTGATAGATAAGGCTAATTTATCACCTAAACCAGGATGCCTTTGAGAGGGAAAGGTGTTATTAATAATTATGCTGGGACAAAAGGCGTTAAGCTGGGATTGTCCTTGGGTACAATCATAATTATTCCTATTTATTTATTAAAGCAGCCCTTCTGGCTTCTGAAGAGCAGGATCGTGTTTGGTTGGAGTCATGTCCATATTTAGAAGTCACGTGAGAGAGCACCTAATTTCATTGAGGTTGACGCAGAGTAGGTATCTTGGAAGAGGGAAGCCACAGAGGTCTTTGGAAGGCTTGTGGTGGGGAGCTGCAAAAACTGTGAGCACTTGGGAGTTTGTGTACTTGGGTTCTGTCACCTCAAGGGGGTTTCTAGAAGTTTGGAAATCACTTCACGAAATGTAAACTTTGTAGCGTTTTATGTGTTGGAAGAGGTGCTGGTGACGGTGCTGAGAATTGACATTGCAAAGCAATCATTGGAATGCCTACAGAAGGGCATCCCCTAGGCCGCCACCTGCAAGTCCCTGACAGAGGAAAGTAGTGGACAGGGTTCCTCCTCCCTCCCATAGAGCAGCGTGAGGTTCTGATTCCAAGCTTGCTCTGGGCTTCCTGGATTGTCCTCATGATGGCCTGGGATGAGAACTCAGGCAAATTGTCATAGTTTCTGAGGGAAACAGGCAGGGACTTGAGGGATGTGGCTTGGGTACTGTTTGCTGTTGTGGATGACAAAAATACTAACCGGCTCTACAGTATCCTGGGTCTTGGTTGTACAACTCCATGTTTAAGTGTCACAGAGAGTTTGACGGATGATGGCTGCTGCTGGCTCTCCCAGCTTCCATCTCCCAGATTTGCCCCTTTGTTAAGAGGTACTGAAGCTGTCTGTGCTCCCAGATGGAAAGAAAGATCACAGGGAAGCACTCTCATTGGCCTGGCTGGGTCAGATGCCTGTGGCCGACCAGTCGTGAAGGGCAGTGAGGTGGGCATCTGTGACGGGCTCATCTTAGGTCAAAGATCTACTTCTGGCCATTTACAGTAGGTGGAGGTGACAGACAGAAAACGACAGCCCCACTTCCTACCATGTGATTGCAGAAGGTGGAAAAGTGATTATTTGCAGGAAGCGGGTGCATGTTCTAGAAGGGGAAGAATGTGGCAGACAAGTCTGTAGTGGCCCAGTACATATTTTTGTTAACAGCAGCAGTTGTAGTTATAAAATATGTCTTTGCCGATTTGATACAAGGGATGGTGTCTGATTTAAATGGATGTTGCTTGATTATTAGTGAGGCTAAATATTTTCCCACAGATGGGTTGGCCATTTACATTGCTTCTTTTGTGAATCTCCTGTCTATGGCCTTAGCCCGTTTTTCATAGCTGTTGTTGAGTATTTCAGAGAAGCAGTGGGGGTGGGTAAATCTGAGTTTGCTGTTTTCCACAGCCTTTGATGGGTAATTGTGTCAGCTGTATTTACTCCTGCTTGGAATAAACCCAGCTGAGCCTTCAGGAGATCAATGTGGAAATCCAAGAAAAATGCTGTCTCCTTAATCAAATTTCTTGTATTATGAATGGTTATTAAATATTTTATGTGAAAATTATAATTACCATTAAAGCCAATATCAATAGCCTCAGATAATCAGTGTGTAACACTAATTAGAAGGTACTGAATAACCCCCAGTGAGTTGTCTACTGTGATTTAGGAATTGCCGTAATTGTTGGCAAGCTCAGCTGGGAGGTGGGCATGCTGATTGTGGGGGCGGGGGTGCACATGTGTCTGTTTCAAAGCCAGATTGTTGAGCAGGGTACACACAGTGTGGCAGGAATCACTTCACCAGTTCGGAGGGTTCCCCTCAGGGGATCTGACTTGCTGGTGGGTAATGTGGTGGGCCACACTGCACCCTCCTCCAGTCTCTAGCACTGTGGTATCTGGGTTAATGAAGTCTCACTGTGAATGGTAATGGTGGGAAGTTTCCAGCCTTGCCAGCTCATCTGCTTGTCCACACATCCCTCTGGCCCTTCCTACCCCTTCTAAGACAACACATGCATGCATACACACACATACACGCCACACACACACACACACACACACACACACACACACACACACACACAACCGCTTAACAATCAGTGACCTTGTTTGGAATGCTTCTTTTTGAGAGTTGTGTTCTACCTCTAGGCAGGGGCAGCTGAATGTGTTGCAGGGAGGGCTGCTGGTTGCAAGATGTCTGGACCTGTTACTATCCCAGCTGGGCCACCAAATAGCCTGCGTAGTTTGCAGGAGGTGGGAGGTAAAAGGCTTCCTCAGCCATGGGGCAGCATGTCTCTCCTCACTGGAAAGTGGGCTGGAGGTGATCACCAGGGACCAATGCAGAGGGCCAAGAGCATGCAGTGAAGAGTCAGAGGAAGGAGGGATGAGGCATCTGTGCATGCTGCCCGTAAAGTCACTCATGGCGGCACCTGGGTTGGGGGTTGACTTTGGAATCAGAATCTCTGCTCCACTTGCCGTGAGTTCTGGGGCTTGAGCTCAGTCATGGAACCTCTCTGAGTGTTTTCTCCTGGATAGAGGATAATGATCGCCACCTTGCAGCAGGCTGTTTAGAGCCAACAGATCCTCTGAAGCCTCTGGCCTGGGCTTGGCGCCCTGGCCCACATCTCCTACCAGCCGTGTGACTCTGAGCAAGTTCTGTAGCCTCCAAGTCTCAATTTCCCAACAGGAAAATGAGGATAATAATAGTACCTACCTCATCGGGTTATTCTGGGGATTAAATGGGTTGTAAGGAATTTAGATAGTAAATGCTATGCAGGTGCTTGTGAAATGGAAATAAATGAAAAGTTTTAGTTATGTAAATTGCCCTGCTATGCTCCAGGCAGTATTAATAAAGTCCTCAAAATGTCTTCTGTGCTAAGTGCTGGGTATACAAGATGCAGATAAGCCAGGCCAGGTCCCCACCCTTCCAGTCCAGTGGGAGACCCCAACAATACACAGGAGACAAGCTGATTTGCTTGGATCATTTCAGAGAGAGTTTGGGCCATGAAGATAACTGAAGCAGGGTAAGATGGCAGAGTGACAGGGTGGGAGGGAGGGTAATTTTAGAGAGATGGAGCCAGTGACAATAGAAAGGACATTGTAGGAAAAAGAGGGAATGAGTCATGCAAGGAGATGGGAAGAGCAGGGAGAGAGATGCTGTTGCTGCTCTGCCCATATCCCCACGTGTCTGCGTCCCCTGCTCGTGTACACCCCTCCTCCCAGTGCCCACATCTGCGGCTCTTTGGCAGTTCTGCATTGGCGGACTGGCCTCAGGTTGCTGGAACTGCTGTCCTTCCCTAGATAGCAGGAGGTAGCTGGGAATTTTCATCCCTTTCGGGGCAGCCCTTGACCCATGACTGATGGGTGTGCACCTGCGAGCCCTCTTGTCCCTGGTGAGGATGGCTCCAGGAGTGACCCATGCTGTTTCCAGGGCTCCCCAGAGGTATTGGGTCACAGACGCCCTCTGTAGGCCTTGGTGATATGGTGCTCACCTCCTTGGCCTCCTTCCCCTCCTGATCCATCTTGCTCACCTCCCTTCTGGCTTTTCATGGGAACACTTCCCTAATAAGCACTTACACATGAACCCCTCCTCTCAGGTTCTTCTTCTGGGAAACCTGGGACAGACCCTGAGTCAGGAATGGGCATGGTCTGTCACATGAACAGTGAGAAGACCAGCAGAGAGCTGGGGAGGTGGGATAGAGCCGAGGCTGGAGAGTTAGGCAGGGCCTGGGTCATCTGGGGCCTTGTAGGCTATGCTAGATTTGAATTCTTCCAAGAGCAGTGGGGAGTGATTGGAAGTTTTTAGGCAGAAGAGTTACATCACATCACTTATTTTATTTTGTTTCTTTTTTTGTTTTGTTTTTTGAGATGGAGTTTTGCTCTGTCGCCCACGCTGAAATGCAGTGGCGAGATCTCGGCTCACTGCAACCTCCGCCTCCCAGGTTCAAGTGATCCTCCTGCCTCAACCTCCTGAGTAGCTGGGACTACAGGTGCCCGCCACCACACCTGGCTAATTTTTTGTATTTTTAGTAGAAATGGGGTTTCACCGTGTTAGCCAGGATGGTCTCCATCTCCTGACCTTGTGATCCACCCGCCTTGGCTTCCCAAAGTGCTGAGATTACAAGTGTGAGCCACCATGCCTGGCCCACATCACTTATTTTATAAGGGAAGATCTCTCTGGTCACCATGTCGAGAATGGACCATTAGGGGACAGGAGTGGAAGGAGGCTGCGGGAGTCACCCAGCAGAGAGGATGGGCTTGAACTAGGAGGGGAGCCAAGGAGATGGGATTGGGATTTGTTCTGGAGGATTGGTAGATGATTGACAATACAGATTCAGTTTTATTGTTTTCCCAAAGTCATAGCAGGTCTAAGAGTTCAAGATGGGTACTATGGGCCACTGGTGGTCCCACAGAGGTCCTACTCCATGGGTCCTCCCCCTGCCCCACCATAGAGACAAGAAGTAACCTTCCTCTGAACCCAGGAAGCCCTTGTTGGTGCCTTTTTACCAGGTCACTTTGTACGTTGTCCCAGCTATTTATGCCCTGCCTTTGTTCCTGCTGCCAGGCTGTGCCCAGCTTGGGCCTTGTGAGAGGAGTTATGTGGGAAGAGCCCTGGGCAGGACGGTGAGGTCTTGGGCAGATTCTGCCCCTTTTGAGGCCTGGTTCCTTGCTTTAGAATGAAGAGAGTCAGCGCTGCGAGTGCCGAAACCCTTCTGAGGCCAATTCTGAGGCCTTTCAAAGGGAGGTTTTGGAGAAAGCTTTGCCTGGGATGTGAAAGGTCAAAGGCTCCCTCTCTCCCAGAGGCACCTGCTCTGTCACAGCCTCGGTGAGGTGAACTGAGTGGACGGTGTGTCACCCAGCATCCCACAAGCTCAGAGTTCCCACAAGCTCTCTTGAGGACCCTCTTTTCAGCGTAAGGGCCAGAATGAACTCACTTTGGCTGCAATTGGGTTGAGTTGGAGTCCACTTTGCCTCTGCAAAGAAAGATAATGTTTCCTGAGAAAGCAATGATAATCATTCTAAGTTATGTTTTTTCCAGAAATTAATTATCTGGAATATTAAAACACTTGGCTCTGACTTTCAGGTCCCCAAGGGACATTTTTTTTTTTAGAGGAAACACCTCCTTTCTGCGTGAGGCAAAAAGAATGATGGTAAGCTTCAGTGGGTGGTGGGCTTTCTTTGAGAAGCCTTTTCTCCCACGTTGCTCATTTGTTCATGATCTAAACAGGATGTTGCAGGTGACTGGCACCAGGCAGGGCCTGTGGTTTGATCCACAGGGCACATCTGGGGGGCAGATGTGGAAGGTCTGTGTTCCTGGGTGATAGGCAGCACATCAGTGACCCCAAGGACCTCGAGGATGCTGGGAAACCCCACCTCTAGAGCCTTGGGGCCCACTGACCAGCTGAGACCCCACTGACAAGCTGAGACCCCCAGTTTTCCCAGAAGTAGCCAGTGGTGTCTGGGGGAATGGGATCTCTATAAGGAAGCTTTTAAAGTTAAAATATCCAAAACTTCAACTAAGAAAGTTTGCTTCTTAGTGTCCATTCTAGAAACATAGTCCTACATATGTGCAAATAGACATCTATGTGACTGTTCATTGCAATTTGTTTTTAATAATGACAAAATGGAAACAACCTTCATGGCCTGAATATTAAATAAGTGGTGGAATAGCCATATTAGGATCTACTATTAATGCTTCAAACCCTTAGCTAGATATGTATACAGTATCTGTGAAAAGATCCCCAAGCTTTATTATTAAGTGAAAAAAGTGAGGTTGCAGAATAATTTGTGTAATGTTCCACTTATGTTGAAAACCTCCCATAAATATTAACTTTGTTTCTCTCTGTACATAAGAAACCAGACAAATCAAACTGAAAACAGTGATTGTCTTGGGAGGAGACTGGGATTAGAAGTGGCATTCTCAACTGGGATTTTGTTTCATAACTACAGTTTGAATATCTAAAAAATAGTTTTCAAAACTACTTGTGTAATTAAGAAGGTCATAACAAGACATAAGTTAATTGATATCTGTTATAAGAAAGTTGTTAAATACAGAGAAATGTCACGCTACGTCCCACTATTAGCATTTTGGTGCATTTCCTTCCAGTCCATTTTTTCCTTATGCATTTTACATAAGCATACTGTATAACATTTTGTATTCTACTTTTCCTCTAAACATTTTGTCATAAAAACTTTCTATGCTGTTTTAAACTCTCTATTGTATATATATATACATATCTTTAATAGCTGTGTAATTTTCCATTGTGAATGTTTAACTATTTCCTATTTTTCCTTCTCATTTTAAAAGTGATATCTATTTGCCTAGGAACTCTTCCACCTGTCTTGTGAGCCAAATAAAATCATTATTTCTATGCTTGGTGCAGTGCCTGGTACATGGTGGGGAGTGAGTTCATGTGCACGTGTGTGTGAATGAATGAGTGATGGGAAGCTGAGGTACTATCTTAGGGGTGGGCTCTCCATGGCCCTCCTGAGGGTCATTTAGGCACAAAGGGGTAGGCCATACATTCAAGCCAGAGGTGGGTAAGCCAAGTCAGTGGGACCTTTCGGACATACAGGCCTCCTCTGTGAAATCATTGACAATAGATGGCCTGGAAGCATTCAGAGCTGGGGCCCTAGAGCCCTGGGTTAGAGACCTACCTTGGTGCTAACTCTGTTTCCCTCTATGGAAAACCTTTTTCACCAGCCTGCAAACCATTTTGTTATCTGAATACAGAAAAGGAGGTTTCTGGAGGTAAGTACTCGGTGTGATCAGGTCCCCAGAGTGCCTCTCATGGGCAGTCAAGGAGAAGCTGTACCTATCCTTCCTCTAGGCCTCAGTTCTCTGCTCTGAGAAATAAAGGTATTTGCTTCAGTTAGGATCTTACCAGGAAAAAAGATAGAAAACCCAAAAGAGCAATTTAAGGGAGGTTAAAGAAGGGGCTATTTAGAATACTGTGGGCAGGATTAAGGGAACCAGCAAGAGATGATTGTTGTACCCTGGGACTAGCAACATGGGCAAACCATTACTACCTTTAGGACTGAAGGGGAAAGGAGAAGGAGATGTTACTGGAACTCAAGGAGAGCTGTAGCCATAAGAGAGAGGCTGCCAAACAGAATCTGTGGCCTTAAGCTATTATTGTAAACTAAGATTTGGCATAAAGGCAGCTTGGGACATAAACACCCCAATCTCTTTTTCCTCTGGCTGCTGGTACCTCCCATTGACAAACTAAACCACAAAGCCAGAGGACAAGGGAACTTGGGTGATATAGTCTCTGTAGGCTGCCACCCAGAGCACAGAGCAGGGTAGAGATGGGTGGAGCATAGACCTGGAGAGCAAATAGGGACTCTCCAGCATGTTCAGCCCCTGCTCTACTCTCTTGTCAGGGAAAAAGCATGGCCCCAACATAGTGGAACACAGAGTCTCATCAGCTACTGGGTCTTATTGGGATGATGTCAATTCCTAGGAATCAGCTTAAAATATTAGCTTCTACTTGTGTCCTTCATATAAGGTAGTGGGGAAAATGGGAGAACAAAATAAACAATTAACATTGATTCTGCCCACTGGGAGCATTTCCCTTCACCATCGTCTTTTAGAGTCACCCTTGAGTGGGATTGTAATATATTGTCTATTCTGACTCATTTCATCACACTGTGCAAAATGTCAGTAAACCAGGCCATGCTTTCTTCTCCTGTTGATAATAGGAAGTTCCCTATGAGGTGTGGGTCAAGACAGAAGTGGTGAATCAGTAGGAGCAGGTACCACAGGAGTCTAAGTCACCTGTTGTACAATCTACTCTTCCACCTTCTGGGCCTGCTCAGGCTTGATCTTATAAATATCATTTCCATTTGAAAATGGAGTTCCGCTATGTACTTCCAATTTTATGATTCAGTGAATCACATAACACTGTAATCGGTGGTTTTTGTCGTCAATACCATTACCTTAGCACAGTGTTTCTCAACTTCAGCACTACTGACTTTCGGGGCTGAATAATTGTTATAGAGGGCTATCCTGTGAATTCTAGTGTGTTTACAGCATCTCTAGCCTCTACCCACTAGATTGGTGTCCCATGATCTGGTGTTTGGTCTTTGCCAGGGCTTACTGGGAAGGCAGAAGCTGCTTTACAGATGGAGAACAATTATTGGCAGAATTCTTACTTTAAAACCATGGGATTTATGCTGTAATTTCCCTATTCAGGCTTGTTAGATGCTCTGTATAACATCTCTGTCTGCCACAGATATTTCTAGTACAACTGGATATACTGGATCACCAAATAATAGAGAAGTTTATTGCCAGGACCTTCTATAGAAACTTGTCTTGATCAAGACCTCTCACAAACTAGGAGATTTACCCATTATTTGGCAAGAGGTAACTGCAAGGTATATGTTTCCTCTGCAATTCCAAGAGGCTCAATCAAGTTGTGCTTTTCTTTGTAGTGAATGGTGGAAGGAAAAGCAACATTTTTTTTTTGTCATTTTAGAAGAAATATACCTATACATTCTAGACTATTGCATTCTTAGAAACTTCACTTATGTGTCAAGTCTTTGAATTTGTGCAAGATTTATCATCCATTTTCTGGCATGCATGTCTTGCTAAAATATGTATGGTTCTTAGTCCTGCTCAAAAGGTACAATTAGCCTAATAATATCAATGTAACAGACTACCGTGATTTTCTATGAGATAGCAAAACAATTAAGGCTATACTATGACAGAGAATAAGAGGGTAGATAATAGCTTTATCTATAAGTAGATAAGATGGCAAAGGTATACTGCCATCCCGGCCATGTGAAAGCAAATGGCTTTTATTATAAGATAAGAGTATGTTTCAACCAGCAAACAAATTTTAAGAGGATTTAGGGATTCAATGTTCTCAACTACGTAAGTGTCCCTATCCCATGTATCAGTGTCTTAGATTTTGCTTATCAGTGACATGACCTTAGCACAATGTTTCTTAACTTCAGCACTACTAACTTTTGGGGCTAAATAATTGTTATGGGGGGCTATCCTGTGTATTCTAGGACGTTTACAGCATCTTTAGCCTCTACCCACTAGATACCAGTAGTACCCTCTACAGTTGTGGCAACCCAAAATGTCTTCAGACATTGCCAAATGTTCCCTGACAAGCAAATCACTTCTGATTGAGAATCGCTACCTTAGCCTAAGAGCCCTGGCAAAGAGGCATATTCACTGGTACCACAACTCTGTAATCCTCATACTTAGGCTTTATGCTTGATCTTCAGCCGTATCTGTTCTGCAACTACAGATGATGAGAAACTCCTTCAAAACTGCCAAGAAAGTCTTCCTGATTTCCAACTATTCTTTTATTCAGGAATTCACTGTTTTCATTTTGTCCTTCTCTGTGTGTGTTCTCTCTAGAGCAGTCAGAAGCGGTTAGCGTATCCCAGGGTTTTCATAATCACCATTGCTCTTATAGTGACAAAGTGCCAGAGCCACTTCAGGTCTCAACACTTCTTTTTCTTCCACCTGCACTCCATCATATGCCATGACCAGTGATAATTTTAATCGTAATGCTACAGATGATCACTATCCCGTCTACCCTTAGAAGCTTGTTCTTGCTCTCTACAAATGGGTGAGTAACCCAATCTTCAAATTCTATTTTTAAGGCCTGCTTCCTGGGGCCAGTTCCAATACCAATTATTTTAAAAGTCAGGAGAAAAGTGACACACTCAAAAGAGTAATTAAAGAGAGGTTAATGCAAGTACTATTTATAAAGGCATGAGCAGGATGAAGGGAACAAACAAAAAGAAGATGAAGCACGCAGGAACTAGTAAGAACAGTAAGCTGATACCTTCTCTAAACTGAAAGAGGAAAGGAAAGAAGCTGTTACTGGGACCCAAAGAAAGCTGTACGCAAGGGAGAGAGGTCTATCACGTTGTTGTAGTCTTAGGTAGAGAAATGTGGCTCCTGTTAAATTGCTGCCTAGAAGGAGAGTAGGTAAGGGAATAAATACTCTGTCTTCTCTCTCTGTCTACCCTCTAATCACCTGGTGCCTCCTGTTGGCTGAACTAGAAGCCAGAGGTGAAGGAAACCCATATTTGCAATCTATACAGGTCAGTCTCCCCAGGCACAGAGCAGAGCATTCTTCTTAGAGAAAAGCAGAAAGAAATATCGAGGACAAATCAAGACAGTGGCTGAGCAGGGTCATTGCTCTTTCTCAACTTTTTTTTTTTTTTTGGTCATATGAACTTATTTTGTAGTACTTTAATCTTCCAGTCCCCATAAGAATTTTTAAAAATCACTTAGTCATTCTTGAATGGTATATAATGAAGGTAAAATTGTAATTAAAAATTTGAGATCAATATTGTTAAAGTTTGTGTTATAATTTTTTCCCATAAATAGCATTTAGTAATATTAATTCTGTATTAGAACAAATTAAACTTTTTCCCATTTAACAATTGATAATTTAATAATAATAATAATAGTTAACATTTATTTTGTGCTTTTTATATATTAGGTGCCATATTAAGTGCTTTACAGGCATTAGTCAATTTAGTTTCTTTTTAATTAGTTACGTAAGGAAAAGCATGCTTTGCCAACAAAGAAATTATGACATTCGTTGGTGCTATGGTTTGTGTGTGTCCCTCAGAGTTCATTATTAGAAATTAATCCCCAATGCAACAGTGTTGAGAAGTAGTACCTTTAAGAGGTGATTAGGTCATGAGGATTCTGCCCTCATGATGGACTAATACCATTATCTTGGAAGTGGGTTTGTTATTGCAGGAGTGGATTTGTTATAAAAGTAAATTTGGCCCTCCCTGGCTCTCTCGTGCACATGTGTTCTCTTGCTTTTCTACCTTCCTCCATGGAATGACACAGCAAAAAGGCTCTCTCTAGGTATGGCCCCTTGAACTTGAACTTCCCAGCCTCCAGAGCTGTGAGCCAAATAAATTTCTGTTCATCATAAATTACTCCGTTGGTGGTATTTTATTATAGCAGCACAAACTGGACTAAGACAGTTGGAGACTGAATATATATTAAAATGCAGATTGAAATTTAACTACATGATTCAACATCAAATGGACAAAAACTACTTTCATGACCTGGTATTTTGGATTCTTGCATTTTGCACTAAAAAACACAAATGGTTTATTTTTACAACATTTGCATTATGTTTTAAATGACAAGATAAGAGAGATGGCCTCATGCTGTTTTTTGTAAACACTTTGCCACAAATAACATATGGCATCTATGAGCAATCTTTATTTCCAACAAATGGAAAGCCAAATTGGATATAATTGTCACTATATTTTCTTCTTTAAACATTTTAATTTTGCAGTACTAAAGACATCTAGATGCATTATATGTGATTTCTGATCAGATGGATGCAACTTACTTACCTGGCAAAAATCATCCCGGGTTATTTTGAAGAATTATTGTCCTTTTTGGCAGTCTTCATTAATTTATTGTATGTTAGCATCAGTGTTTCTATGCTTTCTGACTCTAACCAATGATCCATTGTGAGTAGAAATTAAATAATGTATAACTAAGAATAAGAACATTTGAAAACAGTATAATGATCAAACCCACTATGGCAGTTAGCACTTGTTCAGCTAAGTTACAAATTGATTACAAAACTGATTTGTTTGCAGGTTCATCTGATCTTCACAAACTGCTATTGCTCTCTTGATGTACATTAAAGAGATCTTTAATTTCTAAAGAATTAGTTTAGGAAGTCCTCACCAGAGCAATCAGGCGGGAGAAAAAAATAAAAGGCATCCAGATTGGAAAAGAGGAAGTCAAATTATCCCTGTTCATTGATGATATGATGTTACATCTAGAAAACCCTAAAGACTCCACAAAAAAAAATCCTTAGGTTTGATAAATAAATTCAGTAAAGTTTCAGGATACAAAAAAATTAATGTACAGAAATCAGTAGTGTTTCTATACACTGATAAGAATCTAGCTGAGGACCAAATCAAGAAAGCAATTCCATTTACAATAGCTACAACAGCAACAACAACAAAACTAAACAAAACCTAGAAATATGCTTTACCAAGGAAATGAAAGATCTCTATAAGGAGGACTACAAAACACTGATTAAAGAAATTGTACAAGACTCAAACAAATAAAGCATCCCATGCTCATGGATTAGAAGAATCAATATTGTTAAAATGACCATACTGCCCAAAGCAATCCACCGACTCAATGCAACCCCTATCAAATTATGAATGTTGTTTTTCAGAGTCAGAAAAAACAATACCAAAATTCATATGGAATCAAAAAAGAGCCTGAATCATCAAAAAACCTCACCAAAAAGAACAAAGCTGAAGGCAACATATTGTCTGACTTCAAATTATATTACAAGGCTGTAGTAACCAAAACAGCATGGCACTGCTATAAAAACAGACACATGGATCAATGGAACAGAATAAAAAGCCTAGAAATAAAGCCACCCTCTTACAATCAACTGATCTTCAACAAAGTTGACAAAAATATACACTGGGGAAAGAACATTCTATTCAATAAATGATGCTGTGAAAATTGGATAGTCATGCAGAAGAAGGAAACTAGATGCATACCTCTCACCATATATAAAAATTAACTCAAGATGGATTGAAGACCTAAACATAAGTTGAAACTGTAAAAATCCTAGAAGAAAACCTATGAAAAACTCTTCTGGACATTGGCCTAGGCAAAGAATTTACGACCAGGTCCTCAAACAAACAAAACAACAACAAGAATAACAAAACCAAAAATAAAGAAGATGTAATTAAACTAAAAACTTCTGCACAGCAGAAGAAACAATCAACAGAGTAAACAGACAACCTGTAGAATGGGAAACAATATTTGCACACTATGCATCTTACAAAGGGCTAATATCTAGGATCTGTAAGGCACTCAAACAACTCAACAAGAAAACCCCATTAAAAATTGGGCAAAGGACATGAGCAGACCTTTTTTGAAAGAAGACATACAAGCAGCCAACAAACATATGAAAACACTGCTCAACATCACTAATCATCAGAGAAATGCAAATTAAAACCACAATGAGACGCCATCTTACACCATCAGAATGGCTATTATTAAAAAGTCAAAAAACAACAGATATTGGCAAGGATGTGGAAAAAAGAGTATACTTACACACTGTTGGTGGGAATGTAAATTAGTACAACCTTTATGGGAAATAATATGGAGATTTCTTAAAGAACTAAAAATAGAACTATCTTTCAATCCAGCAACTGAGTATCTACCCAAAGGGAAAGAAATAATTATATTAAAATGATACCTGCACTCATATGTTTATTGTAACACTATTCACAATAGGAAAGATATGGAATCAACTTAAGTGTCCATTAATGGAGGACTAGATAAAGAAAATGTTATACACACACACACCCACACACACAAACACACCCACACACACCCCACGGAATACTACTCAGCCATCAAAAAGAATGAAATCATGTCTTTTGCAGCAACATACATGGAACTGGAGGCCATTACCCTAAGTGAAATAACTCAAACAGAAAATCAAATGCCACATGTTCTCACTTATAAGTGAGAGCTGAACAATGGGTACCCATGGATGTATAGAGTGGAATAATAGACACCAAAGGCTACAAAAGGTGGGAAAGTTGGGAGGGGATTGAGGGATGGAAAATTCCTATTGGGTACAATGTTCACTATTCAGGTGATGGGTACACTAAAAGACCAGGTGTCACCACTATGCAATATATGTATATAAAAAATCTGTACTTGTACCTCCTAAATACATAAAGATTTTTTAAAAAGAATTAGTTTATGTAATTTTTTAAAGACTGGAAATGGAAATACTTACTTATGAAGGTGAACCCTTGCTACCATCTATAACCCCACAGAAGGTTTGTAGATGGCTGTGTTGGGCAGAGCTAGGGGCCCCTTTGCTCTAGCTTTGCCACTGATGATACTGATGGACCAGAGTAGCTTTATGGGACGTGGGGCAGGGGTAACCAGACCCTACAGAGTGGCATGTTCAGGAAGTCAAATATCCAGCATGTCAGAGCTGGAAGAGACATTGGCGTCATATGGTCCACATCTTTTTGAATATTGTATACCGAGGAGGAAACAGAATCCCAGAGATTTACCAGTGTCAGAGCCATGATGAGACCAAGCACTGTCACTTCTCCTTATAAATGATTCTGGAAAATGTGTGCTATTGGGCACATTTCCAGCCACTGGAATCACCAATCCCCCTTTCCTGTGGCAGGCATGATGGCTTTCTGGCTCAGCAGGGCTTGGGTGAGCAGTAAAGACAGGATTGATCTCTGGAATCCAGAAATGATTTCAAATCCTGTCTTTTGATGTGTACCTGGGCGAATCAAGAAGATTTAGGTACATGTGGTTCTCTTCCGGAATTAGAAAACATCGCCCAAAGAACTTTCTTTGAAGCCAGAAGCTGCTGGTAAAGCCAGCAAGCAGAAGTTCAGATGTACTGATGTCTTTGCAACAGGCTCTGTGTCCTATTTGGAGAAGCAGTGTAGCTTTCCACACAACAATCCTGTGATCCACAGGACAGACCTGAAGAGGCTTGAATACCTGATGTAACATGCAGGAAACAATAGTTGTCTTTCTTGAGCATCAAGGTACCCCAGCAGTGGAGCTAACTTCCTTGCATTGAAACACTTTTCAAAGCTTTTTAATATTGGAGCTTTATTCTTCTTCCTTTTTCCATAACAGAAGCTTCTCTGTTCTCTGAGGGAAAATTCAGGGTAACCTTTCTGCTGCCCAGTGGCTCTGTTAGCAGCCCTGCACAGCAGATCTTCCAGGTCAGCAGTGGTCTTGAGGTCAGGCACAAAAGCAAACTTTACACAGAATGAAACTCTCTTGGTAGATGTGCCTGAAGCAATGGCAGGTGATGTTTTTTGGTTCTGACAGTTTTCTGCAAAGTATAGGGAAAATTTCATCCCTGCCTATTCAGGGAGGTCTCTGGTCTCCCTCTTGCTATTCCACCTCAGGCTAATGCTGAATGAGTGTTCATTGTGGCTACTTCACTGGCTCTTTGGACCTGTGATTCTTGTCCTTCATAGGTTCATGGAGCCCTTTGAGAATCAATGAAAGTGATAGATCCTTTCCTCCACAAAATGCTCGCTGCACAGGCACACTGGGTTTTGCCAACACTTCCGGTGGTGGTGGTTGAAAGTTCAGATTATCCAGAAATGTATACACTTGAGGTTCAGGACATAGGGGTATAACAACATCCATCATCCTGAATGGCAGAGAGTTGGATTCGTCACAACTCCGGGTACACTCCCTGCTCCATTCTGGATGGAGAGATGGTGCTGGTCCTGGGTGTGGACCCCAGGAGGAGGAATACCTTCGTGTAGGAAAGAGTTAGCTGCTAAAAATCCTCTCGTTTCTTCCTTGGGTTCCCAGATTTTTTCTTCTGCTTCATTGGCTCATTCCTCTCCTCTTCCATCAGCATAAATATTTTTCATAGTTCTCATACAAGTCTTCTTTCAAAATCCTTTCCCTGAGTAATCTTGGCCATGCCTTGACCTCTTTGTCAATGTTTTTCCACCGGAGTTTTCAGTCCTGCATTCTCTCTAAAGCTCCAGACTCCATTCTAGTTGCTACAGAGGGAGATGCTGCACAAAGCAGCACCCCTGCAGAGCCCTATCCATCCTGTGACCCATCCACCTTACTTTTCTCTCTGCTTCTTTGCACAGCTGCCTGTGTGCTAGAACCATGGGAGCATTATTGATGGCATCCAGGCATCACTCTGTACATGTGTTCCCTCCTGTCTTCCTCAGTATCATGGGGGCCTGGTTCTGGCCCCCATTCTCATCCTTCTGGATAGTTACAGAATCTTTCCATGAAGCTCTGAGCTCACTTGTCCCTTGACTCATTTGTACTATGGTCAAGTAGCTTTCTAGGTGGTAGTCATGCTACCTCCAGGCTCAAAAACCTTGTTGGTTCCCATTGCCTATAGACCAGCAAACTCCCTAGCATAGATGCATTCAAGGCTCTCCACAATCAGGACCCAACTGCAGCAGATCCTGTTGATGCCCTCTCATATCCCTTATGTCTAACCATATCAGCACACGCAGGCCCACCCTCCACCTTCCAGGTGCCAATATCTGCATCCCTGTGCCTGAGGGCTCTCTGGCATAGCTGTGCAGGTGCAGAACCCACTCTACAAGGGCACATGACAGGCTAGAATCGATGCCCCCCTCACCCCTGAGAGCCACTCTCGATAAATGAATGACTGATGGGAGTTGCTATAGATACATTACAGCTTCCTTTCCCTCGGGTGGGATAACTCTGAGGTTCATGTTCTGCATTGACTCCCAGAGTTCCCCAATCAGGTTAACTCTGGTAGCCTTCAGGAGTTACCACCTCCTAAATATACTACCTTTGCTCAAGTCTTCATTTCAGGATCTGCTTCTAGAGGAACCCAAATTAAGTCATCAAATGACCTTTTCCTACTCTGTCTCCTCACCAGAGCCTCTGCCTTTCCTTGACCATCTCCTGGTTCCACCTGTCTTCGCACTTTTGCTCAAGCCTTGTCCTCCACCTAGGATGCCTTCTAGAGTCCTGCTATGTTTAGGCTCACCTGAAAGGTGGCCTCATGTGGGAAGCATCAAAAGAACCCACCCGGCACTCCCACAACACTTTCTGTTGGTTCTCTTCTCTACATTATATTGTTTGTTGGATTTGATGTCTGTCTCATCGGTAGGAATGAGGCCTTTTTATGTTTTTATTTCCTGCAGTGCCTAACCTGGAACTCGGCACTTGGATCTTCAACAAATGCTGGCTGCATTAACCCTCCACACCCAGCTCTTCCAGGTCACCGTGACCCTCTCTTTCCTTTCACTGTGCCAAGGCACTCATCCTGAGCCTCAGTAGCACAGTACCCCACAGCCTTCCTATGGAGACCAGTTGAGTCTCCCCTCAGAACTGTCCTCCAAGCTAGAGGCCAAGAAAGGCTCTTAAAATTCTCCAGGCAACCAATAAATTCAGTGAATCATTTATTAGGATAGTGTCTATGGGGATAGGAAAATACAAGCTGAGTCTTAAATTCAAGGTGTTAACTCATTAGTTCAGTGGTAGGCACACTTTTTCTGTAAACGGTCAGATAGTAACTATCTTGGACTTCGTGGGACACATATGGTCTCTGTTACGTATTTTCCTCCTTCCCTTCCCTCTTTCCTCCTCTTCTTCTTTTTCCTTTTCCCCTTTTCCTCTTTCTTCTTCTTCCTCTCCTTCCTCTTTTCTGTTTTAAAACCCTTTAAAAAGGGAAAAACCATTCTTAGGCAGTACAAAAACAGACCATGGGTTGAACTTGGCCCCATAGGCCAAGGTTTGCTGACCCCTGCATTTATGCAGTAATTCACCCCTCCAGCATTTATTGAGCACCTACACTCTGCCTGGCACCTATCTGGCAAAGTCACTCCTCCTTATGGGTCCCCTCCTCAGTGTGGGTACATATCTGGTAGGTGTTTGAAAATATGCCGGAGAGATTGAAGGGAGCGCCCATCATCTGGGTGGGGAAACTTTCCTGCACAGCTCTTGCTCCATCCTGCCATGGCTGCTGTCTCAGTGTGGCTCTCTTGACTTGATTACAATTTTAATTTCAGCTGGAATTCAGCTGTCTCTTCCTTCCTAAATGGCTGCTGCTGCTTAATGAATTTTCAGGGTAATGGCATAATCTTATCTCTGCTTTTCCTTTGGAAACTCACCCCATATTAACCTCCTAATAGGCTCCAATCCTTTACCCCTCCCTACCACATTTGCCGGTGCCTGTCTCTTGTTATTGTAGCCTCCCTCTTCCACTGTGCTCGGCCTCTGTTCACCCACCTCTCCTCCCTTCCTGCCATTCAAGGGCCTTCCCAAGAATCACTGATGGACTCTCTCACACTGATAGCCAGACTTCTTCCATTGCTGATCCCCTGGGCTCTGCAGGGGCACAGGCCCTGATGTTGGCCTGAGGTCACAGCTGGTCAGTAGTCAGTGAGGTGTCCCTTGCTGGCTGCACCCAGTGCTGTTTTGGACTCAAGGTTTTTTGAATGTCTGCCCCTTTTCCTGTTCTGTCCTCCATGGTGGGTGCCTTCATGATGAATTAGGTCCCCGGACATCCTGTCTGTCTTCTTCACATCAAAAAATTTAGTTGTATACTGGTTCATTTGGTTTTTGAAACAGATAATACAAAGTAATATTTTCTATGAAAAACTCTTCCTGGATGCACAGATACATGATAAATAGAAACCTTATGCTTTAACCTCCCCCTCTCCCCACTGGCATTATTCACTTATAGTTACCCATTCTACAGAAATCCACTTCAACAAAGAGGAGAAATAATTTGCACATTTCAAAGTTTCCCTTGCTTCGCAGAAGAATTCATTGCCAGCTTTTATAAAGTAGCAAGCTCCCTGAGTGCATGTTAAGTGGTTTTATTTGCAAGGTTTTGATTCAGGTATAACTTTTCCAGAGCATAGGGACGGCATAAAGCGCAGCATATTCATGCTCACCTGGAGAAAATTGTTACCCCACGTATGTGAGGAAAAGATAATTTGCAAGTCTGATGTGGATGTTCTACCCCCAAATCCCACAGGGCAGTTAGTTCACATTCCAGAATGCATATTTCTTCTACTCTTTTATCTTAAGAGGCTCACCTGTAAGAATCTGTCTTTGGAATGCAGGAAAGTCAAGATCTGAAGATTCGGATCGAATGTGTCTATGATCCATGGAAGGAATTTGACAGATCATGGTGGTATTTGAACAGAACCCTTAGAGAGCTCTGCCCACTGAAGAGGGCCTTGTACCAGCTTTCTCTTTGCTCAGAGGTTTCTAACCTGGTGTTCTCAGACCCCCAGGAGTCCACCTGTGGGCTTCAGGGATCCACCAGCCCTCTGAAAAGGCACATGGTTTTATGTGCCTGTGCTTAGGTGCATTGTTTTGGGGGAGAAAGTCTAGGGCTTTTCTTTGGATTTGCAAGGAATTGGGGGAGCTAATTCTTTGGCTTGCCTATGGCATGGTTTCAGGAGATGAGATGCCTCATGAAGGGGACCTTTGGCTTGTTCTCTGCTGGGTCCCCAGGTTCCCACTCCTGGAATCATGCCTGGTGCATCATACGGGCCCGCTGTGTATTTGTAGGCTGAGTGATTCAATAGGTGAAAGAAGAAAATGGCCACACCAGAACTTGAACCTGGGCTGCTCTGATCCCAGAGCCCTCTGCCTGGCATCTTCCTGAAGGAAAGAGGCTACTTTGGTTTTCTAGGAAGGCTGGGCTGGGAGCTGGGCAGGAAGGAGGAAGGAAAAGGCAGTGTTCACCAAAGACCCAAACTGTGAATCAAAGACCCACATCACTGCAAAAGAAATCTCAAAGCAATAAGCAAAGTAAAGACTGCAAGAGGAAAGACAAATTGGCTTTTCTGAAGCTCACTCTCTGAACAGTTACCTCTGAGCCTGGGGAGGGCTTGGGCTCTGGCCAGCCCTGGATGCCACGGGCAGGGACTGTAGCACAAAGCACTTCTGAAGCGACTCTCTGTAGCAGGAAGCAGCTGCCTTGGGCTGGCTTGGGCTCTGGTGAATTGAGCACGGGCCCGTCTGCTGCCATGTTTTTCTGTTCCAGAAGTATTGCCAGGGGCTGCCTGAACAAGGCAGTCAGCAGAGGTGGAGAAGGGTCAGGGGCCTGGGGTCTTGGTCTGCCTCTTGCCCTTGGGGTACCTCAGATCACCTGCCTCCTCACTTCATATTTCAGTCTCTCTCTTTTTGAAGAATGGTTAGCTATATCTGTTTTTCCTTTTCCCAGGGTTGGTTGGGGGAGGTGGGGAGGAGTTGTGATGAGGCTTTATAAACTATAAAATGAAGGTACTTGGGGAAACAAAGGCCCAGATGAATGTGCTGGATGGGATCCTGCTGTCTGGGCTATGGGTCTGTGCAGTCAGCTGGTCCAGCAGATGCTCACAGGGAGCCAGGTCTGCCTGGAAAATGCATGGAGGAGGCTCAGAGGGGCTGTGGGACCGTCATGAGAGGTTCATCTGTAATGCAGATAAATGCACGAAGGGAATTATTTGTCAAGAAAACCAAGGAAGGAGGAGCTAGGGCTCCATCTGTGCCCTAAGCTGATGATCTGGCCCTTTTTAGAGAATAAGAGTCAGTTGTTAGAGTCACTTAATTAATTCCAAGATGTTGAAGGGCTGAGATGAGAAGACTGGCTTAACATACTCTCAATGGAAGAGCAGTAATTGGCTACTCTTGTAGGTAAACATGGCCAGTGGCCTATCCCAGAGTTCTAGACACACCTACAAGGGCTATTGGGCATGTCCTACTGAATAGAGGAATTCATGTCCAAAGTACTGGTGATTTCAGGATTCACAGTCCTGGAGAGGAGATGAGTGGTTCTCAGCATTCCTAGGACTCCTGAGGTTTGGCTTAAACTGAATGCCATCACAGACAGTGCTCCTGGACCCAAAGCCATTTCCAAGGAAGGAGACAGAACTGTTAGGAAGAGGATGAAGGCTGGAGGGCTTAGTGCCATCCTGCTCAGATGCAGGAGGAAATGGACACCATGGGTGCCTTGCCAGTATCCATCTCACCCTCCCCAGGTCCAGCAGCTTCATGCTTTGGGTGGACCTGATTGGTCCAAGTGAGTCAGGGAAATCCCACTTCCCACTTGCTGGAGGGATAGAGAGAGAGAGGGAGAGATGGTCCAGTCAGAACAAAGTCTAGGGCTTTAGTTCAGTGGTCTCGGAAATGACACTCTCTTTCCCTTTGGATGTAAAAAGTGAAGCATGGAGTCCTGGTTGCTATTGGTGGCCATTTTGGGACCATGAGCAAACCTGCTCTGAAGATAAAATTAACACATGGAGGGCAGCAGAGCAGAGAGGATTACAAGGAAATGGAGCTGGACCTTCTGGATATACGAGTCTATAAATCCCTTTATCATTCAAGTCAGTTTGATTTGGCTTTTTTGATTCTTGCATCGAGTGCTTTCCAACTGATATACAGGGCCAGGACACGTTAGTTTCTAAGGATCCTCTCAGTCCTAAAAGTTGATTATTTGACTTTATAGTCTATGTTCTGGGACTACATTCCAAAGGAGGTGAAAATGAAAGTTTGGGGCTATGACTTGAGGGCTAGTTCTCTGCTTGTCCAGAGAGGTTGGAATCTACAAGCTGACCTGTGCTGGGCCCTTGTTTAGTCCAGTCACCGTAGGTCCCTTTAAAAGCATGGAAAGACCCTCTTTGCATTGTTGGGGTGCTCAGGTCTAGAGGCTGGCCTAGCCTGTGGTATGTTGGGGGTTGAGGGTGGTCTAGATCTAGAAAAATCCAACCTGAAGATTTAGGTTCATTCTTCAAATGGTCTGTAGACTGGAAAATACTAGTGAAGAGAGAAAATTCTCTTTCCAAGTTGTGTTCTTGCCTCCCAGAGTCAATTATCTGTAAGTCATACAGCTCACTCTGGTACTTAAAATTGCACAGTTTCTTAGCCTGTGTGTCAGGGGAAGCCAAACAAACAGGCTTCCATTTTACAAATCCTCAGATGTTTCCACAAAGGCTCCCTTAACTGTCTCTGACAGTAAGAAAATTAATAGATGCAGCTGACAATGTGTAAAATGATTGTGTGTGTCGAGGTCTCGGAGGATAACATAATGTCTTCACTAGAAATGACTGGTGTGATGCGGACTAGTAGCACAGGAGATGGATGGCTAGAAAGCTTGCCATGGGTTAAATGCCATCATTACAGCCTCTTTCAATCAGTAAATAGCTGTCAAGCACCTCCAGCCTGTCCAACACTGGGCCAAGTACCCAGGAATTCAGGCATTCTGGATGACATTAAAGAAAGGGTAGAGCCTCCCTTGACGTTGAGGGGCTGCTGTGTCAATCTTGGAAGAGAAGGTACACAAACCTAACAGCTAGGCTACATTTAAGGCTGTGCATGTTCTAAGAAGTCTGGAAGAAGCAAACGATTGTTGGGAATCTGGGTTTTCTCAGGGGAAATGGGGCTTGAATTAGACTTCAAAGGAACTGAGCAAATCATTATTTGGACTGGAATTATGTATTATTGAATGAACCTTGAAGCAGCCATTCATTGGTTGGAGCTTGGAGATTTTATTTACCGAGAATGTTAGAATAAAATTTATTATAACAAGAATTGGCCTACCCTGTATTTGTCCTATATTTAAAACAAGCAATTTTTCACAGTAACAGCAGAGAACATGAAATTTCAATGTAGGCTTCTTTATGGAGTCTTCGAAATGACTTCTTCCTGGATGGAATTGGACTATTGACTGTGTTAGGTTTGGAGGTGATTGAGCAAATAGTATTTTCTATTTGATCTTATTATATTTTAATCACATTGCAAGAAATGTCAGAATAGAACAAAATGAGAAACTTCACAAGCTCATATTTCATTATGAAGTCAGTTTGTACAGAGCTTTGGAAGGGACCTCACTCACATTGATTTGCTGCGGTGATCAATTACGGCTTAGCTCTAACGGGATGAAGTCTGTGTGCAAGGAGCTTCCGCCATGCTGGGCCCAAAGGTCACTTATCCACATCCCTCTGCCTGGAGTTGGCCATGCTGTTCTCCATTTTATGGTGTGACTTGAATCTAGAGGTCAGTGGATAAAATACCACTCACCTTCTTCTGGTTTGCTAACACACCAAGCCACCATGGCTGAGCAAATATTGCCTGTGGGCTGAATCATATTTTGAGATATTCATTTTTCTTGCTTTTTTTTCCTCTCTAGGTTTTTCCCCTCTTCCTTTTTCTCACTCTAGCAGGCAGCAGACTTGGGGTTTTGTTGCCTCAGCGGAACTGCGTGGCCAGGCTGCAAGCAGAAGTCACCTGCCTGACTTGTTGTTGGCTTTTATTTTTCAAAAGCCCAAGACCATGGTATAAATGGGATTTTGGGAAAACGACAGAGTGCACTGGGCAAGGAAGAGGCAGAGAGCTACCCCCATTACCCTTAAATGGAGATCGCCCTGTCTGGACACTCCAGGTCAGGTGAGAAGGCCCAAATATGGTGCATCTATAGAGATGGGGCTTCAGCCCTGGGGTACCATTTTCTTACATTATGGCATGGAGGCAGCAGAGACCCACCAGTTGCACCAGACAGTGAAGGCCATGAGGAAGTCAGTAGCCAGTCAGTGACTCCTAGAAAGTAGAGGTTCTGCTCCCTTTCCAGGAACCACATAATTCTGGTGAGACTGGAAGAGCAGGAGCCCTGAAATGACTCTGTGGCCCTTAGACATCTAGTGACTCTGTGGCTTCCATTCACCACTCCAGGGACTTGCAGTCAAGGCTGGCCATTCTGGTGTTCCTGTCCAACTTCCCAAAGGGCCTGATGCCTCTTTGGGGTACAGTCACGACAGGGCTGATGCTCTCAGGACCAGCCTGTCCTTGCAAGCCCTGTACAATCTCCAGGGACAGGCCCTGTCTCTTACTGTCCTCATAGACTGTCTGCAAGAACCAGGGAAGCCGGGTAGGGATGAAGTGGGAACTGGAGAAAAAGAGCTCAGCCTGTTTGGTTTTTCCACAGCAGCCAGACATAAAACACATCTTGGCATCCAGTGTTTTCATTGTATGTGTTTTTGTTTGTTTGTTTTTTGCCATCCTTATTAAACAGAGAAGCACAGTGGGAAATAAAAAAATCACCTCTCATCTCATCTACAATAGAATGTAGAATCATTTAGTGTTGAAACGGTGAACTAACTCAACTAGTAGTTCATGTGGCATCCAACAATGTTAAGTAGACCTGTGTTTCCTTCAAAAATCTAAAATATCCCACGGCATGAATAGCTGCAGCACCTGGGGTGCCTTGGTCCACAGTTAGAGAAACATGGAAATAGGATTATATGGTACAAATGTTTTTGTATATTGCTTAAAATTTTTTGTATACTTGTATAGTGCTATATTTGTATATATCACATAGTACTGGGCCCTATTGTTGGACTTTAAGGCCATTAACAAGTTTTCTCTGTTACAAACATTGCCATAATAAATAGCTTTGTAGGTAAATATTTGCTCACATTTCTGAATTTTTTGGGTCAGTATACATTCCCAGAATTGGATGAGTAGGTCAGAGGTAGTTACATGTTGAGATCAGTGCATATGAATTACCACATTTCGCTGAAAGGGCTGTGCCAAGTTATGCTCTCACTATGCATGTACAGGAGGGCCCATTTTCCATTCCACCTCCACCATTGAGTATTGGCATTCTTTTTAACCTCTGCCAGTCTGATGGCATTTGCTTGCTTAATTTGCATCTCCATGGTTATTAACAAACTTGAAGTTTTTCATATATTTATTAGTCTTTTCAGAATTTCCCGTTTATGTCTTTTGCTCATTTTTCTGTTGGAGTATGTGATGGTTTTAAAATACCCTTGCACGTTTTTTGAATTTCCTCCCTTCAAAGGGTGGACCCTTATTCCCATCCCGTTGAATGTGAATTGGATTTAGCAATTTACTTCTAAAGAACAGAATGTGGTAGAAGTAATAAGTCACTTCTAAGTCTAGGTCATAAAAGAACTTGCAGTTTCCATCCTCTGAAATAGTTTGCTTGAGGGGACAGTATGCACCATGTTGTGAGAACATTCAAGCAGCTCTATGAAGAACTGAGGTCTGCTATCAGCAGCAGCATCAACTTGCCAGCCAGCCACACCTTCAGATGACTGCTCTGGTGGTGTCATCTTAACTGTAACCTTATGGAAGATCTGAGTCAGAACCACCCAGCTAAGCTCCTCCCAAAATGTTGACCCCTAGAATGTGTGAGATAATACATGTTTATTATTTCAAACAGCTAAATTTTGGAGGTAATCTGTTACGCTGCAATAGATAAATAATGCAGAGTATTTGTCTTTTCCTATTGACTTGTAAGGGCTTTTTATTTATAATGAATATCAATTACTTGTAGGCAAATGTCACAAATATCCCTTAGGATTTTTACTAAATCTGCATTGAATTTATACTTATTTTGGGGAGAGGCAACATCTTTTCCTTTACTTGGGAGAAGAGTGTTGGTTCTTCTTGGCCAGGAACATAGATTGAAATATTCTTTTGTAGTAAACTTGGTTGTTTTATTTGTTTAGGTCTTGCCCTTCCCCACTTTCCTTATGTTTATTCTTAGGGCATTTTATATTTTTTGTTGATATTGTGAATGAGATTTATTTTTGTATTTTCTAATTGATTTTTATGATAAGACTACTTTAACAGTAACTAAAAATTGATGAATTCAGTGATATATCTATTCTCAACCTTCCTAGTTCAATTCTTTGAATTATAGCTGCCATGTCTGTAGAATGGGAATAATAATTGCACATCCCTCAGTGAGTGGTTGATGAGGATGAAATCAGATAGTTGATGTAAAGGATCGACCTTAGTGCCTGGTACATGGTAAGTACGTCCCATAAGTATTTGCTGCTACTGCTTTTATTCATAATCAAAGGAAATAAAAGCAAACATTACCTATGCCGACTCCCTTGACTCAAAGTAACCAAACTGTGTATTAAGAGTGTGTGCATACAACATATATAATGAGTTGTTTTACTAGCTCTCACAGGGCTCCAGGCTGCTCTCATTCCATAGCAGTGAGATTGACTGCCTTTCACACGTGTCAAGCCCTTGGATTTAAAATCCTTGTAGGTGGTACAAATTAGTTAGCTTCATTTTATATTGTACATCTGTGGAGTTACCACCTCTTGACTTCAACATTCAAATTTATGTGGAAATCATGCAAATGATGCATCCCTGAATCAACTAGAAGAGCCTCGGGTGTCTTTGTCTGAGGTCTTCACTGCCTCGCATTCCAAGCTCTGTGTTCCCAGCTCCTTCTACTCACTCCTCTGAGAGAAGTTCAGGGCACCCTAGATTGTTCTCCCCACCATGCCGAGTGCTCCATGAGGGTGGGGCTGCTGGAATCAGTTAACTCAGCAAACATGTAGCATGACGCCAAATCCATCTTTTCCTGTTTTCTTAGCATTTAGCTAAGGCTTCCGAGGTGGATAACAAAATTTCAGCTGCCAAGTATCCCACATTCTAAAGCAAGCGGTTAGACCTGTGCTGTCTAGTATTGTAGCCACCAATCACCACGTGCTATTGAGCACTGAAATACAGCTGGTTCAAACTGAGATGCACTGCAGGCATAAAATACACTCTGGATTTTGAAGACTTAGTATGGAAAAAAAGTAAAATATTCATTGATAAATGTTTATATTGATTATACACTGAAATGACAACATCTTAGATATACTGAGATAAAAAAATTATTAAAATTATTTTTACCTTTTTATTCTTTAATGTGGTTACTAGAAAATATGAAGTTACATATGAAGCTCACTGGATTAGACCATTTGTGCAGGATTTGTGCAGGACCATTTGTGCAGGTTAGACCATTTGTGCAGGATTTTGCTAAATGGGAGGGGCCTGGCAATTCTAGAGTCTCTGGGGGCGAATTGCCCAGGATTCTTGTAAGCATGGCGAGCCAGATATGGCTCTCACTGAAAGAGAAGAGTTAGATGGGGGCCACTTGAGAGGGGCTTCACATGAGACCATTGTCTGGGGCGGGGTGAGCTGACTCCTGTGTACATGGTAGATTCCCAGAAACTGGTTACTGAGGGGGTTCTGAAGTGGGCAGCTGGAGGAGGCATTATCCATGCCAGAGGACTGCAAGAGAGAGACCCTCCCACTACAACCCCCCAGGGATGGTGAAAGATCTGTTAGAAAAAAACCTCACCACAATGCCTATAGAAGAAATGCTCCGGATATAGCACCTGCTATGTCCAGACAGCACCAATGACAAATCACAACTCTACCCTCCCTGCCTCTATCCCGCACCCTCCTCCCCCACCTCCATGCCGGAGGGCCAGGTGCACTCAGTGGGTGTGAGAAGAAGTGAAGACCAAGGTGGGGTATGCAGAAGCCCCTGACAACCCCTCTTCCCGTGGTGGGCTGGAACTGGGGGAAGGAAACCTTAAACTGGTGGAATTTAGAGCTTTAAAACTCTGACCAAAAGGCTATGCACTTATTACCCTATGATCCTTCTCAACTAGCAGCCAGATTGAACCCCTTAATATGTGGGTCAAATCAGGTCCCTCTTCTGCTTGGAATCCCCAGTGGCTTTTCTGCCACACAGAGTAAAAGCCACAGTCCTATGATGGCACGGCTCCATGTGAACTGGACCTGCAGACCCCTTCTGCATCTTCTGCTACTGTCCCCTCCACCTCACTCCTGCCACCCAGGTTCCCTGGTGTCCTGGCACATCCCATCCCAGGACATTGTGCCTGCTCTTCCTCCTGCCCGAAATGCCTTGCCTGAGGTGTCTGTGCATCTCCCTTCCTCTCCTCCTAGAGTCTCCTCCCAAACACCACTTTCTCAGCCTGACTAAAATTATAAGCCCGCTCTTGCCAGCTGCCTCCTCCCTACTTAACATGCTCTGCACTGTATTGCTTACTGCCTGTGTATTCCACTAGAATGTAAGCTCTGTGAAGGCAAGAAGTTTGTTTCTGTTGTGTTGCATTTTGCTTCTTGTTTTGTTCATTGTGTGTTGCTGCAACCTGGGACATAGTAGGCATTCAGTAATATTTGTGAAATGGATAAATGACAGTGACCAAACAGCTGTGAAATTTGCCAGAGATTTTCTCCCTGGGAAGAGAAGATGGGCTGAACACAGTTTGATGAAGAGAGACAGTTGTGAGAAAGAACAGGGTTGTTTTATGCTTATACCCGCCAGGTGCTCCCCTTGGAGTCCAAAGCATTGTGGAAGGTGAGTCTCAGCTCCCAGTGCTAAGAAACAGTCCTCCTGTAAAGCAGAGAGCTGGCTATGATCTACATGGAGAAGGGTGCTTTGGGTAGTGATGCTGGGGCTGGATTTTGAAGATGCAAGTAGAAGCCCATCAGGCAGAAAAAGGGGAGTGCACATTTATGCCAAGATTTGAGGTATGCTGAAATGTGGGTGAGGTCTAGAGTATGTGTGAGAGGTGGTGGGCAGGGGGAGGAGAGGATGTGAGGGTCTGATGGAAGAGGTGCTTGAGTTTTACTGCTTTGGGTTTAGGGCCATTTCTGAGCCAAGAGAGCTGGTGGAGGAAGGATAATGGTGGTATCCTGTCTATAGCAGGTGGAGGGGCAGGTTCATTGCTGCTTTTATTGTCCCGGGACCAGCTCTTGGTCATCAGAATGTTTAGAGAGAATAAAAATGATATTTCCAGGCAACTGGGACAGAGTGAGAGTGCTATCCTGGGTGTAGGTTGATAACAGCTCACAGCTGCATCCCTTTCTAGGAATTGCCCTTGGCCAAAAGGAACTGCATTGCCCAAGGGGTCATGGAAACTTAGAAAGAAATGGTTGCCAGAAGGAGGGAGTGATGGGTAGAGAAGGAAATCTGAGAGTTTCCATGGAGTTGGCAACGAAGAGGTCATTGGTGACTTTGGCAGGAGGAGCCTATGAGGAAGGGTGAGGTCTGGCTTGCAGGGGGATGGAGGCCATGTGGGAGGCAATGAGGAGGAGGAGCAAGAGCTGGGTCTTGAAGGAAGGGTGGGAAGTGGGGTATGGGAAGACCTGCCAGACAGAGGGGATAATGTACACGAAGGAACCCAGGCTAAAATAATCCAGTTTGACTTCAGGGTGTGGGGGAAGGTGGGAGGGATGGCTGGAAAGGTGGATGGTGTCCAGGAATGTCTGTCTTAAACGGTAGGCTCTAGAGTTAGAGCAGAATCAACATGTTGTCTTCACACGTCTGAGCTCCACTGGGCTCAGGATACTGCCCTCTAGTGAGCACTGGGCATTTTGTCCCCAGAGCGTGGACCTGACAGGTATTTTGACCATGGTCTCTTGGGCTTGGTGTTTATGAATGCAGACATAGTGGGTTTTCTGAGGTGAGCCTCATTAAACTAGTTTAATTCCTTCATCAGTTTTCTATCCTGTCTAGTAAACTTATTTGTAATACTAATTTTACTAAAATTATTTCAAAGAATTTAATTCTGTTTTGTGTAAACTATACAGGGAGGATTGAATACATCTATCAAACTATCCATTATAACTTCTGCCATTGTGAATTTTTGTGTGGCCATTGTTTCTTTCAAATCCAATTTACGTGGACAAATATTTGCAGATCTAAATTTTATTAGGACATTTTGATCTTTTTATATATATATATCTTTTAGCTCTAACAAAGTGTGCAGTGTGGAATTTTAATCATTGTCAGTTCTATTTCATAGCAATTATACCTTCTAATAAACTTCATTATGACTAGGATAAAAATTGATAGTTTGTATTTATTTTCTTCACTAACTTATTACAAAATGAAGACTAGGCTCCCTGAGGTGGTTCCGGTTTGCTCTCTTGTCTAGAGTTGGATGATTGAATTGTAAGTCAAATTCTCTTGTCTGACTCTGATTACTTTGTATGCTGTGTATAAGTTGTCTCCACTGTTGGCGGAACATGGGGCTGGGATATCCTCAGGGCACGAATGGTACAGCAGAGCTTCCTGCCTGGGTTCCCCACTATTAGTCATTATGCTAACACTCACAGCCATTTTCTTATTGCAATCTCCTTTTTTATCCTATTTTATAGAGGCTGAAACTGCAGCTTAGAGAAGTTAAGGGGCATAACTGGGACTTGAACCTAGGCTTATCTGCATTTAAAGTCCATAGTTTAAACACTGGGCTGCACTATGGTTCACTGTATTGGTGTGCCCAGACAGCCACTCACTACCTGATGCTATGCAGGAATGGGGAGAGTTGGTTATGGTCACAGAATGTCTGGGCCAGACCTTCCCTGCCACTACACACACACACACACACACACACACACACACACACACACACACAGAACAAATGTGGACCCACAAAGGCCCAGGGGAGAGAAGGGATAAGTCCAGGCAGGGTCAAATAGTTATTGAGTGGTACAGCTGGCTGGAACCATGTGTCCAGTCCCCTGGCCAGCCCCTAGTGAGAGTTACCACCTGGCTTAGCTCAGTTTCCCATATAAGTGTCTGTGAATCTTCTCCAGCTCATCGAGTGGCCAATTTGATGGGGGAACCAGGCAATGTGAGCCACCTGAGATTAGGGACTCCTGGGTCCCACCCTCCCTTATTTCAGAGGAGTTGGGAGAACAAGCATCAGTGATGAGGGCTGTTAAGTCACTGAGTAGAAGTAACCATGCCTGCCAGTGGACACATGCCCATCTGGGGCTTTTGTGACTCTCAGCAGGGTCCAATTTTCATTTTCTGGTTATAAGGAGCCAAAAGAACCCTCCAGATCTCATTTCCCTGTTTGCAAGATGCAGAGCAGGGAGCAGAGGAGAAGGCTGCCCCTTCAGTTTGTGGGCCTGGGAGCAAGTCTGGTTTGCCTTTATTGTGAATAATGCATACAGGTAACTTTGGTCTTGACCACAAAAAGACTTTTTCTTTTTGTTGTTATAACATATTTACATTTTCTGATTATATAAGGGTAGCTGGTTCATTGTGGTGTAGTTTTCTTTTAAAGGGGTTATTTCATAACAACCATTATACTTAGAATCAAAATAGTATGAGAATCACAAAGAGGTCTTGTTTTTTCTTTTCTTTCTTGAAAATCCACATTCACATGAAGAAAGAAAGTGTGGGGCTCAGAGCGCAAGAAAATAACTGCAACTTGACCTCATTAGAAGGGGAGAGAGCTGGTCGACCAGTAACAGGCTGTGGTAGCTTTTCTCTGTGTGAGATTCTGGGGTGTCTGTGCTGGCAGCACTGACCCTTGACCCCCCTGCCCCCTATGACCCCTGCACAGTGACAAATGATCACTGTTATATAGGCAGTGGAAGAGGACTTTCAGAATTCCACATCTCAGTTATTTTCCACGAATGCTAGGAAAGGAAGCCCTTTAATTTAATTTAATTTAATTTAATTTTATTTTATTTTATTTGAGACAGAGCCTCGCTCTGTCGCCTAGGCTGGAGTACAGTGGCGCAATCTTAGATCACTGCAACCTCTGCCTCCCGGGTTCAAGTGATTCTCAGCCTCCCAAGTGGCTGAGATTACAGGCACCCGCCACCACAACTGGCTAGCTTTTGTATTTTTAGTAGAGACGGGGTTTCACCATGTTGGCCAGGCTGGTCTCAAACTCCTGACCTTATGAGAGGGGGATTGTGGCCAGGCAGTTACTGGGAAAACCTATAGGCTCAGCCATAGTGCCCGTTGCCTTTGCTGCCCTCTCTCTCACTCCCAGGGGTCTGAGCCAGGGGCCCATAGTGCTGGCTTAATCATAAGCTGCTGACTTCGCTCTTTGAAGCTGGAGATAGATAACTCCTTTGGTTTTTAAGATTCTACCCAAAATGAGGCCCACAACCAAGGATCCAGTCCTGACAGAGTGTTTTGAGCAGGTTGGGCAAAGGCAGGCCCAATCCCTTCGCCTGTCTAGGTTTTTGGTTGCCCTTTCAGCACCTTCTATGGCTTAGCATCTCAGGTGGACAGCATCTCCAGTGTGCCTGGAAGGGCGGGGCTTGCACGATTCCTGCCAGCGTTCTGGCAGCCTTTGCCATCCAGCTTCCATTAGCAGCAGAGACGGTGGAGAAGGGATGATGTTGCTGACCTGCCAGTGAGTCTTCCTTTGTCTGATCCATTAGCAACTGATTTATCAGACTCAGTAAGATAAAGATCCAAAACCCACCCATGACTCCAAAAAGCCTTCATCAGAAACAGTTGGTCTGTGCCCCTCTGGCAGACAGCTTTGGGCAGAGAAAGAAGAAATTGCTGTTGCACCTCCCAAAAGCATTTTGTAAAAAGACTATTTATTCTAGGTGCAGTCTATTTTGCCCGACACCTCTCAGACAGTCAATAATTCCAGTTTGTTTTTGATTATCCGTGCTCCCTCCCCCTCCATCTGCTACCGGAATTTGCGCCTCTTGCTGCAGACGCCCCACCGATCGTGGGAGCATCTGTCTCTCTAATGACTGGCCATGGCAATCTTGGCTGTTCAATATGGCTAGATGAAGAAAACATTTAATTCCTGCTATATGGGGCACTCCAAAGCCAGATTTGACAACTCTTCCATTGAACACTAGTATTTCACAATTTCCTTAGATAACAAAAAGAAACAGTTCTTACTTCCAGAGGAATATATTTACAAGATGGGAAGTTGATAACTAGGCCACTGGAATGACAAATGGTGCTGAAATACACTGTGTATTGACTTTGATGAACGTGCACTGCCTTCTGTGACATTTTCTTCCAGAATGTCTTGTTCTTAGCCCGAAAGGCCTGCCAAACTCTCAGTGAGAAGCAAGGGCCTGTGTCCTGTTTCCTGGGGTCTTCTTGGAGTCGAAGAAGCATGGAGTGAGAACTCTTGCTTGGGGGCCTTTGGGACAGGCATGACTGGCAGGTAGGGCTTCTGAGTAGGGGAGAACCCTGAGGGCTGGGGGGAGAGGGAGCTGGGTCAGAAGAAGCTTCATGCAGAGGTGGGTGGGGTGCACGTAGGGTGGCGAAGGATGGGAGGGCCTTGATAAGAGTCAAGCTGGGGGGACAGGGAGGGTGAAGACATCCAAATTATTTTCTGCAGTGGAAGTGCAGAGTGGCCCACTGGAGTACTGGGTGGGGGAGGCTGCTCAGTGGGCAGAGGGAGGGATGCGTTCTCAGGGCTGTAGACTTCTGACCTTGGTCAGCATAGATCAGTGGTCACGTGTGGCAGGCAGAGGGCAGGGGTGTTTTGTGCCCCAGCCCTGCAGCCATGGAGGGAGAGCTTCCAGGACTAATCATAGGGGTGACCATTATTGAGGCCCACCCTGTGCCCGGCAGTGGATCCCACATCTGGGGGTGTTTTAGTAGACGAATCCCTAAGGCCAATGGCCATGTTAGGAGCCGGGACAGGGAGGTGGCTGGGCTCCTTTGGGCCCCTGGAGGTGGGCTTCTCGTACCCACTCTAGGGACTTGTTTTCCCTCGCGCTCCTCTCTCCTCACGGGCCCTGACCCGAGCCTGTGATTCAGAGGCACGTCTGCCCTCACCCACAGTGATGCTCCTGCTGGTCCCAATCCTCTGGTTGTCACTTTTGGGGCCACACCCTGGGGGGCCTGGGCTGTGATGGGAGGGAGGGAAGCTGGGAGTCAGAACATCTCTTTGTTTCATAAATGGCAGATGTCCTCAGAGGCCAGGGCAGTGAGGAAATGGGCACAGAAAGTGTGCAGTGATTCTCCAAAAAGCACCTTCTGCCAACATTTTGCTTTAATTCACCACTGCTTTGGGCTTTTTTGAATAATTACTTCATGGAGCAAGCACTTGCCCTGGATTTCGTAGATAGTAGGTCAGGTTGCCTACCAGAAAAATGATGTCTTAGGGTCCCTCTGGGTCCTGCACCTTCCAGTATTGTCCTCTCTTGGTGCCACTTTGTGAAAAGGTCACCTAACTCTGACTTGTTTTTTGGCTCAAAATATGATTTTATCCATCTCCCATCCCCAGCTCACCCCTCCCATTAACCTTTAGTCAGCTCACACCATGGTGGAGTGAATTCCTACAGATCTGGATTGGGAGCCCCCTGGAGAGAAGAGGATTCTGTGGCCTGTTCCCCTCTGCAGAACACATTTAACTTAAGAAGGAAGTGGATTAAAAAAATTTTCTTATGAGATTTTCACAATGTCACTTGAGCTGTTATAATACCTGGCTTAAACATTTCTGCCCTAAACCCTACTCAAGTCATTTCTAAGGCTCAGGGTGATTCAGTGATGATGCGATGCTTTTATTTCTGACACCTCCACCTCACAACAGGACTGAGAAGGGTGGCAGTGATCGTGGGAGGGAAGAGCTTGACTGCCAGATACATGCTACAAGGCTGGTTCCAGCTCTGTCCCCTCTTCAGTGAAACAGGCCAGTAATCCCTGCTTTATCCCTTCCATAGGAGATAAGGGTGTGGGAGGCTTTGGAAAGGGCAAAATGTGAACATGTTATTAGGTGTCAGCAACATGTGTGTGGGCCTTGGTTCTTGCTTTCAGCCCATGGCTGTTATTTCACTGAACAGCTGGACTCTTGAACAGGTTGTGCACTGCCCAAAGGGGTTCAGCTGCGGGAGCAAATGGCTGAAATCCAGTCTTCACTGCAATAGCAACTGTGTGCCCTTGGGGCTGTATCTGCCTAGGGGCATCATATTTTCTGATTCATACAAAATAATAGGCTGGTTGGTGGCACTGGCTGGAAACCCTCAGGCTGGTCTCAGAGTGAAGCCTGGTCACTCAGAAGTCTATGCTTTCTGAATCCCTCCAAGAAAGTGTACCCATGCCTTAACTCCATCCACTTTGGCTTCTCATTTGCTACTTCCCTAAACTGTACCCCTGTCCCCGGTTCCCAGTGCCACTTCTCTGATGTTCATTCATCACTGCATTCCTTAAGGGATTCAAAGCCCAGTCAGTGGCTTCTGTCTGAGCACTAACTGGTTAAGATCAACTCTTCTAACCTATTATCTACCCACAACCAACCCACTCCCAGAGAGCTTCCTCTGCCTCTGACCTGCATGTCCTCCTGCCCGAGGCACCAATTGTCCTATCCTTGAGAGGGTGGGTATATGTTCATAGTTTCATGCATCTGCTCTTTACCCAAATCCCCCTAGGTTTGCATCTCTGGGCTTTGTGTCTCTGGCCCTGACTGTTATGAGAGAGCTGCTCTTGGAATTCTCTCGCTTCTATTCTCAACGCTCTCTCTCTCTTTCTGCCTTCTCTTCCCTTCCAAATGCTTGAGTAGAAGGGGTTGGGGCTGCTGCCCCCACCTTAGGAAGGCCTGACTGGGTCAAGTCACGATGTGGAGTGTGCCTGTATTTCAGAAGAAACACTTCAGGGCTGACTCTGCTGCCTCCAGCCGAGAGCAAAAACCTCCCAATCTAGCCAGTCTGCCCAGCTCCCTGAGCAGGTTGTGGGGAGGGGTTGCAAATCACCAGTTAGCAATTAAGGAACTCTCTTTTGTCTTATTTTGTGTGTGTGTGTGTGAGATGGAGTCTCGCTCTGTCACCCAGGCCGGAGTGCAGTGGCACCATCTCGGCTTACTGCAACCTCTGCCTCCCAGGTTCATGCAATTCTCCTGCCTCAGCCTCCAGAGTAGCTGGGATTACAGGGATACACCACCAAGCCCAGCTAATTTTTTGTATTTTTAGTAGAGATAGGGTTTCACCATGTTAGCCAGGCTGGTCTTGAACTCCTGACCTCAAGTAATCCACCTGCCTTGGCCTCCCAAAGTGCTGGGATTACAGATGTGAGCCACCACACCTGGCCTCTCTATGCTTAAATTCCTCCCAGCGACTTCACAAGGGCAGGGAGCAGTTGGTTGAAGAAGGGTTTGGGCTTTTTTTTTTTCTTCTTCTTTTTTTGAGACGGAGTCTCGTTCTGTCGCCAGGCTGGAGTGCAGTGGCATGATCTCGGCTCACTGCAACCTCTGCCTCCTGGGTTCAAGCGATTCTCCTGCCTCAGCCTCTCGAGTAGCTGGGACTACAGGCACGTGCCACCACGCCCAGCTGATGTTTGTATTTTAGTAGAGACAGGGTTTCACCATGTTGGCCAGGATGGTCTCGATCTCTTGACCTTGTGATCTGCCTGCCTCAGCCTCCCACAGTGCTAGGATTACAGGCGTGAGCCACTGTTCCCAGCCTGGGTTTGGGTTTTCAAAACTGAGTATATCAGCCATTTGATCCCCACCCATCACCCACCGGATCACTGTCTAAAACCATCCTCCAGAGCCAGTCCAACACCAGCCCCACTCCCAGCTGCCCTCAGGACGTAGGTGAGGTCAGAAGATAGGGAGAAGAGGGAGGAGACAACCAAGGACACAGAGAAGTTTCCCAGCAGCTCTTTAGGTGCTAATAAAATAAAAAGAAAATTAACCCAGATTCATTCTCTAATCGCTGATCTTATTAGAGCCTGATTACATAATCTAGTTTGGTTTACATACTCTCTTAACCTGTTTTTTTAATTGGCAATAATAGACTTTGGGAGCCTCATGTTGGATTCATACTTCTAGCTGGGGTGGGTAGGCTGAGCCAATTTTTTGTGAGCATTGAATCTGGGAGAACCCGAGGTCTCTGTACAATGAGAGGTTGCTACTAACAGTTCTTACTTTGGGTTATGGGATTTGCCATCAGGATTGATTAGCATTTCAATAAAGGGTCACTAAATTACCGGGTGCCACAGCTCTGATAGAATCACTGGATTTGGGTTCGCTGGGGTAGTACTTTAGCTTCCACAGGCCTGCCAAAGCTAGCTGAAGTTAGGAAGGAAAACTTAAATTTTTTAATTAAGAATAATTTCCTTGGCAAATTTAGTGCATTGATCTGCCCCTGTGCCCTTGGTTTCTCAGCCCTGCCTTCACTGTACCCACTGCTGCAAAGGGCAGGAGGTCCCAGGCACCAAAGTAGGCCTGCAGGAGAAAGTCCACCTTACAGCAATAGAAACAACAGGCGGGGTGGCATGAGGCCATCAGCCATGGCCTCTAGGCTGGGTGCTCTATGGCCGAAGAGAAGCTTCTCATCTCCCCTCACAGTGCCCCTGGTGGCCAGGAGGAGTCATTGGGGGCATTTCCTCCAAGCCCGTCAGGATGCCTGGGCCAGTTAGCAAGCATACTTAAGTATGCTTGTTACTTCATCCCTCTGGATAAATATCCTGAATGAGTATTCTCTCATCTGCCCGGTATTCTCAGAGCTAAACCAGGCAGTTTAGCAGTGGGCAATGATTGGCTACTGTTATTTTCAATGGTTAGATTTGCTGTTTTAGGCAAAAACATTTAGACAATTAGGATAGACCTAAATGTCTTTCCAGTTTCTCTTTGCTTTCTTGGTGAAAATGGAATCGCTTTTTTTGTATAGTGGCAATGTCTTTTTTGCAATACCAGTTTCTGTCTATTCTGGTTCTTGTTCATTTAGCTTGTAATTGGTGTTTCATTTGGTCATTGTGAGCAGTTTGTCTGGCTTTCTGAGCCAGAAATTATTTTTTCTGTCTGAGAAAAAATTATTTTTTCTATCCAGAGTGAGTCCCCTCACTCTGGAAACCTTTCTGCTCACTATTTCTGGAAAGCACTTTTCCAGATTCGGAAGACAAACTGATTTACATGATTCAGATATAAAGTACATTTTTTTTTGCTTTGTAAGTTTTCAGTTTTCCTTCCTAAGAAATGTAGAAATAGCTGTCTGCTCATGCCCATCTGAGAGAAGGACAGGACCACGTAGTTTCATGAACTTTTGTTTATAATCTCCACTAGGCTAAAAAAGAGAAAGAGAATCACACACGTACTAAAGTGTGCTTGCTAACTGATGTGATCTTCAGAGTAATATATTGTTTGCTTTTGAATCCATGATTTGCAGATCTCAAATCTTTTGAAACATGGTGACAAGACATCCTCTAGGACAAAGCCTCATTGTGAGGTTTTCAAGGATAATAGGGCTGTCTCAACTGAGTGGAGTCCTTAATATTAATTTTCTTTGTTTTATTTTCTCAGGCGTTAAAAAACTTGTTTTGCCTAATTTATTAGCATTCATTTCTAGGCTTTGAAAATGAGTCCTTCTTTGAAAGGAGAGTTTTAAATTTGAAATATGAGGCCTGTATCGTGGTGCCTTGAAATCATTAACTGTCCCTTCAATATTAATTGCAGGTATATCCATCACGGGGAACTTGTTTGTCATTAACGTGAGGGGGACGCAAAAGCAAAAGCTCCTGGAACCCCTGCAGGGGTAATGTTGTCACTCAAAACTTTGTTCTGGAATCGATCTAACCTCAGAAATGGGCTGTACCTATTGACAAAATGACAGTTCGTAGTTTTAACAAAGCTGACAAGTGGCAGTTTTAGCAAATGGAATGGAAGTTGGTTTGTGGATGAATCTACCAGGCAGCTCTGGCCCTGGGCAAAGTTTTTATGAATGAGTCTGATGAGGCCAAGAGGTCAAAGGGCAACCTGGAATCCCTGTATAATTCCACTTTTCTGCCAAGGATCTAGTTCATTTGCAATTCAGCCCACCTGCTATACTTGGCCCGCTTAGGGAAGGCAACATTTGTGTCTATTTGGGTCTCTGGCTAAAAGAACATTAATCTATATATACACTATGTGTGGATTTATAAATTTTACACAGCCCTCTACCCCCCACCAGCAGCTTCTGTGGCTGACTTCTTATGTGCTTATTGAATTATGTGCTATTGATTCCCTGCTAGAGCTGGTGGCTTTTCACTTTTGCCCTTATTCAGCTGTTTTGCCTGTTAAATTCTAATCTGGGTCTAAAACATTTTCCAATAAAGGCAAAGCTTGAGGATCATCCAGTGGGAAGGGAAGCTGGGTCCATAGAAGGCCCTTGGCGTATTTCCATTGAAAGGGCTTTGCCTGTGCTGAGGAGCAAGTGCCCTCACTCTGGAAACCTTTCTGCTCATGGCAGGATGGGCTAGCAGTGAGTGTCTCTTTTTAAAAATAGGTTTTTGTTTCTAAAATAAGCACCCTTGGTTTCTGACAGGATGTCATCTTCCTGGCACAGACGGGAAGAAGGCCAGATCCGGCTCCTCATTCCTGAAAACAAACAGCCTTGATCCCATGGCTGATAGCAGTTCCTTGCCTCCAACTCCCAGCCTGTCCCTTTGATGGACCAGGTAGTTTTCTATGGTGATGCAGACCAGGTATGGGAGTATCCAATTCACTTTACTTTTCAATACATTCAATCCAGCAAACACTTGCTGAGTGTTGGCTCTGTAAAATCACCATGGAAACCCAAGTGGAATCTTTAAAATACTCTAAGGAAATTGTTCCGAGTTCCCACGTCCCACCGACACTTCAGTGAGCAGGAAGGGTGCATCTTAGTCCGGTGCATGCCTGCTTGCATTCAACCTGAATGGCAGAAAGGGGGATACAGATGGAGGAAAATGTGTAAAGCTGATGATATGGCTTTTTGTCCTGGGTGGTGTAATATTATGCTTCCAGGGAAGAAGGGTGAGCAGACAGAGCTTTGATTTCCACCGGAGCAAAGAGATGAGTTTAGTCACAGCTGCCTCTGCTCAATGGTGTCATCGCCCACACACTCTGTACCAGGGCAGGACCTACAAAGGGATGTCGTGGTGCCTAGTGACAGCCTTGTCTGCAGCACCATGCGGCACAGCGGGGGCTGTGGGCTACGGAATCACAGAGCCTGGATTACATGGGGCGCTTATCACACAGCAGGAGCTGGGCTCATCCCTGACGCAAGGACTAGAAACCACAGAATCATGGTCCTGACTGGGGTCTTAGAGGAACGAGTGGATTCCATGAGGCTTGTTTTTAATAAACACAGTAGTTTCAACGGTGCTTACAGAAGTTCCAACTTAGAAAAGGGGAAGATGTGGCTTTGGCATTTAAGATCATCATGATGGTTATGAATCTTTGGGTTGCAGGTGACTCCCCTCCCTCCTCCCAATCAAACTGGCTTTAAAGCATGAAGGAAATGTGCTGGTTCAGTGAATAAAAAAGTCCAGATGTAAGTTCAGGTGAGGACTGATCCAGGAACTGAATGATGTCACCAAAGACAGTTTCTTTCCTAGATGGGCCTCCGCTGGCTGCCAGCCACTCCTAGGGCCGTGGGCTTCTTCCTCTATGTCTGGCAGGGAGTAGAAACATTTATATCTCAATTTTCCCAGCAGTCCCTGAGATTCACTTTGACTGGACTGGCTGGGGTCACCTGACTATTCCTGAACCAATTGCTGGTGGACAGAAGGAGCTCGTAAGCTCCATCTTTGGGGTATGGGAACCAAATGGAAATCAGGAGCTGTTAAAGCGGGTTAGATTCAGAAAGGCAGGCAATGAATATTCATCACAAAAAAGACATGGCTGAGTTTACCCATAGCTTTGCCTGCTAGTATCTTGTTTACAGATAATTATAATGAAAAGAGCTTAGGTTCCTAAATAGCAGTGGCTACCATTTATTTGAGAATTTACCATTAGATCTTAGAGAAGACAATATGTTAATCACTTCATGTGAATTGCATTATTTAGTTTTTGCACAAATCCCTGAAATTGTTATCTTCCATCATCATCAATCTTTTCGTACAGGTAGAGAAACCAAGGTACAGAGAAGTGAATGGATTTGCCTAGAGTCACAAAGGCAGCAAACAGTAGAACCAGCAGTTCAGCCCCTGGTCTGTGACTCCAAATCCATGCATTTAAAGGTACCGTACCAGAACCACTATGTTATACATATTGCAAGGTGAGGATTTTCCAATGACAAACAGTTTGAATATTTTTACAGGTTTTTCTCAAGAAATGCTGTCCAAATTCCTGGGTTCCAGGTCTGTTCTTGTCGTTAATACACCTTAAGACCTTGGGTCTTTGCCTTCTCCTAGTCTCAGCTGCCTCACTTACGAAATGAGAGCTTGGACTCTGCAGTCTCTCAGGTCTTTCCCACCTTCAACAACAGCCCAGGGCCCCCTGAGTCTGAGCTGTACTTAGATTTTTTTCTCCTGAGAGGCAGAAGGAATTTTTTTCCCTGGTATATTTCTTCCTAGGAGAGATGATTGCTTTGATAGGCTCTTGTTTTTCCCCTAAATGAAAGAAATATTCAAATATTTTCTTTGCTAATCTCAGAGAATTGAAAAGCCACAAACAGTCACACCCGGGGATGACTTTCCGGCGGGATGACGGTAGATCTGCCTGAAAGACGTCACCAGGCAGTCCGGGGACTTTGATCTCCACCGCGCGCTCCTGTCATTCAGGCAGGCACTCTGCCTGAACACCCCCAGCCTGCTATGCTCCTTGTTCCTTCAGGGACACCACAGAGCCCACATGGGTCTCCAGTTCATAGGATCAGATGAAAGCACTAACCCCCTCACACCTCCTCAGCCTCCAGAGGAGGAAACAGTTTAATTTTCAGTAGCTTGTTCTGCCTATTATCTGGTTTTGCCACGGTGTCCTTTCCACCTCTCTGTCTCCTTAGGGTCAGCCCTCCGAGAGCTGAGGACCTTTCATGGTTGAGGGATAACAGGTACCCACATACGTCAGTATACTGCTCTGTATTACCAACTTGGTGTTACTGCTGAAAGGATGCCCAGTGACAGTTACATCTGAGCTTTCACTTCCTCCAGTTATGTAGGTGTCTCTGTCACCAATCTTGAAAATAGCTTTTGTTTCCTTATATATCACCTCCCTTTTAATTTGAAGGACATTGATTTTTTTCTCTCTCTGTATACATCTTCCTTGTGGTTGTAAATGTCTGTGCTTAGCCAGTGTCAATGATGCCATCAGGGCTTTGGGAAGCTGGGGTTTGGGGGCATGAGATGACACTTTTGATGGTGGCTGGGTGTACCTGGCCACATGTCAGTCTGCTCAGCATACTCCACAGGGCGGCCCTGCTAGTTTCTTGGCATCATGTGGCCAACCATCAGGATGATTGACTATGTTTGTGTTCAAATTAATGAGCTGCTGTGTCACCATGTGGACCCGCCAAGGGTAAGAGGGTGCAGGGGTCCATGGCACTGATGTAGTGACCCCATGCAAGAAAGCCATATGGGCTAAATGCCACGTTTGCATTTCCCTCTGGTGGGGCCAAGCACCAGTTCATGCAATGTTGGTCCTTCATGATGGAGGGCTGTTTGTCCTGGGGAGGTGATGCCTCTAGTGGGTGAAGAGTCATGCAGTCTTTCAAAGTGGTGAGAAACCAATCTGAGTTCTGAAGCCTGGTGCTGAATGTCTTCTTGAGGATAGAAACATCTCCTAAACCATGTTTTACACTGCCCTCGGTCATGAGAGCTGGCAGGGAGAGGCCCCACTGACTCCTTGTGCCATTCTGTGTTAGCTTTTGAGTGCATGGCCTGTGGACAAAGGAAGTGCCTCAGGCCACAGCACAGTGCGGGGAGTGTGGATACATGAGTTTTACTGTGACAACCTTGAGCCTCATGTTTCCCACTTGGGCAGAGAGGCCTCTGTGTTCTCTTAGGGCTTTCTGGCTCTTGCTGTTCATTGTGTGATGTAGTGGATGCTCTTGGTCTTGTCTTGGCCACTTTTCTTGCCCCCGCTCCCATTCCCTGGCTGCTATGGGTGGTTGCTGCTCACAGGCTGCGGTTCTCTAGGAATCACCCTCTGCCGAGAAAGTTTTCCCACTTCCTGCACTCTTGCATGGGGAGACAGTCCATAGCCAGTGACTGAATAACAAGAAGGCACAAAAGGCCAGGCCACTTTCCTCAAGGTGGGGCTGGCCTTGAGGGGCAGTTTGTGCTTCAGAGCATGCCACAGAGTTGGCTGCAGCCAGACTCCAGCTGCAACCATGCCCTTGTTCTACCCATCTTGCTCTTTCATCCCCCTTTCTTGATAATATTTGCTCAGTAAATCACATAAATCCAAATCCCTGCCTTAGGTTCTGCTTCCGGGAATATGGTTTAAGACACTTGGTTGACCAGGATTGTGTCATCGGCATAGGCGTGTCTGGAAACCTATTAGCAGTTGTTGGTGGGGGTGTCTTCTATTCATTCTAGTTATGCCAACCCATTCTCTTTTTTGCCTGGTTACCCTTGCTCTCTTTTCCTCTCCTTTGGTGTTTCATATGCTTGCAATATACCCACCTGCCCATCAATTCATTCATCCATTCACCCTCCCATCCATCCATCCATCCATCCATCCATCCATCCATCCATCCATCCAGAGGCTGACTTCAAACTCTCCCATAAAAGGAAAGATTAGGATTCAGATTCTGCCCAGATGGTCCTGCACGGGGCTACCTAACCCTTCTAGGCTGGCATCTACCAGGGTGGATGCCGTTGCTTCCAGCCAAGAAGAACAGCCACCCAGAAGTAGGAAATGGCCCTGTGGATCCAGCACCAACACACCTTTAGTCCATTCTCCACCATTTCATGAGCTTGCTTTTCAGAGGCTTGCCACCTGCCCCTGGCCACTGGCAGATGCAGGAGAGGGAGTGTTCTTATAAATGGTGTAGAGAAAATCGAGGTGAATGATCTGGCTGCTGCGTGAGTGCTTTATTGATTACAGAGCACCAATCAAATTAGCTGTCAGAAGAGAATGCAGATGGCACCACGTGGAATGGATTTTCTGTATCCCCTAACTGCATTATTTCAATCAGCAGGTCAACAACACGTGGCCTGCGGTGAGGAGTGGGGGCGGGTTGGCACACACTATCTGGGCCAGGCTGGGGGTATGGGTTTGAGTGTCATATGTATTTTAATATCAAGATCGAGGGATTAACAAAATGGGCCTGGATTGCTTTATGGATTAGATGTGGGGCCAGGGGCAGGCCTTAAGACATGTGCTTATAGGAGAGAATGCCTGCCCCACTCTTAGAGTTTGATGTGTCAATCCCAGGTGTAAGGAACTTGAAACAACTGTCTTCCACCTGTCTAAGGGGGTATCACTTAGAACTTAAGAGCTTATGTTTCGGACTGGGTGTGGTGGTGCATGCCTGTAATCCCAGCACTTTGGGAGGCCAAGGTGGGTAGATTGCTTGAGTGCACGACTCTTGAGACCAGCCTGGGCAACATGGCAAAACCCTGTCTCTACAAAAAATACAAAATTTAGTCAGGCACCCTTGTGGTCCTTGCTACTTGCAGGGCTGAGGTGGTGGGATTGCTTGAGCCTGGGAGATTGAGGGCACAGTGAGTTGTGTTTGTACCATTGCACTCCTGTCTGGGTGATAAAGCAAGACACTGTCAAAAAAAAAAAAAAAAAGACAGAGCTTATGTTTCATTATGATCTCAGTTCTCCTCCTTACTAGCTGGGAGCTCTTTGGTGGGCTACTTAACCTCTCTGAGCCTGAGTTTCTTCATTTGTGCAGCAAATTTGTACCTTCTCCACAGAAGGAAGGTATTATTGTAAAGATTAAAGGAGATCGTGTATTAAAGGAGATTGTGTATGCAACGTGTTTAGCACAGTGCCTGGGACGTGGTTGGTGCTCAGTAAACATGAGCTTTTCCTCCGAGGGCCTAGGCCTTTCCTGAGGACCCTTGAAGATTTAGGCGGGCTCCTAGGTTACGCTGTGGGATGGCTGGCTTAATGATGGAGAAAGACCCAGTTGCATGATTTCTACTCATCTCAGAAATTCTCCTGTCAGGGTGGGTGAAGTTCAGATCTGACTCTCCCTCTGATTGGGTGAGATAAACACAGATTTTCCCAAAGACCCAGTTGGGCAGAGCCTTGATGTTCTGCTGGCAGTGGGTTCCTTTGTAGCTGTTCCTCGCCTGCGACTCCCTACGTGGTGCCTCCTGGCGGGCTCACTTTGATGACAGCACAAGGCCTGCTCAATCACAAAACCACTTAGTGTTAAAAAAAAAAAAAAAGAAAAAGAAAAATCAAAGCCCTCATTGGTTTCTTAGGCTCTGTGTGGCAGGTTTTTGGATCATCAGCAGTTTGTGATTATTTGAGGTTCTCCCTCTGGGTTAGAGTATTTCTGTGTAATTGAGAGTTGAGTCTAATAGGAATTTGGATTTGGTGCTCAGTAAAAAAAATCATAGGTGCTTTGTAGGCAGCTGTGTAGCCATCCTGTTGCCTGGCAGCTGTGGGCTCTGAGGGGCACAGCTGCTTCCATGAGGGGGTGGCACTGGCTCAAGGCAATTGATCAGTAAACCCCAGCCTAGTAAGGCCCACAGCAGCAACCTGTGCAGCCCCCAACCAAGGACCCCTACAAAGTTCTGGATGGAAAGAGTGAGAGTAGGAATGAGGAGGAAGTGTGGGTTAGGTCTGTGGGGCCCCAGCCTTGGCTCTGGTGCCTTGTTGAAGTAAAATCTCCATTTTTCAGCAGCTCTGGGCCCAGAATGGCATCCCTGACTCCTACACGCAATGCTTAGAACTCTGGGGTCTTTCTGGCTGTCCATGTTGTGGTCACTTGCTCCCGTCATCTCTCAGCCCCACCTGAAAACTTGATCCTTTCTTAGGGGAAGTGTACTACCTCCCCCAAGATAAACGAGGTGGCAAGCAAGGGGCAGCCGTAAGACAGCATCAGGGCCTGAGTTACTACCTAGAGAGGCCACAGAAGTTCTTTGGGTCAGAAGGAGAGCCACTCTAGTGTCCACTGCCATGGCCAAGCAGAGTGGGGTGGTGCATGCAGGGGAGGGGATCTGGAGCCTGTTCAAGTACACAGGCTCATTCATGTGGTCCATCCTTAGGTGCTGAATCATATACGTGGCCTTGGCCAGGCCTGTTCAGGTTGCAGGAGGAGAGGGAAAAGGCTCAGACCACGTCCTGCTCTACACTCTTCACAAGTGGAGACTGAGGTCTGAGTTATGAAATGCTCTTATAAAAACACAGACACACAAACAAGCAAAACTTGGTAAGTTCACAGTTCAGAGCACTGAGCTCCTCAGAGAGAAAACTCCAAGGAAATTGAATTAGGAAGGCTGTAATCCAGTCAGTCTCTGAGCTCTGGGACTGCATATTGTGAAGGACAGAGAGAGTGATGTTGGGAGGTAGAAGTCCAGCGATTCTTTACATCTGGCTTGGTGGGAGCCACGGATGAAGACAGGCTGGCTAGGATGCTGATGGAATGTTTCTACTTAATTGAACCAGAGACAGGTCCAAGCACGTCCCAAGAGCTACCTGATAACCCTGAGCCCGGAGAAACAGGCACTGCTGGGGAGGCCTCAAGGGTGTCCTCAGCCCCTCCTTCCTGCACACAGTAAAATCCCCATGTTCATTACCGGGCATATACCCAAAAGAAAGGAAATCAGGCCGGGCGCGGTGGCTCACGCCTGTAATCCCAGCACTTTGGGAGGCTGAGGCAGGTGGATCACGAGGTCAGGAGTTCGAGACCAGCCTGGCCAAGTTGGTGAAACCCCGTCTCTACTAAAAATACAAAAATTAGCCGGGCACAGTGGCAGTCACTTGTAATCCCAGCTACTAGGGAGGCTGAGGCCTGAGAATCACTTGAACCTGGGAGGTAGAGGTTGTAGTGAGCTGAGATCGCACCACTGCACTCTAGCCTGGGTGACAGAGTGAGACTCCGTCTCAAAAAAAAAAAAAAAAAAAAGGAAATCAGCCTATCAAAGAGATGTGTGCACTCCTATGTTTGTTGCAGCACTGTTCATAATAGATAAGATTTGGAAGCAGCCTAAGTGTCCATCAACAGATAAATGAATAAAGAATATGTGGCACATATACACAGTGGAGGACTATTCAGCCGTAAAAATGAATGAGATCCTGCATTTGCAACAACGTGGATGGAATGGGAGATCAATATGTTAAGTGAAATAAGCCAGGCACAGAAAGACAAATGTTGCATGTTCTCACTTATTTGTGGGATCTAAAAATCAAAACAATTGAATTCATGGACATAGAGAGTAAAAGGATTGTTACCAGAGGCTGGGAAGGGTAGTGGGGGGATTAGGGGAGGTGGGGAGGGTTAATGGGTACAAAAAATATACCCATTTTTTTCTAACTATGGTACATAGTTAGAAAGAATGAATAAAACCTACTATGTGATAGCATAATAGGGTGACTATGGTCAATAATAACTTAATTATACATTTTAAAATAATTTAAAGAACATAATTGGATTATTTGTAACTCAAAGGATAAATGCTTGAGGGGCTGGATACCCTGTTCTCCATGATGTGCGTATTTAACATTGCATGCCTATATTAAAACATCTCATGTACCCCATAAATATATATACCTACTATGTACCCACAAACATTTTTTTAAAAAAGATCCCCTTGTTCTCTGTGGGCACGTCTCCAGCTTTAGAATGCACACGTCTCCCACAGCCAGCCTCTCACATTGCTGGACCTATGACTGACGCTGACAAGGCTGCAGTCCATCTGCAAACCTGTCTCCTGCTGTTCTGGGGAGCCATGCTGCAGGTTGGACACCAGCAGGCTGCAATGCAGTTGAGGGGCTGCTCAGCAGGGACCCAGGCACCAGTGCCTTTGGCTGTACGTCCTCAGCTTGTCTCATGTCTGCTCCCTCACTTCTCTCTCCACTGTGCACCCCTGGTTCACAGACCCGTGGTGTCTCTTGTCTGGACTGTGAGGCTGCCACCTGCTCCTTGTGCATCCAGGTTGGTGGCAAAAAGGGTCACAAGTCACAAATGACTGACCACTAAAGGACCAGTGTTTCAAAATAATTTTCTTTTTTTCAGATTAGCAGAATCAAGGTTGTGGCTTTAAATCTCATGTTCCTTCTGCTGTTGCTTTAATGGAAGACAAGAGGTACCATTCCAGGAAAAGTTAGGGGAATTGCAGCCTCTCTTCCCTCCTTCAGAGCCTGTGATTCAGAGGTATCCATGGGAGTGGGTTGTGCATGAAAGTAATTAATGCCAGAATTGAAGTAATAACTGGTATCCTGGACTTGAAAACAACCTCTAACAGGCCTTCTTACCATCAGTTCTGCCTCTTCTAGTCCCTTCCCTGCACTGTGGACAGAAAGGTTTTTCTGGAATACAACTGAACACATCCTCCTTGGCTTCCTTTTACCGTAGGCCAAGGCCTATACTCCTTGGAAGCCTCCTCGGCATGGTCTGCAAGGCCCTGCACAGTTGGTTCCTGGTACCCTCCATCCTCCAGGCACTGTGCACATCCTGCCTCCTTGTCACCTGATAGCATCCATGCCAGGGATGGTCAAGTGTAGGTAACAAACCTTTCTACCCACTGTCATCTTCCTCTGCATTTCAACATCAGAGACTGGAGACTTGTCTTACTGAGTCAGAAAATGGGTAGTGGAGAAGTGAATCCTAGTTTTCACGACTCTACCATGATGCAGTTTTGTTTTCTCTCTCCTTCTTTCAGGAGAGCTGAAGCACTAGGGCAGGTTTTCAGGAACACATTTATCTTATGCTTAGGACCATACAAATGGAGGGGTCATAACAATAGAATCCACATTGTTATAGAGACGTGAGGTCCCTCTTCAGCTTGCAGAGGCCTCGCATTGCTTGTGAGAAAATAGACCCACGCTAGCAGGTTGGTAAATATGTTTTTCTATTTCTATAGTTGCAAAGAAATCCTCAGACCCTTGTTAACAGACTATGACTCAGAAACAGGAAGGCAGCCGCAGCGATTAAAAATGGCAAAGGTTGTTTGGGGACAGGCAAGTGTTTTGGTGAAGGGAATGACAAAGGAAAAGAAAAAGCCATCGTGAGGAATGAGCTGTGGCCTGTTTTTTGTTTGTTTTTTTAGATGGTGTCTCGCTCTGTCACCAGGCTGGAATGCAGTGGCACGATCTCGGCTCACTGCAACCTCTGACTCCCTGGTTCAAGTGATTTTCCTGCCTCAGCCTCCTGAATAACTGGAATTAATAGGCACACACCACCATGCCCAGCTAATTTTTGTATTTTTACTAGAGACGGGGTTTCTCCGTGTTGGCCAGGCTGGTCTTGATCTCCTGACCTCGTGATATGCCTCCCTCAGCCTCCCAAAGTGTTGGGATTACAGGCGTGAGCCACTGTGCTCGGCCGGCCTTTTTTTTCTAAATTCATGTTGGTTGTGGGATGGGTCAGGCATGAGGTGCTTCTGGGGCTTGCCAGGGGACTCCCTTCTAATGGATGTTTGTGAAGAGGGACTTTCCTTCAATGCTGCAAGGCCTGTTGGGAAGAGGGAGAGCATGAGGGGCACTTTGTGATAAGGAGCCTCCTCGCACAGTCCCATGGGGCCCCCTGTTCTTTGAGTTCCTGCATTGCACAGCCCGCTGTTCATTCTCACTTGTTGACCCATGATGGTGAGGGTTTACGTACAAGATGCTCCCTCTGAATGCAAAGGAGTTGGAGGGAAAAGGTGACAGACATGGAAAGGCAGAGAGTGGAGATCTGACACACGGATAACCAGGATCTGACACAAGGATAACTTGCTGAAGAGAGCAGAGCAGAAGAAATAGAAGAAATAAAGATATTATAGAAGAAAACACTGGGCTGAGAAATGAGACATGTATACAAATTGAAAGGGCTCACCACGCTCCAAGCAAGATAAGTGAAATGAGATCCATAACTAGCTATAGCCTGCTAGCATTTGAAAACAAATTATGAAAAATTTCAAACATACACAGATGTAGAGTGTTAGTGCAATGACTCCCCATCGTGTGCCTGTCACCCAGATTTTAAGTCATCAAAATTTTGTCACATTTGCTTCATCTATTCTCTTGTCTTCTCTCATTCTTTTTCTCCTTTCCCTTGGTTTTCTTTCTTTTAATTTTTGCTGGAGTATTTTGCAGCAAATCTCAGATAACACCTCCACATATTTTGTACACATATGTAAAAATGTGGGCATTTTTCTCATATGGCTACAATGCTATTATCATACCTAGTAAAATTAACAATAATCTTTGGTACTGTGTAAGACCTATCCATAATATAATTTCCCTGACTGCAGGATGCCTTTACAATTGGTTTGTCTTAGTTGTGATCCAAACAAAAGTCTCTATGTTACATTTGCTTGCTATGGTGGTTTTAAGATGTTCTCACATTTTTGGACACTCTTTCCTTCAGAGGATGGAGACTCCTTCCCCTCCCCTTGAATGTGGGCTGGATTTAGTGACTTTCTTTTATCAGAGAATAAGGCAGAGGTAACAATATTTGCATTCCAAGGCTAGGATATAGAAGACACTTGGCTTTACACTTTGTGCTCTCTCAGAGAGTTCTCTGTTGAGGAACCCAGTTGCCATGTTATTAGGACTCTCAAGCAGCCTGCAGAAACGTCCACATGGGGAGGCACTGAGGCGTCATGCCAACAACCAGTATCAATGCTCCAGCCATGGGAGTGGGCCCACGTGGAAGAGCATCCAAGCCTCGGTCAGACCTTTGAATGAGTCCGCAGCCCCAGCTCCCATCTTGACTGCAACCTCATGAGAGACCCAAGCCACTGTGACTCAGCTAATCTACTTCCAAGCTCCTGACACACGAAACCATGAGCTAATAAATGTTTGTTGTGTTTTAAGCACTAAAATTTGGAGTAATTTGTCATGCAGTGATAGATAACTAATGGAGTTGTTATTTTAATCTGTTTTTATCTACAGAACACCTTTCCTTTTATTATTATTTTTTCATGCTATAGAAATAGAGTCAGTTGTTTTACAGAATGTCCCACCATCTGGATTTTTCTGTTAACTTCCATATAGTGTCATTTAACTAGCTCTTCTGCCTTTTCTATTTCCTGAAAATGGAAGTTTGCTCTAGAACCTTGATTTGGGTTCAGTATTTTTGGCCAGAATACTTCACATGGGGGTGTTTTGTGCATGTGATTATGAATATCAGGAGGTACCCAATGTCTAGGTATAACACATATAGGAGTGTTAATGTTGATCAGTGGGTTTCAGATGGTCGGGCAACATTTTTGAATTTCAAGGACGGAGGGCAAAATTCTACCTACATTGCAAGCATGTAGTCAGAAAAACTAGATTACCCACCATGAGATATACTGGGAATCTAAGAGTGTTATAACCAATGAAGCTGGTTTTTACATGTGAGTGAAGACAACAGAATGACTGATTCCTATGTACAAAAGTTCAGAGATATGTACCACATATATTTCTTGGGGGAAAACTACCTTGAGGATAAGTGCCATTTATTTGTGAATTCAACAAGTATCTGAGAAACTCCCATGGGCTGAAGCACTATGCTAGGTGGGGGTCAGAACTTGAACTGTTCAGGAAGGAATGCAATTACGGACTTGAGCATAGAGAAGCCATGTGTGGCATGAGGGGTCTGGTGGACCTGGAACCAGTGACACACAGTGAGAAGTCAAAGCCGGCAGCATCCATCTCCCTGTTCACTGGCTGGGTCTGGATATTACTCTGAGCCACCTCAGGTGGCCCCTTCATCAGGGGTAGCCAACTGGAAGTGGGGATGGAGAGCCCGGGGACCCCTGCACTGTGGGCCGTGCAGGCCTGGGCTCTCAATTCACTGCTGCCGGAGGGCCTGGACCTGTGGAAAAGCAAAGAGGAAAGCAGTGGTAGTGGGCAAGCGCAGGATCTGGAGCTGGGCGGGCAGTGGGAAGTGTGTGACCGATGTAAGTGGGTGAAAAGGGGAGGCCGGGAGGAGGCTGTGCAAGGGGTAGTCAGCAGTACTGGTGAGATGGTAGTTTTCGCTGGGTGTGGGTGGGGAGACGAAACCTGCTGACGGATGGGCTTTCTGGAAGTTTCTCACCCTGTTCCTAGGGCTGGACTAGGGAAGTGAAGGGCAATTAAAGCATCTGTGGCACAGACAGGCTCCAGAGATGTGCAGGGAGTAATTTAGATGGCACCTACTGGAGTGTCTCCAGCCCTCTGGTTCTGCCCAGTGTCTCTTCTGGGAGTTCTAGGGTCTGCTGATTGTGGATTGACCCCCTGTGCAGGGCCATCTTCCTCGGGGCCCACAGTGCAGGCCCAGTGAGGATCAGTACACAGGCCCAGGTTGGTACCTGCACCACACACCTCCCCTTCTTCTCACTCTAGTAAACAAGTTCGGGGGCCCTGGGTGATCACAGACTACCTAACAGGTTTCCTGCTCCTCAGAGCCTGTGTGGGGCCTGCCTGATAGAGATACCTGGCTCTAGATTGACCTTAGCAGGGTCCTACTCTTAGGACAGAGCCATCAATCCCAAGTGCCCGGTGGGAAGCACACAGGTTGCTTGTGCCTGAGTCACTGGGGACCATCCTCAGCTGGAGGGAGTGGGCATTTATCAGATGATGCCTGAGCTGGACCTCTCCTGCCCTCTGGAAAAAAGGGGCTGGTGAAGCTTTTGAGTATCTAGAATCTTAGAATAAGGGAGAGGAAGGAATGCCAATTTTAGAGATAATTAGAAAATGCTTATTTCTTTTGGAGTAAGTCTCTGACCAGATTGAAAGGAAAGCTGCCAGCACCCCAGCAGTGTCTGTCTGCTTCCTCTCCGGTCAGCAGCTCCTTGCACCTTGGGGGATGCTCTGTGACTCAGTAGGCATCCCACTGCCGGCCGGCAGCCCCTCTGTCCTGCTTTATCTTTTTTCCCTTTTTGTTTATTGCTACTTTCAAGGGCATAGTATAAGGATAACTGTGACCCTCTGACTCCCTTGGCCCCCCACCCAAGCCAAGCTCTAAATACCTAGTCTTTTTCCTGCATATGTGTAAACTCCCAGCCTATCATCTCTCTAAGAAGCCTCCCTCCCACTTTCCAGATTCTGTATGAAAAGAGAACTGGACCATGTGTTAGAGTGTTTGTGTTTCTAGCTTGCTGTGTGGCCTTGGGGTATCTCTTGACATCTGGTTCCCTGTGATGTTCCCCTCTTAAGCCTACTCTCCTTCTCCTGTGAGATGTGGTTTCTTATGTAGGCTGCAGTATAGATGGGTTGAGACAGGGTTTTGCATCTTTTCCAGAGTGTAGATGACTTGCTTTTTTTCCATCCCTGTCTTCAGGCCAGGGCTCGTCCAGTCGAGTCCTGTCCAGACCACAGTACGAATGGGTTATAATTGGAGTTTCCATGGACACAGATGACTTGATCACAACCTCCCCGAGAGAGCTTTCCAGTGTCGGCCCCGATATCAGGCAAGAAACAAGTGCCCACCCTAAATCGTGCCCAGTGTTTCTTTACCCCTTTTCTCTGCTGATTCTATAAAGGGAAAATGGGCCAGTTCTCTGCCTGCCCCACATACAGACTGCCTGGGATTTCTCAAGCAGATCAGCATCAGAGCGGCCATCTGGCCCTAAAATGTTCTAGTCAGGTCCAGAGTCTGCATCCATTCCCCAGGGTCTACCTCCCATCTCTCTTCTTCTCTTGGACACATCCAAGGCATTAAGCACCCCATTCTTGGTTGTATTTCTCACTCTTTTTTGTTTGTTTGTTTCACTTTCTGCCTTCCAAGTTCTACTGTGTTCTCTAATTGCTCCAGAAGCCAGACAGATGGGCTGGTTTCTTTAGCCAAGATGAAATTTAAAAATCATCTCAAAGTAAATGGAGGCTCAGATGTGTCAGTTAACTTTGCATGCCTCTCCTCGATGGCTGGTTTGCCATCACAGGAACTTTCTGTTTTTAATCAACCATCTGGGCCTGGCCATATTTCCTTCCAGAAAGCGTCTAGCAGCTTTGCTGGACTTGATGAAGGACACCGTTGTCCAGGTATGGCCAGCTGGGATGTGAGTTCTCTAGACTTGTGTAGAATCAGGAGTGATTTGGGCTGGGTCTGGCATACCAGGTCATCCTTCCCATCATCGTGCAGCTGTGGGACCCGAGGCCTCAGAGGGCAATGTGCTGACAGGATCACACAGCTGGGAATAAAAGTGAGGTCTCCTGAGTCCCGTCTAGTTCACTTTCATTCATGTCAGGAAGCCTGACACAGAAGGGGCTTAATAAGACACAGTGAGAAGAAAAATAGTTGGCTCTTCTTTAAGAAGAATACAGAGAATCTTGATGAGGGGACACAGTTGAGAGATGAGAAATTTTACTTCCTCCACTTTGGAACTCTCTGGCCACTGCCCTAGAGATAAGGAATGGCACAGTTATATCTTCCCACATGACTTTAATATCTGCCTTCAGTCTGTCCATATATGGGAAATCAAGTCCAAAAAGGACTGCTTCAGCCAGGCTAACCTCACATCAGTCTCCTCAGGCTCCCACAATCAAAGTCAATTTACTAGTCAACTATCTGAGAAGTGGACAAGCAGTCTACCAGATGGCAGGTGGCCACATTGCGTTTTCTGGGGCCATGAAACTGCCTGAATTGTCTGAAGGTTGTTTGGTGAGTCCAGAATGAGAGTCAAGAGTGTCAGGTGTCCTCAGGGCTCTTCCCACTGAGCCTGCCCTTCCGCTTGAGAGACTCGTTCCTCTCAAACCCAGAGCCAGGTGTTTTCAGAACCTGGCATCTTCTCCTCAGGATTGGGGGGTGGGGTAATACAAAGGGCAGGACTCTCTAGATATCTCCTTGCCTTCTGAATCTTATACTCTTGAAATTTTCCTTCTTTTTCTTCTTCTCTTCTCCCTCATTTAGTAAGGTGGGTTGGTGGTGGGTAAATTTGCCATTTAGCCTGTAGGTGGTAGAATATTGAGGTGGGAGGAATGAATGTTATCCAGAGATCTTGGGCTTGAAGTTAAATGCAGTAACTAGAAATGGTTTGGGGCTGTTTCCTTTTGAGAAGAGATGAGATGGTAATACAATGTTAGGTGTTGGGGGGATTTTAAAAAGTATATGTGGAAAACCTCCACAATTAATACTTATTGGGCACTCCAGATACTGTGCTAAAATTCCATATGCATTATTTATTTAACCCTCCCAGCAACACTTAGTAGGGATATTATACCTGTTTTACAAATGAGGAAAGAGACGTATAAAGTTTAAGTAGCTCTCCCAAGGTCATGCATTGGTCAAGCCAGGATTCAAACCTTGACAATCTGCCTCCAAAGCCCTTCAGTTATATGGCTGCCTGGACAGGGGTATGAGTGTGTGTGTGTGTGTGTGTGTGTGTGTGTGTGTTTTCATAAATCTACATATGCAGGAATTCATGTGCCAGGCAACCAAGGGGTCGTATGTGATGGGGTTCTTTTATTTCCTTGATAAGAGGACCCCTCTTGCCTTTCAGGAACCTTTCCCCACCTAATTCCAGAAATTGTTCCTCTCAGCTTCAGCATGTGGCTGAACTGGGCCTATCAGACACTGTCTCCTGGCCTTGGAATGTAGAATGCAGTTTTCCTCAGAGCTGTTCCCCAAGGTCATGGCCTGGGAGCTCATGTCACTCAAGGCAGTTCTTGGGCCGATTTATTCCTGTCTTTCTGAAGACCTTTGACTAGCTGAGCTACACTTTATCCTTCTGATAAATTCCTCTTTTTCTTTTCTTTTTCCTTTTCTTTTTCTCTTTTCTTTTTCCCCCACCCTCCCTTCCTTCTCTTCCTTCTTTCCTTCTGATATACATTGCTCACAATTAAAGAACACTATCTGATACTCTCCCTACCTCTTTTATTTGGTTAGACATCCGATCTGACTACAGACCATTCTGTCTCCAATCACTTCATACCATGTTGCAATTTCCAAGGAGAAATGTACCACATTGAGGACTATCATATTTCATGCAGGCTGATTCCAGTTCCTCTAAACAAAAGAGTTTTCCTTCAGGAATCTAGGAATCATATCCTCCTGCCAGTTGCATCTTTTTAGTCCTATCCCTTGATTTGGAGGTGTCTTCTTTAGGAAGCATGAAGTCCAGCTTCCAGTGATAAAGGTGGATGGACCTTATTTACCCCCAGCACCTAGTTTCCAAATCGTATGCTAGTGTGGGTACTTCTGAGGTTTTCTGGAGGCTACTTCCCTGGTTGAAGGTACACAGATCTCCAGGCGTACTAACCACAGAGGTGCTGACTGGGATACATGGCAGCTCTGAACCTGTACCTGGGAGACTTTTGCTTCTGCAGGTTCTCATTGTAGGTCCTTGAGCATTGGGGACCATTTGGCTATGCAACAGTTATTTGCTGAGTGCTCAGAATCTGCTATGTGCTAGTGATGATCCCTGTTTTTGTTCACATTTCTATCTCAAATAGCTACTCCCAGGCTTGGAACAGTACAAATCTGTTGAGTGGCTGTAAAGCACAGGTCCCTGTAAACAGGCTGGAATGCCATCTCTTCTACAGGCCCTGTCCTTGTGCTGGGTCAGGCTGGGCAGCTGCTACTGTCATCTTGGCCCCTTTTCACCTCACCCTTCTCTCCTTATATGCACAAAGGGCCAGCAAAACCTGTCTGTAAGTTACTGATGCTCCTCTCTTTCCATCCTTTTTCCACTACCCTCAGTTCCTAGTGGGGCTTCAAGACATGGTGATAGGTGTCCTCAGGCCAGCAACAGCCCTCGTGCTCTTGGCTCCCCTGACGCTGCATCCTGGAATCCTTTCCTGTTCCCAGGCTCTTCACTGTCTTCATGGCACTGTGTTCCAAGGGTTTATTTCAGTTGTCTGAAACAGGATGGCCACTGATTCATACTGAACTTTCTGTTTTACTCTAGTGTGGAATGGTTCCAGGATTCAGATGTGAGCAAAAATCTGTGTCCTGCTTTGCAGTCTTCCTGGACTTAGAAGCTAAGATGTTGGCTGGGCCTTCACTCCTTTGACCCTGAAGAGGCTCCTTGTCCTACCTCAACCTTGTAGGGCAGTCTCTCCCAGTCCCTGGGCTCTTGGAGAAATTATTGATCAATTGTCCCTTTACAGTTAGCCTCACACCACAGCCCTTGGTGACTGGTCCCCAGGTGTGCCCAGTGGGAAGATGGGTGGAATGTTGATGATTTTCTCCTGCTGCTCTTCAGGATGCATTTATTATATAGATACAGCTTCAGCAAGAATGACAGCTTCAACAATGGAAGAGGATAACTTTTTTTTTTTTAAGTTTAAACTAGTGTTCTGGTCTGTCTGCAATGATTCTTTAACCCTTCAGGAAGTAGCTGTCTGAATTTCAGCTTGCACTAGGGTCAAGCTAAATCTTATAGTCATTAAAATGCCCTTTGTTGTTGCAAAGTTTGCTGCCTGCTGGAGCTTTTCCATTTCATTTTCTGTCCTGCTACTTCTGAACATTGATTGGTCTCTGGGTCCCTGCATCTTCTCTTTGTCTGGGACATAGTTAGCTCTGGATGTGGGATGTGGTTTGTATGATGTGAAGACATGGTTGAGAATAAAGTGATGGTTCCCCACCTGCCACCCGGTTTTCCAATGCATAGTTAATACACCGACATGCCACGGTCTCCAATTTGCAGCTCAGGAATAATTCAAACATTAACATAGGAGGATCCAGACTTTGAAAAAAATGAAAAAGATGCTTTTATGTGAAACAGAGCTTTATCTTGCATGTGAAGTGGCGATATGCCTATCTTAATTTCGTTCAGCAAAGGATGGGAGCATAAGAAAGAATTGTTCAAACTGGTTTTATTTTCATTATTTGAAGTCTGATTGGTTTTACAAATTAAATCGCTTCATACTTTTTTGAAGCTGAAGGTGCATTATTCAGCCGGGATCCTTTTTCCATACAAGGGGCTGTATTTGAAGCCACCTGCCCAGCCCCCCTTGAATCTATCCCTTTGTTATTTTCAGTGCACACAATACTAAAATATGTTAAACTCTGCAATGGAAAGAAATGGCCCCTAGAGCCACAAAAACCCCCTCTGTGCCTTCTCCTGGCTCGCTCATGGGGATAAAGGAAATTGGAATAATTTCAGTAGCAGTAACATCTTCTGGAGGAGAGTGAGGATGGCTGTGCCTCGGTGAGATAAAGCTCCCCAAAAAGGACACAGATGGGGAAGCTGCCCTTCCTTGTAGATGGGGACCCACCAGCTTCAGGACTACTTTTGCAAGAGGAGTGTTTCAGGGACTGTGGGGCATGTTGTGCTCAGAGTCGATGGCGTCTCTGGATACCAAGTATATAAATGTTCGGCATAGCTGCCTAATCTAGGGTTCTCAGTAAGGTCTTGATAGGTGGCATGGCTGAGTTGAGTCATGCAACCACTTTTTAGCCTGGCTTCCCTTGTCTGTGTGGGTGAGGTGGGCTCAGGCACAGGAGTCAGGCATAGGGACACTGACTTGCTCATATGGGAATCAGTTCCATATGGAGGAGATGCTATCAGCCATGCCTCGATATTTTCTCAGCTAATAGTCAGCAGGATCACCCAGCGTTCTGGAGAAGGTAAATGTAATAAGGATGGTCTGATGGTAACATTCTTCTTAGCTGGCTTGATCTGGACTCTGGCACTCTTCAGACCACAGGAGAATGCTGGTGAGGGGTGACTGTTGTTTCACGCTTTAACTCAAGAATGACAAAGGTGCTAACAGAATTCCTGATCCAGACCCTGCCCTCTTGTTTTTCCTAAACTGAGTCCCTAGTTTCAACAAGTGGAAACCCACCTGATGCCAAACATAAGGTAAACTGCTCTTTTCATGTGACTGACTGAAGTTTTGGAGTCATGAAGACAGCTTTGGTCCCACACACACCCCACCCTCTTTCAAATATTATAAAGAGTGTTATTAATAACAACCCCTTATATTGGTGTAGAGCTTCATCCTTTTCAAACCTCCTCATCCATCATGACGTTTTATTACCACCCTCCACATACCTGTGAGTACCCCCATGTGGTCCAGGTCAACTCACCCAGAGGTGAGAAGATTTGGTAAAAGACAGGAGTGAAATAGAGGCGGGACTTTGAAGGTTGATTGTCTCTACCATTAACAATGTACTTGCGTGGCATGTGTATCTGAAAGACATTCCTCTCCTGAAGAAAGGGAGTGGGTGGCTCGTGGAGAACACATCTCTGTGTAGAACTGTTATTTACTGACAGAATAATACTGCATCCTGGTAATAGGCCATTTTCCCCATCACTGCACGGAACTAACCAACCTCCAACTTGCATCTAAGTTTTCATCTCTGGATCTAGTTTCATCTTTTTTTCTGCTACAGTCAACACAGTGAAACTTACCACATTCCTAAATACCTTTTAATGATGGTATTCTAAATTTTTTATGAAAATGGGAAGAACTGAGAAGAGCTAAAACAATTTTTTCTTTAAAAAAGAAGAACAGTGTTGGAGGGCTTACACTACCTGATTGAAAGGCTTACTATAAAGCTACAGTAATCAAGATGGCATGGCATTGGCATAAATATGGACACATAGATCAATGAAATGGAATAGGGTCCAGAAATCCTCCCTTACATAGGTGGCCAATTGATTTTCAACAAATTTGTCAAGGTAATTTGATGGAGAAAGGTTAGTCTTTTCAACAAATGGTGCTGGAATGCCTGAATGCTCATAAGGAAAATAATGAACCTCAACTTTTACTTCATGCCATGCACAAAAGTCAACTCGAAATGGATTATAAACCTAAACGTAAGTGCTAAAACTATAAAACCTCCAGAAAAATTAGGAGAAAAATCGTCATGACTTTCGGATAGGCAGAGATTCTTAGGACACAAAAACCAAGAAATAGAAATGATAAAACTAAAACTAATAAATTTGACTTCATGAAATTAAACTATGTTCTTTTAAAGATACTGTTAAGGAAATGAACAAGCCGCAGATTGAGAGAATGTATTTTCAATACATATTTCTGAAAAAGATTTTGTATTTAGAATGTAGAATATTCAGAACTCAATAACTCAGAGACAACCCCATTTAAAAAATGGGTAAAAAGGTGATGTCAACAAGGTGACTGACTACAAGCTCCTAGTGCTCTTCCCGCCCCCCCACCCAGGAAAACAAAAAACAATGAATAAACACCTATATTTCAACCAAAAGGACTGAAGGAGAGCTCTGGAGAACAGCAAAGAAGCAGTAGAAATCTTGCAGAGCACAGAAACCCAGGATGGTCATATAGGGAAAGGAAGGAAACACCTTGCCTCTGCCACCCAATCTCCTCAGTTAGGATCATCTTGGAACCAAGAGGGACTCCTTTCTGCAGGGAAAAGATAAGCAAAAGGATCCCAGTAGCTTCTGTCACCTCCACAGACACTGCAGTCTTTGCTACCAAAGACTCTTACAGGCTCAAGCCCAGCTGAGAGAGCTCTCCCAAGGCCACATGCTGAGTTACCCCCAGAGAGGGAGCTGACACTGTTTCCCCAACCTCCACTGTGCCCCCTGCTGTGACTACATTGTGCCATATTGGAGTGGGAGCCACTGCTGGGGTGTGTCCTGCTCTAGGGCAAGTAGCCATTGTACTTCTCCATCCTTGAGGATGGCACAGCCTGCCCAATTTTGCTGCCACTGCAACATGCCCACCTGGCAGTATACCATCCTTGAGCTGAGCTGCTGCTATGCCCTAACCCCTAGGGCCAAGCTACCATGGAGCTTCTCCGTTTCCCCAGCCCAGTTGCTGGTGCACTTTTAGGGATGAGCTGAAGTGGTTCCCCAGCCAATGTGGACCTCAGGCCTCCAGCATACTGGAGTAGTTGGGTTCCCCAGTGCCATAGCAGACATGATGACCTATCCCCCAGGGATCAAAAGGCTTCACTGATCCATGTAGCCACACTCCCTGGGGGCTAAGCAGATGCATGCCCTTGTTTCTCAGGGAATCAGAGCCTTGGCTGAGCAGCCACAATCCCCTGCCTACCTGGAATTGGACTTGCAGCCCCATAGTGTGAGCTGCTGAGGCACGCCACCTCTCTGAGGAGTGGAGTCATTGCTGAGCTGCTTTCTTCCTGCTGATTCATAAGCCATAGTGATAGCCTGCCACTTTTGGATCCTTGCTGCTCCTGCACCTGGCCTCACAGAGCCTGGGCTACTGCCATGTCCCACTACCCCAGGGCCCAGAGTCACCACTGTGTGGTACCTCATCCCCCAAAGGCCAAGCTCCCGCTGTGTCATATGGATTCTGCATCCCAAACTACAGCTATGTTCTGCTCTCCAAGGCCTGAGCCTCTGGAGTACGTCTTCTTCTCCAGAGCCATGCAATTGCTGCCCTCCTGCCCTGGGGTGAAAACTACAGCCACATCCCAGCCTTGTGGGCCCAAGTATCTGGGCTATAACTCAGAACAAAGACCCTTGCTTAGTGGAAGAACTGTATCCACTTGTGCCTCAAAAGTAAAACTGTACATCACATCCCAGGTGCCACAGTATTTTCACAAGATCCTAAACCCAGACCCTGGCTCCACAGCTGCTCTGTGCACCTGTGCATTAGATCCCAGTCCTGCTGCAGCTGCCAGTGTACCCTGTAAGACCCAACACCAAGAGAAATCACCTCATTTATGACTCCTAACCGTGGGGAAGACAAAAACAGGAGGATCACTAACGCCTTTGACCTAATACCTATGTGGCCACCATCATGGCCACAAACTTCTGTAGCCCAGACCATTGAGGCACTTGCATTCATCACTGATATTGATCACAACTGAAGAAGTTGCAAGGAGTCTACATCCCTTCACCCACATGAAATGAAAGCCACCAGAGCCTGCTCAACCAAAAGCCCCAGGCCCATCTGCAGATGAAAATCTTCCCCTCTGAAAGCCACTCTATAAAGTTTGAGAGAGCCGATTATACCACCAGATGTGGAGACACCTATGCAGGGACACAAGAAATAAGAAAAAGCAAGGAAAAGTGATACTACCAAGGGAAAACAATAATTCTCTGCTAACTGACCCCAAATAAATGAAAATGTATGAGTTTTCTGAAAGAGAATTCCACATAATGATCTTAAGGAGACTCAGTGAGATATAAAGGAATATAAATAGACAACTTAATGAAATCAGGAAAACAATTCATGGTCTGAATGAGAAATTCAACAAAGAGATATCATTAAAAAGAACCAAACAGAAATCACGGAGCTGAAGAATTCAATTGATAAAATAAAAAACATACGAGAGAGCAGTGGTCCCCAACCTTTTTGACACCAGGGACCAGTTTCATGGAAGAGAATTCTTCCACAGACTGGGTGGTGGGGGAATGGCTTTGGGATGACACTTCCACCTCAGATCATCAGGCATGGCTAGATTCTCATAGATCCCTCACATATGCAGTTCACTATAGGGTTTGCACTCTTATGAGAATCTAATGTCCCTGCTGATCTGACAGGAGGTGGAGCTCAGGACGTACTACTCACTCACCTCCTGCTATGTGGCTGGGTTCCCAATAGGCCATGGACTGGTACTGGTCTGTGGCCCAGGGGTTGGGGATCCCTGCAATAGAGAGCTTCAACAGCAGATTTGATCAAGCAGAAGAAATAATCTGTGAACCTGAAGATAGGTCTTTTGAAATCACTGAGTCAGAGAAGAAAAAAGAATGAAAAACAGTGAAGACAGTCTATGGGACTTATGAGATACCATTAAGCAAACAAGTATTTGCATTATGGGAGTTACAGGAGAAGAGACAGAGAAAGGGACACAAAACTTATTTAATAAAATAATTACTGAAAACTTCTTAGGTTTTCAGAGCGATATGAACATCCAAATTCATGATGCTCAAAGGTTCCCAGATAGATATAGCCCAAAGAGGTCCTCTCCAAGACACAAAATCAAATTGTCAAAAGTTAAAGACAAAGGGAGAATTTTAAAAGCAGCAAGAGGAAAACACCAAGTCACATATAAGAGAACCTACATTAAACTATCAGTATATTTCTTAGCAGAAACCTTACAGGCCAGTATAGAATGGGATGATATATTCAAAGTGCTAAAGGAAAAAAAAGACTGTCAGTCAAGAATACTATACCCAGCAAAGCTGTCCTTCAGAAATGAAGGAGAAGTAAAGTCTTTCCCAAATAAGGAAAAGCTGAAGGAATTCATCACCACTAGTACTGCCCTACAAGAAATGCTTAAGAGAGTTCTTAAAGTGGGAATAAAAGGACAATAATTACCATCATGAATATATATGAAAGTATAAAACTCACTGGTAGAGGTAAATGTGTAGCCAGATCCAGAAAACTATAATACCGCTGGTGTATAAATCATATAAATTTCTATTATGAAAGTTAAAAGTCAAAAAGTCATCAAAAATAAATAAAGCTACGATGAGTTGTTAAAGAATATACAATATAAAAATATGTAAATTGTGACATCAAAAACAAATTGTTGTGGGTAGAGGGTAAAAAAGATGGGCAAAAGGTATTTGAGCAATTGTTTCACACACAATAAATATGTGAGTGGCTAACAAACACATAAAAAGATGTTCAACAGGATTAATCACTAGGAAAATGCAAATTAAAACCACAGAGAGGAGAAGCTGGTTTCGAGTTCTGGCCAGTGGCAGGCAAAGAGTGGGCACTGGTGACTGCTAGATGAAGCTTGCTCATCTGAGAAGGCCCAGTTCTTATTCAATGGATAATGGCATTTGAGCTGATGCCAAAAAATAATTGGTATAGCATTTTTGGGGGCACACCCAAATGTGTCAAACCTAAAACAAAAGTATAAAAAACTTACATTAAAGCAGCATTCAGATTAACAAAGTACAGATGTGCCAGCAGGAATAGTGGAGGACTGTATACAGAAATTCATTGAAATTGATCAGGCGTGGAAAATTCTAGGGAATGAAGAGAAAAAAAGAGTATGATCCTCAGTGGCATGAAGATGATCTAAGAAATATGGAACCAGTAGATGCTCAACTATACCTTGAAAAAGTGCCTTGGAAAAAAGATGATGACTCTTTTTCCCCAAGTAGCCAATGTGGTAGAAAACACAGTGTTTCCAAGGATGAAGCAGAGGAAGTTAACCTATTTTCTTGTGATACATGTTCACTAATTACAGAACTTCTTCATTATTGGTAAAATTCTTCACTACTTGGAATCCTTGTCCTGTGTATTTGGACATGGTGAGGAGAGGCCATCTGAGCTTTGACAATTCAAGGGAATACATTCTATTGTTGTTAGCCCTATCATTTTCAATGAAAATATGATTGTCAAGCAAAGTCCACCTCAGATTAATAGAAAACTAATTTAGTTATTTACATGTATTGATAGTTTGTATTTACAGGTTGCCACAAAAAGAACTTGAATTACAAATTATATTTAGTGCATTCCAAAGGACTTTATTATTTCATTTTCTCCTTGATACAAAATGAGAATTTTCTTTTTCCTACTATGAGCATCTCCTTTTTTAGTGGGTAACAGTATCATTGCATTCCTTTATAGTTACTAAGTTTCTGATCTAACAGATGATATTTCTTGCTGCTAAAGTTATAGGCCTGTTATACACCTATCTCCAATTCTATGGTCATTAAACTTAAATTAGAAATCTTTGTGGATACGTGTGAAGCCAGTTCTCCCATAATGAAGCTTGAATATGGATATTCATGAGGTTATTTCAAAGTTCATAAAGAAAGTGAAGTGGCAACTCTAGGAAGAAAAATAGCTTTAGAGTCAGAAGACTTGACTCCAATCTTATCCTGTATTTCCAAAGCTCATGAATACTGCCATCTTCAATTTAAATGTAATATAGGACATGGGAGCTTTATAAAAATAACTGAAAATTGGCATACTACTTTTCTTTTTCAGAGTATTAAGATATAGTATTAATGCCTATATTTATAAATAAGGAACTATTTCATTGCTAATATAATCAAATGGACTTTTTTTTTTTTTTTTTTTTTTAGATGGAGTTTTGCTCCTGTTGCCCAGGCTGGAGTGCAATGGCGTGATCTTGGCTCACCGCAGCCTCTGTCTCCCGGGTTCAAGCAATTCTCCTGCCTCAGCCTCTTGAGTAGCTGGGATTACAGGCATGTGCCACTACGCCTGGCTAATTTTTTTTGTATTTTTAGTAGAGATGGGGTTTCCCCATGGTGGTTAGTCTGGTTTCGAACTCCCGACCTCAGGTGATCCACCTGCCTTGGCCTCCCAAAGTGCTGGGATTGCAGGTGTGAGCCATCGCGCCTGGCCTCAAATGGACTTTTATAATGTATTATTATTGGCCATAGCAGACTGTAGACCCCTTAAAGATTTATTTTTCTATATATTTAATATTCTGTGTACAGTTCAAGTAAGAACTCATTTAAATAATTTTAAGGGATCCTTTACAGAATCACTGAAACTTTTTACTTCAAATGTGTGTACTAAGCATGTAATTTAGCAGCTTTTTCTTAAGTCCAACTCTTAGCAGTGTCAGATTGGATTTGTAAGTAAGAATAATTACTACTCTGACTTGTAAATGTAGCCAAAGCATAAGAGATATTCAAAAACAGAAGATTACTTTCACTATATGTATAAAACCAAAAATTCAAAAGTGAAGCAGTCATCCAGGTTTTCCCCCCAAAATATTTTTATATCTATCATAAAGTTAAATGACTTATTTTGGATTACATTTTATTTATATATTTTGAACTAATATAGCTTGTAGAATATATGTTGCTTATTCTTTACATTTAGCAATTAAAAAGAACTAAAACTGAACAGCAAATAGCTTATTGGTATGTACATGGTTTCAATGGCAGTAATACATTTACTTGAATAGGAGGTAATAATCAAGTCACAAGAGTAAATGCTTGCTAATTATGTGAAAATCTGTGGCCGTTAGGGCTGTCACATAGAAATCCAAAATCACTCAGAGGCCAAATCTGTAAAATCAAAATGTGGTTGAAGACAATTAATAAAAATGATGTTATGACATCATCATATTTCCCTTTCTCTATTTCCTTTTTCCCTCTTCTCCCTGTCAGGTAATTAAATGCTTTCTTTGTCAATCAAGAATAAAATTTTCTACGTCAAAATAAGACATTAGAAAATAAACTTGCATGAGTATATGTATTTAAACTCTAAAGTTTGGAACATTCAGACATTATACAATAAATTACATGTGTGTAGTGTGTGAAGACCTATGCATGAGTAAAAATAAAGCCACAAGGAGAGACCACTACATACTCTTTAGAGTAGCTACAATGAAAAGAATACTGGCTAAGCGCAGTGTCTCATGCCTGTAATCCCAGCATTTTGGGAGGCCGAGGCAGGCGGATCACGAGATCAGGAGTTTGAGACCACCCTGGCCAACATAGTGAAACCTTGTCTCTACTAAAAATGTCAAAAATTGGCTGGGCATGGTGGCACACACCACTCGGGAGGCTGAGGCAAGAGAATCGCTTGAACCCGGGAGGCGGAGGTTGTAGTGAGCCAAGATTGTGCCACTGCACTCCAGCCTGGGTGACAGAGTGAGACTCCATCTCAAAAAAAAAAACCAAAAACCAAAAAACAAACAAACAAACAAACTAAATATTGGAGAGGATATGGAGCAACTGGAATTCTCATACCTTGTTGGTGAGAATGTACAATGATATGTCCACTTTGTAAAACAGTTGGGCAGTTTCTTATAAAGTTAAAAATACACATCAATTTCACTTCTAGGTATTTACCCAAGTGAAATGAACACATGTTTACCCTAAAAGGTATGCATGAAAGTTCATAGCAGCTTTATTCATAGTTAAAAACTGGCAACAATCCTAATGTCCATGCACAGATAAATGAATAGACAGTATGGTGTATCTGCATGATGCAGTACTACTCAGCAATAAAAAGGAATGAACTACTGATAGATGTAATGACATGGACGACACTTAAAAACATTATGCTGAATGAAAGAAGCTAGACATAAAAGAATAGGCACTGTAATGTTTTATTTATCTGAACCTCTGGGAAAGACAAATCTAATCTATGGCCACAGAAAGCAGATTATTGTTTGCCCTGGGGTTGGTGGGATTGACTGGGATGGGGCACTAAGGAACGTTTGGCTGTGATGGAGACTTTCTATATTTTGATTGCAGTTGCTGGTTACTCGAGAGTGGAAATTTATCAAAATGCATCAACATTATGCTTAAAATATGTGCATTTTACTCCATGTAAATTACACCCAAATAAAGAACTTCTAAAAAACAAAATAGTACCAATCAAATTTAAAACAATCAGCATATTTCTGCCATCCTAATGAAATACTAGTATTGTCCTGGAGAAAACAAATGTTGTTCTCACAGGCCTCTTTTGAAGTTCTAAAATTAGGACCCTATAAGGAGTATAAGGGCTCTTTTTATTGCTGCATAGTATTCCATCATATGGATATACCAGTTTGCTTATCCACTCAACTGTTGGAATTTTAACTGTTCAAACTAGTTAAAAGTCAGAAATAGTCAATTCCTATTTGGATTGCTTCTAACGTTTAACTAGTTTGAATAGTTGTCTGTGATGATAAACCCCCAGATTTTTGCTCTGTGATGGGAGTCAGAAGAAACTATTTACAGGCCAGAGAGGTGCAGCCTGATGGGTCATTCTGGCTCAGGACAGACTCCTGATTTTTAGGAACCAGATAAGGGATTTGCCAAAAGTCCAACTGGCCATTGGCCAAGGGACAAATACTTGGACTGAATGAAATACTGGGTTGGAGGCTATTATTCCAATTCAGTAATTTAAGAAATGTTGTGTCTAAAGTTTCCCTTTTCTAAAAATGGAATTTGTTTCTGTGATTCATAAAAGCTAATATTTGGGAATGATTTCCATTTAACTATAAGAGACTATTGTTTTGCTCACTCCTGTGTTCCCGATGCCTAATGTACCTGGCACACAGTGGGCTCTTAAATATTTTTTGAATGATTGTATAAATTTATGACGTCAGAATTCAAGTAATGAATATGGTTTTTCCAATGTATTAGTCAAGATAAAATAAGTTATACCACAGTGACAAGCACCCTCCAAATCTCCATGTGATTAAATGACAAAAGTTAATATCTTTTACACAGAAGTAGTTCCGTGGTCCTGCCTGACTGCAGGGAAGCTTAAAACACAGTTTAACATGTTCCCAGTTAAGGAGGGGTATGAAATGAAATTTGGCAAACACATAGCATTATTTCTGCCATGTTAAGTCTTGAACAGGTTAAGTTTATATAAGAATATATATATATATATTCTTATATAAACTTATATAAACTGATGAGGCACATCTCTGCTGATGGCCTGTGGTTTTGAGAAAATAAGCCTGCATGAATGAACACTACTCTTCCTGATGGTCTACATCAGATTCTAAGCTCACTTGTCCTTCTGTACTTTTGCTTGTGCAGTTTCTTCCATCTGGAATACCTTCCATTTTCTTGCTGGATGAGCTAAAAATTGGATCCATTCTTAGACACTCAGTCAAGTGTTACTTCTTCCAACGATTCTTCCATGGTACATGGCCTGATTAACTGCACTTACATTTGGACATTTTAACAGCATTTGAACCAGTACTTGCTTATCGATGACCACATGATTTCTAGCAGTGCTGCACATCTAAGAATTCTTTCTTGAACTCTTAAGGAGCCGGCATGGTGCTTTCTTCTGCTCCTTCACTCAGCCGAGGACTAAGCACAATGAGGATACTCAATAAATGTGTGTTTTCAATAAGCATTGGTTGAACAAGCCAGGGCCTGGGAAGTACCCACTCTGTGGAGCTGAGTGGGGAAAGCAAAGCAGCCCAGGTTTAGCAGGTGTGGGCTGCATGAGAGTCTCCTTCCTATTCTTCGCAGTGTTTGGGATTTCGCAAGGCATTCCACGATGTGAAGTAGGGTGTGCATTTACTTACCTATTACACAGCTCCCAGTCCTCATTGAGCAAAATCAAACAGGGGAGTCCTGAAAAATAAAGAGTCCTGTGGGCTGTGGCTGCTTGTCCTTTGAGAAGTTTAAGAGCTCTGGCCCAGGTCCCTTCATTACCAGCCTAAGTAAAGTTAATCTGCCCTCTTTCCCCTAAGTCTATGCTGAAGCATAATGAACAAAAGGCTTAATCACTATGGTATCAAGATATGCCTTTCTGTCTGTGCAAATGTTCTTGGGTTTGTAATGTGAACATGATGCACTCATTTGGAGCCATTGTTCTCTCTAAATGAGAAAATGCAAATGAAGCACTCAGGGTACCATGCCATAACTCACTGCATAAAATTCTTGACATCAACATGAAGCTACTTAGCATAATTTTCCTGTTAATAAACTGCCAATTTAGTCATTTAGGTTTCAGCTTCTAAAGACTGCAACAGCATCAAGCTGGATATTTTTTCTCCCTGTATATGTGTGAGTTTATTATTTTGATGTTTATATTAAAACATAGGAAATTGGAGTTTATGCAATTATTTGGAGATCTTCTATCCTAATTTGTTTGCTTTCATAATTTAGGGAATCTGCTCATTTGAAAGACAACACAAGTTTTCAGAGCATTTTCTTCAGTTCAGGACAAAATTTTCATATTTAAATGACTGAGGAATATTTTGAAGATTTGACTGAGTAATGTCTATGCCGAAGGTGGCTGAACCAGGAAGCCAAGACTGCCCTGATCCCATGGAGAGATCCTGAAGAGATGAGGAAACTCAAGGGCGTAAGGGATGTCTGGGGGACCCAGCTGGTGCATAAGTCTCATTTCTGGAGCTCACTGTCTTCCTGGCTGAGATCCAGCCACACCAGCCTCCTTGCCGGTTATTAGCCTCTTCATTCAAGGAATATCCATTGTTGCCCACTGTGTGTCAATCATGAAATGACGCTGGGGTAACACATATCCCAGTGGAGGAGACAGGCATGACTTAATTAATCACAGGACCACACTTCCACGCAGAGCAGGGGAGGCATATGGTGTTCTGGGAGAGTAAAGGATCTGACTCAGTTCCTACCTTCAAGAGCCCACAGTCAAGATTTACTCACTCATCACAGCTTGGCAGAAGTTTTACGAAGCTTAGATTATCTGCCAAGATTTTTCAATTCTCCAGGTTGTTGTGAAGTGAAGACGCAGCAAAGAGGCATCGAGTATTTTTGAGTACCTCCTCTGTACCAGACACTGTTCCAGGCATCTGATCTGCAGAGCTCTCATCTTCCTGGTGAGATCGCCGGGCTTCAGGGTTAAGAGCGTGGGCTTGGCATGAGTTAGAATCTGGGGCTACACCACTGTCCAGGCGTGCATTTGAGCTCTCACATTTGTCAAATGAGTACGTGAGTCATAGAGTTGATGAGAAGATTAAAGGGAGCCCAGGGCCTGGTTTGTAGAAAGGGCTTGATAAGCAAAGGTTATTTTACATTGCCAGAGACGGGGGGCCATGTTGGACAACAGCCACATCTGGTATTTTATTTTTTTCTCTCTCCATGTGTGTCTGGGCTGGGCTGAGCTGGAGGCATGTCTTTGTGGAGCAGCCTCTGTCCAGATCATTATTGTGTGATTCAAACCCAGCGCCCAGACGAGCCCTTGGTGCTGTGTCTAGTTTCTCACCTCTTCTGTGGGTCAGTGGACAAGGGTCTGTGAAAAGCAAGGGTCTCCCTCCTGGAGAGTGCCTTGTTGCTGTGAGAAAAACCCTGGCTGCAGCTCTGTGTCTCCAGGGTTCTAGCTGTAAGAAGGGTTCAGCGTCCGGGCTCCCTTTGTGGCCAGGTTTATGGGAGAGCCGATGTGTGGCTGTGCATTGCCCAACACTACAGTGTATGATGGATTGAAATGACTTCACTCTTGCTACTTCCCTAGTTTCAACGTTGGAAGAAAATGAGCTATCCCATCTCTTCTAGTCTGGTTGTTTCTCTTCTCCAAAATTCTGAGATCTTGCTTAGACAGAGAGATCAAGGACTTGACACTTCCCATCCCCTCCCACCCAGGACCCAGTGGCTTGGTTTGCATAGCCAGATGAAGCTCCCTATTTGGGGGTTGGACTGGCCCAAACAGGGGGTATCCTGGGAAGATGGAAGGATCCTCCAAAAGCTGTCTGGTAGCTAGCTTGACCTCATGGCTTCTTGATTCAGTGCATCTATCCTACTTTTTGGGAATCCTGGGAACTTTTATTGTCCCTCTTTCAATCTCAAGTTCTCTGCATCACCACTGGGTGCTTGCTTTCTACAGTGCAAAGGTACCATCAGTCAGATCTGGATCTTGCAGCAAGGGGTAGCCTGGCAGCCTTAGGGCAGCTGAAGCCAGGCAAGGCAGGTCCTGAGCTATTTCCTTCCTATCAGATCATGCAATTTGCTTTGCTTTTTTATGGGTTTGTCTAAAGCAAATGTTAGATGATTATACCAACTCATAATTTATTCTTTATTCATTCTAATAATTAGCAGAGTTGCAATTATCACATAGATTTTAAAATATAAAAGTAAACATATCTTTATAAATTTATCTTAATTTTTAAGATAAAGTCTCAATAAAACTTTTCTTCACCTTTCACTATGGGTTTTGTACCTGTTTTGTGTGGATTTGCTGTGGCTCTGTTTCTGGTACCTGTTATCCTAGGATAACAGGATCTCTTTGTATATTTCTTTTTCAAAATATTGATTGAAATGTTGATTTGGTTATGCTGTCAAGAGTAGGATGGAATTCTGGCCTTCTAGTGGGGCTCAGCACCAGCTTCTTACGTGCTCATCTATCCCGTGGCAGGGGAGAGAAAGAAGTAGGATGGCTACAAGAATCACACACGGCCTGGACCTCCTGCAGGGGCTGAGCTGGGCGGCCATTCACTCTCCCTCCTGACCCTCCAGATGCCACACAGCATCGTGGGCATAGGCCTTCAAAGTGGCCCCCTTGGGAATCCTGGCCCTTAAGCCAACTGGACTTCAGTGCTGACATCTGCTTAGAAGGTCTCCAGGACAAATCCACGAGCAACCTGATAGCTCTAGCCTCAGCTTGGGTTTGTAACCCAGTGGGGAGGTTCCCTTGGAAGTGACCTTTGCAGGCCTTTTGTGTTTCTCAAAGTGAAATTTTACCTTGGAGCCAGGCACTGTTCTCAGGGGTTACCCGTGTTAACTCATTAATCCCCACTTTACGGATGTTGAGAATGAGTTTCAGAGCACTTCAATAGCTTGCCAAGTCACGTGGCTGGAAAGAGCTGGGACCAGGATTTGAACCCAGTCAACCCAGCTCTGAAATCAGCTCTCGACCCACTCTTCCAGACTGCCTATCTAGGGGCACCATTCCCACCAGATGGGGCACCATGGAGACAGGAGGGCCCACGCTGCTTCTCCTTCCAACCCCACAGGCCTACTTATAAAGCACCACAATTGCCATATCAGTCCTGGACGATGCCATTGATTTTAGTGGCATTCAGATCACAAGAGCCTGTCTGGAGTTGTGCCCTGGAATTATGCTCCCCACATCCATTAGAGCTAATGGGAAACGTCTGCATAAATCGCATGGTGATGGGGAGTTACAGCTCTGAGTTGGCCTCAGTGGACTTTAACTGCCTGCTCCGAATAGGATAGCTCATCCTTCTGGTTGTCACATAGCCCCTTGTATGGCACTTGTTCTTGGGCGGCCTGGGGATGGAGAGAATAGTGCAAAGCCCTGGGCGGGGTATTTTGTAGCCGTGTGACCTTGGGTCAGTTATGTCACCTCTCTGAGCTGTCATCAGTTTTCCCATCTGTGAAATGAAGCCAACATCTCTGTGTGCTGTTGTGAGAAGAGTTAAAGCCCTGAGCCCAGCACATGGCAGCACTCCTGTCCTTCCACCATTTTTCCTCTAAGCCCAAGGGTTCTTCACCCAGCACCCATGGTTGGGCCTTGGAAGGTCAGTCCACGAAATGGAATGCAGGAAGGGGTTTGTATCACACGAAAGTATTTTGGAGGGGGCAGCGATCATGGTTTTTGTGTTTTCCCAAAGAGTCCATGACCTAGAAAACTACATCAGATCAGGAAGTTCTCAAGGACGGTTGTTTCTTCTCTATAATCACAGTGCTCAGCTCTGTGTCTGTCACCAGTAGGTTGGCAGAGTACAAAGGAACAGTCCTTTCTTTCTGGAGTTCTGAGCACTGTGTGCTCCTACATATGGGAGGAACAGTGGCCTTTTCCCATGGGAAGAGACCTGGTGCTAGCTAGCAAGTCTGTTGGGTTGGTGGGGCCCCTCACACCCTCCATCCCTGGCCCTTTCAGCGGCCACCTGGGTAAGAGCTCCTGGCTCTCCTTCCCTCCTCTCTGGATTTCCAGTTAGTGCCTTTCCTTCTGTACTGCAGGCTCCTGAGTCAGGCTGTTCTTGCTCTTTTTAGATGGGGGCTGGGTTTCCATCTAGCCTCTGCCTCACACAGTGTATTAGAAACTGCCCAATGTGCCCAAAGTCCATGGAATGAAGTGTCCAACCAGAGAAACTGGTTGGTCTTCAAGCTGCATCCCATCCCAAATGCTTTCCTTCTTCCTCCAGAGACAGAGCTCTCTGGGAACCTGGGCCTCCATTTTTCCAGCACTGGGACCCAACAGGGGTTGTACTGCTCTTTGGTACTTAAATTCTCTGACTGAGAACACGACCAGGTGCACATCCAACCAGAATCTGGAGAGGCCATGAGGCTCAGAAGAGAGAGGCTCTGTGAGCGCAGAGTGCAACTAGAGACGGAGGTTTCCCCTGTTCAGTTGCTCATTTGTGCATATATTTGTTCATTCATCCTGCAAGTTTTACTGTTCCTGATAGTATTTATTTTAAGTCTTGGGACAAAGGTGGCACGGTGATGGTATTGTGTGAACATTTATTTGGTTACTCTTTTCTCATATGATGAGGATGTTCTGAGCCATTCCACTATCTCCCAACCCACAGATGCTGAAACTGTCTTCAAATATTGGTTATTTGCCAATTTACTTATGATTTGACTAGTTTTATACAACAACCAGGTTGCACAGCCAAGTGCCTAGGCCAGGGTCATGCTTTTTAACCAGCTCTAGGGGTACCTCTGCATGGCCAGGCTGGGGCCAAGGGCTGTGGAGTACCCAGGAGAAAAGAAAGGAGATGTGGCCTCCATTCCCTGGGTAACTGCCAAATCCCAGGAAGGTGGGTTTGTGCCCCATGAAACAGTGTGATTCTGATGGGTGCATGCATCTGAGGATTTGGGGTAAGAAAGTAAGAGGACACTCATCCCAGTTATCATCCAAACTGGGATGCTTGAGTGACAGGGGGTACTACTGATAAATAGAGTGGACAGTAAGTGTAAACCCAGGCTGTCCCTGGCAAATGGGACATTTGGTTCACTTGAGTCAAGAGAAGGCTTCATGAAGATAGGTGCTCTTGGGCTGAGCCTGGTGGAGGGCCGGGCTTGTATTCAGATTGCAAATTCCCAGGAAGGGATGGTTTGGTCAGATGCAACCAATGATTGTCATGGTGAGCATATTGCAGAGTCCATTTTTCCCTTATCCAAGGAATAGGCATTGTGGGGGGCTGATGGCTGATAGCTGATGGCTCATGTCCAGGGCAGAGAGAAGCACCATCTTCCCGTGCAGTGGGCTGACCCCTGCCTCATGGCACTCCTCCCTGAGCCCATCCATGCCAGCGTCAGTTCTGGCTGAGATCCTCTGGATGCAGATCTTTCTGGATTGCAGAGCATGGAAAGACACATCTCAGGCTCTGCAGGGGTAGTTTCCTAAACTCAGTGTCTTTTCAGTCCTCTTGCCCAGCGTGCCCAGGGAGAGCATATTGGGCTTCTGCAAGTTTACAGAGATGTGTCAGAGCCCCTTCATCTCCAAGCCAATAAAAATAATATTAATCTCCAACATAAAAGTGAGATCTATCCTCACAGATAGCTCCTTTAGAACTGGCTGGGGACATGAGCATTTGGATGAGCCTTATGCTACGTCTGGAAACTATTAATATTTACAGTGGAGTCTCTGGCCCTTCAGGTGGCTTGAGATGAAACCATCATTTTTCTGGTCATTTTGGCAGTGAGGGAGAAGAAGAAGGAAAAGATGGTATGATTAGGACAAGTCACTGTTCCAGGAAGGTGGACTTAGGAGTTGTAGCCTGCTCTGAAATGCTGCAGAGTGGCCCGAGCCATTGCTCAGCATGCCAAGAGCAGCTGATGGCTGTTTTTCATTAGGGAAAATAAACATCTCTGAAAGTGCTCTTCCTGCTGCCAAGGCAGGAAAAATAGACTGAAGAAAATATACTGAAGGAGCCAGTGTTTTCAGAATAAGTGAAGCCAGTCCTTGTAGAGCACATCTCTCAAGTATTATAGAAGTCAAATGTGGAGTTTGCACATACAGGAGAGAATGTGGTTTATCTGACAACACTGCCAGCTGGTGTCTCAAGATTGGAGCTGATTCCAGTGAATAGATGGGCTCTTGATTGGGAAACGTTTGGTCCAATCACTATAAAAATCCTTCATTTCCTCCCCATCTTCTTAGTTCCTTCTAAAGTGATCAAAATGGATATGACCCGGGGGTGGTCTGTAATCTGAAGAGATGGCCTTCCTGCCTGTATGTGACAGCTGTGCTTCACTTTGACACAGTCCATGTGTCTACAATTTTGTGTATAAAATAATTTATAACTCAGATCTCTTTTTAATGCCCTGGGGAAGTTTGTTATGGATTGTTATTATAATCAGTCATAATAGGTGATATTTATTGAATGCCTACTATGTGCCAGAGACTGCCTGGTGTGAATATAGTGGAGAATACAGCCATCAAGTCCCTTGCTCTCATGGAATTGGTTTTCTGGTGGAGGAGTTAGACTTCACCGGCTCTCCTATTCCCTGTAAATTAAGGCCAGCTATGTTTCTCTCCCAACCCCATCTCAGGAAGACCTAGACCAAGGCAATAGCCCCCACATCATAGGCAACTCCCTGGGCTGGCCTACATTTGGGCCACATTGACTGGTTGGTTCTCAAATTTTTAAAAGGAGAGAATAACCAGAGGGGAAGGTAATGTCAGGAGATAGAGTTGCAGCTCCTTTGGCTCTGTGCCTAGGGAACACATGGCCGGGGTTGTGACTGTCCCCTCCTCTGTGGATTTCCTTGTGCCACTGGGGCCATACACAGCCTGTGAGGCAGGTTGTATCTGCTCTAATGGAGCAGGACAAGCTAGGGTCTGGGAGGAGGAACGGTCAGGTCCAGTGGCTCTGGTTCATGACTCAGGCCCAGCAGTGAGAGTAATAAGGCTGGAGAGTAATCAGGTCACATAGTGAAGGTCAGGGACCACCTGGGGAGTAGCCCTAGTATAGCAGCCTCAACCATGACAAAATAGGGCAGAGACCCACCCACAGCGGGTCCTGGAGGAGATGAAAAGGGCGTTGCCAGGAAACCTACCTTGGAAGCTGTGTAGCCAGAGCCAAATACAAGCAAGCCACCTCATTCTAGAGAGAAGGAGGCAACTGGACGTCTTTAATGAACTGAGTCCCTCCCTCTTTTCTTCCCTCCCCTTCCCTCCCCACCTCTCCCTCCCTCCCTCCCTCTCTCCCTTCCTTCCTTCGTTCCTTGCCCCCTCCCTCCCCCTTCTCTTTCTCTTCCCCTTTCCTGCCCCCTTTCCCTCCTTCCCTCTTTTCTTTCTACCCCACAGCTAGTTACTGACAATATCATGTACTAGGCTCTGTTCCAAGCATTGGAGTTACACATGCTCAGCTTTCAAGGAATCCATAGACGAATTTCTAACCTGGTAATTAAACATGCCTCCTGGGAGTACAGATGGGAGGGCCCTGAAATGCAAGGAAGCCTCCCCAGTGCCCGGGCCTCAAGCAACACCTGAAGCCTGGAATTAAGGGAAGCACTGTGCAGAAAGGGCTCCAGGCAGGCATGAGAGGAGCCCTCTCTGCAACCCAACTGGATGGCTGCAGCCTCTGGAGAGCTGCTCTAGCCTGGTGGCCCTCACCCCACAGGGTACCCTATGGGGCCTTACAAACTTTACCAGCTTCCTATACTTCCTCCTCTGAAGAAAGGTTTGTTTAGTCCTCAGAGCACAGCATCCCAAAGCCAATTCACTTCATCCTTGAGGCTGAGAAAAGGAAAGGGCTTTCTCAGGGCTAATGGAAGGAGTAGGATTCAGATGCAGAGCTCTGGGCTCCAGGCTCCTGTTCCTGACCCAGGCTACAGGGATGCTTTCCAAGCCAGCTATAGCCTTCCTCCTTCATGTGCATCATTCGTTTTCCCCAATTGTTTGGCGCTATTTGGTTTTATTGTTGCATTTAGGTCCCAGAAGATGATTATGTTCCATGAAATGGAGTGATTGATTGACCTTTTGAAATGTCAACAGCCACTGCTGGCAGGCTCCAGAGGATTTTGTGGGCCTCATCAGCCTCCTAGACCATGTGATAGGCAAGACATCAGTGAGAGGGGAGCGTCCAGAGGCCGTGGAGCTTGGCAACTGCTGGTGGGCAGGATCCTGGAGGAACGGGGCCATGAAATCATACCTATCATATAAACAAATCCTGCCACAGGATTGTTAGGGAATGGGAGAGCAGCAGCAGGGAAGAGGTGAGTCAGGGAGCTGCCCAGTGCTCCTTAGCCAGGCACTAGTTTGGTCCTCTGACCACTCCTCTTTGTAGAAGAGGGAAACTCACCCAAGCCTTAGATTCTCATGGATGCTTAGCCCCTGATAAAAGGAATAACGTTGTGCTTATGACCTCATGATGATGCAGTGTGAGAGAGTGCCTTTACCTCGCCATCTGCATGGGTGTGGGCTGTGGCCTCCCGAGAGCCCAGTGGAGACATGATGAGCTGCCAGAGAATCATGGAAGCTGCTATTGGGTGGGGCCCGTCTGCACTGCCTTACCGCTCCTCCTCCATGTCATCCTGTCCCTGAGCAGTATTGCACGGTTTCCAAATTCAAGGGCTCTGGTATAGCAGGAGGGAGGGATGGGATGAAACCATCCTGTTTCTGTTGTGTTGGTTGGAGGTGGAAGAGCCTCGTGGAAGTGGGCTGGTCAGAAGTACATGCTTGTGAGTGTTTATGAATATGCAAGTCTGTAATTTGCACAGTAAAGGGTGGATGAAACATCCTTCTAGCAGTTGGAAAGGTCTGTCACATGGCATTTATGAAATTTCCCAGTACAAAAGATGGTCAGCATTCACCATGATGACTGAAAGCCTTCTAAGAGTCTTAAATGCCTTCAGTCTCATCAGTTATTAAGTTGTAGTGTATTTTATTTTACTCCTTGAAAAAATTGGTAATTCTAGTTAAGCAACTCTGGTAATTTTCTTTTAACTAAGATGTTTAATGAACCAGAACATCCTTTTGCTAACCATGCTTGGTAAAAGAGGTATCATCCATCAATTTTCCAGTATTGATCATAATGGTGATATACAAGTAACTAAAGCATAATGATAGGTATCATTTTTTGAATGCCAACTGTGAACTAGGCCCTGTGTGCTAAATAATTGATATGAATTTTGTTTTGTTGTTCCAATGACCCTATTAAGTAGGTATTATTGCCCGTAATTAACAGATAGGGTTTGGAGAGATTAAATAGTGCATCCAAGACCATACAGACCAAGGGACAGGGATAGACTTGATTCCATTTCTGTGCTCACCTCCTTCCTATTACGGTGCTATTGGACACCTACACTGTTGACAGACTTTATGGGAGCATTTGCAGGGATGCACTCAGCCCATGTATTGTAGCATAGTTGGGGAGATGGTCAAACACAGAGGAGAAAGGAAATGCAAACAAGGTTCTTAAGTTTCCTTGCCATTCACATGATTCAAATAGCTGAGAAGTGCTAGAGCCACAGTGTGTGTGTGTGTGTGTGTGTGCGTGTGTGTGTGCGCGCGTGTGTGTGTGTGTTGCAGGAGGCTTTCTGGAAAAGAAGCAACTTGATTTGGATCCTGAATAATGTGAGGGAGAGGATGAGTAGAGGGGAAAGGGCTCTGGATGGGAACTCAGAGGACCCATCACAGGGATGGAGAGATTTGAAGATGCTGCTCACGCAGGTACTGGGGTTCTGTTGTTGCCAAGTCCCATGCCCCTAGGCTGCTGGGTTGTCCCTGATGAATCCCCTAGGAAGATCCCTGCAGGATCACAGGAACGCACAAGGTGATCCTGGGTCTTGTGGTTGTCAGGGGTCCTGTGAGAAGGATTTATGGCCCAACTGAGGCAGCCCCAGAGCCAAGAGGTGAGCAGGAACCTGCACAGAGGCCTGGTGGACGCCAGAGCAGAGGAGAGCCAGGGTCCCACCATTCCAGAAGGAGGTGTGTGGAGCCTGCAGGCAGCCTCTGTGCCATTTCCCTGACTATGGCTAGAATTAATCTGTAAAATATATATTCTGGCTGGGCAAAATGGCTCACACCTGTAATCCTAGCACTTTGGGAGGCCGAGGCAGGTGGATCACCAGGTCAGGAGTTCAAGACCAGCCTGGCCAAGATGGTGAAACCCCTTCTATACTGAAAATACAAAAAATTAGCCGGGCGTGATGGCAGGTACCAGTAATCCCAGCTACTTGGGAGGCTGAGGCAGAGAATTTATTGAACCTGGGAGGCAGAGGTTGTAGTGAGCCGAGATTGTGCCACTGCACTCCAGCCTGGGCAACAGAGCGAGACTCCATCTCAAAACAACAACAACAACAAAAACATATATTCCACTAACTTTCACATCCCACCACAGACATCAGGCACTTAGCCAGTATCCAAATGCCTGTGCCATTTAGCTCCATGGAAGAAATGTCTTGTCACCTGCAGTTATAATTCCCAGGGAACAGGCAAATGCGTTTTCATGTTTCCATATCACAGATGAACCTTGATTCTGTTGGTGTCGCATCTTAGAGCAGTAGTGGGTGTGCCATTAGGATCTGGTGTGTGACCCAGCTGACACCATGCCTGAAAATAGCAGAGGTTACTGCTGGCAGAACTGGCCTTTTCCTCAGGCAGTCACCTGAAGTAGTGATGACAGGCATTGGGTACACCCCAGGGGGTGGAGTGAAGCCCACGCTGCTGACAGTATCTTATCATGCCCAGGCTGGGGAGCCTCACAGAGGAAGAGAATCCTTGAGCTGCTGTAAATTTGAATCAAGACATGCCCCTGGCCATATCCAGGTGTTACCTGGGTGCTTCTTACCTTGTAAGAACAATGGCAACCCGGTGCCTTTGAGCCCCTTTGATGAGGATGTAGGATTTAGGACTGGCATTCCATTTCCTAGTTCAATCTGAGCTGAATGTTTGTGGGTCTGCTTTCTGCCTGGGGGCCTGAACCCTTGGGTCACTGACCCCAGCCTTGGCCTGTAGGGAGACATGGGAACCATAAAGTTGGTCTCTTGGATCTCTGCTTATTGCTCTAGATCCTTCACTAGGGCTGTGCCCACAGCTTCTCACAATTGCCAGTCAATTCCATGAAGCTGTTTGTTAAAACAATTTCTTAGAACAATTAGCCAAAATAATCAAATACTAAAGTGGAAACAAGCTGAAACAAATTAGTTATGGGACTGAATTTCCCAGTTTCCTCCTCCATCACATAGACAGCTGTTTGCAGAACTCCAGAGAGGGCCCTCTGCTACCAGTCAAGATCTTGTCTCTGATGGTGTGGAGATGATAACCTCTTCCTATCCCCAGCCCTGTTCCCTGTCCCTCCACCCTCCCACCCCTAGGACAGCCCAGCCTCACATCCGTGTGGTGAGTAGCAGGTATCCACAAGTGTGTTTTGAACACACCAATTTTCCTTCAGAGGTTTTCTCCTATATTGCCTCTCAATGGAAAATCAAGGGGCCTGAGCGAAATGAAAATCAAGCTTTGCCGCCTGTGCTAGCTGCATGTCCTGGAGTGGCAGGAGCAGCATCCCTTGCTCGGCCCTGGAGTCCCCTCCTCTCTCTGAGGCTTTCCTCTCTGGAGGTTCACTAGGCTTTGCAGTTCAGGGGCCTACTTTTGTGCCCTCAGCGAGTTCCTGGCCTTCTCTTCCTGCCTGGGACCCTGCAGAGCCTCGTCTCATTATCTGTTTCTACAGCAGGCTGAGCCTGGGCATTCTTGCAGGTGCTCCTTTCACAGATGGCTCCATTTCCTCTCTGGAAGTTTCCTCAGGTACAAAGACTTTTCCATCCTGGCTGGCCCCTCTCTTCAGCCAGGGCAGACTGGTCATTTGCACAACCTATCTGACATTCTACGGAAGTGTCTCGCAAAGAACCGTCAGTTGGGCCTGCTGCAGTGATCGTTAATGGCCCAGATGGGTATGCATTTGGCAGAGACAGTCCTGGTGTCTAATCTGGGCTCTTGTCTAAGTGACAGTCCACAGAGAGATAGAGCCCTGGGAGGAGCCGACCCTGGCTTTGTAAATGCTTTCTCCTCCCAGCCCTTCAAAGTTGATGGCTATGCAGGAGCCCCTTTAAAATGATCTAATTGGAATGGTAACGGATGTAGTATTCTGCCACAGCTAACAGCGAGATTGGAATTTGAGGAGATGCAGAGACAAATTACCTCTGAATTCTCTCGCAGCCATAAAAGGTTTTTACTGTATAGTAATTTTCCATTCCTGCTGCAGGCATATTTGCATATTGCTTAACAATTTATCTCCTGTCATTTGTCAGATATTATCCATCTCCAGTTAATAAGCTAAGACAGGTCATATTAAGACTTTGCAGGCCTCTTGTGCTCCCCACAGTAGGTGACACGGCTCTCCTGCCCACAGGGCCTCCCTGTCATGGGAGCAGACAGATCACGGTGGGGCAGCATTGTGCTGTGTCTTGTCCACAGCATCTTCCACTTCTGTCCCCATGTAGGGAGAAGAGAGAGCGATGGGTATGTGCTGCCCTGTTTGCAGCTGTGTGCCTGGCACCTGTGGAGGAAGCTCCAGTGCCCTGCCTCTTCAGTGAGTGCCAGGCTCTGCGTACGAACAGCCCTGCCCTGGAATCTGCTCTCAGCTCTGGCTCCCAGGCTCTCCAAGATTTTACCTAACTCCTTTCCTTCCCTGGAACTCAGTCCTCAGTTCTCCACTTCTAGAAGAAGGATTCTAGAATAAGGCTAATTAACTACTTCTTTTATATCTATAAAAGCATACTTTCTTCCAAACCAAGGTTTCCCTGGAGCCCCAGTCTAGAGAACAGGCAAGTGGTAAGTGGTGTTGAAGGATGATGGAGGATGGGCCCTGTATTCCTGCCTGTTCCCACTCACCCCTCTTGCTCCCCAACACAGAGATGTCCCCAAGCCCCCGGACTCCGGGGGCCCCATGGAGCACAGTGTGAACAGGCCTGGAGGGGTATTCTTGGTCCTACCTCCTGCCCCAATGCTCTGAGGTTCCAGGGTTATTGGCTCATTTGTCCAGCACCTGCCGCTGGTCTGGCCCTGTGCTCAGGCCGAGGAGCCATAGCCTTCTCTAGAGCTTAAGCTTAAGATGCTGGGACTCTGCTCACTCTGAGTCTAGGATTGATACTAGGTTCAGTTGGCTATTGGTGGACAGATTTTGAGAGGAAAGAAAAATGGTTTGATGCCGAATGTGTGATGACATTTGCATAATTGAATTGAAATAGAATTAAAGGGTCGTATGTTTACACAGCGATGCTTCAAATCAGATTGCAGTGATGTGTGCTCAGTACTAAAATGTGTTCCTTAGGGACATGTGGATATCTGCTTCCCAGAATCTGTACAAAAGCTGGAGAGAAGTCTGGGGTGGGGGATGGTTTCAGGGGCTGCCTGTCAAGGGAGCAGATTGGTATTCATGACAGTGGTAGAGTTTACTGAGGATTTCCTGGGCGCCAGGACATGAGCTATGTGCTCTACATAGGTTTCCTTATGGAATGCTCACAGCATCAGTTGAACCCAGGCAGGGCTATCACAGGACCTGTTCTCTTGGCTGTTCTCTGTGGAACTGAGTGGGATGAGCTCAGGCATTTGCACGGGGCACACACTCATGCGTTTTATTGGGGAAAACACGCAAACGTGTTCTACTGTGTGCATTTTGTAAGGAACCCTATGCTTTTTGTGTTCCTGCTACAATTTCTAAGCTTGACCCCTTGCTGCTACTTTGATCTGAAAATGAAATATCAAAAGGTACCAATCAGAAGGTGTGTGCGGAAGAACTAAGAACCAGCGATGAACAGTAACAGATTATTGTGCAGTACTGAACTGTGTCCTCCAACCATGGTCACCTGCATTCCTCAGCAATGCCATTCAGGGAACCTGAGGCTGGCCTGTGGGGTGTGTGTGTGTGTGTGTGTGTGTGTGTGTGTGTGTGTGTGTTTCTGTGTCTTTCTGACTAGGTTCTCACCTGGTTTTTCTTTTCTTTCTTTCTTTTTTTTTTTTTTTGAGACTGACTCTTCCTCTATTGCCCGGGCTGGAGTGCAGTGGCGTGATCTCGGCTCACTGCAACCTCCGACTCCTGGGTTCAAGTGATTCTCCTGCCCCAGCCACTGGAATAGCTGGGATTACAGGCACCTGCCACCATGCCTGGCTAATTTTTGTATTTTTAGTAGAGACGGGGTTTCACTATGTTGGCAAGGCTGCTGTTGAACTCCTGACCTCAAGTGATCTGCCTGCCTTGGCCTCCCAAAATGCTGGGTTTACATGCATGAGCCACCATGCCTGGCTCTCACCTGGTTTTTCTATTCAATATGGAATGTCCCCCTGGGGCAGTCAACCTGGTCAACCCTGGACAGTTGTCAAAATTATGATAAAGACACTGTCATTTCTTATCTACACAAAATGGACCTAATTTTCCGCCTGCGTCTGAATGAGCAGAGAGAGGCCCGTCCTTCTCAAGTCCGTGGGGGCAGTTCTGCCTTTTTGTCATTCGACATTATCTGTGCATGGAAGATTTGGAGTCCTATGGAACTTCCAAATGAAGGCCGGGAATAACTTCTTTCTAAATGTATACCTGGGTCCCTTCAAAGACTCATCTTCACACTCCATTTAAGCCTTAGAAAGCCCAGTGAGGTAGGTCATGTGTTACCCCCTGAGTGGATGAGAAACCCGAGGCCCTGAGAGGTCACATGGTGGTTGGGATGGCAGAGCAGTAATGAGAATGAGCTGCCTGGGTTCACCTCTTTTGGCTCTGCCCCTTGGGGGCTGTTTGCAGTAGGTTTGGGTATCATTCCTGGGGCTGCACTCCATCCCGGAATACAGTGATACATCTGTGCCCTTGGCATAGGCAGAGCACCTGCCCCATCAGGCACACTCACCTTGCCTGTTGGAGGATGAGCAGACCTGTCGTGAGCAGAAACTTTTGGTGTGGTGGTTTGGTGTGGTGGCTTGGTGTGATGGTTTGGTGTGGTGTTTGGTGTGATGGTTTGGTGTGGTGCTTTGGTCTGATGGTTTGGTGTGGTGTTTGGTGTGGTGGTTTGGTGTGGTGCTTTGGTGTGATGGTTTGGTGTGGTGGTCTGGTGTGATGTTTTGGTGTGATGTTTTGGTGTGGTGGTTTGGTGTGTGGCTTGGTGTGATGGTTTGGTGTGGTGGCTTTGTGTGATGGTTTGGTGTGGTGGTTTGGTGTGGTGACTTTGTGTGATGGTTTGGTGTGGTGGTTTGGTGTGATGGTTTGGTGTGGTGGTTCAGTGTGGTGGTTCAGTGTGATGTTTTGGTGTGGTGGTTTGGTGTGGCTTGCTCTCTGATGCTACTCGATGTGTGGTTGAGGAAGCTCATCCCACCTGGCTGTTGATCCTGCAGCAGGGGCCTGAATGAAGACCGCGGGCAAATGTGAATCTGACAAGAAGTCTGGAGTTGAGTCTGGTACAACCGAGCCCAGGCTAGATTAGCTAAATTGTAGCCAACCTGCAGACCTGGAAGAATGAATGTTGTGTAAGGCACTGGGTTGTTTTTTTTTTTTTTTTTTTTTGAGATGGAGTCTCACTCTTTCACCCAGGCCTGACTACAGTGGCGCTATCTCGGCTCACTGGAAGCTCCACCTCCCGGGTTCACGCCATTCTCCTGCCTCAGCCTCCCGAGTAGCTGGGACTACAGGTGCCCGCCACTGCACCTGGCTAATTTTTTGTATTTTTAGTAGAGACGAGGTTTCACCGTGTTAGACAGGATGGTCTCGATCTCCTGACCTCGTGATCCTCCCGCCTTGGCCTCCCAAAGTGCTGGGATTACAGGCGTGAGCCACCGCGCCCGGCCATGGCACTGGGGTTTTTGAAGCTTTTGGTTATACAGTGAAAACAGACTAGCACTACTCCCTGGGGAAGTACCTAACTCTTCTGAGCCTCCATTTCTTTATGAATAAAATCAAAACACTAACACCAACCTCGTAGAGCAGTTGTGAGGGTTAGCTGAGGTAAGCACAGTTCTCGGTGTGTAGTAAGTACTCATTTCTGAGCAGGTGGAGTTTCCTCGGGGTGGTTTTTGATGCAAATGGTCCTTATAGCAGAGGGGGAGTGCCTGGTTTTTAGGCAGATGCTGATTCTGGCTAGTTTTGTTTCCTCCTGGCTTCCCAGCTCCAAATGGCCTGACTGGCTGAAGCAAGTGGAATCTAGCACAGATTCCTCAGGCCCTGTGTGGACACTGGTGAGCCTAAGTGACATCATACCAAGTCTCATGGTGAGGGCACCTTCCTTCCTCTTAGCTGTTTTAAATGTCATACTCTGCCCTCAGAAAGGAGGGGCTGGTGAGAGGGCTGGAGTCCAGAGGCCTGGGTTGTAGTGGGCCCTGACCTCCAGGACACCATTGACTGCCTCTCCTTCTGGCTGTATTGAGATGCTGTCCCTCAAGGCATTGGCTTGTCACTGTCATCCTATAAGCGACAGGTCAGAGCAGTTCATACTGTGGCTTCAGGAATAAATTTGCTTCTCTGAATAGAAAGCAAAGGTGGTGTACCTGAGAGCCGTGGGTCTGTCTCCTTTGAGGGAAACCCACCAGGTCTCACAGAACCACTGCCCGGCCTCCCGAGGTCTCGTTGTATTTTGTAGCTGTCAGCCCTTCCAGCCCAGAGGGGACTTTGGCCATTGCTGTGAGACGCTTGAGAGCTCCAGATTCTCAAGGAGCCTTTTAGGACGGTCCTGAGATCTCCTCACTTACCTAACAGGGAAAGCATCTCCCATGTATGGAGCCCTGTATCTTTGCAGATGCTGTGCCAAGCACGTTACACGCATTATCACTTGTAATAGTCATGCATTATTGCATGTAATGGTCACGCATTATCGCATGTAATGGTCACACATTATTGCACGTAATCATCATGCATTATCGCATGTAATAGTCACAACGGCTCCATCATGTTTGACAGAAGAGCAAATGGAGGCTGACAGAGACAGTGCTCCCCACCCACCCCACCAAGGTCACCTGGCTGATAAGTGGCAGAGTTGGGATTTGGACTCAGGTCTGTGATTCACACTGTACTCTTCATTGCCACAATGACTGTCCCTGTCTGTCTGTCCTTCCTTCTTTCCCTGGAGTCTGTCTGGTGAGGCTCAGCCCTCAGTACAGATGCTCTCCTGCCATCTCTGGAAGCTTCTGGCAGCCCCTGGCTTCTGGATCTTTTCCTCCTGTCTCTGGGGGTGCTGCTTGCTGCTGCCTGAATGATTTTTCGACGCGAGCAGGGTGTGGGTTGTTAAGTAAGGGTATGAAGTAGTTGCTTCCTCCCTGTGGCTTTGACTTTGATAGTCAGGGGTCAGAGGAAGCTTGCTCTGGTTTCTTTTATGAAAGCCACACATTCACAGTGATGCTTAATAAATCCTCATGGAATTGAATTGGGAAAAAAGAATCTGCCCTCCAGAAAATGCTAGAACCCAAGTAGAAATAAAGCTGTTCTATTGAGGATAAAGACTTGGAGATAAGCCCTCATCTATGGGAGCTATCTTTTTGGGGGTACTTCCCCTGGTGACAGGGACAGACACTGGGGGAGTACAGCGGGCACGTGCCCTCCAGCAGGAAATTATCTGTTGAGAATTGCAACGGGTCCTGGCACCTTGCTGATTTTGCCAGGCCATGCTGGTGGATAGTCTCACGTGAGGTTGGGAAAGTGGTGACCCTTCCTTGGGCCATGGCAACGGGCCCTCACTTTCCCCTGCCTCTGAGGGCCAGAGCCTGCAGAGGGGACTGCTGAAGCCTGCCATCTACATGGAGCTTTCTGTCATACCAGAAGGGGCCCATTTCAGATTGACTTTATAAATTCAGCCTCTTAAAAATAAAGAGATTCTAGCAAGTGGGGCTTCAGTTTTCACTCCTCATTAGCTGTTGATGTGTCTTGGGTTTTCTTGGGAAATTCATGCAAATGGAGAAGGTGGGGTAGAGACTGTCTTTTCCATTGCTTCCAAGACAGAGAGGATGAATGTGTATATTTGTCATTGGGAAGAGGTCAGCATGGTCTGGGGCAGGGGGAGGAACCTGCTGATCCCATACTGTGGCTGCCCAGTGTGGCTGGTGGAGAGGCTGCATCTGGAGAGTGGGCGCTGAATTGGGCAGGGCCGTGTTTCACCCGGGGTTGCCTGAGTTGATCCTGGCTGTAGCCCCACCGAGTCCTTCCTCAGGGTGGTAGATGGGAACAGCAGGATTCTCATGTGGTGCCTCCCAGCCCTTGGCCTGCCAGCAGTGTGGGCTCAGCACCAACAGAGAGCACATTTGCTGCTTATATAATATCCCTGCTAGTCACTGGCAGAGACAAAGAGGAGCACCACACAAAAGATGTGCCCACAGTTGCCATGGTGGTTTCCAAGCCCTCCCCCTACCCTCCACTCATTCCTCCTAATCGCCCTGTGTTTCGGGCACTGCGGCTGAGGTAGCTGCATTGTCTGGTCCAAGGACCTGACGCTAGGGTGTTGGGGCTCCTCTCCTACAGGCAAGCTTGGGGTCCATTTAGGCTTCGTGGGCCTCAGGCCATGGCTCAGAAAGGACAACCTCTCAGCCTCACACTTTGATGATTTCACAGCATAATTTTCAGACCCCTATCTACACAAGAGCATGCACACACCCCTGTACCCACTCGCATACCTAACACAGAGGCTGTGGGTGTCTTCATGGGGGCTGCCCACTGGGGCTTCCCCTCCTCCTTCCCCACAGCCCTTCTTGCCTAATCCAGATGAACTGGAGCCACCTGGGGAATCTGTCTATCTGTCCATCTGTTCACTTATCCACATGTAGTTATTCACTCAACAGATACTTTTGTGAGGGCCAGCCACATGTCAGAGAAGTGTGCAATGCAGAAATGATCAGAGGTGACCTTTTGGTAGGAGAGAGAGACACGACTCATTAAAATGAGATACGACATGCCAGAGGAGAGCCCAGATAAAGGGCTCTGGGGCTTCGAGGACAGGGAGATCAGGCAGGGGAATTCTAGGGTCAGGGTGAACATGAGCAGAGGCACAGGGCACAGGCCTGGGATGGGCCCCAAGGACCTGCAGGAAGGCTGGTGGATGGGGCGGATGCCCAGAGGATGGTCACAGGGCTTCGGCAGGATATTGAGGCAAAGCTCAGAGCCCCAGACAAAGCCAGGACAGCTGAAGACCAAAGATACCCCCCAGTCCCCTGCATGCCCTGAAAACCAGGAGTGAGCAAAGAAGGAGGAGAGAGGAGGTCAATATGGAAGTCAGGAGCGTAGGCTTCAGAGCCGGGCAGCCCTGCGTTCTCCCTGCAGGCTTCTACGGACCAGCCATGGGAAAAGGCTACTCTGCAACTTCTTTAGACGACACAGTGGGAATAAGAGCCACCTCACAGGGTTTGTGTGTGTGAAGAATACAAAGTACTGAGCACAGACTCTTTCCCAGAGTTTAAATGGAGATGGAGTGCTGGGAAAAGTGTGGCTTTATCTCAGAACAGAAGGAATGAGGGAGGTGGGCTGGCCTGATCAGGAACGGAGCCAGCAGAAGCAGACATTGGAACCTGGGCTCCACTTCATGGGAAGAACAGACCTTACTAAGGCTGGCCTCCATGGAGGTCACTCACATCTTTACTTCCATATTGTCCCATCTCCCCTTCCCACATTCTTACATACTCCTGGTTTGCAGGGAGGGGAGGGGGTTGCCTTTGGTCTCTAGCTGTCCTGGCTTTGTCTGGGGCCCCCTGAGGAGAGGAGCAGTACCTGGCTCTGAGCTTTGCCTCAGGATCCTGATGATGACAAGTTGAAAGAGCTTGGCTGAAGCAGGAGCTGGACTTGAATGTTGGGTTCAGTGGCATCCCGGGCATCTTCCTTACTGTGGCTGCTGTCCCCGTTAGGTCAGTGGTGTAAGGTCTCCAGCTATGACCTCTTTGGTCCTTGGGGAGGGGACTGCTTGAGTGGGAACTATGTTTATGTACAAATCCCTTGGAAGAAAATGATAATTTAAGGGGAATAAAGGTTCTGCTTGCTTTGACATTTGAGAAGGGAAACCTGCCTTCCCTTCTGACATTTGACATGTGGAGTTCTCTTTGAGCTTATAGTGTGGGTGAGGGTGCTTGCTGTTGTGCTGGGTGTCTGGGACCACAGATCACGAATGTGAGCCAGAACCTGGTATGCACAGTTGAGGTTAACTGTTTGCAACCATGAGGGAAAGTTGAGAATGTGCTAGCGAAGCTTCATTGCTGGTGGGTGCTCAGAAGCTGGTAGCTATGATGGCATTGATGATGACGATCATGAGGAAGCAGTGGCTAATAAAGAGGGTTGCAGTCAACTGCAACATGGCAGGCCTGGCAGGTCTGTTGTTTCACTCCCTATATCTGCTGGAAAGCCTCTGGGATGGGAGGGACCTGAGGATCCTAGCCCTCATCTGATGCCACAACACAGTGGCTGAAAACAAGGCATTATGGACTGAATGTTTGTATTCAGTCCCAATTTGTATGTTGAAGCCCTAACCCCCAAGCTGATGGTATTAGGAAGTGGGGACTTCGGGAGGCAGAGCCCTCATGATGGGATTAGTGCCCTTATAAAAGAGACAAGGGAGCTTGCTTCCTGCTCTCTCTGCTCTCTGCCATGTGAGGACACAGAAGAAGATGGCCATCTGCAAACCAGGAAGAGGACCCTTGCTAGACACCAGATTTACTGACACCTAGGTCTTTGCAGCCTCCGGAACCATGAGAAATAAATTTCTGTGGTTTAAGCCACCCAGTCTGTGGTATTTTTGTTGTGGCAGCCTGAAGAAACTAAGACATAAGATGAATGGTCACAGGTGCTAGAAGCAGGAACCCAGAGCACTAGGAGGGTACTGTGTGCTCCCACACAGAGCTCATGCTTATGTGTGTATGTGGGAGCATGCAGATCAGCTTCTGTCTCCCAGGCTAGGCTGTGAGCGCCAGGAGAAGAGGAACCATGCTGAGTTTCACAGTCCACGGTGCCCTAGCACCTAGCAAAGTGCTTGGCACATAGCGCATGCTCAGTTAATGTTTTGTGGGTGAATGTTGTTGATTGAGAGGAGGAGACTAAAGAATTTCTGTGGAGTGGAGGTGTAGAGGAGGTACATGGCAGATCGCCCAGGCAAACTCAGTTTTAGGCCCTCGGGTATATCTGGGCCTTTGTGGCACTCACAGATGGGGCCCACTCTGGGCCTGGGAGGACAGCACAGTCCAGAGGCAGCACCCTTTGGAGGGCAGGTTCTTGATCTCCTCTCCCAGATCCTGTCCCCATGCTAGGCACAAATTGCATCAGTTGATGCTTTTCATGGCTTTGCTGGGGATGGGAGGGAATATTTCAGTCTGGAATTTGAAGTCTTTGCACCTCCACATAGAATTCAGGTAAGGCTTATAGGAAGGTTAAATTTAGGTGTTACCTGGACTGGATTGAGTAATACCTAGAGAGCTGATAAGGTATGCCTTCTGGGCATGTCTGTGAGGAGGTTTCTGGAGGAGATGGGCATGTGAGTCTATGGACTGAATGGGGAAGAATTGCCTTCAATGTGGGTGGGCAACAACCAGTTGGCTGGGGCCCAGACAGAACAAAAAAGGCAGAGAAATAGCAACCCCCCACTACCTTGGAGTTGGGAAACTCTTCTCCTTCTGCCCTTGGACATCAGAACTCCAGGGTCTCCAACCTTTAGACTCCAAGACTTACACCAGATGCAGCCCCTTGATCTTGGACTTCCCAGCCTCTTGAACTGTGAGCCAAATAAACTTCTATTGTTCATAAATTAACCAGTGTCAGGTATTCTGTTAGAGCAGCACAAAATGTACTAAGACAGCTCATAATGTCTGGCACAGGAAGCACTTATCCATATCAAGGTGGCAGTCGGAGCCCTTGGGAGGTCAGGGCTGCAGCAACCAAGTAAATCAGTTTATCAATAAAATATGGCTGCTGACACTAATCCACGCCAGTTCTTCTCAAAATGTCAAATCAGAATCGCTCCTTCCCTCTGGGTGGGAACAGAGTACAATTTTCCTCAGGAGATGCATAGGGTATTGTAATTTGGGAGGATGCAAAAAATTTTTCATAATTGTATAATTTGTATATAATTTCTTGTAATAAAGTGTGATGATTATAGTTCTGTTCCCATAAAAGGCTCCCTAATCTTCTAATTATGAGAGGATGTTGTTTCAGCTCCAGAATGGCCCATCTTTAAAAGTTTTCTTATTTTTAAATGTTTATGAGAGAGTCAGTGTAAAGTTTGGATTCTGCTAGCTATATGCTTTTCAGTGGGGCTGGATCAGCAAAGCAGAGGCAATGGCCCTGTCAAGACCCTGTCCACCCAGAAGGGTGAGCCAGGAGTGAGAGAACTTCCTCAGTATGTGGCTGTGTTTAGTTCATACTCATTCAAAAAGCATTTATTGAGCACCTACTCTGTGCCAGGCACTGTTGTAGTTCTGCCATCATGGAGCACCCACATAAGGGTGAGATATATGTGGCTCAAATATTCTTATTAAGAAGCATAACATCGCAGCTGTGATGTGAGCAGTGGTGCAAGGTACACAGTGCAGCAGAGGCAGATGGCAGTGGACCTGACCTAATGGGAGAGGTCAGAGCAGGCCCCCTGAGGAAGTGATATTTGGTTGGGCTGTGAAGGTTGAGTAGGAAGTCATTGGATAATAAGCAGGATGGGGAGGTTGGAACCCCAAGTCAAGGGAGCAGCAGGAAGTGAGAGGGAGTCTGACCTGTTCTCTGCTCACTCTTGGAAGACACCACTTCTTCCTCTCACATCTCCTGTGGCCAGACAGGTAAGGATCTCATCTCAGAGAACATGGAATTTGTACCTTTGCTGGAGAGGGCAGAGCCCCCACAGCCCAGCCTCTTCCACCAACACTCTATTCAAGGGGTTCTCCGTGTCAATTTCTGTGCTTTGCAAGCTGTGCCTCCAGGAACTGAATCTAGCTCTTCTTGTACAAGCCCAGGCCACTGCCCTTTCTTACTGTGTCTTACCTTACTTAACAACAGCCACTATGCCATGCTTCACAGCCAGAGGGATCTTCGTGAGGGAGAGATCTGATCACATCACACCCCTGCTCAAACCCCCAGTGGTTCCCCGTAACCAAATGATGAAACCCACGCTAAGGCTCCAACCTCCTCCAAGATCCTTGTGGCCTCTGTTTCGTCCACTCCAGGCACTTGGCTCATCTTGGGGGCGTGAATGTGCCCTACTCATGCTGTCCTCAGAGTCTTTGCACAAACCACTTACTCTCCCCATAACACTTCCTGCCAATAGGACTCTGCCCTCTTATCCATCTGGCAGACTCCTACCCTTCCTTCCATTCTCAGTTTAAAACACCTCTTCAGGGCAGCTTCCCATCACTCCTGCTGCACCTCTCTTTCCAGCTCCTTGCTGTAATTCTCCATTGCATTTTACTATAGATGCTTGATCAGTATTTGTTTTCCCCCTCTGGACTGTAAATTCTATGAGACCAAGCACACATCTGTTTTATCTATAGTGTAGTGTGCTATTAATTTGTATATAATAGGTTGCACATGGTAGGTGTTCAGTAAACCAGTGAGTGGTGAAGATACAGCTCCAGGTGGCTGTGTCCCATCCCCTGCCGTCACTGAGATGTTCTCAGCTACTTAAGAGGGTTTGTCTTCTGGGACAGTTCACATGGACCCTTATCCCTGTGCAGGCTGTGGCTTCCTGTTGACACTATTTACAGAGCACCTCTTGTGTGCCATTTCTCTGCTTGTTGAGTGAGTCAGTGTGGAGGCCAGGTAACCCTCCCTCCATTCACCCCAGTCTTGAGCATTCAGTCCTACAGGGATGAATAAGAGCGGGGTTCAGTGTGAGACTTGGACCAAAGGAGAGTTCAGTGGTGACTCAGCCTCGAACCCTTCTTGGGATAGAAGCAAGGAATTCAGAAATAAATAGGGAAATGATGTGGGAGGTCCACGCCTTCAAGTTAATGATCCCTCAGCTCTGGGCAGCTCAGAATTTAGATGTGGGTCAGAGCCACCTCTGTAATCATAATGGGCTGGCTGGCAGGACATTGCCAGCTGGGTGGGGCATCCATCTGGTGGGAGTCTGGGCCGAGTGTTGCCAAGAATACAGACCCTGGAGAGAAGACATTAGAGATACATTGTTTCTGGAGGCTGCAACAGAGTATATGGCTGGCAATTATGTATTTCTGATCCATTAAAGAATGCTTTGGCATAGGAAACACATATTAGGGATGAAATTGTAATATAATCAAATTGTATTTTTATAGAAAAGTACTGCATTTTTCTCTAAATAAAATTCAGTAACAAAATTTTATTTGTTTTCTCCCCAAAACGCCTTTCCAAATTGATTTTTCAGAGACATCCTGAAAAACCGATGTGGTAAAGGGGAAGAAAGGTTTAATTCAGTGTCCTCGGATCCAAAGCATGGCAGGATTATGATTGCGAGCTCAGAGCTTCCCTGATTCCCAAAGTTCTCCCCGCTAGTTAGCTCATCTTTTATGGAGCTCTCTGGGAGACAGCATAAATCCTGAGATGCCCCTGCCAGGGTGGAGGAAACGTGACAGCAAAGGAGGGCTTGTTCTTTCTGAGTCATCCCATGTTAACGGAGCAGCAGGTAGGTGGGCAGAGGAAAATTATTAGAAGAAGCAAATATGAAGTTTTGAATTTGGAGATGGCTGGACAGAGGATGTGCAAGTCACTGTCTCTATAGGCAAAGGTTTACAAAAAAGATTTTAGGTTGTATATGCATAGCCACAAAACGTTCACATCAAAAGTCAGAAATTCAGTTCATCCCCTGCGTGTTTGCCCTGCATCTTTATATTTAGAAACATCTGGAGCATCAGTGGAATTTATCATTCACCCAGATGCTTGATAGTCCCTACATGGGGTCCTATATGCATGCAGGCAGGAATTGAAAATGGTTTATTCCTTCTCTAAGAACTGTGATCAACTGCTAGGTTTTCAATAACTATAATCTGCCATTAGGTATTTATTGATCTCTTATGCCAAGCATATTTGAGGTGCAGCAGATATATGTCATGATTCTTCATTTAAGGAAAGTGGCATTTTGCTTGCAAGACAAAGTCAGCAAGCATGGCATAATTCCACCTTGGTTCTCTTTCTTGTCCTAACTACGGAGTCCTTTCTGGATATGAGATAGGATCCAGAGAAGGCTGGGCAGGCAGATAGCCCTTTTGGAGGTGGGGACTAGATCTATGTCTGATCTTATTAATGGAATAATGGGAGGAGGGGGTCATTTTAGGTGACAGAGAGGAGATAGGCATGTTCCCAGCAGGGCACAGGTATGGAGATGAGGATGAGTTGATTTGTGGAAGGGAAGTTCCGGTGGGGAGGTCAGGGGAAGTTTTTGTTTGTTTGTTTGTTTGTTTGTTTGTGTGTTTTGAAATGGAGTTTTGCTCTTGTTGCCCAGGCTGGAGTACAATGGTGTGATCTGGGCTCACTGCAAACTCTGCCTCCGGGGTTCGAGCAATTCTCCTGCCTCAGCCTCCGGAGTGGCTGGGATTACAGGTGTCTGCTATTACACCTGGCTAATTTGTGTATTTTTAGTAGAAACGGGGTTTCACCATGTTGGTCAGGCTGGTCTCGAACACCTGACCTCAGGTGATCCACCCGCCTATCCTTCCAAAGTGCTGGGATTACAGGCGTGAGCCACCGTGCCTGGCCTGGTGGAGAAGTTTTATTGGGGCACTTAGAGTGCTGAGACCACTAGTCTGATTGTGTTTGTGGGTTGAATTTTGGGGAATAAGAAACAATAAGCTTGAAAAAGTAGGGCAGGGTCAAAAGGACAGGAACCTGGATCCCCAAAGGAAAGAGTTTTCTCTTTATTCAGGGTACTGTGGTTCCTTGAGTGGCTCAGAGATTGTGCAGGAGATCTTCCCATCCCTGTGCCCAGCATAGCATACGCAACTATCTGTAGACCAAATAAATAATCTTTCTCACACATATACCCACTACTGTACCTGAATACATTGAGGCTATTGTGGGAAAAAAATGCAAATGTATTTAAAAGGCTTACTGAATTTGAAGTAGCTGCTTGGCACTGTAGATTGCCTCAAGCAATGTTTTCTAAACTTATATAATTGCTCTCGAGTTTGGGGTTCAGTTGTGCTGTTGACGAGGACCTCCTGCCTCAGAAGTAGGGTACCATGCCCCAGGTGTGGTTAGCTGGGAGTTATCTGGACAAGGGAAGGGAGTGGTCCAAGATGAGCCCTGAGGAGATTGTTGTGGAACTAAGGCAAGGGCAGATTGAAGAGGTGGGAAGGAAGAAACTGGCTGGCCAACCGGGCCACTGTGGAGAGACTGGGTGGAGGGGTTAGAAAAGTAGGATATGGAGCAGGGGAAAACACTGAGGACCACGGGGAGGGCAGATGGCAAGGGGCTGGCTGCAGGGCCCTGCTTGGGGACCCAAGCAATGACACCAGAGTCTTAGCGACGCTCTGCCTGCAGCAAGGACTCCTGTCACCCTGAGTGAGCGGCTGCCACCCACACCCAGGAGCTAAAGGACCAAGTCGTGTGAGGAGGCTACAGGACTTTGTTTCTCCAGGCTCTGAAATTTAGTTCGCCTGGCGTGGGGCTCCAGCAGATGACATCCCTGGCCCCGTGGTAGGGACAAAACAGAAAGTCCGGGACAGTCAGCAGCTAAGCACAAGTTTCCACCTTGCAGGTCATCAGAACTGTGGGCCCTGTCATATTTCCCATCAGTCACATGTTTACTGAGGAAGTCAGAATCATTGACTTTAGAAAAAAATGAGTCCTGAGCGAGACCTATTTATCTCCCTTGGAGGCTAAATTCAGTTATCTTCTGTGTGAGCTCTGTCTACAGAATCTCTGTTCTGTCCTCAGAATGACTGGGTTGAGAACAGTGGAGGACAAGGACTGTTTCGAGGCTGAGTCATAAAGCATTTTCAAGTCAATGACAAAGCACCAAAACTTTTTATGCCAGAGAGAACTGGTTGTCTCCTAACATCTATTCTCTTCTCGTTCTCTAGAACCACCATTTGTTGTTGTTGTTGCTTGCTTTTGTTTTTTTTGAGACGGAGTCTCGTTCTGTCACCCAGGCTGGAGTGCCATGGTGTGATCTCGGATCACTACAACCTCCGCTTCCTGGGTTCAAGCAATTCTCCTGCCTCAGCCTCCTGAGTAGCTGGGACTACAGGCATACTTCACCACGCCTGGCTAATTTTTTTTGTATTTTTTAGTAGAGACGGGGTTTTACTGTATTGGCCAGGCTGGTCTCAAACTCCTAACCTCAAGTGATCCGCCTGCCTCGACCTCTCAAAGTGCTGGGATTACAGGCGTGAGCCCCTGTGCCCGGCCTAGAACCACCAATTTTTAGTTGGCTACATTTCCTAGCCTTCCTGATAGCTAGGTTTAGCCAGTTAACTGAGTTCCGGCCAAGCTGAGCACAGTGATGTGAGCTATTTCCAGGTGGTTCCTTTAAAGGGTCTGCCTTCTATTTCCCCCTTTTTCCTTCCCATTTTGTCAGGAATGCAAACATAGTGGGGGTGAGCCATCTGGGACCTGGGGAGGAGGCAGCTTCCCTGGGGATGGGAGCAGCAGGCAGATTGAAGGAGTCTGGGCTCCTGACACTGTGTGCAATAGCCATGGCGCCAGCCTGCACTGATGGTGCCCAAGTTGTGGTGCAAGAGAGAAATAGACGTCTCTCTTATTTAGGCTACTACTATTTTGGATCTCTATTCATAGCAGCCACATCTAGATCATCAATTATAATTCTTAATTTGAAAGTTGAATGTATGCATTTGGAGAATAAGGAACGTGCCTAAACAAACCACCTTCTGGTTTTGGCAACCCAAAACATGTTTGAATTTGGAGGCATTCCTTAGTGAGTAGGAAGAATGGAAGGCTTTCCAAAGCCCTTCCAGTGTGCAATGAGTTTTAACTGACGCCCTGTAAAGCCCCCCTGGGTGTTCCTCAGATCTCTCTCCTCCTCTCTGTGTTGGAATATCACTACCCGGGCTGAGGAGCTTATCACCTCTTGCGGGATTGAAAGGTAAACTCCAAGAGGGCTGCGGCTTTGTTTTGCTTACCACTTAGCCTCACGCCACAGAGTGTTTGGCAGATAAGAGGGGCTGGTTGAATTAAAAGACATAAGGCTCCAACCTGGCCTCCCTGCCGCTGGGCTCACTGCCCTCCTCCCCAGTCCAGTCCACACAATCACTTTTCTTAGTATTTCTATCACGCAGATCCTACCATACAACCCATGCCCCCCCTATTTAGCCTCTCAGTGGCTCCCTGCTGACCACAGGATCGAGTCCACACTCCTTGAGTTGTGACATGTGGGGTCCTCAGTCCCAGTTCCCCCGACACTTGCCCTGGGCCACAGGCTCGTCCCACTGTGCAACCTGTGGCTCCCAGGCATGCCACTGTTTCCTACTCTGGTGCCTGTGTATGTTTTGTTGTGTGCACACTTGCAGTGCCCTTCCCGCCTCCTTCACCCGGGGAACATCTCACCCTCCAAGACTAAGCCTTTGCTTCTTCCCACCAACCACTGTCCAGACGGACCAGTCTTCCATGCCTGGCTGCTCCCCACACAATCTTACTTCCATTGCAAAATGTGTTTCTGCAGAGGTCAGTTCTCCGGAGTCTTCCCCTCTGGCAGCCTGGGTTGCCTACACCTTAATTCCTGATGCACAGATCAGAGTAAACATCAATGAAAGTAACACATGAGTCAAGTGATCCTGGTTTTATTCTATCCTTGTAACTCTGAATAAGTCATTTCCCTTATCCCCTGACCTGAAGTCCCTTTGTATGTGAAATGGGGATGATAATACCTCTGCTGCCTATCCCACCTGGCCTGCAGGTATTGACAGAACGTGTGTGGATAAGGGGAAGCTTCTGCACAGACATGGGCATACACGTCAGTTATCCATGCTGTGTTAATGGGGTGGCTTCTGAGCCACATCCAATAAACACAATTAATTCTGACACTGAATAAAATGAACTATCCAAAGGATGGGCCTGACTGATTCGTGTAACTCTTATAAAGCACTGACCATGTGCCAGACACAATGTGAGCATTTTATAATATTACCTTATAACACTACCTCATGTAACACTACCTCATGTGACCCTACTGGCCACTCTCTGAGGTGGGCATTTCTCTCATCCCCATTTTACAGATGGAAGAACTGAGGAGAGTTTGATGACACTGCTTAAGGTGCAGAGCTAGTGAGTAGAGGAACAGAGTCTGAAAGCAGGCAGTCTGACTCTGGGGTCTGGGCTGTTCACTTTTACACAGATTATTTTCCCAAGGCCAGTAAGGGCCAGAGGGATGACAGCTTTGTCATAGAAGACATGTAGGATGCTCATAATTATAATTTTTATTTGACATCAGGGGAGAAAACAAAAATCCCAGAACAGAGTCCCCTGTGCTGTCCTGTGGGCGCCTCATAGATGCAGGGCTGGGCAGTTTCACAGTAATGAATGCAGACCTCTTAATCAGGTGATCTGACAACCGTGCCACTTGCCAGGGAAATGATGCCCCTCTAGAAGAGATTGTGTGGCGAATAAGAAAAATAAATGAATCGGGAGTATGTCAGAGCTGATAAGCCTCAGGGACACGGCTGGGACACAGTGAGGGTGTGCGATTTTAAGGCAGTTGCCAGTGGAGGCATTGGGACTGATTTCACAGGCATCTGTCCCCAGAGAATTGGGGCCTGCCTGCCTCCTGCCAGCACTGGCCATAAGCCCATACCCTCTGGCTCATGCCTGGCTAGTTGTCCCAGCCTTCCAGGACTATCATGTTGTGGGTGCCCAAGAGGGCTCAAGAATCCCACTGAGAGGGGTGAGGCAGTTCCCTCCTGGGTGGGGCCTGCGGAGGTGCTAGAAAGCAGCAGGAGTGTTCTGGCAGCCACAGGGGTGAGCATCCCTCACATGAATGCAGCACTTCACTGTCTCCAAGCACACACATATCTCTTGTTTCATCACTACATTCTGCACATCTGGGTGTTTTCCTCTCTGTAGACACAGCGTGTGCTAGGCTCTTGATGGTCACTGCTATATGGACGGAGATTTTCTCTTTGGACCATTTTAGCTTCCCTTTCCCAACGCAGCTGGCCAAGGACCGTGCCTCAATGTCAGCTGTCATGTTTCTTCCGAGGAGCCATATTCAAAGCGCACAAACCTTGAATCGAATGGGGAAGGGTTTGTCATCTCAAAGACAGATTTCTAGCAAAAGAAATCCAATGACCATCCAAAAGAGTGGATGGGCCCCATCCCAGGAGAGATGCTGAGCCCCAGGGGCAGGCTCCTGAAAGTCCTTTGCACCAGAGGAGATGCTGCCCATGCCCTTTGAAAATTAGAACTGTGTGTTTCTGTTGCCACTGATTGGCTGACCCTGCCAAGGCTGGACAGGCCCTGTTCACTTAGTCTAGAGTTCGATGCTACCAACCATTTGCTAGAGAAGAATTTATAGGCTGTTTGGAGCAGGTCCTCTGGGTGTAGACTAAAGTGAAGCATGTCTGCTATTTAAATCTTGTCACAAATACATCTCAATCCCTGGAGCTTCTCTTTGGAAAGAAGCAGGATGCCTAATAAAACAATGAATAATTATTTGGGGATGTTCATTATTTACAGCTGCCCCAGGTCATCCGTAATTTATGCAGCCCTCAATTATGCTTGATTTCTTCCTTACATGGAGCCATCTCTCCAGACTGCCATCACCGTGGGTGATATCCATGCACCAGTTAATTGTACCATGAGGACAATTTCCCATTTCTTGAAATGCTTCGAGTCCCCTGGTTGAATGCTTATGTTCCACAAACTCTATATCTCAATGATGAGTCCCTGGATACTCGAAGGCAGAAAGACCAGGGATTAGGTTTGACAGAGAATCTGTATGGAACTCTGTCTGCCAAGCATTAAAGAAAGGCCTCAATGGGTACTTGAGGGAGAAAACTGTGAAGTCTTGGTTGCAGAAGTGGCCTGGGATAAGGGAGAAGGTCAGTGCCAGTAGCTGCCTTTCTGCGCTTGGGAGGTTCAGGAGAGAGAGAAGCAACAAGTACTGGGAGGGAGTCCAGGCTGAATCACTTGCCTAGAGGCATGCAACCAATAAGTGGACTTAGGCTGGAGTCTCACGGGTGCTCTCCCCTCTGCACCCTCCCTCCCCAGCCATTGACCTGCGAGGGTCGGGGAGGACAGAGGAAGGTGAGGGTGCAGGGCAGAAGCTGCCCAGACAAGGTGAGCATCCCCGCCTGCTATCTTTTGCTTACCCGTCACTTTCAGCCCTGAGCTTGACATCTAACTGAAAACAAGACCTTTCCGAACGCAGAGCTTAATGATCCCTTTAATGCCCGAGCAGTAGCATCACTTCTCTCTCTCGCCTGTTCCCTGTCAGCCATGGGGCATTAAGTCGGTGATAAAAATGCCTTTTTGGTATGGTCCACAAACTCACCAAGAGGCTCCTGATAGCAGTATAGCCATCTAGCATGAAATCAAGAGGCAATCACTGCGGATGAGGCAAGATGAGCTACACGCAGCAGCAATTAGCAGAGCCCACGTCCAGGGTCCCGTCCTTCACCATCTCCTTGTGCCCGCACCCACCTTCGCCCCAGCAGGGAGGGCTCCTGCGGCACCATCCAGCAGCCCAAGTCCAGTTCTGAAGCAGGTGCCTTGCCTTTCTGCATTTGAGGTGGTGGGAGAAGCTTCATCACCTCTTTAATCCTACCGAACACAGCATTCCTGACCCACGTGGCCTCTGGGAATCAACGTCCTTGGTTATGTTTTCAATCCAGAAAATATAAAACTGAGAAGAGAGGGGGAAAAAGGAAATAAATGGCCAGTTAGGAATATGTATTAGCATGATGCTGCGTTTGGAGCTGGAAACAGGAGCCATTTATTTTAAACAAATCGGATCTTGATGCATGGCCTGTGAACGTGCCGACTTCTCTATCACGCAAACATGCTTGGCAAGTTTGATTTATATGGTGTGGCTCTGAGGATTTTTTTCTCAATTAAAAACGAGTGGAGAAAAATCATTAATTTAACTACTGTGTATTAAATTTGCATTAAAACATCCGTTTGTCTATATTTATTATGTGAGTTATTGAAAATGTGAGCTCATGAATTCTAATTTTTAAGATAGCATGCCAAACATTGAAGATAAATTTTATTTATTTCTGCAATTAATTCTATGAGGACAAATAGCTCTAATTTAGGGGATGGCAGATGTAACTGTCCACTGGTGCCCTCCCTGCATACCAAACATAATATTCATCTTTTCTCATTAGGGTTTCCCTCTGCCTGTAGCTGGTCTCAAAATATGCAAACCTTGCCGATCTGCACCTTGTGCTTCAACACCCCTTGGCAGACACACCTAGAAAATACTCGGGAAAATATGGACCATGTCAAATCTCTTTTTCTGCTTCTCTGTGATGTGCAAAGGCTTCAACCACATCCCAAAGGCTAAATAAATATTTCTTCCAAAGATATCTTGATATTAGTCACTTGGGTTTCCCACCAAGATGGCTCAGTGGTGTCCAAAGCAAATCTTGCGGGGTAACTGTACACAAGCCTTACTCTGCTACAATGGAGAACTTGGTAGTTTTCTCTGGGGTCACTGCCCCAACACAGGCCTCAGCATCAACACATGGATCCTAAGGAAGGGAGGCTATGACGCAGCCTCTCAACCTGAACATCAAGACTGCCGTAGGAGTTTGTACCCCGCATCCTCTTTCTGCAGGAGGCCACCCCACCCACCAGCCCTCCTTTCCTTTCAGCTGGGTGGAATGTGTGAGCATTTCAGGCTGCTCTGTGGCCATAGCCATTCAGGACTCCCAGTCACATGGCTGCAGTGACAAATGGTGCACAAATTGGGTTGTTCTCAGAAGCTCTGTCTCCAGGGCAGCCCCTTGCTATGTGTCATCATCCAGGTGCCTGGAAAGGGGCGGCATCATTTCCTTAAAGACTTTTCCTGTAGTAGATAGCTGTGCATATTGCCAGCATTGGAGTTTAGCAAGTAAGTCCTTTCCATACCCACTGGGTTACACATGGGGGCTTTATGCTATTCTAGGTAGCATGAATTCAAGGCAGTCCCTGCGTTCGAGGAGTAAAACAGGAGAAAATAACAATGCAGTGAGATGGGTGCTATGATCTGGGACAGACTAGGGGGATTGGGAATGAGAGTAAGGAAGTGCTTCTGACATTACCTGGGAGGCTGAACTCACACTTCTGCCCCTGGCAAGTTTTCTCTGCTTCAGAGAGCCCCTTAGTTCCACTCTGATGGATGTCATGTCTGAATAGGGTCTGAGCTGCTGCATTTCCTCCCTTCCAGACAGAGACTGTGGGTGGGGCTATCCTTGTGCAGAGGATGTCAGTTGGGCCAAGAGGGTGGGTGCCACACTGGGGTTCCTCTTACTGTATCACAAAGCACTGAGAGCCTCACTTGCCCAGCCTACCCTCTGCAAGCAGGCCTGGGGAATCTCTGCAATGGAACGAAACCACTGTGGAACCACCAGCAACAGCCCACTTTCTCCATGCCAGGAGCTCATTTCCTGAGTGTGGCTTGGTGGTTGCATCCTCCGGGTCTCATTTAGAGGTGGATTTTAGGGTAGGCTGGGGCCAAAGGGTGGCTCTCAGCAGTCTCTTCTATACAAGAGGGACCCAAGGACGAGTCTGGAATGCTGGGTCCTTCAGAGACCAGGCCCACCCTGCTCTGATGATGGGTCATTTCTACTTTCCCATCACACAGAGCTTCCACCAGCTGGAATGTTCCCAGCCTTGCTTCTCTCATGGGGGGTCCAATTCCTCCTGATTAGCAGCATTTCTAAAATCACATTTTGTAATAATGAGCCCCAGAAACATGCAAGTCAAGTACATCACATTATCAATGACAATTGTCAAGTTTTTTTTTTCTTTTTCCTCAGTGAGAGGATGATCAGACATTCTCCCCTTTGATTTTTCAATGAGTAAATCACTCTTACATTTTGGCTTTAGAATATATTAACGTATCTAGGACTGGATCACAGACTCCATGGGGGCCGCAGCCAAGTCCGTCTGGTAGCTCCAGATGGGAAACATCTGATTCAGTTCTGTTGGAGTGAAGAAGGGCTGTTGCAGTCCCCTCCAATCCCCCTGAGGCAGGAGCGCATATGCCCGTGTGGCAGAGGTCTGCCCTGCCTCACTCACCGCTTCTGGCCCAGGCCTCACATTATTTAGGGGGAGCTCAGAGAAAGAAGGGAGTGAATGACCGCTTGCCAAGGACTGCCCGGGGTCTGCCCTCCCTGGACAACTGAGGATCTGGAAACGAAGCAGGAGGCCAAGCCTGGGGCTTTTGCCTGCCCACCTGCCTGCCTGTCCGCCTCCAGGAGATTGGTGCTGCACTGCTCACTGCACACTCGTTAGAACAAGCCCTGTGCCATGCACACCTCAGCTGCCCTGGCTGCCTCTGCTCTGTCCAGCCTTCAGACATCCAGGCCTGAGTAGAGAGGCCACTGCACATGATGGAGAAGGACTCTGGCCCCAGAATCCCACAGGTCTGGGTTCAGTTCTGACTGTGCCCATGATGAGCTGCATCACCTAGAGCAAGGCATTCCCCTCTCTGAGCTCCAATTTCCTCACCTGTAACAAGAATGAACACACGTGAAGTCATTAACATGGAATCCCCAATGCTCTAAGTCCTTGCAGATGGCAGCTGTTGTGAGGTCAGTCAGTATTCATTCTGCTGTAACCAGATAACTGCAGGGCTTTCGTGTCTACCCCTCCCCTCTGCCAAAAGGTGGGGACAGGGTGCCTATAAGGAAGAGCCTTGTCTCATGGGGCTGACAAGGAGTTTTCATTTGGCAGGTGTGTATTGAGGACACATTGGGAGGCAAGTTCTTCTGCAATAATGAACATGGGCTGTTTCTTGTCCTCTATGAGATCATCAAGAAGAGGAGATCAGAGGGTAAAATTCAGTAATCCTCTAAGAAGTGGAGGCCTTGTATTGTGGAACCCTGGAGAGGGAGTGCTTACTTTCGGTCATGTGGATCCCACAGAAGGAGGGGGTATGAGAGTGGGCTGGAAGGGCAGGGCCCACCACCTTGGAAAGGATCCTGTGTTTGGAGCTGGCTCAGGTGCTACACGTCTGGTGGAAATCCTTGGATCATAGGTGTGCCCCCTCTCTTAGCCGCATGCTATAGAGTGCGGAGGATGGTGTGCTGTTTGTGTATTTCCAGAATTCAGCACAGGGCCTCATAGTAGGTCTCAGTAGTGTTGAATAAATGAATGAACATACAAGCAAATGAATGAAAGTATGAATTAATGAGTGAGTGAGAAGGCATGGAAGACCATGCCATGCTGTGGAATGCAATGTGGGCTTTAGTATGTAGACTTTGGGGAGCCAGCAGAGGTTGTTTGACATGATCAGGTTTTATGATTTACAGAAACAAAATAAAAGAAGACACCTGCCCATCGCTCTGACATCCTAGCTCCTCTCACCATCTTGACTTTTCTGAGTTCTAGTACAGTCTTATCCATGGCCACATGTGCATCCTATCTGTTTGTGGGTAGTATGGGGTGGACTTCTTGGGAGAGTAGTGACAGGAAGCTACCTGGTTGGAGGGAAAGGGAGGTATAGTGCCAGGGGTAGAGATAAGGGGCTATTGCCATAGTCCAGGAAAATGCAGCCTGAGATCTGGGTAGGCCTGGGATAGGATGAGGTCAGAAGACTAAGGAACAAGCAGGAGGCCATGTGCAGAGACCTCCTATGGAGAAGGGAAGCTCCCACATGCTCAGGACATGAGCAGACAGCCTGTTCTGCAAATAGATGACTGGCTGTGGCCTGTTTGCAGGCACTGTCAGAGTTTACTTTCAGGAATTCCCAGGTGAGGCCTAGAATGAATCCAACTACTTTCCAGCTCTCTGAGTCCATGCCAAGAAGGTCCCTTCTTGGCTTCCCCGAAGTGATGGGCACACCTTCTGAGGCCTTTCAGGAGTTTGGGTACCCAGGTTCCTAGGAAATGGTCCAAGACCAGCACTGAGTCCTCAGATGCTTGAGGGAGCACGATCCCCACTGTGCAAAAAGGAGTTAGCATGGCAGGCTTGAGACTGCTACCCACAGAAAGGTTTCTTTCAAGGCTGTGCTTGGCCAGTGTCTGGGAACTTGGCTGGTCCCTAAATGATAAGGGTGGCTCACTGTGCCTAAACTGTACCGAGAATGTGGTTTATGCTGAACATCTGCTTTCCTCCTGGGAGTCTGGAATTTGGGTACATGCTAGGCAGAGGGTGCTTGTGTGACCAGCCTATGATTAAAACCTTGGGCTCTAATGAGCTTCCCTGGGCAGAAATGTTGCATGCATGTTGCTGAGGGAAGAGTGAGCTCTGTGTGTCCTCTCCTGAGAGGGAGAGGGCATAGGGAAGCCTGCACACAGATTCCTCCAGGTTCTGTCTGTGTCTTCCCTGCTCATGATCCAGTGATATAGCCTTGCTATGTTGCTGAGCAGATTTTTATACCTCTTTTGCTGTGAAATGAGATCCCTGATCGACAGCAATGTGGTGTGGAACAACGTGATGATGCAGAAGGATTCTCTGTCCGTATCCTGCCACGCCCACCCTCCCACTTCTCTCAGCCTCCTTTGCTGGCTCCTGCTCTTCTTCCCAGCCTCAAAATACTGACTTCTCCAGGCCTTAATCCTGGGCTCTGTTTTCTCCTAGATCTGCACTCCCTTCCCTAGGTAATCTTATCTAGTCTCAGGGGTTTAAATACCAGCTAGACGGCAATGATTCTCATATTTGTAACTCCATCCCCGACTTCTCTCCCTGAAGTCCAAACTCATACATTCACTTCCATATTCAACAGCTCCACTTGTATGCCTCAGTGGCATCTCAAAATGAGCATGTCCAAAACTGGACTCTTGATTTCCTCCTACACACACACACACACACGCTCAAACACAGACCTGCCCCTCTCCCAGGCTTCCCCATCTCGGTTAATGCTACCAACATTGATCCAATGGCTCCTTGGATCTAAAATCTTGGGATTACCCTTGTTGGCTTGCTTTTATTATACTCCACCTCCAAGCTGTCAGCAAATTCCATCATCTTCACCATCAAAGTAATTCCAGAATCTGCCTAGCTTTCACTGTTTTACTGCCACTCCCCAAGTCTGAGCTGTCATTACCTTTTGCTTGAATTATTTATTACAACAGCCCTCTAACTGGTCTCTCTTTCTGTCTCCCTAGAGTTTGTTCTCAACCACAGCAAGAATAGTGCTCTTAAAATGTTTCTGCCTAGTACTTATCACCACCCAACATCATCTACATGTATTGGTTTATTATCTGTCTCCTTGCATTAAGATGTGGGCTCCACACACAACATGGTGACTGTAGTTAATAACAATATATTATATTCTTGAAAAATGCTAAGAGAGTAGATTTTAAGTGTTCTCAGAACAAAAATGATAATTCTGTGAGGTATAATGCATATGTTAATTAGCCCAATTTAGCCATTCCACAACATACATGTATTTCAAAACATCATGTTGCACTTGATAAATATATGCAATTTTGTCAATTAAAAAATGATTTAAAAAATGTGAGCTCCATGAGAGTGGGAACCTTATTGGCTTGTTTATTGCATTCTTCTCAGCACCTAGAATAATTCCTGGCCCTTGTAGTATTTTTGGTAGTTATTTGTCCATAAATAAATGAATAAACACAGCATCTTATTTAATCCTTTGCTTGAGGACATTAAGACTCAGAAATGTTAAGCAACTTGACGAAAGTCCCTGAGTTATTAACGGCAGATTCCAGATTTAAATTATCTACTGAGTCCAAAGTTACAGATCTGAATGCTCTGCTAGACTCTTCATGTCGTATTTTCTTTCTAGGCTGCTTAAAGCTTGGAGAGACTATTTTCTTAGGATCAGAAATTAAGTCTATTCACTTGCAGGATACATTTTTACTATCCTTCCGTTAGTATCTCCTGTGGATGGAATCGACTTTGCTTCTTAACTTAATGGTCTTTCTGCACAAAGCATTTCTGGTTTCATAGCTGGAGGCAAAGTGCAGTAGAGACCTCAGAAGTCCTTAATGTGCTGTTGCATGGACAATGAGAGTATAAGGCATTCCCAATTCCATATCCACATCCATGCAGGGGCTAAACCATGGATAAAGCTGCCCAGATCCCATGGAATCCAGCTAAATGACCTCCAGGGCCCAGGACTCGGGCCCTCTAGATTTGCCTCTCAGGAAAAGAGTCTTAGCAGAAGAATTTTCATTCCAGGGGAAAGTAAATGTTTTATGGATTCAGGTTGACGTGTGTGTGAACGATCCTGTATTTGAGGATTTCAGCCTTTAAACAGAGGCAGAGGCACAATTTGTCAATTTTGGTTTCAGTTTTACAAGCACTATCTTTTCCAAAGACTAAATTTGTGTGAGCACGAATGTACTAATGAAACATGACATTTTCGTCTATTACATGCATCTTCTCCGGGGAAGGGTTCTTAAAAGAGTTCATAAAATTTCTTATGGCATTTGGGGAAGCACATCATTATATCTATAGATGTTTGAAAGCAGGATTAAAACCCTCGTGGTGGAAAAGTACTCAGAGTAATTTAAACTATTAACATCAAAAGACTCAACAGAATACAGAATTAGACAAGAGAAGTAAAGAAATATACATTTTTTCCCAGTTTCTGATGAAGGGACTGGTCTGCAAATATAAGAAATTTCCATTATAACAATATTCACAATTTAATTTTCAGGCTGACACAAAATTGACTCAGTTTTATTCTAAGAAGGCCAAAAGAGCAATCTATCTTTTAAATATCTGAGCCTGTAGATTTAGTGAAAAGCAAAACCTCATGGTGTTCTTACATCTTCATGTAATAGAAAATTGGCAATGTTAGCACTAATGTTTTTTGCTTTTAAGCTCCAAATTGGTTATTATCAAACTCTTTCTAAGGCTGAGAAGAAGGCTATTCTAAGAAAAAGAAAAATGCAAGGAGAACAGCTACATTTCAAAGGATTTTTGGAGAACTGAAATTTTGAAAGAAGAAACTAATTAGTAAAAAGCCCTATTAGAAACAGGATCACTTTAAGAGAATGAAGAACACTTGGAATTTAAAGTGTTCTTAACAAAAGGTATTGTTATGAGTTTTCTCCATCTATCTGAAAGGGATTGAAAAGTAACCAGAAAAATCCCAGAGGCAGTGTTAGTCCATAGGGTTATAAGATAGAAGAAATGTGTAGACCTCGTTTATTTTTCCATACTAATTTCAGTGTTGGAAACTTCTTTTTAAAAATTCTTAAGATAAGATATTTCTTAGAAAACAAATATAATGTGCAGAAAGTAATCCTCCCACCCCATATTGTGTTTTGCTGTGGTCTCTAACGACGCCTCTTAAATCCTCTACTCCAGCAGAAAGTAAACATTCTAATTCATTCATACGTCTGAGGGTCTCCCAGCCCCCTGGCACCTGGTCATGGAGTCTAGGGTGGGGAGGGCCTGTGTCTAGGTGGCAGAGTCACAAAGGGCGGGGCCCTGGAGCATTCCCATTGGTCCCAGGGCCTGTCAGACTCTCCTAGGCTGACTCTGCCTTGTTGCCAGGCCCGGAGACCAAGGCTTCCCCTGGCTAGCCTCAGGAGTGATGGTGACTCCTTCCTGCCCTTCTGCAATCCCCTGAGAGGTTCTCTAAGATCTGCCCGGGTGAAATTAGTAGGCTCTTCCCACTTTAACCCCCATTTTTTGTGTACTGTGAATCCCAGTCAATTTAGGGTGGTCACAAGGACATATTTTACAAGCTAGCCAGGAAGGGTTAAATCTCAAGTCCTGGGGCCTGGTTTGGCAGAAAGCCCTCATGTGACCCAGTCCAGCAGGTACTCAGGCACTGTCCTGCCTGCTGCCAGGGACTGCACCACGCTAGGCATTGGCACCAGCACTAACGTTGACACAGCGGATTCTCTCATTGGATCCTCATAAACACCCCTGTGGGCACTGGTGTTGGGGCAGAGTGGTGAGTGGCTTGCCTGACGGCCACGGGAACAAGAGGCCCAGCCGTGCAGACCCACAGCCTTCTGGCCACCACACTAGGCCATCGGTAGCAAAGAATGGCTGGTTTAAAAATCTTTGGCTTCTGCTGACTCCTTCAAATTGCGATTTGGAGATATTGGCAACAAATCTCTTTTTTAAAATGTCAATTTAAAAACACACTTCCCACTTTTCCAGTTACTCTGTGTTCCCATTTCCATGCCCAGCTCTTTCTCACACGAGCTCCTTTGTGCTAGCTGTTTCTTCTGCCCTGGTGCTTTTCCTGTCACATGAATGGAAAGAGCCTTCTTATCACTCAGGTCTCTACTTAAATGCCATTTTCTCGGAGAGGCCTTCATGAGCCCCCGTGGACCCCCCTGCCCCAACACCATCAGGTCACAGTTTTATAGATTATTTTCTTAGAGAACAAATCACGACCTGATTTTTAAGTTTGTTTGTTTGATTCTTCATTGTGTGTCACCACTAGAATGCAATCTCCACGAGCACTTATTCACTGCAATGAGCCTAGTACCTAAATTAGCGCCTGAAACATAGGATGAACTCAATACAAGTGCATTGAATAGGTTTCTTGGCTAAATTAATGAATATGTGATTATCATGAGAAATCTACCAGCTTATGTGAAGAAGAACATTCAATTTCCTACCCTAACGCCTATGAGCACGTTCCCCTTTCATTACCCACACAACTCATGTGATTGCACTGATGTATTCAATTTGAATTTATTGTGCACCACTGTGTGCCAGGCATGGTATTCTGACATACACTATGATCCCCAGGGAGCAGAACCAAAAAAGGTCGCTCTCATGCATCGGTTCGGTTTTTATTAACACACACACACACACACAGACACACACACACACACACACACACATATGGAAGTCTCCTTGGTATGCCTGTCTCGTTCTCTACGGGATTTCTCAAGGTTTCTTTTCATCTTAATGGGATCTAAATTAATAAAGTTAGCTTTTCCTATTTATTATAGTACATGAAGATCCTTTTTCTCTTTTGGTTACTTTGTGTGAAGGGTATATCCTCATGGTTACTGGTAGTATTAGAAATGATCCTACAATCCCCATTTATCTAAAGGCCAGAACTGCAGTGACCTCCACCATTAAGAAGATAGCCAAAAGCTTTGTAGTAGGTGGGAACAAATATCTCGCAGAGGGGGAAATTGTTGTCATACAGCTGATGCATTTTACTCGGTGGAAAGGCAGAACAGCCTTCAGCACCCAGATCATTGGGAATGATTTAAGTTGGCAGGATAAAAACAGTGATTCACAGACAGCAGTGTGGGGAGCCCTTCGCTGGTGGAGGAAGGGTTGTCAGTCCTCTCACAACGTAGTGACCTGGAGCCCCCGTGCAGGCCCCCAACCTTTGCTATGGTGGGGGCCTCTGTTGTTGCTGTATCACAGCGTGCACTGTAATTATCATTTCAGTGATTGCCAGGGTCATCACAAAAGTTTAAATATGTTCCTAAGACTACTCATTATTAAGGCAAAAACAATAAGAATGGCAATGTGAAAAATTATAGTAAGAACAAAAACAGAGAAGTTAATTCTGGCACTTAGAGGAACTTGGAGAGTTTGAGTCTTGCCCTCCTGGCTTCTTTGTTGCTTTTGTCCCTCCATTACAGCCCCTATCAAATGCTGCTTTGAATTGCGGTTTCTTCTACTTGTATCTTTCTCCCTCACTAGATTGTGAGTCCCTGGAGGCAGAGAAGATGTTTTATTTATTTCCTGGCCAGAGCTCTGTGCATATAATAGGCTCTAGATAAGCATGTGTTGATTTGCATAGAATTAAAGTTTGGAATCTGGAAATGTCACTTAAATTGGAGAATTCAAAGTAGAAGCAGATGAGTTGAATTTGAATCCACAATGGTTGGCAGGCATCGTGAGATGTCAAATTAGGGATCTGAGCTGGTTAATTAGGCAATCTTGGTTACCTTTGAGTTGAAGCGGTTTGAGTGACAGGTGTGCTGACAAGCTACCCTGTTCCACCTAATTTTAGGGAAGGAATATCCGGCAGTGAGCAACAGCCAGGATAGCAGAGCCAGGAGGGAACACCCCTGCCCTGGGAGGGACTTTGGGTGGTCCAGGCTGGGGCTGCTCTGCCCTGGTGACTGCTGAGCTTCCTGCATCATGGAGAAGGGCTGGAGGTGCCACACCTGTACTCACAGCAAGCCCTGTAGTGCCTGCTTTCAGTTTGTGAAAGGAAAATACCTTGGGCCCCCAAAATCATTAAGGAAAACTCAAGCTGGAAACTGCTCAGGGCAAACCTGCCTTCCTTTCTATTCAAAGTCACTCCTTTGCTCACTGAGATAGATGCTATCTGATTTGTGTCCTTTGGAAAGTCTCATCAGAAACTCAAAAGAATGTAACTGTTTATGTATCACCCATCTGTGACCTGGAAGCTCCCTCCCCACCTCCAGCCTTCCTGCCTTTGCTTCAAGTTGTCCAGCCTTTCCAGACCGAACCAGTGTACTTCTTACATATATTGATTGATGTCTCATGTCTCCCTAAATGTATAAAACTAAGCTGTGCCCTGACCGTCTTGGGCACATGTCGTCAGGACTTCCTGAGGCTGTGTCATGGGTGCATAGTCAACCTTGGCAAAATAAACTTTCTAAATTAACTGAAATCTGTCTCAGATTTCCTGGGTTCACAAGCTGATTCTTCCAAATCTCTTGGGATGAGAAGCAGAAGCCAGCTCTCTTCACAGCCCTGCAGCACAGCTCTGGAGAGCTGTGGCAGGAACAACCTCCTTTCTTGACACCTCCATAGATGCTTTGAACCCTGGACAGAAAATGTGTTCCCCTCACCTCTGCTGTCTCAATTGCATTGATTTGTTGTCTTTAATCTTTTCTCTCTCTCCTTCTTTTACTTCAGTTAGCACTGTTGGTCTTGTCCTTTGGACAAAGTTCATTTATTCACTCATACATTCATGAATAAGAGCATGGGCTTTGGAACCAGATAGATATGAGGTTTAATTCTAACTCAGCCACTGTATCAGTCAGGATGGTCTATGCTATGCTGCAGTGATCATCCCAAATCGCACTGGCTTAAACCAAAAATGGGTTTTTTCACTATCATGTTTCATGCCCATCATGAGGTGGCTGGGGGCTGTGCTCCAAGTCACACTGAGAGACCTGGGCTGTAGGAGCCATCACTATCTACGGCACCACTGAGTACAGTAGCAAGAGAAAGCAAACATTGCAAATAATACATTTCATAATAGTCTTTTTCCTGGAAGTAATACACATTGCTTCCGCTTGAGTTTTATCGTCCAAAGCACATCCCAAGACTCTCTCCTCAACTTTAACCTCACCAAGTGCCTGGAAGGAGAACCAGGATATTAACAAACAGCTCTGCTGACTAAAAGCCATTGCTAGTTGTACGACCTTAGTGTAAAAAGTAAAGTAGAGGTTCCTCTTCAAAGGCTTTCCTCCCCATCTAATTAGGAATAAATAGTAACTTCTCTTAGAAGCAAAATTTATTCAAAGACCTGTGGTAACATTCTTAAATATCTGCTAGCCATAATAAAGAAATCAATGTACTTTACGTTCTTAGCCCCCACAATTTAGCCTAAATATTTGCCCTGGCATGCTTATACTGGTCCAAGCAAGCATTAGGTCATAGCCTGTTCCTCTTCCTTATTTGAACATGTTTTTACCTTTCTCAGCATTCCACAAGTTACTTCCTCCTTCCTTTGTTTTCCTCTGCCTTTGCCTCTTTTAAAATGTTCTAAGTTGCTAGCCAATCAGGACAAATATAGAATGTGAGGTCCCATTCCAGCCAATGGAAACCGGACACAGCAGTAGAGTGGATGCATCAGGTTATAAATGACCCTGTCTCCTTTGTTCGGTGTACTCTTGTGGCAAAACTGCTGGCGAGTGTACCCTTTCTGCAGAAAGTAAAAATGGCCTTGCTGAGGAAATTAAATTTATGTTCAAGTGCTATTTCTTTATGGCACTGAGGAACAAGCATTTGTAACATTATATACCCATGAAACTTGCTCTAACCTTTAGTTTTACCTACAAAATAAGGATAATAACAGCATCTATCTCTTTGGTTGTTGTGAAGATTAAAAGAGATGGTGCATGTGTATCTGTTATGTAGTGCTGTGTAGCAAACCATACCAAACTTGAGCGGCCTAAATGACAAGCATTTACATAGATTGTTTGCAGTTTGACAATTTAGGCAGGGCTCATCTGGACAGTTTTTCTGGTCTTGGTGGGGCTGTCTCATTCCTGGGTTATCAGCTGTCTGTCATCAAGGGAACTCTGCTCCCAGAGGCTGTCTGCCATCAGCTGGGGCACCTCGGCTGTCTTTCACAAGGTCTCGCCCCTTAGCAGGCTAGTATTGGCTTATTTTCATGGAGCAGGCAGGAAACCAAGAAAGCAAAAGAATAGTAGCCTTGATGTGCCTAGGCTTGGAACTGGTACAACATCACCTCTTCCTCATTCTATCTGCCAAAGAAATTTCATAGTCAGCCCAGATTCAAAGGATCTGGAGATGGAATCCAGGTCCTGATGGGTAGAGATGTGAAGCCACACCCAAAAGGTGTAGATATGGAATTGGAGCCATTTGTACAACCAGTATACCAGTCTGCCTTCTGATCAAAATTATTCACATCCTTCTACACGCAAAATGTACTCACTCCCTCTGAAGACCCTCAAAGTCTCATCCCATCCTGGCCTAATGCTTAACATTCAGGATCTTATAAAATCTACATAAAAATCCAGATGGAGCACTTTTTGTTCTGGAGACCCAGTGAATGAGAGAGCAAAGTAATCTGTCTCCCACACCCTCAGCATGTGCTGATGAGACAGGGACAGCATAATAGCAATAAACTCTCCTGTTTGAAACAGGTTAGTTACTACTCCATAATAATTCTGAAATCCCACAGGGTGGAAATGTTGCTGGGGCCCCCAACTCTGGGGTGAAAAGTATTCCTTGATTAGACCACTGTTCTACTCCCTGGAAATGATGCCCCAGTCCAGTGTGTCCACAGTTCTTGGTTCCACTCCCCGGGCTCTTGGCCTTGCCCACGCTTTCCTTTGTGTCACACTCCATGGCTACTTCTGAAGACATGGTTGATGTAGACAGCTTAGTAGTTTTCTCAGCCTGTTTTCTGGCCATAGAAAATTAAGGATCCAGAGGTCCTTTTGCAATTTGAACAGACTCAGTTTCTTTTAGCCCAGCCTGGCAGTACTTTTACCAGTTCAATTCATATTAAAAACACTGTGGAGTTTCTATGTATTTTATGATAGCCACCTCATGCTCAGAAAGGCACATCCACAATTTATGTCAAATATCCCTCTCTCTCAGCTGATTTACTGCTATGTTGACGACGGAAAAGGGTGTGTTGTCGGAGGGAAGGACATGGGTCCTACAGCAGTGTGGGCATCTTGGGAGCGGAGCGTGTAGCAAACACAGGGGTCTTGAGGGAATGTGGTGAGGGAGGCCTGAGACAGGGGCAGGACTCACATCTCATGCATCTAGTGACCCCAGGCTAGGATTTGGGTCTTTATCTTGAGGTTCATGGAAACTCTTAATGACTCTTATGCTAGAGAGCAGAGAGGCTCAGCCTAGCACTTCAGAAGTCCCTCTGGTTGCAGTGCGGGGAGGTTAGCCTAGGGCATGGGCTGGGTGGATCTGTGGTCCTGGGAATAAACTCACTTTCCCTGAGCTGGGCTGTAGAAGGCAGAGGCACTCGCAGCCTCAGAATTATTGACTCCACCAGGGCTTATCTCCTCTGGACTCGCTTGGTTCTCAGTTGGTGTGTGAGGGTGGATATTTGAGGTAACGTAATAGCAGCATCCTTTGCTAGTCCCAGATGCTCCCAAGGAGCCTGGCTGAAGGAGGCAGGTGGGTCCTCAGCCACACCACAGGCTGGTGCTGCCAAGCCGAGCTGCTGGGGGCAGGGCACACTTCAGCCCTTGCTGACCGGAACCTGGCAAGACACCTCCCTGGCTGAAGGATGTCATTTTCCTGTGAACTTCTTCTGTTTTCAATGATTTAGACAAGAACACAGAGCATGTTGCCCTCCTGAGCACTTTTGGTCAGGCTGTGAAGAAGTGCTCAGGGAGGATGAGCCCCCGGGGTGCAGGGTGGCCAGCCTGGAGCCTGACTGTCCACCTCATGCTCCCTCTTGCCCCCCCATCTCAGGATTTGGGGCCCTCATCTGCCCCACCTGCTCACCAGGAAGAGCTGGGTCTCCGTAGCTGACCCCTTGGGGAATGTGGATTTTAGAAGAGAAGCCAGGGAAGAACCTGGCATGTCCAGCTGTAGTGGGTGAGCTCAGGCTGTTGAAGAAGTGATTTTGGTGAAGGGATTTTTCTGGTGTTCCCTAAATCCCATCATTGAAGCATCCAATTATGCTACCTCTGTGAGGCTGGAATTATTAAAATATCCTGAATTGTGATGCTAATAGCAAATTTGCTAAATGGGAATGAATTTTTAATATCATAATTTGCTTTTTCCTTTTTATCTGATTCCTTTTCTTTCTAGATGTCACTTCATAAGAGTGAATGAAACTTGGAAACATTTCTTGCCCTTTCTGCTTATGACATATTTCATCAGATTTCTCCACATCTCAGAATTTTTCAGAATTCATCTAATGCACTATGCCTGATGGGCCTGGGCTCATTTGTTTTGGTGACGTCTGATCTCACACCCGAAATCACCCCTCCATGGGCAGCCTTAACCCCCAGCTTGACGATGTCACAAGACAGTATCCAGGCAAGCATCAGAGCTGGAACTGCCATCCAAAAGGGGCCCAAATGTCTCCAGACCCAGCCAATCTCTGGCTACTAGCAAGGTCATGTTAGCAACAGAAACCAGTGTCAGAAGGTCTAGCACAAGGCTGGCCACTCAGGCCTGCAGCCCTTCCTGCATGTTTTTGTAATATACCCCAAGAGTATCTCTTGAGCTCACAGACCATTCGCTCTGGCAGCTCGCAGAATGTAGAGGAAATAGAGATGCATGGTATGGTATCTGAGAAGGTACTTCTCTCTTCTGTCATACACCTGTCTGCAGGTAGTCTATCATTTAGTGAAATAAGTCTCCATTTTTACTTACATCCCTCCCCTGACCAGCCAAGAGTGTGTGAGAGAGGCTGATTTCCTGGTTCCATGTGACTTTCTTCTAAATCACCCATACCCCCTGACCCCTGAAGCTCTGTTTTCCCTGCAGGATGGGTGGTCTTCCTGAGGGTTTCTTAGTTCCTGATATGAGAGAATTGTGCTGACCAGTCCATAAGCGTGCCTGCAGTGACTGACCCTGTGCAGCGAGCCCAGGAGTGTATTCCAGCATGCTGTGTGCAGCACACGAGAACATTCAGATGTTGAAATCATCCCTAAAGTCTGGACACAGGTTTAGCACCTGCTAGTCCTGTCACAAGAGCTTCCTGGGGCAGCCACTGGTTCAATCACCACAAACATGTGAGTGAGAAGTGTTATCAGGCATGAAAAGTAAGCATGAGTCCCTAATTTAGCCAAACACATTGATTCACCACTGAATGCAATTTTATTCATTCATTCAACGAATGTTTATTGTCTACTGTGTGCCAGGCACCATTCTGCATGGACATCACAGTGGATAAAACAGATGAACATCCCTGTCCCTATGGAGTCTGTAATCTAGTAGAAGAAAATAACAGATAAACAAATAAGTACAATATAAAGTATGTCAGATGATGCTAAGTAATATGAAGAAAGATGTAGCAGGGATGGGAGGGCAGGCTAGGAGTGAGGATGTTGCCACTGTAAGTAGTCAGGGTGATGTTGGAGTGGGGACTTGATGAGGTGAGAGTGCCTTGCAGATATCCGAAGAGGAGCCTTCTGGGCAGAGGAGCTGCCAGTGCAAAGGCCCTGGGACAGAAGTGGGTCTGATATATTCGAGCTGGAGCTGAGTGAGTCAGGAAAGAGTTGCAGGAGATGAGGCTAAACAGGGTCTTATGGACCATTTAAAGGACTTTGTTTTAACACTGGTTGGGATGGGAGGCCACAAAGGATTTACAGCATTGAAATGACATCATCTTTATGTTTTAAAAGGACCACTCTGGCTGCAGTGTTAAAGTCAGATTGTAGGAGGACAAGGGCAGAATCAAAGAGAGAACCATTGCAAAAATCTAGGTAGGCAATGATGGTGGCTTGTACCAGGGTAATAATGGTGGAAGTGATAACAACTGGTAACATTTTGGACATAGGTTGAGGGGTGCCAGCAGAATTCAGCTAATAAATTGAAAGTGAATTATGAGAGAGAGGGCAGAATCAAGGGTAACTGCAAGGCTTTTGCCCTGAGAACCTAGAAGCAAGGTGTGGGCCTTTTGTCGAGACGGAGAAAGTTAGGGAGGAGCAGATTTGCAGAAGATCAGGAATTAGGTTTGGACAGGCTCAGTTTTTAATGCCTATTAGACAACCAAGTGAAGATATTAAATAGGCAGTTGGTTACATGAGCCTGGAACTCAGGGGTGGAAATAGAAATTTGGGGATCATCATCATTTTGATGGTGTTTATAGCCAGGAGACTAGACTAAAATATAATTCAGATACCAGGGAAATAATGATCCTTTAAAAATACAACTGTGGCAATGTTTTCAGAAAGTAAAAGACAACACTTAAGAAACCTTTTTCAACATGGGAACAACCTTCTTAATTTCTATTCAGTTTCATTGTCCAATTAAATATTTTGATTCTGAATAAGAGAGAAAAAAGTTTTAACTGTCAGGAAAGGGAAGTTAACATGGAATTGCTTTTTCAGAGTGGAGAACACCTCAGAAACTATATCGCACGAGCAGGTTCTTGTGTGCATTCATGAAAGAGGAAAACGGTGTTAAAGCCACCAGGGTTCTGGAAACAGACTTTTTTTTTTTTTTTAAACAGAGAACAGTTGAGAAAAAGCTTTAACGTTTTAAATATCCTTTAACCATGGATATTTATTTCTGTGAACTGATTTACATATAATTAGAATACCTGCAGTTTCTAAGGGCAAAATATGTCCTTATTCCAAACTACAGAAATACAACGTTGGAGGCTTTTCAGGGAATAGGGAACAATAAAATGGGAGAAAAGTATCAGAATTCAATTTCTTTTATAATTCACCAATATTTTCAAGGCTTCCAAATAGATTTTTTTAAAGTAACTATGGGGTGGTAGTTCCATATTTGCCATCAATTTTCTAATTAAAACAGGATTTGGAAAAGAAAAAAAGTGCTTCGCTCACTGAAATGATTCTTTACATTGAAGATATTATAACATGAGTTCCATAGTAGTATAATATAATATCTGAGCAGCTTGGCAGGTTCGTGTGCAGATGAGATTCTGCTGGGTCTTAGCAGCTATTCCTTTGGTGATTATCCTTTTTTTTTTTTTAAATTGGCAAGTGATAGGATATGTGGACACTGCCACTCTTGACTTTCCTGAAGGGGACTTTAATCGGGGTTAAGCCAGTGAGGTCAGGGCCTAGGGACAGTACTGCAGCTGAGCTGCCAATCCCCAGTGGCCCAGGTATGTGATGCTCCGGACTCTGCAGTGGCCCAGCTTGCAGGCTTCAAACAGAGGTGCTCCCCAGGACCAGCCTTTGAGCAAGGGCTGCGTAGAGACAGGCCTGGGCTCTCTTGCTCCGCATTTTTTCTGATGGTTAGGTGCTTTCAGATTTAGAATACAGAGGAGGGGGAAGAGACCCTCAGCCCCCTCTGTTATGTACCCCTATGTCAGCCAGATGTTCCCAGGTTCAGCACATTTAACCCTTGCCTTTGCTTCTAGAATAGGCTTTCTGGGATGTGCAGCCTCCTTCTTCTCCAGGCACAGAAGTGAAGGCTGCTTTCTCAGTCCAGCATACACACCTGAACAAACCTTGATGCCAGTAGCCACCAGGGTGACAGGTCAAGGCAATATCTGGGTGCTGAGAAAGTTATTCTTAGGGGCAAGCACCGTGGCAGAGGCATGTCGGGCTTAGAATATCTGGGTGCTCCCTTACTTCTGTGTTACTCTTGCAGTTAGGATCTGGCCAGTAGGCTGTGAGGAAAAGCAATGGGTGTTAACATCCAGGCCCAGGCATTTAAAACTCCGTAGAGTTATTTATCCTCCTTCTTGTTCTTTCTATAACAAGATGGAAGAGGACCGAATTGATTCCTGGTCACCATGGAACATGGCCTGACCAAATCTCATTGAAACCTGATGAGAATAAGAAATAAGCTTGTGCTGGGTCAAGCCACTGAGGTTTAGGAATTTAGGTGTTACTGCAGCATGGCAGAGTCTATCCTAAATACTGCAATTCTTTTTTCAAAGTCCCACTCATACTTTTGGGGGTCTTAGTCGTTGGTGTGGTTTGGGCCCAAGAAGGCATATGCTTCAGAGAAGGAGCCTCATACTGCTTCATTTGGGGCCATTATAACCCTATGCTCATGGACAATTTTCTGAGCAGTGGCCACCAAATGCGTGTTGGAGTCAACTTCTTAGCTCCGGCTGGGTAGGTGCATGGAAATGCTGATATGGTTCTATTTTTCATAATTTGCATGAAATTAAATTGATTTCATATCCTAATCAAGGAGACATGATCTTCAATAGAAAGAACCACATTCCACATAAAATCATGTATACTGAGTCATTTTTCATCTATGTTTGAAGTGATTCATGATGCTCTAAGCTAGTAAAACAACTTGCTGAAATAAAATGATCCATCTAAGCAAATAAAACCCCTGACAGAGTTACTGTATGGCATTTTCTAGGGAGCTATAACTATGATAGCTAGTTCATTGAGAACTAAGTAGAAAACCCAAACACTGACAAAGCTGCAAAGGACAGATGAATCATCATTGGAGAGTCTGGGCCAGGAAGCACAGTGGGGTCATAAAATATATGGACTTGCAGGGTGAGAGGATGCTGAGTGGGCAGCCAGGCTGGCTTCTTGCCTCAGGCATGCCAGAGCTATCATTCATTTGGAGTCAGGTGTTTACAGAGCTTTGCTTCTGACTCACCTCGTGCCAGCCTCCCTTGGGGAAGATGAGCAGTAAAAGCGATGTTCCTCTCATCAAGAGGCCTATAGATCTTCTGTGGTGGGGTGAGATTCGTTTTGGGACACTATAAACCACTGAAGAGTTAATGTGCCTAGGAAATTCTACTGGAATTTTTTTTAAAAAAAAAAGAATCAGCAGGCTATGCTGCGCCATGTTTCCAGATCAGGGTCTGCCGCCCACAGCATCCTCACTGTTGGTGTCATCCTCTTAGAGTAGAATGGGTCCCTTGAATGGGTCCCCTGATTGCCTCCTTGACACGTGATCATTTGATCTGTGTTCGAATATTTCCAGTGTCTGGAAACCTATTACCTGTCAAAGAAGGCCTACTGGATAATTCTTTGTGTTGAGTTGAAACCTGCTTTCATGTAGCTGCGGCCTGCAGATAATCAGCGTGCCCCCACACTCATACAGTACAAGCCCACTTGGTCTCCCATTCAACAGCTCTTTGGACATTTGCTCATAGCATTCAGGGTACATCCCCCCACCCATATACACAGGGCTCCCCACACTGGCTCTCCAGGCTGAGTCTCTCACAGAAGCACTGGAAGATTCCCTAGAGAGGCTTCCAGACCCCTCACCTCCCGGATGGCCTCCCTGGCTTGTTCAAGTTGTCAAAGGCCCTGGTCTGAGGACCCCGCAGCTTACATTTCCCCTGGCTGCCATGTTGCCTCAAGGCACAGCACCAGCCCAGAGCCCATGGGGGAGCACTTCTGGCTTGAAAAGCCTCCTTGCTCAAACTTCTCTATCCTACAGTGAAGTCACTGGAAAGATCCCCTTTTGAATCTCACTCCTACATCATTCAACTCTAGCAGAAAGGCATGTCATGACAATGAGACCACGTGTGCAGCAATTGAACGCCCCTTTCCTCATGCTGTCAGTAATGTAGATGAGGCACGTGAAGAGGCACGTGTTAGCACTTCTATTCTCAAACAAAAACACTCATCAGTTAACCAATGGCTGTTCTCTTGGTCCCATGAAAAGTTATTGGTGAAGAAAGGCTCATTGATATCTTTTTTAAAAATTTATTTTAAAATAACCAAAAGCTCACAAAAAATTGCAAGAACAGGATGTAGAGTTAGTTCCCTTCATGAAACCTCCCCCAGTGGCAGTATCTTACACAACTATAATACCTTGTCTAAACCAGTGTCTAAACTGTGCGTGGGACAGTACTTCAACTCAGTGAAAGACCTTATTTGGATTTCACCAGTTTTGATATGTATTCGTGTGTGTGTGTGTAGTTCTATGATACTTTACTACATGTGTAGATTCAAGTAACCATCACCGCAATTACAGACTGTTCAGTCACCAAAGAAATGGTCTCACATTACCCCTAATAATCAAATCTTTTCCCAACTCTAATCCCTGGCAACCACTGATCTGTTCTTTACTACTATAATTTTGTCACTTTGAGGATGCTAGAGTGTTGGAATTGTACAATATGTAAGCTTTTGAGACTGCCTTTTTTTTTAACTCAGGGTAATGCTCATGGGAATCTTTTGCATATGTGTACTCTTGATCTTAAATTATTGGATGGCGTTAAATTTTAGACTTGAGCAATGTGACAAAGCCTCTCCAAGGCACATGGTTAAATGAGTAAACCTTTGGCTTAGGATGGAAGAGTGACTCACAGCCCCACAGCCAGTACCTGAAGAGGTGGCAGCCTGAGCCACGTTGAGCCAGGTGACCCTACAGGAGCGTTCACAGTAAGCACAGCCCTGGGGAGCTCCCAGGGGCTCTGGAACTGTGAATGGGACACACCTGACTCTCTGCCGTCCTCTTCTAATGATTCTGTGATTTCAAACACTAAAGTTTTTCATGGCCTGAAGATTTCAGTGTTTCCAAAAGGCAGGAATAAAAATCAAGGGTAATTAAACTTGTCAAACCATAGATTTTTTTTAGGAAAACATTTTGGCAGGGACAACAGGCTGTCACGTTCCCTCCTCCCTCCACGGTGTATGCCTTCATAGGGGGTCTGTATGCTAGGGTTGTCTGATCTGGAGAAAAGCTGTACAAATTCCAATTGCATTCCAACTTTGGTAAACTCAGAAGTGATTAGCTACAGAGTGAAAATATCCACTGTAATTTGGCAAATATTAATGGCACTGCAGAGCATTTCAACTGTAAATGGAAAAGTAAAATATGTAAAAATTGAGGATTAGATAGAAAAGAAAGCTGCTCATGTTTTAGGAATGGAAATGATTATTTAGTGAGCTTATCTATTTATAGCATTGCCACTATATAGGGAGTTTGGATTTTTTTAAAGCCTTTTTAGAAATCTGGAAAGTTTAATGAAATATAAATTTTCTAAAACAATCCTCAAGAAGTAAAAATGTACTGGCTATAGTTCAGCTAGTTTATTGTAAAGTTTAAGCAAAGTAAAACTCAAACTTGATTCTATTTTTAAATATAATCAAGCATATATGTATGGTTGGATTCTGGTAATAAAATTGTTTTTTAATTGAATGCCTACTTTGTGCATATGCTTCTCTGATAGGAATCCAACAAATATCTGTTGAATACACGATGAGTGACTAAATAAATGAATAAGGACAAGTTAATAAAAATGTGACCAGATGCCTTAGATTCTTAAATTAAACCAATTAAGGACAACACAGAAGTTTGTAAAGAATCTGTTGTAATGCCCTCACTTAATTACAGAGTTATCTTTATAAACAAGAGCTTTGTTTATTGTTTAAACCAATTCTAAGAAATGATTATGAGATACTGTAGATTGGGTATTATACATCCATTGGAAACCACTTTTCATACTTTTCCATGCTTTGATTAACAACAGGCAGCCTCTATTCAAAATACCTTTCTAACTGGAGAAAATAGTGACATCATCTCCTTCATGATGATGTCATGCCACTATGAGGTTAGGCTGTAATATATTAAAACTAATACTAATGTTTAATGCTGACACTACATCTATTACTTACACTAATACAAATGCTGAGCAATTACCTTTTTGAGCTTTTATTAAGTACCAGCTCTGTGCTAAGTGTGTGCCAGGCATGGTGCTGTTTAATCCTCACCGCCACCGAGTGAAGCTCTTACTATATCTTTACAAACCAGGAGCCTGCAGTTCAGAGCACTTCGGTGGTTTTCCCAAGGTCATAGTGACAGTAAGCGGTAAAATCAAGTTTTAAGGCTGTGCACGGTGGCTCACGCCTGTAATCCCGGCACTTTGGGAGGCTGAGGCGGGCGGATCACCTGTGGTCAGGAGTTCGAGACCAGCCTGGCCAACATGGTGAAACCCCATCTCTACAAAAAGACAAAAATTAGCCAGGCATGATGGCGCGCATCTGTAATCCCAGCTACTTGGGAGGCTGAGGCAGGAGAATCGCTTGAACCCAGGAGGCAGAGGTTGCAATGAGCTGAGCTCGTGCCATTGCACTCCAGCCTGGGTGACAGAGCAAGACTCCATCTCAAAAAAACAAAAGTAAAAAAAAATAAAGTTTTGAACACAGTTGGCTGTCTCTAAAGCTAGAGCTCACGAGCTCCTCTCCTGTTTCCATACTGGTTAGTGTCTGTCTGTTCATTAAAACCAGCGTGGATGTCAGTCAAGGCAGGCCTCACTGGATTTACTCCTTGGAAACAATAATAATTGCTTTTTTTCCTTCAAAGATTTCTTAACAGACTCCTTCCTCAATCTATCAAAATTAGTGACTATGACTGTGTGTAAAAGAAAATTAAGACACTGAGCAAATAGGTAGGCAGGCTTTGTAGAAAAGTAGTAGGCCTCAGGAACAAAATGACATCAGTCTGCAGTCACCCAGTGGCACAGGCTGGGGAGAGGGACAGGGTGGGCACCTTATGAATCCTGGGCATTTGAACCGAGACAACTTCAGTTCTCTGTAGGCTGTAGACACGTAACTCCATGCTGAGCACAAGCACCATGGTCTTACTCACATCTGGGAATGTTCTGCCCATAGCCCCATAGGATGCAGGGGGCCTGTGGCCAGCAGGAGGGCAGCAGGTAAGGCCAGTCTTTGCTGCTGGCACCACAGGTGAAGAAGTTATGTCCTTCCAATCTCGGCTTAGCTGTCACTTTGTACAGGAGGATTTCCCTAATTCCCATGGACCGGGCTGGGTTTCCCTTGCTGGATGCTCCTAAGGTGCCCTATGCTTCCTCTACTCTGTTGTAATTGCTTTTTAAGCTGCTGATCTTGACTGTGAGCTCTAGGAGGGAAAGGAGAGGGTCTCCTTCTTCACTGCTTTGTCTCCAGGCCTGAAAGAGGGCCAAGAACACAGTGACTGCTTAGTAAATAAACATTAAATAATTTGGAATGTTTTCCCAACCAAAAGAAGAAAAGAAAATGATTTAGGGACATTACATGAAAGAAACCAATGAAGCCTAGTGTTTTTTCCTCACTGTTTGAATTTGAGCATATTGGGTAGACAAAACTCCTGGCTTCGTTCTCTAAGCCCCTAACTCTTTCTTTTTGTCAACTTATTTCTCTCTGTCTCTTTTTGTTCTGTTCTTTGCTGACCTCTTTCTCCCTCCTTTATTTCCTTCCCTTAATCCCTTTCTTCTCTCTATAACTTGGGCTTGTTTTTGTCTATTTCTCTGAATTATTTTTCTAGAGGAAAAATATTAATAGATATTGATAGCTTAAGAAATTGATAGGGGGGAAACAGTTCTTGATAGCTTAAGCACAACTCCTAGAAGAATAAAAATAAAATATTTAACTTTTAAGCTAGCAGAAGAAAATCCCATCTATTTAATAGAATATAAGAAAGGAAAGGGGAAGAAGAAGATGTGGAAAATAGAAAACATAAAAAAAGCAGAAATAAATGTTCATATATTTTATAATTAATATTAACATTAATATATTACAATGTATTTATAATAGGAATTACAATAATAGTAAATAATTTAAAGTCATTCATTAATCAAAGTATAATGACTCTCTAAGTGAATTTAAAAGACAAAAACCAAGCAATCAAGATAAAAACCAAACAATAGATTAGAAACAAAAGGATACAGAAAAGATAGGAAAAGATATACCAGAAATAGGCCAGAATAGAAATTTTAGTATCAGAAAGACAGTAATTTAAGGCATAAACTATTAGAAAGGGAAAATGAGGATGCTATATATTGGTAAAACAAGTAATATGTCAAGAAATAGAATGATAACGAATATGTACACCTCTGATAATGTGTCATCAACAGACATACAGCAACAACTGACAGAGCTGGGGTGGGAAATAAATTTAAAAAATAGCTGCAGGTTTTAATACACAGTCTCAAAAACTAATACTTGAAGCATACAAAAATAAGCAAGGATATGGAACATTAGAGTAATATAATTTATCTCTTCATATGTATCCCAATAAGCAAAATACTTTCTTTTCATATGCATATAGAACAAACACAAACAAATTATAATGTGGTAAGCCCAAAATAAGCTTTGCTTAGATTTAAAAGCTTTATAAGTTTAAAAGAATCAACATCATGCATGCAATGTTCTTGACCATGATGCTATTAAATTAAATGTTAAAACCCTATATGTCTGGAAATTTTAAAAATACTCCCAAATAGCATTGGGCTATACAATAAACCAAAGAGAAGTTGTTAAATACTTAGAGGTGAATGAAAATTCACCATTTGAAAGCAGCACATGCTAAATTATGTGAGTCATGTTCAAAGCAGCACTCAGGTAAATTTATGGCTTTAAATAAATTTACTAGAAATTAAGAAAGAATGCAAGTAAGACAGTTAAGCTTTATCCTTAAAAAATTCAAAGGGGAAACAGAGTAAACCCAAATAAACAAGAAAAACGTAAATAAGAAGATAGGCAGAAATTAATAAATGCAGAGAAAATAACAACAATGGGAAATGAACTGGAAGTGTTCTTCAGAAAGACTAGTAAAATAGATAAGCCTGTGGTGACACTAATAAAAGAGGAAATGCAAATTTTTAAAAATGTGAGATAAAAAGAGGAACTAGATAAAGTTCTGGAAAAGATCTTAGTATAACTATAACTCTTAAACTGAAATGAAATCATTCACATTTTTTCCAAAAAATTTCCAGCTCCATATAGTTTTACAGCTATGTTCAGCAACACATTCAAGGAATAGATGATCCCAATCTGAAAATGTTGCTACAAACCATCCGAAATCAAGAGCACACTGTTCACATAACTTTGTCAGGTTAGTATAAACCTGATCCTAAAAATGAATAAAAACAATACAGTGAAAGAATATTTTAGGTCAATTTCCTATGAACATAGATGTGAAAATCCTAAATATGGTATTAGCTAATCAAATGTAACAGTTTATCTTTTAAAACATGCAATCAAGTTAGAATTTAAGAAAGTGTAAGCATTAAAAAATCTATAACTGTGATTCAGTCTATTAATGGAATAAAAGAAAAATCTCATGATCATTTTAGGAGATGCAAATGAAATACCTGAGAAAGTTCAACACCTATTCATATTCATTATTTTAAAATATACTCAGAGGAAACCAGAATAAATGGAAAATTTCCAATCTTAACAAAGGCTATTTACTAAAATCTAATTTTTTAAAATGTTATTTCTTGTAGCATTATTTATGAAGGAGGACTTTAAGGGAGCCCAGGTGTCCCTAGGAGAAAATGTAGTCTATACATCTGTTTTAGAAAAAAACTACACAGAAATTGGTAAAAAAAAAAAAAAACAAAAAAAACAAAAAACAGTAAGCTAGATTTACATTTAGTAATGCAAATAGATCTTAAAATAGTGTTGAGTAAAAAAGGATAATGAAATGTATAACATTTTGAATTATATAAACATGTAAAACAACACTACATATTTTTCAAGGATACCCAGATATCTAGTAACATTAATACATACATTAGAGAAGGTGCCTATGGGCAGAAAAGAACAGATATGGAAACAGGGAACTAGGAGAAATAATAAAATAACAAAACTAGAGAAGAGCCCTTCATGAACCAATGGACATTGTGTGCACTGAAGTGAGCAATGTGATGTACTCAACTCTGTGCACCTGAGGACCAAAAGAAGAAAAGAAGTCCCTGTCCACCTCATATAACATGGTCACTTGGATGCTATGGTAACTACTATCTCTTGGGGCTAACTCTTTTCCTGGTCATCTTAGAGTTATTGGTCTTCCTACATCACAGCTCTCCACCGTGTTTCTAAGTCCACCATCCTTCTTGCAAACTATGTGCCACTCAATGCCACACGTGCTACAGACTGCCCTGTGTGTCTAGCGGGGGCTTTCCTTGAGTGGCAAGGAAAGGTGGGAGGGGTTACAGCACAGCGTAGCGGACTTCATCACTCTCTTTTGAACCCCAGACTCCTGTATTTAACAATCTACTTACTAATAGGCATCTCAGACTTACCAAATGTCCAAACCTGACTTCTGAATTTCCCCACCTGCTGCTCTGAACTTGAATCTCCTCTCATCTTCTCCATCTTAGTCAATGACTCTTGTCTTTCACTTATAACCCCTGACCATTCCATCATTAATTCTTACCAACAGTAAACTTAAACAATAGCCAGAATCCAACCACAACTAAAACACCACTCTAGTGCAAGTCAACGTATCCGTCACCTAGACTATTGTCAGTCTCCTTCCTGGTCTTCTTTCTTCTATTCTTGCACCCTGCAGTCTATTCTCCATCCAACAACCAAAGTGATCTTTTAAAGACACAAATCAAAGTCACTCTCCTGCATCCCCATCACACCTAGAGTAAAATGCCAATTCCTTATCAAGGCACACACATCCTTACTTGGCTGGGCCTCTAATGCCATTCTCAACACACTGCCTTCATCAATCCAGTAGCCAGAGCCTTCTCTTTGCTCCTTGAGCACACCAAGCCTGTTCTCTCCTGTGAGACTTGACGTGTGATGTCCCTTCCACCCAGAACGCTCAAGCAGAAGCTGTTGGTGCCTTGGCTGTATTCCCCCTGAGTCTCAACATTTCTATGTGTTCAGCCAGACTCCCACCTGCCAGAACCTGTGCCTCCTTGCCCAAGGGCTTTCTCAGATGAGAACTGCCACTGCCTGTGCAAATGGCAGGTCATAAGTCCAGAAAATTACTGCCCTTGACAGCAGCCCTCAAACAATGAAATGGGAATTGTTGTATAAACACTCCAGCTCCCTCAACCCTTTGGGTGGGAAGGAGACTTAGAGACATGTGTTTTATACTAGATCCCAGAGTTCCCAGTGGGATTAAGCTCCATTTGCCCACAGTGGTAACTTGCTTGACAACACAGTCCTTGTTGGCTTCTTTCTCTTCCCTGTCTCACTTTCTCACTCCCCTACCAGGGCCTCCTGAGATGTACCTCTTAAATAAACTACCTGCCCATGAATCCTTGTCTCAGGTTTGCTTCTAGGAGAATGCAGACTAAGGTAGCCCCTACCCTGTCAGTCCTCAACTTAAACATCATGTCTTAAGAGAATCAGCACAGCATAGTGACCTGGAGGGCGGGCTCTGGGAACAAATTGCCTGGAGTAAAAGCGTGATTCCACTAGTCACTAGCTTTGTGAACTTGAGCTTTTATGCTCGGTTTTCTCATCTGCAAAACGAGGAGTAATAATAACGGCCTATCTCACTGGTTTACCATGATTAGTAACTGCATTAATAAATATGATGCACTTGGAATACAGCCTGACATGAGGTAAGCACTCCATAAACATCTTTTGCAATTCCTGAACACCCCAACTAAAATAAGTCTTGGCTTTGTTCCTCTCTCTTCCCTTACCTTGTCTTTTTTTTCCCACTGAAAATATTACTATCTGATATTATATTCAAGGCTGTTTGTTCATTTTATGTTTTCCGTTTCCCTTCATGGGCCTCTGGGTCCATGAACACAAGTATTCAATGTATAGTTCACCAATACATCCCCAGTTCCTAGTACAAGGCCTGGATGATAGGAGATACTCAAGAGACATTTGTTTAGTAAATGACTCTTAATGAACACCATTCTTAAAAGCTTCTTAAAGATTCTCCTCTCTGTGTACCTGTCATTGCCCAATAAGATGGCAATTTGAAAATTGCTGTGAAGGCATGGGGCAGGGGTGAGCATTGCTGGGCTTAGAGCAGAGAAGTGACTTGATTCAGGGTTATGTTTCCAGAAGCCCATTCTGGCAGTATGTGTGCAGATGGACTGGGATAGCTAGAGGCTGGTGGGGCCAGAGGCTCTGGCTTAATCTAAGGTGAAGAGATAAGAAATGCAGAGATTCTGAACACAGATAGTAATTATGGGGAAGAAGAGAAAGGCTGATAGGAGAAGGTGAAAAGAAGGAAGAACCTGAGGTCTAGAGCCTGGTTCCAGACTAGATGGAGAGTTAAAAGAAGCACAGGAGGAAATAGGTGTAGGGGAAAGACATTGAATCTAGCTTGAGCTATATTGGGTTGGAAAAGTCTCTGGGGGCACCTGGTGGAGACAGATGTTGGTATCCTGTTGGATATTCTGGTCTGCAGCTTAGGAGTAAGATGGGGACTGGAGACATCAACTCATGGATGTGTTGTAGCATAGGGAAGTTTGAAGCAGTGGAAGGAGATGTGATCACCAACTTATGTCCAAGGAGAATCTCAAGCAATACCAGAGGGCTCTCCTGAGATTTCGAGGTGGCCAGGGCAGCCCTGAGGCTTTTGTTACCTCTGGGAAGGACCTGAACTCGTGGATCCCTGTGGGTCCCTTTGCACTTGTGTCAGGCGCTCTCCATCAAGGATGCTGATCACTTTGTCCTCTTTCTCCACCCTTGCCTGGTATCCCCATGGCTCTGAACTCAGCCCTGGGAGTCCTTGAAGGCCAAGCTAGGACAAGTCCCTTCCACATGACCAGCATCATCAGCAGAAGTCTGAAAAGAAAAGGTAGCATGAAGGCATCACTCAAAGACAGTAGCAAGCTGATCCCTGGAAAACCATAGAGAATGCAGGCAATGAGCACTTGTGGCCCAGAGCAGTCCAAAGACCTGTAAGATCACCCACCTGGCCTTGATGCTAGTGTATGAGGACTGTACTCAAGAGTCTGATGTGGGGGTTAAGAACATGGACTCTGAAGTCTTACCTTCTGCGCTTAGAATCCCTGTTTCATGCCTTGGTGGCTTTGGACAGGTTGTGTAACTTCTCTGAGCCTCAGATAGTAAAAAGAGCAAAACAACTGTGCTTCCTTCAGAGGACTGTGGGGAGGATTAACTAAAATAATTCATGTAAAGGACCCCATGCATAATGAGCATCAGTAAATGGTGGCTGCGATGATTATGAAGCACTCTGGTTTCACCGTTTGCTCATGAGGAAAGAATGACTGGGGAAAGGGAGCTGGTTGCAGACAGCCTCACCTGTGAGAGAAGGGCTGGAGCTGCTAGGAATTGCTTCAAATAAGCCTCTAGATTAATTACTGCCAGACCATTTGCCTAGAAACTGGCAAACTTTAGGGCCCCTAGAGTTTTCTTCCTGCCCAGCACAAGGCCCTTCATAGCAAGAACAGAAGCCGATGAGGAAAGCTTGCATGAGCAAATGAACGAAGGAATGAAGGAATAAAGAAAGGAATAATGAACCTTCTGTTCTGTCCTGTCAGTGCAGACCACTGCAGACTGCCTTTAACAATGCAGCCCGGTGCAGTCTCTCATGAGCAGCCATGTGTGCATGTGCGTGAGTGTGTGAGTGTGTGCATGTGTTTATTCAGATTAACATGGGAATAAATCACAGATATCTAATCTTCTCGGACCCTGACAGGCAAGTTAAGCAGAAGTTATCAAAGACATAATTTAACTTACACTTCCTTTTCAGCTTCCATCAATCTCAGCATGGACAGTGGTGGACTGCAAAGTGCCTCGTGCATTAATAAAGAGACATCAGCTTATCCAGCCTTTACTGCTGGATTGACTTCATTTTAGGATTTGACCACAATAAACAGCAAAGAACTCATTTCCTGCCGAAGATGCAGAACAGTTAATCCTCAGCGGGAGGAAGAAGATGCTAGGCAGGGGCCTGAGTTGGAGCAGGGAGGGATGCAGTCCCGAGGGAGATACCCAGAGCTAGCTTTCACACGGGGCGCCTCTTTGTGACCCAGAGTGGTTAGGATTCTATGGAGGCCTCCAATTGGCTGGGGTGCCTTGTGGGTTGTACTTCACCTCAGAAAGTTCATCATCTGCTGAGGAGATGAGGCCCCAGGGACAAACGCTATGTGAACTACATACATCTGTGAGTCAGGATGGTGACATGTTTGAACTGAGGGGATTTTAGAATTTCTCCTTCCTTCACCTGAGTTTTCCCTCAGGAGGAGGCAGAGGTACATCATTGTTAAAGGCCCTTCCTTCTAGCATTAACAGTCTACAGCCTGACTCAGCATGCCTGGGCTCTGTGGTGTGAATGTGTATGTGCATGTAGGTGTATGTGTTATGTCTTGTTTTGTCTAAAACCTAATGCAGCGTTTGGCTGACACTCACAAGGAATGAGCACTTCTATATAGACTATTTTCTGGGTATATGAATCTAGTCCTGGCAGGGACATAGGATCTCAGTCTGTGGATAATTTTATAATGAAAATTAAACCCCCAAGAGATGGAATGTGGGCAAGACACCCATTGTTACCACGATGGGTACAGTTACTTCTCTTAATTGATCATCTCTTTGTCACATTTTTGTTTATTTAATACATCTATAGCTTGATTACAATACTGTCTGGATATCAGTGTTAACCAGAATAAGTGTGGTCCTTGTTTCTGATTTTAAAAAGTCAGTGCTGAAGAATACGCAGTCTTCTCAAGTTCATGTGGAATGTTCATGAAGATAGACTACTTTCTGGGCCATAAAACACACCTTAACATGCTTACGAGAATGGGAATCATACAATGTCTGCTCTCAGACCACAATGGAATTAAAGCAAGCAAAAAGTAAAAGTAAATAAAAACATAGCTAGGAAATCCCCAAATACTGTGAAATTAAGCAACACATTTCTAAATAACATATGGGTCAAAGAAGAAATCTCAAAAGAAAATTTAAAATATTTTGAACTAAATGAAAATGAAAACACAACTTATCAAAATTTGTGAGATGCAATGAAAGCAGCACTTAAGAGAAAAATGTATAGCACTGAATGCATATATTAGAAAGGAGAAAGATCTGAAGTTATTCAGCTAAATTTCCACCTTGGGAAACTAGAAAATGAAGAGCAAACTAAATCCAAAGTAATCAGAAGAAAAGAAAAAATAAAAAATTAGAGCAGAAATCAATAAAATTAAAAAGAAAATCAATGGGGAAAATCAATAAAACTAAAAGCTGCTTCTTTGCAAAAACTAATGAAAGTGATAAGCCTCTAGCCAGGCTAAGAAAAAAGGCAGAAGACACAAATTATTAATATCAGAAATGAAAGAGGGGACATTACTATAGATCCCATGGACATTAAAAGGATAATCAAGGAATACTATGAACAACTCTAAGCTCACAAATTTGATAACCTAGATGAAGTGAACCAATTCCTTGAAAAATACAATTTGCCAAAACTCACACACACAAAATAGACAATCTGAAAGGGCCTATATCTATTAAAGAAAACAGAAAACGCTAGGCCCAGATGGATGACAGGTGAATTCTATCAAACATTTAAGGAAAAAATTATATAAAGTTTCTACAATCTCTTTCAGAAGATAGAAACAGAGGAAATACTTTCTAAGTCATTCTATGAGGTCAGCATTACTCCAATACCAAAGCCAAAGAAAGACATTACAAGAAAAGGAAAATCAGACCAATATCTTTCATAAACATAGATGAGAACATTCTTGACAAAATATAAGCAAATCAGGCGACAGAGCAAGACTCCGCCTCAAAAAAAAAATAAGCAAATCAAATCCAACAATGTTTAAAAGGAGTTATACACTATGACCAAGTGAAGTTTATCCCAGGTATACCAGACTGGTTCAAAATTCAAAAATCAATTAATGTAATCCATCACATCAACAGGCTAAGGAGAAAAATCACATGATCATATCAGTAGATGCAGAAAAAGCATTTGACAAAATCCAACACCCATTCATAATAATAAAAAGACCTCTTAGTAAACTAGGAACAGAGGGGAACTTCCTCAACTTGATAAAGAATATCCACAAAAAAACCCTATAGCTAACATCATACTTAGCAAGAAACTTGAAACTTTCCTTCTAAGATTATAAACAAGGCAAGGATGTCCCCTCTCACCACTGCTTTTCTACATCGTACTGAAACTCTAGCTAGTGCAATAAGACAAGAAAGGGAAATAAAAGTTATATAAATTGGAAAGAAAGAAATGAAACTATTTTTGTGTGCAGATGACATGATCATCTATGTAGAAAATCCAAATGAACTGACAAAAAAAAATTCCTGGAACTAATATGCAATTATATCACAGCTGCAAGATACATGGTTAAAACACAAGTGTCGATTGCTTTTCTGTATGCCAGCAACATGTGAATTTGAAATTAAAAACAGAATATCTTTTACATTAGCACTCAAAAAATAAAATGCTTTTCATATAAAACAAAGTACATATAAGATCTGTATGAGGAAAACTACAAAATTCTGATGAAAGAAATCAAAAAACTAAATGAAGAGATATTTCATGTTCCTGGATAGAAAGACTCAACATAGTCAAGACGTTAGTTTTGTCCAACTTGATATATGGATTGTGGATATTGACAAACTGATCTCAAAGTTTATATGGAGGGGCAAAAGACCCAGAATAGCCAGAACAATGTTGAAGGACAAGAACAAAGTCAGAAGACTGACATTGCCCAACTTCAAGACTTACTATAAAGCCATAGTAATCAAGACAGTGTTTTACTGGTGAAAGAACAGACAGATAGATCAATGGAACAGAATGAAGAGCCAAGAAATAGACCCATATAAATATGACAAAAGAGCAGAGGCAATACAATGGAGTAAAGACAACCTCTTCAATAAATGATGCTAGGACCACTGGTCATCCATGTGCAAAAAAATGAATGTAGACATAGACTTTTCACTCTTCACAAAAATTAACTGAAAATGTGTCACTGACATACATTTAAAATGCAAATTTATAAAATTCCTAGAAGATAACATATGAAAAAATCTAGATGACCTTGGGTTTGGTGATAATGGTGATAACTTTCTAGATATAACATCAAAGGCACAACCCATAAAAGAAATAATTGATTAAGTACATGCTATGGTTTGGATATTTGTCCCCTCAAACTTCATGTTGAAGTTTGGTTCCTGATGTTGGGGATGGGGCCCATGGGAGGTGTTTGGGTCATGGGGGTGAATCCTTCATGAATAGATTAATGCCCTCTCTTGGGGTAAGTGAGTTCTCACTCTGTAAGTTCCTATGAAAGCTGACTGGTAGAAAGAGCCTGGCACTTCCCCACTCTCTCTTGCTTCCTCTCTCGCCATGGGATCTTTGCACACATTGGTTCCCCTTTGCCCTCACCATGAATGGAAGGAACCTGAGGCCCTCACCAGAAGCCAAGCAGATTTCAGCACCATGCTTCTTATACAGCTGGCAGAACTGTGAGCCAAATAAACCTTTTTTTTTTTGTGATAAATTACTTGGCCTCAGCTATTTCTTTATAGCAACACAAAATGGACTAAAATACTGAACTTCATTGAAATGAAACTTTTTTGCTCTGGAAACAGCACTCTCAAGAGAATGAAAAGGCAGACTACAGACTGGGAGGAAATATTTACAAAAGAAACATCTGATAAAGGACCCTTATTCAAAATACACAAAGAACTCTTAAAAACTCAACAATAAGAAAACACACATTATAATTAAAAAATGGGCCAAAGACCTTAACAGGCATCTCACCAAAGAAGATGTAGATAGCAATAAGCAAATGAAAACAAGCTCCATATCATGTGTCACCAGGAAAATACAAATTAAAACAACAATGAGATATCACTACACACTTATTAGAATGGTCAAAACCCAGTACGCTGATGTTGTAGAGCAACAGAAATGCTCATTTACTGCTAGTGGGAGTGTAAAATGGTACAGCCACTTTGGCAAACAGTTTAGCAGTTTCTTACAAAACTAAACATATCTTTTTTAAAAAAACTTTTACCATAAGATTCAGTGATCACACTCCTTGGTATTTACTCAAGGGAGCTGAAAACTCTATACACAAGAACCTACACATGGATATTTATAGCAGCTTTATTCATATTTGGCAAAACTTGGAAGCAACCAAGATGTCCTTCAGTAGGCAAATGGATAGATTGTGGCACATCAGACTATGGAATATTATTCAGCACTATAAACAAATGAGCTACCAAGCCATGAAAAGACACGGAAGAAACTTAAATGCATATTACCCAGTGAAAGAAGCTAACCTGAAAAGGCTATGTACTACATGATCCAACCATATGACATTCTGGAAAAGGCAAAACTATAGAGACAGGAAAAGATCAGTGGTAGCCTGGAGTTGGGGAAGGGAGGGACAAATGGGTGGAGCAAAGAGGATTTTTGGGGCAGTGAAACTACTTTGTATGATACTATAATAGTGGATACATGTCATTTTACATTTGTCTGAACACATAGAATGTACGACACCAAGAGTGAACCCTAATGTGAACTATAGACACACATACATGAGGATGAGTCAATGTAGAGTCATTGATTGTAACCAATGTCCCACTCTTGTGGGGGATGCTGATTGTAGGAGAGGTTATGCATGTGGGAGGTGGGGGTATGTAGAAAATCTCTGTGTTGTGTGTTCAATTTTGTTGGGAACCTAAAAACTGCTCTAAAAAGTCGTCCATTTTTTAAAAGTCAGCACTGGGTCCCTTTCTTTGCCCTGCAGAGTGTCAGTGCTCAACAGACCCTTTGAAGCCCGGGGAACTGTGGTTGATAAGCATCCCATGACTCTGGAGGAAGCTGCATTAAGCTTCTTCCCAGGCTTAGAATTGTGTTGGATGTACCATAGGGGGTTGATGAATGCCTACTTTTATGGGCTATGTGACCCCCTCTTGCTGAGGGTCAGGTATGGGGGTAGCCCAGAGAGAGACAGTTTACCCTGAGCCCAGCCCTGGAAAGGTTGGGCCTGACAAGTGTAGTCAAGGGATACCCTCCTTGTCCAGTTGCTGTGCTTGGAATCAATTATTAAACCATGCAGCAATTCAAAGCTGCCCCCTTGGGCTACTAAACTGATTTGGAACATTTGCTCTGGCACTATTTAGCTCTAAGCTTTTCCAATTCTTGTTTCTGGTTTTTAATTTGTATTTTCTATCACCTCCTTTTTTCTCATGCTTTTAGGTGTCACTCACTGGTTTGTACTTTATTTTTCTTCCTGTATTAGTCCATTTCCATGCTGCTGAAAAAGACATACCTGAGACTGGGAAGAAAAAGAGGTTTAGTGGACTTACAGTTCTACATGGTTGGGGAGGCCTCACAATCATGGTGGAAGGCAAGAAGGAGCAAGTCACATGTTCCGTGGATGGCAGCAGGCAAAGAGAGCTTGTGCAGGGAAACTCCTCTTTATAGAACCATCAGATCCCAAGAGACTTATTGACTATCATGAGAACAGCACGGGAAAGACCTGCATCCATGATTCAATTACCTCCCACTGGGTCCCTCCCACAACACGTGGGAATTTAAGATGAGATTTGGATGGGGACACAGCCAAACCATATCACTTCCCTTCACAGTTATTACTGCTAAGATCTAACTTGAGTAATCAGATCATCAAGAATGTTAGAGTTGGGCATGACCTTAAAATAAGAAATTAAGTAAACCCTAAGAAGGGTAAAGAGACTACAGTGAATGGATTTCTGGATTTCCGATGAGAAATATGCATAAGCCTTTAGCTTATGGCTTGAGGCTGTGTGTGCATCTTTCCTTCTTCCTGGTTCTTAGCTGTGTGCTATCTCCTGGAAAGGGATGAAGAAATAACCTATGGATTTGGGAGATTATTCTTCAGATGACTTCCCCAGAAAGGGTCTTATCTAGGACTTCAATATAAGACTGCAGAGTTTGCTGGTAGGCCCTGTGCAGGCTCTATCATTGCAGGTTGCTTTGTCTCTGCTCCCTGGAAGGCAGAATAGTAGTTGAGGAAGGTTTAGATAATGTGGGTATTTTATTCCTTCTCAGGGCCACTTTCTCATAATCCTATGTTTGAGGGAGAAGGGTAGTCAATTTACGGAACTCAATATACTGAGGTAACATTTGGCTAAAACATCAGTGATTTTAGTGGAGTGTTTGGTAAGGGGTGGGTTGTTCAGATATTCAGGATATATCTCTCAACTACTCCCTCTGCTGTATCTTCTCCTGATGCCACCAATGGAGTCAAGACCACAGTGAGTGGATAGAGCTGGGTGCGGTGTGGTGCTTATTAGATTAGATCCCAATCCATGGAACCCACAATTTACATTGGGCCGCTCTTCATGCAGCACAGGAGACAAAACAAACATTGCCTTTAGAAGACCCAGCTTTGTACTTCTGTGGTTTTTCTCTGCTCCTTATTATGTTGTTTTTGTGGTGCTAGAGTGATTAAATCTAGGTGACCAATGGTTCCAGTAACACCTTTGCAGGAGCCAGGATACTTTCTCTTGGGCCTCTAAAACGACGAAAATGGTACAGCTTTTTCTAACTCAGAAGACTTTGATAACAAATGTAAAGGGATTGTGGGGACATTTCCCAGTTATGTCGTTCTCTTGGGTCTTCCTCACCCCTTCTTATCTTCTCAACTCAATAAATGGCACCACATACACCCAGTTACTCTAGCCTAAAATCTTGGTGTCATCCTTAACTCATGTCTTTCTCTCATATCCCATATCCATCAATTCCTGACAGTTCTATCTCCAAACTATGTCCTCAATCCATCTCCTCTGCACCTTGAAGGAACCACCTTAGTTCATCTTTACCGCTTCCCTGGAAAGCTGTGACAGTCTACTAACTTGTCTCCCTGCTCTCTCTCAATTTCCCTCCAACCAGTTCCATACCAGTAACCAGACGGGTTGATGTAAAACCTTAAATTAGCTCACGGCATTCCATTGCTCTCAACCATCCGAAGTCTTCTCATCACAGAATAAAATCCCAAGACCCTACCATGGCCCATAATCTCTGTGCATCCTGGCCCTGCTTACCTCTCTGACCTCATTCCAACTATACTAGACTTCTTTGAGTTTCTTGAACATGTTAGTCTGTTCCCTCACTCAGAGCCTTTGACTTATTTTCTCCTTTGCCTTGACACTTTTCCCTGAGAGATTTCTATGGCTGGTTCTCTCTCATCCTTTAGGTCCAAGCTCAGAGGTCACCTCCTCAAAGATGCTTTCCCTGACCCCCAGTTTAAATAAGGTCTCTTGCATTTTTCTCTATCTAAGCACATCATTGCACTTATTAGTTTGTAATTGTGTATTTTTGTCCACCTGATCATTATCTGTTTGCTCTCCTGGACTGCATGCTCTAGGAGGGTAGGACCATGTCTTTCTTGATCATGACTGGATCCCCAGTACTTGGTATATTCATCTCCTGGGCTTGCCATAACACAATGCACTAACTGGGTGGCTTGAAGCAGCAGACATTTATTCTTGCACAGTTCTGTCTGCTGTTTGCAGCCACCCAGTTAGTCCCAGTTCAAGGTGTTCGGAGGGCCATGCTCCCTCCAAAGGCTCTAGAGGAGGAAACTTTCTTGCCTTTTCTGGCTTCTGGTGTTCCAGGTGTTCCTTAGTTGATGGGTTGCATAACTCCAATCTCTGTCCCCATGGTCGCATTGCTTCCTCCTCTGCTGCCTGTCAAATCTCCCTCTTCCTCACTCTCATGAGGATACTTGTCATTGGATTTAGGGTCTGCCTAGGTAATTCAGGACAAACTCTTCCTCTCCAACTCGTTAATCACATCTTTGTCCATAAAAGCAGCATCCCCAGGTTCTGGGGATGAGGACATGGATGTATCCTTCTGGGAGGTTACCAGTCAGCCTACTATACTTAGTGAAGTGCCAGGCACCTAGTCAGTTCTCAAAGAACATTTGTCGAATGAATGAAAAAAGGTAGTACCAGAGAAACCAGCCAGCTTTCCTCAGAGGCCCTTACCCTTGATTAGAAATGCCTGACCTTGGGTGTCCTTTCCAAGAGGTGCTTGCCATCCTGCATCAACACTTGCCCACACACTCGAGGCACTTGCTTCACTCACCATCCTAGAACCATGCACACCTCTTGGGGCTTCTCTTACTTCAGAACTACAGATAAGGTTTCAGTTTCATAGTATAGTTTCATATAGGTATACCCCAGTTTCAGAGACCCTCTGCATCACCCACTGGGGAGGAAAAAGCAGACCCCTGAAGCAAAAGAATGGCAGATGTATCGGGATTTCGAAAGGACACAGAATTGATGCAGATGGGTCAAATGAAGAGATTTCAATAAGAGAGCTACAATACTCTATAGTGGAGAGGTGAAGAAAAAAACCAAAGGGTCATGAGGTCTCCGGTGGGAAGTTATTACCACCATTAGGACCAAAGGGACAGGGGAGGAAATAACATTCACAGAGCCCTATGAGAACTGAGGCTGTGGAGGGGAGCTGCCTGTCGGGAGCTATAGTCACTGAGAGATGGGCCAAATCAGGGAGGGGCCAATGAAGTAATACCCAATCTGTTCTTCCAGCCTCTGATCTACTGGTGTAAGCAGTTGGCAGAACCCAGCTAGAGCCAGAGGAAAAGGGAGCTTGTGGATGTTGACCACAATCCATAGAGGTCAGCCTCTTAAAGCACAGACCCAGGTAGAGGGCAGGGTATGGGTCTGGGGGAGAGGTGAATGGAAAGTAACCAGCAGAACAGGTTCCCAGCAATGCCTTTGTTCAAATAATCGGGCTGTCACTTGGTCTGATGTAAGTGAACAATGAGTAGGAAACTTCCAGTTGGTCTTTCCTTCCATGTCTTCTCCACCAAAGCTGTCCTCCCAGGTCAGCAGGCAGGACCATCACGGTGGTTTCCCTGTATCCTCATCCCAACAATTACACTACTGTTGTCACTCTGGGGCCCGGCCACTGGGAATGAAGATGCTGAACCAACAGCAGAGGGAGAGGCTTGCAGAGAGCAGGGGCTAAAGGCCACCATGACATTAACAAGGACCAGGCAGAGGAATCTCAGCAAGTTAATTCCACTGTGGGTTTCACGGTTCAGTTCCTGCCCCTGCCGCAGGGTTAAAAAGAAAAAAAAAACACACACAAAAAAGACTTTAGTTTTTTACTCAGAAGTTGGAACAAAGAAAAGGATGAGCAATGGAATGGTCTTTTTTAGCACAGCTGCAAGCTCGGACTCTAGCGACCAGAAGGGCTGTTCCAGCTGAAAGCACAGATTACGCATCTCCTCTGTGTGTCCAGTGAACCTTCTTTTCTCCTAGCACAGTGCATCCCTGTGGCCCTGGGAAGGACACATTTTACCAAGTAAAATACCTTTACCCTTTTCCCACCACCATTTTACTTTGATAACCACTTGAATTTAGGAAATCTTTTAATTTTATTTACTAGAAGAATAGAATAAGTATTAGAAGTGTTAGAAAGTGTAAATGGCCTCCCTCAAAGCACTAACATAAGAACAGTTTCATCCCATCCTTATGTCTTCTTTGCATGCTGTTTCATCCTCTCCCGAATTGCTGCGAGGCTCTCACCTTCCTCCTTGTACGTATGGGGTAATACTGGCTTCATTCGATTTTCTCTCTGATCATTGTGAGCTCTGTGGCCTATGCCCCCTTCAGGGCAGGATCTCACTTTATTAGGCAGGATAGTCAATCAGTCTTGCTCACAACACACTACATCATCGGGGCACCATCTGTTAATACAGGACATAGTTCTTGTGTTTATTGTCTGCTTATGCAAGGAGCATCTGTCTGGGGTGGATGACCTGCTTGGTGGATTGAGTCCTGTGTTTGTTGTGAAGAACTCCAGAGGACCACCGTGATAGTGTGTGCCAACCCGCTAATATTAGGGATTAGACATAAGGCCTAGAGTGGTGGCGTGGCAGGCACCCAACCACACATCAGCCTGAAGGAAGTTTGGAGGAGGACAAAGGCCTCCTGAGACCTAGGGTCTGAGGCCCATCCCTACACAATAGCCTCAGGCCTCAGGAAGCTCTGAAGAGCCACTGTGCCTTTTCTTCCCAATGGATATGCCTTATAGGGTTTTTGATGATTATAACAGCGTGAAAAACTTGCTTATTGCAAAATTTCAAATAATTCAAGGCTGTGTGAAATAGCACAGGAAATTTCTTTACCATCTCAACCCACAGAGTTAACAACTTTTCAGAGTTTGCAGGGTATACATCCAGATTTGTTCAATGCCTATATAAAATACTTACATATACATATACGTATGCTTTAAAGCTGAGTTCAAACCTATGCACACTCTTCTGCATCCTACTTATTTTACTTTAGAATATATAGGCAGTCTCCGACTTTCACACATAATACACTTCTGAAAAGATGTTTGGAAGTTAAATATGCAAAAGTGAATAATAGACATACATTTTCTAAGGTTACTGCAGTCTCAGAGATCTAAATTATCTTGGCATCTCATTCACATTCTTGCAATTTGTTCTTGTGCTTTATGGTTGAACACCAAGTCCACCAGCTCAAGTTCGACGAGTAGCAAATCAAGGCCAAAGACTTCCTCCTTGTAATACCCCTGTGATTTCTTTGTTTCAATTTTATTAAGCATATACTAGACCTTGTCTTCTTGTTGTACATGTCAACATTTAAATTTCTTATTATTTTTCTAAGCTAACAAGAGCATAATGCAATAAAATATTTGAGCATAATTGTACAACTCTGTCCTGCTGTGCAGACAGAGATGGTCATGCTCCTTAACCTAGGTTGGGGACAGGCTGGCAGTTCCACCCTGCAAAATTTGCATATGCATTCTTCTGCTGAGTTCTGAAGGTCTAAATCTGGCATCTGAATGTTGGCTTGGAGGGTCTCCATGGGCGGTGTACAGAAGTGTGGATTAACAAAAGTTAAGGATCATGTATCATGGATGTCTTTGCAGGCAGTTGACTCAGCTCATTAAAAAGAAAGAAGCTTACCAAAAGAAGATCAGACAGCTCACAGAAGTGTTGGAGGGACAAAGAAGTAGGTTTGGAGCTCTGCTTTGAGGAACAGTGGCCAAACCCACACTGCAGAACTGCACTGATGAGAAAACCCCAGTGCTGCCACCAGTAAGCCATTCAGATGCAGTGCTTGGCTCTGTTGGGGACTCATCTTTGCTGAAACTGCCCCTGCCACTAACGCTGGTAGCACTTCTATCTCAGAAGCTAGCCTTGTAAGTGCCAAAAGAGGTTGTTTCAAGCACTATTCTTGCCAGAAAAACCCTGCCCCTCTCTGATCCCATTTCCTCACTTCCCTTTTGAAGTCTTATGTGGTGTATTTCACTGGTGAAATCAGGTTACACAGCTGGGACCTAGTGGCAAAGGAAGCCTGGAAGTGTGATGTCTGCCTTCTACCTTGGGAAGAAGGTATTGAGAGACAGTTAATTTCTCAAACATTAGAAGAGAGTTCAAGAGCTGTTAGGAATCCAGAAAAGAAGAAGAAAGAAGAAAGAGGAAAGAAGAAGAAGAAAGAAGGAGGAGGAGGAGGAAGAAGAAGAGGAGGGGGGAAGAAGGAGAAGAAGAAGAAAGAAAGGTAAGAAGAAGAAGAAAGAAGAAAGAGGAAAGAAGAAGGAGGAGGAGGAAGAGGAGGAGAAAAAGAAGAATAGTCTTCTACAAGTACAAGTAGCTATGTGGATTCTTTTAAAGACTGCATTGTATTTCATTGTATGCATATATTGTAATTAGCAAATCCCTTATTAGTACAAATTCAAACAATTTCCTTTATTTTTTGCTACTAAAAGCCATACTATAGTGAACATTTTTGCCTATGTATGTGTATATACACATACACATATATACACAAACATGCAAATATATTCATACACTTTTATTTATAGGATTAATTCTTTGGAGTAGAAGTGTTGGTCCCAGGGTATTTGAAATCTAACATATTTATACTTATTATAACATTGTCTTCCCAAAAGTTTGCAGAAGTGCCTCTCAGCAAAGAAAGATCATTTTTAAAACAGTTGTTAAGTTTAGGGAGTTTTAAAAATATTCAAGTATACAAAAAATGTATTATTCCAGAATATCTAGAATAAATGGAATGGCCCCTTGTCCTATTGAGCCTGAGAACAGTAAGCCAACTGTATTAGTAATTCATGAATCAGTACGTGTTTTTTTTTGTTTTTGTGTGTGTGTTTTGTTTTGTTTTGTTTTGTTTTTTAGGCTATCAGTGTGGGCACTATATGGTTGGGTCTTTGTGATCTATTTGTGACATTCCCATGAGCCCTTAGGAATACTCCAAGTTACTCAATCAGCAGCAGGGCTGCTGCATATGGTTGTAGGGTAATGACTTCATGACTCTAGGAGGTGCTATTTGAAGATGTAGTCTATGGGAATTGTGCCCCATTCAATAGTGCAGTACACAACCTGCACAACAGTACATGGTACCCCTGCCAAGGAAAGCAAGAGCAGTCACATGGAAATTCTTCCAATACTCCTTTTGGACTTTTAATCCATTTGTGTAAGGTAACTGATTATGAAACATGAAGCCTAGTTTCCTCTCCAGAGCAGCGAGGCAGCTCTGGTGACAGCTCCTAAGTACATAAGAAATGCATCTTAAATTCTGTGACATTTTACATTCTCAACTTTGCCCAGCGGCCAATGGTCCCTTCTTCCAAATGACATATTGGCTGTACATACATGCAGGGTGAGTATGATTGTGTTCAGTATTTTGAACTCATCATCTGTTATCCCATTCTTATTTTCATCCCAGGCCCAGACAGTATCAAATTGGAAGCAGTAGTGTAGAAAATTACAAACAAATCAAAAAAGACTACAGCTGTGAAATGAATCAGGCCAGCACTCCACATTTGGTATTTCTCCTGATGTTAACATCCTGCTCCTTTCCTTCACCCTGTTAGCAGGTCTCAGAGCCAGGAGTGTACTGGGATAATTAGAGCTCAACTCTGACCTTGCTTTGAAGCTAGGTACACGGTGTCCCAGAGAGCAGGAGGTTCTGCTGTCCTAGAAACCATGTCACATCTTGGAGGCGGTAGGGCAGCTCACCAAAGTGTGACAGTGAGAAAGCAGGGATTGACACATGGTGATTTATGTGGCTGTGAATGACAATGTCTCCCTTCCAAGGCATCTAAGATGGCCCATTCTCCCAGGTTTTATGAGATTCTCATTAATCACATCTCTCCGGGTGGATTTGTGACCAAGGGGCTAATGAGGAGATGCCATCTTGCTAGTTGGCATGAATGTAGGCACAGCTCCATCAGGGTGGGTAATTTCATGCATCATCAGAGTGAAAAGCCTTAAAGAATGGCCTGTGGGCAAGGCACACCCTGTCACTGTGATAACTGTAGGCTCCTCTGTCATTGCACCATGCCTATTGTTACTTTTGTGTTTGCTTAACATAACTGTGGTGGGTGTGAATGGGATCTGTATTTCAGTGTTAATCAAAACCAGTGCAGAGTCTTTCTTTTCTTTCTAAGAAGTCAGTTCTGACTCTTTTTTTGTTCTTGGCTCATAGAGTGTGGGCCTGGAGATTGTCCCTGTCTCAGTTGCTGACCCTTCGGAGTTTGTGGGAAAGATCACTCTGGGTGGGGTGAAGACATTTGTCTTGCATGCAAGCTCAACCCCGAGCTGGTAGCACATAAGATGCGGATAAAAGCTTGCTTGTCCCACTTGTTATGGGACCTCCTGAACATGGGCAGAGGTAACGTGGTAGAGAGAGAAAGCATTCCCCCCAAGTTTCCTCTGCACCCATTGCCCTTCCCTGCCCACCATGGGGCTTCCACAGATGGCCCGAGAGTAGGAGATCCTCCTCTTCCTCTTCTGGGGATTCTGCCCTGCCTGGAACCTTCTGACTTGACTCAAAGCTCTGGGTTTGCTTTGGAAGCAAGGCAAGCTCTGAGGACAGGGCAAGGGCCCTTCTCAGGGAAGGAGCAAAGGCTTTCTCATCTGCTTGGGAAATCCTGTGTCTCACCAAGCTCACCCCATGGGCCTCACACAGTTTCTTTGTTCACTTGAGTTTGGGAAAAACCTGATGGCTGTCCACAGACCCCCCTTTTCTGAATCTCAGCATCCCACTTGTGAATATTTATAGAGCACCGACTACTGCCACATATGAGTCTACGTATTGAGGACGTAGTAATGAACCCAATAGATAAAAGTGCAGCCCTGTGTTCTCATTGTTTAACTCTGACTTATGAGTGAGAAAATGTGGTGTTTGGTTTTCTGTTCCTGTGTTGTTTGCCGAGAATGATGGACACAGGGAGGGGAACAACACACACTGGGGCCTGTCGGGGAGTGGGGAACAAGGGGAAGGAGAACTACAAATACCGAATGCATATGGGGCTTAAAACCTAGATGACGAGTTGATAAGTGCAGCAAACCACCATGGCACATGTATACCAATGTAACAAACCTACACATTCTGCACATGTATCCCAGAACTTAAAATAAAAAATAAAATAAATAATAAAAGTTCCAATAAAGCACACTTTAAAAGGTTAAAAAAAACCTAAAATACATGTCAATAGAGAAATACTTAATGACAGGAGCTAAGCTATGAGTATGTAGGGGCATGAGAAAGTGTTCACGATATACTTTTAAGTGAAAAAAAAGTAATTTACAAATTGTATGCAGTGTATGTATACGAAAAAACGTCCAGCCCTCGTGGAGCTTATATGTCAGTGGGAAGATACAGAAAAAAAACAAAAGAAATAAGCAAAATATAGAGTATGCTGAAAGACAGTAAGTGCTATGGGAGAAAAAGCAGGGAAAGGCAACAGGTAATACTAGGGTGGGAGGAGCTGAAATTTTAGGGAGGCTGGTCAGAAAAGGCTTCATTGAGAAGCAGGGTCTGGAAGAGGAGGGAGTGAGCCCACTGGGTACCTGGGAAGGGACGTCCTTAGGCAGGAGCATGCCTGGAGTATCCTGGGAATAGCAAGGAGGCCAGTGGAGCTGCAGCAGAGGGAGAGAAGTAGGACCCCAGTTGGAGAGATGACAGGGGCCTCGTTGCATGGGGCCTGCGAGGACTTGAGCTTTTCCTTGGAGTGAGATGAGAAGTCCTGAAGGAGGGAGTCAAGACATGGGTGCTGTGATCCAACAGCTATTTCACAGGATAGCTCTGCTTCTGCTTTGAGAATAGTCCTGGGGAGTGAGGAGGGGAAGAAGGGAGCTCCGGATGCAACTGAGAGTTGATGGTGGCCTGTAAGGGAGTGGTGGCTGTAAAGGCAGTGACAAGCTGTCAGATTTAGGCTATATTGGGAAAGTGGAGCTAAGATATGCTGATAAATTGGATTGGGATGTGAGAGAAAGAGAAGAGCCAAGGATAACTCCAAGGCTTTCAGACTGATTAACTGAAGGGATGGAGCTGCTGTGATGTGATTTCAGAAAGTTTGGGTGGAACAGTTTTGCAGAGAGTAAGATCAGAAATTCAGATTTGAGCCCATTAATTAATTTATTATTATTATTATTATTATTAATTATTATTATTTTTGAGACGGAGTCTTACTCTGTCACCCAGGCTGGAGTGCAGTGGCACAATCTCGGTGACTGGAGCCCATTAAGTCAGCTAACAGCCCATTTGCCATTCAAGTGGAAGTGCTCAGGTGATGGGATGTAGGAGTCTAGGGTTCAAGAGAGAGGTCCAGGCTGGAGATGTAAGTTTCAGAGTTGCCATCTTATACAAGGTGACAAAACCCATGAAGAGGAAGAGCTCTTCCATACAAGTGAGACAGAGAAGAGATTCAAGGACTAGGACCCAGAGCATCCCAACTTTTAGATGGAAGAGACATAAGGAGAAACCAGCATAGCAGACTGAGAAGAAGTGGCCAAGGAGATAGAAAGAAAACCAGGAGTGCAATGTCCCAGAAAGCAAGTGGAGAAAGTTTCTAAGACAAGTGAGTGAACAGCTGTGTCTAGTTCTACTCATTACTGGGCTGCAACTTCCATGAGCACAGGGACATTTTTCTATTTTATTCTATGCATAGTCTCCAGCCCCTAAACTAGGACCTAGAATATAGTAGATGCTCAATCAAAATTTTTATTGAGTGAATAAGGGAGCCAAATAAGATGAGGACTGAAAATTTGCCATTGGATGTATTAATAGCAATGGGGAGGTCGTAGATGACGTTACAAGATGAGTTTCAGTGGAGTGGTGACAATGAAAGCCTGTTTGGAGTAGGTTTCAGGGAGAAGAAAGGGCAAGCACAAGACAGAGAAGAGAGAAGTGAGCTTCTAGGTGGAAGAATTATGACATCAAGTCCAGTCTGTCCTGTCACATCGTAAATAGGGTAATCTTTCAAGAGCCTGGGTTTCATGTTGTCATTGTTACACCACTACAGAATAAACTCCAAACTCTCCTGCCATAATCCAGCTGCCGTCTATCCTTTGACCTTGCCTTTTACTATCCCTCTACTTATGCTTCCACTCCAGCCAAACAGTGCAGATTCCAGCTATGTTCCTTACCAGCTGTGTAACCATGAATAAGTTGCCTAACCTCTCTGAGCCTCAGTTTCCTCATCTGTATAGTATGGATAATTATATTTTCCTCATTGGGCTGTTAAGCACCAATGTTCAGTTGTTGTTCAAAACATAGCAATAATTTTTATTCCTGTTTTTTCATGTTTGATTTTACTAGTTCTACCACCCTGCACCATAGTCCATCTATTAAAATCATCTCTAGGATCCTGTTAAAAACTATCCATTCATTTAGACATAACAACAATAATAATCATAACAGCAAATATTTACATAGTGCTTACTCTCAACTAAATGAGTAATTTACATATATTAACTCATTTAATCCTCATAGTAACCCCTAAGTGGTAGGTTCTATTATTGTTGCAATTTTGTAGAAGAGAAAACTGAGGCACAGAGAGGTTAGATGCCTTGTCTCAGGTTGCACAGCTCATAGGTGGAAGAGCCAGGTCATTTTATTCATTCACTATTCAGTAAACCTTTGTTGAGTGTTTACTGTGAATCAGACCCAGCACTGGACACCAAGGGGTTTAGACATGTAAAAGACCCTGCCTATGTCCTCAAAGAGCCCACAGGCTGGGCTTCCTGATCGCTGAGTCCTAAAACACAACTTTGGAATTCCCACAGCCCTTCCTTTCTATCCCACTCAGAGAGTGGAGCTCTCAGGCTGCTGAGTTTCACTGTGGCAGATGAGCCCAGCCTCTCTCCCTGCCAGACTATAAACTCCCCAGTGAATATCAGGCTTCTGTTCTGGGACCTCTGGGTCTTTGATTCTTGGTCTTGCCTTGAATATAACCAGAAGCCAGTAAATATCTTCTACGAAACAGCCATTTGTCCTAACAACCCCTTAAGGTTGTTTATTCTTTCATTCAACATACATTTATTGAGGGACTATTATAGGCCAGGTGCCGACCTGGGCCCTGGGTTATAATGATGACAGCACAGAGTCCCTGCTCACGTGATGCCATGCACTATGAGGTGACACTGTACTATAGTGATTTTACTGCCTCCTTCTCATACTCATGGTCATTCGTGCCCACGGCAGGACCTCTCCTCTCACCACTGGGCTTAAGTTGAACTGGGTTGGATTTTTCTAGGGGAAGAGAAAGGAGTGATGATATTTTCACTCTTTGTTTTTGCAAACACAGAAAGTAGGAGCCAAGGCAGTTTTGTTTGTTTGTTTGTTTGTTTTTTGGAGATGGAGTCTCGCTCTGTCACCCAGGCTGGTGTGCAATGGTGTGATCTCAGCTCAACGCAACCTCCGTCTCCTGGGTTCAAACAGTTCTCCTGTCTCAGCCTCCCAAATAGCTGGGATTACAGGCATGTGCCACCACGCCCAGCTAATTTTGTATTTTTAGTAGAGATGGGGTTTCTCCATGTTGGTCAGGCTTGTCTCGAACTCCTGACCTCAGGTGATCTGCCCACCTTGGCCTCCCAACGTGCTGGGATTACTGGCATGAGCCACTGTGCCCAGCCGCCAAGGCAGTTTTAAGGAACTGGTAAGACTTCTGGTCCACGTACTTTCCCATATACATATATCAGGGATGTAGCTGTCATCCTTTTCCACATTTATTGTGGAAGCAATTGGATTACTTCACATCAAGACCTACTGTTATTAAGCATGTAAGTGCAGTGCTCTCTGGAGGCTACCTTGTGTTCTCTGACCACAGTAGTCATGTTGAGTTTTAATCATTCACTCCCTGTGGAGTCTGATCCTCAGAGTACATCATGCATATGACTCATCACTGAAGCCTCCTGAAACCAATGTATCCTCTCTTCCTAACTGCCTTCATATGTAAACTAGCAGGGGCCTGCTTTCCACTCCAACTTAGACATAAAGAACAGATGGGGTGACATTATAGTGTCTATGTTTTTTTTTTTTAAAGAATAAAATAGGCAAGAGATCAATAAAATGCCAAGTAGAGGAACTATTTATTCCTTTACCTTCCACCAAGGATGCAATAAATAAGAGATCCTATTGTCTGGAGTCTATTGTTTTAAAAACAATATATTTATAACTAAGCTCTGGATGAACAAGGCAGTACTCTCCAATCCATATTGTGTCTGAATCCTGGGGGAAATTAATTGCCATGCTATTTGCTGTAGATTATGAGGGTACTCTCTGGAGAAGATTAGACAAAGAACGGTGGGGGAACAGGCATGAGAACCTTATCATGTAGTTATTTTCTCAATTAGTAACATGTCTGACATATCACAAATCTCAGTTGATGTCATCTGTGTAAGTACCTCATAACTGGAGATATTCTAGAGAGTACAGATTGCTATTTTTACAATAAACAAATGAACTTTCACTTCTAGGATGATGGAGTAGACATTTCTCCTCACCCCCACCCCATTCTTCCTGTTAAATACAGCTAAAATCTCTGGACATTATAAAGAGACATAAGGTGAGGAGAAGAAGTCAGACTCATTAGGGAATTTAGGACCCAAAGATTGTCACAGAGATGAGTTCTCTGGGTTTTCTCTTTGCCTCATATGTTCCAGACTTGGAGCTGAAGAGGCAGCAATCTGGAAATGCCAACAGGTACAGAGGAAAAAAAAAAAGAGAGAGAGAGAAAAGCCTGTTTTCTCTAGCCAAAGGACCAGGAAAGAGGCAGCCTAGCAAGACAGAAAACTTTTAGACATTAACCAGTCTACTTCACCCAACCATCCCAGAAAGACCTGTGACCCCATCCCTACACACACCAACAAAGGCCAAGTAGGGATCCTAGACTACCACACTTGCCAGGCTGCAACAATGTGCCCCAGTACCATCACCACAATGGTGTCAGAGATGGCCAAATAGGGAGTTTGGTTTTGACCCCACCAGCAGGAAGAAGGCACCCTTTCTCTTTGCCACTGAGGTAGCATTGGAGGAGGCCTAGTGGAGAGTCAGGACCTTTACCACCACTACTTGTCCCTTGGTAACAAGGCCACTCTCCCACCACCTCTCTCCACCCCATGATGTCAGTGGAAGCCATGTGGTGAGCCATAATGAGCCACTCCTATCATTCCCTGCCAGGGAGGTTTCAGTGAAGGCCTAATAGGAAGATTGAATTCCTACCCTTGCCAACCACCAAGAAGGAGCCTCTCCCTCTTCTCAGTTCAACGGACACTAAGTATTGAACTTGGGCTTCTATACCCACTGGGGAGTAACAGATGACACCTTTGTCCCTTCTCCTACTAGAGTGATGTCAGAGAAAGCTGGTTAAACCAGAAAGTTTAAATAAGATCCAGAGTTTCAGAACATAATATTCAAACTGGCCAGGTTTCATTCAAAACTCATCATCATACAACCAACCAGGAAGATATCAAACAATGAAAAATACAATCAACAGATGCCAACACTGAAATGGCAGAGATGTTGGAATTATTTGATAAGATTTTAAAGTAGGCATCATGACAATGCTTCAGTAAGCAATTAGAAACACACTTGAAATCAATGAAAAAAAGAGAAAGTCTCAACAAAGAAATAAAAGATATAAAGAAGGACCAAATAAAAATGTAAAAGCTGAAAGATACAGGAACAAATAAAAAATTTAATGAATGGGTTCAATAGCAGATTGGAGGGGACAGAGGAAATAATTAGTGAGTTTGAAGATAGAACAATATATTGCCCAATCTGAAAATAGTAGAGAAAATAGACTGAAATTAACAGAGTCTCAGGAACCTGTGGGACCTATGTTATTATTAGAGTTCTGGAAGGAAGGGAGAAAGAGGGCAGGGCTGAAAAAGCACTCAAAGAAATAATGGTTGAAAACTTCCCAAATGTAACAAAAGACTCAATCTACACATTCAAGGAGGTTAGCAAACTCCAAGCAGGATAAATCCACACCAAGATAATTTCTAAAATTTCTGAAAATTAAGGACAAATAAAAAAATATTGAAAGCAACAAGAGAGAAATGAGACTTTATCTATATGGCAAAAATAATGTGAATGACAGAGGAGTTATTAAAAACTGTGGAGGCTGGGCAGGCACAGTGGTACACATCTGTAATTCCAGCACTTTGGGAGGTCAGGTTGTGTGGATCATTGAGCCCAGAATTTCAAGCCCAGCCTGGGCAACATAGTGAAAGCCCATCTCTACAAAAATACAAAAAAAATTAGCTGAGTGTGGTGACGTGTACCTCCAGTCCCAGCTACTTGGGAGGCTGCATTGGGAGGATTGCTTAAGCCCCAGGAGGTTGAGACTGCCATGAGCCATGATCATGCCACTGCACCCCAGGCTGGGCAACAGAGCAAGACCCTGTTTCAAAAGAAAACAACAACAAAAAAAACAAACAAAAAACACAAAACTATGGAGGCCAGAAGGAAGTGGCACAACGTTTTTCAACTGATGAAAGAATAACAACTGTCAACCCAGAATCCCACATCTAGAGAAAATATTCTTCAGGAATAAAATGATAATTAAGACAATTCCTAGGAAAAGGAAAACTAAGATAATTTGTCTCCAGCAGAACTACCTTGAAAGAATGTCTAAAGGAAGTTTTCTAAAAAGAAAGAAAATAAAAATGGAATTTTGGAACATTGAGAAAGAAGAAAAATCATGGTAAGCAGAAATATGGGTAAATGCAACAGATTTTCCTTTTCCTCCTGAGTTTTCTAAATTATGTTTGATATTTGAAGCAAAAATTATAACACCATCTGTTGTGGTTATAAATGTATGTAGAGAAAATATTTAAGACCCTTATATTATAAACAGGGGAGGGTAAAGGGAGGTAATATTCTTATACTTTACTTGAACTGGTGAAATTATAAAACTAGTAAGACTGTGTAGTGTTATGTATATATGATATAATTCTTTTTAATTATTATACTTTAAGTTCTGGGATACATGTGCAGAACGTACAGGTTTGTTACATAGGTATACATGTGCCATGGTGGTTTGCTGCACCCATCAAACCTTCATCTACATTAGGTATTTCTCCTAATGGTATCCCTCCCCTAACCCCCACCCCACAACAGACCCCGGTGTGTGATGTTCCCCTCCCTGTGTCCATGTGTTCTCATTGTTCAACTCCCACTTATGAGTGAGAACATGCGGTGTTTGGTTTTCTGTTCCTCTGTTACTTTGCTGAGAATGATTGTTTCCAGCTTCATCCACGTCCCTGCAAAGGACATGAACTCATCCTTTTTTATGGCTGCATAGTAATCCATGGTGTATAGGTGCCACATTTTATTTATCCAGTCCATCATTGATGGGCATTTGGGTTGGTTTCAAGTATTTGCTATTGTGAATAGTGCTGCAGTAAACATACATGTGCATGTGTCTTTATAGTAGAATGATTTATAATCCTTTGGGTATATACCCAATAATGGGATTGCTGGGTCAAATGGTATTTCTGGTTCTAGATCCTTGAGGAATTGCCACACTGTCTTGCAGGATGTGTGAACTAATTTACACTCCTACCAGCAGTGTAAAAGTGTTCCTATTTCTCCACATCCTCTCCAGCATCTGTTGTTTCCTGACTTTTTAATGATCGCCATTCTAACTGGCGTGAAATGGTATCTCATTGTGGTTTTGATTTGCATTTCTCTAATGACGAGTGATGATGAGCTTTTTTTCATAGTTTGTTGGCCGCATAAATGTCCTCTTTTGAGTAGTGTCCATTCATATCCTTCGCCCACTTTTTGATGGGGTTGTTTTTTTTTTTCTTGTAAATGTGTTTAAGTTCCTTGTAGATTCTGGATATTAGCCCTTTATCAGATGGATAGATTGCAAAAATATTCTCCCATTCTGTAGGTTGCCTGTTCACTCTCATGATAGTTTCTTTTGCTGTGCAGAAGCTCTTTAGTTTAATTAGACCCCATTTGCCAATTTTGGCTTTTGTTGCCATTGTTTTTGGTGTTTTAGTCATGAAGTCTTTGCCCATGCCTGTGTCCTGAATGGTATCGCCTAGGTTTGCTTCTAGGGTTTTTAATGGTTTTAGGTTTTACGTTTAAGTCTTTAATCCATCTTGAGTTAATTTTTGTATAAGGTGTAAGGAAGGGGTCCAGTGTCAGTTTTCCCTGTATATGTACATGGCTAGCCAGTTTTCCCAACACCATTTATTAAATAGGGAATTCTTTCCCCATTGCTTGTTTTTGTCAGGTTTGTCAAAGATCAGATGGTTGTAGATATGTGGCATTATTTCCAAGGTCTCTGTTCTGTTACATTGGTCGATATCAGTTTTGGTACCAGTACAATGCTGTTTTGGTTACTGTAGCCTTGTAGTATAGATTGAAGTCAGGTAGCGTGATGCCTCCAGCTTTGTTCTTTTTGTTGAGGATTGTCTTGACTATACGGGCTCTTTTTTGGTTCCATATGAAATTTAGTTGTTTTTCTAATTCTGTAAAGAAAGTCAGTGGTAGCTTGATGGGAATAGCATTGAATCTATAAATTACTTTGGGCAATATGGCCATTTTCACGATATTGATTCTTCCTATCCATGAGCATGCAATGTTTTTCCATTTGTTTGCATCCTCTCTTAACTCCTTGAGCAGTGGTTTGTAGTTCTCCTTGAAGAAGTCCTTCACATCCCTTGTAAGTTGGATTCCTAGGTATTTTATTCTCTTTGTAGCAACGGTGAATGGGAGTTCACTCATGATTTGGCTGTCTGTCTATTATTGGTGTATAGGAATTCTTGTGATTTTTGCACATTGATTTTGTATCCTGAGACTTTGCTGAAGTTGCTTATCAGCTTAAGGAGATTTTGGGCTGAGACAATGGCATTTTCTAAATATACAATCATGTCATCTGCAAACAGAGACAACTTGACTTCCTCTCTTCCTATTTGAATACTCTTTATTTCTTTCTCTTGCCTGATTGCCCTGGCCAGAACTTCCGATACTATGTTGAATAGAAGTGGTGAGAGAGGGCATCCTTGTCTTCTGCCAGTTTTCAAAGGGAATGCTTCCAGCTTTTGCCCATTCACTATGATATTGGCTGTGGGTTTTTCATAAATAGTTCTTATTATTTTGAAATACGTTGCATCAATACCTAGCTTATTGAGAGTTTTTAGCATAAAGAGGTGTTGAATTTTATCAAAGGCCTTTTCTGCATCTATTGAGATAATCATGTGGTTTTTGTCATTGGTTCTGTTCATGTGATGGATTACATTTATTGATTTGCATATATTGAACCAGCCTTGCATCCCAGGGATGAAGCTGACTTGATCGTGGTGGATAAGCTTTTTGATGTGCTGCTGGATTTGGATTGCCAGTATTTTATTGAGGATTTTTGCATTGATGTTCGTCAGGGATATTGGCCTGAAATTTTCTTTTTTTGTTATGTCTCTGCCATGTTTTAGTATCAGCTTGATGCTGTCCTCATAAAATGAGTTAGGGAAGAGTCCCTCTATTTCTATTGTTTGGAATACTTTCAGAAGGAATGGTACCAGCTCCTCTTTGTACCTCTGGTAGAATTTGGCTGTGAATCTGTCTGGTCCTGGGCTTTTTTTGGTTGATAGGCTGTTAATTACTGCCTCAATTTCAGAACTTGTTATTGGTCTATTCAGGGATTCAACTTCTTCCTGGTTTAGTCTTGGAAGGGTGTATGTGTCCAGAAATTTATCCATTTCTTCTAGATTTTCTAGCTTATTTACATAGAGGTGTTTATAGTATTCTCTGATGGTAGTTTGTATTTCTGTGGGAATAGTGGTGATATCCCCATGCAAGGCTGGTTCAATATATGCAAATCAATAAATGTAATCCATCACATGAACAGAACCAATGACAAAAACCACATGATTATCTCAATAGATGCAGAAAAGGCCTTTGATAAAATTCAACACCTCTTTATGCTAAAAACTCTCAATAAGCTGGGTATTGATGCAACGTATTTCAAAATAATAAGAACTATTTATGAAAAACCCACAGCCAATATCATAGTGAATGGGCAAAAGCTGGAAGCATTCCCTTTGAAAACTGGCAGAAGACAAGGATGCCCTCTCTCACCACTTCTATTCAACATAGTATCGGAAGTTCTGGCCAGGGCAATCAGGCAAGAGAAAGAAATATTCAAATAGGAAGAGAGGAAGTCAAGTTGTCTCTGTTTGCAGACGACATGATTGTATATTTAGAAAACATCATTGTCTCAGCCCAAAATCTCCTTAAGCTGATAAGCAACTTCAGCAAAGTCTCAGGATACAAAATCAATGTGCAAAAATCACAAGAATTCCTATTTTTTTATTTTTTTATTCATTTCTTTATTCATTTTTTTAATTGTGTCTATTGGATTCTTCTCTCTTTTCTTCTTTATTAGTCTGGCCTAGCGGCCTATCTATTTAGCTAATCCTTTCAAAAAAACAGCTCCTGGTGGCTGGGCACGGCAGCTCACACCTATAACCCCAGCACTTAGGGAGGCCGAGGTGGGTGGATCACCTGAGGTTGGGAGTTCGAGACCAGCCTGACCAAAATGGAGAAACTCTGTCTCTACTAAAAAATACAAAATTAGCCAAGTGTGGTGGTGCATGCCTGTAATTCCAGCTACTCGGGAGGCTGAGGCAGGAGAATCACTTGAACCTAGGAGGTGGAGATTGCAGTGAGCTGAGATTATGCCATTGCACTCCAGCCTGGGCAACAGGAGCAAAACTCCATCTCAAAAAAAAAAGAAAAGAAAAGAAAAGAAAAGAAACAAACAAAAAAAATCAGCTCCTGATGCACTGATTTTTTTGAAGGGTTTTTTGTGTCTCTGTCTCTTTCAGTTCTGCTCTGATCTTAGCTATTTCTTGTCTTCTGTTAGCTTTTGAATTTGTTTACTCTTGCTTCTCTAATTCTTTTAATTGTGATGTTAGGGTGTCAGTTTTAGATCTTTCCTGTTTTCTCCTGTGGGCATTTAGTGCTATAAATTTCCCTCTAAACACTGCTTTAGTTGTGTCCCAGAGATTCTGGTAGGTTGTGTCTTTGTTCTTATTGGTATCAAAGAACTTATTTATTTCTGCCTTAATTTCCTTATTTACCCAGGTTGTTCAGTTTCCATGTAGTTGTGTGGTTTTGAGTGAGTTTTATATAATGTAATTCTTAAAGCAGCCAGGTAAAAGTGATACAAAGAGATATACTCAAAAACACTACAGATAAATACAAATTGAATAAAAATAAATATAAATAATGCAAAAATATTATATATAAATATATCTTAGAAGTTTAATGTGAAAGAAGGCAGGAAAAAGAAAACAGAAATGAAAAAGAGAAAACATACACAGAACAAAAAATAAAATGGTAGGCTTAAGCATTGACATGTCAATTAAACGTAAATGGTCTAAATAGGCTATTAAAAGAGATTTTCAGAATGGATTAAAAAACATAATCCTGCTATATGCTGTCTGTAAGAAATTCACTTCAAATATAACATTATAGGCAGGTTGAATGTAAAAGTATGCAAACATTAATCAAAAGAATTCAAAGTACCTATATTAACAGCAGATCATATAGATGATATGGTTTGGCTGTGTCCCCACACAAATCTCATCTTGAATTGCAGCTCTCATAATTCCCATGTGTCATGGGAGGACCCAGTGAGAGATAATTGAATCATGAAAGTGATCTCCCCCATACTGTTCTTATGGTATGAGTAAGTCTCATGAGAGCTGATGGTTTTATAAGGGGAAACCCCTTTTTCCTTGGCTCTCATTGTCTTGTCTGCTGCTATGTAAGACATCCTTTGCTCTTCTGCCATGATTGTGCCTTGCTCCTCAGCCACGTGGAACTATGAGTCAATTAAACCCCTTTTCTTTATAAATTCCACAGTCTTGGGAATGTCTTTATTGGCAGTGTGGGGACAGCCTAATACAGTAGACTTCATAGCAAAAAAAAAAAAAAAAAAAAAGAGACACAGAGAGGAACATCATATAATGGTAAAAGGGTTAGTCTACCAAGGAGATATAACAATACTAAATGTGTATGCAGCATAAATAGAGCTACAAAATACGTGAAGCAGGTACTGAAAGAAATGAAAGGAGGGACAGACACATTCAGTTATAGTTGGAGACTTCAATACCTGCTCTCTCAACAACTGTTAGAACAACTAGATAGAAAATCAGCAAAGGTAAAGAAGAATTCAAGAACACCATCAACAAACAGGATCCAATCAATAGTTGCAGAATACTCCACCCAACAACAGCAGAATACACATTTTTAAAAGTGTGCACAGAACATGTAACAAAATAGACCATATACTGGGCCATAAAACAAACCTCACTAACTTTGAAAGAATTTATATCACGTGGTGTGCATTCTCCATCCACAAAGGAACAAAACTAGAAATCCATATAGAAAGGTACAGGAAAATTTCCAAACAATTGGAAACATAACAACACAGTTCTAAATAATCCATGGGTCAAAGAGGAAGTCTCAAAGGAAATAAAAAAATATATTAAACTGAACGAAAATGAGAACACATCATATCAAAAATTATGGGACATAAAGCAGTTCTGAGAGGGAAAGTTATAGCACTAAATGCATACCTTAGAAAAGAGGGCCAAGTGCGGTGGTTCGCACCTGTAATCCAAGTACTTTGGGAGACTGAGGCAGGTGAATTGCTTGAGCTCAGGATTCAAGACTAGCCTGGGCAACAGGGAGAAACCTGTCTTTGTCACACACACATGCACAAATTATATATATATGGAATATATATATATGGAATATATATATATGGAATATATATATATGGAATATATATATATGGAATATATATATATGGAATATATATATATGGAATATATATATATGGAATATATATATATGGAATATATATATATGGAATATATATATATGGAATATATATATATGGAATATATATATATGGAATATATATATATGGAATATATATATATGGAATATATATATATGGAATATATATATATGGAATATATATATATATGGAATATATATATATATGGAATATATATATATATGGAATATATATATATGGAATATATATATATATGGAATATATATATATGGAATATATATATATATGGAATATATATATATGGAATATATATATATATGGAATATATATATATGGAATATATATATATATGGAATATATATATATGGAATATATATATATATGGAATATATATATATGGAATATATATATATATGGAATATATATATGGAATATATATATATGGAATATATATATGGAATATATATATGGAATATATATATATGGAATATATATATATATGGAATATATATATATGGAATATATATGGAATATATATATGGAATATATATATATATATATATGGAACTGTCTCAAATAATCTTAGCTCACACCTCAAGAGCTTAGAAAATGAAGACTAAAATAGACCCAAAGCAAGCAGAACTAAGGAAGTAATAAAAATAAGAAAAGAAATTGATGACATTGAAAACAAAAACCCAATGGAGAAAAATCAATGAAACAAAGAGTTATTTTTAAAGATCAATAAAATTGACACCAAACCTTAAGAAAGTCTGACAAAAATAAAAAGGGGAGAAGGCACAGATTACCAATACCAGGAATTAAACAAGGACTATTATTACAGACTCTATAGACATCAAACAAAGAATAAGGTAGTATTAACCACTCTATACACACAAATTTGACAACTAAAATTAAATGAAATAATTCTTCAAAATGTATAAACTTCCACAACTCCTCCAATATTAAAGTAATTTAAATAGTCCTATAACTATTAGGAAAATTGAATTAACAACTAAAAATTCCCCAAAAGAAAATCTTCAGCTCAGATGGTTTCACTGGAGGATTCTACAAAATGTTTGAGGACCTAACACCAATTCTACACTTATCTTTTCCAGAAAACAGAGGAGGAAGGAATATGTCTCAGTTCATATTATGAAGCTAGTATTACCCTAATACCAAAACCAGACAAAAACACTACAAAAAAAACATTAAAGACCCATATCTCTCATGAATATAGACACAAACATTCTTAATGGAAATATTAGCAGAGAATACAACAAAATATAAAAAGAATTATATACCAAGAGAAATAAAGAGAAAACTACTAAAAGTAATGAAAGAAATGAGAGACGCTCTAAATAAATGAAGAGACATACTCAACATAGTAAAATGTCAATTCTCCCCAAAATGATACACAGGTTTAACAAAATTCCCACCAAAATTAAAATAAGATTTTCTGTAGATATAGACAAGATGATTATAAAATTTATACAGAAAGATAAAAGACCAAGAATAGCTAACATAATTTTGAAAAAAAAGAAAAATTGTAAGGAATCACTGATTTCAAGACATAACTATAGAAATCAAAACTATGTGATATTGTTAGAGACACAGATACATAGATCAGTGGAACAGAATAGAGAACCCAGAAATAAACCCACTAAATGTGCTTGAGTATTTTTTTTTGTTTGGAAGTGAAATTCATATACAATTAACCATTTTAAAATGAACAAATCAGTGACATTTAGCATATTCACGATGTTGCGCAACCATCACCTCTAGCTAGTTTCAAAACGTTTTCATTACCCCAAAATAAAACCCCATACCTTATGGGAAGTAATTACTCTCTATTCCTTCTTTCAACCACCAATCTGCTTTGTTTCTATGGATTTACCTATTCTGAATATTTCATATTAAAAGAATTATATAATATGTGACATTTTGTGTATGCCTTCTTTCACTTAACATGTTTTTGAGATTCAGCTATGTTGTAGCATGTATCAGTACTTTGTTCCTTTTGTGGCTAAATAATATTCCATTGTATGCATATACCACAATTCATTTATCAGTTCTTCCATTGGTGAACATTTGAGTCATTTTTACCTTTTAGCTGTTGTCAGTATTGCTGCTGCGAACATTCATGTGCAAATTTTTGAGCACTTATTTTCAATTCTTTTGGGCATATACTTAGGGGTGGAATTGCTGGGTCATATGACCATTTTATGTTTAACTTTTAAGGACCCACCACACTGTCTTCCACGACTGAACAATTTTACATTTCCATCAGCAAAGTATGAGGCTTCCAGTGATTCATATCCTCACCAACACTTGTTATTTTCCTTTAAAATATATATTATTATAGCCTTCCTTGTGGTGGGTATGAAGCGGTATATCATTGTGGTTTGATTTGTATTTCCTTAATGCAAATATTCAGCCATTTGTATATCTTCTCTGAAGAAATGTTTGTTCAAGTCCTCTGCCTAGCTTTTAATTGAGTTGTTCATCTTTTTGTTGTTGAGTCATGCAAGTTCTTATTCCTTATCAGATATATATGCAAATATTTTCTCTTAGTCTGTGGGTTGTCTTTTTATTCTCTTGATAAGGTTATTTGATACACAAAAGTTTTTAAATTTTGATAAACTCAAACTTATTTATATTTGTTACTCATGCTTTTTGTGTTATATCTAAGGATACATTGCCAAATCCAAAGTCATGAAGATTTACTCCTATGATTTCCCCCCAAGAGTTTAGGTTTTTAGCTCTTTTGTTTAGGTCATAATTCAATTTTAAGTCAGTTTTTGAATTTGGTGTGAGGTAGGGGTCTAAACACATTCTTTTGCATGTGGATATTGAGTTATCCCAGGGCCAATTGTCATAGGGATAGTTCTTTCTCCATTGTATAGTCTTAGAACCCTTGTTGAAAATCAGTTGGCCATAGATGTGTATTTCTGGACTCTCAATTCTATTCCATTGGTCTATATGTCTGTCCTTATACCAGTACCATACTTTAATTTCTGCAGCTTTGTAGTAAGCGTTGAAGTGTGAGCCCTTTGACTTTGTTCTTCTATTAAAAGATTGTTTTGGCTATTCAGGGACACTTGCAATTTCTACCCAGTTGATTTTTGGCAAAGATGTAAAATAAGTCAATGGATAGGCTTTTCAACAAATGGTGCTGGACATTTGTAGGAAAAAAAAAAAGACCTCATCCTAAGTCTCAGACCTTGTATAAAAATTCCCTCAAAATGGAGACAGATTTAATTGTGAAACATAAAACTACTAAACTTTTATTTAAAAAGTGGAGAAAATCTTTGGGATTTTGTATTTAGACTTGACACCAAAAGCAAGACCCACAAAAGGGAAAAAATGATAAGTCTGACTGCATCAAAATTAAAAACTTTTGCTCTGCAGAAGACCCGTTAAGTGATTGGAAAAACAAGCTAGAGACTGGAGGAAAACATTTCTAAACCACACCAACAAAGAACTAGCATCTTGAATGTACAAAACACTCTCAACACTCAACAGTAAAAGAACCAAACAATGCAATTAGAATGAAGAGATATTTCACCAAAGGGGATATACAGATGACAAATAAGCACATGAAAAGATGTTCAACATCATGAGCCATTAGAGAAATGTAAGTTAAAATCACACACCTGTCAGAATGGCTAAAATAAAAAATAGTGACAACACCAAATGCAGGCAAGGATGCAGAGAAATGGAATCACTCATACATTACTAGTAGGAAGGTAACATCATTCAGCTATTCTGAAAAATAATTTTGCTGGTTCTTTTATTTTTTGGCTTTTTCGTGTAACATTTTTATTCGAAATTGGCCACTTTTTTAAAGAAGTAAACATGTAACTATCATACAAGCCAACAATTGTACTCATGGGCATAGATCCCAAAAAATGAAAATTTATGTTCACACAATAACCTGTACACAAATATTTATAGCAACTTTATTTGTAATCACCAAAAAATAGAAAAAGCCAGGTGGTTAAACAAATGTGGCACTTCCATACCATGGAATACTACTCAGTCATACAAAGGAGCAAAACTATTGACACATGAAACAACTTGTATGATTCTCAAGGTAGTTATGCTGAGCAAAGAAAGCCAATCTACCAAAGGTTACATGTTGTATGATTCCCTTTACATAGCATTCTTAAAATGACACAGTTATAAAATTGAGAAAAAAAAATGGAGGTTGCCAGAGATTAGGGATAAGGGGGGAGGGAGAGAGAGAAGGGAGGTGGGATGGGCATAAAAAAGCCACAGAAAGGATTCTTGTGATGGGACTGCCATGTATCTTCATTTTATACATGTCAGTTACCTGGTTGTGATATTGTACTATGGTTTTTCAAGTTGTTACCATTGGAGGAAACTGGGTAAAGAGTACACAAGATCTCTCTGTATTATTTCTTACAAATGTATGTGAATCTAGAATTATTTCAAAATTAAAAAAATAAAAAAATCACTAAGTGATATATTGGTTTTCTTCCATTTGTTTTTATTTTTATTTTTATTATTTTATTTTTCCATAAGTTGTTGGGATACAGGTGGTATGTGGTTACATAAGTAAGTTCTTTAGTGGTGATTTGTGAGGTTTTGGTGTACCCTTCACCCGAGCAGTATACATTGCACCATATTTGTAGTCTTTTATCCCTCACCCGCTCCCAACTCTTTCCCCCAAGTCCCCAAAGTCCATTGTATCATTCTCATGCCTTTGTGTCCTTATAGCTTAGCTCCCACATATCAGTGAGAACATACGATGTTTGGTTTTCCATTCCTGAGTTACTTCACTTAGAATAACAGTCTCTAATCTCATCCAGGTCACTGCAAATGCTCTTTTTTTGTTGTTTTTGTTTTTTGTTTTTTGTGTTTTTTTGAGACGGAGTCTCGCTCTGTTGCCTAGGCTGGAGTGCAGGGGCATGATCTCGGCTCACTGCAAGCTCCACCTCCCGGGTTCACGCCATTCTCCTGCCTCAGCCTCCCGAGTAGCTGGGACTACAGGCACATGCCAACACGCCCAGCTCATTTTTTGTATTTTTAGTAGAGACAGGGTTTCACCGTATTAGCCAGGATGGTATTGATCTCCTGACCTCGTGATCCGCCCACCTCGGCCTCCCAAAGTGCTGGGATTACAGGCATGAGCCACCAAGCCCGGCCAAATGCTCTTAATTCATTCGTTTTTATGGCTTAGTAGTATTCTGTCGTGTATATATACGACAGTTTCTTTATCCACTCTTTGATTGATGAGCATTTGGGTTGGTTCCACGATTTTGCAATTATGAATTGTGCTGCTATAAACATGCATATGCAAGTATCTTTTTCGAATAATGACTTATTTTCCTCTGGGTAGATAACCTGTAGCTGGATCAAATGGTAGTTCTACTTTTAGTTCTTTAAGGAATCTCCGCACTGTTTTCCATAGTGGCTCTACGAGTTTACATTCCCACCAGCAGTGTAGAAGTGTTCCCTGATCACCACAGTTTTTTCCATTTATAATAAAAGACTGAAAGCCTGTTGGTATGTAACAAGCAAGCACACACAGTGGTTAGGTGGAGGAAGGCAGATGAGGACACTGATGATTCCTTTACTCAGTTTATCTCTTGGTTGAACATCACTGACTGCTGGGATGCTTGAGACTGTTATAATTTTAAATTGGTGTTTTTCTTAGTCATATATTTTGATTTGTGCCCATAATAGGCTGTGTTTAAAGACTAGAAACATAAGGAACCTGATGATGAAATACAAGCTAATTAAGAGCAAAAAATGTTAAGTCTACAATTTTGCTTCAAAATTACCTTCACCAATCTGTAAATTGCATTCATCTGATAAAAATCCTTATATATAGACTATCAAGCTGTCTTTCATACTTCAAAAACAGTGTTAAAAAGAGAAAAATAGAGTGACAATTATATTCAGTTTGGTTTTTCATGTGTTGAGAATAAAGGCTGTATCCACACCCACAATATGTTATTTGCAGAGTGCTTGGAAATAGTGGCCTGAAATCTTTCCCCTCCTGCCATTTATAAACAAAACATAGAAAATATATAAATAAAATGGCAGTGTTTTAAAGCATGAAATTCCAGAATTTTAGGCACCAATTCTTGAAAGACAGTTTTTTGCCTACACTTGAGGCACTGTCAAGGATTTTAGTCCTAAAACACTTTTTTGTATACATTCTATCCCCTAACTAGATATGACATCATTTTTTAGCATATGCGTCAGACAATGATGCTTTATTTCATTTAATTAAATAGAAATTAAATATTATATACTTGTTAAATGATACAAAATGGAACTTATCTGTAATGACTGTATTTTAAGAATGTTATTAATGATTGCATTAAAGCCAATTTTAGAAGATAACATTTAATATGATACTCTGAAATAATTTGTTTAAACTTCAAATCACTTATTTGTTATATACTACACCAAAATGGTAAGACTATTTTAAAATGTTTTGAAGAGGGTTGTAGTGAAAGGCTTGCAGGTCACATATGGCTAGGCAATGCTGATGTATGTGCATGCATTTGTCAGCTTTAAAGCATCCTGTTCATGTCAGTTGTTATATGCCCACTGTTTTTATTTACTGCAATTAGGAAATGGAGGGTCTTAGTTAATTAAATGTTCTCCATAACTGAAAATTACCATATGTCTCAGCACTGGGTTGGAGTCAGGAGACTTCAACTGCTGACCAGCTTGGGGTTCTTGGCAAATAATGTACAAAACGCATCTCGACATGGAAAGTGGGGATGATGCCCATATTAATAGCATTTGCCTCCCATGCTGTGTGCCTGAAGCCATTCAAATAATGCATCGGGTTTTTATTTACATTTCGACTTCTTTTTCATTTGATGTGTTTTCAACTTTGAGTAACAGAAAAACCCAACTCAATTGATTTAAGTAGGAAGGAAAATAAATCCTGAGGTAGGACAGCTTTAGAATGGGTTATTTGCGCAGCTCATTAAGGACCTAGGTTCTTTTTCTCTCCCTGTTCCACCATCCTCCATGAGCCAACTTAGCCATTTACAGGGTCACAAGTTGGTGGCTGTGGGTCTAGGGGTGTCTTATACTTAATGAAAGTATCAAGAGGGAAAAGAGGTACCACCTCTTCCTGTGTACCTCTTTGTCTCCCCAGCTGACACTCTCTCACCTCTCCTCAGCCAGCACTGGGCTCCCTGATCACCACTGGAAAAGAGCTTCATGATTGGCTTAGACCATGCTGAAGGTGAGACACCTGAATGGAACTGACATTCTATATGCAGAAAAGAAGAGAGAAATATACTTTGAGTATCCAATCAACAATGTCTACCATAATTTCTTAGACTACATGTTTGGTTTTGATTTTATGTGACAAGGGTTCATGATGAGGACAACTAATTAAATATACCAATAGATTCAGAAGAGAAGGTTCTCTAGGCACCTATTTGTAGTACGTAAATCCTGAGATATGTGATAGCTGCCATATACACACACAGTGTGTAACTGATACAGAATTGTGTAGTGATTATGAGGACAGGCTCTGAGTCAAATCCTAGCTCTGCCATTTGCCAGCCAAATTGCCTTAGATAAACTGGGTAACTTCTTTGAGCTTAATTTATGCAATAAGGATCTTACAGAGTTGTCATGAGGATTAGGAAAAACAATACATATAAAGGGCTAGGACTGGTGTCCAAGGCATAGTTAGCAATCAATAAACCTTAGGTGCTGGTTGGATGGTAGTGATGACGATAATGGGTTAGACATCACTTTGCACCTCTTGACAACTGAGCATCTGGTCTTTCCTGCTTTCACTCTTGCATCTGGTCACTATCCTCTCTATCCAGTTTGTTCTTCATACAGCAGCCAGAGACATCTGTTAAAAACATACTATAGATCCTTGCTCACCCTCCTCCCCTCCATGGCTTTCCTTACACCTAACATCAGATCTAGAGTCCTTTCAGTGGTTCCCCCTTATTTGAGGTTTCACTTTCACTTTCCACAGGTTTAGTTACCTGCAGTCAATCGCAATCTGAAACATTACATATAATAAGGTATTTTGAGAGGAAGATATATATATCATATTCACATAACTTTTATTATAATATATTGTTATATGTTATGAATTATTGTTGTTGTTAATCTCCTACTGTATCTAATTTATAAATTAAACTATCATAGGTATGTATGTATGGGAAAAACCAGTATATACAGGTGCAGTACTATCCATGATTTCAGGCATCCACTAAGTGTCTTGGAACATATCCCCGTGGATAACGAAGGGCTACTGCATTTGTCAGGACCCTGTGTGATCTGGTCCTTGCCTAGCCCTCTCCTTCTTCTGCAACTCTTTGCCTGGATCCCTCTGCTTAGCTACATCAGCCAGTTCCTTCTTTATGCCTGCTAGGCCTTCTGCCTAAATGCCCTCCCAGCTAGATCTTCTCGTATGCCACGCCCTCATCTAATCGTATCTCTGCCTAAGCACCCCTGTGAAAGAACTTTGTCCTCTGCCCTCTTGAAAAGTCACCACTCTTACTTCCAGTTACTTCTATCAGTCTGGGGTCTCTAGAATACAGAACTGGAGGCAAAGTTTATAAGCTAACACTTTATCAAGGAGAAGGAAAATCCTAGGGAAGCAGGTGCAGGGAAGGGGAAAGCTCAAATGCTGAGCAGGCCACAGCCTTGTAACAAGTGCAGCTGTGTGTGTGCTGGGCCTCCACAGTATCTTCAAAGAAGACTTGGGGCACTGCATCTCCGTAGAGACCATCCAGGGAAACAAGGGGGAATTTGTCTGCTGGCTTCCTCCTGTGCCCAGTCTCCCACTGGTCAAAGTCCAGCCCTCAGGGCATTAACTGTGCTGTATTGAGTAGCCTCTTCAGGAGGTCTCTGGGGAAGCCAGAGCCCCAGGTCTTGAGTCTGACAAATGCGTAGGCATGGAGGCCAGTTTCTCGCTATCATTTGGTGCCTCAGGCAGGACTTTTTTTTTTTTTTTTTTTTTTTTGAGATGGAGTCTCGCTCTATTGCTCAGGCTGGAGTGCAGTGGCACGACCTCGGCTCACTGCAACCTCTGCCTCCCGGGTTCAAGTGATTCTCCTGCCTCAGCCTCCTGAGTAGCTGAGACTATAGGCGCGTGCCACCATGCCCAGCTAATTTTTATATTTTTAGTAGAAACGGAGTTTCACCATGTTGGCCGGGATGGTCTCGACCCCTTGATCTCATGATCCGCCTGCCTCGGCCTCCCAAAGAGCTGGGATTACAGGCATGAGCCAACATGCCCAGCCAGACAGGACTTCTTGATCTGAAGTAGTGGCAGTAACAGCAGAGGGGAACTGGCTCTAAGACTGTGGAGATGGCATGGAACAGTTAATAGGGCCACTCTTGCTAGGAAGCAAGACAAGTAAGTGTCCAAAGCCCTGGTCCAGGTTAGGGTCAAAGAGGTCAGAATGGCTGCTCAGATCTAGGGTGGCCTATCAACTAAGTCCAGTACCATCTTATACCCCTGAAGGTTGGATAGTTGTCTTCATAGCCCTTGAGGTGACCCATCATAATACTGCATATTCATTTGAAAGGAACGTTTATTTAGAAGAATGGAAGCTTCAGCCAGCCAGGTAGCTCATGCCTGTAATCCCAGCTCTTTGGGAGGCCGAGGTGGGGCAAATTACTTGAGCCCAGGAGTTCAAGACCAGCCTGGGCAACATAGGGAGACCCCGTCTCTACAAAAAGTACAAAAATTACCTGGGTATGGTAGTGCATGCCTGTAGTCCCAGCTATTGGGAGGCTAAGGTGGGAGGATCACCTGAGCCCAGGGAGGTTGAGGCTACAGTGAGCTGTGATCCCACCACTGGACTCCAGCCTGGGTGACAGAGTAAGACCCTGTCTCAAAAAGAAAAGAAGAGGAAAAGAAAGAATGGAAGCTCCCTAAGGTAGCAGTTCACCTTTAAAATTAGATAGATAGATAGATAGATAGATAGATAGATAGATAGATAGATTTAGATTTTCACATTATTTATGATTCTATACTGGTGAGTTGGAAAACAGGGTCATGATAAAAATTATGTTGTCCCTTTCAAAGAAAGGAAATTGGCCCCTCTTTTCACTCTCCTCTTAATATGTTCCCTCTTTCATCCCTTTTGCCTATACTCAGTAGGGTATGATAGTTTGTGGCTGTAGGCCTGGCCATCTCATCCCCAATTATCCCTTGTAAACAATACATTCTTAAGAGTAGCAGACTTCAGTTTCCTCCTGTTATCAGCACCTTTCTTGGTCCCCTTGTGCCATCAATCCAGCCCCTGTGAGTTTGCTGGGAATTTGCCTTGGTAACAATGCCATGGTGAGGGTTTTATGTTCATCTCCCTCCATTTTTACCATTCACAATTCCCTTTCCATCACTGCATCTTCTCATTTATCCCAACTTCTTCATTAAAATTCCTACTCTATACCACTTCTTCTTTGTCTCGAAAAATTTCCCCAATCACAGTTGTCCCTTGAATGAATACCTTATCTCCATGCTAGCTACTTTTCTCCCTGAAATAAAGTTAAAAACAATTATGTATGTGTAATCTTAAGTCTAGGATCTTGAACTTACTGCCTACATTCCCTTAATTTCTAGGTGATTAATGAATTATCATCTTAAAAATAAGCATTAATATTAGACTTAGAGGAAAACTTCAACATCATAGCTCTGTTTAGATCAGAATAACTGAACTTCTATAAATACAGGCAAAATAAAGGCATAGACCTTTAGAACTGAAAATGGCCTTAGACATGTCGTTTAGTATGACTGCCTCCCATGTACCCATTCCCAATTCCCACTTAAGAGAAAACAAGTTCTGGGAAAGGTGTGACTCTCCCAGGCTCACTGAGCCCTAGAGGCTGAGGCGGGAGAGAGACCCCATCCTTGTGCCTCCCATCCAGGGCTCTCCTAAGCACAGGGCTGGCTCTTCAGTAAACTGCATGGTTTGGTTTGAAGATTTACAAAAACATTTTTTGAACAGGCAGCAGAACGTTAAATTATGCAAGACAAGGAAGACTCTTTCCTGCCTTTTCCCACCTTCTCACATGACTTCCCAGTCTGGCTTCTAATGGGTATTTCTAGGCACTGTTTGACCAGCCTAGTGGGGACTCCCAAGGGTAAGCTGACCCACAGTTAGTGATGCAGATACTTTTGGTTGGATCTGGAGAAAGTGCCTTGCTTCCTCCTGATTCCCATGGCTATGTGTCATCTCTGAGTATCCTGATATGCAGGTGTAATCTGAAATGTCCTAAGAGACACACATCATTTGGCAGTAGTTTTTCATTATATTGTTGTGTTTTTGGTAAGGATTAGAAATAGAAAAAAGATTTTAAACCAGCAACGTAAAAAAATATTTGGGTTGCTTAAACTTTTTGATCTTGTAAAAGTATATTAATAATGTTTTTATGTGTGTCTCTGGCTGAACCACTCACCAAAAACAGAGTGGGGCTGGGGGGCAGTAACTGGAATTTATGTTTCCTTTTAGCTCCCCTATTCCAAGCTTATTGAATTACATGAAGTTCAAAACTTAACCATTATTTCCCCTAAGAATCCTAGTTGGCTATTGAGAATCAGTATGCTTGCAAGTTCTGAAACAGGGTTTCAGGCAAATTTTGAAATTCTCAGTGTGAAATCTAGCCTATTTTCCAATTTGGGGTGTACTATTAAACAAAAAATTACACTGAGAGGTAAAAGCACAGAGCAATTCAAAGAGGTGTCAAGGTTACTGGCATCTGATGCTGCTTCCCTGGAGCCTTGTTTTATTTTGTCATTCACACTTCACCTTTCTCATTCCGAGGTGACTTTTAATTTCACTCTTATTTTATGCACAGTAGTTAAACAGCTCACTTCAGATGTTAGCATTCTCTCTAAGGAATATTCCATACATCTGGTTTGCAGCAACTACCTTCTTCTCCTTCTTTGGGAAGCGTGTAGAAGTTCAGTGCCTGTTCACTGCATTAAACAGAGCTATTTCTGATCTTGGTCAACCTATAGACCCTGATTTACATATGACCTTGAGTTACTAAAAAACAAAAAATACACAAAGTCCTGCTTTGATTATGTAATAAGGCCACTAGGTTGACTCAGGGACTTTGTGATCAGAGCTGAGAATAGAAATCTGCTTTTCCAAATACCTCATGTCTTAGAGGAGAGCCGAATCCAGCCTCTAAGCCATGGTGTACGTTCCTGACCACAGACTTAGAATTACATTTCAGAGGGAGGCACAGCACATTTCCAAACTTCCCTGCTTCCTTTTATACTCATTTTCTCTTTTCTGTTTCCCAAGATGAAAAGTGCCATCCCTTCCCCAGTCCTGCCATGGAGAATCTGGCCCCTAGCCAGCCCCAGAAGTTCAGTCATGGTGGCCTTGGCAAAGATTCATAGTCAAATCTGAGAGAGGATCACACTGGCTAGGGCCCAGGGTCACTGAGGATGTAGTAGCCTTTATCCTTCTGAGTAAAAATCATGGTATCCACATGGGAAGTCAACCAGGTTTTGTCCAACCCCTCATTTTACAAGTGGGGAAACTGATACCTACAGTAGAGATACGATTGGCTCTGCATTACATAGCTTGGCAGTGATAGAGGGAGAGCTGGACCCCAGACCAAAACTGTGTGATGCCAAGACCGCGCTGGCCCATTCACTGCTGTATCTCTAGCAACTATTAATAGCACAGTGCCTGCTGCATTGGAGGGGTTCAGCGGCAGGAAAATCTGTGGAAGGAAAAAACAAACGTAATATCTCTTTCTTCAGGTCAGCCTTCCATTATTCTTCCCCTTTTCCTTATATTTAACTAACTTCATCCTCAGAAAAATCCCCTCTGTCACCTCCCCCCGGCCAGGAGAGATTACAGAGGCATGGACAGAACACTGTTCACCTAAGCCAGGAAGGCCCCTGGTGCCCACGCAGCCAGAGCAGGAGGCAGGCCCTCAGAAAGTCTCCTGGCCATCAGCCTGGCCTGGGTAGGGGCTCCCTCCTAAGTTTCCTGCCAGACTGAGGCTACGTATGACCATTTATGGGCCCCTAGTTGTTACAAAGGTGTTTCCAGTTCATTCGGGAAGGAAGACTGATCTCAAAAGCTGCTGATGTTAAAGAGGGATTCAGAAAAGTTTGGGAGCCCCAGGCTTGGGGATGGGATCAGGATGGGGAAATATCCTGTTCTAAGGGAGAAGGGACCCTCTGGGCCCAGCTAGGTCAGGTAGGCAAATGTCACTTGGGATTGCCCCTGTATGCCCTGAATGTCTTAAGATTCTGTAGTTGGAAGAGGGAAGATTCAGAAAAGAGAAAACCTTTGCTGTTTCCCAGGTTGTTGGGTCTCAACGGCGGGGGATTTCACCCACTTTGTCCCCAGGGACAGCTCTCCTGCTGTGGTGTACCGGCCCGCCTGGACTCCACGAGCAATGGCCGCGGATTCAGAGACCCCCTGTGCGCCTGGAGAGCACAGCTTTGGGGAACCTGGCCCGGAAAGGAGCCTGGAGGAGAGCAGAGGTGAAGAGGGGCTGTCACTTGCCGAGCTCCACGCTAGCCAGAGGCAGGAGCGCTACGCTGGCCCTCCTCCCTCCGGGCCCTAGATGGCCCCAGCGCTCCGGAGTCATCGCGCCCCGCGTGCGCGCCCGCCTGCTCCGCGCACCTGCCGTGGCCGCCGCGCGGGTCTGACCGGCTGGCGGGCGGGCGGCGCGCACAGGTGGCGGCGATTGGGCAGGCGGGGCCCAGAGGGTGACGTCACGGGCTCCGGTCCCGGCGGCAGAAATAGGGCAGCCGCGGCGGCGGTGGCACAGCAGCGGGCAGCGGCGGCTCAGGGAGCTGGAGCCTCAACAGCCTCCAGCGAGCCCGGGACCCGCCGACAGCCCGAGAAACCAGCCGAAGGACGCGGGGCGGGGTCGCCGCCGCCGCCACGGGGTGCTCCCTCCCTCCCGCCCAAGTCCGGCCACCTGGTCTTCCCCTCGGCCCCGGCCGTCTCAGGTACGCGGGCGCAGCTCCCAGCGGGCGCGGGGAGGGTGCCATGTCGCTGGCGCCGCCACCAGCCGGTCCCGCTGCACCCCACTGGGGTCCTGGCGCCCGCGGCCCCGCATCTTGCTGCAGGGCCCGGCGCGGGCGCTTGCTTGTCCTTACTGCCCGCGCCGGGAAAGCCAAGTTTGCCCGCGGGGAAGGGACCGCTGGGCCAGGGCTCGGCAGGGCTACCCCGGCCAAGGCCAGGACTCGAGGAGAGGCTGGGACGCCGAGGCTCGTGGCCGGGGTCTACGGTGGGGACCGGAGTGACCCGGTTGGCACGCGGGGCGCCACGCAGAAGCGCTCGGGCCGAGCCCGCAGCTCGCGCCCGGCTCCGAAATCCTGCAGGCGCCGTTCTTGGGTTCAGGACCCCGAGCGGCCCCGGCGGAGCCAGGCGAGCGCGGCCCCTCGGCCCGGGCCCGGTGCCCTTGGCTCCGGGTTGGGGCGCCGGGCAGGCATTCTCAGCACCTCCTCCCCGCGGCTTTGCGGGGAAACTTGCGTCTCCTCGCTGCAGCCCAAAGGGCCCGCTGCGCTTCGCCTGGCCCTGGCTTCCCCGGGGTCCGCCGCATGTGAGGCTGGGGAGGAAGGAATCAGGGCACGACCCGACTCCAGGCAGCCTGCGGCGCTGCTTGTGCGTAGCCGGCCGCGGTCCAGAGTGAGCGGCCCGGGGTACCCGCTTGAACGTGTCTAGGGAGCAGTGTGTTGGGGGCGTTCAGCGTTCGGGCTGGGGGCTTGGTCCTAAGAGAGCTTGCACTGTGGATGATCTCCGCCCTCTTTGCGCCCGCAAAACAAAGACGAGTTCTGAGTTTCAGGAGGGACCTGGACGAGGCAGGCACAGCACTCTGCTTTCGGCGCCTGTCGCCTCGAGTTTGGGGACGAGCTGACGCTAGTCTTTGGGGCTCCCTGCAGCCGACAAAGCGGCGCCAACCCCAGGCCTGCCACCTGAGGACTTTGTGCCCGCAACTCTTGCGGGAGCGGAAAGCCGCCGAGGCAGTGGGGTTTCTTGTTTTCCAGAGCGCGGCGAGCCTCCGCGCGGCGCGGCAAGTGCACTAGGAGTGCGCGGGTCAGCGGGGCGGGCCCGGCGAGGTCGGTGTCGCGGCTCGAGAGCGGGTGCCGGGGCGCTGTCCAGCAGCCCTCGCTCGCGGCCGCGGGCCGCCGACACTGATGAATGGCGCGGCCACAGCCCGCCGCTCCCCTCTAGGTGTCGCTTCCGCCGAGCTTTCCTCCAGTGAAAAACAGCGCCGGCAGCTTGGTCTGTTACCTTCGTAAATTTGTTGCAAGCCTGTGCACCAGGAATTGTACTAGATGGGGCCCCCGAGATACAAACATCCGTCCAGGTTCTCTGGGCCAAACGTAAACAGAATTTCAATAGGTGGTGAAGTAACTGCCAGCCAAAATGTTCACCGGGAATGGGCCTGTGTCACAATCTGTGAGGGGAAAAGACGGATCAGTGAGCGACTAGGACTCTTCTTGAAAGTCCTAAGTTATTTTCCTACTGCCAAATTTAGGGGAAACCAGCGATGCTTTTTAATAGTGTCTTCTTAATCCTGGGAGCCAGGCGCCAGTTTCTGTGCCTGCCCCTCTGGCCCCCAGGACAGACTCTGGGTCTGGTTGGCGGGGGGTCCACCTGGGAAGGGAATGGTCGGAGGTGTGAGTGATGCAGCTTCTGAGACTCCAGAGCCACAGCAACTCTCAGGCAGGAGCTCAAGCCGGACATACGAGCAGATGCCCTACAGGGCACGTGTCTGCTTCCCATCTTAGCGTTGTGAGAAGGAGGCACTGCAGCATCACTAGACCATTTCTGCCATACTCTGCTAAATGTTCGCTTTTTCCCTCCCATCCTAGGAAAAAAAGGCACCACCCTCTCCAAAGACTTCAGACTGAGCCAAAGTTCACATAAGAAAATAGTCCACTTTGATGTAATGTATTTAAATTGCTCGTTAGAGTTGTCCTAGTGCTTTTTTCTCTCTTAGACTTTTATGATCATCCTCAATTTTTGTTGATTCTAGGAAAGCTCTTTTTCTTCTGGAAAAGGCCAGCTTGTTTTTCTGGGTATTAGGAGAACTTTTATCCTTTCGGCTGTGCCCTGGAGGTGGGTGAGGGAAGAGGAGGTTGGATTTTTCCACCATGACCAGTCAGTCACTGAGGACTTTTTTTCCTTTTACTAAGGGCCGTAGGACTTTTTAAATGTGACCTTCACGTTATGATCTTTTGTTTGACTTAACACTATATTCAGAGACTAGCATTGAATAGTCATTGTTTCATAAAACTACCTTAACTCCTACCTTGCCTTGTTTGAGTGTTTCTCTGCAAACTCAACCTTCTTGAGTTGCTTATGTGCGGTTAGTTGTGTGCTTCCTAGCTTAATGCAATTAGATATTTCAAGAGCACATCTTTCTTTACATTTTCTGTCTCAATGCATAACATAAGGCATGGAATTTCCAATAAAATAGAACTGCAATCAAGAGCATGTGGTTCTTAAGAGGTATGAGCTGAAGGTTGTAAGGATAAAGGTTATTGGAAGTCACATGTGTGTCTGTGTTAAACGTCAGAGTAAATAGGAATAGAGATTTATACATGGCACATAGAATAATGTAGCCATCTAATTTATCAAGTGTTGGGGAAGAATTAACTAATGATATAGAGTAGATAATTAATAGGAAATGCAATTTAACTTCATTAGGGCTTGCTGCAACGTTAGCTTGCTATATCTCCATGCCTAATTTCCCTGGGTTGGTGTTTTAGGGACTGTCTTAGGAAATCTGTACCACTTTCTTTTTTTCTAAAACACTCACATATCAAAACTAGGGTCGTAAGCCTTTGAGAGGTTCCCGTACAGCCTCCTGGTTTCACGCTGGGGTTGATGTGGCTTTTTTTCCCCCTTTAAATTTGAGCAGACATGCAGAAGAGAATTCCACGTTGTATTCAGTCAGTATTTGGAATTCCAGAATCCCAGTTGATTTTTATATGTTGATTGCCAACATGCCATGTATGAAATGCTACACACCTACAGTGTGTGTAGGGCAGACACTTTTTCATTTGGAAAGGTTGAGAATGCAGATGCTTCAGGGTCACAAATCTGACTGTTCTCTTCAAGGCTGGGTGGCATTGCTTGGTTCTGCCAAATCATCTTTGTAATTTCTGGTCCTGTTGATTACAAAAAGAAGCCATTTCTGTATGGCTAATCCTTAATGGCTAGTCTGGTAAAGTTACCAAGTTCTGGGAGAGAGGCTGAGAGAGAGAATGGATGAACAATGCCACCGAAACTCTGAGGGCCAGAATTCCCATTCTTCCCAACAGGGCTGTTTCCTGGAATAGAAAGAGAAGTTTGTATTAAACCCATTGCCAGTTTAATGGGATTGCTTCTCTCTGGCCTATGAACTTGGTCAATAAAGACAGCTTACATGCCTGTGTGCGTTCTCTGGGTGGGGCAGATTTTGGTATTTTCATATGAATACCTATTTCTCCCTAACAATTTGCATTCCTATTTCATGCTTTTTCAGCTTTCTTCAAAAAGCAAGTCAGTATTTGGAATGTTACATCATACTAACCTGTAATACCTCTGTAATTCTAAATACAGATAAATAATAGCACAGATATTAGCTTATTTTAGAACACCTGAAAATCCTGTGGTTTTCACAAGGAGGTAGACAATCTAGTGGAGGTCCTTCAGCATTGAGAAAAGCAAAATCTGCCTATCTAAACAAAGAATCCAAACTCCCACTCTAGATGTAAGTGTGCCATAATATAAGGAACCAAACAGTTGCCCTGGGGGCAGGATGCCTGGGTTCCAGTTTAGGCCTAGCCACTGATTTGTCCTTGAACCTGGGTGGATTCGTCCACCTTCTGGTCTTCTGGTGTCCTATCTATGCGGCAGCCAGGTTAGCACCAGGTTCTCCTGACTGGGGGAATGTCTGTTGAAGCTCTGGTAGGAAACCACAGGGGAAGCAATGAAACACCTCCCTTCCAAACAAGATGGTTAAAGCATCAAGTCAGTGTACTTTATGACTTGTTTGGAACAAAAGGTAGTCTCAGCTCTTTATATGGGGACAGTCCTAGGTAGATTTATAATTAATACTTAGGGCTTAGCAAGGATTGAATGAAACTTATTAATCTAAATTGATCTCAAAAGGAGCTCTAGGTTTAAAAGGGGATTTGTGACCTTATGGATGGCACCTTCCCAATTCTATAATGGGGAGATTCTTGCATTTGCCTCTATCTGAAGGCCAGTAGGACTATTTGAATTTGAGGAGTAATTAATTTGTTAACAGATTTACTTCTCCAGAGTGACTAGCCTTATGATGCTGGTGCTCTCCGTGAGCTGAGGGGCATCGGCCTGGGATTCTGTGCATCTTTTTATGGTTCCCCTCCCTCCCTCCCTCCCTTCTTTCCTTCTACCGTATTTTTTCTTAGCCCATAAATAGAGCAGCAGTGAGGACTGAGGAGAGTCTGCCCAGGGGCCCCCATCCCGGGGTAGAATGTGGGAATTAAGGGTGAGCAGCTTGGCTCTCTGCCCTTGGTTGGAGCCATGAGGAGGAGAGTAGCTCGTGGCAGCTTTCAGAGGAAAGGAGAGTCTCGGGGCCAGGGCCTCCTATCTTACTGTCTCTAGATTTTCCCCATTATACTAAAAACAACTGTTTATCAAAACAAAACAGGCAGGACAAAACAAAACAGACAGGCGGCAGCAGGTGGGAGTTAAGAGAATAGATGTCGTGGGTCTACGTGCCTGACTTGGAATTTCAGTTTTGCCACTTGTCTGCCACATGGCCTTGGCAGAGTCCTTAACCTCTCTGTGACCCCATCTCCTCTTTCATCTGATTGAGGGATAATCATTGCCCCCATCATGGAGTAGAAAAAGGAGGGTTATGAGTTAATACCTGTGAAGTGCTTAGAACAGTGCCTGACACATCGTAATTGCTATATAAGTGTTAACCAAATAGATAGTCTCTATTTGATTATTAGACAGATAATCAAAATTGATTTAGACCCAATATTAATTCCTTTTTATGAACTGAACTGTCATAAAACTTGAGCTGTAAATTTCCAGGCTGTTGGTGCTGTAGATATAATGAATTGTCAATCACCGTTAAGTATAAAATGACATCTAAAACACATCCACAGTGCAAATGAAATCACAGCTAGTGGTAGACAGACTGAGCTAAACTTTACAAACAAGCTGCCCAGGAGTATTTCAGTAGTTGGCCTGGCTCATGTGTTTTCCTGTTTCCAGAGTTTTCCTGTTTCCAGATACAATCTTACAGGAAATATAAACACAAACCAGATAAAACCAGTGGCAACTCCAGGCCAAGCTCCAGGCTTGGATCTTGGGCCTTCTGAAACACAACCCAGAAACCAGCAGTCTTGGTGCATCCTCTTATGAACTGATTTGGCGCTTGCCAAAATCACAGTTGAAATGAATATATTTTATTTTAATGCTACCCATTAGTACCAAAACATAAAACATAATTGATCTTAGATTACAAAGCAGATTAAAAGTTAAATACCAGATTTTGTGGCTTATGTATTTCATAACTCCAAGAGTTGACATCTGTACATTAACTAGAATAGATTTGGATTATCTTGCTGTTTTTCGTTTATGTGAGCTAGGAGACATGGAAAGGGAGAAAAGTAGACCTTGCTCTGTGTGTTTACTCTGTGAGCAATGTTTGATAGTAGATAAGTAGGACAAAATTAATGAGAATAAGAAGCAATGTCTTTCTAGTTCTAGCTTAAATTTCTATGGCTGGTTTTTAAAAATTCCAAAAATCCACTCGCTGTTTTCTGCAGTCTCTGGAAAGTGGCTCTGCATTCAGAAGAGGATTACTTATGGAGAATAGGGAGTTACCTTGTTTATTTTTAGAAAAATGGGTTGCAGCTCAGCTGGGCATGGTGGCTCATTCCTATAATACCAGCACTTTGGGAGGCCGAAGCAGGTGGATCACCTGAGGTTGGGAGTTCGAGACCAGCCTGACCAACATGGAGAAACCCTGTCTCTATTAAAAATACAAAATTAGCTGGGCATGGTGGCGCATGCCTGTCATCCCAGCTACTCGGGAGGCTGAGGCAGGAGAATCACTTGAACCCAGGAGGCGGAGGTTGCAGTGAGCCGAGATCGCACCATTGAACTCCAGCGCAGGCTACAAGAGTGAAACTCCATCTCAAGAAAACAATAAAAACAGGTTGCAGTTAGGGGAAGACATTTTTATTCTTAGTCCCGAATATGATTTTCTTTTCCTGCTCCTTCTCCCTGTAAGATTTCACACACCCTAGCTAGATCACTGGATCAAGAGCGCAGAAGCCATTGGGGGGCAGGGGAGGGAGTGCCGTGACTGCCGCAGTCCTCACAGTCCTCTCCCGGGTGGCAGCTGAAGCGGCATTATTCCACTCAACTCTGCCTTCTTCAGAGTGTGGGGCAGGTGCTGATGGTGAGACTGTGACCTTCAGATTATATTTACTGACCACCCAGACTCTTTTCCTGGTAGCTCAGCTTTGTCAACAGATGTCAAAGATGAGTGACCGAAGAAACAGATATAAGAGTGGGAGCTTATGGACTCTTTTTAAAACAAGCAGACACCTTCTCTTAAAAGACAGTCATGCCTTATAACCTTGCCTTTTCATAGGCCAGTGCCATAGGCCCACAATTTTGAGTCTGACTTCTCCTCCCTGTGGGCATTTCTGTCTCCAGCTGGAGACATAAAGCAGATGTGGAGAGGCAGCTCTATTTGGATGTGGATAGCAGCCAAACAAAACCTGGAATGTGGCAGGAGTGTAATTGTTTGCCAGCCCTGGACTCAGCACTAGTGACTATGTGACAACTTCCACCCCATTGTCTAAAGTAGGGATGCTCCAAAGCTGTTGCCTATGGCAGTGAGCAGGGATGGACTGCCAGGTCCCTCAAGCACCCACTTCTTTCTGAATTGGATGTCTGTTCTGGACCAGCCCTAAGCCAGTTCATGCTGGATGCTGGCCTCCAAGGAGCTCCGGTGTCTTTAACTCACCAGCCTAGATCAGGATGCAGTGTGGACCATATGTGATTAAGCACTAAATTGTGTGGTACAAGCAGAAATCAATAACCCCTAAAGTTTCCTTGAGTAGGGGTTCTAAGTACTACATAATGAGTTGTATCTGGTTATGTTTCATAATCAGAATACTGAAATTATGGTTGGACTGTGTTCACAGTGGAAAACTTTTTCCAAAAAAGTACAGCTTATTGGACAAGTAAGATAGTCTGTATCCTCATTTCCTCAGCACAATGCTTAGCACATGATTTGGACTTGAATATTTGTTGTAGCTGATCCTTAGTTTTTTCATCCATGTGATTATTTGATTACCTTGAATTGCTCACTTCTTGTCTTTTAGGACTGTATACAGTAATGTTATCAAGTGAGCCTCAGGAAACACCTCAAAGGTTATTGAAATTCTGAATCATTGGATGCTTGGATTCTGCCACAAAAAATGGTTGGTCTTGAAACTAAGATATTAGACCTTATGATGCCATTTTGAAGCTCACTGTCTTATAAACTGAGGTGTCGGCTGCAAATGAGGTGCCAGAGATGTAACATAATTCTTAATCATCATTTCTTTTTTTGAGACAAGAGTCTCACTCTGTCGCCCAGGTTAAAGTGCAGAGGTATGATCTCGGCTCACTGCAACCTCCGCCTCCCGAGTTCAAGCGATTCTCCTGCCCCAGCCTCCTGAGTAGCTGGAATTACAGGTGCCTGCTACCACGCCCAGCTAATTTTTGTATGTTTAGTAGAGACCGGGTTTCACCATGTTGGCCAGACTGGTCTCAAACTCCTGACCTCAAGTGATCCATCTACCTCCGCCTACCAAAGTGCTGGGATTACAGGTTGTGAGCCACTGCGCCCAGCCATAATCATAGTTTCTCGAGCACTAATTGTGTGCCTAGCCCCAAATGCTTTCTCAGGAAACTAAGGCGTGGCTATATGGCAGCCTAATAGAGGTGACCCACCTGCCTCACCCTGGTTTGTTCTTATAGATGTAACGGTAGGTGGCATTTCAAATGGGTTTCCACGTAACAGCATTTATAGAGTTCTTACTCTATGCCTGACACTAACTCCTTCAATCCTCACAAAAGCCTTTCGAGGTACATATTATTGCCATTTTAGAAATAAGTAAACTAAGGCTCAGAAGTAATATAACCTCTCCAAGGTAGAACAGAAGTTTGGTGCCAGGATTTAAACCCAGGCTTATCTGATTCTGGGGAACACATACTAACTCACTGTGACTTATTATATCCATCTCATAATGTTTTATTCTCAGCATTTGTCATTTCTTCAACAGACTCATCAAAATGAAACCAGGAGGCTTTTGGCTGCATCTCACACTGCTCGGAGCCTCCCTGCCGGCTGCGCTGGGATGGATGGACCCAGGAACCAGCAGAGGCCCGGATGTGGGTGTGGGGGAGTCACAGGCAGAGGTATAGTCAAATCCCTGCGGACATAACATTTCAAACTGATTGCTTTCCGATGTTACAGTATCTGATTTCCCCTCCACCTTTAGTTTAGATCAGTTAGATCACAAAGTGAATTAAAATTGCACTTCCTTTTTGGTGGGGACAGAAGAAGGCAACCTGTGTGGATACAGACAAGAGGTTGATAACACGATGTGAGTAATGGCTCTAAAACCTCTCAGATGCTGAAAGTGTATTCCGAAACCAAGCTTGAATTGCCTGGTTAGTCTCTACAAAGACCCTCAGGAGAATGGCCTTTCTGTATATTTAATAAAACTCTGAAAATGCAGAGTAATTGGTGGAGCACACCCATGTGAATTAGTGAAGTATTTTAATTATAAAATATATTTGAAAAGAAATGGACTACTTTTCAGGTATATAGATAGAAAGCACCAGGCTGAGAAAGAACTGGCAAGTGGAGGTCCTAAGGGAGAGTGCTTTAATGAACAGATAAGAATGATTAATGGCATGTTAGGTATATATAAATGCTTCTAAAGTGCTTGAAAAACTTGTCCTCAAATACCTCCCTGGAGAGTCTGGATGTTCTGCTAATTGCTTAGTGAACCCTGGTCTTATGTAGTAAAGAGGATCCATAAACTGCAACCTGGCCCTCTCCAAGGTAGTAGGTCCCATGAATTTGGGGTTCATGGGCAAAATGTATTTTTCTGCAGAAAATGCTTTGTGTGTGCTGACTCTTAAGGAATGACTTCACCCTTCCATTAAAACCACCTGGGATTTTCTCTATGCTGTGATGAATACTAATTCCTAATAGGCAGCTTTCCAGGGCACTTTTCCTCCCATTGTCTTCCTTGATGCCTGCCGTTCTCTTTTTCTTTGTCCCTGTTTCCTGTCCTGCGGAATGAGAAATAAAAATTACCTCAAAAAGTCAACATTCCCAGAGAGTGAATAAGGTTACTCAGTGTAGGGTAGGATTAATGCATTATTTGATCAAAAGACATGATTTCTCTTTCATTATTACTTAATTGTAATGCAATCCCAAACCTACCAGCCTTAATCTTTGGGGAGCCTCAGAAGTAATTTAATGTACACTTTTCCTGCAGAAGTTAGTGTGCCTTCCTTTTGTGGTGAGCAGATGATTAAACAGAAACGCTATCTCTGCCGTCTAAATCCATGAAGGACGCAATTTAATGCTCTTTTGAAAGAGTCTGGAGGCTGGCTTGCTGGTGAGAACAGCATTTCCCTTATGGGAACAGCTTTATCAGTACACTCATATCCATACCAAGAGAAAATGATCACTTAAATCCTACACATATATTGTTGAATATTTAATAGCAAAGCAAACAGACAAACACACAGGTAAGCTTAGTCTTCTTACTATTGGGGCTCATCGGCCCACTGTTTTAAACCACTTATTTCAAATAAAAGTATCAAGTCAATTAAGGTGGGATTTAGCTGGAGGTAAATTGAAGGTAAGTTAATATCAACCCAGGGCCTCTTTATCTTAGCTGTTAACACCCTAATTCTTTGTGTGCCAACAAGAAGGAGCAGATGCTGGTCATTGGGAGGAAGTAACGCTTTTTGGGGGTTGTTATCTTGCTCCCCTGCAACCCCTGCTCCAGGGTAGCTTTTGTCTTCCAAGTCCAGGAATGTTGCTGCTTCAGGAAAGGGAGGTGATGACTGTGTAGATTCTGCACCACAAGAACTATTGCCCTATTGATCATATATATAGTTTTTTGCTATAGCTTTTGTTTTTGCAGTATTATAACTTCTAATCATTGAAACTGTTTCTATCAGTGATTAAATGAGATGATAATAATGGGAATGGGCCTAGGGCTTAGGATGGCCTAGGTTAAAGGTTTAGCTGCAGAGAACAGAACACTTCCAGGTACGGTGGCTCACACCTAATAATCCAAGCAGTTTGAGAGGCCGAGGTGGGCAGATCACTTGAGCCCAGGAGTTCAAGACCAGCCTGGGCAACATAGCAAAACCCTGTCTCCACTAAAAATACAAAAGTGAGCTGGGTGTGGTGGTGCACTCCTGTAGTCCCAGCTACTCGAGAGGCTGAGGTGGCAGTACCACCTGAGCCTGGGGAAGTCAAGGCTGCAACAAGCCATGATTGTGCCACTGCTCTCTAGCCTGGGTGACAGAGTGAGACCATGTCTGAGAAAAAAAAAAAAGAAAGAAAGAAAAAGAAAAAACTCGAAGGAAAAAAAAGAAAACAGAGAGCAGAACATTTATTTTAATCGGTTTGTTTGCAGCCCTTGCTCACACTCTGTTCATCCCTCCATGCACCCCCATGCCCCTGCCCACCAGGGGCCTCGTGCAGAGCGTGCTGTCTCTCCTTTCTATGTCTTTGCTTTCTACACCTGACTCTCCTCCTCCTTCAGGGCCCAGCTCTGGTTCTTACTTTTTCTTTAGAACCTTCTTTGACCACTCTTGGTCACACCTGGTCTCTTTTTCTGAATTCTTAGTCCTTCCTTTCTCTTTTTGTTTTCTTACTCTTTTATTTTTACGTTAGCATATGGATGGAGCCTGTCTTATTTATCTTTTCTTCCTTACAGTGCCTAATAATTTTATAAGCAAAATAGAGGTTTGATGCATTTTTAAGCCAATCGATATTTATGTGACCTTTGGTCCTGGTCATAAAGTCACTCTGGTGCTTCCAAAATTCAGACCAGACCATCAGGTATTTCAGCGCAGGGCATACCTCCCTGCACAGCAGGTTCATTCCCAGTGGGGACGTGGATGGTTTTCCCCAGCAAATCTGTGAGCAGCCTGCAGGCCGGACAGGCTTGCATCCTAATATCCAAGATAGTCCTTGCGTGTTATAGTTTCTGGGTAGTTTATTATTTGAACTGTAGCTATTAATGTATCGATAACTCACAGTCCAAACCATATTAAACTCCTCTAGCAGTTTCTGCAGACAGTCTTATTTCCTGGAAGAATCAAAACCAGCAGAGTTTCCTGAGACTCTAAATAAGTGAAAAACCTTTTTCAGGAACCAGATATTAAAATGTTTCTGCATTTCTTCCCAGTAGTAGTACTTCACACAAATACTCATTGACTTAAGATTTTTAAAGTACTTAGAAAGCGTTAATAAGATTTGATTTACCTTTAAAGTTATTATACCAATTACTTGATTGACCTAAGGGTAAATAAGAATTAAATGACCAACGCGTGTGTGTGCACATATTTTTAAAGCAATTATAGCAAGTGTTAAATTATTGTTTTATGTACAAAGACTGCAGTGGAAATAGTTTCAAGGAGTTTACCATTTTACAGACATAGATAAAAAGAAATACAGCTGGGTGGAGTGCCTCTTTCATAAGAGTGGAGTGGCAGAACGTGCCCTAGAATACTAATGGAATTCTGAATTCAGAGGAAACAATTCTGAGAGGTACAATTTATTGAAATAATGAAATGTTGTTATATCCCCCCCCCCTTTATCCTACACAGATGCATTTTGACTTATGACGGGATTACATCCAAATAAACCCACTGTAAGTTGAAAATATCATAGGTCGAAAATGTATTTCATACACCTATCCTACCAAACATCGTAGCCTAGTCTGACCTGCCTTCAGCATGCTCAGAACACTGACATTAGCCTACACTTAGGGCAAAATCATCTAACACAAAGCCTATTTTATAATAAAATATTGAATATCTTATGTAATTTATTGAATACTGTACTGAAAGTGACAAACAGAAGGGATGTATGGGCACTTAAAAGTACGATTTCTACTGAATGTGTATCATTTTCATACTATGCTCATGTTGAAAAATCCTAAGTCAAACCAAACCTAAGTCAGGGACTGTCTGTACACTGGTCAAGATAAATATAGTAGTAAAATCAATATTGATAGAATTCTGTATTTGAGGGGGAACCAAGGAACCAGGAAGGGGTGAGAAGTGATATGGTAGCAGCCTCCAGAGAGCATACCTGCTTTTGAGAAATAGGCATTTGTGGGAGCCCCCCACTTTTGGGGCCTGGGTGCTGCAGTGGCCGCCCCCCCACTTTTGCAGCCTGGGTGCTGTGGCGGGAGCCTCCCCTTTTGGGGCTAGGGTGCTGCCATTGGAGCCACCCCATTTTTGGGGCCTGGGTGCTATGGTGGGAGCCTCCCACTTTTGGGGCCTGGGTGTCGTGTTCCAGCACCAGCATCTCACCCATTTGCTGGGCTCTGAGATTGAATGGTGGGCGTTACATGGTCTTATACGTCTTTCATGCATTTTACTGAACTTTTTCTAAACGACTCTTACCCATGGCATATACATAGTCACGTACTACATACCTGTACATGTTAATATTGATTCTTTCTTAAATTGTCACCTCATGTGCCTCAGTGCTTATAGACCAGAGATAGGTTTTGAGCTCAGACACCATGGGTTTTCAGTATTTGCAAATTCTCTCAAAGTAAAGTCTTTGCAGAAGAAATATGTGGAGTGGTGTCAGCTAACTTAAACATGATTCCCCGCCTCCCTAACCTCAGGGGTCAGCCTAAGACAGCATTGATCCTACCCTGACTGACCGGCCCCTTCCCCTTGCTACAAGTGTTGATGGCAGGCATGACACTCCTGTCCCCGCGAGGCATGGCAACCTCAAATTGCAGAGTCCCTTAGATGCTCCGTGGCTTCGTTCCGCCTTGGCTGGGCATTCAGTAGTACTTGGGCTGCTAAGACTGAGCACTGATTTTTACAAAAACACTTTCACTGTTCTTATGTATTCATTGTCTTAACGCTAGTGTCCCTCACCCCCAACCACCCTTTCTGATAAAATTCTCCCCACCACCCATAACCCTGACTGTGCTCTTTGACTGATTACTGGGGAAGAACAGCTGGTCGTCTGTAGGGCTTGAGATCTGCCCGTTGGTGTTTGTACTCACCCTGGCCCTCAGCTGGTTTGTGGGCATAAATAAAAGGAACTCCCTCTTCCCGGTGAACCAACGGGGGTCCAAGCTGGACGTTCGCATTTTCTTAAGCCTCACCTACAGTACGTGTGCATCTCTCATGGCTTTTCTGCCACATCACCCTTGTGATACTCACCATTGCAAATTCTAGTACTTGACTTGCTTTCAAAGAAGATGAGACCCTGGGCAAGGTCTCTCAGCAAGAGGCGAGAATGGTCTCCCCAGGGCCGTGGACCCTGGGATAACCGAACCACGTACTCCTTTCAAAAGGATCCAGAACTTCCTCTGCAGGTGCGGTGCTGGTTGATGTGGGGGCCACTTCTCTGGGCCCCTAACACTTAGCCAGGGCTTTCTGCTGATTATTCTGAGTCAGAGGATGTGGATATTCGTTTTTCAGGTACAACTGGGAGGGCACAACCTCCCACCTATAGACGTTATCAGTACATTTATAATTTTCAAGGCAAATGATGGTGGCAGAACCTCCCAAGGTCTCAGGGGCATTGGGATTAACCCATTCCCAATTGCAGAATGGGGTGTGCTGTAACCTGTGCCAGCACCTCTTGAGATGCAATGTGCTTGTGAACGGTCTGGGATCTTGTTAAAATGCAGATTCTAATGCAGCAAATCTGAGGTGGGTCCCAAGATTCTGAGCTCCAGGTGATGCTGATACTTCAGATCCTGGGGGACACTGGGAAGAAAAGCCTTAGAGGAGCCCCCTGCCTCCTCGCATGCACACACACAAGGAGAATCCCAGTTGGATTGACTCTGGCCTTTTTTTAGTTCTTGCTGACATGATGCTGACTGCAGTCAGGGAAAGGAGAGAAATGGGCAGGCTGCAGTCATGCTGGAAAATAGCTTGATGAGACTAGCTTAGTGGGCAGGTAGGTGATGGGAAAGATGAACTTAAACAACCTTGGTTCTAGGGTCATTTGCACCTGTTTTCAAGCAGCTGGACAGGTAACTCTCACTCTTGGAACCCGTGGCTCCTCCCTGGCTTGTCTGTAGGTGGTTTTAAATTCTGAAAGAGGTGATTTTAAATGCTGAGGCTTAGCCCACACCCCCTGCTCCAAGGACCAACAGCGCACTCACTTCTTGCTTACCACCGTGGCTCCCCTTCTGGTGTCCTATCCCATCTCTGTCCCTAGGCCCAGCCAGCCTGTTTTGGGGATGAGCATTGCTGCATTGGTGAGCTGTTTTGGAGTCTTGTTTTTCTCTTTATCCTTGAACAGGGAAAGTCACTGTCTTTGTTCTTTGTGTCCTCTCCACTGCTCCCAGCCAGCCCTTCCACACTGTACCAGTTAGTGCACTGTGTGCCTCTTTGGTATTTTGAGATCATAGTTGACAATTTTAATTGGCCCTGAAAAGTTCTGTGACCCAGGAAAATGAGCATTTATGAGTTCACAGAAACCCATTATTTTTCTTCCTCTTAATTTAGCATTTACTTGTCTAACTACTTTATTTATTCCTCTGTTGCTAAATTATCTATACTCCTGTAGGAAACTTCCCACCCTTGTAATGAAGACATCAGGCTGTGCATTGTAAATGGGGCTCCAATTTCTATTTTTCGGGGAGTTGGCAGCACAGATCTGCCAAGTCCCAATCATCTGCTTGATTTATCCCCTACACCCTGTGGGTTGTTGCTTTTGCTTCCCATTTGGATGGAAGTAAATGTCGTCCTTGTGTCAGGCAGGCTCTAACAAGGCCCAATGAGTGGGCTCTACTCTTCAGGCCTGCCAAGCCAGAGCCATTGTCCTTCTGCCTCCATGGCTGTGGTCTCTGCCACTGGCTCCTGGGCTTTGTCTTGTCACCAGCCACCTGGGAGGTGGAGCATACTGGAACTAGACATGGAGGATGTGGGAGGATATGGGCCCAGTGCTCTGAGCAGGCGACACCGAGAACACTGTGGTGGGTGCTGGCACATTGGTGTTGGGGGGAGGAAGTGTGGCCAGGTGGCTGAGAAGCCATCTGTCCACCAGCCTCGCCTCTCTCTTGATGGGTAGCCATCCTTTGGGGCATTCCCTTCAGTCAGGAAGGTCTGGAACAAGAGAAACCCAATGTCTTTCCTCCTAATAAAAATCAGCCTTGTTTTACTCCTGCCAGGAGTGTGTGCTCTTGGCAGAGGTGAAGAATGAGTGTGAGTGGCCTGCGGGGCTGAGGTCTTCCCTCAATCACAGGGTGAGTTTCAGTTTGATCTTGCACAGGGGTTGGGGTTGGGAGAGCTGGTGCTGGTGCTTGCTTTGGTTAGGAGACTCTGAGAGCATTGTCTTCCCTTGGTCGGTGGGACCGGGCTAAGGTAGCACCTGTCTACCTGCTTGATGTTGTGTCTAGACACTGAGCCCTTGGCTTTTCTTCCTTTGTTCCAAGAGGGCCTTGGGTGCAAATCGAAACCCTTCTGGAGGGCTTAGCTGGAGACGGAAGCTGCCATTGTTGCTTTTGTTAAAATACTTTGAAGGTTAAGGTTTTGTGTTATTTGGGATCTAGATTGAAAACTGTGTGTATTTTTCTTTTTAAGAGTTGAGAATGGAAGTCATATTCTATTTCTTGCAAAAGCCCTTTCCAGAGAATCAGTGAGACCACCAGTGAGTCTGTGATGCAGCTGACAGAAGCGCCTCCCCACCTGTGAGGGAGTTGGCCTAGCCTCAGAGGTGACAGACGCCTCCAGCACAACCCACGCTTCAGCCCCAGCCAGGGGCCTGGGCCCCTGAAGCATGGCCTGCTTTTTCAGAGGACGTCTCTTCCCCTGCTCAGGCTGAAAGTCCTCAGTGCTTCTGGTGGCCTGCTTGGCTGGTGGCAGGGCTAGCTGCTGGTATAGGCAGGCTGATGTGCACGGCTCTCTAGGCTCCTGGGAGAAATGGCTGCTGTCCTCCTCCCCCACCATAGAACCCTGTTAACTCTCACCTTGTGTGTTTCATGTTGCCACTTTCTCCTCCAGGATGTTTGTTGTTTTAAAACCCCACAATTGGTTTTTCCTGTTGGGGCTAAATCACTTTGCCTCTTGCCTGTGCTGCCGCCTAAGGCATCCCCGGCCCTGCCTTTGCTTCAAGTGCACCCTCAACTCAGAGGGCCCCGGAGGCTAAAATCTGTTTGTTCCCTAGCCAGCTTTGGAGCTAAGGGAATCGCCCTCTCCAGCCTTTAGGTTTGCCACGAGTGAAATACAGGCAATATAACAATACCATTTTCAGGGTTGTCATGAGCACTAAGATGGTACATGAGGTGCCCGGCACAGATTGCCTCCACAGAACACAACAGACAGAGCTGTGGTTTTGTGTTTGTCATCCCAGAACCTCAGTCAGTGGCTGTCAAGAAGACTGTGCGCCCTTCCTGAGCCACAGTCTGATGTGTCAACTTCAGCTGCTGCAGTTCTTGTCACTGCTGGCCATGGCCACATATCACGTAGCAAGGCAGCCCTCAGAGTGGGAGGGTCCTCTTTCCAGTGGAGTGGTAAATATCTTGGGACTGGGCCCCATATCCTCAGTGTCCAGAAAGCCTGGCACACAGCAGGATGTTCAGATATTTGTTGAATAAGTGAACGAGTCAGCCATCTTTTACTATTCCTTTTGTCATCGTATGGGGTTTGGACAAGGTGTCTTGAGTTTTGGGACTCCTTACATAAGAAATCCCAGGAGATAGTCACTGGACTCCCTTGGGCTTCCACATCTGATAGAATCCCATCAGTTTCAAATCTTCTTAACTTTCTTCTTGAACCAGGAGAGGCTTCAGAGAATCGTATGGGATGTGTGTAGGAACAGGTGGGACCCTGACTCAGTTGCCATCCCCTTCCTAGAATGGCTTTGAGGGCCTGCTTGGCTCTGACTGTTTCCTCTGCAGAGGCCAGCATCACTGGCAGGCAGCCAGACCCTTGCCAAAACCATGAATCCAGAGAGTGAAATGTAAAGTCAAACAAATGCAGGATGCTTTGTTTGTGCTTAGAATTTTCAGGGTCAGTAGAAATAGTCTGTGGCTCCGGGGTAGGTGGTTGCCAGCCATCCTCACAGAGGGCAGAAAGGAGCAGAACTACTCTTTTAAAATGTCATTAAGTAGGTATAAGACTCCTGATGGCTTTCCTTAATGCCAGTCTTAGGACAATTGAACTGAAAGCTTGTTTGAGCTCTGCTATCATTTAAAGCTTGCTCTCTAAGTAAAGAGAACAGAACTCTTTTTCCATTTATTTCTCTTTCTGGCCTTGCATTTAAACGTCCTTGAAAACTTTGGTCTCTATAGAAAAGATGTCAAATTTCTGTTGGTTCTGCTGATGCCACATTTTGAATGTCCATTCCAGGTAAGTAGGCTTTCATGTGGGGATGCTGGGAGGTGTCAAACGGGAGAGGCCTGCCAGGCAGATACTCTAATTAGAGTGGCTCTAAAATATGCCCCATGGTGCCTCCTCTTCTTCCTCTGCTATTTTCTGTTTGGTTGTTACTGCTGTTCTCATATTAGCATTTGAAGAGTGAAGAGCAGGCTTCTGGCCGGGTGCAGTAGCTCATGCCTGTAATCCCAACACTTTGGGAGGCCAAGGCGGTCAGATCACCTGAGGTCAGGAGTCCGAGACCAGCCTGGCCAACATGGCGAAACCCAGTCTCTACCAAAAATACAAAAATATTAGCTGGGCATGGTGGCACACACCTGTAATCCCAGCTACTTGGGAGGCTGAGGCAGGAGAATCGCTTAAACCCAGGAGGCGGAGGTTGCAGTGAGCCAAGATCATACCACTGCACTCCAGCCTGGGCAACAGAGTGAGACTGTCTCAATAAAAACAAAGTAGGCTTCTCTGCTTCATGCTTGAGTGTTCATGCCTGGCAGTATGGCTTAGGATCATATCTTTGTGTCCTGAAGCAGAAATTCCCATTTGACTTTCTCTTATCCCTACCTAGAGGGTCTCTGAGCCCTGGGCTGGCTTGGCCAATCGGGACATCTGGTTGACTTAAATCTTAGTAATCAACAGACACCCACTGAGCACCTAGCTGTGTGCCTGGCCCTGTACTAAGGCTGGCTAAGTGGTTGAAGAGAAATGGGATTTGTGATTCTATCCTTGAGGCTTGAGGGCCATTGGGGTGGGGGTGGGAGGTAGGAGCAATCAGCTGCTTCAGAATGGATTCCAAGTTAGCAGAAGGAATCACCTACATTAGTTAATGATCTTTTTCTAGTCTGTATATAATGTCGAAATTAAGATCTCAACTTTAGCCTAAAGAAAAGTGGGCATATTTATTAAGTAATAAAGAAGGAAGTACATCTTTATTAGAAAGAAGTACATCTTAATAAAGAAAGAAGTCCATCTGCCTCCCGGATTCCCCACGCCTGGTCCCAGGACACTTGTGCTCATAGTCCAGACATTCCCTGTCCAGGTGCATGTGGCTGATAGCAGATCTGGTATCACAGGTTTGTCCTGGCCCCTGGCTCAGCTGTTCTAAAGTCCTTAAGAGTGCGGGTTGGGGGCTGGAGGAAGCCGGAAGTCTCTAGGTGTCACCTGCATAGGATGGACATAGTGCTGAATGCAGCAGCCCTCTGGTGTCCAGAACCTCCACCAGCCCCCTCCTTTACCGTCCTTCAACACTCCCTCCCAAAACTTATCCACCAGAGCCTGTACTGCTCTGGGACCTCTCCCCTGAAGTGGTTCCACCTGATATGGCTGTGTTCTTGTTGGCTCAGTGACACCTAAGCTCTCCTCAGAGGACTTGGGCTGGCAGTGTAGAGGATGTGGGTGCTCATTATTAGTGGTGGACAAGTTTCAGGGCCAGGGGTGGTGTTGAAAGAGGGTGAAGAAAGGGGCTGTTGAGGTTCTGGACACCCACAGGGCAGCCACATTCAGCACTGTGTCTATCCTATGTGGGTGACACTTAGAGACTCCCAGCTTCCTCTGTCGTCCTTCATCTTGCTTAGGGTACTGCAGCATGTGACACTACCACCCCGGTGGCCAAAACTGTCCTATTGGAGGTCTTATTCCTTGCTGTAGAGTTGCACCTTGGTCCAGGTATCCTTCCTGGTCCAATTGATTGTGGCCAATTGTCTTAGCCCATTTAGTGTTGCTATAAAGGAATAGCTGAGTCTGGTAATTTATAAAGAAAGTAAGTTTATTTGACTCATGGCTCTGCAGGCTGTACAAGAAGCATGGCCCCAGAATCTGCTTCTGGTGAGACCTCAGGAAGCTTCCACTCCTGGTAGAAGGTGAAAGGGAATGGGTGTGTGTAGAGATCACACGGTAACAGAGCAAGCAAGGTGAGAGTGAGAGGTTCCAGGCTCTATTTAAAAGCCAGCTCTCTTGGGAACTAGTAGGGTAGGACTCACTCATTGCTGCAAGGATGGCACCAAGCCACTCCTAAGGGATCCAACTCCATGACTCAGACACCTCCATTAGGCCTCACCCCCAACACTGAGGGTCAAATTTTGGCATTAGGTTTGGCGGGGGACAAACATCCAAACCATAGCACCAGTTGTCCAGTAATTCTTAGGAACAGAAACACTTTTATGACCATGCTGACTAGAACAAAATTATCTGTGATTCGTTATCCATTCCAGATGAGAATGGTATATATAATTTAAATCTGAATTTATTCAAAATGACTGTTCTTGTGTTACAAGTAAAGATGATCATGAACTGCACTGTACAAGAAATTCTTATCTGATATCTCACCGTGGGATTATGAGAAAGAAGAAAGAATCATCACAAACAGCTTTAAGAATGTGGTGAGCACAATGGTGAGCGGCGAATGCAGCACAAAGCATATTTAGTTAGCAGCACAGGCCAAACCGTGGGTGACGTGAGAATTTAGCACAGAAATGCGCTGGGTGGAAGGTGGGATTGGGAAGGACCTCTTGGAGGCAGAGGTACTTGGAGAGGAAGACCAGGATCTGGGTGGGCAGAGTATTAGAGTATTTAAGGAGGAGTAACCCTCAGAGTCTAGGTGTAGGGTGGAATAGGGCCATATCTGTCAGGAGGGGAAAACGGAACAGATTGGTTAAGGTGGGTATCTGGGTCTGTGAGCCAGGGGATTCATCAGGGACGCTTTGGTGGCCAGGAGCAGAATCGCCTGCTAACATGCTCATGTACAAAGAAGGGTTGTCATGAGGCCCCAGACCTTCTCCCAAAGCCAATGGCAGGATGCCTTCATGGGCTCAGGCTTAGAGGCATTGGAAGTCTGTCTCCCAACTCCCTTCTGAGCCACACTGTCTCCCTTCTCCATTTCTCCCTCCTCTGCCTGTTCTCTCCAGAGACTGGTCTTTCCAGAGAGCTCTGAGTGTAGCCCTTGCTGCAGCTCTGGGCCCCAGACTGTCTCATTTGAGTTCTGTCTGTATCCTCAGGTTCTCAAGGGGCAGAGCCTTATTGGCTCAGCTTGGGGAAATATCTTCCCAGATCCATTTGCCTGTGGCCAGGAGGCAGGTCCCAGTGGGTGAGGGGCCCTCCAGGGGCTCTGAGGGGAGGATGTGGGTGCAGCGCTGGGTGGCTCTTGTGAAGGAGTGGCAGGAGGTTATTGTGGGTGGAGGACAGTTGGTGAGGCTGCAGAGCCAGCCTCAAACCTCTCAGCAAGCACACAGAGAAACGTGAGCCAAGTTTGTATAAACATGGGGCATTTTATGGAGTTGCATTTTTGGATCTTCAGAGCAGGGGTTGGCCCTGGCAGTAAGGCCTGCCTTGTGCTGTTAAATCTTTGCTCCCCTGCTTTGTTTGCCTGCCTTCCTCTCCCTGTCTTGTCAGCACCCTCGCCATACCCTACCTCACCAACCCGGCCTGTCTGTGGCTGGGCAGCTCAGAAGCCCAACTTATCCATTCCTAGGATGTCCCTGCAGACAGGCTGTAAAACAGGCTTGGCCTCCACAGGCCGACTTGCATTTTGCCAGTCACTACCCTGGTCCTCCCCTCCATCCTGGTGCCAGTGCCCTTGGCTCCTGGGGTACTATGGTTGGAATGTGTTCCCCAAAAAGCATGTGTTGGAAACTTAATCCCCAGTGCCACAAGTTGGGTGATGGTGCCTAATGGGGGTGTTTAGGTAACGAAGGCTCCATGCTCCATCCTCAGGAATGCCGATTACAGAAGGGCTTGAGACTGGGAATTGGATCTCTTGCTCTCTGTCTTTGACCTTTCACCATGGGAGTATGCAGCAAGGAGGCCTTTGCAAAATGCCAGCCCCTCAATCTTGGACTTCCCAGACTCCAGAACTGTGAGCCAATACATTTCTGTTCATTATAAAGTACCCAGTCTCAGGTATTCTGTTATAGCAGCACAAAATGGACTAAGGCAGCCTGTGTCCACGCCTGACCCATCAAACTCACTAAAGGGGAGCAGGCTTTGGTGCTCAGTTGTGGCCCTGTGACTCCAGAGATACATATCCTGTGGCTGTAGGGAGCTCCTTAGTGCAGCTGCTTTGAGGTTTAGCTGGAATCATTCTTGGAAAGAAAGAGGGGTTACATGGGAGGGGAGTCATGGCTTGACCAGATGCCTCTTCTTAGAAGGTCCACCACCCTGCCAAATCCAGCAAGCAAAATAGTTGAGCTGCTGTGGGATAATTTGGCCTGTCATCATGGAAGACAAGATGAGATAGATGCACTCCCCACCTCCCCAGTTCTGAATCTCAGCTTTGCTCCCAGCTAGATACAAAGTCTTATTGCATTAAAAATTTGGTTTTTGTTGTGATATCTCTTTCTGTGTAGCCAAGAGTTAGAGAGGGCTAGGGAACCAGGGACATCTCTAGGGTGAGGATGAAAGGGGGCAGTGTCATCTGGAGCTCTGGGCTGGAAGTCTGAATGGCTCCTCTTATCCTTCTCTTATAAGAATAAAGAGGAAGATCATGCCACTGCACTCTAGCCTGGTGACAGAGCGACAGAGCAAGACTGTGTCTCAAATAAATAAATAAATAAATAAATAAATAAAGAGGAGATTCCCAATAGGAATTCTCATTCCTAATATGAATTTCTTAATTCCATAGCTATTGATATGATAGAATTAATAAACAGCTTTCATTTTGCCAAAGCACTAAGTAGATTAATTCATTGACTTCTCAAAGAGAGTCTATGAGGTATTATTAATTTGTTTATTTTACACATGTAGAAATTGAGGCTTCAAGATAAGTGAGCTGTTTGAGATCTCCCATATAGTAAGTGGTGGAGCCAGGGTTTGCATCTGGCTTTCTGACTATCTAGCATGTATTCCTAACCACAGTATTGTGCTCTTATCCCCAAGGACATATTTTTGAATCTAGGGAAAGGACATTTGATGACATTGAGCTTTGGAAGGCCAAAGCAGACAACGTCACATCAGAGGAGGCATCCCCTCCTCCTGGAGGGCAGCAGAGTTTGAGGTGGTCTTCTGGGGCTGGGCGGTGGGTGGCCTCTTGACCTTCTGTGGGGAGAGATGAGTTCTGCCCCTATTCCCCCTCCTCCCCAACAATTTCTCTTCTTTCACCATCAGGCAGCCACTGAACCTCTGAGAATTAACATATTAACATTCCTTTGGCTATTTCCTTGCACTTCTTCCAGGATTCCACTGGGGACTTGGCAGCTACTGCCCTCACATGGGACAGTGAGGGCAGTGTCTGTGGGTGGAGGACTAAGTGTGTGATATTTGGTGGTCTCTGTTTCTGCTTTTAAGAATTGGCCTTGGGAAGTTCCTAAGGGTTGACCACAGCAGTCTCCCTTTCAGAAGCAAGGTTCTGGGGCCTTGATCTTTTTTTTTTTTTTTATTATACTCTAAGTTTTAGGGTACATGTGCACATTGTGCAGGTTAGTTACATATGTATACATGTGCCATGCTGGTGCGCTGCACCCACTAACGTGTCATCTAGCATTAGGTATATCTCCCAATGCTATCCCTCCCCCCTCCCCCGACCCCACCACAGTCCCCAGAGTGTGATATTCCCCTTCCTGTGTCCATGTGATCTCATTGTTCAATTCCCACCTATGAGTGAGAATATGCGGTGTTTGGTTTTTTGTTCTTGCGATAGTTTACTGAGAATGATGGTTTCCAATTTCATCCATGTCCCTACAAAGGACATGAACTCATCATTTTTTATGGCTGTATAGTATTCCATGGTGTATATGTGCCACATTTTCTTAATCCAGTCTATCATTGTTGGACATTTGGGTTGGTTCCAAGTCTTTGCTATTGTGAATAGTGCCGCAATAAACATACGTGTGCATGTGTCTTTATAGCAGCATGATTTATAGTCCTTTGGGTATATACCCAGTAATGGGATGGCTGGGTCAAATGGTATTTCTAGTTCTAGATCCCTGAGGAATCGCCACACTGACTTCCACAATGGTTGAACTAGTTTACAGTCCCACCAACAGTGTAAAAGTGTTCCTATTTCTCCACATCCTCTCCAGCACCTGTTGTTTCCTGACTTTTTAATGATTGCCATTCTAACTGGTGTGAGATGATATCTCATAGTGGTTTTGATTTGCATTTCTCTGATGGCCAGTGATGATGAGCATTTCTTCATGTGTTTTTTGGCTGCATAAATGTCTTCTTTTGAGAAGTGTCTGTTCATGTCCTTCGCCCACTTTTTGATGGGGTTGTTTGTTTTTTTCTTGTAAATTTGTTTGAGTTCATTGTAGATTCTGGATATTAGCCCTTTGTCAGATGCGTAGGTTGCGAAAATTTTCTCCCATGTTGTAGGTTGCCTGTTCACTCTCATGGTAGTTTCTTTTGCTGTGCAGAAGCTCTTTAGTTTAATTAGATCCCATTTGTCAATTTTGGCTTTTGTTGCCATTGCTTTTGGTGTTTTGGACATGAAGTCCTTGCCCACGCCTATGTCCTGAAAGGTAATGCCTAGGTTTTCTTCTAGGGTTTTTATGGTTTTAGGTCTAACGTTTAAATCTTTAATCCATCTTGGATTGATTTTTGTATAAGGTGTAAGGAAGGGATCCAGTTTCAGCTTTCTACATATGGCTAGCCAGTTTTCCCAGCACCATTTATTAAATAGGGAATCCTTTCCCCATTGCTTGTTTTTCTCAGGTTTGTCAAAGATCAGATAGTTGTAGATATGCGGCATTATTTCTGAGGGCTCTGTTCTGTTCCATTGATCTATATCTCTGTTTTGGTACCAGTACCATGCTGTTTTGGTTACTGTAGCCTTGTAGTATAGTTTGAAGTCAGGTAGTGTGATGCCTCCAGCTTTGTTCTTTTGGCTTAGGATTGACTTGGCGATGCGGGCTCTTTTTTGGTTCCATATGAACTTTAAAGTAGTTTTTTCCAATTCTGTGAAGAAAGTCATTGGTAGCTTGATGGGGATGGCATTGAATCTGTAAATTACCTTGGGCAGTATGGCCATTTTCACGATATTGATTCTTCCTACCCATGAGCATGGAATGTTCTTCCATTTGTTTGTGTCCTCTTTTATTTCCTTGAGCAGTGGTTTGTAGTTCTCCTTGAAGAGGTCCTTCACATCCCTTGTAAGTTGGATTCCTAGGTATTTTATTGTCTTTGAAGCAATTGTGAATGGGAGTTCACTCATGATTTGGCTCTCTGTTTGTCTGTTGTTGGTGTATAAGAATGCTTGTGATTTTTGTACATTGATTTTGTATCCTGAGACTTTGCTGAAGTTGCTTATCAGCTTAAGGAGATTTTGGGCTGAGACGATGGGGTTTTCTAGATAAACAATCATGTCGTCTGCAAACAGGGACAATTTGACTTCCTCTTTTCCTAATTGAATACCCTTTATTTCCTTCTCCTGCCTGATTGCCCTGGCCAGAACTTCCAACACTATGTTGAATAGGAGCGGTGAGAGAGGGCATCCCTGTGTTGTGCCAGTTTTCAAAGGGAATGCTTCCAGTTTTTGCCCATTCAGTATGATATTGGCTGTGGGTTTGTCATAGATAGCTCTTATTATTTTGAAATACATCCCATCAATACCTAATTTATTGAGAGTTTTTAGCATGAAGGGTTGTTGAATTTTGTCAAAGGCTTTTTCTGCATCTATTGAGATAATCATGTGGTTTTTGTCTTTGGCTCTGTTTATATGCTGGATTACATTTATTGATTTGCGTATATTGAACCAGCCTTGCATCCCAGGGATGAAGCCCACTTGATCATGGTGGATAAGCTTTTTGATGTGCTGCTGGATTCGGTTTGCCAGTATTTTATTGAGGATTTTTGCATCAATGTTCATCAAGGATATTGGTCTAAAATTCTCTTTTTCGGTTGTGTCTCTGCCCGGCTTTGGTATCAGAATGATGCTGGCCTCATAAAATGAGTTAGGGAGGATTCCCTCTTTTTCTATTGATTGGAATAGTTTCAGAAGGAATGGTACCAGTTCCTCCTTGTACCTCTGGTAGAATTCGGCTGTGAATCCATCTGGTCCTGGACTCTTTTTGGTTGGTAAACTATTGATTATTGCCACAATTTCAGATCCTGTTATTGGTCTATTCAGAGATTCAACTTCTTCCTGGTTTAGTCTTGGGAGAGTGTATGTGTCGAGGAATGTATCCATTTCTTCTAGATTTTCTAGTTTATTTGTGTAGAGGTGTTTGTAGTATTCTCTGATGGTAGTTTGTATTTCTGTGGGATCGGTGGTGATATCCCCTTTATCATTTTTTATTGTGTCTATTTGATTCTTCTCTCTTTTTTTCTTTATTAGTCTTGCTAGCGGTCTATCAATTTTGTTGATCCTTTCAAAAAACCAGCTCCTGGATTCATTGATTTTTTGAAGGGTTTTTTGTGTCTCTATTTCCTTCAGTTCTGCTCTGATTTTAGTTATGTCTTGCCTTCTGCTAGCTTTTGAATGTGTTTACTCTTGCTTTTCTAGTTCTTTTAATTGTGATGTTAGGGTGTCAATTTTGGATCTTTCCTGCTTTCTCTTGTAGGCATTTAGTGCTATAAATTTCCCTCTACACACTGCTTTGAATGCGTCCCAGAGATTCTGGTATGTGGTGTCTTTGTTCTCGTTGGTTTCAAAGAACATCTTTATTTCTGCCTTCATTTCGTTATGTACCCAGTAGTCATTCAGGAGCAGGTTGTTCAGTTTCCATGTAGTTGAGCGGCTTTGAGTGAGATTCTTAATCCTGAGTTCTAGTTTGATTGCACTGTGGTCTGAGAGATAGTTTGTTATAATTTCTGTTCTTTTACATTTGCTGAGGAGAGCTTTACTTCCAACTATGTGGTCAATTTTGGAATAGGTGTGGTGTGGTGCTGAAAAAAATGTATATTCTGTTGATTTGGGGTGGAGAGTTCTGTAGATGTCTATTAGGTCTGCTTGGTGCAGAGCTGAGTTCAATTCCTGGGTATCCTTGTTGACTTTCTGTCTCGTTGATCTGTCTAATGTTGACAGTGGGGTGTTAAAGTCTCCCATTATTAATGTGTGGGAGTCTAAGTCTCTTTGTAGGTCACTCAGGACTTGCTTTATGAATCTGGGTGCTCCTGTATTGGGTGCATAAATGTTTAGGATAGTTAGCTCCTCTTGTTGAATTGATCCCTTTACCATTATGTAATGGCCTTCTTTGTCTCTTTTGATCTTTGTTGGTTTAAAGTCTGTTTTATCAGAGACTAGGATTGCAACCCCTGCCTTTTTTTGTTTTCCATTGGCTTGGTAGATCTTCCTCCATCCTTTTATTTTGAGCCTATGTGTGTCTCTGCACGTGAGATGGGTTTCCTGAATACAGCACACTGATGGGTCTTGACTCTTTATCCAACTTGCCAGTCTGTGTCTTTTAATTGCAGAATTTAGTCCATTTATATTTAAAGTTAATATTGTTATGTGTGAATTTGATCCTGTCATTATGATGTTAGCTGGTGATTTTGCTCATTAGTTGATGCAGTTTCTTCCTAGTCTCGATGGTCTTTACATTTTGGCATGATTTTGCAGCGGCTGGTACTGGTTGTTCCTTTCCAGGTTTAGCGCTTCCTTCAGGAGCTCTTTTAGGGCAGGCCTGGTGGTGACAAAATCTCTCAGCATTTGCTTGTCTATAAAGTATTTTATTTCTCCTTCACTTATGAAGCTTAGTTTGGCTGGATATGAAATTCTGGGTTGAAAATTCTTTTCTTTAAGAATGTTGAATATTGGCCCCCACTCTCTTCTGGCTTGTAGGGTTTCTGCCGAGAGATCCGCTGTTAGTCTGATGGGCTTCCCTTTGAGGGTAACCCGACCTTTCTCTCTGGCTGCCCTTAACATTTTTTCCTCCATTTCAACTTTGGTGAATCTGACAATTATGTGTCTTGGAGTTGCTCTTCTCGAGGAGTATCTTTGTGGCGTTCTCTGTATTTCCTGAATCTGAACGTTGGCCTGCCTTGCTAGATTGGGGAAGTTCTCCTGGATAATATCCTGCAGAGTGTTTTCCAACTTGGTTCCATTCTCCACATCACTTTCAGGTACACCAATCAGACGTAGATTTGGTCTTTTCACATAGTCCCATATTTCTTGGAGGCTTTGCTCATTTCTTTTTATTCTTTTTTCTCTAAACTTCCCTTCTCGCTTCATTTCATTCATTTCATCTTCCATTGCTGATACCCTTTCTTCCAGTTGATCGCATTGGCTCCTGAGGCTTCTGCATTCTTCACGTAGTTCTCGAGCCTTGGTTTTCAGCTCCATCAGCTCCTTTAAGCACTTCTCTGTATTGGTTATTCTAGTTATACATTCTTCTAAATTTTTTTCAAAGTTTTCAACTTCTTTGCCTTTGGTTTGAATGTCCTCCCGTAGCTCAGAGTAATTTGATCGTCTGAAGCCTTCTTCTCTCAGCTCGTCAAAATCATTCTCCATCCAGCTTTGTTCTGTTGCTGGTGAGGAACTGCATTCCTTTGGAGGAGGAGAGGCGCTCTGCGTTTTAGAGTTTCCAGTTTTTCTGTTCTGTTTTTTCCCCATCTTTGTGGTTTTATCTACTTTTGGTCTTTGATGATGGTGATGTACAGATGGGTTTTCGGTGTAGATGTCCTTTCTGGTTGTTAGTTTTCCTTCTAACAGACAGGACCCTCAGCTGCAGGTCTGTTGGAATACCCTGCCGTGTGAGGTGTCAGTGTGCCTCCCAGTTAGGCTGCTCGGGGGTCAGGGGTCAGGGACCCACTTGAGGAGGCAGTCTGCCCGTTCTCAGATCTCCAGCTGCGTGCTGGGAGAACCACTGCTCTCTTCAAAGCTGTCAGACAGGGACACTTAAGTCTGCAGAGGTTACTGCTGTCTTTTTGTTTGTCTGTGCCCTGCCCCCAGAGGTGGAGCCTACAGAGGCAGGCAGGCCTCCTTGAGCTGTGGTGGGCTCCACCCAGTTCGAGCTTCCCGGCTGCTTTGTTTACCTAAGCAAGCCTGGGCAATGGCGGGCGCCCCTCCCCCAGCCTCGTTGCCGCCTTGCAGTTTGATCTCAGACTGCTGTGCTAGCAATCAGCGAGATTCCGTGGGCGTAGGACCCTCTGAGCCAGGTGTGGGATATAGTCTCGTGGTGCGCCGTTTCTTAAGCCGGTCTGAAAAGCGCAATATTCGGGTGGGAGTGACCCGATTTTCCAGGTGCGTCCGTCACCCCTTTCTTTGACTCGGAAAGGGAACTCCCTGGCCCCTTGCGCTTCCCAGGTGAGGCAATGCCTCGCCCTGCTTCGGCTCGCGCACGGTGCGCACACACTGGCCTGCGCCCACTGTCTGGCACTCCCTAGTGAGATGAACCCGGTACCTCAGATGGAAATGCAGAAATCACCCGTCTTCTGCGTCGCTCACGCTGGGAGCTGTAGACCGGAGCTGTTCCTATTCGGCCATCTTGGCTCCTCCTGGGGCCTTGATCTTAAGGAGGAGGTAAGATTCCCAGCATTGGCAGCCAAGTTGGTTACTGTGATACCAACTGTGGTTACTGTGAAGGGCTTTTGGAGGGTCAGGAAACCCAGTGGGAATGTGCTGGTGTTTGCTGACTCTTCCACTGGCCGCTGGAGACAGCAGCAGGGCTGCTGCTGAGATGAGGCCAGAGGCAAGCTCATGTACTTCTGCTGGAGGTGCTGCCATGGAGGGACAGCCTCCTCCTTAGAGGTGGAAGTGTCAGGCACCCCCAGGCACACTGAGTACTAAAGATTGGTTGAGCTGTGGTGGCTCCTTCAGAGTATGCCCCTTTCATCTAGGTGGATGAGCACCCCTGCGCTATGGGATGGCCATGGCTAGTGAGTGGTCAGAGCTGCCCATGAGTGAGGAGAGGAGGGCATCTCAAAGGGCAGGACAGGGATAGCCCAGGGACATACAGGGCCCAGGACAGATGAGGTATCTATACCTGCAGAAGACCAAGTGGAAGGCATCCTGGCATTCAAGTGGGTTGGAACAAATGAGCCAATGGGCAGCCCCAAAGGCTGAGAGAAAGTCATGGGTAAGAGCCTAGCATGGAAGGAAGAAGAGGTGTGAGGGAGCAGTGTTGACAGGGGTTGGCCATGGCCCATGGGTTGACACTGTACCAACAGATGCCTTTCCCCCAACCTGTGTCTCCCAGCTGTTGCCTACTGACCACAGTAGAACTAGTGGACCCCTCCCCACTCCAGAGTCTCAGAAACAATGATGAGCACTTCTTTCAGGCTGGGTGCTATGCTGATTGCTGGGGGCACAACCAGGATGCTGTTTGTGGGTGGAAATTGGCAAGTGGACAGCAGCTACCAGATACTGAGTGCTCTTTGCCCTCCTCTCTCAGCTCTCACTGCAGTCTCATAGACACTACCCTACCTCATTTTGCAGATGAGGAAACTGAAGCTCCTGGAGGTTAATGCCATGTATATGGTGACCCAGTGCCGGGGGTCTGGGGTGCAGGTGAGCCCCTTTGTGTCTCGTGCACTGCAAGCCCAGTGGCCCCATTCTCCATGTCACCAGGAGGCTTCTCAGTCCTGGCTGCTTGAGCCTACTCTTCCCACCTGCATCCAGTGAGTTCTGGATACTGAGCTGGCATCGGTCCTCATGGAAGGCGAGTGTGGGCCTGCCCAAGCCATCCTCTGGCTCCACTGACTTGCTGGGAAGAGAAACTGGCACCACTGTTTACATTAGTTTCTGTGCCTGTGACACCCAGCTGATACCCTCTGTTACGAAGGGACACCCTTCCCCATATGTGGGAGTAACAGGGCACCCTCATTGGAGAACCCTGCCAGCCCACTGGCACCTGCAGAGGTTTGTCTGAGGCAGCTGGGCACCATGGTGCAGAGCACTGGCCAGGCCCACTGGGGCAAGAGTTTGTAAGGTGTTAAGATGCATGATTAACCCAGTGGTTCCCAAACTTGTCCATACATTAGAACCACTGGGGTGGCTTCAAAAAATGCTGATGCCTGTGTCCCACCCCCAGAGATTGTGATTTAATTGGTTTAGGGTATGGCCTATACTCTGGATTATTTAAATGTCCCCATTTGAGAACTGCTGGGTTAGCCTATGAGAGAAGTGTGGGCAAAATGCCCACTTCTGTCCTCATTGTCTTTCTCAGCACCTACTCCTCAAGGGAAATAACTGATTCAGGCTGCAGGGGACAAAGCTTCCCTGTGCCTTTGCCCAGGCACAAGGCCCCTCCTGGGAGGTGTGGGTGGCTAAGGCTGGCGTGATTCCTGATGTGGCACGTGTGGGGCAGGTATTTCTCTACTTGAGGAGTGACATTGCATGCCGTCTGCATGCTCCCTCATTCCTTTCTCACGACAATCTTATAGGTAGCACCTTTCAATCTCCTCTTCAGACGAGGAAACTGAAGTTCATGGTGCATCCTACGTGAGGAACAGAAAGAGGACAGGGAATAAAACTGGATTTTCCTTGGGATTCTCAGATGGGCCAGGTCCTAAGTAAACACCAATCTAGCTCTGCTGACCACTGGGGGCCTTTCTTCCTTTTGACTCTGTTGTAAAAGAAAATTGAAAAACGGTCTTATTGTGCCTTAAAGCCTTTTTAATTAAATATAACTCATTTAATTTAAACTACTTTAAGTTCCATTTTTAATATAAGTGTTATAGTGGTACAATGAAAGTGCCTTCTAATCAAAGTGTGTATGGGGATTTACCTCCCTGTACAAAAAGCCTGTGGGAGCCCAAACCAATGATTTATTCAGACAGCAATCCAAAATCACCAGACCCTGAGTGAGGCACACATGGTGGAGGTTCATGAGTGTGGGTAGGAGTCGGAAGTTCCTCTGGGGGCTGTGCAGATTGAAGGAGGCGGGTGTGGAGAGGGCTTAGCATGGAGCCTGGCGTGGGTAATTGCTTAGTAAATGGAAGCTGCTACTGGGATGCTACTGCCATCCCTAGGACCTCCGCTGCTTCCCCTGCTAGTTCTTACTGCTGGTGCCACAGCTACAAAGTAGGGAGATGACAGTGAAGAGAGAGGCTCCCCTGGTGGGCAGGAAGGATTGAACAGTCCTGAGCAGACAAACGTGCTCAGATTGGGTATTGAAGTAGAGACCTACTCCAGTGCCAGCCCCCAGGAGGGGCACGGCCTGACCGCCTGATGTCACACAGCAAATCCTTTCCCCTGTGGCAGTCTATCCCCCTTCCTTGTTTCATTTTGCACCGTGGCACTTCTTAGCATGAGATATTCTCTACATTTCCTTTGTTTGTGTGTTTGTTTGTTGCCCGTTTCTTCCAGTGAGATCCTAAGCTTCATAAGGACTGGGGCTGGGGCTGCCTTGGCACTGCTACATCTCCAGGACAATAAATATCTACTGAATGAGTGAACACATGAACAAACGAAGGGATGATGAAATGAATTGCTCAGGAGGCCCGTCAAGAGCTCTGCTGAGAGACCTGGGTGATGGGGCTGAGGGTCTTGGGGAGGGTCAAGGAGGTGGGAATTGCAAGCTAGGACCTGATGGGAAGGCATCCACAAAGCTGAGCCACAGAGGCTGTGAGGGATGGGAGTGGAAGTGAAGAGGGGCCAGAGGAGATGCTCAGGAGGACAGAGGGAACACTAGCTAGCAGGAAGATCCAAGGGGAGGGGACCTATTGCTGTGTCAGATGACAGTTTCTGGTTGGAAGTCTTGGATTAAGGGATCTTCAAGTGTCCCTTTGGAGAAGAGGGTGTGCCTGACCTTAAGCACTGGCCACTTTGGGTGTTTTCAGCTTATCCCAATCAGACGCCACTTGCACCCAGTCCTGCTCCCAGCCGGCCCTTTCCCAGCTTGCTCACCTTCTCAGAGGCTCCAGCCTGATCAATCACCGCTGGCCCCACCATGACTCTGGCACATTTTGCATCTTTATGTCAGACCGTCTGTATCTGTGACTCCCTAATTCTGTGCAAAACAAAGAATGAAAAATAGACTCAGACATGAGGACTGTACTGGAGGGCACACTTTCTTCCTTTTTTGTCTTTTAATTTTCTAGGCACAGGTTATTCTAAACCTCATCTTGGGCTTGCAGTTGGCAGAAAGAAAAGTAGCAGATTGGAATATCATGTTAAACAGGTGGATGTTAAGTTGTATCATTTATTGGATGGTTCCTGGAGGGTGTAATAAATAATTTAAACATGAACTCCTTCCCCCTTTCCTCTCAAGAGCCACTTGTCCTTGCTGTCCTCTCTCCTCCCCCAGACACCTACAAGACTGTCATGATTTTCTTATGGATCATGGACTGCTGGAATGAAGTCAGTGCAGGAAAGAAGCTTGTTCGATCGACAGCTGGTAGACATGAAGCGTCTCAGAATGAGGAACGCATCACAGGCTGTCCCTGTGTTTCTGTAGAAACTTTACCTACAAAAGGAAAAATAGAGCACGTCAGGCTTCAGTGACAGTCAGTATGTTCCGTGAGCCAGCTGGGAAACTGCACTCACCTCCATATTCTTACCAGGAGATCTTGGGATAATCTGATTTCATTCTAGCAATAGAATGTGTTTAGGGCCTACGCTACGCCAGGCGCTGTGCTGCAGTAAGACATGAAGGAGACGTGGACCCTGGGGGAGATGGACACCCCTCTTGTAGTTAAAGTCCAGTATGACCATTGCTTTTGGGGTTAAGCAGCTCTGCAGATAATGCCTGTGTTAGGCTGAGCCCTGCTAGTGTCAGTGGAAATAGCAATGACATGTTAATGAGGTTGTTCCTCAGGGTGCTGAGTTAGAGCCCCATGCTGCTAACTGTTGTGATGGTCTTGGACGTGGTGATTGCTCATTCTGAGAGATGTGGATTACTTTCCAAATCAAAAAGTTAATTAGTTTTTAATTTGTTGGGTTGTCTGAGAGATACAACTGGAAAATTCCCCTCTTGCCTTCTTGGTCCCTTAATCTGGCTGTGTGCAGGCGATTATGTTTAACAAGGAGCAGTGATCAATCAGTTATTGACATTTATTTCATCAAATGTAACTGAATGTTTACTCATATTGGTGGATTTGCTACCAAAGACTGTCTTAAATTCAGGGCTAACTTTTCTTTTTAAATTGTAAATGAATAACCTTTAGCATAAAGCTTTAAATGATATCTAGAATTTAAAATCACTAAATCCTCATATAATATTTCCAAATCATCTTAATTTCTGAAGATGGGCACCTATCCTTTTGCTTTCTTTTCTGTCTAGTGTCTGGTAATCACCATTAATTCCATTTCTTTTTAGAGTATCACAGCTTTCTCCTTCACTGACCACCCTTTGCTTCCTGTCAGAAAGCCCTGGACAGAACTCTCTGTGGGATTCTGCCCATGTTTCTGAGATATCGCCTCAATTGTCCTGGCTGGGCTGTCGGGTCTGCCCGTTTTACAGATGGGCAAACTGGAGTGGGAAGTATCCGGGTGGCTTCCTCAGGCCTGCAGCTGGTGGAGCAGCTACTGAAACAATCAGGTGATTCAGATCTACTGGAGGCTTTGCCCTCATGGGCATAATAAAGTTGGTATTCCCAGGTCTGCCCACAAGAAGCTATTGATGGGTTTATCATGTTGATTCTTTTTTAAATTAGTAAAGTAAAAGAGTACCTTAATAGTAAAGACATTTCCTTGGTATTTTTAAAAAGTCATGTGACATGATCTCTTCCTTTTGTCTTGATAAACCTCCCTTTAAACTCTCTGGCTTAGTTATTTTAGACTTCCCAGCCTCATGTAATACTGGTTTCCTTACATTGATCCATTTATTGTCATTTATTGTAAGATAGGCAATAGAGGGGACATCGAGCTTGCTTGCTGTGCTATCTCTGTTTCAGCCCCAAAGTGCTGGAGACTTGCACTGTTTTGTTTGTTTGTTTGTTTGTTTTGAGACAGAGTCTTACGCTATCACCCAGGTTGGAGTGCAGTGGCGCTCCATTGCAGCCTCTACCTCCCTGGGCTCAGGTGATCCTCCCACCTCAGCCTCACAAGTATCTGGGACTACAGGTAGGCACCACCATGCCCAGCTAATTTTCATATTTTTTTGTAGAGAGGGGGGTTTCACTATGTTGCCCAGGCTGGTCTCGAACTCGTGGGCTCAAAGGAGACTTGCACATTCTTTGCCTATATGGCCATGCCCAGCCCTCTCCCCTTCACATCTGGTCTTCTGGGAAGATGAGAAAGGCAAGCTCAGCCTCTGCTGATTGGGCAACTCCTAGGCAGGGCTGGCTGAAAGGTGCAGGGACCCCTGGCCTTTATCAAACTCCCTCAGCTATCTAAGCCCCTAAAGGTTTAGTGTTGGCAGCTGTGCCTCCCCCACCTTTGACTGTTCTTTAAGGCAGTAAGCCCATCTACCAGGGCTACACACACCTCTCTCTAACCCCAGAGCCATCTGACACTGTTCTCTGTGGTGCAGGAGGGGAACACTGACCCCTCGATTAAGTGGCATTTCTCAAGAGCCAGCACCCCTTCGGTGTTTTTCATGAGCACTTGCAGCAAGCTCTGCATAACTGGAGGAAGCAGGGGGTGTTTAGACCCTCCCCCAGAATATCCTGTTCTTTGCTGGATTATTCAGCTTGGCTTTCAAACTAGCCCCGGGTTTAGGGTTAATTCTCTCACCTTCTCTGGCTTTGAAGACCCAGACATGGTGTGCTGAGAAATCCAACAACTCAATAGTTTTCCTTCTGCCTTTAACTCAGCCATATAAATGAGATAAAGTGTGCAAAACTCTTACTGTGTGCACAGTAAGTGGGAGCCAGCAGTGGAATACATGCTACATAAGGCGCCACTTTATTTAGCTGTATTTTGTCAGTCCAAGTGAAGATTTTAATTGCAGAATAGTGTCTTGCTAGCAAAAATGAACCTGCTTAGAGTCAAGTTTTTAAAATTCAAGTGAATAAATGAAAAATTGTAAGAAAGATTGTTAAAGAAGCATTCATTTTAAGAACATCTCAGATATGAAAAACTTAGAACTTAGATGTCAGAATTTCAGTAGCGATGAATCCCATGGCAAAGCTTCCATCTCATCTGTACTAATTGGTTCATAAATTGGACACGTGGGCTTCCTTTTGTGTGTCTTCAGGAAGTTGAGGCCTGAGGAACTCTGAAGCCAGGAGCTTCCTCAGCCCCTCTGCTGCTGGATGGAGGTGCTGCCAGTCAGGGGCCCATCTTCAGGACACTGGCACAGGGACCTCCTCAGGCCGGGCCCCTTGTACAGCGGACTCCTTTCTGCTTTGTCTATGAAGATCTGGCCACGTTGAGCTCCACTCCATTCTGCTTTGTCTACGAAGATCTGGTCACATGGAGCTCCACTCCATTTACTTTTTCGTTGCATTCTCTTCTCAGTGTGGTTGCTTTTGATCCCCCACTTTCGTAACCCACATAGCCAATATTTTCCCAGTGAATCCCATAATATTCTGGGTGACAGACTGAGGCTTACTCCCTAACCAAAGACCTCTGAGAGCACAGATGGAGAGGCGTGACTATGATCTGGGGCAGGGCCTCACCATCCTTTTCCAGAGCCTCACCCCCTGTGCCCAAGATGGACATGGGATGGACCTAGGGGTAGAATTTGAGAGTGCTCATTTATACTCTTTCAGCAGCCTTCAAACTGTTTTTTGGTAGCTGAGAAACTGTAATCGGCTTTTGGATTATGAAAAATATTGCTCAGCACTCATATTATATTGATTCAAAAATAAGGATTGTGTAGTTTAACTGCATAGTAAAATACAGCTTTATAGAATGGTAATTTTTTATTTAAGTTCTTCTACATTATAGTGAGAGATAACGGATTCAGGAAGGGCACAATGAGGAATAAAGCTGTTGTATTGTATTGGTTAAATGACATTTTAAATGATTTGGCTGTCAAACTCGTAGAAAGGTTATGAGCAGTGAATGAAAAATCTAAAATTAATTCCCTGCTTCAAGAAAGTGTGATTTATACTATAATAAAATTAGATTTTTAGTTAAAGAAATTTAGTCATTAAGTAATGCCCATGCACTAAGTCTCATTTATAACCATCTGGTTTGAAGCTTCTGCAGAAAATAATTTCTTCCTTAGACAATGCATCCAGGGCCTTGGTGTCATTATGTCAATGAATTTCACTCCTTACATTTCTGCTACAGCTTTTGAGGGGTTGCTTTTTTAAGCACTGGAAAGATGGATTCTTATTTAGCCTCAATAATTGAGGAAGCCGTTGAACTCATTTACCTCCCAAAAATAATCTGATCGTCTCCCTCTCTTAGCTCTTTTCATGAATGGTAATGTTGTTGATGATGGTGGCACATGTTGGAGGACTGCCTGTGTGCTGGACACCATGCTAAGCATGGGACAAGCTTATTATTTCATTTGATCATCACAACTACTCTATGTGGAATGTGCTATTTCTGCCTTTACAGATCAACAAACAGAGACTAAGGAAATGTTAAATAATTCAACAAAGGTGACAGAGGCACAGCTGGCCCCCACTCTTAATCCCTGTCATATTTTTCACGAATGTGTGTTGAGCATTTCCTTGGAGGAAGTAGAGTATAGTGGTAGGACCTCAGAGGTTTGAGTCTAGTCCTGATGTGGCCACTTCTCATGTGAAATTCAGCAAGTTGCAGTCTTTCCCTCAGTACATCTTTCTTCATCTGTAAATTAAAAGTGGGGTTTGTTCCCTCTATTTAACAAACTTCTGATTACTCCTGGGTAATTTGTCTTATTTTAAAAATTTTTACTGGAGCATATCAAATATATAGTAAAGACACATATTCTGAGTGTAGCACTTGGTTAATATTTTGTAAGTGAACATATCTATGTGACCACCACCAAGATGATAATATAGAACATTTCCAGCATCCCACAAACCATTCTGTGTCCCCCGGTCATTATCCTCGCAAAGGTTACTACTCATCTGTCATCAGAGATTGGTTTTGCTTGTTTCTGAGATTTATAAAAATAAAATCTTATAAACTGTACTATTTGTTTCTGCTTTCTTTCCCTCAGCGCTATGACAATGAGATTCAGCTACATTATCACATGTTGCAGAGTTTTTTCTTTTGCACTGCAGTGAAGTTTTCCATTGTATGGATATGCCACAGTTTATCTGTTCCACCATTGGTGGACATTTGCATTACATATCATGCTGCATTCAGCCTTCTTATACATGCATTTTGGTGCTCACATGAATGTACTTCTGTTGGACATTTACTTAGGAGTTAAATTGTTGGGTCAGGAACATAGATGTCACAATAGTTATTTTAACATAATTTAATTACAGGAAATTGGTTAAACAGATATTAAAGGATTAAGAAGGTGGAAAAGGAAACACTGCAATAGTTAAGAGCAGTACCTGCAGGAAGGAATACCTTTATCACTACTGTCTCCAGGGGAGGAGCCTCTCCATACTGGGACTCAGACCAATGAGGAAAGTTTTGCTGGTGCTGGTTCCTCTGAGGGTATAAAAATTATAGTTCCTTCATATCCTTGTAAACATTTACTATTAACAGTTTTTTAATGTCATCTATTATATGTGGTTTATAGCAGTATCCCACTGTGGTTTCAACTTGTGAAGTGCCTATTCAAATGTTTTACTCATTCTTCAATTAGGTTATTTGTATTTTTCTTATTGATTTGCAAAAGTATTTTATATATTCTCAATAAGTCATTCGTAAGATATATGGATTGCAAATATATTTCCTTAATGGCTTCCCTTTTCATTGTCTTGATCCTATCTTTTAATAAACAGAAGTCCTAATTTTAATAAAGTCTGAGATATTCTTTTGGTTTGCTTTTCACATCCTCTTTAAGAAATTTTCACCTATGTATTTAAAGTCATGAAGATACTCTTGATATCTTATAGAGACTTAGTTGCATTACTTTTCACATGTAGTTCTACAATCCATCAGGAAATGATTTTTATGTATGTTCTAAGATACGTCCAACATTTTTTCCATGAGGTTGCCATGATGTGTTTAAACTTGCTTATGGCTCAGCATACGGCCAATTTTTATAAATCTCGAATGGACACTTGAAATGAAGTGCTATTTGGTACAGTGTTTGATGTCTGTCAATTAGGTCAAGTTTTAAAATTATAGTGTTCAACTCTTCTATATCCTTACTGATGCTTTTTTCCTCTACTTGTTCTATCAGTTAAAGACAGAGATTTTTTAAATTTTCCAACCATTATTGTGGGTTAAAAAAATTCTCCTCTTAGTTCTTTGAGTTCTGGCTTTGCATATATTTAGACTATGCTACTAGGTATGTACAAGTTTAGAATTGCTATATATTCCTGTTAAGTTGTTCCTTTTCTAATTATGAACCATCCCTTTTTATCACTGATAATAATTCTTGCCTACTTTATCTATAGCCATGTTTTCTTGGTTGAAGTTAATATGGTTTATCATTTAAATTCTTTACATTCAGCCTTTTTGTAAACATATATTTATGATATGTCTCTTGTAGGCAGCATATAGTTGGATATTGTTTTCTCTATTATGCCAATCCTTGTGTGTTTTATTTTTTATTTATTTTTTTTGTTTTGTTTTGTTTTTGTTTTTTTTTGAGACAGAGCCTTACTCTGTCTCCCAGGCTGGAGTGCAGTGGCGCAATCTGGGCTTACTACAAGCTCTGCCTCCCGGGTTCACGCCATTCTTCTGCCTCAGCCTCCCAAGTAGCTAGGACTGCAGGTGCCCACCACCATGCCTGTCTAATTTTTTGTATTTTTAGTAGAGATAGGGTTACACTGTGTTAGCCAGGATGGTCTCGATCTCCTGACCTCGTGATCCACCTGCCTCAGCCTCCCAAAGTGCTGGGATTACATGCATGAGTCACCTCGCCCAGCCCAATCCTTGTGTTTTAATGGGATTATTCAGCCAATTTATAGTTAAATAGGTTTAAATATAAACCCATGTTTTCTCTGTTCTATATTCCTTTTCTCTTCTGCCTTTCATGTCTTCTTTTGGATGAGACAGTTTTGGTTACTTCATTCCTTTGGTGTCATAGCACTAATTTTGCCATTTTTGGGACAGTACTAGGACATTATAACACTTTAATCTCATTTGACCTCCTGATCTTTTTTAAAAAAATCATATTACTATGTATTTTAGTTCTACAAATATTTTTATCTTACAGTGCATTATTGTTGTGTTAAGTAGCCGAAATGTATTTTTATGGTTTTTTTAATGCTTGTTGGTGCTCATTATTTCTTCTTGCATAGCTATACATTCATCTGAATAATTTTCTGCGTTTTTGCCTTAAAAGTTCGCTATAAAGTATTGCTCTTAGTGTTAATTTGTTGGCAATGTATTCTCTCAGGGTTTTTTTGTCTAAATATCTGTATTTTACCTTCATTTATTTTACCTTATGAATACCCATATTTTCATTGGATTCTAATGTTTTTTTCAAATTTTAAAGATGGTGGGTACTATGCTTATTACCTGGGTGAGCTTTACACCAAATCCCCAAGACATGCAGTTTACCTGTATAGCAAATGTGCACATATACCCCTGAACTTCAAATAAAAGTTAAAAAAATTAAAAACTAAAGATGGCATTCCATTGTCTTCTGGTTCCATTATTTCCTACTGAAAAATCAGCTATCCCACTTACTGTTGCTCCCTTATAGGCAATGTTCTCCCCATCTCTACCACCCACCCTTTGGCTGTTTTAAAGATTTTCTATTTGTCTTTGAATATTCAACTATTTTACTGAGTACTTAGGTATGGTTGTGTTTGTATTTATCTTGCTTGGGGCTTGTGGAGATTCCCAAATTTCTGGCTTGATGTCTTTCATTAGTTTTGGAAAAGTATCAACAAGCGTCTCTTTCAGTATTGATTCTGCCCATTTTCTCTGAATTTTCACTCTGAAAATTTAATTACATGCTTGTTAGAACTCTTCATGATGTTACAGTGTCTCATACTTTTTCTGTATTTTTCATTCTTTATCTTTTTTCCTTTCAGATCTTCTGTGTGGTTAATTTTTACTGATCTAGCTTCCATCTTACTATTCCTTTCTTCAGTTGTGTTTAATCTGTTGTTAAATCCACCTATTGAATTTTTCAGTTATTTCATTTTCAGTTATGAAATTTTTGTTTGATTATTTTTTGTTTATTTTTGTTTCAATAGGTTTTTGGAGAACAGGTGGTGTTTGGTTACAGGTTTTTAGTGGTGATTTCGGAGATTTTGGTGCATCCATCACCTGAGCATTTTACAGTGTACCCAATGTGTAGTCTTTTATTCGATTCTAGTTTTATAATGAAATTCAGCATCTTTTCTCCTATTTTCCTAAACATATTAGCCATAGTTATTCTAAAGCTTGTGCCTAAGAATTCTAAGATCTGGATAACATGTGGCTCTGTTTCTGTGGTCTGTTTTCTTGGATTTTAGCCATTCGATCCCATTTCGTGCTATGCCTGGTAATTTTAGACTGGATGCTGGAGATTATATATGAAAAATTGTAAAGCCTGTGGATCACTTTATAGATTTCCACAGAGGATTTATTTTTCCTTGTTAGACAGATAGAGTCCTGGAATATCATCTTTATCTACTCAAGAATAGGAATAATTTGAGAATATATGGTCTTAGCAGTAAGTCTGCTGCATTTGTCAGGGCGACTATTTCTTGGAAAGCCTAATTTTTGTCTCTTTAGTACCATGTACTTTCAAAATCTATACTTAGATTTTATTATTTGAGGCTTTTTTTTTTCTTGTTCAAGGCTACTTTTTAACTTGTTTCTCAGCCTTTTGCCCTTTATGTGTGTAGCTCAGGCATAATCATATAACTCAAGGGGAAGCCGAAAATGTTGAGCTCACTTCTTTCTGGTTTCCTTTTCCAGGGTTTCTGACCCTCATTTTCTGGCTTCTTTGGTAGCCTTGCACTCTGATGTTTATTTCCCATCTCAGAGAGACTTCTCTAAGTTCTAGAATATTATATTCTGTTTGGCTTCTATGCAAAACAGCAAATGTCGCAAAGGGGAAATGTGGCAGTGAATATGGGGCTCATCTCAATGGACTTTTCTCTCATAACTTTCCTTTAAATTCTGGCTGCTTTTGTTGCTGTTGGATGCCTTCAAAAACTTTTTTTTAATTCCACTTTTATAATTGTTGATAGCAGAAGGATTAGTCTCATACAAGCTACTTTTTTATGGCACAAAGAAGAAGTTTATCTCATAAAATTTTCACAATGTCCCTAGGAATTAACTATCATGACTATTTTTAAAGTTGGAATGCTGTGTGCATAGGCATTGGAATCAGACTTTGGGATTTAAATCTTAGCTGGCCACCGACCAAAATATGAGACCTTGGACAAGTTTAACCTCTCCTCCCTTTCAGTCAGTCTCTGAGAAATGAAGTGGAAGAACTGGGAGGCTAAGGCAGGAGAATCACTTGAACCTGGGAGGCAGAGGTTGCAGTGAGTCGAGATCGTGCCACTGCACTCCAGCCGGGGCCACAGTGTGAGACTCTGTCTCAAGAATAAAAAAATTTTAAAATAAGATAATCCTATTTTTATTTAAATTATTTCAGAGTATAATAAAAGGAAAACTTCCAAATTCATTACATAAAGTTGGTTTCATTTTAATTTCTTGTTTTTTGTTTTTTTTTTGAGACGGAGTCTCGCTGTCTCCCAGGCTGGAGTGCAGTGGCGCGATCTCGGCTCACTGCAAGCTCCACCTCCCGGGTTCAGTCCATTCTCCAGCCTCAGACTCCCGAGTAGCTGGGACTACAGGCGCCCACCACCACGCCCGGCTAATTTTTTGTATTTTTAGTAGAGATGGGGTTTCACCGTGTTAGCCAGGATGGTCTCAATCTCCTGACCTCATGATCCGCCCGCCTCAGCCTCCCAAAGTGCTGGGATTACAGGTGAGAGCCACCGCGCCCGGGCAATTTCTAAATCTGATAAGAAAAATATGAGATTGGTAGACCAATCTCATTTATGAATATCAGTACAAAAAATTATAGACCAATAAATGTAAAACATATTTAAAATAATAAACAGAATCCAGCAGCATATTTTTAAAAGTATATTATGACTAAGAAAAGCTTGTTTTAGAAATACAGGGGTAGTGGAATATTATGAGATCTACTATGTAAGTCATCCTATTAATAGAACTAAGGAGAAAAATCATATGATTATCTCCTTAAATGCCAGAGAAAAGTACTTGATAAAATCCAACACATTTATTTTATTTTATTTTTTATTCAACAAATATGTATTGAGCATCTGTTCTGCTACAGCACTGATGATGCAAGAGTGAAAAAGATACTGGCGCCATCCCAACCCACATTCCACTAGAGGGAAACAGTCAATAAACAAATGAGTAAAGGAACAAGCTGTTTTTCAACTAGCACATACATTTATTTTTAAAACTCAGTAAAATGTATATTGGTTTCATTAATATAATAAACATATCTCAGGCTAAAAGCCAGCCTGTCACTTAATGGGGAAATGCTAAAGGTTTTCTTCTGAAAGCAAAAGCCAAGACAAGGGTGCGCAGTATGAACACAACGCCTAACATGGGTTGAGAATTGGTTAAAGCTCTAAGGCAAGAGAAAACACCTGGAAGTATAGGAATTGGAAAGAAGAGATAAGATAATTGCTGTTTGCAAATTACATAAATACTCAAATGGAAACCCCAAAAGAATCAATGGAAAAACTATTACAAACAGTAAAATTTAACCAAGAAGCTGGTTATAAAATAAATATAAAAAATATTTTTAAATTGCCATCAAATATACAAACAAAAATCAGCTGGAAGAAATAATAAGAGAACATCCCATTTATGATAACAAAAGACATACAAAAAAGAAATATTCAAAATACGCACAAGGAAAACTATAAAATACTCTTGAAAGAAGCAAAAGTAGACTCAAACAATTATTAAAATCCTGTGTTATTAGATAAGAACATGCAACATTATATAGATGTCAGCTTTCCCTAAATTAATTTATAAATTTTATGTAACCACAACAAAAATTTCATAGTTTTTTTCTGGAGCTGATTATGAATATCTCCTGTTCCATGAATACTAGTTGTTTCAAGAAACAGAGGTGCCAGGCCTTGGAGCAGGTTACTGAGGAACAGTTTGGGAGGAGCTGGGTTTGTTTTGTGCAAAATACGCTCTGTGGCTTATGTTTCCTGCATTTAACCTGTCATCTCTATGCCGCCTCCTCTGAACCCTTACCTGATGAGTACTCCTTCAGGAACCAGAGTTTGGTTTGTGTGATGGGCTGTTGGCATGTGACATGGATCTTCCACTGATCTCCACCAGGGCTTTTTGCTCAGTAGAAAGGTAGCAGTCAGGGAATGTAATTTGGGTAGGACAACCTTCCCAGTGCCCTCTTAGTTTCATCTCTAATATTGCCTCCCCCTTCTGACAAGAGGATGCTAGACAAGAATGCTAAGGTGTGAAAGACAATGCTATTACCTTAAAAAGCACTGTTGCTGAATTACCTTCTTGGCTGCGGTGTTGAGGTGGTAGTCCCAGTTTGGTGTTTTCTCTTCTCTTCTTTAGTTGCTAGTATGGACTTTCAGCTTATTTTTAACCTTAGGCTTTTTATCCAAAACATGTCGTTTATGATGAATTGGAGATACTTTATATTAGTTATGAAACTGCAATATGCATTTCTAGTCTTTCCCCCCATTAGTTCTCACCAGGACTTTTCATTCTTCTAGAGCTACCCTGAATTTTCATACCACCCAACATTTTCCTATGCTATTCTCTCTTCCTGGTCCACCCTCCCTCCCCCATTTTTGTCTGAAAATCTGCCTGTTCTTCAGTGCTATTTTCAAAGGTTCTTTTAAAAACACTTTTCCTTATGTTTCCAACTGGAATGTGAAATGCTGGTATTTACAAGACAAATCACCCTTTCATTTCTCAGTAATTTGTGTTTGTTCTGTGGCCCCCTAATCAACTGTGAATATCAATGCAGGTACTCAGTTTTACCTGGGTAACTTCTGAAACACTTTGCTTATTGCCCTGCGCATAGTAAGCATCAATAAAGATAGGATTGAATTAAGAAAACCCAAGGGCTTAATTTAGTCCAGTGGCATGAACTGGCTATCCAAATTGTTCATAGGATCTCACCCTTTGGAAACTATAAATTGTGTTTAATCTATTATCAGGTGATGTCAGTGACATATCCAGTAGCAGTGGTGGTCTTCACCATAGCACCACAAAACAGAACCTGCTGCTGGCCAGATAATTTTAGCCCATCTGCTTATGTTTTCTTCAGTCCCTAAAAGCACCTACAGTTCAGGCAGAGGGTGGGTCATCAACCTGGAAGAGGGTCTTCCTTAACACTTGGTACCAGCCCATACTCCAAATAAGGAAGGCCCTGAGAATGAGCTGTGCTCATTAAAAACTTTGTGATTAACAGGATTTTTTTTGCCTAAGCCCTCAAAGCAACAAGTTGTTTACATTTATAGATGTACATGTTGAGAGTTTAGTAGACCAACATTGCTCAGTGTCATGTTCTTCGTAGATTGTTCACCTTTTCATAAATGTGTGACTAACAAGAGAGGAGATATTTGCAAGTATCTGTACATATGAATTATTCTTCAGAAAACACAAAGTCTTTCTTTTCTTGCAGGAGCCCAGAAGCTTTGAAGTCACAAGAAGAGAAGGTAGGAAAAATGCACTCATACCCATTTTATTTTCAGTGTTGACATTTTTGAAGTAGTTTGCTGAAACTAAGATGAACTTCAGACTGTGGGCAGCTCATTCTTTGAAATTTCATGCGGCCTTTTCTGGGTGCTGACTGCTTAGCACTTGTCTGTAGGGACTGCATGGACTGAAGGCCAGGTTTGCTTGTGAAAACTATGACTTCTACCTTCAAGTACCAGAGGTGGGATACTTGAAGAACTGGCTCATTCGCAATCATGTTTTTGGTCTCTTAAGAGAAGCCTCATTCTTGAGTGAAGTTTGGAATAATTATTAGTTTTACCCAGCAAAGCAACGTGAACAACACAAAAAATGGCCTATGGTTTGTGGTATTTCAATATCTGGGAAGAGATGCCACTGTGAAAAATATTTCTGAATAGATTTCTTACAGCTTCAGCTAAGCTGAAATAGAAATAACTAATTAATTTTCCTTTTGAAAACAGTTCCATGATGTTCTGTTTCCCCTGCCAGAGTTCCTGTAGCACATTTGTTTTATGGTCTCTGAGGTAAACATATATGGGTGTTACTTTCAGAAATCTTTTAGTGGAAATTGAAGTTTCCCTTATTCATTTTCAGTAATACCTAGTCTCTAATAAGGGATGCCTTTTGTATGATTTGTGGAATCATTAACAATCATCTTTTTATTACATGGATAGAATGATGAGATCAGAAACGAAAATGAGTTCCTGGTCTAGAATGTGGCTTTGGTTTTACCCTTCACCACATCCTTCTCTGTGGTACTGTCTCCAAAGAGGGAGACAATCTAAAAGAAATTAGCAAATTCTATATTGACTACTAAATCTAACATTGCTTTGCCTCCTGATTAGTTCTTGTGTTATGCAACACAGCAAAAGACATAGAATGGCTATGTTATCAACATGCTTTGATACATGGATATTCATGCCTGGGACCTTGGTAACACAAACTTTTCACACTATATTGAGTCCAGCTGGTAGTGTGCTGCTGTCCATGGTGCTGGATCCCTAGGGTCATAGGATCTGGATAATCTGACTCTAAGATGAACTTTCTGGCTTACATTCCCATTTGCCATTATCTTCGGCTTCGGACTCGATGTCCTCTGAACTATAGGACAATATGTAAAGCAAACTGCATTGTTTGAATATCAAAACCAAATGGATGAAGGTTGATGGAGCTGGGAAGGAGGTTTCTTATGGAAAGTAGTGTTCACAATGGGTACTGTGACCATGTAAGTTGGAAAGAAATAGCCATAAGGAGAGGAGAATTTGACATGAACTTTGGCTTTGAATAATATTCTGTTTATGCCAGAATCCCGACTGTGAATGTTTGGAATTGATTTGCATTGTAAAATCACATATAAACTTAACCTTTTTGGAATCTTACTGTCCTTGTGTTGAAAATGTCTCTAATAAGGCTGGGGTTATAAAAGAGCCATGTATTTCTATTCAAATGCATGAAAAAGGTCTGAGTGAACTTATGACTTCAAACTCCCAGAAGAATGAGAGTGTCCAGAGGAGGAGTGAAGGTGTAGTCAGGCTGCACTCCATTCATCTGTAACCTCTCCACCGCTGGAAGTGTCAGCCTTCGCAAATGGTTGACTTAGGAACATACACTGTGGGTTTGTACTAGCAAATTTGTTCTAACATCACAGAAACTTTTTTCTTCCTATTGTGCACTGATGTCTTTCTTGCTTGTTTCTGTCAAAGTTGAATGTTTGAGAGTTCCTGAAATAGCCCAGTGCTGTAACGTCAATGCTTACAACCTGGCAGGAAGAAAAGGAGTGGGACCTTGCCGGCTGGTTCTAAGTATTTTTAGGTCTGGGAATTCACTGACTCACTGACTTGGGTTGTGGGGTTGTTAATCTTCTCCAGAACAGTGTACAAGTATAAAAAGAATAGAAGCACTATGGTGCTTCAGTAAACTATTTTTCTGTCAAAGAAAAGTAAGATATTGTCTAGCAATGAACACCTGGGTTGGTTCCCAGCTCTGACTCGACCCCGGACTGAAAGAGGAACAGATGAGTAATAGCTGATTTTTCTGCACAGCTTACAAGGCCCAGGAGAGTCTAGAAAGTCTTCAGGTCTAGAGAGGAAGCTTCCAGTCACAGAACCTGAGGAGGTTTCCTGTTTTGGTTTGCCTTATTTCAATACTGTACCTGACTCAGGAGCATCCCCTCCATTGAAGGTTTAGGGCCACAAATGGCTAACCAACTGCAACTTCACATTATGTGACTTTTGGAAACTCTTGACTAAGTATGTGTGTTGAGAAGTGAGAGGGGCTAATGTTAGCAGTGGAAATCGAGTCCAAGCCAAATCATAGTGGGAACTAGCGACAGTAGGGGCAAAGTGAATGCATTGTGTGCCTTAAACCTGTCCTCTGCCCTATTTCCCCCTCTTCCCCTCCAGCCGTAGATGTCATGCTGTCTAGCTTTCTTGCCTCTGGCCTTAGACTATTCCTGCATGCCTTGTCCCTCATCCTTGTCAAATCCACCTCCCCTTCATCCTTTCCAACTCTCTTTCTTGAAGTGTTTAGCTTACCCTATCTAATTGGAGAGGGAAGGGCTCCTATCAGGTTAATTTCCTGAGATCAGAGACCCTCCTGCCTTCTTCATCCCCACATTCCTCACAGCTCTAGCCCAGGGCCAGTAGTTAATCAACAATTGTTTCTTAAAGTAAGTGCAAGCTACACATTTGCTTTGTGGGTGTTGCCTTTTCATTCTGGCCCTTCCCAGTAATATACAAGTGAGGCACTGGGCCCTTTGGTTCTGGAAAGGCACCTTTAAAGAAATGTTCTATGGCTATCATTAGATTTTCCTGGCTGATGCACTGAAGAAAATTCAAGTAAGCTTAGTATTATGGGTTGAATTTTGTTCCCCAAAAAGACATGTCAAAGTCCTAAACCAGAACCTGTGAATGGAACCTTATTTGGAAATAGGGTTTTGGCAGATATAAAGATGAAGTCATAATGGATTAGGGTGGGCCCTAATCCAATAGTGAGGTCCTTACAAGAAAAGGGAGAATTGGACACAGACACACAAGGAGAACATCGTGTGATGATGGAAGCAGAGAATTGCTGGCAAACACCATGAGCTGGCAAGTTGCAAGGGACCCTCCATCCCTAGAACCTTCAGAGAGAGCATAGCCCTGCCAGCCCCTTAATTTTGTACTCCCAGCCTCCAGAACTGGGAGAAAATCCATTTCTCTGGTTTTAAGTCACTTAGTTTGTGGTTTATTATGGTGGCCCTAGGACAGTAATACACTTGGAAAATGTTGGACTCAGTAAACTTTAGTTTTCATTGTTGTTGATGATGATGATATTTTGACTGGAGAATCTCTCATGATTTTTCATAGACAAAATGTCACTCTCAACAGGGAATGTAATATGCAGCATTTTCCAAACTTGGTTTTCTGTGGGATTTAACAAAATTAATTGTGTTGTTTTTAACCATCTCAGGGCAGGCATTCCATGCAGTGCCTTTTGCAAACCCTGCCCTAGAGAGCCCAGGAAGAGGCAGAGCTTCCTCAGAGTGCCCAGGCACCAGACTGTGCTCCATGGGCTGTGCATGTACAGAACAGTGTGACAGCAATAATAAGAATATCTTCTTGGTTGTTCTGATGTTTTCAGAGAATGTTCACGTTCTTTACCTCCCTTTCCCTTGAGTAACCTGTGACACAGAGCAGATAGCACTGCATACATGAGACTCCTTCCTTTTCATGTTAATTTTTAGTAGGGATGAGGAATGCTTCTGGGCTGGTGCCTCTCTGATGCCCTGAACCTCTCTTTAGTGGGTGGTGGTTGCTTAAGTGACTTGATCTTGCTTCATCACATCCAAGGGTGTTTGTACCTTATGTTGGCTGCCAAGCCCAGAGAGCTGAGAGGGACTTGCTGGGGGTGCTTTGTTTCCAAGTTAGATTTGTGGGACTTGAAGGTAGACACAGTAGCAAAGATTGTGGCAGGACTACGAGACTGATAGGGTGTCCTCTGGGAAGGGTGCATGCCTCCCCAAGGGAGACAGAGCCATTCCTCCTTCAGGACAGTTCCGTATGACCCTGGATATTCATGCCTGGGACCTCCCTATATGAGCTGCATGGGAAAGAGTGATGGCTGCATCTCTCTGTGCTTTCCAGTGCAGGTATTTTTATAACTCCCTCCAGACATCTAAAATTTAATTTCACCCTTTTCTGAAGCTTCAGCAAAAGGTGCCACCCTTACCTTTCTAAGATACTCCCGTGTCCACTGTGAGGGCCAATGCTGATTGCGACTGCCAAAATTCATCTACTCAAACCGGTACTTTTCTCTGACTGTTCCCATCATGTTGAATTACAGCCATGAGCGAACACTTGAGTAAGCTGAGCAAATGGCTGGGATAATTCAGCCCTTGTCAGCCATCTCTGAGGAGCATAGGACGATCTGTAAGCTATTCCAGATGTCCGTGATTGTGCTGTGATTAGGGGCTGCGAGTTTGGGGATGAGCACCAATGTCATGTTGCATTGCCCACCTCCCAGCGCTGGCTCCCGCACATGTTCCAGCCCTGTCCAGCCTGGCCTGGCTTCTAGCAAGGCTGTGAGGGAACCCGGGAGAGGAGGGCTGCTGCTGTCTTCAGGGAAAAGGAAAAAAGGGGGTGACCATCACGTGCACACTCAGCATGGCTCTGGCTCCTTTGCAGTGCAGATCTCCTAAGCAAACATGACCTGCCAGTCCCGAGTGTGAAACTAGAGCCTCACTTTCTGAAAACCCGTGGAATCGGTCCCTAATTGGCAGCTGCCTCCAATAGCCCCTTTATAGTTCTCTGCATCTGGGTGAACTTCAGCTATCAAGAACTGCATTCTGTTTACCATTAATTTTGATTTTGTGTAGCAGATGTTTTCTGGATCTCTCAGTTCCCTGCCTAATCTATCTTGGTATAATGTGAAGTGGCTGACTGTCTTCAATGAAACAGATTAATAAACTCCTAGGTTATTTTGGGGTAACTTCTTTAATAGCTGCAGATGTAGGGAATTTAAAAGGGAGCCATCCAGATTTGACAGTGCCTGGAGCCGTGGGTCTTTTTCAATTCAAGACTGCCATCTGGGGAAAGAGATGGCTTTTCCTTCCCCCATGCCACCCTCTCTCACATGCAGTGAGGCACTGAGTGTTCTTCTACAGTCACTGGGCTCAAAGAAGTTGAGAGTGACATCTATCTCCTGTCTCCCAACCTCACAGAAATTGGCTCTTTCTGGGTTGCGTTGCCTTGTTTCAGCTGCTGGGAAACTATATTGTGCTTAGTTGCCTGAAGTTGAATGGGAAGTGCATGGTGCACCTAGCCGATGTGTCCTGCTTAAGTAGTGATTTGGTGCCCAGTTTTGATCATGACCAATTGGTAGGCAGCTTACTCACAGTGTGACTTCAGGTAAGTTACTCAACCTTACCTGAAAAAGGATGCGGATAGTAATAGTACAAACCATCAGTCCCAATTCTGAGTTGTAGAAACCCAACTTGTGCTGGCTGAAGCCTGAAAGGCCTATGAAGCTGCAGAATCTAAGGGTGGATCTGGCTTCAAGAACAGCTGATAAAAGGATTCTCACACTCATCCTGTCCTTCCTTCTCCTGGCACATTGGCCTCTTCCAGGTAGCCTTCCAGGATGGCCACAAGCAGCTGCAGCTCAGAGTCCTGCCTGCTCACCGTCTCAGAGGGTGAAACTTTTCCCCCAGAATGACACCAGAAAAATCCCCTCAGGGTTTGCAAAATCATCCTCATCCAGACCACAGGCAATGGTTTGGTCCTCAAAGGAAGATTCTGTGCAGGGATGTGTTCGGTGTCCACACAGCCTCGTGGACATATTGGGAGGGGTGACTGTGTGTGCAGACGCCTTGGCACAGGACAGGCAATGTTGGCAGTGCTCAGTGCATGGGTAATTTTTACTAGAGCTCTTACAGGCCTGGCCATAGACATAGAGGCCTTTCTCAAGTAAGCCAGTTCATTCTTCTGTCTCCAAGATGTGTTCATGAGACTCTGGATGTTGTGGCCTATTGACTTTTCCATGAAGAATTATTATTATTATTATTATTATTATTATTATTATTATTATTATTATTATTTTGAGTCCGAGTGTCACTCAGTCACCCAGGCTGGAGTGCAGTGGTGCGATCTCGGCTCACTGCAAGCTCAGCCTCACGGGTTCACGCCATTCTCCTGCCTCAGCCTCCCGAGTAGCTGGGACTACATGTGCCCACCACCATGCCCGGCTAAAGTTTTTGTATTTTTTTAGTAGAGACAGGGTTTCACTGTGTTAGCCAGGATGGTCTCTATCTCCTGACCTCGTGATCTGCCCGCCTCAGCCTCCCAAAGTGCTGGGATTACAGGTGTGAGCCACCACTCCTGGCCGAAGAATTATCTTAAACTTAGCCTATTCTGGTCCCTTTCCTCTGTCAGAGTCTTTCTTTAACTTTATGCTCTAATTCTCTCTTTCTACAATCAGAAGAACTAAGCCTTTAAGATGGTGCCTTTAAGAACTTAAAGACAAACGACCGGGCACGGTGGCTCACGCCTGTAATCCCAGCACTTTGGGAGGCCGAGGTGGCCAGATTGCAAGGTTAGGAGTTCAAGACCAACCTGGCCAGCATGGTGAAAACCCCGTCTCTACTAAAAATACAAAAAATTAGCCAAGCATGTTGGTGCATGCCTGTAGTCCCAGCTACTCAGGAGGCAGGAGAATCACTTGAACCCAGGAGGCAGAGGTTGCAGTGAGCCGAGATCACACCACTGCACTCCAACCTGGGAGATAGAGTGAGACTTAAAGACAAACATAAACTTCTCTCCCAAGATCAGGGGCTTTCTGAGCACTGGTGTCAGAAATCATCCTTAAGCATTACAGATATAAACCATCCCATCCTCTGGCTGAGCTCAGCTCTCTCCAGGGATTGGAGGCAGCAGGACCTTGTGGTGGATAGCTCAGGGCTCACGATGGATCTGCCAGTGATGCTATCCGAACCTGAGGTATGTAAATCCTCCCCAAGAGCCACAGCGCCACTCACCTGGTACCTGTAGCCTTTGCCCTGGGACAGCTCTCATGCTGCTGTGCAGGCACAAGTTTTGGAAACGCAGGGGTCAGATGTCTGCCTCCCAGGGTCCCCTGTCCCTGACACAGAGTGGGCACTGAAAAAGTGTTAGATGCCTGGCATGTCCCAGGGCTGACTTGGCTTTATGTCATCTCTCCGTTTCTCACAAAGGTCAGATCACAGATACAGGGCCTTCCAGGTTGTTTGACTGTGAACCCCATAGCTCCAGGATACCTGGTCCTATTTGCTGAGCTTGCTCTTCCCACCAGTCCCTGGGAATGCTCACTTTCCTTAACTACCATCCTCAGAGAGCTCCTCTGCCCTTTCTAACAACTTGTGGGTCCCTCTGCTAGAAGGAGCTTAAACTGTGTTCATGCACATGAGCTAAACCTCTGTGGTTATGACGGGCAAGCTATAGGTCGGTGTGGGCAGGATAATGAACCCCTAATCACTCGTGCTTGCCTAGCGGTCTCCTTAGAGGTTGCATTGCAATATTTGGGCATAGGTCACTATCTGGAATTTGTGGGGAAGAGTCACATTGTCGAAGAGGTCATGACCCCTAAAGGGTATGAACCACTGCACATTCCTAAGGACCAAAAGACAGGATGGTGTCAGCCAGCCTGAAGCACGCTGATCCTGCCCCTCCAGGACAAGTGGAGAGAGATGATGGTGCTCCCTGTATACCTGCTGAGGTCCCCACCCTACCCAGGAGACTCACCCTCATCTCTCAGATCCCAGCAGAAGTTAAGCTTGACATTTGTCATCTTCGTTACTTGACCAGTCCCCAAGCCAGAGGCATTTCTTTGCTTTTCAGGAACCCTTGAAATTATCTTCTTCATATAAACACTGAAGCCCTTTTCAAACCTCATTAAGCTATTTGCCCCAGCATATTAATGTGCTATCCACCAGCCTCTGGGGTTAATTATCTGTGAGTTAAAATCATTTGTTTCTGTCTCTTTTATCTCATTGCTGCTTGGCAATCTTTCTTTATTAGGAAACGAAGTACAGGATGCAACTGACCATTATGTTCTAATTCTATTCTTTTCATCAAAATGAGTTCATCTTTTAAAGCTCTTTTGTAAAAAACAACAAACCTGTCTTTTCATTATTTTAAGATTGTGTTGTTTTTTTAACAAATCTTTAATCTCTCTGCTTCAGCTGGAGCAGAGCCAGGACTGGAAATAATCTGTAAGGGGAGACCTCTCCTCTAAATCAGCAAGACCTGCCAACACTCTCTCTCCTGATTGGCCTCACTCACTCTGCATTTGGCCCATTTCTCTCCTGTGGCTGTGGTGAGGGCTTCCAAGGTGTACAAGTTGGGCTTGGTGAATAAGCCACAGTGTCTTGGCAGATCAGGCAACCAGGGTTGGAAAATCCTGTGCATTCTAACGCACCCCACTGGTCTCTACATGCTCTTATTTGGGTTATATTTCTTGGCCAAGGTTGCCATTGGGTTCCAAGAAATGCGTCAGGGCCTGCATTAAAAAGAAAAAAAAAAACAAAAACCTTTTCACAAAATGTTGAATGTTGCTTTGAACTCTCCAGGAAGTCAGGGAGCGTGTGTCCCAGAAATGAGCAGGTAGGATGGGCACTGGCTCCATGGAGACAGTGACCCACAGCCTTCCGGGATAAGAGTGCAGCCAATAGTGGGGAGACCTGGGCCGGGGTCTGAGCGCAGTCAGTGCAGTTGGATGGTGCACAGAGCTGGTTCTCCCATGTACTGCAAGCCAGTGATTGCCCCTACCCTGTTCTTCGGGGCTCCAGCTTCTCAGCTCCATTCTCTGCCCCTCAATGGCTCTCTCACCTCATCAGTGCCTCAAAAACAATATCTGGGACTCTAGTTTGATAACTACTACTTGCATTGGAGAAATGACTCCTCTGGAAAGGTGAATACGATTCTCAGAGTTTGTTGAGGTTTTATTGGTTGCTTATAGAAGTTTCCTTGGGCTGATTGGAGTTTGGTGTGCAGAGATGACCCGGCATAGTCCCTGCCCTTATAGATGAGTCAGTTGAGAAGATGCCCAAGCGTCCTGCAGACAGATGTCTACCTGGTGTACCTGCACCATGGCCAGCCACCTCTCAGTTGGGTCCGCAACATAGAGAGAGCATTTGTTCAGTGTAATTGATGTTGGAATCTGGGAGAACAACTCTCTGAATGTTCTGGTGGAGGTGAAGTTTCAGGATCTTTTTTCCAAAGCATGGCTGTCTCAGCAGAGGGTCCCCTTTGACTTTTAAGGGCACACTGTACCAGTGGTGACGTTTTTGTTGCAAATAACAAACCCCAACCCAACTAGCTCAAACAAAAAGAGGACTTATGGCTTATGTAATTGGATAGTCCAGTGAGGGTGGAAGGTGAGGAGTGCTGGGCTTCAGATATACTTGATATGGAGTGTAAGGACCTGGCTTCTCCCTCCATTTTGCCCCTCTCTGGGGGTTCCCCTTCATGGTGAGTGCCAGCCTCCCCTCCTCACAGCTCCAGGTCCAGTGGAAGACAGATGGCCTCTAGTCCAGTGTATCCCACAAAAGTGCTAAAGCTCACTGGGATTGGACAGACTCAGGTCATGTGATTCATGCACTTAATTAATGCTGTGTGCTGTTGGGTTTCCTGAAGTCACCAGCCATACCGCTGGTCAGGATATCATGAAGTGAGAGTGGGAGGAAGGTGGATCCCCAAATGGCAATTGGGTCTGAATAAGGGACACAGAAGCAGGAAGGTAAAAGGAAATTCTCTAAGCATATTAACGTCTACTTAATGATTTCACATCTGGGTGTCTCTCACTCTCCACCCCTAAAAGGATTCTGAGTGCCTGAAAAGCAGGCTAAGAATCAGCAAACATTCACCTAGCGTTTCAGGGGGGAGGTGCTCTCTTCTGTCTTCAGAAGGAATCCAAGGCTAAGAGATTAAGCAGTTGACCCAAGGTCACAGAAGCTTCTAACAGAGTGTGAGTTTGAACTCAAGTCCCTGATGACAAATAAAGGGCACTTTTTTGTTGTTTCAAATCACAGCTGCCTCCAGCGATTGGGTTCTTTCACCTTGTTCTTTTGCCCTGTCCCCTAGGGTAGCTGCAGGAGGTACCTGGGGAGGTGCATCAAGCATTCACCAGCCGAAACTTGAGAGGGGTTTTACCCCAAACATGACATCCTTTCTTTAGCACTTTAGCCAAAGCACATAAGGATGAAAAGCAAATGAACATCAAATGATGAAATCACCCAAAATAGAGAGAAAAGTGAATGAGCAAGCCCCTCACCTGGCAGTGGCTTCAGTCCTTTCCTTGATGATGTTTGTCAGAAGCTTTTATTTTCCACTTTTCCTAAGAGATCACCCTCTTTCTTGGGAAGGGGTTGGTGGAGGCTCGCTGGGCTGGCTGCTTCTAAATGGGCATGGGGTGGCAGACAGGAACACAGGATGGGGGATGGACCTCACCTATAACCAGGGCTGCTGTTCAGGAGCCCTGAACTTTTTGCAACCTCTGCCTCCTGGGTTCAAGCGATTCTCTTTCCTCAGCCTCCAGAGTAACTGAGATTACAGGCATGCACCACCACGCCCAGATAATTTTTGTATTTTTTGGTAGAGACGGGGTTTCACCAAGTTGGCCAGGCTGGTCTCGAACTCCTGACCTCTGGTGATCCACCTGCCTCAGCCTCCCAAAGTGTTGGGATTACAGGTATGAGCCACCGCACCCCGCCAGGAGCCACTTTTTAGTAAGTAATTTCCTATGTGTCCACACATTCAAGACAATTTAGAGGCAAAAGTTTTAGTCCTTTACTATAAATTCTGTAGATTGGAAATGGAAACATTTTCACATTCAACTTCTTATTTAATCTTCATAAACAACCTCTGAGATAGGCATTGCAATCTTATTTTGTAAATTTAAAAAATGAGGACCTTTTGTACTCTGTAGGAAATTGATCAAAGAATTAAAATGGGCTTCACTGAGGTCATTCAGGAAGATACATTCTGTGGGAATCTGATAATGTTTGTGTAATTCTGATTGAAATATTCGTATTCAAAAATGTGGATTCATTGTTCTACAGTCAGCATGCCTGCAGAGTCAGAGGTCCTGGGACCTCCCCCAACCTCCCATCTCGGGGAGCTGTGTCTTGCTGCTGCTACCAAAGGGGAGTAGAGAACCCCAACTTCAGAAGAAATAGGCCTGTAAAAAACCCACGGGTCTGGGCAATGCGTTGTGGGGGGTAAAAATATATTTCAGTCTATTCGCTTTACTAATTTTAGCAGTTATTTGCTCTCCCTTTTTGCTGGAAGCAACATTCCCATCCAGCTGCTTGGCTGCTTCATTTGAATTTTTATCATTTGTGTGAGCCCCTGCATGTTTGGACACAAAATGGGAGTCCTGTGGCTCAGAGGGGACGTTGATTTGATAGGGTCAGATCTAATCTCCTGCTCAGAAACTTCAGCGGAAAATAAAATGAGTTGAGGTTTCTGTTTTGTGTGTGTGTGTTTATTTTTTAAAAACAGTAGGCCTGTAAAGCTGTGCTGGCATATTACTTTTTTCCCCTTTATACGGAATTTAAAATAATACCTTACATTCAAATAGTGTAACCGGTGTGCCTTTTGCTCTCAAAGAGCTTTCCCATTTGTCCTCTCATTTAATATGCTCAAGAAAGCCTGTGAGTTGGGAAGAGTGAAGATATGGTCATTGGTATTTGACAGAGGAGGAGACTGATACTCAGAGATGGCAAGGGACTTGCCCCGGGTCACACAGCTAATTGAGGCAGAGTTGGAGATTATAGCGTCCAGTTCTGTATTACTCCCACCAAGGCTTCCTCTGAAAATAAGAGTTTATGGCAGAAGTTTTCAAATTAAGACCCAATGGGAAAACACAGAATTTTCAGTCCTGTTTTGGTTCTTTTAAAAATAAATTATTGTAAAGATGACTTCTCTCATCTGTCAATGTAATGATCCCATACCTGGGGTATTCAAAATATTCAAAATGTGTATGGAGGAAATGGTAAAAGTTAATCATTTTCACAGTACCTGTCTGTGGTGAGGTTTAATTATCACTTGACATATTTCATGGTTTAAAATGATGACAGTTTAAAATAGAGCCAGAGAGAGCCAGAAAAATCCATTCATTATCATGTGTCAGGTGCTACATTGGAATAACCCCCAAATACAGATGGTCCCTAGACAGATGATTCTGCAGCATTTTCTGATAGCTACAGATGTCCCTGCTACTGAAACCCAGACTGAGAATACCATTCTGACCCTGCCGTCAATATGCAGAGGGTGCTTGGGTGAATCTAGCAGCGCGGTTTGATTCTCGTACCGCATCGCAGATGCTAAACTCCCCCATGCTCTCTCCAATCCAAACCTCTCACTGGTCTTCTGCAGAATTTCTAATGAACAAGATAATTCATTGTGAGTGTGCTTTGAATGAATGAATGAATGCTATTTAAACTACAAGGTGACAGATATTTCCATGTGCCTCTTAGGAAATTGCATGCCTTTCCAAGAAGACAAGGTTGAAAAGCAGCTTGTTGTTGTTGAATAAGCTCAGCACTGTCTGTCTGTTTAGGAAAAAATAAATAATTGTTTCTTGCCCACGAGAATTCTGGAAGTGGAGCTGTCCAGAGCTGACCCGTCTGTCCACATTTCAAATTTCACTTTGGAGAGTCCTGGGAGAGGGAGCAGATGAAGCCATTTCAGAAATGTAAATGCTGTTTGACATCTATTAGCTCAATGCTCATCCATTGCTGACAGCAGGATCCATTAGGACGCGAGTGTCATGGATCAGAGACATTTGAAATATAGCGAGAAACATGCTACCCGCAGCAGAGGCCCATGTAGATGACTTGAGAGAGCACTAGATGTGCCCACCACTGTGGTCCAGGCACCTCCCCCCCATCTCCCCAGGCTCTCTGTCTGGATTTCCCAAAGGTCAGCTGCGTAGCCAGTCTTCACGACTGCACTCTGTCCACCAAGCAGCCTGCCTGAATGCTGGGCATGGCGGTGACCATTCCCTCCTTGCAAGGTCGGGCTTGCTTCTAGTCTCTACCATTCATGGAATCATCCAAATGATCCAACTCCAGATCAAAGGCCCCACAGGGTCACCCCTTATTTGTATAGATGAGGTAGGCTTGAACAGGTACAGTGACGTGCCTGAGGTCCCAGGGGGCTAGTGAGTAGCAGAGGAGGGATTTGGGGCTCTAAGCCAGTGCTCTTAGTTCTCAGGGCTCTCTGGGTTGTTTTTCTTGCTTCCTTTCCTTGCCTCCCACCCCTGAGTCCAGGTTCTCCCTTCTCTGTAGGGTGGCACAGTGTCCAACATATCCCAGAGACTTAGCCGCCATATCCTAGTGATGGGGGTCCTGGCTAACTGAGTTTTCTAGTTAAGTTCTATGTTTTGACTTTCGTTTAAGTTATTTCTAAGTGTTTTGTTTTCCTGCCTTAGGGGATCGGAGATTATATGGGAGGGGGCACATGATGACAACTGTTGTTATTAAAGCCTCCACCATATGCCATATGCTATGCTAAGTTCACTTATTTTAACACTCACAATAGTCCAATGTAGCCAGATAGTGTGATATTCTGTTTTAGAAATGAGAAGACACAGCTTTGAAAGGATTTGTGATTTGGTTTGCTGGGCGTTTCAGTAAGTTGGTGACTTATTTATTGACCTCACTGTACCTAAATATTCATTCCTTTGTGGTGGGATGTCCCTGTGTCTTGCTACTGTAGCTTTGCTAGGACCCTTGTCCTGAGGACTCTCAGCTCTAAGGCAAGTCTGCAAGGTCACTTCTAAATGGACAGTCCTTGAAAAGCTTAGGAAGAGCAGGCGCATCCATAGCTGTGCTTGATGGGAGGGGAACATGTGGAGGACAGAGGGAAATGGAAAAGAAACGTCCGAGACAAGACACTGAGAAGATGCTGCCATGCCTCGGAAAAGAGGGGAAGATGCTGGTCCAGGCTATTAGTCTTGGACAAGCCTAGGCTTCCTCCCTCTTGATACAGACTGTGGGTTCCGGGTACCGCGGGACTCACCCTCTCTCCCGCGCCCCCTGGAGGTCAGAGGGAGAGTTACGTTTTCCAGGCCCAGAGACCTGATGGCAAGAGACTAAGTAGCCGCTGCAGTTGGAGCACAGGGAACCGCAGGACCAGGAGACTTTACCCAGAGGTCGCTTGCCCTGAACCCTACAGTTGAGAATTCTGTGGCTCTTCTACCATGTGCAAGTGTCCAGAAAAGACTTGCACACATATATCTCTCCTATCTGCTGCTAATTCTTAGAACACCCACTGTTAGGGCTTCATCCCCTGTTTCTTTATGAATACCCCCAAAGTCACGTTGGGTCCTGAAAGAACAGCTGAACTTTCGTTGAGCCACATCATCTCCTACCTGGAAACTCACCAAGCCTGTCTGCCTCTTCATAAGAAAAGTAAGACAGGTTTCTCCTAAGACCCTTGAGCCCGATTTCTGTTCCATATTTGTTTCATATGACAGGTCTCAAACTGGTGGCTCGTGGGCCAGATTCAGCCTGCAGCCATATTTTGATTTATACCATCTTGGCCTGCAGAGGTTTTTTGTAAACATAAAAATATTTCAATATGAATGAGTTGCCATCGTTTGAAAATAAGGGCATTTTACCAACAGATTCAAATATCCAAATATACAGATGATCTTGGAAAGCAAAATGCTTTGATAACCCTGGGCCCACATGACCTCATGGCAGCAACAGGCTTGGGTGAGAGCAGCCGTGTCTCTGAAGGGAATACATGCTCTCCTGCTTTTCCACAGTCCTCACCACTCCCTAGTGCATTCCTCATAGCGAGACTAAGTGTGTTAGATACAGTTCTGTAGAATAAATATGACCAAGTAGAAATTCCAGAAGACCCATGCTCCTTAAATTACTTGTGTGGCCTCCATAGACATTTGAGTTTTCAATCCCTGTTTTGTACTAAGGTATAGAACTTGTTAATTATGGACCAGTAGAGTCAGATGTCAGTAAGGAGATGGGGGAGAGAGGAAAGTGGAGGGCAGGAGGGAAGGTGGGGAAAATTAGAGTAAAGGCTGAAGCAACCCTTTACCTCCTCAGCCCTCCTTGAATGTCTCTAATGATGCTGGTGTCTAGAAGTGGGTCCTTGCTTTAGGCAGTTAAATCTTCCATCATTCTATCTTATTTTTTGATATTTGTGCCTTAATCTATAAATATTCACTCTAGGCAGTAAATTTACAAGCAAGGTTCAAGCTTGGTAATTAATATTTGTGCCTCTCTATGTAAGTTATGTCTTTAAAATGAGGCAATTGCTTTAAGCATTTAAGACATTCCGCGTATATTGCAGAGTAATTACTTTCCAAAGATATTTCCAACTGATATTTTGTTACATCTAAATATACATTTACAGTACTCAGTAGACCAGAATAGCTCTAATTTATATATTTGGTCCACTGGGTTAGAAAAAGAGACATTTTAAAAGTATGTTTTTAATCAGTGTGTTTATCCCAAAGATACTGTTGGCTCCTCCAGAATCACACGATTTTATAAAAAATAATAAATGTGGTGTGTTCTCTGAGCTGATTTAGACTTTAATGAGAGATGACATCTCAGCGGAGCATGAGCATGGCTAACTTTTAATCCGGGCTCCGAAGTGTTCTAGAGCTTGGAGGAACTTATTAACTCCCTTGGTGTCATTTTCTTAATGTACAAAATTCAGATGATAAACAGTTACTGCCCTTGTGCAGTGAGAATTAATGCTTTCTGAGTCGCAGTATTGTTTTGATAAAATAGTCTTAATTGTTTGCTTTGTACATTTTCTGCTTTATTATTTTTATTATTTCTCTTGCCTCTGTAATTGGTCGTTATTGGGTTCCCATTATTTCTTTATTAGTCATTTTATAAAAGCTATCTTGTGATTTATCCTCCCTCCCACACTTGCTGTTCCCCCAAGTATCGTAAACAGAGGCAAGACCCAGGCAAACAAAGCTGGTGGTATTGTTGGTTGCTTTGAGTGGCTCGCCCGTTGTCTTTAGGATGGTTCATTCCCAATTGCTTGACTGCTATGAAAGAACTTATATGAATCCCAGGAGGTTTATTAGAAACATGTTCTAAGTAATAGTAAGAAAGTTGGATTAACAGGGTCTGCATGGAAACTCTAACCTCCCTCCCTAAAGGAGGAGAGGAGCAAGATGAGTCTTTCCAGCTTGGGGCAGGCATCGTAAGTGTACAATGACCACATAATATGGCACACTATATAAAAGGACAAGAAAATCATCGCTCATACAGTGAAAAGAAGCCAAACTCCATTCTACCTAAAAGTTGGCTTTCTATAACATTTCCAGCCACCATTACATTGGGACTTTATCCTACTCTTATTACTCATATGATCTCATTGAGTTGAGAGTTGTCTCCTTCTGTGTTCTCTAACTATTCAGTGTAGTTTTTCAAAATTATACAGCCAGACATTCTGAGTATGATCCAATGTACTGGTTATATTACTTTGAACAAGTTATTTAAACTTCTGTGCTTTGGTTTTCTCACATCTAAAATAGTGGTGATAGTTCTATCTACCTCCTATGGCAGTTGTATGGATTAAATGCATATTAAAAAGCTTAGCATAGCACTGGCCCACCTTCTGAGTAGGCTCTATATTAGCCATCATTGTTAGCTATTATTCACCCACAGTTGGGGCTGGGGTTGCCTGGGGTTGTGACTTCTAATTCTAAGTGGGCCTGTAGTATGGGGGACTAGGATGTCTTTGGTGAATACTTACTGAAATGCATTGGGTTAGAAAGCCTTGGATTTAACTGGACCAATTTATTTTCTTTCCTCAAAACTGAGTAATCACATTTATCCACCATTTCAGAAAGAGTAGATACTAATAACATGAAAATTTTAGAACTATTTATGCAGCTTATTGTTTCTGGCTATATGGGAGGCTAGATAACTTAGCTGACTCTCCCACTTAAAACAATTTTAAATAATGGATAAAACATTTAAGCAATCCTTTAAATACCTCAGTGAGAAAGCAGGAACTAAAGATTCATAAGAGGCCAAAAACTCAGAGAAAGTTGGGTTCTAAAGCAGACTTTTGCTTTGAGAGTATTTGCCCAATGCAGGTGACCTTGAACTCTGATTGTTACGACCTCAAGAGATATGGGGACAGGAGTCAAGCCTAGGGCAGATCAGTCTGTTAGAAAACCTCCTCTACATAAAAGCTGAGACCCCAACAGACCCCAGTAGGCTACCTCTCTAGTGTAAGGATGAAATAAAAATAAACATGCCCTGTCTTCTCTCAAGGATGTGTGAAGAAAATTGCCTGCCTTAAACCTTGATGCTGAGTGGGAGCCAAAATGTTTCCTCTGAGAACAGGAACCACAAGCTAAGCTTTCAGTAGAATTCATATAACAGACTAGTCTGAGAAAGCCTCAGCCAAGAATTTTGCTTGAAACAGTCCTGGTTGATAGTGTTCCTAGGTACATGGTAGAGCAAACACAAATCCTATGTAAAAGAACTCTTCTTCAGTATTGGCCTCAAATAATTTTGACAGTTTTCCATCCAAGGAATATGAGCTCCCAGTTAAAATTTGTAAAAATGAAAGGATGCAAAACACCAAAAGAAGAGCCAGCAGAAAGGAACTATGAAGACCAGATAATAGAATTAACATTTAAAAAACTGTGCATGCTGTGTTATAAGCAATAAAAAGGGAGCTGAAAATATAAACAAAGAATAAACCTATAGAAACTATCTTGATTATTTGAAAAATAACCAAATAGAATTTCTAGAAATTAAAAAAGGTAATTGAAATTTTAAAAATCAAAGGATAGACTTCAGAGCAAACAGGGCATAACTGAAGAGAACTGGAAGATACATCTGAAAATGTAACCAGAATGCAAGGAGGAGACAAAGCTATCAAGGTTAGGAGGCAAGGAGACTAGGATAAGGAGGACTCAGTCATTTGTAATTGGGGTTAAAGAGAGAAAACAGGAAGAGTAATATTGGAAGGGATAATGGTTGAAAAAAGTTTGCAAAACTAAAGGAAGACAGCTATCCTCAGATACAGGAAGCCCAGTAAATCCCAAATAGGATAAACAAAAAGAAACGTAAGGCTATCTACAACAAAAACTTGCAGAATACTAAGGACAAAATGATAACCCTCAAAGTAGCTAGAGAGAAAAAACAGATTACTTATGAGAGACTTATAGTTTATTTCCCAGTAGAAATCAGAAAGCATTGGAATATCTTTAATATGCTAAGAGAAAACATTGGTCAATCTAGAATTTTAGACCTATTAACCATGTTCCACAACACTCTTACTCTTATTTTCTGTTTTTTCCCTTCTTTTTTCCCCCTTCAAGCTTCAATCTACCTTTGAGTTCATTAACCTTTTCTTCAGAGTTTTTTTATGTTAATTCTAGCCAGTGAATTCTTAAAATTCAATATAATATTTTACAGTTCTAGATCCTTTTGATTCTGTCTTATGGGTTCCAGTTCTCCGTTGAGCTACTCTTTCTTTTCTTTGCCACACAGATGATAGTAATTTTGAAGTCCTCTGTCTGCTAATGCCAGTAGTGTTAGTATCTCTAGGTCTACCTCAACTGATGATTTTATCTCATGATTACAGGTTACCATTTTTTGCTGTTCATGTTTAGACTTTGTTAGGAGATTTTTTTTTGGTTTCTCCCTCAGTTGTAATGTATAGGCCTTATTCCTAGGATATGATTCTTACCCATAGGACAAAGCCTTTTTGTGTAGTCTGAATATCAACTAGTATGCTGCAATTCATTTCTGCCACTAACCCCCTGGAGTTAGCAGACACCCTAAGTTAAGGACTCAGTCCTCTATAAGACTGCTCTCACTTCAAACGCTAACCATAGGTTCAGGGTTCCCCCAAGTCACCTGCATTTCTGACCTACTGACTATAAATTCTTGACTATAAACACTGACCATAAATCCTTTCCATGACACCCTTAGGTTTGATAATTCATAGAGTGACTCACAGAACTCAGAAAAGTTCTATATTTTTGACTACCATTTTATTGTAAATGACACAGATGAAGCCAAATGAAGAAATACATAGAGCAAGGTCTGGGAGGGTCCTAAATGCAGAGCTTCCATGCCCACTTCCCATGAAATCAGGCTACATTGTTCTCCTGGCACATCAGTGTGTTCACCAACCAGGAAACTCTTCTGAGCTTAGGTGTCCAGGGCTTTTATTGGGATTTTATTTTGTAGGTATTATCACTTTAATGATTGGCCGGGTAACTTTAATGATTGGCCATGTAATCCAGCTTCCCCTCTTGTCTTAGTTAATTTTCTGGTGCTATAAGGGAATACCTGAGACTGGTTAATTTATTTATTTTTTTAAAAAAAGAGGTTTATTTTGGGTCATGATTCCAGAGGCTCAGGTTGCCAAATCTGATCATCTTCTGGTGAGGGTCTCATGCTTCATCATAACATGGGGGTGAGCTGAGTGCTTGCCAAAAGGGCAAATGCAAGGACAGCCTCACTTTATAGCAACTCGCTTTTGTGGTAATTAATCCAGTCCCATGAAGGGGAGGACTCCCACATTCATAAGAATTAACCCAGTCCTGTAAGAGCAGTGTTAATCCCTCTTAACAACCCAATCACCTCTTAAAGCCCCCATCTCCCAACACCACCACACTGGGGACCAAATTTCTAACACATGAATTCTGGGGGACACACTGAAACCATAGCATTTCACACCTGCCCCCCAGAATTTCATGTTCTTCTCACAATGCAAAATACAATTATTCCATTCTAATAGTCCCAAAGGTCTTAACTTGTTCCAGCACAAACTCAAAAATCCAAAGTCTTACCTATGAGCAGCTTGTGGAATCAAAATGAGTTATCTACTTCCAAGATACAATGAATGGACAGGTATAAGATAGACATTTCCCTTCTAAGAGAGAGAGAGAGACAGACAGACAGGCAAGAAGAAAGGAGTATCAGGCCCCAAGTAAGTCCAAAGCCCTACAGGGAACAACATTAAGTTTTGAGGCTGCAGAATAATCTTCTTTGACTCCATGTCTCACACTTCAGCTCTCCCAGAATGGTGTTGCATGCTGTAGCTCCATGGTTCTGAAGTCTTTATGGTGATTCCATTCCCATGGCTCTACTAGGCATTACTTAATGGGGGCTCTCTGCAGTGGCTCAATCCTTCTGACAAGTCTCTTCCTGGGCCCCCAGGGTGTTCACAATATCCTTTGAAATCTGGGGGGAGGAAGCCATGCCCCCATATCTCTTGTATTCTTCATGCCTGCAAAATTGATGCCACTTGAATGTCACAAAGGTCAACTTGTACTTTCTAGAGCAGTGGCACTAGCTATACCTGAAGCTGTGGCTGGGTTGGCAGAGGAGTGCTACGCTGGAATGTGGGGAACAGAGACCTCAGGAGGCCCTGGGAAGCAAGCCTGTGGAGGGTGCCCTGGGCTCATTTCCTGAAACCATTCTGCTCTCCTATGCCTGTGGGTGTATGATGCAAGGAGCAGCCTTGAAGTTCTCTGAAATACCTTCAAGATCTGTCTTCTATTGTCTTGCTTATCCCTTCTGTCTATACTAATCTCCTTAACAAAAGATTGCTGGACCACATCTTTGGTTTCCTCTCCTGAACACACTTTTTCACTCTTTTTTTTTTTTTTTTTTTTTTTTTTGAGACAAAGTCTCGCTCTGTCAGCCAGGCTGGAGTGCAGTGGCATGATCTGAGCTCACTGCAACCTCCGTCTCCTGGGCTCAAGCAATTCTCCTACCTCAGCCTCTCAAGTAGCTGGGATTACAGGCACGTGCCACCACGCCTGGCTAATTTTTGTATTTTTAGTAGAGACGGGGTTTCACCGTGTGGCCAGGCTGGTCTCGAACTCCTGACCTGAGGTAATCCACCCACCTTGGCCTCCCAAAATGTTGGGATTACAGGCATGAACCACTGCATCCAGCCACTTTTTCACTCTTTATGTGGCCAGCCTGAGAATTTTCCAGGTCTTTCCACTTTGCTACCCTTTTGATTATGAGTTTCATCTGTAAGTCACTTTTTCCTCTCTCACTACTTAATGTAAGTGGTTAAAAGTAGCCATATAATAGCCTGAATACTTTGCTGACACTTAGATATTTCTTCTACCATATATTCTAATTCATTGCTCTTAAGTTCTACAGTCCATAGAGCCCTAGGGCATGAACACAATGTAGCCAAGTTCTTTACAACTTTATAGTCTTTACTCCAGTTTCCAATACCTTGTTCTTCAGTTCCATTTGAGACCTTGTCAGAGTGGCCTTTACTGTCCACATATCTGTGAACATTCTGGTCATGACCATTTAGATAATCTCTGAGAAGTTCTAGACTATCCCTAGTTTTCTCTTCTGCACCTTCACCAGAATTACCCTAAATCCTCCATTCATGGCAATATAGGCTTTTTCTAGCATTCACTTTTTTGGAACAATTTTGGAACAATTCACAAAATTGTTCCATTGTCTAGTTCCAAAAGCTGCTTCAACATTTTCAGGTATTTGTATAGCAGTAGCCCCACTTTTTGTGTCAATTTTCTCTTAGTCCATTTTCTGTTACTATAACTAAATACCTGATAGTGGGTAACGTATAAAGAAAAGAGGTTTGTTTTGGCTCACAATTCTGGAGGTTGAGAAGTCCAAGATCAGGCAGCCACATCTGGGTGACTTCTGGTGAGGGCTTCATGCTGCATCATGACATAATATAGTAGGGAAGTGGGTGGGTGTGAAAAGGGGAAAACTCAGGGAGAAGCCTTGCTTTATAATAACACACTCTTGTAACTAATTCAGTCCTGTGAGAGCAAGGACTCACTCACTTCCTCGAGAATTAATCCAGTCCTGCGAGAGTGGCATGAATCCCTCTTAGTGACCTAATCGCCTCTTAAAGACTCTACCCCCAACACTGCCACACCAGGGACCAGATCTCACGCTGGAATCTTGGGGAGCACTCTCAAACCATATATGGGAGCTCTTTTTGTCCAGAAGTCAGGCTAGCTCTAAGACCTAACCCTCTACTCACATGGTTGATATTTCTGGTGACCAGCCCCTGTCCTGAGCCATCTCATCTCTTAATGTAAACTCAGGTGTGATATAAGGGTGTGATATAAGGTGTGATAAATAATAAAGATACTCCTATTACTCCAAGGATTTTCTCCCTTTCAGAAACCAGGGACAAATACCAGTCAAATTCTTTATTATACCACTGGGTCTCCACTGCCCAAAAGCTCAGAGTATTTACCAAGCTCTCTATACTTTGACTGGGCCAGAATTTCACCTACTCAGTGCTATACAACCTGTAAAATCTCTGTTGAGCTCTTAGCTCCCCAAATATTTCCAGGCCCCTGAAATCTTGCTGCTGTTCCTACAGCTTAGGATTTAGTCCGGGACCAAAGAGAAACCCTATTCAGGCTTTTGGGGCTCCTTTTCTGTAAGTTGCTCTTATCCTGAGCTCAATTCCAGTCTCAGAAATCTCAGACTTTGACATCTTTTTCTTCTGCCTAGTAAGACTGCTGCTCTCTACTTGAGCTCCATTTCCCTGTGACAAGGTTTGGGCCGTGAACCCATTAAAAACTACCCTCAGGAAGAAAACGGGGGTGAGTGTGGTGCTCATCTCGTGTGTTTTCTTTCTTTCAAGAATAGCAGCACATGATGCCTGCCTCCAGGGCCTAGAAAGAATTGTTTTACTGTTCTAGTCCAGCTGTACAGTGATTTTTAAGTCAAACAACAGCTATTTTATTGAAGCCAGAACCATAAGTTGCCAATGTTTCCTCAGTATAGAACTTTATACCATCAAATATCTTTGAATAAAATTTTAAAATGGAGACATTTCTGAAAAAAAAATAAAAGATTTTTAACACACCTTCATTTGTGGCAATTTTAATGGATGTTTTCCAACAGGAAGAATGGAAAGTCTAAGATATAAGAAGCAATAATGAGTAAAGAAAGTGGCAATATTTGGGTTAATATTTGGGAATTAATTTAATTTTAATTAATTAATTAAAAGTGGGAATATTTGTGTTAATCTAAGTATTAATTGCTTGAAATAATAATGTCTCATAACTTTAAAAGTTTGGCAGAAAATATGTGAAAATATAGCAGATCAGTCAAAAAAGGACAACTTCAAATTTTTGTACTGAAATCCTTGTATAGTTGAGAAAAAGAAAAAAGATACCTATAAACTTAATTTTGATAAGTATAGAGGGTAAAAATGTCTAAGGAAACCACTAACAAAGCATAACTTTCAAGTTTAGTAGTAGACAATAAATGAAGTGAGAAAAATATTCAAAAAATCTAGGAAGAATTCAAGGGAGAAAATGAAAAATAGAAAAGGCAGAAAAAATAGAAAATACAAAATATTAGCTTTAAATTCAAGTATATTAGTAATTACAATAAATGTAAACAAACCAAATGTTCCAATTGAAAGATAATAGTTATCAGAATAGAAAAAAAAGGCCCAGCTATTTGACAAACAAACAAACATATCTAAAATACAAGGATAAAGGCTGAAAATAAAAGATGAAAAACAATATTCCAGAAAAATAGCAGAAAGAGCCTGGTATAGGTATAATAAAGTGAAACACAATATAATAGAGGCATAAAGCATAACTAGAGAGTAAGAGGACCACTAAGTAATAATAGATTAAATTCACCAGGAAGATAATAACTATTCCAAGTATGTATTTACCGAGTAAGATCAGATTAACATGTAAAGTAAAAATTGACAGACTTATAAGGAGAAATAGATAAGCTCATGATCACAATGGGAGCTATTACATAATCTTAAATAATTCCATTAGAAGAGAAGAAAGAGGCTAGGCATGGTGGCTCATGCCTGTAATCCCAACTCTTTGGGAGGCTGAGGTGGGATGATTGCTTGAGGCCAGGAGTTGGAGACAAGCCTGAGCAACACAGTGGGACCCTGTCTCTACAAAAAGATAAAAAAATTAACCAGGCATGATAGCACACACCTGAAGTCCCAGCTACTCAGGAGGCTGAGGTGGGAGGATCACTTGAGCCAAGGAGTTTGAAGCTGCAGTGAGCTCTGATGGCACCACTGCACTCCAGCCTGGTGGCAGAGCAAGGAAAAGAAAAAATAAGACAGGACCAAAGTTGATGAGTTAAACATCTCCACCTCACAATGTTAGGAAAAGAGTAGCAGAGTAAACCCAAATAAAGTTGAAGGAAGGAAGTAATAAAGAACAATAATAAAAAGGAATGGATAAAATTGAAAAAAAAAAAGTACAACAGAAAGGTTCAACAAAGCCAAAGGCTGATTTTTGAAAGAACCAATAAATCTAACAAAACTATGTCAAGAGTAATAAAGGAAAGAGGAGAGAGGGAGGAGGAGGGAATAAATACACATATCAGAAATGAAAAGAAGATGTAATAATTAAAGCTGCAGAAATCAAAACAATAATAGAATCTTATTTCACCAATATATTTGAAAGCTCTGCTGGTCAAATTTCCTGAAAAAAAAATTTGTCCAAACTCACTTCAGTAGAAATAAAAAACCTAATCAGTCTTAGCATCATTCAAGAAATATAATCAGATTTCTAACTGGAAATCTTCCCACAAAGAATATGTCAGATCCAGATATTTTACCAGTGGGTACTAACAAATTTTCCAACAACAACAATTTTCATCTCATATGAACTACTCCAGAATCCAGAAAAAGTGGGTATATTGATGAGAATAACATAAACTTGACACCAAAACCTGGTAAGAATGTTTTTTTAAATGCCAGTTTGTACATAAATACAAAAGTCCTAAGCAAAAATTAGCAAACTATATTTAGCAGTCTATTAATAAAAGATAAACCATAACAATTTGGATTTATCTCAAACTATATTTGTTTGCCACTAGAAGTCTCTTGATGTATTTCACCACAGAACAATTTTAAGTGGATAAGTCATATAATCATCTCAATAGATATAAGAAAAGTATTTTAAAAATCTAATATCCATTCATTTATTAGTGTAAGAAAAAATTCTTACACTAGGAGAACCAAATAGAAGGGAACTTCTTTAACTTCAAACACCATTTTTTTTAAACCAGTAGCAAATAATAAATGTATTTAGTATATAATGCGAGCAAGGTTTTTCACTGTTAGGAAAGGGTTTTACAGATATGGAAAGTGGGAAGTCTAGAATGGTACATTTGTTTTCAGATGGGAGTTGGAAGTATCAGTTAAGTATTGCTTAAAGTTAAGAGTGTGTGTGTGTGTGTGTGTGTGTCTGTAACATTCTCTAGCTCTGTGTGCTGAGAAGGCACAGAAGCAGTGATACTCCAGTAGCAATGTACACCCCTAGCAGCCAGGTTTTCCACTGAAGGGAACTAAGCTTCCTTGAGAAGTGGGGAAATGGAGCAGAAAAAGTATACAATGAATCTGGAAGGTTATTTGGTGTCAGAAAAATAAAGCAGCGCTCAAAACATCATGGGGACTTGTCAAAACGATACAATAGTCAACTTAAAGGACTCATGCTGGCCACATCTGGACAATTTGAGCTTTAAAAAGAAAAAAACATGTTAATGGATTTGTGGCATATTGTATGTTTCAAAGCTAGCCACAACAGTATCTTCCATTTCACATATTCTTCTTACAATGTGTCTTTGACCCTCCTCTTGTTGAGAGGCAGGGTCTATGTCCCCTCGTCTTGAACCTGGGGACTTTTGTGGAAGTGATGCTGTAGGACTTCGAGGCCAAATCGTAGATGACAGGGTAGCTTCCACCATGCTGGCTGGAACACTCATGCTGGAGCCTAAGCCACCATGTCAACTGTCTAACTGTCCTGAGGTCCCTGTGCAAACTAGTCCATGTGGAAGAACCACATGGAAAGAGCCTGAGACAGCCTGAAAAGAGAAGAATGCCACATCAGCCCCCAACAGCTTCAGCTACCATCTGACAACAACTGTGTGAGAGGCTTCTGAGCTGAATCCACCTGGCTGAACCCTCCCCAGATATCTGACCTACAGAAATATCGAGAAATAATGCAACGCTTGTTGTTGTTTTAAGTCACTACGTTTTGTGGCAATTCTTTGCATAGCAATAGGTAATCATAATAGATTGGGGACAAAAATATGAGATGACACCATGACAAAACCTCAAAACACCTGACTTTGGTTTTGGTGGCAGGAGGCATTGAGACTGCTGGTGAAAGCTTGCAGGGGCTGTGAGAGCGGGCTGGCAGAGTCCTGAGGAGGCTCTCAGTGGGCACTTAAAGTCAAGGGAGGAAAATGTTCCAAGAAGTTGGATGGAAGAACCCTGGATGTGGGGTAGTGGGTGGTTTAATAATATTGTCACCTCTGGTAATGCAGTAAGATAGGAAATATGCTAAATAAACTTGATGATTCCACTAAAGAGGCTATCAGACAGAACTTAGAAAGTACCACCAGATTAGTTTTTTTGTTTGTTTTTTTCTTTCTTTTTTTTTTTTTTTTTTTGCCTATGTTAAAACATGAGAGGGAGAGGTGAGCTGGAGGACAAACTGTTAAATATAAAGGAGCCAAGACTCACCAGGCTTGAAAGTCAAACTTGTTCCATTTCCAGCCTCTCAAAGGTGGTGAAAAGTTGTCAAATTAAGAAAAGATTTCAGGTCAAAAAGAAAATCCATGAGGGGTACCTATAAGGTTCTTTGTTAAAAACCTCAGAAATATTCAAGGTATCATAGACTCTTCCATCCAGGAAAAAAAGGAGGACTTTTACAGATCTTAAGGTGTGCCTTGCTGCTGAACAACAGGGCTTCTAGCATCTTAAGAGCATTGTCCCATAGGGAGCCCAGGAAATGGTAGGGTTTATCTTGAAGAGATTTGTGAGTTTGGCTTTTCTTGGAAAAAGTATGTATTAGGGTTCTCTGCAGAAACAGAATCAACAGAGAGAGAGAGAGAATGAATGAGTGCGTGTGTGTGTGTGTGTGTATGTGTGTGTTTAAAAATGTGTTTATTTTAAGGAATTATCTCTTGCAATTGTGGAGGCTTGGCAAATCCAGAATCTGATGGGGTAAGCTGGCAGGCTGGAGACCCAGGGAAGGGTTGCAGTTTGAATCTAAAGGCCATGTCTGCTAGCAGAATTCCTTCTTGCTTGGGGGAGGTCCATTTTTGTTCTATTAAGGCCTTCAACTGATTGGATGAGACTCACCCACACTATGGAAGATAATCTGCTTTACTCAAAGTGTCGCTATTAAAATGTTTACCTCATCAAAGAAAAAAAAAAAACCTTCACAGAAACATCCAGTAAAATGTTTGATGAAATATTTGGGCTCTATGACCCAGCCAAGATGACACACTAATCACCACAGAGTACATTGTAAACTGATACACTAAAAGAATGCAAGTTTGTTTTTTCAAAAATTATACAAGCTTAAACTGTAAGTGATAGAGACAGTGCAAAATGAAGAGGTCCCTGAATGTCCTAACTTCTACAAGAAGGAAGCAGGCTGAGAAAACTACTTAACATGGGTTACTTTGTATGGAAAGGAAGAAAGACTCAAAAGGGTGGAGCCAAGAGCCCTGGAGAATTATTCCTGGAGTCGACCGGAGCCCTAATCAAGGGACTAGAAACAAGTACTGGCTAAATTGCAGAACTGCTATGCATCAGCACCTGATGTGTGCCTCACATTTTCTCCCTTTTTAAATGAAAATATCTGTAGAAGTTGTCCTGTGCCGCCCCACTGTTATGCATGGGCCTGTGGAGTGAGTGTTTACAGGTCTTCAGATTCAGAGGAATGGTGTGCGAGGAGCTGAATCCTAGGAACCTCACATGAGAAGTCTTGTCTGAACCTGGACCTGATTTAGATAACAGATAACCTGATTTCGATCCTGGATTTTGTGCTGCTGCACTAATAGATTTGGGGATATTAGAGAGAGGATTATTGCATATGGGAGGGATGTGAATTGTGGCCAGAGGGTGGATCATAGCAGATTGATTTTCCAAAGATGGCAGCAGCAATATCTCTCATCACGCATATCCTTATAACATGAATTTGACCTTTCTTCCATGTAGAGATGGGATCTATTTCCCCTCTTGAATCTGGGCAGGTTGTAACTGTGGCAGATGTGATTCTATATGACTTCTAAAGCTTTGTCATACAAATGACAAATCATCACCTTGCCGGCTAGATTGCTCACGGTGGATCCCCGAACCACCATATAAACAGTGCCCTGAGGTTACCATCTTGTGAAGGAGCCCAAGTGAGCCAACATGTAGAGACCACGTGGAGATGCTCTGAGGCCACACGAAGAGAAAGAGAGACGCTCAACAAGCCCCCAGCTGGCTAGCCCCCCGCTCTCCCAGCTCTGGCTGTTGTCTGACTCTAACCACATGAGGGACCCAGAGCCAGAATCACTTAGCTGAGTCCATCCCAAATTCCCAACCCACAGAAACCATGAAAGATAATAAAATAAGTGTTGTGTCAAACTCCCAGGCTTTTGAATGGTTACACAACAAAACATAACTGGAAAATAATTATAACACACTGAATAAAATAGGAGTGCATGAGTCCCTACATACATAAATGAATAAATAAGTAGATGGACATAAAGGAAAGCTCTTCCTGGTAGAATGCCAGATAAGAAATATAGAAGGAAAGATGGAGTTAAAAAAAAAAAGTCTCAGCAGATACGGAAAACCAACAGTCAAAGTTTGATGAGGAACAGAATATTTACATATTCTGCAAGTGTTTCTCCACACATTACTTTTTAATTACAAAAGGTGGATATAACCTTAACCAAGCAATTAAAGCTAGCATCACCAATATTGGGATGAATCAACATCATATGCCTCTTGATGTGATATACTAAGAAGGACAAAGTGTCAATTCTTTGGTATTCCTGTGAAAAATTTATAACTTGAATCTTAGGAGGAAACATCAAACAAATCCATGTTGAGGGACATTCTACAAAATAACTTGCCTGTACCCTTCAAAAATATTAAGGTCAAGAGACAGAAAGGCTGAGGAACTGTTCCAGATAAAATGAGACTAAAGAGACATAACAACTAAATGCAATCTGTGATCCTGGGTTCGAACCTGGACTAGGAAAAAAAAAATAGATATAAAGACATTATTGGGATAATTGACAAAAATTGAATATGGACTGTGGATTAGGTAAAAGCATCATAACAATGCTGATTTCTACAGTTATACTGTAGGAGGCTGTGTTGACCTCAGGAAATATACGCTTTAGGATTAAAGGCACATGGGGCTTTAGCTTGTTCTCAAATGGTTCCCCCCAAAATACATGTATGTACTGTGTTTATATATGTATAAATATATACATGTATGCCTATATATTTATATATATATGTGTGTACATATAGATACACACACACTATATATGTGTGTGTCTCTGTGTGTGTGTGTGTGTGTGTATATATATATATATGTGAGAGAGAAATGATAAGCAAATGGGGCAAAATGCTAAATCTGAGATAAAGTATAGGAGATCCTTATACTATTCTTGCTATTTTTCTGTGAGTTTGAAATGATATCAAAATAAACATGAGCAGGATGAGAGCACCTGCTATCTCACTTCTATTTAATATTGCACTGGAGGTCCTAGCTAGTGCAGTAAGGCAAGAGAAAGAAATAAACAATATGAAAATTTGAAAGAGAGAAACAAAACTGTGATTATTCACAAATGATATGGTTGTGTAGAAAAGCCAAATGCTCTGTGAATACATTACTAGGATAACTAATATCTTTTAATAAGGTTGTTAAATACAAAATCAACATGCAAAATGTAATTGCTTATCTGTATAACAGTAACAAAGAGAAAATGTAATTTAAAATTGATACCACTACTGGCATCAAAAATATAAAGCAAGAATGAATATAACTAAAATGTGTAAGGTCCTCATGGAGAAAAAATTATGAAACTTTGTTGAAGGGGCTAATTAATTAATAAGAAGGTCAGTATTGTAAAGGAGTTTATTCTCCCCCAAAATGAACAGTGTATTAACTTGTTATAGAAAGTATATGAATGAGTGTGTGTAATTTGACAAGCAGGTTCTATAATTTATGTGGAAACCAAAGGACCAGAAATAATGATGGCCACCCTAAAGAAATAGCACAAGACACTGCTGGTGAGAGCAGAAGCTTGTGCAACTCTTTTGGGAAACAGTTTGGCTTTATTTAATACAGCTGAAAATGCCGTACTCTAGGAACCAGACACCCCACTCCCAGGAGCAACCTCTCATAGAATCTTTTCCATATTTGCACTGGGAGACATGAACAAGAAAGTTCTAGCACCTCTGTTCATAATTTAAAATTATAAACAATTTTAAGATCTAGCAACAGAGGAATGTATAAATTCTAAATTGTGATATAGTCTACAGTGATAAAGAATATAGCAATTATCCTATAATAATATATAGAATATAAAGAGATAGATCTGGAATACTATACCCAGAGTGAAAATGAATGAATTACAGTTACATGTAATAAAATTGATGAGTCTCAGGCACATAATATTTGGCAAAAAGAAGCAATGACAAAAACAAGTAAAATTATTATACATAAATTATACATGGATAATCACTGTATTGTTATTTTATATGCCACATATACTTTATAACTACTTTGCTTCTATTCATAAGTTAATTTTAAATAATTTTAAAGAAATTTTAAATATTTATTATGGCATTGATTATAATAATAAAGTACCTTTAAATGTCCCCCAAAAGTAATTGACTGAAATAATGACAATACAATCATGTCATAGCATACTAAACAAATATTTAAAACAATGTTACACCTTTACAAATATTTTGTTGAAATAGAAAGTTGTTCACAATATGCTGTTAAGGGAGGAGGAAAGCAAGTTCTAAAAATAGAATGTACTGTAGGTTTCCAGTTTCTAATCTGAATAAATAAATAAATGAGATAAATATGGAAGAATATAGACTAAAAATTGAGGTTTATTTCTGACTAGTCAGTTGGAATAATTTTTCTTTCCTTCGTTATTATCTGTATTTTCTAATATTTTCCCACAATAAACAGATACTACTTTTATAATGGGGGTAAAATCTGATGCTAACCAGAGACCAGTGCATGCCTTTCCGTCATGTGCTCAGTTCATTCATTCATTCACTTGCTTATTCACCATTCCGTGTGTATTTGCAGAGGATCTACTGTGTGTGAGAGGCCCTCTGCTTGGTGATAGCGAAAGAAAGATGAACAAGGCATTGTCCCTACTCTGGAGCAGTTCAGTCTCTCAGTCTCTGTGTAAATAATAACCTAGTGCCATATGCACTATTATGACACAAAACGACGACACTCATTAGTATGAGAATGTTTACTTCCTCTTCACTTCCTTCAGTCCACCAAAGAAAATCCCATAATTTCTAACCCAATTTCTATCCCCCTTGTCCTAATCTACTTGGACTGCTATAACAAAATGTCATAGACTGGGTGGCTTAAGCAACAGACATTTGTTCTCTGCCGAGAACAGCTCGGTCGGGGAGACCCTAACCTAGCAGCGCTAGAAGAATTAAAGACACACACACAGAAATATAGAGGTGTGAAGTGGGAAATCAGGGGTCTCACAGCCTTCAGAGCTGAGAGCCCTGAACAGAGATTTACCCACGTATTTATTAACAGCAAACCAGTCATTAGCATGGTTTCTATAGATGTTAAATTAACTAAAAGTATCCCTTAAGGGAAACGAAGGGACGGGCAGAATTAATTGCAGCAGGAACATGCCCTTAAGACACAGATGGCTCAGGCTTTTGTTTGTGGCTTAAGAATGCCTTTAAGCGGTTTTCCGCCCTGGGCGGGCCAGGTGTTCCTTGCCCTCATTCCCTTAAACCCACAACCTTCCAGCTTGGGCGTTATGGCCATTATGGACATGTTACATTGCTGCAGAGATTTTTTTAATGGCCAGTTTTGGGGCCAGTTTATGGCCAGATTTTGGGGGGCTTGCTCCCAACAGTTCTCACAGTTTTGAAGGCTGCAAAGTCCAAGATCAGGATGCTGACCAGCTTGATTTCTGGTGAGGGTGCTCTACCTGGCTTGTAGATAGCTGTCTGCTTGCTCTGTCTTCACATGGTAGAGAGAGGGAGAGAGTTCTCTGTGCCTCTTCTTATGAGGCCAACCATCCTGTCAGATAACCCCCCTCCTTACGACCACAGTTAACCTTAATTACCTTCTTGAAAGTCTTAATGCCAAATATAGTCACATTGGGGATTAGAATTTCAACATACGAATTTTAGGCGGGGCACAATTCAGTTCATAGCACCCCTTTTTCCTTCTTTTCTCATTAAGAGGCAGGTTGGCTCACATATTAAAAGGATGAAAAGGAGGTTGCATGGAAAAAAGGAAGGGAGTTGCAGAGAAGCTGGGAGTGAAGAGATTAAGACAATTTTGGGAGAGATGCTGGGGACAGCTGGGGATGTGATGCTGGGGACAGCTGGGCGTGTGAGGGAACTGGGGGAGAAAAGAAGGGATGTTATCAAATGTCTCCATGAATTAGGTATTTGTATCCTAGTAACCATTTTTGAAAAAAGCAAGGAAAGAATTTGTGTTGTTAAAATTATTTTTGACCTTGGGGCTATGTTCCTTCAACCACATTATTCTTCTGAGGCTGGACCTTATGAGTTCTGAATTTAATGGTTCCACAATAATAGTCATCATGGGCACATGGAGGGCAGAGCTATCTGAAACTTCATCACTAGGCATAAAAGTAACAGGAATAGTGTGAAGAAATACATCAGAATATAAGGAATTCATTACTGTAGTTAAATGTATTAGAAAAGATCCACTTTTTATCCTGGAACTCAGTTTGCCCCGTGCCTGGACTTGTCCCAGAGTTAGAACCAAATTCTAGAAGGCAGAGAAGGCCTCGACTCACTGGAAAACAGCAGAGGGAATTTCTTACTGACCTTTTCTTAAACTCAAGTGACAGAAAAATAATGTGCATCTGATAGTTTAGGATGATTTGTTAGCTTTAACATGGAGTCTCCACTATTTCATAGGAGACTCAATTTACTTATTTGGTTTTTTTTTTTTACAATCAGGTTTTTTTTAATACAACCAGTTTATTTTCCAGGTGATGGGTTCTTTGACTTCCTTGAGTCCAGAACTATAAGCCAATAACTTTCTGTTTATTATAAATTAGTCTCAGATAATTCTGTTATAGTAGCACAAAACAGATGAAGACAAGTAGGTGCTGCAGGAGAATGTTAGGCCCAATGTACAGTATTAGGCCTGAGGTTTCAGGAGGAGATGTAGATGAGGAGCACTGCAGGAGGAGCACTGCAGCAGGAGCAAGGACTCGGGGGAGCCAGAGCTGTGGGAGCACCTGGAGAGAGAAGTTGGGGCAGGAAAGGGTGATGGGGCAGGATGAAGACTCCTCAGGGGCACTTAGATCCACCACCCACTCTTCCTTATTGAGGCTCACAGTCCATCTGCTCTGGGGTGGGCACTCAGGGTGACTCATTTCCAATGTGGGATGAGGTTGCTGATGAAGCGAATGTTTGTTCCGCTCCTCACTAGGTTTTGCTGAAGGTCTGTCCTGCCCAAAGCAGGGTGGAGATAACTGTGAACATGGAGAGCCTGGCTTAGTTTTCCTATTGCTGCTGTAACAAATTACCACGGACTGGGTGGCTTAAGTATAAACTTACTGGCCAGGCATGGTGGCTCACGCCTGTAATCCCAGCACTTTGGGAGGCTGAGGTGGGCGGATTGCTTGAGGCCAGGAGTTCAAGACCAGCCTGGCCAACATGGCAAAACCCTGCCTCTACTAAAAATACAAAAAAATAGCTGGGCATGTTGCTACAAGCCTGTAGTCCTAGCTACTTAGAAGGCTGAGATGGGAGAATCACCTGATTCCAGGGAGTTTGAGGCTATAGTGAGCAGAGATCACATCACTTTACTCCAGCCCGGACAGCAGAGGGAGGCCCTGTCTCAAACAAGCAAACAAACAAAACCCAACAAATACCCAGAAACTTATTATCTCACTTCTGGAAGTCAGAAGTTGAGATCAGTTTCACTAAGCTAAAATCTACATCATGTAGATTGTGAAAGCTACATCATGACCATGAGGATTATTTTTGGTAGCTCTAATTCCATGATAAAGCCCACAAGTCCCCTCTGTTTCTTGCATAAACTCGTAGAATCCACGAAGTGCTGTTTGTTGCTGAGCAGGAATCCCTGGAACTGTGCCCTAGAAGTTTCACAGCTGAGACAGGGTCTCTGGGGTTCATTTCTGGTTGGATGCTTGGGGTTTGGAGATCACCTGCCCTGGCTGTGTTTTGTCCTCTGAATGGTTTTTCTCCAGGTACTCCCTTGACCAAAGGGGAGACTCCAGGGCCCTTGACCAAAGGGGAGACTCAGGATTGGTACTCTAGGACTCTGGCTGGCCAGCCCATCTGTGACCGGCCTTTCTGAGCCAGGATGGCCACAGGTGACATTGCCCCTACTGATGTTGTTAAAGGAGGCTCTGACCTTGGTTATCAGAGCAAATCCAGCGTATGTTTACCGTGCAATGTACATTTTTGTCCTGTTGTGTTCAGAGAATCAGAAGTCCTTATGGGGTAGATAAGGCCTGGTTCTGACGCCCAGAGTCCTGTTTATGAGTGGCTCATGAGAGGGGCCTCTGTTCTGTCTAGCAGGGTCTTCCTTGGGAGCTCTTAAGTAACCAGTGTCCTGGGTTAACCGGAATACCTCCCTCCCTGGCCTTGTTCTACAATAGAGGCTTTGCCGTGTGCCTACACAACCAAAAAGGAAGCTGTTTCTATTCCCAATCAGATCTGGAGATGATATTGAACATAATTCTCTATGTTAGGAATGTAGAAAATACACAGCATGGAGGGGATAATGTGGGGCATTTTGTGGTGACTGTAGATTCCTGGAAGTTATTTATAATAGTTGGCCTATGGGGCTGCCAACAAGTGCAGAGGCAGTTCTTCTTTCTACATGCTCTAAGGGAGAATCTATTTCCTTGCACTTTCTAGTTTCTGGAGGCTACCTGCCTTCTTGGCTTGTGGCCCCACATCACTCTGACGTCTACTTGTCTACTTCTGTCATCATGTCTCCTTCTCCGACTGTGACCCTCCTGCCTCTCTTTTAGAAGGACCTGTGATTGTATTGAGCCCTCCTGGATCTTGCAGGATAATTTTTCCATCCAAGATCCTTACCTCACTCACTTCTGTAAAGTCCGTTTTGCAGTGTAAGAGAACATATGTATAGGTACCAGGCCTAGGATGTGGATATCTGTGGGGCCGTTATTCCATCTATTGTGAGGCATGCCCTGTTCCATCCCTGACCTGGAGTGTACTTGGTTTTCCTTCCCACAGTAAAGGCATGCAGATTATTGAAGGGTTGTGTCCTACGGGGATGGATGCCAGGAATGAGCTCACTGGAATGCTTTCAGTATGGTTCCTTTGAGAATATGACTGTGAGCGAGGAGTCTGATGATTTCCGCCCTATCACCAAACCTGTGGTGCTGTAAACTAAAGCTTGACTGGCAATTGGAGAAGGATCATCTTTCCCTTTCTACTTTCTCATTTCACACTGATTTATTGCAAGTTGTAGCTCACAGTCTTAGCAAATGAAACAATTTGTTGCTCACTCCATCGCTGTTCATTCCCCAGAGCTGAGAGGCCTGCTTAGAAAAATGTTCTTTTAGGGAACAAATGCAGTGTGGAGGGGCTTGGCTGCTGCCAGTGTGGAGGGATCCACACTCCACACTCAGCTCTGGCCCTCAGTCTTTCCAGGGGATATTCCACGGCAGAAGTAGGACGCTTAAGGCCTCATGAGTCATGGGTAAGAATAATCCTGAAACTCATGATGTGGGTCCCTCTCTGACAAGGTGACCACAGAGATTAGGGCCAAAGTCAGGGCCCCAGACATCTCACTTCCTCCCCTTTCATGCCTCACTCATACCACTGGGGGACGGGGTCAGCACATTCTTCCAAAGAGGTGCCTTGTAACAATTGCTTTAAAGGAACATGTTGACAAGAAGGTTGCTAAGATTTCGATGGAAAGATGTTGAAAGAAACCGTGTGAAGAGAGCATCCCATCAATGATCAGCCAGTGAGACACAAGGAGGGGTCAGTCCGTGTGTCTGAGCCCATCCTTTTCTGCATTCGCTCTCCCGGCAAAGAAGAATATCGGCCCTATCCAGGGCCGAGCCTCATCTTCAGTCCCACCTTCTAGATGTGAGTCTGGCCCATGTCCAGTCTGGGCACAGCCTACTGTGGTCCAGGCTTGCGCAGCATTTGGCACTGGGGCAAGATCCCATATCAGAGTCTGTGGGTGTTAGAGGGAAAGACCACGGAGAGCCCACTCAGGGCCTGTGTGAGTCTGAGTCTCTGGCCCAGCTCAGCCTGCCAGGTCTCTGCACTGGGGTGTGGGGCCTGGGTATAGCCCTTAGTTAGGGGTTTCTTGGCCCTCCTCTGTCAATGTGCCTTGTTTATCTTGGGGCTCCATGGTGAAGGGTCCCTGTTGTCGGGGCAGGGTCCCTGGCCATAGGTCCACCTAAAAGTGGCACAGCCACACAGCAATTTCTAGCTGGAGGAGATGAGGTTCTCTTTCTAGCTAAACTCATATGTTCTCCAGGACACATGCAAGATATTATGCCTGTGTCTTATCTTCTTCCTCACCACAATCTCCTTGAAGGCAGAAACTAGATTTGCTTCATTTAAGCTTATTTACTTGTCTTTGTCTTCAAGGCACCTAGGCTAGTGTTGAGCACACAATGCATGTCACGTGACTGAGGATTACACGTGGGCCCTGAGAACTGCTCCATTGTGAATGTCCCTGAGCAGGCAGCGAAGGTGCTGAGGTGGGCACCTGGAGTCCAGCAAGGTGTTTTTAACCTGCTGTAACCTTGAATTCCAGCATGAGTGGGGAGGCATTTCTGCGGCTCCTAACGGTGCTATCCAGGGCCGCAGTGCTCTTGGCTCATGCTGCAGCTTCAGAAGATGCTGATTTGCTAGTTTTCCCTGAACTGTTTTTTCTTCTCTCTGAGATCAGTGATTCCCACCGTCGGTTTTACAGCACCCCAGGGTGTCTCCAGCTGTCTCAAGGGCTGGCACAGAAGTCTCAAAACCATTTGCTTCAAACAAAAAACAAATACACAGAATACAGCAGTTTTAGCTGAATTTGGAGGCAGGAAAGAAAAAAAGTCTAACAAAATCCAAACAAGCAAATTGGGTGTCACACTCCAAAAAGCTGGACTCGCTGCCTTAGAAAAGAGAAATGGTTACACAAAGTCACGTCTTCATGTACTGGTTTGGATCCGTGTTCTGAGGACTGCTGCACAAATCCAATCAGACAGGACGCTTAAAAAAAAAAAAACCCGAAACATTTTATTGCTTTATTTTCCTTTCCCATAGAAAATAAATATTACACAGATGAATAGCAATATACAAAAAACCATTCAACAGAGTTCTGAACCAGCAACTCTGAAGGGTGAGTCTTCAACGAAGCAGAACTTTACCATTTGCTGAGCCTCTGTTTAGGAGAGGGTTTAGAACCAGAAATGCCCTGTCTGGGTTGGGGATCTTTTAGCTCCTTGATCAGGCACCAGGGAGGCAGTGTTGTCTAATTATCCTCATCTATAAAATGGAGATGATAATAATCATACCTCATAAAGTTAGGAGAATTCAATAAATTAAAATTTATGAAAATCTTAAAACAGAGGTTGGTGCATAGTAAGCATTATGTCAGTGTGTGCTCAAGAAAGCATTGGGAGCCTGCAATGTACCAGGCCTGGTGCTAGCTTGGTAGGTTCCTGGGCTGACTGTTTGTGTCTGGGTTGGTTTTTGTCTCATAGGGAAGACAGAGAAGGAGACACCTGAATAAAATACCTTGTGATGAATGCTAGTTCCCCACAGAGTCATGTGAGGATTCTTAATTAAAACATGGATTCTGGTGCTGGCATTTGTTGTTAATATTTTGGGCAAGTCATTTATCTTTTCTGAGCCTTTGGGTATTCACAGGGAATGCTAGGTTCCAATAACAAATAGTCTCCATGATTTCAGTGGCTTCACACAATGGACATTTACTTCTTGCTCCAGGAACAATTCTGAGCAGGTGTTCAGATTGTCAAGGCAGCTGTCTTCCACATGGCCATTCGTGGATCCAGGCTGACAATGGCTTCCAAGATTACCCTGGGGATCAGCATCCCAGGCAGCCGGAGCAAGAGCATGGAGGCTCCCCCATGCCTGTGGGACGTTCTCATGGGCCAGACCTGGAGGTGGCACTGCTCACTGCCATGCACATTCTCATGGAGGAGACTTAATCACATGGCCACATCTAATGGCAAGAGAGGCTGGAGATAGCGAACAGCTCTGTGTCCAAACAAGAACAGGTTTTACTAGACATCTCAATTTGTTTATTTCTAAAATATGAGGTGGTATCCCTGCCATGCTGACTTACACGGGTTGTTGGGGGAACCATGCACTATAATGGATATCAAGTCACCTGGGATGGAAGGAGCTGTGTGGACAAGGGAGTTGTTGGCTGGGAACAGTGGCCTTGGCCTGCAGAAGAGTGGGGCAGGGGTTCTGCTGGTGTCTCAGCAGCACAACTCAATTCAAAAAGTGTTCACAGAGGAGCGTGCCAGGCTCTGCCCTGGGTGCTAGGGATGTAGTCATCCCATGACAAGCTCAGGGAGGAGGAATCACAGTTCAGCGTGACATGTAGCATGAGAGCTTGCATGTGGTGTCGAATCCAGACGCGGTGGTCAGGACATCCTTCCCAAGGACAGGGCATCTAACCAGAGAACAGAAGGAGATGGCCCAGTGGGGCAGGGTGGGGCAGGGGCCAGGTGGAGGGAGGGTGTTTAAAGCAGAGAAAATTCCATGAGAGCAAGAGAGCATGGCTTGAGTTAGGAACAAAAACTCAATATGAGCAGATGTTAAATGGAGGAGAAGAAGCCAAGAGTTACCAGAAAGGTTGGCAGAGCTTGTAGGCCATAGTGAGGCCTAATGGGCAGCTCACCTTTCTGTGGGAAATCCCCCCTTTGTTAAAGGTGACTTATTTCTTAGAGCCATAATAGTGTGTCTTTGAAATTGTTACGGAAACAGCAAGAGGGGACATGGCATTTTACCTGCAACCACATTCCACCTGTTCCACTGTGTACACCTGAACCAAATCCCTGAAATGATAACACTTATCAAGGTTATTCTGTGGTGCTTGGGCTAACCCTGATGACCAGGTTCACCCTCCTTCCCAACATAGGCATCTGGCTTGGAGGAGCTAAATTAATAAGATTTGTGTCTTAATAACTTGCAGGTGAGTGCCCAGTGTTCCTTGGGGGTGGGAAGCCAAGCAAGGCCAAGGCTGCCATGTGGGGTGGCTGACCCCTGGATATCAGGGGGGTTACTTGGACTCTTTTGTCTGGGCCCAGAATTGACATAGCTGTCTGGGCCAGGCACCCTGCTGGTTATCACTCCATAGCTCAGTCTGTGTGTGATGTGTCTTTTGCACCTTCACCTTCATGTTTCCAAATAAGGAAAAGTGCAATGGAGAGAAGGGGAGAATATTTCTATAATGTGAATGACTCTTGCTACTCTGAGTTCCCTCAGCTGTTCAGTTTATAATTCTTATAGGATCAGTTCAGGCCTGCATTTCCAGGGATGATGCTTGGCTGTTTAACAGCATTTTATGTCTGGAATGCTTATAACATCGGTCAGTTATGCAGTGAATGCACTTATGGGTGTGTGTGTGTGTGTGTGTGTGTGTGTGTACACGTGCACATCTCAGAGCAAAAGAGATCACAACTGAGAGGCTGAGAGAACAGACACTGGCTAGCCCTGCCTGATTTGGGGGTGAACCCTGGTCTTCATGAGGAGTCAGAAGCAGTTTCTAGTGAAAGTAGCATGTCTCTTTGAGGCATAAAGCTTCACCAGTCTTCTTGGAACCTTGACTAATTTTTGATTCTCTGGTTCCATGAGCCAAGCATTATACTAAAATATACCCCTCAATTTGCAGAGAAGTGGAAGGTGTTCAAACACAGAATCAAAATAAAGGATAATTTTCCATCTTCTGCTGAAACCTCTCATTTTCCAGCAATGTAGAAACAAAACAAGAGACGAGAGGACATGTGGGGACTGAGAATGAGTGCATTAGCAGTCTTTTGGAGATACCCACACAGACCTGATGAGCTTCTCAGGACAGAGGGCTGCACTCAGGATTCATCCTCATCCACAGTGATTGTGGCTGTGTGGACTTACACAACTGGCAGCTTGCTGCCAGTTGCCGCTCTGTTGGGTAGGAAAAAGGAGGACTTGGAAACTGCCTCCGGAGAGCCTTTTGGAGGTGAAGGAAGTTGGCTGGCAACTCTGTCCACTCAAGCTCAAAACTTCAGCCCGTTCACCAGCTCCTGTTGGTCCAAGTCTGAATTGTCCAGGTTGGCCGACAAGTTCTGCTCCTTCTCCTGTTTCGCATTCATCCCATCTCCTCCTGCTACTCCCATGTGGTCAAAGTCCTCATCCCCAGCTCCCTGCAAAGGCCTCCCCATGAGCCTCCCTGACCCTGCCTGCATAGCGCCACTTCACAACTCGTCCGCAAATGTTATCTTCTCACCACTGGCCAGCTCAGTTGGGGTTGGAGTGTGTGTGATAAGCTAATCCACGTGGAGATCTAAATGGCCTCCAGGGGTCATTAGGAACCCTCACTTTTTTTCTGCCCAAATTTCAAGACCATCCGTGGGGGATCCTTACCCTACCTCTCCAATAGGAGTCGCACCCTAACCCAGCAAGTCCCCTTCGTTCTGGCTGTACATTTGGGCTTTCCCTATTTGTGAATGGATTCTCCTCTTCCTCCAAGACCCAGCTGAGATCTCATCTCTGCAAAGACTTCTCAGTTCCCTCCTGTTCACCTTCTTTCCCTCAACACTCAAAACCCACCCCTCATTGTCCAGTGCTTGATAATGAGGCTACCCCCTTGGTTTCATGAATTGCTTCATCTCCCCAGCTGTATAGTGAAGAGAATAAAAATAGCCACAGTGTATTGATCATTTACCGTAGGCCTCATAAATATCATGGCATTTAGTATGTCCAATAACTGTGTGTGATAAGTATCAATGTCTCATTGTAGTTAGAAAATCACAGTGCTAGGTATCAAAGCTGTTCATCTGTTAAAGTCGTGCTTTCCTCAGGGCCCTCAGTGTGTGTGTCCCGTGAGAGGTGCTCAGTAGACAGTTGAGAGAATAACAAGCTGCTCCGTCTCCCCCATGACCCTAGCACCCAGCACAGTGCTGAGCATGTAATACATGCTCAACTAATATGTCTTTGACAGACATATTTGAAGGCATAAAGAGCTAGGAGAATATTGACAGTTCCCACTGGCTGATGGAGTAAACCAGGGCTTCAGGAGTCAGTCTAGAAGTCCAGATTCTGGTCCGAGTCCTGCACTGGTCAGCTGAGGGACCTCGGGTCCTGCTCACCCCAAGACTCAATTTCTTCATTTGCATGACAAGGGCTTGTGCACAGGTTCTGTGAACTCTGGAATTCTTGATGCTTTTACTCATTCCCTGAAGAGGTTAATTAGGACGAAGTGCTCTTTAACTGGCAATTACACTGCTGCGATATAGCTTGTTTAGTGAGGCCGGCATCATTGCCAAGGCCAGGACGGTTTCTGATGATCATTTGCCAGTCTCAGGAGAACAGAGACCGTGAGGAGACTGCTTAAGATGAATAAGAAACTCCCCCCACTCACCATCAAATGAGAAAGCTATGGATCCAGAGCTGGGGAACACCACTGGGCAGGATGGTTTCAATGCCCCTAATTTAGCTTGCTCTAATTCTCCCTAAGCAGCTCTTTCTCAGTGGGAAACAAAGAAGCTGCCTTTGAGTGGGAACTCTGTGTATCCTTGTGAGGTAGAAGTCAGGCACAGGCTAACCAGACATGGACTTGGGCAGTGCAGGGGGAAACAACCCAGCCCTCATCAAGCATCACGCTTGGCTTGGCCAGCTCTGTTTGGGGTGGAATGTGCGTGATAAGCGAATTCACATGGAGATCTAAATGACTGCCAAGGGTCATTTGCATTTCTAACCAAAGGGATACATAATTAATGGTAGCTCTTGAGACATCAAACTGACATATCGACTGTGGGCCTGTTTTGCCAGAACAGCGGAAAGGCTGGGGCACCCGTCTGCTGGGAAGACTCCATGTAACAGGGTTAAAAAGGTAAAGTTTCAGAGGACTTTCTGATCCATGAAGTTAGTGGTGCATGTGTCTGTTCAGGGACTCCTCATCTAAAGCATTTACAGACATATTAGCAAGATTAGGTGACTCCAAAGGGCTGTGAGGAGGACTGAGTACAGTGAGGCCAAATTCAGTCCTGAAACCTAACATCTGCCAGTGCATCTGAGTGGGTGCCCAGTGGGTGGCCTCACTCACTAGCTGGGCCAGGCAGCGGGATGGCTGCCTTTTGTGTGCAGAGGCCCATGGGGGCTGTCTGTTGGTTGTGATTTTCCTGGCTTTAGCGCTATACGTTTGAATCACTGCAGTATTGTACAACCCACCCAGGGGCGGGGTGGGGGGTGCATTTCTGGAGGGCCCTCTATGCACCTGTTAGTATTGCAAGTACGGGTCCAAAGAGACGCAGCTTGGAAGAAGCACACGTTCTGTGGTGCCCCTGTCTACAGCAGGCTTCTCTGCGCGAAGTTGTTTTAGCCCTCTGTTCTGCAAGTTACAGCATCTTGAATGAGGCAAAGTGACACACGGGCAAATGGTGTGTATTCCCTACAAACTCCTCAGAGTTGACACCGCTCTCGCCTTTCTTCTTGCATTGCCAGAGGCTGTGACTCTGGCTCTTCACTCTTCAGTCATCACAAAGCCTTTTCCCTTTATCATGTCAGACCTTGGAAAACCCACAGTCATGAAAATGATTTATCTTCCTAAATTGTCAGTGATCTCCCATTAGGCTTAGGATAAAATCCAATTTCTTCCCAGGCCTCCAAGGGCTTGTGTGATCTCACCTCTGCCTGCCTGTCTCCGTTCAAGCCCGTCCATCTCTCTCTCCAGCTTCCCATGCTCCAGACACGCTGACCTGTCCTCCTTCTGCCCCTCAAGCAGGACACACCTGCTCCCACCCTGGGCCTGTGCACATGCTGTGCTGTCCCCTCTCCCTGAGCGGCTCCCCTCGGATCTTTTGTGACTGCTGCTGTCTCATCTGGTGTCTCCCAGATGTTAACTTCCCAGAGAGACCACCACTGACGTTCCTGTCACAAGGACACCCGTCTTCCCTGCCCACCTGTGACTTTGTTTTAGCTTCTTCACAGCAATTGTTATTATGGGAAATTGTCTTATTTATTGTTTAATGTCTGTACAGTGGACTAGGATGTCGGCTCTAAGACAAAAATGTCCTCTCAGACTTGGTATTTTAAAATGTGTTTCAAATTTACAATTGTAATAAATGGGTAACATAATAAATAATAAATTGTATATTAGGTCCCTGGACTGCTGTTGAATGAATGAATGGCAACAATGATAGGAGTAGTTGCTGTTTATTGAGTACCTGTTATGTGTCAGGCTCCACATTTAATCATCACACCAAACCCAAGTGACCAGTGCTGTCAACCTCACTTTACATATAAAAACATATTAAAAAAAACCAAGATTCACAAATGTTACATGATTTTCACTTTTGTAATAGGCGTAACAGCCTGGATTCAAGCCCAGGTCTGACTGGTTCAGAAACCCATGCCCTTTCTCTAAAGAAGAAGTAGGTAACTTGCTATGTCATCCACTATCTGGTGGTTTTCCCTGCTGGCTGGTTTTCCCTTTCTCTCCCACTCTGCACCCACGCAGCTCCAGGCATGGATGCCAGTCCATTCAGATTTCTCCTATGTCTGTCCTGTGTTAGTCTACTTGGGCTGCCATGACAAAGTATTGCAGACTGGGTGGCTTCAACACCGGAAGTTTATTTTCTCACGGTCCTGGAGGCTGGAAGTCTGAGCCAAGGTACTGGGAGGATTGGTGAGGCCTCTCTCCTGGGCTTGCACACAGCTACCTTCTTGCTGTGTCCTCACATGGCCTTTCCTCTGCACGCATGCCGGGAGAGAGACGGCTGGCGTCTCTTCTTATAAGGACACCAGTCCTATCAGATTTGAGCCCTGCCCTCCTGACCTCATTTTACGTTAATTACCTCCTTGAGAATTCTAACTCCAAATATAGTAACACTGGGGTTAGGATTTTAACATGAATGTGGGGTAGGGGGGACTCGGGGGTGGCAGGGGCACAATTCAGTCCCTTACACATTCTGTGGAAACACTTTTTCCGATGCCTTAATTATACCCAACTGATTAAAATACAAAAGTAATATTAACAGTTCCCAATCAGTGCTTGAGGGCTAGAAAACATTGAAATATGTGATCCCTGCCCCCGAGGCACTTAGCGTTTCAAATCTCGGACTCATTGAGTTGTGTGCTTTATTAATGATAATTGGGGCTTTTAGAATGAATGCTGGATGCCCGTGTTGAAGCCCCTCAGCCCTGAAGGGCCACTGGGGCAGACACATGCTAAGAACGTGTCAATTGGATAATCAATTAGCTTAATTTAAAAAGTGGCAGCCACTGAGATAGGAAATGTGAAAGATGCTACTGAAAATTGTTTAGTCTGCAAGTCACATCAGAGAGATGTCTGCATCAGCATTATATCATGATTTGGCCTCCAGAATTTAGGCAGAATGTGAGAAAGCTGGAGAAGGTCCAGAAATAAACAACAGGATGAATTAAGGGAGAGAAAATAATGCTATGAGAAAAGGTGATAAGAGTTGCATTTTTTATTTTTTAAATCCCAATGCCCAAGAGATTGTGGCACATAGGTAATTACTATCTTCTAGGGTCGTTAAAGGAAGAATGCTGACCAACTGTTTAATATTTTCTTGGGAAATTTAATAGGAGTCATGGGCTCAAGTCCAGCATAAGAGAAGTGGAGGGGGCAAAGAAGCAATCATTTTGATTTTTAGTGTGATTAAATGCTGAATTAATTCCCAGCAAGGGAATTGCACTATCGGTGGTCCTGTCTTGACAGCTATTTGTCTGGAATGGTTCATGTGCATAGACTCAAGCCTCTCCCACCTGGTAGAATTCTTGCTCCTCATAGATAATTTTCCCCACAGCTATATGTCACTGTGGGGAACTCTGAGGGCCTGGGGATCTATACCCTTATTCTGCTTTGCACAGTGTCTCCTGAAGTTTCCACATCTTTGGCACTTAGAGAGCTTTACATCATCTAATTCTGCCTTCTGGCATCTCTTCTCAATTGCATCACAGTGCTCTTGGGACAACCCTGCAGTTTATAAATCCATCTACCTGGAGGCAGGAGATCAAATCAGATGACCTGTGAAGCCCCTTTGTGGTGAAAACATCTAGCGGCTTTCTTACTTAGAAATTAAAGATGGGTGCAGTGTCATGGCTGCTCACTCTGCCTCTCCATGAGAGGAAACTAAATAAAAATTCTCACAAGACATTAATAGCCAAATAAAGAGTTAATAGGGTTCGTCTCTGGGAGTTAATTTAGAAAGAGTTGATAGGATAATGGGCAATAAAATAGAAAAGGAAATAATGTTTATTGAGAATCATTTCTTCTGTTAAAATGTATTAGGTTCACAAAGGAGTTGCTATTTTGGAATCATTCATTTGATGATTCCTCAAAGATTTCTGAGAGCCAACTAGATGCCAGGCACTCTCCCCGGTGCTGAAGATAGGGTGGCAGGCAGTACAAAGCTCCTGCCTTGGTGAGCTTGCAAGTCCTCATGAATTAGGATTTCCAACTGCAAGTGACAAAAATGCAACCCAAAGTGCTTTAAGCCAGGAGAAAAGGATCTGTAACTGGGAAGACTAGTGATCACTGGTTCCATATTATTGCTGGATTGGATTCAGGGCTCAGCAGGGAAGCAAGTGACAGCCTGCCCGACTGCTCAGCTGAATCTCTGAGGTTTCCTCTTGCTGGACCAGCTTGGGTCCTGGGACCATCCCTGAACACCAGTTATATAGAGAAGGAAAGACTGCTGTACCTAAGGTTAAGTGGAGACATGTTTTCCCCCTGCTGCTGGGGATGGGGGGTCAGCTTCACCCTAAGAGTGGGGCTGGGGTCATTTTGCTAAAGCAAGCTCAGGACATGCTTGCCCTAGGAAGGAACAGTGAATGCTTGATGAAAAAAAAATTTCTTTAAGGTAGTTACTTTTTAAAGTTTTTAAACAAACTTCAGAAAGTTTAATCCACACAGGGACTTCGAACCCACATCTTTCCTTACATGGTGCTTCTTCAGGAAGCAGCAGGAGAAATATTTGCCTAGTCCCCGCTGCCAGAACCACCTTCTTCCTCCACATCAGCTTTTCCAGTGATTCAGACCCACCCCTCCATCCCATCAGAACCCATCTAGCCCACACCTCCTTCTCAGTGCCTAGCTTTGTGCTGCCCCAAATGCTACATCATTCTATATTATGCACAGTGAGAAATATATGTATGCAGAATACACACACATACCTGTGTCTGGATGATATATGTGACTTTTCATAAAAGCAACCCTGCTCTTAAAAACCCCTTCTGTGAACACTCTTCACCCTCCCCTGCCTTCTGACAGATCTCAGGCAAAGATTACACTTGCTGACAGCAGGAACCCACCAGCCCCCTAATTTCACACTTAGCACCTTGCCATTGGAAGAATGCACCATTTTTTCTTCCTGAAGTGCTACACTCCAGGGCAGGTCCTTTGTGTCCTATGAAAGTGCTGTCCATCACTGGCTGCTTCTCCTCTGGCCCCTCCCACCCCCACCCCAACGCCAAATATCTCTGGGGGCAGCCCTGGGGTTCCCATCTTGGTGCTCCCCACAGCCCTCCGTGGTGTGCTCTGGATGGTTGAGTGGAGTGGCTTTCTCGAGATGAAGAGAAGAGGCCTGCAGCATGGAAGGGAAGGAGTGGGCACAGGGCCGTCTCTACTGCTCACTGCACCTCCTCCAGTGTCCTGTGACAAATTCTGAGAGCTCTCCACCCATCCACTCCACACCTTCTTCCCCAAACCTGTGGTTTTAAGTACATAAGCAATGCAGCCACATTGCAAAACAAGAAAATGAGGGAAGGAGAAGGGAGGGTCCTGAGAAAGGAGAAGAAAAGAGGAAAAAAAGCAGAAGAAAAATTGAGAAAAGAAATACGGAAACCCACCTGCAATTGCCACCTGCAGGTTCTTTTCATGTGCATCTGTTTTATGTTGTTACTCTTTCAATACAGAGTTGCCCACGGTCTACTCTAGCTACTTGTTTATCCCAAGTAATTTCATGTAAAAAATTTACCCTCAATCTTCTGTAGCTCGCCTTGCTAGGGTGACACCTACATCTCCTGCCTAAGTATTGTCATTAGACCCAAAATGAAATGCATGTGACTTGCAGGGTCAAAGGCTCAGTGCCCTTGCTCTCCGATTAGAAGATCTTAGGATGACTTATTTTGATTTCTTGTTCCTGATTGTGCCTCTTAGGGCAGAAATGGTTCTTGCTAAACAACAAAATTCTCTATAAAAGGCATCTTGCTGGGGAAGGAGGGATAATACCTGGTTGGAAAAGTACAGGTAGTTATTGCATGAAAAATACCAAAGGGGCCCAGGCACCATCATTACTGCTATTGCCCTTCTCGGAAAGGCTGACGTGTTGAAATCAACTGTGGCCATCCCGGCTTTCCTTTATGTTGCTGCTTTGGAGCGAGCAGACAGAAAGAAGCGTGCACGTTGGTGATTGGCGGCATGACAGCCTCAAGGCACTAACCCAGCACCTGCTTCCTGAGGCCAGCTCAGCACCTCACAAGGTGCCAGGTGCTGGGATAGGAACAGAAGGGACTTGGTCCCTGTCTGAGAGGTGTTCATCTGGGAGGAAGCCAGCCATATGTGTGACTTCTAGTGCCCAATTAGTCAGTGTACATCCAGAAAGCAGGGGCGCATTCCAGCTTATAGAAGAGAAGCCCTGGGGTGGAAATGTGTTGTGTGTTTTTACAACAGTCAGAACAAATGGTGGCCTTTGGAAAGTACCATGAGCAATGTTAGATTATAAGGACAAGCAATGGAATGTTAAGGGTCAGAGGCAGGAGGGGACCCCCTCCTTGCATGGAGCACCTTGTACTCTGCCTGACAAGTGAGCCTCAAAACAGAGAGCTTGGTTTTACAAAAGTTTTTTCTTCCCTTCAGGTCTCATACTTTTATTTGTAAAGTGGTGCTAATAATAGTCTTTCTTCTTTCACTGGATTGATGAAAGACTCAAGTACTAACCACATACAAAGATTATTGTTAATTTAATGCATTCCATGGGGGGTCAGGGAATAAATATCCTTTGTAATTTGGTTTTAAGAACGATTTTAAATTTTTCCCCCAATTACAAAATGGATAAATTTGCATTGTAGCCAATTTGGAAATATAGCAAAGCACATAAAAATATTTTTAAATTATCATCCAGACATTAAAAACCATTACCATTGGCATGTATCTCCCAACCAAGCTTTTTCCTATGCACGGGTTAAGAAAAACAAGCATTCAGCATCTCTGTTCTTATATCCTTGTCCATATACTCCTAATTTTGTCCTTAACATAGAGTCTAGTAGTAAAATTGTTGGAGTGTAGAGCAGAATATATGCAGAGTTTCAGATCTTTAGAACTATAGTGTCAAACTGCCATTTTGAAAGGTTATTCAATTCACATCCCAGAAATTGAAGATAATGCTGCCCCCTTCCCCACCTGTCCTTTGCTGGGTGCTAACATTTCTAAACATCTTTACTAATTTGATAGTATAAAAATGGTACTTCATTGTTTTAATTAGCCTTTCTTTGATTATTGGTGATGAACATTTTTTTCATGTGTTTATTCACCAGTTGTATTGATTTCTCTGTAGTTTGACTACTCCTTGTCTTTTTTCTATTGATGTATTTCTTCTTATTATTGATTTGTAAAATAACACTTTTATATATTAAAGACATTGACTTTTCAGCAAACATTTTGCAAGTATTTTCCCAATTTGTCGTTTGTCTTTTGTTTATGGTAGGCCTGATAAACAGAAGGTTTGTAATGTTTATTTAGTCAAAAATGTTTAACTTTTTTCCTTTATGGTATCAGCATTCGTTTATATGCATATAAAGTGCTTTCCAATTTGGCATGGTTAATTTTGTATGTCCACTTGGCTAGGCCATAGTGCCTAAATATTTGGTCAGACATTATTCTAGATATTTCTGTGAAGATACTTTTCAGATGAGATTGACGTTTAAATTACTAGACTTTGAGTAAAGCAGATTACCCTCCATAATGTGGGTGGACCTCACCCAGTCAGTGGAAGGTCTTAGTAGAAAAAAGACTTAGCTCCCGCAAAGAAGAGATAATTCTGCCAGTAGACTGCTTTGGACTTGAATGGTAACATCAGCTCTTTTCTGGGACTTCAGCCTGCCAGCCTACCCTGCAGATTTTGGACTTGAGTGGTAACATCAACTCTTTTCTGGGACTTTAGCCTGCCAGCCTACCCTGCAGATTTTGGACTTGCCAGCCTCTGTAATCACATGAGCCAATTCCTTAAAAAAGATCTATTTCTCCCTCTCTCTCAATCACCCTACACACACACACACACACACACACAATTAGTTCTATTTCTCTATAGAACTCTAATAATATACAGCCAAAAATTATGTAAATGTTTATTTATATTTTCTTTTAGTATTATTATGCTTTCAGTTTGTGTGTGTGTGTGTGTGTGTGTGTGTGTGTGGTGTGTGTGTGTGTGCATATATATATATATATTTTTTTTTTTTTTTTTTTTTTTTTTGAGATGGAGTCTCACTCTGTCGCCCAGGCTGGAATGCATGGGTATGATCTCGGCTTAATGCAACCTCCACCTCCCAGGCTCAAGCAATTCTTCTGCCTCAGCCTCCTGAGTAGCTGGGAATATAGGCACCTGCCACTATGCTCAGCTAATTTTTGTATTTTTAGTAGAGAACAGGTTTCACCATGTTGGCCAGGCTGGTCTCAAACTCCTGACCTCAGGTGATCCACCCACCTTGGCCTCCCAAAGTGCTGGGATTACAGACATGTGCCACTGACCCTGGCCAGTTTGTACATTTTTTAGTCGGTTGAGAGTTCAATGTTTGCTATAAGGCCGATTTTTTTTTTTTGAGACAGGGTCTCACTCTATCTCCCAGGCTGGAGTGCAGTGGTGCAATCATGGCTTACTGTAGCCTCGAATTCCTGGGACCAAAGATCCTCTTGCCTCAGTCTCCCAAAGTGCTGGGATTATAGGAGCCCAGCCTCAAGGCAGAGAGGCAGAGATTTGATTTAATTATCTTCCATGTGGTTAACTAATTGTTCCAACACCATAAATTAAATGACATATCCTTTCTTTTTTTCCTTGAAATGACACCCTATTTACATGTATCTTCCTAGATTTTTAGTCTGTTGTTTTGATCTGCCTGTTCCTGCTGCCATACCCCATTGTTTTGGTAACCTTAGTTTTACAATGCACTTTAATGTTAGAGAAGTCAACACCTCAGACTGCCTTTTCTGAATCTTTTTTTAGAAATGTTTTCCACATGAGTGAATTTGAATAATTTTTGTTATGTTCCCAAAAGAAATCCCATTCACAATTTATTGGAATTGTGTTACTGTTATAGGGGAATATGGAGAAAATTTAAATCTTTACAATCCTGAATTTTCCTATTCAGGGACACAGAGTCTCTCCGTTTACTCAACCCTCCTGTTTTTCTCAATAAATTTCTGTCATTTTCTTCATAGGTGTTTTGCACATTTTATAGACATTTTATATTTTTGGTTGCTTTTGGATTTTTTGTCATTATAATTTTCTGGTTTTGTGTATGTGTTTGTATTAATTTATATTGTAAACAGTGCCTTACTAAATCTCTTACAAATTCTAATAGTAATTTTGTGAACTGTAGATTTTTTTCCAGAAAATATGATAATTTTCTCCTCTTCTTTTCAATGTTTTTTGACTATTATCTTGTATTCTTGTCTAACTGCAGGGTCTAGACCTTCCAGGAAACAAAGTCTTAGTACATAGTACGTGAGCTTCTTTGTCTTAATTCTAAAAGTAAAAGGATTGCTCCTAAGTGGTTCATTAAAATGATATTGGTAAATTATCACTGAACTCTTAGAATAAGTCCTCCTTGGTCATGGCACGTTAGTCTTTCAAAAAAAAAATAGCGCTAGGTTTGATTTGGTATTCTTTACTTAAGGTTTTTATTTATTTATTTTTGCATTACTTTTCATGAGCTGTAGATTTTAGTTTTTACATTTCATTTCTCATATGGTGGCTGATGCACTTTGAAAATGAGTTAAGAAACTCAATTTTTTCAATATACGGAATTGTTGAATATTGTTTGCCCTCCTAAGTACTTTGATGTTATTACCAACCTTGCTTTTTTGTCATTTGGTTTTTCTGACATTCACTTTGCCAACAAATATTTCTTGAGTGCATACTATGTTCTAAATACTAATTTTTACTGGTTTATCATTTAATCTATATTTTTTGTACGTTTTGCTTTTTTTTAAAAAAAAAAAGCAGGTGATATTTGTTGAGCCAATCTGAGAATTATTTATGTTATCACAGGAAGATTTAACCTATTTATAGTTATTATAATATGTGTTATGATCAGAATTGCTTCTTGCAGCTTATTTTGTTTTCTGAATTTATGCTTTCTTTTTCTTTGTTTCCTGTATTGTACTCTATAAACTGTTGTTATTTTATTATCATCTCTCAGTGCCTCATATATTCCCTAATCTTAAATCTCCCATAGGTTACCTTTAAAAATTTTGGAAGTTTTTTTTTTTTTCCTTTCCTTTTAAGAGATGGGGTTCTCACTTTGTTGCTCAGGCTGGAGTGCAGTGGTGTGATCATGGCTCATTCCAGCCCTGACCTCCTGACCTCAAGTGATCCTCCCACCTCAGCCTCCCAAAGTGCTGGCATTACAGGTGTGAGCCACCATGCCTAGCCCTGTACCACTTCTTAGTTTCTATTATTATTAGGAATTTGGAGCCAACCAATGAAAGACTTTTTGTTAGTCTTTTCTTTCTAAAACATGCTGACAATTTATTCAGCTTATTAACCAACATTATAGCATTTATTTAGATTTATCTGTTATTTATTTGGTTGCATGGCTTATCGGGGATTCTTCTATATTATAGTTTCAGATGTTAATTTTCTTTTCTTAGGTTAATTATATTAATGTTACATTTTCAAGCGATGTTTTTGAATGAAGAATGCATGGGTGTTATATTGTCTTGAATACTGCATGTCCAAGAATACAAAGTATTACTTTTATATAGTAAAGACGAGCTTCCTTATTATACTTCCTAAATAAAAGTACTTTCCCTTACAACTATGTAGACATTGGTCCATTATCTTCCAGTATTTTGTATTCCAGAATAAAAGTCTAAGGGAGGCCTGGTTTGTTTCCTTTGTTTAAAAAATAAATTGTTTTGTGGTTTGCTGGCTAAAATGCTAGAACCACTTGTCCTTTGTCTTCATTATCCAAATGTTTATTTGGGTAAGTGTAGTATCGATTTCTTACCATTTTTTCTTCTGGAACATGATGAATGCTTTTAATCTATGCTTCAGTCTTTAGGAACATTTCCCACAACTATGTCTTTGTCTTGATTATTTGTTCTAGCCTTGTCTTCTGAAATTGTCTGTGTGTAGTGGAAACTCTATTGCCTGCCCTGCACATCTGCTCCTTTTCTTCTCTGCACTCTGGGACAGCTTCTAAAGTTTGTCCAACATGTCATTGACTGAGTTTTGTATCATTTCAGTTCTGCTCTTTACTGGTTCCTATGTGGATGCTAATTATGCAAATGCATTTTCCACCTCTTGCACTCCTTTTTCTAAGTCACCTCACTTCTCATTTCCTCATGTTTTTCCTTTATCCTCTTCTCTCGAGCCTTTGATTCACCCTCTTGTTTCTTCATCTGTTCCTCTTCTCTAGAGATTCCTCCTGTTCTCCCTGAACCAACGGTTTATTATTATTATTATTATTATTATTATTATTATTATTATTATCATTGAGACGGAGTCTTGCTCTTTAGCTCAGGCTGGAACGCAGTGGCTCGATCTCGGCTCATTGCAAGCTCCGCTTCCCGGATTCACGCCATTCTCCTGCCTCAGCCTCTCGAGTAGCTGGGACTACAGGCGCCCACCACTACGCCTGGCTAATTTTTTTGTATTTTTAGTAGAGACGGGGTTTCACCGTGTTAGCCAGGATGGTCTCGATCTCCTGACCTCGTGATCCACCGGCCTTGGCCTCCCAAAGTTCTGGGATTACAGGCATGAGCCACCGCGCCCGGCCCCGACAGTTTATTTAATTCTCTTGAGGTGCCGAAGTTCTCTTACGTTTTCTTCTGAATTCTAAAGTAGATCATTCTCAGAGAGGACCCTTCAGGATAATGTTCTGTTTGTCGCAATGTACAGATTCTACTCCCACCTCTATCCCCACTCCTTTGTACCAGGCCTCATGTTGGGTTTAAATCTCGTGTACTTACCACTGAAAAAGAAGTGATCCATTCCCAGTCACTGCTGACCAATAGTCAGGATGTTTAGAAGCCTTTGTCCTTGCCGTCTGTCCATGTGGATGGCTGAAGACAGGTTTAATAGCATCCAATTCCATAGAATTGGAATTGGAAGAATTCTATAGGAAGAATCCACTTCATGCAGTTCCTCTTCCAGCCCCACTGGCTGCTGCTCTGCCCTGCTGAACACATGGATGGGCACAGGACACACTGCAGTTCATAGTGTATACTGCTGCTGGGGTCTCTGCTCTTACCCACTGTGTCGGTGTGAATTTCATGTATTCCTGCTTGTCCTAGTGGTAACCATTCTTCTCTGTGACCAAAGAATACAATTCAACGTTTCTCCTCATATAGCAATTAATAATATGCATATTTGTAAAAAGAAACAATTCTGCCCTATTGGAACATATATGATGTGAATATAAGTATACCAAGATATTCCATGCTTATAGTTTGGAGTTAGGCGTCATCAAAGCAAAATGCCTGTTACAGAAGAGGATTAGCAAAGGCGCAGCTCTCTGGAGGAGGTCTGTGAGATACTAGAAAATCTTATCCAGGCCGGGCACAGTGGCTCATGCCTGTAATCCCAGCACATTGGGAGGCTGAGGCGGGCTGATCATTTGAGGTCAGGAGTTCACGACCAGCCTGGCCAACATGGGGAAACCCCATCTCTACTAAAAGTAATATAAAAATTAGCCAGGCATGGTAGCTCATGCCTGTAGTCCCAGCTACTCAAGAGGCTAAGGCATGAGAATCGCTTGAACCTGGAAAGTGGAGGTTGCAGTGAGCCAAGATCACGCCACTGCACTCCAGCCTGGGCGAGAGAGAGCAAAACTGTCTCAAAAAAAAAAAGGAAGAAAATCTTATCCAGTCTCTGGGCATCACCTTTCCACCCAGTCCTACCTCCCTGTTGGCAACTAAGGCTACTGCAGCATCATATGCATAAGCCATTGCTCTTCCTTCTGAGTGTACAGGTATCTGGGTATATACATATGTGTGAAGGTACACATTTATCTTATTACAGAATATACTACATAATTTATGATGCAGAGTGAAAAGAGATTGAAAAACACATTCAAGTGCCTAAAATACTGCTTGGGATATGTAGCAGTATAATTGAAGGACATGTACTATAAAAGTCTAATGTGTAAAATTCTTTAAAGAATTACCCACATTATTCTATGTCAAATCTCTTGTTAAAAAACAAACTGGAAAAATTCACTGGACAGTAGCTGATTTTCAACTCCAAATCTCCAATCTATTTGAGATCCAAGCCCTCTAAGTAAGATCACAGATCATAGTTGTTTGCTCACTGTGTCATTTGGGAATCTGCAGCACCTATTGAGGGTCTTGAAGAGAATCCAGTGAGCTGTGGGGAGATTTGTATGATCAGTATCGAGTCTGAACTGTGTGTTGGACTACATGTGGCAGAGAGAGAGGTGGGTAGGACACAGGTGAGAAGCACGGTCTGCCGCCTACAGCCCCAGGGAAAGAGTGACGCTGTGGCGAGGCAGGGTGATGCGTGGGCTTTGGGCTTTGGAGGAGGGAGGAATGGCCTTGCCCAGTGTGGGCCTGCATGCATGTCCTGTAGAATCTTCCTCAGTGAAGGATGTAGAAGGAGGGTACTGTGGGTTACATGAGGGGCAATAAGGGAGCAAGGACCTTGCAGAATGCTGAACACTACAAACATGGTGGAGCCATGAAACTGGAACTGGTCCAAAGCATTTGGCTCCCACCATGCAGCTGTGGTTGCTCACCCGCCACTCCATCACTCCACCTTGAATGACGCTCAGCTCTGTCTTCACTTCTGGCCCCCTTCTGCCTGCTCCACCCACCATGGCCATGTCAGCTGGCTGCATCCCTGCTGCCCTGTCTCTTTCCTCTGCCTCTCAGCCTCTGAATACTCCTGGCTTCTGCCTCCTCCTAACTCAGCTTGGCTTGGATCCCTCTGGTTCCTGGCATACCTCATTTTGAAGCTTCCTCCAAGTCTCACTTTTATTGGGGCAAACTGATTAATCACTTGAAAAATTAATCATTTTTTCAGTGTAAATTTTCAAAAAGTTCTGTCCAGCTGGCTCTGCTCACCTCTTAGGATGTGTCACGGGAGAGTCTTTGGAGTTGCAGCCTTTGGGTCACGTGTGCCCCTTGCTCCAGTTAGACGTGGTCACAGCAAGTTGTGGGGTACAAAATATGGCTGCCTGGAGCTACTTATTCAGTTGGGTCTGCGGTCAAGACAGTTTTCCTTAGAAGAGGCTGTGGGTATGGTAAGGATCGTGGTTGACAGGATTGGTATGATGTTGCTGGCTACTGGGGAGGAGAAGAGGGAACAGCGCAAATCCAGAAGCCTGGTTCTTTGTCCTTAAGGTCTGGCTGGAAAGAAGAAGAGCACATGCAACTCCATCGCTGAATGATCCTGAGTATCTCAGGGTGCTGATCATGTCCTAACCAGGGACCCAGGCCCATGGCAGACCACTTGTGCCACAGAGAGATGCCAGCTTAGGTTGAGGGACCCAGAGGAGCCTGGCCCACAGCTGGTCTGGCTGTGCTTGGGGTGCCCTTGAAGGCATGGCCTGTGGCCTTGATGGAACTCAGAGGGGATACATCTCATCTCAGGCCCAGAAACTGAGCTCGCAAAAACTCCTTGAGCTGGAGGTGAGAGATGACCAAGCAAGAGAAACATCAGTTGCTACAAAATCACTGTAAGAATGGCTTCTGAAACAGGGGCCAGCCCGAGAGCTATACAGAAACCCTTTTTGAGCGAGAGCTGGCTTTCATGTCCCCATCTCACAGATGGGTTTTGACGTCAGAGGAGAGAACCAGCGGAAACCTTATCGAGTGGGACACGGCTGTGGCTCTAGCCTTGCGCTCAGATCCATTTTGCTGACTCACCGGTAGAGGCAGAGGACAGGATCGCAAAGCTCCTGTCTTCCAGAAAGGACTCCCTGGGGCTCCATGAAGAGAGCGCTCTCAGTAACATTTACACTACATTTTGTTCCTGTTTGCCTTTAAAATGTTTTGTTTTCCCCCAGTTCTCTTGGAGTGGGAGATAAAATCTGGGTAGGGAGCTAAGTTTGTGGTTTCTCCTTCTGCTGGAAAAATTGATCTTCCTGAAAGCTTGCATGGTCTGTTCTCAGGGAAGGCTGGGAACATTGTTGGGTAGGTCCAGTAGCAAACTCCAGACTCATAAATGAATCGTGGAGAGCTGACAGGAAGGTACCACCTGGACAACATGAGCTTTAGCCCAACCTGGGAATATCCATGCACAGTCCTTGGGGTTTGAAAGGTAATTTTTTATATAGAAATAAGCAGGAGCTCATTTAACTTACCACATGGTCTTTTGGGGGTCAGTGGATTTGTTAATATATGATGCCAACAAGGTGTTTTGCCCAGAACCACTGTGTAGAGGGTGTTGCTGTGGGCTGTTGTCTATTGTTTCACAGCATTGAGGGTAAGGCAACGAGGTTCCATTGTCTGGCCATGCCACTTAACTCTGTGACCTTAGACAAATTAGTTAATCACACTATGCCTCAGTTCTTTCAACTGTAAAATGGGGATAATGCTGGTGCCTTCCTCATAGGGTTATTCTGAGGATTAAAGGATATAACGTACTAAATACCTTGGCACAGGGCCTAGCATACAGTGGGCACTAAATCATTGGTTATGATTATGAAGTATGAGTGAGTGGACCAGATCTTTTGCCTACACTCCATATCGGAAACCAGATGTTTGTCCCTAGAGCTCTGTGGTCAGTGAACACGTGCATGACTTCTGAGGTTCCTGCCAAGGTTCAGAGCAAGCATTTCAGGGTCAAGGCTCTGGGTCAGTGGGCACTGCCCAGGGCAGCAGGAGAGACAGAGCTGTCACACTGCCTGCCCAGCTTCATGGCTGTCTTTGTATCTGTTCTCCTTTCCTGGTTGCTTACATATGTTATCGTGTTAGGCCCATTATCCATAATGAAACATTCAGAGTGTTTAGCAACCCAGAAGCTATTGCAGTCCTTCGCTGAAGGACTCTGTTGTTATGAAATGAATCATTTCCAGGAGAAAACAAGTGAAAGCTCCAACAGCCATACTCCTGGGCTGAGAGCAATAACCATTTAAATAGCGAGAGTGAACACTCATTGGTCTCAACCCCTTAAAAGGTTTTCTTGGGATAAATTGGTGCTTGCTGAGTGATTTGCTTCTCTGTGAGGGTATTCTGGGTGCTGGCTGAAATGAGCAAGGAGGAGGCAGGCCCTGGACCACAAAGGCTCCTCTCTGATAAAGAATCAGAAGAGGAAATTAGAAAAGCAAAAATCTGGACAGGCCATGAAAAAGAGGAGACGGAGAAGGTTGGCCAGGTCTTTGCTGTGTTGTAAAAAAGAGGAGGTTTCTGTCTCTTGAGAATCCAGAGCCCAGAGGAGATGAGGTGTGGGGGTTGCAGCTCTGTAGCCAGGGCAAAACTGCAGGAGAAGGGCTCACCCAGTGTAGCAGGGCAGCTCTGCTGTGGTCTGAAGGAGGCTTAAACACAGGGATGGGAAAGTGATGGGGTGGCTGGAATAGGCCTGCATTTTGAAAATCAAAACTAGATTTATTTCCTTTCATTTGTTGTACTGCTGTGGTTACTCAGAAACCAGCAACTATGTCAGGTTCCTGGTTTACAGAGTAAACCAATAGCAAGTCCTTTAATGTGCTTCTAGAGGTATGCTTTCCTTCCTTGAGAAACAAGGAAGGATTACAAGATTAACACTTACCTTATATATGAGTAAGATGATTAACAAGATCAGCACTTACCTTATATAAGAGTAAGATGAAAGGCCCAACAAGACAGACTCTAAGGAGCATGTAAAATATCAAGCCTTGCTTAAACAGGATCTGGGCAAAATACATCCTAGCAGTTTGCATTAAACAGATTATACTGTTAATGCTATTTTAAAGCTATTTGCTTCTCACTCATGTGGTTTCAGGACTTCCACAGATACTAAAATCCTCAGATGCTCAAGTCCCTTCTACAAAGTGGTGTCGTTTTTGCATATAACCTACACACGTTCTTCCATACACTTTAAATGATCTCTGGATTACTTAGTCATGTGCTGCATAATGATGTTTCAGTTGACAACAGACCGCATGTACAGTGGAAGTCCTGTACGATTACACTGAACCTGAAAAATTCCTGTCACATAGTGATGTCATAGCTGTCATCACATCACAGCATAATCCTTATTCACGTGTTTGTGGCAATGCTGGTGTAAACAAACCTACTGCAAAATATGCTGGGGAGTACTTAGCTTATCCATAGTTGACCCTCCCAAAGGTAGCTCAGACCTTCAAGATAGAAAGCCAAGCATTTGACACATGAGACCTGACCTCAAAGGAAAGGGCTATTTTAGAATCCTTGCAATTTAAGATGATTCCCACCCATCCCCATGGCAGAATAATAGTTAATAACAGTTAGCTAACATTCACTGCATGCTTGCTGAGTGCCAGGCACCAATCCTACCTGCAATTTAATTTTCATCACTTTGAGGGGGTGGTGCTATTCTAATCCCCATTTAACAGATGAGGAAAGTGAGGTGCAAAGAGACTTAGTAACATAATTAGAGGGCCCACACTCATGCAACCAGGGACCAGTGTAGCTAAAAGAAAAATTCATTGCTGTTCCCTTTCATAATACAATTTTGCACAATGATGACATCCGGCAAAATACCCAATGATGCATTTCTCAGAACAGATCCCATCATTAAGCAATCTGTGACTGTAATACCTCACACAGTGTGCTGTATAAATAGTTGTTATACTGTATTTTTAAAAAATTCTACTTTTTATGGTTATGTTATTTTTTATTTTATTTTATTATTATTATTTTTTTAATGCTTTCAGCCAGGCGCAGTGGCTCATGCCTGTAACCCCAGCACTTTAGGAGGCCGAGGAGGGCGGATCATGAGGTCAGGATATTGAGACCATCCTGGCCAACATAGCGAAACCCCATCTCTACTAAAAATACAAAAATTAGCCGGGCATGGTGTCGGGCGCCTGTAATCCCAGCTACTTGGGAGGCTGAGGCAGGAGAGTCTCTTGAACCCAGGAGGTGGAGGTTGCAGTGAGCTGAGATCATGCCACTGCACTCCAGCCTGGCGACAGAGCGAGACTCAGTATCAAAAAAAAAAAAAAAAAATGCTTTCAAGTCTCCGTTGTTTGAATCTGTAGATGTGGAACCCGCAGATCCAGAGGGCCGACTGTACGTAGTTACTTTCAAAAAAGAGCAGTAGACTCTGGAAATGGCGAAGGTAGTTTCTGAGCTAGTTCCAAAGCATCTTTCTGATCCGTCTGCAGAAAGGACCCAAGGGGCTCAAACACTTTCAGCCTGCTTGGGGAGATTATCAAGAGCTGGTACAGCATGCTGCATTGTTCTGTTCATTTTTATTTAAAAAATTAAACTAAACTAATATTTATATTGCCTGCTTTTTATTTTATTTTATTTATTTTATTTTTTGAGACAGAGTCTCACTGTCACCCAGGCTGAAGGGCAGTGGCGTGATCTCGGCTCACTGCAATCTCTGCCTCCTGGGTTCAAGCGATTCTCCTGCCTTAGCCTCCCAAGCAGCTGGGATTACAGGCATGTGCCACCATGCCCAGCGAATTTTTGTAGTTTTAGTAGAGATGGGGTTTTGCCATGTTGGCCAGGCTGGTCTGGAACTCCTGACCTCAGGTAATCCACCTTGGCCTCCCAAAGTGGTAGGATTACAGGCCTGAGCCACCGCGCCTGGCCTATTGCCTGCTTTTTAAAGGCCCAGTCTAATTTATTTCAGGTGAATCTTTCAGAAATACGTGCTGTTTGTTAATTCATTCAGCCAGCCAGTCATTCCTCCAACAAATATTTATCCAACAAATATTTATTGAATGACCTCACTTTTGCCAGGCACTGATCTGAGCACTGAGAGCCAAGATGGATGCTTAGACAACTTTGTTTTCAACCTAATTCTCACTTTTGTTTGTGCCCTGCCTTAACCCTCAAATTCATGAAATACTTTGTGTCACATCTGCTCTCATAACAATGCTGGGCAAATTATTCCCCCGTTACAGAGGTGAGCAAATGGAGCTTAAGACTGTGTAGCGGTTATATGAACCATATGAATAAGTGGAAAAACCCAGAATTTTTATTCGTCCTGCTTGTCTTGTCTACCCACTTGAGCTTCCAATCTTTCTTCTGTTTCCTCCCTGCTCATCAGACCAAATCTGTCCCCTTTCTCATTCCTCTCGAGTGGAGCTGTTGACTTTTCAGAGTGACAAGTTGATAGAATCAACTCATCTGTGTGAATGGTTGGGAAGCTAATAATGGCTTAATATTATCCTGCTGTGCATTCGCTGCTATCCTGGCACAAGGTCCTCAGCTTGTCAAACAAATCCCCTGCCTTTGGCTCCAACGGATCCTGTGTTAGCTAGAGTTAGGGAAACACATGGACTAAAACTTCCTAACGAGGTAAGAGCATATTTCTGCCATGTCACAAATCCCTGGACAATCAAATGAATTGACAGTCGTTATTTTTTTACAAAACAATTACCAGCATTTTCTGTAAGAGGTGGGTTTGGGTGACAGCTCTGATGATTTTCCATTCAATGAAGACTTCCTGAAGGTGAAGGTCCTTCCCCAGCTCCAAAAGAGACTCCCACCTTGCCAGCATTGGCAGGCAGCCTACTTGCCCACTGTCTGGGATTCTATAGTTGTCTTTCCTTAAATAAACCTACTTGAAGAATATATTCAGAAGCAAGTAGGATGGGTATTTTTGATGGGGATTGAGAAGAAGTGTAGTTGATTGGATTTTATCTTGCAACTGATTTGTTTCTGCCAGATGTTGATATGTAACCCTGATGCTGTGATTCCAGGCCTCAGGAGCAGTAACGTTATAAACAACCTTCCGTTGCTTCATCTGCTAGTAGGAACCTTAATTTATCACGTAGGTGATAGAGTTGCAGTTTCTCATCCACTTGTGAAAAAATTGGGCAGCTGTAGGGAATGCATCCCTTCTTTTAAAGAATTCATTCTAAGGAATAAGACAGAGAATTTATTCCAAAATATCTTCATCCCAGTGGAAATAAAAATCCTGTCTAATGGCTCAGAATATCTCCTGGGCTTTGATTAAGAAGGACTTGTAAGGATGGGCTTTTCTTCTCTTACTGTTTGTCTTCTGGGCTAATCAGACTTTAGGAAGAGAATCTTGTCTTCGGCACCTACTGGGGCAGGCACCTTCTGGGACACAGACATCTGCCTGTGAAACCTGCTGCTGCCACAGATGTGCTTTGAGGGTGCTCATTTATTCAGTGACTTGCTGATGACTGGAGAATGGAGAAGGACAGGAACCTCCTCTGTTCTTTAACCTCAGACACAATGCCTGTTCTGCTATGTTTAAAAATAATACCTTTTATAGTTTTTTTCTGGTTATAAAAACAAAACTTGTCCTTTTTAGAAAAAATTGAATATATAAATAGAGAGAGAGAGGAAGGCAAAAATTACTTGTAATACCACCACCTAGAAATAGTCTTTGTTATTATTCTGATTTATATCCAGCCTATTCTCTGTTAATGCATTTATGTTGTTTGTACAAATTGAAATCTTCCTGTACAATCTATTCTATGACCTGAGGTTTTTCACTTAGCACTATATTTTTTCTTTATTGTTACTTAAAAAATATATTCTGCATCTCTGCATAAAGACAACATCTGAACTGTGAAAATACAACAATGACCAGTCTCTTACAGGAGTCCTGACCCTACTCGAGTTCATATTCACAGGGGGAGAGCAGGCATTAAACAAATAATTGTACCAGTAATTATTTGATTGCAATTGTGATAAGAGCTATGAAGGAAAAGAACAGAGGGCTGTGGGCACCTGACTAGTCTGGGGAAATCAGGAAGGCTTCCCTGAGGAAGTGGCATGAAGGCCAAGAGCTGGTAGCTGAGTAAAAGTTATCTAGAAAAAGAGAGCCCAGGATAGGAGTGGGAGGAAGACGAGAGCTCTGGGAGCTGAGAAGAGCCAGCATGGGTTAGGGAGTGAGGGGATACATGGGACAAGGTAATGCAGTAGAGGTAGGCAGTGACTAGGTCGCTCAGAGTCCCAGTGAAGAATGTTGAGTTGATCCTAAAAGCAGTGGTAAGCATCAATAGGTTGTAATCAGGGTTGTGACTTGATGAGGTTTATAGTTTTAAAGGATTATTCTGTTGTAAAAAATGGGGATTATGGAGGCTGAGTTAGGAAACTACTATAATAACCTAGAAGAGCAACACTTGTGGTTTGGAATAGTACAATGGTAGGCATAGGAGAAATAGATGGATTCTACCTATTTTTCCCTATGTTTGAGGAGCGTTTTGATCAGATATGGTGACTTACTGGATATGGAAAGTGAAAAAGGAGCTTCAGGGATACTTCCTAGATTCCTGCCTTTTTCACCTGGACAGAGGCACTAAACACTAATACAGGGAGTTTCGGGGGGAGGACCAGGTCTTTTGGGGGTAAATGATTGATACGGTTTGGCTGTGTTCCCACCCAAATCTCATCTTGAATTGTAGTTCCCATAATCCCCACGTGTGGTAGGAGGGACCCGATGGGAAGTAATTGAATCATGGGGGCAGTTTCCCCCATGATATTCTTGTGATAGTAAGTTCTCACGAGATCCGATGGTTTTATAAGGGGTTTCCCCCTTTGCTCGGCTCTCATTCTTCTCATTCCTCCCACCATTGTGAAGAAGGACATGTTTTCTTCCCCTTCTGCCATGATCGTAAGTTACCTGAGGCCTCCCCAGCCCTGGGAAACTATGAGTCAATTAAACCTCTTTCCTTTATAATTTATCCAGTCTCTGGCAGTTCTTCATAGCAGTGTGAGAATGGACTAATACAATGATGGACTCTGGTTTAGACGTGTTAAGTTAGATGTGCCAATGGGAGAGGAGAGAGCACATAGGCTGTTGGCTATGTTGGGCTGGAATGCATCACAGGGAACTGGGCTGAATATGGAGATTTGGGAGTCATCAGCATGTGGATGGCAAAAGAAGCCATAAGTGGCTAAAATTGTCTGGGGCAAGAAGGTAGAATCTGAAGAGAAGAAGGTCTACCACAGGGCCTGGAGAGCCAGAGCCACTGACCTCTTTCATGGGAAGGTGGATGCATTTGAGGCTGAGTCTCCTTGTCTCTTTTACACCAAGCCTGTCTGAATTCCCTCAAGACAACTTCCTCCATTTGCTTTATGATCCCGGTGGTGTGCCGGAGCCAGTGCACACTGGCTTATGCGAGCTTATTGTTAAATTTGCAGGAATTTTGTGAGCCGCTTGTTTGATACTGGCCATGTTAGGAGCAATCACACATGGAAATTGTCAAATTCTACTAATCAAGGTTTTAAATTTATTTTTCCCTCTTCCTGGAGTGCTGGTTGTTTAACATTTACCATCATATCTCCGTTTCTAACCAACTCATCTTTGCTTCTAGTGCAACTTTGTGGGTTCTTTCCCTTGGAATCTGGGAGTAAGCATGATCTGTGATCATTTCTATATCTCTCTGGAAAGTCTCTAATTTTGTCGTAAATTACCAGCCCTTTCTGCTAATGAGCGAGTAAGCAAATGACTTTACATTGATACAGTGAACCTCCTCAGTCTCTGTATAAGTTTTCTATTGCTGCTGTAACAAATTACCACAAACATAGCAACTTAACACAAATTTATTGTCTTAAAGTTTCTGGAGATTAGGAGTCCTCATGAGGGCTTAATGAGGTTCTCTGCTTAGGGACTTACAAAGTTAAAATCAATCGAAAGAATTCAGTGCTGTGTGAGAGTAGAACTGAGATCCTTGCTGTATTAGGCTACTCTCACAGTGCTATAAAGAAATACCTGAGACTGAGTAATTTATAAAGAAAAGAGGTTTAATTGGCTCATGGTTCTGCAGGCTCTACAGGAAGCATAGTGGCTTCTGCTTCTGAGGAGAAGGAAACTTGCAGTCATGGCAGAAGGCATAGGAAAAGCAGGCACGTCTCACATGGCCAGAGTGGGAGGAAGAGAGGGAGGGAGAAGGTGCTACACGCTTTTAAAACAACTGGACCTCATGATAACTCACTCATTTCACATGAACAGCACTGGGGAGTTGGTGCTAACCCATTCATGAGAACTCTGCCCCCATGATCCAATTGCCTCCCACCAGGCCCCACCTCCAACACTGGGGATTGCAATTCCACAGGAGATTTCGTGGGGACACAGATCCAAACCATATCACCTGCTTTCTTTGCCGACTATTAGCTAGGGGATGCTCTCTGCTCCTAAAAGTCACCTGCATTCTTCCCTTCCCGTGTGGCTCTCCATCTTCAAATTGGCAGTGGCATGTTAGATCCTTGTCAGGATTTGATTCCCTTTGACTTCTCCTCTGCCACCAGCCAGACAAAGCTCTCTGCTTGAAGGGCTTGTGTCATTCTATCAGTCCTACCTGGATAACCTTTCTGTCTTTGCATCACCCGTGCCTGTGTTAGTCTCCTAGGGCTGCTGTAACAAAGTACCACAAAATGGGTGGCTTAAAGCATTGGGAATGACTTATTCTCTCACAGTTCTGGAGGCTAGTGGTCTAAAATCAAAGTGTCCTCAGGGCTGTGCTCCCTCCAAAGCCTCTAAGAAAGGAGGCCTTCCTGCCCCTTCCAGCTTCTGGAAGCCCCAGGTGTCCCTTGCCTTATGGCAGCATCATTCCCATCTCTGCCTCTGTCTTCACATGGTCTCTTCCCTGTGTGTCTGCGTTCTCCTCTCTGTGGTGTCTGTGTCCAAACTTATCACTTCTTATAAGGACAGTAATCATGTTGGATTAGGGCCCACACCAATGGCCTCATCTTTACTTGATTATATCTGCAAAGACCTTATTTCCAAATAAAGTCCTATTCACAGGCACTGGAAGTTAGGACTTCAACATACCTTTTTGAAGGACCCAATTCAACCCATAACAGTGCCATGTAACAAAATAGAACATAATCACATGAATGGTACTTCATCATATTCATTGGTCCCAGGGGTTACGGCATGGAATATTGGGTGGTGAGGAGGCATTTTTAGAATTCTGCCTACCATAGTCTTCAAAGGTGCCCTTTAAATAATTGTCTCATCTGCTGACTTACCTAAAAATAGATCCCATGTCATCCATGGTGCCTCCTTGAATGACCTCAGTTTATACCTGTTCCTCCTTCCTCCAGTTTTGAGTATTGTCTGCCTAACAAACAGGACTTTCTCATGGACTGCACTGTTCTCCTTCCAGAGGGACAGACTCCTAGAAACTCAGTGCCTGAGCTGATTACGATATTTGGTACAAGACACAGTGAAAATGAAGAACTCTTCCATCCTTCAAACATGACCAATTTTGTGCTCCAATCCCCAGCAAAGGAAAGTTTGCTTTTGCTTTTTATTTTTTTTTTTTCTTAAAATTGTAAGGCATATAACAAATTGCTCTGCATTTTCTCTCACATGGTTTTGGTTGGAAGATGTCTTCCTTTCCCCAGCCGTCTGCTGTACCTCACTCTTTAGCACACTCAGGCTCAGGCTGGAGTCATCTCTATGGCCACCTTGTGATCTGCCCTCTCTTTTCATCTTCCCCAGAAGCACATTTCCCACCATGAGTGATAGCCATGTTCCATCTGCAACTGGCTAAAATTGCACGGCACTTAGAGTCTCCCTTTTATCTCCCCTTCCTCCAGATGTCAAGCAAATTCAAAAGTTAAAGCAGATGACTTTTTTTTTTTTCATGAAGCAAACAGGAGTCTTGTCAGTTTCTGTGCTTTACAAGAGTGTTGAAAACTGAATGGCTTCCCACTGTGTGTCCAGTTTGTTCTCTTCTGGGCAATTTCCTTTGGAGAATTTAATTGTGCTAAATTATTATATGATCATCTACTCTATCCAGAAAGGTTAGAGGTAGAATTAGTCATAGGAAATCTTTTTTGGAAATAGGTTTGGCTATTTTATCAGCTTTTACATTCTCAAAGGTTAATATGTTAATCAGTTTAATTTTTTTTGACATGACTATTTTGTAAAATAGCCTGAGAGTGCAAGCTTGGAAAATTAACACCTTCATTATTTTGTGGGTATGTGTGTTGATTTTTGTACCCCCAAGATGACATGACACCCCTAGAGTCAGGAGGCTGGGTCTTATTGTTGCCGAGGTAAAGTTCCAGGCATATCTGGTCTAACAGGACCCATGGAAACCAAAGCTTTGTGTTGTGGGGCATTCTGTGAAGAAAGGATGATGAGGCGTTCCTTCTGAGGAAGGAATTGAACCGATACCTTAGATCTCATTACCTTTTGTTCAAAGGCAGAGTCAGGCAGGGTGACAGGCCCAAGTTCAGAGTTCAGTAAGCATGAGCTCCAGTCTCAATGCTAAGGGTCGTTGGCATACAAAACCAGGGACAAATCAGCTAACTACTTTCTTTGTCTGCAAAATGAAAGCTCAGTTTCTCTTCCAGGGACACTCAAGGATCAGATGAGTTCACAGAAATGAAAGTGTAAAGACTTCAGGGAAGAGGAGGATGGTGAGCCAGGCCCAGGCAATAAAAAGACTCAACGTAAGCCTTCAACTTGAAATGGGGCCCAGGACATGCTCTTAGAACTCCTGCTCTACTCCTGTAGCAGAGCAAATATTGATTCAATGCTCTAAGTGTTTATGAAGCGCCCTATACATCCCCAGCCTTTTCCTGGCCCATGAGAGGTGATAAAAAGGAAATATGCGGCATGGTTTGCAGCCCGTCTGGTCTAGTGGTAAAGATGAGAGTGCTCAGAGCGGGCCATTAAATACATATTGGTTGATCGAATAAATGAATGTCAAGCAAAATATGACATGGCAGGATTTAGGCTCTACCTTTCCAGGATCTCATAATAAAGCTAAAATGTGTACTGTCGGAGGTAGAGATGGGTAGAGATCATTGCTGCCTCAAGGACTTCAAAGGGATGAGAGAGAGGCTTGGGTGGCATGGCCTTGGCAGCATGTCAGAGGCCCCAAATCCCCAGCACAGGATTAATCAGTTGAGCCTGTGCTCAGTCACAGAAGGAATTGAAAATCATGTAAGAGTGTGCTTCACTGAAGCAAATATGAGTTGTCACTGTTATGAACAGCACATTTCAGCTGAACTGCAACCTAGGAGGTTGATTCTTGGGTTTGGATTTGGGGAAGCAGTTGGTAATTCCAATTTGTGCAAGCTGATACTAGACGCGCCACCCTCAGAGCCCGGATCACAGATTCATAGATGTCTGACTTTTGCTTAGATCCACACTCACACACTCTGTGTGTGTGTGTGTGTGTGTGTGTGTGTGTGTGTGTGTGTGTGTGTATTCCCCTTGTGTTACTTACTAGGGGAATCCTACCACATCTCCCAGGCACTTCCAGGACCCAGTGATGTGTGTAGCCATGAGAGGGCTCTGTTCAAATGGTCAGATCCCTCCAGAGATTTGAGCTAAACCAGCCATCCCAGGACATTAGACAGGGATGGCGTGAAAGCTGCTTTGCAGATCTCCTGTGTGTAGTTTTTGAAACATGGTCATGAGAAGAATTGTTATTCACTCAGTCTGCAACTGTGTGGTCGAACTGGGCATATATGACTTGGATTCATTCTGATTGGTCACTGCTCATGCTATATCCGTTGTTACATATTTAGAAAATTACCTGCGAGTGCAATGTGTGTGTGTGTGTGTGTGTGTGTGTAATTTGTTGCTGATGAAAACATGGTGGCCTTTGGGATTCCAGGCATTGATTCCCAAGAGCCTCCCTGAGGACAAGGGTCTGTGTCTGTTCCTACTCCCATCTCTAGTTCTGCTAAAACAGACCTCACAGAAGACAGGCCCCAGCAGGTGCTCAATAAAAAGTGAGTGAGTTGGTGTGGATTGAATATGTAGGGAGGGGAGAATATGGTCACTTATGAGAACTGAAAAGTACTCTGGAAAGTTGGAAAGGGCTTAAAAGGCATGATCCTTTTTTTTTTTTTGGAGACTGAGTCTCACTCTGTCACCTAGGCTGGAGTGTGGTGGTGCAATCCTGGCTCACTGCAACCTCCACCTCCCAGGTTCAGGTGATTCTCCCGCCTCAGCCTCCCGAATAGCTGAGATTGCAGGTGTGTGCCACCATGCCCAGTTAATTTTGTATATTTAGTAGAGACTGGGTTTCACCATGTTAGCCAGGCTGATCTCGAACTCCCAGCCTCTCGTGATCTGCCTGCCTCAGCCTCCCAAAGTGCTGGGATTACAGGTGTGAGACATCATGCCTGGCTGATCTATTATTTTTTAAAGGATAACTTTAAATGTATAGACGTATCAATAATGTATAGATGTATAGAGTCTGTAATAATAATCCTGGCTTCTATCCACCTCTGTGTTGCAATTCTTAGTAAGCAAGACCATGAATAATGAGTCTTGGGGAGAGGAAACTTTCTCAAACATTATTTCACTGAAGACAGAGATGAGAGAATGTGGGATTAGCCCCAACAGCAGCTCTGGAAGCTCTAAGGAGAAGAGCTTGGAGAGGCAGTCACCGTGCGGTGAGGCACCTGAGGATTTATCTGGAAGTCTCATTTGCACAGTACACCCACTGCTCCAACTCCCAGTATGTATTTATTGGGGGGGTGCTAAAGAATATTATGGGATAGCAGAGGCTTCCCTCTCTCCAGCTGCCCCTCAGTGCCACCAGTGTGTAGGCTGGGTGCCATGCATGGAGACAGACCCCGCAAGTCACAGACAAGCCCAGTGCACAGAGCTGGGCCTTCAGAAACCCTTCTGACCACTTAGTATGCGTTCAGCAGAAGCACCTTCTAGATAAAATCTTTCATGCGAATTTCCTTTCTGTAAACCTTCACCTAAATCTGGTCTTTCTTGAGAGCATCTCCTACTTAGAAAACATTTTTCTTTTTAGTTGTATAACCGTGTTCTATTATGCTTGCCATTTAAAGAGCAAGGGGGAAAATGTAGGCAGGGCTTCTCTGGAAGCAGCAAGTTCATGCATCTGGGTCTGAATCATATTCTAAGTTTATCAGAGATGGATGTCTATGCATCATAGACTCCAATCCCCCAGTGCCAGGTCAGAGGGTTTCAGCCCCAGTACCCCTGTCTGCCTGCGTGACCCCCACAGATTCAGGATCTGATGTCCCAGAAAGAGGCCTGATGAGTGAGGATAAGGAACAAGCCTCAGGAGCTGCCTGAGCTTGGGCTGAAGGGGATGCAGAGGCTTCTCCTGCCCCTCAGGCAAACAACAGCAAAAATACTCTCAGCAGCTATGGCTACCACTTACTGAGCATGCACTATGTGTTCAGCAGTGCTCTATGTATATTATTCTGATTTCCCCAACCCCTCTATGAGATAGGCTTTATTATCCATCTTCTTCCATCGGGAGAGGAAACTCAAGGAAGGTGACCATCTCAAGGTCACACAGCCACCTGAGTGACAGAACCAGGATTGGAACTCAGATGTGCCTGAGCCTAGAGCTCAGTGACCTGCTCCCTCCAGGGAAGGCTCCTTCTTCATGTGGAAGTGGGGGTCTCAGCTAATGCTGTGGTAGACCCATTGCTTCAGAGCTGGGCACCGTGGGCAGTGCCAGTGAGGATGGGCCCAGGGGAAGAGATTTCTGGTTTCTTTGTCAGTATAAGTATGTTTATAGCACGGCACCCATGAAGGAACAGCAGACCCTGGGCTGAGGTGGGCAGAGGCTCTTGGGGAGCCCAGGTACCCCTAGGGGACAAGTGAGGGAAGAGGATTGGGGTAGGGCTGGCTAAGACCAGAAGATGGGCGGGAGGCAGTAAGGGGGAGTCAGGGCTTTGGGCAGTCCAACTGGACGTACAGGGAGGACAAGAGCAAGACTAGCTGCTGAGTGGGAGAGGGCGGGACAGTGGCTTACGATGGCTTGGTGGGGAAAGACTGGCAGTGCAGCCTGGTTGCAAGTGGTTTGAGCGTCCCTTAGAACCTCCCTCCTGGGACAGCCCCAGTCTCAGAATGGGGCAAAGGCAGGGGAAGAGCAGGCCAGGATCACCTCCCTCACTGTCCTCGTGTCCGCATTTCCTATGGAGCCTCCCATGACATTCATCATGGGGCATCTGCGAGGGTATTGTGGCCAGAGATACCACGTCAGGGAATGCAGGAGCCTCCTCTCCTGGTCCTGGGTTGATTCAAAGCCTCATGCCATGAATGCAGATCTTTGCCTACAACACAGGTCCCAGGGCTCCCTGATTCCTTTGGTGGGAGGGCCATGTGGCCAGGTTTAGTGGAGAGGCTAAGTCAACTGTGGTTTTTTTGTCTTAAATCTTAGATGTCTGCACACCTGCCCTCTGAAGGGGGTTAGCATGAGAGAGAGAGAGCTGAGTGTCAGACCACGGAATTGGGCAGTTTCTTCTCTTCCAAGTTAACATCTTGGAAAGCACCCTGCATTTTTATCTACAAGATTGCTTTCTTTGTTTGTTTGACTGTTTCCATACCTACAGAGCATTTGCTACATCTCCCTGCTTTATTTTACAGAGTTGCATACATTCTACTTAAAGGAATTGGGTGTAGGTGGGCTTGGATGTCAGAGCACATGCTGTGGAGTGTAGTGGCATAGTCAGAAGTGAACGATCGGAGGATGGAATCTCAGGTTATGTGCTGCAGGTGGCATTGGTCCTTCTGCTCCCAGCGTCAGAGCTGCAGCACAACACATCTGCCCTCCTCTGCCTCTGAACATCCTCAAACCCAGCAGGAGCCCCAAAGACCCCTAAGCTACCCATGCTGAGGCCACTGTCCCTGCGTTTATGCTCTTACTTACTTCAGTGGAGGAACCCCACTTGATGTCCTCACAGCCTAGTGTCTCCTGCTTTAAACATAATTCTAACCACCTTGATCATCTGATTTCATGGCCTATGGACATTTAGATGCAGGAAAGGAGCTCTCAGAGACAGATTTTGGTCACAGTGCAGGGGACAGGTGGCCACCCAAATGCAAATTGCAAAAGTGGACAGAAGGCCACTAGTTTACACAAGGTTGCCTCAAACCTCCCTCTAATTTCTCGTTAGGCCCCGGAGTGGTCCCCGGAGCAGAGCATGGGCTCATCATTGCTGTTCACTGTGATGATCCTAACTTCCCCATCAAGCTCCAGAGACTTTTCAGTTCTCTCTTTGTAGAAGGTGTGGAAGTGTGTTATACCCCAGAGCAGGAACTCCATCCAAAATATTTACACTTAGAATAAAACATATTTTGTCATGTAAAGGCCTTAAGCTCAGTTATTTGGATTATCGCTCATCCCCTTAGAGATGTCCGCAAATGAACCAATTTTAGAGAATGATTTGTGGCACTTACTTCTTCCACTGTTAGAACAGCTGCCTCCTGGGTGTGCCTGCCACATCGTGGGATCCTTGCTCCTTTCTCCAGCAATCACAGTGAGTGGCCTGGAGATGAGTTGCAGAGTTTCTCTGAGCTCAGAGTTACCCACTTATCCACCCAGCCCTTCCCCGCAGAGGCCTGGTCGAGTTTTGGCCTTGCTCATTAATAGCACGATTCTCCCATCTCTCATACTGGCTACAATCCCTCATTCCCAACCGGTGTGTAAGTGGGCTAGCATGTGTGTGGATCCTTCTCACAAATGTTTCTGGCTGCTCGTTTCCCCGGATGGATTCCTGTCAGGATGCTATGGGACAAGACATGAGACATCCCATCCGCTTTGTTGATTCAACATGGATATGTTTGCTTTTCTGCCTCAGAATGGAGACAGTTGTTTACAGCCTCACCAGTCAAAATATTTACTAAACGTAACCTACAGTTCCAGGATTGAGAGGAAGGAAAACACACAGTTCACTTTCCATGTTGATAAAAACATTTGCATAAGATGCCTTAAAATGCAAGCCGGTGCCCCTCTGTGTGCCAGAGGGATGTGCTCAAGGTGAGAGTCTCAGGAGCGGGGTTTCCTCAGCACACCCGGGCCACAGGCCCTCTTCTGTTAAATGTCATATTGAAATAAATGTGCACATAAACCAGGTCATACTCTTCAAAGGGATATCAGGATTTCACATTTTCTCACATACAGTTTAGCCCCATGGAATTCAGACTAAGTTGATCAAAACCTATGATAGGAATCCCAGAAGGTCAAAAGACGCAGTTGTTGAACATTTTATCTTCAAAAATTACTGCCTCTCAGTGTATTCTGTGGTGGCAGGATATCCAAAAATGCCTGAAAATGTGCTTTCAGCGCAGGACTCCGTTTGTGTTAATGTCTGCTGGGGACATTAGTAACAACACCAGTGATTCAGTGAGCTCACTCCTGTGTGATGCTAGACTTGGAAAGCTTTTAAGGAAATTAAATTACACATTCATACAACACAGTGTTGTAAAAAAAAAAAAAAAAGATATCACAAGTATCATCTTAGGCAGGATAACATAGTGTTAAGGCCCCAGTGGCAGGTAAAAGTTGCAAAACCATCACACATGAAGTCCTCTATCATCCCAGATTCCAGGGGAAGTGGAAATCTCTTCCTTTTCTTTTTTCTTTCTGCTGTGGTTTACATGTTATTAAGCACGCAGTAGGTGTGTTTAACTTCTCTGTTCCTCAGTATCCATAACTGTAAAATGGATAATAATACCTACCTCACAGGGCTGTCATAGGAACCAGATATCTTAGTATGGCTAAAGTGCTTAAAACAGTTTCTGGCACATAGTAAATATGCTATTGTTTTTACACATGCTGAAGCTCTGTAATTCACTATTGGGATTTCTTTCTCATAACCTTGTGTAGTCTGAAGCAGTGATTGGCTGGGGGCTGGTTTCTGTCTCAGAAGAAAATAAATATTGAAGAAAGGGGCTAGAAGGTTCAATATCCGGCAGAAGGACGATCTGAGTTGACCCTGGACCCCTCCATTCTCCTCAATCCAAACATATAGAAAATAAAATATTACTGGGGAAAATGTTTATTTTTCTAAATATATGACTGGACTTGAAGGTTAGAGAAATTTCTAGGTACAAAAATGAACAAACCACTCTCAAAGGCAGTGACGAGTGAGCAAGCCAATGTCATGGCACCCTGAGGTTTGAGGGGGCAGCGTCAGACCCAGCACGGGCCACCTCAGGGCTAGTGGCAAAGGCTTTTATCTCCATCCCAGGACAGCAAGTGTACTTTGGGCCTGCACAATACAGAAAGGATTCTACTTAAGGCTGAGACCTGGGAGGACTGCCCTCTCTGTGAAAATGGGGACTAAGAAAATTTTACCTAATGGTCAAGGAATGTGGCAAGTAGCTTGTGGTCTGCCTAGACTTTGAACCACATTGAATTTACACTACTTACACGTTACAGAAATTCTAAACCTAGAAATAAACTTAAAGATAGGTCCCAGATCAGTAAAACCACTAGAGCTCCTAGAGAAATACATGCAAACCCATTATAAAGGACAATCTCCACACCAGAATATACAGGATGCCGATGGGAAAAAGAAAATCTCAACCTACAACATAAAATTGCAGATCATAAGGAACTAATTTGCCATCGGGAAGAGTTAACCCCAGACTCACACACTGGGGTTAGCTCCTTCAGAATCTTCACGTAATAAAACACAATGTAAAAGTAACTATTTAAAAATCTATGTTTGAAATTATTAGAATAATAAAAAGAAGAGAATTATAAAGAAGGAATTGTAGGGGAAAAACAAGCAAATTTGGAAAAGTAGAATTTCTAGAAATTAACATTATTTAAATTAATAATACAATAAATGATTTAAAAACATATTAGGTACAGCTGAAGAGAGAATTGTTGAACAGGAAGATAGCTCTGAAATTACTCAGGAAAGAGCTCAGAGAGACACAAAGATAGAAAATATAAAACAGATATTAAGAGAAAATATTAAGATATTGAAATATTAAGAAATATTGTTAAAAGATATTATTAAGAGTTTTGAAGAACAAGTAGGGTAGTCTATAAGAAAAGCGTAGAGGAAGTGAGGGAGAAGAAACACTGGAAATGATAATAGCTAGACCTTTTCCAAAATTTTTTTAAAGATATAAATGCCTAGATAAAAGCAGCACTCCAAATCATGAACAGTATAAATACAAATTATGTTACAATGATCTGCAGAATACCAAAGATAAAAAGTGACCAAAGAAGAAAAAAAGATTCTCTGCAAAGGAACAATTTCTAATTGCAAACTTCATTAGCAACAATGGAAGCCAGAAGGCAATTGAATAATATCTTCTAAACAATGAGGTAAAATAGTCAACTTAGAATTCTGTTTGAGAGTGAAGGGCAAAGATACTCTCTGATAAAGATTTAAGAGGTTACTGAAGAGGTTACATAAACTCTTACTGAAAGAACTAAAGGTATATATACTTTAGGAGGAAGGCAATTGACCCCAGAAGAAAATAATGTAATACAATAATTGCTAGTGAGAAAGGGAATAGGCAAAAACATAGGCATAATTATAAGTAAGTGTTGACTGAAGAAAAGCATTGATAATAAAATGACTAATTTGGGGTCATTTAAAATATGAAACAAGAGATGGTGATGATGGTCAGTACTAAAGAATTTTATGCTTCTTGTGTTATTTGAGAAGATACTAGGCCTTAAAAAACTTTAGGCGTTAAGTCAGAATGTATATTGAAAATTTAAGGGTAACCTGTAAAAGAAAAGAAATAGAATATAACCTCTAACAGAAGAGTCTGGAAAAAAAGAGTTGGATAAATAACATTCAGACAGCTCAGTAGATTGCAGTTCAGTAGACAGCAGAGAAGTAGACAAAATGAAGCAAAGTAAAGGCATCATAAGTGGTAATAATATATAGCAATAAAAATAATATTAAATAAATACTCAAATTAAGTTGGCAAAAACTGAATATATCAGTAATATGTTTTAGTGGATTGGATTTATCTGTTAGTCAATAGCAATTTTCAGATTGAATTTTTAAAATACACGGATGTGCTATTTACAAAGATCATGTCTAAATATAATGGCACAAAATTTGAAATGAAATTAATTGAAAATATATGCTAACAAATACTAAAAGAAAAAATTAGGCCAGGCGCAGTGGCTCATGCCTGTAATCCCAGCACTTTGGGAGGCCGAGGTGGGTGGATCACGAGGTCAGGAGATTGAGACCATCCTGGTTAACATGGTGAAACCCTGTCTCTACTAAAAAAATACAAAAAAATTAGCCAGGCGTGGTGGCGGGCGCCTGTAGTCCCAGCTACTCTGGAGGCTGAAGCAGGAGAATGGCATGAACCTGGGAGGTGGAGCTTGCAGTGAGCCGAGATAGTTCCACTGCACTCCAGCCTGGGCAGCAGAGTGAGACTCCGTCTCAAAAAAAAAAAAAAAAGAAAAAATTGTTTGTAGTAACATTAATATCAAAGTATTGTTTAAGGCACAAAAGCATTATTGGGTTTACTGCACAGTGACAAAAGAAACAATTCACTGGGAACACATAATAATCATAAACCTATATGCACTTAACACAGCTCCTAAACAGACATAATGCAAAGCCTAGGAACTTATACAATAACATCGACAAATTTACAATCTACAATAATGGGATATTGTGACACATATTTTTATAAAATGATGTCAAGCAAACAAAAATTTATTAAAAACAATTTTTTTTTCTTTCCAATTTTTATTTTAGGTTCAGAGGTACATGTGCAGGTTTGTTATGTGGGTAAACTGCATGTTGCAGGGTTTTGGTGTACAGATAATTTTGTCACCCAGGTAAACAGCATAGTAAAGATAGTTGTTTTTCAGTCCTTACACTCCTTTCATCTGAACTCCACCCTCAAGTAGGCTCTGGTGTCTATTGTTCCTTTCTTTGTGTCCGTGTATACTCAATAAAAACTGGATATTTGAAAATGATGACTAATAAGATTAATCCATTCATTATATGTAAAACTCCACACCTAATACACATTCTTTGCATGCACAATACAAAAATTAGCCACATTCTTGGCCACAAAACAAGTTTTAACAAATACCAACTAATTGATAGGCCATATTCCTTAACTAATTTGCACCAAAATCATAAATTAATAAAAAGCCCACTACAAACCCATACACTTGGAAACTTAAAAACATATTTTGAAATAACTCAAGGATCAGAGAATAGGTCCTAACTGAAATCGCTGAAAGTTTAGAAGCAAGCAATAATGAATTCACTACATATTCAAGTATATAGGATGCTGCTAAAGCAATACTTGGAGGAAAAGTTATAGCCTTCAGTATAATTTTAGAAAATTAGAGCCAGTAGTTCATCTCAAACTTTAAAAATAATAAAGAAAAGAGCGTGCCTTAATAGAAAATAAAGAAGCAATAGTGAGGATCAAGAAAATCAAAATCTGGCCCCCTGGAAAAAAAAAAAAAACTTTTAAAATTGTCAAACTCTGACAAGACTGGCAGTAAACGCTTATGTGCCAGAGACTGTTCTATGTGAATTATGTTTTAATTCACTCAAAGGTCAAAATGACCTAAGAAGTAGATCAGTTTGTTATTAATTTCACCACACAGCTACTAGTACTCTGTGACACCTGAACAAAACACTTCTATTGTAGGACATTCCGGCATTTTTCATGGCACCCTGCAGATTTAAAAAAAAAAAAACAATGAGGCAAAGATGGGAGACTTATGAGGAAAATACATGTAAACCAGAGCAGGTAAAATTAAGTTTATAAAGGCAAGAAACTGATTTGACAAAGAGGAGAATGTCCTGTACTGAGAACCTGGAATGAGATGTTTCCTGGCAGTCAAGGTTAGCATAGAAACAGGTATTTCCTGGCAAAAGGAACGAGTTGTAGGAGATGATGTCACTGGTTGCAGTTGTAGGAGATGATGTCACTGGTTTCAGGCTGGAGGCTGGCTTTCAGGGCTAGAGGTAAGCCTTTGATCTCACTAATGTTCATGGGCATCTGTTCAAATGTCAGTGATAAGTGTCTCCTTGTCTTTTGTCACCACCTAGGGAGGGCATCAGGGCCCTACAGGTAGAGCCAAGGAGCTCTCTTGGTCAACATGGAGTGGAGAAGCTGGGGCTATTTTGGGGGTGACATACTATGTATCCATTGCTCAGACAGCTCAGTGTGCTGTCTATGTGCTAAAAGGGAACTTTCCTCCACCAGAACTGGCATTGGTCCCTGAGCCTGGCTCTTTGCATGTCTTCTTAAGAATATTTTGAGAGTCTTAGCCCCAAGTTCTCCTGAATGTTACAGGCGATATCTGCTAGCAGAACCTTCTAGATAGTACCTCAAAGGCATTCTAGCATTTCTCACTTGAAAAATGGAAGCCCCTGGGATAGACATGTGACAGAAAAAAAAGAAAAGAGAAATGGAGGCCCTCTGTGCTACTTTAGGTGGTGGCAATGGAAGTCACTTGCATATACTGCCACATGTGTAGGATTATTACATTATTTAGCTGACTGAGTTCTTCCTCGCCTCTCATGACACTTGGCCCCATCCCAACACTCAGTGCAATGAACATCTCTGAACAGGAACCAGGTTTCTGCAGTGGACTAGGCCAGGCAGATGCCCCACAGAAGGTTAGCCGAGAAACGGGTTCTCCAGAGGGTCTGCCCTATCACTTCAGAGGTCCAGAGTTTGGTATTTATCTTAAGAATTTTGGATGCTTCTGGGCCTGATTAGTAGTGGCACCCCGTGCCAGGATAGGACCCAGAGGAAGGAGGAGTCAACCATCTAATAGCATTGATTGTGCTCATTTAACCCCTGCTACCTGGCCCCTCTCAGTACCCCTACCCTCTGTCCAATGGGGGGTTGACAAGATGGCCTTTTGGATAGGTCCTACAGCAGGAGCTTTGGAGTTTTCAGGCTCTGTGAATCTCTCACGGGCAGTCTCCAGATGCCAGAGAGTAGGATTAGTTATCTAGAGGCAGTGGGAGGGGTGAGGGGCATCATGGGGCCCATGAGATTGGGGTGAGGGTGGCCCTCTGAAGCACTCATGGCTCATTTGCAGCCAACACCCCCATACCCACTCCCATCCCACAGAAGCTCTTACTACTATGTTTTCATTTTCCTCAAGAATAAAAATTGACAATGGTTTGGGAATTTACTTCCAAATCTACATTTTTAATAGCATATTTCTCATCTAGAGATAAACATGATTTCTACCCTACACATGAAAGGACATGTCCCGTCATCAATCTGTGTAGATTTCTTACCATAAAAAGAGAGCTTGGCTGGGTGCAGTGGCTCACGCCTGTAATCTCAGCACTTTGGGAGGCCGCGGTGGGCAGATCACTTGAGGTCAGGAGTTAGAAACCAGCCTGGCCAACATGGCGAAACCACATCTCTACCAAAATATAAAAATTAGCTGGATGTGGTGGTGGGTACCCGTAATTCCAGCTACTCAGGAGGCTGAGACATGAGAATCGCTTGAACCCAGCAGGCAGAGGTTGCAGTGAGCAGAGATTGTGCCACTGCACTCCAGCCTGGGCAACAGGGTGAGACTCCATCTCAAAAAAAGAGAGCTCGTCGCAAAGATTATCTTAGCTATCTTGGCTTTTCTTTTTTAAAATAATCCTAAACAATGCAGGATAATTATATCAGCAAAAATCAAAATTATAAAATGCCAGTTAAAAACCATATGTGTATATGGTAGCAGATATTCAAATTAGCTCCAGTCCTTTAAAGCATCAGCTGTTCAGGAAGAGGTCTGAATTCTATTTCCTTCACTATCTTTGTATTAGTAGTGAGCACTTCCCTCTTTGAATGCCAGTTTTCCCATCTGCAAAAGGCTGGTGTTTGACTGGTTGGTCTCTTTCAGACCTGATGATCTACGCTTGGTTCTAAAGATGGCAAAACTGAGGCCCACACCAGTGGGGAGATTTGCCCAAGTGTCCTCAGCAGCAGAGTTAGAGCCAGACCCGGTGTCTGCAGGATTTTAAGTAGCTCAGAGACAGTCACGAAGTGCTCATGCTAGTCCTTAGCTGTGGCTCAGTGGAGGGCTGGAAATGAGCTCAGTGGGGCAGTTGCTGGGGGTGGTCAGCACCATCCTGAGATGGTGAGGTGAACACAGTCCCTGGCCACACCTGTACAGGGAGAAGCACCTGCATAGGGAGAAGCTTTCCATGGCCAACCCTCCTTTACTGAGAGAGGACTCGTCATCAACTAGGCACCGTGCTGAAATGTACATCAACTTGGGAGACACTGGCAACAACCCTATGGGGTACAGCTTCTACATTTAATAAATGAAAGCCTGAGGCTCAGAGGCAGGAGCTCACCTGAGGTCACAGAGATTGATGAACAGCAGAACAGTTCACCAAGACAAGGACTCTGCCATTGCACATGCAGGGACTTTGTGAGTGATGCTGAACCTCAGAGTGGCTCATGCTCCATCATCTGCAAGGAAAGATGGTGACAGCTCAGATTGCAGAAGGAAGTGAATATCAAGCAGCAACATACGTCACAGGCACCTTCTCTTTGCTGTGTGTGATCATCCTGAACCCAGTCACCCTGGGAGGAGTGCAGAGCCACGTGCCAAGTGCAGGGAGATGTAAGGGCATGACTTGGGCAGTGAGACCAGGAGCTCTGTGTCAGGCCTTCCACGTGCTCAGAGAGGAAAATGCCTACATCAGAGCGTCCTCTTGAGCAATGTGCTCACAGGGTCCTTCTATGCAGTTCATTGGTGTATGGGATTCCAGAATCAGACCCACTACCCCCAGATACAGCTGCTGGCAAGGGTAATATAAGTAAGTGGCACTCCATGGCAAAGCTGTGTGCTGTAAGGGTGTGCAGTTCTCAGAAGCCAGGGTCAGGGGCCTCCTGCCAGTGTCACATGTCAGGTGGGACCCGGATTCTCCCCTACTGGCTGCATAACTTTGAGCAAGTTATCCTCTCTGGGCCTCAATTTCCTCATAGGTCAAACAGGGATAACACTACTTTGCTCTGTTTTGTGGCGCTTCAATATGTATGTTTGTGCCTAAGAAGGTGTGGTTCAAAGTTCCTTCTGCTCCGCCCACCCACCGCCAGCTCCTGCTCTGGGATCACTGACCCCTGTGAGACCATCACTTCAGACCAGGAGCTGGGGTTTGGCAGGGTGAAGAGGGGGCCGTTTCTAGGTTTTTGCAGTAACACAACTGTAAAGGGTCACCAGGGTTGTTTTGGCTTTCTTAGCACAAGAGATGAGAGTAGCTTGTGTCGGGTGATGGATTTTTCATAGGGAAACACGTTTTTCTTCAACTTATCTCCTCAAATGCGCTTTCAGATGTGGTTGATGATTAAGCTAGTTTTAAAGAAAATGAAGGACAGAACAGGAGAGGGAACGCCTGCTGCAATTATGTCCCTTTCTCCTGTTCCTCAGAGAAATCAATCCCCCCTCCTCTGCCGTCTCTCTTTCTTTCTTCCTCTCCCCCAACCTGTCTCTCCCCTCCTCTCCCTCCCGCTCTTCATCACTCTCCTTCAGTCTCTCACTGTCTCTGTGTATCTCTCTTCCTTGCCCTCTCTTGGTCTCTGTTTCTCCCCGCCCCTCGTACCCTGTCCTCCTCTTTACGTCTCTCTCTGATACTCTCGTAGTGTGTCTGTGTGTGTCAGTCTCTTGCTCCCGATCTCTCTCTCCTTCCTTCCCCCAATCCTGTCTCTGTCTCTCAGGCGCCTCTGCCCACACCTTGCTTATTCTCCTCCATGAGCCCGTGTTTTTACCGATGGTCGCATGAAGGCCACATGTTCATGAGTGTGAGCCATTCTCACCGTGAGTGCCATTCCCCCAGGAGCTGGGCCTTTGTACTTCCTGCTCCCTTGGGAATATGCCCATTTACCAATGGGAAGACAGGCTCCATAGTCCCGAACTGGAGAAAATTGGGATTTGCCACTTGAAGGAGAGTTTGTTTTCTGGAAGAAGCCCACTGTGACAAGTAATGTGTCAGATAACTGTGGATCAGGAACAAAACATGTCCATGTACAGTGGGTAAGATGCTCCCAGGCACTCGAGGCAAACCTCAGCAACTCAGCCCTGGTCCTGTACAGTATTTGACTCTTTAGCCAGCAGCTGGGCTGAGTTTTCCAGGGCCAGAGTGCTTGCCGAGGACCCGAACGTTGCTGCAGCCTGAAGGAGTGCCTCCTGCCTGCCCTGCCAGCCCACTTAGGACCGCAGCTTGTTTGCAGCTGCAATGGCTCCTGCTATTTGCATATTTGCTTGGAATGTGCTGATTATAAATCATTTACCTCTCTTAAAGTGGGTTTAAAGGACCTCTGCTGAGCAGCAAGTCCTGGCCATGCTTCCTTAGCCTAATTTGAGTTGCTGCATGTACTGAAATTAAATTACTTTTCACTTTCAATGTTCCCAAATTCAGCTGTTGCCAACACAGGCTGGCTGTCCTCCCAATTAGCCTGAACCAGCAAGGTCTGCCTGCATGGGAAGCTGCGCCATTACCTGCCCATAAAGGGTTCCCTCCTGCTTTCTCTGTGAGTCTCCAGGCAGATATTCTTCAGCATCTGCTCCCAAGAGCTGGCTGTGAATGTGAACTCTGCCTCCTTGGTTGTTCAGAAGCACATGCTTAAGAGAACAAATTTTCCTACAGCAGCGGCTGCTGAAGTGTCCTCTTTGTGGCCATTGAAAGAAACTCTTAGAATGTCTCATGAAATTATTTTCTGGACAGAGAAATGGCACTACCTGGGGCAGACACATTTCATTTTTAAACCAAAATTTATGGTTACTGTCAAGGGTAATATTAATGTTTTAAAATCCTTGACAAAGAAAAAGGAGAAGAGCTAGAAAGTTCTTTGGCTGAAGTTACCCTTCAAACCATGCCTGAATTGAGCTTGATTCTGAACTGCATGGCACCTTTCCCTGCAGCAATAATAAGAACTGTTACCTAATAAATACAAGGTGCTTACATTTAGAAAGCTCTGAGCTGTCACATTCACGATCTCAACTAATTCTATGACACCTATGCAAAGTAAGAAGGAAGGAATCCCCATTTTACAGAAGGGGAATATGAAGCCCTCACACTGACATCGGTTGCAGAAGTGTGGCTACATTTCAAGTGTCCTGACCCTGACCGCTGACACTAGGCTCTTTTCACTGTGTTATGTTGTTACTTAAGAGACGATAGAGACCATGTTGCTGAGCAGCGTGTAGAAAGGGCTTCCACCAAGTGCAGATACAGCAGTGGAGGTCTAGAAAGCAGGAGAAATTCTCTTTATGTTTTGGCAAAGGCAGGATGAGAATTCTAAGATGACCTGTTTTAAACCTTATAGAATAGCATATTTCTCTTTGACACATGATGATTCTTGTAAATGTAAGAGAATAAAGCTTTTCTCTCATGTGGGCTAGTAGATATCTTCTATTCTTCCTTCCTCCTGGGCTACTGAAGAAAACCGAGATTTCTTAAATCTTGGTTTAAGAAAACCGAGTGAAGAAAAACTCTATTTCTTAAAAAGTTTTATTTTTATAAGTAGCCTCTCCCAGTGTCATCGTCAAAGTTCTGTGTGAGAAGCCTTTCAATGAAATGCTGCTTAAAGCTTTTTTCTTCCTCCATTTCAATGTTCTGCAAAGAGAGGGCTCAGAGATGATGATGGTGCCACTTGTGCAGGGCCTTCCGTTTGCTTCAGGAGTCCATGCCTGGGAGAGGAGGACATTGCCCAATTTGCTGTACAGCAGAGAAGGTGCCACACCCAGGGAGAGAGAATCTATATGGACCTCCTACTTAGGCAGAGGTGTATGTGGAGGAAGGTAGAAGGAAGTGAAAGGCAGCCAGGTGGCTGGAGCCAGGATGAGGAGAGCTGGAGATTTGAGGTGGGGGTAGGGAGAGAAGAGTCCAGAGAAAGACAGCAGGAGTGGACATTCTCGCTTGGAGGCCTGGCAGGCTGCAGGGAGGAGCCACAGACAGGAAAGCCTTTATAGCCAGCACCTCTGTAGTGCAGAATGCTGGGCAAGGCCTTGCCCTGGGTGAGAGCCAAGGAGGCAGCCTGGGAGCTGTATAACAGAACTGGCAGCAGGAAAGGATTTTATTTCCTGCTGAGCATGTTCTGCCCCTACCCAGAGGCCCCTACCTGCCCTGGAGACCTACTGATGTCTCCCACTACCATGTCCCGCCTGTGCCTTACTGAAACACAAAGACTTATCATGAGAAGCTCCGAAGCACCAAAAGGAAAAGGCTGGATCATGACCTGGCCTTGGCCTCCAGGCTAAATAATGAGGCAACTCTGAAGCCAGTGTCAGAGGGTAAACTGTGATGAAAGAATAGATGATAACTAGCCCATCCACGGGGGACTGGAGTGCGCTTAAATGGTCAGGCTTTAAAGAGGGTCCAGTCAGAGCCCCAGCCAGCTTATCCTAGCCCTTTTATTGGGATGGGTGCTAGGAATGGGCTTCTGCAGTCCACACACATGTAGGGGCATGTACACTTGCATCCCTGAACAAGGCCGGCCTTCTGTCACATGCCCTTTGCTGGGCATTTGTGCTATCTCTGTATTAGTTCATTTTCTTATTGCTATGAAGAAATACCCAAGACTGGGCAATTTACAAAGAAAAAGAGATTTAATGGACTCTTAGTTCCACATGGCTGGGGAGGGCTCACAGTCATGGTGGGAGGTGAAGGAGGAGCAAAGGCACATCTTACATGGTGGCAGGCAAGAGTTTGTGCAGGGGAACTGCCCTTTATAAAACCATCAGATCTCATATAAGTCTTATTCACTATCATGAGAACAGCATGGGAAAAACCTGCCCCCATGATTCAGTTACCTCCCACTGGGTCCCTCCCACGACACATAGGATGATGGTAGCTACAATTCAAGATGAGATTTGGGTGGGGACACAGCCAAACCATATCATTCTCCATAGGTGGCTTTGGTCCATGACAGCCTGCAAGTTCCTTTTCAATGCTCAGGCCTGGCTCTTTGGCCCAGGGTAGTCTGGATTATCAGCAAGGGGCCCAGGAGTCATCATTCCCAGGAAATGCAGAGCTTCCCTGTAGGCTTGCTCTGAAGTTCCCTCCTGCCAATTTGTACAGCTGAGGGATCTCAGAGCCCCTGCCCTCCCTGGGAGGCCTTGGGATCCCCACTCTCGTGCATACCAACACCTTCTCCTTACCTGCACACCCTGCAAGCCATGTGCTGTGGTGAGACAGCCCCTGCCACCTGCTCACTCTCACCATAGCTGGGGCCCCTGGCGTCTGTTTCTGCTGTGGAGCTGTGAGGCTGTGCTGTGGGTGGCCTGGCTAGTTCTCTGGCAGGGAGAAGTGCACCATGGGCAAGGTGAGGGGTCAGCCTCTGTAAGCCCTACAGCATTCTCTGGAAGCAGTCCATTTCTGTGAACTCTTGAGGGCCTGCAACAACCATGGCTGAGCCCAGACTAACCTCTGGGCAGCCCCTACCCTTGCCAGTTATGTTTCATGGGAGCCTGATTATTTTTAACAGATTCTCCTATTGTTTCAGTTGCTTGTAGTAAATGTTGCTCTGCAGCATTGATGCTAGGGTAGTGCCAGCCAGAAACCTGTGCAATGCTCAGATCTGGCTCTTTGGCCCAGGATAGTCTGGATTATCAGACTGGGTTTATTTTTCTTGGCATTGCAGTCTGGCTTCCTGATTATCTTTCAAACACACATTTGCATGGCATTTCCTTCCATACTGAGCAGATTCCATCAACAGTCTTGGGATTCCACTTTTCCTTTGCAATATGGACGTTTTTGCATCAGTTTGCATTAGCTGTTAGTGAAACTGGCACTGCATCTGCAGGCAGACATCGCCAGACCGCAGCACAGTTCATCTTCAGATGTTTTCCTTTTCCATGTTGGTGGCAGCTTCCTTTGCTCCTTCCCTCCTTCTCAAGATAAATTCCCCAAAGCTTGGACCCAGCACTTTCTGCCTATTCTCATGGTTTTTGTTGGGGTATGAATGCCTTAGATGGCACAGAGAGGCATTGGAGATTTACAGCCCTTTTTATTATGACTGCACTTGAGCTGCTGTCCCAGCAGCAGACCTCTTCCTTTTGATGACAGGTCAATTGGTCAATTCCGGGTTGCTCTGTTGGCTTCTTCATCAGACTGTAAGCTCCATGTAGGTAGGGTCTATGTCTGACTTGTTCACCCTTGTGAACCCAGACAGTGGTCCAGAGCCTGGCACATAGTGAGCACTCAATAAACATTTATTGAATGTACAAATAAATAGAATGTTCTTTCAAGCTGAGCAGCTGACTACCTGTGATGAGTTCCCTTAAAAAAGCTTAATAGCTTTTTTTTTTTTTTTTTTTTTGAGACAGTCTCACTCTGTCACCCGGGCTGGAGTGCAGGGGCGCAATCTTGGCTCACTGCAACCTCTGCTTCCCAGGCTCAAGTGATTCTCCTGCCTCAGCCTCTCAAGTATCTGGAACTATAGGTGTGTGCCACCATGCCCACCTAATTTTTGTATTTTTAGTACAGATAGGTGTTTTGCCATGTTGGCCAGGCTGGTCTCAAACTCCTGGCCTCAAGTGATCCACCCACCTCAGCCTCCCCAAGTGCTGGGATTACAGATGTGAACCACCGTGCCTGACCAATGCTTGATAGCTCTTGAATGATCAGTCTCAGAAATAAAACTTGCAATCCAGATTAACGCCAACCAAGAGTTAAACATCTCAAGGCCAGAGAGCAACATGCTCACTGCTCATGGAGTCACATGTACTGACCTCAGGACATCCTTGGTAAACAGCGCAGTGCACAGCCCCTGGCAGGCTAGCTTGTTAGGGCTTATTAGGCCAACAGCCACGGTCCCTTCCAGCCTGGGTTCCACTGGAACCCAGCGGGTTACTCGGACCGCTGCTATGTCATGGGCTGGCCTGCCTTCCTCCACACACGGGGCCGTAAATGTGATGTGCGGCACCTGCTGTTTGGTGTCGGGAGCTGCTCTTTTCTTGGAAGTTTTGCTGAAAGGTAGGTGAAGCCTTAGGGAGAAATCTCATTTAAAAATCAAGTTTCCACTTCCCAGAGAAACAGAAGAACTATCATCCACTAAAGCATTTCTTCAGGATCATGAAGAAGGTTATTCAGCTGGGGTGGCAGCATCCGGAGCAGAGGTTTAAGGTCTAGATGTTAGATTGCAAGGGGACTGCCCAGAGGCCTCGCTGGGGAGAATACAGTGGAAAACATTGAGGCAGAGGAGATCCTGGCTCCCACCGCGTCCATACCAGGGCTCTGTCACCCTCTCTCCAGGAGCTGGGCCCACAAGTAGAACCGGCTTCACGTTGATCCAAGCCAGGTATAACCAGGACAAGGAGTGGCTGGGGTTGAATCAGAGAATGTCCCCTTAGGCAAAACCTTGGTGACTTTGAAAGCCATGTGTGCTATTCCAGAGGTCTCTTATACCCACACCTCTCACCTTCAGTGCCGCAGGATGACCATGAAGCACTTTGGTGGTATTTTAAGTGCCTCGGTTTCTGCGAGAAACTCAAATAGTAGTAATGGCAAATATTTACATATGGCTTATTCTGCACCAGGTACAGGTCTCATGGTGAAAGGTTAATATTATGGTCCCGATTTTGCAGATGAGGAAACGGAGGCTTACAGAGGTGAAGTAATTTGCCCAAGGGCATCAGGCCAGTTAGTGGTGGAGCTGAGATTTGAACCCAGGCAGTCTGGCTCCAGCCTGTGAGTCCCTCCCCATCTGCCTACTGCATGCGGGGGTGGTATGACCAGCAGGGTCAACTTCGCCTGGGGTCCACATCTGCCTTTCTCCCTTGCATTCGGTGTTAGGTCCTGTCACAAACATTGTCCCATTGGATCCTTATAGGGAGGGTAGAGTGTCCCCGTCTTTTCTAATTTTTTGGAGTTTTTATTCAATTTATTTTGTTTAAGCAGATAAAAGACACATTAGCCACACTGCTGTGCATTTCCCAAAGACCACAGGAAAAAAACTCAAAAACTCATGGCATTAACATAGTATTTCATTTTCTAACAGCTTTATTGGGATATAATTTACATGCCAGAAAACTGATCCATTTTATGTACAAGTCAATGATTTTTGGTCTGTTTGCAGAATTTTCTAAAATTAGTTTGTCACTACAATCTAATTTTAGAACATTTTCATCACCTGCAAAAGAAACTTGATGCCGATATCCAGGCACCCCCATGCCCACCCCAGCCCTAGGCAACCCCTAACTCACTTTTTGTCACTGTACTCTTGCCTCCTCTGGGCATGTCTCACATGGACTCATACACAATGTGTCACTTTGTTTCTGACTTTCTCCACTGGGCACAGTGTTCTTGAGGTTCTTCCATGTTGTTGCATGTCTTTTGGTTGCTGAATCATATTCCATCACATGTGCCACATTTTGTGCATCCGTTCATCGGCTGATGAACATCTTGGTTGCTTCCACTCTTTGGCTATTGTATTACCCTCTTTAGATGGAAAAAGAACTGCATCCTAGAGAAGTCTTACGGCCTCGGTATAGACATCATCAGTGGAGTCTGGCTGGCCCAGGCCGGTGCCTTCTGGTTGATTCACTCAAAATAGGTGTCGAAACTGACACCTATTTACTCCTTTTTTGTGCCCAGCACTGGGCTCAGCCCTGGGAGCCCTGCAGCAAGTAAGACGCACATGGTCCCCGCCTTCATGGGATTGTCATGCAGGCAAGCAGTAAGTGAGCAAATCAAGGCAGGTGAGTGTTAGGTAGTGATGAGTGCTGGGAAGGAAATCAAATAAGATAATGTGGAGACATATAATAAGGACTTTAGAATTTTTCTGCTTTTTAATTTTAGTTAAACTTCTCTCAATTTCTCCCCGGCAGTAGACATTTCTATTTTACTTAAAGAATTATCCAAATACATTTCACTTTACATGGAAAATGTGCAAAGATTTGAGAGGTGAGAAATCATTTTTATCTGTATGCTTTAGGGACTGAGACACTGCTGTGGATGGGGCGGCTTCTCTCCATACTTTGTGGGGTCAGTGAAGGACTCCTCGCTTCCCTCTGCCACCCCTGCCTAACAAGGCACCCTCCTTTCCATTTAGCAATCCGGGTCATCGCAGAGGCCTCAATAGCCCCAAGCAGAAACTGCACTCGTGTGTGTGAGCAAATTACCCCAGTTATCTGGCCATGTAGAAAGCTACAGTTTTACTCTTCATGAAAAATTAAAATCTTGTCCTGATCTGATGTAAGGAAAAGGATGAGGCAACTTGGAGGAACTCAGCTATTGTTGATCAGGCAGATGATAAACTACACATTTTCTTGACTCAGGGGATCAATGGAGAATCTTAGAGAGAAACTCACAGAAGAAATTAAGATTAAATTTGCAAGCCTGTAATATGGGGAATGCATTCTAACAACTACAGCAAAATAAGGCTCTCTCCTGAAAATGCATTATTTATCCCCGCCTGTTACCACAGCTACGGATGCTCCTTCCTGTGGTCTGAACCCGAGTGGGTTATGGAAGCAGTCCAGAGACAGACGACTTGCTCACCAATACAGTTAGAATTTCAGATGAGCAGTCAAGATATTTTTAAACTGTTTGTGTGTATAGCCACACCATAAATCGTGAAGATGAAGGTAGCTGAGTGAGCCTAAATCCAAATGGGGCCACAATGTGGGCTTTATGCAGCATACATTTTATTAAGAGAAAAAAAATCAGGGAATCGGTTATGTGGCTCATTCCCACACATTTTTCATTAGTAATATCTTGGAAGAACATCAAAAGTGGTTCTTGGTTCAATGGGGACCTTCAGTAGAAGAACATAATTTGCCTCCTAATGAAACTCACTCACACAACGATATGTACCACAGTGAAAATCAGGAAGAGATACTTGTATGGCTGGCATTAATGATTGGCGTCTCCCTCAGATGTCATCGCTGTCAAAGCCACACTGGCCAGACAATGGGAACTTTCCAGTAATTGAAGCATAAAGTGACATGAAATGTCCCCAACAAGAGGTATGCCTCAGTACCTAAGACAGAGTTATTAATTTAATTATTTGGGCAAATTTCTGTCTGAATTCTCTGGAAAATTGGCACTTCTCAGGAAAAGAAAAAAAAACATTTTTTGCAGAGTTTTGAAGATAAAGTTTGAAGAAGATGCTTTCAGAAAAGTTGCCGCCCAAACCAAATAAAATTTCAGCAGGTTGTTCTCTAAGAGAAGAGAAGCAGACAAAACATTAAAGGGTCATTTTCCCCCCGTGTCTTCCTGAGAAGAGAATAACTTGAGTCCATTAAGAGCGGGGTTTTGGGAATCACACAGCACTGTTTGATATGCAACTCTGGTGGCCTTGGGCAAGCCACATGTGCTCTCCAGCCTCAGTTTCCTTATTTGTAAATTGGGAACATAGTTAAACCCTGTCTCCATAGGTTTGCTAGGAGGATTAAATGAGTTGTATGAAAATCATTGAACACAGACTAGCAGGCCTAAAGTAAATGCCCAACATAATGGTAGTCTATTGAAAAGACCTAAAAAGAATGGAATTTGTTAGAATAGTAGAGCAAATGAGAGAGAAAATGGCTGAACTGCTTATTGGTTATCTGTGAGAAATTTGACTCCTTTCCTTTAGAAATCAGAGTAGTATTTGTATAAGCCAACTAAGCTATCTGCAGATTTGAAGAATATATTTTAAGCTTTTTCTTTTTCTTTTTTCTTTCTAGATTTTTACTCACTAATAATTATTGAATCATTTAAACATATTTTAAACCAAATTTTAAACCTAAATAGTAGGTAAACATCTTCATGTCAATAGTATTAGTTTGCTTGCTTCTTAAGCAAAATGCTGACAGCAGAATAAGGCTGCAGGGGCACAAAAGTCTTCAATAAGAAAATGATTTACTGAGGACGTACTGTGTGCCAGATGCAGCCCCACCCCCAGATGTTGAGGCACTTTGCCTAAGAGGCCAAGGTCATGGGTGTAAACTTTAGGTGGGTCAGTTAGATTCATTCTGATTGGCTTGATCCTTCTTCAGGTGAAGAAGGATCCCATGACCACCATATATGTATATATAAAGATGGCTCAATGAGTGTCTCACTGACTCGGGGTCAGTGAGGTCCACTCTACAGAGAAAGGACAAGCTCTGACCCTTGAATAGGGGAATTGTAGTTGGGTAAATAGGGCTCAGAAGGACATGTTGGACATGGACAGAGATTTCTCCTCTATCCTGAGAGAATGGACATATGTCAGTGAAGGTGGAAATTTGACATCTGTGCACTTTTTTTCTGTGTGAGTTTACCAAGGAGGTAAGTGGCTAGGCTATAAAAAATTCACAGAACCATTCTCCACAACAACTTCTCTCTAACTAGCTTTCCCATCATGCATGAATATTTACACCTGCTTAAAATGCTGGGGATTGGAGGAACAAACTTTGTTCTCAGTCTTAAATTTTCCTGAGAGCTATGAAAGCATTGGTATAACAATGTGCTGCTAAACTGAGGGCCTTGACCAGTGTTCATGTCAAGCCCATGTCAGCCATGCATGAAAACCAAACTGCAATGTGGTATACACAAGACAAGGCGGTCGAGGGGCCATAAGCTCGTTGCCCAAGATGTAGCACTCACTAGCCGCCCAGTTCCTTCATCTTTTTGTAACTGAGCTTAATGGAATTTGCCTCAAGCTGAATGACAGAGCCTCCAAAGGTTTGGAGACTGATTCCATTTGGTTTAGCTGTTCAGCAAGCCTCTTATCCGGGAGTGATGATCTCATTTTTGCCCGTTTTTGCCCCAGCAGCCTCTCTCTTCACACCTTTCTGCTGGCCTCAGCACCTTTCTTTGCCTCTGCTACTTTCCTTTTCTCTCGTCCTCCTCCTTTCCTGAACTTTGCTTCTGCTGTGCACCCCTCACCCACCTTACCCTCCTGCCACCTTCTCAGAGAGCCCCACAAGATAAGCCTTATTCGCCCAGACTCCTCTGGAGGGTGGACATTAAAAGCCAGTTCCACCACTCAGAGCTCCTAGAAGGCAGGAACTCTCACACACGCGTGAGAGCAGGGTAGCAGAGGTGGCTCACGAATGCAGATTCACTCACAGGCAAATTGTTGAAGTAGCGGGGAGGGCTGATTATGCAGACCACTCCAAATTCAATCTCCCAGTTTATGTTATCACAGGAGCTCATGATGGAAGCACCACCCGATAATTCCGACTTGCCTATTACTTATTCTTTATCTAGAGGAAATAAAGAGAAACAATTACCTTGGTGTGACATTCTGCCATGTCTACAAAGCCACCTGCACCTGAGACTTTGCCAGCAGCAGAAATAACGAGTTAAGTGCTAAATATTTCATAGAGAAGAGAGTAGCAGGGCTATTGAAAATAAATTCAAAAGACCTTCATGTATTCTGGTCATATATCCCTGGCATAAAACTTCTCCAGAGATAAAATAGCTTTCTGACAGGAGGGTTGTGGCAGGGGAGGGGGAGGCACGGTACAGGGAACAGGGAAGGCAGCCCTGGAAAACCCTCCTGGCCTCCCCGTTCCCACGGTCGGACGCCGCCTTTGTGAAAGCATCTTTGAAATGATTGAGGTTGAACTATTACTGCAGAGCCCTTTTCAATAATGAATTTTAAATTATAAATGACATTTTGGTGTGTGCCCTTCTCTCCCACCTATTGGTAGTTAACTGGGAAAATTGATGCGGTTTTTGTCAGGACGGAGCAAATTCTCGGGAACAGGAGCCTGAAGCTTAGTTTTAGTTCCTAACTGAGACATGTGACGGACGTCCAGCTCCCCTGCTTCCCATACTTAAATGCCTGCCCGGGCCATGTCCTGGGGCCAGCCTGGGCTGCACACGAGGCTCACAGCCTGCTTGTGACACATGAGCTGAGGCATTCCTTTTTATTCTCTCTCTGCTGAGGACAGCCTTTGGGAACCTAACATTAGGATGACTTCGGGGCCACGGAATGACTTGGGTTTCCCCGCGAACACTGTGAGGCTGAGTTCCCCCATGGGTGTTGGGAGCACCGGGAGGAAGTGGGTGCCATCAATTAAAATTACGGGCCTCGTTCATGAGATACTTATCAGTCAAAACTGCAAAGCAGTTGCTGTTTGTTTACTGCGTTTAAAGGAAGCTGCTAAGACAGAGGAGAGATAATTTAAGAGTAATCATTGGTGAGCCAGTCCTTTCCACTGACCCTGGTGCTCGGAGTTTTCTCTCATTGCATCAACCATTTTTGGCAATTAGATGTGCTTTCCTTATTAATGCCAGGGTAGGGAAGCAGAAAATGAAGGCTCTTCCTCACAAGTAGCTGCTTAATGTTGCAGTGCCTGCCTGTAAGTCACGAAAGCCATGGAGTTTTGCCCATCCTTGAGCACAGAATGCCTTTAATGACAGCTACAGAATAGAACCATTAACAGAAATGAGCAAATCCTGGCATTTTCCACTGGCCTGTGCATTTCTCAGTGCACTGATGGAGCTAGGGACACTCCTTCACGGGGGCTACAGATGAAAATGCCCAGCCTGAACCTGTGTTCCGGGGGGTGCTGTGCTCTCTAGCTGGGCACTGGCACTTGCAGTTCTCAGCAAGAGCCTGGCCCTGTCTCCCGTTTGTTCATTCTTGGGCAGCATGCGTGGAGGACGTGATGAGAGAGGGTGATGCAGGGGTCAAAAACTGGGGCATGGAGGGATTGTGTGAATGTCCCATTCCCTGGTTATTAGGCACCACCTGTATGCAAGAGGCCACCCCAGATGCTGCACTCCCCATGTCTCAGCTCCCCCTGAAGATGAGCCTAAGGTGGAAAGAAAATACAGCAGGCGGAGTTGAGGTGAGATTTAGAATCTGTTTTCTTTACTGTGGGTTAGATCATACCATCCCTGTAGCAAGATGACATGGTTTGGCTGTGTCCCCACCCAAAATCTCATCTTGAGTTGTAATTCAAATTGCAATCCCCATGTATTGGGGGAGGGACCTCATGGGAGGTGATTAGATTATGGGGGCAGCTCCCCCATGCTGTTCTTATGATAGTGAGTGAGTTCGCACAAGATCTGATGGTTTTATAAGGAGCTTTTCTCCTCTTCACTCTGCACTCATTGTCTCTCCTGCCACCCTGTGAAGAGGTGCCTTCTACCATGATTGTAAGTTTCCTGAGGCTTCCCTAGCCATGGGAAACTGTGAGTGAATTAAACCTCTTTCCTCTGTAAATTACCCAGTCTCAGGTATTTCTTCACAGCAGCATGAGAACAGACTAATACCTAAGATTTCTCTAGAGATTCTATCTCTGTTATTACACCTTTCTTAGAGATTCCAAATGTGGAAGACTCCTCTATTCAAGCATATGTAGGTAATGTGTTGACGCGGAGGCAGAGGTCTGGCCTAATAACCTCTTGACCCCCTAAGCAGTTGGGCAGCCCTCACCACACACTGCATGTGTGGTGCTGCAGCGTGTGCTGATGGCTGTCGAAGTGGTTACGGGGTCAAGCATGACTGGTCGGTGCTGATCTCAGACCATGGGAGGGACACACTGCATGCAGCTAGGAGCCACTTTGTCCAGTCACGACCAAAGGGCCAAGCATTCTACCCTGTCGCTGATACTGCAGACCAGCTGGTTAGGAGTCAAACTGCCAAGCAGCTGACATGCTTTGACGTGTCACCTGTACAAAACACACCATTGATTTTTTTTTTCTTTTCTTTTCAAATCAGAGTCTCTCCAATAGCATCTGAAAACTGTAGAAACAGAGCACTAGATTAGAACACATTGGACAGGCAAGGTTATCTTCTCTAGAGAAGAAATCAACAGCTGCCCCTACTGGGAGGAAAAGTGTCTAAAGAAACAGGGAGGGGAAGGCGTGTCAGAACTGGAACTAGGTGATAAACCCTGCAGGAGTCACAATAGCCTTTGCTGAGAAAGCAAGGTCATGGGCAGGAGCTCCCCCTGCCATGGCTTGTGAGTGTGAGTCCAGGCAAGGTGAACAGTACAAGAGTCAGGGCACAGTGGGACTGGGAGTACAGGCACCAAGGCCATTGCCCTCCAACCCCTGCTACACACTCAGGGACCTTGGGAAAATCACATCCCTGTTCAAACCCTGGTGTATTCATCTTTCAAGGCTGGGGTTAGACTTGATGACCAAGATGTCCTTGCCATGTCAGCATTTGGATGGTCTTCTATCATTTGTCTATAAGCTGATTCTGAAAGTTGAAGACAAATAAATCGCATTTACATTAGTATGACTGTGAGATGCCAATGTTGGAGAGTCAAATCATGTCCTAGTATTTCATTTAGTTCTCTATGCATCCAGCATACCAACTCTGAGCCATTCAGTGAAGACTCTTTTCTGGTATCAGGCTGAAATAAATTCTCCTTTTTTACCCTCCATCAATTGCCTTCCACATATCCTCACATTTTCTAGGCATTCACTAATATGATTTCTTTTATCATCAGTTGTGTTTTTTATGGAGTCCTTTCTTCTGGAGCCTCTTTTTCTTATTCTAATCTAGAATGTTCTTTTTGCTCGCACTCTCCTTCCCAAGTTATCCTGAATTTCCTTTCTTGGCTTGCACTTTCTCTTTTCTGGGGTACACCCTTATGTTATTTCCTGAGAAAGTGTGCACAGGAGTTCCACTTTCTATTACTCACATATTTGAAAATGCTTTCATTCTGTACTTGTACTTGATTGACAGATCGGCTGGATATAGAATTCCAGGTTGAAATTTTTTCTTCTAATAGTCAAGATAGTATAACTGCTATATAACCCCCAAATATCAGTAGTATAATACAGTTTATTGTATACTCACAGCACAGCCTGCTCATTCCCCTGATGGAGTGCAGGAGTTCTCTGCTCCACACGGTAATTCTGAAACCAGATTCCTTCTATAGTGTGGCCCCCAAGGTCACTATGGACAAGGATGAGAGGGAGATTTGAAAGAACATGGAAAAGGCCCAGCAGCTCTTAACTGATCCAGCCCAGAGGTGACGTATCATTCTACTCACACCCTGTATGTGAGACCTAGTGGAATGGCCCCCTCTAGAGCAAGGGGGATGAAAAGTGTAGTGTTAACTGTGTATCCAGGAGAGAAAAACCACACCGTCATACTTTTAAAGGCATCATCTTTAAGCAAGCAGTGTCATTGGTAAAAAGTCCAATGCTAGACTGATCCTTATTCCTTGTGGGTGACCCATTTAATCTATCTGGAAGCTATTAGGATCATCCCTGTGTTAGTCCACTGAGGCTACTATAACAAAATCGCATAGCCTGGGTAGCTGATAAACAACAGAAATTTAAAATTTCGGTGGCTGAGAAGTCTAACATCAAAGCACTGGCCAAGTCAGAGTCTGGTGAGGGCCCACTTTCTGGTTCATAGATGGCACCTTTCAGCTGTGTCCTCACATGGCAGAAGGGGCAGAGGCCTCTCTGGGGTCTCTTTTATGAGGGCACCAATCCCATCCATGAGAATTCCACTCTCCTGACCTAATCACCTCCCAAAGGCCCCACATCCTAATACCATCACCTTGGGGGTTAAGATTTCAACATATGAGTTGAGGGGGACACAGCATTGGGACCAGAGCAATCCCTTCATGAACCCTTTAAGGTTCATGAGAGTAGAAGCTGATTCACTCACTTATCTCCAGTTTCTATGCCTGGCACAAAACAGGGCGAGGATCAGAGTGAGGCAATTGAGGTGCGTGCCTCCAACACAAAGACGCGGTAGTTAAAACAAATAATATTTTAATGCAATATTTTACAAATCAAAATTAATGCAAAAAAATCCATGATGAACAAAATAACATTAATGTCCTTGATGTTATAAAATTTTGCAATGATGTGTCTGACTTTGTGGTTCCTTTTGTGGGTCCTTCAGCCTAAAGACATATATCCTTCCTCAAATAAAAGCAATTATAATTTTCTTAAGCAACTTCCTCTTCTCAGGTTTCTGTCTTTCTAAAAATCTTAATTGCATGTGAGACCTCCTGTATCAATATTTTCTGTTACTTTTCTCTTAAAGTGTCTGTTCTATATATTTTATTCTATATTCTGGAAAATTCTCTTGGCTTTATCATCTGATCTGAGTATTGAACTTTTTGTTTCAAGACTCATGTTTTTATTTATTTATTTTTATTTTATTTTATTTTATTTTATTTTATTTTATTTTATTTTATTTTATTTTATTTTTGAGGCAGAGTTTCACTCTTGTTCCCCAGGCTGGAGTGCAGTGGTGCAATCTTGGCTCACTGCAACCTCCACCTCCTGGGTTCAAGCGATTCTCCTGCCTCAGCCTCCTGAGTAGCTGTGATTACAGGCACGCGCCACTACTCTTGACTAAGTTTTGTATTTTTAGTAGAGACGGGGTTTCACCATGTTGGCCAGGCTGGTCTCAAACTCCTGACCCCAGGTGATCCGCCTGCCTCAGCGTCCCAAAATGCTGCAATTACAGGCGTGAGCCACTGCGCCCAGCCTAAGACTCATGCTTTTAATTTTCAAGCACACTTTCTTGCTTTCTGATTCCTAGAAGTGGCATCTTGTTGAAACCGACTGAGGATACTAGTTTGCAGTGTTTGGCTTTCTTTGGGAATTATGCTTTTACTTTTAGTTTTCTTCTGTCACATGGATTATCTCTGTTTGGGTTTTATTTTTAGTCAGCTGTCATTGTTTGTTCATCTGTTTGTTTTCAGCTCATCTGTGGTACTGCTCTGTGTGTTTTCTGTTGCGGGTCTGGCAATTCTTGGTTGTCCACTCCAATACGGAAGTAAGGACAGCACAAGGGTTGACTGGAAGCTCTTATTCCAGGGCAGGGCCTGTCAGCTGGCAGTTTCCACTTTAGGATGAGCAGGCTGGGAGCTGGGTGTCACGTGAGCAGCCCCTACGCAATGCCCTTCCAGAGTATGGAAGGTGCTAACACCCACAGGAACCACCGTGGTTCTCTGCGGGCTGTGGATTCCATTTCTTTAGGCAAAAAATTCTTCTGTTTTTTTTTTCTGCATAAGAGAGTTTTCCACATATAGCGCTTCAATTTTTCCCCATCCTTATCTTGACTGTGCCTCTGAGGGAGGTGTTATTTGGAGGTGGGCTCCCTGTACGGCGGCTGCCTCTTCTGCATATGTTCTGGGCTGTGGGCTGTGGACTGAGGTGTCCTCTGTCCTGTGCGCCAGTGAATGTTCTGGAAATGTACTTAAATCCCTTGCTCACCAAGGGTGCCTCTTCCACTATCTTTACTGTTGTAATTTACTCTTTTAAAGACATTGTAATTGAGTCTCAGCAGGCGAAAGAAATGCATGTACCTACCCTGTCATTTTGAACCCTCTCCTTTTGTTTTTAAAATGTTTGAAACATCTGGCTTTCTAATATTAGTATGTGGCATTCCCAGTTTAACATGCCCAAAGCAAAGCTGTTCCATCCCCTCTGCCAGGTCCAACACTATCTGCATCTCCTCCAGTCATGCTGGCTGCAGGGAACAGCACCAAAATTCACCCACTTGCTTAAAGTGGAAAACTGGGTCATCTGTCATTCATCCCTTTCCCAAAGCCACATCTCAATGCAGCTCTGGTTATGAGCTCTTGGACTGTTCTCTTCTCCTTGAGCAGATCTTGCCAACAGAGTTCCTGGCTCCATTGCATCCCTGGCCAATGCAGCCCACGGTCTTCAGAATTGGCGGCATTGGGTCTCCCAGCACACAGAGGAGAATCTATCACCTTGATCGCCATTCGGCCTCTTCACAATCCGGTCCTGAGGGGTCTTTCTAACCTTACCTCCCTCTGCTTTCCTCTGGCTCCTGCCCTCTGGCCAAGTGAGACCAGCAGTCCCCTCTCAGACACATCTTCTGCTTTCACATGTCTGTGCATTTGTTCAGCTTGAGATGCACTGACTTCTGTGAGGTCAGTGCAAAAGTAATTGTGGTTTTTGCAATTAAGAGTAATTATACCTGCCTTTCAAATACTGCCCTTCCTTTAGGGCCTGGATTAAATGCTATTTCTCAAGAAAGTTTCATGATTCCTGCACTTGTAGGGAATCTCTCACCCCCTCCACCCTCTCAGCTCTTCCCTCGTGTGTGTTATTGTGTAACGTATAGGTCATTCTGCATGTTGGTTGGGTAGCCGTCTGTTTCCCGCACTGAGCTGGAAAGTCCTGGAGGTGAGCTTGGTCATAGCTGGCCTGCCTGTCAGAAGTCCCTTGGCAGAGGTTGCAGCACAGGAACAACTGGGGGAGTTTGCCCGGTGCTGCCACACTGAGTCTCAGGTCTGGGACCTGGACCTTAGGCTGGGGTGTGGCTTGCTGAGCAGCTGACCTGCGGCCTGAATGGTGGTGCTGCTGATACAATGCTGACATGGCTAGAGGGAGAAAAGGCAGTGGCTCCGTGGCTTGGGCTCCTCTGCCTTAGAGGGCAGGTCTAGTAATTCTCTCAGAGAAACTTCGAGTCGGCCTTCATAAGAAAACAGAGGAAGAGATGAAGCCACAGTCACCTTCTTCCATTCTTAACTCACCCTAATACTGCTGATCACCTGTCTTGGAAATGAACCAAAATACAGACAGCCACAAACCACATCCAGCTTATCATTCCCACCCATCCTGGACTGTGGCACCCAGGGTCTGGTTCTAGCTCAGTGGGATGGAGTCATCTGCAAACCAGGAGAGCGATGCCCTGGGGCAGGGACACCCACAGGGCACTAAGACAAGACCCACAGAGCCCTTGTTGGTGCCCAGAGGTCCTGTGCTGGGTGGGCAGGCCTCCCCCTGCCTGCCTCCCCCAGCCTTCCCCATGGTGGGAAGTAACTATCTCTTATTTTCATCTTCCCAGCAAGAGGAGCTACAAACAGGCTACCAAGTAAGTCACCTGGTGCCTGGTACACCTTCCCCTTGCTGAGAGGCTCCTGCCTGTGAGAGGACAGGCAAATTGCTCCATAAATTATGAACCTGGAATGAATCTGCCAGGCGCCTCCTGTGTGGGGTTGAGGTTGTTCCCTAGGAGTGCCCCATTCTGAAGACAATTACTCTAATTGCTTTTGTTATTTCAGAAAACAAATTAAACCACCCGAGTGTTTCAAGGTAGAAAAACGTCTGCAATGTATAAGAAACATTTTAGGAGTGTTTAGTTCACAGCCAGCAGTGTCTGAGCAAACAGCCAGAAAGCAGTCACCAGGGAGCACAGGCTGCTCAGGAGGTTGAGGCCTTTATGAGGTGAGCCGTGTGCTCCATCGGGGTGGGGGTGCAAGCCTCTACTCCTGGCTTCTCTGAGGGAACTCCTGCCCTTCTCTCCCCCTTGCCTGCAAGACCTATGGATTCTGTCTTCTGCCCATCCCCTCCGTCACAGCCTTGACTCAGGCCCACCCTCTGTGACCCAGATTTCTGCAGCAGCCCCTGCTGAGGTCACTGTCTTCCTCCCAGCTGCCCTCCTTTCAGTCGCAGTAGGGGCGGCCCAAGACACAAGTAACACAATCAGATCATAATTTGCCACTTCTTAATGGCTTTGTGGCTTCCTGTAAGCTAGGAGACAACGTATCAGACAACCCTTGGCATCAGGGAGGGGAGAGCCAGCCTCCTCCTGCAGGCCCAGCCGTGGGAAACCTGGCTTCTCACACCTTCACTCTGTCATGCCACTGAGCCTCTGTCCCAGGGAATGCAGTGGTGTACACATACACACTCACACACACACACACACACACACACTCACATATACTCATTCTCACACATGCTCATATACACCCTCATATACTCACACACTCATATACTCACATACACGCATACTCCCACACTCATACACTCACTCTCACACACATACACATATACACACACACACCCACATACATATTCAGACATATATACACACACACTCTTACACTCACACATACACATGCACACATACATACATATACTCATACAATCATACTCTCACATACACTCACACATGCTCACACACTCATACACTGTCACATATACATTCACACTCATACACATACACACACATACAGTCACTCGTACTCACACACTCATATTCTCACACACACTCTCACACTTACACACACACACACTCACACTGACACACACACACTCACACTCTGACCCTAGACTGCTCCTCATTCCTCAGGCCAGGCGTCCTTCCCTGTGAAGCCTTCCCCAGCGTGCTGGGCTTAGGACTTATCTCAATTTCACACTGTCTTGCATCCATTTGTCTCTCTGTTGCCCTTGCCAGATTGTGAGCAGCCTGAGAGAGGCAGGGCCTTGCCCTGTTCACTTTGTACTCCTGTCATGTGGCAAAGGGTCTATTTATTACTCAGAGGGAATTCAATAAATGTTGACCGGATACATGGTAGATGGGTGGATGGATGAACTTTGAATGAATGAGTAACCCTGAGGATTGGTAAATGTTCTTTTTTTTTTTTTTTGAGACAGAGTCTCGCTCTTTCGCCCAGGCCGGACTGCAGTGGCGCTATCTCGGCTCACTGCAAGCTCCGCCTCCTGGGTTCACGCCATTCTCCTGCCTCAGCCTCCCGAGTAGCTGGGACTACAGGCGCCTGCCACCGCACCCGGCTAATTTTTTGTATTTTTAGTAGAGACGGGGTTTCACCGTGTTAGCCAGAATGGTCTCGATCTCCTGACCCCATGATCTGCCCGCCTCGGCCTCCCAAAGTGCTGGGATTACAGGCTTGAGCCACCGCACCTGGCCGGTAAGTGTTCTTGTCCCAAGGAATTCTTCTACCTCAACTCCACTCAAAATGAGAACCCTGGGGAAGAGAGAGATTGATGGATTGGCTCATCAGGGACTCTGTCCCCACCCTGCCCCCTCCTTTCCCATATGGGGAGCAGGATGTGGTGAGAAACTTGCTCAAGAAGTGGGTAAACACTTTGATGGCAGAGGCCATGTCCCGTTTCCTTCCACTCACAACCAAGTGAGGGGCACAAATTATTCCTTCCCCCTGCCCCACTGCAGGAAAATGTACAAATCCTAACTTAATCTCTCCCATAAGCACTGGAAGCTTGTTGGCATAGGGATTAGAGGTCTGGTCTCTACGATAAGCTAGCCACGATGTTGAGCCTTCAACCATCGATAAAATCACTTGGAAATCCAGTATCCCTGTTAGAGTTGGTTTCAGTGCCCATGTTGCATGCTGCTTTGTCAGGGTCCTCATTAAGACTTTCTTCCTCCCACCTTAGACAGCACTGACCCTCTGTTCAGGCTCACACAGTCGCTGTCACCCAGGCCCACCTGCAGCTGTGCTGCCACTCACCAAAGTCTGAGAGGAACTGCTCCCTTACCAGGACAGTGAGCACTGGCCCAACCCCACTGTGCTCCTCCATGTGTGTGGGGAGTGGCCTCCCCACCCCCTGCCCAGAGCAAGAACTGATTCTGGGTCACCCACCCAGGACTAGAACCCAGAGCTAGTCTGCCTCACTCCTGAACAACCACCGCTCCCACCATGGGCTGGGCTCAGCACCCTGCTTGGGGCTTCGTGGAATATGTGGCATGGGACCTGGCCTCAGGAAGCTTATTCTCTATTTGGGGGGAAAGTAACAAGATAATACAAGACAGCACAGAATCCTGTTCATATTTCTGTGGCACGGTCTTACGGATGAGAGGAGCTCAGAGGAGACTAATATGGGTTAAATCAGGTAGGAAAGACTTTGAGAGGCCATAAGAACTTGAGCCTGACTTTGAAGGGTGGGTAAGAAATAGAATGGGTGCTCCCAATGGAGGGAACACCAGGCAAAGAAAGGAGTGAGCATGGCATGGGCAGAGGCCAGGGGAGACCAATGTGGCAACGCCTTTCAGGGACTAGCAAAGATAGCAGGCCGGACTGCCCTATGTGCAAATTACCATTCATATAAATGACTGATACCCTTTACTGAGAACAAATGAGGAGAGAGAGAGAGTAAATACAAAGTGACTGCATGCATGAATCAATTAATAAACGAAGGTGTCGAGCACCTGAAGGCAGGTTGGAAAATAGGAAGGACCAGCAAAGGTAGGTGGGGGTTGGGGAAGCCAAGCACTGACTTCTTGGGGATGTATTATAGATGTGGTTGAGTAGAGACTGCTCCTATCAGGGAAGGTCACAGAAAGGTCCCACTTAAATTACTAGTTGAGTCCGCTATATTTTGTATGAAATACATACATAAAAAGTATGAAAACAGCCTCTTCTTTTGCATAACCTTTGAGAATTTCCCCGATCAAATCCTGCAGCTGGGTGAGCAACTCCCTGGCTCGACTCTGTGTGGCCTCCAGGTCCAGGGACCAAGTTTTCCCCAGGCTTCCTTGCAGCAGCTTTCTCCCTCCTTCATGGCTGACCTGCACCTCTCCCCTCCATGGGGGGAAGGTAGGAGTATGAGCTCAGTGCTGGAAGCTGCTGTTCTGGGAGAGTTGCTTGTGCCACAGGAGTCAAATGAACTTTTCCCCACGAGGCCGGCCCCTCTGCTGATGCTGTGTTTGTAAAACCAGTAAAGGTTTTCCTTTTGTGAAAGAGAGAGAGAGATATCCCTTGAACAACTGGAACCTTTTAAGCCTGGGCTATGGTTTTGTTTGGGGTATTTGGTGGTGTGGGGGTGGGACTGTCTTTCTCATTATTAAACCAGAAAAACCTGCATATGGACTCAGCAATGAAGAGTGATTTTGTTCTTGGGAAAATGTAGCAGCCTTCAAGTTAGTAACTTGGGCTCTTCTGGGCACCTCCACTGCCGCACCTGGCCTGGTGGATTTGCGCTCAGATAGAGCAAAGGCAGGGCTGGGCTACAGATGTCTTGTGCAGACGGGGAGGGGCGGCCCCAACACTGCTTAGTGTAAGTGTCATCTCAGAAGCAGAGCTTCTAGGTGGAACATCCAAGGGCACCTTGAGACGTGAGACGGTTGATCCATCACAGTTGTGATATGTCAGTGAGTACACACTCCAGGTTCAGGGACTGTCACCTTGGGAGGTGATTGAGACTGAATTCAAAACAATGAATCGATACTGACATGGAAGAATAGTTTGGCAAGAAGGCTTGGAACTGCTCTGCACCAAATTTGTAATGCCAGTGAAGAAGCCAGTCCTTGGCTTCCCCAGCCTCCACCTAACTTTGCTGGTCCTTCCTATTCTCCAGCCTGCCTTCAGGTGCTCAGCACCTTCATTTAGTAATTGATTCATTCATGCAGTCACTTGTATTCGTTCTCTCTCCTCATTTGCTCTCAGGAAAGGCTATCAGTCATCTATGCCAGGATATATTAAAGTCAAACTCCTTGACACAGGATATTGTACTTTAATCTTCATAGCTGTATGAAAAACCCAGTCCTCTGATTATGTAAGAAATTTGTCCTAGGAGGTTGAGAAGCCAGGAAAAGATGAGGGAGGAGAGTGTGCTTTAGGGAACAGACCATTTCCCCTGCCTTGCTGTCTGGGTTTGCACCCCAGAGAAGAAACACAAAGCACAGGTACAAGGGGAAAATGGATGGCCAGTGGTGAAGAGAAATTGCTCTAACACTTGGTTGAACTCAAGTCCAAATACGACAGGGACAGGTAGGGATTTACAGCTGGTGGAGTAAGGGAAAGGATGGAAAATTACCAAGAGGGCTTAGTTTGGTGTAGGGGGTGGGGAACTTGATTAGACTTCTAGGTGGAGGAAGAGACACTTGATTGGATATCAAGAGTGGAGGATCCTGGATAAATTGGCTTCTCAGGATTCTTTGCTAAAACTGGGCCCAGTAGACCAAGGATTAGGCCCTGCAAAGCAGAGGGCTCAAAAAAGCCTGACTAAAATTTGTTCAAATCTCTGTCACCAGGTACTCATAGGACAGGGAGTGTCTGTGAGGCCTGACACACAGTCACTAAGGATGCTGGCGTGGCCTTGGGCCTGCCGTGATTGCTTGCTGGTGCTTCATGCATAGTAAAGATGGTCAAATCCCTGAGACCTAGAAGAGACTTCCTGCCTCGCACGGCATTCCTCAGCCAGGCTTTGGAAGGAAGATGAAGCCAGACTCTGGTTGCTTGCGAACTCCAGGAGCACAAAGTCTCCCATCTCTGAGACCTTGGCCCAGGCGCAGCTCAGAAACTGAGTGTGGTGTCAGGTCACCTGCTCTCTAGGTTACAGAAAGCCCCAAACTGGCTCAAATAGTAGGGAAAATTATTTTTACACATTGCCAAGTCCATGAATAGGGCAGGCCCCAGGCTCAGAACCATCATCAGTATCAAGCGCCGGCTTCCTTCCACTCTATCATCCTTCGTGGGCCAGCTTAGCCTTCCAGCTGGACCGTGCAGAGTCACTCACAGACCCACATCCAAGGAAAAAGACTATCTCTTCAGAATCCTTCTTAGCACTCCTCACATTTCACTGGCCAGGGTAGTCTACCGGCTCCTTCCCGAACCAATCGTTGTCATGGAAGTGGGATTTCAGGAGTGTCTTTGATTAATCGTTAGGAGTGAAGTGGAGGCTCCAGAGTCAACCCCTGCATCCTCCACATGTGCTACTTTGAGTCCACTTGAGTTGAATTGAATTCTGGGCCACAGAGTTGAGTGTTAATGGGCTGAAAGATAATTAAGGTGTTTTCTACATCTTGGAGTGAGAACAAGAGCACGCATGTGCCCTGGCACCAAAGGGACACAGAGCTTGGCATATTTCCTAGGAATTCTCCAGGGTGTGGGGAGAGGGAGGACCAAGCTCCCAGGCCCTGCCCCTCAAGGGCTATGAGTGCCAAGCCTGTGTGTGAGCACCTGGCCAGCTTTCTGTTTGAGAAGACATCATCTGGGGGGCCAGAGGGGACATCGGGGCATGTCACAGAAGCAGTTGTCGTGGCTCTCTTGCCTCAGTGAGGACGTGGTCTTGAGATCTGTGTCTACCTTTCTCTCCCCAATGCCCCTTCTTTGGACAGTGTCTGTGATGGACTCAGGTGAGGTCAGATGGTTTTTGAAAGCAGATGGCCCCCACTTGCTGCCTGAGACCATTGTTTACTTCTCATATCATGGCTGGCAGCAGGGCCTGTGCTTGGCAGGACTCTTCCTCTAAACCTGCATAGGCCTAGAGCTTGTCTCATCCTTGCTGAGAGCCAGGAGGTTCTGAGGTGTGGTTGTGAGAATGTGTAGTTATTTTCTTATTTAAACATCCTAGGTCTCGGTCTTTTCTTTTTAAATGTGTTGGGGGAGTAAAGTTCTCAAATGAAGATAACTTATGAGACTTATTACGCAGGCTGATCAAATGGCATGATAAATCATATAAATGGTATAAAATGCTTTGATATGAATAGCAGAATAGTGAATAAGGATGAAGCATCCAACCCTTCTCCAAGGTCACTGGAGTGAAAAATATCTTATTGGGCGCCCCAGATATGTCCAGTCAGTCAGCAACAGAGCCTAGCTTGTAACTTCCGTAGAATTTCTTTGCTAATTCGGAGGGTTTGTTTGTTTGTTTGTTTGTTTGTTTAGGGAGTAAAAATCAAATTTGCATTCATCCCAGGATGTTTCAAGGACAGATTTACAGCAACAAACATTGGTGAACTAAAACTGGGAGATTGCACTGTAGAGTTAGGATATGGAACAGAAAAATGTTTAAAGCTCCAGTAAACTACCTAGAAATGTAATTAAGTCCCTTGCAAGAGGCCAAAATGCCAAAAATGTGACAGTCACCCTGTTCTTGAAGAACCACTTCTGGAGGTAATCAGTCTGTTATGACAGGGGAGGATGGATGGAGGCCCCAATATTGTGTCGTGGATTGAAACCCATGCTAGTTAGGGTATTGTCCCTTTAGATTGGCAATTTTAATATCAGAGCCACATTGACAGATGGAATTTGAGTAAGTGATTTGTGCAAGCAGTCCACAACTCACAAGAGAGTTTTGCTCCCAGCAGTTTAGCATTAGGCAGTCATCTAGACCTTTGAAAACAAAAATGCATTTTTTTCCACAGGAGTATTCTCCTGAATGTGGTTTGACTTCTGCACTAGTGTCCAAAACTTTATTTAACCTTCAATGTTGCTAAAAACTACTTTATACATACAATTAATATCATGGAATCCAATGTTATAAGAAAAATTGTAGCACTGAAAGGGAAATTGTTCCTTTATTTTCTCTTGCTTGGCGTAACCTGAAGGAAACAGATTTAACTGAAAGAGGATGAGAAGTTAGCCTCAGAGCATGCAAGAGTTGGAAGGCGTTTGAGCCAGAGCTCAATTCAAGCCCTTGTTTATCAAACGAGGAAACTGAGACTCAGAGAAATTTGGTGTTTGGCCCAAAGTCACACAGCCAGCAGTGTGACTAGCATTCAGGCCTGCCCTGACCCAGTGAATACTCCCTGTAGAAAGTTTCCAAAGAGACAATCAGATCCCCTAGGTAGCGTTGGGCCCCACTGGAAAGTCGACTTTTTTTCAGTTTCACTATAAAACATGCCCTGTTACTTCTTAAAACGGAGATGAGGCTTGCGACTATTAGGCTTCTCTAGGAATAGAGCCCTGGAGCTCATAGACAGAAAGAAAAGAAATGTGTGTTCATGCGAGAAGCAATGATAAGGTGAAACTAACTGAGCTGGAAACTGCAAAAGACCAGGAGCAGAAAATGTGTGGTCCCTGCAAGGAGGAGCGGGGACCCCAAAATCAGATGGCGGACAGACAGCTGCACACTAGGTGGCGCTGTCATCCCCCCGGTGGCTTGGTTGCTGCCCTTGGAAAGAGCACTGGGGAAGGTGTTACCGGTGGAGGGTGTCCAGGTTCTCGGTGTCTTGAACAAAGAATTGGACAAAACGCACAAAGCAAGAATGAAGTAACATAAGCAGAGATGTACTGAAAATGAAAGTACACTCCACAGTGTGGGAGCGGGCCTGAGCATAGGGCCTGAAGGGCCCCGTTACAGAATTTATGGGGGCTTAAATACCCTCTAGAGGATTCCATTGGTTACTTGGTTTACACCCTATTTAAATGAAGAGGATGAAGTAAAGTTACAAAGTCATTTACTCGGCGTACACCCTATGGGGAGGATATTTCCTTTCGTAGCTGAAGTGTGAATCAGCCTCATGTGTTTCCTGCCTCCAGATCCTATTTTCCTACCTCAAAGGAGGACCCTGTGTCCATGACAGGGGCAGGGGGAGAGTGTGGCATGATTCTTTGCCTAGGGAAAGGGGAGGGTGGTGAGACACACAGCTCACTAGTCCAGTGTGGATAAGCCAGAGTTCATCAAAGATAACCCAAAACTCAGCGCCACAGCATTTCACTTCCCAAAGCCTGAGTTGACGCTTATGGTCTCCTGTTCTCCCATGAGAGAGGTAGCCTTGGCCCCCACAGCCTCTTTCCTCTCCTGTGTGACCCCATTGCCTCAGACTACAAACTGCTGGAGGACAAGGACTGTCTGTTTGGTTTTGCTTTGTTGTTAATTCTCCACAGTCTCCTCTGCAGATGTTTGATAATATCTGCTAATTGAATATTTAATTTACTCAACTCTAAGGTAGATTTTTGAGAGCAAAACAATTTTTAAAAAAACATTATTTTATATTGACACTTGAAGTTCTAAATAAGTGGGTTTTTTTTAACCTGGAATTAAAAAAATCTAATCCTCGTCATATTTAATTGTCCTAAATACTGAGTGACTCTTGGTATGCTATTAATTCCACATGCAGACTCTTCATGGGTGGTGGCTGATGGGGGCTTCCCTCTCCACTGCTTTGGAGGAAGGGCTGCCCTGCACGGACCCCAGGGTGGTGGAAAGGGAAAGCACTCTCGGGGACTGTCGGTGGGTTTGCTTTGCTCTTTGTTTTTAGCCTCAGAATAAACATATGTGCCCTTTGCTTCAGCCTCTCAGGCCCAAGGAAATGGGGAAAAACAGTGGAATCTCTGCAGTTTCTGGAAGACTGCTGGCTGAAAGCTTCCCGAGAGCCTTCAGCCCCACACATGCCCTCCTGCTTCCAGAGGCAGGTGGGGTCTGTTGGAGGTGGGGGCAGTGACACCATACCTCTAAGGCAGAGGTCTGAGCCATCCATCAGCACCAGCCTGACTTTCAGAGGCCATGGGAGCTGGGGTGTCTAATGTCCGCTGCGCCTCTCCTCCGTCCCCGTCTACAACAGGTGTGTGTGCACCCTACCCCCTGCTGCTCCAGAGCTCCTGGAGGATGTGATGGGGCCTTCACAGGAGGCTGTCCAAGCCAACGCTTGAAACAATCTAAAAGGTTGCAGGTTTTACAGCACTCAATCCTTCCCTCCTCCTCTCCCACCTTGTGTTTGGTGATAATACTCCCACAGACAACAGTGATGCCAGTGCTTGTGTCTGTGAGGCCCTGGTAACTGGAAAACAGTTGCCCATCATCTGGGGGCATTCCCATGAGGCCAGGCCATCCCCAGTCCACAGATGGGACCCAGGCCCAGAGAGGACATGTGGCTTGCCAGATGCAGAAGGACGGGGATTCCAACCCCAGGGCACCTCTCTGGCATTCCCATTAAGGAAGCCTATTCTCTCCTCATGAAATACATGGGATGAGATGCTGCCTTGGCCAATGCCAGACCTAACTTCAATTTGGGATGAAGACAGAGAACGGGGAGGAAGGAGGCTCACTACCCAAGGAGGTGAGCTGATGGCATCCCTGTTTCTTCCTGGGCATACACAGCTGGGATTGTAAAACCCAAGGCAGATATTTCAAGGCTGCCATTACCATTTTCTGAAGGACAAAATCATTCTTTTTTATTAATACATAAATAACTTTTTTCTTGAGCAGGCCCAAAGAAATGAAACACAGATGGTGATAATGTTGAAAATGTTTACCTATTTCCTCTCTGAGGACATCAGATTAGCCTTTTCTGTGGGCGGAATGTGTAATCTGCTGGAAGACAATATCATCCTTTTGATCTTAAAATACATTTTTCATATCTTTGCCGCAAAAGCTGATTATTATCATGACATTTTTAAACAATGACTGTTCACTGCGCAGAATGGGAAAGGAAAGTTCAGCTGAACGTATAGATAGATAGATGCTTGTCGGAGGCCAGGCTATGGGAATGAATTTTCCTGTGTTTCTTCTGCCTGGTGACATTTGACATTAACCCCTTCCTCCCGGACTCGGTCTTGTGCACTAATTGGAATCTGATGCTCAGCTGTAGGAATTGGCTGCTCCTCATTTACATGCAGAGACCATTGATTAATGGCCTCATCCACTCCTTCCAAGGTCACTGTGTTCCCTTTTCTTCTGGAAGTTAAAGAATGCTTGATTAAATGGCAGAAGCAGATTGAATGGGGAAATGTATGGGGAAGGGCTTTGTTACACCAAGTGGGGCAATGCAGACTTGAGATGCTGACGACTCCTTTGTAGGTGGAGCCCATCAGTGCAAATGACACAGGCAGCTGAGAAGCGTTTGATTGGCCCCGCTGCCTTGGCTGGCTAACATGAAACTGACAATTCTAAGAGGCTCCTCTTCACAGCTCACTCGCATCCCTTCAGGGCTTCACAGCATTTCAAAGGAAAGGCATTGGATAAAGGAGAAAGCAGCAGAAGTGGAAAGGACACAGATTTCAAACATTCTGTTTCACATTGGCTACAGAGTTTTGTTTGTGCGGGGAAAGGGGTGAGTCTATGCATACCAGGTACCACCCACCTGTGTGCTCCAGAAGGCCCGTGATATCCTGCCCAGTTGCTGAAATCTATAAAATGTCAGGCCAGGTAGCAGCAGGGTGAAAGGCTGGAAGCAGCCAGCAAAGGAAAGGTTAACGTGCGCATGCTGTTTGCAGTTCCATGGCATGTGGCATCTTGCACAACCAGGCCATTTTGCAACCGAGTTAAAATTCCCCTGCAGCCACAGGGAGGGAATAGATAAATCATGAATGAATTGAAATTATATTTCCTTCTCTTAGCTTTCTTTTTTTCTTCTTCTTTTTTTTTTTCTTTCTCTATCTCCCCACTCCAGGAAAAATGTTACAGAAAATTATAGGTTGTAAATTCCACCCAGTGCATTTAGCTCCATCCTTGCTGAGGGTCAGAGGAATGGAATCTCACCAGTCATATTTCATGAGGTCTTTCAGCAAGTTCCTGTACTGTGTAGAGATCTGAAGGGCAAAAATTCAAAAAGTCAGCAGGGCACAAATGGACCAGAGGTAGGAAGCAGACAGGTTTCCTGGGGCATCCTCTGGGTGCAGCCAGGCTGTGTGTGCTCCCAGCTCTTCTCAACTCAGAACCATTCATGTCACAGATAGTTGGGGGCTCGTTCCTATGCTGGGGCAAAACCATAGTGAAGAAAATTGCATGCTTATGTGGTGTGTTACTTGTGCTTCAGGGTTTTTTGTTTTGTTTTGTTTTGTTTTGTTTTGTTTTTTTAAGTACAACTTTGTATGATGTGCCTTGACCATTGACAAGTCTTCAGAAAAAAAGGAAAGAAAGAAAGCTTCATACTATTGGGTCCTAACCCAAAGTGCCAGTGACCACCAAGGGCTGTTGGCCTCAGCAGGGAAAGCCTGTGTCTGGGTCTTGAAGGCAGTGTAGGCAGCAGGCAGAGAATCAGCTGGTTTTCCCCCTCCCTAAGCTGGACTAATGCGTAAGCTACACTGAAGAAAGGGGAGGGTGACCATCCCCCAAAAGCAGGGCTCACTAGCCAAGTGTGTAACCCAGAGCACATCAAAGCTAAAGCAAAAAGTAGAAGCCAAAGCTATCACAAGGCCTAAGTTGGCGTCCAGTCCGAGCATGGCCCACTTGTTGTCTCAGGACGGCCAGCTTCACAGCCAGTGGGCTTCATCTCCACCCACCAGGAGGTTTGGGCTAGGGTGTGTGTATGTGCATGTGTGAGTCAGTGAATGATGTGCTGCAGAAATCAGAGATACAGAAGGACCCTGAGGAGCTCCTCCAAGAGTCCCTGGGGTCCTAATATAACCAGGACATTATGCCCAAAAGACTGATCCACATGGCTGAGGCTCTTTACAGGAAATACCTGCATTGCTAACTTACTATCCCCAGAACGCCCTCCCCTGCCTTACACGTAGCAAGTAGAACTTGCTGATGACAAGACACTACGAGAGCTGGGAACCTAGAAGTATTCGGCGACTGTCAGACCTCCAGGAGCCTCCCTGTGGGTTCAGAGGGAGCATGCACATGAACTTCTGGGTGCTAGCCCAGGCTGGAGGCATTCCCTTCCTGGCAAGGGAGCAGGAGGCCAGCACAGGTTTGCAGAAGTCCATGTCCTCAGGCTGTGGTGGAGTGTGGGCACCAGGCCAGGAGTCTTGTTCATAATTCCATGTCACCAACCCTTTGCCTTTTGACCATTCACTTCTCTTCTAAGACCTTAAGTATCATTTTGCTCTTGAAGCCTCCTTGAATATGGTCTTGAGCTGACATAAAACTTCCCTTGGGATTTTCCTTCTTTTCTCTCCATCTAGACATTTCTCTTTTGCAGGCCTCTTTCAAAGACCCTCTCTTGTCAGCTTCAGCTGGCTAAGTCTGCATGCCTGGGCCTTTCTAGCAGGTATTTGAAAACGCAATCAATGTATGTTAAGAAATGTAATCAATGAGGTACACATATATATATATATATGCTTAAAAAACAAATTTATTTTATCTTTTGCTGTGTTATCGGTAGCAGTTGCAATGTTTTACCTTCGCCCAGAAGTTACTATGCCAGAAATGCTCTCATTCATTCTTATGGGTTCAGCGTTTCCTTGCCTATTATTTTCTTGGGAAATAAAAATACCTCTCAAGATAATTGCCCAGCATTTTCATAGGATGAGTTTGTCCTTTTTCTAAAGCAGGAAGGCTAGGAAGTACCAAGAAGAGGAGCCTGGGTAGATGAAGGAATAAAGAGGAGGAAATCTAAACATGGGGAGATTACTGAATGTGCCATGTGCACCTCTCCCTCTCCACTCTTCCTCAACTCAACCACAAACCTCCCAAGGCAGGGGCCACGTCTCCCTCATCTCTCTACCCTCCTCCTTTAGTATGGAGCCTGACACTCATGCCTTCATTTAACCAACCCATGTTGAGTGAGGGCTACTCTGCACCAAGTACTGGGCTGGGAGTGGGGCACCGAGTCAACAAGACAAGGCCCTGCCCTCAAGGCGATCTCAGTTTGTGAAGGAGATTGTCAACAGAGAAAACTCTAAAATGAAATGCCATGAGGAGACCCCTGTGATAGGAGAGAATGCTTTAGGAGCCCACACATCTTGGGGTCTCAGAAATTGCAGGCCTGGTCTGGTTGCTGAGGGACCACCCCCCACAGAAAAGAAAAAGAGCCTTCAAGCCCCAGAGGGTGACTGGCAAACTTTGTGTGGTATTCAGAACAGACAAATTCTAGGTCAACAGAATGTGGGTGGTGGCTTATCACAGAGCGGGGCAGCCATCGTGACTCGCGCTCGGCTGCCTCATGAATTCCCTTCAAATGTTCCCAGCTAACGTGTGATTCCATGGTGAGAGAAATGCCGCCTTTGAGGGCAGAGATATTTTCCTTTCTTGACAAATAGTTTCTATGTCCAGGCAGCCATCTGCCACCTCTGTGAGCTTATGAGATCCAGCGACTGCTGCTGAAGGTTCAGATTCAGGATTGATGCCGAAGTTGTGTGTGGAGGAAGGGGTATCGCTGGTGCAAACCCACCATTCAGAAAAAATTAAAATCCAGCACCCTTCCAGCTGAAGCTTGTCCAGGATTTCCTTGCCAAGTTTCATTTTTAAAAGCTCTGCAACTTTACTCAGATGTAGGTATTTTTGCTTTGTACTCAGATTTTCACCAAACTGATATATCATTAAACCTTTGTTTTTACAATACATGCTTTATTGCAAAACCAATTTCAACAAAGTATTGCAGATGCAATGTAATTTTTATGTCCTAGTTGTTGTTGTTTTTTTTTCTTTTTTGGTTGCTAGGGTACCAAATGCTTTTGAGAAAGTAGCGTGATAGTATCTATAATATGGTGGTTTTCTGGATAAGAGATTGCATTATCCTCATGTAATATATTTGGGCAGACTGTGTCCATCATGGCTCAGCTAGATAAATAAATTAAAACTCGCTGATTGAGGAGGAAATGTGATATTTATATTGCTGAGAATGGTTTGTGCTTCTCTTCTGACAGCTGCTGTGTTGCTGGGATGCCTCATCCCAACCCAACTTAGTTGTTTCCACTTCTTAGGAAATATAAAAATGCTGTAATGTTTTCAGGACTGTGAAAACACTGCCTTAGAGGCTGGGCAGCCACTGTTCCTCCAAAGCCTCCATCCCCTCAACCTGGCCCCCTCTTCCTGATTAGTCATGAGATGACCTAAGAGTCCTTATTGGACACCAACTCCGTGCTGGACATGGTGGCCCTTCATGGGGATCAGTGCCCTTGCTTGGGGCGTGCTGTGGCTCCCAGCCACAGACCCACTAGGAGGTTTCTAAGAAGGTGGCTTGTTCCTTCTCTTCCATTTCCTTCTCCAAGTTGACAGCCTTGGGTGGGCAAGAGTCAGGGCTGGCCCCAAGGTCTAAGCTCAGGCAGATATTGGTCCCCAGCTCCTTGGCCTGGGTCCAGGAGGGACTTGCCTTGAGATAGCCCAAGATAAGACAGCATAGGTCCCTATGTGAGGCCCCTCTGCCCAGGTGTAGTGAAGTGCTACTCCCAGGGACAGGTTCCATTGCCTGGGGGTGGGAGCATCCACTCAGAAGTTCATCTAGTCTGAATACAAGATCTTGGAAAAGCTATTATGCAGTCTGTGTACACTCAGATGTCATATGAAGACCGTGGGAATTATGATGATGATGATGATGATGGTGATGATGAAGAACTACAGACTTCAAGAGAAGGTGGCATGAATGGGGCCCTTCAGGAAGGAGAAAAAATTCCATGTTCTGTTACTGCCTTCTCACTGTCTGTGTTGTCGTTGGATGTAGAAGAAGAGTGACATAGAAGATACAGTATGGCACACTGAGGGGTGGCCTGGGCTTGGATCTGGAGTCACTCATCTGTTCATTCATTCATTCATTCATTCATTTTTGAGCCTGTATGTGCACAGGCATTGTTCTAGGCACTGATATTGAATTCAAGTTCATAATGCACCATTTGTATAACCTCCAACAAGTGACTTCACTGCTGTGCCTCAGTTGCTTCATAGAGTTGTTGGTAGGACTCTGACTAAATGGGACACTGCACAGAGTGCGCCTGCAATAAAGAACTGTCATCATCCTGTCTTTTAGATGTAGTCTGAGAACAGCAGAGCTGTGCCATGTGTGTTCTCTCTGGCAGGAATAGCAACAGGACACTCCACTCAGCTGCCTGGGGTCCCTGGAAGAGCATCCACTGGGGCTGCCCAAGCACAGCTCCTGCTTTCCTGGATTCAAATCCTGGCTCTACTACTTACAACCTGAGCGATCTTGGACTGATTGCTTAACCTCTTTGAGCCTCAATTTCTTCATCTACACAGTACATTTAATACGAGCACTTACCTCATAAGGAAGTTGTGAGGATTAAATGAGTTAATACATGTGCACCTCTCAGAGCCTAGCACTTAGTAAAGCACTAGATGTTAGCTGTTGTTGGTGGTGGTGTTTCTGGAGGAATTTCCATTTAAATGAGAAGTGCCTGTGGAAATTGCCTGCACAGAAATCTCTTAGCTCAGGAAAATTTCTCTGGCTGCAGATCCCTCTAAGAATTCCTGCATTGTTTTCCTCTCATTGCTCAGTGAAACACAAATACCTTTGTCGCCTTTAAAAAATTCAGTTGTTTGGTTTGGTACTTGAGAGATATGAGCAAAGGATGATACAACAAGAATAGTCTATATCTTCTTAGACATGCTTCTCCCCAGGTAATCAGAAAGGCAAGAGTGACACTCTGCCATGCAGCTAGAGTTTTTATATTTCCAATGGGAGTGAGGCCAGGCAGCCAGCTTCTCCTTCTCCTGGCAAGGCTCTTCTGCCAAGTTGGGAGGGCTCCATCCTCTGTGCCCCAACAGCCTGCTGTGTGGAACTCCACGGCAGCCCCAGATACTCTGTAGGTCTATCTCCCCAGCCAGGTGTGGGCTCCTGGGGGAAGAGGGACCATACTTTTTGTATCTGCATCTACAGTGCCTGACAGGGAAGCATTAGGAGGCAGGCAGACAGCAGGACAAATGGCTCCTTCTCTCTTTGGCTGTGGCCACCTTGGTGCCTATAGCTCATGCGCAATCTCGATGCTCTCTTCCCTTGGTGGAGAGGTACAGCAAATCCGTTGCCAGACAAACAGAAATATTCAATTCTTCCGCCCAACTTGAACAATTCTGTTTCCTTCTCAAATGCCTCAGGAGCCTTGGAGAAGTTCCTGTCCCTCCCCCCAGGCCTCAGTTTCTCATCTCTGAGATGAGGCTGCTCTGTACCCAGCAAAGTGTTCCACGGACCCTGGCTTAGCCCAAGTACAGACAGAGGTGGTGGCTCTGCTCCACACATGTGTTTCTGCTGTGTTTTGGTCCTGTTGGCCTTTTCTTGATGTTAACATTCTCTTTTTTTTCTTTTTTGAGACAGACTTTTGCTCTTGTTGCCCAGGCTAGAGTGAAGTGGCATGATCTCAGCTCACTGCAACCTCCCCCTCCTGGGTTCAAGCGATTCTTCTGCCTCAGCCTGCCAAGTAGCTGGCATTACAGGTGCCTGCCACCATGCCCAGCTAATTTTTTTTTTTTTAGTAGAGACAGAGTTTTGCCATGTTGGCCAGGCTGATCTTGAACTCCTGACCTCAGGTAATCCGCACGCCTCTGCCTCCCAAAGTGCTGGGATTACAGGCATGAGCCACCGTGCCTGGCCAACATTCTCAAACTTTCCTTTCGTAAACAGCAGGCCCTCAGAAGGCTTCCTGATTGGAAGGGAAACAGTGACCCTCAGCCAATGCAGGTGGAACAAATCAATGTGTGCAGACCCTGCCTGCCTAAATCAATTCAACCTGCCCTCTAGGGACTTTGCCATAACTGGGAAAGAGCTTCCTTCTCCGAGTTACTTAGGCCCAGATCTAACTCCCATCCTTTTGGTTTCCTCTCCCTCCATTCTTCTTCCTCTCCCAGTTCCCCTTCTTTCCTCCCTCCCATCATGCCTCTCCCTCCTCTGTCCCTGTCTCCCTCCACTCACCCCATTCCCCCTCCAGGGTGAAGAGTCTGGCTACCTGGGAACACCTGGGGTCTGGGTCTTGTCCAGCATGTACTAAGGGCTGGCATCACCTGGCTCTCCCCCATTGGTCTGCAGCCCTGATCTCCCCTCCTCTGTGAATGCTCCAGCTCCCTGATGGATCTGATCTGAAAAGGTGCCGGTAGACTCTGCATTAAGTCAGCTGCTTGTGGCACCAAGATGACAGGTGTGATGTTTTCCTGGGGATGCCGAACTGGGAAAAGTACCATCTCCTGTTGTAATGGAGTTAATGGCGTTCCGCTCAGGACAGCTGCACTTACATCTGGTGTTAAACCACCGTTATTTAAACTTTATGATGTGAGAGGATGCCAGCTCGTCCACTTGCAACATATAAATTATGTCGATTGCTCATGCACTTTTTTTAACCCTGATTCTTCTGAATTATGAAAGATGGACAAGACCAGTGGTGGTTCTCAGAGCTCCCCTGGGCCCTGTGGGCCGTGAGTGCTCGGTGTGTGTGCAGATGGCTAAAAGGAAGCAGCAGGGCCGGAGCCCATAGCCTCCCCCAGCCATTAGGGCACAGTCCTGGCTGAGCCTCCCAGCTCCTGAGGGGCCCATCACTCTGGGCTCAGTAGGTTCACCCTCAGGTGACCTCCTCTGCCTTCTTCTCTTGGGGAGATCCATAATGCATGTCATAAAGAGAATGGACCCTACAGCTGGTCTGCCTGTAAAAGTCTCCCCTGATAGAAATCATCTTGCTTGCTGTGGGTTTGCATCATGGGCTGTTTTTTCCTTGGGCATGGAGATGGAGGAAAGACTAGTATTTGTGTTTGGTGAGGAACCTAAGTAAAGCTCTTAGCAAAAAGAATTCTTTCAAAGCCAGCTGGTAAGTGGCTATTCCAAAGCCACTTGTACAGGGGCTGCCAACACAAAAGCCCTTTCACATTTCTGAAGCAAACTTGACCTAAACCCAGAAAGAGAAGCCTGGATTGTAACTTCTGCTAGACAACTGACCACAGTGTGTCCCCAGTAAAGGCCTAGTGGGACCCCAAGAGCAGAGGTCCTGGGGATCAATTCTATAGATTCCTTTTGCTCAGGATGAAATCCAATTTGCCCTCCATTTCATTTTTTTAAAAAATTTCCTGCATTTGCCAATACTTAAAAGACCCGCAGGGAAAATGAATTGCACAGTGGTGTTGGAAGGGAGAGGAAAAGAGCGCACCCAACAGGGAACACCCGCCATCTCAGACAGAAGTCTGGGAACTGCTGTGATGGACCTTGAAACACGGGAGGGACGCAGACCTCACCCCTCACCTCGGACCCCGCCTGGGGTGGTTGCTTGAGGAAGGCTCTCCCTGTAATCCGCCCTTTCAGTCACTGTCTGTTTTCCAGGTTTTCCCCACATGGAGATCACTCCTGGTTGCTTTATTGGGTCCCAAACCACGGGCTTGTCTCCAGGCCCCAACCCCAGCCACAGCTCCTGCCTTTCAGAGGCCCGCGCGTGTTAGACTATTTGGCCATGGTTTACCTTGGCCTTGCTAGCTTTCAGCTGACAGTGTCATGCCAGCCTCCCTCTCACAACCCCAAAGGGTTCTGTGTGGTGCCTGATGCCACGGAACTCCACATGATGGGGTTGAGATGTCCCCCAAACAAGGCACCAGGCCCAGCGTTCTGAAGAGGGGTGTCGGGGTCATCTCAGTGCCAGGAATCCACCTGGCAAGCAGGTTCAAGGTGAGGCGCGAAGGGGCAGTGCAGGGCGAGGCCACCCTACCCCCCAGGCCTATGGTGTGCACAGACGCAGGGGCACAGGGGCACGTGGGGCGGATCGTTCTGTAGAACACTCAGCGCTTGTTTGGGGTCATCTTCAGGGGATCAGAGGAGTGGGGCTGTTTGCAGAGATGCTCCCTTCCCTTTCAACCCCTGTCTATATAATATATATATATATGCGCCTGAAGGCTACCACTAAAATGGAAATGTTATCTGGGAGTTGTCAGAATTACCTCCCCAGTATAAATTAGTCAATCGCCATTAAACATCTGGGTGAGAATTAGTCAGCTGATTACCTAAACATTGGTGGCAGCTGTGGCTTCAAAAGAGAACTAGATTTGGGGACCTGAATTTAAAACCCCATCTTATCACCTTTGGGTGTCAAACTTCATTGTGTTTAAGAAGCATCTGGGGAGTTTGCGCAAAAGGCGGAAAATTCTGAGCGCCCCCCCCCCCCGCCCCCGCACCCCTGGGGATTCTGAAGCCGCACTGTCTGACCTTGGGAGCTGTCAGCGACCTCTCAACCTCAGTCTTCTGTCTCGAGAGTGGGGACGTTAGTGTGTTCCCAATGGTGTCATGGTGAGGACAGTGACAGTGAGCTGAGCTCTGACAGAGGCAAGTGCCCACTGCTGCCGTTCACTTTGTTGTTACCGCCCTTTAACTTCTGTGTGCCCTCTACTGTGAGCCCCGGGAGCAGGGAACACCTGACATCATGTGCTCTGAGGGAACGCATTGAAAAGCCAAGGGTGGCACCTGGAAGGGATGGGTTACAAAGAGCCGTCCACACACCTGCACTCTGGGCTGTGCCACTGGCAGCATACGGGGGCCCCCCTGTTTCTCTCCTTCAGACGGTGTGGGTGCTGGGCCTGGTGATCTCCTGAGCCACTGAGGACGGTCCCTGGGCCTGTGGAAAATAGAGGTGCAGGGAGAAGTCTAGAAGCCATGACTGTGACTACAGAGTGAACAGAAACCATTCGGCAGGGCAGCCCTGGGGAGGGAAGCAGCATATGGTTTCAGCAGGGGCAAATTAACGGAATGTTATCTTCCTCCTACTTTATGATCACTGTTTACTGATAGTGCTTAATTTAAAGTGTGTTCTCAGCATCTCAAGTGTGAGCAAAGACTAAACCACGGCTACTTTCATGCTAAATGTGAAACATGGTGTACTCACACATGCAAACAAAGAGGAGAAATGACAATTTCCTCCTTGAAGGTACCTGAAATTAAAAAATCTTGCCATCTGTTCCAAGAAAGAAAAAAAAAAGGAGAGTTCTGCTGAAAAATTAGGAAATTTCCATCAGAATGGTGGGATTATGTAGCTTGCACTAAAATGACATCTTAGAAAATTATAATCCTAGGCTGGGTGCAGTGGTTCACACCTGTAATCCCAGCACTTTGGGAGGCCAAGGCAGACAGATCACTTGAGGTCAGGAGTTCAAGACCAGCCTGGCCAACATGGCGAAACCCTGTCTCTACTAAAAATACAAAAATTAGTTGAATGTGGTGGCGGGCACCTGTAGTCCCAGCTACTTGGGAGGCTGAGGCAGGAGAATCACTTGAACCCAGGAGACGGAGGTTGCAGTGAGCTGAGATTGCGCCACTGCATTCCAGCCTGGGTGACAGAGTGAGACTCAGTCTCAAAAAAAAAGAGAAGAAAAAGAAATTATAATCCCACATACATGGTTGCTTATCATGTGTTTCGGTGAACTTTATGGAATTCGAGCTGCAGGAACCAGACCTACCATCTTATGAAGCGGGTCATTCTTTCTGATCTGCCAGCCAGGTGCTTCTCAAAAGCACAGGATTTGGAAATTTCTGGGAGATGCATCAGGTACTATTCTGATTCATCAGATAAAAGTTTGGCCTTAAGAAAAGATAGAATAGTAGAGTGGTTTAAAGGGTGGACTTGGGCATCAGGTGACCTGGGCTGGACACTTGGCCATATAGAGGCTTGGACAGGTGGTGCCCACACTCTGTGCCTTGACTTCCCCGGCTGTCACACAGGCTGGTGGTGACACCTCACCAAGAGGCTTGTCCCAGGGCTTGGCACACAAGTCCTCCTGTATATCAGCATCACTGCTCTTCCTACTGCCTCTTCTGCTGCCCTGACATCACAGCACATGGGTGGCCTCAGAGCATCGGCAGGGGAGCCCACCGTGAACAGTCTCCTGGGTCCTGAAGAGCTGAAAGATGTACTTTGTAGGAGCTGTCTTTTCTCTTCAGCCTACAGGAGCCACTTGTGGTCTGAATACCCTAGACCTGTGCTCTCTTCCTCTGCCTCCAGAACCCCCTCAGCCACCAGCCCAGTCATGGATGGTCAGAGTGCCTGAGACTGAGGTCCACAGAGGGGACAGGATGAGTGGAGCCACAGAGCTGGGGAGGACCGGGGAGAGGCCTGGAACCTGGATCCACCATCAGAAGAGGGAGCAGCGGTGTGCAGACATGTCCTCTTAGGGGCCTGTGCTGAAACAGGAACCTTTGCTGTAGACTTTGGGAGGGGGCTGGGCTGTGGGAATACGGCTGCCTGAAAGAGGACCGGCTCCTGATTCCCACCTGCGGAGGGCCCCGGGAGGGAGGAGCCCCAGTGTGTTCCAGGCAGGCTCTCCTGATAGTTGGTTAGGAACCACTCGAAAGAGAACACTTGGAGGAGTGGGGGGAGTGCCAGTGTCAGCAAGTTGGGAGCAGAAGAGAGCCCCACAGTGTGGAACAGGTAGCCAGCAGAACCCACTAGTGGACGAGAGCGTGAGGGGTTGTTGTTGTTAAGACAGAGTCTCGCTCTGTTGCAGCACAGTGGCATGGTTCGATCTCGGCTCACTGCAGCCTCCACCTCCTGGATTCAGGCGATTCTCCTGCCTCAGCCTCCCAAGTAGCTGGGATTACAGGTGCCTGCCAGCACGCCCGGCTAATTTTTGTGTTTTTAGTAGAGACAGGGTTTCGCCATGTTGGCCAGGCTGGTCTCCAACTCCTGACCTCAAGTGATCTGCCTGCCTCGGCCTCCCAAAGTGCTAGGATTACAGGCGTGAGCCACCGAGCCTGGCCCGAGAGCCTGCAGGTTTTGGTGGGGCTCAAATAGCTCTGGCTGCCCCCAAATAGGGGTGGGGTGGAGAAGTCTCCTCAGATGAAATGAAGGTCATGACTGCCATCATTTTTATACCCTACAATCAATCACTTGGGGAAATGGCTAGCCCTTGAGTTTATAAACCACATATAAACTTGTAGTATCCATTAAAAAGAACTGCCAGGGGACACGTGGTTTGCCTAGAATGGCACCCAGCCTGCCATCTGCTCCTGTATGTAAATTATCTGTGTTTTATAACCTTTCATGGAAGTTGTTTAAAGAAGACTGTCTTTTTTTTTTCTCCTTTAAAACTCAAGTATAAATTCAAAACTCACTTAAATAATCCCCAAGAATTTCTCTCTGTTAAATATTGCTGCAGCTCTGACAGGCAAATACACAGGCCTGGGGACCCGGGAGGGCCTGTGCACGTTTTGGGGAAGAAAGCCCCCGATTGAAGCCCCTCCTGGCATACTCCCAGCTACCCATCCCAGTCTGCTCTCAGCTTGGTATCTTAGAGACTCCCAGGTGGGGCCAACTGGCTCCCAGGAGTGGCGCTTCATCCCCAGGTTCCACAAGGATCCTTGGGAGTCCTTGAACAGAGGGCCTGGGTGAGACAGCATACCCCAGCACTGCAGCCAGGTGTCAGGGCAGGCAGGGCCGATGGGGTGGCAGCCGGCCCATAGGTGACCCAGACGAGGCCAGACCCACACTCCCTGGCCTGTGCTGCCCCGCAGCAGTGATCTGAGGGAGCACTCCCCGGCCTGTGCTGCCCCGCAGCAGTGATCTGAGGGAGCACTCCCCGGCCTGTGCTGCCCCGCAGCAGTGATCTGAGGGAGCACTCCTGCAGCCAGGCCAGTCCCTCACCTGGAAATCCCCATAGATGGACCCTCACCAGTAAGGCTTTTTTAGCTGGAAGCTGCCCCTCTGCTTCTCGATTTTTGAAAGTAAATGGCACCTCCCATGCCAAAAGAAGGCAGACTTGCTCTTTCGCTTGAATGTGAAAACACTGGGAGCAGAAGCAGGTCTGGATTGCTGGGTCTTCAGTCCTTACCCTTCAAGAGGTGCTATGTGCTAGGTGCAGGGCTTAATGTATTTTCACACATGCTGGCTACAAGGTGTGTGTTTCCATCTGCGCCCAGCTTGGAGGCTGCCTCCACCTTTCCACAGGCTATGCACCAAGGTCAGTGGCGGCAGTAGGAGACAGTGGGGGTTAAACAGGGGCTAGGAGCAATCTGGCATCTCGCCCTCCTCCCTTGGCCCCAGAAATGGAAGCTGGAAGGAGAGATGCCATGGGCTTAGTGGAGTGGGTGAGGGGCTGCTTGAGCCCTCGTGTCTGCTCATCTCATTCCCTGTGCCATGGGCCCACAGCTAATAAGCACCACGTATCTGGGGAAAGAGTGAGTTACCCCAAGGACAGGCCCATCCAGCTCCCTGCAGAAGCCCCTACTTCACTTTCATTCCTGCCTGGTCCCTGAGAGCCCACAGGCTATAGCTGGGCTCAGAGAGGGGAAGCCAGGGCCCAGCAGCTCAAGGCCTCTGATTCAAAGCTGGCCAGGGCCTGGATAGAGCAGCACTGGGGGCACACGTTGGTCTAGCAAGAGAGAAAAAATGAAAAGACATAACAGACCTTTTTTGATCACCCTGCATGGAACAGAGTTAACTGAGTCTGAGCACAACATGTCTGGGCAAGAGAGAGAACAGAGGGCCAGTATGGTCCCCAAAGAGGGCCGGGCACTGCCAGGCAGGGTGGCTGTAGGTAAGGAGGGTGCTGGAGCTCCCAGGACTGGCCTTCATTGGTCATGGGCCCTGGAGAAGCCAGGTGGCCCAACTGTGCTCAGTGCTTCTAACCATCATGAAATCATGAACGGTCTGGAGGGCGAATCCTCCCATGGGGACTGTGGGCAAGAAGGTGCCTACCTATCTGTCTGTCGTTATGTTTTTATTTTTCTTTTCTTCCTTCCTTTCAGTTGTTTAGTCATTTAACAAACATTGGTTGAGTGCCTGCTTTGAGCCAGACACTGTAAGGACTGGAAATACAGCAGTCACCAATCCAGACGTGGCTCCTACCCTCCATGTGCCATGGTGGGTGAGCAACTGCAGCCCAGCACAAGTGCCCAGGAGGAAAAGAAGGGGGTGTGTAGGAGCATATAGGAGGAACCCCAAGTCCCAAAATGGAGAGATAGGATGGGTGCCTAGGACCAAGCAATGTCTAAACTGAAAGCACACCACGGTCTTAAGCAAGAGAGTGAGGGGGAGTATTCTGAACTGAGAATTGCGTAGGTGAAAGCCCAGGCCAGACAGAGCCCCATATGGGGTAGTGGGTTTCCGCAGACAGTGAAGTGTGGCTGGAATATGGTGCAAGGGGCAGAGATGGGATGGGGCCTCCTATGAGGCTGGAGGGTCCCTATGGGCAGTAATTGACCCACTAGTGAGTGAGTGAGTCTGTGCCCTCCTCAGAATATCGGGCTGAACCCACAGACAGGCTGGCCTGAGAGGAGCTGGATTTCTTGACTAGGAGGAGTCAGAGCACCACCAAAGCACTCCAGGTCCAGACACACCCAGGCTCAGATTGGAGAACATCATCTAAAAAGCAGCCACGTTAGGTAAAAGCTCAGTATTTCCCCTTTTCCAGAGGGATGGGCCTGAAGGGTTAACCATTTGCCCTGGTTTTAAGAAACAGATGTCCTAGCAGAAGGGTCTGGGGACCTCCCAACACCATGAATGAGTTGCGCCAACACTAGAGAGTGTGACAATTTCAGTTCAAGCTTGGATGTTTAGAACATTGGAGTTTTTGCTTTCCCAGATGGGAATCCTTAAATGTTGCAATTTCTTCTTTAAGGCAAATTAGAGGAATCGAGCTCCGCTTATCACTTTCTTGCACCTGGAAGAAATCTCAGATAGGAATGATTGGCTATTTTTGGACCTTGAGTGAATTTAAATTCCACATTTAGACTCCACCACCCATGTTTGATTTCTAATTAGAATGTGACACTTACCTTATGAACACAAGGTGTCGTGCAGAAGACATTCTCCAAAGGAGGTTGAGGATGCGCAGAAATAAAGGTGGTCCATATGGAACAAGAATGATATTTCTGCAGGTGTATTTAGAGGTAACAATTTTCTGATAAATGGAATCTTCAGAAGTATTCTTTAAAAATCACCAGATTTGACTTATTGTGCTTTGCTCACATTTATTAAACTTATTAAGATATACAGGATACCTGTTGTTGCTTTGAAGAAGGTATGGTGTGTGTACTTGGATACGATGAAAATGAAACAGATAGATCAGGTATAAAGTCTAGAGATGCTAATGGTGTTGGGTCAGTTGTATAATGCAGGCTTTGCCACTGAGTGGTTTTTGTTTTGCTGACTCCAAAAGCCTGATTGAGCCTCTATGACTCAGGAGAAGGGAGGACATGAAATTTAGGGGTTCTGTGACCCAGGGGGTCATACCACAGATGCCTCCATATTTTTAATTCTCACTTCTACCAGGGCTCAAGATTATGTACCACTGCGTGAGCATTTTTAAAAAACTAAATAAAAGAATGACACCATGCTATATTATATTGGTTTTGCTGAACATGCTTTTATTGACTCTGGTCAAAAACGGATGAGGATTTTTTTTTTTCCTTAACCTTGATGAATAGTAGATAAAAAGCATCAACATCACATCTCAAGAAAAGCTGCAGAAGAGAAGGCTCAATAAAAATGGATCTGACTCCATGCAAGCATAGCTCTATTTAGCATCTTTCATTCTAATGACTTAATGGCCAGATACCACAACTATACAATTAGCAACAAAGAGAAGTTATTGGGAGCTGAAAGGGATGCCTGTGTCATCAATTTTCAGTCCTGTTGTCTCTTCGTGTAACCTAATAGAAGGAGACTGATAGCTAGGATCTTGTTATCCCATGGCACGGACATGTAGGATTTAACCACTGAGTAGTTTATCCTTAGCCAATTAGCCATTGGAAGGTGATTGCCACCTCAGATAATCAGTTGAGACCTTTGCATGGAGACTCATCCTCACTCCTCCTGGAGGATGCTGTGTGGCCCTGCCTCTGACCTGCATGTCTGAGAATTTATTGACAGCTCAAATCCACAGAATGGGATTTCGCCATGTGACAGGGGCTGTCCCTACCAGCCCAGCTTCTCACCATTGTGGGTACAATGCCAGCAACTCACTGGTTGATTGGCAGCATGGCCACCCATACCCATTCAGAGGCATGAAAAGAGCTCCACCAGTGAACATCCACTTGTCCCAGGCCCTGCCAGCCTGGACTAAAATCCATGCAAGAGAGAAGCTGGGCTTGCCAGGTAGCCAGTCACTTACTGTGTGAAGCTACCATGTGCGGAGCAGTGTCAGCCGACCCTGCTGCACTGGAGCATGCCTGTGGGAGGGAGTGGGCTCTGGTGGCAACATTGCTGGAGTGGGGAAATCTGAGTTCTCTAGTCCTGACCTTGCCACCAGCCATCTCTAGGGCCTCATGGAAGTGACTCAATTTCCCTGGACTTTTCCGGGGTTCAGTAGCCCTGTCTATCACTTGCTTGCCTCAGGCCTCCAAGCAGGTGGCCCTCCCTTGTCCTGTGCTCCGTGCTGGTGGATTTTCCACTTGCATCCCTCTGTCACTGTGATGGGTGAGGGCTGGAGGCACAGTTTGCCTATCTGCACTAAACGTTTCTCGGCCACTGTAGCAGATACTGGCAGTGCTCTCATTGTTTCCTACACACTGAAGGCATCTTTTGCAACTCTCTGTCTCCCCTCGGGGTGCTACCAGGATGCAGGGGCATGTCTGGTCAGTGCACAGGGCAAGCCAGGAGTGCTGGGAGTTCATGTGTCCAGGAGTAGCCTTCAACCAACAATGAGCAAGAGTTGCTGGATAAGTACCAGCTCTGCACCCCTCAGGTGCAGGAAGGCATCCTGCCCCATCTCCCAGGTGCCTTCCTGGCAGGCTTAATCCCAGCTGCCCACAGTGATAACCTGCTCATTAATTTGCCCCGTCTTGGCTTCTTTCTCTCCCTTCTTTCATTTCCCCATCTCCCTACCAGTGCTTCCTAGGATATCACTTCCCAATATATTTGCATTCAATTCCTACTCAGAGTCTGATTTCAGAGGAACCACATCAAGACTGCCCCAAGCCAGGCCCTGTGCTGTGCAGGCCCTGACACCGGGAGTGTTTTCTTCCTTTTTCTGACTATCCTCAGGAGCAGGGCTGGCCCTGACCCAGACCCAGGAGGCCAAGTGCAGGAGGCAGTAGTCCACTGTATCTGAGCCTCTAGGACACATTCCTCCTCTGTGTGGTGCTGAGGTGGGCCCAGTGGAGGTGTGGAGAAGTGGTGGGTGAGGGCTGGGGGCGTGGTTCTCATGTCCTGCCTGAAACGTGTCTTCCACGCTGTGTCTGGGCTAGGCCTCTTGCAGTCTCCACTGTCTTCTCTTCCCCCTGCTTGGACATTCCCAGGCCTCTCAGAGGTTGTGTTCTGCCAGTGGAATGACTCAGGCCACTACCCTGTGCCTCCAGGGAGGTGACCCAGCTCCATGGAAAACTATTAGCCCTCCTTGGCACATCCATCCTGGGGAGGCGATAAGCTAAGTCCAGTACCGACTGCTTCTCCCAGGAAGTTGAATTTAAAGTCTCAGCTCAAGCCTGACATTGCCATAAGCAGCTTGGTCGGCCAGCCAGATGTAAGGGCTCAGTGCAGCCCCACATTAGGCTGGCTGCTGAGAGCTCCCCATGGGCCTGTGGAGCAGAAGCTGACAGATGCTGAGCCTTCCACAAGAAAGGGCCTTGAAGTCCAAACCCTTGCCAAAAACAGGCTTGGTGAGGCATCTTACGGGCACCCCTGAGCTGCCCACAGCCACCCAAATGATGTGTCTTGTTCCTGTCAAGACACCTTGTCAGCGGCCCACCTTGCCCGCTGAGGCCCTCTCCCTCCACAGCGCCCAGAAATTATTCAGTGAATGGGTGTAGCCCCGGGTTCCAGAGCTCTCTCCTGTACTACTCGCCCAGCTGGACCTGCCATTCTTCCACAGCCAGGGCTTGTGCTCCAGGGTGACTCTTCCTTTCCTTCCTCCCGACCCCAGCATGTCCCCCACCCCCAGGGCTCTGCTCACTAAGAACTGTGGGTCTGCAGCATGACTGAACAGATCCTCTATGCTTACAGCTAACACAGATCAACGTCTGACCCCTCCCAGGGTGTCCACGCCCTGAATAAAACAATGCCTACTACTGAGGAAGTGAATTCCTAATGAAGGCATTTCTAGCACTGATGGTGCCAGGTGTGGGGAAGAGGGTGGGGGTGGGCTAAGTACATGAAAACCCCGTACCTGCCCCCTTCGGCAAAGCCTTCCCAGTGGTGTGGCCTGCTCTCCCATGTGCATCTGGAGCCTGCACGCTGTCAGGCACAGCCATCTTTGGAGAATGACCCTCTCTTTGCCCTCATAGATATTGGTACCAGAGCTTGCAGCACCTCTTATTCTAAGCCCTGTTTTAGACGAAGGGAGAGATCAGCCCCAAGAGGGAAGGGACTCTCCCAGTTACCCCCACGAGCTGGCACTTGAAGACCTCTGAAGCAGGAGGGATGAAGGCAAGGCGTTTTCTTAAGTTAGCTAGCAACCTGGTCCTCCAGAGCTGTTTCTTTTTAGCGGTAGAAAGGACAGCCAGCCTCCCACCTGACAACAACAGAATGAAAAATTTAATGTGTGGTATCAATCGCAGTCCCACCCAGAGGCCTCAAATAGCTTTTGTCCTGATTGAAGGTAGAAATTCATGGCTCCAGGAGTAACCAAATATTGGCAAGTTTGGGCCCGGTCATGTCAAAAGGCTTCTAAAAAGAATGTTTTATTTAAAGTCAATAAATAATAGATTCAAAGGTCTCATAGAGTTCTAGAAACATAAAAAGGAAGATAGGCCTAGACACTCTTGTTCTATTCCCGTTGTCCACCCTGTCCACCCCACCCCATCCTCAGGTGGCCCAAACTGCTTAGATGTTAGCAAGGGCTGGGAGAAAATCCCTACAGCCCATCACTTCATCCCAAGCTATTAGGGAACACACTTGGCCATTTCTCTGTCCAAGTTTCCTTCTAGACAGTGTTACAATAAGTAGAATAAGAGCAAGACAATGTGACTTCACAGGTACATGCTTTATTACCTACACTGACTTCCACCAAAGTGGGCAGGAGGAATCAAAGGCGCGTGAGGTTCCAGAAGATCTTGAGCATCCGCGCTCATCCCAGCCCTTTTTTATATAATGCAAGTTGTTTCTCACATAACCCCATTCTTAGCCTGCAGCCAGATACCTCCCTAACTCCTCCTCAGACCTTCCCCAAAGGCAGAGCTAACTAGATCAGTTCTGCTCATCCTCAAAATCAAATTTATATCTTGCATGTGGGTTTTCCTCATTATAATGTCATTTCCATGAGGTGTGAGCCCCATTGTCAGGGCAATCCGGATGATGAATTTGCACTTCAGCCTTCACTGAAATCTTTACTTAGTCAAACTCCCACTGTGTTCCTCACTCGTCCCACACTTGTGATCATGTGAATGTAAAGGTTCTGCAGTTTCCACCAGATCCACCTCCTTCCTCCACACCCTGTATCTATTTCTCTACATCTTAACGACATGTACATGTGTCCCTAAATTCAGGGACTTCATATATTCTTTTCTATTAACAACCCCTAATATAATTCCTACCACCAATATCATATATTCTCCTTCCAACCAATACCATCTGCTGCATGGATATATCCTGGAAAGGGTTTTGAAATACCCACACCAAAAAACTCTACTAGCATTCTGGAAGAACAAATTAAATCAATTCATGACTTCTTGCCTGTAAGCACTGAATGCCAGAAGATAATGGAGCAGTATTTGGAATGTTTCAAGGACAAAAGATTATGATCCAAGAATTTGTCCTCTGCCTAGATGTTGTTCATGTCGAAGGCAAAAGAAAGGCATTCTCAGATATGCAAGAGTTCAGATATACACCATCTTCCTGCTTTTTCTTATTTTTTAAAAGAAGTACTTCAAGTCATGCTCCACCTAACTGATAAATGAATCAAAATATTGTATCATAAAAGAATGAGCCATGAGATTCCAAACAAGTCAATTATAGAATTAAGTATATATAATTAGAGTAATACGTTACAATTCAGTAGCTATAAATTCCAACCAAAGAAAGAAAAGTTGGCCCACAAAGCTGAAGACAATAATAATAATAAAAGGAAAAGGACAAAAGGAGAAAGCTCAATAACATAAATAATGAAAAAATGTTTAAAAGAAAGTGAAGAGAACAACTTCTCAATGACAATGCAAAGACTCCAAACTGACTAAAAAAAAAAACCATTTACTGGCCAAGTGCAGTGGCTCATGCCTGTAATCCCAGCACTTTGGGAGGCTGAGGTGAGTGGATCACCTGAGGTCAGGAGTTCAAGACCAGCCTGGCCAATATGGCGAAACCCCGTCTCTACTAAAAATACAAAAAATTAACCGGGTGTGGTGGCGAGCAACTGTAATCCCAGCTGCTCGGGAGGTTGAGGCAGGAGAATCACTTGAGCCCAGTAGGCGGAGGTTGCAGTGAGCCAAGATTGCACCATTGCACTCCAGCCTGGGCAACAGGGTGAGACTCTATCTCAAAAAAAAAAAAAAAAAAAAAACACCTATTTACTATATACTATATACAGTTTGCATTAAATGTTGGCTACTAAATATTCTTTCTTCAAGCTCAAATCTTAGAGATTAAATGAGCAATCCTGTGTTCTGATTCCATATTACCTTCTCAAGCTACCTCAACCATGCCCAAAGGTTGAAATAGTGCCCAAGTGCGGTGACTGTCACTGACGGCTCCTACTTAGACCTCTGCTCTGATTTCCAGGCCAATATGTCCAACTGCCTACTTGACAAAGGCACTTGAGTGCCTCACCGGCAACTAAAACTCAGAATGTCCAAATCTAAACTCATGGTCTTTCCCCATCACTAACCTTCCTGCCAGAAAAACAAATAAACAACAACCCAAAAAAGCACCATTCTCCAACCAGTGCTTCTATCTCAGTAATTGGTACCACCCTTCATCCATCTTCCTAAGCCATAGATCTTTGAGCCATCTTTGTCACCTCTTTCTCCTGTAGCAACTCAATCCAATCCATCATTAATATTTTTGGCTCTAAATATTACACACATCTCAAATCCATTCACTTCTCTCTATCTCCAATACCACCACTCTAATTCAAAATACAGTTTTTTCTCAACAAGACTCTCATAATCACATCCTAACCAGTCTCCCTGCATTCTTTCTTGCTCCCCTGGAATCTGTTTTCCACCCAAATACCAGAGTGATTTCTTTTCAAAACACAATTGGTGATTATGTCAATCAGTGGTGTGCTGATAAATGTTTAACAACCGGTTCTCGGTGGGAAAAGTCCTAATTTATAGCATTTGCCAATTTCCGTAGTGTAAATACTACTACCGTGGATGACTTCAGTTGACCAGTCCAGTGATGTCATGGAACACAGAGTCGGGAAGAGATACGAATCATCTGCCCTTATAAATAGTAGTCTCCAGCATATCATTGCTTGTAAAACTTCTGCTTAAAACTGTTTAATAACTTCTCAATGCTTCTAGAATAAAGGCTCAAATTCTCAGCAGGATCCAAAAGATCCTGCATGGTCTGACCCTATTAACCTTTCTAGCCTCAACTCACACCATGTTCTCTTTGTTCTCCATGCCTAACCCCACTAACTGACAACACACTCCTTCCTGCCACAGGTCATCCTCCATCTGGAGCACTCCCACTGCCTCCCCCTTACCCAGTTTAGTTAACAAACACATCTTTTGGAGCTGAGCCCAAGTGTCCCCTCCTTAGGAAAGCCTTTCCTGAGCCAATTCCACCAAACTAAATTGTCCTTCCATTGTAAACTTTTGTAGCACTTAGCTCATAATGCCATATACCATAAAACATAGGCCACCATTGTAATTTTACATATACTTATGAAACTATTGGCTGATGTCTGTCTTTTATACTATACTTAGAATAAATACTATACTTAGAATACCCTCAGAAGAGGGTAAGCATTGTATTTTTTTGTGATTACCACTGTATTCTCTAGTGCCTAACACTTGGCATGTGGGAAGTATTAATACATTTCTGATGCATGAGAGAATGAAAAGACACACACTTAAAGCCAAATGGCATAAGGAGATTAAAGGAAAAAGAGTGGGCGAAGTTCTGTTTGTCAAAAACAAAAACAGAAAGCAAGGGTAGCAATTTAGAGGGGAAGTAGAATTCAAGGCAACAACACTAAATGAGAAAAAGGGATGCCATTTTATGGTGATAAAATCCATGAAGAAGATGCTGTGGTCATGGAGCTTTATGTACCAAATAACACAATATCAGTGATTACTGTTAGGAATAAAAGGAAAAATAGGAGCACAATCGTAGTGTGAGAGTTTAACATACCAGTAGAACTGAACAGAAAGGCCAGGAGCAAACCTTAGAACATAGTGCTAACCTAACACAGCATTTCAAAACTGTGAGAAAAAGGATCATCAGTTATTTTCAAATGGTACTGGGCCAAATGATTAAGTATTTGTTTTAATAAGGTGGATGACTTCATATTGCAGTTGGATATGGTGGCTCTTCTAAAGCACTTGTCCCAAAACGCTCTTACACGACATTAATAAACATAACAAGAAAAGGATTCTGGAGTCAAATACATCTGCAAAACACCATGGTAAGCAAAGTTAAGCAGATATTTTTATTGCAGGACTTTTAACCATCTTTGGTGCTACTGTGCATGCTACAATCCCAAGAGGGAACTATAGCACATGCTATTCCCAGAATTACTTGAGTATTTTGTGAGACTGGTGTTTCATGTTCTGCAGAAATCACTTGGGAAATGGTGGCTTAAAAAGTTAAATAAAACACATAAAATCATAAAAGACCTCAAATAAATATGAGCAGATATTTTTGTACTTTTACTAAGGTGAGTGGGGCTTTCCTAAACCACATAAAAAAGGAAGATACAATTAGAGACATGGTTGATATATTTGATGACATAAAATCTTTAAGCTTCTGTATATCATAAGGCAAATGAAAAACTGGGGAAAAATAGTTGGAGTTATGAATGACTTTACTATAGAAAGAGCTCCTAGTAATCAATAAAAAAGATGACCATCCACATAGAAAAGTTTGTGAAGAACATGAACAGAGGGCACACACACACACAGACATTCACATCCATCCACCAAATACACATCATTATTAAATATTAGATTCTGAACCTTCCTAATAATCAAAATAAGGCAAATTAAAACAGTTAACAATATATTTTTGGCCATGAAATCAGCAATTTTTAATGATAAAATTCAGTTTTAGCAAGGATAGAGTGAAAGGGGACTCTCAAATGTAGCCAATGAAAATATAAAATGGCACCAACTCTGTGGCCAGTAATTTGGCAGTACTTATTTATTAAGTCTCTTTTTAAACATGCTTTTGATTCAGTAATTCCACTTCAGGCAATTTATCACAAGGAAAAAAATCAGAGATTGCCTAAAGATTTATGTTCAGGGATGTTTACTGTAGCTTTGTTTGTCAAAGCAGAAGTTTTGGAAGCAGCCCAAATGTCAAGCAGTGACTGGTTAAAGGAAATATGGTGTGCCCCATATGATGAGATATTATTCAGTCATTAAAAATTATGACTTGTGGAAATAGTCACAAAAAGAATGTTAAGTTTAAAAGCATGATATAAAACTACTTCCAGATTCCAATTTTATAAAGTACATATGTATATTTATGTAACTGGAAAAGACTAAGGTGAAATATAGTAAAATGTGGAGTTATTCTCTCTGAAAAACATTCCATTTATTTTATAACATTCCCCCACAGCTCCTCATCTAATCCATCAAACCAAGTCTTATCAACTCTACTTCCAAAGCGCACCTTGAGTCTCGTCTGCTTCTCTCATCACCACTACTATGCCCTAGTCAAAGCCACCATCATCTTTCATCTTTAGAAACTTAGAAGCCTCCCATTGGTCTCCCTCCCTCCCCTTTTGCCCCGTTGCAGACCAATCTCCATGCAATAGCCATAGTAATCTGTTTTCAATGTAAATCAGATTGTATTACCTTCTGCTTAAAACCCTCCAGGGCTTTCCCATCACACCTTGAAAAAAAATCCTAAGCTTTTCCCTTTGCCATGGCTCGGAGGCCCCTGGAATCCCACTGCTGCCTCCCTATCTGACCTCATCTCCTGCCACGCTCCCTTCCCGCCTTGCTTCAGCCTTTCTAGCCTCCCCTCTTGGCCCAGACACCTGCACTGGCCTTGACACCAGCTCTTCCCTCTGCCTGCCGTGCTTCCCCCAGCTCTTTACAGAGCTGACTTCTCCTGAGGTCTCAGCTTAAATCCACCTCCTCCAAGAGGCCTCCTGATCACCCAGAGTTGCCACCCTGACTTTACCTATCGAATCAATGTATTTTAATTGTCTGCACTCACGACCATCTGATTTTTTTTCTTAACTGACTCCTTTCTGTATTGTCTAAGCTTTGCCCATGAGAATATAAATTCCATTGCAGGCTGCTATATTCACTTAGAACACTGCCTGGCACTTAGTAGGCAATAAATGCTTGCCACATGAATGAAATAGAAATCAAACCAAAAACATTTCATTGAAACTGAAAAAGGTAAATCATGCCAAACAGCTTGACTTACTAACAGTGCTCAAAAAAATCAAATACTTTGGAAAATCTCCAGGCTTGAAGGGGTGCCCTACCCTTGCGTGGGTACCCCGTTGCCAGTTAGTGGGTAATCCTTCCCCCGTCTAACCCACCAGACCAGAAAATGACACTAATATGGACAGGCAGGTGGAATGGATTTGCACAGTATCCCTTACTTCAAAAACAAATAGGACTATTAAGCTTTTGCAGGTCTCTGGGGAACTTGTCCAGGTTTTGGTGAATTCCAATGAGCTCTAGTTTTAAACATGCAGGATTTCAGCTCTGGCTTTTAGTTCACTGAAAAAGAGAACAGCTTAGATTTTCTTTGCCTTGCAACTCCTGAAATTTCTCTTTCCTTCTTTGACAGCCTGAGGAGTCAGGGGCAGAGAGAATAGAGGAGCCAGATGCCTTTTAATGAGAAAGAACCCAAGAAGCCTTCTGCACTCTCTTTGTAAGCCATTTCTTAGTACTGCTTAAAAGATCTGGGCCATGCCACACATAGCAAGGCACAGAAGCATATGAAAAATTGCCAGATTTAGTGCTTGTGGCTTGGGGTGTACTGCAAGGATCTCTAAAGATGGAGATTTGTTATGTTGCTGTGGATAAATTTGAATCAAGTGTAATCCAATGCTGCTGTGTGAAAATCAGTCAGTTACCAAGTGAGTGGGCCTCGCCAGCCACCCACCCACCCAGCATCCTATCTTCCATAGGTTTCCACTTGACACTGGAATATAAGATTTGTAAGGAGCAGATTTCTGCCTATTTGGTTTACCACCAAATCCCTGGTGCCTAGAACAGCACATGCAGATAGCAGATGCCCAATAAATAATTGTTGAATAAGTTAAAGGAGAAGTAATATTTTCCCCATTTACTGAGCACTCACTGTGTGCCTCACCTGGCTCAAGTCTCATAGCAGCTCGAACTCTTAATTCTCACACCACCCCCACAAGGTAGGTTTGGCAGAAGGGAGCCTGAGAAATTAGGTACTACAAATCTCTCGTGCAGTGCATGTCTATTTGAAAGTTTATTTCCTTTGCAGGTTATTGTCTGATGTTCATGGCATTGGGTAGATATTGTGGGAGAGGCAGAAATGTCATTATGAAGAGAATTTCTCTCCATTAGCTAATGTTTAGAGAGGCATTGTGACATACAAAAAGACCATTGGTCCTGGACTTGTCACATCTGGATTCCAAATTTACCTCCTTCACTAACCTGTGTGAACTTCAACAAATCACAACCTCTCTGAGCCTCTGTTTTCTAATCTATTTTTTTTAAAGATAATGAAACCAGTCTTGCCCTGCTTGAATGGAGGTATAGTGAAGTGCAATGACAGAACAGATGTGATTGACAACTTATACTTACACCCTCTGTCTTACTGAATTGTTATTTAACTCTCAACTGAGGTAGGTCCATCAGTGTTTGGCTCAGTTCATGGGGATTTGTGTCTACCCTTGGGTACTTGGATTTTGCATATAAATGAGTTCTTCTATATAAAATGGTTCCAATGTATCTTGCACTTAATAAATGCTAGTATCACTATTGTAATTATTAATGAAAAAAACCCCAAGGATTCATTCTGGACCCTGAATACAATTTTTACCTAGACCCAGGTGGCCAATGCGTTTTGTTTTGTGTGGTATTCAGGTTATTTACTGATGTGTAACAAATTACCCCCAAACCCTAGCAGCTTAAAACAACTACCATTGTATTTTAGTTCATGATTGTGTGAATAAGGAATTAAGACAGGGCTCAGCTGGGTGATTTTTCTGCTTCAGGTGGCATTGACTGGGGTTACTCAGTAGTGTCAGTAGCATTCAGCTGCTGGCTGGGCTATAATTGAGGGCCTTATCCAGTGTTACCCACACATCTAGCATCTTGACAGGGTCAGCTGGAAGGCTGGGCTTAGCTATACTCCTCCACCCCTTGTAGTCTCAGAGTATCTCCTCCCGGTCTCTCCTGCAGGGTAGTCAGATCTCCTACATGGTGGCTCAGGGGTCTAAGAGTGAGTGTTCCAAGACATTCATGTGGAAGCTGCAAGCCTTCTTAGCTTCAGAAGTCAAGTCTTGGCTGTTCCATTCTATTGTTCAAGCAAGTTACTAAGGCCACACCTAATTTGAGAGGAGAAAAATTGTACTCTACGTCTCAGAGGAAGGAGCATCAGAGAATGTGTTGCCATCTTTAATCTACCACAGGTGGTAACACAGTTCTCTTGGTAGTGGCTGCCTGGAGTGATGTGAGAGGTAAATAAGAAGGCCACACCTGGGTTCAGTGGGAAAGTGCCAGATGTTTACCACTGTCTGCTGGGGGAATGGGGGCCTGGGGGCCCTATATTTGCAAACTTTGACTTAGAAATTTCTCCCTCATGATGCACCCCTCTAGGTCTCTCCTATTTTCTTCCTATCAACATGTATGTGCTGTTTTTTCCATCAAAAGTCCATTCTGGTTGCATTTAATTATTGTCCACCAGGAAGTTTAATAGAACACTTTATTGTTCACCACCACTTTGCAGGAATGAAGGGGAAATTCTTGTTTGTATAAGGTGTCCTTTTCCTCTAAGCCTCCTCTGCGGGGCCTTTACTGAAGACTCTGCTGACCCCCCTGTATAGTTTTGCCAAGTTAGAGTTAAGCACAGCCAGCTAAGCATCTCAATATCCAGTTATGGGTGCATTCTTCAAAAAACAGTCAGTGAATATCACCAGTGTTTTGTGTCTAAGGTACATCAGGAATTTGAGGAAGGGAAAGAGGGAGGGAAGAGCAAGCCAATCTGTTATTTTGGAAAGTCATATTTTACCCTTTTGTTCTGTGGAGTAAGATTTTGGTATTAATTTGGCTAAAAAGACACGGGTGGTGCCGAGGCATGCCTGAACAGTTTTTCCTCCACTTCTCTTGCTAGTTCATGGGTGCATCTGTGACCAAACTTGTAAGGTCTCTGGCTTGGCTATTCCTCTCCCAAGTCCTGCTGAGATGATAGTGATGAATTGGAGACTGTATTCATTTCCATGGCAACAAACATCACTGTCCTAGAGCCACTCCTCAAACCCTTTGCAAATACCACTTTTTCATTAACCCTAACCTCTGAGACATGTGGAAATCCATGCAGAAGCAGCAAGACCTACCCCACAGGGCCACTCAAACTGGAGCAAGACTAGGCTTCAGGGGAGCAGCAAGCTCCAGGTACACATGAACAGCAGGTGAAACAAAGACAATTAACTAAATTGGTTTTTCTACAATTGTTTCCTCTGTTGCAAAGTTTGCCCCTAGTGTGAAAGTCTCACTTTCAACTTACATTCCACACCCAAGCAGCTTTCTATCTAGAGTTTGAAAATTGCTTGGACAAGGAAAAATTGCACCTCACATTTTCCAAGTGCTTTGTATATCTTATGGCTGTCCAATCTTTCTCAAGTACTAATTATGAGCATTTATTTACAGCTCACGTCTCAAATACTCATAGTATGCAGTGTGTGTCTATTACCAATGATTTGCCCATTAATCAATAGAGATGCGAAAACAAGAATATGTGAACTCTGGCACAGACCCAATTAACCTGAAATAGGAGAGAAGGGACTTTATCCTCTAATTGAGTTACATCTTGAGGTGGAGTGAGCTGATGGATTCTGGGAGGTCACTGAGGGATGGTGGCCTCATGCTGAAGGTGGATGCCTCACGGGGAATGGATTCCTAAACTTACCGTGCTCTGTTCTTCTTGTAGACAACCCAGGGAGTCCAGCAACCCATAGTACGGTGCATCCAAGAGTCCAGAAACCCATAGTACAGGGAATCCAAATGACCTGATAAGTCTTTAGGAGCCTGGAGATTCACAATCAAGAGGACAGGCCTACTTTTGAGGAAGGCAGGTTCTGGAGGGAGAGTGAGCTTAAAGTCAGCCCCCATTCCTGATATCTTCTCTTGGCTTGGCTGTTGTTCCAGCTTATGTGGTTTCTTCCCTTCATCCCTGGGGTGGGGGAGTCACGAGCATAGACCTGGTACCAGGCAGTCCTGGGGTAGAATCCTCATTCAGCCTGTGTTCCCACCAAGAAAATAGAAATAGGTTGTATTATTTCTACCTCCCTTGTGAGATTGTTGTGGAGATGATCATTTCCAGAGGGCACTTTAAGCAGAACTTGGCATGTGGTAAGAGCTCAGCCCACATCAGTGCCATTGCCATCGTCATCCTCAGGCTCATTTGAATTAAAGATGAAGGGGGCAGCTCCTCGGCATTCATGATTCCATGGGCTGTGGGCGTCCTACGAGCAGATTTCTGCTGATGTGAGCCAACGAGGGGCAAATCAGTTTAACCACATCTGGGACCCAGGTTAGGGCCCTCCGGAGAAGAGGCTTTCACAGGGTAATGCTCTATGGAAACTTTAGTGTTGGGTTTCTTCCCCTGATTTATGCTATCCTTAGGATCCCACTACTAGGGCCAGGAAGAAATAACTGAAGTTCCTGCATGTGAATAAGAAGGCAGTCACTTATTTCTGGAAACTACAGCTGAGACTTGGGGAAGCTGCTTAGGATGATGACATTTGCATTTCACACCATAACGGAAATGGTGCCTCTGTGTGTCGTAGTTTACTCTTAACAATGAAGCATTGCATGCCCACTACATGCCAGCCCTGGGCTGGCATTGACAATTAACAGAAAAACCCTTTGGAAGAGTCATGTTAAGTTTAGTGGCCATAGAGCAAGGAGCATCCAGGATGAGAGAGCCCTCAATATCTGGAGTCGAGGTTGCTTCTGCAGAGAGTGAGGACAGGAGCCCCTATATGCAGCACCTCTGCACCTGGGCAGTCACTTGTGCTGTGTGACCACTTGGTGCTCAGGGCCTCGGTCTCTGCAGCTGCTGCCATGCTGAGAACAGCACAGGTGCCAGTTCACACAGGTCTCATGCCCAGGATGTCCTTAGCAGATGCCTCACAGTGGATAGCTGGAACCCAGAATGGACCTGACCCTTCTGTTGTTCGTGTCCTGTTGGCTCTGGACAGGGTACCCTCCACAAGCATGTCAAGCAAGGCCCTGGGCAGCCCCTACCCATGGTCCAGTTGGAGGTGGCAGCAAGGTGAGCTTAGTAAGGCACCAGCTTAGGGCAGCTAGGGCAAGCCAGAGAGTCAGAGATCACAGCCCAGATGGTGCAGCAGGCCCTACTTCTGCCATGATGCGTATGACAGATTACATCATCTGTCTGGCATACCCAGGTAAAATAGATCAAGAGTCCTGCCAGTTCCACACATTGGCTGCAATCCCTTTTATACACACACAGTTTTTCATCGTGTAAGTGTATGGCAATGATATTATTACAGGGATAAATTTAAATCCACTTGAAATTCATTATCATAAAACAACTCATTTCCAACTCAGCACACCTGAGGTATTGTTATTCACACATTACTTGTGACCTCCCAACTCACACAAGTTGATATCTGGGTATAGAGTGTGATTTTTCTCCCATTAGGGACTCCAGAAGAGTTCTTGAAATAGCTGCCTCCCCAGCTCCACCTCTCACCCCTTGTGCCTGCCCAATGTTTCCAGAAGGCGCAACTATAGACAGCAAAGGTCCTGTGTGCACCTCCCCAGAGAAACCCAAACCCTCACACTTCTCTGGAGCCACATGGCCAGATGAAACCTCTGAGAAGGAACCAAAGCCTTGTCTGTCCTGATGGCAGAAGTTGCAACCCTGTAGGGCTTCTCAACATGTGATCTAAGACCACAGCTTTGTAACCTAACTCAGCCACGGTCCTAGTTAAAAAGGCACATTCCTAGACCCTGCCTCAGAACTACTGAACAGAGTCACTGGGTGTGGAGTCCAGGAATCTGCATTTTTACCCCTATCGCCCCCGCCATTCCCGCCCTTCCCCCCGCCATTGCGTGCACTAATTGCTGGAAGCACTCATGAGGAGAGCCGCCTGTGTTGTGTAGAACTCCCACCCCCGCAACACACACTCACTCACCCTTTCACTTACCAACAGTTTCCTGGGCTTGGGAGGTCTGGAGAAGGCAGTAGCCCTGCAAATTGAGAAAGGCAAGCCTCGGAAGTGGACTCTTATATCTCTACTGCCAAAAGGGGCTACATCCTCTCAGGCCCCTGGGTTCATTCCTTGAGAACAGGGCTCAGCTGTGGGAGCTGATAAAACAAGGCACCCTTCCAGTTACTGAGCACCTTCTGGTGGCCCACACTGTGCTGGGCATTGCACATGAGCCGTCTCTCGTCCTTGGGGAAGATAGTAGTTGTTATCCATGCTCTATAGGTGTGGAAACTGAGGCCCAGAGAGGTTATGTGGCTGGTCCAAGGTCACACAGCTGAAGTGAGATTGTAACCCAGGGCTGCCTGACTCCAGAGCCTGTGTGTTCTCCAGTGGTGACATTGCTGGGGTAGTCTTGGGGGGCAGTGTGAGCTAGTTCATAGGATGGAAGAGTACTGTGAGGAATGTTGGGGTATTTCAAGGTTTGATAAACCAAAATTCCTCTGGGCCGTTGGGCATTTGAGAGACGGAACACTGAGAACATAAGACATGCTGAGATTTAGGTTGTTTTAGAACCTGAAATCTCAGCTTACTCCTCCCAGAACTTGTGCTGACTTTCGGAAAAAGGAAACATTTTAGCCTGGTTTGGGTTCTGGATTGCAGTAGCAGTGGTGTTTGCTAAACTAAAGAAGGGAACTGGAGCTTCTATCAGTGCATTATTAAAGCAGAACTGGCTGACTGTCTCCCTGGGAAATAACAGGACTGAGGCTTGTGCCTCCAGCCAGAGATTGCTCCTCCATAGCCCCCATTGCCACCGCTTCTACTACTTTTGCCTCCACTCCCCAGCCACCCAGTGATCCACCCTGCCAGAATGCACAATGCCGGCATTGATCATTCCCCAACCCACGGTACAGTTCAGTTTCCTCTGCTGCTAATTGGCCATGAGAGCTCCGTTATGAGGGATCAGAATTGTTAGTCTCTTCCTAATGATCTCTGTCTGGAGACCAACTTCATGACATTCTCCAATTAGGGAGTGCGGAGGGGGCAGGGCAGCGCTATTCATCTGCCCAGAACCCCCATGAAGTGACATGGGCTCATTATGCAGGAGACCCAAGCCACTGGTCCTGCGGGTCAGCACAGCCCAGGAGAGCCACGGAGGCAGGTCTCCCCCTCTCACCTCCCCAGACTCCCGGCTATCCTTTGCTCCCTGTGTCCTCCCTTCATGGCAAAGACTTTCCTTTGGTCAGGCTTGAAGGACAACACTCTGTCTTCTGCTAGCACACTCTGTGCTTTAAAAATTCCTAACTGGGAAAGATGACTTCTTTTGAGATCAAAGGCACACTCTCAGGGATGTTGGGGCAATGAGGAAGGTGAAAGCTACAGAGGAAGTCAAGACTGGTCCACTTCCAGCTCCCCATATGTGGAAGAAGAGAAGACCAAGGCCAAGAGAGAAGGGTCTTGCTCAGGGGGGGTCCCCAGCACTTAGACAGGAAGACTAGAGCCCCCCACGTCATTCCTGCTTCCCTTCTCCTCACCCTAACTTCAAATGCAGGCTCTTTATCCTATGTCCCTGTTCTCCCTTTGGACCCAGCCAGCTTCTGGATTTCTTCCGCCACTTGGCTTATCGTGCAGTGGACAAACCACACGGCTACACTTGACAGCCAGAAACTGGATCATAAGCTTTGAGGGCAGGATCCATATCTCCCTTATTCTCTGCTGTGTCCCAGGACCTAGCATCTCACCCACAGTAGGAACACAGAATTATTCAATGAGTGAATTAATTAATTAATGCTTTAACTTTAAAGTTCAAATGTAGAGTTTCAGAGAGGAACCCAGAAGGGCTATTCAAAGAAATGAATATCCAACAGTGGAAATTCAGATATTACAGAGTCTTGGGAGGTCAGTTGGGCATTAATTCTTTCCTCACAAGAGTCTGCTAATTACTTTTCCAGGTTTTCTGCTGAACAATTTGAACTCACATTCGACATAGCTTTCCCTTTTGTCTCTTTCTTAATATCTCAGCACAACTCCTGCTGTGGGGCATTGTTAAACCTCAGGCCTGGAGGGTTTGGCGATGCGCGGTTAACAGCTTTGCCACCTGGGGATGGCATTATCTCTGCCAGCCTCTAGCTGACTTGCTCTGGGTCTCCTGCTGGGAGACAAGACCAGGCTGGGACAGGCCATTCAAACAGCTTGAGAGCAGCTCTTAAGACAAACCTCGGACTTAGCTAAGGTACCTTTTTTTTTAGGTCACTTTGAAGAAATCTTAATGTTAAAAAGATTTACAAACTAAAAACTTTATAATAAAGTGTTGTCAAAAATCTGTAACAAAATCTACATCAAGTCCTTATGGTGTCTGGAACATAATAAATGTGCAATACATGTGAGCCCGTAGATCTTTTCTATCAATACTCACTTGAAATAGATTAATCCACAGTCTAATAGTTAGACCCAGTCTGATGCGCATAAGAAATGTTGCTATATCTTTTGTTTTGTTTTTACAGATTTTCTTTTGATTAGGTTATCTATTTGATGGGAAGGGAGGAAAGGCCTAGCATTTTCTGCACCCACTGTGCACCAGGAACCATGCTAAGTGCCTTACATTTCACTATGGCATGTGCTTCTCTCTATGGGCTTCAGGGAAAGGCTTATTCTCCCATTTTCCAGATGGGAGAATTAGACTCAAGATCTCAAGATCGTTAGACTCCAAAGCCAGTACTCTCTCCTTTACGTGGTATTTAGAAGTGAGCCCAGCTATGGGAATGCTGCCTAGTGACCACATGGTCACTGCCAGCTTCCCTGTCCAGACCAGCCTTCCCTTGGCCTGAGATGTGCCATAGTGCCTCTCAGAGGACACCATCACGTATTCCTGTAGTGCTTGAGTGTCACCAACCTGGAGACGCCGTGGGACAGCACAACCAGGGAAGTCGTAGAGAACCCAGGTGCCCCTGGACATTCTAAAGACCATCATCTGAGAGACTGCTCGGAAATGCAAAGCTCACAAAACATGTCATTTCCTGTCTCTAAGGTATTGAATACAAATATCATCTCCTTTTATCTCCCATCTCCAAAACAGTCCCCTCGGGTTGTGTCTCTCTCAAGTGCTCTGTAAACTTCCCAAATTGTCAGCCGGTCCCAGGAGATGCTTCCATCACACTGGGTGATCATCTCATGATAACTTCCGAACTGGCCTCCTGCACTGTTCACGGGTCTGGGTGGTTACCCGCGCAGCAGAATCACTCAGCAAACGCTTGGATGTGCACTGACTTTGAACGGCTAGAAAGTTCAGGGGCACCACCTGCCTCGGAGCTGCTGCATGACTCGGGTCTGAGGTGTCCCCTGAAATCTTGGGGACAGGCACTTCTTCTGCTGGCGTCAGACAGAATGTGGTCTCCCCACAGGGAGCCCAGTCCGATTCTGCAGAGCCCGGCTCGGCCCTGCTGGTCTGCGGGTGCCCTTTGCCCTCGTGCACACAGCGACACCTGGTGGTAAGCTGGTGAACCGCCGGGACCCCAGCGCTGTTCCTCAGCTCCATGCTGGGCTCCAGCTCACGTGCGCTGTGTGCACCGAGGGACTTGTCCTGGCACGTGCACACCCAGTCTTGTGCACCACCGAGTACTCCGTTGTGACAAAGTTATACTCAGTTATGTATGTCTTCTTCCTGCTCTGTGCAGAGAGCAGTCCCGTGGCCTCAGTCATGAGTCATTTGTCTGTACTCATTCTCAGAGGGGAAGAAAATGAGCTGTTTCTAACTACGTCTATCGTCACCACCCCGATCGCCATCCTTACTGCCATCAACCACCACCATCCCTGCCGTCACCACTACCATTGCCTCCACCACCGTTAGCCATCACCACCGCCTCACCGCCATCATCCCCACCACCCCTCGATGACCACAGCCACCTTTGTGCCTTTACTACTGTCACCCCATGCACTCTGTCGCTCCTGTAGCAGGGGCTAACTCCTCACATAGCAGCAGAATTGGGCAGCCCTGCCCGCTGAGGTTCCAGGAGGGAGGCTGAGGGCCTCTTCCACAGAGAGTGCTGTGAAAGGCTCTTGGAAGGAGGGCAGGAAGGACCCAAGAGAGCAAGGCAGAGGGAGGATGGGCCTTCTCCAGCTCCTAGCTGGCAGACAGGACAGCACGAGGTACCGCCTGGATGCATTTAGGACTGAAGTTTCTGCTGATGTCAACGAATGCTGGAAATGTCCCAAGACCCCAGTTCAGGACTGCGCCTCATCCAGGTGAGCAGTGCAGAGCAGTCAAAAGGGGCCAGGAAACAAGCCGCCCATTCATTCGTGCAGTCCAAGAACAAAGCCAGCGGGCCAGCTCCAACCTGTTGTGACAGAAATACCAGGGGATCTTTTCTTTTTCTTTCCATTTCCCCCAGGCAGCAACTGTACAAATGAAACTTCAAAACTAGAGCTCGGCCGTTCAGAGCCTGCACAGCACTGACCTGTTTCTTGTTCATTTAGCCTCATTCTCTCAGAAGACAGAAAGCCTCATTCATCAGAACAATCACTTCAGCCCAGAGGGGCTTGGGTGTTGTTTCTAAGACATTACAACTTGCAGCCATAAAGGAAAAATGAAATAAACGTGGCAAGAGTTTTGAAGTGGTCTGAATGACCCAATTAAACACATATTTTCAAGTCAAACACACCTTTCCTAATGTAGAGATAGAATTGTTAAATTTCACAAATTACCATGCTCGATAATTGTCTAAGAGTAATTTGTGTAGGATGACACTGTTTTCTATTTACTCTCATTCCCTAGGTGATGTCTTCTAGTCCCATGACTTTAAAATCTTCCATTTCTACATCTCCAGGGACACCTCCCTCCTTGATTTTCCCCACTTAGACACGTAATAGCCATCCCATTCTTAAAGTAGTTAGAACAAATTCTTTGATTTTTTTTTTTCCTTCCAAACCTGGTCTTGACACGTTTTCCCCCTTTTAGTAAACGGTAAACAGCATCCTCCTCATTGTTCAGCTGCAAACCTACACAGTCCTTCTTACCCCGCCTCCTTCACTCACACTACCCTCCACTGTCTCACCAAGCCCTCCGCTCTTCCTCAGTGCCCCCCAGTCCAGGCCCGGCTCTCTTGCTCAGACCTAGGCTGCCTCCCTGCTTCTCCTTTTGCCACATTTCTGTCAATCCTCCACCCAGCAGCCAGCATGCATTTGAAAGAACATAGATCATATCGTACCACTCTCCTGCTTAAAATCCACCAGTGGCTTGTTACTACACTTAGGACACAGCCAGAGCTCCCCACCCAGCCCTGCTGCTCTGTCCCCAACTCGCCTCTAACCCCATCTTTGCCCACGTCCTTCTTCTCTCCTTCATCCCAATCATCCTTCTTGCTCTTCCTTGAAAACATCAAATTCACTCCCACCCGAGGGACTTGGCACTCGGTCTGGACTCTGATCCTCTTCAGCTTGTTCCCTCACTCCATGCTGAAAGGCTGCCTCCTCCAAGAAGCCCTCCCTGACCACCTTATCTAAATATCCCTTGTCCCTTCACTCCTCATCTCCTTTTTTAGTTTTCTTTTTCTTCATGGTACTTATCACTTCCCGCCTGTCTCCTCCACTCAAATATAAGCTCCATAAAGGCAGGGATTTTTGTATGTTTTGTTCACTGCTATATCTCTAGCACTTAGAATATGGCCTGGCACACACTCAATAGGTATCTGAATGAATGAATGAATGAATGAGTGAGCATGATGCCCACCCAAAGCAGCTTGCTGCCAATCTTTGTGTCCTATGGGCTGTCATTCAAGGTGGCGGGATGGGCTCACTTGTTATCCTCCTGAGAGCAGCACTTAGAGATCATTTCTGAAGACAGCACATAAGGCGTTGGAAATGGCTCCCCCTCCTGGACCAGCTTGCTAGTGTTACCCACCGTTAGGGCAATGGCCACCCCGTGGAATGCACACCACAAGGGCAAGCGAAGAGCTCAGCGAATGGGGAAACTCTTATCCCATATGCTCAGCTGTCGGGCCTGGGATCATGCAAGGGAAAGTATACAGACAGCAGGCAGGGGAGTCCCCCGACAGTGGCTGTAGCCAGAACTGGCCACATAATTTGTAGGACCCACTGCAGAAGGCAAATGTAGAGCCTCAGCTAGGGGTTTCCTTTGGGCCCACTGCCCAACCCTCTACAGACAGACAACATCCAACAGCTTGCAACCCCTGTACCAGGATGTGTTCAAAACCTGACTTGAAGGTGAGCAAGAGGCCCACTGTATGCACCATGGTGCTATCAGCCTGGGCAGTGACAGCCATACCCTTGCCCCGCCCTGAGATGCCTGGTGGTGTGGGCCCAACCATTGCCTCACCCATACCCACACCCAGGCCCCTGCCAGGGGTGGAGGGCAATGGCAGAATGCTCCCTCCCTCAATGTGACCAGGTCACTGTTCAAGGTTGAAGGCAGCAGCAGGGGTGAGTGGGGGAGACCACCCAGGGGATAGGGGTGAGAAGCAGGCAGCAGAGAGCCATCCTGGGATGCTGAGGAGGAGGTGAGAGTCAGGGCCACACATGAGCCGAGGCTGCAAGCCCTGGCACATTCTCCACTGTCCCGTCACCCTTCTCGTATAGAACACAAATTCAAAGAGGATCAGCAAGCATTTCAAGACAAGAACCCCAGCAGTAAGCCCCAAGCTCAAGGCCCTTCTGAGTGTGGGACCCTGTATTACTCTACAGCCATGCACCCGTGGGCCAGCCCTGGCTGCAGCCATGAACAGAGGGCCCACCAGCATGGGTGTGTGACCCTCTCCTGTGTTAGAAGCATCTCTGCAGTTTGAGCAGCTCCAGACCACACCAGGTCCCTGTTGTCCTCTTGCTCCTGCTGCTATGGTGGCACCATCATTTGAGGTCAGGGAATTTGCACAGTAGTCCCTGCCTGAGAGCCCCCTTCATCTTCAGAGCCTAGAGTGGGTCAGAGCCCCTGCCAGCCAGCCTGCACAGGTGTGAAGCCCTGGATTGCTTGTTAAGATTTGGGAGGAATAAAAGATTTCTTAAATTTCCACTTGAGATTATTTAATCACAAGTGTGGTTTGAACAAAAAGTAAAACCTGAATATGAATTATTTTAAAATTGAGGTATAATTTACATACAATTAAATGCATAGATTTTTGTCAATGATATTCAGCACATGTATATACCATCACTCAATCAAGATATAAAACATTGCTATCAACCTAGAAAATGATCTTTCTAGTCAACCCTCCCATTCACAGAGGCAAGCACTGTTCTGATTTCTAGCATCGTAGATTAGTTTTAGCTATTTTTGAATTTTATGTAAGTGGAACCATACAGTAAGGAAACTTTGTGGCTTCTTTGACTCAAACTCAATATAACACTGAGTTTTATCCATGTAGCTGGGAAAATCCATTGCTCGTTCCTGTTATTGCTAAGTAGTATTTTATTGTATGACTATATCACAGTTTGTTTTGTGATTCCTGTTAATGTACATTAGGTTCGTTTCCATTTGGGAACTACTATGAATAAAACTTCCATAAATATTTTTGTATGTGTCCTTTTGTGAGCATAGTCTTTCATTTCTCTTGGATATATACCTATGAGTGGCAAATAAGCACATAAAAAGATGTTCAAGATCATCAGTCATTAGGAAATACAGATTGAAATCACAGTGATATACCACTACGCATTTAGTAATATGCCACTAAATTTAAACAGGTTGAAAGTTAGCAGACTGACCATAGCCAGTGTTGGCAAGGATCTGGGAGAACCAGAACATTCATAATCTGCTGACGGGAATGTAAAATGGTACAACCACTTTGGAAGATGGTTTGACAGTTTCTTTAAAAAGTAAACCTTTTACTTTTACCTTATGATCCAGCCATTCTACTCTTACCTACTTACCCAAAAGAAATTAAAGCATATATCCATAAAAATACTTGTACATAGATGTTCATAGCAGCCTTATTCGAAATTGTAAAATATTAGAATCAACCCAAATGTCCATTAACAGTTGAATGAATAGACAAACTGTGGTATATCCATATAGTAGAATGCTACTCAGCAATAAAAAGGAATGAACTGGCTGGGTGTGGTGGCTCACGCCTGTAGTCCCAGCATTTTGGGAGGCCAAGGCAGGCAGATCATGAGGTCAAGATATTGAGACCATCCTGGCCAATGTGGTGAAACCCTGTCTCTACTAAAAATACAAAAATTAGCTGGGCATGGTGGCACGTGCCTGTAGTGCCAGCTACTCGGGAGGCTGAGGCAGGAGAATCACTTAAACTGGGAGGTTGCAGTGAGCCAAGATTATGCCACTGCACTCCAGCCTGGTAACAGAGTGAGACTCCATCTCAAAAAATAAAAATAAAAAATAAAAAAAGGAATGAACTATTGACACATGGCAAACTTTAATGAAGCTAAAACCTATCGATGTATTCTATAACATGAACGAATCTCAAAATAATTATGCTGAGTAAAACAAGCCACACAAAACAAGAGCATCTACTACGTGATCCCATTTATATAAAATTATAGGAAATCCAAACTAATGTCTGATGACAAAAGCCAGATCAGACTTGGGTTGGAGGGACAGGGAGGGGCAAAGGGAGGGTTACAAAGCGGCATGAGGAATCTTGGGTGATGTGTTTGTTGTCTTGGTTGTGATATGGTTTCATGGGTGTACATATATGTCGAAACCTTTCAAATTGTATGCTGTATATAGGTGTAGTTAATTGTCAATTATACTTCAATGAAGGTGTGTCCTTAAAAGTCAAATGACTGTATAGTATAATGCTATTTCCATCCTCTCAGTCACTCTCCTTATTCAAGTACCACATGGTCTTATTTTTTGTAGCTGTATAGTAATTCATGAGTTAAGGTAGCATTTGTTCTCCAAGCTTGTTCTTTTTCAAGATTGTTTTGCATATTCTATATAAAGTTTATTTCCTTATTTCTATAACCATTTCCATATAATTTTTAGAATAGCTTGTCGATTTTTTTCAAGAAGTCTGGTGGTATTATGAATGAAATTGTGTCAAATCTGTAGGTAAATTTAGGAAGAATCCACATCTTAGATATATTGAGACTTCTAATCCGTGAGCATATTGACCTGTTTCTTGAATTATGCTTTTTACAGAATTTTTCATTTTATCTAATTTGTCAAATTATTGGTGTAAAATTTCTAATATCACCTAATAATTTCTGATGTCTGTAATAGCTATAGAAATACTCTTTCTTTCACTCCTGATATCGGTAATTTATAATATCCATCTTTTTTCTTCTTGATCAGACTTGCTAAGAATTTATACATTCATAATTTTTTTAAAGAACCACATTTTAGCTTTGCTGATTTTTCTCTATTACTCGTTTTCTAGTTTAGTGATGTCTTTTCCTTACTTTTGTTGTTTGTGCTTCCTTTTGGTACACTCTTTCCTTTTTCTTTATTCTTGAGGTGGAAAGTTAGTTCACTGTCTACTGATTCCTGTTGTTTCTGATCATAAGTGAAACCTCTTTTTTTTTTTTTTTTTTTTTTTTTTTTTTAAGATGGAGTCTTACTCTGTCACCCAGGCTGGAGTGCAGTGGCGCAATCTCAGCTCACTGCAACCTCCGCCTCCCGGGTTCAAGAGATTCTTCTGCCTCAGCCACCCTAGTAGCTGGGATTACAGTTGTGCACCACCACGCCTGGCTAATTTTTGTATTTTTAATAGAGATGGGGGTTTCACCTTGTTGGCCCAGCTGGTCTCAAACTCCTGACCTCAAGTGATCCACCTGCCTCAGCCTCCCAAAGTGCTGGGATTACAGGTGTGAGCCACCACACCCAGCTGAAACCTCATTCTTATTGTTCCCCTGAAAATAATGTGTCTTTTCTTCCTCTGGCTGCTTCTTATGTTTTCTCATTATCTTTGGTTTTCAGTTGTTAGATAATAATTTGCCTTTGTGGTTTCCTTTGTATTTATTTTGCTTGAGGATTCCTTGCTTCAGATATTGAGTTGTCTTTCTTCAGTTTTGTAAATTTTTAGCCAATATATTTTCAAATATTCCTTCTGCCCTATTCATTATCTCCTCTCCTTCTGAAATTCCAATTACATGTATGTTGGTCCTATTCTTATTGTCCCACAGTTCTCTAATGATCTGTTTAATTTTTTTTTTCATTCTTTTTTCTCTCTGTGCTTCAGTACAGGCCTTTTTTATTATTGACCTGTCTTTGAATTCATTGATCCCTTTTTCTGCTATGTCCAGTCAGCTCTTAATCTTATCGAAGCCCATTAATCCTTTATTTCAGATGTTGTATATATCAGTTCTACTAAAGGCTTGTTCTTCTCTGGAATATGATTGACTTAGACATATATTCCTTCATTACTGCCCCATGGCTTTTAAAAAGATATGAATTTTAGTTTATTTGGCATTTTTTGTTATGAGAACAACAATCTTTTTCAAACTTCTGTATCCTAGTTAGAAGTAGAATTCTGTGTACGCAATTTTGGATGCCCTATTTTTTCAAGTATGTTCAATATTATTGGAAAACTGCAAGTACAGTACACAGAACTTCCCCACATCCTTTACCCAAAGACCTCATTCAAATGTTGCCAGCTGTCTTAATATGTCCTCGATAGAAAGAAGATTCAAACCAGAGCACTCATTGCACTTAGCTGTCATCTGTCCTCAGCCTACTTCAATTCAGAACAGTGCTTGAGTCATTCCTTGATCTTTATGTCCTTAGCAGTTTTTAAAATTACAGGCCACTTATTTCTATTAGAGTTTGTCTGATGTTTCTTCATGAACTTTTGGCAAGAATATTACTGAAATTATGCCGAGCTCTTCTCCCCACATCCCATCAAGTAGGAATTTATGTCAACTGGTGACACCACTGGTAATGTTAATTTTGATCACTTGAGTAAAATGATATCTGCCAGCTTTCTCCACTATAAACTTGTCCTGTTTTTCTTTAAAATTAATAAAGTCTATAAAAGTAATAAATGTTTTCGGATGAGATACTTTGAGACTATGTAAATATCCTGTTGTTTCTCTTTCACCCGCTAATATTAACATGTCTCAATTCTGTAATCAGAATTAACTAGTACTGTGATTGCCAAATGAAAATGTTCAGTTCCATCATTTCTTCTATATTTACAAGTTAAAATTTACTGTAAAGAAGAGTTTCTCTTGTCCCCATTTATTTGTTCACTTTTTAAAAATCAGTTCCACCAAATTAACAGAAAGCTATTACCCATTACGACCTTACGATTTTCATGCTTAAAATGTCCCAGACTTGGCCAGTAGGAGCTTCTTCAGACTGCCTTTTATGTCCTTTTTGATGCATCTCATGATTCTTTAAGTGATTCCTTACTTTCTGGTACAAGATGTTCTAGGCTATTCTTATTTTTTCCCTGCCCCTTCCCTGGAACAAACCATTTTTTCAAAGAGCCTTGGTTCTTCTTAGTGGTGAGCTATTTTGAGAAGCAAAGATGTGAGCGTTAAACGTGCTCCTTGCTATTGGGGTTTTGCTGCTTGCAGATTCTCTCTGAAAGCGGGGTAAGGACCTATGTATACATAGACACATACACATGTATCTTGAGCTATAAACTGTGAGTTCACTTCAATACCTCCAATGCCAGTCCAACCACAGAGTTCATTCTAGTGTTCCCTCTTTTCATATTTGTAATTCTCTTCTTCCATGAAAAACCTAGTTCCCACTGTCCTCAATATATTTATATACTGTTAGATTCTCCTGCATATAAGATAACCTCCTGCCCCTGCCACGCTGCCGCACCACTCAGCCACCTTCCTGCACCTAATCCCACCTTGCCACCACCTGCCTCAGCTGCTACCGGAGACCGACAAAGCCACCCTCCCACTTGTGATGTCCCTTTCCTCGTGGTGGCTTTGACCCCCACTTGGCCACCACCATGCTCTGCCACCTCCTCTTTACTATGACTTTTTGAAGATAAAACATAGTTAGAATCTCCTCTCCTTGGAATTAAAAAAAGGTGAAAGTCATTCTTATGTGTTTAGAGTTGAAATCTAAGTATATTAACAAGAATCAAAAATAATTTAGTTTTGGTTAATGTGACCTGCTCAGAAGAATATTTTGATTTTTAAGATTGTCTAATTTTGCCACCATAAGTAAGACTGAGCCAGTACTTAGAATGACTTTTGTCCAAGCTTTAGGTGGAAATACATCAACGACAGTGGAGGGTAAAGCCTTCACTTTCGGATGCTACCATCTCAGGAGAGCCGGACAGTCAAACAGGCTTGTCCTGACCAACATAGATGAGAGATCAGATGACATTATAGGTCGAGACCCACACTGTGGTGGGCCTGCCTAAAGCAAGGCATTGCCTGCTCAGAAGATACTTCAAACTCAACTCAGTCTTTTGATTTCTTCTATCAGAAGTGGCTCAAAAGGAACTAGTCACTGACCTTGTATTTGTAGCCAGCCACATCTACATATCGAAGAAAGAAAGTACTGATGCTAAGGGCTTCTAAGTTGGGTTTGGAGGTGGAAGAGAGGTGCATAGGTTATTGGTAACAAATGTGTCCATTTTTTTCCTCCATTGTATCCCATTAATAGGCTTCTCTTTATTGTTTAAATTCCTGGTGGCAGGAGAGTTTAAACTTGCTTTTAACATGCAGGTGGGCTCAGGAAAATGAAAATAGGCTGTCTGGCAATAACCCAGGCTCCTAGGGTTCTTCTGCAATAGGAATTGTTCTTGTCTCTTCTCCAAAGGGCTAAATGGTGCCGTGTTGAAAATAATACCCCGGTATTTACCTCGAAGTGTTTCTTTAATTGTTGGATTCTGTTTTTAAAAGTCATAATCTGACTTTTGCCTCTGGCAACATAGCAGATAAATATTTTTTAAAATCCTTTTAAACACTGATGTGCTTGGTAAGAAAATAAGGACTACCTAGAGGCTAAAAATACAAGTGAAATCAGGAATCCAGAGAGGTAAGATAGCTGTGAGACTGACTTTACCTTGAGGGCTTTTGCCAAACTAGGTGAACGTTGGTTTTGGTTTACATACCCTCCGTGGCTCAGGATACCAAGGACAAATCCCAGGGTCCTTCCGAGGTAGGCATATGTGGAAGGTTCCCACTCCCAGTCCCCTATATATATACACCTGGGCCCCTCAAGTGCTATATCTGCAGTGTAAGGGTGAACAAGAAAGAAAGAAATCCACCCAGTCCCAAGGACTGGCAAGAAAATGTTCCTGCCTCAAATCTTGGCACTGAGTAGACAGAGAGAAATTTCCTTGAAAATGTATAACCATAGACTGATCGCCAGAAGGAATTGTAGCTCATATGCAAACTACCTGAGTAACCTGAAAAATCTCAAACATAAAATTTAGTTTAACCCAGAATGGTGGAGTCCTTGGGTGCCCGGCACAATCAAGAAGAGCCTATATCCAAACTATATCTCAAAAAATTTTCACAGATTATATTCCAGAAAATGTGAGCTCTTTTAAAAAGAAATCAAAACACCAAAAGGAGAATGCCATGTAAGAACCAACAAAATCTGTGAATAACAAAATGATACCGAATATAAAATATGTATATTTAATATTTTTTAAAAATTAAAAATATGATTGAAAATCAAGAGATTATACAAATGGCCAATCATCTTTATGAATGGCTAAAAAGAACTTCTGAAAATTCAAAATTCAAAACTCAGTGGAAGAGTGTAACAGTAGGTTAGAAATAGCTGAAGAGTTAATTTAAGAGCTGGAAGACGGATTTGAAAAATTATACAGAATGCAACATAGAAAAACCAAAGATGGGAAATGCGAAAGAGATAAGAGATACTTAAATAGAATGAAAATTTGTAGCATATTTCTAATTAGAATACCTGGAAAAGAGGGAGAAAAATAATGGAATAGAGATACCATTTAATGGAAGATAGGTAAGGATGTTCAAGAACTGATGAAAGATAGAAATCCTCACTTTCAGGAAACCTGATGAATTATAAGCAGAATAAATGCAAAGAAATATGTGTGTTTGCATCACAGAGAAATTGCAGAAAACCAGAGAAGATGTTAAAATTATCCAGACATCAAAAATGGATTACCTATAAGGGAATGAAAAGGCTATCAGGTAACATCTCAACAAAGCCAGAGGGCAGGGGAACAAAAGGTTTATCAAGTTGAAAGAAAAAAAATACACGAACATAAGAGTAATTACACAGCATAAAAAACTCTTTAAAATTAGGATAAAATAGACATTTTAGACAAACATAAAGAGAATTTGAGGTATAAGAAGGAATTATGAGGAATAAAGACAGACTCACAATATACAGTATTGTCATATAGTTACGTCAGGAAAGGTTCTAAGGTGTTCTAAGGTTCTTCATGGGGAGGGTTAAAGTGTTGATTATAGACTTTGGCTTAATTATACATTTTAAAATTTGAGATAAACAGTAGAAGAATAAAAGAGATATTTAATTTTTATATGAGCAGAAGAAGAAAATCAGGGTGAAGTATTTGATTCAAAATAAGGAACCAAAAGAGAGAAAGAGGACCACAGAAAAAGGCAAATAAACAATCTAATATAAACTAAATAAATAACATGTTTATGTGGGGGTACTATAAGGACAATGAATGAATCACCACTATATGCAGACATGGGTGTAACTAAATATCGTGGGAGAGCAAAAGAAGAAAGTCTCTGATGAGTACATAGAGTGTGATTCATTTATATAAAGTTCAAAAACATGGAAAACAACATACTGCATAGAAATACAAAGGTGAGATAAACCAAAAGAATGATAAACACAAAATTCAGGCTAATGACGGTCTCTGTGTGGCAATGAGGGAATAGAACTGGAGAGGGACACATGGGAAAATTCAAAATGAAAGACACCGTTCTTTTTCTTTAAATGAATGGATTCATCCGTTTGTTGTACGATAATGCTTAAGCCATCCATAGAGTGGATAAGTGTTCTTTTCTGTCTACTCATTATTTAATAGAAATAATTTAAACATTTATAGTTATTCAAATTTGATTTTTTGTGTGGTGTGAAATAGGTTTCCAATGTTGTTTCATTCTAGGTGGATAGCAGGTTGCCCCAGCATCATCTATCAGAGAGCTATCATTTTCCCATTGGAGTGGTAACTCTTATTATACATCTAATTTTCATATACATTGGCATTTATTTCTGGATCCTGTTTTCTATTTTATTGCCAAATCTGCAGTCACTGATTTGCCTTTTCCTAGGTTGATCTCATATTGATTTTATCACAGCAGCTTTCTGGGTTGAATGTTCTAGTATCTGGGAAGGCACATCCCCCTACAGTATTCTTTCTCTTATTTTCCTTGGTTATCTGGGGGCACTTATTACTTCAAATGAACTTTTTAAGATCATTTCATCTAAGTCTAAAATGATTGCATTAAATTTGTGTATTTATGAGAATGTCTTCCTACCCACGAATAAGCAATGTTCCAATCTTATTTTATGACCTTCAATAGGGTTTTACAGCCATTTTTTATATAGGTCCTATGGCTTTCTTGTCAAATTTGTTTACTAATATTTTATGGTTTTTACCATGATTATGAGTAGGTGGTTTTTCCGTTTTTCACCTCTAATTATTTATTGCTACTGTTGAGAGGAATGATTAATTTTGGCATATTTATCATCTGTCCAACTAGTTTCATAATTCTCTTATAATTTTAATATTTTTTCACTGGAGTCTCTTGGATTTCTAAGTATACAGATACATAATCATCAAAAAGAGATCGTTGTTAGCTGTCTTTCTTTTCCAAATGTTAATGATTATTTCATTGTCTTGTCTTATTATACTTCCTTTATGAATAAGAATGATGATAACAAATATCCCTGTCTGGCTCCTGATTTTAATTGGAAACAGTTAGTGATTGGCTATTTAAGGAGTTTTCTTCTATTTCTTTGTCCTTAGAGTTTTAAATGGAATTATTACTGTATTTTAAGACTTTCTTTATTTCTATTTTCACTCTAGGTTTTGAGATATGTCTTCTTCTTGACCTTGGAAGACTGGAGTCTTAATAGTGACCATTGTCTCCTTAAATTGCCCTGATATTCTTAACCTTGGAAGACTTGACATCTCAATAGTGACCATTATCTCCTTAAATTCTTTCCTGAAATTCTCCTGATTTTCTTGTTGGCTCAAAAATCATAGTTCCCCCAAAAGCCTTCTTTGTGCTGTGCTTGATTCTCGTGGCATTTTGGTATTTTGTTGTCACTATTTAAGGTGTCACTCCTCCTCTGCAGTAGCTGTAATTCTAGTCATTTTTTCAGAGGCTGGAGCTCCCAGTGTATATGGTTCTTTTCCATAGCCTGTTTGAAGGCAACACTGAAGTACCTTAAGGCAGTGGTGGTCTCACAGAGAGTACCTGATAGGGCAATTGCTGACCCTGTGAGCTTCTCATAGAAGTAGACAGGTTGTCAGGCCCCAGTGGAGACCCCTGGTCTCCACATGCTCTTCTGTACTCAGGGGTAGAGCAGACCAGCCCACCCATGCATTCAGGAAAGCCAGCTTCCCAGAACCCTCAGGCCCACCTGTCAGAGGCCTCAGCCACTGCTTGGCTCGGTTGAGCCAGGGGATTGAAGTTGAGAATAGATGAAATCAGATTGTCCGATATTGTTACTAAGCTTTGTCTTGATATTATCCAGTGCATGTTTTTATGGCTGATAATCCCGTTGAGAGACAAGGGCAGATCCTTGAGAGGAGAAATTGAAATGCTCCTGATTAGAAAATGGTAGTTTTCTGTGCTAATATTAGATATTTTAACTGAGCCATTTTTTTCTTTAAAAGTAGAATGAAGGAGAAAAGCATGTTGTTATTGTGAGACACATCTATGACAAGTGATCCAACCAAGGCAAGGTGCGGACCGGGGCGGCCCTTGTATGGCAGGTAAAGGGCCCTGGAAGAATTTAGCTCCCCATCTGTGCTGGCAAGTCTCCAAGGATAAAGTGACAAGGAGCATCACGGCGGCTCACAGAGTAACTCCACAGTGATTCTTGAAATAATTGGAGGCAGCCTGGGGTGTCACGGCCTTGAATCATTAGTTGGTGGAAAAGCAGGAAGGAACCCACGTAGTGGCGCATCAGCGAGACGGTGCAGACCGTGGAGAGCAGCAACATCTGGTCCCCTTGGCTCCAAGACGGAGGGAGCCCAGAGGAGCTGGGGAAAGTGACAAAGGAGCTAAGTACCTGAAGGAAAAATGAGGGCCGGTGACAGGGAATAAGACAGATGCGAGCTGAAGAGGCTTTAGGCAAAGAAAAGGAACTCGGGGGTAGGAATATATTTGGAGGAAGTGTCTAAAACAAAGCCGTTTTGTAAAAGAAACTCTCCCAAGGGCAGAAATCGTATTGTACTTGACATTTTTATGCAGCTTTTCTTCCCAAGAAGGTCTCCAAAATAACCCTTCAAAAGCCGGTTGAGATAACTTGATAGGACAAATAGAGGGAAAAGAAAAAGGTTTGTGCAGTTTTATTGTAGCCAAAAGACATCCAAGTTAAAACACAGGCTCTGATGTACATCCTCAATTCACAGATGTGGGATAATTTTTTCCATCTCAGGGATCTCTATACAGCCCTCTCACGTACCCACGAGGAAACTGAGGGTTGCATGTGAAAGAGACACACCTTGTAGATCCCAGGTCGCTATTCTCCCACCGAGGGCTTTCTACAGTCTCCACTCTTTCCACTCAATCTGTGACCATGTCTGTTTCTGTAAAACCATTGATGGATTACTCAGCTCTCTATCCAGCCAGTCTTGGGTCTCTGCAGCATCTTCATCAGATTCAGTCCTCCACCCAGCCCAATCTGTGCCAGGCCTGGTGCTGAGCTCTGAATGAAGTGGAGCCTGGTCCCAACCCTGAAACCACAGACACTGCCTGATGCCCAGCCTGGAGTTCTGAGCAGCTGTGAAGGCGCTGCTGGGGCCCTGCCTCGGGGCCTGCTGTTCCGTCTAAGGAACCACAGGAGCGGGGGTCCTCAGGCCAGCAGGTTGGCAGCCTCCTTTAGGTGGAGGAGATCTGGGAGGGCTGGGGGGAAAGCTCTGGAAATGGTGAGTCAGGTAGCTTCACTATTGTCACAGACAGCAGATGGGGAGATGACACACAGTGCAAAGGGCTCCCAGAAGGAGGAGAAACCATAGGACCTGTCTGTAGCAGGTGAGCCTGAGAGGTTTGCAAGATACGCTGGCATTGGGCCCAGGTCAGGGGATGCCTTTGAAACTGTCACCAGGGTTCCTCTGGCAGGCCAGCGGCCCTGGTGACTACCTGACACTGCCCTTAGGTGTTGAGTAGAGCCTGCAGTTTGTGCTGTGAGTTAGTTCCAGTCACTTTGCCCTAAGAATGTATAATTTCAGACTCCCCTACCTTGGAAGCCAGGCGGAGTTTATAAGGGTCCAGTGAAGCCCTGGCGCAAGGGAAATTGCAAGGGAAGCATTTCCTTTGGGTATTTTGAAGCATGCTATTTTGCATCTGCCTTTTTAAAAACCATTCAATACTTTCAGTATAAATATGTTCACCTTTCCATTAAGGCTGGCCTCCCGAAGACAGCAACTACCCCACATGTTCATGCACTTGAATCAGTAAAACCAAATGGCTACTACTTTTCCAGTCCTATTTATTCAACCTTTCACCAATTCAGTGTCCGAATTGAGCACTTACTAAGTGCCTAGCTCTCTACATGAATTATCTCATGTAATCCTCAAAGCAATCCTGTAAGGGGCAATCCCGTAAGGACCATTGTTATCGTCACTTTTAAATAGGGAAAAGAAGGTGGAACCTTGCCTGGGCTCACACAACTATCAGCTGTGAAGGAGCACAGGACTGGGTGGAGGCCAAGGTTTTACTGTGTTACTGTGTTACTTGAGACCCAGCGGGATCAACACAAGTACCGTAGGAAGTTCTGTTGCAGCACTCCCCCTACCCCACCCCGCCCCCGCTCCACCCCCGCCTCAGTGAAGAGGAGCTGCATCCTCAGCTCGGTCAGCTCCCCCACAGCAGCGTGGCCTCTGGCTCCAGCCCCTTCTCCCTCTGCTCCACCAGGGGACTTTCCCAGGAGAAAGTTCTCTCTGTCTCAGTAAGTCTCAGTTAAGTGGCTTGGAGCCTCACGTTCCTGCCTTTCTGGGGTCTTTTTGTGAGGCTGGGGGCTCTGAAGGAAGATGCCCCAGGCAGAAGAAAGAGATGAGAGACCTTGGCAGCTCCCTCAGGTGACGTTGGTTACTGCAGGGATTTGGGTGGTATTGAGAAAATTATCCAAAACTTGGGAATAAGGGAAAAAGAGGGTGGCAAGTCCTCCCTCTGGGACCTTGTTTACTAGATCTGCCCAAGGATTACTTACTGATCCAGGCTAGAGGGTTACGTCTTTGTTCAACTCACAATTTGCCGCTGATTAAAGGCCCAGACTGTGCAGTGACATGTTAACTTGCACATTTGTTCCCAGTAAAAATGCACATGGTTCTTTTTGGTGGAAAAGAGAACCCGAAAGTTTGTGGTTTTCTTACCCTGCAGATCACTCACCTACTGTGTGCCTAGCCTAGGCATCTCATCCCAACCTTCTTTCTCCAGTGCCCATGTGGCTCCTCAAGTCCTCCTCTGAATCAGCGTCTGCACTGTGGGCTCTCTCATTAAGAAAGCAAACACAGCTTTAACATATGCTCACTTTAGATTATCGTGACAGTCACATTTTTAAGTTTTTGAAAAGTATGCTTTGGCACTTGTGTTTGGTGTTTGATCTTCAGCTGTGACCAGAAATAACCACCTCCAAAAGCCGTGCCCAGGGACATTAGACAATATGTAGAAACCTATTTGTGCTTTGGTTTCATACAAATTGGTTACATAGAAACTCTTTTGGCAGAATTGACAGGCCTCCTGACAGATGAAAGGTGTTCCTTCTCTCTTCTTGTTCCAGGCATTTCTGACTTTGAAGTCAATTTGTCAGACCTCAGGTTAGGATCTGTAAACATTATGCATGGCAGGTTGCATTACCTTCCAGCAATGGATAACCATGTGTTTCTGTTGAGCTTTGGGATTGGAGAATGTGGTCAAGTCTTTCAGAACTGGTCAAACTGCTTTCATCAAGTGCACAAGCACCTCAGCATACAGGCTGTGCTCACCGGTTGAGTTTGAAATCACCTGTGGTCACTGAGAATACATCACATCTGCCCAGCAGTCACCTGTCCAGTTTCAGGCAAAATAGCAGGAGAGGAGACAGGGAGGTGATGAAGATGGAAACATCATAGTGGGAGGTAAGGGGCTTAATGGCCAGGTGTCCATGCATGACAAGGAGTGGGTTTGGGCCTGTGATGTTCACAGATCCAAGCAGGGCTTCCTTCTGCAGCCCTGCAAACCTCCAGCCTTTAGAGAAGTTGCTACTTAGGCCTCTAAGCTATGTGTCCCTGAGGTGGGTGAGGAGCAGCCATCCTGCAGGCCAGGGTTGCTGATGTGTGGATGTATCCTGATGTTGGAGAAGCTCACACTATGGACATCTAGATCCTCCAGGCATGAGTTCCTTGAACTTGAAGCAGAGACCATATCACCAGCTGAGCAGATTATCCCAAGTTCAAGGGATTTGGAGTGAGACTGATTCAAAGCTAGGCTCTACCACCTACTTGCTGTCTAACCATAGGCAAGTCACTTGACTCATGTTTCCTAATCTGTAAAATGGGCATATATTCATGCCACAAATATGTGCTGAGTAGGGCCTCTGTGTCTACTTAATAGAGCTTTAAGGAGGATTAAATGAGCATCAGATGAGCTCATAGATTCTAAGAGTTTAGCATGGTGCCTGGTGGGCCTGCCTCAGTAAATAATAGTCACTTTACACATGGCCTTCTCTGGCTGGGTGTTAACACACACATGTCCTTGGGAGGAATTACAGATTCTCATCCCAACCCTTGAATATAAATGAGGCGTTACAGGGTGGAGGTGGACCTGACGCAGCCCCGGCATCCAGGGCATCTAGGAGTGTGGAGGCCCTCACCAAGGTAGCCTGTAGTCAGAGCTCAGAGAGGGCTGCTCTCTTCCCACCAGCAGCCCTGAGGGGTGCCGAGAGTTTTCTGGCCTCTAAGAGGATAGACCTCTTTCAGCTGGGAGGGCTGAGTGGTGGGATGGCAGGGCCTCACCCCACTTCCCAGGTGGGACAGTTGGGCAGGGTGAAACTTTGCATCTGCCTCACAGCTCCCTGCAGACTGAGTCTGCCTGGTGATGTTTACCTTGGAGCAGGGCTTTAGGAGCCAGGCCTCTTCTTATACCAGGCCTCCTCTCCCTGCATGCCAGGTTCCAGGGCACCCAAGGGTGCTCCACTCTCTCCTTCCCCCAGGTCTCTGCCATCTTCACCGTCAGGTCTCAGGTCTAATCTCACCTCCTCAAAGAGGCTTCCCTGACCAGAGTAAAGTGTGCCCGCTGCAGCACCCTGGTTATTTCCTTCCTCGCATTTAACACCATCTACACTTGTCTTGTTTTTTTGTTTGCCAGTTCACCCTCTTGTGTGTCTTCCTACACTGTCATGTTAGTGCCCTGAGGATAGGAGCCTATTCTGTCTGAATCCTCAGCACCTGGAATCGGGACTGGCACATAGCAGGTGCTCAGTAAATATTTGTTGGGTGGATAGATAGGGGAGGAGCTGGCAGGCAGGAACTGCGGAAGTGCCCCGTTGTTACCACCCACCCCATCTTAGGGTAGACATGGCACGGGACTGGAGCGTCGGGCCTCTGCCTGGTTCTCACACAAACCTGAATTCTGCAGCTGCATACCAGGCACTTGGGTGGTTTCTGCAATGAGAGAGTCGACACTGACAGGCACTCTCTGTCCCTGGACCACCTTGCCACGTGTGAGGGTATAAGTTATCTTAAAGCGGGGAAGAATACTGGGACCGTTATGTCCAATCCCTGGATGCGCACCCCACATATCTGCACATGGCTACATGTACATGGCTCTTCCGCAGGCAAAGCCTCGCTCTGGGTCATTGAGAAACCCAACCATGACCCCAGGCGAGGGCTGCCGCTCCCCTGTGTGTTGGTGTGTCAGTACCTGGAAGATAAAGTATATAAGGCCATGTGTAAGGGCTGTATCTGCCCATGGGCAGGCACTTGGCTGGACAAGTACCTCTGTCTGCAGAAGGTGGAGACAGCTGCTGTACTGGGCCAGGGTTCGTGGCAGGTGGCAGATGAGGTTCTTGAGGTTCTTGATGCTGCACACACTGCCTCTGGTCTTCTGCATTCACGCCTTGCTCTTTTCAGCCAGTTTTGGGCTTTCCAGTGACTGCCTCCTCAGAGCCAAGCCATCACCTCATTGAGGCCTCATAGTGAGTTGGGGTGAGGTTGTGGAATTCAGTGCTAGGTCGTGTGCTGGGGGCACTGACAGCCTTCAGGAGCAGGCCTAGGCAGAACATCTGGCTGAGATGGGAGCAGGGAGCTCCCAAGGCCTGGTCAGGAGAGACAGGGCTGTCATCAATAGTCAAGCTGGAGATGAGGTCTGAGACACAGAAAAGCTGTGTTGGGAAGAACGTGCCAGCAGGCCGCTGGCATCCAAGAGTGGAAGAGCTCGTGGGTTTTCCCTCACTGCCACTTGGGGCACTGTCCCTGAGAAGGGAGCACTCGTTAGTTTTCTTTGGGCCCAGGAAGCGGTTACAGAGGCTGAGTCAGTATTTGGAAGCAAAATTACCCAACTGTCTGTGCTCTTGGTTGTGGCTGGCTGTGGGAGAACAACGGAGGGGCTTCCTGCTCCATGTGGATGTAGACTCACTCTCTCTGGGGCCCATCTCAGGACTCAGCCTCCTTTTATGCCTTCCACCGGGGTCAGACGGGCTTGCCTTCCACAACCGCTCAATTACACCACCTGTACCTATCTATGCTCCCAGTTCATGGCAGTCCTGGGTCTGTGACATTCTTATTGAAAATCCTTATTCAGATCACAGAGGGAGTCTTCAGCACCAACTGGTACCAATAGACTCATTTCTCCTGCCGCCATAATGTTAATGTAACTGTTCCCATTTCTGACCATGTTCAGTAAATTTAATTTGTGTTGGAAAGCAGCTTATTTGGCAAGATGATCAGTTTTTAACCTGAGTAAATGGCTTTCTTGATGACTATAAATTAAGCCCATTGTACTTTTCATGCATTGTGGTTGTCCTCATAAATACTATAGGCAGTTGCTGGTAGTCTCACTTGGTTACCTTTCCCATTACTGTTTTATCATCATTGTGGTAGGAGTGGGGAATTCATTCTGTTTTAATGACAAGGAGGAAGTGGTAACAAGGGGCTTGTTTAATGAGGAGCCCACCCCTGGGTCAGCATCTGTGTAGCTGTGGATCAGATTCTGGGCCTTACCCCGCCCGGGGTATCCTCAGCCCTCTGTGGGGCCATTGTGAAGGGCATATGCAGGGCCTTCATGCTACTTTTGTCTTAATTGCAAGTAATCAGGAATCAAATATTTGCCGACAGCCAATTTCCATGTCAGGGAGAACCTGAGTGTTCTTGACAACTTCAGCAGCCACAGGTTGGCACCAGTGTTTCCTTAACACTGACCCCTCAGAGTGCAGCCTGCAGGGAAGGCCATGGGAGCCTCCCCAGCAAGTTAAGCAAACGTAGGTGCCTGCTGCCCTGTGTGACGCTGGGCCTCAGAGGTGCTCACTACCATCTGGACACACAGCTTTCAAAGGAGGGGGTCAGGGAAAGTAGCTTCTCCCCCCAGCCCCCCATGAACTGGCTTTGGTTTGCCTGCCTGGGATGGAGTAGGTGGTCTCTGAAGCCCCTTCCAACTCTGCTTCTCCAGGATTCTAGTTCTCTTTACTCCAGAAGACCCACCTCCACGGACATCCATCTTCCCCTCATACCTCCATCCTTCCACTTCCTTCCTGCCCACTTTGGAGAAGGCAAGGGAAAATGTACCCCTACCGGGTCAACACATGTGAGGCTTCACCACCCTCCCCATCCGAGCCCCTAGCCTGGCTTCTTAACTGCACTGAATTAGCCTTCAGGAGATCAGTTCTGAAAATTTCTGCATTTCTTAAAACCTGAGTATACTGGGGCCACACGAGGAGCAAGGCCTAGCACCTGTGGGACCTCCTGAGGCCAGAGCAGGGCAGGCACTTTGGGGTAGGAGGATTCAGAGAGGGACACTTGGACTTGGGCTGGTAGCAAGCACTTCATAGAGAAAATGCCTACAACAGTGACTTGGAGCTGGTTTAGCCAGAGGGAGAAAGCAATGGGGGCCAGGGCACACGCTCTGAAGCAGGCTCGGAGAGGCCAGGGCACAGAGACTTTGCCTCTTGTTTCTTCAAAATGGGCAATTAGTGGGTTGCATCCTATCTGCATGGGAAGGTTATTAAAACAGTGATCCCATGGCAATGCTCTGCGTCCTGGCCCTGTCTTGGGAGAGAAACAAAGGCTGATATTTTCAGAGCTGTTAGTTTCTTCTAGTAGGCGCCAGCACTTTCTAGGGTAACCCATTTTCCAACAACCCAGGAGAATCACGCTAATCAAATATGCTCCATGGCAAAGCGGCCATAAACACCGTGAGTGGGGGGCCTCCAGCCCAGAGCCTCCCTGCCAGGCGCCTGCCTGCCTTCCGCCTCCTTCCCTCCCCGCCACCATCAACCTTGACAGGAAGGCGTGCAGAGGGGCCGCTGAATGCCACTGGGCCTTCATGGTGACATGCGAACAATTAGCAAAGTGGATAAAAGAGATTCCCGCCTCCTTAGGATCTGCACTTTTATACTGCTCAGAGATATTTGACCTTCTAGTTTATTATGATTCAAGAAAAAGTCAATACTTCTTAGTTTGCCAAGGCTGGAGGAATTTAAATGAATTATTGAATCAAGCAGTTAATCTGCCGATAACTGATTTTTTTTCCTTTCAAATCTGTAATGATGAAAAGCAGACTTAACCAAAAACAAGAAAAATATATTTTTTTCTTTTTTTTTTCTTCTTTTTTGCTTAGACATTTTAATCCCATGGGTAGGACCCGGGGCTAAAAGTTTGGTCATGATTACTAGGGCCATTCTGTCTTGCTGAGTATTTTGATGGAGATTTAATTAACACTTAAAGCAAAGTCTTCTGAGGCTGTAAAAATCTGTATTCACATTTCAGTTGTCTTTTGGTGTCCCTGTGTAATTCTCAACTTTCCATCTGTACCTTTAGTGACATGTGCTGATTATCTCATTTCCAGACTCCCAGAATGCAGTGTGATGTTGGTGATGGACGCCTGTTTCGCCTTTCACTTAAACGTGCCCTTTCCAGCTGCCCTGACCTCTTTGGTGTGTGAGCTCTGGGTGCTGCTGCCTGAGATCACTGTGGGTGTTGTAGGGTGCAGGGGACACTCAAGCAATGTGGCAGCGCCCGTTTCCAGGGGCTCAGCCTTCTTGCCCATAACTGCAACATTGTGCTAGAAAGGACTGGGCTGTGGGGAAAGGCTGCTGGTGTCTCCCCTGATGACGTGTGTCATGGAGAACCACATTCTCCCCCAAGGAAATGGCCAGCCTCTGGTCTCCCTACCTCGGCTACCCCCACCCCCATCCTGAACACTTGGAGCATGACTTTCTTCTTATGCCACGTTTCCTCCCTGCAGTGACTCCCCAGTGCCTACAGTAGTGTACCTAAATTTCTCTGCTTGGCTCTCCAAGTCTCCCAGAAATCACACCTTGACCCCCAACCCCACCACTGTACAAAACTCCTACTCACATCTAGTCTTCTACCTGAGACCTGCAAATGCCACCCACAGGGCGGCTGGGGGAGTCTTGGCTCAAGCCTGCTGTGTTTCTGGGAAAACCTTTCTCTCCTTTGCAGGGCCCACTGGCACATCACCCGCTCCATGATCTCCGCCACTCCCAGTTACTTCTTCCAAACTTAGCTCCCTGGCTCCCATGCTCTTTGCCTGATCTGCATACATGTCACCACCTTACAGAATGACAAAGTCAGAAAGAGGGAAAGGTATGACTTGTTCATCTTTGAGACCCCTAAGGTGCCTAAGACACAGCCTGGTCCAAAGTCATGACATAGTAAAGGAAAAGAAGGAAGGAAGGAAAACGTATTGCAGGCAGGGGGTGGAGGGGACCACTTTTTTAAAAAGTCATTGATTTTAATAGGCCTCTAGTCCAGGAGGCTGACTGTGAGCCTGGGAGCAGTAGTGGCAGGCTTTGTCCTTCTGTGCAAGGTGCTTCTTTGTGAGCACGGAATAGCTGGGTGTTTTCATTTTTCAACTGGAAGCAGGAAAAGTAAGCCTAAGAAAGAACCAAGAGTTGATCAAAAGCCCCCAGCTGGGTCCTAGGTTGGAAAGGTGTTGTGTTTCAGATGTTCAGAGTGAGTCAGCCATGAAACCTGAGCTCTGCAAGGCAGGACACCCTTCTTGGCACCAATGACCACCTCATGGAGGGACAGGGACTCCCTAGGAGACCCCAAGCCCCCAGGCCCCACCTTGAGTAGCTTGGCTGCACAGGCAAATGGAGTCTGTGCTTGTGAGCTACAAAGGAAGCCCTCGACCCCAGACCCTCTGAGTGTTTACAGCTGACCCTCTGTGTTTGTGTGTCTGGCAGGGCTTTCCAGCCACAACGAGCTGCTGGCCTCCTGCGGGAAGAAGTTCTGCAGCCGAGGGAGCCGGTGCGTGCTCAGCAGGAAGACAGGGGAGCCCGAATGCCAGTGCCTGGAGGCATGCAGGCCCAGCTACGTGCCTGTGTGCGGCTCTGATGGGAGGTTTTATGAAAACCACTGTAAGCTCCACCGTGCTGCTTGCCTCCTGGGAAAGAGGATCACCGTCATCCACAGCAAGGACTGTTTCCTCAAAGGTAGGAACAGGGCCCTTGCCCTGTGGTTTTGGGTTTTGTGATGGGTCTTCCAATGCCTTTTTGACAAGTGACCTGGGTGCTGAGTCTACAAGTTACATATGTTTAGGAAATAAAGACAAAGACTGGTGTGTAACAAAATAGCAGCAGTGGCATTTTGGTGATGCATACTCTGTGTCCCACCTCCAGAGACCCCTGCCCTTAGAGGAAGCTCCTTGGGGAGTAGAATCCAGGCAGGTCAAATTAAAACCTGGCTGGTACAGGTTCACTAGGGACCAGGCAACAGGGCACTACCCAGGTCTCCACATAGGACGGGCCTTTGCAAGGTTGTGACAAGGACCATGTTTACCCTTCTGCACAGAGTCCCATGAATCAGGAGGCTGTGCTGTGCATAGAATGTGGTCAGGCAGACACCAGCGCAATGTCTTCCAGCGTGACAAGGACACAAACTCTGGCCTGGGGCAGTTGTTGATGGGAAGGCATCCCATGTCTTGCCTGTCCAGAACACCTCTGAGCAAGACAAGGAAGCCCCTGCATGGACATCAGAACATGTCTGTGGAGCTGGGGCCAAGGATTCATGCTTTAGGCTGAGATTGAGTCAGAAAAGAAGGGAAGTACCAGCTCCCACTAGACGGTAAGAACCATTAGGGCAGCGGCTATGGCTGTCTTATGCGCTTATGTATTAGCACCTAGCACTGTGCCCTGCACCAAGAAAATGCTCAATGGCTCCCAGATGCTTGAAGATACAAGGGTCAGAATGCACATCCTGGGTTGATTGATGTGGCCCTGGTAAATAGTACATGCCATGGCCTGTGGAAGTATTTATTGTATACAAATATTTGTGTACAAAATGGGTATACATGAATTAGGAAGTGTGTAGAAGACAGAAGCAGCTTGCAGGCAGATGGGAACAGGCCCACATAGCCTGAGCTACGAGAGCCCACTTGGAGTTATGTGAGGTCAGGAATGTGCTTTAGGTTGCACAGGGAGGAGAGGAGGAGGCTTGGACTAGACACCTGCCAAGTGCCTGCAACACTAGAAGACAAAGGCGTGAGAGCAGTCCAGGCTGTAAAGGCCTGGGCACCAAGTGGGAAGGGGCAGAGCTCCTGCCTCACCCTCACAGAACCCCACTGAGGATGGTATGATGCTGACACACCTGAGCGGAGGCGGATTCATGGCTGAGGTGGTGGAGCAAAGGTGTGTTGGCCTCTGTTACATCTATCTGTGTCACCTGCACCCACCTAATGGGCCACTCCACTCAGCAGTCGTGGCAGCATAGAGTGCTAGGCAGGGCAGGGCTTGGGAAATGTGCCTTTACCGGGTGATGACAATAGTCTTGGACACTTTCACAGCTGTGCTTATGATGCTAATGCCAAGGTGCTTCAGAGATCATGAGACACATTATGGAAATGAGGCCAAAATGAGCCTAGGAAAAACGTCCCCATTCTGGAAGCACTGCCCAGCCACGTGCCGCCAGTTCCTCTGCAACCGTGCACACTAAAACACTTGACCAGTTGCTCCAGCTTTATTGGCCGTGTTGAATTTTATAGACTGATGTTCCATTCTCTGGTTTCCAATATCCTTCAAATTGCATCTTCCTAAAGGTTTCTATTTCTGCATCAGAGTGTGCACACCCTCCCTCACCATTGGTTATTCAAACAACATTTCTCATTTAATGGGAGGGAAAAACCAGCCACCACAAAACCCACCGAGGTGAGGAGTGATGGGGACAAGCTGGCGTGGAGCGGGGGGCAGGCAGCCTTGAGCAGATCAGGGCTCAGTTCTGCTTCATGCTGATTGAATTTATCCACCGAATCCTTCTGACTCATTGAGGTTTTCACACATTGTGAGTTGCCGCCCACTTGGTATAGCAGTGCTCCTCTCTTAAGGACCCCTTTTTGGTGGAGAGTGGTGCCTGTGAGCTCCCAGAAAGACCAAGGGTGGCATCTCAGTTCTGGTACTTCCCAGCTGTGTGGTGTTGGTTGCATCACTCTGCTTCTCTGGGCCTTTTCCTCGACTGTAAAATGGGACTAATGGCAGTACCCACCTGCTGCAGCCATGGAGAGAAGTGAAGGAGGGGCTGCACAAGCACCACTTAGCACGCTGCCTGGTGCATGGCATGGATTTGGTGTTCATGAGACCTGCCATCATTATTTATTCTAATCCAGCGTGGCCACAGGCCGAGAGTAGAGAGATGCACAAACTGTGAAGAACGCAGAGGCAGGAGCAAGGGTTCTGTCTGGGAGGTTTGGGGAGAGATTTCTGGGCCCAGATTATTTAATGGTAGCTGGAGAGTGGGTAAGGAAGACATGAGTGTCAGGCAGACACTCATTGCTGGGGCCTCTCCCAGCAATGTCCACCTAGAGCCAGGGCTTCTCTTTCTGCAGATGGCCTCTTGGGTCTGGACTCCAGTGGAAAGCCTTCAGTGCCTCACCCTCAGGGTCAGCTGTAGTCCTGGTGGGAGGGCAGAAGAGCTGGGCTGCCTCTCCTCGATCATTCCCATAGGGAGTGCCCAGCAAACAGGAAAGACCTGGGCACTGATTCACAGGAGCCTGACGGATGGAAGGCAGGCCAGCCCTGAGGTGAATGCCTTGGGGTGAGCACGTCACCTTCACCAGAACCATGGCTCCAGGGGGGAGTAGAACGAAATAGATGACAGAGGCTCTGTCGGGAACCTCTGTGGGGACAGAGGGTCCTGGAACAAAGGAGGATATAAAGAACAAGTTCCTACAGTCCCCACCCCACAATGGCAGCAGAATATTTAATAACAGCTTGAGGTCCACGAATGACAGTTTGTCATTTGTCCCAATTTTCCAGGGAGTTATTAATACAGGAAACAAAAAAATACCTTGTTTTTCATGCAAGCAAAAATTCTAAAATCATCCATCTTTCATTCTCTATTTCTATCAGACTTTACAAGAAGAAGTTGTGACTTCATTCTCTGGGACTTTATCTGTCCCCAGAAATCAATATTAGGACAAGTCCTTGTGCAGCTGGAGTGTGTGGAGCAAGAGGAGAGAAGTGATGGGTTGTGCTGGGCTAAGCTGCTACAGTTCAGAGCTCCCGTCTGTGGCCAGAGGCCCTGATTTCCTGTCAGGGAGGGGGTTCTCCTGAGGACTGGTGGGGGGACACATAGCCTTCACCACCCTGCAAGGGAGAAGAGGCAGCATTCTAAACCCATTTACAAGAAAACTTCTGGTATCACATTCCAGTTGCTATGGCAATGGGATTCCTTGTGAATATAAAATGAAATATATCATTTAGGGATCATTAGCATGTACGGGAAATCAACCAGACTCAAAAGGATTGCTGCAGCTAGAGTTTACAGCTTTGATCCCAGATCTCCTGAGTCACAAGCAGGGTCTCACTGAAAGTCTGGGACAAAAGGAGGTGTGGGAAAGATGTATCTCTTCTTGTAGCAAAATTAGAGTCACATTTTTCCTCAGCACCAAATCCTACCAAGAGAATGCCAAGATATTGGGTGGATTTCACTGTTTAACTTCTTATAGAGTTTGTGTTTTCAAAGTTATCTTGTGACATCGCATTCCTATTTGTGTATTAGTTGGCACTTTTAAACTCATTTTTCTTGGTTTTGAATTCACGCTTTATCTCCTACGCTGTTCACGAAGATGAGCTTCCCTTTCAGCAATCACTCACCAAGCCAGCGTTGTATTATACCAGATGATACAATGTCATAGTTGGGCAGTTTTCCAAACAAACCATGAAATTATGGAAGAAAGGGGACTGTTAGAGGTTCTGTTTTAAGGGGCCCCTTCAGCTTCCTCAGCCTGCGGGCGGTTGCAGGTGGATTTGGGTGCTTCAGAGGGGAGTTCCCAACCTAATGAAAGACAGGAAATCATTTCCATTTTTGGAAACAAATTAAACATACTACAGGCTCACTAAGAAATCTTTTTTTCTTACTTGTTACTAAGCAGACATAAAAACTCAGTATTTTGTTGCAAGTTAGCAGAGCAAATAGAGCTTCCTGCCAAAGAGCCATTTTTTTCTTCTTCTTCTTGTTATTTTGTTGCTGTTGTTGTTACTCTGAGTCTTGTTACTTTAGGAATTTAAATTGGGCCCCACACCTCCAGGGGCATTTCTATACTTCCACAAGTATTCTCTGTCCTGCCAGGGAAAGCTTCTTACATCCCCAGCTTTGTCAGCCCAGTCCAGCTCTCAGCGGGAGACTCACTTCCTGGGATGTGTGAGATCCAGCTGCAGGGCTGTGATGCTGTCAGGCATTGATAGGGGATTTAGTGTAACTCTGCTGGAGCAGTCCCTATAGCAAGAGGTGCTGGGGCCTGTGGAAGCATCAGGGAGGCCCAGGCTGATGGGACAATGTGGCACGTGCTCAAGGGCACTGCTTTGGCACGTGAGCTTTCTGTGCCTCATTTACTTCATCTGTAAAATGGGGATAATACCAGCACTTACCTCATAGAGTGTTGTGAGTATGACAGGAGCAGCACCTGGCATGCAGTGAGCATTCTTCTCTACGCAGTGTCAACAGCACTAGGGATGATGCTGGTGCCGTTGTAACATCACGGCTTATTCAAGGAGCAGATGCAACAAGCTGTAAGACCCTTGCCCATTTATGTGACAACTCTGTAATGAGCTAAGAGGTCAGGGGTGGTGGGTCCTCCTGTGAATGAGGGGAGAGAAGAACATTGGCCCTCCATATTTATTTAATGAATGACTAGAATTTGACCTCCAGTTGATCAAAGTTAATGATCACCTTCTCTGTCTTGCTAAGAGATGTAAGGAGCCACCCAAGTTCATCTAGCAGGTTAGTAGAAAAGCAAGGGGAGAATCAGGTATCTCTGATCCCCAGTCTGGACAAAGCTCCTAGAATGTACCTCCGGGCTCTCAGGAAATGCCAGTGGAGCCTGGGGTAAGAATTCATCTGCCTGAAGATGAGAACGTTTAGAGAAGGTGCTGGAGGAGAGGGGACCTTCAAGGTGGATTTTGAAGAGCAAGGGAAGGTTTGCTAGGTTGAGAGTGTGGGGAAGGCTTTCTAGGAGTACAGGCATGAAGTACCTCCAGTCTCCGGGAAGAGCAAGTGATTATGGGATCCTGGGTGTAGGGGAGAGCATAGTTGGGGATAAAGGCAGACAAGTGGATCACAGCAAGCTGGGGAAAGGCCTTGTGTGCCAAGCAGGGAAGTCTGAACTCAAGCTGACCAGTGTTGTGTCCAGAATTGGTGGGTTCTTGGTCTCTCTGACTTCGAGAATGAAGCCGCGGACCCGCGCGGTGAGTGTTACAAGTTCTTAAAGATGGTGTGTCCGGAGTTTGTTCCTTCTGATGTTTGGACGTGTTCAGAGTTTCTTCCTTCTGGTGGGTTCGTGGTCTCGCTGGCTTCAGGAGTGAAGCTGCGGACCTTCGCGGTGAGTGTTACAGCTCTTAAGGCGGCGCGTCTGGAGTTGTTCATTCCTCCCGCTGGGTTCGTTGTCTCGCAGGCCTCAGAAGTGAAGCTGCAGACCTAAGGCAGTGCGGACCCAAAGAGTGAGCAGCAGCAATATTTATTGCAAAGAGCGAAAGAACAAAGCTTCCACGGGGTGGAAGGGGACCCAGGTTGCCACTGCTGGCTGGGGCAGCCTGCTTTTATTCCTTTATCTGGCCCCACCCACGTCCTGCTGATTGGTCCATTTTACAGAGAGCTGATTGGTCTGTTTTACAGAGCGCTGATTGGTCCATTTTGACAGGGTGCTGATTGGTGTGTTTACAATCCCTGAGCTAGACAGAAAAGTTCTCCAAGTCCCCACTAGATTAGCTAGACACAGAGCACTGATTGGTGCATTTACAAACTTTGAGCTAGACACAGGGTGCTGATTGGTGTATTTACAAACCTTGAGCTAGATACAGAGTGCTGATTGGTGTATCTACAATCCCTTAGCTAGACATAAAAGTTCTCCAAGTCCCTACTAGACTCAGGAGCCCAGCTGGCTTCACCTAGTGGATCCCTCACCGGGCTGCAGGTGGAGCTGCCTGCCAGTCCCGCGCAGTGCACCCGCACTCCTCAGCCCTTGGGCGGTCAATGGGACCTGGTGCCACGGAGCAGGTGGCGGCGCTCGTTGGGGAGGCTCGGGCCACGCAGGAGCCCACAGTGGTGGGGAGGCTCAGGCATGGCGGGCTGCAGGTCCTAAGCCCTGCCCTGCGGGGAGGCAGCTGAGGCCCGGCGAGAATTCGAGAACAGCCCGGTGGGCCGGCACTGCTGGGGGACCTGGCGCACCCTCCGCAGCTGCTGGCCCGGGTGCTAAGCCCCTCGCTGTCCGGGGCCAGTGGTGCCAGCTGGCCGCTGTGAGTGCAGGGCCCACCAAGCCCATGCCCACCTGGAACTCAGGCTGGCCCACGAGCGTCACACGCAGCCCCAGTTCCCGCCGGTGCCTCTCCCTCCACACCTCCCCGCAAGCAGAGGGAGCTGGCTCCAGCCTCGGCCAGCCCAGAGAGGGGTTCCCACAGTGCAGCGGCGGGCTGAAGGGCTCCTCAAGCATGGCCAGAGTGGGCGCCAAGGCTGAGGAGGCGCCAAGAGTGAGCAAGGGCTACCAGCATGCTGTCACCTCTCAGTGTCAGATAAGCTACTGCAACATTCTCATTTCCCAAAGAGGGACCGTGAAGCCCAGAGAGGGCTAGTACCTGTCCCAAGTCACACAGGCAGAGCCAAGCCAGGGCCCAGCCTTTGCTGCTGTGGCAGGCCCTTCAAAGGCACCCATAGCTTTGTGGCTGTTTTTAGTTAGGGCTCAGCAAGGCATGTCCCTAACAGATGCAATTGCTTTATGCTTCTTCCCCAGGAGACCTCCTGGTGCAGAAGGAAGGCTCAGGAGCCATGGGCAGTGGAAAGGGCCTCGTGTGCCACTGCTGGGCGGGGCTTCCCTGCTCCGCAGGTCATTAAGAAGCCAGCTGCACCTTCTCCAGGGAAAGCTGGCTCAATCATCCCAAACTCACAGAGCTTCTGGACATCAGGAAACTAGACCCTTGTCTCCTTTCTAAGGAAAGAGTAGGAAACTGAGGGATACCCAGAAGGTTACCAGGGGAACCTGGGGTCAAAAGCAGGCAGAGCCTCTGGGGACAAGCCTACCTTCAGCCTGGTCTGGCCTTGGAAGCTGGCCTCCACTTTCTCTCCAGACTCCCTTTCCTGTCCCTCCAGTTGCCCTTCCACTTTTGGGCCTACCCACATTTCTGTCCAGTAGCCGCTGTTGTTCTTTCAGTCTTTGCAAAGGGATCTCTCTGTCCCCAGCCCTCTTCCTGGCCTTCACTTTAAGCTCCACAGAAGAGGGTTTGGCTGTTTTCTGCCAAGCCACTCACCTTCACAGACATCTGTTGAATGCCCACTTGGTGCTAAGGCTGTGCCAGGACCTGAGGATACCAGTATGATCAGAACACCGGGCCTGACCTCAAGGAATTTATAGCCAAAAGAAACGCCACACATCTCCACCCTCTGGGTTATCCTTTGGGAGCTGCTTTAGCCAGAGATGCCTCCAAGACCTCAAGGACAAACGGGAATCTTTACGGACTGTCTCTCATGTTGGATACCCTCTCCTCACTCCTCCGCGGATTCTGTCAGCATCTGTGAAAACAACTAGGACTTCACTGAACTGACAGTTCACTCATAGCCCCGTAGTCCAGCATCCCTGGGAGCTCAGTTGTCCCATTTACAGTATCTGCTTCCAGGATCAAGAAAAGTGACCTAAAACAAATATGTGTGTTCTTTGGATATTTCCTCCAGGTTTTATGCAAGGAACTGTCTTGGTGTGAGCACCCCGCAAATGTGCAAGAATATTATCAGTTCGGCATGTGTGGTGTGCTCCACAGAACTGCTGTACTTTGAATGAATTAATTACATTCCAGTAATTAAAAATTGCTAAGAAGTTACTGAGCTGAGTAAGTCTCGTGGTGCATTGATTTCACTTATGGAAACAAGCTACAGCCTCCGAGTCCCCCACATTGTTTCCTGCTGTTTTCTGGCATCCTGTCCTTCTTTCTCCAACCCCTCCTTTGCTGTGCACTCCTCAGTCCCGTTGGTTGCTGGCGGCCTAGTCTCTCTCATCCTAAAGCCCAGAGGAGCAAGCTGTTGTCCCAGCATCCTCCTAGGTAGCCTTTCATCTCTTCCCTGTCAGGCCGCAGAGCATTTTCTGCACTGGCTGTCTCCACTTCTGCAACTTCCCTGAATTCTGCCCTCTAGGGTCTGCACCTAGCTCCTGTCCTGTTACCCCTGCCACTGACTTTGCTAAGATCACCTTACCCTTCTAAATGCCAAGAAGGCACTTTCCAGGCCTGGTCTTGCTGCATGCATCCTTCCTGCAGTGAGCTCTGTCATCCTCTCTGCAACCCTGTTCCACTGTCTTCTAGGGACCAGCCCCCATCCCTCTGACTCTCCGTAGATCCCTCCTTCTCTTGCAGCTGCTTCCAGGTATTTCCCCTGGGGCTCTCTTCTCACAGTTCCAGCCATGCCTCAAAGACCCAGACTGTCCCACGAGCAAAGACCCAACCATATCTTCATCCCTGACCTCTCCTCACGTTTCAGTCTACCTCTCATTCCACCTGGGATGGTCCATCCCACCATCATCTCCTGGCTGGATGACCTCTATGGCCTCCTAGCTATTCTCTGAGCCCCGGGTCAGATGCTTCTTCAAATCCACTTTCCATATGGCATTTAGAGTAAGCTTTCCAAGATGGAACTTTGACCATGGTGCTGTCCTGCTCGAACCCTTCTGTCCAGTTGTTCAGCAATATTCATGTACTATGCATCAGATACTATTTGGAGATGTGGGGACACAGCAGGGAACAAAACAGAGCCCAGTCCCCATGGCAGGTACAGTCTTGTGGGAGAAACAAACAGTAAACAAGAGATGAAGTCTATGTGATGGTGACAAGTGCCATGGAGCAGAATAAAGCCAGGAGGGCAGTTAGCCAGAGCCTCTGATATGAGAAGTGACATTTGGGCAAAGGTCTGCAGCAGGCCGGGGGGTTAGGGAGTGAGGCATTTGAATATCTGGGGGAAGAGTATCCCAGGCAGTGGCAATACAAAGTTTGCAAAGATCCTAAGGTAGGAGCTTGCCTAGCGTGTTTGGGGGCTCACAAGGGGGCCAGAGTTGCTGGACCAGGGTAAGTAAGCAGAGAGAAACTGAGCAAGTCGGAGGGCTGATGGGGTTGATCTCCCCATAGGGCTCTGTCGGCCATTGGAAGCCCAAGTTCTTTGCCACTTGGCTATATTGCCCTTCTCATTACTCCGTGAGGCCCACCCAAAAGTGGCCTTGATGAGGGGAGGGAGTGACATGGAGCCTCCTCCCCAGGCTTCTCCGCAGGAGGCTGTTTGAGGAAGGCCCTGTGTGGACAGGAGGGGTGCCGGTGGCTCAGGTGCTCAGATCCATGTGAGTGGACCCTATGCCCAACACTCGAGAGGTTTCAGATGATCACCAGGAGCCAGATGTTTAATTACTGGAGCAAGAAGAAGTTGATTTGGGACTCCTTTAAGGTTCTCCCCTATCGTGCCTTCAATTAAGATCAAGGCCCCCGTGTAGCAGCCGCTAAATGACACCATGTATTGAATCTCTGTGCTCAAGCAGTTTGTCTAATTATCTGTGTGATAGACTCAGCAGCTGTCAGACCAGCCACAACTCAAATACGTGGTCTCTGTACGCCTGCCTCAAAGTGTTTTATGCCCACTAGCAAGCTCAAGGACAGGACTTTCATGCTCTTTTCTAGATATGGGATCCCTTTCAGGTTCCTCTGCTGCCTAGTGATATAAGGCATTGAAGGGGCCAGTGGCTGGGAGGACAGTGGGTACAAGAATTGAGCAGAGGCCTGGGGGCTCGGCTGTTCCCTCCCTCGCCCCAGCCCTTGTGCCTCGCATGATCACTCAGCCTCTCTGCCTGCTTTTCTGGACAGGGAAGCAGTGACCCAGTTTGGGCCATCTTCTCCAAAGAGAGGGAGGAGCACTTGCCACTGTGTCAAGTTAACTGAAATAAATGAGGGGGATCAGGAGGCAGTGACCCAGGGGAGAGTAAATGACTGCTCATCTCCATCAGCAGAGAGTGTCTTCAGGAGTAAACACTTCCCAGCAGAGCAGGCTCATTGGATGAAGGAGGAACAAGACCACACCAAACAACTGAATGTAAGGTCTGTGGAGTTGAGTCCTCAGCCAGGAGAACTGAGGGACAGAACTACAGAAAGCTGGGGCCCAGCCCTGTACAGCATCCTGGGTCTCCGGGAACCACCCATGCTTCCTGATTGTAGGTGAGCTTGTGCCCAGTCCTGCACCTGGGTGCCTCATGAGGGCCAGATCCAGAACACATGTATTCTCCAGGCTAATGAGGGAAGACAGAGCTTAACAGTGACTACTGAGTTTGGACATCTCCTAGAGAGTTCTTCCCTCTGCTTTTCTTCTTGTTGTGCTCATTTCTGCTTTGATGCATTTTGATCACTTGTTAATGAAAGTAATCAGAGTGAAAACTACTTTCAAAAAGCTCCTCTAAAGGAAAGTAGCAAAATCACTTTGCTTGCAGGTAATTAAAATAGCCAGATGCAGTGAACTCCGTCCACTTATTATAAGCAGGGTGATCTCAGTTGTGCACTTCTCTTTGTAGCTGGAAAAAAGGGCTCATCCAGGGACTTAGCAGCCATGTCTCTTTTCTTGTCTTCCTTAGGGAACTTGTGCTTTCTCTTCCACTGCTTGTGTTCAGTGCACTCCATGCCCCCTTCAGTTGGCTAAGGTATGCCCAAAGGCCTGGTCTACAGTGGTCCAGCAAATGCCTCTTTGAGCCTTTGCCTCCCTCACTCATTCGGCCTGGCTAGCTCTCTGACTTTTCCTCCAATACACCTGTACATCTCTGTCTCTTTCTGCCTTCCTCCACCCCATCTTTGTCTCTGTTTCTCAGATGCTCATCCAGTGATCCATATTTCCATCAAAATATAATAAACCCAAGGTATTTTTATAGGGATTTTCAGAGATCTTTACTTATATCCAGTCAGGTGGAGCTTGTACAGACCCAGGTCTGCATGAGTCCTCATAGCTGAGACTTTAGTCTTTTCCCCGTGCAAGCTTGTCCAATGATTTGGGGAACCCGAGATTAGAGACATCAGAGGATATGAAGGGCAGAACCTTTCTGGATAGGTGGGTGATGGACAGGAAAGCAGGGGCGAGGAAGATGTCTCTTATAAAGCTACAAAAGAAGAAATACCCTAGACAAAGGAGGAGGTTTCAGAAGGGGACACCAGGGTAGGGGCAGGGGTGTCAGAAAGGGTCAGTGACACATCATCCTAATTCCGCAGAGAGTGAGCTTGCTTGTTCTCCTTCCCACCCACCTGCAGAACTCCAGATTTTCAAGGGCGTCTCTCAACTGTTTAGCCATGAATGCTGGTTACAGGGAAGTTAAGACCCCTCTCCAGATGCAATATGTCGTGGCAGTGACCATGGATTTAGCTGTAATTCCAGTCTGGTCAATCTCACTGGGCTGCAGTGAGAGTAAACAGAGGTGAAGCCTGAACAGACCTGTCTGAACACGAATGAAAGGGAAGCTGGCTTCTGCAACAGAGGAGGAGGAGAGCACACACTTAAGATGCAGCAAAAGAGCATGCTTTGGGGAAAAATTATTACAAGAAACAGAAGCTCATTTTAGACAGCAACTGTGTTCTACTCCCAATGCAAGAAAACATGAACTCTGAAATGAGATAAAAAATGGGATTGTAAATTGGCTGAGCCACAGTCAAAAATAAAATGGAAGCTGGGGGAGGTAAGGAAAGAATATAAAGAACCTGAAATACAATTGCAGAAGTTCCTTCTCCACTTCAAGCAGTCAAAGGAAAGATTAACCATACAGAAATCATAGTTGTTCCAATACAGGGAACAAACTTGAAAACCGCTCCCCAAATACACCGAGAATGAGAAGAAGATTTAAAAAATACTGTGGGAGAGGATGATAGTTATGTAAGACAGAGATAAAAGATTTAAAATAATAGTGATTGGTTATCTTAAAGACCTCAGAGCAATTCAAATGGACACAATAAGCAAAGAGAGATCCAAAAAAATAAGTGCCCTATACTGAAAGATCTATCAAATAAGTCAAAATATAATTGCTGACATTTTAGGTTTTGAAAAAAAAAATTAAAGTGATCTGAAATATCCAGAGAGAGAAAAACAAAGCAGACAAAAAAAAAAAAAGTCCTACCTGGTGTTGCACTGGGGGCTCTTGAGTGGTTTCAGCTGACCGGCTTGCCCAGGGGCAGCTTCTCCCCTTCAGTTACATTTGTGTCAAAGGTGAGTCTCAGACACTGTCTGGTAGGAAGGAAAAAAAACATTCTGTTCTTGGACTTTTCTGCGATATTAAGAAGCAAGAAGGCAATGAAGAACATTGGTAGAATTTTGGGGTGGTAAGACCATGATGCAAGAATTCTACACTTATCAAATGGTGATCCATGTATGGAAAGAATAAAAAGTATTTTCTGCTGGGCAAGGGTTCAAATAATACACCATCCGTGTACTCTTGGCTGGGAAAAAAAGTGAAAGATGAACCCTTCACATTCTACAGAGAAATCAGAGAATCTGACAAAGAGGAACTCAAGGCTTAGGTGAGCACAGAGGCTCTTGAAATGAGAAGGTGTCTAAATAACTTTTTCAAATATAGTTACCAAAAATTGCAAAGGGTAAATGATGAGGTTAAGTGCGCTTAATTTTCTTGACTGACTTATTGGAATTTCAACAGATCCTGCATAATCCTTGACTCGGTATGTTAAAAAGCATACATGAGGGCAATATTCCATCAGAGCCCAGAACAAACCTCATGCAGCCCCAGACAAGTGTCCATGGCTGTTCCCAGGTGATCTGGGAGACTTCACCTCCTGCCTTCACTGGTGTATCCAGAGACCATGGGAAGGATCAGCCACTGACTGACGTGTTCGACCTACGGTCGGGCCTCCCCGTGCCTTCATCTCGGTGGCTAGAGTGTGCTCCCCAGAAAGCATGCAGGGCTACAACTGAAGTGGAAGAAAACCGCAGCGGGTCATAGTGTGTCTTCCTTGTGTGATGAAGCCTTTGTTCATGGGCGTGTGTCAGTATGCCAGTGACATGGTCAGGACAATTGGGAAGGCCTGAACTATTGGTTCTAATGTTGCAGTCAATACAATGTGATTAACCAATTAGAGAGAAATGCATAAGAGCCAAATTCTGTTGCCAAGAAAAGGCAAAGAAGGTAGAAGAGCTGCCCTGTTAAGAGATAGAGGTAGAAGTTCAACCCCCAAGGCAATAAAGGGCCACCATGGGACACAGCCTTGCAGAAAAGAAGGAATGGCCATCAGGGTGGGGTGGATAGGATCATGGGAAATACACATTCTCATTCACGGAGAATGTGCCAGGCTGCCAGCCCACCGCCAGGGGCTGTATGGACGTCATCTCATGCACTCCTTTTCCTAGTTGGTGTTTACTGAGAGGCAAAGAGAAGCCAGATAACTTTCCCAGTTACTGGACTTGTAAATGACGGCACCAGTACTGGCACCTGCCCATCCCCTTTCAGTGTGTGTCAGTGGCCACTCCCATGATTAGGAGAGATATTTGTCAGGGAGTGGGGCTTGACCTGAACCTGGAAGAGTGGGTGGGTGGGACATGAACAACCAGGTACAGGGCAGGGGCAGCAGCAGAGGGAAAGACTTCATGCAGCTTTGCTGATGTTATGGCTGCATTCCTTCCTCCTCCACCAGACTTGGCACTTGCAACTGATCAGACAGCAGGTACCTAAAAACTCTCACTCCCCTAAAGGGAAATGAGGAGAAGTTAGAGTTACCGCAGACATCAAATATTGTATATCCAGTTGTTTTAATGAAATGAATCACATTTACACCCATCTTGTCTTTGAACTTCAGTGGCTGTCTCCACGTGGCTATGTGACGTGACAACCCCAGTGAGCACATTACAAAGGAAGAAAGTCCCCGCCAATGCCACGTGAAACACAGGGTGAGGGCTTCGTTGCACAGGAAGAAAAACGTCCATATTTCTCGGTCACACCTTTCTGTCTCTCCACTTCTGCCTGGGTTCCTTCTCGCCAGTGTCCCCACCTCTGCCCCCTGCCAAATTTCAGTGACATGAAGATCTCGTTTATGTGCCAGGCTTGTCTCAATAAACATTCTCCTAGCAATTTTAAAGGAACAAACTTTCCATATTAAAAACTTTTGTGGTTCTCAGGGTAAACAACTGTGGGTATCAGGAAGACCTGAAGAAATGGGGAATCTATACAAAAGGAAGGCAAAGTCCACTGCTGAGAAATGTGGTTTCTCTCTGTAAAACATGCTGACAGAAGCCCATATACTAATTTAGAGAAACAGTTGGCACAAAACAAGATGCACAGTTGAGCGTGCCTGTCTAGAAGGCTGGGAAGGAAAGAACTTGAGTGAAGGCACCACCAGGATTCCTGTGGCTATAGCCCCACGGAGACTCTGCTGGCTGTGATTATAATCATCAAGCTTTGCAGCAAATGATTGTGATTTTACACATCCTACCCTTTTTAAAAAACCAGAGATTGGATGAGAATGGAGGGCAGGGTAACAACTAACTCAAAGAGCCCATGTGACATGCCAGGTCCAAGGCTGAGCATTCTGTGCACTTTCTGTTCTTTAATTCTGTGACAGCCCTTCAGGGTAAGGACTGTTATTACCCCTAACTTGGCAGGTGAGGAAACTGAGGCTCACAGAGGTTTAATGACTTGCCCAACACCACTCAACCGGTGAGGAGGAGAGCTGCAATAAAGACTGATTTGAAATGTTAAATGTTGTCTTTGCTCTGTCTGCTCTGCCACATCTCTTACATGTATAATTTAAAAAAAAAACACACACACATAGTGATTATCATTCAGCAACTGGGCAGATTGTGCCTGCACTCTCACTTGTGTTCTGAAGGCAACTTTCTGCACGTGTAGCTGACATGTGCCCGTGTTGTTAGCCACTCTTGACTCGACAAAGAAATTGTGATGGTTTTTGAAAATCTTTGTTTCTTTGTTGTTTTTGTTCCTTCTACTATGCCACACTGTCTATGTATATAATGATTCCTGTAATTAAAAAAGGAAGGAGGCCTTGCAGTGAGCACCTGCGCAGTCTCTCCCTTTTTCAAAATTAGCAAAAAGCCGGGGACTATGTATGGCTCACCTCAGAGGAGCCAGTGGACAGGGTGGGCTCAGGACCGAGCTGCTAACTAGATTTGCTGCCAGTGGACTCAGCCTCTGTGCAGCCCATGTTGGGTTCTAGGGGGACCAGGAGCCTGTGGGGCAGCCCGAGATGGCAGTCTTGGAAAAGGAATTCAGGGTGGGTGTGATCAGGGATAGAGCTTCTCTAGTGTACATCACACAGGAACCCATGAGTGGTACCGGCATGTGCTCTAAACCTCATCCTGCCTGTTTGTTCACACTCCTGAGGATAGTAAAGTAGTGGTCCCTGTTTTCAACACTGCACCGATCAAGTTTCATTCTTGTGTTTCACGATTTCATAGAAAGATCTGTGATTCTTGCATCTGGGCCATTCATACCTTGGCAGGATTCTGCAATTCCGCATTTCATTGCTTCAACAAACAGTGCTGAGTGCCTGCTGTGTACCAGGCCTAGTCGAGGGCCCGGTGGCGGGGGTCCAAGAGGAGTGTGAGAGGGCCCTGCCCATGGGGAGCTGAGAGGGGACACACACCCCCTGCCTATTGTAAACCAGGGTGGGGAGCGCGACAACGGAGCACGTCCAGTCTGTTATGGAAGGAACAGGGAGGCCTCCAAAAGGGGGTGCCATCTGGACTGAGTACTAAATGATGAGAAATGGGTTAGAGAAAGAGGAGGGGAGTCTTCTAGGCCAAGGGTTAGGATATGAAGCCAGCATGGGGAGCCACAAGCCAATTGGTGTTTCTCCAAATATAGAGTTTAGGGCAGAGAGAAAGCAGCAAGGGCAAGCCTGGAAAGGAGCTTTGGCCAAGCTGGGGCCAGACCTGGACCATCAGGTTAAGGAGTGTGGACTTTCTCCTGGATGCAAGGGGAGGCAGCATTCTAGGGTTTTAAACCATAGGCCTGGTGTTCAGAAAGATCACCTGTGTTGCCCTTGGGACAGAGTGACCCTGGAGGCAGGGGCCCAGCAGGAGGCATCGAGGACATTCAACAAAGCCACACAGAAGCCTGAATCGGGGGAGTGGGCAGACCGGAGAATCACTTAGGAAAAATACAGTCAGCAGGACCAGGCACTGATTGTGAAAATTAACCATCACACCTGCCCACCCCAGGATGGTTCTAACTGCCTTCCTCCATCCTTAGCCAGTCCTCGTCTAAGCAGAAGTACAAGTCATCTCAGCGAGGCCTGAGTGAAATCCTTCAACTGACAAGAGCCAAGTTTCCCATTTGGGCTGGGCCCTGAACAGTCCTGGGAAAGTGTCAGCCCTTCGTCAGGGCGCACCCTGTCACCACCCCGTCTGGAAAGCGGGCCACTGACTCAGAAAGGAAATGTGGCTTGGATGCCGAAGTCAGAGTGTGATTCTCCTACCCTGTGGCTCAGTCCCTGTCCTGGACTATAGATGGATGGAGTGTTGCACTCTAGGGTCATTGCACCTTCCTTTCCTGAGTTGCAACCTCCACCTCCAGTACGCAGGGGTTCCGCAGGAGGGTGGGGAAGCAGCTTGATTCCAGAAGTCTTTACCTCTCCTCATCCACCAGCCTCAGAGGTGCTTTCTGCCAATCACATTTTTCCCAGCAGTCTTCTTTTCTTCCAAAAGCTTAATAATTTAAACAATATCCATTTGAAATTATATTTAAACACTTAAACAATGTAAGATGCAAACTTAAGGGGAGAAAGACCAAAGGGGAATTTAGGTGTCGGATTTCTCAGAACAAAAGAACAGTCCACAATTGGAGGGAGAGGAGTGGCAGAGCACAGAGGCTGCTGATTAGATCCAAGTGTGCCTCCTTTCTAAGGATACTTTTGTCTGAGAAATGCACGCCTCGACCAGCAAGCTGCTGAGTTCAAAGACATGGGAATCTGGGTATTTAATCAACCGCCTTGGTGACTGGAGCATGGGGGAGCCTAGTTACTCCTGGAAATCGGTAATGAAGGCTGCGGCAGGAGACCCGCCTCTTAATAAGGCAGCAGCCAATTAACAGAGCAAATGTTTGAGGTGTCCCCGCCGAGTGATGGGATGTCTTGTCTTCTCCCAGGGCCCTGGGGCCTGTCAGTCAGACAGGCAGGTACATGACTTAAGTTAATTGGAGAAAAACTCCTTCCAGGGAAGTGGGCACTGGTTTGTCATTCAATGGGATGGAGATCTGGTTTTGACAAGTACCTTTGCCTGACCCAGGAAAGGACACGTCCTTCAGAAAGGCTCTCCTCTCCCCCGACCCTAGCACCACCACTGAGACTCTCTGGTTGGGAGTTTCTAGCCCCAGGAATCTCAAAGCCAAAAAGCACAGCTGCGCATCTGAGAACCAAGAGAATTTTGGCAGGAGAAGGCGAACCTCCTTCCTGAGAGAGTGGCTCTCCCCACCCCTTCAGATGGTACCTGGGAAGCACCTGCTGAGCCCACCAGGGTCTGGGCTCTGGAATGGCCAGGAGGAAGTGCAGGATGTGGGCCACAGGAAGAGCTGTGACTGGGAGACATTTGAAACTCAGGGTAGGACAAAATCAGGGTGGGCCGGGCTTGGCCAGCTGGGGAGTAGCTGGTCATGCCAATGGAGAGGTCATTTCAAAATGGGCCAAGGAGTAACATGTCAGTAAAGTCCATGTGGGCACGCAGAGCCTGCTCCAGCCACCTGAATATCCACCAGGCAGTTGCACGCTCTGTTCCTCCTTCTCCCACCCCCCTTCTCTCTCTCTCCCTGTCTCTCTCTGTGCCCTCTTTCTTTCCCTGTACTCCTCCTCATCTTCTCACCTCCTATTTCATTTTCCCTTTCCGTGCCCTCCCTGTGAGGTCTGACTTGAGTGTGCCTACACATATCTAAAACAAGTGACTGAAATAATGTGTTTCTCAGTTAACTGGGAGTATGTATTACATGGTGCAAGCTACTAGTTCTATGTTGAGGGAATTAAGCAGTTTCCCTAGCAGAGTTGAGACAGTCTGAAATAGATGATCACCCATGCTCCCCAGCATCAGGGGATGAACCATGCCATCTGACCGTTCATGGTCCTGTGAATGCTGTCAACCCCACATGAGCCAGCAAGTTTGTCTTTTATTGGAGAAATCCCTCTCTCCAATTTTCCAAACAATCACAGTCTGGATTATAAGTAAATGACTAATTCAACAAATGAGTTATTGCTCAGTATTCTTGCATCCAGTTTAAAGTGAGAGGAGGAGGAGGAGGAGGGAATGATGAGAACTAACAATCATCACAAGTAGGTGGAAATTATTACCCACGTAAAGAAATGGAGGTTTCAGAGGAGTGTTAGGTTATGCCACAGTAACAAACAACTGCAAAACCTCGGCACCCCAGTAAAAGTTTCTCACTCACGCAGTACATCCAGCATGGGTCCGCAGGGGCTCAGCTCACAGACCCAGGCCCACATGGCCTTCTGCAGTCAGTGATGTAGGGAAGGCCAGGCATCTGAGAACCAGGAGGATTTTGGCAGGAGGGTTTGGCAGGAGAGGCTGAGCAAACCTCCTCCGTGAGAGGGTGTCTCTCCCCACCTCTTCAGGGGGTATCTGGGCAGACCCTGCTGAGCCCACCATGGTCTGGGCTCTGAGATGACCGGGAGGAAGTGCAGGATGGGGAAGGGGATGTGAAGAGGGAGTAAAACCCCAAGGTAGAGCCTGGAATTGACACACATTCACTTAAACCCCCATTTCCTTGGAAAAGTAAGTCACACAGCCACAGCTAACTTGGCTAACTTTCTCCTTGGAGGACAGAGGCCCTGCTTCCTCATGTTCCTCCTCAGTCCACGGCATCCCGGCCAGCGTGTTTAACTAGAGTGAGGGCTGAGTGCTCATAGGAACGCTTGAACACACAACCCTGCACATAGCTGTGTCCACGTGCAAGGCTGACCTACTGGCATATTCATAGAATTGGAAGGGAAACCACTTGGTGAAAAGGAAATGTTTTTCTTCATTTTCTATTATGACGTATGGCATACAGACAGTGGGATGAAAATGTGTACATGCAGTTGAAAGAATGATCGTGAAGACAAGAGCCGTGTTTTAGGAATTAGGCTGTGCTTTAGAAATGCTCCCTCTCTCGTGCCCCTCCCTACTCAACGTCCTCCTCCCTGCCTGGAGGTGACCACTGTCCGTTCTGTGATAATCATCTTCCAGCTTTCTTTATAGTTATCTAAATTTATATTCATAAATGTGTCTCAACATGGTTTACTTTCTCTTGTTTTTGAACTCCATATAAATGGAACCATGCTGCGGGTGTTCTTTTCAGATTTATTTCTTACACTCAGTATCTGATTTGTAAGACTAGTTCATATGGGGTATAGTCATACCTTGTTCTTTTCATTCCTGGATATCCCCTTGTATAACTATGCCACGATGTATCCATTCTGCTGTTGACAGCCAGCATTTGGGTTAATTCCCATTTGGAGATATTCCAAGCTGTGCAACTGGAATCATTCTTGGATATGTCTTCCTGTGCACCTGTGAAAGTGTTCCTCTAGCGTGTACTCTAGGCACTGTACTTCACTCTCCTTTCTAGATATCACCATACTCTTTCCCAAAATTGTTGACCAGCTTTCCTTGGAAACAACAGTGTGTGAGTTCCCATAATTCATATTCTTACTAACACTTGTGACTATAAAACCCCTTTTTGACAAAATGCTTTTTCTGCAACTACTGAGGGTTTTGCCCTTTTTCCTATTGTTTATTACGGTAATTGATTTTCATATGTTAAACCAATCTTACATTCCTGGGATAAATCCCACTTGGTAATGATGTATAATCCTTTTTATACCCTGGATTTGATATTAGGTATAAATTTATTTTATAAGTTATATATATATATGATATATATTTTATATATTGCTGGATATGGTTTGCTAGTATTTTGTTGAGGATTTTTTTATATCTATAATCATAACGGATATTGGTCAGTAGTTTTCTTGTGTTGTCTTGCCTGGTTTTGATATAAGGTTGATATTGAAGTCACAGAATGTGTTGGAACATCTTCCCTTCTCTTTTATTTTGTGGAAGAGTTTATGAAGAATTGTTATTAATTCTTATTTAAATGTTTGATAGAATTTACCAGTGAATTAATTTGGTCCCTTGCTTTTCTTTGTGTGAAATTTTTAAATAACTAAATCTCTTTACTTATATAGTTTTCTTATTTCTTCTTGAGTTACTTTCAATAGTCTGTGTCTTTCTACAAATTTGTCCAATTCATCAAAGTTGTCTAATTTATTGGCATATACTTGTTCATACTCTTCCCTTATAATCCTTTTTATTTTGTAAAGTCAGTAGTAATATCATCCTCCTTACTATTTTTAGTAATTCGAGACTTCTAAAAAATTTTTTTGTTAGTCTAGCTAAAGGTTTTGTCAATTTTGTTGATTTTTTTTTTTGAAAGAACCAATTTTTGGGTTTGTTGAGTTACTCTATTGCTTTTCTATTCTCTTTTCATTAATTTCCAGTTTAATCTTTACTACTTGCTTGCCCTGCTTGTTTTGGGTTTAGTTTGCTCTTCTTTTTACTATGTGTTATGGTGAAAGATTAGGTTATTGATTTGAAATTTGTTTTATTTTATTTTATTTTTTTTTTTGAGATAGAGTCTCACTCTGTCACCAGGCTGGAGTGCAGTGGCTCACTGCAACCTCTGTCTCTCAGGTTCACGCCATTCTCCTGCCTCAGCCTCCCGAGTAGCTGAGACTACAGGCGCAAGCCACCACACCCAGCTAATTTTTGTATATTTAGTAGAGATGAGGTTTCACCATGTTGGCCAGGATGGTCTCGATCTCTTGACCTTGTGATCCGCCTGCCTCAGCCTCCCAAAATGCTGAGATTACAGGCATGAGCCACTGTGCCTGGCCTGTTTCTTTTTTAATGTAAGCATTAATAGCTACAAGTTTCTCTCTAAGCACTCCTTTACTACATCTCGTAAGTTTTGTTACGTTGTGTCCTTATTTTCATTCATATCAAAGTGTATTTTCTCTTGTAATTTCTTATTTGACCCATTGGTTATGTAGGTGTGTGTTGTTTAATTTCCACGTATCTGTGAATTTCCCAGATTTCATTTGGATACTGGTTTTAATTTCAGTCTTGTGGTAGATGAACATATTTTGTGTGACTTCAGTTCTTTTAAATTTATTGAACTTTCTATTCTGGTCTAGTATATGGTCTGTCCTGGAAAATGTTCTATGTACACTTGAGAAAAATGTGCATTCTGCTTTTGTTAAATAGGGTGTTCCAGCGGGATCTAGTAGGTTTAGTTGTATCATAGTTTTGTCAGTCTTTTATTTTCTTGTTGATCTTCCTAGTTGTTCTATTCATTATTAAAAGTGAGATATTAAAGCCTCCATCTATTATTGTCATCTATTTCTTTCTTTAGTTCTGTCGCTTTTGCTTCGTGTATTTTGGGGTTTCTTGTTAGATGTGTATATGTCTAAAACTATTAAATCTTTCAAATTGATTAGCCCTTTTATTATTATCTGTTTATATAACACCTGGTTATCTCCAGTAGCATTGTTTTATATTAAAGTTAATTTTGTCTGATATTAGTATAACTCTTTCAGCTTTCTTATAGTTTCTTTTTCCATGCTTTTACTTGCAATCTATTTATATCTTTAATTCTAAAGTATGTGTTCTACAGCCAGCATATATTTGAATATTACTTTTTTATCCAGTCTGAAAATCTCTGCCTTTTGATTGGATTGCTTAATTCATTAGCATTTAATATGTTTATTGATATAGTTGGATTTATATTTGAAATTTTACTTTGCTTCTTATATGTCTCATTTCATTTATTCCTCTGTTTCTCCCTCAGTGCTTTGTTTTGTATTAACTGAACATTTTCTGTTGTAGCATTTTAAGTCATTTAATGATACTTTTCCTACATTTTTGGAGGGTGTTTTTAGTGATTTTTCTGGGGTTTACCATATACATCATAACTTATCAGAATTTACTTCAAATTCATACTAAAACTTTTAATTTCTGTGAGATATAGAAATGTTATTCCTATATGTATTTTACACTTTACATTTTTCTGCTATTACTGTTACACAAAATAAAACTATATATGTTACAAACCCAATAATACATGTTTTAAATTTACTGATTTAAATAATTTTGTCATTTGAAGCTGAGGGAATAAATGAGAGCAAGTATATAGTTATATAATTTGTATGTTAACCTTCTTATTTACCATTGCTGGTTTTCTTCAGTGTTTTTGTAGATTCAAGTTATCATTTGATATCATTTCCTTACTCCAATACAGTTTTGCACCCACCTACATCCTTTGTGCTATTATTTTCAAGTATGTTATATTTCTGTATGTTATAGGCACAATTGTACAGTTATAAACATATTATTTTATACAATTGCTTTTAAAATCAGCTAACAAGAAAGGAGAATAAATGTATATTTATACTGTCTGCTATAATTACATAGTTATCTTTGCCAGTGCTCTTTTTTTTTGGTGTAGATGTGATTACCATCTGGGGTCACTTGCTTTCAGCCTAAAAAGCTTCTTTCACCTTTTGTAGAGTGGGTATGTAGCAATGAATTATCTGTTTTTGTTTATCTGAGAATGTCCTTATTTTGCCTTCGTTTTTGAAAAGTGGTTTTGTTGGATATACGATTCTTTGTTTACAGTTTTGTTTTTTAGCACATTGAATATGTCATTCCACTGTCTGCTGGCTTCTTTAGCTTCTGACAAAAAGTCAGCTGTTAATCATATTGAAGTTCCTTTGTACACGAGTAAAAAAAAAAATTGTTGCTGCTTTCAAATTTTTCTCTTTGTCTTTGTTTTCTATATTTTTAGTAGAGTGCACCTGGATCTCTGTGTATATCTTCCTTGAAGATTGTTGAATTTCTTGGATGTACTGATTAATTTTTTAATCAAATTTAGGAAGTTTTTAGCCATTAATCCTTCAAATAATTTTCTGTTCCTTTCTCTTTTCTTTTTCTGGTGCTTCTACTGCACATATGGTGGTGTGCTTAATGGTGTCACACATTTCTCTGAGGCTTTGTTCATTTTTTTTTTTTGGTTCATTTTCTTCCCTAGTAAACTAGCTGTCCTACAGTCTAGCTTGTTGCTCTCATGGAGCTACCAGCCTCCTCTTAATTACTTACCACCAAAATGTTCATTGTTTTAAGAGTACTTTTAGGCTCAAACTTCCTCATACTCTGTTCCAAATTCCTCTCAGTCAGAGCTCTCCATTTTAATGGCCTGTCTCGCCCCATGGCCAAAATCTCCAAGCCACTGCTCCAGAGTTTGGTGTGGGCATAATGGCCCAGTTCTCTTAGAATGACACCCTTAGTTGTAATTCTAGCCTGGTTGTCATGGTAGACTCTGGTCTCTCAGTTCACTTCTCCCAGCATGAAATCTCTGTCCTATGAGTAAACTGGGGTGAGGGAACTTCGGGTCCCAGTGTTACTGCCCTGTCACACCAGCAGTAGAGTCTCCATCTTATGAGTCAGAGCTGAGTGGAAGATGAGAGCCCCAGACTGCTCAGTTGCATTTGCCTGGAATTTAGTCTCCACAGCCTGGAGCTGGCAGGGATTAGTTGTGCTGGCATCCTGACCTCCCAGGGAAATATTATATACCTTGACTGGAAGCTGGGGAAGAGGGAACCCTGTCTCCTTGGCACTTCCATCCAGAATGAAGCTTCCTTCACATTTAGCTGGCAAAGAGAGAGGGAGCAAGCAGATCATGGCTCAAGTAAGACTCTTGCTGTTTTTACTGAATTTAGTAGATTTTCTTTTTTTTTTTTTTTTTGAGACAGACTCTTGCTCTGTCTCTCAGGCTGGAGTGCAATGGCACAATCTCGGCTCACTGCAACCTCCGCCTCCTAGTTTCAAGCTATTCTCATGTCTCAGCCTCCCAAGTAGCTGGGATTATAGGTGCCCACCACCACACCTGGCTAATTTTTGTATTTTTAGTAGAGACGGAGTTTCACCATGTTGGTCAGGTTGGTCTCAAACTCCTGACCTCAGGTGATCCACCCACCTTGGCCTCCCAAAAGTAGATTTTCTTGAATAAATGTTTCTTCATGTGCTATAGGTACTTAGGAAAATTTCCAGATACTTTAACCGGTTGGGTTTGGAGTGTGTGTGTTTTTTTTAAAATCAAAATCATCATTTCACCATTTATATTTATTTCTCTGAAGAGCATGTCTACAGAGTTCGTTATGCCATAATTCTAAAAGCGGGACCCAATGTTTATTTTTTTAGTCTACCTGGATTTAATGTGTTGTGAATGGTATAATGCAAAGGCCTAGTTTTATTATTTTTCACATGAATTCCAATTCCAATTTGCCCTAACTCCATTTATTGAAAAGTCTATCTGTTCCCCCAGAGATCTACAATACTGCCTCTGTCTTGTAGCAAATGTCTGTTTCTGCAGGAGCATATTGCAGAGTTCTTTCTTCTGTTCAGTTGATCTATTCCTGCACCAATACCACAATGTCTTAATTATAAAAGCTTTATATAGTAAGTTCTGATATCTCATAGGACAAGCCCTTGTCCTTCTTCTTTGAGAGCACTGAAGCTGTCTTCAGGACTTTGTATATGTTTATAAATTGTAGATTCAGCTTGTCAAGTGCACACGTGTGTATACACACAACCTGTTGGAAATTTGATTTGTATCGCATTGAGTCTATGGGTAAATTCAGGAAGAATCAACATCTTTACAAGACTGTGGCTTTCCATCCGTAAACATAGTATATCTCTCCATTACTTAAGTATAAATATCAACTGATGCAAGCAGTATGTGTGCTCTCTAAGGCCATGGATCTTCCAGAAACTTGTAATATTTTCTACTCTCTCCACTCATCTCACAAGGGTTCATATCACTTTAAATCATGTCAATGTGGGAAGAACAAATTAACTTTAGAGGCTATTACTGATCCCAATGTGACAGAAAGCCAGATTTCTAGACAAGTAGATATTTTTGGTAGTTGCCTCTAATGGATCAACTATACCCAACGGGAGTGAGAGTAGAATAAGGTACATTTTTATCACAAAGTAGCACCTACTTTAAAGCTCCTCCACTGCTTTTTACTAACCAGTTTATTTCCTTTCATGCTTTCACCAACACTCCAGCTGTTTTCTGACAATGGGGAACTAGCATGAGGCTTGGCTATTTCAATCAAGGCAGGAAAATATTGATTAGGGGTCTTTAAAAGTAACTGCTGTTGCTTTCCTTTTATTGTTGTTTTTCTGATTACAAAGGTATTATGTATTATTTCCAGAGAATTTAGGACATACAGAAAAGCACAAAAGAGAAAAATAAAAGTGATTTACCATCAGAGAGAACCAGGGATAATATTTTGGTATGTAACTTTAGAGTCTTTTATATATATATATATATATATGCCATGCACACCCTATGTTTTGGGTTTTTTTTCAAAATAGCTCTTTATAAATGGATCTCTTTATACAACAGTAAGTCAAACCATTGTTTTCTTTGGAAAACAGCAGGTAATGGGTGCTCAAGAGTGCTGCAGGGAAAGTGCAGAGAATCCCTTCAGGAGAGACAGAGGTGTTTAAGTTGAGACTGCCAACCAGGTTATGCACCAGCTCACTCCTCGAATACCACCTACTGATTTCTAGATGGCTGACGTGAATTTGATTGCCTCTCAAGGTTCCATCCAACTCTAAAGTTTTGGGACTCCAAGATTTCTGTCTGATCTGTGGTCCCATGTCACCTAACACTGTCATAGGCCTGAGTTGTTGAAATGAGGGGTGCTTAGTCAGTCTGGTGCTATAACGGATTATCATAGTCTAAGTGGCTTAAAGAAATTTATTTCTCACAGTTCTGGGGGCTGGGAAGTCCAAGATCAAGGTGGTAGCAGAACTGTGTCTGGTGAGGGTCCTCTTCCTGGTTTGCAGATGACCATCTTCTTGCTGTGACCTCACATGGTAGAGAGAGAGAGAGAGAGATCATCTCTTCCTGTCTTTTTTTTAAAAGGGTATTAATCCCATTCATGAGGACTCCATCCTTGTGAACTAATTACCTAACAGACACCTCACCTCCAAGTATCATCACATTGGAGATTTATGCTTCAGCATATGAATTTGGGGAGACACAAACATTCAGTGCATAGTTAGGGGTTTTTGGTTTGCTTGTTTAACTGCCCACCAAGAATATGATTGGAAAGTTCATATTTAACCAAGATGGTAGTACTGTCACAATTTCTTTCTAGAAGAGATAATATTAAAAGACCATTTCATCTGCACAGCTCAATTCCACAGAGAAGAGATGGTGAACTCAGGCTTGTCTCTGGTAAAATCATTGTGTGCCCTGGGCCCAGAACCCCTGTGTGGACCCCTTTCCTCCCTTCAGCTCCACCAGTACAATGGACCCTTGTCCAGAAAGGGACTTCTCGTGAATAAATTTGCCTCCATAATGACCGAATAGGAGAAAGTTGCACATCTAACCACCTGTAATTATCAAATAAAATCCTTTGTGCCCAGGTCAGTAAGTCTGAGTGTGGGCAGTTGGAGGAGGATAGGGAAGCCAGGGGAGGGGGCAGGAGGACCTTCCCAGATCCTGTGAAATCACCCTTCTAAGTTACCACTCAGGACATGGCTAGCTAGATTAATGTGGGGCTCAGGGTTTCCCTGCCCAAGGGACTTCATTTCAGGTCAGGCAGAGGCAAGCAGCTTAGCCCTCACATCTGTGCTGCTGAGTGTGGTTACTGCAGGAGAGAGCTGGAGTCTAAGGGAAGAAACTTCCCATGCTTCCTGAGGGGTGGGGATAACTCTGAAGCTCTGTGACCAGTTCTATTTAAGCCAACATAGAGAAGGGCATCATGCTGCTGAAGGTAGAGGCAAGTGATGCTTCATCCTGAGATTTTGGGGACCATTGCTGCTCAGGTGCTTGTGCTGTTCACCCATCTTAGTGCCCCACCCAGGGAGATGGAGGGTGCACTGTGGCCCCAACCCAGTCTACATGGACTAGGTTATGATCAAGGCTTCCCAAGAAGGGAGGGTAGGTTTGGTGGGGTCTGCCCCAAACAGTTGTTCAGTGTGGGGCCAGCATCCCACACACCCAACCTGGTGTTAAGTTATGGATCAGCTTGGCCATGAAGCAGTATATTCCAGCTCACTCATTTTCACATTGGTGCTGCCGCCTGTTCACACTGGTTCCTTCTTGTATGTGCATCCAGTGGATCTCTGCTTCTACATATAGCTCATTGTGCAACCCTCCCACATGGTGGTGTTACTCATGGATTTCACATTCTTACTCTCAGGATGTGTTTCAAGGAAGTTACCCTCGGAAAAAACTCTTCCAATCCCTATAATTCCCACAGTCCAAGATTCAAGGTGCTGACCGCCCACCTCCTGCATCACCCCAAAAGGCAGTGGGCTGGTGGTGTCATGTCAGCTCTTGTTGGCTGCAGAGCCCTGGGGGCTCTTCGTAATAGCCGCAGGCCTTCCTGGCAGGGATTAGAATAGTCCATTTGGGCTTCCTTAACAGAATAGCACCAAATAGGTGATTTAGACAACTATGAAAATTTTATTCCACCTTTTTGGGGTGGCTTCTTAGCCACCTTTTTGTTGCATGCTCACATGGCAGAGAGAGATCCTCTCTCATGTCTCTTCTGAGAAAGGCACTAATCCCATTCATGAGGCTCCCCCCACCTCCTAATACCTTCACGTTGGGGATTTAGGCTTTAATGTATGAATTCTGGGGAGACACATTCGGTCCATAGCAGCCAGCCATGATGTTCTCACAGGTGGGAGCTGCTGAGAAAGCAGCTGTGACAAAGAACATGAAGAAGCCTGTTACAAGGAGTCACCCTCCCTCTGGGCACAATTAAAGCAGAGTGCCCGGCCTGTATATGCCAGAAATTTCAGTTCCTCCCCGCTGGAGGCTCAGTTCGCACCATAAAATGCCACATTTGATATGCAGATTCCCTGAACTCTCCAGAGAGGAGCTGGCTACCCAAGGGGAAACAAAGGCTGTTCAGAATGTGTCTGGATCCATTCCCCCATAAGTGATGTTAACACTAAAACACAACAGCTCTCTTTCATCGGGCTGGTTTTATGGCTCCCACTCCAACTGTTGCTTGGAATTGTGGTTGTCCTCATTGGCTTTTTACTACCTTTAAAAGATCCTTTGCAGAAGCCTGTTGGCTGGCTTCCTGCTGACTCCAGGGCTCGTTGTGGAAAGGCCTGGAAGGTTGGCGACTAGGAGCCTTGGGCCATGACCCAGTCCTAATACCAAGGTAAACACTGAGCTCAGTTATGTGTTCTCTCCTTGGTGTCACGTGCTTAGGGGGATTCTGACACACAGGTGACCTCCAGGGGGCAAAGACTAGGATCACACACAGTCTAAAAACTTTATTCCACAGGACAATAAATTTTAAAAAATAGATAGATAGATAGATACATACATACATACATACATACATAGATACATAGATACATAGATACATAGATAGATAATTCCCCTGCCAGTCCTCAAATCTCAGCATGAAGCATTATCTCCCTGGCGGGAGAAACATGAAAACTGTCTCCAAAGCTGATGGCCCTTTACCTGGAAGTTTGATGAGGTGTGTTTGGCAGCCCCAGCAGGCACATGTTCGGCCTGTGGGTGGGTGACAGGGAGGCCAATTTCAAATGCCCTGCTTGTCAGTGTCATGGATTTCAATTCCTCTCTCCTGGAAGCAGTTTCCACCATAAAATGGTGAGCCTTCCAACAGCTGGGGCTGCCTTTGCAATGGGCCTCCCGGTGATGAAGTGGGCTTCCCGTCCCTGGGAGTGGACAAGCAGCAGCCGAGGCTGTTGGGGAAGAGGCGGAGGAATTTCTGCCCCGGGAGCGAGGTCTGACGATGAGGAGTCCTTCCAGCTCTAACAGACAGTGTTCATACCTCAGTGTTTTTCAAGCCCCAAATCAGTTTCTTTAATGATGCTCCTGTAACAAACAATGCCCAGTGATCGCTGAAACCATCTTTTTTCACACTTCAAAAGAATCTGAGAACAAAGGTGAAAATGACATTTCCTTGTCTGCCAACTGATATTTACGCACATGAATCATCTGACACATTCCGCATTACTTTACAGGCACTTCAAATGGAGGCTTTTCCCCTGGGAGCTCTTGTGTTGTGCCAGACAAGTGGAGGCCCTGTAGGGACACTCAGCGGCTCTCACACCCTAGACAGGTCCGTCCTGCCACCAGGAGTCAGGCCCACACTTTCCGTAGACCCTCTTCCCTCATGCTTGCTTTTTCCCATCCTGGGAGTTTTAGGGACACTAGCCATGATTTTAAATTTCACGAGACCTACATGGGATAAACCCTCAAGAGTAGATATGTTAAATGTCAGGAATGCCTCTTGCGGTGAGGGCCTTGGGAAAGCAGTGCTGGCTTCTGGGCAGCCCCAAAACATGGGCAGAGCTTACGTGGTCAGAGTCTCGGAGTGGACACCCTTTGTAGGTTGTGTGGCTCATTCCATTAAGTCCCAGAGCTGGCCGGTCTTGATGGCCTGGGGTTGGTGACCCTCTGAGTCCTCGGGACCGTTGGCCCTCTGTGCGCTGTCCCTCCATGCCCCATCCCTGCATGGGCCCTGCTTGCCAGCATTGCCCAGAACTACCCAGGCATTCAGAGAACCAGGCTGGTACTGGCCAGGGAGGCAGCCAGGGCCTCTGTCATCACAGGCCTGATGTCCAAGCTCACGTCTGTGCTGGGAACCCAGTTTGCAGCCAGTCATGGCAGGGGAGAGCCATCTCTTACCCTGGGTTGACTCAGCACCCCAGCACCCACTCGATGACCCCAACCTGCCTTTCCCTGTTGCTCCATGGGGCCAGTTGCCTTAGACCCTAATGAGTCTTTGAACTCTGGCTTTCTTTCCTTCTTCTCATTCCTGAAACCACCCCCTCTGCTCTGAGGGCGAGGCTGCCTGAGCCTCTGACTCACTGCTGCCTCACACCTGCCTACCCCTTCTCCCCACTTCCCACAGCACCGCCTCATCCCTCATTCCTTCTCTCCAGCTGGCGGGACAGGAGTCCAAACCCCAAGACTGCCCAAAGACCATGCTTCAGGACCCATGCTGCCCTTCCCCGAGCCTGTCCTCACACAACTCTGCCTAGGAAGCCAGACCACACAGGACCCTGAGCACGCTGGCTTGCCTGGGAGAACTACTGTCCTGTTTCCCTTCAGGCCTGGGACCCCTGTCTTACTTTGGGTATCCTCCAGCAGGCTTCCTGCCCAGCCATGGCTAATGTTTAAAAAAAAAATTAGGACTCTCCCACAGGGAGAGGCTCCTTAAATAGGATCCAGATGCTTCACTTTTAGAGAGGCTGGCCTGCAGGCAGATACCAAGTGAGGGGCCATCTCAGTCTCAGCCTGTCTCCCTGCCCACAGCCCAGCCTGCCAACCACAGCTGCCATATTCCAAGCGACCTTGTCATTTCCTCAGCGACAAGCAGAGAACTCTGGGCAGAAATCATGTTCCTCTTCTGCCCTGGAGAACTCTGGGTCTCATCAGGGCAGACAGAAAATATTAGGGCATGATTGAAGATGAAGGTTGTGGGGCTATGACCACATGCACGGTGACAGTTCAAAGGAGCTAGAACAGTAAGAGCTGGGTGGCCAGGAAGCTTCCTGGAGGAGGGGGATTGGAATCCAGTAGGATGCTCTTGGCTTGGGTGGGTGGAGGGCAGCCCTGCTAGATAGGACCAACCCCAACAAAGGGATCAAATCAGCAGCGCCTCACTGGCACCTGGGGAGGGAGGGAGGGAGGTGCTCTTCTACCTGTGTCATAGCTAGCTGCCCTGTGTCCTCTGCCACCAGGGATTCCTCAGCTCTGAGACTATCTGGAGTGGGGTGCCTAATGGGTTAACTAAGCCCTGCTGATGCCAGGTGACAGAACCCACCCAGTAAATCAAATGGCACAAGTGTGTTGCCCTTAATGGTGTCGTTTGAGGCCAAATGAGCCTGCTAGAGTCTCTAAAATCACACTGTGTAGGAGGCGCCCACCTGTCAGAATGGGGCCCACCTAAGCTGAGCATTTTGTGGAGAATAAGAAAGTAGGTGCCTGGGCAGTGGGAGGGGCTGTGTCAGGCTGGGTGCCAGGACTTGGTGTTCTAACCTCACCAGGTTGTGACGGAACAAGCCTGGTCCTCCCACCCAACCCCCTGCCAGGTGGCTTCAGTTTCTCCCTCTGTGCAATAGAGGGGATTGGCCTTACTGTTTTCTCAGTCCCCTTCTCATCATGATATTCTGAGACTCTGCTGTGAGTGGCATGAGATGTCTCGGTGTGGCTCTCCACCCAGGTCCTGCTGAGGAGACACAGGAGCAATGAGCCCAGGGAGGGGATTAACAGAGGGACCGCCCATGCTGCAAATTAGCAAGATACCAGCTGCCAAATGTAACAACTTGTGTAATTGGCTTTTTGTTTTATTAAGAGGCATGATTCTCTTTAGCCAAGCCTCAAATGCCAGATGGGCATTAAACTTTGGAAGATACAGAGATTAACATTAACAAGAAAAGGACAGACTTGGGTAGCTTTGGAGGCTGGTGGTATTCAGCAGGCCATGTGTGGGTGTGCCTGCCAGAACCCTGCATGGAGACCAAGCCAGCCTTGGAAGTCCATCCCTGAGGCTTCTTCGTCTATTGGGATGGGTACCTACATTTGGCTCAAGACTGACTTTTCCCAGCATAAGACAAACTGAATCCCTGAAGCACCGTCTGCTGGAAAATCCCCTTTATGCAGAAAAAGCCAGTTGGCACTAGGAAAAGTCCTGGCCTGCCAGCTGATCTTTATTCAGTGAAATAGAATTATTAGAATGGGCTAGATGACAAACCAACATGTCCACAGTTGGGGGACAAAGAGGGGACCAAGTAGACTTTGGCTTGGAGGGTCCAAGTACATCTGACAGCAAGGCCAAGGGCACAGCTGCCCATGGGGCTAGACTACAGGAATGACTACCCACCGGTTCTGTTCTGGTGCACGTTTGTTTCCTGGCTCAGGAATCTGTGTGTGATGCACCTCCCGTGCTAGGGAACTCAACTGGGCATCAAGAGACCTGAGTTCTCCCAGGCTCTTCCTGTTGCTCTTTGGACCTTAGTTTCTACAGAGGTTGGCAGTCCCCTAAGGTACCCTCACTTCTGACATCAGCTGCTCAATAATTCACCAAAAGGATTCACAGAGCTCACAAAAACCTTTATGCTCATGGTTATGGTTTATTACAGCACAAGGAGACATTAAGATCAACAGAGGGAAGAGGGGCATGGGGCCCAGAAGAGTTCCAAGCACATAACTCCCCAGTGTCCCCTCCCAGTGGAGTTGTGCAGACAGCACTGGTGTGTGACAATACACTCAGAGCACTGCCAACCAGGGAAGCTTGCCTGAGCCTTGGCATCCAAGGATGTTACTGGGACTCAGTCACATGGATATGGCTGGCTGGCTGGCTGCATGGCTGACCGTAGTGTCTGGCCTTCCAGAGGTTGAGCTGACACCACATGGTCCGTGGCCTCCCACCATAAATCACATTGTTAGCATAGACTGTGTCATGGCCCAAAGCCCCCAGCTAAACAAAGATGCTCTTATCAGGCAGCACAGTCCAAGGGCTTAGCAATCCCCTCCCAGGGGCAGGGGGCAAAGGCCAGAACTCCCCTTGGACAAGGGTATCTTTCTTATGCAGAGGCTAGATGAGATGGTCTCCTGGTTCCACCAAAGTCTTAGACTCTGGGATCTTGATCCTGCCTGTTGGATCTGGGTTTATTCACAGCAGAACATGGAGAACAAAGTTCCAGCCAAATGAAATGTGAAACTGTGTTAGGTTTCTATTCAGGTACATCCTGTGTCACCTGTGGAACTGTGTTTGATTTGTTCTCTCCCAAGGATCATAGCTGGCAGGCTCTTTAAAACCATTAGCTTACATTTCCTTTTCTACTCTCCTGATCTTTGTTTCCAACTCCTGATGTGGCCTACTGCAGAAACCCCACAGTAGCAGGGAAACCCGCTTCCTTGCACTTCTTAACATCTTTCATCCTTGAGGTGCGGGAGAGCCAAGGAGAGAGAGCGTGGCCAAGCTGCAGCTGTTCAAATGGTTCTGCCTGCTGCCGACCAAGATCTGGAGCGAAAGCAGAAATTTGTCACATGTTGTGGCAGTGAAGCCTCCCCATGTTGCTGTCCTAAAATCCCAGGGTCTAATTGGAAAGGAATTAAAAACGCAGGCCTTTCTGGGATGCTTTGGTTGGATTCCTAGAAAACTTCTGAGAATAAAGCATTGCCATATGGCTGTTTTCTTGTTTACCTTGGGGCTAAAGAGAGACATTCTGGACTGAAATCTTCCACATTGTTTCAGAGACAACACATCCAACCTCACACATTTTTGTGGTGCTAAAAACCAGTCTTGTTCCACTTTGTGGGGATATAGACATGAATCTCAGGCCTTTGGAACAGGGATTACTGGCTGACTTGAGTCTTTATTCCCTGTAGGGCCTATGGACATCTTGGTGTCCATTCTTCTCATTGCTGCCTAAGCAGATCAGTTGGCTCTGTCTCATCCTTTCCTAGTCCCCAGCTGAGCTCTTCCAGGAAAGAAGAACAGCTGTCTTCCACCAAAGTCTGCCCCCAAGCAGCTAACAGAGTCACTATTTCAGGAGAGACCTTCAAGGGGAGGACCCTGAATGGCTGGGGATGCCTTCTCATCCTGCTGTTGTTTGGCTCAACATTTCAATACATTTAAATATTCATTTAAAATACTTCAACATTTAAATATATCATTTAACAGCATTAGAATGCTCTGCACCAAAAAATTAAGCAAAGGGAATTGTAGGAATTTTTTTGGCCTTTTCAAGCTATTAGTATTTTAAGTAGACCTCAGTTCAAAACTGGAGTCTTGAAAATGGTCCCATTACTATAAATTAGGATGCCGCCTTGTGCTTGTGTGAGACGCTTCCATCTTGGATTGGTCCGTTGATGTTCCTTGGACTGAAGAGCTGCAGTGAGTTCAGATTCTGAGTGCTGGGTTTCACCTGACTTCTTGAGTCACCAGAGGGTGTGCTTGAGTCACCAGAGGGTTTCCTCCAAGAAGAAAGTGAGGAAAGGGACATGGGGAAGCAGGCAGAAGAAAGTTTTCAGTGACCAGAGAGGAGTCAGAGTTACGGATTTTTAAAAAAATAAATTGCATGTCACTGTCACTCTGTCAGTAAACATGGATTGAGGACCTGTTGTGGACTTGTGCTGTGTCAAGCACCGGCGATACAACAGTGACCATGTCAGACGGTATCCTTGCCCTCAAGCTGCTCACATTTGAATAGAGACAGAGAATAAACACATGAACAGACAAGGATGACAGGTGGTAAAGACCATAAAGAAAAGCATTGAGGGAGATGTTTCAATGCGGAGTTTCAATGGCTGGGGTATCCTCGGAAGGCCTCTGTGCAATGACATTTGAGATGAGAGCTGCATTTTGAGATGGAGTCAGCCATCCAAAAATCAGGGGAAAGAGAGACCCACACCAAGGCTCAGCAAGTGCAAAGGCCCTGAACCTGAAAGGAGCTTGACACGTTCAAGGTGGCACACAAAGGCCACTGTGGTTGCAGCATCAAAAGTGAGAGGGTGGTAGGAGATGATGTTGGAGAAGGATCCAGAAGCCCAGGCAGGTGGGGCCTTGTGGATGACAAGAGTCTGGGTTGCCCATTAGAGGAGGGTAATACTGGGAGAAGCAGTCCCTGTCTGCAAGGGGTGGAAGAAGGGCTGAGGGCTAGCCCTCATCCCTTTGTCGGGTACCACCAGCCCCTGCCAGTCGTGAGGCTTGCAGGCTGCAGGAGGCTGACGCAGATGGTGAATGTTAATACCCGTGGCCCTGGTCCGACCTTTTCAGCATTCGGTGTTCTGATTAACTGGCCATTCTCCCTCTTCAGCACATGTTGAAGATACTTTGTTCAGGAGGAAGTTGAAATGGCCAGCCCATCTAATAACAGAATATTGAAAAGGTCACAGCAGTACGGCTGAGTTCTCCAACCTACAAATCACAGGGAGCGTCAGCTCGGATAACTCATTCTCCTGACAAATCAAGGAGCAAGGACTGAAGACTGCACCGCTGATTAGGCTCATGGGAAACCAGAGGGCCAGGGAGAAATCGATAGAACATCCTGCCTCGTGCAGGGGTTCAGGGCAGCAGGGGTGCTGATTAGCAAATCAGCAGGTGGGGGCATGCTGTCCCCTGGTGGCCGCTCAAATGACAGCCGCATTTGAAAGACCCCAGAGGGGAGGTCCCATCTGGACCTGCCTGGGTGGTCCCCCTGGCTCAGCAACTTGGCTGGAGATTGTTACCATTTTACCAGAAAACTATTAAAAAGCAGCTTTCCCCAAATAAAACATTTGCCATTAAAATCCCTAAAAGTTGATCTCTTTCAGGATATCTTGTGTTCTTTTTCCATTAAGGTTTATTATTATTATTATTATTATTATTTTAGAAATTAACTTTTGCCATGACCAGCCTTTTTGAGTTTTGACTGCAAGCAACAACAGTCAAAACTCAAACTCCTCGTAAAAGGAGGACAGGTTTATGGCTTAATTTACTACAGAGTTCCACAAACAACATTAAAGAAAAATGACTGATTTAATTAAAAACTGGGCAATTAACCTTCTGTGCGCTAAAATAGAGGGCTTTCTGAGGGCTTTCCACAGAAGCGTGTCTTCATCTGTGAGGCAGCGGCCTCAGAGAATCTTAATAGATCAGTGAAGCTGGATTGAAGTGGAAAGCTCACCTTAAAAAGAAATCTAAGGAGATTAAGAGGGGGATGAACATCAAAAATGACTCTGATTAAGCCAAGATAAAGAATGCTAGAATCTGAAAGGGAGAAACAGCATACACAGAATATATTTTTAAAACCACGGGCACAAAGATTTCGGTGGGCTTTGGAGATAAGGGGGACTGACATTTTGAGAACGGTTGATAAAAAGCTTTTCAGCACAAATGTTCATTTTCACTGGGGGCTGAGCACAAAAATCCATGGACAAAATTGAAATTCTACATGCTAAGAGAAGACTAAAAGATTTACTGGCACAGATTCAATTAAGTGGCTTAAAAAATGTACCATCTCCTTCAGGATTCATTTAGGTGCCTGCCTCATAACTGCACAATTTCCCAAACGTTGCTTGCTAATGTGTCAGGAGGGATGATTCCTGCAGGAGGAGCAGGGAGTCTTCATCATAGGACCTTGAATCAGGGCTCAGCAGGTGTAAGAGGCCCCTGGCATGGGGCAGCCCCTGCCAATTCCTCCTTTGCGGTGGCCTGCTGCCACCTCGATCAGGAGGTTAGGTGCCCACTGGGAGTACACTCAGAGTCCCCTCTGAAGTTTCAGGCCTTGAGACAGCAGGCTTTACTTGTGACCACCACCACCCACCCCCACACCCCCAACAGAACCGGGCTTTAGTTGTTACAAGCAGTCTGGAGACCTGGACTTTCAGAAACAGAGCCTAGCTCAAGATGCACTTTGAACATGTCCCTTGCTGAGCAGTGTTGGAAACTGTTGACCCCATGGGCACTCTTGGTTCCATATTTCTGAGTTGTCAATCGCCTGCTGATGCTGGAATGTCAGGCGTGTCCTGCCTTAGCCAGGCTGCCCTGTTCAGTGAGAAGGGAATTATTTAAAGATCTGTCCCCAGCAGCACATTCAGGGCCCAGAGGTGGGCTAAAGCATCTACGGGAAGGCTGGTGAGTTATTGCAAAGTGGCAAGTGTTAATTCAGTGCCCTCTGAGCCGCCGTCTATGAATTAACCCAGCCATTAGAACACTAGAGTTAGCTCAGTGTGAGGCCAGCTCAGCGGTGAGAGGGCCTGCACAAAGCTGTTAAGGCTGATGGAAAGACAGGGGTGGGCAGGGTGTGGGCAGCCCTCATTTTAGACAACCCTTGGGATGTGAAATTGCAGCTCGACCAAGGTAGTAAGCAGGAGTTTGGTCCCTGTGGTCCACGGCCTGCCAGCTCTGAGATGCCCTCAGCCCAGGTTTCATCCTGGCTGTATTGCCAAGTACACTGGCTGGAGGTTCAGGAGCAGCCTTGTTGGCCTCCCACGTGGATGCTAAATGTTATTTTTAAGGCAAGAGCAAGGAAAGTGAAATGAAAAGGCACTTAATATAGTTAGACCTACATTGCGGCTGGCCATTCAAATTCAGGGCTGGACGGAGTACTTCAGGCTGCGGTGGTCAGGGAAGACCTTCCTGTTAGTGACCAAGCTTGGGGGAAGGCGTGATTGTGACAAGTAGAAGAAGAAAAGTCATTAAGGGTGGGAATTTCCAGAGTTGCTGGGGGAAAACAAGGATTGAGGGGGCTACCGTAAATGACTCCCCCATAACCTGATATCCCCCAAAGGAAAAGCAGTACTAGAGCTGAGGGCCTCCTGGAACACCCCCACTCATGGAAATGTGGGCAGCTTCTGTGGGCACTTGGTACCTGTCGCTGCTGCCCCCCACCACATGCTTAACCATGAGGTAATTTGTACACCTGGTTTTGTTTGTATGTTTTTTTTCTCTGTGAAGTATGCAGATTATTCAAAAAGAGAAAATAAAGAAGGGTAATTATTTTTCTTTAAGAATGACAGCGCAGTCATAAAACCCCAAATGGAGGTAAAAAGGGAAGAAGTTAGGAGAGAGAGAAATCAATAAAACAGAAGAGGTTTAAAATAAGAGCTCTAAAGGGCTGACAGCTATAGGAGACAGGAGAGGAGGAATTAGCCTGGAATTTAAATCTCAGATATTAAACTTAAGATGAAATAGAAAAGAAAGAAAGAAAAAAATGAATTTTAAAATGAGTGATTTAAAAAGGAGATAGGTTAAAGGCATAGTAATTGATGAGTTAAAATAAAAGTATGAGATGATGCTTTTAAAATAGAAATTAACTAGGATCTAGAAATGGCTGCTGAGACTATGGGAAGGAGTTCCCGGAGAGCAGGGGCCAGGCCTGGAAGCACCTCCTGTGCTCAGCCTCGCCCTTGTGTTCTTTTGCCTGCTCTGGACAGGGAGCATTTTCCAGTCTCCATGGGCAAGGGCTGCCTTCCCATGTGCACAGGCACACAGCAGGCCCAGAGGCCTCAGCCCCCAGACCTATCAGAGAAATCCTGAACGCATAGACAGGGAGCCCCACAGACGCACTGAGAAAGCGCTCAGGCTACGTGCTGGGTGAGTGAAAACTTATCAAAAAACGCAAGTGAACAAAGGCTCCTCCTGCCCTCTTTTGGGAGGAGTGACTGGGTTCCACTGCCAAATCTTCAAACACTGGTTCTCAACTCTTTCAGATCCAGTGCCGACTTTTTAGAACAAATATTTAATAACACCCCATGTATTGCCCTGAAACGAAAATTATAGACAATGTAATCCACTTCCACACTTAATTTCACAATATGATGTCCTAATTAAAATATAAATGAGAAATACAAAGGAAGTAATTTGTAGTAAAATATTACATATTTCAATATGCAAGACCACAGTGGAATTCATAATGATGTAGCCAGATGCTGGCATGAAGGCAGCCTCTACAAATACAACTGATACAGGTTTATGGAATTGGCAACTCATATGCCACAACACTGTGTTGCCATTGGCAACGAGATAATGATGAACAACTGTTGATAAAGTTCTGAACAAAATAATGTGTACTCATTCCTTGGTTTTTATAGTAGTTGTATCCCAGAGAAATTCCAAGTATATTAAGCCATGCACAAAATACTTTGTATTCATGGATAACTAGAGTTAGGTTCTAGGCTCAAATAATTATAAATATGTTTTCAACTACGTGAATATCCAATGGGATATCCAAAAAATGGGGGCATGTGACAATGTATTGTTGTGAAGGACTGTCTTATACAATGCAAAATGTCTGGTATCCCTGGTCCTTGCTCACTCAATACTAACAGCAACCCCATCCCCACCTCAATCATTGAGACTGCTGAAAATGCCCCAGTGATTGCCAAAAAAACCACTACAAGGCAGTTCTGCCCCACTTAGAACCACTGTCTTAGAGGGAGAAACTTGTCAGGACTAGAAGGCATTTGACACCTCCTTTGGGTTTCCTCATGGCTATACATTCCCAGTCTCAAAATTTTTAGGGAAATTTTTGGGGTAAAAAGGGACATTTGGAAGCAAGAGCAGAAGACTCTGAAAGAGATACCTATGCGTTTTGGCCAAGATGTGCTGGTCTGATGCTCCAGGGAGCCCTGAGATCCTTGGGCAGATAAGGATGAAAAGAGGAAAGATTGGAGCTCAGGCAGAGCAAGAGAGGGCCTGCTGCTGTTGTAGAAGAAACTGCAGATGACAGAAAGGGTGCTTCTCAATTAGATAGTAAATAACTATAAAGGATTATCGCAGTCAACCGCGAAATCTCAAGATAACATACAAAGGGGCAGAGGTAAGGGTCTCCCACTCCCAGGATGGTTTTCATCCAGAGACAATACCAAGTCATTAGAAAGCTCTGGAAAGAAGCCAGCACTGCAGGGTCGGAATGCGACCCCTCCTTGAAAAGTTTATTAGAGCGAGAAGAGGTCGGGAATCATGTTTCAGACTTGCTCTCGGCTTCAAGGGCTCAGAAAAAGTTAATCTGATGTTCTCCTGACTCTGGGTCATTTAACTCATTTCTAAAATGGGTTTCTTGCTCAGAGCAGAATTTCGAGGTTTGTAAACTCCAAGAAGAGAAAAAAAGGTCCTACACAATTGTGTTATTGTGATTGAACAGTTTTATTCTCAAAGATTTAATTTCCCAAATTTTGCTTTAGGAATACACGGTAAATGCAACACACGGTAAGATGGCAATTAAGCTCCCTGCGTTAGGGAGTATCACTCACGGTGATAATTGGGAAACATGACAGAGAATGGGACGCGCCATCTCAGAAGAGACGAAGAGGCTTTTCAATTACTCTGGAACTTTATTTATTATTTTTGAAGGGTAATGCATTGCCGCTCTTAACTGTCTGAAATTAAAGTGGACGTTGAAAACATAGCCCTTCTATGAGCTTATTTTTATTTTTACTGAGCATAATTGGACAATATAAAAAGTTTACTTTTTAAATGTGTCATCTCTTGTTTCTTTAAAACTGTAATCACATCAATAGGAACTTTGCTGTTGAGATTTTATTGCTTTGTCTAGGTTCCTTTTCCAGCCTATCAAACTTGGTAAATTTAAAGATTGTTCACAAATAATGAAAGCTGACTTGTTGCAAAAAAAAAAAAAAAAAAAAAATTATTGCCTGAAAACAAACTCTAAGAGACACTATAGTGATGTTTATGTTTTTTAACTTAAGATTTGAAGCAGGAATATTTTCAGACTTAGATTCTGCAAAATGATCATTGGACCAGAACACATTTTCATGTGTTAAGGTCAGATCTTAGAGCCAGCTTTGAATTCAACAGTGGGTTCTTTCTTTCTCATCATCAAATGGGCTTTAAAAGGTCAAGGAACAGCGAGGTGCTGGTGGGAGGAAAATCGCCAGAATTTCTCTTTCCTATTTTGAGTAAACGTTGAGAAGATTGTACTTGGAGTGTACTTTATAGGTACCCGATTGGGGACGAAGAGGAGAGGGACAGGGTGTGTTCCCATGAAGGCCCCAGCCCTGCAGGGAAGGGAGGCCACGCTGAGGGTCCACTGTTAGGGCTGTTTGATTCCTGGGCAGCACTTCAGGAAATCTGTTCTCTTGGAACCCACTTATGGGGTTTACAAAGCAGAGAGCCTTGAGGCAGGCTGGAGCTCAGAATACTGGCTCCCTGGTCTGCCAGGGCAGTCTCAGCAGCACGGGGAGTCAGGTAGAGGCCTTTCCACACCTGCCCTGGCCTCCTTGGCTCCCCGGGAAAGCTCCCGTGAGGGACAACTGAGGCCATCACCAGCAGCAGAACGGGTAGGAAAAGGGGCTCAGAGAAGAGTTTCAATTAAGCCAAAGAAGAGTAAAGGAAATGCTTTTAAAAGCTGAATGAGGGTGGGGCAGATGTGGGGCCTTTCATTAATTCAAGTGTACTCTAAATCTTTAAGAAGCAAGACACTAATATTACTGCCAACAATAAGTGGCTAAATTCAGTGAATTTTGACAAAGGCATCACACCCATGTAACTACTATGCCAATCAAGATACAGACCATTGCTGTCATCCCCAGAACTTTCCTCCCGGTGCTTTCCTAGTCAGTCCCCCCATCACTGCCCTGCCAAGGGCCATTGCTGATCTGATTTCTAATATGATAAGTTCGTTTGCCTATTCTAAAACTTCTTGTAAGTACTCTTTTGTGTCTGGCCTCATTTCCTTGGCTGAATATTTTTGAAATTCATCACCTTTATTCATCAGTCTCCCATAGTCAGTCAGTCTTCACATATCCACAGGAATTCACACTGCGAATAAACCAGGAAAATGATAGATACAGTCCCTGCCTTCTTGGAGTTTACTATGCGCCTTTTGACGCAGCTTCTCTACTGCCAGGAATCTGTCCCAAGGAAACTATCACAATGATACAAAAAGATGTAGGTGGCAGCATTACCAATATTAGTGAGAAAGGCACACAGAATGGCCACCAAAGATTAAGTCATTTATAGGAGAAGGGAAGGACCAAATCCTATGCATTGTTACACATCACGCTCTAGCTAGAAGAGCGGCCAATGGCAAAAGAAATGCCAACAGGTTAAGAGCACAAAAGTTAGGGTATACAGAAAGACCCCACCGTGTGAGAATTTCCACATGGGTAACCAGACCTGAATGCTCACTCTGCATGTTGGGATCATCGGAGACTTATTTCCTTTTTAGTTCTTTCCTTTATATTCCAGTTTGTCTTCAGGGAGTATGTGCTGTTTTGCAATCGGGAAATAGCATTTTACTTAAAAGAAGTGGGAGGCTGAGGCGGGTGATTCACTTGTTTGAGACCAGCCTGGCCAACCTGGTGAAACCCCATCTCTAATAAAAATACAGAAATTAGCTGGGTGTGGTGGCGGGCGCCTGTAATCCCAGCTACTCAGGAGGCTGAGGCATGAGAATCGCTTGAATCCGGGAGGCAGAGGTTGCAGTGAACTGAGATCGCGCCACTGCACTCCATCCAGCCTGGGCGACAGAGTGAGACTCCGCCTCAAAAAAAAAAAAAAAAAAAAAAGAAATAGAACCCTGGCTGGGATGGGCCCCATCGTGCAAGCGAACACAAGGTATCAGCAGCACGGGCTTCAGGGCCTGGGGAGGACAGCACTTGGCATAGCCAGCCCAGGCCCCCTCGCCCTCCCTGCTGGGGGCTGCCTTTGCTCTCAGAGTCCTGCCCCTGCTGCTTGATTCACTGGGAGAACAACACGTAAGGCCGTCATTCCTCTAATCAGCCTTCCCAGGTTGATGCTGGGAGCTGACGGGCTGAATTGGCCAGTGTGTTCGTCAGGATGCTGCTTCCTCCTCCCCAAAGATAGTTATAGCCAATTTCCTGAAACTATGAGTATGTCCCCTTACATGGCACAGGGACTTTGCAGGTGAAGTTAAGGCTCTAGACCCAGGGGAGTTTATCCTGGATTATCCGAGAGGGCTCCATGTAATCATAAGGTTCCTGCTATGTGAATGGGGGTCAGTCAGAGGAAATTTGAGGATGCTGCGCTGAAATGAGTCAGGCCAGGTGGCATCCTACAGCAGACAAGGACAAGCTGAGCAGATAGCAGGTGGCCCTGGGTCCACTGCACACTTTGCCAGGCTGAGCTGACCACAGACTGGCTAGCATGGCTGGAGTTCTATGCCCAGCCCAAGCCGACTGGTCCTCCTGAGTGGGCACCAGCACTGACTGTGCTGCCTCTGCCCAGACTCAGCTAGAACAGGAGTGGGCTGAGAAGCTGGGGGCGGCAGAGGCCTCTGGAAGGCCCCAGGTGTTTTGTGGCCCTAGCACACTTCTCCTTTGGGGACCTCAGCATGGGTGTCTCCGAGCCCAAGTCAACTACTTTGGCCTCATTTTAGGGGGTGTGGGGGGTGCTAGGGAGAGAGGCCAGAAGGAGTAAATCTTAAGAAATGAGGTAGGCAAGAAACCTGGGTCTGCAGAGCCTGCAGAAGCCAATGAAGCAATGAAAGGGCCCTGTAGGTTTGGAAGCAAATGGCCGTTCTCACGGTTAAGTTACTTGGGAAGAATTCCATTTTGCTTTACAAGGGATGATGTCAGCTTTAAGCCTTAGCTGAAATCAGCCCCTTCTAAACTGTAAACAGACATTGATAGGCCAAACACAACTAGAAATTGGCTCCCTGGCTCCCAATCCCTGTCCCTTTTTTCCTTACTGCCAGTTTGTTGTTTGTATGAATATCTATCAGCATCTCCTGTGAGCCAGGCTGAAGATGCAGCTAGAGAGAGGAGCTTCTGCCTTGGGGGCAGAAGAGAGGGAAGAAAGTGAAGGAAGTGCTTCCAGTCTGGAGGAGGAGACAGAGAGGCCAACGGGGAGTTCTCCTAGGGGCAGGGCAGGGCACGGGGACAGCACAAACAGGAGGGGGACTGAGACTCTGCCAAAGGATCAGAGTTGCTCTTCCAAGGCCAGCTGAGGTGAATCACACCAAATCTCAAACATGCTGTCCTTCCTGTCCCACTTGCCAGGGATCTGATCTAGCCACACTGACCAGCAGGCTATATTGGTCCCTGCCCGGGGTCTGTCCAGGGCTTTGCAGTCCGCCCCAGCTCCACACTTGTGCCCAATGGACTTCTCAGACTCCAGAGTTACTGCAACCTTTAGTTGGGTGCTGGGCCCCACTCTGGCCCTGGACTGTAAAACCAACCTGAAATGGAAAAGTGGGTGGCATGGCCCTTTACCAGCTCAGCCTCCAGCACAGGCTCTTCCTGATGGGCAGGGAAGGGGCTGTGTGATGTGGCCTAGGGCCTCGTTTGCATGCCCAGCATTGTCCCCATAAAAGTCCTGCAGGAAGCTGTGAGGGGTCCCCTGCCAAAAAGACTGCGTGGGCCTGAGGGATCCCTGCGAGGCAGGCCAGGAGGCAGCCATGCTTCACACCACACAGGTGGGTCTTTCATGCTTTTTTTCCCTTTAAGTTTCTAGTCTTGTGGCAACCCTGCAGTTGACACTTACAAAGTGGTTTCTGCTCACTTGTCACTACCATATACTTACTCATCAACGGGCTCCTGGGGCCTCTCTGGTAACCAGTCCCATCTGAAGAAAGCTGAGAGGTTTCCTGAAACATGCTGCAGGGGCGTCTACCTGTCCTTCTCAGCCTGGCCTCTCCCCAGGGGAGGTGGCTGGACCTTGGGTCTAAAACTTGGCCCTGGCCATCAAAACTCTCCATGACATACTTCTTCCTCTCAAATTCCCCCTCCCAGTACCTCCTCCTAGAGTCCCTCCCAGACTTCATCTCTAAATCCAGGTTCAGTGGCATATCCAGGTAGAGATCAGTGGACTACCTGGGCATGCCCAAATTTGTCTTGGCGCCCACAAGCCATGAGCCCATGAATGAAGGGGCTGATTGGTGATGACAGTGGTGTCCCCAGGGCTTAGCACACAGTGGGCACACAGTATGTGTTTGTGATTGAATCTATGGCAAATAAGAATTATTTCGTAGTGTACATAGCTGTCTGCATGAAAAGACTATGTTTTCATGATCAGGACTTCTTACAGCACAGCCCCCTTAGCCCTTGGCTGTGGGGGAGGTTTGGGCAGCAGTTATAACTGGCCTCCAGGACCCAGAAGGCCCCCTGGGACCCAGGCCCCCAAGCCTCTGTAAGAGGCCTTGAGCCTCTTCCTCTTAAAAGATAAAACACTAGCCATGCGAGGATTTCCTGAGATGCCTGGACATCGGTCCTCACTAAGAGTCAGACAGTTCTCGATCCATCTTCCCATGGGACCAGGGCACAGCCATGGGTGTTGGTTTCAAGGAGTTTCTCAGGAGTGTGAAGGGGAGCACGGACCAGCACAAAAACAGAATTCTGAGTCTGAAATAAAGGATTAGAAACCCCTTCTTGGCCATTAAAACCTAAATAACTAGAAGATTTGTTTCCTACTTTCTTTTAAAACAAAACTAGGCATTGTTGTGTTGTTGTTTGTTCTTTTTGTTTTTGTTTGTTTGTTTGTTTTTGAGACAGAGTTTCACTCTGTCGCCCAGGCTGGAGTGCAGTGGCACGATCTCGACTCACCACAACCTCCGCCTCCCAGGTTCAAGCAATTCTCCTGCCTCAGCCTCCTGAGTAGCTGGGACTATAGGCATGCGCCACCACACCCAGCTAATTTTTGTATTTTTAGTAGAGATGGGGTTTCACCATGTTGGCCAGGATGGTCTCGGTCTCTTGACCTCATGATCCACCCGCCTTGGCCTCCCAAAGTGCTGGGATTACCGCCGTGAGCCACCATGCCCAGCCCAAAACTAGACATTGTTAATGCTAGTCCTAAGTTTCTGCTAGAGCTTAGTGTGTCTTCTGAACCCAAAGAAACATTCAGTCATATTCAATTTAGCTTCATGCTAAGTGTTATTTGTTTTCAAAACTTGGGAAGCTGTCTGGGAATAGCTGAGGAGAGCACTCAAGTGTCTAGAGCACTGCCTTCCTCAGCCAGGCTGCACAGACGTCTAGCACAGGTGGCTGGCACCTGTGAATATGTATTCTGCAATTCCAGTAGCACCTGTCAGGATGCTACGCCTCTTTTAACATGCAAACTACATACCAACAACTGCTTAGGGCTGATAAAATCTGCCCTTAGGAGTTCAGCATCAACCACAGCCAGAGACCGCTGCTGACAGCAGGGCTTCCTAGACTCAATTAGCAGTAGACAGAGCCCACCATCAGCATGACAGGAGCCAGCAGGCACAGAGCAGGCCTAGGCCCAGGCCAGCACGGCAGTGACATTCCTCATCCCACACATGCATGTACATTACTGTCATCACTTGGGTGCCATCAGTCTCACTCTCTGGTGGAAAGATGGTGCTCCCGGGGCTGCAGGTGTGATGTAGGTGACGTGAGATCTGCATGGGCACAGCTGTGGCCTTTGAATTATAAGATTGTCTCAAGGCCATCAGCTAGAGGACTGGTGCTGTGCCCTTAGTTATACCAGTATCTATGGATTGGTCTCATGGATTCCCTGCCCAGTGCCCCGCCCTTTGCCCACTCTCTGAGGCCACAGGAGGGATGAGTTCAAACTCTGTTCACAAGGAGCTTACGTGGTCTCATTGAGGAAGTAAAAGGAACTGCCAGTTACTGCTGGGTGTGGATTCACTTTACTTCCTCAGTGAGACCTGGGCCTGGGCCACCAAGGCTCTCCAGGATGTCCTCTGCATGTCAAAACTTCAATGCACACTCAACCACGAGGGCTGAGCTGGAGGAGCTTCCAGGCCTACCCAGTCATCTCCATCCATCTTTGAAAACATTCATGGAACCCCTTTTAGAACCAGCTGATCACATTCCCATTTCAGCAATAGGGATTGTGCGCTCCTCTGTCGCAGGGCCAAATGGCGCTGGCTCATGCGTGTGTCATTCTAGCCCCTTGTCTCTTTCCACCCTGGTAAGGCCTTAAGGGCTTCCCACCTGGTCCGTAGCATCATCAACTCCCTGTGCTTTTTTTTTCTTTTTGGCGGCTATCTCTCCATCCTTATAATAGTCCTGTATAATAGGGGTCAGTTTACAGATGCACAAACTAAGGTTCTGGGAGGATAAGTGACCTCTCTGAGGCCACATAGCAGGAGCAGAATTAAGACCGGATGCAGCTCCTGACCCTGCGGCCAGTGCAGAATAGCTGCAGGGGCCTGTTTTCAAAAGCCCACCCCTTGACCTCTGCCCCAGTCTCAGTAACTCTGGCCTGCCTGTCCTCAGCAGGGAAGAGCCAAGCAGGATGAGCACTGCCCCCGCATGTCCAGAACGCTGTCCAGCACGCTCAGGGCTCCTGCCGCTGCTCAAAGAACTGGCCTCTGGGAAGTGCCACTGCAACCCAGAGGCCCGTGGTGAACAAAGCCCCGCAGGCAGCATGCCTCCTTCCTGCTTCTGGGGTTGTTATTTCAGATGGCAACTGTGTGTGTGCGCTTGTGTACAGTTATTTTTGTCTTTGGCCTTATGGCCTCTGCTATAACACTGTCAGGTGGCAACTTTTTAAGAAAAACTTCTAGAAAATGTTGATCCAAATTGTATGACTCTGGTTGTCCCACCCCCACCTCACCTAGCTCTGTCCCTCATTTTCTACAACATTCCCTCATTTTCACTCCTAGTTATTTCCATCTGAGAAATGGTGCCCCACACACTCTCCTGCCAAACTCCAGGGGAGGGCAGGAGGAACGCCTGGGGCCTCTTTTGGGGGTGTGGAAGGGACCCCTCGCACGCCCCTTCAGACCGGGGAGCAGTCTGGCTCCAGCCCACATGCAGACCTTTGCTTCCTCCTCTGCAGAGGGGTTATTTGTTCATCACCAAAAATTAGGTAGGAGAGAAAAGAAGCCATTCAAGAAAAGAACTTTTCACAGTGCATTTCCTGGCTTGGCTGTGAATGGCATTTGTAAGGCCCAATTACATAAACACGGAGCTAACCAAAATGCTATCTGTCTTTATTGAAGGGGTGGAGGAGCAGGAGGGTGTTTATTTGTAAAGGGGGTAGGGGAAGTGTGTAAAAGAGAGCTAAATTCTCATCTTTATACTGGGAAGTTAATAGATGCCAAATGCACAAGTAGGATATTTTAAGGTAAATTCCAAAAGAACCAACTAAATGGGCTGGAAGGGGAGAGAAATGGGAAGAAGAGGACAGATCTGCTGTTTTCCATTTAAAAACCTTAAATAATTATTGGACTGTAAATTATGGGCTTATGTATCTTTGATTAAAATATAATTTTTAAAGAGTGTTTAAAATATTTAAAGCAATAAGCTATTCGCAATAGCAAAAACATGGAATCAACCCAGGTGCCCATTAACAGTGAATTGGATTTTTTAAAAATGTGGTACATACACACCATGGAATACTACGCAGCCATAAAAAAGAAGGAGTTCCTGTCATTTGCAACAACATGGATGCAGCTGGAGGTCATTATCCTAAGTGAACTAACGCAGAAATAGAAAACCAAATATCACATATTCTCACTTATAAGTAGGAGCTAAACATTGGGTACATGTGGACATAAAGATGGGAACAGTATTTGAGACCGGCCTGGGCAACATGGTAAAATCTGGTCTCTACAAAAATTGTAAAAATTAGCTATGCATGGTGGCATGTCCCTGTAGTACCAGCTACTTGGGGGGCTGAGGTGGGAAGATCACTTGAGCCCAGGAGGTTGAGGTTGCTGTGAGCCAAGATCACACCACTACACTCTAGTCTGGGTGACAAAGCGAGAACTTGTCTCAAAGAAAACCATATATATATATGTGTATATATATGTGTGTGTATATATATATATGTGTATATATATGTGTGTGTATATATATGTGTATATATATATGTGTGTATATATATGTGTGTATATATATATGTGTGTGTATATATATGTGTGTATATATATATGTGTGTATATATATATGTGTGTATATATATATGTGTGTGAGAACAAAAGACGTGGGGACTAATGGGGAGGGGTGGCACTGAGCAAGGGTGAAAAACTACCTGTTGGGTACTATGCTCACTTCCAAGGTGACGGATTTGGTCATATTTTAAACCCCAGCATCACACAGTATACCTTTGTAACATCCCTGCATATGTACCCCCCAATTCTAAAAAGTTGAGAACAACAAAAAAAAGCAAAATAAAATATTTAAAGCAATAAGAAATTGTGACAGATCTAAATACTCTTCAAAAATAAAAAAAAGAGCCATACTAGACTTATAGGAAAAATTTAATTGCTATTTAATTAAAAATTCAAAATATAAGGCCAGGTGCAGTGGCTTACACCTGTAATCTCAGCACTTTGGGAGTCCAAGGTGGGTGGATCACCTGAGATCAGGAGTTTGAGACCAGCCTGACCAACATGGCAAAAACCCATCTCTACTAAAAATAAAAAAACTAGCTGGGCAAGGTAGTGCATGCCTGTAGGCCCAGCTACTAGGGAGGCTGAGGCAGGAGAATTGCTTGAACCCAGGAGGTGAAGGTTGCAGTGAGCTGAGATTATGCCACTGCACTCCAGCCTGGGAGACACAGCAAGACTCCGTCTCAAAAAAAAATAAAAATTAAAAATATAGATTAGGCAGCTGAAGAGAGAATTAAAAATTTGGAAGACAGCTGAAGAAATAGCCTAGAATATAGCATAGAGAGAAAAAGAAAAGGAAAACATAAAACAGCAGCTAAGATATGGGTGACAATGACAAGAACCCATATACATCTAATAGGAGTTATAGAAGGTGAAAATAGCAAGAATGAAAAAGTAATGTTTGAAGAGATAATGGCTGGGAATTTTCCAGAATTGAAAAATACTTTCATCTTCAGATTGAGAAAGTATAATAAGTTCCAGGCAAAATTATAAAAGTGATTCAAGACTTAATGGTAAAATTGTAGAATGTCAAACATAATGAGAAAAACTTAAAAGCAACCAGAGATAAAAGACATTACCTACAAAGGGACAATTATATAGACAGAAAAAAAACACAACAGATGCCAGAACACAATGGAATAATATTAGAAGCTACGAGAAGGGCTCAGGTATAGGGACTGGAAATGCAGCAAAGGGGCAGTGGAGACATCTGTGCCGCTTTCCCTCTGCTGGCCAAAATAAAAAAATTTACATATGCAGATATTACTAGTTGCCTTCCACTAAACATCTTCCCACCTCCTCCTTTAGTAACAAAATCTTGAAGTTACCTGGACACATTGCCATTCAGATAAGAAACTACCTTTCCCAGCCTTTCTTATAGCTAAGTTAGCCTTCCTACCATGTTCTTTTCAATCAGATGGAGCAGAAGTGTTATGTGAAATTTCCAGAAAGCCACCTTAAGGAAGAGAGGGGATGTCCTCCTTCTTCCTTTCCTCCCTGTCACTGCCTGGAAGGAGAATATTTTGGCTAGCTTCATCCTGGACCATGGAGCCCAGGGCCACACCCAGGGGATGGCAGAATGATGAACTGAGATGACCCTGGGTCTCTGACAAGTTAATGGAGGACACTATGCCAGCTCTGGATCACCCGCCTCTGTATTCTTTTACATAAAGACAGCAAAACTTATCATTTGTTTAATCCATTATGTGGATCGTACCTGTTACAGAAAATTTAATCTTCACTCATACCAAAGAGCTTTTGATTGTAGGAAAGAAAACAGGAACCTAAACCTTGAGAGAAACCTTAAGAAGGAAGAGAGGGAGTGAAGAACCAGGGGAGGTAGTCAACCCTGAGAGCCTGAGGCTGGAGGGAAGATCTGCCCATGCTGTGTGGGCCCTTCGTGCAACAGCGGGTTCTCATGGGGCTGGACACAGAGGGGCAGACTGGGGCCCCAGCGGGCACAGCAGTGCTGGTCCCCAGAAGGGGTTTGTCTCAGTGCCTCTAATAACCATCACTCTTGGTAAGTGTATGACACTATCTCCAAGAACAGAAAGAACATATAGTCCATCCCATGGGTCTTTTACAGTCACATAGCAGCATGACAAACAAAGTCCATCCTATGGGTCCTTTACAGTCACATGGCAGCCTGACAAACATAAAGTCCATCCTATGGGTCCTTTACAGTCGCATGGCAGCATGACAAACATAAAGTCCATCCTATGGGTCCTTTACAGTCGCATGGCAGCATGACAAACAAAGTCCATCCTATGGGTCCTTTACAGTCGCATGGCAGCATGACAAACATAAAGTCCATCCTATGGGTCCTTTACAGTCGCATGGCAGCCTGACAAACAAAGTCCATCCTATGGGTCCTTTACAGTCGCATGGCAGCATGACAAACATAAAGTCCATCCTATGGGACCTTTACAGTCACATGGCAGCCTGACAAACAAAGTCCATCCTATGGGTCCTTTACAGTCGCATGGCAGCATGACAAACATAAAGTCCATCCTATGGGTCCTTTACAGTCACATGGCAGCATGACAAAGTCCATCCTTTGGGTCCTTTACAGTCGCATGGCAGCATGACAAACATAAAGTCCATCCTATGGGTCCTTTACAGTCGCATGGCAGCATGACAAACATAAAGTCCATCCTATGGGTCCTTTACAGTCACATGGCAGCATGACAAACAAAGTCCATCCTATGGGTCCTTTACAGTCGCATGGCAGCATGACAAACAAAGTCCATCCTATGGGTCCTTTACAGTCGCATGGCAGCATGACAAACATAAAGTCCATCCTATGGATCCTTTACAGTCACATGGCAGCATGACATTTGGAAGTATTCTGCTGTGCTGGCTGCACTCTTAGCTTCTTTGGTGCAGTGAGGTTGTGCCTTGTGGGTCAATGACTTCTGCACCGCTGGAAGCTCCTCAGAGAGATGGGGCTACAGGGAAGAGGACACATGGAGAAACACACACACACACACACACACACACACACACACACACACAGAGAGAGAGGCTTTCAACAGGGGAGCACCCTTGCACTCCATCTTTTAGCAATTAAAAGAGTGTTTGGTGTTCTTCCCCCAGGACTACCCACTGCTCATCTCTGGGTTTGTGGGTCTCACACATAGGCAGGGGTCCATATCCCAGCCTTCCCTCTGCAAAGAGGACTGAAGTTGTCACAAGATGTGTTTTATTTATTTTCACGAGGACACGGGGTCTGTGTACTTGAGAGAACTATTCTGAGATCTCACTGAATACGATTAGAAACCACACAAGCCCTGGTGTCAGGACTCTAAGTGGCAGTTATTGAAAAGATGGTGATGACTTAGCTGTTTTAATTGGCCTCCATGCAGGAGTACCCTAGTTCTGCTGGTTCAGGCGGGTAGATTTTAAACCTGGTCTTATAAGAGCTGCATTTTCCAGGCAGTTTCTCTGTTCCAGGCTCCATGCTGGGGACTTTCCGTACACCATCTCACTTAATCCTCACAGCTACCCAGTGTGGCAAGTTCTATTAGTATCCCCATTTTTCAGATGAGGAAACTGAGGCACAGGTAAGTAGCCAACAGTCCCTCCACAAGGAAGCAGAGGTAGCCGGCTATGAGTTCTGAGCAGCTGGACTAGAGAGGCACAGGTTGCGAAGTGGAGGACACACAGCTGAGAGTGGCCCACTCCCGCCCAGTCACCTCCGTGAGCACTCCTGCCCTTTCTGCCCCTCAGCTCCTGCACCTGGCCAGACTTGGGGGCTCTCACAGGCTTGCAGCCCCTTTCCCATGGCATCCTGGGACCCCCACCAACTCCTATGGGGTTATGATCTGCTCCTCCCAGGAGAATGGGATGTAGACTCCCCTTCTAGTGGCTGTCTCTACTGTTCTCATCTCCAAATTCCTTTCCCCTCTCCCTCCCAGACAAGTGACTTGATCTCTCATTGGGAGGGAAAACTAGCTCTGAAATTCCTACACATTCTCCCCAGTGCCTCTGCTTAGACTCTAAACTTTATGGACTCCATAGCTTTATTCTTTGCTATGAAAAGCTAAGATTTTGCAGCTTCAGACATAAATTACCTTTCAAAAGCCTGTTTTCTGCAAATCAAAAGCCTTCATTTTCAGAAAATGGTCTCTGGTATGATTTTCAAGAGCCAAGAGTTTGATACCTTTATGCTCTGTGCACCATACTTTTCTCTGAGACCATAACATTCAGCCTCATGTCTTATTTTAATGGTGGAAGAACTTAGGAGAAAAAAACAATTCACTGAAAATGAAAAACCACTGGCCATCATTCTGAAATACTATCCTCACCAAACTATGGCTTTGGACAAAACTGGGCCTCAGTTTCCTTGTCTTTTGAGTGAGGGGCTGGATATGCTAGTCTCTCAGGTTCTTCCTGGCTATGATGCAGGTGTCTTACACTTTTTGGGTCTGTTTCCTCATCTCTAAAGTGGAAACTAGGTCTATTTATGGAATTAAATAAATAGAAATAATGCAGCTATAACATACCTGGCTCAGAGTGGGCCATTAATGAATAGTAAGGGAGGTTTTGTTTGTTTTTGTTTTTATTAATCATTGTCTTATTCAAGGTCCTCTTGAGGACTAAGAAAAGGAAAATACGTGGTGTTCATCTGACCTCAAGGGATTGAAAGTCAAGGCTGAGCTCAGTGGCTCATGCCTATAATCGCAGCACTTTGGAAATCCAAGGTGGGTGGATCACTTGAGGTCAGAAATTCGAGACCAGCCTGGCCAACATGGTGAAACCCCATCTATAACCCTATCTATACTAAAAATACAAAAATTAACCAGGCATGGTGGCACACGCCTGTTGTCCCAGCTACTCAGGAGGCTGAGGCAGGAGAATCACTTGAACCCAGGAGGCAGAGGTTGCAGTGAGCTGAGATCACACCACTGCACTCCAGCCTGGGCAACAGAGACTCTGTATCAAAAAAGTAAAAATAAAAAAGATTAGAAGTCAAGAGGATTGGGTGGGGTCACCTGTACGCTGCCCAGGGAGCATACTAAACTGAGCCTGCTGTGTGACACACCTCCCGACAGAGGGAGTTCACACGCAGCCCTCCCAGGGGAAGAGACAGAGACCTACACAGCCACAGGCAATGCACACCGGTGTCTACTGCCTGCACTGATCAACCCATCATGCACAATGCAGCAGACAAACGGGGATCGTGAGACATTTTGAGAAAGCCAAGAGCACAAAAGGGAAGAACCAACAGGAAGGAAAAGAGCAACTGGCTGTGGGGGATAGGGAACAAAGGAAAAATTTTTAAATTTTTAAATCTAATAAAAAAAAACCTTTAGAGGGACTTGATAAAACATTTCCATAAAATAAGAACAGGTTGTTATGAGAAAGGAAAATAGCCCAAGAAGTATTTCTTGGAAATTAAAAATGCAGTCACCAACATTAAACCTTCCATAGAAGGAGCCGAAGAATAAGTCAAGGAAGTATCCCACAACTTAGATTAAAAGTCAAAGAAATGGAAAAGGCGAGAGAGAAACTGAGAAACACAGATGACTAGCAATACCAATATCTAACTAATATCAACCCAGAAAGAGAGAACAAAGAAACTTAAGAGCAGGAAATTACCAAAGGAATAACAGAAGAAAACTCCCCAGAGCTGAGCTAAGATATAGACCTTCAAAAAGAATGACCCACTGAGACAGAAGCAGGGGGGAATGAAAAAAGACCCACAGTTGTATAGTTGCGTATCCTCTTGATATTTCAGAACATTTAGGATAAAGAGAAGATTCTCAAAGCTTCCAGAGGTAAAAGACAAGTTATCAACAAAGGATCAGGAATCATTGTTGGCAGATTGGCATTAGCAACACTGGAAGGCAGTGAGGTAATTGCCTTCACAGTTCTTTTATTTTTATTTTTTATTTATTTATTATACTTTAAGTTCTGGGATACGTGTGCAGAACGTGCAGGTTTGTTACATACGTGTACATGTGCCATGGTGGTTTGCTGCACCCATCAACCCATCATCTAGGTTTTAAGCCCGGCGTGCATTAGGTATTTGTTCTAATGCTCTCCCTCCCCTTGCCCCCAACCCCCTGACAGGCCGCAGTGTGTGATATTCCCCTCCCTCTATCCATGTGTTCCCATTGTTCAACTCCCACTTATGAGTAAGAACATGTGGTGTTTGGTTTTCTGCTCCTGTGTTAGTTTGCTGAGAATGATGGTTTCCGGCTTCATTCATGTCCCTGCAAAGGACATGAACTCATTCTTTTTAATGGCTGCATAGTATTTCATGTTGTGTATGTGCCACATTTCCTTTATCCAGTCTACCGTTGATGGGCATTTGGATTGGTTCCAAGTCTTTGTTATCGTGAATAGTGGCGCAATAAACATACATGTGCATGTGTCTTTATAGTAGAATAGGATTTATAGTCCTTTGGGTATATACCCAGTAATGGGATTGCTGGGTCAAATGGTATTTCTGGTTCCAGATCCTTGAGGAATCGCCACACTGTCTTTCACAATGGCTGAACTAATTTATACTCCCACCAACAGTGTAAAAACGTTCCTATTTCTTCACATCCTTTCCAGCATCTGTTTCCTGACTTTTTAATGATCGCCATTCTAACTGGTGTAAGATGGTATCTCATTGTGGTTTTGATTTGCATTTCTGTGATGGCCAGTGATGATGAGCTTTTTTTCATATGTTTGTTGGCCGGACTCCTTCCTTACACCTTGTACAAAAATTAATTCAAGATGGACTAAAGACTTAAATGTAAAACCTAAAACCGTAAAAACCCTAGAAGAAAACCTAGGCAATACCATTCACGATGTAGGCATGGGCAAAGACTTCATGACTAAAACACCAAAAGCAATTACAACAAAAGCCAAAATAGACAAATGGGATCTAATTAAACTAAAGAGCTTCTGCACAGCAAAAGAAACTATCATCAGAGTGAACAGGCAACCTACGGAATAGGAGAAAATTTTTGCAATCTACCCATCTGACAAAGGGCTAATATCCAGAATCTACAAGGAACTTAAACAAATTTATAATAGAAAAACAACCCCATCTAAAGGTGGGCAAAGGATATGAACAGACACTTGCCTTCACATTTCTAAGGGCAAACAATTTTGTACCTAGACTTCTATACCAAATAAAAACATTTTCAGTATACAAGAAATGAGATTTCTTGTATATCTTTCTGATTTAAAAAGTGGGGGCCCTGTAGTACCAGCTACTTGGGAGGCTGAGGCAGGAGAATGGCGTGAACCCGGGAGGCGGAGCTTGCAGTGAGTGGAGATCGTTCCACTGCACTCCAGCCTGGGAGACAGAGCGAGACTCCGTCTCAAAAAAAAAAAAAAAAAAGTGGGGGCATGGAGGGTGAGGAGTGTAATCCAGCAAGACAGAAAAGGAACCTAGAAAGAAGAAGAGCTGGTCCAAGAAACAGAAGAGCTAAGCCAGGTATCCAGTGAAACAAAACCCCGGCAGGACTTGTGGGACAACTGTGTAAGAAACCTGGGAGAGAATCCATTCAAGTTAGAACAGAAAGTCAGAAGGTTCTGAAAAGCAAGTCTTCAAGAAGAAAGTTAATTCCATTGAACAAAAATAAGATGAAGAAACTGGAAGACCTCAGAGATATGATGAAGAATACGTATGTGCTATCCCTCAATAAATTTTTTAAGGCAGTTAAAAATTCTGGAGAAGGCAAATTGCTAAACCAGAAAGACATCATAAAATATTAAGCAAACTAAAATATGTCACGATTTTGAGCAATTAAAGGAAGATGAAGAAAGAGAACAATTTAACTATGAAGCTTAAAATAATCTCCTTCAAACAGCACAGGTGAGTCACCTGGGCTGACATCTCCCCTGCCGTGAGGTTCACTGTATCTTTCTGCCATGGATGAGGGTTACATCATCAGAATGTTGATAATGTTCTTTATTCATTTTCACTTTTAGAGTCAATGAATAGAAACTTACACTTATTACTTATAGTTACAGAATGTAATGAGGTAAAAATTAATGTTTTAGACTGTATAAGTAACAGGGAAGGATCAGGGAATTGATTTTTTCCATAGTGAAGGGGCAAGAAAGGTGTTTAATTTGTCCAATTGTATTATTTGCAGTTTTTGTTTTTTATGGTATGCATATTTTGCTTTTAAAAATTTTCAAGAAAGTGGTGCCATATTAAATATCTGAAGGTGTTTCACAGGCTGTCTCAGGCCTATAAGAATTCACTGCCTTTTCTGTTCTGTGCCTTTTACTATATTTTTATTTATTTGCCATTCTTCAAAGATTGCAATTTTAAATTGCTCAATATATTTTCTCAGTTGAAAATATCAATGTATTTATGTAATGAAAATGCCAATATGTGTGTATATATCTGGAATTAGCATAGAAATGATTAAAGCAGTTCAGCGTTGATCAATAATCGTATTTGATTTGGGATTTTTACTTTGTTTCCCTCGACCATCCTGTGCTTTGATATTTATTACCACCCACTGAGATTCTGGCCTCAACTAAATAGAACTTGCTTAAGGAAATTCAAAATCTAGCAATTGAATTCAAGTGGTGTTGCTCACAGAATGACAATACAGAATTAGGACTTGCAGAGTAAACAGAAACCCAGTAGATGGGAACTGCACCCTTGATAAAATGTCTCTTACTGCCTTGAATACAACCAAACATCACCAAACCACAGCCCCCGGCTATAAAAAACTTTTTTTCAATTATAAGGTCAGAGTCTTCTTTCAACTGCGCTAAGCAGTTTGACCAAAACGTGTATTTCTGATATGTGTGGTTTTGGAAGACCTAAGATTCTCAAGCCCCAGGGTTCAGAAGGATGCCGCAGTGTTTTGAAAAGTCCTCTGTATTCCACGTTCTGTATGAAGCTGCCAAGTTGCTCAGGTGTTCCCAGGAACAGAGAGGTGGCCGTGGGCCAGCCTCCCAGGGAGCCCAGATGCTGGCTGCAGGCTGTCTCCACACCCGTGCTGAGTGTCCAGCCCAGCCAAGGTATGTCTGCTTTCTGTTGGCACCGCTAGTGGCCCTAAGGAGACATTTCACATCAGAGCTAGCGTCAACCCTCCCTCTGTCCTCCTCACAGAGGACTCAGAACTTTCTCTCTTCTTCCAGAGTTGCTAAGGGAATCCGCACCCTGCTTTACCTCTTGCTAACTGAAATAAAAAAGTTTTCCAGGACAAGTGGCCTGAGCCCTTGTGATGATGCACAATAATCACCCGTGCGACAAGAGCATCCTTCATCTCGATGGGCCGGCAGGGGTGGTCCCTGGCCTGCTTCTAGGAAGAAGGAAAGGCCTCAACTCCCACAGTCATTAGGACAATCACAGGCAGGTGGGTTTTCTAGAGATGGTGAGAAGCAGCTCCCCTTATGGTATAAGGATCCGTGAGCAATCAGAAACCAGGGTATTCTGGGAGATTATTGGAAAGGCATACTCTGGGTACCATGGGTTCTATGGCTGCCATGTGCAAACACACACAGCGTGAAGGCAAACGACCAAGGGGGTATGCACAAATCGATGTGGCCTTGTTAGGGGTCTGAGAATCACTGGTCATTCTTTTTTTCTTTTTCCCAAGTTTTCTCATAGTCCCCATGAAAGGGGAATGTTTAGGGTTACAATGTTAATTTGCTTTTAACTGACATTTGCCCTGTGTCTGGGGTGTCTCTGCTCAGCTCACCTGCAGCATCTGATTCAGGCTGGACGTCCATAGTAGGCCCTCCAGAAAGACTCATGGGACACACAGCCCTGGCCAGAGCAGACAGGCAGAGGCCGACTCCAAATGTTCCTCCTTCATCAGGTGTTGGGGTAAAAGCGCTGTGGATGAGCAGGTTGACAGCTTGCCTCCTCACTGCAGTGCTGTAAGTAGAAGATGAATGGTGCTGCTTGTTCAGAGATAATTGACACAGGATTTTTCCACTTCCTTGCTTTGGCAGAGGCACAGTTTTGTTTTCTTTGACTCCAAGCTAAAATTTCCCCTGCCCCTTCTCTGCAACCTGCCCCTGGTGCCCTCTAAGCCCCTCCATGGTGTTGACCAGCCTGACCCCACAGCTTCTCCTCCTACCTCTGCCGCCTCTCTCTGCAGCCACATGGGGGTCCAGCGCCTGTTTCCCTCCTGCCAATGCTGCCATTCCCTGAACTTCAAGCGACCTCACCACAGACCTTCAGTGCCCCCTCCTGTCAACAGGAAGGCTCTCCTTCCAGCTCCCTTTCCTGCCACTCGTCTGCCTGATTCCCTGTCCATTCCTGGGGCCTCTGTGGACCCCACCCTGTGTGGGGTCTGTGCGAGTTGCCAGAGCCAGTGAGGAGATGGCTCTAGCCTCAGAGAAATCACACAGGAAGCCCTGAGTGCCTGGGAGACAGTGCTGGAGCAGGTACTAGGCCTGGTGGCAAAGCTACTAGCTCTCTTATAGGCTGGAGAGGTGGGGGTTGACTGTCATACATTGGAGGGCCACAGCTACATCAATAAGATACTGTTAGTGTTCTTGCATCATGGATGACAGAATTAAGGTTCAGAGAGGGTAAGTGACTTACCAGAGGTCACATAGCTTATAAGTGGCACATTCAAGGTTGACACCTAGGGTTTCCTAAAGGAAGAATTCTTCAAGGTGGGCCTGGCAGGACATATGGGATATGGAGAAGCAGAGAGCGGGGGCTGGAGAGAATGGCACAGAGAGGTGACAGGCCCTGGAGTTAGAACAGAGGTGTTGGTAGGTGGCTGTGCTCCCTTGGCAAAAGAGCACCAGACAGAGAGGGGGAAGGGTTCCTGTCTGAGAGGTCTCCACCGGCCTGTCCCTCATCCTCTGCTGCTTCCTTCACATGCACTCACACAGGGGCTTGGTGGGAATTCCTAGGACCACGTGCAAGGGAAATGCCAGGAGAAGCCGTGTTCTGGGGTATGAGAGCCAGCCGCTGAGCCCAACTCACGTCCTGTGGGAAGCCACCTCATGGTTAGGGAGTCACCTTGACCTTGTCTGAGACCTTAACTAGTTAATGTGCATGTGTTTGAATTCCTGCACATATTTTTTATGTTTGAATTCCTGCACACGTTTTTTTTTTTTACTTTCCCCTAAGTAAAAAAAAAAAAAAAAAAATGTGAGCAGGAACTCAAACATATTCACGTTAACTAGTAAAGTTAATGTGAACTCTCTCCTGAGCTCTTAGTTTCGAAGGGAGGTCATGTCTGCACAAGTCGTCTAAGGAACACTGTCTTTAGAGCCTGGTCTCTCCCTGCTGTGTGATGCGAATGAGAGTGGGCTGGCGGCCCCTGCTGTGGGCAGTGACTTTGGAGCGCCCTCAGGCACCCCGCACCTGGGCCTTGGGGTGGTTTTGAAGCCTAGCTATGCATCCACTTACCCTAAAAGCTTTTGACAATAGAGGGCCAGGCACTGTCTCAGGAGGCTCTCTTCTAGCTGTCTCGGGGGCAGCCTGCTCATTTTTGTTGAGTTATCTGAGTGAATTATTTTATTCCTTTTTATGTCCTGAGCAAACCCACATCCTCATTTTATTAGTGTATTTCCAATTATTGCATAATGATTTCCAGTTTAGCTTGGTCTGTGATATGAGGACACTTAATCAAATATCTGTACGATAGGCCTTTAAGTTCTCTAGGGCCAGAAGTTTTCCCATCAATTAAGCTTCAAAGAAATGGGTTTTAGGCTCATCTGCAACTGTGTTTTTGTGTTTCTTTTATGGCCTTCCTGCCTTCTCCTGGTGGCTTTAGAGATACCAGGAAATGTGACGTGGGACTAAGGTATTTATTAGTGGGTGTGCAGAGAATGGGTTTATAATGGTTATTACAACATTTTGAAGTGGCTGCCTTGAAGCAGGACAATTTATGTTTCCATTACAGTCACCTTATGAGCACCCCACACACACAGTTCTGCCAGGAGGGGACATCTACCCTGGATCCTGTGGACTCCCTGGGATCAAACCCCTGGAGGTTTCCTCTGGAGAGAGATTGACCCCCAGAACCTTCCACACACCCCACACTCACCCCATGCCTCAGAGGGATGAAAATCTGACCACTAAAATTCAAAGAGTATTTCTCTGCCATCCGGGGTGCTCCTCCCCTGGAGCCAGGCCAGGCAAGGTGCCATTCTGGGCCTTGACTCCTATAGCAATTACAGGACAGAGGTTATCAGCCCCATTTGACAGATGAGGAAATGAGGCCCAGGGAGAGAAGCCCTGGGCTTCCAGCAAGCAAGCAAGTGGGTGCTGCTCTGCTCTGAGACTCCCCATGCCTGGAACACGAGTGTGGGGGGAAACAGCACCCCACGCCCTCCGGCCTATCCTGTGAGCACTCATGCAGGGAAATAAGAGCAAAAGAGAGAACTGGGAGGATTCTCAAACCACAGTGACTCCAATCCCCATACTTTTTCACACTGAGTGGAGCTCCCTTCCCCATCTCTGAAGAGGAGAACAGACCCCAGGTCATCAAGCCTGGTCCTAGCCAGGGGCAGAGCTCTCAGCTAGAGCACCTCGCACTTGGATTTATTTGTCATGGTTTCTCTTCTGCTCTCACCTAGGCAAAGGGGTTGGATTTCACTGGAGGAAAGTTCCAGAGGAAGCAAAAGGGAAAGCCTGTGAGCATGGAGTATTCTTGTTCAGTTTACCAAGGGGCTGTCCTATGGCAGCCTGGACTCAGGGTCAAAGGAAACTTAGAGGCCATGCATGTCTCAGTAGAAGCAACTCTGGACAAAGCCATGTGTTCGTTCCTTTGTTTATCTGGCACATGTTTGTTGAGTGCTAGTTGTATGCCAGGACCCCCATTGGCTCATGTCGATGGTGGGAGGGACATGTGGACAAGTAGAGGAAGCAGAGATGATCGATGTTCTGAGGGGGTGTCCAGGGCTCTCAGAATACACAGGAGACTGAACCCAGCCAGGAGTGGTCAGGATAGTGACATGCAGGAAAGCCACGTGCCAGCTAAGACCCAAAGCCCTCCACCCCTCCCTCCCTGAGAGCAGGCCTGTGCCCAGTTGCCAGAGGTGTCCTATTCCTGCTCCCTATTCAGGGTTGCACTACCATGATAGGGCAAAGCAGTCATCATTCCATCAGTGACCACGTGTCTTGAGCAGATGCTGCAAGCCAGCCCTCTGCACAGCCCCACCGATCTGAAGAGGCTTGGAAAGGGGCGGGGGCAAGATTCTAGCTGTGGTGTTGTAGCCCCAAGGTGATGGTAGGCATGTTTAAGGAACTGAGGTGGCGCAGGGTCGCCAGAACGGGTGTGTGAGTGGGGAAGGATGAGGCTGGAGACATAACAGGGCAAGTCAGGGAGGGCGCTGCCTGGCTCCAGCCCGAAGGCAGTGGGAGCCCCCATAAGATTCCTCCAGCTACTGAGTGGGGGAGGATTGGTGGGGACATGATCGGAGGCATAGTGGTCATCCGGGGGTGTTAATGGCTTCCTGAACTACAGCAGAGGTGGTAGGAGTGGTGGGAAACTGGCACCCTAAGAGACACAGTGGTAGAAATGACCTGAGCCAGGACTGATTGGCTGGGGATGGGCAAGATGGTGAGGTAGTGCCAGGTGTGCGATTTGGGAAGCAGGGGGCTTGGGTGGAGGGGTTGTCGGCTGAGGCTGGGATGTGAAAGAAGGAGCAGTCTTGATGGTGAGTTCCATTTGGGCCATGTTGAGTTGAGGGGCCTGTGGGACAATGTGGGGAAATGTCAGGCCAACAGTGGGGTGGGACATCAGGAGCTCAAGAGAGGATAGTGGATACTGGGCTGGATAGTGAGTAGACACCGCTCCAAGCTTCCCCTGCACCAGCCTCGATTGAGGGAACCGAGTATCCATGGGGGAGCAGAGGGAAGTTTCTGTATAGCTTATGCCACTCCACGTCCCAAAGAACCACAGCTTCTGGGAACCTAGAAAAGCATGGGGCAGGAGAAGCAGCCAAATACTCTCAGCAACGACCACCTTTAAAAGGGCCTGAGAACACCAGGGTGGGAAGATGGAGCATGGTGGAGGCCAGTTCCATGGCCACTCTTGTGTTCTCCCGCAGGAGCCAGTCCAGAGTGTGCACTGGCATAAATGGGTCAGCACACCCCACCAGGGCCTCTAAGCATGGAGCAGACAGGAATAGGGGCACACACCCGGGGGGTCATCAGGGCCAGGGCCAGTGAGTGACCCGAGTCATCTAGAAACATGACTCAATCGACATTTACACCTGCCAATCAGACATCTCCCCATGGGTGACCTGGGAGACCTATGTGCACACCAGGGACCCAGAGAGTTAAGCTCACACTCGGATACATCCTGTGATGGAAAGACACCCCTGGAGCTCTCCTGCCAGAAGCCCTCCGCACGCATACTCACCACCCAAACCCCCTCATCTAAGGCCACACAATTTTAAGTGATCTGTAGGCAAGAACCATGACTGTCTTCACATTTGATCTCCATTTCTTCAAACAGTATCCTATCCTCCAAAATGCTCACTACCTAGCGCCTTAAAAGTCAAATCAACTCCACTGAGTTGGCTCACTTTTTAAAAGATGCTTCTCCAGCTCTTATGTTTGCTTTCTGATGGAGGGGACAACTAGCCTTAGCTACTTGGAGCATGTTGAAAGCTCTGAGTGGTGTGCAGCATCGACTCTGTAACATCCAGCCTGAAACTTGGAGGCATAAGCTGGGAAAATGTCCTAAGACATGGGTGGCATTTCAAATGTAATTATTGCTGGTATTCCCATTTGGCAGCCCAGCTTTCAAGCCAGCCAACTCCCTCATTTTATATTTACTTTTAGTCCCACACTATTTTCTGTGATCCATTAGCTCTAGGAAGTCATTTAAAAGCTATAATCACGGCGCTTTGCTCAGGTGGATGCAATCCAGATAAATGGACCCAGATCCACTCCTCGAAGAAGCCTCGGGCTCCAATTCAGCGCTAATGCACCCCAATTAAACAAGCAGAGCCAGCTGCCCCCGTGAGTTCTACCTCATCTGCATTTAAAAACTAGGGAAAGTGTGGGCAAGAGTCCGTTGCAGAGGACGCTTAACAGCCCGCTTCCTAGTTGGAAAATGTACCTTTGGCCTTGCATTTGGGTCACAGGTGCAAGAAGCCCCCACCTAGAATGCAATCATGATGTCCCTCAATGGTTTGCCTCATCATCCTGGTGCACGCTGTCTGGAAGTAAGCTTGCCCACCACAGCCCCATGCTGGTGCAAGGGCAGGTTGGGGGCTCTGGGCCTTACCGGAGAGGACGATATCCCAAATCGAGCACTGTGGGCCTGCAGCCCGCCATCCCCGAACACAGGCCTGTGCCCAGTTGCCAGAGGTGTCCCGTTCCCGAGACAGGGGTGTGTTGCTGTGATAGGGCAAATCATTCATCATTCCATTAGTGGTCACAGGTCTTGAGCACATACTGCGAGCCCTCCATCCCCATGGATCTGGAGAGGCCTGGGAAGGGGTGGACACAGCCCCTGCCCCGGGGTACACAGTGTGGTCATGGAAATGGTGCTCACTCTCCTCAAGCATTAGATGCTACATGCCTAGAAGGGCTCAAGGGAGACAAGCACAGGCTGGGGAATCAGAAAAGGCCCCAGGGAGGATGAAGGACCTGGCTGGCTCAATAGAAAGACAGGCACACAGGGTCAGGCCTGCAGGGAACCATGGGACAGAACTGGCTGTAGGGTTGTTTAGATGGAGTGGGCAGGAGGATGTGTTGAAGAAGATGTGGGGGCCCTGATGACAAGTCTAGGCAGTGACTTCATCAGTCAGCCTCTCACCCCTGCCCTGGGTCAATGGGGGCAGGGAATAAAATCCGTACCATCCTTTTCTCACCCTCCTTAACAGAAGAGCATTCACACAGCTCTCAGCACTCAACGCTGACTGCAGAGGCGGCTGTGGTCAGGAGAGGGGAGCAGGATGGGAGAGAGACAGCCAGAAGGGAAGTCGCTCAGCCAGCTGTGCCCACATCTTCTCATGTCCTGGGGCATGGGCTTCTGGAGAGCAGGGCTCGAGCCTCGCCCCCTTCTCCACCCACTTCACACCTCAGCGTAGTGGAAGGCAGGGTGGGGTCAGTGCTTGTTTGTTGAGTGATGAGGACTGTTCAGGGCTGGCTGTGCTCATTCCCCACCCCACCCTTGCCTCCTCCCCGAGCTGGACAGCCCAGCTTTGCTGGGGAGGATGCGGCAAGGGTCAGGGACAGTTCCAGGGCCTCAAAATGATGAGGGCTGCTGTCCCGTGGTTATGGTTTGGAGCTCTTCACCTTGTGCCTATTTGGTCTATGTTCAATCTGGGATCTAGAGTTACAGTAAGTCCCGGTAGTAATTCACATGCTCATGAATTCACAGAGCAGGGTAAGCTATGGGTTGCCTATCTCTGCCAAGCCAGATATTTGGAATGGTTATAAATATCTCCCACTGTCAAGTAGAGGTCCCTCTGCTCCCTCAATGCAAACCACATAGCTTGGGATCCATTAGTTCATTCCAAATAATTAAGAAGCACCCCTCATGGGTGTGGTGGGTATAATAATTCAGAAGGCAAAACTCTTCCTGTCCCAAGGATCCCAGTGTTGGTGCATCAGGGCCCATCTTCTTGGTGGGCATCACACTGCATGCTGGAGGAAGAATCAGCTTTATAGGGCAGTTAATGTTGAAAGTCAAGTGCAGAATTTGGACTCTGATTGCCACCCCCCCCAAGAAAGGGGAGGGGAGAGCTGTTCAGGGAAGGCTTTCTAGAAAAAAAAAGAAATTGAAGCTGTCCCCAGGGGACAGTTTAGGGGTTGATAGGGGGACATTTCAGGTAGAGGAGGCCAACCATGCAAGGCCTGGAGGGAGGGAGGCTGGGCCTGTCCGGGGGTGGCTTGCTGGCCAGTCAGGCATGACTGGACCATGAGGGGAAGGGGCAGAAAAGTCCATCTTGATTCCTCCTGGGCAGGAGACCCTTGACGTCTCTTTTTGTGTCACGTGAGCTGAACAGCCAGGGCCGTGAAGGTCGAGTCCCAGCCGTGCCTGAGTCCATACTTCAGTCCTCAAACCCTTGAGAAGCCTAGGAGGGGAGAGCAGGGCAGACGAGGCCAGGGCATGGCCTGTGAGAGGCTCCTCAGGCCTTACACATTGGCCCTGTGTGCTCAGAGGTCTCCAAGGAGGCCCAGTTTTATGTCAGGGCCCATGACAAACCCTCACCAAGAACAGACTAACTGAGCACCTGCCTCCATACCGATACCTCTGAGCCAGGAGCCACGGCCAGCCACGCCTTCAACATGAGGAGGTGGTGCCGTGTCAGCACAGACCGCCAGGTGTTTCGGGAGCCTTGCTCACAGTGTTTGTGTAGGACACCCCAAGGTGTCCTAGCTCCTGGACTAAGCCTCCTTTAGATACCTCTGGGAGCTGAGTATTGGGTGAGGCCAGGACGCCCTGGGGCAGTGGGGATCCCCTGACTCTTAGGCCTTGTATTCTTCTCCTAAGGCTGCTTGGCAAAACCCACACCCCCACCCAGCCTCCTCCCCAGAGACCCCAGGCCTCCTGGCAGCCCTGGGTTGAAGGGATGCCCAGCCCAGGATGGCAGAGTCTCAGGGACCAGATGAGCTGCCGCCACTTCCATATCAGTGACCCTCTCCTGTGAGCCCCGCACCTTCCCACCCCTCCCCCATGTACCTAGGCCTGGGCTTGGCTGAGGACAAATACTGTCTACTCAAAGCAACTGCTGTCTTTCAGACATATTGAGAAACATCAGGTTACCTTTTTTAAATAAACATATCATTGAAGCATAACACAGAGAGAAAATGAATAAGTCATAAGTGTATAGCTCAGTGAACTTCCACAGAGAACATATCTGCGTAACCAGCACCCAGATCAAAAGACAGAATCTTACCAGTGCCCAGACGCACCCCACACCATGCTCTATTCCAGTGTGACCCACCCAAGCATACCCACTACTCAGGTGGCCTTTTGAAAGAGGAGAGGGCATGACTGTGACAAAGCAGAAGGGTGGCTAACACCAGCACTGCCACTTAGAGGGGTGCCCAGGTAGAGGGGAAACAGGGAAGAGAGCAGAGGCCATGAGGTAAAGAAAAGCTTCATGTGAGTGTGGAAGAGAACGACCCAGTGAGCGTGGCAGGACCCTCGCCAACTGTGACTGGAAGCTGCATGTAGAACTTGAAGCAATCACCTAGGAACTTGTCGTCATGGTAATGGATTCAGATGCTTTATCAGTTTGGAACTCGGCTGCAATATCAGTTTGGAACTCGAACCATTTCTAGACTCTACGCCCAAAGGAAGACAGACTTTTGAGTGGAAGCGATACAAATTACCTGTGGAGCAGAAAACAAAGATCTCCTGTTGGCACTCAGGCTTCCTCCTGCTCTAGGTGAGACCTCGGGACCTGGGTGGGGCCTGGCCCTTCCAATGCCTCAGAGGTCAGACATGGGGCATTGAAGGGCCCTCTTGGCTCAGGCTGGGGTCCAGCTCACTCTGCCCTTCCCAAGAGCAGCTGTACTCATGGCTCTGTGTCTGAGGGCCCTGAAGAACATCCTGCAACATAGATCTTTCCAGATTTCCTTTCCCTTCAGTCTCAGACACTACCCTCTGCCTGATGCAGGAGGCCCTGCGCAGTGCAGGTCAGCCTCTGCCTGACGTGGAGATGCCCTCGCTGGGTGTGACTCTGCTTGCTCCAAAGGGTACCTTGCTCTGGGAATCGGCTACAGGTCATTCCTGTCAGTTAAAAGACCTGGAAATCCCATCTTTGTGTTCCCTACATTTCTCAGCCCTGGATGAGATAGATGACCAGCCCAGACGTCTGGATTTCTGAGCCACAGCTGTGGGCAGTAAAAGGCAGGATGTGCCAGTGTGTTAGTGACAATAAGATTTGCCCAGTAAGGGGCCCCTATGCCTGGGCAGGGTTTCAACGTGGTCCTTGTGCTATAGAGATTCCTGTCCTCTCCCATCACAGTTAGAGCTGGAAGGCTGGAAGCAGGAGAGAAAGGAGGTGGAGATGGGCAGAAAAACAAAACAAGAATGTGGGGCACAAAAGGACAGGCAGGCAACGGCCTGGCTGCATCGCCATTGCCCGGGGCCCCAGGCCTCTCACTGTTCCTTGGCCTCAGTTTCCTAATCAATAAATGAGGAGCCTGGACTACATCATTCCAAAACCTTTATCCCTGCTCCTGGGCACTATGACCTGGGATTTGTGATGGGCCAGCTGCATAGGAGCCTCCAAGAGGCAAACAGGGTGCAGGATGGGGCTGGGGCTGAGCTGCCGCCACATGTGCAGTGTCACTGGGATGCACACCCAGATCCACAGCTGTGTGTGAGAGTGTGAGTGAGTGTGTGTGTATGTGTGTGCATGAGAGAGAGACAGACAGAGAGAGAGAGACAGAGAGAGAGAGGACACCTGCACGTGCAAGGACCTATTCTCCAGTGTCCTCTCTGCACCTGAGCCTATACTGGGTGCCATGAGCCTCCAAAAGAAATGAAAGAGTTTCTCACCCCAGCCTTGTGAAACTCTTACCAGAGTGTTATCCTCACCAAACACAGAGCACCATTCGTGGTAAAAACAAAAATGGAGGTGAGAGTGTGATTGGCTTATTTAGCTGATGGCTCCTGTTTTTATTAGGAGCCATGACATCATCAAGTGGCATTTCTTGAGCCTCACTTACCAGATGATTTCTCAGTATTTGCCCTTCTGCCTGGAAAGTTCTTTATGAATATTTTAACCACATTTTCAAAGCATAAGTCAGAAGACAGGTTAACACATTCTGAAGCAAAACATGCTAATTCTGTGACACGTGATCTGCACCATATCCACAGGGACACAGGTGCATAGGGCTCCTGCTGGGATCTCAGATGGGAAGACCCTCAGGCTGCAGGCCACTGGCTCCGCCTCTCCGGCCCCAGGTGTTCTCTGAGCTGTGTACACTTTTCTTTGGAGAATCCAAGAGGGTCCCTGTCACTCCCATCAACTGTGGATCCTGAACCTCTCAAAGCATCTGAATCCATTACCATGACAGACAAGGCAGCCAGGAGGCCATTCTCAGGCTCTGGGAACTGATAAATATGGAGGCAGAGAGCAGGCTGGAGTCATTGCGCAGTGTGTGAGTCTAGTGAGAGCCAGCACATCTGCCAAATCCCATCAGGCTGCTGCTTTCGCTCCTTTCCCGGTGTTCAGGGAGTGAGCAGTGCAGATGCATTATGGCTGAGATGTGTCTGGAATCAAACTCCATCGCTGGAAGAGGAGGGCTTTCTGAGCGCTCGGAGGACCCACACCTGGTTTGCTGTTTATCCCCACTGCCAACCCTCCCTCGGCAGCCCCGGCTTCTCACACTGCCAGGCCCTGCATTCTGGATGTGAGCTGAGACCACAGCCTGCGCATCAGCTCAGAAGCTTCAGGTTGAAAAACCCACACGTTCCGCCTGGCACCGACTTTCACAGAAATGAGGGTTTCTGCAGCTCCCTCCACGGGCTGCCCACATTTTGATAAGTTTCCCGTGTAGATAATCCTCAGAACAGCAGTGCAGGTGACGGGGAAGGAGAGCCTTCTCACTCTCCTCCCAGAGGCTCAAGCCCTGGAAATACTCCAAAGATCTCCCGAAATGGCTGGTGTTCGCTTTCAGAGTTGTGGAGTTTTGTTTTATTTTGACCAGGGATTTACTGTCAATCGTTCAAGTCCGAGAGGTTAAGATAAATCTTCAAACCTCAGGAAATTTCTCTGAGCCGTCTCAGGTCTAAAACCCTCTGTTTGGGTCATTCTTCTCTGAAATGCCATTTCCTGCCAAGCTCATGTAAGAGCACGTATCGCCGGCTTATAGCAGACCCGTTTTCTGAGAGCATTCTGAGGCAGTTTCCCTGTAACACCTTTTCTTCTAAAGTAAATGACCCCAGGAGCCCCTTCCGCAGGTGAATGTGGAATGTGTTAACATTTGGGGAGTTCCTTCCTGGAGACTGCAGTTCAATGGCATTGATTTGCAGTCCAGGCACCCCTCACATCAGAGGACCAGAATCTCTGCTTGTTGTCTTGAAAACCCAGTGACTCTTTGGCTTGGCTCAGAAGCTGAAGATCAACACAGAGGAGAGAAAAACACCATGAGCTGCCAGGCCTGTGAGACGCCCGCTCAGAAACTGCTACTGCCCCAGTCTCCCCACCTGTTATTTCAGGGCACACCTGCCCTGCCTGGGGGTGTCTTGGGAGAACAGAGACAGGAGAGAGCCCAGTTCTGGAGAAGGCCCTGCCGGGACCTATGCGGGGCTGCTTTCCCTCTCAGCGGGGCTTGCTGTCTCTACCCCAGTGCACAGAGGTGATGCCTCTTCCTCTGGGGCTGCTGTGGGCTGCCTTCCTAGAGGCCAGGAGCCTCCATGGCCCCCAGGCATGACCCTGAATCCCCTGCCCCCCTGTTTTTGACCATGCTGGCAGAGCTTGCACACAGGTGCACGTGTGTCCACAGCATAACCACAGGGACACACTCACACTTCAGCACATATGCACACACAGGCATACTCCCACACTGTTCCCGCTGTTCTTTAAAAATCACAGTACCTGGGAGTGTGAAAAGAAGTAAGGCCACAGATTTGGGTTGCTCTTGTAAATCACTTGTCTTTACCCCCTGTCAGACCTAAAGCCACCTTTTTATAGCAAATCTTTTGTAAAGCCCCCCTTTATTATCTTGAAATGGATACATGTCATCAAATATGACATATATTTGATATGAGGGATATATCTAAGTTCTATCCCATATATGTGTGGTGTATTATTCTTTGGATATTTGTACCCTGAAATCTCATGTTGAAATGCAATCCCCAGTGTTGGAGGTGGGGCCTGGTAGGAGGTGATTGGATCATGGGGGTGGGATTCTCATGAATGGCTTGGCACCATCCCCTCACGGCTGTCCTCACGGTAGTGAGTCCTTGCGAGATCTGGTTGTTTAAAAGGGTGTGGCATCTCTCTGCCCACTCTCTTGCCCCTGCTCTTGCCCTGTGAGATACCTGCTCCCCTTTCACCTTCTTTCATGAGTAAAAGCTTCCTGAGGCCTCACCAGAAGCTGTTGCCAGCGCTATACATCCTGTACAGCCTGCAGAACTGTGAGCCAATTCTTTTCTTATAAATTACCCAGACTCAGGTATTTCTTTATAGCAATGCAAGAACAGCCTAATACAATGTGATAAAAAGGAGAAATGCAGGAAAAGTGATGAGCATAAAATAAACCTTTCAGTATGTAAATATCTGGGCACCAGCTGCACTCATGGAGGCCAGATGTCAGCACCTACACGTGGAACCCTAAGAATACAACAGCTGCAAACAGAACCTGTTACACGTCTGTTATGTTGACAACTTGAATATTCAAGTGTTGTCGCTTTAGAGATGGGATTCTCCAAAATGGTGAATGATTCTTGATAAAATAGTAAACAGAATCTACAATTGACAGCAGAGGTGCATCCTTGGAATGCCTTTGCCAAACCCGGGGCAAAGGGGGTGAATGTCGTGTAACACATTAGATTCTAGGCTCAAGTAATAGTAACCAGATGTTTTGCTGCCGTGAGTGAGACATTTAAAAATTCAGATGAGATGCCAGGTGTGATGGTTAATACTGAACGTCAACTTGATTGGATTGAGGGATACAAAGTATTAAGCCTGGCTGTGTCTGTGAGGGTGTTGCCAAAGGAGATTAACATTTGAGTCAGGGGGCTGGGGAAGGCAGATCCACCCTTGATCTGGTGGGCACAATCTAGTCAGCTTCCAGCGAATATAAAGAAGGCAGAAAATGTGAAAAGGAGAGACGGGCCTGGCCTCCCAGCCTACATCTTTTTCCCAGGCTGGTTGCTTCCTGCCCTCGAGCATCAGACTCCAAGTTCTTCAGTTCTGGGACTCGGACTGGCTCTCCTTGCTCCTCAGCTTGCAGACAGTCTATTGTGGGACCTTGTGAGAGCTGCAAACAGAACCTGTTACAGGTGTGTAAGTTAATACTTAATAAATAAATATATATATATCTCTCTCTCTCTTTTGAGTTCTGGCCCTCTAAGAGAACCCCGACTAATACACCAGGCCAGCAGAAGTTTTTGTGCAGGATGGTACCGTGAAGGTCAGGATCGCTAGGACCCCTGGCCCCACCCATTAAGTGCTACCAAGGCCCTCCAATCATTGTGACAACCAAAAACATCCCCACAAAATTCCAAAACGCCTCTTGGGGACAGCACTGCCCTTGTTGAGACCGTTTATAGAGACTCCTTGCATGTGCGATGAGTCCATGTGGGAGCTAAGTGCTCCCTTTGCCTGACCCATCAGCCTCAGTCTGGAGCCAGTAACCCTCATCTTGATCACTCGCGGAGGAAGCGACAGCCTCAGACCCGGCCGTGTCTCTATGGATGTGCCCACCACTCAGTCTAGTGGCCACTCAAAGGCCACAGTAGCTCAAGCTCAAAGCAGCTACATTTCTGGACATCACTGACGCCATTGCCTCGCTGACGCTGAGCAAAGTTACTGCCAGCTCCACAGCCGGCCTTTTCCCCTTAGTTAGATGTTTGGGAGGATGCAGCCTCCCAAGGAAGTCTTGGAAACAAAATTAATAAAATTAAACAGGAGGTGGAGAAGGCACCCACACTCCCATATCCCCTCCGACTTCCCTGCCTGGTGACTGACCTCTAGTCCAGCACTACTGCTTCTGCTCTTGGGGCTGGTGACAGGGAGAGTGGGAGGAGGGCTGAGCTGCTGGACAGGGCAAAGGGGGAGCCGGAGTTCATAAGAAGCTGTTGCCCACCTTCCACAAGGAATGCTGACCTGTTAGGGAATCTAGCTGGTGGAGGTTTTCCACTAACACAATAGTAAAAAATAAAGTTCTTAATACCAGGAGAGCTTTAGCATTTATTCATGTTTTCATACAGTGCTCTTTCACTCTGGGGCCACCTGACAGATCTGCCAGTCAACCATAAAAAGTATATGTGGATCCCTCTCCCAGGGATCCAACCAATTTTGCTTTCTCTAATAGGAATAAAAGAGAGGATTGTAAATGTCAGACAGCAGATTGTATAGCAACATCAATTGAACCAGGCATTCATAAGCAAATGTACCATTTATCTAACAAAGGTCTGGGTGGTTTTGTTAATTTAAATGACCTGATGCTGGGGTGCAAATTGAGATGAGGCATTGTCTGCGTATTCAGGTGCAAGTGGAGGTGGATATTGCCACCAGCCTTGGAGTCGGCTGGATCTGCTCCAGTGCAGCACAGCCGGGGAACCAGGCGCAAGGTCTGCATGGCCTCGTGTGTGTTTAACCCTGGGTAAAAGGCCATGTCAAGCCTTAGACATGCAGATTCTGTTTGTGGTTCCAAAGTGAGCCTTGTACCTTCAACCTAGAAAATTCAAAATTAGCTGAGATGACAAATATGGACACTCCAGGGAAAAGACCAGATGGAAACTGACTGAGAATAGTTTGGCAGCCTTGATGCAAGGCCCTCTTTGAATCCTGGGAGGATGAGGGGCTAAATCTAAGAGGCTGTAACCACTTGATTTCCCTCAGCCAGTCCCTGGATGCTAGAGTACCCACACGCCAAAATCCTTATGTAGGATCCCAGGACCTTGGCATGGCCAAATGCCAGCAGGTGACCTTTGAGAGAACCAACCCTTTCAGCCGCAAACTCAGCTGCCTGTGATGGCTGTCAGCTCAGCTCAACAAGAGACAGACCCAGTGCTGTAGCCATGCCCTCCTCCCCCTGAAGCCCTTATACTGGCCTCTGTTTCCCAATTAGAGGAACCAGCACATCCATGCCTTACCGGGAAGCAAGAGCCAGGATGTTGGAAGGAACTGCTCGGCTCTGTCTCTGGGTCTTGGCTGAGAGGCGGGCACCCTCCAGCTATTACCCAGTTTCTCTTTCTGATTTAATCCCTGGTAGTTTTCCCTTCCAGGCCCCTCCTGAGAGCCAGTCAGCTCTCAAGCAAGGTGGCCAAGTGAGCCCTGTCAGGTAGGGGGAAGGTAAGCATGTTTGCTAAAACTGTGTTTCCCAAAGCGTGCTCAGTGGACTATCTGTGCTAGAATCAGCAGACTCTTAAAATGCAGCTTTCCGGGCCTCACCCCATACTTGCTACCCTTCTAGAAGCTGAAAATTTGTTTCTAACAGACCTGCAGACCTTCTAGAGGTGAGAATCTATAGCAGCTCTCCCATACCGTTGCGTTTCCTCAGCTAGGCCTGTCCTGGGCTTCCTCTAGGGAAAGCCAGAGTAAACAGGTTCTTCGTTGAGTTTCCTGAGGCCCTGGTGTTATGTGGTTGAAAGACCAGGGTCAGGAGATCTGGGTTCTGATCTTGGATCTGCTACTAGTCTGCCCCGTGGTCCAGCCACGTCCCTTCCCCACCCTGGGCCTCAGTTTTCCCATCTGTCTAATGACTGCATTTGGCTCATTGCTGGTTCTGGTGTTGGGACTAAGGAGTGAGGAGTGTTCCAGGGAAAGCTCCAAGTGATGGAAGGGACAGGAGGCAGGCTGAGTTCCTCCAGGCCATGGGCAGGCTGCAGCACCTGGTGAAGGTATGCCCACCGTAGGTCCCTGTTAGCAGTGTTCTCTAAGAACGTGAAGTTATTCACCCAAGAGATACAAAGATGCTGGGAGCAGTCTTTGCTTTAAGAAGCTCAGTCTAGGAGATAGGACAAGGACAAACCCCTCCAGGCTCACAGAGCCAAGGTCCAGAGTGTGTGGTTTGGAATGGATGGAAACAGCTCTGTGGAACTGGGCCTTGGCAGAAAAGTCAGATTTGAAGAGAGGGTCTGCCAGGAGTGGGGCACCTGGGAGCAAGCTCTGCGGGCGGGCTTTCTGGCAGGGAGTGGGAAGTCAGTGGAGCCAGACTGGGACCACTGGGAGGGCCTTCAAGGCTAGAGTAGCCAGTGGTTTTAGGCCAATGACAGGCATAAACACCGCCACAGGGTGCTGAGAGAAGGGGATAGTGACCCACTCACTTAGAAGTCACAGACCCCAGGGGACAGCGGCAGTGGGTTACCAAGTGGCACGACTTCCAGTACACCTGTCCATGTTTGTTTGGGGATTGTGAGAAGACTGTATCATATGTGTGTAACAGTCTCTTGGAATTTTCAGAGTTTTGTGGCTCAGTCAACACTGTCAGTGAAACGACATCATGTTAGCTAAAATATATCTTAAAGATAAGCCCATTGGTTTTGGCATTTATTGTTAATTGAATTTTCCCAGAAATGGCAGCAGAAAGATTGTTAATGTTCATGAATTTACATCAAGTTAAACATCTGTTCCTCTTAAGCTAAACTCCAGCAAAGTTACGGCAGCTCCTAAATTAGAGCTGGGAGTAAAATCCTGCTTGTTCTTTGCGCAGCTTAGCAGTTTCAAAATAGACCTCAGAATGACACATCACAACTGAGGCCCCTGTAACGCAGCCGCACTGAGCTATATAACATGGGTGCCAGACAATTAAGCCAGGTTTTTGCTTTGGTGGTGAAGATCGAAGCTTTGCTGGGGCAGCACATGACATGACTTACCAGGCTAATGGGGAAAGTGTGGGAACCAGTGTTGCTAATGTCTGGGGGACAGGCAGCCAAGAGGATGGGGGCATGTCCTGTCTCTCCCCTGGGCCTCTCTGGGGGGGTTCTCAGGTGAGGTTTGGGGATCTGAGCTCTAGCCACCCTGCCAGGTTGAAGAGGGGCTGGAGCCCAGTGACTGCAGCTCCAGAGAGTGGCTGGTTACTATGTGGTTTCTGCAGGGATGGCCTGTGTCTGGTTTGGGAAGAGAGATCCTCACCCCATTTGTTGGCATTCAGAGCAGACCCACCATCCCCCACCCAGGCAAGTCTTTCTTCCCCATGCCTTTGCCCCTAGGTCCACGCCCCCTTCCCCAAAGGGATTGCTTCCAGCAGTGGCAGCTGAGCTCTTTCATGATGTTGAGCCATGTCCTGCGTTCCCCTCTCCAGTACATTTTGGATATTCTTCAAAGGGGGACTCCTGAGAGTAGAGTGACCCCAAGAAGGGAGATTCCAGCACCCCGGAGACTCATGGGGCTGTGGTCTTATAGTGGCCTGGGGATTCCCCCCACCCACCTTGACCCCACATTCTGCCTGTGTATAAAGCTGTCCCCAAGAACACAGATGGTCCACAGGGTCGGCTCTGTTCATTTACTGATCAGAGCCGGGGCAAAAAACAGGGTCTTTCCTGAAGCTATGCCATAGCCAAATTCATCCACAGGCCTCCTTACCTGGGTGGCTGTTTCAAGCACAGGGCGCTCAGCTGGCCTCTTCACAGGGTGATCCACGGCTCTCCTGACCAGCAATGCCAAGACAAGAGGGCAGAAGCTTTCCTCCTCCTCTCCAGAAGCAATTCCCAGGCAGCTGCCTTGTGCCCACCACACTTCTATGCAACCTAGTGTCCAGAGACCACCTTGCCACCACCCCTAGCCTGGCCATGCTGGAGTTCACTCCATGGGAACAGCATTGCAGGTTTTGGGTTGTCCCCACTGGGTGAGGTATGGAGGTCTGGGCTTCAGTGAGCATGGCCACATGTACCACATGGTCAGCATGCCCCCCAAGGAACTGACATGATGGGTGACACAGGCACTAGCCCCCTTCAGAGATCCAGACCCGTCACCATGGTGCAGGGTGGCTGGGATTGTCTCCTCTTCAGGGCAGGGCCGTAGCCACTCTCCAAGCCCACCTGCCACCTGTCTTCCACAGTCATACCGGTAACAGACACTGAATGAGCCCCTTCTATGTGTGGATGCTGGGCCAGGTGCTGGGGGTACACCTGTAAGCAAGGCCCCACTGCACTGGAGGAGCTCACAGTCTAACAGGGAGCCTGATGATCCACAGTGGATGAAAAAGTCACAGAAATTGAAGGCTGGAGAAGGCTGGCAAGAGAGAACAGGGCAGCACACGAGGGTGCCCGTTAGGCAGGATTGGTGTGTTAGGCGAGGGAGGCTGAAGGAGTTGGTGAAGAAACACCTTGCAGTGAGAGAGTAGGACGGGGCAGCAAGAGAGAGCCCACTTTCCCGCCCCACCACCATGCAGGTGCCTCACCCCTGGGATCCAAGGCTTGGGCCTTGACCACATGGCCTGTCTCCCTCTCAGAATCTGAGCTCCCGACAGCCTGTGTAGCACTTTCCACATTGCCCACATTACACAACGCCTCCCTCCCCTTGACTCTTCGGAGTCTCCCAGCCCCACCCACGCCTTTTACAGGAGCTTCACCTGCCACAGAATGAAGATGGTCCCTTTGAGCACAGTCTGGCAGGGGCACAAGTGGCTGATGGAATATTTACAATGTCTCCCTTGCTTCCCTTTGTTTTGCAATAGAAAGTGTTTCTTTGATGGACATTTAATTCCAGAGACTGCTACCTGCTACCTATCTCCCTTTGCTCAAAAATTAAATGTGGATGTGCCTGTTCTCCTGCTATAATCATCTTCCTCTGTGTGAAGGGAGTGCAGTGGGAATGAGAGAACATTAGAATCTTCAAAGAGGGACAATTATTGAGGGAACTAGATTAATGAGGTGTCATAACAACTTAGCCGGATCTGCGACTGACCTTTCTCATGGAGAACGGGCTTGATAAATGTAGTTCATTACCAAGTTCTGACATGAAAATAGGATCACACTCTGGGCTCCTCGGCAAGCTGATCAATATTTTATCTGCCAAAGCAGGCCTGGTCTGGGAGCAGGAGGAGCCCCACGCATGTGCTGGCAAGGAGCCTGAGGCCAGGGCCAGGGGCTGGCCAGGCCAGCCCTGTGGCATGGAGGGCACCCAGGCTGGCAGGAAGGTGGCTGAGCCCTTCACAGAGCCTGCCAATGACGCTGTCAGTGTCAGGCTTACCAGGACATGCAGCCTCTCTCCCCAAGAAGCCCCAGATGGGGCATGTGCACTGGCGGTCAGGAGGGAGGGAGAGGATCAGGACATCTTCTGTCTTCTGTTTAGCCATGAGCACTGATTTAGTTGCCAACCTGTCCCAGGCCCCACAGTAAAGGGGACAAAGACAAATGAGCCATACCCCTCCCTTGGGGCTTTGAGCCCATCTCACCAAGAGAAGACCCCAGGCCTCGCCAACCACTTGCTAAGTCCTCACATTTCCTTGTATGCTATGACCCTGGAAGGCAGTAAGAAGCTATTATTATCCCCATGTGAAGATAGGGAATAGGAGTAGGAAGGGCAGGGGAGTGAATGCCTTTCCTAAGGTCTCACAGCTGAAGTCAGGTGGTCTCCTGATCCTCCACCCAGTGTTCTGTCTGACCTTGTGGTGACTGTCATTAGCAGTGTTAATATCAGGTAGACACGGCAGCCTAAGATGAAGTCTGTGTCCCCCTGAAGACCTTAGACAAGGTTGTTATAGGGTGAGCCCATCACCCTGGCTCCAGCTTCATGAAAATGCCCTGGAGCCACAGGACTCTGGTCCTCTCATTCAACAAGCATTTCATACTGTAATGCTGCATGGGGAGCTGTCCACTTCAACTCCTGCCTGCTCAGAACATGTAATCCCATTAAGGGGACATAGCAGATGCTGAAAGCCGCCCATCCAGCTTCCCTCAGTCAACCCCAGAGGTGATGTGCAGCTTGGATGGACGATTCCCCATAACACTTGCCAAGAGCATCCAATCCCAGGCACCTGCAGCTTCAGCCTGAGGACATTTTCCGGTCTCAGGCGTGGACTCAGTCCTCATTTGGGAGGTCCAGAACTGCTAGCTGGAGGTGGTGAATTCCTCCAAGAGCAACCTCAGCTAATAGGGATGGAAGTCAGTAGAAAAATATCCTGGCTCCCTCCCACCTCAGTGAAGCAATTCTGCGGTGTGTTCTACACAGTCCCTCTGAGGACCCCATGGGATTGAACCCCCATTGCCCACGGCGGCAACCCACTCATGAGTGAACCCTTTGTTGGCTTTTCTCCCTTCCCAGTCTACTTCCTGTTCCTTCCAGCACTTCTTGGGATCATCTTCAAATATGCTGCTTGCCCCTAGATCCTCATCTCAGGGACTGCTTTGGGGGAGCCCAAACTAAGGCTGGGGCAAGCCTCACTCAGAAAGGATTTCATAGCAGGCAGAAAGGAAAGCTGAGGGAGAAGGCAGTCCCGTGTGGGTGTGTGTGGGTGTGTGGGTGTGGGTGTGTGTGGGGGTGTGTGTGTGTGTGGGTGTGTGGGTGTGGGTGGGTGTGGGTGGGTGTGGGGGTGTGTGTGTGTGTGGGTGTGTGTGTGTAAGTGGACAAGCTTCCTACAGACGAGGTGGATTGGGCCTGAAGACAGGAAGGGGGTGGGGCAGCATGAGAAAGCGCAGCTGTGTTCAGAGCATAGGGAATTTCCAGCTATGGAGGGGGCTTCCCTGAAATTCTCCAAACCTCACTGTAAGGCTTGACTTAGCCAAGGTTACCACAAAGGCAAAGACAAAATCCCCTTATTTAGAACAACACAAAGTTCTCTTTACCTGGAAACCAGCAAGACTCAGAGAAAACACTGAAATGACTTTCCAAACATGTGGGCAGAAACTTGTGCAGTCCAAATCACGGCGGTCCTGCCCACTCATGAAGCAGGTCCCCTGCGGGTCCCAACCTGGCAGCCCCTGCTGAGCCTCATTCAAGGCATGGACGTCAAGGTTATATGCAAGCATCCCACCTTTTCTCTGGAAGAGTCATGCCTCCGGATTAATCAATGCTGAAGTTCAACTGTATTCTGAGTCTCCCCATCCCAGGCTGAGTTAGAGAGGCCCTGGCAATGGGATCCGGGCCCCAGCTCAGGGCTCCTTATGGCATTCTCTCGAACCATTCTCTCGAACTCCTGACCTCAGGTAATCCACCTGCCTCGGCCTCCCAAAGTGCTAGGATTATAGGCGTGAGCCACCGCGCCCGGCCTGCCACTATCATTCTCAACATCATCTTGACCATCACCCACAGGGGCACCAGGGAGGAGTGGGGTGGTCCCCAAGCCTCTGCCACACACCCCAGGGACCTTCCCTCCGAAGGAGTAAAGTATCCTGTGGATCAAGGCTAAGGCTAAGACTGGACCCTGCCCCTGTCCGGAGAGATCTGATTCCCTCCCTACCTGGGAGCCAGGCCCAACACACACAGTGTCAGGGCACGGAGAGTGATGAAGGTAAGGGGTGCCAGCTTACATCAGGTGATGTTTAAGCAGAGGCCAAGATGAATACACCAGGTGGAGATTTGGGTGAATAGCACTCCAGCCAGGGGGATAGTCAATGCCAGGCCCCTGGGCAGGAGCATGCCCAGTGATCAGTGCTGCTGAAGTCCCCTTGGTCCCCCCATACCCCCCACCTCTCTTGTAGTCACCTGTGTGGAATTGCTGGGCAGGTGGGCAGGGCTGACTGGGGTGAAGATAAGAAAGACATGAACCTTGGGTGTTGACACTTTCTTGCCCAAAATGATTGGAATTTTTTTTTTTTTTTTTTTTTGAGACGGAGTCTCGCTCTGTCACCCAGGCTGGAGTGCAGTGGCGTGATCTCGGCTCACTGCAAGCTGTGCCTCCCGGGTTCATACCATTCTCCTGCCTCAGCCTCCCGAGTAGCTGGGACCACAGGCGCCCGCCACCATGCCTGGCTAATTTTTTGTATTTTTGGTAGAGACGGGGTTTCACCGTGTTAGCCAGGATGGTCTCAATCTCCTGACCTCGTGATCCGCCCGCCTCGGCCTCCCAAAGTGCTGGGATTACAGGCGTGAGCCACCACGCCCAGCCAATGATTGGAATTTGAGAAGAATAGGAGGAAGATCAGAAAACAGGTCTCGGAGCCCGCACAGCAGACGAGGGCTGGACTACGTGAAAGAGCTCATTTCAATAATGGGCTCAGTGTCACTCATGGAGAGGGCCCAGCTTCACATCTGGCCAGCAGTGTGTTGACAGCACCTGCATCTGGGAGGTGGATTTCGGGATGATTTATTTTCTTTTTCTTTATTTTTATTTGCACTTTCCAAGTGGTTCTCTGATGGGCATGTATTTCTTCTAGAATTAGACAAATGTTTGAAGCTGGAAGAGGGGAGGGAGCCTTTAGCTGAAGACATGTCCGGTGGTGTCCAAAATGCCCAGTGCTTCACACAGCTAAGTCACTCCTATCTGACCCCACAGTGAAACCAGCAGGGGGCAGGAATGTAAAAATAAAACTGGAATTTGGTAACCTATGACTTTGACACACCTTGCTAGGAAAATATCTATCCTGGAAGCCAAGGCCAGCTGTGAAGGAGGAAATCTATCCAGGGAGACTGAGCTGGAGGCTGCAGCTTTGGGGCATCTGCCTCTGGGGGCTGGAAGAAGGCAAGGAAGGAAGTTTTCCCTCCCCCACTCCACCTCAAGCCCTGTGGAATTCGGATGACAAAGGCAGGGAGTGAAGGCAGGGAGCCACCAAGAGGGCAGCCCTTGGAGATGAAGGCTCAAAAGCCTTCCCAAAAAGCGAGTTTGGACTTTGGGATCTCGAGTGATCATCTGCACAGAAGCAGAGCTCTGAGCATCAGGCTGCCTTTCCTCCAGGGTCCATGGCCCTTCCCCAGTGCTGTCGGGCACCAGAGGAGCTCAGTAATTTCGGACAAATGACTTCATGATTTAAGTTTGGGCAAAGTTCTCTCTTGCAACTCATTAAAGCACAGTTGCTCCTGGGGTAAAGAAGGATTTAAGATTCTGTTCCTGGAATCCCTTGGTTCATCTCAGGACCCCAGTGGCAAGCTTGGCCCAGGCATGGAGTGCCCTCAGTAAAGGGAAGAAATGACGAAGGAAGTTTTGAACAGCATGATGTACGGTGCCACACACTTCCCCAAGGCCTTGGAGGCTCTGCCTGGGTTGTCCCACTGCCCTCTCCTGCCTGTCTTGTTTCACTCTCCACCTGACTCAGCCCCTCTAGCCCAGCCACACCAGCTTTCACCAGTCTCCAGACGTGCCCCACCATGGCTCCTGCACGCGCAGTCCTGCTCCTGGCCTGCTCTTCCCTCTGCTTCCTCCCACAACTCCTCCTCCTACAGGTCTCATCCTGAACATCCCTCCCTTGGCCTCCCACCACAGGCACCCACAGTGCCCAGGACTGGAGGCTGCCCAGCATCGGGCACACAGTATGTAAATAAATACTGGTAAAAGGATGGGAGTGGCCTGGACAGTGTGGGCCCTAGCAGGGGGTGGGACCGTGGGCTCAGGGAGCTGATGCTGGAGACCTGGAGGGCCCACCCCTTTCCCCCAGATGATTGACTTCTAGACCTGCACATACCTTCCTGACCAGAAGGTGTCTGTTGGGCAGTTGCCAGGGTGAAGCAGCCAGAAGTCTGCGCTCACAGGCAGCTGTGAGGATGTGAGGTGGGGCCGAGCCTGGGGAGGATGCTGCAGCACCCCACTTCCATCCCAGCAAGACCCACCTGGATGGTTTCCCCCACCTGCCAGTGTTGGAGGTGTTGTCCAGCTGCAGACCCCTGCTCACAGGGGGACGCCAGTCCGTGTAGCTCTACAGACTTGAGAAATGGGTTTGCCAGCTGGTGACCCCAAGAACTCCCAGGGCGCTCTCCATGCTTAGGCCAGCCTGGCCACTGGGGTCCTGAGACGAAATAAGAGGCTCCCAGAAAGGAATCTTGCCCAGGGCAGCAGGCAGCTCAGAAGTGGTTTACGCCCCACCAAGGTCCAGGAGGAAGGTTGGGGGGATCTGCAAGGATGGGGCATCCTGCCCTTTTGACCCAGCCTGTCCTCACCTTCAGGTGGCCCTGCTGCAGCATGTTCTTCGGAGCCTGATTGTCCACCGGTGTTTCTGAGTACAGCCTCTTCCTGACACCATATCCACCTGCTGTGTACATCAATTTTTCAGTATCTGGGTATAAATGCCCCCCACTCCAGGAAGTCCTGGGGGCTGCAGAAATGCTGGCTCCTGCAGACCCTCCACACAGGCACACATCCATCTCCATTTACCCCAGCAGCTGGCCCCACCTCCACTTTCATTCTGTACCCCCACTTCTGGTCTATTTGCCAGGACAAAATTTCAGCCTCTTTCAGGGAGTGAGGAGCTAGACTCAGGCAAAACTATTCCTCCTCTTCCCCAAAACTTATCCTTATCCAGGCCCAGAAAAAGGAAAAACCCATCAAGTTTTGTAGGGGCACAAAGCCACTATTTTCAATGCCCTGTAGCTCTACAGACTTGAGAATTGGGTTTGCCAACTGGAGGCCCCAAGAACCCCCAGGAATCAATATCCTACCAGGCAAAAGAGGGATGCAAGCAAGGTGAGGGTGTGGGAGAGAGGCGTTCTTGTCAGAGCATGAAGACTCCCAGAGAGCAAATAGATCTGATTATATTGAACACAACAATTGATTTTTTTCTAAATAAACATGCAGGAGGAAATGGCAATGGGCATCTGTTTCTGACAGAAATCAATTGACCCCAAATTGGAAGAAAATCTGGAAATACAAACAAGCACAAGAAAAAGTGGTTGGGCTGTCCAGGCTTATCAAGGGAGGGTATGAGGGAGGAAAAGAGGAAGGGAGGAAGAGAGAAACAGACAGACAGACTTCCCCATCATCCCTTTCCCCCCAGTAGCTTCCCTGATGATTGCTCTTCAGTAAATGTGGTTCCCATAATGTCAAGGGAGAGAGTAGCTATCATGTTATGAGCCCTTACTGGGTGCCATGCTGGTGCAAAGGCCTGTATGTGCACATCTTACTTAATCCTCGTAACAACCCCTTGTGGGAGGCACTGGTATCTCTGCTTCACAGATGAGATCACTGAGGCACCCTGCCCAAGGCTACATGCCTGATGGCAGCAGAGCTAGAGCTCAAACCCAGGGGACCTCAGAGCTCATGCTCTCTAACACTTCTTTCTATTGACTCTCCAACTCTGGGATATTATCTCAGGCCCTAAACTGGCCTTGGAATTAAGGAGAAGAGCCCCAGGCTCCAGCAACCCATTGGCCTTCAACCTGGAATGGTCAGTGAGGAGCCCATGCGTATTCTCCAGGATTCAGCAAAGCCAGGCGCTGGAAGTACTCATCCCCCAGGGAGTCGGGAAGTGGGGCTGGAGGGGCTGCCCTCTCCGCTGACACTCCTGCAATCCCAGTGTATGGGCGTTGCCCTGCGTGATGTCCATCCTAGAAGCCCGTCACCAGCAAGATAAACTGTGCCATGCTGCAATGCATCCCAGGCTTTACTTCCCCAAACACTGCATGGTTCTGATGCTGTTCAGCAAGCGCGCCTGGGATAAAACGAGCTGTGTGCTTCGGTTTTAACGTTGTAAAGCTTCTTTTTGTTTCTTGGTCATAGACTTGTGTATATGTTTGTTTTGAAGTAATCCAGCTCTGGGAGGGTGCCTAATTAACATAAGCAGGGCTTATTAGTCCTGTTAACTAAAACTCCCTAATCTAGGAGGCCAAGTATTCAAAAGCAGCCTTTAAGGTAGGATTAAGGCAAAAACCAGTGATTACAAAATGGAATTGGGGGTAGCTTTCCTAAAGCCTCTGTGGGGCTGCCGCTATATATTCCGCTGGAAGAATTTCCCATTCCATCTGGCAGTCACTCTAGTCTGGCTTGTAGTGGTGCTCAACAAATATTTGTCAGATGGACAGATTCCCTCCAGCATTTGCATCATGTGTAGCATGCATTCCATGTTCCATCAATATTTATGGGATGGATTGGTGAGCAGAACACAAACAAGTCCCATCGACGACAGTTGCACCGTGCACTGCACATAGTGAACGCCTGGTGGCTATTTGTGAGTGAGATGAATGGACCAGCGGCAAGAATGTTCTCTCAAGACCACGGGATAAGTCTCAAAATAATAACCTCACCTTCTCTTTCAGGTGACACGTGCACCATGGCCGGCTACGCCCGCTTGAAGAATGTCCTTCTGGCACTCCAGACCCGTCTGCAGCCACTCCAAGAAGGAGACAGCAGACAAGACCCTGCCTCCCAGAAGCGCCTCCTGGTGGAATCTCTGTTCAGGGACTTAGATGCAGATGGCAATGGCCACCTCAGCAGCTCCGAACTGGCTCAGGTGGGCATCGTGTTCAGTGAAAGTCACATGATGGAGGAATCCAGTTTTCCATTTCCCACCCCGGCCCCCTGGTGTCTAAGAGCATGTGTTCAATACCTCTGAGAACATCTCACAAACAAAATGAGGTCAGGTTCTTCCCACCAGCCACCTTTAGCCTCTATTTACAAACAAGCTTTCAGGCCCTCTCAGCTATCTGGCAAAAAACTCACTTCAGAGGGCCTGGTCTCTGATGTTTTGACTAGGAAATCAATCTTTTCTTCCTTGAGTAGGATTAGTTACTCAGCAGAAAAGTTACAAGGAAGCAGTGCTTGGTTTCCATTGAACACCATTGGAGCTATAACCTGGAAGTCCCCAAGTCTTCTACCTTAGGACATCACTGCTCCTTAGTATCCAAAGATCAAGAACCCAAACCTCGGACTGCTTGTTTGCAGAAAGCCCTGTGTCTACCCGTCAACCCCCACCAAGCCCTGCTCTCATTTGGGAAAACACTTGCATTACACCCTGAGGTTTGCCTCCCTCCCCTGAGACTGCAGTGTTCAACACAGCACACATGTCCTTTGTCGAGCTACAAGGTGGAGCAGGGGTAGTTAGTGTCTGCAACATAGAAAGCAAGGAAAGAGTGACCTCACTCACTGGGGCCACAGCCACTGCCAGTTGCAGGGAGGAGCCTGTAGGGTCCTGATGGTAGAAAAGCTGGGGTGGGCTGGAGGGGCCTGCATTCCTACTTCTGCTTACTGGTTTGTTTCTAAGGGTCTGTAGCCCTAGAGCTGCACCAGGCAGGTACAAGATCTGCAAGGAGAGTGAGATCAGCCTCCCTGAGTTGGGTGGTGGGGGGCGGTGGGCAGCCTTTTTCTTGTGACCACAGACTGTCCACCCAGTGGATGGATAATAAAGACAGGTTCCCACCTTTGATGCCAATTTAAAGATATCTTAAACATGGCACAGGGACCTTCTCAAGGCTGTGGCCCGGTCATTGGGAAGAAGTGGGGTGGGGAGTGCCCTAACATTCATTGAGCCATGTGCTTGACATTGAGCTAGGCCCTTGACCTATGATTAATAAACACAGAAGAGTTCGTTGTTATGTAGGATAGTGGCAAAGAATGCAGACTTTAGAGTCAAACTGCCTAAGGTCAAGTGCTGCGTCCAGCATGTATGAGCTAGTGGACCTTGGGAGACAATGTCGTTTCGCTGTGCCTCTGTGTTCAGCTGTGAACCTCACAGGGTCATCATGAGGGTTAAATGAGCTAAGATAGTGAATGGCTTAGAGTGGTACCTGGCATGTGGTATGTTTCTTTTTTAGACATGGTCTCGCTCTGTCACCCAGACTGGAGTGCAGTAGCGCAATCTTGGCTCGTTGCAGCCTCTGCCTCCCAGGCTGAAGCCATTCTTCTGCCTCAGCCTCCCAAGTAGCTGGAATTGCAGGCTTACACCACCACACCCAGCTAATTTTTGCATTTTTAGTAGAGATATGGTTTCACCATTTTGCCAGGCTGGTCTCAAACTCCTGACCTCAGGTGATCCGCCCACCTTGGCCTCTCAAAGTGCTGGGATTACAGGTGTGAGCCACTGTGCCTGGCCACATGGTGTGTTTCAATAGAGAGGTCATCAGTATTGTTGCCATCATCATCATTTTTATTATTATTATTTCCTCCTTAAATCTTTCGACCATCCTCTGCTGTAAGGAGGGGACGACTATTATTCCACTTCACAGATATTTTCAGATGAGGATACTGAGGCTCTAAGAAATCAGACAACTTGCCTGAGTTGTTCACTGCCTGGGACATGATGGAACTGAGATGAAACCCTGGCAGGCTGACTTGCATGCACCTGCTCTCCTCAGGGCACTTGGAATCTCCCTGGAGAGAATGGCTCCCACCAAGAGGCACCACATGGTTCCTTCAAGGTCTGTAGGGACAACAAGTACCTCCAGAACCCTAGTAAGGAGTAGCCACCAGAAGCTTTGGAACATAGGCCCTCCGTCCCAGCCAGTCCTGAGCCTGCTTTCAGGAAGCACGTTGGGAATCTCAGATGACTCTGCTCTGTTCACTCATACCTGAGTGGCTCGCGCAAGCCCATTCAAGGCCTGCATCCCAGGAGGCTTGCTGCCCATGGCCCCCGGGGCAACCGCCCTGCCAGCATGTCACCACCTCCATCAGCACTAGGCCCCAGCTCTGGCTAAGACCCTGAGGGGCAGGGCCAGGGACCTGCAGGTGACTCAGGCTGCTCTGGGAAAATCCCAGGTCCTGATAGTTACAGCTACTTGCAGGAAGAACCACCTGGCAATTCCTCAAACTACCGAGCAGGGAGCACCAAGGGCAGGTGGCATCAGCTTGTCTTGAACAGAAGCTGCTATGAGCTCTTGGTATCCAGGCCCACATGGCTCCAGGTAAACAGAGCCTTACCAGGCACTTCATTCTAACCTGGCAGATATGTGGCCTGAGGCACCTGAAGCCATTAACAAGCGTGGTAATTGGACAATGATTTCCTCTTTAAAATTTAATATAGTTAAAGTCCATTTCATAAATCTGCCAAGCAGAGCCCGGCTAAAGTGGGCCTTTCCTTGACACTGAATCAAAGGTGCTGGGGAAGAACTTGTCAGTCCTATAAAAAGTTAATCAATTTCCAATGCAGAAATAGACAAAGGGAAATTTCCATCTTTGGAAGATTGATCTCAGGCATTATGGTTGATCTCCCTTTTATCGAACACTCTTACTTGCTTGGTGAAGGGTCATTTTTTTAACATTATCACATTAAATTGCCTTTAATACAGCAGACCAAGCTGAGAATGTTAAATAAAGAGAAAATGCCTCTGCCCCCCTCCCCCCACACCAAAATAAAATAAAATCATTTTCTTTCTTCTGAGATTTCCTTCTGAGCATTTTCCCTGCAAGACCTTCAGTTCCGAGCACACTGGCTTCTGGCTGTAGCTCCAGCTGAGTGAGGGTGCCTAGAATTTCTACCCTTAGTTACCTTGGGACGTGTGGCTGATCATGCTGGGCAGCCTCTGTGTCCTATGGCTCAGACCACAACCAGAGAGGAGTTTACGAGAGCCTATGTCTGTAGCCTCCGTGCCAGAGTCACAAGGGTGGACATCTGTGTCCTGGGCAGGACAAGGCAGGCAGGGGGGAAGCTCAGGTCTAGGTGGATAGAACGGAGGGGTCTGGGAGTGTGCTGTGTCCAGGCAGCACTGCCTGCCATGGGTAAGGGCTGATGGGTGGGTGCATGATGCAGCAGTGACCTCCAGCTCTATGCAGCTGGAAGCTGGCAGACCTCTGTCCCCACACTGAGTTCAGCCACTGTTTGCTGGGTTTATCCGATGGGGTCTTTTCTCTCCTGTCTCCCCATCTATAGCACACAGCAGTAGAGCAGGTGGCCTCAAGGATTCCCATCTTAGACTGTCTGGGTCTGTCTGCCTAGACAAGGAAAAGACACACCTGAGCTCTAGTCTAGAGTCTGCCCCAAGCACTGTGTGAACCTGGGGAAGCCACTTCCCCTCTCTGAACCCCAGTTTTCTCATCCATAAAATGAAGGAGTCAGACAAGACAAAATCAAAGAGCTTCAGGTACCCCTCAAGGCCCACTGAGCTGTCCCTGGATTCCCTCTTGGCCTGAGTCATTTTCATCAATGCCTATGACTCTAAACTCATCTGATTCTGGCCTTGTTCTCCTCCTCACCCCACAGCATGTGCTGAAGAAGCAGGACCTGGATGAAGACTTACTTGGTTGCTCACCAGGTGACCTCCTCCGATTTGACGATTACAACAGTGACAGCTCCCTGACCCTCCGCGAGTTCTACATGGCCTTCCGTAAGTTGGGTCCCAGTGGGAAAAGGGCTTATTTCTGCAGGTGCTTCTGCACCAAAATGCTGTTGGGTGCCTGGAGTCTGTCCTCAGTTGTCTCCCAGGTTGGTTTCTTATACAGAGGAAAGCTGGTGAATTTGTTCTGCAACAAGCCTGAGCTTTAAGAAAAGACTAAACGGAGAGTGGATGGGGCCAGAGAGGGCTTGCCCTGTTCCTTTTTAATAAAGATTTTTCTCGCTCTTTGAGGGGCCCAGGACTGTAATTGAAGCATAGCTGTGAGGGCACTGTGAACACCCTTTGGGGGTTCTATGACTGAAGGAGAAGGAAGCAGATTTTAGGGCTATCCTCAGGCTAGGGCCTGGCCATGTGGGGAGCCCTACCTGGAGAAAAACACCCTGCAGGAGGGCCTGGAGGCTTGGCCATGCAGCGGCAGGGAGCAGTGACTACCCAAGGACAATGGAGAGTGAGGGTCCAATGTGAAGAGAGGCAGGGGATCCCTGGAGAAGAAGGGAAAGTGGGTGCTGTTTGAAAACAGAGGAGGTACTCTGAGTGCCCCTCCAAAGAGTGCCTCATGCATATGCAAGTGGATGGGATGCCTTCAGGACCTGTATCTTTTACTTGAGGTGATCTTCCAAGAGATTACATTAACCAGAGGTGGTGCTGGGACAGGACTTACAAGAAATGCAAGATACAAGAGCCATTCGTAGCTCCAGGCAGGGGTCAGCAGAGAGGAGAGGAAAGGGCAGTGCTGGGCCCACGCTGGAGACTAGAGGGGACATCCTTGGCCCAAAAGAGATGAAGCCCCTTACATTAGAAGATGTTCAAGCTCTGCTTAAAGTGGGCAATGCATATACCCTTGGGTGTGACCTGCCAGCTCACAGTTCCTAAGTGCAAGCCCTGGCATTCAAGAGGTGGGTGCAAGCCCACCCCACCCCCAGGGGCACTGAGTACCCTGAGCCACAGAGCCTGGTATCCTCCCTCAACCCCAGCCTTTACCTGGACTCCCGTTTTCCAGCAAAGTATTCCTGCTTCAGAGTGACATCTCTTTGGGCTGTTGCTATTCCACACCTTCACAAGGCCTGAAGAGGGATCCTTGTGATTTGTTGGCAAGAAGGGCTCTTGTGGCAAATAGAGAGGTACTTGGATGACATAAGAGGAGAGAAGCAAGCATGATTCTTCCCTATGGGCAGTGTCCATGAGCTTGACGTGGTTGCAGGGGCCTTTCCAGTTCATATCATCCTTAGTACCAAAGTCCACCCCAGGTTCCAGAGCTTTGCTTGATTTACTGTGACTGTGCAGGGTCCCCGTCATCCTCCTCCCCGCCCACTAGTCAAACTCATACCTGCCTATGTTGGTTCATAATAAGGTGAGAGTGACTGGTAGGCTTATCCTGCTGCGGAGGTGTTTGTCTTGTGGGCCAAAGAGATTATTTCCAGAAATGCATTTGGAATGTGTGGAAGTATCCACAACTCCCCACACCTGGTTCATGAGAGCTCATTGTTAAATTTTCAGGAATTTTACAAGCAAACAGTTAGACACTTGGTCGCTTTAAATTGGCCACGTTGAGAATATTTACATCATAGAAATTCACACCACACATATGCTACCAAAAAGGGGAAGGGGGGACATTTTTTCTTCTCTAGGGAGCCGGTTGTTATACATTGACCTGCATGTCACTGGACAAGACCCTCTCTCCTGCCCTCGGAGTCCACTTCTGGCAATATCTTCCCCACCCACCTCCCCTCACTGAGACTCCTTGATGATTCCATGGAACATGAACAACAGTAGGCTCGAGCAGCTAGGGCAGGTTACAGGAACAGCAGCTCTCTGAGTCAGGAAAGCAGCAACATGTTCTCTGGGGATAGTTCCAAGACATTCCCAAAAACACTCTCTGAGCCTAGACCCCTCTGCCAAAGGAGTTATGAAGGAAAAGCTCAGTGCATTTTTAGAGCCAGAGGCCAAGACTGGACTTCAGGGATTTGTGGGGCATACCAGGCATCATTACTTAATGTCCCAGATGCCGTCATCAAGCAGATTATAGCACTGCTTGGGCACCATCTTGGTGCCTGGTACCATAGCAGCCTCTGCTTTATGAGCACAGTTCCCATGAGTGGGTCTGGGGCCAAACAGCATGCTCTTGGCTTTGCTCTCAAGGAAATGGAAGCATCCCTATTGCCTATGATGAAAGAGAAGGCCTCTCCAGCTTCCCTAGTAAGGTCATTGTAAACATGAGCTACCCTGGAAAGGGAAGGACGTCATTACCTGACCTCCAGCCACATGTCTCATACAGAGCAATGTGGTGTCAGCTCCCTTCGTTCCTGGATTATTATTTGGAAAGCTTTATAATCATCATTTTTAAAGCAAATTAGATTCTGCTGTCGCCTTGGACTTGTTTTGAACCAGACAGCCAAACCATTCATCACAGCCCAGCCCAAATAATAGATATGCAATAAAACGTAAACTCACAGCCATTAAGGAAGCCGCAAAATGAGTTAACCCCCACTATAAAGGCTTGACATGCAGCCACTTGGAGCATATGGGGATCAATGGTTTTTCAAAGTCACAGGAACTCTAAACTAAATTCCCATAGCTCTGGTAATAGATTTATGGTTCAGCGAATTTTAAATAGGTAATTGAAATGAGACATATAGGTACAAGTTATTACCCAGCAATCGATGGGCATTAAAGAAATCTCACTAAAACCCAGAAAGTAATATCTCAAACATTTCAGCAACAACATTCTGGATTTAATTTTAAAAACTAGAGCTGATGGGCTGGCAGAGGTTGAGGCATTAGCATTTTATTTTCTAGTCTCTATTTTGCTGGCGTCCTTGGGTATAAGGCAGGGTGAGGTCTGTGGGGTGACTCCAGCTCAGTAGCCTACCGATGCGGAGTCAATCGCTTTACTAAAGGATGATGGGTTTGGGGCTGTTGTACCCAGAGAAGGAAGTTGTATTTATCAGTTTTTGAGGTTTGTGGGGGTGGTCTCCTGAATCATGTCTTCCCATGCAGCTGGCCTGGCCCTGGCTGGGCCATGCTTGCCACAGTCTGCAGCTGGTGGAGGGTGATGCTAGGAGTCCCACAGCTGGTGGATGTCTGTGCTGAGCTGGTTCGTGATGGGGCTGTACCCCCTTCCTGGCTCTGAGGAACAGGTGACTCTCCTCCAGGGTGGCAGGCAGTGCCTAGTCATGGGAGTCAGTTAAGTCTCTTTCTGATTGTCAGATGGAGCCAAGGCTCCCAATTGCCTCTCTCTGTACAGGGACAGGAATGAAATATGAGGGTGCCCCCACTTCCTCCTTTTGTCAACTAAACGTTCTCTTTGCATTGTTTTGGCTTCCCAAACCACAGGCTGATCTAGGAACTAAAGGCTCAGTGTCCTTCTCCAGCAGTGCCCTCTGCCTCTCCTTCCCCACGCCACCCCCCACCACCCCAACAAGGAGTAGTGCCACCTGTCCCTGCCATGGCAGAGACCCAGGCTCCAGGGTCACCATAAGCAAGGTGTGTGCTGGCCCTGTCTGTTCATCACAGTAAATTAACCTCAAAGTTGCTCATCTAAAAAGCTTCTTGATGATGCATGGTTTTTGCACTGTTCTGAGTGCTCAGGTTGGGATCAGGGGAAAACACGTTGCTAAAACAAGGATTTTTCTCACTTCAAATTCATTGCAAGTTTCTTCTGCTTTTTAGAAAATAGTTGTCCTTTTAATTACTCCTATGAGATCAAAGCCCACGAATGTGTTGGATGCATGGGAAGGTTTTGAGCAGCTAGCAGATAAAGGGCTTCACGTGTGAAGGTCCGGTGACCACACAGGCAGGGTGTCAGGAGGACCTGGGGTGCTGAATGTAGGGGAGCCAGACACCCTTCCTCACCTCTGACATGTGTAAGCTCCAGGCAAGCAGAAAGGAAAACAGTGTTTTCATCTACAGCACTACCACTACAGCCAGGGCAACTCTATGAAACAGATGATATGGTCACCTGGTGAATTTACATCTGTTTTTTCACCATCTCTGTTGCAAAGTGAAGGGATGGTGCAGTTTCGTTTACCACACCACTATCCTTTGGAACTAATAGTGCCTGGCCCCATACCAGACTTCCACACATGCTATCTCAGCCAATCCTCACACCCACCTTGTGTTGAGCAGGATGGTAAAATAAGCAACCGCAAGCATCCTCACTACCCAGATCTATCTGGCTCTTTATCTAGGTAGGGTGAGTTCAGACAAGGAGCTTAGATGGCAAGGATACTGCTTTGTTCTACTCCATTTCATTCCTGAGTTTTGGATAGTAAGTAACAAGATTTTAAATAGCATGGGGTTCATCAAAAATTTTATCTGAATTTACTTGGCTCTTGAATTTGGAGAGCAAGCAATGCCTATGGGCTGGTTTCAGTTTTGGCTGAAGCCAAGACCATGGGTGCCAGTGACTCCCCCTACCCCAAAGGAAGACACTGGTTTTCCCACACAGGATTTGCAAATAAAGTGGCCGAAGAACTGATTCACTGCCCTTGGTCCCTCATTTTCTCAAGGGCACAAAACAGTTAAAGCTGGAGTGGCCAAGGGAGGAATTGAAAATTGGCAGACAAGGCCGGGCACGGTGGCTCACGCCTGTAATCCCAGCACTTTGGGAGGCCGAGGCAGGCAGATCATGAGGTCAGGAGATCCAGACCATCCTGGCTAACATGGTGAAACCCCGTCTCTACTAAAAATACAAAAACTTAGCCGGGCTTGGTGGTGGGCGCCTGTAGTCTCAGCTACTTGGGAGGCTGAGGCAGGAGAATGGCGTGAACCCAGGAGGCAGAGTTTGCAGTGAGTGGAGATCGCACCACTGCACTCCAGCCTGGGCAACAGAGCGAGACTCCATCTCAAAAAAAAAAAAAAAGAAAATTGGGAGACAGAAGGTGTGAGTCTCACCACCTCCTCCCAGAGACAGAGTTGGGGGTGCTGTCCTGACTTCAAGTACATAGAGAGGGCTTCAAGAAGCCCACTTCCACGTGAGTCTCCTGAGGCCAGCGCTGGAGGACAGGGTTCACAGTCAGTGTTCCATTTGAATGACTTTGCTTGTCAATATCGCCGTAGTTAGTAATAGGCTCTTAGTACTCCAGTTGTATAAAGTGATACCCAGCATTTAACATGTGTCAGCACTGTACACTATGTCCAGTTTCACAGATGAAGAAACTGAAACTCAGAGAAGTAGCTAACCCAAGATCACATAGTCAGCAGGTAGCAGAGTCAGGATTTAGTGGGCGTGTCTGATTCTAGAACTTTCTCATGCATTTAAACAAACTTTGCAACACATCTGCATTCTCCGTTGAAGAGAATCTCACTGTCCTCACAGTGATTTCCCTAAACTTCAAGCCCCAACTCAATGGTCTTCTCCTCCAGGAGGTCTTTCTCAATTTCTCTTTCCTCCACCAAGCCCCACACACCTTCCTCTGTGTGCCCACAGCCCTGGGTTAACAAGGCTGTGGCCTGATTATTAAGAGTGTGGACTCCAGAGTCCAAGCTAGACCTGGTTTTGAATCTTTATTCTGCGACTGACTAACTGTGTGACTTTGGACAGTTCCCTACCAGAGGTTAAACTGGGCTTTAATTTTCCCATCTGTAAAATGGGAATAACAACCGTGCACAGAGTTATTCAGGACTAAAGGAGCTACTTAATGTAAAGTGATTAGTAGCATGAGACTTTGCCTATAGTAAATATTAGGCAAACATTAACCAGGTCAATGATGGCGGCGGTGAGGGTAATGATGAAGATTTCTGTGTGTGCCCCATCACCCTGTGCCATGCCATTGTTGTCCTTCCCCCTCAGGGACCACAGGCTCCCTGAGGATAGAGGCTGCTTCACCCATCCTGCACTCCTGCTCAGCATGGGGTATGGCACCCAGGAAGGCCTTGGTCAGAGTTGCTCATTGAGGGCATGAAGGACATGGAGAAATACATCGGGCAAGGAGAGGAGTCCAGACATGCAGCTGTGGCCAGCGATCCCAGAGGGTCTCTGCATGCCTCCAGGGGGCCTTGAGAAAACAGGGGCAGAGGAAGTGCCTTGTTGGGGCCCCACAGCTGGAGCCCTTGGTAGAGAAGCATCAGCCTGGCTGGAGCAGGCCAGCTGGACATCCCCAGCCTGGACATCCCTAATCACTGGATGAGCAACTGGGTGTGAGGGAAGCCCCTGCTTCTCACATGGGCTAATGATGCCTTATTGAAGATGAAAGTAACTCACACTAGAAAGCTCTCATCCTGACCAGAGGGCCGCTAACTGGCCATTCAACCCTCCTCAGAGTAAGTGCTCTGGTCGGCTGGCAGGCTGCGTAATTACCTTTACCTCCGGCAGCCACGTATGCAGAGGAGGGCTCTCGCTTAGCCCGCTCCTCAGCCCTGCGTGCCTGCTGGCCTACAGCCACATCCCTCGTGATGCAGCAGAACCTGGCTTCAGCAGCCCAAGACCAGCAGCCCCACCCGGCCCAACTCCTGCCACCTCACCTGGAGGTCAGCTTTGCTGGCTGTGCAAATCTGCATACCTTCTAAATAATTTATAGGCATAGAATATGGGTTTGTATTTCCATGCTGGGCCCTGGCAGGCTGGCAAGGCAGGCCTCTGGAGCAAAACCGTCAGCCACAAATACCCAAGCTCCCCACTGCAGGTGAGGACAAATGCGGAAGGAAGACCACCGTGGGAAGGCCAGCAGGTCCGCCCTGAAGCTACCGTAGGCTGAGGCTCTCTGAAAGCAGGGTGAGCTCCTGGGCAGGGAGGGACAGGCCCGGTCTCATCTCCCATCTGTACACTTGGCGTGGAGTGGCATGGAAGAGGCAGGCCACCAACCTGAGCCTTTCAGAGGAACCTGACCAGGGCAGGGAGAGCAGCACAGGGAAAGGGTGAGGAATTGAGGTTGGGAAGCATAAGAGGAGGAGAACCATGAAAGATGAGGTGGTGTTAGGTCAGCAAACGCACACAGAGCTCACTCTTGGGGAAGCACTGGGCAGAGACTCAGCTGTGAGCAAGACCACAGCAGGCCCTGCCCATGGGGAGCTTGCCACCTGGGTAGAGAGGCAGCGGGTAGAGAGGCAGAAAGATGACCCAATAAACAAAGTAGGAGCTGAGAGAGAGCGTCCTGGGTGCAGGAGGACCAACTGTCCCAAGAGGTCAGGAAGGGACATCGGAGTGGATACCTGAACGCCGAGCTAGAGATAACTAGGCAGAGGGTGAGGAAAAAGGTGTCCCAGGCAGGTGAGGGGAGCATGTGATCCCAAGGGACAAGGGGCTTGACTGAGGGAGGAGGCAATACCCAGGGTAGAAAGGCCGCCACCACAGTTAGGGCCCCGGAGGCAGAACTCAGACTCAGAGGCCAGGGCTTGGAGAAGGCCAGCTTAGCTCGGCTGTGAGGGGGACCCTCCCCAGCCTCTCCAGAGTTGCCCAGTGAGTGGTGAGTCCCCATCACTGCAGGTATGCCAGCCTGCAAGCCGCTGGAGAGGGGACTGAGTATCAGCTGGAGAGCTGGACTTGGCCTTTGAAGGCCTCCGGTGATGACTGTTGGGACAGACATGCAACCAGAGCTGTTATTTAAGACCTCCTAGGACCTAAAGCTGTTATCTAAGACCTCCTGATGTTCTGGGGTCTGGACTCTGTCCTTTTTGGCTCTCCCTTGCTATATAAAGACAGAAACACAGCTGAGTGCATGCATCTGCCTCCACCTGCCCCTGCTGTGCAGGAAAAGTTGTCAGGAGCCCCTTGGCAAGTGTCTGATGAGTGACTCATCTGCATGAGGAACAGGGGTGGCAGGAATGGGGCCCCCATCTGTGCACTGGGGTTCTGGGTGGAACAATCTCTGTCCCCCATTACACCACAGAGGGCTCAATTCTGAACCAGAACTGATGATTGCTGGCCAGTGCACCCTGCACCAGTTCCTTCTTCTCCCACACTTGGAAGTTTCAAACCCAGACTGCCCCTTTCCCATCTCAATCGTTTACTTCTAACAGCTGCATGGTGGGACCGGGCACTTTCTAGTCATTGTCTGGAGCTGAGTCTTCCAGCACTTTCCATTTTTAAAGATCCCAGCTGGAAGTTGTCAATGGCCTCCGTGCAGAGCAATTGAATAGCAGAAAATGAACTAATTACAGGTTGTTATTGAAAATCTATTATATACAAATTGCAAAGAAAACTCATTAAAATATGAAGCTTTGGTGATTTTTTTAAACCCTCCTCTTGGAGGGAGAGGCAGGAACGGGGTGGCTGGAAACCTTGTCCTTCATTATTCCTGGGGTAAGAACTCCCCCAGGAGCTGCAGAACAGCCTCATGTTCATGTGTCACACAGCCCAGCCTGACATCATAAAGCTCGAAATTTTGCATGCAGGAGAGAGCTCTCTGAATGTTAGTAAATACTCAAAAATGGCTGCAGAGGAAACAAAGAATTTCATTACAAAGATATAAAATGAGAACAATTTAAATGTCAGCTTTTTACCAGGATAGCACCATATTGTCCTCATAAATCTCCATGTTTTTGCAAAGCTTTTGTGAGGACTTCAATGTGCAATTAAGCACTGAAGGTCACATTCCCGATTTCTCAGCTTGCTCCCTTGGATTGGAGGTGTTGACGGGCTTAGGATGTGAATGCCTGAGCCTTCCAGAGCTCACATCTCAAGGGAAATCTTTGCATGGCCGAGGCTACCTCCCAGGCTCCAGGCAGGAGCCCAGAAACCAAACTGAGGGTAACAGGGAGTGCCCCCAAGCCCACTGCCTCCTTGGCCTGCCAGCACTGCCCTTGTCTCAGCGTGAGTGTGGGTGGTGTGAGCTCTGAGGTACCTAGTGATAACCAGGTGTACTGAGGTGTAGAGAAGACCCACCTTGGCATGCTTCTGAAAGGTAAACCTTGCCTGAGGTTGTACCAGCCTAGGAAGGATGCTTAGGGCACAATCACCAGTTCTCTAGCTTGTTGCTCTTTCCTTCCTCTCTGGTCACCTGTTCTCAGGCTCCATGACAGTGCCCTGCAGAACCCCACCACCACTACTACAAGGCCCAGCTTGTGGGCTGCACGGGAACAAGCTGTGTCCTGGGGTTAGGGAGTGGTGGGGATGTAAGAGGAACTCCACTCACACGGGACATAGTGACTGACTGGGTGAAGAGCTGTGGGCCACACTCAGGGCCAGGGCACTCAGAAGCCTTGGCACCAAAGTGGCCCCTGATAGGAGCTGGCTGGAGAGCCAGACCCTGGGGACAGACAGTCCCTGGCTAGGCAGAGAGAGGCATTGGACACCTGAGCTACTACTGCCTGCCTGAAGCAGCAGATGAGGAGTGAGCTGGAAACCCCCAGAAGATAAGCCAGTGCCCCATCTGAGATTTTCTCAGCATCAGCAATACTGATCCCTACTTATCGTGGCCCTTCCTGAGCAGCTCTTTAGCCCCAAAGGCTAAGGAGCACCTCTTCTAGCCCAGAGGCCAGCCATTCCCCACACCCTCACTCTGGGTTGAGGACCAAGGCAGGCTGAGAGCAGGAGAGTCGCCAGGTGGTTGAAATATAGTCAGAGGCCACAGGACTAATGAGTGTATGCAAAGACGGCAGCAGGGCTATACAGTAACAAACGCAGGAGGCACAAAAGGACAAAGGGAAAGTAGGGGTGACCTCGAAGAGCTGGCAGGGTGGTTATGGCCCAAGGCTCTTGTTCCAGCGGGAGGACAAGACCAGCAGAGCAGGGAAGAGGAGCCTAGCACTTTCCATGTGGTGGGCATTCAGCCTGGCACAGAGTAGGTGCTTGACAAACATTTGTCACCAGGATTAAAGACCATGGTGGACTTTTTAAAAGTTGTAGTAAAGAGAAAATGTTCAGAGCTGTTGTGGCAGTTCCCAGAGAGAATGAAGAACAGACCTGAGGGTTCCCCTTGATGGTGGAATCATCCTGTTGCCCACGTGTGGCATGCGCCGGGTGAGCAGCTCACCATGGTTCCACACAGTGGTCTGTGAGCTGATGGCTGAGGGGCAGAGAGGGGACATGGAACCTGCAGTCACCCCTCGGTTTGGCACCATGCTCCCGTTTACTCACTGCTGTCCTGGTGGGACTCCTGTTTCCCCCAAAGCTGGCCTTCCACGGGACAGTGCCAAGCCACCCTAGCACCCTTTATAACAGAGCATCTGTCCTTACCAAATGCCTCCCAGAGGCTCCCTGGATACCATAAGGAGGCCCGAGGTAAGAGGTAGAGTGGGATTAAAATGTGCCCTGCAGTAAAGTGTTTGTACCCAAGTCTTATCTGATTTCCCTTTTTCGAAGACCTGTGAAGTCAGAGGATGGCAGAGGCTGTGGAAGTTGATCTTTCTGGGTATTTATTTGTGTTCTTGATAAGCAGGAAGAGAAAGGTCATCACAAGTGCAGCCTGGAAATAAACCAATGGGAGATCTTCCCCGTGGATGGAGGAGCAGATGTTCTGAGTCTATGTAGAAGGGGGCACATGTAACGGCCATATGTTCAGAGCCCCGAGTTCTCATTTAGCTCACACAGGATTTGGTGGGGTTCTGGAGGTCCCAGGTTTTTGCCTTTACATATGAAGGCTGATAGCATCTTTGGACCCTTGGGATCCTGATTTTGACTGGGACAAGCGAACGCTCGTAACTAGTTTGTGGAACTATAGGCTGGACTCAGCACAGGTACAAGCAGAAGAGTTTTGTTCTCCTCTGCTCAGACTTCCCGGTGAATCCAAATCTTCCCCTGGCTGTGGGCTGAGGAGGGTGATGAGCTGAGGACCGCTCAGCAGTTTGGTCGCCAACACGAGGTGGCTTTCTGTCACTATTTAGCTTGGGGGTACTTGGTAATGGCTTTCCATTTTGGGCTTCCACTAGAATTCCAACACTGCAGCAACAGTCCCATCCCGTGCCCCACTCCCCATCTAGATCTTCTCAGGGAAGGTGCAAGGAGGCCTCTGTGCGAGCCGCCTGGGGCAGCCTGCAAGCTATGCCCTTGGAGAGCCGTTCTTCTCCAGATGGCATGGGCAATTTTTCGTCAGACGGTGCTTCAGGCAGAACAACTGTTTATATACTTGTTGGGACTGCAAAACGCATCCAGGTGGGGTGGGAATGGGCCCCAAAGGACTCTCTCCCCCTCCACAGGTGGTGCGATGGGCAGTGTATGGAGCGGCACTTCCAAGCCCACCCCACATTCTCCATCTGGGTGGCGTCTCTGGGCTTACTCATCTTCCTTATCCCCTTCAGACAGAGCCTCCACTAGCGAGTTGCTGATGACTCTCCAGAGCCTGTTGCTTCCCAGCAAACACTGCAGGCTGCGTGCTCACCACGTGCCAGATGCCATGAGAGGCATCTGGCAGGCAGAACCTCTCCTGACCTCCGAGTTCCAAAAATAAGGAAACCAAGGCCCAAAGAGGTTGGGGCTGCAGAGCCCAACTCACAGCGAGGTGTGGCAGTTCTAGACCTGCGCACTTTGGCAGGATGCTGGCTGCACTTCTGCTCCAGCCACGACTCTTTGGAGTCTTTGTGTCTTCCCCCATGATGTGTGACTCTGGGGTGGGCAGAGGGTGGGCTCAGTGAGACAGACCCTCTCTGGGAGCTGTTCACCTGTGCTGCGGCAGATGGCAGGGCCCCTGAAGTGGCATCCTTTCTGAGTCCTGAAGTCCGTGTGCCACAGGTGTTTTCAGACACATTTCACCTGGGTCCCTTTCAGATGACAGTGTGAAAGGAGCAGGATTACTGTCCTGCAGAACCATAGCAGTTGACGCCTCCAACCTCCTGACAAAGCTCAGGGCTTCCGGCTCCACAGAGAAAGCGGGGCCCGAGCAGCAGAGCTGTTATTCAGAACAGGTGTCCCGTGGAGGGCTGCTTTCTCTCAAACCCAAACCCCATCAAATATCCACTCCTTCTCAGCTCCCACAAATAAATGCACCTCCAGAGACTCCTCTTCTGAGCCACTTCCAGCCCTGGTGTTGGTCCTGACCCTCAATAGTCTACCTCTGTGCCATGGTGCTTGGAAATGTGCTGATGCTTGGCAGCAGGTTCAACATCAGGGAAACGATGGCTTGGAAACAGAAGTCACATCCCTGCCTTTCATGGGTGTTCGAAACACCCATCCCTCGGTAAATTGCTGACACCTTGGTGAAGGCTGACAGCCTTCGGAGGAGCTCGCAGGAAGCCCCAGGCTGAATACTGTCCAGGCCAACTGTACCAGGCCACAGCTGGGGAGGCCACTGCTCCATGCTCAGGGCACAGTAGGGGATTTAAGGGCAGTGGAGTCGACTCCTGGTTGGCTCAGACAGAACAAACAGGGTTGGGTGGGGAACGGGGCCTAAAAGTACTACAGGTTAAATAACTCAGCATCTAGAAAGCTCTAGAACAAAGCTAGCCCAGGGCCCTGCCACCCCTGACACCTGGAGGTGCTGAGTGAAAGAGCAGACTTGGTAACAAGCAGACTGTGTCCCTGTGGGAGATGTGGCCACCATGTCTCCTTCCTCATGTCCCCTAGTGCAGAGGGAGCAGAGTAGGTGCAAGGTACAGCTGGATCCGGCCATCCTGCATCCCGGGCCTCCACCAACACCCTTGAGGCTTGAGGGCTTAGGGCACTTACAGAATGCCTGTCCTGTGAATGGTGGCCAAGCGATGGACAGAGCTTCCTGGTAAAGCTAAGGGCTTCTGAGTTTGGGAAAACACAGAAAATATGGAATGTTCCGTGGCAGAAGGGCCAGCTGTGAGGAAGGTGGGGCTTTGGAAAAGGAGCAATAGTGGCCACACCTTAAAGGCAGCCCTGGAGGCAACCCAGTGTGTCTCAGGCTAAATGCAGATGTCTGCCCTGTAGACAGTGTACCGACTAATTGTATTCCATGCAGTTCAAAGTTCTGCTCATTTTTCCTGGGTCTCACCCTCCCCAGCCCCCCAATCACAGAGCACCTATCTCCCCTTGCCTTCAACTAAAGATGTGCACACACCTTCCCAGACACAAGGAGGAGCGGTGATGGGGCAGCCTTTCAGGGAGCTCTGGCTTCTGCTGGTTGGAGAAGCAGTTGGTAGCTGCTTCTAATTGGAAAGGAATGCCAGTGGGCTTCCCCTCTGGATGCTTCCCTCGAATTCTCTAAATTAACAATAAAGGCCTGGGCTGAGCAGGGCCCCCAGACCCAGAGTCAGCTCTCCATCATTCAGAGGCTGACTGTCCACTTTGGAAAATTCATGCCAGACTCTCCACAGCCTCCCTGCCTCCCACCTGCCAGCCGCCGCCTGGTTAGAATTTGAAGGCAGCCCATGTGAAGGGGAAGCAGAGACAGCACAGGGTGGGGGAAACTCAAAGCAACTGGATGTGCTGCTGGTTAAGGGCTCTGGGAAGTAGTGGTTTTTGAGAGGAGGGAGGAACTCAGCATTAAATGGACATAAGGAGAGAGACTGGGGACATCTGGCCATGTAGGCCCTTCCTGAGCCTTCACACTCATGTGTGCACCTCCCTTTGAAGTCAGGAGAGGTAATTGATCTTGCCGGACTCAGCCCAAGCCTATGATCCCTGCCCTTGAGACCACAGGCCCCAGCCCCTCTGTAAGCAGCCCTGGCCAGGCAGCTGAGCAGATGAAATATTCCCAGGCCCCAGAGTGAGCAGTGTGACTTTAAAAAGTCTGTGTTAGACTAGACTGACTGCACCCAACCTGTTCCTTTTGAAAACAGTGTCTCAGAAGGCTCAGGCCCTTACAAGCTCTGTAACCTCAAATGTCTACCAAGATGCCCAGGCTGCAGGGAGTAGCCCTCATCCCAGGGGAGAAGTGCGGTCCTTACAATGGCACAACCACAAAGGCTCTGGCCGGGGCCTCAGTCTCACCAAAGGGACTGGCCTCCTGGTCTCCAGCCCCGGTTCCTGATCCTCAGATGAAGATGTTCTGATGCCATGGGCACTTCCAGGGAGAATGGCCTGGCAAGTGGCTGTCCCTCAGTTCTCTGCAGAGGGCAGTAAGCTTCCAGAGCGAACTGAGACACCCCCGCAGGTGCCACATGAATCAGCACCATGGCTGAGTTTCCTGCTCTCAGATGTGACAGACATGGTCTTTGAAGTCACAAAGCCAACAGGTTAGGAAGCTTTTGGGCTTCAGCTCTGAGTAGGCAGGAGTTTAAGGAAACGCCCCAAATTGAAGCAACACAACAGGTGAATATTTGCTCTTATGTATCCATTCATGCCTACCATCTGCCCCAGGCAAGTTCTGGACTGAGCCCTGGGAAAAGAATGGTGATGTGACAAGCCTGGCCCTGTCATCCTGTCTGCAAGTTGATTACTAAGAAACTAGTCCAGGGCCCACAGTGGGGAAGCCCACCCACGATGGAGTGTTGGCTGGATGGGCAGACACTTGCCCAGCACCTGGTGTACAGGTATCACACACCTAAGGAGCAGAGCATTGCAGGGCTCACCATGTGTTGCAGAGCTTGCCTCTGAAGCCACATAATTAATTTCAGGTAATCATACAGCATTCATAGTTGATGCTAAGCTGTTCTAAGTGAATTCATTAATCCTTGCAGCAATCTATGAGAGAGGAACTATCGTTATCCCCTTTTTATAGATGAGGCCCAGAGGCACCATGCTAGAGTAACTTGCCCACCTCTCAGCTAGAGAGTTACAGGGCAGGGTTTGAACCCAGGAGTTCAGCTTCCAAGCCTGTGTTCTTACCTACTAAGCTATGCTGCCTCTCAAGTCATTCTAGACAATCTTGGTCACCAGCGTCTGTTTCGGGAGACCCCTTGGGTGCCTCAAACTTGGCAGGTACCAGTGGCTAGGGATAGAGGACTGCTGGTCCAGATGAGGGATGGGGGACTGTTGGTCCCGACGCTGCACACCCCACCTGGCATCCTGTCCCACAAGGGCCAGCCCATCAGAAACACCCTGGCTTCTAGAATCTGTGCTACCCAGCAGAGTCCAGGAGGGACTACAGTGAGGCCTCAGGGGTCCTAAACCCAATTTGGCAAGCACTTCTTGAGACTTCATATGCCCACTCTAGATTTCTGTGAGAGCTGGGGCCAGTCAGGTGCACAGGATTCTCATGAAGGAGGCAGGGAGCAGGAGGCTGTGGCTGGTGGCTGTGCTGTGACATTTGTTATTACTAATAACATTGACTGAGTGTTAAGCAGCTTAACATTATCTCATTTAGTGACATTCAATCCTTATGAAAAGATACCACGTGTCTCATTTTAGAGGTGAAGAGCCGGAGACACAGAGAGATTAAGTCATTGCCTGCGGTTACCCAGTAGACCAAAAATTCCAACCCATGCATGATGGCTCCAGCACTCCATCAGCACATCTGATGAGGCCACCTGCCACCCACGAGTCCCACCGAGCCTTGGCTTGAGGACAGGTGGGAGCACCCTCCTCTGCCCCTGGAACCCTGGGGCTCACACATTCCATCTTTGTGCCTGATTTAATCATGAAAACCAAGTGTTCTCTTCTTATTCAGGAGGTTGATTCTTCCTCTGTCTGGCAGGGATGTTGTAATAACCAATTAATACGCATTTGCAAAATGCTTTGAGATCCTGCACGTAGGATACCATTTGTGCAAAATCAGTTTTTTTGGTAACACTATTTGACATGAAAAATTGTCCTTTTTTCTCCTGTAGAGAGCTTTTTTTCAAAATGCCTTCCATCAAAGGGTGCAATTATGAACTCTGGAAGACTTCCTGATACCATCAAGGTAGGCAGGTACTCCCTGCCCATGTGACCTTAGAGGTGCCCCCTCAGAACCTACACCTGAGGCTGCAGTGTGCCCACCAGCCCCAGCCCCCAAGGCAGGCCTGCAGGTGAAAAGTGCTTAGCCCTGGAGGCAGTGTGCGGTCATTCACACAAATACTTCCTGGCAGGAGCTGTTCTAGGCTGCAGAAATTCAACAGGTTTCAACACAGACAAAAACTCTTGCCCTCACGGAACTTGTATTACAGGGAGGAGACACAGATAAACAACAATGGATGCGTAGATTACAACGTGGGTAGTACTTTTGAGAACAGCAACACAGAGGGCAGGGTAGGGCAGGGCAGGGCAGGGGTGGGCAAAATTAAATACGATAGCCCAGGGAAAGCCTCATCCAGAGGGGCTATGTGAGCCAGGTGTTGAAGGGGTGAGGGCACTCGCCACGCAGTCACTGGGGGAAGATGTGTCCTAGCCCCCTAGGTAAAAATAGGTCTGATGGTAGGAGTGGTATGGGAAGCTGGGGGCAGGGTCAAAGGTCCTGGGGGCCCCTGGAAGCTAACCTAAGCACTTTTGTTTTCACAATGGGTGAAACTAGATTATTGGAGGGCTTCAAGTCGAGAAGGGATGTGATCTGACTTTATATTTTAAAGGAAGCACTTTGGCTGCTGTTTTGAGAAAAGACTGTTACAGGGCAAAAGTAGGAGCATGTAGACAAGTTAGGAGGCTGTTGCAATAATTCAGCTAATGGGCACGATGGTGGTGAGGAGAGGCTGGATCATGGGTATATTCTGAAGGGCGGTGCCAAAGAGATTTGCTGATGAGTTGCATGTGGTTATTAGAAAAGAAAGGAGTCCAGGATAACTCCAGGGTTTTGGGCATGAGGACTGGAAGGATGGAGTTGCCATTAACTGAGACAGAGGAGACCATGGGTGGAGGAGGTTTGGGAGGGAAGATCAGGAGTTAATTTGGGGGCATACTGAGTTTGAGATGCTATCAGACATTCAAGTGGCAGTGTTGAACAGGCAGTTGGATAGACGAGGAGAGGGCTAGGCTGAAGATGGAAACTTGGAAACCCTTAGCATACTGACAGCATTTAAAGCTCTGAGTTGGATGAGATCACTGAGTAGGTGAATGTGGATAGAGAAGAGAAGCCAAGACAGAGCCCTAAGAGCCTCTGATGGGAAGAGGTCAGGAAGAGGAGTGGGAGCCCCAAAAGAGAATGAGAGGAAGATGCCAGAGTGGTGGGAGGAAACCCAGGCAAGTGCAATGTCCTAGGAGCCAAGAGAAGAGTGAGTCAGGAAGCGGTCAGCTGTCCCAAGTGCTGAAAGCTCAGTTAAGATGAGGACAAAGAAAAGAGACTTGTATTAGTCATTTGGAGGTCTTCGGCTTGAAAGGCAGTTTCCACGCAGTGGGATGGGAGAGGGTACAAAAGTCTCATTGGATTGGGTTTAAGATGGAGTGGGAAGAAAGGAACTGGAGAAACTAAATGAAGATAAATCTTCTGAGGAGTTTTGCAGCAAAGAACAGAATAGGGCAGTAGCTAAAAGGATAGCAGGGCCAAGAAGGCTTTTGCAAACACACGTGAGCAACCGGCATGTCTGTGGATGAGCAGAGTCAAGTAGAAAGGGGAAACTGAGGCTGTGGAAGGAAGAGGCAGTACAACCAGATGACTTCTTTGAGTAGGCGAGGGGAGGTGGAATCCAGGGCCCAGGTTGGGGATTGTCTTAGATGGATGGGCGGCAGACCCAGTTAACAGGAAAGAAGCCTGAGAGTGTGAACCGACAGAGATGGGTGGGTCGGTGTGGTGGGTGCGTGTGCAGACGTCTGTTTTCTCAGTGAATCAGGAAGCAAGGTCATGGCTGAGCGTGAGGATAAGGGAAGAGATGTGGAAGTCTGAGGAGGGAGAAGAAGGTCGGGAACGATTGTGTAGGAGAGTGAAAGAGGGACAGATGCAGAGGAGGCGGAGTGATCTTTGGGCAGCTTTCGGGACCCACTTGAGGGCCCTAGTCCTGAATCCAAAGTGAGACTAGTCAGCAGGGTGGCCGTTTCCCCAGCATGTTCAGCTACCCGGGTATAAGCAGACAGCACCCAGACAGATTTCACCAGGGCTGGAGGGTTGTCAAGAGAGGGTAAGGGAATTGAGTGTGTGCAACAGTATCATTCCAGTGATTTAAATTCCATGGAATTCCATGGTAAGGAGGAAGCAACATCACCACAGGTGACAGGCATACAGTTGGTCAGTAGATTCCCGGTGGGGCTGAAGAATTCTTGGAGTCTGGATACCAGACAGAATAAACCAGAAGAGATGGGAGGTGATCAGAGAGTAGGATGCCTGTAGATATGAGTTTTCAGGCTGCTATAATTTGTAATGACAGTGTCTGGACTCCAGGATATGGCCACCTGTAAGGTGGAGAGTTGGCAGGTAATCAACTTGGATGTTTAAATCACCTGGCACTTACACAGGTGGCATATAAGGGAGACTGCTGTTAGCCATAGGCTACAACACAGGAAATGGGGTGGGGCATAACCCAGAGTCAGCAGGTGACTGCAGCAAAGAGGGGCGGTGGGTGGCACGTGGAGCATGCACGGGGGTTTCCCTTTCTCCCTGAGAGCAGGTTCTCTGAGGCAGGGTCTCTTTTTATGCCCATTTTACAGAAGAGGAACGGAGGCATCAAAAAGTTGCACGTGGTGGTAGAGATGAAACTCAAATCAGGGGATGTCCTCCAAAATTAACACCCTGGACACCACACAGAGTACCTTCCAACACAGACAGGTTGACCATGAGTAAGATTTGGTCCCTGGCCCCAGGGAGTCCACTCTTCTATGGGAAAACAAGACGTGTGCAAAAACAAGGCAAAAGGCTGTGGGACGGTTGCCAAAAGAACGCCATGGAAACTGAGAGGAGGGTGTAACACAGCTAAGCAAAATAATGCTATTAGTCTTCACAAAGGAGGGCACGATGGGATTTCACAGGCAGGTATGGGAGTGGGAAAAGGCATCCCAGTCAGAGGCAACAGCCTAAGCGTAAGAACAGATGGGAAGGCTCCAGACCATCTAATATGGCCAACTCGTCCCGTGCCATGGACAAATAAAAGAGAAGAAATGATGCAGGAGGGAGGGATTAGAACGATAACAGCAAGGGCGTGTGTTAGGGAGCTAAATGCAATCACACACAACCCCCAAATCTCAGGGGCTTAGTGCAATATTTATTAGTGCAAAGATTTGTTCTCCATTCCTGTAACAGCTCAAGGCTGGTGTTCAGTTTCTGTGCACACAGTGACATGGGGACTCGGACACCTTCAGGATGTGGTTCTTCCGTCTCCTGGGGCCTCAGATTCCTTTACTGGATGCTGCATCTGGCCGGTATACAGTAGGATGGAGAGAGTAGAGAGGCTTGCAGGAGCTGTTTTGGAGCCCAGCAAAGCCCTTGCACCCATCCCTCCTGACACATTCCACTGGCCAGAACTCAGTCATATGGATGCCTCAACTACAGGAAGAGCTGGGAAATGTAGTCCAGCTGTGTCCACAGGAGGGAATGGATGCAGGTTGAGGTGAACACAGAGCATTCTCTGCCAAAGACATGCAGGCCACAGAGTTTGGGCATGTCAAGGAAGCCAGGGAAGCATGGAGGGTGTGGTCAAAGTCAGTTTGAGGAGGACCGACCTGTAGACACCCACAGGGAAGAGTGAGGACTAGGAAACTCCAGAGACTGTAGAAGACCTGAACACAGATGCAAAAGTGGGAACAGAAAAGGGCACAAAAAGAAAGATGATTCTGGGAGGCTCTTGTGGCCCTTGCGTGGGGTGGCGGTTGGGAGAGAAGGAGCTGAACAGTGAAGACCATTCCGAGAGTTCGCCACAGGGCCAAGATGGCCGCCTGCCTCTCCTTCTTAGCTCTGGGGGTGCCGGAAGGCAGGGTCAGGCCCTGTGGAGATGGAGTGGCGGGAGGTGGCTGTGACGGTCCTCCGCAGTCCATAGCCTGGCCCCACAGAGGGGAGAAGAAAGGATCTCTTTTAATTTTCTTCTCAGGCCTCCACCTGACGAAGGAGAAATATCACCCAACATTGTTATCTCTCAGAAAATACTCTCTGGAATCATAAAAAGGGAAATACAGTGAAGCTAGACCACGAAGGCTGCCCCTTAAATCAGGAGCTTCTAAATTATCACAGTGGCGCTCTCTAATTCCTCGGAATGAAAACATTAAAGATGACAATGTCCCTTTAAATCAAATGCCCTGGGAGTTGCTGTAAAGAGTCAGTGGGCTTTTTTTTTTCCCTTGTGAGGATTTTTTTTTTGTCTCTTTTCACCTTATAATAAAATATAAATCATAACTTGTGGGGGCAGGCTCTACAGAGCAAGCTGTGAACATGGATTTTCTGAAAATGAAGGTTTTTTTTAATGGGAATCATCTCATCTCAGGAAGCATGAGAGTCTCAAATGATGAGTTTGCTACTTCACACTTTCTTTTTTTTTTTTTGATTCACAGGTGGGCCTCAGGCCTAGCTGTGGCACCACTGTGATGAATCATGATGGCACACCCCAGGAGGCCAGTGGGCTGACTCAACCCCTCCTGGAGCGGCCACTGTGCTCAAGCTGTGCGAGGTAGGGGCAGGGAGGCACAGCCTTGGGAGGTAGCATGTAGAGGCAGGAGGACTGGGGCCTGGAGGAAAGGGCATGGTTCACACCCCTTGGCCCCTTCCAGGCAGGCCTGGTGGTCTGAGCTCTTGTGCCACAAAGAGAACCCAGAGGCTAGTGCAGCCCCAGGAGGAAGGGTTGGGAGCCACGGGTCAGAGAAGGCTGCATGGCAAGGTGGACTTGTTTTCTGCATTCTGGTGTGGAAAAGGGGTCAGAGATGGAGAAAGAACTGGCGAGTTGACCCAGGCTCGGGAAGTACCAGGGCAGCACGACCCCAAGGGTCTGCCCTTGGTCTGCCACTCCCCTCTCTCTGCGATCCTCCATCTGCCAGTGCCCATCTCCATGGGCTGGGTGGAGACTCAAGGCCTGGCAGGGCCAAGTCTGGGAAGCTGCTGGACAGTTGTAACCAAGGTAGGAAAGCAGTCTCTGATATTTTAGAAAAGTGTTCAAGGCTTAGGTCTGAAATCGCAGGGCTTGCTGATTAAAACATGTACCCTATGGCCCACAGCCCTCTCCCCTCCCACTGAACTAGCCAAGCATCTTCAGAAAGGCTGGCTCTTCTCATCAACTCCATGGCCTTCATCCTGACCCCTGGCTTCCCTCTGTGCTCCGTCCACACCCTCCCCACCTCCCCTACACCTGTACAGGAACTGAGGCCTGCAACAGGTCACTCTTGCCCTGCGGTTGGCTTAGGCAGAGAACACTCCTATCTTTATCCAGTCTGACCTCTCTGCAGATCAGGCCCTCCGGACCTCTCCCTCCTTGAGACGCTCATTTGCTCTCCACCTTTTTGGCCACCTGTTCTCCATCTTATTTGAAAGTGAGCTCCTTTCCCCTGCCAGCCCCTTACACTTTCTTGGTAGAGAGCCAGGATGTAGGCATCTTAGGCCTTGTAAGCCATACAGTGTCTACCACAGCCACTGAACTCTGACATTGCAACGTGAGGCAGCTGTAGATAAAATGTAAACAAATGAATGTGTCTGTGTTCCAGTAAAACCTGATTTACAAAAACAGATGGAGGGCCTGTCTGAGACACTCAGGTGCGCTGCTCCCCTCAATTTACTCTGCCCTGGGGAGGGTCTTGTCCCACCCACGCCTCCAGACATGAGGTTTCCAGCACCAGGTCTTCAGAAGTCCCTAAGGTCCAAGGGGACCAAGAGGTCCAAGGGTCATTACTTAGAGGCACCACACACTTAGTGTGACTCAACGGCCCGCTCTTCCCCCAAACTCCCCTCCCCTCCTGTGTCTCCTGTCTCACCAACATACTTTCCCCCTTCCCATTGTACTTCTTTTGTAATCGGATTGTTAAGTGCTTCCAAGTGGGCGGTTGAGTCTTTGAGAGCTGCACGTGACCTTGAGCGCAGGCTCAGGAGATGGGTGGGGAGTCGGAGACGGAGGCTCTAGGGAGACTGAGGGGCTGGGAGATGCGGCACAAGAGTGGGAAGCCCAGCACTGCGGACTCACTGGGCTCGATCTCCTCCCTGACGGGCTGGCCAGCATTCAGCTGTATTGTCATTTCAGTGGGGTCCCACAGGGGGTCATGTTGAAAAGAAGCAGCCCACATTGCAGGCGAGGGACCGCGGGCCAAAGGCAGGTGGCCTGGAGCCATGGGCCCCTGTCTGCCGGCCTGTCCATCCCCAAGTGTGCTGAGGTCACTGAGCTGAGGGCAGTGCTTAGAGCCATCCAAGAGGGCTCCAGGGGCGGGGACTGTGTTGGAGGCCACATGCCACCCTCTGCTGTGGTTCCTGCTTTACCTCATCCTAGGAGACCACACAGCCTAGGCATAATGCCTAGAGCTAAAATTCAGGGGCTTCAGATAGCCATGTCATAATCCACAGACCCAGTGGAAAGTACAACTCCCTGGGGCCCCAGTCGCCCGTGTGGGACCCCTCCCCAAGGCTGCTGGCCTGCTGGGAAGCAGGGATGCCAGATGAAGAGGGAAGACCCAGGCTGGAAGCTTTGCCTTATCTCCATGCCACAGAGGCTCAAGGACTCCCCGATGGCCCTCACAGGAGCTCTGCCCCCAGCTCCATTTTCCTCATTCGCCCAGTGCTGGCGGCAGAGGGCATCAGCAGAGGTGCAGGCATTGCGAGTGCCCTCTGATGCAGCTCCAAACATTCTGTTCACTTAGAGCAGCAAACAGTCTCACCTGTCTCCTGCTCATCATGGGTACATAAAATTCCCTGTTGTTTATTCACTCTCCTCCTCACAGTCCTGGATGGCAAGACACAGTAATTAATCATCAGGCTGCTTTTGCGAGGGGCCACACCCTGCTGGTGCTGCACCTGGGCAGCTGCCTAACAGATTGGCTGCCGAAGGTTTGTTCTGAGGCTGAATTCTTGATCTTGGCCACTCTCTCGGGGATGGAGAGCCATCAGCACCCACTTTGCACGCAGGCCTCACTCCCGGCACACTCTCAGAAAGGCCCTGGAATTTATTTTGCCCATTTGAATACAAATGCAATTGAGACAAGATTCTTTTTGTTTCAGAAGTCATTGCTTCATTTCTGTTTCTCGTCAAGTGAACTGACAGCCAAAGAGAGTTGAAATAAACAACTCTGTGCCTGGCTGAGCCAGATGAAATAAGTCCCCCCACCCATCACTGAGACATGGTACCATCAGGTTGTGTTACCAGTTAAGGGCTTGGTGCTGGTCTTTGGGCAGCTCTGGAGGCAGAATGTCAGGCTTTGGGCTACATCTGTGCCAGGACAGGCTGCAGGACTAGTCCCAGAGTTGGGCAAGCTGGAAGACAGGTGCCTACCACAGCAGGACACCTGCCCCTCTGCCCTGTGTCTTAGAGGCCTTTTCCTTCAGCATGGATCCTGGGGAAGGGAGACACATGCAGTCATTCATTCAGGAAGGGGAGAAAGTGGCAGCCAAGGCCCCACTCTCAGGAGCTCCTGACCCATCTAGGGAAGTGGGGCTCCCAGGCAAGAAGGAGGTATGTAAATATCAAGTGTTAAACCACAGGGTTGGGATGATAGGTGCTGTGGAACCATCTGGGCTTCCTGGAAGAAGATGGGCTTAGGCTGGATCTTGAAGAATGAAGGTGGGATATATTTGGACAGATAGAGAAGGAAAGGGCTCTACTTCAAGGCAAGAGAAAGGCTCAGAAGAAGGATTAGGAGTGGGGATTCAAGAATATAATTCCTTCAGTATTAAGTACCTGCTAAAGGTGGGCAGATCAATAGCGGGGCAGTTGGGGTTGTGACCTCATTTTCAGCTCTGCCCTGCTTTGCCCTGAGGCTCCAGACCTCGCAGCCCCCAAGGTTCCCACTGTTATCCCAGTTCCCAAGGGCAGCTGGGATCTGACCTTGCTCCTGAGAAATGCTGCATGAAAGAGGGGCATACACTCTGTGGAGCTCCCTTGCCCAAGGGCCTCCTCCAGGCCAGGCTGTGCCTCTGAGCCCAGGCTGCAGAGACGGGAGGATGGCACAGCACCACCTCTAGGGTATGGAGAGCAGCCTCTGACAGACCCTCACCTCAGTCTTTGTAGAAAGAGAGCAGACAGTTTTCCTGTAACCGAGGAATAATTCTCAAGGTGGACATGCGACCCAGAAAAATGGAGTGATGCTTAGTCCCCAGATGCCCCCTCCAGCGCTGTCCAGCTGTCCTGACAGGGGCTGCCACTCGGATAGGTCAGTCAAGCGAGGCCAGAGCCCTTTTCACAGGCACCTTGGGGCCTTGGGTCTACCTTCACTTTCCAGGACACAAAGGCTCTCCCTAGGCAGGCTCTGTCCCAGCATCCAGGGCCAAGGGGCTCAGGCAGAGGCTCTTTAAAAGCTTGGTGCTTCATCTTGATGAGTTTCTTGCTGGGGGCTCTGAGCATTGTGACTGTGACAGGTTTTGAGCCCCTCGTGGCTGGGCAGGGTCTGTGTTTGGTCTTGTGGGTACTGAATATGAAGCTGTTTCCAGATGAACAGCAACATCGCTCCAAACAGTTCAATTCAGTGAGCGGGCCAGGAGTGGGGCCTGGGCAGACCCAGACAGGCCTGGGAGGGGCAGGCAGCAGCCTCTCCCTGGCTGTGCTGCTGAGGGTGCCTGGGGCTCCCTGTCCCACCATGGGGGACCCCCGGGACAGAGGGGCCTCTACTACAGGGCCCCTGCAGCCTGTCTCCAAAACTCTCATCTAAGGCCTGCAGAGTCCGCAAAGCCCCACCCTCAGAAAGGTTAAGTCACTCACTCCCAGGGCTACCTAGTTAGTAAGAGGTGGGGCTGGAATACTCAAAATACATTAATCATTTTTTAAAATAATAATTGTTCTTTACTGAGGCATTACTTTGTGCCAGGCACTACGTTAAATCATTTATATTATATGTAGTTCAGTCCTCAAACAGGTACTATTAGTAACCCCAGTTTACAGATGAGATGACTGAGGTTGGGCAATAGCACAGCTGGGATTAAATCCAGGCAAGTCCAAGTCCAAAACAAACAGCCTTTCTCTGCTTTCCTGAGGCAGGAGATTGGGGATAAGGCATGAGGGAGAGATGCAGAGTGCTTGTGATGTGGCAGTCATGGAAGGCAGGCTCCCTGGAGGAGGTGGTGTTTGGCATTTGAATGGCATCCAGAAGGATGTGTGTGATTGGAGTAAAGGGCAGGAAGAACAGTGGGAGCAAAGAAAGACACTGAGGCTGGAGGACACAGAATACATTCAAGAAACGGCACTGCTGTCATCCTAGAGCAGAGTGCGGGCAGCAGGAGGCAGTGGGGACCACAGTGTCAGGTCAGTCAGACTATAGAGGCCTGGAATGAGAGGCCAAGAACAGCCATCCAAAGCTCTGGGCAGGGGAGAAGCAGATCCAGGGCTGAGCTGGTTGGGATGCCTATGCCTGCATCTTAGGAAATGAAATGACCCAACTGCGGCCTCCATCATAGGCCAGCACCCAGGTAGCATCCTGAGCCACTGCTGATTTAAGAGATGTGCATGCAGCTGTCATTCACAGACTCCCAGCAATAGTGTTCACCTCCTCGGTAGAATAGTCACCTACAAAGCATTTTTTTTTTTTTTTTTGAGATGGAGTCTCGCTCTGTCACCCAGGCTGGAGTGCAGTGGTGCGATCTCAGCTCACTGCAAGCCCCACCTCCTGGGTTCATGCCATTCTCCTGCCTCAGCCTCCCGAGTAGCTGGGACTACAGGCGCCCGCCACCACACCTGGCTAATTTTTTGTATTTTTAGTAGAGACGGAGTTTCACCATGTTAGCCAGGATGGTCTCGATCTCCTGACCTTGTGATCCACCCGCCTCAGCCTCCCAAAGTGCTGGAATTACAGGCGTGAGCCACCGCGTCCGGCCAACCTACAAAGCTTTAACACACTGAAAGCAGAGGATTTCTGCCTGAAAAGCACTGGTATTTGGACTTGTGAACATAAAGATGGGAATGCAACCAGGCAATGCAGGGGCTGCCTAGAGTCAAGGGTTTGTTTTTAAGTAAGAGAGACAGAATGATATTTACAATCAGTACTTCTCAAATTAGGTTTTCTTTTTATGGGATTGAAAATTCTCCATTCAAGCCCCATGGAGAGATGTGGTCTGAGGGCAGCATTGAGGCGATCAGTGTGTCTTAAAACTTCCAGACGCTCACAGACACTTAAAGTAAAAACAGAGAGAAACAAAATTGTTTCCAAAAAGCAGCAAAGAAGGCTGATCTGCTTGTTAGGATCCTTGCAGTCCACTGTGGGCCAGCTCAGATGCCACCTCCTCCAGGAAGCCCTCCCTAAGTCCCCTGCCTGCAGTCCTACCTTGCTTCAGATGCATAGTGGAGGGTCCCCAATGTGATGATGTGGCCTCCAGCTGGGGCAACATCCATGGGCTCCAGAGAGCCACAGGGGTCATGAGTTGACTTTTTAAGCCTTTTGAACCATAGCCTATGGGTGAGAAGAAAGGTTTTTGTCAAGATTGAAGAGGCGATTAACTTGTAGCGGGTGGATGTACATCAAAAACGTGCTCCACAGAAACAAGATCTCTTCAGAAAAAGTTAGGTCTCATTGCAAGTGTTTTTACATGCCTGAATGTGGAGATCTGGGTAGGGCCTCCAAAGCTCTAAGGTCCGTTGTCCCTCTCTGTTAGTACCTAGCAAGTGTTAACCGTGTGCCTGATACATGCTAAATACTTTTCACATATTCAGTCCTCACTAAAAGTCTATGAGGCAGATTCTGAGTCCCATTTTAAAGAAGAGGAAACTGAGGTCCAGAGAGGTTAAGAAATTTGCCCAAGGTTGCATAGTCAGTAAATGGTGGAGTTGGGATTAGAACCCAGGCTCCTAAGCACTGCACAACATCACACCCAGGGATGCTTAGAGGTCAGCCTTGTGTCGTGACCATGTCACACACACACCTAGGTTGCAAGTGCCATGGACACAGGGCAGGTCAGATTCTGCTGTGCTCAGGCACCCAGGACAGGGCTTGGCACAGAGCTTAGTTATTGGTGCCCTGGCAGGTGGGGCCACCGATCCAGCTCCCTTCCTAGGACTTCGTGCTCTGGGCAAGTGGTCAACCCTGAGAGTGCTGACAGCCCAGTGGACAGGTCTTGGCAAAGTCTATGCCTGGGCGTGGCCTAGCCTGCAGGCCCATCCTGAGGTTTATGGAAAGTGAATCACCAAACCGGGCCAGGTGGTGCTGAGCTGGGTGCAGCTGGGGCAGCGAAGGAGCCATTGGACCTCATAGTCTGAGTGATCCTCAGAGACTGACTCGCCAGGGAGTTTTGTGTGACTGACTGACTCCACAGCTGGGAGCTTTGTGTGACTTCCTCACAGAGGAAGATCACGTGAGATGAGTGAGGGAGGCTCCTTGTGGTGGCAGGACATGCCCTTGGCCTTGGAGGAAACAGGGAAATCATTCCTTTGGAACTGTTAAGAGGAAAATGTGAGAATTCAGATCCTACTCCATGGCAGTTCTGAGGGTAATATTTTAGGGCCAAGGGAATGGGGCACCTTTCCTGCCCAAGTCAGAGAGAACCTTTGGTACCAGAGGCAGCCTTCAGGGAAAGGCTAGGGTCCCAGCCAGCTGGCACCTGACTGAACCTCACTTGAGCTGTATGTGTTCCCCTCATTCTGCCAGGACACTGGTCAAAGCTGAAATATTATTACTATTACAAGATTTTAGCAGTGCCACCTCCATCAAGATTTCCATTTGTCTTCTCGCTTCTCTTCTCATTGTTTACAAATATTTCTTGACTTCTCTCTCTTCTTTCAAACAGTGCCCTGCCCATTTATAATCAGAAGACAAATAAACTTTGTGCAAATCTCCCTGTTCCCTCATGAACTAGCCAGGCATAGAAGGGGCAACACCAAGGGTGTGCCTATTGACTCAATGCCATGTTTTGACCACTCTCAGGGCCGCCCAGTGGGGCTTCCATAGCATCACCTATCATCTTGTGCCCACTTACTCCAGAGCCTTCGCTGGCTCCCTATTTCCCACCTCACCAAGTCTGAGCACCTCTGCCTGCTCGTTAGGTCTCGTGCCCTAGCCAGTCCTTTCACAGCACCCTGACACCCTACTCAGCCTGTCTCTTCCCGTGGGTCTGTTTACTCCCCTACCCTACCCCAGGACTTCCTCCAAGCAAAAAGCTAATATGTTAAGGAAGGCAAGGACCATGTCAGATATCCTCCAGCATCTGACACCGAGCATCCTCTCCAACTTGAGACAGTTTATAATCATTTCAAAGTAGAGAATGCCAAGAAGACTGGCCTGTGGGGGTTCATCCAAATCTTGGATGCCTGAATCTTCTCCAGGAGGGTTGCCCAAGGACTTAAGAAAAAGAGCGAGTGTCCAAGGCAGAGTCCAAGGAGTGGTTCCAGAGCAGCACATGCCAGGGGCTGTGTCTGCACAGGTTGAGTGGGAAGAGGAAGAGGATAATGGCAAGGATGTAGAGGGAGGAGACTGCCCGGGCAGGCACTGCTCACATCAGCAGGGCGTCAGCAGCAAAACTACTGCTGCCCTCTGCCCACTCCTTCCCCTCCCTCCAGTCCCACTTCTGCCCTGAGGGGCATCTGTCTTAGGATCAAGAAGAAATGTCACACTCCAACAATTGAAGGATAGTGTTTTTAATGACTTGACTCACTCTAATTAGAGGAAGCAACACTTTGATTAGCAGCAGTCTGACCTGGGAGCATGGACTTGTGAGAATTGCTCCTTATGATGTGCTTGGAGTTCCAAATTTGCAGATGGTCTCTCTGAGGTTGGGGCTGGATCAGCGTGAGAGAAGGGACAGTGCTGGGCAGCCCCCTCCCACATCTGTGGAGATAACATCTTGCCTTCTACATGTGTCTCCTGGTCTTTGCCTGATATGGTTTGGTTCCATGTCCCCACCCAAATCTCATGTTGAATTGTAATTCTCAATGCTGGGGGAGGGACCTGATGGGAGGTGATTGGATCATGGGATCAAATTTCCCCCTTGCCACTCTCATGATAGTGAGTTTCCACAAGATCTGATGTTTTCAAAGTGTGTAGCACTTCCGCCTTTGCTCTTTCTCTCCTGCTCTGCCATATTAAGACATGCTTGCTTCCCCTCTGCCTTCTGCCATGATTGTAAGTTTCCTGAGGCCTCCCAGCCATGCTTCCTGTACAGCCTGAGGAACTGTGAATCAACTAAATCTCTGTTCTTCATCAATAACCCAGTCTCAGGTAGTTTTTTATAGCAGTGTGAGAACAGACCAATATATTGCCCTACACCCATGCAGTGCTGTGAGCCAACAGCCCACTGTCCAATTCCTCATAATGGTTTCTATGAGCCACTGCCCCTGGCAAATGCACCTTATGGTCAAACATCTCCAGGGCCTGCTCTCAATTCTACCCCAAGCAGCACTAGAATTTCCTTACCCCTGGGGATCTGCTGCCCCAGGTCTGTATAGGAAGGAATGCCACCATGTGTCTGGCATTATTTGGGATGAACAAGAAGGTGAGAGAGAGAAGTGGAAAGCAGACTGTCCCCCTGGATCTGGACCATGTAATAGACTCCTCACCAGCTGTGTCTCTTGTATTGCTTTCTTTGTCACTTGCCAATGGACACATCTTTCCAAGACAGGGCCCAGGTCACTGTCCACCATTTGGACAAGGGCCAGCCCCACCAGATGGAGTCTCAAGGCACGGCATGGCCCCGTTAGAGCCTTGGAGAACACTGCCACACACACACACACAGACACACACACACACACACACACACGCTAGGCTTAAAGGCCCAGAGGACCCCAGGAAGCGCAGCACACCTTTAGGATGCAAACGGTTCAGGACACCCAGTTTCTCCACCACCACTCTTGAAAATCTCTGTCACCAATGAGCAGCTCTCAGAGGTGAGCAGCAGGTTTCCCTTGTGCCTGGTGAGAAAACAATGGCATGTTTACTTTGGTGGGGTACATCTCCTCCAGCCCAGGGCCCCAACCTTGTGCTAACAGACATTCCATGCCCCTCTGCTCCCAAATCATTTCTCAGAACTTAACAAGTGTTAATGGCTATCTCTTTGGAAAGAGACAAGTGTCAGATGAGCATTGCAAGACTGTAGTATTTGTTTAGAGAAAGTTGTCTTCCTGGGAAAGGGGCTTCTGCTCTTTGTGGTAACAAGGTCAGTACAGACCCTTTCAGAGCGGTAGTTCAGGGCCTCAGACAACTAGGGCAAGGGTGACAAACCCCTGGTTCAATGGGGCTGAGCCCAGGTGAGGGTTCAGGGCAGTTCCCATTGACCAGATGGAGTCAGCAGGCTTCACTCACTGGTGAAGCAACTCAGGTCTCTGTTCAGGGTACACCAGAGCAGTCCCAGCCCCCAGGGCACGAAGAGGGGATGGCTGTCATTCCCAGAACGGAAGACCTCTGCTCCCACCCACAGGAGCCACTGCTGCACCTCCAGCTCACCCCCAAGAAGAATCGTATGGGAGAAATGATCCTGCTGCTAATGGGATTAAAATGCATTTTGAGTTTTCCAATTACATATTTCAATTATTCCGTGAATGTTAATTGGAACTCAACAATGCAACTGTGAGCTGGCCAGAAACCAGAACTGGTGGCTTCTCCCCCAAATGGCCACAGATTTCCTACCCTGGAACATGCAAGGATCTACCAGGAAGACTCCTCTGGGGCCCCAGTGTTTCAGGAATTTCTACCACTGCCTGAGCATGTGGTTTGGTGCTCCTGGCCGTGTTCATGTGTGCCCACAGAAGGGCACATACTGTTTCCTCTGCTTGGAAGCCCCTCCTCAGGCCCTACCTTCCCATCTTCTGGGCAAACTCCTTTAAGACTCAGTTCAAGTGTCCCCTGCTCAGAGAGGCCTTAAGGACACCACAGATGCCCACCAAGCATTTCCCATGTCTCTTCTCATCTGCCTCCCCTGGACTCACTCATCCGCCATTCCCAAGAGCTTACATGGGGCTTGGCACATCATGAGTGCTCTATGAATTCATGCTTCGGGGAAAACATAGGTGCTCAGATTCCTGACCAGTTCCACCCACCTGATAGGCCAGGCTCTGGCCTGGTCTCTAGTCTGGGAGCCTAGAACCTTGGATTTCAGACCCAGGTTTGTCAACAACTCATCTAGTGAAATTTCAGCCACCACACTCCCCAGAAGTCCTGACCCAAACCCCATGACCTGCTCCTTTGAGACCCAACCCATGCCCTGGAAAAGCCAAATCCTCCAAAATCTATATCCCCTCTTCATGTCCTGGGGGCTGGGACTGCCCTAGTCCAGAACAGGGGGCCTTGCCAGTGCAGACCCTCAACTGGTAGCTCAGGAGAAAAGAAAACCCCTCCCTGGCCACTCCCCTTCCGTCTGCTTGTCCATCACAGCCTTCCACTTTTATTCTCTGGTTCCAGCTATTCAGCCCAAATCATAGAAGAGTCCTGGCCCAGGACTGCAGCAGCTTTTAGGGAGCTCAGCTTGGGAATCCTGCAGAGCTGGGCAGATTTACCTCTCTGAGTCTCAGTTTTCTCATCTGTACAATGGAAGTAATTGTACAGAAACATTGTTCTGAGGGTTCAAGGAGAAAATGTGTGTAAAGGGCTTAGCAGAGTGCGAGGCAGGGTGCTCAGGGAATGTCAGATTTTATTACTGTTATTATCTGCCTCCTAAGTCCCACCTATTTCAGAGATATTTTCCTAGGAAAAGGGTTTCAGGCAACAGTCAGCAGGGACCTTCTGAGGTCTCTGGACTCAAGACCTTGAAGTGTCCCTCAAGGCCATTAATGCAGATCACAAATACCAGGCCCAGGATTTGAGCTAAAGGAGAGAACCAGCTGGCTCAGGGCTCCAAGGAGGTTGGGCTGGTGGAAGGGGCAGGACAAAAGCAACTCCAGGGGGTGTCCCAGACACAGGGACCGGTGTGCAGGCTCACTGCTCACCCACCAACTGTTTACCCAGCACGTTCCATGTGTGGGGCACTGGGCAGGCTGCTGGCATTTAATGGTAAGCAAAGCCAGATGTGGTTCCTGCCCTTGGAGAACTTACAGTTCTAGGGAGAAAGATAGGAAAACAGCGGCAGTCTACTCTAGATAGGGTAGTTATGGGTAGGGCACCTGTCTGAGGGATAATGTAAAGGAAGAGACAGGGAGGTGAGAGGAACTAGCCAGATGTCCAGGAGACCTGGAGACAGGGAGGCGCTTGCTGTAATCAAGGGCTGGAGGCAGGCCAGCGTGGCTGGAATGTGGAGGGCCAGGGAAGCTGTAGGGGAGGCCATCACAGAAGGAGGGTGGTCTTTACTCTGTGTTCAGTGGCTACCCTGTGGCTCTGAGTGGGCCTTGGTTTTGGAGGATGTGTGTTCCCAGGCTCTTTGCTAAGCCCTGGCAAAACACCAGGAGCAAGACCAGGCAGCTGAGGGGAGCCTCCCAGTTGTGGTCAGTATCTTGGAGACCTGCTTTGGGGCTGGGGACTTGGTGCTGCCACATTTTGAGAGCAGTTTTCAGAGCAGCTTGGGGATGACTTTTATGCCTCATCTGCACACCCCTGGCCCAGTCCATGTCCCAAATGGCATCAGTCTTGACTGGGAATAACTCAACTCACAAATATTTATGCCTGGGCTCTGAGGTGGCGAGCTCTGTGCTAACTGCAGAGGGTCTGAGTGGGCCAACTGAGCCTGCAACCTGCCATTTCAAGGTCTCTCCCCTCACCCCCTCCCCATACCCACCTGCCACTTGCCACCTAAATCCTGTCCATGTAATGAGGCTGGGGTTGGCAATGAAATGATTGGCCAGGGGTCAGAGCAGGTGGCCACATTGAGGCCTAGAGGGTACTAGAGGTTGATTTGCTCCCTGAGTGCAATAAGGACCTTCCATGGGTTTCCTAGGGCTGATATGAGAGATGATCACATGGTGGCTTTAAACCACGTAAACGTGTGCTCTCACCACTCAGGAGACCAGAAGCCAGAAATCAAGGTGCTGGCAGGATCACACTCCCTTCAAAGTCTCCAGGCCCTTGCCTCTTCCACTTCTGGTGGCTCCTGGTATTCCTTGGCTTGCAGCAATGTAACTCCAGTGTCTGCCTCCATCTTCACAGGGCCTCCTTCTTTGTCCCCCATGTCTTCTCCTCGTCTCATAAGGACACCAGTAAGCGGATTCAAGCCCACAGTAAATCCAGGATGATTTCATCTCAAGATCCTTAAGTAATTATATGTGCAAAGATCCTATTTTCCAATCAGGTCACATTCTGAGGTTCTAATAGACATGAATTTGGTGAGGGGTTGGGGACACTACTCAACCCACCATAGGCCCCAAGGAGGATGCCCCTGCCACATGACCCTGCCTCATGCCCTGACGTGGGTCTCATAGGCCTACCAGCCCTGTGGCCCCTCCACCCCACCTGACCACTCCGATCCTGTGGCTTCCACCCTCCCCGTGCTCACATTCCCCTTGGACCATCCTAGGAGATGTGTGCACGTGGCCAACCCAGACTCAGCCTGCATCTCCTTGCCAGGCTCCTGGGCCCCACCTGTTGGCAACAGTCTAAGGCAGCATTCCTAAACATTTTTGGCACCAGGGACTGGTTTCCTGGAAGACCGTTTTTCCACAGACTGGGAGTGGGGGAGCAGAACAGAGATGGTTTCGGACAAAACTGTTCAGCCTCAGATCATCAGGCATTAGATTCTCATAAGGAGCACATTACCTAAATCCCCCACATGCACAGTTCGCTATAGGGTTTGTGCTCCTTTGAGAATCTAACGCTGCTGCTGATCTGACAGGAGGCAGAACTCAGTGCCCGCCGCTCACCTCCTGCTGTGCAGCCCGGCTCCTAACAGGCCATGGACCATCCACGGCCTAGAGATTGGGAACCCCTGGTCTAGGGCACTAGGAGTACAGAGAACACACAGTCAGTTCTAAAGAACTTCTCTATAGAAACTGACATTCTTTTGCACGAACCCCCAGCTTCACAGCAGCATTTGAGTTGCAACCACACAGTATAAGCCTGCTGGCCAGGGCTGGCAAGTTGCTGGGGCCTCCCAGTGCAGGGCGGGCAAAACACATGTGCAGCTACATCTTCAGCTACTCAGGCCCAGGAAGGCTGTTACTACCCTGTATACCTGAGGCTACCTTGCCATCTGGGCTTTAGTTGATTCGTCTGTGGGAGGAGCAGGGGATCAGATTGTCTTGAAGGGCTCATGCCTGCCTAATATCTTGGTCTGGAGCAAGAAATGCCCCTGCATAGCTGTGAGGAAGCGGCTGGCGTTTTCTAGATGGCAGTGGCCTGCAGACCTATTGGAACCCTCTCTAGGGAGGAACATGTCCCTCTGAGCTCAGCTCCTAGGGTCCAGTGCTCCACTGAGGTCTTCCTTGCACCTCTCATGTCCGCCAAGAGGTTTCCTGATGCCACCTCACCTGGTATGGCCTTCTGGGACAGGCAGGAGACCAGGTCTGAGCTCCCTTAGACTGTGTTGCAGGGAAAAAGTCATCACTAAGACACACCCAACTCCTGAGAGAACAGGAAGCATACGCTGGTATCAGCCCTGACAGAACGTGGGAAAGAAAGTTCCAGCACAGACAGAGCCCTGCTGGGAGCTGGGACTCCTGAAAATGGAAGGGCTCTCCATGTGGCTGGAGGACAAGTAGGATTTGGGAACACAAGCCAAGACTGCAGCCGAGGTGTGGCAGAGGGCCTGGGGAGCTGAGAGAGTTACACAGGGCTTCACAAGACCCCTTTGCTCCAAACAGACATGCCACATGGAACCCCAGAGCTCTAGGGAGACAGGCCTCTGGACAGGATGCCTAGCCCTCCTATAGACTGGCCGTTCTTGCAGCCAGTCATGGGACCTCTCTGCTTCTGAATGTCACTGTGTCAGCCCAGCAGCCCTTTGTACAGGCCATGAGACCAGTCACCTCTGATGTGCTGGGGGTGATCCTGGGGGCACCCATGCAAATCTTTTAAGGTTCCTGGGGTTAGTTTTCCCACCTGTGAATTAGGCTCACCCTCCTGCTATTGTGGTGAGGGCCGCATGTTCCAGGCCACGGGACTGAGCTCAGAAGAGCACACGGCTCTGGTCACAAGAATGGGCAGAGGGTGATGAAATCCCTTGTCGCGTGGCGTCTTTGCTATGAGGCCCCCACCTACTCCGGACTGGCTGTTCTTTATCTTTTGCTTCACATCAGCACCAAGTGTCCCTGGCATGAACCCCCAAAAACAGTTCAGAAGAGGGCTTCCTCCTACATCATGCCGGTGGGGGAAGAAAGCCCAGGGCCCCAGGATCCCCCAGAGTCAGCCCCACTCGTGAGGCTGCTTTATCCAGAGCATCAGGGGCCACCCCAAGGGGCAAGTCAGGTCTAGGAGGGCCCCAGCCTTCCTGCAGGCTCCTCCCAGGACTTGCCCAGGGGCAGAGAGAAGGAAGCTGATGGGGAATAGCAATACATTCTTTCCTCTGTAAAGATTCTATTTGCTGTTTAGCCCTATGTTTTCTATGATAATATTTCAGTTATTTTTTAGATAGTAAGTGGAGTGCAGCATACATAGAAAAGTGCACAGCTCAATGAAGCAGACAAGAGCATGCTGTGCAACCACTGTCCCCATAAGAAATACAGTGCCGCCAGCACCTCAGACGCCCTCCTTCCTGCCTGCACCCAATCCCCATACCCGTCCTCCTACCTGACACAATTATCATCCCACTTTTCTTTTCTTTTTTTTTTTGAGACCGAGTCTTGCTCTGTTGCCCAGTCTGGAGTGCAATGGCACAATCTCGGCTCACTGCAGCCTCTGCCTCTCAGGTTCAAGCAATTCTGCCTAAGCCTCCCAAGTAGCTGGGATTACAGGGGCACACCGCCACACCCAGCTAATTTATTTTTTCATTTTTAGTAGAGACAGGGTTTCACCATGTTGGCCAGGCTGATTTCAAACTCCCGACCTCAGGTGATCCACCCGCCTTGGCCTCCCAAAGTGCTGGAATTACAGGAGTGAGCCACCGCGCCCAGCCTATTACCCTGTCTTTCTAATATCACAGAGTAATTTTGCCTATGTTTGAACTTTGTATCAACGGACTCATACAGAATGACCTCTGTGTGCCTGGCTGCTTGCTTCAAACTATGTCTGTGAGATTTGCCTATTGTCACTTCATTTATAGCAGGAGTTTGTTCCTTTTCATTGATGATAATATTCTGTTGTAAGAATATGCCACCTGGGTTGATGTACCAGCTTGTTTCCAGTTTGGGAAAATTATAAATAATGGTCCTATGAATGTTCTTGTGCAAGCCTTTGGTATGCATCTCTGTCAGAAATCTATCTCTTCGCATCAAATTGCTGGTGGAGAATATGCACAGAGTAACAAGATATTGATGCCTGGTTTTAAACATGCTCCTGTTATAAGAGTAGACACTTAACCATGGTGGGGAGTGGGGAGGGATGGCCTTTGGCCCCAAGGTACCCATTCAGGGCCAGCTTGGGACACAGTCTTGAGGGGTCATTATTATTTCCCCCACCATGGCCTTGAGACCCTGGGTGTTCCTACAGGGCCCTCCCTGCCTTTGGGTCAGGGACACTTTTCAAGAATTTGCCATAAGGCTAAGGGCTCCCTGGGCCAAGACAAAGGAATGTAGGGCAGCAGCCAGGAGGGAGGCCAGGGCGGGACAGACCTTCCGGGGCCCTGCCATCCCCAGCCTGTAGACAGCCACCTGCTCAGAGGAGCCACCTACGCGTGCCCTCCCTCTCCACTGGGGTCCAGCATCACAGGCCCCAAGCAAGCCAGGACAGCCCTGCTGGCAGCCAGCTGAAGACAGGGTTGTGAGCACCCTCTATGGCTTCCACCCTGGGGGACAAGAGATGTATTTCCCTCCTTAAGGAAGGTGCAGACCCCACTTAGAGGGGAAACATTGTGATTGCTCTCTGTTGACTTGAGTTATATTTAGTATAATGTTACTTAAATATGTACAAACATAAAACCAGGTACACGTTCCTTATGCAGGGAGCTCTCTCACAGCCATAAAGCTAAAACAAATTTATAAATGAAATAAAAGCAAACTGCAAAACCAATAAACTTCAAATTAACAACATTAATTTAATGGGACAAAGTGTTATTGTTTTCCTGAAACTAAATCAGCGCTCACGGCTGACTCTGGGGCAGGCTGCTGTTGTTCTCCAGGGTTTTCTGCTACCTTGCCGTGTGCTGCATGATGACTCAGCTCTCCCACCGCTTCTTTCTCCATTCAGACCACTTCGAAACCTTCATTCCCACAGTCTCCTTAGCTCTTTAAGCCTTGCTTTGCTCATCTGTAAAATGGAGAGGGTATTCGTATGTATTTTGTTACGAGAATTAAACCAGTTGATGCAATGCAGCCTTCTGGCTTGAGACATGTGTAGTCACACAGGGGTCCACACTCAGAAGGGGCCCATGCTTGCTTTAATGCTCTGCTGTCGACATCTTGAAATTCCTTTTTTTTTTGTTTTTTTAAGACAGAGTTTTTCTCTTGTTGCCCAGGCTAGAGTGCAGTGGCACGATCTCGGCACCCTGGAACCACCGCCTTCCGGGTTCAAGCGATTCTTCTGCCTCAGCCTCCCAAGTAGCTGGGACTACAGGCACCCGCCACCACGCCTGGCTAATTTCTGTATTTTTAATACAGACAGGGTTTCACCATGTTAGTCAGGCTGGTCTCGAACTCCTGACCTCAGATGATCTGCCTGTCTCGGCCTCCCAAAGTGCTGGGATTATAGGCATGAGCCACTGTGCCTGGCCACATTTTGAACTTCATAACAGAGTTTCCCTCCGTCACCGAGGCTGGAGTACAGTGGTGCAATCTCAGCTCATTGCAACCTCCACTTCATGGGTTCAAGTGATTCTCCTGCCTCAGCCTCCCGAATAGCTGTGATTACAAGCGTGCACCACCAAGCCCAGCTAACTTTTTTGTATTTTTAGTAGAGACAGGGTTTCACCATGTTGGCCAGGCTGGTCTCAAACTCCTAACCTCAAGTGATCCACCCGCCTCGGCCTCCCAAAGTGCTGGGATTACAGACATGAGCCACTGTGCCCAGCCTAAATTCTTATAATTTTTTAAACAAAGGGAACTGCATTTTTATATTACACAAGGCCCTGTAAATTATGTAGCAGGTCCTATGCATAGGACAAAGTCAGGTATACAGTTGGCACCCAATAACTGTTAGCAGCTATTACTGGTACCTTGTCCTGGTTACTAAGTACAGATTCTTTGTGATGTTTTCCTCTGATGACAGTTTTATCTTCCCATTATTTAATAGGGGTGGAGAGGCCACCTCATGTGTGTAATTGTATTTGACTAATTCTTGGAGTTGAGTGTGTGCTTTGGAGCGAGGACTGCTGTGTTGACGGAAGGATTAGCTTTCTGGGTCACGTGGGCGGTCTGAGCACACCACCCCACCAAAGCCCTCTCACTCGGGACCAGCCCCTAGGCTTCAGACCTGTGTCTCTTAGGCTGACATTCCAATGGGGTCAGGCAGAATACTGCTGTCTTCTTGAAACCTCTTAAATAGGTGGCCAGAGTTTAAGTAAGTTAACAGGTTATGAAGTTGAAGACACTTGAATGGATGAGAAGCTCAGACAGAGTTGCTAATTTAATTTTCCTTTTTTATTGCTGTTCTCCTAAAAAAAAAAAAAAAAGCACAGATTGCCCTTTTTCTGAGAATGAGATATTAATAAGCACAGCATTTTGCAAAAGTAGAGAAGGGCATTAAGATTTTGCAAGGTCTCTCTATTTGTCCCTCACTTCTCAAGGCTCTTCTGCTGGCCCAAATAGGACACAGGCTGAGGGGATTAACTGCTTAAAGTTCAGGAAATGGGAACCACCTTTGGCTGCTGTCACCAGACTCAAGTATTAAATAACATCCCTGCCTGCCCAGAGGACATCTCTGCAAGCAACTCCATCAGCCCCAGCCACCGCCCTGGCCATGTTGAGAGTTTGCCAAAGAAAAATGAACACTTGGGCCTCAAAGTGCAGGCATTAATATCCTAAGTGTCTCATCATGGAAGACTTTGTTCCCCAAGGAGAGTAAATCTTTCCTTGTGGGATGCAGCAGGCTAAGGACCAAGCTGACTCTCTGAGCTCAGTAATCAGGCTAGTCTCCTGCTGGAGGCACAGAAGGGAACTCCGCTGTGTGTCAGCACCTCCTGCATGCCCTGACTCATGCTTGGGGGAAGGACGGTGGAGTGAGAGGCGGATATGGACCCTCCCTGGGCAGAGCTCCCTGTTATCCCTGGAGTGGGTTACTCCTTCCGCTGCCTGCAAACGTAGGTTTCCCTTCAGCTACGCAAAGGCCTGTGAACACAGATACGTGGTCACAAGCATCTTTGCAGCTGTTTCTTTCCACCAGCCTGGGGCCTGCTGGGTTCCTGAAACCTCAGGGTAAGTCAAGCCTCAGAGGTCATCAGTAGCCAGTATCCACTGTTCTGCACCCCTTGGGAGAAGCTCGAAGAACAGGGCTGCCAACTTCTTCAGTAAGATCCCCCAGGTAACCCTGACCCCAAGTAGCTCCCTCCTCCATTAAGAGGAGCCACAGGCCCAGGTAAGCCACAGCCACAGGCCACACAGGGCCCCAGGCTGGAGGACTCTAGAGCTAAGTCTCCAACATGGCTATGTTACAAGTCCTAGGTATGTGTGGCTGCTGAGCACCTGAAATTAGGCTAGTCCAAATTGAGATGTAAGTATAAAATACACATTAGATTTTAAAGCCTTCTGTGGAAAAAGAAGGTAAATATCTCATTAACTAATTTTTACATTGATTTTATGTTAAAAGAGTAGTTTAGATATTATTAAATTACTATCAGCTGTTTCTTCTTTTTACTTGGCTACAAGAAATGTAAATCAGATATGTGGCTTGCATTGCCATACCATTGGACAGCACTTCCCTGGAGAGAACAGAGGAAATATCACAAGAGTCAACCAGGAAGGTCAGAACTGTGACAAGGGACTAACCTCTCCCTATGCCCAGCGCTGGCCCCCAGCACATGCAACTCTGGCCCTTGATGGCCCAATCCGTCCTGCTCCTGCAGGGGATGGCAAACCCTGGCAAGAAGCTCCCAGAAGGGGAACTGAAGGGCTGTTCTATGACAAATATTATCAGCATCAGAAAGTCAAACTGGGTTTCAGGGGCCACCTGAGAATTACAAGTCCTAACAGATGGCCCAAGTTTTCATCTTCTCTTCTGAGTTTTAGTACAAAATCCAGAGAAACAGTTATAGATCTGTTGCCACATCAATGCCTACAAACATTCACCACTCGCGATGCTGCCTTTAGTGCTAATGCAGCGCACTCATTTACAGACTAATAAAATCGGAAGAGTTATTATTCCTTTAAAATGCAGACATATCTGGGGTATCCACTTAATGACGCATATGGAATAAATTACTTTTGGATGACACTTTTTAATTGAACTGAACTAACAGCTTAGTAATATGTTGCAATAAGAAGAATATTAGGATGATTAAAAGATCTAAAAACTCTTGCGAAATTAAATGATTAAACATAATGCTGAGTAAATGAACAAGCCCGTGTATATTAATCAGTTGTGGGCCTCCAGAAGCCGTCGTGTAACTAAATGCACGTCACGGCGCTGCACGCGCGTGCCTCCTCTCTCCCTCCACGCCGGCTTTCCATCATGCCCTCCTTACCACCACGCTGGGCAAACTGCTTTTTCCACAGACAAACAATGCGTTAAGAATGCAGTGAGTGTAAGTGTTACAAGAGCTATTGCTTCTTGGCAAACACTCATTCCTTTGGTTGTTGGCTTCAAGAAATGGCCGTGTCATTAATTTTCAGTCCCTGTTTTTAACTGAAATGAAACTTTAAGGTGCAAAAATTAATAGAATTCTGGCTTCCTTTCTGATTGTAGGAATTGACATTCCTGGTACATTCCCCTTGTTGGGATGTCTCCTGTTTCCCATTAAGCCACTCACCTCACTGTGTTTTAATTTCCCTGGAACTGTTGCGTACCATGAGTCGCTCTTAGGAAGCTGGGGGTGAGAAAGTCATGTTGGGAGAAAGTGTCGATTCCAAAGCCCCCCGGTCAAAGCTGGCTGCTCTTCAGGGTGGAGGAGGAAAAGCAGCTCTGTTGAGGTCCCAGGAGGGCATCCCCTGCATCCCTCCCTCCCTCTGCCACTGGCCATGCCACCCAGCACCGTGCAGGTGCCTTTTGTATGACCTAGAAAACTGATTAACTTCCTTATGCAGTTCATCCCCCGCCTGCTCAGAGATAACCCAGGTAATTTCTTTTCTGATTGTATAAATCTTTCATACCCAAGTCACAGTCATAATTAGTTACATAAAAATTCAGGTTACGACTTAGGCTGTTATTAGGAACATGAAAAACAGTGAAAAGTTTTGTCTCACTCACTCTCTAATAAAAACTCTCAAGGTCTCTGTTACTGAGAACAGAAGGGACTTGGTATCTCATTAAGGCTAAAATTCAATTCAGAACAGAATCTCACTAGCTGGGCTTGATGCTGGGGCGGTGGGGGGCAGGAAAGGCTAGCCACTCCTGGCAAGAAGTTTAAAGCAGGTCTGTGCTCTCCACACCCTGTATGTGTCGTGGCCTTCCCTCGGCTGGGCTGAGAATCTGTGCTTCCAAAACCAATGCCACAAGAAGCCCAGCAGAGGCATCTTCTCAAATGAAAATATATTCCCCAAACCAAAGTGCTGATCAAACCCATCTTGCAGCACATCACACTGGAAAATAACACAGTGGAATTCCATTAAGCCGATGGCTCCTAAAGAACAAGTCAGCTTTCTGAAAAGTCCCAGATAAAGCACTACAATTGTCTCAATGGCTTAATGTAATCACCTACCAGGGGCACTAGATTCATCTTCCCCAATTGGGCAAATTAAGAGCCATCGAAAGGAATCACATTCCCACAGTTACCCAGGAGACTGAGAGGGCCCTTCAAGACGGGCAAGCAGAGCCTCTTCCTGCTGCAGCCACTTCCCTCCATCTGGCCCAACTCAGGCCTGGAAGCAGAGCTCAGGAAGTAGCTCTAACTGAACTCCAACTTACAATGGAACCTCAGAGAGCCAAGTGTTTGAGTTCCAAGGATGGAGGTAAAGTTTTTCAAAGGCTTCCAGTCCTGAAGACTGAGGCCCATTGTGAGTTATTAAACTCGTCCTTTCCAGATGGCACAGCGGATTATGACTATGCAACCCTAGACCCAGCAATTGGAGTAGTTCTGGGCTTTGGATAATGTGGGGGTTATCATACAAGCTATGGGGCAGGAGAGCATAGAGTAGGGGTGACCTGCCCTTTACAAAATCCCAGTCCCCGCATTGTCATCTGAAATGCAAGAGTCAGACCCTCACCTCAGCAGATCTCATTCCTCACTTTCTTGCAGGGCAGAAATGCTGAAAACATTCATTTGTCAAAACTTTGAAAGCCACAGGACTGAGCCAACAAGGAGAGAAGCAATCAGGACTTTGTCATCAGAGGAGGCGGACTGCCCCCACGTCCTATCAAATTTAGTCCGGAATGTATTTTGCCATTATTGTAACTATGCCCTTCAGCTGCCACGCCGTTTCAGGAACGGAGCGCTAATACATTCTGTGGCACAGTCTCTTTATGGGGAGGAAAGGATCCCAGTGCCCCTTGACAGAGAGAGAATAATAGCATAATGCAACAGAACATTTTTGAAATGCTAATACACGCTCTCCGCAACTTAATTTTATTTTTTTCTTATTGGCTTTTTTATATGACATTTCACAGTCCTGTAGCCTCAATAGCTAGATCTGCATCGTAAAAATGACAACACGGTGATTTAAGGAGGAGAGTCCATCAGAGCGAAATGGGTGGTGTGCTTTTAAAGTATCAGTTTAGCACCTCTTACCTGGGATCAATGTTCATTCTCAATACATCATTAAAGCATCCTGTTAAATCACTTGGAGAGTGGTTGTGCTCTTCTTATGCAGCCCCAGGTTTGATTATGGAGATAATGAAGTGGAACCCTGCAGGAAGGGCCATGTTAGGCACACGTACTTTATTGAGTTAGGGGCTACCAGGGAAGGTTGATCTGAATTAAAGAAACTTGAGAGGAAAGGAGAGAGAGAGAAGCAGAGCAGGTGCGTGGGCATGGAGGCTTCCATCGGAACTGGATAGGCAGCAACAGATGCCGTCAAATTTGAGACCTCCTCTCTAAGCTTTACAAGCACAGTGTTCACCAAACCCATATTCATAAGGGTCCGAGCTGCAGTGAAGTCTGCAGTCAGCATGTAAGATGAGAGAGACACACTGATGGGACTGGTAGAACTTTCCAGACCCCAACCAAAGTGAGCTCAAAGGCAAACAGGATTAACAGGTCCAGCACCCCTTACATGGAGCAGACAAAGGACCAGACAAAGGACCATCTCTAGTGAGGGCTTGGGCCAGAGCATTGGGCTGATTGAAAAACTCCAGAACCCAAGTGAGCATGAGTTCCTAAGAACATATCCTTCAAGTCCAGCTGCCTGTATGTGGCCATCGTTAGACCCTGAGACACGGATGTTCCTCGGTTTTCTTTCCTTTCTTCTGGAATATATTTTGTTCAAAGTAATACATGCTAATTGTACACTACTGCACATAAGAAGTTGAAAGATAACCCCTCCCAAATCCCACTGCTCTCTTATCCCCCGTCTCACGCCTCATGGATAAATTCCACTGGCAATTTGCTTGGACCCACACAGGCTTTCTCTCCTGCATGTACAAACACCACACAGGTATTTTTGTGACCTGGGATCAGACTCCACACATTGTTTTGCAACTTGCTTTTCTCATTTAAAACCATTTCAGGTCAGTACAAATAGATTTGCCTGGCTCTTTCTTTTTTTTTTTTTTTTTTTTTGAGATGGAGTCTCGCTCCATCGCCCAGGCTGGAGTGGTGCAGTGGCACGATCTCAGCTCACTGCAAGCTCCGCCTCCCGGGTTCACGCCATTCTCCTACCTCAGCCTCCCGAGTAGCTGGGACTACAGGCGCCCGCCACCATGCCCGGCTAATTTTTTTGTATTTTTAGTAGAGATGGGGTTTCACCGTGTTAGCCAGGATGGTCTCGATCTCCTGACCTGGTGATCTACCCACCTCGGCCTCCCAAAATACTGGGATTACAGGCACGAGCCACCGCGCCCAGCCTGCCTGGCTCTTTCAAATTCTATTTGAAACCAAAACATAATAACCAATCCCCTGATGATGGATATTCAGGTTGTTCTTAGTTTTTCACTAGATAATACTGCAATTGGCGTCGTTGGTCACAGATATCTTTGCACATCTGTGCAAGTATACCATCGGATACCTTCACTAGAGGCTTCCTGACAACTCTTCCAAAAGTGACTGGCTCTTGTCTCCATGTTTTATGGTTTCCAAAGTTAGGAAAAAAAATGAAACAGCTCACTCCCTCCTCCCTGTCTCAGGATGAGCAGGAAGGCAGGTGAGGTTTGCACTTGGACCATGCTCCTGCAGAAGCCGGGCTACCAAGACAAATGAGCCGGGCCTCCACCACCTCCCATTTGACCTGCAAAGTCCTCAGAACTCCCCAGGACTCCTCAGTCACCCAGGAACTCAAATGTGCATTAGCCCAGCCTTTCAAACAACACCCATGTAGGGGGGTAGTGACTTGTCTCACTCAAAGTAGGGGACAGCACACAGGCCAGGGAGGAATTGGAGCCCTGGGAGTCAGCATAGAATTCTCCATCATGTGGTGTGGGAAGGCACAGACCAAAGTTGACCGGACCCAAAGTGTTCTGTGCTGTAAACTGATGACCTGGGAGCTTGGGCGACAATAGATGAAGCTCCCAGGAAGGGGAATCTAGCCTCCGCTCTTGGTGAAGACAGTGCTCATGCTAAAGCCTGTTGAGTGGGTTTATCAGTTCTGTTCTGATTACCTGATGTCTCTGGCTCCTTGATTTTCCAAGTGAACTCCCTTTAAAGCTTGAGTTGTGACCAGCTGGATTTTTCAGAAACTACTACATAATAGCTAACATTTTATTTGAGCCCATTAGTTTTGGCATTTTTTTAAGGTAAAATTTCAGTTAAATGGCTAATGCTATTGAAAGCAAATTCCTCCAGAGTCAGTGGCAGACACAGCTCCTCAATGATACTGTTCATTTCTGCTGAGCCTGAATGTGTAGCTCACGTGCCTTCTAAATGCAGCCCTTCTTGCCCCAGCCAAGCCAGTGAAATGTGGAGGTCAGGAGGGTTTGCCTCCTATGTCTCATGACCTTCTTCCTGTTCTCTGGACCCTGACCTCTGCCCCAAGCAAATCACACCTCCCCCACTTGGAACCTATCTAGCAGTCTCTTCTGCCTGTGTGTTAATGACTGACAGCATGGCAGGCAGTTCCTTCCCAGGTGTGTCTCAGTTTCTGAAACACATCTTCAGTGATGGACTCAGGTATCCACTGGCAGGAGAGCAACACCAAGTCCCCCCTTTAGCAAGGGCACCCCAGGAGCACTATGGCCATGGTGCTTCCCTTGCTCTGACCAGCCTGGGCATCAGGGGAGAGGATCCACTTGAGACCTGGGGCAAATTGCTTCACCTCATTCAGCCTCAGCCTCTTCATCTGTGTGATGGGCAGATGTTCCTCACCCGGCCTCCCTGTGGGGCTTATGCGGCTGTGGATATGAGCGTGCTTTGTGAAGAACAGGTTGTCATTACTGCCCCTGCCTGTTTAACCCCAGCCCCAGGCCCTCTCATGGGTCCTGGGGCCCTCCTAAGCCAGGGCTCAGGGACAGGCCCTCACAGCCCCATGCAAACACAGTCTGCAGCTTTCAGATGGCAGGTGTTGGGCCTGTCCTGTGCCCGCCTCCTCACCACCCCCTACCAGAATCCTGCACCTCCTCCTCCCAGACCCCATCTCCTCCCTTTTCTTCCCCTATCCCCAGAACCTGTTGAATCATCACCCAGTTTTTCCTACTACCGTTCCTCCTCCCGGGAAAAGTGGTCCTGAGACATGGGATTGGGAAGACTCCACGTGTGGAGACACAGCACAGGAGCCCACCCTGCCCAACTGGCAGGCCAGACCCTCCACCTGTGTGACTTGTGGGGACCTTTGTGCTCTTAGAAGGCACTGGGGGCAGCGACGTGCACATCCTTTTCTGGTTCCCATGGGGGAGATCCAGAAACGTCAGGACCCTCCCAAAGCTGAGGACACTGAGTGAGGAGCCCACAAGGGGGAAGCTGTGGTCACTGCTCCGGACCTCCACTGCCCAGGCTTCTCTCTGAGCAGGGCAGCAGAGGCTGCTTTGTCTGCTGCAGGCTGACCAAGAGGGAGTCCTAGGCCTGATCCAGCTTTCCTGGCTCCCAGGACACCAGGCAAGCAGAGGACAGGAGTGGACAGTGTCCTTTACCATCTGCTGCCACAGACTCCCCCACTCCTTAATCAGTGAGAGACTGCAGAGCTAGGCAGCTGCCTCACCTGCTTCTCACAGAGGGACAGAGGCATCCTGAAGCCCAGGTTCTGCTGATATGCAGCGATTTGCTCCACAGCATTCCTGGCTCACCACCTTCTTTCCGAGCCCATGTGGACGGCAGCCCTGGGGAAGGGTGGAGAGGCAGGAGCCGGGCAGGGCCTCGGCCTCAGCCGGGAGAGGGCCAAGCCTCCTTCCAAACCACATGCATTTTAATGGGCAGATTTCACTGACAATTGCCCTGCGTGTACAAGGAGCTCATTAAACCAGAGTGTTGTTTCAGGACAGCACAAAGCCGTTCTGCCCACAACTTCCTAATCCGTCTGTAGAAGCTGCCAAGGTCAGGACCTTGAAAATAGTCAGCAGCCATGTTGGGTGTGCGTGCTGTGGTCTGTGTACCCTGGGTTTGCCCACAGGGGCCCCCACGCCTGGGCTCTGTGCTCTGCATGCTCAGAACTGTCTGGCCAGCGCTGGCTGGGCTCACGATGTCCAGTGAGGGCCTCCTGGGAGTGCTCAGGCTCAGGCAGTGGGATTCGGGGCTGCCAGCTGTGTAGTCATGGTGTGCTCACCCTTAGCGAGGGCTTAGCCACTCTATGTGGGCCTGGGTGCGGACAACATGACCAGGACTTGTAGGGCTGCCACCAGCCTCTAGGGAGAGTACCTTTTGGTTGGAGCCATTTGACAATCCCCCATCGTGTGGGTGGTAGGCTGTGAAGTCCCAACCACACTCAGCACAGCAAATGAGGCCCCTAGGAGAGGGCCCCCACCCTAGTGTCCACAGTACCACAGTACCTCTCTGGGTCTCCGCTTTCACATCCCCACATGGGACAGGCCTGTCAGTGGCATCAGGTCCAGCATGACCAGCCGTGCAGGGGTGCTGGGGGAGGGGCAGCCTGTGGAGCATCTCCTGCCAGCCTGTGGGTCCCTAGTGGGAGGGGGAGTGACTCCCCTGCGTTCAGACTACAGGCCAATTCTCCAAAACCCAACCCACCACATGGCAAATTTGTCAAAGGATACTTTTTCAAACGTTTAGTTTCACCCCTACCTTTGTGATCATTGAAATTTATTTTTGTGGGTTTGTGTCCTGCCCCACCCCTGCCCCAGAGGCCCCAGACAGGCATCCTTACTGGGTGCAGGGCAGTCACCACACCTGTGTCACCTCCAGAGGCAGGGTGGGGTAAGGGCAGGGCAGAGATGTCACTAAAGCCTGGAACTTTCACATTGACTTTCAGCTGCCAAGTTTGAGTTGAGATGATCTGGGCATATTTGCATAGTTTTGAGCTCCTCTGTGAGGTGGTGCCCTCCCTGGTGGCCAGCGACGGGGGAAGGCCCAGGACATTTGGAGAGTGGCCGGCAGTTCCGCTTGTGTCCAGCTCAGTGTGAGTTGTGGGAGATGAGGCTGGAAATCAGGTGCTGGCAGGCCTTCAGTGCCAGGCAGAGGAGCCCGCTCCCTCCGAGATGATGTGGGGGGACGGGGCCTAGGAGGTGGTGCTGCACAGACCCACCCTATGGCCAGCATTCCCAGGGAAGAGGCCACCTCCTGCCACCAAATGCTGCAGTCCCTACTGGAAGCAGCACAGAGGGGATGAAGAGAAAAGTGTGGCTTCAGAGGAGTGGGAGGGTGCCTGGCTGTAATTGTTAAGATGGGGAGAGTGGACGAGATTTTGGTTCATTCATCCCTAAAATGGACCATTCACTCAGCCAGCTGGCAGCCTCTGCCTGTGCCTCCTAAGGCAAGCCCCACATCAGTGCTGCTGAGAAGCAATTTGCCATGGGTCAAGATGTGGAGATTTCCAAACTGACAGATGGCAGAGGAGTCTTTGGAGAGGAAACGAGGCATTTTTCTTACCAAGACCTGTCCTTGGACAAAGCATACATGACATGATAGGGTTCTCACTGCAAGATAATTTAAAGAACCTACCCAAGACGAAGAGAGAGAGAAATGTCCCATATAAGGGAAAGAGATTTCTCGCATCCCAATACTTTAAAACTTTGCTGCCATGCGTCTGCCTAACACAGAAAAGGTTTTGGCAAAGGCAAATTGTGGTGACACCCACTCTTCTGAGTCTCCCTCCCAGTCAGCTGCCTGCACAGAGACCCTCCACCACCAGGAACGGCAGGTGAGCCCCCCAAGCCTGGTGTCTGCAGGAGAGTGTGATAGCCACACCCCCGGGCAAGGTTTGGGCTTGTCGAGCTCAGGATGAGGAATGACAGGGGGCCTCCCCAGAGTGTAACCACCAAGACACGGGTGAGTTAGGACAGGGATGTATCCACACAGGTGATCTCCCCTGCCTCGGGCAGGGCAGTGGGTGGGCAGCCACTCCCAACATACGAAAAATAAGTATTTATTTTAAGGGTGTGCAAGTCACATTTTTATTGCTAGCATTGTGGTTATTAATATATAGCACAGTTCTCAACAGCGCCACTATTGGTATTTGGAGCCATTTAATTCTTTGTCATGGAGACTGTTCTGTGTATTTTGAGCTGTTCCATGGCATCCTCAGGCTGCGTCCACCAGATGCCAGTAAGAAACCACCCCCTCCCCAAGTTGTGACAACCAAAAATACCTCCAGGCATTACCAAATGTCTCTTGAGAAAACTCACTTTGTTTGAGAGGCACTAATGTATACCAAATGGGTTTTACCCAATCTTTCCACCATTGGGTTCAGTTCCCCACATCCCCATTATACTCCAGGCTCTGCCCACCTTCTGTCACAATGCACAAGGTCTCTGCCCCATCAGAGGCTGGGCCCCCACTCAGGCTCCGTGCCCCTGCCTCACCCACTCAGAGACTTTTCTTCTGAAATTCTCCCTTCTCTCTCTTGTAGCATACAATTCTCCCTCTCTATCCAATCACTCCCATTAGCACACAAACACAACACCTTAAAAACATAACAAGCCAATATCCTTGACCTTCTGTCTACCATCCCATTTCTCTGCTCTCTATCATGACAAAACCCTTCTAAAGAATGCCTCTTCACCTTCTCACCTCCCGTTCTCTGTCCAACCCATTCCAAAGATGGCTTCATTCCCCAGTGCTCTAACGAAACATTAGAGGTCCCAAATGACCTCTGTGTTGCCAAGCCCACAGTCAAATCTCACTCCTTATCCACCTAGAGCTCTCGGCCACACTGGGCACAAGTGAGCCACACCCTCCTTGGCCCTTCTTCCTCAGCCCTACCCTCCTCACTGGCCCCTGCCCATCCTCTCGCCTTTAAACATTGGGGGTCCCAGAACTCCACCCTCAGATCTCTTTCCTCACTCCACACTCTCTCCCCAGGGATCTCATGTGATCCTGTGTTTCTAAGTATTACTTATGCATCAATAAATTTCAAGGTTGCACACCTAGCCTAGGCCACTCTCCTGAGCCCCAAACTCCCATATCCAACTGACCACCCCTCAGCCCACCTTCCATGGTTAAAGACAGAACTCTGCATCTCAGCTGAAATGTCTACCCTAACCCTCAGCCTCTCAGCAAATGGAACCAACACCCACACAGTTTTTCAGGCCAAAACCCCAGTATTCATCCTGGATTCCTCCCTTTCCCTCAATCTCCCCATCCAGTCAAGCCTGTTGGCCCCTCTTCCAGCAGGTGGCCCAATCAGTCTGCCCCCAGCACCTGCTCTCAGAGCCATGCTCGGTCCAGAGCGCCATGCCTGGGTGGCAGCCTCCTCTATCACCCACCCCCCGACACCCAAACCAACAGAGTGTTGTCCCAACACCCTCAGCCCCACCCTCCTTCCTGACAGAACCTGTTTGCCCACCTCCCCCCACACCACCTGATGCCAGTCAGGGTGGCTTTTCCACATTTGTTTAGGAGTGATGTGACACGGATCTGGCCAAAGAACCTGAGGGGAAGTCAGCTGGGGGCCTCTTGGAGAAGCTTCTTTGTTTTGTTAACTTAAAAAAAATCACATAAGTGTCAATTTAGAAAAGGAGACTTTCTTTCTTATAAAGGATTACAGCCTGCAAGGTTACCATCCCGCAGGCTGGGCAGTGCAGCCTGCAGCAAAGACCAGAGACAGGCGCTTGGAAGGAGAAGGGATTGTGGTCGGAGCTTTATGCTGAATGTGGTTGGCCAAGTAGACATATTCTACAGGTTACAGGAGGAGCTGTGGACATTTAGGAAGGTGGTCCTGGCGCATGGGTATTGAACAAGCATGCATGTAACATATGACCCATTTTCACTTTGGAGTGGAAAGTTAACATTTCACTCTATTACAATTAGGCCCTTTAGGTGAAAAGGTCTTTTCAGGATGCAAAGGCACTCAAGTGTGCAGCCTGTGTAAAGCAGACAGAATCAGTCCAGGGTCAGTGGTCCTCTTATCAGGAGAAAGTTACTGAAATCAGTCTCTCATCCAGTCGAAGCTGTAGTTGCGACCTGTAGAACAGGGGCTGGGGCAGTGAGTCGGCCTCCAGGGGAGCTGCAGTTGTTCCAGCATTGCTTATCTCAAGGCCAGTGCTTGTTTAGCTGCTGGAGGAAAGGAAAAGCCTAGTGGCAGGTAGAGCGCAGTTTATTCAAGCATAGGGGGTGCGAGACTTAACCTTTGCCTGACATGGCGTTAGGTCCCATTTATAATTGGGTATTTTATTACCACAAAGAGTCTATTCTGTCACTTTTTTTTTTTTTTTGAGACTAGGTCTCACTCTGCTGTTGCCCAGGTTGGAGTCCAGTGGCGCAATCTCAGCTCACGACAACCTCCGCCTCCTGGGCTCAAGCAATTCTCCCACCTCAGCCTCCTGAGTAGCTGGGACTACAGGCACACACCACCATGCCCGGCTAATTATTTGTATTTTTTGTAGAGATGGAGTTTCGCCATGTTGTCCAGGCAGGCCTTGAACTCCTGAGCTCAAGTGATCCGCCTGCCTCAGCCTCCCAAAGTGCTAGGATTACAGGTGTGTGCCACCACATCCAGCTAATTTTTGTATTTTTAGTAGAGACGGAGTTTCACCATGTTGGCCAGGCTGGTCTCAAACTCCTGACCTCAATGATCCACCCACCTCAGCCTCCCAAAGTGCTGGGATTCCAGGCGTGAGCACCGCGCCTGGCCTGTCACTCTCATGAGCTCTGTTTTAACATGAATGCTGGTCCATTGTTGTGTCTAAACTGCAAAACGGAGTGGATATAACAAGGCGTGTCCAACCTTTTATCCCATCATGGCTGGGAAGTCAGTTTTTAAGAGTTTTCTGGGGTCTTCTCGGCTAAGAGGGGGGTCCATCCATTTGGGGGATGTCTTAGGATTTTATTTTTAGTTTATAGTTCTTAAAACTCACATCCTTTCCACCGGATATGTACCTACGTGTGATGCCTCCACCTGTTTGTAGGCTTCCCAGTAACCCCGACGGGCATCAAGACAGCGTTCTGAGGACTGCAGAAAAGAGAGCTTGAGGCTTTGGTGACATTCGGGAACCATGGAATTAACCTGCCCAGGAAACATGCAGTGGGGCCTTCTCGTGATGGAGATAGAATTTCCGAATTAGCCAGCCCCATTTCCAGTCAGGATTTTCTGTTAATGCAGCTGAAGACCATCTCAACCAATACACAGATGGTCTTTAAAGGTGTAAATCAGACCATTTTAGTCTCCTGCCTAGAATCCTACAACAGCTTCTTAGAAAATCAAACATAGACTCCTTACCAGACCACAGGCCCCGCCAGCCCTCCTCCCAACATCTCCAGCCTCCTTTCTTACCACTGCCCCCAGAGGGCTTCCTTACTCCACGTTTCCACTTTCTGCTCGTGCCCACAGTGTCACCAGTTGGAGAGGGATGAGGCTCTTCCAAACCCCACTCCTGAACCCCTCTGCCAAAGTCCAAATCAGGCCATCAGGGGCCAGTGCCCCTGCCCTTCCAACAATTGGGCTCAGCTGAGCTCCCTGCCATGTTACTAAATATTCAGCAAACAAGCTGTAAGAGCTTCTCAGGTGAGCCCTGAAAACAGGATACCAGGAGTCTCTCATAGTGGGAAACAGAGTCTGATCATGGCTTCCCCTGGACCAGGAGGTGGAGGGCGGAGGTCCCTGGGAGCCGTGCTTAGAGAGGGGCCGGGAGGCTGTGAGCAATGTTTCCTCTACAAAAAGAAGGCAGCAGGAGCTCTGTGGTCCCTGGGAGCAGCAGAGCTGACGGCTGGCACAGGAACCCCTCATCAGGAGTTCATCAGCCACTGTGGCACGCTCAGGAAATTGGAATCAAAAACAAATACACTGATGTAAACCGTTCAAAATGGTCTGCAGATGCCTGTTTACAAAACACAGCCATGACAGAGCATTCTCAGGAGACTGGATAATTAAACAGAAAACAAGTTATATTTATTCATGTTCTTTCAGGACCCAGTGGCTTCTCCCCTCCCTGCATGTGAAGCACAGTCCCCCATTTGGAGAGGGCACAGCCTGTGCTGTGGGGTGGAAATGGTGAAGGGATGCAGTAGGGGAGGCTCTGTGTCTGCCTTCGGCTGCTCGAGCGGCCCGCCGGACACAGTCCAACCCCAGGAAACTTGGGACGACGGGGACCCAGATGATAAAGACTTGCATCTATTCTGCTTCCTTGGAGGAGGGTTTTTAGTAACAAGAATGCCACAGTTTAGAAATCATCTTCAAATCTCTTTCACTGGAGGAGGCCAAGAAAGTGATCCCAAATTACATTTCAAATCAAATGCCTTGGGAGGGTTAGGGGGTTATCATCAAGACAAAGATGGGACCTCAATGTTGTGTGGGGTCCCTGGACCTCCCCTCCCAGCCTGCTTCACCACAGGAAATCACACCGTATTATGCAAGAGGATCAAGTCAGGAACACGGGAGTCATTCCTGACACCTCTTTTATCCCCACCCCATCCAAACTATTTCCCAGCCCTGTCCCTTCCTCTTCATCTCCACAGTCACCACCTGTCTCTCTCCTGAACTACTGCCTTGGCCTCCTAAATGGTCCCCCTGCATTTTTTCCCTCTCTCCCACCAGTCCGTTATTTGCACAACAGCCGGAGTGACCCTTTAGCATGCAAATCATGTCACATCCCTGATTGACTTAAAATCCTTCTGATCATGAGCCAAGATCGTGCCGCGCACTCCAGCCTGGGTGACAGAGCGAGACTCCTCCTCAAAAAAAAAAAAAAAAAAGAAAAAAAAATCCTTCTGATCACTTTTCATCTCCTTAAATTACAGCCATCAGTCCTTACCTTGCTCTGCCTGCTCTAACTAGCTATTTCCTGCCTCTGACCGCATCTGTGCCACATGCCCTTGCCTTGTGCCATGTGCTTCAGCTGCACTGGTCTATTTCAGCTCCCAGAGCACTCCAAGCCCCCACCCTGCCTCAAGACCTTTGTATGGGCTGTTTTCTCTAACTAGAATGTCCTTGCTCCCATTCTTGGCCTGGCTGGCTTCTTCTCATTTTAAAGATCTTCACTTAAATATTCTCTACTCAAAGAGGCTTTCCGCCACACCAGCACCCACCCCCCACACACACACCTTAATAGCCCTCCCCTGCTACTCTCTTGGTATTCTCTCATCTTGTTCTTTCTATCCGTAATGCTTATTGTACTGTGTAATTTGTTTGCATGTTCTCTGCCAGCCTATTCTGAGACACCCCCCACCCCCAGCCCTTGCTCCCTCAGTCCAGCAGTTTGGACGCTGTAGCAACAGATACAGATGTGGAGTGAAGGAGTGAGCTCCCTGTACAGAAGGTATTCTGGGGATTGGAGCCAAAGTTGGACCTACTCTTGTTAGAACATTCTCAGAAGGTTCCTGACCTGGATGACTTGGCCTGTCAAAAGACTGTTTCCCATTTCCTTATGACTTCTTCAGTGGAAATACGTTAACTGGTATTTCTTTCCCTTCTGAGGGGGTGTGTTATGTAATTAACACCAGCTGCTATAGAAATCCCAAAATCTCAGTAGTGTAGTATAGTAAAGGCTGGTTTCCCATCCTCATCAAGTCCGATGGGGTCAGGCAGCTCTCCCTAAACAGTGACTAGACCATGTTCTTCACTCTCATCAAATGCATGACCTCCAAAGACGAGGAGAGGAGAGCATGGATGATGACTGTGTTATCCTCCAGAAAAATAAAACCAACAGAAGATGTATATGTCTTCTACGGAACCAATAAAACATTGGCTTCTGTTGAAGCCAGTGTTTCAGTTTCAGTCTGAAAGCAGGAAAAAGACCAATGTCACAGCTCAGCAGTGAGACAGGAGGGTTTCCCTCTTACCCAGGCTCATTTTTTCTATCTAGGTCTTCAACGAATTGGATGAGGCCTGCCCTCATTGGGGAGGGCAATCTTCTCTACTCAGTCTACTGATTCAAATGTCAATCTCATCCAGAAACACCCTCACAGACACACCCAGGATAATGCTCGAACAAATATCTGGGTGCCTTGTGGCCCAGTCAAGGTAACACATAAAACTAACCAAGACAATGACACAGAGGTTGTGTGGCCAGGCTTGGTCACCTCCTATCACCTACCATGTCAAACCCAATGACATGGCCCCATTCTGGCTCCAAGAGAGGCCACGAAATAGTCATAATGAGTGCACAGGAATTGGAAGATGAGCTGGCATTTGGAAACACACAGCATGGCCCCCTCTTGCTAGTTAGGTAAAAACTGTTTGCTCTTCTCCACTGACTTGCTCAGGAGATTCTGGATCCAACCTTAGAGATCTGTATGAATTTTTGTAAATTCTGAGTAGCTCTGTATAATTACATAAGGTAATACATTCTTTTCCCCCTTAAGACACCAAAGTAATAGGCAGTTAGGATACTCTCCTTTTGCAAATATCTTGAGCAGAGGTATGCCCATCATCTTTGGGTGTAGACTCAGTAGGGTGGGAGAGACCCATAGAGTGGCCAAGCTGACCAAGGCTACCCCACACACAGGAACCAGCGGAGGTGGAAGAGCTGGTATGCAGCACTGTGACAGCCATGCTCCTGCTGACCAGGAGGCCCTGTGCTCTCCACCTCAGCAAGGACCCTTTGCTCCTTCTGATGGATGCCTCTCCTGCCTGCCACACTGTGGCACCCCATGATACCCAGAATGGTGATCTCACAGCCCCTGGGCACTGAGTTCTGCTCTAACTTCCTGTTCGTCTGCACACAGCAGTCACATTGAGGTTTAGTTTTCTCAAAACTAAAAAGGTGTATTGGCCAGAGGAGGCTAAATGGAACCCCAGAGCCTAGAGGGATGCCCAGGTAACCCTGCCCCTGCACAGGCCGGCCCCTCCTGCAAACAAGGAGGATACTACATCAGACTAGGATGTCTCGATAGCAGGACACAGGTCTGCCAGGCACACAGGGAGGGCTCTACCAAGAAAGAGGGCAACCAGGCTTTACAGGAGTCACGGGCCCTTAACCTGGGGTCTGTAGACAGGTTCAGGCCTCTGCTCTCCCTCCCCACTTAACACTTGTCTTCTCTGCTAAGCCATGAGCTCCAGGTTAGCAAGCACTGGGCCTGTTTTTCTTGCCAGTATATTCCCACTGTATCCTGGCTCCTGGTACCAGCTCCATAAATAATTGTTGACTGAGCACTAGCCTAATAGTTCACTTGCTTAAAACTGCTTATTAAGTCCCTTCTGCGTGGTAGGCATTGTATTAGGTGCTGGGGATACAACATAAATAAAACAGATATAGTCTCTGCCTTTATGCAGCTTACAAAGGTGTTTGTTCACACCAGAGAGCAGAACTTGATAACTAAACTGTAATAAAAGTTGAAGCAACATCAAGCAACATAGGCCAGTTGAAAAAGTAAATTACCCACTGACCCGCAGGTAATTAACTAGTAATTTTATTGCCATCCCCAAAATGAAGCAAGCAAGAGGGAATGACAATGGCAGGAAGATTGAATCTGGTTACACGTAAGGAAACAGGAGATTTGGGACAGATGCAAGTGCTCTCTTGTGTGGCTTTGGAGCAAGTCTGGCTAATACAGAGCCACCTGTGCAGGCTGGATGCACCCTGGTGCTCTAAACAGGAATGTCAAGATGAAAGGCTTTAAGACATCCTGTCCCCAGCCTCCCATCCACAAACATTCAGCAGTTATTTGAAAGGATCCCAGAGTGACAATCTCTGGTAGACGGAACAGAGGAGACAAAAAGCACACCATCCCTCCCACCCGCCTTGCCCGGCTCACCAGGATACGCCAAAGCAGCTTCACTCTGTAAACACCAGCCAAAGTCACAAGGTCCGGGAGATGTTGCCCTGTTTGTTCAGGAGACACTGGGCATGCGCACTCCCCCTTGGCTCCTCCCCTACTCGCCAACTTCACAGTGTGACTCTGGTCACAGGGATGGGACCAGATCAATAGACTTTGTCACTCCAATGCCCCAGCTTCTTTGGTGGCACCTAGGTCACCTGAGGGGTTTGTTTCAGGAAAGCACATTAATTTAGAAGGAGAATAATGTGGGAAGAGGCCGCAGTTAGAGAGATGTGTCTAAGCGCCTGGCCTGTGCTCTCTCCAAATTGCCCTCATTCCCAAGCAGGCCCCTGAGCCTGAGTTTGCCCTCCGAGGCTCAGTCAAAAATATTGATGTGCAGGCAGGTTACTGAGCTTTTGACAGGGTTTTTTTCACCAATGGCATCATTTGAAAAATGGCAAATATCCAAGTAGGAATGTGTTCCATTAGTGTGTTTCTGACATAAGAAAACTAACACCAGCTTGACAAGAATTTGAGAAATTTAATTTCTATCACTACAAAGCACCAGAATCCTGTTTGAGAGGGTGCTGATGGGTTTATGAGTGTCTTATCGAGTTCAAGTCAGTGTGAGAAATAGCGCCTGAGATTAAGGGAAACCTGTAATAGGAACTAAAACCCAGTTCTCCAACAACTGAAATGTTATGGCCTCCTGCTTTCAGGAAGGGTGTTTGTTAGCCTGCTTATGGTAAGCCCATTAATTCCCTGTGACTGCCTCTTCTCTCCAAGCTCCAAGACTCAGGGAGAAAGGTGAGGACGGGTGTTTGTGGCATCTCATGTCTGGAAAACCAAGGGTATGCTACTGCACTGGTTTGAAGGGCCTAGAGAGATAGGTCATGGCCTTGAGCCCACCTACTGTGTGCCATGCCTTGTGCTAGGCACCAGAGTGCCAGACAGCCCTGCCCAGAATCCCACTGTGGGACACGCAGCCTAGCTAGTGGTCCAGGAAGCTCTGTCTTGTGCCAACCAACCCACACTGACTTGGGCCATCACTGCAGTGTGACCCATTTGTTTTCATCCCAGGGGGATATCATGGGAAGCCCTGAGCTTTGAGAACCCCCCAACTCCCTTGCCCTCCTCAGATTCCCTACTTGCAGAGCAGCTCTCCAATGTCAGTTCTCATAGCAGGGCGTCAGTCCCTCTGTGGGCACAGACTTCTGCCCAGTAGTGCCAGACAAGCTCCCTGATGGGCTGCTCTGACCCCCAACCCAGCCCTCTCTTTCCAAAGACACCAGCCTCAGTGTGTAGACACATTCTCACCCCAGACACAGCGTCTGGCTGAGCCCTCTCTCACTGACCCCTGATCACACTCTGAGTGCTGGGCATATCACGTTTGGTCGTCCAGGGACCTTGGAAACCTTCCCACATAGTGGCTAATGAGCCCACAGATGGTCAGTCAACACAGGGGCATTGGAGCCACAGCCAGGAGCCAGAAGGACCACTCGTTGCCCCCTAGAGGGCTGCATGTGGCATCTTCATCTTCCTCTCATGTGGCCTGGCTCCCCACCAGAGCAGAGACCAGGCCTGGGGCTTAACTGGTCCACAGCCCTGCAGATGTGGCCAGCGCAGGTGAGGTTCAGGAGATGTGTGATCACTGAACACAGAAGGCCATCTCCACAAATTCCAGACCCTCGCCATCAGGATGTGAGGCTCAACAGGATGATGGGGTTTGCTTAGTTGGGCCACATCTCCTCCCTGTGAAAGCTGCCCCCATCACTCTCCAGAGAAGGCGCAGGGTGGAGGCAAGACTGTAGTAGCCTAAATCAGGTTTCAGTTCTGACGATTCTTACCGTCTTCACTGTATGACTGCGGCTATCTGCCCTGATCACGCACGATGCCCAGGCTTCCCGATGCAGTTGTGATGCAGATAGGGGGAAGGGAGGGGGCCCTCTCTGCATCCCTATGATGGTCATAGGGTGTCAATCTGCCCAATATACCCTTTCCATTAGCCATTTTACCCCAGCCCAAACACCTAGTCCCTGCCCCTGGAGGTGGCCACACGGCCCAGGCCTGATGGGCCAATCAGTCCCACACCTGCACAATACTCAGTCCTCTTGCCCTCAGTGTTTGCTTCAGGGAAGAACACAGGAGCTGTATGTGGCCAATCAGAGCTCCCCCATGCTTTTTCCAGGGCTCTCAGGCAAGATTTGTTCCCTTCCTCTGGGATCCCACATACAGAAACAATGTGAGTGTGGGGCCACCAATGGACATCTTGCAACCAAGTAGAGAATGCCACTGTCGAAGGCCCTGGATGCCTGCAACCTCTTCCACCTCCCTTAGATTTCCCATTGTGGGAACTAAACCACCTTTTTCCCCCTAAGCTATTAATAGTTGAGCATTTCTGAGTGTTTCTGTTACTAAGCCTGAAAAAGTTCTGATAAATTCACCAGGACAGTCTCTTTCAATCTTCTTCACCTAATATCTGTCCAAGTGTTTCTTTACATTAAAACTTCAGGGTCCCAGAAACATCCCATGAGGTCATCTTGGAGGTAGGGGCCAATAGTGTGAGGAGCTCAGAATGGATGAGCAGCAGGTGCCAAGCAGGCCCACGCTGAGGTCTGAAGACACAAATGCCATGGGGAGCCAGCTGGCACAGTGGTAAATAATGTTGGAGACACAGCAGGGTCAAGACTGGGGACTCTTCTGGATTCTATGTGGTGATCTGTGGGTAATAGGGAGCCATTGACAGCTGTTGAGCAGGGCTGAGATGTACCTTGTTCTGCCAGTGGCAACAAGACAGTTGCAGGCAGCAGGGGCAAACTGGAGGGGTGACCATGAAGGAGGCTATAGGGGGCCTGGGATGGGGCAGGGGAGTCCTCAAAGGGTATCGGGAGGGAAGCCTTAGTGGGACTTGGCACCCATTGGTGCTGCCACTTGAGGCGTCACTTTTACCATCATGGGTAAGTGGGCAAAGAACAGGGGCAGATGACACTTAGGGGCAAGAAAAGATGCAGTGGGAGCACTTGCAAGACTCAGGGGGTCTCCAGGGGCATGAACATAGAATAATCGGCTCCGAGTCAAAAGCGAGGGGGGCCCAAGCCCTCATTGTATCCATGTCTAAACTGAGGCCCAGTGACAGGAAGGGAGCTGCCAAGGCCACTGAGCTTGTCAGCAGCAGAGCCAGGCCTGGGGGCCAGGTGGCCTGCCCTGCTCACTCGGGGCCTAGCACATGATGCTGTCTCATTTTTTACTCTCCCTGGAAGTCACCCTGGGAAGCCACTTAGTCCTACTCTTTCCATTTAGCAAGGAAGGAGGACCCGCCAGGGGGAGGCTTGTTGACCAGGAAATAACGGGGAGTGAGGGTGGAAGGAGAGGGCTCAGTAGCCATAAATCCCTTCAGAACTGTGAAAGGAGCTGGGGAATATTGACACAAATTAAATCCAATAAAACATTCATTTAATTAAATTTTAAGTGATCCAAATATTTGCTGTTTGGTTAATATTCATGTAGCTGACAGGAGCAGAACTACGATGGTTCTATCAGTATTCACACATTCTAATTTTGCACGAGTTTTTCCTGCGCAAAGTGCACATCTTCTACATGCAAATGGCTGGGAATAACTCAGGGAGGATGCAGCAGCCAGTTATCCCAGCCAGCAGAGGACCGGAGGGACACAGAAGACTTCCGTCTCCCACTTGGATTTTTGTTTCCTATTAGCCCCATGTTTGAGGCTCCTGCAGACCTTTCTCTAGAGCCGCTTGGAATATATGACTTTGGGGCCACATGGAGGAAGGGATCCTACCTTTCACATCAGTCCTATGTTCCAAATGAGGGGCCATGCTCCTAGCCTTGTATCTAGAGCCCCAGGAAACCCCAGCCTACCAGACCTGCCTCGTCTCCCTGTCTCCCACCTGCATTCCCCCTCTCTATGTACCCAGAGCCCTTCTCATCTTGTAACACAGTGGTTCTCAGGCCATCATAGAACCCCTTGGGATGCTTGTTAAAATCTGGATGTCCACCCAGCCCACTTGTTAAAATCTGGATGTCCATCCAGCCCACCAGAGCATCTGCATCAGCCTGAGGCAGAGGGGCAAGAATCTGTGTTTTAATTACCCACCCCCAGAGATATGATACAGGTGGCTGGGGAGCCGCACCTGAGAAGCGGATCTCTAGGGCCCAGGGGAAGCCCTGCTGCTGCCTCCAAGAGCCCCTCCCCGATGGCCCAATTGGTCTTTTCCTTCTAGTCTGACCACAGATCAGACGTGCAGGGAAAATCTGATTCCTTTTGTAACTAACCTGACTTTACAAGCCTCACCCCAATGGGAGAAAAGCACAACTAAATGCTCAATCCATTGTAAAGATTAGCACGAGCTGACGATTTTAACAGTCCACGTAAGTAGTGCTCTGTCTAAAAACTGCTCTGTGTCTCTAGCTTCCACCCCACGTCCCAGCTGCTCTCCCCGGCTGGCTTCTGAGTGTCCAGGGAAGCAGCGTGGTGGTGCACTGCGGCCTCACTTCCCACGGCAAGGGACTCTGAGTTGCCCTGTCTGAGGTCACTTGAAGCTGAGCTCAGCCCTGGGTGTGCTCATGATCTGGGCTCACAGTCTGGTGTACTCGCGGGTCAGGATATTCCCCCAAGCAAGGCCTCCCACAGCCACCACTGGCCTCCATGCCCCTTGAGGCCAGGAGCACTTCCCTTTGGACCTTGGTCTGGCAGCCCAAGGCAGTTCTCAGGTCCAGATATTATGTTGCTGAACACCAGGGGTTCGGTCTAGGTCTGGTTGTTCACCTCACAGAAAGTCCATCACTGAGTGGATGGAATATTGCCAGGGAAGAAAGGCTTTAATCTCAATGACATCAGCCTGGAAATGGGAGACCGGTTGCAAATCCATCTCTCTGACTAAAGTTCGGGGTTTAGATAGCAGGGAATTAGGGAGGGGTAAGACAGGAGATGGTCAATAGGCAGCAGGTGTGTCTCATTGTCCGGATGCAGTGATCTAGGAGGCCTGGTGTTTGGTTTCCTGTTAAAAGAACTCAGATGAAACAAATTTAAGTTTCTCAAGCTTCAGTTATCTGGGAAAATTGGGCCTGTTTCCATACCAGGAGCCAAGGTGGTTCTGGCTCTCTGCCCAGACACATGCGGTTGCCCCAGGTGGCAGGAGCAGCGGCACAAAGCCTCGTGGCCCAGGGGAGCCTCGTGGTCATCTGATGAGGAAAGGATGCCTCCTCTACTCTTGGGGAGAATGCTGAGGTCTGAGTCCTACAGACCCGCAGAGTACGGTGGGAGCTAAACCATTTTAGCAAATTCTCATTCTCTCTCTTTCCCCTCTCCAAAGGCCGGGTCATGCTACAGAGTTAGTGCCTTCTCTCTCCTGCCCTGGGCAATAAGCCTCATGACTCGGAGATGGGAGGGTAGTGAGCAGAACTTGATTTAAGGGGGAACTTGAAATGCATCACTTTATTGTTGGTAAAATATTATGCCAGTTGCGTCTGCATCCATCACTGGGTGCTCATCTTTCCTTGAGGGTTCCTTCACCGTTAGTCACATTTTTCCTGTGTGTGATTGTCCCCTCCCCACCGGCCTATTGGCTCTTTTACTTCTTTATTTCATTTTCTCCATTTCTCATCCATCCATCCAACAGCACTGATGAAGCACCTAGCGTAGCTTGTTCATCTTTGTGAGCCCAGGGCGGAGCCACTCAGCATCTGTGGAAGAAGGAGGGCTTTGCTGCTCAGGGTCTGACCTCAGGACCCTGTTTCAATTCAGCTGCTCTGCTGTGCCTTGCACCTGCGGCTGTTTTCGCTCCCTCTTCCCCTCTCCCACACACACGGGCAAGAGGGTGTGAGCACAGATGTGCTGCCTGCGGGGCTGCTGCTGCCTGGTCACAGCTCACAAGCGTCCCGCAGAATAGCAGAGCTCAGCTCCCAACTCTGCTTCGTTCCAGTTCAGGGGGATACATCTGTTGGGGTCCCCCAGGTCCCAATAGAGTCGTAAGCATGAATAGGGAATAGACAAAATAGTACCCACTGCACCGAGAGCCAGCCTGCTTCCCTCAGCTCATGCCACCTCTGGCTATTGCCCCAGCCTCCCTGAGTGCACAGATTTGGGGGAAGAGCAAAAGGGAGCCAGTCCCATCAGTGGGCCGCTGACTGTCCCCCAAAGCCTGATCCCATTTGGTCATTTGAGCAGCCTGAGTTTGATTAATTTTTTCATAAATCCTGAGAATTTCAAAAAGCTTGTGATTGCAGAGAACTATCTTAGATTCTTCCCATTTGCCTGAAGAATGATCAGTCCTAATGCCAGTTATCAAGTTCAAAATGGCAAGGATTAATAGTTTCTGCAGCCTGAAGTATTCTTCAAAAAATTAAAAGCTACAGTGCATTTTCATAGGACAGAAATCCAAATCCAAGTTCAGCGAATCCTTAGACAGAAACAAACCTTCAAAGATCAGCCAGTTCATTCCCCAGACTTCAGACAGCGCAACCTTTAAAACTGACCCCAGATGGATGAGAAACTTGTTAGCTCACTCAGCAGACCTTGTCTGCACTTAGCAAGGCCCAGACTCCAATAGGCCAGGGGAGCTGTGAGCAGGGCGCTGCACCCCTGCCCCCCGGTCTCTCTGTGGTGGGCCCCCTGGCCTTCGCAGCCCACATTCTTGGCTTGACACAAATCTATGGCCCAGATTGTCCTCAGCACATTACTTATGGTTTTTGACCTGTTTGGACTCACATAGCCTTTTGGGCATTTGACCTAAGTCTTGGCTCCTCGCCCAGCAAAAGTGTCTATCTCTACATTTAGTCAGCACATTGTAAACAATTTTCAGGGAGTCGTGAAGCCCTTCTGGGCCTCTTCCACCCAGGAAATTCATGGCTATTCACCTTGAGTTGAGACTCCAATCCCTGGGCCTGCACCTGACCGTGCCTCCTCCTTTCCCTCTGCAGAAGTGGTTCAGCTCAGCCTCGCCCCCGAGGACAGGGTCAGTGTGACCACAGTGACCGTGGGGCTGAGCACAGTGCTGACCTGCGCCGTCCATGGAGACCTGAGGCCACCAATCATCTGGAAGCGCAACGGGCTCACCCTGAACTTCCTGGACTTGGAAGACATCAATGTAAGTCACCTGGAATTCACTCTGAGCTCAAGCGCACCTCCCTGGGAGAGTACACTGGGTAAGATGCCACAGACAGTGGCAGGACGGGAGAGTTTTAGTTTAACATCCTGTGTTTGGTGCTTTTCTAGCCTGTTGTCAGCTTGGCAGTATCAGAAAATCCAAGTCCCACCACAGCAGAAAATAGATGAATGGTGGCCATGCTATGTCCGGCTAAGGAAGAGAAGAGAGATGCGATGGGTGGGACAGGAGGCCTCTGAACGGGGCTGCATTAGCAAAGGCCTGGAGGTGACCCTGAGAACAGACTGTGTGGGCCTGCTCACAGGGCTCAGAGAGATGGACCACAGGCCAGCAGAGAGAGCAGCAGGCTCCACAGCTGAGAGAACAGTGGGCTGGGGGACCTTAGGAGGAGGTTCTGGGCCCTAGTGCTGGGTAGGCTGTAGACAGCTGTGTGCAGGGAAGGGGTGGTCCCTGTGGAGGGCAGAGGTGAGCCACTGGGCTGGGTTGGCTGGAAGACAAATGCCAGGTGCCAGATGAGAAGGTAGAGGGAAACCAGGTCAGGCCAGAGGGGACCCACCTTGGGGACGTTCATTGCTGGGTAAGGGAATGAGGGTGTGATGAGTTAAGTGGTGCTGTGTGGAAGAAGAAAGCAACTGAGCTCATGCAGCCTAGTGTGGCCATCAGGGGGTACGTCTGTGCCCTGAGGAACCAGGCAGCCTCCGTTGGGGTCCCAGCATCACCCACGTCAGCTTTGTGACTTTGAGTAATTTCTTAACCTGCCGATCCTCAATGAATTAATCTATAAGAAAAACGTTAGCAATACTTCCCTTCTATTAGACTTAAAGAAGTGGCATAATTCAAGGATATTTATTGGTCCAGGTTTGGCACAAGAGGTGATGTGGCTTCCCAGAAGTTCATGTGAGAAGACAGAGTGATGTCACCCATGTAGTGAGCTGCCAGGACAGCTGACGGGTCTTAGGTTACAGTAACTGGAATATAATTTTCATGCAGAAGAGAGGGCAGCCTTAGCCTTGTTGGCTCAGGACAGGACAGCTGGTCCACAGTGGGATGCTTGCCCAGAAAAGAAAGACCCATGGGATGAATGGTCAGTTCCTGCTAACATCTCGAAGGTGGTGGGGTAGGGGCTGGGGCAAAGGGAGCTGACCTGGGCTGTGTGACCCCCTGAGTTGGACTAGCACAAGGTGCACCTCAAAAGGAGATCAATTTGGGCTCCTTAGATGGAACCCCATTCCAGCCATCAAACCTGCCCCACCATGGAGACAGAGCCGCCACAGGAGGCGCTGAGCTCCTTATCCCAAGGGGCATATGCAAGCTCAGGCAGGGACTGTGGTCAGCAATGCTGCTAGCCACAAGAGGGCAGCTAAACCCAGTGACCTTGGAGGTCCCTTCCAACTCTGAGACTTGTGGGGAGAGAGACCCAGCATGAAATGCTGCAGGAACCACCAAAGTTAGTCCTCTCCTACTCTCTAGGCCCCTTCAGCTACACCCTGGGGGTCATGGGGGAAGCAGATGGAAAGAGGGGGCCACTCTGGAGGTTCTACCCTGGGCAGAGCTGCCAAGGAGTGCCCTTCCCCTAGCCTTGTCACACTGGACAGGATTGTTTTCTTGTGATTTCCCACCATGGTGAACATAGCCAGTATCCTATACAATTTTGAATGTCAATGCAGCACAATCCTGGTGGGTGCTTGCTGGACAGATGCTGGATGGGCAGAACCCTTCATTTTCTGGGCCTGCGATGGCCAGGGCTTGTCTGAGAACTTAGCAAGAAAGAGCAGTGTCCTATCTGTAAAGACTGGACTGTGTTGGGGTGCATGTTTGTGAGTGTGATGTCCTCTACTGTACCTGCTCACAAGGTGCAGTGCCAGCTTTTAAACATGTTTGGCCAGGAAAGATTGATCAGTACTGGGACAGCTCCACCTGTGTCTGTGGGAGCATTTCATGTGCATTACTTGGCGCTCCACTGAAAGACATCAGAAATAAAAGCAGAGGCAAAACTCCACTTAATGTACTTGCCATCAGTTAATTAAATTACTTTGAGTGGTCTTCCTCTCCCTCAAACATGCCTCCAGCACCAACTCAATTGCATTTCTACTTTTCACAATAAGGTTAGCAATTTGGGTAATTGTGGGTGCAACCAGAGATGAATGGCCCCTCATTATCTCCCAGGAAACACTTGCTGCTCGTGGTTGAGTCAGTAGCCCGCAAATAGGCAGGGCCCAGTGCTTCTCAGAACCCCCTACACGAGGGAGCAGGGCAGCACCAGCCCCGCAGGGGTCCAAGCCCGATGTGTACAAACACACAAAACACACGCACACCTCCCCTACCTGAGGGAAGGAGGCGGCACAGCTTCCTAGGGAAGGGCATGAGCCTGGGGTCTGCCACTTACTAACTAGAACCTTGGAAAGTTACTAGTCTAGTAACCTTGACTGCTCTAAGCTCCAGTTTTCCCTTCTGTGAAATGGGGATAAATAATGGTACCAGCCTCATAGGGTTCCAGTAAGGACTAAATGACAATATGCATGTAAGGCTCTTCACGTATGGTGTTCTATAAATGCTATTATCACTGTCATCATTACTATTGTTACTATCATTAATATTATTATTGTATTATTATTCCTGCTGCTGCTAAATAATATTCTCAGCAGCTTGCAGCCTGAGTCCCCACCAAGCAGCCAGCAACAGCTGGGTGAGGCTCCCTAGTCAGGCAGATAGGACCTTGGCATGCCCCCCGCTGCTCGCAGTGGGGACGGAGGTCTCACTGTCCACGTCAGCCTTGACTCACGCAGGGAGGGAGGCACTGCTTCTCTGCCTCCAGCAAATCCAGAGCAGCTTCGGGTGAGCTGTTGGACTTCTCTGAGCCTGTGGAGAAAAAGCATGATGTGCTCCTTACATGGGCATTTTCAGGCTGAAGTGTACCAAGGACCCAGCTCAGTGCCTGGCACACAAGAGGTGCTCATAAGCAGTAGGCCCACTTGGGACGGTGTGGAAAGCAAACCTTAGAAGAAATCAGGCTGAAGGGGGCTAAAGCCAGGTCATCGGGATTCACTTGCATTTTTGAAGCAAGAATTAGGGGAGAACAGCCCAGGAGTGCAACACTGATGCAGCAAAGATTCTGGGGTTGATGAGGCTCCCAGAGTCCCTCAGCCTGAGGTGTCTCAGTGGCCACGTTCACCCCACGGCAGTGGGAGATGAAATACGATCACCGGCATTGTAATCAGTGGTGACTCCCAAACACGGCTGCACGGGGGCAAGCTGATCGGCCTTCAAAACCCAAGGCGGGGAGATCACAGAGCACGAAGGAGCGTGGGCCTCCTTTCTTTGTCGTTTGTATGAGACATCTTGATTGGCAACAAAATATTAACCACTTTTTCACTACTCTCTTAATGAGAAGCTTTCGTGAGCAACAAAATATTAATTTGTCTTATCTGTTAAGAATTCTATTAATGAATTCAGTCACAGAGCTATTACAGAATGCCATTCTAATGACACATGTAATTAAACTTTTCTGACTTGCAAACATCAAGCATGCCCTGAGCATCAGAATAATATTTGATCAGAAAGTAAATGTACCCCTCTCGCCTGGAGCCAAGTAAGAAGGAGCCAGTCAGATTTTGCAGCGAGTAATGTTGCTCTCAGAAGCACTTATGAGTCACCCAATCGTGTGTGGCCCATCCAGGTGGCGTACATGGGGAGTCATCATTTGGGTTGACTCACTTGCTAAGTGCCTGAGAGTCACAAGCTCCGTACCAGAGTAGAGAACAAAGACACTGTCCGCAGCCTCCAGGGAGGCGAAGTAACCACTAACAACTGTTCTGGGGGCAAGAGAAAGGAGCCCTTCTGACTGGGGCTTCAGGAGACAGGAATAAGCGAGTGAGAAAGAAGTGTATAGGGACAGACTGGGGCTAGAACATAAAGGTCCTTGAATATTAACATTAAGAGTCTTAGCAATTGCCCTGTGGGCAGTGGGGAAGCGCAGATGTTTGATGGGGGAGTGACAGGGTCAGATGTGTGTGCTGCAAGAGTCTGGAGCGCCTTTTCCAGCCTAAGATTAAACATGCATCCAAGAGGGAGTTCACATAACAGAGGGTCCAGAAGTGAGGGGAGCCTTGTTGATGTTTTCTGAGTCTTCCTCCTCTCTAACTTCCCCAATGGCACATCTGGAGTGCAGCAGTGCCCCAGGGTCTCCCTGGCTTCCACCCAAGGCTCCCCTGATGGGGCAGTGGTTCAGTTCATGATGTCTTCACTTTGCCTTTTTTTTTTTTTTTTTTTTAGGCAGTAGGGTCTCTCTCTGTCACCCAGACTGGAGCACAGTGGCATGATCTTGGCTCACTGCAGCCTCGACCTCCAGAGCTCAAGCGATCCTCCCATCACAGCCTCCAGAGTAGCTGGGACCACAGGCATGCACCACCATGCCTGGCTAATTTTTTTATTTTTTTGTAGAGAGGGGTGTTGCTATGTTGCCCAGGCTGGCCTCAAACTCCTGAGCTCAAGTGATCCTCCTGCCTCGACCTCCCAAAGTGCTGGGACTACAGGTGTGAGCCACCGTACCTGGCCTTTGCCTTCTTAAGGTTGTCAGGAAGTTCAGCCTGGGCCTGGACCTGGTATGTCTCCTAAGGACACCTGAGCCACTGCCTTGCAGGAGGCTTTAGCCTTACCCAGCCCAGCTTGTAAGAGGGAAAACAAATCCACCACTGAGCAGAGGCTAGAATTATGGACGAATGGTGTAAGGCCCCCAAAGACAGGTGCACCCCAGCAGATCAGCAGCCCAGGGCACATGCTGCAGCCCCTCCTGGCAGTGGGTCTCTGGATTATGACGCCGCCTTCTGTTTGTTTGATGAGAAATCAGTAGTGTCTGCTCACGTTCATGTTCCCCAGAGCTAACAAAGTGCAGCCTGTAATTTGTTTACTTCCTGGCTGACTGTGGGTTTCGTTACTGAAGCAGCTGTGTGTCTGGATGTGCTTCTGACCTGGCCCTGTGTCCCCACTCACCTCAGTCCTTGAGGAGGCACAGCCCACTGCCCCCACCTCAGAAGCTAAGCAGAGGCGTGGCCACCAGCAGCACCCTGTGCTCGGCATGACCTGGGCCTGGGCCAGGCGGCCCCCAGGAGTGTGCCTGTGCTTGTGTCTGGTAGAAGGGGAGACTTTGCCCCCAGCCCCTGCTGTGGGGCCCCCACAAGGGGCCATTCCCTGGTGAGATTCCCCTGTAGCCCCTGTCTCCTGGGGACTCAGGTCCAGGCTTTGGGGGCTGGGGTGAGACCCATCTCAGAAGCAGATCCACACATTCCCTCCCTACTCTGGCCCCCATTCTAGGTATTGGGGTTGGGAAGGATGGGGTGCTGCCTCACTTTCTGCAGAAACAGAACATGCAAACCCATTCTGGGCCTCAGCCCTCTGCTTCTCTGACCACCCAGCCTGCACAGCGGCCACTCGGAGGGTGAAGTGACTGTCCCCAAACCTAGTCGGCACATCCTGCCTCAACAATGTCACCCACCCTTCATCTCATAACTGTCTTCCTCACTGTCCTTTATGATCCTGAGGGCCAGGAGACAGGAACGGGCAGAAACAGGGACAGGGCATCTCAAAAGTCACAGGTAATGGCTGTTGGGTTGAACCATCACAAGTGTTGTTGCCAGTGTTGTTACCATTCATACACGGTGCAGGCTCCGTGCCGGTTGTGAGGTCATAAGCATCAGCTCATCCCATACCCCTGCCCCATGAGGCACGTGGGGTTAACTCATTCAGATGAGTGGAGAACTTGCCCATGGGCCTACAGCCACCTACATGCCCTGGCCCAGAGCTCTCTGGGTTTCTTGCTTGTGGGACATAATATCTAGCCCCCAGCAATTCCAAATCTTTGCTGTGGGGCTGTCTGTAGTTCCCAGGCCCCAGTGGAATGTATCAAATTGGATATGGGTCCCTGTGTGTGGAGCTCCTATTCTTACTGGCTGCTGGCCTCTGGCCCCAGCAAGGAAGGAAGCAACATGCTCTGAGACCAGCACGTGGAATTGTTTAGCCAGGATATTCTCAGGGAGAGAAAACATTTTTCTATTGTATTCTTTTTTAAAAAAACAGAAAAAACAAAAAGGCCTACAACAAACTCAGTATATTTCAAATGACTTGAAAGAGCCACTCTTTTTTGTTTTGGGTTTTTTTTTCACTGAATCTCGCTATTTGGGGCTTTCTAATGTCGGCAGGCAGAGTACGGTGATAAAAGCAAAAAACAAAACCCATTAGAAGAAAGTATTTGTGGCAGTGTTTGAAGGATGTGTTAAAATGTTCACTTTTCTCCCCATACCTAAATGGTATAAAACCAGGAACAAATAATTCTAATGAAGCGTATGCTCTCAGCTAGCTCTTCTTTGGAAGGGAGTTATTAAAAAGACCAAAAGAAAATGATTTAGGAGCTCATGACTCATTTAATTTTTATTGTCTTTATATGAACCAGTCATGAATTCATTGTAAAAAGATGAGAGGCGTTTGATTAGCATGGAGAGCTGTTTGCACCACGATAGACAGTGGTTGTAGGCTCTGCATTAAAATAATCTCATTAAATGCTTGGGTACATTTTGTTTTAAAATCTTAGAAAACACTACATTTGAAGCACTTAAAGGCTTTGGCCAATTCTCTGTAGCTTGTGTCAAAAACATCTGAACATCCAGTTCTTTAGAGTTTTGAATGTGCTCAAACCATTGGGAGTAGTGTCCAGAGATCTCCAAGATATGGGGGCCGGGGCCTATGGTACTCCAGCCTGTGGAACCTGTGGGGTGACTCTGCCCTGCCAAGTGTCTCCTCTGGCCTTTGCTTTCTCAGTGCCTCTTTCGAGGTCCTCTTTCCCCTCTTAGGGGAAAGCCTTAGGGGAAGCCCTGGCCTCAGGGCTTGACTTGTACTCAGTGACCACTTCCGGCCCCATCTCCAAGGTACAGGGTCCCACAGGAAGGTTCTGATTCAGCTTCTATACCCTGATTGCAGAACCCAGGAACTCCCCACAGAGTCTCTTCCTCCCTGAGCCTCACTGCCTCCCTACAGAGGCCCAGTCAATGAAGGAGGCCGATTGGTGCCTCTCTTGGCCACTACAGATTGGAGCCTACCCCTCCAAGGCACTCTCTGCACTAAGCAAGGACAAGGGAGTCACCAGGAGGTCCTGCAGCCCATGAGCCATGCCCAAGCACTGCTCTTCCTGGACTCCCCCTCCCCAGCCCCATGCAGCTGTTTCAGGTTTTGTCTACAGCAAACAAGACTGCAGTAAACATCCTTATACCCACCTCTTTGCACATGTGTGTAAGTTGACGTGTAAGATAAGTTCTCGGAAGTGATGCATTTTCAGTTTTGATGGGTTTTGCCAAATCTCTCTCCAAAATGGCTGCACCAGTCTACGCCCTCTCCAACAATGTGTAAGAGTTTTGAACACAGTGTCAGGAGGAAATTCCTAACTGAAAGTCGTCTTGGTCCCTGAAATGAGCCATAGAAGGAAATTTATTTAAATCCTCTCTGGAGTGTCTCAACGACAGGAATCAGCTGTCATGGCTGTGAGTGTGGTCCAAGTTAGAGTCAGGAGCTGAAACCCTTGGTAAGGCCTTCTCAGCCTGGGGATTCAGGATCCAAGGATCCCCAGGAAGAGGGTTGCAGGTTTCCCAAAGGAAAGCAGCAGGTGTGAGGTGGTCTGGAACTTCAGATGACTGCTACAGTGCAGTCTAGAACCTGAGTCCCTTCCCGCCCCAGCTGGGGATGCCAAGCTAATTAGCCAAGGAGCCAAAGCCCCATTCAAGGGCTCAGGCCTGCACCTCACCAGAGGGCCCCATTAGCTGCCACCCCTACTACATAACACTCTGGAGTCCTGGCATGTCAAGAGGTATTTGCCTGCTGGCCTCTAAGGGTGGACAAGTGGAGGGCTCAGAGCAATGTCTCTGGCATGAGCCTTCTGTTGCAGGTGCCTGGGCCTCTGTGTATACCCAGATAATCAGGTTTGTCCCTATACGCAATTTCAACACGCATACCACTAGGTCAGAACTTCCCTATTTGAGTTTTTGAGCCAACTGAAGTTGGCTCTTCGACAGAAGACACCCTCACTTCTGACATAAACTGGAAGTCAGGTGGTTCCCAAAACCACCCTCAGGTTCAACAATTTGCTGGAAAAACAGAACTCATTGTAAGTGTTATACTCACAGTTAAAGTTTAATACAGCAAAAAGAGTACAGATTAAAGTCAGCCAAGTGATGAAGCCCAAAGGGCAGAGCCCAGGAGGGCTCTAAACGTGGAATCTCTGTTCTCCTCTCCCAGTGGAGTCACAGACATGTCACTGTCACAGTGTCAATTTCCCAGAGAAGCTCACCCAGGCCTCGGTGTCCAAAGCTTTTGCTGGAGCTCATTCAAATACTGCCCACATGGCTGCCCTCTCGTCCCCAGCCCCTCTAGAGACAGAACTGGTACCACCTGGCCCAAAGACCCCAGGCAAATAAAGAGACCCCTATGAGGCATGACATTCCAGAGCCTAGAGATTGCCTCCCTGTAGCCAAAGAGGGCAAGGCCAGACCTCCCTGGGTAATATGAATTCTTAACTATCCTTCCTCTCAGGGCTTCCCAGGAGGTAGCATCCTAGGCTAACACACTCCCTGAAATCAGCAAATATTCATTGAGCTCAGTTATGCACAGGAACCACATGACACGCTGAGAATAATACAGTCATGCACAAAGAGATGAGTCATGCGCGAAGAGATGAGTCATGCGCTAAGAGATAAGGGCCTCCCCTTTGGCATCCACAGTCAGAAGAAGACTGACCGCACACACCAGAGGACACCCAAGTCAGCCAGGGACCACACATGCCCCGAGCCTTGGAAGAACCAGGTGCTCTCCCCACAGTGGCTTCTCTCATGCCTCCAACTCCCTCTTCCAGGCCTGAACCTGGGAACGAGCAGGAGGACAGGCCCACTCCAGGTTGCTCACACTGAATGCAGCTGCCCACAACAGCCCTCTTCCAGGGGGCTCAGACAGCTACTTAGAGATTGCTCCAAGTTGCAGAGACTTCTTTTTCTTGAGAGGACTCTGAGAAAAAGGATGGTTCCTCAGGTCTTTGCAGGATGGCAAGTCCGTCTATTATGTCCGGAATTGGTGGGTTCTTGGTCTCACTGACTTCAAGAATGAAGCCGCGGACCCTCGCAGTGAGTGTCACAGTTCTTAAAGGCAGCGTGTCCAGAGTTTGTTCCTTCTGATGCTCGGATGCGTTTGGAGTTTCTTCCTTCTGGTGGGTTCGTGGTCTCGCTGGCTTCAGAAGTGCAGCTGCAGACCTTCAGGGTGAGTGTTGCAGCTGATAAAGTCAGTGTAAACCTAAAGAGTGAGCAGCAGCATTTATTGCAAAGAGCAAAAGAACAAAGCTTCCACTGCGTGGAAAGGAATCCCAGCGTGTTGCCACTTCTGACTCCGGAGGTCTGCTTTTATTCTCTTATCTGGCCCCACCCACATCCTGCTGATTGGTCCATTTTACAGAGAGCCGATTGGTCTGTTTTACAGAGAGCTGATTGGTCCGTTTTGACAGGGTGCTGATTGGTGCGTTTATAATCCCTGAGCTAGACACAAAAGTTCTCCACGGTCCCCACTAGATTAGCTAGATACAGAGTGTCCACACAAAGTTTCTCCAAGTCCCCACCAGAGTATCTAGATACAGAGTGCCGATTGGTGCATTCACAAACCCTGAGCTAGACACAGGGTGCTGATTGGTGGGTTTACAAACCTTGAGCTAGATACAGAGTGCTGATTGGTGTATTTACAATCCCTTAGCTAGACATAAAGGTTCTCCAAGTCCCCACCAGAATAACTAGATACAGAGTGCCGAATGGTGCATTCACAAACCATGAGCTAGACACAGGGTGCTGATTCGTGTGTTGACAAACCTTGAGCTAGAGACAGAGTGCTGATTGGTGTATTTACAATCCCTTAGCTAGACATAAAGGTTCTCCAAGTCCCCACCAGACTCAGGAGCCCAGCTGGCTTCACCCAGTGGATCCTGCACCAGGTCTGCAGGTGGAGCTGCCTGCCAGTCCCGTGCCGTGCGCCCGCACTCCTCAGCCCTTGGGTGGTTGATGGGACTGGGCGCCCTGGAGCAGGGAGCAGTGCTCTTCTGGGAGGCTCAGGCTGCGCAGGAGCCCACGTTGGCAGGGAGGGGGGTGGGGGTGGGGGAGGCTCAGGCATGGCGGGCTGCAGATCCTGAGCCTTGCCCCGCAGGGAGGCAGCTAAGGCCCGGCAAGAAATCCAGCGCAGCAGCTGCTGGCCCAGGTGCTAAGCCCCTCACTGCCCGGGGCTTGCCGGCTGGCAGCCACTCCGAGTGCGGGGCCCGCCGAGCCCATGCCCACCCGAAACTCACGCTGGCCCACAAGCCCCTCGCACAGCCCCGGTTCCCGCCCGCGCCTCTCCACACCTCCCGGCAAGCTGAGGGAGCCAGTTCCCGCCTTGGCCAGCCCAGAAAGGGGCTCCCACAGTGCAGCGGCAGGCTGAAGGGCTCCTCAAGCATGGCCAGAGTGGGAACCAAGGCCGAGGAGGCTCCGAGAGCGAGCAAGGGCTGCGAGGGCTGCCAGCATGCTGTCATCTCTCACTATGAGGGACTAGAATGAAGTGAATGTCGCCGTAACCTCAGTGTTGGTCGGGAAGGTCAGCACTAGGGAGCCAGTATGTTGGTACGTGTGTGCACTCATGCGTGTACATCATCATGTGTACCACGTGTCCATGTAGATGTTTGGGTGCGCTCCCTCCCCCATGTGTGCACACTCGCATGTACTGCATGTGTCCATGTGGATGCCTGTGTGTGCTCACCCACATGTGCACACTCGCATGTACTGCATGTGTCCATGTGGATGCCTGTGTGTGCTCACCCACATGTGCATGTGGTCCTGGCTTGGTCTGGATAAGGGCCAGGGAAGTCTAGACGTGTTCGAGGAATGGCCATCACCGAGGCACCACATGTCACTCTGTGTTTAAGTTTGCTGCATTTGACTGTGCAGGTGAGATGCTACAGTTAGTGGCATTCTGGGGGCCAGAATTGAAGGATTGTTGGGGGAGAGACCCCCCCTTTGCTCCCTCCTCCCACAAAGAGAACCAGGGGTGCTCCTGAGGAGGGCAATGTCGGAAAAGCTCTGAATAATTGTTTCTCAACTGAGTCTGAACTTGTAACATTGACAGTATCATTAACCTAAACTCTAATATTACTCTGGAGTCCTTGCGTTGAACATTTAGTCTCTAAATATTCAGTATTGATGACTCATTTCCATATATACCTGACTCCCATGGATCACTATGACAACATCCCCCATCTCATCTCTGCTTAACTATTGTTTAATACTTAAGTCTCATTTAATTGTGTTCTTTATTAAGGGCAGATACTTAGAAAATCGCTTTTTAAAAGGTGAGAACCATGTCTTTAAAATTGTCTCTTTCCCAGAAAACAGATATGCATCAATACAAAGAATGGTCTAATCTGACATCTGTTTATTTCTGTAAGGAACCTTGATTTTGCTAATACAGTTCTATGCATCAGAGCAAAAAAAAAAAAAAGCCATCCATAAAGAGACAAGTACAGAGATGCAATCAAGCGTTGATAGCAGTATTCAGATGCATCTCAAAGAACATTCAGGAGAGGAAGGATTGCAGGCTTAGTTTTATGTAGCTTCTTATAAATCAATTGTTAAAGTAATTTTCTCTTCTCACATCCAATGAGGTAAATTTGATTTCTGTAGCCAGTATTCATATCCAGAAAACAATATGCGCTTTGTTCTGTAATTATATGATGCCTATCATTTTCACCCAGAGACGTTATTTTACTTATTACAGAGTCAGCTTCTCCTCCGAGCTGAAGCCACAGACAGGTAATGCTTAGGTTCTCACGGAAGAGCCATAACACACCCAGGAGCCCCTCAAGTCCTCCAAGGGCTGACACACACACCCCTCAGCACCTGAGTGATTGCCCAAGAGTTAAGTCTCTGCTCCTGGGGAGCAGGGATGTGTACTTGGTAAGCAGGAAAGAAACAGACAGTGAGGTTAAATGACTGTGTTGGAGGCACAGCACAAGTCATCAGTAGCGGGTGGGAATCCATGCGCGATGGGCTTTTCCATCTCTTCCTGCTGCTCTGAGCTTTGGTCAATTCCAGCGTGCCCCAGCCTGAGGAGTGCAAAAGAGCCTCGAGTTCTCCCGAGGGCTGCAGGACGGAGAAGGGGACAAGTGGGGAAGTGGGGACGAGACTTGAGACCAGTGCTCTGCTCCTCCCGCCAGCTGCCTCATTTTGAGCCTGTGTGGCTGGGTAATATTTGAGTGGACAGGAAGGCAGGTGGGCACCTCGGCTGTCAAACTGAAAGAATCCCCTCAGAAAGCCTAGCTCGGTGCCCTGTACAGTCCCCTCGACAGCTATTTTTTGAGGGCCCACTGTGCACCAGGACTGTGACAGGCACACAGGGCACAAGCCTCCCTGCCCTCCTCTGCAGAGCTCACATTCTGCAGGGGAAGACAGACAGCAAACAAGGTAAGTACAGAAAGCAGCAGGCGGCACAGCAGTGCGTCCACAGGAGGCGCCAAGCAGGGTGTGGGGAAGAGGTTAGGCTCCAGAAATGGGGCTGCCAGACAAGGTTGGAGCAGACTTGCAGGAGAGGGAGACAGACAGACAGCCTGGGAGGAGGGGAGCATGCCTGGCACACTAGAGCAACAGCAAGGGGAGTGTGCGAGGCAGTAGGGTCTGAGAGGGGCTGGCCCCCAGCAAACAAGGCTCTGAGTATGAGGGGCGTGATGTGGCTGGCTCAGGGCAGAGTCTGTGGGCCGGAAGCCGGGGTCCCTGGCATCACCCAGGAAGGTGGCAGCTGGCCAGAGCAGGAGCGATGGAGGTGGTGAGAGAAGACCCCACTCTGAATGAATCTGCAAGGAGAGCCTAGTGTCTCAGCCCCTGGGGAACTGGGCTTTTGTTTTGTTTTCTGGATTGGGGTTTTCAGGGTTTTTTTTTTCCTGAGGATTAAATACATACAAGGTGACGTGTAAGTTCCCGGCACACGGTAACCTCTTGAAGACCGTATGTTGGTATTAATGGGTATCAACCTGAGGTTGATATCTGGGAACAGTGGCCTTGGGACAGCCCTCAGAGCCCAGGGCCCATCTCAACCTGAGGAATGTGGTGGTGCTGATGACTAAACACCACCACACAGGTGGTGATGAGGGCAGGGCCTGCCAGAGCCTGAGGCCAGCTTCAAGGGCCATCATGAGAAGGGGCTGTGGATGTGAAGGCTCAGGAAGGCAGTTTGGAGGGAAAATGCCAGCAGGTCCACAGCGCCAGGCTCCCTGCAAGCAGCTCTGGTTTTTGCCCTCTCGGATGGTGTCTGCCCTGGGACCCACCAACTGGGACGCTGAGGAGTTTCCAAGCCCTGCCACCCTTTTCCCTTTGAAATGGCTGTACCATTTCAGGATGCCATCTCACCACTGAGACTCCAAGCTAAACAGATTTTCCTCCAGACTTAAGTTTTGACACAGGAAACAGCTTAGACTAGAAATATGTCGGTCCCAGAATTGACTAGTCATTAACTTTTCATAAACAACTTAGATATGAACCTTTTATGACTCTTATGATACAGGACAAATCAGCTATCTGGTGTTTTATTTTATCATGGAGGCTTCCGCAGAATGGTAGAAAAGGGCTCTTTGAAGCAGAGCAGTGTTTCACAACAAACTCTCAGGGTTTCCGCAGCCCTCTGCAACATTTTACTTCTTTGAGAGCACTGCTAGGAGTTTTTATCCTGACCCTCCCTGCAAGCAGGCTGCATGTGCTCACCATCTACCTTCCTGCCTTTGCCCTACCCCAAGCTTCACTCTGGGCCGGCACCCCTTCATCCAGCTAATTAGCCAGAAAGTGTCTTTTTTTTTTTTTTTTTTTGGAGGTGGGGTCTCGCTCTGTCACCCAGGCTGGAGTGCAGTGGCACAATCTCAGCTCACTACAACCTCCGCCTCCCAGGTTCAAGCAATTCTCCTACCTCAGCCTCCTGAGTAGCTGGGACTACAGGCGCCCGCCTCCACGCCCAGCTAATTTTTTTGTTTGTTTGTTTGTTTTGTATTTTTAGTAGAGACAGGGTTTCACCATGTTGGCCAGGCTGGTCTCAAACTCCTGACCTCAAGTGATCCACCTGCCTCGGCCTCCCAAAGTGTTGGGATTACAGGCATGAGCTACCATGCCCGGCTCAGAAAGTGTCTTTAAGGGGTTTCGGGACCATTGTGGCCGGGCCCTCTGGAGTGTTAGCAAGAGAGAACATCAGCATTTCAGGAACAGGAGCTCACATGAGTATCAGCGGAGGACCCAGGGAGCTGCCCTCAGCTGCTTTTAGCCCTCATGCCACCACGGCCTTCTCTCCTGCCACCAGAATGCTTCTGTGGGAAAAGGGAGCTCAGAAAGGGCCAGGGAAAGGCAGGAGGGATGATTTGGTGTTTTCTCCAGGGGTCAAGAGGAGTTTTGCATCTTCTGCTAATAATAACAAGAAAAATAACATCCCCTGTGTATATCATGCATCCCACATTCAAAAATACACTCACATGCATTTTCTCACCGGATCTCCCAACACCACATAAGGCAGGCAGGCCGTATATATTGTCCACAATTTACAGGTGGAGAAGCCAGTGCCCAGAGAGACTGGGTACATTGGTCAATGGCAGAGCTCAAGCTAAATCCTGGATGTCCTGAGTTCCCATCACTCCCCACAGATGACAGTGCACAACCCCCTTGCTCATTAGTGAGCCTGGGCCTTCTCTGTACCATCAGCTCTGAGCACCATATCCTGGGAAATGTTTGGTAGCCAAGGCCCAACCTGATGAGGGCTCTCTGTAGAAAACGGGTAATTCCAATTCCTGGCATGTCTGTAGTTGGTGCCTGGAAGGGCCAGCATTGGGCACAGGTCTGCAAAAGGGAATGCAGCTGACTGGGCAAGTGCTTGGTGCCCAGTGCTCATCAGGGGACTCTGATGCAGCCAAAAGCCCCTCCTGCCCATCCCTCCTCTGTGCACTGGCCCAGTAAGACCCCATCGTGTGAGGCTGCAGAGATGACAGTGCTGAGGCTTATTGAGCCATTTCCTGTGGAACCCATGGGCATCCGCCCTTCCTAGTGCTCTTTGATGTTCCTGCCCTGGTTTTTTTGTTTGCCCCATTTTCCCTTTAGTTCTATTTCCCTTCCCTTGGGTTACCAAGATCTCTGCAAGCAGCCTGAAATCATGCTGGGATTGAGGTGGGATCTAAACCATAGGCAGGCCAACTGCAGCCCATGGGCCAAATCCAGGCCACCAACTTTAAATAAAACTTCAGTGGAACACAGCCACGTTCATTAATTTATGTGTCTTGAAGGCTATTTTCATGCTGTAGTGGCGGAGTTGGGTATTTGGCAGAAACTGTGCTACCCATGAAGCCAAAAATATCTGCTCGCTAGCCCCTTAAGAAAGTCAGCTAACCCCCGCTCTAAACAAGGCCTGGCCTCCGGAAACAGAGCTGCTCATCAGGTGAGCAACACCCCTGAGAATCAAGCAGGCAGCCGGTAAATGGGGGGACACGTGGGCCTAGTTGCTTGAAATTGAGAGGGCGTGTGCTGGGGGATGTGTTCAAACCGGGCCTCGTGGAGGAGGGGCCAGGTACACAAGGCCTTAAACAGATGCAGAGGTCTGGGCCCACAATGTGGAGGCAAGATGGGGTTGCTGCTGCCCAGGACGGCTCACCCCTGCAGACAGCTCTGGCTGAGCAAGGGCCAGGCAGAAAGGAACTCTCTCCCAGCTGCAGGATTTCTGGAAAACCAGGAGACAGCTATGGTTTCCAGCCCGTTCAATAAAGAGGCCAGTCTCATCGTCATCTTTGCCCTGTGCAGGACTTTGGAGAGGATGATTCCCTGTACATCACCAAGGTGACCACCATCCACATGGGCAATTACACCTGCCATGCTTCCGGCCACGAGCAGCTGTTCCAGACCCACGTCCTGCAGGTGAATGGTTAGTAAATGGCTCCATGCATGTTGTCCCCTCATAGCCTCCCCAAACTGCTGCTCAGATCAACCCTCGCCCCCTCCTGTATTCTGTCTTCTTAAAGAAATATCTAACCCCAAAATATATCATCTCTCTTATAAGTAAAGGGGAACCGTGTGGAAAGGGCAAAGTCTGTTGACCAATTTTCATATTTGGCTCCACCCAAAGCCTCCACAGGTGAAACAAATCCAAGTGCCATGGCGTGAGCCATTCAGGCCAGTCACGCTCAGCAGCTGGGGCTGCCACAGACAGTGTGGAGCATGGAGCATGCCCCTTAGGCAACACAGTGCTGGTGAGCCGCTGTGGCCTCTGGGTCTAGTGCGAGCAGAAACTGAAATCCACCACTCCTTCCAGGTGGTATGGAACCATATCACTTGTTCAATTAGGAGGCTCTATTTCCTCCGACAAGGGCTTGTGTCCGTCTCCCTCCCCAGGAGGCCCAATGAGCCTCATCTTAGCCAAGCCAGGACAGAAACTGAGGCTTGGAAGCTTTTCCTTGATTCTCACAGGCCCTGTGTTGCCAGGAGTCCCAGAAACTGAAGAATTCACTGCCTCCTGATGACAGTAGCCAGGGTTTTCCCAGCACTTGCCTTGGTCAGTCCCTGTACTCAGCCCTTCACATGGACCTTCCCATCCACGTATCTTAATCCAGTTCATGGATGATTTGCTAAAAAAGGTCACTTGCCTGGGGTCACACAACTGCTGGGTGTTGCTCTGGATCCAGACCCCATACTCTGACCTCTAGGTCACACTGCTGGCTGCCTCAACCTCGTCTGATGAAATAGAATATGTATATAATGCTTGGGAAATGCCTGGCAGAGGATGTAGTTCACAGTCCAAGGTAGGGTAGATACGGGGGTGATTGTTGGTGTAACTCAAGCCAAATTTAGCTATATTTGGTGGACACAGATGGTCAGAGCTGGTGGCCCCTCAGAGAGCCTCCTTCCCATTATACAGTTTGGAAAATCAAGACCCAGAGAAAACGTTCAAGCCAAGAATAGAATATAGGCTGCTTCTCCCTGGAGCTGCCACACTGCCAGCAGTGGGGTCAAGATTCCATGCACAGGCGGGGCCACCACCTTCTGGGACTTCCCCTTCCATGACTCTGCCCTGATTTGGTTGACTAAAGAAACCATTCCAGCAACTACTTCCTCTCTCAAATTATTAGTATAACTTGCCCATAGCCCAGACCTCCCAGAGATGCGGCCCGAGCACTGACGTGATTTATAACTTTGGGTAAACCTCTTGCATTGCTTTCATAGGAAGGAAAAAGAAATCAGACATAAATGATTAATCCATTAAATTAAAAACACCCTTGACCTCCCCACAGTTCAGACAAGTAGCGATTCATTCCCAAAAACACAATAATAACCTCCTGAATCTGTTTATTACTCCCGCATGCTACTTTCGTGACTGTGCCTCTTAAGGATCTATTTACGCTGCCTTTCACATTGGGAATGGTCGGTGTTTCCCAAAGACAGCGGGCCTTTGTGTTATGGATGCAAATATTTTCACTTGAAGATTTTCAAATTTAAGAGAAAATGAGGCCGGTGTGCTGGCTCACGCCTATAATCACAGCACTTTGGGAGGTTGAGGCTGGATCGCTTGAGTCCAGGAGTTCGAACCCAGCCTGGCCAACATGGTGAAACCCTGTCTCTACAAAAAATGCAAAAATTAGCCATGTGTGGTGGCACGTGCCTGTAATCCCAGCTACTTGGGAGGCTGAGGCATGAGAATTGCTTGAACCGGAGAGGTGAAGTTTGCAATGAGCTGAGATAGCACTGCTGCACTCCAACCTGGGCGACAGAGGGAGACTCTATCTCAAAGAAAAAAGAAAATGAATGTGTGTGCCTAGGATATATTAATTTCACATTATTTTTAATGTGTGGATTAACACAAAAGCAAAAGAGGATATCAGGGCCAAAGGAAAGAGTTGGGTCTCTGCCACATTGCTGGCAGAGAGCTTGGTCTCCACCTTTCCTGGCAGGGCCCCAGGAACTTCACACACCCACGTAGACCCTCCCTGTCCACACTGCTCCATCCTCCTGGTGGGAGGCTGGATCCAGAGCTCTGGCACGGGTAGGAGCTGCCCAGAGCTGGCTCTAACTTTGAGTATGGACAACACTTCAGGGTGTTTTCAAGGAGAAAAATGGGGCATAGTTGAGAGAGAAACTGGGATAAAGAGAAGGGTTTTTTTTTTTTTCCAAGGTAGGAGAAATAAAAGCATTCTGTGGGCTAACAGGAAAAATCCAGTAGAAAAGGGGACCAGGATGCAGGAGTGAGAGGCGTGGGAGCTATGTCCGAGCTGGGGTGGTGTCTAGGTAGGAGGTGGGTGTGACACGAGAATGATCTAGAAGTGGCAACGTGGGCCCAGGAGGACGCCTACCCCACCTCCCACCCTAGTGGTACCAAGAGAAGGGGCCGCCCCTGAAGCCACTGCAGGAGAAGCTGCGTCCTCAGGAGGAAGCCAGGTTTCCACTAGAGCAAGAAGGTGAAGGAGTGCTCATAGAAGAGTCTGAGGATGTGGGAGATGTTGCTAATGACAGAACATGAGTTCCAGAAGGCACGACAGAAGGTTCTGGGGAGGAGGGATGCCCCAGAGGCCTAGGCTTCTAGTGGAGATTGGCATGATCTGGGATAAGGCGCAGGAGGAGAAGAGGCCTAGTGATCCCCAGTAGAGAGTTGGGGCAAAACTGGGGAGACGCAGGGGCACCGGAGGTGGAGCAGGCAGATCTGAGGCCCCCTCTTTAGTCCTGCTGAAGGGCTGGAGGCCAGTGAGGAGTCATCTTACCCGCTTTGGCTCAAAAAAACCTCAAGACCAGCAGAGGGTGCATCTCACTCTAAGCACATGTGAGCCATCTTTTTGCCCCTGCTAATGGAGACCCAGGTGTCTTGCATTTAGTCATGTATTTTTAAGGGAATGATTCATTCCACACCCTTGACTTGCAGGCAGGTTTCATTTTGTTCTAGAACACTGGCATGCACTTCGGTTCAAAATTAGCCCTGAATTGGTCTGGGAGAGCTTCCAAGTCACCACTGACTCAGGGTCTCCCTTGGAACCTGTTAGGTAAATGCACATCCTCCAGCCCCATCTCAGATCTTAGGAATCAGACGCTGGGGGTGAGCCCAGCATCGTGCTTTACCAGGCTCCCCCGACCTGCCCCTATGCGATTCATGTGGGTCTGCAGGATTCCTATCAGAGGCCAGGGCTGAGGCACAGGCCAGTGTCCAGCCCTGGTGCTGGCCACCTCACTGAGGGGCCGGTGTACCACCCACCATACAGAGGCAAGCTCATTCCTTGAGTTTCCAGTTCACTGGACAAGCCCACCGCCAGTAAAAGGACAGGCACCATAGACATCAGGAAGCACTTCCTGGGTGAAGTGAGAGGGTGGAGTCTGTTCCCTATTCTGACAATTTTCTGGGACCACTGTCCCTGTGCTCCCAAAGCTCCCTCTGGAAGTGACTGTCTCACTCATGGTTCATTCTTGAATCACTTCCCCCAGACAGAAAGCTCCATGAGGGTAGGGCCTGAGGCTATCTCCCCACTTCTATGTGTGACATTGCCTGACACTTGGCTGGCATTTAGTAAACTTTGGCTGCACAGTATTGAATTGACAGCTTTGTAAAATGCATCAAGATCATTAAGGCGGTGCCACACTCAGAACGCCCTCAGCTCTTCCTCAGTCCTCTCTCCCTGCACCCCACTTTGCAACATTTGGTATTATCTAACTTTGTAATATCTGATATAGCAAAATGACAATCACTCCCTTTTTTCAAAATTTCCTCAGCTGTTCTTGGATATTTTTTCTTCTAAATTCAGAATTGTTTTGTCAAGCCCTGACCAACTGATTTTTTTTTTTTAAGACAAGGTCTCCCTCAGTTGCCCAGGTTGGAGTGCAATAGCATGATCTAGGCTCACTGCAGCCTCAACTTTCCAGGCTCAAGCAATCCTCCCATCTCAGCCTCCCAAGTAGCTGGGATTACAGGCGCATGCCACCATATCTGGCTAATTTTTTGTATTTTTGGTAGAATCAGGGTTTCACAACGTTGCCCAGGCTGGTCTCAAACTCCTGGACTCGAGCGATCCGCCCACCTCAGCCTCCCAAAGTGCTGGGATTACAGACATGAGCCACGGTGCCTGGCACCTACCAACTGATTTTTTAATTGGAGTTAGATTAAACATATGGCTTAATTTTGAATTTGTTTCCTAACGATATTAAGTCTTTCTATCCAAGAGCATCTCTCTCCAATTATCCAAGCCTTTTTTAATGTCATCAGTGAGGTTATATTGTTTTCTTCATTGAGTTCCATTATATTTTCTGTCTGGCCATTGCTGGTGTATAAGCAAGCTGTTAATTTTGTATATTTTAGTACTGGCCTCGTTACGTACCAATTAATCCTTATAACTTTATTGGTGCATTACCTGGATATAACTACATATGATTTTTCTCCATCTTTGTACTATTTGTGCCTCTCATTTCTTGCCTTCCATTGACAACATCCAGTGTGACATTGGGAGTCTGGTATTGCCTCTCTTCCTTTGTCCTTTTTCTTTTTTCCCAAATTAATGTTTCACCATTTGAAAAAGAATGGTGTCGTTTCTTCTTTTTATAGAGATATTCTGCATTGCACGAAGAAAATATCATTCTGTTCCTATTTTATTGAGGGATTTTCCCCAAGAAATTGATTTTGAACTTTTTTCAAAGGCCCTTCTAGTGTCTAGCAAGAGAATCAAATGGTTTTTCTCCTTGACTTTGGAATGATTAATGGTAGATTTCCTAATAGTTAGCCATTGAAACATATTACCCTTGCCCACAGTATGTTCTTTTAATACCATGCTAGTTTTGACTTGTCCATATTTTACTTAGAATTTTGGTGTATCACGTCCTAAGTGAGATCAGTGTGTAGTCTTTTTTGCATTCTCTGCCAGGTTTTGGTGTCCAGGTTATGCTACCTTCATGATGTAATTTGGAACATCTTCCCTGTTCCATGCTCTAGGGATTATTCATTCCTTAAATGAATGAAGGAATTGTCTGATAAAACTTGTCAGAGTGCCTTTTGAGTTAGTAGTACTTTACAGTTGTTTTAAATATTCTCTCCTTAACTCAATGCTGGTACTTCCAAGTTTCCTTTTTTTTATTTTTATTATTATTATTTGAGAGAGGTTCTTGCTCTGTCACCCAGGCTGGAGTGCAGCGGCACAATCATGGCTCACTACAGCCTCAACCTTCCGGGCTCAAGGGATCCTCCCACCTCAGCCTACTGAGTAGCTGGGACCAGAGGTGTGTGCCACCACACCCGGCTAATGTTTGTATGTTTGATAGAGGTGGGGTTTTGCCATGTTGCCCAGGCTAGTCTCGAACATGTGGGCTCAAGGGATCTGCCCACCTCGGCCTCCCAAAGTGCTGAGATAATAGGCATGAGCCACCGCACCTGGCCTAAAGTTTCCTTTTAAATGATCCATTTCACTGAGACTTTCACATTTATTACCAATAATTGAATACAGCATTCTCATATTTTTTAATCCCTTCTGTGTTCTTTTTCTATTTTTTTATTGATCAAACATCCCAGGAATTTGGCTGTTTTGTTGGTTTTTACAAACAGCTCTTAGATTTCTTTACCAGTTCTGTTCTTCAGCTTTCTGGTTGATTCATTCATTTATGCTTCTGTCTCCATTGATTCTTCTTCTTTCTTTAAGTTTATTCTGTGGTTGCCAGGCAGGCTTGTAGAAATAGACAGTGATCTAGTAAGAACCCAAGCTTATTAACCCCAGGTCCTGGCCATTCCTATTCTAGAACTCTGGTGGCTCTATGCTACCACCTTCTCCAACCACCCCCAAGGCCAGTACTCCTGGTTCTCTCTCTGCGTTACTGAATTCCGACCAAAATTCTATCTATTCAAAGGGAACCCCACTCCTCCCTCTACCCAAGGCAAGGTATAGGGAAGTTTCTTTCTTTCCTCTTTGAATCAAGCAGGGAAGTTTCCTTCTTTCCTCTTTGGATCAAACGGGTCAGAGAAGAGAGCTACACATTTATGTTGGAAGCAGTCCTCCAGACATGCCTCCGCTGGAGCTCCGTGGACCTCCTCCACCCCTAGTGGCCTGACTTGTGACAGGCTTTTCTGCCACTCCCTGGCATTCTCCCCCAGGGCTTCAAACAAAGAAAAACTGAGGCAAGGACTCTGACTTTATTGTTTTGGGTCTCTGTGTGGTTTGGCATTGGGTGCCCTGAGCTCATGTTATTGAAACAGCTCTGGACCATTGGAGGATGGGATTGTCTCCCTAGGCAGTTGTCCATTTAGCTTTCACCTCTGCCTCCAACTGTGTCCCACAGATCAAGAAAAGATTTGAAATTCAGACTGAGTTGATGGAATTATGAGCAGCCCCTGAGGAGCTGTGACAGGAGCTACAGAGTTCATTTCTCACAGGGAGGCCGTGGAGTTTTTCTTTTATCCTCTGCCCACCCCACATGCATCACAAAAATTCTACCCCACTCAGGTCCCGGGATCCACACCATTGCCTTTTGTACATAAGTACCAATTTGTTCTATGCTCTGGTTCCAAGAAAAATCTTCTCTATTCTAAAGTACTGGGATGCTTTCTTTAACTGAACAACAGGGAGTTCCAGATAACTCTAGGAAAATGTAGCTGTCCACTTCAAGAAGAATCCATCTCCCCCATCTCCAGGGACAGTGTGTTTAGTTTAGTTTAATATGCAGGTATGTTTACATCTCACAAATCTTTTTTGAAAGTGTGTAAAGTAAAAGTTATAGATAAGGAAGAACCCTCAATTCCACTAAAAATGATACTTATCTCCTGGACCCAGAGCTAGGGGTAAGAGGGAGGGTCCTCCAGACCCTCATTGCTTCTTCCAGGCCCCTCCCCACAGCCAGGCTGGGTAGGAAGGGCCAGAGCTCTGTGGAGGGTGCTGGAGCCTTGCCCACCCATGCTCGTCTGGTGAGTGGGCAGGCTCACACCCCCAACCCTGAACCTGACTGCCAGGGCCCATGGCTGAGTCACTCCAAGCTGAGGAGGGCACACCTGGCCTTTCACCCATGTTCCAGGGGTTGAGAAGTGGAGAAATGAGAATGGCCCACTGGAAAATGAATGAACTTCCCCAGAACAGAGGCCCTGCCAGTCAGTGCCATAAGTGCTTTCTGATACATTTCCTGCAAGAAATTAACCCCTATCCAATGGCTTTCTGATAACAGAAAGGGAATGTATCTAAATTTTATTCAGAAATAAATTTCAGTGGCTGCTGCTCTTTACATGTAGCAGCTGAACAGCATTAAATATTTGGATGGCCTTCTGATCGTATTTAGAATAATGATGAAAGCCATGAGTCATAGGGTACAAAGTCTGACATGTTTATTATCTGCAATCTATTTTATAGCCCTTTCTTTTAGAGCTTGCGTTGCTGGACAGGATTATTATAATTTGGTTAAACACAGAACTCCAGTCACCTACTTGGGTTCACCCCCTCTGGAGCAGGGTCTCAGGTTGGGCCACAGGCCCAAGTCCAGGTCAGGGCCGTCTCTTTCTCACCAGCACTGACTCTCACCCACAGTGCCGCCAGTCATCCGTGTCTATCCAGAGAGCCAGGCACAGGAGCCTGGAGTGGCAGCCAGCCTAAGATGCCATGCTGAGGGCATTCCCATGCCCAGAATCACTTGGCTGAAAAACGGCGTGGATGTCTCAACTCAGATGTCCAAACAGCTCTCCCTTTTAGGTAAGAACTGCCCTTGGTAGACGTCTATGCGATATTCCCATTCAAATCAAGCTGAGACTCCAGGAATGGAAACGAGAGGTATAATTTGTTTATAAGTCAGACAGGTTAGGAGTGAACAGATGGCTCCCAAATTTCCCTGTTATCTGGGCTCACACAGATCTTTTGGGGCTTTCTGACAGCAATGATGAGAAGCTGTCACTCAGGTCCAGCTCACCCTCAGTGCATTTCAGATGTGCCAGCCCTTCCTGGGCGTATAATCAGGGCTGCTGGCTGCCCAGGGGCTGGGCAGCCCTAACACTCTCAATGGCCCCATAAAGGAAAGTGAGTGGGTCTCCAGCTGAGCAGTCCACCCTGAGCACTGTCCTGTCTGCAGCCAATGGGAGCGAACTCCACATCAGCAGTGTTCGGTATGAAGACACAGGGGCATACACCTGCATTGCCAAAAATGAAGTGGGTGTGGATGAAGATATCTCCTCGCTCTTCATTGAAGACTCAGCTAGAAAGACCCGTAAGTCGACACGCGTTTATGCTTCTCACTGAGCTGGCTGGGAGGTGTTGGGTGGCAAGGGAGGGCACCAATTGACCAGGGCCACAGCTGCCAACCATGAGCCCGTGAAGACAGGGGTAAGCCTCATATCCCTCTTTGCATAAAGCTGGAATTGGAGGGCACCCAGAGGTGAGCAGGCCTTCCCTGGCAACCTAGACAACTCTGGAAACAGACAGGGAGATTCCCTGGACAGCAGACAGAGCCCAGGAACACAAGGAAACCCAAATAGTCGAGTCCCAGCTCTGCTTTTTACTTGCTGTATGCCCTGAACCTCTGCCCTTCATCCACGTGATGTCCCACAGTGGCCCAGAACCTGACCTGTGCACACATGCACACCATTGGGAGTGTGGTAGCCTTTACACTAGGGGTCCAGCCCATCGGTGTGCTAAGCGTGCTCTCCTCATAACCACTGCTCCCCAGGTAGGCCTGCAGGTGTGATTTCATAGACATGGGTGTTAATCATGGTCAAAGACTCCAGGCTAAGCCATTTTCATCAAAGTAGATAATCAGAAGTATTTCACGTGGTCATCTTAGGAGAATCCTAGTTGAAAGTCACTTCTCCTGCTGGTTGTCCAGGAAATCTGGGAGAGATGTTGCTTACTCTTGATCATCCATGAAATGTGAGAAATTCCATTAGCTTCTGTGGTCCTAGGGCATGATTTCAAAGATTCACTTAAGAATCAAAGGGTCTGGAGACCTGAAAGCATTTGTTCATGTCCAGAGCTTCCCCCAAGATACTGTTCCTAGGGCAATGAGTGGTATAGATTCTGTAAGTGATGGACTAGGTACCAGGATCTTCATAAATGGAATCACTGCAGTGACGGTTTAACACTGCTTTCTTCTTTTTCCTTGACTCCATCACACTCCTGCTTTCCTCATTCTCTGCTGCTGCAGTTGCAAACATCCTGTGGCGAGAGGAAGGTACCAAGCTTCATTGTTTTGCGTCATGCCTGTGATCACGTGTGTTTGGTTCTATGATGGGCCGTCTTTCCATGATCTGCCACCAGCTTTCCCACACAAAGCAGCCCTATGGGAGCAGGAAGTCAATGTCAAATTCAAGTGGCATATGCATTGAATCAAATTTAAAATGTACTCCTGTCTTTAATGAGAAATTTTTAAATGCAAAGCTTTCATTAAAAGTGGCTTGTAACCTCTGCTGAAGCAGAACAGTTGGTAAGGGTTCCTGGTCAGATCTGGGCCTTAAACTTTTTTCCAGTAGCTGACTGGTGTTGGGTTTAGTGTTTTGCCTATCTTGTGTGGTTTTAAAAAGACAAAACAAGTTGTAGATCTCTACTAGATAGTCACTGTACCTTAAATATGCTTTGATTGAGGAAAACCCGAGGAAAAAAGCTGCCATGATTTCTGCCAATGTATATTTTTAAATGTATAGATGTTTAGAAACATATTTATCAAGCAAATCTTTAGTAAGTTGAGCCATATGAAGTTGCCATTTTTGTGCATCAAAGTGGTCTAAGATTGACAATTTCATATGGCTGAAAATATAGTGGGCATGTGTGGGAGCTGGTGGCAGAGCCTGAGTCACTGTGTGGGGTGCAGGTGCATGCCCGGGTCCCAGTCCCCACTGTGTCCCCACAACCAGATCTGAGTCCAAATCCCCTTGTGGCAACTCATTCTCCAGCTCAGTGGGCAGCAGCAGGAGGTACCATGTGATTGATGGGTTAAGCACAAAATCTCCCTCTTTGAAAACCAAGACATTTCCCATCTCATTTTTTCCTCAAGAACTTCACACGGTGTTACCTGCAGTCTGGCATATGCATGCAGACACATACTCAGAACAATTTCCTGAACGTCAGGAACTAAAGCTGACATGATAAGTCTGGGAACAAAACAAAGGCAGAGCCCAGAAAACGAGGAACTGCTGTCAATAGCAACAGTCGCTGATCACAGCGGCCCCTTAGGCTCTCACAGCTGCTGAACTAGCAGCATCTAGGCTGAGATGCACAGTCACTCAAGTGTTTAAGAGGTGGTGTTTTCCTTAGGGGAGGTTACTACAAAGGGTCTCAAGTTTCAGAAGTAGAGACCTACCACGAATGCAAGAGGCCCCATGGAATGTGAAATCAGCTACAAAGACCCCAGTGCCCGCTAAAGACCCACAGCCGCCTTGGGGCATAGGGTTGGTAGGTATATTGAACAATTGAGCAGTGAACAAATTCAATACTGCCTGGGTAGCTTGTACCCTTCACTCCTGAAACTCAAGGTCTGGAGATAGGGATAAGGAGCCAAAATGAAGAGGCCAGTAGGCCTCAGGGGACACACAAGTCTCAACAGGAGAAATGAGAGGAGAACAGACAAAAGCAAAAACAGCTCCTTCGGGCCCTCTTAGCAGAAGCTACACTCAGGCAGCTTCCAGGGAGCTGGATCAGGAGGCTGGGTATCCCGTGAAGTCAATTACTTGTTGAATGACTGTTTGTTGAGCCTCATATTCCAGGGCCGACTGTGAGCAAGGCCAAGGTACTGCACTCAGCCCAGAATGTAGCTACAGCCACAAACCCCATGTGGGCTCTATTATGCTTTCAATCTTATGTTGGTTCTTCCAACTACCGATTTTCTAAGCAGACTTGGGAGGCTGTTCCTGGAGTTTGTGGCTTAGTGGGGACTTTGACCCCTCTGGCCCCTAGGTTTGCGTGGAAGCAGTTTGTCAGGTGAAAGAGTACAGAAGAGAAGTTCCCGCTGTGGGTGAGATAGATGGGGTCAGGGCAGGTGTGTGCTGGAGTGCTGGCTCCAAACACTGAGATGCTGTGGAGCTAAGACTGACTCTTGGCGGGAGCTGAGCTTCATCTGGTTTTTGAGAAACAGGCTGCCCAGCGCCCCTGATTCCCCCGGGATTGCTTATGGAGAGCTATGCTGGATACTCCCTGGTGTTCACAGCTTCTGAGAGGCTGGGTTCCAGCTGCTTCTGGTGGCAGGAGCCCTCCTGCCCAGAGCCTGTCTCAGCACAGACGCTGGAGGCGGCTGAGGTTTATCATAGAGTCAGCCCCTTGTTCAACAGCAAGGACCACTCACATTAGTGCCTCTGGGTGCCAAGGACCCAAGGCCCAGAAAACTGCATGCAGAGTTGTTGGAAAAAAGTAAAACAGTGATTCCTGTTTTGTTGTTTTCTAACTCACTAAAAACTTGCCCAGATAGTCCATTAAACCAGCATACCAGTTTTCTCAGCATGCTAAAAAAAAAAAAAAAAAAAAAAAAAAAAAAAAAAAACTAGAAAAGAGATTTTTCTACATATTTACCCTAGAATTTACAGAGATCTTAATGTTCTAGATTTAAAAGAAATGAAGAAAGGAAGGGAAAGGGGAGATAGAAATAAGGAGACAGAGTCGGGAGGAGACAGAAAGACAGGGAGAGGGAAGGAGCACTCTAGAGCTTACATCTCCTTGTACCTTGTTCCCCCTTTATAGAGACAGAATGAGGGACAGAGGCCAGAATGCAGGGCCCAGGGTCTAGCTCCAGCTCTGGCACAGAGACGGGTGGCCTCAGACAAGTCCCTTTCCCTCCTTGGACCTCAGTTTGTCTTTAAAATAAGGAGGCTGAGCTAGCTGGTCCCCAAGGCCCCTTCTCAGCTGGTTTGCTTAGACCTTCTCCCCAGACAGCTACAGCCCTGGGCCGGGGTCAGGGGGGCATGACTGGAGTGTAGGTTCTGCTGCCTGGCACGGGCTGCCAGAGAAACGGTGGGGGGCGGTGGGGGGGCAGGGAACAGAAGTAAGAGCAAGCTGTCTGGAAAGAGGGGTTGGCCAGCACAGCCAGGACAGAGTTTGGGCAAAGGGCAGCATTCTTAGACTCCACATTCCAGGAAGTGACACTGTACATACATGGGTTTAAAAAAGCAAATGAAAGCCTTTGCTACTTTGGCATCCACTGATCCATCCTGATGTGACTAGTATATTATAAACAATCAAGGGAGGCTTTCCCTTTCAGAACAGGAAAGGTCAAATGTACATCAAAGCCAAGGCTTTTATCTGAAAACCTGTGGCCAACTCTAGATGACTTAGGGCAGCTGTACGTAGCCTGTGACATGCTTTACTGATTCATAGTCCTGGGGGGCCCTCTCTGCACCCATCCAGCTACAAGCTGGCTGCTCATTCTACCCCACCCTGACCAGGAATTGCATCTCGTGCCTGCACCAGATGCATCCACGTGGCCGGTTTCTTGTGTGTTCAATGCTGCGTGTGACCCTGCCCAGGGGCCGACTGCTTGGAGGGCATGCCCATTCCATTTGCTCCTCCCAGGCCTCAGCGTGGGAAACATGTTCTATGTCTTCTCCGACGACGGTATCATCGTCATCCATCCTGTGGACTGTGAGATCCAGAGGCACCTCAAACCCACGGAAAAGATTTTCATGAGCTATGTAAGTAACTGTGCCTGGGGCAGCTTCTACATCATACACAGGCAAAATCCTAAAAGTCTATCTTTAACCAGGCATGCCATTTGATTTCTAAAATTCCATTTGCTATATGTGGTGTGGTTCCAAATTTTTTCCCAGGCTAAGAGAGGAATAGATGAGGCTGAGAATTTAAAATTCTCATTCCTTCATCCAGAAGCCACTTCTCTGCACTGAGCCTCAGGTGAGGCCCAGGTGGTACAAATGGGTTTCTGGCCTCCAGAAATTCACAGTCAAACGATGGAGACAGCAATGTGAACAGACAGCTGCCAAACATGTGTTTTCTCAGTAGCCTTCAGGAAACTAAGGCCAGGTAGAAAATAACGATGGAACATTCAGTGGGCAGAGGCAGGAGCATGATTGCTGATAGAGGATCCAGGAAAGCCCTTCCAGGATAGCCTTAGGAGGCCTCCCCCAGGGCTGTGGCCCCCACACCAGGCCTCTGTTCCTCTGGCTTGTTTCCCACTTGGCCTTGCAGGATACCCTGCGCTCCTTGAGGACAGGACTATAGTGTTGAATCCCAAAGGGTCATGTCAATGCCCCATATGCCTTCCCCTTGAGGATACAGTGTGTCCTCAGTTGTACAGAATGAAATAACTGTGCACAATTCACTCAGTGAATAGTTACGGGCTTGGAGCCCATGGAGGAAGTGGGCTTGGCCCAGGCAAGTTCCTAAAGCATTGCTGTGCTAGCTATTGGTATATCTCAGGCTGTTCCATTTCTCTCATTTGTGGCTTTGGGAAAAGCTGTTTTCCAGGCTGTTTCATTTGAGTTATTTCATTATTTTTTAGAAGTGTTATTTCCCATCAATGTTCCTTCCATATATTAATAACAGCTATGAAGCCAGTTAGAAAGAGTTCCAGCAATTAGGTTTAAATAATTGCACTCCATCACATTGGCACAAATTTCTCATATATTTGTAGTAACCTAACCTGTAACTTGGAGGGACTCTCTCAAATCCTAACCGGGATTCAGTTTTCCTGGATAAGAAGCTAGACACAAGACACAGAGAGGTCCTGAAGGTGTTTCAGGCAATATAAGACTGTGGTGAGCTGGGGAATGATCCCAAAGAACGATTTTCCATCTAGAAAATGCTCAAACACCTAACGAGAATTACAATGGGACAAGCCTCTTCCTGAAGGGCTGGTGAGTAGGAGATTGGGGCATCCCACGTCAGGCCTCTCTGCTGGCTTAGATGTCTACTTTTTCCAGAAGGAGGCAGCGTGATGTCACAGATAAAGGCATAGCCTTCAGAGTCAGGTAGACTTGGGTTCAAATCCCACCTCTGTAGACTAAGTAGCTTTAGAAAAGTTACCTAGCCTCTCTAAGCTGCAGTTGTCTCATAGGCAAGTTGGGATTATATAAGGATTAAATATGAGAACAAGAGTAAAAGGAGAGAGACTAGTTTCAAAGCTATTGCAGTCACCTAGGAGAGAATGGGGGGTGGCATGAGAGAACCAAGCAGGAGCTGGAGAAGGTTCTGAGATAAAGACAGATCTGGGTGCCATTAGCATGTGAGTGTTGGCCAAATGGGACAGACAAGGGCATGTGCAAGTGATTTGAGATGGGTATCTGGAACAGAACCCTGGAGTCACCAACAGTTCAGGGACAGGCAGACTAAGAGGAACCACAAAGAAGATTCAGACAGAGTTGGGCCACAATCGCAAGGAAAACCATGAGACTGTATATCATGTAAGACAAAGGAAAAGAAGGTCCCCTTTTACACTCATTTATTCTGTCAGCAAATACATTTTAAGCACTGACTCTGTGCCAGGCACTGTACTAGGTGCTAATCATATAGCAGTGAACCAAAGACCTGCCCTCAAGGAACTTACTTACAATCTAGTGAAGGAGGAAAGGCTGTGCCCAGGTAGACAAATGAATGCAGAAAGTCAAGTGGTAAATGGAAAATGCAGCTGGTAAGAGAGTAAGGGTACAAGGAGAGCTGAGATAGACGAGGTCAGAGAAGACCTCCCAATAAGGTGATACTAAGCAGAGACCTGAAGGAAATGAGAAAATAAACCCTGTAGATATCTGGGGAAGAACATTCCAAGCAAAAGGAACAGCCAAGGCAAAGGCCCTGGTGCAGGAGAGCGGCGTGATTGAGGAGTGCTGAGCACGCCCATGGCATGGAGTAGGGTGGGTAAGAGAGAAAAGCAGCAGACCGAATGTAGAGGGCCTTGTAGGAAAGACTTGGGATTTTATTCTGAACAAGAAATAATGTTATTGGGAGTGAGGGGGAATTGAGAAAGAGGAGTCACATGATCTGACTTGAATTTTACAGTGATCCCTGTGGCCGCTGGGTCAAGAACAGGTTGGGAGGCTAGGGTGGAATCCAGGAGCATACACGGATGCTATAGCAGTCACCTAAGTGGCAGGTAGTGTGACCTGGCCAGGGTGATGGAGCAGAAATGGTCAGAGCCTATTTCTGGATATATTGTGAAGGTAAATCTGAAATGACTTGTGAGACATTGGATGGGGCCTGAGGTTAGAGGCATCAAGGATGGCCTCACTTCACTAGATTGTAAGGTTTTGGCCTATGGAAGTAAAACAGCAGACTTGCCAGGTTTTCAGTAGAATGAGCAGGATTAAGAAGTAAAATCAAGAGTTGATTTTGAACAACCAAGTGGAGCTAGGCAGTTGGTTATTGAAGTCTAGAGTTCGGGGAAGAGGCCTGGGCTAAAGGTATGAATTGGGAGTTGTGAGCACATAGAATGTATTTAAAGCCATAGGTTTCAATGAGATTAACAAGGGGGTGGATTTTAGAGAAGAAACTTAGGCGTGAACCCTGGACACCCTAGCATATAGAGATCAGCACACTGAGCAGAGTCCAGCAACAGAGGATCAGCCGCCGAGGGAGGATGGAGGGGAGGGAACAGAGGGAGTCAACACAGGTTTAATGTAATAAGTGGGGAGTCCATGTTGACCTTGGGGAGAACAACGTCAGCTCTGAGGACTAGAGCCAGAGTGTTAAGGAGCATGCAAGAGGTGGGAAGTGGAGAAGGAGTATAGGCAACTCTTTCAGAAGTTTGGCCATGAACAGAAGTTTTTAAAATGAAGATGAGGAGAGGGAGAAGATAGCGTAAGAATAGAAGAACATGAACCTGGAAGCTGCTAACTGAGCGGGTGCAAAGGGAGTTTTAGCCCCAAAAGATTAAAGGAATGTTAAGTGAGAAGTCAGTGATGTTGGAGGGCTTGGGTGCCCTGTTCTATGGATCCAAAGGATTCTAAGAGAGAGGAAGAAAGGCACAGAGGAGGGTCAGGGGAGAGAGTACCTAGAGATGTTGGAGGGAAAGGGCAATTAAGAAGATATATGACAGCCTATCTCCTTTGCAGGAAGAAATCTGTCCTCAAAGAGAAAAAAATGCAACCCAGCCCTGCCAGTGGGTATCTGCAGTCAATGTCCGGAACCGGTACATCTATGTGGCCCAGCCAGCACTGAGCAGAGTCCTTGTGGTCGACATCCAAGCCCAGAAAGTCCTACAGGTACACCTCTTTAATGGAGTGAGGAAAACTTCAAATTCTGGGGCACAGCCTGCCACATTCTTCTTTGCTTTCTGCATACTCCCCAGCTCCTGTGCCAGGTGGTCAGACTGAAGGGAGAAAAGATTCATGTGTAATTATTCGTGAAGTATTGATTGTCTACTATGTAGGGAAACAGCCATGAATGAGCAATAATTTCCCTAGAACTCATATTCTAGTTGGGGACCATAAATCAGAATTTTAGAGAACTATAAGTAATAAGGACTATGAAAAACCAGGTTCCAAGCAAAAGAGGAACAGGAAGACTATTTTCAATTGGCCTTTTCCCTCAAGGTGAATGAGATGCCAGGTAGGACCGAGACTCTGAGAGAAGGCACAGTGATGAAGGGTAGAGTGGGAGGATGAAGTCAGGCCAAGCAAGGGCCCACTCACACAGGGCCTCGGAGGCCAGTCAGGAGCTAAAACAAAGCCCAAAGTGAGGACATTTCAGTGAGAAAGTCACAGAAGGGCTTTCATCAGGGGATTGATCCAATCTGACTTAGATCTTTAAAGAATCAACCTGGTGGTTGTGTTAACAAACGGGCTGGGTGTGGTGGCTCACACCTATAATCCCAGCACTTTGGGAGGCTGAGGTGGGTGGATCACCTAAGGTCAGGAGTTTGAGACCAGCCTGGCCAATGTGGTGAAACCCCGTCTCTACTAAAAATACAAAAAAATTAGCCAGGCGTGGTGGCAGGTGCCTGTAATCCCAGCTACTCAGGAGGCTGAGGCAGGAGAATCACTTGACGGGAGGCCGAGGCAGGAGAATCACTTGACGGGAGGCCGAGGCAGGAGAATCACTTCAACCCGGGAGGTGGAGGTTGCAGTGAGCCGAGATCACACCACTGCACTCCAGCCTGGGCAGCAGAGCAACACTCTGTCTCAAAAGAACAGGAAGATGGAGCAGGGATCTGGTCTGATGTAATCCAGGCAAGAGATGACAACAGCAGTGGGAGTGGTGAAAAAGGATCAGTTTCTTGACATATTTTAAACATGAAGCCTGAAAGACTTTCTGATAGATTCTTTCTGACAGATTGAATATAAGGCTTGAGGTAAAAAGGATTTAAGTTGTCTTTTAACTTAAGCAACTATAGAAGGGTGATACCATTTACAATGTGTGGTAGGCTAAATAATAGCCCCCAAGATGTCTACATCCTAATCCACAGAACCTGTGGATGTCGCCTTATATAGCAAAAGGGACTTTGCAGATGTGTTTCAATTAAGGATTTTTAAATGAGATTATCCTGGATTACCTGGATGGGCCCTAAATGCAATCACAAATGTCCTTATAAGAGGGAGGCAAAGAAAAATTTGACTGCAAAGATGAAAAAGGCAATGTGAGAACTGAAACAAGATGCTGAATTGCTGTCTTTGAAGATGGGATGAAGGGGCCAGAAGCCAAGGGATACAAGAAATGCAGCTCTGGAGACTGGAAAAAGGCATGGAACCATACTCTCCCCTAGAACCTCTAGAAGGAGTGCTGGTTTCAATTGATTTTGGCTTTCTGGTCTCCAGAACTGTAAGAGAATAAATGTGTTGTTTTAAGCCATCAAATCTCTAATAATTGGTTACTACAGCAATATGAAACTAATGCACTACAAGAGAAGAGACTTCAGGCAAGGCAGGGAGCAGATTGGGGGGTGATTTAAGTTTAAAATACTGTTAGAAGAGAAGAGACTTCGGGCAAGGCAGGGAGCAGATTGGGGGGTGATTTAAGTTTAAAATACTGTTAGATGTGTAAGTAGAGAAGTCAAGTAAGCAGTTAGATAAACAGGTCTGGAGTCAAAGGAGAGGCCTAAGCTAGAGATATCGATTTGGGTATCGTCACCATATGAACTGTATTAATCCAGGAAACTGGATGAAATTACCAAGAGGTGGTATAGACAGAGAAGAGGTCAAGATTGGAGTCCTGAAGCACTCCAACATTTAAAGATCAGTAAGGAGAGAAGAAACCAATAAAGGAGACCAAGGAGGAATAACCTGAAAGATAGGAAAAAATTAGGATAAAGAGAGATATTCTTGAAGCTAAAAGAAGAGTGTGTTTCAAGGGAGTTGTGCTGTGATGAGCATGTGTATGTTATGAAGACTGAGGACTGACCATTGGATTTGGTACAATAGAGTCATGGATCACCTTGGCAGGAACAGATAGGATAATGGTGGAATGCAAGCCTGCTGGAGTGGATTCAAGTTAGAATCGTAGGTGAGGAAATGGAGATGGTGAATACAGGCAATCATATGGAAGGGTTTTGCTGTAAAGGTGAGTAAATGTAAAGAAATGAGGCAATGCCTGGAAGGGAATGACAAAAGAACTTTTTAAAGTAGGTGACATTACAGCACTATATGCTACTGAGAATAACTACTCCCACAATTCTTCTCTTTCTCTCCTGCATCCTCATCCTGCATTGACTCTAGGCAGGAGTCAATGAAATCCAAAGCACACAAGTGGAGATCTAGCCCCAGATAAAATCACATCCTTTCATTATAACAGGAGGAAGTGGAATATCTTACATCCAGGCACAAGTACAATAGGTGATGCAATGGGTGGTAGTTAGATGAACTTCTTTTTGAGTTGTTTTTTCTCAGTCAAGCCTGGAGGTTTGAAGAGAGAGGTAAAAGTTCAACATGAGACTGAACTGGCCAGGCAAATCTGATAGGACTGCTGGGCAACAATGAGGGCCCACTTAAGAATTGTGGGTATAAATTTAAAGTGAGACCAGAGTTGGATCTCTTCAACAATGCTCAGTTTCCCCAGTAAAGGCTTGTTATATGAAGAAAGTTGGAAATAGCCAGGGTCGTGTTTCTCTTGGCAAATACAATGGGACATGTTCCAACTGCCTCTTTGTTATTGATTCCCCTGGCCAGAGAACATACTCTGAATAATATCGATCCTTTGAGATTTATTGAAGCTTGTTTTATGACTGAGTTTATGACCAATTTTGGTAAATGTTCCATGTGTACTTTAAAAGAATGTGCATTCTGATGTTAGATACTGTATTCTATATATGTGTCAATTATGTCTACTTGGTTCATTGTATTGTTCAGATCTATCCTTGGTGATTTTCTTGTCTGCTTAGTCCATCAGCTGCAGAGAGGTGTGTTAACATCTTCCACTATATTTCGCAAAGTTCTACTCATTTTTGCTTTAAAATTATATCATTTTCCTTTTATTCTTACAAAATATCCCTCTTTATCTCTGGTAATGCTGCTTGCCTGAAAATCTATTGTCTAACACTAGTATAGCTAAATCAGATTTATTTTAATTCGTTTTCTCATGGTATAATTGTTCCCTCCTTTTAACTTTCAACCTTTCTATGTCATTATATTTAAGGTCCTCTTTTATAAAGCCACGTGTAGTTGGGTTTTTATCTAATTTAATCATCTTAGTCTTTTACTTGGAGTATTTGATACATTTATGTTTAACATAATTAATTATATAGTTGATTTTTATCTACTATGTTACTTTTGTTATTTGACCTACCTGTTTATGTTGCTTTTTTCTCCTTTTTGCTTTCTTGTGGATTTGCCAAACATTTTAATTATTCTGTTGTTGACGATGCACTCTTTTATGTTGTTAACATAATAGTGATTATAACATGCATCATTGCATCAATACAGTCTCATACAAATTGTTACTTAATATCCCCAATAATGCTAGAACCATAAAACACTTCAACTCCTTCAACCCTCCTCCCCCTTACTTTTGCATTGTTGTGGTAATGAATTTTATCTGTATATGTAATTTAACCCCACAGGACATTAATTTATATTCACCCACACATTTGCCATTAATTCCTGAATAGTTCTAACACCAACTTTGCTTGAAGATCTGTTGGAAACAGATTCTCACAGTTTTTCTTTTCAAATATCTTTACTTTACTTTGTATTTCTCAGGCCAGGCACGGTGGCTCATGCCTGTAATCCCAGCACTCTGGGAGGCCAGGGCAGGTGGATCACCTGAGGTCAGGAGTTCGAGACCAGTCTGACCAACATGGTGAAGCCCTGTCTGTACTAAAAATACAAAAATTAGCTGGGCGTGGTGGTGCAGGCCTATAATCCCAGCTACTTGGGAGGCTGAAACAGGAGAATCACTTGAACCTGGGAGGCAGAGATTGCAGTGAGCCAAGATTGCACCAGCCTGGGTGACAAAGGGAGACTCCGTCTCAAAAAAAAAAAAAAAAATCTTTACTTTCTATTCTTCACTGAGTATAGAATTCTATGTTAGCGATTCTTTTCTTTCAGCATTTTAAGGTATCATTTCATTATCTTCAGTTATTTTTGCTGATAGTCTTATTGTTGCTATTTTGAAGGTGCTGTATCATTTTTCTCTACTTTCCAGATTTTTCTCCGTGATCTTTAGCAGTTTATTATGTGTGTGCATATGGCATTCTTTGTATTATGATTTGGGATTTACAAAGAATATGTGTATTTCTTGAATATGTATACTGATATCTTTCAAAAGATTGAAAAAAAATGTCAGCCACTATTTTTTCATATATTCTGCTGCCTCGTTCTCTCTCACCTCTTCTTTGGGAACTCTGTTTAAAAAAAAAAGTTAGGACTTTCCATTCTTTCCATTGGGTCTCACATGTCTCTTTCTGCTTCAATTTGGATATGTTCTATCAACCTATCTTCTGTTTCTAATAAACCTTTTAATGGCAAACACTCTATATAGAAGATTACACTTTCCTCTGCTAGGCAAAGAGAGTAGAGACTGAGTTGAAGCTTCTGTAGGGCTCAGCCTGCCTCTGATTTGCCCCTAATCCTGGGGCTTGTTTGCCAGGATCAGATCTCTTGGCTGCCATAGCCTTGCTGCTCAGCACATTGAGACTGTGAAAAATTCTGTCCTCAATTTAAATGATTTTTGGCTTAAGTTCTCTGGACTCCTGCTCCATACCACCTTAGAATAAGAGTATGAAATCCAATGGGAGAAGGTTAAGCAGAAAGGAGAGAGAACAGCTAAAGTCCAAACTTGAGGGAAGTTTAACAGGATAGCTGGAGGAGAATGTGTTGTCAAGATGGTATCATTACTGATGGGTTAGGAAGCTCTCAGTAGAGGAAGACAGTGTCAGGTGCTAAAGCCTTTGGTGAATGAAGAGAAACTGGCAGGAACAAATACAGGTAGCTGGAGGCTACAAAGGCCTCGGGGTATGTAAAGTCTAGAAAATAAAAAGCAGCCTCTACTTAAGGCTCAGGGGACAAGAGTTTTTAATTAAAGCAAGAGAGTAATTAAAGCAAGAGAGTAAAGGGAGACTTCAAAGATGGTGATGAGTGGAGAAGAGATATATTTCAGCAGGGTGGGAAAAATCAAGAGTTCAATTCTCTATACGTTAGGTTGAGATCATCAACAGATGAATGAATTCTAGAGTCATCAGAGTATAGAGGGTTATTAGAAGCCATGGCATTCCAGTGAAAGAGAGAAGACAGTCAAAGATGAAGTCAGAATGAAGAGGAGAAGCCAGGGAGGCGGGAGGCCACGTGAGGTAAGGAAGGGTATGTAAGGGTTTAATCATGTGGAATCTTACTGAAATGTCAAATAGGATTACAGAATGGTCTCTGAATTCGGCACGAATTCAGAAACTTGGTGAAAGTGAGTTAAGGAGAAATGCTTACTTCTTTAGAAAAGTTTTGACCAGTGGAGGCAGAGATGATGCAGTTTTTCTCCCCCTCATCGGAGAGACTAGAATACTAGAATATGAGTGGGTGAAATAAAACAAAGTATAAGGTGGCTGAGGTGGGGAGGAGGAAAAGATCATTGAAACCAAGAAGGAACTAAGAAAAGGAGGGCTTTGGATGACTCTTCCATGTGGATTGAAGGCACCAAACTTAGTGACCAAGTGAGTAGTAGAGAGGAAGACAGCAAAGGGAGGACTAGAATGTTGACCAGTGACAAGAAGAAGAGCAGGGGGCCATAGTCTAGTGGCATGAGCATTATAGAACAGAGTTTTTGAGCTTGTAATCTATAAGAAGTAGAAAACAGCTTTCATTTGACAGGGCCATAGGAGAAGCTATATCATCAGGGGATAGCAGTACTGCAGTTAAAAAAGAGCACGTCTGCTGATGCCATAGTCTGAGACCCAGAGGCGCCAGTCAAAGGCTGTGCAAGATAGAAACTGCCCAGAGTAGAACAAAGATAGATAGAGAGGGGTGATAATGGATGATCTCAAAGTCCACCTCAGATGACCTAGGAGGAAGGACCAACTCACCAGAATCTAGGCCACAGAGTAGTCTAGGGAAGGATGCTGAGGGTCCAAGACTTTCAGGAAGAACGAAGGAACCCTGGAGCTGGTTCCTGAGTGAAAAACTTAGCCTCTGTGTTCAGACTTTTGCCATGTTGGTCTAGGTCCCTTTAAGTAACATGCAGGAAAATAAGGAACATTATTGACCACTAATTTTATGCCTCTGGGCCGGGCACAGTGGCTCACACCTGTAATCCCAGCACTTTGGGAGGCTGAGGTGGGCGGATCACCTGAGGTCGGGAGTTTGAGACCAGCCTGACCGACATGGAGAAATCCCATCTCTACTAAAAATACAAAGTTAGCAGGGCGTGGTGTGTATGCCTGTAATCCCAGCTACTCGGGAGGCTGAGGCAGGAGAATCTCTTGAGCCTGGGAGGCGGAGGTTGCAGTGAGCCGAGATCACATCATTGCACTCCAGCCTGGGCAACAAGAGCAAGACTCCGTCTCAAAAATTAATAATAATAATAATAATAATAATAATAATAATGCCTCTGAGAAAAAAGACAGAGGGGAAGCTTCTGCCCTGGGTTCCCAAATGGAACCATTGGCAAGGCTTCTAGACTGGCTTTCCCCTCGCCCAGGAGTGATGCCCATGCATACAACGCCCAGAAATGACCATCATGTCAGCTTTCACAACATGTCACTATTTTTTTTCAAGTCCATAGGTGTGGACCCTCTGCCGGCTAAGCTGTCCTATGACAAGTCACATGACCAAGTGTGGGTCCTGAGCTGGGGGGACGTGCACAAGTCCCGACCAAGTCTCCAGGTATGTTGAGCACATGGAGGCTGATACCCACACTCCACTGAGAGAAGAACTCTCTCCCTATAAAATAAGTATCTCCTGCTTCCCCGGGTAGCTAATTACATTTATCCAAAATATATCCATAAAGGCTCAAGGAGAGAGTAGGAAACAGCCTCAGGCCAATGCCCCTCACAGGCAATTGATGACAGCAATAATGATGATGAATAGGATTCTGACATCACAACAATCAGAATGTGGCACCCAATCCCCATCCAGCCCCACAATCCTGCCTCTCTTGAGCCAATAGCTCCTGGGTCCCAACAGAATGAGGCTCTGGGGTCCAGAAGGGAGGCTGAAGAATAGTGTCAAAGCAAGCAGCAGATGTTAGCCAATGAAGAAGGAGAAGCAGCAGCAATTATATCTGTAAACAAAAGCCCACTTACCAAGTGCTTACAGTGTGCTAGGTTACAGAAAATTTCCATAATTTGCCTATAGTCCACCCTAGACAGTGTGGCTCTGGAGCCCAAACATCTAGCACTCCCTTGGGTAGAGCTTGGGCTCCAGAGATCCGTGGGATCCCTTCCCCCATCAGCCAAGAAAGGTCAATAGCAACCCTGACTTGAGCAATTTGAGTATGCCCTGCCCAGCCTTGCCCATCAGGGATCCATAAGAGGAATGAGCCCTGTAAAGTGATTTGAATGCCCATTTTCTCAATTCTCCCAAAGATGGTGCAAAGAACCATTCTGGGTGCACAGGAGAAAAGTTAATTCATTACATATAATGGATGCCTCTGGAGATTAGGGTCTCTCTCTCTCTCTCTCAGAACCCAAGGTGAGAAGGGCTGCAAATGGAGCTAACTCCCCTGTAGAACCCTCTGGAACCAAGACTGGCAAGAGGGCAGAAAGACCAGGGTCTGGAGAAGCTTCCTTCTAGGGACTGACCACCTACCTGCACCTCTGCATCACTCACAACTTCAGTTTCTATACTCTGAGGCCACTGTCACACTGGGGAAGCCACCAACCATTCTTGGGTCCAGTGAGGTGACAAAAAATAGTAATAACCTATCAGAGAGCCTGGACACCACAATAAAGGCCACTCAGAACAGAGTACCAGCCCAAAGAAATACAGCTGCCAGAAATACCAACAAAAAATAAGAAAGCACTTCAGAAAATTCAAGAGGAGGGGCCACTAGAAAAAGAACAAAAAAGATTTCCCAGTTTAAAACTGCAATAGATGAAAAATGTGAACAGGCACAGTGGCTCACGCCTGTAATCCCAGCACTTTGGGAGGCCAAGGTGGGCAGATCACCTGAGGTCAGGCATTTGAAACCAGCCTGGCCAACATAGTGAAACCCCGTCTCTACTAAAAATACCAAACTTAGCCAGACGTGATGGTGCACAGCTGTAGTCCCAGCTACTCAGGAGCAAGGAGAATCGCCTGAACCCTGGAGGCAGAGGTTGTAGTGAGCCACGATGGAACCACTGCACTCCAGCCTGGGCAGCAGAGCAAGACTCTGTCTCAAAAAACAAAAAAAGAAAAATGCATGGTTTCTACTGAGACCCAAAATAGTAGTCTGAAAGATAAAGAACAAGAAAAGCTCTCTCAAATCACAGAGCAAACCCATGAAGAGGTTGAGCCGTGAAGTGGGAAGAACAGAAGTTTAGAAAGAAAAGATAACTATTAGAACGGAGTCAAACATTAAATAAGTTTCCAATAAAATATTCAAGTTGAAGAAACTTAATCCTGTAGATTAAAAGGAATCTACAAGTCCAGGCTAAACTGATGAGAAATGACACATCTCTTCACTAGTGATAAAGTTCCAGCACTCCAAGTTTTAAGAAAAACTAATCAAATTGACAGTGGACTTCTCACCTGCAATAGGAGCTGGAAGACCGTGGTATCCCATCTACACGCTCCAAGGGTTCTATTCCCAAGCAAGACATCATTTACCTGTCAGGACAAAAGAAAGATATACGGGTACGCAGGAACTCAGGGAGCCCATCACTCATGGGCCACACCTAAGGAAAGATACTAGACAAACATCAGATGAGCCAGATTAGAGACATCAAGGTGGACAGAGATAGTGGCAAGTAATGAACCAGGAGAGGAAGATCTAAAATTAAAAGTAAAATGGATGAGGAGAGGCTATCTAGAAATGTACAATAAGTGCCAGGTGAGGACATTTGAATGAGGAGAGAGACAATGAAAGAAATTCTGATACCAAGCTGTAACTAAAGATAAATTGTTTCAGTAAAAAGAGTAGGAGCCAGGTGCAGTGGCTCTTACCTGCAATCCTAGCACTTTGGGAGGCTGAGGCAGGAGGATTACTTGAGCTCAGGAGTCGGAGACCAGCAGGAGCAACCTAGGAAAACCGCATCTCTACAAAAAATAAAATAAAAAAATTAGCCAGGTGTGCTGACGCACCTGTAGTCCTAGCTACTTGATAGGCTGAGACAGGAGAATCAATCACTTGAGCCTAGAAGGTGGAGGCTGCAGTGAGCCGAGATCATGCCACTGCACTCCAGCCTGGGTGACAGAGTGAGACCCTGTTTCAAAAAATAAACAAAAGTAGGGAGTATGCAGAAAGGGGGAGTAAAAATACTCAAAACTTCACTTTAAACCTCATTTTATTGGGATAAGAGAGGATACAGAGAATGTTGTTTGAAATTGGTAGTTGAGAAGTGAATATCTCGTATCAAATATGACTGAATTCCCCAATTAAAAGCAGAGATGAGCAGACTGGGTTTAAAAACTAGCAATAACTTTTTTCCAAGAAACACACATAAAGTGATAATAAAAGGTTGCCCTTAAAGGGGTGAGAATAGTGATGACAGGTGAACAAAAAAGCATGCATGCATGGTAGCGTCAGGCAATGTGGAATTTAGGGTTAAGAGCACTAAGCATGTTGAGAGACAGTAGGTGCTGAACAGCTGATCTATATCAAACAAACAACGTAACGAATACGTAAAACAAGAGTGATTAACATAGAAGAGCTTGATTTAAAATATACGAAGAGACAAGATGACAGGAAAATTGAATATAAACAAGAAGTTTGGTTTAATAAAAACATAGAAAGCCTTTCATCAGTCAAATAGAATTTTTTAGTATGTCTCCATATAAAAAAGTATATCACTAAAGAAACTTTAAATTTTTGTAAAAGTAGATGTTGTAGGCTATATTTTCTGATAATTAAGAAAACATTCCTGGATATATCTATTGGATCAAAGAGGAAATTAAAAGGAAAACTACCAATGGTCTCAAAAGCAAAGAAAAAGAGACTATTAATTATTTCATATCAAAATTTACAGGATACAGAGAAAGCTGTACCAAGGAATTCTTGGGTCTTAAAAGCCTGAAAAGGAAGTATTTAAGAAATTGAAAGAGAACAAAACTTGCAAGAAAGAATAGAGACTAAAATTAATAGAAAGCAAAACAAAAAAGATGAATCCTTCACAACCCCAATAAAGAAAAAAGCAAACAAAAATAGACAAAATGAGGAATGAGAAAGGGAATTTTATTCCAGATACAGGAGGATGAAAAGACTTGAAAAATAGGCCAGGCGCAGTGGTTCATGCCTATAATCCCAGCACTTTGGGAGGCCGAGGTGGATGAATCACCTGAGGTCAGGAGTTCAAGACCATCCTGGCCAACATGGTGAAACCCTGTCTCTACTAAAAATACAAAAATTAGCTGGGTGTGGTGGTGCACATCTGTAATCCCAGCGACTCAGGAGGCTGAGGCAGGAGAATCGCTTGAACCCAGGAGGTGGAGGTGGAGGTTGCAGTGAGCCGAGATCGTGTCACTGCATTCCAGCCTGGGTGACAGAATGAGATTTTATCTCAAAAAATAAATAACACTACATTGCAACTCTGAGGCAACAAATTTTAGAACCTAGAGGAAATGAGTGAATGCTTGCAAAATGTTTTAAAAAAATTAACTGACTGACTTATGAAAAGAGAAACTTGAGCTAGAGCAATTACCATGGATTTTTTAAAGAAAAATCTACCATAGAAAAATGTACAGCTGAGTTTTGTCAAGTCCTCAAAATATAGATAATTTTACTTGAACTATCCCAAGACTATAGGGTGAAAATGCACAGTTTGTTTTAAATAGCCAGTGTTATTGTGATTATAAAACCTGATTTAAAATAGTATAAAAAATAAAACTGTAGACTAATCTCACTTATAAATACAGAGGCAGAATTCTGTTTTTAATTCTAACATACTATTAAAAATAGAGTCCAGGATGAAAACTCAAACATGTTTTGTGGGGTTGCGCTAGTTTGTGCTCGGGGTGTCTGACTCCGACTCATTTCCTAATTCTTACTGGATTCCAAAGCTTTGAGGATATTTTTTAAGACATTCTGGCTTATGACCCTTAGTAGTACAAGGATTTGTCTGGCTTTGAATTTCATGGGCTCAGTGATTGATTACAAACAAAGAGATGCAAACTACCACTGTTTACATAGTTTTACGGTGTTTCTAAAGATTTTATATTGAAACTTAATGTTTAGATTCACTGAGCTCCTAAAGAAAATAGAATATAAAGTTTTGTTTGGGAAAAGCTGACTTGTTAAATTCTTTTTAATTGAATTCAAATTAAAGCGCATTGAAACCACATGGCTTATGATTTTTTTAAAGGAATAAATTGTGAAGAATTGGTTTTGGTTACAGGAATGACTGGAATCCAAGAGATGACTTGGACCCATGTCCTTGTCTAACATACAAATCCAGGAATATTATGCAAGGATAATTTATTTTAAAAAGGGAGTTTCACAGGAGAGACGCATGTGTATAAACAAACACTACACACACACACACACACACACGCAAAGAAAAAGACATAGAATCCAGGAATGTGTCTAAATGCTCAAGCAGGGAACACATTCCCAGGATGCAACGATGGTTCACTGTCAGGAAATCAGTCTATATTATTCATAACACCAACAAATTGAAAGAGAAAACATGTAGGACGTTTTCAATAAATACTGAAAAGACATTTAATTAAATACAGCAGGCATTCTTAATAAAAAGCCTAAACATAGGAATAGAAGGAAATTCTTTAAATATAATAAAGACTACTTCTCCAAAACCAATAACCAATAGTTTACCTTTGCCTAAATGGCAAAACACTGAAAGCATAATACCAGGAATTACAGCATGATGCTTCCCTTCTCATAACTGGAAAGTCTAGGATATGCATTATCACAAAAAAAAAGTATGAAATCATTTGAATAAACCTACCTTCATCACTGTGGGCTAGGATTAAAGAAACCATTGCTCACAAAAACTGCTCCTGGAAATTCAACTGGCATAGTCTTTGTGGTGAGCCATTGGGAAGTGTTAACCAAAAGCCTGAAAGATTTTTTTTTTTTTTTTTTGAGACAGAATCTCACTCTGCACCCAGGCTGGAGTGCAGTGGCACAATCTTGGCTCACTGCAACCTCCTCTTCCCGGGTTCAAACAAACAATTCTCGTGCCTCAGTCTCCTGAGTAGCTGGGATTACAGGTACATGCCATTACACCCAGCTAATTTTTGTATTTTTTGTAGAGATGGGGTTTCACCATGTTGGCCAGGCTGGTCTCAAACTCCTGACCTCAAGTGATCTGCCCGCCTCAGCTTCCCAAAGTACTGGGATTACAGGTGTGAGCCACCATGCCTGGCCAGTGAAAGAGTAATTTTTGATCCAGCAACTTGACTTCTCAGAATTTTTCCAAAGGCCATAATCATGGATGTGGACAAAAATTGAGCTATGACATTATTTTTAATCTCTCACAAATACAATGTTTGTTACTGCATTGTTTGTATTTGCAAGAGATTAAAAATAATATCCTAATATTGTTTCTAAATATCCAACACTGAAGGATTTGTTGAACACACTTTGGGAAGACTACATGAACGTGTTTGTACAAATGAGGCTCCCTCCACCAAAGCCGCCCTCAGCACCCAGGTTTGGAAGGTTTGGCATCTTTTCCAATGCTGCCCAGCACTCTCTGGCCCACCCCCTTTCTCAGGCCAGCTTTTAGCTGCCTCCCAGCCTGTCCTCTGGATACCATGTTCTCTCCCACCCCTCCACATGCCACTTCCCAGCTGGCTTCATACACCCCTCTGAGGGAGATGCCCAGCCTTGCTGTCCCCACCCTGCCAACTGATGGGCATATCCTGAGATTCAGACACATACATGCATCTCCTGTACCAAGCCCATACGGCAGCAAATGTGAGGGGCTTGACAGTTATCTATCTTTAGGGCACTGTGGGCCCAGCTGTGTGTCAGGACACAAGAAAAAGCCGAGGAGGAACTCGTGACTCAGAGAAACGAGGCTGACATGCCCACATCAGTTCAATGGCCCATGGCACTGCGTTTTGATGAAGTAACCTCTGAATCTAGGGTGTCAGAGCAGTGAAGCGTGAATGACATTGACCAATGACAGCCTGTAATTTTCCATCTCTACTATGAGCTAAAATGACAGGCCTGATACCAAGCAATGATTGCATGGCTTCTTGGAATTCCCTGGCATTTTCTTTTCAGACTCTCTAAGATCCAGTTTCCTAACGCTGATATTTTCTTAACACCCACTTCTATGAGTTTTTTCCTATGAGCTTACCATAGAAGTAATCATTTGGCCTCTTAAAAAAAATCACAGAGAAATAACCTAATGCAACATGAGGACTGCCTCAAACCTGAAAATCATGGCTTGCATCACTCCAGCCCAGCACTCTGCCTGCTGACTGCAGAGGAAAGCAAGACGAAAAAAGACACAAGCCTCCAGCCTGCCTGAGGAGGCAGGCCAGGTGCTGTTTGTTTTGTCATAAAAGTAAAAGCCAGAAGGCAGCTCCATTCCTAAAAAGTAGAAGCATCCAGAGCTCTCAGCCATGGGAGTCACAAGCCCCCACCAGAGTCAGCTCTCACCCTGCAGGCCAAGCCTCAGGCTGCAGAAATCTAGACCCTCCTTTCTACACATGTGGCCACAATATCATGATTAGAAAAAGTGTCTCACATTCCCGTTCAGGGGCCCAGCATCTGCCTCCTCTCCTGCACAGAGGGTCTGGGCTTCTCGGGGCCTGTAAGTTGGCTAAGCCCCTCATCGGACCACTGGTCTGCTGCTTTCTGGGCAGTGGCCTAGAACTTCAAGGCTGATGAGCATATGCAGAAGGCAGGAGGACACAGTCTGGCTGGCTTGGGCCTCACTAGCTGACAGAGGGGCTGCCCAGCCTGACCACAGGGGTTTCATGGCAGGGACTCCAGACCACTCACTCATCCTATCTGACTTCACACACCACCTGGCTTCTGCTCAGAGCTGCCATTGTGCCTTCCCTGACATGAGTGCAGCTGGGACACACACCAGGGAAAGGCTCTTGTCTCCTGCCAAGTCCACAGGGGAGAAAGCGTTACCTCCAGGGAAACAGAGGCAGCCGTGCTCTGTCACTACCAATTTGTACAAGGCACAGGGCCTAATTGTTGACTTTCTACAGCAAGTCTCCTGTGTGAGACCAGGACCTCTTCCCAGCATTCTAAATGCAAGACATCTCAACAGCCCAGCATGTCAGAGTGGCATCCCGTAGGATGTCTGCTTTCTCTCATCAGTCCTGGAGTCGCACCTCAGAGAATGCCTGTGAGCAGCATCCGACAGAGACTACCAACAAACTGGCCCAGGCATCTGGCACCAGAGAAAAATGAACTCCCAGTAGACAGTTCCACCACGTGACATTTTCATGATTGACAGCCCTCTCCCACTTTCCCTAGCCTGGCTTACATGTTGAGAAGGTAGGATTCCCCATTACGAGAGGAGGTGGTCTCTGAGCAACCACAGTGATGTTTCCATTCTGGAGACTTACTTCCCTTGGAAACCCCACCACCACCCCTCAGGTTCTCACTCTGCCATCATGGTGGCTGACAAAGTGCAGCAAGGCAGGCTTAACCATGGGGCAGAAGCAATTCGGGCAATCAGTCCTGTCCCACCACTTCCTCTTTCAGGAAGAATGGGTCCCTGCCTAGGATGTGCCTGAACTGCTCCCACTTTGCTCCTGCCTCTTCCCTGAGATTGAGGTTTGTTAGTCATCTCTCTCCCAAGCACCCCTCTGCCGGGGTGACTCCACCTGAGCGTACAGGTGTCTCCAGGTTCAGCCCCCACCTGCATGGGCCCTCACTAGGATTCCCACTCTGTGTTGTAGGTGATCACAGAAGCCAGCACCGGCCAGAGCCAGCACCTCATCCGCACACCCTTTGCAGGAGTGGATGATTTCTTCATTCCCCCAACAAACCTCATCATCAACCACATCAGGTGAGACTGGCCCATGATGCCTCTAAGGCACTCCCCGCTCCAGCTCAGCCCTGCAAGGGGCAGCATTGCCCAGCATGGGACCTGCTCATTTCTCTGTCTCCTCCACTCCCATGCTGGATTTGGACCCCATCACGAAGGAACAGAGAAGGTCCAGTAAAACAGACCCAGAGCCTAGTCCTCATTGCTTGGGGTCAATAACTCTATTATACTGAAGGCACCCAGCTCCTAATGCCCTCAGTGGCCCAGAAAGGTCAGGAAGTCCCATCCTTAAGGTAAAGACAGCAGAGGAAAGAAAGAAACAGTAGCAGTAAATTGAGCACCCTCTGCTTGCTAGACACAAAAATCTAGTCCCAGTGGTCTTAACCCCTATGTTATAGATGAGGATCAGAGAAGTGAAGACACTGACCAATGTCACACAGCTAGGAACTGGCAAAGTCAGACTAAATGTAAAGCCAAGTCTTGTTTCAGTGCACCATTCTTCCACATTCCCATCTAACCACAGCCCATAATACTTTAGGAACCCCCAGAGCATCTGTGTGGGGAGCCCACAACGAGACAAGGCTTCCTGATTGCCATGGTTTGCCACTACCTAAAACAACCACCCAATAATAAGAGCCATGGCCTCAACTGCAGACCTCGGCCCAGCATGGTCAGTCCCCATCCGTATTCACTTCAGAGAGCCCCCAATATCTTCTGTAAACTTACCACTGCCAGACGACCAAGCCTGTCTCTAAGCCATCAAGACCCCAAATGTCTTGTAGCACTATTTATACCTTTCTATAATCCGCCATCAAGCACCTCTCTGCAGAAAGAAATGATTCGTTTTTGCAAGTTGTTGCTGGAGATGCACCCATTCACCCTCACCCAAGGAAGAAAGCCACTTTATGAACCCTCCCACTGCAGAGAGAGCCTGTGCAAGAGCCTCTAAGAGTATATTAAATGATGAAGCCCTCATAAAGCAGCTGTATTCAGCTGAGGGTCGGGCACACTCAGAGGTTCTGCAGTTCCTGTGTGTGGCTTTTAACTTAAAGTTTCTTATAAGAGCAGAGTTTTCTTTCTTGCTATTTCCATGCTCTGGTTCTTTAAGGATGCTTTAAAGATGTGCCTTGGAGGGAGTATTTTCCTCTACTCTGGGGTACAGTTTTTCTAGAGAAAACTACAGAAGAGATTCTGCTCTATTCCTGCAGGTGTACACAGCACCAAAAGGCCTCTGTGAGCAAGGGATTTAGGCACAGGCTCTCAAGATCAAAGGGAAGTCCTGCCTGGAGTCAGGCTTTTCCATACTTCCAACCAGCCTCCAAAGAGGAATTTTAGAAAATCCAGATTTGAGCAACTCCCACCTACCTGAGTCCCTCTGCTAAAGTTCCCTCTTAGATCAAATCCTCCCAATAGCCCTAGGAAGGAGCTAACCTGGTTACAGTCACTGAGGCTCAGAGAGGCAAGCAGCCTGCCCCAGGCTCTGCAGCTAGCAGGGCAGTGTGCCGGCACCAGGCCATCTGGCTCCGGAGGGAAAAGCTGTCCTCAACCCCAATGCCCAGGGTTCTTCCTACCCGCATCACCAATGTGGTCAGAGAAGAGACTGCCCCTACATGTTTCCCTTCCAGGGGAAGAGGGTACTAACAGGACATCTGCACTTGTTCAGCTGCATCTGCATCCTCAAATTCTAACTTGCCAGTTAGTCTAGAAAACAGCAAGGATATAGAACTCTTTTCTTATCTTTGTAACAGGCAGAATCGGGGCAGGGATCTCTTGCCCTTTTCCTCCATGCTCACCATCCAGACACAGACTCTCCCCTTTCTAGCTGGCATGGGCCTCAGGGAAACAGTTCATAAGTATTATAAATGGAGAAGCAGTTGAAGCGCCTCTCGCCTTCCTCCATAATCATTTCCAACGATGAGTGCATGTTACAAGAGCATAAATCCAGGAACATTTGTAACTCCACTGCGTTTGGATTGAGATCATAGATTATTTGTTTATGAAGACATCCCCTGCAGAATGATAGATCTTATTACTAGGCTATTAGATCACTGAAGGATTATAATAAAGGGAAAAGGCAGAGGATGTAATTGTTTAAGACAAATGACAGATTCCCCACCCCTGGAGGCAACTTCTGACCTCAGTTCTTCCCCTCCCAGGTTTGGCTTCATCTTCAACAAGTCTGATCCTGCAGTCCACAAGGTGGACCTGGAAACAATGATGCCCCTCAAGACCATCGGCCTGCACCACCATGGCTGCGTGCCCCAGGCCATGGCACACACCCACCTGGGCGGCTACTTCTTCATCCAGTGCCGACAGGACAGCCCCGCCTCTGCTGCCCGACAGCTGCTCGTTGACAGTGTCACAGACTCTGTGCTTGGCCCCAATGGTGATGTAACAGGCACCCCACACACATCCCCCGACGGGCGCTTCATAGTCAGTGCTGCAGCTGACAGCCCCTGGCTGCACGTGCAGGAGATCACAGTGCGGGGCGAGATCCAGACCCTGTATGACCTGCAAATAAACTCGGGCATCTCAGACTTGGCCTTCCAGCGCTCCTTCACTGAAAGCAATCAATACAACATCTACGCGGCTCTGCACACGGAGCCGGACCTGCTGTTCCTGGAGCTGTCCACGGGGAAGGTGGGCATGCTGAAGAACTTAAAGGAGCCACCCGCAGGGCCAGCTCAGCCCTGGGGGGGTACCCACAGAATCATGAGGGACAGTGGGCTGTTTGGACAGTACCTCCTCACACCAGCCCGAGAGTCACTGTTCCTCATCAATGGGAGACAAAACACGCTGCGGTGTGAGGTGTCAGGTATAAAGGGGGGGACCACAGTGGTGTGGGTGGGTGAGGTATGAAGGGCCCAGAGCAGAGCCCTGGGCCAAGGAACACCCCCTAGTCCTGACACTGCAGCCTCAAGCAGGTACGCTGTACATTTTTACAGACAAAAGCAAAAACCTGTACTCGCTTTGTGGTTCAACACTGGTCTCCTTGCAAGTTTCCTAGTATAAGGTATGCGCTGCTACCAAGATTGGGGTTTTTTCGTTAGGAAGTATGATTTATGCCTTGAGCTACGATGAGAACATATGCTGCTGTGTAAAGGGATCATTTCTGTGCCAAGCTGCACACCGAGTGACCTGGGGACATCATGGAACCAAGGGATCCTGCTCTCCAAGCAGACACCTCTGTCAGTTGCCTTCACATAGTCATTGTCCCTTACTGCCAGACCCAGCCAGACTTTGCCCTGACGGAGTGGCCCGGAAGCAGAGGCCGACCAGGAGCAGGGGCCTCCCTCCCGAACTGAAAGCCCATCCGTCCTCGCGTGGGACCGCATCTTCTCCCTCGCAGCTGCTTCTTGCTTTTCTTTCCATTTGACTTGCTGTAAGCCTGAGGGAGAGCCAACAAGACTTACTGCATCTTGGGGGATGGGGAAATCACTCACTTTATTTTGGAAATTTTTGATTAAAAAAAAATTTTATAATCTCAAATGCTAGTAAGCAGAAAGATGCTCTCCGAGGTCCAACTATATCCTTCCCTGCCTTAGGCCGAGTCTCGGGGGTGGTCACAACCCCACATCCCACAGCCAGAAAGAACAATGGTCATCTGAGAATACTGGCCCTGTCGACTATTGCCACCCTGCTTCTCCAAGAGCAGACCAGGCCACCTCATCCGTAAGGACTCGGTTCTGTGTTGGGACCCCAAAAAACCAGAACAAGTTCTGTGTGCCTCCTTTCAGCACAGAAGGGAGACATCTCATTAGTCAGGTCTGGTACCCCAGATTCAGGGCAGACTGGGCTTGCCTGGCAAGGTATGGGTGGCCTCCAGGCTCAATGCAGAAACCCCAAGGACACGAGTGGGGCCAGGTGAGTTCCTGAAGCTATACCTTTTCAAAACAGATTTTGTTTTCCTACCTGTGGCCCATCCACTCCTCTCTGGTACCCCATCCCCGCATCAGCACTGCAGAGAGAACACATTTCGGCGAGGGTTTTCTTACCCACATTCCCCAATCAATACACACACACTGCAGAACCCAGAACAGAAGGCCACAGGCTGGCACTACTGCATTCTCCTTATGTGTCTCAGGCTGTGGTGACTCTCACATGGGCATCGAAGAAGTACAACCCACATAGCCCTCTGGAGACCGCCTAGATCAGAGACTCAGCAAAAACAGGCTCGCCTTCCCTCTCCCACATATGAGTGGAACTTACATGTGTCCTGGTTTGAATGATCATTTTGCAAGCCACACGGGTTGGGAGAGGTGGTCTCACCACAGACGTCTTTGCTAATTTGGCCACCTTCACCTACTGACATGACCAGGATTTTCCTTTGCCATTAAGGAATGAACTCTTTCAAGGAGAGGAAACCCTAGACTCTGTGTCACTCTCAACACACACAGCTCCTTTCACTCCTGCCTGACTGCCAAGCCACCTGCATCCCCCGCCCCAGATCTCATGAGATCAATCACTTGTATGTCTCACGCAACTTGGTCCACCAAACGCCTGTCCCCTGTAACTCCTAGGGGTGCGCCTAGACAGGTACGTCTGTTTTTTATTTTAAAAGATATGCTATGTAGATATAAGTTGAGGAAGCTCACCTCAAAAGCCTAGAATGCAGTTTCACAGTAGCTGGGATGCATGGATGACCCATCTCACCCCTTTTTTTTTCCTGCCTCAATATCTTGATATGTTATGTTTACTCCCAATCTCCCATTTTTACCACTAAAATTCTCCAACTTTCATAAACTTTTTTTTGGAAAAATTTCCATTGTATCAGCCCCTGACAGAAAAAGGATCTCTGAGCCTAAAGGAGGAAAAGTCCCACCAACTACCAGACCAGAACACGAGCCCCTCTGGGCAGCAGGATTCCTAAGTCAAAGACCAGTTTGACCCAAACTGGCCTTTTAAAATAATCAGGAGTGACAGAGTCAACTTCTGCAGCACCTGCTTCTCCCCCACTGTCCCTTCCATCTTGGAATGTGTCTAAAAAAGCATAGCTGCCCTTTGCTGTCCTCAGAGTGCATTTCCTGGAGACGGCAGGCTTAGGTCTCACTGACAGCATGCCAGACACAACTGAATCGAAGCAGGCCTGAAGCCTAGGTCAGGGTTTCAGGAGTCCAGCCCCAGGAGGCAAAGTCACCAATGCAGGGAGGTAAATGCCTTTTGGCAGGAAAACCAATAGAGTTGGTTGGGTGGGGAGTCAGGGGTGGGAGGAGAAGGAGGAAGAGGAGGAAGGCCAGACTGGCCTGCCCTTTCTCCCATACTTCACCCCAGCAGAGGTTCATGGGACACAGTTGGAAAGCCACTGGGAGGAAATGCCTCACTACAGGGGGGCCTCCTGTAGCAAGCCCAGCCGGTAATCCTCCTAATGAACCCACAAGGTCAATTCACAACTGATATCTTAGCTATTAAAGAAGTACTGACTTTACCAAAAGAATCATCAAGAAAGCTATTTATATAAACCCCCTCAGTCATTTTGAAATAAAATTAATTTTACAAAAATTCGATAGTTTTTTTTTTCCCAAAATGACAAAAAATCTGCACCTGTGGTGACAGGAAGGCTTTGAAATAGAGGCCCTCATTCTTCTGCTCCAGTGGGCAGAACCTTGCATAAAGGCTCCGGGTCCAAAAGCCCACCCAGGCAGCCCCAGACGGATGGCAGGAAGGGGGACTGTCAGCTTCGGGACGATGGCACGACCTGCCTGCATGAGGAGGGTTGATGGGCATTGCACCCACGGCCAAAGCTATCATCCCAGCCTCACCAACACTGACCCAGCCCACCCTGCCTGGGGCTGGCCCAGGCTTATTTCTTCAGTCTCCAAGTCATTCGAGTGTCCTACTTTTCCCCAAGCTCCAGGAAGAAGCTAGAAGAGCCCTGTAAATCCTGGCTGGAGCCAACTACTAATACCAAACTTCAGGTACTTTGACCTAGAGATAGCATCACCAGAGACAGAAACTCAACCCCTACAATTCCCACCCCCAACCCAGACATCTCCCCATCTCCATCTGTCCAGACAAGGCTCCCCATTCCAGGTAGGCACTGGAAGCCGGCTTTCAACCCCAAATAAAGGAGAGAACGGCCTGCTGCCATAGAGATTGCAACCACTGAGTCTTCATTTAGGAAAGCAGCCAGGAGTTGGCTTTGTACGGCCACATCTTGTTTTCTGTCGACCAATAACCTGTGAACTAAAGAAGATTTCAGAACTGAGATGTGAAACAGATTCACTCTGGATATATTTTTCTACAAGGGGCTTAAAAAGTATAGTTGATCATTTATCATGATGTGTTTCATTCCATTATTACAGACAACAAACCGTCTTCACTAGCAAATCCCACAACTCTCTCTCCCACTCTTCAAACCTCCTTTTCAGAAGCAAGCCTCCAGGAGAGTTGACACTACCACTCCCAGCTCCTTCCTATGCATCCACCAATCTACCTCACGCTTGCCCCTGCACCCAGCACCCCCGGAATGCTACTCCCCTCCACCCCCAGCCAGGAGGCCAGGCAGGTAACATAAGATTGAAGCACTGCCACAGAAGTCCTCGACAGCCTCCCCCACCCAGGACCCCAGGTTCCACTCCAAGTACAGCCAGAACCCATAGGGACACAGCCCCTTGCTGCCCAGAATCACACCCTCCAAACCCTCGCTTGCAGACCTTTGGAGTTAGATGACCAAGACTGGAGAGAGCTGGCTGGAAACCATCAGGGAAGTCAGGTGTCGTCCAGCAGGAATAGCGAGACCACGACATCTCAGCCAAGCATCATCTCTCAGAGGACCCAAGCCCCGCAGCCTCCCTCCGACTCCCTTTTTATTCTCCCCTCTTTCCTGTTCCATTCCTGTGTCTCAGGCCCCCTGCTCATGAGCCATTCCACAACAGCTCCTACCATTCAAGGAGCAACTGACCTGACCGCTACACGAGCCCCTACCCCGTGGTCTTTGCCCGTGCCGCTTTCCTGCTTTGGGGTACAAGCCAGAAGTCCTTCATAGGCCAGATACTACTATGTCCTCCCAAACTGGCATGTAGGCAAAGAAATTTTGTTCAAGAAAGTCACTAGCTGCCTTGGTTTCTCTCCAAAATTATAGAGATCATAAAACAGAGATGCTTAAAAATTCAAGGGAAAAAAAAAAATACAGTGCCTATCTTCAGAGTGTGACTACAAGACCCCAGGTAGCCAGTGGAATGCAATCCACTCCCTGCTTTTATCTATACCAGGTTACCTGCTAAGTCACATGAGGATTTGAGCATCTTATTTGGGTCTGCATGCTTTAGGCAGCAGCCATGCAGCAGACCCTGGGACACCAACAAGCATTGTCCTGTGCATCCACATCCTCCTTTGGAGCTGTGGGCAGCAAGTGGGGAAGCCTAATTTAACTAAATAACAACGTATGAAATTATGGAGAATACAAGAGTGGGGATTATCCTCCAAAATTCATAGCGAGGCTTCTTTAGCCAGCACCAGAGTATTTAGCATGCACTTTAAAAAAAACACACACAATTCATGCACGCTTCTTTCCAAGCTCATCTTTACATATATGGAACCAGCCCTTGCTCATGTGGCCCCAGAGAACATGGGCCATGCCCTAGAGGGCTTTCGAGGGCTCAGCCAGCACTCCACAAAGCAATAACCATTGACTTACCCCTACACCAAGCTTGGCGACATGTGCTCGGCCAGATCAGAGATTGCTGCCCTTCAGAGGCACCCTCTTCAGGATCAGAGCTTTGTTTCTGAGTAAGAGCAACCAGTATTGGCTGGGTTGTGAGGCCCAAGAGCTCTAACTTGAGAAAATGCCCCAAATCTAAACCTTTATCCACTGCCCAGCATGACATCTGCCATAGGTTGAAGCGTTGTGGGTCCTGTGCTACTTGGGACAGGTGAGAGAAACAGGTTTGCAAGCCGCATACCACAGACCCACAGTTCCCGACTCCCTCCCTGCCTGGCTCCCGCGGCTGGCCGGCCCCCTCATCCTTCCTAGCCTGGCCCTGTGGCTTCCTACCTTTCCCTTGCTTCTCATGCTTCCCAAAGGCTGTGTGAGATTATCTCAAAGCAGAACTGGGCATGGAGTTTTGCTGGCGTGGTCACACACACCATTTCATGCTGTAGTGCAGCTGAGTGACCCTCAAGATGTGAAGCCACACACATCATTTGTCCTATTCGAGTCTCATGCTTCCCCACCTCAGAAAACTCTCGGATCTCTCATGTCAAGGCAGATTACATTATTTTGAACCATTGTCTAGCCTCCAAAATATATTTTCTGTAATCACCTGTATTTCTCAAAAGGCTTCCTGTAATTATTATACATGTGAATTTTTCCTTATTTATAAAATATATATAAATTATTTTTAATACATCAACTTTAGTAGAAATTTGTACCAACACAGTAACTGTATGTGGCATTTGAAATAAGTTTGTGTTTACTTTGACCTATTACACAGTATTGAACACATGGTGTATTTACAGTACCACTTGGTATAACCATGACTCCAAATTATCATAAACTATTGTCATTGTAAATGCTCTTTTTCTGAGGATTTTACAATAAAACTTGAGAAAAGTCACCTTTTTCTGGTGCCAGTCTGTTTGCAGTTGTTAAAGTGAGAACTGATTAAGGCAAAACCACTCTGCGTCCTTCTCCCACCTTTCCATCGCAATTGCAGGTTCCTGCTCATCACAGTGCGATAGTCGTGCTCTGGCCCAGTCCAAAGAGTGGCTCGACAAAGGCAGGCATCTGGACCCAGAAGTCTCTCTTCTCCATGTGGAAGTTTCAGCTCCCAAAATGCACAACCACATCCGGTTCAAAAGTGCCCACCATCTGCCCTGGCAGGCACTAAAAATTCACTATAGCTCCAGACATTAATCCATTACCCCGCCCACTCTTGGCTCTCACTGGGGCAGACCTTCTAACTGAGACATAGAAAGTGGGAAGTGCCCAGTAATCACCAGGCTACTAACGGGGAGCCAGCACTGTGCCGGGTATGACCCACAGAGGGCTGAACAAAGGAGACACAGCACCTGCCTTCAGTGAGCTTAAAGACGGCTATGCTATGACAGTATTAGGCAGGGCCCCTAGGGTGCGTGTGTATATATGAAGAAAGAGACAGAAAGAGAGATCTATTTTAAGGAATTGGCTCATGTGACTATGGAGGCCGGTAAGGCCAAAATCGGCCTGGTAGGCAGCAGCTGGAGACCCAGAGAAGAGTTGCAGTTTGAGTCCAGAGGCCGCCTGCTGGCAGAATCCCCTCCTTAAGGGGAGGCCAGTCTTTTTCTATTATGGCCTTCAACTGATTGAATGGAGCTCACCTACATCACAGAGGGTAATCTGCTTTCCTCCAAGTCTACTGATTTAAGTGGTAATCTGAGCTGGGCGTGGTGGCTCATGACTGTAATCCCAGCATTTTGAGAGGCCAAAGTAGGAGGATCGCTTGAGCCCAGGAGTTTGAGACCAGCCTGGGCAACACAGGTAGACTCCATCTCTACAAAAAAAAAAAAAAAATTAATTAATTAATTAGCCAGACATGGTGGTGGGCACCTGTGGTCCCAGCTACTTGGAAGGCTGAGGTGGGAGGATCCCTTGATCCCAGCAGTTTGAGGCTGCAGTGAGCCATGATCTCACCACTGCATTCCAGCCTGGGTAAGAAAGTGAGACACTGTCTCAAGAAATAAAAACCAAGAAATGAATGTTAATCTCATTTTTAAAATACCTTCACAGAATCATCTAGAGTAGTATTTGACTAGACACCAGAGACCACGGCTGTCTTAGTCTGTTCAGGCTGCTATAACAAAATACCACAGACTTTGTTGCTTATAAACTAATTTATTTCTCATCATTCTGGAGTTTGGGAGGCCCAAGATCAAGACAGCAACAGACTTGGTGTCTGGTGAGAGGCCACTTCCTGGTTCCTAGGCATCCATCTTCTCACTGTGTCCTCACGTGGTGGAAGGGGCAAAGGAGCTTCCAGGAGCCTCTTTCTAAGGGCTCCAATCCCATTCACTCTCATACCCTAATCACCTCGCAAAGGCCCCACCTCCAAGTACCATCACAATGGGGGCTGGTTTTCAAGATATGAATTTGTGGGGAACACAAACATTCAGTCTTTAGCAGTGGCCTGGCCAAGCTGACATAACATTAATCATCACAGTGACATAAACAAGGTACTGCTCCCCATCTCTCCTGGAGGTGTAAACTACTACATGTGCCTAGCCCTGTGATAAGCACTTAATAAGCACCTGTTTTTAAACCTTATAACCACCCAACAAGGTACGTGTTATTATTATCCCCACTTTACAGAAGAGGAAGCTGAGGCTCAGAGCAGCAGAGCCAGAATTCGAATCTATGTCTGTGGTCAGAACGCATACTGTAACTGCTGATCCTGCTGCCCGAGATATCCACCACCATGAAAATGTCTGAACTGCAGCTGCTCCAGCCTCACTTCCCTGCAGACCCCGGGAAGCAAAAGCTACCTATAGCAGGGGCTTTGCTCTAACCTCCATCCCAAGAGAGCCAGCTTCCCAGACCAGTGTGGCAGTCTGGAGAGTAGCCAGCAGATGGTCCCAGAGCTACAATTTTCAGTTAGCTAAGGCTGGATATGCCCAGAGCTAAAATTAATATTGTTTTAAAATCAAATGTATTTATGCAATAAATAGTACATCATATTATCTGCAAGTCTAGGTGAGTATCATCTTTATGTGTAAACTTCCATCCAAAGAAAATTAGTTTATGCTTCCTTAACTCTCACTTATCCAAGGCCACTGGCCATAATCCCCATGTTCAGAGTTCCTCCCCTTGAACCAGAGTCTCCTGCCAAAGTGAAATCCAGTTACCAAGCAGGAGATATTGGTCAGCAGTGACCAGTGGAACTGGGCGGCCCAGGAAGAAGGGATGGGAAGTGACGACCCCCAGGACCCACCCTGTATGCAATGGGGAGGATGCACTCCCAGGTAGAGCAACAACAGGGAGACTTTCAGCATCCCTGGGGCACAAGACAGAGAATGTGACTTATAAACCAGACCCTTGGGGAACCCTAAAAGGAGCCAGGCCCTGTGCTCCCACTGATCAGGCTCTCTGGAACCTGCAGGGCAATCTGAATCAGCATCTCCTGATGCACTGCTAGGTAAGCTCACTCACATTTCTTCAGGATATAAGAAAATGCATGCTGTATATTCTCATTTTATAAAAGAATACTGGAGTGCGGGGGCGGGCGGAGTTGGGGGTGGGTGGCCTGGTGGCTCATGCCTGTAATCCTAGCACTACTTTGGGACGCCAAGGTGGGTGGATCACTTGGGCCCAAGAGTTGGAGACCAGCCTGGGCAACACGACAAAACCCCATCTCAACAAAAAATACAAAAATTAGCTGGGTGTGGTGACACACACCTGTAGTCCCAGCTGAGGTAGGAGGATCACTTGAGCCTAGGAGGTGGAGGTTGCAGTGAACCGAGATCACGCCACTGCACTCCAGCCTGGGTGACAGAGTGAGACCCTGTCTCAAAAAAAAAAAAGTAGAATTCGGGGGTCAGGGGCAAGTGGGAATAGGCCAAAATGTTAAACACCGTGTTGTGGGATTATAAGTGGATCTGGTTTTCCTCTACATGTTTATTTCTATTGTCTAGAACTTCTACAGTAAACTGTTTATATCACTTCTGTGATCAAGATTAAGAGAAATCTGACACTGACACTCACTCGTGAGTGGTACAGGTGCAACACAGACAGCATGGTTCCCTGTCCACCCTTGCTCCCTTTGCAGCAGTCAGGAACAAGGACTCATGTCTTTGGTGAACAGGGGCACCCTGAGGGGAGACTGTTATCTCCCAAGAGTGAGACACGATTACAGAGCCTGTAGATCCTACCTATTCCTTCCTGCGCAAAGGAGGGAAGGAAAACAAAACAGATGAGCCGAAGAAGATGGACTCATTCCTACACCCAGGCAAGAATTCCCCTTGGGCTACCACCAAGTATGTAAGTGCCTCACCAACTTCTACCTCAGAAACAATGGTCAGATTTCCCTTCCTCTTCAGGGGGAAGATTAAATCATTCAGAACAATTTTACCACTAAAAACACTTTTAAAAATTTTTTAAAAATAAAAAATGTTAAAGAACATCATACAGGAGGTGAGGAAAGAATGGAGAAGTGAGCGCCCAGAGACAGGGGCAGGGCAGGGAGCTGCTTCTCTCCCAACAGCGCTTGTCTCTCCACACACACTTGGGCTTTCCTTCCAGTGGCCTCACAGGGAAATGGGGGCAAGAGTTACAGGTGGGCAAAGAGTTCTTACACTTGGCACCAAAAGCATGATCCATAAAAGGAAAATTTGATACACTGGACCTCATCAAAATTTCACATTTTTGCTCTGTAAAAGATCCTGTTAACAGAAAGACAACATTCTAGGAGAAAATATCTGCAAACCACATATCCAACAAAGGCCTAGTATCTAAAATACATGAAGAGCTCACAAAACTTATGGTAAAATAACAAACAATTCAATTGGAAGATAGGCGGAAAAAAAAAAAAAAAGCCAGGTGCAGTGGCTCATACCTATAATCCCAGCACTTTGGAGGCAGAGGTGGGCAGATCACTGGAGGTCAGGAGTTCAAGACCAGCCTGGCCAACATGACAAAACCCCATCTCTACTAAAAATACAAAAATTATCCAGGCATGGTGGCATGCACCTGTAATCCCAGCTACTTGGGAGGCTGAGACAGGAGAATTGCTCGAACCCCGGAGCTGGACGTTGCAGTGAGCTGAGATCGCACCACTGCACTCCAGCCTGGGTGAAAGCACAAGACCCTGTCTCAGAAAAAAAAAAAAAAAAGGAAAAGAAAAGACAATGGGCAAAAAGAATTCTTAAGCAGATATTTCACCAAAGAGGATATATAGATGTTAAATAAGCACATGTAAAGAAATTTAACATTATCAGCCATTAGGGAAATGCACATTAAAAACACAATGAGATATCACTACACACCTATTACAATTGTGAAAATACTACTCTGATAAAATAAATAGTGACAAAAAACACTGCTGAGGCTGCAGAAAAACTGGGTCACTCATGCATGTCAGATGGGAATATAAAAAATGGTACAGACTCTCTGAGAAACGGTTTGGCAATTTTTTTAAAAATCAGCATTTAACTATCATTTGATTCAATAATTGTACTTTTGGGCATTTATCCCACAGAAATACTTACCTTCACACAAAAACCTCTATACAAATGTTCATTGCAGCTTTACTCATATCAGACTAAAATGGGAAACAATCTAGATGTTCTTCAATGGGTGAAGAGTCAAACTGCAGTCTATTCATACCATGGAATATTACTCAGCAATAAAGAGGAATGACTTAGTGATAGACACATCGACCTTGAGTGACTCTCCAGAGAATTAAATTGAGTGAAAAAGCCAATACCAAAATATTGCAAACTGTACATGATTCCATTCCAAGATTACATACTGTATATATGTATATACCATTCCTGAAATGGCAAAATTGTAGAAATGAAGAACAGATTAATGATCATCAGGGATGCAGAAGGGGGATGCAGTGGGAGGGACCTGGGTGTGGCTATAAAAGGATGACATGTGAGATCCTATGGCAACAGAAATGCCCTGTATCTTGACTGTGTCAATGTCAGTATCCTGGCTGTGATCTTGTACTATGGTTTTGCAAGATGTTACTTTTGGAGGAAACTGAGCATAAGTACACAGGATCTTGCTATAGTATTTCTTATAACTGCATGTGAATCTGTAATTATTTCAAAAGAAAAACCAAAAACCTCCAGGGCCAGATGGTGTCACCAGTGAATATTATCAAACATTTAAGGAAGATGTAACACCAGTTTTACACAAACTCTTCCAGAGAATAGAAAGGGATGAAAAAAATCCCCAACTCAGGTTGCAATACTAGAAAATAAGAACAACCCCAGAAAGGGACAATTACAAGCCTATTTTACTCATAATGTAAATACCAATATGCTAAACAAAATATCAGCAAACTAAATCCAGCAATTTAGAAAAAAGGATAGTGCATTATGTGTAAGTTGGATGAATCCCAGAAATGCAAAGTTGATTTAACATTAGAAAAAAAAATTGATGTAATTCACATTATCAGCTTAAAGGAAAAGCATATGAGCATCTCAAGAGATGTAGAAAAAGCATTGAGAAAATCCCAAATTCATTCATATTCATGATTTCCTCTAAGCAAAGTAGAAACAGAAATTGTCTTAATTATTAGAGATGAAGGTCTATAGCAAACATGCTTCACTGAAGTAAAAATATTAAAGTAAAACATTGAGAGTGCCTCCTTTTAGACAGGGAATAAGGCAAGGATCCACTTTGACTTAGCACTGTACACTGTACACTATAGTCCTAGCCAGATCAATAAAGTAAGAAATAGAAACAAAAGGTGTAAGAATTGGAAAGAAACAAGACTATATAATTGTATATGTAAAAAATTCAAATGAGGGGGCTGGGCTAGGTGGCTTATGCCTGTAGTCCCAACAATTTGGCAGGCTAAGGCGTGAGGATTGCTTGAGGCCAGGAGCTCCAGACCAGCCTGGGCAACAAAGCCAGACTCAGTCTTACAAAAAATTTTAAAATTAGCTGGGCATGGTGGCACATGCCTGTAGTCCCAGCTACTTGGAAAACTTGCTTAAGCCCAGCGAGGCTGCAGTGAGCTATAATTGTGCCACTGCATGCCTGGGCGACACAGCAAAACCCTCTCTCTACGAAAAGAAAATTAAAATGAATATACAAGATACATTATTAAAATTAGCAACAGAGTTTAGCAAGGTTGATGATGAAGAATTAATACAACAAACATAATTATATTTTTCCATAACAGCAACAGTTTAAATGCATTTTTAAAAAAAATACCATTATAATAACATTTTTAATAGGAATAAAATCAATAAAGATATATAAGATCTCTCTAAAGAGAATTCTAGAACTTTGAGAGACATTAAAAACATTAAATTGAAAGATATACCATGTTGATTGGAAGATTTAATAATATAACAATGTTAATTTATCCCAAACTGATTTAGAGAATAATTGCAATCCCAATTTTTTTTTTTTTTTTTTTTGAGATGGAGTCTCGCACTGTTGCCCAGGCTGGAGTGTGGTGATGCAATCTCAGCTTACTGCAAGCTCCACTTCCCAGGTTCACACCATTCTCCTGCCTCAGCATCCTGAGTAGCTGGGACTACAGTTGCCCGCCCAATTACAATTTTAAGAAAGGATTTTGGCAAGCTAATTCTAAAATTTATATGGAAGTTTAAAATGTCAAAAATAGTTAAGAAATTCTTGAAGAAAAATGTCTGGGAAGGGCTGGGCACGGTGGCTCACGCCTGTAATCCCAGCACTCTGGGATGCCAAGGCAGGTGGATCACTTGAGCTCAGGAGTTCAAGACCAGCCTGGGCAACAAGGCAAAACCTCATCTCTACCAAAACTACAAAAATTAGCCAAGTGTGGTTGTGTGCACCTGTAGTCCCAGCTACTCAGGAGGCTGAGATGAGAGGATCGCTTGAGTCTGGGAGGCAGAGGTTGCAGTGAGCCAAGATTGTACCACTGCAGTCCAGCCTGGGTAACAGAGTGAGACCCCATCTAAAAAAAAAAAAAAAAAAGAAAGTTTGGGAGGACTTACTCTATCAAATACAAGACTTAATATAAAGTTATAGTAATTAAGACAGTATGTAACTGAGCAACATTAGACAAACAGGTCAATGAAACAATATAGGAATCGATGGGAGGAGCCAAGATGGCCGAATAGGAACAGCTCCGGTCTACAGCTCCCAGCGTGAGCGACGCAGAAGACAGATGATTTCTGCATTTCCATCTGAGCTCTGAAGACAGCAGTGGTTCTCCCAGTACGCAGCTGGAGATCTCAGAACGGGCAGACTGCCTCCTCAAGTGGGTCCCTGACCCCTGACCCCCGAGCAGCCTAACTGGGAGGCACCCCCCAGCAGGGGCACACTGACACCTCACATAGCAGGGTACTCCAACAGACCAGCAGCTGAGGGTCCTGTCTGTTAGAAGGAAAACTAACAAACAGAAAGGATATCCACACCAAAAACCCATCTGTACATCACCATCATCAAAGACCAAAAGTAGATAAAACCACAAAGATGGGGAAAAAACAGAACAGAAAAACTGGAAACTCTAAAAAGCAGAGCGCCTCTCCTCCTCCAAAGGAACGCAGTTCCTCACCAGCAACGGAACAAAGCTGGACGGAAAACGACTTTGACGAGCTGAGAGAAGAAGGCTTCAGACGATCAAATTACTCTGAGCTACGGGAGTACATTCAAACCAAAGGCAAAGAAGTTGAAAACTTCGAAAAAAATTTAGAAGAATGTATAACTAGAATAACCAATACAGAGAAGTGCTTAAAGGAGCTGATGGAGCTGAAAACCAAGGCTCGAGAACTACGTGAAGAATGCAGAAGCCTCAGGAGCCGATGCAATCAACTGGAAGAAAGGGTATCAGCAATGGAAGATGAAATGAATGAAATGAAGCGAGAAGGGAAGTTTAGAGAAAAAAGAATAAAAAGAAATGAGCAAAGCCTCCAAGAAATATGGGACTATGTGAAAAGACCAAATCTACGTCTGATTGGTGTACGTGAAAGTGACGAGGAGAATGGAACCAAGTTGGAAAACACTCTGCAGGATATTATCCAGGAGAACTTCCCCAATCTAGCAAGGCAGGCCAACGTTCAGATTCCGGAAATACAGAGAATGCCACAAAGATACTTCTCGAGAAGAGCAACTCCAAGACACATAATTGTCAGATTCACCAAAGTTGAAATGAAGGAAAAAATGTTAAGGGCAGCCAGAGAGAAAGGTCGGGTTACCCTCAAAGGGAAGCCCATCAGACTAACAGCGGATCTCTCGGCAGAAACCCTACAAGCCAGAAGAGAGTGGGGGCCAATATTCAACATTCTTAAAGAAAAGAATTTTCAACCCAGAATTTCATATCCAGCCAAACTAAGCTTCATAAGTGAAGGAGAAATAAAATACTTTACAGACAAGCAAATGCTGAGAGATTTTGTCACCACCAGGCCTCCCCTAAAAGAGCTCCTGAAGGAAGCGCTAAACATGGAAAGGAACAACCGGTACCAGCCGCTGCAAAATCATGCCAAAATGTAAAGACCATCAAGACTAGGAAGAAACTGCATCAACTAACGAGCAAAATAGCCAGCTAACATCATCATGACAGGATCAAATTCACACATAACAATATTTACTTTAAATGTAAATGGACTAAATGCTCCAATTAAAAGACACAGACTGGCAAATTGGATAAAGAGTCAAGACCCATCAGTGTGCTGTATTCAGGAAACCCATCTCACGTGCAGAGACACACATAGGCTCAAAATAAAAGGATGGAGGAAGATCTACCAAGCAAATGGAAAACAAAAAAAGGCAGCGGTTGCAATCCTAGTCTCTGATAAAACAGACTTTAAACCAACAAAGATCAAAAGAGACAAAGAAGGCCATTACATGATGGTAAAGGGATCAATTCAATAAGAAGAGCTAACTATCCTAAATATATATGCACCCAATACAGGAGCACCCAGATTCATAAAGCAAGTCCTGAGTGACCTACAAAGAGACTTAGACTCCCACACATTAATAATGGGAGACTTTAACACCCCACTGTCAACATTAGACAGATCAACGAGACAGAAAGTCAACAAGGATACCCAGGAATTGAACTCAGCTCTGCACCAAGCAGACCTAATAGACATCTGCAGAACTCTCCACCCCAAATCAACAGAATATACATTCTTTCAGCACCACACCACACCCATTCCAAAATTGACCACATACTTGGAAGTAAAGCTCTCCTCAGCAAATGTAAAAGAACAGAAATTATAACAAACTATCTCTCAGACCACAGTGCAATCAAACTAGAACTCAGGATTAAGAATCTCACTCAAAACCGCTCAACTACATGGAAACTGAACAACCTGCTCCTGAATGACTACTGGGTACATAACGAAATGAAGGCAGAAATAAAGATGTTCTTTGAAACCAACGAGAACAAAGACACAACATACCAGAATCTCTGGGACACATTTAAAGCAGTGTGTAGAGGGAAATTTATAGCACTAAATGCCCACAAGAGAAAGCAGGAAAGATCCAAAATTGACACCCTAACATCACAATCAAAAGAACTAGAAAAGCAAGAGCAAACACATTGAAAAGCTAGCAGAAGGCAAGAAATAACTAAAATCAGAGCAGAACTGAAGGAAATAGAGACACAAAAAACCCTTCAAAAAATTAATGAATCCAGGAGCTGGTTTGTTGAAAGGATCAACAAAATAGATAGACCGCTAGCAAGACTAATAAAGAAAAAAAGAGAGAAGAATCAAAAAGACGCAATAAAAAATGATAAAGGGCATATCACCACTGATCCCACAGAAATACAAACTACCATCAGAGAATACTACAAACACCTCTACACAAATAAACTACAAAATCTAGAAGAAATGGATAAATTCCTCGACACATACACTCTCCCAAGACTAAACCAGGAAGAAGTTGAATCTCTGAATAGACCAATAACAGGATCTGAAATTGTGGCAATAATCAATAGCTTACCAACAAAAAAGAGTCCAGGACCAGATGGATTCACAGCTGAATTCTACCAGAGGTACAAGGAGGAACTGGTACCATTCCTTCTGAAACTATTCCAATCAATAGAAAAAGAGGGAATCCTCCCTAACTCATTTTATGAGGCCAGCATCATTCTGATACTAAAGCCTGGCAGAGACACAACCAAAAAAGAGAATTTTAGACCAATATCCTTGATGAACATTGATGCAAAAATCCTCAATAAAATACTGGCAAAACGAATCCAGCAGCACATCAAAAAGCTTATCCACCATGATCAAGTGGGCTTCATCCCTGGGATGCAAGGCTGGTTCAATATACACAAGTCAATAAATGTAATCCAGCATATAAACAGAACCAAAGACAAAAACCACATGATTATCTCAATAGATGCAGAAAGGGCCTTTGACAAAATTCAACAACGCTTCATGCTAAAAACTCTCAATAAATTAGGTATTGATGGGACGTATTTCAAAATAATAAGAGCTATCTATGACAAACCCACAGCCAATATCATACTGAATGGGCAAAAACTGGAAGCATTCCCTTTGACAACTGGCACAAGACAGGGATGCCCTCTCTCACCACTCCTATTCAACATAGTGTTGGAAGTTCTGGCCAGGGCAATTAGGCAGGAGAAGGAAATAAAGGGTATTCAATTAGGAAAAGAGGAAGTCAAATTGTCCCTCTTTGCAGATGACATGATTGTATAGCTAGAAAACCCCATTGTCTCAGCCCAAAATCTCGTTAAGCTGATAAGCAACTTCAGCAAAGTCTCAGGATACAAAATCAATGTGCAAAAATCACAAGCATTCTTATACACCAACAACAGACAAACAGAGAGCCAAATCATGAGTGAACTCCCATTCACAATTGCTTCAAGGAGAATAAAATACCTAGGAATCCAACTTACAAGGGATGTGAAGGACCTCTTCAAGGAGAACTACAAACCACTGCTCAAGGAAATAAAAGAGGATACAAACAAATGGAAGAACATTCCATGCTCATGGGTAGGAAGAATCAATATCATGAAAATGGCCATACTGCCCAAGGTAATTTACAGATTCAATGCCATCCCCATCAAGCTAGCAATGCCTTTCTTCACAGAATTGGAAAAAACTACTTTAAAGTTCATATGGAACCAAAAAAGAGCCCGCATTGCCAAGTCAATCCTAAGCCAAAAGAACAAAGCTGGAGGCATCACGCTACCTGACTTCAAACTATACTACAAGGCTACAGTAACCAAAACAGCATGGTACTGATACCAAAACAGAGATATAGATCAATGGAACAGAACAGAGCCCTCAGAAATAACGCCGCATATCTACAACTATCTCATCTTTGACAAACCTGAGAAAAACAAGCAATGGGGAAAGGATTCCCTGTTTAATAAATGGTGCTGGGAAAACTGGCTAGCCATATGTAGAAAGCTGAAACTGGATCCCTTCCTTACACATTATACAAAAATCAATTCAAGATGGATTAAAGACTTAAATGTTAGACCTAAAACCATAAAAACCCTAGAAGAAAACCTAGGCAATACCATTCAGGACATAGGCATGGGCAAGGACTTCATGTCTAAAGCACCAAAAGCAATGGCAACAAAAGACAAAATTGACAAATGGGATCTAATTAAACTAAAGAGCTTCTGCACAGCAAAAGAAACTACCATCAGAGTGAACAGGCAACCTACAAAATGGGAGAAAATTTTCGCAACCTACTCATCTGACAAAGGGCTAATATCCAGAATCTACAATTAACTCAAACAAATTTACAAGAAAAAAACAAACAACCCCATCAAAAAGTGGGCAAAGGACATGAACGGACACAGACACTTCTCAAAAGAAGACATTTATGCAGCCAAAAAACACATGAAAAAATGCTCACCATCACTGGCCATCAGAGAAATGCAAATCAAAACCACAGTGAGATACCATCTCACACTAATTAGAATGGCAATCATTAAAAAGTCAGGAAGCAACAGGTGCTAGAGAGGATGTGGAGAAATAGGAACACTTTTACACGGTTGGTGGGACTGTAAACTAGTTCAACCACTGTGGAAGTCCGTGTGGCGATTCCTCAGGGATCTAGAACTAGAAATACCATTTGACCCAGCCATCCTATTACTGGGTATATACCCAAAGGACTATAAATCATGCTGCTATAAAGACACATGCACACGTATGTTTATTGCAGCACTATTCACAATAGCAAAGACTTGGAACCAACCCAAATGTCCAACAATGATAGACTGGATTAAGAAAATGTGGCACATATATACCATGGAACACTATGCAGCCATAAAAAATGATGAGTTCATGTCCTTTGTAGGGACATGGATGAAATTGGAAATCATCATTCTCAGTAAACTATCGCAAGAACAAAAAATCAAACACTGCATATTCTCACTCATAGGTGGAAATTGAACAATGAGATCACATGGACACAGGAAGGGGAACATCACACTCTGGGGACTGTTGTGGGGTGGGGGGAGGGGGGAGGGATAGCATTGGGAGATATACCTAATGCTAGATGACGAGTTAGTGGGTGCAGCGCACCAGCATGGCACATGTATACATAAGTAACTAACCTGCACAATGTGCACATGTACCCTAAAACTTAAAGTATAATAATAAAAGAAAAAAATATATATAGGAATCAGAAATAAATATATGTATATATGAAAATGTTATCTATAGCAGAGGTAGCACTCCAGATTGGTGGGGAAAAGACAAACTTTTTCAATAAATGTTGCTGGAATACATACACCAGGGTACATGTTCATGAATAGTCATTGCAGCAGTTGTTGTAATAGCAAAGGCTGGAAACAATGCAAATATCCTTCAGTAGCAGAACAAAGAAAAAAATGATACGTTTATATAATGGAATACAGCAATGAAAATGAACTAAGTACAGCTACACAAAACATTACAAATAAGTCTCACAAACATGTCAAACAAAAGGGTAGACATAGCTCAAAAACAGCCAAAATTAAATTAAACTGTCCTTTATCACAGACACATATAAGTAATAAAACTATGAAGAGAGACAAGAAAATGGTTATCCCAAAAGTCAGAATCAGGAGAAAAGAGAAGAGATTACTACAAAGAAGAGGCACAAAGAGAGGTTCTTGGGTGTTTACAATGTTCTATTCCTTGGCCTGGTAGTGATTATAATTATTCATGGAACTGTACATTTATGTTATATGTACTTTGTGCATTATGTTATATCTTATATTAAAATGTTTATTAAAAGACTTCTGTTTCTGGCAATATCATGAACCATGTTTAAAAAAAAAAATCCACTACTACCCAGAAATGCTGGAGAAAAGAAAACAAATACCTTTAAAATTGTACAGCCAAGAAAAAGAAAAACTACAAAAAAACAATAAAGAAAAAGATAAATACGAGAAAGTATGGACAAATTGGGGCTTGGGTTGTGATACACAAGTGTGAACAGAGATAAAACCTCGGACCCAAGCGAGGTGAAACATTGTCAACTGAGATTCCTGAATAAACCTGAGACACTCAAAGGAATTTATCTTCAGAGAAACAGTGATCTGGAGAAAAATTTACCCATTAGCTCAGGGAAACTAGAAAAAGTATGAAAAAGTATCAGAAAAAACTCTGACTGCTATTCAGCCATAATAAGGAGTGAAATACTGATTCATGCTACAACCTGAATGAACCTTGAAAACCTTATGCTATGTGAAAGAAGACAGGCACAGCAGTAGGGCATGTGTCATATGAGTGCATTTATATGAAATGCCCAGAATAAGCAAATCTATAGAGACAGAGAGATTCATGGCTGCCAGGGGCTGGGGGAGAGGAAAATGGAGATTGACAGCTAACTATAGTATTTCTTTGGCAGATGAAAATGTTCTGGAAAAAGATTGTGGTGATTATTGCACAACTGTGTGAATAAACTATAACCACCATTGAATTGTATACTTTAAAATGATAGATTTTATGGTATGTGAATTATATCTCAATAAAATATACATAAATTTTTTAAACAATGGATTAGAAATACACACCAAGAAATAATTTTTTAAAAACAAACTGTTGTAGTCATATTAATACCTGACAATAGACTTTAAGGCAAACAGCAGGAATAAAGACAGTTACTACCTGATAAAAGTGTCCACTCATCAGGCAGATAAAACAAATTCTAAAAACATAGCCTCAAAATATATAAAGCAAAATTGATAGTGTTACGAGGAACTGACAAATCTATCATCACAGCAGAGAGAGAGAGAGCATCATAGCTCTCTCAGTAATTGTCTTGAACAAATAAAAACTGATAAAAATGGCCAGACGCAGTGGCTCATGCCTGTAATCCCAGCAGTTTGGGTGGCCGAGGCAGGTGGATCACTTGAGGTCAGGAGTTCGAGACCAGCCTGGCCATCATGGCAAAACCCCATCTCTACTAAAAATACAAAAATTAGCTGAGTGTGGTGGCACATCTGTAATCCTAATGCGCCTGTAATAGTAGCATCCCTACTCAGTAGGCTGAAGCACAAGATTCACTTGAACCCAGGAGGCAGAGCACTGAGCAAAGATTACACCACTGTACTTAATAAATAAATAAATTTAAAAAGCTGATGAAAATACAGAATATTTGAGCCACACAATAAGCTTGATCCATAGATGTATATAGAACCTTACATATAGAATTTAGAAAAAAATACATTTTTTTTCAAACTCACATGAAACTATACAAAAAACTAACCATTTACTAGGTACAATGCCAAAGAAAATTTCCAATAACTACCACAGAATCAAAATCATAGAGCATATTATCTGACCACAATGCAATAAAATAGAAATCAGTGACTAAAAAGCTGACCAAAGAATCTCCATACATTTGGAGACTTAAATGTGTAATTATGCTGGGCGCGGTGTCTCATGCCTGTAATCCCAGCACTTTGGGAGGCCAAGGCAGGCGGATCACTTGAGGTCAGGAGTCTGAGACCAGCCTGGACAACATGGTAAAACCCCATCTCTACTAAAAATATGAAAATTAGCTGGGCTCAGTGGCATGCGCCTGTAGTCCCACCTACTCGGGAGGCTGAGGCAGGAGAATCGCTTGAACCCAGGAGGTGGAGGCTGCAGTGAGCCGAGATCGTGCCACTGCACTCCAGCCTGGGCGACAAAGCAAGACTCCATCTCAAAAAAAAAAAAAAAGGTATGATTAATCCAGAACTCAAAGAAGAAATCATAATGGAAATTAGAAAATATTTCCAGTTAAATTACCAGAGATATAACTATACATATACATACATATATCTTGATATGCATAGATATATCAAATCATAAATATACTAGTTGATATATTAGAGATATATATCAGAGCTTTATACTGCACATGAAGTAATAGAAATGTATACATTACAAAAGAATGCCTACATTAGAAAAGAATAGAAGGTTAAATATCAGAGATCTGAGCATTTAATTCAAGAAATCACAAGAAGAACAGCAGAGTAAAACCAAAGAAAGTAGAAGGCCAAAAATAGAGTAGGAAGAGGAGACATTTTAAAAGTAGAAAACAAATTATAAAAAGGATTGAAAAAAACAAGAGCTGACTCTTTACAAAAACTAATAGAATAGCAAATGCACAGCAGGACTGATCAGGAAAAAGACTATAAACAATATTAAGTATGAACAAGAAGACACAGTTTTCACAGATTAAGCAAAGATGTTTTAAAACAAAAGATCACTATGAACAACGTTATGCAATTCATATAAAAACCTAAATGAAATGGACCATTTCCTAGAAAAAATGGTTTGCCAAAACAAACTCAAAAAGGAATGGAAAACCCAGGTAAGTCTACAAAAGGAAGCAAATCAATAGTTAATCTACACACAAAAACAAAAGCACTAGGCCCAGACAGTTTAAGAGGCAATTCTATCTTACATAAAATGTTCCAGAAAATAGAAAAGGAAAAGCTCCTCAATTCATTTTATGACACTAGTAAACCCTGAAACAAATGCCATATGAGAACAGTAAAAGAAATGAAAATTATGGGCCAATCTCACTCAAGAGCAATAGATAGAAAAATTCTAAATAAAATTCTAGCAAGTCAGATTTTAGAATACCTCGTGATCAAGAAGGGAATATCCCAGTCATACAAGTGTAGATCAACTTTAGAAAATCTATTAATGTAATTCACTCCATTAACACATTAAAGAAGAAAAATTTGTGATCACCTCAGTAGATACAGAAAAAACATTTGATAAAATTCAATACCCATTCATCGTTTAAAAAAAACTCTGGGCCAGGCATGGTGGCTCACACCTGTAATGCCAGCATGTTGGGAGGCTGAGACCAATGGATCACTTGAGCTCAGGAGTTCAAGACCAGCCTGGGAAACATAGCAAAACTCCGTTTCTACAAAAAAATTAAAAAATTAGCCAGGCATGGTGGCGCACACACCTGTAGTCCCAGCTACTCACTCAGGAGGCTGAGGAGGCAGCACTGCTTGAGCCTGGAAGGAGGGGGTTGCAGTAAGCTGAGATTGCACCACCATACTCCAGCCTGTGCAACAGAGCAAGACCCTGTCACAAAATAAAAAAACAAAAATAAAAAATAAACTCCTGCCAGGTGCAGTGGCATGCACCTGTAATCCCAGCTACTCGAGAGGTTGAGGCAAGAGGAGCCCTTGACCCTGGGACTTCAAGTCCAGCCTGAGCAACACAGCAAGACCCCCCCCCCGCTTAATAAAAACACACACACTCCTAATAAATTAGGAATAGATGGCAATTTCCTTAGGAAATAAGTCAGATTTGAGAATTCCCTCTAGTAATGATCTTTGGATGAGACTGCTGGCACTTGAAACTGAGCGGGCAGAGCGACCTCCCAATGCCTACCTGGCAGCTTTTAATCATTGCTACTGACCAGGCACGGCTATGTATCTCCTCTTCCTTTTTCTGAATACAAATTCTTATTGTGCTTTTTCCTGTGCTTGCAACACCACCGGTCATTCACTGGGGGCACGGGGGGTAGCGGGGCTGGGACTTGTCTTTTGAGTTCATGGATCCCCACATGACAAGAAACTACATCAGGACTTAAAGGAGAGGCCTGCACATCACCTGGAGTTTGATTTGAAAGCAGGCATCAGTGGTGCACACCACTTCCAGACCTAGCCCATGAAATCCTACTCTGCAAGAGACAGGGTCTCACTCTGTTACCCACGCTGGAGTGTAGTGGCGCAATCTTGGCTCACTTACAGCCTCGACCTTCCAGGTTCAAGCAATCCTCCTGCCTCAGCCCCTCGTGTAGCTAAGACTACAGTTACCCATCACCATGCCTAGCTAATTTTTGTGTTTTTTTGTAGAGTCAGGATTTCCCCGGCTGCTCTGGAACTCCTGGGCTCAAGTGATCCACCCACCTTGGCCTCCCAAAGTTCTAGAATTATAGGCATGAGCCACCACACCCAGCCCACTTAAGTGATCTTTTGGAGACTGGCCACCCATCAGCAATACATGTTTTGAAATTTAATTGAGCAAGAAATAAACTTATTATAGACACTGAGATTTTGATGCTTGTTATAGGCGCTATTAATATTATCTTAATTAACGGAGGTAATGAAACAATACATCACATTTAAGGTGAAATGTTAAACCCATTCGCTTTAGAGTCAACAACAAATCAAGGATGGCTCCCTCCTTTCAGTATGGAGCTGGAGGTCCTAGCAAGTGTAGTAAGGTAGAGAGACAGACAGATGGCAAGCATAAGAACTGCATAAGAAAAAATTAAAGTATCATTATTTACAGTGGATGTAAATGCATACAAAATCCAAGAGTTTCTAAAGATAAACTATTAAGAACTAATAAGAGTTTGGTAACTTTGCCAATAGATATAGAAAAGTTGGTTGTGATCTTATATAATAGTAACAATTAGAAAATGTAATTTTTAAGTAATACATAATATATAATAGCACAAAAATACAACATACCAAAAAATAAATCTAACCAAAAAGTACGCAGGTGTTTTATGGAGAAAATTATATGTTTATAAAAGACATTATAAAGACTTACATAAATGATGATATGGCCGGGCATGGTGGCTCACGCCTGTAATCCCAGTACTTTGGGAGGCTGAGGTGGGTGGATCACCTGAGGTCAGGAGTTTGAGACCAGCCTGACCAACATGGCAAAACCCCGTCTCTACTAAAAATACAAAACTTAGCCGGGCGTGGTGGCAGGGGCCTGTAATCCCAGCTCCTTGGGAGGCTGAGGCAAGAGAATCGCTTGAACCAGGGAGGCGGAGGTTGCAGTGAACCAAGATCACACCATTGGACTAGAGCCTGGGCGACAAGAGTGAAACTCTGTCTCAAAAAAATAAATAAATAAAATTTTTTAAATGATGATATATGTTATGTTCATGACTAGGAAGGCCTAGTATCCTAAAGATAGAAATTTTCCCCCAAATTAATCCATAAATGTTATGTACAGTAACACACCACTTAAGGACAGGGATATGTTCTGAGAAATGCATAATTAAGTGGTTTCATCATTGTGTGAACATCATAGTTAACACAAACCTAGATGGTATAGCCTACTACATACCTAGCCTATATGGTACAGCATATTGCTCCTAGGCTACAAGCCTGTACAGCATGTTACTGTACTCAATACTATAGGCAATTATAACACAATGGTAAGTATTTGTGTATCTAAACGAATCTACACATAGAAAAGCACTTTTTCAGCTCCATTATAATCTTATGGGACCACTATCACATATGTGGTCCATCATTGGCTGAAACATCATTATGCAGTGCCTAATTCCAATTAAATCCAATCAAATGCCAATAAGGCCAAGAATAACCAAGACAATCTGGGGCACAGGGAATGACAGAATTAATCTTACCAGGTAAGTTTTCTTATAAAGCTACAATAATTAAAACACAGTTGTATTGCTGTAGGGACAGACAAAGGTACACCAGTGGAATTAAGTAATTACAATAGTGTTAACCATGTGATTATACTACCTATTTTACAAACAAGTGTTTTAAAGTCTATACTTCAAAAGACACCATAAGCAAAGTAAAAACACAAGGCATATAATTTGAAGCAAGATATTTATAGTCATACAATAAATAACGCATTAGTATCCAGACTACATAAGGAAATTCTTAAGAAAAAGATAATCTAATACAAACTGGACAAAGATATGAACATGCAGATCACAGAAGGAAACTTGATAGCCAGTAAACAAATGAAAGGTTACTCAATCTCATTAATAATCAGGAAAATGCTGTTTAAATATACATTGCAATACAATTTCACCCTCAGAGGAGTGATAGTAATTAACAGGTTCAATAACACCCAGTGTTGGTGAGCACTTGGAAACATAGAATATCTTATACACTTCTAGTGGAGTGCAAATTGACACCACCACTTTGGAGAGCAATTTGGCAAAATCTAATTAAGTTAAAGATGTGTACATCCTGCAATCCAGCAGTAACATTTTTAAGTATATACCCTAGAGAAACTCTAGTACATATGCACAAAGAAACATTTTTAGAAGGTTCACAGTAACACTGTTTGTAATAGAGAAAAGCTGGAAACAACCTAAATGACCATCACAAAGCAACAGATAAATCGTGGTATATTTACAGAATGAAATATTAAATGAATGAATTAGATTTACATGTATTAATGGATAAATGTCAAGGAAGGTTAAAAAGGAAATTAGGCCGGGTGTTGTGGCTCACACCTGTAATCCCAATGCTTCAGGAGACTAAGGTGGGAGTATCACTTGAGGTCAAGAAATTGAGGTTACAATGAACTATGATCATGCCACTGCACTGCAGTCTGGGTGACAGCAAGACTCTGTCTAAAAACAAAAAGAAAAAGAAGGAAAAAGAAAACAAAAAGGAAATTTTATAAAGATGTGCACAATATGCCATTTATATAGGTTTTTAAATATGCAAAATATTACACTATGCATTGTCCATTGCTACATTTACATGCAGTGAAATATACATGATAATGACAACCAAAAAATCCATATTAATGGTTACCTCAGAAGTAGAAGTAAAAAGAATAGGAGAAGGGAAGGATGTGTAATGGAATTCAACTGTATCTATAAGACTTTTTCTATTATTTTTTAATCTAAATAAAATTAACCTAAATAAATATGGCATTGACATTTGATAGAGTAGCAAAGAGTAAGTGATGATTACACATCAGTATTTGCTATACACTCCTCTGTACTTTTCTACATAATGAATATAAATTTTAAGTTAAACCCATCCTGTAAATAATTCAAGAATCTTGAGAGAGCTCTTGCAAGATGTTAGGTAAAAAGTCAAGAAGCCAGATACTAAAGAGAAGAAATGTGAAGCCAAGAAGGCTGATGCTGGTGGCAAGGTGAAAAAGGATAAACTCACGGCCAAAAATCCCAAGAAGGGGAAGCCCCACGACAGCTGAAATCCTGTCCTCATCAGAGGAACTGGCAGATATTCCCTATCTGCTATGTATTCCAGTAAAAAAGGAAATACTCAGCCACTAAATCCAGGATTGAAAAGAAAAAGGAGAAGGTTCTTGCCACTGTCACACAACCAAAAAACTGGTGGTGATGAGAATGGTAGTACCCAGGTGGGTAAACTTTGCAAAATGCCTAGATATTACCCTACTGAAGATGTACCTTTAAAGCTGCCAAGCCACGGCAAAAACCCTTCAGTCAACATCCAAGAAAACTGTGAGCCAGCATCGCTCCCGAGACCCTCTGACCATCATCACTGGGCACTACAGACACAAGAGGGTGGCTTTTCTGAAGCAGCTGAGCTACTTGTGACTAGACCTCTGGTCTTCAAGCAAGTTCCTCTTTATAGAACACACCAGAAATTATCATTGCCACCTCCATAAAAATTAATATCAGCAATGTGAAAATCCCAAATAATCTCACTGATGCTTACGTCAAGCAGCAGCTGAGAAAGCCCAGAAGCCAGGAAGGTGAGATCTTTGACACACAAAGAGAAATATGAGATTACAAAGCAGTGCAGGGTTGATCAGAAAGATGTAGACTTGAAAATTTCATCAAAAATCAAAGCTATTTCTCATCTCCAGGGCTACCTGTGATCTATTTGCCCTGAGGAAAGGAGTTTATCTCACAAATTGGTAAATTAAATGTCTTACAAAGAACCTAATTAAATAACTGATATATTTAAAAAAAAAACTTGAGAGAATTCCAACTTTTATACTTTACTGTATTTCATATTTTAAACAACTAACTCATTGCTATACTTTTTATTATTTAAAGTACAAATAAATAAGTATATACCATAAATTGTGATCATCTATTCACACATACAAATGTAACTCTGGATGTTGGATATAATTTTCTAATTTTTTTAATAAATAAAAATCCTTTTCAGTGGCCAGGCACAGTGGCTCATGCATGTAATCCTAGCAGTTTGGGAGGCTGAGGCGGGCAGATCATTTGACGTCAGGAGTTCGAGACTAACCTGGCCAACATGATGAAACCCTGTCTCTACTAAAAATACAAAAATTAGCTTGGCTTGGTAGCAAGCGCCTGTAATCCCAGCTACCTGGGAGGCTGACACAGGAGAATTGCTTGAACCTGGGAGGGAGAGGTTGCAGTGAGCCGAGATCACACCATTGCACTCCAACCTGGGGGCAACAGAGCAAGACTCTGTCTCAAAAAAAAATTCTTTTCAGCTGGGTGTGGTGGCTCACACCTGTAATCCCAGCACTTTGGGAGGCCAAGGCAGGTGGATCACCTGAGGTCAGAAGTTCAAGACCAGCCTGGACAACATGGCGAAACTCCATCTCTACTAAAAAATACAAAAAATTAGCTGGATGTAGTGGTGGGCACCTGTAATCCCAGCTACTCAGGTGGCTGATGCAGTAGAATCGCTTGAACCCAGGAGGCGGAGGTTGCAGTGAGCCAAGATTGCATCACTGCACTCCAGCCTGGGCAACAGAGCAAGACTCCATCTCAAAAAAAAAAAAAAAGGAGGGCGTTCCAAGATGGCCAAATAGGAACAGCTCCAGTCTGCAGCTCCCAGCATGACTGATGCAGAAGACGGGTGATTTCTGCATTTCTAACTGAGGTACCTGGTTCATCTCATTGGGACTGGTTGCACAGTGGGTGCAGCCCACGGAGGGCAAGCTGAAGCAGGGCGGGGCATCGCCTCACCCGGAAAGCTGAAGGAGTCAGGGGATTTCCCTTTTCTAGCCAAGGGAAGCCATGACAGGCTACCTGGAAAAATGGGGCACTCCCGACCAAATATAGTGCTTTTCCCAAGGTCTTAGCAACTGGCAGACAAGGTGATTCTCTCCCGTGCCTGGCTCAGTAGCTCCCATGCCCACAGAGCCTTGCTCATTGCTACTGTGGCAGTCTGAGATGGATCTGCCAGAAGGCAGTCTGGCTGGGGGAGGGGCATCTGCCATTGCTGTGGCTTGAGTAGGTAAACAAAGCAGCCAGGGAAGCTCAAACTGGGTGGAGCCCACCACACCTCAACAAAGCCTACTGCCTCTAGACTCCACCTCTGTGGTCAGGGCATATCTGAACAAAAGGCAGCAGACAACTTCTGCAGACTTAAACGTCCCTGTCTGACAGCTCTTAAGAGAGCAGTGGTTCTCCCAGCATGGCGTTTGAGCTCTGAGAACAGACAGACTGCCTCCTCAAGTGTCCCTGACCCTCGTGTAGCCTAACTGGGAGACATTTCCCAGTACGGGCCAACAGACACCTCATATAGGCGGCTGCCCCTCTGGGACGAGGCTTCCAGAGGAAGGATCAGGCAGAAATATTTGCTGTTCTGCAATATTTGCTGTTCTGCAGCCTCCGCTGGTGATACCCAGGCAAACAGGGTCTGGAGTGGAACTCCAGCAAACTCCAACAGACCTGCAGCTGAGGGACCTGACTGTTAGAAGGAAAACTAACAAACAGAAAGGAATAGCATCAACATCAACAAAAAGGTCATCTACACCAAAACCCCATCTGTAGGTCGCCAACATCAAAGACTAAAGGTAGATAAAACCACAAAGATGGGGAGAAACCAGAGCAGAAAAGCTGAAAATTCTAAAAATCAGAGCGCCTCTTCTCCTCCAAAAGATCGCAGCTCCTTGCCAGCAATGGAACAAAGCTGGGTGGAGAATGACTTTAATGAGTTGACAGAAGTAGACTTCAGAAGGTCAGTAATAACAAACTTCTCCAAGCTAAAGAAGGATGTTTGAACACATCTCAAAGAAGCTAAAAACCTTGAAAAAAGATTAGATGAATGGCTAACTAGAATAAACAGTGTAGAGAAGAGCTTAAATGACCTGATGGAGCTGAAAACCATGGCACAAGAACTTTGTGACACATGCACAAGCTTCAATAGCCAATTCAGTCAAGTGGAAGAAAGGTTACCAGTGACTGAAGATCAAATTAATGAAATAAAGCAAGAAAACAAGGTTAGAGAAAAAAGAGTAAAAAAAAATGAACAAAGCCTCCAAGAAATATGGGACTATGTGAAAAGACCAAATCTACGTTTGATTTGATCACCTGAAAGTGATGGGGAGAATGGAACCAAGTTGGAAAACACTCTTCAGGATATTATCCAGGAGAACTTCCCCAACATAGCAAGGCAGGCCAACATTCAAATTCAGGAAATAACAGAGAACACCACAAAGATACTCCTCGAGAAGAGCAACCCTAAGACATATAATTGTCAGAATCACCAAGGTTTAAATGAACGAAAAAGTGTTAAGGGCAGCCAGAGAGAAAGGTCAAGTTACCCACAAAGGGAAACCCATCAGACTAACAGCATTTCTCTCAGCAGAAACCCTAAAAGCCAGAGAGAGTGGGGGCCAATATTCAACATTCTTAAAGAAAAGAATTTTCAACCCAGAATTTCATATCCAGCTAAACTAAGCTTCATAAGTGAAGGAGAAATAAAATCCTTTACAGACAAGCAAATGCTGAGAGATTTTGTCACCACCAGGCCTGCCTTACAAGAGCTTCTGAAGGAAGCACTAAACATGGAAAGGAACAACCGGTACCAGCCATTGCAAAAATAGGCCAAATTGTAAAGACCATCGATGCTATGAAGAAACTGCATCAAGTAACATGCAAAATAACCAGCAAACATCATAATGACAGGATCAAATTCACACATAACAATATTAACCTTAAATGTAAATGGGCTAAATGCCTCAATTAAAAGACACAGACTGGCAAATTGGATAAAGAGTCAAGATCCATCAGTGTGCTGTATTCAGGAGACCCACCTCACGTGCAAAGACATATATAGGCTCAAAATTAAGGGAGGAAGATCTACCAAGCAAATGCAAAGCAAAATAAAAAGCAGGGGTTGCAATCCTAGCCTCTGATAAAACAGACTTTAAACCAACAAATATCAAAAGAGACAAAGAAGGCCATTACATAATGGTAAAGGGATCAATTCAGCAAGAAGAGCTAACTATCCTAAATATATATGCACCCAATACAGGAGCACCCAGATTCATAAAGCAAGTCCTTAGAGACCTACAAAGAGACTTAGACGCCCACACAGTAATAATGGGAAACTTAACACCCCACTGCCAATATTAGATAGATCAATGAGACAGAAGGTTAACAAGGATATCCAGGACCTGAACTCAGCTCTGCAGCAAGCAGACCTAATAAACACCTACAGAACTCTCCACCCCAAATCAAGAGAATATACATTCTTCTCAGCACCACATCACCCTTATTCTAAAATTGACCACATAATTGGAAGTAAAGCACTCCTTAGCAAATGTAAAAGAACAGAAATCACAAAAAACTGTCTCTCAGACCACAGTGCAATCAAATTAGAACTCAGCATTAAGAAACTCACTCAAAACTACACAACTACATGGAAACTGAACAACTTGCTCCTGAATGACTACTGGGTAAATAACAAAATGAAGGCAGAAATAAAGATGTTCTTTGAAACCAATGAGAACAAAGACATAACATACCAGAATCTCTGGGACACATTTAAAGCAGTGTGTAGAGGGAAATTTATAGCACTAAATGCCCACAAGACAAAGTAGGAAAGATCTAAAATCGACACCTTAACACCACAATTAAAAGAACTAGAGAAGCAAGAGCAAACACATTGAAAAGCTAGCAGAAGACAAGACATAACTAAGATCAGAGCAGAACTGAAAGAGACAGAAACACAAAAAACCCTTCAAAAAAATCAATGAATCTAGGAGCTGGTTTTTTGAAAAGATCAACAAAATTGACAGACCACTAGCAAGACTAATAAAGAAGAAAAGAGAGAAGAATCAAATAGACGCAATAAAAAATGATAAAGGGGTATCACCACCAATCCCACAGAAATACAAACTACCATCAGAGAATACTATAAACACCTCTATGCAAGTAAACTAGAAAATCTAAAAGAAATGGATAATTTTCTGGACACATGCACCGTCCCAAGATTAAACCAGGAAGAAGTTGGATCTCTGAATAGACCAATAACAGGCTCTGAAATTGAGGCAATAATTAACAGCCTACCAACCAAAAAAAGTCCAGGACCAGATGGATTCACAGCCAAATTCTACTAGAGGTACAAAGAGGAGCTGGTACCATTCCTTCTGAAACTATTCCAATCAATAGAAAAAGAGGGAATCCTCCCTAACTCATTTTATGAGGCCAACGTCATCCTGATATCAAAGCCTCACAGAGACACAACAAAAAAACAGAATTTTAGACCAATATCCCTGATGAACATCGATGTGAAAATCCTCTATAAAATACAGGCAAACCGAATCCAGCAGCACATCAAAAAGCTTATCCACCACGATCAGATCAGCTTCATCCCTCGGATGCAAGGCTGGTTCCACATATGCAAATCAATAAACGTAATCCATCACATGAACAGAACCAATGACAAAAACCACGTGATTATCTCAATAGATACAGAAAAGCCCTTTGACAAAATTCAACTGCCCTTCATGCTAAAAACTCTCAATAAACTAGGTACTGATGGAATGTAAAAAAAAAAAAATCTTTTCAGACATCCAAATTGGAAAGAAAGAAGTAGAATTCTCTCCATTCGCAGGTTATATGGTCTTATGTAGAAATCCCTAAAGATTCCACAAAAACAGTATTAGAACTAATAAATGAGTCAGCAAAGTAACAGGATATGAAATCAACACACAAAAATCAATTGCATTTCTATACACTGACAATGAAGTACCTGAATAGAAAGTTAGAAAAAAAAATTCCATTTACAATAGCATCAAAAACAATAAAAACTTAGGAACTTAACCAAGCAGGTGAAAGACTGAACAACAAAAATTATTATATAAAATATTGCTGAAAGAAACTAAAGATAACATAAATAAATGGAAACACATTCCATGTTCATAGATTGAAAGGCTTATATTGTTAAGATATCAATATTACACAGAGCAACCTACAGATTCAATGTAGTCCCTATTAAAATCCCAATGATTTTTTTTGCGAAAATAGAAAAACCCATTCTAAAATTTATGGAATCACTAGGGAACTCAAATAGACAAAAGAATCTTGAGAAAGAAGAACAGTGTGGAAGGATTTACACTTCCTGATTTCAAAACATACTATAAAGCTGCAGTAATCAAAACAATGTGATACTAACAGAAAGATGGACATACAGGCCAAAGAAGTACAGAACCCAGATATAAACTTTCTCATAGTCAAATAAATGATTTTTGAAAGGATGCCAAGACCATTCAATGGGAAAAGAACAGTCTTTTTAAGAAATGATACTGGGAAAACCAAATATCCATGTGCAATAATGAAGTTGGACCCTTACCTAACACTGTAATAAAAATTAATTCAAAATAGATCAAAGACCTAAATGTAAGACTTAAAACCATAAAAGCCTTAGAAGAAAACACAGGGCAAAAACTTTGCACCACTGGAGTTAGCAATGATTTCCTGGATATGACACCAAAGACACAGGCAACAGAAGAAAAAATAGACAAATTGGACTTTAAAATTTTTGTGCATCAGAAGACAATTGTATATCAACAAAGTAAAAAGGCAACTCACAAAATGGGAGAAAATATTTGCAAACCATATATCTGATAATGGATTAATATCCAAAATAGAACAAAAAAAAACAAAAACGTGATTCAAAAAGAAGCAAAGGATTTGAATAGACATTTCTCTAAAGATACACAAATGCCCAGTGAGCACATGAGAAGATGCTCAATACCAGTAATCATTGGAGAAATGCAAATGAAAGCTACAATTAGTTATCACCTCATATCTATTAGGATGAGTACTATCAAAAAATATATAAAACAGAAGAAAATAACATGTGGGAGAGGATGTAGAGAAATTGGAACCTTGGTGCACTGCTGGTGGGAATGTAAAATGGTACAACCACTGTGGAAAACTGTATGAGGCTTCCATAAAAATTAAAAATACACCAGGTGCAGTGGCTCACACCTGTAATCCCAGCACTTTGGGAGGTCTAGGCAGGCAGATCACAAGGTCAGGAGTTTGAGAGGAGCCTAGCCAACATGGTGAAACCCTGTCTCTACTAAAAATACAAAAAAATTAGCCAGGTGTGGTGTCGTGTGCCTGTAGTCCCAGCTACTCAGGAGGCTGAGGCAGGAGAATCGCTTGAACCCGGGAGGTGGAGGCTGCAGTGAGCCAAGATCGCGCCATTGCACTCCAGCCTGGGTGACAGAGCGAGAGTCTGTCTCAAAAAAAAAAAAAAATTAAAAATTAAAAATTAAAAATAGAATTACCATATGATCCAGCAATTCTATTTCTGAGGATACACACAAAGGAATTGAAAACAGGGTCTCAAAGAGATATTTGTACACTTATGTTGACAGCAGCATTATTCACCATAGCTGGAATGTGGAAACAACCCAAGCGTTCATCAGTAGATGAATGAATAAATGAAATGTGGTATACACATACTATTCAGCCATAAAAAGGTAAGAATGCCAGGCACGGTGGCTCACACTTATGATCCCAGCACTCTGGGAGGCCAAGGCAGGAGGATCCCTTGAGCCCATAGCAAGACCCAGTTTCTACAAAATAAAATTTTAAAATTAGCCCAGGTGTGGTGGCATGCACCTTGCAGTCCCAGCTACTCGGGAGGCTGAGCTGGGAGGATTGCTTGAACTTGGGAGGTTGAGGAGTAAACCATGATGGCACCACTGCACTCTAGCTTGGGTGACAGAGCGAGACTCTGTCTCAAAAACAACAACACAATAACAAAAAAAAGGTAAGAAATTCTGATATATGCTACAACATGGATAAACCTTTAGGCCATTATGTTAAGTGAAATAAGCCAGTCACAAAAAGACAAATACTATATGATTCCACTTATATGAGGTCGTTAGAGTAGTGAAATTCATAGAAACAGAAAGTAGGATGGTGGCATCCAGGGGCTGGAGGGAGTGCTAACGGGAAGTAGCTTAGCAGGTACACAGTTTCACTTTTGTAAGATGAAAAGAGTCTGGGAGAAAAATGGTGGTGATCTTTGCACAACATTATTAATGTATTTAATACCACTGAACTGTACATTTTAAAATGGTTAAGATGGTAAATTTTATGTTATGTATATTCCAACATATTTTTTAATTGGGGGAAAATTACCATGAATCCTGAAAAAAATTATTTCAAAATTTTAAAAAGGAAAGAAAAGAGAAAACATGATGAAGTTGCAGTTTCAAGATGATGAACTGAATCAAGGATAGTCTCCCACTCCTGCAACAAATCTATTCAAATACTGGGCAAAATTTTAATAATTACTATATACTCATGCTCAAAACAAGAAGGGACACTCTGGCTGACCACAAAATATGAGAAGTCCCTGAAAGACAAAAAAAAAAAAAAAAAAGCGGCAAAGGAATGCCATTGGCCAGGATAAGAAAGAAAGAAAGAAAAGAAAGAGGGAAAGGAGAGGAGAAAAGAAAAGGATGGTAAAACACAAGATGTTTCATGCTCACAGTAGAAACCCAGAGCTAGAGAAGGCTTGGGTCAGAGGTGACTGAATAGGGCAATTATCATAACAGGCAACAGACAGGCGCTAAAGGATTCTCCATTAAAAATAAGCGCACAATGACAGATCTCCAAACATTTGAGGACTGTCTACGCCATGAGGGAGAGACAAACTCACCAAACAGGAGAGCTCAAAGGAAACAGGGTCAATAGCGTGACTCGAACAGAATCTTTTACCATAAGAATATTTTATATACTTAGAAAAATATGGGAGGATACCACATCCATTAAGTAAAAAGAACAGGCAATGAAAAAAGAACCAGTCTCAATAAAAATTGAACTGTTGATATTAAGAAGATAATAAAAGCGCTGAGTTGCAGAATTAACACATCTAAAGAATGAATCAGAGGCCCAGAGCTCTTCCAGAAATGGTCACCAAAGAATAGAATGATAGAAACTACACAAGAAAATTAGCAAAGGAAAAGAAGAAGGAAGAAAAATAAACACCTCCCATAACAGAAGATAGACATGTGTCTGCAGAATGAAAGGGCCCACTAAATGCCAAAATAAATAAATCACACACACCCAGCCCTACTAGGCATGAAAACTCATTATAAGGCTTCTATGGTTAAGACAGTAGAGTACTGTGCATGACTAGACAGATTAATGGAACAGAAGAGAAAACTCAGAAATAAGAACATTTAGTTTACATTAGGGCAGTATCTCAAATCAGTGGGGAAAGATAGGCTTTAGGGATAAAATGGAGTTGGTGCGCTAGGATAGTCATGGAGAAGAAGATAAAACTGGGTCCATCCTTTAACCCAAACCCTGGAATAAATGCCAAACAGATCAGAGGCCTAAAAGTTAAAAACTGAAACCATACAAGTACTAGAAAAAAACACAGGTGAATATCCAACATCATGATTGGGAGAGAACGTTCCTTCATATAATTTAAAATCTAGAAGCTGTTAAAGTTAAAAAAAAAATCATAAATTCGACTACAACTACAACCAAGTCAAACTTCTATATAGCAAAAAATCAATTGCTCCTATATATTAGCACTAACCAGTTTTATAGTAGGAAAGGAAAGATATCAGTACCATAATGTGCCTTGGCATACACCTGATAAGAAATGTGCAAGAAATAGTATAACTGTAAGACTTAACTGAACAATAATGAAAATGACCCGGAGAGAGAAACCATTTTCGAGAACAGTAAGATTTTTTATAATAACATTTTCAGCTCCCTTCCAATAATCTAAACATTCAATGCAAACACAATCCCAATACCAAAACAAGATTTGCAAGGACTTGCATAAGGTGATTCTAAAATGCACACGAAAATGTAAATATGTGAACGTAGTAAATAACTGTTTTGAAATGAAAAGAGGAGAACTTGCCCTACCAAGTATCAAAACATGTTATGAAACTACAGGTATTAATATTGTTTGGTTTTAGAGTAAGGAGAGATGGACCAAAGAAATGTAATTGAGAGCTCAGAAATGGGTTCATGTGTAGATAGCATCATTTCAAGTCAGTGGGAGAAAACTGGATGTGTTAATAATGGTATTGAGGCAACTGACTCTCTATTTTTGAATAAAATTATGCCCCTACACACTATTCTCAAAATTAAATTCCAGATAGATGAAAGAACCTAAATATTCCAAAAAGTGAAAGCTTTGAAGACAATATAAAGTTTGAGAAAATCTTCTTAAATCACAAACAGGCCAAGTGTAGTGGCTCATACCTGTAATCCCAGTGCTTTGGGAGGCTGTGGCAGGAGGATCTCTTGAGGCCAGGAGTTCAAGACCAGCCTGGGCAATACAGTGAGACCCCCCACCTCTACAGAAAACTTTAAAAATTAGGCAGGGCGTGGTGGCTCGCACCAGCACTTTGGGAGGCCAAGGCAGGTGGATCACCTGAGGTTAGGAGTTCGAGATCAGCCTGACATGGTGGAGTTTGAGACCACCAACATGGTGAAACACTGCCTCTACTAAAAATTCAAAAATTAGCCAGCCATGGTGGCACACACCTGTAATCCCAGCTTCTCAGGAGACTGAGACAGGAGAATCGCTTGAACCCAGGAGGCGGAGGTTACAGTGAGCCAAGATAGTGCCACTGCACTCCAGCCTGGGTGACAGAGCGAGACTCTGTCTCAAAAAAAAAAAAAAAATTAGCTGGTTGTGGTGATGGGTGCCTATAGTCCTACCTCCTCCAGAGGCTGAGATGGAGGGATCGCCTGAGACTAGGATTCAAGTGAGCCATGATCAGGCCACTGCTCTCTAGCCTGTGTAACAGAATGAGACCCTGTCACTAGAAACATACATAATAATCACAAACAGATGTATATAAAGAAAAAATAATAAAGTTGACTAAATCAAAATGTAAAATTTTGGCAAAAAACAACATAAGCAACACAAAAAGTCATGTTACACACTGGAAAATATGTATGTATCATACACATAACTAGGTATCCAGTCTATATGAAGATCTCCCAGGAAAAAAGAGAACCCAACGGGAAAGTGGATAGACAGGCAATTCATTAGAGGAAAAACACCATAGACAATAATGTGAAAGTATGTTCCATGTTCCTTGCCTCTTCCAGCTCCTGGTGGTACTGGTATTTCTTGGCTTGTGGCTGCATCATGCCAACCTCTGCCTCTGTGGCCACATTGCCTTCTCCTCTTCTACTGTGTGGTACCTCCCTCTGCCTCCTTCTCATGAGGATACTTATGATTACACTGGAGGCACACCCAAATAATTCAGGATAATTTCACCTCAATTATATATCTTGCCATATAAAATCCATCCTTTAGGTAATATCCACAGGTTCCAGGAATAATGATGTGGTTATCTTTGGGGTGGTGCATTATTTAACCTAGCACAAACTGGTTCACCCAGTTTTCTAGGTGTAGGGTAAGGTTAATAATAAAAACTATCCAAAAGAGTTATGATAATTGAATTAGTTAATACACTTAGAACAGTGCCTGGCACATAGTAACTGTTGGAGAAATAGTAGCTGCTACTACTAGTAGTAACAGTAGTGAAGAATATTTTAGACAAGACACAAAAATTTCAAACCATTAAAAAATTAATTTTTAAAATTCAACTCCATTAAACTCAAATTATCTGTATAATAAAGAACACTACAAACAAAGAAGTTAAACTTCAGAATGGAAGAAGATATTTGCAACACACCAACAAAAGATTAGTGTCTATAATATATAAAGAATTTCTACAAATCAGTAAGAAAAAGACAACCCTAAAAATGTGGAAAAGATCTAAACAGATAATTCACAGAAAGAAAACCTAAATGGCCAAGAAATATGAAGCAATGTTTAACCTAACTAATAATCAGAAAAGTAAATTTAAAATTGCAGTGAGATACCATTTCACATCTATCATGTTGGCAAATCACGAAAAACTAACTATGAACCAATTATTGGCAGGATGGAAAGCAGTGCTGAGAGTATAAATGGTTAAACTGATTCAGCAATCAGTCCAAGCAGAATGTTCATAAACATTTGTATCACATTTTATCAAACCTAAAGCAACACTGATTACAAGATGCATTGTTATTCTACATACTAAGAATAAAACTTCCAAATACTTGTAAGGTATCATAATAATATCAGAGATGATAAAATGAGGGGGGGAAAGTACATCTCAGACTGTATAAAGTAATAGTGAAAAAATTAGAAATAACCTAAATGTTCGTTCATCACAGAAATGGCTCAGTAAAATGCACTATACATTTGTACTATGAAATTCTTGTAGCAGTTAAAAGAAATTTATCAAAGAAAAGATATTACTAAGTGAAAATAGCAAGATGCAGAATCATATACAGTTAATATTTATGTGCACACACACCCAAGAAATCACACCAAAATTTTTTAAATTACCTTTTATGATAGATGGATTGCATTAAAGCCTCAATTTTTCATATTTCCCTGAATCCATGCCCTCTTGCACTGCCTGCCCATACTAACACTGGGCTTAGCTATGTATTTGCTTTGGCCAATGGAGCAATAGAAAACTTGGCATAAGCAGAAGCTTGAATGAACACTTGGTATTGCCTTATAGTTCTTGTCCCTGAAGAAAGGGAACCTAGGAGTCTTTAAAACATGTCTGACATACCCAGAGCAGCAGTGGTTAAGTCTAAAAAAGAAAGCTCTCAAAAAATTATGGGTGTGGCTTTTGACAAATGGCATTAAATGCAATGAGAAGCCTAGAAAACCCACAATGTTTTTGAGGATGTTCCATTGTCATAAATGCCCCCAGTCTGAGTAGAAATTATTCAAAATGAAAAAAAGGTCTGTGGACAGGAAGAAGGCTGAGAAGGACATTGCTTAAAGGGCACATCTTGTCTTCAGAAGTGGCCAAGGAGGATAATGGAAAAAGGAGGACACCTCAAAGGGTGAAGCCAAGGGCCTTGGAAAATAGTGGATTTGAAAACTTCATAGAAACCAGAAGCCCTCTTTCAAAAAAAAAAAAGAAAAGAAAAGAAAAGAAAGCCACTCTGAGTGAGCAGAATTGGGTGTTAATCAAGGGATATTCACCACCCCTGTGGTAAGGGGTATCTGCAAGTGAAGTTCTTCCCAAAACAGGGGAACCTGACAATGTTTTCCAAGCTGGATTGTAGAATTGCTACCGACAGTGATGCAATGTGCCTCCCACTCTTTTGAGTAGGAGTACCTATTGCAATTTTCCTGTCCCTGTCTTACCACTGTATGTTGGGAGGAGGAGATAAATTATCTTTTTAGTTCATAGGTCCCCAGATCAAGAGAAATTTCATCCAAGGAGCCACAAGCAGAGCTGATATAGATCATGAGATCCTAGGCTTCAAACATAATGATGTGATTGGATAACCTTTTGGGGATCCTAGAATGGGGGTGAGCATATTTTGCATATGGGAGGGATATGGTTAGTTGTGGCCAAAAGTGCACAATGGTAGACTGACTACATTAGTGGCCCCAAAGTTTCACGCCTCCCTCTATCTGTGCCTTTTAGTAGTATCACTGCACACTAACTCTGTACTTAACCATGTGACTTGCTTTGGCCAATGGACAGAGGCAAAATTGACGCAAGAAGGGTCTTCAAAAAGTGCTTGAATGTTTCTTGGACTCACATGATGAGAATATTCCCAGAATACCCTAATGGAAGGATATGAAAGATAACAGCAGGAAAGCAAAGTCATTCCAGTCCAGGCCATCAGACCAACTACACCACAGGCATCCAGCTTGCTGAGCAAGGTCAGCCCAAATCAGTTGAACTACCCATCCAACCTGTAGACTCATGGATAAATGATTGTCATTTTAAGCAACTAAGTGTTGGGGTGATATGTTAAGAGACAGAATGGTGTTCAAAGGGACTTTAGCCTTACCGATAATTTTCCTTTTTAAAAAAAATGATTAAGAATAATAAGACAAGCTAGGCCCAGTGGCCCACGCCTGTAATCCCAGCACTTTGGGAGGCCAAGGCAGGTAAATCACTTGAGCTCTAGAGTTCGAGACCACCCTGAACAACATGGCAAAACCCCTTTGTTATCAGTCCATTCTCACACTGTTAATAAAGACATATTTGAGACTGCATAATTTATAAAGGAAAGAAGTTCAATTGACTCACAGTTCTGCATGGCTGGGGAGGCCTCAGGAAACTTACAATTATGGCAGAAAGTGAGAGAGAAGCAAGGCACCTTCTTCACAAGGCAGCAGGAAGGAGAAGTGTCCCATCAGATCTCATGAGAACTCACTATCATGAGAACAGCATGAGGGTAACCATCGCCATGATTCAATAACCTCCAACCAGGTCCCTCCCACGACATGTGGAGATTATGGGAACTACAATTCAAGATGAGATTTAGGTGGAGACACAGCCAAATCAAATCACCCATCTCTACTAAAAATACAAAAATTAGCTGGGTGTGGTGGCACTGGCCTGTAATCCCAGCTACTCGGGAGGCTGGGGTAGGAGGATTCGCTTGAGCCTGGGAGGTAGAGGTTGCAATGAGCCAAGATGTTGCCACTGCACTCCAGCCTGGGCAACAGAGACAGACTCTGTCTCAAAATATAAATAAATAAATAAATAAATAAGATGTAATTTATTTGTGTGATTAAAGATTCATTTTTAAGTGGCAAAAGCTACAAACAGATCATTTTTGAGAATACAAATGTCCAAAACATTATAAAAAGATGCTTATCCTTACTAGTATTCAGTCAAATGCAGATTAAAATAGTTGGATCAATTGTGACACATCAAGTTGGAAAAAAAAAGAATAAGGTTAACAACATTAAATATTTATGAAGGTATGTGGAAACAGGAACCCCAAAAAGTGCTAGAAGTATAAACTACTATAGTCACTTTGTCTATGTCTGATTATTCAAAGACCAGAAATTTCAAAGCTTAGTATCCATTCAGCACTAAAAATCACCAAAAAATATTGTGCTTCTACCGCATCTCCCAACAGACTAGCATGAAACTCTCAAAATAAAAAACAATACACATGAAGAGACATCTCGCTGAAAAGAATACACAGATGGCAAATAAGCCCATGAAAGATGTTCAACATCATTAGCCATTAGGGAAACGCAAATCAAGATTACAATGAGCTATCACTATAGCTGTTAGAGCAGCTAAAATAAATAGTGACAATGCCAACTGCTGACAAGGAAGTGGAGAAACTGTATCTCTCTCACACTGCTGATATAGCCACTCCAGAAAGCAACTTAGCAATTTATTTAAAAATTAAATATATACGGCCAGGCGCGGTGGCTCACGCCTGTAATCCCAGCACTTTGGGAGGCCGAGGCAGGTGGATCACAAGGTCAAGAGATCGAGACCATCCTGGCTAACATGGTGTAACCTCGTCTCTACTAAAAATAAAAAAAATTAACTGGGCATGGTGGCAGGCACCTGTAGTCCCAGCTACTTGGGAGACTAAGGCAGAAGAATGGCGTGAACCTGGGAGGCGGAGTTTGCAGTGAGCCGAGATCGCACCACTGCACTCCAGCCTGGGCGACAGAGTGAGACTCCAACTCAAAAAAAAAAAAATTAAATATATACTTATCATATGACTGGCAATTGCGTATGACCCAGAAGTCAATGAGGAATACTAATATATCCATATGACACTTGAACATGGTTATTCATAACAGCTTTATTTACAATAGCCAAAAATTGGAAACAATAAAAACCTCCTTTAATACAATGATGGTCAAACACCCATACCATGGAATACTACTATCAATGAAAAGGAATGAACTATTCATACATGCAACAACTTGGATGGAGCTCTAGGACATTATGCTAAGTGAAAAAAAAACCCATCTTAAAAGGTCACATATTTTTCCATCTATATAACATTCTCAAAATGACAAATTTATAGAGACAGAAAATAGATTAGTGGCTCCAGAGGTTCGGAATGGCTGAGGAAGAGGCATGAGTCTGACTCTAAAGGGGTAGCACCAGGGAGATCTTTACAGGAAGATACTAGTTCTGTATCTTGATTGCACTGTCTACAGGCATCCACACAACTGATAAAGTGATATTAACCATACAATACATCATACCAATGTCAGTTTCCTGGTTTCAATCTTGTTCTATAATTATATAAGATGTGGCTGGGCATGGTGGCTCACACTTGTAATCCCAGGACTTTGGGAGGCCAAGGTGGGTGGATCACTTGAGATCAGGAGTTCCAGACCAGCCTGGTCAACATGGTGAAACCCCGTCTCTACTAAAAATACAAAAACTAGCCAGGCGTGGTGGTGGGTGCCTGTAATCCTAGCTACTTGGGAGGCTGAGGTAGGAGAATCGCTTGAATTCAGGAGGCGGAGATTCCAGTGAGCCGAGATCACACCATTGCACTCCAGCCTGAGCAACAAAGTGAGACTCCATCTCAAAAAAATATTATGTAAGATGTAACCATTGGGGAAAATTGGATGATGGGCACACAGGACTTCTATGTAGTGTCTTTGTAACTTCTTGGGACTCCATATTTCCAAATAAAAAGTTTTTAAATTTAATGAATAAGAGCAATACTAAACCATAAAACATATGCTAAAATCACTTATTTCTAAATTTTCTGATGGCAGAATTGTAGATTATGTTATCAAAAAATGAATCCTCAAAATTAAGAACCAAAAAAAAAATGAATCCTCATTTTTTGGTGTCCCTGCTAGGCTGAGTGGTGATCAGAGCACACGTTCACTTAGTTTACCACATGATAGCCTAGCCAAGCGGCTTCTAGAGTAGTATTTTTTTAAACTTTCGGTTGAAATCCATTCAGGAACTGTGAAATAAAGTTAGTGGCTGGCAACCAGCATTTGTTCTGAATGGAATAGAATAGAGTAGCCCAGGAAATAATCAGAATGTAACACAGGTATTGAGGACAAGTATAGTTTCTTGAAGTTTTGTTTTATATGTGGGTATGTCCACTGGATCATTACATAAAATGTATTTCTTACTGGAGATTATCAAAGATATTTTTAGAAAACCCTGTCCTAGAACAACACCTTTCCTTGTGTACACACTTCCCATAAAGCATTCCATTAAAGAAAATAAGGAATGTAAACTTCTGCCACCAACAGGGGAATAGCTAAATAAACCATGGGGAGGCTACCCCAAGGAACACTGTTGTGGTCTTTTTCATTGCTGCCATGACAAATTACCAACTTAAAACAACACAAATTTATTCCTTTTCAGTTCTGGTACTCAGAAGTCCAGCGTGTGTCTCCCCAGACTAAAATCAAGGTGTCTCCAGGCTGTGTTCCTTTCTGGAGGCTTGCGGGGAGAATTCATTTCCTACTGATTTGTTCTTTTTCTTGCTGGCTGCAAGCCGAGAGCCATTCCCAGTTTCTAGAGGTTGCTGCATCACTTGGCTCATGGCCCAATTCCTCCACCCTCCAAACAGCAGGTCCTTCTCCCATCGCCTCTCTGTGACCTACCCTCTGCCTCCCTCTTCCACTTTTAATGCCCCCATTAATTAGATTGGGCCCACCTTCATAATCCAAAATAATCTCTTCCTCTCAAGGTCCTTACCCATAATCACATTTACAAAGTTCCTCTGCCATGGAAGATAATATATTCACAGTGGACATCTGGTGAGGGCTGGGGGGCAGAGTGTATTCTTCTGCCTACCACAATCCTGAAGCTGTTTTTAAAAAATAAGAGACCTTTAGATACTGATAATGTGGCTGGATAGCCAAGAAATTTTGTTAAATGAAAAAAGCAAGTTTGTAGAATGTATTTATTACCTCTCCTATTTTTAAACACACACATAAACATACCCACAAGTACTATGAATTTTCAATGAGTATATTTGTATTTATGTAGATACATAGAATATACCATATATGTATATATGTATAAATACCATATTTGTACTGTACTTTTTCTATGTTTAGATACACAAATACTTAGGATTGTTTTACAAGTACCTACCGTAATCAGTACAGTAACCTGCTGTACAGGTTTGTAGCCTAGGAGCAACAGGCCATATCATATAGCCTAGGTGTGTATTGGGCTGTACCATCTAGGTTTGTGCTAGTACACTCTATGATATTTGCACAATGATGAAATCACCTAAGGACGCATTTCTCAGAATGCATCCCCATCCTAAGTGGTGCATGACTGTATATATGTTTGAGAGGCTTTTTTTTGAGATGGAATCTCACTCTGTTGCCAGATTGGAGTGCGGTGGCATAATCTCGGCTCCCTGCAACCTCCACCTCCCAGATTCAAGCAATTCTCCTTCCTCAGCCACCCAAGTAGCTGGGATTACAAGCACGCACCACCATGCCCAGTTAATTTTTGTATTTTAGTAGACGGGGTTTCACCACGTTGGCCAGGCTGGTCTCAAACTCCTGACCTCAGGTGATCCACCAACCTCTGCCTCCCAATGTGCAGGGATTACAGGCGTGAGTCACCGCGCCCGGCCTGGGAGAGGTTTTAAGGGTGGAAGTGACACCTACCAGCACCTGCTGGTTTCCTGTTGTCTTTACTAGCCATGAGCTCTGTCCAGTATTTAAGAGCCTCTGTCCCCTCCTAGTTGCGGCAACTCCCAGGCTTTCATGGTTCCAACCCTCAGGAAGGACAGTCATTGCCTTAGACAACCTTGCCTGCAAAGGGCAAAAAGACCAAGAAAGAGCCCTCCAAAATGGTTCTGACCTGAACAAATGCAGTCAAGAGTGAACTTCATTCCTCACACACTTCTTTCCTGGCTAAAGAACTGGCCTACCTCTCTGTCTAGTGTCTGGGGTGTGACCACAAAGATGACCCCTCCATCAGGATCCTCTACACAATCTCTTCTAGGCAAAGTCCCAGGGCCTGATCTGGGACTCAACATTTAAGAAACATCTTCCTCCTTGGGCTCCCTCTGCTCATCTTCGGTGAATATGAAATTTGTGCTTGAGCCAGATGCGGTGGCTCACGCCTGTAATCCCAGCACTTTGGGAGGTCAAGGTGGGTGGATCACCTGAGGTCAGGAGTTCGAGACCAGCCTGACTAACATGGTGAAGCCCTGTCTCTACTAAAAACACAAAAATTAGCCGGGCGTGGTAGCAGGTGCCTGTTATCCCAGCTACGCAGGATGCTGAGGCAGGAGAGTTGCTTGAACCCAGGAGGTAGAGTTGTAGTGAGCCAAGATCCAGCCTGGGTGACAGAGTGAGACTACGTCTCAAAAAAAAAAAAAAAATGTGCACGAAATTCCAATTCCTTTTGAAGACACTCATCAGCTCCTGGGCATTTTCTTCACTCCAATTCCATGCTCTGATTGTGACACCTAAATTATTTCTCTGGAAATTACAGGTATTAGCTGAATCTCTGTTGTACTCCCTGCATCAGATGGTGCCACACTCCAGGCTGGAGAGACATCCTGGTTCTGCTGCCCACTGGTCTGGCTACCCAGCCTGCATGTGGCACTTTGATGAAATTTGATTATCAAATCTGTATCTCCCACCTCAGACATGAGCCCCAAAGGATTTTCTGTCTTAATTATTTATGCTCCCCTTGTTTTCAGCTTTGTGGCTGTGGGAACATTTTCTTTCTACCCATGATCATTTTACTGAGCTCCAAGAGAAAATCCCCCTCACTGCACCCAGTCCTCAAATATCCCCAACCTGGCACCTTCGTTAACCCCTGGAAGAGGCCAGGCACCAGCACACAGGCCCAAGCTTTGTCGTTCCCAGTCCGGAAACAGGAACATAACACAGGAGAGATGCATGCTGGAGGAGCTCAGGCAGAGCTTGGAACACAACTTCCTCAGGAGGGTGCCCTGGCAGCCCCCAACAGAAGAGTTCCTTAGGGTTAGGAACACCCATCCCTACAAGCCACCCTGTTCTAGACACTCTGGCCTCCTGTCAGGGCTCAGGAGCCCCGGCCTTGCCCCTCACAGACACTAAGCCAGGACAAGGACACTGAGGAAAGCTGGGCCTTCCCACCCGAGCCAATCGTCTGCCTGAAGCTCAGCCCCTTTGCATACAGAGACCCACCTAAGGCCCCAGAGAGCCACCAGAAAACTCCAAGAGAAAAAAGTGGGGCTACCACAGCACAGATAGGACTGAGAGATTTTTTTGAGCCAGAGAAGCTAAGGAGCTGGCAAAGACAAATACAGAGCTACAGAGGAGGGAAGGACACCAAGAAGGAGAGGGGCCCAACTGCTAAGGGCATCCTCTTAAGGGAGACTGGGGAAGCTGGCCGTATAGGAAGTTCAACGAGGACACAGGGAGCGGAGGCCGGCCATCTCCACACAGCACCTGCCTCTGGCAATCACCTTCTTCCAATCACCTTCTCTTCTCTGAGATTGGGGCTTGCAAGGAACTTGGACCAGCTAAATCCATGTCACTATTTTTTTTTTTAATGGAGACAGGGTCCCACTCTGTCACCCAGTCTAGAGTGCAGTGGTGTGACCATAACTCACTGCAGACTCGAACTCCTGGGCTCAAGTGATCCTCCCACCTCAGGCTCCCGAGTAGCTGGGATTACAGGTGCGTGTCACCATGTCCAGCTTTTTTTTTTTTTAATTTGAGACGAAGTCTTGCTCTGCCACCCAGGGTGGAGTGCAGTGGCATGATCTCAGCTCACTGCAACCTCCACCTCCCAGGTTCAAGCGATTCTCCTGCCTCAGCCTCCTGAGTAGCTGGGATTACAGGCGCCCGCCACCATGCCCAGCTAATTTTTGTATTTTTAGTAGAGATGGGGTTTCACCATGTTTGCCAGGCTGGTCTTGAACTCCTGACCTCAAATGAACCTCCTGCCTCAGCCTCCCAAAGTGCTGGGATTACAGGCATGAGCCACCAAGCCTGGCTACCCCAGCTATTTTTTTAATTTTTGTAGAGATGAGGTCTTGCCATCTTGCCCAGGCTGGTGTTGAACTCCTGGGCTCTAGCAATCCTCCTGCCTCTCCCAAAGTGTTGGGATTACAGTCATGAACCACTGCACCCAGCCTTGTCAGTTTCCCTTTCAGCTCTTATAATCCCAGAATTTACTGAATCCCAGGGCCGAAGTCAAGCAGCCCCAGGAAACACCTTCACTTCAGTGACTAAGTTCTTCTTTACCAGGCTGGCGAGGACTGCATCACTCTGAAACAAACTGACAGTGTGACATGGGACAAAGCTCCCAGGCCCCATATGGCTTTGGAGATTCTACCTCACCGGTCCCAGGGCCCAGCCCTGACCTTGGAGAAAGGAGCTGAACCACCAGTGTCCTCCAGCACCATGGTCATAGTTATATGGATACTCCCTCATGGGGGCGGGTAGTGTCTTAACACAAAAAGGGTAGCGCCCTAGGATGTCAAACACAAATGCAAGTTGGTGGGGACAGTGTTTCAGGGTAATGAAATTACCTGTGTTTCAGGGTAATGGGGGACTTTTCTGATGCCCTTGCAAACCCCACCACAAAGAGCCATGTACCTCTATAGGCTTGGGTCCAGGTGAAAGAGGAAAGCTAGCGACTGGGTACAACTTCTTTCCAGGCCAACAACGCTCTCTGAGCTTTAGCAAAGTGATCTGCTATAAGCCTGCACTGCCTGCCCTGCAGGCCCACTCCTTGCCCTATGGACCAAGACATGGCTCCTGACACCAGGAAGGGGGTTCTCGCAGGAGAATGGAAAGCCAGATGCACACATGTGCCACCATTCCCTCAAGTCTGGGGATATGCCTGAGGAAGCACTTAAACGCAGATACAGGCTTTACAAATGAGCAGCCACGCTTCTGTTGTGAGAGTTAACTGTGAGGACCACTGAAGGCCCTGATGGATTCCATAACCGGAAATCCATCTGTTAACCAGTCAGGTGTTACACCAAAGAGTATCCCTGTGGCTACTGGGCAATTGAATTCTTGACCTTCAGTTCCACTTTACTAGAGCAAGTCACAGCACATTGATTTAATGTATGAATACATAAGGAAGAATAAGATGAAATATGGAAATATTAGTCAAGATAAATAAGATTTTGCAAAGCTAGACAAACTAGATAAGGATCTTACTTTTCAATATTCTTCCTGCTTTGGCTCAATCTATTTTTCTTTTTCTCCCTTTTTTTTTCCTTTTTTTTTTTTTTTTTTTTTTTTTTTTTTGAGATGGAGTTTCGCTCTTGTTGCCCAGGCTGGAGTGCAATGGCGCAATCTCGGCTCACCGCAACCTCTGCCTCCCGGGTTCAAGCAATTCTCTTGCCTCAGCCTCCCGAGTAGCTAAGATTACAGGCATGTGCCACCATGCCCAGCTAATTTCACATTTTTAGTAGAGACACGGTTTCTCCACCTTGGTCAGGCTGGTCTTAAACTCCCGACCTCAGGTGATCTGCCTGCCTCTGCCTCCCAAAGTGCTGGGATTATAGGCATGAGCCACCACACCCAGCCCCTTTTTCTTGTTTTAAGAAAACTACCTACTAATGCTTTTGAAAAGAGGCAATATACGAGACACACCATGGAAAATATAAAAGAGAAAAGAATTCTATGGCTAACCAGCAAACCAGGCTCCCATGTCCTGAGCAGGAAGCATATCTGTTGGCATCATGGGCATTCCAGCTGCCTTTGTTACCATCCCTCAGACTTTTCCAGAACCAAGAACAAAATACCCATGAGAGAGACCCCAGGAGGCAGAACACAAGGGGAGTTTGACAAACGTTGCATCTTGTTTCCATTAACAGTTTCCTAACCCCAGAATAGCCAGGCCCATGCAGCAACCCTCTCAAGAGACCTATAACCCTGGCTGTTTGGAAGATAAATGGAAAGCTTTGGGAGCTTAGAGCACTTTCATCAAGGGTGGTGAGAGCTGAGTGATCACCCATTCTCCTCCGTGAGACCAGAACTCTGCATCAGAGGGGCTGTGAGGGAATTTTCCATAACCTGTATTATGAGAGGTAGTGACATGGTCACAAGGCCAGGCCAGAGAGGCAAAATGGTCACATAGCAAATAAGCAGCAGAGCCTGACTTCCAGGCCCAGCTCTTTCCCTCTGACTCTACTCACCAGGGATTTTGCATATAAAAACTAGCAGGACTGAGATAAAGTGGAAACGGAGGATACCTTTAGACACTTAAAAAAAAAGAACAACCTCTGCTAGATCCTGGGAGCTCTGAGAGCAACTTGAGCCCCCGCAGGGCTGCTGCCCAGACAGTTCTCACACCATTATCTGATAAAATGTGTTCAAACGGTGGCAGATGACTGTCTCCAGGACTCTGGATTATCTGCCCATTAAATCAGATTGCTAATAAAGAAGTTTTAATGTAGAGTATGAATCTTCAAGCAGTAACTGCTTACCCCAAGTTCTTGTACTAAATACTCCACAGTGAATCTCTAAGCAAAAGAACATCTGTCACAGCAGCAGCTTTAGTCAACATTAGACAGCTGGGCAAATCCCAGGCCCCCAGCAGGCACAGTGAGGCCTCCGTGGCCATGTACGCGCACATGCCCATGTGCGTACAGCCCTCCCCTGCTGAGGAGCACACAATTGATAGTATAGGGACACCCAGACTTGCCACAAGAAGTCCTTTGTTACCTGCCCCAACCACACCAAACATTTCTCCTTCATGGTTGTATTGCCAAACACCTTAAGCAGGAATAACCTGAGACAGAAGAGTCTTCCCTAAGCAGGGAGGCACACAGCTGCCTGGAACACCCTCCTGAAGATGTTTTATTCAATCACAGAATAAATTAGTCTCAGGATAGGAATCACGGATGATTCTACTCCGGAAAGAAGAAAGAATATAGAAACCAGTCCGTCTGGTAGCACATGGGAGACTGCAACCCAAATTCAATGTGTGCTAGCAATTCTAAGTCGTAACTGAACTAAAACTATACCTACCCTATACTTAACATTCACGCTGTGCCAGGCCTAGTGGTGAGCACTTGCTTTGTCTCATTTTGTTTTCACAACCACTCTAGGAGGCTGGAATTGTCACCTCCAATTTACAGATGAGGAAACTAAGGCCCAAATAGGTAAGTAACATGCCCTAAGTCACAGAGCTAATAAGTGACAGAACCTGAACTCAAATCTACTCTATCTTAATCATTCACTGCCTTGTGGCAATTACAAATTTATGGACACATGTGTCTAAGATGCACCTTTGGGAAAGGACTCAGTAAAGGAAAGAGACGTGAGGGGCTCTGACTTTCCCAAGCTGCATGTCAGTCCTCTGTTCACACTGATGGACAGTGCTGGCCATGCTTCTTCCATGTCAAGACCTCACAATGGAGACTTGAACTCGGACTCTGCAACATCACCAAGAACTTTCCCTGGATGGCTGGCACCCTCTTGGTGCTTTTCATCGAGTTCTTTATGTAAGATCCAGGCCTGACACACAGTATTTACATCATAATTTTCTCACCCACCACACAAAACAGATAACAAGGCAGAAATAGGATATCTCTGTTTCATTTCAAACTGAAATAACATTTGTAGGTTTAGGAAAATTAAAATTCACTTTGCTCACAGTCCACCAGCAACCACAACAGGAAGCAAGCAAGACTGTGACACTCACAGCTCACATGTGCAGCCAGGAATCCCAGCTGAGGAGCAAACTTCAGAAGGAAACAAACTGAGTCGTGACCTGAACTCACTGAATTTCAACAAATACCCATTTCTATGCAACACAATACACTTACTCCTCAGGGAGCCAAAGTGCAGCCTCTGAGCAGGGGTGATTGGCAGCCTCCTCCCCTTTCTGTCACTTCTCCATGGACCCTCCATATACATCTATTCCCAGAAGTCCATGTGTTTGGGCAACCCTGTGAGTACAGGAGCATGGGAACTCGGGCACATGCCAGTCAAAACAGGCAGAGAAGGGGCCACGTACTGTGATTTTTCTCCGGGGTGCAGAGGCTATGGAGGGGATTCATCCCACTTACCAAATAACAACTATGTGCCAGGCCTGGTGCCAATGATGGGGGCTGCAGCCGTGAATGGGACCTGGGTCTTCCTCATACAACCCCTGAGCTAGGAGGACAAACAGACCGGTGAGCAGATGCCGGCAGCCCAGTGTGATCAGACCTGGGGTACAAGACACACAGAACACCCTGGGAGGATGCTGGACACCATACCAGGCAGAGGAGGGGCACCCTGGCAGAAGCAGTGAAGCTTCCTGGAAGAACTTCTCAGCCAAGACTTGAAGAATTATAAGTTAGCTTTGCAAAGCAAAAGAGACAGTGAGGGGCCAGTGTTCTTGAAAGAAGCATCAACATGTCCAAATGCCTGGAAGCCAGGAAGGCTGTAGCCCACTCACAAAACTAGAAGCAGCTGCTGCAGTTGGTGTGCAATATGGGAGGATTTACCCTCCACGTGCTCGCTCCATCCTGAGCCCTGACAGGATGAGGAACGCAGCCAGCAGCCAGCAGCCAGCACGTGGCCTTCACAGGGGAAGCAGGCCTACCGCAGCCTGATGGCAGGTGTCCAGGCTTCTCTGAGAACGACCTCCTTGTGATGTTGTCACCAGAAAGGAGTCCCAATCTAGACCCCAAGAGAGGGTTCTTGGATCTAGCACAAGAAAGAATTCGGGGCAAGTCCATCTTGAAAGCAACTTTATTAGGAAAGTAAAGGAATAAAAGAATGGCTACTCCATAGGCAGAGCAGCCACAAGGGCTGCTGGCTGCCCATTTTTATGGTTATTTCTTAATGATGTGCTAAACAAGGGGTGGAGTATTCATGCCTCCCCTTTTTAGACCATATAGGGTAACCTCCTGATGTTGCCATAGCACTTGTAAGCTGTCATGGCGCTGCTGGGAGTGTAGCAGTGAGGACGACCAGAGGTCACTCTTGTCGCCATCTTGGTTTTAGTGGAGTTTGGCCAGCTTCTTTATTGCAACCTGTTTTATCAGCAAGGTCTTATGACCTGTATCTCCTGTCGACCTCCTATATTATTCCATGACTTAGAATGCCTAACGGTCTGGGAATGCAGCCCAGTAGGTCTTAGCCTTATTTTACCCAGCTCCTATTCAAGATGAAGTTGCTCTGGTTCTAATGCCTCTGAGAACGTTCTGGGGGTCCAGAGGTGTTTCCAGCCAGCCTGCCCAGCTCTGCATGCCATGAGGGATCAGCACAATGAGGACAGCAGACCTTGTCATCAATGAGCAGTTTGGGAGTTGGGGTGAGGTAGAGGTGACATTAGTGTTACCAAATTTGGCCCAGGCAAATTCATAGAGATGGAAAGAATAGTAGAGGCCACCAGCGAATGAGGGAGACTGGAAATTTACTGTTTAATATTAATATGTACAGAGTTTGTTTGAAATGATGAAAAGGATCTGGAAATGGACAGTGGTGATGGTTGCACAGTGTTGTAAACTTGCTTCATGCCACTGAATCTTACACTTCAAAATAATTAAAATGGTAAATTTTATGTCATTTTAGCATGATTTTTTTCAATTGGCCAAAGCAAGGGACTGCCAGTTCTTCGTGGTCTCCAAGAACAATCAGTGGTCTAAACGCTAATCAGATAGATACAGGTTCAAGTCCATTATCTGACACATAGTAGGTGCACAACACATAAGAGTAATCATTGTTATCATTATTGAATCCACATGGCTTTTCTTGTGATCACCTAAGTTATGAATGAGTCTATCTGGTATTAATGTTCCTTAAGTGCTGTTAGAGAGTTTCTATTACAATTAACTGTTAATTAACTTAATGATCATCGTAGAATCCCTATTACAATTCCACATCATGAGTTTTCCAATTTCAAATTCAGCTTCTCCTTCCATTGCGTACTTCCATCTCTCACAATAAGCTGTTTACCCTTTCAATTATTTTCATTCCAACCACTGTGATCACTGTACTTAAAATTCAATCAGGCTTCTAATTTTAAGCATCTTTTTTTGTGTATCGCGCCAACAATTGACAAGCGTCCTGAATTTAACATCTGTTCCCAGCAGTAAATGGTTTTAAATTTGAGAACTGAAAACACACATGAGGCAATTATGAGCAGTTCTCACACTGTGATTCATGGTTGTGCATCGGCAACTTCTTCCATGACAGCAACAGTTCTGATAGACAGGGCCTGCAGCAGCAGTGTTTGTGCAACAAGAAGGCTAGACAAGCTGCTCGGACATCCCACTGCCAGAAGAATGCCTTCGACTAGCAAAACACACAACCTACTATGTACCAAGCAACTTGCTAAACATTTTTATAGGCTCTCTCCCATTTGATCCTCAAGTAAGATTTCCCCAGAAATATGAGTAAAAATGGGGTCTCTGGGGCAATCACTCGTGAGGTCAAACAGCCCTCTCTGGGAGTGTTGTGGATGACAGCGCCTCACTCCTGCCACAGCTGCCCATGCCCCGGGCCTGCTGTTCAGGAGGATGGTGGCTGGGGAGAATCCAGCCGGAAGCTGTCTTGGATACTGGTCCCCAGCTGGGCTCATGGATTCGGGTGTGAACTTATGGAAAGAGGGGATGCAATTAGAGCAGAAGGTACTTTTACTCAGATTTGGAAGGTGACATGCCAACTGAGACAACAGTGGAATCATAAAGTATATAGAAAGCAGGAATTTGGCCTCAATCAGATGCTAATTATACTTAGATTGATAAACTGTGAAGGAAAATAAGTATAAATATGATAAATACATTAAGGATGTCTGAAATTTTCTTTTTTTGAAACCAAGTCTCGCTCTGTTATCCAGGCTGGAGTGCAGTGGCACGATCTCAGCTCACTGCAACCTCTGCCTCCCAGGTTCAAGTGATTCTCCTGCCTCAGCCTCCTGAGTAGCTGGGACTGCAGGTGAACACCACCACACCCAGCTAGTTTGTTGTATTTTTAGTAGAGATGGGGTTTCACCATGTTGGCCAGGCTGGTCTCAAACTCCTGACCTCAAGTGATCTGCCCACCTTGTCCTCCCAAAGTGCTGGAATTACAGGCGTGAGTCACTGCACCTGGCCTAGGATGTCTGAAATTTTCTATTAAGACTTTTACTATTTGCAAGTCTGTAGGACAGGCTCTCTTAACACCCCAGCCTTCCACTGGGCCTTCCAGAGCTGCAGCTCCACAACTTAAAAACCTTTCCATATCACCAGCCTCTAGTCAAAACCCTTCCATATCACCAGCCTTCAGGCCTTCTCTGCCTTGAATGAAACCTGGCTTTCCACAGTGGATGCCACCTCCCCAGGGCCCTCAGGGATGGGAAGTGGAGTCCCTGTCCTCTCTGCTCTTACATCATTACTTCCCCATCACCAGGACCCTCCTCACTGTGTTGACCAAGGTTGGGCAACTCATCTGAGACTTGGGCACCTAGTGCCCATCTTCCCCTCCACCCTCAGGCCTTCCTTCCTCCTAGGCAACCAACATCCACATGGACGGCCCAACCTGCACCCTGACCTTCACTTCCTTCACCACCTGTGTTAGTCTATTTTCATGCTGCTGATAAAGACATACCCAAGACAGGGCAATTTACAAAAGAAAAAGGTTTAATTGTACTTACAGTTCCACGTGGCTGGGGAAGCCTCACAATCATGGTGGAAAGCAAGAAGGAGCAAGTCACATCTTACATGGATGGCAGCAGGCAAAGAGAGAATGAGGAACACACAAAAGCAGAAACCTCTGATAAAACCATCAGATCTCGTGAGACTTATTCACTACCACGAGAACAGTAGGTGGGAACCACCCCCATGATTCAATTATCTCTCAAGGGGTCCCTCCCATGACACCTGGGAATTATGGGAGTACAATTCAAGATGAAATTTGGGTGAGGACACAGAGCCAAACCATATCACCACCTCACTCCAGTGTCCTTGTTCACTCCATCTTGGCTGCTCAGCATCCCATCTTGGACCTTGTCATCCACCAATAATACTCCCCTATGAGTATCATTAATTCAAACCATATCCACACCCTCCCTTTCCAGCTTGTTAGACTACTGCTACACTGGACAATCACTGACCACTCCAGACCCTCCAGTTCTTTGTCCTTTCTCTTTCTTCCCAGACTATCAGTGCAGGTACGTAAGTACCTCATTTAATTTGAATGCTTTCATTGTTTCATCAGTAAGTATAATGCCAGCTTTGACTTGGGGTATATGTGTAGATGATTTTTTAAACTCACCTTAAGAAATCATATCAGTCTACAGAGAGGTAGGGAGGGAAGGCCTTCACTGACATTTGAACAAAAATCTGAAAGGAAGTAAGAGTGCAAGCCACCTGGATTTCTGGAAAGAACTTTACAGGCAGTAGGAATGGTAAGTCCTAAGGCCCAGAGGTAGCAGCAGGCCTGGCAAGTCCAAAGGACACCAATGAGGCCAGCACAGCAGGGGCAGAGAAAACAATGGGAAGACGAAGCCAAAGACAAGGAGCAGGACGGCAGGAGGACGGGGCATGGATGGCCTCCAAGCTGTGGGACAGCTGGGCTTTAACTCTGATGGGAGGGAAGCCATAAGAGGGTTTGAGCAGAGAAGTGACATGATGCAACTTGCATTTTGAAAGGCCCACTACACCTGCTGGGTTCAGAACAGGCTATAGGGCAGGGCCAGGGCAGAAGCAGGGATTTCAGGTAGGAGGCTATGATAATAGTCCACATCAGAGATGGACAAGGTGAGAGAAACGGTAAGATCTATTTTGAAGATCATATTTGGAAGACAGAAGTAACTATACAAATAAATAGAAAGAGATAAAACAGAGATGAAAGACATGTCAATGAGAGCTAGGTCAACAGACAATAGATAGAATGATGTAGGTGCATACATACACCTGAGTGAACATCCACAATTTATTGAGTGAAAAAGCACATCAGTATGTATGATTCTACTGATATGTTTTCAGTGTACATATATATAGCGTAGGAAGGTATTTGGAATGATACACACCCAACTGCTGACAGTGATTTCCTCTGAGGAATAGGATTAGCAGGGGCATAGGAGAACCCAACATCTTTTACTTTATATGCATTTTTGGTTTAAACAATGGGTGTATACTAATTATGCTGAATGGAACACGTCATTGGCAGTGAGCACCACTCCACAAAAGGTGTTTAAGCCTGGACTAGATGACCTCATCATGGGTAAGTCACCAAAGGGAGCCAGGCCAGGTGTCGTGGCTCACACCTGGATTCCTAACACCTTGGGAGGCCAAGGCAAGAGGATCACTTGAGCCCGGAGTTGGAGATCAGCCCGAGTAATATGGCGAAACTCTGTCTCTACAAAAAAATTTTTAAATAAACTGGGAGTGATGGCACAGGCTTGTGGTCCCAGCTACTTAGGAGGGTGAGGTGAGAGGATCACTTGAGACCAGGAGGTCAAAGCTGCAGTGAGCTTTGTTCACCACTGCATTCCAGCCTGGGTGACCCAATGAGACCCTATCTCAAAAAAAAAGAAAAAAAGGGAGTGGGGGAGAGGGGTCGAACATCTGAGGGTATATGGCATATTGAACCTAAAGATTCCCTCCAGCTGTAGGCTTCCTTCCCAAGCTTGCAGAAATCCTCTCATCTCTCTGAGCTTCCATCTCCTCCCTGGCCGCACAGGAATAACAGTACCTGCCCAATTGGAGGCTGCAATCATGTGCATGAAGTGTGCAGCAGAGGGCCCGGAGCACATCCGCACTCAGTAAGGAACAGCTTCCTTCCCCTCCCCAACAAGGGCTCCAAGGATGCCCAGGAGGAAAGGCGGCTCCAAAAGACTAGAGGTGCCCTAACGTTCCAGGGAGGCAGGAAGGTTGCTGGGCTAAAGGTATTCTAGCACACATACCCCAAAAAGAGAATGTTGTCTCAGAGGAAAGAGCAGAGCTGTCTCCCCCAGACCCACTCTAGAAGGCAGCAAAGAGTAATGTAGAAATATCCCCACTCTGCCAGGAAGAGCGCATATGGCTGGACTCCCACCTGAAATTCTAAGTCAAGGTCAGAAGTTCCTGGTGATTTGTAATTTTCCTCTCTTGGCTTGCAAGAAGGCCATGGGGAAAGGGAAAGAAGAGCTGAATGCTATTTATCTAAAATCACTGATACTTCTTGAGAAGCCATAAAATGTGAGTGCTCTTGCCAAATGGATGTTGAAAGAGCTTTGATCTCCATTTTGGCCGGAAATGATCCGTTCCCTTCCTAATGCAGATATATGGTTTTTATGCCTCAACTCTGCCCACTCAGATGCACAGCACATTCTTAATTATTTTGAAATGATTTAAAATGGAACTATAAATCTACGCTTTGACATGACATGGTGATTTGACCCCCAGACATATCATAATGGGTTATTAGCAATGCTTCCCAAACCTACTGAAACTTTTTTCCAAAGCTATTCACTAATTAATAGCTGTTCACACAATTATCATTTCTGAGTAATTATGGAACTGTGCCACATTATTTTGGGATGAGAACATAATTATGTCCATAAAAATTATTTGTGTAGTTTTTAACCTTCTGCCAGAAATAAATGAGGCTAATCTGAGGGTAACACAAACTTTGTGACAATACCTAGAGGTTGTCTCCTTCACAACACTTACTTCCCAAAGCTTACTTTCTAGCCCAGAAGGTTAGAATTTGACCTTCAGCTTTTCCAGAGCACCTGGGAGCAGATAGCACCGAGGAAGTACCAGGGAGGGGGTGCTCAGGACCTTCCTGCTTTGCCCCTGCCACTCTACACCATCGGGCTGCTCCCCTCGGCCTCTGGTCACCTCCTGCCTGCCCCTCCTCCCCACCTCATCTTCCAGCCCACCATCCTGATTATGCCCCTCACCCTAGGTTACAGAAGCCCACCAGCCTGCCTAGACTCCTATTTCCGGGGCCTATGCCTCACCTTGCTCTGACTGACTGTGGCTTGCTGGGAGGTAAGCACTCCTCACGCTCTTCTCTGTGTCCAGGAGAGCCTATAAAGCTGGCCAGAAGGCCACCCCCAAGCAGAGGAGGGTGTAGAGAGTGTGCTTAGTTCATGCTTCCATTTGAGAAGCAAGAGTGGATGAGGGAGGAGGGGTATTGCTCATTGGCGGCTAAAGATTTCCCTTTTGCTGGGAATATTTTGGGGGGATATAGGGTAGAGGGAGGCGCCTTCCTGCCTTCCCAGTGAGAAGCCCCTCCCAGGTCCTGGGAGTCCCCTGCCTCAGAGATGGGTAAATCAAGAGGTCCCAAATCCATGGGACAAACTCATACTAAAGAAATATGCTCATCATTTATGTGAAATTCTAATTTAACTGGACATCCTGCATTTTATCTGGCAACTCTAGCTGAAGATGAAGTGAAGGCAGGTGTCCACCTTCAGGGCCTCTCCTGACCAGCCCACCGGGCCCCGCTCATCCCTAAGGCAGAGTCTGATGCAGTCACCCTCATGGTCAGCAGCCACAGCTCAGCTATTCTGGGCTCAAGCTCAGAGCTTTCCAGGACCATTAGTTAAACCTTACCTAAAGTAACTGTCTTCTTACTTCAACCCCTGTCCCAAGACCTCCTCCATCAAGCCCCTCATCCAAGTGACTCATCTCCTGCCCTAGCGGTCACCTTCTCCACCTCCAGGAGCCCGCCTGTCTCCCCACCATCATGCTCCTGCCTGCGCATCTCTGTGATCAGAAGGCCTCACTGCCCTGAAAGCTCAGGCCTGGGAGCAGGGAGCTCAGAGGGAACGGTCCCTTACACCAGTCACCCACCAACAACTCCAAGAAAGAATTCCATTCGAACTGTGTGGTCGGTGGTTGTGGGTGGGTGAGGCGGGGAGTGGTCATAGCAAAAGTTCACCTTTGAAGACAGGAGAAGACCTGTTGCCTACTTCTTTCTGTCCTTATGAGGTCTTCCCTGAAAAGGAGGCTTCTGACAGCTTCTCACCTGTTTCCCCACAGTCATTTTCTCATTTGCCCAATGAATAAGTATTGCACCACTACTATGGCCAGGAAGTGTTCTAGATGCTCAGGAAACATCGGAGAGTGAAAGAACAAAGCCCCTTTCCCCTTAGCATTTACTCACAGAACAATGACGAAACACTGAAACTCAGCAGCAAAACAGTCACAGGTCAAAGTAGGAACCCAATTCTCGCCACCTGTCAAAAAAAAGAAAAAAAAAAAAGGCCAGGCGCTGTGGCTCACGCGTGTAATCCCAACACTTTGGGAGGCAGAGGCAAGTGGATCCCGAGGTCAGGAGATCGAGACCATCCCGGCTAAGATGGTGAAACCCTGTCTCTACTAAAAATATAAAAAACATTAGCCGGGTGTGGTGGCGGGCAGCCATAGTCCCAGCTCCTCAGGAGGCTGAGGCAGGAGAACGGTGTGAACCCAGGAGGCGGAGGTTGCAGTGAGCCGAGATTGCGCCACTGCACTCCAGCCTGGGAGACAGAGCAAGACTCCATCAAAAAAAGAAAAGAAAAGAGAAGAAAAGAGATGAGATGAGACGAGATGAGACGTAACACTGATTGGATGGAGAACATCAGATGACTTCAGTAAAAGCAGAGAGGAGCTAAGTAAATTAATTCAAAAATAATAAAACAGGCTGGGCGCAGTGGCTCACGCCTGTACTCCTAGCACTTTGGGAGACTGAGGTGGGTGGATCACTTGAGGCCAGGAGTTTGAGACAAGCCTGGCCAACACGGTGAAATCCATCTCTACTAAAAATACAAAAATTAGCCAGGCATCATGGTGCATGCCTATAATCCCAGTGACTAGGGAGGCTGAGGCAGGGGAATTGCTTGAACCCAGGAGGCGGAGGTTGCGGTGAACCTAGATCACGCCACTGCACTCCAGCCTGGGCAACAGAGCGAGACTCCGTCTCAAAATAAAATAAATAAAATAAAAAATAAAAATAAATAAATGAAACAGATAAAGGGAAGACTTAAAAATTATAAGATACTTCGCTATTATTTGCTAACGAATTTGAAGATCTCAATGACAAGAATTTCTGTGGGAAAATATAAATTCTCAAAACTGACCCTATAAGGCTTTTTAAGACCAATAATCAAGAAAAAAGTTGAAGACGTTACCAAATATTTACTTCCGTAAAAGACTCTAGGTCCAGATGTTGAATCTGCTTTCAAGAACTGCTAATTTTTGTCATATAAACTGTTCTACCACATTAAAAAAAGATGCACAACCATCGAGTTTATGTAATGAAATGATCATAACTGTTACACCACAATCTGACAGGAATAGGCAAAAAAAAAAAAAATCCCATGGATCCTCCTCACTTAGGAAAATAGCTGTAATAATCCTAAATAAAATACCAGAAATACAATTCAACATACTATTAAAAGAATAATACAGAGCAATAAAGTAGGGTTTATCCCAGGATCGCAAAAATGGTTTAGCATTAGGAAATTATTCATATCAGGGCATCAGTCTTTCTAATGATAGCCTTACGCTTAGACTCTTGTTAAATTCAACATCCATTTCTCATGAAAATTCTAAAATAGAATAGAATGATACTTGCTGAACATCATAAAGTATATACTGTATAAAGAATTTATCTGGCCAGGCACAGTGGCTCATGCCTGTAATCCCAACACTTTGGGAGGTTGAGGTGGGCGGGCCACCTGAGGTCAGGAGCTTGAAGCCACCCTGGACAACAGTGGCAAAACCCCGTCTCTACTAAAAATACAAAAATTAGCAGGGTGTGGTGGCAGGCGCCTGTAATCCCAGCTATTTGGAAGACTGAGGCAGGAGACTGAACTCAGGAGACGGAGGTGGAAGTAAGCTGAGTTCGTGCCACTGCACCCCAGCCTGGGTGACACAGCAAGACTCCAACTCAGGAAAAAAAAAAAAAAAAAGAACTTACCTTCTGTGAGGATACTGCTTACATCAATTGAGTGTGTATTTAATTATGACACTAACAATGGAAGGGAAAATTTTTTATATAATTTTTCCTTTAGTTATTCTAAGGTACGTTTGTTTCACATTTACCTTCATTGCAATAAGAGTATCTTTCAATGTGTAAGGTTAATATTAAGTAGCTTTTTCCTCTCCCCACTCCATCCTCCAAAAGCTGTTATTAAGTTGGTGCATCTTATAAGCAATAGCTTAATTTGAGAAAATAAGAAATATCTCAAACGAACAACTCACATCAAACCTACCAAAACAACACTGTAGTTTTGACATTAAAATCAGGAAAACACGGCTGTGCACGGTGGCTCACGCCTGTAATCCCAGCACTTTGGGAGGCCGAGGTGGGCGGATCACAAGGTCAGGAGATCAAGACCATCCTGGCCAACACGGTGAAACCCCATCTCCACTAAAAATACAAAAAATTAGCCGGGCATGGTGGCGGGCGCCTGTAGTCCCAGCTACTCGGGAGGCTGAGGCAGGAGAATGGCATGAACCCAGGAGGTGGAGGTTGCAGTGAGCCGAGACTGTGCCACTGCACTTCAGCCTGGGCAACAGAGTGAGACTCCATCTCAAAAAAAAAAAAAAAAATCAGGAAAACACAAGGAGTTCATCACCACCATTATCTAACACTGTTCAGAAAGGCCTCATCAATACATATAAGATAAAAATAATACTTAAAAATGTAACCATTCAGCCAGAGAGAAAGGTCAGGTTACCCACAAAAGGAAGCCCATCAGACTAATAGCTCATCTCTCAGCAGAAACTCTACAAGCCAGAAAAGAGTGGGGGCCAATATTCAACATTCGTAAAGAAAAGAATTTTCAACCCAGAATTTCATATCCAGCCAAACTAAGCTTCATAAGTGAAGGAGAAATAAAATCCTTTACAGACAAGCAAATGCTGAGAGATTTTGTCACCACCAGGCCTGCCCTAAAAGAGCTCCTGAAGGAAGCACTAAACATGGAAAGGAACAACCAGTAACAGCCACTGCAAAAACATGCCAAATTGTAAAGACCATCAAGGCTAGGAAGAAACTGCATCAACTAACGAGCAAAATAACCAGCTAACATCATCATGACAGGATCAAATTCACACATAACAATACTAACCTTAAATGTAAATGGGCTAAATGCTGCAATTAAAAGGCACAGACTGGCAAATTGGATAAAGAGTCAAGACCCATCAGTGTGCTGTATTCAGGAAACCTATCTCACATGCAGAGACACACATAGGCTCAAAATAAAGGGATGGAGGAAGATCTACCAAGCAAATGGAAAACAAAAAAAGGCAGGGGTTGCAATCCTAGTCTCTGATAAAACGGACTTTAAATCAACAAAGATCAAAAGAGACAAAGAAGGCCATTACATGATGGTAAAGGGAACAATTCAACAAGAAGAACTAACTACCTTAAATATATATGCACCCAATACAGGAGCACCCAGATTCATAAAGCAAGTCCTTAGTGACCTACAAAGAGACTTAGACTCCCACACAATAATAATGGGAGACTTTAACACCCCACTGTCAACATTAGACAGATAAACGAGACAGAAAGTTAACAAGGATATCCAGGAATTGAACTCAGCTCTGCACCAAGCAGACCTAATAGACATCTACAGAACTCTCCACCCAAAATCAACAGAATATACATTCTTTTCAGCACCATACCCATTCCAAAATTGACCACATAGTTGGAAGTAAAGCTCTCCTCAGCAAATGTAAAAGAACAGAAATTATAACAAACTGTCTCTCAGACCACAGTGCAATCAAACTAGAACTCAGCATTCAGAAACTCACTCAAAACCACTCAACTACATGGAAACTGAACAACCTGCTCCCGAATGACTACCGGGTACATAACGAAATGAAGGCAGAAATAAAGGTGTTCTTTGAAACCAACGAGAACAAAGACACAACATACCAGAATCTCTGGGACACATTCAAAGCAGTGTGTAGAGGGAAATTTATAGCACTAAATGCCCACAAGAGAAAGTAGGAAAGATCTAAAATCGACACCTTAACACCACAATTAAAAGAACTAGAGAAGCAAGAGCAAACACATTCAAAAGCTAGCAGAAGACAAGACATAACTAAGATCAGAGCAGAACTGAAAGAGATAGAAACACAAAAAACCCTTCAAAAAATCAATGAATCCAGGAACTGGTTTTTTGAAAAGATCAACAAAATTGATAGACCACTAGCAAGACTAATAAAGAAGAAAAGAGAGAAGAATCAAATAGACGCAATAAAAAATGATAAAGGGGATATCACCACTGATCCCACAGAAATACAAACTACCATCAGAGAATACTATAAACACCTCTACGCAAATAAGCTACAAAATCTAGAAGAAACGGATAAATTCCTCGACACATACACTCTCCCAAGACTCAACCAGGAAGAAGTTGAATCTCTGAATAGACTAATAACAGGCTCTGAAATTGAGGCAATAATTAATAGCTTACCAACCAAAAAAAGTCCAGGACCAGATGGATTCACAGCCAAATTCTACCAGAGGTACAAGGAGGAGCTGGTACCATTCCTTCTGAAACTATTCCTATCAATAGAAAAAGAGGGAATCCTCCCTAACTCATTTTATGAGGCCAGCATCATTCTGATACCAAAGCCTGGCAGAGACACAACCAAAAAAGAGAATTTTAGACCAATATCCTTGATGAACATTGATGCAAAAATCCTCAATAAAACACTGGCAAACCGAATCCAGCAGCACATCAAAAAGCTTATCCACCATGATCAAGTGGGCTTCATCCCTGGGATGCAAGGCTGGTTCAGCATACGAAAATCAATAAATGTAATCCAGCATATAAACAGAACCAAAGACAAAAACCACATGATTATCTCAATAGATGCAGAAAAGGCCTTTGACAAAATTCAACAACGCTTCATGCTAAAAACTCTCAATAAATTAGGTATTGATGGGACGTATCTCAAAATAATAAGAGCTATCTATGACAAACCCACAGCCAATATCATACTGAATGGACAAAAACTGGAAGCATTCCCTTTGAAAACTGGCACAAGATAGGGATGCCCTCTCTCACCACTCCTATTCAACATAGTGTTGGAAGTTCTGGCCAGGGCAATTAGGCAGGAGAAGGGAATAAAGGGCATTCAATTAGGAAAAGAGGAAGTCAAATTGTCCCTGTTTGCAGACGACATGATTGTATATCTAGAAAACCCCATCTTCTCAGCCCAAAATCTCCTTAAGCTGATAAGCAACTTCAGCAAAGTCTCAGGATACAAAATCAATGTGCAAAAATCACAAGCATTCTTATACACCAACAACAGAAAAACAGAGAGCCAAATCATGAGTGAACTCCCATTCACAATTGCTTCAAAGACAATAAAATACCTAGGAATCCAACTTACAAGGAATATGAAGGACCTCTTCAAGGAGAACTACAAACCACTGCTCAGGGAAATAAAAGAGGATACAAACAAATGGAAGAACATTCCATGCTCATGGGTAGGAAGAATCAATATCATGAAAATGGCCAAACTGCTCAAGGTAATTTATAGATTCAATGCCATCCCCATCAAGCTACCAATGACTTTCTTCACAGAATTGGAAGAAAACTACTTTAAAGTTCATATGGAACCAAAAAAGAGCCCACATTGCCAAGTCAATCCTAAGCCAAAAGAACAAAGCTGGAGGCATCATGCTGCCTGACTTCAAACTATACTACAAGGCTACAGTAACCAAAACAGCATGGTACTGGTACCAAAACAGAGATATAGACCAATGGAACAGAACAGAGCCCTCAGAAATAATGCCGCCTATCTACAACTATCTGATCTTTGACAAACCTGACAAAAAGAAGAAATGGGGAAAGGATTCCCTGTTTAATAAATGGTGCTGGGAAAACTGGCTAGCCATATGTCAAAGCTGAAACTGGATCCCTTCCTTACACCTTATACAAAAATTAATTCAAGATGGATCAAAGACTTACATGTTAGACCTAAAACCATAAAAACCCTAGAAGAAAACCTAGGCAATACCATTCAGGACATAGGCATGGGCAAGGACTTCATGTCTAAAACACCAAAAGCAATGGCAACAAAAGCCAAAATTGACAAATGGGATCTAATTAAACTAAAGAGCTTCTGCCCAGCAAAAGAAACCACCATCAGAGTGAACAGCCAGCCTACAGAATGGGAGAACATTTTTGCAACCTACTCATCTGACAAAGGGCTAATATCCAGAATCTACAATTAACTCAAACAAATTTACAAGAAAAAAACAAACAACCCCATCAAAAAGTGGGCAAAGGACATGAACAGACACTTCTCAAAAGAAGACATTTATGCAGCCAAAAAACACATGAAAAAATGCTCATCATCACTGGCCTCAGAGAAATGCAAATCAAAACCACAATGAGATACCATCTCACACCAGTTAGAATGGCAATCATTAAAAAGTCAGGAAACAACAGGTGCTGGAGAGGATGTGGAGAAATAGGAACACTTTTACACTGTTGGTGGGACTGTAAACTAGTTCAACCATTGTGGAAGTCAGTGTGGCGATTCCTCAGGGATCTAGAACTGGAAATACCATTTGACCCAGCCATCCCATTACTGGGTATATACCCAAAGGACTATAAATCATGCTGCTATAAAGACACATGCACACGTATGTTTATTGCGGCACTATTCACAATAGCAAAGACTTGGAACCAACCTAAATGTCCATCTATGATAGACTGGATTAAGAAAATGTGGCACATATACACCATGGAATACTATGCAACCATAAAAAATGATGAGTTCATGTCCTTTGTAGGGACATGGATGAAGCTGGAAACCATCATTCTCAGCAAACTATCGCAAGAACAAAAAACCAAAGACCGCATGTTCTCACTCATAGGTGGGAATTGAACAATGAGAACACATGGACAAAGGAAGGGGAACATCACACACCGGGAACTGTTTTGGGGTGGGGGGAGCAGGGAGGGATAGCATTAGGAGATATACCTAATGCTAAATGACGAGTTAATGGGTGCAGCACACCAACATGGCACATGTATACATATGTAACAAACCTGCACATTCTGCACATGTACCCTAAAACTTAAAGTATAATAATAAATAAATAAATAAATAAAATGTAACCATTAAAAATGAGACTAAAATCATTTCTACTTATTCATTCATAAGATTGTATTTCTATAAAATTCAAGGTCATTTAATCTAAAAAACTATCAGAATTACTAAGAATAGAGTTCAGTACTATGGTTATAAATAAATATGTGAAACTAGCTGGCAAGGATGTGGTAAAACATATAGACCCATATGCTGTTCATAAGAATTTGAGTTGGTACAACCACTTTGAAGATAATTTGGCAATATGCATCAAGAGTCTTAAAACGTTCATACAAAAAAAGTTAATACCCCTTGTGGCAGATACTATTACTTTCCCAAGAGCTGCTCGTTCCTGCTAACAGAACCTAGCAGCTGAGGCTAGGCACAGTGGCTTATACCTGTAATCCCAACACTTTGGGAGGCCAAGGCGGGAGGATCACTTGAGGCCAAATGTCAGAGACAAGCCTAGGCAACATAGGGAGAACTCATCTCTATAAAAATAGAAAATGGAAATAGCCAGGCATGATGGCATGTGCCTGTAGTCCCAGCTACTAAGGAGGCTAAGTCAGGAGGATCACTTGAGGCCAGGAGTTTGAGGTTGCAATGACCTATGATCACACCACTGCACTCCAGCCTGGGTGGCAATGTCCCCAGCCTTGATGCAACCAGGGTAGTCCCGTTATCTTTGCCAGAGATAGGTCTAGGAGTGGGTACTTGACTTAGACCATTACAAGAAAGTCTGTTGGAGACTTCTTTTTCCCTTTTGAGACAGAGTCTCGCTTTGTCGTCCAGGCTGGAGTGCAGTGGTGCGATCTCGGCTCCCTGCAACCTCCACCTCCTGGATTCAAGTGATTCTCCTGCCTCAGCCTCCAGAGTAGCTGGGATTACAGGTGTGCGCCACCATGCCTGGCTACCACATATACATATACATATATATATTCATACACACACACACACACACACACACACACACACACACATATATATATTTTTTTTTTTAGTAGAGACAGGGTTTCACCATGTTGCCCAAGCTGGTCTCAAACTCCTGGGCTCAAATGATTCTCCCACCTCAGCCTCCCAAAGTGCTGGGATTACAGGCATGAGCCACTGTGCCCGGCCCTGCTGGAGACTTTGATTCCTGGAAAGGGAGAGCTCTTAAGAATAAATCCCCTTTGCTCCCATACCTTCCTTTCCTCCTTGGACACTCTGTCAACACATTGGAAGAGAGAAAGCACCTGAGCTTTTAACAATATCACTGAGCCATTGCTCCAGCCTGTATAGTTTTTCCTCTAAACTTACATCTGAACACATAGTAGGTATCTACCATTCATAGACAACTGGCATCTTTTTAATAACCGCTTGATATTTTGGCAGTCTCATGTGTCCTACCTTCCTGTACTACAAAGCCAAAGCCCACTTATCAGACATCCTCACTCTACACTGAGGACATGTGTCCCGGGTTCTGCCAATCAGACCCAACCATATGGATGGAAGGGGAGATGAATTGACAGCCATGTGCAAGCAGCTCAGTCTTCTAGTAGTATGCTGTTGGAGAAAACTGGTCCTTTTAGAGAATCTATGGCAGAGCTTCTGAAGACCAGCCCTGGGGTCATTTGTGCCAGTCAGCAGGCCGCAGCAGCACCGATATTTCACTGGAAAGTCCCATAATGGGGCAGAGCACTGATCCTAGCAACATCATTCCTTGCTGTCATATCCCAACCTGGTTCTTTGCACCCATCCCCCAAAGTGGCTAAGTATCTTCTATAAAGACTCCTTTCTCCTTAAACATCAAGGTCTAGAGAAAGTGGATTCTCTCATTTGCAAATAAAAACTCTAACCTATAATTCCACCTCTGGCAATCTATTTCAAAGAAAATAATCCAAAACCTAGATAGAGGCCTATGCATAAGGATGACTACTGTTGTTTTACCTGCAATAGTAGAAACAAAATTAAAACCTGTCCCACAATGAGATTCTTATTAAGTAATTTGTAATAAAGTCACTTAAAGTCTCTATTATAAAATGTTTGTAATAACATGGAAAACTGCTCAGACAATAGTGCAAAATCCTATGTCGTCTGATTAGCCACATTAATAGCAACAGGAGCCCCATAAGCATTTCCCCCACTTGGGTGATGGATTTGTCACATAAGTGCCTCCTGCGGGAAACACCTTAAAGGGATGACTCACCCAGCCCATGGGTCATCCCATTGTCCTGAAAACTGCCTTCCCACACCACAAGTGTGGGTCACGGCAGCCATGTGTGCACCTCAGAAGCACATCTCCCTGGCCAGAGGTGACAGGACCTATTACCTGGGAAGATTACCTGCCCCAAGGTGGGTCAGTGAGAATCTTCTCCAGGTAGACTCAGTTATTAACTTCCTCGTGGGACTGGAACTGAGAGCCAAGCAAAGCTCAAAGAGTGTGGGGGTGGCCATCTTCCCCGTTATGGCCAGAGAAAGCTGGTCTACAGAGAAAAAAGAGGGGAGGAGAGAGAAGAGAGGAAGTGGAAGGGGGGAGGGAGAGAGAAGAATCGAAGGGAGGAGAGGGAGGGAGCAAGGGAGGAAGTGAGGAAATTGACAACTTTCCAGGTTCTAGTCTCCGCCCATTCCCGAGCTCCAGCTTCCTTCCTGGTCTCAGGCTCTGAAATCAACTCCTATGTCTTTATAATAATTTTTGCCATGAACTAGTATAAGTGGGCTTCTGTTACTCAAGGACAATTTTCTAACACATTTCTAAAGGTGAAATCTCAGGATGGCAGGAGCACTCTGAGGGCACCTCATTCAGCATCCCTGACTTCTCTCCACCTCAGCCTTCATCTTTCAGAGGCTGCCACTCATAGCTCAGTCTGCACATCCAAAAGCTAGAATTACCCCAGGCACGTTTGGCCAAAACTGCTTGGCGGGCTCCCTTCATCATACTGATCAGGGTGAGAAACCAGAAGAGAACAGGAATGAGCCAGAGTCTAAATCATCTGCAGAAGGATGGGCTTGCCTTTGCTGGAAGGAAAACAAAAGTTTGGAGCTGGAAGTTGTTTAAATGGTCTTGGCCAGAGCCAGAGAGAAGAAAGCCAGCCCAGAGATTGAGCATTTTGAAGAGAAAGCAGAGAGCTCAGCAGTTGCTAGAAAATCCAGGCATCAGGGAAATAAACGGGTAAGAGAGAACATTTAGGAAATTTGCCAAATAACTCCCCATTGGCAACCCCCCTAAGGAAACCTTCAGCAACTCTGTTCATGACCCTCACAAGGCTTCTAGGGCCTTGTGCATTTCCTTTAGATGCATAATTGTACTGAGATTGTATTAATAAAAGGAGGTCCAGTTTTCTTTCAATTATACAGTAGGGAAAGTGATTTATTTGCTACTTAGGGTATTGAGGATGATATTTGGTGGTTTTTAATCTTAAAAATAAGAGGAAAGGGAGCTAGAGGAAGGTTTGGACATCTCCTGAGAAAAGTACTGCCGGCAACTACACATTCAGACTACTCCCCAGCATGCAGAACAAGCTGTGGTGTGCAGAAGGGCTCCAGCCGTCCTTCTGCACCATTTGCAGTGGAACCTCTCCAGGAAGCTTGTTCGAAATGTAATTCAATTAATGGTGATGAGTTGACTGCTGATCACAAAGATTAAAGCCTTTGCGGATGCAGAAAATTCAGGCGCCCCCACCCACTGTCCTGGGCAGTGATGCAGCCTCACTAGCTGACAATGAATGACTACTCTCTCCTCTGTACTGTTAGGATCCCTGTCACTAGAGAGGCTACGAGCTTCCCATTCAGCACCCACTCCTGCCACCTCCAGAGAAACCACTCAAATCCAGAAATACCAAGGCAGTACTTTGTTCTGAGACTCAGGCTTTCCATGTGGCCTTCTAGGACATGAAAAAGGAGAATGGGCTACAGAGAAAGGACTTTCTGGAAGGTCATAGTCATGTCTGTACATGTGAAGGCAGTTATTATACTCCGACAAGCATCAGGAATAGGGTTGTAAAAAGAAATCTCTATCTTCTCTCCCCTATCCTATTCATTCAGAATCCTTCGGGTCTCTTTCTATTCTCTCTTCCTCTCTCACACTCTTGACTCCTTGATTATTTGGAGAATCCTATGATGTTTGTATAAAACAATGATTGTCATAAAGAATTTCCCAGACAGTCTAACAAACACATCATCTGCACCCTCATACACATGTCCCAGCCTGCCAACCTGCTCTCCAACCCTCAAAATGACAGAGGTGGCCCACCAGGAAGCTAACAGTTCTAATTAGGGAGAGAGACTTGACTAGCACAGCCATAGCAATGAGAACTCTCCAGAGAATCCAATGAAAGCCTGGAGAAGCTCCAGACATGTCTGAGCAAAACAAAAAGAGTTAGGGAAAGGTGCTGCACACTGGGCAGAAGAGGTAAAATGTCCACAACAAACCTTGACCAATGCTTGCTTGTGTTGGGATGAGCCCCTTCATTCTTTTTCCATCCTCCATCAACCCACCATTCAATTATCTAGCTGCCTAATCATCCATCTTCCTTTTACCCATTCCATCTATTTATCCATCCATCCATCCATCTCCCTTTCATCTATCCACCCCCAGATTCAACACCCTCTATCTCCATCTACCCCTTCATTCATTCATCTTTTCACCCAGCCACCCAACTGTCCATCTCTCTGAGCCTTATCCAGCCACCATTCATCCAGCTGCACTGTCTTTAGTCTCTATGTTTCATTTGTGTCCTTAAAAAACCATCCTGCCACCATCCACCTATCCATCCAGTCAGCCTACTGTATGAAGGATCTGTGCCAGGTTTTGTGGCTATAGGAATGAATATGAGCTGCTCCCCATCCAGAGAGACCTCTGTCTAATGAATAGGAGCCTTTATGAATAATGGCCATGCAGTAACCTCCTCTGTAGGCCTGAATATGTTCTCTGTCTGGGATCCTCAACACTTTCTGGTTATCCCAGCCCCATCACTGCCTGGCCCAGAGACAGTTTCCCAGAAGGCTCAGAAAGCAGAAGAGGGGAACAACCACCCATGTGGGGCTGCTATTAACTGAATGCGCAGCTTCCCAGAGCAGCTGCCACTCAAGTGGCCAGTCTAGGCAGGAGAAAGTCCTCTTTGGAGATGCAAAGAGCTCTTCATCTACAATGCTTCCTCCCTTCAGCCTCTAGACCAGCACTGTCCAATTGAAATATAGTGCAAATCACATTTAATTTTAAATTTTCTAGTAGCCATGTTAAAAAGTAAAAAGAAACAGGTGAAATTATAATACTATATTTTATATATATTTCATTTCACTCAACCCAATATATCTAAAATATTATTTCACCATGTACTCAGCTTATATTTTTTGTACAAAGTCATCAAAATCCAGTGTGTATCTTTATGCTTACAGCATATCTTAATTCAGTCCAGGCACATTCCACATGCTCAATAGCCACATGTGGCTAGTGGCTACCACACTGGCCAGTGCGGTTCTAGACCCTACCACCATTATTTTAAGTCCAGACCAAGACATGAGGCCACCCTAACCATGTGGGACCTTTTCGAATTGACATTTGCTAACTATTTGCTTAGCAGCTACTCAGAAGAACAGCCAAGCACCATGGCAAGGACAGAAAGCAAAGGGTACTGAAGATGACTCACAGGACCTCCACTGTCCTGAGCAAATAAGGCCTAGCCCCAAATTTGCACACCCCTCTCAGCAAAGCCCAGGCCCCATGGTTGCCAGGCTGGCCTCCTCCAACCATTCTAGTCACCCTCTGTGTACTGAACTTTGCCCCTCAGAAGGCTATCCCCCTCCCTAGAAGCCCCTCAAGTTCATCTGTTCCAGCCACTTGCAGAGAGAGCTGTTCTGTCACCGCAGTCTTCTTCCACTTCTCACACGATCCAGGCAGTGTTAGCTCCTCTCAGCAGTGAGGCTCCAGGACACCACCCAGCCAGCCTGCCTCTTCACTAGCTTCACCACTGCTCAGGTGGAGCTCCTCTCTCAGGCAAACCTTTTCTTCCCCAGGACCAGCAGAGAAGGCAGGGAAAACACAGAGATACCTATCCCTGGGACAGAGACTGCCTCATTCTGTGTACCTGGGGCTCCTGTGACTTCATCGGACTCTCACAGCAGCCAACAGGCAGGGAAGAGGCGGGTTACTGTCACATTCTAGGGATGAGAAAACTGAGGCTCAAAGGGGCTGAGTGATTTACCCAAAGACACATAGGGTATCAGTAAAAGTGATGCAGTAGATGAGGTCCCAGGTTGCCCACTGCCCACTCTGTGCCCATTTCCTCTCTCTCTTTCCCACAGGCAGCCCCTCTAGATATGGAATTAGGCTGAAGAAATGGGTCTCAGATGGGTTCCTCCAAAATCCCAAAAACTATTCCATCCTGAAGACAGGCCCATGAGGAGGAGCCCAGTCTGAGTTATCATTCAAGACCCCTCACCATTGGGTCCCACCCTCCTCCCACTCTCTCCCCCTCAAAGAGCACCCTCTGGAAACTGCACCTGCCCACTGCCTTCAACAACAGCAGGACTTCACACCTCTGCACCCTTGCCCATGATGTCCCTTCTGCCTGGACTGTCCTTCCTTCCCTTCCCTTCTCTGCTTGGAATAGTTCTTACAGCCTTCAAGGCTCAGCCAGACCCTTAGCTCAGTGAAGCATTCCCTGAGAGCCCCAGGCAGAATGATCGCTGGCCCACATTCTGTCCTATGAACAACATATTTGGTGGTACTCAAGTCTCACTGCTCTTCCACACTCTGAGCTCTGCAGAGGACAGATGTGGAAACTATTACCCCAGCAGTGTCCAACAGGCACATAGTAGAGACTCAGAAAATGTGTATTAAATAGCCATGTGGGGCCAGGCATGGTGGCTCATGCCTGTAATCCCAGCACTTTGGGAGGCCGAGGCGGGCAGATCATCTGAGGTCAGGAGTTCAAGACCAGCCTGGCTAATGTGGTGAAACACCATCTCTACTAATAAAAAAAAATTAGCCAGGCATGGTGGCAGGCGCCTGTAATCCTAGCTACTCAGGAGGCTGAGCAGGAGAATCACTTGAACCCAGGAGGCGGAGGTTGCAGTGAGCCAAGATCTCACCATTGCACTCCAGCCTGGGCAACAGAGCGAGACTCCGTCTCAAAAAAATTAAAAAAAAATAAACAGCCATGTGGTCACTATGGCAGCACATTTACTAAAATGTCAGCTGGAAAGCTCGTGATGCGCAAATAGCCTGCATCATGAGAGGGCTGGCTGTGCTCCAGCCTCCTTCCATTTCTCTGGACTCCCATGTGACTGCGGACATAGCTAAATTTGACTCCCAGCCTTGGTGCAGCAATGCCATTGGGAAACTCCTGCATATATTTACACATGCAGGGATCCTTTTCAAGTGATTCTCCATTGGGATCCAATTTCCATCTTTAATCCACTGTCTCCTTTGCTGCAGAATTCCCATGAATCTCTAGCATCCTCCACAAACACCCTCACGCTCCAAGTGACATCCCTTGGTTCTGTATGGGGGATATCAAATGTCACAGGTAATTTAATTTGCTCAAGAGAATATTGGGAGATTATTTATCTGTGTTCTCTAGAAAATGAGGGCTGTAGTAGATCTCGCTGATTATATTACCCCACTGAGAGGCAGAAATAATCCTGAAGATGGCAAGTTAAATCACTACTTTGTAATTTACTAAAACAAAACTAATATCCAAAGAAATGTTTTCTCTCCCATTTTATAGCAATTTCCCCATTAAAATGTCTTTGATTGCAATTCATAACGATGAATAAAGCAAAGCAAAAAGGATATCTTCAGCCGGCCAAGAAACTTCTTCTGAACACTAATGATTTTTCCCATAAGCAAAACACTGGGCATCATTTCCAGAGAAGCCACAGCCCACCCAAAAGGGTGAGTGGGAGTGAACAGGGTCACACTGCATAAGGAAACTGTTCCCCTCATCATTCCTGTTGCCCAAAGGAAGCCCCAAGTCCTCTTGGCTGAGTCTGAGGCCTGGATGTGTGTGTTCTTTCTCGTCGTTACCCACACACGCACCCCACCCTTCTTGCTCAATTAACTCAAGGTCATCTTTCAGGTTCTCAGCTTAAACATGCCTTCCCATGGTGCAAGACTCCCTGCCCATGTACATTTTCCTCACAGCACTTGTCAGTTTACAGCAATGCTTTCATATGTGTGGTTATTAAGTGTCTGTCCCCAGTAGAGTCCAGGAGCCATAGCATCTATTTTGCTCATCATTCACCTTCGGTAAAAACTTATTGTATAAATAAACAATGAACAAGGACAAGATCAGGGTCTTAATGTCATAGGTCAAGCAGCCTTTCTCAGAGGCAGCACATGCTCTCCCTAAGACAGCCTGTCTTAAGTCAGTCCCCAGTGGCCCAAGACTGACCCTTGTCACCAACCCTTCATTTATAACTCCCTTGAGTGAGACTGGATGCCTGTGATGGTTGATTTTAGGTATCTGCTTGACTGATTAAGGGATAGTCAGATGGTAAAGCATTATTTCTGGGTATGTGAGGATGTTTCCGTAAGAGATTGGCATTTGAATCAATGGACCCAATAAGGAAGATCCGCCCTCACCCAATGTGGGCAGGCACCATCCAAATGACTGAGGGCCTGGAGAGAACAAAAAGGCAGAGGAAAGAGGAGCTCACCCTCTTTCCCCACTGGAACTGGGACATCTGTCTTCTCCTGCCCTTCGACATCAGAACTCCAGTCTCTCCGGTCTTCTGACTCTGGAACTTGCACCAGTGGCCTGCCAGTTTCTCAGGCCTTGGACCTCAGGCTGAGAGTTGCACCATCAGCTCCCCTGGTCTGAGGTTTTCAGATTCGGACTGAGCCATGCTACCAGCATTCCAGAGTCTCCAGCTTGCAGACAGCCTGGAGTGGGACTTCTCAGCCTCCATAATCATGTGAGCCAATCCCCCTAATAAATTCCCTCCCACATTTCTTTCTTCTTTCTCTTTCTCTCTCTCTCCCTTCCTTATCTCCTACTGGTTCTGTCTTTCTGGAGAATCCTAATACAATAGCTCAGGGCCACTTATCCGTATCCTCAGGGACGTACATCCCAGCACTCTCCCAGACACAGTCTTGAGGCCCCTCTAAGGAACACCAGTGACCATAGGACAATTAGCATTAGGCATTTCTCTAAGAAATCTGGGGTCCGCTAAACCAGAATCACCTACCCACCCATGGGCAGCTCCATCTTCCCTTACCTGTCCCCACCCATACATGCAGCCTTCATCTTACAGGCCCCTCAACATTCTTCAGAGAAAAATATCATCCCTAAACAACCCCCTAAAGCCTAAAGCATATGGAGAGATGTTTCAGGGTGACCCTGGCTGGGCTCATGAATGGCAGGCTTCACAGCCTGGAATGACAGCCCCCAGGTATCCACCTGCTGAGACACTGAGGCCTCTCCCAGGAGAGGACTTGTCCTGAGACAAAAAGGGCCAGGCACGATGAACTGGACCCAGAGACAAACCTGGCAGTAAGAGAGGAGGCATGGCCAGCTCTGTCCCTGGTGATTCAACCTGGGTGCAAGAAAGAAGAGAGCTAGAAATTGAAACCTGAGAGCCTCTCTCATGCAAACACTGCAGTGCTAAAGGACCCCAAACACCTGACTACAGGACCGCACAGCTGAGTCAAACACAAATAAGGAAGAGGTACCTTTCTACTTCTGCATGAGCTCAGGGCCACATGGGTAAACCTGAAGTACTCTAGAAAGTGGCTCCAGGGAGAGATGACAGTGCCCTTCAGAACAGGAGCCAGAGTCAGCAGGGCCCATGGGACCTGACAGTGCCCAGCAGACAGGACCTGGAGCAAGGAGAAAGAACACAACTGAGATACCACCATGGTCCCCATCTCAGCCTGCCCGTGAACATACAAGGGAATCATAAAATGTTGGGGGAGAGTGTGCTGGGCACTGGCTCCCGATGGGGCTGAGTGTCAGGGAACAGATGTGAATATGTTGAGCCAGGATAGGGTTTAGACCCCTGGTTACTTTAAAAATTTTGTAAAATCAAAATGGCCCCCAGAGACACAGGCCTTCCAAATCTAAGTCCAGAGAGACAGGTTTGTGGATCATTATTAAGCTGCTGAGAAAAGGTATAAACCAGTAGAATATTAAACATAAATCAAACAAATGAAGCTGCAGTCCCATTAGTAATGAGGAGGCTTGGACGTGGGCCAGCAGCCCCTAAGTCTTATGGACACTGAGTTCAGAGTGGGGGAGAAGAGACAGGGAAGGGTGAGGGCCTGAGCGCCACTCCCCTGGGCTCCTAACGCAGCTCTCCCCAAACCCTCTGCCAGTGGACCTCAAGCTAAAGAAGGCAGAAATGGGAGTCTTGTTCACAGCAGGTAGTGAGTACATGTTTGTGGAGTGAATGCGGTGTTCTAGTAGTTGCATGCTCTGACACTTCAGCCAAGTGGGGAGATAGGAAGAGGGGGAGAAGATAGAAGGGGAGCGAGGAAGTGGGAGAGGGGCAAGCCCCTCCCCTCCAATAAATTGTTACTTGGCCAGGCTGATCTCCTGACGAAGCAGTCAATGATGGTAGATGGGATTTTCCTGATTTGGAATTTGGATTGAATCCCAAAACTCAGGACACTGGGAGGAAAGTCCCACTCTAAAAAGAGCACCTAGGCAACCTGAGCAGAACTTACTAAGATGTGGCCAAGTGGGCCCTTCATCTAGCCACCCTGTCACCCCTCCTGCCTGTAGAAGAGAGGCTGGAGGAGACACTCTCCAGCCTTTTTAACACTTACGTTATGAAAAGGGAATTCTTAGGAAGGGGCAGAGTATTGCGGAGTGTCCCTTCCCAGAGGGGACAAGAAAAGGGGTGCAGCTCCCACACCTATGTGGGGCTTGAGTGCCACTCGTGACGGGCAGGGGTGCCACCAAGAGGGGAGACTCCAGTTCACCTGCCTAGATGGTTTCCGAACTGTGGAATTCTAAGTCCTGGTGCTGCCGCAGGCCTAAAAGTATGGCAGATGCAGAGGGGAGAGGAGATAATAAGACAAATGTCTATTTCCACACAAGACTGAGGCTCTCAGAGGTCACATGAAGTGTCCAAGATGAGGTAAGCAAAGTGGGCTCAGCCACCTGTCTCCCTGCTGCTCAGGAGGCAGACGCCAACACCTCCGAGTGTTCTCCCGCTCAGTGGGCCAGGCACACCCTGAGGGCCACACTGCCAGCCCCTTCTCCCATTCGCCCCTCAGGAAAACTGGACACGGGCCCATCTTCCAAAGCACTTGCCATCCTTGCCCCAAAGGCCCCTCTCTACTCATCTCCCAGGGCCAAAGGACCAGGCTGGGCTGCAGTGGACACCAGGGGCAAAGTCCAGGCCATTGTGCAGACCCCCATGGGAATCCGAGCACCAGAAGGCAGAGCCAACAGTCCCCAGCACTCCCCACCCTGCACACCGGGGCGGATAGCCTTTTATGGCAGATAGCCTTTGTGAAGGGCAAGGGAAGGCCAGGCTGACTTCTGCCCCCTGCCCCATTTCACCTCCACCACTGTGACCAAGACGCTCCTGCTACAGCAGAGCTCGGTGCCAAGCCTGAGTGGGAAGGAGGGACACCCTTTTGTTTTATAAATCATTTTTCTGAGGGAAAGCATAAAATTGAACCAGAGTATTTGAGTCAAAATAATTTGAAATGTTTTGACCCAGGGCTGTCAGTGTGGAATGAACAAAGTTCAAGCCCCAGAACAAGCCTCTCTGCACCTAAGGCCAGGCTCTGCTATTCACTGTGATCACCTTGGCACCATTGGTTTATTCAGTGAGCATTTACTGAGCACCCTTGATATCCTGGAGTACAGCAATAAACCGGTTAGATGTGGTTCCTCCTAGAATTTATAGTCCAGCAGCTGCAATACCAGTAACGAAGTATAGACTGTGATAATAATAGCTCTTATTTCCTGAGCACTGACTCTGCAGCAAGCATGATTCTCAGCATTTCACATGGATTAACTCACCTAGTCCTTTAAGGGAAAGTCCTGTTATTATCTCCACTTTATGTATGAGGCACAGAGGGAGTAAGTAGCTTGTCCAAGGTCACACAGCCAGTGAACGGGGAGATCAAGAACAGCCACCCCAGGTGTGTCTAGGTCTAAGGCCTTCCTCTCAATCCCCTCACTCTGCACCTTTTGTGATAAGACCTGTAAAGGAAACGGGGTGATAGAAAAGAGCGATTGGTGAGGCCATTCTTGCAGAGGGAAATCAAGGAAAGCCTCTCTGGGAAGAAACAGAGACCTGAAGGAAGTGAGGAAGGGAGGCAGGACAGTGTGTGTGGGGAGGCTTCCAGGGAGTAGAAACTGCTACACAAAGCCCCTGACTCAGAACCAATCATGGGCACATTCAAGGAATAAAAGGCAGGCTCGGGGAGCCGGAGTCCAGGGGAGAAGGAAGACAGTGGGTCAGGGTGAGGCCAGACCCAGATCTCCTTGGTGAAGAGGGAGGGTTTGATTCAAAGCACACCAGAAGCCACTGGGGAGCATGCTCCGATTCACTTGGGTAGAAGGTGGGCTGGGGCAGGACCTCAGACACCGAGTCACTGTTCCTCACCTACTGATGAGGCCCTGGCCTGTTCCAAGGCCTTTGAGATCACACAAGACAAAGTCTTATTGCTGGTGGAAAACAGAGGCCTGGTGCACTTTCCTGGGCTGTAACAGGAAGAAGCTGGCGCCTCTCAGGGTAGTCACTCCCAGGGGTGCCCAAAGGCCGAAGGCAGCACTGCATTCACCCTGGGGTGGGGGGGGGACACGCAGGTTTATTTCTTGGGTGAGACCAGAGCTCTAGCTGCCAGTGAGAATGCCTCTGAATCCAACTGGCAGACAACGTGGCACAAGCTCTCTGCCAAGCTGGCCTCTCCTGCCACTAATTTCCTATTTGGGGCAAAAAAATATCGTTTCCCTCCTGGACCTGCAAGGACCTGAATGCAAATTACACCAGCTTCTGGTTGTGCCTTGAGACTCAAGGCTTCCCTGGGCAGTTTGGAGTTGGGGGCGAGAGGATACATGGATACATGCTGATCCCAGGGAAACTGTGGGTGAATTTTTTGGCCTCAGGGGATCCTCACCTCTCATGCCAAACACTGAAAGGGTTTGCCCCCACACACCCCCCACGTAGCTGGACACTGGGCCAGGGCATGTTGGGCTGGAGAAGCAGGCTCAAAAAAAAAAAAAAAAAAGTTCCTTTGAATGTGAATAATACTATTAATAACAACAAAACTTATATTTACTGAGACAGTTTCATTTAATCTTCACAATAACCCTATGAGATAGGTCATATTTTTACGCTCACTTTACAGAGGAGGACATGGAGCCCCAGAGGTGGTAACTTCCCCAAGGTCACACAGACGGTAGAGGCAGGATTTGAACCAGGCCTCATGAGACTCAAGAGGCTGTGTTCTTTATGCCTCACCAAGAAGCCCGGATTAGGTTTATCTCCCACTGAATGCCAACGCCTCATGTAACCTGATGAACAAGAACAGCTAACACTGATTTAGGGCTTAGTAGGTGACAGGTGTGGCACTAAGCATTTGCCACGCATTAGCTTGCTCAATCTTCACAGGTGGATTCTATTATTACCCCCCAGTTCACAAATGAAGACGCTGAGGTTTAGAGAGGTTAATTAGAGGCTCCAGGGCTGGGTCACAGGGGAGTGGGGATTCAGGCTCAGGGCTGTCTGAGCTACACAGCCAGGCTGTGTGTTTGTTGCTGGGATCCCATTACCCTCAGGTGCTCTGGGGCAGACTGGGACTCCTCATCACCCCACCCAGGGAGGCCAGTTTGGAGCTTTTGGTCATGAACAGGAAAGCTGAGCCTGTCTCTGGCCCAGGCTGAGAGCAGCCATCCTGGGACATGCACCTCCCAGAGAAATTGCTCCAGCTTCAGCTCTTCCAGGCAGGCCAGCCAGCCAGGCTGTGCCAAGGCCAATAAACCCAAAAGAGAGGCTCCAAGCCAGGCAATCCCTCCACACAAACCCTGATGTTCATGCCTGCAGACCAATTGGTTTCCCACTATCCTCCTGTCCTGTGAGTGACCCAACATACAAATAAGGAAGTAAATTGGGCCAGACCCTACCCCCAGCCCTCCTTAAGAAGAACCACCCACCCATGGGAGTCCCCTGCAGCCAACCACAGCCCACACTAGGCCTTGCTCAGCACCCCCAAAGGAGTGGAGGCAGAGTGGTGGGCCGGCAGGTGGACAAGATGTCAGGCAAAGGGCTGCGGATGCACCAGGACCACCTAAGGGCTAGAATGAGGCCTGCAGAGCTAGCAGGGGCCAGGCAGTGCAGGGACACCGCCCACTCTCCCAGCCCTGACACGGAGGTACAGTCAGCAACTTCCCCCTCCTGATAGGCCCACACCTGGAAGCCACATGGAACTGTGGGTGAAGCAGCTCTGTTGGCTCCCCAGGGCCCCCCAGTGCTCCTGCAGACAACCATCTCCTTCTCCAGCTATTTAGTTCCGCCTTCTCCTTTCACTTCCCTGGTACTAATATCCCACCTGCCAGGTCTCTCCGTGTGCCCAGACAGTGCTGAGCCCTCACACGTGTTCATGTTAATCTCCACAATCACCTCAGGAAATAGGAGTATTATCTCCATTTTTACAGATATGGAAACGGAGGCACAGAAAACATAAACGCTTTGCCCGTCATTACCGAGCTTACGTGTGGTGAAGCCAGGATGAGACCACCTTTGTCCCATCGCACAGCTCTGTGCCCAAATCTCCCAAGACCGGCCCCCAGGGCAGGTCAGGCTGTGGGAACAAACCTCCTTCCCAGGAAGCTGCACCTTCTAGCTTCTCTCCCTCTCCCTCCTGCCCCAGGGGCTTCTTGAGAAGTAGAGGCTCCCTGGGTTAGAAGCTCTTGACTGCCCAGGAAAGCACTGATGCAGAGGCCCTAACTCAGACACTTCAAGCTCCCTGGCTACAGTGCGGCGGCATCAGCCTCCCCAAATGTTGTTTACTAATAAATCCCCGAGAATTTATAATAAAGTTGATGGGGCCTAACTGATGGGCCTAGGACAAAAGGGAGCCAATTACCCAACACTCTCTGCTACAATCTTAAAACAGATGTTTGAGCGTGTAAAATTATGGCTTGTGGTTGGGAACTGCAGATACGATTCCAACCTTCCCTTTTACTGCCACTCATAAATGTTAAATGCGATGAGCTCTACATCTGAAATTCAGTTGTTGCCATTTTGTCCCACGTTTCTGAAGCCAAGGCTACATTTTAGAGTTGATGTCCTCATAATTTACTCAACTCCTGTGAACAACATGCAGAAAAGAACCTTGCACGACACACAGCAGAGGACAGACATGCAGCAGAGCCCAGGCCACCCGGGGCTCAGCCCTGACCACCCGGGTCCTGGGAGGAGAGGTAGAGGGGGTCGCCAGCCCCTGTCTTTCAGAATTTACAGGTCAAGCGATGCAAACCTGGACCAGCAGGCAAGGCCCCTCCCATCCCTCCAGAACCCAGATCAGCCTGATTCTTGGCACGTATATACAGGCCAAGTAGGAGGGTGGGTTCATGCACATTTGGATGTGATTTGCCTACAGGTTCTCTGGAACTTTCCCAGGACTCCCATAGTGGAGGCTCCAGGAAGCCAGTCATGCAACCAGTTCTGCTCCCAAGCCTCCTTACACAACTGCCCATTGAGGAACTGGGGAGACACAGAGGTAGGGAGAACAGCGAAGAGTCTGCCCCAACAATTCTCAACGCAGTTCCTTGGCATTCTTCCTCAAGCCCAGAGCCCTTCCTGGCAGGCCAGCTGCTGTGCCTGCTCCAAGGGCGATCCTAGAAACCCTCAGCCAACACGGCCCTGCCTGAGCATGTGTGCCCTGGAAGTCCCCAAGAAACCCACAGGCAAAGGGGGCTGTAATGGTTTCTGTCCCCTTAAAAAAGATATGTTGAAGTCCTAACCTCCAGCACCTCAGAATATCCCCTTATTTGGAAATAAGGTCTTTAGAGTTAAGTTAAAATGAGGTCATTAGGGTGGGCCCTAATCTAATCTGGCGTCCTTATGAAAAGGGGATATTTATACACAGGGACCTGCAGAGAGGGAAGACTATGTGAAGAGACACTGGGAGATGGCTCTCCATGAGCCAAGGAATGCCTGGGACTACCAGAAGCCAGGAGGGAAGTGTGAAGCCAATTCTCTCACAGCCCTGAGAAGGAACCAGCCCTGCTGGCCTCTTGATCTTAGACTTCCAGCCTCCAGAATTGTGAGAGAACAAACTTTTGTTGTTTAAGCTGCCTAGGCTGTAGTACTTTTTTATGACAGCCCTGCGAAACCAGTACACTCACTATCACTGGGCCATCTGGCACTGACAACACAGCTTTGCACTTGGCCCATTGCAGATTCAGGGCAGAGGCGCATCCACCCTAACATGAGGCTCCACCTCCAGGGCCCAGGAGGGGCCCTAACAAAGTATCCACATGATTCCATGGTTTTGGTGTAGTGTAAACTGGGCCATTTTAACACAAATAGAGCTAAAGAAAAGGGAAGTTTACTCACCATCAGCTCTGCCTATGAAAGAAGAAAAAGGCCCAAGAAAACAGCATGAAGGGGACATCCCCAGAACCTCTAAAGAAACCCTTTAACACACTGCCTAGCTTGTCCCCCAAGGGCCCAGTGTGAAAGGGAGGTAGGGATGTCAATCCACGTTTTCACCAGGAGGAGAAAATGACCAATGATAGCACATGTAGGTCCACTAGGAACAAAGCGGGCGCTAAGTAGAAGACACACAAGGGACTGGCCTGAAAGAGCAGCGTCCGTGTGTACTTTTTTTTTTTTTTTTCTTCTCCTGAGATGGAGTCTCACTCTGTTGCCCAGACTGGAGTGCAGTGGCATGATCTCAGCTAACTACAACCTCTACCTCCCAGATTCAAGCAATTCTCATGCCTTAGCCTATGAGTAGCCTACGAGCAACTGGGATACAGGTGCGCATCACAACTCCATTTTTGCATTTTTAGTAGAGATGAGGTTTCACCATGTTGGCCAGGCTGTTCTCGAACTCCTGACCTCAAGTGATCCAACCGCCTCAGCCTCCCAAAGTACTGGGATTACAGGTGTGAGCCACCGCCCCTGGCCCCATGTGTCCTTCCTAAGAACTGTAGCCCTGCTATTGGGCCCTGACCCTGCTGGACTGTATCCTCTGCCACCCGGGAGGGACCTATTCTTCTTTCCCACTTGCTTCAGAGAAAAAGTGAGGTCACACATTATCTGGGAACTGCCTTGATCACTGCTATTATAAATGGGGGCCAACCCTTCCAGGGGCAGCTCAGCCACAGAGCTATTTTACAACAGAATGTGAGACATTAGAGAGGCTAGTTGAACGAGGATAACAGCCAGCATGTCTTATAGTGAGCACTCCCAGAGCCCACTGGGGTCTGAGCCCCCTAGTTCTGCCCTCATCCCAAACCACTTGCATCCTCACAAAAGCCTCTCTTCCTGTAAACCCACCCAGTCCTTCCCCTTCACCCTCAACTCCCTGTCCCTTGAGGGCCAGGCATTGGAGGAGAAGGGCTGTGTCCTAGCTTTAAAACTCACCATGGCTGTCTAGGCGTGGTGGCTTATGCCTGGAATCCCAGTTACTCAGAATGCTGAGGCAGGAAGATCACTTAGAGCCCAGGAGTTTGAGGATGCATTGAGCTATGATCATGTCACTGTCCTTTAGCCTGGGCAAAAGAGTGAGACCCTACCTCTAAAACCAAACAAAAACTCAACATGGTTTACCAATACCCTAAGGAAAAAATCAAGGCCCTTTGTCTAGGTACAAATGAAGCCCTCATTTGTCTCAATATGAAAGATACAAGTGTTCTGAGCCCCAGGAATTCCCTCCATCCAATATTTCAGGCCTCCCTGAGATGTTGCTTACATGGATGACTTGGCTGCTGTCTAACAAGGGGCACCAGGCATCAGCAGGTTCCATAGCCAGGCCCCAGAGCCACAAGCAGCCCCCAAGATGTGCTACACCTGCTGAACTTCCTGACCCACTCTCCTGCCTATTCAAGCATGCCACACTTAGGCAGCAGTGCCCCCCAGCAAGGGTGCCTGGGCCTAAGGCATTGTGACTCAGGGGCCAGCTCTCTCCATGCCCACACCCAGATGCCTTCAAGCTGCAGGGGCTGGGGTAAGGATGCCCTCCTCCCTCCTGTATCATGAGGCCAGATTCCTCCCCGCCAGGGACCCTTTGCCCTTTCCTAGAATCTGACTTTGCTTGTCACCACCCCATCTCTGATGGTGTCTATCATCTTGAATATCACAAGGCTCCCTTTTCAAGAGCAGCATCCTCCTAACCCCTATATCAAGCAGTGACTGCAAAAAGAAGGCGGGGGAGCCTTTTATGTGACCTCACCCACTGACAGCATCTGTGCTGCAGGCCCCAGCTAGCATCTTGTCAGCCTTATCTCTCTCCTTTCTCTGCCCTGAGCTTTCTACTCCAACTACTGGTCACTCCCTGCATGTCTGTGGTCCAGCTGTCCCCTTTGCCTCCAGCTCCCTCACCAAACCCTCTCTCTACTCACTTATGCAACCGACATGCACTCATCCTTTACCCCCGCACCGCTCCTGGCTACCACCTCAGGCTGCTCCCTAGCTCCTTGTACTTCTCTTATTGCTACCTTGCACGTTGATTATTAATTATCTATTTACCTGTAGGCCCCGCTAGACGAAGAGCTGACCGCTCAGAGAATGGTTACGAAAGGGACAAACAAGCCAACAAACGAAGTCCAGTCTCCCCATTTGTTGTAACCGCCGGGTCCCCTTTGGTTGCCATGGCACTTGAGGCCAGAAAGTCCTCAGCTCCCAGGTGAAGTCCTCCACCAGCTGCCCATTCCTGGGGGTGGATGCCGTGACAGCCACGCCAGATTGTCAGGTGATACTTATTTTGTAAACTCAAATTAACAGGAAGCAATTTCATTAACAGATAGTGCTGCTTGAGGAGCTCCAATTTAGGGCTTATTTTTAGTGTCCTTAAAAGCTGTGTGGAGCAAGCTGAAGCGCTGGATCTGATTTAATGGAAATTGACTGACATGCATGTCTCACTCGGGTACATCGGAGACCCTGAGGCCTTTCCCTTGGGCTGTGAAGGCCCCTCCAAGCCACAGAGCCATTCTCCACTTTGAGGACAGGGGTGGAGAGGGGCAGACAGGGGTGCAGCTTGGCTTGTGGGTACCATTAGAGAAGGGACCTTAACCTGGCAAACATCTCCTCCACCCTGGGGAAGCTTTCCACCTGGCCAGGAAAAAGACACACGTGGATAAAGAAGTCACAGACGTGCCAACTACTCAGCGAGGCCAGGGAGCCAGGAGCATCATGGAGATAAGCCAGCCGCCCGGAGAAGAGCTGCTCCACACACTAGCACTGGCCACAACCAAGCTAGGGCCAAGTCACATAGCCCACAAGACACAATGTCCTGTGTTCAGAAACAGTTCCAGAGAGATACCAAACTTTCTTTGGCATTTCTTCAGAAACGCTTGTGCCTCTCCCTCTCCTCCTACTCCTCACCATTGTACTCAGCCTCGCTCTTTCCACCTCCCGCCCACAACCTCCATCACCCGCAGCTGTTTGTGATGTGAATCAGCAGCCCCAGTTATTTCTCCTTTACCCGTCACCCGGACTCTCTATCCACAGAACAAAAGCAGCAGGCTCACCTGGGAGCTTGTTAGAAATGAAACTCCAGGACCCCACTGAAGACCTATGGAATCTGAAACTTGGAGGGCGGGCCCAGTCATCTGTGTAACCAGGCCCCCAGGGGATTCAGATGCACACTCGAGCCACTGCTTTACCTCAAAGGAGAGCCTGGGAGCTGGTCCACAAGGAGATTCCTCCCACCCTTTCTCCTCCACCTCTCCTGTGTTGTCTCTTCTGCCCATTTTCCAGATTGGGCATTATAGAAATCTGCAAAATAAGATGACCAAGACCGAACTTGTAGACAGTGATGAATGCCAAGGGGCAATCCTCTTTGAAGGAAGGGGGGAACCCTCATACACCAAGAAATCTTGTCTTTTTTTTTTTTTTTGAGACAGAGTCTCGCTTTGTCGCCCAGGTTGGAGTACAGTGGTGCAATCATGGCTCACTGCAACCTCTGCCTCCCAGGTTCAAGCAATTCTCATGCCTCAGCCTCCCAAGTAGCTGGGATTACAGGCACCCGCCACCACACCAGGGTAATTTTTGTATTTTTAGTAGAGACGGAGTTTCACCATGTTGGCCAGGCTGGTCTCAAACCCCTGACCTCAGGCAATCCACCTGCCTCAGCCTCCCAAAGTGCTGGGATTATAGCATGAGCCACCACACCCGGCCTTCTTGTCTCTTTTATGCCATGCATATTTGGCCTCTCCACCACAAGTTAGGCAAGGAAATAAAACTGGGCCTCAGGAGCCTCACACGGAGCCCAGGCATTCTGAAGCTCTTCCTCACTTTTCTACAGCAGATGTCCAGGATTCAGAGGCAAATCGCTGCTTTCTAGGAGTCTCTACCCACAGCTACAGAACTCCACCTTGAACAGGGGTCAGTGTGTTGTTCCTGCTCCTTGCTGAAGCTACTAATAGGATCACACGAGGCTGAGTCCATTGGACTGGCTCAAGTCAAAAGGAAAGAGGGACCTCCGTTCCTCCATCCAGGTGGGATGGATTCACGTGTCACCCCAGGGGCAGGAAGCAGCACTCCCTCCCCATCCGGGGACTATGACCATGTCACACGGGAGGGCGGTACATCTTTGGTTCTTAGGTTGACTTTCTACCTTGTTCCTCTGGAGCCTGGGCTCCTGGTGGGGTAAGGACAAGAAAGGCCAGGAGGCTATGGTAACTCGGACTACTTATGTCTGGGTCAGCTACTCTGCACTTTAAAGGGCAAGTTGCACACCTGTTGTGAGCAATACCTTTGTTCTTCCTGTCTTCAGTGCCTTCCGCATGCATCATCTCACATGCCGGACAGGCCTGGTGTTACCCCCGTTTTACAGGCGAAGGAACTGAGGCTCCTATAGGTTGTCTTTCTCAGTCAAAGCACAGTCCATGATAGGCATCTCCTGGGAACTTGATAGAAATGGACTCTTCGCCGGGCATGGTGGCTCACACCTGTAATCCCAGCCCTTTGGGAGGCCAAGGCAGGTGTATCACGAGGTCAGGAATTCAAGACCAGCCTGGCCAAGATGGTGAAACCCCATCCCTACTAAAACTACAAAAATTAGCCGGGCGTGGTGGCAGGCACCTGTAATCCCAGCTACTTGGTAGCCTGAGGCAGGAGAATCGCTTGAACCCGGGCAGCAGAGGTTGCAGTGAGCTGAGCTCGCGCCACTGCACTCCAGCCTGGGTGACAGAGTGAGACTCCATCAAAAAAAAAAAAGAAAGAAAGAAAAGAAAAAAAATGGACTCTTCAGCCCCACTCTGACCTGCTGAATCAGAATCTGCATTTTAGCAAGATCCCCAGGTATACTGAGAAGCACTGGGCTGGGATCTACCTGAGGTCTGGGAGCAGTCCAAGATTCTTCTTTTTAACAGTGATGTCATACTTTGGGTGGTAAGGACCTAAGAGATTAGTAGCAAAAGGCCTACTTTCTTGCTTGAGCCCCTGCTTGCTAGCTTGAGGACTCTGTTAAACCATACTTATTTTGCTTTTAGCTACCCAGAAGGAGAGGAGGTGGCCGTCTGTGTTCTCCAAACTTCTGGGACTCCTCAAGGAGTGAAGTCTGATCTACGCACGGAACCAACCACCACGGCAAAGGAAGAGCGATGGCGCCCCCATGTGGCAACACAAGCACTGCGATTTCACACAAGACCAAATCAGAATTGGCCGGAGGGGAACGTCAGATTCTTAGGGAGTGTTACTCCAACTAATGCTACACTCAGGGCGACTTCTTGGAAGGCAAAAGCCCCATAGTCTAGCCATACAACTTTCCAGAAAAGTAGCACTCTTCAAAACAGCTGGCATTAAAATTCTTGGCTCTGCCATCCACCCGTTCTGTGAGACTCTTTCCTCATCCCCAAAAATGGAAGGTCTGATGACTTCAAAAAGAGTTTTACCGTTTTTCCCCTCATTGAAAATAATAGAAAACAGTAAAATACTGCATTTCTGCCTTCAAGTATTCACTGAGCGCCTTCTCCATTCCCTGCTTCTTGCCGGGCTGCACGGAGGCAGCTGTAACCCAGGCAGAGTCCCTCCTTCAGTTGTGGGATGTAGAAGACAAGGACAGGACCAGTCACAGAGGAAAGACCTTCACTCATGCTGCGGCCTCCTTTACCACTGCATGGGCCCTTTCAACTTTCCTAACCCAGACAGCTCACCGGCTCCTCATGGCAGCCTTACACGGGTCCTACAAAGCTCCCCACTGGCACTCCTGAAAGGTACCCTATAACTGGAACCATCCTTTTGTGGAATATATACTGACCCAGCTCATCCTTAGAAATCCTTTGCTGGGATTTACATCCTGGAAGCTGGGCCACTGACTGGTCTTCCAAGACCATCTGTTTCCAGCTTTCTCTTCTGCAAGCATTAGCTGAGTCTAATTTAAATAATAGATATTTTAAAATACATTTTAAAGTTCATGTAGAAAAAAAAATGGGAGACCTCCAGTATGTGGTGAGTAAAGGTCTGCTTACTTGTGATAAAGTACTTGCAGTGCTTTCTCTCCCTCAACTGATCCAGGACTCCAAATCTAATAGTCCATCTCGCCCTTGAAGGATGTAAACCCAGACACACTAGTGAACAGGCCCGATAAAAACACAGCTTTCTGTAGTCTTTTCTGTGTTGTGTTTGAAGCTGGCGAATGCCACTTACGAAGGGAGAGTAAAGAGTCTCTACTCACCCTGTCCTAATGACGTGTGCTGAAACTGGAGGAATAAGGTCAGGATTAGCCTGGCACTTGCCCATGGATATTGAGCAAATCTGGAAAGCATTCTGTATTTTTTTAAATACTCTGAGGTCTTTCCTTCCCTGATCCTCCAGAAATTTACACCCTCCTTTATCTTTCCAGATGTGTTGCTTGTACCTCAACTTGGCCATTTTCCCTATTTGCCTCCTAGACTGATGCTTAAGAAGTCACCTCTTTAGTTTCTACACTTCTTGCAATATCTGCTCAAAATAGCAGTTCACAAAAACAGTGGCATTCCAGGTTAGAGGGTCATGGCCCAGGGCTGCCCCAGCCAAAGCCAAGTACATCCAAGGAATGTACTGGCAACTCCAAGATTCCCAATGGTCTCAAGTAAGTGGTGGGAACCATCCCCATTTACACACAGGACACTGCCCAACCTCCTTTCTCGCAGACTGATGCCTCATTTCAGAGGCCAAGCTTCTTTTTTTTTTTTTTTTTTTGCTTTTTTTTTTTTATTTTTTTTTTTTATTTTTTTTTTTTTAATTTATTTTTTTATTGATAATTCTTGGGTGTTTCTCACAGAGGGGGATTTGGCAGGGTCATGGGACAATAGTGGAGGGAAGGTCAGCAGATAAACAAGTGAACAAAGGTCTCTGGTTTTCCTAGGCAGAGGACCCTGCGGCCTTCCGCAGTGTTTGTGTCCCTGATTACTTGAGATTAGGGATTGGTGATGACTCTTAACGAGCATGCTGCCTTCAAGCATCTGTTTAACAAAGCACATCTTGCACCGCCCTTAATCCATTTAACCCTGAGTGGACACAGCACATGTTTCAGAGAGCACAGGGTTGGGGGTAAGGTCACAGATCAACAGGATCCCAAGGCAGAGGAATTTTTCTTAGTGCAGAACAAAATGAAAAGTCTCCCATGTCTGCTTCTTTCTACACAGACACGGCAACCATCCGATTTCTCAATCTTTTCCCCACCTTTCCCGCCTTTCTATTCCACAAAGCCGCCATTGTCATCCTGGCCCGTTCTCAATGAGCTGTTGGGCACACCTCCCAGACGGGGTGGTGGCCGGGCAGAGGGGCTCCTCACTTCCCAGTAGGGGCGGCCGGGCAGAGGCGCCCCTCACCTCCCGGACAGGGCGGCTGGCTGGGCGGGGGGGCTGACCCCCCCACCTCCCTCCCGGACGGGGCGGCTGGCCGGGCAGAGGGGCTCCTCACTTCCCAGTAGGGGCGGCCGGGCAGAGGCGCCCCTCACCTCCCGGACAGGGCGGCTGGCTGGGCGGGGGGGCTGACCCCCCCACCTCCCTCCCGGACGGGGCGGCTGGCCGGGCAGAGGGGCTCCTCACTTCCCAGTAGGGGCGGCCGGGCAGAGGCGCCCCTCACCTCCCGGACAGGGCAGCTGGCTGGGCGGGGGGGCTGACCCCCCCCACCTCCCTCCCGGACGGGGCGGCTGGCCGGGCGGGGGGCCGACCCCCCCACCTCCCTCCCGGACGGGGCGGCTGAGGCCAAGCTTCTTGACCAAGTACTCAGCACCTGCAGCCTCACCTCAAGCCCCTTCACCCCACCCAGCTCCCACCCTACTGAAGCATCTAACCCTGCTGGCCACTGCCACATCTCACATCTCTAGCTCCCTTCCTCCCAACATGCTTTATGCATCATAACTCCTCTCTGGCAGTTCCTTCTTTCAAAGCTTTTACTTCCTCTTCCTAACACATCTCAACACAAGCCTTCATCCCGTCAATGAGGAACACGACTCCAGCCCCAAAAGCTTCCATCCACACCCACCTGGAGCTTCGATGTCTCAACCCCACCCAGGAAAACTTCTCAATCTAAACTCCCACCACATCTCCAATGACTCAAGACTAGAAGCTCCACATGTACAATCATATCCCGTATTCTAGGTTTGAAACCTTGGAGCCATTCTTCTTAAAACACACTTCTAGTTTTCTTAACATTATAAAATTCCTAAATGCTTTTATTAGTGACAGGAGGCGGTGGGGGGTAGGGGCTTGTCTCCCCATGTTGCCCAGGCTGGTCTTGAACTCCTGGACCCAAGAGATCCTCCCACTTTGGCTGGGATTACAGGCATGAGCCACCATGCCTGGCCCTAAATGCTTATTGTAGCAAACTCTGAAAACAGAAACAAGCAAAAATAAACAATCACCCACAATCCCACCCTAAAAACCACTTCATCTGGGAAAATCCTTCTGGCTTTTTTATTGCAAACCCATTTAATGTTCTTTCAAAACATGAGAGGCTATGTAGTTTTATAACCTACATTGTGTGTGTAAAAATGTAGGCCAGGCATGGTGGCTCACACCTGTAATCCTGGCACTTTGGGAGGCCAAGGTGGGCAGATCACAAGGTCAGGAGTTCGAGACCAGCCTGGCCAATACAGTGAAACCCTGTCTCTACTAAAAATACAAAAATTAGCAGTGCGTGGTGGCGCACGCCTCCAGTCCGTTACTCGGGAGGCTGAGGCAGAAGAATCACTTGAACCCGGGAGGCAGAGGTTGCAGTAAACCAAGATCCCGCCACTGCACTGCAGCCTGGGTGACAAAGCGAGACTCCATCTCAAAAAAAAAAAAAAAAAATACACACCTTTCTGTTAAAGCCACTTAAAATTATTGAAATAGATCAAGTGTACATGAGTACACTATCAAGTCAGATCAAAAAACAAGCATCACCAAGCCTCACATCATGTTGTCACTACTCCACAAAGAGTAACTACTATCCCAACTTCTAAAGCATGGTTTTCAGCTGGAACCATGCTTACATCTTCCCTCTTCCTGCAGGTACCAAAACCAGCAATTTTCCCCTTCATTTGGCTGTCCCCTCAAAGGTGGACTAAGTCCCACTACCTCCAACAACCCCCAGGCCCCCTGTGCCCCTGCAAAGCAGCTCCCACTGCCCCACAACAGAACCCTGATCTCTCAGGCCCCCACCTTTTAAGGAGACAGGGTATCACTTTATCACCCAGGCTGGAGTTGCAATAGCACAATCTCAGTTCACTGCAGCTTTGACCACCTGGGCTCAAGTGATCCTCCTGCCTCAGCCCCCCAAGTATCTGGAATCACAGGTGCACACCACCACACCCAGCTATCTCAGCTCTTTCTACCACATCTAACAATTCCCCTACAGAAACCACTTACATGCTCAGGAGGAAACCAAACCTACTAGACACACGTTTCTCAGACACGTGGCTACAATAGGCCCTGGGTAGGCCCTGGCAGGTAAGCTGCTCCTACAGCCAGAGGACTAGGACTGTGCAAGGGGCATGACCCAGGGAACAAGACCCCTGACCCCTCCTCGTCTAGACCCATGCCTTATCCAGTTAAGGTCTTTTTCACTGGCTTAGTGCCCTTTAAACACCCATCACCACCACATACATACACCAACACACATTCCACGCAGCCACACCACACATCCAGTGGCGCCAACTATTCTAGCACACTCTGGACCGCGCTGTTCTTTGGCCAGGTGTAAGTCCTAGCACTTACCTTTATGCCATAACCCCCGCCTTCTGCTAACAAAACCCTCAAAGTAAGGCCCAGTCACAGGAGCAAGACAAGGATTCCTAACACCAAAGGAACTGGGCCAAGACTCAACTGGAGAGTTTGAGTACAGAAAAATTAGGCAACATTTTCTCACAAAGTAGGCAGTGTGCTTCAGCTGTCACTCTTCAGACTGGAAGTCTTCAACGGATGTTAAGTGAAATTTAGCTCAGAGGGTTCCTACTCCTAGAGAACATTTTTATTGAAAACACACCCCCCGCCCCCACCCCACACACACATACACACAGACACACACACATACACACACACCCCCACACACACACCCAGCAGCCTTCATTATGGAATTAAGGAAACCATTCAAGTTTAAGACAGGTTTATTTTATTAGTTTTTCCTAAACTTGTCTCATGTTTACTGAATGATTTTCTTAGTGTAAGAACGTGACCTGGAGCTTTAACAAATCAGTTTGGATAACGCAACCTGGATAAATGCTTGTCTGTACACAAGCCATCAATTACCACTCTCTGTCCTGGCCTCCATGAAAATCCAATTGGTCTTAAAGCCTGTCTAAGCAGAGAGCAAGCAGACCACATCATCGTGTTTCAACTTGAAATTCACCCCCATCCCAGCACCCACACCCTTCCCCACACACACACACACACACACCAAAAAAAAAAAAAAAAAAAAAAAAAAAAAAAAAAAAAATTTTTTTTTTTTTAAGAAGAAATGGCCATTACGGTCTGGGCCAGTTGTAAAGGGTTGGCTTAATCCTGCAGCCAGCACTTTTAAAATAGCTACTGGCTTCACAGCAGGCCAGCTGGAACTCTTGAAGCATGACAGGTAGAGAACAGAGGATGTGCTAAGAACCTGGCCTTGTTGTGGTGCCTCGAGGCCTCCATGCATGCTTACACACCAACATAAGTATACTTTCCCCTTCCTCCTCCTAAGCAATTGTTCTCCATTGCACTTTAGAGCCTGTAACACTCAAACTTTTCAATGTTATCTAGAGATGGACAAACGCTTAATTCTAACTATGCAAGATAGCATCTTATTTCTAACAACATAGGCCAAAAGTAACAGAGAGGCACTCTGTTATACAGAATATCAATTTTTACAAAGATTCAAAACATTACCAACAAGCCCTGTAACAGTTTCTTAAAGCAGGTACCAACTCTGGCCTCAAACACAGGCTTCCCTTGGAGTTTCCAAAATGCCTCACTCCTGTCAACACTGCCCCAAAAAGCAGTCAGAGGAATGCTTTGGTATACCTGACATTGGCCACACAGTTAAGAATGAGGTGTTGTTATAACATCAGGCACCACACTTCTTTAACACTAATTTCAGACTCATCCAGTACAATCCAGTGTATCTTAGTTTTTTTTGCATCATCTGTCAGCTGCTTAACACGTACAAATTGGCAGGTTCATGACAGATATTAACACTTAACACACAAGTGATTGTGAATGAGCTAAAAAGAACTTTTAACTCTTGTTCTAGGAGTTCAAGCTATACCTCAAAATTATACAGAACATCTCCCACCTGAATAAACAGGCCAGGATACAAATCTTTACACCAAAATTAACAAGGATTTAATTCCTCAGTTAAATTTACCATGGCTATATCCAACAGTATATCTACCCAATTCTAATCTTCTGAAAATTATTTAGACCTTGATGCTTGGGGTATTCATGAACATACTTTCAGGAAGAGCCTCCAGGTTTAAAGCCCTCAGTTAACAACTTACTCTAGGCAAGGGGGTCTATTTTCCCAAGAGAAGTACATGGCATTTATAATGGGAGCCCTTTTATTGGGAGAGAGGGAAGAGAACACAGGTGAGGGTGAAGGTGAAATATGAAGAAGCTCAGAGCACACCTTTGTTCCTCTGCCGTGTTAATCCATGCCGTGCCATGCTCCAGCCCTCACAAAGAGGGGGACCCCATCCCCACACCAGGCAGGGAGCATTTAAAGCAATCTCCACAACAGATTTTTAAAGCATAATTAGAGCTCCTGCCATGTAAGTCATAATGAAAAGTCTGCTGGATAGCTAGAGCTGTAGCTATAGCTCAACTTTCCAAAACAAACTTATTCTTGTAGACACATGGTTAAACATAAAGGAGTGAAGCATAAGCTCAGTAAGACTAACTGGGCTTCTAAATAGTACCATTATGAAAAAGATACAATGCACTTAATTTCTGTATCTAACTATTTAGAAGTGAAAATGCTCCATACATTACCTATTTCCCCTCCCCGAAAATCCCCTAAAAACTGACTAAGAAATCTTCAGTATTCACTTGCGCTAGTTGATATTTAGAACAAAGTTGACAACTTAAAGCTTTATAATAGTCTGTTTTAATAGAAACAAGTGTTGGAATCAATCAATGTCCATTTCAGGAAGCTTCTTGTCTGAATCCGAAGGCACAGCTGTGTCTGTACCCTGCTCAGCAGCCTGGGGGCCTGGGTTGTCTCCTTGTCCATCCACTGGTCCATTCTGCTCTGCATTTTTTTGTTCCTCTTTTGGAGGTTCCACTTTGGGTTTGGGCTTTGAAATTATAGGGCTACAAGTACTTGTCAGCTCCTGGAATGGGTAAGACAGAAAACTGGTTTCTTATAAAATTAACAAATTTTACAAGCCATGCTAAACCCAAATCCGCCCTCTCCCACCACCCAATCCTCAACCTAGAAGCTAAAACACTATAATAAAGTTCCCTCCTAAGTGTCACTTGAGGACTATTAATAATAAGGCTGTCAAGAAAAGACTATTAAAAAAAAGTCTTAAATTACCTTAATTTTAGCTTCAATCTCTTTTGACTTGACAACTGGATCCATGGTCAAACTCTGCTTGTTCTGCAGATTTAGCTTGTTATTCATCCACTCCATTGCTTCATTTGTGCTTTTTTCTACCTTTGTCATGTCAGCAGCATCCAAATGATCATACTGGTCCTCCTGCAACCAGGAGACAGTCAAACAAGTGCTAAAAGTGTGATACCCTCCCTCCCCGCAACTACTGTCTAGTTTCTGCCATTTTTCAAAAACTTATAATCTTTCAAAAAATAAAGCATATTTAGCCTCACAATCTGAACAGAATTATTCAAAAGAAACCTAACCACAATTTTTGAATACACTCAGGATAGATTTAAATTTTAAAGGTCAAGAAAATTCATAAGGTATCAATTAAAAGGCTTCAACAAGATAAACAGCAGCACCCGATTTATACAAAATCTTAGGAAGATAATTTCACAATGCAAAAAAATTACATTAGATATGAGAGCTGAAGTTTCAGCATGCTAGTTCGGAACCAAAACTATAATGAATACTATTTTTAAAAGAAGGCCTTTGACGTGAACCCAGGAGGCGGAGCTTGCAGTGAGCCGAGATCACACCACTGCACTCCAGCCTGGGCAACAGAGCGAGACTACATCTCAAAAAAAAAAAAGAAGAAGAAGGCCTTTCGGGCTAGGCGTGGTGGCTCACGCTCGTAATCTTAGCACTATGGGAGGCTGAGGCAGGAGGATCGCTTAAGCTCATGACTTCAAGACCTGGACAACACAATGAGCCCATCTCCACAAAAAATACAAAAATTAGCCAGGCATGAGGGCCATGTGCCTATAGTCCCAGCTACTCAGGAGGCTGAGACAGGACAGTCACTTGAGCCCAGGAGGTTGAGGATGCAGTGAACTACGATCACACCACTGCACTAGAGCATGGGCAACAGACTGAGACCCTGTCTCACAAAAAAGAAGGAGGAAAAAAAAACAAAAAAAGGAGGGGCCTGATGGCTAATGCCTATAATCCTAGCACTTTGGGAGGTTGAGGTGGGTGGATCATTTGAGCTAAGAAGTTCAAGACCAGCCTGGGTAACATGGTGAAATGCCATCTCAAAAAAAAAAAAAAAAAGACAACCCTAGTTGGGTGTGGTGGTACGTGCCTATAGTCCCAGCTACTTAGAAAGTAGCTGAGGCAGGAGAACTGCTTGAGTCAGAGAGATTGAGGCTGCAGTGAGCCGAGATTTCACCACTGCACCCCAGCCTGGGTGACAAAGTGAGAACTTGTCAAAACACAAAAACAAACAAACAAACAAAAACCCACAAAAGCTCAATTTATCATTCAAAGTTTCTTACACTAACAATATGTCAAGAACCTGGGGTATAATGGAGGAACTTTATACTCCAAAGTCTGAACTTTGGAGTCAGACTTCTGGCTAAATGACAGTTCTCCCAATTTAGTGACCCTGAATGTTGCTTAAGGAAAGTGAGGCTTCAATAAGTTGGAATTTATCTATAAATGTTGATACCACCCCCTACCTTATAAAGGTACTGTGTGGATAATTACTGGCCTCAGGTGTTAGAAAGACCAGGATAGTGCATGTTAAGTCAAACACCAACGAAAAGGAAACTGAACAACACTGTTCAATTCCAGATTCCACCTATTAAAGAGATACAGCAAATCCTATGGTTCTTATTAAGACGCTATAAAACATTACACATTACATTAATATCCAAAATAAAAAGTGCTATTAAACAAGTTAATGAGAACAAGAGAAAAAAATGCTATGTAAATGCCTCAGAAGTTAACTTTACGGCCGGGAGCAGTGGCTCACGCCTGTAATACCAGCCAGCACTTTGGGAGGCCAAGGCAGGTGGATCACTTGAGGTCAGGAGTTCGAGACCAGCCTGGCCAACATGGCAAAACTCCATCTCTACTAAAAATACAAAAATAAGCTGGGCGTGGTGGTGCACGCCTGTAATCCCAGCTACTCGGGAAGCTGAGGCAGGAGAATTGCTTAAACCCAGGAGGTGGAGGTTGCACTGAGCCGAGATTGTACCACTGTACTCCAGCCTGGGCAACAGAGCAAGACTCCGTCTCAAAAAAAAAAAAAAAAAAAAAAAGTTAACTTTACTAAAATAAGAGTAGGACAAAGAAAAAAGTTACCTTGTTTTTGAAAGAGCTGATTATTTTCATATACTGTTGGATCTGTTTCCCTAGTTCTTCAAATAATTTTGGTCGTTCTTCAGATTCCTGGAAACGTATCTTAATAGGTTGACCTAGATTCTTAACAGAAGAATACACAGTCTTCATACGGCAGTTCAACGATCCAGAGTACTGATTCCACTAAAACTAGTGATAAAGTACATTTAATCTCCGTGTGCTATATATAAGAAGTTAAATATATTTCTCCAGGCCTTTGGAAATATGAAGCTACTTCAGGAGGGGAATGAAACTATACCTCAACACTGATCCATCTGGAATCGCTTCAATTTGTCACCTGAGCCCTCAAAACACAGCAGGGAGACCACCAAAAATTAGGTGCCTCCTAATGGAGATACACAGTACTAAATATAAAGTATACTTGCCAAAAATAAAAAATGTTTTAATTTAAAATCTTAAACATCTGAATCTGATGGAGCCTCTAAATGTAACCATCAATTTAACAAATAATGTTAAATACCACCAGGGAGGTGAAAATCAGCAAAATCCAACTAGAGGAAAATCCTACAGGACCAATGATCCAATTTCCTCATAAACTAAATAAGGAAAGGGTGGGGCGACATGGGGAAATAACGGAAGAAGAACTATAGACACAGTTATAAGCGACATCAATAAAATCTATGAGCCCTATACGGATACTGATTCAAACAAAAAAATCATTTATGAAATAACTGGAACTTGAAAACTTAATACAACAGTGATATTAAGATGTGCTTGGTCAGGTTCGGTGGCTCATGCCTGTAATCCCAGCACTTTGGGAGACCAAGGCAGGAGAATTGCTTGAGTCCAGGAGTACCCATACCAGTCTGGGCAACACAGGGAGACCCTTTCCCTACAAAAAAAATTAAAACAGCCAGGCGTGATGGCGCACAGCTGTAGTCCTAGCTACTTGGGAGACTAAGGCAGAAGGACCACTTGAGCATGGGAGGTCGAGGCTGCAGTAAGCCGTGATAACACCACTGAACTCCAGCCCGACTGACAGAGTGAGATTCAAAATGGCCCAGTTCCACAAGAAACCAAGTAATCCAGAGCTAAATTTAAAGAGAAATGTAAAAAGTTCATTCTTGTGCATCTGCAACCTTTTCTGAACAAAAGGCCTCAATTTTATGTAATTCTTTCATGTTTAATCCTAATGTTAAAAGATCAGATGCTGGGACTACAGGCACCCGCCACCACGCTCGGCTAATTTTTGTATTTTTAGTAGAGACAGGGTTTCACCTTGGTCTCGATCTCCGACCTCGTGATCCGCCCGCCTAGGCCTCCCAAAGTGCTGGGATTACAGGCATGAGCCACCGCGCTTGGGAGGCTGAGGCAGGAGAATGGCGTGAACCCGGGAGGCGGAGCTTGCAGTGAGCCAAGGTCACGCCACTGCACTCCAGCCTCGGCAACAGAGCAAGGCTCCGTCTCAAAAAAAAAAAAGATCAGATGCTTTAAATACAAAACCAGATGCTTTGGCTAGGCATGGTGGCTCACACCTATAATTCCAGCACTTCGGGAGGCCAAGGCATGCAGATCACTTGAAGTCAGGAGTTCAAGACCAGCCTGGCCAACATGGTGAAAAGAAACCCTGTCTCTACTAAAAATACAAAAATTAGCTAGGCATGGTGGCACGCGCCTGTAATCCCAGCTACTCTGGAGGCTGAAGCATGAGAATCCCCTGAACCCAGGAGGCAGAGGTTGCAGTGAGCCGAGACTGCGCCACTGCACTCCAGCCTGGGCAACAGAGCAAGACTGTGTATTTAAAAATAAATAAATGAATAAATAAATAATAAATAAATAAAATAATAAAAAATAAACCACCAGATGCTTTGCTTTTATCAAGAATCCAAACTACATAAACAGAAACAGCCCTGCTCCAGCTGCATTCCCTGTGCCTTTAGGGCAGGTACTAAGTCTTGCAGTCATTTTATCTCTTGACACCAAGAATGCACTAAACATCCAGTTCAGTGAAACATTACAAACCTAAAGTCAATTTTCAGAAAAATCATTTTGTTATTACAAGGTTCTAAAAGTGAGAATGATAATGAGCCTAAGTCATAAAGGGTTTATTTTAGTTCATCAAACATCATTTTCAGTCTGTCTTTACTTGAGAATTCCTCCCAAATTTGAGCTCCTCAGAGGAAGCTTCAACAAGGGTTCTGGATACCTCTGCTCTCAAGAGTCACTTACTTTTAATTCAGCCAACTTATCAACATAAACTTGCTTTGGCTGGTCTTCTCCATCCTCATACAACCAATTTTCAGTATCTTCCAGTTTCAAAGTAAAACTGTTACGATCCTAATGATAAAGAAAATATTATAATTAGGTCAATCAAAAATTACATCCCCAATACAGTCAGAGGCATAGAATATAATGATGTATCTGAGATTTGCTTTAAAATACAGAGGGCAGCCAGGTGCAGTGGCTCACACTTGTAATCCCAGCACTTTGGGAGGCTGAGGCAGGTGGATCACCTGAGGTCAGGAGTTCAAGAACAGCCTGGCCAACATGGTGAAACCCCGTCTCCACTAAAAATACAAAAAAAATTACCCGGGCGTGATGGTAGACACCTGTAATCCCAGCTACTACAAAGGCTGAAGCAGGGGAACTGCCTGAACTCAGGAGGCGGAGGTTGCAGTGACCCAAGATGGGGCCACTGCACTCCAGCCTGGGCAACAGAGCAAGGCTCCATTTCAAAAAAAATAAGATAAGATACAGGGGGAGTAAGGAGATGGGAGATACAGAAAACAAGGATGGCAAATGTTGGTCTACTTGATAGGTATGGGGAGTTTTATTATATTATTCTCCCTGCCGTGGAGGGCTTTCGGTAAGTTAAAAAATTTCAGAATAAAAACTGCATGTAAAAGCAAGTGCATCTGGGAACACTGGCTCACGCCTGTAATCCCAGCACTTTGGGAGGCTGAGGCGGGTGGATCACCTGAGGTAAGGACAGACTAGCCTGGCCAACATGGTGAAACCCCGTCTCTACTAAAAATACAAAAATTAGCCAGGCATGGTGGAGCATGCCTGTAGTCCCAGCTACTAGGGAGGCTGAGGCAGAAGAATCACTTGAACCAGGGAGGTGGAGGTTGCAGTGAGCCAAGATCGTACCACTGTACTCCAGCCTGGGCAATAAGACCGAAACTCCATCTCAAAAAAATAAAAAAATAAAAACAACTAAGTACCCATCAACCAATGAGTAAATAAAGAAAACATGGTAGACCGGGCACGGTGACTCACGCCTGTAATCCCAGCACTCTGGGAGGCCGAGGCAGGTGGATCACGAAGTCAGGAGATCGAGACCATCCTGGCTAACACGGTGAAACCCCATCTCTACTAAAAAAAAATACAAAAAAAAAAAAAATTAGCCAGGCGTGGTAGCAGGCACCTGTACTCCCGGCTACTCCGGAGGCTGAGGCAGGAGAATGGCGTGAACCTGAGAGGCAGAGCCTGCAGTGAGCCAAGATCGCGTCACCGCACTCCAGCCTGGGCGACAGAGCGAGACTCCGTCTCAAAAATAAATAAATAAAAAATAAAAATAAAATAAAGAAAACGTGGTATATACACACCATGGAATACTACTGAGTCATAAAAAGTAGCAAAATAATGTCTTTTGCAGCAACTGGATGGAGCTGGAGGCCATTATTCTAAGTGAAGTAACTTGGGAATGGAAAACCAAATACTGCTATGTTTTCCCTTATAAGTAGGAGCTAAGCTATGGAGCATATGCAGAAATATAATGGACTTTGGAGACTCAAAAGCGGGAGGACAGAAGTGGGGTGTGGGATAAAAAAACTACCATCTTAGGTATGATGTACAGGACGTGGATGACAGGTGCACCAAAATCTCAGAATTCACCACTATATAATTCATCCATGTAACCAAAAACCACCTGTACCCAAGAGCTATTCAAATTAAAAAAAAAAAAAAACTAAAAATTCTGAGTTACAATAAACAGGAAAAAGTGAGCTTTAACAATTTAAAGAAAAATACAGGCTGGGCGCAGTGGCTCACACCTGTAATCCCAGCACTTCGGGAGGCCAAGGCGGGCGGATCACCTGAGGTCAGGAGTTAGAGACCAGCCTGATCAACATGGAGAAATCCCATCTCTACTAAAAATACAAAAATTAGCCAGGCTTGGTGGCACATGCCTGTAATCCCAGCTATTCGGGAGGCTGGGGGAGGAGAACTGCTTGAACCTGGGAGGCGGAGGCTGCAGTGAGCCGAGATCACGCCACTGCACTCCAGCCTGAGCAACAAGAGCAAAACTCTGTCTCAAAAAAAAAAAAAAAAGAAAAGAAAAGAAAGATACAAGATAAATAACAATATTCGAATGTGTCAAAAGTGATTTGTGAACGTGATGCACAAAGACCAAACCTTACTAAACACTGTACTAATAGAGAAATATATAAAAAAATATAAAATTTTGCCCCCCCCAGAAAAACTCCATTTTTAATAATTCTACTATACACATATAGCTGCACACTTCCCTTCTAACCCACTTAAAGATGTTCACAGAAGACACACAGTAGTTAGGCATATTGTGGCAGACTTACATCTTCACTCACAAACTTCTCATATTCACCACTAAGCTTGTCTCTCATTTCATACACATATTCCTCCACTGCGTTCTTAGCATCATTCCGCTCCTTCTCCAGTTTATCCTGCATGATCATCTTACCCTGAGAATAAATATTATGTATAAATCAGACATTAGGACAACTAATTTCCTCTTAAATACCAATATAATTATAAAAGTAGAGACTCTTTCTTCCCCAAATCCTTTTAGTTCTGCAAGTCACATAACAAAGGTAAGTGGGAAGACTAATCCTTGACAGACTTTGAATATCAAAAAGAGTTTTGTAGGTGGGATTAAAAAAAAGAACAATAGAAATATCAAGGTGTAGACACTCAAAAGCAAAATTAAAGAATTTAAGACAAGAGAAATTTAAAAAACTATTGGTTCAATGTCACTAAGTGATATCCTCTGCTGTATTAATATGAGATAAGAAAAATCAAATTCATTCACGCAGTATAAATGCTGAAGTTTCCATAAGACAAAACTATTCTAAGATCCAGTGGAAACCTGGTAAGAAACCTCATAGACAAAAATTAATTCAATAAATGTGCTCACAAATCCCAAACCTTGCATCACTCAGTAAGAGTTACTATATTTACATACTGACTGGCAACGGAAAGGAATAAGCAAAATACTGCCACCATTAATGCCATACGATTTCTCCTACTGAATAACTTCCATGACCACCAACCTCAAATATCCCAATCTCTAGTGAACAAATATACCCACGTATTCAAAAATGAACAATACCTCCCCTACACCAAAGACATTATATGTCAAAATTTTCATAACAGAGCTTCTAGCAATACAGACATCTTAGTACCACCATAAAAGAATTGACATAACATGGGATCTATTGCTTCAACTTGCCCTTACAATACCACACAAAAGTCTAATTTATTTTCTCTAAGTCCAAACAATCAAAAATGCAAAAAGTCACTAGACACAGAGTCTGAATACTATGGTAACATTAATTTGTTAGCTCATTGTTCCAATAGACTTTAAATAACAACCTCATTTTCAATGTACAAGTTGAGCATCTCTCTGTCTATCTGCCATAATAGCTGATTCTCGATTGGCAGGTCCACAGTACTGGTCTTCACTTTTGCCTTCTTGGCTTGGGGTGGTTGGTCCATCTTTTTATCCTTGGATCCAGCTTGAGAGGTCTAAAACAATAGAAATCATTAAGAACAAACACATATACAGACTACCTTAAACTTCAAAATGAGTCATGTTGGAAAACTGTTTTTGCTTTTTTTACTTCGTTCTCTTTTGATGATGATCTAAGTAACTTAGGACTACCATAACATCTAGAAAATAAAAAATAAGTAAATACAATGAGGTATCTAGAGCAGTCAAATTCATAAAAATGGAAGCAGAATAGTGGCTGTCAGGGGATGGGGGAGGGGAATAATGGAAAGTTATTTAATGGGTATAGAGTTTCAGTTTTTCAAGATGAAGTTCTGAAGATTGGTTACACCACAATGTCTATCTACTTAACACTACTGAATGGTACACTTAAAAGCAGTTAAGATGGTAAATTTTATAAAATACATATCTCCTACAATCCCGTATCAATATATAATTACTATTAAAAATTTTTCTACCTTTATTTAAACATATAGACATTCAAATGAAGTTAGTGAGGAGGAGGGTATGAAATATCTATGGATCAGTAGTAACATATTGGTAATTTGATTTCTATAATGTCTGTAACTATTTATATTCTCACAAGGAAAAAACTCATTCCACTGCACCCTGTCCACAAATGAGAATTCATTTAACATCATCTCACTGTTATTCAGTATGAGTTTCTTTTAACCTTTTTCAGACACTTACAAGCCATATGTAACTATTTCCTCAAACTGCCTAGTAATATTTTATCCACTCTTCTCTTAGGATTGCAGTGTTTCTTTCCCCCACAAACAACTGACTCTTCTAGTTTTTTTTGTTTGTTTTTTTGAGATGGAGTCTCGCTCTGTAGCCCAGGCTGGAGTGCAATGGCACAATCTGAGCTCACTGCAACCTCTGCCTCTCAGGTTCAAGAGATTCTCCTGCCTCAGCCTCCTGAGTAGCTGGGATTACAGGCTCCTGCCCAGCTAATTTTTGTATTTTTAGTAGAGATGGGGTTTCACCATGTTGGCTAGGCTGGTCTCGAACTCCTGACCTTAGGTGATCCGCTGCCTCAGCCTCCCAAAGTGCTGGATTACAGGTGTGAGCCACAGCGACTCTTCTAGTTTTTTCTAACTGTATTATTTGTCTACATATAAGTTTTGACTGTCAAATCTATCCATCTTTTCCTTTGAGATTACTTATGTTGCTTTCATACTCTGAAAGCCCTTCCTCATCCACAGATTAGAAAAATATTCACTTCAAGCTTTTTCAACTTTCAACTTTAGAATTCATCTGGAATTCAATTTGTTCTATGATAAAGCAAAACCTTAATGTCATTTCCCACCTCCTATAACTAACTTAAGTCGGCTGCTGAAATTTATCTATCATTTCTATTTCATTTGCCTTTAGAAGCAATGCTATGCAAAAGGCACTTTAGTTTCTGAGCCATCCCAAGGAAGCCTAGATAACTAATACCTCTAAAACCCCCTCCCACAGCTCAAAGGCATTGGGGAAGCAGCCGTCACTTCTCCCTTCTCTTCACCCACCTTCCACAAACATATAGGAGAACAAGTCCTTGTCTCTGCCACTGCTGCCCCCATCCCACCCAACAACATAAAGGGTCTTCCATCTTGAAAAAGGCCTGACCCAACTAAAGAATCTGTAAGCACCATTTCCTGTCCATTTTCCTTTTTAATATTACTTGCACAGCTAAAGAAAAGCAATTAAATTTTGTTAATTGACATGAAAATATACAACGGACTTAAGCCACTTTAAGGTTCTGTCCAACTTTTTTAAATGTCACTTTTAAATTAGAAATTTGTAAAAATTAGAAACTTTTTAAAATTAGAAACTCCTAAGATGGTGAGATTATACATTGTAATTTTATAAATAAAAGATATTTTCAATGATAAAAAAATTTAAACATGACAACTCAAAATTAAAGAATAGGTTGTAAAGGATTCAAAAATGTTACTACTCTTTTTGAAATAAATACATTATTTACATTAATCACAAAATATATTTAAATCCATTATTCCATTATTTAAAATAACTTTTTAAGATGGAGTCTTGCTCTGTCGCCCAAATTGGAGTGCAGTGGCACAATCTCAGCTCACATAACCTCCATCTCCCAGGTTCAAACAATTCTCATGCCTCAGCCTCCTGGGTGGCTGGAGCTACCAGCGTGTACCACCCCACTGGGATAAATTTTGTATTTTTAGTAGAGACGGGGTTTCACCATGTTGGCCAGGCTGGTCTCACTCCTGACCCCAAGTGATCCACCCACCTCGGCCTCTCAAAGTGCTGGGATTACAAGCATGAACCACTGAACCAGGCCCCATGCCTTTTTATTAAAAGTTGTTATTTTGGCTGGGCGCAGTGGCTCATGCCTGTAATCCCAGGGTGCTGAAGTGGGAGGATCACTTGAGGTCAGGAGTTCAACACCAGCCTGGCCAACATGGAGAAACCCTGTCTCTACTAAAAATACAGAAATTATCCGGGCGTGATGGTGCACGCCTGTAGTCCCAGCTACCCAGGAGGCTGAGGCATAAGAATCGCTTGAACCTGGAAGGCGGGGGCTGCAGTGAGCCGAGATCATGCCACTGTACTCCAGCCTGGGCGACAGAGCTAGAGTCCATCTCAAAAAAATAAAAAGATTAAAAAGTAAAAGGCATGGATCATTGATGATTTTGAAAATTTTTTCAGTTTCATTATTGTTTATCAGTAATGAATTAAATTATGGGTAGAAAGACTTAGTATAAGCCATTCAGAAACTAGCATAAATAAATCACTAGCCTAGTAAAACTAGGATTCCTGAGTGCTTTCTTCCCATGTATCAACCAGGAGAGAGTTTAAAGGCCATCTTGCAAATAGCACATTACAAATCACTACAAAATCTTCCTAAAAAAATTGTTCAAATAAATTAAGAGTTTCTAGTATAACTATCTTTCAAGACACTGCCCCTCAGCCAAAACCATGTACTTTAAAAAGACTGCAGTGCATACTCTAAAACACAACTCAGCCGGGTGTGGTGGCTCACGCCTGTAATACTAGCACTTTGGGAGGACAAGACAGGTGGATCACCTGAGGTCAGAAGTTCGAGACCTGCCTAGCCAACACAGTGAAACCCTAACTCTACTAAAAAATACAAAAAAAAAAAAAAAATAGCTGCCGTGGTGGTGGGCGTCTGTAATCCCAGCTACTCAGCAGGCTGAGGTAGGAGAATCACTTGAACCCAGGAGGTGGAGGATGCAGCGAGCCGAGATCATGTCACTGCACTCCAGCCTGGGCAACAGACTGAAACTCTGTCTCAAAAAAAAAAAAAAAAAAAAAAAAAAAAAAAACACCACCCAATGCATACCTCCATTTCTTCAGACTCTGCCTTATTTTCTGCTGGTGTCTGCTGCTGTTGCTCTTCAACATGTGGTTCCTCCTGGTCCACTTGCATCTTCTGAAAAACAGGTCAAATTAAATCCTGCAATTAGGAAGACTAAACAACCTTCATTACACATTGACAAAGTCACATAGTTATGTAATTCCTGCTGAATTACCAGCAATCAGAAGGCCTATGCTAAAATTCCAGGTAGGCCACATTACCTAGGACACAGAAGTTTTCCGCTCTGGATCTTAGTTAATACATCTGTACAATGAGGATAACACTCGCCCTGCCCTACCCTTACATACACAAGAATAACTGTGGAACTGCTTTGTACACCATTAAGTACTCACAGTTCACAATGTGGCATCATTTAATACAATCTACAAAATACAACCTGAAGAGAGCATAAGCTTCTCCAGGCTTCCTCAAAGGTATTTTCTCTCAAAAGTTCCAACTTTTTCAAATAGTTCCTAAGTCAGCCTCTCTTCATCCTCAAAAGTATGACCACTGCATGTGCTCGGGGAGGCGAACACGTTAAAATTACAAAGCCTAAAAATAACAATGAAAGAAGGTTTGTGGAGAGCCTGAACCAGTGGCTTCTCAATGCCTGCAACATATTAGAATGACCTGAGAGGCTTTTAAAACTACTGCTACCTCAGCTCAGACCAACTTCAGTAAAATCTGTGGGGATGAAACCCAAGCATTTGTAGTTTTGTTTTCCTTGAGGCAGGGTCACACTCTGACACATAGGCTAGAGTGCAGTGGCGCAAACAGGACTCACTGCAGCCTTGACCTCCTAGGCTCACGCAATCCTCCTGCCTCAGCCTCCCATGCAGGTGGGACCACAGGTGTGTGCCACCACACCTGGCTAGTTTTTTTGTTGTTGTTGTTGTTGTTTTTAACTTTTTGTAGAGATGAGGGTCTCACTTTGTTGCCCAGGCTGGCCTCAAACTTCTGGGCTCAAGCAATCTTCCTGCCTCAGCCTCCCAAAGTGCTGGAATCATAGGTAATTTGTAGTTTTGTAAAGCTTTGATTCTGATGCACAATGAAGACAAGACCCAGTGCATAATTCCAACAAATGAGTGTACAATCAATTCTACTTTTGAAAATAATTAACTGAGACTCAGAGCACTCTTCAACAACCAGAATCAGGAATAACTCAAGTTGAGAAGTGTATGATCTGAAAGAAGAAATCAACTTGTGTTCCACTTCTATACAAATTCTGCATAAAAATCTACTGCTGGTTCACTTATATTGGGGGAAGGGCAAACATACAAACCCACTCTCACTCAGCAGCTCTGTCACAATGCTCCGGCCTTGCCACCAAGTCTGCTTGCTACAATTTCTAGACAAGTCACCTCTGGGCCATCACAAGTGGTATACAATGTCTAGATTACCTCTTCCTCCTTTGCATTCTGATCTGTTTCCATTGGCTCCTCATTTTCCTCAGACTTGTGAACCTCCACTAAAGATGCACTGGACACACTGAAAATGCCATGGACATTTACTCGAACTTTGACTTTCACTTTTGAACTGGAGCCATCAGACTGAGGAGTGACTTTCTGAACTGAAAACTGAGCTAGGGACATACGAGAGACAAAAGAACACATAACCTAAGAGGATGAATTCAAGCATGAATATATGCCTACATTGCTAGATTATGTCTACTTTCAATGATAGCTCAGTAACATGATGCTTAAAATAAGCAAAATCGGTCCTTTTAGAATCTTATTAAATCATCAGATTTCTCTTTCTTCTTTCACAGTCTCTTATTATCTTATCCTGCCCCAATTAAGAACTCAAATATCTCCCGATTCTTTCCTTTCTTCCAATTTCTTATTTCCATTTATCTTTATATGCTACTTTCAGATTAATTCCTAAAACAGATTTGTCACATTCTCTACTCAAAAAACAAAACAGAAAAAAAAAATGATTCCACTCTGCTTGTCGTTTATCAGTAAATTGCCATTTCTAGGTCCAGTGACTGTACAAGGTTTTTATTTACATTTTCTTCATTCCCAGAACTCTGCAAAGTATGAATTATCATTGTTATTCCTGGTTTTACAGATTTACAGATGGGGAAAAAAGAATAGGTTAACTTTCCACAGCTTCTAAATGCCATTCAGGATACTCCTAATTTCTTTACCCATATATTCTAGGTCTTTATACTATAACTAGTTTCTATCTCTTCTCAACTAGTATTATTTCCAGATAAGAGTTTCCCAGAGTCTATAACTACTCTAGATAACACGGTTCTGAAACCTAGTATGTTTTGATATTGTATCACCATCTCCTAATGATTTTCTATATACATCCTTTTTTTTTTTTTTTTTTTTTTTTTGAGACAGAGTCTCGCTCTGTCGCCTAGGCTGGAGTGCAGTGGCGTGATCTCAGCTCACTGCAAGCTCTGCCTACCGAGTTCACGCCAGTCTCCTGCCTCAGCCTCCCAAGTAGCTGGGATTACAGGCGCCCGCCACCACACCTGGCTAATTTTTTTTTGTATTTTTTTAGTAGAGACGGGGTTTCACCATGTTAGCCAGGATGGTCTCGATCTCCTGACCTGCCCGCCTTGGCCTCCCAAAGTGCTGGGATTACAGGCGTGAGCCACCGCACCTGGCTATTTTCTATATACATCTTATAACTGTATGTTAGGGTCCAAACTGAATTTCGTTAACTCCTTATAGTATATAGCACCACCTTATACATAAGTTATAATTACAATGTGCGCTAACCAAGAAAAACTGCCGATACAATGGGAGATCCAATTAAATAACAGCCATTTGGCTGGTTCTAAACCTGCTAACGAGACTGGAAGAGGTTTTCTTTTGCAATCTAAAGCCCCTAAATTTCAGAATACCATACTTGTTCTTTCTACTATGCGAACTCTCCAAGTAGATAAGCTTTTTTTTGTTGTTGTTTAAATGGAGACAGGGTCCCACTATGTTGCCCAGGCTGATCTCGAACTCCTCAGCTCAAGTGATCCTCCCACCTTAGCCTTTCAAAGTGTTGGGATTACAGTTGTGAGCCACTGTGCTTTTTTTTTTTTTTCTTTTTTAATTTCCAACTCTTTACTTACCTATAGCAGGATCTGGATAGGGCAAATCCTGAGGAGAGCTGTAGTAGGCCTCAAGAGTGAAAGGTTCCTTTCTATAAAATGTAAGAACTTTAGAGAAAGGAGCAGCATGATTTTTGGAAAAGACTTCACAGTCACTGAATGGAGGAAAAAGACAAAAACACAAATTCAGGATATTCCTAACACTTTTACCCATGTGTTCTAGGTTTGTAATTATTGTACAGTGTTAGTTTCTCTCTCTTTTCAATTGGTATTATTTCCAGATTATAAGAGTTCCCAAGAATCTTTATATATAAAGTCAGTAAAAAAGGAATATACGTCAATCTGCACATAAAAGGCACTGATGATTTCAGCAGAATCAAGTGTGAGAAACTAATTAAGGACACAAATTTATTCTGACTAAAATAAATGACCACTTCCTTCATGCACTATGATAAAATGTTACAGATTTATGTAAACTGAAATGAAAAGCAACATATTACTCAGACCTAATAGTCAATTAACTTTAGATATGTAAATGATTAATAAACATGATACCTTGACCCTTCTTCAGCTGGAGAATTCCATCTCAGAGATATTGGATATGGTACTACATCAGTGATAGAAAATTCTCTGACTTTGAAAGCAGGCGATAAGATGGCACACTAGAATAATAATTTTCAAAAATTCCGTTTAACAAGTATAGACAATATAAACTGATAATATCACTTAAACATACAAATTACTTCAGAAAATCAATGGTCTTTTTAAAATATTTATATTAGTAATTTAATGGTGTCTGAACAGTTTTACAAACTTCTATCATGTCAATTACCTATATAATCTAGCTATTCCTTATTTTTCTATTAACCCCAACCCTTATTTAATTAATGTACACTATTTCATACAGACATACATAACAGGCCAAACTTCCAGTCATACTTCAGGCTCAGAGTTACCTATGTTTCTAGTCAATTAATTCATCTTATGTGCTATAGAGTACAATTATTTTTAGGAACATCACCTCTATTTTAAAACAAAGGTTTTGGAATCTCAACACCCTGAAGTCACCCTGAGCTAATCCCAGGTTATTAGATACATAAACCACTGCCATCTTGTTACAATGATTTATAAATGGTTACCTATAAAAGAAAGAATATTCACCTGCAATGCACAGCCTCGAGTGACAGCTTCATCAGCATTTAATGTTGTACTAAGTTCTTTACCGAAAAATTTGCTGATCTTCTCTTTTACCGCAGGGATTCGTGTAGCACCACCAACTATCTCCACTGCATAAATATCTTCTTTCTTTAACTCTATTTTTAAAGAATTAGACAGATTTTTTTAATGAAATGAAAGAACAATAACATCTTACCATGATGAAATAACTCAGATGTGTAACAAAACTCCTCCAACTCCCTCACCCACCTCCGCAACACACACATACTCATGCCCACACTCACAGAGGCAGGTGGCATCTGGAAACAAGTAGGTGTTTTAATTCTCAAAATAATGGGGGAAGGGTAGCTAGTGGGATTTAGGAGGTGAGGGCCAGGAATCCTCAAATGTACTGCAGTGTACAGGTCCTGAATTTCTCACACAATCTCACACAAACAAGTGTTAAAACATCAACAGACCAAACATTCAAACACGCTAGCCATCAGGAAAATAAGAGGGCCTCAAACCACTGAGTTATTCTGACCTGACATTAAAGGAAAAAAAAGAAGAATCACATCCAGCTACTCCAGTGTTCTAATCCAAGGCATAAACATAGTCCACGTTAAAACACAGGTAGAGGCCAGGCATGGTGGCTCATGCTTGTAATCCCAGTACTTTAGGAGGCCGAAGTGGGCGGATCACCTGAGGTCAGGAGTTCAAAACCAGCCTGACCAACATGGTAAAACCCCGTCTCCACTAAAAATACAAAAATTAGCCAGAAGTAGTGGCGCATGCCTGTAATCCCAGCTACTCAGGAGGCTGAGGCAGGAGAATTGCTTTAACCCAGGAGGTGGAGGTTGCAGTGAGCTGAGATTGAACCACTGCACTCCAGCCTGGGTGACAGAGCAAGACTCCCATCTCAAAAAATAAAAATAAAATAAAAAATAAACTACAGGTACAGTTTCTTCGTATCAGAAAGAAGGTGTGTATCAAAGGATCTGCTATTGCTCATAAAATACTTCTTAATATCACCTGATTTCCTGGTCACATTTTATCTAACAACCATTGATAACTTCTTGAGAAGGGCTATTTAAAGAAATGGGCTTTCCCAGTGTGGAAATAAGCCCATTTGCCATCATCACTAAAGAGGAAAGCCTGTGCCAAGCTGACAGTATATCCCAACACTCTGAAATAGCAATCAACACAACAGTGAAGTCCAGGTAAATGGTTTGTCAAAGAAAGATTTTAGGAAAATTAGTATATATTCCTAAATCAAACAGTCACCTTTTAGCCTGAGACAAAATTAAAGCATCTTGTTAAATAAGTATGTGGTTATCCTACCTTCCCACTTTGCTGTAGCTCTCATCCAGCTAGGGAAGAATTCACTGACAGAAAAGCTTATAAGACTACCATATCAGCATCGCAAAAGACAATTTTTACCACCATTAAATAATTGTGAGGCTTATATCCAACTTTCAGTCTGAATTCAGTTTCTTGGAGAAACTTTTATTAGATTTCCCTAGACATTTCAAAAGATTACTTTGGGCAGGGGGAAGATACAGGTTGAAAAAAAGTTTAATATATACCACTGAATTAGTTCATACAATAAAAATTTCTATCACTGCTTGCAAAAGTAAGATAATAAATAACAATTTCCAAACAGTCTGAGATACGCAAACAAATTCAATCACAAAAATACTTACTGGTTTGTTCCAAAACACTACGAAGTGGTGGCTCCACTCTAGCTAAGAGATCATTGCACATCTCCAGAAATTTGCCTCTATAAAAAACAAAACAAAACAAAAAACACAGTACATTAAATCACATGCCACTTTTATGTGGAATGGATGGCTATAATAAAAAACAGGTAACAACAAGTGCTGGCAAAATGTGGAGACAGTGGATCCTTCATACATTCCCAGGTAATAGAAAATGAAAATGGTGCAGCCACTTGGGAAAAGTGTTTGGCAGTTCCTCAAGACGTTAGAGAGTTAGCATATGATTCAGCAATTCCATTCTAGGTATATAGCCAAAAGAACAGAAAACACATGTTCACACACAAAACTGGTATATCAACGTTCACAAGCAGCTGAAACAACCCAGATGCCTATCAACTGTATAAAGCGATACAAATGAATGAATACAATAAGAGGAACTAATACATATCACAACACATGAAAACATTATGCTGGGTTAAAGTCAAACAAGAACAAAAATTTATGTGAAATATTCAGAATAGGTATATCCAGAGAAAGGAGACGAGCGGCTACCAATGACAAAAGGGAAGAAGAAGAGATGGGAAGGACACCTAATGAGTACAGAGTTTGTTTTTTGTTTGTTTGTTTTTGAGACAGGGTCTAACTCTATTGCCCAGACTGGAGTGCAGTGGCACGATCTTGGCTCACTCTCACTGCAACCTCAGCAGTGAGTTCCCAGGCTCAGGTGATTTTCCCACCTTAGCCTCCCAAGTAGCTGGGTCTACAGGCATGCACAACCATGTCTCTTTCTTTTATATTAATACACATTTTTAGATGTTTTAGGTCTACAGAGAAATGAACATAACAAGAATCCCCATACATCCCCTCCTCACTCCCAGCCCAGTTCCTCTATTAACATCTTGCATTAGTATGGTACATTTGTTACAATTAATGAGTCAATGCTGATAAATGATAGTTCCTATTAGTGTTTTATGAGTTTTAACAATGTGTAAGTATTCACCACTTCAGTAACATACAGAATAATTTCACTGTGCTCCAACTATTCATCCTTCCCTGTGCTCCAACTATTCATCCCTCCCTGTGCTCCAACTATTCATCCCTCCCTGCTCCAAACTCCAGGTAACTGACTGTTTTATTGTCTGCATAGTTTTTTTTGGGGGGCGGGGGCGGCAGGGCTTTTTTTCAGACGGAGTTTCAATCTTGTTGCCCAGGCTAGAGTGCAGTGGCGCAATCCCAGCTCACTGCAACCTCCACCTTCCGGGTTCAAGCAATTCTCCTGCCTCAGCCTCCTGAGAAGCTGGGATTACAGGCATGCACCACCTACGCCCGGCTAATTTTGTATTTTTTTTTTTTTAGTAGAGATGGGATTTCACCATGTTGGTCAGGCTGGTCTTGAACTCCTGACCTCAAGTGATTCACCTGCCTCACCTTCCAAAGTGCTGAGATTACAGGCATGAGCCATCGCACCCGGTCGTCTGCATAGTTTTGCCTTTTCCAAAATGTCATATAGTTGGAATCCTACAGTATGCAGATTTTTCAAATTGGCTTCTTTCACTTGGCAATATGCATTTAAGGTTCCTCAATGTCTTTTCACAGCCTGATTACTCACTCATTTAGGGTTTAAGAAGTAATGAAAACGTTCTAAAATTTAGTTGTGATGATGGCTGCTGAGCTCTACGAACATACTAAAAAAAAAAAAATTTTTTTTTAAATCGCTGAATTATACACGTTAAAAGGGTGACTTCTAGTTGGGTGCAGTGGCTCACGCCTGTAGTCCCAACACATCATGAAGCTAAGGCTTGAGCCCAGGAGTTCAAGACCAGCCTGGACAACACAGCAAAACCCCATCTCTACAAAACATACAAGAAATTAGCCAGGCATGGTGGCGCACACCTGTAGTCTCAGCTACCCAGGAAGCTGAGGCAGGAGGATCACCTGGGCCTGGGAGGTCGAAGCTACAGTGAGCCATGATCAACCCATTGCACTCCAGCCTGGGCAATAGGTATCCTTTCTCCAAAAAAAAGGGAAAAGTGGGTAACTTTATTAAATTACATCTCAATAAAAAAGAATAGTAGGCTGGGTGCGGTGGCTCATGCCTGTAAACTCAGCACTTCGGGAGGCTGAGGCGGGTGGATCACCTCAAGTCGGGAGTTTGAGACCAGCCTGACCAACATGGAGAAAGCCCGTCTCTACCAAAAATACAAAATTAGCCAGGCGTGGTGGTGCATGCCTGTAATCCCAGCTATTTGGGAGGCTGAGGCAGGAGAATCGCTTGAACCTGGAAGGCAGAGGTTGCAGTGAGCCGAGATCAGGACACTGCACTCCAACCTGGACGAAAAGAGTGAAACTCCATCTCAAAAAAAAAGAATAGTAAAGTATAGAATGCACCCACCAGAGCATGCAAAACTTAAGGATTGCTAACCTCAATACTGGTGAGATGTGTAGCAACCAGAGATCTTACATGTTCAAGTTTAAAATGTTTTACTTCTAATAGAAAAAAAAGCTAAAGAGTCACTGTCCATCAATAACAACAAACCTACAATGGCACAGTAGTTAGCAATACAGAAGAACAACAAATGGCATGTGAAACAAACAAATGAATCTCAATTTTATGCTGACTAAAAAATGCCTTACACAAAAAACTACATAATACATGATTCCACTTACAAGAAGTTACAGAATTGGCAAACTTAATCTAGGGACTGAAAAATACAAAAAGCACATCAGTGGTTATGGAAGCCTGAGGAAACATTCCAACATAATGGTCTATTTCATAATAATGGCATTAGTTACAAAGATATATGTGTATGTTGAAACTCAGCAAATGAGCACTTAAAACCTGAGTATGTCATATAAAAATATATCCAAAAAACAATGAATTCTGGTTAATATGCAAACCTTAGTATTTGGGGAGAAGTCTACATTTATAGATGTCCGCAATTTAAGTTTCTGCAAGAAGTATACAGATGCAATTTACTTTGAGATATGCTAAAAACAAAATTGAGGCCAGGCCACGCAGTAGCTCACACCTGTAATCCCAGCACTTTGGGAGACTGAGGCGGGCGGATCACCTGAGGCTGGGAGTTCAAGACCAGCCTGACCAACACGGAGAAACAACATCTCTACAAAAAATACAAAATTAGCTGGGTGTGGTGGTGCATGCCTGTAACCCCAGCTACTTGGGAAGCTGAGGCAGGAGAATCACTTGAACCCGGGAGGCGGAGGTTAAGGTGAGCTGAAATCATGCCATTGCACTCCAGCCTGGGCAACAAGAGCAAAACTCCATCTCAAAAAATAATAATAATAAAAAAATTAAAAATTGATGGCTTTATAGGATATATGAACAAATATATAATAAAACAAGTACAGTAAATGTTATCAGTAGACTCTAAGTGGTGGGATGAGGACATTTACTGTAAAATTCTTCCAACTTTGTTGCATGTCTGAAACTATCTGAAATCAAAATTGTGAAAAGCAAAGGAAAAGATTGTTAAGAAGATGGCAACAGCGGTAGGGGTTTGTTTGTTTTTTTGAGATGGAGTCTCATTCTGTCACCCAGGCTGGAGTGCAGTGGCACGATCTCAGCTCACTGCTACCTCCGCCTCCCAGGTTCAAGCAATTCTCCCACCTCAGCCTCCGGAGTAGCTGGGACTGCAGGTGCACGCCACCAAGCCCGGGTAATTTTTTTTTTTTTTTTTTGTATTTTTTTGAGATGGAGTCTCGCTCTGTCATCCAGGCTGGAGTGCAGTGGCAGTATCTCGGCTCACTGCAGCCTCCACCTCCCGGGTCCAAGCAATTCTCCTGCCTCAGCCTCCCGAGTAGTTGGGATTACAGGCACCCACCACTACACCCGGCTAATTTTTGTATTTTTAGTAGAGATGGGGTTTCACCATATTGGCCAGCTGGTCTCAAACTCCTGAACTCAGGTGATCCACCCACCTCAGCCTCCCAAAATGCTGGGATTACAGGCGTGAGCCACCATGCCTGGACAGTAGAGGTTTTTTGATAGTTTCTTTTTAAAAAGTTTTATTGCAATATAATTTACATGCTATAGAATTCACCCATTTAAAGTATATAATTCCCGTCCGGGTGAGGTGGCTCACACCTGTAATCCTAGGACTTTGGGAGTCTGAGGAGGGTGGCCGAGCTCAGGAATCTGAGACCAGCCTGAGCAATATGGCAAAATCCTGTCTCTACAAAAAATACAAAAATTGGCCAGATATGTCGGTGAACACCTATACTCCCATCTACTTGGGGGTCTGAGGTGGGAGGATCTCTAGAACCCGAGAGAGTGAGGCTGCAGTGAGCGGAGATAGTACCACTGCACTCCAGACTGCATGACAACGTGAGAACTTGTTTCAAAAAGAAATAAATTTTAAAAATTAAAAAGATAAAAATAAAGTATGTAATTATTGACTTTTGGGCATGAGGTTTTGGTACAAAAATATTTTTAAAGTATACAATTCAGTGACTTCATATATACAGAGTTGTGCAAGCATCGCCACAATCAATTTTAAAACATTTTCAGTCTAAAAAAGAATATTTTCATCACCCTTAACTGTTACTTTCCTCAACTCCCACAGCCCTAGGCAATCACTAAATCTACTTTCTGTCTCTATAGATTTGCCAATTCGGGGCATTTCATATAAATAGAATCATACAAAATGTGGCCTTTTGTGACTTCTTTCAGCAGCGTGAACTTTTGAAGGTTCACCCATGTTTTAGTATGTATCTGTATTACATTTTTTTCAAGTACCAAAAATATCCCATTGTATGAACATAGCATGTTTTATTTACCCACTTCATCAGTTGATGAACATTTGGGTTGTTTCCACTTTTTGTCTATTATGAGTAGTGCAATGAACATTCACATATGAGTTTTTCTGTGGACATGTGTTTCCATTTCTCTTGAATATGTATCTAGAAATACAACTGCTGAATGATGTGATAATTTGATGCAGATTTTTTTGGTTTTGTTTTTGAGAGGCTTTCCCTCTGTCACCCAGGCTGGAGCGCAGTGGCACAATCATGGTTCACAGAAGCCTCCATCTCCTGGGCTTAAACAATCCTGCAACAAAACTAGGTAATGAAATATGCCCACAAACCTCAAAATACATATAGGCAGAGACAAACCACCCACAACTACAATTCCTGCTTAGTATCAGCTCTGTACAAAATAAACAGAAGGAAACAAAAGGGTATATAATTGACCTGAAAACTCCAGAATAACCTAACTCAGAGAGCCAAATTGAAAACAGCAGCTGAAATCAGCAGGGGTTTGGCATCCTCCAAAACAAGTATAAAAGGTCCTCAAATAAGGTATTCAGGAACCACAGCAAACTGGGCCCTACCTAAAGTTATCTTCAAAGAAAAAAGAACTCACTGAAGAAAAACTACTGATTAAAAAATCCAAACTAAGCAGAACAACACAGTAAACACAAAAGAGGGAGGGAAAACATCTCAGAAAGTTAAGCCACATTTTTAAAATATTTCACAAAAACAAAAGAGGGACTCACACTTATAATCCCCGCACTTTGAGAGGCAGAGGCGGGTGGATGACTCGAGGTCAGCAGTTCAAGACCAGCATGGCCAACATGGCGAAACCCCATCTCTACTAAAAATACGAAAATTAGCTGGGCGTGGTGGCCCCCACCTGTAATTCCAGCTACTGAGGAGGCTGAGGCATGAGAATCATTTAAACCCGGGAGGTGGAGGTTGAAGCAAGCCAAGATCATACCACTGCACTCCAGCCTGGGTGACCTACTGAGACTCTGTCTCAAAAAAAAAAGAACAGGCAAATCTATAGAGACAGAAAACATATTGGTAATTGCCTAGGGTATGGAGGGAAATGGAGAGTAAATGCTAATGGGTACAAGTTTTCTTTTTGGGGTGATAAAAACATTCTAGAATTAAATAGTGGTCACAGTTGCACAACCCTGGAATTGTACACTTTAAAATAGTAAGGTTTTATGGTATGTGAATTATATCTCAATAAAAGTGATACAGGAAATGAAAGAACAAATCAGAATTAGAAAGACCTAGAACAGAATTAGAAGTATAAGAATAAATGTCAGAAATGAAAACTAAACAGTACACAAGAGAAATGCCATGAAGGACTGGACCAAAAATGGCAAATACAAAAAAAAGGCAAACTAAAAAAAAATATATATATATGTAAGATAGGCAAGGAAGATCCAACATAATTATGTAGGAATTCCCAAAAGAGAAAACCACAGCACTACAACAGAATACTAGAAAACATAATTCAAGAAAACTTAAGAAATTTTAATTAAACTTAAATTTGTAATGTCAAACTATATAATGAAAAGGCACACTGCGTACCTGGAAAAAAACTGATGCAAAATAACCAACATCAAAATATAGTGTAGTAAAATTATTGGGTTTTTTTTTTTTTTTTTTTTTTTTGAGACAGGGTCTCACTCTCATCACCCTGGCTGGAGTGCAATGTGGTGTGATCATGGTTCGCTGCAGCCTCGACTTACTAAGCTCAGGTGATCCTCCCACCTCCGCCTCCCGAGTAGCCGGTACTACAAGCGAACACCACCACATCAAGCTACTTTTTTGTATTTTTAGTAGAGACGAGGTTTTGCCATGTTGCCCAGGCTGGTCTCGAACTCCTGAGCTCAAGCCATCCGCCCACCTCGACGTCCCAAAGTGCTAGGATTACAGGTGTGAGCCACCACACCCAAATGGACTTTCAAGAAAAAAAAAAATCAAAAACATTTGGGCATCTAAGCAAAAAGAACAAGTGACAAATATCTAAAAACTATGCTGTCACACTTTGACAGCAATATTATACACCAAAAGAAAATAGATTGTTACTGCATTTAAGATCCTCAACAAGGAAAGAAAAGCTAAGAATGTTCTATCCAGCTAAAGTGACTTTTAAGTATAAACATGGCAAACTGTCATCAACATGCAGGAACTTAAGGAACACTATTCACATGTGCTATCCCTTAGGAATCTGCAGGAGAATGCACTTCCAACCATCAAAACGATGAATTAACACAAAGCTACTAGTAATCTACCAAAATAATCCAAATAATTGAAAATAAGTGTTGACAAAGACGTGGAGAAACTGAAACCCAGTAGGGCGCTGGTGGGGATAATCACTGAGAAATATAGTTTGGAGATTCCTCAAAAAGTTAAACATAGAATTGCTGTATAAGCCAGCAATTCCACTCCTAGGTATATAAGCAAAAGACCTGAAAACAAGTACTTGTTCACAAATGTCCATAGCACTATTCACAATAGCTAAAAAGTAGAAACCCAAATGTCCATCAGCAAACGAATGGATGAATAAAATATGGTATATCCATACAAGAAAATAATATCTGCCCAAAAAAACAAATTAAGTACTGATACAGAATGTGGATGAACCTCAAAAACATTACACTGAGAAGTCAGAACGAAAGAAGCCAGACGCATATTACATGATTACACTTATATGAAATATCCAGAATAGATAAATCCACAGAAACAGAAAACAGGCTGTTGATCACCAGGGACCAGAGGTAAGGGGAAACAGGAAATAATCACCTACTGGGTATGAAGTTTTATTCTGGGGTGATGAAAATGTTTTTCCATTACATAGAGGTGGCCATTGCACAACCCTGTGAATTTACTAAATTCCAGTGAATTGTTTACTTTAAAATGCTTAATTTTATGATACTTGAATTTCACCTCAAGTTTTTAAGTGAAGAAACCATTAATTAAAAGAAATATAATGTCAAATAATCTGGTTTCATCGATTTAAACAAAGGTGAATGTTAAAAGACTAAATGAAGGGGGCCAGGCACAGTATCTCGTGCCTGTAACCCCAGTACTTTGGGAGGCTAAGGCAGGCAGATCACTTGAGTCCAGAAGTTCAAGACCAGCCTGGGCAACATGGTGACACCCAGTCTCTACAAAAAATACAAAAATTAGCCAGGCGTGGTGGCACGTGCCTGTAGTCCCAGCTACTCAGGAGACTGAGGCAGGAGGATCACTTGAGCCCAGGAAACAGAGGGTGCAGTGAGCCAAGATCACACCACTACACTCCAGCCTAGGTGACAGAGTAAGATCCTGTCTCAAAAAAATAACAACAACAATAATCACACTAAATGAAGGCTATAATATAGAACATATAAGAGCTACGTATTCTGATGATGTAAATACAGTACAACTTTTTTTTTTTTTTTTTTTTTTGGAGACAGTGTCTCACTTTGTTGCCCAAGCTAGAGTACAGTGGCACGATCTCAGCTCACTGCAACCTTCATCTCCCAAGTTCAAGCGATTCTCCTGCCTCAGCCTCCCAAGTAGCTGGGATTACAGGCGCCTGCCACCACACCCAGCTAGTTTTTGTATTTTTAGTAGAGAAAGAGTTTCACCTCGTTGGCTAGGCTGGTCTCTAACTCCTAACCTCAAGTGATGCACCTGCCTCCCAAAGTGCTGGGATTACAGGAGTGAGCCACCATGCCCCATCACAGTACAACTATTTTTTTTTTTTCTTTTGAGACGGAGTCTCACTGTCGCCCAGGCTGGAGTGCAGTGGTGCGATCTCAGCTCACTGCAAGCTACACCTCCCAGGTTCACACCATTCCCCTGCCTCAGCCTCCCCAGCAGCTGGGACTACAGGCACCCGCCACCATACCCGGCTAATTTCTTGTATTTTTAGTAGAGACGGGGTTTCACCATGTTAGCCAGGATGGTCTCAATCTCCTGACCTCGTGATCCGCCTGCCTCTGCCTCCCAAACTGCTGGGATTACAGGCGTGAGCCACCGTACCAGGCCACAACTATTTTCAAACAACAGCACACAGGCAAATTCAGTTTTTAAAAAATTTAAACTACTTAATAAGTATCTACTTAGCTCTTACAAACACGTAACATTTCACTAACAATTTCTTAAACATACTGGCTTACCTCCAGACTTCATGGAACACACATACACACACACAAGACTGCTGCTTAACAAAAACGAAAGCCATCTCTTCCAAGTAGGGGGAGAGGTGACTAAAAATTTGGATACAAAGCAACAATAAACACCATTTCAATTTTTTTACGGATAGCTCAGGCCCATGTCTCCAAATACACCATCAGTCTTGCCTGAATTCTACCAGTAGAGTTCACAGCCAAAAGAACATCTTACTCCCATCATCCAAGCAACTGAACCAGGCAACAATAACACTCTGGGTAGTTTCTGAGGATAACCCCGAAATGTCAATTACCCAGAATTCTTGCAGCACTATACAAAAAGAGCTGTCACCCTCAAGTGAACCCGAATATTTCAAAAAGAAAAATTTCGGGCTAGGCACGGTGGCTCACACCTGTAATCCTCATACTTTGGGAGGCTGAGGTGGGTGGATCACCTGAGGTCAGGAGTTTGAGACCAGCCTGGCCAACATGGCGAAACACCGTCCCTACTAAAAATACAAAAATTAGCTGGGCGTGGTGGCAGGCACCTATAACCCCAGCTACTCAGGAGGCTGAGGCAGGAGAATCGCTTGAACCTGGGGGTGGAGGTTGCAGTGAGTTGAGATTGTGCCACTTTACTCCAGCCTGGGCAAAACAGCAAAAACCTCCATCTCAAAAAAAAAATTACAATTTCTTAGTCACTGGGTAAATTAAATTCAATTTAATTCTGCATTACAGCCCTTTGCCCTGATTTTTTGGAAACTGAAATCTCGTGTATAACAAATGCATATGTAAAGAACTATCAACATGTTGGAATATTCAATTTATCAGAACAAAAACATTAGTCTACATTATTAACCAGACCCAACTTTACATAAAAAGCAGGGTCCTGAATGGCTTCTAATTTTTAAAATAGAACCAAAATTATCATATAACCTCCGTGATTATTTTAACAATTAGCCAATTAAAGGTTAATATATGTGGAGAAAACTCACTCTTCACTTTAACATCGAAATAGTAATATACTTACCTATTCATAGTTCCAGATACATCAACATCATTCATAAAACATTCAATGCTCAAAGGGAGATCTGAAGCATTTGCACTCATCAATTTCTTGAGTTTCTCACACTCCTGAGAGAGTCGTAATAATGCACGGATTTTGGACTTAATGTCTAGCTTGTATTTCTTCCCAAATTCTTCACAGAAGTGATTTACTAACACTTCATCAAATTTTCTACCTCCCAATGTCGTGTCAAATGCAGTGGCCAGAACCTTAAGGAAAAAATGAGAATTAATCTAACAATTAACCAATCGATTTTGAAACAGATGATATATATTTACCTGGTAAGTTGTTTATCTAAAAAAAAAGAGGGAGGGTTACATTAAGGTTAAAACAAAGCAATGTATACATCATTTAATCCTTATTACCCCACACTGTAAAAATAGGCACTATAATCCCCAATTTACAGATAATGCTACAGACCTAGACAGATGAGATAAACTGCAGTTCACAAAGCTACTAAGTGGTAGAAGTGGAATTCAAAGCCAAATCTCCTTAATTCCAAAGTCCATGCCCTCCCCACTACACCAGTCTGACAACCAATAGCAGTTACATGTCCAAGGTAAAATATACTAACATGTCATGTACATACTTCTAGTCTACTCAGTATCACAAAACTGAGTAATACCAAAGGCTCAACTCTCTGCAGTTTACTACCAAAGGATTCCTTAAAGCCTTAGCTCACCGCAATGTGTTTCTATTTAACCTGGAAGTCTAATTAGCCTGGGTTACCCGTTTTCAAATCTCTAACAGATTAGAAGCAAACTAGATCTAATTAGATTCAGTAATAGAAGTTAGGCTAAATAAGTGATGACATCCTTATGAAGGAATAAAACCAGTAAAAACAATCTCTTCAAAGAATGCTACACGTCATGGGGGAAATTTTCTTAGTATGTTAACTTAAAAAAAGACAGGACACAGAGCTAAATATAGTGACTCCAATTCTGTTTTCTTAGAAAATTAGAATGAAATACATCAAGCTGTTAAGAATGGTAAGATTGTAAGTAACTTTTCTTTATTTTTTTTTCTTTTTTTTGAGACAGGGTCTCACTCTGTTGCCCAGGCTGGAGTGCAGTGGCACAATCTCAGCTCACTGTAGCCTCGACCATCCAGGCTCAAGCAATCCCGCCACCCCAGCATCCCAAGTAGCTAGGACTACAGGCACACATCACCACATCCAGCTAATTTTTGTATTTTCTTTGTAGAGACGGGGTTTTGCCATGTTGCCCAGGCTGTTCTCAAACTCCGGGCTCAAGCAATCCCCCCACCTCAGCCTCCAGAGTAGCTAGGACTACAAGCACACCGCCACACCCAGCTAACTTTTGTAGAGACAGGGTTTTACCATGTTGCCCAGACTTGTCTTTACACATAAATGTTTTCCAATTTGGGGAGATTTTTGTAATGAATATTTTTATAATTTAAAAGTAATCAAAAGGATTGCAAAACTGACAGGTGACAGGTAACACAGAAGGACAATTTAGAAAAACAGAAGCAGATGGCTACTAATACACATCGTTCTGATCCAAAGCCAGGCTAAATTATAACCAGAGTCTTCCGTTTAAAAAGATGAAAGCATAGCATAGATCTTAGAAATTCTATTAGTGATTAAAGTTTAAACACTGAGAATTACATTTGGTCCACCATTTATAGCTGTCAAAAAGCAAAATCACAAATCTCTCATTTCCCAATTATCTAAAAGACTCGCTTTCTTTTTATTTAAAAACAAAACCACCTAGAAACAATATAAAACCAGAAAATAAAGTGGAAACGTCTATTTTTCAAAGAAACAAGACCATAACAAATGAAGTCTCAAAATGCCTCCAAAATTACCAAATATTTAGTTTGGGGTAATCCCTCTCCACCAATCTCCAATGGGTACAAGGCAGTCAATTCAGACCTTGGCACCAACAATTTTAATATACAATTCAAATAATTAAAGCAAACACTTGAGAAATCCTTGGTTCTTCACCAAATTCTAGATAAAATCATCTAGACAGAGAATTTTATACCCTACTGTGGAACTAGCATAAACCAGCAAACTCAACTATGACAGAGATCAATCACCCTCTGGCCCCTCCTTGCCTTCTATACTTCTGTGTGTACAAAACTGCTTAAACTTTAGGCTTTCTAGAAATCTATAATTCCTAGTCCAGTTTGTTTTGGCATCCAAAAGAAACCCCTTTTCCAGAACACTCAAAACCTCATGAGCAAGAGTACAGAGCACCTGTACCACCCTCTCAATCCCCAGTGTAAAATTCACCAAGGAACTACATGTTAAAAAATCCTCCTGCTGGGCGCCGTGGCTCACGCCTGTAATGCCAGCACTTTGGGAGGCCGAGGCAGGTGGATCACCTCAGGTCGGGAGTTCGAGACCAGCCTGACCAACATGGATAAACCCCGTCTCTACTAAAAATACAAAATTAGCCGGGCGTGGTGGCACATGCCCGTAATCCCAGCTACTAGGGAGGCTGAGGCAGGAGAATCGCTTGAACCTGGGAGGTGGAGGTTGCGGTGAGCCAAGATCGCGCCATTGCACTCCAGCCTGGGCAACAAGAGCGAAACTCTATCTCAAAAAAAAAAAAGAGAAAAAAAAGAAAGAAAAGAAAAAAAATCCTCTGAATAACCCTGTAAGGTATGCATTGTTTCTCCCATATTGTAGATGAGAAAAAATCATTGTCTCTCAAAATTTCATAATTACCATACTACTAACAGTCTTCTGGAAAAAAAATATATACTTACTTTCAGTTTTCCTCTATTAAATGCACATACAGAAACTTGATAAGCAGAGTGGCCCATGTCTACAAAAACTACATTTCTTGGTTTCTCTTCTAAGGCAGGAAGATCCTGCTTATAGATTCCATATGCAAGAGCAACTACAGAAGAAAAAACACAAAAATTAAAAATAACGTCTAAGTAAATAAAATTCATTTAAGCAGGAAAAAAGAGGTTTTATATATAACGAATGCAACTACATGTGTTATGTTTTAGAAATCAAATTCTTTATAAGCACTGTATAATTTATTCAAGAAAAAGATTATCTTCCAAGAGTTAAATACTGATATTCACTTAGACTTCCTTACAGTTGCCAATGGACTTTGGCATAATTTTCTCCAAGCCATTTCCCCCATTTTCCAAATATATTTTCCTGGATCTTTTCTACCCCTATGCTATGTTAACATCCCCGCATGTTCTGTCCATGAGATGCTGCTTAATGTCCCATTCCTCTGACTCTACCAGTCCACAAGTCTAAGAGAAGACCAGTCTTTAACCCAAAGCACTGCTCCACACGCTAAGTGTTCTCCTTCCCCAACAAGCATGTGTTTAAATACCAAAATGCATGCTATAAAGGTACACAAAAAGCACTGGTCAGATTAATTCTTCACAAGTGACACAGTATCCAAAAACACCATGACCACAGTGGTAAGCAAGAGCAGCAGTGCTGAAAGCAAAATAAAGAGCAAGAAACCCCAGGGTTTTAAAATTTCACAATCTTCAAGATTAACCAAGTCAAAAAAATAATCAACGGTCCTCCTTACCTGCAGTGGTTTCATTCATTAATCGCAAGCAATTAAGACCAGCAATCTGTGTTGCATCCATCACTGATCGTCTTTCTGCATCAGTATAGAAACAAGGAACCTACAAAAAAAAAAAAGAATGCTTACTGTATTATAGATTCTAATTTTAGTTAGTAAAATCCAGGAACACCATCAAATACCTACAGCAATTTATTCTGTATATGATCAAGAAAATATTTCAAACTAGTAGGGAAAAGTTAGAATATTTAGTAAGCAGTGTTAGGATAAACAAATAGCCGTACCATTACCTTACATATACTCATTACATGGCAGACCAAAATACCAACAGCTGAAGTAGTGACTGCAGAGAAGAGTTAATATAAAGGCCAGAAACTGCTATCCTTAGAAAACACCTGCTTGCATGTTGGTCCTTGCCTGGCATCTAGGACCTTGATTTGCAAACAGTTCACTAAATCAATAGAAAAAATTTCCCTAAATGATTAAGAGTGGTTCACTGTACCTAAACTGTTTATATAAACATGCAGCTTGTGCTGACTACCGGCTTTCCTTCTGGGAGTTGGAATTTTGGTTCATGCTAGGTATAGGGTACCAATGTGACAGACCCCTGATGAAAACCATGGACTAGCCAGGCGTGGTGGCTCACGCCTGTAATCCCAGCACTTTGGGGGGCCGTGGTGGGTGGATCACCTGATGTCACGAGTTTGAGACCAGCCTGGCCAACATGGTGAAACCCCATCTCTACAAAAAATACAAAAAAAAAAAAAAAATAAACCACTAGCTGGGTGTGGTGGCACATGCCTGTAATCCCAGCTACTCCAAAGGTTGAGGCTTGAACCTGGGAGGTGGAAGCTGCAGTGAGCCAAGATCATGCCACTGCACTCCCAGCTGGGAAACAAGAGCGAAACTCAGTCTCCAAAAAAAAAAAAAAAAAAAAAAACAACCCTGGACCAGGCTAGGCAGAACTCCTGTGGTAGAGGACATTTCACCCGTATTGTTACAACCTGTTGCTGGAGTTAAGCACAGGCTGACTCTGGGAAGCTTGTGCCTGGTTTCCTCCAGACTCTGCCTCATGTGCCTTTTCCCTTTGTTGATTTTGCTTTGTATCCCTTCACTACAATAAATCTTAGCATGAGAATAGCTATACGCTAGGGCCCGTGAACCCTCCTAAGCAAATTACCAAAACTCCAGTGTGATCTTGAGGCCCCACCCAAACATGACTCAACACTATCACCTTTTAACTTGATACCCAAAACTGGAAGACACTTACGCATTCCAATATTTTACATAAATTTTACTCCCACACAGAGTGTTATGCAGGATCAAAGCTAGGGGCACTAGATGGAGGAATGGAAACAAATCTGGGAGACCAATGGAAGAGCTGAGGAAAGGTAGGAAACATCTAAGAAATACAGGATCTGGTGTATCAGCCACTGGGGAATCAAGGTCACTGAATCTGAGCTTTTTAAAGGAACACAGAATTTTCATTCTTCTATAAAGAATAAAGCCCACCCCCAGAATGGTGTACACAACTATAATCCAATTCTTTCTGACAAATGTCAATTCTACTTTACAATAACCAAGGACCAAGAAATCCGCCAGGCAACAGACTCTGGGGTGAAAAAGCCACCTAACAGTCCTTGCTTTGCCAATCAATGCACCAACATTAAGACAAAAGAGGCCATGAAACTAAAGTATCAGGTAACAATTACAGAATGAGGAGATTCGGTGGCAAAGCCAATGTAACCACACATATTTCAACAGTCCCTAAGGATTCCACCAAACTAAAGCACAAAACTACAGTAGCCAGGCTTCCATCTTAACAGGGATATGCAAAAGATAAAGTCAACTGCTGCCATGTCTTTGTTTTTTGGATAAGTTTTTTGAGACAGGGTCTCAGTCTGTTGTCCAGGCTAGAATGCAGTGGTGTGATCACAGCTCACTGCAGCCTCAAACTCCTGGGCTCGAATGAGCCTCCCAAGTAGCTGGGACTACAGGTGTGTGCCACCATGCCCAGCTAATTTTTTTTTTTTTTTTTTTTTTTTTTTGGTAAAGACAGGGATCTCATTGTGTTGCCCAGGCTGGTCTCAAACAATCTTCCTGCCCTGGCCTCCCACAGTGCTGGGATTAAACCACCATGCCCAGTCCTTGCCTTTGTCTTTAACGCTAGATACCAACAGCAAATACAAATACAGAACAAGTGCCATTTACAATTAGGGGTATCCAACTAATTCAACAAATGAGTGGCTACCCTGTGCTATGCTAGGCGATGAAAAAAATACAGGAAGAAGTGGGCAGGCTGAGATGAATGCACCTTGAAAAACAGAAGAGATTTAAATAGGCAGAATAACAAAGGAGGCCTGAGCAAAAGCTAAGCAGCAGAAGAGAGTAAGAAAATGAAGACTAGTTTCATAAATTTTTTTTTTCTTTGAAACAGAGTTTTGCTCTTGTCACCCAGGCCGAAGTGCAATGGCATGATCTCGGCTCACCGCAACCTCAGCCTCCCGGGTTGAAGTGATTCTCCTGCCTCAGCCTCCCGAATAGCTGGGATTACAGGTGCCCATCACCACGCCCAACTAATTTTTGTATTTTTAGTAGAGACGGGGTTTTACCATGTTGGCCAGGCTGGTCTCGAACTCCTGACCTCAGGTGATCCACCCACCTTGGCCTCCCAAAGTGCTGGGATTACAGGCGTGAGCCACTGCACCCGGCCTGACAAACATTTTAAATAACCATTACAACCTGAGACAAAAAAACAAGTTTACTTGAAATTAGCAGCTTTCTTCTCTCTGCTTCTTCATGCAAATTCCCAATAATGTATAGGGATCAAACTCACCGAAACAACACAGTCAACTACAGGCTTCTTAAGAACACTTTCGGCTGTCTCCTTCAGTTTGGACAAAAGCATGGCAGTCACTTGCTCAGTGGTAAAATTTCGCTCTTCCTCCATATATGTCACCTGCAAGAAAACAACAAAGGGGCCTAGACTTATTATATTTCTTTCTTCATGTCCTAGTCCTAAAAGCTAAAATGAACAATGCTTCCCATTATCAATGCAACATTATCTCAAGAGGGGATTGAAAAAAAAAAAAAGCTAGTTTTCGAAGTAATACCTTGAAGGTCACTTTTAGCTTCTTTTTTTATTATTATTATTATTTTGGAGGCAGGGTCTCTCTCTCTGTCATTCTCTCTCTCTGGAGCGCCGTGGCATGATCACAGCTCACTGGAGACTTAACCTCCTGGGTTTAAGCAATCCTCCTGCCTCAGCCTCCCAAGTAGCGGGGAGCAAAAGCACATGTCACCATACCTAGCTAATTTATTTTTTTCTTGCAGAGACAGGGTTCTTGCTTTGTTGCCGATGCTGGTCTCAAAACTCCTGGCTTCAAGGAATCCTCCTGCCTCGGCCTCCCAAAGTGCTGGGATTACAGGCATGAGCCACCACGCATAGCCTATTTTAGCTTTCAACCAAACACGATACTTGGAGATGAAGGACCACAGTGTAAAACAACAAATCTTAAGACAACTTCCTTTGCAAAGACAAATCAGTGTAGCTCACCATGACCCACACTGTCCCTCCATAAAGAGGCTGCTGGTAGAAACTATTTTACTATCTGACATACTATGTGTATTTTAATGTGTTTACTGTTTATTATCCATCTCCACAATTAGGATTCAATCTAATATGAGGACATGCATTTGTCTGATTGTTCACTGCCATAGCTCCAGCACCTAGAACAGGACCTGGCACAATATATACTGGTTGAATTAAATAATAAAAGATGGGCTAGGTGCAGTGGCTCACACCTGTAGTCCCAGCATTTTGGGAGGCTGAGGCGGGCAAATCACTTGAGGTTAGGAGTTCAAGACCAGCGTGACCAAAATGGTGAAACCCCATCTCTACTAAAAACACAAAAAATTAGCTGGGCATGATGGTCCATGCCTGTAATCCCAGCTACTAGGGAGACTGAAGCATGAGAATTGCTTGAACCCAGGAGGCAGAGGTTGCAGTAAACCTACATCGTGCCACTGCACTCCAGCCTAGGTGACACAGTGATATTGTCTCAAAAAAAAAAAAAAATTTTAAATAAGTAACAATAATGAACAAAGCTTCAAGATAAAGCCCTATTCCAGATAAAAGTCTGCAAATGTGATAACAGTTACGAATTTTAAATATTGAAGGACTGCCTAAAACAATCCCAACCCATCCTACATGCCCATATTCCCAAATTACAATCCAGAATAGAACATGTTGCTCTCTTCTTTTAGCTGCTGCCCTAACTCAAGCTTGCGTGCCACCTTCTGACTCCCCAGCCCAACCACAATTTATTATGGTTTAGAATTGAACAGTTCTTACTTTATTGCATGATAAAGATGGGGAAATATCCCTCCTGGTGCCCTTTCTAAATTATCTCTTTCTTCCCTGCTATTTGCCTAATTCTGAGGTCAATTCCACCACTTTTAGACTTGCATCTACTTGTTTCCCAAATCTTCTTCCTAGTCTTTTTCTCCTTTGCTTCTTGCAATGCTTATGAATAAATCTGCCAATACCTATCCTATTTCTTTATTTCTTATTTCTAATAAGTATTGCACATTTCTTCACCTCCCTTTTTAACCCCTTTCTCTCTCCTGTGCTTCAGCTTCATCTTTTACTATCCCATTCAAACTGTCCTTAATTACCACAGATATTTTAAGAAAACCCAGTCATCATTCTTTAATTTTCAGAATTTTTCACTTCTAAATACAACTAAATTATCAGCTACACTGCAACAGCAGACTACCTTTTTCTCATGGTTCTCAACATCTCTTGGCTTTCCAGCCTGTTCTCCTGATTCTTGGCCTCCAAAACCAAATCTCTCCGTAATCTCACCTGCCTGGAAAGCCAATCACGCCCCCACCCCCCCTCATGGATTCCTCTTACTACCTCTGAGTGCAAGAAAGGCAAATGTGTCCACCCTATCCATCTCCCAGCCTCTTACCCTTTTTCTGTGATCAGTTCACTGCATACTTCACAGAGACTCCACTAGATGTACCAGAGATAAAGACCAAACTCACTTTTCCCCAAAAGAACATCTCTTTCTAAATTAAATCCTATCTCCAAGAGTATGTCCATCTATCTGCTAGTGACTTAAAACTGTGATTCCTACCAGGTGCGGTGGCTCACGCCTGTAATCCCAGCACTTTGGGAGGCTGAGGCAGGGGAATCACAAGGTCAGGAGTTCGAGACCAACCTGGCCAACACAGTGAAACCCCGTCTCTACTAAAGATGCAAAAAACTACCCAGGCATGGTGGCACGTGCCTGTAATCCCAGCTACTTGGTAGGCTGAGGCAGGAGAATCGCTGGAACCCAGGAGGCAGAGGTGGCAGTGAGCCAAGATCACACCATTGCCCACCAGCCTGGGTGACAAGGCGAGAGTCCATCTCAAAAAAAAAAAAAAAAAACTGTGATTGCTTTGCCTGCTCTTCCAGAAGTCATTCCCTAAAATCATGCTAAAAAGCCCACTGCATCAGTGAGCAAAACAAGCAGCAATGGCAGTATTAACTTCAAACCATCACTACCCAGGTCTCCAACCCATATTAAGAGCACCACTCATGGCTCCCAACCAACATCCAGATCATTCAAAAATTGTCAAATAGTCTTTACTAGAAAAAAGCTTTCCCTAAGCAACTGTAAGCATTTTCATTGCAATCTGACATCAGAAAAGTACAGATAGATATTGAACTGATAAAATATAATAATGCATTTTAATTAAAAGGCATTAACCTGACAACCTTACCTTTATACCTGTTAATCCTGTAGGCAACTGCACAATATCATATGCAAGGTTAGATTTTTCTGCCTCCACAAATGGATCAGAGAATGCTCGGCCATGGAATCTTTTAAATCCTTGGACTGTGTTCTTTGCATTAGAAATTACCTAAGAGAAAGAATATCAAAGAGTGGAAAGACTACTACTAATTTTTTTTTTATTTCAACAGCCTCAGATTAAATTAGCAACATTTTAACTTTATATAGAGTCTCCTTCTTGGTTTTGGTTTCTTCAGACCCTAAACTTTTCTAAATGGTGCCCACTAGCATGCGAAGTGAGGGAGGAGGGATTTGCATGGGTCTCAGAGTGGCAGGGCTAAAAATAGAGCCCTGCTCTTCCTATATCCCATGAAGTCAGGTCATTATACTTGCATAAGTATTTTCTGTTCTTAAACTTCTAATAAACATTTACATAAAATAACTTTTAGCCTTTAAAAATTGCCCATAGTTTATGGTTGAAAGTTTCCAGGAACCAACTCAGCAATACATAAATTGATTTAGAAATTCTAGTTAAGGCCGGGTGTCATGGCTCACGCCTGTAATCCCAGCACTTTGAAAGAAGCCAGGGCCTCATTTGAGGTCAGGAGCTCGAGACCAGCCTGACCAACATGGTGAAACGCTGTCTCTACTAAAAATACAAAAAATTAGCCAGGCATGGTGGTGCGCACCTGTAACCCCAGCTACTCAGGAGGCTGAGGCATGAGAATCATTTGAACCTGGGAGGTGGAGGTTGCGCTGACAGGGCCACTGCACTCTCAAAAACTGCACTCTCAAAAAAAAAAAAAAAAAGAAAAAAGAAAAGAAAAAAAATTCCAGTGAAACAAATTTCTCATAAAGGGGAAAAAAAAAATCATACTAAGTACACAAAAATGAACACAAAAGGATATTGGGAGAGTATTATTTGTAGTAGCAGACGCCTAGAAACAGCCTAAATGGTTAATAACAGGGAAATGCTTAAATTATGGGCTATTCATACAATGAAATATCAACAGGTAAAGTTTTCAGAAGGTGGTAAGACAAATGTCTATATGATTTTTGGATAATGGTTGAACAGGTGACTTACACTTTTTTATCTATGTTTTCTAATTCTTCTAGAATAAACTATCACAATTTATGAGGGGAAAATGCTGACAAAAATATTCAAAAAATTCCAGAATGACCTTCTGCTTAAGATTTACAGGCTGCTCCTCCCAATGCAGGAGATGTAGTAAGCTCCTGTATCAACTAGATGAAAGGGAACACACAGAAGTCCTTTTATGAAACAGATGAGGCCACCCAAATCATGCCTTCCTCGAGCAAGCTGCCAAACAGAAACTCTGTAACACAATAACTGTATCAACCTAGAACTGGGCAGCCAGTTTAGTATAGTAACTGTCTCTCAATCATGAAAAGCAGGTTTAAAAAACAGGAGCGATTTGCTCAAATTTTAGAAGGAAGAGATTTCAAAATGGCCCAATATTTTCTACCTGCTGTCTCCTAAAAGATCTCGAACACTGTGAAAATGAACTATAAAACATCCAACTTAATTAAAAACCAATTGGCCAAGCACCACTTTTTTAGGCTAATAAATTTTAGGCCCTGCCCCATTCAAAAACAGATTCACCCTATAGGGTTGCTCCAGGCTGAACCATAAGAAGGTCAAACATGCAACTCCTTAATTTTACAGATATCTCAGACACTTAGAATAACAGAACTCTTGGGGTTCTGCTGCTCTGGTTATTCAGAAACCAGCAACTACGTCAGGTTCCTGGTTTACAGAGTAAACTAAAAGCAAGTCCTTTAATGTATTTCTAGAGGTATGCTTTCCTTCCTTGAGAAACTTGTTTAACAAGATCAACACTTACCTTATATATGAGTAAGATGAAAGGCCCAACAAGACAGACTTAAGGAGCATGTAAAATATCAAGGAACAAGCAAGCCTTGCTTAACAAGATCTGGACAAAATACACCCTGGCAGTTTGCATTAAACAGATTATACTGCTAATGCTATTTTAAGGCCAGGTGCTTCTCACTGAAGCAGTGGTTCCTGGGTATCTGCAGGGGACTGATTCCAGGGCACTCCTTGAATTAGACCAAAATCCACAGATGCTCAAGTCCCTTAGACAAAATGACATAGTATTGGCCTATAACCTATGCACATCCTCCTGTATACCTGAAGTTGTCTCTAGATTACTTATAACACCTAATACAATGTAAATGCTATGTAAGTAGTTGTTACACTGGATTGTTTTCATTTGTATTTTTTATTGTTCCAGTGTTGTATTTTTTCCCAAAAATATTTTTGATCCACAGTTGTTTGAATCTACAGATGCAGAACCCATGGAATTCTGAGGGCTGACTGTACATGGGAACAGAGAAGAGGTCTGTATCTGCCAGTTGTATTCCCAAGGCCTACCAGTGTTAGGCACATAATGGGCATTCAACTACTTGCTGAACACATGGATGAAGAGGAGAAATAAGTCATTTTAGGAAAAAAATGAAACTTTACCTGGCTTTTAGCTGCTGCTCCAATTGAACGATTCTTAGGACCAAAAGAAATGCAAGCCCTAGAAGACAAAAAAAGCACTTAAGAATTAAATCTTACTACAATAATAAATCCAAAAGCATAGCAGGCAAGATCTGAGTATCAGCTAAAATGCCATATATTTTAATGGTACAAATCTATGATTTTGACCTTTCTATTGAGTAAATCTGTCCATGGAACAGGTTGCCTCTTACAACTGAGTCCTGTCATTTACATGCTGGAGCACAGATCTGATGTGATAACTACCTGTCTAGAATACTAGAGAGGTGGGCTAGACAGTCTCTACCATCCTCTAATTACTTTTCAAGTCTCCTGTTCAAAATCCCAGTATAAAATAATGTACCCTCACATCAATGTATCAATTAACATTTTTAAGACAGCTCACAACTTCACCAAGAATATAGTCTACAAACCCTGAAAACAACTCTCGCCCTATTAAATAAGTAAAAAAGTAATTTTTCTACAACTAGTTTCCAGGCACTCAATTTTTTTTTTTTTCCAAGAGTCTCACTCTGTTGCCTAGGCAGGACTGCAGTGGCCCTATCTCAGCTCACTGCAACCTCCGCCTCCCAGGTTCAAGTGATTTTCATGCCTCAGCCTCCCAAGTAGCTGGGATTACAGGCATGCACCATCACGCCCAGCTAATTTTTGTATTTTTAGTAGAGATGGAGTTTCACCATGTTGGTCAGGCTGGTATCGAACTCCTGACCTCAGATGATTCACCCACCTTGGACTCCCAAAATGCTGACGTTATAGGCGTGAGCCACCGCACCTGGCCAGGACTCAGAATTTCTGACAAGGAACTTTAACCCCACTTCTGAACATTCTTCTAAATCACCAATTCATACACAATCTCCTGATTTAATCCATTTACTGCTTCTTTTAGAAAGGCGAAACTGAAACCTGCTTGAAGGTTAAATAAAAACTCTGTGCTTACGCTTAAAAAGTGCAGTGGCTCACGCCTGTAATCCCAGCACTTTGGCGGGCTGAGGCAGGCGGATCACCTGAGGTCAGGAGTTCGAGACTAGCCAGGCCAACATGGTGAAACCCTGTCCCTACTAAAAATACAAAAAGTAGCTGGGCGTGGTGGCATGTGCCTGTAATCCCACCTACTCAAGAGGCTGAGGCAGGAGAATTGCTTGAACCAAGGAGTCGGAGGTTGCAGTGAGCCGAGATTGTGCCACTGCACTCCAGCCTGGCAACAGAGCAAGACCCTATCTCAAAAACAAAACAAACAAAAAAGGGCATTAATAAGTATAAGTAAATTTTGGCCGAGCGTGGTGGCTCATGCCTGTAATTCCAGCACTTTGGGGGGCCGAGGCGGGCAGATCACCTGAGGTCTGGAGTTCGAGACCAGCCACGCCCACATGATCAAACCCCGTCTCTACTAAAAATACAAAAAAATTAGCTGGGCATGGTGGCGGGCGCCTATAATCCCAGCTACTCAGGAGGCTGAGGCAGGAGAATCACTTGAACCTGGGAGACGGAGGTTGCAGTGAGCCAAGATCGCACCACTGCACTCCAGCCTGGGCAACAACAGCGAGACTCCGTCTCAAAAACAAAACAAAAAAAAGAGTAAATTTGGCTGGGCGCAGTGGCTCAAGCCTGTAATCCCAACGTTTTGGGAGGCCAAAGCAAGTGGATCATTTGAGTACAGGAATTCAAGACCAGCCTGGGCAGCATGGCGAAACCCTGTCTCTATAAAAAAAAAATACAAAAAAATTAGCTGGGCATGGTGGTGAGCACCTGTAATCCCAGCTATGGGGCAGTCACGGGGTGGGGGTGGCTGAGGCAGGAGGATCACCTGAACCCAGGAGCCTGAGGCTGCAGTAAGCTGTGATCATGCTATTGCACTCCAGCCTGGGGAAGAGAGCAAGCAAGACCCTGCCTTAAAAAAAAAAGATAGTAAATAAATTTATCCAGGGTCATGCAACCTGAAAGCAATGAAGTCAGGACTCTAGGTGATGTCTGAAGCTTTGACTCTCATCCTCCCTGAACTCCTAATTCTTCCAAGTCAACAGAGTAAATAAGAGCTCTGGAACCATACTGCCTTGGTCCAAATCTGACTAAATTAGATGAACTACTGATTTGGTAGAAACATAAACTTAAGAGCCCTGTGGAAACTGGCAGAATGCTGGGCCTCCCTGGGCTTCAGTGGTCCTTCACAACCAATGGCTAAGAACCCCTGTAAGCCAATCTCCCAGGGCAGCCACAGGAAGCCATGACTTCTATTAAATGACAGGAAGAACAAACATGGTACACCCTAGGACCTCATCAGAATTCCTCCAAATCCTAAGCTTTTGGGCCTAGAAAGTGCTGGGAGTAGCCCCTCAAAAGCAAAGGTGTCAAGCTCAGCCTTTCTGCAACTATGCCACCAATCACTAAAACAAATAAAATCTCTGTTTTAGACACTAGATGCAAATAAATAAAAAAAAATCCTCACTACCACGTAAATGTCTCTCCTCTCAAAGCCCATATTACCCTTTAGGAAATTGCCCAAGGCAATCTTACCCACTTCCTCCACCTCAAAAAGGCTGCCTAGCATAAGCCTAATAATTGGCACACCTCCATCTTTCTAAATACCACCAGATCTAAATTTCTAAGGTATATCCCACCATGACCCCAATCACAACATAACTAAAAGGCAATGTTACTCATCTTCCATTGTTTCCTGCAGCCCTTTTTCAAACCTTTATCTCCTCAAAATAATTACAATCCCCAACTTTCCTGCAAATCCTGCTGAAGGGTTAATTTCCTATTCTATGTCAGTAACTCTGAAACTGTCTTGCTTCTAATTACCTTCCAAACAAAACCAACTACCAACAAATAAAACCTATATTCCTTAATATGGAACCTAAGGCCTCTCCCAACCCAATCCCATTTTCCAGCTGTATTTCATCCACACAATCAACACAAGTTGAATAAAGTATCCCAATCTTCCTGCTTTGCTTATGTCACTTTTGACGTCTGAAATGCTTAGTACCTTCACGTATTCTCTAGAAATTCCACCTATTTTGTCTGTAAAGCCTTCTCAACCCACCCCAGCCCCCAAATAAAAAGTAATCGTTTACCGGGCACGGTGGCTCACGTCTGTAATCCCAGCACTTAGGGAGGCCAAGGCAGGCAGATCACCTGAGGTCAGGAGTTCAAGATCAGCCTGGCCAACATGGCGAAACTCTGTCTCTACTAAAAATACAAAACAAAAAACAAAAAAATTAGCCAGGCGTGGTGGCACACGCCTGTAGTCCCAGCTACTCGGGAGGCTGAGGCACCAGAATCGCTTGAACCCAGGATGTGGAGGTTGTAGTGAGCCAAGATCACGCCACTGCACTCCAGCCTGGGCAAGAGAGCAAGACTCAGTCGGGTGGTGGGGAGGGGTGGTAATCCTTTTTACCTCTTAAAACTGGACTTGGTTTAATTTCTACTTAACACCAACCACAAACCGAATTACATTATCAATACTAACACATTTATTTCCCTTGCTAAAACAATGTTTTATAAGCCGTAAGTCACAACCCATGTGTGGGTCTAAAATCAATCAGGGGTTGGAAGAAGTCATGAACAGCAACTTAGAAAACACGGCCGGGCGCGGTGGCTCACACCTGTAATCCCAGCACTTTGGGAGGCCAAGGCGGGTGGATCACGAGATCAAGAAATCGAGACCATCCTGGCTAACACAGTGAAACCCCATCTCTACTAAAAATACAAAAAATTAGCCAGGCATGGTGGCGGGCGCCTGTAGTCCCAGCTACTTGGGAGGCTGAGGCAGGAGAATGGCGTGAACCCAGCAGGTGGAGCTTGCAGTGAGGAGAGATCACGTCACTGCACTCCAGCCTGGGTGACAGGGCAAGACTCCGTCTCAAAAAAAAAAAAAAAGAAAAGAAAACACATGTATGCACTGCATGTGAAAGTACTGTTGTTTAATGAAGCTTTTCAGTTGTGTGTGTGCACGTACCAAGTCTTAATGAAAAATGTAAAATCTGAGGTCTTCAGTTACAGATACATGCTGTCTAATGAAGTAGCCACTAGCCACATGTGGCTATTTAAATTTAAATTATTTAAAATTAAATAAAATTTAAAACTCAGTTCTTGCAGTCAAGGTTGCAGTGAGCTAAAATCATGCCACTACACTCCACCCTGAGTGACAGAGCGAGACCTTGTCTCAAAAAAAAAAAAAAAAAAAAAGTCCTGTTTCACCTACTGGAACTGAAATCTAGTCAGCTACCTTTAAAATTATCTATTGATGTGGGATTTTAAAAAAAAGTCCTACTTCCATTAAAAAACGACAACTGAAAACAGAATATGATCAATTTGCTGAATTGGGTCAGTATGTAAAACAGCACCAGGCGCGCTGGCTCAGGCCTGTAATCCCAACACTTTGAGAGGCCGAGGTGGGCAGATCATCTGAGGTCAGGAGTTTGAGACCAGCCTGGACAACACGGTGAAACCCGTCTCTACTAAAAATACAAAAATTAGCCAGGCATGGTGGCACGCGCCTGTAATCCCAGCTACTCAGGGGGCTGAGGCAGAAGAATCACTTGAACCGGGGAGGCAGAGATTGTAGTGAGCCGAGATTGCACCACTGCATTCCGGCCTGGGCGACAGAGCGAACTCCGTCGCAAAAAAAAAAAAGTATAACAGCACAAATTGAAGGATTTTGAAAACTAAAGGCTTACATAAAGAAACCTAATATTTAAATGATATGAATACTCAAAAAGATTAACTTGAATATTAGCGCTAGCACTAGAACATAGGTCAATGCTTCTTGGTACAAGTTTACTGTAGAAAATTAGAAAACAGACAAGTATGAAGAAAAAAATAAAAATTATATATACTTCCACAACCCTCCCCCCACCACAGAGGGCCACTATTAACATTTAGGTAAATACTCCTATGTAATCCTAATAAATCTAGTAAGTCCTAAAAAAAAAAAGTAAAACTGATATACCACAATCAGTTTGCTTCTCCTCAACAAATGCTCTGAAAAGTCTTCAATGGCTGAATTATTGAGGATTTTGACACGGAATAAGCAAGACAAGAATATTTAAAGGAAATATACCTACTACTTTCCAGTCAACAAGAACTTTCAAATCTTGCAGTCTACATCCCTGATCCCTATCCATGGCAGGAATCCTCTCTCATCCAAGCAGGTCAAGATCCCTTGTTTCATAGTTCTCATTACAGAGCCTTCTGGTGCCAGGTGGTGTGCTAAGCATCCTACACTTGATAATCCTATATTCTCTGAGAAATGGGATTAGTATACAGGAAGAGCTGATTCAAGTCAAGTCAGTGTGCCCAGAAACGTATTAGAGTCTATGATTCAAAATTAGGACCATCAGACTCCAAACCCCACGTATACACACATTTTGGATTTTTTTTCTGGTTTTGAGACAGGGTCTCTCACTCTATCACCCAGGCTGGAATGCAGTGGCTCGATATCTGCTCACTGCAACCTCCGCCTCCCAGGCTCAAGCAATCCTCCTACCTCAGCCTCCCAAGAAGCTGGGACTATAGGTGTGTACCACCATGCCTAGCTAATTTTTTTTTTTTTTTTGAGACAAAGTCTCACTCTTGTCACCCAGGCTGGATGCAATGGCATAATCTCGGCTCACTGCAACCTCTGCCTCCCGGGTTCAAGTGATTCTCCTGCCTCAGCCTCCCAAGTAGCTGGGATTACAGGAACCTGCCACCACACCCAGCTAATTTTTTTATTTTTAGTAGAGACAGGGTTTCCCCATCTTGGCCAGGCTGGTCTCAAACTCCTGACCTCAGGCGAACCGCCCGCCTTGGCCTCCCGAAGTGCTGGGATTACAGGCACGAGCCACCACACCCAGCCTCTTTTATTATTCTATTATTATTATTATTACTATTTTTGAGACGGAGTCTCACTCTGTCACCCAGGCTGGAGTGCAGTGGCACCATCTCGGCTCACTGCAACCTCTGCCTCCTGGATTCAAGCAATTCTCCTGCCTCAGCCTCCTGAGGAGCTGGGATTACAGGCGCGTGCCACCACACCCAGCTAATTTTTGTATCTTTAGTAGAGGCAGGGTTTCAGCATACTGGCCAGGCTGGTCTCAAACTCCTGGCCTCAGGGGATTTGCCCACCTCGGCCTTCGAAAGTGCTGGGATTACAGGTGTGAGCCACCACACCCGGCCAATTTTTGTACTTTTTGTAGAGATGGGGTTTCGCCATGTTGTCCAGGCTGGTCCCAAACTCCGGAGCTCAAGTGATCCCCCCACCTCGGCCTCCCAAAGTGCTGGGATTACAGATGTAAACCACCACACCCGGCCCTATTTTGTTTTGGTTTTGTTTTTGGGGTTTTGAGATGGAGTTTCACTCCTGATGGCCAGGCTGGAGTGCAATGGCATGACCTCAGCTCACTGCAACCTCCACCTCCCGAATTCAAGCAATTCTCATGCCTCAGCCTCATCCTCAGCTGGGATTACAGGCATGCACCACCACACCCAGCTAATTTTGTATTTTTTAGTAGAGACAAGGTTTCACCGGGTTGGCCAGGCTGGTCTCAAACTCCTGACTTCAGGCGACCCGCCCACCTCAGCCTCTTCAAGTGCTGAGATTACAGGCGTGAGCCACTGTGCCCAGCCCCGTTATGTTTTTTAAGAGATGGTTCTCACTCTGTTGCCCAGGCTTGGAGTGTAGTACTCAATCACGGCTCACTGCAGCCTTGATCACTAACCTCAAGTGATCCTCCCACCTCAGTTTCCCAAGTAGCTGGCATGCCACCACAGCCTGCTAATGTTTTAAATTTTTTATAGAGACAGAGTCTCGCTATATTGCCCAGACTGGTCTCACACTCCTAACTTCAAGCAATCCTCCTGCCTCGGCCTCCCAAAGTGCTGGGATAACAGGCATGAGCCACCACAGCCAGCCTTAATTCATTCCTACTTCCATCCTTCACTCAAACTATCTGAATCCTTTATTCCATGTATTATCTAATCCTATTTGTTCAAGTCTCACTCCAGCCTTTCCTCATCAGTTTAGCCTCCACTGCTTACATCTCCTTTGAACATGGTATTTTAGGTCTGTATCACACAGCCTTGTCCATAATTGGACTCATTCTATTTACTGCTGCTTATGTTATTCATATTTTAACCACATTGATTACAACTAGACAGCAGGAATCTCTATCTTACACTTCTTCTATACTACACACAATGCCAAGTCAATGCTGCTTAATCCATAAGAAGTACTCACACATTTGCTGCTTGACTGACATTGCTTTTCCTCCATTCCAAATTGCACGGAGTTAATTCAAATCAAGTTTAAGATCCCTCTGTTCTAATCTTTAAGTCCTAGAAATTACTTCTTTTTTCAGCCAGACAATATCACTGTTTTCCTTTTCTTAAAAGAAACTACTGACCGAATATTTATGCACATTCTGAGAGGATATTATGAACAGCTGCAATTGGCATAGGTCCTTTAAAAGGTATAGTTTCATTTTTATAAGTGTATGCATAGCTAGGCGCGGTGGCATGCACCTGTAGTCCCAGCTATTCGGGAGGCTGAGGCACCAGAACTGCTTGAGCCTGAAAGGCGGAGGTTGCAGTGAGCCAAGATTGCACCATTGCACTCCAGCCTGAGCAACAGAGTGGGACATTGTCTCAAAAAAAAAAAAAAAAGGTACGCAGAACTACTCTCAGGATATTACAACAGCCATTGCTCTAATTCACTTTCTTCAACAATAGGAGAAAATGAGCTTTTCAGAGAAACCGCAATAATTAGACTATCACATACAACTGATAGGCAAAACTAGAATGGAAATAGAGACATTAATCAGAGTACTCTCTGGTTACTGCATTAGCCATGGACTAGAAAGTACCAAAAAGAGCTGATACCCAACAGACCAAACAACTCATACTTTTGAGATTTGCTGTTCCTAAAAACACAGCAAATTCCTCAGTAATTAACCTTTGCACTTTAAAAGTACACAGTTGTAGAACCCAAAAGGTAAACTTCCATAGATTTCATCTTACTGTCCTAATCTCATAAAAAATTAATAAAAAATACAAAAAGTAATAGTATTATTAGCAAATACTTTGGCAGTATTTACTGAATCCCAGGCATTATTCTGAGCACTATGGCAAAAAAAAAGGTATAAGTTATAGTTTTAACTCATTATAATTCTCATAATCTCCAATGAAGTAGAGAAATCACATCTGTTCCTACTGCAAATTAATCTGTTATATTTGTGTAAAGAATTCTGGCAATATTACTGAAACTTTAAGTATATACAGTATATCCCTTACCCTAGCAAATTCACCTCTGGAAATCTATACAATAAAAATAAAAGCATTAACATTACAACATAAATATGTAAGGCTACTTATTGAAGAACTATTTGTAACAGCAAAAAGTTAGAAATAACCTGTTTGAAGAAAACGTGTTAGAGCCATAATAAAGAATTTTACAGGCCGGGCGCGGTGGCTCACGCCTGTATTCCCAGCACTTTGGGAGGTCAAGGCGGGCGGATCACTTGAGACCAGGAGTTTGAGACCATCCTGGCCAACATGGCGAAACCACGTCTACCTAAAAATACAAAAATTAGCCGCATGTATGCACATGACCGCAACAATGCACTCCAGCCTGGGTGACAGAGCCAGACTCCGTGTCAAAAAATAATCTTCCCACTGCACCTAGGTAAAAATCATTATTATTATTTACAAGGCTCTGCCTAATTCCTCAGATTCATCTCACAGCATTCTCTCAAGCAGCTGAAAGAGTCGTGGCTGCTCTTCAATGTATCAAGGATGCAGCTCTTCTTGCTCAGGTCTTTCCCACTTGCTGTTCCTTCTGCCTGGAACAACTCTTCCTCAAACCTACTGTGACCTCCAAGGTAAAATCCTACTCATCCTCAGGTCTCAGATGGTACTTCTTTCAAAGCACCTTCTACCCAACTTATTTTTGAGACAGAGTCTCGCTCTGTCACCTAGGTTGGAGTGCAGTGCATGATCTCGGTTCACTGCAACCTCCACCTACCAGGTTCAAGCGATTCTTCTGCCTCAGCCTCCAGAGTAGCTGGGACCACAGGCGCCCGCCACCACACCCAGCTAATTTTTGTATTTTTAGTAGAGACAGGGTTCCAGCATGTTGGCCAGGCTGGTTGCGAACTCCTGACCTCAAGCGATCCTCCTACCTCAGCCTCCCAGAGTGCTGGGATTACAGGCATGAGCTATCGTGCCAGGTCCTTCCATCCAATTTAAATTAGACCCGCTTATTCTATACTCTCACTGTATTCTGTACTTTTCCACCTTGCCCTTTACCACAGTTAGTAATTACTACATATTTTTGTTTAGTATTTGGTTTAATCCACCAGCCATGTCCATAATGGCATGACCTTATTTGTTCACCACAGTACCTCCAGTGCTTAGAAAAATGGCTACCACATCAGAGGCACTCAACATCTGATAAAATGAAGGAAGCCTAAATTGGGTGGAAAATCAAGGGTCTCTTCTGGATGAGACTCCACTGGCTCCTCAAAAACCTAATCCAGATTGTTACACCCATATCTGAAACGAGGTACTTCCACCATCATAAACCCTCTAAGACTTGCATCTCATTTCCACTCTCATGTTAAAACAAACCCACAACATGCAGTCTTTTTTACATATGAGCTCCAAATCCATTCCTCCATAACCGCTACCAAAAAAAAAAAAAAAAAAAAAAAAAAAAAAATCAACCTTCCTGCTACCATTTTCTATTTAGCCCAAGACTCCAAAACAGAGTAATCAAAGTGAATCAAAATCATACAGTTCAGAAATCACTTGAAATGTATGGCATGCCTGTAAGTTAATGAAAACTATGAAGGAAAATATAAAGAAAACATGTAAGGAAAATTATTTAAATGGAATTTTCTTATCACAATTCCGTGGTGTATGGGGTCATATATATCACAATGTCTTTGAGGCAAATTTTTTATCTGCAACAACTCAGTTTCAAATAGAATTCATGGTATAATTGTTGTAGCTATTGTCTTTCTAAAAGAAAAACAGGAGCATGTGATAATAATCTAAAAGAAAGGATAGGAACACTGTTCTTCCCCATACTTGGGATTCTCTTCCTGTGCGCCCTTTGGAACTAAAGCGTGTTCAATCACAGGGCAGGAAAGGACCAAAACACTAAATACATTAACTCAGCGCTTTAGCCTTTTCAGTTCCTTAGGGGAGACATTTTATAGACCAAGAAAACACGGATACAAAGATATTCTCAAATACTAAAATGCTTAAAAACAAACTTTAATGCTTAAAAAAAAACTTCAGGGCACAATACACTTCCCTGGAGATGCCAAGTTAGACTACCCATTGTTAAAAAGTACAAATAGGGAAAATAAACTGCTAAAGGGCACAGGGCTTTGGGGGAGTGATAAAAATGTTCTAAAATTGATTACAGTAATGGTTGCACTGTTTTGTGACTACACTAAAAACGATCACTTCATCTGGTTAAATTGTATAGTATATGAATTAAACCTTAATAAAGCTGTGCCAGGTGCGGTGGCTCACTCCTGTAAACCCAGCACTTTGGAAAGCCGAGGCAGGCAGATCACTTGAGGTCAAGAGTTCGAGCCCACCCTGGCCAACATGGTGAAACCCTGTCTCTACTAAAAAAGACAAAAATTAGCCAGGCGTGGTGGCGCACACCTGTAATCCCAGCTACTCGGGAGGCTGACGCAGGAGAATCGCTTGAACCCAGGAGGCGGAGGCTGCAGTGAGCCGAGATTACGCCACTGCACTCCAGCGTAGGGAACAGAGTAAGACTCCTTTTCTCAAAATAAATAAATAAATAAATAAACCTTAATAGGGCTGTTAACAAGACTAAACTCAGCAAAGGGACAGCAAACTACCGTTTTGGCTTCTGGGATGAGTTTTCAGGGGAAGCACCTGGGTTAGGAGGTGGGGGGTGCGGAAATTTGACAAGTGGAAAGGAAATGTGAGACTTCTGAACAATCTAGTTTCGCTGAAACCTGCTGAAGAAATGTGACAAAAATTGAGGGTGAAAATAATGGACCTTAGAATTGAGCCCCTGGGGCCGGGCACCGTGACTCACGCCTGTAATCCTAGCACTTTGGGAGGCCGAGGCGGGAGGATCACTTGAGGTCAGGAGTTCGAGACCAGCCTGGGCAACTCGACAACACCCCGTCTCTACTAAAAATACAAAATTTAGCCGGGCATGGTAGCACGCGCCTGTAATCCCAGCTCCTCAGGAGACTGAGGCAGGAGAATCGCATGAACCCCAGAGGCCGAGGTTGCAATGAGCCGAGAGCATGCCACTGCACTCCAGCCTGGGGCGACAGAGCGAGACTCCATCTCAATCAATCAATAACAAGTGAGCCCCTGGGCAGGGCACGGTGGTTCATGCCTGTAAGCCCAGTACTCCAGAAGGCCGAGGCTGGAGGACTGCTTGAGTCCAGAAGTTCGAGACCATCCTGAGTGACATAGTGAAACCCGATTTCTACTAAAAATAAATAAAATTAGCCAAGCATGGTGGCGCACGCCTGCAACGCCAGCTACTCAGGAGGCTGAGGTGGGAGAATCACCTGAGCCAGGAGCCAGGGAGGTCGAGGCTGCAGTGAACCAAGATCGCACCACTGCACTCCAGCCTGGGCAGCCAGAGTGAGACCCTGTCTGTCTCAAAAAAGAAAAAAAAAAAAAAAAAAAGAAGAGAGACCCTGAATGGCAAATAATACAGAACTTCTTACAAGATTTTGTCTAAGAACACGACAACGGATTAAAATGTATCTACAAGTATTCAAAAGGCAGACACTGTAACCAGTGAAAGACCTGAGTGACCCACCATTTTTTAGAACTGTGTCTATGCTGGTCCCAAAACTTACTATGGGTTCTAGAAGTCAAGGCGGGCCCTTGAGCCACTAACAATTGTGGCCAACACACTGGTTAGAATGCATTATCGTTAAAGTGCAACCCTATTGAGGGGTTAACGCGCACAAAACAGAGAGTGACCCAATATAGCACAATATCCCGAAATAATGTGGAAAACAAAAGCGATTGCAAAGTTATCATAAGAGCACCGATTTTATTAAATTCCTATCCGTGCCAACCCAATCTCAAGACCCCGAGTCCATCCGGAACCCGTGCCTGAGGCTGCTCCAGCTCGCTCTCTTCCGGGCGCTGCCCCGCCCCCACTCACGTGGGACGCTGACCGCTCCACGGTCTCGCGGCTGGCAAGCCCCAGAACCCGTTCGATTCAACTATTATTAAGCGCCTGCTGTGTGCAAAGTTCTGAGCTTTCTGTTGGACTCAAAAGACTCAGTACGACCTGGGCCTGGTCTCTGCCCTCAAGAAAAGGACCGCGATCCGTTTACATCCTAGGCCTGCAGTCCTTCCAGTTCCTACCCGTGCCCTCCGCTGGTCCGAGTACCGGCCAGAAGCCTTTCTTCGGCCGACGGGCCACCGGGGAAAAGGCCCTCGCGCTTAGCACACACCCACGCTCATAGTGGGCCGCGGCCCCTAGTGTCCTAATACCTACTGGGGGTCCCTGACCTACCGGGACCTCGGCTCGGAACGGAGGCGACTCCTCGGCCCGCGTTCCCCAAGCAGCGAGGGTCCCAGACTGGAACAAGCATTATCTCCTAACCCCAGTGCACGCGGCAGGCCCGGCCCACACTTACGGCGTGCAGCGGTCGCTATACTCATTAGCGATAGTCTCGATGCCGCCGGCGCGGGCCACAGCGACGTAGCAGCTCTGGAAGCCCAGGTCTATGCCCACCACCGACATGGCGCCGGCTACTGCTCGGGCTCGGGCCCGGGTCCGGCCACCGAGACAGGACACGGACCCCCGGCGGGGCTAGCGAGTGGAAAGCAGGCCTCTTGGGCCGAGGCTACTGAGGGGCTTGCGGTGTCCACGCGAGCGCCTAAGTCCTTCCAGTGGGTACTGCAACCGAGAGCGCTGCTCAGGCCGGCTCCGGCTCAGTGGCCGCAGAGGAGGCGCCGGTAGCGGGGGCGGAGAAGATCTCGAAAGATCTCGTTGCGACGAGAGCGGAGCCGCAGCACCAGAGCTACGAAAGAACGGGATGTTCTCGCGATATCCCGGCTCAGGCGCTTTTCCCCTTGAGGCCCCGCCCCCAGTACGTCTGAATACGTCACGTCCTGGCTCGAGAACCTGGGAAAGGACTGGGTGGCTGAAAGATGGCTGGAAAGCGCATTTAGCCAACCGAGCCTGCGCATGGAACCTGCGGCGCTGCACAGCTGCATAGAGATGTGGAGCACCTCCCTTTACCGTAGAAAGTAGGCGAGCCAGCTCGAGGCACTATACTGAGGAAGCGCTGCGGCCTACTTCCGCCGTTTTTCTTAACATCAAAGAAACTTCCGGTAGTGGGGTGTCTTGCATTCCACCGTGTCGGTGCCCCAGAATGAGACGCAAGCTGATCTGCAGATCCCGCAGGGTGCCTTCTGCTCTTTTCGGGGCAGGTTGGCCGGTAGGGGAGAAGGCCGCCATTGGAACGCGGCCTTTATGTCGGGTTCTCTCAAGAGTCTAAGATCGCACCCTCACCAGCGGAGGGAAGGAGCCCACTCCCAGCCACACCGCTTTGTTTTCTTTCGCTTAGCCTTGTTGCGCCGTTCTCTAAGCCACTCATGTCCTTAGATCAGATTGAGGGGCCCGCAGGATTTAAGCCTTTAATCCACAGCACATTCCAAGCACCTACCCGGTGGTAGGCCCTAACAAGGAACACAGGCAAGTGACACGCTGCCTGGCCTGAAAGGTCCGCTCAGACCTTTACATGAAGTTAATAAATGTTAAGCTTCAGGGCCCCTCGCTTGTATGGCCTCCTGGGAGAATAGATAGTTGCTGAGTTGTGGAGAGGGGAAGCCAGCTTGAGATTAGGAAGCAAATCTATGTAAGCATTTCTAATAAATTACCCAGAGAGATCTAAGGAGAATCTGAATCTCCAAGTCTCTAGTAATGTGTTGTGATTTGTCGTTTTAATTATTTGTTTTGTGTATTTGTAGGGCCCCCCAATGGTATATAAGTTTCACCTCTGCAAAACCTGGATCATCCCCATCATGAGGGTGGCTAAACAAGTAAAGGTGACCCCAGTACAGAATGGCGAGTGCTATATGCACAGAATGGTGGAGACTAGGACAACTTCCCAGAAAAGGAAAAGGCTGTGTTCAAGTTTGGAAAACTAGCAATAGAGACCATAGTTTAAGGACTAAAAAGAAATTCTCCGTTGCTGGAGGGTACATCATGAGTTGAAGGTCTCAAGGCTAGAGTACCTGCCCTTCAGCCATTTTAAAAGTGAATGAGCAAAGAAGAAATTACATTGCCCTGGTATGCCCTTCCCTTTAAATACCTGCATTTCCTGCCACCTCCGGAGGTACTTCACTCTATAGGAGCAACCCCAAACCCGGGTTGATTACCATTAAAACTTGCAAATGGCCACACTGTTCTCACATTTTGCCTAACTAAAACCTGTTAATTCTTCAAAGACAAGTACCAGGTGCTACCTGTAAAAGGGTACTGGGAATAAAAAGAGTAGAGGCAGCCAGGAACAGCCTTTGGAAAAACGAGAGCAGGGACATATTTGTACATTGTATACCCATGTTCATAGTAGTTTATTCACGGTAGCTAAAAGGAGGAAACAATCCACATGTCCATTGACAGATGAATGAGTTTTCTAAATTTAGTGTATACGCGTAACAGTACATTATACAGCTTTGAAAAGACAAAGGAATGAAAGTCTGATAAATGCTACAGCATGAATGAACCTTGAAAATACGCTAAGTGGAAAGCCAAACAAATCAAAATTAATTTTTTTTAATTTTTAATTTTATATTCAAAATTTAATATGATTCCACTTGTATCAGGCACCTACAATAAACTACATAAAGACAGAAAAGCGGTTTCACAAGTAGAGTGAAATGGAGAGTTAAGGGATACAGAGTTTCAGTTTGGGAAGATGAGAAAGTTCTGGAGATAGATGCTGGTGGTAGTTGCATAACAATGTGCATGATCAGTGACAGATTTGTACATTTAAAAATGATGAAAATGGTAAATTTTATGTATATTTCACCACAATTTTTTAAAGTTTTTTTAAGTTAGGTTGACCTTGACCTTCCTTCCTCTGTTTTTCTCCTACCTAGGGGCAATATCAATAATACCAAGCACACTGTTGACCTTAATTATGACAGAGTCCTGTCTCCATCTGTTTATCTCAGTTGTTAATCACTGAGCAAACAACCCGAGCTGCCTAAGCTAAAGTGTCCAGTGGACCTAAAAGATCACTGTCTGTGTTACTGCCTGTTTCTGCCTTCCTTCTATTGGAAGACCTCCCTAGGTCTTAGCTAAGTTGATGAAAATTACACCCATATCTTATTATGTTCCAACTTCATACCTCAACTGCCTTGTTTGCCTTGGTACTGCTTTCAGTTTAAAATACCACCAGCCCTATCAATCTTTTTAATGATTTGTCCTTCTCAAAATAAAACATAACTACCATCAGTCACAGAGAGTACTCATCCTCCTATAAATAGTTTCCTGGATCATCAAACTTATAGCTTAAGAGATTATTCTGGGATATTTAAATAAATGAAGTCAGGAAAAGGTTATTTTAGAATCCTGAAGAATCTAACGTGGCAAGTTTCCAAGTATCACAGTTGCGAACCAACGAAGTGTCCAGAATATTTAATGTTGGAGGCACTGTGTTCGGAGAACAAATTCTTTCCATTTGGCAGAGTATCTTAGGTATTTAAGTATTTTAAAAGCAGGAAGTTGTTAAATGCCACTCTCAAATACAACGATTAAATTTAGTCCTAAGCAATCACAGAAGTGTTTGTTTTTAAATATACAGTGTTCATAGGCTGCCCAACAAAAGACAAAAGGTTCTCCATCAGCTGGGGACTCATATTTCTCCCTGACAAGTGTCCAGTGGAATCCTGCCCTACGCTCTGGAGCAGCTTCTGCAATTTTTTGCTTCACAAGGAAACTACCTGCTCAGATAATGGTGATTTTCTGACTTCCCTGATCTTACAGTGAGTGGAGCAATGCTTTTAGTCAAAGCAACAACCCTTTCTTAAACACCAAAACTCCAATAACTCAATAATAATGGTAATTACCATGTCTCTGGCATTCCTACAGCATATGCTAGCATTACGCCAGACACTGTATTGATACCAATATAATTCCTTTACTCGTCATAGCAAGCCCATCAGGTAGGTGATATTTTTCCTATTTTATAGAGACCTGATAAGGTTAAGGTACTTGTTCAAGGTCACACAATTTTCTCACAACTACACTGCTTCTCTATTTCTTCTTTTAGATGATCGCTTTCTGTCACCCAGACTGGAGTGCAGTGTCACGTTCATAGCTCACTGCAGCCTGGGCTCAAACAATCCTCCCACCTCAGCCTCCTGAGTAGCTAGGACTACAGGCATGTGCTGCCACATACAACTCATTTTTTCATTTTTTTGTAAAAATGAGGATCTCTTAGCCAGGCACAGTGGCTCATGCCTGTAATCCCAGTGTGTCCAGAATTGGTAGGTTCTTGGTCTCCCTAACTTCAAGAATGAAGCTGCAGACCCTCGCGGTGTTACATTTCTTAAAGATGGTGTGTCCAGAGTTTGTTCCTTCTGCTGTTCGGACGTGTCTGAAGTTTCTTCCTTCTGGTGGGTTCGTGTTCTACGCTGACTTCGGGAGTGAAGCTGTAGAACTTTGCAGTGAGTGTTATAGCTTTTAAAGGCAGCGCAGTCTCAAAGAGTGAGCAGCAGCAAGATCTATTGTGAAGAGCAAAAGAACAAAACTTTCACAGTGTGGAAGGGGACCTGACCAGGTTGCGCTGCTGGTTGTTGGGGAAGGTGGGGGGCACGCAGCCTGCTTTTATTCCTTTATCTGGCCCCACCCACATCCTGCTGATTGGTCCATTTTACAGAGTGCCAATTGGTCCATTTTACAGAGAGCTGACTGGTCCGTTTTGACCGAGTGCTGATTGGTGTCTTTACAAACCTTTAGCTAGACACAGAGTGCTGATTGGTGCATTTACAATCCTTTAGCTAGACACAAAAGTTCTCCAAGTACCCTACCTGATTAGCTAGACACAGAGTGCAGATTGGTGCATTTACAAACCTCCAGCTAGACACAGAGTGCTGATTGGTGCGTTTACAAACCTTTAGCTAGACATAGAGTTCTGATTGGTGCGTTTACAGTCCTTTAGCTGGACAGAAAAGTTCTCCAAGTCCCCACCAGACCCAGAAGCGCAGCCGGCTTCACCTCTCAATGGCACTCACCATGGGACTTTGTGGCATCTAGCCGGGGCACTCCAGCAGCCCAGAGGGAGTTCATCCCCCCATCAAGCCCAGCAGGCACCAGTCGGCAGCGCTGAGTGCAGGCCACTGAGCCCTCGCCCACGCGAAACCCACTCCCACCCGGATCCCACACCAGGCCACTAGTGCTGCGGGCAGCCCCGGCTCCTGCCTGTGCTTCTCCCTCCACACCTCCCCTCGAGCAGTGGGAGCCTGCTCCAGCCTCGGCCAGCCCCAGAGAGGGGCCCCCACAGCGCAGGGGCGGGCTGAAGGGCTCCTCGAGCATGGCCAGAGTGGACGCCAGGCTGAGGAGGCGCCAAGAGCGAGCGAGGGCTGCTAGCACGTTGTCACCTCTCATCAGCACTTTGGGAGGCTTAGGCAGGTGGATCACCTGAAGTTGGGAGTTCAAGACCAGCCTGACCAACATGGTGAAACCCCTTCTCTACTAAAAATAGAAAAATTAGCTGGGCCTGATATCACGCATCTGTAATCCCAGCTACTCAGGAGGCAGGGGCAGGAGAACCCCTTGAGCCCAGGAGGTGGAGGTTGCAGAGGTTGCAGTGAACTGAGATGGTACCACAGCACTCCAACCGTAGGTGAGAGAAAGAGACTCTGTCTCAAAGAAAGAAAGAGAGAGAGAGAAAGGAAAAATGGAAGAAAGAAAGAGAAGTAGGAAGGAAGGAAAGAAAGAAAAAAAAAAAGAGGCCGGGCGCAGTGGCTCATGCCTCTAATCCCAGCACTTTGAGAGGCCCAGGTGGGCAGATCACAAGGTCAGGAGATCGAGACCATCCTGGCTAACACAGTGAAACCCTGTCTCTACTAAAAATACAAAAAATTAGCCAGGCATGGTGGCGGGTGCATGTAGTCCTAGCTACTCAGAAGGCTGATGCAGGAGAATGGCATGAATCTGGGAGGCGGAGCTTGCAGTGAGCTGAGATCACGCCACTGCACTCCAAACTGGGCGACAGAGCAAGACTCTGGGGAAAAAAAAAAAGAGGAAGGAAAGAAAGAAAGAATGAAATGAATGGGGGTCTCACTACATTGCTCAGACAGGTCTTGAATTCCTGGCCTCAAGCAGTTCTCCCACCTCGGCCTCCCAAACTGTGTTTCACAGGACAGCGTTTGTTCTAGGAGATATCGATAGGTTAATGTTACCATGTTTAAGGTTCTGAGAAGTCCTGTGGGAAACCTCTTTAACTTTGTATAATCATAAATAGAAATATAAGAAATACTGGGGGCTGGGGGCAGTGGCTCACGCCTGTAATCCCAGCACTTTGGGGGGCCGAGGTGGGCAGATCACGAGGTCAGGAGTTCGAGACCAGCCTGACCAATATGGTGAAACCCCTTCTCTACCAGAAATACAAAAATTAGGCGTGGTGGCACACACCTATAACCCCAGCAACCCAGGAGGCTGAGGCAGGAGAATCACTTGAACCCGGGAAGAAGAGATTGCAGTGAGCTGAGATCGCACCACTGCACTCCAGCCTGAAACACAGAGCAAGACTCTGTCAAAAAAAAAAAAAAAAAACACAACTACCAGATTAATGGCTGGGCACAGTGGCTCACGCCTGTAATCCCAGAACTTTGGGAGGCCGAGGAGGGCAGATCACAAGGTCAAGAGATCAAGACCATCCTGGCCGACATGGTGTAACCCCATCTCTATGAAGAATACAAAAATTAGCCGGGTGTAACACTGCGCGCCTGTAGTCCTAGCTGCTCAGGAGGCTGAGGCAGAAGAATTGCTTGAACCCAGGAGGCAGAGGCTGCAGTGAGCCGAGATCGTGCCACTGCACTCCAGCCTGGGCAACAGAACAAGACTTCTCAAACAAAAAAAAGAAAAAAGAGAAATACCGGGTTAAAAATACTGGGAGAACATAGTTTAGTCTTCTGCTTTTTTTACTCAAGCTTTTTTTTTTTAGTTGGAGTCTCACTCTGTTGCCCAGGCTGGAGTGCAGTGGCGTGATCTCCGCTCACTGCAACCTCTACCTCCTGGGTTCAAGCGATTCCCCCTGCCTCAGCCTTCCAGGTAGCTGGGATTACAGATGCCCACCACCATGCCCAGCTAATTTTTTTGGGGGGGGGGTTTGAGACGGACTCTCACTCTTGTTGCCCAGGCTGGAGTGCAATGGCACAATCTCAGCTCACCGCAACCTCTGCCTCCAAGGTTCAAGCGATTTTCCTGCCTCAACCTCCCGAGTAGCTGGGATTAGAGACATGCACCACCACACCCGGCTAATTTTGTATTTTTGGTAGAGACAGGGTTTCTCCTTGTTGGTCAGGCTGGTCTCAAACTCCTGACCTAAGGTGATCCACCCACCTTGGCCTCCCAAAGTGCTGGGATTACAGACGTGAGTCACTGCACCTGGCCAATTTTTGTATTTTTAGTAGAGACAGGGTTTCACTATTTTGCCAGGCTGGACTCAAACTCTTGACCTGAAGTGATCCACCCACCTTGGCCTCCCAAAGTGTTGGGATTACAGGCCTGAGCCACCTCGCATGGCCACTCAAGCATTTTTCTAAGCATAACGCTTTTTTATTTGACACAGGGTCTCATTCTGTGGCCCAGGCTGGAGTGCAATGGCTTGATCATGGTACACTGCAACTTCAACCTCCCTGGCTCAGGCCGTCCTCCTGCTTCAGCCTCCTGAGTAGTCAGGCCACAAGTGCATGCCACCACACCCAGCTAATTTTGTAATTATTTGTGTATATGGGGGTCTCTCTTTGTTGCCCAGACTGGACTTGAACTCCTATGTTCAAGTGATCCTCCCACCTTGGCCTCCCAAAGTGCTGGAATTACAGGCATGAGCCACCATGCCAGGCCCATAATGCTCTTTTGATACAAAAACTACCATCACAGTTCACTTCTCTTTTTTTTTTTTTTTTTGAGATGCAGTCTCACTGTGTTGCCAGGCTGGAGTGCAGTGGCACGATCTTGGCTCACTGCAACCTCTGACTCCCTGGTTCAAGTGATTCTCCTGCCTCAGCCTCCTGAGTAGCTGGGATTACAGGCACGCGCCACCACGCCCAGCTAATTTTTGTATTTTTAATAGAGACGGGGTTTCACCATGTTGGCCCGGATTGTCTGGGTCTCCTGACCTCGTGATCCACTCACCTCGGCCTCCCAAAGTGCTGGGATTACAGGAATGAGCCACCGCTCCCGGCCTCACAATTCACTTCTAACTCCAAATTGGCTAAAATCCCAGGGTCTTTACTCCACTCTGGCTATCAAACTGTCGGCTTACATAACAGCACTATGATCTCATCCAGTGGCCTTTTCTCTTAAGCCCTATTTTTTTGTCCTTATTCAGGCTGGTTCACTTAATGTATATGGCTTGCAGCGTCATTAGTAGTCCCAGTGCTTTCCCTCTTTGTAACTTTTAAATGCTGGGGGAGGCTGGGTTCAGTGGCTCACGCCTGTAATCCCAGCACTTTGGGAGGCCGAGGCGGGCAGATCACGAGGTCAGGAGATTGAGACCATACTAGCTAACATGGTGAAACCCTGTCTCTCCTAAAAATACAAAAAAATTAGCCAGGTGTGGTGGCGGGCACCTGTAATCCCAGCTACTCGGGAGGCTGAGGCAGGAGATGGCATGAACCCAGGAGGCGGAGCTTACAGTGAGCCGAGATCCTGCCACTGCACTCCAGCCTGGGCGACAGAGCGAGACGCCGTCTCAAAAAAAAAAAAAAAAAAAAAAAAAAAGTGCTGGGGGAACACTGCACAGATTTCTCTGGGCCATATAAGCTGACATTCTGAAATTTTAAACCTTCCGTCTAGGCCCCTTGATCACCAGTGATTTTCCTGACATGACTCACATTTTCACTGGCTCCAACACTCCTCACCTAGCCCCAGACTAGGTTTTTTTCCACCTCTGGCAGCTAACGTTCCAACTCCACCCCCAAGTCCTCCCTATTGGCCTAGTCTGCTGATGCCCAACATGACTCCTCCTCAGCCCAGCTCTGCTCTAGCCTGGCCTGTCCCTGTCCTGTCCCTAAGTATAGAGGCCCCTACAGGGAACTGTACTGCAGTAATAGCAGCTGCCATCTCATTCCTGCAACTTACAAAACTTTTTTTTTTTTTTTTGAGACAGAGTCTCACTCTGTTTCCCAGGCTTGAGTGCAATGGCATGATCTCAGCTTACTGCAACCTCCGCCTCCCGGGTTCAAGCGATTCTCCTTCCTCAGCCTCCCAAGTAGCTGGGACTACAAGCGCTCACTACCACACCCAGCTAATTTGTTTGTATTTTTAATAAAGATGGGTTTTCACCATTTTGGCCAGGCTGGTCTCGAACCCCTGACCTCAGGTGATCCACCCACCTCAGCTTCCCAAAGTGCTGGGATTACAGGTGTGAGCCACCTCGCCCTGCCCAGAGTGTGAATATTTGCAATTTGATAAAGGATCAGTGTGATGGTTAATACTGAGCGTCAACTTGATTGGATTGAAGGGTGCAATATTGATCCTGAGTGTCTGTGAGAGTGTTGCCTGGGAAGATTAACATTTGAGTCAGTGGGCTAGGGAAGTAGATGGTGGGCAGGCTGGGAATTAGATGGTGGGCGCCATCTAATCAGCCACCAGTGAATATAAAGCAGGCAGAAAAACATGAAGTGATGAGAGGGGCCTAGCTTCCCAGCCTACATCTTTCTCCTGTGCTGGATGCTTCCTGCCCTCAAACATCGGACTCCAGGTTCCTCAGTTTTGGGACTCGGACTGGCTCTCCTTGCTCCTCAGCTTGCAGACAGTCTATTGTGGGACCCTGTGATCATTTAAGTTAATACTTAATAAACTCTTCTTTATATATATATGAGGGTCCTACTTATACTAAAAAGATCACTTTTGGCCGGGCGCGGTGGCTCATGCCTGCAATCCCAGCGCTGTGGGAGGCCGAGGCAGGCAGATTGCCTGGGGTCAGGAGTTCGAGACCAGCCTGGCTAACATGGTGAAACCCCGTCTCTACTAAAAATACAAAATAATTAGCCAGGAGTGGTGGTGCGCCCCTGTAGTCCCAGCTACTCAGGAGGCTGAGGCAGGAGAATCGCTTGAACCCGGGAGGCGGAGGTTGCAGTGAGCCGAGATTGCGCCACTGCACTCCAGCCTGGGCGACAGATCAAGACTACGTCTCAATACATACATACATACATACACACACACACACATACATAAAATTAAAAAGTCACTTTTAGCAGTTTTAGAATAGTACCTGAAATATCTCCATTAGGGCTTCTCTCTCATGTTCTTTCCAAGGGCATCCTCTCTCAAAGTAAAATTCCTTTCCAAGGTTAGGAGACAAAGTAACAGTCTGAGATCTCCCCGTGAATGAAGACAAATGATAACCACAGAAATGAGGGGAGTTTAGGAAGAAGTATGTAATACAGTCACATGCACAAGAAGGAAGGCTCAAAGGGGCAAAGGCAGACAAACCTTACCAACTTTACTGTTCTGTTGAAGGGGCTGACTGTGCACTATCTAATCCATTAGGGTAGGCTTGTTTTTGGAGAGTGGCGAAAATAATTTAACATTAATAACAGAACCCTTTTAAAGGAATGGAAAGTTATGTGGCAGCATATTGAATCCCTCTAGAGATCCTACCATAGGCCAAATCAGGTTGCTGTTTTAATTCAAAACCACCAGGAGGTTGGGCACAGTGACTCATGCCTGCAATCCCAACACTTTTGGAAGCTGAGACAGGAGGATTGCTTGAGCCCAGTAGATGGAGGCTGCAGTGAACCCTGTTCATGCCACTACACTCCAGCCTGGGAGATGAAGTGAAACCACCTAAAAATAATAAAACAATCATGCCACTGCACTCCAGCCTGGTGACAGAGTGAGACTCCGTCTCAAAAATAATAATAATAAATAAAAATAATAAAACAAAAACCCACACACACCATGAGAAGATAAGAAGGAATCAAAAGATAGGACTCTGAATACCATAGCCTAACTATAGAATACAGGGTACCTGGACCAACCAAACTTTCCTCTAGGTGCATCATTACTCTTCATTTGTTTGGGTCTGATTTGGTCAAATCTTAACTCAGTATTCAGTGGGTACATGGAGTAGCTTCAAAGGGACTTTGAATATGAAGTTGCAAGCCAGATTGCAAAGGTACTATGAACTTAAAGTTACAAGCCCAATTGTGGGTGTGTGGGCATGCAGGCACATGTAACATAGGGAGAGACAATGCCTGCGTGCCTGACCTAGGGAGGAGGGGATAAATTAAGAAGATTGGAGAAGGAAGGGACAGATCAGAAAACAAAGAATGAAGACCTGTGGTCCCTGGCTGGTTTTGGAAGGCTGCTCTTAACACTTCTGCCTGGCAGTTAAAATCCCATAAACTCACATCTTGAACTTCTGGGAGATCATTCCCAGAAACAGGCCATTCTTTTCCTAGTGTAGGCAGGCCCCTGCATGCCTGTTCCTGAGACCTCACTGCATGCAAGGATGAAGAGGAGGAGGTGCAGCCTCAGTTCAAGGAATATGGCCTAAGAAGCGCAAGAGTGAAAAATGGTGGCTGGGTGAGGTGGCTCATGCCTGTAATCCTAGCACTTTGGGAGGCCGAGGCAGGTGGATTGCCTGAGCTCAGGAGCTCGAGACCAGCATGGGCAAGATGGTGAAATCCTGTCTCTACTAAAACACAAAAAATTAGCCAGGCGTGGTGGCAGGCGCCTGTAATCCCAGCTACTCAGGAGGCTGAGACAGGAGAATTGCTTGAACCTGGAAGGCGGAGGTTGCAGTGAGCCAAAATCATGCCACTGCACTCCAGCCTGGGCGACACAGCAAGACTCCATCTCAAAAAAAAAAGAAAAGAAAAGAAAAGAAAAAGAAAAGTGGCAATTAAAGGGAAACGTACATAAAAGAACCAGGCCTCCTCTTTTGAGAACCACTGAAGTCAAGGATTTCATTTATTTGCCTTCTCTGAGTACACAGGTTTGCTGATTCTATCTCTCCCCACCTAGACACACACACACACACACACACACACACACACACACACACACACAATCACTCAGCATTTGCTTTGCTTTCAACTTCCTTAAGTTAGTGTATTTTTCTAGGACTTTCAATGGAAGTTCTTTTTTTTTTTTGAGACAGAGTTTTGCTCTTGTTGCCCAGGCTGGAGTGCAATGACGCAATCTCAGCTCACCTCAACTTCTGCCTCCCGGGTTCAAGCGATTCTCCTGCCTCAGCCTCCCGAGTAGCTGTTATTACAGGCATGCACCACTACACCCGGCTAATTTTGTATTTTTAGTAGAGACGGGGTTTCTCCATGTTGGTCAGGCTGGTCTCGAACTCCTGACCTCAGGTGATCTGCCTCGGCCTCCCAAAGTGCTGGGATTACAGGCATAAGCCACCGCGCCTGGCTTGCTTGACCTTTCAATATCATACTAAATCGTTGTCTAATAAGTCCATCTAATAGGCATGTGCTTCTCAAAGAAAATGTAACTGTTTGACTTGCTGTTTTCTACTGATTAAGGCTCGGACTATAAAATTAGATGTTAACTTATAGAAGACTGATAAATTGAAAATAATTTTTTTCTTTTTTTTTTTTTTTTTGAGATGGAGTCTCGCTCTGTCACCCAGGCTGGATGGAGTGCAGTGGCGCGATCTTGGCTCACTGCAAGCTCCGTGTCCCGGGTTCATACCATTCTCCTGCCTCAGCCTCCCAAGTAGCTGGGACTACAGGCGCCCGCCACCACACCCAGCTAATTTTTGTATTTTTAGTAGAGACGGGGTTTCACTGTGTTAGCCAGGATGGTCTCGATCTCCTGACCTTGTGATCCACCCGCCTCGGCCTCCCAAAGTGTTGGGATTACAGGCGTAAGCCACCGCACCTGGCAGCAAATAATTTTTGTATGGTAGAGATATTAATTATTTCTTTTTTTTTTCTTTTCTTTTTTGCCTCCACCTCTCAGGCTCAAGCAATCCTCCTGCTTCATCTTCCCGAGTAACTGGGACTACAGGCTCATGCCACTATGCTCGGTTAATTAATTTATTTATTTTTTTGCAGAGACAGGATTTCTTCATCTTGCCCATGCTGGTCTCAAACTCCTGGGCTCAAGGAATCCGCCTGCCGCATCCTCCCAAAGTACTAATATTATAAGCATAACTCACCCACCATGTCCAGCTGAGATGTAAATTATTTGTGTCTGGTAGAAAAAAATATTCCCCGCCAGGAGTGGTGGCTTGCGCCTGTAATCCCATCATTTTGGGAGGCCAAGGCAGGGGGATCACTTGAGGTCAGGAGTTCGAGACCAGCCTGGCCAACATGGTGAAACCCCATCTCTACTAAAAAAAAATATATAAAAATTAGCTGGGCATGGTGGCAAGCACCTGTTATCCCAGCTACTCAGAAGGCTGAGGCAGGAGAATCGCTTAAACCCGGGAGGTGGAGGTTGCAATGAGCCAAGATAGTGCCACTCCACTCCAGCCTGGGCGACAGAGCAAGACTCTGTCTCAAAAAAAAAAAGGCTGGGCACAGTGGCTCATGCCTGTTAACCCATAACTTTGGGAGGCCGAGATAGGTGGATAGCCTGAGCTCAGGAGCTTGAGACCATCCTGGGCAACATGGTGACACCCCGTCTCTACTAAAATACAAAAAATTAGCCAGGCATGGTGGTGCGTGCCTATAGTCCCAGCTAGTTGGGAGGCTGAGACACAAGAATCACTTGAGCCTGGGAGATGGAGGCTGCAGTGAGCTGAGATGATGCCACTGCACTCCAGCTTGGACTACAGAGTGAGACTCCGTCTCAAAAAAAAAGAAAGAAAAAGATAAAATATTCTCCAAAAGTATGTTTTTATGCTCTGTAGAATAACAAGTTTTATATCTAATTTTGAAATCTAACTTCAGCATTCTTTCTTTCACGAGTCTCTTGAATTCTCTATTGAATCAGCTTTGTTCTCCTGCTGGCTGTCTCATGAGTCAGTTAAATAAATCACTGACATACCCTCACTATATATTTGCATGTTCATAACTTTTTAAAACTTATACTTTTATGATTCAGACATTTCCTTAATAAAATACAAACAAAAAAATAAAAATTATACTTTGTCCTCAAAGAGCCAAGCATAGTATTACCTATGAGCCAGCAGTTCCACTCACAAGTGCCTGTATACCCAAAGGAATTGAAAGCAAAGACTCAAACAGATACTTGCGCACCAATGTTTATAGCAGCATTATTCACAATAGCCAAAAGATGGAAGCAACCCATGTCCCTCAACAGATGAGTAAACAAAATGTGCTATATACATAGACTCTTTTTTTTTTTTTTTTTTTTTTGAGACAGAGTCTCGCTCTTATTGCCCAGGCTGGAGTGCAATGGCACGATCTCTGCTCACTACAACCTCTGCCTCTGCCTCCTGGGTTCAAGCAATTCTCCTACCTCAGCCTCCCAAATAGCTGGAATTACAGGCACCCACCACCACGCCCGGCTAATTTTGTATTTTTAATAGAGACGGGGTTTCACCATGTTGGTTGGCCAGGCTGGTCTCGAACTCCTGACCTCAGGTGATCCACTCACCTCGGCCTCCCAAAGTGCTGAGATTACAGGTGGGAGCCACCATGCCCAGCCATACATGGAACATTATTGAGCTATAAAAAGGAATGAAATCCAGATAAATGCTAGAACATGAATAAACCTTGAAAACATTATTTTGTTTTTTTGTTTGTTTGTTTTTTTGAGATAGGGTCTCACTGTGTCACCCAGGCTGGAGTGCAGTGGCACAATCTCAGCTTGCTGAGACCTCCACCTCCCAGGCTCAAGTGATCCTCCCATCTCAGCCTCCTGAGTAGCTGGGACTACAGGCTTATGCCACCACACTTCGCTAATTTTTATATTTTTTGTAGAGACAGGGTTTTGCCATGTTGCCTAGGCTGGTCTCAAACTCCTGGGCTCAAGCAGTCCACCTGCCTTGGCCTGCCAAAGTGCTGGGATTACGGGTGTGAACCACCACCTGGCTGAACTTTGAAATTATTATGCTAAGTGAAATAAGCCAGACCCAAAAGGACAAATAGGATATGATTACACTTATATAAGGTACCTAGAATAAGCAAACTCACAGAGACAGAATGTAAAATAGAGGTTACCAGGGGCTAAGCAGAATGGATGGGGTTTTTGTTTGTTTTGAGACAGAGTCTTGCTCTGTCACCCAGGCTGGAGTGCAGTGGCACCATCTTGGCTCACTGCAACCTCCGCCTCCCAGGTTCAAGCAATTATCCTGCCTCAGCCTCCTGAGTAGCTGGGATTACAGGCGCCCACTACCATGCCCAGCTAATTTTTGTATTTTAAGTAGAGATGGGGTTTCACTATGTTGGTCAGGCTGGTCTCCAACTCCTGACCTTGTGATCTGCCAGCCTCGGCCTCCCAAAGTGCTAGGATTACAGGCATGAGCCACTGTGCCCAGCCAGATTGGGGAATCATTTTTAAGTGAATACAGAGTTTCTATTTGGGATAATGAAAAAGTTCTGGAAACAGGTAGTAGTGATGGTTGCCGGACACGGTGGCTCACACCTGTAATCCCAGCACTTTGGAAGGTCTGGGTGGGCAGATCACTTGAGCCCCGGAGTTTGAGACCAGCCTGGGCAATATAGTGAGACCCTGTCTCTACAAAAAACATTTATTTTTATTTATTTATTATTATTATTTTTGGAGACAGAGTCTCGCTCTGTCACCCAGGCTGGAGTGCAGTGGTGCCATTTCAGCTCACTGCAATCTCCACCTCCTGGGTTCAAGAGATCCTCCCACCTCAGGCTCCTAAGTAGCTGGGACTACAGGCATGTGCAAACATGCTCGGCTAATTTTTTTTTTTTTTTTTTTTTTTTTTTTGAGGTGGAGTCTCACTCTGTTGCCCAGACTGGAGTGCAGTGGCGCAATCTCAGCTTACTGCAACCTCCGCCTGCTGGGTTCAGGCAATTCTCCTGACTCAGCCTCCCAAGTAGCTGAGACTACAAGCATGTGCCATGATGCCTGGCTAATTTTTTGTATTTTTAGTAGAAACAGGGTTTCACCATGCTGGCCAGGCTGATCTCGAACTTCTGACCTCATGATCTGCCCGCCTTGGCCTCCCGAAGTGCTGGGATTACAGGTATGAGCTACCACGCCTGGCCCTGTATTTTTAATAGAGACAGGGTTTTACCATTTTAACCAGGCTGGTCTTGAACTCCGGACTTCAAGTGATCCACCTGCCTCAGCCTTCTTTCTCTGTAGACCAGATTTCTCTCTCTCCAGACACTGGCTGCCCCTCAGCTCTGAATATACATGCTTCAGGACCAGCCCTACACAGGGATGAAAAGTAAAGACCGTTAGTTCTAACATAAAATTCTCAGGTAAGAGGACTTGATTGACCCAGCTCAGATCAGTCAAACTAGTTCAGTCAAGTGTGGCTAGGGGTACAGGGTCACCAACATCCAGTTTTTAGAGAACTATCATCAGGAACTAGAAAGATACACTAAAATGGCCAGGCGTGGTGGCTCATGCCTGTAATCCCAGCACTTTGGGAGGCTGAGGCGGGTGGATCACTTGAGGTCAGGAGTTCAAGACCAGCCTGGCAACATGGTGAAACCCCATCTCTATTAATAATACAAAAATTAGCCAGGCATGGTGACACGTGCCTGTAATCCTAGCTACTTGGGAGGCTAAGGCAGAAGAATTTCTTGAACCTGGGAGGTGGAGGTTGCGGTGAGAGGAGATCGCACCACTGCACTCCAGCCTGGGCAACAGAGCAAGACTCCATCTAAAAAAAAGAAAATACCCTGGCTGGGTGCCATGGCTCACGCCTGCAATCCCAGCACTTTGGGAGGCCGAGGCAGGCAGGTCACAAGGTCAGGAGATCGAGACCATCCTGGCTAACATGGTAAAACCCCATCTCTACTAAAAATAGAAAAATTAGCCAGGCGTGGTGGTGGTCGCCTGTAGTCCCAGCTACTTGGGAGGCTGAGGCAGGAGAATGGCATGAACCTGGGAGGTGGAGCTTGCAGTGAGCTGAGATCACGCCACTGCATTCCAGCCTGGTCGACAGAGCCAGACTCCATCTCAAAAAAAAAAAAAAAAAAAAAATACCCTAAAAGATATCTCACAGTGTTGATGTAATTAGAGGAAAAGTTGGTACCAGAGTACCAGTGAGCAGAGGAATCCAAATAGGCCTGGGTGGGCTTTGAGTTAAATTATATAGGGGAGGGGACACTTATTTACATAACTTTCCAGGGAGTTTCACAAGGCAATATGTAGGGACTGTGGGATTTTGGAAGGGGTCCTGATCAGAGAGGAAGTGAGGAAAGTCATTGAGAGCCAGAGAGACAGTGGTCACATCATCTGGCATGTGACAACCCTTTACTGCAGCCCACAAGCCTTCAATAAAATCATGAGATGCTTGGTGCAGTGGGATTTCTAGTGAGCACCCACAAATGAGATGCAGCCTCTTATTCAGATGTGACCTGGAGCAGGAACAGAGACAGTGAAGCCTACGTGAAATTAAACCACTAAAAGTATAGAGTCGTCTTTCAACTACCTTAGACCCTAGATGTTGTAGCCAAGATTACCTAGTTCTCCAAGTTCAACAAAGCCCCTAGGTAACACCTGGGTTACAATTTTAAGGGTCAAAAAAAGAAAACCACGTAGATTTCACCAATAGCAGCCTGATTGAATAACCTGTGATTACATTAAGCCCAATTAACTACTGGTTGGAAATCCAATTATTCACAAGAAGAGATTTCTGAGCTCTTTTTCCCTGTTTGCATTTTCGCTGGTTGGAATGGAAAGGTGAGGATTTAAAAACTCTTCTGTGTTTCTTAAGCTCTAAGACTTCCTGTCTATATTTGCTTATTTTGGCCCAAGGAATCCAATTTCCCTGGAGCATTATTGCAATAGGCTGTTTTCCCACCTTACTGATTCAGATATCTTGAGGCTTTAAAGCTCTTAGGTGTTGGGAACAGGGATCTCTGGAACAGGGATTTCTGTGACCTCTAGCTCACATTAAGCCAAATTACACCTTGAGGTAGGATGGGAAATTAGGAAGTACCGCCAAAAGAATTGTCAAAAACAGAGTAACTTGAAATATTACCAACGCTTCTTAACATTTGCCGTCTCATTTTTTTTTTTTTTTTTTGAGACGGAGTTTTGCTGTTGTTACCCAGGCTGGATTGCAATGGCATGATCTCGGCTCACCACAACCTCCGCCTCCCAGGTTCAAGCGATTCTCCTGCCTCAGCCTCCTGGATATCTGGGATTACAGGCATGTGCCACCACCCCCGGCTAATTTTGTATTTTTAGTGGAGACAGGATTTCTCCGTGTTGGTCAGGCTGGTCTCTAACTCCCGACCTCAGGTGATCCGCCCGCCTCCTCAGGTAATCTGCCTGCCTCGGCCTCCCAAAGTGCTGGGATTACAAGCGTGAACCACCACGCCTGGCCTTGCCATCTCAATTTTATAGAATTGAGATTTGAAAGAGGGAGGGGCGATTTGAATGAGGAAGGAAACGTGGGATGTCACGTGAGACTTCTTGGACTGTCTAAAGGTCAAGAAAAAGATTCATGGTAACTTAGGAGCATCATTACAGTGCCACTATCTAATTTTATCTATTTTTGTATCTAATTTTGAACAAAGGTTTGTGTCTTTTTCTGCTATAAGAAAAAGTTTTCGGCCAGGCATGGTGGCTCACACCTGTAATCTCAGAACTTTGGGAGGCCAAGGCAGGCGGATCACCTGAGGTCAGGAGTTCGAGACCAGCCTGACCAACATGGAGAAACCCCGTCTCTACTAAAAATACAAAAAATTAGCCGGGCGTGGTGATGCATGCCTGTAATCCCAGCTACTTGGGAGGCTGAGGCAGGAGAATCACTTGAACCCGGGAGGTGGAGGTTGCGGTGAGCTGAGATCATGCCATTGCACTCCAGCCTGGGCAACAGGAGCAAAACTCTGTCTCAAAAAAAAAAAAAAAAAGAAAGAAAAAGAAAAAGTTTTCAAATTAAGTTCCACTGGAATTAAATTCTGACAGTTTGCCCACTGTGGTGGTGATTTTTCTTGATCTTCCCGGGCCCCCTTCTCTCTACTATGCTAACAATAGGAGTGGGCATAACACAAGCTGAATTATTCACAGCACCTCCTCTCACTGGACCACAATGATTTGAAGGAGAGATAAGCAGATAAACATGTGACCAAGCACATGGCGCTCTCTTCAGAGTGTCTCAGCTGGTGGAATAGTCTTTCTCCTGTTTTCATAACATTGAACTCTGTGTAAGTCCTACACTTCTGGAAAACTGAGATGGTTAAGAACCACCTGCCCCCCCAACCCCCCTCACCCCCACGCTGACACACACACTCTTTGTCCCAGCTTACTACAAAGAATCACTCTTCTGGATAGGACTTAGATAAGACCACTGATGATACCACTGTTTACTTATGGCAAGACCAGACACAGACTCTCCAAATTTGCATTATTTGTCTCATAAGGGGAACTGTTTGTCCCTCTGAGACTAGCTAGCCATAGAGATATTTCCTGTTCAGCTGATTGAGATTCAGCTTGATCACAAAAACAATTCCAACTATAAAACACCCCACCTGTGAATTACCGACTCCTCCCTATAAGTGTCGGACAAACATACCCTGTCAAGAGTCTGACCTTCAGATCTAAGGTGCTTGCCCTATCACAACAGCCTGAATAAAATCAATTTCCTTATTTGCTTGGGTTTTGTCTTTGACAGGCTGTGGAATCATAAGAATGTGTTCCCAAGGTTTCAGTGGCCATACTTTCAGCCAGAGAGGCCTGAAGGAAATAGATCACTACTTGGAGGAAAGCAGAGGCTAGTTTGTCTTGACAAAAGGCATCACATCCTTGGTTCTGGGCTGAGGTGCTTAGTTTCCCTGCTCTGGCGTCTTGCAGTATCTTCCCATCCTTTAAATACACTTTTTTTTCATGGATTTTGGTTCACCTGCAATTTGAGGAGCCCTAACGAATCAGTCTACCACATATAAAATTCATGATGCAGTGCAGTAGGTATGTTCACATAAAAATGCCAGGGATTAAAATATACTTTGAGGGTTTATCAATGATGAAAAGCCCTTTAGCTGGATCTGGTGGTGAGCACCTGTAGTCCTAGCTACTCGGGAGGCTGAGGCAGGACGATCACTTGAGTCCAGGAGTTCAAGACCAGCCTATGTGGTCGTGAACCTGCAAGACCCTGTCTCTATCCCCCTCCCTAAAAAATTTTTAATTAGCCAAGCATGGTGGCACATGCCTGTAATCCCAGCTATTCAGGAGGCTGAGGCTGGAGGATGGCTTGAGCCCAGGAGGTCGAGGCTACAGTGAGCTATGAATGCACCACTGCTCTTTAGTATTCCCAGCTACTCAGGAGGCTGAGGTAGGAGAATTGCTTGATCGCTTGAACCCGGGAGGCTGAGGTTGCAGTGAGCCAAGATCGCGCCACTGCTCTCCAGCCTAGGCGACCGAGCAAGACTCCATCTCAAAAAAAATTAAATTAAATTAAAATTTAAAAAAATAGCCCTTCAGAACATCGATTTTTTTTTTTTTTTTTTTTTTTTTTTTTGAGACAGAGTCTTGCTCTGTCTCCCAGGCTGGAGTGCAGTGGCACCATCTCGGCTCACTGCAAGCTCCGTCTCCCAGGTTAAAGCCATTCTCCTGCCTCAGCCTCCCGAGTAGCTGGGATTACAGGCAGCTGCCAACACGCCCGGCTAATTGTTTGTGTTTTTAGTAGAGATGGGGTTTCACTGTGTTAGCCAGGATGGTCTTGATCTCCTGACCTCAAGTGATCCGCCCACCTCGGCCTCCCAAAGTGCTGAGATTACAGGCGTGAGCCACCGCGCCCAGCCAGAACATCGATTTTTAAGTGACTGCTAATAAAATTTCATTGGAGAAAATGGAAAAGAAACTGTTTGTTTGTTTGTTTGTTTGTTTGTTTGAGATGGAGTTTTGCTCTTGTTGCCCAGGCTGGAGTGCAGTGGCACAATCTCTGCTCACCGCAACCTCTGCCTCCTGAGTTCAAGCGATTCTCCTGCCTCAGCCTCCCAAGTAGCTGGGAATACAGGCATGTGCCACCATGCCCAGCTAATTTTGTATTTTTAGTAGAGATGGGGTTTCTCCATATTGGTCAGGCTGGTCTCAAACTCCCGACCTCAGGTGATCCGCTCGCCTCGTCTCCCAAAGTGCTGGGATTACAGGCATGAGCCACTGCGCCTGGCCAGAAACAGTAGTTTTTAAATGCAGAGACAGAACATGAATATTTTGTCACAGAAATAATCCTGGTCCAACATATAATAAATGGACAAGTGTACTGTATTACCTAAAGTGGACACATTTACAAATGCTGGCAATACTTGGAAATTTGCAGCAAGCTTTAATATGCATGTGATCCCAGCACTTTGGGAGGCTGAGACTGGTGGGTTACTTGAGCCCAAGAGTTCAAGAGCAGCCTGGGCGTGCACACACACACACATGCACACACAGATTTGCCAGGTATGGTGGCACATGCCTACAGTTCCAGCTACTTGGGAGGCTGAGGTGGGAGGATTGCTTGAACCTGGGAAGCAGAGGTTGCGGTAAGCTGTGATCGCACCACTGCATTCTAGCCTGGGTGACAGAGTGAGACTGTCTCAAAAATAAAATTAAATAAATAAAAACAAATTAAAAATTATATATATGTAATATAGCTCTATCATATATATATATATATATATATATATATATATATATATATATATATATATATATATATGATAGAGACAGAGTTTTGCCATTTTGCCCAGGCTGGTCTCAAATTCCTGGGCTCAAGCAATCCACTCACCTCAGCCTCCCAAAGTGCTGGGATTACCGGGATGAACCACCATGCCTGGCCCTAAAGTGTTCTTAAGCTATATTTGCTTTTTGTGGAGACAGGCTATCTTGCCATTCTTATTCATAAAACAAATTATAATTACTGTTTTATTTTGCATTACACACCATGTAAACTTAATCTTGATTTAGTATTTTTCTTTTTGAGATAGAGTCTTACTCTGTCTACCAGGCTGGAGTGCAGTGGTGTGACCTCAGCTCAAGCCGAGGCAATATTAGGTACACAGATACTGCAGGGGGTTGAACCTGATGATCTGCTGGCAATTGTTTAAAGAGGAAGCACACAAGTTCCCAGTCCTGAGATCTGAACTTTTCTGATTCAAGATCTTTGCAAGGCCTGGGTGTTCAATTACTTCTATACTATGAGCTAGCCAATAAACTTCCAATAAATTCATTGTTTATGTGGCCAGAGTTTTGTTTTGTTTTTCTTGCAATTGAATCTGAATTGACATAAGGAAATTGGTTCTGTGTTATCTCAAACAAAACTGGCTGGAAGGGAGAAATAGATGTGTAATGGAAAAAGCTCAAGGCTGTGGGCCTTGGACAAATCTCTTAACATGCCTGAGTCTCAGTCCCTTTATTTGTAAAATGAGGATAAACCCTACCTGTGGTGATAAAGTCAAGGATCCTTTGGGGTCAAGAAAGAGAAACCTAACTTGAACTATCTTAATAAAAAAAGAAATGCAGGCTGGGTGCAGTGGCTCACGCCTGTAAACCCAACACTTTGGGAGGCCAAGACGGGCAGATCATTTCAGGCCAGGAGTTTGAGACCAGCCTGACCATCATGGTGAAATACTATCTCTACTAAAAATACAAAAAATTTAGCCAGGCATGGTGATGCATGCCTGTAATCCCAGCTACTTGGGAGGCTGGGGCATGAAAATTGTTTGAACCCGGGAGGCAGAGGTTGCAGTGAGCCAAGATCATGCTGGGGCACTCCAGCCTGGGTGACAGAGTGAGACTTCGTAGGAAAAAAAAAAAAAGGAATATACTGAGGAAGCTGAGATAACCCCAAATAATCGAAGGAAAAGCGAATCAAGTCTAGGTAGGTCTTTTTCTGTCTCTCATCTCTGTTTCTCTTGGCATGTCAATTTCCTTCTCTTCTACTGCAGACTAGTTTAAATCACCAGAGGAGCCAGCAAATCCTGGACTCACAATCACACAGCCTTATGATCTATGTCACAGCAAAGTGTTGCATCAAAGCCTGAGGACTTTAAGGAACCCAAGCAGCTTCATCTGAAGATAAGGAAACATGACACAACTATTGAGCATTTTGTTTTTAGGTCTTCTTGGAAAGTGGAAATAAATTAAGGAAAGCAGCTCTCACCTCATTCTGGGGAGTTTCGGGCACTACTCATGCCCTCATGCCCAGAGGTGGATGAAAGAGCCAATCCTGTTTTCATTTGGAGAATCAGAGCTTCTTACTCACAGAGGCCCAGAATGGCCACTCTCAAATCCCCTTGCATAGCCACTCTTCTTTACAAAATGAATGGTCACCCTGCTCTGAACCACTCCCTTATTTAGCCAAGTTAGTTAAATTCTTTTTCTTTTTCTTTCTTTTTTTTTTGAGATGGAATCTTGCTCCGTCGCCCAGGCTAGAGTGTGGAATGCAGTGACACAATCTTGGCTCACTGCACCCTCTGCCTCCTGGGTTCAAGCGATTCTCCTGCCTCAGCCTCCTGAGTAGCAGAGATTACAGGCATGTGCCACCATGCCTGGGTAATTCTTTTTTTTTTGAGACAAGTCTCGCTATGTCACCCAGGCTAGAGTGCAGCGGTGCAATCTCGGCTCACTGCAACTTCTGCCTCCTGGGTTCAAGCAATTCTCCTGCCTCAGCCTCCCCAGTATCTGGGATTACAGGCACGCACCACCACTCACGGCTAATTTTTGTATTTTTAGTAGAGACGGGGTTTCACCATATTGGCCAGGCTGGTCTTGAACTCCTGACATCAAGTGATCCACAAGCCAAGATCATGTCACTGCATTCCACAGGTGTGAGACACCATGCCCAGCCAAGTTAGTTAAATTCTTTTATGCTACTGGAAGAAGAGTTCTTGTTGTTCTATGCCAAGGCATATGAAGGGTAAACCTACACTTGATTTTTGTACCAGATTCCAATTTTACCATTTACAGCACCGAGGTTTCCTGAATAGTTACAATAACCAATGGTAAAACATAAAGGGTAAAAACATTTTTTAAAAAAACAATAGCGCCATCCCGGTGCGTTGGCTCATGCCTGTAATCCCAGCACTTTGGGAGGCCAAGGCAGGCGGATCACCTGAGGTCAGGAGTTTGAGACCAGCTTGGCCGACATGGTGAAACCCTGTCTCTACTAAAAATACCAAAATTAGCCAGGCACGGGGGCAGGCGCCTGTAGTCCCAGCTATTCGGGAGGCTGAGGCAGGGGAATCACTTGAACCCGGGAGGCGGAGGGTGCAGTGAGCCAAGATAGTGTCACTGCACTCCAGCCTGGGCAATAGAGGTAGACTCCGTCTCAAAAAAAAGAAAAACAGGGTGCATGTCCTTTGACCCAGCAATCCTACTAGGATGTCATCTTATAGCAACACGGGGGATTTACTCTTTCTGTTGTTGTGGTAAATGATCTAATTGTTCAGCAATAGGGTACTGGCTGGATACTTGGGGAATATCCATGTAATCCATAACATAATGTATAAAAAGAATGAATTAGATCTGTATGTGCAGACATGGGAAAATATTTTCTTTTCTTTTTTTGTTTTTGAGATGGAGTTTCACTCTTGTTGCCCAGGCTGGAGTGCAATGGCGCGATCTCGGCTCACTGCAACCTCTGCTTCCCAAGTTCAAGCGAATCTCTTGCCTCAGCCTCCCGAGTAGCTGGGATTACATGAATGCACCACCACGCCCGGCTAATTTTTTTTGTATTTTTAGTAGAGATGGGGTTTCTCCATGTTGGTCAAGCTGGCCTTGAACTCCCAACCTCAGGTGATCCGCCCTTCTCGGCCTCCGAAAGTGCTGGGATTACAGGCGTGAGCCACTGCGCCTGGCCGGGAAAACATTTTCATAAGTACACTGAGGAATGAAAAAATCAAGCTGGAGAACACAACATGTAAGAGCCTATTTTTTTGAAGAACAAGTTGTGCTCAAAGGTCACATCATCACCTTCCCTAACTCCTAATCACTCTTTAATCCCTTACTCTGAAATATTTTTCGTTAGAGTACTTATGCCCATGAGAATAGTCTTCATTCATTGTCTGTAGAAAGTTCCATGTGTACACGGATTTTATTTGTTCAAATGCTCTGTCCTCAGCTCCTAAAACATTTTAAGTGTTAATTATTAATTGAAAAAATATGGCTGGGCGCGGTGGCTCACGCCTGTAATCCCAGCACTTTAGGAGGCCGAGGCGGGCGGATTATGAGGTCAGGAGATCGAGACCATCCTGGCCAACATGGTGAAACCCTGTCTCTAGTAAAAATACAAAAATTAGCTGGGCATGGTGGCGCGTGCTTGTCATCCCAGCTATTCGGGAGTGTGAGACAAGAGAATCTCTTGAACCAGGGACCCAGAGGTTGCACTGAGCCGAGATCGCGCCACTGCACTCCAGCCTGGCGACACAGCGAGACTCTGTCTCAAATTAAAAAAAAAAGGAAAAAATATGGATGACCCAGAAACACACACACACTTCAGAAAATTATATATATTTCAGAGAACGTGGGTTTTAAGAGAATAATAGCTCCGTGAGCTGACATTAGATGTAGGTGCAGCTAAAATATTCTAAAATATTTGTATAGTCCTTTTCTGCTTGATAAAGCAGCTTTAGTTATACAGTCCCATTTAGTACTCGTAACAACGCTGTGAAATACATAAAAAACAGAAATAACGTATATGTTTGCACTCCATGGCTTGCTAAAGTCATTCTTTCAATTGATGGTCTCAATCCTGGTCAACTAATTCCTTTCTATTCTCCAGACTACTTCTAGTTTTCTGAACACCAAAGTTTCATTCTTTGTCTTTGTATGTGTATCCCTCGTTCGAGAATGTTGTCCTCATTTTCCACAGATAATGTTCTTGCCTGTAATCATCCTTTGAAACCCTGTTCGGCCCGAGAACCCGAGACCCATACTGGAGACACCGGCCCCTCCCGACCCACCAGTCCCTCCCGTCCCGACCCTCCAGCCCCTCCAGCCCCTCCCCTCCCGACCCTCCAGCCCCTCCCCTCCCGACCCTCCAGCCCCTCCCCTCCCGACCCACCAGCCGGCACTAAGATACCTCCCCTTAGAAGCCTGTCTGGCCCCGCCTACGTCTACGGCCTCCCGGTTGGAAGCCCCGCCCTTCCGAGGAGTTTCCCAAAACCCTGCGCGGCCGGCTTTGACCGCGCTAAGATGGCGACTCCCATGCATCGGCTAATAGCCCGGAGACAAGCGTAAGTAAGGATCCGGTTCGGGTCCACTGGAGGGCTGGGAGCGGGGAAACGCGCGTCAACGGGCTGGTGTCGGACCCCTATTGGGACCGGCGGAGAATGTCCGTTTCTCAAACACTCTTCTGGCTCCCGGGGGGCTCGGGCCCGGGCGATAAGTCTGGTGACCGGGGGTTAGCGATTTCGCGGAAGACAGCCGCGTAAAGTCTGCGGCACGGGACAGAGCGGGGTTTGAAGACAACTGTCGCGTTTGGTTTCTCTGAAAGGAACGCCCACAGTTGGTCACTCAGTGATTTATGCCCCTCCGCCAACCCCACGCGTGGACAGGGGAGCCCTGAAGCCCCGGTCCGACACCTTTATTCCAGCCGACGTAAACCTTCAGTTTCCTATTCAGTGTCCAGCCCAGCTGCCTTTTCCTACTTCCTTATTCTAGCGCCTTCCTTAGGAACACCCTGCCTTCAATGCCGATTGCTTTCCCAGGCTATCTTACCACCTTTTGCTACTCATTCTCTCTTTCAATAAATATTAATTTATTTAGTTCCTACCGTTCTGTGCCAGACATTGGGTATAAATAGAGGTGTTCAAGACAAAATCCTTGCTTTCAGAGAGCTTACATTCTAGTGATGGAAACAGTCGATAAACCACAAATTGTAAATACAGCTGGTGATAACAGCTTTGAAGGAAGTAAGCTGTTGTGATGGAAAGAGGGAAAGGCCCACTTTAGGTTGGTTGGACTGGAAAGGCATCTCTGAAGAGGTGGAATTTGAACAGAGATTTAAAGGATGAAAAAGGAACAGTCATACGAGGATTTTGAGAAAGAGCATCCGGATAGTGGCATAATTGCTTTGAGCCTGAAACTTACTTTTTACAGAACTGAAAGATAGCCATTACGCCTAATGAACAAGAGAGAGTGGCAGAAGAGATTCATAGCTGACAAATAATGCAAGGGTCACCCCAGATGCCCCTTTCTTTTTTTTTTTTTTTTTTTTTTTTTTTTTTGAGGCGGAGTCTTGCTCTGTCTCCCAGGCTGGAGTGCAGAGGTGCAATCTTGGCTCACTGCAAGCTCCGCCCCCCGGGTTCACGCCGTTCCCCTGCCTCAGCCTCCCGAGTAGCTGGGACTACAGGCGCCCGCCACCATGCCCGGCTGGTTTTTTGTATTTTTAGTAGAGATGGGGTTTCACCGTGTTAGCCAGGATGGTCTCGATCCCCTGACCTCGAGATCCGCCCGCCTTGGCCTCCCAAAGTGCTGGGATTACAGGCGTGAGCTACCGCGCGCGGCAACCCCTTTCTTATAAAGCTTTTTTTTCCAACAGCCTTTGCACATCCAGACATCTGCCTCTTTTTCATAAATATTTCATGCCATCTCCATTTTCATGTCTATATGTAGCTCAGAGTCTGCTAGTATATGTATGTGTGTTTATCTGTATATCTTTTTATATTTTTTAATTCAAATAATCCCTTTTTCTTCTCCTTTCCATCTACCCTTTCAGGCCTGATAAGAAGAGTTCCTCAAATGTACAGACAGACTTAGGGAGTTAGAGTAGTAAGCTTGGTGAAGGAAGAAGGCTCGAAGTCAGACAGGTTTTTTTTGTTTTTTTTTTAGACGGAGTCTCACTCTGTTGCCCAGGCTGGAATGCAGTGGTGCGATCTTGGCTCACTGCAACCTCTGCCTCCCTGGTTCAAATGATTCTCCTGCCTCAGCCTCCCGACTAGCTGGGACTACAGGCGTCCGCCACCATGCCCTGCTAATTTTTGTATTTTTTAGTAGAGACGGGGTTTCACCATGTTGGTCAGGCTGGTCTCGAACTCCTGATGTCAAGTGATCTGCCCACCTTAGCTTCCCAAAGTACTGGGATTACAGGCATGAGCCACTGCGCCCACCATTAAGTCAGACAATTCTGAGATCAAAAATGGGATGGTGATACTTAAAGGGAGTGCTAAATGATGTCACCAGGATCCCATTTCTCCCTGTCTGTCTCTCATGCTTGCTCTTTCGTTGTTGGCTCCATATTTGGATAGGCTCTATTCTTTGCTCCCAAGATGGCTGCAGTATCCAGGGTCCTATCTATTCTCTCAGCTTCAAGTTGATTGCAGTTCTTTGGTCTAGATTGGATTACATGCCCAGTGCTAAACCATGCCTGTGGGATTGTGAAGCTCTGATTGATTTAGAGATCTTATTCTCCTTTCAGTACAATTGAATGGATGACCATAAGCCAATGATAACCAGGGTGGATAGGTCAGAGGAGTTAAATGAATGCAGGATTGGCAAAACCAATGTCCACTTTAAATATGAAGTGAAAATAAGACTTAGCATCTGAATAATACTGCTATTTCTTGTTTCAGAAGTATCAAAAGTTAAACAAATTTTTATATCTACAATATGTCTGTATTTGGTACATGAGTTACATGATTTGTAAAAGACAAATCTTACCTTTAAGGAGCTTCTGGTCTTGTTGGGAAGCAAACATGTGGCATATTATAAAAAGTGTTGTGGTATACAGAGTGTAAGTCTCCAAGGGATTCAGCAAAGGAGGGCCTTTAGAGGCTTGCGAAGTCCAAGAGAATTTGGGGGGAAAGCAGGAGAGGAGCCTTTACTTTTCATTTTATATTCATCAAAAAGGTTTAATTTTATTTACAAGGAGCATATATTACTTACATAACAACAAATTTAAAATAGTTTTTAAGTTAGTAATGAGAAATGAGAAAGCACTATCATCAATTTTTTTTTTTTGAGATGGAGTTTTGCTCTTGTTGCCCAGGCTGGAGTGCAGTGGCATGATCTTGGCTCACCGCAACCTCCACCTCCCAGGTTCAAGTGATTCTCCTGCCTCAGCCTCCTTTAGCTGGGATTACAGGCATGTGCTACCCGCCTGGCTAATTTTGTATTTTTAGTAGAGACGGGGTTTCTCCATGTTGGTCAGGCTGGTCTCGAACTTCTGACCTCAGGTAATCTGCCCACTTCAGCCTCCCAAAGTGCTGGGATTACAGGTGTGAGCCACCGCACCTGGCTTTATCGTTCTTTAAAAAAAAAAAAAAAAAAAGGTCTTTGGACTAATAGAAGAAGACGGGGAAAAAAGTCTAAATACGAACTCCTCATTCAGTAGATCTTTCGGAGACTTAACTAGTCAGTCTACTAAATCAATTGGAATGAAATAATTGATTTAATTATTTTTACCTTGTAAACTGTACTTACATCTACCTATATTAAGTAAATTATGGAGTCTAGGCATTATTTGGGGTCATTTCTTCTATTAAACCTTATATGAGATTCCACTACTCCTTCTTCAACATCCAGAGTCGTCATCAAACTTGGCTTGAAGACTTCCAGTAATGTGTACTTACCTCCTGAAGTGGCCTGTTGTGTTTTCAAATCTATCTAAAAGTTTATGTTGAGCTGAAAAACAATAATATTTATAAAGTTAAACCCCATTTCTTTCTTACTCCCTTGTTTTTGAACCTTGCTATGATTTCAGTCAGTTAAAAAACCTTGTTTTCTACCTGAATTGTCATCAAGTCAGACCTCCCCTGCCTTGTATTGATTTTCTGGACTTAAGTGTCAGACTTACCTTTGTCCTTGTTAAATTTCATCTTGTTAGATTCGACACAGAGTTGCAGCCTGTCAAGACCTTTTGGATCCTGATTCAGCCATCCATCGTTATTAGGTATCCCTCTCAGCTTTGTGTCAACTGCAGGTTTGATAAATATGTACATTTGTGTCCTCATACAAGGCATTTATAAAAATGTTGAACAAGGCCGGGGCGTGGTGGCTCATGCCTGTAATCCCAGCACTTTGGGAGGCTGAGGCAGGTGGATCACAAGGTCAAGAGATCGAGACCATCCTGGCCAACATGTTGAAACCCCATCTCTACAAAAATTACAAAAATTAGCTGGATGTGGTGGCATGCGCCTGTAGTCCCAACTACTCGGGAGGCTAGGCAGGAGAATTGCTTGAACCCGGGAGACGGAGGTTGCAGTGAGCCGAGATCTCGCCACTGCAGTCCAGCCTGGCGACAGACCGAGAGTCTGTCTCAAAAAAAAAAAAAAAGTTGAACAATACCAAACCATGCAGGCCATAACTGGATCTCTCTCTATATTGTCATGCACCACATAACAGATCCCATATATTAATTCTATGGTTGTCCCATAAGATTATAATGGAGCTAAAAAAATTTCTGTTGCCTAGTGACATCTTGATGATCCTGACCCTGTGTAGACCTAGGCTAATGTGTGTGTGTCTTAGTTTTTTACAAAAAAGTTTAAAAAGAAAAATAAATTTTAATAGAAAACAGCTTATAGAATGAAGATATAAAGAAAGAAAAAATTTTTGTACAGCTATAAATGTGTTTGTGTGTTAATGGTTATTACAAAAGAGTCAAAAAGTTTTAAACATTTATAAGTTATAAAGTAGGCCGGGTGCGGTGGCTCATGCCTGTAATCCCAGCACTTTGGGTGGCCCATGGTGGGTGGATGACCTGAGGTCCAGAGTTCAAGACCAGCTTGATCAACATGGTGAAACCCCATATCTACTAAAAATACAAAAAATTAGCCAGGTGTCGTGGCGGGCACCTGTAATTCCAGCTACTTGGGAGGCTGAGGCAGGAGAATCACTATAACCTGGGAGGCGGAGGTTGCAGTGAGCCGAGATCACACCATTGCACTCCAGCCTGGGTGACAGAGCAAGACTCTGTTTCAAAAAAAAAAAAGTTATAAAGTAAAATTGTAGTAAGCTAAGATTAATTTATTATTGAAATTTAAAAAAATTATAAATTTAGGGCAGCCTAATGTACAGTATTTATAAAGTCTATGGTAGTGTCATGATTACTGTAGCTTCATAATAAGTCTTGAATCCACGTGTTAGTCCTCTGATTTTGCTCTTTTTCAGAGTTATTTTGACTATTTTAGATTGTATTTCCAGATAAATTTTAAATTAGCTTACCAAAAGCTGCTGCGATTTCAGCTGGGATTGCATTGAGTGTACAGATCAACCTATGGAGAATTGACATCCTAACAGTATTGAGTTTTCTGATCCGTGCTTATGTATATCTCGCCATTTATTTAGGTCATCTTTAATTTCTCTTAGCAGTGTTTTGTAGTTTTCAGAGGTCTTGCACATCTTTTGTCAGATTTGTCCCTAAGTATTGTAATAGTGTTTTTTAAAAATTTTAGTTTCAAAAGGCTGGGCGCAGTAGCTCACGCCTGTAATCCCAGCACTTTGGGAGGCTGAGGTGGGCGGATCACAAGGTCAGGAGATCGAGACCATCCTGGCTAACACGGTGAAACCCTGTCTCTACTAAAAATACAAAAATTAGGCCGTGCGCGGTGGCTCACGCCTGTAATCCAGCACTTTGGGAGGCCGAGGCGGGCGGATCACGAGGTCAAAAGATCAAGACTATCCTGGCTAACACAGTGAAACCCCATCTCTACTAAAAATACAAAAAATTAGCCGGGCATGGTGGCGGGTGCCTGTAGTCCCAGCTACTCAGTAGGCTGAGGCAGGAGAATAGCGTGAAGCCGAGAGGCAGAGCTTGCAGTAAGCCGAGATTGCACCACTGCACTCCAGCCTGGGCGACAGAGCGAGACTTGTCTCAGAAAAAAAAAATAATAAATACAAAAAATTAGCCGGGCATGGTGGCGGGCGCTTGTAGTCCCAGCTACTCGGGAGGCTGAGGCAGGAGAATGGCATGAACCCGGGAGATGGAGCTTGCAGTGAGCCAATATTGCACCACTGCACTCCAGCCTGGGTGACAGAGTGAGACTCCGTCTCAAAAAAAAAAAAATTTTTAGTTTCAGTTGTTGCTGGTAGTCTTGTGTCTAATGATCTTATGTCCTCTGACCTTACTAATTTATTAGTTCTAATAGCTCTTTTTTTTTTTTTTTTTTAAAGACAGGCTTTTGCTTTGTCAGACAGGCTAGCGTGTAGTTGTATGATCATATCTCGTTGCAGCCTTGAACTCCTGGCTCAAATGATTCTCCCACCACAGCCTCCTGAGTAACTGAGACTACAGCTGCAACCCACTACATTCAGCAATTTTATTTTATTTTTTTATTTATATTTTTTTGAGACAGAGTCTTGCTCTGTGGCCCAGGCTGGAGTACAGTGGCGTGATCTCGGTTCCTTGCAGCCTCTGCCTCCCAGGCTCAAGTGATTCTCATGCCTCAGCCTCCCAAGTAGCTGGGATTACAGGCTAATTTTTGTATTTTCAGTGGAGTTGGGGTTTTGCTGTATTGGCCAGGCTGGTCTTGAACTCCTGGTATCAAGTGATCTGCCTTGGCCTTCCAAAGTGCTGGGATATTACAAGTGTGAACCACCGCTCCTGGCCACAATTTTATTTTTTGTACAGGCAGGGTGTCACTATGTTGCCCAGGCTTGTCTTGAACTCCTGGGCTCAAATGATCCTCCCACCTCTGTTTCCCAAAGTGCTGGGATTATAGGCATGAGCCACTGTGCCTGGCCTAGTTGCTCTATTGTTTGGATTCTTAGGTATTTTCTAGATAAATGATCATCTTTTATGTTCTCTTTTTGGTATGTACTTTTCTTTTTTTTTTTTTTTGAGCTGGAGTCTCACTGTGTCACCCAGGCTAGAGTGCAGAGGCACGATTTCAGCTCACTGCAACCTCTGCCTCTGGGATTCAAGCAATTCTCCTGTCTCAGCCTCCCAAGTAGCTAGGACTACAGATGCACCACCCCACGCAGCTAATTTTTTTATTTTTAGTAGAGACGGGTTTTACCATGTTGGCCAGGCTGGTCTTGAACTCCTGACCTCAAGTGATCCACCCGCCTTCGCCTCCCAAAGTGCTGGGATTACAGGTCTGAGTCACTGCACCCAGCTGGTATGCACATTTAAAATTTTTTTGTTGCATATTAACAAGTTGCCCTTTGAAAAATTTGTGCCACTTTACATTCTTACCAGCGGTGTCCATTTACAGAGTGGCTATTCCCTGCTTTTGCCAACAATAGGCATTAAAAAAACAACTTTGCCAATATGGCAAGTGTGTCCTAGTATTTTTGGTATCAAAGAACGTCATTTCACGTAAAAAGCCTGTACCGTTACAATACATCCCTCAGCCTTACCTTAGCAAATAGAAATGAAATATTGTTTGAATAGATAATTCATTTGGGTAGAAAGAAATGGTAATCTTGTTTGTTTCGAAATTTTGTTTGTCTAACTCAGCAATCTTTATGGAAAATTAGTATTTTTAGGGGTGATTTGTGAGTTGTGAGTGTTTAAAACATACATATAAAATATGTTAATCATACCTGGGCTTCATTTGTTTTCTCTCTCTGTTTTTTTTTTTTAGAGACAGTGTTGCCCAGGCTGGTCTCAAACTCCTGAGCTCGGGTGATCCTGCCTTGGCCTCTCAAAGTGCCAGGATTATAGGCGTGAGCCACTGCGTCCAGCCTCATACCTGAGCTTTAGATGATATTTGTGAATGTCGTATTTATAACAATAAAAAACAAACTCCAGAATGTCTGGTGGATATTTTTAATGACTAGGGTCCCAAGCTACCAGTTTCTCAATATGGAGAAAACAACCTATAAGCTTGGAAAAGAAGACTATGGACCCCCACCGCCAACACCCTCACATATTTTCATTTTTAGGGAAAATCGTGAAAGGCTTTGAAATGGACAGAAAGAAAAGACGATTACTGAGTGCTCTGTCTAGTCCAACCTTCCTGGCTATGTGACTCTATGAGGGCCTGCTTCTTTCATTGTCTTTGCACTGTTTCTCAAATCTTTAAGTCATAGGAAACTTACAGTATTGCAGAAGATTCTTGCCCATAAAAATGCAGCGCAGGCTGGACGTGGTGGCTCACGCCTGTAATCCCAGCACTTTGGGAGGCCAAGGTGGGCCGAGGCCAAGGATCACCTGAGGTCAGGAGTTCAAGACTAGCCTGGTTAACATGACGAAACCCTGTCTCTACTAAAAATACAAAAATTAGTAGGGCAGGGTGGCACACCCTGTAGTCCTAGCTACTTGGGAGGCTGAGGCACGAGAATCGTTTGAACCTGGGAGGCGGAGGTTGCAGTGAACCGAGATTGCGCCACTGTACTCCAGCCTGGACGACAGAGGAAGACTCCGTCTCAAAAAAAAGAGAGAGGCCAAGGAGGGAGGATTGCTTCAGCCCAGGAGTTTGAGACCTGATTGGGCAACATAGTGAGACCTTTTCTCTATTGTAATTAAAAAAAAAAAAAAATCAGCTTGCTGAAGATCATATAGCTATGTAGTAAAAGAGTAAAGATTTCTTTAAAACATTAAAGAAGTGCTGGGATTGCAGGTGTGAACCAACACACCTGGCCTTGGTTTGTTTACTATCTGTGCACTAGAGTTTAATTTTGTCTTTTTTTTTTTTTTTTTTGAGACAGATTCTCACTTTGTTGCCCAGACTGGAGTGCTGTGGTGCGATCTCGGCTCACTGCACCCTCCGCCTCCTGGTTTCAAGCAATTCATAGGCCTCAGCCTCCCACGCAGTTGGGACTACAGGCATGTGCCACAACACCCAGCTAATTTTTTGTATTTTTAGTAGAGACAGAGTTTTGCCATGTTGGCCAGGCTAGTCTCGAACTCCTGGCTTCAAGTGATCCACCCACCTGGCCTCCTAAAGTGTTGGGATTACAGGAGTGAGCTACCACACCTGGCTGTCTCTTTAAACTTTGTATAGAATCGTTCAATCGTTCAATTTGGATTGTTTTGAGTCTATCTTATATCTTATGTTAAATGAAGCTGTAATTTATTCTTTGTTATTACCATGAAGTATTCCTCTGTATTCTGTACCACAAACTTCTGTTCTACTTTCATATTATTTCCAATTTTGAGAATACTGCAAATCATGCTGCCAAGCACAGTGGCTCATGCCTACAATCCCAGCACTTTGGGATGCTGAGGTGGGAAGATTGCTTGAGGCCAGGAGTTTGAAACCAGCCTAGGAAACATAGTGAGACCCTATCTTTACAAAAACTAAAAATATTAGCCATGTGTGGTGGTGCGCACCTGTGGTCCCAGCTGCTTGAGAGGCTGAGGTGGAAGGATGGCTTGAGCTCAGGAGATTCAGGTTGCAGTGAGCCATGATCACATCATCACACTCCAGTCTGGGCAGCAGAGTCAGACACTGTCTCAAAAATGAAAAAAAAAAATCATGCTATGGACATTTTTATAGTTCTTCCTCTTCCCTTCCTGAACAATGCAATCCTAAAGGTATTGGGTAGAATAGAGCACACTAGGTGTCTATGCAGAGGGTCAACTTGGCTTTGAAATATTAGAGCTGAATGTGGGGTCAGGAGAGCACCTACAGAGGAGCTTGAACTGGCTTGTGATGTCAGCAGGTTGCAGAGGTCATCCAGTAGTGGGGAAGTCCAATGCAGGGTGTCAGATCCCAAGCTGGGTCAAAGGTGTCCACACGAGGCAGTTTAACAAAAGTTGTCTCCTCATGGAGAGAATATCCACACGAGGCAGTTTAACAAAAGTTGTTTCCTCATGGAGAGAATATCCACACAGGGTATGTGAGTAGGTATAATTTGGTATAGGGTACCAGAGCCTGTGTATAAAGAGAAATGTGTCTGGGGGGGGCCTGCCTGGCAATGGGAGTCGTGGGTGGGGGTGCAGGGCAGATTCCAAGTGAAGTTAAGAGGATATGGGGGAGGAGGCAGCAGTGGCAACAATGGGCAATTGGTTACATAAGGGGAATTGACCAAATAAGTAATCTATTAAGGATAGTGGGAGCCAGGTTTCTTCCTGAAGAAGGAAGTATAGAAGAGAAAAATAGCTGTGCGCGGTGGGTCACACCTATAATCCCAGCACTTTGGGAGGCTGAGGCGGGCAGATCACCTGAGGTCAGGAGTTCAAGACCAGCCTGGCCAATGTGGTGAAACCCCACCTCTACTAAAAATACAAAAATTAGCCGGGTGTGGTGGCAGGCGCCTGTAATCCCAGCTACTTGGGAGGCTGAGGCAAGAGAATCGATTGAACCCCGGAGGCGGAGGTTGCAGTGAGCCAAGATTGCGCCATTGCACTCCAGCCTGGGCACAGGCGCAAAACTCCGTCTCAGAATAAAAAAAAAAGAGAAAAATAAATAATAATTGCTTCTCAGCTTTTTGGCTAAGATCAAGCGGAGAAAAATTTTAAAAATCTGTGAAATTGGGTTAGAATTAAAATTATCAGTGTGAAATCATGGTTTTCAAAATATTAAATATAGATGTAAGTATGTATATTTGACAGGTGAGTAGGTGTGTGTGTTCCCTAGCTCTGTCCACTGACACTAACTGGAGCGCAATGTCCCAGTAACAGCAAGCACGTGTGTGCCCCCATGTTGGCTCCAAACATTATCAGATCACCTTGGAGAAATGGCTGGTTTCAGGCTGGAGCAGGGAAAATACAAACTGAGCCTATATTTTTTTGTTGTTGTACCAGAAATCAAGGAAATACCCAAATAATAAAGGAGCCATGTCAAAAGAACACATAATCCAGCTTGAAGGAGCTCCCACTGACCAAAACTGTGACAATTTGAGCCTCAGACTAAAAGATGGTGATGGATTATAACCCATTGAATAAAATGGAAAAACATTAATCCACACTCATGAATAAAGGAACTAAATATTTAATGAGGAGTAGGATATTTATGGATTTTCAAGTATTAGCCCACAAAATAATTATTAGTTATCAATTGCTGTGTAACAGATTACTCCTAAAATTTAGTGGCTTATAACAATAAATATCAATTCACAGTTTCCCTGGGTCAGGAATTGAGGAGTGACCTAGGCGAGTGGTTCTGACTCAGTCTCTCCCATGTGGTTGTGATCAGGATGTTGGCAGGGGCAGCAGTTATCTGAAGGCTTGACCAGAACTGGGAATCTGCTTCCAAGATGGTTCACTTACATGGCTATTGACAGCAGGGTAAGGTTCCTTGCCACATGGGTCATTGTGGAGGCTGCTTGAGTAACTTCATGACATGGCAGCTACTTGACCTAGTCTTCAAAGTCACACTCCCTCACCTTGCTTCATTCTGTTAGTTGGAAGCAAGTTGTGAAGTCCAAGCCACACCCAAGGAGAGGGGAATTACAATTCCACAAAATTTGTGAACATATTTTAAAACTGCCACAATTACAAAAGGATGAAAAGTAACTTTACAGGCCAAACGCGGTGGCTTCTGCCTGTAATCCCAGCACTTTGGGAGGCCAAGTCAGCCAGATCACTTGAGGTTAGGAGTTCGAGACCATCCTGGCCAACATGGTGAAACCCTGTATCTGCTAAAAATACAAAAATTAGCTGAGTGTGGTGGTGCGCACCTGTAATCCCAGCTACTCAGTAGGCTGAGGCAGGAGAATCTCTTGAGCCCAGGAGGCAGAGGCTGCAGTGAGCTGAGATCACGCCACTGCACTCCAGCCTGGGTGACAGAGCAAGACTTAGTCTCAAAAAAAAAAAAAAAAAAACCTCACAGTGGCGAAGTCTGGTAGGCACTCCTTAATCAAGGGATCAAAGTGAACATCATCAGTAATAAAACAAATTGAAATCTTATGTTAACCTGATAGGATACAATGAGAAGTACACAGCATCACTTCTGTTTTATTCCTGCCAAAGATACTCAGAGATATCAGATGTGATAGCCAGCCTCTAAGATGGACTATGATGATCTCTGTCTCCTGGTACACCCTTGTGTAATCACGCATTATACCATGGTTGGTCTGTGTGATCAGTAGAATACAGCAAAACTGATGGTCTTGGTCATTCACTCTGGGCGAAGCTGTGTTGTAAGCACTGTGGAAAGGCCAACATGGCAAGGAACTAAAGCCTTCTGCAAATAGCCACATGAGTGGGCTTGGAAGCAAATTTTCCAACTCAAATTGAAGCACACTGTGAAGATACCTGGCTTGCAATCTTCTAAAAGTGTCAAGATCATGAAAAGCAAGACGTGACTGAGGAACTCTTCCCTACTGAAGGAGACTAAAGAAATGTGACAAGTGCAACTGTGGTGCTGAACTGAATTTGCTATACGGGACGTTAAGACATTTGATGCAACTTAGGTGTGGTCTAAAGAATAAATAGGTCTGGGCGCGGTGGCTCACGCCTGTAATCCCAGCACTTTGGGAGGCTGGGGTGGGCGGATCATCTGAGGTCAGGAGTTCAAGACCAGCCTGACCAACATGGAGGAAACCCCCCCTTTACTAAAAATACAAAAAAAAATTAGCCAGGCGTGGTGGCACATGCCTGTAATCCCAGCTACTGGGGAGGCTGAGGCAGGAGAATTGCTTGAACCTGGGAGGCGGAGGTTGTAGCGAGCTGAAATCGCGCCATTGCACTCCAGCCTGGGCAACAAGAGCAAAACTCCGTCTCAAAAAAAAAAAAAAAAAAAAAAGAGTAAATAGTAGGAATGTATCAACATTAATTTCTTGATTTTGATTGATATATAGGAGAAAGTTCTAGTTTACAGAAAATATGCAGGAAAATATTCTGGGTTGATGAGGAATCAAGTGGGCAGCTTACAAATGATTCAGGAAAAATAATTATTTGAAACAGAGTTAGAACTTTTCTGTAAGGTTGTGACTGAAAATTTTTAAAAGCTATAATACATAAAGGAAAAGCAATATTGTAAATATTTTTTGGTATACTTGTGCATAGATTTCTATTGCATACAAGTAGAATTGCTGGGCCATAGAGTAAGCATATCTTTTCAACTATAGTAAATGGTTGTTTTTGAGGCTTTTTTTTTTCCCAAAATAGTTGTACCAATTTGTATTCTTATCAATAGTGGATGGATGTTTCTTTTCCTACATATATATATATTGTTTGAGATGGAGTCTTGCTTTGTTGCCCAGGCTGGAATGCAGTGGCGCAATCTTGGCTGGCCACAGCATCCGCCACCTGGGTTCAAGCGATTCTCCTGCCTCAGCCTCCCAAGTAGGTGGGACTACAGGCGCGCACCACCATGCCCAGCTAATTTTTGTATTTTTAGTAGAGACGAGGTTTCACTATGTTGTCCAGGCTGGTCTCGAACTCCTGACCTCGTGATCTGCCCGCCTCAGCCTTCCAAAGTGCCAGGATTACAGGTGTGAGCCACCACGCCTGGCCTCTTTTGCTACATATCTTTGCTAACATTTGCTATTACTAGTTTTTATTTTTAGTCTTTCTGGGAGTTGTGTAGTGGTGTTTTGTTGGGGTTTTAATTTGCTTTTCTTTGATTACTAATGAATACTTTTTCATATGTTTATTGTTAATTTGTGTTTCCTAGTCCCTTTTTTTTTTTTTTTTCTTGGAGATGGAGTCTCACTCTGTCGCCCAGGCTGGAGTGCAGCAGTGCTATCTCGGCTCACTGCAATCTGTGCCTCTCGGGTTCAAGCAATTCTCCTGCCTCAGCCTCCCAAGTAGCTGGGACCACAGGTGTGCGTTGCCATGCCCAGCTAATTTTTTGTATTTTTATTTTTATTTATTTATTATTTTTTTTTTTTTTTAATTTTTTTTTGAGACGGAGTCTCCCTCTGTCACCCAGGCTGGAGTGCAGTGGCGCTATCTGGGCTCACTGCAAGCTCCGCCTCCCAGGTTCACGCCATTCTCCTGCCTCAGCCTCCTGAGTAGCTGGGACTACAGGCACCCGCCACTGCGCCCGGCTAATTTTTTTGTATTTTTAATAGAGACGGGGTTTCACCGTGTTAGCCAGGATGGTCTCCATCTCCTGACCTTGTAATCCGCCCACCTCGGCCTCCCAAAGTGCTGGGATTACAGGCGTGAGCCACCACACCCGGCCTATTTTTTGTATTTTTAGTAGAAATGAGGTTTCACCATGTTGTCCAGGCTGGTCTTGGACTCCTGACCTCAAGTGATCTACCCACCTTGGCCTCCCAAAGTGCTGGGATTATAGGCATGAGCCACTGTGACCGGCCCCTAGTCCCATTTTTGTACTATCTTTTCATATTCTACTTCATCTTATTTTTCTGTTATCCATCTTTCTTTTTTTTTTAATTAAAATCTTCCCTACTTGTTCTTTTACAAGGGCATTTTGTCTGTTACTGGCCTTTTGAATTTCTGTACACTTTTTTTTTTTCTTTGAGATGGAGTCTCACTCTGTTGCCTAGGCTGGAGTGCAGTTGTGTGATCTTGACTCACTGCAACCTCTGCCTCCTGAGTTCAAGAAATTCTCCTGCCTCAGCCTCCCAAGTAGCTGGGATTACAGGCATGCACCACCACACCCGGCTAATTTTTATATTTTTAGTAAAGATGGGGTTTCACTGTGTTGGCCAGGCTGGTCTCGAACTCCTGGCCTCAGGTGATTCGCCTGCCTCAACCTTCCAAGGTGCTGGGATTACAGGCGTGAGCCACTGAGCCTGGCCCACTTTTTTCTTTTTTTCTTTCTTTCTTTCTTTTTTTTTTTTTTTTTTTGAGATGGAGGCTCACTCTGTCGCTCAGGCTAGGGTGCAGTGGCATGATCTTGGTTCACTGCAACCTCTGCCTCCCAGGTTTGAGCAATTCTCCTGCCTCAGCCTCCCAAGTAGCTGGGGACTACAGGTGCCTGCCACCATGCTCAGATAATGTTTTAGAAATTTTTTTTGGTGGAGATGGGCTTTCACCATGTTGCCCACACTGGTCTCGAACTTCTGACCTCAAATGATCTGCCTACCTTGGCCTCCCAGAGCGCTGGGATTACAAGAGAGAGCCATCAAGCCTGGCTGTGTACATATTTTAGAATGAGCTTGTTAAGTTCTGCACCCAAAAAAACTTTTGGGATTTTTATTGGAATTGCTTTGAATCTATACAGGAATTTGGGGAGAACTGACATTTTATAATACTGAACCTTCCAGTCTATGAACATGGTATATCTCTCTATTTGTTTAGCTACTTTTATTGGTATTTAATTTATCTCAGTCAGGTTTTTTTTTTTTTTTTTTTTTTTTAGATGGAGTCTCACTGTATTGCCCAGGCTGGAGTGCAGTGGTATGATCTTGGCTCACTGCATCCTCTGCTGCCCAGGTTCAAGCAATTCTCCTGCCTCAGCCTCCCGAGTAGCTAGGATTACAGGTGTCTACCACTGCACGCAGCTAAATTTTTTTGTATTTTTATTAGAGATGGGGTTTCATCATCGTGGCCAGGATGGTCCTGAATTCCTGACCTTGTGATCCACCTGCCTTGGCCTCCCAAAGTGTTGGGATTACAGGTGTGAGCCACCATGCCTGGCCTAAGGTTTGTTTTTGCATAAAAGTCTCACACTTCTTTTCTCTGTTTTCTAGGTATTTGGTAGTTTTTAGGATTATTATAAATATTATCTTTTTAAAATGTTCACTTATGCAGTGGCTCATGTCTGTAATCTGGGAGGCCAAAGCAGGAGGATTGCTTGAGCCCAGGAGTTCAAGACCAGCCGGGGCAACTTAGTGAGACCTCTTCTCTAAAAAAGAAAAAAAAAATATTTTTAAATTAAAAAGTTCCTTTTAGCCAGGTGCGGTGGCTCACACCTGTAATCCCAACACTTTGGGAGGCCAAGGTGGGTGGATCACTTGAGGTCTGGAGTTCAAGACCAGCCTGACCAACATAGTGAAACCCCATCTCTACTAAAAATACAAAAACTAGCTGGGTGTGGTGGCAGGCGCCTGTAATCCCAGCTACTTGGGAGGCTGAGGCAGGAGAATCGCTTGAATCCGGGAGGTGGATGTTGCAGTGACCTGAGATTGCGCCATTGCACTCCAGCCTGGGCAACAAGAGCAAAACTCCATCTCAAAAAGAAAAAAAAAAGTTCCTTTTAAACTGTTTTTGTGGCTGGGTGCAGTGATTCATGCCTGTAATCGCAGCACTTTGGGAGGCCAAGGTGCGAGGATCACTTGAGCTCAGGAATTTGAAACTAGCCTGGGCAACATAAGGAGACCTCATCTCTACAAACAAAATACGAAAACTGTTTTTTGTTATATAGAAACTCAATTCGTCTTTATATGGTGTCTCTATAGCTAATATAAGGTTCCACAAACCATGGTCACTGAATCCTGCCTGCTACCTGTTTTTGGAGGCTCATAAGCTAAGAATGTTGTTTATATATGAGCCTTCATTTCATCCACAAAATATGGAAATTTGTTTTCTCTCATGTTATATGAGTACCTATATAACATCCACAGTTTTGCCTCTTGTTCCACAAAGCCTATAATATTTACTACCTGACCCTTTACAGAAAAATTTGCTGACCTGTACTGGGCACGGTGGCTCACACCTGTAATCCTAGCACTTTGTGAGGCTGAGGCAAGTGGATTGCCTGAGCCTAGGAGTTCGAGACCAGCCAGGATAATACGGTGAAACCCCGTCTCTACTAAAATAAAAAAAATTAGCCGTGCGTGGTGGTGTGTGCCTGTAGTCCCAGCTACTCCCGAAGCTGAGGCAGGAAAATTGCTTGAACCTGGGGGGCAGAGGCTGCAGTAAGCCAAGATCGTGCCACTACACTCTAGCCTGGGCGACAGAGCAAGACTTCATCTCCAAAAAAAAAAAAAAAATTGCTGACCCAAATTTAAAACCTTGCTAAACTCACTTAATTCTAATTATTTCAAAATATTTTATCTGTAGATTCATTAGGATTTACAGTGTACCTAACACTTTATCGATAAGAAATGACAGGTTTATTTCTTCCTTTTCAATTCTTTTACTTCTTTTTCTTCCTTGGCTGTATCTCAGTCCAATTTCAGGGACTGGATTTTTCTCAGTCTTCTAGGTAACTAGAAGTTGGCTGAAGTTTCTAAGAACTTGGGTTTATTTGTAGGGTATAGCCCTTCGTCTTAACTCTGACACAGAGTTTATCTCCCTAGCTTGTAATATGTGATGCTTACCCTGTTGCGATGGACAGACACACCCAGCACAAAAGTTGACTTAATTCTAGATTTCTATCTTCTTCCATATCTTGTTTTGATTATTCTTTTTTTTTTTTTTTTTTTTGAGACGGAGTCTTACTCTGTCGCCCAGGCCAGAGTGCAGTGGCATGATCTCAGCTCACCGCAACCTCTGCCTCCTTAAGTTCAAACAATTCTCCTGCCTCAGCTTCCTGAGTAGCTGAGATTACAGGTGTGTGCCACCAAGCCTGGCAATTTTTGTTTTAGTAGAGACGGGTTTCACCATGTTGGCCACGCTGGTCTCGAATTTCTGACCTCAAGCAATCCGCCCACCTCAGCCCCACAAAGTGCTGGGATTATGGGAATGAGCCACCGCACCTGGCCATCTTTTTTGGTTTTTTTTAAGAGACAGAATCAGGCAGGGTGCAGTGGCTCATGCCCGTAATCCCAGCACTTTGGGAGGCCGAAGTAGGTGGATCACTTGAGGCCAGGAGTTTGAGACCAGCCTGGCCAACATGGCAAAACCCCACCTCTACAAAAAATACAAAAATTAGCCGGGCGTGATAGTGCATGCCTGTAGTCTCAACTACTCAGGAGGCTGAGGCAGGAGAATTGCTTGAACCTGGGAGGCTTGTGGTGAGCCGAGATCGTGCCACTGCACTCTTGGCCTGGGCAACAGAGTGAGACTTCATCTTTAAAAAAAAAAAAAAAGAGAATCTCCCTCTGTCACCCAAGTTGAAGTGCAGTGGTGCAATCATAGCTTACTGTAGCCTCAAACTCCTGGGCTCAATTGCACCTCCTATCTCAGCTTCCCAAGTAGCTGGGACTACAGCTGTTTGCCACCACACGCGGCTAATTTTTGTAGTTTTTTTTAGAGACAGGGTTTCACCATGTTGCCCAGGCTAGTCTCAAACTTCTGAGCTCAAGTTATCTGCCTCCCTTGGCCTCCCAAAGTGCTGGGATTACAAGCGTGAACCACCAGGCCTGGCCCTGGCTAATTTTTCAAAATTTGTTGTAGAGATTGAGTCTTGCTGTGTTGTCCTGCCTGGCTGGTCTCAAATTCCTGGCCTCAAGCAATCTTTCCACCGTGGCCTCCCAAAATGCTGGGATTACAGACCTGAGCCATTTCAGCTGGTCAGCTTGACCCCCTTGTTGATTCTCTGATTTTTTTTTTTTTTTTTTGAGATGGAGTCTCACCCTGTTGCCCAGGCTGGAGTACGATGGCGCAATCTCGGCTCACTGCAACCTCCGCCTCCCAGGTTCAAATGATTCTCCTGCCTCAGCCTCCCATGTAGCTGGGATTACAGGTGCCCACCACCACGCCCAGCTAATTTTTGTATTTTTAGTAGAGACAGGGTTTCACCATGTTGGCCAGGCTGGTCTCAAACTCCTGACCTCCTGATCCACCTGCCTCAGCCTCCCAAAGTGCTGGGATTACAGGCGTGAGCCACTGCTCCCGGCCTGATTTTCTGATTCTTTTTTTTTTTTTTTTTTTGAGACAGAGTCTCACTCTGTCACCCAGACTGGAGTGCAGTGGCGCAATCTCGGCTCACTGCAAGCTTTGCCTCCCAGGTTCACACCATTCTCCTGCCTCAGTCTCCCCAGTAGCTGGGACTACAGGCACCCACCACCACGCCCGGCTAATTTTTTATATTTTTAGTAGAGACAGGGTTTCACCGTGTTAGCCAGGATGGTCTCGATCTCCTGACCTCGTGATCCGCCTGCCTTAGCCTCCCAAAGTGCTGGGATTACAGGTGTGAGCCACCACACCTGGCTGATTTTCCGATTCTTAAAGAAGCTTGTTAAAAATGTTTTGACGGTCTTTTCTAGTTCTGAGCTGGAAAGTAGTCTGAATGCCCTAGTCTCACATAACTGGAACAGAATTGAGGAGCCAAGATTTGAATTCAACTGTATCTTAACTTCAAGGTCTATGCTTTTAACCATTTATTATATGTATTAATCCATTTTCACACTGCTGATAAAGACATACCCAAGACTGGGCAATTTACACAACAAAAAAGTTTATTGGAATCACAGTTCAGCATGTCTGGGGAGGCCTCACAATCATGGCAGAAGGCAAGGAGGAACAAGTCACATCTTACATGGACGGCAGCAAGAAAAGAGAGAGAGACTGTGCAGGGAAACTCCTGTGGTTTTTTGTTTTTTTTTTTTTTTGTGAGACGGAGTCTCGCTCTGTTGCCCAGGCTGGAGTGCAGTGGTGCAACCTTGGCTCACTGCAAGCTCTGCCTCCCGGGTTCATACCATTCTCCTGCCTCAGCCTCCTGAGTAGCTGGGACTACAGGCGCCCACCACCACGCTTGGCTAATTTTTTTGTATTTTTAGTGGAGATGGGGTTTCACCATGTTAGCCAGGATGGTCTCAATCTCCTGACCTCGTAATCCGCCTGCCTTAGCCTCCCAAAGTGCTGGGATTATAGGTGTGAGCCACCACACCCAGCCGGAAACTCCTATTTTTAAAACCATCAGATCTTGTGAGATTTATTCACTATCACAAGAACAGCACAGGAAAGACTTGCCCCTATGATTAAGTTACCTCCCACCAGGTTTCTCCCACAACATGTGGGAATTCAAGATGAGATTTAGATGGGGACACAGCCAAACCATGTCATTACACTTATTATACTTTGTTGTATTAAATCTCACAAGGGTAAAATGTTGATTTTTATGAATTGGACCATAAGAGTAAACATAATTTTATCCTTTATATTTTTTTATAGTTTTTAGGGTGAAAGTCACAAGACAGAATTTTAAGGCTTGTATTCTGTTTTTTGTTCTGTAGTGAAGCAAATAAGCAACATGTAAGATGTCAGAAATGCTTGGAATTTGGACATTGGACTTATGAATGCACAGGAAAAAGAAAATACCTACATAGGCCCTCAAGGACAGCAGAACTAAAGAAAGCTTTAAAAGAAAAAGAAAACAGATTATTATTGCAACAAAGGTAGGTTTACATGTGGTATCCAAAGGAATATTTTTTTAATGTGTATATAGAATTTATTAAAGGACCAAACGTTTCATGGTGGTTCTCCAGATTTTAATTATAATGTTACTAATGTTTAATAGATGCTTACTGTGTGCCAAGTACTATTCTAGGGTCTTTATAAGTATTAGCTTATTTAAACCTGATATCTACACTATTAAGGTAGGTAGTATTATTGTCTTCATTTTACATATGAAGAAACTAAAGCAAGGAGATGTTGAATAACTTACTCATTGTCATACAGCTAGTAAGAAGAAAAAGTAAGTGTTAAATCATGCAGCCTGTCCCCCAGATTCATGGTCTTAATCATTTTGCTTTTTTGCCTCAACTGTCAATGAAATGACAATTGAATTAACCGATAGATTATATGAGCTGACATGGAAAGCTATCCAAGAAGTACCAGGTATATTAATTAAGGTAGAGAACAGAATATATAATATGCTATGATTTATGTTTATAAAAAGAAGAATTGGCTGGGCGGGGTGGCTCACACCTATAATCCCAACACTTTGGGAGGCCGACGCCTGGCCAACATGGTGAAATTCCATCCCTACTAAAAATACAAAAATTAGCCGGGCATAGTGGCAGGTACCTGTAATCCCAGCTACTCAGGAGGCTGAGGCAAGAGAATCACTTGAACCTGGGAGGTGGAAGTTTTGGTGAGCTGAGATTGTGCCACTGCATTCCCGACTGGGCAACAGAGGGAGACTCTGTCTCAAAAAAAAAAAAAAAAAAAAAAAAGCAGCATCTTCCTAAGGGCTGTTAGCTGTATAATAGTGTCTTAAATATTTAGACTTTCAAGGCAACAGTCTTCCAATTTGTGACGTGAAAGTTCTTCAAGCGTTATGCAGGAATAGATAACCAATTTCTAGATTATCAACATTCATATACAATTCTTCCTAAAACAAATCTGATGAGAACTTGCCTACTGGTCTCCTTTTCTACTTCCCCTTTTCTAACAACGCTTCTCTAATCTCACAAAAGAAAGGTATACCTCTCACCCATCTCTAACATACCTTAGTGTATTGTCCTCACGTATAAAAACCTAGATGGCAGAATAGTGGTGTTTGTGCTGAGAAAGTGAATGGTCATAATAGTTTTGTTTGTTTGTTTTGAGACAGAGTCTCACTGTGTCATCCAATCTGGAGTGCAGTCTCAGCTCACTGCAACCTCCACCTCCTGGGTTCAAGTAATTCTCCCACCTCAGCCTCCCCAGTAGCTGAGACTTCAGATGCACACCACCACGCCTGGCTAATTTTTTGTATTTTTGGTAGAGATGGGATTTTGCCATGTTGCCCAGGGTGGTCTCAAACTCCTGAGCTCTAGCAATCCACCCACCTCAGCCTCCCAAAGTGCTGGGATTATAGGCATGAGCCACCATGCCCAGCTGGCCATAATTTTTTAGAGTAAAAAATTTTTTTTTTGAGACAGAGTCTTGCTCTGTCACCCAGGCTGGAGTGCAGTGGTGCGATCTCAGCTCACTTCGACCTCTGCTTCCCAGGTTCATGTGATTGTGCCTCAGCCTCCGGAGTAGCTGGGAGTATAGGTGCGTGCAACAACACCTGGCTAATTTTTTGTATTTTTAGTAGAGACTGGGTTTCACCATGTTAGCCAGGATGGTCTCGATCTCCTGACCTCATGATCTGCCCGCCTCGGCCTCCCAAAGTGCTGGGATTACAGGCGTGAGCCACCGCACCCAGCTGAGAGTAAATTCTTTTTTAAGGTTTTTCCCTCAACAAAATTGAAGATGACCTAATTGAATTGTCAATTAAAAAGCATATTTTAATGGAATATTATTATGTGACTTGTGGCATATAACAGATGGAATGCAGAGAATCGAGTGACATGGAAATAACAAAAGTCTTTCCATTCCAATCAATCTATTTAGGTTAGGGTTTCTCTAGGTTAAATATGTAACACTTAAGAATTAAGCCGGGCACGGTGGCTTACACCTGTAATCCCAGCACTTTGGGAGGCCGAGGCAGGCAGATCACGAGGTCAGGAGATGGAGATCTTCCTGGCTAACACAGTGAAACCCTGTCTCTACTAAAAAGATACAAAAAATCAGCCGGGCGTGGTGGTGGGCACCTGTAGTCCCAGCTATTCGGGAGGCTGAGCCAGGAGAATGGCGTGAACCCGGAAGGCGGAGCTTGCAAGGGAGCCGAGATCGCGCCACTGCACTCTAGCCCGGGTGACAGAGCGAGACTCCGTCTCAGAAAATAAAAATAAAAATAAAATAAGAACTAAGCCGGGCGCGGTGGCTCATGCCTGTAATCCCAGCACTTTGGGAGGCCAAGGCGGGTGGATCACCTGAGGTTGGGAGTTTGAGACTAACATGACCAACATGGAGAAACCCCGTCTCTACTAAAAATACAAAATTATCCAGACGTGGTGGCGCATGCCCATAATCCCAGCTGCTTGGGAGGCTGAGGCAGGAGAATCACTTGAACCCGGGAGGCGGAGGTTGTGGTGAGCCGAGACTGCACCATTGCACTTCAGCCTAGGCAACGAGAGCGAAACTCCATCTCAAAAAAAAAAAAAGAAATTAAAAATAAGAAATAATTCCCAAGGAGCCATCTCTATTGAAAAAATAAAATTTAAAAATAGGAATTTAATTGATGCCAAACCTGGTCACATTCTACCATGAAGAAATATTTATTTATAGATACATAAACTAGAAAAAAATCTGTCATTAAGAAATGCATTTCCGGACTGGGCACAGTGGTTCATGCCTGTAATTCCAGCACTATGGGAGGCCGAGGTGGGTGGATCACTCGAGGTCAGGAGTTCGAGACCATCCTGGCCAACATGGCAAAACCCTGTCTCTACTAAAAATACAAAAATTAGCTAGGTGCGGTGGTGCACCCTGTAATCGCAGCTACTTGGGAAGCTGAGGCAGGAGGATCACTTGAACCCAGGAGGCAGAAGTTGCAGGGAGCTGAAATCACACCACTGCACTCCAGCCTGGGTGATACAGTGAGACTGTATCTCGCCAAAAATATATATATATACACATTACCAATAAGTTTGTTTTAATGTAATAGTTATTAAAATTTATACTATCAGCCAAATGCTGTGGCTCATGCCTGTAATCCCAGCACTTTGGGAGGCCAAGACAAGAGGATCACTTGGGGCCAGAAGTCTAAGAACAGCCTAGGCAACATAGCAAGATGCTGGGTTTTTTGGGTTTTTTTTCAACTTTCAGTTATTTATTAATCAGTGTAATCTCCAGTAGATTACCTCAACATGATTTCATGCATTTAGAGGAGAAATATTTCCTGTTAAGTGGAAAATTGTGCGGATGGCTTCTGGAAGACCTTCATTCTAAAGGAGCTTTATAGTAAAACATTTCATTTAGAAATCTGAACCTTCTTTCTTCAATTTGCTGTAATCCACATTCACTGAGTAGAACTTGTATTGATCATTGGGACCCAGTTTGTTCAGGGCTCTGGGTTAGTCTTTCTGTCCCAACAAACATCTGGATTGAACAATGTCAGAGGCGAGAGAAACAGTGCTGCTCCAATACCTCCAGTTCCAATAAATACAAAAAGGGGGATCAACTTCGCATGCTTCTTGGCCTGACCCATGATCTGGCGGAGAATGTTTGCAGCAGAAGCCTCCAACTGGAAAGGAGACAACCAGCCTAGCCACCAGGCCCTGGGCTAAGTAGTATCTGCCAAGACCCTGTTTCTTAAAAAAAGGCCGGGCGTGGTGGCTCACACCTGTAATCCCAACACTTTGGGAGGCCGAAGTGGGTGGATCGCCTGAGGTCAAGAGTTCGAGACCAGCCTGACCAACATGGTGAAACGCCATCTCTACTAAAAGTACAAAAATTAGCCAGGCATGGTGGCGGGCACCTGTAATCCCAGCTACTCAGGAGGCTGAGACAGGAAAATTGCTTGAACCCAGGAGGCAGAGGTTGAAGTAAGCCAAGATCATGCAACAGCACTCCCACCTGGGCGACAGAACGAGCCTCCACCTCAAAAAAAAGAAAAAGTATCAGCTGTTAAAAATGTTCATATGTTCTTATGTGAATAATAGGTATTAAATTATTGTAGAACTTTTTATAATATGTATATAATATGCCCTTTGCAAATATTAAAACTTAGAATTGCAAGTATGAGTTTTCCAGAAATTATTTTATTAGGAATGTAAGCAAAAAAATGTTTGAAGACCCCTGTCCTAAAGAATGAAATACGGGTTATGAAAATTTTCATTCTAGTTTAGGCGCACACCTATAATCCTAGCACTTTGGGAAGCTAAGGTGGGAGGATCACTTGAGGACAGGAGTTTGAGACCAGCCTGGGCAACATAGCAAGTCTCACCTCTACAAAAAATAAATACATAAATAAAATTTTATTTTGACATTTACTTTTGTTTTTCTAATTGTATCTCACAAGTATTTTGGTCTAAAAATATATATAATTACATGAATCTGGCTCTGTTAAAAAAGATTGCTGGCCAGGAACCTTGGCTCACACCTGCAATCCCAGCATTTTGGGAGGCTGAGGCGGGTGGATCACAAGATCAGGAGATCGAGACCATCCTGGCTAACATGGTGAAACCCTGTCTCTACTAAAAATACAAAAAAATTAGCCAGACATAGTGGCGGGCACCTGTAGTCCCAGCTACTCGGGAGGCTGAGGCAGGAAATGGCATGAACCCGGGAGGTGGAGCTTGCAGTGAGCCGAGATCCAGCACTGCACTCCTGCCTGGGCGACAGAGGGAGACTCCATCTCAAAAAAAAAAAAAAAAAAAAAAAAAAAGATTGCTGAATTTTGATTCAGTTATAATTTAATAAGTATACTTCACCCTCTTATTTTATGCCCAAAATGACAATTCAGTAAGTAATTCCATTGTGTAAAAAACTTTACATAAATACATGTTTATGTTTGGAGACTCAGGAAACAATGATGGAAGCATTATCTAGGAAATATAGAGAAGGCCAGGATATAAAAACATTGGCCATGTGTGGTGGCTCACACTTGTAATCCCAACACTTTGGGAAGCTGAGGTGAGCAGATTGCTTGAGCTTAGGAGTTCAGGACCAGGCTGGGCAACATGGTCAAACCCCGTCTCTACAAAAAATACAAAAGTTAGGCATGGTGGTGCGTGTTGTAGTCCCAGCTACTCCAGAGGTTGAGGTGGGAGGATTGCTTGAGGCTGGGAGGCAGAGGTTGCGGTAAGCCAAGATCATGCCACTGCACTCCAGCCTGGGTAACAGTGAGACCCTATCTCAAAAAGAAAAAAAAAAGTTAAATTTACAGGACAGTGGTGATAGAATTAATTGTTTTTTTCTTGTTGTTGTTGTTGTTGTTGTTTTTATTTTGAGACAGAGTCTTGCTCTGTCGCCCAAACTGGAGTGCAATGGTGCGATCTCAGCTCACTGCAACCTCTGCCTCCCAGGTTCAAGAGATTCTCCTGCCTCAGTCTCCTGGGTAGCTGGGAGTACAGGCATGCACCACCAAGCCTGGCTAATTTTTGTGTTTTTTTTAGTAGAGACAGGGTTTCACCATGTTGGCCAGGCTGGTCTCGAACTCCTGACCTCAAATGATCTGCCTGCCTCGGCCTCCCAAACTGCTGGGATTACAGGTGTGAGCCACCGCACCTGGCCTAATTGTGTAATTTAAAAACCTGATTTAGTATGCATGTTGTTTGACAGAATAATAGCAGCAAGCTATTTGTCCCTTTCATTCAAATTTACCAGACTTTATAACTAATGTGAGTGAGCATAGTTTTGAAGTATTACATTTCTGGTCTTTAAAGAGTAAATAACTCGGCCAGGCAGGGTGGCTCACACCTGTAATCCCCAGGACTTTGGGAGGCCAAGGTGGGCGGATCATGAGGTCAGGAGTTTGAGACCAGCCTGGCCAGTATGATAAAACCCTGTCTCTACTAAAAATGTAAAAATTAGCCGGGCTTGGTGACACACACCTGTAGTCCCAGCTACTCAGGAGGCTGAGGCAGAAGAATTCCTTGAACCCAGGAGGCGGAGGTTGCAGTGAGCCAAGATCGCGCCACTGCACCAGCCTGGACAGCAGAACAAGACTTTGTCTCAAAAAAAAAAAAAAAAAAGTAAATAACGGGACATGCAGAAAAAGAAATAGTTATTTTAAATTAAAGGGCTGCTTTTGAAAAATTATGAAATGGCTATTTGTATGATTCTGAGAACTCAAACTACAAATTAGGGCTATTGTGCTATTAGCTTTGTTCTGTTGTTCAGGAGGTAGTGATACAGCTATATCAGCCTAAGTTCCAGACTAAAAAAATTTAATCATCTTAACTACTAACCTACCTGACTTTTATACACGTGCTAAGATGCATTGTCTTGCTTAAATGCTGGTTAAGTTGACTGCATGTACCGTATACAGCCTACAATGGCAGACTTTCCACTTGCTTATAATAAGAAATACTGTACTCTGTATGTGATAAAAACACAGAATCTTTCTCCAGAGTAAAATGATTTGGGGGATAGTAGAAGGGCTTGTCTGAGCTGTGTATAATCACTCTATTAACAGGAGCTTTTTTCCCCCTCGTGTTTATCAGCATTGGAGAAACCAATGTAGAAAGAAAGGCCAAGAAAAAAAGGTATGTGTGGTTTTAGCAGTGTTTTATAGATAACATGTAATACTAATTGGCGGGATGGGAAAGGTGATTTTAAAACAATAGCTATGCCAGATGCAGTGGCTCATGCCTATAATCCCAGCACTTTGGGAGGCCAAGGTGGGTGGATCACCTGAGGTCAGGAGTTGGAGACCAGCCTGTCCAACATGGTGAAACCGTGTCTCTACTAAAAATAGAAAAATTAGCTGGGTGTGGTGGCACATGCCTGTAATCCCAGCTACTTGAGAGGCTGAGGCAGGAGAATTGCTTGAACCTGGGAGGCAGAGGTTGCCATGAGCCAAGATCATGCCATTACACTCCAGCCTGGGCAACAGAGCGAAACTCTGTCTCAAAAAAAAATAGCTATAAGATTTGGATCTGAAGCCTCTTACTGCAATTTATAATTAAATAATCATCCTATTTTCTGATAAGTTCCTTTTTTTAACCTGTCTGGAAATGCATTGCTTCCATTTCTCCTTTTACTCCAACTTTCTAGAGTCCTTGTACGTGGAAACAATAAATAATTGTCTTCTCTTGGCTTAGAATAGGAAGTGTTAATAGACTGGTAAGAAATTGTTGGCCAGCCATATCTGGTCTGAAGTAGTTAAAATAAAGATGATGAAACAGTCACCAGCTAAGCTACGTGAGGTTTAAATAGACCCAATTGTTATACTGCAGCTTTATTCTGACATTATTCCCTCTGAAATGTAATATAGTAGATATGCTTATCTTGAATTCCATCCAAGAGAATTAAGTTGCTGAAGTAACAATGCCTTGTAAAGAGAGGGACTGTGGTTTACAACAGGCAATCTCCAAAATATCAAACCTAAGGATAACATGCTAGCAAAGCTTCAATATATAAGCATATATATGGAATCATATGAAATCGCTTTTGGCTGGGCGCGGTGGCTCACGCCTGTAATCCTAGCACTTTGGGAGGCTGAGGCGGGCAGATCATGAGGTCAGGAGTTCGAGACCAGCCTGGCCAACATGGTGAACATGATGAAACCCCGTCTCTACTAAAAATACAAAAATCATCTGGGCGTCGGTGTGCGCACCTGTAATCCTGGCTACTTGGAAGGCTGAGGCAAGAGAATTTCTTGAACCTGGGAGGCAGAGGTTGCAGTGAGCTGAGATTGTGCCACTGCACTCCACACTGGGCAACAGAGCAAGACTCTGTCTCGAAAAGAAAAAAAAAATGAAATTGCTTTTAACATTCTATTACATGTCACCTTCCCATGTATATAACTCTGTATTGTCTAATAGGTCTAAGAGTGTAACCAGTTCCAGTAGCAGTAGCAGTGACAGTTCTGCCAGTGATTCTTCATCAGAGAGTGAAGAAACATCTACCTCTTCCTCCTCAGAGGACAGTGACACTGATGAAAGCTCCTCTAGTTCCTCATCCTCAGCCTCCTCCACAACCTCTTCCTCCTCCTCTGATTCAGACTCAGATTCCAGCTCTTCCAGTAGCAGTAGCACCAGCACAGATAGCAGCTCTGACGATGAACCACCAAAGAAGAAGAAAAAGAAATAGAGTTGCTCCATTCATATTGGACTGATGGACTGAAAACATTGATGTGATTCTTGAAAGGGAATTTAGAATATGTTAAGGCCAAGTAGGTTAACTGGTGAACATTTCTAGAATTCAAAAGTTTCTAAATGTTTTACATTGTAAGAGCATAGAGAATATTAATAATGGCTTATAGAGAGAGACTTTTATTTGAAGGGTGAATCTTGTTTTTTTTATCTTTAAAATATATCTCTAGAACTTAAAGCTGAAATCTGCAAATCTGTTTGTGTGATGAAACTATCTTTTCTCTCTGTGAAATAAATGCCATACTTTGTTATATATGTTAGTGGTATGTATCAGACATATTTTCAGGATGGTGCGTCAGGATATCTGGCAGTGGATTTCTAATGCTTTTGGCTGTATGTTATGTAAGATTTAATATGTTGTTACTGTAAGCTTAGGAGTTTTCCTACTATTAATAAATGTGCTCTATTTTTACATTTATGTTCAGAAAGTTATCTGACTTTTTGTCCTAAGTGGTATGTTCAAGGAGCCTATTAATATATTTATAGTTTTTGAATGCTGTAAGTTTCAAATTGCTGTGTTACGTCATTCATTTTCTTCTGGTTCCTTAAGTTTTTCAAGTTATCCTTTTCTGAGGAAAATTATTCTAGAGGAACCTAAAAAGGGACAAAAAAATTGAAACTTCTTAGGAGTCTAATCTTGGTGCCTTCTGTTAAAAGTCAGTGTATCAGAAAAGAAAGCAGCCATGTAAGAGGCTAACTTAAATAGAAGTGCTAGAAATATCTTTGTGTATTAACATGCAATAAAAGGTACCATTCAAAGCAGGGGGAAAGGTAGGAAGAAGAGGTAATTTTTACTGAAAATTAGGGCAATGTTGGTCGCCTTTTATTAAAAGCTTTTTTTAAGCTTTCATAAAGATTGCTTTTTGCTATTTTTGAAAATATGGTATTATAGTTTGTATGGTAACTGGTCATATATGACAGTCTACTGCATATATATGAATGACTAGGATTAATCTGGTGTGTTTACATAGGATATACATAGTTGAAATCTAGCATGAAAGGTTAAAAAGGAGATACTGCACAATATTTCTTAAAAGTAAAATGCTGTTATTGTGATGAGTCTTTGGTTTAACATCACAGTATTCTGTGATGTCTTTTTAACTTTTTGGAAAGAGGTATCATTTGTAGAAAAAATTTGATTTGGGTTAAATATAGGTTTTTAAAACTATAAATGTTGTCTTTTTTATATTTTTATGAAAAAGCAGTAGAAAATTACTTTTGAAGAAAACAGGCTATTTAAATATTGAAATATATGTATGTTGTGAGTTTAAGGAGCCTGTAATTGTCAGTTTTACAAAACCATCTGTGTTCAATGGTTGTAAATAAATTCTCAAAACATCATTTCAAAGGCTGCCTACAGAATATTATCACTTGACAGATAGAGTTAATAAATTACCAATCAGGCACATTTTATAATGTTTGTCTCTGTAAAGGTAATATTAGCAGTTAAAGAACACGGATGAGAAAAGAATGTGTTACATAGGTTGCATCACTTGCAGTTAAATAAAACTCACAATTTGTGCTCACAAGCTTAAACTTCTGTTATCTCTTTAGTGTTTTATTTAATGTCAGTTATTCCATTTGAGGTGTAAAGACATTTGAACAAATTCCAATTTTAAAGTTTTACTATTATGGCTGTTAAAAGTATGACTGCAGAGGTACAGAGAGCAGGAACTCAGTTCTTCTAGTCACACATTTCATTCAAAATGACAGAATCAGGCTGGTCACAGTGGCTCATGCCTGTAATCCCAACATTTTGGGAAGCCAAGACGGGAGAATCACTTGAGTCCAGGAATATGAGACCAGCCTAGACAACATAGTAAGACTCTGTCTCTACAAAAAATTAAAAAATTAGCTGGGCATGGTGATGTGCCCCTATAGTCCCAGCTACTCAGGAGGCTGTGGCAAGAGAATAGATTGAGCCCAGGAGGTTGAGGCTGCACTGAGCCATGAGTGTGCCACTGCACTACAGCCTGGGTGACAGAGTGAGAAAAAACAAAAAACAGAATCAATGGCAAAGTGGAGACTAACTTCTAGAGAGTTTTATTTTTAGTCCTGCCTAAAGGCAGGACTCTGGAAGTTGAGTCCCTGGCAAATGTAGTGAGTATGTTACTTAACCACATTCATATCAAAAGGAGTCGTTAGATCATAGGTTTTCATTCCACACACATTTTGTTTATATTAATAGACTTTATATAGCAATTTTACCCTAGAATGAAAATACAGCATTAGCCATAAGTTAACGCTGGAAGTGGAAAAAGTGCAGAGAGGGTGTTTCATATTCTTAGCCATATTTATTCTTTTTAAATTTTGAACTGTAGATTTATAGAAAAGTTGCAAAAATAGTACAATTTCCTTATAAACCTCATCTAGCTTCCCATAGTGTTAACGTCTTACATAACCATGTCACAATTGCCAGAACCAAGAAATTTAACATCTAGTAAAATACTATTTTTTAAAGACATCCTATTATAGCATAGTAAAATACTATTAAACTGAAAACCTTATTCATATTTTGCTCATTTTCCCACTAATATCCTTTTTATATTCCAGAATACTACCCAGAAATACTTTTAGTTCTACCTTTACTACAGTCTCAATACTTCAGTGTTACCTTGTCTTTCATGCCCTTGTCACTTTTGAAGAATTATCTTGTCTAATACCCCTCAATCTGGGTTTGTTTGGTCGGGCGTGGTGACTCCCGCGTGTAATCCCAGCACTTTGGGAGGCCGAGGTGGCTGGATCATTTGAGGTCAGTGGTTCAAGATCAGCCTGACCGACATGGTAAAACCCCCTCTCTACTAAAAATACAAAAAAATTAGCCAGGCGTGGTGGCGCACGCCTGTACTCCCAGCTACTCAGGAGGCTGAGGCAGGAGAATCGCTTGAACCTGGGAGGTGGAGGTTGCAGTGAGCCGAGATTGTGCCATTGCACTCCTTCATGGGTGACAGACTGTCTAAAAAAAAATTTGGATTTGTCTGATATTTTCTTGTGATTGAACTGAGGTTATGCTTTTTGGAAGAATATTACGGAAATGGAATGTCCTCAATCATATCATGAGATTCATAATGTTCATGTGTCTTATTTATTACTGGCAATGTTGACCTTGATCACTTGATTAAGGTGGTTCCAGGCTGAGCGCGGTGGCTAACGGCTGTTATCCCAGCATTTTGGGAGGCCAAAGCAGGCGGATTGCTTGAGCTCAGGAGTTCGAGGCTGACCAACATGGTGAAACCGCATCTTTACAAAAAACACAAAAATTAGCCAGGCACCCCTGGGCACAGTGGCTCACGCCTGTAATCCCAGCACTTTGGGAGGCCAAGGCAGGCAGATCATGAGGTCAGGAGTTCAAGACCAGCCTGACCAACATGGTGAAACCCCATCTCTACTGAAAATACAAAAATTAGCCAGGCACGGTGGCGCATGCCTATAATCCCAGCTACTCAGGAGGCTGAGGCAGGAGAATCGCTTTAATAACTTCAATGTTCTTGAAAGTTTTTTGTGTACCCCCCAGGGCATTTGTGTCTGCTATTCAAGCTAATCAGTAATAACCACAAACATTAACAGAACTCTTCTTTGGAAAGTACTATACAAAGACATATAAAGGCCAGGTGTTGTGGCTCATGCCTGTTATCTCAGCACTTTGGGAGGCTGAGGTGGGTGGATCACCTGAGGTCAGGAGTTTGAGACCAGCCTGGCCAACATGGTGAAACCCCATCTCTACTAAAAATACAAAAATTAGCCAGGTGTGGTGGTGGGGTGCCTGTAATCCCAGCTTCTCAGGAGGCTGAGGCAGGAGAATTGCTTGAACCTGGGAGGTGGAGGTTGCAGTGAGCCAAGGTCACACCATTGCACTCCAGCCTGGGCAACAGAGCGAGACTCTGTCTCAAAAAAAATAAATAAATAAAGAGAGAATTCTCTCTTCCTCTGCCTTTTCTATTTCTATATAGGCTCTCAATGGACTGAATGATGCCTAGGGGAATGGATCTTCTTTAGTCAGTTTACTAATTCAAATGCTAATCTCTTCCCAAAACACCCAGAAATAGTGTTTTACCAGCTATCTGGGCATCCCTTAGCCCAGTAAAGTTGACACATAAAATTATTCACCATAGGAGATGTAACAGATGAGAAATGACAACTATACTAGAAGCTGAAAAGCAGATGTTGACTTGAATAACCAAAGAAAGCCAAAGCCCAAGCCCACAGTGAGTAAAAGACAACAGGAAGCAAGCCACAGACTCTGAAAAGCTTCCAAACTTGATGGCACCACAGACTTCTGCCAGCCAAGGCACAAGGAGGGCTTGAAAGCAGACTGGTAGAAAGTTTATGTAAGGAGATGCACCCCTATGCACTCCTCTCCTGTTCATGCTGTCTTAGTGGGTTTATTTTTTTTATCATGAAATTTTGCAAGTGAACAGTAGTGAACATCTATGTTTTTGTTTTGTTTTGTTTTTGTTTTTTTTGGAGATAGTGTCTCATTCTGTTGCCCAGGCTGGAGTGTAGTGGTATGATCACAGCTCACTGCAGCCTTGACCTCCCAGGCTCAAGCGATCCTCCCACTTCAGCCTCCCTAGTAGCTGGGACTACAGGTGTGTGCCACCATGCCTGGCTAATTTTTGTATTTTTTCTAGAAATGAGGTCTCATCATGTTGCCCAGGCTAGTCTCGAACTCCTGGGCTTAAGCTATCCTTCCACCTCAGCCTCCCAAAGTGGTGAGATTACAGGTGTGAGACACCGTCTGCCATGATTAGTGAGTACTCCATTAATTAATTAATTAATTTTTTATTTTTTTGAGACAGGTCTTACTCTGTTCCCTAGACTGGAGTGCAGTGGTGCAATCTTGGCTCACTGCAACCTCCACCTCCCAGATTCAAGTGATTCTCCTGCCTCAGCCTCCCGAGTAGCTGGGATTACAGGCGCGCACCACTACTGCCTGGCTAATTTTCGTATTTTTAGTAGAGATGGGGTTTCACCATGTTGGCCAGGCTGGTCTTGAACTCTTGACTTCAAGTGATCCACCCACCTTAGCCTCCCAAAGTGCTAGGATTACAGGCGTGAGCCACTGCGCCCAGCCCATGACTAATTTAAAATTAAATAAGAAACAATACAAGTTGCCATATGCTAAGAACCACTTGGAATAAAGACAATGAGTAATGTTGGGCCTCATTTATAAATCTTCAGCTCCAGATAGTTCTCTAACAAAAATTGTGGACAAAATCAAGAATGAAAAATCATAGAACTGCTGGGTAACTTTTTAGTGTTTGGACACTGTGCTATCTACTCGATAAACTGATTCACTTCCTTAAGAAGTCCCGAGGGAGGCTGGTCCAAGTCCAGTGGTGTTTACAACTAATTGATCACAACCAGTTACAGATTTCTTTGTTCCTTCTCCACTCCCATTGTTTCATTTGGCTAGCCTAAAATTAAGCTAAAATTAAATAAATAAATAAATAAATAAATAAATAGGCTGGGCACGGTGGCTCACGCCTGTAATCCCAGCACTTTGGGAGGCCGAGGTGGGTGGATCACGAGGTCAGGAGATCGAGACCATCCTGGCTAACATGGTGAAACCCCGTCTCTACTAAAAATACAAAAAATTAGCCTGGCGCGATGGCAGGTGCCTGTAGTCCCAGCTACTGGGGAGGCTGACGCAGGAGAATGGCATGAACCTGGGAGGCAGAGCTTGCAGTGAGCTGAGATCATGCCACTGCACTCCAGCCTAGGTGACAGAGTGAGACTCCATCTCAAAAAATAAATAAATAAATAAATAAATAAATAAATAAATAAATAAATAAAAGTCCTGAGGGGACTCTGAAAAGGTGATTCCTGTACTAGGCAAATCCATAACAAAATCTAGGATCACAAAACATGTAAACCAAAACCACGAGACATCTGCACGAGGAAAAATCCTCTCTAGTTAGCAATCTTGAAGGGTCACTGTGCCCGTGGACAGAAGAGAAAACTTATTAATTCAAGCAAACTTTAACAACTGTTATTAAGTTCCTGGCCCTGTCCCTTGAGGGTTTACAGGCTATTAATAAATAATTATAGATGTAAGTGCTGCAAAAGTCTTGCTAGAGTGCCTAGAGTCTTAAACAATTGCTGGAAGTTTGGTAGAGTCCTCCAGGGGAGGTGGATTTGGCTGAGAAAGAGCTGTTGGGCCTGGTGGGAAGCCTGTTTGTATGGGAGACTAGCCGGGGTTGAGGCTGCCGGTGATAATTGTTTTATTATCAAGGGTACTACAGGTCAGGCTACGGAATTTGTATTTTATTTGGAAGATGACAGGAAAATCTTACATTCAAGAAACATTTAAAAGCTTGTCAAGAGTGTCAAGACTAGAAATAGAGAAACCAATCAAATGACTCTATAAGAAGCAGCCAAGCCCTATACTTCAACCAAGAATCAAATTATCTGTGACCCAGATTTTATCATCTCAGTTTGTGTGAGATGGTATTACTTTTCTTTTGGGTCTGTAATATTAATGTAATCCTGAGAAAGCATCAAAATAATATTACCAGACTGGGCGCAGTGGCTCATGCCTGTAATCCCAGCACTTTGGGAGGCCGAGACGAGCGGATCACCTGAGGTCAGGAGTTCGAGACCAGCCTGGCCAACATGGTGAAACCCCGTCTCTACTGAAAATACAAAAATTAGCTGGGTGTGGTGGCAGGTGCCTGTAATCTCAGCTACTTGAGAGGCTGAGGCAGGAGAATCGCTTGAAGCCAGGAGGCGGAGGTTGCAGTGAGCCAACACCGCACCATTGCACTCCAGTGTGGGTGACAGAGCGAGACTCCGTCTCAAAAAAAAAAAAAAAAAAAGATAAAATTAATAAAACCCTTGATGTTAATGGTGTTTGTAAATATATATATATAAATACAGAAGGCTGGGCATGGTGGTTCACTCCTGTAATCTTTGCACTTTGGGAGGTCCAGGCGGACAGATTGGTTGAGCCCAGGTGTTCGAAACCAACTTGGGCAACATGGCAAAACCCCGTCTCTACCAAAAATACAAAAACTGAGGTGGGAGGATCACCTGAGCTTGGGGAAGTCAAGTCTGCAGTGAGCTGTGATTGAGCTAGTGCACTCCAGCCTGGGTGACAGAGTAAGACCCCGTCTCAAAAAAAAGAAAAAAAAAAAAGAAAGAAATATTTTAAATACACATTATATATATTTGTAAACATATATGTATAACAATCACAAAATACATAGCTGATCAGCTTGTAATCAACATTTAAATATTCAAGGAAAATTGTCTTTTCATATTTTATTAAATTTATTGGCTTACTATTATTTTGAGACAGGATCTTGCTCTGTCACCCAAGCTGGAGTGCACTAGCTCAATCACAGCTCACTGCAGATGACTCTGCTTCCCAGGCTCAAGTGCTCCTAACTACCTCAGCCTCTGGAGTACCTCAGACTACAGGCATGCACCACCATGCCCAGCTACTTTTTTTTTTTTTGAGACAGAGTCTTGCTCTCTCGCCCAGGCTGGAGTACAGTGGCCTGATGTCGGGTCACTGCAAGCTCTGCCTCCCGGGTTCACGCCATTCTCCTGCCTCAGCCTCCCGAGTAGCTGGGACTATAGGCGCCCGCCACCACGCCCGGCTAATGTTTTATATTTTTAGTAGAGACAGGGTTTCGCCATGTTAGCCAGGATGGTCTCGATCTCCTGACCTCATGATCCACCCACCTGGGCCTTCCAAAGTGCTGGGATTACAGGCGTGAGCCACCGCGCCTGGTCCCCAGCTAATTTTTTAAAAACTTTTTTGTAGAGACAAGATCTCACCATGTTGCCCAGGCTCACCTTAAATTCCTGGCCTCAAGTGATCCTACTGCCTTGGCCTCCCAAAGTGCTGATTTACAGGCCTGAGCCACCTCACCTTCCCTGGCTTTATGTCTTTAGCAATAAGAAAAGAAAATGGGACACATTATTGTAATTGTCCAGAAGAGAAATGAGGGTCTAACCTAATACATTAACAATGAGACCAGAAAGGAGGTAACAGATATGAGAGACGAGAAGGTAGAAATGACAGAATTTTGTGATTAGTTGATTATGGTAGTGAGAGAGATATACTGGAAAAGTTTCAAGTTCTGTTGTTTGGATGACTGGGTGAATATTAAAATAAAAATACACATTTCAGTAAAATTGCAATAATAGTGGCTACTATATGACAAATATAAACTGACCTTAGCAATGTGAGAAATGTCAAACTATTTTTATTAACACAATAAAATATTACAATTTTTTAAAAACCAGCCTGTCCATCATGGTGAAACCCCATCTCTACAAAAAATACAAAATTTAGCTGGGCATAGTGGCGGGCACCTGTAATCCCAGCTACTCAAGAGGCTGAGGCAAGAGAATCACTTAAACCCGGGAGGCAGAGGTTGCACTGAGCCGAGATTGTGCCACTGCACTCCAGCCTGGGAGACAGAGCAAGACTCTGTCTCAAAAAATAATAATAATAATAATAACTTTAGGCTGGGCTCGGTGGCTCACACCTATAATCCTAATCCCAACACTTTGGGAGGCTGAGGCGGGTGGATCACCTGAGGCCAGGAGTTCGAGACCAGCCTGGCCAATATGGTGAAACCCCATCTCTATTAAAACACAAAATTAGCTGGATGTGGTGGCACACACCTGTAATCCCAGCTACCTGGGAGGCTGAGACAGGAGAATCGCTTGAACCCAGGAGGCAGAGGCTGCGGTGAGCTGAGATCACACCACTGCACTCCAGCCTGGGCAAGACAAAGCGAGGCGCCGTCTCAAAAAAAAAAAAAAAATTCAGATAACACTTGGGTATTTGAAAATGTGTCTGTAGAGTTTGATAGTGATCAAATTACTAACAATTCTCATGTTTGGGTAGTAAGATTATATATCAATTTTTTTTTTTTGAGACAGGGTCTCACTCTGTCGCCCAGGCTAGAATGCAGTGACATGATCTCAGCTCACTGCAACCTCTGCCTCTGGGTTCAAACGATTCTCCCACCTCAGCCTCCCGAGTAGCTAGGATTACAGGTGGGCACCACCATGCCTGGCTAATTTTTTTTGTATTTTTTTGATAGAGACGGGTTTTACCATGTTGCCAGGGCTGTAGATCAATTTTTTCTTTCATTACTTCCCAATTATTTCCTACAACCTTAACAATAATCTGCACATTATTAAATAGTACAATTCAATAATTTTTGACATATATATACTTTCATGAAATCATCACCACAAGGAAGGTAATTAACCATAACCATTGCCCCCAAGAGCTTCCTTGTGCCCCTTTGTAATCTTTTCTACTCATTCATCCCTGCTTACTCTACCCCTAACCAATCCTCAGACAACTACAGACATAAATTCTTTTTTTCTTTTTTTTTTTTTTTTTTTTTTGAGACGGAGTCGCACTCTGTCTCCCAGGCTGGAGTGCAGTGGCACGATCTCGGCTCACTGCAACCTCCGCCCCTCTAGGTTTAAGCAATTCTCTGCCTCAGCCTCCGGAGTAGCTGGGATTACAGGCGCGTGCCACTACGCCAGGCTAATTTTTTGTATTTTTAGTAGAGATGGGGTTTCACCATCTTGGCCAGGTTGGTCTTGAACTCCTGACCTCGTGATCCACCGGCCTCGGGCTCCCAAAGTGCTGGGATTACAGGCGTCAGCCACTGCGCCCCGCAAATTCTTCAACTATAAAATAGTTTGTATTTTTGGCCAGGAGCAGTGGCTCATGCCTGTAATCCCAGCACTTTGGGAAGCCGAGGTGGGCGGATCACGAGGTCAGGAGATCGAAACCATCCTGGACAACATGGTGAAACCCCCTCTCTACTAAAAATACAAAAATTAGCTGAGTGTGGCAGCGCATGCCTGTAATCCCAGCTACTCTGGAGGCTGAGGCAGGAGAATCGCTTGAAACCGGGAGGCGGAGATTGCAGTAAATTGAGATCCCGCCATTGTACTCCAGTCTGGGCAACAAAAGCGAAACTCCATTTCAAATAAATAAATAGATAGGCACAAACAGATATGTTAACATTAATCAAAAGAAAACTAGAGAGACTATATTAATATTAGACAAAGTAGATTTCAGAAGAGGCCAGGCAGGGTGGCTCATGCCTATAATCCTAGCACTCTGAGAAGCCGAGGCGGGTGAATTGCTTGAGTCGAGGAGTTGGACACCAGCCTGGGCAACATGGCAAAATCCGATCTCTACAAAAAATACAAAACTTAGCCGGATGTGGTAGCACGTGCCTGTAGTCCCAGCTACTCAGGAGGCTGAACTGGGAGGATCGTTTGAGCCCAGGAGGTTGAGGCTGCAGTAAGCCATGATCCTGCCACTGCACTCAAGCCTTAGTGACAGAGCAATACCCTGTCTCCAAAAAACAAACAAACAAACATGAAAAAACCAGTCGTTTCCGGGGAGCGAGACTCCAAATGGGTGGCAGTCGCAGCGGCTCCCCACGGAGGAAAGGTAGGCGTTCCCGGTCCACATCCCGTGAGAGAGAACGCAGGCTCCAAGAAAGGTCCAGGTCTCGGGAGAGAGATGGGAGAAGGAACCGCTCGCCAACCCCGCACCTAGGACGCTCCCGATCTCCAAGACGACATAAATCCACATCTCCTTCCCCTTCTCAGCCGAACGAAAGAAGAGATGAGGAAAAGAAAGAAACAAAGAGCAAAGAATGGCAAATTACTGAGGAAGACTTAGAGGGCAAAACAGAGGAAGAAATAGAAATGATGAAGTTAATGGAATTTGTCTCCTTTGACTCCACAAAAGGTGAGAAGGTGGATTGCTCTGTAAATGCCTATGCCATAATTGTCTCTCAGAAGAGGAAGTACGGGCAGTAGATGAATCGAAAAGGTGGATTCCACAGACCTTTGGATTTCATTGCATGAGAATTGAAATGTTGAAGAATGATTTTTTCCCCTCATCTTGGTCAGAGAGTGGATTTTGTATTTAACTTGCATTCAAAAAACAGGATCTCAGTTCTTCCTTCTTGTAAAGCAAGAAAATATTTTTATTTTATTTATGTATTTATTTATTTATTTATTTTTGAGACAGAGTCTCGCTCTGTCGCCCAGGCTGGAATGCAGTGGCGCAATTTCGGCTGACTGCAAGCTCCGCCTCCTGGGTTCACGCCATTCTCTTGCCTCAGCCCCCCGAGTAGCTGGGACTACAGGCACCCGCCACCACGCCCGGCTAATTTTTTGTATTTTTTAGTAGAGACGGGGTTTCACCGTGTTAGCCAGGATGGTCTCGATTTCCTGACCTCGTGATCCGCCCACCTTGGCCTCCCAAAGTGCTGGGATTACAGGCATGAGCCACAGCGCCCAGCCAAGAAAATCTTATTTATGATGTATGCAGTTCACTTACCTTGCCTCAACAGAAGAAAAGTTAAATATTACGTTTTTTTCTTTTAGGAAATATCATTTGTGGTAAGCGTCAACCTCATTTTATTTGTCCTTATTCCTGTGGAAGCAGTACATGTTTTCTTCTTGAATGCTCATTAGGACTTCTTAAAAAACATGAAAGTAATTTGGAAGTAAGTTTATCCAATAAAGCAGTATTTCTACACTTTTAGATTTGATAAATATTTTTATTACTAAAGAATCCCCTAGACATTTTCTTTTTTTATTTCATGCATAGATTTAAGCATCTTGATTCTTAGTAATTTAAAAATGGGAAGAATGAAAAAGCATAACTAGATTTTTCTATCTTCTGTGGTTCCCCCCCACAAAATACCATTTATTGTTCTCCCCCAAGTATAAAAGCAATACATGCAAAAAAATATCTGAGAGAAACCAAAAAGTAAAAGGAAGGCCAAAAATCACCTGGTATCTACTCCCAGAAATAATCAATTTTAACATTTCGGGATATGTCTTTCCAGGCTTCTTTGGGTGTATATTTCTCACCCTCACCCATGAGATCAGAATATGTATGCAGTTCTTTCTTTAACCCTTTTTTTTCCCGTGTACTGTGAACATTTAAAAAATACTTTTAAATATTCTTTGGAAACTTAGCTTTTAGTAGCTACTTGGTTGTATCATAATTTATTAACTACTGTTTCACTGGTAAACATTGACTTGCCTCCCATGACTTGCCACTATAATTAAAACCGTGAGTACTGGCGGGGCGCGGAGGCTCATGCCTGTAATCCCAGCACTTTGGAAGGCCGAGGCGGGCGGATCATGAGGTCAGGAGATTGAGACCATCCTGGCTAACACGGTGAAACCCTGTCTCTACTAAAAATACAAAAAATTAGCCGGGCGCGGTGGCGGGCGCCTGTAGTCCCAGCTACTCGGGAGGCTGAGGCAGGAGAATGGCGTGAACCCAGGAGGAGGAGCTTGCAGTGAGCCAAGATTGCGCCACTGCACTCCGGCCTGGGCGAAAGAGCAAGACTCCGTCTCAAAAAAAAACAAAAACAAAAACAAAAAACTGTGACTACTATCTATCTCCATTAAAAAAAAAAGAAAGAGTACTAACAAGGATAAAAAAAGTCATTTTGTATGATAATGTGGCAATTCATAATTTTTGTATCATTCATATATTTTGCATTATTCACATTTCACATTCATATTTTCATTTATATTCATATTTCATATTCATATTATTTTTGTATTATTACTATTTCATAATTTTGTATGGTAATGTGACAATTCATATATTAGGATATAATAATCCTAAACATGAATACACCTAATAACAGAGCTTGAAAGCATAAAGCAAAACTGATAGAAATAAAATGAGAAATAGACAAATTCACAATTATAGTGAGAGATCTCAATACTCATACTCAATAACTAATAGAACAATAGACAAAAAAAATCAGTGAAGACACAGCAGATTTGAACAACACAATAAACCCACTTGACATAATTGCCACTTACAGAACTACTCCACCCAACAATAGCAGAATATACATTCTTTTTAAAGTGTACCCAGAATATTTAGTAATGTATATTTACCAAGGTAGTCCACATTCTATGCTATAAAACAAGTCTCAATAAATATGAAAATGTTCAAGTCATACAAGATATATTCTTCGACCATGGTGGAATTAAATTAGAAATCAATAACAGAAACATCTCTGGAAAGTCCCCCACTATATGGAACTAAACAAGACACTTCTTTTTTTTTTTTGAGATGGGGTCTTGCTCTGTCACCAGGCTGGAGTGCAATGGCGCAATCTTGGTTCACTGCAACCTCTGCCTCCTGGGTTCAAGCGATTCCCCTGCCTCAGCCTCCTGAGTAGCTAGGACTACAGGTGTTCGCCACCACACCTGGCTAATTTTTTTGTATTTTAGTGGAGATGAGGTTTCACCATGTTGGACAGGACGGTCTCGATTTCCTGACCTCGTGATCCACCTGCCTTGGCCTCCCAAAGTGCTGGGATTACAGGCGTGAGCCACTGTGCCCGGCCACAAGATGCTTCCATATAATCCATGCTCAAAGAGGAAATCAAAAGGAAAATTAGAAGACATTTTAACTGAATGAAGATGAAAACAAAACATATTAATATTTGCGAAATGCTGCTGAAGTAATACGTAGGGGAAATTTATATTAGGGGAAAAGTCTCAAATCAATGACTTCAGCTTTCATCTTAAGAAACTAGGAAAACAAGAGCAAAAAATCCCAAAATAAGCAGAAGAAAGAAATATAAGAAAGGAAAGAAAAATAAAGATCAGAGCAGAAATCAATGTAATAGAAAATGAAAAAACAATACATTCAGTGAATCCAAAAGATGGTTCTATGAGAAGATTAATAAAATTGATAAACCTCTAACCAGACTGCCCAGGATAAAAAAGAGGACACAAATTACCAACATTAGGAATGAGAGAGGTGCTATTACAACACATTCCCAGATATTAAAAGAACACTAAGAGTACAGTATGAACAACTTTACTCATTTAATAAATTAGATAGGCAGAGTGCTGTGGCTTACACCTATAATCCCAGCACTTTGGAAGGCTGAGGCTGGAGAATTGCTTTAGGCCAGCAATTGGAGACTAGCCTGCACAACATAGTGAGACCCTTGTCTCTAGAAAAAAATTTTTTTAAATTAGCCGGGCTTAGTGGTGCATAGTCCCAGCTACTTGGGAGGCTGAGGTGGGAGGATTGCTTGAGCCAAGGAGTCTGAGGCTGAAGTGAACTGTGTTTGCACCACTGCACTCCAGCCTGAACAACAGAGCAAGACCCTGTCTCTTTAAAAATTAAATAAATAAATTAGATGAATGGACAAATTCCTTGAAAGACAAACTACCAAGGTTCACTTAAGAATAAACAGATGGGGGTGGGCGCCATGGCTCACGCATATAATCCCGGCACTTTGGGAGGCTGAGATTTTGCCCAGTCTGGGCAAAAAGGTGAAAGAAACCCCATCTCTACAAAAAATGCAAAAATTAGCCAGATATGGTGGCGCATGCCTGTAGTCCCAGCTACTCTGGAGGCTGAGGTGGGAGGATTCCTTGAGCCCAGGAGGTTAAAGTGGCAGTGAGTGGAGATTGTGCCACTGCACACCAGCCTGGGTGACAGCGTGAGACTCTGTCTTAAAAAACGTCCCTCTCCCGCTCCCTCTTCCCCTCCCCCTCTCCCCCCCCCCCCCACGGTCTCCCTCTCCCTCTCTTTCCACGGTCTCCCTCTGATGCTGAGCCGAAGCTGGACTGTACTGCTGCCATCTCGGCTCACTGCACCCTCCCTGCCTGATTCTCCTGCCTCAGCCTGCCCAGTGCCTGCGATTGCAGGCGCGCGCCGCCACGCCTGACTGGTTTTCGTATTTTTTTGGTGGAGATGGAGTTTTGCTGTGTTGGCCGGGCTGGTCTCCAGCTCCTAACCGCGAGTGGTCCGCCAGCCTCGGCCTCCCGAGGTGCCGGGATTGCAGACAGAGTCTCGTTCACTCAGTGCTCAATGGTGCCCAGGCTGGAGTGCAGTGGCGTGATCTCGGCTCGCTACAACCTCCACCTCCCAGCCGCCTGCCTTGGCCTCCCAAAGTGCCGAGATTGCAGCCTCTGCCCGGCTGCCACCCCATCTGGGAAGTGAGGAGCGTCTCTGCCTGGCCGCCCATCGTCTGGGATGTGAGGAGCCCCTCTGCCTGGCTGCCCAGTCTGGAAAGTGAGGAGCGTCTCTGCCCGCCCGCCATCCCATCTAGGAAGTGAGGAGCGCCTCTTCCCGGCCGCCATCCCATCTAGGAAGTGAGGAGCGTCTCTGCCCGGCCGCCCATTGTCTGAGATGTGGAGAGCGCCTCTGCCCCGCCGCCCCGTCTGGGATGTGAGGAGCGCCTCTGCCTGGCTGCGACCCCGTCTGGGAGGTGAGGAGCGCCTCTGCCCGGCCGCCCCGTCTGAGAAGTGAGGAGCCCCTCCGCCCGGCAGCCGCCCTGTCTGAGAAGTGAGGAGCCCCTCCGCCGGGCAGCCACCCCGTCTGGGAAGTGAGGAGCGTCTCAGCCCGGCAGCCACCCCGTCCAGGAGGGAGGTGGGGGTCAGCCCCCGCCAGGCCAGCCGCCCCTTCCGAGAGGGAGGTGGGGGGGTCAGCCCCCCCGCCCGGCCAGCCGCCCTGTCTGGGAGGTGAGGGGCGCCTCTGCCCGGCCGCCCCTACTGGGAAGTGAGGAGCCCCTCTGCCCGGCCACCACCCCGTCTGGGAAGTGTACCCAACAGCTCATTGAGAACGGGCCATGATGACAATGGCGGTTTTGTGGAATAGAAAAGGGGGAAAGGTGGGGAAAAGATTGAGAAATCGGATGGTTGCTGTGTCTGTGTAGCAAGAAGTAGACATGGGAGACTTTTCATTTTGTTCTGCACTAAGAAAAATTCTTCTGCCTTGGGATCCTGTTGATCTATGACCTTACCCCCAACCCTGTGCTCTCTGAAACATGTGCTGTGTCCACTCAGGGTTAAATGGATTAAGGGCGGTCCAAGATGTGCTTTGTTAAACAGATGCTTGAAGGCAGCATGCTCCTTAAGAGTCATCACCACTCCCTAATCTCAAGTACCCAGGGACACAAACACTGCGGAAGGCCGCAGGGTCCTCTGCCTAGGAAAACCAGAGACCTTTGTTCACTTGTTTATCTGCTGACCTTCCCTCCACTATTGTCCCATGACCCTGCCAAATCCCCCTCTCCGAGAAACACCCAAGAATGATCAATAAAAAAAAAAAAAAAAAAAAACAAGGCCAGGTACTGTGGCTCACATCTGTAATCCTAGCACTTTGGGAGGCTGAGGCGGGCAGGTCACAAGGTTAAGAGATCGAGACCATCCTGGCCAACTTGGTGAAAACCTGTCTCTACTAAAAATACAAAAATTAGCTGGGCGTGGTGGCGTGCGCCTGCAGTCCCAGGTACTCGGGAGGCTGAGGCAGGAGAATCCCTTGAACCCAGGAAGCACGGGTTGCAGTGAGCTGAGATCGCACCACTGCACTCCAGCCTGGGCAACCGAGTGGGACTCCGTCTCAAAAAACAAAAACAAACAAAAAACACAAACAACAAACAAACAGGCCAGGTGTGGTGGCTCACTTCTATAATCCCAGCACTTTGGGAGGCTGAGGTGGGTGAGTCACTTGAGGTCAGGAGTTTGAGACCATCCTGGCCAACATGGTGAAAACCTGTCTCTACTAAAAATAAAAAAATCAGCTGGGCGTGGTGGCGCACACCTGTAATCCCAAGTACTCTGGAGGCTGAAGCAGGAGAATCGCTTGAACCTGGGAGGCGGAAGTGGCAGTGAGCCGAGATTGTGCCACTGCTCTCCAGCCTGGGTGACAAAGCAAGACTCCGTCTCAAAATAAAAAGAAAAAACAAGCAAATAAATTTATACACCTAAAGGGAATAAACTTCAAACAGTGAGCAATGTATATGTAGGGTATACATATAGATACGAACTGGAAATAAAATTGAGTCAATATTTTAAAAATCAGACTTTAGTGTTCATTAACATTTTTTTCCTGTGTAAATTGCTTAAAATTATGGTTTGGATTGTGATAACCAGCCTTTAAGATGGTTCCCAATGATAATAATTTCCAGTTACTTATGACCTTATATAGTCCCTTTCCATATGGAATCAGAGATAACCTATGTGACCAATAGAATAGTACAAGAATAACAGTGTGTGACTTCAGAGGTGAGGTCATAAGAGGCATTACAGCTTCTGCTTTGTCTCTTGAAACACTCACAAGGACTCGTTCTGTTGCCCAGGCTGGAGTGCAGTGGCATGATCATGGCTCACTGCAGCTGCGACCTCCCTAAGCCCAGGAGATCTTCTACCCTAGCCTCCTATGTAGCTGGGATCACAGGCACGCACCACCATGCCCGACTAATTTTTTTTTTTTTTTTGAGACAGAGTTTCGCTCTTGTTGCCCAGGCTGGAGTACAATGGCGTGATCTTGGCTCATTGCAACCTCTGCCTCCTGGGTTCAAACAGTTCTCCTTCCCCAGCCTCCCAAGTAGCTGGGATTACAGGCATGTGCCACCATGCATGGCTAATTTTGTATTTTTAGTAGAGATGGGGTTTAACCATGTTGGTCAGGCTGGTCTTGAACTCGTTACCTCAGGTGATCCACCCACCTCGGCCTCCCAAAGTGCTGGGATTACAGGTGTGAGCCACCGTGCCTGGCCTAATTTTTTTTTTTTTTTTTGTAGCAATAGTGTCTTGCTGTATTGCTCACGCTGCTCGGGAACTCTTGGGCTCAAGGGATCCTTCTGCATTGGCCTCCCAAAGCGCTGCGATGACAGGTGTACGCCAACGTGCCTGGCCCACCAGAATAAATCTTAGAATATTCTGATCACCATGAAAAGAAACCCTAGCTGGGCGCAGTGCCTCATGCCTGTAATCCCAGCACTTTGGGAGTCCAAGGCGGGTGGATCACCTGACCAACATGGAGAAACCCTGTCTCTACTAAAAAATACAAAAATTAGCTGGGCGTGATGGTGGATGTCTGTAATCCCAGCTACTCGGGAGGCTGAGGCAGGAGAATCGTTTGAACCCTGGAGGCGGAGGTTGCAGCGAGTTGAGATTGCACCATTGCACTCTAGCCTGGGCGACAAGAGCAAAACTCTGTTTCAAAACAAAAACAACAACAACAACAAAACCCTGTACCCATTAGCAGTCATTACCCATTTCCAGTGTCCACCCCCCAACCACCCAGCCATAGGCAACCACTAATCTACTTTGTGTCTCTATAGATTTGCCTATTGTGGACATTTCATACAAAGGGAATCATAAAATATATTTTCCTTTGTGGCTGGCTTTTTTCACTCAGCATAATGTTTTCAAGGTTTGTTCATATTGTAGCATATATCAGTAATTCATTTCTTTTTATTACCAAATAATATTTCGTATGTACATACCAATTTCATTATGGATTCATCAGTTGAAGGACATTTGGGTTGTTTTCTACGTTTTGGTTTTTTGAATAATGCTGCAGTTAACATTCATGTACAAGTTTTTGTGTGAAAATATGTTTTGAATTTTCTTAGGTGTATACTCAGAAGTGGAATTTCTGGATCACATGTTAACTTAGGTATATTATCAGGAGTGGAATTTCTGGATCTAGTGTTTTGAGGAACTGACTCTTTTCCAAAGCAGCTATACCATTTTACAGTGTAAACCCACTAGCAATCTATAAGCATTCCAATTTCTCCACATCTTCACAACTAGTATAGTTTGGATGCTCGTATCCCCAAGCCTCATATTGAAATTTGATCCCCAATGTTGGATGTAGGGCCTACTGGGAGGTGTTTGGGTCATAGGGGTGGATCCCTTATGAATAAATTAATCACCTCACTGGTCAGGGAGTGAGTCAGTTCTTACTCTATTAGTTTACACAAGAGCTGGTTTCTAAAAGAGCCTGGCACTTCCCCTGCTCCCTTGATTCCTCTCTTAACATGTGATCTCTGCACACATTGGTTCCCCTTTGCCTTCTGTCATGAATGGAAACAGCCGTTGGACCCCACCAAAAGCCTAACAGATGCCAGCACCATGCCTCCTGTACAGCCTGTAAAACTGTGAGCAAAATAAACCTCTTTTCTTTATAAACTGCCTAGCCTCAGATATTCCTTTATAGCAATACAAACAGACTAAGACACTAGTACTATAATCAAAATCAAGTATCTGTCATTTTGATCGTAGTCATCCTAGGGGGCATAAAGTGATACCTCACTGTTTTGATATGCATTTCTCTGATGGTTAATAATGTTGAGTATCTTCTTATGTGCTTAGTGGTCATTTGTATTTGTATACCTTCTTTGGAAAGATGCCTACTGAGGGCCAGACACCGTGGCTCACCCCTGTAATCCCAGCAGTTTAGGAGGCCAAGGCGAGAGGATCACTTGAGGTCAGGAGTTTGAGACCAGCCTGGCCAACATGGTGAAACTCCATCTCTACTAAAAATGTAAAAATTAGCCGGTCGTGGTGGTGCACGCCTGTAGTCACAGCTACTCTGGAGGCTGAGGCACAAGAATCACTTGAAGCTAGGAGATGGAGGCTGCGGTGAGCCAAGATCATGCCACTTGTACTGCATCCTGGGTAACAGAGTGAGAAGACTCTGTCTGAAAAGAAAAAAAAAAGAAGAAAGAAAAGAAAGATGTCTTTTGAGATCCTCTGGCCATTTTTTATTTATTTTCATTTTTATTTTTTGAGATGGAGTCCTGCTCTGTCGCCCAGGCTGGAGTGCAGTGGCGTGATCTCAGCTTACTGCAACCTCCATGTCCTGGGTTCAAGCGAATTCCTGCTTCAGCCTCCCAAGTAGCTGGGATGACAGGCGTGCACCACCACGCCTAGCTAATTTGTGTATTTTTAGTAGAGACGGGTTTCACCATGTTGGCCAGGCTGGTCTTGAACTCCTGACCTCAGGTGATCCACCCACCTCAGCTCTCAAAGTGCTGTGGCCCTTTGACCTTTTTTTTTTTTTTTTTTTTTGAGATGGAGTCTCGCTCTGTCAGCCAGGCTGGAGTGTAATGGCACAGTCTTGGCTCACTGCAACCTCCACTGCCTGGGTTCAAGTGATTTCCCTGCCTCAGCCTCCTGAGTAGCTGGGACTGCAGGCGTAACACCACACCTGGCTAATTTTTGTATTTTTAGTAGAGATGGGGTTTCACTGTGTTGGCCAGGCTGGTCTCGAACTCCTGACCTCGTGATCCACTGGCCTCGGCTTCCCAAAGAGCTGGGATCACAGGTGTGAGCCACTGCGCCTGGCCCCTTTGACCATTTTTTAAAAAAAATTTTTTATTTTTTATTTTGCTGTTGTTGTTGTTGTTGTTGAGACAGTCTCACTCTGTTGCCCAGGCTAGAGCGCAATGGCATGATCTCGGCTCACTGCAACCTCCGCCTCCCGGGTTCAAGCTATTCTCATGTCTCAGCCTCCTGAGTAGCTGGGATTACAGGCGCCCACCACGGCGCCCACCTAATTTTTGTATTTTTAGTAGAGACGGGGTTTCACCATCTTGGTCGGTCAGGTTGGTCTCGAACTCCCAACCTCGGGTGATCCGCCAGCCTCAGCCTCCCAAAGTGCTGGGATTACAGGCATGAGCCACTGTGCCCAGCGACCATTTTTTAAAAACTGGATTGTCAGGGGCCGGGCGTGGTGGCTCACGCCTGTAATCCCAGCACTTTGGGAGGCCAAGGTGGGTGGATCACAAGGTGAGGAGATTGAGACCATCCTGGCTAACACGGTGAAACCCCGTCTCTACTAAAAATACAAAAAATTAGCCGGGAGAGTAGTGGCGGGTGCCTGTAGTCCCAGGTACTCGGAAGGCTGAGGCAGGAGAATGGCGTGAACCTGGGAGGTGGAGCTTGCAGTGAGCCGAGATCACACCGCTGCACTCTAGCCTGGGCGACAGAGCGAGACTCTGTTGCAAAAACAAACAAACAAACAAACTAAATTGTCATTGGGTGCAGTGGCGATTGGATTAAATTGTCTTAGAAATTTTGTTGAACATTGGGCCGGGCGAGGTGTCTCATGCTGTAATCTGAACACTTTGGGAGGCCAAGGCAGGTAGACTACCTGAGGTCAGGAGTTCGAGACCAGCCTGGCCAACATGGTGAAACCCTGTTGCTACTAAAAATACAAAAATTAGCCAGGTGTGGTGGCAGGCACCTGTAATCACAGCTACTCAGGAAGCTGAGGCAGGATAATCGCTTGAACATGGGAGGCGGAGGTTGCAGTGAGCCAAGATCACACCATTGCATTCTAGCCTGGGTGACAGAGCAAGACTCTGTCTCCGAAAAAAAAAAAAAAGAATTCTTGTTCAATATCAACTACTTATAAATGAGAGGTGTTTATTTCTGGAGACTTTTCTTGTTTTTCATCTGTATGTCTTTGACTGTTAAAAAGGTGATGGATGTTAGCAAAACTGTTAAGTTGTTTATTCAATGAGCAATGTTAAGTTGGAAGTGACTGAAGAATTAGCTTCAAAGAGTAGTCTCTATGGAATAAGTACATGTGAGAATATTTTCAAAGAATTTGAAATTCAGTACAACCTGAAGTGGAATCTGCTAAGATGTGTTATAATTTATGGGGTTACCAATATTTGTGGGACAGAAGAAACTTAGCTGGGCAGATTCACTAAGCTTGTGACAATGTAAGATGTTTAAATCCTTGCAGGGGGCTGGGCACAGTGGCTCATGCCTGTAATTCCAGCACTTCGGGAGGCCAAGGCATGTGGATCACGAGGTCAGGAGATCGAGACTAGCTTGGCCAACATGGTGAAACCCCATCTCTACTGAAAATACAAAAATTATCTGGGTGTGGTGGCGTGCACCTGTGGTCCCAGCTACTCAGGAGGCTGAGGCAGGAGAATCTCTTGAACCCAGGAGGCAGAGGTTGCAGTGAGCTGAGATTGCACCACTGCACTCCAGCCAGGGTGACAGAGCAAGACTCCATCTCAAAAAAAAAAAAAACCCTTGCAGGAAATATTTGAATTTATCATGTGTTATTGAGCCAACAGTGTCAACAGTGAACTTTATTTGCTCTTCTGGACTTAATCATTATGAATTCCAGGATTTTTTTCAGTAATGAAGCTGAATATCTGACTTGATCTACTATACAGCAGTTTGATGGCTTAGCAGTTGTAACTTACTATTTTATTTAAGCTCAGGGCTGAGAAGGAAAATTTTTTTTTTTGAGATGGAATTTCACTTTTGTTGCCCAAGCTGGAGTGCGATGGCACAATCTCAGCTCACCGCAACCTCCACCTCCCGGGTTCAAGCAATTCTCCTGCCTCAGCCTCCTGAGTAGCTGGGAGTACAGGCATGCACCACCATGCCCAGCTAATTTTTTGTATTTTTAGTAGAGATGGGGTTTCTCCATGTAGGTCAGGCTGGTCTCGAACTCCCGACCTCAGGTGATCCACCTGCCTCGGCTTCCCAAAGTATTGGGATTATAGGCATGAGCTACGGTGCCCAGCTGAGAAGGAAATTTTTAAAACTTGTGGTAAAATACACATAACATTATACCATCCTAACAATTTTTAAGTGTACAGTTCAATGGTATTAAGTATATTGACAATGTTGTGAAACCATGGCCACCATTACCACCATCCATCTCTAGAACTTTTCATATTGCAAAACTCAAGCTCTATACCCATTAAATAATAATTCCTCATTACCTCCCTACTCCCAACCCCTAGGAACTGCCATTCTACTTTATGTCTTTGTGAATTCGACAGCTCTTGGTAACTTATGCAAGTGGAATCATATAGTATTTGTCTTTTTTGATTGTCTTATTTCATCTTGCATAATATCCTCAAGGTACATCCAAGTTTTAGCACTTGTCCTTCCTTTTTTTTTTTTTTTTTTTTTTTTGAGGCAGAGTCTCACTCTGTTGCCCAGGCTGGAGTGCACTGACATAATCTCGGCTCACTGCAAACTCTGCCTCTCAGGTTCAAGGGATTCTTCTGCCTCAGCCACCCAAGTAGCTGAGATTATAGGTATGTGCCAACACACCTGGCTAATTTTTGTATTTTTAGTAGAGATGGGGTTTCACCGTGTTGGCCAGGGTGGTCTCGAACTCCTAACTTCAAGTAATCTGCCTGCCTTAGCCTCCCAAAGTGCTGGGATTACAGGCGTGACCCACTGTGCCCAGCTGTTCTTCCTTTTGGAGTTTGAATAATATTTCATTGTATATACATCTATACCCCATTTTGCTTATCCATTCATTCATTGTTGAACAGTCAGTTGCTTTTACCTTTGGCTATGATGAATAATTCTGTGAGATGGAAATTCTTATGAATGAGAATTGCCCTCAACCAGTTTTATTGAATACTAAGTGGTTTTAGAGATTAGCTTTTGCTGAAGATGTGATAACGTTTCTTAATACATTCAACCTAAAATTATCAATTAAAATGGTATTGATATGTGAAACTCTTACTGTGATAAAGTCGTTTTGGGCAATACATAACGTTGTTTGAATCACAAGAAATGTCAGGTTGATTTAGGCACGTCCTATGGTGTCAATTTTTTTTTTTTTTTTTTTTGAGACAGAGTCTCACTGTTGCCCAGGCTGGATTGCAGTGGCATGATCTCAGCTCACTGAACCCTCCACCTTCCAAGTTCAAGCGATTCTCCTACCTGAGCCTCCAGAGTAGCTGGGACTACAGGTGAGCGCTACCACACCTGGCTAATTTTTGTATTTTTAAAAGAGACAGGGTTTCACCATGTTGGCCAGGCTGGTCTGGAACTCCTGACCTCAGGTGATTTGCCCGCATTGGCCTACCAAAGTACTGGCATTACAGGTGTGAGCCACTGTGCCTGGCCTGGTGTCAAAGTTAAAAGAAGACCTGAGATGTCCATTATTGCACAAGTTTGCAGCATACATCTTTTCTGTGATTTGAACTACAGTGCCTACAGCATGTTTTGGCTCTCACGTATAAAGTAAATTTCTGTATTTCTTTTTCTTTTTTTTTTTTTTTTTGAGATGGAGTCTCACTCTGTCACCAGGCTGGAGTGCAGTGGCATGATCTCGGCTCACTGCAACCTCCACCTCCCTGGTTCAAGCGATTCTCCTGCCTCAGCCTCCTGAGCAGCTGGGACTACAGGTGCACGCCACCACACCCAGCTAATTTTTGTATTCTTAGTAGAGATGAGGTTTCACCATGTTGGCCAGACTGGTCTCGATCTCTTGGCCTCATGATCTGCCTGCCTCAGCCTCCCAAAGTGCTGGGATTACAGGTGTGAGCCACCATTCCCGGCTGGAAATTTCCATATTTCAAAATCAGTTTAAATGTACAATTGAGGATCTCCCATCTAATCTTCAATTGGAGGTGATTACTTTTCAATGTAATGATATGCTCAAAGGCATATATTAAGAGAACAGTCTAATACAATGTACTTATTTATTTTTTTTGAGACAGTTTCACTCTGTCACCCAGGCTGGAGTGCAGTGGCAAGATCTCAGCTTACTGCAACCTCCACTTCCTTGGTTCAAACGATTCTCCTGCCTCAGCCTCCTGAGTAGCTGGGATTACAGGTAAGCACTACCACGCCTGGCTAATTTTTGTATTTTTAATAGAGACGGGGTTTCACCATGTTGGCCAGGCTGGTGTCGAACCCCTGACCTCAAGTGATCTCCCCGCCTTGGCCTCCCAAAGTCCTGGGATTTAGGCATGAGGCACTGGGCCCAACCTCTAATAAAATTTTATAAATTTCTCTCCAGCAATGATTATTCTAAAATAATATCATATGACAGTGGATTGATAACATATTTAAGAGTACGTATCTGTGTGAAAAGATATTTTCTTTTTCTTCTCTTTCTTTTTTTGAGACAGAGACTCATTCTGTAGCCCAGGATGGAGTGCAATTGTGTGATCGATCTCTGCTCACCGCAACCTCCGACTCCCAGGCTCAAGCTATTCTCCTACCTCAGCCTCCCAAGTAGCTGGGATCACAGGCACGCACAACCATGCCCAGCTAATTTTTGTATTTTCAGTAGAGATGGGGTTTCACCATGTTGGCCAGGCTGCTCTCAAACTTCTGACCTCAAGTGATCCTCCTGCCTCGGCCTCCAACAGTGCTGAGTTTACAGGCGTGAGTCACTGCGTCTAGCCAAAATTGCTTTATTCTTATTAACAGGCCTGAAAACTTAACTACTATATTTTAAATTTTATCAATAAGCTAGGCATGGTGGCTCAACCCTGTAATCCCAGCTCTTAAGGAGGCAGAGGTAGGAGGACAGCTTGAGCCCAGGAGTTTGAAACCTGCCAGGGCAATATAGTGAGACTGTGTTTTCCACACACACACATAAAAAGTGTAAATGTTACCAATAAAATATTTATGGAAACTTTTATATTATTATGTAAGTACCTCGATGAAATCATTGATTTAGCCGGGTATGGTGGCTCACACCTGGAATCCCAGCACTTTGAGAGGCCAAGGTGGGTAGGTCTCTTGAGGTCGGGAGTTCAAGACCAGCCTGGCCAATTTGGTTAAACCAAATTGTATACTAAAAATACAAAAATTAGCTGGGTGTGGTGGCGGGTGCCTGTAATCTCAGCTACTTGGGTGGCTGAGGCAGGAAAATCACTTGAACCTGAGAGATGGAGGCTGCAGTGACCTGAGATTGCACCACTGCACTCCAGCCTGGGTGATAGAGTGAGATCCTATCTCAAAAAAAAAAAAAAAAAATCTTTGATTTTGCCACTTGACCTGCAAAGCCTAAAATATTTTACTATCTGTTTCTTACATAGAAAGTTTGCTAGGCCGGGCATGGTGGCTCACACCTGTAATCCCAGCACTTTGGGAGGCCAAGGCGGGTGGATCACTTGAGGTCAGGAGTTGGAGACCATCCTGGCCAACATGGTGAAACCCCGTGTCTACTAAAAATACAAAAAACATTAGCTGGTCGTGGTGGCATGTGCCTGCAATCCCACCTACTCGGGAGGCCAAGGCAGGAGAATAGCTTGAACCCGGGATGCAGAGGTTGCAGCAAGCTGAGATCGCACCACTGAACTCCAGCCTGGGCCACAGAGCAAGACTCCCTCTCAAAAAAAAAAAAAAAAAAAAAAAGACAAAGAAAAAGAATTCAGGGGAGTCCATCAATAGGGTAGAGTAAAAGCACGTTTATTACAGAAGAAACAAAAGAATGATACTCCATAGACAGAACAGTGACATGGGCCACTTGACTAAGTATACTTATAGTTATTTCTTGATCATATGCTAAATAAGGAGTGGATTATTCATGAGTTTTCCAGGAAAGGGGCAGGGATTTCCCAGAACTAAGCATTCCTCCCCCCTTTAGACCATATAGGGTAACTTCAGGACATTGCTATGGCATTTGTACACTATCATTGTGCTGGTGGGAGTGTCTTTAGCGTGCTAATGATTTATGATTAAGGAATAATGAGCAATGAGGACGATCAGAGGTCACTTTCATCACCATCTTGGTTTTGGTGGGTTTTAGCCAGCTTCGTTACTACAATCTGTTTTATCAGCAAGGTCTTTGTGACCTGTATCTTGTGCCGACCTCCTATCTCATCCTGTGACTAAGAATGCCTAACCTCCTGGGAATGCAGCCCAGTAGGTCTCAGCCTTGTTTCACCCAGCCCGTAGTCAAGATGGAGTCTCTCTGTTGGAACACCTCTAACAATTTCAGCAACTTTTCAAAATCGTGTTTGTATTAGTCTGTTTGTTTGTTTGTTTTTTCAGACAGAGTCTCACTCTATTGCACAGGCTGGAGTGCAATGGCGGGGTCTTGGCTGACTGCAACCTCTGCTTCCCAGGTTCAAGTGATTCTCCTGCCTCAGCCTCCCGAGTAGCTGGAATGACAGGCATTAGTCCGTTCTTGCACTGCCATAAAGAAATACCTGAGGCTGCGTAATTTATAAAGATAAGAGGTTTAATTGGCTCACAGTTATGCAGGTTGTACAAGAAGCATGATACTAGCATCTTCTCGGCTAATGGGGAGGCCTCAGGAAACTTACAATCATCGCGGAATGTGAAGAGGGACCACACACATCACGAGGCCAGAGTAGCAGCAAGAGAGCATAATGGGGGAGGTGCCACAAACTTTTTTTTTTTTTCTGAGACAGAGTCTCATTCTGTTGCCCAGGCTGGAATGCAGTGGCGTGAGCTTGGCTCACTGCAACCTCCGCCTCTTGAGTTGAAGCAAGTCTCCTGCCTTAGCCTCCCAAGTAGCTGAGACTACACGTGCAAACCACCGCACCAGGCTAATTTTTGTATTTTTGTAGAGATGGGGTTTTGCCATGTTGGCCAGGCTGGTCTCAAATTCCTGAACTCAATTGATCTGCCCACCTTGGCCTCCCAAAGTGCTAGGGTTACAGGCATGAGCCACCATGCCCAGCTGTGCCACACACTTTTAGTCAACCAGATCTTATGAGAACTCACTATCATGAGACCAGAACTAAGAGGATGGTGCTAAATTATTCATGAGAAACACCTCCATGATCCAATCACCTCACATCAGGCCCCACCTCCAACATTGGGAATTACAATTTTACTTGAGATTTGGGCGGGAACACAGATCCAAACCATATAAATGTTTAAAAGAACATCTAACTGCTCAGCTTTTCAATAGATGACTTCAAGTGACTTTATGCTCTGTGGTAGGCAGAATAATTCTTCCCCAAAGATGTTCATGTACTAATCCTTAGAACTTGTGAACCTGTGAATATACTAATATGCTTTTTTTTTTTTTGAGACAGGATCTCTCCCTGTCACCCAGCAGCAGGATCATGGATCATTGTAGCCTCCACCTCCCAGGCTCAATTTATCCTTCTACCTCAGCCTCCCAAGTACCTGGGATTGCAGGCGTGCACCACCACATCTGGCTAATTTTTCAATTTTTTAAGAGATGGGGTCTCACTGTGTTGCTCAGGCTGGTCTTGAACTCCTGGGCTCAAGTGATCCTCTTGCCTAAGCCTCCCAGTGTGCTGGGATTTCATGCATGAGCCAACCCACCCAACCTAATATGCTATTTTATTATTTATTTTATTTTATTTTGAGATGAAGTTTCACTCTTATCACCCAGGCTGGAGTGCAATGGTGCAATCTCAGCTCACTGCAACCCTCTGCCTCCCAAGTTCAAGTGATTCTCCTGCCTCAGCCTCCTGAGTAGTTGGGATTACAGGCACCCGACACCATGCCACCATGCCCTGCTAATTTTTGTATTTTTAGTAGAGATGGAGTCTCGCCACATTGGCCAGCCTGGTCTCGAATTCCTGACCTTGTGATCCACCTGCCTTGGCCTCCCAAAGTGCTGGGATTACAGGCATGAGCCACCGCGCCCGGCCCTAATATGCTATTTTATATGGCATAGGGGAATTGAGGTGGCAGATGAAATTAAGGTTGTTTATTTAGTTGACCTTAAAACAAGTAGATGAGATTCTGAATGATCTGAGTTGGCCCAAAATAATAAGAAGAAATATATATATATATGGTTTTTTTTTTTTTTTTTGAGATGGAGTCTCACTCTGTTGCCCAGGCTGGAATGCAGTGATGTGATCTTGGCTCACTGCAAGCTCCGCCTCCCAGGTTGACACCATTCTCCTGCCTCACCCTCCCGAGTAGCTGGGACTACAGGCACCTGCCACCACGCCTGGCTAATTTTTTTTTTTTTTTTGAGACAGAGTCTCGCTCAGTCACCCAAGCTGGAGTGCAGTGGCTCCATCTCCGCTCACCGCAAGCTCCGCTTCCTGGGTTCACGCCATTCTCCTGCCGAAGCCTCCCGAGTAGCTGGGACTATAGGCATGTGCTACCACGCCCGGCTAATTTTTTGCATTTTTAGTAGAGACAGGGTTTCACTGTGTTCGCCAGGATGGTCTCGATCTCCTGACCTCGTGATCCACCCGCCTCGGCCTTCCAAAGTGCTGAGATTACAGGTGTGAGCCACTGCGCCCAGCCAAATATATATTTTTATATATATAAAATAAATAATGGAGATGGAATAGAAAGTCAAAGTGATGTGATTTTAAAAGAACACAACCAGCCACTGCTTTCTTTGAAGACAGAGGAAAGGGTCACAAGCCAATGAATGAGGGCAGTCTCTAGAAGCTGGAAAAGGGAAGGACTCTCCCTTAGAGCTTGTAGAAAGCAACAGTCTTGCCAATACATTGTCTTAATCAAGTGAGACTGGTGTCAGACTTCTATTGACACAATTGTAAGATAACACATTTGTGGTGTTTGAAGCCCCTAAATTTGTGGTAATTCATTACTGCAGCAGTAGAAAACTAATACACTATCCCAGACTCTTTAAAACCCTTTTCTGGCCGGGTGCGGTGGTTCACGCCTATAATCCCAGCACTTTGGGAGGCTGAGGTAGGTGGATTACCCGAGGTCAGGAGTTTGAGACCAGTCTGGCCAACATGGCGAAACCCCGTCTCTACTAAAAATACAAAAATTAGCTGGGCGTGGTGGTGGGCGCCTGTAATCCCAGCTACTCAGGATGCTGAGGCCAGAGAATCACTTGAACCTGGGAGGCGGAGGTTGCAGTGAGCCGAGAGATCTCGCCACTGCACTCCAGCCTGGGTGACAAGAGCAGAACTCTGTCTCAAAAAAAACCTTTCCTTACTATGTCCACAAATCCCAATGTATCATGATTCTTACCCAGTTGTAATCAAGCCCCTTGAATTGAAAAACTCTCTTAAATCAGATCCCCAAACCTTATAAATATTCCAACTTTGCTTTCCCCCTTAAAGATGTTACTGAGACTGTGTTAAGGTAGTGATCTTTTTTATTGAAGTGAACAATAACTCAGTTTTGCTTTTTTTTTTCTTGAGACAGAGTCTCATTCTGTCACCCAGGCTGGAGTGCAATGGTGCAGTCTCGGCTCACTGCAACTTCCACCTCCCGGGTTCAAGCAATTCTCCTGCCTCAGCCTCCCAAGTAGCTGGGATTACAGGCGTCCGCCACCACGCCTGGCTAATTTTTTTGTATTTTTAGTAGAGACAGGGTTTCGCCAATGGGTTGTCTTGGTGGTATTTTGGGGGAGCTAGTATCTGACAATTGTCTTATCCATGTGCTTAGAACAATACCTGCTATATAGTAGATGTTTAATAAATATTTGATAAATAATGAATAAATTATCTGAGTTTCTAAAATAATATGGAATAATGTTTACGTAGCTGTAGTTGTGACTTGGTAGTTCCTATATCTAGATGTGATTTTCAGAAAATATTGGTGGAGATCATTTAAGGCCCAAATGAAACCTTGTACATGGATATTTATAGTAGCTTTATTCATAATTTTTATTTTATTTTATTTTTGGACTTCTACAATGACTTCTAATTGTTTTTTGTTAATGGAAACAACCCAAATGTTCTTCAACTGATTAATGGCTAAACAAGCTATGTTATATCCACACAATGGAATACTATTCAGTGATTAAAAAAAAAAAGAAAGTACTGATACATGAAAACAACAATGGATAAATTTCACAAGCATTATACCAAGTGAAAGAAGCCAGACTTGAAAGGCTATATACTGCATGATTCCATTTGTTTGATATTCTGGAAAAGGTAATGGTATAAGGACAAAAAGTAGATCTATGTTTTCCAGGAACTGGGGTTGAAATGAAGGGTTCATTACGAAGGGGCAAGAGGGAATATTTTGTGGTGATTGAAATGTTCTATATCTTGACTGTGGTGGTAGTTACACAACTGTATGCATTTGTCAGAACTCATAAAACTGTACATTATATACTTTTTTTTTTTTTTTGAGACGGATTCTCACTCTGTTGCCCAGGCTGGAGTGCAGTGGGAAGATCTCGGCTCACCACAACCTCCACTTACCAGGTTCAAGTGATTCTCCTGCCTCAGCCTCCTGAGTAGCTGGGATCACAGGTGTGCGCCACCATGCCTGGCTAATTTTTGTATTTTTAGTAGAGAATGGGTTTCACCATGTTGTCCAGGCTGGTCTGAAACTCCTGACCTCAAGTGATCTGCCCACCTCTGCCTCCCAAAGTGCTGGGATTACAGGGATGAGCCACCACGCCCAGCCAAGGATGAATTTTATGATATGTAAATTTTACCTTCAAAAACCTAACTTAAAAACAGTACTCAGTTACTAAGTATTGCTACTCTAACAATATACATTAAATCTTTATTTTTTTTTGAGACAGAGTCTTGCTCTGTTGCCCAGGCTGGACTGTAAATGGCACAATCTTGGCTCACTGCAACGTCTGCCTCCCGGGTTCAAGCAGTTCTCCTGTCTCAGCCTCCCAAATAGCTGGGATTATAGATGCACACCACTGTGCCCAGCTAATTTTTGTATTTTAGTAGACACAGAATTTCGCAATGTTGGCCAGGCTGGTCTCGAACTCCTGACCTCAGATGATTCACCTGCTGTGGCCTCCCAAAGTGCTGAGATTACAGGCATGAGCCACCGTGCCTGGCCTAAATCCTTTGTTAAAATCTTGCATGCTAGTAAAACAATCATATTTTGCTTTGAGATTTTTGTTTCTTTTTTTTTTTTTTTTTTGAGACAGAGTCTCCCTCTGTCGCCCAGGCTGGAGTGCAGTGGCACGATCTTGGCTCACTGCAACCTCTGAAGCCCGAATTCAAGCAATTCTCCTACCTCAGCCTCCTGAGTAGCTGGGATTACAGGCGCCTGCCACTGCCCCCAGCTAATTTTTGTATTTTTAGTAGAGACAGGGTTTCACCATCTTGGCCAGGCTGGTTTTGAACTCCTGACCTTGTGATCCACGTACCTCAGCCTCCCAAAGTGCTGGGATTACAGGCATGAACCACCGTGCCCGGCCTTTGTTTCTCTTTTAGTTTTATGGTACGTCATTTTCTGCAATTTCTCCATTCTGCACAGTAGTCTTACACTGTTCTAGAACATGAAGTTAGAGACAGAACATTCACTTTGTTAAAACAGATGTAACTTCTTAAACAAAATGATACAATATTAAAATATTAAAAACTTAGAAATAATTTTAGGAACTTTTTCTTTTATTTGCTGAAACAGAGGAAACTTTTTTTTTGAGATGGAGTTTTGCTCTTGCTGCCCACGGTGGAGTGCAACAGCAAGGTTTTGGCTCACCACAACCTCGGCCTCCTGGATTCAAGTGATTCTCCTGCCTCAGCCTCCTGAGTAGCTGGGATTATAGGCACTGGCCACCACGCCCAGCTAATTTTAGTATTTTTAGTAGAGACTGGGTTTCCCCATGTTGGTCAGGCTGGTCTGGAACTCCCGACCTCAGGTGATCTGCCTGCCTTGGCCTCCCAAAGTGCTGGGATTACAAGCATGAGCCACCACACCTGGCCGGAAACTTCTTATTTGCAGAATAATGCCAAATAAAAGGCTATACTGGCCATTCCTCCCCTTTTTGGTTTTTAAATAAGGTTTCATTTTGTATTGAAAAAGTATCACTATCCTTTATGGAACAAAAGCATATTATTATTTGCGTTAGCCAAATAACATTTACTTCAGAATAAGCAAGGAAACTTAAAGTTTGTTACATATTTTCAATTTGCACCTTAATACTCATCTTTAATCAAAATTATTATGGTGTGGCCGGGAGTGGTGGCTCACGCCTGTAATCCCAGCACTTTGGTAGCCCGAGGCGGGTGGATCACGAGGTCAGAAGATCGAGACCATTCTGGCTAACACGGTGAAACCCCATCTCTACTAAAAATACAAAAAAATTAGCCGGGCGTAGTGGCGGGCACTTGTAGTCCCAGCTACTGGGGAGGCTGAGGCAGGAGAATGGCGTGAACCTGGGAGGCAGAGCTTGCAGTGAGCCGAGATGGCGCCACTGCACTCCAGCCTGGGCGACAGAGCGAGACTCTGTCTCAAAAAAAAAAAATTATTACGGTGTAAAGTGACAAATATTCTTTTCTTTTGCCACTCTCCATCCCCTCAACCCTCCAACCTATACAGCCTTGTAAATCTTCTTAAGCAGAATTTGAAAGCAAGTAAATGAAATAGGCACAATTTCTGTGTAGGATAATTTGGTAATATCTATCAAAATTAAAAATCCTTTTGATCTAAAGATTCCAGGCTAAGGATTTATCATACAGGTATAATTTGCTCATTATATGGAGTTGTTTTTCGTTTTTAATTATTTTAACTTTTTTGAGACAGGGTCTTGCTCTGTCACTGAGACTGGAGTGCAGTGGTGCGATTAGGGCTCATTGCAGCCTTCATCTCCTGGGTACAAACGATTCTCCCACCTCAGCCTCTCTAGTAGTTAGGACCACAAGCCTGTGCCACCACAAACGGCTAATTTTTTATTTTTTGTAGAGATGGGGTCTCACTATGTTGCCCTGTCTTGTATGAGGTTATTCATTGCAGCTTAGCATGTAATAGTAATGGCTTGGCAACAAGCGGAATATCCACCTGTAGGGGATTGGTTAAATAAATTAGGATGTTTGCATAAGTGGAATATTATTCTGCCTCTAGGAAGAAAAAGGTAGTTCATTATATACTGATATGGCAGGATGTCCAAGACATTTTTTTCTTTTTTCTTTTTTTGAGACAGGGTCTCACTCTCATCCAGGCTGGATGGCAAGCTCCCGGCTCACTGCAGCACCGACCTCCTAGGCTCAAGTGATCCTCCCACCTCAGTCTCCAGAGTAGGTGGGACTATACGCATGCACCACCACGCCCGGCTAATTTTTGTATTTTTCATAGGGATGGGGTTTTGCCATGTTGCCGGGGTTGGTCTCAAACTCCTGGTCTCAAGCGATCAGCCCCCCTCGGCCTCCTAAAGTGTTGGGATCATAGGCCTGAGCCACTGTGCCCAGCCTATCCAAGATATTTGAAGTGAGAAAAAAAGGACTGAACAGCGTATATAGTGTGTTACCTTTTGTGTAAAAAGAAGTATCCCTATATTTTAATGTATTACTTACAAATATGTAGGGAAAGATACATTATTAAATGCTAAGTGATTGCCTTCCAGGACTGAAACAGCTAACAGACAGAGATGGGAGAATCAATTATTTTTTATTCTGTCATGTTTTGAGTTTTCTATTAAGACATTTCCTAATTTATATAGCTCTATAGAGAAAATGCATATAAAGAGTGAAGCTTAAAAGAAATAGTAGATGTTTAGAGGTGAAAGAAGTGTTCAGAATGATATGCTGAAGAAAAACATTAGTGGGCCGGGTGCGGTGGCTCACGCCTGTAATCCCAACACTTTGGGAGGCCCAGGCGGGTGGATTGGTTGAGGTCAGGAGTTCGAGACCAGCCTGGCCAACATGGTGAAACCGTGTCTCTATTAAAAATACAAAAATTAGCCGTAGGTGGTGGCTCCCCCCTTTAATCCCAGCTACTCCGGAGGCTGAGGTACTAGAATCGCTTGAACTCGGGAGGCGGAGGTTGCAGTGAGCCGAGATCCCGCCATTGTACTCCAGCCTGGGCGACAACAGCGAGATCTATCTCAATAAATAAATGAAAAGGAAAACATTAGTGGCAGAAGATGTTTAAATGACGAAGAAAGAGGGACGGTTTGGCTTCTTAGGGTAAGTTTACTGGAAATACCGAACAGCCTCCTGCGTCCTTTGCCTTTTTGCTGGACCTCTTGAGGACTCGAGGCTTCGACACCTGGAAGCAAGTCTAGGAAGCTCCGGGTTGGGCCGGATCCCCACCAGAGGCGAGGGGCGGAAGGCCTGGGTTTGTCACCTGAGCCCCAGAACCGGCATATCCGGTTCGGCCCGGCCCCGCCCTTCGGAACCTCACTAGCGGGCTACGCGCAGGAGGGCGTGAGCTCCCGGATGTGCAGGCCCTGTACTGCCGTGGCAGCCCTGCCGGACGCGGCCGCAGTGCCCAGAGGCTCAGGCCTATACCGCTCGGGCGGGTCCTTTGCCTGGCCCGGGTCATCAGACCCCACAGCCGGGAACGTCACCACCCCGGGCGTCGCCTCCCGGCCCAGCCGGCCCACAGACCCCCGCCCCCTACTCCCCCAGCGGGGAGGGGCGCAGAGGCATCACGTGACGCCCCGCACCCGCCCGGTCTTGGTCACATGGTGGCACGGCCGCTGCGTCAGTCACAGCCCTGGCTGCAGGAGTCCAGCTGCCGTCGCCGCCGCCAGCGGACGGGGCGGGGATCCTGGTGCCAGGTCTTCGTTAACCCGCCCCCGCCGCCTCAGTCAGCTGTCCCAGCCCGGGCCCGACCGTCATGGAGCGGTGCGGGGCCTACGCCTGTTCCGTGTGAGGCGCATCGCTGCCGCCGCCGCCGACGCCGCCTTCGTTTGTCGAGGCCTCCGGAACCCCCGCCGCCTCCCGGAGCCCCTCGCCCTTGGCAGCCTGTCACCGCCCCCTGGGCGGGCTCGAATGCGCGTCCGGTGAAGGTGCAGGCCCGGCGCCGCCACTGCCGCAGCCAGGAGATGGTTCGGGCCTAGCGGAGCCGGGACTGGAGGTAAGAAGGGCCGACAGACTGACCCAGGGCCGGGCCGGGCCGCGGGGGTTGTGGCCGGGGCCGGGTGGGGGTGGGGGCCCGCAAGTTCTGCGGGGAGCCTCGGGGAGACCCTCCGGGCTGGGGCTGCTCAATCAGGCGTCACCCCTCCTCTCATCTGCGCGTCCCACCCCACCACCTTCCCGCAAAGATAAGAAAATAAAAAAAGCTAACCCAATCCTAACAAAAATTCCCAGAAATCCATCCGTTTAGTGTTTCTCCTTTCCTCTTTCTTTCCTCAGACGTTCCATCGGCTGATTTGTTACTTTTTCATATCCTCCTCAATTTCAAATTATGTCTAATTAAAGAGAAAATAGGCCCAGATTCTGGCTAACATTACCCAGCTAGTTCTCGCTTTCCTTCTCGCGATCCTGCGCACCTCTCCCACACCCCCACCCCCGCAAAAAAAAAAAAAAAAGAAGGAAAAATTTCCGCCTTCGACTTGCGAAGGGGATTGACTAAAAATGGGAACGTGGGGGTATAATACTCGAATACCCTCCCCTACAACTTCTGAATCGGTCTGTTACCTAGTTATCCCAGTAGCTTGTGCGTGGATATTGATGTTTAGGCCTTTCCTCCAGCTGCCTGTGCTTGGGGTTAATCTCGTAATTGACGTCAGTGCTTTGTTCCTTCTACTTTGCTGTTCCTTCCACTCTTTGAGGATGGATCATGGAGTACAGGAGTTTTGGGAGTAACCTTATTGCCTTTTCGTTTACAAACAGTATTATTTTCAGGAAGTGGAAGTACGAATCTGAAATGTTTGTATATGGAGTTCAAGGCGAAGAGTTCGATTTAGGGTTCTCGTAGTTTTGTCAGTTGTAATTCAGAATTATGCGGTTTCTTCCCTGCTGGCCACATGGAAATTTTATACTAAGGCCAGTCACTTTTCCATTGACCAGTGTTTTTCTTGATGGAATCTAAGCTATAGGTGTCTGTGAATAGACTGTAAATGTAACATAAAATGTGTGCTGTTTTTCGGGCTCAGATATGAAAAGCGCAAAGCTTCGTTTCTGTATTGATTCTGCACTTCATAAAGTGCTTTTTAAAACTTAACTGGTCTTTAACTTATCAAAATTGAAATATTTATGAGAACTTTCTTAATTTGGGATTTGATAAAGAGCCTTTGTGGTCTGTGAGTCTGCCTAGAATCATCTTTGGTCATACGTGCATAAAGAAGTGTTGGCAAGTGGCCACTTGGTTTTCAACAAAGCTGGCTTCTTTAAATTTCTCAGATTCGTTTTCCTTATTATCACTGCATCTTTCAGCTCCTAAATATAAGAAAAATTCCCAGTAAGTTATTTTAAGTTATCTTTCAGAGTTAACTTACTAAAAACCTGGAAGCAGTCAAATTTTTCTTTTTTTATTACCAGCAGTTTCATTCAATTTGCGGTGGTTTGCAGGCTGGTACTTTGATTTTTGTTAACTCTCTAGAAACAGTAGGCAAATTTTACTTTAAATAAAATTTTGCTTCAAGTGGGGACAAGATGGGGTGTCTGAAAAAAGAGCCCAGCTGTGTTAATTGGAACATGATCTACAGTTTGGGAGTGTAAGGTGAAGCTGTGTAATTAAGAATTCTTAAAGATTGAATATTTTTGTTCTGAGTCACTTTCTACTTGTCAGATTCTCACATTCAGGTTGATACATTCTCTTCTGTGTACTCTTGAGTTATTGTACCCTTTTTGTAGCAATATATTCTGCAGCCGGGCCTGGTGGTTCACGCCTGTAATCCTAGCACTTTAGCACTTTGAGAGGCCGAGGTGGGCGGATCACCTGAGGTCAGGAGTTCTAGACCATCCTGGCCAACATAATGAAACCCCGTCTCTACTAAAAATACAAGAATTAGCCAGGTGTGGTGGTGCACACCTGTAGTTCTAGCTACTTGAGAGGCTGAGGCATGAGAACCAAATTAGCCAGACATGGTGGTACATGCCTGTAGTCCCAGCTACTCCAGAGGCTGAGGCACGAGAATCGCTTGAGAATCGCTTGAACTGGGAGGCGAAGGTTGCAGTAAGCCGAGATCACACCACTGGAATGCAGTGGCTCCATCTCTGCTCACTGCAACCTCTGCCTCCTGGGTTCAAGCGATTCTCCTGCCTCAGCCTCCTGAGTAGTTGGGATTGCAGGTACACACTACCATTCCCAGTTAATGTTTTTTGTATTTTTAGTAGAGACGGGGTTTCAGCAGGTTGGTCAGACTGGTCTCGAACTCCTGACCTCGTGATCCACACGCCTCGGCCTCCCCAAAGTGTTGGGATTACAGGCATGAGCACTGCGCCCGGCCAACCTAGGCGATGTCTCAAACAAGCAGAAGCCTACTATATGTTTTGCACTGTAATTTTCTTTTTTTCCCTGTCTCTTGCAGATATTGAGGGATGCATAATAATTTTCTTACAGATCTGTTACAGGGTCTTTGAGGAAGTACTATATTTATTCCTCTTTTTATCTTCCTCAGTATTTTACACAATTACTAGATTGAATTTGAATGTGATAATATTTTGAACTTGAAATTGTTGTTCTATCAACTTATCTAAGATTTCACAAAAAGGTAATGTAAAGAAAGCTGTATGAGCAAAGGATCAGTATTTGAAAGGGAAAAACCTGTCAGTTTCAGAAGATGAGACAGAAGATGAAGCTTTCTAAAAGTTATATATTTTGCCTTTTTTGAGAAGGTAAGGTAAATGCCGTAGTTTTATGTGTACCTGAGAGGAACAAATAAAACAGGTATTTCTTCCTTTGTGGCCATCCACTGGTTTAGAATGGAGTTCAAAATCTATGAGGACTTTTCTTTGTGGTATTTTTAATAAAATCAAAGAGGTATTCTTAAGTATTGAGAGCACACCTGGACAATGACCCAGAAGTACAGCATGTACTATAAAAAATTGATGACTTAGATTTTTTTTTACTTTAGCTTTATTCTACAGATATCTCACTATGAAGACTTTTCTATATGATATAAAGGTTCCCAGCTCTCCTGCATCCTTATTATGTTTTACCCATTCCCTTATTCATTTCCTCTGATAAGTTGGAACAATTCTATTTGATTTCTGGGAGGGTGTTAGCTAGTCTCAGTTATTGTGAAAGAAGGTGTAGTGACTAAAGACTGCCTAAAGCTAACCTGACCTGTTACCTTGCTGCTTTTTCCTTTGGTTTAAGAAAAGCGCTCCTACTGGCCAGGCGCAGTGGCTTATGCCTGTAATCCCAGCACTTTGGGAGGCTGAGGCTGGCGGATCACGAGGTCAGGAGATCGAGACCATCCTGGCTAACACGTCTCTACTAAAAGAATACAAAAAATTAGCTGGGTGTGGTGGCAGGCGCCTGTAGTCCCAGCTACTTGGGAGGCTGAGGCAGCAGAATGGCGTGAACCCAGGAGGCGGAGCTTGCAGTGAGTCGAGATCGCACCACTGCACTCCAGCCTGGGCAACAGAGCGAGACTCCGTCTCAAAAAAAAAAAAAAAAAAAAAAAAAGAAAAGCACTCCTACTTGTTGTTAACTCCCTATACATACCCTTCTTGGTTATTTGAAGTGATACTCTAGTACACGGAAGAGGGCAGTAATATATGTTCCAGTTACTGAGTTTTGGCACATCATCTGCATTCCTGTTTGTCTTGATGTTCATTTTCGCTGGTATCATATCTTGAAAGTTTTAACGATACTGGGGCACAGAAAATATTAGAACCTCCAAATTCAATTCCAGAGTATTCCAAAACATTTTAATACTAGAACTACCTATTCTATTTTTGAAGAAAAAAAATCTTAGCTACCTGCTTTATCAGCTATTCTTTATTTAAAAAAATCTGTAACCTTGCCGGGCCCGGTGGCTCATGCCTGTAATCCCAGCACTTTGGGAGGCCAAGGTGGGCGGATCACGAGGTCGAGAGATCAAGACAATCCTGGACAATATGGTGAAACCCCGTCTTTACTAAAAATACAAAAATTAGCTGGGCATGGTGGCGCCTGTAGTCCCAGCTACTTGGGAGGCTGAGGCAGGAGAATCGCTTGAACCTGGGAGGCGGAGGTTGCAGTGAGCTGAGATCGCACCACTGCACTCCAGCCTGGCAACACAGCAAGACTCTATCTCAAAAAAAAAAAAAAAAATCTGTAACCTGAGGAATGTTCTGACAGAAGGCATTTTATGTAACTTTTTCTCTCTTGGAGTTCTTAATGAACTGTGTTGGTGGCTTTTAGGCAAGGAAACGTAGCTTATTAGTGGATACTGTTTTAAACTAATTACTTCAATAATCATTTCCTAGGACAGGTAAAAGAACTTCATGTATTCTTTTCCCAAGGTTGTTGGGTAGGAGGAATCAGGGACTGACATGAATAGACTGCACTGGAAAGCCAGTATGGTTTGATTACCCAGAGATCTGTTCGGGGACAGGGCTGCCTGGAGTTGCTTTGGGCCTAATAGCTCTCCCAGGATTTTGTCAGTTTGGAGTTGCCTAGTGGGTTATGACTTTTCCTTTTCATGTCATCATTAGGGAAGGGACAGTTTTATGGAGAGATGAGTACCAGCCAATACTCTGTAGAGACACACCTTCTTACCTTTTTGCAGTTGCTTCCATTTCTTCCAATTGGAATATTATTTCTTCTAACTTGTTTCTTACCTGTTAAAATTTCACCGTTTTTAAAGGCCTGATTTACGTTTCATTGCCTTCTTGAAGTTTTGGTTAATTCTTCACCCCACTCCAGTTGTGATCTACTTCCTTTCAATCTCTGCATCACTTTGTAGCTCCTTTTTTTTTTTTTTTTTTTTTTTTGAGACAGGGTCTCACTCTGTCATCCAGGCTGGAGTGCAGTGATGTGATCTTGGCTCACTGCAACCTCTGCTTCCCAGGCTCAAGCAATTTTCATAACTCAGCCTCCCGAGTAGCTGGGACTACAGGTGTGCACCACCATGCCCTGCTAATTTTTTTTGTATTTTTTGTAGAAATGGGGTTTCGCCCTGTTGTCCAGGCTGGTGTACCTCTTTTAATTATTTGTTATGCAGCTACTATGGGACTATAGCCTGCTGAGTAACATCACGAAAAATGTATTAGGGAAGACACTAGTAAAAGAAGGACTGTAAGTGTTGTAATATTTCATTATGTGTTTCTAAAATATAAAGATTAAAACAATCCCAATATTATACACTAAAAAAAGTAACACGCATTCCTTAATATCATCAATATCAAGTGTTCACATTTCCCTGATTATAGTTTTTGTATTGTTTTTACAATTTTTGTGAATTAGGATCCAAATAAGGTCTGTAAATATTACATTGGGTTTAGGTAATCGATACTTTTTTCTTTTAATCTATAAGTTTTCCTCTATCTTTTTATTGTGGTTATTCCCATACAATTGGTTTGTTGAAGAAGCCAGGTCTTTGCCCTATGATACTTCTCAGAATCTAGATTGTGTTGATGAGATCCCAGTGGTTTCATGTAATATGTTCTTTTGTCCCTTGTATTTTCTGTAAATTTTGTTTATTTTATTTTTTTTATTTCTATTATTTGAGATGGAGTCTTGCACTGTCACCCAGGCTAGAGTACAGTGGCATGATCTCAACTCACTGCAACCTCCGCTTCCTGGATTTCAAGCAGTCCTGCCCCAGCCTCCTGAGTAGCTGGGGTCTACAGGCGCCTGCCACCATGCCCAGCCAATTTTTGTATTTTTAGTAGAGACAGGGTTTTGCCATGTTGACCAGGCTGATCTCGAACTCCTGACCTCAGGTGATCTGCCTGCCTCGGCCTCCCAAAGTGCTGGGATTATACGTATGAGCCACTGCACCCGTCCTTTCTGTAAATTTTAATAGTTAACATCTAGAAGTCTGATCTGATTTAGCATTAAATAAAATAACATTTTAAATAATAACATTTTAAATAATAATAATAATTATTATTTTTTTGGACAGGACTGCACTCGGTTACCCAGGCTGGAGTGCATGGGGCAGTCACGGCTCACTGCAGCCTTGATCTGCTGCACACATGTGATCCTCCTGCCTCAGCCTTCCAAGTAGCTAGGACTACAGGCACGAGCCACCATACCTGGCTAAATTTTTTGGTTTTTGCAAAGATGGGGTCTTGCTGTATTGCCTGGGCTGGTTACAAATTCCTGGCCTCAGGTAGTCCTCCCACCTCAGCCACTCAGTGTGCTGAGATTCCAGGCATGAGTTACTGCACCTGGCCATTTTTCTGTTTTTTTTTTTTTTTTTTTTTTTTTTTTTTGAGACGAAGTCTCACACTGTCACCCAGGCTGGAGTGCAATGGTGCAATCTTGGCTCACCACAACCTTCACCTCCCAGGTTCAACTGATTCTTCTGCCTCAGCCTCCTGAGTAGCTGGGATTACAGGCACCTGCCACCATGCCCGGCCAATTTTTGTATTTTTAGTAGAGATGGGGTTTCACCATGTTGGTCAGGCTGGTCTTGAACTCCTGACCTCATGATCTGCCTGCCTCAGCCTCCCAAAGTGCTGGGGTTACAGGTGTGAGCCACCTTGCCTGGCCCATGTTTACATTTTTAAATGGTGGGAGAAAAATCATTTTTTTTAGCAAGTCAATATTTTAGGAAACTCAGATTTCTTTCTCTCGCTCTCTCTTTTTTTTTTTTTTTCTGAGATGGAGTCTTGCTCTGTTGCCCAGGCTGGAGTGCAGTGGCATGATCTCGGCTCACTGCAGCCTCTGCCTCCCAGGTTCAAGTGATTCTCCCTGCTTCAGCCTCCCGAGTAGCTGGGATTACAGATGTGCGCCACCACACCTAGCTAATTTTTGTAGTTTTAGTAGAGATGGGGTTTTGCCAGGTTGGCCAGGCTGGTCTTGAACTTCTGACCTCTGGTAATCCACCTGCCTTAGCCTTCCAAGGTGCTGGGATTACAAGCATGAGCCACTGGGCCCGGCCAGGAAACTCAGATTTCAATGTCCATAAATAAAGTTTTACTGGAACACAGGCAGCACACCCGTTTGTTTTTTGTTTATGTATTGTCTGTGGCTGCTTTTGCTGCTGTGATGGCAGAATTTAGTAATTGTGACTATATGGCCTGCCAAACCTGAAATATTTACTGTGGCCCTAAAAACATTTGTTGAATCCAGCCTTAGTGGATACTTGGGTTTGAGGATTTCTTTAGGGTTGAGCAGTTAGTTACAAGGTCCCCATTTACTTGGTGGCTGTTAGGGTTTTTTGTTTGTAGAATATGTATATTTGTGTAATACATATGAGTATAATACACATATATTTACATGTATTACGTGTATTATATATTTATATATTACACATCTTGTGCATTATATTATATATACTATACTATATAGTATAGTATAATATAGTAAGTATAGTATATATTATATGTAGCATATATAATATACTCTGATGTATATTATATACTATATAATCTATGTAATACATGTATATGTATATATTTTGTGTGTGTGTGTGTATATATATATATATATATTTTTTTTTTTTTTTTTTTGAGATGGAATCTCACTCTATCACCCAGGCTGGAGTGCAGTGGCATGATCTTGGCTCACTGCAACCTCTGCCTTCCGGGTTCAAGCGATTCTCCTGCCTCAGCCTCTTGAGTAGCTGGGATTACAGGCGCCCGCCACCACGCCCGGCTACTTTTTGTATTTTTAGTAGAGATGGGGGTTTCACCATGTTGATCAGGCTGGTCTTGAACTCCTGACCTCGTGATCTGCCCGCCTTGGCCTCCCAAAGTGTTCAGATTACAGGCATAAGTCGCTACACCTGACCTGTATAGTTGTATGTACGCTATTATGTAGTACACTATGCAAGTGAGCATTACCGTCTGAGCTTTGCTTCCTATCAGATCAGATTCTCATAGTGATACAGACAGGAGGCAGGGAAATACTGGCTAGAAGTGGGTGGGGTACCTGGTGAGGGCCCCTCAAGCTTGGACCCATAACCCTAAATAAGAACTTCACATCCCTGTTTTCCTGCCTGAATGTTTCCTTTTCCATAACCACTCTGGCCCACCACGCCCCTCCACCCTGTACCCATAAAAACTCCAAGCTCCACTAGCAGAGGAACAGAGTGGTATGGCAGAGGAGAGAAGAGAAGAAGCAGAGAGGAGAAGCAGCAGCTGGACACCGGAGACTATGGGTTGGAGAGGATTTCAGCTAGGGACAGCTGAGCTCCAGGGGAAGATTATCTTCCCACTCCATCCCTTTTCCAGCTCCCCATCCTGCTGAGAGCCACTTCCACCACTCAATACAATCTCTGCATTCAGCATCCTTCAAGTTCATGTGACCTGATTCTTCCTGGATACCGGAGAAGAACCTGGGTACCAGGAGGGCAGGATGTGAAAGGCTATCACCCTGACCTTCCAGTGAGCTTAACACTTAGCCATCCGTGGACAGCAAATGATAAAAGAGCATTGTCTAGGCCGGGCGCGGTGGCTCACGCCTGTAATCCCAGCACTTTGGGAGGCCGAGGCGGGCGGATCACGAGGTCAGGAGATCGAGACCATCCTGGCTAAAACGGTGAAACCCCGTCTCTACTAAAAATACAAAAAATTAGCCAGGCGTAGTGGCGGGCGCCTGTAGTCCCAGCTACTTGGGAGGCTGAGGCAGGAGAATGGCGTGAACCCGGGAGGCGGAGCTTGCAGTGAGCCGAGATCCCGCCACTGCACTCCAGCCTGGGCGACAGAGCGAGACTCCGTCTCAAAAAAAAAAAAAAAAAAAGAGCATTGTTTGTAACACACACCCTCTGGGGCTCCAGAGGTCGTGGGCAACCACCCCTAGATGCTGCCATGAGCCGGTATGGGGTTAATTCCTGCTGGCACCCAAAAGCTTCTGCACCCACTCACCCTGTGTGCTCCCCCTCCCACAAGGGGTTTGAGCATGGCAGGTAAGCAAGTGAGCCACCCCTGTCACAAGTCACGTGATGGGGTCGAGGGAACTCTGCCGTGTCAATAGGAGCTCGAACCCTGTTGTGAACTGCACATGCAAGGGATCTAGGTTGCATACTCCTTCTGAGAATCTAACTAATGCCTGATGATCTGAGGTGAAATGGTTTTCTTTCAAAATCATCTCCCCGCAACCCCTGTCCATCCATGGAAAAATTGTCGTCTGTGAAACTGGTCCCTGGTGCCAAAAAGATTGGGAACTGCTCATATGCATGACTTTCCTGAATCTGGAATGCACACTGTGTTCAAGAACTGGAAGGGACTGGTAGAAAGTATGAGATTAATCTGATGAGGAGACAAGAGTCAGATCAAGTAGAATATTGTAAGCCATGTTGAGGACTTTAAAGTTTATCTTAAAGTAAACGGAAAGCTTATTTAAAAATTTTAAGCAGGAGTTAGGCAATCTGACCTGACTTGTGTCTTAGAAAGATTACTTTGGCTGCCGTATGGCATATAAAGAGAGACCGAGGGAAGTAGAAGTCCAATTAGAAAGGCTGTAGCGTTTATTCAAGCGGAAGATAAAATGTGGTGTGTTTTGAACGGTGGCAGTGGAAAAAGAAGTGAGGAGGGAGATTCAAAATATATTTTGGCAGTTATGGTGATGGATTAGATTTGAAGAGAGGTTGAAGGAAGAATTCAGCAAAAGCAGTTGGCTGGCTGGATGCATTACTATTAGGATGAGGATCACTGGAGGAGGAGTGGTTGGTGATAAGGGAAAGCAGATCAGAAAATTAATTTTAGATGTATTAAGATTGAGATTTTTGGGATTGGGCATGGTGACTCATTACAAAGTTCTTGTAATCCCAGCACTTTGGGAGGCTGAGGTGGTAGGATTACTTGAGGCCAGGAGTTTTAGGCCAGCCTGGGCAACATAGTGAGATCTTGTCTCTACAAAAAATTGAAAAGAAAAAAAAATTACCCAGGTGTGGTGTCATGCATCCTTTAGTCCCAGCTACTCAGGAGGCTGAGGTGGGAGGAGCACTTACCTAAGGAGTTTGAGGTTACAGTGAACTATGATTGCACCACTGTACTCCAGCCTGGGTGACAGACTGAGACCCTGTCTCTAAAAAATAAAAAATCGAAATTAAAAAAAACAGAGATTTCTTAGTTTTGAAGCCTTTGGGATTAAAAAAAGATAATACAATTTTTTTTTTTTTTTAGTAGAGACAGATTCTCCCTATGTTGCCTAGGCTGGTCTTGAATTCCTGAGCTCAAGCAGTCCTCTCACCTTGCCCTCCCAAAGTGCTGAGATTACAGGCATGGTAGTGCCTAGCCCTGATTTAGATTTCTTAGATAGCCAAAGGGCATTGTCAAACAGGTTCCTGGATGTGTGGTTTTGTATTTCAGAAGAGAAAGTGTCATGGGGAGCATATGTGGGCATTCTGGTTGTAGGCATAGAGTTGTGTTTTTTTTTGTTTTTTGTTTGAGACAGAGTCTCACTCCGTCACTTAAACTAGAGTGCAGTGGTACGATCTTGGCTCATTGCAACCTCTGCCTCCCAGGTTCAAGTGATTCTCATGCCACAGCCTCTCGAGTAGGTGGAATTACAGGCATGCACCACTATGCCCAGTTAATTTTTTTTGTTATTTTTAGCAGAGACGGAGTTTCGCCATGTTGGCTAGGCTGGTCTTGAACTCCTGACCTCAAGTGATCTGCCTGCCTTGGCCTCCCAAAATGCTGGGATTACAGGTGTGAGCCACCGCGCCTGGCCACATAGAGATATTTTAAGCTTTGGGAATGTAAGGAGAGGATATAAAATGAACGAGAATAAGACCCATGTCTGAGCACGGTGGAGCACCACTTTTGAAGACATCTGGTAGGTAGGATGGGAAGAGCCAGAGGAACTGGGGAAGCTGGGAAGGCTAAGTGTTACAGAAGCCAAAGAGTATATCAAGGAGAGATAAGTGGCTGAATGTATTGAATGGTAAGTCAAGTAAAATGATAAAATATCTGTTGAATTTAGCAATATGGAAGTTGCTAATGATCTTGGTAAAGAAATATGATGTGGGAAATCGGAAACAGAATGTTGGGAAATTGGAAACAGAATGTTGGGAAATTGGAAACAGTAGAATGTTGAATAGTGATTGGATACGGACGGCATTTTGGAAAGTATTAGTAATTTGGCTGTATCTACTAAAGTTGAAAATGTTCATCCTCTGCAGTAGTTCCACTTCTAGCTGTCTATTCTAGAAGAACTCTCACTCATTGGTACAAAGAGATGTGCATAAAAATGATCATTTAGCATTGTTTGTAATGGCAGAGAAAGGGGAAACTACCTAAATATGTGTCATCTGGAGAGTAGATAAGTAAACTGTGTGGATACACAGTGAAAATAAATGAACTACAGCAATGGATTAACCTCATAATGCTGAGGATTCAAAAAACTGAGTTGTTAAGAGTATACCTTTTTAATAATGTTGAAGAAATATGCAAAACAATTCAGTTTCTTATTTAGAGATATATACATATGTAGTAAAAGTACAAAGAAAATTCCTAGCTGGGTGTGGTGGCTCATGCCAATAATCCCAGCACTTTGGGAGGCCGAGGTGGGCCGATCACTTGAGGTCAGGAGTTTGAGACCAGCCTAGGCAATATGGTGAAACCCCATCTCTACTGAAAATACAAAAATTAGCCTGGTGTTGTGGCAGGTGCCTGTAGTCTCAGCTACTTGGGAGGCTGAGGCAGAAGAATTGCTTGAACCTGGGATGTGGAGGTTGCAGTGAGCCGAGATCGTGCCACTGCACTCCAGCCTGGGGAACCAAGTGAGACTCTGTCTGAAAAAAAAGAAAAAGAAAAGAAATTCCTGAGAATGGTTGACACCAAAATCAGAATAGTGTCTACTGCTTACAGGGGGAGAGAATACTTGGAGATGTGATCAGGAGAAGTACACAGCAGCCTTCAACTATGTTGGTAATGCTTTTATTTCCTAAGGTGGTTGTTTGATGGGTAGCACAACTGTTCACTGTATTGGTCCTTATCTTTTAGGGTAACATTTTATAAAATGAGTGGTTGCTGAGGAGGTGGAGAATCACCAAAAGTCCTTTTGAGAAGCTTGGCTGGAGAGAGATGTGGGGCCAATGAAGACTTTTTTTTTTTTTTGAGACGGAGTCTTGCTTTGTTGCCCAGGCTAGAGTGCAGTGTGGCGATCTCTGCTCGCTGCAACCTCTGCCTCCTGGTTCAAGCGATTCTCCTGCTTCAGCTTCCTGAGTAGCTAGGACTACAGGTTTGCACCACCACGCCTGGCTAATTTTTGTAATTTTAGTAGAGACAGGGTTTTGCCATGTTGGCCAGGCTGGTCTTGAACTCCTGGCTTCAAGTGATCTGCCCGTCTTAGCCTCCCAGAGTGCTGGGATTACAGCAGACATGAGCCACCATGCCTGGCCTTTGTTAAAATTTTTTTAAAGAAGAATATGTTTGAATGCTGATGGAAAGGATTCGTAGGATTCACTAGAGATGGAGAAGTTGAAGTTGTTGGAGAAAAAATCGCAACTGCTAAAGGTCTAGAAGATAGCAAAATGAGGATAATTGTTCTTTGTTAGGAAGATTCGAGTTTTTTTCCTTTGTCACTGGGAGGGAAGAGAATAGATGTAGACGCTGATAGTTTGAAAGTTGATGGTTGATTGATAAAAATATTTTTCTTCCATTGTTTTTTATTTTTATTTTATTTTATTTTTGACATGGAGTCTCGCACCGTCGCCTGGGCTGGAGTGCAGTGGCGCAATCTTGGCTCACTGCAACCTCTGCCTCCTGGGTTCAAGCGATTGTCCTACCTCAGCCTCCCGAGTAGCTAGGATTACAGGCGCCCACCACCATGCCTAGCTTGCTTGCTTGTTTATTTATTTATTTATTGAGATGGAGTTTCGCTCTTATTGCCCAGGCTAGAGTGCAATGGCACGATCTCAGCTCACTACAACCTCTGTCTCCCGTTCAAGCGATTCTCCTGCCTCAGCCTCCCAGGTAGCTGGGATTACAGGCATGTGCCACCATTCCTGGCTAATTTTGTATTTTTAGTAGAGACGGGGTTTCTCCATGTTGGTCAGGCTGGTCTCGAACTCCCAACCTCAGGTGATCTGTCTGCCTCGGCCTCCCAAGGTGCTGGAATTACAGGCGTGAGCCATCGCGCCCGGCCAGGCACGGCTTATTTTTTGTATTTTTAGTTGAGATGGGGTTTCACCATGTTGGCCAGGCTGGTCTTGAACTCCTGACCTCGTGATCGGCCTGCCTCGGCCTCCCAGAGTGCTGGGATTACAGGCATGAGCCACCATGCCTGGCCGCTTTTTATTTTCATTTGTTTATTTTTGAGACCAGGTCTTGCTCTGTTGGCCATGCTGGAGTGCAGTGGCACAAACATAGCTCACTGCAGCCTCAAACTCCTGGGCTCCAGTGATCCTTCTGCCTCAGTCTCCAAGTAGCGAGGACTACAGGCATGCACCACCTTTCCTGGCTAATTTTTACTTTTTTTTTTTTTTTTTTTTGAGACAGAGTCTCGCTCTAGTGCAGTGGCGCGATCTCTGCTCACTGCTAGCTCCGCCTCCCGGGTTCGCGCCATTCTCTCGCCTCAGCCTCCCGAGTAGCCGGGACTGCGGGCACTCACCCTCACGCCTGGCGCGCGCGCGCGCGCGTGTGTGTGTGTGTGTGGTACACATGGGGTTTCACTGTGTTAGCCAGGATGGTCTCAATCTCCTGGCCTCGTGATCCACCCGCAGGATGGTCTCAGTCTCCTGGCCTTGTGATCCACCCGCCTCAGCCTCCCAAAGTGCTGGGATTACAGGCTTGAGGCACCGTGCCTGGCCTAATTTTTACATTTTTTAAGAGATGAGGTCTCACTTTGTTGCCCAGGCTGGTCTGGAACTCCTGGGCTCAAGCGGTCCTTCCACCTTGGCCTCCCAAAGTGCGGGGATTGCAGGTATGAGCCACTGGGCCTGGCCCATTGTTTCTTAAAGCAGAAAAATAATTTATTCCAAAAGATGGCAGAGAGCCAGGTATGATGGCTTATGCTTGTAGTCTCAGCTACTCTGAAGGCTGTGGCAGGGGGATTGCTTGAGCCAAAGAATTTGAAACAAGCCTGAGCAATATGGCAAGACCCCATCTCAAAAAAAAAAAAAAAAAAAAAGGCAGAAATAAGATTTTCATCCTGAAAATGTAATTTGGTGTAGTTTTGTTGGGATCTTCCCTCTCAACATGCCTTCCTACTGATTGCCCCACTGGAGTCTTTTTTGTCTAGTAGCAGTTTTTAGACCCGTCACTGAGTCCCATGTTTTGATAAGGCAAGAGCCATCTTCAAATCTATAAATTCCAAGGGATAGATTAATATATTTCTCAGAAGAGAGCATCTTCTGTCTTGGAAGAGTCCATAAACATTGTGTGGAATCAGCACAGTTTAGGTTAAGTACACACATAATTCATCAAAGTGTAAATAAGGTCAAGGAAAAAGTACTGCATTGTGAAAAAAAATTCAAATGTGGTATGAACATTTAAGGCAGCTGATGCCCCAAACAGGCAAAGTCGAAGAAGGTGGCCTGCATTTGGAGGTGATTTTGCATCCAAAAAGGAATTCGCTTTCTTGATTTCAATGACTGAACACTGTAAAACATGTCTTCTTCCTCAAGGCCAATGATGCTTCAGATACCAGGTGGTTTCATCTTTCAGTCATGGTCTATAGAGAGGGTTGCATTGGGCCAAAATTGCAATCAGCCAAAAGAGAGTGGCAAACTGAACAGGTCACCATCATGGTGATGATAACTCCCCAGTTAGGCCGCTTAGTGACGAACTAGGGCACAAAGAAGCCAACAAAGCCCCAGAACATGCTCGTCACTGTGAGGCCATGATAACGCTGTGTTTGCTGCTGGAGCTGCCTCTCTCTGATTTTTAGTATTGTTTTTTAATCTTTGTCCATTAAGACAAGGTTATTTGTGAATGAAAATTAGGATTGTGGGGAGTCACAGAACTTCGTGAAATACTTGTGAGGAATGGGAAAGAACATTCATCAGAGAAAAACAGTACAATTTCACTTTGGGAGGCTGAGGTGGGCGGATCATGAGGTCAGGAGATCGAGACCATCTTGGCCAACATGGTGAAACCCTGTCTCTACTAAAATACAAAAGATTAGCCAGACATGTTGGCGGGTGCCTGTAGTCCCAGCTGTTTGGGAGGCTGAGGCACGAGAATTGCTTGAACCCAGGAGGCGGAGGTTGCAGTGAGCCGAGATCGTGCCACTGCATTCCAGCCTGGCGACAGAGCAAGACTCCATCTCAAAAAAAAAAGCACAATTTCTGGGAAACTTTGAGGGACGAGTTGAGAATGATTTATGAAATACAGTAAGAAATTCACATAATACATAAGGATGTGATGAAGAAAGCAAAAATGTGTGGAATTGTTATCTTTGTTTTCACGTTTTTCACTACATTATTTTAAACCTGAAGGCTATAGAAGTCTCATGACTAACTTTGGGGCAAAGGTCCTTCTGTGCTAAATATTGTCTTGGGACCTGATGTTTTGTTATTGGCTTTGATCTGTAGGTGTACAACCTTTGTTTCCCTGACTTGTAGGAAGTGACCTCTTCAGACTGTCTCATGGGTAGAGAAATTCTACCAAATGAGGCCAAGAGGGATTTATGTACTGTTGAGGCTTTGTGCTTTAGCATAGTGCATTGTGGTAAAGTTACAGTTTAATAGCAGTTGTAATATACTGGGTTTGAAAATAATTGAAATATTAGCTCAAATCTCATTTTGACTTTCAGAGTTTAAATCACTCAATAATCTTATAGTTGAATGACTCTGTTTTTCAGTAGGATAGTTATTTTAAGACACTAAGTGAAAAAAACAAAAAACAAAAAACATTGTAACAAATTCTGACCTCCACTTGAATGGGGGATGTTAGAATACACATTTTACACTAAATAGTTTTAATTTTTTGTTTTCGAGGCAGAGTCTTACTCTGTTGTGCAGCCTAGAGTGGAGTGGCACAATCTCGGCTCACTGCAATTTTTGCCTCCGAGATTCAAATGATTCTCTTGCCTCAGCCTCCCGAGTAGCTGGGACTACAGGTGCGCGTTACCACACCCGGCTAATTTTTGTAGTTTTAGTAGAGATGGGGTTTGGCCATGTTGGCCAGGCTGGTCTTGAACTCCTGACCTCACGTGATCCACTGCCTCAGTCTCCCAAAGTGCTGGGATTACAGATGCCAGCCACAACGCTCGGTTGTTTTAAATTTTTTAAAATTAAACTTGCAAAAAGTCATAAAGTGTTTTATATACTTATTTAATTTATTTGAGACAGAGTCTCACTCAGTTGCCACAAAGTGCAGTGGCATGATCTCGGCTCACTGCAACCTCTGCTTCCCGGGTTCAAGCGATTCTCGTGCCTCCACCTCCCAAGTAGCTGGGACTACAGGAGCACGCCACCACGCCTGACCTAAAATGTTTTATAACTAATGTATGTGTTTATAAAAAAATTATAGAATGCATTTAATTCCTAGGAATACACATTTAAATTTTTATTTTTAAGGTGTACTAATTTTTTTATTGTGGCAAAATATAAAATTTACTATTTTAATAATTTTACATATACAATTCAGTGGCATTAAGTACATTCACAGTGTTGTACAATCATCAATACTGTCTGTTTCCAGAACTTTTTCATCATCCCAAACAGAACCTCCCCACCTCTATTCTATTTTCGGTCTCTATGAATTTGCCTATTCTAGGTGCCTCATATTAAGTAGAATCATACAATATGTGTCCTTTTGTGTCTGACTTATTTCACATAGCATAACGTTTCAAGGTTCATCTATGTTGTAGCATGTATCAGAATTTCATTCCTTATGGCTAAATAGTATTCCATTATGTATGTGTGTATATATACCACATTTTGCTTATCCGTGTTGATGGATCGTCATCTGTTGATGGACATTTGGGTTGTTTCCATCTTTTCGCTATTGTGAACAATGCTGCTATGAACATTGGTGTACATGGATCTGTTTGAGTCTCTGCTTTCGGTTCTTTTGGATATATTCCTAGGAGTAAAATTGCTGGATCCTATGGTAATTATTTGTTAAAGTTTTTGAGGAACTGCCAATCCATAGCAGCTGCACCATTGCATATTCCCACCAGCAGTGCACAAAGGTTACAATTTGTCTGCATCCTCACCAACACGTGTTATTTTGTGTTTTTGTTTTTATCATAGCCATCCTAATGGGTGTGGAGTGATATTGTGGGTTTTTTTCTTTCACTAAACTTTACTTGTTTATTAATTTATTTTTTTTGAGACAGAGTTTTGCTCTTGTTGCCCAGGCTGGAGTGCAATGGTGCAATCGTGGCTCACCACAACCTCCGCGTCCCGGGTTCAAGCAATTCTCCTGCCTCATCCTCCCGAGTAGCTGGGATTACAGGCTTGCGCCACCACGCCTGGCTAATTTTGTATTTTTAGTAGAGACGGGGTTTTTCCATGTTGGTCAGGCTAGTCTCAAACTCCTGACCTCAGATGATCCGCCTGCCTCAGCCTGCGAAAGTGCTAGGATTACAGGCGCGAGCCACCGTGCCCGGCCTGTTTATTTTTATTTTTATTTTGAGATGGAGTCTTGTTCTGTCGCCCAGGCTGGAGTGCAGTGCAGTGGTGCAGTGTTGGCTCACTGCAACCTCCACCTCCCAGGTTCAAGCAATTCTCCTGTCTCAGCCTCCCAAGTAGCTGGGATTACAGGTGCCCACCACCATGCCCAGCTAATTTTTGTATTTTTAGTGGAGACGGGGTTTCACTATGTTGGCCAGGCTGGTCTCGAACTCCTGATCTCAGGTGATCCTCCTGCCTTGGCCTCCCAAAGTGCTGGGTTTACAGGCGTGACCCACCATGCCCAGTGTTGTTTGTTTTTAAAAGTAGGCAGTCAAGTGTGGGAGTGAGAAGGGGTCAAAGACTAGAGCAAGGGGTTCAGTCTATAACTTGACTGTGAACAATCAGTTGAGATAACTGACTACCTTCGAACCAGCCTCTCATTAAACTTTGTTTCATGGGTCTCAAAATTCTGAGACAGATTCTTGGTTAAGTCGCTTCCATTGAACAGTACTGATTTTAAAAACTAGTAATTTAAAACTGCCACATGAAAAAAACTGAAAATGGATCACAAAACAGTCATCTTTTCCTTCTGAAGATTTCACCATGCACTGTTATCATTAACCAGTCTTTTACTGTTAAACTTAAATGGCCAATCGAAACAAACAATTCTGAGACTGTTCTTCTACCATTGATTGAGACTGGGGTGGCAGGTATTAGGGATGATATTCATTTAGTCTTCCGAGCTTTCTGGGCAGACTCGATGATATTGCCAGGTCCAGGAGCCTTCTTGTCCACTGTTTTTGTTTTTTTAATTAAAAAAAATTTTTTTTTCTTTTTTTTTTTTTTGAGATGGAATTTCACTCTTGTTGCCCAGGCTGGAGTGCAATGACATGGTCACGGCTCACTGCAACCTCCACCTCCCGTGTTCAAGTGATTCTCCTGCCTCAGCCTCTCAAGTAGCTGGGATTACAGGCGCCTGCCACCATGCTTGGCTAATTTTTGTATTTTTAGTAGAGATGGGGTTTCACTCTGTTGGCCAGACTGGTCTTGAACTCCTGACCTCAGGTTGTCCGCCTGCCTCAGCCTCCAAAGTGCTGGGATTACGGGCGTGAGCCAATTTTAAATTTTTTGAGAGAGAGTCTCACTCTGTCACTCAGGCTGGAGTGCAGTGATACTACCTTGACTCATTTGAACTTCCACCTCTCAGGCTCAAGCATTCCCCAGACCTCAGTTTCCTGAGTAGCTGGGACCACAGACGCATGCCACCACACCCAGCTAATTTTTTGTATTTTTTGTAGAGATGGAGTTTCACCATGTTGCCCAGGGTGGTCTCAAACTCCTGAGCTTGAGTGATTCTCCTGCCATGGCTTCCAAAGTGCTGGGATTACAGGTGTGAACCACCGTGCCTGACCTTCTGGCCTTATCCTCTGTTTTTTTTTGGAGACAGAGTCTCGCGCTGTCGCCCAGGCTGGAGTGCAGCGGCACGATCTCGGCTCACTGCAAGCTCCGCCTCCTGGGTTCACGCCATTCTCCTGCCTCAGCCTCCCGAGTAGCTGGGACTACAGGCGCCCGCCATTACACCTGGCTAATTTTTTGTATTTTTAGTAGAGATGGGGTTTCACCGTGTTAGCCAGGATGGTCTTGATCTCCTGACCTTGTGATCTGCCCTCCTCAGCCTCCCAAAGTGCTGGGATTACAGGCTTATCCTCTGTTTTGATGACACTCACAGCAACTGTTTGTCTTACATTATGAACAACAAAACAACCCAAAGAAGGATAGTCAGAAGCTCTCAACACACGTGTGGGCTTGCCAGGAATTTTATCAAAGATGGGAGCATTACCAGATTTCAAGAATTTAGGGCCATCTTTCACCTTACCAGAATGGCAATCCGTCTTTCCCTTCAGCTCAGGAAACTTGCAGGCAGTGTGAGCCATGTGGCAATCCATTACAGGAGCATAGCCAGCACTGATTTGGACTGGGTGGTTCAGGATAATCACCTGAGCAGTGAAGCCAGCTGCTTCCATTGGTGGGTCATTTTTCCTGTCACCAGCAACATTGCCATGATGAACATTTTTGACAGATACGTTCTTGATGTTGAAGCCCCCATTGTTCCCAGGAAAAACTTCACTCAAAGCTTCATGGTATATTGCAACAGATTTGGCTTTAGTTGTAACATTGACTGGAGCCAAGGTGACCTCTATGCTGACACCAGTCTCCACTTGGCCTACAGAGATAGTACCAATACCACCAATTTTGTAGATATTTTGGAGAGACAGACACAAGGGCTTGTCAGTTGGACAAATTGGTAGTAGGATGCAATCCAGAGCTTCAAGCAGGGTGTTTATACTGGCATTTGCCATCTTTACAGGTGACTTTCCATCCCTTGAACCAAGGCATGTTAGCACTTGGCCACAGCATGTTGCCATCATTCCAACCAGAAATTGGCACAAATGCTACTGTGTTGGGGTTGTGGCCAACTTTCTTATTGTAAGGGCTGACTTCCTTAACCATTTCCTTGTATCTCTTCTGTTTGTAGGGCGGCTAAGTGGAATCCATTTTGTTAACTCCAGCAATTAGCTGTTTCACACCCAGTGTGTAAGTCAGAAGGAGATACCAGCTTCAAATTCACCAGCTGCAACAATCAGGGTAGCACAGTCAGCCTGAGATGTGCCTGTAATCATGCTTTTTAAAAAATCTTTGTCTTGGGGCGTCAACTAGTTACATAATACTTTCTGGCCTCAAGTTTCCGCAGGGAACTGTCATCAGTGCCACCACCCTCACACTCAGCTTTCAGTTTATCCAAGACCCAGGTGTACTTGAAGGACCCCTTTCCCATCACAGTAGCCTTGTAGAGACTGGGTCTCATCATGTGGCCCAAGGTGGTCTTGAACTCCTGAGCTCAAGCGATCCTCATGCCTCGGCCTCCCAAACTGCTGGGATTACAGGCATGAGCCACTGCACCCAGGTGATAAATGGTATTTTGTCAAGTGGCAGGATTAATAATATCTGACATGGGCCGGGTGCAATGGCTTACGCCTCTAATTCCAGCACTTGGGAGGCCGAGGTGGGTGGATCACCTGAGGTCGGGAGTTTGAGACTAGCCTGACCAACATGGAGAAACCCCATCTCTACTTAAAATACAAAATCATCCTGGCATGGTGGCGCATGCCTGTAATCCCAGCTACTCGGGAGGTTGAGGTAGGAGAATCACTTGAATCCGGCAGGCGAAGGTTGTGGTGAGCCGAGATGGTGCCATTGCACTCCAGCCTGGGCAACAAGAGCGAAACTCTGTCTTTAAAAAAAAAAAAAAAAAAAAGGTCAAAAGGACTGAGTTCAGGGGGCTTCCAGAAAGGTAACCTAGAACATGTTCATGTAGTGAGAGGGTGGCACACCTTTCTCCAAGGGAATTGAAGCTCCTTCACCATTGTACATCTTGCCTCTGTAACTCTTCATTTGACGGTTTATTTATATCCTTTAAAATAACATTTGTAAGAGCCTAGTAACCAGGTTTCCATTAATTCTGTGAGCTTCTCCAGCAAATTATTAAAACTGAAGGAAGGGGTTGCAGAACCCTGATTTTTAGCCAGTTGGTCAGAAGCACAGGTAAAAACAACCTGGGACTTGGGATTGACATCAAAAGTGGGGAGCAGCCTTGGGGACTGAACCCTCACTCAACCTGTGGGGTCTGACAGTATCTCCAGGTAGGAGACAGAGAACACCCAGCTGGTATTTTCTGAAGAATTGATTGCTTACTTTTTTTTTTTTTTTTTGAGATGGAGTCTTGCTCTGTTCCCCGGGCTGGAGTGCACTGGTGCGATCTCGTCTCACTGCAACCTCTGCCTCCTGGGTTCAAGCGATTCTCCTGCCTCAGCCTCCTAAGTAGCTGGGATTAAGGCATGTGCCACCATGCCCTGTCAATTTTTGTATTTTTAGTAGAGGAGGGGATTCCCCGTGTTGGCCAGGCTCATCTCAAATGCCTGACCTCAGGTAATCTGCCCTCGTTGGCCTCCTAAAGTGCTGGGATTGCAGGCGTGAGCCACCGCGCCTGGCCAATTGCTTGCTTGTGCGTGCGAAAAAAAACCCCACACATCTGGTGTTAGAAGGATGTTGTGAGAGTATTGTGTGAGAAACTGAGTTTGTTGGCTGGGCACTGTGGCTCACACCTGTAATCCCAGCACATTTGGAGGCCAAGGTGAGCAGATCTCTTGAGATCGGGAGTTGGAGACCAGCCTGGGCAACATTGCGAAACCCTGTCCCTACAAAAATACAAAAAAAGTTAGCCAGGTGTGGTGGTGTGTGCCTGTAATTCCAGTTATTTGGGAGGCTGAGGCATGAGAATCATTTGAACCTCGGAGTCTGAGGTTGCAGTGAGCTGAGATTGTGCCACTGCTTTCCAGCCTGGGAGATAGAGTGAGACACTGTCTCAAAAAAAATAAAAAAGAAAAGAAAAGAAACTGAGCTTGTTTATTCCTGTATTCTCATAGCTATAAAATAGTTTTGCCCGTTTGACAAAGATATACTTCAGATTGACTCATTTAAATTTCATGTTAACGTTGGAGGAGTTGAAATTACTGGAATTATTGCTTTTGGAGAAAACTTATTTCATCTTAGCCAGAGATAGTGATGGTAAGAGACACAGGAGGCAAAAAAAATCGAACCAATATATTTGATACAAAAAGATCAGAAAAAAATAGAGAATAAGCACTATAACTGGTATATTAATTTTTTCTTTTCTTTCTTTTTTTTTTTTGAGATGTAGTTTCGTTTTGTCACCCAGGCTGGAGTTCAGTGATGCAATCTCAGCTCACTGCAACCTCCGCCTCCTGAGTTCAAGCTTTTCTCCTGCATCAGCCTCCTGAGTAGCTGGGATTACAGGCACCTGCCACCATGCCTGGCTAATTTTTGTATTTTTGGTGGAGATGGGGTTTCACCGTGTTGGCCAGGCTGGTCTTGAATTCTTGACCTCAGGTCATCCGCCTGCCTCGGCCTCCCAAAGTGCTGGGATTACAGGAGTGAGCCACAGCACCCGACCTAATTATTACAGTGAGTTAATTTAGTTCTTAGCTTCCTGGTAGCCTTATAAGTGTTCACTTGTGTGACTTTGATTGTTTAAAAAACCAGTTTCTTTGACATTGAATTACAGAAAGAATTTTATTATAGGAATCACCTATTTTTACAAGAGATATAGAAATACTTCTTGAATGATTATTTCAGTGCTGCTCAATCTATAAAATAAAATCATACTTTATTTTTTGTTTTTATTTTTATTTTTTTTTGAGACGGAGTCTCCCTCTGTCGCCCAGGCTGGAGTGCAGTGGTGCGATCTCGACTCACTGCAAGCTCCGCCTCCCGGGTTCACGCCATTCTCCTGCCTCAGCCTCCCGAGTAGCTGGGACTTCAGGCGCCCACCGCCACGCCCGGATAATTTCTTTTTATATTTTTAGTAGAGATGGGGTTTCACTGTGTTAGCCAGGATATCTCAATCTCCTGACCTTGTGATCTGCCCGCCTCCGCCACCCAAATTGCTAGGATTACAGGCGTGAGCCACCGCACCCGGCCTTTATTTTTATTTTTTTGAGATGGAGTCTTGCTCTTGTCACCCAGGCTGGAGTCCAGTGGTGCGATCTTGACTCACTGCAACCTCCGCCTCCCAGGTTCATGCAGTTCTCCTGCCTCAGCCTCCTGAGTAGCTGGGATTATAGGCACCTGCTACCACGGCAGGCTACTTTTTTGTATTTTGTAGTAGAGATGGGGTTTCACTGCATTGGCCAGGCTGGTCTTGAACTCCTTACCTCCAGTGATCCGCCCGCCTTGGCCTCTCAAAGTGCTGGGATTACAGTTGTAAGCCACCGCTCCTGGCCTTAAGCCAAAGTTCAGGCTCATGCCTGTAATCCCAGCACTTTGAGAGGCCAAGGCAGGCAGATCACCTGATGTCTGGAGTTTGAGACCAGGAGTTTGGCCAACTCGGTGAAACCCCATCGCTACTAAAAATACAAAAATTAGCCGGGCGTGGTGGCAGGTGCCTGTAATCCCAGCTACTCAGGAGGCTGAGGCAGGAGAATCAATTGAACCTGGGTGGTGGAGGTTGCAGTGAGCCGAGATCGTGCCATCGCACTTCAACCTGGGGGACAAGAGCGAGACTTCGTCTCAAAAAAAAGAAAAAAGAAGTTGCAGATCTTTCAGGATTTAAATTTAAGGAAACTGGTAGTTAACATATTCCTTAGTCTCTCAGGTATAAATAACTTTGTATGTTGGCAGAACCATAGCCCAAGAGGCCTATTTGAAGCCTGGTTGTTAGTGATATAAAACTATTACTTGGTTCAAATGTGATGGAGTATAATATGTTCTTTGGTTTTGTTTTATGAATACTTAAGTTTTGTGGTATTCTTTAAAGATTGAAATAGAGTTCTATAGAGTGCTAAGTATTAGCGAAACCAAAGAAATCCTGTTTAAGCTTATTAGAAAATTGTATACATTAAGCTTATTAGAAAATTGTATACATACAAAACAATTTGAAAACATATCTGAAACACTTAGAACATTCTTTTTTTTTTTTTTTTGAGAAAGGGTCTCGTTCTGTCTCCCAGGCTGGAGATCAGTGGCACAATCATGGCTCACTGCAACCTCTGCCTCCTGGATTCAAGTGATTCTCTTGCTTGAGCCTCCCGAGAAGCTATTACAGGTGTCCACCACCACACCTGGCTAAATTTTATTTTTAGTAGAGATGCAGTTTTGTCATGTTGGCTAGGCAGGTCAAGCGATCCTCCCACCTCGGGTCCCTTTTTTTTTTTTTTTTCTAAACATTAAATTGCCTTTTTTTTTTTTTTTTTTTTTTGAGATGAGTCTCTCTCTGTCGCCCAGGCTGGAGTGCAGTGGTGCCATCTCAGCTCACTGCAATCTCTGCCTCCCGGGTTCACGCCATTCTCCTGCCTCAGCCTCCTGAGTAGCCGGGACTACAGGCGCCTGCCACTGCACCTGGCTAATTTTTTGTATTTTTAGTAGAGACGGGGTTTCACCGTGTTAGCCAGGATGGTCTCGATCTCCTGACCTTGTGATCTGCCCACCTCGGCCTCCCAAAGTGCTGGGTTTACAGGCGTGAGCCGCTCAGGCCGTTAAATTGCTTTTATTGCATGACACTTAGTATGCAAATCAGGAGGTTTTAATTTTAAATGTTTGCTTTCACTAGTTCTAACCACTGATTAAAGTCCTCAAAAGTACTTGGTTGCTCTCATGCCTGTAATCCCAGCACTTTGGGAGGCCAAGGTGGGAGGATCACTTGAGGTCAGGAGTCCAGCCTGGCCTGGCCAACATGGTGAAATCCTGTCTCTACTAAAAATAAAAAAATTAGCCAGCCATTGGCATGCACCTGTAATCCCAGCTACTCAGGAGGCTGAGGTAGGAGAATCGCTTGAACCCGGGAGGCATAGGTTGTGGTGAGCTGGGAGATCGCACCACCGCACTCCAGCCTGGATGATAGAGCAAGACTCTGTTTCAAAAAAAAAAAAAAGAGTATAATACTGCTTTGTTACTAATTCTAATTTTATAATTATAGTTTCTGATGAACTTTAATTTTCTGATTTGATTTATGAATTATAGGCCAGAAATGCTCCACACATATAACCTGATTGTTTCTTTCTGGGCTCCAGTGAGCCTTTTTTTTTAAAAAAAAAAACAAAACCAGGTCTGATTATTTAATCTGTCTCCAGGGAAGAGTGTTGCAGATTCCCTGGTAATCCCTAGTGCCAGAGTTTGCCAGCCTTTACTACCATTGTCTGTTTAATCAAAATCCTTGCTGCTATAAATTGGCTGTATTTCTCTTGGTTTGTTCTAGTGAAAATAAGACAAACTGTCCTGATTATAGAGATGGGACTTCCATTTTCCCCTCACTCCAAAGACTTCCTTTTTCAATACAAGTTTAGTTGCTGTTACTAATCCAAGTTAATTTTTGATTCTATCACTGAAAACCTGGGTTTTGCCATTTATTGAGGTGTTAATTGAAATATTAATATATTTAGAGCAGAAATGTCGTTTTTTAGGGAATCTAGAGCAACAGCAAAGCTGAGGTCAAACTACCGTAAGGATGGACACCAAGGAAGCTGTGTTTGGGACAAAAAGAAATCAAGATAAGGTAGATGCAAAGTAGAGAAAAGAACTGGACCCTGGGGGGAAGGGTGGTAGTTGGGAGTGGGTTATATGCTTCTAAGGGCAAAGAATAGGCAGATTTCTGAAGAGGAGGGCCCAAAAGGAAATACTGAGGATTTGTGTTCAAATACTACGTTCCCTCTGAATGTACAAGTTTTTGCTTTTAGCTAACAGAGTACTTCAAACATTGATAAGGTTAAGTGTTTTGTTGGGGTGGGTTCTAATATTCTGGGCTAGTGTTTCCTTGGAATAGTTGTGGAAGACACTATTGGTATTTGTTGATAAAACCATTACCAAAACCCAGCTTCAGCACTAATGCCTGTTATTACTTGGAGGTCAAAAGGGAATCTGTGATTGAAGTGTTAAGCTGACAAAATCTGTACAGAATATTTAATTTTTCCTTTTATTTCTGTGATACAAAGATTGTGTTTCTTTTCATAGCAACATGAACCGTGAAGACCGGAATGTGCTGCGTATGAAAGAACGGGAAAGGCGGAATCAGGAAATTCAGCAGGGCGAAGACGCCTTCCCACCTAGCTCTCCTCTCTTTGCAGAGCCATACAAAGTTGTAAGTTGCCCTTCTGTGAATGTTTTTTTCCCATTAGCATGACATTTTTGCTTTTAAAATGTTTCACACTTGAATGTTTATATTAGAAAAGAATTACTATGAATACCACTTAACATTTTTTTCCTGTCCTTTACATAGAAGATATTTTTTGGGGATAAACTTTTCTTTGGAGTATATTATGCTTACAGAAAAATACACAACATAGGTATTATGGCTTGAAGAATTTTCACAGCATCAACAGCTTCATACAACTCAGATCAAGAAATAGAGCATTACCAGCACCCTAAAAGTCGTTTTCCAACCCACCTCCTATTGCTGTCCTGTGTTCTTAAAAATGTGGTCTGAGTTGGCTCATACATTTACCTCTATTTTCCTAGTTGTGCTACTAACCATCGGCGGGTACTTCACCATTCTGAATTTTGAATTAAATTAGAATTTTGTAACTCAATTTGCATTGTTTGATTTTTCCTAGGTGTTCTTTAAGTGTGATATCAATAAAAAATGAATATTTCATAGATGCTTTTGTTTCTTCTCACTGCCATTTGCTACTTAGTTTACAAAGTTTCAGAGATTATTAGTATGTTTGAATAAATGTGTCTTCAGTATCAGTCTGATTTCTTTTTCTGTTGTTATAGACAGTCATTTGGGTATCACTTTTTTCATTAAATTTTTGTTTCTGCTTCTAACTATAACATTGAGTTATGAGGAATATAATATTTTCATAAACTGCCAAAATACGAATGTTAGCTAATCTGCTGGACTGTGGAAGTTAATTTTTTTTTTTTTTTTTTTTTTTTTTTGAGACGGAGTCTTGCTCTGTCGCCCAGGTTGGAGTGCAGTGGCGCGATCTGGGCTCACTGCAAGCTCCGCCTCCCGGGTTCACGCCATTCTCCTGCCTAAGCCTCCAGAGTAGCTGGGACTACAGGCGCCTGCCACCATGCCCGGCTAATTTTTTGTATTTTTAGTAGAGACAGGGTTTCACCATGTTAGCCAGGATGGTCTCGATCTCTTGACCTCATGATCCGCCCGCCTCAGCCTCCCAAAGTGCTGGGATTACAGGCCTGAGCCACTGTGCCCAGCTGGAACTTAATTTTATAAAGGCAGATTACTTTTCTGTTCTTCAAAAGTTTTTTTTTTTTTTTATGAGAAGGAATCTTGTTCTTTCGTCTAGGCTGGAGTGCCATGTCATGATCTCGGCTCATTGCCACCACTGACTTCTGGGTTCAAGTGATTCTCCTGCCTCAGCCTCTCGAGTAGCTGGGATTACAGGCGTGCACCACCTTGCCGGGCTAGTTTTTTTTTTTTTTTCGGAGATGGAGTCTTACTGGAGTGCAATGACGCAATCTCTGCTCACTGCAACCTCTGCTTCCCGGGTTCAAGCGATTCTCCTGCCTCAGCCTCCTGAGTAGCTGGGATTACAGACACCCGCCACCACGCCTAGCTTATTTTTGTATTTTTAATAGAAACGGGGTTTCACCATGTTGGCCAGGCTGGTCTCCAACTCCTGATGTCAGGTGATCCGCCCACCTTGGCCTCCCAAAGTGCTGGAATTATAGGTGTGAGCCACCATGTCTGGCCACACCCGGCTAACGTTTGTATTTTTGCTAGAAATGGGTTTTCACCATGTTGGCCAGGCTGGTCTGGAACTCCTGACATCAGGTGATCTGTCCGTCTTGGCCTCCCAAAGTGCTGGGATTACAGGTGTGAGCCACTGCACCTGGCCTTTCAAAATACTTTGTGTATTTAAAAGACAGTCTTGCTATGTTACCCATGCTGGAGTGCAGTTGCTCTTCACAGGTGAAATCATAGTGCACTGGAGCCTCAAAATCTTGGAATTGAGCAAACCTGCCTCAGCTGCCCAGAGTAGCTGGGAGTACAGGCACGTGCCACTGTGCTCGGATTATATTTTACTATGGTTATTTTTAGGCACTTTTCAATGATTTTTTTTTTCACTACAGAAATGATATATTTGGAGTTTGCTTCAAGGTATTAACGTTAAGATATGAGGTAAAGCCTCCCTTTGAAAAGCCCCTTTCCATTCGAAGTTTGGAAAATTAGTTCAGAATTATATTTTATTTCTGATTATGCTCATTTTATAATTTTATTTTATTTTATTTTTTTGTAGACTAGCAAAGAAGATAAGTTATCAAGTCGTATTCAGAGTATGCTTGGAAACTACGATGAAATGAAGGATTTCATAGGAGACAGATCTATACCAAAGCTTGTTGCAATTCCCAAGCCTACAGTACCACCATCAGCAGATGAAAAATCTAACCCAAATTTCTTTGAACAGAGACATGGAGGCTCTCATCAGAGTAGCAAATGGACTCCAGTAGGACCCGCACCCAGCACTTCTCAGTCTCAGAAACGGTCCTCAGGCTTACAGAGTGGACATAGTAGCCAGCGGACCAGCGCAGGTAGCAGTAGTGGCACTAACAGTAGTGGTCAGAGGCACGACCGTGAGTCATATAACAATAGTGGGAGCAGTAGCCGGAAAAAAGGCCAGCATGGATCAGAACACTCCAAATCACGTTCTTCCAGCCCTGGAAAACCCCAGGCTGTTTCTTCATTAAACTCTAGTCATTCCAGGTCTCATGGGAATGATCACCATAGCAAGGAACATCAACGCTCCAAATCACCTCGGGACCCTGATGCAAACTGGGATTCTCCTTCCCGTGTACCTTTTTCAAGTGGGCAGCACTCAACTCAATCTTTCCCACCCTCATTGATGTCAAAGTCCAATTCAATGTTACAGAAACCCACTGCCTATGTGCGGCCCATGGACGGACAGGAGTCCATGGAACCAAAGCTGTCCTCTGAGCACTACAGCAGCCAATCCCATGGCAACAGCATGACTGAGCTGAAGCCCAGCAGCAAAGCACATCTCACCAAGCTGAAAATACCTTCCCAACCACTGGATGTAAGTCACACATTTAGAGCTTTTAACATTGTGACTACGTGAAGCAATTGACTGATCATGAAATTACGATTGAACTTGAACACTGCTTCCTTGCCTTAATAGTAAGGAATGTAAAAGTTGAAAGATGAAAAAAATGTAAAGACAGACTTGTGAGTTACTCCCAAGTGGATGCGTAGATCTGTTAACTCGTCCTCTTGGGAAATGGAGAAAATGTCATTCACAGTTTTCAAATACTTAGATGACAAGTCAGTTATAGAATAAAAGAATGACTAATTGATATCTTAGATTTCTGCATTTTGATTTTATAGAACAATATACCTTTGTTGTTGTTTAAAAACAAAATTAACTTTTCTATGCTTAGATTGATACTAATGAATGAGATGCAGGTGATGGTTTATGGTTATGATAAATGGGACTTTTGGGTCTGTGGAAATAGTAATATTGTATACTTTGAATGCTATGATCCTTTTCTCTGGTTATACTTAAAGGATTAAGACAGCTGCTCCAGGTTCATAGTGATGGTTTGAAATTTAAATTGAATTGCTTACCAAAGCATTTTGGAACATTTCATTGTGAAATAGCTGAAATTATATCTTTTTTTTTCAAGATGGGTGTCTCATAATGTTGCCCAGGCTGGTCTGGAACTCCTGGCCTCAAGCGATCCTCTCATCTTGGCCTTCAAAGTGCTAAGGTTACAGACATGACCATCATGCCTGGCCCAAATTTTATCTCTCTCTTTTTTTTTTTTTGAGTTGGAGTTTCGCTCTTGTTGCCCATGCTAGAGTGCAACGGCACGATTTCGGCTCACTGCAACCTCTACCTCCCAGGTTCAAGCGATTCTCCTGCCTCAGCCTCCCGAGTAGCTGGGATTACAGGCATGTGCCACCATGCCCGGCTAATTTTGTATTTTTAGTAGAGATGGGGTTTCACCATGTTGGTCAGGCTGGTCTTGAACTCCTGACCTCACGTGATCCGCCCGCCTCGGCCTCGCAAAGTGCTGGGATTACAGGCGTGAGCCACCGCGCCTGGCCCCAAATTTTATCTTTTAATGTAGTTTGTGCAATAAAAAAAAATTTGGAAAGTGACGTCAGTAGCCAAAAAATTACAACTCTTAGCTCAAAATGGTGGAAGGAAGAATCTGCGTAATGTAAAATGCTGTTTTGCAAACATTTAAAACATCTTTCCAGTGGCCTTGGGAAACTCATTTTGAGTGGCATTTGTTATCTGATTACTCCTCTCAAGAGAACAGTAAAATGGTAATTTGTTCTTTCCTTAAACAACATGATCTTTAGAGTTTGACTTGAGTTCGGCTCTCTAATTCCTGTTTGTGCCTTAGAATAAGCAATTTGGTTTTTGTGACTTAGAAAGACTATGTAAAATGTCCATGTTCCAGACTAGTAATCTTTCAGTAATACTTGTTTAACCCATTTATGCTTGGTGTTCCATTATTGGAATGCTAAGCTCGTAGGAGTTACTTACGTCCTACTGCTCAAGGTCATCGCTAAGGTACGATTTTTCACACAAAAAATTTGCAGCCTCTGGCATAAATGGGTTAACTTTGTTTATGTGAAATGATGTATCTCAGTATCATGATATGTTTTATATATAGGTAAGATTAAATTTTTAGACAAGCTGCACACCTGAAAAATTACATTCTAAAAATTATTTCTAATCTAAAATATAGGATAAAAAACTTAAAACCTTTGAAAACTATAAAGTTCCCCCAGCTTTGTATAGTTTGGTGATTAAAATTTTCTGGTGCTTGAAAAATTTATATTTAAGGAAATTAATCCAAAGATTCTAACCAGTGTACTGATTTAGAGTAGTGGGGTCATAAATACTTTTAATAATGTTTTTAAATCTGTGAAGCAAATACTAAAAATCTACTGATAAAAATCTAATGTGTGCTGCTTTTTCTTTCAAGGCATCAGCTTCTGGTGATGTGAGCTGTGTGGATGAAATCCTAAAAGTAAGTTTTTTAAAAAAAATCATTTCAATTTCTTTAATTTTTTATGCTCTGCCACCTTCTTACCCTCTTTCTACCTGTATTTCACAAAGGATCTGAAGCAACAGATTGCTTATATTTGTAACTTGATTATGTCCATCATAAATAATTTACTCTCTTCTTTGTTTACCATTTGCCTTCAGAGAGCTAGTTTTGTTCTTTGTGTTTTTTTTTGTTGTTGTTGTTTGTTTGTTTTTTGAGATGAAGTCTCACTCTGTCGCCCAGCCTGGAGTGCAGTGGCGCGATCTTGGCTCACTGCAACCTCCACCTCCCAGGTTCAAGCAATTCTTTAACCTTAGCCTCCTGAGTAGGTGGGATTACAGGCTCCCGCCATCATGCCCGGCTGATTTTTGTATTTTTGCGGAGTTGGGGTGGCCAGGCTGGCCTGGAACTCCTGACCTCAGGTGATCCACCTGCTTCGGCCTCCCAGAGTGCTGGGATTACAGGTGTGAGTCACCGCGCCTGGCCGCGTTCTTTGCTTTTAAGTAAAATAAATTTTAATCTTAACACTTACTTTGCCTGGAAAACATTAACAAGCCAATTATAACTGTACTTTCTCATGCTTAACTGTTAATAATTTGAAGTGCAAAAAACTCAGTAGTTATCAGTCAAACCATTATGATCAAAATACCTTGCTTTGGTTCATCTTGTACATACTGGTCAAATCTTACAGTAATAGATTTCCTTCCAGTTTTGCACATTTATTTTTTCTTGATATGGAGTCTCACTCTGTTACCCAGTCTGGAGTACAGTGGCATTATCTAGGCTCACTGCTACCTCTGTCTCCTGGGTTCAAGCAATTCTTGTGCCTCAGCCTCCTGAGTAGCTGGGATTACAGGTGCCCACCACCATGTCCAGCTAATTTTTGTATTTTTAGTAGAGATGGGGTTTCACCACTTTGTCCGGGCTGGTCTTGAACTTCTGACCTCCAGTTACTCCCCACTCCCCCATCCTCCTGCCCGGCCTCCCAAAGTGCTGGGATTATAGCCTGAGCCACTGCACCCGGCTGCTTTACACATTTTTTTTTTTTTTTTTGAGCCAGAGTTTTACTCTGTCACCCAGGTTGGAGTGCAGTGGCGTGATCTCAGCTCACTGCAACCTCCGCCTCGCAGGTTCAAGTGATTCTTCTGCCTCAGCCTCCTGAGTAGCTGGGATTATAGGCATCTGCCACCATGCCTGGCTAATTTTTTTTTTTTTTTTTTTTTTTTAGTAGAGATAGGGTTTCACCATGTTGGCCAGGCTGGTCTGGAACTCCTGTCTGCCTGCCTTGGCCTCCCAAAGTGCTGGGATTATAGGTATGAGCCACCACGCCCAGCCAACATTTTGGGTATTTAATGACACATGTTTAAAATTGACACATGACCAAAAAGTACATTACTCTATTGGAAAAAGAGAAAGTCCAGTGAATTAGTGAATGACAATGACTACTTTTTGCTTAGTAGAGAAAACTGTCAGTCACATATTACTTGTATTTTCTTTTTTATTTTTTTTTGTGAGCTCCTGAATTTGTGTCTATACTTAAATTCACTGTGAACACCTTTGAAAGACTACCTGCATTGGTTGCTTCCACTCTTTTCTTTCCCATTCCTTCCTTTAGCCCACTATAATCTCCCTTTTACCTCTGCCATTTTGCTGAACCTGTTTCTCTATGGTCATTATCTTTCTCCCTCCATCCAGAGGCATCATTTGAGTTCTTTTTTATTCTTTCTGCTATGTATTTTTTCCTTCTGCAAACATTCTTCTTTCCTTGACTGTTTTTATGCTTCATTGTTTTTATTTGCCTTCCACCTTTCTTGCCTCTCTTTCTTTGCCCTTTTTGGAACCCTTGTGCCTTCTCTTGTTTCTTAAGTGCAGGTGCATTCTTCTAGCCTCTGCTCTTTGACTTGCCTTTTCCACCATTCTTGGCTTTATCTCTTAGACAGCTATTTAGTCTTTCTGTCCTACACTGGCCTTTGGGTTTTGGTTTGTCTCTTAATTGCTTCTTAGCTGAGTTTCCATTTGGATTTATTTCTCTTTGCCTCTTCAGACTCAACATGTCTAAAGCCATACTTATCAGACTTCCTTGGATTAGTAGTACACCGTTTTCCCATGCTTGTAACTGTAGAATCCTAAATATCTCTAATTTCTTCCTCATGTTCTATGTAGTTGCAAAACTAGATGTAGACTTTAAAATTTTTGCTTTTTAAATATCCATTCCTTTCTTCCCGTTTCTGCCGCCTTGAGCTTCAGTAATTATAACAGAGGCCTCATTCAGCCTTTCTGCCTCCAGAATCTCCCTACTCATATGTCTTTTGCATTGCTACCTGATTCTTTACTTCAGGCCCTGTGGTCTTCATAAATTAATTTTTCCCTAAAAATTTTCAGTGGCTCTCTAAGATTATAGAAAGAATAGTATCCAAATTTAATATCCGCAGGCCAATCCTAACCTCTCTCATTACTGACTGACCGCTTTTGCTAAACTGGTTTCCCTAAGCCACATACATTCTTTCTCTTTTACCTCCTTAAATAAAGTAAGCTTGGAATGTATTTCTCCTCCCTCTTCAGTTATATATAGATTTTTTTTCCCTGTAATCCCAATGAAATACTTCTTCCCCCGTATCAGATTGTGAGACCACAGTGATAGCTCTTTCATTTGAATCTCATTCATTTCTTAGTTGCCATGTATATAAAAAGTGTAAGGGAGCATAAATATTTTCCTCTGAATCCTCAACAGTTCATAGAATTATTAGTATGTGGAAGATTTTCTTACATTTAATGATCTCTTTAATGTTATTGACATCCATATTTTATATGTGCAGGGGCTTGGCACTTGGCCTTTAGTTAATAGGTGCTCAGTCATTCGATGATAATTGGAGAATTAAATCAAATTTTCAGTTGAGAGTTTTGATATTTGAGATATAAAATGCCAATGTTAAAAACCTGAGTTTATGAATTTTTGTTTCCTTTTCCCTTTCCTGTCTGTAGTATGCAAGGAACTTCAGGTGTGTGTTCCCTTCATGTTTTCTTTGTATTTGTAGTCATATCATTTTTAGGAACCCCATCATGAACTTAAAAAAAAATTCACTCTAAATGTATATTTATTGAAAAAATGATTTATTCAAGGCATGCTCATTAAGCACCTACTTTGTGTCAACCACTGGGAATACAGTGGTCATAATGTTATGCCTTTGAGCTGATATTCTAGAGCTGGATGTAGGAAGCAATCTATTACATAATATTATTTCAGGAAGTGAAATTCTATTAAAAATCAAAGCATTTTAAGGGAATAAAGAGCAATTATGTGCAGGTGGCTGTTTTAAGAGGTTCAAGTAGTAATATATCAAGTGCCCTTGTCTCTTCCTTCTGTCATTCTGTTGCCCAAAGCTAAACATTAACTAGGACGTAGACTGATTTGTCTTTGTCACTTAATAAAATACTGTGGACATCATTACATATCAACAGTTAAATTTCTCATTTTAATGTCTGGTGTTCTATTTTATAGATGTCTGGTAATTTATTTAATCAGTACTGTGTTGGTGTCAACCTAAATAACAGAGGCTCTCTGAAAGAAAAGATGATGGGAATAGAGCATTGCAGTGGAAATACATGTGCCATAGTAGTCTATGGTCATATTCAAAGAGGTAAAGAGAGACAAAGGTTTTTGAAGGAAAAAATGAGGAAGATTACATAATTGTTTTTGAAATAATTATCCTTGGCTACAAAGATCACTAGTAAGGATGACACCAGTCTGAGGTCGGACAAGCTGGACAGATGTCCTTGTGGAAATATTTTTTTGGTTTAAGGTTTTGATGACCTTTGTGCAAGGTTGTGGTTTTTGTAGATTTTTTTGTTTATCAGGCATACAAGCATGAGAAGCCTTTCTTCATGGTCTTTCCCAGCTCAGGGTGTTTTGGGTTTTTTTTTGTTTGTTTTTTTGTTTTTTTTTAAATATATAAACATTAGTGACTCCATTTTGATTCTCACAACTTTCACATTGACTACCTAGGTTGTTTCAGTTTTTGAAGTGTGAGCCCCTTATACGTATATCTTTACAAAACTGTGTGGATATTGCTATGGGATAAATTCCTAGGTGTTACACCACTGTTAATTTGTTGCATTTCCTTAATTTACCTGATGGCTTACTTTGAACTAAATGCCAGAAATAATATACTCTCTCCTTATTCTGATACTTCTGTCTCCTTGGCTTATCTAACATACACATTGTAATCTTACCAGACCTCACCCAGACATATTTGGCATTAAGATTAGGCAGAAGGCATTGAATGAAATCAAACTTAGGGTCTTGCTTTTCTGTTTTCCTCCTCATGTGCTTTTGAAATTTCTCTTCTGATTTCTTCCCCTGACAAAATTTTTCTACGAGTATATATAGGCTCTATAGCCAGACTTTTGAGGATGAAATATAATGTTCATTATTTACTAAGTGTATGGCCTTGAATAAATAACTTTTGTGCTTCAGTTTCATCCTAAATAGAGGTAGGATAATAATGGTATCTACCTCATAATGTCATTGTGAGTACTAAATGAGTAATAAACATGTAAAACACTTAGCACAGTGTCTGGCCCATTCAAGGTACACAGTAAATGTTAGCTGTTTTCCTTATCATTGTCCCTTCCTCCCACTCTCCTAGCAAGCTCTTCCTGATTAGCGTTTTATTATGTGCCTTGTATTTGATTACAGGCTGATTTCTGTAACTATTCACAGGTTTCATAATTTGAATTGTAAACTCCTCAAAGCCAGGGAGCATTTATTAATCTTCTTATTACCTACACCATAGTGCCTAGCACACAATTGTGCTTAATATTTATTGACTAAGTATGTAGAATTTTGGAGGAGCTGTCATGAAACCAGTATTTATAAATACAAATCTGGTTTTTAGCTGTATAATTTTTATCCTTGACCTGGTTGAAAACAAACTGTAATAATTACATTTCAGGAGATGACGCATTCATGGCCTCCCCCTCTAACGGCTATTCATACACCATGCAAAACAGAACCTTCCAAATTTCCTTTTCCAACTAAGGTAAGTAAATAAAATGTATCTTTCATAATGTAAGAAAACTCTAAATGGCTTGACTAAAATCATATGGATTAAAAATTGTCTTGCCATTCCTATTCTAGTGGGAGACAGACAGTAAATAAGTGAATAAATAGATAAATTCAGATAGTGACAACTGTTATGAAGATAATTAGCAGGGTAATGGAACTGAGAGCATCTTGGATCAAGAGGTATTAAGAAAGCTTTGAAGGCAATATGCGAGAGAGATTTAAAAGACATTAATACAGCCGGACACGGTGGCTCACTCCTGTAATCCCAGCACTTTGGAAGGCTGAGCCAAGAGACTCTCTTGAGGCCAGGAGTTTGCGACCAGCCTGGTCAACATAGCAAGACCCTGTCTCTACCAAAAATTGGAAGGAAAAAAAAAAAAAAAAAAAAAAAAAAGCTTGGCATAGTGGCACAGGCCCGTGGTCCCAGTTACTCGGGAGGCTGAGATGGGAGGATCACTTGAGCCTGGGAGGTCAAGGCTGCAGTGAGCTGTGATTGCACCACAGCACGCCAGCCTGGGAAACAGAGCAAAATTCTATCTTAAAAAAAAAAAAAAAAGACAGTGGTATTTATTGCAGACTATTATGGTATTGTAGGCCAGAGGTGGTAAGGGCTTCTCAAACTGTTGTTTTAAGAACCTGTTTCCATAAGACATAGCAACCATACTTGTCCCGTGGAAAGAGGTTCCTCAGATAACAGTTCCAAGGTTGTTTAAAATCAGCAGATTGACTTTTTTTTAAACTTATACTTAACAGTATTAATTTACACTTAAAACAAATAATACAGAAATACATTCTCCTTGTGAAAGTTTTACCAGTCCCCCTAATAATAGCCTTTCCCCAATTCCGTCCCCTTCATCCCAACAGAGCTCCTTTCCTAAGTACCTTTGCAAGTCTTTTTTATATTCATGTAATACATATATAATCATTACATGTAAGCATTTTCTTATTTATTTCTACGCAAATATATTGTTCTGTATCTTTCATCAGTCAGCAGTAGGTCTTGGGGACCTGTCCATGTTACTGCATGTAGAGGTATTTCGTTTCTTTTTATTGCATCTTTAGTGTTAATATATCCTAGTTTATTTAGCCATTTCTCTTTGGTATTTAAGCTGATAGCAAGTTTTCATTTCTATAAATGTTTCTTCAGTTGGTATCTTTGTTGGTGCCTTCTGTGTGCATGTGATTTTCTTTAGGGTAGAAAGCAAAAAGTAGAATTGCTGAGTGTTGAGAGTATATATTTAATACATACACTCACAAATTCCTTCCATAGTTCTATTACAGGATTTGTACCAGCCAGTATTCCCACTTGTATTACCTGTTGTTTCACACATGCACACCACCATTTGATATTATTAAACAGCAGTGTTTTGAGTAAAAATGGCATTCCATTTGCTTGATTGCTAGTGAGGTTCATCATCTTTACATATTTGTTATCCATTTGGTTTCTTTGTGGGTAAATTTGCTTATTCTCACTGTCCTTTGGGTTGCATTTTTTACCTATTGAGTTTTAGGTGGTCTTCCTTTTTTGTTTTGTGTTGTTTTGTTTGAATTGTGGATTCTAATAATTTCTTATACATGCTGAAAATTTATCTACCAGTTAGATTCTTGTCTTTTTATTGTCTAAAGTTTTTAATTTTTGATGAATAAAATATATCTTTCTCTTCCTTTATAGTTTTTGCTTTTAATGTCTTGTTAAAGAAGACTTTTCTTTCTCTAGGATCATAAACATACCCTCTTATTTTTATTTTAATGTGGTTTTTAGTTTTATTTTTTATGTTTACCTTTGTGAATGATGTCAGGTAGATTTAAAAATTTTCTGTCTATATGTGTGCCATATCACTCTTACCTTTTATATCTTTGTTTACATATACAAAATGCACCGGTATTTATTTATTTATTTATTTATTTATTTATTTTTCTGAGATGGAGTCTCCCTTTGTCACCCAGGCTGGAGTGCAATGGTGTGATCTTGGCTCACTGCAACCTCTGCCTCTTGGGTTCAAGCGATTCTCCTGTCTCAGCCTCCCGAGTAGCTGGGACTACAGGTGCCCGCCACCACGCCCAGCTGATTTTTGTATTTTTAGTAGAGACAGGGTTTCACCATGTTGGCCAGGCTGGTCTGAACTCCTGACGTCAGGTGATCCACCCGCCTTGGCCTCCCAAAGTGCTAGGATTACAGGTGTGAGCCAACGCACCTGGCCAATGCACTGTTATTTAATGTGCAGTTTGAGTTTTGTTTTTTGTTAGTTTGTTTTGAGATGGAGTCTTGCTGTGTCACCTGGTGCGATCTCGACTCACTGCAACCTCCGCCTCCTGGGTTCAAGCGATTTTCCTGCCTCATCTTCTTGAGTAGCTGAGATTACAGGCACACGCCACCACGCCTGGCTAATTTTTTGTATTTTTAGTGGAGACAGGGTTTCACCATGTTGACCAGGCTGGTCTCGAACTCCTGACCTCAGGTTATCCACTTGCCTTTGCCTCCCAAAGTGCTGGGATTAACAGGCGTGAGCCACCGCGCCCAGCCTGCAGTTTGAGTTTTGATAGATATGTGCACCTGTATAACCACCACCATAATTAGGAATTAGAACATTTCCATCACCCCCAAATTTCTTCATGTTCCTTTGTAGTCTCCCTCGCCTCCACCACTGTCCCTATGCAATTTCTGATCTATTTTATGTCACTCTAGATAAGTTTTGCTTTTTCTAGAATTTCATGTAAATGGAATCAGTACATCATGTGCTTCTTTTATATATTTACTTTCTTTTGCTCAGTATTTAGTTTTGTAATTCTTCCATGTTCTTGATTATATCCATGGTTTCTCTTTTTCTTTTTCTTTTTTTTGAGACAGAGTCTCAGTCTGTTGCCCAGGCCAGAGTGCGGTGGCATGATCTCGGCTCACTGCAACCTCCGCCTCCTGGGTTCAAGCGATTCTCCTGCCTCAGCCTCCTAAGTAGCTGGGATTACAGGCATGCACCACCACGCCTGGCTGATTTTTGTATTTTTAGTAGAGACGGGGTTTCATCATGCTGGTCAGGCTGGTCTCAAACTCCCGACCTCGTGATCCACCTGCGTTAGCCTCCCAAAGTGCTGGGATCACAGGCGTGAGCCACCACGCCTGGCCCAGTTTTTCTTTTTTTATTCCCAATCAGTATTTTATTATATGGAAACACCAAAATTTGCTTCCTGTTGATGAGCATTTGGGTTATTTCCAGATTTAGACTGTTAAGAATAAAGCATCTATAAACATTCATGTTTTCTTTTATCCTGGGTAAATACTGGGTCACATAGTAAAAAGTAGAATTGCTGGTTCATAGGGTAAGTGCATGTTAAATTTTACTTATTTATTTTATTTTAATTTTTTAGAGACTGAGGTCTTGCCTAGGCTGGTCTTACCTAGGCTGGAGTACAGTGGTGTGATCATATAGCTCACTATACCCTTGAACTCCTGAGCACTAGCAATCCTCTCATTTCAGCCTCTTGACTACCACGCACTACAGGTGCTTACCACCATGCCAGACTTACATAGAGACGGGGGTCTCACTCTACTGCTCAGGCTGGTCTCAAACTCCTGACTTCAAGCCATCCTTCTGTTTCAGTGTCCCAAGCACAAGCTACTGTGCCCACCACTAAATTTATAGTAAACTGAAAACTAACTCACTCACTCACTGACTCCCTCCCTCCTTCCTTCCTTGCTTTCTCTCTCTCTCTCTCTCTCTCTCTCTCCTTTCTTTCCTTTCTTTCTTTGCGACAGGGTCTCACTTTGTCATCCAGGCCGCAGTGCAGTGGCGGGATCATGGCTCATTGCAGCCTCGACCTCCCAGGCTCAAGTGATCCTCCTGCCTCAGCCTCCTGAGTAGCGGGAACTACAGGCATGCACCACCATGCCTGGCTGACTTTAAAAAATTATTATTATTTTTTTGAGACAAAGTTTTGCTCTGTTGCCCAGGCTGGAGTGCAGTGGTGCAATCTTGGCCCACTGCAGCCTCTGCCTACCAGGTTCAAGTGATTCTCCTGCCTCAGCCTCCTGAGTAGCTGGGACTACAGGTACGCACCACCACGCCCGGCTACTTTTTTGTGTTTTTAGTAGAGGCGAGGTTTCACCATGTTGGCCAGGATGGTCTCAATCTCCTTACCTCCTAATCTGCCCACCTCGGCCTCCCAAAGTGCTGGGATTACAGATGTGAGCCACTGTGCCCGGCCCCCATTCTTTTTAATTACTAAGGTAATATTCAGTTATGTGGCATCATAATTTACCTAATTATCTACTAATGGACATTTGGGTTGCTTCTAGTTTTTGGTTTTTTTTTTTTTTTTTTGAGATGGAGTCTCGCTCTACCGCCAGACTGGAGTGCAGTGGCGTGATCTTGGCTCATTGCAACCTCCACCTCCTGGTTTCAAGCAATTCTCCTGCTTCAGCCTCCCAAGTAGCTGGGACTACAGGCACGTGCCACCACGCCTAGCTAATTTTTGTATTTTTAGTAGAGACAGGGTTTCACCATGTTGGCCAGGATGGTCTTGATCTCTTGACCTCGTGAGCCGCCTGCCTCGGCCTCCCAAAGTGCTGGGATTACAGGCATGAACCACTGAGCCCAACCTCATTTTTGGTTATTAAAAATAAAGCTGATGTGAATATTTGTGTATAAATCTTTGTATAAATGTATACTTTTATTTCTTTCTTTTTAAGACAAGGTCTCTGTTGTCCAGGCTAGAGTGCAGTGGCATGATCATGGCTCATTGCACTCACGAACTCCCGGACTCAAGCAGTCTCTCACCTCAGCCTCCCAAGTAGCTGGGACTACAGGTGCATGCCACTATGTCTGGCTGATTTTTGTATTTTTTTGTAGAGACGAGGTTTTGCCACATTGCTCAGGCTGCTCTTGAACTCCTGGGCTCAAGCGGTCCTCCTGCCTTGGCCTCTTAAAGTGCTGAGATTACAGGCGTGAGCCACTACATCTGGCCTGTTTTTATGTCTGTATTATAAATGCCTATTAGTGGGGTGGTTAGGTATATGGTAGGTGTCTATGCCTCACACCTGTAGTCCTAGTACTTTGAGAGGTTGATGTGGGAGGATCACTTGAGTCCAGGAGTTTGAGACCAGTGTAGGCAACATAATGAGACTCTGTCTCCACAAAAAATTAAAAAAAAAATTACCCAGGCATGGTGGCACAGGCCTGTAGTCTCAGCCACTCAGGATGCTAAGCTGGGAGGATTGCTTGACTGCAGCTGGTTGAGGCTGCAGTGAGCAGAGATCATGCCACTGCTCTCTAGCCTGGGTCACAGAGACTGACTCTCTCTGGGGGGGAAAGAAAAAATTAGAAAACAACTGTCATGCTGGGCGCAGTGGCTCACGCCTGTAATCCCAGCACTTTGGGAGGCCAAGGTGGGTGGATCACCTGAGGTTGGGATTTGAGACCAGCCTGACCAACATGGAGAAACCCCATCTCTACAAAAAATACAAAATTAGCCAGGCATGGTGGCGCATGCCTATAATCCCAGGTACTTGGAGGCTAAGGCAGGAGAATCACTTGAAGCTGGGAGGTGGAGGTTGCAGTGAGCCGAGATCGTGTCATTGCACTGCAGCCTGGGCAACAAGAGCGAAACTGTCTCAAAAAAAAAAAAAAGAAAAAAAAAAGAAAACAACTGTCATACTATTTTCCAAAGTGGTTGAACCATTTTTTATTCCTGCCAATGGTATATGAGAGTTCCACTTGTTCCATGTCCTTACTAACACTTGATATTGTCAGTCTTTTAAAACTTTAGCCTTCTAGCAGTATTATAGTGGTACCTCATTGTGATTTCAATTTACATTTCTCTAGAGACAGAGTATCTTGAGCATCTTTTCATGTACTGATTTGCCATTTGCTTATCTTCTTTGGTGCAGTGTCTGAATATTTTGCCCATCTTTGGTGCAGTGTCTGAATATTTTGCCCATTTTTAAATGGGCTAAGATTCTTTTTTTTTTTTTTTTGTGACAGAGTCTCGCTCTGTCGCTCAGGCTAGAGTGCAGTGGCGCGATCTCGGCTCACTGCAAGCTCCGCCTCCCGAGTTCACACCATTCTCCTGCCTCGGCCTCTCGAGTAGCTGGGACTGCAGGCGCCTGCCACCATGCCTGACTAATTTTTTGTATTTTTAGTAGAGACGGGATTTCACCGTGTTAGTCAGGATGGTCTCGATCTCCTGACCTTATGATCTGCCCACCCCGGCCTCCCAAAGTGCTGGGATTATAGGCGTGAGCCACTGCGCCCGGCCTGAAATGGGCTAAGATTCTTACTGCCATTATCATATATGTGATTTGAAAATTTTGTTTTCTTGCTCTGTGGACTACCTTTTCATTCTCTTAATAGTGTCCCTCTAAGAACACATGTTAACTTTTATAAAGTCCACTTCTTCAGTGTTTTCTTTTACGGGTCATGATTTTGGTGTCTATGAAATCTTTGCCTGGCTGGGTGAGGTGGCTCTTGCCTGTAATCCTAGCACTTTGGGAGGCCAAGGTGGGTAGATCACTTGAGGTCAGGAGTGTGAGACTAGCCTGGTCAACAAGGCAAGACCCCACCTCTACAAAAAATGTAAATATTAGCCAGGCGTGGTGGCATGACCTATAGTCCCAGCTACTTGGGAGGATGAGGTGGGGGATCATTTGAGCTTGGGAGGTTGAGGCTGCAGTGAGTCATGATTATGCCACTGCACTCCAGCCTAGGTGACAGAGTGAGACCTTGTCTCAAAAAAAAAAAAAAAAAATGTTTGCCCGCTGGGCTGGTGGCTCACACCTGTAATCCCAGCACTTTGGGAGGCTGAGGTGGGCAGATCACTTGAGGTCAGGAGTTCGAGACCAGCCTGGCCAACATGGTGAAACTCCGACTCCACTAAAAATATAAAAATTAGCCAGACATGGTGGCGGGCATCTGTAATCCCAGCTACTCGGGAGACTGAGGCAGGGGAATCACATGAACTCAGGAGGCGGAGGTTGCAGTGAGCCAAGATTGCGCCAGTGCACTCCAGCCTGGGCAACAGAGCAAGACTCCATCTGAAAAAAAAGAAAAAAAGAAAAAGAAAAATCTTTGCCTAACCCAAATCCTCCTATGTTGTTTCCTAGACTTTTTTTTTTTCTTTTAAATAAGAGACCAGGTCTCTCTGTGTTGCCCTGGCTAGTCTTGAACTTGTGGGCTCAGGTGACCATCCCACCTCCTCTGCTTCCTGCATAGCTGGGACTCTGCTCTCAGTTATCCTAGGCTTTCTTTTCTGTTTTTGAAAGAGTCTCACTCTGTCACCCAGGCTGGAGTGCAGTGGTGTGATCTTGGCTCACTGCAACATCTGACTCCTGGGCTCAAGCGATTCTCATGCCTTGGTCTCCCGAATAGCTGGAATTACAAGTGCATGCCACCACACCCGGCTAATTTTTGTATTTCTAGTAGAGATGGGGTTTTGCCATGTTGCCCAGCCTGGTCTCGAACTCCTAAGCTTAAATGATCCACCTGCCTTGGCCTCCCAAAGTGCTACAGTTATAAGCATGAGCCACTGTGCCCAGCCTTTCCTAGTTTTTTTATAGTTTTAGGTTTTACATTTAGATCTATGATTTATCTTAAGCTAATTTTTCTATATTGTTACAATATATGGAATGAAGTTTTATCCTCTTGTATGTACATATCCAATTAGCATCTTTATTTAAAAGCCTTCTCTTTCCATTGAATTGCCTTTGCAGTTGTAGTTGACTCTGTATGTGTGATGCATTTCTGACATTTTATGTTTCATTAACCTGTTTGTCTGTCATGGTGCCAATATGAGCCTGTCTTGATGATTTGACTTTGAGACTTACTGTAAAGTCACTACAATGTAAATCCTCAAATTATATTAGTGTTTTTCAAAGTAGATTTGACTTTTCTAGGCTCTTTGCATTTTCATAAGAATTTTAGGCTGGGCACAGTGGCTCACACCTGTAATCCCAGCAATTTGGGAGGCCGAGGTGGGTGGATCACCTAAGGAGGAGTTTGAGTCTAGCCTGGCCAACATGGTGAAACCCCGTCTCTACTAAAAACACAAAAATTAGTTGGGCACGGGGCATGGTGGTGCACACCTGTAATCCCAGCTACTCAGGAGGCTGAGGCAGGAGTCTCTGGGAGGCAGAGGTTGCAGTCAGCTAAGATGATGCCATTGCGTGTGCTCCAGCCTGCGTGACAGAGCAAGACTCTGTCTCAAAAAAAAAAAAAAACAAACAAACAACACCTTGTCAATTTCAACATAAAAGTCTTGTGGGATTTTGACAGGGATTGTGTTGGATCTATAGATCAATTTGGGGAGAATTGACGTCTTAGCAATATTGAATCTTCTGACCCATGAGTCCTTATTTCTCTCTATTTTGGTCTAATTTAATTTCTTTCAGTATTGTTTTGTAGTTTTCAATATGTAGATTTTGGACATCTTTTGTTAGAGTTATCTTTTTGTTTTTTGAAAGAGTGTCACTCTGTCACCCAGGCTGGAGTACAGTGGTGCTCAGTGCAACCTCCGCCTCCTGGGTTCGAGCGATTCTCCTGCCTCAGCCTCCCAGGTAGCTGGGATTACAGGCGCCCACCATGATGCCCAGTTAATTTTTATATTTTTAGTAGAGACGAGGTTTTACCATGTTGACGAGGGTGGTCTCTAACTCCTGACCTCAACTGATCCACCTGCCTCGGCCTCCCAAAGTGCTGGGATTACAGGCATGAGCCACTGTGCCTGGCTGATTTTTTTGTGTGTGTGTGAGACAGAGTCTTGCTCTGTCACCCAGGCTGGAGTGCAGTGGCACGATCTTGGCTCACTGTAGCCTCAGCCTTCTAAGTAGGTGGGATTACAGACCAGTGCCACCACACCCAGCTAATCTTTATACTCTTAGTAAAGATGGCTTTTCACCATGTTGGCCAGGATAGTCTCGAACTCCTGGCCTCAAGTGGTCTGCCCACCTTGGCCTCCCAAAGTGCTGGGATTACAGGCATGAGCCACAGTACCCGGCCCTGTTTGATTTTTTTAGTGCTATTATAAATGGAATTTTATAAAAATTTCAGTATTTGATTTTTCCTTGCTAATTTATAGAAATACATTTCATGGGCTGGATGCGGTGGCTCATGCCTGTAATCCCAGCACTTTGGGAGGCTGAAGGAGGATCACCTGAGGTCGGGAGTTCAAGACCAGCCTGGCCAAGATGGTTTAGTAGAAACCCCATCTCTGCTAAAAAAATACAAAAATTAGCTGTGTGCGGTGGCACACACCTGTAATCCAAGCTACTTGGGAGGCTGAGGCAAGAGGATTCCTTGAACCTGGGAGGTGGAGGTTGCAGTGAGCCGAGATTGCGCCATTGCACTCCAGCCTGGGCGACAAGGTGAGTCTCTGTCTCAAAAAAAAAAAAAAAAAAAAAAAAAGAAAAGAAAAGAAAAAGAAATACCTTTCATGTATAATTTTATGTTTCATCTTGTAATTTTGCTAAATTTACTTAATAGCATTTTTGTAGATACCATATATTTCCTAGACAATCATTTCACCTGTGAATAAAGATTTTATAATGTTTGTTTCAAATGGATGCCTTATTTTATATTCTTGCTTTATTGCACTAGGTAGAATCTCTAGTATGATGTTGAATGCCAGTAGTGAGATTAGACATTCTTGCCTTATTTTTTATCATAGAGGAGAAAGTATCCAGTCTTTCATTATTAAGTGTGATGTTAGCTGCAGGCTTTTTGTGGATGTCATTTATTACATTGAGGAAATTCTTCTATTCCTCTTTGCCTAAGAGTTCTCATTAGGAATGAATTTTGAATTTTGTTGAATATTTTTTAAATCTATTGGAATGATCATAAGATTTTCCTGTTTTGATTTGTATTAATATGGTGAATAACATTGGTTAAATTTGGCTGGGCGTGGTGGCTCACACCTGTAATCCCAGCACTTTGGGAGGCTGAGGCAGGCGGATCACCTGAGGTCAGGAGTTCGAGATCAGCCTGACCAACATGGAGAAACCCTGTCTCTACTAAAAATACAAAATTAGCTGGGCGCGTGGCACATGGCTGTAATCCCAGCTACTCGGGAGGCTGAGGCAGGAGAATCGCTTGAACCCAGGAGGTGGAGGTTGCGGTGAGCCAAGATCACCCCATTGCACTCCAGCCTGGGCAACAAGAGCGAAACTCTATCTCAAAAAAACAAAAAAAAACAAAAAACGTTGGTTAAATTTTAAATGTTAAATCAATATTACATTCCTGATGTAAACTCTACTTGGTCATGATGTATTTTTTTATAGTGCTGAATTTGATTTTAAAAGTTTTTTCTAATTTTTGCGTCTGTATTCCTGGGCTATCTTGGTCTGTATTGTTCCCTTCTTAAATCTGTAACCATAACAGGTCTGTTGTCTGATGCACACAGCAAGTCAATAACAGAGACACTGGGTTGCTGCAGAGAAGGAGTTTAATTATAGGGCCTCCAAACGAAGAGATGAGAGGAAACCTCAAATCTGTCTTCCCAAGGAGTTGAGACCATGGCTTTTAAGGATTTTGGAGTGGGCTGAAGTATTAAGATCATTGATTTGTCAAAGAATGCTAGGTGAAATTATGGGATAGGAAGATGTACAAGCAGTATTCTCATGCTGATTCTGTTCCCCTGTGGAGATCTTTAAACTGGTTGGCTTCAGCTGTTCCACTGTGCTTAAGCAACTCTTGATTTTAAAAAAAAAAATTTATGGAAACAGGGTCTCATGATGTTGCCCACGCTGGTCTCAAACTCCTGGGCTAAAGCAATCCTCCTGTCTAAGCCTCTCAAAGCACTGGGTTGATAAGCATGAGCTATTGAGACTGTCCTGCTTAAGTGATTCTTTTTTTTTTTTTTTTTTTTTTTTTTTTGAGACAGCATCTTACTCTGTCACCCAGGCTAGAGTGCAGTGGCATGATATCAGCTCATTGCAACCTCCGCTTCCCAAGCTCAAGTGATTCTCCCTGTTTCAGCCTCCTGAGTAGCTGGGATTACAGGTGCCCGCCACCACACCCAGATAATTTTTTAGTAGAGACAGGGTTTCCCAGTGTTGCCCAGGCTGGTCCTGAACTCGTGATCCACCTGCCTCACCCTCCCAAAGTACTGGGGTTACAGATGTGAGCCACCACACCTGGCCTTAAGCAATTCTTAAACAAAAGCCTTAAGTTTCTAATGTCAGAAATTCTATCTATAGGAACAATGGGGATGCTGATGGTCAGTATCTAGTGTTAGTGACTTCCTGTTACAAAGAAGTGAGTCAGCCGGGCGTAGTGGCTCACTTCTGTAATCCCAGCACTCTGGGATTACAGGGTCAGGAGTTCAAGACCAGCCTGGCCAATATGGTGAAACCCCCATCTCTACTAAAAATACAAAAATTAGCCGAGCGTGGTGGTGGGTGCTTGTAGTCCCAGCTACCCAGGAGGCTGAGGCAGGAGAATCGCTTGAACCTGGGAGGTGGAGGTTGCAGTGATCCGAGATCGTACCACTGCACTCCAGCCTGAGTGACAGAACGAGACTCCATCTCAAAAAAAAAAAAAAAAACCCAAAAAAAAGAAGTGGGTCAAAGTGCAGTATAATTAATGCTTAATTATAATTATATTTCTGTCCAGAATTCTGTTTAACCCTGTGAGGGTGGTTTCATATCCTTGCCTTGTTTTGGTATCTGAGTAATGATGGCCTTATAGAATGGATTGGGAAATAATTGCTTCCCCTTCCATTTTCTGGAATAGTGTGTATAGAAATGGTATTTTTTCTTTTTTCTTTTTTCTTTTGAGACAGTCTTGCTCTGTCACCCAGGCTGGAGTGCAGTGGTGTGATCTCGGCTCACTGCAAGCTCCGCCTCCCGGGTTCATGCCATTCTCCTGCCTCAGCCTCCTGAGTAGCTGGGACTACAGGCATGCGCCACCACGCCCAGCTAATTTTTTGTATTTTTAGTAGAGACAGGGTTTCACTGTGTTAGCCAGGATGGTCTAGACCATCTCCTGACCTCGTGATCCGCCTGCCTCGGCCTCCCAAAGTGCTGGGATTACAGGCATGAGCCACCGTGCCTGGCCAGAAATGGTATTTTTTTTTAAGTGTTTGTTAGAATTTATCTCTGGTTATGAGCTTTCTTTGTAAGATGGTTTTTAAGCAAAAATTAGACTTCTTTAGTAGCTATAGGGCTACTCATGTTATCTATTTCTCCTTGAATGATCTTTCGTTGTTTATATCTTTCAAGGAATTTGTCCATTTTATCTATGAATTACCAAAGTTAACAAATTGCTGTAAGTTTTTTATAATATTCTCTTATACATATAACATATTCTATTATGATAGCACTTCTCTTATTCCCTATTCCGGTAATTTGTTTTCTTGTCTTTTTCTTGAGTGTCCTGGCTAGAGATTGTCAGTTTTCTTGATAGCTGTTTTTTCTTTCTCTGTTGTTTTTGTTTTTTATTGCACTGATTTCCACCCTGATCTTTCACTTTTCTGCTTTCTTATGGTTTAATTTGTTCTTCTTTTTTTTTTTTGAAATGGAGTCTTGCTCTGTCTCCCAGGCTGGAGTGCAGTGGCGTGATCTCGGCTCACTGCAACCTCCACCTTCCGGGTTCAAGCGATTCTCCTGCCTCAGCCTCCTGAGTAGCTGGGATTACAGGCACATGCCACCATGCCTGGCTAATTTTTGTATTTTTATTAGAGACGGGGTTTCACCATGTTGGTCAGGCTGGTCTCGAACTCCTGACCTCATGATCTGCCCGCCTCAGCCTCCCAAAATGCTGGGATTACAGGCGTGAGCCGCTGCGCCCGGCTTGCTCATCTTTTTAACAGATTTCTTGAGGTGGAAGCTAAGGTCATTTAATTGAGATTTTTCTTATTTTCTTATTTTATTTATTTATTTATTTTTAGATGGAGTCTTGCTCCGTTGCCCAGGCTGGAGTGCAGTGGTGAGATCTCGAATCATTGTAACCTCCACCTCACCGGTTCAAAGGATTCTCCTGCCTCAGGCTCCCAAGTAGCTGGGATTACAAGCATACACTACCATGCCTGACTAATTTTTGTATTTTTAGTAGAGACTGGGTTTCACCATGTTGGTCAGGCTGGTCTCAAACTCCTGGACTCAAGCGATCCACCCACCTCGGTGTCCCAAAGTGCTGGGATTACAGGGGTGAGCCTCCGTGTCTGGCCTAATTTCTTGTTTTTTGGATTATATCTAACTGTGTTGGTTCCCAAATATTTGGAGATTTTCTGCATATTTTCTGTTTTGATTTGTGATTTAATTCCATTGTGGTCATGAAGCATACATTGTATGAGATTGAGACTTATTTCATGTTCCAGATTATTGTCTTTTTTTGCTAATGTTTTGTGTACACTTGAAAAGAATGTGTATTCCAGCCAGTGTGGTGGCACACGCTTGTAATCCCAACACTTTAGAAGGCTGAGGTGGGAGGATCCCTGGAGGCCAGAAGTTTGAGACCAGCCTGAGCAACAGCCAGACCTCATGTCTGCCAAAAATTTAAAAATCAGCCGGGCACGGTGGTGGGCACCTGCAGTTGCAACTACTCAGGAGGCTGAAACAAGAGGATTGCCTGAGCACAAGAGGTCAAGGCTACAGTGAGCCATGATCATGCCACTGTACTCCAGCCTGGGTGACAGAGAAAGACCCTTTCTCAAAAAGAAGCGTATTCTGCTGTTGTTGAGTGGAGTGTCCTGTTAGGTCAAGTTGGCTTATAGTGTTATACTAATCTTCTATATCCTTACTCATTTTAATTCTATCAATTATCTATTATTGAGAGTTAACTCCAACTATAATTTTGGATTTGTATATATGTTCTTGCTTTGTTTCTTCATGCTTTCTCAAACTCTGTTTTTAGGTGCATAAACATTTAGGATTGTTACCTCTTAATGAGTTGAGTCTTTATTACTATGAAACAACCCCTTTTAAATCTTATAATATTCTTTGCTGTAAAATTTACTTTTATATTAATATGATCAGCTCCAGCTTTCTTTTATTTAATGTTAGCATGGTATAGTTTTTTCCAACCTTTTGCTTTTAACCTGTTTATGTTCTTATACTTAAAATGCATTTCTTGTAGGTAGTATATGATTTTGTTGTGCTTTTTAAATATAATCTGACACTCTGCTCTTTAATTAGGGTGTTCAGACCACTTACATTTAATGTGATTATTTATACAGTTGGGCTTAAATCTACTATCTTGCTTTTTGATTTCTCTGTCTCATCAGCCCTTTTGTGTGTGTGTGTGTGTGTGTGTGTGTGTTGTGTGTGTGTCAGCCTCTATCTTCAAGTGATTTTATACCATCCTTTTCTGCTGTATAAGACCCTATTGTCATTATACTTGCATTTCTCCCGTCGTAGAATCTGTATGATTGTTGTTTATGTTTTACTTCCACATAAAGTATAAATGGCACAATATTGTTACTATTTTTTATTTAAACAATATATTATCTTTTAGGCTGGGCGCAATGGCTCACACCTATAATCCTAGCACTTTGGGAGTCCGAGGAAGGAGGATCACTTGAGTCCAGGAGTTTGAGACCAGCCTTGGCAACATAGTGAGACCCTGTCTCTACAAAAAATAAAAAAATTACCTGAGTGTGGTGATACGTACCTGTGGTCCCAGCTGCTCAGGAGGCCGAGGTGGGAAAATAGCTTGAGCCCCGGAGGTCTTGGCTGCAGTGAGCCATCATCACTCCACTGCACTCCAGTCTGGGTGGTAGTGAGACCCTGTCTCAAAATAAGTAAACACAGTTTGTTATCTTTACTTTTTTTTGAGACAGAGTATTGCTCTGTCACCCAGGCTGGAGTGCAGTGGTGCAATCTTGGCTCACTGCAACCTCCACCTCCCTGGTTCAAGCAATTCTGCCTCAGTCTCTGGAGTAGCTGGGATTACAAGTGCCTGCCACCACGCCCTGCTAAATGTTTTTTTTTTTTTTTTTTTGTATTTTTAGTAGAGACAATCTCGAACTCCTGACGTCAGGTGATCCGCCAACCTCCACCTCCCAAAGTGCTGGGATTACAGGTGTGAGCCACCGCACCTGGCCCATTTTACTATTATCTGGAGGACTTTCTTTAATATTTCTTTTAGTACTTTGAAAAAATCTTTATTTTGCCTTTCCATTTTTATTTTTAAAGTGTTTTTGCCAGCTATAGAATTCTAGATTGAGGACCTTGCCCCCTTGCAACTATCTGCCAGCTTGCATTGTTTTTGATATGTACATTGTTGTCATTCTTTTTTTTGTATGTAAAATGTCCTTTTTTTTTTTTGGCGGTCTTTAAGTTTTTTTTTAATCATTGCTTTTAATCTGTTCAGTTATGATACGTTCTCCTGTAGTTCTCTTTATCTTTCTCGTGCTTGAGGTTTGTTCAGCTTCTTGAAATTTTGGTCTTATAGTTTCCATCAAATTTGGGAAACTTGCTATTACTCAATTTTTTTTTTTACCCTCTTCTCCCCTTTTGTCGTCGTCTTCAAGGACTCCAATTACATGTATATTAGGCCCCTTAAAGTTGTCCCAGAGTTCACTGATGTTCTGTTCTTTCTTTTTTTTTCTTTTTTTTTGTGGGAGGTCTTATACTGTATTGCTCCATTTTGCATGGTTTGTATTGCTGTGTCTTTAGGTTCACTAATCTGTTGTTCTGCGATGTCTAATCTGCTGTTAGACATTTAATACATATTTTTATGTTAGACATGTTATCAATAAAAATTTGATAGTGCTTATATATTTATTAATTAAACAGATATTTATTAACTTCTTACTATGTTCCTGGCATGAGATTTGACAACTTGTTCTTTATTAATGACAAAGATTTTTAGTAGAAAGATGAGGGTAAAAGACTAGTTGTACTAGTCTCAAAAGATATCAGAGTGTCTTTTGAAGCAAACAGAGAATGTGATACCAAGAACTGTATGGTGATGTCGGGGAGTGTTTTTATAAGATGAAGATATTTTGTTATTTTTATAATGCTGATGGCTTAGTAGAAAGGGAAAAACAAATGATCCATGGGAAAGAGAAGAGGTAACCTTAGGAAATCTTCACAAGAGTGATTGAGATTCAGTGCCCAAGTAGAGGACAGTAGCTTTAGAATAGAACACCACTACTTCATTGGCACCAGAGGGAAGCAGAGAATATGGGTATAGTTGGGGATAGCTTGGGAGATTTTCCAGTGATAGTTTGGAGAATATTAAAGATTTTGATTGCCTTTGCACTTACTCACCATGTTTGGAACAACCTCCAGCAGTGTTCTTGACACTGGAGATAGAACGCTGTACAATTTAAATGTTCTTGCTCTAAGATGGGTATTTAAAGAACATAGGAAAACGCTGTGCCAATGCTTAGAATAGTTCTGGCACAAAGTAGCTGTTCAATGAATGTTTGTTAACTGAATTTGGATGTATATACTCAAGTAACAGTGTTTAGATTTTGGTGTTTGTGAGACACCTCAGCTACTGACTGACTGTTGCTAAGGTGGGTTGCTTCTTACCGATAGCTTATCTCATTCTCCAAATTTAAGTGGGTACAACTTCATGTGTAATATACCTAAAAGCTCTGTGTGATACTTTAATAGGTACTTACTCTCCATGTGCACTAACTATATGTACCAAGTCCAATGAGAGGACAGAGAAGGGAGAAAGTTGTTATACCTAGGGAATTTGGGGTTAGCATCCTACAGGAGGTGACACCAATTAGAGTTTGAAGGAGAAGTATAGGAGTGCTAGCAAGATGTGGGTTGATAAGGAACACATCAGAAAGCACTTCACACCATTGACGAGTCTGAAAGAGCAGTTCACAGGCGGCAAATGGTGCTAAGTTTAGGATCATATTGGGGAGCTGGTTTAGTATATTCATCTCTCTCCTTGAATTGGTCCCATTTAAAAACAAAAACAATTCAATCCCTCTGTTCCATGTGATTCATCAGTCACTCCTTTTGTTTAGAATAAAACTTACTAAAGATTGATTCATATTTGCTATTTTTCCCTGGTATTTTGCTGGGTGTTATAAGGAAGTGTGAAACAAGAAATGTGTTTTGCCTGTACCAAACATTTGGTTGTAGAAATCAATAATACAAAAGAAAGCAATAGGAATTATTTATTAGTGTTTAATTGGATGTGTAGTTGTGTGCATCACACTTAGACGTAAGTTGTCTTCTCTTTGTATTCTGTTCTTTACCTAGAACCTCTTTACCTAGGTGCTTCACAAATCTTATCTTCTCCTCCCCATCTCCTTCCCTCTTTACCTTCCCCTTCCACCTGTTGATACAGTAGCTGCTTTAACAGGAATTACAAAAAGGAACCCAGGACAAGGCAAGAGTAATGGCAAAAGTGCAGTTTATGCACAGTTGCAGTGTTGGAACAATGATGTTGAAGCCAGAAATGTCTGGAACTGTGAATATCTTCAACTCAGTTATAGAATCATGCTCTGTACAATATATTCTGTAATGAAATGAGGAGTGAATCTGAATATTTTTTACACTAACATAGAAATTGTTTCATGATATCAGTTATCCCACTTAAAAATGAGTTAGACACCTCTCTCTTTTTAATCTCTCTATCTCACACACAGATACACACACACACACGCACACCACCACGAAATATGCTATATGTATCTTTTCATAATGTATTTTTAAAAAATAATTAAACCCCCTTCTCTCTTCAGAGTAAAGATGATGTTGGCCTATTGTGGTGGCTCATGCCTGTAATCCCAGCACCTGGGGAGGCTGAGGCGGGTGGATCACCTGAGATCAGGAGTTCAAGACCAGCCTGGCCACCATGGCGGCCCCATCTCTACTAAAAATACAGAAATTAGCTGGGCGTGGTGGCATGCGCCTATAATCCCAGCTACTTGGGAGGCTGAGCTGGAGAGTCATTTGAGCCCAAGAGATGGAGGTTGCAGTGAGCAGAGATCATGCCATTGCACTCCAGCCTGAGCAACAAGTATGAAACATCCTACAGGAGTGTGAAACTCCATCTCAAAAAAAAAAAAAAAAAAAGATGATGTTTTAACAATGAATGAAGTAACCGCTTCCCTAAAAGATATGCTTGAGCGGCTGGGTGCGGTGCCTCATGCTTATAATCCCAGCACTTTGAGAGGCCAAGGTGGGTGGATCACGAGGTCAGGAGTTCGAGACCAGCGTGGCCAACACAGTGAAACCCTGTCTCTACTAAAAATATAAAAATTAACTGGGCGTGGTGGCAGGTGCCTGTAATCCCAGCTACTTGGAAGGCTGAGGCAGGAGAATCGCTTGAACCTGGGAGCTGGAGGTGGCAGAGAGCCGAAATCACACCACTGCACTCCAGTCTGGGTGACAGAGCTAGATTCCGTCTCAAAAAAAAAAAATATATATATATATATATATGTATATATATAGTGTATAGATTATATATGAGTGTGTGTGTATATACATATACATACATTCAAGCTAGGAAAATAACAATAATATTGTCATTGTTTATGTATTTTTAGTTTTTTGTTACCAAAAAACCACAGTTCTAATATGAATACTGTAAAGAGCTGAAAAAAAATTTCTAATCAGTGGTTTGAACCTATTTGCTAAAAATAATAAAATGCATCCTTCTAATTTATTTTTCTAAATGATTTACAACAAGGAACATGGAAATCTAATTCAACTTCAATAGAATTCTTTACATAATTAATGTATAGGACTGAAATTTTGTTACTGTGATTTAATAAGCATGGTATTTCTTCCATGAGTATAACTATATCTTTGTGGCATCCAGTGAAACCAGATATCAAAAATAAGTCCATCTTAGCGTCATACCTTTGAAGCATTATATTTTTGTGTGTAAGAAAGGTTTTGTTGTCATTCATAAATATATTTAAAAATTACTCTAAAAATGGTATTTAATTTTTGTTATGCTTTTGAAATTGCAGTATTTTAATCTTATACATAAGTAGTAATGCATATTCTATACATATTTTGGAGATACAAATGGAAAAATTTCTTAGTAATGGAGTATATGATTAAAAAAAAAAAAGCTGGAAGACAAACTTGTTTAAGCTGTAGTTATCTCCTACTGGTACTACTCCAGTAACCTCATTTTGTATCCTTAACTCCATTCTAGCTTTCTTAAAACTGTTCTCCACTTAGTAGGCGAGATGATCCTCACAATGTGCAGATGTAGTTGTGTAACTCTCCTACTTAATAAGCTGCACACACACAGGTCTTTAATATGGTCTATAAGTCTGTAAACTGTGTGATCTAGCATTTTAGGTCTTCAGTCTCATATCTCACCACTCTTCCACCTTTACTTTTTCCTCTCTGTGGGCTGCCTTTAAGTTCCTTGTACAAGCCATGCTCTTCCCTTTAAGCTGGACTTTACACATGTTTTCTCTCTCCCTATGGCACTTAGCCTATCTCTTCCTTTCCCAGTTTATTTCCTATATATCCTTCAAATTTCAATCTGAATGGCAGTTCCTCAGGGAAGCCTTTGCTCATCTTCCTGGCTAGATCATACACACACACACACATATGCACACATGCATACAAGCACACAGGTACACATGCATGCACAATTACAAACTCAATATAATTATGTGTATTTGCCCTTCATTGTGTTTATTACAGTTGCCATTTTACTTTGATTTGCGTGAGTACTTGCAAAGGTAGTAATTATTGACATTCAAATAGGTGTTAAGCTCCATGGGGGCAGGGCCCTTGTCAGTTTTTGCTTATCATTGTTTTCTCAGTACTTTGATACATGAGTAAGTGTGTTGCCAGAGAGTTTGGGTTTCATCCTTAGGAAAAAACAAAGAGTCATTGGGAAGTTCTATGAAAAATAGGAGAGCAGTGATGACGCATACTAAGACTTGGGCTGTAGAAGGGTAAACTTCTACAGGCTGTAGAAGGGAGGCTATAGCTGAGTAAAGGAGATAAACTAGAGCTAGGAAGATCCATTAGAAGGCCATTGTAGGTAAACAAGATGAAGACCTGAAGTCTTTCCGGTTCAGATGGTCTCGCCTTTGGTGGATGTTTAAGAGACAGAATCCAGTAGTATTTGTGGACCTGCTGACTATTGTCAGATATAAGACAAATAAATCAGATTATTTGGAATATGGGGCTATTAACTTTTAGGCCATTTACCAAGTAAATGAATATAAGACAATAAACAATTTGAGGGGGTAAAGGAATCTTCATTTTATTTTATTTTTATTATTTGTACAGATAGGATCTTGGTATGTTGCCCAGTCTGGTCTTGAACTCCTGGCCTCAAGCTATCCTCATTGCTTAGCCTCCCAAAGTATTGGGATTACCTGCATAAGCCACCACACCCATCCTGGAATCTTCATTTTAAACAAAAGTCACAAAAGTGACCTCTTGCCCACTGCTCTATATACAGTTTTTTAACAGCAGTACTGAGATGTGATTCACTTACCATGTAATTCACCTACTTCAAGTGTAGAGTTCAGTAGTTTTGAGTTTATTTATAAATCATCAACTCAAAAAGAAACTGTACCCTTTAGCTGTTATCCCTCTTTCCCTCTACCTTCCTAGCCTTAAGCAACCACTAATCTACTCTATCTCTATAGATCTCTCTGTTCTAAACATTTTATATAAATAGTATAATGTAGTATGTGGTCTTTTGTGACTATATTCTTTCACTTAACATTATGTTTTTAAGATTCATCTAAGTTGTAGCATGTAACAGTACTTCATTCCTTTTTATGGCCAAATAATATTCCAGTGTATAAGTATATATCACATTTTGTTTATACATTCATCAGCTGATGGACATTTGAGTTGTTTCCACTTTTTGGCTGTTATGAATAATATTGCTATAAACACTTATGTAGAAGTGTTTGTGTGGACATATGTTTACATTTTGTTTGGTTGTGTACCTAAGAGTGGAATGGCTGGGTCATGTGGTAACTCTGTGTTTACTTATTTGAGGAACTGCCAGAATGTTTCCAAAGCAGCTGTACCATTTCGCATTCTTACCAGGGTTCTGATTTCTTCACATACTTGTCAACACTTGTTACATCTGTCTTTTTGATTCTAGTCATCCTAGTGGTTGAGAAGTGGTATCTCATTGTAGATTTGTATTTCCGTGATGACAGGTGTGAGAAATCTTTTCATCTGCTTATTGGCCATTTATATGTCTTCCTTGGGTAAATGTTTATTCAGGCCCTTTTCCTGTTTTTTAATTGGCTTGTCTTGTTATTGAATTGTAAGAGCTCTTTGTAGTATATTGTGGATACCAGCCCCTTATCAGATACATCATTTGCAAATATTTTCTCCTATTCTGTGAGTTGTCTTTTCACTTTTTTGATAACAATCTTTGAAGCACAGAAGTTCTTAATTTTGATTAAGTCAAGTTTATCTTGCCAAATCCCAGGTCATTTAGATTTGGCATTGTGTTTTTTTCTAAAGATTTTATAGCTCTAGCTTTTACATTTATAGGTCTTTGATCCTTCTTGAGTTTTTTGTTTTGTTTTGTTTTGTTTTTAATATGATGTGATATAAAGGCCCAGCTTTATTTTGCCCATGGATATTCAGTTTGTCCAGCACCGTTGTTAAAAAGACTATTCTTTCCCATATAATGGTCTTGGCATCCTCTTGGAAAATCAGTTGAGTGTAGAAATAGGTTTTTAATGTTTTTTAACCGCAAAACTATATTTTAGCTTTCTAACTATTTGGATTGTTCTTTCACAGACAATTCTGTAACTAAAGGAAGATTATGCTTATTTTTAAGTAAGCTTTTAGGAATATTTGTATAATTTTAGTGCTACATCTTGTATCCAGATTTAATTTTGAGAAATGCATAGTTTGCACATATGGAACAGCTGTTCTGGTCATGAAAATTGAGTTTGGAAAGCCATGTTTCACTAAGGGTGACATTCTGGCTTCTTTCTATTGGTGCTTCCTGAGTGCTGGACACTATGCTGTTATAGGGCTTACATGGAAGTAAATGACCATCTCTTCCTCACGTTGCTAATGTATATAAAATATTGGGAGCAGGGAGAAGGAGGGAGTAAAATGACATGGAAATATCCATATGGGATTTTTTTAGTCCATAAAAGTGGTATACTTTTTTTTTTTTTTTTTTGAGATGGAGTCTCGCCCTGTTGCCAGGCTGGAGTGCAGTGGCGCGATCTCGGCTCACTGCAACCTCCGCCTCCCAGGGTTCAAGTGATTCTCCTGCCTCAGCCTCCCGAGTAGCTGGGACTACAGGTGCACGCCACCACGCCCAACTAATTTTTGTATTTTTCGTAGAGACGGGGTTTCACCATGTTGGCCAGGATGGTCTTGATCTCCTGACCTCATGATCCGCCAGCCTCGGCCTCCCAAAAAAGTGGTATACTTCTAATGGATAAAGGTTATACAGCTATCTTCACCTGGTACACTGTCTTCGGTATTACCTTTAGTTTTAAATGAAGTGTTTTCTTAAGACCAAGAATTTTAAATTGAAATTAGTTATTTTATAAAGGGCTCTAAATAAGGATATGACTACAATGGATGCTGCTGAAAGAATTGAATGATAAAGATTATTAGGTGGCTTAATGCTTTTTGTATTAATCTCTGGGAAAGTCCATTATTGATCCCAAAATTGCCAAGGCTGATCAGACAGGATCATTACATTCTTTCTGTGCTTTTTCAAGTACTTGAAGTGTTTTTATGTAATTTAAGCATTTTTCACTAATCTTTCTTTTTTAGTGTAACTTTGTATAATTTTATGTTCCTTTTTCTTAGGAGTCTCAGCAGTCCAATTTTGGCACTGGAGAACAAAGTGAGTATTTCTTTCCCTCTTTGTTTTCAAATTAAGCTATTTATTGAACATTCAGTTTTCATGGTCACACCATATATAACTTTAGTAATACCTTTACATGTCATATCCTTTTTCATTTTTGTTTTCTTTTTTTTTTTTTCTGGAGTGTAGTGGTGTGGTCGTAGCTCACTGCAGCCTCGATCTCCAGGGCTCAAGTGATCCTCCTGCCTCAGCCTACTGAGTAGCTGGGACTGTGGGCACATGCCACTATGCCTGGCTGATTTTTTAAATTTTTAGTAGAGATAGGGTCTCACTATGTTGCACAGGCTGGTCTCGAACTCCTGAGCTCAAGTGATCCACCTGCCTCGCCTCCCAAAGTGTTGGGATTACTGGTGTGAGCCACCATGCCCTCGTATCCTAATTTTTATGATCTAATGGGTAGTAGTGGGTTGAGCTGAAAAATTGTTATGCTTTAAAAAATTCAAGAACTGTAAGTCATTGGAGATCAAAATACACTACTTTTATTAAGCATTTGAACTAATAGTTCATGAATACAATTTGATGGGCACCTCGTAAACTCAAGAGTTATTCTTCTTTCTTTTAACTTACTTCATGAAGATACTTGGCTCTATGATGATAAAACTCCGCACAAGAAGGGTCATTTTATTTAGCTGACCATGGCCCTTTTCTTCTTATATTTGTACAGTCCCTGTTTTTTCTTCCTTGGTTTTCTGATCTGGGTAGAAAATCTGCTGCCTGCTATACCCTCACCTTTACCCTTACTCTCTTGGCCTGTCAGAAGAATTCTAGGGAAGATAGTCTTATGGTCCCAAGAGATTGTGGTTGTGTAGATTGAGAGTGGTAAGATCAGGAACCAATGCAAATGTCTGGGCTTTACCGTATACCTCTGTAACAAAACAGGTATTCTTTTTGCCAAGAGCAGTAACTTCTTAATTAAGGTAGATTTGTACTAGTCATAAGGTATTTTGGAAATGAAAATGTGGAACTTTTTGATCCTTAGTTTATCTTCAGTGATCTTAATGCAGGGATAAAACTAGAAGAATACCTCTTTTGATGTTATGCTTTCTTTATCTGTCTATCAATTTCTTAGTTCCACCTTAAAGGCCGTAGCTTACAGGAAAAAGGGATTTGACATTGTTAATTATGCAGAAAATGTTAAAATGCAGAAAATAGCTAACTATAGGCCAGAGAATTTACATTTTCTCTCTTCTTTTTGTTTCCTTTTTTTTCTCAGCTTGTTTTCCCTAGTCGTCATCTTTTAAGAATGCTTCATCCTTCTACTCTTCTCTCATTCTCTTTTCTGAAAGCTGTTCACAAATGGGATCATAAGCTGCCTCTACTCATTATTTGTGTTTTTCACTTTGTTTTAGAGCTATTTCTATATCAGCATAAAGCTCTAGCTCATTGTTTAACCTTAAAATTATGTTATAATATGAAAATATCTTAATTTATTTCACTAGTCCCCTATCGATGGACATTTTTTTCCAGTTTTTGCCATTACAAACCAGGCTATAATAAACATTCCCAAGTGTGTGCTTGTGTGTTCGTGTATTCCTCAAGATTATACCTGTAATGTAAATTCCTTTCATTGGAATTATTAAGTCACTTAGCAATATAATTACAGTACTGAGAAGGTATTACCAGATTGCCCTTCAAGAAGATCGTATGAGTTTATAGTCCTACCAGCAACATATGCACATGCTTATTTCCCCTGTAGTCACCAGTATCTCATATTATTGGGCTTGAAGGTGTTACCAGTTTGGTGGTTGAAGAATTATATTTCATTGTTTGATTTACATTTATTTGAGGGTATTTTACATAGACATTTTACAGTCTAAATAGCCATCCTTTAGTTGCTCACTTCATTCTTTTTGTTCCAGAAAGATATAATCCTTCTAAAACTTCAAATGGGCACCAGTCTAAATCGTAAGTTTATTGCTTAATGAGTTTAATATTTATCATTTTTGCTAAAAGTTACCTGTAATATCTAGGTATTTTGAACAGTATTTAGAAATATTGAGGCTGGGCAGGGTGGCTGACACCTGTAATCCTAGCACTTTGGGAGGCCAAGGCAGGCAGATCACGTGAGGTCAGGAGTTCGAGACCAGCCTGGCCAACGTGGTGAAACCCCTTCTCTACTAAAAATAAAAAAATTAGCCAGGCGTGGTGGCGAGCGCCTGTAATCCCAGCTACTTGGAAGGCTGAGGCAGGAGAATTACTTGAACCTGGGAGGTGGAGGTTGTAGGGAGCCGAGATCGTGCCACTTCACTCCAGCCTGGGCCACAGAGCGAGACTTGATCTCAGAAAAATTAAAAAATAAAAGAAATATTTAAGGCATGAGCATGCAAATTTTTATGTAAAGGGTCAGATAGTGAAATATTTAGGCTTTCAGAGCCACATAGTCTGTGTTTTGACTGCTCAGCTCTGCCATCTGTAGTATGAAAGCAGCTGTAGACCCTAAGTGTGGCAGTATTCCAGCCACACTCTTTAAAACAATGTGGTAGGTTGGATTTGGCTTGTGGGCCACAGTTTGCCCACCTTTGCTCTGAGATCATGGTTTTTTCTCATCTGAGAGTTGTATGTGTATGTTTTTGTGTGTATATTCCTAATTTATATTTAATAAGTCATAAAATAAAGACAGGATTCTTCTTTAGGCCAAGCCCTTCATTTAACCACTAGATTAAGTAACATACATAGTTTGTACTGTCTTTAAGTTTTCTTATTTTTATTTTGTTGGTAGAAGCAGGAATATATATAAAAATGTAACAGGGTAATGTATTGGATGAAAATAAATTCCAACTTAAAGAATGAACTCCTGAACTCCTGAGACCACAAGTTAACTCAGTGATTAAAGCAAAGTTCTAAAGAAGCAGTGACTACAGTGCCAGCTTTCTATGCCATAGTCACAGACTATACTGTGATGACCCTAGCCTGGTAGCACTTCAGCTGAATATAAGAACTAAGAATGAAAATACATGAACACAAGAAGTACCCCCTTCACTGCTGAAAAATTCAAATTATACTCCTATTCATCATACTTATTTATATGTAAAGAACGGATGTGGTCTTACCATATATATACCTATCACTTTGATTGTGAGGGAACAAAAGCGTGCAGGGCCCTGAGCAGTCTGGTAAAAGCTTTGACATATTCACATGTGTAAACAAGTTCATTGAGCTGCCATTGTTAAATCATAAAGGCCGAGAGAATTCAGACTAAGTACATTTCCTTAGAGGAAAATCAGTCGTAGAGATAGATGCACTAAGCCCCTGTCTGAAAGAAAACTCTTTTTTCCCTGTTCTGTTTAATTGGGCCAGTCTTAAAAATCATCTGGTTACTTTATTTCAAGGTGGTGTTTAATATGTAATATTTTGAACTTAGGGTCAGATATAGAAATGTTGGTTAAACTTTGAGGAGGAAAAGTACAAGTAGTTAATAGAGTGAAAGAAGATTTCCTTCTCACTGATTGGAGATTGTAATGAAATTTTAAGAAAGGTAATGGAATTACTGATAATGAGAAATTAGACATTTTCCTAGTTGTAGTTCTCCCTAAGCTTTGTATTAATTTTTCCTCCCATGTAAAAAGACAAGGAATGTTTTGTGGACTGTTACATAGAAAATTTTAAGTTTAATGGTTTTGATTTTATGGCCTTAAAAGAAAATTTACATCTTTAATTTTGCTTTCAAAAACAAATTCCAGAAACTGTCAGCTTATAGTATTTGTGTGTATGTGTTTTAATTGATTTGAAGTTTGATCAACGGAGATTTTGGAACTTGGGAGTTTTTTTTGTTTTGTTTTGTTTTTTTGAGACAGAGTCTCGCTCTGTCGCCTAGGCTGGAGTGCAGTGATGGGATGTCGGCTCACTGCAACCTCCAGCTCCCGGGTTCAAGCAATTCTCCTCCTACCTCATCCTCCTGGGTAGCTAGGATTACAGGTGCCCACCACCACGCCAGGCTAATTTTTGTATTTTTAGTAGAGACAGGGTTTCACCCTGTTGGCCTGGCTGGTCTCGAACTCATGACTTCAGGTGATCCGCCAACCTCAGCCTCCCAAAGTAGTGGGATTACAGGCATGAGCCACCGCACCCAGCCAGAACTTCAAAGTTTTAAAAATATATACATAGCCATTTCTGCTATATAGCCAGGACTTTTACCCAAAATATTTATTTCTACAGAGGGCACTTTGTTTCATAGCAAGGCATTTATGAACTAGAACTTTGGCTTAGGAAACCGTTCTGGTTTTCACAGTTACCCAGTTGTCAACAGTTATACTAACCTCTCTTTATGGAACATGGGGGACAAAGGAAGAATTGCTTGATGCTTTCATTTTATCTTCCTTCTTTTTAGGAATTATATCTCTCTAGTGGATTGTTGGGTATGACTTTGTTAATTTTTAATAATGAATGTGTGTGTGCAACTAGGGGAAAAGTTAGAGATTACAGAACTGAATTATGAGAGTTTATAGAAAGTAGCTTTTGTTTAATTAGAAAAGGTGAATATTTTATTCATGGGAAGGATAGAGCTTAGGAATGGTTAAATTCCTCCATTCTCAATTTTGAGATTTTGAACCAAACCAGATAGAATAAGACTTACTGGTGTTTTGTTTTTTGGTTAAATTTTTGGCTACCACAGTGATTATTTCTAGAATTTTTAGTAGATATTTAGTACTCTGGCATACCATGTAAACTGTTCCAAAAATAATAATTCTTTGTCTTTTCCCTCTAGTATGTTAAAAGATGACTTAAAACTAAGCAGCAGTGAAGACAGTGATGGGGAACAGGTGTGTCTACTATTGTATTATTTTGCCAGTCTCATATAGTATTTTCATTGTATTTTATAAAAATGATAATTGAATAATGCATTTATTACTTAAAATAAGTTTCTTATAAGCTTTCTGACACTGAAATGTTGTAGTTTTCTTCTCTGTTTTTAAATCTCCATTTTTTTCTTATTTTTTTAAAAAATTGGGTTTTCCTCAACATTTATTATGGATCAAAACATACTCATGAAGCAGTAGATTATTGACAATAATAACTATTAACAAAGCTTTTGATCTTATTCTGGCAATTCAGTTACTCTTCAGGTAAAAACAGTATAAGTGCTAAATATTGTTGCATACATTAGAGAATCCAGTTTTTTCTGTTAAGAGTTCAGATATTATTCACACTAAGCAAATAGAATACTGTTTATTCATTCACAGATTCTTTCTTATGTTTTAATTTTAGGATTGTGATAAGACAATGCCGAGGAGTACACCAGGAAGGTGGGCATCCTTTTCTTTTCTGTTTTATTGGTAAGAGTTGGGTCAGCCTGATAACATTGCAGGGATATAATAAGTGGCCTTATAAGTAAATATTAATTTTGATAATGGTTGTACAATTCTGTAAATTAAGTCATTGAATTATACACTTAAAGTGGGTGTTTTGTGTATTATACCTCAAACTGTTTTTAAAAGGTGAGTATTAATAGCTAAGTAGCACATCAGAAACTTTAAAAAGAATTACTCATTTCATTTACAGTGAAGCTCTGGATTCATAGAATTATAGCAGTCTAACACATAGTAAACATTTTAAAGAAAGTTGCAGCCGGGCGCGGTGGCTCACGCCTGTAATCCCAGCACTTTGGGAGGCCGAGGCGGGTGGATCACCTGAGGCCAGGAGTTTGAGACCCACCTGACCAATATGGTGAAACCCCGTCTCTACTAAAAGTACAGAAATTAGCCGGGCGTGGTGGTGGACGCCTGTAGTCCCAGCTACTTGGGAGGCTGAGACAGGAGAATTGCTTGAACCTGGAAGGCGGAGGTTGCAGTGAGCTGAGATCGTGCCACTGCATTCCAGCCTGGGCCACAGAGCAAGACTCCGTCTAAAAAAAAAAAAGACAAGAAGAAAAAAAGAAAGTTGGTTGTCGATTTGGATGTTTTCCTGTTGTCAATGTAAAATAAACTTTGGACATTTGTATATTTCATCTCTTTTAGTAACTCTGAACCTTCACACCATAATAGTGAAGGAGCAGATAACTCCAGGGATGATTCTAGTAGCCACAGTGGATCTGAAAGCAGCTCTGGATCTGACTCAGAGAGTGAAAGTAGTTCCAGTGACAGTGAGGCAAATGAGCCATCCCAGAGTGCATCTCCCGAGGTGAGACAGAGGCGGTGGGGTACCTTCCACAGGCCCTCTCAGGGTCCTTGGTGATGTCCATTTAAAACCTGATCCAAATATAAAAGGAGAAGGAAAGAAGGTTCCATAGTCTGACAAAAAGAAATTGTACTGTGTACGTTGGAGGAAATCTAGATGGTTCCTTGTTGTTTGAACAAATTCGGTCTAGATTAGGAACTGCTTGGCATATTACAGGTCACTAAAATACTGTGTACCTTTAGTTTGGTCTTTTATTTTTATGACTCAACATGGTAATTGATGTTCTGTGGTTACAAAGAACATCATGTTGTTGATAAAAAGAGTCTTATGTAATACAATTTTGGTATAGCTTGTTAAATTGCAGTTAAAAATCTCTTTGTACCTACATCATTTGTTTACTTTCTAGAATTAAATATTCTGTACGGTAATTTGTAATTATGCCTTTGAAATTGGATTCTTGAATAGGAATATTTGCTATTTAAAGGTCATATATAACATTAAGCTTATCTTTTTTTTTTTTTTTAAGATGGAGTCTTACTCTGTCACCCAGGCTGGAGTGCAGTGGCTCAGTTTTGGCTCACTGCAACCTCCGCCTCCCGGGTTCAAGTGATTCTCCTGCCTCAGCCTCCTGAGTAGCTGGGATTACAGGCGTGCGCCACCGCATCTGACTAATTTTTGTATTTTTAATAGAGACAGGATTTCACCATGTTGGTCAGACTGGTCTCAAACTCCTGATCTCATGATCCGCCCACCTCAGCCTCCCAAAGTGCTGGGATTACAGGTGTGAGCCACCGTGCCTGGCCACTTATCTTCTTATTCAGATGATAAGAGCTAATAGTCAATACTCAGCCCTTTGCTTTGGTTCATAGAGAACCATTTGCTTTTGTTGCATTAGGCATTGTGGTTTTTCCTCTTCTTTGAGGTTGTAAAGGAGGGAGAACGAAAAAAGCATTCAGTATCGAAAAAAGCATACATATTTCTCTGTTTTTCAGCCTGAACCCCCGCCAACAAACAAATGGCAACTTGATAATTGGCTGAATAAAGTGAACCCACATAAAGTGTCACCCGCCTCTTCAGTGGACAGTAACATCCCATCATCTCAAGGCTACAAAAAGGAAGGCCGAGAGCAGGGCACTGGGAATAGCTACACTGATACAAGTGGACCTAAAGAAACGAGTTCCGCTACTCCGGGACGAGACTCCAAAACCATCCAAAAGGGATCAGAAAGTGGGCGTGGGAGGCAGAAATCTCCTGCACAGAGTGACAGCACAACACAGAGAAGAACTGTAGGCAAAAAACAACCCAAAAAGGCTGAGAAGGCAGCTGCTGAAGAGCCTCGTGGAGGCCTGAAGATAGAAAGTGAAACCCCTGTAGACTTGGCTAGCAGCATGCCCTCCAGCAGACACAAAGCAGCCACCAAAGGCTCAAGGAAACCCAATATAAAGAAGGAGTCTAAGTCTTCCCCTCGACCTACAGCAGAGAAAAAGAAATATAAGTCAACAAGTAAATCTTCCCAGAAATCAAGGGAAATCATAGAAACAGATACCTCATCCTCAGATTCAGATGAAAGTGAGAGCCTTCCTCCTTCCTCACAAACTCCTAAGTACCCCGAGAGCAATAGGACTCCTGTTAAACCCTCCTCAGTGGAGGAAGAAGATAGCTTTTTTCGGCAACGAATGTTCTCTCCTATGGAAGAGAAGGAACTTCTTTCACCCCTCAGTGAGCCTGATGACAGGTACCCACTTATTGTGAAGATTGACCTGAATCTTTTGACTAGAATACCAGGAAAGCCTTACAAAGAAACAGAGCCGCCCAAGGGGGAAAAGAAAAATGTGCCAGAAAAGCACACGAGAGAGGCTCAGAAACAAGCCTCAGAAAAAGTTTCCAACAAAGGCAAGAGGAAGCATAAGGTTTGTGAAGGGTTTTTGTTGTTTGTTTTGAAACATCAGAATCTGAAATGCGGTGGAAATCTCAGTAAGCCACAAAGTAACAAGGTGGGTCATAAGCTGTGAAGGAAAATAGTGGGTAAACCCAAGGCCCAGGCGAGGCTACATGTGGAACAGTCTCTTGAGGATTTCTGTGCTTCTGCCTGTGTCCTTCAGTAAAGCAGAATAGTTGCTAATGAAATAAGAAATGAGTCAGTGCTTTTCAGCATGTGCTGGCCAGTGTAGAGGTTAGAGAGCAGCAGCTTGCAAATTGGCATTTGCAACATTCTCAACATTTTGGTTTTAGGTGTTTTTAGTTTGGATATGTACTCCCCGTATTGTTATAATCCCTACCATTCTCTTCTGATGTACACCCAGACCAAGTCACACTTAAATAACTAATCTGCTATGCACCTCTATGCCCCAGCTTATTTTCCTTAACAAAGGTCAGAACTAAAAATATTGCTGGCTTATAGCCAGCTGTCATCCCTAAATACTTCCAAGATAATTTTGGATATAGAGGCAAAATTTGTATATTTAAGGTCTGCTTTTCTTAGACTAAGGAAATGTGAAAACTCACGCATGTCTGTGATTGGAGGATAATAATCGTACAATGAAGAGATCTGAATCACTACATATATAGAGACTGTGGGAAAAACAGCCTGATCTTTTCAGCTCTAGTGAGGAATTTACAGGAGAATGTAAAGTTTTAAGTAGTCTATATCAAAGAATACTATAATTTCTTCCGATACATGTCTATGATTGTGAAAGACCAGAAGTTAAGCTTGAGTAGGTGAACAGATAGGTACCAGAATGGCCTTACCAAGTAAGTAAACTTAGAACACAAACACCACTCCAGTTGACCTGAGAATCACATATACTACAGGGAGAATAGAGCACTTTCTTAAAATGGAGTGAGATATTTTCCTCTCTCCTTTTCATAAAACCACAGTGCCACGTGCAGATGATATATATTCAGACAAATTAGAATAATACATGACTTCTTTTTTGAATCTTTAAAAATTGAAATTGTCCACATTATTTAAATTTTTAGAAAACCAAAGCTTACTACTCTCTATACTATACCTAATGAGTTTCCATTATCATAGTATAGAGATGTTTTGCTCAACTAGTAAGCTGTTTAGGGCTGCTGGCCCCTGTAGCCCACAGCCTCAGATCGCTGGACTTGGCTGTGGGATTTAATTCATAGAATAATGTGGAATAAGAGCTTGTGTATGATAGACTCTGCTCTTTTGGAAGCTAGGACTTTTTTTATGGAATTTTAAAAAATGGTCCTTTTGTGCTTAAAAAGTATTACTTTTTTTGTAAGATTTTATTTTATTTTTCTTACTTTTAGAGACAGGGTATTACTCTGTCACCTAGGCTGGAGTGCCATGGCATTCATAGCTCACTGCAACCTCAAACTGCCGGGTTCAAGTGATCCTCCCTCCTCAGCCTCCCAAGTAGCTAGGACTACAGGCATGCGACCCCACACCTGGCTAATTTTTTATAGAGATGGTATCTTGCTATATTGCTCAAACTGGTCTCAAACTCCTGGAATCAAGCAGTCCTCCCACCTCAGCCTCCCAAAGCACTGGCATTACAGGTGTCAGCCACCACACCTGGCCCTTCTATAAGGTATTCAGACATTTAAAATATAAAGTGTCAAGGGCAGTACCTGGAGGTAAAGCAGGTAGTACTAAGAGAAGACCCAGTTAAGGGTAATAAAGGATGTAGATTTCTTTTTCTCATGTTTTCATTTGTCTGTCTTTATTCATTTGTATAGGGGAACAGATTCTTTTGTTATGGTAGAATATTTGCATTCTCGTGCCCTGATATTTGAAGCAAAAGGAAAACTTAGATTCACTTAGAAAAGTAACATTGGCAATGGATGGGCCCACCACTTGTGTTTTCCATCAGAAAGTTTTTTGAGTCACTAGGCTGTGCTATGATCAAAAGTATGGACCATAAAAAATGTTGGCAAAGTTGTGAAAAAGTTGGAACTTTGATATGGTGCTGATGAGAATAGAAATGATACCACTGCTTTGGAACATAGTTTGGTAGTTACTGAAAAAGTTAAACATAGAGTTACCTTTTGATCTGCAGTTGTACTGCTAGTTATATATCCAAGAGAAATGAAAACATGTCCACACAAAAACTTGTACTTGAATGTTCATAGTAGCATTATTCATATTAGCCAAAAAGTGGAGACAACCCAAATGGCCATCACCTGATGAATGACTAAACGAAATGAATAAATTCTATGCAGTGAATACTATTCAGCCATAAATGAGAATGCAGTACTAATCCATGCTGCAACATGGATGAACCTTAAAAATGTTACACTAAATGAAAGGAGCCACAAAGGCCACATATATTGAATGATCCATTTTCCTGAAATGTCTAGAATAGGCAAATCTATAAAGATGAAATGTGATTGCCAGTGTCTGGGGGAGGAGGAGATGGGGAGTGACTACTAATGGGTATAGAGTGTGTTTTCAGGATAATGAAAATATTTTAAAATTCATTAAGCCGGGTGCAGTGGCTCACACCTGTAATCCCAGCACTTTGGGAGGCCAAGGCGGGCGGATCATGAGGTCAGGAGATTGAGACCATCCTGGCCATGGTGAAACCCCGTCTCTACTAAAAATACAAAAAATTAGCTGGGAGGCTGAGGCAGGAGAATCGCTTGAACCTGGGAGGTAGAGGTTGCAGTGAGCTGAGATCGTGCCACTGCACTCCAGCCTGGGCGACAGAACAAGACTCCGTCTGAAAAATAAATAAATAACTAAATAAATAAAATTAAAATTTCATTGTGGTAATGGTTGTACAACTCTGAATATACCAAATGTTATGGAATTGTGCACTTCTAAAGAGTGAATTTTATGTTATGTAAATTATATCTTAATTATAATTTCACAGATACTACCTCCCAAATCATTACATTGAAAAGATGCCATCTTAGAGACTGTAGGAAATGCGTTTCAGTCTCTGGGTTTTGTGTATCTAAAATAGGCGACCTCAGCCTTAAAACCTCATCTTCTTGAATATTATTTAAATGAATTATAGTACTTCTCTTTTATCTTCTTTCTGATGCCTAATCATGGATAAACTCTTTGTGGGTAGCTAGTGCTGGAAGCTGAAGTTAGTTGAATAAAAATCAGACCACGGTTTCTATTTTTCATCTAGAATGAAGATGATAACCGAGCCAGTGAGAGCAAGAAACCCAAAACGGAGGACAAGAATTCAGCAGGCCATAAGCCATCCAGCAACAGAGAGTACGTTCCCAAAACATGTTGCATGCCAGTGTTGTTAATATATGTATATCATTTGATAGTGGGTACTTTCTGACATGCTCTGAGTGTTCCTTTTAGTAAGCAAGTGTTATATAAATGCATACACATAACATATGCCAAATAGTGGGAGCTTTCACTTTTAGCTAATAGGGATGGAAAACATTTAACATTTAATTAGTTCTTCCTTTATTCATTTTTTATTGGGGTAGGGGTGAGTATGGGGGGAGAATTAAAGTAAAGCTATGCCACTTTCTGGTTAGATGGCAAACTTATCTGTAATTTCCAAGAGACTGGTTGCCAACTTAAAAGTGGTAATCTCTTCATTCACCATTCATCAATTTGTTCAATCATTCAGCCAATATTTATTGAGTACTACTGAGTGGTAGGTCAGTTTTTGGCCCTGGATTTACAACCACGGGAATAAAAACAGAGAAGATGCCTACCTTCATGGAATTTACAGTCTTATTTTGTTTTATAGAAATCATGTGTCCTAGTAATCAAATGGGGAAAAACAGATTTGTCTTGAAAGCAGACAAAGAGAAATGGAAAAATCAATTACCCCTGTATTACTGTGTGGAGAAATGAAGGCATTCGTTTGGTTTGGCAGGTCATCTAAGCAGAGTGCTGCAAAAGAAAAGGATTTGTTGCCTTCTCCCGCTGGGCCTGTTCCTTCAAAAGATCCAAAAACAGAGCATGGCTCTCGGAAGAGGACTATTAGTCAGTCTTCTTCCTTAAAGTCAAGCAGTAACAGCAACAAGGAGACGAGTGGCAGCAGCAAAAACAGTTCCTCCACATCAAAGCAGAAGAAGACCGAAGGGAAGACTTCCAGTAGCTCCAAGGAGGTTAAGGTAAAGTGTTGGGGGCCTGGGGCTTTTGAAAATCATTCAACTTGCCATGTGACTTTTCCAGGGTGACACTGTGCTTTGAAATTATTGTAACATCTCAGTAAATATATAGGCCTATGTCTTTTACCCTCTATATGTAATAATCCTGATAAATGAATACAGTGATATAAGACTGTGAAGGTGGTAAGTCAGCTGGTCACATACATATTGAAAGAAAAACCCTTGGGTACAGTGGCTCATACCTGTAGTCCCAGCTATTTGGGAGGCTAAGATGGAAGGATCATTTGAGGAATTTGAGTCCAGCCTGGGCAATGTGGTGAGACCCTGTCTGTAAAAGAACTTTAAAATTTAAAAAAAAAAAAAAAAGATAGAAACCAGTCATTGGAAAAGTTGGTTATGGAAGCTTTTAAAATAAGAACTAAGTGGTTCTAGTTGCTAAGATTGAGTTGTTGTATATTGTTTGAAATAGGCTTTGAGTTTCTCAGAATTATACTTTACAAACAAGTTATATTACGTAAAGTGACAAAGCAATCATTTGACTTTGATTCATGAAATAGAAAAAGAAATCTTTAGCTAAGTTAGCACTGAAATTATTTCTAATTATTATTCCTAGGATACTCACAATGCAGGGGAGTATTCTTCATGTTTATAGTTGGAGATTTGGATCAAAGGAGCTTTTTCAAGGCTGTACTTTAATAGTCACTCAACCTCAATTTGTTTACCAGGTTGTTTGCTTTCTAAACTGTTCTGATCAGGAGCAAATTTACTTAAATCAGAAAATACCTATTATTTAGTAAGCAAAGGTTTGAGAGTTGAAAAATAAGACTCCTTAAAGCTATTATATTTATTAACTGGTAAAATTAAAATTTTTTAAATTGAGATTATTTTAATTAAGAACTTCTCAAATTAAAATACACAGAAAGCTTTTTCTCTAGCTGAACAACCTCTTTCTTTAGTAGTTTAGTGTTAGCACAAGGTGCTTAGGACCTTGACTTTTATATTGGCCTGCTTTATTGCTCCAGTTCTCCATCTGCCTGCTGATGGTTTTTCTCCATTTCCCATCCTTTAACTGTAGGATTTGAGGCCTCTGTGCTTGCTTCTTGAAACCTGCTATTGCTTTTTTAAATTATTATTTAATTTAATTAATTAATTTATTAATTAATTTATTTATTTGCTTTTAAATAAGTGAGCTCTCCTGCTCATTTGGATTCTGCTATCTCGTAGGTAAAAATCACTGTGTATGCTTCTATCACACGTAAGAAAGGAGTTTCTTCAAGAAGTTCGTCAGCTTCTTGAAAGCAGGCATTTGTGTCTTATTTTGTGTTTTATCCGGTGCTTAACTTGCTGGGTAATGAGGAAATATTTGTTGGATCAAATGTAGTCATTTGGTACTCTGTTGTTTTCAACAAAATATGGAATAGGGCCTTACCACTTTGATTTCAATAGCTCTTGGCACTTAACAGTTACTGAAGTTAGTATTTGTTAGTCTTGACAATTTCCAAGTTAGGCAGTGACATTTGAGTTTATTAGAGAATAATCTGTAATTTAGTTAGGAAATATGCTATTTTTTATTCTATCAACTAAAGAAAAAATTAGATCTGGAAAATCAACATTGCACATAGTTTTTATATAAGAAAACTGTGTTTAAATATTTGGAAACTTATTTTCAGAAATCCTCTGAAAAGCAAATCTGAATGTAGGTCCTTATGGGTCTATTTATAAAACATAGAGGGGGCCAGGCATGGTGGCTCACGGCCTGTAATTCCAACACTTTGGGAGGCTGGCTGGAGGATCGCTTGAGCCCAGGAGGTTGAAGCCACAGTGAGCCATGATTGCACCACTGCACTCCAACCTAGGCGACAGAGTGAGACCCTTTCTCAAACAAATAAATAAATAAAACAGAGGAAAAGCTATCCTAGTAATGTTACAGTACAACATAATATTCAGAAAGCCATTTCAAAGTATAATTATATATTTAAAAATTTTATATTTTTATATAAATATAAAAAATTTTATATGGGGTAAATAGGTAAAGTAAAATTATATATTATTGAGTTTTCTAATGTTGAAACATCCATGCATTCCTGGAATAAATTCCACTTGTTTATGGTGTTTTATTATGGAAAAATGTATATTCGTTTTATTAAAGATAGGGCTGGATGGAAGGCAGTTGAGAGAGAGTCATAGCTCTTTCATAAAGGGCTATATTGATAGGAGGCAGAATAGACATATAGCCAGGTGCAGTAGTACATGCCCATGGTCCCGGCTACTCAGGAGGCTGGGGTGGGAGGATCACTTGAGCCTAGGAGTTTAAGATCAACCTGGGCAACATAGCAAGACTCCCATCTCTTAAAATAAAAAAAAGACATGTGGATGAGAGGCAGAGTAAAGTTTAAGAAAGTAACTAGGCTTTTGAAGTCTGGCAATTCTGAATTTGAAACTCAAATTCCAAGAATGCCATTTAAAACCTGTTTGAACTTAGGCAAGTTACTCAACCTCCTTGAGACTGCTTTTTCATTTTATCTTAATAGCAGTACTTATTTCATAGGTTTGTTAAAGGATTAACAATAATGCTAAGTACTTAGTTAACTTAGTGCCTGGTAAGTAGTAAGCACATAATAAATATTAGATGCTATTAATATTATTGCTGTTTTCATTGACCAGTAACTACCAATAAATGTTGCCGTAAGTAGTGCTGCCATTTTCATACTAGGCTTTTGTCTTCCTTATGTTTTAACAACTGCCTAGGCCAGTGCCTGGCATATAGTAGACCCTTATATAAATATTAGAATGAATATTTCAGTTATATAAAATGGACCCTTTTTTTTTTTAAAGTTTACATTATGAAGTTTATAAAAGTTTTGTAACAAGGAAATTCATTATGAAAGGCAATGAAATTTTGTTTCCTTTTTACCAGTGGCTGAAGAAATGCTATTAGTTTCATTTTTAATCTCCTTACGGTTTTCATTGTAGTTATATATTTTTTTGGTCAGGAAAAGGCTCCAAGTAGCTCCTCTAACTGTCCTCCATCTGCACCAACTCTTGATTCTTCTAAGCCTCGGAGAACAAAGCTTGTCTTTGATGACAGGTGAGATAATATGATTTTTTGTATCTGTATTTAAGAAATGATTCCAGTCAGCATATAAGAAACTCATTTTCATTTCTATCATTGGCCGGGCGCGGTGGCTCACGCTTGTAATCCCAGCTCTTTTGGAGGCCCAGGCAGGCAGATCACGAGGTCAGGAGTTTGAGACCAGCCTGACCAACATGGAGAAACCCTGTCTGTACTAAAAATACAAAAATTAGCTGGGCGTGGTGGTACACACCTGTAATCGCAGCTATTCAGGAGGCTGAGGCAGGAGAACTGCTTGAACCTGGGAGGCAGAGGTTGCAGTGAGCCGAGATTGTGCCACTGTACTCCCGCCTGGGCAACAGAGCGAGACTCCGTCTCAAAAAAAAAAAAAATCTATCATTGATCAGAAGGATATATACTTACGTATGATCTGCAGAATATTCAGGTTTCAATTTGAAAAGTACCCACTAGTCCAAGTACGGCTCCTTTAGCTTAACTCCATGACTCCCATGAGGGATGTGAATGATCTGCCTTCCAGTAGAAGAATCTTACTACTGCTGATATCACTGTTAAAATGGAGGGTTTCTTAAATGAGGAAGAGCAATATTGTTTTTTCCTCTATTTTAATAAAAGGTAATTTCTCCTACTCACATTTTATTTATGCTTAATCTTACAATCAACTTGAGTAACTTAGTATTTGATACTAGGGAGCTTGATTTCTGTTTTCCTAATTAGGTTTGCCATGAGTTGGTCAAAACAACTTATGCTTTTAACCTGATATAAACATTTGTCAGAAAATACTGAAACAAATTCTTAGTAACAGCTCATTTTCTTTGCTTGAGGACATAAAAACTGAGGGATACTAGATACTGAAATGAACTAGTATTATGAAAATATTTACTATTCTATTTATAATGAAAATTTGTCTTGCAGAAATTATTCAGCAGACCATTATTTACAAGAAGCAAAAAAGCTAAAGCACAATGCAGATGCATTGGTATGTAGATATTCTCCTTACACTTACGTATTTAATCAAATTAACTTAAGTAATCTTCTGATGTTTGTAGCCATAGTAGATCATTACTCATTACTTGCATTCTCCTTTCTTCAGTCTGATAGGTTTGAGAAAGCTGTATACTATCTTGATGCTGTGGTATCTTTCATTGAATGTGGGAATGCATTAGAGAAGAATGCTCAGGAATCCAAATCCCCATTCCCTATGTATTCAGAGACGGTGGATCTCATCAAGTAAGTGGAAAAACTTGGCAGATCATTGGCAATAACATTATTTCTCTGGTCCATCAAGGAAGAGGCTGATATATAGTAAACTGAAGAGGGTGTATAATCCTTTAATGTCCTTGGATAAAGGAGAAGTAGATACTTCAATGAGTATTTTTGCTTTTATTTAGGTTTGAAATTCTAATGTTTTGAGGACAAGTGAAATCATAAGATCAAGGTGAAGTATTCTGTTTGTCATTTGTTTGTTATTGTAACTCAACAGATACACTATGAAGCTAAAGAATTACTTGGCACCAGATGCTACAGCTGCAGATAAACGACTCACAGTACTTTGGTGAGTTTTCTGTGTTCTAGCCTCTGCTAGATACAGGAAGTTCTATAATAAATAGTGCTGTGTGTGCTCTTCTGAATGTTTTCCTTGAATCAGACTTCTGTAATCCTGTCTTAAATCTGTTCCTGATGGGTCAAGCAGGAAGTAACTCAAAATTCCTACTGAAAGGTTTGAGTTGTTGTCAGTCTCTGATCCATTTCCCTCTTGATGAAAGCCTTGGCTTTGTGAGACTGATAGTAGAAACCTCCATGGTCTTGAATAATCACTTTTCCACACTCTTCATTTGGTACCCGCTCTCTCCATTCACATATACTTTTCCTTAGGGAGCAAGCATCTAGTTTGTTCAGAATAAAGGATGTGACTTGTTTGCTTCATCCCAGTGAGATATTATCAGTTCGATTGTTACAGGTCTTTACTTTACCTGGCACTGTGTTTAACACTGGGAATGCAGCTAAGAAGAAGACTAACACAGCCCTATTCATCATGGAGTATAGTCTAGTGTGAGAAGACAGAAATCAAATCATCATACAAGTCCATATGAATTAAGTATTTTGAAAGAAAAGTATATGTAACTGTAACAGTAGAGGGTAGGGAGACCTACTCTATTTAGAGGGAACAACATGTACAAGGGCTGGATGGTGGAAAGGAATGGGAAACTTTCAAGGAACTAAAAGAAGACCAGCGAGAAGTGGGTGTGACTGGAGAGATAGGCAGGGATGATCCTGCACGGTCTTTATAAGCTATGTTGTGGTTTGTAATATTTGCAGTTCAGTTTCCTAGTTTTTGTTTTTTAATTTTAGATTGTTTACACTTTGGTTTGGAAATTCTACCCCTTCGTAATTTTTAAAACTTCATGACATGTTGGTGTCCTATGGATAAGGTTTGGATTTTGGAATGTCAGCAAATAATGAGAGCCTAGTCCTAGGCTTCTTAGCCATCTTCCCCTCCCTAGGATGTGTACCACAATAAGAACACATCTGTTGGTTTTGCCTAACGGTTAATGTTGTGGCCTATGCCATGGTCACATGAGCCAGTCTCCTGCACAATGCAAAGGCTGTCTGTGCAAATCTGGCCAGAGTTTGCTGTCCTGGTAAATAAGCCGCCCTTTTCCATTGGCTAGCCTGCGATGCGAGTCTTTGCTGTACCTGAGGCTGTTCAAACTGAAGAAGGAAAATGCTCTGAAGTACTCAAAGACACTGACAGAGCACCTGAAGGTAAGTATGCAAAAGCACAAGGTCCGTTTCCTAGGAGACAGAATTTGTAGTCTCCCATCCCCATCTGAGAACTGCCCTCATGTTTATGCAAAACACACCAGGGGAGGAGCTACTGTTTGGGACTTTTCAAATAAGTTTGAGGTTTCTTTGAGTTTTTTAATCTACGTGTATCTGATTGTAGAACTCTTATAGCCATGTGCAGCGGCTGTATTTACTTTTTAAATGATCTTTTGTTTTCGGCCGGGTTCGGTGGCTCACGCCTGTAATCTCAGCACTTTGGGAGGCTGAGGCAGGCAGATCACGAGGTCAAGAGATTGAGACCATCTTGGCCAACATGGTGAAACCCCATCTCTACTAAATATACAAAAATTAGCCAGGCATGGTGCCACACGCCTGTAGTCCCAGCTACTTGGGAGGCTGAGGCAGGAGAATCGCTTGAACCCTGGAGGCGGAGGCTGCAGTGAGCCGAGGTCATGCCACTGCACTCCAGCCTGGTGACAGAGAGAGAGACTCTGTCTCAAAAACAAACAAAAAGTCTTTTGTTTTCATGCCATCCTTTTCTGACTACTATCTTAGTTTCCTAAAAGATTTTCCTATGTTTCTTCAGGCCAGTACCACATAAATCCTCCTAAAATCTGCCTCTGATTATGACTTGGAACCCTTCAGTAGTTGCCTGCTGGGTCAAGTTTAAACTCCTTACCCTGGCCCCAAGGGGTCTCTTGTTCCTTGTCTAAACCTCTGCTTTAGGCAAACTGCATGGGGCACATACACTGTCTTTTCTGCAGCCTTTGTGCATAGTATGATTCATCTCTCCCCTCTCCCCACCCACCCACCCACCCACCCCTTTTTTAAGAGGGAGTTTTTTAAAAAAAACGATCATGGCTCACTGCAGCTACTCCCAGGTAGCTGGGAGTAGCTGGGATGTATCCCCCTTCCCTTTATCCATGTGTTACTCATTATTTCCTTGCCTCTTCTGTGAAGTCTTCCAGAACACCCAGCTCTCACCTAATAATTTATTTCTTTTGTACTTTTACACACACACACACACACACACACACACGTATTTTGGTGTCTTAAATATTTACAGCTGCTCACGATGAGCTCTTGCCCAAAGCTTTTAAATATATTTAGAACTTCTTAAAGTAGTGGTGGTTTTTGTTGTTGTTAAGTACATTTTACTTTTTCCACAGAATTCTTATAATAATTCTCAAGCACCATCGCCTGGCTTGGGAAGGTAGGTAAAATTTTATTATGTAAAATATTATTGTGGCAATAAAAGTGAAATGAGTATGGTCCAATTTCCAAAAATGGAAAGATGACTACTTTTTAAATAAGTAAAACCATCTCTGATAAAATATTTTTAGAAGTTATAATTTTTTCTCTGTATTTTTTAGGAATTGAAAATATAAATGAACATAATCATAAAGATTAGATATGAGACGTTTCACCTGTTAAGAAATCTGAGTTTTTACTAGCACTCAACCCTTTTCACAGTTTGATTTCCATAGTTACTTGGACTTATCACAGCAGGCTTATCTTTAGTCAGATCTTGGCACTGCCAGAATTTAGTAACAATGACATGATTGTGATTTCTCCTTCATCTCCACGTCACTTTCATCCCACCTATCTCCCAAAGGATAAAAAACACCATGGAACCTTTTAAATTGTATCTGTTCAGTTATTATGTTTATAAGAATTGACATTCTTTGTCCTGTGTGTATTTTCTTACATAAGTTTATAATGCTAAAAGTGCAGATAAAAATACAAACAAGCCGGGCATGGTAGCTCACGCCTGTAATCCCAGCACTTTGAGAGGCCGAGGTGGGCAGATCACAAGGTCAGGAGTTCAAGACCAGCCTGGCCAACATGGTGAAACCCCATCTGTGCTAAAAATACAAAAATTAGCCGGGTGTGGTGTCGTGCGCGCCTGTAATCCTAGCTACTCTGGAGGCTGAGGCAGGAGAATCATTGGAACCAGGGAGGCGTGGAGGTTGCAGTAAGTCGAGGTCATGCCACTGCACTCCAGCTTGGGTGACAGAGCATGAGTGTCTCCAAAATATGTATATATGTGTATACACAAGTTTATTTTTACCCCAACTTTTGATTTTTCCTTTCTTTTAGTGTGTGATCATAGTCTTGAACATTTCACAAATTTTAATACTCCTGAAATGAACCTGCCAGATTTCAACATGTATGTTTTCTAAGAAATATTTAATTGGCAGGAAGCTTGGGGTGATTACAGTTGCTTGAGAGAGCTGTACCTCTTTGTTACCTCTGAGTAATTTGGTTAAACTAGGAAAGTGTCAGAAATTGTGGAGTTCAATAAAAGATGTTCCCATCTTCTACCACAGTTTTTTAGGTTAAATGTGAATTCCACCAAACTTTCTACAAAACAGTATAAAAAATATGTAATTATATGCCCGAACAGATGGAAAGTGTTGAGCAGAGAGTGAGGGGATCTGGCTTTTAAGTCTTTGAACTGTAACAAGGTACATGACTTCTTCAGTTATTGTCCATCTCTTGTTTTGTTGTTATTCATTAAAACAAAGGCTACAGATTCTAAGATAACAAGATTATGAATTACAAGATTATAGTACTTATTTAGAAGAAATTGTAGCTCTCTGAAAACCCATCTAGTTTAAGAGAATCTTTACATTTTAAATGCTTTCATGTAGAAAGAGCTAGTAGTACTTGATTTTATAATGCTTACCATGTCCATATGAACAAGCTTCCTATTTCTGTTGTGTAGCAAAGCTGTGGGGATGCCTTCCCCTGTTTCTCCAAAGCTGTCACCAGGCAATTCAGGAAATTATTCATCTGGGGCCAGTAGTGCTTCTGCAAGTGGTTCTTCAGTGACCATTCCACAGAAGATCCACCAGATGGCAGCCAGCTATGTTCAGGTCACATCCAACTTCCTCTATGCCACCGAAATTTGGGACCAAGCTGAACAGCTTTCCAAAGAGCAAAAAGGTAGGTAGGTTTCTGGATAAACTTCAAGGGATGGAATTGTTAGAAGGAACTTTTATAATTTAGTTAAGTAAGCGTTTAGTCTGTATTTAGTTTTATTATTTAGAGTTAATGATAATCTGTTTGTTAATAGTCTTCATTGCTTAGCAGTTAAACAATAAATGAAACTGAATTTGGTCAAAAGATACCTCTCATGATTCTGGTGACAAAACTAAACTGAAAATAGTTCTTGGACTAAGACAAATGTGCTTATATTCTGGCACATTAAATGCAGCTCATACCATAAAAGTAATAAAATATATGTCCTACCCTAGGATGGTTAACAGTAAATTTGGCAATAGGCATAAGATTACATCCAAACATCTGTACATCTGAGAAGGTTAATGTATAAGAAAGCATGCTCATACTGGATTTTTAGGTATATTGGAAGAAACCTGTGAAATAAAGGAGACTAGGGAATGAATAGAAATTTTTTTTTTTTTTTTTTTGAGATGGAGTTTCGCTTTTGTTGCCCAGGCTGGAGCACAGTGGCACGATCTCGACTCACTGCAGCTTCCACCTTCCGGTTTCAAGTGATTCTCCTGCTCAGCCTCCTGAGTAGCTGGGATTACAGGTGCCCGCCACCATGCCCGGCTAATTTTTGTATTTTTAGTAGAGATGGGGTTTCACCATGTGAACCAGGCTGGTCTTGAACTGCTGACCTCGTGATCTGCCCATCTCAGCCTCCCAAAGTGCTGGGATTACAGGTGTGAGCCACCACGTCCGGCCAGAATTCTTAACATTCTTTAAAATTAGGTTGTTTGAGGCTTTGCCCTTTAAAAGTTTATTATTTCCCAAACCAAGGACATGGAGAATTATAAAGTCTTTGAAGACCTTAGTGGAAAGTACTGTATAACCACCATTTTATTTAGTAGATGTTATTAGCAAATATGTGCATGCAGCTTCTCTTTAGGCAGATCCTTTACAGAGAAACACTACATTAGCCAATCAAGTGTCATTTTGTCACAGAGTACATTTAAATACTTACAGCGTGAACAGGTAATCAGATGAAAATGAAAGATTCCTATCCCTAAAGAGAGGCAATGGTGAAAGGTAAAAGTGGAATCCCAACTTTTTTTTTTTTTTTTTTGAGACAGGGTTTTACTCTGTCACCCAGGCTGCCCAGGCTGTGGCACAGTCACAGTTCACTGCAGCATCTACCTCTTGGGCTCAAGTGATCCTCGTGCCTCAGCCTCCTGAGTAGCTGGGACTACAGATGTGTGCCACCACACCTGGCTAATTTTTCTACTTTTTGTAGAGATAAGGTCTCATTATGTTGCCCAGGCTAGGAATCCCAACATTCAACATAAAGCTGTATTTATAAAAACATAATTTGTGGCCGGGTGTGGTGGCTCACACCTTGTAATCTCAGCACTTCGGGAAGCCAAGGCGAGTGGATCACCCAAGGTCAGGAGTTCGAGACCAGCCTGGCCAACATGGTGAAACCCCATCTCTACTAAAAAAAAAAAAAAAAAACTTTTTTGTATTTTATATTTGGCTGAGGCAGCAGAATCGCTTGAACCCAGGAGACCAGGGTTGCAGTGAACCGAGATCGCGCCACTGCACTCCAGCCTGGGCGACAGGGAGACTGTCTAAAAATAAATGAAAATAAATAAAAACATGGGATTTAGTTATCAGTTGGTTCATGGCATATGATGGTAGCCGAAAGTTTGATATAATCTTAAGTGTCTAACCTCACAGAGGCTGTTACAGGAAACAGGCAAAGAATGTCCTCCTTTTTGTGTCACTTGCTTCTTATACAAAAGCAATGCACAAAATGTTTTGAGTAATCAGTAGCACATTATGGCATTAAATCTTCATTTTAATAATATCTACTGCATAATAGCAATTTATCATTTCCATTCATGGAATCCTGCTTATATATAACACTTAATTTCTGACCATACATTCTGTTTAAAATGTTGCATGACTTAGGGAACAAATGTAACTTGAGAGACTATGGAATGATTTGCTCTAAAACATGGACAGTAAGCATTTTAGTGTAGGAGGAGGTATTTTTTGAGTTTATGAATGCTGTTTTATAATCTCTACTCATAGTTTTAAAGCAGTGATTCAAAAGAGTATATATCATTTAATGAATGTTTTTGGTTTTCTAGAATTCTTTGCTGAACTGGATAAAGTAATGGGCCCTCTCATCTTTAATGCAAGCATCATGACAGATCTAGTTCGTTATACCCGGCAGGGACTGCACTGGCTTCGCCAGGATGCCAAGTTGATATCTTGAACTGAACACATTCTCGTTGCCTCTGATTTTCTCCACAACACTGTGTCACATCACGAAGGAAAACTGCCATAACATACCACCTAGTCGACACTAAGAATGAGGAATAGTTTTCTCCTCGTTGGTTCATGTGTTGTTGTTTTTGATAATCCAAAGCGATCATGTCAGTTGGCCCTTTAATATTTCCAATGTGAAAGATTATTTAAATGCTTTTAAATCTGCAGCACATTGATAAGATGGTTTCCGTGAGCTATGATAAGATTGAAATTCCAGTTGCAATTCATAACTAATGAATTGAAATTTTATTTATTTTAATTTTTTTAAGTTCCCAGATTGGGGCTAGTTTAAGACTTAGTTATTTCTGCCTATAAATTTACTCTGTTGAATATTTAGCATAAATTTAATGTAGACATTTTTATTTATATACCTTGGGAGCTTTATTACCTAATATCTTTTTGTGGTAGCTGTTCTAAGAGTAAGAATTGGTTCGTCTAAAATAAGGACATATTCTTTCTACACCTGCTACCTGACCTGATATTTGAAATCTTAACTCCAATTTTATTATTGTGGAATTTACAGTTAGTATTAAGGATATTCTTCTACACATGAAAAAATCACTTAAATATGAGAAAATGGCATTCTACATGTATGTACTATGAAATGTGTCTGATTTGGTATGCATTATTTCAAAAACTGTGAATGTGTGTTAATAACACTACAGCAATCACACAGTGACTATAGCTTGCATTTAATGCATTACAAAAGAGGGAGGACAAACTTTCTAGAAGAAGCATTTCATGTTGAAGGGTTTCATAAAAGGACAATCCTGAACGTTACGGATTTTATTAAAACCATATGTTATTTTTTGTTGCTAATCATTTGACACTTAATCGAAACAGAATAAGTTACTGTGGAAAAAAGGATGATCCAACTCCTGAGGATTGCCGCCTGTGTGTCTTTAATTGATTATCTTTGATAGTTAGAGTTATTTTTCAGATTTTTCCCCCTCATACTGGATTGTGATGCTCTGATATGAGCATGCAATGACTGATACAGAAATAGGCTGGAGCTTCGGTGTGTGCTTTTGCTATACAGCTTACAGTTCTAATGCCTGATGTAGAGATGATGAATTTCTCCTTTTTAAACCTATCTTCTGTTTACTCCTTTTGCATTATGAAGGCCCTCTTCAATGATGTATGTTTCTGATGGAATCAGAAAATTTCACACTAGAAAAGTGTACCTAACTTGATTCAGTGTGAGCTCTTGGGACAGGGAGTGGAGCCAGGGGTAGAGCTTAAAGAAGCTGGCTCTGTAAGAGTTGTATATCAAAGTACCTTTTGCTACAAGGTGCATATAGAAGTCTAAGATAAGAAATGTACCCTCTATACTTTATTTTTCATGCCCCTATCATGTTTGGTGTGCCTTAAATCTTACCTTTAAATGAAGACTCTATGGATTGTTTACAAATGAAGTTTTACACTAGGACCAGATCGTCCATACATGATTGGTCTTCTACAATAATAATGTTCAATTCTTTCATTTTAAATCTTTCTTTAGGGTCATATAAAGATTAGTTCTTTCAGAAAAGCTATTGCTTTGGTACATGACTTAGTCTAACCAGTTGGGTAATGCTGCTTTGAAAAATAGTTTGTCCCTCTCCCCATTCCAAAAATGAATCCATTCAGTCAGAAAAAAAGATTATCCTACTATTTGTAGATGATTGCTAAGGCTTGAAATAGGAAAGGGGAAAGAAGGGATAGAAAAGTTTCAAGTCCAGTAGTGCAGTGAATCCTTTGTGTTTGAGACTTTTTTACACTTATTTCTGAAGTTAGTGAACTTTCATTGTCCCTGTGGCCTCATATTTATAGAGCTTCTTAACTGTTTTGTACCTCAGATTGTTTTTAGATGTCATTGAAGATTGAGATGTACAAATTATGTTGAATTTAACCTGTTTCTCTTGGAGAAATTGCCTCTGATATCTTTCTAACTTAATCTTAGTGTGTTCTAGGAACAGTTTTCCATAAGAGGACAACTTCTCAATGATCATGATAGTTATTTAGTAAGAAATAATGGTTGTTAATCAAATACATGTTATGTCTTGTCCTTCTCTGATTTTTCTGACTTGGATTCCTTAATTTGCAGTGATGTCTTAGAAATGGAAAAAGTATCCTCTGGGCTTTCAGACTTTCAGCAACAACAGCCAGTGGGATACCTCTGAGTTCTTGTGTTCTAGTCTCTTGTATGTCCTGAAAGGCAGCAGGAGCATTTTTGGGGTCACACTGATATTTTGTTAAAGCAGAGTTTCCTGCATGGTTTATGGTGCTGCTCTAATATTTTCTCTTTAAAACTGTGTCAATTTTTGGAGAATGAATTTTTCAACCTTTTCATTGTGGAGGATTTTTCCCACAAGGTAGTAATGGGCAATGGATCAAAATCCTATCATAAATGATTGAATTTTCAATGTCATAGTGTGTGGAAATACTACTCCCTTTCCTCCATGTCTATCTTCTTAGATGTTCTGTCTTTGTCATCATCTGCTCCAGCACATACTTTGGACTCCTTTACAGGTGACCTTCCCCCCTCCCTCCTCAATAGGTGTCCTCAGTGTTTTCTAAGCATTTAAAACTGAATTTGACAAGTGGCTAAAAACTTAGTCTGAGACTTGTACTTAGTATATGGTTAATTATAGAAACAACAACTATTTTAAACAGTTACTCTGTTGACTGCTCTTTATGACTACACTTGTATGCCAGGAGGCAGCAGCCTATACACCATTAGACTCTTTACAAGCAACCAACGAACCAATTGCAGTGGTTGCAGTTGTCACAGTAGTCTTGCCTGGGCCAGACTGGGCTGGGCTGTGGGAAGCATTCCCCTTCAGGGGAGTTTCCACAGCTCAGCCCAGGCTCCAGTCTGGCTAGAGAGCATCCAGCCCATTCCTTGCCTCAGTGCCACCTTTTTCTGGGCAAGTAGCCAAGAAGTGACTTTATATGCAGTGAGTACTTCAGATAAACTTACAGCTACAGCTGCCGAAGAGTGGAGAAGGTTGACCACCATTTATTTAATTCTCTAGTGTAAAAACAATTGAGAGCAGTGTGCGTGAGCCCACAGACACCTGTGTTTCTGGGAGCTCTGGCAGTGGCGGATTCATAGGCACTTGGGCTGCACTTTGAATGACACACTTGGCTTTATTAGATTCACTAGTTTTTAAAAAATTGTTGTTCGTTTCTTTTCATTAAAGGTTTAATCAGACAGATCAGACAGCATAATTTTGTATTTAATGACAGAAACGTTGGTACATTTCTTCATGAATGAGCTTGCATTCTGAAGCAAGAGCCTACAAAAGGCACTTGTTATAAATGAAAGTTCTGGCTCTAGAGGCCAGTACTCTGGAGTTTCAGAGCAGCCAGTGATTGTTCCAGTCAGTGATGCCTAGTTATATAGAGGAGGAGTACACTGTGCACTCTTCTAGGTGTAAGGGTATGCAACTTTGGATCTTAAAATTCTGTACACATACACACTTTATATATATGTATGTATGTATGAAAACATGAAATTAGTTTGTCAAATATGTGTGTGTTTAGTATTTTAGCTTAGTGCAACTATTTCCACATTATTTATTAAATTGATCTAAGACACTTTCTTGTTGACACCTTGAATATTAATGTTCAAGGGTGCAATGTGTATTCCTTTAGATTGTTAAAGCTTAATTACTATGATTTGTAGTAAATTAACTTTTAAAATGTATTTGAGCCCTTCTGTAGTGTCGTAGGGCTCTTACAGGGTGGGAAAGATTTTAATTTTCCAGTTGCTAATTGAACAGTATGGCCTCATTATATATTTTGATTTATAGGAGTTTGTGTCTGGGTCCCAGGAACATCTACTGGGGATGACTGTTAGGCAGCTTGTGATGATGTTTTTTAAAAAACCTAAGTAACTTGGGGAGACAGAGCATTTCAAACCCATATAGACACCTATCATACCTGTATATCCCCTAATACATGGAACATAAATTTCATTTCAGCTTTATGCATTAATGTATTGAAGAGGCAGGCTTTTTTTCCAGTAATAATACTGTACATCTAAGGTTGCTATTCAGTAAAACTAATAGAAGAGATAATTATTGAATACCTTGGAATATGTAGTGAGAAGAGGCCAAATTTTTCATGTTTGTGAGCATGTCTTTCAGATACTCGCTAATGGAGAAATTCACTTTAGACCTCTAGACCCCAAAACCAAGTTAGCAAGTGACAAAAAGTAAATTATTAATAGTCTGTAAAGTGGATGCTGGTCTTACAAAGCTCCTATTCACATGAACCCTATGGTTAATTAGAAAGAACTTGCTGTCTCCAGAAAAGGGAATGGAAATAATAACTATGTATCTTCTTTTCATGTAATTTGGTCACAGAATAAGGTATTCAAGTTAAGTCTAATCCAAGTCTTAGAGATCTTTAAGTATCCTAAAATAGCAGCCTAAGTAGTCATCATGTAAAGAAGTTGACTTTCAGGAATGTCAGCATTGACCTCTCCTTGCCACTGTTACTCAGCTAAACATAACTTGCCATTCTTAAAAATAAAAAAGCTCCCACCCAGAAACTCTAGTGATACTCAGTTTTGACCTCTTACTGCTTCCATGTGGGACTTCTTTTCAGCTTTTAACCATTGGAATTTTCTACCTGCTATGTTCCTCTCTGGAAAATATCAATTTGGAAATGCTGCCTTTCAAATCAATGCCATGATCATCCATATTGTTGAGTTTGTTGTTGGTGTTCCAGAAGTGTCCCCATTTTACAACTTTATGCACACACCTGGCAAATCATTAACATGAGCATTCAACAGTACTGGGATGGGTGGGGTGGGGGTAGGGGGCTCACCAACAGAACTGGCCAGTTGACATTGCCTGAAAAGGCACCACCTTTAAGGGCCAGTTGTGGGGTTGGTAAGCACAGTTATGAAAATTTCTATCTAGCCTCCGTTTTGAATGGTTTTAAGAAATTTTGTATATGGAGGATGGAAATGCTTATATATTTATTGAAAATCCTTTTATTTGAAATTAAAATTATTTGGTATATAATTGTTTGATATTTGGGGAGGGTTTTGGAGGGGAGATAATGTCACTGATAAATTAAAAGCCTGTTGATTTTGCAGAAAGGTACTGTTAGTGACTGATAAGGATGCCTTTGTTTTGTACATGAACCAAATCTTTGTTTTACATTTCTTTTATCCAAAATATTTAGGCATCTGACATTTTCAACCAGAATTTCAATTATATACTGTGATTTTTATTTGTTGCAATACATTACAATTTCAGAGGTACTTTGGGGCTCAAAAGCTAGGATTTCTAAGTCAGTATGTGCATTTCACACGATAAAGCTGTTAATGGTGAGCAAAGTATTATATACTAACTAGATTTTTCCACATCTGTATAGTATATTATATGTATTTTGTGGTATTGAGAGTATAGAAAGTTTAGAGTGTCAAACATGCGTTTAATGTGTATTTTTAAACAAATTTATGGCAATTAAAATATTTGGAGACAAGGGTATCACATTTCAATTTGTAAAGATCTTTTTAACTCTACTGTGTCATTAAGATGCTTTGTACAATGCCAAACCATAGTTGGAGAAACTAAGTTTAATAAATATCAAATAGATTTTCTGTATTAAAGTTACTGAACACTGTACTCTTTATATTTCTTCAACTCTGAGCCCTTTTCATGCAATTCCTGTTTTGTGTCTTAAGGTCCGTTACTACTCTTTAAAAGTCTGTTCCCACCAGCTGAGGTCTCATTTTCTGATTACAGAAATTCTGAACTTGCTGGCCATGGGTCCTTGTGCATATGTCAAAATTCACCTTGTCCCAACAGAAATCTTAAATCTCTTTTGGTGCTTTTGGTGGCTTGGGCTTTCATTGCTTTATTAAACTAGATTTTTCTCTCTGTTCTGCCTTATCTTCAGACAGCCATAGACAAACCTGGGTGCTTCATTAGATGGCAAGTGCTTGACCATCTTTTTTTTTTTTTTTTTTTTTTGAGACAGAGTCTCTCTATGTCACCCAGGCTGGGGTGCAGTGGCATGATCTTGGCTCACTGCAACCTCCACCTCCCAGGTTCAAGTGATTCTCCTGCCTCAGCCTCCCAAGCTTGACCACCTTTGACACCTCCCTGAAGAGTATGGAGTGAAGGGATCCAGGGCCACAGCTTAGGAACTTGCTGAAGTTGATTACGTAGCTATTGATTATGTAGCTCTCACTACACTTTCCAGATTGAGAAGTTAACACATTATTGGGCAATGCTGTTTTTTTCTTTAGTATACAAAATGAATCCTTCTTTCCCTCAAAAGCTTGAATTCCAGACTGCTAAAATTTCAATTTGAGACATTTAATAGTATCCATAGAAAAATAAACTCTAAATTGACAAGTTTAGTTATGCTTATCCATATATCAACATTCTAAGAAGAAATGGAGACCAATTTAAAGCGTACATCTGCCTTTAAATATTAAAAATACAAGATTGCTTCACTTGGGTGTCTCCAGCCAAAATGCAGTTAATCAATATTCCATAGAACGGAGCATTGTCGGAGGTGACTGCTGTCCTTTCTTTCCCTGGTATGTACATCATTCCTGGGCCACACTTAAGGAACAGCGTCTTTTTCTAGGGGAAAAGAAAGGGTAGTTTTTTAAGACTGGGTCTAGGAATGACCAGGGCCACCTATGCTGCATTTCCTTCCTCTTTGCTTGATCTGTCCAGTCTCAGGAAAGACTGAAGAATGGAAAGGCACCACTCTTTCATGGTACCCACATAGAGCTGTTCTTGGCTCCTAACTCCTAAGGGATTTTCCATGGAGCTCCCAGTCTCAGTCTAGAACTCCTCCATCCCAGCTTTATTCTTAGGTTCATGTGTCCCCTTGTCACTCCTCTGCCCAGCTTCCCAGGGCTCTCTGGCCCAACCCTGCTCCCAGGTTCAGGGAGTACCTGCATAGCCTTGTGATACACTCAGAATCATCCCGGCAGGAGGCTCCAATAGGCCTGAGGGAAACCCCTCTCCAAAATGGGGTCATTCTCCGTGGCCTTCTCTTTGCCGAACTCACTTCTGGTATTGGGGAGCCATCTATCTGTAAGGGCAAAGACATTCAGATATGAAAGTGTTGACACCCTGCTGCACACCTTGGAAGAGTGATCATTCCATTCCGCAGATGCTGTAGACTCAGAACAGAGGAACCATTCCTCAGGACTGAATCTAGCTTTCAAGTTCCACCACCACTATCATCTCCACACTCCACACACACACATAAGTATCCTTCCCTCCTTACCTGGCCCAACAGCAACAGGAAGATCATGAGGACTGCACAAAGTTTGAGGTGCCACATCTTGACAGGGGGAGGATGTTGGAGCCTGAAAGCCAGGGACAGTTCCTACTTCCTTTTATAGACTGACATCAACTCTTGCATTGTTACTGGGTGAGATGGGGGCAAAGTTTATATTTGTAATCAGAATCAATTTAATAAGTTAATGTCTACCGGAGGAATGTGCTCAAGGGCCACCTTTCAGGCACGTTGTATTTACTGATCCCTCATCTGGACTTTGAGTGATTGTGTTGCTGGCATGGACCCTTTCGCCCATTTTACCAAAAGTCAGCACTGCCCTTCCTTCCCTTTGAAAGCCACGTGAAACCATTGAGGGAGGTCAGGCAACTAGCCACATTTCTATTCCAAAATAGCTCAGTGAGATCACTCCCATAGAATTCCAATAATGAAGTCTTCAGAAATAATGTTGGCCCCTTTCAGCCTTGTCTAGGAAAGAAGCACTGATCTATTGTGTACAGCCAATTGGATAAGGCCCTTATCTCCTTTCTGTGGGAGGATGCTTCAGCAAGGCCTACAGTTCCCCAGATCGTCCACTTGCTTAGATGGACTGTCACCCTAATCTGCACCTCTTTATCTCACTAGTAAAATGAAGACCCAGCTGTGGAAAGTTCAAAGTCTGGCCTCCTGCCCTCTCAGGGGAATGGCTGGATGTGAGACTTATTTGGACCACAGGTGAATTGAATAATTATAGGTTTCTTTTTGTTTTTAAGCACATGTAGATGAGGAGGTAACAAGATCTCCTAAATCAGAGGGAGAGCTTGTGTAGTGACTGTATTAAAAGCCTTGAATTATGGGCTTTCTTCCCAGTAGTTGAGTGGGGCCTTTCCTTCCGGCAGCTTCAGGGCAACAGGCATAGGGATGAGATACCTCCAAAGCCCAAAGCATCCATCAGTTTAAGTAGGAACTGCTGCAGATTTCTAGACCAAGGGAGGACATGTATCTAAACGATGGGTAGTTATGGGTACTCGTGAAATGACATGGGCATTTTAAGTTTGAGGGGAAAGCTGTGAATTCTGAGTAAGGAGACTGATTGGACTTTAGATCTTCCTATGACCTGGGAGGATAATAAGCTTAAGACAAAGACAACAAATTCTTTCTGCCGGGCATCATACTGAAAACTTGGCTAATACCTCTTCCCAAGGGCCGTCTCATCTTCACAGGTTGGGTATTTGGATAAGAACCTGCTTGTTCCTTTACTCCAGGAAAACGTGGAGGAGATGCACAACAGCTGAAGGTAGAAAAGGATGGCCACTGACCCTGCTGCCAGTCAGACAGAGGGAGCTTCTTGCCAAGGGAGAAGCAGATGGTTTGATGGACCTCAGAGCTGGAATTGGGCAGGATGTGACCACAGATCTGACTGTCCTGATTCTAGTCCTCTCAGAATCATGGAGCCAGGCCTTGAGGGGGATGCCACTGCATGCACTTTAGGAACATTGAGAAGAGACCTATATACCAACGAACCAGTTGAGACTAGTTCTCTGCTCCCTCCCTTCACCCCTAAGCTTGGATACTGGATGATCCCAGACAGGTGCCTAAACTGGGAACTTTTGCTGGGAGGGGAAGTGGCTATGTGGGTGACCTAGTGAGCACTGGGTAAGAACACAAATGATTAGATAAGCAAAGGACTGAACAACGTGATGTCCTAGAGCCAGTTGGGTCTGTGGCCTCAGTGTCAGCCTCCCCTTTACCAGTCTAGAGTGATGTGCCAAATGGGATTTGGAAACTGTTCATCCAAAAGATGAGTAATTCTCCTAATCCTCCATTTCTGCCTTCCTGTACTTCTAGCAGGATCAAACTAGCATGGTGTTAATTTGTAAAGCTGATAACACAGTCAAGGAAAGAAAGAGCTTGAAGCCCTTGCCCCTCTGTGTGTAGGCGGAAAGGACCATTCATCCTCATGAGTGTGACAACATTGCAGAGGCCTTTGGTTCAAGCCTCTATGTTGTATGCCACCCTCTCCCCAAAAGAAAAAACCATTAGTCACTGTCTGTGGAAGGAACCACTGTTGGGGAAGGGGAAAGTATTTTAACATGTCTACGTGAATGCTAGTTGTTTTAGTTAAGTATGGAGCAAAAATCAAACTCAAAGCAACATCCAGGCAGCAGTTAGCTGAATTGGCAGTATTTGTCCACAGCCATCCCATACTTGAGAGACTGTGAAGGCCTCTTCTTGAAATTAAAAAAAAAAAAATTTCATGGATTCTACAATCAAGTATTTTGCTCAGTGAATATACACGTAACTGCATGCTCCTTCATCCAATAGAAAGGCCTAAGTAGCCTTTAACAGTTGCAGCCGTAAGAAGGTAGAATGCTTGGCTGGTAAGCAGTAGCCTGGGGTCTACAGAGTGCAACTGCCCATAGGCCAGCCCTTCCCCTTTTTGGGCTTTAGTCTCCTATTCTGTCAGTTTGGGGGTTCAAATGACTAATTTACAAGAAGAAAATGAGACTGAAGCAGATTTGATAGCTGAGAGCTTGGTAACTCTGGATACAACTCTCAAGAGATTTTATGCTTCTGAGGCAAATGCTTAGGATGAAATGGGAGAAAGAGGGTATAGCTACATGAGCAGCTGTTTGAAACACATTCCAGGTCGATCACTAGGAGTTGGCAGTAATTGGAAACTTTTTGCTGTCCCTAAGCAGGAGGTGCCTAATAAAAGATGAAAGACTCTGAAATGGAAAAACTTTACCAGGTAAAATTTCAACAAAAGGTCAAGGTGTATTTGCTTTTTTGCTAGCTGGAACTGGCATAGACTTTTGGGCCTACCTTAGGCCTGCATTTTGAGGACTGCCTGCAAACTAAAAGAGCAAGGGCATTCCTTTCATCAGACTCTGCAGCCCATAGATAAAAACGCTTGTGGGGGCAGGAGCATTTGGAAAAAGAAAGGTCAAATGGAGCAAATGGTTGTGCCAGAGTAGCAGGTAAGGGATCCATACCCAGGACTGGAGGCTCCAGATGGGTTACCAGCACTGAAGCCCACAGCAGCTGTCTTTCCTTCAAAGGTTTTACTCAGGTTCTCCTCTGAGGATTTCTGCAAATGTCCCCTAAAATGATCCCAGGTCATGTATAGGAGCACTGAACTACTAAAACTCACCACATTCCACACACCCACCACCTCAGCACTCCTGCCACACAGGTGAGATCCATTTCCCCAAGCTTAGAGAGGGAAGCCCTTTGATGAGACACAGGCTTAAAGCAGACTAATTTCATCCAAAGCAGAAGCTCCACACATCACAGGGCTTACGGCAGAGTCATCTCAGTAGAGCACTCCTGGAATAAAAAGAATAGGCTTGGTGCCTGGTTTGGGCTGAGAAAAGGGATTTGGATCTTTTGAGCTGGTCTCTCCAAAGGAGTCAAAGAACCAGGGAGAAATAGTCTAAGTGTAGAACAAGGTGAGCAAGATGGGAGAGGGTGGCCGTCTACTTCGGCGGGTTGGGGCAAACACCAGAGGGAGAAAGACATTAACGGCCTCTCAAAGCAGTGGTCCTCCTCTGGGCTGTGAACTCTTTGAAGCTATGCAAGGTAAGGATGGGTCCACAGTTTTCATCATTCTCAAGTCTATGACCCAAATATGTTGCAAGACCTGGGAATAAATCTGGACAAAGAGGCAAATGGGAAAATTGGACTGTCTTTTGGGGGTGAGGTAGAAGAGTTCCTCAGTTAGTTGCCCTGTGTTAAGCCCGTACCATCTTGCCAGACACTTGTCACTCATTTCACCATCACCACAACCCAAGAACTTTATAATATTTCTATTTTATGGGTGAGAAGCTTAAGGCTCATGAAAGTAGGTTTCTTGCCTATATCACATAATGAGGAAGTGACGGGCTAAGAGGACGAGCCCAAGACTGTAAGACTCAGCCTTTTCCCCGTATCCTGCCTCACAATGTAGTTTATCTTTTAGGTTTTGTTTTGAAGTCTCGCTCTGTCACCCAGGCTGGAGTGCAGTGGCACAATCTTGGCTCACTGCAACCTCCACCTCCCAGGTTCAAGCGTTTCTGCCTCAGCCTCCTGAGTAGCTGGGATTATAGGCGTGTGCCACCACACTCAGCTAATTTTTATATTTTTAGTAGAGACAGGGTTTCACCATGTTGGCCAGGCTGGTCTCAAACTCCTGACCTCAAGTGATCCATCCACTTCAGCCTCCCAAAGTGCTGGGATTACAGGTGTGAGCCACTGTATCCGGCCATGTTTTGAAGTATCTTAACTTTTGATTCTTAAAAGGCAATAGCAGTAATTAGGATAATAAAGATACAGTCTGGCCAGGCACGGTGGCTCACACCTGTAATCCCAGCACTTTGGGAGGTCGAGGCAGGTGGATCACGAGGTCAAGAGATCAAGACCATCCTGGCCAACATGGTGAAACTCCGTCTCTACTAAAAAAAAAAATAAAAATACAAAAATTAGCTGGGTGTGTTGGTATGCGCCTGTAGTCCCAGCTATTTGGGAGGCTGAGGCAGGAGAATCACTTGAGCCCGGGAAGCGGAGGTTGCAGTAAGCTGAGATTGCGCCACTAAACTCCAGCCTGGTGACAGAGCAAGACTCCCATCTCAAAAAAAAAAAAAAAAAAACACAGTCTGACCCAGAATCAAAGTTGCTGCTAGCAGGAAGAGTCCTTAGAAGAGTTTCTAAAAACGGATCTCAGATCCCATAGCATATACTGTACTGACTGAGCTATGACAACTCATCATATTCCACATACCTGCTACCACAGGTGAGATCCATGTCCCGAAGCTTAGAGAGAAGCCTCTCTAAGGAACTAGAGGCATAAAACTGCCAACCACACCTACCCCCACCATCTCTCGGTGGGCGAAGGGAAAATGGTATCTTTAATACCAAAAAGATAATTTAAAGGCTTTAGATCAGGGGTAAACTTTATTCATAAAGGGCCAGAGTAAATCTTTGAGGCTTTATGAACCACATATGGTTGAAAACATTGTTGGCCTCCTGGCACAGAAACAGAAAACTGCTGTGGAGGCTAAGAGATCACCTCATCCGTTTTATAGCTGATATCCCCTCAGGCTAAGGCCTGCCTTAGGAGGAAAGGCAGTAGAGCAAGCTTGTCCAACCGCAGTCCTGGGCAGCAAGCAGCCCAGGATGGCTTTGAATCCGACCCAACAAAAATTTGTAAACTTTCTAAAACGCTGAGGGTTTTTTTTGCCATTTTTTAAAGCTTATCAGCTATTGTAATGTTAGCGTATTTTATGTGTGGCCCAGGGAAGCTAAAAGATTGGACACCCCTGCAATAGAGCATAGTTTTAAGAGCATCACTTTAGTGCAAGACTCCACCATTCACTGCTGTATAATTTCTGGCAAATTACTTAATCTCTCTGTGCCCATTTCCTCATCTGCCAAATGAGGATACGTTAAAGGTGCTTGTGAGGTTTAACAGTTCATTTGTGTAGCTAAGAAGAGTATTTGAGGCCCAGAGCACCATGGCTTACGCCTGTAATCCCAGCACTTTGGGAGGCTGAGGCGCACAGATCATCTGAGGTCAGGAGTTCCAGACCAGCCTGGCCAACATGGTGAAACCTGTCTCTACTAAAAATACAAAAAATTAGCCAGGTGTGGTGTCCTGCACCTGTAATCCCAGCTACTCGGAGGCTGAGACAGGAGAATCGTTTGAACCCAGGAGGCACAGATGGCAGTGAGCCGAGATCACACCACTGCACTCCAGCCTGGGTGAGAGAGCAAGACTCCATCTCAAAAAATAAAAAATAAAAGCGTCCCTGACACATACTAATTACAATATAGTTAGTAGACTTTATTGTTGCTATGGGAGCAGAGGGCCAAGAACCAGCACTCGCCATAGCCCATGTCACCCACAAATGGTTAGATGCAGGAGTACCTGCAGCTACTTTCTTGTAGATAATGGAACAAAGGGGGAGCCCTGCTCTTTCACCAAAACCCGAGACCAGGCAAAACTTCAAGACTCATGCTGAGGAGGGGCGCTTCATGAACTTGAATATTAGTGGTCACACAGGATTCTACTCACAAAAATGTAATATCACAACAGTGCAGACCATAGGAAGTTTATTGTGTCTTTGAGACACTACAATGCAGACTCCTCTTCCAGAGAAAGGTCTTTCAGAGACAGGGAACCGTCATCCGGATGCGTTGCTCATTTGTCATTTTCATAGGCAGCTGGATTCTTCCTCTTGGATCTCTCGAACTCTTCAGTCCCCCATGTGTAGATAAGATAAAACACTACAAACTCTTTAAAAATTAAGAGAGTAAACAGAGAGCACACATATAAGACATATAGAAGAAAAAAAAAGGTCTCAGTCCTCTTGTCTTCTTTAAAGCATACACTTCAGTAGTTCTTAGCATATCCAAGGCCATGCAACTATCATCACTATCTGCTGCACGTTTAACACAAAGCATTTCACCACTGGTAAGAACTAAATAAAGGTGACCTCAGAGGAACATGCTGGAATCACCCGAGTGACCTTGGGCCAGTCATTTCAGTTCTGTAGCTCAGTTTTCCCCGTGTAAGATGGGGAGGATAATATGACCAGCTTAAGGGCGGTCAGGAATATTCAATGAGAAAGGTGTGTACGGCAAGTTACAGAGCGCCTGCCCGGCCGCCAGCGCTCAGAGGGGAGGCGCAGTGACTGCTGCTGCTGCTGGGGTCCAGCCTCCCGCTCCCGCGGGCCCAAGGCACTCACGCGGCACCACGCGAAAGAAAGACTCCCGAATGCGGCGCAGAACATTGGGGATTCCTTTAGTGAAGACGTGCGGATAGGCGCGCTGCTCGAACGGTGACAAGCTGTAGCTGATCACATGCCGCATCCGCGTCAGATTCCCAAACTCGCGGCCCATTGTGGCGGCGGCCCTGCAGGACCGAGGGTGGACAGGCGCTTGGCTCGCTTTCGCGAAGCGCCGCAGTCCCCGCGGGGGTCCATCCCCAACCCCAGACTCCTGCCCCTGCACTCCTTATCCTTTCCCAGCCCAGCGGGGCGCCCCTAGCCTCCCAGGGTCCACGAACACTGCACAACCAGACCCCACTCACGCACAGGGCTCAGCTCGCCCTCCACAGTCACCGATCCGGTTGACTCGTTCGTCATTTCCGGCAAGGTTGGAAGCCGCTCTTGGAGGTCGTGAGGTAACTTCCGGGAGATACCATTTTCCTACTGTCTCTAAGGGATGACGCCTTTGTCCCAGAAAGAAGTGGGCTGACTGGGTGACCCGTAGGTGGGAGGTGCCTTGGAGGCCCTGCCCGGGCCGGTGGGGTGGAGCCTAGCGGAGGACGTCGGGGATTGAACTGACTTTGGGGGACAGTGGACAGGCGGAGGCGCTCACACTTCTCCTCAGCCCTCGGCTTTTCTGTGGAATCCCAGTCAGGAAGCGGCCGAATGCGGGAGGCGGGGGAGGGAACAAAAAGGTGACGAGGAAGGGGCCTGCCGACCTCCGGGGCAGCGCTGGCCAGGAGCTTGGGGCCTGCGAGTCTTCCCAGCTGTAGACAGAGCGCCTCTGAGCCCCGAGGCCGGGCCGCCCCACAGCAGAGGAGCACGAGGTTTCATTTGGCCTTGGCCAGTAGCTCAAAGGGGGCTTCGTTATTTTCAGGCCATGAGCGACCCCAGCACCAAAATCAGGGACACACATCGAAGGCTTCTCTTGGACTCTGTTTTAGAGTCCCCTGGCAGGCTGTTAACGTTCCCAAGAGATAATACAAACGTTTCGTCAGTTTCAGCCACAAAAATAATCAAATAATCGTCAATTGATGAATGCTGAGGCCGCCTCGACAGCAGCCAGCGTCCTCCCCAGATGGTTTGCGTGGGGTGGGGGGAATCACGATGCCCCAGTTCTTTCTTCTCCCCACGTGAGAAGCAAGGAAAGTCGGGTGAGAGGCCTTATTATGTTTTCCCTGAAGTGCATTCTGCTTGACGATGCTGTTGTCAATGTACAGCTCGCCCTGAGGTGTCTTGTCAGTGTTTTGTTAATGGAATTGCTGGCCATATTTTATCTAGGACTAAGCTCTCATTCAACAGTTGGCTGTGTTTTATAACACTACTTACGGACCACGGAGGCTCGGCAGGCAGTCAACTTGTATTTTGCAGACATACCTTAGTTTTCTCATGTAGGTACTGCACAAACTGGCTTCGTATCTTGCACTATGAGTGTAGGCTGACTCTTCCAGCATAGTCTCCTTCGGGGTGGCGCTGAATATCCCCTCATTTCAGCTTTTCATGGTGCTCCTTTGCCTCATTTTTTTAAACCATAATGTCTAGCCTGGTCTCAGCTCCAAGGCAAGAACAGAAATACAGGTAAGGACAGAAATATTGTGGCAAATTCTACCACCATTTGGATGAATAATAATAAAACGTTCATTTATTTTATAGCATCTGCAAACATCCCAAAACCTTTCAACCAAAATATGTATAGATGAGTGTGCAGACCAAAGTAAGGACATCAGTATGTTACATTTAAAAATAAGTCAAGGTTAAAGGCGGTGTCCTCTTTTAAGAACATCGCAAATACAATTCCAGTACTCCAAGTACGTATTCTGTACCCAGCCACCTGGGAGGACTGAGAGACCTAATGGTTTTCTGCTTTCTGGAACTTCTATGCCAATTGTGACTTTCTCACCCAAATTTGTAAATTCGCAAATTAACATGCAGCGAATAATTACAATTGTAAACACCTGGAAGTGGAAAAGGCCGTGAGGATAAATTGAGAGGAAGAGTAAACCTAATACCATAAGTTGCATACCAGCAGATCTGAGTATCGTCATGAATAATTGGTTAGCTTTTCCACATGCCTTAGAAGTTTCAGCAAGCACCTAGCGAACATCTTAATCCAAATTTCTCAAAAAATGAGAGATTTTATTTAAGATCATTCCTCAATTTATCTTAGACTTTCAGCTACATAGTTAGTCCGGTAGTGTAACAGTAACGGGTTTTACGTAAATGCCAGGGGAAAAGAGAGGAAAGCTAAATAACCAAGTAAATCTGTATCTAATTAACAAATTGGCTAAATAAGGTGTTATCAGCTGCTTGATATAGAGCTGATAAAATCTTCAGCTAGGCATACTTGAGGCCTGATTACAGAAGTGACCGTAGTCCACCCACACACCTGAAATTTATTTAAGAGACCAAGCTAGGCTCTTCCTGGCCTTTAGGAAGAGGACTGGCATGGAGAAATATGTTCCTCACTAGTTCTCCCAAGCCATGGCACGTCCCAACAAATTCCTCCTTTGGTTTTGCTGCTTTGCCTGGCTGTGTTTTCCTATTAGCCTTGGTTCTCAGGCTTCTGGGGGAGAAGCTCAGATTGCTGCTAGTGCTGAGTTGGAATCTGGGGCTATGCCTTGGTCCTTGCTGCAGCATATAGATGAGAGAGACAGAGCTGGCCTCCTTCCCGCGCTTTTCAAAGTTCTATCTGTTGGGCGAGGTGGGTCACCTAGGCTGCAGCCAGACTCCAGAGCTTTGCACTACATGAAGAAGCTCTATAAGACATATGCTACCAAGGAAGGGATTCCTAAATCCAATAGAAGTCACCTCTACAACACTGTTCGGCTCTTCACCCCCTGTACCCGGCACAAGCAGGCTCCTGGAGACCAGGTAACAGGTATGTGAAAGCAGATTGGTTAACTGGGTGGAGGGAAGATGATAGACACTTCTGCATTTCAATTACAGAAAGGAGCTGAGCCTAGTTCCTTGAATTGTATTTTATTTTGCATAAAACTCAATATCCAGTTGAAACAAATCTGGGACTTGAGCTTATTGTTTATTCCTAACGCTCTCATTGGTTAAGGTGGGCTAATATGATGGAATTTTAAAGCAACACCAGAGACTTAATGGCTTTCAAGGCTGAGCGGAAGTGCTGCTAGAGAATGTTAGCACCTCTTTCTGTTCCACCAAGCTTTTGGCCCAGAAATGGACCTTAAACATCTCTTACAGCTATTGGTGTGATGTGTTAAATAGGATATTTTTCTCTTGTTTGTTACTTTCTGTGAGAGAAAAGCTTAAAGTTCCCGTTTTGAACAGTTGGCCCTTACAAGAACAAAGTATCAGTCCACAGTTTGACTCAGCAGTTGGGTGTGGTGCTTTAAAAAATTATAACATGGTGAAACCCCGTCTCTACTAAAAATACAAAAATTAGCTGGGTGTGGTGGTGCATACCTGTAGTCCCAGCTACTCGGGAGGCTGAGGCAGGAGAATCGCTTGAACCCAGGAGGCAGAGGTTGCAGTGAGCCAAGATCGCACCACTGCTCTCCAGCCCGGCAACAGAGCGAGACTCTGTCTCAAAAAAAAAAAAAAAAGTATATATCTACCAGCTCTTGATTTAAAACCATTCTAACCCAACAGGGCAGTTGTATCTGCTTCCTTAATATCCTATTTTAATATAGTGGTTTTAGAGCATCTGTTTTTAATCTCAAGTGTTCTAAATTAACTAGGACCAATTACATTGTTTTAAATTGACTTTCTTCACTAGGGCTTAGAATGTCATCTTAGTAAGTCTGATAAGTGTTTCTATTATGGTTTTCCCTCTAGAGATTATCCAAGAGAAAAATACTACTTTCCTTATCAGCTCAGCTGCTTCTGTGTTTGGAGCAAATTACTCAGAATGAAGCTTCAGGCTGAGCACAGTGGCTCATGCCTGTGATCCCAGCACTTTGGGAGGTTGAGGTGAGAGGATCGCCTGAGCCCAGAAGTTCAAGACCAGTCTGGGCAACATGGCGAGACCTTGTCTCTACAAAAACAAAAAATCAGCTGGGCATGGTAGCTCATGCCTGTAGTCCCAGCTACTTGGGAGGCTAAGGTGGGAGGATCAGTTGCACCTGGGAGGTTGAGGCTGCAGTGAGCCATGATGGTGCCACTGCACTCCAGCCTGGGTAACAGTGAGACCCTGTCTCAAAAAAATAAAAAATAAAAATGAAACTTCAGAATGTAGTGATTCCCTGTTACTTTGATTCACCACCAAATCTGACTTTCTGGAGATAAAATGTCCAGTAAGGTTGCTGGGAATTAGTAATGATACCAATTGCCTTCCTTTTCTATATTAACCCCCATTTTTTTTTTTGAGGCTTGAGAAAGTGGGGAAAAGAGAAGGGAGAAAGCATATTATGAAGTACTAATTCTTTGACTTGACTGCCTGTTGTGTTGACTGATTTTCAAGCACTACTGGTAGATTTTTTTTCTTCTTAGGAATCCTTCCATCAGTGGAACTGCTATTTAACCTGGATCGCATTACTACCGTTGAACACTTACTCAAGTCAGTCTTGCTGTACAATATCAACAACTCAGTTTCTTTTTCCTCTGCTGTCAAATGTGTGTGCAATCTAATGATAAAGGAGCCAAAGTCTTCTAGCAGGACTCTCGGCAGAGCTCCATACTCATTTACCTTTAACTCACAGTTTGAATTTGGAAAGAAACACAAATGGATTCAGATTGATGTGACCAGCCTCCTTCAACCTTTAGTGGCCTCCAACAAGAGAAGTATTCACATGTCTATAAATTTTACTTGCATGAAAGACCAGCTGGAGCATCCTTCAGCACAGAATGGTTTGTTTAACATGACTCTGGTGTCCCCCTCACTGATCTTATATTTGAATGACACAAGTGCTCAGGCTTATCACAGCTGGTATTCCCTTCACTATAAAAGGAGGCCTTCCCAGGGTCCTGACCAGGAGAGAAGTCTGTCTGCCTATCCTGTGGGAGAAGAGGCTGCTGAGGATGGGAGATCTTCCCATCACCGTCACCGCAGAGGTCAGGAAACTGTCAGTTCTGAATTGAAGAAGCCCTTGGGCCCAGCTTCCTTCAATCTGAGTGAATACTTCAGACAATTTCTTCTTCCCCAAAATGAGTGTGAGCTCCATGACTTTAGACTTAGCTTTAGTCAGCTGAAGTGGGACAACTGGATTGTGGCTCCGCACAGGTACAACCCTCGATACTGTAAAGGGGACTGTCCAAGGGCAGTTGGACATCGGTATGGCTCTCCAGTTCACACCATGGTACAGAACATCATCTATGAGAAGCTGGACTCCTCAGTGCCAAGACCGTCATGTGTACCTGCCAAATACAGCCCCTTGAGTGTTTTGACCATTGAGCCCGATGGCTCAATTGCCTATAAAGAGTACGAAGATATGATAGCTACAAAGTGCACCTGTCGTTAACAAATGGTCCTCTTAAAACCTTGAGCCTATTTGGCAAAGTAACTACTGTGTGCCTATGTGTGCCTTCAAGAGAAAGCTTCATATATTAAGTCTCTAAATGTAGCATATGTTATATAAAGAGGAGCCTGTGTAGGTTAGTACCTTCTATGGCATCTATCAGGATAAAGGGATAACATCAATTGTTGCTACAGAGCCTTTTTTTATTTCCAAATTTAAATGAAATATAATTATTGTGGAGAACTTTACATTTTTTTCCTTGAGTGATTTTTTTTCTTTTCATAGGAGTCTTATTCTTGATAGGGAAAAAACCTTAATTAGCATCAATCCTGGATGGACTTGCAGCTATAAATAGGCAATTCAGATTGCTGTAGTCTTAATAGAAGAATAAATTTCTGTCAATGGCATAAATTTTGTGTGTGTTTTATTAAATATTGCTTTTAAGCTGATCATTTAGTGGGGGAGAGGAAGTGTCTAAAAGCTGGCCATAGCTCGACTTTTGATCCTTTTTCAGAGTGAAAGGGAGGCTAATGTCACCGAAATTCTCATGAAGTTAAGACTCACTAGGACTAGAGAGCAGGCAGTGTAACCCATTTCCGTTGCTTTAGTGTGATTGGTGAACAGTATACTAATTCTCCTTGTTAACTAGCATATATAAATCAATCGAGTCACACAGAACAATATAACATTTGTCCCATTCATGTAAAGGAAATTGCCTTGCATGTTTTTCCAAGAAAACCTACGTACAAGACTTTGTAAGTGTATTTTTTTCTTTATATATTTAAAACCTCTGACCTTATGAAAGGCAGCCAGGGAAGGTTTTTTGTTTTGGTTTGGTTTTTGCTGATTTGCTTAGCTCCCTCCACTCCACCCCCACAGGTTTTTTTCCAGATAGATTTATAACTGTTCCTACTAAGCTTGCAGTAGTGACTGGTTATGTTATTGACTGGGTCTTATGTGGATGCTAGGGTTTTTATGTAGGTTTTCAATATATCTATTTTGAGAGAGCCCTGGAGGCACAGAGGTAGGGTTGATATCGTGATTTTGTGTTTGAGTTTCTAAAACCTTGATGTATAAACCAAAAGTAACTCCTAGATGTAATAAGTACTTTTTATTCTTGTAAATGATCTTTTCTTGGTGCTATTTTTAGCTTCATTAAATATGCACATACCATATAATTTACCCATTTAAAGTGTACAATTCAGTGGTTTATAGTATATTTATAAACATAGAACACCATCACCATCATCAATTTTAGAACATGTTCATCACCTCAAAAAGAAACCCTATATGCTTTAGCTATTACTCCCATTTCCTGTCTTGCCCCACTCCCAGCCCTAAGCAACTACGAACTTATTCATAGGTTTCTGATTCAGGACTTTCATATGAATGGAATCATAAAATAGACTGACTCCTTTCACTTAGCATGTTTTCAAGGTTCATCTGTGTTGTAGCATGTATCAGTACTTCTTTCTAGTGACTATATTTCGTTGTATGGCTATACCAAATTTTGTTTATCCATTTGTGGTTGGACATTTGGGCTGTTTCCATTTTTTAGCTATTACAAATAATGCTAATAAAATTCATGTAGAAGTTTTATTTCTTTGGGGTACATACCTAAGAGTGGAATTGCTAGGTCATATGGTAACTCTACATTTAATCATTTGAGGAACTGCTAGACTGTTTTCCAAACCAGCTGCACCATTTTACATTCCCACCAGCAGTGCACGAGGGTTCTGATTTCTCAGCATCCTTTCAACACTCATCTGACTTTTGGGGGATGTTTTTATTTTCTATGGGTACATAATAGTTGTACATATTTATAGGGTACATGTGATATTTTGGTATAAGCATACAATGTATAATGAACTTACTGTTTTATTCTAGCTATCCAAGTGGGTGTGAAATGGTATCTCATTGTGGTTTTGATTTGCATTCTCTTGATAATGATGTTAAGCATCTCTTCATTTGCTTATTAGCCATTTGTGTATCTTTTTTGAAGAATGTCTATTAAGATCCTTTGCCCATTTTCTAATTGTTATGTTTATTGAGTTGTAAGAGTTATATATTCTAGATATGTTTCTTACACAATTTTCAACTATTTTCTCATTCTATAGGTTACCTTTTTGTTATTTTTATTATAAAATATATATAACAACATTTTACTATCTTAACTATTCTTAAGTATACAAGTCAGTGGCATTAAGTACATTCACATTGATTTCCAACCATCACTACTATCTTGAACTTTTTCATCATTCCAATCTGAAACTCTACCCATGTAGAGTTAAAAAAAAAAAAAAAAATTCACAGCCTGGGCAACAGACAGAGTTTTGCAGTTACCCATGAAAAAAATCCCAGTCTGGGCAACATTGCAAAACTCTGTCTCCACAAAAAATACAAAGATTAGCTGGGTGTGGTGGCATGAGCTGTAGTCCCAGCTATTGGGGAGGCTGAGGCAGGAGAATGGCGTGAACCTGGGAGGCGGAGCTTGCGATGAGCCGAGATCGCGCCACTGCACTCCAGCCTGGGCGACAGAGCTAGATTCCATCTCAAAATAATTAATTTAAAAATCTTCATTTCTTTCTTCTAGTAACCACTATTCTATTATAGCTCTACAAATTTGCTTGTTCTAGGTACTTCCTATAAGTGAATCATTCAATATTTGTCCTTTTATCTCTGACTTACTTCACTTAGCATAATGTTTTCAAGGCTCCTGCAGGTAGCATATATCAGAATTTCATTCCTCATTAAGGCAGAATAATCCATTGTATTCATACCACATTTTGTTTATCAATGGACACTTGAATTGTTTCTACCTTTTAGCTATTGTGAATAATGCTGCTATGAACATTGGTTTACAAATATCTGTTAGAATTTCCACTTTCAGTTCATTTGGATCTATTCCTAGAAATGGAACTGCGGGATCACATGGTAATTCTTTGTGGCTGTGGCATTTTACATTTCTACCAGCAATTTACAAGTATTCTAATTTCTCTACCTCATAGCCAGCACTTATAATTTTATTTGCTTTTTAAATATATATATATTATATAAAATAGCTATCCTAATGGCCGTGAAATGGCATCTCATTGTGTGTGTGGTTTTTTGTTTAGTTTATTTATTACTTTTAGAAAAGTAAAAGAATAGTTACTCCATAGGCAGAGTAGCTTCATTGTGGTTTGGATTTGCATTTCCCTGATAATTGATGATGATGAGTATTTCTTCATGTGTTTACCGACCATTTGTGTATCGTCTTTGGAGAAATGTCTATTCATTCTCTGTCTGTCACCCAGGCTGGAATGCAGTGGCGCCATCTTGGCTCACTGCAACCCCCACCTCCTGGGTTCAAGCAATTCTCGTGTCTCAGCCTCCCGAGTAGCTGGGATTACAGGTGCATGCCACCAGGCCTGGCTAATTTTTGTATTTTTGGTAGAGATGGGATTTCACCACATTGGCCAGGCTGGTCTCAAACTCCTCACCTCAAGTAATCTGCCTGCCTCAGCCTCCCATAGTGCTGGGATTACAGGCGGGAGACACCACATCCAGCCCTGTCCACTTTTAAATATATTTTCTTACTCTTTGGGTTACCTTTTCACTATGTGTGTGTGTGTGTGTGTGCACACGCGTGTGTGTAGAGATGGGTTTCACCATGTTGCCAGGCTGGTTTTTTTTTTTGAGACGGAGTCTCACTCTGTTGCCCAGGCTGGAGTGCAGTTGCGTGATCTTGACTTACTACAGCCTCTACCTCCCAGGCTCGGGTGATCTTCCCACTTCAGCCTCCCAGGGAGCTGGGACTATCGGCAAGTGCCACCACTCCTGGCTAATTTTTTTTTGTATTTTTAGTAGAGATGGGGTTTCACTGTGTTAGCCAGGATGGTCTCGATCTCCTGACCTCGTGATCTGCCTGCCTCGGCCTCCCAAAATGCTGGGATTACAGGCATGAGCCACCATGCCCGGCCAACCAGGCCGGTCTTGAACTCCTCAGCTCAAGGAATCTGCCCTCCTCAGCCTCCCAAAGTGCTGGGATTACAAGTGTGAGCCACTGCACCCAGCCCCTTTTTGCTCTCTTGATAGTCCTTTGCACAAAAGTAGTCAATTTTGATTAAAACATCCATTTTCCAATTTTTTGACTATGCTTTTGGTGTCATATCCAAGGAATCATTGCCAGATCCAATTTTGGGTTGTAAAATCAATGTCATGAAGATTTTTCCCCTATGTTTTCTTCTAAGAGTTTTCCAGTTTTAGCTTTTACTTAAGTCTCGAATCCATTTTGAGTTAATTTTTGTATACGGTATGAGGTAGAGGTCCAACTCTTACTCTTGCATGTGATTATCTGGTTGTTTCAGTACCATTTGTTAAGATGACTTTTTCTCCTGTTGAGTTATTTTGGTACTCGTGTCAAAAAATAGTTGACCAGGCTGGGAGTGGTGGCTCACACCTGTAATCCCAGCACTTTGGGAGCCAGAGGCAGGAGGATTGCTTGAATCCAAGAGTTTGAGACCAGTCTGGGCAACAAAGTAAGACATCATCTCTACAAAAAATAAAAAATTAAAAAAATTAGCTGGGTGTGGTGGTGCACACCTGTAGTTACAGCTATTCAGGAGGCTGAGGCAGGAGGATTGCTTGAGCTCAGGAGGTTGAGGCTGCGGTGAGCTATGATTATGTGCCTGTACTCCAGGGCGACAGACAGCAAGGTCCTGTCAAGATAGATAGATAGATAGGTAGGTAGGTAGATAGATAGATAGATAGATAGATAGATAGACACTTTTTTTTTTTTTTTAAAGAGCCAGTCTCTCTCACTCTGTCACCCAGGCTGGAGTGCAGTGGCATGATCTCGGCTCCACTTCCCAGGTTCAAGCGATTCTCGCACCTCAGCCTCTGGAGTAGCTGGCATTACAGGCAGGTGCCATCACGCCTGGCTAATTTTTGTATTTTTTGTAGAGACAGGGTTTTGCCATGTTGGCCAGGCTGGTCTCCAACTCCTGGCCTCAACTGATGTACCCACCTCGGCCTCCCATAGTGCTGGGATTACACGTATGAGCCACCGTGCCCACCCAAAACCATATGAATTTTAGAATCAGTTCATTAATTTCTGCAAAAAAGCTAGGATTTTGATAGGGATTGTATTGAATCTGTAGATCAGTTTTGGAAGAATTGCCGTCTTAACAATGTTGTCTTCCAGTTCATGAACATGAGATGTTTTCCATTTGTTTAAATAATCTTTAATTTTCTTTTCTTTTTCTCTTTCTTTCTTTTTTTTTTGAGACAGGGTCTTGCTCTGTTGCCCAGGCTGGAGTGCAGTTGCGTGATCTTGGCTTACTGCAGCCTCCACCTCCCAGGCTCAGGTGATCCTCCCACTTCAGCCTCCCAGGGAGCTTGGACTATTGGCAAGTGCCACCACTCCTGGCTAATTTTGTGTACTTTTAGTAGAGATGGGGTCTCACCACGTTGTCCAGGTTGGTCACAAACTCCTGGGCTAAAGTGATCCTCCTGCCTCCCTCCCAAAGTAGTAGGGTTACTGGCCAGGTGCAGTGGCTCATACCTGTAATCCTAGTACTTTGGGAGGCCGAGGCAGGTGGTGAAACCCCGACTCTACTAAAAATACAAAAATTAACCGGGCATGGTGGCATGTGCCTGTAATCCCAGCTACTCAGGAGGCTGAGGCAGGAGAACTGCTTGAACCTGGGAGACAGAGGCTGCAGTGAGCCGAGATATCGCACCACTGCACCCCAGCCTGGGCAACAGAGTGCGACTCCATCTAGAAGAAGGAAAAAAAAAAGTGGTAGGGTTACAGGCATGAGCCACCATCCCTGGCCAATTATGTCATTCTTAAGAGTTAAAAAAAGGCCAGGCATGGTGGCTCACGCCTAATCCTACCACTTAAGGAAGCTGAGGTGAGAGGACCCCTTGAGTTCAGGAGTTTGAGACCAGTCTGGGCAATATAGTGAGACCCCTGTCTTTAACAACAACAACAACAAAAAATCAGCTGGGCGTGACGGCTCCAACCTGTAGTCCCAGCTCTTCTGGAGGCTGATATGGGTGAATTACACGAGCCTGGGAGACGGAAGCTGCAGTGAGCCATGATTGTGCTGTTGCACTCCAGCCTGGGCAATGGATGGAGCGAGATCCAATCTCTAAAATAAAAAAAGTAAAAAAGTATCCGGAATGGGCTAGGCACAGTGGCTCATGCCTGTAATCCCAGCAATTTGGGAGGCCAAGGTTGGCAGATCATTTGAGGTCAGGAGTTCGAGACCAGCCTGACCAGCATGGCGAAACCCCATCTCTACTAAAAATTCAAAAAATTAGCCAGGCGTGGTGGCGTGTGCCCGTAATCTCAGCTACTTGGGAGGCTGAGGCAGGAGAATCACTTGAACCTGGGAGGTGGAGGTTGCAGTGAGCTGAGATGGTGTCATTGCACTCCAGCCTGGGCAAGGAGTGAAAGTCCATTTATTTTTTGCATGACCTAGTTCTGTGCTTGAGTGTGAATGTGGTCTGAAATCTGAAGATTTTAAAAAGAAGAAAGCAGGGGAGTTGGAAAAGAAAATGAAGGGATAATTTTGATAGAAGTTAAGTATTAGGGTCAATGCCAAAATTCAGGGGCAGAAAAATTTTTGGGCATTCTTACAGGTAAGTTCTAAAATGTACTTACCTAAACTTTTTTTGCATAGTGTTTTGATGCTACAGGTGAGTAATGATAGCTTGGCATTTAATTTTTTTTCGTAGACTTTATTTGTAAATCTAGTCTCACTCATAGGACAGTGTTAATATTCCTGTAATGTGTCAAGGCTGATAGATCTTTTAAATTTAAACTTCAAAGTTTCTCTTACACACTATTGAGAAGGGTATACTAATCACTCAACTCTCTCTCCCATATGAAACCTATTTTCTTTAGTTACTCTTATAAAAGCTGCCACTCTAGAAAACAAATGAGAAAGGACAACAGTGATTTAAATCTGGAAATTTAAGGATGAAGCTACATCTGCCTTAAATAGATGCATTCAGCTTTGGTATTTAGTCCAGATGAGATATGAGGTCACTTAATGTGATGAGTGCCTTAGTATGCCAAGAAACAATGGAGTACGTCAGGAGCTGGTTTTACCTTCAGCTCTGAATTTCCTGCCCTTTATCAGTTTAAATCAGCTCCCGTGTTATGTTGAATACTTCGTGTTTTGCTAATCAGCTTCAAGGGCAGCAGCTACTGGACTTGGTTTAGAGTGCAGTTTAGACAGTCTGTGGGAAAAAAAATTGCTCTTTCATGGGGTAGAAGGGAATGAAAAATGTTCAGACAGAAGAACTTGGTTTATATAAAATTTTATGTAGTCAATTTTAATGAAAAATAAAAATTTAAAAAACAAAAAATTTTTATGTAGTCAATTTTAATGTTTAACTTTGTAAGGATTGTAACTTATAAAGTAATAAATGAAGTGAATTAAAAATTTTAAGATGTTCTTTTAGAGGATGTAAGACCCAAAAATATTTTAGGTATGTAGATTAGCTAAATGGATAACAATAGACAATATACTGCTTAACCCATTAACTGTTCTCTAAATAGAAACAAAATATAAACACAACCAGGAGATGCAGGCACTTCATCCTTTACCATCATTGAGAAGTCAAATAGGGCCTCTTCATGTGGGTAGCTACTTCCTGATACAGTTGTCCTTCCCAAACCACACATTTACTAGTCGATTTTTGGAAAGGGCTTGTTAATAAGACCAGGACTATTTCAGTATCTATTTAAAGAGCAGGATTTTATAACATGGCCTACCAGAGTATTTCCTTGTCCTACCTTAGTATGTAATGCAATTTGTATCAAAGAATTTTATTTTTAAAAATTTTTGTGTATCAAAGAATTGAGTAACTAGACATAAGTGGATAAGTGTCAACTGTACATTTTGGGAATCTTACTCCTTTAAGAGTAATAGGGGCTTTGTGAACAGTACACAGTCATTTATAGACCTGTCTTTGATGCTGGTATCTTCCCATGCTGGAATAACAGTCAGTGTTATAAGAGTTCACAACCTGTGCCTGGATGTCATTTTGGCTTTCTCAAATAATTAGCTCATTGAATAAATATTTATTGAACACTGACTATGGGCCAGGCGCTGTGTGTGGTTAAGAACAGTCTGATGTTTTTAGCTCCCAGAGAAGGATATCAGCTACCAGCTATGGAGGCTTCCTCTATGACCCTAAGTTCCATCAGTGAGCATTCGTTTCTGCGGAACATTCTATAGAGGAGTACATTTTGGGGTGGCACTGCAAAAGCAGGCTGGGTGAATACTAAATGATCTTACCTTTGATTAGAATTGTTTAAACTTTTTATTTTAGCAGAGATATTAAAATAACATACTAAGTAATATAAATAATTTAGTAAATTTAGATACCAAATAATATGCTAAAACAGATAACTATAAATTTACATGAAATAAGAAATAATAGAGAGATCCTGTGTATCTCTTATCCAGTTCCTTCAGTCTTGCAAAACTATAGCATAATATCACAACCAGGATATTGACATTGATAAAATAGAATTTTTGACATTGAAACCTACTTGGTCCAAGGGAAATATTGATTCTAACATCAATAGAGTTTTTATATTCCCTGATGGAATTTGCTTAATGGTTCAATATTTTTTTCATTTTACATTGTTTCACCTCTCCCTTGAAACTCTGAGGCTTCTGTACTATGATTTAATTTATTCAATATTTATTGGGCACACACTACATGTCAGGTACCCTTGTAGATGGTCTGATGGAAAATAAGATAGACATGATACTTGCTCACATGGAGCTTTTGTTACAGTGTGGGGACACAGACAATTAAAAAAAAAGCAGTCATATTCAGGAACCTCTAGGCTAAGGCCTGAGAGGAGAACAACCTTGTGTTCTAGGAACAGAAAGAGCTGGATGTGGCTGGCATGTCAGGGGGGAGAAGGAATGGGTGGAATGGCAAGTGGAGTGGGAGAGGTTGAAGGAGCACACAGACCTGATGATACCAGACCTTGTTGGCCAGCACAAGGGCATTAGATTTATTTATGTATTTATTGAGGCAGGGTCTCACTTTGTCACCCAGGCTGGAGTGCAGTGGCATGATTTTGACTCACTGCAGACATGACCTCCCAGGTTCAAGCGATCCTCCCACCTCGGCCCCCAAAATAGCTGGGATTACAGGCGTGAACCACCATGCCCGGCTAATTTTTGTATTTTTAGTAGAAAGCGGGTTTCAACATGTTGACCAGGCTGGTCTCAAACTTCTGGCCTCAAGTGATCCACCCGCCTCGGCCTCCCAAAGTACTGGGATTACAGGTGTGAGCCACTGCGCCTGGCCAGGCATTAGTTGTTTTCTGTTTGTTTTGTTTCTGTTTTTTAATATGGAGTCTCACTCTGTCACCCAGGCTGGAGTGCAGTGGCGCAATCTCGGCTCATTGCAACCTCTGCCTACCGAGTTCAAGTGATTCTCCTGCCTCAGCCTCCTGAGTAGCTGAGACTACAGGCACATGCCACCATGCCCAGCTAATTTTTGTATTTTTAGCAGAGATGAGTTTTGCCATGTTGGCCAAGTTGGCCTCGAACTCCTGAGCTCAAGTGACCCACCTGCCTCAGCTTCCCAAAGTGCTAAGATTATAGGCATGAGCCACCACGCCTGGCCAGGCATTAGATTTGTATTCCAAGTTCTAAAGAAAGCCATTGAGAATGTTTAATCAAGGGCCTGAAATGGTTGGATTCTCTTCTTTTCTTTTCTTTTCTTTTTTTTTTTTTTTTGAGACAGAGTCTTATTCTGTCACCCAGGCTGGAGTGCAGTGGCGCAATAAGGGCTCACTGCAACCTCCACCTCCCGGGTTCAAGCAATTCTCCTACCTCAGCCTCCCGAGCAGCTGGGACTACAGGCATGTGCCACCATGCCCAGCTAATTTTTTTGTATGTTTAGTAGAGATGGGGTTTCACCATGTTGACCAGGCTGGTTTTGAACTGACCAGTACAGGGCAGTGGCATGATTTTGACTCACTGCACCCTTGACTTCCCAGGTCAAGGCCTGCCTCAGCCTCCCAAAGTGCTGGGTTGACAGGCGTGAGCCACCGTGCCTGGCCTCTTTTTTTTTTTTTTTTAAATAGATCATTCTGGCCTGGTGCGGTGGCTCATGCCTGTCATCCCAACACTTTGGGAGGCTGAAGTGGGTGGATTGCTTGAGCCCAGGAGTTCAACACCAGCTTGGGCAACACAGGGAGACCTCATCAGTACAAAAAAAAAAAAAAATTCCCAGGTGGGTGGTACACATCTGTGGTCCCAACAACTTGGGAGGCTGAGGTAGGGGAATTGCTTGAGCCCAGGCAGTCAAGGCTGCGGTAAGTTGTGATCACATCACTGCACTCCAGTCTGGGCAACAGAGTCTCAAAAAAAAAAAATCATTCTAAATGTTCTATGTAGTATTGTTTGGCAGGGACTAGTCTGAAGCAGGGAGACCTATTGAAGGGGCTGTTGTTATGGTTCAGGTGAAAGATGCTGCTGCTTTGGACTATGGCAGTGGAGATGGGGGTGCAGAGAAGTGAAAAAAACTTGGAATTTATTTTCATGGCTTTTTCTTATTTGGCTTATCTCTGAAGTGAAAGGGTGGCAATGTTCTAATAAGAGAAGAAACATAAGTTTATTGAGTGAAATGAAAGGATACAACTTATCCCATTCTTTGGCTTTATAGTTCCATCCAAATGAAGTGTTTCTTAATTACAACTTTTTTGAAATTTTCTTCTTGCATTTATTCATTTGAATTTTTATTTATTTTGGCCTTTACCTTTCATGGTAGAAGCTTTTTTCAAAAGTCTTTTGTTGTCTACTTATAAGGCCCTAGAAAAGCCATTGGAAGCTCTGTGTCAGAAGATGAGATGTGTTAGTGCACTGTGGTTTGAAGCTCCTATCAATTTCTACAGGTTTCTCCACAGAAGAATTATCCAATCTTCTGGTGGGAAAAAGATGGGGCAAAGATACACACTTAGCTACTGGGGCTTTAGAGCCCAGCAATGCAAGCTAAGATCTCATCATTCACAGTGAACAGTTCACCTTTTTTCCCCAATACTGTATCGCTTCCCCCAACATCCACCATGCCTGGAGTTTATTTGCCTGGAACCTCTTTGATTAAAACTCTCCCACAGAATCAACTCCCAGTCTCTTGTAGTTGGGAGAGGGGTGGTCATCTAGCTGCTTGGGATGAGAGTGTACATAGGGGCCCAATTGTTCCATGTAAAGATTCAGCTGACAGTCACAGCTGGCCCCCTGCTTTCCATGATACATGGCGTGATACATGGTACATGAATCCTGAGCTTCCCCAGCATCTGAGGCCTGACTCATTTGCTTCTCATTGACATTCCCATCCCCAGCAGGTTTAGGTTTCACTTTTTCCTAACTGCTCACTCTTCTAGCCAGTTTCTAACTTCTGAAACTCTGTTCACACTCATCTGCTGTTCTCTCCTCCCTTATTCTTTGTCCTCATGGGTATATTTGATGTTCACTTGCTCTAACGTTAGTGTGAAGAAGTAGAGATAAATGCATGTGCTCAGTTCTCCAAGTCAAAAAGAGGTGCTCGTTAAAGTACCATGTAAAGTCCTTGTCCAAACCTCTGCTTGGAGAAAATGAGTAAGAAAAGTCTATACCAATTTGCAATCCCTTTGTGACCTACAAATAATTTGCTGCATGTTCTTTGATAGCATCCTTAAATTTCTCCATCTCATCCTTCTATCAGTTTTGGGTAAGGAAAGTAGGAGTATTCCTAAGGCAGGAGAACATCCAACATTTCGACTGTATATCATATTTGACATTAAAAACTACCTCATTAGATAATATTAACTAGCAGGGCTAAATTACTTGGAATAATTAATCTGAAGTTTTGTCTAAGTGTAGGAAAATGGGTTTCAATTTTACCTTTAGAAAATGGACAAACAGTTTTCACAGTTTATTGAAGTCAAAAGGCTAGTATGCTCAGCTTCTATTGCATCATTCTCCAGGAAAATTGTGCTGTGAACTTTGCAAATCATTGCCTGATTAGAGAAGAAAGTGATTAGCATCACAAGTTTTCATTGTGTTCGTGCCCTTGACCATTGCCAGTTTGTGAAATATTTGTAAAGGGCTGAAACAGGATTGTAGAGATTAAGGAATCTTGGAGATTTACTGAGTTGATGCCCCACATTTAGTACTTCCTGGACCTGAAGAGTTCATGACTCCACCTTATCAGATCCTTCTCCAACAAAATAAAAAGTATTCCCAACAGAGTAGCACTTGGTTTATTACCACTTATTAAGACCACACTAGAGAAAGAAATAGTAGGCAGGCCCCAGGCAGTTTAGAAGAATAGTTAAAAGCACAAGCTCTGAAACTACCTTGGCTATGACTTTGGGCAAATAAGCTCACCTCTCTGAAACTCAGTTTCCTTCTCTGTAAAACAGGATGATAATACCTACTTCATAGAGTTGTGAGGATTAATAAGTTAATACCTGTAAAGAGCTCAGAACAATGCCTACCAAAGTCAATTCTCACTAAGCGCTGCTTTTATTATTCCCACAGCTAAGATGCTCTGAAGCTGTGCTGTCTAATACAGTTGTCACTAGTCACGTGTAGCTACTGAGCATTTAAAATGTGGGTAGTCAAAATTGAGATGAGCTGTAACTATAAAATATTACCAGTTTTCAAAGATGTTAAAGTCTTTTATCAAAGATTTATGCATATAGCATAAATCTATTCCCTCCATGGAAAACCCACATGCCCACACATTGCCCACCTCACTGATTTTTACAAATGGTTTCAATTCCCTTTGAAGGCTGCTGGTGGGCTGATGTATTTACCAAACTATTGGCAGTTTCACACATTCAAATTTTAATCTCCGACCCCTGCAAATAAAAGATCTTTATGTTCTGCAATTGTGAAGTTTATTCATAATTTCTCCCATCCAAGTACTAACCAGGCCCGACTCTGCTTAGTTTCTGAGATCAGATGAGATCGGGCGTGTTCAGGGTAGTATGGCTGTAGACTTTGTCACAATTTCTATGCAGAGCATCTGTCTGTGCATGAATTCAGATGCTCTGTGAACATATCTGCTCACTGCCACATATGAGAATTTTCATGGAAGACAGGGTTTTTTCGTAAAAGCCTTGGCAGTCCCATCTCTTTCCAAAGAATGCCCCACAAATGCTGTGCCGGAGTGAAATTGTCACAACAGAGACATCAGCCTTGGTAGTGTGTCCAACTGTTTTGAGAAATCCCGTACCAAAGTAAGCCCACAACAAGCTACTGGTTTCGTCATGAGGAACCGTGTTTTTTTAATTTTTAATGTTTATTTATTTATTTATTTATTTATTTTTTGAGACGGAGTCTCTGTCGCCCAGACTGGAGTGCAGTGGCATGATCTTGGCTCACTGCAACCTCCGTCTCCTAGGTTCAAGCGATTCTCCTGCCTCAGCCTCCTGAGTAGCTGGGACTACAGGCATGTGCCACCACACCCGGCTAATTTTTTTTTTTTTTTTTTTTTAAGTAGAGACAGGGTTTCACCATGTTGATCAGGCTGGTCTCAAACACCTGACCTTGTGATCTGCCCACTTCGGCCTCCCAAAGTGTTGGGATTACAGGCATGAGCCACTGTTCCCTGCCAAGGAAGAGTGTTTTAAATGCTTGACAAGAGATTCATATGGGTTTTTGTCTTGTTGATACATTTTGGGACACCAAGACGGATGCATTGCTTGAGCCCAGGAGTTGGAGACCAGCCTGGGCAATATGGTGAAACCATGTCTCTACAAAAAATACAAAAATTAGCTGGGCATGGTGGAGTGTGCCTGTAGTCCCAGCTACTTGGGTGGCTGAGATGGGAGGATTGCTTGAGCCCAGAAGGTTGGGACTGCAATGAGCCATCATTGCCCCACTGTACTCCAAGCTGGGTGACAAAGCAAGACCCTCTCTCAAAAAAAAAAAGTATAATGGGAGTTTATGAGCAAGCAAGGATTTTGGAGTCAGAGATATCTGGATCTGAGTCCAGGCTCTACCACGTATTAGTTCTGAGATGCTGAACTTGACCTCTCTAAGTCTTAGTTTCCTTACCTGCACAGTGGCATAATAAAAATTACTTTGTGGCAAAAGACTGATGAAATATGAAGAAAATAATGTAGGCTGGGCGTGGTGGCTTACGCCTGTAATCCCAGCACTTTGGGAAGCTGAGGCAGGAGGATGGCTGGAGCCCAAGAGTTCAAGACCACCCTGGGCAATATAGTGAGACCCTGTCTCTAAAAAAATAAAAATAAAAATTAACCAGGTGTGGTGGCATGAGCCTGTAGTGAGCTGTGTTTTCACCACTGAACTCTAGGTGACATAGCGAGACTCTATCTCAAAAAATTAAAATATCTCTATCAATTACATGGTGAAATAATATTTTGATATATTGGGTCTATTTGGATATATTAAATAGTTACATATATTTAATATATAAATTAGTTTCCCCTGTTTCTTTTTACTATTTAGTTTTGAGACAGCATCTTACTCTGTTGTCCAGGCTGGAGTGCAGTGGCACAATCTTGGCTCACTGCAACCTCCACCTCGCGGGTTGAAGCAATTCTCTTGCCTCAGCCTCCTGAGTAGCTGGGGTCACAAACATCCACCACCACGTCTGACTAATTTTTTCTATTTTTAGTAGAGATGGGGTTTCACCATGTTGGCCAGGCTGGTCTTGAACTGCTGACCTCAGGTGATCCGCCTACCTTGGCCTCCCAAAGTGCTAGGATTATAGATGTGAGCCACCATTCCTGGCCTACTTTATTTACTTATTCGTTTATGTATGTATTTATTTGGAGACAGGGTGTCTCTCTGTTGCTCAGGCTGGAGTGCAGTGGCACAATCTTGGCTCACTGCAACTTTTGCCTTCTGAGTTCAAGTGATTCTCCCATCTCAGCCTCCCAAGTAGTTGGTATTGTAGGCATGAGCCACCACGCCCTGCTAATTTTTTTGTATTTTTAGTAGAGACTGGGTTTCACCATGCTGGCCAGGCTGGTCTTGAACTCCTGGCTTCAAGTGATGCGCCAGCCTCAGCCTCCCAAAGTGCTGGGGTTACAGGCATGAGCCACCGTGCCCAGCCCTTTTTACTATTTTTTTAAAGATGGGGTCTAGCTCTGTTGCCCAGGCTGGAGTGCAGTGGCGTGATCTCACTGCAACCTCTGCCTTCTGGGTTCAAGCAATTCTCCTGCCTCAGCCCCCCGAGTAGCTGGGGTTACAGGCATCTGCCATCATGCCCAGCTAATTTTTTTTGTATTCTTAGTAGAGATGGGGTTTCACCATGTCGGCCAGGTTGGTCTCAAACTCCTGACCTCAGGTGTCCCACCTGCCTCGGCCTCTCAAAGTGCTGGGATTACAGGCGTGAGCCACTGTACCCGGCCTACTTTTTAAATATGTCTATTAACTGACTTTAAACTACATATATGGCTCATATTTCTATTGAACAGTGCAACAGTCCCTTCCTCATACGATTTTATTGTAAACTCTGCCTGATACTGCTGCAAGGTAGGGCTCATGATACTTCTAATGTATACACATTATATATTTATTATCCTTTTTTTTTTTTTGAGACAGAGTCTCATTCTGTCTCCCAAGCTGGAGCGAAGTGGCATGATCACAGCTCACTGCAGCCTTGATCTCTTGAGCTCAAGCAATCCTCCCGCTTCAGCTTCCCAAGTAGCTGGGACTATAGGCATGCACCACCATGCCCAGCTGATTTTTTTTGTTTTTTTTAAAGTTGAGGCGAGGTCTTGCTATGTTGCCCAGGCTGGTCTCAAACCCCTGAGCTCAAGTAATCCACCCACCTTGGCCTCCCAAAATGCTGCGATTATAGGCATGAGCCACTGTGCCCAGCCTATTATTTAATATATTTCCTCCTCCTATGCAGTGGCTTTCTCTGTCTCTCTCTCTGTCTGTCTGTCTGTCTGTCTGTCTGTCTCTCTTTTTAAAGAGAAAGAGAATCTTCTTGTGTTGTCCAGCCTGGTCTTAAAGTCCTGGGCTCAAGTGATCCTTCTGCCTTGGGCTCCTTAGTAGCTGGGCCTAACAGGCACATGCCACCATGCCCAAATAGCTTTCTGGTCTCGAACCCAAATATACTTCTTTCCCATTACTGAACTGCCTAAGCATGGTGGAATCATGAATGGTATAAGATAAACTGCAGCTCTCCCTGGTGAAAATGGGCACAATTTGGGAGAGAGGCACAGTCTGAGACACCTGTGAAATGTGTTGATTTTCTGCAGCTACCTTTGGAATGCAGTCCTCAAGAGCTGTCTAATATCTGTCCTATCCAAGTCAAAGGAACTGATAGAATACAGGGAGATGTTACTCTGCCCACCAAGAGGACCTCGACCTAATTCTGCCAAAGTTCTTATTGTTTCATGAAACTGCTAACATGAAGCTGAGAACTACCATGTAAATACAAACAGGGTGTCAGGATTGGGACATGCCTTGACCTGATAGGTTTTGAGGATAATGTAAATATTTTCATTATGATATGATCAAATCAGATTAGAGTTGGTTAACAGGTAGCACTAGGCTATATACTTTTGAACAGACTCCTTTTGTATTACTGCTAAAGATTCTTTTTTTTTTTCTTTTTTGAGACGGAGTTTCGCTCTTGGGTGTCCAGGCTGGAGTGCAATGGTACAGTCTTGGCTTACTGCAGCCTCCACCTCCTGGTTTCAAGCGATTCTCCTGCCTCAGCCTCCTGAGTAGCTGGGATTACAGGAGCCCACCCCGACGCCCGGCTAATTTTTGAATTTTTAGTAGAGACGGGGTTTCATCATGTTGGCCAGGCTGGTCTTGGACTCCTGACCTCAGGTGATCCTCCCGCCTTGGCCTCCCAAAGTGCTGGGATTACAGGTGTGAGCCACAGCGCCCGGCCAAGATTCTTAATTTTAATGATTAGTAGACTAATTTACACACAATGGTAATTTTTAAAAAGTCATGTGATCTGCAGGCACATTAACATCTGAGCCTGTGGCCCACAAATAAACCTGAGATCACCTGGCTTGCAAGATACCTTTAGGTCTATGGGCAGAAGGTGCTCTGAATTAGTAATTTAGTGCAAGAGTACTTGAGCTTGCTTTCTGCATTTGTAGACACATGCTTAAAACATCAGAGTGGTTAGAACCCTTAGAAGCCATCTCTTGCTTTGTATGTGAAGACCTTGAGCATGAATGGGCCAATGTCAGGCCGGGTGTGGTGGCTCACGCCTGTAATTCCACCACTCTGAGTTGGGTGGATTGCTTGAGGCCAGGAGTTCGAGACTAGCCTGGTTAACATGGCAGAATCCCATCTCTGCTAAAAATACAAAAATTAGCCAGGTGTGGTGGCATGTGCCTGTAATCCTGGCTTCTTGGGAGGCTGAGGCACGAGAATTACTTGAACCCAGGAGGCGGAGGTTGTAGTGAGCTGAGATCGCACCACTGCACCAGCCTGTGCGACAGAGTGAGACTCTGTCTCCAAGAAAATAAAGAATAGGCCAATGTCAATGACAACTCTTAAGTGTGTGTGTGTGTGTGTATGTATGCGTGTATACATACATATATTTGTGTGTGTGTGTGTGTGTATATGTATTGCTTGAATTGAATTGCTTGAACCCGAGAGGCGGTTTCAGTGAGCTGAGATCGCGCCACTGCACTCCAGCCTGGGCAACAAGAGCAAAACTCCAACTAAAAACAAAAAGTGTAGGCCCTGCACGGTGGCTCATACCTGTAATCCCGGCGCTTTGGGAGGCTGAGGCTGGCGCATCACTTGAAGCCAGGAGTTCAAGACCAGCCTGGCCAGCATGGTGAAACCCAGTCTCTACTAAAAATACGAAAAAATTAACTGGGCATGGTGGCAGGCACCTGTCATCCCAGCTACTCCAGAGGCTGAGGGAGGAGAATCGCTTGAACCTGGGAGGGAGAGGCTGCAGTGAGCCGAGACCGTGCCACTGCACTCCAGCCTGGGCAACAGGGTGAAACTCTCTCTCAAAAAAAAATGTAAATTCAGTTATCTTTAGTATAGTCACAAGATTAAAAAAAATTTTTTTTAATAGGGACAGCATCTCATTATGTTGCCCAGGCTGGTCTCAAACTCCTGTGCTCAAGCAGTCTTCATGCCTCAGCCTCCCAAAGTGCTGGGATTTCAGGCTTAAGCCACCACACCCAGCCTAGTCACAAGATTTTATAATTATCCCACTATCTAGAGATGGGGCCTAGAGATGAACATTTCTGTCATCACCCAAAGAGGCCTCGTACCATTTAATAGTCACTTCTCATCCCTTCTTTCTCTGTGGATTTGCCCATTCTGGACATTTCATATACATGGAATAATACGTGGGGTTTTGTCCGTTTTCTTTCACTTAGCATAATGTTCTCGAGGTCCACACGTTGTAGTACATGTCAGCACTTCATTTCTTTTTATGGCTGAATAATATTCCATTGTATAGATATACCAGATTTTATTTATTCATTAATCTGTTGGTGGCCATTTAGGTCGTTTCCACTTTTTGTCTATTATGAATCATGCTGATATAAACATACGTACAGGTTTTGACATGAACATATGTTTTCAGTTCTCTTGGGGATAGACCAAAGAGTGGAATTGCTGGGTCATATGGTAACTTTCTGTTTAATCATTTGGTGAACTAAGAAACAGTTTTCCAAGTCAGTTGTATCATTTTACACTCCCAGCAGCAGTGCGTGAGGTTTCCTTTATATCCTCCTCAATACTTACTATCTGACTTTTTGTCTTATAGCCATTCTAGTGGGTATGAAGTGGTACCTAATTGTGCTTTTGAGTTGAATTTGAGGTTGAGCACCTTTTTTAGTGCTTATTGGCTATTTGTAGATCTTGCGAGAAATTCAAATTCTTCCTGTTCAAATCCTTAGTCTATTTTTAAAAATTGAATTGTTTGTCTTTTTATTTGGTGCATTGTAAGCTATTAAGCATACTAAGGTAAATCTAATTTAGGGAAAGCATTCACTATTTCAGGAAGACCAGAGAGTTGCAGTTTGGCTTTATTATTATTATTATTATTATTATTATTATTATTATTATTGAGACGGAGTTTCACTCTTGTTGCCCAGGCTGGAGTGCAATGGTGAGATCTTGGCTCACTGCAACCTCCGCCTCCTGGTTTCAAGCGATTCTTCTGCCTCAGCCTCCCGAGTAGCTGGGATTATAGGCATGCACCACCATGCCCAGCTAATTTTGTATTTTTAGTAGAGACGGGGTTTCTCCATGTTGGTCAGGCTGGTCTCAAACTCCTGACCTCAGGTGATCCGCCCACCTCGGCCTCCCAAAGTGCTGCGATTATAGGCGTGAGCCACTGTGCCCAGTCTATTTTTAATCCTTTTCAGGCACTTATAAAGTTTTCGAAAAGAACGCTTGTTCACAGAATAATTATAAACAAGGACCTACCACCATCACTAATAAAGGTTATTAATCCAATCCCAAGAACCAAGAAAGAGGATCTAGGCCGGGCACGGTGGGTCATGCCTGTAATCCCAGCACTTTGAGAGGCTGAGGTGGGTGGATCACCTGAGGTCAGGAGTTCGAGACCAACCTGGCCAACATGGTGAAAACCCGTCTCCACTAAAAATACTAAAATCAGCGTGGCGTGGTGGTGCATGCCTGTAATCTCAGCTACTCCGGAAGCTGAGGCGGAAGAATCACTTGAACCCGGGAGGCAAATGTTGCAGTGAGCTGAGATTGCGCCACTGTACTCCAACCTGGGCGACAAGAGTGAAACTCTGCCAAAAAAAAAAAAAAAGAAAAGAATGGGGTCCAAATGAACTCTCTTGAAAGTCCTTGCTTCCATTCATGGCAGCACCTCCCTAGACCTCTCATTGCTGTGCCCAAGTGAGTGACCAAAGCAATCTGCTCTGAAAAGAAAGCAGCTTCTTAGGGTATGGCAAGTCACATCTTTTTGTCAAAACCACCAAGAGGAGAGAGTGATATAGGAAGTGTGGTGACTTGAAGGAAATGACTGGCCCCAGGGTCTAATGTTTTTTTAGAAGTTGGTTCAAGGAGGGTGGATCACTTGAGGTCAGGAGTTTGGGACCAACATGGTGAAACCTTGTCTCTACCAAAAGTACAAAAAATTAGCCGGGCATGGTGACTCATGCCTGTAATCCCAGCCACTTGGAAGCCTGAGGCAGGAGAATCACTTGAATCCAGTAAGCGGAGGTTGCAGTGAGCTGAGATTTCGCCACTGCACTCCAGGCTGGGCAACGGGGCAAGACTCTGTCTCAAAAAAAAAAAAAAAAGTTGGTTCCCAGTGTTACAGCTCTTAGAATTTGTCTAGCAGGCTTTCTGGTTTTTGCCAGAAAGCCCCAAAAAAGTTAAACAAAAAAGTCAGTTCCCCAAGTGAGGGCTGACAATGAGTCTGCTCATGGACAGAGCCATCAGGCCCTGGCTGATGCCAGGGCAGAGAGGGGCTGTCAGCAATGGCTCTTGGTGGAAGGAGTACTGCTGATTTCCTTTCTGGCTCCTAGGACATGTGTTCACTGCCTCTTACCTTAAGTATGGGCCAACTGGTACATGAACACTCAATAATTGCTTGCTAGTTAAATAAGTCCTTTTATTCAATTTAATCACTTCCCTAGGAGGGCCATTTGGTGCCTTAAATGCTGTTTGCATGGACTCTCCCACTCCCATACCCCCCACCAACACACATACGGGGCCTGGAGGCCAAGGCCATTCTTGGCATGTTGCTATCAACTGTGAACTCACAGAATAGAGGAATGACACAGCTGTTCACATGAAGTCAGGTCTCCCACATTCATTTTATTCAACAAACTCTGAGATTACTTCTGAGCCTGGTACTGCCAGGCATAGTCCTTTCCATCAAAGCACTCACTATAGGTCTAGTGAGGCAGACAGACAACTAAATGACCACATACTCTCCAATGCAGTATTATGTAGGGCTGGGAACAACGAACTCTACCTGGGGATATCAAAGAAGGCTTCACTGATGAGGTGATACTTGGCTCAGGGGTCATGTAACTCAGCATCATGATGGGTTCTTATCAGGGACATTTGCTAGTGGGGAAAGGAAGAAAAAAGGAAACTTCAGGACACACCCAGTCCCCTGTTGGGGTAACTATGGGATGGACGCCTATGTCTCCTCCCTGGCCTGACTTCAGCTTAGTCTTTTTGCCTATGCTGTCGAGCAAAGAAAAGGTAGAATCAAGGTCAACCCTCCTTAGTACAGCAAGAGGAAAAAGCAACCAATCTCCACATTTTCTTGCCTTTGTTTTGTTTATCAAGGGAAATCTTGTTCTCATTTTTATGGCAAATGTTTATGACTTTGAACCAGGAACTTGCCTGCCTTGTATTTCTCTTGCACTGCTTTATCCTGTTTCCTGAGTTGCTAGTTTTGAGATTGTGTAAGCGTTGTTAGAGGATTTCCAGCAACATCAAAGGGCAGAGACACTGCCTCCCCTGAACCCTGGGGCAGCTATGGAAATCTCTCTTGCCCTCTTTGCTAGTAGTTGCTTTTCCCAGGGAAAGGGCAGCTCTCAACACCCAAATCTCAACAGGCTGGATTTTCCTCTTGCCTGGCAGTATGAAAAAGGTGTCTTGGCTCCACATTAGAAACTTCTTCGTTTCAAACAATAGCAAGCAGCTCTGCCTGACTCATTCAAAAAAGGAATGTATTGGGAGGAGACCTAGTGGTTCACAGAATTGACTAGAAGGCTGGAGAACCAGGCTGTGAAAATAAACAAGAACAAAGGAGGCTGCGCAGCAAGAGCAGGGGACAGGCCGGGATTGCTACTGTCCTTGCGCCTCCTGACTCGTGATCATTTCTCACCTGTCCCAGTGTCTCTCTTTTACTCACGTAAGAGTCCCAGCTTCTGGAAGAAGCATCAAATTGATTAAGTCCAGGTCTCAGGCCTGTACAGTGACTGGGCTGGCTTTCAAAGCAGGAGGGGGAGTTCTGTCTCCCCAAGACTTACACAATATGAACAAAGTGTTTACAGCCCTGTTTGCCGGAATGGTGAGTGAAGCTTAGGAGAGAAACTACCAGCAGCATGAGCAACACCTATGGGAGACCCCAGGTGGATAAACCAGTCCTTAGAGAGAAAATTGGGACTGGGGTTTAGTTGAGATTGTATTTCTCAGGAGAAACTCAAGTGAGGAATAATGATAACTAACATCACTTATTGGTGGCCCACTGTGAGCCTGGCACTACTCTATGTGATCAAATCTCCTTTAATCTTTATCTGGCAGGTATGTAGTATCCTTGTTTTACACATGAGGAAATGGAGGCTCAGGAAGGTGGGGACATCTCCAGGTTCATAGAGCTACTGGTATTCAAACTGAAGTCACCATACTTTGAAACTCACACTCTTTCCTACTTCACTGATTTTCTATCTCTGGGATACACCAAATTGAAGAACACCTTTCTCTCCCTGTTTCATTTTGAGAAATCAAGGGTGGGCAATGAGCCTGTCTATAAATCTGTCTCTGCCACTCCTAGGCAGTTGCTGTCAGTTGCCCTTTGCCCCATAATTCATTTGGTGTCATCCAGTTAAGAGACACATTCCCCTTTCATCTTGCTAGGTGATTTGCTAGGAAAGTCAAAAGTAACTTGCTATGTTGTTTTTTGTTTTGTCTTTTACTTTTCTTGCTGCTTCCCTTGAAGTAGAAAAAGCTGCTAACTAGGACCTAAGGACCCTGCCAGGGGTAAATGTGACCACAAACACAGTGCCCAGACTGTGATGAATGCTGGGCATACCCCCGGGTTTTAGAACAAAGTGTCCTCTATGTGAGTAACTGACGAGATACACCACAGTTAAAATCAGGAAAGTTTTCTAGGTGAATGTTTAGGGCATGCATTCTCAGTCTCCTGAGCCACCAGCCAAAATTCATCCACATGCACATAGCATGCTGTGACCTAATTCTGTACCAAGTCCATCACGCAGCTTCTGTGTGCAGCCTGGGGTCCAGAGCTCACAAATTGGATTTTTCTTCCATTGAATATTCTGGGTGACTCCTCAGCAAGCAGAAATCTGGGAGGTTTAGCTCAAACAGAATGACAGTTTTAGGAGAGGGGCTTTTTAGAGACTATCTCATCCCATTTTATGATCTGGACACAAGAGAGACAGTCTGGCCATTCCTGGGCCTGAGGAGGCTGTTGCCTTCTCTAAGCAATGCTTTTGGGGCCGAGTTCAGAGCCTGAGATAGTTTCTTTTCTTGAAAACCAAAATGAACCTTAGGGGACCAGAAGAGCAAAGTGGAAAAGCTTATTTGCCCACACCTATCTGTCCGGGGCCCACTGAAGTTGGCAGAGAAGAAGAAGCCTGTATCCATCTTTTTCATGAATCCTCTTTTGTCCAAGGATGTGTGAGTAACATCTGAATGAAGACCACAAGGATGGAATGGTTTCAGGCCTGGGGCTGGGGGCCAGGCTGGAGTAGAAAAGTTAAGTCATTCTGACCAAAGCAAACAGAGGCTGGGTGTCACCCAATGTCTGCAGGGAAAAGGTGACATATGTGTACTTAATGGGGATGTGACAGCCCAGCACTCCTTTCCAGGAAGTGCTGATCTGAAAGGGAATCTGGTTCAATCTCTGGAACAGTCAGCCCTCACCCAGCCTCACCAAGAGGCCCTGCCTGTCAGGTGTCCCCACCGGCGAAGGCAATCTTCATTCTCCCTGCACTTCCTTCTTGTGCACTTTCTACTTTCCTATAAAGCCCTATCTTTAGACAACTGTGGTGAATTCAGTGCATAATCGGAAAGCAAACAAACTTACCCCAGAAGAACATTTACAGTTTAGGTAGACATTTGTGTATAAGCAATAATTCACGCTTTGTTGAATTTCTAAAAATAAACAACATGATTTTGTTGAAAGGTTTCTGACCTCTAATATACTTTAACCAGTACATTACCATCTCTGAATTATTGAGACAGCTATGTAGCCCAGCTATGTAGCTGCTGCCTAAAAGAAAGATATCTGGGCTGGGTGTGGGGGCTCACACCTGTAATCCTAGCACTTTGGGAGGCCGAGGCCGGCGGATCACGAGGTCAGGAGATTTGAGACCGTCCTGGCTAACATGGTGAAACCCCATCTCTACTAAAAATACAAAAAATAAGCCGGGCGTGGTGGCAGGCGCCTGTAGTCCCAGGAGAATGGCGTGGACCCGGGAGGCGGAGCTTGCAGTGAGCCAAGATTGCGCCACTGCACTCCAGCCTGGGCGACAGAGCAAGACTCCATCTCAAAAAAAAAAAAAACAAAACCACATCTGTTGCTTCACCTATGAACTACAGATCCACTGTTAAACCACACACAAAATCAAAGGACACAAACTTGGAAAAATATTTGCCACACATAGGAAAAAGTGTTAATCACCTTAATATATAAAGAGGTTTTTTTTTGTTTTGTTTTTTTGAGACAGGGTCTCACTCTGTCACTCAGGATGGAATGCAGTGGCACAATCATGTCTAACTGCAGCCTCAACCTCCTGGGCTCAGGTGATCCTCCCGCCTCAGCTCCCTGGAGTAGCTGGAACTACATGCATGTGCTACCATGGCCAACTAATGTTTGAATCTTTTGTAGAGACAGGCTGGTCTCCAACTCCTGGGCTCAAGCAATCTGCCCACCTCAGCCTCCCAAAATGCTACTAGGATTATAGGCATGAGCCACTGTGCCCAGCCCTAAAGAGGTCTTACAAATCAATGAGACCAATAATCTAATAGAAAAATGAGCAAAGAAAATTGACAGATCCCAGATCACATACAAATGGCTTTAAAATACACAAAATGGTGTGTAGTCTAATTTATAATATATGCAATATAAATTAAGACAGATATTATTTTTACCTTTCAGATTTCAGAGATCCAAAAGTTTGATAATGCACTAGGCATGGTGGCATGTGCCTGCAGGGGCAGGCTGCTTGCAGGGGACAGGCCCAGGAGCTGTTGGCCACAGCACTCATTCTGCAGAAGGGAAACTTGAGGCCCCAGAGGGCAGGGGTTGGTCCCACAGAGACTGGTGGGCAAAGGGGATCACCCCAAGTCTCAATGGCACTGGGAACACTTACACACTCTGACCTGGACTAAGGCTGCCAGGATGGTCCATGGCACTTTAAAAGCTAAAAAGGCCAAGCACAGTGGTGTGCACCTGTAGTCCCAGCTACTGGGGAGGCGGAGGCAGGAGGATTACTTGAGCCTGGGAGTTCAAATCCAGCCTGGGCAACACAGCAAGACCCCGTCTAAAAAAAGGTTGATAATGCACTGTGTTAGTGAGTGTATTAATGCAATCCCACACTGCTGTAAATAAATACCTGAGACTAGGTAATTAACAAAGAAAAGAGGTTTAATTGGCTCACGGTTCTGCAGGCTGTACAGGAAATGCAGATTCTCACTTCTGAGGAGGCCTCAGGAAACTTACAATCATGGTGGAAGGCAAAGGGGAAGCAGGTACCCTTTACATGGCCAGAGCAGAAGCAAGAGAGGGGGAGGGGTGGGTGCCACATACTTTTAAATGACCAGATCTCATGAGAACTCACTCACTATCATGACCAACAGGGATAGTGCTAAACCATTCATGATGAAACTGCCCCCATGATCCAATTGCCTCCCACTAGGACCCACCTCCAATATTGAGGATTACAACTGAACATGAGATTTGGGTGGGGACACAGATCTAAACCATCTCAGTGTGCTTGTATACATTTTTTATGGGACTGTAAATTGGTATAGCCTCTTTGTAAGTGTGATTTGACAATATCAATCAAAATAGAAAATTCATGTACCCTGTTACAGTTGTCTATTACCATGTAACAAACTACCCCCAAACTTAGTAGTTTGCACTTTTATAATTATTGTGCTCATGTTTTTGAGGGTCAGAAATTCAGGAAGAGCTAGGCTGCGGAATTCTTCTCTGATCAGTATGGTGTCAGCGGGGGTGGCTGACACTGCAGGATTCGCTTCCAAGATGGCCTGGTTACTTGCCTGTGCAATGCCTAAGTGCTCCTTGGCCTCTCTTTTCCCTCTCCACATGCTATCTCATACTCCTGGGCTTCTCCATATAGCTTGTATTTCTCATAGCTTAGTGGTCTCAGAGTAGTAGCACTACCAAGAGGCAAGAAGTGGAAGCTACCAGGCCAGTTAAAGGCTATGTCCAGAACTAGCCCAACATACCTTCTGCTACATTCTGTTGGTCAAAACAGTTACTGTCACCCCTAAGCTCATTATCCAAGGGGATGGAGAAATAGACCTCACCTCTTCTGGGTAGAGTAGTGGCAAAGTCACATTGTAGAAAAGCTTGGGAGGTGGAAAATTTTTTCATGATTGTCTTTGTAAAGTACAATCTACTACCTACACTTTAACCCACCAATTCATCTTTTAGAAATTTATCCTGTAAGTGGACTTACAAATGTGAACAAAAATAAATGAACAAGGGTATTTGTTACTAAAATAGTAATAGCAAAAGACTGGATTAATCTAAATGTCCAATAATAGGGTTATTTAACCCAATTTATTTGTGCCCATGCAATGCATAGCTATGTGCCTGTCTTAAAAAACAAACAAACAAACAAGAAAACCTATGTACTTACTTTGAATAAACTCTAAGATATACTTTCAAATGAAAAAAATAAAGGTGAAGGCTGGGCACGGCGGCTCATGCCTGTAATCCCAGCACTTTGGGAGGCCGAGGTAGGTGGATCACCTGAGGTCGGGGGTTCAGACCAGCCTGGGCAACACGGTGAAACCCCATCTCTACTAAAAATACAAAAATTAGCCAGATGTGGTGGCACACCCCTGTAATTCCAGCTACTTGGAAGGCTGAGACGTGAGACTCACTTGATCCCAGGAGGCGGAAGTTGCAGTGAGCTGAGATCACCCCACTGCACTCCAGCCTGGGTGACAGAGTGAGACTCTTACTCAAAAAAAAAAAAAATTTTGTTTTGGTAGAGACTGGGTCTCACTGCATTGCTCAGTCTGGTCTCGAATTCCTGGCCTCAAGTGATCTTCCCACCTCAGCTTCCCAAAGTGCTTGGATTACAGGTGTGAGCCACTACACCTAGCTCCATCTCTATTGAAAAAAAAAAAAGTACTTACAGAAAGAAATGTTTTTATAAGTCCTTTACAATAAACCCCTGGAAATCATATATGAAACTAAGCCCTCATATGTGTTGGACTGTTGGGGACACACAGAGATGGGGAAGTCCTGTTTGGAGTCTCACTGCTGCTACTGTCTCATCTTTCCCGCTCGCTTGCGAGTTCTGCTCAATCTGAAGTCCAAATCCTGCTCTCCTAGGAAGGCTGCATTGATATCCACAACATACAGTTCTTTACACTGCTCATGTTTACATGACAGCATGGCCTTTGGAACCAGACATTAGGGGGTTAAGTATTGCCTCTACTGCTTATTAGCTACCTGACCTTGACAAAATAATGTCTCTAAGTCCCAGCTTTCTCACTTGTAAAATGGGGTTATACTGATACCTACTTCTGAGGAGTAAGAGGGCTAAAAAGATACATAGAGCACTTAGCACAGTGCTTGGCACTAAAGAAGTGGTCTTTAGTATTCCACTCATAGTCACATCACATTAACCATATCCAACAAAGAGAGTGGGCATCAAAGCAAGAAACCACAGGGACTTGTGAGGTGGGCAGTTGCTTTGCTTTGGTGTCATCAGTTCAGATTACAAGTGCCAAACTATGTGGAGTGGAGGCCCACCACCTCCCCACCTATCAGCTCCTTGATATAGGGCCTGGCCAGGAACAGCAAGGTCTGTGGCTCTAATCCCAGCTAAACACAGCCATCTAAGGGTCTCTTCAAAAGAACTCCCCCAGGCCTGAGAAAGTATTGAGATACTGAAGGGTGCAGACACCTCTCTTTATGTATTGGAAGCATATGTGCATGTTTCCACCCTCTCCATGCACACTCACCCCCCAACCACCATCACTAAGGGAGACTCCAGCTTTGTGGCAGTTTCTTCCCCCTTCTCTTCTCCAAGATTCTCTGTGCTTTTGTAATAATGAGATAGGAAGTATCAGTGCCCCCTAGCCAAAGACCACCACGAGCACACCTGTAGTTGAACAAGTTGGGTTCATTGCTTGTTGAAGTGAGAGAGGACACGTAGCATGGGAAACCACGTGGCATCTCAGGAAGAGAGCATTGGAAAGGACTTAGAGGATCTGGGTTTGGGTTAGTGCTTTTCAAGAGGGTTAAAGAAGCAGAACTTTCCTTTGTGCTGGATGCTGTCAAGAAGCAAGAGTAATTCTATGATTGGGTATATTAATAAATCTTATCTAGAAAGAGGAATGATTAGAGTGAGGCTAAAGCTGCAATTGGTAAAGAAGCAGCAGGTACTCACATTAGCTAGGACAGCAGGCACTCATTAGCTAGGTCATTTTTGTGACTTGGACAATGTTCATGCTTTTGTATGTGTTAGACATGATTAGAGTGCTGTTGTTTTTGTCTTGATCCATCATTGTTAAAGAACGGCCCTGTCTCACATTGATGCCCTGTGAAATGGCTTATGTCCAATGGGACAACAGTAAGGCCTTGCTGTGAATGTCAGGTCAAATTCTGGCAACACCAAGGTCCAGCTGGGCCTTTCAGATGTTAGGGGTTACTTTTCTCTTTCTCAGAACAGAAGAGGTTAAGAGAGACGTGGGTAGGTGGGATTTCAGTTTTCTGGGGACTTAGGCAGAGAGTTGCTTAGTGTGTGCAAGAGGTGAGCGGTAGGTGGGTGGAGTGGGTTAATAAGAATCGCTCTGGACTGCATCCTCATGGTCCCTAGCAGAGAGTTGCTTAGTGTGTGCAAGAGGTGAGTGGTAGGTGGGTGGAGTGGGTTAATAAGAATCGCTCTGGACTGCGTCCTCATGGTCCCTAGCAGAGAGGTGCTGTAGTGTGTGCAAGAGGTGAGTGGTAGGTGGGTGGAGTGGGTTAATAGAATTGTTCTGGACACTGTGTCCCCATAGTTTTCAAGAAATATAAGTAAAAAACATAACCATTTTTTTTTTTTTTGAGACAGAATCTCACTCTGTTGCCCAGGCTGGAATGAAGTAGCGTGATCTCGGCAGACTGCAGCCTATGCCTCCTCGGTTCAAGCGATTCTTGTGCCTAGGCCTTCCAAGTAGCTGGGACTACAGGTGCGTGCCACCACGTCCAGCTATTTTTTTTTGTATTTTTGTAGAGACAGGGCTTCGCCATGTTGCCGAGGCTGGTCTCGAACTCCTGAGCTCAAGCAATCTGCCCACCTTGGCCTCCCAAAGTGCTGGGATTACAGGCATGAGCCACCGCCCCAGCCAACATGAGCAATTAAAAATTTTTTGTTGTTGTTTGCTGGGCTGTCTTTCTTCTATTTTGATGCTGCTGTGAGACTCTGTGGATCAGGGTCTTAAAAATATTAAAAGTCTTTCAGGCCGGGTGCGGTAGCTCATGCCTGTAATCCAGCACTTTGGGAGGCCAAGGTGGGTGGATCACCTGAGGTCACGAGTTTGAGACCAGCCTGGCCAACATGGCGAACCCCGTCTTTACTAAAAATACAAAAATTAGCTGGGCGTGGTGCCCGGTGCCTGTAATCCCAGCTACTTGGGAGGCTGAGGCAGGGAAAATTGCTTGAACCTGGGAGGCGCAGGTTTCAGTGAGCAGAGATCCGGCCACTGCACTCCAGCCTGGGCGACAGAGGGAGACTCTGTCTCAAAAAAGCAAAACAAACAACAAAAGTCTTTCAAAGCCGAAAGGTTCTTAGGCACTGTCTTAAAGCCTAGCGCTCCAGCTGAAGCTGGTGCCTGAGTCCAGATGGTGTTGAAGAAGGAGCAGGGCCCAGCGGGCACCACTCTCAGAAGTCGGGCTCAGGTGTCTCCTGCCTCCGAACCCAAGAAGACCCAAGAAGACAGAGTTCCTCAGGCTCCCAGTGTCCCTAGGAAGTGGCAACCTTGACTCTTGGCCAGAGTTCAGAGTCCTGGTTATTAACACCAATAAACCTTTATTTGCCAGGGATACTACCATGGGAGGACACAGCCCCTGAGCCCAGCCCTGTTGATCCTGTGGGAGCGGGAGGGCAGCGGAGGACAAAGGCAGAGACCTGAGAGCCGGAGAGGCTCATCAAAGGGTCCCCAGCCCCTCTCAGGAACGGAGCATTTCTTGGCAGAGTGGTATTCATAGGACAGAGTTTGGGAAGTCGGGGCAGGGGAGCCTGAGGACACAGCAAGGAGAGCTCAGTGGCAGGTGCAGGCAGAGCGTTCTTTGGAAAATGGAGATCCTGGAAGGTGAGGGCCTCGAGCGCCAGTGTCCAGCCTTAGTGGGTATGCATATGTCCAGCTCCCTAAGGACACACTCAGGACAGCTAAGGTGCACACAAGTCCAGGGGCTTCCCCGTGCTCCGCCCCCCTCTCCCCCACCCCGGTAGCAGGCTGGAGGGCCCAGACCATGCTGGGTAGTGGGAGAAATGGAAAGAAATGGGACAGGGAACAGGAGACAAGAGCCCATGGTGGGAGTCAAAGAGCTGGAAGAGTTTTGGAAATGGGGGTCTGGGGGTAGAGTTGATCAAGGGCCGAGTTACTCAGCGGGACAGGTGGGAGGCACGAGGCCCTGGCAGCTCTGTTTTCTTGGCCGGGCTTGGGGGGGAAAGCGGGTAGCCGTCAGGCGCCTAAGGGCCCGCCCTGGACCTCCCCACCGAGGGAGGTGTCAGGCCCCGAGGGACCCGGCCCCCGAGCATCACGGACGCGCTGGAGGCCGGTGGGCGGTCGCCGTAGTCGCCCTCCCACCACCTCGCTCAGGTTTCTCCGGCCTGGGGCAAGAGGCCTGTGGCCCGCGCGGGAACGCACTGTCCACCCTCAGACCTGGGACTGGGCCGGCGCGCGGACGCTACCAAGAGGCTGCGGCTCCCGCCCCCGCGGCCGGACGTGGCGCCTCCCCTGAGGCCGCGGCCGGAGCCTGGAGGTGGGGTCGGAGTCAGAGCCCGGGGCTCTGATGTCACCGCGCGGCTGCGACGGCCCAGGAGCGCGTCTCGGCGGGAGCCTCAGGTACGCGGCGGGGGCGGGGGAGCGGGAAGCGGGCGGCTGGGTCCGCTTCCCCCGGGAGGCCGGCGGGGCTGCGGGCGGACGGGGGTGAAGAGCGGGCGGCGAGGCGGTGGTCGCGGGGCAGCCCGGGCATCGTTCGGCCGGGACGTGTCTGGCTCGGCGCCGCGTCAGGTTGCGCCAGTGGAGTCGGACCCCAGCGCGCCTCTCCCAGCTGCAGAGCTGCAGGGCGGAGAGGCGGCCCACTCTAAGCTGGCGGCGCGGCTCAGGGGCGCGGCTGGGCGCGCCGCGTGTGGCGCCGGCGGGCAGCGCGGTCTCACTCCGCCACCCTCCGCTCCTGCCCTTTGTCGCCAAGCATCTGGAGAAGCCGGGTCCTTCCCTCCCGGGCTCGCGCTGTCCCCTGCGCGCGATCCTTCCCCGACGGTGAACCCAACGGGAAAGGCCCAGAACTGCGCGGGGCTGCGGCCATCTGCTGTCGAGCCGCTCCGCGTGTCTCTGCCGCCCCCTGCGGCCGCCGGGGCCTGCGCCTCTCTCCCTCCCGTGCCTCGGCTCCCAGAGATTGAACCCCAGGTAACCGGGTCTGTCCACGCCCGCGGCCGCCTCTCCCCGGGTGTCGCCAGCTTCCTGCATTTCCTGTGCATGGCACGGAGCTCGGGTCTCCAGAGACTCTGCATCTGGGGTGCAGCGACCGATGAGCCCGTAAACCAGTCGCACACTCGGAGCGTGGATGCTGCGTGGGGTGCGCTGTCAGCGCGGACAGGCTGGGAGAACGGGGGACGCTGGGGACAGGGAGAGCCGGTGAACTTCCCAGAACGTCCGCCTAGCCAGACCCAGCTGCGGGTACTGGGTTTTGAGACGTGGTCCAGTACCCAGGAACTCAGTCTGACAGGGAGACAGCGCCTACACAGTGAGCCCAGTACTGAGGGAAGACCCGCTGGGAGGGGCGGCCTGGATAGCCCCTCCACAGAGAGGTCAGATGTGAGGTGGCCTTGAGGGAGGTATGATGTAAATCCTGATCATTCGTTGTATTTGAGGCTGTCCGTTCTCCTGTGCCTCCTCGGTCGCCTTACTTGGATCTGTTCCCATTGCCTTGGTGTGATTTTATCCACCGGAAACTGTCTTCAGCTATTTCCCCAGTAACCTCTAACTAAAAACCTGGGTCTTGCCTGGTCTACCCTCCCCTGCTGAACTCCAGAGCCACATCCCAACTGCTGCCTGACTTGTCACAGACACCATGAAGCCCAGACTGAAGGAGCACTGGCCCCCTTGACAATTCCTCAGCCCCAGCTCCTCCTTTCAGACTGGTGCCTCCACCTGCCAGACCCCTAGCTTTGAAGGCCAATCTCATCTTCGTCTCCTTCCTCTCTGGCTCCTTCATTCAGGTGACAAGTATACATCAAATGCCCACCCCAACTCCCCCTCCCAGGACTCCAATCTGGTGTCTTTCTAGCGGGGAGTCTAGGTTGCTCCCTCTGCTCTGGAGAGGCTTGGCAAAATGCCTGCAGAGCTCCTTGAGCTCCACCTCTGAACTCCCTTTCAGCAGCCGGCACAGGCATAACAGCCCAGCCCACAGGTACCACTGCCACTGAGGCAGGGACCCCTAAGGTAGGGCTACCCCCAGCCACAGGGGCTGGCTGGACTGCAAGAGGCTCCCTGCAGCCAGACAAGTATGAAAATGCCTTGTTGTTTTGTGCTGAGGCCCCCCAAAACACACCAAAGCAGCTGGGCCCTCTTGGCATGGTAGGTTCTGCAAAGCACCCACTGTGAGGAGCCTGCGTGAACATCAACCTGATAGGGCCACCAGTGCAAAAGCATCTTCAACAAGTTACAGTCAATAAGGAAACACATGTGTAGACACATTTTTATTGCCCATTCAAGCTGTTTTTATTTGCTGAATTCAGAATCCTTTAACATAGTAACTCACAAATAAGATAGATTTTCATAGATTTTCAAGACCTCTTTTGAGGAAACATCTTGTGTTTGGTGATCCCCATCTGTAGCTGCAGCAAGCCAAAATGGGCAGGATGGGTGACATGAGCTAGTGCTCCCAAGCTGGACTCAGAAAGAGTAGGAAGAGAAAGGGCTAATGTCTGAGCAGTCGGGTGGGCTTCCTAGATGAGGGGACTGTCCTCCCAGGAGCTGCTACTCAGAGTAGTTTCTTGTCCTCCTAAAGTTTAGAGTGGAAATACTTTGCAAAAGAGGTCCCCAACCCTAAGTGTGAGGGCTAAGCTCCTGGGCTTAGTAGGCATATACAAATGCCCCCAGGTGGGTGACATCAAGATGTTCTGGTCCTAGGTCTGCTGAGAGCCTCTCCTGGGAATGTTGTAGGTACTGCCTTTCCCTTTTAGGAAACACCATATCCTCCTACCACTAACCCCCATCCTTGCCCTAACCAGCAATCTGTAACATCCTGGGCCTCAGGGACGTGGGTGGAGGGTGACTCTGAGCTCCAGATAGTGTCTAGGAGGCTCAAATAAGCCTGCTTTTTGGTCCTCACCCTAGCCGTGGGCCACCCTACTCTGCACTCCCTACCAAGCAGCTCAGAGAATGGAGGCCAGCGCCCAAAAGTCTCCATAGTTCATAGGGAGCCCCAAACCTCAACACTGCCCTTTCCCAAGCCTCAAAATTTCTCTTACCCTGACCCAGGCACACCCACTCAACTCTTACCCTTGATCCCCCTCCCAGGACCAGAAGGGATTGATTTCTGGTGAGTCCTGCCCCAAGCTGTGCTTGCCTGCTCTGTTCGTACCTAATATTGCATGAGGAACCTGGCCAGTGTCTATGGTGGCAAGTGCTTCACCCATTCTGTCCTCTTCCCCAGAAAAGACTAATAGGGAGGGAAGAAGCGTGCGCAGAAGCTAAGGAACTCTCTTCCTTCTCTACCAAGGCCACCCCTACATCTACTCCCTGCAAATCTGTTATTTCCCTTGACATTCAGCAAATATTTGGGGTTTTGTTTTGTTTTGTTTTGTTTTGTTTTGTTTTGAGACAGAGCCTCACTTTGTCGCCAGGCTGGAGTGCAGTGGCGCGATCTCGGCTCACTACAACTTCCGCCTCCCGGGTTCAAGCGATTCTTCTGCCTCAGCCTCCCGAGTAGCTGGGACTACAGGCGTGTGCCACCACGCCCAGCTAATTTTTGGTATTTTTAGTAGAGATGGGGTTTCACGATGTTGGCCAGGATGCTCTTGATCTCTTTACCTAGTGATCCGCCCACCTCGGCCTCCCAAAGTGCTGGGATTACAGGCGTGAGCCACTGCACCCGGCCCAAATATTTAACATTGACTGTATGCCAGGGACTCTGCTGGGCACTGAGAGTGCAGCAATGAGGAAGAGCAGGGCCCATTCTCAGGAAGCTCAGGGGTGGGAATGGGAGGAGGGAATCAGAAGCAAGCCAACAGGGACAGTGTGGGGTGGGGGTCAGCTCAGCACACTGTAGGAGTCCCAAAAAGTGAGGAGACCTCTAAGCTGAGTCCTACAGGAGAAGCAAGAATAGAAGCAGGGCAAAGATGGGGGTCGGCCCATCATTCCTAGACGAAAGGCAGAGTTTGAGAAGTGGGGGCCAGATTATTTTGGAATCTGCCAATAGTGTATGGGGAGGTAGGGGTGACTTTCCCATAGTGGAGTGTGGGCTTCCTTGGAGGATTCAGGCTGTTGGGGAACAGGAGGGATGGTAAACTGCCTTTCAGCAGGGCTTGCTTCTAGGAAATTGATTCTGGCTGCAGTGAGCGTGGAGGCAGGCCTGGATTCCAGGCAGGCTTCTGCCACGTCCCAGCTGTGTGGCCCTGGACAAATCATTTCCCTCTCAGAACCTCATTGTCCTTGTCTGTAAAATGCAGACAGCAGTTGCAACGATCAAAATAAATATTTATATAAAGCACCTGGAACATAACAGGCACAGAGGGAGGGAGGAAGGCTGTGAAGCTGCCTCTGCCCCTTGCCCTGGGTCTTCCCCCACCCCTCCTTTCTTAGCTCCCCTGAGGTCACAAGAGTGTTCTTGACCATTGTTTATCAGGGAAAGATCACATGGAGAAGCCAACAGAACGGCCAGGAAGCAGCCTGGGTGGAACAGGGTTGGGGAGGAAAGGAACATGGGTACATTCTCAGCGTTCCAGGAGGTCTCAGGGTAAAGGCTGCTTGTGTGGGCAAGGGGAGCCTGGCAGGGAATGAGCTGGTCCCAATTCCTTCCCCTGAGCTGGGCCCTCAACCTTCAGAGGTGCTCCCTGGGACTGGTCCTACTTCCTCTGCCACCTCTGATCCCAAGGTGACTCTGCCAAAATCTGGGGGATGCCAGCGCTTGTGACGGTGTGACCAGGGAGGGGAAGTGTAAGTGTCTGGCCGTCCGTGGTGGCGGGGCCAGCAGGCTGTCCCAGCCCTCACCCGGAGCTCCTCACCCGGCACCACATCTGTGTTTTCCCAGGACCCACGCAGCCACCCAGCCTCAGCACTCATCTGCGCAGCCATGGAGGCCCTGGGACCTGGGGGCGACCGCGCCTCCCCGGCCTCGTCCACTAGCAGCCTGGACCTGTGGCATCTGTCCATGCGCGCGGACTCGGCCTACAGCTCTTTCTCCGCAGCCTCCGGCGGCCCCGAGCCGCGCACGCAGTCGCCGGGGACAGACCTCCTTCCTTACCTAGACTGGGACTACGTGCGTGTGGTTTGGGGCGGCCCGGGCCCCGCCCCGCCCGACGCTGCCCTTTGCACATCCCCGCGGCCCCGGCCCGCGGTTGCAGCCCGCAGTGGGCCGCAGCCAACAGAGGTCCCGGGGACCCCGGGACCACTGAACAGGCAGGCCACCCCGCTGCTGTACGCGCTGGCGGCCGAGGCGGAGGCCGCGGCGCAGGCTGCCGAGCCGCCCAGCCCGCCGGCCTCGAGGGCCGCCTACCGCCAGCGGCTTCAGGGCGCGCAGCGGCGAGTGCTCCGGGAGACGTCGTTCCAGCGCAAGGAGCTCCGCATGAGCCTGCCCGCCCGTCTGCGGCCCACTGTCCCAGCGCGGCCCCCGGCGACTCACCCGCGCTCCGCCTCGCTCAGCCACCCGGGCGGGGAGGGGGAGCCGGCGCGCTCCCGGGCTCCCGCGCCAGGAACTGCCGGCCGGGGTCCCCTCGCCAACCAGCAGCGGAAGTGGTGCTTCTCAGAGCCAGGAAAGCTGGATCGTGTGGGTCGGGGCGGTGGGCCGGCGCGGGAATGCCTGGGTGAGGCCTGCTCCAGCTCTGGCCTCCCTGGGCCCGAGCCCTTGGAGTTCCAGCATCCGGCGCTGGCTAAGTTTGAAGATCACGAGGTCGGATGGCTGCCCGAGACGCAACCCCAAGGCTCCATGAACCTGGACTCCGGGTCCTTGAAGCTCGGTGATGCCTTCAGGCCCGCCAGTCGGAGTCGGAGCGCTTCAGGCGAAGTCTTGGGTTCCTGGGGAGGATCAGGAGGGACCATACCCATTGTCCAGGTATGGAAGTCAGGAGATGCAGGCTGGTGAGGGGAGCATCTGGGAAACAAAACTTGAGCCACATTTCAGTCGACTGTTCACCCTTCCAGGCTGTTCCCCAAGGAGCAGAAACCCCCAGACCATTGTTTCAGACCAAACTTTCCAGGTGAGAGACACGGACCACTCTGGACCAAGTTGGGGGGAAGCAGCTTGCATAGCTTTTGCCCAAAAAATGAAAGGGCTTCCTACCTACCCTCAGTCTGAGCCTTCTGGTTATTTTGAAAATACCCTACTGTCTCCCTGGTGCAACACCAAGAGCTTCCTTCCTTTCACTGTGGTCACTATGGGGTCCCTGCCTCCAGGTTCTTGCCTCAGAAAGAGGCTGCGGTGATGTATCCTGCAGAGTTACCCCAGAGCAGCCCTGCTGACAGTGAACAGAGGGTCTCAGAGACCTGCATTGTGCCTGCCTGGCTCCCCTCCCTTCCTGATGAAGTGTTCCTAGAAGAGGCCCCACTGGTCAGAATGAGATCACCACCAGACCCCCATGCCTCCCAGGGGCCCCCAGCCAGGTAATTCCCTCTTGCTTCCAAGCATCGTGAGGCACCCCCTGACACACACATCTACAAAACGCTAGAGGGGTGGGAATGCTCTCCTAGCTGGAGCCTGGGATTCCAGGTGATGGGGGTAGGGACAGATGGCCCTTGGAGGCCACCATTTGTTTGTGGCTGGAGCTTTTTCTGATTCAGTGTCTTTTCTGCTTCCAGTGTCCATGCCTCTGACCAGCCGTATGGAACTGGCTTAGGCCAAAGAACTGGCCAGGTTACAGTCCCCACAGAGTACCCGCTCCATGAGTGTCCAGGAACTGCAGGGGCAGATGACTGCTGGCAGGGGGTGAATGGTTCTGTAGGTATTTCCAGGCCCACAAGCCACACCCCCACTGGGACTGCAAATGATAACATCCCAACTATTGACCCCACTGGACTGACCACCAATCCCCCCACAGCTGCAGAGAGTGACCTCCTCAAACCTGTCCCAGCTGATGCCTTGGGACTTTCAGGCAATGATACTCCAGGTCCCTCTCACAATACTGCCCTAGCCAGGGGCACTGGCCAGCCTGGTTCCAGGCCCACATGGCCTAGTCAGTGCCTCGAGGAGCTGGTTCAGGAGCTGGCCAGATTAGATCCCTCTCTATGTGACCCTCTTGCTTCCCAGCCCAGCCCAGAGCCACCCCTGGGCCTGCTGGATGGACTGATTCCTTTAGCAGAGGTCCGGGCTGCAATGCGGCCTGCCTGTGGGGAGGCTGGAGAGGAGGCTGCCAGTACTTTTGAGCCAGGGTGAGTGAGGTGTACTAGGGAATCTGGACACTGAGCCCCTGAAGTTGGGGACAGGAAACCCAGGGAGCTCTGGTTTTGTTCCCAGGTCCTATCAGTTCAGCTTCACCCAGCTCCTGCCGGCTCCTCGGGAGGAGACAAGGCTTGAAAACCCTGCCACCCACCCTGTGCTTGACCAGCCATGTGGGCAGGGGCTCCCTGCACCAAACAACAGCATCCAGGGCAAGAAAGTGAGTGGAGAAGGGCTGGTGGAGGCTGGGGGTGGGTAGGAGCCCAGAGCCTGGGCAGGGAAGTCATGAGCCTGGCCCCAGCCTTGAGCCTTCCCTGTAGGTGGAGCTGGCCGCCCGCCTCCAAAAGATGCTTCAGGACCTTCACACGGAGCAGGAGCGGCTGCAGGGGGAGGCACAAGCGTGGGCCAGGCGCCAAGCGGCTCTGGAGGCTGCAGTGCGCCAGGCCTGTGCCCCTCAGGAGCTGGAGCGGTTCAGCCGGTTCATGGCCGACCTAGAGCGCGTGCTTGGCCTTCTGCTGCTGCTGGGCAGTCGCCTGGCGCGCGTGCGCCGCGCCCTGGCCCGGGCGGCCTCAGACAGCGACCCTGATGAGCAGGTAAAAGGGGTTCAGGTTGCAAGCGAGTAGGGCGGTGAGGGGCCTGCTGTCTCCGGCTGGAACCATTCCGGGAGCGGCGGCGCCCTCACCCGGCTCACGGCGCCTCTTCCTGCGGCTCAAGGCCTCCCTGCTGCAGCGACTCCGGCTCCTGCAGCGGCAGGAGGAGGACGCCAAGGAGCTGAAGGAGCACGTAGCGCGGCGCGAGCGGGCCGTGCGGGAGGTGCTGGTGCGAGCACTACCGGTGGAGGAGCTGCGCGTCTATTGCGCCCTGCTGGCGGGCAAGGCCGCCGTCCTGGCCCAGCAGCGCAACCTGGACGAGCGCATCCGCCTCCTTCAGGACCAACTGGACGCCATCAGGGACGACCTTGGCCATCATGCCCCGTCTCCCAGCCCGGCGCGGCCCCCAGGGACCTGTCCTCCAGTTCAGCCGCCCTTCCCTCTTCTCCTTACATAGTTATAGGTGGAGAGGGTGGGGTGCACCGCCCCTATCTCTCACCCACGTAAGTGGGGTGATGCTGATTTAGTCTCTGCTTTTCCCTTGAGGGATTGGGGAGGACCCAGTCCAGGCCTTTCTAAGATACTCCTCCAGCCGGGCGCGGTGGCTCACGCCTGTAATCCCAGCACTTTGGGAGGCCGAGGCGGGCGGATCACAAGGTCAGGAGATCGAGACCATCCTGGCTAACACGGTGAAACCCCGTCTCTACTAAAAATATAAAAAATTAGCCGGGCGTGGTGGCGGGTGCCTGTATTGCCAGCTACTCGGAAGGCTGAGGCAGGAGAATGGCGTGAACCTGGGAGGTGGAGCTTGCAGTGAGCGGACATCGCGCCACTGCACTCCAGCCTGGGCGACAGAGCAAGACTCCGTCTCAAAAAAAAAAAAAAAAAAAAAAAAAAAAAAGATACTTCTCCAAAGTGTTCTCATGTGGCCTCACCCAGGTCTTGTGTATTATTTGGTAATTAATTTATGGATCTTAAAAACTGCAGTATTCCCCCATTTTGTGATGAGAGTGTGGGGCTGGCAGGGGTTGGTTGGAGGGAGGAGAGAAGACAGAGGAGCACTTAAGGTGCAAAGCAGCCTATTTTTTCTTCAATAAAAATTGTTAAGAGAAGTGTGTGTGTCATCTGCAGCACAGCTGTGGGAGGAGTGAGAGGGGTCTTGTTTACACAGTCACCAGCCCTGGCTGACTAGAGCAGAAGAGGGATTTGCTGGCAGAATATCAGTCAACCCTGCCAATGTCTAGTTAGTCTGGAGAACCTGGCTTGAAAACAGGAGGGACCAGGGGAATACTGCGCTTTCAACTCCACTGTCACCAGTATTTCCTAACTGTTCCAGTGACTGTGTCACAGCCACAAAGGCCTAGGTCTGATTGGCTGAGTCCAGATTCTGTAGCTGGTTTCTAGCCAACATCCCAGCTTCAGTAGAGAAGTAGGAGTCCTGTCTCCTTTCAAGACTCAAGCTACTGAAATGGGCTCAGATGCTGTGCTGCCTAAATGCCCTGACAAATATTCAGAATACTTGGACATCTGGGGACATTCATTCCAAGACCCAGAAAGCACTTTCTTCTTCCAGTTATGTTATCAACACTGTTTATCCTCCTCTCCTTCAGAGATACCACTGGGTCAGCCAGGCCTGAGGCGGGCAGTCGAGGGTGGGAGCTGAAGGTGAGGGGTGGGAGACCTCAAGACCCTCCATGCTGGGACTAAGGACCTGGAGACATAGCAGTGGTTGTAATCTGAGGGTGGGCCATGGTTGGGCGTGGGCAGTTGGGGGCTGGAGTGGTATGACACATAGGACTCCTCAACTTGTGTATCCACCCCATGTATATAGAATCAAAGTTAGGTTCTCAGATATACATGTTGAAATCTGCTTCAGCCTTTGTAGCTGCAAATGCTGGGGCCAACAACATTGTTCCACAAATATTCAGTGTATTTTTGGAAGTTGGGCACATTAAAAGGCATGTTTATGTGCATTTATAGCCAACTGACCCCCAAGTGAGAAATCTGTGCTCCTGGGCTTGTTTTCTGATGCGTATTGTCACCAAGTGCAACTGGTTGGGAATTTTAAATGGTTGTATTCATACCAAAAGCGTTTGTTATAACAGTTGTGCTATTGAGCACAGAACAATGCTCACATTATGCCTTTTTATAAAAAACATATGGGGCTCCTGCTGAGGCCTTTGCGGGTTCTAACATTATGCTTTGCTTTGCCCCTTTGAACACAGTGGGCAGGGCCTCTGCTCCAAGGTCTTTAGCCTAGTAAACACACCCAGAGACATGTTCTGGATGGAAGCTACTAATTTCTGCGTTTTGCCCTGTATGCACCCTACTGCATTATTCCGTTGCGGTATTCTTAGAAACACAGCTACTTGGGAGGCTGAGGTGGGAGGATCACTTGAGTCTGGGAGGTGAAGGTTGCAGTCAGCCGAGACCGCGCCAATACACTCCACCACTTCAGCCTGGGTGACAGAGTGAGACCCCTGTCTCAAAAACAAAAAAAAAAAAAAAAAAAAAAGAGAAAAAAGAAAAAAAGAAACACAGCTAACATGTCCATTCAGCCAATGGGAATTGTGTATTTCAAATAAAGCTTCCCCAGTCCGGCTGGGCGTGGGGAGCACAGGGGTAGGAGTAGGGGCATCTTCCATCTTCCCATTAAACTGGACGTTGGTTGTGCGCTGGGTTTTTCCGTGGGGAAATAAATATGAGGCTTTTGTGCTCGTCCTTGCCAGATCAGAAGAATCCCAAAAATAAGGCCACACCTCCTGCAATGGACCTGCTATCTTCCCTCGGTCTTCTTGCCCCAGTTTTCTCCCTTCCATATCGTTATTTCTCCAGAGGGCAAGAATGAGCTCACCACATTTGTTCCGTTATCAGCACCTCAGACTTCAAGACTTTGTGGGGACCAGAAGCCCGGTGAACTGACCCTTCAGGATACTGCCAGCAGAGGGCGCTGTCCTAATGGTGAAAGCTGGTACCTACGCTTCGCCATTCGCAGCTTCTCCAGCTTACCAGGCCCTCTGGGCCAGCCACAGGGACTTTGACTTGCCCTGCTGAGCAGTTAGGCCCGAAAGCTGGAGCTGAGCCTTTTGCTTCTTTCAGAAAGAAACTGACCAGCCAGGCAGGGAAAGGCTGGCTGTCTTTGCCACTGGGCCTTTGTTGGAAAGTTGCTGGCCAATGAGAAGTGGGAGAGAGGGCAGTCGGGGGGAGGGGTGTGGGGGGATTTAAACGGTACACTGATTAAATCATATCCTCCTAATACGGATTCGATCAGTGCACTTTTTGATTTCGAACATAAGTATCAAAAAAACAAAAAAAAAAAAACAAAAAAGCCTTGCGTAGTCTCCCAGGGTGAGAAAGCGGGTTGCATGGGTCCCTATAGGGGTTTCTGCGCCCCCATCTCCTTTAGCCGCCGGCACCCCTGCCCCATCCTCCTTCCTGGCTGCCTGCCGCGGTGCTTTCGGGCTTTTGGGGGAGCACAGGCCGCGGCTGGCATCGTTGCTGGGCAACAGGCAGCCCCGCGGCCGCCTCCCCAGCTCGCTTATTCCGCCCCCGCTGCTCCTCCTAACATGGATTTAATCAGTGTACTTTTTACCTTCAGGCTGTAAATTAGAAACGGAACAGGGAAGCCATGTTCGGCGGTGCCCGAAACCGGCGCGCAGTCTGTCTTGAACATCCTGCTCGGCACAAAACTTACCCCTGAGAGCGGCTGGCGCAAACCTCAGGGCTCCTCATTGGAACAAATTGCCGTGCTGTGCATTCACATGTAAACCAGGAGCTCAGGAAATTTAGGTCAAATGTGTTTGAGGGCTGCAGAGAGAAACAGGTGAAAGGGGCATTTGGGGGCGCAGGAAGGCGGGAGGCGGCAATTGCTGAGGACCCCATAGTGTTGCTGTCAGCCTAGCTACAGCGTGGAAGGTCACAATGGACGTTTACCTGTTGTCTTTGATGTTTAAATCAGCACCCACTTCCCACGAGGAGGATTTTTTTTTCTTTGAGGAGAGAATCTAGATCTCGATGTCTCTGCTTTCTTTTTTCTTCCCTGCAGGCACACCTGAGGCACCCCGGCCCCAGGTTGAAGTCTGGAGGTGTGGCAGTTCCAAACAGGTGAGGCGGGTTCAAGGCAAAAGGCTATCTGGAGAGCAAAAGAGAATCTAAGTATAGGCCAGGCGCCTATAAATACAGGCTGACTGTCGCCTGTAATCACAGCAGTTTGGGGGGCCGAGGCGGGCTAATTGCCTGAGCTCAGGAGTTCTGAGCTCAGGAGTTCGAGACCAGCCTGGCCAACATGGTGAAACCCCCGTCTCTAACAAAAGATTAGCCAGGCGTGGTGGTGCACGCCTGTAATCCCAGCTGCTCGAGAAGCTGAGGCACGGAAATCGTTTCAAGCGAGAATCGCTTGAACCAGGGAGGCGGAGGTTGCAGTGAGCCGACATCCCACCATTGCACTCCAGCTCAGGTGGCTGAATAGCAGTGGTTAGGTCTGGAAGGTAGGAGTAGGAATGCTAGAGGAATGTGAGTTTAGAAAGACATTATTTCTATTTTAACTAAAGTGATATCATGTACAGAATATGGGATAATTTCCCTCTTGTGGGAATACATTTTTCCTAGTAGAGTCGATTGTTACTTATGTATACAATCACCAACATGTTAAAAGAATGGTGATCATGGCAGGGCACGGTGGCTCACACCTGTAATCGCAGCACTTTGGGAGGCCAAAGCAGGCAGATCACCTAAGATCAGGAGTTTGAGACCAGCCTGACCAACATGGTGAAACCCCATCTCTACTAAAAATTCAAAAAATTAGCCAGGCATGGTGGCACGTGCCCGTGATCTCAGCTACTTGGGAGGCTGAGGCAGGAGAATCGCTTGAAGCCGGGAGGCAGAGGTTGCAGTGAACTGAGATTGCACTACTGCACTCCAGCCTGGGTGACAGAGCGAGACTCCATCTCAAAAAAGAAAAAAAAAAAAAGAAAGAATGATCATGTAAAGCAGATCCACAAATCAGAGCTATTTGGTTTTGGGATGCAGCCATTTACCCCCTGGAACCAACTCGGCACCCCACATTGGTGTTGCAGTTCATAAAGAGCTCTATCCACTCATTCTACGTGCTCTTCCTTCCCCCACAGCCTGTGAAATAGGTACAGGAAGCCTTTTGTCCCGTAGACAGGGAAGATGGAGTTTGGGGAGCTGGGTGACTTGCCCAAAGACACTAAATGAGTAAAAAGGGCTGAGATGAGCCCACCCTGCTTCCTGCAATAGGATAGCAGACAGTGTCATGAAAAAGAGAACCAGGAGACTATTCCAGCTCTGCATTTACTAGCTGTGAGGCCTAGACAAGTAACTTATGACTTCTCTAGGCTTCAGTTTCCTCACTTTAAAATCAAGATACAAATAGTACATACCTTATAAACTTGCGATTAATACCTGCAAAGTGTTTCGAATTGTGCCTGGCACTTAATCAGCACAGGTTATACAGTATATGCATTACCCTGGATCTCCATTAGGTAAGGGAGACATGCTTAAGAATAACCTCCAACCTCCATTAAAGGATATGTAAAACTTTACTTAAAAGCTTGCTATGGATACGACTCATACCCATCTACATCAACAATTCTCCCTCATTAAAAGGCGTGATTTCGTCCCTGTGACAATTCTTGTCAGCTAAATTGCCTTCACAATTATTTTCTGTTAGTGTTGAAAATACCCTTCTAACGGTGTGCCTCCTGCTAGGTGATATATGATTCTTAAAAACTTTCCCTATGCGTATGAAACTATAATTTCTTATCGGCTTACCTTATAGTTGCAGAAAGCTTTGGCCTGCAAGGAAAAGCAGTGTTTTCTAACACCTGAGCTTTAGGTATATTGATCCTAAACTCTTGCTAAATGTTTTACTTCACTTGGAAGGCTTGCAGCACACTCTTCTGAAACACATAGATTCTTCTGGCAGTTCAAATGACCCTCCTCTGATTTAAGTGTGCAATAAACATTAGTTATTGTTATTACTACTTTGCTGGTTTAAACGTTGTCTTTATCAAGGCAGGTCATACCTGTGTCTGTGACCTTTGTCTGAGGCCCTGTCTGAGTCAGGTGTCTCTTTTACCATGGAAAATCTCTAGTATTTTATTCTGTTTTCTAGACTGTCAGCTACTCCAATTGCTATAATTGTGTCTCCTACAATTTTTCAGCAGAGGCAGAAGATTTAATTTGCATTTTAAAATAATTTATGCAGAGTTCCAGGCAAGGAAGGTGGGAAGGTCACATCAGGGCCCACATTTATCTACAGTTCTCCATTACGATATCCATGTGTGGTTGACTCCTTTACTTTGCAGAGCAATCCAACTTCTTTCAATAACAGAATGCTTGAAAGAGGCAGAAGAATGAAGGAAATTAGATAAAAAGAAAAGAAAAATACAATAGCAAAAACTGTACAATTTTTAAGGGAAGTACATCACCACTCAAGCAGAAACAAAATGGAGGACTGTTTATTTCATTGCTCAATCAAAACATTCCATGAAAGACTGCCTTAAGTAATTTCAAAGGCTTCACTGATACATATGGGGGTGGGGAGGGAAGCTCCACTACCCCATGCCACAAAACTATTTGATATAACTAATGACATGCAAACACAATTTGCAAAAGCAGAGCATTATCACAATATGACATTTAAAAAATTGGTTGAGTAAACAGATTTCATATCTTTAAAACATAAAATAATTACACTGTATTGAGCCTGGGAAATCTTGGCAATATCTACAAACTTTCTCATTTACAGATAGGAACAAAGGCCCAGAGAAGTTAAGCCACTCATCCAAGCTCACTGAGCAGAGATTCTGCATTTGCTATTTTGGAATAAGTTGTCTACTTTCAAATGGTTTTTTAAAATGGGTATTACATACTTTTTGTTTGTACAGAACAGTCATATAAAATAGTTGCTCCTTAATTGTATCCATTACTATTTAATCGCTCATTTTTCTGTAATACTATTACTTTTTTAATAGTCACCTATTTCACTGAAAGGCTCCACTGGATTTGAAAACCAGATTCAGAAACATGGCACAAAGGTGCAATTCACAAACCACAATTTTTTTAAAAAATTAAGTAGTCATGCCAAATCAAAATAGCCACCCACAAGTGCCAAACACGTTTCTATTTCATGATGGAGACAACCACAAATTAAAAGTATCTGTCAAAATGTCTCTTTTCTCTAAGTCACCTTTACTTTCAAGATGTACTTGTTTGCAAATATTTAGCATTCACAGTACAACTGAAATTAGTTACATTCATAATGGTCACAATCGTTATTCTGTGTTCAAGACTCTCCAGAATCTTGATTGCCTAAAACGAGGTAGATAAACTTTTAAGTTTGTTGGTTGGGATTAATTTCCTTTAGATCTTGATCATCTATTTTTTAAATAGAATTCCAAAGTATTTAGCAAAAAAAAAATTGAAAATGTCTAAGCACTTTGCCTAAAAGTGGAAAAATATAATTCCAAAAGGTTATTACGAAAGTTGCATTACCTCATTTCAATTTAAAAACAGAATAAAAGCATCAAATTACAAAACCACCACATATCTTAAAGCTGACAACCTAACATCTTTCAACATTTAAAGAGACCCTTGCTCTAGCTCTGTCTTGGGATTGTGTAGCTGCAGAGGCATCAGGTGAAGGCTTTCAGGGGCCAGACCAGCTGCTGCCCCTTAACCTTTGACCCTGGATTTCAAGTTCCCTCTAGAGTTCAGGCCTGTCTCCTGGAGTTCTTTATAGGAAGCTCTCACTGATTTCTCAAATCCCATCTCTGGAGATGGGTCATGCTTCAGAAAGAAGCTGGAGGTGCAGGCCCATCTGGGTAAAACAGGCTGCCCTGGACAAAGCTGGAAACAGAATGAGGCTCCAGGCGTTGATTGGGCTGCAGTCTTGGGCGGGTTTGGACTGCGACGAGCAGGCCACGATAGATCAACCAGGTGGTAGCCCCAGGGACCTTCAGGTTGTTGGAGGCAAACTGGGCACTAGACCAGCTAAAGGCCCCGGAGTAGGTCGACGAGAGATTTCTGAGAAGGCTGGCAGACCACCGCGGATCTTTGTCTTTTTACGTGGAGCCATGGGCGAGGCGCTCAAGAACTTGCTGAAGGAGCTCGACTTCTTCAAGCCTCGGGCCAGGTCCTGGAGCATGAGGTCGTCAGCCAGGACGCCCAGAAATGCACTGGTGGTGGAACTGAGGATGGTGGCGGCCACCTGTACGGGGCGCCTGGCAGCAAGACTGCCACTTCCACCACCGGTCGCATCTGGCTCCGTGGTGCCTCGCAGGCCTGGATCGCCAAGAAGGCGGCGCAGCGCGTACGAGGAGCCGGGCCGCAGGTACTGGTAGGCGCGACGCCCGCTGTGATCACGCACGTGCACCTGGGCACCCAGACGCACCACCAGCAGCACGGCAGCGTCCTCGTGGCCGTGCAGTGCAGCCAGGTGCAGCGGCGTGTAGCCGCCGTGGGAGCGTGCGTTCACGTCGACTGGTGCGCCACTGCGCCGCGCGACCTCCACCAGCTGCAGCGCCATCTCGCCGTCGCCGCTCTTGGCGGCCCAATGCAGGGCCGTGAAGCCAGACATGAAGTCGCGCTTGGCCGCCAAGCCGCGGTCGCGCAGCAGCAGCCCGTGCAGCTGGTGGGTCCAGCGGCCCCCGGCAGTCCGCACGAGCCACTCGTGCTCGGACGGCTCCAGGGGCACCGCGGACGGCGGCGGCGCGGCGGGCAACTCCTCGGCGTCAGGGCTCAGCAGACGCGGGCCGGCGCGCGACAGGCGCCTCAGGTGCGGGGAGCGGCCCGGGCCCAGGCCGAGGCCCAGACCGGACTCTTCCACCGAGAGCCGCCTCAGCAGCAGAGGGGAGCTCCGCGGGCTCGGCTCCTCCGACAGCTGCCGGCGCAGGCCGGGCTCCTCCGCCCGGAGGCGGAGCGTGGCGGGGGCCGGGACGCAGCGCACCGGCAGCATACAGGGCTTCTGCTGCGGCGGCCCTTTCGCTGCCCCGGGCCCGGGCTCCGCGTCTGGCGGATCAGAGCAGGGCGATGCCGCCTCAGAAGGGGCCCTAGGCGGTGGGGCCGCGTCTGCGGAGGGTCTCTCGGTGGCCTGGGCTAGCTCAAGGGCTGGAAGCGGTGGGTCGGCGGACCGCTCCCCGGGCGGCTGAGCGGGCTCGGAGGCCGGCCCCCCCGGGGTGTCCTGTGGCTCTGTTGGCAGACCCAGGTCCCCTGGCGGCTCCACTGGCCGCGGCACCCGGACCAAGGGCGGAGCTCCCGGGGCAGAGGCGCTCCGCGGCAAGACCGTCGAAGTGGGTTTCGACGGCTGGGCCGCTGCCCCCGGGGGGCCGAAGGGTGCGGGCTCGGGCTCCGGGGGCCGGGGCTTCTTCCTCAGCACCACGAACTTGACGCCGTCGAGCTCCTTCACCACCGCCACGTTGTTGACGAACTGCTTGAAGCGGTCCCTGCGGGCGGCGCGGCCCCGCGGGTCGCCGGCATCGAGCAGCGGCTTGAAGCGGCTCAGCAGCTCGGAGTTGCGCACCTTCCCGCCGTGCTCCTGCAGGAAGCCCAGCACCGCCGCCTGGCTCACCCCGGCAGCCGCAGCGGCGGCGGCGGCGGCCAGCGCCATGGTGGGGCCCTGGGTTCCTGGCTCCCGGGGCGGGTGGGCGCCGCGTCGCCGCGGGACGCGCGGGAGCGGGGTTCCGGGAGGCGCGGCCGCGCTCACCTGGTGCCTTCCCCGCGGCCAGCCGGGCGTGTCCCCGAAGCTGGACCTCGGTCGCGCCAGTGCCGCTGGGCCGGGGCGTCTCGGGGCGAAGGGCGCCGGGGGCCGCGGGGAGCGCCCACCCCCAGCGCCCCGCCGGGCCCCGGCCTTCGGGGTAGGTTTCTGCCTTTGTATTCTGTCCAATGGGCGCCTGCTTCCATCCCCCGCGCCGCGCTCGCCTTACAGGTGACAGCTGCCCCCGCGATGCAGAGGGAACCGGAGCAGAAATTCCCGCCGCCCCCCGCCCGCCCCAGAATTAAAGGCGCAGCGCTCCAGCTCTGGTCTCGGTTGCTAGGTGGGTGTGTTCCCTAGGGACGCCGCGGTCCGCCAAGGAGGAATGGATTTTTATTCCTTTAATAAACATTTAACCACTGCAAAACACCAAGCGATGATTTCAGAACAATCTTTTTTTTTTAAAGGTCGTCAATACCACTCCAGTTTTTTTTTTTTTTTACTGTGTTTCATGCAGGAAAACGGCTTCATGAGATTTACAGCAAAACCAATTCACTCTGCGCGGCAATGCACGTTACTCTAGGTTTAGAGAGACGTTTTCAAAAGCAATTTTCTCATGGTAAGAGAATACATTTTCACGTAGAATTTGGGGTATAAAACCACAGGAAACATAAACATAACAGGAAAACATAGAGGAAAACATAAAGAAGGAAAAAAAATCACTTGAAATCACCATTAACATTTTGAAATATCCTCTCCCTGTCTCCCATGTGTGTATGTATGTTTATGCTTTAAAGTAAGAAAGCAATGCGGAGTCATGCCATGGTTTTAAACCTTCGTTTGTTCCACAGATAGGTATTGAGCACGTAGTTTGTGCCAGGACTTTTTTTTTTTTTTTTTTGGCTAAGATGCGTCAGTTAGCAAGACAGATTTAAAAACCCGTGACCTAGTGGGGCTCATGTGTTGGAGGAGAACAGAAGCATATGGTGAATCCGAAAACTATATGATATACTAAATACATGCTATGAAAAAAGCACAGCGGGGTATAACGGATGAGGGTCAGGTTGCAATTTTGATCTGGGCAGTCAGGATAGTACTCGTTGTGAAAGTGACATTTAAACAAGGACTTGAAGGAGATCAGGGAGTTATGTAGACGGGGAAGAGGTTTCTAGTTGAGGGAACTGCCTGGCAGAGGTAGAATCAGTTCCTTAATTTAAAATGCAGGCCGGGCGCGATGGCTCACGCCTCTAATCCCAGCACTTTGGGAGGCTGACTTGGGCGGATGATCTGAGGTCAGGAGTTCGAGACCAGCCTGGCCATCATGGTGAAATCCATCTCTACTTAAAAATACAAAAATTAGCTGGGTGTGATGGCACGCACCTGTAATCCCAGCTACTCCGGAGGCTGAGGCAGGTGAATCGCTTGAACCCGGGAGGTGGAGGTTGCAGTGAGCTGAGATGGCGCCACTGCACTCCAGCCTGGATGACAAGAGCAAGCCCTGTCTCATAAATAAATAAATAATTGCAGTACTACAAATATATCTAACCAGAAGCAGCATATTGTAGTAGCTGAGAAAACAAGACTCTGGAGTCAACATTCTACACTTGAGTTCTGGCTCTACCTTGGGCAAATGCCTTGACTTCTCTGTGCCTCAGCTTTCTTGTCTGTAAAGGAATGAGGAAAATAGTACTTACCTGCTCAGATGGTTGAGAGAATTAAGTGAGAAAATAAACACAAAAGACTTAGCATAATGCTTGGCTTACAGTAATCATTTGAATTATTATTAGTAGTATAGTCACTACTATTAGTATTACTCAAAAGGAAAACAGAAGACTAAAATGTAAAGGGTCCCCTTTCCCCAATCCAATCCCCAGGGGCAATTTCTGAGTTCAGCCCTGTCCCCAAGATGCAAACAATTTAAACATTTCCCCCTCACTTTATATTGTGAGCATTCCTCCCAATGACAATAGCTAGTCTAGTCTTCAAAAACATACAACTTTTAATGATAGCATCAAATAAATGTAGTATTATACTTTGTTTTCTTGTTCTTCATTGTTTATATTGTTTCTAGTTTTTAATTCTTATAAATGATGCTGTTGATATATAAGACTTTGTGCACCTTTCTGAGTAATTCCTTAGGATAGGCTCCTAGGAGTAGAATTCGCAGGGCACGCACCATCACACGCAACAGCATCACACCCAGCTAATTTTATTTTTATATTGCCCAAGCTTGTCTCAAACCCTTGGCCTCAAGCGAGCCTTCCACCTCAGCCTCCAAAGATTACACGTGTGAGCCACTGCATCTAGCCTTACCCCAGCGCCCCCCCTTTTTCTTTTGAGATGGAGTTTTGCTTTTGTTGCCCAAGCTGGAGTGCAATGGCGCAATCTTGGCTCACTGCAAGCTCCGCCTCCCGGGTTCAAGTAATTCTCTTGCCTCAGCCTCCCAAGTAGCTGGGATTACAGGCATGTGCCACCATGCCTGGCTAATTTTTTATTTTTAGTAGAGATGGAGTTTCACCATGTTGGCCAGGCTGGTGTCGAACTCCTGACCTCAGGTGATCCACTCACCTCAGCCTCCCAAAGTGCTGGGATTGCAGGCGTGAGCCACTGCGCCTGCCCTACCTTACCCATTCTTTAGACTCACCTCAAGGCCCACCCCTGTAAAGCCTTCTGCAAACTGCCTCAGGTGTATCGTGCTCTGCATTCCTCAATAATTTATTTCAACAAACATCTATTGGATATCTTTGGGTGCAAGGCTGTAAGCCAGATACTCTGGGTAGAAGATACAATCTGCCTTTGAAGAGCTTACTGCTTAGTGGAGAAGAGAAAAACATTAAGTACAATTAATTATGTGACATAGCCAAATGAAATGAATGCTCCAGGTACTTACCAGAGCACGTGGGGGATGGGGGGTGAAGGGGTGGGGAAGGATAGGGAAGAGGGAGGACTGGGACATCTCCAAGAGGCAGGCTATGAGAACAGGATAGGTGAAAGCTTGAAAGTGGGACTGTGGGCCGGGTGTGGTGGCTCACACCTGTAATCCCAGTACTTTGGGAGGCGGAGGTGGGCAGATCATGAGGTCAGGAGATTGAGACCATCCTGGCTAACATGGTGAAACCCTGTCTCTACTAAAAATACAAAAAAATTAGCCGGGCATGGTGGCGGGCACCTGTAGCCCCAGCTACTTGGGAGGCTGAGGCAGGAGAATGGTGTGAACCCGGGAGGCAGAACTTGCAGTGAGTCAAGATAGTGCCACTGCACTCCAGCCTGGGCAACAAAAAAAGAAAGTGGGACTATGAAGGCTGAATTCAGGGTAAAGAGTGTCCAGTGTGTTTGAAGTTCAGGGTGTGTGCCAGGGATATGGAAAAATATAATGTTGGAAAAGTCATCTGGGGTGATGGGTGAAGGGCCTTAAATGGTAGTTTGGACTTTGCCCTGTTTGCAGTAGAATGTCATTGAGAGCTTGCTTTCTTCTTTTTAAAAAGTGGCTTTATTTTCTGATTATAGAATTAATGTTTTTTCCAATTCTCAATAGTTTCTAAAATATAAAAAGAATATGTCACATGTTAGAGAGCCACTTGATATTTTTTAGTTTATGCTGTGAGGAGTTTTTCTCTGTACATCCATAGATATATACACAACCATCTACACCATTTGGTACACATGGGATTAGACCGCGTGTTGCTAAGAACCCATGTTACCTTAGTCAAGACTGGTGTGGCGAATGGGCGGAAGAGGGGACCCTGGGGAGGTAGTGGCAGGGTCCAGTGGAAGACGGTAGGGCTTATCAAGCTCGGACAGTGGATGGGTGCCAAAGATACTTCAGAAACAGAACTTGCATTATATTGTCTTGTTTTCACTTTTAAAGTTATATTCCCTTTGTTTTAATTTTCATTTCAATAGCTACTTTTTATATTTTATTTTCCTACCTTTTTCTGGGCCAATTGTTGTGTTCCTTGAAAAGTCATTTCCATGATCTCATAGGTAGTGAAGCTTCAACTTGGACTTTTGTTACCATCTCTTGTCTCCAAGAAGAGAGATGAGGGAGAGCACTCTCTGTTAAAGATCATTATTGATTTATGTGGTTTGAACTAATTTTGACTATGATTGTAACCCCCCAATGGATTAATTTACCTTGCCCACTGCCTAGACAGAGCCGATTTATCAAGACAGGGGAATTGCAATGGAGAAAGAGTAATTCACACAGAGCTGGCTGTGCAAGAAGACCAGAGTTTTATTATTACTCAAATCAGTCTCCCTGAGAATTTAGGGACTGGAGTTTTTAAGGATAATTTGGTGGGTAGGGGGGCCAGTGAATTGGGGGTTCTGATCGGTCAGGTCAGAGATGAAATCACAGGGAGTTGAAGCTGTCCTCTTGCATTGAGTCAGCTCCTGGGTGGGGGCTACAAGACCAGATGAGCCAGTTTACGAGCCTGGGTGGTGCCAGCTGATGCATCAAGTACAGGGTCTGCAAAATATCTCAAGAACTGATCTTAGGCTTCACAATAGTGACGTTATCCCCAGGGGCAATTTGGGGAGGTTTAGAATCTTGCAGCCTCCAGCTGCCTGACTTCTAAACCATAATCTAATCTTTTGGCTAATTTGTTAATTCTACAAAGGCAGTCTAGTTCATTTTGGGAAAGGGCTGTTACCATCTTTGTTTCAAACTATAAACTAAGTTTCTCCCAAAGTTAATTTGGCCTATGCTCAGGAATGAACAAGGACAACTTGGAGGTTAGAAGCAAGATGGAGTTAGTAAGATCAGATCTCTTTCACTGTCTCAGTTATAATTTTGCAATGGTGGTTTCATGATCGCTAAGAGTAGACAAGGATTAAATACTGATTGAACAGGAATTGCTAGTACAAGCCGTTTATTGACAGTGCTTAACAGGCTTCAGGCTCTGAGCTACATAAGGAAACTTGGCCAAGGTCACAGTTAACAATTGGCTGAGCTCAAACTGGAACCCCAGGCTACCTGCCTATGCTCATTTACCATGCAAAGTTAGGTCACTGATGATTTAAAATTGATGTTCTGAATGTTTAATAAATAAAGTAGGGAAAAACTCCTCACAAATACCTTACTTAAACTTTTATTTATGCTTGTGCTTCTGAACATACTCTGCTTTAATATTTTAAGTGATAAGTTTATAGTTTGAGCAAACATTACAGTGAGGATGCTAATGACATCCAGTTCCCCAGGCTGCTTTTCAGTTTTGATGCCCTGTTGCCAGTGAGGCCAGAGAATCAATTCTTCCAGTGACCCAGCAGTTTGCCCGCAACATTAGGAAAATCAAATATAAAATGTATATTTATAGCAAGGATAAAATTCCATGATGTGTCTTGAACATGGAGAATGAAATAGGAAGGCTATTTGTTCTTATCTCAGTATCTTAAATATGAAGCAGATCAGGGTAGAGGCCCTCTGTAATTTTTAAAGCTACAATATTTAAATATAAAATAAAATAATTTCATAATCTTATGCTATGTTACATTACATTTATATTATTATTTTTGAGACAAAGTCTCGCTCTTGTCCCCTAGGCTGGAGTGCGATGGCACGATCTTGGCTCACTGCAACCTCTGCTTCCTGGGTTCAAGTGATTCTCCTGCTTCAGCCTCCTGAGTAGCTGGGATTACAGATGCCTGCCAATGGTATTTTTGTGTTTTTAGTAGAGACAGGGTTTCACCATGTTGTTCAGGCTGGTCTCAAACTCCTGACCTCAGGTGATCTGCCCACCTCGGCCTCCCAAAGTGCTGGGATTATAGGCGTGAGCCATCACGCCTGGTCTGTATTCTGTTCTGTTCTATTCCTTATTCCAATCCACACTACCCTCTGAACCCCATGCCTAGGCCCCACCAAGAGCTGTAGCGGATGCTTAATGTTTGTAAATGTCTTCTCCCCTACCATGGCAGTGCAAATCAGCTCCTTCCATTGCGTTTATCCAACGCAGCCTGCCACCTCTGCCCCCTGGTGTCTCACCAATACATCTCATCTGTAAAGAAGAGTTCCTCCGGTCCCAGGAGGCAGGAGCTCCAGGGACTTGAGGGGGATGGGCTGCCCAGCAGTGGCTGTAAAGGGACTTTGCCCAGATATCAAGCTTTTGCGGTCAACTTCCGGAACAAATCGTGCTTTGTTCTTGCTTCCAGCCCAGGGGAAGCAAAGGGGACCTCTCTCATGCCTGCAGCTTGTTAAGCCCACTTCTCTCTAAGGTCAAAAGAACTTTATTTCTAAATCTGAGTGAAAGTGTCAGCTCACGTGTTTCTGCTGTAGACTGAGTTTTTGACTCTGCAGTTCATTTTTCAGGCTGCTGCTTCTCTGATTGCTCAGACTATTGCTTGGTTGCTAAGTAGGGAGCCACAGACCTGGTCCACGGAGACTTGGAAAGCTGTGTCCTGGCTTCATGAATCTCCAGCAGTTGGTGCCCTTTGCTACCCATCTTTAATCATCCCTTTCAGTCCCTTGCCTTCTCAGGTATGAGGTGTTTTTTGTTTGTGGTTTTTTTGAGACGGAGTCTCGCTCTGTTGCCAGGCCGGAGTGCAGTGGCACAGTCTCGGCTCACTGCAACTTCTGCCTCCCGGGTTCAAGGGATTCTCCTGCCTCAGCCTCCGAGTAGTTAGGACTACAGGCGTGTACTACCATGCCCGGCTAATTTTTTGTATTTTAGTAGAGACGGGGTTTCACCATGTTGGACAGGATGGTCTTGAACTCCTGACCTCGTGATCCGCCTGCCTCGGCCTCCCAAAGTGCTGGGATTATAGGCGTGAGCCACCGTGCCCGGCCTGAGTTTTTATTTAAAAGAGTATACCTGCTCCCCTACCCCTGGGACATTTGGGGGGTCAGTTTTTCTTTTTCTTTCTTTCTTTCTTTTTTTTTTCTTTTAATGGGCAACACTTCATTCCATAAAATAGAATACGTGTTCCCTGGGGTCAGCTTTTCTTTCATGTGGGACACCGTCTGAATTAGGAAGGGCCTAATCTGAGAGGCCTGCAAAATGCTAGTCTTTTATTGTTGTTGTTGTTGTTGTTGTTTGAGACAGAGTCTTGCTATGTTGCCTGGGCTTGTCTGGAACTGCTGGGCTGAAGTGATCCCCTGCCTCAGCCTTCCGAGTTGCTGAGATGACAGGCAGCTGTCAATGTGCCTGGCTCAAAGTGCTGTTTATTTTTATTTTTATTTTTATTTTTTATACTTTAAGTTCTAGGGTACATGTGCACAACGTGCAGGTTTGTTACATAGGTATACATGTGTCATGTTGGTTTGCTGCACTCATTAACTCGTCATTTACATTAGGTATTTCTCCTAATGCTATCCCTCCCCCTGTCCCCCACCCTCTGACAGGCCCCGGTATGTGATGTTCCCCACCCTGTGTCCAAGTGTTCTCATTGTTCAGTTTCCACCTGTGAGTGAGGACATGTGGTATTTGGTTTTCCGTCCTTGTGATAGTTTGCTCAGAATGATGGTTTCCAGCTTCATCCATGTCCCTGCAAAGGACGTGAACGTATCCTTTTTTATGGCTGCATAGTATTCCATGGTGTATATATGCCACATTTTCTTAATCCAGTCTATCCTTGTTGGACATTTGGGTTGGTTCCAAGTCTTTGCTATTGTGAATAGTGTCGCAATAAACATACATGTGCATGTGTCTTTATAGTAGCATGATTTATAATCCTTTGGGTATATACCCAGTAATGGGATGGCTGGGTCAAATGGTATTTCTAGCTCTAGATCCTTGAGGAATCACCACACTGTCTTCCACAATGGGTGAACTAGTTTACACTCCCACCAACAGTGTAAAAGTGTTCCTATTTCTCCACATACTCTCCAGCATCTGTTGTTTCCTGACTTTTTAATGATCGCCATTCTAACTGGCGTGAGATGGTATCTCATTGTGGTTTTCATTGGCATTTCTCTGATAACCAGCGATGATGAGCATTTTTTCATGTGTCTGTTGGCTGCATAAATGTCTTCTTTTGAGAAGTGTCTGTTCATATCCTTTGCTCACTTTTTGATGGGGTTGTTTTTTTCTTGTAAATTAAATTCTTTGTAGATTCTGGATATTAGCCCTTTATCAGATGGGTAGATTGCAAAAATTTTCCCCATTCTGTAGGTTGCCTGTTCACTCTGATGGTAGTTTCTTTTGCCATGCAGAAGCTCTTTAGTTTAATTAGATCCCATTTGTCTATTTTGGTTTTTGTTGCCATTGCTTTTGGTGTTTTAGTCATGAAGTCCTTGCCATGCCTATGTCCTGAATGGTATTGCCTAGGTTTTCTTCTAGGGTTTTTATGGTTTTAGGTCTAACATTTAAGTCTTTAATCCATTTTGAATTAATTTTTGTATAAGGTGTAAGGAAGGGATCCAGTTTCAGCTTTCTACATATGGCTAGCCAGTTTTTCCAGCACCATTTATTAAATAGGGAATCCTTTCCCCATTTCTGGTTTTTGTCAGGTTTGTCAAAAATCAGATGGCTGTAGATGTGTGGTGTTATTTCTGAGGGCTCTGTTCTGTTCCATTGGTCTATATCTCTGTTTTGGTACCAGTACCATGCTGTTTTGGTTACTGTAGCCTTGTAGTATAGTTTGAAGTCAGGTAGCGTGATGCCTCCAGCTTTGTTTGTTTTGCTTAGGATTGTCTTGGCAATGTGGGCTCTTTTTTGGTTCCATATGAAGTTCAAAGTACTTTTTTCTAATTGTGTGAAGAAAGTCATTGGTAGCTTGATGGGGATGCCATTGAATCTATAGATTACCTTGGGCAGTATGGCCATTTTCACAATATTGATTCTCCTATCCATGAGCATGGAATATTCTTCCATTTTTTTGTGTCCTCCTTTATTTCATTGAGCAGTGGTTTGTAGTTCTCCTTGAAGAGGTCCTTCACATCCCTTGTAAGTTGGATTCCTAGATATTTTATTCTCTTTGTAGCAATTGTGAATGGGAGTTCACTCATGATTTGGCTCTCTGTTTGTCTGTTATTGGTGTATAGGAATGCTTGTGATTTTTGCACATTGATTTTGTATCCTGAGACTGCTGAAGTTGCTTACCAGTTAAAGGAGATTTTGGGCTGAGATGATAGGGTTTTCTAAATATACAATCATGTCATCTGCAAACAGGGACAATTTCACTTCCTCTTTTCCTAATTGAATAGCCTTTATTTCTTTCTCTTGCCTGATGGTCCTGGCCAGAACTTCCAACACTATGTTGAATAGGAGTGGCGAGAGAGGGCATCCCTGTCTTGTGCCAGTTTTCAAAGGGAATGCTTCCAGTTTTTGCCCATTCAGTATGATATTGGCTGTGGGTTTGTCATAAACAGCTCTTATTATTTTGAGATACGTTCCATCAATACCTAGTTTATTGAGAGTTTTTAGCATGAAGCACTGTTGAATTTTGTTGAAGGCCTTTTCTGCATCTGTTGAGATAATCATGTGGTTTTTGTCATTGGTTCTGTTTATGTGATGGATTATGTTTATTGATTTGCATATGTTGAACCAGCCTTGCATCCCAGGGATGAAGCCGACTTGATCATGGTGGATAAGCTTTTTGATGTGCTGCTGGATTTGGTTTGCCAGTATTTTATTGAGGATTTTTCGCATCGATATTCATCAGGAATATTGGTCTAAAATTCTCTTTTTTTGTTGTGTCTCTGCCAGGCTTTGGTATCAGGATGATGCTGAGCCTCATAAAATGAGTTAGGGAGGATTCCCTCTTTTTCTATTGATTGGAATAGTTTCAGAAGGACTGGTACCAGCTCCTCTTTGTACCTCTGGTCCTCAGCAAATGTAAAAGAACAGAAATCGCAACAAACTGTCTCTCAGACCACAGTGCAATCAAATTAGAACTCAGGATTAAGAAATTCACTCAAAACCGCACAACTACATGGAAACTGGACAACCTGCTCCTGAATGACTACTGGATAAATAATGAAATGAAAGCAGAAATAAAGATATTCTTTGAAACCAATGAGAACAAAGACGCAATGTACCAGAATCTCTGGGACACATTTAAAGCAGTGTTTATAGGGAGGTTTATAGCACTAAATGCCCACAAGAGAAAGCAGGAAAGATCTAAAATCGACACCCTAACATCACAATTAGAAGAACTAGAGAAGCAAGAGCAAACAAATTCGAAAGCTAGCAGAAATAACTAAGATCAGAGCAGAATTGAAGAAGATAGAGACCCAAAAAACCCTTCAAAAAATCAATGAATCCAGGAGTTGGTTTTTTGAAAAGATCAACAAAATTGATAGACCACTAGCAAGACTAATAAAGAAAACAAGACAGAAGAATCAAATAGACGCAATAAAAAATGATAAAAGGGATATCACCACCAATCCCACAGAAATCAAAGTGCTGTTTTAACCATTTCTTTAGTTATGAAATGGAGTCCCTGCTTGGTCAAGGTGGATGAATTAGCAACTCAGAGGTCAGACTTGTATTCCATGCAGCTTCCCATTGTATTAGTCTGTTATCACTCTGCTGATAAACACATACCCAAGACTGGGTAATTTATAAAGAAAAAGAAGTTTAATGGACTTACAGCTCCACGTGGCTAGGGAGGCCTCACAATCATGGTGGAAGGTAAAAGGCACGTCTCACCTGGAGGCAGGCAAGAGGAAACTTGTGCAAGGAAACACCCCTGTATAAAACTATCAGATCTTGCGAAACTAATTCACAATCACAAAAACAGCACAGGAAAGACCCACTCCCATGATTCAATTACCTCCCACGGGGTGCCTCCCATGACACGTGGGAATTTTGGGAGCTACAATTTAAGATGAGATTTGGGTGGGGACACAGCCAAACCATATCACCCATGCAGATGGGCTTGGAGATTACAGCACCAAATGTCTGGAAATGTGAAATCCACCAACAACATTCCTTGTTGAAACAACCTTGTCCTGGCTTTAGAGATGACAGGTAGAAATAACTCAATTATCCCCTAAACTCTTGTTGTACTAGTGTACCATGTTTGCTTGTCTTTAGAGATGGAATCTTACTATGTTGCCCAGGTTGGGTTTGGAACTCCTGGGCTCAAGTGATCCTCCGGCCTCAGCCTCTCAACTAGGTGGCACTACAGGCATGTGTCACTGCACCAGGCTTAGTATACCATGTTTAATTTGCCCTCTATTTAGCAACTTGGTTAAAGGTAGGAAAAAATCCTTAAACATCAGCTTATCGGGTTTCCTATTCAATGATTCCAAGAGCTAATTCACAGAGAGCTTAAAATAATTTGAAGTAAGCAGTAGTAAAAGACTGAATGTCAGGTGTTGATTGACAATCTCCTTTCTAGAGGGGAGGTGTTTCGGGGAGGAGTCAAGCTAGGTCTGTGTGGTGGAGGGAGCAGGACATGAGGTGGGCGGCAGGGTGGGTAGGCAGCCAGATGGTCTAGAGATTCTCAGAAGATCTGCTTGCTTGCCACTTTGAGACCATCAGCTATGTAAATATTGGAGAGTTTTATTTACAGCCTTCAGAGGAATAATTTGTGATACTGAACAACGAGCAAGAAACAGGAAGGTGAACTCTACCTTTGAGGGTGTGTGGTCTGGGGAAGAAGTCATTGATAGTACTGATTTTACTTACCTAACTAAGCATCAGTGAAATATTGGCAATGCTAAATGAAAACAGGGATGAATGCAGGTCTCCTTTCAGCTACCTATTCCCCGGGTGGCCCAAGTTCCAAAGAGTAAGAGTCTATGTCCTCATGAGTTGGGGTATAGCTCTAAATATTTGATAAATATTTACAATGATTAAATGGCAAGAATTTGTCACATAGTAGTGACTGTGGTCACTTTGAGTTTTTTTTTTTTTTTTTCAGAATGAGGTCCCAGGTTACTGTCTATGTACCTTATGTTCAATAACTATTGATAATGACAAAACAGTAACAATTCTTCACATGGCAGTGACTCTCATTGTATCAGAAGGCAGCTAGGCACACCACTATAACCACTATAACCATTACACCACCAACGCCACTCTCATCACTTGGATTTTTCCTTTTCAAAGTGGGATCAGAGGTTACTGTCTACATACCTGACTCTCATCCTAGGGTGAGAGTCAATTAACACCTTGGATATGTTACAGTAGGTTGAAGTGGTTTGAGTCTCATGATTTCAGGAGCTAGAAGTGGGGCCGTGGAGAGGGATGTTTTTCTGGAAGTTTTCAGAATGTAAACTTCTGGTTACCTGTTACCTTCCCAGATGTTGATGAATGGAAGTAAGCGTAGCACAGTTAGCAGCACAAACATTTCCACTACTAACCTTTAGGCAGGGAAGGTTTCTCCCCTAGAGCCCTCAGAGGGAGTGGGACCCTGTTGACACCTTAATTGGGGACCTCTGGTCTCCACAACTGTAACAGAGTAAGTTTCTGTTGTTTTAAGCTACTCGGTTTGCAGGAATTTATTATGGCAGCTACAGGACTTCAGTTCCAGATAAAAATGGCTGGAGCAAGAGCAAGGAACAGCAACAACAACAAAACACAGATTATGCTGGGGGCACTCAGCAGGAAGAAAGGCTCTGCTTCCCCCAGAATAAGTTTCTGTCTCTAAAACACAAGCTCTTGAGCATTTGTTTATTAGTGGTAAGAGGCTAGAGGCTGCAGCTTGGTTATTTATGCATGGCACTGTGTTTCTTCCTCTCTTCTTCCTTCTCCAATCTTTGTCTTCATTAGCAATGATGATAGAATTTCCTGGGCAAAATAATCCTTTATTTTTTAACTGGAAAATTTTGGCAAAATGTCACAATGTTCTAGTGTCCTAAAAGCTCAACATACTGGGGCTTAGGAACTTTCCAGGGGAGAGACAATAAGACCACAGTCTGCACAGAGCCTTCTGTGTGGCTGTGACAGCGAGGACAAAAACAATCACATTAATGTTGTTCGTTAGGATGGGGCTTTTTTGCTGCTGCTTTTTCATGGTAGTTTTTCACTATTCAGTCTAAATTTGTAAAGACCATTGTTTGTTTCCATTAAGAGAAACTGTTTATGTCTCAAAGTTAACCCATCCTAGGTACTATTTGTTATTTTCCATTCAGAAGATGTAGTGAGTTAGATGGTAGCCCCCTAAAGATAAGTCTATGTCTTAGAACCTGTTAATGTGACCTTATTTGGAAAAAAGATCTTTGTAGATGTAATTAAATTAAGGATCTTGAGATAAGAATATCCTAGATTATCCAGGCAGGCCCTAAATCCAATGACAAGTGTCTTATAAGAGACAGAAGAGGAGGGCCAGGCACGGTGGCTCACACCTGTAATCCCAGCACTTTGGGAGGCCGAGGCAGGCAGATTATTTGAGGCCAGGAGTTCGAGACCAGCCTGGCTCACATGGTGGAACCCCGCCTCTACTAAGAATACAAAAATTAGCCGGGTGGTAGTGGCGCACACCTGTAATCCCAGCTACTCAGGAGGCTGAGGCAGGAGAATCGCTTGAGCCTGGGAGGTGGAGGTTGCAGTGAGCCGAGACTGCACCATTGCACTCTAGCCTGGGCGACAGAGTGAGACCCTGTTTCAAAAGAAAAAAAAAAAAAAAAAAAGAGGAGAAGACACAGTGGGAGAAACGGAGAAGGCCAAATGAAGATGGAGGCAGAGATGGGAGTGATGCTGCCAAGAAAGCCCAGGAACATCTGCAGCCACGTAAAGCTGGAAGTATTGAGGAGGGATTCTCCCCCAGAGCCTTCCGAGGGACCGAGACCCTGCTGATACCTTGATGTTGGACTCCTGGCCCCAGAACTGTGAGAGAATAATTTTCTGTTGTATTAAGTTACCCAGTTTGCAGTATTTTGTTATGGCAGCTACAGGAAACAAATACCGAAGGTTAGAAGGAAATGGTGGGTTTACTCAAATCTTGCTGGAATGGAAGATTCTATCCTGAAATATGAGTGGCATTCCTCAGGCCTTTGAACTCAGATGACCTGAGGCTGTGAGGAGATCTGGCCCAGGCATGTCTCAACTAAAGCTATGGCTTTGGCTGCATGTTGGAGAGTCTTGACGTGTGGATCACATTTTAGGAGCAAAACTTCCCTATAGCATAAAGGTATTCTGACTCCAAGGAAGGCTCCTCATTCTACAAGGTATTTGATGTGATAAGACAGGCCAGTAGTCACCTTTTTTTTTTTTTTTTTCTGAGACAGAGTTTCACTTTTGTTGCCCAGGCTGGAATGCAATGGTGCGATCTCAGTTCACTGCAACCTCCGCCTCCCGGGTTCAAACGATTCTCCTGGCTCAGCCTCCTGAGTAGCTGGGACTACAGGTGCATGCCACCACGTCCGGCTAGTTTTTTGTGTTTTTAGTAGAGATGGGGGTTTCACTATGTTGGTCAGACTGGTCTCGAACTCCTGACCTCAGGTGATCCACCTGCCTCAGCCTCCCAGAGTTCTGGGATTACAGGCGTGAGCCACCACACCCGGCCCAGCAGTCGCTTTTTACAGCCCTTGGGAGGGGTGTTTCTTGTTAGTTCCTTTGAAAAACTCCTGGTCCCTGCCTCCTCCTTCACCCATGCACTTTCTGGCACCCCACTACCACTCTGCATGGCCTGCATCTTTCTGGAATCATCTTCCATGTGGCATTCCAGGTAGCCATCACCAAGCTGATAGAGTTGACAAGATGAAACACCTTAGTACTTCCAGTTCAGAGCTAAAAATACAAAGGATAATAGGTGGCAGCTCTTGTTTTCTGTAAAACCATTTCCTGATGGAGAAGATACATATATAAACAGAGATCTGCGGGAAGATGTGCTCATGGATAGACAGTAGGGTTGGTGGGGGTGCAGTGGCTCACTCCTGTAATCCTGGCACTTTGGGAGGCCGAGGCAGGTGGATCACTTGAGGACAGGAGTTCGAGACCAGCCTGGCCAACATGGTGAAACCTCGTCTCTATTAAAAATATAAAACTTAGCTGGGCGTGGTGGTATGCACCTGTAATCCCAGCTACTTGGGAGGCTGAGGCAGTAGAATCACTTGAACCTGGGAGGCAGAGGTTGCAGTGAGCTGAGATCACATCACTGTACTCCAGCCTGGGTGACAGAGCAAGACTCTGCCTCAAAAAAAAAAAAAAAAAAAAGAAAAAAAAAAGAAAAGAAAAAAAAGGGATAGACGGGGTATCTTTTAGCTGTCTGGGACACCCAGAGAAGGAGCCCTTTTCCTTGGGAGAGTCTGAAGGCACTTTGAGAAGACATGACCTTGAAGCTGAGACCAGGAGCTCTGCAAGCTGAGATGGGGGAGGAAATCATTCCTGGCAGAGGAGCACAAGCAAAGGCATATAGTGTGTTTGTGGAACAGCGAGAAGTACAGGGTAACAGACCAGGGATGAGGATTGGGGGTGAGTGAGTGCAGAAACAGGTTGAAGAGGGTGGTTGGTGCCAGACCATTAAGGGCCTTACACATCCTTGATGACTAAAGCTGAACATGTCCCAGCTGAACTGGTTATCTTCTTCCCTAACCCTCCTTTCCCTCCCCCAGGGTTCCCCAGCTCAAAAAAAGGCACCATCACCCACCCAATCTGGGTCTGGCAGAGACCTGGGCATCTGTCATGATTCTTCTTCACCCTCTTTAGTACCTCCTGAATTCCTCCTGCTCTCTCCATTCTTATGCCAGGCCATAATCAACTCAGCCTGGACATCTGCTGCAGTCCTCCCTCCCCTCTCCCTGTTGTACCCAATCTCCTTGCTCCCAGTCTGGCTTGCCTCCACACTCTGTTTTCTGCTTACAGCCGGAGCATTCCATTTAGAAAACAGATTTAACCATATCACTTGGCTGTCTGTGTAAAACTCCGTAAGCTACTTTCAATGGCTCACAATGCCCTCTATGATATAGCTTCTGATCAAAACAATGCATGCACAGAGGAGCTTGGAATGAAAAGTGGTAGTGTCCTGACACTGTGATCCCCACTTCCAGGCTTCCTCCCCATAGGACTTCTTTTGGCCAGTTCTGTGTTTTAGTACTCCTGGTGATGATCTCCATATCTTCAAATAGTATACTTATACTGATGTTTGTTGATTTATCAACCTTGGATAGCCTACTCTAACAAATAAGGGTTTTTGTCTCCCCCTTTTTTTTTTTTTTTTTTTTTTGAGAAGGGTCTCTCTCTGTCATCCAGGCTGGAGTGCAGTGGTGCAGTCAAGGCTCACTGCAACTTCAGACTCCTGGGCTCAAGTGTTCCTTCCCTGCCTCAGCCTCCCAAGTAGCTGATAGAGGCGCACATGATGATGCCTGGCTGATTTTTAGAATTTTTTTAGAGATGCTGTCTTGCTATGTTTTCCAGGCTGGTCTTCTCTGGCCTCAAGTGACCTTCCCACTTTGGCTTCCCAAAGTGTTGGGATTATATGCATGAGCTATCGTGCTTGGCTTTGTCTCTCCAGAGGATTCCTGGTTCCTCCTCAGGTCTCTTCTCAAATTTAAAAAAATATACTTAAACCTCAATGTCTGTCTTCATCAGTCTTGAACTTTTGACTTACCATTTTGTAAGATGGAAACTTTAGAGCTCCTACCCTCCCATCCACCTTCTGTGACCCAACCATTCCTTGTCTATATCTTGGCATACATTATGGAGTTCAATAACATTTACATTTCGTTTAGCTATAGTAAAATCCTCCGTAAGTTCTTTCTAAGTTGATTCTGAAAGAAAAAAAAGTTAACTTCGTAATAACCATGAAAAATGGTGTTGGCTGGGTACGGTGGCTCATGCCTGTAATCCCAGCACTTTGGGAGGCCAAGGCGGTGGATCACTTGAGGTCAAGGGTTCGAGACCAGCCTGGCTAACATGGTGAAACCCCTTCTCTACTAAAAATACAAAAATTAGCAGGGTGTGGTGGTGCATGCCTGCAGTCCCAGCTACTTGGGAGGCTGAGGCAGGAGAATCACTTGGACCCAGGAGACTGAGGTTGCGGTGAGCTGAGATCGCGCCACTGCACTCCAGCCTGGGCAACAGAGCAAGACTCCACCTAAAAAAAAAACAAAGAAAAGAAAAGAAAATTGGTGTTTACTCCAACCACCTCTGTGCTGTGTTTCGGTTTGCTTCATGTTTGGGTTTGGCCTTTCTTGTCTATTTTGTTTTTCTGGGAGTGCAATTAATTGCCTTTCTTCTTTTTTTGCATTCTATAAATTTGCCAGGCCATCAGTTGTACTATCTATTCTGTTGAATGCTCTGCCCCAACTCCTCACCTCTCTCCAAGAGCCTTGGAGACAGTCTGGCCTGGTTGCTCTCTTGACTTGCTGCACAGCTCTCAGCTCTCCTCCTGGGATTTCCTATAACTGCTGTCCTGGGTTGGATGCACTGTTTCTGAATGATGTGTCTTTTTCTTTTGCTTTGGTAGCTTTAAAGCATGCTATCAAGTAACTTCCTAAGAAAAGGTCCTTAGGGAATAATTTTTTTTAACCTTTTTGTTATAGAAAACTTCAGCCCAGGCACATCCCAGCACTTTGGGAGGCCAAGGCAGGAGGATCTCTTGAGCCCAGGAGTTTTTATTTTTTATTTTTCAGACCGAGTTTCGCTCTTGTTGCCCAGGCTGGAATGCAATGGCATGATCTTGGCTCACCGCAACCTCTGCCTCCCAGGTTCAAGCAATTCTCCCACCTCAGCCTCCCGAGTAGCTGGGATTACAGGTATGCACCAACACACCTGGCTAATTTTGTATTTTTAGCAGAGATGAGGTTTCCCCATGTTGGTCAGGCTGGTCTTGAGCTCCAGACCTCAAGTGATCTGCCTGCCTCGGCCTTCCAAAGTGCTGGGATTACAAGTGTGAGCCACTGCGCCTGGCTGAGCCCAGGAGTTTGAGACCAGCCTAGGCAACATAGTGAGACCTCATCTTTACAGATAATTTAAAAATTAGCTGGGCATGGTGGCACGCACCTGTGGTCCCAGCTACTCAGGAGGCTGAGATGGAAGGATGGCTTAAGCCTGGGGGATGGAGGCTAAAGTGAGTTGTGATCGACCACTGCACTCCAGCCTGAGCAACAGAGTGAGACCCTGTCTTGAAAAAAACAAAAAAAGAATTTCAAACATCTATAAAAGGAGATAAAACTATACCATAATGAACCCTTATATATCTATCCACCATTCCAATAATTATCAACTCTCAGCCAACCTTATTTCACCCACACTCCTAGCCACTGCTCACCTCTCCTGGATTATTTTTTCCCCCAGATATCATATCACCAGAAAATATTTAAGTATATGTCCCAGAAAGATAAAGACTCTTATAAAAAAACATAATAAATATACCATTAGCACACCTAAAAATTCTCAATGATTTCTTAATGTCATCAAATAACTGATCAGTGTTCAAATTTCCCTGATATATATATAAACATTTGCTTGTGTGAATTGGAGCCAGTTGCAATTGTTCGATATGTCTCTTGAGTCTCTTTTAATTTATGGTTCCTTCATCTCATTTTTTCCCTTGCAGTTTATTTGTTGAAAGAAACTGGGTTTTTTTTTGTTTTGTCTTGTAAAGTTTCCCAGAGTCTGGGTTTTGCTGATTGCATTCCTGCTGTGACGTATGACATAGTCCTTTATTCCCTATAGTTCCTGTGAGTTAACAATGAAATCTAGAGTATTGATCAGATTATGTTGTGTTATTTTGGGGGTACTTTCATAGGTAGTATTGTGTGCTCCCAAAAGGAGGCACATCATGTCTACTTCTCTCTTTTTTATGATGTGAGCAGCCATTGATTGTCCTTGTATAGATCCATTGTTTTATTAATGATTATGACATGGTGATGTTCTAGTTATGTTATCACTCATTTATTAGCTGCAGGATTCCTATGTTAGAGAGAAATTTCCCATTATTTACTATTTAGTTATCTTGAGGTCCCTATGGGAAAGGTAGAATAAATGCTTGATTCTTTCCCTTTATTTACCATTTTAAAAAATAATGAGTCCCTATCTCTTCCAAAGGCAAACTGTGAATTTTAAAATTTTTTCTCAATGTTTATCTCTTCTTTTGCCAGTGGAAACATTTTTTAGTTGACTCCAAGCCTCCTGCCTCAACTCTTCTTTGATATCTGAAACTTTAAGATGTCCCACTTCTATTTTTTATATTTTCCATTGTAGACCTGGAATAAAGTCATTGCTCTCATTTGTTTCTCATTGTTACTGGGTTCGTCATTTTTCTAGGCCTTTTCAGTAGACTGAGCTAGAAATGCATTTCTTTAAAGATAAGATATATCATTAACTCCTACAAAACTTCTAAATCAAATTGAAAACTAAGGAATTTTACTTAACCTCATGGATCTTATTTTTCTTTTCTCTCACACTCAAACATGAGGTAAGCTTTATACCTTTTAAGATGTCTGAGGAGGCTGGGCGCGGTGGCTCACACCTGCAATCCCAACACTCTAGGAGACCAAGCTGGGCGGATCACCTGAGGTCAGGAGTTTGAGACCAGCCTGGTCAACATGGTAAAACCCCATCTCTACTAAAAAACACAAAAATTAGCTGGGTGTGGTGGCGAGTGCCTATAGTCCCAGCTGGTTGGGAGGCTGAGGTGGGAGAATCGCTTGAACCGAGGAGGCAGAGGTTGCAGTGAGCCGAGATCACCCCGTTGCACTCAGCCTGGACGACAGAGTGAGACATTGTCTCAAAAATTAAAAAAAAAAAAATAATAATAATAAAATAAAATGTCCGAACAATTCATTATTCTCCCTTATGAATTGATGGCTTGGTGTAGAATTCTGGGTTGAAAATAGTTTTCTCTGGGAACTTTTAAACCGTTGCTCCATTTTCTTCTAAGTAACCAATGTTACTAATGAGAAGTCTAATGCCATTCTGAGTTTTGTTTTTCTTGCATGTGGCCTCCTTTTTTTTGTTTTGTTTATTTCCACTTGAGGGAGCTTTTAGGATCTTCTATTTATCTTGCAGTTCTGAAATTTCACCATGGCATGTTTAGGTGTGGGTTTCTTAAAAATAACTGTGAGGCCAGGCTGGATACAGTGGTCCATACCTATAATCCTAGCAACTTTGGAGGCTGAGGTGGGAAGATTGCTTGAGCCTGGGAGGCAGTGGTTGCAGTGAGCTGAGATTGCACCACTATACTCCAGCCTGGGCGACAGAGAGAGATTCTGTCTCAAAATAAATACAAATAAATTAAAGAGCATTAACCCTGATCTACTCCTAGTTGGGGAGATATAAGGGGGAATATTCAATATGTGGGCAGTCAATTCACCTCTTTCTGTTCAGTCCCCTTCTGCTGCCGGGTCTCCATGGCATCTGTGGTCTCTGCATGCAGAGGGAGGGGTGTCTGAATGGGTGGATACAGCCCCTCTGTGAGGGTTCTGAGCTCCACCCAATCTGCTTTAACCATGAATAGTCACCTTTCCACTTTCTATCTCCTAGAAACCTGTTGTAATCCTTTATCTTCAGATCTCTTCTCTTCTTTTCTGTGCTATTGCAAAAAGGAATATACTTTAGAAGTTTTCCTAGCAATGTCTGTCATGGCATCTTGGAAAGACAGGAGATGATCCTGAGCTGGGAGGCCCTGGCCCTGTCTCTCAGTACTCATCCTCTACCCTTAGCTCTTCTCACTTCCTGGAATGGGTCTCCTTTTCTCTTACATTGGGACCTTCTCAAATTCTGTTCCTTCATCTTGAAATAGTTCTCCTTTCCCACCTCCCATTCCATACAGACTTTGTGCCTGGTTAACACCTGCTGCAGTCTGTGCCCCTTCTTCAAGGGGTCTCCTCTGAGCCTCCACTAGATCAAGTCCCTCCTTATGTGTGCTTCCATCACATTCTCTACTTTCCCCATCACCATGCCTCCAGCTATTGCAGCTACTTGCTCAGTGCCTCTCTGCAGACTCTCAGCACCTTGAAGGCAGGATCTCACCTGCCTTGTTCAGGGCTATACTCCTGATTTGAAGGAGCTCTATGTAGTCAGCCAGGAGTCAATGTGTGACCGACTCAGCTTCTAGGAAGCTCCTGGTGGCAATGTGGGTGATGAACAGGAGAGATCCATGTCAGGGAGACCTCTGAGGAAGTACTGCTGGAGTCCACAGGAGATGAAAAAGTCCTGGATGAGGGTAGTGCCGGGAGGGGTGGGGGAGAGAAGAGAGCCTGGCTCAGGAGATGTTTCTAAGAGCACAATCAGGAGTTGGTGACCCTTCACAGATGGATGAGGGAAAGTGAGCATCCAAAAGTGACTCCATAGTTTTTGTCTTGTGAGAAGAGGAAAACTGTTTCTGTTTGTCAAGATAGGAAAGATAAAAGAAGGAGAAGGTACAAGCTGAGTTTGGACAAGTTAAGTTTCTAAGGTAAGAGGGGTATTTGTGGATCACCTGAAAAGAAGCTGCCCATGAGGGTCTGGAGCTCAAGAGAGACATCTGGGCTGGAGCCAGGGGGAGTCCTGAGCTTTCAGTTGGTGGCCAACTAGGGGGAAGGTGTAGCAAGGGCCAGAAGGGACAGGAAGAACCCTGAGGAATCCCAGTCCCAAAAAGGCAGGCGAAGGAATAGCCATGGAGCAGAGGAGGAAGGAATGGGCCTCTGTAGAGGCAGAAAAGCCAAGGGAGGAAATAATTTCAAGATCTAAGGAAGGGCTAAACTGTGCTATGGCCACCCCTGCGGGACACATGAGGAAGAGCTGTATGTACTGACAAGGAGGAAAGTCCATGCATGAGGTTTTCTAAATAAACCCAGCAACTTCATTCATTTGCCTTATGTTTATTGAGGGCCTGCTAGTGCTGGGCACTGTTCTAGGCCCTGGGAATTTATTAGTGAGCAAAACAGCAAAATCTCTGTCCTCATGGAGCTCACAATATAGTAGGGAAGACAGAAATAAGATAAATAAATGAAATACACGGTACATTAGAAGGTGACAAGTGGTGGCCGGGCACAGTGGCTCACACCTGTCATCCCAGAACTTTGGGAGGCAAAGGCGGGCAGATCACCTGAGGTCAGGAGTTTGCTACCAGCTTGGCCAACATGGTGAAACCCTGTCTCTACTAAAAATACCAAAATTAACTGGGCATGTGATGTGTGCCTGTAATTCCAGCTACTCAGGAGGCTGAGGCAGGAGAATCACTTGAACCTGGGAGGCGAAGGCTGCAGTGAGCCGAGATCGTACCATTGCACTCCAGAGCAAGACTCTGTTAAAAAAAAAAAAAAGAAAAAGAAAAAGAAAAAAAAGAAAAAAGGTGAAAGTGGTAAGGAGAAAAAAATAAAGCAAAGAAAAAAGATATGAAGTGCAGGGAGGGTTGAGATTTCACATAGGGTGGCAGGGAAGGCCTCACTGAGAAGGTGACTTTTTTTTTTTTTTTTTTTTTTGAGACAGGGTCTTGCTCTGTTGCCCAGGCTGGAATGCGGTGGTACAATTCTAGCTCACTGCAACCTCAACCTCCTGAGTTCAAGCAATCTTCCCACCTCAGCCTCCCGAGTAAGCTGGGACTACAGGTACGTGCCACCACACCTGGCTAATTTTTCTTTTTTTTTTTTTTTTTTAGAGAGGTGGGGTCTCACTGTGTTGCCCAGGCTGGTCTCAAACTCATGGGCTCAAGTGATCACCCACCTTGGCCATCCAAAGTGCTGGGATTATAGATGTGAGCCACTATGCCTCGCCTATAAAATTTTTTTAAAATTAGCTGAATGTGGTGGCATGCACCTGTGGTCCTAGCTACTCAAGAGGCTGAGGTAGGAGGATTGCTTGAGCCTAGGAGGTCAGGAGATTGAGGCTGAGGCTGCAGTGAGCTATGATTGCCCCACTAAACTATAGCCTGTGTGACAGAGTGAGACCCTGTCTCAAAAAAAAAAAAAAAAAAGAAAGAAAGAAAAAAGCCAGGATGAAGAGGTTATTTGTGACCTCAACAAAAACAGTTTCCTTGGAGTTGTGGAGACAAAAGAAAACTGACAACTGATAACTGACAAGCATCTTACATGAGAGAGTTGAAAGTAAATAACTGTTTCGATTAGGACAGGAAAGGGAAGGAGAGATAAGGAGGACCCATCAGGGGAGGAGGACTCCAGACTTTTTTAGATGGAGGATACTTGATGGTGTTGGCCAGATAAGAGGGTAACTGAAGGAGGAGAGAGAGTTATTAAGATGTGGCAAATAGAAAAAAAAATCACTAAGACTGTTAAAGGGAATGCCCAGGGAAAGAGTTGGGCACTTCTTGGAGCCCAGAGGGAAGGTTGTCCAGGCAGAGCTGTTGGCACTTGGCTGGGTGAGGGCTGGGGAAGGGCTTTGGAGGCTGGCCAGTGCCCAGCGGCTTCAGTTACAGAGTAGCCAGCTTGTCCTGGTATCATGACCATCTGTACTTTTCTGAATTCCCACTATACTGTGAGGGCAAGAACCACACCTGATTTATCCCCCTGGTGCTAGCACACAGTAGGTCTTTAATGTTTTTTTGAACCAATAAATAGGTTTTCTTTGTAATAAAAGAGATCAAGGCCGGGTGCAGTGGCTCACACCTCTAATCCCAGCACTTTGGGAGGCTGAGGCAGGAGGATCATTTGAGGTCAGGGGTTCGAGACCAGTCTGGCCAACATGGCGAAATCGCATCTCTACTAAAAATTAGCTAGGCGTGATGGTGGGTGCCTTTAATCCCAGCTACTCAGGAGGCTGAGGCAGGATAATTGCTTCAACCCAGGAGGCAGAGGGTGCAGTGAGCTGAGATCGTGTCACTGCCTTCTAGCCTGGGCGACAGAGTGAGACTGTCTCAGAAAAAAAAAAAAAAAAAAAGAGGACAAAGCATCAGCTGAATGTGAAGGGGGCTGGAGGCAGGGAGAGTGGTTAATATTTGGGGCTGCTGCTGTGGAGAAGGGACAGGATGGTGGCCAGAAACAAGTGCAGGATTTCCAGGCAGCTCTGGGAGGCCTGCTGAGCAGGGAAGCATCAGGATGTAGTGCTGTCAGGCACCAGGGCTGGTGATACTTTTTTTTTCTCATGAAACTCTGGGCAGCTCAGGAGCATGCCGAGAAAGCAGATGGATTTCGTGTAATGTGAGTTGACCTGCTGTCATTCTCTCAGTGGTGGCCTGGAAGAGCTAATGTAGCTCCCCAAGGCCCTGGCTTCATTCCTGGAGAGTGTCTTTGCCTTGGGTGGGCTCATCGTTTGTGTTTGAAACTGCTGCTGACCAGAGCAAATTAGTATTTAAGCCTCAGCCCAAATGTCATCTCCAGGGACGATCTCCCTCCTCTCATTCTCCCCTGGATCCCTGGCAGGGGGTACCAGGGCAGTGTGCTTCCTGATTTGTGATGGTCTGGGTCCCACCAAGACAGCCTGGGCTGGGGGCGAAGCATTTGCTCTAGCAGAGCACACACTGGGAGGGTGAGAGCCAGGTTGAGCCATCAGGTGTCCACCAGTATGCCTTCAGTAGGATTGCTGAGGCAAGGAGAGCAAGAACAATGGGGATGGCCAAGACACAGGGTTCTGGAGGCCAGCAGAAAACTAAAGGAATGTCACCCTGGGCGGGCAAGGTGAGTGAGGTGAGAACAAGGAAGAACTAGGTAAAAGTTGGCAGTGAGAGACCGGAGCAGGCTGCTGGTACCAGGTGGCTCAGGATTTGGGCTTTGTAACGCTGGTATTTTGCCCTTTTATCTTATTCTTAGCATATTTTGCTTGACTGAGGGCAGATTTCTTAAAGGGGTGGTCAAGTTGGTCTGTGTATTATTTTAATTAATACTTTTTATGTGTGCTTGCCTGTTGAACTCTGAACTCTGGCAGGCAGCATCCATGCCTTCTTTACCTTCATGCCCATGGCACACTGTAAGCGCTCAGTAAATCTTTGTTGTGTAAATGACCCCAGTGTTCAATTGTTGAGGAACTTCTATAGTCATAACCTGGGCCAGCAGGATCCTGAGAAGTGAGCCAGCCCTTCCCCTCCCCTCCAAGTGGGACTTCACAGATAAGAACAAATTCTACAGGCCCCAAATCCATAATTCACCAGAAAAACAGACACTTTCCTTTATCTAAAATGAACTCAGCCTGCCTGACCTGGAGTCAGAAGGCCAGACTAAGTGAACTCTTGTGCCTTCAGGCACCTACCCAACAGCCATTCTCTTTCTTTTCTAACAGACTCCAGTTTTTTCAGATAGCAATGTGCCCAGCCCTAGAGGCAAATCATTGTTTTGTCATGTGGGAAATTATCTTAATGCAATGTAGCTTCCAAGTACCCTGTCAGGTAAGCTGTCTGGAGATCATGAACAGAAAGACTCACAGACCAATTTAAGATACTTAAGTCACCCTGCTTATTGATCCAATTTAAAGCGTACAGTGAGAAGCTAGGGGAAAGAGGTGGGGTAGGTTAACCCAGTTAGGGTATGGGGTAAGCAAGTTGGAGGGAGCATACTGCCTGAATCCTGTGTTCCAGGGTTCACATACTATCCCTCTATATTCCCCCCAACCCCTGTCTCTCTCTCTCTCTCTCTCTCTCTCTCTCTCTCTCTCTCTCTCTCTCTCTCTCTCCCTCTCCCCCATTATCTGTCCACACTGACAATGTGATTATGAAAACAAGAAAATAAGAGTTAGCTGGGTGCGGTGGCTCACACCTGTTATCCCAGCACTTTGGCAGGCCGAGGTGGGAGGACTGCTTGGGCCCAGGAGTTAGAGACCAGCCTAGGCAACATGGTGAAACTTCCTCTCTACCAAAAAGATACAAATTAGCCAGGCCTGGTGCACACACCTGTAGTCCCAGCTACTTGGAAGGCTGAGAAGGGAGGATTGATTAAGCCCAGGAGGTCGAGTCTGCAGCAGTGAGCTGTGATCACATCACCGCACCCCAGCCTGGGCGACTGATGGAAACCCTGTCTGAAAAAAAATAAATAAATAAGTAAAGTGAGAAAGATAAAAGAAAACAAGAGTTAAGGTTGAACAAAGGGGCTCAGCAAACAAGGTGCCTAGAGCTAACAGGCTTTATCAAAGAAGCCTAGGGGCAAATACACTGGCTAGACCCATAGCATATAATTTACCTGCCAAGCAGCTGGGAAAGAGTACAGGAGGGACCAGGATGGGATCAAAGTGGGAGTCTCTAAGGGGACCAATTTGAGGATGACAGTTGTCCATCTGGAATTAGCATGATCCTTGCCTTATAACTGGGGGTTTCCATCCCTTTCTATCTCCAAGTAATACTCTTGTGTGTTCTATCCTTTTAAATCTAAGCCTGACACCCATATGTTTCATGTATTCTATGTCTAGCGTGTCTCTCAAGTTACCAACTTACCATCTATTCTTAACACAGCTTTTGAATTTTGCCTACTGTTTTTTGTTTTTTCTTGCCTGCTACAGTAAATTTAAATATTCTCAGTAATACAGCCAACACACATTCCATTAGTCCAGGCCAACCTTTGGCAATCCTTTATATTCTGTGTGGTCAAATGACTCAGTTCTGGTCACTGAGATCTCAGGGGGCATTTTTAGTGGGGGATCTGGAAAGATTTTCTTCCTTGATGAAAGGAAGAGCAATGCAAGGAAGAAGACTTTTGTCCCCTTTCCTCTCTTCCTGTGTCTTCCACATCTGAACCAGTGGCTGGCACATAACAGACACTCAACAAATACTTTGTTGAGTGAGTGAATGATGGATGCTGGTGCCTAGTCTTAACAGCTGTGACATTGAACTTGTCCTTCATCTTCTGATCAAGCTTCATTTCTGGGTCCAGGGTTGGGAAGGTGAAAGCAGGGTGGTGGAAATAAATCTTGTGATGGTAATTTATTATAATAATAATATTAGCAGCAGTTAACATTTATTGAAAAGCTTCCTCTGTGTCAGAAATAGTTTTAAGCACTTCACATGTAATCCTCACAATAACCATATGAGGCAGAAATTATTATTATCCTCATTTTGCACATGAGGAAACTGAGCACAGAATATAAGTTTACTTACCTGAGATCCCTCAGCTGGCAAGTGATGGCCCTGGAATTAGAATTCAGACAACTGAGTTCAGAGAGCACACCCTTAGACACAGTGCCATTTGTATTAGGGTTCTATTGCTGCCACAAACGTTGTGGCTTAAAACAGCACAAATTCATTGTCTTACAGTTCTGGAGGTCAGCAGTCCCACAGTCTTCCTGGGCTGAAATCGGGGTATTGGCAGGACTATGCTCCTTCTAGAGGCTGTAGGGTAGAATTCGTTTCCTTGCCATTTTCCGGTCTAGAAGCTGCCCAAATTCCTTGGCTGGTGGCTGCATCACTCTGATCTCTGCTTCTCTCATCACATCTCCTTCTCCGACTCTTCTGCTTCCCTATTATAGCGCAGCCCTATTACAAGGGCCCTTGGGATTTCACTGGGCCCACCTGAATAATCAGGGATAATCTCTCCATTTAAAAATCCTCAATTCAATCATATTTGCAAAATGCCCTTTGCCATGTAAGGTAAGATATTCACAGGCTGTGGGGATTAGGAAGTGGACGTCTTGTGGGGGGCCACTATTCTGACCACCATACCATCTTGCCTGTGGGTATGGGTCCCATAACCCATACTGCGCTAGGTCCTGGATCAACAAGTCCCAAGTCCTGCAGCAGAAGTTCTGCCGTGAATGGAGGTGTATTCCGTTCAACCTTCTTCCACTTCCCCAAAGGCTTCTGCCTGGTTACCACTCCTTCACAATCCAGCCCCCCTGCTCCCCACCCCAGCAGGCAAGGAACACTTAATAAACAGGTGATATGAACCAAGCAGATGAGTGCTGGGCCTTGGCCTCTTGTTCATGAGTTCATCTAGACTGGATTCTGTATGTTAATCAGGTCCTTAGCTTTCTCCATTTTCATTCCCCAGTCAGATGGCCTCAGCCTTGTGGTGTGTGTTTTCTTTATTGTGAATTTACCGTCATTTCTACTTCTAATTCAACTTAGAGTAATTTCTCTTAGCTCCCTTGAATCCTTTCTTCCAATCTCCCTGGCCAGCCCCTTGGTTCTAGGTAAAACTCTACCTCTCAGCTGTCTGAACTCGGACTCAGTGGTTTCCCTGGATTCCTCCCAGCAGCAGCCTTTTCCAGACCCATTTTGTCTGTCTGAATACATTTCCCCCAGAGAGGTGGTTTGTCAGACTTATTTTTAGCTGCGGAAAAACCCTTTGTTGAAATGAAAGCCTTATATATGAAGCAGGCGGGATGGCGCTGTTTGGGGAGGTTGTAGAGCTCCACCAGATGAGTGTTTGTCCCCCATGGCCCCTTTTGACCCAGTTTGAAAAGCATTGCTCTGCAGACCCCTCTCGTTTTAAATCTTGCCTTGCTGATTTGCCTGTCCTTAGTTAACTGTCTCCTTTCCTGATGGCTTCTTCTAGCACCTTAAACAGCATGAAGCATTCTTTCTCTCTCTGCACTTCCCTCATGCCCTCTGAAGGTCACATTTTTCCAAAAAAGCAAAACACTTTAACTTCCTCATCTTTGCCTAGTGGTGTCACCATGTGGGGCTTCCTCTCACCTGCTTGTATCCCACCTGTTCATGGCTGCAGAGATGGAGACCATGGTGATATGAGCTGGAGCTGGGTGGCCTCTCTGTAATGGGAGCATCTTGAAGTCCTCCACTTCTATAGATTGTAGCTGTTTGGTTACGGGACAGTTGACATATTTTTTTTCCAGATAATTTTTTTTCTTTTTAAGATGGAGTTTCACTCTGTCACCAGGCTGGAGTGCAGTGGCGGGATCCATGCTCACTGCAACCTCCACCTCCCAGGTTCAAGCAATTCTCCTGCCTCAGCCTCCAGAGTAGCTGGGATTACAGGTGCACACCACCATGCCCAGCTAATTTTGTATTTTTAGTAGAGATGGGGTTTTGCCATATTGGCCAAGCTGGTCCCAAACTCCCGATCTCAGGTGATCTGCCTACCTCAGCCTCCAGAAGTGCTGGGATTACATCCATGAATCACCGTGCCCGGCCCCCCTTTTTTTTTTTTTTTTTTTTAAGAGACAGGGTCTCACCCTGTACCCAGGCTGGAGTGCAGTGGCTTGATCATAGCTCACTTCTGTTTCAATCTCTCAGGCTCAAGTGATTCTCCTGCCTCAGCTTCTTGAGTAGCTGTGGCTACAGGAGTTCACCACTATACCCAGCTAATTTTTAAAATTTTTAGTAGAGATGAGATATCTTTATGTCTTCTGGGCTGGTCTAGAACTCCTGGGCTCAAGCCATCTTTCTGCCTTGGCCTCTGAAAGTGCTAGGATTACAAGTATGAGCCACTGCACCTGGCCCAGAGAATTCTTTTTGGCCACAACTACGTTAAAAGAGCAGAATGCTTCCACCTGGGAGAGGCCCAGGGTTCTAGGGGAGGCCATGGGCAGAATCTTTGAATAAGTTTCGTGGAGCTCCTTGTAAAGCTGCTGTCAATGCCCTGTCCTTAGACCCTCTGGGCCAGGCTTGGAGTGGGGTCTGCTCCCCTGCTGGCAGTTCTGGACCATAGAGTTGCTGCAGGGATCCCTGTGGACTCAGGGACTGGAGACCTGTGGGTGTCTCTGGCCCATTCCCTGAGGGCACCCTGGACCTCATGAAACTTGAGGCTTACATTTCCAGGTCACTCACTTGCTTGTGTCCCTTCTAAGTCCTGTTCTTTTCTCATTCTAAATAAGTAATTACGTCCATATCTAATTTTGTCTTTATAACTGTGTATTCTTTTAAATTAAAAAAAAATTTTTTTTTGAGACGGGGTCTCGCTTTGCCACCCTGGCTGGAGTGCAGCGGCGAAATCTCAGCTTGCTGCAGCCTGGATCTCCTGGGCTCAAGTGATCCTCCCACCTCAGCCTCCCAAGTAGCTGGGGCTACAGACCTGTGCCACCACACCCGGCTAAGTTTTTAATTTTTCATAGAGATGGGGGTCTCACTATGTCGCCCAGGCTGGTCTGGAACCCCTGGGCTCAAGCAATCCTCCCACCATGGCATCCCAAAGTGCTGGGATTACACATGTGAGCCACCATGCCATGCCAGTGTATTCTTTTCCTAAAAGAAAGCCTTCCAAATCCCACAAGCTTTAGGCTCCACAAAACCTGGCTGCATCCCTGAGAACCCTGGATTCAGGACTGTCTCAGGGAACCCAGGGACTCATGGGCTAGGCGTGCCTCTTCTATGAAAAAAGGCAGAGATTCTCATTTCCAGGGCTTTCCAAGGTGTCCCTGGTGCTCTGTCTCCAGGACATCCATGCTAAATGCTCTGGTAGAAGGCAGGGAGGCATCCTGCAGCATGAGGGTACACTGTGGAATTCCGAGGCACAGGACAGCTATAAACCCATGAGGCCAGGGAAGGGCTGCTTTCTGCTGGCTGTTCCTTCTGTGCCACATGGCTCCCTGTACCCAGCCTCAGTACAAACTCTTGCCAATCTTTCTGGCACGCATAAGAAAATTGTTCCTTCTCTCTAGGCTAACTTTTCCATCAGGCCAGGACTCCTGATCTAGGCCTCAACCTGGCAGCACTGCCATGAGACTGTAATTCCTCAATCTGGCTTTTAAGAATTCTGGTTTTCAAAATGGGAGAGTTTGCCTGCCAGCTGAGACATCTCGGGACTTTGGAATTCAGTAGGCTCTTCGAGTCTGTTCTTGTTTTGTATTGTTTCGGCAGTCATTGGGACAAGTCAGACCTCAAAGCCAGAAGTAACATGTGCTGCTTTAAAAATGTGCAGAAAGCCAGGCATGGTGGCTCACGCCTGTAATCCCAGCACTTTGGGAGGCCAAGGTGGGCAGATCACTTGAGATCAGGAGCTCAAGACCAGCCTGGTGAACATGGTGAAACCCCGTCTCTATTAAAAATACAAAAATTAGCTGGGCATGGTGGCGGGTGCCTGTAATCCCAGCTACTCGGGAGGCTGAGGCAGAAGAATTGCTTGAATCTGGGAGGCAGAGGTTGCAGTGAGCCGAGCTCAAGCCACTGCACTCCAGCCTGGGCAACAGAGCGAGACTCTGTCTCAATAAATTGATAAATAATAAAAATAAAAATGTGTAGGGACACTGCTGCTTACAGATTATGGATGAATGCTTCCCCACAGAACTTCTCTTTCTCAATTCCTAACAAAATCAAAGAAAGTAAATAAAACAAGGGAGTAAAATCTATTATCAGCAACCAACACAATAAACTTCCAAATTGACATCTAAAGAAAGACGTAGAGGATTCTGGAGTGGCAAGGAATGGCACCACACGTCTCTGCTCCCTACCCTGTCCCGAGTGCCCAGAAATGGACCAAAACCTGAACATTCTTCCTATGGCTCCTGAATCTGAAAGGAAGCAGATGTGAGTCATGCCCTGTCTTCTTCCTCTTCTGAATGAGCTGTATTAAAAAGCATGCCGGGGGGAGATGGGGAAGCAGGGAGCACGAGCCACCAAGCTGACTTGGCTGATGGAAATAAAGTCTCCAGAACAACACTCCCCATGGGGAAACTGATCCTGAGTTCTGCCCCTTCCTCAGAAAAGGTGTATAGAGTCCTGCTTTCCACCCCAGTTAGGTGGCATGAGCCCGTACAGGACATTAAAAAGGCTCTCAGGACAGGAGCATGCTGAGGCATTCCAACAAAGACCACAGGCTGCTTCAGCTCAGCTGTCCCATCCAGACTACCAAAAAGTGTAGAGAACCTAAATACTCAGCCTTCTGCTTAGCTCAGAGGGAAAAATAGGGTCTCAAACAGTGGGGAGACGTCAGTAAGCTCTTCTCCCTGCTGCTGTGTTACAGTGGCATAAAGAAGGTCTGGACAGAGCCACCAAACCAGAAAGAAAAGAAATGGATGCAAACACATGGCAGCAAAATATTAATGATAAATAAGGGGAAAAACAGAGAGCGAAAGATGAGGGCTCCTCCCCACCCCTAAAAAAACTTAAGGAATTTCTTGCAACTGCTTCATATTATGAAATGACTTAAGAATGTGAATTTAATAAAGTGGGGGCTCAACGATAGGATGCTAGAACACAAGAATGGGATGGAAAGGCAACAAGTTGAGGACAAAAACATATTATTATAGACAAACAAATTAGAACTAACAAGAAAGAGAATGGGCCCCATTGAAACTCAAATTACTGAATTAGGGCAGCTAAACTAGGCAAAGAGATTAAAGCAATTAGAATTAGTAGAAATGAAAGACAGACAAAGCTGATCTGATATAAAAATTAATTAAAATCCCTGAAGAAGGAAAACCAGAAACAGAACCAAAAGAGAATTCCTTTAATGGAGAAACAAACAGGTAAATTTCAAAACTAAAGCTGCAGATTGAAAGAACACACTATATTCCAGAAAAGCTTGATTTGAAATGTTTACTACTAAGACATCTTAGTTAAGTTATTGAACCTAAAAAAAAGATGAAGAGTGACTTCTTTAGGCATTCAAGCAGAAAAAAATGTCTCCTATAAAGGGGAAAATTCAGGCTGGCCTCAGGCTTCTTCCCAGAAGAAAAAGAGGCAAAACCTACCACATTCAGTGGGAAAGATGAGACTCAAGGATATTATACCCAGCCAAGATATGGTTCCAGTATCGAGGCACAGACAGATACTGTTAAACATCGAAAATACTTCCTGGAAAAACAGCTTAACGATTAATTTAGTCCATGAAGAGATGAACAAAAATAAAGAACTTGCAAATGGAAAAAAAAGCCTTGGTAAGAAGACTAACGATGACCATTGAATTCATTTTAATTCAGAATATTTATCAACTAACTATGAAGTTATGTTTACAAAACAGAATATGAGTGTTATAAACATGGATAATGTAACAATAATATGTAACTAAACTTAGGAAGCAGGTCAGTCAGAGATGGAAAGAATCATGAGAGCGAATTTTTCAAAGCAATGAACACACTGAACACACATACACACACACACACTCATATGTCACTGAAATGTGCATTTTAAGAAAATAACTCTAACCTCAGTGTTTTTTACAATTTTTGTTTAACCTCAGAGGTATCTTTTAGGAAGTAATATCTCTTGTGGTCAAGAAACATTCTTTGAAGTTCAACTCTTTCTTCAGTTTCAACTTCTTTGTCTTCTTTTAAATTCAAGTAAAATTAAGTACTTTTAATTTAAATAGCATCTGTATTATGGCCCAGATTCCTATAAAGTATCTCTATTATCTTTCCTCCTATCAGTAAATATACATAGAAAGTTTTCTGGAATGATATAAATGTAGTGTTCATGATGGTGATTTCTGAGTGGTGGGATTGGGATAATTTAATATTCTCTGTATTCAAATTATTTAAAATGTACATATATCACTTAAAAACATGAAATTTTTCTTTAAAAGGGGTGGAAGGCTAAGAAATTATCTGTGGCTGATTCTGTTGGTGTATGGCTGATTATTTTCTTGCTTGTCATTTTTTATATTTTAATTTTCTAATAAACAAAAATTTCATAGTATTAGAAAAAAAGATTTTCAGGCATCTCACTGGAACGGATAGTCCAGAAACAGACTTGGCAGAGATGGCTGCAGCCTCCCAACATCTGCTCTCCTCTAACATTTTATGGACTTTTTAGCTGTGCACATGATAGCCAGAATAAAGACCCCATTTTCCAGCTCTGGCCAATAGCATGTAAGCAGAAGTGCCACATGGCAGCTTCTGGAATCCTCTGAGAGTTGGCTCATTTGCACTGTATTACTATCATTGCCTCTTGCTGCCTGGAATGCAGATATCACCATATTGGACCATGAGAGCAAGACCACGTAAGGCCAAGCAACAAGAAGAAAGTGTGCGTAGAGAGTCACATAAGCCCTGGACTACCTACCTGGACAATGTAAGAAAGGAAGACATTTCTATCTTGTTGAAGCAGCTGAACATAATCCTAACTGATGCACAACCTGCACACACATACAGAAATGTCGTCTGTGATACCATTTGCATTGTACATCAGAGGGGAAAGATGAAACAACTGGTTTGGCATACACATACACAAATTGCCTAGATGTGAAGGAGTTAAAAAAAAGTTTTTAAAGAAAATTTATTCTTTTCTCACAAACACAATATCTTTGTGAAGTTAGGGAAGGGTCTTTATTTTTAGAAGCCAAAGTAAAAATAATAAATAAAATAACAAGTACACTTGACAACATCAAAAATTTAAACTTCTACATGACAAAAGAAAGTATAAACAAAAGTAAAAGACAAGCAAGAGGCCTGGAGGGCAGCATTTCCTGAAGCGAAGTCTTGTCATGTTCAAGTTCAGTGTGGTGCTGGGTATGTATGCAGGGTAGAGACAAGGGGCAACAAAGTGTGGGTAGAGCTGTATATTCCCCTTTCTTTTGCACAGAAAATGCATATTAGCTGATCAAAAGCTGAGGACTTCTACAGAACCCTGTCTGTGTATGGAACTCAGCATTCCCCAGTTATTTGACGGTGAGACCAATCTTTTTGTGGTAAAATCTATGAACTAACCTCTAGGTGTATACGAAACACTCAGAAATGCTGCCATAAGAAATAACACTTTGCCATGTGAGAAATGATCGTTATATTCACCTTTTGAGCCCTCATAGATAATTCTCACTCTTTTATAAGTTCTGACCAGCAGCAGCATAAAATGAGAGAAATTTCGGCATTGTGGAATAGGAGGAAATTCTCCTGTTTACTCCTACAGAGCAGAGTGAATATATCCCAAAAGAAGGAAGTCACCTGTACTCTGAGCTTTTCCTTCTCATAGCCACTGGCCAGGACTGTAAGAAGTACATGTTTTGAAATATTTCCGATTAGAGATAAAAGACCATTTTGAAGATAATTTAGGGCTAGTCCCAGAGAGTTGTAATGCAGAACTGCCATACGGATGGCAGTTGGTCGTGATTTCTTGTTAGTTATAGGGAAAGAAAAAGGAAACAGTAGATACAGTCTAGGATGATCAATTCAGTATTGACCACACATTCTCTGGGCTCTGAGATTAAGGCCCTTGTAGTCTAGAGAGGGAGATTTTATTTAATATTATATTTTAAGTACAACTTAAAGCCCTTTACTTATGTTATTTAATCCTGTAACATAGGTGCTATACTTGTTCTCATTTTTAGGACCAGGGAAGGGAGGCATAGTTAAGTAACTTGCCTAGCTAAGGTTAAAAAGCTAGCAGGATTCCACCAGGAAGGTTTGCCATAGATCCAGCTACCCTAACCACTGCTCTGCTCTATTTCTTGTAGATAACTTTAATACAGCATGGGAAACAGCAACATAGAGAGAGGAGCAAAGTGAAAACATTGTCAGGAAGGTCCAGCGGGAAGTCAGTCCACCTTGGGGACAAGCTACAGTTTGCCTGGGAGAGTGAGGAGGGGAAAGCCAAATCAGGGTGACAAGGTCAAACAGCAGAGAGGGGGCTCCTCTTAAGCCAGGTGTGCTAAGTCGAACGTGGTCTTTAGGCACCTCCAGTCAGCACAAGTTTCTGAGTAGGAGAAACAGGTCAGGTTGCTTCTCAGCATACTGGGGTGAGGGGTGTGTGTGGAGGGTGGACCAACCTGGGATGAGGCCAGTGGGGGGTAGGGGGCAAACCTTGCCACATTCCCAGAAAGAGCAGAGAGAAAGGCAGAGGGAAGAGAAAGAAACGGGGTTTCAGAGGATTTGGGAGCTGCTTTTGTATAGATTGTCAGTGAGAAGGATACAGAACCTCCTGAGGCCTCCGACCCTGGCGTAAGTGTTAATTTTCTGAACGTTTTGAGCAGTGACATTAGCGGAGAGAACGTGCACGCACTGGGAGTGGTCATCCTCTTTGCACAATGGTGGAACCATTAAGACGTTGTCCCAAGCCCTTGGGACAGGCAGGGTGATGGACACTTGCAATCTGACGCCTTGACCGTCGAGCTCCGCTTTTCTATTGCAGGAATCCCAGCCTAAACTGCGCATCCTGCTCGTTGGTTGCACAAGGAGCCGAAGGCTGGTCCCTTGCCCGGGAAGGCCGCCTGGCCGGACGCGCGGGTCCCGCCGGGGTTCCCGCCTTAGCTCCGGCCGGAGCATCAGGTGGGGCCCAAGACACCCGCAGACTAGGCTGCCGCGGCCTCTCCCGGATCCGACGGGTCTCCCGCAGCTTGTCCACACTCTGGTTGGTGGTCCCAGCACATTTGCAGGCTCCAGCGGGTGGAGACGGCTTGGTGGGGGAGATCTCTAGGGCGCACGCCGTGCCCCACTTCCCCCTTACGGGAAAGGCTTTCCAGCGCGCGGACCCAGGAGACTCTCACCTAGGCTCGGCCCCAGGCTCCAGGGGACACGCAGAGGCCCGCCGGGCACCAGCCCCGAGCCCCCCGACACTGCCGTCCCGGTCCCCCAACGCGCGGACTACAAGTCCCAGCAGTCCCCGCAGCTGGCACCTCCCGCCTCGCCGCGGAGACCCCCGGCCGTCCAAGCGGCGGGGCTCCGGCTGCGCTCGTGGCCGGGCCGGGCGGGGAGGCCGGTCCCGCGGGCGGGGGCAGGGGCGGCTCCGCGGCTTCTCCCGCCGCCGCCGCCAAGGGGAGTTTCCAGGAAGTGGCCATATTGGATCCATTCAGCCGCAGCCGCCCGGGCGGAGCGCGTCCCGCAGCCGGCTGGTCCCTGTCGCTGCCCCTGCGCTCGTCCCAGCCCACCCGCCCGGTGCGGAGCTCGCCATGGCGGCCACCGACCTGGAGCGCTTCTCGGTGAGGGCCCCGCTGGGCCACGGCGCGCGCGGGAGGCGCGGGGCGCAGGAGGGGCCGCCCTGCAGCTGGCGGGGGGCGCGAAGCGGGCTGTCAGCGCCTCACGGCCGGGCCTCGACACCGGGCCAGCTCGAGGACCCCGGCGCGGGCTCTCGGCCGCGCTATCGGGGGGTCCCGGAGCGTCGGGCGGCCTGCCTTGCCGGGCGGCTGGTCGGGGTCGCTTCCTGGGGCGCAGGCAAGGCTAACCCCTTTCGCGGGAAGGAGCAAAGACCCGCCTGGCTCCGGGCAGGTGCGAAGATAGAGTGGCGCCCGCGGGGCCGCAGGTGAGGGTCCGGGACACTCCGGACCCTATCGCCCAGGGTGTTTCTTTCTGCACACTTGGGGAAGAGTCCTAGCCGCACAGGTGCTGCGGGATAGGTACAGCCGGGGAGGATGGAGGCCCCAGGATCCGAGAGAGTCTCCCACACGAGCCCAGGACAGTTGCAGACTTGAGTCCTGAAGACCCTTGGCCTGCTTTTCCTTCCTCCCCCGCTCCCCTCTGCCCCGCTCCCCACGCCGGAATCCTGGGTGCGACTCCAGGCAGGTCAGGCCTCAGTGGTCGGGTCTGCGGCAGCCATTCGCCAGGAGCTGGAGGGATTCCAGACTCAGCCCAGTGGGCGTTTATTTGGGCTCCAGTCCAGGTCCTCAGAAGGTTGATGTCCCTGGTGGTCCCTGCAGGGGTCTCACTGGGCCTGAGCCTGCCGACAGCCAACTTACTAAAGGCTTTCATAATTCACTCGCGGGAGGGAGGCCTTTGGGGGGTTGTATCTGGACATCCCCTGCTGTCTAAGGCTGGATCTGGGTGTGTCTGGGAGGCTAGGCTGTGACAGTGAAGGAAGCTGTGTCCTCTTGCCAGCATGTAAGGCCCTGGTCGGCTGGAAGGGGGAGGAGGGGGAGAAGGAGGAGGAGGAGGAGGGAGGCCCAGGGCTGTTGGAGGGAAGGGGGAATTCTGAATATGTGAACGATAACGAATTGGTTCTGGGGCTAAATAAGGGAGCCAGGACTTATGTAATTAATGCTATAAATACCGTCATCCCAATTTATATATGTAAATTTTCCATTTAATCTGAAAATACATTTCTTATTCTACTTTGGAAATGTGCATGACTAAAGCAGGAGCTCTTGGTTTCATAATTTCTAGACTCGGGTGTTTTATTCCCATTGGAGAGGGGGTCGTATGTCAGTTAAGTAAGTTTAAATACATGAGGAACAGATTCAGAGGCTGGGCTACTCAGAGATTCACTTCGCCCCGTATTATAAATTGGAATTTATGTACCGGAGGAGGGCAGTGCCTGAATCCTAACAGACCTGCTGATTAGCTGGAGGCCAAGAGACCCGTGAGTGCCTGGGTGTCTCTGCATGTGTGTCTGTGTGCATTTTCTGTGCCCAGCTGACCAGAAAGTTATGTCTGGGTCTTGTCTGTGGCCAGAGGTTTAACAGTTGATGTTGCAGGTGGGAGAGGTATGTAGAGAAACCAGAATCAGACAGCCTGATAGGAATCCTAGACACTCCTTGTTGGCCATGTGACCTTGGGCAGGTTATTTAACCCCTTGGTGCTCTCATGCGTATAATGGGATAGAAATATTTCTTCCCTCATAGGGGTATTGTGAGGATTCAACAAGAGAATCCAGGGGAGGTACTTAGCCCTGTGTCTGGCACATGGTAAGGACACAATAAATAATATATGCTACCTATTGTCCACGTGGATGTGAGGACTGGCCCCCTATGTAAGAAGGGAGCAGAGGATGCATTTGCCCTGTTCATGGCACTCTCTGTAGAGCTTCCATCCCTGCTCGTCCAGAGATGGTCCTCAGAGGGTTAGCTGAGAGGCCATGCTGTGGGCTGGTCAAGCCTTCCCCTGGGGTCCTGTGTTTGCTCTCGGACCATTCCTGTGAGGAGTTTTGGTATTAGCTGCGGGGTGGCCAGGGCACAGAGAGGGGACTGACTCAGGCAAGGGCGTAGAGCCTGAGCGCAGGGCCTTGGTTGCTATGCCAGCTTCAGCTGGAGGGATGGACACCTTCCACACCCTCTGCACTTTGGGCTGTCAGCCTCCTGGAAGGGCTTGGATAGGGTTGGATTTGGGTGGAGACCTTGGGTGGAGTTTGGCCTGAATTTAAGTCTGGACTCCATTCACCCTTCCTGGCTTGTCATCTTGGGAAAATCATTTCTGCCTTTATCTTGCTGTAAAATGGGCAGAGCCACACTGGTTCCTCAGAGAGTTTATGGAGGGTTAATTGCAGTCCGTGGCATGTTTGGAAATATGCTGAGGTGTCTCGCAAGCCCCAGGATGTGATGGAGCCATGACAGGTCTACACTGTCCCTCTGGCCAGCTCAGTGGTCAGTCTAGCCCTGCAGGCCTGAGAATTGTCCTGACCTGGAGCTTAGACGGCATACAGAGTTGTACTTTGAGATGGATGTGTGCTGGGTTCCTGTGTCCTCACATAGCATGGTGTACACACCACAGGCCAACAGCCTTGGCATCCTGACTGGGCTCTGCTCCACCCTAGATCAGTATTGGGGTAAGGGTTGGCATCCCCTGTGTGTGGGTGTGTGGAGCAGCCCTCTGAGGAGGGTGTGTTGCCTCTTGCCTTCCTCGGGCAGCCAGATTCCTGTCCACTCTTGCTGTGCCCCTCCTCCTAACTGGAACCTTGACTCTGGGGCTCAGCCCTTTCTTCCCCGAGGGCCAGCTCCGGTGTTTTCTCCTGCCAGAATCTCACAGGTTCAGACCCCGTGGTGAGCAACCCTTTAGGGCTTGGGGAAAGTGAAGCTGAGGGGGAGAGGAAGAAACGTGCAGCACACAGCCTCACACTGGCGTTCTTCCCAGCCAGTCACTTACCCCCATCTCTGCTTTATCCCCAGCACCATCTGTCACTTCCGTTGTCACCCCTGCAATCTTGATACTTCCCCAAGAAGCGGGCTCTTCAGGGAGTACCTAGTCCCTCCTGAAGCAGGAATTGAGAGCCCGCACCCAAATGAGGCTCAAGGTCTCTGTCAGAGTGATATCTCCCCATCTTGTAAAAACGGCCAGTAGCCTCCTTGCTGAGCCATGCCGAAGAAAAACGGGAGCTGAGCAAGAGATGCCCGTGCAGCTCCCAGGGCACATGTGAGCACCACCTGCAGAGCTGCAGCTCTGCCCTCTCCCCCAGGAGGTGAGTCTGCCTGCCCTCCCTCTCTCTTGGGCATCAGACCATGCTATGTGTGCCCACCTTAGGAAGGTCTCCTTGGGGTCTTGATTGCAGTGGGTCAGAGCTGCGGGGCTGATGGAAAGCATTGGTCATTCCAGGGAGCACATGCTAAAAGACTGACCATGATAGGAACAGAGAGGATGGCAAGGAGGAGACCAAGCTCAGGGCCAAGGAGGAGGGAGACTGGATGGAGCCTGGGAACCCAGGGTCTGACTTGTGTCAAAAACCTTGGATGGCAAGGAGGGCAGTGGGTGCTTTGAGCGCATTATCTTGTTGATGCCAACAGCCCAAGGTTGGGTGAGGATGCAGACTTTGGTCATTGGCTAGCAAAGGTAGGGGGAACAAGATCCAAATTCCAATACCAGAGATGACAGAGAGGGTGGATACCTTGGCGTTTTGAGCCCTCGGATGGGCTAGGTGGAAGCATATATTATATTTGGGGCAGTAACTACCACGAATGTCTCTGTGGCTCAAGTCCAGCTACCAGAGGCGAGCAGCTGCAGGATGGTAGAGCAAAGGGCCTGAGGGCCAGCTGGCCTCTGTGTGTCCCTTGCAGCCTCCCCAGCCTTCCTGCCTCTGTGCTGCCAGCTTGGGTTTCAGGATCCCCAGGCATGGCCCCCAAGGCAAAAGCTTTGCCAGATAACCAGATGCAGAGCTATGCATGCAGGAGGGAGACACATCTGCCTGGGGAGGAGACGCCCTCCCAAGGTCTCCATGCCCTTGTGGTAGAGCTGGGGCACTCTGTTGGCTTCTTTTGGAGCCATCTGAACCTTCAGAGCTCCTGAAAGAACTGGCTGGGAAGAGGCAGCGGAGGACGGGGCAGGGGGCATCTTGGCTCTGCGTGCAGTTGCCCTACATGTTCTTGGGGCAAATTAGATATTCTCCTCAGGATACACGGCTTTCAGGTGTTCCCTATCCTAGAGGTCAGATTAGAGGGACAGAACCAGCAGAGGAAGGTACAGGGGCCCATGTCTGCTGGCAGGTGGCTGGCTGTTTTCTGAGGGGGCTCCAGGGCTTGGGCTGCCTGATGCTTGGGGTTCAGGAGGGGCTGTGGGTATGGACCCAAGCCCACTTGCCAGACATGGCTCTTGGGCCTGGGTACAAACCTGACATTCTGCCTGGTGTTGGAGTGAATGGACAAGCAGCAGAGAAGTATAGCAGTGCCACCCCCATACCTCTGCCAACCCGTATTGGTGCCCATGCATTCCTCCGTCCCTTTCCAGCACTGGCATCCATCGTGGGGTTGGACAGAAGGCGGGGCACCTTTGCTGCCCACATTCTCCCTCCAAGGGTTTCATTTGCTGTGAAACAGAGGCTGCCTTCTCCTGCCAGTGATACCCAGACCACTCGTGGCTTTCCCTGTTACAAGGCAGTGGTGGCTGCCACTGGAGTCCCTGAGCTAAGTAAGAAAATATGAATGCCTGGAGTTCTAGTACATTCTGCAGCCCAGAGCACCTTCCCCATCTCCTCTGTGGTGGGATAGACCACTCCCTCTCAGGCAGCACAATAAAGGCCAAGAATGTGTCTGTCCTAGGCCTGGGGGTTGGGGTGGCGAGTACTGGCCCAGCTACCAGTAACTGTGCTCTTAGCTTCCTGGAAATCTGATTTTGATGGGAAAAGCTTGAAACACACTATCCCAAATTAATAAGCTCCAGCCTGGCTGGCTGTGTGCAGAAAGGAAAGACAGTGCCTCTTAGTGAGACAGAGAAACAGAGAGAATGGAGTATTGGGGTCAGGGGATGGTTTTGCTCCCAAAATTCCTTCTCTTCCCAGGATGGGTGGAGTAGGACTGGCCTTGTGAGGATGATTGGCTTCCTGTTACCTTGACTGCCGTCATGTTGGGACCATGGCGGGTGATCCTTGCTTGAATCTTCTCTCAAGTTTTCTGTTGCCACTGTAGGAGAAAGATGCTTTGGCTCCCAGGTGTCCTCTTGATTTGGGACAGGTATATCCTGCCTCTATTCTTCCTTCCTGGCCCCGGGTAGCAGCATCCCACCCCCACCCTCCCACGTATGTCTCCTTGGTTATTTCCCGTAACCTCTGACCTGGGCTTAGAGGCTTGCTGTGGAATCCTGGGACCAGAGCCGAAGCCTTTCCTGGGAAAATTCCTAGGATTCCTCTCAGGCTCAAGGACAGTTGTGCTTATGACCGCGACCACGGGTTCTGGCTAGAGGCCTCTGCTCTGGCTATTTAAGGCCCAGGCTCCTGGGAGGAGCTGGAGCCGGGGCTAGCATAGTTTGTGCCAGGAACATGGGTGGAGAAAGCTTCCAGTGGTCCATTGACTCCTGAGTCCATTGCTCAGTTACTTAATAGGGCCACCCCCAGGGCTGGAGCTCCCCTGGGGAGTGGGCTTCCTGTCTGCCTGACTGGGTGTACAGGTGAGTGGGTGCTAGGCATGGGAGCCCAGAGGAAGAAAAGCATCCAAAGTCCAAGGCACTGGAGAACTCTGGAAGGCCTGAGGTCTGGGGGCTGCTCTTTGTCCATTACTCGGTAGCCAATCCACCTATGGTGGGGTATCCTTTCTACTCCCACTGCAACAACCAGCCTAGTTTGGGGGTTTGGATCACAGGGGTCTTTATTTACCCACAGCTTCCCCGGCTCTGTTGGTTTAGAGATTCAGTAGATTTCCAGTTCCTTCTGGATAAAAACCTGTTTTTGTGTGTTGGCAACCATGAGATGCAGTTTCTTCCCAGATCCCACCTTGTTTCATGGTAAAAGGGACAGCTCCTCTTGGCTGGTGATGAGGGCTGCTCTAGGAGGCTCAGACAGAGCATTTCCTATCAGGAAAAGGGCGTCCTAGTTATCCACTGGGCTGCGTAACAAAATGCTGTTCTCTACTTTGTCTTGGACGGCCGGGCATGGAGGCACGCAGCCGGCCTGAGAAGTTATTGTTTTGGTTGTTGTCTTTGATGTGCCAAAGAAATGATGACACAGAAGCCTGGGGCCTGGCTCAGGAGCCAAAAGCTTGTTAGTGATTAGAGAGGGGATAATGGCCCCATGGAGTTTCTCATTGCATATGTAGAGCTCAGAGCTGCCAACTCCCTCTATCCTGGGACTTTGAAGACATATACAACGCTCACCCCTGTGTGAGCACCTCAGGGAGCTGGGTGTGTGGAATGAGCCAGAGGCTTTGGGTCCACCTCTCTCTGGGGTCCAAGTTAAGTTGTCCTGCCTGAAGGCTCCTCCCCACAGAGCAGTCTGCCATGGGGCTTCCTGACTTGAGAATGGAGCCTGGCTGCAGGGTCCGTCCAGCTCACCCTCCCACCAGAGCCAGCTTACAGACCAGCAGGCCTTTGGCCCACACCAGCCCCCTGACATGTTGTATTGGGCCCTCATGGTATTCTCAGTTTGTATTGGTTGTCAATCTTTAAAAATTACAGAATTTCACATAAAAATATAGATTTCTGGGCCAGGCATGGTGGCTCACACCTGTAATCCCAGCACTTTGGGAGGCCAACGCAGGTGGATCACCTGAGGTCAGGAGTTCAAGACCGACCTGGCCAACATAGTGAAACCCCGTCTCTACTAAAAATACAAAAATCAGCCAGGCGTGGTGGTTGCGTGCCTGTAATCCCAGCTACTGGGGAGTCTGAGGCATGAGAATTGCTTGTACCTAGGAGGCGGAGGTTACAGTGAGCTGAGATCACACCACTCCAGCCTGGGTGACAGAGCCAGACTGTGTCTCAAAAAATACATACATACATATATATACATATATACATATATATATATATATATATACACACACATACACATATATACATATATATATATATACATATATACATATATATATACATATATACATATATATATATATATACACACACACACACACACACACATATATATATATGTGTGTGTATATATATATATATATATATATATATATATATATATATATGTATATATAGAGAGAGATTTTTGGGTTCTCTTTAAAAACGGGAAGATTTGGCAACACTAGATCTGTGTTCCCACAGTTGGCTGGCGTTGTGGAACTGTGGCCACCATGGATTGAGCATAAGCACAGGCTCTCCAGTTCTCTGCCATTCCCACCTCTCCCCGGGAACCCCCACGCTTGGCCAAGTTAGTGGCTGTCTTTCATCCAGCAGGCGGGGAGTGATGTGACTAGAAGTGTGGGTTTCACAGTCATGTTGTCTCCATTCAGATCCTGGCTTTGCTCTCCTGAGCAGTGTGGTCTTGGGCAAATTACACACTCTCTTGATGCCTCTATTGTCTCATCTAGACAATGGGGAGGCTGCTACGGCCTATGTCATAGGGCTGATGTGTGGACTAAATTAGATTAAATTAGGGTTGCGCAAAGCAAGCATGCAATACATGTTAGTTATGTCTGTTGTTGTTGCCATTGTTATTAAGGTGCTGCTCCCCTTCACCTATATATGTTACCTGCCTGGCTTCTAAAGGCATTTGAGTTTAGGCTTAGCCCTCTGAGGTCAAGGATCTGATGTCCTCATCTTTTCACTGGCAGCCATCTCAGTTCCTGGCACACAGCAGACATGTCCAGTGCGTGTGTGTTGAGTGACTGAATGAATGAGTTGGAAGCCTGCTAAGAACAGGGGAGGCAATGTAGCAGAGTGGTTTGGGACAAGAGCTTGGTCTGTTCTCAGGTCCCTGCTCTGCCCTGGTTAGTTCCCTAGCTTCTGTGTGCTTCAGTTTCCTCCCCTGTAAAATGGGGATAATCATGGAGTCTGTCATCCACAGTGAGGAAGGACCAAGTGAGAGCCTGGGTGTAAATCACTTGGCTTAGTTCACACATGGTGGTCCTCAGTGAGGTGTTGGTATCATCCCAGACGTCCCTTCCTTCCTTTGGTTGTGAATACTGAGATGTTTTACCTTCCACACTGTCCCTCCTTTCCTGGCTCTCCTCGCTTTCTCCCTGTTCCTCTGCATCCAAAGAGTTTTACTTTGGATCCTATGGCACCGAAGATGTTTCAGTTGCAAGTAATAGATAATACCACTCAACTAGCCTCAGCAATAAAGAGGATATGGCCAGGGGGAAGGGGAAAAGCCCAGAGATAGGGCAGACTCTGGCTCCCTCTTTTCTCTGTGATTTTCTTGGCTCTGCCATCCTGTGAGTAGACTGCAGCCTTAGGCTAGCTCCCCTAATGGTCTCAAGATGGTCATAAAGGCTCAACCTGCGTCACTTGCCTGTACTTGCACCGATCATGGCATCACGCTGATGGGCTCCCACCCTGGGAGTTGGAGCTGTGGTCTCACCCACCAAATTGCAGGGCTGGTAGCCACTGGGTCACCTGACTTTATTTCTGAGTCATGGTAGCTGAGATGTGCAGGAGGTCCTTCAGGGGCTGCTGGTTCCTCCTAGGTTGTAACCCCACTCAGGTTGGTAGAGATGCCTGGAGCAGGCACCCTGGAGTGAGCAATGCAACTTAGATCACATGTCGATGCCAAATCTATGATCAGGGAGTTGGCATTAGTGAGAGTTACCCCTCGGTAAAGCCTGGAGGTCAGATCAGTCTCCTGGGACCAGGTAACAACACTGCCTCCATCAGGGCCAGTGGCCATTCTGTGTGTGTACGTGTGTGTGTGCATGCATGCTCCATAGACTCATACCCCTGACTGGTCCCCGGGGCTCCTAAACAGGTATTGCCCCAGATGTGTGGCCCCTGCGATAACAGAGTGTAGCCTGGGTAACAACTTAGGGATGATGACCTCCCTGTACCCCACACTTCCACAGAGAGAGCCAAGCTGTGTGAGAGGAGGCCACTCTGCAGTTGCTGTGTGTGGATAGGTGGTTTATGTGAGACCCACCCCAAGAACCCCCAGTGCTACACTTAGCCTCTGGGGCCTAGAACTGTAAGAAAGTGGGGGAAAACAGGAATGGAATGGCCTCTGCTTCTCAGTAAGTGCTCTGCGGCTGCGTGTGTGTGTGTGTGTGTGTGTGTGTGTGTGTGTGTGTGTGTGGTTTCCAGACACAGCTGACTTGGTGGGGTTTGGCGGCAGACTACAGGATGTTGGATTGCATCCTGATTGTGTCACCCCTTGGAAGAAGAGGATGAATAAACACATAGCCTTCTCTGCAAGCACAGCACGCCTTAAATTTTGGAGATTTTCAGTCTTGCCTGAAAAGAAAAAAGCTCTAGACCGACTGTGTCCTCCATTTGATCCTCAAGCCGACACAAGGAGGTGGAACAGAGACTAAATAATGAAGCCCTGTGTAAGGTGGGCAGGTGCTCTGATGCCGTAGCAGTTGGAGGCTGTGTTCAGTAACTTATAAATGGTAGCATTGTCCAGCATGTTGGGCATAGTAATGGGAGGGAAGGAAGAACAGAAAACCTGACCTCCCCAACCTGCAGCCGACATCTAGAAGCTTATAGAATAGGTGGAGAATCAAGATGCATTAAAAAAGGATAACCAGTAGTACTAGGAAACAGGATAACTGCCAAGTGAGGGGTCTGGAACGTAAGTGCTTGGGGGCCAGGTGAGAGTGGGTGCCAAGGGAAAAGTAGAGTAGCTGTAGAGCCGAGGGGAGGGGCAGAGTTTGAAAAGAGAGCTCAGAGTTACCAGCTGGGCTGGAACCAGGCCAGTGAGGAAGGCCTGGAACACCATGCTAAGGGCTTTGGACCTGACCCAGCACCTCCTAGGCTTCATTAACTACTTTTATGTGGGCACCAATGAGAGGAAACTGCCTTTGGGACCTCCTTGTCCAATTATGTTTGCAGCCCTAAGGAGATCTGGGCTTGAGTGGGGAGATTGGGACATGATGCTTTGGGGCTAGGTGATGGGGAGAAAGGGTCAGCTATAAGAAAAGAGGCTCCGTTGAGAGAGAGTCATGGGAGAAAGCAGGTTTAGGGGTAGCCCTGACTTGTTTGAGGGGATGGTACAACTGCCCAGAGGGGCCATGTGGGGTCTAGGTTGCCAGCACCCACACTTGGGAGTCGTTGATGCAAGGCTGCTGTGGGGAGGTAGACATCAGTTGTGCAGAAGGTTGGGTTTGAGTGCCAAGGTTCTCTGGTTGGGAGGGAAGGATGGCCAGAGGGGTTCAGGCCAAGGCAGTGGGCTGTGGCACAGGTCAGCTGCTCAGGTGCTGAGGAGATGCTTCTGTGGGGCAGGAGTCAGGGCCCCCTGTCGGTTCCTGACCCCGAGCCTGTATCCACATCTGCACAAGGGCTGCCACTGGCCCTATCTCCTGGGCTGTCCTTAGCTGGACCTGCTTCACCACCCTGCGGCTATGGGCAGGAGAGACTCTGAATCCGCTGCCCCTTCCTCTCCTTCCTCTTTCTAGCTGTCTCAGGGCAGTGGGGCTCAGGAATGGAGGAGGCATGACTCTGCACAACATGGAGCTGCCTAAGGTCTGCCCTCCAGAGGGGCTGAACCTGGGAACCTTCCCTCGGGCAGCATTTTACCCCATTCCAGGGAGTCAGAGAAACCAGCCACACAAGTTGGAGTGTGACCATGACCCTCTGCTTTGGGTCCTCGTGGTTTCTTTTTATAGAGCGGTGGGCCACCTCCAGTGGCCCCAGCTCACTCGGGGCCTGCCGCTCAGCCCTCTGCTAAGGCCAGGCCTCCACATTCTTACCCGGAACCTTCTGTCTAGACAACCAGGGCTGAGATGGGGGTGGAAGGGTGGCAGGAGTCAGGAGCCAGGAGCTGGGGGTCTCTAGAGAATACCACTGAGGCAGAAGGGAGGAGGCCTCAGAGTCTCAGTCCCTTTGAAACCCACCCCTGAGCCCCACGGGGGGGTTGTGTGAGTGAGGGCCGGCTCCTTTAGCAGGGTCCATGCATGAGTCCCACACGTGGGTGTGTGAGGAGCAGGGGTGAACATGGAGGGCTACGAGCCCAGCTGATAGAGAAGGCTCCTCTGAGGGAGCATGCTTGTGAGGGGTTTGGACCAGACGTGGCCCTACTTGAGTCCTGCATCAGTGGGAGGGCCTGGGAGGACTAGGCAGGGGCAGCATCCCCCGTCTCCTAGAGCTGGCTGCAGGAACAGACACACTTTCCAATCTGGTCCTCTGGGACCATCTGGGGCCTCCTCCTGAGTAGGAAAACAGGTGGGCCCTTATGGGTAGCAACCACAGCCCCTGGGGCCACCTATGCCAGGAGACATGGAGCCCTCAGCCCAGGCATCCCTGGCCATCCCAGGTGGAGCAAAGCTACAGAGTGGAAGGGCCTTTCCCCCTGGGGGCATCGGGCTCCCTCTGGGGAAACTTGGCCTGGAGTTGGTGCTCGGGTGTACTCAGGGTGTGTCTGAGATTTGTTGAGAATTCAGACATCGGGTGGGGCTGCTTCACTGTTTTAACTCAGATTTAGCGCCCACCCCGCAGCTTGACCTTTCTTCCCCAGTGGGCTCATGTCTTGCTTTATTTCTCTCTTGGCAGAATGCAGAGCCAGAGCCCCGGAGCCTCTCCCTGGGCGGCCATGTGGGTTTCGACAGCCTCCCCGACCAGCTGGTCAGCAAGTCGGTCACTCAGGGCTTCAGCTTCAACATCCTCTGTGTGGGTGAGTGTCAGGGCCTGGCCTCAGACAGAGGGTGGGTGAGAACCTCCTGGGAGAGGGGGTGCTTCTGGCCCCCTGTTGAGCTGCAAGGGGGCTTCCCAGGCAGAGTGAAACTTTGGGGGTGTCAGGACGAGGATTTGGTTGGTGTCTCTGCCAGAGTCAAGGATAGAGTTAGAGCCAGGGCCTGACACAGCATTGTCATGAAGAGTAAACTGGATCGGGCACATGAAAGTGCTTTGTAAACTGTGGGTGTTTATCACAGAGATTTAGGTTCATTTATTCATTTGTTTGTTCATTTAAAAAACATGTACTCATTTACTGCTTCCCACCCTGTGTCAAGGACGTTATGGTAAACAGCTCTGCCCCTCATCACCATATCCTATGGTAAGTGCTCCAGCACGCATGTGAACAAATAACAGCCCCAAGCAGAGAGGCTCTCGGAGGTTCCCTGGGACTCCCAGAAGGACACAAAGTGCTCTTCTGGTCCCTCTGCAGGTGTCCTTCGGGAAGCAGCCCATCCTGAGTTCCCCCAGCTAAAGCCATGTGGAGCTAGGGCTGTCCGGGGCGCATGGGTTGAGCCACTGGTGGCTTTAGACCCTGGCCCTCTTGGTCCCATGACCACCCTGGTCCCAGGAGGGGTGTTGTGTAGAGCAGGTTATGTGTGAGGTGATTGGGTCTGCAGTGGTGTCTACACAGCTGCCTGGCTCTGTCTCTTCCCTGCTCCCTGAGGAAATACATCACATATCACACACAGCTATGTCTTCTGTCCAAGTTCACCTTTTGGCTCTTCCTTCCACAGGTTATTTCTGAGGCCACAGGAAAAGATAGTTCCTGGGGAATGGGGGTGATGAGGGATGGGGTGGGCGGCCTGCCCCTTTCTCTTATCCAGGGGCCATGGATGCCTGAGCCCTGCCTGGCCTAGCCACCAGTCAAGGACAGCCCATTTCCAGCCTATGACACCCACTTCTTCCCCTCCTGTCCTCACTGCCCAGGGGAGACCGGCATTGGCAAATCCACACTGATGAACACACTCTTCAACACGACCTTCGAGACTGAGGAAGCCAGTCACCATGAGGCATGCGTGCGCCTGCGGCCCCAGACCTATGACCTCCAGGAGAGCAACGTGCAGCTCAAGCTGACCATTGTGGATGCCGTGGGCTTTGGGGATCAGATCAATAAGGATGAGAGGCAAGAGGCGGGAAGGGCGGCCCCACCCAGCCTCCTCCCACCCCACCTACATTGGCCCCTATAACAGTAGCCCAGCCCTCACACTGCAGGGGGCCAGGGAGGGCCTCTTGGGGAATATCTGAGGCTCTGTGGTCACCAACAGACCAGTTACTCCTTTAGGTGTCTGGAGAAGGGGTCAGCTGCCTGTATCCAGTCAGGGATCTCAGGCAGAAGCTGTTCCCAGAAAGAAAAGGCCAGGGGGCAGCCTGGCTTGGCCCCGAGCCCTGAGCCCCCCAAGCCCCAAGCCCCTGATCTCAGCTGGCAGCCTCCTGGGTGATGGAGCTGTCTGTAGTTACAGGCCCATAGTTGACTACATCGATGCGCAGTTTGAAAATTATCTGCAGGAGGAGCTGAAGATCCGCCGCTCGCTCTTCGACTACCATGACACAAGGATCCACGTTTGCCTCTACTTCATCACGCCCACAGGGCACTCCCTGAAGTCTCTAGATCTAGTGACCATGAAGAAACTAGACAGCAAGGTATCCCTGTCCCCACCTGCTGTCACAGGCTCCATAGTCTTCTGCTGCGATGCGATGTGGTGGCTGCCTCATGCCTGAACACCATGGTCCTCAGGGACCTGGTCGGGGGCTTGTGGGTGGCCCCCCATTGGCTCGGTCCTCTCTCTGTCTTGCGTCTGTTCCTCCTGCTCCAGTGGCCCCCAATGCTCTGGGCTCATTCTCCAGAGTCCTGTGCCCTGGGTCTGACCCTGAGCCCCTTGCTTGCAGCTGAATCATTCTCATTGTCAGCCCCTCCCGCTCCCGATAGTGTTTGTTCCCCTTCGCTCCAGGGAACCTCCCTTCCCATCTCAGCCTCTTCTCTGCTCATTTTCTATCTCTCAATTCCTAATTTCTAGCTCCTCCTTTCACTTCCCCCTTCCTCCCTGACATAAATGTCCTTTGGTTCCTTCTGAGCCCATCAGGGAGAGGAGAGTTAAGGCCCAGAAATGGGATGTGAATGAGGGGTGGGTACTGTAGGGGTAGAGAAGGGAGGCAGCTTCATGGGAAGGACTGGAAGTGCTGTGCATCTTGAAGGGCATGTGACCCCACATCCCTTGTCAGCTCTCACGTGACTGCCCTCCCATCTCAGGAGTTCATTTTTATTGTAAAAAACGGGATAGCCTGGGCCTGGGAGATTTTGGGATCTTCTTATGGCTACTGCTGATGGGTCCTTTTACCTGCTTAGTGGGGAGCATAGCCCCCCCACCACTCCTTCTGTTAGGCCCCAGGCCAATTAGGACCTTCAAAGGATTCTGGGTCAAAGCTGGGTATGCCTAGGGGGACCAGTTTTGGGGCTGGATGGTGATTTGGGGGAACCAGGGCTGTAAGAAGCACTGCAGCCAATTGTTGAAACTCATCAGAATGGCCACAGGTGGCTGGGTTTGCACTATGGCTGCCCGTGGGAGTGGCTCCATCTCTCTGGCCTCCTTCCCCCTGCCCAGGGATATGGCCTGGGCATGTCTATCCATATCCTGGGCATGGCATGGGAACCACCGCTCAAAAGAGCCAACCAGCCTGCTGTCCCCTCCCCTGATCCTGGCAGGTGAACATTATTCCCATCATCGCCAAGGCTGACACCATCTCCAAGAGCGAGCTCCACAAGTTCAAGATCAAGATCATGGGCGAGTTGGTCAGCAACGGGGTCCAGATCTACCAGTTCCCCACGGATGATGAGGCTGTTGCAGAGATTAACGCAGTCATGAATGTGAGCGTTGGGTGAGGGCCTCAGGGCCCTGGGGCCAGAGGGCGAGGAGCCGGCACAGATCTGACACAGCCCCAGGAGACTCTTGTTCCCCAGGATTCCAGCCTTAGCTTCTCCAGGACAGAAGGGTGGGCATCTGGAGCTGGCCAGTCCTACATCTGTGGGCAGGGGACAGGAAGAATCTGATAGTGGGCCTACACTGGGGACCCCAGGTTTGGGTGTCATAAGATCTGGACTCATGGAGGAGCCTGGAAATGGAAGCAGTTGAGCAGGCTTAAGGGTTTGGGAACCTGGAAGGGAGCCAGGCTCACAGGTCCTTTCAGGAAGCTCTAATGGCCCCTGGGAGGCCCGAGTGCTGAAAGAACAGCCTGGAGAATCAGGAGCACCAGGGAGGGGGTTGAGGGTTCAGCCCACTCCCCTGTTTGGAGTTCTGGGACATTTCTCCAGAAGAGAGCCAGGAAGTAAGCATCTGGCCCTGGAGCCTTTGTTCAGGTCTGGCTGCCCCTCCCTAGGACCCAGGGGCAGGGAGGGAGAGTCTGCCATTAGTCTGTGTCAGCTCAGGGCTTACGCATACCCGGGCCCCTTTCCAGGCACATCTGCCCTTTGCCGTGGTGGGCAGCACCGAGGAGGTGAAGGTGGGGAACAAGCTGGTCCGAGCACGGCAGTACCCCTGGGGAGTGGTGCAGGGTGAGTGTGGACAGGAAATGCATCCTGGGGGTAGAACTGAGTTCCCTGGCCTGCCCTGCTGCCTGTAGTACCCTGTGCTGTTTCCTCCTCATGCCCACCTGCGTGCCTACCCTGACTCTGGAGTGTGCCCGCCTGCATGCCTGCCTGATACCCCACCGGCCCTCTGCTTTCAGTGGAGAATGAGAATCACTGCGACTTCGTGAAGCTGCGGGAGATGTTGATCCGGGTGAACATGGAAGACCTCCGCGAGCAGACCCACAGCCGGCACTACGAGCTCTACCGGCGCTGCAAGTTGGAGGAGATGGGCTTTCAGGACAGCGATGGTGACAGCCAGCCCTTCAGGTGACAGCCTGAGCCAGAGTGAGCCTGTCTTCACAGCTGTGGCCAGACACACCACCCTGGCATCTGTTCCCTGAGGGACCCCACATCCTCTTACCCCTCGTGCCCACATGATTCTACTTCTCTGGCTCTGCCCTGCCCTATCCCATTCCGTCATAATCCCATCCTTGGCCTCTTTTCTCTGGGTCTCCACAGCCTACAAGAGACATACGAGGCCAAGAGGAAGGAGTTCCTAAGTGAGCTGCAGAGGAAGGAGGAAGAGATGAGGCAGATGTTTGTCAACAAAGTGAAGGAGACAGAGCTGGAGCTGAAGGAGAAGGAAAGGGAGGTATGTGCCAGGCTGGGGGCTGGGATGGGGAAGCTGAGGGAGGGAAGGCCTGGCTGAGGGTAGAGGTGGGGGTGCCTTCCTGGCCCAGGCTCAAGCCCTCCTCTTGCTCCCCGCATCTTCTGCCCCCTTTCTGATGCCAGCTCCATGAGAAGTTTGAGCACCTGAAGCGGGTCCACCAGGAGGAGAAGCGCAAGGTGGAGGAAAAGCGCCGGGAACTGGAGGAGGAGACCAACGCCTTCAATCGCCGGAAGGCTGCGGTGGAGGCCCTGCAGTCGCAGGCCTTGCACGCCACCTCGCAGCAGCCCCTGAGGAAGGACAAGGACAAGAAGAAGTAGGTGGCAGGCTGCGCCTGCGCTGGCTCCTCTTGCTCCTGTGGGCTCTTGCTTTCGTTCTTGTCCCTCACCTCCCTTCTCGCTCTCCTGCTCGCCCTCTCTTACCCCTTTCCTGTTTGGTTTTCCCTCATCTTCAGTGGCTCTCCCCCCAGCTTTCTTGGTTGCCTTTTTCTTTCACTAGTGATCCAGTGTCTCGCCGTCTGGATTGCTCTGATACTCATGCAGTCTCACTTGCACAGGCAATCTTGTGCTCCCCCTCCCTCTCCCTTCTCCCTTTTTCTCTCCTTCTCTTCCCCCTTCTTCCTCTTCCTCCAACTTTCTTGCTCACCCATTCGCTCTCCCATAGCCCCCTTGGCAGCTGTGGCCCTGTTGCAGCGTGGTGAAGGTGGGGCTGCACGGGTGAGGAGCAGCGTGGAGAGGGCGAAGCTGCAGGGCTCTGGGAATGCTGGGAATGGTCTTTCAGGCCAGGGGCGGGACAGGACCTGGGAATGTCAGCATCTCCAGCCAGATTCCAAAAGCCGTGGTGGTTTCTGCTTGGACACCTGTGGCGCATCCCTCCTCAGTCTGTGGGGCAGTGGTGTGGAGCCCGTATTGGCTGGCAGGTGGTGATGGAGAACTGCGGGCACTCGCGCCAGCCAACACTGGCCTCCTGGAGACTGGTCACCACACAGCTGTTCTGAAGGGCCCGCAGGGCTTAAGGGAGGAAAGCGGCTTCCCACAGGGGCTCTGTGGGTTCTTTTGGGGAGAAGAGCTGCCCCTCAAGTAGAGGCTGGAGTTGTTCCTGCAGAGTGGAGAGAGGAGAGAAAGACTGGATGGCAGGGAGGCCTTTCCCAGCACCAGGAGTGCAGTCAACGGAGTAGTCAGGTGGGGACAACTATGAGTCACTTCTCCCTGGCGATCTTCATAGCCTGTTTCCACACCCTTAGCTGGAGTCCAGATGTCCTGGCTTCTGGGGCTCACCCTCGCCCACCCACCTCATTCACAGCCATGCTATGTCACACTGTGGGGATCCCATCCATCCCTGCTTCTCCCTGCCCCGGCCTATCTTGGGTACCATCCTTCTCTTGCCAACCTAGGAACTAAGCAGGTGAACCCAACCTGGCCGTCATTCTCGGGATCCATTTCCTCCTGGGATATTTGGGGATGTGTATGCCCAGGCCCTTCCTTCCTTGGTGGCAATGGAGCCTAGCCATTAGGGCCAGCGGGAGTCTGTGACCCAGGTACTGGCACCCAAAGTGACTTTGCCCTGCTTCCTGCCATCTTGTTAAAGAAAAGGTAGCCAGGATTCCCTAGGAAATAAGCTGTGGAGAAACCACTCAGCAACTGCAGACAGGGGTCTGTGGCCAGTTCAGGGTCTGAGGGCCAGTGAAGGTGGGTGCAGGCAGGCTGAAAGGACACCAGCACAGCCCTCGGGGTGGGGGCTTGTCACTGGTGTCTGGTCTCCCTGCTTTTCCCATGTGGCCTGGGCTCCATGATACGTTCTCCAGGCCTGGGCCTGGAAAACAGGTCTTTCCTGTTCTCTGGACCTGCTAGAAAGCTTCAGTCAGTTTGGTCCCTGGGAGAGAAAACGCTCTTCCCATGACGGCTCTGTGGAGGCCAGGAATGGGGTAGGTGGGTTGACTGGGAGTACTCCTTCCTGCCGCCCTGGTCAAGGGACTAGTGTGAGTCGGGAGTGCATTTTTGGAATGGGGGCAGGGGTGTTTTTCATGACCATTTATTTGAGTGGTTTTGATTGGTTATGCATACTCTTTAAATTTGAATCCAAATTTTTTGCAAAATTACTTCCCAATCAGATCTTGACCCTTAGCCTGGGACACCACAAACTGAGGTGAATTCTCTGCTTTGCTCGTCACAAATGCCAAACTGACTGCCCTTTCACGGTGTCCATCTTGCTGTCTTTTGCTTCTGTTTGATTTGGTCTGCATATCTTTTAATGTGTCTGTTTTTGTTTTGTTTGTTTTATTTTTATTTTTCAGTTAACGCACGCACAGACTTACATGTCAAGAGTGGACTTTAGACTTTCATGTGTTAAGTTGCTTGAGTTACACCTTGTGACCCTTCTCCCATAACATGGTGTGAGGACGGACTGGGAGCCGGTACAGACTCCAGTGTTTACAGCCTTGCTTTCCTCCCACCGACCCTGGCCCCAGGCTGCCCCGGGCCTGGCGGGCCACCCCTCTCTATGCAAACACGTAAAAGCCATGAATGCTGGAATCCAAAACTGACGAGGTTTATTTTTTTCAGAGCCAGTGGCTGGTCTTCCATTTACAGTGTCACTATTCCCTGACGGAGCTGTTATGTGCCGCTCTAGCGAAGGCCCCAGCCGGGATGCTAGGCCTAATTGTTCAGCGTGGAGATGGCAACTCACGTGGTGCCCTAGGTGCAGCTGCGTGGTCTGGTATACATGCTGCAAAATTCACCCAGTTCCCCTCATTTTAATTTTTCTAACCTACAGCTTAATTTTAATAACTTTAAAACACTTCTAAATATTTATTTTGGCACCAGCGTCAAGACAAATAATATCCTCTCCCATTATTTTCATAAGTAACACAGATTCCCTGATTTTTAAAAACTAAAAATACAGCTAAACCTTTCTTATGTATAAAGTATGCCTATCATATACAGGGAGAGGTGGGTAATAAACTTCCTGTAATGACAGTGTTTGGCATTTCTTTATGGATGGAATTGGAACATGAACAAGACCATGTCCAGCGTTTTTACTGTGAATGTAAATGGAACAGCAGCCCAAAGCTGTTGTCTGTGCCCCAGAGGTGCTACCTGTAGACAGGGACCAACTCCATGTGTGTGTGTTAAGTGTTTGACTCCAATTAAGACTCCCAAGCAAATCCTGCATATTCCAAATGTAAAGAGTACTCAGTGGGAAAAAGGTTGTTACCTCAAAGTCATTGCTTCTTTCCTGGCTGGGTCACAGGGTGAAGAGATGAAGGTGTCTGATGTATATAGACAATTAGGGAAAAATGAGCGGCAAAGGAGCTTTCCCCTTCAGCTGCACTCTAAAGGGGAACATTTTAAGGAAGTACTAGCAGCTTTGACTCTTCTATGCTCCTGTTGGTTTACAAGCCACCAAGAATGTCAGTGTTGAGAATACGGCCTGGTAAAATGGGAGATGTAAAATGACTAAATGAAAGGAAGGGTAGTTTTAATGTTGAAGCACCGTGCTGGGCACTGGAGCTACCCAGAGGAATGCACAACGCTCCCCTCAAGGAGCTCACAGTCTAGCCTACTCCCTGGCTGGAAGCCTCAGGAAGACGTGCTAATTTATTGTGGAATTGGTAGTTTGCTTTTCATGCCCCTGTCTTCCTTCTCATGACCATTTCCCCCTTTCTGTCTGGCTTGCATTATTGATTTCCAGGACCAAGTCCTGGCTTCCTCCTGCCTTCCTGAGATGATGTTCTGCTCAGGGAGAAGTGGAGGGGTGAGCTGTGTGTGTCCACCGAGGCACGGCCAGGAAGAGGCAGCCTTTACCTGTGAGGGGCTCCATGCTCCAGCAGCAGAGCAGGTTCTAGTGACAATTCAACTTTTTATGCTATGACCAGGGGTGGATCTAAATTTTATGGGGCTGAAAGCTTGAATTATTTAGAAAGACTTCTTTAAGAAAAACAATGTTAATATAAAATTAGGTACAGGGTCTTGGAAGGGGCCCTGAAGATTAAGCTTCCTTAGCGTCACAATAAGTCCGTATCTGGTTGCAATTGAAAACTGATGCTTCAGTGAGGGTATCTAAAAAGGTAAACTGGCATATCCAGGGCAAATGTGGGCTGCCAATGGCTCATCTCTAGGGTAATTTTATGTCTGAAAGTGTATGCAGTTGGGTCAGAGCATGACCTTTAAGATAGCCTCTCTCAGCTAACATATTTATGAAGATGAGGCCTGGTGACCCAGCAGGTTCATTGGATACATAAGAAATGAGAATTCCTGGTTCATGGGCCAACCTAGGACTCTGGAGTATGCAGACTTGGCCATTCGTCCATTGTGGCCTGCGGGTCGCACCCCAGGCATACTGAAAGGCCATACTCGTGGCTGGCTGCCTGCGGGCCTAAGCCTTCCCAGGATCTTCAGGACACTTGACAGACTTGTGTTTTCTGGTCTGAGCTGCCTCCACAGGTCCCTCCAGCAAGCCTCACTGCACCTCTCCCCTGCTGTTTGTGTTTGGAATTTTGTCTTCTTTAGCTGAGACCAAATTAAACCTTGGTGCATAAAGTGAGCTTAAAACTTGCCACTGTTTAGTAAGTTAGCCCCCATAGAATGTGACCCTGTCTGCAGAGTCTCATTTACCCCTCTTTTTCTCATTGTCATTTGTTGGCTTTATTAGGGCTGTCTTACAGGATCATGTTGGCATTTACTATCATGTCTTTATCATAAACCATGTTTGTTTGAGGTAGAAGAATCACCATATAATTCGTTGCCCAAATTGGGACTATTGAGAGAGAAAGGGGATGCTATTAATTACACCAGATCAAAAGGCATAAACCAGACCTGTCCCAGGCCGATGTGGAAATATGTTCTTTCTAGTTGTGGGTACCCTGATCTAGGTGGTTTGTAATTGTGCATTACTGACTGCATATGTTTGTGTATGTGTAAATGTGGGCTCCCTGTTAAGTGGGGCTCATGGATACGAGGCCTGAGGAAGTGTGGCTTGCTAGTCTGTTACGTTAACATGCTTTTCTAAAATTGCTTCACGTGTTAATTCATTTACTCCTGCATTCATTGACTGTTTTTGTTCTTTTCCATTCACTTTGTACTTATTTTTTTCATTAAATTTTGCATTTATTTTGAGTTTTTGTGGTGTCTTTTTTGGGCAGTAGCTTTTCTGATTTAACGTTTCCTGAGCCCATTAATCTGCTACAACTGTGGTAAAATACAGCTTGTCTGTTCTTTGAATTTTGTGGAGGTTGATCTACTTCTGTAGGAATTGTTTTAATAGGAAACCCTGCTACAGACATCTGTGAAAGGCTCTTGCATAGGTGGGGGATGGAGGGAAGAGTCACAGGAAAGTTACAGGAAGGTAAAGGGGCAGCCTGTGGTCCATGAATCTTTATTGGTTAACTGGGTGCAGGACATGAGAAAAGGGGCACCTGCCCTTGAGGAGTGTTCCTCCTTAACACAAAGGCTTGCCACGGGACTACTAATATTCGAGTGCCAGGACTGCTCGGAACCATATTACATGCATTAACTCCTCTAATCCTCATCCTAATCCTATGATTAGGGACCATTCATCCCCATTTTATAGCTGAAGCACAGAGGTTTAAGTAATTACCCAAGGTTACATGGCAAGTAACTGGAGAAGTTGAGATTTGAACGCTGGTAGTCTGTACCCTTAAATCCTGAGCTACACCTGCTCCTTGGCATCTCAATGGAATGATGGAAGAGTAGTGAAAGTGTGGCTAGTGTTAAAGTACACAGCCTGATGGTGTGGGCTGGTGGACCTGAGACTGTTTTTTAGAGGTAGAAAGCCCTAGGGGACAGGCAAAAGTGGCTGAGGAAGAGCAGACTGGTGAAAAGAAGTGATAAAAAGTATGTGGGTTTGTTTTTTAAGGAGCTTTCTCCATTGAGCACTAGGTAGGTTTGGGAAGACCAAAATGAGAAAATGGGGACCCCTGCAGGGAGAGTGGTATGAACACATCCCTAATGCAGGCATAGCTCAGCTCTACTTGTGCAGGCAGCAGGGAGGCAAAGTAAAGTATTCACCAAGCTTTGAAGGACAGAGACTCTCCAGGAAGCCAGGGGGAGGAGGGCCTCCTAGGTGGTGGAAACATCATCAAATGACTTGGCTCATTCATTTCAGGGAAGTACTGTTTGGACAAGTTTAAGACAGGTCTATGATGCTCCCCCTGCCCTGTTCCTCCCTGAGCCCACCTACCTTTCTTTCTGCCATAGCATCTGCCTCTGAGCTTTTTCCATCTCCATTTTCTTCAGCCTCATTCCTTCACCAATCCCTGCCTTTCAATAGCTGGGGTCAAAAGGAAAATAGATTGTATCCATATTTCTCCCTGAGAAATGTTTCCCAATCTCTGAGTTGAGGTGGGATAGGAGTTCCTAATGTCAGAAAAGAATATTAGAGGGAAGTAGGATGGGACCTGGGGCCCCACGGCAAGCTTGAAAAGCACATAAGATTTTTAAAAATCCACGAGTGGGACTTCGGCAATACAAAAGTGAGCTTCCCTATAGAAGAGTTCTATCATTTATAGAAAGCCAGAGCAGAAGGTTGTCTCTTACCCCAGTCCTAGGACTCACATGTCTACCCTCTGCTTTCTCCAAGAGGTTTGAGTTGGATCAGCTCTCAGAATCCAGCTCACATCCATAGCCACCTGGTTAAGCAGCAGATGTCTTCCAGCAGTTCCCCTAAAGCCTGGGATGCCTAAACTGGTATGGGCCCTCAGGATGTCCTTCTGCCTCATGCACTGTGGTCCCACTTACACTGGAAGGAAGGAGGCAGAGGGCACTCAACGGCCACCACTGGAAGCTGTGAGCAGCATGGCCTCAGCATCTCCATCTGTAAAATGGGTTCTGGACTAGAGGAGAGTTCTTGATATGACCTAGGAGATAGTGTTCCAAATGTATCTGACTCTCGCAAGGCTAAATGCATGGTAGCTCAAAATAAGACTCATACAGGATCGGAAGCAATTAAAGTGTAATTTTAACGAAAGCACCAACAAGCAAAAGTGTGTCAAGAAAAAATACAGATGTATACTAACTCTATAATATAGACAATTATAGTATATCTGGCCCTTGACCACTTTGCACCTAGTAAATCTTTCCCCTCCCACCCCATGGCTTAGCACATTTACACAAACACACCAAAAAAAAAAAAAAAAAAAAAAAACCATAGTTCACAGTGGAAGACTTCACAAACCACCTCTGAATGTGTGGCTCAGTCATTCATGCCCCCAACACAACTTACACAGCCCCAGCTGGCATCTTTGTCAGCTGCACTCCCCTGCTTAGAGAATGGCTCTGTGGTAGCACAGCATGAGAGAGGCAGCCGGCTCCTCCTCCTGGCAGCACTGTGGTTGGAGCAGGCTTGGCCTCAGAACCTGCTCATCCCAACAGAAAGCATTCAGAGCTGTGCCTCCCATCACAGGTGTTAGCCTATAATACCCATTCATTAGCACAAAATCCCTCTAGTTAAACTAATAACTGAAACCACTTTGCTTAAGAGTAACAAAGGAAAGATATGCCTAAAGCTTGCTCAAGTTACATTAAACAAAGCATACTTTATAATCCAGTCCTTGTAAAGGGAAGACATAAGTCATAGCCATGGTTGGGTAAATGCATCTGCAGAGACTGTCCCATGTGAGGAGTGGCAGGCAGGGTAGTTGGGACTGGAAGCACCACATATGTGTTTGGGATAAGCCTGGGAAGTTGGAAGGACCTGGCCAGCTCTGGCAGGTAGAGCAGCAAGAACTGGTCAGAGCTAGCCCCAGCCCTTCAGCCCTGAGCCAGGCCTGCCTCTTGGTTTCATATTCCAGCGCTCCCAGGGGCCAATGCCAACCCTTGCTGGAGAAGGAAGGTAAAACAAGCTGCCATTTGAACATTCATTCATACTCCCTGGCTTCAGGCCCAGAGGAGAAAAAGGGAAGACAGGGTCATAGTCTATCAGACCACCCTGACCTCTACTGACCTCAGCCTGCCTTTCCCCTCTCCCCTTTATTTTTTTTCCAAGGGCTCAGTTGGGAACTTTTTCTCAGTTGCTCTTCCAGAGCCACCTTCCCTTTTTACAGGATTCATAACAAGCCAAAGAACTCATGGTAGTCCAAGCAAGGAGGTTTCACACTATGCTCTGAAAGCCCCGGGGTGGAGGCAGAGGGGCTAGTTGGCAGGTGACACAAAGTTGTCTGTGCAGGAGGATGACTGAAGACTTCTCAGTTGCTGCATTACAAGTTCCTTGCAGCAGCTGTACTGCATATCACCAACCTGTATTAGAATAGAGTGGCCATCTTCAAGCAGAACCATCATACATTCTAAGAAATTGGCAATTGAGTGCCAAAATGTTAGCATGAAGCAAGTTCAGGAAGGTCCAACCACCCAACTAAGGACCACTAATCCTACCATCTCAGGGACATCCATTTCCAACCTCAGTAAAGTTGTCATTAGTCTAACTATGCATTCCATCCTAACCTATCTGTTCTGAGGGATTCTGACACACCCCTCTCCTCCTTGTGCCCCCACAATGCTTGCCTCATGGTACCCCTGTACCTGGTACCACACACTCATACAAAGGAGAGGTGAAGGAGTTTAGAATTTATGCTCCTCAGTATTAAGCTCAGGGTTGCTTCCTCCTAAGCCAGACATACCCCTGACTCCCCACAGTCCTCTTGGCTACAAGGGCTCCCATTGAGATAAAGATTCTCTCACTCTCAGAGACCACCCCCATTGGTCCAGTGAAGGGAACACATGTCCCATCTCAAGTGCATAGAGCGTGACCAAGTGTGGAAAGCCTAGCCTTTGGGCAGACTCTTTCCAGGGTTATGGCCAGAACATTTTCCAGAGGCTACAAGGGCAAAGGGTACCCCTTTGGGGTCAGAGTGTGTCAGCTAAAGGGGCAAAACACAGAGCCTGGTCTGGGGCAAAGTTGATGTCTACCTGTGCTTTCTTTAGCAGATCAGATATAGGAGCACACCAGCCGGGCATGAGCCTCTCCAGCTCTAAGGTGATGATGACCAAGGCCAGTGTGGAGCCCTTGAACTGCAGCAGCTGGTGGCCCGCCATACAGTGCTGCAGCTGCCTGGTCAGGGATGCGACGTGGAGGGAAGGATTCCTCTGAGGCAGCAGCTCCAACACATGGGGCCAGCTCAGGACCACCAGGGCATGGAACTGGAGACCATGGTTTTTAATGTTAGAACAGAAAACGCCATACTTTTCCTATATCAATGATCAAAAGTGCAAACAATTTAAATTTCCATCAGGGAACATCAAATGTTGCCCAACCCTTTTCATTCCTATCCATGGCTCCGTAAGGGGCTTGAGGCTTAATGCCCATCCTGTGGCCAAGCTGAGCTTCCACTCCGGGACCAAAAAAAAAAAAAAGTCTGCTTTGTGACATCATCGTTATGAGCGGAAAGTACCTAGATGACAATGTTTCCATTCTGAAAAATAGAAACATACTATTCAAGACCAAGGTAGCAGAAAAGTTACTTGTATCTGCTTATCATAAGACGAAACTCTGCAACTTGGCAACGGTGGCCAGTTTTCGTAATGAAACAGTCTTTAGTAATTTAATCTTCATGCTTCATAACAAACCAAAACCCCATGAGATTTCCACATTGCATAATTTTGCCTTACTAACAGAATCATATCCTTAAGGATGACCATCATTCCCCCAACTAAAACAAATACAAACTAATGTATGATATTTTTTTAAGTGCCAGATCAATATGGTCTAAAGCTTCAATAAGGATTGTGTGTAGGTGAATAAAGACAGCTAAGTGAATGTGTGTAAAGTGTAGCAAAAGCAGACAGATATTTATGTACAGTATTCATAGAATGGAAAGTTAAATATTTTTGCAGTGTGTATTTAAAAGAGAAACTCACCATAATAGTGCCGTCTAAAAATCTTTGTAAAGTTAATTTAATGTCCTTTAGAAGTGGGAGTCTGGTGGAACTGTGTTGGATTTAAGATACCTTTTCACTCTTCCGTATGTCATGAGCCTTGTGCGTCACCTCACTGTGGTGCATGTGCAAGGGCGTGTGCACGCCTGTGCTTTGCCATCCCATGTTGTAAACAGCTGTTCCAAAGGCACAAACGAGTTTAGGGTAGACTCTGTAAACACCTCCTTACTCACTATAGTCAAGAAGTCCAGCGGCGTCCCAATATAGAGGTCCCAGTGCAGTCTGTCCAGAATAGCCAGCTCCATCCTCAGCAGCTCATTCGGGGAATAGTCAGAGCCATAGTGCTTTGTGAAGTCTTTTACTTGTGGAATAAACTGTAAAAAGAAAATAAAGAGGCCAAAGCCCTACATCATGTCATAGTAGCTTTTGTTTTCTTACCCATGGGGACTGGGCATTCATGACCTTAGTGGAGTTGTCTTCCTGTGGCCTGCCACAGAAAATGCTTCTGAAAGAAATACTAAACCAGATCTTGGCTATCTGTCAAATCCTCAGGTAGTTATGTAGTGAACATCACATGGTCCCCCTCTGAAACCGGGTCTTGATCCCCCAGCTGCATGCTAGCTCATACCCAAAGGTGCTTTGGAGGCTGGGGCTGTGCCATCTCCCCTGTTCAGCTGCAAGAACTCACCCCAAGCTTTCCAGGAGCCATGGGTTCTGCCTCTCCCTATTCCTGATCCCTACCGTGGGTACTGGGCATAGAGAAAAAAACTATGCTTTTGAGCTTCCTAGTCTGTACCAGACACATTGATAAAACCTCCTATGGGTTTTTTAGCATCGCAACTGCAAACACATTTCCTTCAACCTTGATTGAAGGTGGTTCAGTTCTGGAAAAACTATGGCTTTTCCCACAGAGGGACTAATGAGGCTTGTCTATGAGTAAACATTTGAGTACCAAGTACATTAAAGGCTTGATCCTATGTTTTTAGATAAACAGAAGTATTACTATAACCTCCAGAAAAAGGGTCACTTGATTTTTAGTTGGACAAAAGCAACTTGGGCATTAATTCTATTCTAATAAACAGGAGTTTAAAACATTTTTATTGAAGGTTTGGAACTGGACACACAACTTCTTCCCTGCCTCCTCAGACCCAGAGATCAGCTAAGGGTGACCCCCGTGGCAATGGCAGTGATTTCACCATCCCCAAACTGGGAGAAGTTGGAGGGAGGTAGGAAAGCTTGGAAAGGGTATTAGGAGATGATCTCCTCCTGAACAGATGCCACAGTGAAATTCAGCCATCCAGCCATGCCTGAAATGCTCATGGGCCCCTTGTACTTTACCCCCAGCACATGGCCCTCCTGTCCCTCTCAGGGGTCCCAGAGTTCCCAAGGACCAGCTTCATTGACACAGCCAAGTCCTCAAGTCTCAAGCAGCTTTCTTAGACATAATTGCTTGGGGTGGATGTTAAGTCACATGGTTTGGGAGGCCTTTTTCCTTGCTCAACAGCAGATGCCCCTGTTTAGAGAGAGGTAGCATCTGTCATCAACCAGTGAGGCCAGATGTATCTGTCAAGAGTTCAGGTCTCTAGGTTTGGTGGGCCAGGACAGTTCAGCTGCTCTACTTGTTCATTTGTGGGGTCTCAAAGCCTGACAAGCCGATGGAAGGGATAGCAGAGATGCCGGCAAGTTGGTGACTTTTTCAAAACATCCACCATACCTAAGGGCACAGACCTATCAGGAAACTGGAGTCCTCCAATGTTACACCCCTATACCTCAAGTGCAGCCCAGTGTGGACTTCCAAGGATGCATACCTCCTCTTCTTCATTAACTTTTGCAGCGAGCCTCAAGGAAGTAATTGTGGCGCAATGCAGGTATTTCTCTTTTACCTGCAGTATGGAACAAACACATTTGAGCAGAATATGAATGCCAGAAACAAACTGAAAAGCATCTGTGTTTGTTTTCTTTTATACACTTTTTTGACATGGAGTCTCACTCTGTTGCCCAGGCTGGAGTGCAGTGGCATGATCTTGGCTCACTGCAACCTCCACCTCCTGATTTTGAGCGATTCTCCTGTCACAGCCTCCTGAGTAGCTAGGACTATAGGGGCGGGCCACCACACCTGGCTAATTTTTGTATTTTTAGTAGAGACAGGGTTTCACCATGCTGGCCAGGATGGTCTCCAACTCCTGACCTCAAGTGATCCACACCCCTTGGCCTCCCAAATTGCTGGGATTACAGGCGTGAGCCATTGCGCCCAGCCGTTTGTTTTAATAAGCTTTTTTTTCCCATTTTTAAAAGGCTCAATTTCTCCACAAGACAGAATGTTAGTGCCGTTTTTAGATCTGACCAACGAAGATGCTCCTGATTTCAGAACTGCAGATGACTGGGCAGTATTCCTTCATTTCGGGACTGACTGGAGGTGGGAAATATGGCACCTTCTCAGGGAACCCAGTCTCATCCTAGCCTCAAGCTGCCCTCGACAGGTCGAGACAAGCACATCCTACCTCATTACACAGGAAGCCCTTTCCCAGCTAGGTCCTCTCACGCTCCCCAAGTCCAATCCTGATGACTACATGACCCTGAGACAGCCAGTGTAGGATGTGGAGAGGTTCCAACACCAGCTCTTCCACTCGGAGCAAGTTAGTTTATACACCTTGGTTTTGAGCATCTGGAAACCCTCACCTCTCAAGCAGGAATGGGGAGCAAAGGTTAGTTTCTTCTCTCACCATCTGCCACCGTCCCTCAGAGGCCTCCCTACCTTCACTGAAATCAGGAGGCGGCCAAAGATGGTGAGGGCCAGGTTAAAAGTGGACTGGGAGAAGTAAAAGGTGTTCTGAAGCCGCAGGAGCCACAGCACGACTTCCTCGAAGGCGTCGCAGATTTCATCCTGCTAGGAAGAAGAGCAGGTGGGGCGAGGAAGGTCGCTAGCGGCCACTCCTGGTCCCCCAGCAGCAGGAGCCTCCTGCTTAAGGTGCGGGGGGTGGGGCAGTGAGAAGTCCCTTCCTCTGCATGCCCGCTGGGAGTAAGCGCCCCCCGGCGCAGCGGCTCACCCATCACCCCCACCCCTCGCGCCCACTTTTCGTCGTAGGCTGAGTTCCTTGATTCAAACAGGCCCTCTTCCGAAGGCCCTGCTAGCAAGACGCCCTCCTAGAGAGAAGCTGGTGGATCCAGCCTCGTGCCTCTCGTGAGGGGCCACACCTGGGGAAGGGCCCGGCCTCCAGTTTCAGAACACCCGAGCGCGGGTGCAGGTGGAGGCCACATCCGCCTGCCGTGCACGCGCGAGGAGGGCCACGCGGCAGCGACGGGTACCTGGGGTTTGCCGCCCCGCCACAGGCGCGCCTCGCGGTCCTGGGCCAGCTGCAAGTGGCAGAGCAGCCGGCGCTCGTCCAGGTCGCCTTCCAGGTTGCGCGGCTTGCGGGACTGTGGAGCCGGCCGCGGAGCTTGCTCTGGGGCGGCGGCGGGGACCGCGTCTGCGGTTTTCCCGGCTGGCGCCGTACCGCGCCGGGGCCGCACGGGGACTGCTGCGGACGCCGCGTGGAGGGAGGCCGCTCCGGGCTGGCGGGTCCCAGGGCACCTGCTCCGGTTGCTTCGGGGCAGAGGGGCCTCCCCCGGAGACGGCGGGAGAGGAACGCCCAGGGCTGTTTCCTCCAGACCGGCGCCGGGACGCCCGCCTGGGCTCTGGACGGCGCTGACCTCTGAGCTCGACGGCTGCGGCGGGAGCTGAGCGCCCGAGGCCATGTCGTGAGCGGGATCCTGAGTCTGAGTTGCCGCTTAACCCGGCATTTTATAACCCAGCTCCCGGAACACTGCAGCCTGGGGCGCCGCCGGGGGAGGTGGGGAGGCGGGCTCGGCGGGCCCCACCCACAACGCTCGCGGTGGAGCTACCTCTGGCGCACCGGGCCGCGCCTCGCCTCCTGGGCACTCGCCCCGCGGGTGGGCGGCGCGCACCCAGGATGCGGCAGGACTGGGCGCGCACAGGCGGGTGGCGGACCCCCTCCCTTCCCTCCATCCCCGCTGCTGCCTAGCGCACGCCTCCTCCCCCCTGCCGGCCGTGCTCCCTGAGCAGAGCCCCCAGCCAGGGGTGGGGCGGCTGGAGACTGCGCCCGCCTTGGGCCAGGACTCCCGGACACAGACCCTGGGTCTTACCTCACATTACACACTTGGGGACACAAGACCAGGTAAAGAAGCAGCGAGAGCGCCCTCCTCAGACAGGCTTGAAATGGAATTCCAGACGCGCTGTGTGATCTCATGCATGTGTCGTGACCTCTCAGAGCCTTGGCTACCTCTTCTCCGAAAAAAAAAGTGATAATACCTCCCTCACAAGGTGATTCATTCATATACATATATGTTTATGTATCTATACATACATATATAGCTATAAACGTATAATAAGGAAAATCATACAAATCATATATATGTATACACATACATACATAAATTTTAGGGGTGGATCTTGCTATGTTGCCCAAGCTGGAGTGCAGTGGCTATTCTCAGGTGTGATCGCAGCACACTACAACCTCAAACTCCTGGACTCAAGCTACCCTCAACCTCAGCTTCTCAAGTAGCTGAGACTTACAGGTGCACACCACCACACCTGGCTCCTAAGTTATATTTTGTTTAAAAAATTCATTACATTAAATGTATATTAAAAATATATGGGAATACCAGAAGGACAAGAAAGAGAGGAACAGAAGAAATATTTGAAACAATAACGACTGAGAATGAATATTTCCAAATTAATGCCAAACACCAAACCACAATTCTAGGAAGCTCTGAGAACATTAAGCAAGATAAATGCCAAGAACTACACCTAGACATTCCTATTTAAACCGTAGAAAATCAAAAGAAACTATCAACAGAGTCAGCAGACAACCTATAGAGTGGGAGAAAAGTATTAGCAAAGTAAGCATTCGACAAAGGTCTTAATATCCAGAATCTGTAAGGAATTTAATTAAACAAGCAAAAAACAACCCCATCAAAAAACAGGCAAAAAGACATGAATAGACTTCTCAAAGGGAGATATACAAGTGGTCAACAAACATGAAAAAATGCTCCACATCACTAATCATCAGAGTAATGCATCTCACACCAATCAGAATGGCTACTATTAAAAAGTCAAAAACCAACAGACGCTGGTGAGGCTGCAGGGAAAAGGGAATGCTTATACACTGCTGGTGGTAATGTAAATTAGTTCAGTCACTGTTGAAAGCAGTTTAGAGATTTCTCAAACAACTTAAAACAGTACTATTCAACCCAGCAGTCCCTTTACTGGGTATATACGCAAAAGGAAAATAAATTGTTCTACCATAAAGACACATACATTTGCATGTTCATCACAGTACTAGTCACAGTAGCAAAGACATGGAGTCAACCTAGGTGCCCTTCAGTGATCGACTGGATAAAGAAAATGTGGTACATATACAATATGGAATACTATGTAGTCATTAAAAAGAATGAAATCATGTCCTTTGTAGCAAACATGGATGAAGTTGGAAGCTATTATTCCAAGCAAATGAACACAGGAACAGAAAATTATATACTACATGCTCTCACTTTTAAGCGAGCATTGAGTACACATGGACGTAAAGATGGCAACAGTAGACACTGGAGGCTACCAGAGCGGGGAGGGAAGGAGGGGACAAGGGTTGGATAACTATGGGGTACTGTGCTCAGTACCTGGGTGACAGGATCATTCATACCCCAAATATCAGCATTGCACAATATACCAGAATCTAAAATAAAAGTTGAAAAAAGCCTGCAGGAAATCAAGATTAAAAAAAAAAAATCTCAAAAGAAGCTGGCCTGTAATCTCAGCACTTTGGGAGGCTGAGGTGGGCGGATCACTTGAGGTCAGGAGTTCAAGACCAGCCTGGCCAATATGGTGAAACCCTGTCTCTACTAAAAATACAAAATTAGCCAGGTGTGGTGGCACATGTCTGTAGTCCCCGCTACTCAGGAGGCTGAGGCACAAGAATCGCTTGAATCCAAGAGGTGGAGGTTGCAGTAAACTGAGATCATGCCACTGCACTCCAGCCTGGGTGACAGAGGGAGACTCCATCTCAAAAAAAAGAAAAGAAAAGAAAAAAGAAAGAAAGAAAGAAAGAAAGAGCAAGCAAAGCTGGGAGCAGGAGCTGGGTAGGATGAGGTGGAAATAAGATAAGGTGGGATAAGGATAAGAATCACATTGGACTTGTCTTCGGAAATCATGCAAGCAAGAAGAGAGTGGGGTGAAATATTTAAAATTTTGAGAGAAAACCCCCACCATCCTAGAATTCTGTATTCAGTGAAATTATCCTTCAGAAGTGAAAGAGAAATACTTTTACAAACAAAATTGAAGGTATTTCTCACCAGTAGACCTGCTTTGCAAGAAATGTTAAAAGAAATTTTTCAGAGAGAAGGAAAATGATATAGGTCATAAATTTCGACATAAAGAAAGAACTTTAAGGAATAAGTGAAAGTAAAATAAAACTTTTGTTTTTCTTATTCCTAATTGATCTAATAATCATTTATTCAAAATAATAATAATGTATTTGATGATTGTAGGTTATGGATAAGTTGAATGAATGACAATAATGATACTAGCCATGAGAGGGAAGAATTAAGAATACTTTGTTTTAAGTTACCTGCATTACCTGGAAAGCAGTATAATGTTACTTGAAAGTGGACTTGAATTAGTTATAAATGTATATTGCCAACTCTAGGGCAACCAGCAAAAAAAGTTTTTAAAAAGTATAATTCATATGCACTAAGAAAGGAGAGAAAATGGAATCATATAAAATGCTAATAACACCAGATGGTAGCTTGAATCCACAGGAAACAAGGAAGAGAACGAGAAATAATAAGAAGATTAATATTACAAATTATAAATATAAACTTGGCTCTGTTTTCTTCTCTCGGCTACTTTGGAAGATTTAAAATACATAAAATTTTATAACATAAAGTTATAACAAAGTATTGTTTGGTTTATAACATGTAAATGTAATCCATATAACAATAATAGCACAAAAAGAGGAGGAGGGAATAGAGCTATACGGGAGTTACATTTATATATGTCACTGGAATTCAATTATTATAACTCTGAAGTATTATAGATTCTGATAAGATCTATATTGGAAGCCCTAGAGCTTTTTTTTTTTTTTTTTTTTTTTTTTGAGACGCAGTTTCACTCTGTCACCCAGGCTGGAGTGCAGTGACGTGATCTCAGCTCACTGCAACCTCTGCCTCCCGGGTTCAAGCGATTCTCCTGCCTCAGCCTCCCAAGTAGCTGGGACTACAGGAGCCCACCACCATGCCCAGCTAATTTTGTATTTTTAGTAGAGACGGGGTTTCACCATATTGGCCAAGCTCGTCTCAGACTCCTGACCTTGTGATCCGCCCACTTTGGCCTCCCAAAGTGTTGGGATTACAGGCATGATCCACTGTGCCCGGCCTTTTTTTTTTTTTTTTTTTTTTTTGAGACGAAGTCTTGCTCTGTTGCCCAGGCTGGAGTGCAATGGTGCGATCTTGGCTCACTGCAACCTCCGCCTCCTGGGTTCAAGCGACTCTCCTGCCGCAGCCTCCTGAGTAGCTGGGATTACAGGTGTACGCCACTGTGTCTGGCTAATTTTTCTGTTATTTGTAGAAATGGGGTTTTTCCATGTTGGCAAGGCTGGTCTCGAACTCCTGACGTCAAGCGATTCACCTGCCTCTGTCTCCCAGAGTGCTGGGATTACAGGCATGAGCCACTGGGCCTGCCAAGAAAATAACTTTAAAAAATAGTAAACCAATAATTAAAGAAATTCAAATGTTAAACTATAAAAGATTCACATAATGAAAAACCATTGAAGGAGGAACAGAGGAACAGAAAGACAATATGACGTATTAAAAAACAAAAAGCAGGCTGGGCATGGTGGCTCACTCCTGCAATCCCACCACTTTGGGAGGCTGAGGAGGGAGGACTGCTTGAGCCCAGCTGTTTGAGACCAGCCTGGGCAGCATAGAGAGACCGCGTCTCTACCAAAAAAAAGAAAAAGCAGGGTGTGGTGGCACACACCTGTGGTCCGAGCTACTTAGGAGGCTGAGGCAGGAGGATGGCTTGAGGCTTGAGCCCAGGAAGTTGAGGCTGCAGTGAGCCTTGTTTGTATCATTGCACTCCAGCCTGGGTAACAGAGTGAGGCCCCATCTCAAAAAAGGAAGGAAGAAAGGAGGGATGGAGGGAGGGAGGGAAGGAAGGAAGAAAGGAGGGATGGAGGGAGGGAGGGAGGGAAGGAAGGAAGGAAGAAAGGAGGGATGGAGGGAGGGAAGGAAGGAAGGAAGGAAGGGTGGAAGGGAAAGAGGGAGGGAGGAAGGAAGGGAAAACAAAAAGCAAAATGGGAGACTTAAATCTAATATTATCAATAATAACATTAAATGTGAATGGGCTAAATAATTGTATTAAGTCTGCTAGGGCTGTGTTATGGACGGAATGTTTGTGTCCCTCCCAAATTCATATTTTTTTTTTGTTTGTTTTTTGTTTTTGAGACGGAGTCTTGTTCTGTCGTCCAGGCTGGAGTGCAGTGATGCCATCTCGGCTCACTGAAAGCTCCACCTCTTGGGTTCAAGAGATTCTCCTGCCTCAGCCTCTCGAGTAGTTGGGACTACAGGCACATGCCACCATGCCCGGCTAATTTTTGTATTTTTAGTAGAGACAGGGTTTAGCCATGTTGGCCAGGCTGGCCTTGAACTCCTAACCTCAAGTGTTCCTCCCGTCTTAGCCTCCCAAAGTGCTGGGATTACAGTAGTGAACTACCACACCCTGTTGCAAATTCATATTTTGAAACCCTAACCTGCAATGTGATGGTATTTAGAGATGAGGCCTTTGGGAGGAAATTAGGGCTCTCAGACATCATGAGGGTGGGACCCTTGGGATGGAATTAGTGCCCTTCTAAGAAGAACTTGCTCCCTATCGCTCCCTATCCTCAGCTTATTCTGTGAGGCAAGTATCACCCTGATGCTCTAACCAAGAAAGAGAGAGAGACAGAGAGAGAGACAGAGAGACAGAGAGAGAGCCAGAAAAGAAAACAAGGTTGGTTTTAACATCTAAAAATCAATATGTATCTGATAAAGGACATAAACACATTATATCAGAAAAAGCATCTGACAAAATCTGACACTTTTTCATAATAAAAAACACTCCACAAACTAGAAAATGTTCCAGCATAAAGGGCATTTATGAAAAACCTGCAGATAACATCAGACTTAATGGTAAATGACCAAATACTTTCCACCTGAAATCATCAATAAGACAAGAATGTCTGTGTTCACAGCTTCTGTTCAACAATGTACAGGAGAGTCCAGCTAGGGCAATTAGTCAAGAAAAAGAAAAAGCATCCAGGTTGGAAAGAAATCATATCATCTTTATTTGCAGATGATATGACTTTGTATATAGAAAATCTTAAGGAATCCACTAAAAAGAAAGTTCAGGAAAGTTGCAGAGTACAAGATCAATGTACTATAAAAGTCAACTTTATTTCTATACACTTTAATGAATAATCTGAAAATGAATTTTAAAAAACAGTTTCATTTACAACAGCATAAAAAGAATAAAATATTTGTTAAAAAAATTAGCCGGGTGTGGTGGCACGTGCCTGTAATCCCAGCTACTCGGGAGGATGAGGCAGGAGAATCGCTTGAACTCGGGAGGGAGGTGGAGGTTGCAGTAAGCCAAGATTATGCCATTGCACTCCAACCTGGGCCACAGATTGAGACTCCATCTCAGAAAACAAACAAACAAACAAACAAAAAATAAAGTATTTGGGAAAAATATTAATATAATCAAAAAATGTAAAACTTATACATTGAAAACTACAAAACATCACTAAAAGAAATTAAAGAAAACCTAAATAAATGGAAAGACATTCTGTGTTCATGGGTAGGAAGACTTAAATTGTTAAAATGGCAATACTTTCCAAATTAATCTACATATTTTGCATAATCCCTGTTAAACTTCCAGCTGTCTTTTTGCAGATATCAACAAAGTGTTCTTGAAATTCTTATAGCAATTCAAGGGATTCAAAATGGCCAAAACAATCTTGAAAAAGAAGAAAGTTGGAGGCCCCACACTATATAATTTCAAAACTTACTACAAACATGTAGTAGTCAGGACAGTGTGGTATTGGTATTAGGATGGACTATACATCAGTGGACTAGAATTGAGAGTCTAGAAATCAATGCTCACATTTACGATCAGTTTAACAAAGGTGCCAGTTCAATGGGGTAAAGAATAGGTTTTTCAGACAAGATCAGGCTCTTTCAGGGTGGTATGGCTGTAGACAAGAATAGTCTTTTCAGCAAATGGTTCTGGGACAGCTGGATATTCACATGCAGAAGAATGAATCTGAGTCCCTCCATCACACTCTATACAAAAATAAAATAGTACCGGGCATGGTGGATCACGCCTGTAATCCCAGCACTTTGGGAGGCTGAGGCGGGTGGATCACTTGAGGTCGGGAGTTTGAGACTAGCCTAACCAACGTGGAGAAACCCTGTCTCTACTAAAAATACAAAATTAGCCGGGCATAGTGGCGCATGCCTGTAATCCCAGCTACTCAGGAGGCTGAGGCAGGAGAATTGCTTGAACCCGGGAGGCAGAGGTTGCGGTGAGCCAAGATCGCGCCACTGCACTCCAGCTTGGGTGACAGAACGAGACTCTGTCTCATAAACAAAAAACAAAAAGCAAAACAAAACAAACAAACAAACAAACAAAAAAACAAACCCCGGGCCGGGCACGGTGGCTCACGCCTGTAATCTCAGCACTTTGGGAGGCGGAGGCGGGCGGATCACGAGGTCAGGAGATTGAGACCATCCTGGCTAACACAATGAAACCCCGTCTTTACTAAAAATACAAAAAAAAAAAAAAAAAAAAAATTAGCCAGGCGTGGTGGCGGGCTCCTGTAGTCCCAGCTACTCAGGAGGCTGAGGCAGGAGAATGGGTGAACCCAGGAGGCGGAGCTTGCAGTGAGCCGAGATGGCACCACTGCACTCCAGCCTGGGCGACAGAGTGAGACTCCGTCTCAAAAACAAAAACAAAAAACCCTGAAAAATAGGTTATAGACCTGAATGTGACAGCTAAAACTATAAAACTCTAGGTAAATCTTCATAATCTTGGGTTAGGAAATGGTTTCTTACTTATCAAAAGCATAGTGACAAAAGAAAAAATATGTAAATTGGACTTGATCAAAATTTAAAACTTTTGTGCTTCAAAGGACGATATCCATAAAGTAAAAAGAAAACCCACAGAATGGGGGAAAATATTTGCATGTCATATACTTGAAAAGGGCTTTGCATTCAGATTATGTAGAGAACTCTTACAGCTTAATAATGAAAAGGCAAATAAAATGGGTAAAGGGTTTGAATGGACATTTCTCCAAAGAAGTTATACAAATTGCAACAGCACATGAAAAAAAATGCTCAACATCATTATGATCAGGGAAATGAAAATAAATAAATACTCCAGCAAGATACTACTTTACACAAAAGTGAGTGTTGGCAAGGATGTGGAGAAATTGTAAACTTTACATGTTACTGGTGGGAATTTAAAATGGTGCACTACTGTGGAAAACAACTTGGCAGTTCCTCAAAATGTTAAACATTAGCATTACCAAATGATCCAGCAATTCTACTTCTACATATGTAACCAAGAGGAATGAAAACATAGGCTCATACAAAAACTTGTAGCAGCATTATTCACGATAGGCAAAAAGTAGAAACAACCCAAATATCCATCAATGACAAATAGGTAAAAAAACATGTTATAGCCATGCAATGGAATATTATTCAGCCATAAAAAGTAACAAATTGCTGATATATGCTATAATAGGGATACAGCTTGAAAACTTTGTAAGTGAAAGAAGTTACTCACAAAAGGCTGCATATTGTGTAATTTCATTTATATGAAATGTCCAGAATAGGCAAATCCACAGAGATAGAAAGTAGATTGGTGGGTTGTCTAGGTCTGGGATGTTGGGAGTGGGGTGGGAGGAGGGTTGCAGAGAGCAAGGGGGAGTGGCTTATGAGTACAGAATGTCTTTTTGGAATGATAAAAATGTTCTAGGTTATGGTTGCACAACTCCATATATAGTAAGAACTATTGACTTGTACAATTTAAATCGGTGATTGTATGGTATGGTGTGTAAATTATATCTCAGTAAAGCTTGTATGTGTGTATATATAAAATATTGAATGGTGATAGGTACTATGGAGAAATATAAAGTGGGGAGGGAAAAAAAGAAGAGTTTGGGCTGAAGGTTGAAATTTTAAATAAGGAAATCATGTTAGGGTTCACTGGGGTTATGTGAACAAAGACTTTCTGGAGGAGGTGAGTGGTCAGGTGGTTTTTTAGGGAAAGAGCTGTCTAGGCTGCCTGGGTTTGGACCTGGGCTCTGCCATTGTTTATATGTATGACCTTGGAAAAGTTATTTAATGGTCCTGTGCCTCAATTACTTTATCTGTAAAATAATAATAAATAGTATCTATTTCAAAAGGTTATTGTGTGGATTAAATGAATTAAAAAACGAAAGCATGTAGAACAGTACACTGGCACTATGTAAAATGCTTTATCTTTATTTCTATCAGTTCCTACTGCAAGCTCACAGCCCTTGCATGCTAAGATGGAAGCACGACGGGAATGTTGGATGAAGCAAGGAGGCCAGGTGGGGCTGGTGCAGAAGAAGCAAGAGGGAGGATTGTAGGGCTTGTGGCTTTAGCTTTGTAAGATGGGAAATCAATGGAGGGTTTTGAGCAGAGAAAAGAGAAGATCTGATTCATGTTTTAGCACCAGCACTCTGGCTCCTGTCCAGCACACTGAAAAGGGACAAGGACACACAATCAAGGAAACCAGTTCTGAGCGATTGTAGTAATGCACGTGAGAGACGATGGTGGTGGTAGAAGTGGCCAAATTCTGGTTCCACTACAAAGATAGATACAACAGGCTGTATTTAAAGATAGAATATTGTGTATGAAAGAGACTGCAATTTTGACCTGAGCAGTTGTCGGAATTAAGCTCCCACATATTGAGATGAAGAAAGTCTGAGAGGGATGAGAGAGAGCCCTTTTAAATTTTTTGATGGGGGTGGAGTGGGTAGTGGGGCGATTGATGGGGGATCAAGATTTCAATTCTGGACATGATTAACTTGAAATGCCCATTACACATTCAAGTGGACTAGAAAGAGGATGGACGGATCACTGGTTCTTTGACCAACACGTATAAAAATCCCACTCTGTGCCAGGCTCTGTGTGGGCTCTGGAGATAGATGTGAGAATACTAACAATCTCCTTAAGAGAGCTCACTTTCTAATGGTAAGACAGGTCATGAGGAAGTTAGCAATCAAGCGAGGTCAGGTAGGTAAGGTCTTCAATTCTTCGGATGAGACAAAATGTACAATTGCTATTACTGATTTTAATATTCCGGGTATTGCAAGGGCCAGAAGACGGGCCTAAGAGCAGCTCCTCCTCCCAACCCCGGGCTGCCAGGTTACCTCCGCCTCAGTGCGTGCCACATTTCTAGCGCAGCAGAATGGCAGCATTGCGCACGCGCGGCCTCAGTCTGGCGTCCTAGGAGATGGACTCGGAAAGCCTCCGCGCAGGCGTAATTCAAGGGCCGAGAGAGCCTGAGACTGGGCTTGGGGCGGGGCGAGCTCGGAATGCGGCTGCGCACTGGGCGCTCTCGCCCGAGAAGCCGCAGTCTCGAGAGCGTCAACGAGGTGTTTCGGTAGTCTCTGGCCATCCTTTCTGCGCACCCGGTGTCGCTGGGCTGCACCCCGGGCGGGGACGTCCGCCGGGCACGGGAGGGGGCCAAGATGCCGGTGAGGAGAGTCGCTTCGCTTCTGGGGTTTCTTCTCATCCTAGCGGCCTGGCCCGGGGGCGCGGCCGTTGCCATGGAGGCGCGGAGCCGGCAGGCGGCCTGGGTGGGGCGGGGCAGGCTCGGTCGTGCGGTGGAGGTGGTTGGAGAGCCTGGCTGGTCAGCCCCGGGGCCGCGGGGGTCCGGCCGGCCTCGACAGGGACCTGGGGTCAGGCCCTGCCGCCCTCGTCGCTGCTGCATCCCGTGGGGCCTGCGCCGCTTATCAAAAAGGCGCTGTGCTGGAGGATGCGCTCTGGCTCGCAGCCCTTCCTGCTGAGCGGGGCGTCTGGGGGTGGCCACGGTGGGGCTCTTTGGATGCTGCACACCTGGTGAGGCCTTTGCGCCTCGGAGCAAGCGCAGGGAGGCAGCGGAGCGAAGGCTGCCTGCCCCTATTCCAGGCCCCATACTCCGAGTCTCCTAGCCTTGAGCTGTCATTGCTCTTGTGGCGCTTTAGCTTATGATGCAGAATGAAACCCGTAGGTGTCTTTGTGTGTGTGGCGGTGTTATGTTTATCTTCCAGGATTTCACAGATTGTTATCGTGAACTTAATAATGGGGCCTTCTAAGACCCCTTATTAGGGGTCATGGAGGAAAATTGAGCCATGGCCGCTTATTTAGTGGTTGTGAGGCCTCGGATAATTATTTAATCTGTCTGGGTCCTTAGTTCCCATGTAAACTTTACCTCATGGGGTTGTTATCCGCGTGAAATAATACACAGGAGACTAGAAGGACAGTGCTTGACATTTAAGATTAAATGCTCTATATTTGTTCTGTTCACTGCTTTCAAGTTTTAATTCAGTAAATATTGGGCACCAACCACATGCTAGGCCCTGAAGATACAACATTGAGCAACACCAGTCAGGTTCTTGAACTTGGAAAGAGAGAGGCTTGCCTTCTTGGGCAGAGGTGAAAATCATACATATTTACAGACGTAAGACACAAAACCTTAATAATGAAGTGGGTGGGTATCCTACAATAGAGAGAAGTAGATTCTGGTGAATTGGAATGTATTGCCATGTAAGAATGATGGTCTGCAGATGATAACAGGTCATTTTTTTTCCTCCCAAGAAGAGACTTTAGAAATTATTTTTGTGAAATTTCTCAATTTTAGCAACTAATTCAAAAGCTCTTTAAATACTATGAACCAAACAAAAGAAATTTGTGGGCTGAATTCAGCCTCTTGACTACCTGTTTGCAACCTCTGGTGTAGACAGAAAGACATTAATCAAATAAGGAACAAGCAAAAGTAAAATTTGTGTCCAGGAAGGGGAGAGCAGGGTGCTCTCTGAGCCTATAAGAGTATTTGACCTAGTCAGGAAGTCTTCCCAGGTGAAGTGGCTGTTGAGTTCTGAAGGATAAGTAGATGTTAACTAAGTGAAGAGGGGATTGAAGATGGTTCTAGGTAGAAGGAACAGCACATGGAAAGGCCAGTGGTGAGGAGCATGGTGACAAGAAAAGGCCAAGCAGCTCAGTGTGGCTGTGGCATGGATGAGCCAGGCAGAATATCTTGTGAAATAAGCCCAGTGAAGCAGACGTGGGTGGAAGCCAGACCTTACAGACCACCTTAAGGATTCTGGTTTTTGTTCTGAGATCTATGGGAAACCACTGAAGAATTTTTAAGTAGGAGAGTGACATGATTAGATGTGTGTTGACACTGACTGCTATTTGGAGAATAGGCAGTAGGGCAATCTGATTAGATTCAGGAGTATAGTTAGGAGGCAGTAATCCAGGGCCAAGATGATGGTGATTTAGACTAGGGTGATGAATAGATGAGAGGAATAGGATGAGAGATAGATAGAAGTGTATTGTACTGATATAATCTGTTACTTGTCAGTGACAATGTCAGAGTCAATGACAATGACTCATATTTGTTTCTCTTCAATGCTTAGAAGAGAATCTGAAACAGTAGGAATTTAACAAGTATCTGTTCAACTAAACTGTCCTTTTCACTTCAATAATAGGATTGTGTTTCATTATATTTTCTTAATCATAAAATTTCAGAAATGACGGGGTGCGGTGGCACATGCCTGTAATCTCAGCACTTTGGGAGGCCGAGGTGGGTGGATCACTTGCGGTCAGGAGTTCGAGACCAGCCTGGCCAACATGATGAAATTCCGTCTCTACTAAAAATACAAAAATTAGCTGGGCATGGTGATGGACGCCTGTAATCCTAGCTGCTGGGGAGGCTGAGGCAGCAGAATCGCTTGAGCCTGGGAGGCAGAGGTTGCAGTGAGCTGAGATCACGCCACTGCACTCCAGCCTGGGTGACAGGGTGAGACTGTGCCTCATAAATAAGAAAAAAAAAATTCAGAAATGGAAACTTTACATATACAAATGCTTATAAGGTTAGGTAATACTAAGGCATTTTTCTTTGCCATTAGACTTTCATTTCTGTCTTTATCTTATTATTGTTTTCTGTAGAGAAGATAAGCCATATATGGATATATTACATGATAAAAACCATTTTACAGATGCGTGATAGGAAATAAAACTAAAGTCTCAGGGGAAACAAAGGACCTACTATTTTCTTGAGTTAAAGTTGTTAACCATGTTCACATGTGTTTTCCTACAGGCAGGAAACGCTGGGTCAGAGACTTTTGTGCAAAAAGATGATCTATAATATACTGGTTCAGTTTCTGCTTGTACAGCCTTTGCCACAAATGTGAACTAGCTCTTCTCTCCCTTTTACATTTTAAAAGAAACGATTTTCCTTTTTGTATCTTTTAATAAACTTTTCAGCTATATGTAAGATCTTTAATTGCATTTAACAAATACCTGTGAAGTGTTTAATGTGTGCAAGGCACTGAGTTGGAAAAGTAGCCTTTTAAAGTTTATAAATTTAATCTGATGAGGGTAAAAATTAATGTTCTTTTCATTATTTGTAAATATTATCTCCAACAGATCAATAAATCAGAGAAGCCAGAAAGCTGCGATAATGTGAAGGTTGTTGTTAGGTGCCGGCCCCTCAATGAGAGAGAGAAATCAATGTGCTACAAACAGGCTGTCAGTGTGGATGAGATGAGGGGAACTATCACTGTACATAAGACTGATTCTTCCAATGAACCTCCAAAGACATTTACTTTTGATACTGTTTTTGGACCAGAGAGTAAACAACTTGATGTTTATAACTTAACTGCAAGACCTATTATTGATTCTGTACTTGAAGGCTACAATGGTAAGTGAATCTTTACTTTTTAAAAAACTCCCTTATTGAGACATAATTACTGTGCCATAAATTCACATATTGCAGCTGTGCAGTTTGATGAGTGTAGTAAATATATACAGTTGTGAAACCATCATCACAATCCAGCTTTAGAACACCCTTGTCATCCTCAAAATTTCCTTTATGCCCATTTGCAGACCCACCCCCAAGCAACTATTGATCTGCTTTCTGTCACTATAATTTTGCCTTTTCTTGAAATGTCATATAAATGATGTCATATAATATGTCACCTTTTTTATCTGTTTTCTTTCACATCAAATAATGTTTTTGAAGTTTATCCTGCTAGGATTTTCATAGGGATTGTGTTGAATTGTCATTCTGACAATATTGAGTCTTCAGTCCATGAACATGATACTTCTCTTCATTTAAAACGTTGAAACATTAATGAATTATGGACAGGGTCTTGCTCTGTTGCCCAGGCTGGAGTGCAGTGGTGCAGTCATAGCTTACTGCAGCCTTGAACCTGGGCTGAAGCTATCCTCTCACTTCTGCCTCCTGAGTAATGAGAACTACAGCTGTGCGCCACCACACCTGGCTCATTTTTTTGTTTTTGTAAAGACTGGGTCTTGCTGTGTTGCTCAGTCAGGTCTTGAACTCCTAGGCTCAAGCAATCTCCTACTGAGGCCTTTCAAAGCCCTGGGATTTCCCATGTCAGCTACCATGTCCAGCTTCTCTCCATTTATTTATATCTTAATTTCTCTCATCTGTATTTTGTAGCTTTTAGTGTACAAGTATTGCACTTGTTTTGATTAATTTATTCCTAAGTATTTTTTTGATGCTATTGTGAATAGGATTGCTTTCATAATTTCAATTTTGGATTGTGTGTTACTAATATATAGAGATGAAATTGATTTCTTTAGGTAGCTTTTGTGATAAAATTCAAATATCAAATTTATGATTTTAACCATTTTACACTTTATAGTTCATAGGTACATTTACAATGTCGTACAGCTGTCACCGCTGTCTGTTTCCAGAACATTTCTATCACTCCAAAAAGAAACCCTGTATCCATTAGCAGTCAGTCACTCCCAATCCATTACCACCTCCCTTCCCCCAACCCAGCAACTACTAATTTACTGTCTATATCTATTCTATGAGTTTGCCTATTCTGGACATTTTCTATAAATGGAATTATATGCTATGTGGCCTTTTGTGAATAACTTCTTTCACTTACAGTGTTTTCAAGCTTCATCCCTATTGTAACATATAAACATATATCAGCAATTCATTACTTTTTTTTTTTTTTTGGAGACGGAGTCTTGCTCTGTCGCCCAGGCTGGATTGCAGTGGCGTGATCTTGGCTCACTGCAACTTCTGCCTCCTGGGTTCAAGCGATTCTCCTGCCTCAGCCTCCTGAGTAGCTGGGACTACAGGCGCCCGCCAACACACCCAGCTAATTTTTTGTGTTTTTAGTAGAGACGGGGTTTCACCGTGTTAGCCAGGATGGTCTTGATCTCCTGACCTTGTGATCCGCCTGTCTCAGCCTCTGAAAGTGCTGGGATTACAGGCGTGAGCCACTGCACCTGGCTGATTTTTGTATTTTTAGTAGAGACGGGGTTTCACCATATTGGCCAGGCTGGTTTTGAACTCCTGATCTTGTGATCCACCCGCCTCGGCCTCCCAAAGTGCTGAGATTACAGGCGTGAGCCATTGCACTAGGCCAGCAATTCATTATTTTTTATGTCTGAATAATATTGTATAGATATATCATATTTTGTTTATCCATTTATTAGTTGGTGAACATTTGTTGTTTCTACTTTTTAGCTATTACAGATAATGTTACTTTGAACATTCTTTTACAGATTTTTGTGTGAACATATGTTTAGTTTCTCTTGGGTATATACCTAAGAGTGGAATTACTAGGTCACATGGTAACTTTGTTTAATGTTTTGAGGAGCTGCCAAACTTTTCTACAGTAGCTACACCATTTTATATTCCCATCAGCAATGTGTGAGGTTTCTGATTTCTTCACATCTTTGCCAGCACTTGTTACTGTCTTTTTGATGACTGCCCTCTTAGTACCCACAGTTGATTTTTGTATATTGACCTTGTATCCTGAAACTTTGCTAAACTTATTAATTCTAGTAGTTTTTTTATGTTTTGGGTTTTTTGTAAATTTTGTAGGATTTTCTACTTGTAAGAATATGTTGGCCAGGCACAGTGGCTCACGCCTGTAATCCCAGCACATTGGAGGCCGAGGCAGGCAGATCACGAGGTCGGGAGTTCGAGACTAGCCTGACCAACATGGTGAAACCCTGTCTCTACTAAAAATAAAAAAATTAGCCAGGCATGGTGGCACGTGCCTGTAATCCCAGCTACTCGGGAGGCTGGGGCAGGAGAATCGCCTGAACCTCGGAGGCGGAGGTTGCAGTGAACCAAGATCGTGCCATTGCACTCCAGCCTGGGTGACAGGGCAAGACTCTGTCTCAAAAAAAAAAAAAAATGTTGTTTGCAAGTAAAGACAGTTTTTACTTTGTCCTTTCCAATCTCCTTTAATTTATTTTTGTTACCTGATAGCACCTGGAGGCTAGAACCTCCAGTAAATTAGAAGTGGTGAGAGTGGACATTTTGGTCTTGTTCCTGATCTTAGGGAAAATGCATTCATTCTTTCACCAGTATGATGATGTCTGTAAATTTTAACAGATATCCTTTGTAGGTTTGAGGAAGTTCCCTTCTATTCTTAGTTCGCTGAGAGTTTTTGGATTGTATATTGGATTTTGTCAAATGTAATTTTTTTTCTGCACCTATTGAAATAATCTTTTTTTTTAAGGTTTGTTAATATGGTCAATTACATTGATTGATTTTTGAATGTGAAACTAGCTTTGCCACTTGGTCATGATGCATTATTCTGTTCATATATTGTTAGATTTATTTGCTAAATTAAAAAAATTTTGGCATCCATGTTCATGAGGGATGTAAGTATATAGTTTTCTTCTAATGCATTTTTCTGGTTTGGGTATTGTGATAATGCTAGTTTCATAGAATGGGTTAGAAAGTATCCCCTTCTTTTCAGTTTTCTAGAAGAATTTGTCTAGAATTGGTATTATTTCTTAAATGTTTGGTAGAATTCATCAGTGAAGCCATCTGGGCTTGAAGTTTTCTTTGTGGGAAGGTTTTCAACTATTGATTCAATTTCTTTAATAGACATAAGACTATTCAGATTATGTATTTTTTCTTTTTCTCTTTAAATCAGGGTCTCACTCTGTTACCCAGGCTGGAGTACAGTGGCACAATCACAGCTCACTGCAGCCTCGACTTCCTGGCCTTAAGCAATCCTCCCACCTCAGCCTCCCCAGTAGCTGAGGCTACAGGTGTGTGCTACCACGCCTGGCTAATTTTTTCTATTATTATTATTTTTTTCTTGAAACAGGGTCTCACTCTGTCGACCAGGCTGGAGTGCAGTGGTGTGATCATGGCTCACTTAGCGTCTACCTCCCGGGCTCAAGCGATCCTCCCACTTCAGCCCCCTGAGTAGGTGGGACTATATGTGTGTGCCACCGCACCATGCCCAGCTAATTTTAATTTTTTTTTGGTAGAGATAAGGGTCTCACTATGTTTTCTAAGCTGGTCTTGAACTCCTGGACTCAACCAGTCCTCCCACCTCAGCCTTGCAAAGCACTGGGATTACAGACATGAGCTACCGTGCCCGGCCAGGTTATCTATTTTTTCTTTTTTTTTTTTTCTTTTTTTGAGACAGAGTCTTGCTCTGTTGCCCAGGCTGGAGTGCAGTGGCGCGATCTCGGCTCACTGTCTCCTCTGCTTCCCCGGGTTCCAGCGATTCTCTCGCCTCAGCCACCTGGGTAGCTGGGATTACAGGCACACGCCACCATGCCTGGCTCATTTTTGTAGTTTTAGTAGGGACGGGTTTCACCGTATTGGCCAGGCTGGTCTCAAACTACTGACCTCAGGTGATCCGCCTGCCTTGGCCTCCCGGAGTGCTGGGATTACAGGCGTGAGCCACCGTGCCCAGCCAGTTTTTTCTTAAGTGAGGTTTGGTAGCTTGTCTTTCACGGAATTAGTCCGTTTCATCTAAGTTGTCAAATTCATTGGCAAAAGGTTGTTTATACTATTCCCTTATTATTCTTTTAGTATGTTGAATGTAGTGGTATAACTTTTCTCATTTTTGATATTGGTAACTTACGTCTTTTCTTTTTTTCCTGATTAGTCTGACTAGAGGTTTATCTTATCGATCTTCTCAGAGAACCAGCTTTTGGTTTTATTAATTTTTCTTTCTGTTTTTATGTTTCCTATTTCATCTATTTCTGCTCTGATCTTTATTTTTTTTTCTTACTTACTTTGGGCTTAATTTCCTCTTTTCTTTCTACTTAAAGTGGAAGCTGAGGCCATGGTTTGAGACCTTTTTTCCTTTCTAATATGGGAGTTTAATGCTATAAATTGCCACTGAGTACTGTTTTAGTGTCATCCCACAGATTTTGACATACTATGTTTTCATTTTCATGTAGTTCAAAATACTATTTTACCTCCTGATTTATTCTTTGATCCTGGGTTATTTAGAAATGTGTTATTTAGTTTCCAAATATTTTTAAATTCTCTAGAGATTTTTGGTTATTGGTTTCTAATTTAATCTCAATTTAGAGAACATATTTTTTATGGCTTGAATGTTTTTAAATTTATTAAGACTTGTTTTATGACCCAGAATATAGTTTTGTTGTTGTTGTTGTTTTCTGTTTGTTTTGTTTTTTTCAAGACAAGGTCTCACCCTGTCACCCAGGCTGGGGTGCAGTGGCACTATAACGGCTCATTGCAGCCTCAGCCTCCTGGACTCAAGTGATTCTCTCGCTTCAGCCTTCCCAGTAGCTGAGACTACAGGAGCATCCCACCATGTCTGGCTAATTTTTTTTTAAATTTAGTTTTAATTTCAATAAGTTTTTGGGGAACAGGTGGTGTTTAGTTACATGAATAAGTTCTTCAGTGGTGATTTCTGAGATTTTGGTGCACCCATCACCCAAGCAGTGTACACTGTACCCAATGTGTAGTCTTTTATCTCTCACTCGCCTCCCACTCTTTCCCCTGAGTTCCCAAAGTCCGCTGTATCGTTCTTACGCCTTTGCACCCTCCTAGCTTAGCTCCTACTTGTAAGTGAGAACATACGATGTTTGATTTTCTGTTCCTGAGTTACTTCTCTTAGAATAATAGTCTCTAGTTCCATCCAGGTTGCTGCCAGTGCCATTATTTTGTTCCTTTTTATGCATGCCTGGCTAATTTTTAAAATTTTTTGTAGAGATGGGGTCTCACTGTGTTGCCTAGGTGTTGCCTAGCTGGTCTTGAACTCCTGGGCTCAGGTGATTCTCCCACCTCAGCCTCTCAAAGTGCTGGGACTATAGCAGGAGCCACGGCACCCAGCCCAGAATATAGTTTATTATATTTATTTATTTATTTATTTATTTATTGTATTTTTTGAGACAGAGTCTCACTCTGTCACCCTGGCTGGAGTGCAATGGTGCGATCTTGGCTCACTGCAGCCTTCGCCTCCCAGGTTCAAGCAATTCTTGTGCTTCACCTTCCCGAGTAGCTGGGACTACAGGCATGTGCCACCACACCCAGCTAATTTTTGTATTTTTAGTAGAGGTGGAGATTCACCATGTTGGCCAGGCTGGACTCAAACTCCTGACCTCAAGTGATCTGCCCTCCTTGGCCTCCCCAAAGTTCTGGGATTACAGGCATGAGCCACCCCGCCTGGCCATAGTTTATTATCTTTAAATAATAGTAATAATAATAAATAGTGCCTATTTTTTAGGATTGGGGTGAAAGTTAAATAAGAATGCAAACATAGCTGGGAGGTGCACCTGTAATCCCAGCTATTTACAGGTGGATTACAGGCAGGAGGATTCTCCTGAGCCCAGGAGTTTGAGGCTGCAGTGAGCTATGATCGTGCCACTGCTCTCTAGTCTGAGTGACAGGGCAAGACCTCATCTCTTAAAAAAAAAGCATGTAAAGTACATGACCTAGCACATAGCAAATGATCAGTAAGTGACAGCTGATGTCCTTATAAAGCTTATTTTTTATTTAATAATTTAATGTGTCTATTCTGAAATGCAGTCTATGAGCTCATGATATTTTCTGCTTCAAGTGCAGTGTTATATTCCTAATAGCAGAGTTTGAAATACTTAGTCAGTTTGAAAAAATTAAGACTTTTTTATTCCCATGTGTAAAAAATGGCTTCTGGTATGATTCATTTATTTTCACGGAAAAGTCTGAAAAGTGTGTTATGATTATTTTCACAAAAAAAAGTCTGAGAAAAGTTGAGGTTAACTGAATAGAGTAGTATTAGTTGAGGAACCGTTTTCATATATGCCATCACATCCAAGGCTATCTTTTCTTACTACACTGTGTCCTGACCAACTACTCCAGCCCTCTGTTTCCCCACATCGACCCTTGGTTTTCTCCAATTCTTCATCCACAATATAGCCATAGTGATCATGATGTCACTCCTCTGATTGAAAAATCATTCTATGGCTTCATGTTGCTTTTAGGATAAGGTCTAAAAAGTTTAATACCGTCCTTATTATACTGTGTGATTATGGCATTGTCAGTTTCTCTAGCTCTGCCTGCATCCATCTTCCCTTTCCATCTCTGTTTCTTCCATTCTGGTCTCATTTCAGTCCTCAAAATTTCCATTCTTTTTCTTGGCTCTTGCTGTCCACACTGTTCCTATCTGATTCTTACTTGTATTTCAGATCTAAACCTTACCTCTTCTGGAAAGTCCTCCCTGACCCCCTCTCCTTTTTCCCATTACAATTCCTGTGCCTAGTTGATGTCCCTGACTCCCATCTAGAACTCCCTGTTTCTCATTCTGAATACTCATCATCATGATAAACCCAAGATTATACACATCATAAGATTAGGGATTGTGTTTGTCTTGTCACTGTGTCTCTAGTGCCTAGCACAATGCCAAACTCAGGTGTGTGGTAAATGTTTGTTGAATGAATGAATTTGGGTATTTAGAAAGTTGAGATTTTATCTTTAGTTACCTGTAATAATTGTATTGTCATCTTTTTGTTAACTCTGTTTCTTACAGCTGTTACTTTAAAACAATTGTTTAAAAACACACTTATTTTAGGATTAAGAAAAAAGCTATCATTTTACTGATACTTTCTATGAGGTGTTGTGTTGGTCACTTGAAGGAAATTGTCTCATTTGGTTCTTACTATCAATGGCGAATTTTCTTATCCCCATTTTACGGTTGAGGAGACAGTCTCTAGGTAGATAACTTGTCCAAGGTCAGTGGCTAAAAAGTGGCAGATGTGGTTTGAGACAGGTCTTCCTGCTCTAGAGCCTGTATTCTTTTTCTGTGCTTATACTGCCTTCTCCAGTTTAATGTCCACAATAAGTACTTTATATACACATGACAAGAAATGTCTCATAATTAGATATACTGGAAGATTTTTGCATTTAGGGCTTGGGATGCTTTTTATTAATTCTTAGGGATATCTCTCATTGACTGCTGTAACAGTGCTTTGTGCTTGTGGTACAGAGTACGCATTGTAATTGTTGATAATAAAGGTGAAACTTGTGCTAGAATAAATTTTGAATCCAGGGGAGAAATTACATCACAGTGTCAAAGGAATTAATTTTAAGAGCTATTGTTCTGTAGCATTAGACTTTAAGAAGTAACTGATTCTCTTCATCATTTTCAGGGACTATTTTTGCATATGGACAAACCGGAACAGGCAAAACTTTTACCATGGAAGGTGTTCGAGCTATTCCTGAACTTAGAGGAATAATTCCCAATTCATTTGCTCACATATTTGGTCATATTGCAAAAGCGGAGGGTGATACAAGGTAAAAGGGAATTCTTTTATTTTCTGATATTGAGAAGTACAAACACTGGAAAGGCACATAGGTATAAATTTTATAAACATATTTTAAAACCGTTCTTATGAATATTTCACTCTTTGACTTTTTAAAAATGATGTTTTATAGATTTTTGGTTCGAGTGTCTTATTTGGAAATATATAATGAAGAAGTTCGTGACCTTTTGGGCAAGGATCAGACACAAAGGTTAGAGGTAAGGATAATTGAAATTGGTGGAGTACTTTTTCCAAAGCAATAGAATATTTGCTAAATTAAGGTCCCCCTTCTTTTTTTAAACAAAAGTTGCTTTTTATATTTTAAATAATCTCGTACATATATAATGTCGTACATCTGCAGACATATCTGGGGATAAATTACTGAAGCAGGATTGCTGAGTCAGGTGGTAAATTATTGGTAAATTTGATATTGCTGCATATTTTAATATTTTAAGATGTGAGACATACAGCAAGGAAAAGGTTAATACTGGAATTTTAGTTGGATTGCATCACCAGTAAAATAGAGGAGAATAATGTATGTAGAGTAACATGTAGAACAGCAGTAGCTGCCATTGTAGAATAATATAGAGCATTTGTAGAACAGCAGCCAGCATTACTGAGCTCTTGCAATGTGATATAGGCATTCAGTGCAGTAATTGATGGTTGTTGGTAGTAGTAAATAATTTATTTCATTTAATCTTCCCAGCAGTTCGATTTTACTGATGTGGGAACTGAAATTTAGAGGGGTTTCTTGACTTGCTCAAGGTCATATAGCAAGTGAATGGCAGTATCATCTAGGATTAAGAAGGTGGTTCTAGCAGTCTACCATCTTAGCTTGAATTCTGGCTCTGATCTTGAGCAAGTTACTTAATCTCTGTGAGTCTTGATTTGGTCATAAAAATGGAAATAATAATGGTATCCACTTCGTAGGATTATTACCAATACTAACAGATGAAAGTGTTTAAATCAATGCCTGACATAATAAATATTAGCTTTTTTTTCTTTTTAAGTTTACTGCATAAACTGAGTTTTTGGAGCAGTGTATTACAGTGTTAAGGATTGTTTGTGCTTGTTGGACCTCATGAAGCCTTATTCTCTGATACCATTTATATAGCAAATATAGAAACAAATTTCTTTGTTGCTGGTTTTCAACTTTAGTTCTGATTAATTCTGTGCTTTCATGTCCTAAAAAATTTGTTGTGTTATGCAAATTCTAGGAAAAAATCATTTGGAAAGAACATTTCCATTTTTGTACCAGTAATTATAGATCAGATTTATTCTCAGGAACATTCTTGTCAATGGTTCTCAACTCTGTTAGACCCAGTGCTCCTTTTTTTTTTATTTTAGGAAAGTTTTTTTTATTGTTGTTATAGTTTTTAGGATTTCTTATGTTCCATTGCTTTAATTTTAATTTAGGGGATTCCTGTTATGCCAGGGAGTTTTGAACCTCCATTGAAGATTGTAATCCCTTTCTTAGAATGATTTTTTAATATATATATATATATATATATATATATATATATATATATATATATATATTTTTTTTTTTTTTTATTATACTTTAAGTTCTAGGGTACATGTGCACGACGTGCAGGTTTGTTACATATGTATACATGTGCCATGTTGGTGTGCTGCACCCATTAACTCGTCATTTACATTAGGTATATCTCCTAATGCTATCCCTCCCCACTCCTCCCACCCCACAACAGGCCCCGGTGTGTGATGTTCTCCTTCCTGTGTCCAAGTGTTCTCATTGTTCAGTTCTCACCTATAAGTGAGAACATGTGGTGTTTGGTTTTTTGTCCTTGTGATAGTTTGCTGAGAATGCTGGTTTCCAGCTTCATCCATGTCCCTACAAAGGACATGAACTCATCATTTTTTATGGCTGCATAGTATTCCATGGTGTATATGTGCCACATTTTCTTAATCCAGTCTATCATTGTTGGACATTTGGGTTGGTTCCAAGTCTTTGCTATTGTGAGTAGTGCCACAGTAAATGTGTGCATGTGTCTTTATAGCAGCATGATTTATATTCCTTTGGATATATACCCAGTAATGGGATGGCTGGGTCAAATGGTATTTCTAGTTCTAGATCCCTGAGGAATCGCCACACTGACTTCCACAATGGTTGAACTAGTTTACACTCCCACCAATGGTGTAAAAGTGTTCCTGTTTCTCCACATCCTCTCCAACACCTGTTTCCTGACTTTTTAATGATCGCCATTCTAATTGGTGTGAGATGATATCTCATTGTGGTTTTGATTTGCATTTCTCTGATGACCAGTGATGATGAGCATTTTTTCATGTGTCTGTTGGCTGCATAAATGTCTTCTTTTGAGAAGTGTCTGTTCATATCCTTCACCCACTTTTTGATGGGGTTGTTTGTTTTTTTCTTGTAAATTTGTTTGAGTTCTTTGTAGATTCTGGATATTAGCCTTTTGTCAGATGAGTAGATTGCAAAAATGTTCTCCCATTCTGTAGGTTGCCTGTTCACTCTGATGGTAGTTTCTTTTGCTGTGCAGAAGCTCTTTAGTTTAATTAGATCCCATTTGTCAATTTTGGCTTTTGTTGCCATTGCTTTTGGTGTTTTAGACATGAAGTTCTTGCCATTCCTATGTCCTGAATGGTATTGCCTAGGTTTTCTTCTAGGGTTTTCATGGTTTTAGGTCTAACATTTAAGTCTTTAATCCATCTTGAATTAATTTTTGTATAAGGTGTAAGGAAGGAATCCAGTTTCAGCTTTCTACATATGGCTAGCCAGTTTTCCCAGCACCATTTGTTAAATAGGGAATCCTTTCCCCATTTCTTGTTTTTGTCAGGTTTGTCAAAGATCAGATAGTTGTAAATGTGTGGCATTATTTCTGAGAGCTCTGTTCTGTTGCATTGATCTATATCTCTGTTTTGGTACCAGTACCATGCTGTTTTGGTTACTGTAGCCTTGTAGTATAGTTTGAAGTCAGGTAGTGTGATGCCTCCAGCTTTGTTGTTTTGGCTTAGAATTGACTTGGCAATGCGGGCTCTTTTTTGGTTCCATATGAACTTTAAAGTAGTTTTTTCCAATTCTGTGACGAAAGTCATTGGTAGCTTGATGGGGATGGTATTGAATCTATAAATTACCTTGGGCAGTATGGCCATTTTCACGATATTGATTCTTCCTATCCGTGAGCATGGAATGTTCTTCCATTTGTTTGTGTCCTCTTTTATTTCATTGAGCAGTGGTTTGTAGTTCTCCTTGAAGAGGTCCTTCACATCCCAACTCCTTTCTAAATAACATACGTTTTTGTCCTGAAATAAAACTCATATGTGACATTAATAAAATCTACCTATACACATACTTTTTAAAAAATTCGTATACTACCCTACTGTAATATAAAGGAGAATACAAGTAATTAAATATAAATGCTAGTATTTAGATATGTAAACACTTAGATATGACCACACTTAATGACATAATAAAATAGAGGCATATAGAATCATCAAAATTGTAACAGCTACAAATGCAGTGTCAACAGGTATGTTGTATTGTTGATCTAAACCCCTTGATTGGTGTTATTGCCAATGACATGGTCTTTTACAATAGTGACTAGCTCTTGGTAGAGTTTGGAGCGAAATAAAGCACAATTCTTCCCTCAGTTTTTCTGTGTTCTCATATTATTGCTATATGGAAAAGCACTTTGTCTTTATATGTGAAATAAAGTTACATATGACAGACTCAGATATAATTATCTGGGTCTAGACTCAGATAATTATAAGTAGTTTTTTTACCATGTGAATATCTGGTAGGACATTCAAAATTCTGTGGGACAGTTCTTCATTGGGTGAGACTGTCCCACTTATTTCAGGATGTTTAGTATTCCTGGTCCCTGCCTGTCAATAACTACAGTGTCCTCAAGTGAACCAGAAACTCTTGCGCAAATTTCTAAAATATTCTAGGACAAGAGGGTAACTGCTTCCATTGAGATCCATTGTTATAAACTGTGTTTGTCATAGATATTGAATTCCTGTGTTTTTTTTGATAAAAATTCTTTGGTAGCATTTCCATCCAGTTTTTTAACTTTCACACATTTGGAATTATATTTTCTTTCTTCATCTTTCATATCTAGTCAGTTATTAGTTGAATACACTTATTAATTGAATTTTGAATTAATAGCATATTGTGATTGGAAGACCACTAGTTTGCAGACAGATGTCAGTTTGAAGAATGTCCATTTTCAGTCTGCGGTGAGAATGAACACAAAAACTGAGAGTAGGTGCTTAAAAACTTCCATAGCAATTTGACATTGCCAAGGCATCCAAGTGCATGATTTTTGTATTTTACAAAATTATCATATTACAAATATGTACATCCTTTATCAGAGATTTTTTGAGAAGCATTGATATAGACCAGTAATTTTCAAACCTTTTAAAAGGTGTAAAGCATTTCAACACTTTCATCAAACCAAACCTTATGTGGAAGCTCAATGTGTAAAATTCATGAAAGCGCCCTTCTCTTTAGAACTTCTCTGGGCCTGAAGACCCCTAAACTCCTACAGTGGCCGCCTCAGTGCCACCATGGACCCTCTAGGGCTTTTCAGAGCAAGGTCTGAAATCCACTGGCTTATAGAGATCATCATACTTTTTTTTTTTTTACTACTAATAGAATTAGGGCTTAATTTATATCCCATGACAGATAAAGGATTTTTCCTAATTTGTAAATTTATCTTATCAATTGTTATAAAAGGCGCATGCACACACACACAACATTGAAAATCAACGACTGGAATGTTGAGTGTCTACCTTTATAACGTTTTCCCCTGGAATTGTTTATCAGATTTTCATTTGTCTTCGATGTCTATGAGGTCTTCCTACCCGTGGAATGGCTTTTCCCACTGGCAACCACAGGCCTCTGCCTCAGTTTCACTTTTTATTCTTTTGGTTTGTAGAGATGACTCTGAGCCTTCCAAAGTGAATTTTGTTTATACAGTGCCACTTGTATTTTAGGTAAATCCATCCTAAATACATTTTTCAAATTTGGTTAAAATTTCTCATAAGGTAATTCACAGAAAGATCATATTTTAACATTGATACTATAGATCTGATTATTTCCCTCAGTTGCTTGAAATTCTCCAAATTATTCTTACCATAAAGACCAAAAACTATTCTAAACTTGTCTCTGTCTTCCTATATAACCAGATATCTCACCTATTTTTCCCTGTTTCCTGCTCTCTCCAGCCACATTGTCTTTTTCGGTTTGTTAATTTTTTGTAAGTGCCTAGTTTTTTCTTATTTCAGGATTCTTGCACATTTTCTTCTTCTCCTACCTCAACTGACTAACTGCCTCCTTTTTATTTAAAGAAATTTTAGCTTAAACATCATCTTGGGGAATTTTATCCTATCTCCTTCACTAGCTTAGTAGTGTTCTGTACTTTTTCTGTATTTTTCTTCATGTCATCACAATTGAAATAAAATAATTTTTATGTGTAATTCTTCATTTGTATGTTCTTCCTATAGACATCTCCATGCGTGTAGGAACAGTGTCTATCTTATCAGTATATTCCCTCTGTCTAGTAGAGTGTCCAACACATAGGAGATACTCAATAAATAATTGTGGAAGAGTTATTGATATAGTATAAAGTCTTAATTTTTTTTTAGGTTAAAGAAAGACCTGATGTGGGAGTTTATATCAAAGATTTATCAGCTTATGTGGTAAATAATGCTGATGATATGGATAGAATTATGACGCTAGGCCACAAAAATCGTAAGTATAGTGTGTAATTGTGATTAAGCATCTGTGTGTTGAGTAGGCTGGTTTAGAAGCAAATTTGGTATGGCACTTTACCCTGTAGAGACTGGATTTTTTAGGTTTCTTGAAAACCATTCCACTTTGATTATTTACCATGTAGAGAGCATAGATGAATGAAAGATACCACAAATCATTTTCCATGCCGAGCAAAATTTTGTTTCTTTTTAGTAGCGCCAATCTATGCAACTCTCATACGGCTGTCTCTTGGTAGCTATAATAGTAAAATTGGTAATGTTTATTGAGCTCTTAGTGGAGAGTGCTTGTGCTAAGTGCTTCATAAAGATGCTCTCTTAGTCCTCACAGGAGACTATGAAGACATTAAATTCTTACTTTATGAATGAAGAAAGTGAGACTTAGTTTAAGTAACTTGTCTAAGTACTATAACTACTAAGTGGTAGAGTGAGTGATCACACCTAAGCCATAGCCACGCACAGTGGCTCATGCCTGTAATCCCAGCAACTCGGGAGGCTGAACTGGGAGGATCATTTGAGGCCAGGAGTTTGAGACCAGCCTGGACAATAGGGAGCCCCTGTCCTAAAGAAACCCACCTGGAAGAAACCCAAAAAACCTAGGCCAGTAGTCTGCATTAACTAGGCACTGTAATGCTTCCCTTTTGTTGACAAGAAAAGCAAAACAAAATTTAAATTAAAAAATTGTATTCTTTTTAGTAATTGTGTCACATTTTTAGTCTAAAGAGTAGGAAGCTTCAGCGATATTATACAGATGCCTCAAACCTAGTACTGGTGATGCAGCTAATAGCAATTAGAAATTAGAGGTGAAAAGTCTGGTCGCGGTGGCTCACACCTGTAATCCCAGCACTTTGGGAGGCTGAGGTGGGTGGATCACTTGTTTGAGACCAGCCTGGCCAACATGGTGAAACCCCGTCTCTACTAAAAATACAAAAATTAGCTGGGAGTGGTGGTGGGTGCCTGTAATCCCAGTTACTCGGGAGGCTGTGGCAGGAGAATCGTTTTAACCAGGAAGGCAGAAGTTGCAGTGAGCCGAGATCGCGCCACTGCACTCCAACTTGGGCAACACAGCAACCAAAAAAAAAAGAAAAAAAGAGGGATTAGAGGTAAAAGATGAGAAATAGGAAATGAAAAATTTTTATAAGTTTCTGTGACTTGACGATAGATATATCAAACCCAAGGAAATCAAACAACAAAACTTCAAAAATCAATTACATTCTTATGAACCAATTAATAGAAAAAGACCAAATCTTAATAGAAAAATTAGCAAAAAATATGTATGTTATTCGTAGAAGAACTAAGCACAGCAATAAGTATGTGAAAGGCTGTTTAACTTCACAACTAATCAGGAAAATGCTAAAACAAGATAGAGAGAGATGTTTCACCCATCAGATTAGATGAAGGATATGTAGGTTGGTGAGACTTTGAAGAAATGGGCACTGAGGATGGAATATAAATTGGTGCAGCCTATTTGAAGGGCATTGTTAACAGTATCTGTTGACATTTTAAAATACATTCCTTTTGACTCTGTGTTTCTAATTTTAGACATTCTGGAAAATATTTTTAGATGTAACAATCTAAATAACCTTCAATAAAACCCTGATTATGTAAATGATGACACAAAAATACCATAGACTGTAATAAAGCTGTTAAAAACAATGAGTTAGGCTGGGTGTGGTGGCTCATGCCTGTAATCCCAACACTCTGGGAGGCCAAGGTGGGCAGATTTCCTGAACTCAGGAGTTAGAGACCAGCCTGTGCAACATGGCGAAACCCCATCTCAACTAAAAATACAAAAAAATCAGCCAGACGTGGTGGCTTACGCCTATAATCCCAGCTACTTGGGATGCTGAGGCAGCAGAATTGCTTGAACCTGGGAGGCAGAGGTTGCAGTGAGCCAAGATAGCACCACTGAACTCCAGCCTGGGCAATAGAGGAAGACTCTGTCTCAAAAACAAAACAAAACAACAACAAAAAAAACAACAAGCTGAGTGTGGTGGCTCATGCATATAATCCCAGCACTCTGGGTGGCTGAGGCGGATGGATCACTTGAGGCCAGGAGTTTGAGACCAGCCTGGCCAACCTGGTGAAACCTCGTCTCTGCTAAAAATACAAAAATTAGCTGGGCGTGGTGGTGCGCACCTGTGATCTCAGCTACTCAGGAGGTTGAGGCCGGAGGATCACTTGAACCTGGGAGGTGGAGGTTGCAGTGAGCCGAGATTGTGCCACTGCCCTCCAGCCTGGGTGACAGAGGGAGACCCTGTCTCAAACAAAACAACAAAAAAACCCAGTCAGGTAAATGTGCCTACACAGAGCTGGAAGATTTTCAAAGTATGTTTGTCAGTGGGGGGATAAAAGCAAATTGTAGAACAGTATGTATGTACTGCCTTACCCCATTTATTTATATGTGAAAAATTGTTAAACCATATATTTATTTGGGCAGTGTGTGTGTGTTTGTGTCTACACGTATGTATATAAAATACAGAATGAAAGGACAGATTGTAGTGGTTACCTTTAGAGAAGGAGAAATAAAATTGGGGAAAAGGAATGTCAGGAGCTTTCACTTTATGCTTTCTGTATGCTTTTATTAAAAAAACAAATACCAGAAATATGTTAATTATTGGTTATTTAATTAAAAATTTTAACACAAGATTTCATTCATAGAATGAAATTAATTTAATTCTCAGGTAGTTAATTGGAGCTTTTGGTCACTTCATTAAAGATTACCCTTTTAATGTTTCAATTATAAAATCAAAGCTTGCACAGAAAAATGCTGCATGAATGTATAGTAGGAAGATAATTTTGGCATTGAGTAAAATTAACTTTAAAATACTTTGGAATTTAAGAAAAAAACTAATACAGGTCTATTGTAAAAAAATGTTTTTTGTTTACACAATATATTCATATATTTACACATATGCAAATACTTTGCATATTTTGAATGGATTTTTTTTTTTTACAGAAGTAGGATTATGTTATGTATTTCTTTCTAACTTGCTTTTATTTTTAATTTATATGTTATGGACATTTTTCCACGTTTTTAGATCTACCTTATTTTTTTTAATGCTGCACTGAATATTGTTGTATTGTCTAACATATGTGTGCAAGTATTCCTGTGGTTTATATGTTCAAGCTGGAGTGCAGTGGCGCAATCTCAGCTCACTGCAACCTCCACCTCTCGGATTCAAGTGATTCTTGTGCCTCAGCCTCCCAAGTAGCTAAAATTCTCTTTATTATTATTGTTTTTTACTTCCTGCAGTACACCAGCATGCATACTTCTCTTTAGATAGCTAAATCAGCAATAATTTTTCCAATTAATGTGGTTTTTTGGTGTAAATTAGTTATTTTTTAGGCAGTATTACTAGGGATTGAAATTATTTTTTGCTAAAGTTATGTCTTTAATATGAGAAACCTTACAAATTTGTTATCAACAAAGTATAAGAGAAATTTCATGTAGTGGCTAAGTACACACCCATGCCTTTATGGTTTAGCCATGCTCTCTGGCTTTTGATTGTGATAAAATTAAGTGTTTTAAACTGTTCAGGATGTTTAATTATTTTTAAAGGCACTCTCTGTTACACTTTTAAAGGATTTCGTTTATTTATTAAAGGTTCTGTTGGTGCAACTAATATGAACGAACATAGTTCCCGTTCCCATGCCATCTTTACAATTACTATAGAATGCAGTGAAAAAGGCATTGATGGTAACATGCATGTCAGGATGGGGAAGCTCCATCTTGTAGATCTTGCTGTAAGTAACAGGACACTGCTTAAGGAATAACTCTTTCTTGTGATCCATTTATTTTATAAATGAATGAAAATTAAAGTGAAAAGGTATGATTTACATATGATTTTTAAGGTGTTACTTGTGTATGTTTATTATTTATTATGGAACATTTCAAATGTATATGAAAGTAGATAGAATAGTATAGTGATCCCCCATACACTGATCACCCAACTCCCAACAATCAGCTCATGGCTAATCTTGTTTCATGTACTCTCCCCCACTTCTTCCTTTCCTATATTATTTTGAAGTGAATTCAGGCATCATATCAGGTTTTTTACTGTTACATTACTTTTTAATAAAACCTTGGGAAGAATATTCTATTTTTAAAAAAATTTTAGCTTTACTTTCATCTCTGTTTATTGCTAGGGTTCAGAAAGACAGGCAAAAACTGGAGCTACTGGACAGCGCCTAAAGGAAGCTACAAAAATCAATCTTTCACTTTCCACCCTTGGTAATGTAATTTCTGCCTTGGTTGATGGAAAAAGCACTCATGTGCCTTATCGTAACTCTAAACTGACTCGTCTTCTTCAGGATTCCTTAGGAGGAAATTCAAAAACCATGATGGTAAGACTTAATTGGTGATATAGTTAACATCAGGCAAATTTAAGATTGTAATTTATGCCAATAATTGATACGTATCACATTTTTTAAACTTGATTATTTTACTTTTTTTGACTTGTGGTTGTCCTTTTTGTGGTACACTCGTGTATTAGCCCATAATAGTGTCCTTTGGAAACTCATGTGGTTGACACTCTCATTTTCGAGAAGGCCAAGGGTGCATATGTGCTTTAAATGTTTTTGATGTATTTGTAATGGTAGTATTAATTTTAACTCTGTCAAGTGTAAAATGATTTGTTTCATATTTCTAATTCAATAGTGTGCAAATATTGGGCCAGCAGATTACAATTATGATGAAACTATCAGTACATTACGGTATGCCAATCGTGCTAAGAATATTAAAAATAAAGCTAGAATTAATGAAGATCCAAAGGATGCTTTGCTGCGTCAGTTCCAGAAAGAAATAGAAGAACTGAAAAAGAAGCTTGAAGAAGGTAGCTTTTCCTCAAAATATTAATCTTTATGTTGGCTAAAAATACATTGTTGAACCACTAACTGTTCTAACAAAAGCCCTCTATTAAACCTTTTTTGAGCCTCTAACATTGGTAGTTAAATGAATATTTCTAGAAAGTGACTTGGTACTTACATACTTTCGCATTTTCATATTAAGCTTAAGTAAAATTACATAATATTTGTGTATGTGGTTTTTTAAAAACATTTGCATGATGTTTTGTAGATTTCATATGACCACTTTTTAAGGAATGAATGTTTATTTGTCTCTGTATAAGAGCAAATTCTGCAATGTATGTATTTAGGTGAAAATGACCAGAATTCTGGCATTGCAATCAATATCAACTAACTATTGTTTGAAGTAAAGCAAGATATTAGACAGTCATGAGTAAACCAAGTTTGCTATAAGGAAAAATGCATTGCATGACCTTTAAAATATCCTTTCATACCTAAATTTGAACATGAGATTGTATTTTGGAAATTCTTTTCTAACAATATCATGCTAGAAAGTTGGAAAATTTGAAGATCTTATTTATGAGAGTGAGACGCTTCCCAGTCATTAAGTGCTGAGTGAGTCCTTGCACCTTAATGCGAGAAACAGATCCTTTCTGATTGGTACAGAGCTCCTTCGCGAACCACGTAAACAGGGCTTTGGTTTCAAAGCACCTTTGTAGTCTGTGAGAAGACTGACTAGATCAGAGGTGAAATTCAGAGACGCCAGCATCACAAATGTTTAGAGAGGGTACTTATTTAGTAAACAAGTAGTTATTGAGGAAAAGCAGTAAGAGAACTGTTAGATAATGAAATTTGGTGTTTTAAATGTGACCACTAGGTGGTATTTATAGCCAGTATGTTTTAAAGATTTTTAATTTCTTAGCGATGTTAACGGTGAGTGCATACTTTTATTTTGCTGACTTTATGTTTTACATTTTTTTGTTGTGGTAAAATATACATGACATAAAATTTATCATTGTAACCATTGTTAGTTAAGTGTACAGTTAGTGGCATCAAGTATATTCGCATTGTTGTGCAACTGTCACCACTATTCATTTCTAGAAATTTTTCATCATCCCAAACAGAAATGCTGTGCCCATTTAAGTAGTAACTTCCTATTCTTTTCTCCCCCAGTCTCTGGTAACCACTATTCTACTTTCGGTCTCTATGAATTTGACTATTCTAGGTACCTCATATAAGTAAAATCATGGAGTATCTACTTGTGACTGGCTTATTTCACTTAACAGAACGTTGAAGGTTCATCCATATTGTAGCAAGTGCCTGAATTTTATTCCTTTTTAAAAAATTGTGGTTAAACTTGCATAACATAAAGTTTACCATTTTAATCACATTTAAGTCTACATTTCTGTGGCATTACATTCACATTGTTCTGCAGTTATCCGTCTTCAGTTTTCTTCTTGCAAAATTGAAACTTTGTACTCATTAAAAACAGTATGTACCCATTCCTCCCTTCCCCTAGTTCCTGGCCAACAACCATTCTGCTTTGTCTATGAATTTGACTGCTCTGGGTATCTTACGAAAGCGGAATTGGTGGGGCGCAGTGGCTCACGCTTGTAATCCCAGCACTTTGTGAGGCCGAGGCGGGTGGATCAGTTGAGGTCAGGAGTTCGAGACCAGCCTGGCCAACACGGTGAAACCCCATCTTTACTGAAAATACAAAAATTAGCTGGGCATGGTGGCTCTCGCCTGTAATCCCAGCTACTTGGGAGGCTGAGGCAGGAGGATCACTTGAACCTGGAAGGTGGAGGTGGCAATGAGCCGAGATTATGCCACTGCACTCCAGCCTGGGTGGCAGAGTGAGACTCCCATCTCAAAAAAAAAAAAAAAAAAAAAAAAGAAAGTGAAATACAGCATTTGTCTTTTTGTGACTGGCTTATTTCATTTAGTATAATGCCTTCAAGGGTCATCCGTGTTGTAGAATGTATCAGGACTTCTTTTTAATTCTGAATAACATTCCATTGTGTATATACTACATTTTGTTATCCATTCATCCACCAATGGACAGTTGGTTCTTTCCACCTTTTGGCTATTGTGAATAATGCTGCTATGAACGTGGGTATACTAATACCTGTTTGAATTCTTGTTTTACCATTTTTGGGGTATGTACCCAGCAATGGAATTGCTGGATTCTATGATAATACTGTTGTTAATACATTTCAGTTCATTTTTGCTCTTATGACATTTCTTTTTATAATCTAGTTAATGGAGTTGATCATATCAACAATAAAAAAGTAGGCAATAGCATTAAAATAATAATTTTTAAACTTAAAAATTATTGTAGGCTATATGCAACTTGCAAACATGATATGGAGAGTTCCTATCTACCCTTCACCCAGCTTCACCTCATGTTAACATTTTTTATAAGCATACAACAGTTATTGAAACCAGGAGATTTACATTGATATAGTCTTATTAACTAATCTGTGGACTTTATTCAAATTTGGCCAGTTTTCCTTCCAGTGCCTCTTTTTCCTGGTCCAGGATACAATCCAGGATCACACACTGCATTTATTTGTCATGCTTTCTTTGTTTTGTTGTTGTTGTTGTTGTTGTTGTTTGTTTTTTGTTTTGAGACAGAGTCTCGCTCTGTTGCCAGGCTGGAATTCAGTGGCACAGTCTCAGCTTACTGCAACCTCTGCCTCCCTGTTCAAGCGATTCTCCTGCCTCAACCTCCTGAGTAGCTGGGACTACAGGCACATGCCACCTCGCCCAGCTAATTTTCGTATTTTTAGTAGAGACAGGGTTTCACCATGTTTGCCAGGATGGTCTTTATCCTCTGACCTCGTGATCTGCCTGCCTCGGCATCTCAAAGTGCTGGGACTACAGGCGTGAGCCACCATGCCCGGCCATGTCATGCCTTTTTAATGACGATGTCTAGCACACTTGTTCTTCAGTCTAATTCCCCAGTCTTTCTTGATCTTGACATTTTTGAAGAGTACTGGTCATATATTTGTTGAATGTTCATTAATTTGGGTTTGTCTACTTTTCTTTTATAATGACCCTGCAAAGTTTCTCCACTGCAAATCTATTGTTTTATGTTTCCATTCGTAATTAACATGTATCTTGTGGGGGATACTTTGAGACTGCAAAGGTCCTGTTTCTTGTCATACTTTCTTCTACTATTTTTAGTATTCATCAATAGTTCTTGTCTGCAACAATAATCCTGTGGCATTTGCTCAATGTTATTTTCTATTCTCATCATTTCTTCCTTGTTTAGTGTTTAGGATTCTATTGTATGGAAGAACAGCCCCTTCATTCCCATTTGTTTATTTATTCAAGTATTTATCTTATTTAGATCATGGATTATAATCCAGTGTTATCATTATTTATTTTGTTCATTGAATTGTTCCAGCTTTGGCTATTATGAGATCCTTCAGAGTAGTTCCTGTATTCTTTCAGCATGTGCTCATCAGTTTTTTTGAGCATTTGATTACTTTTTGGCACTACAAAAGGTTTTAGGTTTATCTTGTGTCTTCCTTGCCCAATCTTAGAATCATTCACTTCTCTCTGGTCCCTTCTGTAGGAGAATGGTATTTAGAAACCCAGTTTTGGGCACTAGCTGTGCTCATTACTACCAAGATGTCATTGTTTCTAAGCCCGAAGAAAAAAATATTTTTCAGAAATTTCTTCTCCCAAGACTCTGTGTTCCTTTCCATCTTGTACTTACAGGTACAATTATTACCTGGTTGTGATTAGAGTATATTTTACTTTTTTCTCCTCTATTTTATTTTGTTAGACATTTCATATGTAAACAGTGGCATTTAAAAATAGCTAATTTGAAGATGATATAGTGCTGATCTGTTTTATTGGCTTCATCATTCCTTTTTTGTTTTTTATCTTTAAGTTAATGTGTAGTTAACACTGTCTTTGTACAAATAAGCACTTCTTTTTTTGAAAATATCTTGTGATACAGTCCTAAAAGTGGGATCATTGTTACATGACAGTTCTGTGTCTCTTAAAAATACAGATTGAATGAATTATTTGAAATCTTAAACAGGAAGCTGTTTTAGAAGAAATTGTTCCTCAAAAGTGATCACATTTTTAAAAGACTGAATTAGTAACTCTACCACATAATTTATATATATATTTAAAATTATACATAAAGAAATGATTTGAATATTTTTATTTTTTTTTTTGAGACAGAGTCACTCTGTTGTTGAGGCTGGAGTACAGTGGTGCCATCTCGGCTCACTGCAACCTCTGCCTCCTGGGTTCAAGTGATTCTCCTGCCTCAGCCTCCCAAGTAGCTGGGATTACAGGTGCATGCCACCAAGCCCAGCTAATTTTTGTATTTTTAGTAGAGATGGGGTTTTGCCATGTTGGCCAGGCTGGTCTCAAACTCTTGGCCTCAAGTGATCTGCCTGCCTCAGCCTCTTAAAGTGCTGGGATTACAGGCGTGCGCCACCTTGCCTAGCCAGAATGGTTTGAAATTTTAAGTGGGTCAGAATTTAACTTCTCTTTAGAGACTTTAAAAATAAAGTCTTTTTGGATATCTCATCTGTGTCTGAGATTGGCATATCTGTTATACTTTCTAGGAGCATTTAAATAGTATTTAAATTTGTTGTTTGCAGTAACAAAAATCTGAGGAAGAAAGCTGATATAGGTATTTCCTAAATAGCTAATGACTTCGTACAGGATAAAAAACATTGTATTAAATTTCTGTCCAAGGAGAAGAAATATCAGGCTCTGATATCAGTGGGTCAGAGGAAGATGATGATGAAGAGGGTGAGGTTGGAGAAGATGGAGAGAAAAGGAAAAAAAGAAGGGGTAAGTTCTGTTTAGTAATCTGATTTGTAGAAATTAGGTGGTTTCACAAGGTGGTAGAGTGCATGACTTTTATTTTGCCGTTATCTGTTTAATATATTAGATAACAATTAGAACAGAAGATGTATGCCATTTACCTGGTTAACTTTGCATTTTTTCTCCTGTATTGATCCGTTTATAGCTGACTTTGAATATATGTTCTGTTTTTTTAGAATTTAGAATTGTAAGACTCTATAATACTGGGTATGCCATTTTAAAATTTCCTGTGTGTTTTAATTTTATGTAGGGACTTACATCTGTGTTAGGAACCTAAGTTTTTTTGTTTGTTTGTTTGTTTGTTTGTTTTGAGACGGAGTCTCATTCTGTCGCCCAGGCTGGAGTGCAGTGGCGCGATCTCGGCTCACTGCAACCTCCACCTCCCAGGTTGAAGCGATTCTCCTGCCTCAGCCTCCCGAGTAGCTGGGACTATAGGCAAATGCCACCTCGCCCGGCTAATTTTTTGTATTTTTAGTAGAGACGGGGTTTCACCCTGTTAGCCAGGCTGGTCTTGATCTCCTGACCTCATGATCCATCTGCCTCGGCCTCCCAAAGTGCTGGGACTACAGGCGTGAGCCACCATGCCTGGCTGGAACCTAAGTATTTTAAGGAAATTAGGATAATGTGGAGTTTTTCCACAAACAAGATTAGTCTTTAAAAGTCATTGAATTTTTAAATAGTAAATTTGTATGAGGAATTCCATTTTTAAATTTAGTTCTTTTTCTTTATAAAATGTATTCTCATTCTCACTCTGTTGTGGGGGATTTGTTGCCACGTGTGAATTAAGACTGTTTATTATGATCAGAATATAGATAATATGCAAATGAAATGGACATATTATAATGGCCTACATTTCAAACCTTTTTACCATAAATATTTATTTCAGAACTCTCTTCCATTAATGTGGTCATTGTTTTCAAGCTGGTGCATATTTTGTTTGTCTTATTAAAATGATTGTGCTAAAAATAAACCCATCACTGCTTGATTAGGAGTCCCAAATTTAAAAACTATAAAGATTTTGTAACTTCAAAAGACAGAAAAATAATGATTTATGGCAAAAATTGGCAAAATGTCTGCTGGCTAAATCCAGCTCACCACCTGTTTTTGTAAATAAAATTTTATTAAAACAGCCATGCTCATTTATTTACATATGCTCTATGGCTGCTTTCACATGAAGCCGTATGGCCTGCAAAGTCTCAAACACTTATCTGTCCTTTTGCAGAAAACGTTTGCCTGATTTAGAGAAATTTTTTTTGTTCACACCTAGTTTTTCACAGAGTAGATTATTATTTTCAAAGCTAAAGCTGATAACAGATTTGTTAAAAATAAAATTTTAAATAGAAAAATGCCAGTAATATGTTAAAATATTTAACAATAATGTATCTTCCTTCCAGGCTTAGAAATTTAAAAATTTTCAGTGAGCCTTTTGAAAGTTTTGCTATCAAACCTTAAACATATTTGATAGTTTGATATTTTGGGGGAGGGAGAGACTGAAAGTGGAGATAGACTAACCTATTATGAAGGGTAATTTATCACTCCTATAATATTTATTGTGTATGACTTTGAGTTTTAAAACTCCATTCCTTTAACTTATCAACCTAAATAGTTTCAGTAGACTAAAATCTCACCAAATGACTTCTTTATTTTTTATTCTTGTCATTTCAACCCTTTGAATGATTAGGCTTTAGGTGACCAGTAGGATCTGCCCACAGTAGTTGCTTAAAGCAGTACACTTTCTAATTCCTCTGTATGGCTTTGTAAAGTAGAGAATATTGGATAAACTACCAAGATTGGTTTTTAGGAAAGTAAATTTTGGTTCTTTAATACAAAGCTTGATTGTCCTTTAAAATTTTTTTCTCTGAAAACTGAATTTTTCTCTGTGTGTGTGTTCATTTTCTTGTTTCCTCTTTCTTTGGTTCCTGTTGGGCTCATTTCTTTGTTTTCCAGGCAGTAGCAGCAGCAGTAGTTCAGACTCCACATGTTCTGTCATAGAGAAACCTCTGGATAAGTTCTTGCCTAGTGAGTGGTAGCTCTTACATTCTCTAACAGAGCTTTGGCTTTTCCATAACCCATGGGCTTCATTTGAGCAATGCTGCACCACTCCCTGTCATTACCTAAAGAATACATGTTGGATTCCTCAGTAGAACAAAGCATGTGATGATTCCTCCACCCCCTTTCATTGCTTCCAGTTAATCATAATTGTTAAAACATAGGCTTTAGCTTATGTTTGAGACAATGGAAGAGAGATTCATGCTTTTGCAATTGAGATAATGTAAAGAGAGCTAGTAAGCTGTATAAAAGAATAATTCTTATGCTTATTTTTTAGGTTTCATGACACATTTCTAATCCTGCTCAGAATAAGGGACACGTAACATCAAATCTTGTATTTCTAAAAGTACAAATTATATTTGAAGTACACCAGTGCCCATTATAACATGTCGTACAATTACAAATTTTTTACACTTTGGTGTCCTATTCTTAGTGGTAGCTTAAGATTAAAGGCTCCCAAATAAAGAAAAACATAAAGCTTGAAGCAAGTAAAGATGAATTGAATAGTGTTTTATTTCAAATGGACATTTATCCATATTTCTGTATTACCTGATAGATTTTAAGAAAAGTTCTTTCTTTTTTTTTTTTTTTTTTTGAGACGGAGTCTTGCTCTTTTGCCTAGGCCGGAGTGCAGTGGCGCAGTCTTGGCTCACTGCAAGCTCCGCCTCCCGGGTTCACGCCATTCTCCTGCCTCAGCTTCCCGAGTAGCTAGGACTACAGGTGCCCGCCACCACTCCTGGCTAATTTTTGTATTTTTAGTAGAGACGGGGTTTCACCGTGTTAGCCAGGATGGTCCCGATCTCCTGACCTCATGATCTGCCCGCCTCGGCCTCCCAAAGTGCTGGGATTATAGGCGTGAGCCACTGCGCCCGGCTGATTTTAAGAGATTTTCTAAGGTATGATTAGAGAATGCAGAATCACGTGGATTTTATGCAGGATCCATCTAGACTTATTTCAAACTTAAAGGCTTTTGTTAAAACAATTTAATTAAGTTGAAAAGTGTTATTTAATTTAATTTATTTATATTTTATTTTCAGAAGAAAGGGGAGTAGTGTTGCTTTCTTGTACCAGCCTGCAGCTTACTGTCTTTTAAAGCATTATCTATATACTTACCCTTTCAAAACTAATGACAAAAATAATTGCTTATTGTTCTTATGCTTTTAGCTTTCTAGAAGAATAATTCCAAGAATATTAGAAATCTCCTTCTCTATTGACAATTTGTAGGCAAGTTACCAAAACAATTCATTTCAAAGGATAATTTGTAAAATACTTGGAATTGCATTAGAAACCACATAGAGGTATTACTTTGTATAATAAACTGTGAAATATGCGAAAATATTTGAGTGGGAGGCGTTGCAATTTAGTTTTCTGTTTTAAAACTTAATTCTTAAAGAGTAGTTATATGAAAGTATGTTATGAAATGAGTTGTACTTTGTTCAATTCAAGAAGTTTTAATTCCTATTTGCGTACCTAGCACATAATTTTTTTCTTGTAATGTGGGCGTGTTGGTGAAGTGGAGAGATGGTTGTCCTAGCATGTGGTTGCTGTGTGTACCTTCCCTTTTAAATATCTCAATGGCCTTTTTAAAAGGTGTTTCTTGCTTGAGTCCTTAATTGGCAGTGACTCCTGTAGAATCATTGTTTATAATTACCCTTAAAAATCTACTAATAGAAGGAATGTAAGTTTGTTACTGTACAGGTATACTTCATTTTATGTAATAATTTTATTTTCTGGAAAAAAAAAAAAGCCCTTAATCCGGTTGGGAAATCGGATGTATTGGGAGAACTTGTGTCTTTAAAAATTCTTCATTAGACCTTTCTGTTAATCAAATAATCAGTGGAAATTACTGTAATCTAATTTATCTGTTGGATTGGTTCAGGTTTTTGTGTTAGATTTTCTTAAAGTGAAGCATGCCTATAATAGATCCATATACTAAAAGAAATATTGAATTGGGACATTTTTGATATGGACAGTGTGAATTTTGTCACTTTAAATGTACTAGTTGTTAAAATTGCCTTAATTTTCTGTTTTGCCCTTTTAGATTACTTCCCAGATCTTAGCAGGTTCCTAATTCCATGTCTTCTGTTAGCATAACCACATGGTGTTGAACTGTGACCTTTGCAGGACTTGGGGAATCAGTGTGAGATCTTGAGATTGACTTGAGTTATAATCTAAGACTAAGTTAACTTTAATATTCTTGCTTAAATGACATCTCTCGTTGTGTTGAATATGCTTTCTTTTTACATGGGCTCTATTTCAGTTTTGATAACGGTTTGATTTTTATTTCTACACTTAAATGAATGCTATTATATATTTTTCTTTGTTTCACAAGAGAAATAATGTTTTCCTTTTTTTCCTCCTCATCTCTGTGCGTATTGCTTCCTGTCTGCGATTTGCTTACTACTTCTTATTGCAAGATCAAGCAGGTTGGTGTGATTGATTTGCACTCCACATGGTACAATTATTTATCCTATAAAGAACTATGTTATTTAAATACATTAAATTTTTAAAATTTAGTAGTTTTTTTACCAGGTAAGTATCTATCTTTTGTATTTTTAACAATCTTTCAACTTTAGCTTTTAAAAAGAACTTCATTTTTTTCCCTAAATTCTTAAAGACTCATTAAGCCAAAGTTTGGAAATACAAGTGTAAATTATTTCACATTCAAACATTTTTCTCCTTTTTTCTTAAAGCCAAGAATCAAATACCTGGTTATGCCGTGGTTGCTTATGTAATAAAAATGAAATTAATTCAATTAGGACTGCCCTGAAGTTCTTCCCCTTTGACTTACCCTGGCCGGTTAACGTTCACAATATTGGTTAGAGCACATGGCAAAGGGCAATAAAAAAATGTTGCTACTTATGTCTGGTTTAGTTAAATACTGTTTATGGCATTAACTTTTAAAAATATTTATTTACCTGAAATTTTGTGCTGAATTTTATCATGCATTGTTAGAAATAGATTTCTTTTTTGTTTGATTGGTTTAAGAAGGTTTTTTTAAAAAAAAGTCCTTTGAAAAATACATATAAAAGTGACTTTTACTGATGTCACATTTTTAAATACCTGGTTAGGAGAGTTAGCACATATTCACATTTAGCTTAAAATATTATTTGTGGAGAAATATAATGATTTGTCAGAGTGATTCTGGCTAAAGTAATATGTTACTTAAATATTAGGCTTTTGAAACTAACCCTGGCTATATATCTTTGATTGTCTTCATGAAAGTGTTACAAGACCACAATAAGATTTTTGCTGCTAAAGTATCAGTTTGGAAACATACCTGAATGGTTTTAAATTACTAATGTAATGCATTAATGCATGAACAGTTATGTGTCTTTGTATTTCCACATGTAAAATCTTTTTATTTAAAAAACTTTTTATTTTACTGCTTCTTAATGGGTTTTGAAACTGTTTTTAACTATTGAAACAATTAGAACCCTTGAAGCCTGTACATACTACTGTTCATATGTTGATTAGATCATTTCCTCTATACTGTTAGCATCAGTGTCTTCATGCATTTATTATTTTTGTCTTAACATATGTCCCATTTTGTCTTTAAATATTTATAATTCTCAGGTGGAAAGGAAGTTACACTTTTTTAAATGCGTATACTTACTATATACCTGAACTGATACTTTTCTCCTTCAAATTTCTAAGACATAGTATGACTGATGGGATAAGTAGTTTGGGAATAGTAGTTAAATTATTTTAAAGTTATTTTTTAACAGCTAATTCAAAAGATTCAATACAGATGACTGTGCCAAACAAGCCAGTAAATAGAATCAGTCTACATCCTGACTTTTGGAATGCAATGAATCACACCACACCAAAGCATGAATTTGGATCAGTGCTTTTATTTACTCTTTTATTTCATTTGTCTTGTGTCTTAGGTTTGCTCTGGACTTACAGTTCTATACAAATAATGTATTTTAAACCCTAGAGTTTTTTACATAATTTTGTCATAAAGAGTTAAAGCCTATTAATGATTCTTCATTTCATAGTTCCTGAAAAAATATACTCAGTTATATATCTCCATCATAATTATTTTTCAGTTCTTTTTCCTTGTTAGGTGGTGGGGGTTAGCTTTTGGGTGGAGACATTAACAATTTATACACTCTTATGATTTACACTCTTCTTCTGTAGTTCTTTGGGAAGGAAGTTAAGAATGACGGAAAGGTTCTAGGAGAGCCTCAGACCAATTCTGTGAAAAGTGTTATTGGTTTTCTGAAGGAATGTATGTTTCTAAGAAACTGTATGACCAGAAATGAATTGTCTTTGATTCAGTTTCATCACCAGTTTAATAAGCTAGTTTTATTTTCTCTTTTTCATTTGGATTTTGTTATTTTGAAATTCATTAATAAACTTTCTTTGAGCACCTATTACATGTATGTAAAATACTTTATTAGACATTATTAGCAAAAATAATCAATTGGAAGCCATATTCCAGCTTTATTATTTGGTAGTATTTCTACTTATATTTGACACTTGGCATGTTTACTCTGACTTAGGGAGCCTTCGGGTCCTGAGTTTGACATAATAACAAGCTATTTTAGTTGTTCCTTTAGTGTATGATGATATATCTTGACAGCTCAGCAACTGTGAAATGCTTGGTTAATTACTGTGTATGTAACTGTTACATAATTACATAGTATAGAATTTTTTCCTTTAAAAGTATGCTGTGAAATAAAATACTTTAATGTTATTAAACAAAAATTTTAGAAAAACTCTGAAAAATATATTAAAACTACTTGATGTAAATTCTGCCTGATATTTTCATCTGTGCATTTTATACCTATATATGACTTTTATTCACTTGTTTTATGTGAACTTGGGGAAGATATTTTAAGGAGTCGCTTGATTTTATACTTGGTTATCAGGAAAAAGTAACTGAAGAATCATGTTGCTTTTTTTTTAACCTATATTTGTTATCTGGGGACATATATATTTTTTAATTTGGCTTTCCTGTTAATCTTTCTTTTCCTATTATTTAGCTCATCTATTTTGCTTCTCTTTCGCTTTTGTTCTTAGTTATCATTGTACAATTGGACAACAGTTTGAATTTAGCAATGAGTTATAAAGTTCTAGGAGCATAATAAATGGAAATGCATGATATTATTGGTTTGATTTCCTTAAAATATTGATAATTGGTTTTGTATTATTGAGGAGTGTAGGCATTTCTATATTGAAGGAGGTAATTTATATAAGTCTGAAACATTGATTCATTTTAGTGATTGTTGCAATTAAATGATTCAAATAGGAAAAAAGAAAGTCTCCCCAGACAAGATGATTGAAATGCAAGCAAAAATTGATGAGGAGAGAAAAGCACTTGAAACAAAGCTCGACATGGAAGAAGAAGAAAGAAACAAGGCTAGAGCTGAATTAGAGAAACGGGAAAAAGATCTTCTTAAAGCCCAGTGAGTATTATTGAATTGAGATGAATTCATGATTTAAATTTCTGTTTTTTCCTAGGATATATAAAATAGGAAAATTGAATAGTAATTAAAAGCTTGGATTTTTGTCTCCAGTGTAGCTATTTTGGATAGAAGGGTCCATTGTATATAGTGTATTTCTAAAAACTAGATCTATTTTGGTTATTTTATTTCCGTGTGATAGGAAAACATATCAATGAATTAGAATGAGTTATAAATTAAGTTAGAAATCGATACTACACAGTGGTGTAATTTGGCAGAGATGTTACATAATTATATTTCTATTTTGAAATTGTATATCCAAATTTTAAATTTTGGGAAATGATATTAGTAGAATAATAGATCATCAGTGAATATAGAGTATTCTCATTCTAATCAACAGACAAGAGCATCAGTCTTTGCTGGAAAAATTATCTGCCCTGGAAAAGAAGGTAATTGTTGGTGGGGTTGACTTGTTGGCCAAAGCTGAGGAACAAGAGAAACTTCTTGAAGAATCTAACATGGAACTGGAAGAAAGGAGGAAAAGAGCAGAGCAACTTCGCAGAGAACTTGAGGAAAAAGAGGTAATGTGACTTTCTGTTTTTAGTTTGGTATTTTGCCAGAGAGATTTAACTTTTCTAGTGGAAAGCTAAATATCTATAATCGTATTGAAATTTTAAAGCATATTTATGGATTGCTTTGAAGATCAGATTTGCTAAACATTTATGTCATTTGTTAAAGAATTAGATATTTGATTTTACAAAGAAATTTATTCTGAAGTTTACTAATTTTTGTCATAGCAAGAACGCTTGGATATTGAAGAAAAATATACCAGTTTGCAAGAGGAAGCACAGGGAAAGACCAAGAAGTTAAAGAAAGTTTGGACTATGCTGATGGCTGCAAAGTCAGAGGTTGGTTCTCTTAGAAATTACCTACTAATGCAGTTCTGGATTTTTTAAAAGGGAGTTCTTTGATTAAGAATTTATAAATAATCATAATGTGAGCTTATAATTTAAAAGAAATAAAATATTTCTTTATGTGCAATTTTTAATTTTATCTATTAGTCTAAATTGTTTCTTTTCAACCTTAACAAATAGTGTAGAATAGATGCTGATAGTGTCACGCTGTTTATCATTTTTATAAAAGAACTAGGTAAGCTCTCACAAGGTTTCTTAGACAAGCATCCTATGTGAGATGGTGCTGTTTTGTAGTTAAAGTCTTGTTTGTTCATAATATTTTTATGGATTTTCTGGTAGATGGCTGATCTCCAACAAGAACATCAGAGGGAAATTGAAGGCCTACTGGAGAACATTCGGCAACTTAGCCGGGAGCTTCGACTTCAGATGCTTATTATTGATAACTTTATACCTCGGGATTATCAGGTAAAAAGGAAGTTCTCTGACCGAGATAGTCGCTTGACTGGGATTAAGGAACAAAGATTTCTAATTTAACTGATGATAAATACTTAATACTTCAGTTATTGAATGTACAATTTTTTGAACAAATGCCATCACATTTCACTTTAGTTGTTAACTTTTAATACATAATCTCTGTTTGAGTATCTAGCCTTTTAGACGAACTCAGATTCATGTATATGTGATCAGAATCAAGGTGTAGGTCCCATTCCTTCATTCAGCGCCCATTATCATACAAGTAGAATAAATGGAACCTCTGTGCTGCCTTTTTCTCCCTGCTGTGGGTGCTGATTCTTTGTGTGTGTGTGTGTATATGGTAAAATATAGATAACATGAAATTTACCATCTTAGCTATTTTAAGTGTGCAGTTCAATGGCATTTAGGACATTCACATTGTTGTGCAACCTGTACCATCATTCATCTCCAGATGGATGCTAATTCTTAGTACTAGTATAATTTTAAAATCTCAGCCTCTATTTTTTTTAATCCAAAATTTGTCTTTCCAGTGCATTTTGGTAAACTTTAACATGATTTTTTTTTTTTTTTTTTTTGTCAGGGAGACAGAGTCACTTTGTTGCCCAGGCTGGAGTGCAGTGGTGCAATCTCGGCTCCCTGCAACCTTCACTTCCCGGGTTCAAGTGATTCTCATGCCTCTGCCTCCCGAGTAGCTGGGATTACAGGCGTGTACCACCACACCCAGCTAATTTTTGTATATTTAGTAGAGATGGGGTTTAGCCATGTTGGCCAGGCTGGTCTTGAGTTCCTGAGCTCAGGTTGATCTGCCCGTTTTGGCCTCCCAAAATGATGGGATTACAGGTGTTAACCACCATGCCTGGCCAATTTTTTAAAAATCTGTTTTGAATCTCAATACAGTTTTAAGAAATTTGTCTGAAAATAAGTCTTAGTCATTTTTTTTTTTTTTGGACCTCAGGTACATGGAATTAGTCCTGGGTTCATGGTACATTCTCCTTATTGGTCCTTGGATGGCCTGCTTTTATTTAGTTATTTTGTAATGAACTCATCACCCAAAACAATATCTAGGACCCTGATAATAACTACTTCTAACCAGTTTCCCCTTCCCTTATTTCATTCCTTTGCCTCTTCCAACCCAAGGTAATCATTATCTTGATTCCCAAGTTTCTCATTCTGTTGTTTTTTCATTTTCATTTAGTTTTATTTCATCTGCATGCATTCCTAAGAAATATGTATTTTAGAATTTATAAAAAGGTTATATCAGTATATAATGTTTTGAGACTTTTATTACTCAATGTTATTAAGATTTTAGTTTTATGACTTCAATATTTTAGATGTTATTAAATATTAAAAATAGGCTATCTTTCACCCTTTTAAAAGGAAATGATTGAAAACTATGTCCATTGGAATGAAGACATAGGAGAATGGCAGCTAGTGAGTATTACCTTCATTCTTTCACGTAATAATTAAAGAGTACTTCCTATGGTCTAGAAATTGTGCTGGCTACAGTGGGGAGGAACATGGTCCAGTAGATGAATCAGATGAGAATCCAGTAGGGCAGATAAAATATTTTTCTAATTCCATGTAATTAATTGTAACATACAGATCATGGTCTGGGTGGAAATGGTCAGAGTTAGGGGCTATGTGGGACTAAGTGACCTCTGGGGCCCTTTCTGCTCTAGCATTCAAATCATGTTTTACTAGTGTAATGTTAGGATTTCTCAGTTATTTGCCTAACTCACAGTATTGATTACTAATTAAGACATTTCTCTGTCTCTCCCTTTTCTTTTTTTGAGAAATGTGTTGCTTATACAGGAAATAACATGAGGAAGCAAACCCCAGTACCTGATAAAAAGGAGAAAGATGTAAGAGTACTTAAAAAAAAACAAAACAAAACACAAAACTACTGTTGTTTCTTTATAGGAATATGAGTCATTAAATTGTATTATCAACTTGATATCTGTTAATCAGCTCTGCTGAAAAATGGGCTGATACTTTTGGGAATAAAGGCTCTAGGATGGGGTGATGAGGAGGACAGTTCTGCTTACCATCAGTCTTGATGTCAGGCTTATTCCCACCACAAGAGGGGCATGGACTCACTCTTTGGAGTCCTCTTTTCACTACCACTCTGGGTCGTAGGATTATGGGTGGAGACTAGAATGTGTCTTTCTTTCTCTTCAAAGCTAGTTCTAGTCCTAGGTCAAGAAGAAGAGGGAGCGGGCCGGGCGTGGTGGCTCACGCCTGTAATCCCAGCACTTTGGGAGGCCGAGGCGGGTGGATCACGAGGTCAGGAGATCAAGACCATCCTGGCTAACACAGTGAAACCCCGTCTCTACTAAAAAAATACAAAAAAAATTAGCCGGGCGTGGTGGCGGGTGCCTGTAGTCCCAGCTACTCAGGAGGCTGAGGCAGGAGAATGGCGTGAACCCAGGAGGTGGAGCTTGCAGTGAGCCCAGATCGCGCTACTGCACTCCAGCCTGGGCGACAGAGTGAGACTCCGTCTCAAAAAAAAAAAAAAAAGAAGAAGAAGAGGGGGCAGCTTTAAGAAAAACAGCAACAGTTTTTATGTCCAAGGAAATTTATAGTGTGTCAGGGCTTCTTACTCACCAACCTTTATTAAGTACATTTTAGATACTGGGATTAGAAGATGATGTCATTAGACATTTCTTTGGTTTTAGCTTCTGTGGGTTTGATCAAGGAGTTTATTCAGTATTTTAAATCTTCCCCCAAATCTGGCTTTAACTCTTTGCCTTAAGAGTGCTTTGTGTTTGTTTCTTTTACTTAGCCCTTTGAGGTGGACCTTTCTCACGTGTATCTTGCCTATACTGAGGAGAGTCTGCGTCAGTCTTTGATGAAACTAGAAAGACCACGAACTTCAAAGGGGAAAGCAAGGCCAAAGACAGGGAGAAGGTAAGGACTGTCCTTGAATCTGGTAAAACGAAGGCATTGAGGTATTCTAATTAGATACATGTACAGGAAGTTAAAATTTATTTAGTTAAAACATGATACATATTTTGGCTGATTTATTAAAAATCAAATTCCTGGCTGGGCACAGTGGCTCACGCCTGTAATCCCAGCATTTTGGGAGGCCGAGGCAGGTGGATCATTTGAGGTCAGGAGTTTGAGACCAGCCTGGCTAACATAGTGAAACGCTGTCTCTACTAAAAATACAAAAGTTAACCAGGCATGGTGGCGCATGCCTGTAATCCCAGCTACTGGGGAGGCTGAGGCATGAGAATCGCTTGAACCCAGGAGCCGGAGGTTGCAGTTAGCCGAGATCATGAGATCATGCCACTGAACTTCAGCCTGGGTGACAGAGCAAGACTTGGTCTCAAAAAAAAAAAAAAAAAATCAAATTCCTTATGTATTAGAATTTGAGTAAATAAAATCTGGCCAAAGAATTAAGGTCTTCCAACTTCTTAGGCTTCTGAGTAATAGAATTTATTTTTAATTCACTCTGTTATTTCCAAATGTATAATGGGTTTAATTCCTTAATTCTTAGACTAATTCTTCTTATGAAATGCTAATTAATTTGCCTGTTTGGTCTCCCAAGGTATTGTATTCAGCTGGTTAGTTTTTCTGTCAGGTGCCCCAAGAACCTTGATTTCCTCAGTCACCAGCTAAGGAGAACTTCCTTGGACATTTCCCCCTCTCCTTTGGGCACTGGTTTTGACTGTTGGGTAGTCTGCGTGTATCATCACATAAGCTCAGGGAAATCGGGATATGGGAGTCCTGGGCTGGAGCTTATTTTTTTTTCCTTTCCCTTTCCTACATCAAGGACTGTTCAGTTTATTTAAGCTGATTTTAAGACTCTGGGGCTCCTAAAATGTAGGAAATAATAAGCTGCTTTTTTCCCTACTTTGAGTGCATGGACTTTCAAGTTACATGTGGGATGAAGTTGTACGGTTTTGATATCTTTGTGTTACATAATCTCATAGACATGACTTAACACTTATAAATTTGGGATGGTTGAACTCAGGGTTGGGCAAACAGTTGAATATTAAAAATGTACAAATTTTTACATTCTTTAGCATTTAGGTGAGGGGTTAAAAACTTTCCTATACCAACACATGCCAAGCATATTGTAGTGAAGCAAATCAGTTCTAAGAAACATGAGTCCCTTTAGATGTATCTTTTTTTCCATTTTTAATAAAATGACAGTGCAAGTGTGATGATAAATGGTAAGACATTTGTCCCCAGCGTAGGAGAAAAATTGGCAGTGGTGAGCAGTCCTGTCTAAAGTGAGTGGCTGCTATTCTCTTCCTAGTTATCTATGGAAATAGAGGGCTCATTGTTTCTGGATCTTCTGTTTTCTTTTCTTTTCTTTTTTTTGAGATGGAGTCTCACTCTGTTGCCCAGGCTGGAGTGCCCTGAGTAGCTGGGATTACTGGCACCTGCCACCATGCCCAGTTAATTTTAGTATTTTTACTAGAGATGGGGTTTTGCCCTGTTGGCCAGGCTGGTCTCGAACCCCTGACTTCAGGTGATCTGCCCACCTCAGCCTCCCAGAGTGTTATGATTACAGGCATGAGCCACCGTGCCTGGCCTGGATCTTCTCTTTTCTAAGGAAAAGCCAGAAATTCGAATTATTTACTTGAGATCTGTCAATTTTACTTTTTTTTTTTTTAACTATATGGACCCTAAAGCAAATGAATAAATAATATGATATTTGAATACGTTTTCCAGAACATCCATTTTAAGATACGTCATTTTTTTAGTTTAACATTAAAAAAATCGTGTGGCCCAACATTATATGAGCCAAACTCACCATCTCTGTATACTGGAATTGGCCTGCTATAACCATGGAAACCCTAAGAAAATGGTAGCCATAAACATGGACAAATACATGCATTAAATGGTTTATTGATGCTATGTTACATTATATGATATGTTCAATGTGATGTTCCTTGTTAGAAACACATAGTTAGATGGGCTAGGCAAAATTGCAATAAATATAATACATTAATGTAGCATTTCCATAAGTCCCTACATATGCATCAGGTATTGCCTGAGATGATTTGTTTCTGATTTCCTCTGAATCCACTTGCACCTTTTGAGTACCTCAGAAGAGATAATCAGGAAGTTCAAATCTGGCAAGCATGCAGCTCACTTGGCCTGGCCACATGACCTAGTCTAGTCTTGGAAATTATCACCTGTCCTATCCTTCACTATCTGGCATAATGGGGTGGGCTGCCATCCTCTTGCATTTACTTTAAGTTAGCTTCCCGTAGCCTGAAAAGGCGAGCATTAATTGAACACTTACCATGGTCAAACGTGTCAAATTTTGGCTTGTTTCCAGACTATACAGGCCACCCCATAGTTTCTATATAATGTTAAATGTTTGCATTTCAGTCTTTTAGGAAAGCATTCATGATTGCTTTTTTTCTTCTCCAAACAGAAAGCGTTCTGCAAAGCCTGAAACTGTAATTGACTCTTTACTGCAGTAAATGTTACAGACTTAAAGTCACAATAAAAATTAGTGATATTCTCATGCCTGGACAAAATCTTTAATTAAAACAGTGAAGACTTCTCTATAATTTCAATTAATGGAAGTTGTAGATCAATGAATAAGACTGGAAATAATAATTTGCTTAAGAACTTTTAGTCTACATATATTAATATAACATTAAAATTGTACAACTGGTGATTGTTCAAATTGTTGTACTACTACTCTTCAATTGTACTGTGCAGGGAAGTTGGGGGAACAGTTCATACTATAGAGAGTTACAGTTTAGATGTATGTGTAAATCGATTAGCTATTTATCCAACTACTGTATATTTAGGTAACTAGAATTTCAAAATAGAAAAAAAAAAACTGTGTCCTGTTTTGCACATAGAAAGAAGCAGATCAGATTGTCCTATGTTGCGCTGTTATATATGAATGTTTGGACTGTACATCTAAAGAATGATTCCGTCCTAACACCCACCCAGCCTGTTTGAACACATTCTAATTGTCTAACATTTGTTGCATTTTAAGTATGAGATGACTGATCTTATGAATGTTTTGTAGAAAATGTTATAATTTAACAGTCTTTGCGAGTATACATGTTTTTTAACAAGTTGAAAATGTTTCATCTGAACCTTTCCTAACTTTTTTTTGCCAGTTTGAGTTCAAATCAAATACACCTTAAGTTCTGGTTTCATGTTCTCTTGAAACATTGAATTGTACGTAAATATAAAGGATCTACTGTTGCGGAAAATTAAGAAGCTAAATACTGCTCAGTTATCTTTGCCTGCGTGTATATTTTTAAAAATTCACTCTGAAGTGTTATGGATGCTTTTCTTTGAGTTCTAAATTTTGGTGGGAATTACTTTATGTCTCCCAGTTAAGAAGAGTCTCCATTTTCCAGAAAATACAGCTAAGCAAGAAAAATATCTTTTAAATACTTTGCCTTTAAAACACTTTTTTATTTTGTTTTTCTATTTTAAAAATAAAATATTATTTTCTGAATTTCTTCTATTGGGTAATCCAGTTAGACCATATTCCTCTACAAATAAAAACTATGTTGATTTCATAGTAAAGTAAGTTGTAATAGAGATAATTATTTTTTTCTGTTGTTAGCTGCTTATGAAACTTTTATTGTATTTTTTTAAAGTTATGCTACTCCTGGCCGGGCATGGTGGCTCACGCCTGTAATCCCAGCACTTTGGGAGGCCGAGGCACGTGGATCACTTGATGTCAGGAGTTCGAGACCAGCCTGGCTAACATGGTGAAACCCTGTCTCCAGTACAAATACAATAATTAGCTGGGTGTGGTGGCGCACACCTGTAATCCCAGCTACTTGGGAGGCTGAGGCAGGAGAATCACTTGAACCTGGGAGGCGGAGGTTGCAGTGAGCTGAGATGGCATCACTGCACTCCAGCCTGGGTGACAGGGTGACACTCCACCTCAAAAAATAAAAATAAAATAAAAATAAAGTTATGCTACTCCTAAACCACTTAATATATGTTTTGTGGTTTTCAAAATTATGTAATCAGCCCTGAAACACATTGGTTGAAAATATTTTGAGACTTTATAAGTTAGTATTTATTAAATTAATATTATTTTAATAAGTTTTGTTAAATCCTAGTTTAAATGACAAAGCTGTGTATAGAGTAGGGGTGAGTGAAGGTGGAGTACTCTTGAGGTGGCGATAAAAATGTACCCATAAATTTAAAGTCCATTCTGTAATTGGAATACTGAATGTCCTGTGTGTGGTGAACATTTTCTAGGTGATTAGAATTGCATTTCACTGGCTGCATTTGTTTGTGGTATGTAAGATAGCTAGAAATTTATTACTTAACTCTGTGGGGCATTGTTTAGATACTGTGAAGAGTTGAGGTAAATATGTGTCTTGTAAAAGCTTTGTGTGATCAGAATATTTTGGTAATTATAAAATGTTTTTGATGATACACATTTAACTCTGTTAGTAATTACTCTAAAGAAATCTTAATTTTACCAGTTTAAAAAAAACGCTTCTTTTTAAAAGTTCATGTTTCTAACCTTTAACAATTCAGTTAATAGGAAAGGAGTAACTTTTAAATCAAGCTTTAAAACATGGAAATTTAAGCCAGTATGTTAGATATTTTTTCTATCCCACCCTACCATGATAATAAAAATAAATCTATAAAAAGTCAAAATAAAAAGCCGATCTATAAAAAGTCAATTGAGAAGTTCTAAAAGCAGGCTACTATAGCAGGGGTGTTTGTTTTTTGTTTGGAGACGGAGTCTGGCTCTATTACCTAGGCTGGAGTGCAGTGGGACAATCTCGGCTCACTGTAACCTCTGTCTCTTCAGCCTCCTGAGTTGCTGGAACTACAGCTGTATGCCATCATGCTCGGCTAATTTTTGTATTTTTTTGTAGAGATGGGGTTTTGCCATGTTGCCCGGGCCTGTCTTGAACTCCTAGAGCTTAAGTGATCCACCCGCCTCAGGCTCCCGAAGTGCTGGGATTACAGGCATGATTATAGGCCTGAGCCACCACACCCCGCCTACTATAGCAGTTTTTTAAAAAAAGCATTATGTTAAAACTGATTATACCAGATGGACATTAAATATCCATCTCAGAAATACCAAAATTTGATACATAAGCCTGGCCTGAATATCTTTTTTTTTTTTTTGAGACGGAGTCTTACTCTGTCGCCCAGGCTGGAGTGCAGTGGCGCGATCTCGGCTCACTGCAACCTCTGCCTCCTGGGTTCAAGGGATTCTCCTGCCTCAGCCTCTTGAGTAGCTGGGATTACAGGTTTGCGCCACCACACCCAGCTAATTTTTGTATTTTTTTTTTAGTAGAGACCGGGTTTCACCATGTTGGCCAGGCTGGTCTCACCTGACTTTGTGATCCGCCCGCCTCAGCCTCCCAAAGTGCTGGGATTACAGGTGTGAGCCACCACGCCTGGCCTCAAGCCTGGTCTGAATATCTATATGCAAATATGGGACACTGACTTCAGAGCTATTCATTTAGCTCCAGTCATAGCAATTCTGTAGTTTCCTCACATTTACTGTGTCTTTGTCCACAAATGAAATATGTTGTAAGGTCAGTGTTAATTTCGTGAGACGATATAGATGAACACACTTGCTCATTTTTTGAAATAAATATGCAGATTTAAAATGAGTGGCACATATATATAAATAGGTTATTGAATGGGTATTCTCTTTTCCCTTTAATTTAAAAAGTGATATTTATTTATTAAAAGGAGCATTGGTAGAATTATTGGTTTATAGTATCTTCTTTAATAATCCTTACAATTACATATACTAATAGGATGTTAAAATTATCATCGTGTTTCCTATTTGTGTTTAGATTCTTATAAAGCATGAGATGAGTAATCAAGGGAAGGGTCGCATCTCCATGTTTGCCCCATGAATAGAATCCATTTGACAAGCCATTTCATTTCCTTTCTGGAGAAAGGGAGTTGTTTTTTTTTTCTTTTTACAGCAAAAATTTAAGGTTTTATTGGGGGAGGGGGTGGTGCTACTTCCTCTGTAACATGTTTTTAAAACTATGATTATGGTTTTTGGTTGTTTTTTGTTTTGTTTGTTTCCTTTTAGTCTGTTTTTAATATCCTTCCCCTTAACTCTTAAGGAAAGTCTTCTTTCCTACAGGGCTGTGAATTAAGGAATGGGTAGCGTTTACATTTAAGTACACCAATGTCTGCCCAATTTCCTAATGTATACATTTGTTTTATTTTAAATTATTTTTTGTTCTTAAAAATACTAGAAGAAAACATAGATGTTTCTAGTGCCTTTGAACTTATACTGTAGTCTGACTAATTTAATGAATAACTTCAGTAGCATTACTATAATACTGTATGCTGGCCAAAATTACAAATTACAGTTTGTTGCATCAGTTTCAAAAGCCATGCTTTCATTGTATTTTATGTATAAATTGTATTTGTTCAAGTTGTATATATTGGTATTGTATGTATACATGCAGCATGGTTAAATAAGAATAAAAATCTTTTACCTAATGCCTGTAGTAGTGGTCTGCTGCTTTTCTCAACTATCTTTGTGGTTACTTCCACCCTGATATTAATGAGCAGGTTCTTTGTGCTTGGCATCTCAATTTGTGGTTAAGAGAGGCCTGTGTAGTTTCACACCCAGAAACGCTTAATGTTGTGGGTCTTTTAAGCAGAAATCATGAAGCAAATCTGGGAGAGATGTTATTTACATCTTTAAACTTTTAGGTTTGGCGGTACATGTGAAGGTTTGTTACATAGGTAAACACATCTCATGGGGTTTTGTTGTACAGATTATTTCATCACCCAGGTATTAAGCCCAATACCCAATAGTTATCTTTTCTGCTCTTCTCCCTTCTCTCATCCTCTCCCCTCAAGTAGACTCCAGTGTCTGTTGTTTCCTTCTTCGTGTTCATAAGATCTTATCATTTGGCTCCCACTTATAAGTGACAACATGCGGTATTTGGTTTTCTGTTCCTATGTTAGTTTGCTAAGGATAATAGCCTCTAGCTCTATCCATGTTCCCACAAAAGACATGATCTCATTCATTTTTATGGCTGCATAATATTCCATGGTGTATATGTACCACATTTTCTTCATCCAATCTGTCATTGATGGACATTTAGTTTGATTCTTTGGAGAAACTTTTTTTTTAATTAAATTTTATTTTATTTTATTTTAAATTTTATTTTATTTTATTTTATTTTATTTATTATTTTATTTTATTTATCTTATTTTTTGAGACAGAGTTTTGCTCTTGTTGCCCGGGCTGGAGTGCAGTGGCACAGTCTTAGCTCACTGCAACCTCCACCTCCTGGATTCAAGCAATTCTCCTGCCTCAGCCTCCTGAGTAGCTGGGATTACAGGCATGCACCACCATGCCTGGCTAATTTTGTATTTTTAGTAGAGATGGAATTTCACCATGTTGTTCAGGCTGGTCTCGAACTCCTGACCTCAGGTGATCCACCCGCCTCAGCCTCCCAAAGTGCTGGGATTACAGGCCTGAGCTACTGTGCCCAGCTGGAGAAATGTTTTTAAATGTGCTTCTTCTCATTGATAAACTGTATTTTTCACCAAAAATACTTTTTTTTTTTTGAGATGGAGTTTGGCTCTTGTTGGCCAGGATGGAGTGCAATGGCACGATCTCAGCTCACTGCAATCTCCGCCCCCCAAGTTCAAGTGATTCTCCTGCCTCAGCCTTCAGAGTAGCTGGGACTACAGGCATGCACCATCATGCTTGGCTAACTTTGTATTTTTAGTAGAGACGGTGTTTCTCCATGTTGGTCAGGCTCGTCTCGAACTCCCAACCTCAGGTGATCCACCCACCTCGGCCTCCCAGAGTGCTGGAATTACAGGTGTGAGCCACTGTGCCTAGCCCCAAAAATACTTCTATCTGAATTTTGTTATCCTTTTCATTATGTGTTTGAGAACAGAAACCAATTCTCAGGTCATAACTTAAGGAAGTGTGTATGTAGAATGTATTCTATGAAAGGTACCATTACTTAGTGGTAACAGTGCCATGATCTCATTCAGAAGCTTGAAGTATCTCCAAGACAATAACATTACTTGGGTTATTGTTAATCATGTTCTTTTGACAAACATTGATTACCAGGCACTGTGACTGGCAGGCTTAAGAACTTCAAAGTAGAAAATGAGAAATTTTGATTTGTCAACAAGTTTCAAAGGACTTTAAATTTTTATTTTTGTTTTTATTTTTTTTTAGAGTCTTGATCTGTTGCCCAGGCTGGAGTGCAGTGGCACGATTTCAGCTCACTGCAAGCTCCGCCTCCTGGGTTCACGCCATTCTCCTGCCTCAGCCTCCCGAGTAGCTGGGACTATAGGCATGTGCCACCACGCCCGGCTAATTTTTTGTATTTTTAGTAGAGACGGGGTTTCACCGTGTTAGCCAAGATGGTCTTGATCTCCTGACCTTGTGATCCGCCTGCCTCGGCCTCCCAGAGTGCTAGGATTACAGGCATGAGCCACCGCGCCCGGCCTGAAATTTTTATTTTTTAATTGACACATAATTATATTATGAGATATATCGTGATGTTTTGATAAAATACATGATGATCAGATCAGGGTAATTAGCATATACATCTTCTCAGACATTATGTCCTTGTGAACACTCAGTATTTTCTTTTCTAGCTATTTGAAAATGTTGTTGTTTACTATAGTCATTCTACAGTGCTATAAAAACACTAGACCTTCTATCTAGCTGTAATTTTGTGTCTCAAATGACTTTGTTTTTAAAGACAGGGTTTTGCTCTATTGCCCAGGCGTGAGTGCAGTGGTGCGTTCATAGCTCACTGCCCCCTTGAACTCCTGGGTTCAAGCAATCCTTCTGCCTCAGCCTCCTGAGTAACTAGGACTACAGGTGCATGCCCTCACACCTGGATAATTTTTTATTTTTACTTTTTATTTTTTGAGACAGAGTCTCACTCTGTTGCCCAGGCTGGAGTGCAGTGGCGCAATCTCAGCTCACTGCAACCTCTGCCTCCCGAGTTCAAGCGATTCTCCGGCCTCAGCCTGCCAAGTAGCTGGTACTACAGACGCAACACCATGCTCGGCTAATTTTTGTATTTTTAGTAGAGATAGGGTTTCACCATATTGGCCAGGCTGGTTTCAAACTTCTGACCTCGTGATCTGCCTGCCTCAGCTTCCCAAAGCGCTGGGATTACAGGCGTGAGCCACTGCACCTGGCGTCAAGTGGCTTTTTTAAAATGTGTTTTTTGTAGGGGTGGAAACTCCTCTGGTCATTCCAGGGGTCTTCCTCTCCCCCACTTCCAGCTTATGTAAAACTCTTACCTGTGTGTAGAACATGAAGACAAAATTAAAGGCCTGCCCTGGCATGTACAAGATAATAAATCGTGCTGCCTTTTCCCCCTTTGCCCCTCTTCTGCAATTGAGTTCTGGAGCTATGGTGTCCAGTTTCATCAAGCGATACCACTGAGCCACTCCCTTACAAACGCGTCTGTTACTGCCTGTGTTGTCGGGATGCTGCTGAAGACATTGTCCATCCTATCATCTTGTGAAGATTCTCGAGAAATTTCTTTTAAAGCTAAGTACCAGATTATTATATCAGACTATTTTCTCCCCGCATATATAAAAAGAGTGAAGTAAAATAATGCGTTTTCCACTGTGCTTTTGCTGATAGGACTATAATATCTGATGACCTGCTTATAGTCTTATTTTTCTCTGGATCATCATTTCCTCCTACTCCCTTTCTGCTTTGGTCCTAATAATGTTATTTTCTGTCTTAATCTTTTCCAATAAATCACTTTGAATCCATTTTTAAAACAAGGTAGAGTAAAAATCACTGAAGACCACCGTTAGCCTGTGCCTTTACAGAAGGAGTTAACACAGTTCTGAAGCCACAGCCTGAACTTAAAGCGAGCTGGAGGAGCCTTCCAAACACATTTATTAATTATTATCTCAATTTCTCTGTCTTAAGCTGTTTCATTTGCAAAGCAAATCAGGTATTCAGTCCTTTTTCGGAAGTTGAACAAATGTGTGGGAAAATGATTACGAAGAGGCTACTTCAAAAAGAACCTGTTTCCTCTCAGCATTTATCTTGGGCTTCCTGTGACCCAATCTTCAAGTGACTTTTATCAACGTTATCAGAAGATCAGATTGTCTCACCCAAACACGTTTATGGCTCTGACTAAAGAATATGACAGATCAGATATTCCTCTCCACCTGCTCCCCTCCCCCATCCCTTTTTAGAGGGCTGGGGAAATTTTAGTTTTTAATCAAAGGCTTTATTTCTCCAGTTGTGCAAAGGAATTTAACTGGGACTTTACAACTGAATAAAGTATTTCTCAGAGTCGATACTAATCTTAGCAAGAGGATATTGCCTAACCCAACCTAAAAGCAGCAGAGTCATTACAGAAATATTATGTTGGCCTTGATTTCTACCCCACCATGAGTTATGCTACTCACCAGGTAGCCTGTTTTGTTTTTCATTTTTAGAGACAGGGTCTCACTCTGTCACCCAGGTTGGAGTGCAGTGTCACAATCATAGCTTACTATGACCTCAAACTCTTAGGCTCAAATGATCCACCTCAGCCTCCCAAGTAGCTGGGACCACAGGTGTCTGCCACTACACTTGGCTAATTTTTTAATTTTTTGTAGAGATAGGAGCTTGCTAAGTTGCCCAGGTTGGTTTGGAACTCCTGGCTTCAAGCAGTCCTCCCGCCTTGGGCTCCCAAAGTGCTGAGGTTACAGGCGTGAGCCACTGTGCCCAGCATGTGCCCTGTTTTAAGTGTATCTCCTGCTGTAGTCCGTTACATGTGCACATCTCTTCTGTGTTTACTGTGTACCTGCTCTATGCTGAGAAGAATGTCTTTTCAAAACTCACACCCTCCCTTAGGAGAGAGAGGTGGCCACATGAATGGAGAATGACTGCATAGCATGCTGAGGGCTGTGGTAAAAGAGGCTGAATGGTGAGCTGCCAGGTACGGCATCCTTCCTGTGCAGCTGACATGGTGCCTGACACATGTCTGCCTGACCAAAGGGGCAGAAGAGGCTTCTCAGGGGAAGTTCTGTTTGAGGTCTTCAGCAGTTCAACAGCTGGGGAAAGGTATTCCAGGAGCGAGTGAGTTTGGATGCCATGTGCGTTGGTGGTGTGCTTGAAGTAGAGCAAACGGGGTGGAGGCAAATGAGCCTGAAAAGGAAAGAGATGGGACAGGATCCTACTGTGGAAGAGTTTTCTGTAAGCAGTGGGAAGCCACAGAAGGATTTTAAGTGGGCCATTCACATTGTGTTTTATTTTGAGACAGGGTCTCACTGTCACCCAGGCTGGAGTACAGTGGCATGATCAAGGCTCACTGAAGCCTCAACCTCCCAGGCTAAAGCAATCCTCCTGCTTCAACCTCCCAATTAGCTGAGAGCACAGCTGTGTAAAAATTTAATTTTTTTTTTTTTTGTAGAGACAGGATGTTGGCCAGGCTGGTCTCGAACTTTTGGGTTCAAGCGAAGCTCCCATCTCAGTCTCCCAAAGTGCCGGGATTACAGGCGTGAGCCACTGCACCTGGCCTATTTGTGTTTTAGAAAAACAACTGCTGGGCCGGGTGTGGTGGCTCACCCCTGTAATCCCAGCACTTTGGGAGGTTGAGGCAGGTGGATCACGAGGTCAAGAGATTGAGACCATCCTGGCCAACATGGTGAAACCCCGTCTCTACTAAAAATACAAAAAAATTTACCTGGGCGTGGTGGCATGCACCTGTAGTCCCAGCTACTTGGGAGGCTGAGGCAGGAGAATCACTTGAATCCCGGGGGCGGAGATTGCAGGGAGCCGAGATCGCACCACTGCACTCCAGCCTAGTGACAGAGTGAAATTCTGTCTCAGAAAAACAAAACAAAACAAAAAGAAACAACTGCTGGAGAGTTTGTGAAGGATTAGAGGGAGCAAGACGGGATGCTGGTTGGGATGGTGGTTGGGAGAGCAGATGCTATACACACCTGTGTCCCGGAGGTGGAAAGGGTCATCAGCCAGAGGAGTAACCGCCCTCTCTTCTCAGCTGTTTTGCTTGCACTCGTGATTGGTATAAACTGAGGGAGCAAATGTGTGTCCTCTTATTCACGTTGCCTAGTAAGTACCCAGGTGTGCAGTGAGCATACAAAACATCAAAACATATTTTCGTTTGGCTGAACTCTGGCTAATCAGAAACTAGAAGGAACAGACAGCTTAGAGACTTAAAGTTGGACTAGGAAGAAGTTGACAGGATGGATTAGAAGATAGCCACTTTAGGCTGGGTACAGTGGCTCATGCCTGTAATCCCAGCACTTTGGGAGGCCGAGGTGGGTGGATCACCTGAGGTCAGGAGTTCAAGACCAGCCTGGCCAACACAGTGAAACCCCATCTCTACTAATAATACAAAAAAATGAGGCAGGTGTGGTGGCAGGCACCTGTAATCCCAGCTACTCAGGAGGCTGAGGCAGGAGAATTGCTTGAAGCTGGGAGGTGGAGGTTGCAGTGAGCCAAGATCTCGCCACTGCACTCTAGCCTGGGTGACAGAGCGAGACTCTGTCTCATTAAAAAAAAAAAAAAAAAAAAAAAAACAACAACACTTTAGAGAGCCAAGGAGAGGGTGTCTGGGTACTTAGGGCAAAAGCCCAGTTGAGGAAACGCTGGGCGTGACAGCTAACTGGGGATTTTAGTACTCCACCTGGGAATGGAACTCAAACTTGAGCTAATAAATTGAATCTAGAAATCAGCCCCAAGGCTAGAGAAAGTGCCTGCCTTGCTCCTAGTGGAAGCTACTAGAAACTGAGAAGCCAACCCTGTGTGTCATAGGCCAGGCTGTGCCTAGCTCCATAAGGAAGCTCTGCGTTGTGCTTAGCCTTGAGATTCCCATCCTTAGATAATGTGGGCACCCTGAGATTATGTGAAGGAGGGCAGAGAAAAACCAAGAGCAGGGTCAATGACATGGACAGCAACAAGCAGAGCCCCCTTGGCATTTGTAACAGAGGTGACCCTTTGTAACTGTAGCCCAACAATGTTTCCATAAAAGACAGCCATAGATTTGAGCCAAATCATTTTTTGATTCATTTTTCCAATAAATAATTATTACCCCCTAGATGCCAGTTACAGATAGTTTATTCATTGGCAAAAGGTGGAGGTATGATAGCCAGGAGGGAAAGGTTCAGACTTACTGTCAATGTCATATTCCACACACAGACAAAAGGCATGTCCCATGAAGCAGGCACGGGCTGTGGCTGAGTTTGCTACATAAATGTGCTCAGATGACAAGCATCTTAACTTTCACTTAATCCTGAAGGTTTTTCACCCTCTGTTTTTTGTTTTGTTTTTTTTTTTTTGAGACAGAATCTCGCTCTGCCGCCCAGGCTGGAGTGCAATGGCACGATCTTGGCTCACTGCAACCTCCACCTCCCAGGTTCAAGCGATTCTCCTGCCTCAGCCTCCCGAGTAGCTGGATTACACGTGTGCACTAGCATCCCCAGCTAATTTTTGTATTTTTAGTAGAGACGGGGTTTCGCCATGTTGGCCAGGCTGGTCTTGAACTCCTGACCTAAGGTGATCCGCCTGCTTCAGTCTCCCAAAGTGCTGGAATTACAGGCGTGAGCCACTGCGCCCGGCCTCACCCACTGTTTTTATAAGTATCCCCCTCAATTTGTGTTCTCATTGTCTTCGGAAATTCAAAGGCTTGTTGTTGTTGCATGTTTGCATCCAGAGTCCAGGACTGCCTGACTGGGAGTAAATGGAAATGTGAGTTGCATCTTGCCTAATGAAGCTTATGTGATGACAGACCTGCTTAGAGTCTGCATGTGTCCTTTCCATGGCGTGCTCTAAATCTTCCTACTTTCCTTTACCATCCTGTCCTCATATACAAACTGTAACCCACTACCCATATCCTGTGGCAGACTACAACTCACATTAGCCATTGAATGCAAATGAGCCTCAATCAAAGAAGAAAGGAAATTAAAATTTACAGTATGTGTCTTCTCCGGTTGGCCTGAGGAGCCTCCATGACTCTCATAGCTATTTATTGCCCTTGGCATGCTGGTATTTTATGTGGGCAGGGTGAAACTGGCTGTGGTCAGGGTGAGACTTGAAGCTTTTGATTTGTTCCCTTATTTTGAAAGGGTTAAAAAGATGTTACATGTTTTGGTGTAATTTTAGTACTCATATTAATTTTGTCACATCTCTGTAAGCGAGGATGAAAAGAGAGTGCTCAATCACTGTTACTAGATCCATATTCTTACAGAGAACAAGTCTTCAAAAGGCAAGTTTTGATGACACTTGGGTTTTTTTCCCCCTTTTAATTTCTTTTAAATAACAGCTTTATTGAGATAGAATTCACCTACTACGAAATTTATCCTTTTAAAGTGTACGAGTCAGTGCTTTTTAGTATGTTCATAGAATTGTGCAACCATCACCATTATCTAATATCCGAACATTTTCATCACCCCTGAAAGAAACCCCACCCCCCATTATCAGTCACTCCCCATGCCTCCACACCCGCCTCCCACCCACAGCCTGTAGCAATCAATATTCTATTTTTGCCTCTGTGGATTCTCCTGTTCTGAATAATTCATATCAGTAGAATCATACCATATGTGGTCTTCTGCATTTGGCTTCTTTCCCGTCACATACTGTTTCCAAGGTTCATCCGGGTTGTGGCCTCTGTCAGTACTTCATTTCTTTTTATTGACAAATAATATGCCATTGTATGGATATGCCACTTTTTGTTTATCCATCAGTTGATTGACATTTTGGTTGCTTCTACTTTTTTTTTTTTTTCTTTGAGACAGGGTCTTATTCTGTCGCTCAGGCTGGAGTACAGCAGCGCAGTCATAGCTCATTGTAGCCTCAACCTCCCAGGCTTGAGCCATCCTCCCACCTCAGCCTCTCCAGTAGCTGGGACTACAGGCATGTGCCACCATGCTCAGCTAGTTTTTTGTAGAGACAGGGTTTTGCCTTGTTGCCCAGGCTGGTCTTGAACTCCTGGCCTCAAGTGATCCTCCTGCCTCGGCCTCCCAAAGTGCTGGGATTACAGGTGTGAACCACTGCTCCCAGCCACTTCTACTTTTTTGCTATTATGAATAATGTTGCTATGAACATTTGTGTAGAGGTTTTTGTGTGGACATGTGTTCCTAGTTCCCTTGGGTATATACCTAGGATTGGAATTGCTGGATCGTAAACTATTTTATCCTTTTGAGGAACTGCCAATTGTTTTCCAAAGTGACTACACCATTTTTCAATCACTCCAGCAATGTAGGAGGGTTCCAATTTTTCTACATCTTCACCAACAGTTATTGTCTTTTAAATGTTATTTCTTTAATGAAAAAACTTCATTTATGCACATAACACACACACACACACACACACACACACACACACACACACACACACACACACACACACACACACACACACACACACACACAGACTTATAATGGAAAGCCGAAAGTCTCCAGCCCTGTTTCACCCCTCCTTAGTCCAAGTCCCATTCCCAGCAAACCATCTTCCATTTTTATTTTTAGTTTTTCCAGTGACTATCATTATAATTCCAAAGATTGCTTGATTCATTATTTTTTCTTCTCTTTTTATTATGAAAACTTTCAATTATGTATAAAAGGAGAATAGTATAACCAACCCCCTGTACACATCCCCAGCTGCAACAACTGTCAACCCATGACCACTTTTACCCACTGTTTTTTGCTTTATCAGTGTTAGATGTCATACATTGATTTCCCTATTGAAGAAAGAGAATTTACCTAATTCTATCACTTCCAAATTTTTATAGTAAATTATTTTTAGTTCTTCTATTACCTTTGTGATTTTGATAAATCCCTAAACCTTGTGTTCTTGTTCCATCCACTGTGCACAGTGTTATTTAACTGCCCTCTTGTCCATGCAAGCTGGAGATAGCAATGCCCACCTCTCTTTTCTTCTGCTTTCACCTCCCAGCCATTTCCAGCTATAGCTCTTATATTATTCAGTGGATAGCAATTTATAGTCTGTTCTCCAACCATCATCAAGTCTTCTGTGCTTTGTCTATTGGTTGGTTCTAAGACTTGAGAATCAAGAGAATTTACATTATTATGACTTTAAATATCGTTCACTGTAGAGCCATATGGTGTACTGAGGATTACTTCTTTTTTCTGTAGACTCAGTATAACAATCCTTGTGCCAATGGGGGAAGAACGTTTTAGACATCCAGTTGATACCTTTTCTGTTCAGAAATATATGGTAATCCATAGCACTCTTGGACCCAAGGTGTCTTATTTACATCTTGTATGGCCTTGTGTTCTTTAATTATCTTGTGTGTTATGTCCCTAACTCGAGAGGGAACCCCTCGAGGGGGAAGTGGTCTTTCCTGTTTTGCTCCCATAGCATTTATAGTCTCTTGGTAAACTAAATTGATTTCCCTAAAAGTTGCAAACCATAATTTCATTTGTCAAGTAAACATAGCCAATACATTAAATGCCATTGCTGTTAGATTCTATATATACTTTATTTTATGATGAGTTATAAATATATAAATACTTAAAAAATAAAGCTATCAAAAACTCATAAATTAAAATATTCAGCTCGAACACTTTGAATATTTCTCTCTCATGATCGTCTTTAGCCTTTCCAAGAAGTTTTCCAACGTACTCTGGTTGGCTTCCTTCACAGGACAGGAATTCTGCAAAAGAAACATTTCATTAGCTTGCATTGGTAAGCATTTGTCTTGCCTGCCTGTCTACTTGATCAAGCCTACTGTGGCACTTGTCACCTGAACACTTATAAAACCAAGGCCTCCAGTCTAGCCTGACTGGGAGTTGTCTCTATCACTAGGCCAGCAGGTTTTGCCTATTTTGGGTGCATACTACTTACACTTCTAGAAATGGTTACTGTATACCATTACCTATCTGCTTTTGGGGTGGGTGGCGCGGGGGGGAGTGCAGTCTCTGGAGAGGTGTGTCACAGCTAGGTGCTTGCTCAGAGGGTGGAACTTGAAGATGCTGGCTCAGACCTGCCCGGTGCTCTACTGGGCCTTCTGCATGACTGCCTGGACTGCTGAGAGAGATTCAGTCATGTGGCCCTCCTGTGCCATTAAACAGCAGCACCGCAGCACAGCAGCCCTAAAGGTGGGAAGGATTCCAGATGCTACCCCCAGGCCACTGCTTCAGTTTGAATCTCAGCTCTACCATTTATTAATTGTATTGCTTAGGATGTACTACTTAATTTATAAAAGCTTCAGTTTCTTTTGTAAAGTTGGGACAATTGTTTGCCTACTTGCCTGCTTCATAAGATAATGGAGAGAATTAAAAGAGAGAACATGTGTTGTGCCAAGTTCCTATCCCATGACCTATCCCATTGTCTACAAGGTGATAGGCCCAGAGAGGGGATACATGTCCTTGTTCTCCTCTAAAGCCAATTAATTCCTCCACTCGATATTAGATAACATCCACTCTGGGCTACAAGGACTTCTGCCCCCTAATGATTCTTCCTCTTTCTGCTCTCTTCAGTTCTTCCTGCTCCACTGGACCATTCCCCCAGGTGCATTAACATGCTGGGTATACCCCCAACCTTAAAAGAGCTTCCCTCACTCCATAACCACCCTGCAGCTGTGGGTCAGTTTCTCTGCAGCCTTATAGCTAAACATCTTCAAAGAGTGTTCTGCCCTCACTGTTCCTTCTTTGTCTCCTCTCGCCACCCTATCCTCGGTGAGCCCACTCCAGCTGGGCTTTCCTTCCTGCCTCTCCATTTACATCAGCCTCACCCATGGCCTCCATCAGCCAAACCCAGGGGCCTTTCTTGGTCCTCACCTGACCTGTCCTTTCAGTACATTTGACACAGTCAACCCTCCCTCCTTGAGTGTCCTCAACGGCTTCCTGGGGTACCGCCCACTCTCCAGTGTTCTCCTGCCTCACTGGTCACTCCTCCTCAGGCCCCTTGGCTGGATCCTCCTCTCCTGACCTCCATGTGTTGATCTCAGGCTCAGTCCTTTGATCTCTCCCTTTCTGTCATTCAGATTTTCAGCAGTATCTATCTAAGGACTCTCCTTTTTGTATTGCAAGTTCTGACCTCTCCCCTAAGTTCCAGACTTTTCTAACCATCTTCTCAACACCTTCACTTGGCTATCCAAGAGCCACCTTACATGTACGATGTACAAAATTGAACTCTTGATCTTCTGCTGAACCTCCAGCCCTGCCTTGCCGCCAGTCTTTCATCTCTCTGTAAACAGTACTGACCATCGCCAGAGGGGTTTGGGCAGGAACAAAGAGGTCATCTTTTCCTCCCCTGTATCTTACCCCCTACAACCGATCTGTCAGCAAATCCTTCTGGTTTTATTTTTAGTCATATCCCAAATCTGTTCACCTCAACTGCTCCCATTCTGTCCACGCCACCATCATCTCTAGCCTGGTTTACTGTGGTAGCCTCCCAACAGGCCATCTTGCTTCATTCTGTCCACGCCACCATCGTCTCTAGCCTGGTTTACTGTGGTAGCCTCCCAACAGGCCATCTTGCTTCATTCTGTCCACGCCACCATCATCTCTAGCCTGGTTTACTGTGGTAGCCTCCCAACAGGCCATCTTGCTTCTATGCTTTCCCCCTTTCAGCCTATTTACCACACAGTAGCCAGACTGACCCTTTTAAATCACGTAAATCAGATTGTACAGTCTTTGTCCTGCCCAAAGCTCTGCAGGTGTTCCCTGCCATACTCGTGGTGGAATCTAAAGGCCTTGTGTGATCTGCTGTCCTGGAAACTACCCCTCACTCACTCTGATCCAGCCACACTGGCCTTCCTACTGGTCTTTAAATACAGGAAGTTAGTTCATTTCCATCCTAAGGCCTTTGCATACCTCCTCCTTCTGCCTGGAATGGTCTCCCTAGTTAGTCATGTGGCCTGCTCCCTCAATTCAAATATCTGCTCAGATAATGTCACCAGCTCCTAAGTCAGCCCCCTCCCCCATGACTCTTATGTTCTTTATTTCTATGTTTTTCTTTGTAGCACGTATCACTGCTGGCCATCATTTTACATGTTTGTTTTTCTAACTCTCCCATTAGAACATTCCATGAGAACAGGGACTCGGCCTGCGTGTCTTTAGTGACACGTCCTCAGCACCTAGAACCACACCCAGCACTTGTGGAACTTCAGCAAATACTTATTGAATGAGTGAATGAATGAATGGGTTGACCAAGGGTGCTGCAGCTCCTAAGGAGTGTTTAGAAGTGAGGCTGCTGTCCACCAGGAGCCACGCGGCCGGCTTGCCAGGAATACAGTGCAGCTTACCAAGCCCGCCAGGCCCCAGAGGTTCCTGTCGAGCCGTTTCAGGAATCGGATCAGCTGCTTGTGCCTGTGGAACTGCTGTGCAGTCGCACCCAGGCAGCGAGTGTCCTTCTCATGGTGGCTGTAGAACTGCCGGAGCACAGTCGCAGCCCTGCAGAAGGTTTCCTTCTCAGTTGTGTTCTGGAAAGACAAATGCCACAGATAGCAATGTGCCAGCTCCATTTGGAGGATGGGAGAGAGATTTTTCCTCTTGATTTCTTCTTTCCAGGAGGACAAATGGAGGTGAGTTTGCTCAACTACAGACCTGTCTTCAAGTATTCCACTGAAGGAAGGCTGCTTGCCACAGACATAAACCTCTGTCAACAACCTCTCCCAATTGCAAACGCAGCAGCCTTCTCCCCAGAACCTCCCAGTTTCCTTTCTCTTGGAGGATTTTGCCGAAAGGGTACCTGAATAAAGTCATCCCATGAGGAAAAGGCACAGTGGGGACTAGAATGCAGGACCATCTGTCGCTACAGCCCACGTTCTGCGTCCGTGTCTCTATACCTCATGAGCTATTCTGCTATGAAAAGTGCCCACATGAGCTCTCAGTCAGGTTCTGCTCTTGTTCCCAGAGGTTTTAAAATCCAGCTTTCCCTGGAAATCCTGCATGCCTGTTGAATAAATGAGTGCACATCCTTTGGCCTGAACTCTGCTGCTTTGGCCAGCACTCTCCGTGTGGCTCTCCCCATGGGAGAGGAGAGCAGCACATGGCCCAAGTGAGGAGCTAAGACATTTTGCCAGGCAGCAAGAGATAAGTGCACAGATCAGGGAAAGGTGTCCTGGGAGATCAGAGGAGGCTCTGGGAGCAGGTGCCATTGATCTGAGCCTTGGGCAGAGCTTCTGTAAGGGGCCTTTTGGCCCCAAATGATGCGGAGTGAGAATCTCCTTGGAATGCCAGCAACTGTGAGGGTCTGGCCACATGGCTCTTCCTGGGGGCCCTTAGCCTTAGAGAAGGGAATGGACAAGAGACAAGTCATTGGGAACCCAGGAGAGGGATTGTGTCTCAGTCTGAACCTGGCCTGGTGTGTCCTCTCATTTTTCACTGAAGAACAAAGATGCAGAACCTGGAGAGGGTTCTTAGCTTGAGCCCAGTTCCTTTATCCAGTTCAGATAAAGAAAGCTATCCCCAGCCTCTCCCCCGACATGCTCTGGTCCCTTGATACTCAAAGTGTGGTCCATGGACCAGCAGCATGGACATCACTGGGAGCTTCTTAGAAATACAGAATCTCAGACCACCCCTGCCCCACCCAGACCCTCTGAATCAGAAGAACAGTGACAAGATGCTCAGGGGTTTCTATCAGCAGCGCTGTCCAAGCAGCTTTCAAGTTCTTACATATTTTTTTTTCTGATGATCAAGATAACATATATTTACTATAAAGGTAACATATATTCAACAAAAATACATTCACTCATCCCACCAGCCAGAGGTAACTATTGCTGTTAATATTTTGGTAAATATCGTCACACTTTTAAAAATACTTTTTAAAATAGGGGTCAACTGTTGATACTGTTTTGTAACTTCTTTACTCTTTACATATACCATAAGCATTTCCTAAGCCCTTCGGTGGTATTAGAGAACATGGGATTGAGAGCTGCGTAGAAACGCATTGCACAGTGGTACTGTCATTTGTCAGGCCCCTATCGTGGCAGATTTTTGCTTCTGTAAATAAGCGGCAGTGAGTAAACTATAGAAATCTTTGTGTTCATCTCTTATTTATGTAGGCTAAATTCTAGGAATGCAGTTCATATTTTAACGTTTTTTCAGGAAAGTCTAGACCCAGACTGAGGCACCAGAATCCCAGGCTACAGAAGCTTCCCCTTTCCCCTGTGGGGCGTGATGTCCCATGGGCAGAGCGGTTAGAAAGACATTTACTTAATGAACTGACTGAGAGTCACTCCTCGTTCCTGATTCTAGTTGGAAATGTAAGAGTGTGTCAGTATCTTTGGGCTCTGGGGGCCAAGAAACAGACCTCTCTGGGCTTTGTAGGCGAGTCGAGGTGGAAGGGACACGGGCTGATGGGGGGCGGCAGATGGTGCCTGTGTGTCTGGAGGTGGGCAGACATGCATGCTGCTGCAGAGGGAACAGTGAGATTCAAGAAAACCAAAAAGTCAGCCCTTTGCTTCTTTTACCACAAACCTTGGTGAGATTTTTCTGAAACGCTGGCTTGGAGCCTGGAAATTAAACTTAATTTTGACCCGTATATGGCCACATAGTATAGGAAAAAACCCTCTAAAGATATTTTTGAAAGGACTTTCTAAAGGAAACAAGGATAAAATAAGAATTGAAAAGAGTCTGCATTAAATGGAAAAACTTTAAAAGAATGCATCCTAAGGGCAGCTTTAGTGCAAGGCCTTAACGTTTTAGTTGCTCTGGTATCGCAGCGAGGGGGCGACACTCCATCCCTGCCGTGGCCCTGGACTCCTACCACCTGCCTGTCTAGCTCTGGCTGCTGAGTGTGTCTGCCAGTGGCTCAGGGAGTGCACTTGGACAGCCTGGCTGACCTCACAGTTCAGAACTGCTTAGGGAGTGACTCAGAAGGAGGCCTGTCCCTCCCGGGAATGTCAGGAAACAGCCACTTGGGAGATTTCTTCTGTGGCAGTGACTCTGTGAGAGTTCTAACTCGGTTCTTGACCAGCCTCACTGAGGACCATATAAATCCAGCCCGATTGGCACTGCATTCATTATCTCCCATCCTGCCCAGGATAGTCAGCTAGTGCTGTATATGAGAAACTCCTTCAAAAAACAGAGGTATTTGAGGTTCATTATGGAACTCTCTGTAGAATTATGAACTTTAGCTCTCTTTGGTAAATAGGAAATAGCTCCAACTACTTGTCCACCCAAGAAACCCTTCATCAGCCAGCCAGCTTGCTTCTTCCCACTTTGCTGTTCCTCAGACAGCCTTGACTTCATAGACACCCTGACAGGTGTTACCTGTGAAGCCCAGGACCTAGACCAGTGCCTTCTTTCCAGCAACTGCCAAGAGTAGAATGCTACCCAACTTAGAGATACTAAAATTCTTGTTCCCCCGAAGAAATAAAATCAATAGGCTGGATTTTGGAAAGATGTTTTCTTTGGGAACACAAAGAAGTACCTTTTCCTCTGCATACCACCTTTGTAGGTTTTTGAAAATAGCAACATTTCACTGTTCTGAAATATCTTAACATGTAAGTAAGCAGTGCTGAATCTTCGAGGGGAAGAAAAGAGTGAAGAGTGAGATCGTGAACTCCAGGAGGATGAAGTTCAGGGGAGGCAAATGAGACGGGTAAGAGTGAAGGCAGGCAGTGGGGATTATTCTAGGAGATGTTTGTGTGTGTGAGAGGGAGGTGAGTGAGGACTGAGTGAAGAGGGGAGTTAAGGACGGGAGGGCAGCAGTGTCCTGGCCTGCACCCGGGGGTCTTCCAGAAACAGCCCAGATGGATTGCCCCAGACTCGGCATCCTGGATGGTTTGATCCTTTCCAACCCGGTCCCCTCCTTCTTAGAATCATCGCTTCTCTGCACCTGTTCTTGCTTTTAATCGTGGTTATATCATCTCACAATAACACTTTGCACTAACTCAAGAGCTGGATTCCAATCAACCTTGCAATCACCTTCAGAATCACTTTCATATCTTCACATGTGGAAACTGAGGTGCAGAGAGGTGTGAAGATGTGCTGAAGGCCAGCCACACAGCTAGTCAGTGGCAGAGCTGGGTCTAAAACCACAGGCAGTCTTACCTCCAGGCCCTCAGCCCTCACCCTTCCTCCAGGCCTGGCTTCTAGTGAGGTGGCCCTTCCCTTGGCTTTGTTAGAGCCTTCTCAGCAGTGCCACAGGCCTCCAGAGACCCAGTGCTCAACCCGGTGGACTCTTGGCTTCTAGTAGGAGCCATCTCGGTTGGATGGACTTGGAGATTTTATACACACACACACACACACACACACACATATACATACACATATATACATACACACATATATATACACACACACATATATACACACACACACACACACACACACACACATAAACTGTTGCCCAGGTGCAGTGGCTAATCCCAGCACTTTGAGAGGCCGAGGTGGACGGATTGCTTGAGCCCAGAAGTTCGAGACAAGCCTGGGCAAAATGGCAAGACTCCATCTCTACAAAAAAATACAAAAATTAGCCAGGCGTGGTGGTGCACACCTGTCGTCCCGGCTACTTGGGAGGCTGAGGTAGGAAGATAGCTTGAGCCTGGGAGGTGGAGGCTGCTATGAGCTGAAATCGCACCACTGCACTCCAGCCTGGGTGACAGAACAAGACCCTATCTCAAAAAAAAAAAAAAGTGTGTATTTGCCCTTCAGAATCTCATCCTGTATCGGACTCCCGGGATAACTAATGAAATGAGATAGTCCAGCTAAAGGCCCGAAGAGCAGTTTCCCTCATGAAGCAGGATGGGCCCTGTTCTATGGTCTGGGTGCTGGAGTGTGACCCTGCCCAACACACAGGGCTTCACTCCTGGCCATATCATCTCCCTAGTTTGCATGGAAAGCAGGTAGTTAGGAGACCACTGTGAAATTGAGGCTTTGGGGCTTTCATTCTCAGCCGTGTGTTTCCATGAAAACAGGAACTGAAATGCACAAAACTATTGATACGGCTGTAGTCATGTGTTTGTCAGAGAAAATGCACTATCAGCTGTCAAATCTATCTCCTCCCACTACAGATAGAGGGGTGGGGGTGAGGCAGCACAGGAGGCAGAGAGGCGAGGTGCCCAGGCAGCCCGAAGCAGGGATGTGCTGGACGCTGCCCAGCAGGATGGTTCCAGACCGAGCTGGAGGGGAGTTCGGCCGGCCAGAGCAAGCTGAGGAGCTCTGGACGGCCAGCCCCGGAACCCAGAGGGCTGTTAGGTGGCCAGGCTGTGGAAGAGGAGGGGCTCTGGCGATACCTTTTCTGTTGCCATAGGAAGTCTCTTAGACAAAATGAAAGCTCCCTCAACCTGTCATCTCAATATCTGTTTCTGTGAGAGTATTTGGTTTTTCAGAAATGTATGGGCCAGAAAAATTCTCTCATTCAACAGGCATTTATTGAGTGCCTCCTACGTTCCAGGCACTATGCCAAAGCTAAGTAAAACCCAAGAGGGCTTTTCTTTGACCAGGATCTGAGTCAGGACTACAGCATGTAAGCTTTCTATTACATGTCTTCTAAATCAAGTGAAACCAGAAAGACCAAAACATGCTTAAGAGTAAAGATCAGACTTCTCGTTCTTTGAAAACATCTAACACCTTAGAGTTAATTTGGGCCCGCTCGTTTTCCATTAGACAAGTTTCTTGTTCAGACATTTGGGGATGGATCTCCCCATTTGCTAAAACAGACCGTGGGACGGCTTCTTACCTTGGAGGCAGCAAAGATGTCTGTTACGGTCAACTCGGTGCACAGAGTCTTGGTCCAGGCAGAAATGAGAGAGCAAGAGACAGAGTTAACCTCCAACCGGACAGAGAAGTCCTTGATGAGCAGCTCTCACTCCCTCCAACTGAGGAAACTTCCTACAAACCCTCAGAAAAAAGAGTGGCAGGGGAGAAGCCTCGCTGTGTGCCCTGGACTGCCACCAACCACCAGTTCCAACTTCTCTAGCAGCTGTTAACGTTTTCATGCCTAGAAATACTGAGAGCATCACCAGAACATCTGGAGAGATGGTGCCAGATAGGTACTCACCTTCTGCTCTGTGAGGCTGTTCAAAGTTTTGATGATCTCCTGTAAGGTGATATCGCACTTGTGTCCGTGGACAAAGTTGCCGGCACATGCTAGCAGGAAGAACAGAGGGGGAAGCAGTTGGGAGGTGAGACCCATTAATAGGTGTCGATTTGCAGTGACAATGTGAGGCAATTAGTTTATCAGGAGAAGCTAACGATGCAATGCTGACAAAGATATCTCTATATATAGATTTAAAATTGCTGAAACCGAGGGAAAATGAGTTTACATTGGAAATTTTCGTTACACCAGATTGTCAGTCACTTGGGGCCAATCAGCACCTCTCTTCCAGGAGAAAAAATGCCTCACAAACAGGTAAAATGTTCCTGTGAAATCAGACCAATAGGAAAATGAAACCTTTTTAAAAAATTAACTACAAAGTTTCAGCATAGGAAATTACACCATAATTTGCTCTTTAGATTAATCTTATCAGCTTGGGGCTGCTGCTGGCTTTTTGCTTTGCATAGAAGGGAGAGGCCACAGGTGTCCGAATTTGTTGTAATGCAGTCCTCCTGGGGAAAGATAGAGTAATATCAAGAAAGTTTTACTTGAAAAGTATTTTAACCTGGCTTCTTCCAAGTACAGGTGGCATCTTGGAAACTGTCCTGTCATGGAAAAGCTGATCTGGGGCTCCTTCTCTGCATAGAGGCAGAATAACAGGCAGACTCTCCTACCCCAGCACTGGGGGACAATGTTCTCCCAAGTTTAGGTGTTTTGAGAAGGACAGGTCGTATCAGGTGAGGCCTAGTTTGGGTCCCAGCAGGTCCATAAGGTCCTTACCCATAAGGAAGCCCTTGGCAAGGTAGGTCTATTCTGAGGTTTCAGGAATGACTTTTTTTTTTTTTTTTCTGAGACAGGGTCTCACTCTGTCACCCAGGCTGAAATGCAATGTTGTGATCAGGGATCACTGCAGCCTCAACCTCCCAGGCTCAAGTGATCCTCCCACCTCAGCCCCCCTAGCAGTAGGTGCGTGCCACCGCACCATGCCTGGCTCATTTTTATTTTTATTTTTTGATAGAGATAAGAGTCTCACTATGTTGCCTAGGCTCATCTCAAATTCCTGGGCTCAAGTGATCCTCCTACCTCAGTCTCCCAAAGCTCTGAGATTACAGGTGTGAGCCACCATGCCTGGCCAGGAATGCCCACTTTTTGAATGGAACCTAAACACATCCTCAGCTAATTAGGAAAAAGAGCTACAGTCTTACCAACTTACAAATCAGCCCTCCTAGTCAGTGCCCCACCACCCGCCCTGCTTGTTTTTTATTGAATTCATGTGGACACAATAAGGTGCTCATTGCCTCACCCCAGCAGTGAACGTAAGGACCCCACCACTCACTCAGGTGCCTGGGCCCTGTGCAAGGCCACCCCACCTCCCAGTAAGGGCTCATGGGCAGCAGGATTCTTGGGCCCTGCCTGCCCCCTGCTTTTCTCCCAGAACCTTCCCTTCCCTTGGTCTCTGACCTTCTTTTCCCTATGAATTTCTTTTTTTTTTTTTTTTTTTTGAGATGGAATCTTGCTCTGTCACCCAGGCTGGAGTGCAGTGGCGTGATCTTAGTTCACTGCAAGCTCCGCCTCCTGGGTTCATGCCGTTCTCCTGCCTCAGCCTCCCCGAGTAGCTGGGACTACAGGCACCTGCCACCACGCCCGGCTAATTTTTTGTATTTTTAGTAGAGACGGGGTTTCACCGTGTTAGCCAGGATGGTCTCCATCTCCTGACCTCGTGATCCGCCTGCCTCGGCCTCCCAAAGTGCTGGGATTACAGGCGTGAGCCACTGTGCCTGGGCCTCCCTATGAATTTATTCTGGAAGATCATCTAAAAATGTGTGTTGCTAAGGTTTTGCCTCTGTTCCACTTCCCCGCCCCCCCCTCACCACCCCCTGCCCCCATACTCTGTCACCCAGGCTGGAGTGCAGTGGTGATCATAGCTTACTGTAGCCTTGATCTCCTGGGCTCAAGGCATTCTCCAGCCTCAGCTTCCCGAGTAGCTGGGATTACAGGCACATGCCACCACGCCTGGCTAATTTCTGTATTTTTTTTTTTTTTTTAGTAGAGATGGGGTTTCACCATGTTGGCTAGGCTGGTGTCGAACTCCTGGCCTCAAAATGATCCACCCACCTCAGCCTCCCAAAGTGCTGGGATTATAGGCGTGAACCACCATGCCCGGCCAAGGTTTTGCCTCTGTTTTGGATCTTTTCTTCCCTTATTATTATTATTATTAAATTGACAAATAAGTATTGCACATATTTGTGCTGTATGATATAATGTTTTGAAATGTGCATGTTATGGAATTGCTACATCAAGCTACTTATACAATACTTCACATATTTATTTTTGGTAAGAACATTTAAAATCTACTCTGTGATTTATTTATTTATTTTGAGATAGAGTCTTGCTCTGTTGCCCAGACTGGAGTGCAATGGCGCAGTCTCAGCTCACTGCAACCTCTGCCTCCTGAGCTCAAGCAATTCTCCTGCCTCAGCCTCCCGAGTAGCTGGGATTACAGGTGCCTGCCACCACGCCCAGCTAATTTTTGTATTTTTAATAGAGACAGGGTTTTACCATGTTGGCCAGGCTGGTCTCGAACTCCTGACCTCAGGTGATCTACCCACCTCAGCCCCTGCAAAGTGCTGGGATTACAGGTGTGAGCCACTGCGCCTGGCCTGTCTTCATGATTTTTAAGTATACAAGACATTGATATCAACTGTTGTCACCATGTCGTACAATGGCTCTCTTTAACTTAACTCCTCCCAGTTGAAATTTTATATCCTTTGACCAACATCTTCCTGATCACCACCCTCCCAGCCCCTGGTGACCATCATCCTACTCTCTGCCTCCCTGAGTTTGGCTTTTTTATATTTCACATATGCGTGAGATCATGTGGTATTTGTCTGTCTGTGCCTGGATTTTTTCACTTAGCATAATGTCCTCCAGGTTCATCCATGTTGTGGTGAATGACAGCGTTTCCTTCTTTTTTAAGGCTGTATAGTATTCCACTGTCTATATATAGTTTTGGATCTTATCGCAGTGCCTCAAGTTCTGTGAAGGAGAGAATCTGGATAATTGTATCAGGAGGTCCTTAGACCATATTTAGGATCCTTCCATTGGGACTGGGCAGCAAGGTTACCAAACTAAATGCAGTGGCTTCAGATGCCAAACCACCTGAGATGAGCCACACCTCACAGGTGAGGGGTATGGTCCCCCACAACACTGCCCTTGCTTCAGACGCCAGCTGCACATTCAGGGGTTCCCAGCCCACCCTCACTGCTGACTGGCTGCAAATCTGGGAGTTTCCACTACCCCTCAGGTTCCAGAATGCACTAGGATGACTGACAGAACTCAGGAGAGTGCTATACGTAAGGCCACAGTTTTATCATAACAAAAGCATTCAAATCAGAACCAGCCAAAAGAGGAGACACAGGGGCGAGATGGAGGAGGGGCCCAAACACAAAGCTCTCATTGTCTTCCCCGTGTGGCGTCAGAGGCATCACCTTCTCAGCACTTTGACGTGTGACAAAATGCTGACTATTTCTAAGCAGGGAGGCTCACTTGAGCTTTGGGGTCCAGAGTTTTTATTTGAGTCTTATCATATAGGTGTGGTTGATGGACTCATTGGCCACTGGGTTGAACTCATCTTCCTGGTCTCCTTCCGGGAGGCCAGGCTGATATCACAGAACCTCAGTGGCGTGGCCAGCCCCTCCATGGTCGTATTGTCAGCAAAAACTACCTAGGGCCCACCATGAGTCACTTCACTCGCATAAACTCTCAGAGACCACCATGAATAATAAGATACTCCTATCACTTGGGAAATCCCTAGGAATTTGGGGCTACCTCCTGGGAACTGGTGACAAGGACTAGCCACGTTGTTTACTCCAAGGGTTTGTAGCTGGTAGGACCTCCCAAGAGCCAGGACAAAGGCCAGACTTCTTGGATAAAGGTTGATTCTTCACTGCACAAACTGGAGGAGAGTTATGAGAAGAGCAGGTGGTTGCTTCCAAAGCAGGTGGGGACTTTGGATCCGATGAACTATTATGTGGAATGAAGTACAGCAGCGGTTCCAGTTAACACAGGAGGGAGCTCATCAAGCTGCGGACTTGCTGGGTGGAGAGCTTCTGCCAAATAGGTTCTCAAGGAGAGTCGGGGATGCAGAAGGGGAGCTGGTGGGGAGGGCGGGGTTCTGGGGCGTCTGTGGGGGCAGTGGAACAGCCATTTATGTGTCCATCTGGTGTTTTTCTAAGCACCCACTAAAGGGCAGACCCTGGGCTTGAGGCTCTGAGGGCAGAGCTGGTGAGTGAAAAGGGAATATTAGGTGGGCACCTTCAGCTCAGAAGCAGAATCCAGCTTGTTTTGTTTGTTTCAATGGTGAAATGAGGCCAAAGATGAAAGGATAAACTGTCCAGAACATTCGAGAGTGACCAGGAGTCTCCCCAGAGGGCAGAAGTGGGGGATGGGCCATCCTCGCCTGCAGGGACAGCACCATGGCAGCTGCAGGTGCGGCAGGTGGGTAGAGATGGGGAAGGTGGGTGCCTGCATTGTCAGGGACAAAGAGGAGGGCAGTGATCACCACCACTACCACCACTGCGAAGGAGTCTCCGAGCCTGCAGGGCCATGGGCAGTGCCTTGGCGGGGTGTGGTGGGCCTGACACCAAAGTTCAGGAGGGAGGTTGAATACTGCTGTCTCTGGCTGTGTCGGTCACAGGCCCCTTCCCCTCCCCTGTGTGAGAGCTGAGAACCAGCGCCGGCCCCTCCATGGATGCAGAGTTTTTCCTTCAGGCCCTGGAACGTAGCAGTTATGAGCACTGCGTTTGGGAGTCCAGCAAATGAGCCCTTATCAACTCTGTGACCATGAGTAGATCATTAACTCTCTCTGGGTCTCGATTTTCTCACCTGTGAAATGGGAATAATGTGGCTCTTCCTTGTGAGGAGCAAGTGAGTGGTTCCATGGAAAGTACTTGGCATGTGTCATCCAGAAAGGGGGTCTGTTAACAGAGGCTGCTATAGTACACGGTGGCTAAGAGAGCGGACGCTGGGCCCAGGTGGTCTGTCAGGCCTGGCTGCTGTGCCTCCTGGCTGTGTGACCTTGGGCACGCTACTCAGCCTCATCTGTGAAATAGGGGTCATAGCTGTCCCTGTCTCATGAAGTTGCTCTGAGGAATGAATACATTTAAAGTTTTCAAGTATTTAGAATAGTGCCTGGCACACAGTGAGTGTGATGATGATAATGATGACTCCTATCTTGAGTTGCTGAAATGACTGATGCTTCATCTATTAGGCAAGCCCAAGTCTGGACAGGGCAGTGGAGATCTGGCCAGACGGGCCCTCCCCACAGGTTCCTCCTGGATGTGCCTCCTCCGTCTTTGAGTTGCCGTCCTTGTTTCTGGTGGGTCACGGTCTCCACACTGCAGCCCGCCTACTTTAGTATCTGGATTCATTACAGGGAACAGACACAGCTGTGGGTGCTTTAGTCAGGAAAGGATTTCATGCAGGAAAGTAGGTGCTTCTAAGAATGTCAGGAGGGCTGGAGGGGCAGGCTCCAGGCTGGGCCCAGAACCCTAAAGACCTGACCCACTCAGCGAGCCACCCCTGAGGCTGCAGTGCCGGGATTCCAAAGCTGCTGCCTCTGCTGACCCCCTACACTGTGAGTCTGCTCCAGGAGACTCCCGGTCTGACTTCCACACCATGAGTCTGCTCAAGGACACCCCTAGTCTGAATGACCAGGTACATGGTATCTGCCGCCCTCCCCTCCACAGCTTGTCAGCCTTCATCTAATTGGAAAAGCCAGATGCTCGCTTCAAAGGAGTCAGAAACGCGGCAGTCAACTAGGAGAAAGGAATACAGGTCGCACAATGCAGCCCAGTCTCCACGGGCCTCGTTCATTGATGCTTGCTGTCCCAGCCATTCCTGTGGTCCGAGTCGGGTGAATCTCACCTCCCTCCTCTTCTGTCAGTCCTGCAGGCCAGCACCCAGGAGAGTGCTTTCCAACCCCCACAGGCTTAGTCATGGAAAAAGGTGAGACTTCTCTGAGGGAGGGGCACTTAAGCAGAGTTAGGGATGAGCCGGCTTTAGCCAGGAGCAGGGGCTGCAGGGTGGGGTGAGTGCAGGCAAGGGACAGCAGGTGGAAGGCCCCGAGGTCACTGAAGAGAGGGCTCCCAGGAGGGGAGCACGGGCCGAGGGGACCCAGCCAGAGCATTGCAGGCGCCCGTGACAGAGGCAGCTGGCGCGAATCGGGTGGGATGGTGGCAGGGAGAGCTGTGGGCTCTTGAGTCATTTGGCCCAGCACAGTGTCTAGGTTAAGACCTGGTGTCTTGGTGCCCACGGGACCTGACTGGTTCTGAATCCCAGCTCTGGGTGACCTTGGAAAAGTTCCCCCATCCAGGCTTCTCTGTAAAACTGGGCTGATTACAGGGGCGAGGGAATACTATAGAAGGTGACAAATATGAAGTGTTTGGTGTGGTGACCGGCATATTGCAAGCCCCCGGAAAATGCCAGCAATCACCATCACCACCACCATCATCATTAATAGCACTTGGAAGTGACTGAATGTGGGGGTGAGGGAGAGCAGGAAGTCGCAGGTGGCCCCAGGTCTCTGGCTTGGGGAGGAGGCAGGGGAGAGGGCAGGCGGCGGGTGGGAGCCACCAGCTGAGGGGCTGCTACGGGCCATACTCTGAGAACAGGGGAGGGTCCAGCCTGCAGGCAGTAGACATGGAGGGTGACTAAGCCAAGGGGAAGAACACAGTGTTGCTGGAAAAAGGGGTCCCGATTCAGACCCCGAGAGAGTTCTTGGATCTCGCACAGGAAGGAATTCAAGGTGAGTCGTGGTGTGTGGTAAAGAAAGGATGTAGAAAACTACTCAGAGTAGGGTGTCCTCAGAAAGCATGAGCAGGAACGCCTTGTCTGCTTAAAGCTTTTCTTATATAGGGGTCTTGTCTATACAAAAGCCAAGCTACATTATGTCTATGTGCAGGTGGGCTGACAGTGTCACAAAATTTAGTACTTTGTTGATTTAAATAATGTTTTATCCTTGGCCTTTTAGTGAGTAAGTACATCAAAGCATTACTGTAAATAGCTTGAAAGCATATATTGTTATGAGACATCAGGACACCCAGACATTCTGCTGTTGTAGGAGTTTGTCCTTGCGGGCGTGACTAAACTGCTTCCTTGGCGTAAACATCTCATGACCATGGGTAGTGACTGGCAAGGAATATGCCTAGCTAGTTTTAAGATGGAGTTGATTTTAAAATGGTGTCACCCTGGCTCTCCTCCACTCCTGTTGACCTAACAATATGGCCAAGGGGTGAGAGAAGACAGGGGACAAGAAATGAGCCAGGGCACTCCTGCGACACTGGAAGGTGGTGAGGCAGGGTGCAGAGTCCAGGCATGAGAGAGGCCCAGGGAGGAGGAGCAGTGGTCAGCGGCAGCAATGTTCCTCGTAGGTGAGGCTAGATAAGGGCAGACATGCGTTGCTGCACGGAGTGGAGTTGATAATCAGTGACCTCATGAGATATCTGAGTGCAGTTGGGGGCACAGGAAGTGGCCAGATGAGGTGGAACTCAGTATGGGCATCTGGGAGGGCAGCTGTGTTGGGCTGCAGGCTGCGTCGTAGGTTGTCAGCTGTGTTCTGAATGGGACACAATCAAGCACAGGCTGCCCCAGCTCAGCGAGCGGCAGCTTCATCCTTGCAGTTGTTCACACACAACACGGGAAGACCTCACACGCTCATATCCAAGCCACCCCAAAGCCTCTCCTTTCACTGATGTGACATCTCGGATTGGTGGTGGTGGGGAAGGGGCGGGGGTAGAGATGGAACAAAATTGACAAAACTGGCCATGAGTTGCTCATTGTTGACGCTGGGCAATGGATGCTTGGGAGTGACTTTCGTGTATATTTGAAATTTTCTGTAATAGAAGATTTTAAAATTGTAATTGCATAGCAAATGTAAATATTAACATATATGCACATTTATATATTATATATTTATATCTATACTTTATGGATTATATAATATACTATTTAAGTAAATAATGTATACGATAGCAGTATAATGTATACATGCATCTTACACACACGCCCCTCTCCAGTCCTCCACTACCACAAGCACCATCGCTCCCCACCAGCATCTCTGCAGGCACCTTGGCGCTCATCTCCCTGCTCCGCCTTCGCCCTGCGTTGCGTTCTCCACACAGCAGCCACGGTGACTTTGTTAAAATGTGAGTCAGACCACATCACTCCATTCCACTTAGAATGAAGCCCGGTCCTGGCCTCTGAGGCCCTGCTGGGCTCCTGCTGCCCTTGCCGTGGCCTCTGCTCCAGCCCGAGGGCCACCCGTGAGTGCTGGGAAGGGCATCCCCAGCTCGCTCTTGCTCAAGACCTTAGCACCTGCAGTTCCCTTTCCCTTGATGACTTTGCCCCGATCTGTGCATGGGTGTCCCCTCCCCTTGTTTCGTCCCGATCTCTGTTCCCATCTTATCTCATGGGGAGGATTTCTCCAACCTCCTCGCATAACACAGCACTCTCCCTGCTGTGCAGCCCCGGACTGTTCTATTTCCCACGGTAGCGGCTACCACCGCCCGACACACTGAGTGTTCTCTCGTTGGCTTATTCTGTCTCCCTGCTAGAAGCAACCTTGTTTTGTTTAGTGGACCCCCAGCACCTAGAGCAGGGTCTGGCACCCAGGCAAGGCCTCAATCCATACTTGTTGAATGAATGAGTGGAGCTCCATTTCCACGGAGCCACTGAGACGTGGCTGAAGTAACAACACTAGAAGTCAGGGACACAGCTGGGGCTTGAAGCTGGGACTAGTTTCACCCTGAGCCCCCGGCTATATGCTCTGCCTGTGTTCCTGAGAGGGGAGGGGATGGGGCCCAGAGCACAGACACATGGAGGGCCCCATCCAAGGGCACAGGGACCGAGGGGAGGAGAGAAACGAGGCTGGCAGGCAGTGGCATAGACTCCGCTTTGCGGAGCTGTGGGGAAGTAGCTCTGCAGGCTGTTGGCTTCTCTTGCCTTTCAGAAGCAGGTGGAAGGTCCTTCTCCCAAGAGAGGCAGAGCTGCTGAGGAGTCTGCAGGAATGCTCCATCTGTCCCCATAGTGTTAATGTCACTTCAGCCTCAGAGCTAGATGGGCGGCCTACCCTTTCCCTTCCCACTCCCGCTGGCTCCTGTGCCCTGGCAGGCCAGGGCCTAGTGAAGACCCCCAAGAAGGCAGCACCTTCCTCTGTCTTTGGCAATGTGGGATCTGATGGGTCCAAGAGTGCCCAACCCATGGGAGGAGCGGTGCTAGTCCTGTCTGGCTGAGGGGCTGCCTTGCAGGCCCCTGCAGACCCCCACCTCCTCTCCCGAGAGGGCCGGCTCCCCAGGGAGGACTTAGGCTGGTCTGAGGGGTGCTGGTGCTGGTCCAGCCGGGGGATGCTGCAACCAGGTCTCCTCACTGGCCTGTCTCGGTCCACATCCTCCATGGAGCAGACATCACGTTCATGTTCTTTTTGCTTTTTAAAAATGAAATTTATCCTTGTCTCCCATTGGAAAATGAATGCATGCTCATTATAGAAAATGTGGGAAACAGATCAGAAGAAAGAAGAGTAAATAAAAATTGCCTTTTCCAATGTGGCATCACCACAGCTCCTCTGGCACAGGGCCCTGGGCTGGGCAGGGAGTTGTGGACTGTGTGGCCAACAGGCCATCGGGCTGTGGGTCTACAGGGGATGCCATCGGTGGCTTGGGCCTTCCTCCCTTGAGGGTTTGGGGAAATGGTGTCCAGCCCCCGCACAGTTGTCCACAGTGATGCAGAGAGTGGAGCTGACGAGAGTTGCTATATTTAATTTTGGTGCCTGCGTCACCTCTGACCACACAGCAGCGTCTGCCCAGGCAGGCAGCACATGGCTGGGGGTGTTTCTGAACGACGCTGTGAGAGAATCACTTTCCCCAAGAAAAGGTATAGCAGAGGGGAAGGGAGAGACAGCAACAGAAAGTGAGGTCGTAAGTAGAAAATTGCTTCTGGGATTTCAAATGGCTTTGTCATGGGGCCCTCCCTTGCTGCCGAGAAATCAGTTGATCTGGGAAAGTTTGTTGCAAACCCTTGCCCTCTTGCTTTTGGGTGGAGCTGAGAAATGAATGAAGATAATGGGGCTTTATGAGTGTGGGGGAGGGTAGCTGAGGAGACAGCCACCAGTCCTGACCCCAGCTTGGACCCCTAGAAAGGCCAGATAGGAGCTGGCCAGTGTGTCCCTGGCCAGGCTGTCCTGTCTGGAACATAGTCAGCCTGGCCCCAGCCGGACCTTCTTAGAAGGGAGGCAGGCGAAGTGGGAAACAGGTTTGGAGTGTGTTACAATGCACCAGCTAGATGAAGGGCATAGGCAGAAGACATTTCTCTTTGACCCTAATGAAAAAGCGATAAGCCGCTGGGCCAGGTGAAGGCCAGGCTTCAAGCTGCTGCCTCGGTCACAAGGAAATAAGATGCGGGCCTGGTCCCCTTGGGGCCTGCTCCTTCTCGTCCTGCGCAGGACAGGGGGCCAGCCTCGGAGAAACCTGCCAAGTGACTGGGAGCATTTTCTGACACCTCATCTGAGCAGCAAACTGAGGTGTTTGGTGCCGAGTTCACCGGAAACTCGCGTGTGTCTCACTTCTCACTCAAGCCCAGCCTCTCTTCCAGTGAAACCTCCTGGGCTGGGGTTCCCGAGGTGCCAAGGGGCTCCCCGCCCTGGGCCCCATGGCCAGCATCTTCCTCCCACTCACCAAGCACTCTTCTCCCTTCTCAACCCCCTTCTCTCTGAGTCCTGCTGAGGGCTTGCCTTGTTTATGAAAGAACTTAGGCCACGTGGTTAGAGAAAACTCCCAGCAAACACCACCAGGGCTCAGTCCCCAGGGAGGGAGGTTCCCAGCCACAGTTGCAGTGCTGACACTTACCTACCTTGTTCTGTCTTCCTTTCTCATTCCTGACAGGGCCCCTTCCCTGTCGCCACCAGCTGCAGCTTGGTTCTGTGGCTCAGTAAGGTGTCACTCATCCCTGGAGAGCCCCACGCCCTCTCCAGCCCAGGGCACACTGCCAGTGACCACAGGTCCCCCTTCCTGGGGAGCAGCCTGGAAGGTGTGAGGGACAGGAGCTCGGCGGTGGCTGAGGAAGTGGCGAGCTGCAGACCCCTAGTGGGGCCCGGGACGGCCATCCGCACTGTGCACCTGCCTCGCAGGCTGTCCTGAATGTGTGGCTCAGAGCACGGCCTTGGAGGATCCCGAGGAACCTTGCCCCACATCAGCCTCAATTCCAGTCTTTGTTCTTGAGGGAGTCACGTGGAATTTCACTGGAAGGGTTTCCATCTTTCTGGATAGGCAGGGCAATACTTTGGCTGGGCAGAGAGGACATGGGTCAAAGATGATGCTACTGGGAGATAGATTTCTAGGTCTTGTTTACAAAGTCATTACCCTCCGTAAATATCCTTCCAGCCTTAAACCCTAGGCTCTGGATGGAGAAGAATGCCGAGACCCTGACTCCCACCCACCTCCCCTGGCTTCCAAGACTCTCTCGTCCTTTGCGGAAGCAGCCACTGCTCACCTCCAGAGGGGAGGCCCTCCCGAGGGAGGACATACAGCTCCCCCAACCCGACCCTCTGTTGTTTCTACAGAGTTCTTTCAGGGGCTAAATCTTGAGTGCATGTGGTGTCTTGGTTGTCACTAGCCCAGGTGTCTGCTGTGGGGTGGTCCCCCGCAGGTATTTCCTCAGCAAACGTGGCAGGACTTAATAGGCTTGGCACCAGAGAGCCGGTCCTGTCTCCTGCCCGGGACAGCCTGCTGGAGACCCAGCTCTTGCACCATCACCCTCTTCACCCCCACAGTCTTCTCTCCTCTAGGCCAAGTGTCCCCTGCCCCCTGCACTGTCAGGTTTGCCTTCTTCCGTCGCCTCTCCCTGGGGAAAGTGAGTGGTTCTGGAGTAGCTGGCCACCATCATCAGCCCCCTGGCGAACTCCCTGCCACGTCCTCTGCTGTTGCGTGAATGACACAGCCATGAGCAGTCGAGGGCGGCTGCCTTCAGGGACTTCTGAGCATCACTGTGGTGTTCCCATAGGGCTCTGGGCTCCCCAGGGAGGGCACCTGCCTGTCACTACAAGTTTGAGACTGGTTCTTGAAGACCATCACCCACTGCAAAGGCATCCCATCCTGGAGTCACCCTCTGCCCTGGGCACCTCCCAGAGAGTCACAGTGAAAAGTGTTGCTGACGGGCATGGCCTGGAGCTGTGGCTTGGTAAGGCCCGCTGGTCTCTGCACTCCAGCTGCTGACCAGGGCCATGGGGAAGGAACAAGAGCTGCTGAGGAGTGGCCTAGCCAGAGCCCTGTTCACAGAGGTGGTGCGTGTGTGCACCCTAATGGCGAGAGCTGTCCAGAAATGCAATGGGCTGCCCCTCAAATATAGGTAGGGACCTGCCTGTCAGTGAGAGGGCCCGAACAGGTTGATGACAGTTGTACAGGGGGAAAAACTCCATTCAGGACAGGTGACATTTGGACAGAAATAGGCAGGGTGGTTAAGTGTGTGGGCTTTGGAGTTAAAGTGAATTTTGGACCCCAATCCCAACTTTGCTCCTTTACCTCAGATGAGGCTCTGAGGCCCCAGGACCCCAGTGAGGAAGTAGCTACGTGACCTTAGGCAAACCGCCCACGCTTTCTGAGCCTCACAGTTCTCATCGGCCTCCTGGGTTGTGAGGGAGACATGGATGTGTGGGTGGTGCCAGACACAGCTGGCCAGTCCTCAGGAGATGTGATTGTGAGACTTCCTGGGTCTCCGTCTGCTCCTGATGCCCTCCTTGAACCCTGACAGTCTGGCCCAAGCCTCTCCGTCCTTGCTGGTGCAGCAGACAGAAGGTGGGGCTTCCTTCAGGCCATGTCCCCACCCTCGGGAGCTAGCTTGCATTCAGCCCAGGTCACTGCACCCTACCCTCGCTGTAATCCATCCCAGTCCCCTCCTCCAACCCACCAGCCTCCCGAAGAGCTCCTCAGAGTCTTCAGACCACAGACCAGTGTCCCCAAAGGCCAAAATGAAAGACAAATACAATCAGGCCTATCTGTCACCAACTTTATTTCTGGCTTCAGTTTGATAGTCAATGAAACAACTTGTTCAATGTCCCCTCCCCCAGTGTTCAAGGTACCCTTCTATATATTAACTCTTTGCTAACATATTTAATATTTAAATACAAGGAAAAACAATAAATTACTCGTTGGCTGAGAGCTGGCTGCTGGCTGGCAGACAGGAGCGGCTGTTCTGCCCCTCTCCTGACCCTGCCTCGGATGAGGCTCCGAGGCCCCAGGACCCCAGTGAGGTAGCAGAATTCTGTACACAGTACTTATTACCAGGGACTCCTGGTGTCCACTGCTTTAGTGCTGGGGCCCTGAGTCTCTGAACCCTTGGCTCCAAGTGCTAGCAGCCACAGTCTTCCCCAATCCCCAACGGTGACAAACACACTCATTTAAATAACACACAATAATAAATAAGACCAAGAAGAAGTGTGCCTGAGCTGCTGTCTGCCTCAGTTGCCTGTGTGTGAAGTGGGTCCCTGTCCCACCACATGTCTGGCAAGGGGGGCACCCACTGTAATGCTACAGTGTGCTCTAGGGCAGGGGAGGGGTGTAGGGACATGTCATCCCTGGGTCCACCGAGCTCAGGGCCCTGGACAGAGGAGGCCCACCAGGCTGAGCCCTGGGCAAGGGGAAGGCTGAGGTCGGCTAGGCTGAAGACGGGCAGCACAGGCTGAGGTCTAAGCTAAGGAATTTTACCCCTCCCTAACCCTCCTTCCCGCCTACCCAAGACATTTTTGACATCAGAAAGAAAAATGAATCTGCAACTTCAATAGTCAGGTCCTGTCTCTGCAAATAATGATGCTTTCGAAGTTTCAGTTGAACTGTCCCTCGCGAAAAAGTTTCTTTAAATGTAAGAGCAGGTCCTTTACAAACTGGGCCACCTCGATTTTGGTGTCTCGGACATGCAAGCTGGAAAACTGCTGCAGGACAAAGAGGTCAGCACATGAGTAGAACGCCAGAGGCCGGGACGACTCGCACAAACCAGGGGCTTTCCAGGGACTGTCTCATTCAGTCCTCACGGAAGTCCCCATGAGGTGGGTACTGTTAGTACCTCTACTGTACAGATGTGGAAATTGAGGCCCAGGTAGGAGTTAGGAGCCCTTGAGCCCAGATCCTGTAAATCCCGAAGGCCACGTCCCTGCTGCCACAATGGCCCCACCCCTGGGTGGACACACACCATGGATATTCAGCCAGCTTCCCTTCAGCGAGCCCAGGGTTGGCAGGAGGGGGTGCAGGGTGGGTGTGAGAGGGTGGGGGATGCCTTACCCCAGCTGAGACCTTGTGCGGGCAGAATCCGCTCAGCATCCTCTGGGTCTTCTCGATGGCACTGCAGCCTGACACGTTGATCAGGGATTCCAGGGCTGCACAGTACTGTGGGGAGGGGACACCGAGGGGTCAGGCCCTGCTTGGGCAGCTGCCTTTTGTGAGTCTGCAGGAAGATGGGGCTGAGATGCCTGGCGCAGGTGAGTCTGGGTGGTGGGCGGGAAGGGGCCAGATTATGGCGGGAGGGAGGAGAGCACTTGAAGCTTGCTTGGAACCCCAGCCATGGAAGGGAGGCTCAGAGAAGATAAGCCCAAGGCCTGGAGCCTCTGCCCCATCCTCCCTGCACCCAAAGGTCCTTACCATGCCAGCTGTCAGGTTGATGCTCCATACCATGCTGCCATTGCAGAGCGGAGCCTGTGGGAGCAAAGTGACAGTGAGCAGAGTGCTGGCAGGGGTTGTGGGCCTGCCCTGGCAGCCCAGGCCAGGTCTGCCCCAGCACAGGCCCCACAAGCATCCCTGGTGTGGCACAGAGGCAGGCCTGGCAGCCCCTCAGCATTCCTGAGCTTCGTTTTCTGCTTTGAACAGCAGGCATAGGGGTGAGGTCCCACTGTTTAGGGTCTTGGAGCTGAGAGAAAAAAATTGACACCACTAGTAAGGGACAAGCTGCATGCAAGGCTTGCCATAGTCAGGGCAGGAGGACAGGGGCCTGCGGGAAGGGCCAGGGTGGGGACGAGTGAAGTAGGAGTGGCCTGGGCCACTGTTGACCAAGACAAATCAGATGGGAGGCGGTGGGGATCTGGTGTATTAAATGCCCTGCCTTCTGATGGTGAGGGAACACTGCAGTTAGGAGCATGGACACTCTGGTGTTGGCCAGGCCTGGCTTGAATCCAGCCTCTGTCACTTAACCTCACTGAACCTTAGCAGAATGGGTTCATCGTACCTGCCTCTTGAGGTGGCTGGCAGTGATGAAATGACACATAAAGCACGTGCACCAGGCCTGGTGTAAGCAGTGCTCAGACATGTGAGCTGTTACTAGTGGGGCAAGGAGCGGACTCTACTAAGGAATCCTCCTGTAAGGGCGGGCCTATGATGGTGCTGGGGAGAATGGCTGCATTGTTATGGTCAAAATCCAGTTGGCAAATGCCACATGGTTCTGGGAGGGTGCTGGCCCTTCTCTGCTGTCCTCTGTTCAGGAATGGCTGAGTAGGAGCTGGCAGTGGCAGACAAGGCCAGGCCAGGAGAGCAGGTAGTCCCTGGGGAGTCTGCCAGACACCTCCATAGGTCCATCCACAGTGCTGAGCCCCCCAGCCCAGCTCCTCTCTCCCTCATGGCTGGGCCGGGCCTTGGTCCATGGAGATTTTTCCTGACCTACAGGCATCTTAGGACCAGGCCCAGCCTGCTCATGACCTCATCTTGGGAATCACCCACCCTGGAGCCCTCATAGCTAGGACCCTGGCTAGCCGACACTCACCTTCTGGTTCTGGGTGATGTTGACCAGCTCCTCAATGAGCTCCCTGAGGGCTGTAGAGGGAGGCACAGGGCCTGGGGAGGCAAAGCCGCCAAGGCAAGTGAGAGCAATGACCGTGGTCAACAAAAGCGCCATGAGGCCCAGTGCCAACAGGAGAGGATTGAGGAGCGGATGCATAGGCTGGGTGGCTTGTGGCCTTGGCGTCTTGTGGCAGCTTTTATAGGCCCAAGTGGTGACGCCTGACACCATGGTCTCTGCTTTTTCAGGCACTATCTAGAAACCACATCTTTACTCATCTTGATTTTACTTTGTGGAAAATCCAGTGTCGCATAAAGGAAAGAGTTTGATTTCTCATGGACTTATTGAGAAGGGTCCAGGGCAGAGTTTCCAAGATCTGGGTGGGTTTAATTCCAGCGGCAGGCAAGGGGCCCTGAGAGCGGCGTGGCATTTGCAATGCTGCCCTGAGTTCCAGCAGTTTTGCCTGTGACAACCCTGAGTACCTGGACAGCTGACCCAACTCTGAGCTCCTGTCCTCAGACCCTTTTGGGTCACCAGAAGTGCTGAGCAGATAGTCTTAGTGCACTGTGGCTGTGACCACAGTCTACCAGCTATGGGAATTTGGGGAGTTTTATTTTTTCGATGAACCAGTCTCTTAAATTACTTAAGTAACACTTGCTTGGATACAAAATTCAAACAGGCAATAGAAGAGTAAAGTTCACTTCTTTTGGCTTGCCTAATTCCTCCTTGGCCCCACTGTGAGAGGGATTGTCAAAGTTCAGATTTCCAGGTCTCCACTGAGAGATCCAGAAAGATTCAGAGGTCTTTCTGGGAGCTTTTTTGGTGTTTTTTTGTTTTGTTTTGTTTTGTTTTTTTGGAGATGGGGTCTCACTATGTTGCCTGCCTAGGCTGGCCTCCAACTCCCAGACTCAAGCGATCCCCCCACCTCAGCTTCCAGAGTGGCTGGAAGTAGTGTGCACGTGTCTGGCCCCTTTAATTTAAAGTGTATGGGCCATCCTTCTGGGAAACTCTTAACTGGGCCAGGCTGGCAGCCTTAGTCCAGGTCAGAGATTGTAAGTGTTCCTAGTGCCACTGGGGCTTGGGGTGATCCCCTTTGCTCACCAGTCTCTGCAGGATCAACCCCTGCCGTCTGGGGGCCTCAAATTTCCCTTCTGCAGAATGAGTGCTGTGGAGGGCGGCTCCTGGGCTTGGCCCCTGCAGCCATGTCGCCTTTTCCTGCTCTTCCCTCGTTTTCCTAGAAGTCCTCCAGAAACCCCCACAGCAGAGGCCACGGCATTTGCCTGTTGGGTGTTGATGTCAAGATTTCTCCCCTACCCACTTCCTCCCCGAACCAGCGCCTCCCCAGGCCCCCTCTCTGCCTGCTCAGGCTCCCTCCGTCCTGTCCTCGATGGGGCTCAACCTCCTCACAAGGGTGTGCTTGTGACCCTCCTCACAAGGCATGCTGGATTCCCGCTCAGAGGCATCCCAGGCTTGCCCACCCTCTCTTCCCACAGGGAACGTCATTCCCACCCTCTCTGTCCACACTCGAAGCTTCCCAGCCCAGCTGCTGGCTCTGACTCCCAGAAGTCTGCCCCTTCCCCTCGAGGGCCCCCAGTGCCTGGAGTGCCGCTACTTGGCCGTGTGACCCCTCTACGGGCCTGTTTCCTAATCTGTAGTAGAGGGCCCACGGCATCTCCCACAGGGTCTCCGTGATGGGGGAAGGAGCGGGGAACTACCTTGGTCTGTGCAACTCCCGGAGCCCCGCCCGGGTGAGTCAACGCCCCTTATCCCCCATGGCCACCAAAAGCCCTGCCGGGAGCGGTGGGCAGGGGCGCCCCCGCGCGTGGGAGAAGGCGCTGGCGCGGCGGTTGCGGCGGCGATGGCCCGCGGAGATAGGGGGGTGGCCTTATGTAACGGGAGATGGGCCCGATAAGCGGGATCTGCGCGGCCGGGCCCTCCTCCGCGGCCTCCGGCGGTGGCCGGTCCGGGAGGCAGGGGTGGGCGCGCAGACCGGCCAGTCTGGAAGCTGCGGAGGCTGGCGAGGGGGCGGCAAAGGTGGCGGTCCGAGCGCCAGGCAGGGCAAGGGCCGGCTGGACACCCGGGCCAGCGGCTCCCCGAGCGCCGGTGCGCACCGGCGAGGGGCGGGAGCGGCCGAGGGGCCGAGGCGCGCACGTGCCGCTCCAGCACCGGCCATGTCAGGCCGAGGGACCCCGCGGGCCCGGCCGAGCGGCAGCCCCTGCCCTGGAGGGTGGTCTCCAGGGACCAAGGCGTGGCGGGCGGTGCGGAGAGGCGCGGCACAGATGGCTACATCAGAGGGTCTGTTGCTTGTTTCTAGATTGTCAGCGGGGATCCACTCCCGTGCGGGTAATTTTAATTAACACTAACTACCAAAGGGCCGCTCCGGGCACTTGGCGCATGTGGCTCGCACCTGCCTGCAATGCGCTGCGTGGGCCGCCCGCTTATGGCCATGGGGAGCCTCTTCGCTTTGCTCTGGCCCCGAAGCGCTGGGATTGGGACCTCCCTTCCTCCCGACCAGCTCATCCTGGGAAAGCTGGGGTTGCTTTTTCGGGTTTCTCTGGACTCTGGGTCTCCGTTGGCAAAGACATGATGCCCAGTCAGGAGGAGTAAGGCCTGAGAGAGTTGTTTTTGTAAGTGAAAGGATTTAATTTTTTAGATTTTTATTTTTAGGAAAGTTACGAATGCAGATAATTTTAAAAATCAAGAAGGCTGATTATGTAAAACGGCAGCGCTGGGAATCCGTGCTCTATGGGCCTCTGGCATTGCTGCTCCTCTTGTGAGTGAGGCACTTACTGCCCTGCTGTGTCCCTTACTGTCTTTTAAAGGTTGTTTATAGGCCGGGCGCGGTGGCTCACGCCTGTAATCCCAGCACTTTGGGAGGCCGAGATGGGCGGATCACGAGGTCAGGAGATTGAGACCATCCTGGCTAACACGGTGAAACCCCGTCTCTACTAAAAATACAAAAAAATTAGCCGGGCGTGGTGGTGGGCGCCTGTAGTCCCAGCTACCCAGGAGGCTGAGGCAGGAGAATGGCGTGAACCCGGGAGGCGGAGCTTGCAGTGAGCCGAAATCGCGCCACTGCACTTAAGCCTGGGCGACAGTGTGAGACTCCGTCTTAAAAAAAAAAAAAAAAAAAAAAAAAGGTTGTTAAGAAAATCACAAGGAAGGAGGAAAAAATATATTTCCTATTCATTAAGTGGAGGTGGAACATCACAAAGGTCTTCAGCGTCACTGTCTTCACGTTGAGCAGGCCGAGGAGGAAGAAGAGGAGGGGTCGGTCTTGTCATCTCAGGGGTGGCAGAGGCAGGAGAGAATCCGTGGATAAGTGGATCTGTGCAGTTCAGAACCTGCTGTTCAAGGGTCAACTGTGTATGTAAAAAATTCAGTGGAATCTCCACCTTCCCTCACAAGTAACTATTTTTCTTAGGTGTTGTTTTTTTTTTTTTTTGGTATCCTATTAGTTTATGTAAATACAAGCAACTGTGAATATATGGTCTTATTTTCCCTTGTCCCTACATGTGAAGTGGCATCATATACACCTTTTGCACCCTGTTTTTCTCACTTACTATAAAAATAATATATTTTTGTATTCACACTTAGATTGGGACATTTTATGACTTTTCTTCTTTGTTCTCTCTTATTGGAACTGCCATTTTTTTTGACTATATACCTCTTGGACTTGTCCTTTAATTTTCTTTTTATTCTATTTTCCATTTAAAAAATTTCTCTTCTCTGGGATATTCTCATAGCTTTATCTTCCTGAGGGTATTTGATTCTTTGTGTGTGTGTGCGCATGTGCACATGCACGCTAACAGCACTATGTTCTTGTTTCATTGATATCTTCTAAGTTTCCTTTTTCATACATAATCTTTATTTTCTGCAAGTTTTCTTTAAAAAATTGTTTTGAACTGGGCGCGGTGGCTCACCCCTGTAATTCCAGCACTTTGGGGGGCCGATCGCTTGAGCCCAGGAGTTTGACACCAGCCTGGGAAACATAGGGAGACTTTACTTCTACAAAACATAAAAAAAACTTAGCCAGGCATGGTTGTGCATACCTGTGATCCCAGCTACTTGGGAGGCTGTGTGGGAGCATCACTTGAGCTCAGGAGTCGAAGCTGCAGTGAGTTGTGATCACACCACTTCACTCCAGCCTGGGTGACAGAGCCAGACCCTGCCTCAAAAAAAATTTTTTTTCCATCTTATAGGCTTTCCTTGCACGTTAGGTAATCCTGGATTGCCTGCACATGTTAAAACAGGGATCTCTGAGGGTAATTGTGTGGGAGGGGGCTGTTTCCTATAGGGCAGGTGGCTGACTGTTTTCACTTGGGGAACCTCCTGTGGCAGTTTCTTTGTCGTTTTTTTGGCAGGCAGGTCAGCTCGCGCAGAAAAGATTCTCCCTGTCTCCAGCATTCCAGCAGCAAGGGTGGAGAGAGGGCTGGGGTGGGGGCCTCAGCATCTGTTGACTGTTCCTGATTTCAGCATATTTCGACCGCCCTCTACTGTGTCTAGTGTTTCTTGGTCCAGATATCCTATCCGGAGAAAACCCTGCTGCAGGAGAGTCACTCGACTTTGATGAACAAAAATGGATATCTAACTGTTTCTTAAACTGAGTTTCAACAACTTTCCTTATTTTCACCCCCTTCTCTTCTGATGTCCTTGGTCTTCTCCCAGTTCCTGAGCATTCTTGGGATTCTGTAAATCAACATAGGTCTCAGCTGGCCTAGGATTCAGTTTTCTTGGGTCAGCCAAGTAGTCTGCCCACCGTCCCTCCACTTTCCACCTTTCAAACGCTGGTGCTGTCATCCATTTCTCCCATTTTGGTGGGTTTAAAACTTTAGAAAATTCAGTTACTGTCATTTTAGTTGGTTATAAAGTGGGAGTTTGTGTTTATTCCATTGTTTTCATTTGGAATTTATATTTTTAATGTAGAGAATTTATAAACAAGACAAGAAATAAGAGGCAAACACTAGTCTTGCACCCCTTTTCCCTGGCACTATAACACCTCTGTATCTTTGCTATGCACATTTACATTTTGTTAGAAAAATGAGATAATACATTATATAGTTTTTACTCCTTTTTCACTTAAAATATATGAAGAGCATTCTCCAATGTCAGTATTCTGCATTTAAAAAAAGATTACACAAAATGTTATTGTGTAAAGTACAGATATGCAAAAAAATAAAAAGCCCCATAGTCCCAGCATCCAGAGATAATAATCATTGTAATATTTTGGTATCTGTCATGCTAGTATGTGGATATGTACAGGGTAAGTACCTTATTCCTAAAATAAAAGGGAAATAACTTTTTTTCTTTTTCTTTTTTTTTTTTTTGAGACAGAGCCTTGCTCTGTCACCTACGTTGGAGTGCAGTGGCACCATCTTGGCTCACTGCAACCTCTGCCTCTCAGGCACAAGCAATCCTCCCACCTCAGCCTCCTGAGTAGCTGAGACTACAGGTGAGCCACCACACCTGGCTAATTTTTGTATTTTTTGTAGAGACCAGGTTTCACCATGTTGCCCAGGCTGGTCTCATACTCTTGGGCTCAAGCAATTTGCCTGCCTTGGACTCCTGAAGTGCTAGGATTACAGGTGTGAGCCACTGTGCCTGGCTGACATATTTTATTTACTTATTAGTATTTTTTTTGAGATGGGGTCTCACTCTGACACCCAGGCTGAGGAGCAATGGTGCAAACACGGCTCACTGCAGTCTCAAACCCCTGGGTTCAAGTGATCCTCCCACCTCAGCTTCCTGCGTAGCTGGGACTACAGGGCACCATCATGCCCACACACATTGGCTGATTTTTAATTTTTTTTTGTAGAGATAGGGTTAAACCTTTAGACTTACCACGGTTTTACTAATACCAGATCAAAGAGGTGCAAGATAAATGTTTGCCTTTTATTGCTTGTCTCTTTTATAAATTCTCTGCATTAAAAATATAAATTCCAAGTAAAAACAATGGAATGAACATAAACTCCCACTTCATAACCACTCAAACCATAGTAGCAACAACCTTATCCTGTTGCCCAGGTTGGTCTTGAACTCCTGTGCTCAAGTGATCCTCTTATCTTGGCCTCCCAGTGTGCTGGAATCACAGGCATCAGCCACTGCACCTGGCCTATTACTTAATCTAATACATTTCTGCGCCAAGCCCCGGAAGACAAATAATTACAAATAATTCCCATAACAATGATAAGTTCATACATTCATTAAGTAAATGTTTATTGAGTGCTTACTGTGTAGGTGCTAAACAAAACAGCACAGTCTCTGCCCTCTTAGAGATACATTCTAGTGGGTAGAGATAATGAACAAACACATGATATATAGTATGTTAGACCGTGAAAAGTACAGTGGAGAGGGAAAAAAAAGAGGGCAGGTAGAATGAGTGAGTACACTATTATATATGGGATGGTGACGTAAGGCATCACTGAGAAGGTGTTATTTGAGCAGAGACCTGAAGGATGAGAGGAAGTGGCCATGCAGATATTTGGGGGAAGAAATTTCCAAGCTGAAGGCACAAGTAAGTGCAAAGGCCCTTTTCTTATTTTGTTCATGCTGCTGTAACAGAACACCTAAGACTGAGTAATTTATAAATAATAAAAATTTATTGCTTACAGTTCTGGAGGTTGGGAAATCCAAGATCAAGGCTCCAGCAGAATTCGTGTCTGGTGAGGGCTGCTCTCTGCTCCCAAGATGGTGCCTTCTTGCTGTGTCCTCATGTGGTAGAAGAGCCAAAGGGAAGAACTTTCTCCCTCAAGCCCTTTTATGAGGTCATGAATCCCATTCCTCCATGGCCTAATCACCTTTTAAGTGCCCCACTTCTTAATAGCATCACCTTGGGGATTAAGTTCCAATGTATGAATTTTGGAGGGAAACATACACTCAAACCATAGTAGCACCAAAGCAGGAAAATGCCCACTGTGCTGAGAATTAGCAAGGAAAGCCAGAAGGAGTGAGGGGAGGCATGGGAGAAGATACTGTCAGAGAAGTATGTCCAGAGCATATGGAGACTTGTAAGCCATTGAGAGGACTGAGGATTTCATGATGAGTGACATAGGGAGCCACTGGAGGTTTTGAGCAGAGGAGTGACATGACTCAATTTACCTTTTTTCTTTTTTTAAAAAAATTTGAATTAACGTTATATTTACGGAAAAGATACAAAAATAGTACAGACAGTTTCCATATCCCCTCCACTTACCCAGCTTCTCCCAATGGTAACACATTACATAATCATAGTGCAATGATCAAAAACAGAAAAATGAGCATGGATTTATTAAGTAAACTGGATCCTATTCTAATCTCACCAGTGTTTCCATTCACATCCTTTTTCAGTTTCAAGATCAACCCAGGATCTCACAGTGCATTGAGTTAATTCTCTTTGGTCTCCTGCAGTCTGAATGGTTCCTCAGTCTTGTCTTTCATAACGCTTACATTTTCCAGGAATACTGATGAGTTATGCTGTCAAATGTTCCTCAGTTTGGTCCCCTTGGTGTTTTCTCCTAATTGCACTGAGGTTCTACATTTTCACAGAGATGAAGTTGGGGCCTTCTCACTGCATCAGGTCACAGGGTTCATGAGGTACATGCCTTCTTATTGGTGATGTTGACCCTGACCACTTGGTTAAGATGGTTTCTGTCAGGTTCTTCCATGATAAAATTACTATCTTTCCCTTTTTAGTTAATATATTGGGAAAGATAGTTTGAGATTATATAAATTTTTTCTCAGATTTGTGCCTACTAATATTAGCTTCATCAGTGACTCTTGTCTGAAATGATTTTTATTGTGGTATTTGCCTAGTGATGACTTTTCTTTTTCCCTTTCCTTCTACATTTATTACTTGTAATTCTACTATAAAGAAGTGCTGTCCTTGTCCCTCATTTTTTTTAAAGTAAGTACTTGTGTATAGCCACATAAGTTCATGAATATTTATTTTACTCTATCGGTTATAATCCAATACTGTCTTTATTTTGTTTCTCAAATTGTTCTACCTTTGATCATTGGGAGTTACTTCAGGTTGGGTTCTGTGTTCTTTGAACAAACTCTACCTTTTTTTTTAAAAAAAATATTTTCTTAATTTCTGGCACCACAAAAAATTCTAGGGTCATTTTGTATTTTCCTTGCCTCAGCCCTGAAGTCAACCACTTCACCAAGGAGCCAGAGTTCTTTTTATTGAAGAGCGTGTTTTAAAATCGAGATCTTGGAAGTAGGTGTCCTCATTATTACTGGGGTGTCATCACACTGGGCCCTCTTTAAATAACTTTGTTACTTTCACTATAAGTTTTCATTATTTTCTTAGTGGTTACCCTGGGGATTACAAATGAACACCTTAATTTAGATGAATGTCAACTTAATTTCCATTTCAAAAGTTCCTATATAGCTCTGTTGCCTCTCTCTTTTGTAGCATTATTGTCATATAAATTATATTTTTATACATTATAAGCCCATCAACAGTGTTAAAATTCTTAATGCAGTTCCCTTTCAATCATGTAGGAAAAGAGTTACAACCCAAAATACTTTTTTTTTTTTTTTGAGACCGAGTTTTGCTCTTGTCACCAAGGCTGGAGTGCAGTGGCGTGATCTCAGCTCACCGCAACCTCCGCCTCCTGGGTTCAAGAGATTCTCCTGCCTCAGCCTCCTGAGTAGCTGGGATTACAGGCGCCCACCACAACGCCTGGCTGATTTTTTGTATTTTTAGTAGAGACAGGGTTTCACCATGTTGGGCAGGCTGGTCTCAAACTCCTGACCTCAGGTGATCCGCCCACCTCGGCCTCTCAAAGTGTTGGGATTACAGGCATGAGCCACTGCTCCCAGCCCCCAAAATACATTTATACTTTTATATTACCTATATATTTACCTTTACCAGTACTCTTTATTTGAGTATTCATGAGCATTTGAGTCTAGTTTCATTTTACCCTAAAGGATTCATTCTCCTTTTATATTTCTTGTAGGGCAAGTCTGGTGAAGACAGATTATCACAATGTTTGTTTATATGGGAGTGTCTTCATTTCTTGTTTTTGAAGGACAGTTTTTCTGGATACAGAATTCTTGATTGAGGCTGGGCACAGTAGCCCACACCTTAATCCCAGCACTTTGGGAGGCCAAGGTGGGAGGACTGCTTAAGACTAGGAGTTTAAGACCAGCCTGGGCAAGACAGCAAGACCCCCTGTCTCTTAAAAAATTTTTTTTTTTGAGTGTGGTGGCACATGCTGGTAGTCCTATTTGAGAGGCTGAGGAAAGAGAATTGCTTGAGCCCAGGAGTTTGAAGCTACAGTGAGCTATGATTGCACCACTGCAAAAATAATTCTTGGTTGATAGTCTTTTTCATTCAGCACTTTGAATATGTCATCTCACTGCTTTCAGGCCTGCATTGTTTCTTAAGAGAAGTCACTTCTTAGCTTTACTTGCTTCTTTCGTTTGAGATCTCTTTTTCAACAATTTGACCATGATGCATCTAAATGTGAATCCCTTTGAGTTTACCCTACTTGGAGTTTGTTCAATTTCTTGGATACGAAGATTAATGTTTTCATAAAATTTGGGAAGTTTTGGGCTACTATTTCTTCAAATAGTCTTTCTGCTCCTTTCTCTCTCTCTCTCTTCTGGGATTCTCATTATGATTGGTATACTTGGCATTTTGGTACACTTGATAGTGTCTCAAAGGTCTCTGAAGCTCTCTTCATTTTTCTTCATTCTTCTGTCTATTCCTCAGACTGTATAATCTCAATTGACCGGTCTTTGAACTCACTGATTCTTTCTTCTGCCAGTTCAAATTTGCTGTTGACCCCCATCTAGTGAATTTTTATTTCCATTACTGTATTTCTCAACTCCAGAATATCTATTTGATTCTTTTTTATAATGTTTGTCTCCTTACTGATAGTCCTGATAATTTGGTGAAACATCATTCTCATAATTTCCTTTAATTCTTTAGACTTTGTTTCTGTTAGTTCCTTGAACATGTTTATAATAGCTGATATCTAAAGTCTTTGCCTAGTAAGTCTAACATCTGGGCTTCCTCATAGATTGTTTCTATTGACTGTTTTTTAAATTGCTGTTTATGGCATGGGTCAGATGTTCCTGTTCTTTGTGTGTCTTGTTTTAAATACTCTATCAATTATTGAAGTCAGATTACCTACTCTCCAGGGCTTGCACCTGTTACTATTTCTTATTGTTGCTGCTGTTGGTTTGTTCTGTGTCTTTCCTGGACTAATTCTGCAAATTCTATATGCTTTGTCATGTTTGGTTCCTGAAGTCTCTACTCAGCCTAGTGGGTAAGCGAATAATTGGACAGATATTTCTTTCTAATGCCTTGAACCAATAAATTTTCTAGCTTTTGTCAAGTGTGTGCATGTGTGTGTATTTGTGGAGTCATGTCATTGATGTGTCAGCAGACAGTTTACAACTGCCTTTATCTTCATTTCTGGCATGAATTGAGTTTCAAGGTCAGTCAGAGATGAGAGCTTAGGACCCTCTCAGGACATGCATACATCCCTGCACATGCACATGGACTTCTAGATTCCCAGGAATATGCTTGAGCTTGTCAAAGCTCCCGTGGACATCTTCTTCCCAGATTTTTCCTTTTAAGTTTCTTGGTCAGCCTTTTGTTAGCTCCACCTGGTAACGCTGCCTCAGGCAGCCACAGGGTTAATCAGTTGCCACTGATTATTCTGCAGGAAGGGCTGTTTTCAGAGTGAGCTCTGAGTTAAGTCAAATAAAGATAGGTCCTGAAAATGGAGCTTTTCAGTGAGTTGCCAGACAAGACAAATAGAGGCAGTTCTCTAGTAGTGGAGATCTGGGGGACCTCCAAATCTATTCTGTCTCCTCCAGTGGCTACTAGGTTGCTGATTTTCACAGATACTAAGAGGGCTGTTGGTTTTCAAGTTACCATGGATTAAGAGAGAAGGGCATGGGATTAGGGCAACTTAAAATGCCACTTTCTGCTCTGAGATTCAGCTGTTTTCCTTTAATAAACACACCTCAGTTTGTCGCTATCCATTAGTTAATTTCCAAAGTTCTGAAAAAGTTGATTTTGACATTTTTGCCAGTCTTATTGCTTTTATGAAGAAGCAGATTTTGGATGGCTTTTACTCCACCCTTATGGAAGTAGAAATCCTTTAGATATTAAAATTATAAATTTGTACAGATCCTTTGGATTCAATCAACACCAAGGGGTTCTTTTTATGGCCTCCTTTCCTGATATGCAAACACCTTTTTCCAACAGTGAGAAACTCAGTTCGTATTATCTACAACACAGGTATGTATTTGTTTGACTTTAGTATGTACATAAAAATTTCGAAATTGCTAACCCACACCCCTGTGAGAAACACATTTTCTTGAGTTACTTTTTAAAAAGATCACTGGCTGCTGTGTTGAGAACTACAGGGAGCAGGCCCCAAATCAGTGGGAGCAGTTACGTGGTTACTCAGATTATTCAGGTTAGAGATGGCAGTGGCTTGGACCAGAGCAATGATGGTTTAGATCAGGGGTCCCCAACCCCCGGGCTGCAGACCATTACCTGTCCTCAGCCTGTTAGGAACAGAGTCGCACAACAGGAGGTGAGTGACAGGTGAGGGAGCATTACCGCCTGAGCTCTACCTCCTATCAGATTGGTGGTGGCATTAGATTCTCACGGGAGTGCAAACTCTATTGTGAATTTGCACGTGAGGGATCTAGGTTGCGTGCTCCTTATGAGAATCTGACTAATGCCTGATGATCTGAGATGGAACAGTTTCATCCCGAAACCATCCCCCTCACCCCACCCGTCCATGGAAAAATTGTCTTCCACTAAATCGGTCTCTGGTGCCAAAATGGTTGGGGACTGCTGGTTTAAATGGTGAGGCATGGTCAGATTCCGGATGTTTTGAAAATTGAACCCATAGTATTAAACTGACGAATTAGATATAAGATGTAAGATAAAGAATCAAGGATAATGCCAATTTTTGCCTGAGCAATTGGAATAATGGAGTTGCCATTAACAGAAGAGATTCAAGTTCTGGGAGAAAGACTGGTTTTGGTCATTTTAAGTTTTAGACGTTTATTAGATATTCAAGTGCAGATAGATGCCCAGTTATCCACAGGCAGCTGAATATATCAGTCAAGCATTTAGGAGAGATCTGGATTGGACACAAACATTTATGAGTTATCAGTGTATAGATGGTGGTTGTAGGAGTGGTCAGTGCCCTGCCTATATCCTATGATCCTAGGAACTGCCAGTGTGCTCCTGCCAACTTTCAGCTGCTGCTGCTTTTTTTTTTTTTTTTTTTTTGTCTTTTTAGACAGGGTCTCACTCTGCCACCCACCCAGGCTGGGGTGCAGTGGCACAAATCACAGCTCACTGCAGCCTTGAACCCTCAGACTCCAGGGATCCTATCTCAGCCAAGTAGCTGAGACTACAGGTGTGCACCACCATGCCTTGCTAATTTTTTAAAAATTTTATGTAAAGATGGGATGTCACTATGTTGCTCAGACTTTCTTTTTAAACTGTGGAAAGCAGCTGTGTCGGTACACATGGCAAGCCAGTAACTAACATGTGCTAGAATAGCCTTCACTCAGTAACCCTGGCAAGTTGTTATATAAATACTCCAGGTCTCTTGCCCCTTAGGTGGGATAATTCTGAGGTATATATTTTGCCAAACTCCCCAGAGTCTCCCTGGGGCACCAAACTCTAATTGCCCACTTACCGTAGCTGGCTTAATAGTAAACTTTTCATTGGCTGCTTTCTCTTTCATACACAATTTCCCCAATTTCCTACTGATTACTTTCACGTGAAGCATTGTTTTACGCTCTGCTTCTGGGAGAACCCAAACTAAGATAATTTAAAGCTATGAGACTGGATGAGATCACCAAATAAGTGAGCACAGAGAAGAAAAGAGGTGCAGACTCTGAGTACTAAAACCTGTGACATTGAGGGGCCAGGGAAATGAGGAGGAAACAGCAAAGGAAACGGGATGTGCAGGTGTTGCAGGGAGGAGGCAGAGCTGGATTCCAGTAGGGCTGGGGATTGTCGGGACAGTTTGAGTACAATGCAGTGGAGGGTGACATAATGATGAGCCATGGAATTTAAGTTGAATAAGGAGAGAAGTACAGGCATCAGGGAAACAACCTGTGAAAAAGCCATAGAATCAATGGATTGAAATCTCAGTGGGGTCAAAGAATTGCTGGGGTTGAGGACCACAGGAAAATTGTAGACACCATGGGGTTATTGGAGAGTGAGATGCTTAAAACTGAGATTTTGGAGGGGTGCAGTTATTGTTATTAAAAGGACGGGGCTCTAGAATAAGACCATAGAACTGAGTATCTTCTCACTGGAGGAAACAAAAAGGGGCTGAGGGAGGCCAAGGTAGGCAGATCACTTGAGGCCAGACGTTCAAGACCAGCCTGGCCAACAAGGCGAAACCCTGTCTCTACTAAAATACAAAAATTAGCCTGGTGTGGTGGTACATGCCTGTAATCCTAGCTACTTGGGAGGCTGAGGCAGGAGGATTGCTTGTATCAGGGAGGCAGAGGTTGCAGTGAGCTGAGATGGTGCCATTGCACTCCAGCCTGGGTGACAGAGCAAGACTCCACCTCAAAAAATAAAAAAGACTGAGAGGCCAAGGAGTTGTATTAGACCATCACTTGGATATTGAAATCAGCAATGATTATTAGTAATGGGGTGACACTGAACCGGGAGCTAAACTCTTCAACAAATAAGAGGGAGTGACCAAGCTGGGAATGAAAGATAACTGCAACAAGAGTGAAATGAAGACAGCTTTTTCTTGAACACTTACACAGTATTTAGTAGGTGGCAAGCAGTTCTAAGCAGTTTGTAAATAATGTCATTCAATCTTCATAACAACCCTACAAAATATGTACCATTTTACCCACTTTTACATATAAGGAAACAGAAAACAGGACAAATAACTTGCTCAAGGTCCCCAGCTAGTGAGTGGTGTGCTAGGATTTGAGCCCAGGCAGTCTGGCTCATTCTAACCTCCATCCATGCTGTGATGGCTATTCATTCCAATGTGGGGAAGGGGGATATTTGGAGACTGATCTAGAAGCAGCAATGAGAAGCCAGAAAGGCACCTATCCCACCTCCAAACCCATGGGCTTCTTGGAATGAAAGCAGCCACTCTCAGAAGTGCTGCCAAGGATGCCACATATTCAGGGGGAAACCAGATTTAAAATTGGGAAGTCTGTTTTAACTTGCAAATGATACTTTTGTTTCACTGCCTATATTGATCGTGTATTGCCTTTGTTATTCTTTGCTGCAACAACTAGCACTTTCATTAACATGTTGATAGAAGGTAACTGGCTTTAATATTTACTGAGAAATGTTTTATTTTGCAGTTAAGATGACTGTTTAATTTTGATTTAGCAACAGATAACATTAAGAAAATATTATTTGCAAAACTGTGAGTTTGCTAAAGCTAGGAGATGTTGAATTTTATCAAATATAGCTGCTAGAATTTTTTCAGAATTTTTTTCACCTTCGGTTTTATTATAGTGATGGATTTATCAACAGATTTTTCATTTTCTGAAATCTTGCATTCTTGGGATAAAAATATCTTGGTTATTGTGGATGTTTAATATATGACTAGAATTGATTTGCTCTTAATCTTACTCGTGATTACATTTAGGACCCCCCCCCACCCCACCACCACCCCCAGGATACTCTGTCTTAAGGTCCTTAGCTTTAATCACATCTGCAAAGTTTCCTTTGCTGTATAAAGTAACAGTCACGGGTTCTAGAAATCAGGACCTGTCTATCTTTGGGGGCCAACCATTTAACCTAGCACAGATAGATGCCTTAGGACCTTAGGGCTTAATTCTCTTCTGGACCCAGTTGAGAAAAGCTGTCTAGGCAAACATGCTCATTATAGCTACAGATGGCACAAAACCATGCCATGTGACTGAATCAAGACCCGGTATGGTCCTGGCTGACTCTGAATGACAAAACTCTACAAAGCATAATTCAAAAGCGTGTGACTTGGTTGCATTCTGTGTGGAATGGAAGGATTCAAGATGTCAGCTGGCAATTCCAGGAAAAACTGTGATTAGGCTTTTCTTAGAAGTGGCATCTGAAGAGCAAATGGAGAGGCCTGTTCTTCCAGGTCTGGTTGGACCCTACAGGGAGCAGGCCTTGACTCTGTGAGTGAGCCTGGCTTGCCTTCCACATGGCAATGCCCACTTAGAGAGGAATCAGGATTGATGGTGAAGCCAGTATGCTACACAGGATAGACGCAGAGGAGTGTTACAGGCTTCTTCACGATGGGCAGATCAGGCCTCAAGTGGTCAGAGCTTTCCAAAGGTGGGTGTGCACAGTGGAGAATTTCCTCTCTGTAGAGAGAGCTCTGAGTCTGGATGACCATCTGGAAGGGATATGTAGGAGAAGAAGGTGGTGGGTACTGACTTAGATGATTACTTAAGGTTCCTGTCAAACTTTGAGACCCCATTCAACTACTTCAAATTTTAGTTGGGGAAACCAAGTCCCAGAGAGAGAGGTCACTGGATTTATAAAGTTAAAAGCAGAGCCAAACATACATCTCACCATTTCTGGTCATCCTCAGATATTAATACTCAGTTTTTCAAACCACATGCAAGGAAGTAAATTCAGAGGTAACATTTAACTATGATTTAAAAAAATACCAAAACCATAAATTTTCAAGGCAGTAATTATCTCCTTCTCAACAGTGCTTTGAGAAGAAGCATGCATTTGCACTGGGGAGGGAGGCACAGAGTCGAGTCTCGGCTGTACTGCTGAACCCTGAAGGCCTGACAGAGGCTGCCTGGAATGGGATGAAGAGCAGCAAATCAGAAACAGGCAATCTGTCCAATTTTCAGTGAAACAAGTTTCATGATTTTAGAACCTCTCAACATCCAAAATCCTAGACACAATGTTCCTTTGAAAGAATATATTTTCTTATTGACTAAGTTGATATGAGAAATAAGTTTCTTATTATACACTTTCTGAGGACCTACATTTCTATGGCATTTAAATCTTGGATATTTTTAATGAACATTGAATCCCAGGGAGCTAACACTGCATTTCACAATCTCTGAGCACTGATCGATGTTCTTTTTAATCCTGTAGAATTTCTCCACATATTCAGAACGTCCTAAAAGCTCCACAAAATCTTCATCATGAGTGATTACCAGAAGCTGGAAGTTACGCTGCTGTGAGCGACTTTTTATTATCCTGCAACAATATATTCAGAACATATTATTAGTAAAGAGCATAACCCCTTCTTTGATTTGAAAAGTCACCGCAAACCTTGTCAGACACATGAACTTGTGCTGTGTGTCAGGGCCCCAGCTACCCTGCAGGAAGTGGAGGGGTGGCCCCAGGCCTTCAGGCCAGCCAGGCAGGAGTCTCTTCTCCTCTCCAGACAGTAGGGACACATGGCCTGACTCCTCACTTAGGTCTGGCTTAGGGACTCACAGGAATACAAGAACTAGTTTCTTCCAGATCAGAAGTTCTCACTAAAGCAGGTATAAATATTTTATTGAGTTTTCCTTAATATCCAAACTGTTCAACTATAGAAGGCTTACTCCTTCGCCTGGGATTTTCCTGACCTGTTACTACTTTTCTCTGGAAGAAAAATTTAAAAGTAATAAAGACAAACTACAGGTAAGGGGAATAACACTGCTTTCTTAAGAGCTGGGTCTACTTAGAATTCTGCCACCACCAGTCACTAGATGCATCATTACTATGACACACAGGGACCTGAGTGGGTGTTCTGGGAACATTTTGCTGAGGTAACCAGCAATGTGACTGAAACCTGAAAGACTTTTTCTTTTAGCTAGCCACTTATCCCCTTCCTGGAGCTGGATGCATTTGAGGTTTCAAAAGCACTCGCCCTTACTTGTGATGATGGCTGCAGAAAGGTGGCCCTGCGCTGCTGAGCTCTCCTTCTGGCCCTCTCTGCCAGAAAGGGACTGTCTGGAGCCAGGAGTGCCTGAAACACCTCCTTTGACCTCAGGGAAACTGCCTTTTTCTCTGCCAGCATAGTCCTTATGCAAGAGCTGCTTGACAACCTTGGCGTCTACACTGACCCCAGGTGAATGTGGTAAAAGGTGTGCAATTTTACCCTCACTGGACTTTACCTAATCTCAAATAAGCTTTTTGAGTAAGAGCTCTGTCATTCCTCACAGTTCTCTGACACATGTGGAAAGCTGGGGAGACAGTCCTAAACCCACTACCACTACCTGCAGATGTCTTAGCAGGGCATGCTAATTGCTGTGCATGACATGTGGGTTCCTCTGGTAGGTTTACAGGAAAACCAGGCCAGGAACCCCTCACAGTGACTCTCTCCCTGTGAACACACTTGGGGAGCTGCAGGATGTGTCTGGGGCTGCTGTTCACCATCTAGTTCCTTTAGGAGGGATCTGAAGAATTACTATCAAAAGGTAAAGCCCAGGGCCTGGCACCAACTGGCTTCCCCAAGAAGTGGGGAACACAGCTAGAGAACGTTTTCATCACAGAACTCTCTTGGTTTTGAAGAACTATCACAACCTGTCCCCAAATGTGAGATACTTACTCAACCAGAGCATGTGCAAGAGATACTTACTCAACCAGAGCATGTGCAAGAGATTCAATGTTTTCTCGGTCAAGATTTGTTGTTGGCTCATCCAAGGCAATGATGCCACAGTTGAGGCAGAACGTTTCAGCCAGGGCCAGGCGAATGATGAGTGAGGCTAATACCTGGAAAAAAGCCCCTATGTGAGAAGCCCAGCACAGACCTTCTCATCTCATGGCAGGCAAGCAGTCCTGACATGATCTTTTCAGCAGGGAAAAGTGGGAAACGTCACAGGTTCACTGTTAGGTAAAGCACTGCCCTCTGGGAGAGCCCAGCACTGGGACCAGATTCTTATGTCCTCCAGAAGGAGAACCTGCATGATCTCAGCCTATCATTCACCACAAAACAAAATGCTCAGAACAACGCTGATGCTCTCACATAAAAAATTACATCAGCTACAACCAACTTGAGACCAAAGGCTAGAAACAGAGACAATGCCATTTATCTGTAATTTTAATAATCCTGTAAGATGAGCAACCTTAAAAATTCTTGACCTGGCTATTTGCCTGATAATGGGATCTGTTAGAAAACTTCGACACGTTTTCTAGAGCCTCTCACTTTTTCTCTGCTACCTTTAAATTTCCATATTCTTGTGTATAATCCTGAGACTGAGAGAATAAAAAAGAAAATCCTAGGTCAAAGTATCAGGAGTATAGAAATGTGGTTTCAGTTAAGCTTACCTGTAGAAAATCCAAGTAACTGGAACTGTTAGGCATTTTCGTGGTTACTAGAAACCTAATACTAAAACCCTCAGACCCACTGAAACCATCTGAGGATACAAGACACACAGAATTGAGAGAGTAGGGCTATTCTAGGAAGTATAAACTACTCTGGTGTGAGCTGTAAGTCCCCTTTCCCCCTCAGTTTGTGGGTGGGTGCGCACACATCAGTGAGTTGGTAATTTTAGAATAGTTTATGTCTTTTCTTTAATGCCTAGGCAAGCCAGAAGACAGGGCCACAGCTTGGCCCTGTGAGGGACAGGCATTTCCTTCCTGTCTTTGAATCCAAACTGCTGTCAACTCTACCACCACCCACTCACATGCAGAGCCCCTGGCTGGCTGCTAGAGCCTCAGCAAAAGCCAGTGTTAGGTAGGCTGGAGGCCCACCTCCATTATTTGTTCTCTCCCCTCACACCAAGGAGACAATTATTGCTAATTAATTTTCATAACTCAGAATAGCTACAAAAAATCTTTTTCCTCAAGATATTTTTGAAAGTATTTTTAATTCAAAGAGACCATGTTTCAAACTCTGTATTTTCTCATTTATAATTACCACTAAAAATCATCAAAGCACGTAGGGATACTGATTACAGATCACAAGTTTGTCATTTTTGTAGACTATGATTTAGACAGTAATCTGCAGATGCTTTAAATTGGGATCAGCTGTCTAGGCTGACAACATAATACATATATGCATGGCATGTTCTTTTTTTTTTTTTTTTTTGAGACGGAGTTTCGCTCTTGTTGCCTGGGCTGGAGTGCAATGGCACGATCTCGGCTCACTGCAACCTCCGCCTCCCAGGTTCAAGCAATTCTCCTGCCTCAGCCTCCCGAGTAGCTGGGATTACAGGCACATGCTACCATGCCCAGCTAATTTTTGTATTTTTAATAGAGACGGAGTTTCACCATGTTAGGCTGGTCTCGAACTCCTGACCTCAGGTGATCTGCCCGCCTCGGCCTTCCAAAGTGCTGCGATTACAGGTGTGAGACACCATGCCCAGCTGCATGGCATGTTCTTTAAGCAAAAACTGCAAACTATGAAAATGAGTTAGATAATGTAAGCATCTATTTCTATGATTTTAGAATTTTATTTAAAAAAAGTCAAGGGCCTAGAGGTGTTATCAAGTGTAATCTTCTGCCTTGATCTGAAAGCAGAAAGCTCAAGTATCTGTGACATCTTTGTTACAAACCTGTGCACAGTGAAGGATCCAGCCTTGTTCCCCAAGGATGCCATATTCCTGATTCTTTAAAACTTCATTCCTCTTCCTGATTTCCAATGTAGGCTGTCCTCACAGAGCCTTACCTGAAGCCAGATGGCCTGACCCAGCAGCTAAGTCTTTGTGTATGCTGTGGTAGGGACTTAGTTCTATGAGGGGCTACTTTCTTAATGAGACTCCTTACTATACTGGAATATTCATTCTAGCTTAAGCTAGAATCTGGTTTGCAATACTATTATGTCATTGATTCTGAAACATCTTATGGTTATAATTGCATTTTTTCATTCCTGCTGGCACATAAAATAGTGGTATGTCTTATAACTGATGAGACAGTGACCTTATTCTGATAAGGAGTGCCATGAAAACTCTAACGGGTCTTCAGCTTCTTGTTCTACATTTAGCCTATCCTGTGAGAATGCTTCAGGCCCTTCTTTTAAAAGTCTACATAATGTTGCAGGAAATGTTGGTTAGCTTCAGGAGAGTGTAATAATAGTAGCTGAGCCTGATTCATTTTATATAGCAGCAAAGAGCTTCCCACCATTCAGGTGTAGCCTTGGGTGCTTCCACTGCACTGATGTTTGTTTCTCTCTTTCAGTTACTTGGGTGAGTTGGCTCCCCAGGCTTTTGAGATACCTGCCTTTTGTCCAGCACTGCATCGTCCTCGCATATCCAAGGCTGTGTCTCCCTTCAGCATCACCACTCGGTAGTTATAATTCCGCCTTTTATCAGAAGCTGATACATTTTCATCGGCATCAGACCGTATTTCTATGTATTCAATATCTGACACAGGAAGAAGAATATTTTAGAGGAACCTATGCTCTGTAGCCTTTTGTCATTTACAAACATATCAAGTAAGCCTAGGAACAACAGATGAGGCTGACATTACCAGAGGAAAACAATGGCTGGTGTGGAAACTCTTTCTCTGGCTGGGAGGATTCAAGAGCCTGGTGGTCTGGCCAGAAGCAACCCAGATGCCCCAGTTCCTCAGCCTCAACTCTTTCTTAGTTTCCCTGTTAAGAGTTTCCTCCAGGCCAGGCGCGGTGGCTCACGCCTGTAAACCCAACACTGGGAGGCCAAGGTGGGCAGATCACCTGAGGGCAGGAGTTTGAGACCAGCCTGGCCAACATGGTGAAACCCCATCTCTACTAAGAATACAAAAAATTAGCCAGGTGTGGGAGCGCGCACCTGTAATTCCAGCTACTACTCGGGAGGCTGAGGTGGGAGAATCACCTGAACCCAGGAGGTGGAGGTTGCAGTGAGCCAAGATTGCACCACTGCGCTCCAGCCCGGGTGACAGAGAAGTGCGAGACTCCATCTGGAAAAAAAAAAAAGAAAAAGAAAAAAAAAAGAGTTTCCTCTGGATGGTTTTTCTTATTGCATTTTGGCTTATCCCTATCTACACTATGACAGAACCTATTATGTCATCAGCTAAATATAATGCCTACTGCAGTCAAATATGTAAGTCCTGTTAGGCTCTGGAACAGAAAACTTTACATTTTCTTGCTACAAGATGTTGCCAAGATAAGAATTCTTAGAAAATCTCAAAGACATGCTTAGAAAGGGGTCCAGGGAGGTAATGCTGGCATGATGAGAGGTCATAAGGGGAAGAGCTGCGGAGAGGGCTTTGGAAAGAGCATTTGTGATACACCATGGTACTCACCTTGTCCACGATAGGTACTTCGCCACAGGTCACGTATAATTTTATTGATTTCTTCCATTTTCATACTGTGAAATTTCATTATTGCTCTGGAAAAGGAAGTCATTGGTACTTCATATATATAAAAAATAATTATGTGTAATAGTAATATTAAAATACATAAAATATATAATATATAAAAAATAGAAATATAAATAACTTCCTCAATATTTTCAATGGTAAAAGTAGAATATAGTAAGAGCTACAAAAATAAACAGCAGCAAAACTTTGCTGCTTGGCTAATACTGAAAATTGGCAGGCTTATTTCTAGTGCTCCAGGGGTACCCTTCTCCATATTCACTCTCTAGGATACAACAAATACTCCTTTACGTAAATACTTAAATACTGTGAAAACTTCAGGAAACATAATTTTTTAGACTTTTTTCTTAGGCCGTGGTAACTTATTGGAGGGAATGCTTCCACTGATACTCACGGGTCACAGGAAGGCCTGCTGAATGGACGACAGGGAGTTAAAGGGTAGAAGGTTTACGGTTAGCCAAGGGGCCTGCAGTCTATGGGGAAAATAGGAGAATCGAACTGCCACCTTGTCCCTCTTCTATCACTGTTAAGGCTTACCAAAAGTCAGCTTCTTATGTTGGTTTTATTCCTCAGATCTTAGATTTTTACCAACTGGAAGCTTTGGTTCAGCGAGAATGATTTAGAAGCTTAAGCTGAACTGACATCAAAATTTTATTTTACCTTTCCTTCACAGATTCAGAAATCCTAATTCTAAATATTAACTTCCATATTTATATTCCAAATCCTAACTCTAAGCACTAAATTCCACTTAGTCCAGACATGTCCCTGTCCTCAACTCTCTTTTAAGGTAGTAGTTTCTAAACACTAAAAACAAAGAGGAGAAATGTTTGTAAAAGCAAAAGTAGCCTGTCAAAACCTAACATTGTTCCCACCACAGTCACCTTTCATCAAAAAGCCCTTAGGTTCTTTGGAAGCGGGTTTATGAACTAATAAATGTTGCACCAGTGGTAAAAAGGCAAACATTACTGCGATCATCATACAAAGGATGTGAGGATGTGAGGCGACTTACTTCCATTTGCAGGCCTCTTATCTGATGCATACAAAAAAAGAAACTGAATATAATGCTACTGCCTCTGTAGAATCATTTCGTGATCTTCTGGTTCACCAGCAAGAGAGAAAGAAATGACTCAACATAAATACATTTTAAATATCAGATGAAGGACTGTGAAGTAGTAGAAGACTGGAAAAAACCATATTCTGCTTGTTGATGAGAATGCAACAAGTCTCCATTTTCTACCTTATACATTTATCTCAGCCTAACATTTTATGCTCCTTTCAAAAGGAGACAAAACATCTAAGTATTTCCTAAAAACAAAACAAAACTGATGGAATGTTAGACCAATCATGTAAAGACTGCCTTTCCATAGCTTATATATCATGATCCTGATTTTTCAAATGACATTAAAAAAAAGTTATCTTTCCATTCAAGTTAAAAATCTTCAAAAACTAACATAAGCATTCTAATGTGGAGAACAAGCTCCAGACAAGGCAGGGGTGGCCAAGGCGCACACGTGCAGTCTGCCTTGGCTCCCTTATACAACACAGGTGGTGCATCCTGTCCCATGGCCAGGTCTGCTGAGACACAGCACTGCGGGAAAAAGATCTAGTTCAGGGAGAGGTCTCAACCCACCAAAGAGTGTGTCGGATGGAGTTGATGACTACCACTGTGGGACGGACCATTAACTCATCTTCGTATCCTCTCTGTCTACTATGGAATTTACAGCTGTACTGTGTAAGAGATGGGGATGACTAAGGTCGCTACAGTAATCTACATAAGGGAATAACAATGATAATAATGATTATTATTGATGACCATTTACCATATGCGAGACAAAACTATGCTAAATAATCAATTTCATTTAATCCTTACGACAATACTGGGAATTAGATACTGTTATCTCTATTTACCATTAACAAAACTAAGATTCAATGAAATCAGTGACTTGTTCAAGATCAGAGAAAAGTGGCTAGGATATTAACAGCCCTTGAATATGACAGTTAAAATTGAAAAGGCAGTCAAAATTCCATCTTTTAAAGCCACCAGACTCAGTTTTATGAGGGAATGTTATCAAATCTTCAAGACACACCTAGCTCCCAAGTATATAAGGTATGACACAGCAAGGAGAAACATAAGGGGAAAAAAGTACAAGGCTATTTTTCTTATGAATATAAACATTCTAAATAAAACGAAATTTAGTAGTAAGGGTAGTAAAAAGAATATATCATGACCAAGTAGTGTTTACAACAAGAAAGAAACAGTAAAACTGGGGAAAATAATTCAACTAATATAGTAGCAGATTAAAAAGAAAAAAATAATTTTTCAATAGATGTCATAAAAACATTTGATACACTATAACACTGAATTTTGATAAAATATCTTAAGTGAAAAATCAAAGAATGTTTTCTTAACTGGACAAAATGACTCCCTCAGATATCCACAGCAAGCATCAAATTTAATTTAAAATCTATAGAAGTGTTCCTCCTAAAACTAAGAAGAGAAAGATGCCTCCTATTATGGCTGCTCTAAAATAAGGTCCTGGAAATCCCTAACGATTCAGGGATTTCACGATTCAAATCCCTACCTAAAAAGAAATGAGAAATGAAAAAAAGAGAGAAAAGCCTGTCATTATTTTTGCAGGTGACAGAATTGTATGCTTAGAAAATCCAAGAAAATCAACTGAAAAATTATTCAGACTAATGAGATAGCCAGAGATAAATATATAAAAATGAAGTTTTATTATCTAGAGGCAAACACCAATAGGAAAGGCAATAGAAAAAAAAAGGATCCTATTCACAGTGGCGATAAAAACCCTAAAATGCCTAGGAATAAGTCTAACAAAAGGGTATAGGAGCTAGAGGAAAAAGCTGTAAAACTTTACAATAGGATAAAAGGAAATGATTGAGCAGGAGATGCATACTAAGGAGTCCAGAATGGTAGATGTGATATTACAAAGATGTCCGTTCTCCTCAAATAATCCATAAATTAAATGCAATCCAAACAGAAACCCCAATAAAATTAAAAAATGCTTAACAGAATCCATAAGCTGACTCTAAAGTTCATATAGAAGAGATAATACAAAAGAAAAAAAATAAATTTTAAAAGTTGGTATACAAAGGAAAATCCAGAAACAAACCCAAATGCATATAGAACGTTAGTTTATAACTGCAACAGTTCAAATCAACTGGAAAGTTTTCAACAGTGTTACAAAAGATAAAAAAAAAATTATTACCCGTTATCCAACCTCAAAATAAAATCCAAATGAATGAAAGGATTAAAAGCTAAAGTATTTGGGCAGCTGAGGTGGGAGGATTGCTTGAGCCTGGAGTTTGAGACCAGCCTGGGCAACATAGTGAGATCCCATCTCTACAAAAAAATTTAAAAATTAGCTGGGTGTGGTGGTGAGTGCCTGTAGTCCCAGCTACTTGGGAGGCTGAGGTGAGAGGATCAACTGAGCCCGGGAAGTTGAAGCTACAGTAAGCTGTGATCATGCCACTGCACTCCAGCCTCGGTGACAGAGTAAGACCCTGTCTGAAAAAACAAAAAACAAAAAACAAAAGCTAAGGTAAAATAAAACAATCAGATGAAAACATTTTGATAATTTTAGGATTGGGAAGCCTTTCTAAATAAGGAACAAAATTGAGAAGCCATAAATCAAAAGACTAAAGATTTGACTACCTAAAAATTAAAAGTTACAAAAGATACCATAAAGAAAGCTGAGGCAGCTGGGTGCGGTGGCTCACACCTGTAATCCCAACACTTTAGGAGGCCAAGGCAGGCAGATCACTTGAGGTCAGGAGTTTGAGACCAGCCTGACCAACATGGTGTAACCCTGTCTCTACTAAAGATACAAGAATTAGCCAGGCGTGGTGGTACATGCCTGTAGTCCCAGCTACTCGGGAGGCTGAGGCAGGAGAATCGCTTCAACCCGGGAGATGGAGGCGGAAGGAAGTAAGCTGAGATTGTGCCACTGCACTCCAGCCTGGACGACAGAGCTAGACTCTGTCTCAAAAAAAAAAAAAAAAAAAAGAAAAAACGAAAGAAAATTGATGGACAAACGATAAACTGGGAATAGGTACTTGCAATGTATGTGAAAATAATTAACATCTAGAATCTATTAAAATGTGACAAATCAAGAAACAGACAACCTAGTAGAAAAACTGGCAAAGAGATATGAATAGGTAATTCTTGGAGAAGAAATACAAATAGACAACATACAAAAAGACATTTAACTTCACTAGTAAAGAGGGAAATGTAAATTAAAGTGCAAGCTTTTTTTGTGCAGCCAATAAAATGTCAGTAACAAAATCCAGACATGGAATGGGCACTTTCATATACTATTGGTGGAAATTTTCTAAGTGTTTTTAGAAGGCAATTTGGCATTAACTAAAAAATATACATAACATCTGAGCCAGTAACTCCATTTCTAGGAAGCTGTCTTTTTGACATATCTGCTTTAGTGTGCAAAGACACACTCTGCAGCATTATCTGTAGTAGCACATATTTAAAAGCTTTCTAATATGTTCAATAGTGGTTAAATAAAGTAGATATCATGCATTTTACAGAATATGCAGCCATTAAAAATACAAGGTACTTGAATATATGAACGTAAAAGATTATCACCACGTTAAATGGAAAAAAAAACTCAGAAAAATATCTACCTTGTGATAATGCTTACAAAGAACAAAAAAGATGTATTTGGGTGTACTATGTGCAAAGCCATTGTGAGGGAAATGAAAATATGTCACCAACTTAATAATTCTTAAGGGCTGAATCAAAGTTAGACACTGTCATGGAAATGAGCCTAAGTCTACCTTGAAGTGTGTTCTGTGGTTTGCAGTTATGGAGCGTGGGGAAGCCCAAATATCTGTAATACAAGGCTGAATGGCTTTAGTTGTATAAGTGGTACAAAATATTATTAAGTACAAAGGTAGGAAAAAAATCACATATGTTTGGGAAGGGCTTAATCAACATAACATTCCAAGGATGGGAGAGATAGCACAGGAAAATATGGGACAAAATTGTTTGGTTAGAACACACTTGGTAGTAGGAATTGAAATGGGAAAGCCCAGGTATGGAAGTCATTCCTAAAATTAGAAGGGAATAGGGACCACCAGCTTTAGGAAAATGAAGCTGGCAGAAGTATAATGGGTGGAGGTGGGGGTAGGAAGGACGGTAAGAGATAAGAGGTGGGAAAGGTGCCACGGTAATAGGTGAGAGTTACTTAGGCTGAAGCCATGGAAAGAAGGCAGCTCTGGGCTGGGTGCGGTGGCTCACACCTGCAATCCCAGCACTTTGGGAAGCTAAGGTGGGAGGATAGCTTGATCCCAGGAAGTCAAGGCTGCAGTGAGCTGTGATCATAGCACTGCACTCCAGCCTGGGTGACAGAGTGAGATCCTGTACAAGAACCCTATAGGAGCTATTGAGTGACATATAGTGGCCCAATTAACTTAACACGCTTTTATCACTTGGACTTTACAGGCATTTAACATCAAATAACTTACAGAATGACCTTGAAAGTCCATGACTGTCTGGTGAGGCAAAGATTTGAATTTCATGGGCTGCAAACTGTTATGGTCAAGTAGCCATCTGGCTAGTGTATCAGCTCCACCACCTGCCTGGAGTATGCACATCTCTCAGTTAAATGCATATACTAACTCATGCGAAGTAGTATGATTTCTTTGTGAAAACTGGCTCTTAAAGTGAGAGGCCAGGTGAGGTGGCTCACGCCTGTAATCCCAGCACTTTGGGAGGCCAAGGTGGGTAAATCACTTGAGGTCAGATGTTAGAGACCACCCTGGCCAACATGGTAAAACTCTATCTCTACTAAAAATACAAAAATTAGCCGGTGTGGTGGTGGGCACCTGTAATCCCAGCTATTTGGGAGGCTGAGGCAGGAGGATCGCTTGAACCTGGGAGGTGGAGGTTACAGTGAGCCGAGTTTGCAAGAATGAACTCCAGCCTGGGTGACAGAGCCAGACTCTGTCTTAAAAAAAAAAAAAAAAAAAAGTGAGACTCTCTCGGAGCTCAGAAAATAATGATTTATAAATTACTTTAGTCTGATATTTAAATACTCATTAAGAGTCTGAAAGATTTCATTAAAAATTTCAGTAACAATCGATTGCATTTTATGAGGAAAAATGATGGCTTTAATGGCATTTATATTTCTGGTAATCCATGAAAGTCTTAACAAGCTTGTCCAGCCTGCCTTATTTTGTTGTTCTGTTTTGTTCTAGGCTTTTAGCAGACTGAAGCCATGGTTTTTAGTTTTGTCTCTAGTGATGAGCAGAAAAGAGGGATGAGGAAGAGGCTTTACTGGTCCAACCAGAAAGAGAAGCTAAGAACCCATGACTGGATTCTCTCCCTTGGACACCCCACAGACCAATATCTCACCTTCCAGGAGAAGACCCTTCCAGCTCTTGCTTCTTTAAACCTATTAACTTAGTTTTCTTTAGCTAGACTCCCAAACATCAGCTTTTACAATTCAGCCTATGGTTCAATCACTATGGCAAGATAAACATTTGTTTAGGTGTGAAACACCACTGGCTATCTTTGGGTTTTGTAATCTACCCTCTTGAGGTTGCAGGAGCTACTGTGAAACCTTACTGCATCCATGGTCATGATAGAGATGGTGACTCTAAGGTGAGCCCTGAATAAAGCCCTCATCTGAAGCTCCCCTCGAATGCAGGGACCCAGGCTCTGAAGAGCCTCACAGAAAGCTGGCTACCTTGGATGCAAAACTGTAAAGGTTACGTGTTTACAATGAGTCTTAAAAGAAGCATGACCTGGCCAGGTGCGTGGCTCATGCTTGTAATCCCAGCACTTTGGGAGGCCAAGGCAGGTGGATCACAAGGTCAAGAGATCAAGACCATCCTGGCCAACATGGTGAAACCCCGTCTCTACTAAAAATACAAAAAATTAGCCGGGTGTGGTGGCAGGCGCCTGTAATCCCAGCTACTTGGGAGGCCGAGGCAGAAGAATTGCTTGAACCCGGGAGGTGGAGATGGCAGTGAGCTGAGATCGCACCATTGGAGTCCAGCCTGGGCAAAAAGAGCGAAACTCTGTCTCAAAAAAAAAAAAAAAAGTATTACCTAATATGCAACCTTCCACATCTGGGGAAAAATGAGAGTAGAACATTTTGGGCATGGGGTAGAACACCATATCTTGAGTGATATATTCTAACATCATTTAAATTGGTATATTGTATTAGTATGGGGTAATACATTCCAAATGATGGATAATTTCCCCCTTTTCATCTATGTGTCTCTGACCACTGCCAATGCTTATACTTAGTGATGTTTTTAGATGATTACTAATAACAGATGGTAATCAGCTTTTCTTGAAAATGCACTGCTGACTTCCTGTGTTACCTTAAATAGACAGCTGAACGCAACAATTACACTGACTGCATGCTTTATTCTAAGACGTGAAAGAATGAGGGAAATTTTGTACCTTACTTTCTTCTGGGTGAGAAGGCAAATTTAGGGCTCACCGTATAAATCTTGAGAAGGCCACTGTTTGCGAGCATAAGCCACAAAGACTCAATTTTGGGGAAATTTGTATCACCTCTTTTCATTTAGAAGAATCCATCTGAGTACCAGGTAAGAGAACTCAGTAAACAGCCTGGCTTTGTTCCTTAACAAGCCTAAATTGCTAGAAAGCACTCCTGTACCTCTCCACCCCGCCAGGCTCCACCAAGCTCCCTCATAGGTCCTCATTCTGCTCAGCATGCCTCTGTGACTGAGGCACTTTTCTCTGCTGAAAAGCCCTTCCTTCTTATCCCAGGCCCAGGTCAAAAACAGACTATGGAGCACCTACCAAGGTCTCCATCAGACAGACTGTCAGCAGTTTGGAGGAGGGACAGGGAAAGATATTCCTGTTTTCCCAGAGCCTGACAAGAAAGTGGCAGAGCAAGGGTTGTTGAATTCTTTTTTATTTTTTCTCTTATAGCCTAATCTTGGAAGTGAAGGGAATTCTTATTCCTGCTGCCACTGGTTCTCAGGGTATGCAGGGATAGCTGGAGAGCTCCTACGTATGTTTTTCTATTCAGTGAATACATATGAAACCCCAGGTCTGCAGGTCAATGGGCTGTAAGAGAAGAGCTGACCTTGCAGCAAAATACTTACAAGTAAAATTGAAAACAAAACCAACCTGCCTATTTAACTTGGTCCCTGGTCCACTCTAACCATTGCCCCATTTTTCTTGCTCCCCGTCACAGGAGAAGTTGTTATAAGAATTATCTATATTCTCTGTCTCCATTTCTTTTTCTTTTTTTTTTCTGAGACAGTTTTTTTCTCTTGTTGCCCAGGCTGGAGTACAATGGCACGATCTTGGCTCACTGCAACCTCCGCCTCCCGGGTTCAGGCGATTCTCCTGCCTCAGCCTCCTGAGTAGCTGGGATTACAGGCTAGGCACCACCAGGCCCAGCTAATTTTTGCATTTTTAGTAGAGACGTGGTTTCCCCATGTTGGTCAGGCTGGTCTCGAACTCCTGACTTCAGGTGATCCACCCGCCCTGGCCTCCCAAAGTGCTGGGATTACAGGTGTGAGCCACCGTGCCCGGCTGCTGTCTCCATTTCTTACTACCCATTCTCTCCCCACCCAACTTGACCGGGCTTCAGTTCCAACTGTGCCACTGACTGCTCCTCAGTCATTAACAACTTCCATTTTGTCAAATTTAAGGGCCACTTCTTAGTCCTTATCTTATTTGACTCCAAATAGCATTAGATTCTTGATATATTTGCTTCACTTGGTTTTCAAGATACCACATCTTTTAAAATCTTTTCCCACATCACCAGCTGCTTATTTACTGGATTTGCAAACATAACTAGTGGTGGGACCTTTCCCTTCTCTCTCTATGCTCATTCCACATGTGATCTCATCTCATGGGTTAAATGCCGTGGATATGCTGATGACTCCCCAGTGTACACCTTTCACTTGAACTCTAGGCTCGAGGTTATATATCCAACTGCCTGCTTGACAGCTCTGCTTAGATATCTACAGGCACTTCAAACTTAAAGTGTACAAAACGGAACTACTGATTTTCTCTCCCCAGTCCCACCCATTTTAGGGAATGGCAACCTGTTCTCCCAATATCCTGTTGTTCAAGCAAAAATATGTAGGAGCAACCTTTGGTTATTTTACTTTCCCTCCCTTACACTCAATTCAGAAGCAAGGCCTGTCAACTCTCTCTCCAGAACAAATCCCAAGTCTATCACTTCTCTCCATTTTCACTGCTACCACCTGATCTAGCCCACCACCATCTCTTGGTTACTACAAGTCTCCTCATCAGTCTCTGCTTTTACTCTTGCCCTTTACAATCCATTCTCCACACCCAGCAGCCAGTGCAATTTCTTCCAACTAGAAATCAGATTATATTACTTCCCTGCTTCAAACCCTCCAGTGACTGCCCAATGCAGTTAGAATGAAATAAAACTGTTTGTTTACCAAGGCTACAAGGCATGACATACTCTGGGAATGGTCTATCCCTGACTATATTCCACCCATGCTTGCCTTCTTCCTGGTCCTTGAACACTTTCTGTTCGTACTGGTCTTGGCTGCTGCAGTAACTATTCTCTCTACCTGGAACGCCTGCACCCCATTTTTTGCATATCTTGCTCCCTTCTCATCAATCAGGTCCCAGCTTAAAGGCCCATCTGTTATGCTCACATTGTTCATTTTCACTGTAATACCTACCACTACTACCCATTTTGTTATTAATTTATTTCTTAATTTTGTTTCTTCATCCTTATATACTTAGTATCTAGAACAGTATCAAGCATTTATGTACTCAAATTTTTATTGAACAAAATCCTAATATACAACTATGTATTATGTACACAAGCACCTCACTGAAGAGTTACAAAATATATAGAAATAAGTTATGGTTCTAAACCAGGAAGTATAAGTAACAGTTAAAATGCTTTTATATAAATACTAGTTTTTTAACGGTTATAAAAAAAGGTCATGCCCGTAATCCCAGCACTTTGGGAGGCTGAGGAGGGTGGATCACTTGAGGCCAGGAGTTCAAAACTAGCCTGGTCATCATGGCGAAACCTCGTTTCTACTAAAAATACAAAAATTAGCCCAGTGTGGTAGCACATGCCTGTAATCCCAGCTACTTAGAAGGCTGAGGCATGAGAATCGCTTGAACCCAAGAGGCAGAGGTTACAGTGAGCAGAGATCACGCCACTGCACTCCAGCCTGAGAGAGCTGAGAGAACCAGTGAGACTCCGTCTCCAGAAAAATAAAAAAAAAAGCAGGGGGCCACTATGGTAGCAGCATGTCACAGTGGTTCTGATATCTAATTTTATCTCTACCATTTACCTGGGTAATCTTGGGTAGCCTGCTTAATCTGTCTGATAAATACTTGCCCTTTAAAACAGAGTTAGATACAATAATTAAATCGATTATGCTATCATGTAGTATTCAATTGCTATTATTGTCTTCTATGCACAGCCCTCAACCTCAAAGAATGTTTAAATGGGAACAGAAACCTACGTTTTCTTAATGAATTTAGTTCTTTAGTGCTATTAAAGAATAGAGAATTTAAGAACTTAACTTACATTAAAGAATGGAACATGACAAAGGAAGCTGGACTAAATCGCCTCTGAGCTTTTCTGACTCTATACTGAATAATAGTATAGATTTTTAAAAATTCTATTTTATAGATGAGGAAACGGAAACTCAGAGTGTCTAAATAATTTGCTAAATATCTTCAGTCAGGACTCAAAATCACCACTATGGAGAATAGTATGGAGGTTCCTAAAAAAACTAAAGACAGAACTACCATATGATTCTGCAATCCCACTTACTGGATATTTACGCAAAGGAAATGAAATCATTAGGTTGAGGAGATATCTGCACTCCCATATTTATTGCAGCACTGTTCATAATACCTAAGATTTGGAAGCAACCTAAGTGTCCATCAACAGATAAATGGATAAAGAAAATGTGGTTCCTCTCGGGCGCGGTGGCTCACGTCTAATTCCAGCACTGTGGGAGGCTGAGGCGGGTGGATCATTTGAGGTCAGGAGTTCGAGATCAATATGGCCTACATGGCAAAACCCTGTTTCTACTAAAAATACAAAAATTAGCCAGGTGTGGTGGCAGGAACCTGTAATTCCAGCTACTCGGAGGCTGAGGTGGAGGTTGCAGTGAGCTGAAATCACACCACTGCACTTCAGCCTGGGAGACAGAGACTCCGTCTCAAAAAAAAAAAAAAGTTGTTCATATATACAATGGAGTGCTATTCAGCCATAAAATAAAATGAGATCCTGTCATCTGGAATAACATGGATGGAACTGAAGGACATTATGTTAGGTGAAATAAGCCAGGCACAGAAAGACAAACTTTGCATGTTCTCATTCATTTGTGGGAGTGAAAAATTAAAACAATTGAACTCATGGAGATAGTGGAGATGATAGTTACCAGAGACTAGGAAGGGCAGTGGAGATGGTTAACAAGTACAAAAATATAGTAAGAATAAGATCTAGTATATTATAGCACAACAGAGTGACTACAGTCAACAATGTATTGTACATTTAAAAATAACTAAATAGTATAATTGGAATGTCTGTAACAAAAGGAAGGATAAATGCTTGAGGTGATGGAAACCTCATTTACCCTGATGTGATTATTATGCATTGTATGCCTGCATCAAAATATCTCACGTACCACATAAATATACCGGCTATATAGCCATAAAAAATAAGAATAAAACTTTTTTTAAAAAAAAGAATTCGGCCGGGCGCGGTGGCTCACGCCTGTAATCCCAGCACTTTGGGAGGCCGAGGCGGGCGGATCACGAGGTCAGGAGATCGAGACCATCCCGGCTAAAACGGTGAAACCCCGTCTCTACTAAAAATACAAAAAATTAGCCGGGCGTAGTGGCGGGCGCCTGTAGTCCCAGCTACTTGGGAGGCTGAGGCAGGAGAATGGCGTGAACCCGGGAGGCGGAGCTTGCAGTGAGCCGAGATCCCGCCACTGCACTCCAGCCTGGGCGACAGAGCGAGACTCCGTCTCAAAAAAAAAAAAAAAGAATTCAAAATCTGGACATCTGTAGTGTTCAGAGACAGCACTTTTAACCATGTATTATGGACTTCTGAGGCTTTTTAAAAAAGGTAAAACTTATCATGTTGGACTTTTATACAAAGTCCAATGTCTTGCTTTTAATATCCATTTTTATTTTTCCATCACAACCAACTTATCTTATTCCAAATAGAAGTTTTGGTGATTTTTTTTTTTTTTTTTTTTTTGAGACAGGGTCTCTTTCTGTCACCCACGCTGGAGTGCACTGGCACAATCTTGGCTCATTGCAACCCGCCACGGGCTTCTGAGTAGCTGGGATTACAGGTGTGTGCTACCACGCCCAGATAATTTTTGTATTTTTTTGTAGTGATGGGGTTTCGCCATGTTGCCCAGGTTGGTCTCAAACTCCTGGACTTAAGCAATCCACCCACTTTGGACTCCCAAAGTGCTAGGATTACAGGCGTAAGCCACTAAGCCTGGCAAAATAGGTTTTTACCAACAAAAATCTGTTTTGATTTGTGTCTCTTCAAATAAACTATAATATCCTTGCTAGAAGTTACTGGATCTCCTATTCCTTAATGCTCAATGAATGTTTGATAAGTCTATTAGATACACAGCATCTGTTGTTAAAGAACTAAGAAAAACTAAAAAGTCCCCTAAAGGCATAAATGAGGTAGCTGAGAAGACTAAAAAGAATTATTAAAGGCAAAAAAAACCAAAAAACAAAAAACAAATATATGTATGTGTAGTCTACTGGGCAAGAATTCCTTAAGTTTTGCTTATGTTCTTGTTTCAGCACCTTAAATTCCAAGACTAACCACTTTAAACTGCTGGATCTAATATCTAGGAGAGATGGCAATATTCAAAGAAGTTAAAAAACAAAAGTTCTCATTTGGTGCAGGCATATAATTCTATGAGCCATTTTGGACCCAGGGAACATTGTAATGTTAACGTACCCACTCACAATGAAATGGGACAAAAGATATATCCATGGAATACTCTCAAAAAATTGTTTTAAAAGTTAAACTTAATCTAACAAAAATCTTAGTATAATTTATTTTTAAAAAATAACATGTTAATTGGCTCACTCCCAATATTTCACAGTAAATGGATCTAATTTGTCTTACATGATTACGTACTTCCTAAAACTTGTATATGCCAAAAATATGCCTAGGCAATTCTGGGACCACCTTTGTTATCATCACTAACTAAAAAAGTCCTCATACTGAAACCAGAGTTCTCCTGTCTTCCTGAGCCCTGTGGTCTGAATGCCACTGCTCAGGTTGGTCTGTTGACTATGCTGTATCTGACCAGAAGTCTTAGAAGAGAAGCTCTCTGTGTAACTCTCTTAGTGCTAAGGAAGATATTTGCCATTCTGGAAAAAACAACCACCACCAAAATCTAAGGTAAGTAATAATTCTCCTGCCACAAATGAACAGAACTACTAGATAGACTTATAACAAAACTTATTTTAAATTCATAGTTGAGCTCACAAGAAAGAAAGGGAAATCCCTACATAATAGAAACGAAGATAGAAGTGAAAACCAGACCAGTCAGTATGTAACCTGACAGACAAACTAAACTTGGGGTTATTATTATTACTGTTATTGTTAGTTTTGAGACAGAGTCTCGTTCTGTTGCCCAGGCTGGAGTGCAGTGGTGCAATCTTGGCTCACTGCAACCTCTACTTCCCAGTTCAAGCGATTCTCCTGCCTCAGCCTCCTGAGTAGCTGGCATTACAGGTGTGCACCACTACAGCCAGCTAATTTTTGTATTTTTTTTAGTACAGACGGGGTTTCACCATGTTGGCCAGGCTGGTCTTGAACTCCTCACCTCAAGTGATCCGCCCACCTCGGTCTCCCAAAGTGCTGGGCTTACAGGCATGAGCCACCGTGCCCAGCCATGAACTTGGCGTTATTGTTTTTATAACCTAGGGATTGGTTCTTATCATCCAGGACAGAAGATGAAGGATAGGACCCAAGTAAGGAAGAAGATTAGAAGTGACTCCCAACACACAAAAAATGGGACTCTTCAAGAGCTATAACATCAATCCTCAATGAAAGAGTGGAAAATTAATGAGTTGAAAATTCAAAGTCTTGGGCAAATGCTTTATATAGTTTTGGGGTTCAAAGTTATGCTACCAGTGAGTATAGTCTAGGAACCTACCAACTAAGAAATTAACAAAAACCCTACATGCAGGCCAATGTTTTCTCTGGAGCTCTTAGTTAATATAAAACCAAAATTTCTGTGTAGATGGACCTCTACAAGGAAAGGTCACAAGGGAGTCTCATAGAAAAAACAACACTACTAAAGATAAGCACACAATTAAATGTTAATAAAACACAGAAACTTCACTAGGGGATAGAATCAACATACAAAACAGCAGAAGCAGACTCCTCAAAATGTGAAATTAAAAAATAACAATCTGAAAGAGAATATAAAATGTGTATAGTTAAAATGAGTAAAGACACATTCAAGAAGGAATCAAAATACTAAGGAAGAAAATACATCATAAGCCTGGCACAGTGGCTCACATCTGTAATCCTAGCACTTTGGGAGGCCTAGGTATAAAATGTGTATAAAATGAGTAAAGACACATTCAAGAAGGAATCAAAATACAAAGGAAGAAAATACATCATAGGCCTGGCGCAGTGGCTCGCATCTGTAATCCTAGCATTTTGGGAGACCTAGGCAGGAGGATCGCTTGAGGCCAGGAGTTCAAGACCAGCCGGGGCAACATGACAAAACCCCATCTGTAATAAAAATACAAAAATTAGCCGAGTGGTGGCATGCATCTGTAATTCCAGCTATCTGGGAGGCTGAGGAATGAGAACTGCTTGAACTCAGGAGGTGGAGGCTGCAGTGAGCCGAGATCATGCCACTGCACTCTAGCCTGGGCGACAGAGCCAGACTCTGTTTTAAAAAAAAAAAATTATAAAAAAACCATGTGAGTTTCTGAAAAAGAACAAAATAGAACTTATAGAAAAAAATGGAGGAAAAAATGACAACTCAATAGGCAGTATAAGTAGCAGCTAAATAATTTATTTAACAAGATATTTACCCAGAGCCCAGTATATGCAAGAGGGGTTAAGCAATGTAGAGGAAAGAGGAGGTTATGTCTAATAAAAAGTGAAGAAGGGGAAAATAGTGAGAAATGGAGAAAGAATAATATTTGAAGAGATAATGTATGAAAAATCCCCAAAATTGATGGAAGATATCAATCCTCAGATCAAAAAGCATAATTTATGAGCAGAAGAACTAAAGCTGAGTCTAGACACACTATTATAAAAATACAGAACACTGAAGACAAAGGGAAAAATCCTAAGAGAACCAGGGGAAAAAGGCAGATTACTTTTAAAGGAATAATTAAAATGATTTCTCAACTGTAACCATAGAGGCCAACAAAAAATGAAATATTTTCAAAGTGCCAAGAGAACAAAACTGTCAATCTAGAACTCTATGCTCAGCTAAACTATCAAATTAAGGGGAAAAACTTCTCAAAGACTGATTGTTTACCACTAACAGTCATTCACTGAAAAAACTATTGAAGAATATACTCCAAAAAAAGAAAACTGAACCTAAAGAAGGGAGGAGTGGGATTTAAAAAGCAAGAATGAACAAAGAAATTGGGAAACATGCGGGCTTATGAAACCACCACAATAATTATTACTCATTTGTGATGATTTAAAAACAAGGTAAAACTAAAATATTAGACAAAAGAAATAATGCAGATGAGAGAAGATAATTAGTATTCAGGAAAAAGATAAAACAATTCACATTAAAGCTATGGTTTTTAAACTTTGATGTGCATCAGAATCACCCAAAATGTCTGTCAAAAATAGACTGCTGGGCCCTACCTCTCAAATTTTTGATCGAGGTCTGGGGTAGAAGCTGAGAGGCATTTCTAACATGTTCCAAGGTGATACTGATAATGGTGCTCCACGACCACTTTGAGAACTAATGCATATGATTTTAAGTCAAATAAGTATTTAAAAATTAAAAAGTAAACACTCAAATAACTAAAGTAGAATACAACCGATCCTTGAACACAGGTTTGAACCATGTGGGTCTATGTTTATGTAGATTTTCTTCCACCTCTGCCATCCGAGACAGCAAGACTGACCCCTCCTCTTCTTCCTCCTCCTCTTCAATGTGAAGAGGACAAGGATGAAGACCTTTATGATGATTCATTTCCACTTAACAGAAAATATATTTTCCCTTATAATTTTTTCTTGTCTCCAGTTTACTTTATTGTGAAAGAATACTGCATATAATACACATAACATACAAAATATATGTTAATCAACTGTTTCTGTTATCAGTAAGGCTTCCAGTCAACAGTAGGCTATTAGTAGTTAAGTTCTGAGGGAATCAAAAGTTATATGTGGATTTCTGACTGCGTGGGGGGCTTAGTGTCCCTAATCCCCATGTTATATGGTCAACTGGATAACCCAAAGAAGGGAAAAAGGAGGAGTCAAGAAAAATAAATCCATCTCAAAAAGGCAGGAAAGGAAAAAAAGATGGCAGAAATAAATCCAACTCAATTGAGTAATCAGAATGAATATGAAAGGCCTAAATTCACTGGTTAAAAGACAGACATACACTGGATAAAGAAAATTCTGCTATATGTAATTAAGATGGTGAGAGAAATGGCACAGAGATAGACAAAGTGATGAATTAAGTAGAACAGAGAACCCAGGCCAACCCAGGCACATAGGGAATTCTGATATATGACAGAAATGACACTGTAGGTCACTGAGAGAAGGATAGTCTACAATAAATAGAGCCAAGACAACCAGTTATTCATAACGGAAAAAATTCAACTTAGAATTAAATACTTAAATGTACTTACATGTGAAAGGCAAAATTTAAAACTTTTAGACAAAAATATAGAAGTAGGGCGTGGCAGCTCACGCCTGTAATCCCAGCACTTTGGGAGGCCAATACAGGTGGATCACGAGGTCAGGAAATCGAGACCATCCTGGCTAACACGGTGAAACCCCATCTCTACTAAAAATGCAATAAAATTAGCCGGGCGTAGTGGCGGGCGCCTGTAGTCCCAGCTACTCAGGAGGCTGAGGCAGGAGAATGGCGTGAACCTGGGAGGCAGAGCTTGCAGTGAGCCGAGATGGCGCCACTGCACTCCAGCCTGGGCGACTGAGTGAGACTCCGTCTCAAAAAAAAAAAAGATATATCTCTCTCTCTCTCTCTCTATATATATATATATCTTTATATATATATATCTTTATATATATATATATAGAGAGAGAGAGAGAGAGAGAGGAGTAGAGAGAGAGAGAGAGAGAGAGAGAGAGGAGTAGGGAAGGATTTCTTAACAAGACACACAAAGAGCTAACCAGAAAAGGCTGCTAAATTCAACTAACTCAAAATCAAATCCAGTGTCATCAAAAGATGCTAAGTAAAAAAGATAAGCATAATGTTTGAAAAGACATTTGTAATACATATAACTGAAAAGGAATTGAAATGCAGAAGAGATAAAGAACACATTTAAATCAATAAGAAAAGACCAATAGGGCCAGGAACAATGCCTCACACCTGTGACCCCAGCACTTTGGGAGGCCGAAGTGGGAGGAATGCCTGAGCCCAGGAGTTTGAGGTTACACTGAACTATGATTGCACCATTGCACTCTAGCCTAGGTGACAAAGAGAGACTCTGTCCCAAAACACACAAAAAGACAAGACTAATAATGTATAAACAACGATTCATCATTTTAAACCTATGAGGTTGGCAAACATTAAGAAATTTATAAAACCAATGTCAGAGGATCCATCAAATAAACCCTTATATACTGCTAGTGGTATAAATCAGTAGTCATTTCTGGAAAACAATATTATTTTGTAAAATTGAGCATACTCCACAATGCACTCCCACAAATATAACCTTATACCTTTCCTCCAGAAGACATGACAAGACCTGGAAAAAAACCCCAAATGTCCATCTGTAGGAGAATGAATGCATTGTGGTCTATTCCCATAGTAGATTATGTACATCAGTGAAAATGAATCAACTACGGCCATAAACAACATGGATAAACAAAAGCAAATCCAAATAAAAAAGCAAGTCCTAGAATATCATATCATTTTTAAAAAGCTCAAAATATGACATATATATGATAAAACTGTTTTTTAAAAAAGCAGAGAAAGTAAAAATCTTTGTCACTGGTTATAGGGAATGGGGATGACAGAAGGTTGAGATAAGAAGGGAGCATCTAAGTGGATGCCAATCAGTGATAATGGTAGATTGGTTAGAGGGAGGTAGTATCATGAATACTCGTAGATATTAATATGCTTTATATCTTAACTTCATAACTTAAGCTAGTGTGTGTTTACATACATACATACATATATTTTCCAATCCATGGTATACATAAAATACCATATTTAAAGAGAAAAAATGAGGGGCTGGGCGCAGTGGCTCATGCCTGTAATCCCAGCACTTTGGGAGGCCGAGGCGGGTGGATCACCTCAGGTCAGGAGTTCGAGACCAGCCTGACCTACATGGAGAAACCCCGTCTCTACTAAAAATACAAGATTAGCCCAGCGTGGTGGCATGCACCTGTAATACCAGCTACTTGGGAGGATGAGGCAGGAGAATCATTTGAACCCGGGAGGCAGAGGTTGCAGTGAGCTGAGATCGTGCCATTGCACTCCAGCCTGGGAAACAAGAGTGAAACTCTGTCTCAAAAAATAAAAAAGAAAAAAAGAAAAAAATGAGAGAAAAGATGACTAAAGTATGTTAGTTAATATTAACTGCAATAAGAAAATCCCCAGTCTAATACTTACTGGTCAAGAGTCTTATAATAAATATCCAGATCCTTGTTCACAAGTTCTGTTGTCCTCATAACAATCATCATTTCTCTATACTTTTCCTCAGCATCCCGAAATTGTGGTTCTCGAAGTTCTTTCTTAAAATGAATAATTTCTTCTTCATAACCTTTCTGTCGCCCTAATGCCAAATTATGATTTCTTTTTATATTGTCTATGTTCTCTTCCAACTTCTGATGTTCACTGTAAAAAAGAAAAATGACAAATGAGGACCATTTTTTAGCTTTTAACAACCTGAAGTGGAAAAGTCATAGATTTCTTTAGATAGGTTAAGTATCATTCTCCTTAGCAATCAGTATATTATAACAGAGTCTCTCCTTGCTTATTATTTAGGGCTTTGGTACTAAAGAAAACCCCTCTCTTCCTTCCATATCTCTGCCGCACATAGGTTGCTAAATAGCTAATTTTGTGTATTACAGAACCCTCATAGCATGTGATCACTGATAAAGTTCCTGGCCTTTAGACGCTAAGTAAAGCACTCTGGTGATTAATATTACAAATTCACAATCTTCTGATTGTGAACTGAGAATGCACAATTATCAACACTAAGAAGTTATGGATAACAGGCTTCATCATCATTTTGCTCATGTCAAAGGCACAATACGAATTAAATCATATATTAATTTTCTGCAGTAATACTTATTAAAAATTTAGATTCCTCCATGAAAACAAAATTTCTCTTGCACAAGTGTAAAAACCATAATAATGACCAAAAAAGTAAAATATTCAAACTTTTCTGATATTTTGGCAGATTATACAAATTTCAATGTATGCTTTAAAAATCTTCATTTATTTATTATCACTTATTAAGCATCCTCTTATGTGTCAGGCACTACTCTCAAGCTTATGGGCATCCTTACAGAGTCGACTGGATTACAAGTCTTGTTGGCATTTCTGTTATGTCCTGGTTGAAGAAACGTTTGAAAAATAGTTGTACTTAGTAATGTGAATGAATGTAAAAAGTACTGTTATGTACCAATTACAGAAGAAATTTTTTAAATATCTGGTTTTGGTCTTTAGTAGCCACGAATATATTATTTTATATCAAAATTTCTTCTAGAAGCATTACTTTTCCAACTTGCCATGGAGAGTATCGTGTAAAAGAACTGAGGCTTGGGAACTAGGATATTAGGGTCACATTCTTGGCTTTCATCATAATTTCCTCTGTGATTTTTCTGGGTCTAAGTGTGCATAATGCATACAAAAATGAAGACTCTGAAGATGATGAGCTCTTCTAGTTAAAAATCTGATTTCCCTGATATAGGAAAGAGATTTTAAATAGCTAAGAGTACTTAACCAAAACACAGGATTAACCATTTGTTAGGCTTTATAAATTAAAATTCACTTTACTATATCCTTTAGAAAAGCCTGGGCATTTTTTCATTCAGATTTCTGTATAAATTCAAGAAGACATGAAAACTCTACAAGGAAGGGTTTAATAAATGAGAGGCCTGGATTTAACCAGCTGAGGTGGTTGACAATCTAAGTATTTGCCTAGTACAACCTTTTATACCAGTCTAGTGCCTTAGCATCAACAAGGTTCTTACAGAATTCCTAAGGCAACTAACTCTAAGGCAGTCAAGGCAGGAATAAAATCTTTTCTGCTGTACCAGGAAGGTAGCAACTACAATAAGTAACAATAAGACCAGATAAAGGAAGAATGAGGCTCATCTTTCAAAAGAAATGCTCTGGTGGACACATAATTACAAATGAGAAAATCTAAAATGAATCTCTGTGGATAAATCACTCTGGCAACAACTCCATTGACAATATTATAGACTGTACAAGCTCTGACCCAGACAAGGTCCACAGCTCCATATTCTTTATGCTTAGTACCACTATTCTGTGCAGCAGGCTAGCAGATGTATGGGGACTAAGCATGTTCAATACTGAATAACTAAGGCCCATCACTACAGTGTGATTACCAATTCTATATCACTTCTTCAGTAATAAAGTTCTTAAGGCCATGAAATATAATTGTATCAAAACACTGTTCACCTTCTAGTAACTCTCAAAGGATACCAGGCTGAGGCTAAAATTCTTTTAAAACAGGTATTTAATATTCTTCACATTCCAGTAATAAAGACGTTTATTTAAACTGAAGATTATTTTAAAAGCATACCTTTTCATTTGCAAAACCTGCATTTGACCCATTTCCTTCAAATGTTGTTTTCTTTCTTCTTCAACTTCTTTTAGTTCCTCATTTCTTTTTCTTAAAGTAAGGTTATCTTGTAGCCACCTTTCTTGTATCTAAAGGTAAACATTAAATTAGTTAACAAAAATAACCAAGTTACTAACATGAAATCTGTAACAGGCAACTGGTGACAGCAAGTGCCATTTCTGTCTTACTTAGAATCATGTGAAATTCAACAGAGGGAGAATAAGCCAGTGTGAAGGAATCTACAGGTCTGGGGCAATCTGGATGGCCCATCCCCATCCACAGTGACAAGTGTAATACCTCCTGTAGCGCAGCTTTTACTGCTCTTTCACAACCATAATCTAAAAACCAGGTCTACTGTTTGATGGGGAGTCTCATAAAGATTTGAGCATATATCTGTGTACTTATTTACTTATAAAGTATTAAAAACATACAAAACAGACATTTTAAATGGTGAAATTAAAAATATAACTAGATATTTTAATACCTACATCCCCAGTGGATCATTTTGCATAGGAACCCCATGATAAAGCCTACTGACCTGAAAGATTATAAGAGATCAATACTACTACTGAAGTCTTCCCCAACTTTTTCGTCCTAGTTCTGTCTCCCAACATGTACCAAGACCATTAGAACCTGTTAGGTATATGTTACCTGCAACTTCTACCTTTAGGTTGACAAATTGTAATCACTCAAGGCAGTAAGAAGTGCCACAATAGTAGCATATATCTATGAACTTGGTACCTCCTTAGCCACCGAAATGAAATTTCAAAAAATTGGCTGTTCTTGTTGAGTAGTTTTGTCCTTCAAAAGAGACTCAATAACACTTAGCAGCAGCAGCAACAACAACAAAATTATTTCAGTGGTTTTCCTGGTGATTAAAATGAACTATGTTGTCAAGAGACAATCATTAGAAAACAGTTTTTAAGTTGATTCTTTGGAATTTAGAGGAAAAAAAATTTCCTGCAGAAAGAAGGGTGATTTGGCCCACAAATCATGTGTATAGAAAACTTATTCTGAATTTGGAGTAAGGATTTCTCAAAGAGGGAGCTGGGACCCTCCTGCAATAGCCCTTGCAGCTAAGCTAAACTCAGTGACATGGGAAGTGAGAGAGATGGACAGACCTGTGGCAATATCTTGCACCAACAGTAAAGGCCAGGGACTGGTAGATGAGAGAGGGAAATCAAGGATTTCTCTCACATGCTTAATGTTCATATCCAATCCTGCCCCTCTATGCGTGACTATTTTTAGAGTTTTTTTTTTCTTTTTTAACAGTCACAAAGTAAGGCTACTTTCATTTTTCCTGGAAATAATATAAACATACAATTTATCCACAGGGTCCACATCTACGGATTCAACTAACCATGGATCAAAAATATTGGGGAAAAAAAATAAAAAGTAATAGTACAATAAAAAAATACAAATTTAAAATAATACAATATAAAAACTACGTATCATTTACATATTAATATCAAAAGCAATCTAGAGATTAAAGTATATCAGAGGATATGGATAGGCTATATGTAAACACTAGATATGCCATTTTATATAAGGGACTTGAGCATCCTAGATTTCGGTATCTGTTTTATCGGGGGATCCTGGAACCAATCCCTCCCAGAGATACCGAGACAACTGAATATGTATCTACTAAAGGCATTATTATAGGCAGTTAAAGGTGACTAAAATGACATGGTTATAAATGTCCTTTGTTGCTAAAGCAATCTAATGTACCACTGTAGCTGGTGTGACTTACCAAGGTTCTACTATGGGGTACTATGCTTGTTGTTCCTTATTAGGAACAAGGGAATGTGCTACTGCTTACTTTCATCTAATACCCCAGAACATTTGAATTTGTTTTCACAATTGCATGAAAGGACTCTTTAAAGTGCTATCACATTTTTAGATGAGACTGATTTTTGGCACAAAATATTGTTGCTGGTCTGTCTACCTGCATTGTTACCAGACAGCTAGGCATTTCTTTGTTTTAGGTCAGCTTCCATTATTCTTCTAGTTTTGAAAGACAGTATATACCACATCAAGAGTGTAATGCTTTGAAGTCAGATACATCTAGGCTCAAATCACAGTGTTATTACTTTTAAACTGGATAACTTTGGGCAAATTAGTTTAAATTCTCTGAACCTCAGTTTGCTTATAACATGGTCAATAATGATACTATCTATCATAAAGAACTATTGTGTGGCCGGGCGTGGTGGCTCATACCTGTAATCCCAGCACTTTGGGAGGCCAAGGCAGATGGATTACTTGAGGTCAGGAGTTCGAGATCATCCTGGCCAACATAGTGAAACCCCACCTCTACTAAAAATACAAAAATTAGCCAGGCCTGGTGGCACTCGCCTGTAGCCCCAGGCAGGTTGAGGCAGGAGAATCACTTGAACCCGGGAGGCGAATGTTGCAGTGAGCCGAGATTGTGCCACTGCACTCCAGCCTGGGTGAGAGAGCAAGACTCCATCTAATTTAAAAAAAAAAAAAAAAAAAAAAAGACTATTGTGAAGATTAAAGGAATGAGTGTATGTAATCAGTATAGTGCCTGACTCAATAATTGCTAATAAAATGCCTTTTGGGTCAAATTTGTCCTTTGTACTGTAAGCAGTGAGAATTCCAATTATAGTCTACAAAATGTATCAGAGAAAGGAAGGGAAAAAAAATCAGATGCAGTTATAGTATACCACAAATGTTTTTCCATTCTACTAGAAATTTGATAGTGTAGGGTCCAGTTCTACCTGTTACTACTTTTTGTGACCTTGGACAAGTCAGGTCACCTACAGTTCTCTTCATATATTCCTTCAGCTGAAAACTGAGAAAGGCAGTTAAGTTTCCAAATTATTTTATTCTGTGGACTAAATTTAGCAGGGCTTAAATCAGTACGTAAATAAGTGACTGTTAGGCTCCTCAGCTCTTAAATATTAACCCCAATCATCCAACTCAGATGACAGTTAATGCATGCAGCTGGTCACCTATGGAAACATAAAAATTAGCTGCATTCTAGATACCTGTGAGAGAGTGGCATGCTGAACAGATTACAGTCCAATGTCCACCAAAAGTCTAGCTGGGAATAACACCACTTCTACAAGACTGCCTGAAAGCTATGCAGTCCATCCAGTGCTGGCTCAGTTATTGACAGCTAAAGGGATATATTAGAACCTCTAAGGAATTTCAACAAAACACACATATCTCTGCCCAAACCCCCAAGATTCTGATTTACTGGTGTGGATTGGAGACATAGACATATATATATATATATTTTTTGAGACAGGGTCTTGCTCTGTTGCCCAGGCTGGAGTGCAGTGGCGTAGTAAGGGCTCACTGCAGCCTTGAACTCCCCAGCTCAAGCAATCCTCCCACCTCAGCCTCCTGAGTAGCTGGGACTACAGGTATGCACCATCACACCTGGCTAATTTTTTTGTAGAGATGGGGTTTCGCCATATTGCCCAGGATAGTCTGGAACTCCCAGGCTCAAGCAATCTGCCCGCCTCGGCCTCCCAAAGTGCTAGGATTACAGGCATGAGCCACTGTGCCCGGCCAACACATGTATTTTTAATAACCTAAGTCATTTTTTAAAAACTGAGATGTAATTAATATTCCACAAAATTCACTGTTTAAACGTGTACAATTTAGCAGTTTTACTTTATTTACAAGGTTATACAACCATCACCACTATCCAATTCCAGAGCATTTGATCATCCCAAAAGGAAATCTCATATTCAATAGCAGTCACTCTATTCCTTCCTCACCTCTAGCCCCCTGGAAACATTAATCTGCTGTCACTGGATTTACCTAATCTGTACATTTATTATAAGTGGAATCGTACATTATGTGACCTTTTGTGACTGGCTTCTTTTGCTTAGCATGTTTTAAGGGTTCATTCATGTGGTAGCATGTATCCTTTTTATGGCTGAATAATATTCCATTGTATGGGTATACCACATTTTGTTTATCTGATCATCAGTTGATGGCCATTTGGGTGTGTCCATATTTTGACTATTACAAATAATGCTGCTATGAGCATTCTTGTACAAGTTGTTGTGGGAACATATGTTTTCAATTTTCTTAGTTCTATACCTAGAAGTGGAAAAACTCAGACGATTTACAGGTGCCCCTAGCTAAGAACCTTTGCTTTCTAAACATTAACATTTACTTCAGGCTTCAATCATACCACCCTCTACAGAACCTCGTATCAAGGAATAATGATGCTGAGATACACTGTATTTTTTTTAAAGCCCTGCGAAGTCTGTTGAAGACTATACATGTCTTCCTTTCTATGAATAGAGACATTATCCTGTAGTCAGTATAGGAAACTGGTTTTCTTTTAGCATTGACACAATGTGAATCTTGACTAATTGTGACTTTTTTTTTTTTTTTTTTTTTTTTAAGACGGAGTCTGGCTCTGTCACCCAGGCTGGAGTGCAGTGGTGCGATCTCGGCTCACTGCAAGCTCTGCCTCCCAGGTTCACGCCATTCTCCTGCCTCAGCTTCCTGAGTAGCTGGGACTACAGGCGCCCACCACCAGGCCTGGCTAATTTTTTGTATTTTTTAGTAGAGACGGGGTTTCGGCGTGTTAGCCAGGATGGTCTCGATCTCCTGACCTCGTGATCTGCCCGCCTTGGCCTCCCAAAGTGCTGGGATTACAGGCGTGAGCCACCACGCCTGGCTGTTTTTGTTTCTGTTTGTTTGTTTGTTTGTTTGAGACGGAGTTTCACTCTTGTCACCCAGGCTGAAGTGCAATGGTGTGATCTCGGCTCACTGCAATCTCTGCCTCCCAGGTTCAAGCGATTCTCCTGCCTCAGCCTCCTGAGTACCTGGGATTACAGGCGCGTGTCACCACACCTGGCTAATTTTTCTATTTTCAGTAGAGATGGGGTTTTACCATATTGGCCAGGCTAGTCTTGAACTCCTGACCTCAGGTGATCCGTCTGCCTTGGCCTCCCAAAGTGCTGGGATTACAGGCATGAGTCACTGCGCCTGGCCTCCTCTCTTTATTTGACTACTAGAATCTTCAGCAAGCATATCAGACTTCATGCATACTTTTTATACACTTCTCTCCTGGTTTCATTACTTTCTTGCCCTTATTTCTACACTGCCTTGTTTTCCCATTAATTTGAAATACATTTATCTTTGCTCTATTGTATATAACTAAGTAAATAATTTCTGGAACAAGGAAGGTTACAAAGTAAACTAATACCATCAGATCCACTAAGTTTAGACCATCACTTTAAAAGGGGTCATAGATCATTAATCTTAACAATTTCGTATATATATACAGAGAGCTGCTGCGAATTTACAGATTGTGATTTTTATATAGGCAACTACATAAAAGCTAGTGATAATTATTTTGTTATATATGCATCATAAATTTATACAGTTATTCAATATGTATTAGGCCAGGCAGAGATTTGATCTCCCTTTGACTGATATTTCATATATTTGAAATTCTTGGTGGTACAGAAAGAGACCCAGCAGAAAACTAATGTAACTAATCTTCCAAATGATTTTAAGCAACCACTTATAACCAAGTGGTTAAGGCATTCAAATAGTAAATTTTGTTTAAAACAGTAAGAACAGAGAAATGGTATAGTTTTTAAAGGCATTAACTACCATGCTTGCATAAAGCATGTGATGATGGCTTCTTAATATGATTTTGATTATACTATAGAAATTAATTTCTTTAATAGAGAAAATAAATGATATAGGAATCAACTGGAAAATGACTTAATATATAAATATTTTCCTTACAGATTACTTTCAAGATTATTAAACCTTAATCCGTCTTTTGTGAATTTATGCTACATAAAGATATGTTAGAATAAGAAAAGATACAGATACATGTTAAAGATGTTCATTGTCACACAGTTTGTGATAAGGAAATGAAATCAATCTGAGTAAGTGCTGGTATATACACAAAATGGACTATTTTATAATCATTAAAAAGAATGTGATACATCTGTGAGTTGATAGGTAAAATCAAATTATGTTAAGTGAAAAAAGGTACAGAATAACATGATACGACCCCATCCATAAAAGTAAATTTAAATATATATATATATATATACACACACACCTAAATTTATCTACCTATCTGCTGGTATATGAATAAAAAACTTCTTTAAGAACAAATAAGTGTAACAGTTAATGACATGTAGAAGTAAGATTGAGAATTAGGAGAAGGGGAGGAACACTTTTATGCCTTTATGTTCGAACTTTTACCATGAGTCTTTTACTGAAAATAAAAATAAAAAATAAATGAAGTAAGAATGTTATTGGAATTATTTTTCTTTACTTTTTGCATTTCTTTTTAGAGACAGAGTCTCGCTGTGTCGCCCAGGCTAGAGTGCAGTGGTACAATCACAGCTCACTGCAACCTCTGCCTCCCAGGTTCAGGTGATTCTCATGCCTCAGCTTCCCGAGTAGCTGGGACTACAGGTGCGCGCCGCCACGGCCAGCTAATTTTTGTATTTTCAGTACAGACAGGGTTTCACTGTGTTGGCCAGGCTGGTCTTGATCTCCTGGCCTCAAGTGATCCACCCGCCTCGGCCTTCCAAAGTGCAGGGATTACAGGTGTGAGCCACCACGCTTGGCCTCTTTCCTTTTTGCATTTCTATTCAATGGATCTTCTATTGAAAATAAAACTATAGAAAAGAATGTCATAGGTGTAAGTGATATCATAAGCAAAACAGACCTACCTTCTGTGTATCAATATCTTGTCTCATGAGTCTCATATCTTCATTTATCTTTTCTTTGTGTTTCTCGCATTCACTTAGTTGAGCTATTACTTTATTAAGTTCAGTTTCTTTTTGCTACAAAAAAGAAAATTCTTTAAGCACATGAATAAAAATACAATCAAATAAATAATTTTAAGTTTTAAATTACCTTCTTATAGTCGTCTTTCCCATCTTGAATATAATTCTCAATGTCTTTCATATAGCCATGAATATTTTTAACCTTCTCTTTAATATCATTCAGCTGTAGAAAAATATTCATTAAATTTACACTGGTTGTACTTAAGGGCACATAACAGGAGAGCACAGTAAAACACTGGCTGGGAAGTTATGAACATTGGGTTCCAGTTTCCACCACTACTGAATTTTATGATCGCAGACAAGTCCCTTTCTCACCTATAGGAATTGATTAATTAGTCTCATTTCTTAACTTCTATTGTAGATCAAGCAGCAAAATAATTTACATCAAATCCTTGTTCTAACAAGAATTTCTAATGTCAAAATTATACCATGAATCTGAAAATACTATTTATCTTATGCTATTTAATTTCATGTGAAATAAGTGTCCGACGTGGTGCTATGAACATAAGTTTAATACAGATATTTGATAAGTAAATATATAAATGAAATCTTACTTTATCCTGTGCTATTTTGTTGCTTGTATTTTTTTTGTTGATTAATTCTTCTTTTTCTTGCTGGAACTTTTCCAATGTTGTTTCCAAAGGGCTTACCTGCTCTTTAGCATCCTAAAAATATAAAAAAGATAAAGTATTATATAATATTCCATTATCTTACTTTAGGGGTCAGACTTCACAGTCTTAATAAAAGCACTTTCTATGTGCCAGGCTCTAAAAGTCAACTCATTTGCTCCTTTCAATGACCCTATGAGGACAGTACCATCATTTTCAGTCCTATATTTCAAACGAGCAAACAGACACAGAGAATGATTTGTCCAGGGTCACAACAGCCAGTAAATGAAGCAGCCAAGATTTTAACCCAGTCCAGCTCCAGAGTTCACGCTCTTAACCACTACGCATGCTATACTGCATCAACCACTAATTTGATTCTTAATCTAGGCCATGTGCTCCCAATTATATTAGCGTGTGGCTTCAAGCATGAGTTTTCATGATTTTATAGGTGCCCGTCACTGCTGCATGATCAAAGAATAGGAAAGCTCATTCAGTCCAGACTTTTCTTTTTCAGATGAAAACATGATGGTAAAAACACTTCTGTCCTTAAGCTTAGCCTGCTAAGGCTACGCAGATATTTCATGGTAATAAAAGCATACTGTTAAACTAATGTTGGTGTCTCCACAACTATTTTGGAAGGAACGGGGCTTTCAAGTAATAAACTATTTTACTAAATAGAAGTCCCCATTATTTAGCCTTGTAACACTAAATCTACAACGTAGTTATATGATAACCACAGTTCAAAACAGAGGTCCTCAAGCACTTTAAGATTCTGAAGTACTGAGTGAATCTATAGAGGTAGATACAATTATTTAGTAATTACTTCAATATAGGTCTATTTTATCATACTGGGAAGTGGTATGGTGTGTTAGGAAGTCAAATGCCCTCAGTGTCAAAAGATCTATCAGAAAATCAACTCTGCTTCCTATTAGCTGCATAAACTTAGGCACTCATGAGACATTTGTAAATCTCAATTTTTCTATAAAGAGATTTCATCATCTAAATAGGGTTGCTGAGGCACTGAATGGTTCAATGTCAAAGTGCTTTATAAATAGTAAAAAATTATACAGATGCAAGTACTATTTTATATTATATTCTGAACCTCTGATATTTTGTAATCTAAAATTTAATAAAAATTTATAGTAATTATTCAGTAATATACTTAGTGCTTATTGAATGAGTACGCATAATTATATAAACCTAGGTAAGATTGTTTATAACTGTTTATAACTGGTTGAGTCTTAGATGTGATTAATCTATATAAGGGATGTCAAATGCATTCCAGTGGCAACTGAGTGCCTGCTCACTGTATTGGTAAGGGTTCTGAAACCACATCCGGAATCAAATGGAAAGAGTGCTATGACTGAGAGTGACCGCCATAGATAAAGGATCTGCAGATAAGACAAACCTCCTGTACAAGCAGGAATCCTTATACAGAATTAACCAACCACCACCTGACCACCTCCAATAACATTTACTACTTAACCAGGCAGCCAGTTCTTCCTTATTATGGCAAACTCCTTCTTCCAGAAATCTTTACTTACTAGTACAAGTTCTATCACTTAGGAACCACACAAATAATTATTATACCATTTTCATTTGATCCTCATAATAGCTGGTTTTCAAAGGGAATGCTTCCAGTTTTTGCCCATTCAGTATGATATTGGCTGTGGGTCTGTCATAAATAGCTCGTATTATTTTGAAATACATTCCATCGATACCTAGTTTATTGAGAGCTTTTAGCATGAAGCGGTGTTGAATTTTATCGAAGGCCTTTTCTCCATCTATTGGGATAATCATGTGGTTTTTGTCTTTGGTTCTGTTCATGTGATGGATTACATTTATTGATTTGCATATGTTGAACCAGCCTTGCATCCCAGGAATAAAGCCGACTTGATCGTGGTGGATAAGCTTTTTGACGTGCTGCTGGATTCGGTTTGCCAGTATTTTATTGAGGATTTTTGCATCGATGTTCATCAGGGATATTGGCCTGAAATTTTCTTTTTTTGTTGTGTCTCTGCTAGGTTTTGGTATCAGGATGATGCTGGCCTTATAAAATGAGTTAGGGAGGATTCCCTCTTTTTCTATTGTTAGGAATAGTTTCAGAAGGAATGGTACCAGCTCCTCTTTGTACCTCTGGTAGAATTCGGCTGTGAATCTGTCTGGTCCTGGACTTCTTTTGGTTGGCAGGCTATTAATTACTGCCTCAATTTCAGAACTTGTTGTTGGTCCATTTGGGGATTTGACTTCTTCCTGGATTAGACTTGGGAGGGTGTATGTATCCACGAATTTATCCATTTATTATTTTCTAGTTTATTTGCGTAGAGGTGTTTATAGTATTCTCTGATGGTAGTTTGTATTTCTGTGGGATGGGTGGTGATATCCCCTTTATCATTTTTTATTGCATCTATTTGATTCTTCTCTCTTTTCTTCTGTATTAGTCTTGCTAGTGGTCTATTTTGTTGATCTTTTTAAAAAACCAGTTCCTGGATTCATTGATTTTTTTGAAGGGTTTTTCGTGTATCTCCTTCAGTTCTGCTCTAATCTTAGTTATTTCTTGTCTTCTGCTGGCTTTTGAATTTGTTTGCTCTTGTTTCTCTAGTTCTTTTAATTTTGATGTTAAGGTGTTGAATTCAGTTATTTCCTGCTTTCTCTTGTGGGCATTTAGTGCTATAAATTTCCCTCTACACAGTGCTTTAAATGTGTCTCAGAGATTCTGGTACATTGTATCTTTGTTCTCACTGGTTTCAAAGAACATCTTTATTTCTGCCTTCATTTCGTTATTTAACCGGTAGTCATTCGGGAGCAGGTTGTTCAGTTTCCTTGTAGTTGTGCGGTTTTGAGTGAGTTTCTTAATCCTGAGTTCTAATTTGATTGCACTGTGGTCTGAGAGACTGTTTGTTATGATTTCTGTTCTTTTGCATTTGCTGAGAGTGTTTTACTTCCAATTATGTGGTCAATTTTAGAATAAGTGCGATGAGGTGCTGAGAGTTCTGGCCATTACACTAATAAAGAGCATTTCATATTAAAGAAACATGGGCTGGGTGAGGTGATGTAAGCCTGTAATTTTGGGAGGCCAAGGCTGCATTGCTTGAGGCCATGAGTTTGAGACCAGCCTGAACAACATAGTGAGACCCTGTCTCTAGAAAAATTTTAAAAATTAGCCAGGCGTGGTGGTGTGTGCCTGTAGTCCCATCTACTTGAGAGGCTGAGGCAGGAGGATTGCTTGAGCTCAGGAGGTCGAGGCTGCAGTGAGTGAGCTGTGACTGTACCACTGCATTCCAGCTTGGAAGACTGATGAAGACTCTGTCTCTAAAAGAGAAGAATGGGGCGGGGCATGCTGGCTCACGCCTGTAATCCCAGCACTTTGGGAGGCCAAGGTAGGCGGATCACCTTAGTTCAGGAGTTTGAAACCAGCTTGTCCAATGGCGAAAACCCGTCTCTACTAAAAGAACAAAAATTAGCCAGGCATGGTGGTGCACGCCTGTAATCCCAGCTACTCCAGAGGCTGAGGCAAGAGAATCACTTGAACCCAGGAGATGGAGGTTGCAGTGAGCCGAGATCGTGCTACTGCACTCCAGCCTGGGTGACAGAACGAGACTGTCTCAAAAAATAAAAATAAAAATAAATAATTAAAATAATTTTACAAAAAACATGTATGGATATTCTTACCTTTATCTCTCTGTACAAAGACTGAACTTCAGTGGATAATTCCACAGTCTGCTCCTCCAGTTGCTGACGACGTTGCAAATTAGTGGATATCTGAAGTTTCTCAGATTTTAGCTCATTTGTTGTACTTTTTAGATGTTGAATCTGTTCCTGCTGGTCCTGTATAAGCTTACGATTCAATTCAATCTTACTAGAAACTACACAAAAACATATTATCACAGTAATTAATGTAAGGGCATAGAAAATACTATTTGTATCATTCTTCCCATTTTTATCGGTCTATGGAATCCACAAATGCTATTTCTGTGGGCCCCACCCACTGCAACAAAAATACAATGAGAACCCTGCTAGTTCTCAAATCAGCTTGATGTTCCCTGCTGGCCACTCACAGGGAAAGCTTACAGGGCAGGTATGAATGAGAAAGAATACAGCTCATGGCCAGGCGCACTGGCTCACACTTGTAATCCCAGCACTTTGGGAGACTGAGGCAGGTGGATCACCTGAGGTCAGGAGTTCGAGATCAGCCTGACAAACACAGTGAAACCCCATCTCTACGAAAAAATACAAAAATTAGCTGGGCATAGTGATGTGTGCCTGTAACCCCAGCTACTCAGGAGGGTGAGGCAGGAGAATCACTTGAACCCGGGAGGCGGAGGTTGCAGTGAGCCAAGATTGCACCATTGCACTCCAGCCTGGGCGACAAAAGTGAAACTCTATCTTAAAAAAAAAAAAAAGGAAAAGAGAATACAGCTTATTTCATACTCTCCTACTGTTCAAAATCTGTTGTGCAAAGTAAGAGAACAAAGAGAAGTGATGCTTTTCAGAAAAAAAGAGCAAATATATGTGGACAGGAAGGAACTTCGTTGTCCATGTAACAGATATAAAATTGACTGTAAAAGGCATGTGCTCGCAATGTCAAAGTCTCTATGAGTACAGAAGGACACAGACTGTATTACCTGTGTCTAACTTGTGCTGTTTCTCTTGTTTCTCCTGGTTGACTTGTTGGACAGTTCGATCTAAGTCTATTCCTTGTAGCTTAGCTGCTTGTTGTGCAATTTTTCTTTCAACATCTTTAAGTTCCATCTTAAGAATATAACAAAATGATTTCCTTTAATAAACTTACTGCATTATTCAAAATCTTTAAAAATTAATTGCTCTTATCATTTATTTTTTAAATCTAAACTTATAAACCATTTCTAGATACAATTTTAGCAAAGTTTAATAGGATAAAAGTGAAATTAATTATCAGCAATTCAAATGATGTAAACAAAAGGAAGCTGACTAAAGATGAAAAACAAACAGAACTGTCTTAATTTTTAAATTTATGAATTAAAAAGTTTAAACCCAGGGATGTAAACTAAGCAGTTTCTCCCTGAGGGTATCTGAAATTCAGGATGGGGAATTCTAAACACAACCTGTACCTGAATACTAGCTACTATTTTTAACTCTCACACTTCAAATTCAAGCCACCATGGAACAAGTTTTATTCTGCCTTAAACTACAATAAACTTACCTGGAACCTCTCCATAATTGTAACATCTGTCAGGCATACTTTGGCACTTTCTTCTTCAGGCATTATTGTACCCAAGAGTGTTTCTTGTTCTTCTATGTCGTTCTTTAGGCGCTGTATGTCTCTATTGACATTCTGCAGTTTGTTTCTTAATTCTGGTATTTCCTTCTCCTTCAAATCAATTATGCTTTGCCTAAATAGAAAACACAATTAAAAATAAAGTATCTGATGTTTCTCACAGTTAGACTGAGGTTATGTATTTTTAGGAAGAATACCACAGAAGTGACATTGTGTTCTTTTCAGGGTATCATATCAGTGGATATGGAATCATGATATCAATATGTCTTATTACTGATGATGTTAATCCTTATTCACTTGGCTTAGATGGTGTTGGCCAGGTTTCTCCACTGTAAAGTTACTGTTTTAGTCTTTGTAATTAACAAGTATCTTAGGAGAGAAATGTTGAGACTATGTAAATATCTTGCTTCTCAACTTTCTGCCTACTGATTTTAGTATCCACTGACAGATCTTGCTTGCAATAATTATTACTGTGGTGTTTGTCAAACTGAGAAATATTCTACTAATGAACTGGTCATATTGACCAAAAGTGTTAAGGTCATGAAAGATAAAGACAGATTGTTACAGACTGCAGGAGCCTAAGGAGAAATAACAACTAGATGCTACGTGGGATCCTGCATGGAACCCTGAAACAGAAAAGGCATTGATGGAAAAACTGCTAAATTCGATATGGTCTGTAATTTAGTTAGTAGCATTATATCAATGTTAATCCTGGTTTTGATAACTGTATTATAACAGAGTACATAAATTGTTAACATCAGGAGGAGCTGGATGAGGGATATATATGAATAATTTGTATTATTTTTATAATTTTTCTGTAATCCTAACATTATTTCAAAATAAAAATTTTTTAAATTACAGGAAAAAAAGGAAGGAAGCCAGCCACTAAGTGAAATGCTACATGGGTTTAAGGTACAAAATGTCAACCCATTTTACTGGTACTCACTACTGTAGCTAATGAATTACCACCTCCATGGCAGGTACTGACAACTATTTTTGCTGATGCCTCTGAAACAATAATATGTATTTAATCTTTTAAAAAAAATTTACTTCAGAAATATTCCAAATTCTTATTTAAAATTATATTGAATTAGTATGACAAAGCAGTAGAATAAATTAAACTGGTCTCTAATAGGAGTCTTATTATAAACTTAAAGAATAACCAGAAACTCAAGTGGCTATTACTTAATGATTTTTTAAAAATGCAAACTATGACCAAGAAATGCCAACCTGACCTGTGGCAACAGACCTATAGTTTTTTAAAATTTTTTAATTATTTATTTATTTTTATGCTTTAAGTTCTGGGATACACGTGCAGAACGTGTGGGTTTGTTACATAGGTATACACGTGCCATGGTGGTTTGCTGCACCCATGAACCCATCATCTACATTAGGTATTTCTCCTAATGCTATCCCTCCCCTAGCCCCCCACCAGCAGACAGGCCCCAGTGTGTGTGATGTTCCCCTCCCTGTGTCCATGTGCTCTCATTGTTCAACTCCCATTTATGAGTGAGAACATGCAATGTTTGGTTTTCTGCTCCTGTGTTAGTTTGCTGAGAATGATGGTTTCCAGCTTCATCCATGTCCCTGCAAGGGACATGAACTCATCCTTTTATATGGCTGCATAGTTACTCCATGGTGTATATGTGCCACATTTTCTTTATCTAGTCTATCATTGATGGTCATTTGGGTTGGTTCCAAGTCTTTGCTATCGTGAACAGTGCCGCAATAAACATATGTGTGCATGTCAGACCTACAGTTTTTTTTTATACCACAGAAATAGGAGGTATTTGTATTCCACATAATAAATATGAAGGTATGCAGGTTATGAGTAATTCCATGCCAATGTTTCCTCTTGAACACTGTTGTCACAGATTAGTAGTTGGCCTTAAATTATGTGCCCAATATCTAAAAAGTGACACAGCTATGACAGCCTAATAATGATGGCCAAGCATTTATTAAACTGGGGACATCTCTGTGAAGAACTGTAGGTATACATACAATTTTAACCCTATTTTTACATTTTCCTACACACACACAAAATCTTTCATCAATATGGTCTAGGTTTTGGTGCCTTCTTTTTTGATGATTACATAAGATGTTAAAAGAAGTTTTCTGGCCGGGTGTGACGGCTCACGCCTGTAATATGAGCACTTTGGGAGGCTGAGGCTGGTGAATCACCTGAGGTCAGGAGTTCAAGACCAGCCTGGCCAACATGGTGAAACCCCATCTCTACTAAAAATACAAAAAATCAGTTGGGCGTGGTGAAGGGCGCCTGTAATCCCAGCTACTTGGGAAGCTGAGGCAAGAGAACTGCTTAAACCCGGGAGGTGGAGGTTGCAGTGAGCTGAGATTGTGCCACTGCACTCTCTGGGTTTGTTTTTCTTTTTTTTAAATTTATGACATTTTATTTTTTATTTTCAAGAGTTAATTTTTCTCACGATTCACAAGGTTTTTTAAAATTATTTTCAATAGATAAATCATAATTGCAAACATTTATGGGGTACAATGTGATGTTCTGATATATGTACACAATGCACAATGATTAAATAAAGGTAATTTAACATATCCATTACCTTGCCTGCCTATCATTTTTTATAGACAGACATTTGAAATTTACTCTTTGGATTTCTGTTTTTTCAGAAACTCAATTCACCTATTTTTAGACAACATTCCTTTTCTAAGGGGATTGTGTGTAAAAAGGCTCACACAGATATGGTACTGAAAAAAACCTGTGGGAGAAATACCAATTGAGTTTGCATTTAAATGAGGTGCTATAATAAATGAATCTGAGTCAGTACTAGACAAAATGATAAACAGGTACATTTTCAGCTGAGATCTCAGTCATGATGTTAGGTTTATATTAGATACTGGCGAATTTGAGGCTTTAAATGAAAATATTTCCCGCAAAGAAGATAAGCAAGATATGGCTCCCCACTACCTCTCTGAGCTCATCTTCCACAACTTTTCCCTTTGGCCTTCAGGTCAAATATGTCTCAGAGATTTTGCACTGCCTAGAATATTCTTCTTATGGACAACTGCATGGCTGACTCCCTCACTTCTCTCAAGTTTCCACTCCACTGCCACCTTCATCAAGTCCCCTCCTACCACCCTTCAGCTAGTCCCTATTCCCTTATCTTGCTGTAGTTTTCTCAATGCCCCTGATCATCCCCTGGCATATTATATATTTACTTATTTGTCATCCATCTCCTCCCCACTGGGATATAAACTCCATGAGGGCAGGGACTTTGTCCATTTTGTTTACTGCTGTATTACCTGCACTCCAGTAGACTGCCTATATTGGTTGCATGAATAGACAGTTCTCATGATAGTGGTGGCATCAAGGGCATATTCTAAAGGTGAAAAAGCAAATGGTGCACAGATAAATTTAATCTTGTTACTTTACCCCTCTTCACCAATAACCTTCCACCTAAGTGACTATCATAAATAGACCTCCACAATGTCTCTGAAAGTGACCCCACGGGATATTTGAAAGTAGTATCCTAACCAGAGGTGGAAGGAAGCTTAATGATCATGTAAATCAATCCCCTCACTTTACGTGGGGGATACGAAGGCCCAAATGGGTTAAGTAACATCCCTAAGGTCACCCAGCAGAGTTGGAATTTGAAGTCAACCTGACTGCACTCTTAGGCAATTGCTTTCCCATATTTAAAAAAAAAAAAAGTCCTCTTGGTTGGGCATGGTGGCTTATGCCTGTAATCCTAGCACTTTGGGAGGCTGAGGTAGGAGGATTGCTTGAGCTTAGGAGTTCGAGGCTTCGATGAGCTATAATCAATCACACCACTACACTCCAGCCTGGGTGACAGGAGCAAGACCCTATCTATCAATCAATCAAGTCCTCTTAATTCATTATTGACCTTTCATTTGTGGATTTATTTAAACTTAAAAAAAGTGTTTTATAATGTTATTTCCTACTATTGGGAAGAAGACTTCCTCTCTCATTTGTCCCAAACTCATCCTTCTCCAGTTTTCCAGAATGGCCCACTGACATTCTGTTAGAGCTTGCTAAACAAACAGGGGTTCATCATTTCCCTGCTCTTCGGGTCTTCAAGTTTTGGTTTCTTTATAAAAATGGTTTCCTCACACATGTGTCCTCACTTAGCAGCCCTGCCAGCATCTTGGTCCATTTTCAGTGCTTCCTGTAGGCCTTTTCTAGCTTCAGGTTCTCTTAAAATGTGTGGTAACCAGCCATTTACCTGGCTAACCTAGCTGAGCCCAGTCATCCCATGAAACCATGAAAAACTAATCACTGCGAGACAGTTTTGAGGGGGTTTGTTACAAGCAATCAATAACGGGAATAGACACTACAGTTCTCATTCATTCAGCAAATAGTTATCAAAGTTACAATATAGAATATACAAATGTGTGGTTGCCTAGTCTCTAGGTAACCAGAATGGCACACAGATGCTACTGCAGATATAGGGTTAGGCAGATTCAAGTCAGCCACAAGTACTTCGACACTCTTCCCATCAAGAGATACAGTATCCTCCCTCACTGAATCTTGGGAGTTTCTGTGACCACTCTAACCAACAGAAAAAGAAGTGTCACCATGCCAGTTTCTTGGTCTAGGCCTTAAAGGACTTGCAGCTTCTACTTCCTGTTCATGGAATACTTACCCTTAGGATACTCTGTTTAGTAACCCAGTCACTGTGCTGCCAAAAGCCCAAGACGCATGCAGAGGCCATGTGAAGATGTCCTATTTTGACAGCCCCAGCTGAGCTCCCAGACAATAGTGAGCATCACTGTCAGTCATGTGAGCCATCAAGAACATCCAGCTCGGTTATGCTTTGAGACGACTGCAGCCAACATCTGACTGCAACCGTAAGACCCCAAGTGAAAGCCACCTAGCTGAGCCCAGTCATACCACAGAACCATGAAAAATTATTGTGAGACAGATTTGAGGTTTGTTACATAGCAATAAATAATTGGAACAGACATTACAGTTCTCATTCATTTAGCAAATAGTTATCAAAGTTGCAATATACAAGGAACTGTGGAGATACAACGAGTAAGACATGCACCTTACTCTTAGAGGGGAAACTGTGGCCCAGCACGGTGGCTCACGCCTGTAATCCCAGCACTTTGGGAGGCTGAGGCAGGCGATTGCCTGAGGTGAGGAGTTTGAAACCAGTCTGGCCAACATGGTGAAACCCTCTCTCTACTAAAAATACAAAAAAAATTAGCCGAGCCTGGTGACGTGCGCCTGTAATCCCAGCTACTTGGGAGGCTGAGGCAGGGGAATTGCTTGAACCGGGGAGGTGGAGATTGCAGTGAGCCAAGACTGCGCCACTGTACTCCAGCCTGGGCGACAAAGCAAAACTCTGTCTCAAAAAAAAAAAAAAGGAGCCGTGATAGCTAGGGTCCTAAAATATAATACGATGTTAATTTCTGCCATTTATTGTATAACAGTCTAACACAGAACTAAGCTCATATTTCTACTACGTGTACTTTCTACCAATTTCAAATTTTATCCATTTGATCTTTTTCTTTTCAAGATACTACCTTATTCCTCTCCTTCCTTTTTATTCTCAAACTACTGCCTCTGTCTCCTCATCTCTGTGGCCCCAATAATCTGGTTTTCACCCTTGATGCTTGTGTTGGTTATCTATTGTTGCATAACAAAGTATCCCAAAACTTAGCAGCTTAAAATAACAGCACTTATTATTTCTCAGAGATATGAGGATCAAGAGATACGCTTCTGACTCAGGGTCTCGCATGAAGTCGCAATCAAGCTGTCAGCCAGGACTGCAGTCATCTTAAGGCTTGACTGCTACAAAGTCTGCTTCCAAACTCACTTGCTCAAAGGCCTCAGGTCCTTGGCATATGGGCCTCTCCAGAGGGCTGCTTGCAACATGGCAGCTAGCTTCCCTCAGACAAGAGACAGAGGGAGACAGAGTGAGTGAGAGAGGGGAGGAGTGGGGGAGAGTGAGCGAGTTCACACAAGGGTACAAGCACATTGCGAGAACAGAAGAAGCCATAGTACCTTAAATAACCTAATGTTGGAAAGGCCATGCTATCACTTCTGCCTGTTTTATCAGTTATATAGACCAATCATGCAACAGCATGAGATGGGACTATACAAGAGTATAAATACCAAGAGGCCGAGATTACTAGGGACCATCTTAGAAGTTGGCTGCCACAAACCACATCTTCTTAGGCCTTTCTTTCTCCTTTTCCTGAAACTCCTCCTTGGTTTTCCAGGACAATCACTTTCACTCTCCTGGTTTTTCTGCTTCCTGAGCTTTTCTCAGCCTGTTTCAGTCAATATATTAATATTAGATTAATTTTCCTAAAATACATCTTTCACTAACTCCCTTAGGTTGGCTCCTCATCACCTATCAGAGTTACAACTAGACCTGAATATAATGTAGCCCTATCTCCCCAACATACAGGACTCAATCCCTATAAATAATTCCCCAAACTCCAGATAACATTTCTACTGCAGCATAGGTCATACTCCTCTTCCCTTTGCACCGTGTTCTGACTTCCGTCTCCTCTCAGTTGAGCTGAATGAACTTCTCCAGGTCTTATATTCCTCTTCCTGCCTCATTCTCAAAATATTCTTCTCATTCTGTATCCATTGGCTCCTCCCTTCTTACCTAACACATCTGTTTGAATCATTTTTTAAGCACTTTATTAAGCCTAGCTTTCTAAATGTTGAATTCTGAGAGCTTGTCTTCTTAATCAGACCATTAGCTCCTGGAGGGTCATGTCTTAGGTCTCTGGCACTAGCCTTGTTCTCTATGTTCTGGGAGACACTAAGGCAATCATCACATATTTCCTGACTTGATTTTTGTTTGTAAACAGAACATAACACGAATTTCTTGTATAAGTGATGGAAAATATAAACAACCGAAAATCATCTATGATTCATTCTTTTAGCAAGTGGAAAAGACATTAAAAACATAGTTTAAAATCTGTCTTCTGGGAGAACTTTTCAATACTTAAATTCTTTTGCTGGGTTCAGAAAGTGGCATGTCAACAGACAGTCCTAAATCTGTGAAAATCTATGCCCACAAGCTAAGTCTTGGGAATTAAACACACATACAAAAGAACGTAAAGACTGTGTCTACCTCATAGTTTAAGAAATAAGCTTACTGGCTATGCACGGTGCTCACACCTGTGATCCCAGCACTTTGGGAGGCCGAGGTGGGCCAATCACTTTGAGGCCAGGAGCTCGAGATTAGCCTGGCCAACATGGTGAAACTCCATCTCTACTAAAAATTACAAAAATTAGCTGGGCGTGGTGGTACATGCCTGTAATCCCAGCTACTGAAGAGGCTGAGGCATGGGAATCGCTTCTGGGAGGTGGAGGTTGCAATGAGCCAAGATCATGCCACTGCACTCCAGCTTAGGTGACAGAGAGAGACTCTGTCTCAGAAAAAAAAAAGAAAAAGAAAAAAAGACAGGAAACAAGCTTATCTTTAAACAAAATAATTGAATCTTCTTATCATAGAAGTGATATAAGACAGGGCATACCAGCTCAGAGTCCTTACTGAGTAACTACCATCTGCCCAGGCATGAGATGGGTACCTTTTACAATGTGCTGCTACATGTACAGTGAAGGTAAATCCCATTCTTACCTCATGGGCACAAGTCCCAGCATTTCATCACGCCGCTTTTCCTTTTTTTTTAGCTCTGATTCTGTTGACTTGAGTTTATCTGGAGCAAGTCGCAGTTTAGACTGCAAATCACTGATGACTTCTTGTAACTCAGCCTCTGTCTGAAAAACTCTCTGACAAACGGGGCAACATGACTGGTTTTCGTCTGTTAGCTGAGTAATGAACTGGGAGTAAACTGCTGTGGCTCCAGCCAGCATGGCTATTTTAAGAAAATAAATTATATCACCAATGAGAAAAAAACATAAAATACAGTATTCTGAATACGGTTGTATCTTTTTCTATAAATATATGATTATTCTTGCTTTATAAATATATTATAAAAGAAATAAAAATTCTGATATTTAAAATTCCGATATTCGCTTCCAAAGAGCATGATACATTCAGATTTGTATAAATATTTTTTGGTAACACATTATAAGTATAACAAAATGCCTACTGAGAGCTTTCTATGTGCCAGGCACTGTTCTAAGGGCTTTATAATTACAATCTCATTCACACCTCAGTACCACAGGTGGTAGTTGTGTCCTCATTTTATAGACAATGAAACACAGGAAGGTTTCAGTAACTTGCCTAAAGTCACACAGTGAGTAAGTTGTAGAGCCAGGACTGAAATCCAAGCCATTAGGCTCCATAACCAGGTTTTTAAATTCCCCATCCTTAACAGTTACCTGTGAATGAAAATTCAAAGGTGTCAAAGTATCCTGATAATATAAAGTAGACAACTTACCTCGCTGTTTTGATGATTTTTCAATTTCCTCTTTAAGCCTGTCTAAATCACTTTCAAAATCCTGGCTACCACAAACATCAAACAGCTTGTCTTCGTAACTGGACAACTGCTCTTCCTTTCTTTTTAGTTCATTATTTATATGATTTTTATTCTGCTCAGATGAAGCTAGTTCCTTGCTAAAATAAGAGCAAATATGGATTTTCATTTTAAAATAGGAGAAATTAGTTTGAAAATTTGAGTAGGCAAAAACAAGACAAATTCTGCCAACAAATCATGACAAGAGTTTGGTATGACCAAATAATTTTTTTCAGAAGTTGAGGGACTAGTCCACTTCTGCCTTAACTCTCCCCCTAGGACACTGACTCACCTGCCAGTCCTACTCATGGGCCTGCTCCCAGAAAAATGTACACAGAATTCTGCCTGGTTTCTGGGGGTTCATGGTCTTTGATCCCAGGTTAAGCCTCAGCAAGATGCTTGCTAGGACTATTGGACAGAAAGAAGACAAGAGAACATCCCCGTAATTCCCTTTAGTCCTTTCACAAATACTACTTCCTTACTCTCCTGTAAATACTGTTTCTTTTGTATCCTCCCCCTCCTTGTTGCTGTCATCCACTTGCGTCCAGATCAGTCATTCCCTCTCATTCATCAAAGATTTTGCTTACTAGTACAATTTATCCCCACTTTAATTCTTAAACATCATCCTAGCCAACCTCAATACTCACACATAACATGGTTTTTCAATTTGCAGGTTTAGATGCATTAGCTACCATGTAATCAATTTAATGTATTCAGCATATTTTTTAAAAATGAAACAGAATAGACGGTAATATATTGGAGTAGGCTGTATGTATATGTACTACTTTGAGAAATTTGTTTCAGATAAATGTGTGTGACTGCACACATGCTTCTTCATCATGACTACCCATCCTGAGTCACAGTAAACATTTGGAAAAAAGTAACTAATATGATGATATTTTCATTATCCTAGACTCCCTTGAGCACTTCTCATCAAGATCACCAGTGACCTAAGTGCCAAGTACAGTCTTCATCTTACTCTACCTCTACGTAGCACCAAACACTGTTGACCTTCTCCTTGAAGACTATTTTCCCAAGGCACCTAGACACCACAGCTATCTGGCTCTCACCCTGGTTCCCTGGGCACATCCCAGTTTCCTTCACTTGCTCCTTTTCCTTTGCCTGCTAACATTTTAAATGTTTGTGCTTCCCAGGAATCTAATTGTAACTCCTTCCCTTTGCATAACTCTCTCAAGGTGACATACTAATGACTTTGAGTATCCCTTACATAGCAACAACTTCCAATCTCCTGAATTTCAAACTCCAATATTGTATTCCCTCACAGATACTTCCACAAGAAACACAGATTAAACACCACCAAAGCCAAGTCCTTCTACTTTCCTCAAAAATCTGTGTGGAATTTTTGACCCGCTTATCCAACCACTATCCAAGGTAACATCTGAGAAACATGATCACTTTTTATAATGGATTACTCACAGAAATGAAAATAGAATTTTTAAATTTTAATCTTCATAGGTCTACAAATTTTCAAGGGACAAGAGGCCTAAATTACTATCCGTTACCATTTTACTTAATTTGCAAAATATGAGGGGTCTTCAAAATGTTCATGGAAAATGTGTATTATAAAAAAAACTATGCATGAAGTTCAAAATGTTTTGCACTGAAACAAACTCATACTAACTTGTTATAACATGTCTGAATAGGATCTAGTTTAAGGCACTAACAAGGTTAAGACATCAGTTTGAAAAGAGCCCCAATTAAACTGAAGCAAGAACAAGTATCAAATTTATGGTGAAGTGTGGGTGGAAGAATGGTGAAATCATTGATACTTTACAACAAGTTTATGAGATCAATGCCCCAAACAAATCAGCAGTTTACAAATGGATAACTCAGTTTAAGAAGGGATGAGACGATATTAAAGATGAAGCCCACAGTGACAGACTGTTCACATCAATTTGTGAGGAAAAAAAATCATCTTCTTCATGCCCTAACTGAAGAAGATCAATGATTAACAGCAGAAACAATAGCCAACACCATAGACACCTCAATTGATTCAGGTTACACAATTCTGACTGAAAAATTAAAGTTGAGTAAACGTTCTACTTGATGGATGCCCAAAATCACTGCTTCCAGATCAGCTGCAGACAACAGCAGAACTTCCTCAATAAGTGGGATCAAGTTCCTAAAGCATTTCTTCAAAGAATTGTAACAGGAGGTGATGGAATGTGGCTTTACCAGTACAATCCTGAAGACAAAGCACAATGAAAGCAATGGCTAACAAGTGGTGGAAGTGGTCCAGTCAAAGCAAAAGCAGACCAGATAAGAGCAAAGGTCATGGCAACAGTTGTTGGGGATGCTCAAGGCATTTTGCTTGCTGACTTTCTGGAGGGCCGAAGAAAGGTAACAACTGCTTATTATGAGAGTGTTCTGAGAAAGCTAGCCAAAGCATTAGCAGAAAAATGCCCAGGAAAGCTTCACCAGAGAGTCCTTTTCCACCACAACAATGTTCCTGCTCATTCCTCTCATCAAACAAGGGCCATTTGCAAGAGTTTCGATGGGAAATCATTAGGCATCCACCTTACAGTCCTGATTTGGCTCCTCCTGTCTTCTAGTTTCTTAATCTTAAAAAAATCTTTAAAGGGCACCCATTTTTATGCTAGCAATGTAAAAAAGACTACACTGACATGGTTAAATTCCCAGGACCCTCAGTTCTTTAGGACTGAACTAAATTGCTGGTATCACTGCTCAGAAGAGTCTTGAACTTGATGGAGCTTATGTTGAGAAATACAGTTTATTTAAAATTTTTATCTTTTAATTCCATTTTTCCATGAACTTTCTGAAGTCTCCTTGTATGTAAGAACTAAAGTTTATCAATATAACATACCATTTCATGACAATAAATTATTTTAAAACAATTAAACAGGTAAGCATGAAATAAGAGATTTCTATTACATCTCCAAATGTTGCAACTTACTTCAATTTGGCAAGTCTGTCCCTGGTCTGATTAATTTCTTTTGATTTACTATGTAGCCAGTCTTCAAGCTGTTTTTTGTTGGGAAAATATCCCAACAGTGAGGTTAATTCATCACTGTGCCTAGATTTTATTTTTCTGATTTGTTCATCTTTGTCAGCCTATAGGTAAAAAAAAAATCTTTTAAAAATAAAGTCTATATCTCCACATTATATCAAGAACAAAAATAAATTCTAGACTGACTAAAGTTCTAAGCTTAAAACTATAAAAATATGAAAATAAAATATAAAATTTCTTAAAGTTCTTAAAGTCTTCAAGTGGGGATGGTCTTTCTAAGCCTTAAGAGTGGAGTACCAAGTCGAACAATATAAAATTTTAAAATTTGTGTATGTTAAAAGTTAACAGTAATGTGCATGTGTGTATATACATATATATACATTTCTGTATTAACTTTTTGTAATTAAACAATAACTTTTAAGCTTGAAAGTCTATTATATAGAGTACTAAGCTCACTTAGCCTCTAAAATATAGTCAATACCAACTTAATACCTTATAGTCTATGACTTATGAGTGCAAGGTAGGCTATTTTAAGTACCAGACAGTATAATTAGAACAAAAAGAAAAATCATACTTTGTCTTTGGTCAGCATCTCCATTTGGGTACGTGTTGTTGTATGATGGTTTAACTGCTCCATCTCCTGGTCAAGTTTACGCAGGGTCCTGTCTAAGTCTGCTTTTTCATTTTGGAGACTTATTACTTCCATTTTTAAGGTTTCTACATTGCTGTTTTTCTCAGCCTTGCTTAACTCACGTTCCTAGTCAATAATTCATACAAATGCAAAGGTGTTATATATTTTGTGCAAGAATTAAAATAATGACAAAGTGTATTAGAAATTAACTACTCCTCAGAATGTTCCAAATATTACTGTTTGCATCCAACAAGAGAAAAAAACATAAGGCACTATATATGCTCTAAGGTATATCTTATTAAAGTGACCTTACTATGTTATAATGGTAGAGAATTAGTAAATAAACCTAGAAGGGTCAAACAGGAAAGAAATGTGAGAATTACTGTAAAATTAGGAGACATGTGTCTAAGTACACAGATTAGTGAGTCCTCAGTCAACAATTAAATATTTATTATGTCCCCATGTAATTCACTATATTGCCTGGTATGTAGAAACTATAAAAATAGTGTGATGTGGTCCCTGACCAAGTATCTCCCCACCCCAACAAGACAACACTGATGAAGTGCTAAACTGACAAAAATGTATGCTACAATGGTGAGTTATGGAGCAAAAATAAATGTTTACATAAATTATCAAGATGGGCTTTAAGAAGTTTGCCATGCTTTAGAATGCTTACTTTGGTAATGGAGATGTGAAGAAGGAGGACAGACTAGAAGCAAGAAAGAAAATATGGAAATACCTGAAAAGATTGGCTAAGAAAGTTTTTAACACAGAAAAAGTAATAATACAGCAAAAATCATCTAGAATTACAACGTGTGTGACCTAGAGGAAAAATACTTGCTTTTTTAAAACTTTGGCAAGTGTTCTTTTTCTTTTTTTTGAGATGGAGTCCCACTCTGTCACCCAGGCTGGAGAGCAGTGGCGCAATCTTGGCTCACTGCAACCTCTGCCTCCCAGGTTCAAGCGATTCTCCTGCCCTGGCCTCCCAAGTAGCTGGGATTACAGGCACACGCCACCACGCCCAGCTAATTTTTGTATTTTTAGTAGAGACGGGGTTTCACCATGTTGGCTGGACAGGTCTTGAACTCCTGACCTCACGTTATCTGCCTGCCTTGGCTTCCCAAAGTGCTGGGATTACAGGTGTGAGACACCGCACCCGGCCTGGTAAGTGTTCTTAATCAAGGTGCTCATAAGAATTAGCCAGTTTTGTTGTGTTTTGAATGTACATTTCTATGCCCCATTCTCAGAGATTTTGATTTGGAAGGTCTGAAGCTTTAAGGTCTGAGTACAGTATCTTTAAAAAGCTCCCTATGTGATTCTAATTTTCAGGCTATCGGGTTGTAGAACCAAAGAGTCAGAAGATCAAGATATTCAGATGAATTCATTTTACATGAGAATAAGACAAAGTTGATGTTTTTATTAAAATGCTATAATCTTAGGATCAAAAATAGACAAAATACTTCTAAAAGTATTATATCTTAAAATTATTAGATTATTCAAACAATATCTTACAGCTTTTATGAGCTCCTGGTCCAGTTCAAGAATCCTGTCTGAAGATCCTTCCAACTGCTGTAATTCATACTTCACATTTTTCAGCTCATTCTGCTTCTTACTTAGGATTTCTGATTTTAACTCAATTATTCTTCCCAGTCCAGTTTTCTTATCTCTTATCTCATCTATCTGTTTTTGTTTCAGAGTCTCTTTTTCTGCAAAGTCATTCTAAATGCATATGTAAAGAATGAGCATTAATAATTTACTAAACAATTTAAGTTTTTTAATTGCAAAAGGAATATATGTACACTGAAGAAAATACAAAAAAGTACAGTCGTGTGTTGCTCAGCAGGGATATATTCCAAGAAATGCATCATTAGGCAATTTTATCATTGTGTGAACATCAGAATGTATTTACATAAGCCTACATGGTATAGTTTAATACACACATAGACTATATGGTATAGCCTATTGTTTATGGGCTACAAACCTATACAGCATATTACTGTACTGAATACTTTGGCAACTGTAACATGATGATAAGTATTTATGTATCTAAACATATCTAAACACAGAAAACATACAGTAAAATACAGTATTATAATTTTATGGGACCAATGTCAAATATGTGGTCTATCACTGACCAAAACATGTGGTTCAAGACTGTATTTTAAAAACAATCAAAACCATTACCCAGAGATAATCATTAACTGTGAGCAAATGTTTTCTCTGCAATTAGTTTTTAAAAATTTTTACTTAAAACCAAATAAAAAATGTAGGTTTACATTTTCTTCATATTTTTATCTTTATACACTTAAGAACATTTGCTTCAATAAAGGTTTTTCTGCCTTGTAGCAGATTTTATCCTAACACTAATAGAAAAATATGCCAAAATGGAGTCCAACCAAAAATTAAAACAATTCAAGTAGAGAATATGATGCAAACAAAATAACAAATACTGTATTTCAAAATACTTGCCATCAGTTGGTTGGCAGTTTTTGCTTCCCCTTCTTGTCTCTCTCTCACAAGTTTGTGAAAATTTTTAATCTGTCTTTCACTGAATGGTCCACGCTCAAAGCCATCCAATTCTAGCTGTGTTGCCAAAGACTGAATTAATGAATCTCTAGCTCGGATATGTTCTTGATGGCGATCTGCTTGCAGCTGTAGACGACCTTTTAAAAAAAAAATCTCATAATTTTTTTTTCAACTGGTGCTTAAAAAGTTGAGATAGCTGCAGATTCACGAGTTATAAAAAATAATGCAGTGTGTCTCTTGTACATTTTGCCCAGTTTCTCCCAATGATAACATTTTGCAAAACTGCAGTAAAATATCACAACCAGAATACTGATATTGATATAATTCATCAATCTTATTCAAATTTCCCCAATTTTATTTGTACCCCTGAGCATGTGGATGTGTGTATATTAAGTTCTATATAATTTTATCACCTGTGTCGGTTCATATATCCACTATGGCAGTCAAGATACTGAACAGTTCCAATACTACAAGGACTCTCTTTTTGTTCTAATCATAACCATACCTAGCTCCCTCCTGTCCTTTCTCTTACCCAGTATCCCTGGCAACCACTAATTTCTCCACTATTTCTAAAATTTTGACATTATAAAAATGTTATATAAATGGAAACATACTGTGTATAGCCTTTTAAGATTGGCTTTTCACTCAGCATAAGTCCTTGGAGATTCTTCATTCATACAGAAAATGTATAACATCATAGTAGGAAAAACGACCAAATAAACATTTTGTCCTACCCTGTTCAACAAGCAGTTCTGATTTTTCCTGATTGAGAAGCCTAGATTCTTTATTTAGTTTTTCCAGTTCACGATGACAGTCTACCAATTTCCTTTCTTTCTCCCTTACTGTTCTCTGGTGATTGTGATATAAGTCATTTAGTTGCTCATCAGTCCCTTGAAAAACCTGTGTAACACCAAAATAAAAAGCTTTAATGTACAAACATAAGAAAATATGATCACTTTGAGGTATCAAATATAAACCAAACCTTATTCAATATCCTTCATTTTAACATATACATAGAAGTAACAAGATCTGTATTTGTTTTTTTCCAATGTGGATGGCAAAATGGATTCAAATAAAGTTCATTACAATAATCCCAAAATTTTGAAGCAGAACAAAATTCTACCACCACAAACCTTTTCCATTTTCTCTTCCAGTTCACTATTATCTTTCTCCATTTGCTTCTTTCGGCTATCCAAGGCTTTAATTTCATTGTCAAGTTTCATTATTTTAGAGAGATTATGTTCAATTTCTTTTAGACGATTCTGAAAATAAAGAAACATTACATAAATAAAACTCACTATAGCTTACATGGCTGATAGATGAAGACAAGTAAGATACTCCAGGTCCAGGCATTTAGTAAAAGTGATCTCATTTAAGGCTAACAATAACACTGTAGAGCAGGCCTAGAGAAACTGAAGTTCAGAGACATTAAGTAACTTGGCCCAAGTCCTCACAGCTAGTAGAGAGAAGCAGGAATTAAATTCCACTTCTAACTCCAAACACCATGTCCTGTCCTCAACACCTGCCACAAAAGTCATTATTCATTCATTGGGCATTTAGAGTTACTTAATCCTTAAAAAGGTAACTATTTAATGTATTTTTTTAAGTCAGGACTACTGAGAAGGCTAGAAATTCATGGTGAGTTACCAATGCATTCTGAGCCTATAGGCAAATTTACATGAAGAGTATACTTTAATCCAAAGCTTGCTCAACCACAGAGGACTCTGAGCAAGTAAAGTACAACAAGGGAGCTCAGTGGCCTGCTCTGAGGCTCGCTTCCAGAGACAGCTGGTTGCCTCATCTCCCAGGAATACTGGGATCTGGTTCGGGGCATTCTCTTATTGGATGATGCTGGGGATATTCTTCTAGTGTTTGCCTCTATGATTCCAAAACTGACCAACTCTTCTTCTAAGACATTTTTACAACCTACTTTTATTATTATTATTTCAAATGCAGAGACAAGGTCTTGCTATGTTGCCCTGGCTGGAGTGGCTATTCACAGGTGCAATAACAGTGCAATACAACTTGAACTCCTGGGCTCAAGTGTTCCTCCCACCTCAGCCTCCAAGTAGCTGAGACTATAAGTATGTACCACCATGCCCAGCAGAACCTAATTTTAAACTAACATATGAAGTTATTGGAATGCTTAGACAGCAATTGCAAGCTTTCATAATTGCACCAAAATGCATCCTCGACTTTAACATAATTTATTAAAATTATACTAATAGTATAGCTTGTGATTTGTATATGAACGTAAACGTTCATATACAAATGAACCTAAAAACAGAAACTTTGTTTACTTTGTTCCCTAATGTATCCCCAGAACATGCAATAGGTGTTCAATGTTAGCTAAACGAAAGAGAGATTTGAAAAAAATAATTTTACCAAGAGCAACAGTCACAGGTATCACTGATTGAATGTCTGCTATGTTCCAGACACTGTACTAGGTGCTGCTATAAATTCTCTCTAATCCTCACAAAAGTATATACTAAGCAGGAAATTCAAAGGACTTAACTGACTTGTACAAAATTGTATAGTTAAGATTGGGAGACAAGATAACAATAAGATTAGAAGGCAGGGTATCATAATGACTAGGCTCTGGGTGCTAGAAGAAGTGGACATTTGTATGTAAGAAAGTAAACCTCAACTTTTACCTCATATCATATTAAGATTCTGAAATGAAGCATATACTTAATTGTAAGAACTCAAACTATAAAACTTTTAGAGGAAAACACTGAAGAATATTTTTGTGACACTGGGTCAAAGACTTCCTAAATAATAAACAAAAAGTATAAACCATAAGAGAAAAAAGTTTATAAACTGTACCTGATCAAAATTTAAAACTCCTGTCCTCTGAAAAGCAGTTAAGAAATATCTGCAAAACCAATATCTGATAAAGGGCTTGTATCCAGAACATATTTAGAACTCTCTGCCTGGCACTGTAGCTCACACCTGTAATCCCAGCACTTTGGGAGACTGAGGCAGGCTGATTGCTTGAGCCCAGAAGTTTGAGACCAGCCTGGGTAACCTGGTGAGACCTTGCCTCTACAAGTCTCACCGGTGTGGTGAGTGTGTGCCTGTAGTCCCAGCTACGTGGGAGACTGAGGTGGAAGGATCACTTGAGCCTGGGAGTCAGAGGTTGCAGTGAGCCAAGATCACACCACTGCACTCTGGCCTGGGTAAGACAGCGAGACCCTGTCTCAAAAAACAAGAAAAAAAAAAAAAAAAAAAAGAACTCTCACAGCTCAATAATAAAATGACCAATAAATAAATAACATTGAAAAATAGGCAAAAGACTTTTATATTTTACTAACGAAGATATTCAGGTGGCAAATAAATACATGAAAAGATGCTCAAAATCAATAATCAATTGACTGATCAACTAGGAAAACACAAATTAAAAATATAAAGAAATACAACCTCACAATGTCACAATGAGACACTACCACACCCCTACTGTTATGGCTAAAATGAAAAAGACTGACAGTACTAAGTGGGGATGAGAATGCAGAGCAATTACATTCCCATAAATTGTTGGTATATTGTTGGTAGGACTATGAAGTGGTACCAGATGGTACAGCCATCTGGTAACTTATAAGGTTAAACATATATTTACCACACGACCTAGCAACCCGAGTCCTAAAGTTATCCAAAGACCTGTATACAGAAGTTTATAGCAGTTTTATCTGTAACAACCCAAAGCCGAAAACAACTTATTTCTTTTTATTATACTTTAAGTTCGAGGGTACATGTGCACAACATGCAGGTTTGTTACATATGTATACATGTGCCATGTTGGTGTGCTGCACCCATTAACTCGTCATTTACATTAGGTGTATCTCCTAATGCTATCCCTCCTCCCTCCCCCCACCCCACAACAGGACCCAGTGTGTGATGTTCCCCTTCCTGTGTCTGTCCAAGTGTTCTCATTGTTCAATTCCCACCTATGAGTGAGAACATGCGGTGTTTGGTTTTTTGTTCTTGCGGTAGTTTGCTGAGAATGATGGTTTCCAGCTTCATCCATGTCCCTACAAAGGACATGAACTCATCATTTTTTATGGCTGCATAGTATTCCATGGTGTATATGTGCCATATTTTCTTAATCCAGTCTATCATCATTGGACATTTGGGTTGGTTCTAAGTCTTTGCTATTGTGAGTAGTGCTGCAATAAACATACATGTGCATGTGTCTTTATAGCAGCATGATTTATAATCCTTTGGGTATATACCCAGTAATGGGATGGCTGGGTCAAATGGTATTTCTATTTCTAGATCCTTGAGGAATCGCCACACTGACAAATGGGTTCTAATTAAACTAAAGAGCTTCTGCACAGCAAAAGAAACTACCATCAGAGTGAACAAGCAACCTACAGAATGGGAGAACATTTTTGCAATCAACTCATCTGACAAAGGGCTAATATCCAGAATCTACAAAGAACTCAAACAAATTTACAAGAAAAAAACAAACAACCCCATCAAAAAGTGGGTGAAGGATATGAACAGACACTTCTCAAAAGAAGAGATTTATGCAGACAACAGACACATGAAAAAATGCTCATCATCACTGGCCATCAGAGAAATGCAAATCAAAACCACAATGAGATATCATCTCACACCAGTTAGAATGGCGATCAATAAAAATCAGGAAACAACAGGTGCTGGAGAGGATGTGGAGAAAGAGGAACACTTTTACACTGTTGGAGGGACTGTAAACTAGTTCAACCAAAAACAACTTAATGTCCATCAGCCACAGAATGGATGAGGAAAAAAATTATAATACATGCATACAATGGAAGGAATGCTCCTCCACAATAAAAAGGAATGAATTGCCGGGCACAGTGGCTCACACCTGTAATCCCAGCACTTTGGGAGGCCGAGGTGGGCAGATCATCTGAGGTTGGGAGTTCGAGACCAGCCTGACCAACATGGAGAAACCCCGTCTCTACTAAAAATACAAAAAAAATTAGCTGGGTATGGTGGCACATGCCTGTAATCCCAGCTACTTGGGAGGCTGAGGTAGGAGAATTGCTTGAACCTGGGAGACGGAGGTTGCAGTGAGCCGAGATCATGCCATTGCACTCCAGCCTGGGCAATAAGAGTGAAACTCCGTCTCAAAAAAAAAAAAAAAAAAAAGGAATGAATTACTCACACATGCAGCAACATAGATAAATCCCAGACACAAAAGTCTGCATACTGTATGATTCTATATATGTGCCACTCTCTGGAAAAGGCAAAACTATAATGACAGAAAACAAATTAGTGGTTACTATGGATGGGAGCAGGGGAGAGGACTGACTGCAAGGACTTTGAGAGAACTTTTTGGAGTGACTGAAATATTCTACATCTTCATTTTAGTGATGGTTATGCTACTGTATGCATATGTCCTAACTCATAGAATTTATACTCTAAAAAGGGTGGATTTTACCATATATATATTATACCTTAATAAACTTGACTTAAAAAGAAAAAAAGGTATAAACTTAGGAATCAGAGGACTCAAATCCTACCTTTAACCCTTATTTCCACTGTGAATACCTGTACCTCAGTTTTCCTGCCTATACAACCTCACAGTTACTATGGAGTTTACATTATACATTTTAAAGCACTCGGGTTAGTGTTAGGCAGTAAACATTCAATTAATGAGACCATTTGCACCACTTGTGAAAAAAATTCTGTACTCAGAAAATACCTTTTGAGTAGAGTCTAACAAATATAACTGGATGGATACTTAAGAGCAATGAATACTAACAGCTCTACTATGATACTCTACAAAGTGCTCAGTTTCTTTCCATCAGTGTTTTCACTGCCTCTTGGTAGCACAAACATTATGATAATCATCTGGGCTTGGATCTTTCATGACATCTCTACCTGCTTCATTCCTTAAATCCAGCCAGTCACCAGATCCCCTGAATTCCTTCTTTGACATCTGTGTTTTGGTTCTAATCTCAGAGCACAAAACATAGGTTCTATCCCCAGAGTACACACCTAGTAAAAGGAGCTAGGACAAGCAGGCAGACAACAATAACAAAAACAGCCAAGGGTTTAAAGCTTAGGTGCCAGTGTGAAATGAGATAAAAAAAATAGAGCAGCTGGGCTATCAAGTATAGAAGGACCATGAACTTGTGTGCAGAAAAAAAAAGTTAGAAACATATTCCTCTAGCAATTCCCATTTAAGGCAAGAAAGGAAAACAGATCTAAGTAGGCCAAAAAAAGAGGACAGGATATGGTGGGATGGTAATAAAGTAGTTTATGAGAGAGTGAGAGTTCCCGAAGATAAAGGGAATCAGTAAAAATGGGAAAGGATGCATTCTAGTGCATGGTTGAAAGGACGTAGTCTTTTCTGGGAAGGTGATTTGACCCAAACTTTAATTGGGTTCTATGAAGGGAAGAATCTTCACATGTCAGAGCTAAAAAAAAGGACTTTGGAAGTCATCTACTTAATAAACATTTATTGAACCACCTGCTATGTGCCAGGCACTAGGCTAGGCTCTGAGGATACAGAGAAGAATATTAAACCCTTGGAGAATTACTCACAATTAAACACAAACAAGTAAATAAATACCTCAACCTCTGCTACAGCCTTGGTTAGAATCTTGGCACCACTCACTAAATCCTAGGTATTATCATTTAGCCCTACCTTGACATCATTTCCAATATAAATGCTTCATTTCAACAATATGGATTTCCTTGACAGTGTTCAAAGACAGCTTGGATTTTACTGTCTCTATGTCTCCAATGACTTACTCATTTATGATCAAAAAAGTCATGGCCAAATTCAGTCCTATGAAATCCTCTCTGGCTACCTCAGATAGAAATTCTCTTTCTTTATCCTCAGAGCTCCTACAGGTCTTGTTTTTTTCTCTGCCTTACCATTACATGTGCTTGTCATCTCTCCAACCAAGATGCTCCTCAAGAAAATAAAACGTGGAGTGGGGCAAGGGGGAAAGAAGAAAAAAAAAGGAAATCTGTTCTAATATCTTGGTAATTACCACGGGACCCACACAGAGTTATCAGGACAACTCATCCTAAAATATAACATAGTCTTCCACTCTTCTGTCTATTGAACTAAGTCTGAAATCCATTAGCTTTCTATAATCTGACCCCGATTCATATTGGTCATTTACTCCTTTTATATTGATTTACTTAACCCAGACTCTTCCTCTCATAATCCTGTTCTGATTAAGCTTGTAAAGGTAAATATGCACATACATACAAGTGAATGTTTGTATATACATATGTATTGTATATATGCAGTTAAAAAAAGTTGCAGGTAAAATATACTCTGGAAGGTTAGAGATGAGAAATGGAAGACTATCTTTTACTTTTCACCTAATATCCTTTTATAACTTTTTTACTAGGGGCACATATTACTTTTAAAAGAAAAGTCAAAATAAATACAAACATTTCCAGGTGCGGTGGCTCACGCCTGTAATCCCTGCACTTTGGGAGGCCGAGGCGGGCAGATCACTTGAGGTCGGGAGTTCGCGACCAGCCTGACCAACATGGAGAAACCCCGTCTCTACTAAAAATACAAAAAATTCTATTTTTTTTTTTTATTTAGCCGGGCGTGGTGGCTCATGCCTGTAATCCCAGCTACCCTGGAGGCTAAGTGGGAGAATTGCTTGAACCCGGGAGGCAGAGGTTGCAGTGAGCCGAGATCGTGCCACTGCACTCCAGCCTGGGCAACAAAAGTGAAACTCCATCTCAAAAATAAATAAATAAATAAATACAAACATGTATAAAATGTCTTCTAGTTTGCTGACTTGATTTCTTCCCATTCTTCAAGGCCCACCTCAGCCCTACCTCCTCCCAGAAGCCCTTGCAATATATTTCTATGCATGGCCATCATTAAAAATATATATATATTTTCTACTTCATGATTCAAAGATCTATACTGGTATTTACAGGTGAGTTTTTTAAAAACCAAATCAATAAATTTTTTAATGACTTTAAAAAATCTACTATCTAAAACATAGCAAATAGCCATTTTTAAGAATGCTCTTATTTAGACTAGGAATACCTTAAGGACAGGGGTGCAGTTGTAGTCCTCTTTGTACCCAAGCACAGTATACCCTGGTACAAAGAAGACACCCAATAAATGCTTATTAAATGAATGAATGGAATTTCCTGTAGGCCTTTCTTATAAATCACCGGGTTGAGGAAGGTATACTCATTTGCAAATATATGAACATGTTATGGATCAATTCCAAATTCTGTGCAATTTTTGAATGCTTCAAAAACTTTCTGCAAATTTTAAAAATTCTCTAGAAAGATGTCAATTTTTAAAAATATTAATACAGAACTGTAAGGTTGGGTAATGATATTGCTATTTAACACCTAGTGATCTATACTACTAATTTAGTGTGATGCTACAAATTTGTTTTCTTTCAAATCCAAGCTCTTTCAGCAATTTAAAGACTAACATAGACCTAAAACATTAGCTCCCTGATAATTCAAGAAATATACAAGCCATTCAGTTTCATATACAAATAAGGGGAGAATGCTACTATAGCAAAAAAAGGACTACCTATTTAGTATACAAGAAATTAACTACTGTACATCACTGTGACTTTAGTTAATAACAATATATAATTGCTAAGAGAGTAGATTTTAAGTGTTCTCACCATAAAAAAATTGAAGTAATGAACGTTAAATAGCTTGATTTAGCCAGTCCACGATGTATACTTATATCAAAACATCATGCTGTATACCATAAAGATATACAATTTTTGTCAATTAAAAATAAAATCAAGTTACCTTCAATGGATCAAGTTCATTCTCATAGGATTTGACAATTTCCTTTGAAGATGTTAACTGGGCTTCCTTACTTGTAATCTGATCACGAATCTCACAAGCTTTTTCCTTATATTGCTTCAGATATTTTAGTTCCATTTGATATTCTTTTACTTTCTGACCTTGTGTCTGACGTACCTGCCGAAGTGTTTCTAAGGCTTTAATGTATCTTTGAAGATATGAAACAAAAATCAAATTTCTGGCAAAGTAAATTATGGTATATATTCATACAGTGGGATATTATGCTGTCACTAAGATTACAGTTACAATGAGTTTTTAATAACTTGTAAAATGCCTATGACATAATGGTAAGTGAAAAAAATTACATTTATACTGTCAATCAGGTAAATAAATATACGCACAGAAAGACAAGTGAAAGAAAATATGCCCAATGGTTGCTGCTGGATGAGAGGTAGTAACTGATGACCTTTCTGCTTTTTAAATTTTTTCTGTTAAAAAGAAGCATCCAAATTGCAAACACAGTTCAATAACTTAATGGACTACAAAGTCTATTTAAGGGTTACAAACCTTGTTGCTGAAAAAATCTCATCAAACTTTTGCTTCAAAGCCTTTCCTTCACTTAAAGGCCAATTAGAATCTTCTTGATGACAGAAAATGACATTATTTAGCACAGCCTTGGAAACCCCAAGAGAACTGATCATTTCTCGGTCAATTTCTGCACACTTAGAGCTCAGACTGACCTTTTCACCATGCCTACAGAAAATGAAAATCAAGAATATATGTAAAATAACCTTCAGTGTATCTATTCTATTGCTTAATCAATTCATACTGTACTTCTTTAAAAGAATAAAAAAAAAGGCCCTTCACCTATCCCGTTAGAAATGGCTTCATCATGCTAAAAAGTGTAACTCTTAAACTATTTAACGGTTCACAGATGAAAAGATATGTAAAACAAAGTAGTTCAGGAAAGGAAGCCAGAATTTATTTTTTACATATTTGGACTTTTAAATATAATAATTTAGAATACTTAGAGATACTATATAGAGCATTAACTGTCTTAAAAATAAGAGACAAAGAATAAAACAAAACATGATGATCAATAGCAGACAGGCAAAGGTAAGTTAAAAACATCTTAGAATGGGGTTCTTTCTTCAGTAACAGACTGCTCTGGTGAGCAGAGGCAATATCTGTCTTTACTGTTTTTTATACATTTCAATTTGTATTTTGAAAATATTACACTGGGCCAGGCACGGTGGCTCATGTCTGTAATCCCAGCAATTTGGGAGGCCGAGGTGAATGGATCACCTGAGGTCAGGAGTTCGAGACCAGCCAGACTAACATGGTGAAACCCTGTCTCTATTAAAAATACAAAAAAATTAGCCAGGTGTGGTGGTGGGCACCTGTAATCCCAGCTCCTTGGGAGGCTGAGGCAAGAGAATCACTTGAACTCGGTGAGGTTGCAGTGAGCTGAGATTGCATCATTGCACTCCAGCCTGGGAAACAAGAGCGAAACTCTGTCTCAAAAAAAAAAAAAAAAAAAAAAAAGAAAGAAAAAAAATATTATACTGAATATATTAAGAATGCTTTGCAGAGGGCTAGAATAGACACAGATAAATCAATAGGTTATCACATGAGGTCATGGAAAGACAATGGTAGCTTGGACTAGGACTAGAATGGTGGTTGTAGAGATGGAAACAGATTCCAGAGACATTTAGATTAAATTCATAGGTCTCAGTAATAGACTGGATATGGAAGGCAAAGACATATCAAGACTTAGGTTCTTGGCTTTTGTCACTGGACGGATAGTGGTATCATTCACCAAGGTGAGGTATACCATAAGACCAAGTTGTTGGAGGTTTTTTAAGGGGGGAGGTCAAAGAGAAAGGACTGAGTTTGGTTTTGGAAACGTTGAACCTAAGTTGTCTTTGAAACAACTGGTAAAAAAAATCAGAGATGGGGCTGGGCGCGGTGGCTCACGCCTGTAATCCCAGCACTTTGGGAGGCTGAGGTGGGCGGATCACGAGGTCAAGAGATCAAGACCATTCTGGCTAACATGGTGAAACCCCATCTCTACTAAAAGTACAAAAATTAGCCAGGCATGGTGGTGCACGCCTGTAGTCCCAGCTACTCAGGAGGCTGAGGCAGGAGAATCGCTTAAACCCGGGAGGCGGAGGTTGCAGTGAGCTGAGATTTCACCACTGCACTCCAGCCTGGGTGACAGACAGAGCAAGACTCCATCTCAAAAAAAAAAAAAAAAAAAAAAAAAATCAGAAATGGGTAAATAGGTCTGGGTAAATGGGTCTGGAAACAGAGGTCTGGTTTGGAGATATGACATAAATCTGTGAGTCATCTATGAACACAGAGTAGTTTGAGCAATGGATAAGAATGTGATTACCTAGGAAGAAAATACAGAGCAAAAAAAAGGAGAAGATACAGGACTGAGCCTAATGAGACTTCCAACCTTTATTGATGGGGTGAATGAAGTAGTATGTAGCTGTGATAGAAAGAGAGAACAGTATTGTATCATGGAGGTCTAGAAAAAGAAATTTTCAAATAAAAAGTAATAAACTAGCATTTACTTAGCTATGGTACATGGAACAATGGTCCTCCAAGATGTCCACATTTTAATCCCTTGAATTTGTGAATGTTACATTGCACAGCAAAAGAGAATTAAGATTACAGATGGAATTAGGGTGTTAATCATTTGACCTTAAAATAGACTATCCTGGATTATTTGGATGGGGCAAATGTAATCACATGGGTCCTTTAATGTGAGAGAGGAAGGCAGAAGAAGAGAGAAGAAGAGGTCACAGTGATTTGATATGAGAAGAACTCTGCCCACTATTGCTTGCTTTGAAGACAGAGTAAGAGGGCATGATCTAAAAAATATGGGTGGCCTCTAAAAGACGGAAAGAACAAGGAAACATATTCTCCCTTAGAGCCTCCAGAAAGGAACGTAACCCTACTAACATCTTGATTTTAGCCCAGTGAGACCCAATTCAGACTTCTAAACTACATAAGTGTAAGATAATAAATTTGTATTGTTTATAGCACTAAGTTTGTGGTTTCTTATAGCAGTCATAGAAGACTAATACATGAACTCTTACTACATGTTAAGCATTTTATATGCATTAGCTCAACCTTGACAACATCTAAGATACACACAGTGAAAATGAATGCCTACTTTACAAATGAAATAAACAGAGGCTCACTCTTAGGTCTACTTTGTATAGCAGCAGCATTACCCTAATTAAAAACAGAGTTATTAGTAACTTTAGTCAGAGGTGTTTCAAAGGACGAATGGGACTGCAATTGGAGTGAAGAGGAGGTGAAGAAATGGAGACAGTATCAACAACTCTTTTGAGAGACTGGCTATAAAGGAGAAGAAGGAGACAGGTAGTAACTGGAGTGGAATGAAATCCCAGGGTATGAGAGATACTTGAGTGTGTTAAAATGGCAATGATGAAAACCTGCTTGAGAAGCCAGTATAGTGCCTCCAGCACATAGTAGATGTGCATTATTGGTTAAATAAAGGAATTACTTAGCTAGTTAAATAAAAGGGAGGAGAAGAAGCTGAATAGTCAAGTAATTTGCTCAACAAAGACAGAGACTTGAATCTAAGGTAGTCTAATCCCCAAATCCATATCCATTAGAAAATGATACCTGCCTCTAACAGAATGATAATGGTTGAAAGGAACAATTTATCATTCTTTCCTACTTGTCTGCTTCTCATCTCACCCATTCTTAAACATGACACTAGAATTTTTTACTCATTCAACCTGTATTTGAGTGATTATGTGCTTTCAATTCAGCAACTGTTCAGAAATTACTCAAGAGAATGGAACATAACCCTAAGTCTTTCATGGGATCATTCTATTTAACTGACAAATAGTATCCACAAAAAATCAAATGTTCATAGTGGAGGAGGCTGTGTGTGCGTGGGGGTAGGGAGAAAATGGAAGCTCAGTACTTTCTGCCCAATTTTGCTATAAACCCAAAACTGCTCTAAAAAAATAAAGTCTAAAGTCTATTGAAAAAAATTTAATATGCTCCCCTAAACTTATAGTAGAAAACAACCATCAACTTACAGACCTAAAAGACTGAAAATGAACAGAAATTCAAATATCATATAAACACCTACTTTGTTCTAGTAATGACTCCTTCCAGAGTTTTAAATTCTGTCTTTTTGCTTTTCTGAGTACACACCATAGATCTTTGCACAGCTATAAGTTCTCCATTGACATCACGAAATTGCAGACGAATCTGGGCTCTCACATCTGTTTCTTGAGCAACCTTTGAAGGAAAACACAGAAAAAACTTATGTTACTTTAATAAGCACCAGTGTTGGTTCTGAGAAAAAGGCATAAGCAATCTTACCCAAAATGAGGGAACAAAAAGAAAAACATCCAAAATGAGTGATATTTTTACATGCTATCCAAAATATAGAAGAATACTGTTTAATTAATTTACAAAAATGATATACTATCTACCTCCTTTATTCAGCATCATTAGGAGATCAGGTATGCAGATTTTTCAAATAAATGAATTTTATCTCTGTAAGCATCAAAAATGTTTTTTATCCTTAAAAATTGCAAGTTTATAGAAAGGTAGAATGATTTGGTTTGTCTTTGTCTCCACCCAAATCTCATCTTGAATTTCCACATGTTGCAGGAGGTACCCAGTTGAAGGTAATTGAATCATGGGGACAGGTCTTTCCCATGCTGTTCTTGTGACAGTGAGTAAGTCTCACGAGACCTGATGGTTTTATAAGAAGGAGTTTCCCCGCACAAGCTCTCTTTGCCTGTTGCTGTCCATGTAAGATGTGACTTGCGCCTCCTTACCTTCCACCATGATTGTGAGGCCTCCCAAGCCAGGTGGAACTGTAGTCCATTAAACCCTTTCTTTTGTAAATTGTCCAGTCTCAGGTATATCTTTATTAGCAGTGTGAAAACGGACTCATACAGTAAATTGGTACCAGGAGTGGAGTGCTGCTGAAAAGTTATCCGAAAATGTGAAAGCGACTTTGGAACTGGGTAACAGGCAGAGGATGGAACAGTTTAGAAGGCTCAGAAGAGAGGAAAATATGGGAAAGTTTGGAACTCCCTAGAGATTTGTTGAATGGCATTGACCAAAATGCTGATGAGGATATGGACAATGAAATCCAGGTTGAGGTGGTCTCAGATGGAGATAAGGAACTTGTTGGGAACTGGGGCAAAGGTGACTTTTGTTATATTTTAGCAAAGAAACTGGCAGCATTTTGCCCCTGCCCTAGGAATGTGTGGACCTTTGAACTTGAGAGAGATGATTTAGGGTATCTGGTGAAAGAAATTTCTAAGCAGTAAAGCATTCAAGCGGTGACTTGGGTGCTGTTAAAGGGATGCAGTATTAAAAGGGAAACAGCATAAAAGTTTGGAAAATTTGCAGCTTGACAATGTGATAGAAAATAAAATCCCATTTTCTGAGGAGGAATTCAAGCCAGCTGCAGAAATTTGCATAAGTAACAAGGAACCAAATGTTAATTACCAAGACAATAAGGAAAATGTCTCCAGGGGCATGTCAGAGACCTTTGTGACAGCCCCTCCCATCACAAGCCCAGAGGTTTAGGAAGAAAAAATAGTTTCGTGGGCCAGGCCCAGGGTCCCTCTGCTGTGTGCGGTCTAGGGACTTGGTGCCCTGTGTCCCAGCCACAACTAAAAGAAGCCAAGGTACAGCTTGGCCTGTTGCTTCAAAGGGTGGAAGCCCGAAGCCTTGGCAGCTTCCACGTGGTGTTGAGCCTGCAGGTGCACAGAAGTCAAGAAATGAGGTTTGGGAACCTCTGCCTAGATTTCAGAGGGTGTATGGAAACACCTGGATGCCCAGGCAGATGTTTGCTGCAGGGGTGGGGCCCTTATGGAAAACCTCTGCTAGGGCAATATGGAAGGGAAATGTGGGGTTGAAACCCCACAGAGTTCCTATGGAGGGGACTGCCTAGTGGAGCTGTGAGAAGACAGCCACTGTCCTCCAGACTGGTAGATCCCCCAGAATAATAGATCCACTGACAGCTTGCACTGTGCACCTGGAAAAACTGCAGGCACTCAACACCAGCCTGTGAAAACAGCCAGGAAGGAGGCTATACCCTGCAAAGCCAGAAGTGGAGCTGCCCAAGGCCATGGAAGCCCACCTCTTGCATCAGAGTGACCTGGATGTGAGACATGGAGTCAAAGGAGATCATTCTGGAGCTTTAAGATACACCTGCCCCACTGAATTTCGGACTTGCACGGGGCCTGTAGCCCCTTTGTTTTGGCCAATTTCTCCCATTTGGAATGGCTGTATTTGCCCAATGCCTGTATCCCCATTGTATCTAAGAAGTAACTAACTTGCTTTTGAGTTTACAGGCGCATAGGCAGAAGGGACTTGCCTTATCTTGGGTAAGACTCTGGACTGTGGACTTCTGAATTAATGCTAAAATAAGACTTTGGGGGACTGTTGGGAAGGCATGATTGGTTTTGAAATGTGAGGACATGAGATTTGGGAGGGGCCAGGGGTGGAATCATATGGTTTGGCTGTGTCTCCACTCAAATCTCATCTTGAATCCCCATGTGTTGTGGGAGAAACCAGGTGGGAGATAATTGAATCACGGGGGCAGGTCTTTCCTGTGCTGTTCTCATGATAGTAAGTCTCACGAGATCTGATGGTCATTATAAGGGGGAATTTTCCTGCACAAGCTCTCATTTGCCACCATGTGAGACATGACTTTCACCTTCCACCATGATTGTGAGGCCTCCCCAGCCACGTGGAACTGTAAGTCCATTAAACCTCTTTCTTTTGTAAATTGCCCAGTCTTGGGTATGTCTTTAACAGCAGTGTGAAAATGGAGTAATACACAGAACTACAGTATACATAGCTTTCCTGCCCCCCAAACCACATGAGAGTAAGTTGCTGATCTGATGTCCCAACACCAGTATTTCCTACAAAACAAGGACATTTTCAACAACAAAAATCAGGAAACTGATACTGATATATTATTACCACATGGTCCACAAATCCCATTCAAGTTTTGCCAGTTGTTCCAAAATGTGATAAGTTACCATTAACTCAGCTGTGGCATATAAAATAATGGTTCTCCAAAGATGTCCACATTCTAATCCCTTGAATTTGTGAATGTTACATTACACAGCAAAAGAGAATTAACATTACAGATGGAACTGGGGTGTCAATCACTTGACTTTAAAATAGAAAGATTACCCTGGATTATTTGAATGAGGCAAAGTATCTACAAAAAGTTAGATGCTGATAGTAGAGGAGGTTGTGTGTGTACAGGCAGGGAATATACAGAAACTGTACTTTCTGCTCAATTTTGCTATAAACCCGAAGCTGATCTACAAAATAAAGTTTAAAGTCTGTTGAAAAAAATTTAATATGCTCCCTTAAAGTAGTAGAAAATGACCATCATCTTATAAGACCTAAAAGACCAACAATGAACAGACATTCAAATATCATATAATCACCTATTTTTTCTGATGTCTTCTGTCTTATATTAATATGGTCACTTCAGCATTCTTTTCATTAGCTGGCACGGTATATTTTTTCCATCCTTTTGTTTTAAACCCATCTGTACTATTATATATAAAAACACTGTTATTCCTTTTACTTTATTTAGGGTTTTTTGGTTATTGTCCTCCATTTTTCTCATGTTTTTATTTTTATGTTTTTATTTATATCTATGAACATAGTTATAAGATTTATAATAAGATTTTAAGGTTCTTATCTACTAATTCTATCATCTATTCATCCCTAGGGTACTTCTGTGGATGCCTTCCTCACTCAGTCCTACCTAATGGCTTTTGGACTGAATTAATCAGGAATGAATAACTATTCATCCATTAGTTATGCTGAGAGTTTTTATCATGAATGAGTATTAAATTGAAAAGCTTTTTCTGTATCTATTGATGCTCATATGATTTTTCTTCTTTATTCTATTACTGTGGCAAATTATACTGATTGTTTTTTTCTTTTTCTACAGCCTAATTCACTTGTCCCAGTACGTCCTTTAGAGCAAAAGGATTCAGTTCAGAATTACACTTTGTATTTGGTGGTTATGTCTCTTTACTTTCTTTCAGCCTGAAATAGTTGCTCAGATTTTCCTTGACTTTCATGACTGATAATTTTGAAAAGTACAGACCATTATTTTGCAGAATACCTCCCAAAATTTGGGTAATATTTCCTCACGACTAGAATCAGGTTATGTATCTTTGGCAAGAATATTATACAAGCGATGATGAGTTCCTTTTACTGCATCTCATCAGACAGGACATCATTTCCATTTATCTCATTACGGAGGGTATTAACTTCAATCCCTTTATTTATTTTTTTGAGACAGGGTCTCACTTTGTCATCCAGGCTGGAGTGCAGTGGCATGAACACAGCTCACTGCATCCACGACCTCTGAGTCATAAGCAATCCTCCTACCTCAGCCCCCCAAGTAGCTGGGACTATAGGTGCATGCCACCACACCCCGCCAATTTTTGTAGTTTTTGTAGAGATGTGGTTTCACCATGTTGCCTAGACTAACTTCAATCTCTTGATAAAGGTGTATCTCCTAGCTTCACCAAAAAATTTTTCTTTACAATTAATTAATAATTTGAGGGAGAGATGCAGAGACCATACAACTATCTCATACTTCATCAAACTTTCTTCCATTAGTTTTAGCATCTACTGTTTCTTACCTGAATGAATTATTATTATGACAGCTATCAAATACAGGCATACCCCATCTTATTGTGCTCTTCAGAGGTTTGTGGCAACCCTGCATCTAACAAGTCTATCGGTGCCATTTTTCCAACAGCATGTGCTCACTTTGTGTCTCTGTGTCACATTTTGGTAATTCTCACAATATTTCAAACTTTTTCATTATTATTGTATCTGTTATAGTGATCTGTGATAAGTGATCTTTGATGTTACTACTGTAATTGTTTGTGTGCCACAAACCATCCACATATAAGAGGTGAACTTAATCCATTAACGTGTGTGTCCTGACTGCTTTACTGACCTGCCATTCCCGTCTCTCTCCCTCTCCTTGGAACCTGATTGCCTGAGACACAATAATATGGAAATTAGGCCAATTAGTAACCCTACAACAGCCCCTAAGTGTTTAAGCGAAAGAAGAGTCAAACATCTCGTTTTAAATCAAAAACTAGAAATGATTAAGCTTAGTTGAGAAAAGCATGTCAAAATCCAAAACAGGTTGAAAGTTAGGCCTCTTTCATCAGTTAGCTGAGTTGTGAGGGCAAAGGAAAAGTTCTTGAATAAAATTAAAAGTGCTACTTTAGTGAACACACAAATGATAAGAAAGTGAAACAGCCTTACTGCTGATATGGAGAAAGTTTTAGTAGTTGGGATAGATTAAACCAGCCACAACATTCCCTCAGGCCAAAACCTAATCCAGAGCAAAGCCCCAACTCTCTGCAATTCTATGAAGGCTGAGAGAAGTAAAGAAGCTGCAAAGAAAAGTTGGAAGCTAGCAATGGTTGGTTCATGAGGCTTAAAGAAAGAAGCTGTCTCCACAACATAAAAGTGCGAGGTGAAGCAGCAAGTGCTGATGCAGGAGCTGCAGCAAGTTATCCAGAAGATCTAGCTCAGGTAATTGATGAAGGTAGCTACACTAAACAACAGATTTTCAATGTAGACAAGACCGCCATCCATTAGAACTTAACCTGCAATATCTAAGGTATGCCTATAGTAATTTTCTAGTTCCATTATTCCTTTTATATTAGTTAAGGTTCTAGTATAAGGGGCTTTGCTCTTTCTCCATTTCCCCCCCCATTTTCTTGTATCAGTATAAACTCATAGATTCCTTACTTGGGCTCCAATCCCCCACCAGGCTGTCACAGCTTGTTTTTGTGGATGCCTTCCTCACTCAGCCACACCTAACGGATTTTGGACTGAATTATTCAGGAATTAATATTCCTCCATCAGTTATGCTGAGGGTTTTTACCACGAAAGACTATTAAATTGAAATGCGTTTTCTGTATCTATTGGTGTTCATATGATATTTCTTTTTTATTCTGTTAATGTGGCAAATTATACTGATTGGTTTCTTTTCTACCGTATCTCTCTAAGCATTATCTAGCTGCACCCCACATATTTTTACATGCTATATTTTTGATTCATTTAAAGTATTTTTTCTAATTTCCCTTGTGATTCCTTTTTTGATCCATGTAATATTTAGAAGTATGCTGCTTAATTTTTCAATTATTTGGGGATTTTCCGGATACTTTTCTGCTACTGATTCTGGTGTAGTCACAGAATACATTATCTATGACTTTACTCCTTATAAATTTATTGACACTTGTTTTACAGTCCAGAATGTTGGTCTATCTTACAGAATGTTCCACATGCACTTGAAAATAAAGTGTATTCTGCTATCGTTCAATGGAATGTCCTATAAATGTCAATCAGGTTGATTTGGTTAACAGTGTTGTTAAAATTTTCCATATACTTACTGATATTTCATCTGCTTCTTTTCTCTACTGAGAGGGGTATTGAGATCTCCAATTGACCTTGCAGATTTGTGTATTTCTCCATTCTGTTCCATAGGTTTCTGCCTCATATATTTGGAAGTTTTACATTTAGAATTTTTGTGTCCTTGCATTAAATTGACCTCTTCTCATCATAAAATGTTTCATTTTCCCTAGTTCTGATGTCTTCTGTCTGGTATTAATATGGTCACTTCAGCTTTCTTTTCATTAGCTGGCACAGTATATTTTTTCAATCCTTTTGCTTTTAACCTATTTGTACCATTATATACAAAACACCATTATTCCGTTTATTTGGGTTTTTAAAATTATTTTCCATTTTTCTCATTATGCTTATGTTTTCCTTTATATCTATGAGCATATTTATAAGAGTTATAATAAGGTTTTAGGGTTCTTATCTACTAATTCTATTATTTCTTTCATTTTGGATCTGTTCATATGATTGATTTTTCTCTGATTATGGGTCCTATTTCCCTGCTTCTTTGGATGCCTGTTAACTTTTGATTGTGAATTTTGTATTGTTGGGTGAAAGATTTTGTTTTATTCCTTTAATGAGTACTGAACTTTGTTCTGGCATGCAGTTAAGTTTTTTGAGCAACAAACAGTTGGATTCTTTTGAACCTTTGTTGTTAAGGTCTGTAAAGGGGGACCTAGAGCAGCTTTTACTCTAGGACTAATTTACAATCATTTTCGACATTTTCCTTCAGCCTCAAAAACTTTCTTTAACAATTACTATAGTGCAAGCCTGTCTGTAACAAATTACCTCTACCATTTTGTTTTAAATCTGAAAATGTCCTCCATTTCACCTCCAATTTTCAAAGAATATTTTTGCTGGATATAGGAGTTTAACTTTTATTCCCTAGCACCTTAAAGGTGCTGTCCCACTGTTTTCAGGTTTAGATTGCTTTTCCTAAGAAGTAATCATACTCATTATTCTTTCCCTCTGCATGATGTGTTACTTTTTCCTCCACCTGTTTTTAAGATTTTATATTTAGTTTTGAACAATTTGAATGTAATGTACAACATAGTTATGTTTATGCTGCTTGTGATGCATTCAGCTTCTTGGGTCTTTTTTTATAGTTTTTATTACTCTGTTTAGATGTCTTCCCACACATTATGTCCATCTTTTCCTTTAAGTCCTTGAGCTTATCTATCATAGCTTTAAAAAAATCCGGTCGGGCGTCGTGGCTCATGCCTGCAATCCCAGCACTTTGGGAGGCCGAGGCAGGCGGATCACAAGGTCATGAGTTCGAGACCAGGTTGGCTAATATGGTGAAACCCCGTCTCTACTAAAAATAAAAAATAAAAAAATAAAAAATCAGCCGGGCATGGTCGTGGGCACCTGTAGTTCCAGCTACTCGGGAGGCTGAGGCAGGAAAATTGCCTGAACCTGGGAGGCACAGGTTGCAGTGAGCCGAGATTGTGCCACTGCACTCCAGCCTGGGAAACAGAGTGAGACTCCATCTCAAAAAAAAAAATTTAAAAAAAATTTAAAAAAAAATCCTTGTCTGCTAATTCCAAAATCTGTCATCTCTGGATCTGCTTCTACTCACTTTTCCCTTCTCAGGTATAGACCACATTTTCTTTTGCATATTCCCATTAATTTTTAAAATTATATTCTGCACATTGTAGATGCCACATTGAGAGCTTCGACTGAGTAGGCTTCCTTTAAAAAGTCTTGAGTTTTGTTCTAGCAGCCAGTTAATTTACTGGCAACTCAGCTTGATTCTATCAAAACCTGGTTTCAGTATTTGTTAGGTGGGCCTTTCTGAGGTCTCAAGTGAACACTGGAGAGTTCCACAAGGTCACTCCATTCTGGCACATCAGGACTCAAATGTCTCACAGCATTGTGTGACCTTTAGAATACAACACTCACAGCCCCACTTGCCACCTTGGTAGTTGTTCTCTACTAGCCCTCATTAAATCTCATCCTATACATGGATAGCTTAGTATTTGGCCAAAGACTCAAAAGATCCTTATGCAGATTTCTGGTACACCATCTCTGCACAACAACCCTACTTCAGTACTCTGCTCTACAATTTCCAGTCACTTTAGCAAATCCAAAATCCTATCTTTGTTTCATCTGCCTAGTGATGCCCAATTCTGCCCAGCTCTCTACTGGATTCCAATTCCATGTGCCAAAGTTTACAAAGTGTTCCCAGGTAGAAAGCTGGAATGAATGCAGAATCACCTTTTATGTTTCTCCTTTCTCAAAGAATATAGCCCTGCATTATCTGTGGTCCAATGCCTGAAAATAGTTGTTTCACATACTTTTCCAGTGTTACAGTTATTCATCTTGCGAGTATAAGTGTGATACTCATTATTTTGTTGCAACCCAAATCACAAGTACTGGATTCTGCTTTAAAAAAAAAAAATCATTAAAGATCCTTTGCTGACTTTTTAATGACTTCTTGGCATGAATTTAACTTTGATACTAATTCAATTAATCATTCAACAAATATTTACAGGCACTTTGTAGGTTTCATGTGTTGTTTTGGTTCAAACTGACAGACTTTTTTTCCTTTGAAGCATGCAAGATAGGTTAAATGTAGACAAGGTGTGCTAAACACCATCATAAGCACAGGATAATCTGGGAGTACAAAGCAGGAGCATCTAACCTATCTAGGACAGCTCAGGGAAGGTAGTCTAAAGGAAGTGAATGTTTAAATGAAACTTCTACCAATCTGGGTAGAAGTTAACCAGATGAGAAGATCTGAGTCACTACGTGACTACAGAAATTTCAGAATGTTTGGCATAGAAAGTAGGGAAAAGAAGAGTATCAACCTAAAATGTTTCAGAAATTAACAGCCTTCTAAACTTGGTAAGGCTTTTGGATTTAAGGTGATGGCACTAAATGGTTTGAACCAGGGGAATTGCATGAAGTAGATATGCATTTTAGAAGAATTATTTTGTCTTTAGGGTGAACAGAGTGAACTGAGACAAGACATGAAGCAGGGAATAATCGAGGAGAGATAGGAAGGCAGCCTGGACAAGGGTTGAGGATGGAGGTAAAGAGGAAGAAGTCGCTGAACTGGCTACTCAGAAACAGCCTCTTAGGATACAGACATTTCAATGAGGAGGTGGCCAGAGGTCAGTATAAAGCTTTGAAAGCCCAGACTTGACTCTGTCATTTCATCATAAGGAGAGCATTCTGCTGAAGGTTTAATCCACAGTAGTTGAACTAAGGAGCTATGTATTTATGCAGCAAAAAATTAATTTGTTTACAGTGTTCCTGAGTAGCAAGCCAAATACACATACTCTTTCTCCATGGCATCTACTTTTCGAGGACCTAGCTACCCGGCAAACATCAAATTAGTAAATAGAATTCAAGCAAGGGCTATCTTGTAGCATTTCTATCACTACATTGTTGTTGACACTCTTATTGAAGAAGAGTCACTTCAAAAGTGAAGTGTAATTTAGATTGAATTATTAAAACAAAGAAATGTGTATTATACTTCAGAACAATTTCTATCAAAAAGAATAAAATAAAAAATAAGAAAAACCCTTCTTTCTCCAAACAATCTAGTTGTAAAACCATTAGGTGGGGCAGAAGAAGGTGCGTGTTCATGCCAGCTGAAGGTTAAGGCACCTATAACTCAGCCTAGAGTGGAATAAATGAGCTTGAGTAGGCTGAGAAGGGTACCCTCATGGGGAAACAGCTTGGCATAGACAGAGTTTCAAGAGTCCAATGGTATCAGAGTTCCAGCAGGATGAAAGAGGAATCCACAAATAGGGGGGATCCAGCTCAGAAGCAGAGTGTCCACGCCAGGGAATAGTGTGGGGATTCAGAGCCTGATAATGATGAGAAGGGGGCCCACCTGAGGGTTAAGTCGGCTAGGGGGAAGTCAGATCATAGAGTAGAGACGGCATTCTTGCAAGAAGCCACCTGGTATAAAGTATCAGACTGAGAAGAGTGACCCTCTCAGTGACACAGATCTGGGGAGATTCAGGTCAGAGTACAGTGGGCATCCCTGCAAGAGGCCACCTGGTATCAGAGAAGGGCGGGGAATGAGGACATGATCTAGCACCAGAAGTCAAAGTGTATACAGAATGGAAAAGCATCCCATGAGGGAGTCAGAATGAAGAGTCAAGAGCCTACGCAGGATAAGGAAGACTGGCATACAGGGATGGAGTCAGCCCATATGAGGTGCTAGGGCCCTGATGCAACGATGAGACATTGATTACATACAGGAGGATTGATTAAGTCAATATATTAAGATTATGGTTGTATAAGTACATTCTTGCACTGCTATAAAAAAAAAACCTGAAACTGGGTAACTTATAATGAAAGGAGGTTTAATTGGCTCACAGTTCCACATGCTATACAGGAAGCAAGACTGGGGAGACCTCAGGAAACTTACAATCATGGCAGAAGGCAAAGGGGATGCTGGCACATCTTACATGGCTGGAGCAGAAGAAAAAGAGTAAAGGGGGAATTGTGACAGATTTTTAAACAACCAGATCTCATGAGAATTTACTCACTATCATGAGAACAGCAAGGGGGAAATCTACCCCCATGATCCAATCACCCCAACCAGGTCCCTCCTGCAACAAGTCCTGCAGACTTCTGCCTGGACATCCAGACGTTTCCATACATCCCCTGAAATCTAGGTGGAGGCTCCCAAGCCTCAACTCTTGTTCTCTGCGCAACCCCAGGCTTAACACCATGTGGAAGCTGCCAAGGCTTACAGCTTGCAGCCTCTGGAGCAGCAGCTTAAGATATATCTGGGGCCCTTTTAGCCATGGCTGGAGCTGGAGTGGCTGAAACACAGGGAGTAGTGTCCTGTAATGGGAGGGGCTGCTGTGAAGATCTCTGAAATGCCTTCTAGCCATTTTCCCCAGTGTCTTGGCTATTAAACATTCTGCTCCTCTTTACTTATGCAAATTTCTGCAGCCGGCTTGAATTCCTCCCCAGAAAATGGGTTTTTCTTTTCTACCACATGATCAGGGTGCAAATTTTCCAAACTTTTATGCTCTGCTTCCCTTTTAAATATAAGTTCCAGTTTCAGATCTCTTTGCTTGCACATATGAGCATATACTGCTAGAAGCAGCCAGGCCACATGTTGAAAGTTTTGCTGCCTGGAAATTTCTTCCACCAAATACTCTAAATCATCTCTTTCAAGTTCAAAGTTCCACAGATTCCTAGAGCAGGGGCACAATGCTGCCAGTCTCTTTGCTAAAGCATCGCAAGAGTGACCTTTACTCCAGTTCTCAGTAAGCTCCTTATCTCCATCTGAGACCTCCTCAGCCTAGACTTCATTATTCATATCACTGTCAGCATTTTGGTCAAAATAATTTAACAAGTCTCTAGGAAGTTCCAAACTTTTCCTCATCTTCCTGTCTTCTTTTGAGCCCTCCAAACTGTTCCAACCTCTACCCATTACCCAGTTCCAAAGTCACTTCCACATTTTCAGCTATCTTTATAGCAATACCCTACTCTCGGTACCAACTTTCTGCATTAGTCTGTTTTCTCACTGCTACAAAGAAATACCTGAAACTGGTTAAAGAAAAGAGGTTTAATTGGCTCACGGTTCTGCAGGCTGTACAGGAAGCATGACTGCGGAGGCCTCAGGAAACTTACAATCATGGCAGAAGGTGAAGAGGAGGCTGGCACATCTTACACGGCCAGAACAGGAGGAAGAGAGTGAAGGGGGAGGTGCTACACACTTTTAAACAATCAGATCTCATGAGAACTTACTATCACAAGAACTGCAAGGGGGAAATCCACCTCCATGATTCAATCACCTCCCACCAGGCCCCTCCTCCAACAATGGGGGTTACAATTTGACATGAGATTTGGGCAGATACAAATTCAAACCATATCGGTACTCAATTCCTTGCTTCTCATTACCTTCATAGTATTTACCAAATCCCCAACCATGGATAAATGCAACTTTCCAATTTATTCAGTGCTTGGGCTGAACAAGACTGAAAAAACATACATAACCATGATGGCTGGTCTCTCTTTAAATTTTCACAAAACCCCTGACACTGTCATGTAATCCCAGAACACCTCCCTTAATCAATTTACTTACTGAGGTTAAAAACTATTCTATGTTTTCTAGGCTCAATCAACCCCTTCTGCCACTCTCAACCAGTAACTTCATTTCTTTTTTCATTTGAGAATATAAAAGCAATCAAAAGAGAACTTACTCATTCTTTCACCACTAAAGTTTCCAATCATATAATCTGCCTAAATCCCTGTTACAATGGATAACAGTGGATGTTCCTGGTATCCCCTCCAGTTGGGCAATGGATCTTATCTCTTTTTGCCTACTCAAGAATTGTGCTCTGTAATTATCCCCTCTCCTGCATCAATGTTTCTGTCCAGAGTCATTCCCAACAGTCTACAAATGCTCTAGTATATCCCACTTTTAAAAACACAATAAAACAACAACAACAAAACTTTCCTTTATCCTGTTAACCTCTTCAGCTACTGTCCTATGTCTGTGTCCACTTACAACAAAATTCATAAAATAATTCTGTTTCACTTCTTTATCTTTTCTCTGATTACTGGAACTGGTTTTGTCAAGAGCAACAACGGACTCCACATATCCAAACACTCCTCTTCTTTCTTGAGCTATCAACATATTTGACACAGTTGATGATTTCCTCCTTATAACACTTTATTCTCTTGTCTTCCAAGACACCACTCTCTCAGTTTTCCTTACTTAACGAATTGCTCTTTTACTAGCTTCTCCTCCTCTTCCCAATTTCTAAAGGCATCATCGGCTCTAGTGCTCTAGGTTAAGGTCTTGAATATCTTTTCCATATTCACTCTCTATTTGATCTCATCAGGCTTTAAAAATTAACTATGTGGAACTACCTGTATACACTAATGATTCCTAATTTTCTTTCTCCAGTCCTAATCTCTTTCCTGAACAGACTTCTGCTTGCCAACTGGACATCTCCTTTGGATATTTAACACATATCCCTAATTTGCATGTTTAAACCAGATCCACCCAAATATTTTTTCCATAGTGCCCCTATTATAATAAATGACAAAACTATTTTATCCAGTTGTTCAAGCCAAAAACTTTGGAGTTATGCTTGATGCTTTTACTTCTTTCATACACCATTATCCAAACCATTAGCTAATTTGTTGGTTCTATCTTCAAAATACATCCTAAATCCAAACATTTCTCACCATTCTACCACTACCTTAATGAAGCCACCTATATTTCTCACCTGGATCATCACAAAATCTTCTTAATTTGTCTCTGCCCTATCTTTGCTACCTACGGACAGTCTTCTCTCAGCAACCAGACTGAGCACTTTAAAAGATAAATCAGACCATGTCCTTTCCCTGCTCAAAATCTCCCAATAGACAGATTCCTATTTAAATAAGACTAGAATCCAAGGACCTACAGGATCTAGTCTCTCCTATCTTTCTAACTTTATTTTCTACCATTTTCCCTTGTTCTTCCTTGTCATTCCTTGAACACACCAACCATGCTCAGGGACTCTGCAACTAGACTGAATGAAATGTTTTCTTCCCAGATTTTGAACAACTCATTCCCTCTTGAATGAATATTTAAAAGACAACTCTGATTACTCTGTGAGAAAGAGAGAGCTTCAAGAATGAGGGCAGGAAAATAAGTTAGGAGACGATTCTAATAGTTGAAAGGGAATATGATGGTGGCTTGGAACAGGAACACAGTGGCCGATGGAATGAAGTAGACAAATTCTGACATATTTTAGAAGGGTAGGTAAGAATTGCTTATGTAGGGATGATGACATCATTTACAAAACTGGCGGGGGTGGGGTACTGAGGTAGTAACAGAGCTGAGAATGTAGGCAGGAAGTGGGTACAAGGAATCAAGAGTTCTGTTTTGAACATGTTAAATTTGAGATGCCCATTAAATATCCAAACAAACAGCTAGACATATATGTCTAGAGTTAAGGAAAGAAGTCAGGGTCAAATATATAAATGTGGTAGTTACCAGCACATAACCAGTACTTAAAGCCGTTAGACTGAATAAGCTCATCCAAGAGAGATAGGGAAGAGGGTTAATGCAAAGATGGCCAACTCTTGTGTCACACTGGCTTTTAGAAATCAAGCAGGTTGGGTGCAGTGGCTCACATCTGTAATCCCAGCACTTTGGGAGACTGAGGCAGGTGGATCACCTGAGGTGAGGAGGTTGAGACCAGCCTGGCCAACATGATGAAACCCCGTCTCTGCTAAAAATACAAAAATTAGCTGGGTGTGGTGGCACACCCGTAATCCCAGCTACTCAAGAGGCTAAGGCACAAGAATAGCTTGAACCTGAGAGACAGAGGTTGCAGTAAGCCAAGATCATGCCACACTGCACTCCAGCCTGGGCAACAGTGCAAGACTCCGTCTCATAAAAAAAAAGAAATCAAGCAAAGGTAGACCCAACAAAGACTAAAGTATAGCCAGTGAGAAAGAAGGAAACTATGAGATTATAGTGTCACAAAAGCCAAGAAGGAAATATATTTTAAAAAAGAAATAGCCAACTGTGTCAAATCTGACAAGATGTTAATGAGAATTAGAAACTGACCACTCTATCTGGCACATTGAGATTATTGGTGACCTTACAAAGGCACTTTTAGTGGAGGAAAAAAAGAAAACCTGAATGGAGTAGATTGAGGGAAAAATGGGAGTCAATGAAGTAAAGACAATGAGGACATACAAATCTTATGAATTTTGAAATATATTGGAACAGAGAAAAGGTAATGGCTAGAGGGTAAATTGGAGTAAAGGGAGAGTTTTTTGTTTGAAGACTAGAGATACCAGAGCATGTTTATATGCTGATGTGAATGATCCATCAAGAGAAACTGCTGATCCAGGAGAGAGATGGAAAAACTGAAGGGCAAAATCCTTGGGTGGATAAGAGGGATCAATGAGATCTAGCCTCCAAGGAGCTGGTTCATGTTTAGATAAAACAACAAATAATTTATCCAAGAAAAAACAGTATGGGCACGTATGTACAGTAGTTTCGTAGATGTGATGATTGGAAAATAAGGGAATTCTCATTTGATTCTTCCTATTTCTCAATAAAGTACAAAGCAAGATCATCAATTAAGGAAAGTAGATTGTAGATTTAAGGAGAGAGAAGGTGGGAAACAGTCATTATGGAGAGGACTCAGTAAATGTACTAAATACTATTACATTTCTAAGAGGAAAATTCATAAATATTTTCATAATTACAGAGTTATCTTTAATCACACTAAGGTAGAAACAAATAATAATCAACAGGGGGTCATTTAATAAACTACAGGATATAAACTCAATGGAATACAATTTACTAATTAAAAACAATAAAATAGAAGTATAAAATTATATTAATGTGCTAAAATATGTATGTGTGAATGCATTTATGTGCTCACGTAGACATGGTTTTATAAGCAGAAAAAAGCTTGGAAGAATACGTAACGAAAACATAGTGGAACTGGGGTCAGGGAGCGGCTAGAGAGGCACATGACCCCACTAAAAACGAATAAACTATATATATATGTGTGTGTGTGTGTGTGTGTGTGTGTATTGTTGTTTCACTTCTATATGTGCAAAAACAAACCTATAGACCAAATTCTATGTCCTTTACACATACGAATAGTATAAACACCATAATTCAAACAATGATTCATACACAAAGATTTTTATCATGATACTTTTTTTTCTAGACAGTGGGTCTCACTATATTGTCCAGGCTAGCCTTGAACTCCTGGGCTGAAGCAATCCTCCCATCTCAGCCTCTAGAGCTATCTGGGAGTATTGGCACACACCCCCAAGCCTGGCTTATCATGGTACATTTTAATGAAAAACTGAAAGCAATCTAATGTAAGAAAATTACATAACTACTAAAGTGTTCATGCACTTTAAGTAGAAAATATCTCAGACATACAAAGCAGTATAAAGATTAAAAGAAACACTTACATACCAAACACCCAGATGATAGTTTTTTAATGACATAGGACTTCATGATAATGTTAAGTGGGGAAAAAAACCCAGAATACAAAATTAAGAGTATGACATCAGCTATATAAAACAGTATTTAAAGGAGGAGGAAAACACATGAAAATGTCAACAACGGTTACTACTGGGTGCTAAAACTGTGTGGGGCTGACTTTCATTTCTCTTTATAGTTTTCCAGTGCCAAGTTTTCTATAATAAGCTATTATCATTTTTATAATTATAAAAATACAAAATTGTACTAGCACCATTACCTTGGGATCGTGTACAAATGTATTTCCTTTGGTTCCAGGAGGGAAATCTCCAGTACAAATATATTTTAGACATTCAATGATGGTCTAAAGAAATAGAAAATTACATTATTTCGTTATAAGAGAACCACAGAAGTTTACCATAAAATATGAATTCATTACAAAAATATTATTTATCATGGAAACTATAAAAGATAAAATCTGACATTATAAAACCTGTAATAAAAATATGATTAAGTGTTAATGCTGTAAGTTCACAGAAATGCTATATAACTAAGAAGTTATCCTAATATGAAGAATTGTTACTTGGGAAAAAAATAATTATTTTCAACTGAAACCCTTTAAACTAATTTAAGTTAATAATAAGAATGGCTAACAGTTAAGTACTGTATTGTACTAAGCACTCTTACATACATTTATTTAATTCTCACATTAACTCCAGGCTGTAGGAACTTTTTGTTTAAGAGACAGGGTCTCATTCTGCTGCCCAGGCTGCAGTGCAGCTGCATGATCATGGCTTACTGCAGCCTCGACCTCTCGACCTCCTGGGCTCAAGCAATCCCCCAGCCTCAGCCTCCCAAACGGCTCGGATTACAGTCGTCAGCCACCATGCCCAGCCTGTAGAAACTTTTTTTTTTTTTTTTTTTTTTTTGTGGGGGGAGAGAGTCTCCCTCTGTCACCCAGGCTGGTGTAGTGCAATGGCGTGATCTCGGCTCACTGCAACCTCCACCTCCCCGGTTCAAGCGATTCTCCCGCCTCGGCCTCCCCAGTAGCTAGGATTACAGGCATGCGCCACCACGCCTGGCTAATTTTTGTATTTTTATTAGAGATGGGGTTTCGCCACGTTGGCCAGGCTGGTCTCGAACTCCTGACCTCAGGTGATCCACCCGCCTCGGCCTCCCAAAGTGCTGGGATTACAGGCGTGAGCCACCGTGCCCAGCTGTAGAAACTATTTTTAATCTCCATTTTATAAATGAGAAAACTAAGGCACAGAGCAGTGAGGTCACTCGCAAACAATCAGACAACTAATAAATGAAGCGAAAAAGCTGTATTGAGGCAGCCAGTCCTCATAAACACTATACAGTACTACTCTCCCTTCTGCTAGTATTTAGTACAATCCTAAGTACATAACAAGCATTCAACAAATAACATTTTTACAAAAACAAAAGTAAACAAGTTTGGCATTCAATTCTCAACCTTCTCTCTTTCTACACTCTTCACAAATCCTTCCTTTAGACTCTTCTCCCTGCTATACTGACATCGTCTTGCTTTTTCTTAAGCCACTATTCCTGACCAGAATGCCTCTTGGTTATTCTTTCCATTCAAATTTATAAATATTCCCACGGCTTTAAAAAAAAAAAAAAGTCAGTCGTGCACCAACGTTAAATTTTTGACTGAGTTTTAAGAAGAGAAGTTTTCCAAGTTAAGCCCCACTACATCAGTTACATTTTGAATTTATTTATTTTCCATGTATTATGTCTGGACAGTTGGCATACTTGGAAACTCTTTAGTCATGTATGTATCATTTTATAACTTTTAAAGGAATTCTTGTATGGGACAACTACTGGGAAGTGAATGCTATGCTTTGAAAGCAAGGAGACAGCGTTAAAAACATCAATACAGACCAAAGGGCATCCAGTGGGAACTGAACTCTGAGTGAGCGGCGACAGCTCCCGGTATCGTGGGATTCTTAAGTAAACCTTGTCCCCAGGCCAGGTCCGGACATCCTTCCGAGACTGCTTCAGGCAAACTCCTAAGGTCGCTGTAGCCTGCAGGCCACACCCTAAGGCACTTTAAGGGCCTACACCTGTGGAGCCCTAGGGACGCTTCTGCTCCTAAGGAGAGTTCTCAACTTCCCATTTTATTCTCCGAAAGATGTAGCGACCTGTAAACTGAAGGCGGCTACTGAAGACTTACCGTCTTTCCCGCCCCATTGGGTCCAACCAAAATTGTAAGGGGGCTGAAGAAAGTGATAATTTGCTTATCTTTGTCCTCTATTCCAAAACTCCGCACGCCCAGAATGCTCATCTTTTCGATCCGGGACATGTTTGCAAACGTTTCTAATCTCACCAGGGACCTGGAGCCCACAAAGGCTTAACTGAGGCCGAAGCAAGGCGTGCACGGGACGTGAGACCCGCGAATCTCAGGGTCAGGAGGATCCGGGCGGGGAGCGAGGCCACAGGACTGCCAAAAGATCCTGCCAGCCAACAGCGGGAGAGAGGGGGCGGGGGATGGAGCCTTTCCTCCCACACCAGCTGCTTTCCCCGCCGGTGGGGAGAGCGGAGGCGGGGACCAGCCTGGGGCTGCCCGCCGGGGACGCAAAGCCGTAGCCACAATGCGACCCCGCAACCGCGCACTCACAGCTTCCTGCCTCGGCCGCCCTGCGGATCACGTGGGCCTCTAGGCCCGCACGCGTCCACGCCGCTCTCCTGGGGCACGCCGGGAAATCAGAGTCCCGCGGTGCGTGCGCAGCTCCGACTTCCGGGTGCGGTACGGCGAAGCAGAGGGCTAGGTGCTGGGTGCTGTTGCCAGGGGCAGCGGACTTCCGGATCTTTGCTGGGGATGGGCAGCCTGGAGAGGCACTGACTTTTGGAAGGGGAGACCAAGACCTGTGACGGATGGCGCTTCCCAAAGCTTGATCCTGGGACTCCTGGAATGGGGGTAGTGGTGGGGTGGATTGGAGACCCAGGAAGCGGGGTCAGTTCGTGTCAAAACTATTTTCCTTTTCATTCTCATTCTCTCTCTAACGTTCGTGTAGTAATTTCCAGTGATCACATAACATGTGATGACGCCATTGCAGTGGCGGTTAATGGAATGTGCGCATGTGTATTCTTGCGCTTAGAAATACCAATTTTAATTTCTAATTGAGTAAATGTTGATAATTATAACTCACGTACACGCTCTTTGAGGTCCCCCGTAATTTTTTAGTGTAAAGGCGTCTTTAAGACCAAAAGTCTGGGAACTAAAACTAAAAGCAGTCTGCAAATATGAAGAATGTAGAGGTAATCCATTCCGATCAGTGCTCCCAGCAATAGATATCTTTAAAAATAAGGGAAAGAGAAGTTACCTGTCTCAGAAGTAACTGAGAATATTGCTTTCTTGGAAACAAACTTAATGGAGGGATATCACATTTAAGGGCCTAGAGAAACATACATAAAAATTACTGAAACAATAGTGGAGGACATTTAAATGAAACACAAATTTGGAATTACTGTAGTGGTATAATTTGCCTCTGCCTGCCTTGGAAAAATGTAGGAAATGTTTCTCCAGTCATACAATCCCAAGCAAATAATTTACAGAACCTAATACATAAATGTATGTGCCAAAGGATGCAAGTGGGGAAGACCAGTGAGAAATAGTCTCTTGCTGTACCAGGTTAAAAAAAACCGGAAAGTGTCAGTTATTACAAAATAGTTAAAATAACTAATGGAACAAAACATTAAAATTATATAGGAATGTCTTACTTGGCAAAGCAAATGTAATAAAACAATGGGAAAAGACGAAAGACCTTTTTTTATTTTAAAAATTGTAAAATACACATAAAATTTACTGTCTTGGCCAGGCGCGGTGGCTCACGCCTGTAATCCCAGCACTTTGGGAGGCCGAGACGGGTGGATCACGAGGTCAGGAAATGAAGACCATCCTGGCTAACACGGTGAAACCCCGTCTCTACTGAAAACACAAAAAATTAGCCGGGCATGGTGGCAGGCGCCGATGGTCCCAGCTACTCAGGAGGCTGAGGCAGGAGTATGGCATGAACCCGGGAGGCGGAGCTTGCAGTGAGCCGAGACCGCACCACTGCACTCCAGCCTGGGCAACAGAGCGAGACTCCGTCTCAAAAAGAATTTACTATCTTAACCAAGTGTACATTTCAGTGGTGTTAAGTATACTCACGTACAACCGTCACCACCTTTCAACCTCTACAAATCTTTTCACTTTGCAAAACAAACTACCCATTAAACAATAACCCTTTCCTCCCCACATCCTCCAAACCCTGACAACCAACATTCTACTTACTGTCTCTATAATTTTTTACTAAGTACCTCATATAAGTGGAATCATACAGTATTTATCTTTTTGTGACTGGCTCATTTCACTTATAATGTCCTCAAGGTTCATCCATGTTGCAGCTCAGTCCCCAACCCCTGGGTCACTGACCAGTATGCATACCTGGCCTGTTAGGAACCTGGTGGCACAGTAGGAGGTGAGCAGCAGGTGAGTGAACATTACCACCCGAGCTGGGCCTCAGATCAGTGGGGGCATTAGATTCTCATAGGAGCACAAACCGTATTTTGAACTGCCCATGAGAAAGATGTAGGTTGCCCCATGCAAGGGATCTAGCTTGCCCATTCCTTATGAGAATCTAATGCCTGATGATGTGAGGTCGAACAGTTTCATCCCAAAACCATCACCCCACTCCTGTCTGTGGAAAAACTGTCTTCCGTGAGACTGGTCCCTGGTGCCAAAAAGGTTGGGGACCACTGTAGCATATATCAGAATTCAGGTCGTTTTTAAGGTTGAATAAGATTCATTACAATACACATCACATTTTGCTTATCCATCTATTGATGGACATTTGGGTTACTTTCACGTTTTAGCTATTGTGAATAGTGTGGCTATATATATTGGTGTACAAATGTCACTTCTGGACCCTGCTTTCAATTCTTTTGGGTATATACCCAGAAGTGGAATTATTAGATCATACAGTAATTCAATTTTTAATTATTTGAGGAACTGCCATACTGTTTTCCACAGTGGTTGTACCATTTGACATTCCCACCAATAGTGCATAAGGGTTTCAATTTCTACATATGCTTGCCAACACTTGTTATTTTATGTTTTTTTATGGTAGCCATCCTGATGAGTGTGAAGTGATACCTCATTGTAATTTTGATTTGCATTTCAATAATTATTAGTAGCATCATTTCATGTGTTTATTGGCCATTTGTGTATCTTTGAATAATTGACTATTCAAGTGGAGACTTTTTTTTTTTTTTTTTTTTTGAGATGGAGTCTCACTCTGTCACCCAGACTGGAGTGCAATGGTGCGATCTTGGCTCACTGCAACCTCCACCTCCCGCGTTCAAGTGATTCTTCTGCCTCAGCCTCCTGAGTAGCTGGGATTACAGGCACGTGGCACCACACCTGGCTAATTTTTTGTATTTTTAGTAGAGACGGGGTTTCACCATGTTGGTCAAGCTGGTCTCGAACTCCTAACCTTGTGATCCACCCGCCTCGGCCTCCCAAAGTGCTGGGATTACAGGTGTGAGCCACTGCGCCTGGCCAAGACCATTTTTTAAGTCAGATTTATTGAAGCATAATTAACATACAGTAAAATTCACCCTTTTCCAGGGTACAATTCCATGTGTTTTGGCAAATATAAACATTTGTGTAAACCACCAAGACCTTTTTTTTTTTTTTTTTTTTTTTTTAAGACGGAGTCTCTCTCTGTTGCCCAGGTTGGAGTGCAGTGGCGCGATCTCAGCTCACTGGAAGCTCCGCCTCCCGGGTTCACGCCATTCTACTGCCTCAGCCTCTGAGGACTGTAGCTGGGACTACAGGCGCCCGCCACCGCGCCCGGCTAATTTTTGTATTTTTAGTAGAGACGGGGTTTCACCGTGTTAGCCAGGATGGTCTCTATCCCCTGACCTCGCGATCCGCCCGCCTCGGGCTCCCAAAGTGCTGGGATTACAGGCGTGAGCCAGCGTGCCCGGCCACCACCAAGACCATTTAAATGAATACTGTGGAGACTTGGATATCAGTAGGAAGAAAAAAGCAAATCTACACTTTACTTTACTTACCACTGTAAGTTCTGGTGGATAAAATTTCAGAAAGATATTTCGGGAAGCAATAAAAGAAGAAGCAAGAAATGTAATTACCTCTACTTTTAAAGGGGAATTTTATGACCCAAAGTAGCATAAGAAATTAGCAATCACTGAGATAAGATATTGCTTGTCTCTGGTCTTAGCATGAAGTACCCAACATTATCTCTTATGCAGTTTTGCTTTCTTAAAAACGGAAAAAAGTTGAACTTGAATCTAATCATACCTTTAGATGTAACTTTCAGTTCACAGGAATTACAAGGATTAAGCTAACAGCAACACAGGGTTGGAAAAGGCAAATCCAGAAGCTAGAAACTGTTACAAGACACTGGCACAGGCTCTCAGGAGATCATTATCATTAAAGCAAAGACTATTGTAGATTTTAAAAGACTTATTAAAAAACATTTTGTTGCAAATTAAGAGATTTGAGATACATACCACCCCAATGGAATGCATGGTCCTAGTTTGGAAACTGGTTTTGCCATAGATGTGTGAAGGAAATTTGGGAGATAAGTAGGGAAATTTCAATGTAGACTGGAAATTAGATAATAAAAAAATTCTCTGAGGCAGGCGGATCATGAGGCCAGGAGATTGAGACCATCCTGGCTAACACGGTGAAACCCCGTCTCTACTAAAAATGCAAAAAATTAGCCGGGCCTGGTGGCATGCACCTGTAGTCCTAGCTACTCAGGAGGCTGAGGCAGGAAAATCGCTGAACCCGGGAGGTAGAGGTTGCAGTGAGCCAAGATCACGCCACTGCACTCCAGCCTGGGTGACAGAGCAGGACTCTATCTCAAAAATAATAATAATTCTTGTTAATTTCATTGTATTTGGTGTGATAATATTTTGCTATGTAAGAAAATGATCTTTTTTGAGATGCATATGGAAGTATTAGTGATAGTGTGTCATGTTGTCTGTAATTTAAAATACTTCAGAAAAAAAATAGTGAGTTGAAGGAAAAAAATGGACATGCCAAGGTAACCAGGTTCCATTACAAAAAAATTTCAACTTTGTAACAATGGAAACTATAAAACTAAGATAAAAGCTCTAGGATTGGGGTGGAAAAGATTTGTAATCAAAATGATTAATCCCTAAAATAAAAAGGCAAATCAGTGAAGTCTCCACTTCTTAGTAAACTACTACTTCCAAAAAATATTTAGTTTCACTGGTGCTAAAATTAATGAAATAAAAAATAAAACTACTATGAGATACTGTTTTATACCTAATAGAGAACTTCTTTATTCTTTGTTTTTTGTTGTTGTTGTTGTTGTTTTTGTTTTTGAGACAGAGTCTCGCTCTGTTGCCAGGCTGGAGTGCAGTGGCGCAATCTCGGCTCACTGCAACCTCTGCCTCCCGGGTTCAAGCGATTCTCCTGCCTCAGCCTCCTGAGTAGCTGGGACTACAGGCGTGCACCACCAAGCCCAGCTAATTTTTGTATTTTTAGTAGAGACGGGGTTTCACTATGTTGGCCAGGATGGTCTCGATCTCTTGACCTCATGAACCACCCTCCCAAAGTGCTGGGATTACAGGCTTGAGCCGCTGCGCCCAGCCTGAGAACCTCTTTATTCTTACAATACTTTCTAACATAATTCTCCCTTTTTTCTGATATTAATATTGGTACATGAGCTTTCTTTTGACTAGTATGGATTCGTTCTTAGAAATTGCAATTTAAGGGAAGTGAAACCAATTTTATCATAGCCTAGTTGATATAAACAAGAGACAAGTTCGTAGAACATATTTTTGGTCATAAAAATATCATCAAACTTATAAATAAAGATGAAAACACTTCTATTCAATATTAAACATTGAAACAAATGTGAGCAATAGATACATTTAAGAAAGATTCATAAAAGCAAGTAAAATAAGTATTTGCCCAACTATTCCAGTTCAAGTTTGCAGGTGGCTGGAGCTTTTCCCATCAGCTCAGGGTGCGAGGTGGGCACCAACCCTGAACAGGATGCCATTCCATCACAGAACACACACACATGCATGCACGCACACACACACACACGCAGACTGGGACTATGTAGACATGCCAATTCACCTCACATGCACATATTTGGGATGTGAGAGGAAACTGGAGTACCCAGAGAAACCCCACACAGACATTAGGAAATGTGCAAACTCCACACAGCCTGGCCAAGAATTAATTATTGTTTTCTCGTGAATGTTATAACAAAGTTATTCTAGGACCTGCTATGTATCTTTGCATCCAAACTTCCTATGTTGTTTTGCATTGTGTATCTCTTGAAAATAGCTGATAGATGATTTCTAATGCAATTTTATAGTATTTGCCTTTTAATAAATGACTTTCATCTGTTTTCAATTACTGTGATTGCTGGTAAATTTAGGCATATGTCTTATTCCTGTGCTTTTTCTTTGTTTCTTTGTCTCCTTTCCTGCTTTGTAGAATATCCAAGCTTTCTTTATTCCTTGTTTTACTCTACTGATTTGGAAAATACACATTCTATTTCTATTCTTTTACTGGGCACTCTTAAATTTTTCACATTACTATTTTGAAGTCCAGAGTTAATATCATTAGGATCCTTCTGAACAATACAAGGACTGTAAAATGTGCCAGAAGATCACCCCCCACCTTCCACATTATCACTATTTAGCATTTTTGTTCCTCATTGTCTTCAAATAAGAAACAAAACAAATGAAATCAGTTATTTTTAAACCAGCATTATTCATTTAGGTTTACCAGCATATTTATCAAACTCTTTGATTCCCACTGCTTCTGCGTCACTTCTTCCTTCTGGGTTCATTCGCTCTCCATTAGCAAAACCTTTAAAGCCTGGTGCTAATGGACCTTCAGAGAAAGAAATATATCTCCTGGTGCTAATATCAAGATTAAACAAAGCTATTTTTGTGAAAATGCTTTATAAATTGTAAAACCCTGTGAAAATATAAGAGTTATTTTTTCTGGCCAGGCGCATTGGCTCACACCTGTAATCCCAGCACTTTGGGAGGCCGAGATGGGCAGATCACGACGTCAACAGATCAAGACCATCCTGGCCAACTTGTTGAAACCCCGTCTCTACTAAAAATACAAAAATTAGCTGGGCATGATGGCGCGTGCCTTTAGTCCCAGCTTCTCTGGAGGCTGAGGCAGGAGAATCGCTTGAACCCAGGAGGCGGAGCTTGCAGTGAGCTGAGATTGTGCCACTGCACTCCAGCCTGGCGACAGAGTGAGACTCTGTCTCAAAAAAAAAAAAAAAAAGATTTCTTTTTTCTGCATTGGATATTTTCAGAGGGTAATCTGGTAAAATGTAACAAAGCTATAAACATGATTATACAAGTTCATTAGCATAAGGAAAATTTTTAAAATTTTACACAGGTGTTTATAGTAGCATTGTTTAAAATTGTGGAAGGCTAGAAACAACCCCAGTGCCTAAAAGTTGGGAAATGGTGATGGAAACTATGGTACATCAGTTTCATCTAATAGCAGGTTATCACTAAAATAATAAGTAGGAAATTGTATAGATATGTGAAAAAGAAATACTCATAAAAAAGATAAATACAAACTGCATATATTCACTGATTAAAACTGTAAAACTGTCTATGTGTTGGTAAGGTTTAGAAGATGATTTCAAAAAACTGATAGTTGCTATACCAAGAAATTCTGTGTTTATTTTCCTATAATGTTATTTATTCAATTAAAAAATCATATTAAAGGGAGATTGAAAGGATAGAATTTCGAATAGAGTCAAGAAGAAAAAGAGATGTTATCAATTTACATTTAGTCATCATGAAAATTGCGAGGCATCATGCTCAGTTGATTAGAATCAGTTCATGGAAAAGTCATTTGACCTTAAGGACTACACAGTAAAAACCACAGTTATCAGTTTTAAAGACATGTTGCCAATGTGTTACCCACTAATAGAGATAAAAGTTTTAGGGCAAAAGGATGGATGTTACCCACCAATGTAACTTTTCAATATTAATCAAAGTGCTTTTTTTAAATTATAAAATTACCAACCAGTAATTATTTAAAAATCAAAGTACTAATTGTTTATTTCTTTCTATTTCCCTAAAATAACGTGGATTTTAAAAAATCTAAATGGTAGTTCACATTGCCTCCGTCTCTGTAGCTGAACTTTAAAGCTTTGCTCTCTTTTGCCCAGGAGTTCTGCCAAAGAACTCCTGTTGTTTGTTACTTTAGGCTCCTAGCTGCAGGTAAAAGACTCCTTGAGGCCGGGCACGGTGGCTCATGCCTGTAATCCCAGCACTTTGGGAGGCCGAGGCGGGCGGATCACGAGGTCAGGAGTTTGAGACCAGCCTGGCCAAGATGGTGAAACCCCGTCTCTACTAAAAATACAAAAGTTAGCCGGGCGTGGTGGCAGGTGCCTGTAATCCCAGCTACTCAGGAAGCTGAGGCAGGAGAATCGCTTGAACCTGGGAGGCGGAGGTTGCAGTGAGCCGAGATTGCACCACTGCCCTCTAGCCTGGGTGACAGAGCAAGACTCTGTCTCAAAAAAAAGAAAAAGACTTCTTGAGTTTCCACAGTATAGTAATCCTCACTTAATGTCATCAATAGGTTCTTGGAAACAGACTTTAAGGGAAACGATGTATAACAAAACCAATTTTACCGTAGGTGAATTGATATGAACAAAGCTTACATTCCTATGGCATATTTCTGGCCACAAAAATATCATCACACTTCTAAACAAAGACCAAACACTTCTAATATTAAACATTGAAACAATTATGAGCTATATGTACATTTAAGAAAGATTCATAAAAACAAGTAAGATAACTTACCCAACTATTCCAGTTGAAGGTTGAAGATGGCTGGAGTTTATCCCGGTAGCTCAAGGTACAAGGTGAGCACCAATCCTGGATAGGGCGTCATTCCATTGCAGAGCACACAGACGCACACACAGACGCACACACACACACTCACAGACTGGGACTGTGTAGACATGCCAATTCACCTCGCGTGCACATCTTTGGGATGTGAGAGATTGTGCAAACTCCACATAGACAATGGCTTTGGCTGGGAAGCGATTGTTTTTCTTATCAACAGTATAATGAAATAACGTGGAACTAAGCAAAGTTATTCAAGGACCTGCTGTATTCACATTAACTCAACGAGTACAACAAAAGATAAAGTTGTTGTAAGTGCCTGCTTGTTCATTCAGTTAGTTATTTAACAAATCTTTATTTTACTGTCTACAATAGGCTAGTCCTCAAGGATGAAGAGATCGATTCAATAAAAACCTTATTCTCAAGGAGCTCATAGTCTACTGGTGAAATAAAAAGGTGCCAACTGCATTACACTCATGGAATTCAAAGTTCTGCTTTTTTTTTTTTTTTGAGACAGGGTCTCACTATGTTGCCCAGGCTAGTCTTAAACTCTTGGGCCCGATTGATCCTCTGGCCTCAGCCTCCTGAGCAAAGCCTTTTAAATAATAATGGTAAAAACAATCATTAACTTTTTCAATGTGCAGTATTATTATTTATTTATTTATTTATTTGAAATGGAATCTCGCTCTGTCACCCAGGCTAGAGTGCAGTGGCGCTATCTCAGCTCACGGCAACCTCTGCCTCCTGGGTTCAAGTAATTCTCCTGCCTCAGCCTCCCAAGTAGCTGGGATTACAGGCGCCAGCCACCAAGCCTAGCTAATTTTTGTATTTTAGTAGAAACAGGGTTTCACCATATTGGCCAGGCTGGTCTCGAACTGCTGACTTCAACCAATCCACCCACCTCAGCCTCCCAAAGTGCTGGGGTTACAGACCTGACCCATCATGCCTCGCCGCAGTATTATTTTTAATACACTTTTTATTTTAAGTAGTTTTAGATTTATAGAGAAGTTTCAAGACTGTTAGAGAGCATTCCAGTGTGCCCTGCACCCAGTTTCCCATTGTTAACATTACTATGGTACAATTGTCACAACTAAGGAACTAATATTGGTACATTACTAAACTCCAGGCTTTTTCCAATTCCCTTAGTTGTGCCCGTTGTCCTTATTCTGTTCCTGAGTGTCATCCATGATACCACATTGTATGTAGTCATCACGTCTCTTAGAGGCCTCTCTGGCTGTGTCAGTTTCTCAGACTGTGCTTGTTTTTGATGACCTTAACAGTTTTAAGGAGTACTGGTCAGGCATTTTGTCTTTCCATTTGGGTATGTGTAGTGTTTGTGTCATGGTTAGGCAGAGGTTACTGGTTTTGGGGAGGAAGATGACAGGGATAAAGTTCCTTTCTTATCACATCAAATCAAAGGTACATGCTGTTAACATGATGTTTCACTGCCACCATTGACTGGGATCACCTAGCTGAAGTAGTGTTTGATCAGGTTTCTCCACTGTGAAGTTATTCCTCTTATTCTCCCCTTTCCATACAGTTCTCTTTTTTAAAAAGTCACTCTGTATATCCCACTCTTAATGAAAGGGGGTTGTGTTCCATCTCCTTGAGGGTGTAGTAGCTACATACATTATTTTGAATTCTTGGGCACAGGAGATTAAAATCATTAACTTTTATTTGGAGTTTTGCATTAATAAAGCTCTTTCTTTTTTTTGAGATGGAGTCTCGCTCTGTTGCCCAGGCTGGCGTGCAGTGGCGTGATCTCAGCTCACTGCAACATCCACCTCCCAGGTTCACGCCATTCTCCTGCCTCAGCCTCCTGAGTAGCTGGGACTACAGGTGCCGGCCACCATGCCCAGCTAATTTTTTTGTATTTTTAGTGGAGATGGGGTTTCACTGTGTTAGCCAGGATGGTCTCGATCTCCTGACCTCGTGATCTGCCCGCCTCAGCCTCCCAAAGTGCTGAGATTACAGGTGTGAGCCACCATGCCTGGCCAATAAAGCTCTTTCAAATACATTATTTTACAGGTCCAACTCCGAGACAGTTTACAGTCAGGTTGGGGAGATCACACTTATAGAGGAAAAGTTAATGACACGAAAACTTTATAAGAAATTTAATTTTGTACACCCATGTTCATAGCAGCATTATTCACAATAGCCAAAGGATGGAAGCAACATTGGTGTCCATCGACAGACCATGGATAAACAAAACATGGTATAGACATCCAATGAAATATTATTCAGCCTTAAAAAGGAAGAAAATTGACACATGCTACAACATGGATGAATCTTGAGAATAGACATTATGCTAAATGATATAAGCCAGTCACAAAAAGCCAAGTACTGTATATCAGGTACCTAAAGTCATCAAATTCATAAAGACAGAAAGTAGAAGCGTGGTTGCAAGGTGCTGGGAGAATGGGGGCGGGGGTTGGGAGCTGTTGTTTAATGGGTACAGAGTTTCAGTTTTGCAAGATGAAAAGAGTCCTGGAGATTTGTCACACAACATTATGAATGTACTTAAGGCTACTGAGCTGTACACTTAAAAAAATGGTTAAGATAGTAAATTTTATGTGTATTTTGCCACAATTAAACATTTCTAAAAGAAATACAATTTTGAATAAGAAGTATTTTTTATAACTAGCCTTCCAATAAGAACCCACAGTTTTGCTGTAAAACAGAGGCTGCAAAATGGTACATTATACAGTTGCCAACATTTGAAAAATCCAGAGATTATATATAATAAGCAGGATTTCAGCCTTCCTTTTTTGTTGTTGTTGTTGTTGTTGTGCTTTTTGTTTTTTTGTTTGTTTGTTTGTTTTGAGACAGTCTCACTCTCTTGCGCAGGCTGGAGTGCAGTGGTGCAACCTCAGCTCACTGCAACCTCCGCCTCCTGAGTTCAAGCAATTCTCCTGCCTCAGCCTCCCGAGTAACTGGGATTACAGGCACACACCACCACGCCTGGCTAATTTTTATAAAGGCTTCTTTGAAAAACAGAATGATCGGGTAATGTGAGCCCAGGTGTGTCACCTGGCAACCATCAGCTGGAGCTGAGCAGCACCTGCCACCTTTAGACAGATCATGCATGCTATAGTTTCATGTGACCCCCACCAGCTTTGATGTATTACACCCTGCCCATTTCACTCACTGGTCTTGAACTCCTGGGCTCAAGGGATCCACTGCCTGGGCTTACCAAAGTGCTGGGATTACAGGCGTGAGCCACTGTGTTTAGCCCAATTTTTTATTTTTTCTAGAGATGGAGTCTCACTATGTTGCCTGGGCTGGTCTCAAACTCCTGGGCTCAAGCAATCCTTCTGCTTCAGCCTCCCAAAGTGCTGGGATTACAAGCATGAGCCACCTTGCCCAGCCTCCTATGATAGAATTTAAGCACTCAGAACTTTGTGTATTTAAGGTACTAAAATAACAAGTTATTTGGCAATTCCCCTGAAACTTTCACCTAAGCCCTAACTTCCTCAGTGTAACATAAAGGTGTCAGGGGGAATCAGAGAGAACGCTCTCATATTCTCTGGGAAGAGAAAGCTCCTGCCAGAACTCAGCTTCTTTTCTGAGAATACCATTTTAAGAGCACTTTGACCAAGCCTATTGTGATTCCTACTCCCGAAAATCTCACTCCCGATAGATTTTCTGAAGTGAGCCAAACTTCTGCAGTCTCAAGGAAACATTTCTCAAGGAAAACATTTCTCAAGTGCGCAAATCAGACACATCTAACCAAGAGTCCAAAACTTCAGCACAAACAAAACCAAACGTGGTACAAGAAGGCCGCCACTGAAATCCAAGACTGTCTTTATCTTTCCAGTGCAGAGCTGGGATTGAGTATGTATGAAAGGTGTGTCTACCTCCCAGCTGCCTCTACTTCTCCTACACAACTGCACCTAGCTTTGGAAAACTGTTCTGGGCAACAGTTTGTGTTTGGTACCATCTGTTCTTGACGCTCAAGACAGGCCTGAAGTCAGGCTTCTAGGCTGCAACATAGAGCCACTCTGGGATGCTCACTGAAGCACTCTATTAAAAACAATGAGCCACATACACCTCCATCATATGTGTTCAGGCCAGGGAAAAAGGAAGTGTGTGATCTAGGAGGGGGCCTCATTTGTACCTTTCTGGGATTACAGGTCTGAGCCTAAGGAACAAAGGCTGATTCCCCTAATTTCATGGCCCGCCCAAGGTGTGAAAGGACACCTCCACCCTTATGGGACATAAAGGAGAGGACACATCCATGTATTGTGTATCTGTGACAGATATTTATTGGTTGCCTTCCTAGAATCTGTGTCCCCCTTACTACTGGGACCCCACATTTCTAAGCTATGCAGTTGAGGTAGGATTAGGGTCACCTCTAGCTCCAGGGAGAGCCAATCAGTATATACTACACCCTGGTCACAGTTCAAGGATGAACATGTGACCCTTGTCAGAAAGAGACTGAATTTGAAAGCTTTTGATTAAACAATCAGAAAAGCACAGCTTGCTTTTTCCTGCTGCTCATGAACAGAATACATATAGATCCAGGAGTCTGGACATCATCTTGAGACCTCAATGGGAAAGGTGCCCAAGGATGGAGTCAAGGAAGAGTCACTGAAGCCATCAAAATGTAAAAGAGCCTCCATTCCTGGACTGTTTGGTTCTATGAGCCAATACCTTCCCTCTTTATCTTCAACAACTTTAGGTTAGGTTTTTAGTCACTGGCAACAGAAAGGATCCTAATCAAGACCCCAGTGAACAGAACTCGACCCTGCCAAGGCTTGGCAGTTTCCATTTCAATCACTGTCTTCCCACCAGTATTTTCAATTTCTTTTAAGACAGATTAATCTAGCCACAGTCATAGTAGAACATAGCCGATCTGAAAAAAACATTCCCAATATTTATGTATTTTAGCATAAAATTCTGTTTAGTGGTCTACCTTATACTTTGTTTTGCACACATCTTTTAAGAGGAAGTTAATTTTCTGATTTTAAGAAATGCAAATGTGGGGCAATGATGTATTAACCCAAAGATTCTTCGTAATAGAAAATGTTTTTAAAGGGGGGAAACAGGGATTTTTATTATTAAAAGATAAAAGTAAATTTATTTTTTAAGATATAAGGCATTGGAAACATTTAGTTTCACGATATGCCATTATTAGGCATTCTCTATCTGATTGTTAGAAATTATTCATTTCCTCAAAGACAGACAATAAATTGACTGGGGACGCAGTCTTGTACTATGCACTTTCTTTGCCAAAGGCAAACGCAGAACGTTTCAGAGCCATGAGGATGCTTCTGCATTTGAGTTTGCTAGCTCTTGGAGCTGCCTACGTGTATGCCATCCCCACAGAAATTCCCACAAGTGCATTGGTGAAAGAGACCTTGGCACTGCTTTCTACTCATCGAACTCTGCTGATAGCCAATGAGGTAATTTTCTTTATGATTCCTACAGTCTGTAAAGTGCATAGGTAATCATTTGTGATGGTTCCTTTACTATATATAGAGATCTGTTATAAATAATAAGATTCTGAGCACATTAGTACATGGGTGATAACTACATCACCAGCAAACATTCTGTTAAAAGTTATGAATGCTGGTGTGCTGTAAAAATGATTGTATTTCCTTTCCTCTCCAGACTCTGAGGATTCCTGTTCCTGTACATAAAAATGTAAGTTAAATTATGATTCAGTAAAATGATGGCATGAATAAGTAAATTTCCTGTTTTAAGCTGTAAATCATTAGTTATCATTGGAACTATTTAATTTTCTATATTTTGTTTTCATATGGGTGGCTGTGAATGTCTGTACTTATAAATATGAGGAATGACTTTTTATCAAGTAGAATCCTTTAAACAAGTGGATTAGGCTCTTTGGTGATGTTGTTAGTTTGCCTCCCAAAGAGCATCGTGTCAGGGATTCTTTCCAGAAGGATTCCACACTGAGTGAGAGGTGCGTGCTAGTCTCCGTGCAGTTCTGACTCTTTCTCACTCTAACGTGTTTCTGAAAGTATTAGCAACTCAGAATTATATTTTTAGAACCATGATCAGTAGACATTAAAATATATAACAAATGCCCTATATTAATAATTTCTGCATACTTAAATAATTATGACTATATGATGGTGTTGTATGCATTTGAATATGTCCTGGTCATATTAAAATGTAAAATATATAGTTTTATTAGTCTAAATAGAATAAAACTACCAGCTAGAACTGTAGAAACACATTGATATGAGTTTAATGTATAATGCATTACACTTCCAAAACATTTTTTTCCAGTTACATAATTAAGTTATATCCTTTATAAAACTCCTCAGTAATCATATAAGCTTCATCTACTTTTTGAAAATTTTATCTTAATATGTGGTGGTTTGTTGCCTAGAAAACAAACAAAAAACTCTTTGGAGAAGGGAACTCATGTAAATACCACAAAACAAAGCCTAACTTTGTGGACCAAAATTGTTTTAATAATTATTTTTTAATTGATGAATTAAAAAGTATATATATTTATTGTGTACAATATGATGTTTTGAAGTATGTATACATTGCAGAATGGACAATGGACCAAATTTTTATACCTTGTCTTGATTATTTGCATTTTAAAAATTTTCCTCATTTAGCACCAACTGTGCACTGAAGAAATCTTTCAGGGAATAGGCACACTGGAGAGTCAAACTGTGCAAGGGGGTACTGTGGAAAGACTATTCAAAAACTTGTCCTTAATAAAGAAATACATTGACGGCCAAAAAGTAAGTTACACACATTCAATGGAAGCTATATTTGTCTGGCTGTGCCTATTTCTATGGAATTGACAGTTTCCTGTAATACCTATTGTCATTTTTCTTTTTTCACAGAAAAAGTGTGGAGAAGAAAGACGGAGAGTAAACCAATTCCTAGACTACCTGCAAGAGTTTCTTGGTGTAATGAACACCGAGTGGATAATAGAAAGTTGAGACTAAACTGGTTTGTTGCAGCCAAAGATTTTGGAGGAGAAGGACATTTTACTGCAGTGAGAATGAGGGCCAAGAAAGAGTCAGGCCTTAATTTTCAGTATAATTTAACTTCAGAGGGAAAGTAAATATTTCAGGCATACTGACACTTTGCCAGAAAGCATAAAATTCTTAAAATATATTTCAGATATCAGAATCATTGAAGTATTTTCCTCCAGGCAAAATTGATATACTTTTTTCTTATTTAACTTAACATTCTGTAAAATGTCTGTTAACTTAATAGTATTTATGAAATGGTTAAGAATTTGGTAAATTAGTATTTATTTAATGTTATGTTGTGTTCTAATAAAACAAAAATAGACAACTGTTCAATTTGCTGCTGGCCTCTGTCTTAGCAATTGAAGTTAGCACAGTCCATTGAGTACATGCCCAGTTTGGAGGAAGGGTCTGAGCACATGTGGCTGAGCATCCCCATTTCTCTGGAGAAGTCTCAAGGTTGCAAGGCACACCAGAGGTGGAAGTGATCTAGCAGGACTTAGTGGGGATGTGGGGAGCAGGGACACAGGCAGGAGGTGAACCTGGTTTTCTCTCTACAGTATATCCAGAACCTGGGATGGTGCAGGGTAAATGGTAGGGAATAAATGAATGAATGTGCTTTCCAAGACTGATTGTAGAACTAAAATGAGTTGTAAGGCGTCCCCTGGAAGAAGGGCAGTGTGGGAACCTGTAACTAGGTTCCTGCCCAGCCTGTGAGAAGAATTTGGCAGATCAATCTCATTGCCAGTATAGAGAGGAAGCCAGAAACCCTCTCTGCCAAGGCCTGCAGGGGTTCTTACCCCACCTGACCCTGCACCATAACAAAAGGAACAGAGAGACACTGGTAGGGCAGTCCCATTAGAAAGACTGAGTTCCGTATTCCCGGGGGCAGGGCAGCACCAGGCCGCACAACACTCCATTCTGCCTGCTTATGGCTATCAGTAGCATCACTAGAGATTCTTCTGTTTGAGAAAACTTCTCAAGGATCCAGAAAATATGCTCTTTAAAATATTTTAAAACTGATATAGACCCAAAGGAGAGACCCTCCATTCTCTCTTTCTTTCATTCAACAAATCTGTATTGATCACAGGCTCTCTGCTGGGTGTGGGATGCAGCTGTGGGCCTGTGCTGGAGGTCCTTAGAGGCCAGTACTCCTATCCTGGGCTTTATCTGCATGGATTGCTGCAGTGTTGGGCTCCACTGCTGTGTGAAGCAATTGCTCCTGCTCTTTCTGGGCATGGGAGAAGGGTCAGAGCAGTCGGACACAGATTCCCAGGCAGGAGAATGGAACTCCTTCCGAGGAAGAAGACGTGTTTTCCTTCCAGCACACACCCAGGCATGGTGGTCAGGACCGTGGACCAGGTCCCCAACTTGTGCATGCACCAAGCCCCAGGATCAGGAGCAGAGCTAGTGAGGGAGCAAGATGGATGAGGACAGCACGGTGCTGACCACTCTAGACAGACAGGAGACAGGAAACAGGAAACTCAACTTGCAAAAAGACTGAATCTCAACTTGATTCAATTAGGCAGATACTGAGTTCCAGTATACTCCAGGACTATTCTAGGGGCTAGGATTCAACAGTGAATAAAACAGACAAAATCCTTTCCCTTGTACACTTATATCCTCTCAAAAAAGCTCCTTTCCCCTCTTTCTTATCAGGGTCTAATATAGTTAATAAGGACTTAAGACTGGAATATCACATCTAAATCCCCAATAATGAGCCCTCACCAATCTGCCAGGTCCCAGAGAAGCTAAAAACAATCAGGGCTGTTTGCAACTAACTGAAATAAAACTTGATTCGAACTCATGTCAAGCCTGTTGACAACACACACACATGTCCACGTGTCACTGCTGTGCATAGAAACCTCTGACTCACTACCATCTGAAGTCCAGGCTCCTTCACAGGTCATTCAAGGTCGACCTCTGCCCCCTCTGACCCCTGACATACAGAAATACAGGCATCATCCATGTAACAACCTTGGCAAGAAAACATTAACCAGGTGCCTCATTCCCATTATTTTAAGTGCGAAAAATTTTAATGCATTATGTCTCAACCCAAAATCTTCAACCAACTTCTTAAAACATAAAACATAGTAAAATGCCTGTATATAAGGAAAAAACACATTAGGGTGTAAAAATTTAAACAAAATATTTTGTATTTATTTATTTAATTGTAGTAAAATAAGGATATAAGATATTTAAAACAGTACTTCCTGATCACTCAGCAGTTAATATAATGGTTGCTTTGTCTGTATAACATGCTGCACGTCCCCTTAGTTAACATTCAGAGCCTTTCCGATTGTCTTCTGTGAACGCTGATTTGCTACTAATCATATGTGGAATAAACCTAAAGACTTTGTCCATTGACTCCCCTCATCACTTGGTTAAAGAATTTCTTATGTTTAGGGGACATAAATATTTTTACAATATAAATATTGGTGGGAAAGCATTGTATTGAGAGACACGTTCTATGAAGAAGAACTGTATGTGGAAAACATTTATTGTGGAGATGTTCAGGCCAGGCATGGTGGCTTATGCCTGTAATCCCAGCACTTTGGGAAGCTGAAGCAGGAGGATCACTTGAGTCCAGGAGTTCAAGACTAGCCTGGGCAACATAGCAAGATGTCTCTACAAAAAGAAAGAAAAGTAGCCAGGCGTGGTGGTGCACATCTGTAGTTCCAACTACTCAGGTGGCTGAGGTGGGAGGATCACCTGAGCCCAGGAGGTGAGGCTGCAATGAGCTCTGATTGTGCCACTTTGGGCAACAGTATGAGGCTGTTTAAAAAAAAAAAAAAAACAAAAAAAACAAAGAGATGATCTGTAAAGAATGCTAGCTCTTATTCTTCACAGAATATCCATGAATTTTCATACCTCTGTGCCTTGGTCCACACTATACCCTCTGTCTCAGTATCTTTTTTCTTTCCCACCCAACAAACTTGTAATTGCCCTTTAGATGTTTTCATTCACCATATCCTCCTTCTTTTTTTTTTTTTAGAGACAGGGTCTTGCTCTGTCACCCAGGCTGGAATGCAGTGGCGTGATCATTGCTCACTGCAGCCCTGAACTCCTGGGCTCAAGTGATTCCCCTGTTTCAGCCTCCCCAGTAGCTGGGGCTACAGGCACTTACTACCATGCCTAGTTAATATCTTTTAAAATTATTTTGTAGGGATGGGGTTTCACTATGTGACCTGGGTTGGTCTTAAACTTCTGGCCTCAAGTGATCCTCTCACTCTGGCCTCTCAAAGTGCTGGGATTACAAGTATGAGCCACCACACTGCCCTCTTTTTATTTTTATTTATTTATTTATTTATTCATTTATTATTTTTTTCGAGATGGAGTCTCACTTTGTCACCCAGCCTGGAGTGCAGTGGCATGATCTCGGCTCACTATAACCTCCACCTCCTGGGTTCCAGTGATTCTCCTGCCTCAGCCTCCCGAGTAACTGGGACTACAGGTGCATGCCACCACACCCAGCTAATTTTTATATTTTTAGTAGAGACAGTGTTTTACCATGTTGGTCAGGCTGGTCTTGAGCTCTTCACCTCAAGCAATCCACCTGCCTCAGCCTTCCAAAGTGCTGAGATTATAGGTGTGAGCCACCGTGCCCGGTCTTTTTATTTATTTATTCATTCATTTATTTATTTATTTTTTGAGACAGAGTGTCACTCTGTCACCCATGCTGGAGTGCAGTGGCATGGTCTCAGCTCACTGCAAGCTCCGCCTCCCAGGTTCATGCCATTCTCCTGCTTCAGCCTCCCTAGCAGCTGGGACTACAGGTGCCCACCACCACACCTGGCTAATTTTTTTGTATTTTTAGTAGAGATGGGGTTTCACCATGTTAGCCAGGATGGTCTCGAGCTCCTGACCTCATGATCTGCCCATCTCAGCCTCCCAAAGTGCTGGGATTACAGGCATGAGCCACCGTGCCTGGACTGTTTTTATTTTTTTAAGAGATAGAGTCTTGCTATGTTGTCCAGGCTGGACGCAAACTCTTGGGTTCAAGTGATCCTCCCATCTCACCCTCCTGAGTAATTGGAACTATAGGCAAGTGCCACCATGTCCAGCAGTTTTTTTAATCTCAATGTACCTGCCTGTGGCCAGCTGACCTACTGCTTTCATGGTCTCATATCATTGTGTACATTTACCATCAGGATCACGACATAGAGAGAGTAAAATGCACAGGCCTATAAATGTAACGAGCTGTTACAAAAGTTTCAAAGCCACAGGAAGGTTCTACCAGGTGCTTAGAATGTTTATTCCATTTATACAACAAAGAACTAGAAAAACAGTTCCAGAGTATAAAAGACTCAAGCCTAGGAGTCTCCATGTTTCACTTGTCCGATGGAAGTCCCATTCTTACCAAAGAATCATGGCAGATTTAGGTTTTCCTGGTGTCAGTATTAGCTCAGACCTCATATTTAACAATGTTTGAAAAGTTTGGGTATCTCCTATACTAGTGTGTACTTATCCTGATGAATGGCTCCAGATCGCTTTGGTAAAGGATTAAAGAAAGTTTACTGCATGTATATGTAGTGGGATTATAGAGTCCTCCTGTTCAATCAATGGACACTGGGTTTATGAATGCCTTAGATGTGGGAACTGGATGAAGAGCTTGCATTTCCACTGTGGTGGCTGATGTCAGCCCTTTACCACTTGATTACATATACATGCTAATTGATTATCAACGTTTCTTGTCTCTAGGAACACTTTAATTTCTTAGCCACCACAATAGATCCCTGAAGGTTAAGAGTCAAGGCACCCTGGTTGGCACCATGGCCTTGCTGTTTGTGGTGGTAATTATGTCCCCCTTGCCTCTAATGTTTAAGTGCTTCCAACCTGAGCTCTGCCATTCTAGGGATCTCATGTTGCCTATTGATATTAGGGAGTCCATGTCATTGGCAGCATCTTTCACCTTCAACCCAGCTTACAGGGGACATCCACCACCAATGTTTGCAATGATGCCTGCTTCTCTTCACTAGTGTATCTGTTGCTGTGTTAGTAAAAGGAGTATATTCTGTGTCCTCCAGGAACATACTCAGATAGTAGGTTCTCAGGCCAGATACAAAAAATCCATTTTAGTATTCCTGCTTCTCTGAGCTATCTGCTCTTTTCTTCAATACTATGGGAGGAAGTTCAGGTGTCTCCACTTCATATTCTGTACACCATCATCAGGATCAGGCTTCAAGGAGCCACTCCAGCAAACTATTAGGACTAACTCCAGTTGTTCTTGCGAAAACTTAATTCTGAGTCGTAAGTATACCCACACCAATAAATCCAATCCCATTCAACTCTATATTCTTCTGGACAAACAGCTGCAGGATGCACTCGATTCTGGATTCTGACAGTACATATTAGTAAACTCCTGCACACCTTACACTTCCCTGCCAAGACTGTATGTCAGCTGTGAAGCTATTGTCTCTCAGCTTCAAGCCCACTATACTATACTCTGCTGCAGCTGGGATTCTGCAAACCAATTTCTCCTTTGCCAGCTGCAACCCTGTTAGGATCTGTCAATGGAGGGTGTAGACTAGGAGGCTGGAGGAAGAAAAGGGGACTTTTTTCTTCCTGTTGCTTCCTATTCTTTGTTTTTGTTTCCTGTTCCTGTCCTCTTATATTCCTATTCCTAATCCTAATCCTAACATGAACCCTGGCAGCAGTAGTTGACTCTAGTAGCAACATTTGATTATAGTTTGCAGTTTTTCCACCATTCATAGAACCGACCTTAGCACACCTCATTTCCCTCTGAGACCCCAGCAACAGCCAATCAGCATCCCCTCAGAGGTCTGGATCCCATTCCCAAAGGACCCCTTTTCTGAGCTCAGGAACTGCACTGCATGCAGAGCAGTGTCCCCTCTACAGATGTCTGAGTTTCAGGTCCACAAAGCCCGTCCTCCAAATTTATAAGTTTTAATAATTTTCACCTGTTCCCTTTGCTTCCCAGACATAGAAGTGCTAGCTGCTTCCCACAATTGCCACCTCCTTGATACCTTATTGTTCCCTTTTTGCCTGCCTAGTTTTCCAATACCTGGCTAACAGTTCTTTATATTTAATTCTGCTTATTAAAATAACTGGTATAGTTTGTGTCTCCTGGTTGGTGCCTAGTTAACACAAGATGTTCTTAGATCTGACTTTAATTATTGGCCTTGAGGCAATAAGGGGTGTTGAGGGAGGGTTGTGGGCAGAACAAATGTCATCTTGTGAAGTATATGTTTCAAGTGAAATAGTTATTCTGTTTCCAGGCAAGGAGAAGTTAGTCTACTCTGGCAAGGGGGAAAGGTCTGCTTCTACCAGTTAAGGAGGGCTCAGAGAATTTGGAGGTTCAAGAGTTTTAGGTTTGTCCACCCAAATGTTTCTATCCCAGGTCTCATGGTCCCAGCCTTTCCTCATAAGAGCCCTGACTTTGACACAGAATGTGCAAAATCCACTCTTCTCCTTTGAAGCTCTTCAAAGGCTGCAAATAATCAGATCCTGAGCCTAATTTTCAGATCGGTTTGCCCTGCAGTTGCTGGAAATAAGAGTCTCCTCTAAAGTTGCCATGGGAGTTGTCGAGCATTCCGAGAATATGTTAAGTTAGAATTAGATTGCCATGAGCCTATCATTTTCTTTTGGTAAGGTCTTCAGTGCTGTCAGAAGAGTCATTGTACTCTGCAATCTTTATAATTACCATTGTTCTCATATAACCCTGTCATTTTATCTTTCATTGTCTTGCTGTCCACCTGCCCCTCATCTAAATTAACCAGAGCTAAAAGCTTAAGAAATTGCAAAGCCACTGCCTGCCAGAAGTTATTATCAACCTACTTATATTCAGCAATAGGTTCATATTATTTTAAAATAGTGAATAATCCAATGTCAATGTTCCATTTCCAAGTGTTTGTTACCTAAAATTACATCTGATACTAATTGTCATAGCCAGGTCTCTTCAGAAAGCAGAGCCTGAAGTCAGGCTCTGCTTGCCTTCTATGCCTGGAAATTAAGGGTGCTGTGTTGGTGTTGGTGCTGACAAAGAGACAGATAGGAGGCAGTGAGGGCAATCTGAGAAGGCACACAAATATGTATCCAATACAAACATAAATTTCCACAACTGATGCAAGAAGACATAGAAAAATCTAAACAGATCTAGAACCACTAAAGAAATTAAACCAGTCATTTAAAATCTTTCTTGAAAGAATACACCAAGTCCAGATAGTTTTCTAGGTGAGTCCTTCTAAAGTGTCAGGTCACATATAATTCCAAACATATATAAACTCTTATAGAAAATAAACAAAATGAGATATTTCCCAGCTCATTTTGTGAAGCTAATATGTAGCATACGAAAGTCAGAGGAGGAAAATATATGAAAGAAAAATTATGATCCCATACTCACTCATGAATGTGGACATAAACATTGTTATCAAAGTTTTATAAATCCAAATCCAGCATGTATAAAAAGACATTACATAACAACTAATGTAATGTCTTTCTTTCAGGAATATAAAATTAAGTGTCAGGAATATGAAATATTCCTTTATTTCAGGAATATAAAATTAAATGTCAGAAAATCTATTAATGTAATTTACCACATTAATCACTTTTTAAAGAGAAGAATCAGGCTGGGCACAGTGGCTCACGTCTGTAATCCCAGCACTTTGGGAGGCCGAGGCAGGTGGATCACCTGAGGTCAGGAGTTTGAGACCAGCCTGGACAACATGGTGAAACCCTGTCTCTACTAAAATTCCATAATTAGCTGGGCATGGTGGCGGGCACCTGTAATCCCAGCTACTCTGGAGGCTGAGGCAGAAGAATCGCTTGAACCTGGGAGGCGGAGGTTGCAGTGAGTTGAGATCGTGCCATTGCACTCCAGCCTGGGTGACAAGAGCGAAACTCAGTCTCAAAATACAAAACAAAAAAGAGAGAGAGAGAGAGAGAAGAATCACATGATGATATCAATGCAGAAAAAGCATTACTGAAATTTTACATTCATTTATTATAATTACTTTTTAACAAAGTCAAAATAGAAAGGAACTTTTTTAACCTGATAAACTTACAGAAAATACTGTGCTCAATGGTAATATGTTCAAATCATCTCTTTAAAAAAAGAATAATGCAAGAATACCTGCAGGACCACTCTGTGCACTGCACAATCCCAGGAAGCACCATTTACATCAGAGACATTATATATTTGAGTATGTATGACAATTTCATACCAGATAGAAGTATCTTTTTCCAATTTGCACAGAGGCTTTATATGATGTACTAGTGTCCCTGGAGACTAACTTTGTTTCCATTAAAAACTGACCAAAGGTCCCAGCCTTTGCAAAAAGATCATTCATATTAATAGAACTAATAAATATGAGGATTATAAAGGAAGAAACAAAAATCATATATATATTTGCAGATGATACACTATGATAAAAATGGAACTCAAAAACACGTAGAGTCAGTCAAATGATTATAAGGAATAAGAGAGTTCAGCAAGTTGCTGGATAAATATGCAAAATCAATTACAAATTATACATTACCAAAAAACAGATAATGTAATTTTAAAGAAGACATCATTACAAATAAGTATAAGCATTATTATAATACTTATAAGACTATAAAGTGCCAAAGGGTATGGGGGCACGTGCTTGTAATCTCAACTACTTGGGAAAGGCTAAGGCAGGAGGATCATTTGAGGCCAGAAGTTTGAGGCTGCACTCCAGCCTAGGCAACTGAGTAAGACCCCATCTCTCTCTCTCTAAAAGAAAAAAAAAAGAAATGTAAAGTGCCAAAGAATAAATCTAACAAAACATGGAAAACATTTAAAAACTTTATGAAAGATAGTAACAACAGCAAATGCAGAGACCTAGTATGTCCACGGATCAAGACTTGACACTGTAATTTGCAAACTGATTTATACATTTAATGTGACTCCTATCAAAATCCCAAGCATTTTTTTCATGATCATACTATGCTGATTCTAAAATGTACACGGGAAAATGAGAGTCCAAGAATAGCCAATACAATTCTAAAGAAGGAGCTGAAAATGGGAGAACGTGGCCGGGTGTGGTGGCTCACACCTGTAATCCTAGCACTTTGGGAGGCCAAGGTAGGCAGATTGTCTGAGCTCAGGAGTTCGAGACCACAATGCGCAATATTGCAAAACCCCATCTCTAGTAAAAATCCAAAAAAATTAGCTGGGCGTGGTGGCATACACCTTTAGTCCCAGCTACTTGGGAGGCTGAGGCATGAGAATCGCTTGAGCCGGGGAGGCAGAGGTTGCAGTGAGCTGAGGTTGCACCACTGCACTCCAGCCTGGGCAATAGAGTGAGACCCTGTCTCAAAAGCAAACAAACAAACAAAACAAAACAAAACAAAACCCAAATGGGAGAACTTGTCTTGCTAGATATCAAGCCTTAATAATTAAGTGTGGTTTTGACAAGGGGTTATAACAGTAGTTCCCAACAGAGGGTGATTCCCCAACCCCAAGGGAACATTTGGCAATTTGGGGTTGTCAGAATTGGAGGGGAAGGAGGGGATGCTACTGGCATCTACTGGGTAGAGGTCACGGATGCTGCTAAACATCCTACAGTACACACAACAGCCCTCCACAGCAGAATTCTCCCATCCAAAATGTCAGTAGTGGCAGGGTTGAGAAATCCTAGGGGTAGACAGATAGACCGGTGAAAAACTAATTTAAAAACAGAAAATATGACCTGGGAGTGGGCTTATCCAGCAGGAAACAGTAGGGACACTCATATTGAGTAACTTAAGGCAGTTTATTTAATAAAGGGACCATTATAAAAGAATAGAGTGTAGGGAAAACAAAGCCCTTGGCGACTGGTAACAGGAACTGCAACAGGAGAGGGACTATTTACTGAAACTCAGAGATACAGAGCACACAGAGATACAGAGCACTACAGCGATACAGAGCACTACATGCAGACGGCCAATTGGCAAGAGCTGGGACCTTAAGTCAAGGGACACAACCAGCTTGCAGCAACCTTGCAAGGAGAGAGCTAAGGGCATACATACCTTGCTTCACGCACCTCCTACCTTTTGATCACCTGTCAATGCTCCCATGGTCAAACCCAATGGGAACCTGTGGGCAAATAAGCTATTAATGTAGTTCATACTGGTCAGCCTCCCAGGACACAGAGGCTAAAAGGGGGTGGAGAGCAGATCTGGAGAGGCAAATAGGAGCTTTCCAGATGGAATGGAAGGATTTCATAAATAAAACCCCCAAAGAGCAGAGCACCAAGGAAAAGACTGATACATTCAATATTCATCAAATTTACCATAAGGAGAGTGAAAAGACAAACCGCAAGCTAGGACAAATATTTGTTTCATATATAAATGACTAAGGATTAGTTTCAAGAATGTCTAACAAAATCCTCTTAATCAGTAAGAAAAAGATAAATTACCCACTAGAAAAAAAAAAAGGTAAATGACATGAATAAGTATTTCTTAGAACAGGAAACACAAATGGCCAATAAACATATAAAGAGATGTTCAACCTTATTAGTAGTCAGGAAAATCCAAAATTAAACCACAGTGAGATAACATTTCACACCCACCAGACTGGCAGAAATTAAAAAGTCAGACATTACAATTCTTGCCCAGGATGTAAAGTAAAAGGAATTCTTACACATTGTCCACAAAAGAGTAAAATGGTACTTTTGAAATGTAGTTCTTAGTAAAAAATTGAACGTGCACGTACCTTATGACCCCGAATTTCAACCTAGTGCATATTCTAGGGAAATTCTTGCCCATGAACGTCAGGAGAGATAAACAACCACAATCATAGTAGACTGTTTTCTTAAATAAACTTATTTTAGGAAAACTTTCAGGTTTACAGAAAAATGGGGAAGATAGTACAGAAAGTTCCCACGTACTCCATATCCAATTTTCCCTATTCTTAACATCTTTCTTTTTTTTTTTTTTTTTTTTTAGACGGAGTGTCCCTCTGTCACTCAGGCTAGAGTGCGGTGGCACAATCTCAGCTCACTGCAATCTCTGCCTCCCGGGTTCAAGCAATTCTCTTGCCTCAACCTAGCTGGGATTACAGGCATCCGCCACCGTGCCCTGTTAATTTTTGTATTTTCATTTTTTAGTAGAGATGGGGTTTCACCATCTTGGCCAGGCTGGTCTCGAACTCCTGATCTCATGATCCACCACCTCGGCCTCCCAAAGTTCTGGGATTACAGGTGTGAGCCACAGCACCCAGTCCTTAACATCTTACATTAGTATGCTATACATGTCACATTAATGAATCAATATGGATGCATTATTGTTAACTAAAGTCCATATCTTATTCAGATTTCTTTAGTTTTACTTACTTTTTGCAGCATGTTCTTAACAACTAAAACTTTTAAAACCCCCAAAATGGGCCAAGAGCAGTGGCTCACGCCTGTAATTCCAGAACTTTGGGAGGCCGAGGTGGGCAGATCACCTGAGGTCAGGAGTTCGAGACCAGCCTGGCCAACATGGTGAAAGCCCGTCTCTACTAAAAATACAAAAAAAAAAAAAAATTAGCTAGGCATGGTGGCACATGCCTGTAATCCCAGTTACTCGGGAGGCTGAGGCAGGAGAATCACTTGAACACAGGAAGCAGAGGTTGCAGTGAGCCGAGGCGGCACCATTGCACTCCAGCCTGGGCAACAAGAACAAAACTCCATATCATAAAAAAAAAAAAAAAAATCTGCAAAATGTCCATCAGTAATAAAATAGATAAATAAATTATGGCTTACTCATTTAGAAGATTATAGTAAAGTAAATACAGTAAATAAATAAACTACAGTTATATGTATCAACATGGATGAGTCTGAAAACATTTTGTTGACCAGTAAAAGCAAATATTAAATAAATACATCCAACATGATTCCATTTATAAAGAGGGCAAAAATAGGAAAAATGAAATCATATATAATTAGAGGATATTTATATATATAATAAAACAAGAATAACAAATAAATGATTAACCAAAAAAATAAGGATAATGGTTCCCTTTGGTGGGGAGGGACATGGAAGCTGTTGGAGGGACACCTTCATGGGGAGAGGGAATGTTCCCTTCAGTTGGGTGGTGGACACATGGGTTTTTGTTATGTTTTAAACTATACATAGAGATTGTAATTTTTTTGTATGTATGATGTTTCATAATAATAATTTTAAAGGCTCTGATCCCTGCTCTTTTCTTTCCCCTTGAAAGCAGGTTGTCTAAATAGTCCTCATCCTCCAACATTCTGGCTTAAGGGAAAAGGTGACACTTTAGAGTCAGAGCAAACAGGAACCCCAGCCCTCTGTGCCCCAACCAAAGAAATGTGATTATGTCTCTTATCATCTTCTTCAAGCCCCACCACACATCATGATGCTTCCTGTTTCTCAGAAGCTGAAAAAGGTGCTGACATAATGTAATGAGTAGAATCGAGGCAGTATACACGGATCTACCCAGAGCCATGTGTGTCACCCGAGGGGCAGGTTGGACTCTCAGCTGTGGTTGGGAACATAGGCCAAATCTCTGCCTTTAGGTGGGAAATGACCCCAAATTTGAAGATTCATGGAGCAGGGTGACTCTTGCTGTTAAGAATGAGAGACTCACCGTCATCAGCCCCAAGAGATGCCTTCTGCAACAGCGAAAAGCCACCTCTTGGCAGATCCCTTTACGTGGGTACAGCTGGACTGGGCACTGGGATCCAGCTGGGGCCTGGGAAACTGCCACACTGGCACCCCCTATTCCTCCACAGTCATCCCTCACTTGTCTGTTCATTTGGTTGTTTATTCATTCACTCAGCAAATACTCACACAGCTGCAATGTGCCAGGCACTGTTCTAAGTATTGGTGGCACAGCAGGGAGCAGGACATAGCCCTGCTCTAGCAGCATCATACACATTTAGGAGGGTCAGACAACAAACAAATAAAACAACTATAAATTGTGGTAAGTGCCTTCAGTGCAAGTAGTAGAAGCAAAACAACCCAGTGTTAAGATGCTAAAGTCAGGCTACCTGGTTTTAAGTTCTGCTTCTACTGCTACCTGCCATTGGGCAAGTTAATTAATCTTTCTAGGAGTCAGTTTTCCTTTCTATAGATTGGAAGTGATCATCAAACCTACTGAATAGGATTGATTGAAGATTTATTCTTTCCAAAAATATTTATTGAGCACCACTATGTGCCAGGCACCATGCCAGGCACTAAGGATTAATAGTGAAGGTGACAGACAAGGTTCTGCCCTCCAGGAACATACATGATAGCAGAGGAAGAGTCACTGGACAAGCAAAGGCCATGTCGGATGTGATAAGGGCTAGGGACTAACGTGATCCAGGGAGATTCAGGAAGTGCCAGGGAGAGAGGGCCACTTTATATGTCTGACAAGGTGACATTTGAGAGCTAAATGATGAAAAGGAGCCATCTATGTGAAAGCCTGGGGGCTGGCGATAGTTAAACAGAGGGACAGCAAGTGTGAAAGTATAGTAGCAGGAATGAAGTTGGTGTGGTTGAAGAACAGCAGGAAGACAGATGGCTGGAGCACATTAGCAGGGAGGTAGGAGATGAGGCTAGGGAGGGAAGAGAGGGCTCATGCAGACTCATGCAGGCCAGAGAAAGGACTTTGCATTTCATTCTAGTAATGGGAAGTCCCTGAGGGTTTAAAGCAGAGGAGGGTCAGATGACTTACTTTTTTTTTTGAGACAGGGTCTCACTCTGTCATCCAGGCTGGATTGCAGTGGCACCATCACAGCTCACTGCAGCGTCAACCTCCTGGGCTCAGGTGATCCTCCCATCTCAGTCTCCTGGGTAGCTGGCACTATAGGCATGTGCCACCACGCCAGGCTAATTTTTGTATTTTTTGTAGAGATGGGATTTCTCCATGTTTCCTAGGCTGGTCTCAAACTTCTGGGCTCAAGCAATCTGCCTATGTTGGCCTCCCAAAGTGCTGGGATTACAGGTGTGTGCCACTGCACCCGGCAACTTACATTTTTAAAAGATCTCTAGCTTTTGTGTGGGCACAGATTAGGTTGTAATGTTCGACCAGAGAAACAAGTTAGGATGCTATTGCTCCATGGTGAGTGACATGGTTATACAGGGTGAATGGTGCAGGGTGGGCTGGAGGAGAAGACAGAATCCTACAGTGCAGGGCATTGTAGTGGGCATCTGATCTCTCTCTTCTCCCACCTCTATGCAGCTGCTTCTCTCTCCTCAGAATCCAGACCCAAATTTTACCTTCTGCTGGGAAAGCCTTCCTTCCCTATTTTTTGTTTGCAGGTGGCGGGGGCTCCCTGGACCTGGGATTCCCACGTTCTTCCTCCTAACTTGCTGCCTCGTGGCCCTAGACCCCTCTTGTGTAACACAGACATCAGTCAGGCTCTCTCAGGCTCCTAAGACCTGGACGACAGGCTCAAGCTCCTATTTGCTCACGTGCAAGTGGAAAGCTTTTGCCAGGGTGTTTGCAAGTTCCCTTGTGCATGACTGTGCATGACTAGCACTGACTCTCTCCTGATACAGCATGGTTAGATCTGTGTGTGGCTCATCAGGACATTCAAAAAGTAATGCCCCTGTTCTGCACCCCACAGAAGGCAGTCCTTTCCACTGAGTCCCATTCACACAGCCAAGCTGACCATCACCCGGATCTGCCTGTGGCAGAAGCAACTTCAAAGTGAGCGCTAGTGCTCCTATTCTTGAAGTCCTGTGGTCACGCTACAGTGATAGAACTTCTTCTTCTTCACCCCCTTTCCATTCTGTCTGCAGCTTTGTGCCATCTTGCCAGTTCCCCCTCTCTCTTCACCCAATTGCAGTTTATTTCTAATACACAGAGCAATTTCTGTAGCCCTTTTGTAACAATTCATTGCTCACCTATGGACCCAAGATCTCAGCTTCCTACCTCCCTCTAGTGGCTGATGCAGGTATTTCCAAAAAAAAAGTCCTAGAGCAGGATCCTGGCTGGCCACACGGCTGTCCAGTGCTGCTCCTGCCCACAAGGTTCTAAGAGGTTAAGGCTTGACATATCAGAAAAGGAAAGGAAGCCTGTGTGACACAGAAGCCTGGGTTGAGGGAGGCTACGCTCTGTGTACTGTCCCCGGGCAGAGGCGGTTTTCTGGGTCACCTGCATGTCCCAACACCGGCCTCTGGTGGTCGGCAGATGTTAATCCTAAAACCCTTCTGTCCCCACCTCAGAGGTGAAGTACCTGTGCACTAGCCTTCCCCGTCTGGGTCCCCCAAGGCCCCCACACTGGGCGCACAGGGTACAGGGAGGAGCCAAGCCCTCTGCTCCAGTTCTGCCTTCTGCGCAGGAGCCCTTTGACTTCTGGGAGTCAACCCCAGCTCACCCAACAAGGAGATAGGGCAGGTGGGAGACACCCTAAGCTCAGAAGGCCTACAGGAGATGGAGAGCACCCATCCTCCACCTCTACTCCTTCTCCAGACCACTCCACACCTCGCAGCTTCTTGCTCCTCACCCTCGCATTTGGCCCAGTGGGCACCAAGAACAAGACAGGGTGACTGGCTAAGCTGGGGCCAAACTCACTGACAGAATTGGAATTGTGTCAAAACACCACTTTTATGTCCTCACCTTTCAGGCCTGCATCAGTGTGAGCTCTGCAGAGAAAGGGGCCTGTCTTACTGAACCCTCAGATCCCAGCACGCTGCTGTCCTATGGAGGCATCCATGCATATCAGCAGCAGAATGAATGGATGGAGGGAGGAATGAATGTAATGAATGCTGCTCCTTCACTGCCACCTGCCTTCTCACCCTGCCCCTCGAGGGCAGAATACTATGGCTTTTCTTTTCTTCTTCTTCTTCTTCTTTTTTTTTTTTGATGAGGTCTTGTTCTGTTCCCAGGCTGGAGTGCAGCAGTGTGAACAGATGCATGGCTCACCGCATCCTCCACCTCCCAGACTCAAGTGATCCTCCTTCCTCAGCCTCCCAAGCAGCTGGGAACAAAAGTGTGTGCCACTATACCTGGCTAATTTTTTAGCTTTTGTAGAAGGGTCTCACTATGTTACCCAGGCTGGTCTCAAACTCCTGGCTTCAAGCCATCCTCCCACCTTGGCCTTCCAAAGTGTTGGGATTACAGGCGAGAGCCACTGTGCCTGGCTTGCTATGGCTTTTTAGAGTTTCTCACCCAATTACCTCCTCTACTCAATTTCTAGCTCCCATTTTTGGTTCCTCCATGGCCTTTGTCCCCCAAATCTGCCCTTGTTGTCAGAGCACTGGACTAGGAGTCAGGAGTACCAGGTTTGTCATCAGTTAGCCCTTTGTGTCTCATGGCCCCATCTGTAAACTGGAATGGGGTTTTCTCTTGATCTCAGGATGTAAGTGGGATGGAAAAGTGCCCAATCTCACTTAAGACTGTGGTTTCCTGACCCAGAGTTTCAGTTCTGTCTTTTCTTTTTCAGTATCAGGAGTGTTACATGCCTGTTATCCTAAACACACACTCACACTCATAAAGGTATAAAACTGAGTCCTCCCAGAAGTATTATCTGTCAGTTGGGTATCTGTTGTTATGTTACAGATGATTCCTTCACTCCTTACACCAACCCTGGCAGTTGGGTATGTGGATTACCCATGTGTATTAGTTCATTCTCACACTGCTATAAAGACATACCCAAGACTGGACAATTTATAAAGGAAAGAGGCTTAATTGACTCACAGTTACACATGGCTGGGGAGGCCTCAAGAAACAATCATGGAAGAAGCCAAGAGAGAAGCAAAGGCACGTCTTACATGGCAGCAGACCAGAGAGACCGCAAATGGGCGAAACTGGAACAGCCCCTTATAAAACCATCAGATCTCGTGAGAACTCACTTACTATCACGAGAACAGCATGGGGGAAACCTCCCTCTGATCCAATCACCTCCCACCAGGTTCCACCCTCCACAGGTGAGGATTATGGGAATTACAATTCAAGATGAGATTTGGGTGGGGGCACAGAGCCAAACCATATCACCATGTTTCATATGAAGAAAGTGGGAATTAGAGAGGCCAAGGAACTTGCCCAAGGTCACATGCTGGGAATGGTAGGCTGCGGTACCGCAGGAAGACATAAGATGAAATGCATGAAGAACATTCTGAAAAAAGTGAAATTTTCTCCAGTGCTTGGCTTTATCGTGAGCTGATCTTGTGATTTCTGTCACTCAGGCTGTGGATGCAAGTTAAAAAGCATCAGCTGTAACCAGTCACAGGAGGATTTCTGAGTTGGGCTGGGGTAGGGGAGAGAGATTTCTGCTTTGGGTCCCCATAGTTTCTGTAACTCTGGTTTAGTTTCCTTGTCACTGGATCCTGCATTCCTTGAGGGCAGCCATTGTATTTTATCTTTCAGCTTTACTAAAGTATATGAAAAGCCGGGCATGCTAAAGTGTACAATTCAATAAGTTTAGAATGTGTATTCACCTGTGAAACTATCAGAACAATCAAGATACTGAACACATTAATCACCTCCAAAATGTCCTCATGCCTTCCAGCAATCCCTTCTTCCCAGGCAATCACTGACCTCGTTTCCGTCACTATAGATTAGTTGGCATTTTCTAGAATTTTATAAAAATGGAATCATAGTCTAGTTTCTTTCTTTCTTTCTTTTCTTTTCTTTTCTTTTTTTTTTTTAAGAGTCTTGTTCTGTTGCCCAGGCTGGTGTGCAGTGGCGCAATGTTGGCTCACTGCAACCTCTGTCTCCCGGGTTCAAGCAATTGTCCTGCCTCAGCCTCCCGAGTATCTAGGATTACAGGCGCGTGCCACCATGCCTGGCTAATTTTTGTATTTTTAGTAGAGACAGGGTTTTGCCATGTTGTCTAGACTGGTCTCAAACCCCTGACCTCAGGTGATTAGCCTGCCTCGGCCTCCCAAAGTGCTGGGATTACAGGCGTGAGCCACCGTGCCCGGCCAGCCTGCCTTCATTGACTTGGAATAATTATTTTGAGACGTATCCATGTTGTTGCATATATCAAAACTTTATTCCTTATTTGGTTTATTATATTTTTAACATATAGTAAAAATAACATCCTTTGGTGAACAGTTCTACAAATGTATAGATTTGTGTAACCACCACAATCAAGATACAGGGCAGTTGCATTAACCCAAAAAACTCTCTCATGCTATCCCTTTGTAGTCCTACTTCCCTCTACCCAGTACCGCGACAACCACTGAACTGTTTTCCACGAATATAGTTTTGTTCTCTCAGGAATATCATATTAATGAGACTGACTTTTTTACTCATCATAATGACTTTGGAAGTCTCCCAAATTGTGTGCTTGCTCCTTTTTTGCTGAGTAGTATTCCAATGCATGGATGTATTACAATTTGTTTATCCATTGGTTGAATGATATTTGGGTTGCTTCCAGTATTTGACAATTAGGAATAGAGCTGCTATACACATTCTTACAGGTATTTGTGTTATCATATATTTTTATTTCTCTAAAATAAATACCTGGAGTAGGACTGCTGGATCACATAGTAAGTGTATGTTTATAAGAAACTGCCAAATTGTTTTCTAACGTGACTGCCAGCCTGGTGCGGTGGCTCACACCTGTAATCCCAGCACTTTGGGAGGCCGAGGCAGGTGGATCACCACTTTGAACTCAAGAGTTCAAGACCAGCCTGGGCAATACGGCAAAACTCCGCCTCTACAAAAAAATACAAAAATTAGCCAGGCATGGTGGTTCATGCCTGTGGTCCCAGCTACTCAGGACACTAAGGCTGGAGGATCCTTTGAGCCTGGGAAGTGGCAGCTGCAGTGAGCCAAGATCAGCCTGGCTAAGTGAGACTGTATCTCAAAAAAAAAAAAAAAAAAAAAAAAAGGGACTGCCATTTTGCATTTCCATCTGTAATGCGTGAGAGCTCCAGTTGCTCCATAGCCTTGGCCTTGCCAATATTTTTTATTTTAACCATTCTAATAGATGTGTAGTGGTATCTCATCATAGTTTTAGTTTGCATTTGCCTAACAGCTAATAATGTTGAAACATTTGCATTTAATGTAATGGTTGATATATTATGGCTTGAGTCTGCCAGTTTATTTTTTGTTTTCTTTTGTTTTCTCATTTCTCATTGCTTTTTCCTGACTTCCTAAGAGTTACTTAAACATTGGTCATTCATATATCTTCTTTGGTAAAATGATGATTCAAATTTTTTGCCCATTTAAAAATGGGTTTATTTTTCTTATTATTGAATTGTAAGTGGGCTGGGTGCAGTGGCTTATGCCTGTAATCCCGGCACTTTGGGAGGCCGAGGTGGGCAGATCAACTAAGGTCAGGAGTTTGAGACCAGCCTAGCCAACATGGTGAAACCCCCTCTCTATTAAAAATACAAAAATTAGCCTGGAGTGATGGCATACGACTGTAGTCCCAGCTACTCCGGAGGCTGAGGCAGGAGAATTGCTTGAATCCAGGAGGTGGCGGTTGCAGTGAGCCAAGATTGTGTCACTGCACTCCAGCCTGGATGACAGAGTGAGACTCCATCTGAAAGAAGGAAGGAAGGAAGGAAGGAAGGAAGGAAGGAAGGAAGGAAGGAAGGAAGGAGAGAGAGAGAGAGAGAGAGAAAGAAAGAAAGAAAGAAAGAGAGAGAAAGAGAAAGAAAGAAAGAAGGAAGGAAGGGAAAGAAAGAAAGAAAAAAGAAAGAAAGAAGGAAGGAAGAAAGGAAAGAAGAAAGAAAGAAAGAAAGAAAGAAAGAAAGGCATTTTTTATATGAGTCCTTTATCCATTATAGGATTTGCAAATATTTTCTCCCAATCTGTGGCTTGACTTCTCATTTTCTTGATGTTGTGTTTTGATAAGAAAACATTTTAAATCTTGAAATCCAATTTGTTAATTGTTCACATATGAATTATGATTTTGGTGCTGCAGCTAAAAAATCTGTGCTTAACCCAAGGTCACAAAAATATTCTTCTATGTTTTCTTCTAAATATCTTATAATCTTATAGCATTTGCTCTTGCATTTTTTATTCATTTGGAATTAATTTTTGTGTATGATGTGAGGTAAGTGTATAAATTCTTTTTATATGTAGATATTCAATTGTCCCAGCACAATTTGTTGAAAATACAATTGAATTGCCTCAGCATCTTTATTGAAAATGAACTGACTATAAATGTGAAGGTTTATTTTGGTACTGTCAGTTCTGTTCCATATAAATATATCTTTATGTTACTGCCACACTGTTTTGATTATTATAGCTTTATAGTAGGCTTTTAAATAGATGAGTGTGAGTCCTCCAGCTTCGTTCTTTTTAAATATTGTTTTCGCTATTTTGGATCTCTTTCACAGGAATTTTGTGATCAGCTTGTTGATTTCCATAAAAAGCCTACTGGGATTTTCACAGGGATTGTGTTAATTTAGGAAGAATTGCCAACTTAATAATATTGAGACTTTCAATTTTTAAACATGAAATGTCTCTCCACTTATTTATGTCTTCTTTAATTTCTCTCATCAACATTTTGTAGTTGAGTGTATAAATCTGGTATCTTTTTGTTGTATTATTCCTAAGTAGTCTCCTCGATACTATTACGAATGGAATCACTGTCTTAATTTCATTTTTGATTTGCTAGCATATATAAAAATATAATTGATTTTATATATTGATTTACTATTCTGAAAACTTGATGAACTTGTTTATGGTTGTAGTAAATTTTTTCTCGTGTGTGAGTGCCTTAGGATTTTCTATATACAGGATCCTGTTGTCTGCAACAGTTTTACATCTTCCTTTCCAATCTATGAGGCTTTTATTTCTTTTTCTTGTCTTCATGCACTGGCTAGAACCCCCTGTATAATGCTGAATAAAAGTAGTGAGACATGACTTCCTTGCATTGTTCTGAAACATCCGGCAAATATGGTGTTAACTATAGGCTTTTCATAAATGCCTTTTATCAGGTTGAGGAAATTCCCTTCTATTTCTGGCCTGTTGAAAGAATTTTTTTGTTTCATTTTTGTTTTTGCTAAATCATGAATGGGTATTAGATTTGGTCAGATGCTTTTTCTGTACCTAGTAAGATGATTTTTTTTTTTTTTTAAGACGGAGTTTCACTCTTGTTGCCTAGGCTGGAGTGCAATGGTGTGATCTGGGCTAACTGCAACCTCTGCCTCCTGGCTTCAAGAGATTCTCCTCCCTCAGCCTCCCGAGTAGCTGGGATTACAGGCATGTGCCACCATGCCCAGCTAATTTTGTATTTTTAGTAGAAATGGGGTTTCACCATGTTGGTCAGGCTGGTCTTGAACTCCTGACCTCAGGTGATCCACCCACTTCAACCTCCCAAAATGCTGAGTTTACAAGCTTGAACCACTATGCCCAGCCCAATCATATGGTTTTTGTCCTTTATTCTGTTCTATTAGCATGGGGTATTAAATTTCTTTAAATTCCTGGGATAATCCCATTTGGTCATGGTGTATGCTCCTTTATATATGTTCCTGGATTTAATTTACTAATGTCTTATTGAGGATTTTGCATTTCTGTTCAATAAGGAATATATCTTAGTCTGTTTTGTGCTGCTATAACAGCATACCTGAGACTGGGTAATTTATAGTGAATGGAAATTTATTTTCCCATAGTTCTGGAGGCTGGGAAGTCCAAGATCAAGGTGCCAGTAAGGCACCTGCTACATCATCATGTCACAGAAGGTGGAAGGGCAAAGAGGCAAAAGGAGCCCAAACTTGCTCTTTTATAATGGTGTAAATCTTATCTTTGATCAGGTTGAAGAGTTCCCTTCTATTTGTAGTTTATTGAGCATTTAAAAAGATTATACCCAATAATTGGATTCTGTCAAATGTGTTTTCTGCATTGATATCTGCATCAGTCAAAGCTAAAGAGATTTTTCCTCTTCATACATTTAGCATGGTGGATTACACAGATTAATTTTTTTTTTATTATTATTATACTTTAAGTTTTAGGGTACATGTGCACATTGTGCAGGTTAGTTACATATGTATACATGTGCCATGCTGGTGCGCTGCACCCACTAACTCGTCATCTAGCATTAGGTATATCTCCCAATGCTATCCCTCCCCCATCCCCCGACCCCACCACAGTCCCCAGAGTGTGATATTCCCCTTCCTGTGTCCATGTGATCTCATTGTTCAATTCCCACCTATGAGTGAGAATATGCGGTGTTTGGTTTTTTGTTCTTGCGATAGTTTACTGAGAATGATGGTTTCCAATTTCATCCATGTCCCTACAAAGGACACGAACTCATCATTTTTTATGGCTGCATAGTATTCCATGGTGTATATGTGCCACATTTTCTTAATCCAGTCTATCGTTGTTGGACATTTGGGTTGGTTCCAAGTCTTTGCTATTGTGAATAATGCCGCAATAAACATACGTGTGCATGTGTCTTTATAGCAGCATGATTTATAGTCATTTGGGTATATACCCAGTAATGGGATGGCTGGGTCAAATGGTATTTCTAGTTCTAGATCCCTGAGGAATCGCCACACTGACTTCCACAATGGTTGAACTAGTTTACAGTCCCACCAACAGTGTAAAAGTGTTCCTATTTCTCCACATCCTCTCCAGCACCTGTTGTTTCCTGACTTTTTAATGATTGCCATTCTAACTGGTGTGAGATGATATCTCATAGTGGTTTTGATTTGCATTTCTCTGATGGCCAGTGATGATGAGCATTTTTTCATGTGTTTTTTGGCTGCATAAATGTCTTCTTTTGAGAAGTGTCTGTTCATGTCCTTTGCCCACTTTTTGATGGGGTTGTTTGTTTTTTTCTTGTAAATTTGTTTGAGTTCATTGTAGATTCTGGATATTAGCCCTTTGTCAGATGAGTAGGTTGCGAAAATTTTCTCCCATGTTGTAGGTTGCCTGTTCACTCTGATGGTAGTTTCTTTTGCTGTGCAGAAGCTCTTTAGTTTAATTAGATCCCATTTGTCAATTTTGGCTTTTGTTACCATTGCTTTTGGTGTTTTGGACATGAAGTCCTTGCCCACGCCTATGTCCTGAATGGTAATGCCTAGGTTTTCTTCTAGGGTTTTTATGGTTTTAGGTCTAATGTTTAAATCTTTAATCCATCTTGAATTGATTTTTGTATAAGGTGTAAGGAAGGGATCCAGTTTCAGCTTTCTACATATGGCTAGCCAGTTTTCCCAGCACCATTTATTAAATAGGGAATCCTTTCCCCATTGCTTGTTTTTCTCAGGTTTGTCAAAGATCAGATAGTTGTAGATATGCGGCATTATTTCTGAGGGCTCTGTTCTGTTCCATTGATCTATATCTCTGTTTTGGTACCAGTACCATGCTGTTTTGGTTACTGTAGCCTTGTAGTATAGTTTGAAGTCAGGTAGTGTGATGCCTCCAGCTTTGTTCTTTTGGCTTAGGATTGACTTGGCGATGCGGGCTCTTTTTTGGTTCCATATGAACTTTAAAGTAGTTTTTTCCAATTCTGTGAAGAAAGTCATTGGTAGCTTGATGGGGATGGCATTGAATCTGTAAATTACCTTGGGCAGTATGGCCATTTTCACGATATTGATTCTTCCTACCCAGGAGCATGGAATGTTCTTCCATTTGTTTGTGTCCTCTTTTATTTCCTTGAGCAGTGGTTTGTAGTTCTCCTTGAAGAGGTCCTTCACATCCCTTGTAAGTTGGATTCCTAGGTATTTTATTCTCTTTGAAGCAATTGTGAATGGGAGTTCACTCATGATTTGGCTCTCTGTTTGTCTGTTGTTGGTGTATAAGAATGCTTGTGATTTTTGTACATTGATTTTGTATCCTGAGACTTTGCTGAAGTTGCTTATCAGCTTAAGGAGATTTTGGGCTGAGACGATGGGGTTTTCTAGATAAACAATCATGTCGTCTGCAAACAGGGACAATTTGACTTCCTCTTTTCCTAATTGAATACCCTTTATTTCCTTCTCCTGCCTGATTGCCCTGGCCAGAACTTCCAACACTATGTTGAATAGGAGCGGTGAGAGAGGGCATCCCTGTCTTGTGCCAGTTTTCAAAGGGAATGCTTCCAGTTTTTGCCCATTCAGTATGATATTGGCTGTGGGTTTGTCATAGATAGCTCTTATTATTTTGAAATACGTCCCATCAATACCTAATTTATTGAGAGTTTTTAGCATGAAGGGTTGTTGAATTTTGTCAAAGGCTTTTTCTGCATCTATTGAGATAATCATGTGGTTTTTGTCTTTGGCTCTGTTTATATGCTGGATTACATTTATTGATTTGCGTATATTGAACCAGCCTTGCATCCCAGGGATGAAGCCCACTTGATCATGGTGGATAAGCTTTTTGATGTGCTGCTGGATTCGATTTGCCAGTATTTTATTGAGGATTTTTGCATCAATATTCATCAAGGATATTGGTCTAAAATTCTCTTTTTTGGTTGTGTCTCTGCCCGGCTTTGGTATCAGAATGATGCTGGCCTCATAAAATGAGTTAGGGAGGATTCCTTCTTTTTCTATTGATTGGAATAGTTTCAGAAGGAATGGTACCAGCTCCTCCTTGTACCTCTGGTAGAATTCAGCTGTGAATCCATCTGGTCCTGGACTCTTTTTGGTTGGTAAACTATTGATTATTGCCACAATTTCAGATCCTGTTATTGGTCTATTCAGAGATTCAACTTCTTCCTGGTTTAGTCTTGGGAGAGTGTATGTGTCGAGGAATGTATCCATTTCTTCTAGATTTTCTAGTTTATTTGCGTAGAGGTGTTTGTAGTATTCTCTGATGGTAGTTTGTATTTCTGTGGGATTGGTGGTGATATCCCCTTTATCATTTTTTATTGTGTCTATTTGATTCTTCTCTCTTTTTTTCTTTATTAGTCTTGCTAGCGGTCTATCAATTTTGTTGATCCTTTCAAAAAACCAGCTCCTGGATTCATTGATTTTTTGAAGGGTTTTTTGTGTCTCTCTTTCCTTCAGTTCTGCTCTGATTTTAGTTATTTCTTGCCTTCTGCTAGCTTTTGAATGTGTTTGCTCTTGCTTTTCTAGTTCTTTTAATTGTGATGTTAGGGTGTCAATTTTGGATCTTTCCTGCTTTCTCTTATAGGCATTTAGTGCTATAAATTTCCCTCTACACACTGCTTTGAATGCGTCCCAGAGATTCTGGTATGTGGTGTCTTTGTTCTCGTTGGTTTCAAAGAACATCTTTATTTCTGCCTTCATTTCGTTATGTACCCAGTAGTCATTCAGGAGCAGGTTGTTCAGTTTCCATGTAGTTGAGCGGCTTTGAGTGAGATTCTTAATCCTGAGTTCTAGTTTGATTGCACTGTGGTCTGAGAGATAGTTTGTTATAATTTCTGTTCTTTTACATTTGCTGAGGAGAGCTTTACTTCCAACTATGTGGTCAATTTTGGAATAGGTGTGGTGTGGTGTTGAAAAAAATGTATATTCTGTTGATTTGGGGTGGAGAGTTCTGTAGATGTCTATTAGGTCTGCTTGGTGCAGAGCTGAGTTCAATTCCTGGGTATCCTTGTTGACTTTCTGTCTCGTTGATCTGTCTAATGTTGACAGTGGGGTGTTAAAGTCTCCCATTATTAATGTGTGGGAGTCTAAGTCTCTTTGTAGGTCACTCAGGACTTGCTTTATGAATCTGGGTGCTCCTGTATTCGGTGCATAAATATTTAGGATAGTTAGCTCTTCTTGTTGAATTGATCCCTTTACCATTATGTAATGGCCTTCTTTGTCTCTTTTGATCTTTGTTGGTTTAAAGTCTGTTTTATCAGAGACTAGGATTGCAACCCCTGCCTTTTTTTGTTTTCCATTGGCTTGGTAGATCTTCCTCCATCCTTTTATTTTGAGCCTATGTGTGTCTCTGCACGTGAGATGGGTTTCCTGAATACAGCACACTGATGGGTCTTGACTCTTTATCCAACTTGCCAGTCTGTGTCTTTTAATTGCAGAATTTAGTCCATTTATATTTAAAGTTAATATTGTTATGTGTGAATTTGATCCTGTCATTATGATGTTAGCTGGTGCTTTTGCTCGTTAGTTGATGCAGTTTCTTCCTAGTCTCGATGGTCTTTACATTTTGGCATGATTTTGCAGCGGCTGGTACCGGTTGTTCCTTTCCATGTTTAGCGCTTCCTTCAGGAGCTCTTTTAGGGCAGGCCTGGTGGTGACAAAATCTCTCAGCATTTGCTTGTCTATAAAGTATTTTATTTCTCCTTCACTTATGAAGCTTAGTTTGGCTGGATATGAAATTCTGGGTTGAAAATTCTTTTCTTTAAGAATGTTGAATATTGGCCCCCACTCTCTTCTGGCTTGTAGAGTTTCTGCCAAGAGATCCGCTGTTAGTCTGATGGGCTTTCCTTTGAGGGTAACCCGACCTTTCTCTCTGGCTGCCCTTAACATTTTTTCCTTCATTTCAACTTTGGTGAATCTGACAATTATGTGTCTTGGAGTTGCTCTTCTCGAGGAGTATCTTTGTGGCGTTCTCTGTATTTCCTGAATCTGAACGTTGGCCTGCCTTGCTAGATTGGGGAAGTTCTCCTGGATAATATCCTGCAGAGTGTTTTCCAACTTGGTTCCATTCTCCACATCACTTTCAGGTACACCAATCAGACGTAGATTTGGTCTTTTCACATAGTCCCATATTTCTTGGAGGCTTTGCTCATTTCTTTTTATTATTTTTTCTCTAAACTTCCCTTCTCGCTTCATTTCATTCATTTCATCTTCCATCGCTGATACCCTTTCTTCCAGTTGATCGCATTGGCTCCTGAGGCTTCTGCATTCTTCACGTAGTTCTCGAGCCTTGGTTTTCAGCTCCATCAGCTCCTTTAAGCACTTCTCTGTATTGGTTATTCTAGTTATACATTCTTCTAAATTTTTTTCAAAGTTTTCAACTTCTTTGCCTTTGGTTTGAATGTCCTCCCGTAGCTCAGAGTAATTTGATCATCTGAAGCCTTCTTCTCTCAGCTCGTCAAAATCATTCTCCATCCAGCTTTGTTCCGTTGCTGGTGAGGAACTGCGTTCCTTTGGAGGAGGAGAGGCGCTCTGCGTTTTAGAGTTTCCAGTTTTTCTGTTCTGTTTTTTCCCCATCTTTGTGGTTTTATCTACTTTTGGTCTTTGATGATGGTGATGTACAGATGGGTTTTCGGTGTAGATGTCCTTTCTGGTTGTTAGTTTTCCTTCTAACAGACAGGACCCTCAGCTGCAGGTCTGTTGGAATACCCTGCCGTGTGAGGTGTCAGTGTGCCCCTGCTGGGGGGTGCCTCCCAGTTAGGCTGCTCGGGGGTCAGGGGTCAGGGACCCACTTGAGGAGGCAGTCTGCCCGTTCTCAGATCTCCAGCTGCGTGCTGGGAGAACCACTGCTCTCTTCAAAGCTGTCAGACAGGGACACTTAAGTCTGCAGAGGTTACTGCTGTCTTTTTGTTTGTCTGTGCCCTGCCCCTAGAGGTGGAGCCTACAGAGGCAGGCAGGCCTCCTTGAGCTGTGGTGGGCTCCACCCAGTTCGAGCTTCCCGGCTGCTTTGTTTACCTAAGCAAGCCTGGGCAATGGTGGGCGCCCCTCCCCCAGCCTCGTTGCCGCCTTGCAGTTTAATCTCAGACTGCTGTGCCAGCAATCAGCGAGATTCCGTGGGCGTAGGACCCTCTCAGCCAGGTGTGGGATATAGTCTCGTGGTGCACCGTTTTTTAAGCCGGTCTGAAAAGCGCAATATTCGGGTGGGAGTGACCCGATTTTCCAGGTGCGTTCGTCACCCCTTTCTTTGACTCGGAAAGGGAACTCCCTGACCCCTTGTGCTTCCCAGGTGAGGCAATGCCTCGCCCTGCTTCGGCTCGCGCACGGTGCATGCACACACTGGCCTGCGCCCACTGTCTGGCACTCCCTAGTGAGATGAACCCGGTACCTCAGATGGAAATGCAGAAATCACCCGTCTTCTGCGTCGCTCACGCTGGGAGCTGTAGACTGGAGCTGTTCCTATTCGGCCATCTTGGCTCCTCCCCCCACAGATTAATTTTTGTATGTTTAATAACTGTTACGTTCCTGGGAGAAATCCCACTTTGTCATGGAATATAATCCTTTTAATACGTTGCTGTATTTGGTTTGCTAGTATTTTATTAAGGACTTTTTCATCTATGTTCATAAAGTATATTGGTCTGTAGTTTTCTATTTTCTCTTGAGTCAGTTTTGGTAGTTTATGTGTTTCTAGGAATTTGTCAATGTTATCTAAGTTATCTAATTTTTTGGCATACATTGCTCATAGTATTCTCTTATAATCTTTTGTTGGTAAGGTCTGTAGTAATGTCCCCACTTTCATTTTTTATTTTAGTAATTTGAGTCTTCTCTCTCTTTCTCTTTTGGTCAGTCAAACTATAGGCTTGTCAGTTTTTAACTTTTCTATTGTTGTTCTATTCTCTATTTTGTTTATCTCTGCGCTAACTTTTATTATTTCCTCTCTTCTTCTTGCTTTAGGTTTAGTTTGCTCTTCTTTTTCTAGCACCTTAAAATGGAAGGTTAGGTTATTAATTTGAGATCTTTCTTTTTTTAAAATGTAACTGTAAAGGTGTAAATTTTCCTCTGAACACTGCTTTTACTGTATTCTATCAATTTGGGTACATTGTATTTTCATTTTCATTCATCTTAAAATATTTTGTAATTTCCCTTTTGATTTCTTCTTTGCCCTATGGGTTCTTGAAAAGTACATTGTTTAATTTCCACATATTTGTGTATTTGCCAGATTTCTTTTTGTTGTTGCTTTCTAATTTCATTCCTTTTTCGTAGGAGAAGATATTTTATTTGATTTCTTTTTTTTCTTTTTTTTTTTTGAGATGGAGTTTCGCTCTTGTTGCCCAGGCTGAAGTGCAATGGTGTGATCTCGGCTCACTGCAACCTCCACCTCCTGAGTTCAAGCAATTCTCCTGCCTCAGCCCCTCGAGTAGCTGGGATTACAGGCATGCACCACTACGCCCAGCTAATTTTGTATTTTTAGTAGAGGTGGGGTTTCACCATGTTGGTCAGGCTGGTCTCGAACTCCTGACCTCGGGTGATCTGCCTGTCTCGGCCTCCCAAAGTGCTGGGATTCCAGGTGTGAGGCACCACACCTGGCCCTGTTTGATTTCAATCTTGTCTAATTTATTGAGACTTGTTTTGTGGCCTAACACAATGTCTCTTCTATAGAATATTTCCATGTGCAGAGAAGAATAATATGTATTCTGCTGTCATTGAATGAAATGTTCTGTAGATGTCTGTTAGGTTTGGTGGCTTTTATTGTTGTTCAAGTCTTCTATTTCTTTGTTTACCTTTTGTCTAGTTGTTCTAGCTACGATTGAACATGAGTATTAAGTCTCCAACTTTTTTTTTTTTTTTGAGATAGAATCTCATTCCATCATGTAGGCTGGAGTGCAATGACATGACCTTGGCTCACTGCAACCTCTGCCTCCTGGGTTCAAGTGATTCTCGTGCCTCAGCTTCCTGAGTAGCTGGAATTACAGGTGTGCTTCACCATGCCTGGCTAATTTTTGTATTTTTAGTAGAGACGGGGTTTTGCCATGTTGGCCCAGCAGGTCTCGAACTCCTGACTTCAAGTGATCTGCCTGCCTCAGCCTCCCATTGTGCTGGGATTATAGGCATGAGCCACTGCACCTTGCCTCCGACTATTTTTTAACTTTTCATTCAATTCTGTCAATCTTTTGTCATAGGTTCTTGGTCTCTGTTGTTAAGTGCCTATTTGTTTATAATTGCAATATCTTCTTAATACATTGAGCATTTTATCATATTAATGTACTTCTTTGTTTTTTGAAACATTTTTGTGTCAATGTCCATTTTGTCTGATATTAGCATAGCCACTTCAGCTCATTTTTGGTTACTGTTTGCATGGTATGCTTTCCATCTTTACACTTGGAAATTATTTGTGTCTTTGAATCTAAAATAAGTCTCTTATAGACAGCATATAGTTGGATCATGGTTCTTTTTAAAATCCATTCTGCCAATCTCTGCCTTTTCATTGAAGAGCTTAATTCATTTACATTTAATATAATTACTGATAAGAGAGAACTTAATTCTGTCATTTTGCTATTTGTCCTCTATTATGTCTTTTATCCTTTATGTTCCTCAGTTCCTCCATTATTGTCTTCTTTTGTGTAAGATAGATTTTTGTAGTATACTCTTTTGATTCCTTTCTCATTTATTTTACTACATATTATATTCTTAGCATTTGTCCTGGGGATTACAATTAACATCTTAATTTACAACACTCTAATTTAAATTAATAACAACTTAGTTTCAATGGTATACAAAAAAGTTACTGCTGTATAATTTCATCTCTAACTTTTGTTGTTAATGTCACAGATTACATCTTTATGTAATGTGGCCGGGGTGGTAGCTCATGCCTTTAATCCCAGCACTTTAGGAGGCTGAGGCAGGCAGATCACTTGAGGCCAGGAGTTCAAGACCAGCCTGGCCAACATGATGAAACCCCATGTCTACTAAAAATACAAAAAATTAGCTGGGCGTGGTGGTATGTGCCTGTAATCCCAGCTACTCAGGAGGCTGAGGCACAAGAATTGCTTGAACCTGGGAGGTGGAGGTTGCAGTGAGTCAAGATGGTGCCACTACACTCCAGCCTGGGTGACAGAGTGAGACTCTGTCTACAAAAAAAACAAAAACAAAAACCCAAGAAACAAAAAACAAAAACAAAAACACCAAACCATCTTTATGCAACCTATGCCCATCAACATAGTTTTAGGATCATTGTTTTATGATTGTATTTTAAATCATATAGAAAATAAAGAGTTTAAAACAAAAAATATATCATTAATATTAATGTTTATATTTACCTACATAGTTATCATAACTGGTGTTCTTTATTTTTCATGTGGATTTAAGTTACTGCATAATGTTGTATTAGTTGTATTAGTCAGGGTTCTCCAGAGAAACAGAACCAGCAAGCTGTATATATATATATATATTATATATGTATATACATATACACATGTTTGTGTGTATGTGTGTAGAGAGAGAGAGAGGAGATTATAAAGAATTAATTCTCATGATTACAGAGACTGACAAGTACCAAAATCTCCACGGTGACTTGGCAAGCTGGAGACCCAGGAGAGTTAATGACTTAGTTCTAGTCTGAAGGCCAGCAGGCTCCAGACAAAGAAAGAACCAATGTTTCAGTTTGAGTCTGAAGGCAAGAAAAAGCCAATGTCCCAGTTCAAAGATAGGCAGGCAGGAGAAACTCTCTTTTACTTGGGGAAGGGTCAGTCATTTTGTTCTATTTAGGCCTTTAACTGATTGAATGAGGCCCACCCATATTAGGGAGGGTAATCTCCTTTACTCAGTGTACCAATTTAAATGTTATTTTCACCTGTAAACATCCTCACGGAAACATCCAGAATAATGTTTGACCAAACATCCAGGCACCCTGTGGCTCAGTCAAGTTGACACATAAAATTAATCATCACAAGTGTTCTTTCATTTCAGCCTGAAGGACTCCCTTTAGCAACTTTTGTACAACAGGCATACTAGCAAAGAACTCTGTTAGTTTTTGTTTATCTGGGAATGTCTTAACTTCTCCTTCATGTTTGAAGAATAGTTTTGCCACATATGGAATTCTTGGTTGACAGTTTTTCTTTCAGCTCTTTGAATATGTCATCATATTGCCTTTTGGCCTCTGTGGTTTCTGATGGGAAATTAGCCATTAATCACATTAAGTATCCTTGTATATGACTCATCACTTCTCTCTGACTGCTTTCAGGATTCTCTCTTTGTATTTATCTTGACCATTGGATTATAATGTATCACAATATGAATATCTGAGTTTATCCTACTTGGGGTTTGTTGAGCTTCTTGCATGTGTAAATTCATATCCTTTACTTTTACCAAATTTGAGAAGTTTTGAGCCATTATTTCTTCAAATATTCTTTCATCCCCTTTCTTTCTTTCCTCTCCCCCTGGGTCTTCTGGTATGCATATGTTGGTACCATCAGTGGTATTCCACAGGCCACTTACGCTCTATTTGTTTTTCTTCATTCTTTTTTCTGTCCCTCAGACTGGGTAATCTCAATTGACCTGTCTTCAAATTCACTGATTCATTCTTTGCCTACTCACATAGCTGTTGACCCCTTCTAGTGCATTGTTCATTTCACTTATTTTACTTCTTAACTCAAAATTTCTAAGTCCTTTTTTATAATTTCTATTCTTTTACTGAAATCTGCTATTAGGCGAGACACTGTTTTCATGCTTTCCTTTAGTTCTTTGCATATGGTTTCTTTTAGCTCTTTCAGTACATTTAAAAATACTTGATTTAAAATCTTAATCTATTAAGTTCAATTCCTGAGCTTCCTCAAGGACAGTTTCTATTAATTATTTTTGCTGCGTATGAACCATACTTTTTTCTGTCTTTTCATGGCATGTAATTTTTTTTGTTGAAAACTGGACATTTTTACTGTTATAATGTGACAACTCTGGAAATCACATTCTGCTCCCCTTTCAGGTTTGTTGTCATTGTTTGCTAGTTGTTTTTGTTTGTTGTTGTTGTTGTTGTTGTTGTTTACTTAGTGACCTTTCTGAACTAATTTTTTAAAGTCTGTATTCTTTGTCACGTGTGGCCACTGAAAAGACTTTTCCATTAAACTTTTCCACTAGTGGTTGGCTAGTGATGACTGAAATTTCCTTTATACCTAGAACAACATAAAAAAAAAATTCCCAATATCTTCAGATGAGCTCTGTATGTGTTTTGAGGTGTGGCTTTTAACACTTAGCCAGGCTGTTTACAACTCTGCCTTAACCTTCCTTTTCTGCTTGCAGAGTCTGGAGGTCAGTCAGAGGTGAGAGTGTAGAGTCTTCTAGGATATTTTCTGAGCATATGTGTGACCTTCTTAGATATCCAGAAAGCTTTTTAAAGCCCTTATTTCTTAAAGTGTTTCCTTCTCCAGCCTTTTTTCTTAAGCTTTTGGTTTGTCTATTATTTCCCTAACTGTTACCATTAGTGAATGCATTTGTTTTTAACTCTGTGCATGTGTGTGTGGTTTGTTTGTTTTTCCAAATGCCCCAGGTAGCTGCTTCAGCCCTGGGAGAGTTCTAAGTTAGGTGAAATTAAAGTAAATCTTTTGTGCTCATCCTTCAGGGAACCAACAGACAGGTCAAAACAGGCAACCACAATCCTTTGAGAGTAAGTTCCATTCTGCTCCCTCGAACACTAAGAACCTATATCAAGAATGCAGGCTGTTGTCTTCAAGGCTGCCACCAAGCTGGGAAAGAGGAGAATGGAGCCCAGGTATGTTAAAACACCACAGTGTTTTCCCACTGAGATTTAGCCGTTTTTCTTCTTGATTAAAATTTATTGGCTGGGCATTGTGGCTCATGCCTGTAAACCCAACACTTTGGGAGGCTGAGGTGGGTGGATCATTTGAAGTCAAGAGTTCAAGACCAGCCTGGCCAACATGGTGAAACCCTGCCTCCACTGAAAATACAAAAATTAGCTGGGCATGGTGGAGGGCACCTGTAATCCCAGCTACTCAGGAGGCTGAGGCAGGAGAATCGCTTGAACCCAGGAGGTGGGGGTTGCAGTGAGCCAAGATCACACCACTGCACTCCAGCCGGAGCAACAGAATGAGACTCTCCCTCAAAAAAAAAAAAAAGAATTTATTTTATTAAAAAAAAGAATTTATTTTATTTATTAAACTTTTTATTAGTCTCCAGAGTTCTAATAAAGTTGATTTTGCCAGTTTTTTTCACTGTTTTTTATGGAAAAAGGAGTTTTGGAGTTCTCTATTCCATTTTTGCTGATACCATTCTTAGATCATTTACATTTAATGGAATTACTGATATGGTTGGATTTGTGTCTACCATTTTAAGGACATTTATTGTGTTTTTAACTTTATCTGCTTGTATAGTTCTGTTTGTTTTTGTTTTTGTTTTTAGTGGTTGCTCCAGGGATTACAATATACGTCTTTACCTTTTCATGGTCTACTTAGAATCAATATTTTACCATTTTAAGTGTAATGTAAAACTTTAGTTTCTTTTATTCTACCCTCTTTATGTTGTAGTTGTCTTATGTGCTATCTACATATAACATTGAAAACACCATCAAAAAATGTTATAATTTTTGTTTTAACCATAAAACGTATTTTAAAGAACTCAAGAGCAGCACAGAATGTTGCATTACCTCAGATCTTTACCATTTCTGTTGGTCTTTTTTTCATTCCTGATATTCCAAGTTAACTTCTGGTATCATTTCTCATCTGTCTGAAAAACTTCTTGTAGCAATTATTTTAGGACGGGTCTGTTGTCAAAGAACTCTCTTAGTTTTCCTTCATCTGAAAACGTCTTTATTTCACTCTCACTCCTGAAGCATATTTTCATTGAGTATTCTTGAAATTGTGAAGAGAATGGTGGGTTGATGGTTCTTTTTCTTCATTTTAAAGATGTGATTCCACTTCCTACTGGTCTCTACGATGAGATTTCCTCTCTCCTCATGAGGAAGCTGAAGTCATTTGAATTGTTCTCCTATGTGTGATGTGTCATTTTTCTCTAGCAATGGTACATGTATGCTTATATGTATGTATGTGTGTATATATATATATATATATGTACATATATTCTTCAGTTTTATGTCCTTTTCCAAATTGAAGATGTTTTTAGTCAATATTTCCTCAAACATTTTTATCTTCACTGCACTCTTTCTTCTTTCCTTCTGGAACTCTAATGACATAAATATTAGACCTTTGGTATTGTCTCACTAGTCTCTGAGGTTCTATTCACTTTTTAAAAATCTTTTTCTCACTGTTTTTCTGTTTGGATAATTTCTGTTGGTCTGTCTTCCAGTTACTGGCTTCCTCTTTCCTCTCATTTATATTCTGCTCTTGAGTTACCTAGTGAGCACTGAAATTTTGGTTCTTATATTTTATTTATTTATTTATTTATTTATTTATTTATTGAGACGGGGTCTTGCTTTGTCACTCAGGCTGTAGTGCAGTGGTGTGATCACGACTCACTGCAGCCTCGAACTCCCAGGTTTGAGCTATCCTCCCATCTCAGCCTTCCAAGTAGCTAGGACCACAGGTTCATGCCAACACACCTAACTTATTATTTTTTTTAGAGACGGGGTCTCACTTTGTGGCCCAGGCTAGCTTCGAACTCTTGGGCTCAAGTTATCCTCCTGCCTTGGCCTCTCAAAGTGTTGGGATTATAGCATGAACTACTATGCCTGGCCCTTATATTTTTAAGTTCCAAAACTTTTACTTCCCTATTCTTTATATCTCCTATTTCTTTGCTGAGACTGTCCATCTTCCATTCATTCCAAGAGGGTTTACTTGGAGCATTTTCATAGTAGTACTTTAAAGTCTTTGTTACTTAATTCCAACATCTCATCATTGGTCTCTTTTGATTGTCTTTTCCCATGCAAAATGAGATTTTTCCTATCATAGGCCAGGAAGATCATACTTTGGTTTTGTATCCTGGACATTTTAAATTTTATGAGACTCTGGGTATTATTTGAACATTGTGGAGAGTGTTAATGTTTATATTTTAGCAGGCAATCAATGCAGCTGCATTTGGGCCACAAGTTCCGACCAGCCTTCTGTGGATTGTAGTTTCAATGTTTGTTCCATTTTCAAAGCCTTTATAGTGCTGTTTAGATCTGTCCTGTGTGTGCACCCTCCAGTGGTCAGCTTGAGAAAAGGGTGGTGTTTATCCTTAGGTTCAGTTCTCAAGTCTTTGGTATGCTAGATCCATGCAAGCTCAGTTTGGAGTTGAGCCCAGGAATTCATAAACAACTTTGTGGGTTCAGTTTCCAGCATTCCTCCCTTTCCATGATCTCCCTGGTACTTTCTGATTCCCTGGGTCTCCTCCTTTTGGTCCTCTGGCCAGAAATCTGGAGTTTTAGCTACCTTGCTCTGCTGTGTACTTCCTGCGACTGTGCCCTCAGCTAGGGTCAACTGGCAAAAGGAGAGAGATATTGAGAGAGAGAGAGAGAGAGAGAGAGAGAGAGAGAAGGGGGGAAGGAGGGAGACCCTCTTGGGGCTTGTCCAACAGACAGTTTTCTCTCCCTTAGAATTTTAGGTGCCTTTAGTCCTCTCATGCCATTGCAACAAGAATGCCAGAGGTCTGAGGCATGAGAGAATGGAGAAAAGAAAAAAAGGTGGCGTGGGGGTGGTTATTTTCTCACTCTTTCTGAGCATTAGGAGTTCCCTCCCCACTCCTCAAAGCAGAACTAGAGGGCTCTGGGATTCCCACTGTCTGTGCCTGCTGCTCACTTCCAGGTTTCAGGCTGTTTCGAGTCTAGCCCAGGGAGTACTAGAGGGAAAAATGGGAAACTCCTCCAATTCCGTGGTACTCCAAATTCTGATTTTTCTTTCCTAATTCATCTGCTGCTATTTACTCTTCAGAGTCCTTCATACATTCTGTACAGGTTCTATTGCTTCACTTAGTGGAAGAGACAGGGTGGAGTATGTTTACTTTATCTTACCTAAACCTGGAACCTGGTGGTAATCCACTGCGTAGATACCATAAGCTATTTATCCACTGTCTTGTGGATGGTCATTTTTGTTGTTTCCAGGTTTTGGCTATTACAAATTAAGCTGCTGTAAGCATTCATATCCAAATCTTTGTGTGAGCACACACTTTCCTTTATTGTGGATAAATACCTGGAATTGAATGGCTAGGCTGTATGATAGGCATATATTTAGCTATTTAAAAAACTGCCAAATTGCTTTCCAATGTAATCATGTATTGCTTAGTAACAAGGATACAGTCTGAGAAGTGCTTCATTAGGTAATTTTGTCCTTGTGTGAATATCATAGAGTGTACTTACACAAACCTAGATGGTATAACCTACCAAACACCTAGGCTATGTGGTATAGCCTATTGCTCCTAGGGTACAAGCCTGTACAGCAAGTAACTCTGCTGAGCACTGTAGGCGACTGCCACACAAGGGTAAATATTTGTGTATCTAAGCATATCTAAACACAGAAAAGGCACAGTAAAGATACAGTATTGTAATCTCATGAGATCATTGTCGTATATGCAGTCTGTCCTTGACCAAAAATCATTATGCAGCACGTGACTGTAGTTGTATTATTTTACCTTCCCAGCTGGGCATGGTGGCTCACGCCTGTTATCCCAGCATCTTTGGAGGCCAAAGTGGGAGGATTACTTGAGCTCAGGAGTTCAAGACCAGCCTGGGGAACATACTGAGACCCTATCTCTATTAAAAAGTCAAGAAAAAATGAATATTTTACATTCCCACCAGCAGTTTAGGAGCATCCCAGTTGTTCCACGTCATTGCCAACACTTGGCACAGTTAGTCTTTTTCATTTTAGCCATCCAGGTAGATGTGTAGTGGCATTTCATCGTGGTTTTAACTTGCATGTCCCTAATGACTAATGATGTTGAGCATCTTTACATATGTGTATTTACTATTTGCGTATCCTTTTTTGGCGAAAAATTCGTTCAAATCTTCTGTCCATTAAAAAATTTGGTTGTCAAGATGGGTGCAGTGGCTCATGCCTGTAATCCCAGCACTTTGGGAGGCTGAGGTGGGTAGATCACCTGAGTTCAGGAGTTTGAGACCATCCTGGGCAACATGGTGAAAACCCATCTCTGCTTAAAAGACAAAAAATTAGCTGAGCGTGGTGACACGCATGTAGTCTCAGCTACTCAGGAGGCTGAGGCGCAAGAATCGCTTGAGCCCCTGAGGCGAAGGTTGCAGTGAGCTGAGATCGTGCCACTGCACTCCAGTTTGGGCTACAGAGTGAGACTCTGTCTCAAAAAACAAACAAACAAACAAACAAACAAAAATGCATTGCCTTATTGAGTTGTAAGCATTCTTTACATATGCTAGATACATACCCTTTACTAGATATATGTTTTGCAAATATTTTCTCCCATTCGGAGCCACCACATTTTATTCATCTCTGTGTGTCCTCCCCTCTATACTCTGCCTGGGTTCATTCCCCATTCTCATCATTGCCACCACCACCACTCTAGTTCATCCCTCCTACTCCAGTCTCCCCAGTGGTCTCCTTATTTCCACACTTGCCCCACTGCAGCCCAGTCTGCAAACAGCAGCCAGTGAGCTTTCTAAAATGCACACTGAGCCAGGCACAGTGATGAGCACCTGTAATCCCAACTACTCAGGAGGCTGAGGCAGGATAAATGCTTGAGCTCAAGAGTTCGAGACCAGCCTGGACAACATTTTTCCATCTAAAAAAATGAAAAACAGAAAACTTAAAAGTTTAAAAATAAGTAAAATGCACACTGGCCCATTTCACCCTGTGCATAAGGCCCAAGCCCCTGATCAGAGGCCCCAAATGCCCACCTTATCTGACCCCTTCCTACCTTATGAGCTGCATGTTCTATCATTCATCGTCTATCATTCACCTCCTTGCCCACCATGCTGCAGCCACACCAATCTTTTCCTGCAAACAGACTGAGCTTGTTCTTTTCCCAAGGCCTTGGCACTAGCTATTCCCTCTGCCTGGAATGCGCTTCCCCTTGTTCTGCACATTGTCACCCCTTCTGTCACTTAGAGAACTAAAATGTCACCTCCTCAGATAGACAGTCCTAGAGTGCCAAATCTAATGTGACCACCTCTGTACTCTGTATGATATCATGCTATTTTATTTCTCAGAATAATTATCACGATGTGACACTTTCCTTGTTTATTTGTGTGTTGTCTGCCTCCACCGGTATATGAGTTTCATAAGAGCAGGGGTGTTGCCTTATTCATTTCTATATCCTTAGGGTCTAGAGCCATGTCTGGCACATAGTATGGGCTCAATAAATTCTTGTCGAATGCCTGTGCCCATAGCACCTACTTCTGTGCCTAGCATCTGGGCACAGAGTAAATGTGAATGTGTCAAGTAATCCACTCCCAATAGGCCACCAGTGGTCAATAAGCATTTCTGGGCTAGAAGAGAGAGGGAAAAGATACACATACAGGAAAATGACAAGAAAAAATGAGCAGAGAAGACTAAAAAAGAAGATTGATTCCTCCAGAAGTGTCTTGGGAACTTTATGACACAACTGCCACTTCTCTGGTCCTAGTGTTGGCTGCCACCCAAGGGAGGGCCAAGGGGCTTCCCTTGGCCGCCGGGGGTGTTAGGTTCACACAGAACACACACAAGAATACAATACAGTTGGCAGTGCAGCTCAGAGGCCTTCTTGAGGCCTGCTTGTCCAAGGAAATTGGACCCTTTTGACCTCAACTGTTGTTTACTCTGCTCCTGTACTTCCTGGTGGCTGCAAGTTGATTTTCCCACCCCACCAGCCTCAGCATGGCAGCCCAGCCCTCCCATGCCTGATGACAGCTTGTTGCATCTATGGCTCCCACCTGCTCTCAGGCTGTGTGGCACCAGGGCTGCTAGCTGAGCATGGCATCTGGGGTGCGTGGGCAGTTTTGGCAGCCAAGCCGCTTTTTTCTCTTTGTGGACTCTCCGGGAGGCCTCATCTCTCCCTGAGAGCCCGGTAGGTGAGGGTCTGAGGGTGGTGTGTGGAGCTCACATTGTCCTGGTGAATCAAGATGGCTGCTGAGCTCACATCCAGGGCATGGGAAGGAGCAGCTCTCCTGAGCACCAGGCCCACACTGAGTCATAAGAGAACAGCAGCCATCCACACCATTGGCCCGGGAGAGAAGTTTCCCTGGGGTAGGGCAAGGCCCCGGTCTTCACTGTAATCAAGAGCCATGATGTAAGTAAACTCCTAGAACTACTGGCTTCTTATCTGAGGTGAGGACTCCAGGTGCCAGGGTCATGCAGGGCAGGGAAGGCCACTCTCTCTGTTTTGCGGCAGAAACTTTTCTGGGAAGTGGCTGCCCAGGGCATGGCCCTGCTTGTGGCTGTGTCTGCCTGGACTTCCTGGCTCACAGCTGAAGGGTCAAAGTGGCATACACTGGGTCCTCTCACTCCTCTGTCCACTGGGCACCTCATCCAGCACTCCGAGGTGGTCCTTGTGCCTGAGCCATGGGCCTAGAGCTCAGGAGAAGTGTGTGTCTAACCAGGTTTGCATCTGAAGAGCCAGGCAGCTGCTCAGGGACGCTCTGAGATTTTGTTCTGCTGATGTGTCCCTGCCTCTATTCCTAGCCTTGGATAGTTGCGGGAGGAATTTTAGGGACAAATCCTCTTTTTGGGGTGCCTGGGGCACTACCCTGTCTCAGGCCTAGCTCTCAGCCTTCAGTCCTAGGCCAAATCCTCTGTGGGGCCAGGTGGCTTGCTCAGGGGGAATCTGAGGGAGTTCCTGAGCCCACCTGAGGAGAACAGTGCTCAACAGAGGATGCAGGCCTTCCTGGGCCATGATGCTGTAGGAGAAGGCAGGGACTCCCACGAGAGCCAGCCTCGCTCAGCAGTTACCTTAGAAACCCCCATTTCTGCCTTTGCTTGTGTCCTGGCCTCTCTGGCATCTGTTCAAAGGCTACTGATCAGGAAATAGGTGCTCTGTTTACCAGGTGGCACCTGCTTATCTGCCATAGCCAAAGTCCATCCTGAATTCCTGCCCCCACCCTTTCCCGCAGCATTGTGCCTGCACCCTTCTCTTTCTCCAAGACCCCTAAACTTCCGCCTGCTAGAGGAGGGAAAGGGGTTGGTTTTCCATATTAGCCAGCAGGGGGTGCTGTTGCCATAGGGTCAGAGCTTCTAGGGGTGTGGGCTGGGGAACCAAGCTGCTAATCCCCTGGGGAGCACCTGGGGGTGGCCCCTGGTCTTGCTGGGCAGACAGCGGGGGGAAGATGGACTGACAGACACGCCCCATCCAGCAGTGGAGGCACCCTTATCACTTCCTTCCTGCTGTGCCCAAGCATCCAAAGGGCAAGGCCGAGCAGTCTCGGGACATGGTTGTAGGTTCTAGCTGTGGTCTCCAGTGGCCTGGGCCTTCCTGGGGCAGCCTGTGGCTTTTTCACCTGCTGCCCTACTCTCTTTAGCTTAGTGTCCTTGGTTCCCTAGACTCATAACCTAGGACAGAAGCCAAGGCCTAAGATCTTGTTTTGGCCCTGGCTGTGGACATATAGACTCCTAGGCAGAGTGGGGGGTCTCCTACACTTCTCCCAGAATGGGGCACCCAGGGAGGGGGGATGGGTCCTGCTCCAGCCAGTCTCATGTCCTGGCAAATCCTGTCATCTGATTCTGCTCTCAACTAGGCCTATCTCTATCCCCTGTGGCCACAGCCCTAATATGCCTGGATCACTTGAGCTGCCTCTAGTCTACCTCCCAGCCTCCAGTGTGCAGAAGGGACCAGATAGGGTGGAGCAAGCAGGCAGGGCAGGTGCTTAGGGTGAAACCTTTAAGGAGCTACTCACCGTCAGACTCACCCAAGTATAGGGTTGGCCCCTGAGAGCGAGTACCTCCTTAAATGTTGTGCCTTTAGGAAACTATCTCACCCTAGTCTTGCCCTGGTGTGCCACAGGCGTAATCCTCTGTAGCAGCCACAGAAAGTTTTCTAAAGCATAGGTCAGGCCACCAGTGGCCCTCACAAGACCTGCCCTAGCATTTAATTCAACAGACACCTGATGATAGACCCTGGTCTGGGCCTTGGCTCCAGAAAGGAAGGCAACATCAGTCCAGCCCTGAGCGGCCTCTGTCTACCAGGATAGAGTCCACTCTTGAGCACAGCATCCAGGCTCTTCAGAGTGTGGCCCCTACTGGTTGGTCCAGCCTCAGCTTCTGGGGCAGCTACTCCAGGCCACACCAAAAGCGAGATCCGTTCTGCACTTCTGAGCTGCCAAGCCTTTCCTTGGGCTGTTTTCACGTTCTGGAATGCCCTCCCCTACTATTAGCCTATTAACCTTTGACTCATCCTTTGAGGCTTTGCTGAACTGTCCCCTCCTCAGAGTAGCCATCTGTGAACAATGACTGAGATAACCTGCTCCGTCTCCATACTCCCAGCATCTCTGCCTCTTTGCCTCTTACTCGAGGTATGACATACGTCTGGCACTGCAATCAGAGCACACTTACTAAGTGCCTACTGCCTGAGAGCAATGTGCTGGGTGCCAGAGTGGGGGTGTGGGGGTGGTTCTGAGCATCCTCTGTCCTTGGAGAGCTCACATGCAGGTTAGTAGTGGAGACCACGGTGCTTACTTCTAAGTCCCCTCACAGGGCCCAGCGTAGGCCCAAGGCTGAGAAGCATTCCAGGACCATCAGCTGTCCCTAAATCTTTAGCCTTCTGGAGTCACCTCCTCCACTAAAAGCAAAGCATAACACACTCATGCCCCAGCCCATGGGGCTGTGAGAAGCCCTCTCCAATATTCACGGGGATTCTCAAGGAAGAAATAACGGCTTTTGCTTCCTGGAGGTGACTAGCCACCAGAGGCCTCCTGGCTTAGAGCTCCCAGCATACCCTTGTCCATTTTGCTCCCAATTATGCACCCAGACCTTTAAACACTCCCAGTGCAGCAATTCATGCTGGCTATCTGATGTGGTGACACATTCACTGTGGTTTGTCACCTGTCAAGGTGGAGGGCGGTCATGCTTTCTCCCACACCATCCAGGCAGGTGGGTCTCTGCTGACCCTTTGCTCCTCTTGCCAGTCAATCAGTCAATTGGTCAACAGATGCTTTCCCAAGGACTTACTCATGCAGAGAAAAAAACTGGAATCTTTCACACCTGGCTGAGGTCCTACCTAAATTTCTTTGTGGACCTACTTTCCAGGAGAGGAATGGAACAGCCAGCTAATGTTAACAGCTCCTTTCCCCTGTTCTGTGTCTGGGTGGCCCTTGCCACTAGGCTCCCAGTCTCTGCAGGACTTTGAGGGGCCACACATGTCAACAGGGCTATGGGAAAGGGAGCAGAGGTCCCCTTGGAGAGATAGAACCTGGCAGAAACAACCACAGCGCTGCTTGGAGAAGCCACATTCTTCCTCCCCTCCTTCTGGGGCACCCACCAGTTTCTGTGGAAATTGTCTTATTGCAAAGACCATCGTGGGGAAAATGTGCATGCTGCTGAGGCCATCTGAATCCACCATCCATATTCCTATCTATCCATCTGTCTGTTCGTCCATCCATCCATCCATCCATCCATCCATCCATCCAACCATGTCACACTGGTTCATGGGGCACCTGCTCTCTGCTCAGCTGAGGCTGGCTCCTGAGGCTACAACAGTGAACAGGGCCGAGCACCCACAGGGACACCTGTTCTCCTGTCTCTGCCCTGCTTTCCTTCCATAAATATACCAATAACTCAGCATTTGCTGAGTCCAGACCACAAAGACACATTCCTGTGGGTATTTATTAGCTTGAGCTACATCTACCATTTCTAAGATGTAACATCAAATGGAGCCCAACACAGACATTCTGAGGACCAGGTCCTCTGCCAGGTCAAATTTATGGGCTAGGATTAGAGTTGGATTCCCTGGATCAAAAATACTATTTGGACCGGGCAGAGGACCAGCATCACTGTTTCTAACCCTGGGCCACAGGAGAAAGAAGGGACAACAACCTATTTGATCTGTGGCCTCACTAAAAGCTGCCACGGTTGGTGGGCCCCTCCGTGGCACTCCTTCACTGTCCTGAGCCTCATTTCCAGGGCTGCCCCTGGAGTTGGGATTCCCAGGTTGAGTCACCAGGGTTGCCAGGCGCTCATGGCACAAGCTCCACTCTTGCAGTATTTGGACTTTCCCTGGCCCTCTCCCAGGCCAGCCACCCTGATCCTAAGCCTGGGCTGGTGAAAGTCAGTGTTGGCCCATACAGGGATGCTAGGGAGGTCTTGCTGCCTCTCCTTCCACTGGCTAGCTGGCTGCTTCCAGAATAGCCACCACTGATACCTGCCCCAGCCCCAGCTCTTCTGGGCTGAGGGAGCTCCATTTAGTCTGATTTATGTCTTTCCAAGAGCCATGGTCTCAGGGCCATAAGGAAAGAGATCCTTACCATAGACTTGTGGTCTCAAAGGCATGCATTTAGGAAACATGGGCTTGCCAGTGACACTGTCCACCTTGACCCCAGGTACTGCTGTGGGCTGCAGAGATCAGGGAGGGTACTGGACTCTCCCTCTGCCACCCAAACTCCCAGCCTTCTTGTCTCAGATCCAGGGCCAACCCACCATAATCCCTGGCCTGAGCTCCAAGCCCTGGGGAGGGAAGGAAGTGGCTGACCCCACGGCCAGCATTCCTCTGTGATGACTACAGTCCGCCTTCTGCCCAGCCATCCCAGCTGGAAGGCAGTTCTCAGGGAACTACAAGGGAAGCCCCTCCCACAAAAGCCAAGGCATCTTCTGCAGAGTGGGGCTTCCTTCAACTGGGGACATGGCAGGACCTGAGTGGGCTAGGGGTCCTGTGGGGGAGCAGGTCAGAAGGCATATGGACCTCACAGATGCCTCGAACTCACCCTACTCCTTTTCTCACTTAGTAAACAGTCACAAGCCCCCCGTGGAGGTTGGTGGGTTCTAGATCCAGGAGACTAGACCAGACAGTCAGGGCTCACTCTCAAGGGCTCCAAGTCATGTTCGGGGAAATCCTCCAACAAATAAGCAAAAGAGGACACTACGGATATGATCTCAGTAAGGAGACCTCATCGTATAAGGACAATAAGATGGGATGTGACAGTGAGGGGACAGCTGGGGACCTCAGTCATTTGAGGGGATATCCCAATTCCTCAGATCCCACCTGCCTGCGCACAGTCCCCTCTTTCCCCGCGTGCACACCCTCAAACCCCTTAGCTTGTAGAACTCCTCCCTCATTCCCTAAAGGCCACCCTGCAGGCAGGTCCATCCTTCACACCCCCACCCTCAGCATGAACACCATCCGGAGAGGCCTGGGCAGGTGCATTCAGGTGGGGCTTTTCCGGGGCCGGTTTTCCCCGGCTCCCGCTGGAACTTCCAGCTGGCCACTGGCCGGTAACACTGGACGCCCGCCCGTCCCCCGGCCCCCGCCGCTGCGCAGACCTCAGCGCTCCCAGCGTGGTTCGGTTCCCGGAAACTCCTCGATTTCCCTGTTGCCGCCGCGTTTGCAAGAAACCGAAACCCAGGCTCCGCCCCTTCGGCGCGGCCCCGCGGAACCCGGCGATGGGGCTGACCCCCACTGGATGGCCGGACCCAAGCCCTCCCCTACCCGGCCCCTGCGCCCCGCCCCACCGCCAGCTGCAAGGCCCAGGCGGAGGTGGGAGCCATCTGAGTGCCTGCGCGCCGAACCCCGGCGGGCAGCATCCGTCCAGCCGCTCAGCACCACCCGCGCCTCCAACGGGAGAGCCGCAGGTCTATCCCAAGTCTCAGGCTGCAACGGATGGCAGTGCCCCGGCAAGGGACGCAACGCGGCCTTCCCCTGCGGCAATTTACAAGCGGGCGCCTTTTCTGTGCATCCCCTATGTCCCTGCGAAACCGAGCGGAAGGGGAAGGTGGGGGGGGAGCAGGGAAGTGCAGAGGTGTTCGCGGAAAGCTCTGCACCCCGATTGTTGCTAGCTCCATCTCGCAGGGTGAGATAATGGGCACAGAGAAGTTTAGTAACTTGCCTGAGGTCACACAGCCTGTAGCTGCTGACCCGGCTGCAAACCCATGGCCTATAGCAAGAGGCTGGGCGGGGAAGGAGGAGGAAGTGCCTTGGTCGCGGGCAGGTGAGCCGCCTGGCAGGGGCGGGGCTGCCAGCTTGCTGGGGGTAGGGGTGGAAGTGGGGTGGGGAGGAATAGGTAGGGAGGAGGCGGGCAGCCACCAGGGCTGGGAGGATCTGCAGTTCTCCTGCTGGCCCTCCCTTTCCAGGAAGCCGGCCAGCTTGGAGCCGGCTGCTCACCCCGACTCACCCCCCGCCTGGGCGGAGCAGGAATGTGGAAGTTGGCCCGAAAGGACTGTGCCCCCTCCCCGTCAAACACCCCCCCCCCGCGTCCCCCACCAAGTTCTGGCCGGGGCTGTGGAGCGTGGGTCACCTGGGGGCGAAGGACTCCACATCACGGTGAAGTGGAGGTGCTGCAGCCCCCACAAAGACCGAGAAGCCTGCCAGGGGCGCCCCGGGCGAACGGCAGTGGGCGTGGGCCGTTCTGCAGCACCCATTGGCGCGGGGGAGGAGAGTGCTGATCCCATCAAGCCCCGCTCCAGGTCGCGGCCGCTGGGCCTGGCCCAGGAGCCTCCCCCGGCCTCGGGGCCCCATGGGACTGACAGGGGGCTGAGTTCTCTTTCCTCCCAACGGCGGTGTTTATAAGAAATGAAGCTCCGCAGCGGCCATCAGCGGCAGCCCACACTGTCACCCCGCCCCGCTCTCAGGGGGTTCCGGAACAGCCCTGAGCACTGGAGCAATTCCTTGGCTCAGTATTCTATCATGACCCCCTAGTGATTTTCCAGCCAGCTTCAGCCCCACATTCTGCATTTAGGAATTTTATAACAGTGCAACGTTTATTCTGCTGTGTCATACAGCATATTTTGCCAAACCTTTGAGAGGGGAGGGGCTGGTCTGGTGCCCCAGTGTATCTCCAGAACCAAACCTGGGGTTCACCAAAAAGCAGGCCTGCGTGATTCATATGTGTTGAATGAATTAAGGGACTTTCTTTCTCTCCAGTTAGGCTCCTTGCAGGCAGGGTGATGACCCTTGGATTCTGCCTTCAAGCTTTTGGATGCTTTTATTTCTGGCTTGTGTTCTGCAATTCACAGTTTAGGACTGCCTGCCTCCCAGGTTTCTGTGAAAATCGAGATGAAGGCTTTGAGCATTTCAGAGAGCCCTACTACTTCTGGACCTGGAACCTGGAAGGCATGCTGGGGAGTTTGTCTGCTTTGGGGACCGTGGCCCCCTCTCTGGGTAGCAGGCTCCACAGGTAGCAGGTCTCCCAGTCGAAAACCTAGTTCAGGTCGGGCGCCGTGGCTCATGCCTATAATCTCAGCACTTTGGGAGGCCGAGGCGGTGGATCACCTGAGGTCAGGAGTTGGAGAACAGCCTGGCCAATGTGGTGAAACTCCATCTCCACCAAAAATACAAAAATTAGCTGGGCATGGTGGCGGGTGCCTGTAATCCCAGCTACTTGGGAGGCTGAGGCAGGAGAATTGCTGAACCCCTGGAGGTAGAGGTTGCAGTGAGCCAAGATCACGTCACTGCACTCCAGCCTGGGTGACAGAGCGAGACTCCGTCTCAAAAAAACAAAACAAAAAAACACCTAGTTTAAACCTCACTGGCACCTGCACCTCAGCTCTCACAAACTCTCATTTCTGAGCACACACTCATCTCTATCAGCAGAGGATTTAACCACAGGTTGCCAAGAAATGTCTGTATCTGAGAGAATTCATAATCTGAGATAGAAGGAACACTAAACTCCAGAGGAAGAGGGGTCACACATCAACTTAACTAGGATTTACTGAGTGCCTACCATGGTAGCCACTCTTCGGGGGAGTGCAAGGATGGCGGCATCACCTTAGTGTGGTCCGTGTGGCCCTGTGCATTGATGTGTGTGTGCATGGTGACATGTTGGGAGCCATGCTTCTGGGCTTCAGGACTAACTGCAGCCCACTTAGGGGGTGAACAGTGTTTTGAGAGCCTGAGGGAGGGGACTGGGGACAAGAATTGTCTGTCAGGGTAGAGGCTCCCACAGGGTGTGTGAATGTGTGTGTGAGATGATCTTGCCTTCAGCATCCTGATTGCAGAAGTCACTTCAAAGGAGCCCCTGCCAGCCAGTTAGCCTCCTCTTGCCAGCACAGAAAAATCCAGGTCCCAATACAGAGAGGCCACACAATGAATTCACCCTCATTGAGTGAGGCTATGGATGAGAGGCATCTGTAAGGAAGACCTTGCACAGTGCAGGGTGCTGGCTACCCTCAGCTAACCCCTAGCTCGCTTCAGCTGCTGGGCATGAGGAACCTGCTTAGATTTCTCACAGAAAACATGGAGAGTTCTTTTTCTCACAGAAAAAATGTAGAGTTTGTTCCCCAGAGTTTGTTCCCACCATGTAGAAAGTGACCAGTGGTGAAAAGGAAACATAGGAAAGTTAAGGACCAAAGGGTCCAAGGAGGGAAAAGAAAGGACTTCTGGTTGGTTGCTTTGCGGGCATTTTGAAGAGATCAGGCATATGCTCTGGGCCTTAAAAAAAGACACAGAGATTGAAGTGGTGGGGTGGGCAAGGGAGAGAGAGATGGAGAGAGGGTGAGTGTTGCCAAGTATCCTGAGGAGACAGGGATGAGGGGACAAACACAGTGTGTTCAGATAATGGAAATACAGTGAAAGGTTCATGCGTTCCTGTTCATACATTTCATTTGACTTATGTCTTACAGTTTGGAAATAATTTTGATAGTCTAATTTTACAATTAGGAGAGATGGAGAGAGATTATCTCTATTTTACAGATGAGAAAACTGAGCCCCAGAGAGGGACAGTAACTTGCTAAGATCACATAGCAAGTGGAAAAAGCACAATAAGAACCCAGGCTTTCAGACTCAAATCCTGTGTTCTCTTTTCATCCCCCTTTAGTTTCATCTTCCCTACTGCCAAGGGTAGGGAAGCTGTCAGGGACAGAAGGTTGGAATGGGACCCCAGGACAAGACTGAGCAGAGATTTGAATGTGGGGCTGAATGTAGGGGAGCTCAGAAGGCTCCTGGGTGGCCCCGAGTGTTAGGGAGATCATCCGAGTTAGGGAGATCATTCCAGTGCAGAGGCACCATCTTCCCCATCTACCTGGGCAAGGCAAGGAGGCCCAAGGGGAGGTTGGGGCAACAATAGTCTGGTCCTGGACTATGAAATCACAACCCGATACAGGGAAGGAAGACCCAGAAGACCAGGTGGGAAAGAAAAGGGCTGGCTCCGAATTAATAAGAGCCTACAGGAGCCTATGTGTTCTGCTGGGGATCACAGAATGTTCTACATCTTAGAATGTGATTCATCAAAAGCCATTACAATAAAAATGTTGGGTACTTAAACATGGCTTAGCTTTATTTCACTGATTTGGAGTATAGCACCCCTAGTCATAATAAGCATATTCTTACAGGCTTCAAAATAAAGTAAGAATCCCTAAGGTTAAAAAAAAAAAAAAGGTCAAAGATGTAAATGTAAATGACAGTTTCATTGGTAAATCCTAACTGGGGAATTTCTCCTAAGCAAAAAATTATTGATATGCACAAAGATTTAGCTAATAGTGTTGTTTGTATTACGAAAAAATGGAAATAACCTAACTGTCCTACAATAGGGGATTAATTGGGTAAATTTTTATTTATCCTTGTGAAAGAATAATGTATACCTATTACAAATGACATTGCATAAGTACATTTCATGACATGGAAAGATGCTCATTATGGCTAAATATACATATGCATATACGGGTATATTTATACCTGTATCTGTGAATTAAAATTAAGTTTTTGTTTTAAAGCATTTTTTATAGTGTCCTGTTGCCTTCACAGGGTCACTGTGGTCAACTTATCAGACCACAAAGATGCAAACTTCCTTTCCCTAATCTCATCCTGAATTTTCCAGTGGATGTGTCAGGTTCTCAGGGGAAGGACAAGCATCTATTTGCTGTACCAAGAAAGGATCCCACGACTCAGGGGTCACTTGTTTTCTCTTATTCTTGCTCAGAAGGTCTTGGTCCCTGTAGCAAGTCCCCACTTCCATTTGTCACTTAAAGTACCCCAAAACCCACCTTTCCATTCCAGAGTGTCATTGCCCTCCACTTTGCTTAACACTCAGTTAGGTTCCTTCCTCAGTTTCTCCTACCTCCTTTCCTCTCCTAGCTCCTGACCCACCTCTATCTGGTAGACAGTTTTGCCCATTCCTGCTGGTATCCTGGGAACCAGGTTTGGCATTGGTCACAGCACTCAGATTGCAATGCGCCAGAATGGGATTAACCCATGCATTTCCTCTACGGGAGGGAGGTAGAGTGACTGGCAAGTCGAATGTTGCATGGGTGTGTCTATTTATAGCCTGCAAAATGGGGTGCTGCCCTGGAGGGAGAGCTGGGGTGAAGGAAATGACACGCCTGGGAGAGTAACTTACTTCTGCAGGAGCTTTAGGGAGATGAAGGAAGAAGCCTCCTGGGCCAGAGTTTTGGATGGAAAATGAACACCCAGTCAAGTCTCTAGGACTATACGTGGGGCGGGGACTAGTTGTGCGCGAGAGTTAAGTAGGGGCCTTACCAAGGAGCATGGGACCTGGGCTCCCCAACCCTTTGGCTAGCCCCATGGCGTTGATCAGCCCTGAGCTAATTCCTCCATGCTGCCCAGAACCTCTCTGGGCCAAGCCCTGGGGACTCAGAGATGACAGCAATGCTTCCATTGCGGAACTCCCATACGCGGGCCACAGGGAGGCTCTGGAGGCGGCCTGAGGCAAGAGTGCTAGGAGGGATCAGAGCTAGCCCACCCCTACCCTCACTCAGCCGTCTGGGCTTCTCTGAACCCCTTCTCCTCCTCTGTTCCCTAAAGCCAGCCAGGGGGAGTCCCAGGGAGGCAGACCGAAAAGGGGTGGGGTGTCATCCTGGTCACTATTAGACCCTGCAACGGCGACCTTGAAAACTACTCAGCGTCTGTTGCCCGAGTGGAGCATAGTGCTTTACAATCTCTTCCCATCACAGCAAACCATCAAGGTAGGGCTACTATTATTTTATGGTTGAAAAACAGAGGTCCTGCGTCCCTTGGGGGCTGTGCCAGCAGCGGCCAAGTTGGGATTTCCCCTGGTCCAGCAGCCCCAGACAGCACACGGGGCAGGGTAGGCTTTCTGCCTTCTTCACTTCCCCAGGGCAGGTGAGTGACCTGGAGGGAGGGGGTCACCCCTAAAAACAGGGGTAGTGCTAGGACTGAAACCCTCCCTTCTTGATATCCCACTGGCAAGCTTGAGGAGCCAGGCTGCCAGTCGGGAGATTCGGCCCAGTGTTCCCACTGGAGAGGGCGGCAAGTGCCCGGGCGATCCCCTCACCTGCGTTCGGGAGATATACCCCCGCCCCCGCCCCGCCAGGAGGGTGAAAAGATGGCCCCAGGAGCCAGCCGGCTGGGACAAGGCGGAGTGAGAGGACAGGCTGGGGCCAGGGGCGCTGGGCTGTCCCGGGCAGCCCTCCTCCGGGCAAGCCGGAGCAGGGGTGGATTGGGAGCGCTCGGGGCGGGCCCGCGGTGGCCCCGGGGCGGTGGCGCCCGGCCGGAGAGGGTGGGGCGGAGCAGCCGCCCTGTACTTCCCCTTCGCCGCTAGCTCTACAACAGCCTGATTTCCCCGAAATGACGGCACGCAGCCGGCCAATGGGCGCCCGCGCGGCTGTCCGGGGGCGGGGCCGGCCAGGGCTGGGGAATCCCGCTAAGTGTTTGGATTGCTCGGTGGCGCCGCTGCCCTGGCAGAGCTCGCCACTCCTTAGTCGAGGCAAGACGTGCGCCCGAGCCCCGCCGAACCGAGGCCACCCGGAGCCGTGCCCAGTCCACGCCGGCCGTGCCCGGCGGCCTTAAGAACCCGGCAACCTCTGCCTTCTTCCCTCTTCCACTCGGAGTCGCGCTCCGCGCGCCCTCACTGCAGCCCCTGCGTCGCCGGGACCCTCGCGCGCGACCGCCGAATCGCTCCTGCAGCAGAGGTGAGTACGCCTTTGAGGCGCGGGGCACCGGCGGCGTCGAATAAAAGGCGCGCGGGGCACCAGGAAGTGGGGGGTCGAAAGCTCCAGGCTGGAGACTCGCCGGCGCGCGGCGTTGCCCGGGCCTCCGCGCGGGCTCCGGGGGGCGCCGGAGGAGCTGCGAGCCGCGGGCCGCGGCGCGGGGAGGGCGGGACGCGGCGTGGACCGCCCACCCGGACGAGGCTGCCGGCGCCCGGCAGCTTTCGCAGATCTGCGTGCGCGCAGCCGCCAGGGGCCTGTAGGTGGCCCGCTATGTTCGTCCCGCGCATCCACACGCCGTGCCGGGGACCGAGTGTCAGCCCACGCGTGGGCGCCCAGTGCTCCCGGCTTTCGGCGGTCCCAGCTCCGCGCCCAGGCGACAGGTTTTGGGCTCCCTGTGCTGGTGGCAAGGGCTGGCTTACTGCCCAGGTGGCTGGAGGGAATCGTGACCTACGGAGACTGCGGGAAGAGGCGCCACAGGTGTTCCTTGGGCCACTTCTCCAGAGGAGGGGAAACCGGGCCGGAAGGGTTAGCGTCCTGGTCTTAGCGTTGTGGGCGCTGTGGCTGTCAGGAAGGCGTAGAATGGATTCAGGGGGGCGGGAGGGGGCTGTTCAGGGTGACGGCTAGCCCTTTGCTAGCTAGTGGTTACAACTCAAGTCAAGGGAATTTCTTCTTGGCATCAAGCAAAAGAAGTCCCTCCCTTCCCAAAGGATTTGAATTTTGAGCGAAAAGTTCTGAAATTAGGGTATCTGTGCATTTTGTCTCTTTTCCTGCATATGAATCCTGAAGCCATCACTTGCATGCCTGTCTCCTCCAGAGACTGGCTGGGAGGGGCTGAAGGAAGGGGCAAAAGCATTTTTGCCTAAGATGCTGAAAAAATTTGGAGAGCAGTTTTATTCCAGCGCAGCTCCCCTCCGCACTGAGTGTAGTACCTAGCAGCTGGCTGAGGTGAGGGGAGGGTAACTAAGTGACCTCGGGTGGGGCAGGTCACTGCCCAGGTACTGTTCAACAGATTCCAGACTGGAGCCTCTGTGTTCTCTTTACAGCCAACATGCCCATCACTCGGATGCGCATGAGACCCTGGCTAGAGATGCAGATTAATTCCAACCAAATCCCGGGGCTCATCTGGATTAATAAAGTGAGTGTAACTCTTTGGGTTTTCCTGCCACTGTTTTAACCCATGTACTTCTGGAGGGACCAAAGCTTCAGATGCAGCTCAAAAAGGGAAGTGATAACGGGACAAGCAGGTGTTTCTCCCAGTGGGTCCTGCATGCAGGGAGTGTGCACGGCCCAGCCTGGGCCTCACTTGCATGACTCCTGCCTTCTTCCCTTCTTGAGGTAGGGCACCCACCTGAAGGCACTTCCAGTTTCCAGCAGCAAGACTTTCCAGCATCTGCAGAGCTGGAGTTCTGCTCTCCTCTAAGCGAGACCCTTACAAACATACACAGCACTCTGCAGGGCTCCAATCGAACAAATAGAAGACTGAGAAGTGGATGCTGCTGGGCAGAAACGTGCCTGGCTTAGCAGAGGACAAACGAGTTAATCTTGCACCAGTCACTCTGGCCCAAGAAGCCTATAGCTGGTGCACTTGGGGCAACATAGACCCTATAGACTTAGTAGCAATGATAGTATTCATAATAATAGCTAATGCTTACTGAACACTCCCTGTGTGCCTGGCACCTGCTAAGTATGTTATTTACATTGTGTCATTTAATCCTCGCAGTAGTCCTGTGGGTTAGATCTTACTAATGTCATCATTTTCAGATAAGTAAACAGAGGCACTGAGAGGTAGATCATAAGATCACACAAAAAGTGATGAAGCCAAGATTTGAACTTGAACGGTCTGACTCAGAAATCTTTACTGTTAACCATAAGTGATATAATAACAGTAAGACCTTAGACTTCATATTTGTCACTGTGTCCCTACACATCCTCTGGTTTTTAATCCTCAAAATTTTGTTGGATATGTTTTCTCATTTCCGAGAAGAGAAAACTGAGGGGCAAAGAGATACAGTGACAATGCCAGGGTTACACAGTGTTCACCATCCAAGTCTAGCCCAGAGCTCCCTCAGTGGTATGACCAGGACCCCCTGTGTAAGAGCCCATGCTCCCAGGTGTCCTGAGGAGTCCTTTCTAATGGAAGAAGTTCTTACTTCCATGTGGGTGCTTACAAGCCAGAGAGAAACATCCCAGAGCTTCAAAACCAGGGCTTTGGGGGAGGGTGCCCTGTGTGGGTCCTAGCACATGTGTAACAGGCAGAGGGAGGTCTTTGTGAGCTAATAATGCTGCAGCTCATCCAAACTAGGTGTCCCTCCTGAGAGATCCAGAGTGGTCTGTTTAAGCCAGCCTCAAGATGGGTGTCCAAGCCAGATGTCAGGGGAAAAAAGGGGAAGTCAGCCTTTTCTCAGACCTGTCTGGCTGGGCAGGCCTGGGTCTCAGACTCAGCCCCAAAGTCTGTGGTCTCTGACCTGACACAGCCTTATGTGTATGTGTGTATTGTTCAGGAGGAGATGATCTTCCAGATCCCATGGAAGCATGCTGCCAAGCATGGCTGGGACATCAACAAGGATGCCTGTTTGTTCCGGAGCTGGGCCATTCACACAGGTGTGTGCCTGGGACTCAGGCCTAGGAAGCCCAGGGTAGAGACAAGAGGAGGCACTCACGTTAACACAGAGGCTCTTCACTGGGGTCCCTGAGCTCCCTGAGACAACATGCAGAATTACTGGGAAGAGGGGCTGGTGGCAGACTTGTGTTTCTGGAGAAGAGAGTCGATCATCTCAGCAAATTCTCAAAGGGAAAAGCCAAGATCTTAGAAAGTGTGTGGCTTCAGGGGGTTTGTGGCTAGATGAAAGTTCTCCCTGGCAAAAGCATCTGTGAAAAGCAGCTGTAAGCCAGGGCACTGAAAGAGACCCAGGTCTGCCTTTTTCTTCGTGTTGACCAAGGCCCTTGGTCCAAGCCTCATGTGGTTGGTGGCCTCCTTTATCCTTGAGAGATGGAGCTCTAGGCCCATCTCAGAACAGTCAGCCCACCCATTTAGTAACTGTTCTCTGCTGCCCAGTCTGTGCCCACTCTACCCTCTGGCTGCTGATAGCCCAAGGAGGAAGACTGGGCATAGTCTGAGACACAGATAGTACACTTTGGGGATATGGGGACTCTAGTGCTTCTGGCTGGGCCCTTCACTGAGGCCCGCTAGATGTGTTTAAGCCAAGCCTGGGCATTTGAGAAGGCCCAGGGCCTAGGACCTGCAGAGTGTCACCGGGAGTACCTGCTGGTTTGACCACTGTGGCTCTCTGGTAGCATAAGAGGTCAGGGGTACCTTGCCTTCCTCCTTCAGGCCAGGGGCAGCTGAGGATCCCTACCCATGGCCCTGACGATCCTCTTTTTTCTCCTGCCCTCTAGGCCGATACAAAGCAGGGGAAAAGGAGCCAGATCCCAAGACGTGGAAGGCCAACTTTCGCTGTGCCATGAACTCCCTGCCAGATATCGAGGAGGTGAAAGACCAGAGCAGGAACAAGGGCAGCTCAGCTGTGCGAGTGTACCGGATGCTTCCACCTCTCACCAAGAACCAGAGAAAAGGTATCCAAGGACTCTGGGTCCTTGGGAAGCCCTCAGGGAGGGAGGGTAGAAGGAGGTCAGCTGGGGCTGGAGAGCCTGCACCAAGGCTGACAGCCCGTCTGCCCCACAGAAAGAAAGTCGAAGTCCAGCCGAGATGCTAAGAGCAAGGCCAAGAGGAAGGTGAGTGTGGTCCTAAGCAGCCAGGCCTTTGGTCACCTGTGGGCCAGGGTGAGCAGTGGAAGAAATGCTAAGGTGGGCCTGGGCCTAAGCTGCTTTCTCCCTCGACAGTCATGTGGGGATTCCAGCCCTGATACCTTCTCTGATGGACTCAGCAGCTCCACTCTGCCTGATGACCACAGCAGCTACACAGTTCCAGGCTACATGCAGGACTTGGAGGTGGAGCAGGCCCTGACTCCAGGTGAGCTGGTCCAGGTCTGGCAGGAGACCCCACAGGTCAGTGGGATGACTCTTTCTCTTGGAGGCATGGTGCTGGCACATGGTGGCCCATTAGTGCAGGCTGCAGGGTTGGTCGGAGGGCGCTCGATGTCTTGCAAACTAAGAAAGCACACAACCTTGACCTGTGGCTTCTGCTGTTCCCCAGCACTGTCGCCATGTGCTGTCAGCAGCACTCTCCCCGACTGGCACATCCCAGTGGAAGTTGTGCCGGACAGCACCAGTGATCTGTACAACTTCCAGGTGTCACCCATGCCCTCCACCTCTGAAGGTTGGTGCTCCTGGGGCCTGGCCTGCCTGCTTGACTGTCTGGGTCCTGTGAAGGGCTTCCTGAGAGAGAAAAGATGATCAGAACTCCACCTGGCACTGAATTGATTGAGTTGGGCATTGCCCAGTCTTAGCCACCATAGGGGGAGGCAAGCGACGGGGACACTAGGAAGGCAGTTCAGAGTGGGCTGCAGTACAGTGGGGGCTGGTGAGAGGAGGGAAGGGGGCCAGGGGCTGCATTTTGGGGTGCTGGTTCTCCTTCCTCCTCTGTAGCCCAGCATCTGAGGGTGAGGAAGGAAGTAGGGTAGGGGTGGGAAGCGGCGTGGCTTCAGGGTTTGAGAGGCTGAGTCACCAGGCCAGGGTCCTGTTCTGGAATCTCTATGGCAGATAGGTCCACCGGGAGGGTGTGTGTGTGTGTGTGTGTGTCAGAGAGACAGAGAGACAGAGAAAGGGCAGGGGGATCTGGTGGGCTGGAACTGGAACTGCAGGGTGAGTGTGGCTGACTGCCAGCCAACCTCTCTGCTTTCCCCATCCACAGCTACAACAGATGAGGATGAGGAAGGGAAATTACCTGAGGACATCATGAAGGTAAAGCCCCTTCCTACCTGGGCACTCTTGAAGTGACCGTTTCTCAGTGAGGAGAGAGAACCAGTGAAGCTTCCAAATCAGAGGATGGGTAGCTGCTGTTGTCACCTGGCTGCTTGCATTGTCCCACAAGTGCCACATTCACGTGGCTTGACTGGTGGGAAAGCCACCATGGGAAGGGAAGGCAGGTGGGAGGCCTGGCCTCTGACAGGCCGTCCTGAAGCAAGCCTTGGGGCATCAGACAGCTCTGTGAGTCAGGCACTATCAGCGATGGGTCCCTGGCCTGCATCCTCTGCCCCAACATGCCCCAGCCCTGCTAGTTCGGGAAATGCACATCAGGCTTCAATAATCAGCCTTTAGGATCCGTTAATATGATGATGGCTTTATAGAAAAAGTTAGCAAATTATCCTCCAGGTTTTTTTTTCTGCTTCAGTTTTGAAAGTGAATATAGTTTTTGCAGCCGGGGGCAGTGGCTCATGCCTGTAATCCCAGCACTTTGGAAGGCGAAGGTGGGTGGATCACCTGAGGTCAGGAGTTTGAGACCAGCCTGACTAACATGGTGAAACCCATCTCTACCAAAAATATAAAAATTAGCTGGGCCTGGTGGCGCATGCCTGTAATCCCAGCTACTCTGAAGGCTGAGGCAGGAGAATCGCTTGAACCTGAGAGGCGGAGGTTGCAGTGAGCTGAGATTGTGTCATTGCACTCCAGCCTGGGCAACAAGAGCAAAACTCCATTTCAAAAAAAAGTTTTTGCAGTAGTTGTACGCCAGCTGTTCCATTAGCCCAAAAAATTGAGACATGGATGTCGTTCCTTATCTCTAGCTTTTCTAGTCATCTTTTCTTGATTTATTATGCTAACCTTTGTTTTAAGCCACATTCCCTCTTACTATGTCCTTACACAGTTGAGAGGGAAGTCGTGGAGATGCTATACCAGAGAGTGGGTGTGAGAGGGGTGGGAAAATGAATTGAGGACCAGTGCCAACATGCATTTCTGCCTCCTCCCTCCCGGGCCCTTGTCCTGACTGCAGTGCACTTCTGCATCCTATCTGAGATTGTGAAAATGGCCAAGGGTGTGATACTGGCTGAGAGGAGCTGGCTCATTGAGGGCAGGGCCACAGGGTGAGTCTGCACTGGAAGGGAGTTGATAGCCTCTTGCTCTTCTGTCCCCAGCTCTTGGAGCAGTCGGAGTGGCAGCCAACAAACGTGGATGGGAAGGGGTACCTACTCAATGAACCTGGAGTCCAGCCCACCTCTGTCTATGGAGACTTTAGCTGTAAGGAGGAGCCAGAAATTGACAGCCCAGGGGGTAAGAAGGCCCTGGATCCTTATGGCTTCTTAGATGAGGGAGAACCACGTAGGGATGGAGAAAGCTTGGGGGCAGGGCCAGGGAGCAGGGCGGTAAAGCATCTGGGGTACTGACACATTGTGAATTAGCTACGGCTGCCATGCCTTAAGGTTTGCCTGAAGCTGAGTGGATGTTTACTGCTGTGCTGGGAAGAGCAGAGGCCATGTCTATGGCCTTCAGGGGTAGGGGGAAGCACACCTGATGCCACCGTCCCCTACCCTCATACAACCTTCTTCACATCTTCTAGGGGATATTGGGCTGAGTCTACAGCGTGTCTTCACAGATCTGAAGAACATGGATGCCACCTGGCTGGACAGCCTGCTGACCCCAGTCCGGTTGCCCTCCATCCAGGCCATTCCCTGTGCACCGTAGCAGGGCCCCTGGGCCCCTCTTATTCCTCTAGGCAAGCAGGACCTGGCATCATGGTGGATATGGTGCAGAGAAGCTGGACTTCTGTGGGCCCCTCAACAGCCAAGTGTGACCCCACTGCCAAGTGGGGATGGGGCCTCCCTCCTTGGGTCATTGACCTCTCAGGGCCTGGCAGGCCAGTGTCTGGGTTTTTCTTGTGGTGTAAAGCTGGCCCTGCCTCCTGGGAAGATGAGGTTCTGAGACCAGTGTATCAGGTCAGGGACTTGGACAGGAGTCAGTGTCTGGCTTTTTCCTCTGAGCCCAGCTGCCTGGAGAGGGTCTCGCTGTCACTGGCTGGCTCCTAGGGGAACAGACCAGTGACCCCAGAAAAGCATAACACCAATCCCAGGGCTGGCTCTGCACTAAGAGAAAATTGCACTAAATGAATCTCGTTCCCAAAGAACTACCCCCTTTTCAGCTGAGCCCTGGGGACTGTTCCAAAGCCAGTGAAATGTGAAGGAAAGTGGGGTCCTTCGGGGCGATGCTCCCTCAGCCTCAGAGGAGCTCTACCCTGCTCCCTGCTTTGGCTGAGGGGCTTGGGAAAAAAACTTGGCACTTTTTCGTGTGGATCTTGCCACATTTCTGATCAGAGGTGTACACTAACATTTCCCCCGAGCTCTTGGCCTTTGCATTTATTTATACAGTGCCTTGCTCGGCGCCCACCACCCCCTCAAGCCCCAGCAGCCCTCAACAGGCCCAGGGAGGGAAGTGTGAGCGCCTTGGTATGACTTAAAATTGGAAATGTCATCTAACCATTAAGTCATGTGTGAACACATAAGGACGTGTGTAAATATGTACATTTGTCTTTTTATAAAAAGTAAATTGTTTATAAGGGGTGTGGCCTTTTTAGAGAGAAATTTAACTTGTAGATGATTTTACTTTTTATGGAAACACTGATGGACTTATTATTGGCATCCCGCCTGAACTTGACTTTGGGGTGAACAGGGACATGCATCTATTATAAAATCCTTTCGGCCAGGCGCGGTGGCTCACACCTGTAATCCCAGCACTTTGGGAGGCCGAGATGGGTGGATCACCTGAGGTCAGGAGTTCGAGACCAGCCTGGTGAAACTCCATTTCTACTAAAAATGCAAAAATTAGCTGGGCGTGGTTGCGGGTGCTTGTAATCCCAGCTACTCAGGAGGCTGAGGCAAGAGAATCGCTTGAACCTGGGAGGTGGAGGTTGCAGTGAGCCGAGAACATGCCATTGCACTCCAGCCCGGGCACCAAAAAAAAAAAAAAAAAAAAAAACCTTTCATTTGGCCGGGCATGGTGGCTTATGCCTGTAATCCTGGCACTTTGGGAGGCCAAGGTGGGCAGATCACCTGAGGTCAGGAGTTTGAGACCAGCCTGGCCAACATGGTGAAACCTCATCTCTACTAAAAATACAAAAATTAGGCCGGGCACGGTGGCTCACGCCTGTAATCCCAGCACTTTGGGAGGCAGAGGCGGGCGGATCACGAGGTCAGGAGATCAAGACCATCCTGGCTAACACGGTGAAACCCCGTCTCTACTAAAAATATAAAAAATTAGCCGGGCCTAGTGGCGGGTGCCTGTAGTCCCAGCTACTCGGGAGGCTGAGGCAGGAGAATGGCATGAACCCCGGAGGCAGAGCTTGCAGTGAGCCGAGATTGCACCACTGCACTACAGCCTGGGCGACAGAGCGAGACTCCGTCTCAAAAAAAAAAAAAAAAATTAGCCGGGCCTGGTGGCGGGCGCCTGTAATCCCAGCTACTGTGGAGGCTGAAGCACAAGAATCACTTGAACCCGGGAGATGGAGGTTGCAGTGAGCTGAGACTGTGCCACTGCACTCCAGCCTGGGTGACAAGAGTGAGACTTTGTCTCAAAAAAAAAAAAATCCTTTTGTTTATGTTCACATAGACAATGGCAGAAGGAGGGGACATTCCTGTCATAGGAACATGCTTATATAAACATAGTCACCTGTCCTTGACTATCACCAGGGCTGTCAGTTGATTCTGGGCTCCTGGGGCCCAAGGAGTGTTAAGTTTTGAGGCATGTGCCATAGGTGATGTGTCCTGCTAACACACAGATGCTGCTCCAAAAAGTCAGTTGATATGACACAGTCACAGACAGAACAGTCAGCAGCCCAAGAAAGGTCCTCACGGCTGCTGTGCTGGGTAGCACTTGCCATCCAGTTTCTAGAGTGATGAAATGCTCTGTCTGTACCGTTCAATACAGTAGGCACTGGCACTAGCCACATGTGCCAGCTAAGCACTTGAAATGTGGCCAGTGCAATAAGGAATTGAACTTTTAATTGCATTTAATAAACTGTATGTAAATAGTCACATGTGGTCAGTGGTTACCATATTGAACAGTGCAGGTAGATACTGGACTGGGGGCAGATCTGAGGGAGAGGGGTTTGAGTAGTGGGAGGACACTGGGGATAGGGGCTTGGGGCTATTTACCTGCCATTTTGAGTAGTTTGCTATTTTAGCAGCCAACAATAACTATTGGTGCTGAATACCAGCCCTGCAGTGTAGCATGAGACAGGTCCATGCACACATGCATTAGGAAAACACCTTCATGAAGCAGGATTCTGCCTGGGCTGATGCACACAACCTCTATGGAGGGTAAACAGTGTTTCTGAAGACCGTAGTTTGGGAACCCCTGACATATGACAATGCCCCCTTAGATAAGCTCAAGTTACAGGAATGTCTGAGGGTGGAAGGTGTGGATATGTGCTTTTCCTGTCTCCCTCTTCAGTGTCTGGCCATGGGGCATAAACACTACCCAGCAGTAGGTAGGCTGGCCAAGAGAAGCCAGCTTGCATCACCAGCATCATCTAGGGAATGGAATCATGGCAGTAATACGTTGCTTAGGAAACAAAAGCTCTATGGACACATCTTCCACCTTCTCAGTCCCAGAAACCATATGTACTGTGACCCCGCTCACTAGGCCCAGCCCTCGGGAAGAGTGTGGGCCCTTGAAAAGGGAAGACTGAGTGAGAAAATGATGAGAAAACTACAAAATGGGCAGAGGTCAGTCTGACACATTCATTCTCTGTCAAGCTCAGGAAGTACTGGTCCCTGATCTTGGAGATGCTGTGTGAGTGGCAGGGGGACTCCTGCTGGGTAAATATTCTATATGTGGATGCCTGGACAGGCCCCTATCCCAGGCCCTGCTTGTCAGAAGCTCCCCTTGGGCCGAGCGCGGTGGCTCACACTTGTAATCTTGGCACTTTGGGAGGCCGAGGCAGGTGGATTGCCTGAGTTCAGGAGTTCAAAACCAGGCTGGGCAACATGGTGAAACCCTGTCTCTACTAAAAAAAAACTAACCAGGCGTGGTGGTGCATGCCTGTAATTCCAGCTACTAGGGAGGCTGAGGCAGGCCAATCACTTGAACCCAGGAGGTGGAGGTTGCAGTGAGCTGAGATCACGCCACTGCACTCTAGCCTGGGCAACAGAGCGAGACTCTGTCTCAAAAAAAAAAAAAAAAAAGAAGTTCTACTTGGAAGCTCCACTTGGATTTCTCAAGAATAGCTTCACCTGGGAACAGAGGAATAGACAGGATGGACTTTTCCAGCTCCTTCAGGGACCAGCCCTTTTTAAGATTTGGATTGAGGTGGCTAGCCACCTGTGGCTTCCATCTGGGTTCTCCTAGTGGGTGATGGCAGGTGGTGCAGAGCAAGGTAGAGTGGACTGACGGGAGGAAAGTGATACCACCCAGAACAAGCAGCAGCTCTGACTTCTTTTTCTCCTGCCCTTCAATCTAATCCCTGATGGAGGGTAGGCAGTGAGTATGTGAAGTCTTAGGCAGCTGTGGAAATCTCTCAAGTTCTAAAAGCAAAGTTAATTGCTTGTAAATTACCAAAAAGAGAGAGGAATTATGTCCATCAGCTTCCAATCTCCACAACCAAGATGTAGTCCTCAATTTCCCCATCCCCTCTGATCCCAGGAGTCCTAAATGATTGGTAGCAATTGCTTGGAATCTCCAGGGAGGGACCTCAAAACTCTCCCCTGGCCCCCATCACAATGGAGCTGGGTCCTAGGGACCAAGCCTGGAGTAGTGTGGGATAGAGCCAGACCTTTCAGGATGGAGAGCTGTCCCATCACATCCTACCAAGACTTCAGCCTTTTCCTAGGAAAAGAAACTAAATAAGGTCTGACAGCTCACCTAAAGGTGATGGCAGCTGACACTACCGAGTCATTAGCCAAACAGTGCCTGAAACGGAGCAGTATTAGTAAGATCTGAACCAAGTTTGTGCTTAATAATTAGATCATTCTAAGGACCTGACAGTGCTTCTGTGGGTCATTCTCAAGAGTTTCAGTATAAGCACTAATGGTGGAAGTTCTAGGTTGAGGGAGCTAGGAGGTTGTTGAAAGATCTGTTTTGCTGGGGTTGTGATGAGATAACTGTCATCAAGGACCACTTTCCACTGGGGTAAACTGACAAAAGTGGTGCTCAGCCACACCAGCTAGATTTCTCATGTTGGGCCAAGTTTACAGACATTTGCGGGCATTTGTGGTTAGTCATGGGTTTCCTTGCCTTAACTCCAAAAGGGTATAGCTGGCTGGTCACTTTCATTGGGCTGGTTTATTCATTCAGCTCACTTGGCAATAGGAAGAAAGCTAGAAGCTAATAGGCAAACCATCCCTTCTTGGTGTGTCAGCTTTCAACATCTCTCAGTGCACTGTGTGCAGGGTGTTGTGACCATTACAACTCCAAAGGAAAGAGCTTTCTCTGATTTTTCTGGAAGTCTCCAGTGGGGCCTGCCAAAGTGGGAACTGAAATCCTGGGGTAGCCCTGGGAAGTGGAGTTTTTTTCTCTAGGAGTGATGTCTCCTGGTTGGTGGGGCTGGGAAACAGCCAGGTTGTCATTCTCTGGGACCACTTGATCTTTCACACTGTGTACAGATCCAAAACTCTGCCCTTATACTTGGAGGGGAAAGGGGGTACAGATGTCCTCCAGGCAGTCCTGTTGGAGCACCCAGGGCTAATATAGTGACCCTATAGAAAGCTTTTGTCTCTGTCAGATGTAATGCTGTTCCTTAACTTGGGCACAACTGATCTTCCAATTCATCAGAACTCAGCACTAACCTTTCCCCAGTTCTGCTGGCTGTCACAGAGGAAGGAGGCCTGGGGTGGGAGAAGGGGAAGCTGGTGCCCTCCTTTTCCAGGGGTGAAAGTACTTGGCAGGGTGGAGCTTGGCTTTATCATCCGGAGCTCCCTTGTGGGGCCAAGTCTAAGGCCTCAGAAGGGTATAGCTGGCTGGCCGCATAGTTTTCCTAGCTCCAGGCAGCTCTCAAGAGACCCATTTATGCTGGTTTTCTCAGGGTAAGGAGTTACAGAAGTCCACCTCTGCTGGCTCAGTGGTAAGACACAAGCCTGCAGAGTCTGCTGAGTGAAACTTCAGCTGGGGAGATACTGGAGGCTATGGAGCAAGGACATGGGGACTGAATGAAAGAGGGGAGGCAGACGTCCAGCCCACCATTCCTCACCCAAGGAGATGATCCCACAAGCTCACAAATGAGCAGAACTGGAAAAGACCTCAAAGTGTGGCTGGATAATGGCAACACAGGCCTCGAGTGCTCACTTTGTGCTGGGTGCTATGCCAAGCACCACGTGTGTACCACGGCACTGGCACCCCACCACGGCCCTTGTTCACAGACCAGGAAACCAACTCTCACCACCTAATCAGTATGGAGCCTTGGTTCCAACCCACATCATCTATCTGTGCCCAGAATCCAGGTTGGTTCCATATCAGGCTGCCTGAGAGAAGAACACGGAGGCCTGCACAAGAAGCTGGGGAGAGCTAGCAAGGGGCAGGGCCCGAGCACCTTATGCCAAGCAAGCACTTGTGGATGCTGAGGGAAGGCGGCAAAAGCTGCAGCTGCTGTGCTGCCCTGCCTTCAGCTCTCCTCCCTTCCCCCAGCACACACACCTTCCAACACCCCTGGCAACATGGCTCTGCCGCTACAGGCCCCAGGGCCCCAACAGGGTAGGGTTTGCCCCACCTATGCCCTGGAGGCCACCTGCAGTTTCGAAGGGTGGGGCCCCAGGGGGCCGAGACACAGACAGGCTTGTAACTTGGCCTCAGTGCAGGGGGCAGCTTGGCCACACCAGGCCTGTTTGGAGCAAACGGGGGACTCTGGCCTGCTAGGCCTTATCTCAGCTCCCAGGATCAAAGAGGACTTTTTAGCCATGTTTCTGTCTCAGCAAGACAACCTAGTCTCCTGTTCTGCTTTAAACCAGACCCTCTGTTGGGTCCTGGAGTTCCTCAGAGGTCTGGACCCTGGATGGCTGTGAGACTCAGGACCATGCACAGATGCATTCTCATTCCCAGCCACCAGGCTCGGGTCAGACCCTATGGCTCTGGTGGGCCTAATTCCTGGTTTCTTGATCCCTGAGAACACCTGGCACCTCTGGCTGCTGGCCAGTTGCCACCTTACATCAGGCGGGCGCTGGGATTCACCTGCAGGCTTCCTTTAGGGAAGGCCCTCCCCTGCCCTCCTGTGCCAGCCCAGAGGGGCAGCCTGGGTGAGGTCTTCACATCCATTTCGGGCCAAATGCCTTGGATTGGCTGGATCCCCTCCTGTTTCTGCCCTCCTTCTTTCCTTCAAAGCAACAAGGTTGTGGGGGTGTCCAGTTCTGCTACCACCTCTCCCTCACACTGTCAATCTGGAATTTGTCCAGAATTGGGGCCCAAGTAGTGAGTTCTTACACAGTGGTTAAACAAACAAACAAACAAAAACCCCACACAACTCAGCTACACCTTGGCTCAGAGAGGCCATGGGATATACCGAGGATCTCAGATCAGGAGGGAGGCCCCTGGAGAGGTGTGGCGGGGATCATGTGCTTCTCTGGTTTCTTGGAGAAAGCTGACTTTGTGTAACAAGGGAGGCATATGGACATGGAGTTGGTGTTTGGGGATGTGGGAACCATTAGGCCAGAATTACAAGAAGTCCTGTCATGTCGGCCACACTAGGGCAACAGTGGACTGGGGCAGGGGCTGATGACCTGATTGTGGAGGCAGTGGAGGGCTGTTTCTGCTGGGGACCCAGGGCTCCCCTCCAAGTGCTCCTGCTTGGCTTGTTGGGATGGGGAGAGGAGCTGGAGTTGGGATGGGGAGAGGAGCTGGAGTTGGGATGGGTCACAGCGAAGGCTACAGCCTGGCATTCCCATATGGGGTAGGGGTGGGGTGGGGTGGGACAGGGAGGAGGACCTGAAGGGGTGTCCAACTTTCCGAGACTTGGAACAGCCTGGTGAGTGTTCATCACCATTCTTCTGTCATAGGTGGCGAGCAGCCAGAGTTCTGGGCACAGGAGACCATCTACCCCCAAGCTTGTGCGGCCTGCCTCAGGTCACTGAAGAGGACCCCATTTTTGGTCTTTGGCCATCCTAAGACTTGTACAATGGAGCCCTGGGGCCCTCCCTTCTCTGACCAGTGACAGCCCTCACAGGCAAAGCCTCACCCTCTAGGGCCTGTCCCTTCCTGTCTGCCAGTCCCCACAGGGTCTGCGGGGTACCCAATCTCGCCAACCAGACTGGAAGCTCCCCAGGGGCAAGCAGCTTATCTCTTCCATATTCTCACAGTGTTCAGCCAGGATTGGCACTTCAGAGCATCTCCTGCTGCTCAGCAGAGATGTAGTTAGCATCTCTCTATAGTAGCACTTTCTGAGTCCCTCCCCTGGGGGAACCAGGCTAGACTCTGGGGTCCAGAGGAGCAGGCAGGCTGAGAGGCAAAAAGGGCACAGAGGAATAACCAACCCTGCCCCTGCAGTAGAGCCCTGGGCAAAACAGGCCATGACCAACCAGCAGCCAAGGTCAAAGTCCCCAGAACAAGGGCCAGTGTGTGCATGACATGCAGCATGACCGCTTGTCTCTTTTCGGCAGTACTGGAGATAGAAGGCTGAGTCATTAACAACTTTCTTTTATTAAAAATGTACATAAGTAAAAGGAACATGGTTTAATTGTGCAAAGAGTAAGAAATACAGATGAGCAAATAACACGTATTAAAGCCACCTACGATATACCACCCAGAAGTAACCAGGCTGTTGAATTTTTAGAGACTGGGGTGCAAACACATTTTTTCACTCCCTTGTGCATATATCTGGGAGCTCTGCCATATACAGACACAGACGCGGTGTCCACAGGCGATGCCTCTGCTGGGAATGCTGCAAGCAGGAGTCTATCCTTTCCTGGTACTGGCTCGGGGGCCCTCCTCAGCGCCCAGGTCACTCTAGCATCCAGGAGTCCAAAGGCCCGGCTGTGCAGGCTGCAGAGGTGATCTAGAGTAGATTAGGAGGTGCAAAAGGCTTGGAGATAGGCTGACCAACTGTTCCAGTTTGCTTAGGACTGAGGAGTTTCCCAGGATTTGGGACTTTCAGTGCTAAAACTGGGAAAGTCCCAGGCAAACCAGGGCCAGTTGGTCACCCTCCCTGAGGGCCAAAGGCTTTGTCCTGCCCCTCCTGCCCTGTGCTCCCCATCTGCCCTCCTGCTGGGGTTCTGGATCCCCCATCCCCACACCAAGCAGCCCAGGGACAGAGGCCTGGCTGGGGCCTTGCCTCCCGTGGAAGCTCCTGAAAGTTCCAGCCTGAGGCCTAGGGAGGGACAGGGGAAAGGGAATAAATTAAGGCAGACAGTCTGTCATCACCCAAGAAAAGGGCCAGGTGAACTGTGGCTGTTAAGGGCAGCTAGGGATGTACAAGCAGAAGGGTTCCAATACTTGGCTGGCCACCCCTCCAGCCCTGGAGCTGAGTGTGTGGTCCCCAGAGGCCCCAGAGCCAGAGAAGTGCAGGGTGTCTGGATTGAAAGGCCTCAGCTCCCTGGGCTCCCAGAGCCCTGGTGCCTCAGGCCTTACCTTCCCCCTCCTCCATCTCCACACCCCCTGGCACTTCCTGCTCAGCTCTTCTCTACCTAAGACTGGGAGCAGAGGATGAAGGAAGAGGAATCCAGGACAGACCGAGCTGAAAGAGGAGCAGGCAGGTGGGAGGGGACTTAGGTAGAAAGGACCTCTCTGATAGTGGCGGGAACATCCTGACTGTGGTCTGGCCCAGCCGGCTGTCTATGCCTGAGGATGCCTGAGGATGGGGGGCCCTTGGAAAACTCAGAAGAGAGGCTAGGTGTGGAAGGCAGAGTATTGGTCCACAGTGGAATAAAGAGGTCCACGTCCTAATGCATGAGCCTATGAATATGTTGCTACATGGCAAAGAGGAATTAAAACTGCAGATGGAATTAAGGTTGCTAACCAGCTCACTTGCAAATAGAGAGATTACCCTGGATTATTGGTGTGGGCCCAGTGTAATCACAAGGGTTCTTAAATGAAGAAGGAGGAGGCAGAAGGGTCAGAACCAGAGAGATCGCATTGTGAAAAACCTGACCAGCCAGTGCTGGCTTTGAAAGTGGAGGAAGGGGTTGCAGGCCAAGGAATGCAGGCAGCCTCTAAAAGCTGGAAAGGGAAAGGAAGGAAAGGGATTCTCCACTAGAGCCCCCAGGAAGAAATGCAGCTCTGTTGACACCTTGAGTTTAGCCCAGTGAGACCTGTTTTGGACTTCTGACTACAGAACTATAAGAAAAGAAACGGGCCAGGTGCAGTGGCTTACACCTGTAATCCTAGCACTTTGGGAGGCTGAGGCAGGCAGATTGCTTGTGCCCAGGAGTTTGAGACCAGCCAGGGCAACATAGTGAGACCCTGTCTCTATAAAGTATACAAAAAATTAGCCAGGTGTGGTAGCACGTGCCTTTAGTCCTGGCTACTTGGGAGGCTGAGGTAGGAGGATGGCCTGAGCCCAGGAGGGAGAGGTTGCAGTGAGTCAAGATTGAGCCACTGCACTCCAGCCTGAGTGACAGAGCAAGACCCTGTATCCAAAAAAATAAATAAATAAATAAAAAATTGTGTTGTTTTAAGCCCCTGTTTATGATAATTTGTTAGAGCAGCAATAGGAAACTGATCCACTGGGAAACCATTTGGGGGATGCAGCTGCCCAAAATCCCTGCACGTGGGTTGGACTCAGCCTCACAAGGCTCTACAGCCTCTCTGTGAAAGACTCCATTCCCTCTGGGAGAAGCTCAGACTCTAAAGCCCTGGGCAGGGAATGGGCCTCCATGGCATGGAGGGGGTCAAGAAGGATGCCCCCCAGGATAGTGCCTCTGCTGGACCTCTCTATAGGAAGCAGCTGCCTCTTTGAGCCCCCTCCCCAAACCTCAGTGAGCTGAGGTGCTGGCTCTGAGTGGTCATGGAGGGGCTTGCCTGAGGTCAGGCCACCTAGGACAGCTAGTCAGAGGCCACAGGGCTTGGCTTAAGATTCCCAGGAAGGAGTTGCATGGCCCCTCCACACATCCACAATACTCATAACACTCTCAGTCCTTGGCCTTACTAAGGGAATACTAAGGGGACTCAGTTTAGCTCTGGAAAAGCTAGGACTACTGGAAAAAAAAGTATAGAGGAAAAAAAATAGTTACTGGATGCCAGCCAGATCTGCAAAAAGTCCCCACTCTGCCACTTACTAGCTATGTGGCCTCAAATAAGCCACTAGATCTTTTGTAGCCTCAGTTTCTTCATCTGTAAAATGGGTATAACATCATTTGTCTTATCTGTCTCACAGGGTGTGTGAGTCTCAGGTGAGATAACACACGAGAAAACATTGTGCCGCACAACTTGAGATGCAAACAGTAACGATCACAACCCCACATGCCTTTTGATAGGGTGAATGATCACAGCATCCTGTGTTAGGGAGGAAAGGGTGAGCACAGACGCTTCAAAACTCTGTCTTACCCACAGGCAGAAGGGTGTAGCCTGGCCAGGGGAGAAAAGGACCCAGCCACTGCCACCGCCCCGCAGCTCACACCGGATGTGCGACAGAGCCACCATGCAGCCCCACAGGATGTCCTCCAACCACTACAGACTGTGGGGCTTTGCTTTTTTTTTTTTTTTTTTTTTTTTAAGAAAAAGGTTTTCTAGTTTCTTCTACATTAAAAATAATCCCTCCTTCTCATAAAGCACAATTTTACAGAGGAAAAGGGAGATGTGAAACTATACACAATTCAAATCTAATTAATATATAATTTTTTTGTGGAATACAGATGGAGGGAATACATCACAATACTAAAGGTGATTATCTTTGGATGGTGGGATTACAGGTGATTATATATTTTTTATATTTCTATAGTTTAAAAATATTCCATGATGACCTATAATTACTTTTACTTATTTTTTGAGACAAAATCTCACCCTGTTGACCAAGGCTGGAGCGCAGTGGTGCAATCTCGGCTTAGTGCAATCTCGGTGTAGTCTCGACCTCACAGGCTCAAGTGATCCTCCCACCTCAGCCTCCGGAGAAGCTGGGACTACAGGTACATACCACCATGCCCAGCTAATTTTTTGTAGAGACAGGATTTCGCCATGTTGTCCATGCTGGTCTCGAACTCCTGAGCTCACATAATCCTCCTGCCTCGGCCTCCCAAAGTACTGGGATTATAGGTGTGAGCCACCTTGACTGGCCTATAATTACTTTTATAATCAGAAAAAAAATTATAAATAAATATGAAAAGTGCCAGGAACTTTCTTTTGTGGAGCCACACACTGGGCTCAAGGAATCATTTGAGCTGGGTTCTGCAGGGGTGGGAGTCTTGGCGCGGGCCCTGGTCCTTGCTGTGTGACCCTGGAGACTCACTACTTTCCCTCCCTGGCCTTTGTTTGCCTGGTAAGACAAGATGCTCCCTAGGGTCCTTTGCAGCTTAATAAGTAAAGTATTCGCCTTGGTCTCATCCATCCCAGCTCTTTGCCCAGCTTCCAGTGACTCCTCTGTGCCTGGAGAGAAGGGCAAGCGCCTTACTCATGCCTTGAGGTTGCTGACCACTTCCGTCACCAGCCTCGCTCCTTCCAGACCTGCCCTGGGAGTCCCTGCCTCCTGGCCTTCACCTGCATCACGGTCTGCACTTCTCAGAGCCCTGCCCTTCCTTGAAGAACAAAGCCTGGCCAAATTGTGTCAGCCTTCTGGCCTGCAGTGACCCCTGCTTACATCGTACATAACAATAGCTATAACTTATTGACATTAACTTCAGGTCACATAGCAAAAGTGCTCTCATTTAAATCTTAGGCCACCAGAGGATCCATAGACTAAAATGTTAACAGCATCTCCTGGAGTTGTGGAGTGTGGTGACCCTATGTGATCCTCCTGTGCCACTGAGAGATATATTATTAACCCAGTTTCACTGATAAGATAACTGAGGCTCAGAGAGGTCAAGTAACTTGCCCATGGTCACACAGTGGGTCCATGGCAGAGCTGGGAGGTGATCCCTAGTCAGTTCCCTCCAAGTCCAGGATTTTCTCACTCCCACAATGGTGTCTCCCTTAATGACTCTCACATTCCAGCCTCTGAGGGCAGGAAGGGTATGTTCTGAGTTGAACACACAGAGAGCACTCAATGATGTCTGGTGGTGAAGATGTTAATCATGAGCTCAATCAAGGTTTATCATTAAATCAACAAGTCTTCCTAGTGTGTCTGGGAGCTCTGGGGCCCAGGGACAGGCCTACTGTAGTTCAGTGTTGTATTCTGGCACCTGGTGGTTTCTGGCACATAGCCCATGTTCATTAAATGACATGAATTGATTGTCCATTCAAATAATAAAACAATAAATAAATAATACTAGCTAACAGGTATGGAGTGCCTACAAGCCAGCCACCTCAGGGAGTTTCCAGGACAGTTGAGGAGAAACATAACACTGTTGACAAGAGCTACAACGTAGGGTTTTACACCAAAACAGTGTCTACGTAAACAGTGTCTATCAAAGAGAGAAAAATGATGGGCAGACACCCTGATCCTTCCCACAGTGCTAAAGGCCATGCCAGCCACTGTCCCCATTACGACTTGCATATACTGACTGCCGAAGCACACAAACCTGAATTTTCCGTCTGCATCCATCGTTCTGTCTGTTCGGATCACATCTGGATACTACTGTTGCCTCTCCAGACTGGATAACCAGTCTGCTGAGGGCCAGAAGATGGTGAGATGGAAACTAGTCATGTTTACTTGGAGAAGAGAAATGAAGACCGTCTTTAACACCTGACAGGTTGCTCTTCCCAAGAGGGGCCAGAGGGCAACAGCCATGGTCAACAGCTCCAGGCACCCCTGAGGAAGCCTGCTCCAGCTGGCAGGGCTGTCTGGCAAGGGACCAGTCCCTCCTCTGGAGAAGTGGTGAGCCCAGTGGGCTGCCTCTCCAGCAGGATCCTGTAGAGACCTTACTCTCTACAATGCACACTCCACACACTTGCTCACTTGACAAACACTTATTATAACTGTCACCCTGGGCCCATTCCAGGTTAGGGACATAAGGATGAATAAAACAAGGTCTGTACCAGTAGAGAACATCAGTCCTCTAGGGGAGAAAGTCAGGAAAGCCTCATCCTGAGCCTTCGACTCCTTACTGTCCATCCTCTAGGCTCCTGTCTCAGCTTCTGCTGAAGGCTATTTTCTTCCTTGTATTCTGCAGTGACCAGGCATATGGCAGATAATCAACAAATACAGGCATCCCTGAAGAGGGTATCCTGGGATAAAAGCCCCAGCTGGATCAGTGCTATACAGGGGCCAACTGGGGGTGGGTTCCAGGCAGGGTCATTTGCAAGGGTCCCTCTGCCCCTTCAAGTCCTGCCAGACAGGCCTTGGCCATGGTTTCTTCCTGCCCCTGTCCCCTGACCACAGTTGATCTCCCCTGGCTGTTATGAAATGTCAAAGAATGTCCTGCAATCCTAAATTCCATAATGATCTTTATCTTCTGTTCCCTCTGAGGCTCCTCAATCTGCAGTAACAGCTGTGGTTCAGCAAGCAGTGCGGCACTCTGGAGTGCTGTTCTGAAACAGGGCCGGCGTGGGGCAGAGCTCATCTGCTGCCCTATCCATTCACTGTGCTGTTCGGGGCTAGAGAAGATTCATGTGTGTATATGCTTTTTAAAAATTGTGAAACAATAATTATGCAGAAAAATACATAGAATATATGTTCAGTTTAACAAATAATCATAAAGCAAATCTCTATAAAACCACTGCTGCTCTGCAGTGACCCCTGCTTCCCCCTAAGTCGTGCATAACAATAGCTACAATTTACTGACCATGAACTTCAGGTCACACAGCAAAGGTGTTCTCATTTAATCTTTGGCCACCAGAGGCTGCATAGACTAAAATGTGAACAGTGTCCCCTGCAGTTGTGGAGTGTGGTGACCCTATTGGATCTTCTCATGCCACTGAGGGATATACTGTTTTCTGTAGAGAAGTCCAGCAGAGTCACTGTCCTGGGGGGCATCCTTCTTGATCGCCCCCATGCCATGAAGGCCCATTCCTTGCCCAGGGCTCTAGAGTCTGAGCTTCTCCAAGAGGGAATGGAGTCTTTCGCAGAGGGGCTGTGGAGCCTCGTAAGGCTGAATCTAACCACGAGCAGGGATTTTGGGCAGCTGCATATCCCAGATGGTTTCCCAGTGGATCAGCTTCCTGTTGCTGCTCTAATAAACTAACATAAACTTAGGGGCTTAAAACAACACAAATTTCTTTTCTTATAGTTCCGTAGGTCAGAAGTCCAAAACAGGTCTCACTGGGCTAAACTGAAGGTGTCAGCAGGGCTGCATTCCTTCCTGGGGGCTCTAGTAGAGAATCTCTTTCCTTTCTTCCCCTTTCCAGCTTTTAGAGGCTGCCTGCATTCCTTGGCCTGCGGCCCCTTCCTCCACCTTCAAAGCCAGCACTGGCTGGCCAGGTCTTTCATATATTGCAATCTCTCTGCTTCTGCTTCTGCTTCTGACCCTTCTGCCTCTCTCTTCTCCATTTAAGAATGCTTGTGATTACATTGGGCTCACCCACCCCAGTTTCTACCCAATAATCCAGGGTAATCTCCCAAACTTAAAGAGAGAAAACAATACTAGCACCCCCAAAGCACCTACGTGTTCCCCTACTAATCACAACCCCAACCCTCCCTTCTGCATAAGTAGACATTTGTAATAATTCTGTGCTTTTTGTAGTTTGACCTCCTCTGCATGTATCCTTAACAATACAGTTTTGCCAGCTGTTAAATTTTTGCTAAAAGGAATTATACTGTATGCATTCTTTTGTAGGTTTTATTCATTGATGAGTCATTTGTTATTACAGTATTATTATCCAATATGACAATATTACAGTTATTGCAAGTCGCTGTAGTTCATTTCACTCCAGGAACACTGCACAATTTATTTGTACTCTCCACTTTTGATGGTCATTTGGACATTTTCTGGTGCTGTGTGGGTATTCTGGTGCACATGGGTAAGAGTGTGGTTTGAGAAGAGTCTGAGGAGTGGGACTCTTGGGTTACAGGGTATATATATGTTTTCATCTTTTAAAAAAATTTATATTATTCATTTTTTTAAAGACTAGTCGCTGGGCGCGGTGGCTCACACCTGTAATCCCAGCACTTTGGGAGGCCGAGGCCGGTGGATCATGAGGTTGGGAGATTGAAACCATCCTGGCTAACACGGTGAAATCCCATCTCTATTAAAAATACAAAAAATTAGCCAGGCGTGGTGGCAGGCGCCTGTAGTCCCAGCTACTCAGGAGGCTGAGGCAAGAGAATGGCGTGAACCCGGGAGGCAGAGCTTGCAGTGAGCTGAGATCGCGCCACTGCACTCCAGCCTGGGTGACAAAGCGAGACTCCATCTCAAAAAAAAAACAAAAAACAACAACAAAAAAAGACTAGTCAAGGGCAGTAGTGAGAAGGGGGAAAAGAGTAGAACAAGGAGTTCGATCTGTAACTGACTGTGAAGTCAATTGAGATAATTCACTACCTTCAGATCAGCCATGTTTTCATCTTTACCAGATCACTTATATGCTTTATTTTCTTTACTTATATACTTTTTAATCCTGAAAGTGTTTCTCAGGGAAACAGTGGTATTACACCCAGTTGTTTAGGTAGAAGAAATGGGGTATGTCTGCCCTTACAGTGTGACCTTCCCACCTTCTGTCTTCAGAACCCTGTCCCCTCCATCCCAGATAGCCCTGTGCCCTCTGGAATCCACAGGCTGGCCCCTCAGTAGCCTCCCTACCTTGCAGTTGGGTGGGGGGTGGGAGGAGGTCAAGAAAGAGGAAGTGAAAACTAAATACAAGGGCTACAGAGAAGTCCGGTCCACAAACCTCAATGTTTCAGCAGCACACGCTGTGAGAAAGGAATGTGCAAGCTGTTTGTGGAGCATGCCTTGGGGGTGCCAAGGCCACTGGTGCAAAGGTGTGCTTCTGGACATAAGTCACTCCACACAATGCTCACCCCAACCCTGTGAGGTACGGTACTGTCATCCCCATGTCACAGAATGAAGACACTGAGCTGCACGGACATTGAGTGTCTGTCAATACAGTGCAATGGTTAATAGCATGGGATCTAGGTCTGTTTAAATTGGGTTTAAATTCTGACTTCCCCACTTACTAGTGGTGCAGTCACCTGGGCCATTACTGACTTCCTTTGGTGTCAGTTTCTGCACCTGTAAAATGGGGCTAATTGGCTCACAGGGTTGTTGAGAGAGGTAAAAGATGTAATGTGTAGAAGGAGCTTAGTCAAGTGCCAAGCACAAGGGAGAACCCAGTGGAACTAAAATGAGCAGAGCTATGAAATGATGACCATTATAGAGTTCAAGGTTGACAGGGTGGAATGGGGGGTTGTCCTGGCAAGCTGGGACCAGGCCACCAAGGTGCTGGTTTGGTGCTATGTGAGAATGGAATGCTGGCCAGGTGGACTCTGAAACATGGACACCTGGACAGTCCTCCCACTGACCTTGTCCACCTTTGTCCGGAGCTCTCTACCTATCTGTGGCTGCTTCCAAGGACGGTGATTTCTGACAGAGGCAGCTGGACCTTGGCACATGCAGAAGTTTCAGCTCAGCATCAGTGCTGGCCTTCAGGAGGCCGCATTGGCAGGCGGCAGCAGTGACAGCCAATGGGCAGCAAAGCTTGTTGCTAAGGTCACTGTGAGCCTTATTTGGTGACACAGGGCTGACCCTGCATTCACCTCTGAGAACCCTGGGAAACGCCAACCACAGATGTGAAATATGAACGTCTCAAAACCACAACTGCATTTCCTTTGAGAAAAGATTCGGCTGTCCTCCTCTCCAGCCTGCCTCCCTCCGCTGGATGTCTTTTGTACAATGGCTCACTACTGCAAGAGGCAAGAGCCTAGGCTACAAGAAGAGTCTGCTACAAGCTAGTCCTGGGCAGGCCTGGACAGGGAGAGGGCAGGGGCTGCTGTGCAGGCGGCCCCAGGACCTTCAAGGACCTCCAAGACTTCCGTTCACACCCAGCAGCTGCCAACCCCTGCCCAGGCCTCCCCCAACACAGCCGGAGGGCCTGTTCCTGGCCCCACTTCCTGCAGCCTTGGGAAGCCGGCTAGCTTGAGAAAGGCGTGTGGCACTCATGGAGGAAGTGGGCCGGCACTGGGGCTCTCACCATCTGCACCAGCCACACCGCTTCGGTGCAGCCTGGAGCTCAAACGGTTGGCGGTTTCAGTTTTTCACCTCCCTTTGGTGCATCTTCCAGCTTATCATTAAATAAGTAAAACTGTTGCTCCACCCCAGACAAATGTGGGAGGGAAGTTGTGTCTTCAATATTTCCCAAATAACACTCACTGCTCCCTCCCATTCATACAGCACCTTCGGGTCTGGGAGCTGTGCTCACATCTGCCATCTCATTACATCCTTGCAACCCTCGCAAAGGTAATGACTGAGCTCACACCATGTGTCAGGGACATGAATGAATTCACAGAATTCACTGTAATTGTCCCCATTTTACAGAAGAGAAAATGAGACAGAGAAATTCAGTCATTGGCTCAAGGTCATCACATAACTAGGATTTTCTCCCAGATGGCTGAGTTCCAAAGTCTGCCCTATTCTCTTCTGCTACATTGCCTCCATGGCACATACACAAGAACGAGTTCCATTTACTGATGAGAAAGTGAGGCTGAGGTGAAAGGGTGGTGTGGGGCCTGAGGTCAGCGTTGCTTCCTCAGTCCACATCTCCTCCCAGAGGATGGTCCACCAACGTCCTTCATCTGCCCTCCCCCTTTAAAAACCACTGTCAGCCCGGCACGGTGGCTCATGCCTGTAATCCCAGCACTTTGGGAGGCTGAGGTGGGTGGATCACCTGAGGTTGGGAGTTCGAGACTAGCCTGAGCAACATGGAGAAACCCCGTCTCTACTAAAAACACAAAAATTGGCTGGGTGTGATGGTGCATGCCTGCAATCCCAGCTACTCGGGAGGCTGAGGCAGGAGAATTACTTGAACCCAGGAGGCAGAGGTTGCGATGAGCCGAGATCACGCCATTGCACTCCAGCCTGGGCAACAAGAGTGAAACTCCATCTCAAAAAACAAACAAACAAACAAAAACACTGTCATGCCCCCACCGCCAGCTTGTCTCCCTTTCTTTTTAGGTGTGGCCCACAGAGCTCAGTGCCCTGCCTATCTGGAAGAGGCTGTGAAGCCCATCTATGTAGGTAACGGAGGCAAAGCAAGGGCTAGGGAGAGTGTGCCATGTGGGACACCTCCCCCTATCACCTCCCCACTGCCTGCACACACTGGGGACAGTCAAAGCATTCCTCAGGCTGGGGGTAGGAGCTGTGGGCGGAAGAGCTGGGGCATCTGTTCACAGAATCCTCCCCTGAAGTTGCTCGGAGGGGCTGGGATGCAGTCCAGACACTGGGGAGCCTGATGCAGACGCCTCCCTGGAGCACTGTCCTTCTCTTGGGCTCTTCAAGCCTGCCCTCACTCATGAACACATATTTTTTGTGTGTACTTCCTGCATGCCAGGCACTACCCAGGCACTGTGGATGCACAGTGAACAACACAGACCAGGTCCACGCGTCACAGACTTTACTTCCCTGAGGGAGGCAGACATTAGGCAAATAATCACATGGATCTCTGAAAAACATAGCTCCTACGAGAGGGTGCAACTTCAGGGGTCTTAACCTACAAAGGAGTGTGTGGGATTAGGGGGTTAGGGCAGCTGTTCTAAGGATGAGACATTTCAGGTGAGGAGAGGAATGGGGTGGAGTTGGCAGGGGGGCTGGTTCTCGGCTCTCCCCGACTGCCCTCCTTCCCCGCATTCCAGTCGCTTCAGGAAATCTGCCGCTTCCATGAGAGCTTCTTTGGTGGTGTCTTCCAAGCTGCTACCAAGCGATGGCTTTGCCAGCTGTTGCTTTCAGTGTTTGTGCCTGGGTGAGCACAGCCGGTATGAAATGGCCCAGATTAATCGAGAGCCAGGCCCCTCCTAAAGTACCTCTGAAAAGAGTTTTTCAGCATAAGCATGACATTAGCTTTTCCTAGAGAGGAAACCACCCCCGGGGCTGACAGCAAGCAGGCCAGGCTTAAAGGAAGCAAGTGCAGCGCTGGGGCCCCTCCATGCCCTGCTGCAGACAGGACACCCTCACTGCCTTCCCCCAACATGCTCCCCCACTCCCACTCCTGCTTCTTTCTCCCTGGGGGACTCTCCTTGTGGAAAAGAAACCCCAACAGTAGGGGGAGCGAGTGAAACTGGAAAATGAAACTGTGATTTCCAGTTTCATTTTCCAGTTTCAATTTAGAAGCAGCTCTGCCAGCTTTCCAGTGCCCGTGCCTCAGGGCATCACAGAGGAGCTGAGGGGCAGGAAAAAGTGTTCCAGCCAGCAAGCACCCTGCTCCCTGGGCACCCTCAGAGGGCAGGTACTGGACTGGTAGAACCCACTGAGCAGGGAGTTGTTGCAATGCCGATTCCTGGCTCTCCAGGCTCTGAGGCCGTACGTTTGGGCCCTTTGGTGATTCTGATGCAGGCTGTGGACCTCACCATGGCAGTCGTGGCCTCAGAGACCATCAGAACAGCTAGAGCACACCTGAGGCACGGCCTCATCCTCTCCAAGTCACTTCCTGCCACAGATGCTCGGGAAGTGCTGCTTCTCTGTGCAGCATCTCCTGCCCTCCTCCATCTGGTGTTGGAGGCATCTTAGATGTTCTCTGGGACCTGAGGTCTGTAGGAAACCCCGGCTGTGGACTTCACACAAGGGTCGCTCTTTCCCACACTCCAGGTTTCCCTTTAAGCTGCTAATTTGTAACAGGCATTCATAGAAACAGAATAAGATAGAGAAATTCTATTAAAGGACCTTATGTGCTTTTGCTCTGTCTGTTGCTCCATTTATTTGCAATTTATAGCCTAATCCAAGAGGATTTAAGGACAATTAAATATTTCTTTCCCCTCAGTGTGTGTGTGCGAGTGCACGTGTAAGAGTGTGTAGGGGTTGGGTCTTCCAATGTACCTTTGCCCTGGTTTGACCGTGGGGGGAGAGGGTGGGCAGGTCTCCAGGCCTGCCAGATGTAGACCTTTCCTAATGTCTACAGCAAATTTGTTCTTCAGTGTTTCTAGTATCAGTTTTTGATCAATCATTAATCAAAGTTGCAATAAAAAGATAATCTTCTCAGGACTAGGCTATAAAGGTCCTGGCTGCAACCTTAAAAAACCCTTCTGTGGAGGCCTCAGAGCCAAGAGAAAAGGGCGATGTGTCTGTGGCTGGATTTGGAGGTAAATGAACGTGCTGTCCCTCTCTAATTGGTGTGCACGAACATGAACTTCAGTCACTTGCGTGGCTATGGCCTCTTTCTTCATCTCTCCCTGCCAGTGAAGCTGGTGGTGCCCTGGCTCCCAAGCCAGGTGGCAAAGCTGGGGAAGGAGGCTGTAGTTGGGCCCAAATATGGGGGTCTGGGGGCACCTCCACAGGTTGTGACCACTGCAGCATGCTCTGGGGCCAGGCCTATGGCAGTGGAGGCAGGACAGCCCCCAGGACCACAGAGCCCCCATAGTGGAGGGAGCCACTACTTGGGCGGCTCAGCTCATTCCTGCTGACTTGCTGCTGTACAGGGCAGAGGGGTGCCTGAGACAAAGAGGAGACACACTTCTCCCACGAGAAATAAAGCAAGCAGCTGTTCCTCTCTTGGGCCCAGCAGGGGTCAGAGGCTGTGGGACCTTCACTCCTTCCCTCTCAGTGGAGAGGGCAGATCTGCTCTTTGGGGTGTGAGGGCACAGCCTCCTGACAAGCTGGAGAAGCAGGATTTAAGAGCTAGAATCAACGGAGAATGTGAGGCCCAGCATCAGGTTCAAGAAGCAAGGGGATCAAGGTTGGGGGGGAGGCAGGGAGCCTGAGCCTGGCGCAGCCCAGACCAACAGACTGAGGAGTCCAGAGAGCCAACATGCTCACTCGGCCATCGCTAAGATGTGTAGTGTGTGAGAAGGTGTGAGAGGTACTCGCGTTTCTCTCTCCAACCCCTTCCAACATATTATTGGGTCGTGGGTGCCATGTTTTTAGTAGACACATAAAATAAATGAGTATTTTCAGAGAAGTGCAACCCTGGAGGTGCAGGGGAGTGAACTCAGCCATGAGAAATCATTCAAAGGATTGACCTATGGAACAGGGATAGACTTGCTCTCCATGGCTCCAGCAGGGAAGCAGCAGAGAGGGGAACCTTTCCTGAAAGTCCAGTGTGACATCTGAAGACACACACACACACACACACACACTTTTTTGAGAGAGAGAACGAGAATGAAAAGATACACACTGATCTTTCAACAGTCGTTGTCTCTACCTGGTGATTGCGAATGATTTTAATTTTTTTCCTCTTGTGCTTACAGTATTTTCTAAAATCTCTAAAATACACCCAAATTACTTTCTTGTTATGGCAAAATAGACATAAAATGTCTACATCCATTTTAACCATTTTTAAGTGCAGAGTTCCATAGTATGAAGTACATTCTCACTGTTGTGCAGCCATCACCACCATCCATCTCCAGAACTTTTTCATCACCCTCAACATAAACTCTGCATCCACTAAGCAGTATCTCCCTGTTCTTCCTCCTTCCAGCCCCTGGCAACCATCCTTCTACTTTCTGTCTCTATGAATTTCACTATTCTAGGTACCTCATATAAGTGGGATCATCTGGTATTTTTCCTTCTGTGTCTGGCTTATTTCACTTAGCATAATGTTTTTAAGGTTCATCTATGTTATAACATGTACCAGAATTTCATTCCTTTTTAAAGCTGAATTATGTTCCATTGTACATATTCACCATATTTTGTTTATCCACTCCTCTTGTCATGGACATCTGGGTTGTTTCCACCTTTTGGCTATTGTGAATAATACTGCTACAAACACTGGTGTACAAATATCACTTTGAGTCCCTGCTTTCAATTCTTTTGGGTATATTCCTAGAAGTGGAACTGCGGGATCATATGATAACTAAGTTTTTGAGGAACCACCACATTGTTTTCAACAAAGGCTGCATGATTTTACGTTCCCAATAGCAATGCACAAGGGTATCTATTTCTTCACATCCTTGCCAACACTTATTTTCAGGTTGTTTTTGTTGTTTTAAAATAGCCATCCTAACAGATGTGAAGTGGTATCTTACTTATTATGGTTTTCATTTGCATTTCCCTAATCTAAATTACGTTTTAAAATCCAATCCTCTCTGAATTGAACCCTTTGTTCTTTATTTCTCAATAAAATGGACCTTGCCCCCTTTTTTTCCTTCTTTGTACCTATGCTCTGCATTTTAAAAAATTGTGGCAAAATACATATAACTTAAAACTTTACCATCTTAACCATTTTCAAGTGTAGAGTTCAGTATTAAGTATATTCACATTGTTGTGCCCTAACCCAAATATAGTATATAATGGCAAAAAGAAACAAAAGGCTCTCTAAAGAAAAAGAAAGCCGTGAATTCTTGGACCCCAGAGATGTTCACAAACAGATTGGATCAATCTCAGCAGGGACTTTCATTCATCTTCTGAGCATCTCTGCTGGGCTGGGCTCTGTGCCAGGCAGGGGTCTCCGTGGTGAGTGTGGCCTGGACTCTGCCCTTGGGGTTCAGCCTCTGTGGGGAACAGTTATACCCAAGGGCTGCTGTGGGCACAGAGGGACACCCTGTTGTGTGGGTGCGGCATTGGGAAGGGGCATAAGTGAGGTGGCACATGAGTTCAGGTGGGAAGGATGAGCAGACATGTACATGTGCAGAGAAGGGAACTGGCGTGTGTGGCTGGGCTGTGGCAGCACACCTCACAACCACCATTACAGGAGCATCTATTAATCATTTATGTCTGTCTCTCTACTTGATTATAAGCTGCATGAGAGCAGGGCTGATGGTTTTGTTCACTGCTGCATTGCTGCCATGCCCAGCACAGGCAAGTGTAAAAGAAACACTTGCTGAATAAATGAGTGGTTGATGACGAGGAAAAAGGAGACATTTCTTTCCAGAATCTTGGCTGTAAGCAGCAGACAGCATGGCTGTACTCCACGGGGAAGGCAGGATGGCAGGAAGCATTATACAGGTGATGGAGACAGGAGCACAGCAGGAGCCAGTGGAGAAGAAGAGTTTGAAGATTCCCTGGTTGAGAGAATGGAAGGGCGTAATTGCTGGGGAGAGGTCCCTGAAGAAAGGGGAGAGGCTGGGATGCAGGCTCAGTGGAAGGAGAGGAGTCTCCTTATGAGACTCAGATGGCCAGTGTGAAAAAGACAGAAGATACCAACTGCTGGTAAGAATGGGAAGCACACTGCATGGGGAACTCTCCTACACTGCTGGAGGCGTGTTCTTCCTGTTATTCTAGATTCAGACAGCACTCTGGTCGCTGGTTGGTGCAGGCCACCATTTGGGCCAATTAGAGGAACCCCAATATCTGCACTTGGACTATCAGAAATGAGAGCTCTACGCCCAGAGCAATTTCCAAGATGGGCCTGAATCCATGAGTCATGGCACTACATGGAGCCCAGGGTTGGCTCTGAGCCTAACAGCCTCCAAAATGTCAACTTTGTTCACGTGCCACTTTGTCCCTCATCTCATGCCATGCAGCTGGCAGGACTTCAGTTGACAGAAGGTAGACCCTGCTCTTTTCAAAAAGCACACAGGACAGGTGCTGATAGGCCAGCCCCTCCCACTGAGCTCTAGTTACTGCGGTGAACTTCACCAGGAGGTTCAGCGCCCACTGTGGCTCTGCCTGAGGGGCCTCTGTGCACACTCAGTCCAGGCACTAGCATCCCAGCGCCTGGCCAGTGGTCCAACTCCAGACTCACTACACAGAGCCCCTTGCAACCGATGTGTGCCAACATGGAGCCCACACAGGGCAGCTCAGCGTGACACCTGCACAGCTCAAGACTGAGGGAAGGAAATGCATCTTCTTTCTCAAGTTGGAAGAGGCTGTACTGAATTACCAAATGGCATTATACTCTCTGTGGGGGAGCACAGATGAGTGTCCGGCAGTCCCTGGGATGATGTTACAGTCCAGAGGTGGGGATGAGATGAGCCCAGATGATGCAATGGGGATGCAATCAAGACACGATGTCATTAGAAGCCACAGTGTGTTCTCTCATGCCACGTGTTTCCCAGCTTAGAGGAGTAAGGGGTCGGGGGGGGGAGTGGCCCCCTGGGACCCTGCTCTAGGACGCATGCATAAGGACCCACATGCAAACGCACAGAATTCAAGAGCTAGCCAGGCCTGGACCCATGTAGGAGAGCCCCACTGGCTGATTTCCAATCTGGGACAAAGGCCACAGACAGGAGGCCTCCCTTGGCCACACCCAGGTCCCCAGAACATATGCTCCACTGTCCCCAGTCTAACCACAACCCCATATGAGCTGTGTCCCATTCATGTTGGCCTAGAAACTGGGAAGTACCTGGCATGGGGCCCTCCGCTTCCTCCCCATGACTGCCTGGAGCTCTGGGGAGACCACCAAGGGGCCATTTTTGTGGTTAGGAAATGTCTGTGGCAGCTGTGGACACCACAGGCCCTCCCTGGACCCTTCTGAAGTAGAGGTCACATTCCTAAAGATTCTTAACTGCCAGCTCCAATTGCTTCTTCCTGACAGGCTCATCTTAGTAGGGAGTGAATATAATCTTTTCCCAGTTCCACGAGGTCCTCTCAGATCCAAAATGCTCTAAGTTCAAAGGCAAATCATGAAGAAAGGGAGACGCAGATACTAATTTGTGGTTTTAGTTCAGTGGTTTTCCACCTTGGCTACACAGTAGAGTTACCTAAGGAGCTTTTTAAAAATACTCATGTCCAAATATTCCAACAGGCACTTTGCAAAGAGAAGATCTAAATGGCTAACAAACATATGAAAGGTTGCTCAGCTGTATTAGTCATCAGGGAAATGCAAATTCAAACCACACTGTGATACCACTACATACCTGCCAGAATGGCTAACATGAAAAAGATAGAAAATATCTATGGTTGGCAAAAATGTGAAGCAACCAGAACTCTCATACATTGCTGGAGGGAGTGTAAATGGGTACAGCCACCTGGGAACATTATTTGGCATAAGGTACTAAAGCTGAACATACTCATACCCATGCTTCCCCAGCAATGGATATACATGTACTCCAAAAATACACACTAGCATGTCATTGCAATAGTCAGAATAGTTCCGAATTATAAATAACAACTCGAATATCCAAAAATGCATCACAGTAGAATGGATAAATCGAGGAATATCCATAGAGTGGAATACTCTATAGCAAGAAGAGTGAATAAACTGCAGCTCTAAGTAACAACTTGGATGAATCATCTCACAAACACAACAAGAGGATATATACTGCCTGATTCCATTTACATCATATAAAGTTTGAAAACAGGAGAAATGACTGTACACCATTAGAAGCCAGAATGGACATTAGCCTTTGGAGCCAGGTAGTAAGTGGAAGGGGTACCAGGGGTTGCTGGTGATGTTCTGTTTCATGATTTGGATGCTGGTTACTCGGGGTAAATTCATTTTGTGAAAATTCACTGAGCTTTACACTTATGGTTTGTGCTTTTTTTTTTTTTTTTGCATGTATGTCATCCTTCAACAAACACTTAAAAAATGTTTGAAAACCCCATCAATTCAGTCAGACTCTTTGGGTGGGAGCAAGATCCAGGCATCAGTATTTTTTAATATCCCAGATGATGGTAATATGCAGCCAGGATTTAAAGTCACTGGTTTAATATCTTGGGAAAAGCAGATCCACTCAAGACCTCACAGGGTCCTGACAAAGGCCACTTCCAGCTCAGTGGAGTGAGACACTGGGGTGGGAAGATGTCCATTTTTTGGATGTGGGTCAGTCTCTTGCACAGGCAGAGGTATTGCAGCATGCTGTTGTAATGTGTATCTTCCTTGGCAGTGTCTGTTGAAAGCTGGTTGCATCAGTTTGTAATGGGGTGTAATGGCAACAAGGTGGGCCCAGCCCCCCCCAGGAAGTGGATCACTGAGCACAGCTTCTACAGGGCCATTTGTAGAGAGGTGGCAGCTGGGCTTCCCAGGGGCTGCCACCCAGGGCAGAGCCAGTGCTGAGGCTCTGACAACCTCGGCAGGGTGGGGAGAAGGCCAGACTCAGGGTGTTTATGTTTGTGGGTAATGACAGTCAGCTCTGGGCTCCAGATGATGCTTACTCCCTGGCCTCTGTGTTCAGATTAGGAACTTGCAACATCTTGCTGAGGACCATGTCAGGCTCAGCTCTAAGTGCTGTGGCTGAGAATTTTCCTTCCTCTCTGTGTGGTTAGTGGCAGCCTCCCTAGCAATGGCTGACCTCTAGCATACTCTGTCAAACTACAGGCAGCTGGGACAAGACAGGACATGGGGCTCACAGACAGGTATTCCACAACCTGGGCCCTGTCAACCCTCCCAGAAATGCATGGGCCATGAACCTCCTGCTGTGGGAGGGGCAGTGCAGAGAAGTCTCAATAAGCTTCTCTTGGCCCTCTGGGATCTCCACCATCCACAGTGTGTAGGGCTGAGCTGCAGGCTGGGTCTTCAGGTGGTGTCCCTGCACATCTGCTTTGCAGCGTGGCGTCTATAGAGCAAGAGTGAACAGGAAGGGGCCTCGGGCCTCCTGTAGCTCTGCTGGGCAGGGACGCTGCGGGGCCTCAGCTGGGCTTCCTTGGCTAAAGGGCACAGAGTGGCGTAGGCTGCAAGAGGACAAGCTAAGCTGATGAAGGCTCTATCACTCAAGGGTAGCCATGTAAAAAAAAATCCCTACAGGTAAAAGAAGCATGAATAAGACAGGCGGGGCATAACAGTGTCTCCCCACTGAAGCTGCAACTCTCTGCTTCACTGGCTTCAGCCTCCTCTCTGTGAAATGGGGGCAATGTCCCCTAGGCCTTTTCCTCCTGTCCAGTAGGGCTGAGGGTCTACAGGCCAGAGGGAGGCCTGGGCTCTGAGGCCTGTGCCTGTGTGGCCTCTGGCTGGGACCTCAGCCCCCATGTGCCACGTCACCTCCCTTGTCTGTGAAATACCACAACAGCAGCTCTTGCCAGCCAGTGACACTACCCCTTCCTGTTGTCTTCTTTACAAAGCATTTATGAAATGCTTCCTTTTCATGCTTCAGGAAACCGGTGGCCAGGAGGAGTTCTTGATTTCATTTTCTTCCCTAGAGATATGTGTGCTTCGAAATACACAAATTAAACAAAAACGAGGGCTGACTGGGACCAGGAGAGTGAGTGATCCTGGCTTCCCTTGATTTACATGCTTATTTTCCTTCTCAAATCACTCCAGTAAGTACAGAAGTCACTAATCTATTGCCCTCTATTATCTGCATTATAGTTAAAAACATCGACATGAACAAACAAAAGCCCTTGCGTAGCCTAGAGAAGTCACAAAGCTCACACCCAGACTCTCGCCTAAGAGAGTCTCTCAGGGCTCACTCAGGGACTATTTATTCTTGTTTTATTTTTTTAAATGTTGATACCCTCTCTGCTTGAGTATCCTTGTTTTAGATGCAAATCAGAAAAGGTTGCTGTATTGATCACAGTCCCAGCAGGAAACAGATGCACACTCCACTGGTAACAGGAGAGACTGAGGAAAGGACCGTTTCCAAGGGTGAGCAAGATGAAGAGAAACCCTCAAGGAAAGGTGAAGCATCCTGCAGCCAGCAACAGTGGGAGCTGTGACCACCAATCCCCAGGGAGGAGGTGGGAGGGCTCCTGGAACCCAGAGAGACCAGTAGGAGGGGACTGCCGGCAGGAGCTGTGGTTTTAGGGTGAAAAACACAGGCACTATTGACCTGAGACCTGGCAAGGGAGGGAGCTGGGGGGATAAAGCACCTCCCATTTCCCCTCCCAGCCTCCAACCTCTGGTCAGGGGAGGGGTCTTCAATTGGCCAAACCCAACTGGAAGCTTGGGGACCTGGAGCCTGGCTGATGGAATCCACAAAGGTCAAATCCTGGGAGGAGTGGGAAAGAGCAGAAAATCAACTGGAGCAGGGATGTGTGGGGGGGTGGCAAACAAACAATGCCCGGCAGAGTCACCGGGGCTGGCCATTTGAAAAGAGTACATCAGAAGCTAACGTGCTGTAATGTGGCACTCTCACCACAAATACATAGGATGAAAGGCAGCCAGGGACAGAGGCGGCCACGAAGAAAGGTTTAAAGAATCCCAGCAAAATGACTGGGGTCCTCATTATGGAAGAACAAATAGCTTTACTTAATAATTCCAAGGTAATAGCTTAATAGCTTAATAATTCCAAGGTAAACAAGTATTTTCATAAGGAGGACTCTGAATGATCAACAGAAGGTTAAATGTCACTGTACTGCTTCACAGAGCTGTTACAGGGCAGGGAAGACTATAACACAATGTAGAGATAGATCCATACAAGAGAGGTACAACAGGGTTTCCAGTTCAACACATCAGTTATTTACACTCCTAGTTTCCTTTCTCTCCTGAAGCACCACTAAAATGCTAGTCTAGAAATCAAATGGGGCCAGGTGCAGTGGCTCACGCCTATAATTCCAGCACTTTGGTAGGCCAAGGCAGGAGGATCATTAGAGTCCAGAAGTTCAAGACCAGCCTGGGCAACATAGCAAGACCCTGTCTTAAAAAAAAAATTGGCTGGGTGTGGTGGTGTGTACCTGGAGTCTCAGCTACTCAGGAGGCTGAGGTGGGAGGATCACTTGAGCCCAGGAGTTTGAGGCTGCAGTGAGCTATGGTCACACCACTGTACTCCAGTCTGGGCGATGAAGTGATACCCTGTCTCTTAAAAAAATCAAATGGGGCCAGGCGCGGTGGCTCATGCCTGTAATCCCAGCACTTTAGGAGGATGAGGAGGGTGGATTACTTGAGATCAGAAGTTCGAGACCAGCTTGGCCAACATGGTGAAACCCCGACTCTACTAAAAATACGAAAAGTAGTCAGGCATGGTGGCACATGCCTGTAGTCCCAGGTACTCGGGAGGCTGAGATATGAGAATTGCTTGAACCCAGGAGGCAGAGGTTGCAATGAGCCAAGATTGTGCCACTGCACTCCAGCTTGGGTGACAAGGCGAGACTCTGTCTCAAACAACCAACCAACCAAATGGTATTAACTCTCAAAGGCAAAGAGAATGGTAAAGGAGACATGAGTGGCTGAAAGAGTTCCCCAAACTACAGGAAGCTGGGAGGCAGGTGGAGGAATAATGACTGACATGGAGGAAGCTAGGCTCTGAAGGGCTTGCAGAGGGGCACACTGACAGGAGGCAAGCCACTTTACCCCTGGAACCCTGCAGGAGGAGCTCAGACTTGGGGAGTCCAGGTGTTGTGGCTGGTGGGGCTGAGGTACAGCAGCCTGTGGGGGTAATGAATGGAGGAAACTGGTTGAAATCCTCCCCAGGTCTCACCTCCACACCCTGCCCCACACAGCTGGAGACAAAGACACTGAACAGGAGAGAGACAGGCAGGAGGGAGGGCAGATGAATACAGGGATGAAAACAGGGAGGTGAGGGAAAAGTCTGAAGAATGAAGCGTGGGACTCAATGTCCCACCCACTTACCTTGCCCTGCCCCACCCCAGGTATATATCACTCTGGATGAGGGTATGGTGAATTTAAAAGATGGTTGCAAATTCTTTGACATTTCTCCAATGGAGAGGTGGGTCTGTGTCTCCTTCCTTGAACCTGTGTGGATTTCTGACTACAGTGGAAATGAGCTATGTGACTTCCAAGGCTGGGACATACACAGCCATGCAGCTTCTGTCTTGCTGGCCAGAACACTCACACCAGAGACTTGAGGTGCCTCGTAAGAGGTCCAATGACCAGGCCATGGTGCTGGAGACATCATGTGTAGTCTCTCTGGTCAACAGTCCCAGCTGAGCCCAGCCTTCCAGCTCTCTTTGCCAAGTGAACAACGATCTTACAAGTGGACCCTTCAGCCCCAGCTGTTCCAACTCCCAGTTATTCCAGTCACCTCGAGTCATTCCAGTCATCCTAGCCGTCGTAGAGCAGAGAATTGCCCTTCTGACTCCTTGACAGTGGCCCAAAAAATGGTTGTTGTTTTATGCTACTAAGTTTTGAGGTGGTTTGTTATGTAGCGTTCAATAACTAGAACTAGGAGTTAGAATGCTTCTCTTGAGGAGCTGAATGGCTTCAGGGTGGTGGTTCTCAACAGGGTGATTTTGTCCCCCAGGGGACATTTGGCAATGTTTACAGACATTTTGGTTATCACAACTCTGGGAGGGGGGTTACTACTGGCATTTAGTAGGCAGAAGTCACTGGTGCTGCTAAACATTCTACAATGCATGAGACAGCCTCTGACAACAAGGAATTCTTTGGCCCAACATGTCACTAGTACCAAGGTTAAGAAACCTAGCTCTAGAGAAAAGGTGCTCATTGGAGGCTTGTTAACTAAAAGACTGTCTTGCTTCCTGTAGTGAAACCCCAGTTGATAAATTCTCCCCAAGCAGAGTTTAGTTCAGCCTTTTATTGCTCCATTAATAAATACCAACAGATAGCTGAGATATTTGGCATTTAAGGAAAGCCTCCAACAAGGAGAGATGGAGAGACAGAGAGAGGGAGAAGAAAAAGAAAGCAGAAGGAAAAAGGAAGAAGGAAGAAAGAAGAGGGAAGAAGAAGAAGAACAAGAGGAAGAGGAGGAGGAAGAAGAAGAAGAAGAAGGAGGATGACGACAACGACAACAACAACAACAACAAGAAGCAGCCACCACCGCCGCTGCCACCTCCAGGTAGAAACAAAAACAAAATAGAGACTAGAAGACTATTAAGACAAATGGACAAATGAAAAATAAATAGTGCCTCAAGAAGAATAGGATGGAGATAGTATATGCATAAAAAAGAATGTGGTATTTTTGAAAAAGAACAGGAAGAACAAGAATGAGTACTAGGATATTAGAAAAAGAAAGCCAAAATTAAAAAAAAAATCAACAGAAGGGTTGGAGTATGAAGTCAATGAAGGTTTCCCAAGAAAGTAGACCAAAAAGGCAAAGAGATGAAAAGTAGGAGAGAAAATATAAGGAAACTAAAACATTAATCCAGATGATCCAACAGATAAAATACAGGGAAGAAAATTATTAAATAAATAATACAAGAAAATCTTCCAGGACTCAAAGATGCTACATAACTCAGCAGTGACGAATATGTCCACATTCACTATTGAGTTAACCACAGATTGTGTTATGTTCCTATTGGAAGGATGGAGAGAGGAAAAGTGGGGATGGTTCTGTAGGAAAGTTCAATCCTCATCTATCACAAGAAGTCAACAAATGCCTAAAATCGGTAGATCAAAAAATAGTATAAACAGAAATGGAAACTAGTAAATGGTTGAAAGAGGCAGCCTATAGAGAGGGGGAGTGAGAAAGGCGGGGAAGGGATTTTTATTATGGGCTTCTCAGTACAACTGATATTTAAACCATATGCATGCATTATTTTTTATTTTGTTTTTAATGGATACATAATAATTGTAGATATTTATGCAGTGCAGTGTGATGTTTCCAGACATACATATAGCATGACATGATCAAATCAGGGTAATTAGCATATCTATCACCTTAAACACTTGTCATTTCTTTGTGGTGACAACATTCAAAATCATCTCTTCCAGCTATTTTGAATTTGTGCATTATTTTGATAAATTTGATAGAATAGAAATTAATTTAAAAGGGTACAATTTTAAAACTGCAATGTGATGGGATCAAATTTAATAATTTGGAAAATTCGCTTATGTAGAAGAGTCATGCCTCTCTAAGAATGCTCAATGAACTGGCATAGGTGGGCACAAGCACCATCAGCATGGAAGGGTTCCTCCTGATGTCACTGGCCACTAAGGCAGTTGGTGGGGTGAGGGTGGGGATGAGAGCCAGGCATGGCAGCCCTTAGGTGGTCACCATTTCCCTCTCCTGGCAGCCTGTATTTGCTTGGGAGACCTATCTCTTGGGTATAGATCCTATTGGGCTGCTAAAGAAGAGAGGTGCTAATCCTTTTAGGATGACTTCTGGGAATTCACCAGGATGCCCTGCCTCTCCTACTCTGGACATGGAAAAAAATGCTGGGTTTACCAAAGGTGGATGAGTCAGGCCCAGGACTAGAGCCACGGGGCCTCTCCCTGGACGTGCCATAGTCAGGCTGTCTCGGCCGCTAAAAGAGGCTACACACATTTATTGTCATCAGAAGCTGGGACAGATGAGCCTTGGGTTACAAGATCTCCTACCTGGAGCTCTCCCGGGAGGTGCCAATCATAGGGGATGGGAGGACAAACACATGCTTGGTGGGGCTCTAGCGTTACCGCCGAGGTGCATCTCCTTGGCCACTAGCCCTGGGGTCTGACCTCCCCTTCTCTTTTCCTTCACCCATTGTTCTCTCTATTCCCTTTCTTTCCCACCTCTCTCTCAGTTCTCCAGAGCTCTGTGCAGGGACTACTTAGCAAACTTACCTGCTGAAATGCACTGTTTTTTTTTTAACCTTTTAAATTGTCACTTTTTTTTAAACTATACCATCCTTAGATAAGCAGGAGATATTCCTTGTAGAAAAATAAGAAAATATTAATAATCACCCATGATTCTATCAGTCAGAAAACTCCACTGCTGGTGTATGAATTTCCAGAATGTTTCCAGGCTTATAAACGGGTAAAAATACTATCACAGTCCATGTCTCATCTAAGCACCCAGCTACTGAGCAATCATCACCTACTGGGCTGTGCTGAGGCCTTTAGATGTGTTAATCTCTCTTAATCCTTCCAACTTCACAAGATAGGTGTTATTGTGCCCCGTTTACAGGCAGGAAACAAGTTCAGGGAGATCACATTACTTGCCTGAGTTCCCAAGTTGGTTAAGAGACTAAGCTAGATCTCAACCCTTCAGGCTGAATCCAAAGCTACTTTCCTTGAATGGTTTGTAAGATTTTTCCATTTCTTTTTTAAAAAAATGGTATGTTCAAATATCTTTCTCATCAATAAATATTTATCTTCATCATTCTTCCTAATGACATTCCCTTGTAGGAATGTGCCAATGTGGAATAACCAGTTCCGTCTTGTTGGGCTTTCAGATGTTTTCTTTTTGTAAATGATAAACAATGCAGTTATAACTATCTTTATATATAAACTTTGCAATAGTATGAGTATTTTCCTAGAATAAATACTGGAAAGTGAAATTGCGTGGTCAAAGGCCAGACACATTTTTAAAAGCTGCCTCTTTCCCAATCACACATTTCCCACATCCATTTATTTGCTGAGGATCTTCACAAAATTTGGACTGAGATTAAACACAGAATCAGAGAAGCCCTATGCTGGAAAGATCTTAGTATATACCTCTTGAACTAAACCAGTCTTACTTTAGAAAAAAAAAAAAAAAGGCCAGGCGCGGTGGCTCATGCCTGTAATCCCAGCACTTTGGGAGGCCGAGGTGGGCGGATCATGAGGTCAAGAGATTGAGACCATCCTGGCCAACATGGTGAAACCCCATCTCTATTACAAATACAAAAATTGGCTGGGCGTGGTGGCGTGTGCCTGTAGTCCCAGCTACTTGGGAGGCTGAGGCAGAAGAATCGCTTGAACCCGGGAGGCAGAGGTTGCACTGAGCCGAGATTGTGCCACTGCGCTTCAGTCTGGCGACAGAGCGAGACTCCATCTCAGAAAAAAAAAAAAGCACTAGACCCTCTGCAGCAGCCTGCTGTGCCTTCAGTGGGCCAGGCAGCACTTCTGGGCAAGTGAGGAAAGGGAGACCCGGAGGGAGGTAGGGAAGTGAGGGCAAGAGGGCCATGCTGTGGGCCCACAACCAACTGGCTTGGGGGAGGCTGCTACATTTTCCCAAGTGCAACACTGTCTTCCTGAGTCTAAAGACCTCACAGCCATCACTGACTATACTGAGCTGCCTCACTGTCCCCAGGACTCTCACTCTATCCAGGAAGTCAACGCAAAGTCTCTTGGGCCTTCCCTTTATCCAGCTGCCAACACTTAGCACCCTGGTCTTCCTTGGACAGTTTCCAAGGCTACGTTGGGCAGTCCCAAACAAGATGTGGTCTTATTGTTGTCTTACCTTGGTGTGTTTTCCTCCAATAGGCTACAAACTCTGGCACCTGCAAAAAACAAGGAAAGTAAATGATTGAAGCAGGGCACTGAAGGTGGGCCTTTGAACAACGCAAGCCTGGATGGAAGTTGAAAGATGAGAGCCCATCTGTGGTGAGTTCTTTGAAAGCTGCTGAGGTGTGAGTTGGTAGGATGCTGGCCCAGGGCAGACACGGGCACAAGCTTCCACCCAGCGGCATTCTCCACTCAGAGGGTTTCTTTCTCATTTGGCCTGTTAATGCTCCTATACTGGCAGAAACCTCAGTGCCCTTCCCACTTTGTCTCAAGGCCTTGTATAAAAAATAAGTTGTCCCTTCATTCATTTCCATGGATATATCCATTCATCAGCTATTTACTGAGCACCTACTATATGCCAGGCACTGTCCTAGGGCTCTGGGAATAGAGCATTGGACTAAAAAGGCTAACACCCTGCCCTCATGGAGCTTGAAGTCTACTGGGTAGGGGGGTGGGGCGGTGGTGGTAGTGAAGAGTCCAAAAACTAACAAGATACATAAATTAAAAATATAGGAATCAGAAGTGGTAAATCCTAGGGAGGAAAAAATAAGGCAGGAGAGAGAGGTAAGGAATATTGGGGCAGAAGGTGAGAAGGCGTGTAAAAATTCTAAAATGTGTGTCCAGAGAAGGCTAGACACCTGAGAAGGTAAATTATGAACAAAGTTACCTGAAAAAAGTGAGGACATGAGCCCTGAGAATTAACGGGGAAGAAGCTTCCCAGGTGGAGGGAATGGCAAGTGCAACAGCCTGGCAGTGAGGGCCTGTCTGACATGTTAACAGATAAGTGAGGAGGGTGGTGTAGCCAGAGTAGAGAGAATAAGGGAGAAGCAGGAGAGGGATCAGAGAGGTAGTGAGAGGCTCCACAGTGTTCACGGCATTCAAGGGAGGTCCTTGTGTGAACTTGGGCTCTGATTCTGAGACAGGAGCCACTAGAGGGTTTTTTACAGAGAAGTGACATGATGTAACTCACATTTTAACAGGATCACTCTGGATGCTGTGTTGAGAATAAACTGAGAGAAAGAGTAGAACCAGTTAGGAGGCTATGGCAGAAATCTTGGCAAGAGACAATGGTGGCTTGGACCAGAGCAGTAGCATGGAGGATTTGCTGATGGATTGGAAGTGAGAGATTAAAAAGAATGGGTTTAGAACCTGACTGGGGCAGGTTAAAAAGAAAGGAGCTGAAGCTGTGAACTAGGAGACAGAGTTGGCTGGGAGCAGCAGGAAGATTCCCAGTTTTGGCCTGAGCAACTGGGAGGATGGAATTGCCATTTTCTGAATGGAAGCGTACAGATGGAGCATGTTTTGTGGGGAGATAAGGAATACGGTTTTGGATGTAAGTGTGAGATGCCTTTTAAGCACTTAAGTGGAGAAGACTGTAGGCAGGTGGAACTGTGAATCTGGGGAGAGGTCCAGGCTGGAAATGAGTATTTGTGAGTTCTCAGCACATAGTTCTTTAAAGCTGTGACACAGGATGAGATCATCAAGAGGGTGGATGTCAATAGGGAAGCTGTCGGCCGGGTGCGGTGGCTCACGCCTGTAATCCCAGCACTTTGGGAGGCCAAGGCGGGTGGATCACCTGAGGTCAGGAGTTCGAGACCAGCCTGGCCAACCTGGTGAAACCCCGTCTCTACTAAAAATACAAAAATTAGCTGGGTGTGGTGGCAGGTGCCTGTAACCCCAGATACTCAGGAGGATGAAGCAGGAGAATCACTTGAACCCAGGAAGCAGAGGTTGCAGTGAGCGGAGATTGTGCCATTGTACTCCAGCCTGGGTGACAGAGCAAGACTCTGTCTCAAAAAAAAAAAAAAAAAAGAAAAGAAAAGAAAAGAAAAGAAAAAAAAAAAACCAGGGAAGCTGTGCAAGGGGCTGAGCCCCATTCAGTAGCTCAGCAAAAGAGACTGAAAAGGACTAGCAAGTACAGTAGGAGGGAAACCTGGAGAAAGACTTCTGAGGAGGATGGCATAGTCCACTGTGATAGATCAACTATTTAATAATATGAAGACAGAGATTTAGCATCTTGGAGTCACAGGTGATCCTGGTCAGGGATGATTCAGTGGAACAGTTGGAGTGAGAATCTGACTACAGCAGGTTCTAAAGAGAGGAGCTGAATTTGGGAGCTGAGGGGTGGAGTTGGCTGGTGACAGCAGGAGGGCTGGAAGCAGAGGGAGAGGGATCTAACCTACATTGGTTCCACCTTAAGAGAAAACACAAAGCTGGTACTTCCTCAACACCTGTACGTGGCCGCTGTTGTTACTAACACTGGGCCAGGTCCTCCAGCTTGCTGAGCACCACCCAGGTCTGGTCCTATAAGCTAGCTCTCCACCTGTTTCTAGATTCCTATGAAGTTATTTCCTTTTTCTCACTGCTGTGTGTAGCCTTAGGATAAATGCCCATAGCTTGGGGCTGCTGAGCAAGTCCTCAGTTGCTTGTTGACCAAGATCTGGCTTGGGTCCTTTCTCCTAATGGGAAGTCAGAGTGAGCAAGGGACTCTGCTCTTGGAGAGCTTGCCTTCTGTGCAGGAGATAAATAATCACCAAGGAAATGGATATGCAGGCAGGTAACTTCAGATGCAGATGGGTGCTATGAAGACAGTAAGCTGGGGTGAAACACACAGAGTAAGTGTGGGAGCGACCTCCTTTCGCCAGGCTGTGTGGTCAGGTGCCTCTCTGGGAGGTGACATTTAGGATGACACCTAGACAGCGATGCCCAGCTTATTCTCCTCAAGCTGGCCTCTCCTCTGCTGCTCCCAGCCTTCCCCGTGGCTTCTACAATATCTGCACTCTGGGAACAAGGCCAAGGCCTTGGGCCATCTAAGTGCAAAGCCAAAAGGAAACAATCCTCTTCTCTCGCCAATACACACCATGGGAACTTTTTCTCCATGATTACAAAATACATGCATTTTCACTGAAGGAAACTTGGAAATATTGAAAACAGGAGAAAACGTGTCATTCTACTACCCAGAAATAACTACAATTAACTTTGGATGCATCCTTCTAGACATTCTTCTATGCATATATATAGGTATTTTTTTTCTTATTTCCTTGGGTTAAAAATGAGATCATGTACATTGTGTTTTATGATCTGAATTTTGACTAAATCTGTTATAAAGCACTCTTCTCATGAAATTAATTTTCTTCTACATAATGAGTTTAAATGGCTGCATTAAAAGTATTTCATTATATGTAGATTTTTACCATATTTTATTTAATTCCTAAACATTGGCCATTTACATTGTTTCCTATGATTGTTACTACCAGCAAATGCTCTAATAAACAATCCTGTATATTTTTCCTTGGAGAAGGGGGTTTGCCAATCTCTTATTTCCTTGGGTTAAAACAAAATGTCACTGCCCAGTGGCAGTGCCATGGGTCTCATGGCAGCCTGAGGCTGAGGGCATGGGAGGGCAGGAATGAGCCCCAAGCCTAAGGAGCCACTCAGATGCCAGAGGCTGATTTAGTCCTATGACATGCCAGGTCTTGAGTTTTCCTCCCCTGAGGGCCTGATCAGTACGAAAACAATAGGCCTCTCCCATAAACCCAGAGAAATCCAAGGGGATTCCCCACCTCAGCAGGAAGAGGGTGTCACTCTCTGACCCCAGAATAGAGACCACCTCCATCCTCCCTTGAAATCCCCTGGGGAAGCTTCTCCTGCCCTCCGTCCCTGGGGAAAACATTGGCACGGTCAGGCCTTCAATCTCTCTTTGGGGAGGGGCTGCCAGGGAATGCTCAGGAAACAGAAGGTTCCATAGGAGTAGCAGGGCCTGTCCTATCCCTGACCCAGCCTTTTCCCTAAATCCTCAAATTCCCCACAGGGGCTGGCAGGGACAGTCTATGCTCCCCGTAAGAGGATGTCCTGAGGGCTAGTGAGTTCTAGGGTAAGGTGGGAGGCCACCAGATGAGGGTTTGAATCCAGGCTCTGACATTCCAGCCTCGTCTTGGGCAAGTGACTTCACCTGTGGAATGTGAGCTACGAGGAAGGAACTTAGATTTGCGCCCCTTAGCATTCAACAGGGGCTCTATAAATACCAGGCCAGGCCAATGCATGATCCTTTCTGAGCCTCAGCTGCTCATATGTGAAATGGATGACACCTATCTCACAGGTTTGTTGTAGGGACTAAATACAACTTAATACAGTTAACACTCTACTGTTTGAGAAACATTAGAGTCCAAAGCCCTGGAGGGCTACTTCCACCACGCCCCATGCTTTGTAGTCTCCTCTTTTTGGCAGAACTAGTTTACCTCCACACTGCTACTACCACACCCTAGACATACCTCTGGTGTAGTATGCAGCACATTGTGTGTGTACTTGTCCAACTCCTCCATGAAGCTTCAGGGCAGTTAAAGACAAGAATTTTGCCTCTCTATCGTCTGTGCCTCTGAATGACACTATGAAGTAAGCAAGGGCATTATTTCCATTCTACAAATGAGAAAACTGAGGCTTAGAAAGATTAGATGCCTTGCCCAAGTCACACAGTGGAGAGTAGGAGAGCAAGACCTAAACCTGGTTCTCATTTCTGGGCCTGTGTTCTGTAAACCAAAAAGAAAATTCCAAGGTACTCCCCAGCTGTCTGAATAGACCCCTCCTCTCGGCCAAGGGCATTCCAAAGTTAACCTGAAAAACTAGTTTAGGCCATGATGGGAAGGGGGAGCCAGACATGCCTCGTTATACCCTCTTCCCTTTTGGAATTACTGACTCTTTAAGACTGATAAGAGATATTTACAGTCCATTCTCTCTGAAGCCTGCTACCTGGAGGCCTCATCTGCATAATAAAACCTTGGTCCCCATAGCCCCTTATCGTAACCCAGACATTCCTTTCTGTTGCTTTCTATTGATAATAACTCTTTCAACCAATTGTCAATCAGAAAAATTTTTGAATCCATCTATGACTTGAAACCACCCCCACTCCCCAACCTAGTTGTCCTGCCTTTTTGGACAGAACCAATGTACATCTTATATGCATTGATTGATGGCTATGTCTCCCTAAAATGTATAAAACCAAATTGTGGCCTGACCACTTTGGGTACATGTTCTCAGGATCTCCTGAGGGCTGTCTCACAGGCCATTGGTTACTTATATTTGGCTCAGAATAGATGTCTTCAAATATTTTACAGTTTGACCGACAACTCTATTCTAGATGATTCTCTTGCAAAAGGGAGTTGGAGGTGAGAAGGAAGTGAGCCAATTCTCATGTCCCTGAGAAAAAGGCAGGCAGAGCTTCGAGAGGAAGGAGGTGCTTGGGGAGGCAGCAGGACACTGCACTTGCCTCAGCCCCATCCTGACTCCCCGTGGATCATCGTGCATGCAGCAGCTGTGACCCCCAGAGGCCTCTAGTTCAGCATAAGCTGAGGCAAAGGGGGCCCCCAGGTTCCCTCTACTGGTGTGAAGCCCAGCCGGCAAGGGGACTGGGGATCGGCGGCCCAGAGTTGATTGTTGTGGCCCCAGCAGCAGGATGATGGCTGTAGAGCACCTGCTCAGGAGTTAGCCTATCTCCAGCTATGGGGCGGGAAGGCTCCCTACCAGACCACACACATCTTGATGTACTCACCCTGTGAGCCCAGGACCCCTGTGATACCTGCTGAGGTGAAGGCTGAATGAGTGAGAGCTCCCAGCCTCCAGCATCAGGGCATTAGGGAGAAGAAGCAGCTAGACTCAAGCCAGGGATGCAGAGGGAGGGAACAGGCATCAGGTAGTAGGTGTTTTAATGTCACCTACCTCTTATTATGTTGTATGTTTCTGGAGGATGGGTCCATGGCTGATCCATCCTTGTGTCTCTACTACAACCAGCAGATTACTTTACAGAGAGTTGATACTCAGTAAGTACAGCTTATTGAAGGTGTAACCAAAAGCCAGTAGGCAGGATGACAGATGGCATCCGCCTTGCATGTCTGGGTCATCAGGGAAAGGGCCAATGTCCAGTGTGTCCTGACCAGGATGGTTCTGACAAGGACATCCATAGCATCCACAGAGGGTGCTCCCTCCCCAGGCAACAAACTCTCCCTCCCTCCTTTCTTTCTTCCTTCCCTTTTTTTTGAGATGGAGTCTCACTTATTGCCCAGGCTGGAGTGCAGTGGCACAATCTCGGCTCATTGCAACCTTCGCCTCCTGGGTTCAATTGATTCTCTGGCCTCAGCCTCCCGAGTAACTGGGATTACAGGCATGTACCACCATACCTGGCTAATTTTTGTATTTTTAGTAGAGATAGGCTTTTGCCACGTTGGCCAGGCTGGTCTCAAACTCGTGACCTCAGTTGATCTGCCTGCCTGGGCCTCCCAAAGTGCTGGGATTACAGGCATGAGCCACCGCTCCCAGCACACTCTCCCTTTCTTAGCCAAAGAGACACCACTTGGAGGAAACTACCTGGATCTAGGTGCTTCCCTAGTGACAAAAATGGACTGGGGATGTGGTATAAATCCTTGCCCCTGGGAATCTGGAAGGGACCTATGATATGAGAAAAAACAAACAAACAAACAAACAGACCAATTATCTCTTTATTGAGACCAAAACTGCTGCTTTTGCCTGAATGGTCAGATTGACTGATTCCTCTTCCACTTGCCATCCCCACTGCATGCATGGCTACAAATAATCCTGATGTTGCACATTTAAAATAGTGCCTTGCTTCAATTGCTTCAGTCTATCAGTGTAAACTGTGTCTCCCCTGGCAGGTATGCTGTGGGGGACAGTGCAGGGCTTGTCTCTGTAGGACCAAACTCAGTATGAACTTATCACCTGCCTGTGTGTACAGCTTTAAGCTTCAGGTAGAGGGTGTTATAAACCCTGGAGTAGGACTTCCCTAGAGAACAGGTCATTACACTATGTCCATCTATTGAGGCCCTAAATTAAGTCTACAGAATTAGGCCTAAACTCCGCAGACAGTAGCCAAAGGTCTCAGGCTCTGGCCCACTCCACCTGTCCATCCACACCTCCCTCTCATCTTGCCCTTCACTCACTTAACACAGTGCCCAAAGGGAGATGCAGTTGCCTGGACAGGCTGGCTTTGGCTTAAGCTAGGGGTTCTTAAAGAATAGTCCCCAGACCAGCAGCATCAGCATCACCTGGGACTTGTTAGACCTCCTGAATTGGAACCTGTGGGATGAGACTCAGCAAACTGTTTTAATGAGTCTTCTAGGTGATTTTGGTTGCACTAAAGTTTGAGAACCACTGGGTGAGCCATTCCCTGAGCCCAGGTTGCCTTTCTCAGCCATTTTCTGCCTATTATAATCTCAACCACCTTTCAAAGTTCAGCTCAATACCATCTCTTTTGGGAAGCCCCCGTAGTCCCCCAAGTACTTGTGAAGGCCTCTTCCTTGAACCGACAGCTTCTTTGTCACCCCATCCCCCATTCTAGTGAAAGACCTTCATTTCTGCTTCTCTTTGCAGCATGTATTTTCTGCTTTGTTTTATAGTAAACTTTGAGCAGTTGTTAACTGCCTTCCCACACTGATTCCCCTCTAACACACAAATGTTACTCTGTAAAGGCCATGTCTTACTTCACTCATTCTTTTTTATTTTTTATTTTTGAAACAAGGTCTGGCTCTGTTGTCCAGGCTGGAGTGCAGTGGCATGATGTTGGCTCACTGCAACCTCTGACTCCTGGGCTCATGTCATCCTCCCACCTCAGCCTCCCAAGTAGCTGGGATTACAGGCCTGTGCTACTGCGCCCGGCTAATTTTTGTATTTTTAGTAGAGACAGGGTTTCCCCATGTTGGCCAGGCTGGTCTCGGTCTAGACTCAAGTGATCCGCCCACCTTAACCTCCCAAAGTACTGGGATTACAGGAGTGAGCCACTGCGCCTGGTGCAATTTGCTCATTCTTTGAATAAATGTCCACTGAGGATCTGCTCTACATGGCGGGGGCTGTGCTAGGCACTGGGGTTCAGACAAAGGTGCACCCTTATACTTATCATCCAGGAGCCAGTGGGGTGAATGGCAAGGTGGCTGGCAATTGCAATACTTTGAGTAGCACTGAGACAGAATGCTTCCAACCACAGGGGGCCCCTCATGCCCCTCCCTGTTGGGACCCACCCAAAAAGTAACCTCTGTTCTAACTTCCATCACCAGAGATTAATTTTATCTGTTTTTGCCTTTTGTTTGAGACAGGGTCTTGCTCTGTCGTCCAGGATGGAGTGCAGTGGTGCGATCATAGCCCAGTGCAGCCTCAAACGCCTAGACTCAAGCAATCCTCCCACCTCAGCCTCTTGTGTAGCTAGGACTACAGGCATGTGCCACCATGCCCAGCTATTTTTTTTTTTTTAAAGAGACAGAGTCTTGCTATGTTGCCCAGGCTGGTCTCAAACTCCTGGTCTCAAGCATTCCTCCTGTCTTGACCTCCCAGAGTGCTGGGATTACAGGTATAAGCCACCGCACCCGGCCAATTTTATTTGTTTTTAAACTTCATATAAATAGAATCATACAATGTACCTTTCGGGTGTCTGGCTTCTTCCCACTACACATTATCTGTGCGATCCATGTATGCTGTTATGTATAGACACAGTTTGTTCTTTTTTAAGATTGCTGTGTTGTATCCCATTGTGTAGATATGACACAATTTAACCATTCTACTGTTGATGGCCATTTGTGTTGTTTCTAGTTTGGGGCTCTTATGGAGAAAGATACTATTAGACATAAGACAAAAACATTTTGGTTTATGTCCGCTGGTGGACATTCTGGACATTCGCACTCATTCCTCTTGAGTATGTACCTAGAGGTGGAACTGATGGTTTATGGAATGGGTATAGTCTTAGCTTTAGTAGATACTATCAAATAGTTTTCCAAAGTGATTGTACCAATGTACACTCCTACCAGCATATAAAAGTGTTTGCCAACATTTGGTATTATCAGTCTTCAATTTTAGTCCTTCCTGTGGGTATAGAGTTGTATCTTTTACGTTTTAATTTGCTTATTGGCTATTTATATATCCACTTTTAAGATGTTCCTGTTTAAGACTTTTGCCTATTTGCTTTTTTCTTATTTACTTACAGGAATTCTTTGGACCTTCTGGATATAAGCCCCAGTCGTCTGTCGGATATGTTACAGAGAATATCCTCTCCTCTTCCAGTCTCTGGCTCGCCTTTCCACTAGGTTTTTTGTTTTTTTTTTTCTGAGACAGAGTCTCGCTCTCTCACCCAGGCTGGAGTGCATGGCATGATCTCGGCTCACTACAACCTCCACCTCCCGAGTTCAAGTGATTCTCCTGCCTCAGCGTCCCGGGTAGCTGAGACTACAGGTGCCCACCACCATGCCCGGCTAATCTTTGTATTTTCAGTAGAGACGGGATTTCACCATATTGGCCAGGCTGGTCTCGAACTCCTGACTTGTGATCCGCCCATCTCAGCCTCCCAAAGTGCCGGGATTACAGGTGTGAGCCACCGCACCCAGACGCCTTTCCACTCTTTAATGGTATTTTTGATGAACAAAAGTTCATAAATGTTCAATTTACCCATCTTTTCATCTATGGCTAGTGTATCCTGCTTAAGTAATCTTAGTTCCAAGAAGTCCAGTTAACAGAAATAACAAAAATTACTAATATTAAAAAAGACAAAGAAGTGAAGGAAAAAATTGGATGGTGGGTGTGGGAGAAGGACTGCATCAGATCGTGAGAGTGTGCTCACTTGACTGTGCTGTGCAAAGCCCGGGCCTTGTCCTGTGTTGTGGTATGGATGGGAGCTGAACCCCCAGGCAGTGCAACAAACATGCCCTCTGTTTGGTTCAGATGCTGCACCAGGTGGTGGAAAGGGCTCTGTGGGCTGTAGGGGGACCCTGGCTCAATGGCTTAAGAGAAAGATCACTCCTTTTCATGTGTGTTAAGCTGGGTCTGACCCCCAAACCCTGGAGACTCCCTTTAGTCCAGGCCCTGCGCCTCTGTGCCAGAGCCTGCAAAGACAGCAGTGCTGACACTTGTCCAGCTGGCTCACAAAGGGGAAATTCTCCCCTCCTTGAGTCACCACATAGACAGGAGGAGCTTCAAATAACAAGCGCTCGACTCCAAACGATCCCTATGCTCATTTCACGATGCTGCATCACTTTCAAAATCCCCTGTGATGCTTGTGTATGAAGTCTAGATCCAGAAACTTTCCCCATGTTTTCCCCAGTTTGAGTAGAACAATACCCTGGGAGTCACAAGCTACATCATACAATTGACTTCCCTAAAAAAAAAAAAAAAAAAGAGATCTTGGACTCAAGGTTATGAGTTTGCAGTGTCCTTTGCAGGGTCTTTTAAATCCCCTAGTGGCATATGAAACTCTGGATGTTTGTGAATTTTCCTGGGGAAAGGGTCTATGTGTGCCATCAGATTCCGGAAGGGGTGTATGACCTCAAAAAAAGGTAAGACTCACTGGACCGAGTCCCCTTTAAGGATAGTTTGCAGTCCTCTTCTGCTGGGAGGTGATGGTAGTAGGCTTGCCAAGAGGACCTCAACCTACCAGATGGATGCGATCTGCCATCCACCTCCCCAGCATAAAGCCAGTTCATAAAGCCAGCTCCAGCATCTCTGGGGCAGTTTTCTTCCCATCCAGGGTCAAGCTCTTGGCGGCTTAGAGATGCAGTGTGCCAGTCCCAACACCATGGCTGTGTGTCACTGCAGATGAAGGCATACTTTTTTTCTAGGACGTGCAGTGACCCCACTTGGCAGCAGACACTCATTTCTGATATTTTTGTATGCCAAGTCTTGGGTAAAACAACTAAGTGATCTCTTAAGGACCCAGGTTCCTTTTTTGTCCCTGTTCCTTGCCCCTCACCACCACTTTTTCCATGTGCCACCCTCTCATAAGAACTCAGAAGCCCAGGGTGGAGTCAAAGGGGTCTTTTAAATCCCCTAGTGGCATATGAAATTCTGGATGTTTGTGAATTTTCCTGGGGAAAGGGTCTATGTGTGCCATTAGATTCTGGAAGGGGTGTGTGACCTCAAAAAAAGGTTAAGACCCACTGGACCGAGTCCTCTTTAAATGGAAGTGCATGGATCAGTTTGATAAAATTAATTTATAGTAATGAGCTATGTATCTTTAGCTAACTGCACTTCTAAAAAGACATCTGGGAAGGGAGAACGCTTAACTAAAATTATTATTATAATTATTATTTTTTGAGATGGAGTATTGCTCTTGTCGCCCCCAGGCTGGAGTGCAATGGCACGATCTCAGCTCACTGCAACCTCTGCCTCCCAGGTTCATGCAATTCTTGTGCCTCAGCCTCCTGAGTAGCTGGAATTAGAGGTGCCCACCACCATGCCCAGCTAATTTTTGTATTTTTAGTGGAGACAGGGTTTCACCATGTTGCCCAGGCTGGTCTTTAACTCCTGACCTCAAGTAATCTGCCCACCTCAGCCTCCCAAAGTGTTGGGATTATAGGCATGAGCCACTGCACCTGACCTAAAATTATATTTCTAATGACAAAACTGAGGTACAGCTCATAACTAAATAGGGGAGAATGACATTAAAGCCACTCCCATCACTAAAAAAGACCAATTTTTCTGGTCTAGATGGCTTTTTAGAGGCTCCTGGAGCAGGAACAAGGGGTTAGTGACTACGATGTGTCAAAAGAGACATAGGCATTTCTCAGATAAACCTCAGCTCTTCCGGCTTGAGAGAAGGAAACATTCCCAACATGACTTAGGGGCCCAAGGACCCTGTTTCCACCTCATATCAGATTGTCAAATGGGAAGGGTGTGCCTAGAGCACACACTCCCTCCTGAAAGGGCTGAGTCCCCAGAAGACCTATGTCTGCTCCATCCTGGGTCCCTGCTCTCTCCTGGAGACAAGATACAGCTGCCTGTATGAGTAGCAGTCTGGGGCCTCCTCCTCCCTCCCTCTGCCCCACCCCACTCCTCCCTGCCCGCCCCCATACACACTGGGTTCTTCCTCCCCTGCTCTCTCTCAAGAAGCCAGGCCCCTGCCCCCACTCACAGTCAGAAGGAAGTGATTCTGCAAGGCCTCCCAGGGACTCCCAGGACTGGCTCAAGGCATCAGACTGTTAAATAAGTGGGATTTTTTCAGTGTTTGTAGAAACTGTTGTTTAAAAAGATGTAACCATCCAAACTGTTTATGTAACCCTTGGGAAGTCTCAACAGATATGGTTCCCTATTTATAACTGTGGCCAGGACTTTAAAAATACAAGTGGAGGGGGACTGTCAAAATCAGAGAGGTTGTCACGTTACAGTTGTATGCTTGCATAACTGAATTCAGTATTTTGCTCTAATTTGAGAAGTTTCTTTTTATTCACTTTTCTCCTTTTCTGGTTTTCTCTTCCTTTGTTGTCCACTGCTGTGCACCATACACTCCTGACATTTTCTGAGAACATCAGAACTATTTCTCTGAAGTGGAGGTTCAAAATAGGGGTTTTTAGAATGACCAAATAATAATGAACACTAAAATTCATTTCAAAGCCTAGGACTAGTCTATTCATACTGATATTCCTAGTCTACAAGGGTAAACATAGCTGTCTTCTCGCCGCCAGCCCCTACACCTGCAGGGGCCTGCTCTGTCTCTGGGTTGTCCGCTCTGGAGGTAGGTGTCAGACCACCTGGTCTCACTTTCCTAGGTCCAATCTCTGGATCTATGGCAACAGAATCCACAGGTCCCTATTCCCATACAGGGGGAATGCAAAGTTGCTGGGGGACAATCACAGTGCAAAGCTGAGATCTGGGCTTCTTTCTAGAGCCATTCTGAGGTCTTCATCACTCACACTAACAATCCAACTAAAACCTGGCTCTTGTAGGAACACATCCTCTTCTTTATTAGGGAGGCTGTTCTCTGAGTTAACATAGTAGCAGTTTCGTTCACAGATCTTTCTGGCAAAAAAGAATCCGACGAGAGCTATGCCTCCACCAAAGGCACAGTTTGATAACACTTTGGGGAAGGATGGTTCATAGCTCCTGAAGAAGAAAGAGTCTGTGATAAGAACCTCTGGCCCACAGGCTTCTTCACACTACACAACTTCCAAAATCCCTAACCACTGCTAATAGCTAGGAGGAGGATAGTGACTGTTCCCAACACAAAGAGATGACAAACATTTGAGATGGTGGATATGCTAATTACCCTGATGTGATCACTATACATAATATGTATTGAAACATCATTATGTACCTTGTAAATATGTATAATCATTATAACACACAATATGAGGTCCCAGACAATGATAATACATAATAATTATACGTTTATGGGATACATAGTGATGTTTCAATATGTATAAATTGAAGTGGTGTGAATTATGTATAAATTTTAACTACATTAAAAATTACAGAAAAATAAATTTTAAAAAACAAAACAAAAAAAATTCTTAACTGCTGTCAAGCTAGCACTGACAACCGAAGCCTCAGCCCAGTACCTCCCTGCTTCCACCTGTGCTGACCACCCTAAGAGAGAAGGCAGAGGCACACAGCCCTTACATCTTGGTGGGGAAACCCTAGGGTTTCCTCTGAGGGCCTGACAGTTTGAAGGGATTGAAAATGAGTGGAGGGTGTGGCCACCTCAGCTCTAGCCTCCTTCTGCTGAGGGACAGTGGCCAAGGAACATCCTCATAGATCCAAAGGAAGGTGGAGAGTCCCTCTTTGTCCTCTCCACCCACCTCATCCCCACCACGCCCTGATGTCACTCCCTGCTGTACCCACCCCGGAAACCCTTAGCCACTTCCCACAGGTCCACTCCCAGGGAAGTTCTTTAATTGGTGGATGTGGGAAAGAGGAAGAGGAAAAATATCATTTCTACCTTCCCAATTCCCTGTATCCCATGAGCCTCCAGTCTGAAAATGATTACCCATCTGACCTGGAGCTCTCATCCTAGGTATCATAATGGCTCTTCTTTTACCCATAAGGAGAATGGGTAATGAAGAAATGCAAAATCCCAACTCATGAAAATGTGGTTGAAAAAGGGAAGACCCATAAAAGTTCTCATTTGTTGACCAGAGACAATAAAGTGATTACTTAAAAAAAAAAAAACCCACCTCTGGGGTCTTTCCAAATCATGGAGAAAAATAAAAACAGGGGAAGACATGCTCTAGTCTTAAAACTCCAATGTGGCCCCAGACTGGTGAGCCCCAACAACAGTAAATACCCACCCTCAGCAGCCTTCTGCCCACCTCACCCCACCAATACTAGGTCCCAGACAAGTCAACAAACACTTATTGACCATGTACTGTGTGCTTCCAACCATTCCGGGAGTTGGAATTCTGCAACCTCAAGGTGCTTTGCGAGGAGCAGGGAAACAGCTCAGTCAACATTTACTGTGTGCTGACGTTTTGCTAGGTTTAGAGGAGGCAAAAATCTGAGAAAAAAACAGCTAAGAATACTCCAATCTGGGAAGTACTAATATACACATAGCACCATAGGAGCAAGGAACAATTAATTCTACATGGTGAGGTCAACCAGAGAAGATGATTTTTAAGTTGGGCCTTGAAAGCACATTAGGATTTTGCTGGGTATAACTGGGAAGGAGTGGCATTCCAGGCAGAAAGAACTGAGTGAGCAAAGGTCAGGGTTGGGGTTGGTATGGGCAGTTGGTTGTATGTGATACGGCGTGTAGTCAGGCCAGTGTTGCCAGAACACGGGGTCAGAGAGCAAGAGCAAAGGAGGTAAGGCTAAAAGGCAGGCTGCAGTTTATGGCAGCCACGAACACATGCCATTCAAAGGACCTGTTGCATGGAGTGCAGACAGCTGACAGGCTGCAGCCTCGGATCCACACCATTCAAGTCAGACCATGTTGCCTCCTGGGTGGCCCCCAGCCAATGACAGAACATGGCAGGGTTGCTCGGGCCTGTCCATTTCTGCCCAAAGTGCGACTCTTCTCCTGGGCAATCTTTGGCTGGAACTCCCCACTGGGCTCGTTGAGACACTCTTACAGCCGCATCACAGTCTGATGCTCTTTCAACAGAATTATCCTTCCCTCTCTTGCGTCCCAGAGTTAGATCTGGACTGCAGTCTGAAAGCTGTCTTTTCTCTCCGTACTTCTGCTCCTTTCTCCTTTATCTTTCATAGGCATTAGCTCTTCTTACCCCCAATAAATCTTCTGCACTTTTCATTCTGTTTTGGTGTCTGCTTCCCAGAGGACTCCAACTGAGAAGGAGCTTAGATGAATGTTTGGGTTTTGCTGACAGTGAGGAGCCACTGAGGTATTTTAAACAGGGCAAGCCATGGTCAGATCTGAGTTTCATAAAAGCAATTCTAGCACTAGGGTGAAGAGCCGGGGGGTGGGGAGACAGGGAAGCAACAGGCAATGAAAAGACCATTTAAAAGGACACTGCACTGATTGGTACAAGGTTTCAACAAGGGGCAACTGGAAGTATATACAACTTACTATGTATATACCCTTTAACTCAACAGTCTCAATTGTAGAAATCTATTTTATAGAAACACTAGCACAAATGCATAAAAGTATAAAAATGAGGATGTAGTGGCCTATAAATATTATCAGGACATTGAAAAACTTTGTGGTCATCTGTAGGGGAGGAGATGAACTAGCAGTACATCTACGTGGTGGAATACATACCAAGCAGCCTTTAAAAAGAAGACAGCAGGTCTCTATGTACTGTCATAGAGAAATATACACAATAGACTGCTATTTGTAAAAAGCCGGTTGCTAGCCGGGAGTGGTGGCTCACGCCTGTAATCCCAGCACTTTGGGAGACTGAGGCGGGTGGATCACCTGAGGTCAGGAGTTTGAGACCAGCCTGGCCAACATGGTGCAACCTTGTCTCTACTAAAAATACAAAAATTAGTTGGGCGTAGTGGCGGGTGCCTGTAATCCCAGCTACTTGGGAGGCTGAGGCTGGAGAATCGCTTGAACCTGGGAGGTGGAGGTTGCAGTGAGCCAAGATTGTGTCACTGCACTCCAGCCTGGGCAACAGAGTGAGACTCTGTCTCAAAAAAAAAAAAAAAAAAAAAGCCAGTTGCTGTACAAAGTATATAGCATGCTCCCATTTTCATGAACAAAGCTGTGCATACGTATATTTATAAAGATCCACATTTGTTTGTATAAATAAGTCTGGAAAGAGATATATCAACTGTTGACAGAGGTCACCTCTTGAAGGTGGTAGGGCTTTCACTTTTTACTTTCTATGTTGTTTTTATTTTCTTTGGTGCTTTTCTATAATATATTTTCTACTTCTTAAAATGATGAAGATGGTTCATTTCTCTTATCAGAACACAAAATTTTAATTTAAAAAGCTTCATATCTACTTGGAAAACCATATAAAAATTCTTTATATTGTATTTCCAGAGAAGAAATAACAAAAATCTCCTAGAATCGTTGAGAGGGCTGTCAGCGGCCTGGTCTCGGTAAAGAGAAATTAGAGATGAGTTGGAATAGAGCCGAACACAGGGTGGTGAAGACAGAAGTTCCAGAAGAAGCCAAGAGTGCTATCTTGAGTAGTGGGCAGGTGACCCACAGAAGGGCGGTGGGTGGGAAGTAGGAGTGAGAGGGGTCTGTGCTGAATGTGCCAGCCTTCAGGAGGCTCAGGCCAGGACAGGGTGTATAAACAAGAGGTGACGCTGGCTCCTGCTTTAGAACTCAGGAGAGTATTTAGGCCTAAACACTTATGACCTACAAAAGATTAAAAACTTACCAACAGTACTCACCAATGGACTAAAACGCTAATTGTAAACAGTGAAGTCATTGAAAAACCAGAAAAATATTGGTGAATACTTATCTAAGGGGGGAAGAATTTTGGATAAAAGAGCAAACAGCATTTTAAAGAAATTTTAGCCATATTAAAAACAAACACCAAGACTTTAAAAACAGAACTCATAAACAAAATCAAAAGACAAGCAAAAACAAGGAATTATATTTACAGCAACACTGACAGAAAGGACATGTCCTTCATATATAAAAAACATATGGTTGGGTGTGGCTCATGCCTGTAATCCCAGCACTTTGAGAGGCCAGCATGGGTGGATCACTTGAGGTCAGGAGTTTGAGACCAGCTTGGGCAACATGGTGAAACCGTGTCTCTACTAAAATACAAAAATTTAGCTGGGCATGGAGGCTTGCGCCTGTAATGCCAGCTACTCAGGAGGTTAAGGAAGGAGAATCGCTGGAATTGAGGAGGCAGAGTTTGCAATGAGCTGAGATTGCACCACTGCACTCCAGCCAAGGAGACAGAGTGAGACTTCATATAAAAAAAAAAAGCAAAAAACAAAACAACAACAACAACAAAACCCAAAAAACACAGATGAGTTTGTAATCAGTAATAAAAATACACTCTCCAAAGAAAAACAGCACTGGAGCTGGGCATGGTGGTATGTGCCTGTAATCCCATCTACTCAGGGGGCCAAGGTGGGAGGATTGCTTGAGCCCAGGAGTTCAAGGCCAGCTTGGGTAACACAGCAAGATCCCATCTCTATAAAAAATAAGTTAGCCAGGTATGGTGGTGCACACTTGTAGTTCTAGCTACTCTGGAGGCTGAGGTAAAAGGATTGCTTGAGCCCAGGAGTTCGAGGCTGCAGTGAGCTATGATTGTGCCACTGCGCTCCAGTCTGGTTGACAAAGCAAGGCCCTGTCTCTTAAAAAAAGAAAGAAAAAGAAAAACAGCATTGATTATGGTATTGTGTATTATAAACATTATTTTGTATTGGTTAGAATTTTGTTCAGTTACATAAAACAGAAAACAATAGTGGCTTAAGCAAGATGGGATTTTCTTTCTTTCTCTCACTGAAAAAAAAGGTCTAGAAATGATCAGTTCAGGGCTGGTTTGGTGACTTCAGGTGTCACCAGGGACCTACGCTTCTTCTGGCTCATCCTGCCCCTATTCCTAAAGTGCAGCTCTCATTCTCATGTCTTGTGGTAGTTGCTAGAGTGATAGTCACCACATCCTCATTTAAGAAAGTAGGATGGAGAAAGGAGGGTGAATAAAGGGCACACCCCCTCCTGTTAAGGAGCTGGCTTCGAAGTCCCATATGACACCCACTTGCATCCATTGTCCGGAACCCAGCCACATGATCACACTTTGCTGCAAAATTGCCAGGGGAACGTAGTTTTCAGCTGGGTGGAAAAGGGATCAGCAAAAAATTGGTTTTGTTACTAAGAAAGAGGGAATGGATACTGTAGAGCAATGAGCAGTTTCTAACATACATGTGAACAAAATTATCAAAAGAAATACAAATGTAAAAGATTTCAGGGTCAACCTTACCAACAGTCAAATATAAGTAAAGCAGGTGGCCTTTTATGGTCTTGTCTGGCTAAGGTATTGAAGAGCTGGCCAGACAAGTCATGAAGACAGTCAAGAACTGACTGTCTTCATAAGGACCGACTGTCTTCATAAGAACCTTGGGACAATGCACATGAACAGAACAGAGTTTCAGGGTAAAAATGGCCCTTTCTCCCCAACTAGATGGCTCAAGGACCCAAGGGCCACTTCCTGGCTGTTCCCCCAAAGTCTCCCTCCAACTCCCAAGTGACATCAGATTCTGTAAATGCTGGGAAGTAGAGAAAAATTCTGTACCCAGGGATTCTCTAACTAAACTATGGCTAAAATTAAATTTTAGGTGTTTTTGAAAGTTCCTTTAAAAAAGTAATATCCTCATGCAAACTGAATCAGCAGTTTCAGAACTTAAAAAAAAAAAAAGAACCTCTGTCGTATTCTTGGGGTATCACAAATTAAACATGAAAACCAGCCACTAAAATAAGGACCAGTGTTTGGATACTACATGGGGGTGATGTTAGGCAACCTCAAGTTATGTCTTTTGGCAGATTCAGGACTTTATGTGAGCTCCCACAGATGGTGATGTCAATGCCACCACCCTTCAGAAGGCACAGAGAAGGAAAGTGCAGAGGACACGGCAAGTGTGGATTCCACAGGCTTCTGAAGTTCATAGGCCTATTTTGAATAGTTATTGTGCCTTTCTCAATCCAGACCAGCATCAGTTACCTCTCACGATTTATTTGAAAGCATTTACTTCTAGTGTTTGCTCTTTTTAAATGGTTGCTGATTGGGAAAAATACCAGAGTAAACTGATGTTTCATGAAGTCTGGGGGAGACGATCTTTAGGGCATGGGAAGCAATATGATATAATGACGAAACGTGCCCATGCTTTGGAATCAGAAACACCTGGATTTGAGACCTAGCTCTGTGGTTTACCAGCTGTGTGTTCTGGGACAAGTTATTAAACTTCTCTGGGGCTCAGGTTACTTGTCTTAAGATGGGCTAATACAGTGCTTACCTCGTTGTATCATCAAGTTGGGTAGGAAACAGATGGTGAACTTGGACTGGGACTGTTTACAAAGGTGTGGGGAGGGCTCAGGGAAATCAAGATGAGACAGTGAAGCATATGGGGGCTAGCAACAATGGGGAGCTGTTACCACTTGTAACCTGAAGGTATGAAGGAAGGGAATAAATGGGTAAGGGGACCCAAAGGAGGCAGCTATTGGAAGGGTGTCTGGCAGGAGCTGTGGGCTCCAGTGGAGGATGCAGTTGGCCTAAAGCGACCTGATAGGGACCCGGGGGAATAACTTAACCACTTGCCCTCCTCGGGGAACTCCTGACCTCATCTTCCTGAGTCCTTCCATCTCTTGCTAATGCTCCCCATGGACCAAATCTAACTAGAATCCAGAGGCAAGATAGATGAGTGATGTGGCCCATTCAGGTCAGCCTCCCAACCCAGAGCAGGTAGAGAGGACGGAGAGTGGATCTGCAGGGGCAAACAGAAGATTAATCAAAATAGAGACTGTGATGAGGTTAGCATAATGCCTGGAACATAGTAAGTCCACAAGTCCTCAACAAATGTTAATTTATTTTGGACTTTGGACTCTCTGTCTGCCTGTTTTGCTTATTGCTTACTTCCTGGTTTTCATCAGCTCATGTATAGTTGAGATAACTTCCAAATAATCAAGTATTGTTATCTATATTGGAGTGTTTTGAAGGAGTAATGAGTGTATAAAAAAGATAACCAGATACTCTGGGGATTAGAGATGACAGAGGGAAACAGAGGAAGGGGAGTAAGTAAGAGAAAAGGATGGAGAAAACTGTATGTTCCCTATGAGGCTGGAATGAACGCAAGATTATCTTACTTTAAAATCAAATCATGCACTTATTGGGATGTGATAACAGTGCGTTTGCAATTTTACAGCCCAGTGAGACTTGCCAGAAAGGGATTTTGCAAGGAAGGTCTTCCTGCCCTAAAGGAAAACCTAGTGCTTACTTCCAGATTAATAAGTCTTAACCCATCATGCCTGCTCCCCCAAAACCAAGTAGTCAAATGTGTTAACCTGGATGTTTAAATACCTGCATGTTCCTGCCTGGGTGCCTGGGTCAGGTGAATGTTCTATTCTGATTTGGGAAATGGCTAGAGTGTGTTGGTCGTCGCCTGGGATAGCTCCCAGGTAGGAAGGGAGCCCCAGAGAGTGGTCTGAACAGTGACTCATAAACTCAGTGTCCTTTCCTCCAGCCTTTACCAGCTGCTGACTTGGCCCCTTAGGAATCTGTCTTCATTCCGCAAGCTATTCTCCAGTGTCTGGTTCAGGCTCTAGAGCAGAGCATTCCAGGCTTTCTGTGATTCCTGGCCACCTGTTCCATCTCCAAGACCCTCCAGCATCCTTCTCTCATTTGCTTACCCTACCCTCCAGGCCTTTGCACAGGCCACTCTCTGTGCCTGGGACATACATTCTCCTTCTGGCTAACCTTCCGCAGCCTCCAGGACCTCTCAGGTGTCCTCTCCTCTGGGAGCCCTGCTGGACTGCCCACGGGGAGTTGGGAAGCCCTTCTGTATGCTCCTGTTAGCCCTCTTTGATTCTCTCACTCACAGCACTTCCACACTGTCTTGGTTTCCTGGCTCATCTCTCCCAACACACTGGACACCCCTTGAGAAGAGACTTGACATATTCATCTTGATTTTAATGCCATCCGGCAAAATTCCTGGCACTCAGAGGGCATGCAATAAAACTTTACTGAATGAAGGTTTAGCGCGTAATTCAGAAAATAAGCAAGAAAGTGTCACAAACACCAAAGCAAGTTAACCAAGCTATATGTTCTAGAACATTCTTCCTCTCCTCCTGTCACTCTGGCTCTCCTGCGCCTACAGCAGACAGGACAGAGTCTGCTCTTTCACCTGCTCTTTTCTAGTCTTTTCTTTCAGGTATCCCCTGAAATGCCACTTCCTCAGAGGCTATCCTTGACTACCCAATCCAAAGCAGTCACTCAGTCACTTGATTACACTTCAGTCTATTTTAATTTGTTAGAGAGCACTTACTGCTAGCACCAATGTTTTATTTCTGTGTTTTCTTTCTATCTCCACCATTATGCTGTAGCTCCATTTGAGTAGGGACCTTGTCTGTTCACTACTGTATGCCCAGCATCTAGTACAGTGTGTGGCAGAGAGTCAAGTGTTCATTAAATACTTGTTAAATGAATGCATGCCACTGTTACTGCATGCTGAGTTAATTTGATGTATGGCTTCTATCACTGCTATCAGATTAGGTGCTCTAGAGAAACTCAGAAAGGGCTGAGTCTCCTTATGACATTGCAGGGTGGGAGGGGGACCTCAGTTCCCTTCCTAGGCCTAAGTGGGATATGCTGCCTGCTTGCAGCTTCCTTGTGGCCTGGACTTCCCCATGGAGGCCAGATGCTGAGCAACCCCAGCCCATGTGTCTGAAGGCTCTGAATACCGAAATGTTCCTCTAGCTTTCTGTGAGAGCAGTTGGAGCTGCCCATTGCCTACACTGATAGAGGAATGTGCCCAGGGCTCCTGGCTGGCCTGGCACCCAGCAGGAGGCAGGCACAGTGGCCAGCACGGTGAGGACACATCACACTTCTTCTTTTTCCCATATCCCTATGCTGAGAGTGCATGCAGCTGCCTGGCTGGGAGCAGAAACTGGCCTCACTTTCTGGGGCCTGCTGGGCAGACAATGCAGCTCTCTAGCTGTGCCACAGAACAGGGCAAATCTTTACTAGCTGTGGACTCACTCCCTGCCCCTCCCATTCCTGCAGAAATTGCTCTACCAGCTCAGCAGAGGGCCAGGTCTGGAATCTCTCACCTGTCCCTGGCCCTTCCTTTAAGCCCTCTGGTTTACTGGAAATCATAAACTGTGAGACACAGCCTTTATCACACCCTGAACAGTTCACTCTTAATATTTAATGCTGGAGGCTAAAACAACCAGGGACACTGGAGGCCTCCTGCTTACTCTCAGTGACTGATGTTTGCACCTGGTAATTGAGGTCAGGTTGCTTCTCTTAAGTCACATGATTTGCATCAAAGCAGGAAGGTGTCGGGGCCACTTGTTGCAAAGAGACCAGGAGGCGATCCCAGCAACGCTGCAAACCAGCTTTGGCAGCAAAGGCTGTGCTTTCATGGGAGCCAGCCCTAGGAGTGTGGAGCTGGGCTGGCAGCTGGTAAATGACCCTCTCGGGGCCTGAATAAACCCTAGCTTTTCACTCACAGCAAACTCAGGATGCCTTCCTCCCTCTAAAAGACCTGCTGAATTGAGTCACTTTCAATCCTTTCTGGAGTAGGATGGGGCATTAGTTAATTAACAAATTAATTAAGCATGCTAAATAGTCACCCAGAAGATACTGGTCACTTAAGGGTCTCCAAATCACAGTATAGGTCCCACCCTACCCAGACACCTAATCTTGTTTCAGGGTTTGCTTGACCTCAGGCATTTATCTCCTGGTTGTCATGGAATCTGCTCAGATAAACAGCAGCACACCAACCTGGCCCCTCTGCCAGCCTCAGATCCTTCTAAGGCAGTGGAGCTCCCTGGTGGCCACCAGCCACCCGGGCTCCAGGCAGCCCAACACACACTCCCATGCTGAGGTCTCTCGCATGACCTCTCTAGGCACACAGTAGGTGCTCAGTAAATGCTGTGGCATGAAGGACCCTCCTGGAGTGTCTGAGTTCTCAGGCTTCAAGGCCCCTAGATAAGCAGATTTCTCTCCCCTATCACCATAGTCACCCCAGGGACTGCAGGGCAGGCCGAAATCAGCCAGTGACTCAGCTCCTTGGGCAATTCAGCTGGCCCACAGACCACTTCCTCTGCTCCCCAGCGCCGGATGGATGCAGATCTGTGAGTAAGGAGCCAGCTGCAGGCAAGCAGCTCGAGGGCAGGTGGGCATGATGTCTGGCTACCACTCGCACTGGACGCCACACACACAGCCAGGGTGGCAGAAGGCCCCACCTGCCATGTGCCAGTGGGACACCACCCTCATGGTCTGCGTTTCCAGGTTTCCAACTAAGGACTGAGCACACTCTCAACATGGACCTCCTAACTGCTCTCGAGGATGGACAGCTGGCCTCAAGGGAACACTGCAAAGTGGCTCTAGGAAGAAGCCACTGTCCCTCCAGACCATAAAAATGGCTACCAAGGGCAGAGCCAGCAGCTTTCGCTGTAAAGTTTCTCAAGAAAATCACAGATATTCCCCTCTGTGATGTTCAGCTCAGCCTGGAAAGGAGGTAAGAAAGACCAGACTACCTGATCTCTCAAGGTCACCAAATTCAACCACTGTCCTGTTTAAAAGCGGGTAGTACAGAGGCCAGTGTGGGCTCTGGAATGAGACATGTGAAGCCCGGGTCTGCTGGGTCTGCTGCACGGTAGCAGTGTAGTCTTAGGCATTATTGAAACTCTGTTTCTAAATCTGGTTATGTGAATGAAAGGGGCTAATTTATGTAACACTTTTAGTATACTAAGCCCTCAATATAGTTTAGCTACTTAACTATTGTCTTCTTTGAAGGACGCTGAACTAAACAGAAGAGAAACAGGGAAATAAACAGCATGGCAACCTACATCAACAGAAACTTAATTATTCACCCTGGATAACTGAGTGTGTGAGTGTGACTGCAAATAACAATATAGCAAAGAGAAGTTTGAGATCTTTGGCTCAGTCATTCTAGAATCCTGAGTCACAGCAAATGCACAGCCTCCATGAGGCTGAGCCACACATGAAAGCTGCTTCCACCCACAGACTGGTAGAGGCCACTGACATGCTTAACGATGATGATGATGATAAAAATAGCTACCACGGGCTACCACGTGCACACACATGTTAAGCAGTTCAAACAGGTTATTTTGTTTAATTCATACCACAAATCTTTGAGGTAAGTATTCTTGTTCCCGTTTTATAGAGGTAGAAACTGAGAGTTGAAGAGGCTGAATAATTTCTCAAGCACACTCCCAACTCGACCACCCACAAGCAAAAAGGCAGAGCTGGGATTCAAACACAGGTATGACTGTGTGTGGACATCTCCCCTGTGCTATGCTCCCTGAAGGAAAATTCTAAGTGGTGTTGTTTCTGGGAGAAATCTACCTGTGTGGTCTTTAAACCTACTCTGACAGGAGCAAGGGCCACCACTCTGTATCTAAGACCACTGGGAACAGTCTTCAGGCAACAAGGTGACCAGGGCAGCTGCAGAGGGTATCTATGCCCCTGCCCCCTAGCGCAAAAGTCTGTTTCTCTTTCCAAATGGCCCGCTGGGAGCAACTATTTAGGGAGACCATACCTCCTCCCACACTCAGTTCCCAGGCCTGAGCCACAGAGTCCTGCCACAGGAGGGAGGACCTGCCTGTCCTGCTCCCTCCCCACTCCAGGTTCCTGGAGGCCTCTGTGATGATTCCCCAGGAAGGACTACAGGATCTGGCAGGCAGCAGGTGGCGGTGGGAGGAGGAGAGTCCTGGGAGCACAGCACTCCTAACCCCCTCTGCCTCTCACAGAACAAAGAGGGAGTCATGCCATGTCCCCTGCTCCCACAAATGCCCCACCCAGAGGGGCTAATGCCTAGGATTGAGGGTCTTGTGTGCTGAGGAAGTCCTGTCCCCCAATCCCCTACAAAAGCCAGAACCAGCTACTAAGGGGTTAGACACAGACAGAACTGTCTATATTAACATTTCCTCCTAAAAAACAACAGGAATCCTGGGGAAAGACCACTGGCCTGGGACTCCATGAGCCCTGGCTTCTATCTCTGGCTTTATCAGGTGACCATAGGCAAGTCACCTAGCCTCCATGGTCTAGGCTCTCCTGCCTGTTGGGTGGGAATCATTACATATCACAATCATTACAGCTGACCTTCAGGGAGGCTGTACTCTGGGTCAGGAATTGTGTTGGGTGCATTATCATATTTATTCTCACAGCACCCTTTGCAGTAGCTACTATTTTCATACCCATTCTCAGATGAGGAAACTGTGGAACAGGCTGGTTAGGGGACATGCCCAAAGTGACAAACTTAGCAAAGGTGGACCTGGCACTCAGTACCACATCTGTTTTTCCATGCTCTTAACCACTGTAACATACAGAGCCCTTTTACAGAGATCAAGGACAGAGGTAAAAGTGTTTTGAAAGCAAAAAAAAAAAAGTGGGGAGGATGCATAAAATAAACATAAATCACCCCCTGCCCCGCCCAGACATAATTCAGGGAAGAGTCCTAACCCCCAAGAACCTTCTGTGGAACTTATTCGCAACATCAGAGACCTCCAACATAGAAATGACCCTCAATAAGTCATTCCTCTTTCCCTTCAGGCAGGAATAATATAACTAACTGAATTATACAGGTGAGACCACGAAGGTCAAGCAAGGGTGACCAGCTTAGGCCCCTGGCTGGCAGGTAAGGAGGAGACTGACCCCAGCCTCCTGGCTCCTAGGGGAGGAAACAGTGATGACAAAGGCCCCTTTGCATGGCCAAGGTGGAGCCCTTTCTACCAAAGTTTAAACGTTTTAGTATAATATCCAAGTGCATCTTTTCCAACCTTAAAAACATATTTAATTTCCTTATAAAGCTGGTTGGCACTCTCCTCCTCCTCCAAAGCTCTGTATTAGGCAGGGTTCATAGTTGTAGACAACAGAATGAACAGTGGTTAGTTCAGCCAGAAAAGGGATGATATAGGAGGATACTGGGTTGATCAAAGGCTCTCTGGGAGGGCTGCAGATTTAGAGCCAGTCAGCCAGGAACGATGCCTGAAACATACCTTAGAGCTGGAGAAAGAACAAAACCCTACCTTTCTTCAATAGCTGGCAAGGTGGCAAGGTCTGGCCCCATGCAGCCTGGGCTCTTCCCACTCTCCTCTCTCCCTAATGCGTTGCCCTACTCGCTGCTTCCCAGGCAATCCCACCTCAGGTCTATGAACTTGCCATTCCCTCTGCCTGCAACCTAGACATTCACATTGCTAGCTCCCTGGCTAGCTCAAATGCCAGGTTTCTGCACAAATGCTCCTCCTTAGAGAGGCCTTCCTGGACCTCTAGGTCTCTGGCCCTAGTACTCTATCCCCTCTCCCTGCTTTCCTCTTCTACTTCACTGCTCCTTAACATTGTGTTATACATTGTCTGTCTCCCCAACTGGAATGTAAGTGGCACCAGGGCAGGGACTTGGGTTGTTTTGTTCCTTGCTGTAAGCCCAGGGCCCAGGGCCAGACCTGGAACAATTAGGTGCTAAGTTATTTGCTGAATATTCTATGAAGGAATGACAAAGGAATGCATAAAGAACTTCAAAGTTCAACTCCTCGAACTTCAAACTTCAAATCCCCAACTCCTCCTGCCTATGCTGGACGATTAGGGCAGTAACAGGAGTCAACTTGTGCTGTGCTGTCACCTTGCCTGGATCCGCATCAGCCCTGCAGCTCCCACTTTGGAGGAGACTTGCCCAGGGACCTACAGCTCTGAAGCTTCTCTGACAGCCTCTGCAGCTCTTGGAACTTATCTGGGCTGCTGCTGTGCAGACCATGGATGCATAGCTGAGTTCCTGCCCCTGATTTCCTAGAGTCTCAGAAAGACAGGGAAGTGACTTACCCAAAGTCCCCTTTCACCCTATAAACAGTTCAGCCCAGGGAGTGAGGCTGACACGCAAATGCAGCTATGTATAGACTCAGAGTCATCCAAGGTCAGGGCTGGGTGGAGCCTTGGTCACATGCAGGCCAACCTGTGTCTGGAGATAATGCAAGCCAGTGCAGGGGTTAGCGTGTACATGGACTCTGGAGTCTGGCAGATCTAAGCCCCACCCACCAACCTGTGACCTTGGAGAATTATTTGAAAAGACATTATTTGAAAAGCAGATGTAAAATGGAAATAAAAGTTCCTATTTAAAACAGTCAGTTGTCCCCCATTCAGAAGCCTATTACAGTTGTCCCTTAGCATCTTCGAGGAATTGGTTCCAGGACAGCTCCTCAGATACCAAAAGCCACGATGCTCAAATTCCTTATAAAAAGTGACGTAGGGCTGGGTACAATGGCTCGTGCCTGTAATCCCAGCACTTTGGGAGACCGAGGTGGGCAGCTCACTTGAGGTCAGGAGTTCAAGACCAGCCTCGCCAACATGGTGAAACCCCGTCTCCTCTAAAAATACAAAAAATAGGCGGGCTTGGTGGCATGCACTTGTAGTCCCAGCCACTCGGGAGGCTGAGGCATGAGAATTGCATGGATCCGGGAGGCGGAGGTTGCAATAAGCCAAGATCGCACCACTGCACTCCAGCCTGGGTGACAGAGTGAGACTTCATCTCAAAAACAAAAAACAAACAAACAAAAAATGTGTAGCACAGTCAGCCCTCCGTATCCACAGGTCCACACACAGAACCTGCTGGTATGGAGGGCCAACCGTGCTTCCTATTCTTTTTTTTTTTCTTTGAGACAGAGTCTCACTCTGTCACCCAGGCTGGAGTGCAGTGGCACAATCTTGGCTCACTGCAAGCTCCACCTCCCAGGTTCACGCCATTCTCCTGCCTCAGCCTCCTGAGTAGCTGGGACTACAGGCACACGCCACCATGCCTGGCTAATTTTTTGTATTTTTAGTAGAGAAGGGGTTTCACCATGTTAGCCACGATGGTCTCCATCTCCTGACCTCGTGATCCACCCGCCTCGGCCTCCCAAAGTGCTGGGATTACAGGCGTGAGCCACCGCGCCCGGCCACTTCCTATTCCTTATGGTATCAAATTCAAACTCCTTGGCTTGATAGTCAAACTCTCACCACCACTGAAATCTGGTTAACCAACCTGTCCAATACAATCTCTCTGCACTCCTCCAAATAATGTTCAAGTTGGACCTAAGTGCTCCCTAGTCCTTCTCACACCTGTGTGCCTGGAAACACCACCCACCTTCTTTTCTCTCATCTGAATTTACTAGAGCCCCAGAGGCAGGTCTCATAGTCTTCCCTGACTTGGGTTTTTTTGGCACTGACTACTGGGCATTCATGATGGGACCTGCCCCTGGGGCTCTAGTATTTGGTGTTACAGGGAGGAACACAGTTTTGATTCCCCAAACAGAACAAAGGATCCTTGAGGGCAACTGTCTGTTGTCATTTCATGTCTCCCCCAACCAGGCATTAAAACACGCATAGAAATTCCTGCTGATGGGCTCTTGTGAAGTTACAAGTTACAATTTGGTGAAAATGCCCCCAAGTATTTCCTCTATTTCCCAAGGAAAGGAAAAGAAAGATATAGAAATTAAATTAAAGACAAACTTAAATCATTCCCATTTCTGCATGCTTGGTCTGTGTGGGAAAAAAAAATCATTTCATCTCTGTCTGCAACGCAGACTTGACAAGTTGAGAAACTCCCTAAAAACAAAGCATACAAAAAAAAATCATACCAATTAGTCTCACTTAAAGGTTTCAGGAAGGAAAACACAGTTAAACTGAAAACGGTTAACTGGTGTTTAAAAAAAAGAAACCAGCCCGGAAATGTTTTTAGGACTGCGTCTATCGAAGTCCCTTAGGGACTGATTTGTCCTTCAATATATTCATAGCACCTGCTTTCACCAAAACCCAGCAGCCCAACGCTAGAGCTTTGTGAGTGAGATGCAGAGTGGAACTGGACATGGAGCTACACAGCTCTGAATCATGTTCCCCAACAGCAAGCAACAGCCACATGAAGGATTCCTGGCAGTGCCCTCTAGCCACTACAGTGGGCCATGGGAAGCCATACAAACAGCAAATGGCATCCTGCAGCCCCAGCTTCTCCTTCTGCCGCATTCCTCTCTCTGTCCATGCCTCTGCTTCCCCATTGGCCCACTGGCCAAATACACTCAGAAAAAAGTCCATGCACAAGCCTCCACCCAAATTAATTCCACATTCTTTCAAGAGAGGCCTTGAAAGGTACTGAAATTCAGGGAAGCTCTTCACTAGACCCCTCACTGGAATGCCAAGAAGTGATGTAGTGGCCCTTGACATAAGGGCTTATTCCCATTTATGAAACTGAAATTATTTTATTCTAAGCACAAAGCTAACAAATGTGATCAAAACAGAAAATAAACAATCCTCATTCAAGTGCTCAGAATGCAGCACAAATAGGATCTTGGGATAAATAAGATAGAGCTGTGAAATTAATAGGGGTGAGAAGAGGGGAGGGTCAGCGGGAGAAGTCCACCAAGGGGCTGAAAGGCCTGTGCAGGCAGATGGAAACCCTGGGTTCTTAGGGGCCAGGCATGACAGTGCAGAATAGTCCACCCTGGGAGTGACTGGAAGAAGGACTGCAGGGTCCCCGTGAAGAACACCTCACACTCCCAGCTTGCCACACACTTGTTGAACTATTCTGGGTGGATACCTCCTACCTGGATGGCAAAGGAGACAGGCCCAAGATGCAGAAGGGAAGGGAAGTCACACTTACAATGCAGAGGATGCGCCCTTGTCCCTCATACTCTCTGAAACATTGCAGGAATAATTCTGGTTTCACTGCTATTGTTTGTTGTTTTTGTAAATAAACCGCAAAAATCAACAAATGGCCTCAAAATTGAACACATGTGATTTACACCAATTCATATATCAAAACACAAATAATGCAGAACAAATTAGAGAAAAACTCCGGTCAGGCTCTCCACTCACCCATGGCTGGTGGCTGGCATTCAACTCTCCAGCAGCCAGGGAGTCCATTTTCTTGTTTCTCTGCTGGCCATCCTCAGGACTTGCGGCGGGGAGTGGGGGGCCCAGGGTGTGCTGCCACCTGCAGGCCAAACAAGGAAAAAACATAAGCAACGGCCCCAATCATCCGCCTGAAGCCCCTCCTATATCCTCAGGCCGCTGGAAGACCTGGATGCCCGTCGTGGGACAAGAGCCAGAAGCACTCACCCAGTGCCAACACCTGCTGGGCCACAAACAGTTTCTGCTTGGGATCCCAACACAGGCAGCAGAGTCAGCAAAAACTCTAAGATATCAAGAAGTCAAGCATTTCTTAACAACAGCAGCAAACTCTTACACAGGGCTGTGGTTACCAGACACTGCTCTAAATAACTTACACTTGTTTACTTATTTCATCCTCACAACAACGGGTAAATATTTTAGGTCTCTGCCAATTTGCCTGATTACTGAATTAGGTTGAATCATTAAAATGAATAACTTGATAATACCCAATTTCAAAGAGGGGTCACATATGAAAACTCTATGAGAGATTCTCAGCATCTTGCAGACATTCATTCCCTAAATATTCATTGAGTGTTTGTTATGGACGAGACACTGTTCTAGGACCTGGGAAGAGAGGAGCGAACACACAAGACAAAGTCCCTGTTCTCACGAAGCTTCTGTTCCAGTGCGGGGAGGCAACAGTAGAAAAGGAGACAAATGCCATGCAGAAGAAAAAGCAGGGAAAAAGAGATAGAGCACAATGACAATGCTGTTAATACCCATTCATTTATTCACTTATTTCCAAGGACTTACTAACCATGTCATTTCTTGCCCACAGCTGCATGCCAGGCACTATGCCAGATAAAATTGTGGGTAAGAAATAGACATGGTCTCTGCCTGTATGGAGTACTTACATAAGAGGAACATCTATTATTAGTCAAATAATCACCTAAATAAATGCAAAGATGTTAATCTGTGATAGGTGTGATAGCAGAATTGCATGTAGTCCTTGTGAGAGCATCTCAAGGAGGCCTGACCTTGTCTAAGGGGAGGCCTGAAATGGAGTGTGGGGAGGAGCAATGTGTTAGTCCATTTTGCATTGCTATAAAGGAATATCTGAGGCTGGGTAATTTATAAAGAAAAGAGGTTTAAGGCGGGGTGCAGTGGCTCACACCTGTAATCCCAGTACTTTGGGAGGCTGAGGCAGGTGGATCATCTGAGGTCAGGAGTTCGGGACCAACCTGGCCAACATGGTGAAACCCTGTCGCTACTAAAAACACAAAAATTAGCTGGGTGTGGTGGTGCACGCCTGTAATCCCAGCTACTTGGGAGGCTGAGGCAGAAGAATTGCTTGAACTGGAGAGGCTGAGGTTGCAGTGAGCCAAGATCGTGCCACCGCACTCCAGCCTGGGTGACAGAGCGAGAATCCGTCTCAAAAAAAGAAAAAGAAAAGAAAAGAGGTTTGGCTCACAGTTCTGTAGACTGTACAAGTGTGGCACCAGCATCTGCTTGGCTTCTGGTCAGGCCTCAGGATGCTCACAATCATGGTGAAAGGTAAAGGGGGAGCTGGCATGTCACATGGCACAAGAAGGAGCAAGAAAGGGGAGGAGGTGCCAAGCCTCCTTTAAACAACCAGCTCTCGCCTGAACAGAGTAAGAACTCACTCATTACCTCGGGGAGGGCACCAAACCATTCATGAGGGATCCAGCCCCATGACCCAAACACCTCCCACCAGGCCCCACCTCCAATGCTGGCGATCACATTTCAACATGAGATTTGGAAGAGACATGCATCCAAACCATATCAAGCAGTGTCCCTGTCAAAAGCACACCCTGTGCACAGGCTGGATCATGGGTAGTTGGCAGGGACAGGAGGCAGGGTGAAGCTGGAGAAGCAGTGTAGGTGACCCTTGCATGACACTCCCAGCCACAAGAGGAGTTCGAGCCTTAACCCTGGAGAACTGGAGCACCACACAAGGGTCTTAGGCAGAGGATTAATGCATTTAGATGTGTACTTTTAAAAGATTATCTATGTAGGCTGAGTAATGGCCCTGCCAAAGATGTCTATGTGTGAATCCCTGGAGGTTGTGTGTATGTTCCCCTATATGGCATAAGGGACATTGCAAATGTGATCGAGTTAAGGGTCCTGAGAACCGGAGATTATCCAGGTGGGCCCAACATAATCACAAGTGTCCTTATAAGAGGGAGGCAGGGGGAGATCTGACTTCAGATGAGGAGCCTCAGAATGATGTGGCACGAGAAAGACTTGGCTTCGAAGAGGAGGAAGGGGCCCTGAGCCAGGGAATGCAGTGGCCTCTAGAAGCTGGAAAAAGCAACAAAACGATTCTCCTCTAGAGCCTCCAGAAGGAACGCAGCCCTGCCAAAGCCTTAATTTCAGGACTTCTAAAAGAGTAAATTTGTGTTGTTTTAAGGCACTGATTTTGTGGTAATTTGTTACAGCAGCAATAGGAGAATAGGACATACTAGCTCCTGTAAAAAACCAGACTGGACGTAAGGGCGAGGCGAGGCAGGGACCAGCTAGAGGTCACTGCTGTGGTCCAGGCAAGAGGTGTGAGAGCTTGCACCACAGTGGTGGCCGTGGGGATGGAGAGGAGTGGTGCAGTTGAAGGACCCCAGCAGGGGAAGAGCTGACCAGTCAAAGGTCTCGCTGCAATCTGGCAGATGTTACTGGAATGCCACAACAGGCCTCTTTCAGGCTCAGGCCCTGGCTGGCTCACCCTGGCTACAGCCCAGCAGCTTTACAGAAGGAGGAAGCTCACACCAGGGCTGTAGACCACTCCCAGGCAGATGCACCATTTACTCACTTAACCTGCCAACCCCATTCCCACAAAAAAGTTCAAGAGTCTCCAGGAACAAGCCCTAAGAAAGAACACGTGGGGAATTTTTACTAGGCAAAAGGTAGCAATTATTTCTGCCAAGCATTAAGCCTTGCAGCGAACTTTTTTTTTTTTTTTCCGTGAACAGAGATTTTGTAATTCTGGAAGAGAGGTGTCCAGATTTAAATATACACATCTCCAACACAGGTGATACAGAACCATGATTAAATCTAACATCTAAAAACTTCATGGTCAGCAGAAAATGCAGAAATTAAAGAAAGACTAAACAAGAAACTAGGAGACTCAGCGTCTACTCTATTCTTGCTTAATAATCCAGACCTACTTAAAAAATGGGATCCTAATTTGGTCCTGTTTAATGGAGCTGTCAAGAAGAAAAAGCAATAAAAATTATTCGAGAGAATTTTAGAAACATTCTCCCATTCTACTCCAAAAATATAAATATGCACACTCCAAAACCAAGTACCTTGGACTGTACTGAGAGATGACAATGACGTCTTAACCGTACTATTTCCCCATGATGTTGCAGCAGGCCACAGGGACCTAACTGAATTGTAAGAACATGAAAGGACCCAGGAATGCCTGCAGATGACAAAATACCAGGTAGTCCTGTCAGTGTAGGAGCATGTTAATTTAAAAATAGATATATTTTTCTGGTGACAAAAGTGACATGTCTATTACTGGAAAACACAAACAACTCCTGTAGTCCAATGATCCAGAGATAACCCATTTGGAAATATTTTCTTCCAGTCTTTTTTCCCCATTGATTTCGGCACAGGCGCGCGCACACACACACACACACACACACACACACTCATACTTCATTTTTAACAAAATTACAATACTGTATATACTTTTATAACCAGTTTTATATAACAGTATATAATCCTCCATGTATTAAATACAGTTTTTCATAATGCTAGTATTCCATCATATGAAAGTAGGAAAATCACTTAACCAATCCCTAATTGCTGAACAACTGAGTAGTTTCTAACTTTATGGTAACATAAGTCATTGGGAGGAACCTCCTCATCTACGGGAATATCCCTAGATATAAATCTATGTCTATAGCTCTGATTATTTCCTTAGGGTCCTATTTCCTACATCCATGCATTGCCATTACTATTTTGCTATAATTAATTACCATCTGTAATGTACTTAACATTTCTCTTTACATCAACTCATTTCTGTCCTTAAACAAATGTATTTTAAAAGCAAACCTGACTCGGTGTAGTGGCTCACACCTGTAATCCTAGCACTTTGGGAAAACAAGGCAGGCGGATTGCCTGAGCTCAAGAGTTCAAGACCAGCCTGGGCAACATGGCGAAACCCCGTCTGTACTAAAAATACAAAAAATCAGCCGGGTGTGGTGGTGCGTGCCTGTAGTCCCAGCTACTCAAGAGGCTGAGGCACAAGAATCGCTTGAACCTATGAAGCAGAAGTTGCAGTGAGCCAAGATCATGCCACTGCACTCTAGCCTGGACAACAGGACAAGACTCTGTCTCAAAAAACAAACAAACAAACAAACAAACCTTATTTAAGTGGAAAACCAACATCATATGCCATAAATGAAGGCAATCATAATAGGTTTTATTGGAATAAAAAAACACTGTGGTTAAAATATAGTCAAAATACTGCTACCCCTTTGCCCATTCTTTTATATAAAATGGGAGATTAGAGAGGCTTAGAGAGGTGTTAAAGGTATGCTAGCACCAAGCTAAAGTTTTTCACCTTCCGTTGATCAGAAGACTGAAAAGGAATTGAGCATGGGAATAACTTTCTCACTGTGAGTCAGTGTTAGACAATGTGGCAAATGTGTCCCAACTAGAATTACCCTGCGCCACCTGAAATAACCTCATATGAAAACATGCCTTAGGACATATTCCTGGAAGTAGAACTGGGATAAAAGGCATGGACACTTTAAGCAGCTTCTGATAACCACAGCCCAAACACCATCCAAGTTAGTTTTACCACAGTTTTACTATGACTGTGTCCATTTTACTTCACGTTCACAAATATTAAGTACTATAAACAAAATATTAAAATAGTTAAAACGTTTCAGCTTTTTGATGTAAAATATCCAGCAGCTGAATCTTCAAAGGCTATTTTCATGCTCTTCTAGCTAGTCCCTGACCCTAGGGCAGGGCTATTTTATGAACCTTTAATTAGTGGTAAGCTTACAACAAACTGATACTGCACTTGGTTTCACCAAGCTGAAGTAAACTCTGTAAAAGATGAGGAAGTGACTTTAGCATTTGCAAATATTTCAGAATGCCTTTGTGCCAGCAAAGGTCAAACAACGATCAGAATTGCATGGATTCCAAAGTATACTTTTGGGAAATAAGAGACTCAGAGAAGCATTACTCAAGATACAATTCACTATGAATTTTCAGCAATTCAATGAAAAGTCTAAAAGAAATACATGTTTAAACTTTCCTATCCTGGTATAATATGCAATTGCACAAATAGGTTAGATTGTAGATTAATGCAATTGTTAATATTTCTAACATAGAAAAAGGAAATTGTATTTTGAAGCAAGAAGAATTAATAACAATTGGAATTGTTCAGGTTATTTTAATAATTCCCAGGCAGATACCTATGTGTATATGTGCCTGTGGGGAAAAGGTAAGGAAAAAGAGACGTGAGAAAACATACTTATGTAATTCCAGCACTTTGGGAGGCTGAGGCGGGTGGATCACTAGGTCAAGAGATTGAGACCATCCTGGCCAACATGGTGAAACCCCGTCTCTGCTAAAAATACAAAAATTAGCTGGGCATGGTGGGACCTGTAGTCCCAGCTACTCGGGAGGCTGAGACAGGTGAAGTGCTTGAGCCCGGGAGGTGGAGGTTGCAGAGAGCTGAGATTGTACCACTGCACTCCAGCCTGGGTGACAGAGCGAGACTCCATCTCAAAAACAAAAACAAAAACAAAAAATAAAAAAAAAGATTTATTATGTTTGGAAGGAGGTTATAGGTTCTGATTAATTTTTGCCAGAGACAAAAATACAAGTTTATCTAAGCTTAAGAACTAAATGATGGCCTATTGTAAGATATAGAACTTCCAACTCACTGAATAAAAAGAAGGAAAGAAGAAACAGGGGACAAATACACTTTGATGAATCCATAGAGTCACAAGGAAAAAAAAAACACACATGATAAATACATGGCAAAACAAGATGGCAAAAATAAGACCACATTTATCAGTGATCAAAATAAATATGAATGAATTAAATTCCATTGTTAAAAGACCAAGACTTTCACCCTAAATGCCCATAAATGGAAAATGGATAAATTATGGTATGTATTCCATTTTAATGGATGTGTATGTGTGTGTATGTATGTGTATGTGTGTGTATACACCACAGAAAGAGGCCCATGAGTTTCAGTTTAGAAAGATGTAGAAATATATTTGTATAAGCATAGGAAAGGGTCCAGAAAAACACACCAATATGATATCTGTGGTTGCCTATAAAGAGCAGTTTACCTATGAGTTTCAGTTTAGAAAGTTGTAGAAAAATATTTGTATAAGCATAGGAAAGGGTCCAGAAAAACACACCAATATGATATCTGTGGTTGCCTATGGAGGCTGAAGTGGACTTTCCTGTCTCACTTTACAAATGTCTATACTGTTTGAATTTATTACAAAAGCATATGACTAAAGAAACATGAAAAAATGGAATAATAAACATAAGGGCAGAATCAGCAAAATAGAGGACATAGAGGACCAAAAAAAAGGTGGTTAACAAAACTTGAAGTATTTATTTGAAAGTAGACAAACCTCTAGTGAGACTGATCAAGAATAACTGACAGAAGATTTTTTAAAAATGAGATTACAGAAAAAGGAAGAAATGACAAATAAAACAGACATTTTAAAACTTATAAAGGAATAATATAAACACATGATAATACATTTGAAAATACAGATGAAATGAATAATTTCTAGACAATAAAAATTGCCAAATTTGGCACAAAAATGTGAATAACCACTTAAGAGACTCAAATAATTTTGAAACCTCTTCCCCATAGAGTTTCAGACCCAGAAGATTTTACAAGTGCCTCCTACTAACTTCCAAGGAGCAGAAAATCTCTATCTTAATGGAGTTGCTTTAGAAAATAGAAAAAAAGAGAAAACATTGCCCAATTTGTTACTTGATTTTGAAATGTTAAATATGGACTGTACAAATAAAGAAAAATACAGGATAGTTTCACTTATAAACATAGATGTTAAACTCCTAAATAAAATATTATCTAATCAAATACGAAAGTGTATTACAAATACATCATGATAAAGTAATTCACCACATTAGTCGATTGTGGAAGAGGTTACTAGTGCTCACCAGTCTCTCGTTCTTTTCCTCCTGGGAACACCACCAGGCTACATTTCCCAGCCACCTTACAATTAGGTGAGACCCATGAGACTAGTCCATGCCAATGGAATGTGAATGGAAGTGCATCTAATTTTCTGGCTCATGAAAACAGCAGCATTTTCTCTATTTTCTTTTTTTCTTTCTTTGTTTTTTTTAGACGGAGTTTAGCTCTTGTTGCCGAGGCTGGAGTGCAGTGGCGCGATCTTGGCTCACTGCAACCTCCGCCTCCCGGGTTCAAGCAATTCTCCTACCTCAGCCTCCCAAGTAGCTGGGATTACAGGCATGTGCCACAATGCCTGGCTAATTTTGTATTTTTAGTAGAGACGGGGTTTCTCCATGTTTGTCAGGCTGGTCTCAAACTCCCGACCTCAGGTAATCAGCCCGCCTCGGCCTCCTGAAGTGCTGGGATTACAGGCGTGAGCCACCGTGCCCGGCAAGAGCAGCATTTTCTAAAAGCAATCAGTACTCAACACCATCCTGCTGAGGTAGGGCAGCGGCGGACTCCATGTTTTGAAACTTAGGAACTTAGACCATCTTTTGTCAAATTCAGATGGTTTTCTCAAAGTAAAGATCATTCAAGTTTTGTTTCAGTAATGGGCCGTATGATCAGATCTGTGTGATTAGGCTGAATTCATTATTATTGAGACAAAAATTGAGTTAAAGGGGATTCTTGGTATTGGCCTGCAAAACCTGTCATAACTTAAATGTAAAGTTTCTGATGATTTAGTCACTTTACTCTCAGCTCTTAGCTCTTTCACTCACCTGTCCTTGTTCTACACAACCTGCCTGATGGGTAACTTGAATACATATTTTCTCTCTTCAGGGGATGGGAACGCCCTAAGGGCAGGGGCTGTTTCCACAGCCCTGGGGTGGAACCCCCTTCCTGCATACCAAGAATGAGTTGGCTATACTTGACGAAGGGCAAAGACAAGGTGGCACGCATCTTTCATGCTTCTGCTGGCAGATGCAGTGGACTGGAAATTTCCTGGTCTGGGAAGGACTCGGTCTGTGAGTGCACCTATCCCTGACATCTATGCTAGCCCCGGGATGGGGGCCCCAGCAGAGTAAGGCCCTGACTTCACATGGACAGGGCCAGGGCAAGGGGGCCACATCCTGGCCTAGTTGCTCTCCATGCCCGTGATCAAGGGAGATGAGCTGCCAGCTTGCTCGGTCAAGGAACACTTGGAAGGCACTCCAAGTGCCCCCAGGTGCACCAGATCTAGGAAACTTAAGCAAACTACATGAGGTATGGGGTGGGGCCCAGTGGGAAAAATGAGTCTGACAGGTCAGAGGGAGTAGATTATGAGCTCAGGTTAGGCATTCTGTTCAGCATTTTACGTACACCCTCCCACTTTTGATTTTTACCAACACCCAGGGAGGTCGGTGCTCTACAAAAGGGAAAGGCGTGCTCAGGTGGCCCGACTTGCCACGGTTCCAGCTCGACCCCGGGCTGCTAGCCCCTTGGCACGCTTGTCTGAGGCCTCCCAGGTCTTCCAGCCTGGCCTGGAGGCTCAAAGCCACGAAACCCAAGGGTGCCGCTTCTCAGGCCCTCCCCGCCCCCACGGCAGAACCCCTGACCCTGCCCGGGTCAAACGCCTGGCGTCGGGCCCGCCGGGTCCGCAAGGAGGAGCCCGCGAGGCGGCCGCGAAGGGGCTGTGCTTACCTCGCCCGGCGCGGGTTGCGGCCCCAGGGCCCGCGCTCCAGGCTGGCGGCCGCTGCATTCTGCGCCCCTCGCCTGAAACGGCAGCTGCGCCAGTCCTGGCCACGACCGCTTTCATTTTCCTCAACGACATCGGCAGGAAAGCGAAAGCGAAACCCTCCGGGAGGCGGGACCGGGGCCGAGCGCGCAGTGAACGCGGGGCGCGCGGCGGGCGCGGGCCGGCAGCCAGAGGCGGGGGCCCCGGGCTCGGGTCTGCGCGTGGCCTGGCCCGGTGGCGTTCGGGGTGGAGCTGGGCCAGCCGAGTGCCCGAGAGCTAGTCCGCCACGCACACCTGCCTCGGCGGGACCCGGGCCCGGGCTGGGCGGGAGGCTGGGCAGGCCCGCCGTAAGTGGAAAGGCGCCCGCGGCGCTTCGGCCGACCGGGACAGGTTCCTCCATCTGCCCTTCATTCAGCGTTTACTTGGGCCTGTGGCTGGCAGCCGGCCCGGGACCTGACCGCTGGCGGCGCCTCGGGCTCTGGCCTGAGGAGGCAGATGGCAGCCTGAGCAACTGGGACCAAGCCTCTGAGGAGTCCCCGTTGGAGGGGACTTGACCATGAGGTACCAGGCATCTCATCTGGGGTCAGCGGAGAACCCAAAAGTCAATGACGTCGGTGAAATGGGGGTCCCTTCATCCGATAAGAGAAACTGGAACAGCAAGCCTATGGTTTGGACTCCCTGGTCTAAGCGGTGCCCATCAATATCTAAACATTTAGAGATTCCAGGTTTCAGTGTCTGGCCGTCTCTTACTGTCAGTGATTTGGGGCAAAATATTCAAGTAGTTAGACTTAATTACTTCCCCTGTGGGATGGGAATAATAATAATCATACCTACTGCCAGAATTTTAGGAATGAACAATAGAAGGAAGAAAATACTTAAAATTTTCTGACAGCCTCTAAGTGGGTTCCTTGAGGGCAGCAACCAAGTCATTTACCTGGATGCTTGATAGACATTCTCTAATGGCCAGTCCATCAACTTGGAGCTATCTCCATGATAACAGGTTAGTTGTCAAAGTTTGGACAATATTATCTGGAGTTTAAAGACTGAGGAAGCCCTGCAATTTTTTTTGGAAGGTGTCTGAAACTTAGCCTGACAATTAGCCCCCACAATTATGCCACGGAACCAGGTTTTTGTTAGAGTGGAGCATGGCCACAACGTTTGATGGACATTCCTACAGCGGTGTTCAGCGCTGGCCACTGAGGTCTGAAAATACTTTTGCAAGCATTTCTATTCACTTGCTTTTAGAAAACATTGGTAAGACACCATACTCCAAACACAGTTTGCCCTGTCTGTACGTTTGTTGCAAAGCAAACATAAAAGTTTTTGCCATAGAGCAAACACAGAGCAGTCTGTTATAACTGGAACAAGAAACCAAAATGAGCTATTAAATCTGCCCAGAGTCACTTTGGTTTACCTGTTTGTAATTTGGGCACATTCCCTGCAAGATGGAGGCCCTGGTCTGTGACTGATGTAGGGGCTTGTATGTGTCCTTGCAATAGTTCCCTCAAGAGCAGGTGGGAAAGTGGGGCAGGCCAAATGATGACCTTAGAAAAACAACAGCCTGTTTCTCTGTCCAGAAGATGCTACTTTTAGTCTGTAGTATGAAGGAAAAAGAAAAAACAAAAAAGGCAAGCCTTGGAGCCTCTTCCTCCTTATAGGACAATTCTTGACTCCAAGATAGCAAAGTAGAGTTAAATCTGCTTCTGCATAAAAACTATGTTTGGGAAGATGAAGATCAGGAAAAGACAGGAAGAGATGTAAGCAGATAAGCCAAATCCTGGTTACCTTTTATAGACATCACACATGTGAACAGAGAGCATCAGGAGGTCAAGGCCGGCCTGATGTTTTTCATCTTGGCAACTTCCCAAGGTCCAGGTTTGGTCCTTGACTTTGTGGGGCCAAAAATCTCATCTGACTTCCAGTGTACCAGAGTCGATTAGCACTGTTGCATAAAGTCAGAATGACAACTGACTGATTTCATTCACTATTTGCTAGAGAAGTGCTATGCTAAATGCATTACATGCATTATTACCTCATTATTTCTCCCTACTATCATGTGGTATATTATAATCTATTTATTTTTCATTTGGGAGAAAAAAAGATGAAGGAAATCCCAAGGTCACATAGTTACTATGTATGTTAGTGGCAGGGTTTGAATCAAGGCCATCTGACCCCAAAACCTGAAGCTTATCCATTCCTGTTAGAAGCAAGACTGTCGGGAACACTGGACTCGAGGCCACCTGATGAACACATTCTCTTCTTGTAGCCATGCAGTTTGGAGCCCCATAGTCAGAAGGTGGCTTAGTGAGCCTAAAATCAGAATCGGAAGAGTGAATTGTCTGACTTAAATGTTTGATGATATCAGGCTCGGGCAATGTGGGATGTCTCTTTCCACAACACAGGTCAAAACCTATAGGAAGTACTGTTCACTCATCCCTGCTGGCCTGGCCAGCCCTTCTCCCTAGATGGGGCCTGGTGGACACCATCTGTTTGTGTCGATGAGGCTCTCTGTATTATGGTACCCAGGCCGCCTCTCCTCAGATGGACATTTTTAGATAGAGCAAGGCGTTACTGAGTAACATTACTCAGTAAGGTCTCTCAGCCCTTATTTTTCTTTATGGAGACATTTTGTATCTTTGCTCTGATTGGCTTGATTTATAATTTAACTTCTAAAGGACAGCTTTCTATCCCACCTTTTGGAGACAGCTCTGTTTTCCTTACTATCCTTCCTGATCTAACCCTGGAACAAAAGTTTGTGCAGTAGCAAGTTCTGCAACAAGAACTTTATCCAGGCCTGCACTGATAGTCAGTAAAGACACAAAAGAAGCAAAAGTCCAAGTCCAAGGCCAGTCCCAAAAGACTTTACTACAGAATCGGGCAATGGAGGGTTGGGGGGCGGGGCACAGCTGATGATCACGCAACCCAGCTGAAGAATGATATAAATGGAATGAAAGCATGGTGCAAGCAGCATCTAACTTAGGAGTCACTGGTTAGGAAAAAAAAATACCTGATGTGTGATTCAGATAAAAATGAAAAAAATAACCCTTTTAGATATTTCATTCAACAAATATTCTGTGGCAACTACAAAATGCAGCCACCCTGCTAATGCTGGGGATTCAGTGATGAGCAAAAATAAATGTGGTCTCTGCCCTCGGGAAACACACTTGAGTGAGGTAATAAAGCAATCAAATAATTGGTCAAATATAGAATGCCATCCTAAATACTACAAGATGCATTTGACGCTATAAGAGGGAATGCCAGAGGCAAAACTCCTCTAATGGGCCACCTGTACTCTGGGGCTTCCTGTCAGTCTGGCCAGCACTTTCTCAGAATGGCTCTGCAGTCTGAGGCTCTTCCTATCTACTCCTCCATCCTTCCCTCTTCTCTTTCACAGGGGTCAGACCTGCATTACGGTGTGGGGCTCTCTCTGCTTACTCTTGCTTCTGCTCCTCTTTATTCTTCATAGGCATTTTCCCCAATAAACTCTTCCAGGTTTAATTCCATCTTGGTGTCTGCTCTAGGAGGACCCAAGCTGACACAATGATGCCCTTCATTGACTTGGAGAACCTTGGAAGAGGCCCAAGTTTTGGAGGGCTCCAATTCTGCACATGTTGGCTTAGGTGTCAGGTGGGCAAGGAAGCTCCATATCTGCTTTCCCACTCAGAAGATAATGCTTGTGCTTTGGTACTAAGCTATCAACCATGTCCTCTGTGGGAGCTAGGGTCTGGTCTTGTTTTTAAAATGCTTGTTCCATGGATAATCAGCAATTCTCAGTTTAGATCTCAATACTAGAACTATTTCCCTCTAGAAAAGCACAACCTACCAATAGCAAAAAACATCCCTTAACTTCCTTGAGGAGGAGTTAAAAGTCAAAAAATCGAAAGGAGATGAGCAATTGTTCCTGAACAGCCAAAGGGAAATAATTTTGATGTAGGGGGGCCCTTAGTTTTCTGGGAAAAGGAAGTCTTTTTTTTTTTTTTTGAGATGGAGTTTTGCTCTTGTTCCCCAGGCTGGAATGTGATGGTGTGGTCTTGGCTCACTACAATCTCTGCCTCCCAGGTTCAAGTGATTCTTCTACCTCAGCCTCCCAAGTAGCTGGGATTACAGGCACCCGCCACCACACCTGGCTAATTTTTGTATTTTTAGTAGAGACGGGGTTTCCTTATGTTGGCCAAGCTGGTGGCGAACTCCAGACCTCAGGTGATCCACCCACCTCAGCCTCCCAAAGTGCTGGGATTACAGGTGTGAGTCACTGCACCCGGCCTGGAAGTCATCTTTTATAAGTGTTCCTTAAGGAAAGAACTTACATGTTTGGCAGCACAGATGGAAATCTGTCATTGTTGGTAGAAAGAAGCTAGCACTCCAAAAGGCACTTTTGCTCTGAGCTTAGCCTCCCTGAGCAAGGTGCCCTTGGAGAGCTGGGTGTCAAAGGATGACCCTGTCACTGAGGTTCAGTCACCAGCAACCTGTTCTGAGTGAATCATCTGTTTGAAGGCAGAGCTCTTCAGGTCCACCGCTGGTTCTTCCCATGGAAGGAGGCTTGAACACAAATCATGAGTACTACATGAATATTTGAACGTGGCACTCAGTCATAGTCAAGTATAGCATTTCCCTCACCAACTGCACACCCCAGGGAGCCCATATCCATCTCATGGTGGTGTGGAGGCTGACAGTAGGCGAGTTTACATGCTTTGTTCCCAAGCTGTCAGGAAGCCCAGATACTATTAGTCTGCTTGGTCTAAAAAGAGAAAGAAGTAGGTGTGGGCTTCATGAAGGATGTTTTGCTGAGGGCTGTGTCTCTCATTCAAGGATGAATGAGTAAAAGCATTTGTTAAGTTTTTTTTTTTTAAAACTACCAAATGTACAGTGAGTGTACTACTTAAGCACCTTAGGGATAAGCCTGTCTTTTCCGCCAAAGGTAGTTACAATTTCCCTCATGGAACCAAGCATAATATGATAAGGACTAATTATTTGTAGAGTCAATAATTACATTATAATTTACATGCATGATCTAATTTAATCTTTATAGAAACCTGATATAGGTAAGGAATTTTACAGTTGAGGAAACAGTCTCAGGAAAGTTAAGTGACTTCCCCAAAGTTATAGAGCTAGTAAGTGAAGACATCTACTTTTGGACCATATACTTTATCTACTCTGGATCTGGGCACTTAGCCAAAGCCATAGTGCCTCCAAGAAAGAGGGTGTCATGGGGTAAACCTTGAACATGAATAGAATTGGGATAATCAGAGATGAAGCAGGACAACGTATGGATGGAGGCAGGAGTGTCAAGGAGAAATAGAGAGCTAAAAGTGTGTCATATCAGGAGTTGAAATGCATTAAAAATATGTGAAGTTTGGACCCTTTTATCGTAATATAATGACCTTCTTTGTCTTGTTAAAATCTATTTGTCTGATATTAATACAGCCATTCAAACTCTCTTTTGGTTATTTGTATGGAAGATCTTTCCAACCTTTTAATTTTCAACCTATTTGTGTCTTTGAATCTAAATTGAAACTGTTGTAGACATCATAATAGTTGCATCATGATTTTAAAATCTATTTGGTGAATCTCTGCCTTTTAATTGAAGAGTTACATTTAATATAATTACTGAAAAGGGCTTACTCCTGCCATTTTGCTATTTGTTTTCTATGTCTTTTATCTTTTTTGCTCCTCAATTCCTTCATTACTGCTTTCTTTTGTGTTAAATCCATATTTTCTAGGATAATTCTAAATCTGTATCTTTTTAAAGTATATATTATTTATTTATTTTCTTAATAATTGCCCTAGAGATTACAGTTCATATATTAATTTGTAACAACCTGGTTTAGATTAATACCAAGTTAATTTCAATAATATGCAAACACTTTGTTCTTATTCAGCTCTACTCCCTTTATATTATATTTCCACAAATTACATCTTTACACATTGTATGCCCATCAACCTAAATTTTTAATTATTGCTTTATGCAGTTGTCTTTTAAAATTATGTAGGAAAAGAGAGGTTAGGAAAAAAATTAATACTGCCCTTTATATTTACTTAGGTATCTACCTCTCCCCATGTTCATTATTCCTTCATGCAGATTCAAGTATTCAAGTTACTGGCCAGTGTCCTTTCATTTTAGCCTGAAAGACTCCCTTTAGCATTTTTTTTTTTTTTGAGATGGAGTCTCCTTGTTCTGTTGTCCAGGCTGGAGTGCAGTGGCACAATCTCAGCTCACTGCAACCTCTGCCTCCCAAGTTCCAGTGATTCTCATGCCTCAGCCTCCCAAGTAGCTGGGATTACAGACATGTGCCACCAGCCTGGCTAATTTTTGTATTTTTAGTAGAGGCAGAGTTTCACCATATTGACCAGGCTGGTCTCAAACTCCAAACCTCAGGTGATCTGCCCACCTTGGCCTCCCAAAGTGCTGGGATTACAGGCATGAGCCACTGTGCCTGGCCCTTTAGCATATTTTTTTAAGTACTTTAAGTTCTAGGGTACATGTATACAATGTGCAGGTTTGTTACATAGGTATACATGTGCCATGTTGGTTTGCTGCACCCATCAACTTGTCATTTACATTAGATATTTCTCCTAATGCTACCCCTCCCTCAGCCTCCCACCCCCTGACAGGCCCTGGTGTGTAATGTTCCCTGCCCTGTATCCATGTGTTCTCATTGTTCAATTCCCACCTATGAGTGAGACCATGTGGTGTTTGGTTTTCTGTCGTTGTGAGAGTTTGCTGAGAATGATGGTTTCCAGCCTATCCATGTCCCTGCAAAGGACATGAACTCATCCTTTTTTATGGCTGCATAGTATTCCATGGTGTATATGTGCCACATTTTCTTAATCCAGTCTATCATTGATGAACAACTGGGTTGCTTCCAAGTCTTTGCTATTGTGAATAGTGCCACAATAAACATACGTGTGCATGTGTCTTTATAGTAGCATGATTTATAATCCTTTGGGTATATACCCAGTAATGGGATGGCTGGGTCAAATGGTATTTCTAGTTCTAGATCCTTGAGGAATCGCCACACTGTCTTCCACAATGGTTGAACTAATTTACACTCCCACCAACAGTGTAAAAGCTTTCCTATTTCTCCACATCCTCTGCAGCATCTGTTGTTTCCTGACTTTTTAATAATCGCCATTCTAACTGGCGTGAGATATCTCATTGTAATTTTGAATTGCATTTCTCTGATGAGCAGTGATGATGAGCATTTTTTCATGTGTCTATTGGTTGCATAAATGTCTTCTTTTGAGAAGTGTCTGTTCATATACTTTGCCCCTGTTTGTTTTTTTCTTGTAAAATTGTTTAAGTTCTTTGTAGATTCTAGATATTAGCCCTTTTTCAGATGGGTAGATTGCAAAAATTTTCTCCTGTTCTGTAGGTTGCCTGTTCACTCTGATGGTAGTTTCTTTTGCTGTGCAGAAGCTCTTTAGTTTAATTAGATCCCATTTGTCATTTTTGGCTTTTGTTGCCATTGCTTTTGGTGTTTTATTCATGAAGTCCTTGCCCATGCCTGTGTCCTGAATGGTATTGTCTAGGTTTTCTTCTAGGTTTTTATGGTGTTTTTTTGTTTGTTTGTTTTTGTTTTTTGAGACAGTCTCACTCTGTCGCCCAGGCTAGAGTGCAGTGGTGCAATCTCGGCTCACTGCAACCTCCGACTTCTGGGTTCACACCATTCTCCTGCCTCAGCCTCCCGAGTAGCTGGGACTACAGGCACCCACCACTACGCCTGGCTAATTTTTTATATTTTTAGTAGAGATGGGGTTTCACCATCTTAGCCAGGATGGTCTCGATCTCCTGACCTCATGATCCGCCCTCCTCAGCCTCCCAACGTGCTGGGATTACAGGCGTGAGCCACTGCGCCTGGCAGGTTTTCATCGTTTTAGATCTTAACGTCTAAGTCTTTAATCCATCTTGAATTAATTTTTGTATAAGGTGTAAGGAAGGGATCCAATTTCAGCTTTCTACATATGGCTAGCCAGTTTTCCCAGCACCATTTATTAAATAGGGATTCCTTTCCCCATTTCTTGTTATTTCTTGTTTTTGTCAGGTCTGTCAAAGATCAAATGGTTGTAGATGTGTGGTGTTATTTCTGAGGCCTCTGTTCTGTTGCATTGGTCTATATATCTGTTTTCGTACCAGTGCCATGCTGTTTTGGTTACTGTAGCCTTGTAATATAGCTTGAATTCAGACAGCGTGATGCCTCCAGCTTTGTTCTTTTTGCTTAGGATTGTCTTGGCTATGCGGGCTCTTTTTTGGTTCCATATGAACTTTAAAGTAGTTTTTTCCAATTCTGTGAAGAAAGTCATTGGTAGCTTGATGGGGATGGCATTGAATCTGTACATTACCTTGGGCAGTATGGCCATTTTCACGATATTGAGTCTTCCTATCCATGAACATGGAATGTTCTTCCATTTGTTTGTGTCCTCTTTTATTTCACTGAGCAGTGGTTTGTAGTTCTCCTTGAAGAGGTCCTTCACATCCCTTGTAAGTCGGATTCCTAGGTATTTTGCTCTCTTTGTAGCAATTGTGAATGGGAGTTCACTCATGATTTGGCTGTTTATCTGTTATTGGGGTATAGGAATGCTTGTGAATTTTGCACATTGATTTTCTAACCTGAGACTTTGCTGAAGTTGTTTATCAACTTAAGGAGATTTTGGGCTGAGATGATGGGGTTTTCTAAATATACAATCATGTCATCTGCAGACAGGGACAATTTGACTTCCTCTTTTCCTAATTGAATACCCTTTATTTCTTTCCCTTGCCTGATTGCTCTGCCCAGAACTTCCAACACCATGTTGAATAGGAGTGGTGAGAGAGGGCATCCTTGTCTTGTGCTGGTTTTCAAAGGGAATGCTTCCAGTTTTTGCCCATTCATTATGATATTGGCTGTGGGTTTGTCATAAATAGCTCTTATTATTTTGAGATACATTCCATCAATACCTAGTTTATTGAGAGTTTTTAGCATGAAGGGCTGTTGAATTTTGTCAAAGGCCTTTTCTGCATCTATTGAGATAATCATGTGTTTTTTGTCATTGGTTCTGTTTATATGATGCATTACGTTTATCGATTTGTGTATGTTGAACCAGCCTTGCATCCCAGGGATGAAGCCAACTTGATCATGGTGGATAAGCTTTTTGATGTGCTGCTGGATTCAGTTTGCCAGTATTTTATTGAGGATTTTTGCATCGATGTTCATCAGGGATATTGATATAAAATTCTCTTTTTTTGTTGTGTCTCTGCCAGGCTTTGGTATCAGGATGATGCTGGCCTCATAAAATGAGTTAGGGAGGATTCCCTCTTTTTCTATTGATTGGCATAGCTTCAGAAGAAATGGTAGCAGCTCCTCTTTGTACCTCTGGTAGAATTTGGCTGTGAATCTGTCTGGTCCTGGCCTTTTTTTGGTTGATAGGCTATTAATTATTGCCTCAATTTCAGAGCCTGTTATTAGTGTATTCAGAGATTCAACTTTTTCCTGGTTTAGTCTAGGGAAGGTGTACGTGTCCAGGAATTTATCCATTTCTTCTAAATTTTCTAGTTTATTTCCGTAGAGGTGTTTAAAGTATTCTCTGATGGTAGTTTGTATTTCTGTGGGATTGGTGGCGATATCCCCTTTATCATTTTTTATTGTGTCTATTTGATTATTCTCTCTTTTTTTCTTTATTAGTCTTGCTGGCGGTCTATCAATTTTGTTGATCATTTCAAAAAACTAGCTCCTGGATTCATTGATTTTTTTTGAAGGGTTTTTTATGTCTCTATCTCCTTCAGTTCTGCTCTGATCTTAGTTATTTCTTGCCTTCTGCTAGCTTTTGAATTTGTTTGCTCTTGCTTCTCTAGTTCTTTTAATTGTGATGTTAGGGTGTTGATTTTAGATGTTTCCTGCTTTCTCTTGTGGGCATTTAGTGCATAAATTTCCCTCTACACACTGTTTTAAATGTGTCCCAGGGATGCTGGTGCGTTGTATCTTTGTTCTCATTGTTTTCAAAGAACATCTTTATTTCTCCCTTCATTTCGTTATTCATCCAGTAGTCATTTAGGAGCAGGTTGTTCAGTTTCCATGTAGTTGTTCAGTTTTGAGTGAGTTCCTTAATCCTGAGTTCTAATTTGATTGCACTGTGGTCTGAGAGACAGTTTGTTGTGATTTCTGTACTTTTACATTTGCTGAGGAGTGCTTTGCTTCCAATTACGTGTTCAATTTTAGAATAAGTGTGATGTGGTGCTGAGCAGAATGTATATTCTGTTGATTTGGGGTGGAGAGTTCTGTAGATGTCTATTAGGTCCACTTGGTGCAGAGCTGAGTTCTAGTCCTGGATATCCTTGTTGATTTTCTGTCTCATTGATCTGTCTAATATTGACAGTGGGGTATTAAAGTCTTCCATTATTATTGTGTGGGAGTCTAAGTCTCTTTGTAGGTCTCTAAGGACTTGTTTTATGAATCTGGGTGCTCCTATATTGGCTGCATATATATTTAGGATAGTTAGCTCTTCTTGTTGAATTGATCCCTTTACCATTATGTAATGGCCTTCTTTGTTTCTTTTGATCTTTGTTGGTTTAAAGTCTGTTTTTATCAGAAACTAGGATTGCAACCCCTGCTTTTGTTTTCCATTTGCTTGGTAGATCTTCCTCCATCCCTTCATTTTGAGACAATATATATGTCTTTGCTCATGAGATAGGTCTTCTGAATACAGCACACTGATGGGTCTTGACTCTTTATCCAATTTGCCAGTCTGTGTTTTGTAATTGGGGCATTTAGTCCATTTACATTTAAGGTTAATATTGTTATGTGTGAATTTGATCCTGTCATTATGATGTTAGCTGGTTGTTTTGCTCGTTAGTTGATGCAGTTTCTTCCTAGCATTGATGGTCTTTACAATTTGGCGTGTTTTTGCAGTGGTTGGTACAAGTTGTTCCTTTCCACGTTTAGTGCTTCCTTCAGGAGCTCTTTAAGGCAGGCCTGGTGGTGACAAAATCTCTCAGCATTTGCTTGTCTGGAAAGGATTTTATTTCTCCTTCACTTATGAAGCTTAGTTTGGCTGGATATGAAATTCTGGGTTGAAAATTCTTTTCTTTAAGAATATTGAATATTGAATAGTGGCCCCCACTCTCTTCTGGCTTATAGGGTTTCTGCAGAGAGATCCACTGTTAGTCTGATGGGCTTCCCTTTGTGGGTAACCCAACCTTTCTCTCTGGCTGCCCTTAACATTTTTTCCTTCATTTCAACCTTGGTGAATCTGACAATTATGTGTCTTGGGGTTGCTCTTCTTGAAGAGTATCTTTATGGTGTTCTCTGTATTTCCTGAACTTGAATGTTGGCCTGCCTTGCTAGGTTGGGGAAGTTCTCCTGGTTAATATCTTGAAGAGTGTTTTCCAACTTGGTTCCATTCTCCCTGTCACTTTCAGGTACACCAATCAAACCTAGGTCTGGTCTTTTCACATAGTCCCATATTTCTTGGAGGCTTTGTTCGTTCCTTTTCATTCTTTTTTCTCTAATCTTGTCTTCACGCTTTATTTCTGATATCCTTTCTCCCGCTAGATTGATTCAGCTATGGATACTTGTGTATGCTTCACAAAGTTCTTGTGTGTGTTTTTCAGCTCTATCAGGTCGTTTATGTTCTTCTCTAAACTGGTTATTCTAGTTAGTAATTCCTCTAACCTTTTTTCAAGGTTCTTAGCTTCCTTGCACTGGGTTAGAACATGCTCCTTTAGCTCAGGGGGTTTGTTATTACCCACCTTCTGAAGGCTGTCATTTCGTCAAACTCATTCTCCGTCTAGTTTTGTTCCCTTGTTGGCGAGGAGTTGTGGTCCTTTGGAGGAGAAGAGGCGTTCTGGTTTTTGGAATTTTCAGCCTTTTTGCACTGGTTTTTCCTCATCTTAGTGCATTTATCTATCTTTGGTCTTTGATGTTGGTGACCTTCGGATGGGGTTTTTGTGTGGACGTCCGTTTTCTTGATGTTGATGTTGATGCTGTTCCTGTTTGCTAGTTTTCCTTCTAATAGTCAGACCCCTCTGCTGCAGGACTGCTAGAGTTTGCTGGAGATCCACTCCAGACCCTGTTTGCCTGGGTATCACCAGCAGAGGCTGCAGAACAGCAAAAATTTCTGCCTGTTCCTACCTCTGGAAGCTTCGTCCCAGAGGGGCACCCCCCAGATGCCAGCCAGAGCTCTCCTGTATGAGGTGTCTGTCGACCCCTGTTGGGAGGTGTCTCCCAGTTCGGAGGCTCGGGGGTCAGGGACCCACTTGAGGAGGCAGTCTGTCCCTTAGCAGAGCTCAAGTGCTGTGCTGGGAGATCCGCTGCTCTCTTCAGCGCCGGCAGGCACAACATTTAAGTCTGCTGAAGCTGCACCCACTGCTGCCCCTTCCCCCAGGTGCTCTGTCCCAAGGAGATGGGAATTTTATCTATAAGCCCCTGACTAGGGCTGCTGCCTTTCTTTCAGAGATGCCCTGCGCAGAGAGGAGGAATCTAGAGAGGCAGTCTGGCTACAGCGGCTTTGCCAGACTGCAGTCCCTGGGGGCTTTGTTTACACTGTGAGGGGAAAACTGCCTACTCAAGCCTCAGTAATGGTGGACGCCCCTCCCACCACCAAGCTCAAGAGTCCCAGGTTGACTTCAGACAGCTGTGCTGGCAGCAAGAATTTCAGGCCAGTGGATCTTAGCTTGCTGGGCTCCATGGGGGTGGGATCCGCTGAGCAAGACCACCTGGCTCCCTGGCTTCAGCCCCCTTTCCGGGGGAGTGAATGGTTCTGTCTCACTGGTGTTCCAGGCATCACTGGGGTATGAAAAAAAACTCCTGCAGCTAGCTTGGTGTCTACCCGAATGGCCGCCCTGTTTTGTGCTTGAAACCCAGGGTCTGGAGATGTAGGCACCCAAGGGAATCTCCTGGTCTGCGGGTTGCGAAGACTGTGGCAAAAGCATAGTATCTGGGCCAGAGTGCACTGTTTCTCATGGCACAGTCCCTCATGGCTTCCCTTGGCTAGGGGAGGGAGTTCCCTGTCCCCTTGCACTTCCTGGGTGAGGCGATGCCCCACCCTGCTTTGGCTTGCCCTCCGTGGGCTGCACCCACTGTCTAACTAGTCCCAACGAGATGAGCCGGGTACCTCAGTTGGATATGCAGAAATCACCCACCTTCTGCGTTGATCTCGCTAGGAGCTCCAGACCAGAGCTGTTCCTGGGGCTTTTACGTTTTTAGTGCTCATTTGTTTGGCATGGGGTGGGGGGCAATTCTATGAGGACATTTAGAATTTTCAGAACTATTTTGCTCATAATCAGGGGTTGCATGAGCATTAAGTTTCAAATCTCTTCAGTAGACGAACCATGCAAAATACCAATATCACTGTGTATTAGTATTTAGCAGTCTTATCCTTGATGTGGAGTGTATCCTCACACTTCCTCTATGAGAAGTCTTTTGTGAGACTTATTCCCAGGTAAAGAGCCAGTCAGGGGCCTGGCTGCTGCCCTCTGGCTGGCGCAACAGACAGATGATGTCCCAGTGTCTCTGGCGGCTTCTTACAGAACTCTGTCCCTGAGGTTATGTCCCTTCTTCATGAGGTGACACCTTCAGGGGTGGGTCTGCCTGAGAGCTCCAAAACATGATTTCTGCTGAGAAACCTGTGTCTGTCATCAGTGCATCCTCTGTTAATCTCATGAGATTTTATTTTCCAAAGTGCTTTTAAAGCAATGGCATAGAACATAAGGTGTTGCCAGTGCATTGCATCAAGCCTCTATCAGCCTAAAAGCCCTTTAGGAAAAGAATTAAAAGACAAACCCCCAGAAGAAAGTTCTATTGTGCTATTTACTACCTGGCAGGGAATAGGGTCTTGTGCCCACCTCATTGACCGTCACTTAGACCAGGTATTAAGCAGAATAATTCTCTTTGACAAACAACAGCCTTATGGAATCCATGAGAATGTTCAGGGAACCCTGACAGAGATAAGAACTAGTTTCCAAGAATAGGAAAAGATGGTATGGCAAATCTTTGCCTTTACTTTGATCTGTGGCAGGAAACTGGTTTTTAAGAAAATCTGGGTTGTTCCTCCACCTCCTTTTCTTTGTCTTTTATATTTCTGTGGGTATGCTGGTTTCTAGTTATACACATTAACTGAACACCTCATCACTCACCAACTCTGCCCCTGTGGCTACAGTTTGTGTATGCCTCTCTCCTGGAGCAGAGGAGATCCTTGGTCTGATAACACACTCAGTCTTCCCAAAGTCATGGCTCTAAGGGAAACAAGCCACACACGAATCCAACAGGCTTAGACAGAGGACTTGGAATTCCACATGCTTGGCTCAACCCTGGAAGTGACTTGGGCTCTTGCCTCACCACATGAAGAGCTCTAAGCATTCAGGTAATTATGGTTTTTGCCCTCAGAAGGCCACAAATGACTGGAATCAGTGGCATGGAGAATAAGAGAGAAAATGCAGAAACTATTCACTCCTGCTACAGGACAATGGGTAGACAGAACTGCAATTCAGATTCTAGAGCCCCTGGGAAGACAGTTAATCAGTAGTCCAGCACAGAACCATGTTTGAGGAGAGTGGAGAAGCCAACAGTGTTCCAGAAGACGTGCTGCCTTCCTTCTCCCCCAAGTTTGATGCTGCTTGTTTTGTTATGCAACATGCCCTTGAGTTTCTATCCAACACTGGAGCTTTTTACCCAGGTCCATCCACACCTTCTAGCCCAAAATGCCCTGTGCAAATTGTATATAGATTAAGACACCTCTTGTGCACCACACTCAACCCCCAATCCTCTCAGCCCACCACTTACTCCAGCCACTGTTGCAGTGACCAGTTCTGATGGGCTCTGGCAACCCCTACTTCAGCCCTGCAATGTATTCTCTCTTGCTTTCTACCCACGGGACAGAACTTATTTGGGACTCATGCATGTGCAGCCTGGAAACATGTGGAGCTGACACCTGTGGGCTGCCTTTACAAATGGATGCCAACAGAGAAATGCTTCCCCCTTTTACTCAAGGTACAGATGGTGTTGAGATGCATTTCATAAGCTTCTTCTGAAGTCCTTGCTGGATGGAGCATCCCTGCCTTTGGTGCTAGTCAACCTGAAAATGCATCTTTGTATTCAGCCTCCCTCCTTCCCTGTTCTCCTCCTGTCCTTTATTGCTGCTCCCTGGAATCTTGTCCCCAAAGCATAAACTGCTTAACTGCACAGAAGCACTTGTCTCAGTCTCTACTTTCAAGGGAACCCAAGATACATTTGTGCAAGAAGGCTGGCTCAGCCCATAGTCAATTAATAAAGTGAAGAATTCTAGTGCACAAGAATCAAATCTTAGTCTTAGAGATTAATCCCAACCATTGCTAGAATTAGCCCAAGCTGATACAGAGAAAAGGCAGATGACAGTGTGGCACAGGCTCACTAAATTCTAGAAATAAAGATTCTAGGCAGTTGCTGTTATTTAAAAAATCATTTTACTTATTAAAACTTTCTCATTTCCCAAGGCACTTCAGTAGCTTTCACAAAAACATGTTTGTTCTTTTTTAACCAGGTGAGGCATATGCTTTAGGAGTACCATGGTAACATAATCAGCAAAGAGAAGACAATTACACTGAACACAAAATATCACCCAATAAAGTTACAGGACTAAAGTGAGCTACTCTGAAAGACTATGAACACAATTTAAATTTCTTTTTTGTAATATCCTCCCATGACTAAGTATCAAGAAAGGAACACACACAATGACACTGTTTTTGGCACTTAGAGAAGTGCTAGAGGCTAGGGCTGGTAAGGCCTTGCACCAGTGGCAGCTGCAGACAATTGCCAGAGTGATTCTGTTTTAAAAAAAAAAAAAAAAAGACACAAACCAGGAGGCTAAGGAACCAGCCTTTCCCAAGTGCATTCTGAAGGGCAAATAACAAGGAGAAAAGGATACAACAACAAACAAATAAACAATAAAACAAAACCCACATTACAGCTTTGAGAGAAAAGACAACGTTGCTCATCTCTCTCACCTGATAAATTTCCTTTAAACCATACATAAGACGCTATAGTAGCAAGGAGGTTTCCACAGCAGTGGAAAACAAGAATAGTAGATTCAATGGAGCATTTATTATGAGCCTGGACAAGCCCAGTGCTTTGATCAGATGTAAACAAGTCTACTCAGTCGTCATGCTGAGTGGTCTTAAGAGCTCACACATCAGTGCACTTTGCTGGTGATCTGCATCTGCTCATTCTGCTCCATCTTCATTACCTTTCACTTTCCCTAGCTCTGCGCTCTCCTGCCCTGGGGAAGCAATGATCCAGTTAATGTCCTCTGTAACTGAGAAAAGGTAAGAATCAAACTCCTTGTGCAATTACTTCCTTTTCCTCTAAAGTTCACCACTAGAGGGGAGTGGGGAAAGGGGTGGGGGACTTAGACCTCTAGCCTTATTAGGGGCCTTTTCAAGTAGTCTAAAATTAAAATGTACATTTAGCATATGCTTCTCACATTCCTCCAGATCTCACTGGTTCTAGTGAAAAATTAACTGCTTTGGAGGTGCTGAGTCCATCATTGTAATAGTTAGGACTTAGATGAAGTTGTCTGTAGGTAGCCCCAGTGTCCCTAGAGGAAGGTGGTGCTCTAGGGCCATATGTAGCCTCTGAGTGTGGGTGCCCATCCAGGAGCAAGTCAGACACAGGTCAAGAGGACAAACAGCAAAGGCCTTTTGTCACTGAAGGACTCGGAGTCTGCACAAGCTGGCCATTTCTGGCAAGACAGTCTTTCCTCTTCAGTTTCTCCCTTACTGGAAGCGATGTTAGAAGGCTGTGCTTTTAAGGATTGTGGGCCTTTCTTGACCATCTTTTAACATCCTTGTGTGACTTGGAGTTTTTCTGTGTTTCATTCTATAAAAACAAGCAAAAATATGTCAGTAACACATTTTAAAAAGATGCCTCCCAGTCTCCAAACAAACAAGAACTGAGGATATCTTCCCTGGGAAGAGAATCCTGCAGCAGATTCTGAAAGGTTTCTTCTAGCCTCTGAGTTATCCAGTGCGGCTACTGCCATGGAGATGTGTATAGTGACATGTCCACACAGGAACAGACCAGAGAGGATGGGCTATAAGTAAGCACCTTGCCATTTACAACCCTTTAATGGCTAAACTAGTCCATGGTGTCTGTGAGAGGGAGTTTGCGAGTAGCTCTATTGTGAGGGGCTCCTGAGACCTGGCCAGACCCAGACCCAGTGCATCAACACTGACAGAGGAGGTCTTCTTACCCTTTGACTCTTAGCATCTGGTCAATGGTGTCTGGGAGTGGGGTACCGAAGCTCTCTGGGAGAAACAAGGTGAGGATGGCTGTCAGGATGGTCAGACTTCCCATGAGAATGTAGGGCAGGAAGCGGTCGTAGGCACCTATGGCAAAGCAGACGGAGCCTCAGGCCCAGGGCTGCAGTTAGACTTGGTCTCTCATCTACCCCTTTATGCTCCCAGGACTCTGGAAGGGGATCACTTTCCTTCTTGGTCTCACATCTCTCACAGTCTGAGCAGTCAGATTAGAATCTGGCATCTAGACAGGTTTCAGAACCCAGAGCTGGCACAGGCATGCCCAGAGCCCAGCAGTGTTCCACCATGCAGGGGAGGAGTACAAAGGGGCGGTTGCAGTAGAAGAGCTGGGCCATGCTGATTATTCCTATTTCTGGGCCATGCTGATTATTCTTATTTACCAAGGTTGGGTTTCCAAGGAACCTGAGGTACTTGTCCAGGGATGGAAATAACTCTTCCACCTCTGCAGATGTGTCCCAGCCCATGTGATCTGCCTTCAGATTAGGCAGGGTGCTTTTGCTTGCTTTGAGATCTACATAGCATGTTCACAAAGCACTCTGAGTACTCTCAGGTGGGTGCCACCCTCCCTAAAGAGGTACTGGCTAGGGATGTGCAGGAAACCACAGGTGCTATGAAGACATAATTCTGAGAAGAGAAAACTGGAGACCTGCTACATAAAATGGCATGGGGTGGATCTTCACACAAGATAAAATCACTCTATAGTGCTCTAGGTTATAATAATTTTCCGTTCATCAGACCTCTTGCATGGACATCTTTCCCCTCATGTTCCTTTTAAACTCTGATTCCAAGAAATTTCTCCAACTAAGCACACTGGCTCCCTAAACCACTCTGTAGGTTCTTAGGATAAAGGAATTGTAGTCTCTGATGGAAGGCCTGGGATGGCTAAAACAGAAACAAACCCTCTAATATTCTCATCAATTTCTAGGTAATCTATAGGTTGTTTTCCATTTGAAAGTGAGGGCCAGTGCACTGGGACAAGAACCCTTCCCGGCCAAAGATCCAGTACTGGATGGAGCCCATGTACTGTATGAACTTGTTTTCCTGTTAACACGCAACCTCCAGCTCACATTCAAGCCAGTTAGTACTTCCATCCCGTTGCTCTAGTGTGCCCTTGGCTCATGGGACTTACCAAGGTAAACGAAGTAGGGAGACAGGATGCTGCCCAGGCGGGATGCTGTGGAGCTGACTCCCACACCCATGTTTCTCACCACTGTGGGATACAGCTCGGCTGTGTACACGTAGACCATGGAAAAGGCAGCCGTGACTCCAAACTTGCCCACCATCACCAGGACTGTAGCCAAATAATACAAGTCTGGAGAAGCAAAGGAAAGAGGGTAGGAGTAGGTACCAACCCATGGCATGCAGCTATTGAGAGCAAAACAAACATACTTTCTTCCCAAATTTTTTGGGGAGTCAGTTTCTATCACTTCCTATTGTGGGGGAAGGGGCTATAGCCAAGATTTCCCTCCAAATTGATTGCTGAAAGGAGGCTGGGACCTGCAGCTATAAGGACATGCACTTTCCTCAACCTGGAGACCACCAGAGTAAGCTCCTTAATAGTCCAATCAACCTGCTTCCCAGTCTATAAGTCATTAAAGACATGTCTGTCAGGGATTAACTGTCACCCCAGAACCTCACACTGCAGGCACTATGGAATTAACTCATGATGTTTAGATGAATGGAGAATTCAGTTCTAACTCATTTCATGCTTTCCTCCCACTCAGACCTCAAAAAAATCATAGGCCATCAGAATCTCAAGTTGATCTTCTAATCTCTCTGTGCTGTGCTGATGGGAGAGCTATGTGTGACCTGAAGGTCACTCTGAGCTCAGCTGTGAGCCTCTACATCAGTTCTGGGCTCCTCCTGCCACATCCCATGGGGAGCTGTTCCCGTGCAGTGTTCTCAGCCTGATGGGCCCAAAAGTGACCATCAGAGGCTCCCAAATCTACAGGTACACTGAAGTCTCTGGGCACAGTGATGGAGAGGGAGAGATGAGGGCCCATGAACTGTTCTATAAATTATTGGAAATGGCTACCTCCCACCCATCTGTGGGATACTAAGATAGTTTCAGAAATAAAATCCTGCTAAGGCTCTGTGAGGCCCTCTCAGTGGTCTGGCCCCTCCCCTTCTCCCTCCTCCTCAAACATGCCAGGCTCATCCCCTGCTCAGGGTCGCTGCCTTTGCCATTTCTTCTTCCTAAAATGTTCTCCTAGACTTTTTCAGGGCTTTCTGTCACTTTATGTACATTTCTACTGAACTGCCCCCTGTTCAGGGACACTATCTGTGACTATGTAAACTAACTCGGCATTGTCCTTCATTTGTATTCCTAGAAGGTAACACAGTCTGAACTATATTAAGCATTTTATTTACTTGTTTGTTGTCTGTCTTCTCATCTAGGGTGTACGTTCCATGAGGGCCTGGGGTTCTGCCTGGCTTGTTTTCTTGTGTATCGTTATCACCGAGCACAGTGCCCAGCCCATGGTAGGCATGCCATAGCTATTTGTTGAATAAATAAAGAAGACAGGGCCAGGAAAAAAAGGAATGGGATAGCTATTTCTTCCCTCTTCTTCTGCAGTGGAAAACAGTATGAGCACATTAACTTGGGTACAGAGTAAAATTAACCAACAGCCCCAATGGCTGCTTTTTCCCACTCCCTCAAAGCCCAGGCCATAAGTGTTCTAGTCTCAGAAGACACTTTCTATTGATTTTTAGGCCAAGAATGTATATAAGCAAGGGAGCTGTGATGGGCTTGATTTTATTCTCTTTATTAATTGAGACAGCCTGGTAGACAGTAAGAGACTCAGTGAAGACCCCAAACCATAGATGCACATGGTCCCTACCTGGGGGTACCAGCTGCATGAAGAGAAGGACACTGCCACCCAGGAAGAGGGCAGTGGCCATGGAATAGCGCCGGGGCAAATATTGCAGCAGCAGCCAGGCCAACACATATGCTGGGACTTCAACCATCGCTGAAAGGAAGCAGTTCACAAAGATGTCCCCATGCAAGTTAGGAGTATCAAGCGAAAGCCCAAAATAGCCCACTGATATGGTCATCCTGAAACAGAGTGCAGAAGAAAGCTGGAAAAGCAGTATCCACATCTTTCCCAACCTGTACAACTTTTACAATGCAATTATTTCAGTAAATTCCAAACCATCTTTAAGCAGAGACTAGTAAGGCAGCAGTAACTGTAACCCTGCGTCTTACTTCATAGATCAAAAGATAATTTTCCCCAGCCCAAGTGGTACAGTGTAAACCCTGCGCCAGTGCGCTCTCAGAGCCTTCCATATAGACAGTGTCCCAGCAAAAAAGCTTGTATAATTCAGATAGATTTACTTCATTGAAAAGAAAAATTCCAACCTGCCTTTCAGCTTTAAAAATCCTAAGCTGAACCTCCTCAAATCCAGCAACTGCAGAAGGAGCTAGAGAATGAGTCAGGAGGCAGACATCAAGTGAGGTGTGATAGGATTTGGGGGATAAGATAACAAAAGGAACAACATTAGGTCAAACACTTGGAGAGAGACCCTCACACACTACCTGTGGTGACCAGTCAGGAAGAGGCTGGTCAGAGACAGCTGACACCAGCCCCGCGGTACTTGTGGAGCACAGAGGTGGCTCCCAATGGAGGGGCCACACTGCCTCTCATCAGGATGCCCTGCAGTACCCCTGACCTGGGCATCCCCAGTAGGCATTCTCTCTGTTGATGACCCACACTCTTTGACAAACCAGACCTTTATGGATTAGACTGTTTTGACTCATCTGCAGGTGGAACACACAGCTGGTACAATAAAAAGAGTATGTGCATGAGTCCCCAGGAAATCCAGAGCAGGGAGGAGAGCCTGGGTGAACACAAAAGTGGGTGACTCATCACAGGCTTGCATGTCTGTGGTGCAGGCTACATGCTGCTCCTGTCTTGAGGCCAACTCAGGGAATGGTGAACTGCCTGGAGGGATCCTGGGCCATTCCTTGGAAGCGGGTGACTCATAGCACTCCCTCAGTAGGCACAGTGGCTGACTGCCTCAAAGCTGGATGAGACTAGTAATAAGGACTCTGAGATGAAGTCCGCCCTCCTCGCCCATCTTCTCACCGCTAACCCACCAGGCTCCAGAAGTCGCCTAGAATCCCAGGGTTCGGCCGCTGAGCAAAAGCTAGCGATGTGCACTTGGACATGTTTCCTCTCCCTGGTAATTCACAAATCCCTTTCTGACATACTTTGCCTCATTAGTGGGAACCTGGTAAGGACATCTAGGCTATAGCCCTGACTCCAGGACCGTTTATGGACATCCCAGGAGGAGCACATCCCACTTCCACATTTCCAGAAAGTAACTGGCAGCCTCTGCAGCCTACAGGACATGGTGTCTTCACTCAGATCCTTCTTAAAAGCCCTACCTGGCCTCCTCAGCCACTGTCGGTAACTGGGTAGGAGACGGGAACTAAATGACCCAAATTGGGCAAGGATTCATCTTAAGATCTGGAGAGATTCCCCACAAGAGTCCATATTTCCCACAACAGCCTCCACAATTGTTTTCATTCTCCTTTTCTGAGGTTCCATCCCATTAAGAATTGTGACATGCCCATTTTTTCCATCTAACACAAGACATATCCTTTTCACTCTCTGATGACATAGGCTTTGAATTTTGTCTGAGGCATGTCTGTAAACAAGAGGCCCAATGGCCACTTCAAGAAGCTTTGTCTGGAAGCCTCAGGCAGGTCTCTTTTACATACCACAGCATTATGGACATGATGGTGACCATCCGGATATTCCAGGTTCGAAGCAGATCCAGAATGTTGTGGGACTGCTGCTTCTTGGAACTTAGGTCTTGTAACTGCAGGAACAACATCATAAGTGTATGGGAAGAAGAGGTGGTCAGAGACTCAGAGCACACAATAACATACTTGAATCCCTGGCATCTTAGCTGTCTGCATCTCAGCGTCGGGGAGTGTTACGTTTCTAAGAACAGTAAGTATACTGACTGTGTTTTAGGCTGTGAAAACTTCCCTAGGCCTTGTCAGTAACAAATCAGAGTGAATGAAAATGAGGAAAAGTAAGTGACCAGTCCCTCAAGGGTACAGGAAGACAGAGGCCCAGGCTGACAGCTTCCTCACTGCACCCCCACATATTCCTGTCGGTGGCCACATTCCAAGGAGGCCTCTAAGTATTCCTCCCGAAGCCTGGCTCCCTGCCCTCTGGGTCAGAGAGAGTACCTGGCTGTGTGGTTTATTGGTCTGATATTTTTTAAAAGTTAATGTTTTGAGTCCTTATACTATGTAGTTACTGGTGTGCTTCCAGGGAAAAAGAATTCAAATAGAAAAACAGGAAAATTGACCTGAGCTTCACCCAGAGTGACTTCCTATGAAATTCAGCACAGCCAAGGCCATTAATAAACCACACGTCTAAACACACTGATGTTGCTTTCTTAAGCAAACCCAGGTTTGGAGCTTGTTTTTCCAGAGTTAGAAGTTCAACAAAAGGTCAACTTTGGACTGAAAGTATCCCCTGAAATAGCCTCATTTCCTCAAAGATGCCAGTGGGGCTTATGCATTCACCCAGATTGACCCCTCACTTAAAAGCCCCCAAAACCACCTAACTTAAAAGCCCTCTGCCACACTCCTGCCTGACCTTTGCGCACAGGACCCCTTTCTGGTGCATGCTGACAGTGGCTGCTGGGCCACCACTCACTGGGAAGTCTGCAGGGCTGGCAGTGGCCATTGGCCTCCGCTGTCTACAATAACTGTTCCCTCTTTTCCAAGCCCAACCATGCCTGCCTCTCACACTTCAGCAGGGCTGCTTGTGGCTGTTCCCACACCCAACCCCTCATCTTCCAGTCAGACCACAGACACATTCCAGAACCCCACCAGGCAGCATTTACAGCTTCTAACCTCTCATAGTCACGAGACCAAGGAAAACTGCCTGCTACAGAGATGGTAGGAGAGGGAACGGGAAGGAAAAGCAAGAACCAGGAACTAGGTAGAGCCAAGAAATGAGTCATGGTGTGTGAGAACAGGGCTGACGGGAGGGGTGGGGTAGGGGGAAGAGGTGGACATCAAAAAGGACCTGACTCCAAGATGATATGCAATAATTAACCATTGGAGGGCAGAAAGAGACTAAACACTTTTTTTTTCTTTTTAATGAATAATTGCTAATACTCAAGAGATGAAATACTTCTAACTCCAAATCTATTTGTGCTTTACATTTTACGTTTGGGGTTAGCTTTGTAAGGTGACAAGCCACCTTAGGTATAAGAAACAATGATTTTCCCAAATGCTGACTTTATGAAAGGCCTATTACTCAAAAAGAGTATTTATTGTTAGAAGTAATGGTTAAAATATATGATTGCCTAGAAAGGAAGTAAAAAATGAAAATCTGAAACCCGTGGTGAAAAGAGTGAGGCAGCTGTAACCTATTCCTCAACTTCTGAGTGTTAACAGGGCCCGTGTGGGGGTGGGGAGTGGGGGGATGGGGGGAATGGGCAGTTGGGGCTTGGGCGGAGAGAGGGCTGGGCTGCTGTGAGCAGGGAGGACTTCAGGGCTGGGTGCTGCTGCTCTCAAATCACGGTCAGTCTGTCCCTCTCACCCACACCCACATGGTGCTTACCTCACTCGGGTCAAAGATAGTGGAAGGCACAACAATCCCATTGGCTTTGGCAGCCTTGCGGATGATCACCTCTGCCTCTTCAAATCGTCCCTGAGAGATGAGCCATCGGGGGGACTCAGGGATGAACCTGGCAGTACAAGGTCCAATCTCAGTGAGGCCTCCCTGCCAACAGCAGACCCACAGACCAGGTAGAGCACAGCCATAGGTGGGAATAAGGTTGCAGAACCAGAGCTTGTGGAATGTTTGGTGATCACAAGCCAGAAGCAAAGAGCTGATCCACACGCAGCAATAACCTGGGGTGGATGAGCTTATGTGTACCCCACACCGCACAAAAATGGGAGAGCCCTGCACCCCCTGACGGCATCCCCATGCTGGCTGGCCACCTCCATTTCTGAAGAGCAGTGTTGCCATCTGCTGGGCTGAGGAGATGGGTGCAAGATGGGCTCCGGAAGCCTGGCTTCTGTGCATGTCTATGTCAGCCCAGGCCCTGCTACACTCTCCTCCCTGTCCCCGGCACCAACAGAAGCTTCTGCACTGGCCTTTTAGCTTCTCTTCTCTCCTCACCCTACCCCTGATTTATCCAACAGATTAGTCAGATACTCTACCTAAAATAGCATGTTTGGCCAGGTGCAGTGGTTCACTCCTATAATCCCAGCACTTTAGGAGGCCAAGGCCGGTGGATCATTTGAGGCTAGGAGTTCCAGACCAGCCTGGCCAACGCAGTGAAACCCGTCTCTCCAAAGAAATACAAAAAAAATTAGCCAAGTGTGGTGGCAGGCACCTGTAGTCCCAGCTACTCGGGAGGCTGAGACATGAGAATCGCTTGAACTGGGGAGGCGGAGGTTGCAGTAAGTGGAAATCACGCCACTGCACTACAGCCTGGGCAACAGAGACTTTGTCTGAGAAAAAAAAAAGAAAAAAAAAGAAAAGAAAAAGAAAAGAAAAAAAGGAAAAAAATTAGCATGTTTATCAAGGCACTTGAGTGCTCTATGGATATTATTTTCCACCTTGCTGGGACCAGGTAGCCGCCCCCCACCCTCGGTCATGACTGGGCCCCATGATGTGCGGCTTACTCTCCCACTATGCCCTGAAATGCTCTCTGCTCCACTTGGGCTGGTGATCTCACCTTCTCCACCTGCAAGGGGTGATTCCCACCTTAGCACCTCTGCAGTGTTCCCCTCTTGGTCTGGAATGGCCTCTTCTCTGCCTGTTCAACTCCTCTACCTTGGTGGTGCAGAAGGAGCCTGGCTTCCTCCATGTGGCTACCCTGAGGACTCTTGCTTTTGGTGCCAGTGCCTGTGGCATGAGGCTTCAGCAGCACACAGCCAGAACTAGGGCCTACACTGTCCTGCCCTGAGGCTTGGGAACTTCCTACAGGGCATGCTGGACCCCATCTTCTCACAGCTACTGCTATTTTTCCCCACACTTGGGGCAACCCAGCACAGGGCTGAGAGCAAGTCTGTTGCTGTCATGGGATTCTGTTTTGTTTTGGCTCTTTTGAGTGTGGAGAAAACATTCTGAAATAATTTATAATCTATGCTTCCTGTCTCTGGGAGACAAAATAGGGATTCATGGGTTGTTGCTGCCCTCTAGTGAAGGCCAGACAGAAATCATCCTGCCAGTGGGCACATGGGGCACAAGGTCACACTCACCACCAGAGTGCCACGCATAGCACCCCCGGCATCGTCAGCGCCACCAGCAGCATCCGCCAGTCTCGGATGAAGTAAGCAAACAGTGGCAGCACCATGTAGCCAAATGCATAAAATATGCACACTCCTAACGTAGAGAATATTATACGAACTGACTTGCCAAGAATTTCTGTCCCTGTTCAAAACAAGGGAGGTCGAGTTAGCAGTTTAATTTGGGTTCCTTCCTTATTAATTTTTTATGGTATCTTTGTGAATACACAGACAAGAAAACAGCGAGAACTCTCTCTAAGTTCATGGCGCTAGGGAGCGGATGGCGTTCTGAACCCCTCCTGTCTGACTGTCTCCTGGGGGTACATCCCTGTGGCCTCTCAGGCCCCCAAGCAACAGTTCTCTCTTGAAAATTTCGCCATGTTCTGAAGCCATGTGCTAAAGATGCCATGGTAGGCCCCCTTTAATCCTCACATGAGGAAGAATTTATTAAAAGTGAAGTCATTACTAAGTCAGCACATGCTGACTTAAGCCTCAAGGAAAGAATATTAAATATAAAAAGAAAAAACAACCCTTTCAACAATACAACCCAAGGAACTCAAAGGCCTTATCAGCTAGAGTCAGGTTCCTCCAAACACAGGCCGGCCTGGCAGCTTCTCAGTGACAACAGGCTGGCACATTTGAGACAAAGCCCTGCAGTGTGCACTCTGAATTAAAACCCTGAAGGTGACGAAAGCCCCTTCCTATCAATTTATTCTTGTCCGTAGATATCACCAGCCACAGTGCTCTGCAGACAAGGGGTTCTCTACCTTAGCAAGCTTGCCAGTCACAGCCCCTCCTCCTCCAACCATGCCGCCCTCTTTCTGGGGCTGGCTCAGCCCTGTGCAGTGGCAGGCCCTTTTTGTAAATGGAGGATCTCTGGTGAGTCCTAGTAAATTGACCATCAAGTACTAAGACCAAGGAGCCACAGCCCAGAGGCCAGAAAAGAACTGGAAATCAGAAGTCAGGCCATTGTGCTGCTGGGGACCCCAGGCTGGTCTCATGTCTGGCTCAGTTTCCCTGCCTGTAAGTAAGGTTCACCAGGAAGCTCTGGCTAGTTTTGTTAGAAACCCTGTCCCCCTTGAGGGACATCACAGTTGTCTCCAGAAAGGTAGGTGATGGGATGATGGTGAAATACAGGATCAAGTACTCAACTCCAACCTGATGGCCATACCCAGGACAAATGCTGCCACATAGTTGGAGATCTGGCCCATGCCTACAAGGACAAACAGCACGACAAACATCTCAAAATTCTTCGAGAAGATCTGCAGGAAGCTGAAGCCTGTCTGCATGCCCATGGTCACGAACAGCACATTCTTCCGGCCAAACCTGGGAAGAAAAGGAGAGTGACAGATAACCAGCTGGAAAAGGGCAGCAGGAATGGGCTCCACCAAGTGGGGCTTTCTCAAGATCCATCCAGTAAGTGGGTGTGAACAGTGTTGCCAGAATACTGGCTGCCAGGGACAGTCTCGGTCTCACAGTGCCCATGCTATTTCTCCCCCTCCCCACTCCCCATGACAAATGTACAGCCTGGGTACCAGGGTTGCCTAAAAAGCAATGCTACAATTATGATAATGATTGCAAGAGACTGAAATACATCAATTATTTAATCCATACATTCATAATGATATTTTTTTTAAAAAAGAATCTGCCAAATTTGGAGAATAACAGAGAAACAATTCATTATAAATGAAAACTGGCAAATAAAGAGAAAGAAACATTTGTCCTGATTTTCCTTTGTAAACTATGTGAACAGCAACCAATAATAGATAAGAGGTAGTATCATGTACAAAAGTATTCTAACTTTTAAATGAAAAGGTAATAAAATTAGAATAATACCATTTATAGCCCCCAATGGATTAATAGATCTATGCATTATATACTAATTACTGTTAACATCATAAAGAGACAGTCAGGAATTGCATGCTTCCTATGGTCTGGCCAAAAGGACTGAACCTGAATCAGAACCTGAATCTCAAGTCTCTGGATCCAACTGCCAATTTTGAGGAAATGCAGAGCATAGAGGAATGTGCTGAACTGCATCATCAGTGTGCAATCAACAAATCCAGACTGGGAAATTCTATAGGTGGAATAGCTCAGGTTCTTCATAGATAATCAGTAAGGCATAGAAGGCGATAGAAGGAGAATCCATAGATTAAGTAGACTAAAAGACATCAAATATATTAAGTGGGCAACACTAAATTTGTGTCAAGGATGCATATTTCGATAATAAAACTAAAAAAACTCACAAGGAAGTGATTATTACAGGAGTCAGGCTAGCGGTTACTTAATGGGGAGAGAGAGAGGATGCTGTAATTGGGATGGGGCACATGGACAGGGCTTCTTAGTGGACAGCAAAGTTCTACTGCTCGACTTGGTGGTGGTCATAAGGTTATTTCTCTGAAAAAAATTCATTAAGCTACACATTTGTTCTGTGTGGTTTTCTGTATCCGTGCTCATTTTAAAAAGTTTTTAAAATTGGGTTTATTTTGGTTTGTTTTAAAGAGAGTGCCACAAACAGGAGGAAAAAGTCAAGCTAGTGGGAAGCAGTGGGTTCAGTTTGAGTCTGGCCAGTACTGGCTGACACCCACTTTCATTCAATGTTTATTGAGCATCTATTATAGAGGGCACTTGGATATCAATAAATTAAAAAAGATGCTGTTTCTGCCCTTAAGGAGTGTCATAGTATAACTGGTGAAACACATATTAACCACATTTTAATCTAACAACACGCTACTGAATATACAATTACACACTGAGTCAAGTGCACTGAAGGATCGGCATGCAGGTTAATGAGAGGCACAAGGAAGGAAGCTACCCTGGACTGGGGGTAAGGGTTGGGGAACTGGACATTCAGGGAGGGTCTCCTTGATCATGGGACACTGAGATGGGAAAAAATAGTTGACGATGGGGGATTTAAGGTGTAGGGACCAAGCTCTCAATGATATTCACAGTATAGTGCGGAAGACCAACATTAATCCTATAATAACACTTTTTTTCCCCCAATTTCTGGTAGACGTTTTAAAGGAAAGTCATAAGGAACTAGGGATCCTGAATTAGCCAGCATGGTTAAAGAAGGCCACAGGGGGTGGGTTGGGGTGGGTGGGGAATGCTTCAGACTCTGAGAAGACCACACACCCCCATGGCTGGAGGGGGCATGGTGAACATGAGGAACCAGTGTGGTTGGCATCAGGCGTGCAATTCAAGAGTACAGTGGTGGCTAGGAGGCAAATTGCACAAGGTCTTGCAACTATGTGGAAGAGTTTGGTGTTTTTCCTCAATAAAAGAGGTTTTTTTCTGTTGTTGTTGTTTTTTTCCATCACTTGGGGTTCACTGGCATCTAATGAGTAGAGGCCAGATATGTTGTTAAATATTCTAAAATGCCCAGGAAAATGCCCTAGAACAAAATTATTTGGCTCAAAATGTTAATAGGGTCGAGGTTGAGAAACTCTCGCCTGGTAGTAGACTCTACTTTCCCCTGCATGGTTTTTTTAACAAGCATGTTCTATATGCCAACCAAGGGGTGGTTCCTAACCACAAGGCAGGCTGGTATAATCTCTATGCCCTTTCCCTTCCTAAGAGCTCCCTGGGATGGTAGGGAAGAGACAGATCCAGAGAACCCTTTACATAGCACCAGTCCTTGGCAGTTCAGGGTTGGGGCCAGAAATGTTTGCTTTTAAAGTCTGTCAACAAAATGGCAAACACACACATACCTGGAAACAGGACACAGCAGTCTACTTCTTCCTAGAGTTGTGCATCTCTTACAAGTCAGACGCATAAAGATAACTCAATAGTGTTACATAAAGGGCTTTGACAACCCAGGAGTACTTTAATTGCTCTTGAATTTCAGACATATTCATAGGCCAGAAAGAAGGTGAAACCTTTATACTATATAAAAAGTTACATTGATGTCCTAGACAAGTTAGGGCATGAATTGATTGCTTTCAGGTAATCTACTTAGCTTAGGTTTTAGAACTGGTTTACTCAGAAGTAATGCACTCAGAAGCTGTCCATCCCACAGGGCCCTGGGCCTTCCAAGGGGGCACAGACAGGCTTGAGGCAGGGCATTGGGAATTGAAGGCAGGGGCTGCAGGCAGAACAGCCATACTTTTAGCCACTTAGGGTGTATTTCATTTACTAGACTTAAATTATCCTACTTTAATGAAAGTTCTGTGGCCAAAATGTTTAGAAAGGTTTGAAAAACACTATATTAGCCCTTCTGTAGACTAAAGTGGTCCTAAACACACTCACAAATTTTGTTTCCAGTTTCCCTGGGAATAGACCTTTTGGAACTTAAATGCTTTCCTCAGGTAATCATTGTGTCACATGGCAAGAAGGTTCTTAAGCTGACCCATGACACAGCTGACCCAGAAAAATACACTGCATTTCTACTCTGAACTTGGGGTATCTCCTTTTCACATCAAGGGCATTCTTCTGAGCCGCAGCTGTCACTTAGCTCCGTGAGAAGGAATCTCCCATGTCCACTCAGGTGGCCTCTAAGCATAGCACAATCCTCCCCCAGTTCCCCCCTCCCCTCCCCACTCCCCTCTCCCCAGGCAACCTCATCCCTATCTGGGGCTCTGCTGAGGGTTCTATATGCTGACAAATCCTACATGTGTTTCTCTAGCCAAAACCTCTCATGCAGTACCATATCCATACAGCCAGCTTCACACTCTACTTCTCCACTTAGGGGTCTCATAGTCACCCCAAATTTAGTACACACAAATTGAACTCAATATCCATGAACGTGGTTCTTTTCCAGCATTCTCTGTCTTAGAGAAGTGTACCTTCATTCACCCAGTTACTCAGGCCAGAAAGCTTTCTTCCCCCAATTCCGACATCCAGCCCATCGGCAAGTCTTGTTGATTTTACCTCTTACCACTTCCCTCCATTTCTACCACCGTCATGCTAGGCCATGCCACCATCATCTCTGGCATGAACTACTGTGACAACCTTTTAATTGGTCTCTCTACAACACCTTTTGCTTCCCTTCAATTCTTTCTTCACAAGGTTGTCAAAGCATCTTTAAAAAAAAAAAAGGACAAATCTGATTGTCACACTATTGCTTTAAAAAATCTCAGTAGCCCACCGCTGCTCTGTGGCTGAAGCCCAAAGTCCTAACTGTGATCCACTAAGCCCTGGTTGCTCATCTGCCCAGGGCTCTGCCTGCCTCTCCCCTTCATCTTAACACCACTCTCCGCACCTCTACCACACGGACTTTGTCCTGCTCCCATGCCTTTTCATGAGCCCCGGCTTTAGCACTTGCTATTCTCCCTGCCTGGATGTTCTTTCTCCTCTCTACCCCTCAGCTGGCTACTTTCGACTCATCTTCCCACTCTCGCTCATGCTTCACCTTCTCAGGGATGCTGCCCCTGACCTCCTCTGTTAGACACTCCTGTGGCACCCTGCACTTCTCTGTATCTCTTACCATGGCCAAGGACAACAACGACTTCCTCACTTGGTTGTTTAATACATTCCACCTTGCTAGAAAGCAAGTTTTAGGACAGCAGGGACCTAGAACAGTAGTCCATACACAATAGAGGAGCAAGACTACCTGGGTCCAAATCCTAACTCTGCCACTTGCCAGCTGTGAAACCCTGGGCAAGTTATTTAATCCCTCTGTCTCACTTTCTCCATCTGTAAAGTAGGAATAATAAACAGGTTAACCTGCTTTTTAAAAAAAAATCTGGCTGGGCAGGTGCAGTGGCTCGCGCCTGTAATCCCAGCACTTTGGGAGGCCGAGGTGGGTGGATCACCTGAGGTCGGGAGTTTGAGACCAGCCTGACCAACATGGAGAAACCTTGTCTCTATTAAAAATACAAAATTAGCTGGGCATGGTGGTGCATGCCTGTAATCCCAGCAACTCGGGAGGCTGAGACAGGAGAATCTCTTGAACCTGCGAGGCAGAGGTTGCAGTGAGCCGAGATCGTGCCATTGCACTCCAGCCTGGGTAACAAGAGTGAAACTCCTTTTCCAAAAAAAAACAACAACAATAAAAAATATCTGGCTGCGCATGGTGTCTCACGCCTGTAATCCCAGCACTTTGGGAGGTTATGGAGGGAGGATTGCTTGAGGCCAGGAATTAAAAACCAGGGAAGATGCTGGGACTCCTTTCCACCGGCTAACCCACCGATTTGTGGGGTGTTCTCACATGTGTCATGTGGCCAAGGACTTGCTGAAGGCTGCTACTCTCTTCACAGTCTTCTCTGACAGACCCTGAAGCTCCAGGGAAAGAAGACACAACATAATGGACCCCTCTAAGAACTTCATGAAAGCTACGGACCTCTCTCCAAAAAAATGCTCACATGTAGTCTCTAACATTGTGCATATAATTTCGAGGGGTTTGGGATTCTCTAAGCCGTTAATGTTTCCTTGAGTTAAAAGCTTTAGAATTATACAAATAACCTGCTTATAAGAAATGGATCAAAACACTATTCTCCCTCCTGTCATAAAGTAAATGCCAAAACCACAGGCCACTTAGCTAAGGGGCATCAGCCTTGTGGACAAAAGAGTTCTGCTTTTCATACCACTAGTGGCTGGTGAGAGCTCCTTTCACTTTGCAGAGAGAATGCTGGTCTTCTTGGGACTACAGAGGCAGACACCGTGGCACTACTACAGATCTACAATCTAGCACATGTGCATGTGTGCATGATGTCAACCTCTCCCATGCTCAGGGGCATGACAGAGTCACAGTGACCCAGGGGAGGCAAGCCAGGCTACTGCAGAAGTGAATCATGGCATATTACCTAGTCAACCGGGTCACAGATACATTCAGCTTAGACAGCTCAGGTTTCTTTACTTAGCAAGAATTACGGAGTCAGATTTGTTGGCTCTTCTTACTAGGCATGGAGTCTATATCACAGACATAGCTTCCTCTTCTTTAAAATACAGGGCCCTGCGCTGAAAGAATACTACCAACTGAAATCAAGGGCCAGGCACACGCTTCTTCCTCAGTGCTGAGGTCCCCTGGTGCTCCAGAAGACAGACACCTTACCTGTCTGACAGCTGCCCTGAAATGAAGGAGCCCAACAGCACACCCACGAAGAACAAGGAGATTGTGAGTGGGGCCTTCCAGTCGTCCTCACACACCAGGTTCCACTGCAAGATGAGCAAAGGGGGTGTATCATTCACTTCTTTTTAAAAGGTTTTAAAGCAAAGGCATCCTGGAAAATGAAGTCAGAACATCCTGCCATCCCCACACGCTCTGAGTGTGAACTCACTTAGTCAGGTGATGGCTCACCTGGGCAGGAAGGCAGAGAGCAGGCTTCTTTCCCATCCTGTTTTTCATAGCATTGTAGGCCCCACTGTCTTGCTTCCATTTTGAGGAGGAGAGACAGGCAGAGAGTAAGTGTTCTGTCCACATGCTGACCCTGGAGAAAGCAAGGCCTCTAACGCTTGCTCCTAAAAATCTGAGCGGAGCCCAGGGCTGTGGAAGAGGCAGGGCACCCTCGCTCAGTGGGGTTCAGGCCATTGGCATGAACGTCACTGGAGTGGTTCTGGAAGCAGGGCTCTGGGGCTCTACGGGCCAAAGCATCCAGCAAGAAACTAAGGCCAGGGCACAGAGTGCACCATCTGGACCTGCTCTGCTCGGGTTCCCACCCTGGGCCAATGACCCCCGGGTCCTTTTTGTGACCTTTAGAGCTGGAATCCCTGATGCTGCACACCAACTATACTAGGCTCAATTACAGCTGAAAGTCCTGAGCTTGGAGGTAAGAAACTGGGTTTTAGCTCCCACTCTACTATTAAAACTCTTCCAACCTCAGATAAGCATCACCCCATGCTGTGCCTTGATTTCCCCATTTGTAAAACAGGGATTGGGGTAAGGAATAGGCTGCACCGCTTGAGTTTCCAGCTTCCAATGTGTGGTTCCATCTATAGTTACCATGAACAGAAAAAGAGGTCTGAAGACATGGGGAAGCAGCCAGACGCTTGGATCTGGCTGCGCCTGCCTAAACAAGAGCCAAAAGCAGGAAGAAAGCCCAAACGGGAAACTTAGTGGTTCACAGAAAAATGAAAAATGTTTTTCAGACAGAGAGATGGTGCTCAGTAGTAACCTTTGCAGACTTCTCACATGAGCAACCACCCTCCTAGGAACTCAGACCCTTGCCTCCCTGGTGCCAGGCTGCTAGCCTGCCCTCCACGGAGCCTGCTGGCTCCTCACCAACAACGCAGGCAAGGGGACATGCGGCTCCCTAGAACAAAGCATCTCTTCCAAGCCAGTGACAGGGAAAAACAAGCCTGCTTCTCCGCACTGCTGGGCAGTGTGGGCGCACAGCCTCCGGGCACCTCTCAGAGGGGTTGGCAGGCAACCCTCAGGCTGGACACGGAGAACTCCCGCAGCAGGCACACTGCTGGTGCTCCGCTTTGGAATAAGCGTGAACCTGGATGGGCTGGGAGTAGGGTGGCAATCCCCAACCCAGGGAAGAACTGGAGCATCCAACCCCTAATCAGGAGGCAGCCCAGACTAGCAGGAGTCAAGAACATGGGAGGACCACAGCCTGACTGCCCAGGCTGCCACAGCCTCCAACCTCCACAGCCTCAGAAGGGCCAGCACCCACAGGCCATCTCTCTGGTAGGTGGGTAAGTATCCCTGCAGTGGCCCCCACCCACACATGGCTGCTAAATCTAGGACTGGGAGTGGAGGCGGAGAAAAAGCTGAGGGAATTGATGACAGGGTGCCGGCCTCTGTGTGTGAGGCCAAGCTTCAGGGGCCAGGACCTGGCTCCTGCCACTCTTGAGTATGATGGGCTCTATTTCCCAGCTAGCATGTCTTTTATAGTGGAAAAGATGAAAACATGAACAAAGGGTCAGCAGCGGTTTCTCACAGGACTATCATGAGGTGAGGGTTGGGGACCCATATGGCTGAGCTAGACTAGCAATCCACGTGGGCTTCTGCAGTGAGTTCTGGGGTTGTAGACCCCAGGACAGGTCTCCCAATATCAGGCTTCTAAAGACTCCTTGGCTGGCAAGGTTGGGTGTGACCTAAAACCAGGTCAGACAATCTCTGCAGGGGACAGGGTGACTATAGTGCTCATTTTGAGATAGGCCCCAGAGCATCTCTCAGGCTCCCTTAGCCCCACCCTCTCTACTTGGTCCAGCCTGTCCTTAGTCTAGGCAGGTGTGTAACTCCTTGGTTAACTCTGCCATCCACCCACCACTGACCGCCCTTGACAACTCTCTGGGCCTGGCTTTGGGCCCTCCAAAAGCAAATATGCATTAACACTTCTTTCCTATTGGCCGCAGGGGGTCTGTGAGCAGGATCAGGAAAGGTGCTAGGTCTCAAAACTGAACACAAGGGCAAACATAGATTGGGTCCCAGCCTGCCAATCCGTCCACATATCTGTCAACCACCAGATGGACTGCAGTAGGTTCCAGGACTTGGCCAGAATCTCCCTGAGAAGAGGTGGATGAGAAGCACATAGAGTCCAGGCTAAGTACCCCCTACTTAAATTGTTTACAAAGGAGTCTAGCATTCCTTAGCTCCTGGCTCCCCAGCTGTGATTAAAGCTGCTACAGACCAGCTTATTGATGCCTCCGCCTGGCACATGGGATGGGCTATACTGGCTGATGATCACAGGTATCAATGTTAAAATGGAATGTGTGGGTTTAAGATTTGGGTCACGAGTCTAATGCTGTCACCCTTCAGCTGGCTGAGCTGTGAATGCAGGCCCAACCTGAAAACAATCTGGGAGCAACTCTGGCAAAGGGCCTAGACTTGCCCCTCTTCCTGGGGAGAAATGCACCTTTCTAGTGGTGATGGTTTCAAGGGTGTAGAGATACATGTGTGCCAAATTGCATGCTTTAGCTACATGCAGTTTTTATGTCATTTACACCTTAATAAAGCTATTAAACATTTTTAAAAAGAGGGAGAATTGTGTCTCCTATACCTCATACATAATTGGCACTGCTTTTTCAGTTATGAGAAGTAGAGAGATGACATAGTTCCCTGGGACTAAATGTTCTTACCTGTGAATTGGCAGGAAGGGAAAAAAGATAGGGTGTGTGCCCCTAAGACAGAAGTTCTTCCCTGAGGGGATGTACCTAGCCTGACCGTATCAACAGTCAGACATGCTGCTAGGTACCACATGTTACTGATTGCCATGTATTCCTATATTCCTACACACATTTTATCCTGCCTCCTGCTGAAATCAATGATGAATCCTTGCCCCACCGTTGTCAGAGCAAAGAGAAAAGGTATTTCCTATCTTTGCTATCACATCCTCTACAACTCCTGGCAGTGCCCCCTGTATAGAAGAGAGGCTCAGGAGCTCTTTGGTACATAGGTGAGTGAATGAATCGATAAATAAAAAGGTATCAACCTTCAACATCTTGGTATACTTTAGTTCTTGCTTGGCTGCCCAAAGTCGAGATGAACCCTGAACTCCTGAACTTCAATCTCCAGAATACTCTTTTTTTTCTTTTGAAACAGAGTCTTGCTCTGTCTCCCAGGCTGGAGTGCAGTGGCACAATCTCGGCTCACTGCAACCTCCACCTCCTGGGTTCAAGTGATTCTCATGCCTCAGCCTCCTGAGTGGCTGGGACTACAGGGATGCACCACCAGCCTGGCTAATTTTTGTATTTTTAGTAGAGACGGGGTTTTGCCATGTTGACCAGGCTGGTCTTGAACTCTGACCTCAGGTTATCTGCCCACCTTGGCCTCCCAAAGCCCTGGGATTACAGGCAAGAGCCACCACACCTGGCCATTTTTTTTTTTTTTGGCTCCCTGACCCCCTGCTTTGTGTCAACTGTCAGAAATTTGACCCAGGATTACAGGTGTCAGCTAGCTAGAGAGTGGCTCAATCTGACCACTCATGGCCAGATGTGTCTACTATGTACGTGCATAGTGGGCCACGGGACCCCGCAAGTGGCTTCTCTGCCTTGCCATATAGCTGCAAAAGGCTGGATGAGGGTCTGTGTGTCCCCTGAGTGAGAGAAATCAACAAAGGCGTAACAGTGAGGTTCAAGCTCCAGGTCTCTCGGGTCTCTGCTGCCCAGAGTCAGCCCCGGTCCCAGCTCCCAGGTTGCTCTGGCTTTTCCTCCAGGCAGCTTTGGGGATAACAGTGAGGGCTCTCCCATCTTCTAAGACTATCTGTCTCTACACAAGATAAGGCTGATAGAAAAGCTAGTCCAGGACAATGGGGAGGGAGTGGGAGTCCCACCCAGGACTGGGCCGAGGGCTTCTTAGAAGCAGACAGGTGGAGAGCAAGGCGATGCAGAGCAGCTTGGAAGTTTCTTTTCTTTTTCTTTTTTTTTTTTGAGACGGAGTCTTGCTCTTGTCACCCAGGCTGGCATGCAATGGTGCGATCTTGGCTACTGCAACCCCCACTTCCCAGGTTCAAGAAATTCTCCTGCCTCAGCCTCCCTCCCGAGTAGCTGGGATTACAGGCACCCACCACCACGCAGGGCTAATTTTTGTATTTTTAGCGGATACGAGGTTTCACCATGTTGGCCAGGCTGGTCTCGAACTCCTGCCTTGTGATCCACCTGCCTCAGCCTCCCAAAGTGCTGGGTTTACAGGCATGAGCCACCACACCCAGCCGGAAGTTTCTCAAGGAACCTGTCTGTCCATAGGCTGGACAGAGCTATGGTGAAACCAAAGAGCGGACAGCCCAGACAACCTCAGAAACAACCCAGGTTTCCAGCAGATGGGGCAGTCCATGGCCAAGAAGCACTGCATGATGGGTTGGCTAATTCCCCAGTACCCCAGGGATGACTGAGGGGCCAGAGGAGAGGCCAGCCGAGAACCATGTGGACCACCAAACTATTCCTGGAACATGGGGGCATAAAACTCTTTTACCTCATAAATCATTTTTATTTATTAATATTATTATTATTCTTTTGAGATGGAGTCTCGCTTTGTCGCCCAGGCTAGAGTGCAGAGGCTCGATCTCGGTTCACTGCAAAGCCCGCCTCCTGGGTTCAAGCGATTCTCCTGCTTCAGTCTCCCAAGTAGCTGGGAATACAGGCATGTGCCACCACACCCAGCTAATTTTTGTATTTTTAGTAGAGATGGAGTTTCACCATGTTGGCCAGACTGGTCTTGAACTCCCGACCTCAAGTGACCTGCTGCCTTGGCTTCCCAAAGTGCTGGGATTACAGGCGTGAGCCACCACGCCCTGCCAATATTTATTTATTAATTGCTAGCAGATTCCCTCTGCCAATCCCAACACCTCATTCCACATCCATGTGGCATCAAAGCCCCAGTCAGTGGGCAGGGGGAGTCACATTTCCTTTAAAAAATTCCAGTCAATCCTTTTCAGCCACCCTCAAGTTTCCCTTCTAAGAACTGAACTATTTTTCTTTAGTTCTCAAACTTTAGAGATGATTTCTTAAATTATTCATTAACTCATTCAATAAAAATTTTCCTGAGAACCTCCCTCTGCATCCAGAATTGTGTCAGAAATTGAGGAAGACGCAAAGATCTAAATCCACCACAAAGTTTGGTACTACATGTATGTACTTTAACTTGAACAAATTAAAAAAATCCAAACAGGACACCTGAGGTTCCAGTCTTCAGTGGAAAAAATATGACTAGTAATTCAATACCAGTGTACTTACAAACACCTTTATGTATGATTTGGGGCAGAGGGCAGGCTTAGAGACATTTAGCAGGCATGGGACTAGATGCAGTGGTCAGCAGGCCAGGTTTGGGTTGAAAGACAACAGGCCATAGAAAAAGCCATTAGAATGTTGATGCAGCAACTTCCAGCAGTAGCTGTTCACCTGGGAACAAGCAGCTCTGAACTTCAAGTCAAGCATTCCAGTAGCCCAAAACAAAGATCTAAGCATTAATCTGGCCTCCCTGCAAAGACTGACAACATATAAGTAGGTGAAAGGGCACATAACTCCTTTGAAACTGCTAAGACAGCTAAATAAATAGTCTAAATATTAAAAAACAAAAGGCTGACATTGGCAGCAAGATAAGGTCAGACCCCCTGGCACAGCTGGCCTTTGGGAGCTCATCAATGCCACCATCACTCAGCCCAATGTGGGATGGAGGCAGCAAAGCAGGAACAAGTGACTAGAGTAAGCCGGGGAACCCTCAGGGGTCAATGTAAAACTCCAAGAGATGCCATGTGCTTCTTCTTGCTTCACTACTTCCCTCTTCTTTAGGCAGCCCCAAGTAGAATTTGTAGGGATTCCTGTGTCATGTTCCCCTCTGTGGCCTCTGCCTGCAACCTCAGGGACAGCCTCTGCTTTCATAGTACTCACTGGCTTCCGGGAAGGTAACACACCCACCTGTGAGGCTAGGACCCAGGATTTGTGGCAACTGAAGGTTCCAATTTCCTGTGGATTCATGGGCCAGAAAGCACAGTTGGCTACCTCCAAGGAGTGCCTCTTTTGTCAAGCCATGATGCCTCTGGACACTGAAGCTATGTCACTAGCTAAGAAATCCCAGTGGGGCTCCGGTCACACTCCCACTACATATATGTGGAGAAAGCAGGTCCAAATGCTGGGGACATCAAATTTCCAAAAAGAAAAAACACACACATGCACACACACTTGGATCTCCCAGGGTAGCTCTCAGACTCCATTGAAGGGTGATGACGCCAAGAAGCAACACAGTTGGGATCTCCAGAGCCCCTGTAAGCCCCTCTGAGGCTCCAGGAGGGGAGGCTCAGCACCAACATCCAGCAGGGCTTGAAGCTGTGCCAGGGCCTGTGGCACTCTCCCTCTCTATGAACTCTCCCCTCTCTGTGAACTCCGCCGTCCTGCTGGGTGGTTTCTTGCTGCTGCACTGGGGCCTTCAGCTCACTATTATGCTGAGCTGAACACCCTAGGCTCACGGAGAGGCCTCCTCTTCTGGGAAGCCTTCTCTAACCTGCGAATTGGTCATCTGCACATTTAGTGAGCCTATCTATCAATGAGGGCTATTCACTGGCTACTTACTCAATGCTGCTGAAACTTCAGGGAGCTAGAGTGCCAGTGTCTAAAAAAGACACAAAACACATACATCATTAACATCATGTTCCTACATCCAGCTCCAACAACTGCTCCAACAGGTTCGGAGGGGACAGACAAAACCACCCAGAGGGAAAATCCAAGGGGATGAGAAATGAGAAAGGCTCCCCTACACCCTATGACCTAAGGCTGTATGCTTTAACTAAATCTGGCCGACAGCCTTGCCTCATAATACCTGAGAAAATATTCCAGGTCAACAAGTCACCCTGAACCCATCTTCAGATGAATGGATCTTAAAGAGTGACAACTGACGGCCTGGCGTGGTGGCTCACGGTTGTAATCCCAGCTTTGGAGGCAGAAGCAGGCAGATCACGAGGTCAAGAGATCGAGACCATCCTGGCCAACACGGTGAAACCCCGTCTCTACTAAAAACACAAAAATTAGCTGGGCGTCGTGGCTCACAGCTACTCGGAGACTGAGGCAGGAGAATCACTTGAGCCCGGAAGGCGAAGATTGCAGTGAGCCAAGAACGCACGACTGCGAAGGTTGCAGTGAGCCAAGAACACACGACTGCGCTCCAGCCTGGTGACAGAGGGAGACTCTGTCTCAAAAAAAAAAAAGACTGACAACTGACCATGGGAAAAGGCAAACAATTACTTACAGGGCATGACCAGATTGTCGTTTTTGGGTTGTGGACGGTAGGGGAAGGAGTAACTAGAGGAAAAAGGGAAGAGGCAGTTGTATACACATGCTTTATTTAACTTTTAAAAGTTCAGGAAAGAGAAGTATTTCTTCTCTTCTAAAAAGAAATCAAGAGACTAGAGGAAAAACGGGATAGCCCCTGGCCCAAGTCCTGGCTCTGCTACTTACCACCCCCAACCCCAACTAGAGTAAGTCCTGGACACACAGGGCCATAGAGCATCGCCCAGGGACCGCCAGGACCTTCCTGGTACCCTCTTCAAAGTGGCCATCAGGACGGGAGGCCAGACTGACCACCTGTGCAGGGAGGAGCACACTGTGGCTGGAGGTCACCTCGTGAAGCGTTCCCAAGCCACCTGGCTGGAGGGTCTCCATCGCTAGGGTGTTGACCGTTGGGGGAGGGGGAGTGACAGCGTCCAGTGCGCATCTGGGAGAGAGGAGCTCGGGTTCAAGGACCGCGACAGGTCCTCCGAGCCCTGGTCTCAGCCCCAGCAGGGGCCGGCACCCACCTCGGTCACAATGGTGGACAGGTAGACGTCCTGACTGAACTCCCAGCCATCCAGACAGCTCTCCTGCTCCAGCTGCCCCAGGTCCACGTCGCGCCCCGGCTCCAGCCCAAGCGCCGAGAAGTTGGCGATGGTGGCGAGCCGGTAGCGGCGGCAGCTGTGGGGCACCTCGCGGCCGTCCCGCAGCCGCAGTGGGACAGTGTGGTTGCGCCAGGCGCTGCTCAGGTTCGCGGCGTCCGGCACCCGGCAGCGGTGCTCCGGGGTCGCTATCAGGAACACGGAGGACAGGCCGGTGAAGCCATTGGGGATGATGCTGGCGCTGAGCAGGAAGAAGATGAGGCGCTGGAAGGGCCCCCACTCGCCCAGGAAGGCGGTCACCTCGTCGTAGTCCCGCATGCCGCCCTCAGAGGCCCACAGAGCGCGGCCTGGGGTCGGGGAACGCGGCGGGCTTTGCGCGTGCGCGCGGGGCACCCGCCGCCGACCAGGCAAGCCAGGCAGCAGGCGACCCAAGACCGTCCGCGGAGGGTAGGCTCGCGAGCTGACACCGCCGCCTTGGTCCTGCCGCGGCTGGCCTTACATAGGGCGCACGACCAGGGAAGGTTGCGGGCCTGGGCCGCAAGGCGCGCCCCGCTGGCAGGCAGAGCGGCGCCGGCGAAGGCGGAGCTGGGGCGGGACGCGAGGGCGCGGGGCGGGCCGGGAGTGCACCTGAGGCCCGGGCGGGGCCTGTCCTGGGGACCTGGCGAGGCCCGGCCTCTGCCAGCCAAGCCTGCTGGGGACGACCGAGGTAGCCCGGGCTCGGCTTAGGAAGGCAGCGGGACTCGAGGCCTTGGGGTCCGAGTCCGAACTCGCTCCTCTAGCGCCGGGCGGGGAGCGAGTGGGAGAGCGGCCGCGAAGCTCCAGTGTTGAAAACGCACCCCTCCCAGCTTTTTGCAAGGCCTACTTGGGGGCGGAGGTAAGGAGAAAGTCACTGGCCCAGGGTCTCACAGATAGTTGCTCTTGACACCGCCTAATCTTATAAGAGGGACGGGGATTATTTTGAACCTGGGACTGTTAACTACCCTAGTAGAGAGGCTGGGAGCTATGACTTTTCATTCTAGTCCAGATGCCCTTTCCACATTTTCGTCTGTAACAAGCCATTTTGTTCATGCAGATGTAAAAATTTAACTTCACGATTAACGATCCTAGCCTAGGGTTAAATATTCCCCACAGATTAGTTATTTCCGTGCAGAGTTTATTCAGAAGCTAACTGGAAAAAAAAAAAAAGCAGCGAGGTGATTCTAAAGCAGCAATGTTCCATAGGATAAGGAGCTACATTTGTTATGTTAACTTTTCTAGTAGCCATATTAATAAAATTGCCAGATTTAGCAAATAAAAATATAGGACTCCTAGTTAAATTTGAATTTCAGATATAGAATGAATAATTTTTAAATATTATGTCCCAAGCAGGAATATATAAAATAAAAATGTAACTGGTTGTCCTGTATTTTATTGGGCAATGCTGCATATTTAAAAAGTAAAAATAAAAGATGAAATTAACTTTAATGGTATATTTAATCAAGTATATCCAGAACATGATCATTTCATCATATAATCAATATAGAAATTATTGATATTTTACATTGTTATATGTAAATCATTGATCTTTTTTTCCCCTCCTCATACTAAATCTTAAGAATTCAGTGTGTTTCACAGGTTCTCAGGATTTGAAAAAAAAAAAAAAAGGAATCCAGTGTGTATTTTACAGCACATTTCAATTTGGACTAGCCACACTTTTTATTTTTTAATATTTATTTATTCATTTATTTATTGGAGACACGGTCCCACTGTGTCACCCAGGCTAGAGTGCAGTGGCACAATCATAGCTCACCGCAGCCCTGAACTCCTAAGCTTAAGTGGGCCTCCTGCCTCAGCCTGCTGAGTAGCTAGGACTACAGGCACATGCCACCGTGCCCAGCTAATTTTTTTATTTTTTTTATTTTACAGAGACAAGGCATCCCTGTGTTGCCCAGGCTGGTCTCAGACTCCTGGGTTTAAGCAATCCTCCCACCTCAGCCTCCCAAAATGCTGAATTACAGACGTGAGCCACTATGCCTGGCCAGACTCATTTTTTAAGTGCTCAGTAGCCACATGTAGCTATTGGTTATCTTATTGGACAGCACCATTCCTAAGGCCTTTAAGAATTTGGGCTGCTAAACTTAACAATGCAAGATATTCCTTTTTAAAATAGTAGTGGCTTAGTGATAGAAACAGAACTAAGTGTATATTTTTACAATATAATGTGTTGAGTAAAGAATATTTAATAGTCACTATATTATGAGTTGAAAATAAAGCTACAGAAAGGGAACCTAACCTGGCCAGCAGATTTTTAACAAGGAAATCTAAACATTTGCATAAAGCATAATAGACTTAAAAAAATTATGATAAAGATGTTATCACAGGACTTGTTTGTTTCTTTATACTTACTATTCACTATTCTTACTTCCTGAAGATGGATGGTTATACCTTCAGCAATGTACTTAAATCCTTCTAACATCTTATGTGAAGTTATAGTTCTTATCTAGAACTAACTGAAAAAGAAAGCAAAGCTTCTTGAAAATAAACTCCTTTTTTGTGTGCTAAAATATTATTTTAATGCTTCAAAAGAAATGAAAGCTTTTATGAGAAGAATGTTGACCTCTGTCCAGACCAAACAAGATGAAGAAGTCTTATTTTAACATTTGAGAAATATCAGTTGGGCATCAGATAACATTCCTGAAAGGGACTGAAAACAATGCAGTATACTACAAAAGAAGCTGCATATCCTTAGGAAGAAAAGAAACTATTTGTCATAGATGGCTTGTCCACATGCGCAAAGCAGAGAGCAACCTAAGATGGTGCCGTCCAGTTCCAGGTGCACTGTGATTACTATCTGAATGCCATTACTATTTAAATTGCATTTTTTTTTTGAGACAGGGTCTCCTTCTGTCACCCAGGCTGGAGTGCAGTGAGGTGGTCTTGGCTCACTGCAGCCTCAACCTCCTGGGCTCAAGCAATCCTCCCACCTGAGCCTTCCAAGTGCCTGGGACTACAGCCACGCGCCGCTACACCCAGCTATTTTTTTTGTATTTTTGGTAGAGACAGGGTTTTGCCATTTTGGCCAAGCTGGTCTCAAATTCCTGACCTCAAGTGATCCCCCCGTCTTGGCCTCCCAAAGTACTGGGATTATAGGTAGGAGCCACCATACCCAGCCTTAAATTTCATCTTTTAAAAGAGAAAGAGAGCTTAGAATCTTAATCAGTTACCTGAGGCCCTTTATCCTGCAATATTCTGAATTGGGATGTTCCTATTTTACATATTAAAAAATGTAAAACTGATTTATATGGTAGATAACCCTACAGTTCAGGGCTAGAACTTTAGATTAAATGCATTCATACCCTGGCAGATGTGGTAGCTTGCCTCCAAGATGGCACCCAATGAATGATCCCTGTACCAGGATTGGTCTATGTGACCAAAAGCATACAGCATTAGTGATGATACTTATATCACTTGGGTAATTACATTATAAAAGATGTCCATCATGGGTGTTCTTTTCCCTTTCTCTTGCTCAGAGACAAGCAAGCTGTCATGTTATAAGCAGCCCTTTGAGGGGTCCATGTGATGTCAAGGAATGAAGTCTCTAGCCAACATTTAATGAGGAACTGAGGCCCACCAACAACCTTGAGTGAGCTTGGAAGTAGCTCCTTCAGCATCAGTTGGGTGTCGAGATGACTACTGACAGCTTGACTGCAACTTCATGAGAGTCTTCTGGACCAGAACCACTCAGTTAAGTGGCTCCCAGATTCCTGATCCTCAGAAACTCTGAGAAATAATGAATGTTGGTTGTTTTAAAATGGTAAATTTTGAGGTATTATGTTATGTGGCAATAGATAGCTAATATATAAATTATTTGAATCAAACAATACGTTAAATTAAAGCTCAGAAGAATAAACATCTGTAATTCCTTAATTTGTTTTCCCTTCTATTCTACAGAATAGAATTTTACAGATGAACCTTGTAGTTACTTGTGCAATAAGAGACAGTATGTTGTATTGATTAAGTGCAGAGCCTCTGGATGTATGATAGAAGAAAGACCAATATTCAATTGCTTTCTTCTTCAATTCCAAGCTTGTGAGCTTGAGCAAATTTTAAAAGTGTTTTAAGCCTCAGTTTCCTGGGATGGTAGTGCTTAGCTCGAGCTCCTAGCATATATTAACTACAAACTAAATATTAGCTATAATTATTAGTTTTACTTTGATTATTGACTCTAAATAAATACCTTAAGAACTTTGTGTTCTCCACAGATTTGGATATGTCTGGACGTTATGTAGGCTGGAGTAGTCAGCAATTACTTGCCTGAGGAAGGGAAGGCCTCCTCCTTTAAGAAAAGAATAGGCTGGGTGCGGTGGCTCATACTTGTAATCCCAGCATTTTGGGAGGCTGAGGAGGGTGGATCACCTGAGGTCAGGAGTTTGAGACCAGCCTAAGGAACATGGTGAAACCCTGTCTCTACTAAAAATACAAAAATTAGCCAATTGTGGCACGCGCCTGTAGTCCCGGCTACTCAGGAGGCTGAGGTGAGAGGATTGCCTGAGCCTGGGAGGTGGAGGTTGCAGTGAGCCGAGATCGCGCCACTGCACTCCAGCCTGGGCAACAGAGTAAGACTCCGTCTCAAAAAAAAAAAAAAGAAAGAAAGAAAAGAGTAGAAGGCCCAAGCTTAGTCCAATATTATAGCTTCAGCATCAGAGTAGAGAATGATTCAGAGCATCTGTCCAGTGTCTGCTGTAGATCCCTCAAATCCGTGTTTGGACGCTTCTGGTAAGGGGTGTATGGCAGATGCACCCGACAGATGCACTTGGCAGCAATAACTTATGCATACCTGAAGAATGACCCTATGGTCTAAGAAGAATGTGTGTTCAGAGCTCCAAGCTAAGGAATCTGGGAGTGGCCAACCCAGATATTTCATTTCTTATCTATGACGAACTTCTGAACTGCTCCCACCCCCAGCCCATCCTGTAGAATGCAGGCCCTACGAGGCGATCAAAGCCCTTTGTTTTAGGTTAAATGAAGGTTGCCTGGTGGAGGTTGCTAGGGGAAAGGTGTTAAGTAAAAATGTTATATAAACTGCATGGTGTTTTTTGTTTGTTTTTGTTTTTTTGAGACAGAGTTTTTGCTCTTGTTGCCCAGGCTGGAGTGCAATGGTGCAATCTCGGCTCACTGCAACCTCCGCCTCCTGGGTTCAAGTGATTCTGCTGTCTCAGCCTCCCAAGTAGCTGGGATTACAGGTGCCCACCACCAGGCCCGGCTAATTTTTTGTATTTAGTAGAGTCAGGGTTTCCCCATGTTGGTCAGCCTGGTCTCAAACTCCTGACTTCAGGTGATCCACCTGCCTCAGCCTCCCAAAGCGCTGGGATTACAGGTATGAGCCACCACGCCTGGCCAATTGCATGCTTTTTACAAGGAGTTTTGGTTCTCCTGCCCAGCCCACTGCCACTGGACTGCCCTGTATTGTAAGTCCCCTCAATAAACCTTATGTCTCAGTTTCTGGTTCTAGGTCTCTTCTTCAGCCTCTTGAACATGGTGCCATCCCTACTGAAGTCAATGGGGTCTGACATGACTAGGGGAACTTGAACAAAATCTGAAATAGCTGTTTTTTTCTTGCCAAAATCACTGTAAGACATTATTTGCCTCAGCCCCAGAACATTGAATTATATGACCCAAGAGTGGAGAAACAGAGAAGTCTGTCTGTGTCATCAGACAATATCCCAAGTGGGATGTCATCACCCCAATGCATATTGGCATTTGGGCAGAGTAGAGCAGCGTCAGCCTAGCAAGACTTGGCACAATTCTGTTGGATTGCACAATAGAATGAGAAATCACATTTCTGCTGTTATGTGATTCTGCATTTTAACTCCAGTTTGTTTGGCCTGGACAGACAGGTAACTAGCCATGAAGACAATGGACCTTGAAACATTCTGAAGACTAGAAAAAGTATGTAATAAAATACTTTGAACAACTGTTTAAGGACTTAAATGTCCAGACTGTTTCTTTAGATGAGTGTAATTTCCAATGTGAAACCCCACAATTCGGCTTCAAGAGGTACAGGACAGTTTTTGAATTCCACAGAAAAAATTTTGCATTGCAACAAACTTGACCATCCTATTTGTGGTAGTAGAAATGTAAATTCATTCCCCTCAGAGATACCTGCAAAAATGAAATGTGAAATATTCTGCTTGCATTTTAAAGACTGGTTATTGCATTCTAGAATAGATGGAAAAGACATTAGTGAGGGCCAATATAGAAATATGAGTTTTCCCAAAAGACTTTTATGTATATATATGACATGGCAGGAAAATTGGGTCACTAGTGGTTTTTACTTCTTCGTTCATTTGGCAAACATATGAATAGACTGATGTGTGCCAAACACTGTTCCGAGTTCTGGGAACTGAGGAAAGAAACAAGCTATCTGTTTTCATGGAGCTCGTATTTTACTTGGAGGATGGAGAGGCTGACAATAAACTTGTACAAATAAATACAAACTTCAAGTAGTGGTAATTGCCAAGGTGAAAGAAAAGAGAGTAATGGTATAGAATGACAGTCATTGGGTAGCTGCTTTAGATGAATGGTAAGTGAACATGTTTCTGAGAAAGTGATATCTGAGCTGAGAGGCAAAGGACGAGAAGGAATCTGTCATGTGAAGATCTGGGAAGCAGGTGTACTAAGCAGAAGAGCAGCAAGTACAAAGACTGTGAGGTAAGGGATGTGCTCGGGGTGACTAAGTAACGGAGAGAAGACCAGCGTGACTAGAACATAGTGATCAAAGTGAGTAATGTTGGAACATAAGTCAGAGACATTGGCAGGAGGCCAGTTTTTATGGAAGCCAAATTGTCTAGTGCCTTGTAGATAGTGGCAAGGAGTTTGGATTTTATTCTAGATGGAACACTACCAGAATATTTTTTCTTTTTTGAGACAGGGTCTCACTGTCACCCAGGCTGGAGTGCAGTGGCATGATCTTGACTCTCTGCAACTTCTGCCTCCTGGGCTTAAGTGATCCTCACACCTCATCTTCCCCAGAAGCTAGGACTACACGCACCACACCTGGCTAATTTTTGTATTTTTTGTAGAGATGGGATTTTGCCATGTTGCCCAGGCTGGTCTTGAATGCTGCCCACTTTGGCCTCCCAAAGTGCTAGGATTATAGGTGTGGGCCACCGTGCCTGGCCTATCAGAGTATTTTCAGGCAGAGAAAAGCATAAGGTCTTACTTCTAGCATAAAAGGAACATTCTGGCTGCTATATAGAGAAGGGACTGTAGAGGACAAGAATGAAAGCAGGTTGACTGATTAGAAAGCATTGCAGCATTATAGGCAAGAGCTTATGATGGCCTGAACTAGAGTGGTAACTGTGGAAGAGATAAATGGATGAATTCAGAATATTTTTGGAGGAAAAAGGTGACATGATTTACTATTGGATGTGGGCATGAGGGAAGGAAATTAAGGATGACTCCTGGATTTTTAGCCTGAGCAACTTTATAGCTTTTCATGTTTGTTTTTGAAATGGGGAGATTTGATGGGGTGGGGGTTTGGGAAATTAAGAGTTTTTTATTTTTATTTTTTGCTTTTTAAAAATTGTGGTGAAATACACATAACATAAAATTTACCATTTTAACCACTCTTAAGGGCATTAAGTACATTCACATTGTGCAACCATCACCATCATCCATCTGTAGAGAACTCTTTTCATCTTGCAAAATTGAAACTCTGTACCTATTAAACACTAACTCCCCACTCCCCTCCTTACCCTAGCCCCGAAAACCCTTCTATAATACAGAAGTCTCTATGAATTTGACCACTCTCATAAGTGGAATCACATAGTATTTGTCCTTTTGTGACTCGCTTTTATTGTCACTTAGCATAATGTCTTCAAGGTTCATCCATGTTGTAGCATATGTCAGAATTTCCTTCCTTTTTAAGACTGAATAATATGCCATTATATATGTATACTACATTTTGTTTACCCATTCATCCACTGATGGACACTTGGGTTGCTTCCATCTTTTGCCTGTTGTGACTAATGCTGCTGTGAACATGTATGTACAAGTATCTATTTGAGTACTTGCTTTTAATTCTTTGGGTATATACCCAGAAGTGGAATTGCTGGATCATGTGGTAATTCTATGTTTAATTTTTTTAAGGAATTGCCATACTGTTTTCCCCGGTAGCTGTACCATTTTACATTCCCACCAACAGTGCACAAGAGTTCCAGTTTCTCCACGTCCTCGCCAATACTTGTTATTTTCTGTGGTTTTGCTGTTGTTGTTGTTTTGTTTGTTTTTGTTTTTTTACAGAAGCTATCCTAATGGGTATAAAGTGGTATTTCATTGTGGTTTTATTTGCATTTCCCTAATTATTAATTATGTTGAGCATCTTTTCATGTGCTTATTGGCAATTTATATATTTTCTTTGGAGAAATGTCTACTCAACTCTTTTGCCCATTTTAAAATCAGGTTTTTTTTTTGTTGTTGTTGAATTGTAGGAGTTCTTTACATATTTGGGATATGAACCACTTATCAGATACATGATTTGCAAATATTTTCTCCCATTCTATGCCTTTTCACTATTGATTATATCCTTTTACGCACAGAAGTTTTACATTTTTGATGTAGCCCAATTTTTCTATTTTTTCTTTTGTTGCCTGTGCAAGAGTTTTATTTTAAATGCAATTTTGGGATGTCTATTAGACATCCAAGTCAAAATGTCAAATAGACGGCTGGATATATGAGTCTGAAGGTCATAAAAGAGATCAGAATGAGATATAAATTAGGGAATCATTCACATATAGATGGTATTTAAGGCCATGGGTCTGGACAGAATCACCCAGGAGAGAAGTCATATAGGAACACATAGGTTTCCCTAGGGAATACAGTCATCTTAGAGTAAAATTCCATCGAAGGAGATCAGGAGGTCTTGGCTGAGTTAAATTTGGATAATATAAGTTATTAACTATGTTAATGTGTTCTAAGCTAGATGCCAGGTTAAGGCAGAAATTAGGAGGTCCTGGGCAAGTATCAATTTGCTCTGCTATTGTATTATTACAAGAATAATACTAACAATAGTACATGACCTCATTTCATCCTCACAATAGCTTTACGCGATTGATATTCTTGTCTTCACTTTACAGGCAAAGAAACAAAAGAGAAGTAAAGTAATTTACCCAGTTGCTATAGTTAGCATGTGGTAGGTCCATATTAGAGGTCTGGTCTGTCTGCATGATGGTTAATTTTATGAGATAGCAAGTAAAACATTATTTGTGTCTGTGTCTGTGTCTGTGAGGATGTGTTCGGAGAGGTTCACAAGCATTTGAATCAGTAGACGGAGCAAATAAGGTCCGCCCTCACCAATGTGGGCAGGCATCATCCAATTCACTGAGGACTCCTGCTCACACAGAACAAAAAGTCAGAGGATGTGCCTATAGTTCCAGCTTCTTGGAAGGCTGCGGCAGGAAGATGCTGGGGCCCAGGAGTTTGAGGCCAGCCAGGGCAACATAGCAAGACCTTTCTCTTTAAAAAAATTTTTTTTGGCTGGGTGCAGTGGCTCATGCCTGTAATCCCAGCACTTTGGGAGGCCGAGGCAGGCGGATCATGAGGTCAGGAGATCGAGACCATCCTGGCTAACATGGTGAAACCCCGTCTCTACCAAAAATACAAAAAATTAGCCGGGCGTTGTGGTGGGCACCTGTAGTACCCGCTACTCAGGAGGCTGAGGCAGGAGAATGGAGTGAACCCCGGAGGCGGAGGTTGCAATGAGTGGAGATTGCACCACTGCACTCCAGCCTGGGCGACAGATCAAGACTCCGTCTCAAAAAAAAAAAAATTTTTTTTTAAGGCATAGGAAGGGCAAATTCTCTCATTCTCTCTCTTCTTGAGCTGGGACATCCATTTTCTCCTGCCTTCAGGAAATCAGAGCTCCATGTTCTTGGATCTCCCGACTCTGGGACTTACACCTTACCCTTTTCCCCTCAGTCTTTCAGACTTGGACTGAATTACACCATCACCTTTCCTGGTTCTCCAGCTTGCAGATAGCATGTCATGGGACTTCTTAGCCTCTGTAATCATATGAGCCAGTTCATATAGTAAATCTCCTCCTATTGATCTATACCTATATCTGTAATCCTATTAGTTGGGTTTCTTTGGAAAACTCTAATACCCCCTTATCCACAGTTTTTTTTTTTTTCTGCAGTTTCAGTTATCTACGGCCAACTGGGTAAACCAAATAGGTGAGTACAGTACAATAAAATATTTTGAGAGAGAGATGCACATTTGCATGACTTCTATTACAGCATATTGTTATAATCATTCTATTTTATTAGCTATTGTTAGTCTCTTATTCTGCATAATTTATAAATTAAATTTTATCTTAGGTACGTATGTATGTATGTATAGGAAAAAACCTAGTATATATAGTGTTCAGTACTATCTGAGGTTTCAGGAATCCCCTGGTGTTCTTGGATTGTAGCCCCCTGCCTTCAAGCCTGCACTCTCAATTACTGATGCTACATCTCATTACCCTGAAAGATGAAATCTAGCCTTGAGCCCTTACCAACTGGCTGCATTAGATCATTTTAGATCTCCATGTCACCGCAGTCACATTTGTGTGTGGTGAATGGTCCAGGAGAGATGGTGCTATTCCTGCCACCTTCATTAGCCTGGCTTGCATTCTCTTCTGAACACTTGGGTCTTATTAACACTGTGCCAGGTTCTCATATACCCCAAATAAAGAAAAAGAAAGTAGATGGATACAGTGTACATACTAGGCCCAACAGAAGTTATGCTTTTACTCCCTTTCCTCTTCAATTTAGATACTACTATGGCCCTTTGCTTCCGTCTATCTCAGTTCCTTCGTTGTCTTATCATTCCATTCACCTCTACTGCAAGGCCCTAAATCCAACCATTTGGTCACTGTACTCCTACCCTGGGTCACTGGAGGAAATCACACAACCATGTGAGTTGGTGTCTTGACACATTTACATTTCCAATCACAATTGGACCCTCAGCCCACTTGTTACTCTCTCAACCCATGTTTCCTTGCACCCATCAACAGCCCCCCTTCTTTCTTGTATCTTAAGTCAGCATCCTGGATTGAGAGTGAAGAGTAAAATGGTTTGACTTATTGTGAGCTTAGCCTTTGCAAGACTAGTAAACAAAAGGACTGGGGTAGTGGCAAGAGTATGAATGGGCTGGAGGGATCACAAGGTATAAACTGAAAGGGAAAGGAAATGATATCAGGTGAGAGCTGAAGAGTTGGGAGGAAAACAAAGGTCCTAGAGTGAGATGGAGCTGTTGTGACTGATGAGAGGCCCAGGGTGTGTCCTCAGCAGCAAGAGTGTGAAGTATAGGTGAAGGTCAAGTACTGCGAGGCTAAGGTGTAGCACTACTCATCTTCCTGAGCACAAAAGTCACCAGCACCTTGGGCTGGGTGTCAGAGAGCTCACAGAATGTGGATAACCAACCAGGCAGATGTTGGTAACAGCAACCAGGAGGGCACAGCACAAACCTGAGCAGGTCTTTTATGTATGTGAAGGTGAAGGAGTTATGATTTAGAAATGGCAGTGGGAAGCAAGGAGAATGCTGAGAGCCTGCTCAGCTCTTGTCTTCCAGGATCATGGATAGTGCAAAATGAGTAGCCTTCCTTTGAGAGACAGAGCCATGAGGCTAGTGGAGTGCTCAGAAAGAAGCCAGATCTCTATCAAGGAAAGGAGATGGAGAGAACAACCAGGGATGTACTTGAAAGAGGAGAGTTGCATGTCTACAATGGAATATGTGTTGCAGAGGACTCAGTCACAGAGAAGACAACTGCAGGAGGGTGAGCTGGAGGGCTCTGCAGGGGCAGGAGCACAGTAGGGCATTAGAATGGGAGTTTTAGATGAGAAGGATTACATTTGCAGTGCTGGAGGAAGATCATCTCAAGGTTCACAAAATCAAGCTTTAAACTTGTCTGTGTCAACAGACGGAGGCATTGGGTGATAGTTCAAATCCCCATAATTTTTTATAATCCTTTCAGCAGTCTGTTAAATATAACCTTGGTGATAAGCTAAGTTACCTCAGCATAGCAAGCTTGGCTTGGTCTAAATCAGGGTAGAGGTGATTGCTGCTCAAAGGAAGTGAGAGAGACACCCAGCTCTGGATTGGAGAACATGACTTTGACCTGGGTTTCAGCCTCCACAGGGCTAAGCCCCAGGGGAGCACTGGGCAAGTTGCTAAGGCCACAAGCAGGAGTTTATAACCAGGCTAGACTAAGCCCACTGATGCAAGAATTTTTTTTTTTTTTTTTTGAGACAGAGTCTCACTCTGTCACCCGGGCTAGAGTGCAGTGGTGTGATCTTGGCTCACTGCAACCTCCGCTTCCCTGGTTCAAGTGATTCTCCTGCCTCAGCCTCTCAAGTAGCTGGGATTACAGGCACCCGCTACCATGCCTGGCTAAATTTTGTATTTTTTTAGTAGAGACAGGGTTTCACCGTGTTGGCCAGGATGGTCTTGAGCTCCTGACCTCAAGTGATCCACCTGCCTTGGCCTCCCAAAGGGCTGGGATTACTGGCTTGAGCCACCATGCCCAGCCTGATGCATGAATTTGCATTCTTCATGCTCTTCATCTATGCTTCTGAAGACCTGGCACTTAGTCAACACTCAGTAAGTTTTTATTTTTTAACTGCTTTATGATTATAAAAGTAATATATGAAGCATTTGTAAAGTATGGAAATCTGGAAAAAATAAAACAGAAGTCATCTATAATCTGACCATCCAAACATACCTACTGTTAATACCTTAGTCTACGTTCTTTCTTTTTTTCCTTTTTTTGAGATGGAGTCTTGCTGTGTTGCCCAGGCTGGAGTACAATGGCATGATTTCGGCTCACTGCAACCTCTGCCTCCCAGGTTCAAGCAGTTCTCCTGCCTCAGCCTCCCAAGTAGCTGGGCTTACAGGCATCCACCACCATGCCCTGGTAATTTTTGTATTTTTAGTAGAGATGGGGTTTCGCCATGTTGGCCAGGCTGGTCTCAAACTCCTGACCTCATGTGATCTGCCCGCCTCAGCCTTCCAAAGTGCTAGGATTACAGGTGTGAGCCAATGCGCCTGGCCTTTTTTTTTTTTTAAGACAGTTTTGCTCTTTTTGCCCAGGCTGTAGTGCAGTGGTGTGATCTTGGCTCACTGCAACCAGGTTCAAGTGATTTTCCTGCCTCAGCCTTCTGAGTAGCTGGGACTACAGACGCCACCATGCCCAGCTAATTTTTTTGTATTTTTAGTAGAGATGGGGGTTTCACCATATTGGCCAGGTTGGTCTCCAACTCCTGACTTTGGGTGATCCGCCCACGTTGGCCTCCCAAAGTGTTGGGATTACAGGCATGAACCACTGTGCCCAGCTGAGCCTACTTTCTTCTGGTCTTTTTCTCATGCCTCCCCACCACCACCCCAGCCCCCCGCCATTACATACGTATATATGTTTATTTTTTTTTTAAAGAGATGAAGTCTTGCTCTGTTGCCCAGGCTGGTAGGCTGATCTCAAACTCCTGGCTTCAGGTGATCCTCCTGTGTTGGCCTCCCAAAGTGCTGTTGTTACAGGCATAAGCCATCACACCTGGCTATTTTTCACGCTTTAAAAACTCACTTTATTCATTCATTTATTCACTCATTCTTTGATTAACACTCATATACTGGTTTTATTTTATTATTTTATATTTTTAGCTACAGGGTCTCACTCTGTGCCCGAGGCTGGAGTGCAGTGGCATGATCATGACTCTGCAACCCCGAACTCCTGGGCTCAAGGGATCCTCCCAACTCAGCCTCCCAAGAAGTTAGGATTACAGGCACATGCTACCACACCCTGCTAATTTTTTTAAATTAATTTTTTTCTTCCTTTTTTTTTTTTTTTTTTTTTTGTAGAACCAGTGTGTGTTAGGCCATTCTTGCATTACTATAAAGAAATACCTGAGACTGGGTAATTTATTAAGAAAAGAGGTTTAATTGACTCACGATTTCACAGGCTGTATAGGAAGTGTGGCACTAGGCATCTGCTCAGCTTCTAGGGAGGCCTCAGGGAGCTTTTACTCACAGTGGAAGGTGAAGGGGGAGCAGGTGTGTCACATGGTAAAGACAGGAGCAAGGTGGGGGGAGGTGCCACACCCTTAAACAACCAGATTTCTCAAGAACTCACTTATTATGGTGGGGACAGCTCCAAGCCATGAGGGATCTGCCCCCATGACCAAAACACCTCCCAGCAGGCCCCACCTCCAACATTAGAGATTACATTTCCACATGCGATTTGGACAGGGATAAATATCCAGACTATGTCATTTTGCCCCTGGCCCTCCTAAATCTCATGTCCTTCTCAAGTTGCAAAATACAATCATGCCTTCCCAAGAGTTCCCCAAAGTCTTAACTCATTCCAATGTTAACTCCAAAGCCCAAAATTCAAAGTCTCATCTGAGACAAGGCAAGTCTCTTCCACCTATGAGCCTATAAAATCAAAAACAAGCTATATACTTCCAAGTTACAATGGGTGTATAGGCATTGGGTAAACATGCCCATTCCAAAAGAGAAATTGGCCAAAAGAAAGGGGCTACAAGCTCCATGCAAATTCAAAACCCAGCAGGGCAATTATTAAATTGTAAAGCTCCAAAGTAATCTTCTTTGACTCCGTGTCCCATATCCAGGGCTCACTGGTGCAAGAAGTGGGCTCGCAAGGCCTTGGGAAGCTTCGCCCCTGTAGTTTGCATAGTACAGCCTCCACAGCTGCTCTTATGGGCTAGAGTTGAGTGCCTGTGGCTTTTCCAGGCACAGGGTGCAAGCTGCCAGTGGATCTACCATTCTCAGGTCTGGAGGGTGGTGACCCCTTTCTCACAGCTCCACCAGGCAGTTCCCCAGTGGAGACTGTGTGGGGCCTTCAACCCCACATTTCCCCTCCAAACTGCCCTAGTAGGGGTTCTCTGTGAGGGTTCCACCCCTACAGCAGGCTTCTGCCTGGGTACCCTGGCTTTCTTGTACATCCTCTGAAATCTAGGTAGAGGCTGCCAAGCCTCCTTCACTCTTACAGTCTGCATGCCTGCATGCTTAACACCACATGGAAGCTGCCAAAGCATATGGCTTTTGCTCTTTGGAGCAGCAGCCTGAGCTGTACCTGAGGCCCCTTGAGCCACAGCTGGAGCTGGAACAGCCTGGATGTAGGGAGCACTGTCCTAAGGAGGCTGTGCAGAGCCATGGGGTCCTAGGCCTAGCCCATGAAATGATTCTTCCTCCTAGGTCTCTGGGCCTGTGCCTGTGATGGCAAGGGCTGCCCCTGAGATCTCTGAAATGCCTTCAAGGCCTTTTTCCCATTGTCTTAGCTATTAGTACCTGGCTCTCTTTTAGTTATTCAAATTTCTCTAGCAAGTGGTTGCTCCACAGCCTGCTTGAATTCCTCTACTGAAAATGCTTCTGCTTTCTCTATCACATGGCCAGGCTGCAAATTTTCTAAAGTTTTACACTCTGCTTCCCCTTTAAATATAACTTCTAACTTTAAGTCATTTTTTTTGCTCTCACATCTGAGTTAAGCTGTTAGATGCAGCCATGTAACTTCTTGAACACTTTGCTGCTTAGAAATTTCCTCTGCCAGATACCCTAGTTGTCACTCTGAAGTTCAAACTTCCACAGATCCTTACAGCATGAACAAAGTGCAGCCAAGTTCTTTGCTAGGCCATAATGAGGGTGGCCTTTGCTCCATTTCTAGGTTCCTCATTTCCATCTGAGACCTCATCAGCCACGCCTTCACTTTCCATATCACCATCAGCATTCTGGTTACAACCATTTGACCAGCCAAGTACTATTCTAACTTCTGAGAATACAGAAGTGCTCCTCATGGAACTTACAGTCTAGTGGAGGAAGAAGGACAATAAATGCAACAAAGAAGTAAATTAGTCAGGATGTCAGAGAGTGATAAGTCCCATGGAGAAAAATGAAGCAGGAGAAAAATGAAGCAGGGATGCATAAAGTTAGTTCAGAGAGAGAACAGGATACAATTTTAAATAGTGTGGTCAGATAAGGGTTTATTAAGGAGGTGGCATTTGGGCCAAGACACTAAGGAAGTAAGAGAACAAGCTATGTAGATAGCTGGGAAGAGCATTCCTAGGAAGAGGGAACAAGTATCTAATAGAGAAGCATGTCTAGTATGTTCAAAGAATAGCAAAGCCTTGGTAGCCTTAATGAAGAAAGCAATGGAGAGAGTAATAAGAGATGATGTCAGCGAGCTAAAGGAGGGCATGAAGATTAGAGTAGGGCCCTATAAACTGGATGACCACTGTCAAATGAAATTAAGGCTGTTGAGGCAGAAATGATTTGATAAAAGTTTATTGGAAGCCAAATGTGAGGATGAACCCAGGAAAACACACCAACAAAGTTGAGAGTGTTCTGGAGTCTGTTACAAGTTGGAAAGTTAGAAGACAGGAGGGGGACTCTTCATACAGGAGTTGTCCTTTTTCACTGGAGGGTACAATACAAAGGTTACAATAATTGGCTACAGATTGCAACATGCAGACTAACATGTCTACATGCAAGACAATCAGTAAAATGTTATGACTCAGAAATAAATCAGTGTCCTTTTCAGTGTCAGTAGGTGGTGCATTGATCAGTACATCAACAATTTGAGGAACTTCTAAGATTCCTTACTCAGGACAAGGTATCGCCATGAATCACAAGACCTTCCCAAGATGGGTTAATTTGGAAGCTGTTTACTTTTAAAGTAAACTGTCAAATGTGACCTGTAGGTTATTGCCATATATAATTTGTCATCCAAATTAGGAGACTTCTAGAATGAAAGTTGGAGGTGAGGGTTATTAATCATTAACACTAGGGCTGGTTGCCGTGGCTCACGCTTGTAATCCCAGTACTTTGGGAGGCTGAGGCAGGCAGATCACGAGGTCAGGGGATTGAGACCATCCTGGCCAACATGGTGAAACCCCGTTCTCTACTAAAAAATACAAAAAAAAAAAAAATTTAGCTGGGCATGGTGGCACATGCCTGTAATCCCAGCTACTCAGAAGGCTGAGGCAGGAGAATTGCTTGAACCAGGGAGTCGGAGGTTGCAGTGAGCTGAGATCATGCCACTGCACTCCAGCCTGGCAACAGAGCGAGACTCCGTCTCAAAAAAAAAAAAAAAAAAAGTTAACACTAGTTCAGTGGAGAGAAGCCAGGACTGTGCTGGACAAACTCTGACGTGTAATCATTCTACTTATAGACCATTGTAAGGACTTGGGCTTTCAAAAAATCTGACTGAGATGGGAAGCGATTGGAAGGTTTTGAGCAGAAAAGTAACATGATGTGATTGAGATATCCCTGACTACTATGCTGAGAGTAGATTGAAGGGGCGTAGGAGCAGCCTTAATGAAGAAGGATTGGCTGGGGGCTAACAGAATGCAGGGAAGAAACTGGATTCTGCATATGTTGAAATTATGGCAAAAGATTTTATTGACAGATTGGATGTGGAGTACAAGAGGAAGAGCAGCCAGGAAAATAAAGTTTCCATTTACTGAGTTGGGGAGGACTTCAGGAAGAGCAGATTTGGGATGAAATTAGGAGCACATGTTAAATTTGACATGTTATGTTTGAGACACCTATTATATATCCAAGTGAGGATATCAAGTGGGCAGTTATTATGTGAGCCTGGAGTTCACTCTCTCTATGTGTTGGTGGTCATCAGTGCAGAGATGATATTTAAATCATGAGACTGGATTTTTTAAAAAGGAAGAGGACTGAAGACTAAGTTCTGGGCACTCCAATTTTGGGCAGTAGCGGAGATGAAGAAAAACCAGCACACTAGATGGTAAAGGAGCAGCCAACAAGGTAAGAGGAAAACCAAGCAAGTGTCATTTTTGTTGATTTTTTTGATACAGAGTCTCACTCTGTCACTCAGGCTGGAGTGCAATGACACAATCTCGGCTCACTATAACCTCTGCCTTCTGGGTCCAAGTGTTTTTCTTGCCTCAGCTTCCCAAGTAGCTGGGACTGCAGGTGTGTGCCACCACGCCTGGCGCAAGTGTCATGTAGAAAGCAGTTCAAGGATGAAAGAGAAATGAGTTTGTCAAATGCCTTGAGAGGTCAGGTAAGATGATGACTGTGAATTGACTATTGAATTCAGAAACATGCAGGTCACTGCGGACCTTGATAGAGGTGCTCTGGTGAAAGGTGAGGGCTAAAGCTTAATTGTAGTGGGGCCAAGTGAAAATTGGAAGAACAAAGTTGAAAGTAGCAAGTAGATATAGCAATCTTCCAAGGAGTTTCACTGCTAAGGGACAGGGAGAAATGGGGCAGGAGCTGACAGCAGAAACTGGGTCAAGAGAGAGCTTTTACAGCCTCTTTGCATACTGAATGGGAAAGATCCAGTAGAGAGGGAAAAGATTTATGATGGGGGAGTCAGGAGAATTGCTAGAGCAACATGTGCTCCTAATTTCATCCCAAATCTGCTCTTCCTGAAGTCCTCCCCAACTCAGTAAATGGAAACTTTATTTTCCTGGCTGCTCTTCCTCTCGTACTCCACATCCAATCTGTCAATAAAGTCTTTTGCCATAATTTCAACATATGTAGAATCCAGTTTCTTGCCTGTATTCTGTTAGCCCCCAGCCAATCCTTCTTCATTAAGGCTGCTCCTACGCCCCTTCAATCTACTCTCAGCATAGTAGTCAGGGCTATCTCAATTACATCATGTTACTTTTCTGCTGTTGGTAAGGGAGTAGGGGGTGGGGGAGGGGTAAGAAGTATATAAGGCTGGGGCCGGGCACAGTGGCTCACACCTATAATCCCAGCACTTTGGGAGGCTGAGGCAGGCCAATCACTTGAGCCCAGGAGTTCAGTACTAGCCTAGCCAACATGGCAAAACCCTGTCTCTACTAAAAATACAAAAATTAGCTGGGTATGGTGGTGCATGCCTGTAATCCTAGCTACTTCGGAGGCTGAGGCATGAGAATCGTTTGAACCTGGGAGGCAGAGGTTGCAGTGAGCCACTGCACTCCAGCGGGGAGGAGAGACCATTCAGGAGAAACGGGAGAAAAGACAGAGGGTGTGGGTACAGATGGAGTTAGGCTGGTGGATTATGCTGCTTGTAGAGGTTCTCTCCATTGCTTCTATTTTCTAGGTGAAATAGGAAGCCAAGGCACAGCTGAGGGTGATCATGGGGGAGGAGGTGATGGAGTTCTGAAGAGAAAGAAGGTCTTCCAGGATAGAGAATGAACCAGGGCAATTAGGATCCTCTTGAAGTCACTGATGGTCAGTTTAAAGTGAAACCAGTCAGATGGAATATATTTTCCATCTACATTTGGCTATGCAGGTGCTAGCAAGAAGTAGGAGGGAGGTTAGATTTAACCAGCTTTATAGTTTCCCACAAAAGCAAGGCAGATAAGAAAGGGGCAAGGAAGATGATTATGATGATTAAGCATGGAATTTAAGCTGGCCAAGAAGGGGTGTGAGGACATGAGTAAGATGAGAGATAGCAAAAACGTGGACATCTTTGCCAGGTATGGAGCCAAACACAGTATGCATTGTCTCATGTAATCCCCACCCAAATGGAATTGTTATCATCCCTCTTTACAGATGAAGAAGCTGAGTTTTAGGGAAGACTGTAACTTGCTCAAAGTCACACAGCTGATAGAGAAGTGACACACCCAGCATCAGGTCCTGGAACACTTGTCTCCAAAGGCTATGTACTTAGCCCTATTTGCTTTAACTGGAGTATTAGTGGGCATTACAAAAATTGATGCATATGTACAAAGGATGGTAATTTTGTCCAGTATGTTTTTGTTAATACTTTTCCAACTTGAGTTAATTTTAAGATTTTCTGTTGTACAGAATTCTTTAAAAGTTTATAGTAAAATCTATTTATCTTCAATTTCCTATTCATCTTAAAATTAAATGTCACCTATATTTTCTTCTAGCTTTTGATTTATTTACTCTTGGCTCTATTTTATTTACATTTATTACATTTGGCTCTTTAGTTGATCAGGAATTAATTTGGTATGTGGTTTATGGTGGGATACTATTTATTCCCCCAGTTTTTCCATTTTTACCAGTTCTTCAGCTTGTCGATTGTCCCAGCACCAGTCTTCAACAATGTATCATTTTCTTGATAATTTATAATTCATCTTTATCATATGTTACAATTTTTCAACACTTGGGTCTGTTTCTGTGATACCTCTTCTATTTCGTTGATTGATTTATCTTTTGTGTGTGTGTCTGTGTGTGTGTGTGTGTGTTTGTGTGTTTTCCAGGAAACCCAGAGTAGTGTAGTCATTGTGTGTTTTTATATATGTAAGAGAACATTTCCCCTTATCAATGATCTTTTTCAAAAATTTCTTAAACATATTACATATTTCTTTTTTCAGATGCTCTTTACAAATATTTTTTAACTTCTTAAAATATCTCATTGAGGATTCCGTTCCAAGATGGCCAAATAGGAACAGCTCTGGTCTGCAGCTCCCAGTGTGATCGACGCAGAAGACGGATGATTTCTGCATTTCCAACTGAGGTACCTGGTTCATCTTACTAGGACTGGTTGGACAGTGGGTGCAGCCCACGGAGGGTGAGCCGAAGCAGGGCAGGGCATCGCCTCACCTGGGAAGCGCAAGGAGTCAGGGGATTTCCTTTTCCTAGCCAAGGGAAGCCGTGACAGATGGTACCTGGAAAAACGGGACACTCCTGCCCAAATACTGCGCTTTTCCAAAGTCTTAGCAAATGGCACACCAGGAGATTATATCCTGTGCCTGGCTCGACAGATCCTATGTCCATGGAGCCTTGCTCACTGCTAGTGCAACAGTCTGAGATTGACCTGCAAGGCAGCAACCTGGCATGGGGAGGGGCATCCGCCATTGCTGAGGCTTGAGTAGGTAAATAAAGTGGCTGTGGAAGCTCGAACTGGGTGGAGCCCACCACAGCTCAGCAAGGCTGACTGCCTCTGTAGTCTCCACCTCTGGGGCAGGGCATAGCTGAACAAAAAGCAGCAGAAACTTCTGCAGACTTAAACATCCCTGTCTGACAGCTCTGAAGAGAGCAGTGGTTCTCCCAGGATGGTGTTTTAGCTTGGAGAACAGACAGACTGCCTCCTCAAGTGGGTCCCTGACCCCCATGTAGCCTAACTGGGAGACACCTCCCAGTAGCCGACTGACACCTCATACAGGCAGGTGCCCCTCTGGGATGAAGCTTCCAGAGGAAGGATCACTCAGCAATATTTGCTGTTCTGCAATATTTGCTGTTCTGCAGCCTCTGATGGTGATACCCAGGCAAACAGGTCTGGAGTAGACCTCCAGCAAACTCCAACAGACCTGCAGCTGAGGGACCTCACTGGTAGAAGGAAAACTAACAAACAGAAAGAAATAGCATCAACATCAACAAAAAGGACATCCACACCAAAACCCCATCTGTAAGTTACCAACATCAAAGACCAAAGGTAGATAAAACCACAAAGATGGGGAGAAACCAGAGCAGAAAAGCTGAAAATTCTAAAAACCAGAGCACCTCTTCTCCTCCAAAGGATCACAACTCCTTGCCAGCAATGGAACAAAGCTGGGTGGAGAATGACTTTGACGAGCTGACAGAAGTGGACTTCAGAAGGTCAGTAATAATAAACTTCTCCCAGCTAAAGGAGGATGTTCTAACCCATCGCAAGGAAGCTAAAAACCTTGAAAATAGATTAGACGAATGGCTAACTAGAATAAACAGTGTAGAGAAGACCTTAAATGACCTGATGGAGCTGAAAACCATGGCACGAGAACTTTGTGACACATGCACAAGCTTCAATAGCCGATTCGATCAAGAAAGGATATCAGTGATTGAAGATCAAATTAATGAAATAACTCAAGAAGATTAGAGAAAAAAGAGTAAAAGGGAACGAACAAAGCCTCCAAGAAATATGGGACTATGTGAAAGACCAAATCTACGTTTGATTGGTGTACCTGAAAATGACAGGGAGAATGGAACCAAGTTGGAAAACACTCCTCAGGATATTATCAAGGAGAACTTCCCCAACTTAGCAAAGCAGGCCAACATTCAAATTCAGGATATACAGAGAATGCCACAAAGATACTCCTCAAGAAGAGCAAACCCAAGACACATAATTGGCAGATTCACCAAGGTTGAAATGAAGGAAAAAATGTTAAGCGCAGCCAGAGAGAAAGGTCGGGTTACGCACAAAGGGAAGCCCATCAGACTAACAGCGGATCTCTCGGCAGAAACCCTACAAGCCCGAAGAGAGTGGGGGCCAATATTCAACATTCTTAAAGAAAAGAATTTTCAACCCAGAATTTCATATCCAGCCAAACTAAGCTTCATAAGTGAAGAATAAAATCCTTTCCAGACAAGCAAATGCTGAGAGATTTTGTCACCACCAGGCCTGCCCTAAAAGAGCTCCTGAAGGAAGCACTAAACATGGAAAGGAAAAACCGGTACCAGCCACTGCAAAAATATGCCAAATTGTAAAGACCATCGATGCTATGAAGAAACTGCATGAACTAACAAGCAAAATAACCAGCTAACATCATAATGACAGGATCAAATTCACACATAACAATATTAACCTTAAATGTAAATGGGCTAAATGCCCCAATTAAAAGACACAGACTGGCAAATTGGATAAAGAGTCAAGACCCATCCGTGTCCTGTATTCAGGAGACCCATCTCACGTGCAGAGACACACATAGGCTCAAAATAAAGGGATGGAGGAAGATCTACCAAGCAAATGGAAAGCAGAAAAAAGCAGGGGTTGCAATCCTAGTCTCTGATTAAACAGACTTTAAACCAACAAAGATCAAACGGGACAAAGAAGGCCATTACATAATGGTAAAGGGATCAATTCAACAAGAAGAGCTAACTATCCTAAATATATATGCACCCAATACAGGAACACCCAGATTCATAAAACAAGTCCTTAGAGACCTACAAAGAAACTTAGACTCCCACACAATAATAATGGGAGACTTTAACACCCCACTGTCAATATTAGACAGATCAATGAGACAGAAGGTTAACAAGGATATCCAGGACTTGAACTCAGATCTGCACCAAGCAGACTTAATAGACATCTACAGACCTCTCCACCCCAAATGAAGAGAGTATACATTCTTCTCAGCACCACATCACACTTATTCCAAAATTGACCACATAGTTGGAAGTAAAGCACTCCTTAGCACATGTAAAGGAACAGAAATCACAACAAACTGTGTCTCAGACCACAGTGCAATCAAATTAGAACTCAGGATTAAGAAACTCACTCAAAACTGCACAACTGCATGGAAACTGAACAATCTGCTCCTGAATGACTACTGGGTAAATAACGAAATGAAGGCAGAAATAAAGACGTTCTTTGAAAACAATGAGAGCAAAGACACAACGTGCCAGAATCTCTGGAACACACTTAAAGCACGGTATATAGGGAAATTTATAGCACTAAATACCCACAAGAGAAAGCAGGAAAGATCAAAATCAACACCCTAACATCATAATTAAAAGAACTAGAGAAGCAAGAGCAAACAAATTCAAAAGCTAGCAGAAGGCAAGAAATAACTAAGATCAGAGCAGAACTGAAAGAGATAGAGACACAAAAACTTCAAAAAAATCAACGAATCCAGGAGCTCGTTTTTTGAAAAGATCAACAAAATTGATAGACTGTTAGCAAGACTAATAAAGAAGAAAAGAGAGAAGAATCAAATCGATGGTATAAAAAGTGATAAAGGGGATGTCACCACCAATCCCACAGAAATACAAACTACCATCAGAGAATACTATAAACACCTCTACACAAATAAACTAGAAAATCTAGAAGAAATGGATAAATTCCTGGACACATACAGCCTCCCAAGACTAAACCAGGAAGAAGTTGAATCTCTGATTAGACCAATAACAGGCTCTGAAATTGAGGCAGTAGTTAATAGCCCACCAACCAAAAACAGTCCAGGACCAGACAGATTCACAGCCAAATTCTACCAGAGGTACAGAGGAGCTGGTACCATTCTTTCTGAAACTATTCCTAGCAATAGAAAAGAGGGAATCCTCCCTAATTCATTTTATGAGGCCAGCATCATCCTGATACCAAAGCCTGGCAGAGACACAACAAAAAAAAGAGAGGCCGGGCGCGGTGGCTCACGCCTGTAATCCCAGCACTTTGGGAGGCCGAGGCGGGTGGATCATGAGGTCAGGAGATCGAGACCATCCTGGCTAACAAGGTGAAACCCCGTCTCTACTAAAAATACAAAAAAATTAGCCGGGCGCGGTGGCGGGCGCCTGTAGTCCCAGCTACTCGGGAGGCTGAGGCAGGAGAATGGCGTGAACCCGGGAAGCAGAGCTTGCAGTGAGCCGAGATTGCGCCACTGCAGTCCGCAGTCCGGCCTGGGCGACAGAGCGAGACTCCGTCTCAAAAAAAAAAAAAAAAAGAGAATTTTATACCAATATCCCTGATGAACATCGATGCAAAAATCCTCAATAAAATACTGGCAAACCGAATCCAGTAGCACATCAAAAAGCTTCTCCACCACGATCAAGTGGGCTTCATCCCTGGGATGCAAGGCTGTTTCAACATATGCAAATCAATAAACATAATCCATCACAGAAACAGAACCAATGACAAAAACCGCTTGATTATCTCAATAGATGCAGAAAAGGCCGTCGACAAAATTCAAAAGCCCTTCATGCTAAAAACTCTCAATAAACTAGGTATTGATAGAACGTTTCTCAAAATAATAAGAGCTATATATGACAAACCCACAGCCAATATCATGTGGAATGGGCTAAAGCTGTTGACCTGATAGATATGGGTTCAAGAGGACACAGCTGAATACTGTGCTTAGGAAAAGAACAGTTTCAAAGGCTTTCCAGATTGTCAGATTTGATGATATCCTCCTTGGTGCACACCTCTCTTGGCTATGGGGCACATAAACCACCTCTACCAATCTAACTGGTTTGTGCAGTTTTTCTGATTTTGTATCTACCGGCAAAATATATCTTAAGCCATTTTTAGGAAACAGGAGGTTTAGTCACGTGCTCAACAAAAGCACAACAAATGGGGAGCATTTAATGGTGTAAGGGCTGTGAGGTGTAGCTGCTGAAACTGTAGCTAGGAGCTGCCTTGCTGCCTTCTTGCAGGCAGATTGGCCAGATGAGCCAGGCTAAAATACAATTAATATCTACCATTGTGGTTTAATATGAAATATGGATACCTGGTCTTTGTCTCAGTTCTTGTCATAGAGTTCCCCAAACCTTTAGAACTTCCTGAGTGGTAGGAATATCTCATTAGTGATAATGAGCCCCTTTGATTCGATAACTCCTGAGTTTATGCTAATGAGGTTACTTAATGTGGGGCCCTAGATATTCTTAGGATGGGGCTAGTTCCCGGAAAGACCAGGTCATTTGAGGATTAGAGGGTTGGAACTTTTAGCTCTACCCACTGATCTCTGGGTGGGGAAGGTGCTGGAGATCAAGCTGCCTAAAAACTCTTGAACAACAAGATTTGAGGAGCTTCCAGTAAATGCGTCCACAAGCTGGGAGGGCACTGCACCCCAGTTTCACTGGGACAGAAGCTCTTGCACTTGGAATCTTTCCAGACCTAGCCCTTCATGCTGCTTCATCTGGCTGTTCATCTGTATCCTTTATAATAAATTGGCAAATGTAAAGGTTTAGCTGAATTTGGTGAGCCTTTCTAGAAAATTAATTGAACCTAAGAAGGGGTCTGTGGAAACCCTGGTTTGTAGTTGGTAGGTCAGAGGTGCGTGTGGCTTGGATGTTCGAATGGCATCTGAAGAGGGACAGAGCACACAACCTGTGGGATCTGACACTATCTCCCCGCAGATAGGGTCAGAGCTTAATTCTATTAGAGAACACCCCATTGGTATCTGCTGGAGAATTACTTGGTGTATGAGAAGCCCCCCACCACATCTGGTCACAGAAGTATTGTGGGTTGAGTGTGACAGTACAGGGTAAAAAGTGGTTTGTTTTTTCCTCTAACAGTGATCACTCCCTCTCAAAGGAGTGTGGAAGGTTTTCTGGATAGGAATACTGCATATAATCATTTGGTTCACTTCAGAAACTACTATAATTTTGACTGTGCTGGTTCACTTCCACATGTACAAACACACACACATACACACACATTGTTGTCACCTAATATTTGCGTTAATACAATGATGTTATTTTTATTTGGATAGTATTTGTATGATTGGAAATGAGTGTTAATCTTTATATGTATTTTACCAGTCCTTGACTAACATGTTTTCAAGACATCTTACCAATCCATTTCATTGAATTAATGAGTAAGGAGACTCTCTAGAAATGGTTGGTTTGTAAAGCAAGGACATTATCTGGAAGAATCATCCAGAGTTTACTGTATGACGAGCATTTCTTGATAGCAAGGTTCATTTTGGTGTCAATCGTTACAGTCAGTCCATTTCAGTGGGAACAACGAATTTCTCCACAGGGTCTTATTTTTCTGTTTTTCACTTCACCAAATGGGGTAGATATTTTTTCAGAATGCAGTTATTAGAACCTTGGGATTTTCTTCTGTCTCCATTGAGTCTCTTGTTTTTTTCCCAGATCTGAACCTGAAAATAAAATAGATGCTAAGGAAAATTAAATATTCAAGACTTTCCTCCTCAAAATGCTCCATCCAAATTGACATTGAAAAATATTTCTCCAATCAATGAACAAGTAACTATTTGAACTCTAATGAGAACCTCATGGTGTAGATCTAATATTTTATGCTTTTAAACATCTGAGGCTACTTTCTTAATTAAGCATAGAAGCCAGAATTTAAACTCTTTCACAGTTTTCCCAAGCAAAGGATAGAGAGGGAGGCATGAAATTCTTGGCAATTAAAGTTGATACTGAAGTAGTTCTATCATTAGAAGAAAACAACTTATCAACAATGGGCACTTTTTGCTATAAATGTTCTGTCAGGGATCAGAATTAATTCATATGCAGAGTTACCTTTATCAAGGCCAGGCACTGGGAACACTTTATCTTTTATAACCTCAAAATAGCCGTATGAAATATCCCATATAGCAGATGGGAATACTGAAGCTTAGTGAATATTAAGTGATATGCCCAAATTTTTGCAGTAGATTTGGGATTTAAAGCCAGGCAGTGTTACTCGAAACTCTAAACTTCTCCTAAATACCACTAATCTTTTAAATGTTTGCTGTGGTGTCATAAAAAGATACTGGTCTTTGTCCCTGGCTCCTAACATAGAGATCCTAAATCTCTTATAATTTCTGGAGTGATAGGGAGTGATAAAAGCTTCTTTTGTTCTAATGAGGCAACCCTTGGCTGGGCCCTTAGATAGCTTCAGGGTGGGGGCTGGTCACCAGAAGACTAAGCCTGGATTAGAAGCCTGGAACCTCTGGGGAGAGGAGAGAGGCTGGGGATAGACTTAATAATCCATCATGCCAACATGACTAAACCTCCATGAAAACCTCTAAATGATGGGGTTTGGAGAACTTCCGAGTTGGTGACCACATCCACATGCCAGGAGGGCAGTGCACCTTAACTCCGTAGGGACAGAACCTCTGCACTCAGGACCCTTCCAGACCTCTCTGTATGTACCTCTTCATCTGGCTGTTCATTTGTATCCTTTGTAAGAAACCGCTAGTGGCCAGTGTTCTGAGTGCTGTGAGTCATTCTAGCAAATAATCAAACCCAAGGAGGGGATTTGTTGGAACCCCAGACTTGGTAGCAAAGTCAGAGAGAAATGTGGGTAACCTGGGGACCTGACATTTGTGAGTGGCAAGTGAAGCAAGGCAGTATTGTGGGACTGAGTCTTTACACCTGTGGAGTCTGATGCTAAATTTAGGTATTGTCAAAATTGAACTGCATTATAGGACACTCAATAGGTGTCAGAATTGGTTTGCGTCAAGAAGAAAAACCCTTGCGCAATCTCATAAGCCAAAAAAAGATGTTGAATTGTTTTATTTTTGCATTTCCTTATTAATGTGGACAAATAACTTTTTTCATGTATATATTGGACACTGAAGTGACTTCTTCTGTAAACTGTCTGTTCTTGTCCTTTGCTGGTTTTCCTACTGAATTGTTTGTCTTTTTCTCACTGGTTACTATGAGCTTTTTGTATATTAAGTATATTAGCCTTATGTTTAGGTTTTGTGTAGCAAATATTTTCTCCTGGCTTATTGACTTTTGTCTTTGTGGGTGGTTTCTTTTTGCCTTGCCAATAATTTAAAAAATGTACAATCAGATATATCAATCTGTTCCTTTATGGTTCTTTGATTTTATGTTATGCTCAGTAAGATCTTCTCTAAGGTTATAAAAATGTTTGTTTCCTCCTGGTATATTTATGATTTTACATTTTTAGGCCTAAATTTTTTAACTGTCTGGATTTTATCTTGATGTGTTTTTTTTTTGGAGACGGAGTCTCGCTCTGTCACGCAGACTGGAGTGTAGTGGCGCGATTTCGGCTCACTGCAACATCCACCACCCTGGTTCAAGCGATTCTCCTGCCTCAGCCTCCCGCGAGCTGGGATTACAGGGGTGCGCCACCATGCCTGGCTAATTTTTGTATTTTTAGTAGAGATGGGGTTTCACCATGTTGGACAGACTGTTCTCGAACTCCTGACCTCAAGCAATCTGCCTGCCTCAATCTCCCTAAGTGCTGGGATTACAGGTGTGAGCCACCATGCCCAGCCAATGCATTTTTTAAAGAGACAACTTTTTAATTTATTCAAAATGTCTAGCTGAATGTTCTAATACCTTTTACTGAATAACTATTCCCCCTTGACTTTGCTACTTTTTATTACATACTGAATTTTTATATTTTCTTGGGTTTTATCCTGAACTCTATCCTATTCCATTGGTTTCTATTCCTATACCATTATCACATTGTTTTAATTACTATTGCTCAACAATATGCTTTATTACTATTATTATTATTTTTGAGACAGAGTCTAGCTCTGTTGCCCAGTCTGGAGTGCGGTGGCATGATGTTGGCTCACTGCAACCTCCACCTCCCGGGTTCAAGCAATTCTCCTACCTCAGCCTCCTGAGTAGCTGGGACTACAGGTGTGTGCCACCATGCCCAGCTAATTTTTGTATTTTTAGTAGAGACAGGGTTTCACCATGTTGGCCAGGATGGTCTCGATCTCTTGACCTCATGATCCGCCTGCCTCAGCCTCCCAAAGTGTTGGGATTACAGGCATGTGCCACCGCGCCTGGCCTATTATTTATTTATTTTTTTTGAGACGGAGTTTTGCTCTTGTTGCCCAGGCTGGAGTGCAGTGGTGTGATCTCAGCTCACTGCAACCTCTGCCTCCTGGGTCAAGCAGTTCTCCTGCCTCAGCCTCCTGAGTAGCTGGGATTACATGTGACTGCCACCACACCCAGCTAATTTTTTGTATTTTTAGTAAAGATGAGGTTTCACTATGTTGGCCAGGCTGGTCTCAAATTCCTGACCTCAGGTGATCCACCTGCCTCAGCCTCCCAAAGTGCTGGGATTACAGGCGTGAGCCACTGTGCCCAGCCAACAATATGCTTTATTATCTGATAGAGCTAGTCTCTACTTATTACTCTTCTATTTCAGAACCTTCCTAGCTATTCTTCCATGCTTATTCTCCCTAAGGCATTTTGGTATCATTTTGTTAAAAGTCCTACTTACCATTTCACTTTCTGCATCTGCTCTAAGGTTTCTGGAAGAGTCATTCCCAAACTTTCAGGGAAAAAAAGGGTGAGGATTCCAATCAGGACAGTCAGACTACCCATGACGATGTAGGGCAGCATTCTGTTGTAAGCACCTGTAAAGCCCGGGACATAAGAACATCAATCAGATAGGAGGACTCTCTGGGCACTCTTGAGCATCATTTTGTGAAGTTGGTGAACAGTATAAGAGAATGGATTTAAATCTGAACATTTTCAGAGAAAAAAAAGTAAGCAAAATATCAGTTTCTTTTTGGCAGATGACATTGTGCATGTCTATAATCCTTTTGCATTATCATAAGGCTTTTCATTCTTTCCTGTCAACTGGTATCCTCTAAGCTACTACTCAGTCATGTGTGACAGATGTTCCTTTGGTAGAGTTCTTTGCCTACCAGAGTTCTCCTCTTAAGGTGGAGGTAATTGGAAATGGGGGATGGGAGGACATCAAGGAGAAGGAGGTTAACCAGGATGTTTCAGGGATAGGTTTTGGCTATGATAGGTCTGGCATGACTCTGCTTTTGCCCAAACTAGTAGGCTGCAGTGGAAAGTTAGGTCCACAGGGCTATGAGACTCAAAAAAAAAAAAAAAAAAAAAAAAAACAACTAAGTATTATGTTCACTTCAGATTAAATCAGTAAATTATAAGTATCAGGCACATTCTGTAAAGGCACTGTGTGCCTGGATTTGGCTTCTTTTTGGAGCACTTACATGTCTTGGGTTAATATGTAATCTCTTTGTGAAGCTTTACTCACACAGGAGAAAAACAGATCCTCATCTTGCTTTGCCCCTGTATACATACAGAGCTTACAGAGGAACAGCACACCCATGGATTTCATTTGACCCAAAACATAAGGAAAATATTGTTATTGCAGCTTCTCTGAGGCCTCTGTGTCACTAACAGGAGTAGCTGTGTGGAGTAGGAGACTCTTGGACTCCCTGTCTTATGTACCAGTGTCTGACCACTGGACCATCTGAGCATAGTTTGAAATAGTTTGAAAGTACAGGGAAGGACAAAGGGAAAAATAACACCACTCTGTATAATCTGCTATCTCAGGTGTGGCACAGGGCAACTGTGCAGAATATGTTTGTTAGGAAAATGTTTCTCTTTCTCTGTAAGGGTTTGGATTATACCTTTCCTGAGAATTCATACATGTTTTCAGGTGTGTGTGTGTGTGTGTGTGTGTGTGTACGTGTGTACCAGTAGGTAACCAATTGCCCAATTGATGAGGTGTGTCTGCATTTCTCACCAGTAGAGTCCTTAATGAGGACCAGGCATGGGGTGTCAGATCCTACATCAGATTGAACATGCCGCTGAAACACCTCTGTAGTTTCATTTCAGATTGACACCTTTGAGTATATAAAAACTAAAATTGTCTTCATTACAAAGATATCATAAAGTGAAAATACAAATGGTAAACTAGGAAAAATATTTACAACATATATACAAGGGGCTAATTTCTTCCATTGCAAAGAGTTTGCACAAGTCAAAAAGAAAAAGATGAATACACCTGTTGCAGGAAGTTAGGGACCCCGAAAGGAGGGACTGGCTGAAGCCATGGCAGAAGAATGTGGATTGTGAAGATTTCATGGACATTTATTAGTTCCCCAAATTAATACTTTTATAATTTCTTACGCCTGTCTTTACTGCAATCTCTGAACATAAATTGTGAAGATTTCATGGACACTTATCACTTCCCCAATCAACACCCTTGTGATTTCCTATGCCTGTCTTTAATCTCTTAATCCCGTCATCTTCATAAGCTGAGGAGGATGTATGTCGCCTCAGGACCCTGTGATGATTGCGTTAACTGCACAAATTGTTTGTAGAGCATGTGTGTTTGAACAATACGAAATCTGGGCACCTTGAAAAAAGAACAGGATAACAGCAATGTTCAGGGAACAAGAGAGATAACCTTAAACTCTGACCGCTGGTGAGTCGGGCAGAACAGAGCCATATTTCTCTTCTTTCAAAAGTAAATGGGAGAAATATCGCTGAATTCTTTTTCTCAGCAAGGAACATCCCTGAGAAAGACAATTCGTCCCTGAGGGTAGGCCTCTAAAATGGCCACTTTGGGGGCAGCTGTCTTTTACGGTTGTAGCTGTAGGGATGAAATAAGCCCCAGTCTCCCGTAGCACTCCCAGGCTTGTTAGGATGAGGAAATTCCCACCTAATAAATTTTGGTCAGACCGGTTGTCTGCTCTCAAACCCTGTTTCCTGATAAGATGTTATCAATGACAATGCGTGCCCAAAACTTCATTAGCAATTTTAATTTTGCCCCGGTCCTGTGGTCCTGTGATCTCACCCTGCCTCCATTTGCCTTGTGATATTCTATTACCTTGTGAAGCACGTGATCTCTGTGACCTACACCCTATTCGTACACTCCCTCCCCTTTTGAAATCACTAATAAAAACTTGCTGGTTTTATGGCTCAGGGGGCATCATGGAACCTGCCAATATGTGATGTCTCCCCCGGACACCTAGCTTTAAAATTTCTCTCTTTTGTACTCTGTCCCTTTATTTCTCAGACCAGCTGGCACTTAGGGAAAATAGAAAAGAACCTATGTGAATTATCAGGGCTGAATTTTGCCCGATATACACCATTAAAGAATGGGCAAAGAAGGCCAGGCACAGTGGCTCATGTCTGTTATCCCAGCACTTTGGGAGGCCAAGGCAGGTGGATCACCTGAGGTCAGGGGTTTGAGACCAGCCTGACCAATATGATGAAACCCCATCTCTACTAAAAATACAAAAAAAAAAAAAATTAGCCGGACATGGTGGCATGCGCCTGTAGTCCCAGCAACTCAGGAGGTTGAGGCAGGAGAATTGATTGAACCCAGGCGGCGGAGGTTGCAGTGAGCTGAGATTGCGCCACTGTACTCCAGCCTGGGTGACAGAGTGAGACTCCATCTCCAAAAAAAAAAAAAGGGGCAAAGAACATGAGCAGTCAGTTCACTGAAAAATAAATAAAATGGCCAAAAAATACACAAAAACATGCTCAACCTCATTCATAATTAATAAATAGGAATGAAAGTAACAATGATATCCATTTTTCACATAACAGATAACCAATGATTAAAAAATTAGGTAGGCCAGGTGCTGTGGCTCAAACCTGTAATCCCAGCACTTTGGGAGGTTGAGGCGGGTGGATCACTTGAGCCCAGGAGTTCGAAACCAGCCTGGGCAAACTGGCAAAATCCCGTCTCTACCAGAAAAAAAAAAAAATTAGCTGGGCTTGACGGTGTGCATGCCTGTAGTTCCAGCTAGTTGGGAGTCTGAGGTGGGAGGATCTCTTGAGCCTGGGGGATTGAGGCTGCAGTGAGCTGGGAATCTAGGATCGCACCACTACACTCCAGAGTGAGACCCTGTCTCAGAAAAAAAAAAAAAAAAAAAAAAAGGTAATCTTTATTGTTGGTGAGATTATTGAAAACCACTCTTACCTATTAATAATTAGATTATAATTGGCACAATATGTAGAGTTCAATTTGGGAATATCTATGAAATTTTTTAATGGCTCTCTTTGCTCCAGGAATTTTACTTCTATGAATCTACCTGTAAATCCAAATATACGTAAGTAAATTCACAAAGGGTGTAGGAGCATAGGAGAATGTTCGTTGTAATGTTATTTGTAATAGCAAAAACCTGGAAATGACCTACATGTCCTCCATTCATTGGAGCCTGGTTAAATAAATTATGTGTTTCAGTATAAAAGTAAGATTTTCATTGTGAAAACTTCAAATGGCATGGAATGTACTGGAAAAAAGTACAAGTTCACCTCCCCTCTCCCAGGAGGATCCCTAGAAAACCAACATGAACTGTTTGGTGAGTAGCCCTACAGACATTTTGTTTTGCACAACATTATGTACACACACACATATATATATAATTTTTTAACGGCACTCTTTGCTCCAGGAATTTTACTTCTGTGAATCTATCTGTAGATTATACTTACATATACTTATTTTAAAATGTACTTATATACATTTTTAAAAGGAGGTACCTATTTAAAAAGAAGGTAAAGGAGCAATATGTAACTATTTGGAAGGATATTCTGATACAATGTTAAGTTTAAAAAGTTTTAACATATATAATGTTATTTGTGTGTTTATTCTTTTTATTTTTTATTATTTTTATTTATTTTTGAGACAGAGTTTTGCTCTTGTTGCCCAGGTTGGAGTGCAGTGGTGCAATCTTGACTCACTGCAGCCTCTGCCTCCTGGGTTCAAGCAATTCTCCTACCTCAGCCTCCAGAGTAGCCGGGATTACAGGCACCTGCCAGCACACCTGGCTAATTTTTTTATTTTTAGTAGAGACAGGGTTTCACCATGCTGGCCAGGCTGGTCTTGAACTCCTGGCCTCAGGTGATCCACCTACCTTGGCCTCCCAAAGTGCTGGGATTACATGCATGAGCCACCACGCCTGAGTTGCTTGTGTGTTTAAAAAATTATATACATACCTGTGTACATGATGTTGTGCAAAACAAAATGTCTGTAGCGCTACTCACCAGTTTGTGATTGGCTTTCTAGAGCTCCTCCTGGGAGAGGAGAGGTGAACTTGTACTTTTTTCCAGTACATTCTATGCTATTTGACATTTTCACAATGAAAATCTTACTTTTACATTGAAAACTAATTTAAAGGAAGAACAAATGCACAAGATGCAGCTCACCGAGGTAAACAAAGTAGGGGGCAATGATGCTGCCCACTCTGGAGGCCGTGGATGTGACCCCCACCGCCATGTTCCTGACCAGGGTTGGGTAGAGCTCAGCAGTGAAGACATACAGCATGGAGAAAGCAGAGGTGATCCCAAATTTTCCCAGCATGACCAGACCAATGGATAAGAAGTAATAATCTGGAAAAGAGACCCGGTATAAACAATGGTGCTTTTAGAAGTGATACTTTCTTATATCAGTTATTTTTATTGTCCTTTTTGCTTCAGTGGGAGTACTTTTATTAACATAAATATATTCCCAAAATAGCATTTTCTCTTCAAATGTCCTAATATTTGGGCATGGACAAAGATGGAGCTCATGTGAGGGGTGGCTTTGTACTTTGTTCTACTGTTATTCTAGGTCATTAATGCATTCAGTGACCTTTGTCCACTTGTCTTTTGTTTGTTAAAACAGTTTCATGGGTAAGCTATTAGCATGTTAATATAGTTAAGTTTTATCTTCAAAGAGGAGGACCAATCCTTTCTATCCTCTTTCTTATTATTAAGAAATATGTATTTCTATTACTATCAATAATTTAGTGACATTTTAATATTATGAGAACGTCAGACACAAGGGGAAAAGGGAAGCATATATCCTTTTGTGTGCTATTTAACTACTTAAAGATTCAGACCAGAAAACCACTGAATGTATCCTGGAACCGACATGTCCTACTCACTGTAATACTTGAATATACACCCAGGGAAAATGTTTGAGAGTAGCCAGAAATTAGGAATCATGACTATGAGTTAAAGGGAGATGTTAGGTGAGTCTTTCTGTGAAGGGGATGACTGGGAGAGTTACTCTTCCTCTTTGGTGCTTTCTGCTTCTCTGAGACTGTCTCTTCTGTTTGGGGTAGTTGTTTTGAACACAGGAAACAACATACGTAGTGAGCAATCACCTGTCTAATTGACTTATGAATGGCTTATGATGTAAAGGCTGAATAAACATGGAGCAGTGACTCAGAAGCAGCCTAGTCAATATGTGGGTCTTTTCTGGTAAGCTGTTCATCTTGGTTAACTTCTTACCCACAGGTACCAGTTGAATGAAGAGAAGCACACCTCCTCCCCAGAACAGTACTGCAGCTATGATATAACGCCTGGGCAGGGTTCGCAATAGCAGCCAGGCTGTAATGTAAGCTGGAATTTCAATCAAGGCAGAGAGGAAACAGTTCAGGTAGGCATCTCCATGTAAATTAGGAGCATCCAGAGACAGAGCAAAGTAACCCACTGAGGTCAGCATCCTGAAAGAAGAAGGTAAAAATGACAAAGGGATGGTGTGAATCGCTCTAAAATTTTATGATGGTCAAGAAATTCTCTATATCTTGCTGTCTTATAAGTAGCCACTACCCTCATTGGCTACTTAAATTTGAATAAATTAAAATTAAATAAGATTACAAATTCAGTTCCTTAGTTACACTAGCCACACTTCAAGTGCTCAATAGCCACGTGTAGCTAGTGGCTACTATATTGAACGACATAGATATGAAACATTTCCGTCACTGCAGAAAGTTCTATTGGACAGTGCTAGTCTAGATATACCAATATTCAACAATAACTTTTCTCAGCTAGTTGATTTCAAGTTTTCCTATTTCCTGAATAGTTTGTACCTCCTCAATCTCTTAGAGCTATTATATGAAGAAAAAATATTAGTCACATCAGTGAACATAAAATCCAGATTTCATTCTTTAACAAAAAAGAGATACAAGGGTCATACTGTGGGATTCACTTAGAATAAATTCTGATTCTCTTTAGGGAAAAGAGTGAATGTCCCCTAATCCTTCAAAGTATCACAGACTGCAGTCTGTATATTCTGTCATTATAGTTAACTTCCATGTAGAAGCTTCTCTGTGGGCCATGCGTGGTGGCTCATGCCTGAAATCCCAGCACTTTGGGAGACCGAGGCAGGCAAATCACCTGAGGTCAGGAGTTTGAGACCAGCCTGGCCAACATGGTGAAACCCCGTCTCTACTTAAAAGACAAAAATTAGCCAGGCATGGTGGTGGCATGTGCCTATAATCCCAGCTACTTGGGAGGCTGAGACAGGAGAATTGCTTGAACCCAGGAGGCGAAGGTTGCAGTGAGCTGAGATCGCACCATTGCACTCCAGGCTGGGTGACAGAGCGAAACTCTATCTCAAAAAAATAAAAACATAAATAAAAAAAAGAAGCTTCTCTGTGGAAAAATAACTATGTAACTGAGTACCCCCATTTTTCTAAGAGATAGTTTATTTTCTCTCTCTCTTCTTTTCTCTTTCCTCCTTTTCTGCACTTTCTACTTAGCTCTTTAGAAGTGCAATTATAGCCTTTTAACCTCCTCTTCACTGGACACTCCCTGCAGGGCAAATTCATCTAACTATGTGCTTAGAAGCTCCAGAGTGGAACTCTCACCGCCCAGATTTCCTCAAGCGATATCAGTCAATTTCCAACTCAAAGTATGCCTGCTAGAGTTTTTGGCCACCTATACAACCTGTTTCTGCCCATGAAGGCACCACCTCAACTGCCCAGTAGATAAGGCAGCAAGCTAGCCCTCTGATCCCTCACCTGCTCGCGTCCTCCCCTGCCTTTTAGAAGTGCCTGCTTTCCGCTTCAAAAAGAGGAGCGGTGGTACCCTTCAGGCAGGAAGCCGATACCTTTCTCCCTAAGCTAGCTTTGGAATAAAAAGTCACTTTCCTTACATCAGACTTTGCTCTTGTTAATTGGACGCTGCAAGCTGTGAGTGACTGAACCTGAGTTTTTGTTACAACTGCACTATGCAGACACCCCTGTGTAGAAATTTGCTTATTATTAACATGACTGAGAAGCAGAGGATATCTGAAAAATGACTTCAGGAACACTAGTGGATCTTTTTACACATACTAGACCCAAATTAGATAATACAAGGACTAATTCATAAACACAACAAATAAGTATGCTCAAGGGATCTTAGTGATTTTCCCATTTAGTAATAGGAGTAGTTTAGATAGAACTAGTGACTAATTTTTTATTAGCTTAGTAGCACCACTACCCAAGAACATTTGCATCAGGGATATAGGCTGAAATGTAAGAACTAAGAAGCCCATGTACCTAGGACACACTTGCTTAATTCAGACGCATAAGCTCTGTCATTGATCTCTTCTAATTGCCAAGTAGGATGGCCCTTAAAAATAAACTTAGATTAGCTGCAGCCTAAATCTACCAGTTCTGACGATCATCGTGTGTGTGTGTGTGTGTGTGTGTGTGTGTGTGTGTGCTGCCATCATAGAGTAGGAATTTTCTTTTTTCCTTTTTTCTTGGCAGATAAATTATTAAATCTAATCTATAAAGCCAATTCAGTATTTCTGCGCCTGAAAGCCACTTGTTAGTTTGCTATTGGCACGTGTAAAAAGCTGATCAAGGCTCCAATCCAGGCAATGGGGATCTAGGTTATTCTAGCCTCAGTGTTCAATTGCCAGGTCAGCTTCAGGAAGCAGGAGCTGAATTAGCATCTCTGCCTCAGGCAACACGGACATCATTAGTCTTAATCTCATAATTTTTGGTGGGGAGGGAACCATTACCCAGGGACATCAATGATCTCAATCCCATAACTTTAGGAGGGGGAAGGGAATGCTTTCCCTTTGGGTCCCAGTACTGCAGACTTAAATACTGTACCCTGTGACTTTTTTTTTTTTAGATGGAGTCTTGCTCTGCTGCCCAGGCTGGAGTACAGTAGTGCGATCAAGGCTCACTGGAACCTCCACCTCCTGGGTTCAAGTGATTCTCCTGCCTCAGCCTCCCAAGTAGCTGGGATTACAGGTATGTGCCACCATGCCCAGGTAATTTTTGTATTTTTAGTAGAGACGGGGTTTCACCATGTTGGCTAGATTCGTCTCGAACTCCTGACCTCAGGTGATCTGCCCACCTTGGCCTCCCAAAGTGCTGGAATTACAGGCGTAAGCCATTGCGCCCAGTGACATTTTTCAATATCTAGTCCCATGAACTGAATAGAGGCATTTCAAAATAATTTAGAATTTTATAATCTTAATTTTTCCTCAGGAAAACCCAGTCGTTGTCATAATGTTCCTCTGAGTTAAGAAAATCAGTTGCATACTTATGTGCTGGATATCTGCATTTCCAGGTCACTTATTACTTACCATAGCAGCAAAGACATAATGGTCATTATGGCAATATTCCGAGTCCTGAACAGGTCCAGAATGAAAGCTTTCTGCTGCTTCAGGGGATTTAGCTCCTGTAACCAAAATAATGCAAATAACCATGAGATTAAGAGGTAGTAAGGAAGTATCTTTGGCTATGATGCATGGGGAAAACTTATGCATGCAACTCTCACTTCACCTTGACTATGCTTAGAAGTCTGGTGATTGGAGGCAATAGGGCATCTACATATATGACACTTACTCTGACACTTTAAAATGTTTGTAGTCCATTTTACACAGAAGCCTTTTAAATATATAACACCCCCTTCCCTGTCTCGTTAGACAAAGCCTGTTGGCTAACATAGCCTTTCTCTGACTGACAGTCAGAGAATGGATGTCATTTACCACACTGATCTGTGATCCTCAGGACTGCCTATTGAAGGGTAGGGCCATGTAGTCCCTTCCTTGAGGCCACGTCTGCTTTTTACACTTCTCTGTTTATTTGTTTGTTTTTTTTAGATGGAGTCTAGCTCTGTGGCCCAGGCTGGAGTGCAGTGGTGTGATCTCAGCTCACTGCAACCTCCACCTCCCAGGTTCAAGCGATTCTCCTGCCTCTCAGCCTCCTGAGTAGCTGGGATTACAGGCGAGCACCACCGCATCTGGCTAATTTTTGCATTTTTTGTAGAGACTGGGTTTCACCATGTTGGCCAGGTTGGTCTCAAACTCCTGGCCTCAAGCAGTCTGCCCACTTTGGCCTCCCAAAGTGCTGGGATTACCCAGCCTTGCTTTTTACACTTCTCTTGTTGTAGTCATTTAGCATCAGAACAGACTTCAGTTTACTGGCGGGCCTTGGGCAAGTAACGATCCTCTCTGAACTTCAGCTTACTGCTATATAAAATGGGTATATTAATTGGGAGTTGAGAGATTAAATGAGATCATATATATATAGCTTAGCACAGTGCTTGAACCATGGTAAATGTCCAGTAAATTTAAACTATTATTATTATTACTGTATCATTGAGGAAAAGAGGCTAGCCATCAGCGGTCAGTGACAAATCCTTACTGCTATCAATGGGTTTATACTCTTTTACTTTTATTTATATTTATTTTCTTGTTTGTTTTTTGAGAGGGAGTTTCACTCTTGTTGCCCAGGCTGGAGTACAGTGGCGCGATCTCAGCTCACTGCAACCTCCGCCTCCCAGGTTCAAGCAATTCCCCTGCCTCAGCCTCCTGAGTAGCTGGGATTACAGGCACCTGCCACCACACCTGGCTAATTTTTGTATTTTTAGTAGAGATGGGGTTTCGCCATATTGGCCAGGCTGGTCTCAAACTCCTGACTTCAGGTGATCCATCCACCTCAGCTTCCCAAAGTGCTGGGATTACAGGTGTGAGCCACTGCGCCCGGCCTATTCTTTTGCTTTTAATTTGCTGATATTAACTTGCTATGAGTTATGAATCAAGGTAACCAAGCTGATTAGAATTGAAACTAACATAAAAGTTATTAGGCTCTGAGGTGGGGAATCTCTCAGGGATGAAGTACCAGGACTTTGTGACTTTGTGGCCCTACAGTGCATGCGCAGTAAGAGACTGATGGAGGAGTTTTTATTATGAAGAAGTGGGAGTGCCAGGCCTGCCTTCACAGCAGGTCCTCTCCAAATGTGAGTGTCCTTTTTTCTAGGAATGATCAGACACTTACACAGCTCACAGCCACATTGCCTTTTCTCTCTTGCACTATTTGGATTGTAGAGCCCCAGAACATGCCCCCAGCAGAATAACCCTGGTATTATAACAAAGCAAAGCCACTGCATAAACTAGTGGGAACCAGACATCTTCTTGGAGGGTTCCAGGGTGGTGCACACAGACAGGACCTGTGGACCAGTCCTGTGCTAATACTTGGTGGTTCCACGGGGCCCTTCTTAAATGCAGGTTGCCAGGTTCCTCCCTGGGCTTGCCTACTTCGACTCTTTTAAACAGAGGCCTGAGAATCTGTATTCTTAAAGCACTTGGGTGATTGTGATGAGCAGCCAGGATTGGAAACCTCAGAACAAGAATATGCTTGTATCCAGTGGTTGTCCCTGGCCTGGGTGGAGCCACCAAAATGTCTTTGGATCAGGTACCAGAAGCAGGTTGAAGGTGCTTCTTCTGAAGCCAAGGATGCTTGAGATTGCTTTCTAAGACAATACTCTACTCTATATCTTTTCCTATCCAAGTTAATGCTACTGCCTGTAACATGAAGTGAAAAATCACAGTTGTTAAGAGCATGTACTTTGGTGCCTGGGAGAACTAGGTCACAAATCCCAGTTTAACATCTGTGTGATCCTGGGCAAGTTACTTAACTTCGCTGTGCCTTAGTTTCTTTTTTTGAAAAAAAAAAAAAGCATGAGCAATGAGCAGAACACAGTGCCTGGCATTTGGTAGGCTCTTCAATATCATTCTAAATAGGGTGCATTTGCTGGCACAGGGCTCTGCAGATCCTCCTAAAGAGGATCCTACGGGAGGTGAGCAGGGGAGATGACCAGGCCTCAGGAAAGCGCAAGCCCCCTTTCCCTTAATGGGTTTGTCCAGTTCAGGCTAGATGTGCATCATGGCAGGAAGAAAGAAGGCACTGTCAGGCTGAGAATGATGGCTCACATCTGTAATCCTAGCATTATGGGAGGCTGAGGTAGGAGGATTGCTTGAGCCCAGGAGTTTGAGACCAGCCTGGGCAACATAGTGAAACCCTGTCTCTACAAAAAAAAATACAAAATGTTAGCTGGGTTTGGTGGCAAGTGCCTGTAGTCCCAGCTTGGGAGGTTGAGGTGGGAGGATTGCTTGAGCCCAGAAGGTCGAGGTCGAGGCTACATTGAGCTGTAATTGTACCACTGCACTCTAGCCTGAGCAAAACAGTGAGACTCAAAATTTTTTTAAAGTGTGTGTGTGTATATATATATATATATATATATATATACACATACACACATATATATACACATTTATATATGCGTGTGTGTGTGTGTGTGTGTGTGTGTGTGTATATATATATATATAAAGGCACTGCCAGAACCATGTGTTTTAACACTGAACTATATTCTTATTTGTCCATAACTATATATCTCATATCTATTTTATGATTGCTGTCATCCACATAGGTAGATCCCTACAACTAGACTCTAAGTTTCACAGATAGGAATCAGGCCACCTAGCTGATAAATACCGATAAACACCCCAGCACAGCCCTGAAGGGCAGAAGTGTTAGACACTCCCAATGTTGTTGTTGTTGTTGTTGTTGTTGTTTTATCCATTTAAATTGACTGAGACTTGAAATGGACTTCTTGATTTGAAGGGCAAAGGATTAAGGGATGTTTTGTCCTGGCAGCCCTCTGAGAGCTTGAGTTCATGGCCAGTCTAAGCCTCTAGCCATAGCCAGAGTATCTGCTTCTGGAAAAGGTCCTGAAGGCCAGGGACTGGGGAAGCCGTGGGGGTGAGCAGTGGCATGCCCACCGTCCTCTACAGAGTTCTGCTTTCTGTACTACATGCTTTGGTGCAGGGCATGTATAATGTTACTGAAGCCACCACAGTCTTTTTTAGGTGTCCTGAGCAGACTCCTACCTATCTCCTAGACAGGAATGCCCTGCCCCATCCTCTCCACTCATTTAAGTGAGTCCTGCTGTCCTCCCTGGCTTGGACCTGCCTCCAGCCATGGGCCACCCTGCTATCTTTCTCTGTATTGCTGGCACACAGTGTCTCTACTTGGATACTTACCATTTCCTCCCTTATGCCATTCTTTATCTTTTTATCTAATCCTCTTGCCAATCTTAGTTACATTCTATGTTCCTTTAGAATTTGGGCTGTGTCTTTTCTTATTTCCTCTAGGAGCCAGCACAGGGCATGGCACACTGCATATCCTCACGAACTGTCAGGAGGTGTGGCTGCTTCCACAGAATATCAGCTTTTCCTTGTGGCCACCAGCTTTCAAGGGTGAATCCTCAAGCCTGTGCTTTCAGGCCTTAAGGTTCTAGACATGACACAGAGTGAGACTAAAGACATGCATAGCTTCCTCAGCAGTCTGTGGTAAGATTCAGGGTACAGTGGAGAACCCAGGGTGGACTAGCCCTGAAACATATTTTTCCACTTAATCTGGACATTTAAAAATCATCAGTACATAGCTGTGTCAGTGGTTTGGAGCAATGCCAATAGAAAGTTGATGATAAACTTGCAAAATAAAGCAAACTAATATTTAATGAACGCTTGCTATTTGCTAAGCAGTTTACATATATTATTGCATTTAATTCTTATAAACAGCCCTTTAAGGTGGATTTTATCTTAGAATTTAATCATGATTGTGTTCCTAAGGCCTAGTGCAATGCCTGGTACATAGTGGGCACTTAACAAATATTGAATTAAGTTAAATTCCATAAAATCAAGAATGCATAGCTGATCTCAAGAGGAAACATCTGCAAATGCTTACCTCCACAGAATCAAATATCACTGCTGGTACAGCTATGTTGTTCATTTTTGCAGCTTTTTGGATGATATCTTCAGCCTCTCTAAATCTTCTCTGGGATATCAGCCATCGGGGAGATTCAGGAATGAACCTATAATTTATTTTTAATATTTAATAATTTTTCACAACAGCAGGGCTGGATACTATTAAATCTGAGTTTCCCCCAAATAGTTTTAATTTTGTAAAATTCTAGTTTGTCTTTTTAAAGGGAGTCCACATAAGATTTCTATTGGAGCATAGGAATAAATAAAACCACCTTCAAGTTTCAAACTTCTGATCAAATTATAAGACCGATCATCAGTTGTGCTTGAGACCAGGACCAGACCATAAGGGGTGACATTAACTATGGGCATGTTTGAGCCAGGGCTCTGGAGAAGTTCATCCAAAACTTATAGGTAGTGTGGCTCATAAAAGAAACATAGCTACTAGACTATAAGTTCCCCTAGAGAAGAGACTGTCTTTGCAGTGGGTCCATCCTAAGGAGAATTGCTGGTGTCCCAGCTGGTGATGTTCACAGTTTATTGGGAAAAGGATGGCCAGGGCACCTGTGTTCTTGATCGTTTCCTTTAGTCAAAAGAGAAAGTGAGGGCACTGACACCCGCCTGTGTGGGGCCCCCATGGCTTTCAACAGATTCCCAGATCAGCGAGTGCCCAAACCAGCTTTTGGGAGATGAGCCCCAATGTTGTCTTTTTGTTAATGTCTAAAAAAGCTTATTGTTTTAAATTACATAGTCTATTCCCATTTATAGCTGATGCTCAAACACAGTTGCAAATAATAGGGCTTCTATTCTTTCTAAATTTTTATTTCTCAAAATCTTTTAGCCATTCTCCTGTCAGCTCTCATTTTCCTTACCTATTGTCAGTACAGATGGTCCCTAACTTATGATGGTTCGACTTATGATTTTTCTACTATAGGAGAAAAATGATATGCATTGAGTAGAAACCTTACTTTGAGTGCTCATACATACAGCCATTCTGTTGTTCACTTTCAGTACAGTATTTAATAAATTACATGAAATATTCAACACTTAATTATAAAATAGGTTTTGTGTTAGAAAATTTTGCCCAATTGTAGGCTAATGTAAGTGTTCTGAGCATGTTTAAGGTAGGTCAGGCTGAGCTATGATATTTGGTAGGGATGCAGGGCAGGCAAGCTCCAGAGTGGGGTTTGGCCCATGAGGGTTCTTGGCTTTGCCCAGGAAAGAATTCAAGGGCAAACTGGAGGTGGAAGAAAACAGCTTTATTGAAGAGGCAATGTTACAGCTCCGTGACTGCTCCTGCAGAGCAGGGCTGCCCCACAGGCAGAGAGTAGCAGCTCAGGACAGTTTTGCACTCATATTTATAACTACTTTTAATTACATGTAGATGAAAGGTCAGTTTATGCAGAAATTTCTAGGGAAAGGGTAGTAATTTTTGGGTCATTGGGTCATTGCCATGGAAAGGGGCAATAAAGCCTGAGTGTTGTCATGGCAACAGTAAACTGACATGGCACACGGGTGGGCGTGTCTTATGGAAAGCGTCTTCTGCCCTGGCTGTGTTTTAGCTGGTCCTCAATTTGGTCCAGTGTCCAAGCCCTGCCTCTGGAGTCGTGTCTGGCCTCCTACCTCAGTAGGTTAGGTGTATTGACCTAGAATATTCTCAATTTACAATGGGCTTATTGGGATGTAACCCCATTATAAGTCAAAGAGCATCTGTACTTACTTAGCCTAGACAACAAATTATAAGTAGCAGACACAGAGTCCTGTGTAGTTAATTGGCCCCAAACCCACACTAGGAATTAGCTCAGAGCAAAACAAATGACCAACCAGCAGGTCCCCTCTCCAGCTTAATAGCACATGAGTTGAAAAATGAGCCTAGTTTGCATTTTTCAGAATATGCCTTTAGTGGGTCCCTATAGGAACTACAATAATGTTAGGTCACTGACTCTCAGTAATTAGAACTGTGCTGTCCGATAGAAACTTCTGAAATGTTCTGTATCTGTACTAAGACAGCACCCACTAACCACATGTAGCTATTGAGCTAGTGTGATTGAAGAAATGAAAATTCAATTTTATTTACTTTTAATTAATTTTAACTTAAATAGCTGCATGTGGCTGGTGGCTACTATATTAGTGCAGAATTAGAGATCTTACTACACAGCCACGATATACCTCATGGATGGGGCCAGTATCTTTCTCCAACCAGATTATGCTTAGAAATATCCTACCTTTTTTTCTACAGACCACTGGCCTCAGATTCTTAATGTTTAATCAGCTAGAAATTGCATAGCTTTCCTCACATTGCATCTATGGCCTGCTTCCCTACCCCATCCCCACCGCCTATACACATACTCCATTCACACCTGTGGCCACTTACTGCCAAGCCTTTTAAAGGAAACTTGGGACATAAAAAGTCCCCCAAACCACCAGCAGTGCCTCTATGTAGGTTTACCTCCCATTTCTAGCCCACTGTACTCAGGGCCACTGGTATCTCTAGTTTTGAATTGCTTTGATTTTTTTTTGGTGCACATAATCTCAAATCTAGCTGATCATTTCAAAAGTCAATGGAGTGCCAAATGAGGTAGCACACTATAATCTCTCTGTAGATTGAATTCAGACTAAACAGCAGTGAGGTGTTGCTGGAGAGCTTGTCTCATACTGAGCAGGCGGCAGGGTCCATGTCAGCTCTAAGCATCCCTCCATACCCCAACCACTAGACTGATGAGCATCCCTTTGGGAAGACCCACCTGCAAGGATGGGATGTTCAGAAGAAAGCTATTTTCTTTTATAGGAAAATGGTAAGACCACTGGTAAATGTTCAGGGGGAGCACTCAGCTTGTCAGTGCTGGTCCCAGGCTGGCCTCTGTCTGGGGCAAGTCCTGTCCCTGGTACAGTATGCCCACAGCCAGGAGCATTCATGGACCAGCTCCTGGGGAATAGAAGAAAAAGCTCTCCTTAGGGCACAGTGAGCAGGCTCCCTGTGGGATGGACCTTCTCTGCTGGAAACTCTGGAGGCTGACTCTGGAGGGCTAATGGATCAGAGCTGTTCGTTCCTCGCTGTGACATATGGTCCCGAGGCAAAGATCCCATCCCTACTAATCTCTGTACAGCCCATCAGAGGCTTTATATTGTTATTCTCTCTCTCTCTTTCTCTCTGATAGAATCATACCTTAATCAGATTGATTATAACTTTTTTTTTGAGACAGCATCTCATTCTATCTGGGCTGGAGTGCAGTGGCATGATCATATAGCGCACTGTAATCTTGAACTCCCAGGCTCAAGGGACCCTCCCACCTCTGCCTCCTAAGTAGCTGGGACTACAGGCGCTCACCACTGCACCCAGCTAATTTTTTATTTTTAGTACAGACAGGGTTTTGCCATGTTGCCCAGGCTGGTTTTGAACTGCTGGGCTAAAGTGATCCTCCCACCTTGGCCTCCCAAAGTGCTGGGATTACAGGTGTGAATCACCATACCTGGCTAATTATAACATTTTGAAAGTACTGGTCTCTTAGGTCAAAATGACAACTAGAGCCAGAGAACATAGTTTATTAAAACCATTCAGCTGAAGAGGCAGAAAAGAACCTTTGAATAATCTTGTCATGTGTCTTGAGAGAACCTTAGTCACTAACATCTTTTCCAATAAATTCAGCTAGCAAGGGAGTTGTGGAGAGAAGGACAGATGATGATGATGATAATTACTCTCATTCAGAAAATTGCTCTGCTCTTGTAAGTCTGGGATGCTTTCCTTGGAGGCACAGCTATGTAGATAATGGCCAGCCCTTATTCACTGCTCCTCAGGCCGGGTTTCCCGGTCCTCAGACAGGGTTCCAGAGGAATGTTGCAAATCAGAATAATACATAACCTTTAACAAACTGTCAACTCCCCCTGCACACTTCATGCCAATAATTTACACTAGTAAATCACAGCACTCTTACAGGTCATGAGAATACAGGGGCTTAGAGTGAGCCCACCTGACCTGCGCTATCTCGTCAGACAGGTGGCCTGCCTGTCAACCTCTATGACTGCCTAACAGCTGCAGTAAGATAAAGGCCTAGACAGCTTCCCAGTCAGGAGGTATCCAAAGGACAGGGCAACCATGAGGTCTAGTCTAAATTGTGAGTTCCAAAAAATGGTCAAAGAAGCTTGTGTTATGTGTAAGCAGGTAGAAGTTATGCAGTTCGGTGAAACCAGTCAGTGCTGGAAGATTTGACTTTGATATAATGAAATCAAACAAAGAAGAATTAATGAGAGAGAAAGAGAATGAGAGAGAGACAGAACCAGACCCACCAATGGAAGGAATCTCCTTTTCTCTTGCTTAAATATGAAAAAGCAAAGGAACAGGAAATCTCCAAAAAGAGGGTATGTCTGACACCTTGTTCTATGATTTTTAATTTATTCTTTCACCTGAAATCCCCCAGATAGTCATATTGGGCAAGACTGAGGCCAGAATCTTCAAACTTTGTTATTCCTATAACTGTTGTGTTAAAACTGAGTTGGGAGGTTGTGGGAGGAGAGAAGAGGACATTTCTCTAACAATTTATTAAATAAAAAGTAATTTTCTCACTCTTCGAGACATAGCAGATAAATAGGCACACTATCATAGTGCTAATAAATAGGCTTCCCTTTCATAGATGCTAATCGTTATATGATAGGGAAGCTTGAAGAATTACATTAGTTGGATAGAGTGAGATTTTTCTAGAGAGAGAAAAGTGATGAAAGAGCAGGGGGCAGAGTTAAAAACAACAAAATCCAACACCACCAGCTCCACAAATAACAAGTAGCAACAGACAGGAGTGGCTGGTATCAAGGAAGAGATTGGAATCCTGAGAATGTGCTTTTTAGGACAATGGAGACTCAAACTCCAGCACACAGGCCCACCCACAATGAGGCAAAAACTCTCCCGGCTTGGAAGCTGGCCTCCGCGAGTTCCGTGGAGGTCATGCAAGCCCAGGCTAGGTCAGCATCAGGCTCCAGGTGTGTTCCAGGTGTGCTGACCCGCAGCAGAGGGCCTGTCTGGGGACGAGTCACACTCACCACCACAGCGGGACACACAGCACTCCCGGCACCGTCAGCGCCAGCAGCAGCATCCGCCAGTCTCTGATGAAGTAAGCAAACAGTGGCAGCAGCATATAGCCAACTGCAAAAAATGTGCACACTCCTAATGTAGAGAATATAATACGAACTGACTTGCCAAGAATTTCTGTTCCTGTTCAAAACAAGGGAGGAGTATTAGCATATTAACTCACTTTAATATTTGCTTTTTATATCATTATGTGGCAGTTAGAGTTCAAACTATCACCACTTAGAAAAGGGGAAAGGCATTTGCCTCATGGCCCAGAGCAGGCATGGTCAGGGTAGAGGAAGGTGGGACGTGATCCAAGACTTGGCAACTTATAGAAGGTTGAATTTCTATGAGATTTTAATGGAGCCATAGATTTATTTATTTATTTTTAATTAATTTATTATTATTATTATTATTTTTGAGACAAAGTCTCCCTCTGTTGCCCGGGCTGCAGTGCAGTGGCGTGATCTCAGCTCATTGCAACCTCTGCCTCCCAAGCTCAAGTGACCTTCCCACTTCAGCCTTCCGAACAGCTGGAACTACAGGCGTGCACCACCACGCCTGGCTAATTTTTGTATTTTTAGTAGAGACAGAGTTTCGCCATGTTGGCCAGGCTGGTCTTGAACTCCTGACCTCAAGTGATCTACCTGCCTTGGCCTCCCAAAATGTTGGGATTACAGTCATGAGCCACCGCGCCTGGCCAACTTATTTTAAGGCCATTCCATGTCATAAAAATATCATGCCCAGCCCCAAGAGCTAATCCCTTCTGAGAATGCCACATTTCCAAAATAAGAGCCCCAACATGAGAAGCAGAGAGAGCATTTCAGGAGACAAGCAGTGGCTCTTCTGAGGGGCCATGTGGGGTCAAGGTGTGTGTAGCCTTTCCAACAGTTCTGAACTGTAAATAAACAGACATTGGCCCATCAGGAAGCAGTGGAGAGTTCATCATTTCCAAGACCTCAGGGCACACTTACCCATGCCTGAGCCCTGAGAAATCAGTTGGAGTGAGCTGGCTCTGGAGGTACACAGACAGGCCTTCCTGCAGCATGCTGTGCCCAGAGATCAGCCCAGGCAGACACAGTCCACAGTCCATTTGGACCAAGGAAAGAAAAGCAGGCGCTGTTCTGCTGCCCCTGCAGGCAGCAGCCCTAGACCTGTCCACACACCCATTGAACTCACAGTGCTTTCCCTGAACAGCAGAAAGGCCCATGACTGCTTGGTGCGGGCACTGCTTTTTGGGAAAGGACATGCAGGCGACTATTGGCCTCTGCTCTGCTCAGTGCCACAGTGAGCAGAGATGGCACCAGATGGGAGTCCAAGAACAAAGCTCCTTCTCTTGTCACGGAGCTCTGGGCCCTTTCCACAGAGTCTGCCCTTGGTTCACTACACCTGGGGCGGAGATGTGACCAATGGCAATGGCTCTGCCTTTTGTTGGGGATCTGCCCATGCTATAGAGAAGTGGCCTGGAAGATACAAAACAGATAATTCAAAGGTCATTCATGCTTGCCTTTTAAGAGAGATTTTCTCAGTCATGTTTATATGCCCTAGGCACAGGCTAAGGGATTAAGAGCTAATTCCAGAGAAGCAGCAAAATTACTATGTTGGCTGGTTTCTCATTTTACCACCTATCTGTTCCCATCCCACCCCACTCATTCCCCTTCACTGTTCATAACTGAGAGATCTGCCTCAGTGGGTCCCTCTCAAGAGGCCATTTAAAAACCTGGACTGATAGAAACAGCCAGTACTTTGTGCCTCCTGCATCCCATGTTGGAGACAATTGCCCTAACCACCCAGAGCATTGCTCAGCCTATAAACCCATTTCCAAGGATAGGGCCTGACTTCTTTGAGGATCATGAGTATGATTTCCAGGTCTTTTCTGACCTCATTAATGACCTTCCTGCTATGCACTGGTTTCTAAACCCCTTGGCCGTGATTGTGATGTGGAAATAAATAGAAGGTGCTTTATTCTTAAGCAGAGATTCAGTGGCAGAGGGTTTGATTTTGGAAAAGAGAAAGGGCGCAGGATCAAGTGAGAATCTTGTAGAATTGTGAGGCCAGAGGAGCTTTCTCCTACCTTCATGACCTTGTTAAGAAAAGAGAAGTTATACTACTGGGTTCCTGGATAATCTCCCTCTCTAAGCATGGGTCTCAGACCAGAACAGTTATATAACTTTGCAGAGTGCATGTTGGGGACAGAGACTTTGTAGGTCTCTCTCTTTGCCTTCCTGTGGACAGCATGGATGGTACAAATTGAAATAATTCCTTTTTAGTCCTACTTTCTGCTCTCTTTTAGGCAGTCACCCTTCCTTAAACAGGATCACCATCTTCACAGCTAGCATTTTTTTGAGTAGGTACTTTGAGACAGGTTCCAGGCTAAGTGTTTACATATATTATCTCTTTGACCCTTCACACCAGTTATATAAAAACTAATATTCCAGGCCAGGCACGGTGGCTTATGCCTGTAATCCCAGCACTAGGGAAGCCAAGGCAGGCAGATCACCTGAGGTCAGGAGTTTGAGACCAGCCTGACCAATATGATGAAACCTGTCTCTACTAAGAATACAAAAATTAGCCAGGCATGGTGGCAGGCACCTGTAATCCCACCTATTCGGGAGGCTGAGACAGGATAATCGCTTGAACCCAGGAGGCAGAGGTTGCAGTGAGCCGAGATCATGCCACTGCACTCCAGACTGGGCAACAAGAGCGAAACTCCATCTCAAACAAAAACAAAAACTAAAACAAAAGCTAATATTCCTCCTACTTTACACATAATTAGCTGAGACTTCAGAGTTAAAGCCAATTGCTTAAATTCATGCACATAATAAGTGGTGCACCAGGATTTAAGCCTTATTTGCTCTATGGATACTGGTCTACCTTCCAAGAAAAAAATTACTGGGGGCATGACTTGGCCTTATAAAGCAGTTCTTCAACTGAGAGTCCAGTAGAGACATGAGGGGAGATGGGTAAGGCCATATCCTGCTGTCATTTTTACAGTTTTTCTTTTTTTTCTTTTTTTTTTTTTTTTTGAGACAGACTTGTGCTCTGTTGCCTAGGCCAGAGTGCAGTGGTGCAATCTCAGCTTACTGTAACCTCTTCCTCCTGGGTTCAAGCGATTTTCCTGCCTCAGCCTCCCAAGTAGCTAGGACTACAGGCGCTTGCCACCATGCCCGGCTAATTTTTGTATTTTTAGTAGAGACGGGGTTTTGCCATGTTGGCCAGGCTGGTCTTGAACTCCTGACCTCAGGTGATCCACCCACCTTATCCCCCTTTCAGAAGTGGATTTACATTTTCCCTTCCTTGGCTTGTCACTGGAAGCCAGCCAGACCCCTCTGAGTAATGCTAGGAGAGAACCCTGATTACACAGATCTTTTATGGCCTGCAGCTGCCATGAGCTTTCCATGTGGCAGTGAAACAGATGACACAGCAGTGACTCCTGCTGTGCTGACGGGGGATCCCTGTCCTGGCCCCCTATGCTCTATCTGCCTCTTCTGCCTGCTTTGCTTCTAGGGCAAAGCCTGGTTGGTCTTGGTCTGGCTGGGCTTCTGAGTTTCTCCTGGGAGTGAAACTTTGACATCTAAGCCAAAGGGACATGACCTGGCTAGGATGAGGGCCAGCATAGCCCTAGGAGTATTGCCCACCACCTGTCACACCCCTCTGAATCTGAGCACTCTCTCCAAGAGGGAGTGACTCAGAGAGGGCCAGGCTGCCTTCCATGTAGAGCAGTACCTGCCCCAGGAACCGCTGGGCCCATTCCACACAGAGGCAGGACATGCACCTTCATAAATGACCAACATAGGCTCTCAGTAGACCCCAGCTCAAGAAACAAGACTGTAGTGCAGCTGCCAGGATATGAGGCGAGACCCAGGAACCATGGGCTAGGAGTGTCCTCCATCTGGCACGGGGAGAACCTGGGTTCCTTGATGCTGAGTTGCTACTAGAGTGACTGTGATAAGCCGTCTTTCATGGAGATATTATTATGAAGACTGAGATCATGTATGCAAAGTGCCTAGGAGGGTGTCTGGCATGTGGCAGGTGCTCAGTAATAGTTATTCTTTATCCTGATCAAGCAGTTGAAATGTGCTACATGTCAGGGGAGTGATGGAAAGTACAATGCTTTTGATCCAAAAAGGCCCAGTGGAAGACAGAACTCCTCTTCAGGGCTTAACAGATGTTCCCCTGCTCAGGGCTTCCCCTCTGTCTGCACCAATCACTCCAGTCAAAAGTAACATTTCCTATCTCTGTGTATACCCAGCAATATGTGCCCCACTCCCTTGACCCATGTCCCCATGTCCACAGTGACAGCTGCATTGGCTGCAGAGGCACAACCAGGCAGTGAGCTCCTTGTGAATAGACAGGAGTAAGTTCTTGCTCTTCCCTGGGTCTCCCCAGTTCTTCCCTCTTACGGTGCAATGCAAATAAGGTATGCCAGCAAATTTCTGCATCATGTTTACGTATTTATATGCCAGCTCATCCCTTGGAGATTTTGAGGCAACTTCAAATTTAAATACAATAAAATAATGGTAACATTAAAGTAAGATATAAAGAAAAGTAAAAAGTTGTGCCTTGGTGAAAAGATCAAAAATACGCAGCTGACTATTTTGAAAACAGTTTGGCAGTTCCTCAAAAGGTTAAATATAGAATCACCATAGGACCCAGCAGAGGTCCTACCTTATACCCAAGAGAATTAAAAACATATATCCACAAAAATACTTATTCTCCAATGTTCATAGCATTATTCATAACAGCCCCAAAGTAGAAACACCCAGGTGTTCAATGACTGATGAATGGATGACCGAAATGTGTTGTCTTCATCCAGTGGAATACTAATTCATGTTACAACATGGATCAACCTTGAAAACAAGTGGAGTCAGTCACAAAGGCCACATAATATATGATTCTGTTTATATCAAATGTGCGGAATAGGGAAATCCATTAAAGGCAGAAAGTAAATTAGTGGTTGCCAGGGGCGAGGGGAAGAGGGAAATGACTGCTAATTCGTATAGGGTTTCTTTTCAGGGTGATGAGGAGTTAGATAGTGTTGATGGCTGTACAACTTTGTGAATATGCTAAACACCACTGAATTATACACTTTAAAAGTGTGAATATCATGGTATGCAAATCTGTCATGGACTGAATGTTTGTGTCCCTCTATTATTCATACATTGATCCCCTGACCTGATAGGGTATAGGATTAGTGTTCTTACAAGAAGAGACACCAGAGAGTGAGCTCTCTATGGCTCACTCTCTCTTTCTTGCTTTCCCTCTTTCTGAGCACTTGCGCAGAGGAAAGACCATGTGAGGACTTAGGGAGAAGGCAGCCATCTGCAACCCAATGGGAGAACCCTCACCAGACACCAACCCTGCTGGCACTTTGATCTTGGACTTCTACCCTCCACAACTGTGGAAAATAAATTTTGGTTGTTTAAACCACCCAGCCTATAGGATTTTGTTACGGCATCCTAAACAGGCGAAGACAAAATTATATTTCAACTGTTCAATTTAAAAACAGTAAAAAATATATATATATGTGGCTGGTAAAAGCTGCATCATTGATGTAGTTAAATTTCAAATTTGCCTGAGCTTCCTGGTAGCCAGAGTTGTAAAGGAAGATGCCATCACTTACACACCTATCAAAAGGAGGAACCTCTAGACATCAGAGGAAGCAAAGCTTTAAATGGTTCAGCATGCCCAAAGAAATGTCACATGGAGGTTGATGTTAGAAGTACTGAAAAATACTGAATTAATGAATCAGTCAAGAGTTTTTTCTGTGTTATTAAATACAGAAACACTTTTTGTGTTTAAGCAGCTAGTTATGGGGGATAAGAGAGGATACTGATGGCATTCTACCCAGAAGGCTATTGACAGGTGGAGGGCATTATTTCTGGGCAACAGTAGGAGATTGTGAGGGGAGCTGGAACGTGGGTAGGGTTAGTGTCCTTGGTCCCGAGTGGTCATTTCCTCCTAAACCAGCATCATTCCGGCAACACCATCACTTCCAGGCATGTCTGCTTTATGCTGTGTAGGGTAGCACTGTTCTTTCTTTCTCTTTTCTAGTCTGCTACGACTGTGGCAGCCTTGATCATTTTTTAAAAGCAGCACAAAACAAGGACTCATTTCTGCACTACTTTGACAGTGGGAGTAATTTGGCTTCCCAAGTTAATGTGAAATTATCATGCAGAGCTTTGCCAACCCTTCCTTAGGGCCAGAGGGTGGAAGCGAAGGCACCTACCAAACTCCTCAGCCCAGACCACACCCTTTGGTTTATTTTAGTCAAATACAACCTGGAATTCAGCTATTTTATCCCAGAAACACCAGAGAGCACTGCTGCACTGTAGGGAAGCTAGCAGCCACCTTGCCTTTGTACTGTGTCCCCCAACCCCAGGTGCTGACTGGGGCGTCCAGCCATTCCAGAGCAGGCTGGTTTTCAGGGACACTTAAACTTTCAGACCTGAGAACCCAACACAACGAGTCTCATACCAGGATACAAAAGCCAGTAATTTCCTGCAGAGCACAATGGAGTAAAACTACCATGAAGAGGCTCCCAGAGCACCCTATAACAGGCCTGGCCCCAGGCTGATAGCAAGCCCTGAGAGGCCTGGATCCCAGCTGATAGCGAGGCTGCTGCACCCAGGGTCTTACCTACTGACTGGCTGGCTTGACTGATCTTCCATGGCCTTACTTTCCCCTTGGCCCTCTTACCCTTCTTCACCCTGCATGTGGGACCACATGCTGCATGGGAACTGGGAGGAGAGTAGATGATAGTGTCAGAGCCGGCGGGGGAGGGCAGCCCTTTCCTGTAGGAAGCCTGGGGTATGCTCTCCCTGCCTCACCCGCTCACACAGGGGAGGCTTGGAGGCTCCAGAATCACCCTGTGCCACTAAAAAGGCAGATCTCAGTGCTGCCCATTCTATAGAACCGGGGATGCCACCACCTGGCACAAGTCCCACCTTGTTCCCATTCCCACGGAGAGAGCTTCTCTGGCTTCACCGTGACTCTCTACCCTTCTGTTCCAGATGGTCCTTCAGGTCCTCCTGGGATATGGGCCTGCTGGTCAGAGTCCTCCGTTTTGGGGAGGCCTGTTTGGCTTTTGGTATGTGTCTGGCCCAAGCAGAGCCACATGTTGGGTTTTTCAGGCTTAGGGAGGATCGTCACATGGAAGATGGATTCTGGGGACTTTGAACATGAAGACAATAGGCTTTGCCTTGTGTTCTTGGAGCCACTGGGGACTAGGAGGTTGCAATTTCTATCTTAAGTTCCTCCAACCTCCAGTTTCCAACAACACTGGCCTGAAGCTCCCTGTGCCCTCTACACAAATGATCTTCAAGAAAATCTTGCCCCGCTCCTTCCCCCTGCAGGAAGGGGAGCAGCCTCCTCCCGCTGGGGCCTGCTGAAGAGTGTGCTACCTGCTGGGACCATGTGGCTCCAGCATGTTCTTCCCACCTTGTCTCCTCCCTTCTCCCCTCTGCAGACACTGAGGCTGAGCCCATGGCACGGGGCTCTTCGCAAATAATTAAAGGAGTAGAGTTGGAATATTTCCATCCTGGCAACTTGACAGAAGGTGTACACACCATCAATTAAGACAGTGCAGCATCTCCAAAGCCAACGAGTCCTTCAGACTCTTAAAAAGCAATCAGAGTCACCTAACCAGATTCGGACTTTTGAGGCAAGAAGAATCGTTAGACTTCTATTAAAGGAGTATTATTAATAATGACACTGTGACAATAGGGACAAATTGGGATGGTACTGAGCCACCTAGAATATATTATCACCCTAGAGATGATGGGAACTGGTGTCTACTGTCCCAGGGATACCCCTCACCTCTGCTTCTCTCATTTGCCCATTCGCTGGGCTCAAGAGAACACACTCTCTCACTCCTGTGGATGACCCTCATCAACTCGCCTGGAGCTCACCTAACTCCCTCCCAGGAAAAGCTGCTGAGGGCCCCAGGGACCTCTTCATGACCTTGTAACTGATGAGTCTTCCTCATGCAGCCTGACAGGAGATGGGGCTATCAGTGTGGGGAGGCTTGTCCTGTGCTTAGCTGATAGGCTCTGGGGTGGGCTCTAACTCAGGGTGAGGCCAGATAGGCCCAGTGATGGCGGGCTGGCACTGAACTCCCCCTGTCTGACATGAGCCTCCCCACCTGTGTACTGGCCACAGTGACTACCCTAAGTCTCTTCACAAGCAACCAGGAAGAAGTCTCAAGCCTACACAACTCAGATCAAAGACATCCTCAGGCTGCCCTTCCCCTAAACTGTCCTCCTCTGTGCCTCTCTTAAGCCCTGTGCTCCAGAGAATGTGTCTCAGCTGTTGTGCAGCTGGTTCTTAATGGCTCCTGCTCTTCTTCTCCACCACATTTCAGGGCTCAGCACAGAGGTGGCTCCCTGCGAGTGCCTGCCCTGCCCCTGACTTGCTCCAAGAGCTGTGGCTACGGCTCCCTCCCAAGACACATATATCCAAAGGCTTTGGAAGCACAGCCCAATGGCCCAATGATTTCCTCTTTCTGGGCCTTTCAGAGGGTTAGAGGGAAGCACCCCATGTCCCAGAAGCCATTCCTACCTAGTATGAAGGCTACCACATAGTTGGAGATCTGGCCCATGCCCACGATGACAAATAACACAGTGAACATCTCCCAGCTGATGGAGAAAATCTGCAGGAAGCTGAAGCCAGTCTGTACAGCCATGGTTGCGAAGAGAACGTTCTTCCTGCCAAACCTAGAGAATGCAGTATAACACAAAACATGAGATGTGTAGGTTGCCAAGGTGTGTTGCAAGCCCTGAGTCAGGCATCAATGCAGACTTAGTGTTTTTTCAGGGCTCTGGCAGACTTTTTTCTCTGTCACATCCTCCCATCTTCCTCCTTGGTGAGGTCTCAGGCATCCATCTGCTCAGGAGATATCTTTTGAGATTCTCAGCTTCCTGTGGAGACACCATGTCTCAAAAGCATGGAGCAGTGTACGCAAGGACCTTGTGGAAATATGCTCTTTAGAAGGAGCCACAGATAGATGCTACCAGCACATTTCTGGAAAGTGGGTACAGCACAGATTGCAGATATTTCTTGAATCAGCAACATGAAAATTCTGTAAATCCAGAACTAAGAGTCACTCTGCAAGTGGTTTTTAACCTTGGCTGCACTTGGAATCACCCGGAGAGCTTGGAAAAAATACTGATGCCAGCACCCCACCTCCCAAGATTTTGGGATACAGTTTGGGTATTAGGATTTGGGAAAGTTTCCCAGATGAGTAGCGTGCAACAAAAATTGCAAACCACTGCTCTGTGGGAAGGTGTAGCTTTCAGCAATGTCTGTTGGTGACACTGAAGTTGTTTTAAGTATTATCTTCACATTCTGGTAGTGACCAGTGGATAGAATGGAGCACAGGTGTGAGCAGAACAGCCTTTCCCGCCCCATTTTCCAAACTCATGTCTCTGGCTGTTGGCTTGGGCTGGGAGGCTTTCCCCAGCATTGCCATTTAGTACCCCCACCTTCCTGCACTGGTCACCCAGCACATACAGGGGCCTGTGGAATACTGTCTCCTGGTGCTGTGATGCTGCCTCCTCAGGCCTGTAAGCTCTATGAGGGTCAGAGCCAGCATCAGCTCTGTGGCCCCAGTGCCTGGCCCAGGGTCCAAGCCACAGCAGCAGTGTGTGCACAGTTGGGGCTCACTGTCTGGCTGCTGGCTGTTTGCAGACAGATCCTGTGCCATCCACCCCTACCCCTGAGGTGGTGGTGGAGCAGGGAGGGCAGTGGTGATGGCAGCGTCATGTTTTGTCAAGGAGTCTGTGGTATGAGGACCCCACTTTCCAGTGGGGTCAGTGGCCCCTCCCCACCACTGGCCAAAGCCCTGGGAGCATGAGGCTGGGAGAATGGAACAAAAGTGTGTCCAGGTGAAGGGGACTGAGGGCGGGGTGAATAGGAGACATCGGGGCTCCTCCTATCACTGAATCAGTGGCCTGAGGGTCCTCCCTTTCTCTGGGTAGAAATACCCTGAATTCAGTCCAGCCCCAAGATAGGCAGTGATTGACAAGGGGCACCATCCCACCTTCCTCCCCTCCCATGTGCTTACCTGTCTGACAGCTGCCCGGACACGAAGGAGCCGAGGAGCACGCCTACGAAGAACAGGGAGGTGGTGAGGGGCACCTTCCAGTTGTCCTCACACACCAGATTCCACTGCCAAGGAAGACAGCATGAAGCGTGAGCCCAACCCTGAGGCAGACCTCAACCCCAGCCCAGCTCTGAGGGAATATTAGCACGGCTGGCGGGCAGACTCTCCTCCCCTGGGCCAGGATATTGCCTTTGTACAAAGGGCATAGGCCTTGCAGCCCTGGGTTTGACTGGCCTGTGCCGGGACTGGGGAGAGTAACCTGGGGCAGGTCACTGCCCTCCCTGAAACTCAGGATCCTCTTTGGAAAGGGAGGGTGATGCTCCTACTCCGCTCGCATTACATAGCAAGAAGCCAGCCAAGGCCATGGCTGTGACTGGTGACCCCTCAGCTGTGAGGCAGTCCAAAGTAAAGGTGGCACTGCATCTTCAGAAGCCAGCCTAGTGCGGAGGGGAGGTGTTTGAAAAGCCCAAAGGGCAGGGCAGAGGGCATGGCCACTTGGTCCAGGCGTAAAATTTCTTTTCCCTTGTTGAAAAGTGCAAGTGGTTCCAGGAGCTCTGTGACTTTATTTTCTGAGCAGGCCCCTCTGAGAAATCATGTGGTCCCTGGTCCACTCACGCCTAGGCCAAGCTTGTGGCCTGATTCGGGGCCCCATCGTTCTGGGGCCTACTTACTCCTCTCCAGGGCTCCCTAGCTCCCCTCCTACATCCCTACACCCTCCTTCCCATCCAGTCTTTCCAGAAGTGTGGTCCCTCCCATTCCCTAGGGTCTGTGGGATGCTGCTGCCCTAACAAGTCCCTGCCAGTGCATCTACAAAATGAGTTTCAGCCAGAGTTTCAGTTTGACTTAAGTCAATTAAGCAACATCTCAAGGGAGGTGACAAAAATTTCAAAGTGTGTTTAGTGACCTTTCATTTATTAAAAACAAATAAATAAACAAACAGATGCCAATGAGCACTTTGGGCTTGGGTTTTGGGGGCTGCTGTCTGTGGCGAGATGATCCAGTCTGGAGGAAAGACCCCTGCCTCCCACCCAGCCCTAGCTCCATCTTGGATGGGGCTGCTTTTACTGCATTCGCCAAACAATTCCTTCTGAATCCTCACAACTCCCTTGAAAGTGTGGTGGATTTAAGCACAAACTCACATATTTATATCACACCTTATTCTGCAGCAGACAGAGGTGTTTATAAAGACACACACAAGAGAAAAATGTAAAACAAAAAGCTAAGGGAATTGGGGAAAATGGAAAATAAAGAGGAGGGAAGTTGCAAAAACCAAGCCTGGGGTAAGACTGACCCTAGACTATCCTGTCCACGGGCCTGCCTGCTTGCCAGACGGGGCTCCAAAACTGGCTCTGCGTATCCCAGCAGCTCAGCTCTCAGAAGGGTTACAGTATCCGAAGTAGTCTGCTTATTCGCAGAAGCACAGTTGTTCTGAATACTGAGATCCGAAAGAAGTGTCTCCTATGTACTTCTTCCACAAAGGAGCCACTCTGTGATGCTGAGGATAATGTCCTCGAGAATAGTCCTGTCCTAGAGACAATAGCAAGATTCATGAGGCCGCCTGTCACAGTGCTCAAATGCTGGCCACAGGCAACGCCCAACACAGCTCTGCAGAAGAAAAACAACTCGGGCCAGGAAGTTAGCGCTCTGCTGCTCAGGCACAATCCAAGGATAAATCTCAGACTGTACCCAGAGCAGGATTGCCTCGCCTGGGGCTCTTGCATGGGCTTCAGGAGAAAGGGAAATGAATCCTCTAAAACTGTATGGCCAGATTAATGTGTTCTGCCAGTCCATAGACCGGAAGTGGTAAACAGGACGTGTGCCTGCATTCATGGCCATCTCCCTCCAAAAATAATTGTCCAAAGCTTCAGATAAAAGCTTGGGTTCTGCTTCTGACTTAGAGAGATGAGCAATTGAGGCCCAAAGCCTCATGATGTGGTGTGACCCATTTTGCAGAAGATTAAACTGAGACTGTGAGAATGGGATTTGTCTGAAGTCATAGCAAGTAAATGAGCATGATAGATACCTACTTGGGCCTCAGAACCCAATCTTGTACCAGTGTCCTGCTTTGGACCTATACTCCCTAAGGCAGGACAAAATGAGCTTATTAAATATGATGCCCTACACTTCTTCAAGGAATGTGATACCAGGAGACAATTACCCAGGACTAGGAGTAGAAGGCCTCCATCACAGCCTTTAGCCTCAGACTGAGCCAAGAAGAACTCAAGATTGGTAGAGGCATTAACATGCCAACCATCATCATTCCATCTGCAGTTGAGCAGAAAAGCTCTTTCAAATATAATGTGCTCTCCTTTGTAGTCTGTCAAATATTTTTCTGTCTGGACTTTGCCTTAGGGCAGGATAGATAGGATTTAGAGATAGAAAGGAATGGAAGGCTGTTAGATGTGGAGCCAGGCATTGCATGAGCAAAGGGTAGGACTGGGAACTGGCTACTTAATTTGCAAGGTCCAGGGCAAACTGAAAATGCAGAACTCCTTGGTCAAAAATTATTAAGAATTTCAATACAGCAATGGCAAAGCATTGAAACCAAGTGTGGCGCTCTGTGTGACTGCACAGTTGCATGCCCATGAAGCTGGCCCTGGCAGGGGATCAAACCTGGCCTCCAGGAAATGAAGCAGATGCAGGAGTTCTGAATGGGGACACTGGGAAGGGGGGTGAGGTGAGGGCCATCTCCCATCATTCTCCTTCCTGTAGGCTCTGCATCGATGGCTTTCGGTCCCATTCCCTCCCTGAAGAGGGGCCCAAGAAGCCCTGTCAGCATCATGCAGCACAGGAAGAGCCATGCACACGCAGTGGCCGTTTGCCCCAAGCCCATGAGGGGTGCCATCTGCCTTTGGAGACCCTGCTTACAACCAGCAGGGGAAGGCAGCTAGACTGCATGGCTGCCCATGGTTGATTCTAGGGCTGGGCTCTCCTTTGGGGAGTTATGGTGCCGCAAGTGTCTTTTTGGAAAGCTGTGAGGGGCCTGGTATTAGGACACAGGATTGGCAGATGAAGTTCTACCTGGAGCGAAGGGCTAGAGTCCAGTAAATCAGCTGCCAGTCCTAAGAGGGGTCCTTTAGAAAAGGCTTTTCTTAGGAAACCGGCCCTGCCTGCCCCTGGGCCCTTCAGGTTTGAGGGATATGTCTTGGGTCTCCGCTAGCCAGGGCCACAAAACCTCCCTGTGGTTAACAGTGACATGGCGGGCCCAGTGGGAGACAGTGTTTTCCTTGATGGGACAGACCTGTCCCTGTGGGTCCCTGCACATGTTTGTACATACATGCACACACACATACATACACATGACCAGCTCAGAGGCTAATGGCAGATGTCCTGGTAAGGAGCTGGCTGGCATTGCTTTGGGGGTGTGCTTTCAAGTCAAATCCTAACATTTCTGAAACATAGCTTACCTCCCCTCTCCCTGCCCCTCTGATGGGGCCTCCCGGGGTTACTATGTCTGTCCCATCAGCAGGGTCCCAGACCAAGGTTCTCACAACAGAGCAGAGTGAGCTCCATTTAGCTGGGCCGCATGGCCTTCAGCTCTAATTTAAGAAACAAAAATCCAGGTGACAAGGTAATAGGGGATAGGAGGTCACTCTTGGCATAGAAGGATGTGCCGCTTCCCATGGCTCCCTATAGTAAAGGGAGTAATGGGAAAGACAGTAACAGTGTGTGGAGTGCTCACTGAGTGCCGTGTATTATCTCAGGGGATCTCAGGGTTGGCATGTGAGATGGGTACTCTTATCCTTGTTTTACAAATGAGGAAATGAAGGCACAGAGCAATAAAGCAACCAGCCCAAGTTCTCCTAGTGAATTGGTAAAAAAAAAAAAAAAAAAAAAAAAAAAAAAAAAAAAATTGCTTAATCATTGATTCAACTGACATTCAGCACCTACCTGCTCCAGGCCAGGCTCTGTGTAGGGCACAAGAAAGACATGGTCCCTGCCCTCACAAAGCTCAAGGTCAAGCATACTTTACAGGACAGATGTGCACATGTGCATGCATGAGGCCAGCAGCCCTGGGTGGGGTGGGCGCTGTTCTGGGCCACTTCACCCTTGCTCTTTGGCTAGAGAGGAAAGAGGCACCCCCTCCTCACCATCCTCCAGCAGAAGGACAGAGTTCTAAAACCTGAATAATCCGTATAATCATATTTTAGATGACTAGTGTTTGCACAGTGCTAGGCACACAGTGGGTGCTTAACAAATTGTTGAATGAATATTGAACAATTAATTAGGAGTCATAGAAAATCAGCCTGGAAAATGTGGTTCTTGGGCTGAGGAGTATCACGCATTGCACTTGGAAAATCACCCTCAGCCTTGAACTAACTCTCCAAGTAGCCAAAGTCTGGCAGTTTTAGTTTTTACCAGAGCTATAAAGGACCATAAAGATAAGTGAACCCCGTCTGACCTGCACGGAACTGAGAACGCTGGAAGGTAGCCTGGTGTTCAGCAAAGAACACAGGCTTTCTCGGGGTCTGCAACTTTGGACTGTGTGATGTTGGGCAATCCATTCACCTCTATTAGCCTGCTTCTTCACCTTCAAAAAGATGACAATAATACCTGCTCCTAGGTTTGTTGTGTGCATTGGATGGGAAATATCAGTGGAGCGTCTGACACATTACAGGCCTCATTAAATGGTAGTTCCCTTTCTACCAGGCTCATACTAGTAGAGCATTTTATTTGTCCTGAGCAAAATCATGACTTGGAACACATGGACGAATAAGCAAAGCAGGTTACACTTAAATCTGACTAAGAGAAAGAAATTCTAAGAAATAAAAATTATTCCAGTCCATTACTAAAAGCTAGAAAAGCTCTTATAAAAGGGATTTGATAAATGGAATTCAATCCCAGAGATGACTGTGAGTGAAAAATTAGCAATGGTCCTTTTAAGAATAAAAGATTGATTTCTATAGTATCCTCTCATAGTTATCCTTTATTCTAGAGAAAAGTAAGAAGTAGTAGTTAATAATGGACTATACATCCACCCCAGTTCTATCTTTGTCACTTGATTGTGACTTAAAGCTGGGAATTCCTTGACAATATGAAAAAACAAAACAAAGAAAAACAAAAACAAACATGGCTAGTTAATTACTTTTTTGTAACAACTTTATTGAGATATGATTTATACACCATAACATTTACTCTTTTAAAGTATACAAATCAATCATTTTTAGTATATTCACAGACTTCAGCAACCATCAGCAATGATCTGATTTTAGAATTTTCATCACCCTTGAAAGAAAACCCATACCTGTTAGCAGTCACTCCTCATTCGCTACTTCCTCTAGCCCCTGGAAACCACTAATCTACTTTCTGTCTCTATGAATTTGCCTATTCTGGACATTTCATATAAATGGAATCATACAATATATAGTGTTTTATGACTGGCTTCTTATACTTAGCTCCTTTTCTAAGTCCATCCATGTCATTGTGCAGTGTATCAGCACTTCATTACTTTTTATGGTTTAATAATATGCCATGGTTTGGGCTGGGTGCGGTGGGTCACACCTGTAATCCCAGCACTTTGGGAGGCCGAGGCGGGTGGGTCACCTGAGGTCAGGAGTTCAAGACCAGCCTGGGTAACATGGTGAAACCCTGTCTCTACTAAAAATGCAAAAATTAGCTGGGCACGGTGGCACGTGCCTGTAATCCCAGCTACTTGGGAGACTGAGGCAGGAGAGTTGCTTGAGCCTGGAGGTGGAGGTTGCAGTGAGCTGAGATCACACCACTGCACTCCAGCCTGGGCAACAAAGTGAGACTCCATCTCAACAACAACAACAACAACAACTATATATATATATATATATATATATATATATATATATATATATATATATATATATATATTTCACGGTTTGGGTCTACCACGTTTTCAATGATCTGTTCATCAGTTGATAAGTAGTTGGGTTGTTTCCACTTTTTGGCTACTATGAATAATGCTGCTGTGAACATTCATGTACAACATTTTGTGTGTACATGTTTTCATTTCTTTGGGGTATATACATAGTAGTGAAATTGTTGGGTCATACGGTAAGTATATACTCAACCTTTTGCAGAACTCCTAATCTGCTTTCCAAAGTGGCTACACCATTTTACAATCCCAACAGCAATGAATGAGGGTTTCAATTTCTCCACATTCCTACCAGTACTTGTTATTGTGTGTCTTTAATTTTAGTCATTGTAGTGGGTGTAAAGAGGTATCTCATTGTGGTTTTGATTGCATTTCTCTAATAACTAATGTTGAACATCTTTTGCATTGAATCTATTGATCAATTTGGAGAGCACTGCCATACTAACAATAAGTCTTCTGCTCCATGAACAGAACATGGGAAGCTTTTCCACTTGTTAAGGCCTTCTGGAATTTCTTTCAATGACATTTTATAGTTTTTAAAGTATACATTTTGCAAATTTTTGGTTAAATTTATTTCTGAAGTGCCTCCTTTAATATTTCTTGTAAGACATCACTGCTAGAAACAATTCTCTCAAGTTTTGTGTATTTTTGAATTTCTTTATCTCAGTTTTGAAAGACAGTTTTGTTGGATGCATGATTCTTGGTTGACAGTTTCTTTTTTCCTTCAGCACTTAGAATATGCCACTCCACTGCCTTCTGTCCTTTATGGTTTCTAATGAGAAGTCAAACGTTGATCTTATTGGAGTTCTCTTGTATGTACCTAGTCATATATTTGCTGCTTTCAAAATTTTCCCTTCGTTTTTGTCTCTTTTTTTATTTAAGCAGTTTTACCATGATATATCAGGGTGTGGATCTCTTTGTGATCATTCTATTTGGAGTTTGTTGAGCTTCTGAAAGGTGTAGATTAATGTTTTCCACCAAATTTGGGAAGTTTTCAGTCATTATTTCTTTGAGCATTTTTTCTGCCCTTTTCTCTCTCTCTCCTCTCCTAGTAATTCTATTATGCATATATTGCTATGTTTAATGGTGTTCCCCATTTCTCTGAGACTCTATACATTTTCTTTATTCCCTTTTTCCTCTCTGTTCTTTGGATTGCATAATTTCCAATCCTCTATCTTCAAGTTTGCTGATTCTTTCTTTTGCCTGTTCAAATCTTCTGTTAAGGCCCTTGAGTTACTTTTAAATTTCAATTATTGTATACTTTTACTCCAGAAGTTCTATTCAGTTGTTTTGTTTGTTTAAGAGACAAGGTCTCTTTCTGTTGCCCAGGCTGGGGTTGAACTCCTGGGCTTAAGCAATCCTCCTACCTCAGCCTCCTGAGTAACTGGGACTATAGGCACATGCCATCATGTCTGGCTCAGCTTTTAAAAATATAAATGTAATTTTTCTCTCTTTATTGCTATTCTCTATTTGATGCAATATTGTCATCATACTTTTAAAAGCATGACTTCCTTTCATTCTTTGAACATATTTATAATGGCTGCCTTATGCCTTAAAGTCTGTTAAAATCTGACATGTGGACCCTCTCAGGCAGTTACTGTTGCCCACGTTTTCCCCCCATGTATAGGTCATATTTTTCTGTTTCTCTGCATATCTCGTAATTTCTGGTTAAAAACTGGACATTTTAGATAATATATTGTAGAAATTAGGTACTGTCACATTCTTCCACCCCCATTTCCCTGATCTTTCTTCTTCTTCTTTTCCGAGATGAAGTCTCACTCTGTTGCCCAAGCTAGAGTACAGTGGCATGATCTCGGCTCACTGCAACCTCCACCTCCTGGGTTCCAGCAATTCTCCTGCCTCGGCCTCCTGAGTAGCTGGGATTACAGGGACCTGCCACCATGCCCAGCTAATTTTTGTATTTTTAGTAGAGATGGGGTTTCCCCACATTAGCCAGGCTGGTCTCAAACTCCCGGCCTCAGGTGATCCACCCGCCTTGGCCTCCCAAAGTGCTAGGATTACAGGCATGAGCCACCACGCCAGTCTGATCTTTCTATTAAGCTGTCTGTGTCTGCTGGTATCACACCCAGCTGTTAGCCTCACTAATTGCTAGCCAGTTGCCTCATTCATTTCAATAATGCCCTGGGGGCATATATTGTCCCACAGTCTAATCCAGTTGACGTCAAGCCTCTTTGCAGTGGTAGTTTTTGAGGCAAATCTATAAGGTTTGTTTTGACTCCAGAAGGGCTGCTCTTAGCTGTCTCTTTCTTGTTTTGTTTGTTTGTTTGTTTTCTGTTTTTTCCTGGTAAACTAGCTGCATTATGGGTTCATTTGTTGCTCTAATGGAGTTACCAGAATCCTTTTAGTTGCTTACCACTAAATTCTCCATTGTTCTTGAGAGCAATCTTAGGCTGTCCTTTCACACACTCTATTTCAAATAAAGTTCGTTCCTGTGGGGACAGCTTTAGAACTCTGTTCTTTTGGATTATCTCTCCCCGCTGGGCAAAATATCTGAGCTCCTGTTGTAGAGAGGTAGGCAGGGAAAGCGGCCCATTTATCTCAGAATGACACCCCTACTTTATGAGTCAGACACTGAGTGGAAGTGGGAGCTTGGTGTGGAATCTCTGCCGTATGAATGAGCTGGGATAAGGGCAATCAAGGCTCTAATATTCTCAACTTGTGGCACCTGGAGTAGAGTCTCTACTATATGAATAGGCGGTGGGTGGAGGATGGGAACCTATGATCCCCTGGTTGCACTCACGAGGATTTTACCTTCTGTGGTTTGGAGCTAAGAGAATACAGGGATGGGTGGGGGATGGGCATTGGTTGTCCCTCTTGGTGGGCTGCTGTAGCCCTTCCTTGGAAGCTGATGGGAGAGAGAACAGTATTTTCTTGGCCATACCCACCTAGAGTGGAACTTCCATTTTTCTTGTGCTGGGAGGAAGGGGAAGGGGAGGGCTGAAGGAGTTATGACTCAAATATCATAGACTTCACTGTTCTTGCCAAGGTATAGTCGACTTTCTTGAATAAATATATGCCCTTAGGACAACTTCCAGAGACTCTAAATGTGTGTGTGTGTGTGTGTATTTTCACCAGTTATGGCTGTTTCACTGAGGAGCTGGTCTATGGCGCTGGCGCTCCTCACACTGCTAACTTCGAAGTCTCAGAATCTTTTCATGTGCTAATTGATTTGTATTTCTTTGGCAAAACATCTATTCTCCAAAATGGGCAAATGATTTTATCCATTTTTAAATCAGGTTGTCTTTTTATTGCTGAGTTATCAGAGTTATTTTTATATTCTAGATACAAATCCTTTATCAGATATATGATTTGTCAATATTTTCTCCCATTTTGTGGGTTATCTTTTTGGCTGTTTAATTCTTCTACTCATATTTTCATTTACAAACAACTAAGCCAGAAGGCTGCTAAGCCTTAAAATGTTCTCAGTATCTTTCTTTCTTTATATTAGAAAAGCTACCACAGATGGAAAAGCCTCACTGATGAGTTCTGTGATCATTGGAGGCTAAACCAAAGCAGAAGAACCAGTGAGTGTGAGTGGGAAGATAGGGATGGGAGTGGAGGGGCTGTGGGAAGGAGAAGGGTCACTCAGGGACCTGGCTGTGCCCCTTGCATCCTGACAATGGATCCACCACAGCTCTACCAGTCTGTATTAGGGGAACATGAGCAAATGGCATCGTGTCTGTGCCAGTCACCAAGCACTGAGGGGAAGCTCTGGAAGTTGCCGCCTGAACCTGCCCTCCAGTCTTGCAAATGCTGAGCAGGAGCCACCAGCCTTGGACTGTCTGTGCTTCTTGCTAGAGCATGTGGGTCATTCCAGCCTTTCCCCAGAACGTCCATTCTCTCCACACCTTCTTCATTCCAAATGGGGATCCTTGCCTTTCTTTTGGACTCCAGAGACATGCATAAAACCACAACACAGCTTTAGAAAACAAGGCACACCTGTATTAGTCTTACACCTAAATTGAATGCAGCCTGCCATAAGGGAGGAATTACAGTCCTTCTAGAGGCCCAAGGTACCTGCAGCTCCCCCTGACCAGTCCTGTCAAAGCCTTGTTTTTGTCAAAATGCCACCTTGGACTCTGTCTGAGAGTTCTGCTGCCCACCAAGAGGGATGGACAAAGTCTGTTTATCCAGAAACTTGGCAGGAGGTGCAGGTGAAGCAGCCTCTGAACAAAAGCATATTCTGAGATCCTGGTGGCTGTTGTCAGAGGAACACAGCAGAGAGGCAAACAGTTTGGGGTGAGGCAGCTGATAAACAAACAGGGAAGCACATTCAGGCCAGAGCAAGGGGAAGCCCCTGAGTCTCCTCTATGTGCTCTCTGGCAAGATCTACTTTCTGAAGCATTGACTGGAAATAGAAGTCTCGCCGGGCTGGCTGGAGCCAGAGGCCCCCACACCTTATCCCCTTTGGAATCTGCCAGAGGGCAGGTCTGAGTATGGACTTGGATGATCAACTTGGTTAATATTCAGGCTATCTTGACAGTCTCCACACCCGTGAGCAATGTCCCAGGGCAGCCTGCAGGCCTGATAGAAACTCCACAAACCTGCCTATCACGGAAGGTTTTCCCCTTTTGTCGGGGCCTACCCAGACCCCAGGGGAGGTGCATCCTTGAGAGCCGCTATGTGAAGTCCCACATAGTGGCAGCCGCATGTGAGGGTTAGTCTGTTTCATTATTCCCTTGCTTGCTGCTCTCAGTGCCTCCCAGAAGTTCCCCGTTAGCAGGGGAAGAGGCCTTATCCTTCGCCACATAACCTGGCTCGCCTCTGGGTTATGGGTGGGGAATCAGTAAGTCCTACTGCTGTTCAGGCCCTGACCCCAGTTCCCAGGAAAGCACAAGGCTAGTGCCACCAGAGGTCCAGGCCCTTTGCTGGAGGCTCCATCAACTCCACTACCAGTGGGCTACCAGCAGCTCCACTAGGGTTCCTAGAGGAGGCAGCCCAGCTGCAGAAGAGGACAGGAGGATCTACGGTGTGGCAGCAGCCCTGTCTTAGATCACTGGTGGCCTGCAAAGAAGGCTGGTCCTTAACACACAAGGTTCCCCCAGGGCCTCTGGAGCACAAGACCTGGCAGAAGTGGTATCCAGCTTAGAGGTGACTGCCTCAGTTTTCCCAGCCCATGGACTGATGGGAAGGTCAAGACCCTAATGATGCTCCATGGGAGAAGAGGACATGCTTGAGGCAAAGGCCAGCCCATGCTTAGCCCCTGGCCACGAGCCAGGATTGCCTCTGCTGCTTGCCCTGTGGCCCTGCAGATGAACTTAGGCCCTCTCCAGAGCAGAGCATTTGTTGCCCTTCCTGCTCCTTTAGCCTCAGGGCAGGAGGCTGCCGGGTTTCCTCACACGCAGGGCCTCTTCTCTCTGAGGTCTTGGCCCTGAGGGCTATATATGAAGGGCCATGCCCATGGAGACTGAGATCTGACCCCTGCAGTAGGTCTCAGGGATGAGGACCCCAGCATCAGACACTCTGGGTTGCTTGGGGCACTTCCTTCCCCAACAGAAGCTTCAGTCCCAACCCAGGTCCCACCAGTCCCTGCTTGCGTTCCTGCTCAACTGCTGCCTGATGGAAAACTTAGCAACGAGCTGTGACTGGCACTCCTCCCGCAGGGGTAAACACAGACTCCTCTAGCCCTGACTGCAGAGACAGATAAAGGCCCTTACCCTGGATATCTACATTCTCTATCCTTAAAGTGAAAAATAACTTGGTTTGAGCTAGAATAACTGGAGCAACAAAATAAAGATGGATAGCATTAGTTTATAACTGATGAAATAAAATAAGTATGTATGAACCTGTACTGATATAAGTTAACAATTGCATACATTAATAAATAGATGTGGAGGGGAAGCTCTTCTTCTCAGAAGAATTCCAATTAATAAATGTTGAAGGAATCAGAAAATGCAAAATCATCACTAGGCAAACTGCAGTAATAATTGTTTCAGTCAAGACCTAGTGATGAATGCTAAAATCAGTGAATAAAAATTTGAGGAGACACAGGATTTTGTATAATCTCGAAGAACCTCCCTTAAGATATTTATTAGTGACAGAGGAAAAAATAGTACCTTTACAGCAGAGAAATTCCACAGACACCAACTTGACAAATGATCAAGGTTAACATCACCAGTAATAAGACACATCAGCATCATGTACCCACTGGTATGATGCCCAGAGAATGCATCACTTCTAAGGTATCATTACCAAAAAGTGCATAACGCAATCTAATTGTGAGAAAAATCATGCCAACCCAAACTGAGGAGCATTCATCAAAATACTCATAAAAATGTCAAGATCATGAAAGATAAGGAAAGACTAAGGAACAATCACAGATTGGAGACTGAGACATGACAACTAAATACAACATGGGATTTTGGATGGGATCCTACGATAGAAAAAGGGCAGTAGTAGAAAAACTGGTGAAATCCAAACAAAGTCTGTAGTTCAGTTATTACTATTGTAACCAATGTTAATTTCCTGGTTTGGATAAATGCATAACGCGTATTTAAATTGTTAACATCAGAGAAAGCTAGATGAAGGGTATATGTGAAATCTCTGTACTATTTTCAAACTTCTCTCTAAATCAAAAGTTATTTCAAAATAAAGTTAAAAAATAATCGCCAGGCGCGGTGGCTCACGCCTGTAATCCCAACACTTTGGGAGGCCGAGGCAGGTGGATCACCTTAGGTCAGGAGTTCGAGACCAGCCTGGCCAACATGGTGAAACCCTGTCTCTACTAAAAATACAAAAAACAAACAAACAAACAAACAAAAAACTAGCCGGGCATGGTAGCAGGCCCCTGTAATCCCAGCTACTCGGGAGGCTGAGGCAGGAGAATCGCTTGAACCAAGGAGGCAGAGGTTGCAGTGAGCCGAGATGGCACCATTGCACTCCTCCACCCTGGGCAACAAGAACGAAGAAAGAAACTCCATCTCAAAAAAATAAAATAAAATAAAATAAAATAAAATAAAATAAAACGAAAAATAATTTGACTCTTAGTAACTGCACAGGTTGAAAAACTTGGACCTCACAATCAACCCCTGAAGAAGGAAACTACCTTATACACATGTACACACACAGACGAATGCACTCACGCAAACCCCAACTCAGACACCTTATTGCTACCTCCTGGCATACTATGAAAGGCATTTCTACAGCACAGCATGCCATCCTTGGTTCCTGGCTAACCCTGTCCTCCTGTGAAGAGGTGTTGGGGGGCAGTTCAGGCAGACTTGTCTGTCCCCAAAGATATGCCCATTGGGAGATCCTGGCACGGCAGTATAAGGCAAAGACACAATCTGAGGACAGTCCCACTACCTGTGTTGTGCCAACTGGGATGCAGAGAACCTTCTCAGGGGCCCTGGGCTTGGCCCTGTACACTGGCACTGGCCAAGTCAGTATGGGTTTGGACTTGTGTTCTATTCTCTGAGGCTTGGAACTGCCACTGTGGGGAGAGGGGCTCAGCCTCCAGCAAGTCCCATCACCTATTACACAGGCCACAACCTGGACTTTAGAACAGCTCCCACCATGCCCACTGTCCCCAGCCAGTGGAGAAGGCAAAGAAGGTGCTGAGCTTCTGCCTTTACCACTCCTCACCACCACCTAGGAAGCCCATTTGCTGGTGCCACACTCTTTGCTGGTGCCACACTCTGTGCTGGCCACCACCGGATGGGGCATGGGGCATTATCTCACTGAGTCCTCCCAACAACTCAGATAAGGTGGCTTCTCTTATTATCCCCATTTTGAAAACTGAGATAAAGTACACATAATATACAGTTTACCATCTTAGCCATTTTTAAGTGTACAGTTCAGAAGCGTTCACACTGTTGTGCAATCAATCTCCAACACTACTTTCATCTTACAAAACTGAAACTCTATACCCATGAAACAACGACTCCCTACTCCTTCCTTCTTCCAGTCCCTGGCAACCACCATTTACTTTCTGCTTCTGTGAGTGTGACTACTCCTGTAGTGAAATCAGAAAATAATTTGTCTTGTGACTGGCTTATTTCACTAAGCGTAGTCTCCTCAAGGTTTATCCACGTTGTAGCATGTCCTTCCTTTTTAAAGCTGAATAATCGTCCATTGTACGCATATACCACATTATGTTTATCCATTTGTCTGTGGAAGGACACTTGGGTTGCTTTCACCTTTTGACTATTGTGAATAATGCTACCATAGACATGGTGTACAAATATCTCTTTGAAACCCTGTTTCAATTATTTTAGACATATATCCAGAATTAGTATTGCTGGATCATATGGTGATTCTATTTTTAATTTTTTTAGGGACCACCACATTATTTTCCATAGTGGCTGCACCATTTTACACTCCCACTAGGAATGAACAAGGGTTTCAATTTCTCTACATCCTCACTAACACTTGTTATTTTCTGTGTTTAAAAACAACAACAACACTTTTTTAGAGGTGGGGTCTTGCCCTGTCACCCAGGCTGGAGTGCAGAGATATGGTCATAGCTCACTGCAACCTCAAACTCTTGGGCTCAAGTGATCCTCCTGCCCCAGCCTCCTGAGAAGCTGGAACTACAGTCACATGCCCTCATGCCTGGCTAATTTTTTATTTATTTTTTGTAGAGATGGGGTCTTACTATGTTGCCCAGTGCTGTCTTGAACTCCTGCCCCCTAGCAATCCTCCTGCCTCGGCCTCCCAAAGTGGATTTCTGGGTGTTTTTTTTTTCTTTTTGTAGTAACTATTTTTAAGGGTACAAAGTGGTACCTCCTTATGATTTTCATTTGCATTTCCCTAGTGATTAGTGATGTTGAGCCTCTTTTCATCGCTTGTACCCCCAATTTATAGACAAGGAAACTGAGGCTTTCATCAGTGATGTAACCTGCCTGGAGTCAGCCAGGTGGTTGGCAGTGGAGTCAAAACTGGCCCTCTACTGAGTCTGACTCCAGAACTCTGTGTGCTGCCGCCCCTCTGGGGGAGAGCCATCCATCCATCCTGCTTACCCTGGTACTTGCTTCCTTCCCTCCTCCTCCCAACCACCAGAGCCCAGTTTTTTGTTGTTGTTGTTGTTTGTTTGTTTGTTTTGAGACACAGTCTGGCTCTGTCACCCAGGCTGGAGTGCTGTGGTGTGATCTCAGCTCACTGCAACCTCCGCCTCCCAGGTTGAAGTGATTCTCCTGCCTTAGCCTCCCGAGTAGCTGGGACTACAGGGGTGCACCACCACTCCCAGCTAATTTTTGTATTTTTAGTAGAGACGGGGTTTCACCATGTTGGCCAGGCTGGTCTCAAACTCCTGACCTCAAGTAATCTGCCCGCCTCAGCCTCTCAAAGTACTGGGATTACAGGCGTGAGCCACTGTGCCCAGCCCCTAGTTGCTTTTTATTTTACTTCCACCACTCAAAAAGGAAGCCAGGAAGGGAAAAGCTGCCAAAAAAAGCAAATCCTGGTGCATGTGTGTGAATGTGTGATGATGTACATCCTTAGAGGTCCCTGTGAACAGCGTACAACATGAGTAGCTATGGACTTGGAGGCCAGCAGCTACTCACCCCTCACGCCCTACAGTGAACAAAACCAGCGAGCAATGGAAAAGCAGACAGGTCAGCCCAGCTGCCAGGGAAGGCTGCCACTCATGGGTCCAGCCTCCATAACAGGCACTGATAACACTTCCAGGAATCGACGCGGGATGAGCTGGCCCCCAGTCTCAGCTGCTCCCAGGCCATGCTGTGGGCAGGGAGTGGGCAAGCACTAGAGCCCCTGCTAGGGAAGCAAATCCAGAGAAGCATGGCCACCTTAGGGCCCAGGGTAGGTATGGTGCCAATGCTGGGGGATCCAAAGGCAGTCCCTGGGCTGAGCCCACTTCCCACAGGTGCCACAGATTCGACAACCACCACGCCTGGCTGGCCACCATTCTCTTGCAGAGGAGAGTTTCAAAACTTCCTCACTGGTCTTCTTGTTTATCATAGCAGCTAGAGTGAGCTCTTTCCAAAAGCACGAACCTGGCCTTAGAATGCTTACTATTTTCTCACTGTCCTCCGAATAAAGTCAGCTCCTCAGTATACATAGAAGGCCACTATGAACTAGCCCTTGTGGCCATTTCTAGTCTCATTTGTCATATCTGTCATCCCTTGAGTTCCAGCCACTCCGATATATGAGAATTCCATTACCTGAATTTCCCATACTCTTGCCTAGACAGGTCTTGCTCACATTTTCAGAATCAGCTAAAATCATATCACCCCTTCTTGGAGTATTTCCTCCACCTATTGTCCCACAGAGAGGGTGATTTATTTATCCCAGGTCACATAGCAAGCAAGGCAGGACTTGAATTTGGGTTCCAGAACCCTATTGCTAACCAGGGTTAATGTTAGCCTTCTCAGTAACACAGCCAGTGTGCCCCATGGGCATCTGAGGGTAGGCTCCACACACCAGATGTCCACACCTTAGTGCTCAGCACAAGGCCAGACACAATGTCTGATGACCGCTATACCGTGCTGAGGGAAAGGGATAAGGGACTAGCAGAGGCCACTCAGGTTTTTCTTGGGAGGAGCATGAGGCAGAGGAGGGACTAGCAGCAGGGAAATCCTACCTGCCTGACCAATAGCAGGCAACAGCTCCATGAGGATGCTCTCCTCAGAAGAAAGGTGTATCCTGACCCAGGTCCTTACCAGATGTGAAGCAGCAAAAGCGGGAGAAGTGTGTGTGCATCCTCATTCCTGGAACTTAGAAAACCTGCCACTAACCACGCAGGGTGCTGAGGGGCTACAGCCCCTGCCTGCCAACTCACCCTGTGCTCAGAGAGGTCCCTGAGGGCCAGGGCTTCCAGCTGGGGTTTCGCCTTCTGTGCTTCCTTGCACCCAATGAGCCTCAGGAGGCCATCTGCTGTCTTAGAGAAACTGGGGCCTCAGGAAAGGACCCCAAACCTCACAAGTATATGGTACGGCAGTACACCTCCTGATGCCTCCAGAAGTCTGTGGCCAGGGAACAGACAAGATTTGGCCCCGCCCTGCCCAGTAACAAGGTCCCTCACACCCCTCCTCCCATGCCTGGCAGGAAGGTGACTCAGGCAGTGCGTCTGGGTAGCCTGGGGCTGCGCTTCCCCCAACGCAACATCTAGGTTCTTAGGAAACTTCATTTGTTGTGAAAATCGGAAATGAAAAGACAGTTGGTGACAAACTCCTTTCTCCATCACCTCCTTATTGGACAGAAACGACCCAGGAATGCGCCTCGCGTGAGTCCTATTCTTTCTTGGGGTGCACACCCGCTGCTGGAAGTATGAACAGCAGGTTTGAGGGGGAGGGGAGCGCTGACCCGGGCACTGCGCAGGGAGTCTCAAGGGGGGCTGACGCAGAGGGAGGGTCAGGCACTCCCGGGTCAACGGTCTCGGCCTGGCACCCACCTCGGTCACGACGGTGGACAGGTAGACGTCCTGGCTGAACTCCCAGCCATCCAGGCAGCTCTCCTGCTCCAGCTGCCCCAGGTCCACGTCGCGCCCCGGCTCCAGCCCGAGCGCCGAGAAGTTGGCGATGGTGGCGAGCCGGTAGCGGCTGCAGCTGTGGGGCACCTCGCGGCCGTCCCGCAGCCGCAGCGGGACACTGTTGTTGCGCCAGGCGCTGCTCAGGTTCGCGGCGTCCGGCACTCGACAGCGGTGCTCCGGGGTCCCCGCCAGGAACACGACTGACATACCATTGAAGCCATTGGGGATGATGCTGGCGCTGAGCAGGAAGAAGATGAGGCGCTGGAAGGGCCCCCACTCGCCCAGGAAGGCGATCACCTCGTCGTAGTCCCGCATGCTTCCCACTGCCGCTCCGAAACTTGCAACTACGGGTGATGACAGCGTTCTCAGGACAGTGTCTTGTAGCTGGGGCGCTCCCCAAGGATGTTAGAACGTTCCCGGGGGACAGGCAGGCTGTTAGAAATTGGGGCGCGAAGCCGGGGACCGTTCCTGGGAAACAGGCTGAAGGCGTTGGAGCGTTCCCGGGAGCTCGCGCTGAGCTTGATGCCACTGTACACTTGGGACCACACCCCCATCCCCGGCCGGGCGCGGGGAAGGGGAGGGCGGCCCAGCCCGGGAGGCTGGGCTCCCGGCTGTCTCCGCCCTGTGCTTCGCGCGCCCGCCCGCCCCCAAGGACCTGACGGGGGCTTCCAGGCTGGGCTCAGCCATTCCGCCCGCGTGCCGGGGAAGAAGCTCGTTCTCGGTTGTCCCCAGCCACCCCCGAGCGCTGATTCCCAGACCTGGGCCCCACGTGGGAGGGCGGGCGCAAGGGAGGAGCCGAGGCCAGAGAGCGAGTTCTCGGAGGGGTCGGCCCTCGATCTGCTCGGGCCGCGTGGCCCCGGGCCCAGACCCCAGCAGGGTTCCCTCCGCGGTCTCCTCCAATCTGGAGGCTGAGCTTAGGCTGCCACGCGTGGGGCGCGGAGGGGCGAGTCAGTGGAGTCGGTTCCCGGGAAACTTCTGGGGGCGGCAGAGCGACAGGAGCGCGCCCTCTCCTGTGGCGCCTCGCGCAGGCGGCTGGCACACGCCGACAGGGAGCTCATTTCCCAACAGTCCTAGCAGAGCTGAATTCGGTCACCCCTGGCGGCGCCCGGACAGCGTCCTCAGGACAGCCAGGACCCTCATCTTGCACAGGGAAAACAGGCCCACAGCCTGGAAGGGATGAGCAAGGTCACACTACGTCAGAGATGGGCCCGGATCGGAGGGAGGGGCGGGGGCAGGAGACAACCGAGTGCCCGGGAGGCGAGTTTCCTCCCCCGCACGCCGGCGTAATGGCTGAGCCCAGCCTGGAAGCCCCCGCCGGGTCCATGGGCGGGCGGGCGCCAGGACATGGAGCCTGCGCATTGCGGGAGCACAGTCATGGAGGCACTGTCGTCACGCTGGGTTCTGATTTTGAGCCCCTTGCTCTCCTCACGCCCCCAGGGCCCTTTATCGCGGCAGGCTGTCAGAGCTTTCTCCGACTGGAAGGCTTTCTGTTAGCAGAAGGGCCTGCCCCCAGTCCAGGAACAGAGGGAGGGAGGGAGAGAGAAGTAGGAGATCCGATTTGGCGCTCAGACCCGGCAGGGTAACCAAAGCAGGGACCACAGCCTCCCTTTTTTTGGCTCAGTGCCCAGACCTAAGGCCCTTCTGCTGTTGTGTGAGCTAGCCCGGGCCTGGAGCCTGAGCCCTGGGGTTCACGAGGCAGATAAAATTGACAGGGTGAAGAGCTCACCTCTTTGGAGATTTTGCACGAGTGTGTTTGTTTCCCCAGGCTCCGATTAAGAGGCGGAGGGACATTTCTGCCTCTTTTTGTGTAGCTTCCAGTCTGACCCCTCCTCTTAGGAGGACTTCCCACCCCCTTGGAACCTCAGTTTCCTACCTGTAATAAGACTATACATCCTGATGTGCTAGGACAGCTCTGATTTATGCCTATTAATCCAGTGAAATTATTAATAGAGCCTCCCTTTACTTTCACAAGTATCCTTCTTCGAATGATATATTATGGTCATTATCTTACTTAGCTTGGGTTTCATCTCCCTACTCCACCCCATATAATAGAGCAAAGTTGGAGACAAGAACGTATATAAGGTCGTTTATTCTGAGTAATGATACCATAAAACAGAAGTGAGGGACTAGGGAGGAGAGTGAACAGAGAGGGAGGTAAAGCCAACATAGACTGTGAAATTGAGATGGTTATTGGCGATGACCAAGATCAGTAACAGTGTTGTGTGGAGCCCTAGTGGAGCCTAAGAATAAATGGAAAATTAGCAATACTGAGCCTGTCTTTATTGAAAATTTTGATATTGCGTTCATCATGGGTATTTGCATTAATTTCTATTTTAAAAAATATTGCATTAAAATATAATTAATCTTGGTTACTGAATTTCTTGGTGCCTCCTTAAATTTGCACCAGAGACAAGTGCCTTGCTCTTTTTCCTCACCTCAGCCTTGTCTCAATCCCCATTGCTGTGGGTTACTGAGGTTTAATCCCACTGGGGGCTTCTAAAGAGCCATATAGAATGAGGAGGTATTTGTTTCCTAGTTCTGTCTCCATTGGTCAACTGCTTGCACTTCCAGATTGCACATAAGTGAGGGCTGAACAGGTACCACTCGACTATTTGCCATTGCTCACAAGTGTATGTAAATCTCTATCTGGAATTGTTTTGTCCTCCATACAAAATGAATGAACAAGTATACTGCTTACAGCTTAGCCCACTGGGGGAATTTCCCTTCAAAGTTGTTTAGGGCTACCCCCTAAATGGAGCTATGTTACAGGAACAATCTCTTTTTCTTTTTTTCTTTTTTAACTAGTATCAATGTCTAAAGCTAATCCATCTGTGAGTAAGGGCTATTTTCCCCTCCATCAGTTGGTTACAGAGAACTACCTACTAAGGCTGTAGGTCTGAGCTAAGACAGAAGGGTTGGTATAGCCGATAGCTGAGGTAGGTGTCATAGGAGTCTGAGCCACCTTTTGTTGACTTACATGCACCCTATTGACCTGCTTAGTCCTGATCCTGAATTTACCATTCCTGTTCTATTATTATATGATGGATTGCTGATAAGTCTGCTTTTTTTTTTTTTTTTTTTTTTTTTTGAGAGAGATTCTCAGTCTGTCACCCAGGCTGGAGTGCAGTGGCACAATCACAGCTCACTGCAGCCTCAACCTCCCTAGGCTCAAGCAATCCTTCTACTTCAGCCTCCCAGGTTGCTGGGACTACAGGCAAACACCACCACACCCAGCTAATTTTTTTTTCTTTATTTTTTAGAGATGGGGTTTTGCCATGTTGCCTCCTGGGCTCAAGTAATTCTCTGCCCTCAGCTTCCTCCCAAAGTGCCGGGATTACAGGTGTGAGCCACCATGCCTGGCTTAAACCTGCCTAATCTTACGACTTGGTAGACTCTGACAATACCTGGCTTACAATGGGTATCTCTGGTTGCATAGACCCTTGATGTCCCATTGCTAGGCTCTTGGTTTTTATTGGGGCCAAACAGCTGCTTTTCAAAAGTCGAATATCTCTCTGCTGCATGGCCTTGCTCCAGAACTTTAGAGATCTGTGCTGAAACTCTTTTATTAGGGCATGTCAGAGACTCTGCCCTGTAGCCTTATTCATCATGTATGCCTCTAGCCCCATTGTATCTGCTGGATAATATGAACCAAATGGTAGAGAAGCTTGTACTCTAGTTGGACACACTGTACAGCTCTCTCCTGCTCTGGGTTTCACCCGAAACTGAAAGCCTTCAGGGGCACGAAATAGATGGGTCAGAGGAATACTCCACCAAGCACTATGCCTTAGTGTTGGAGGATACAGAGCTCAATAACTTGTCTTTACTTTACAGGGGATAACCTGGCATGACTACTGATCCCTGATAACTTTACCCATTTGTTTCAAAATAATATGGGATAGAAGAAGTTGGTGGGGATATAGATGAAATAATATGGGCTGTGAATAGTGGTTCAAGGGATTCGTTTTACTAGTTTGTCTACTTTTACATCCATTTAACTTATTCTAGAACAAAAAGGTAAGAAAAAAGTTGAACAATATGAATGTCCTGAATCTTCATATTTTTATCTGCTATCCTTTGGCATACATGTGTCTTTACTAGGACATCTAGAGTTCTTGCTTCTTCTTGCTTACTAGGTCAAATTAGCATTAGGTCATCAATACAGTGGACTACCATGATGTTCAATGGAATATTGAGACAATCAAAGTCGCTAGATACTGTGTTGTGCAGAGAGGAGAACTAACATAGCCCAGAGGCAAGAGAGTGAATATGTACTGCTATTATTCCTACATAAAAGCAAACAGTTTTTCATCCTCCTGACTGAAGGATATTGAGAAGAAAATATTTGATGTTGAAATTAATCTCTGCAATACCACCCAGGATGTGGTTTTACTTCTCATTTAATAAATCAGTAAGAAAGGTGAGGGTAAGTGTCAGGGGCTTTCATTTGGCCCTTCCTACCTTAATGGCTCTTAATAAAATAGGGAGTAAATGTTAGTGTACTGCCAGTTGCTAGAACATCTGTCCTAGTTATTTACTTAGGGATAAGGAAATTAGTACAGTGTGGATCTTCAGACTTCTGGATCTGTTTGCAAGAGTACTCCATTTACCTGGCTTTCATGAGCCTCTGTCACGGGGGGACCATGATAGTGTTTCCCCCCAGCACTGATGCCAGCTCATACTCTGTACCCAATAGCCTTTGAAAGTCTGGTTCTTTTTCTTCCCCCTGACCAGAGTTACTATGATAAATGGCCACAGATCTCTCATGTGGAAAGATTGGGGAAATAATTATCTTGTATACCTTTGGCAGCATTGGAGGGCTCTTCTATAAAAAGGCTTGGCCTTTCCTTAAATCAATAGGCTCTGAGCCTGAGAACTGGCCTAGATCAAGGAAATTTATGAGGAAATACTATTTTCCATTATGGCAGCTGTCATCTGCCTTCTGCTCATGAGCCCTTGATTTTGGGGATTGCTGTTGTTACAGTCAAGTAATACACAGTCATCTGCCAATTTAGTTAACTCTAGGGACACTATGGTCTATTAGCCATTGCCATAGATAGACCCTATGGGTCAAAGCACTTAGCTGCCACTTTGGTTTTGTGGTAATTATTATTATTATTATTTTTAGACGGAGTCTCACTCTGTTGCCCAGGTTGGAGTGCAGTGGTGCGATCTCAGCTCACTGCAAGCTCCGCCTCCCAGGTTCATGCCATTCTCCTGCCTCAGCCTCCTGAGTAGCTGGGACTACAGGTACCTGCGACCATGTCCGGCTAATTTTTTGTATTTTTAGTAGAGATGGGGTTTCACCGTGTTAGCCAGGATGGTCTCGATCTCCTGACCTCGTGATCCAACCGCCTTGGCCTCCCAAAGTGCTGGGATTACAGGCGTGAGCCACCGCGCCTGGCCATTTTGTGATAATTTTTATATCTACCCTGCCTCTGTTGATTGTTACCCATCTAGTCTCTGCAATTCCAGGGTCCTACCATCCCCACTGACACTAAGAATTCCTCACCTTTACATGTTGTGTTGCCTCGGTGAAAAGAGTGGCCTCTGGACTTCCCATGGGAATGTAGTCTTCTAGTAGGTTCTCTGATCTTGCATAATAACTACAATCTAACATGCTAATCCCTCTGAGACTTCTGACTCCTTCAGTATTCTGCCAAGGAAGTTTCTGGCATCTCTACTTCATTTCCGAAGGTCGTAATTGTGTCCAAGTTTCAAAGAAGCATCTCAGAAGCATGTGAAAATGGTTTTATGTATCCTTGATTGGATGTTAATCCCTGAATAATGAGAGTGCCCCCAGATTGATACATTCTTACAACCCTCTCCTCACACCCCTGTTATCCCTGTTCCTGCCACAACATAGGTCCCGTAATTTTTTCAATGTGTATGCTATTTGCTTATAAATCAGATACTGTATTTCTCCACTTAGGCTGTGCTGAGACCTAACCCTAGTTATTGGTCTGCAGGCAATGAAGGGAGGTAGGGGATATGGAGGAGAATAAGCATCATCGTTGGGGCCCTTGCCTTAGGAGGAGTCTTGGCAGGATTCCAGGCAAGGAGAGGCTTGTCTCCTATAGCAGGAGAAAGATAGCTGCTTCTGCTGGCCTTGAAGGTTTAGGAGAATCCAGGAATTCAAAATTCTCACATTAATCTATTCAAATGTTCCCATTCTTTGTTCCAGGGTTCCATATGTTTCCTATCAGGGCCATGACTCCATTGTAGAAAGTAGAGCTATCACGGCTGTGAATCCCTTCCTTGCAGGTCTGCCTTCTAGGACCACTCTTATGTCGACTGTCTTAGCCCAGATTTCCTCCTGAAAGCAAAGCCTGAGTCAAGAGTTTGTGTGTAGGTGATTTATTTGGGAATGGATCCAAAGGAACAGGAATAAGTGACTGGGGAGAGTAAAACAGGAAAGAAGGGAAGCCAATATAAGAGTGCAGAGGCCAGATGTGGTGGCTCACACCTGTAATCCTAGCACTTTGGGAGGCCGAGGTGGGTGGATCATGAAATGAGGAGTTCAAGACCAGCCTGGCCAAGATGGTGAAACCTCATCTCTACTAAAAATACAAAAATTAGCCAGGCGTGGTGGCACACACCTGTAATCCCAGCTACTTGGGAGGCTGAGGCAGAGAATTGCTTAAACCCGGGAGGCAGAGGTTGCAATGAGCCAAGATCGCGCCACTGCACTCCAGCCTGGGCGACAGAGCGAGACTCCGTCTCAAAAAAAAAAAAAAAAGTGCAGAGTCTCAGACCAGCCCGAAGAGCTGCAGCCGCCTTTTGCGCCCTCCCTGCCTTCCCCATCCTCCCTGCCGACATCATGCTCCAGTTCCTGCTTGAATTTACTTTGGCAATGTGATTGGAATGTATCTGGCTCAGAACTATGCCACGCCAAACCTGGATAAAACACTTGATGAAATGAAAAAGGGCAATGCCGAGAAAACCCCCCTAGTTCATGAGGCCGACTCCAGCACTGCCTTCTGGATACACTGATTGCACCACTCTTGAGGGCCTCCTTTACCATCTCAACCAAAGGCTTTTGTTTTCATCTCCAACCTCAGCGATTTTCGTCTTGGCTAGACCCGGTGCTGCCTTAGGACAAAAATAGGGCCACAAGTTAAGAACTACCTATGTAGTGTGACAGATCCCCTGCCAGGTTGTTTAAGGGTACATGTCCACTGCCTGAACCCTGAAGGCCAGGCAATGAGCCAAGGCCATGGTGTATAGCTGAGGAATAGGTGTCCCTGGGAACCCAAACATCCTGGAGAATAGCTGAGAACCTACCAAGGGAAACAGTCCCATCACACACACATAGTAGGTAAAGAGACAGAAAATTAGCTTAGAGATGGGAGGTGGCACAGATCTCTAAAGCTGTCCTGCTGCCATTCAGGAGTGCCTCATGCATAAGTCCTAATAAACTCATCTACTAGCCAAGCTGAACTTGTCCCAGACATGCTTGGTCTCTTTGCTCCCTCCCAGTTTGGGGTAAGGTTTTTTTTAAATACAATTCCAGGTTTTTCTCATTACAATTGCTGTCATGAGCAGGATCTGAGAAACCAATGGATGAATTAGGAAGGCGCATCTGCGGGGAGAATCCTAGGGTGGTTGGCAACATGCATGTGGCGTGGAGTTGCCCGACTGCTCAATCTTCACAGGCCACCGTGGACTCTGGGAAAACACTGGCAGAAACTGAATCACCTATTGTAAGAAGTTAAGATATTAAAATACGATAAAGATAATAAATGTGCTATTGTTGCAATAAGGGTAGCTACTGAGAAATCATGAGAGCAGGAAAGGGAGAAAGGGTAAAAACTCCTGCAGAAGGTGAAAGGCATGCCAGGTTTTCTAGGACACCAGCAGGTTACATATGATGGCCTATTCTTGTGCACGTTCTAAAACTGATGGGCAAATAACAACAACAACAACAAAAAAGAGCTCAAATGGTTAAGCTGCAACTATAGAGTTAAATAGCATCTTCATATGCTCTCTGTTTCTCTCTTTCTTTTCCCACATGCTTTGAATCTGCTGTTATTAAGCCACCGTGTTGAGATAAAACTCACTGTTTATGGTAACACTAATTCAAGGTTATTTGGAGATTTTGTTTTTCTTATACAATTAAGCCAGTTCTAGTTAAAATGTAAACAATAAAATGAAAACGAAAAGGAAAAAAGAGGTTTTTAAAAATCAAACTGCCATGGAAACTTCTTTCCCCCAAATTTTGATCCACAGCTTTCCTTGGATTACCTATCAGGGAAAATAGAGCTTAGCCATAACAGGTCCCAATTTTGTCAAAAGTAATTTGGGTCCAACTGTCTTTTGTAAAAACTACAAATTTATTATATTGTCTCATGGCTAGAGTTCTGAAGTAAAATTATCAGATCTTTGTGTATGTATGTATATACATGTTTAAATATATTATATATGTGCATGTATTATATGTTCTAACATGCTACCAAATAAAATTATAGATAAATGGGTATAAAGTCCAAATGCTTTTCAAGTTCACAGGAATTCAATAATCTTTGCTAAATAAGTTGGCTTTTAAATTATTAGTAAATAAAAATAAAGATATCTTCAAAAGTGTCAGCATACATTTTTGTCTGAGTCTTCTGATAAAATACACTTTATATTTGCCTCTGCTAGATACTTTAAAGGGTCAGGGTTTTACATGAAAGTTAGAAGACTGTAAACCCAGCCAAAAATAAAATGATCTTTGTCTGTATGATTTTTTTGATAAGCAAGACTAATTCGATATTGTTGGTTTAATGAAAACAACTGAATTTTCTGAGTTATCAGCAGGAATCCCCATGTGTTTAACTTTAAGGCTCTTGCTTAGATGAACACCTGATATTCACAAGCTATGAAAATGGTTAACAGGGAAATAACTTGCAATGACGATTAGCTTTGTTGACTGTCTTGGTTCTCACAAGTAATCTAGATAAACTGCTAAAAATGAATAAACTGAGTACATGTAAATGAGATAAATGTGTGTAGGTGAAAATTCTGTATAGTTTAAAATCTTAAAATTACTTTAGGTACTCATTGAATGTCTAGGTCATTTCCAGTTTAAAAAGGGTTATGATATGGGCGAGGTATTTGTGGACCTTAATGAGCTAGATAAAAACAAGGACTGGGCCGGGCGCGGTGGCTCACGCCTGTAATCCCAGCACTTTGGGAGGCCGAGGCAGGCGGATCACGAGGTCAAGAGATCCAGACCATCCTGGCCAACATGGTGAACCCCCGTCTCTACTAATAATACAAAAATTAGCTGGACGTGGTGGCGCGTGCCTGTAGTCCCAGCTACTCAGGAGGCTGAGGCAAGAAAAGCTCTTGAACTTGGGAGGCAGAGGTTGCAGTGAGCCGAAATCATGCCACTGCACTCCAGCCTGGCGACAGAGTGAGACTCTGTTGCAAAACGAGGACCAAGTCCAGGAAATAATCAAAGAACAAAAAGGGGATGAGCCAATTGAATGTACACTTGCCCTGGTATAGGCAGGCAATTAACACGAAAAAATACCACCTGCCAGGGGGATGCTTTGAAATCACCTGAACAATCCAGGAATTACATAAGGCACAAATAGTCCAGAGCACCTATAACAGCCCTATGTGGCCTGCAAAGAAGCCATATGATACCTAGAAAATGACAGTAAACTGCCGTGAGCTAAACAGAGTGATGCCCCCCGTACCTGCAGCTGTACCCGGTATTGCTCAGCTGCTAGAGCAAATGGTCCTTAAGCTGGGAAATGTCCATGCTGTGATTAATTTGGCTAATGCCTTTTAAAGTATTTCTTTAGCAGACGATTCACAGGAGCAGTTTGCATTCATTTGGGAGGGCAAACAATGGATTTTCCAGGTGCTACCACAAGAATATCTGTGCAGCCCCACCGTCTTTCATGATATGATTGCACAGGACCTGTCTAGATTCTTGCCTACCTCAGTCTTCCTGTTTTACCATACTGATAATATAATGTTAACCTCAGAATCTCTTACAAATCTGGAGACTGCCCTGCACACCATCTTAGACAGCCTAAAAAGGACAGGGAATGGGAAGTCAACCCCCAAAACATACAAGGGCCCAGTGTAGCCATCAAATTCCTAGGAATTACCTGGATGGGTAAGACACGAAACATACCCAGAGCTGTTATTGATAAGATAGCACAGTAGCCTATTCCTCAGACAATAAAGCAACTTCACGTTTTCCTAGGTTTATTAGGCTACTGGAAAATATTCATCTCTCATTTGACACAAACCCTCTGGCCTTTACACACCCTAGTAAAAAGGGATGCAAAATGGGACTGGACACATAAAGAGCAAGAGGCATTTGACAAAGCAAAAATGTTGGTAAAACAAGCCCAAGCATTAGGTGCCCCACAGCCACAGCACCCTTTTGCATTAGAAGTCACTAGAGATACCGCAGGGATGAAATGGTGTTTGTGGCAAAAGCAACCAACAGTAATGGTACTTGTAAGATTTGGTCTCAATTATGGAAGGGGGCATAATCCCACTATATAGTCCTGGAGCAATAACTCTGGCTGTATATAGGGCATTGCAACAAATGGAGGCCATCACCAGAAAGCAAACCATCACAATAAAAACTTCCTCTCCTATAAAAGGGGAGATGGAGGGCCTTCTAGCCAAGCCCATCTCTGGGATGATACAATCACACACTGCTGAAGTGGCATGCCTATCTACAACAGAAGGTGTCTTGTCCATGAGTCCTGTAAGTCAGGCACCACAGAAAATGCTCAGACCCATCCACTTTGAACAAGTGGAAGGGGCCGACATGGCAATGAATCTACCTACTAGGCCAACCATCATATATGAAGGGATTCCATTGATACCCACTAGGGCCTAATACACTGATGGGTCTAGCAAAGGCACCCAACACCAATGGTTGGCAATCATGGTGAATATGGACACTGACAACATATGGTTAGAATGGGAATTAGGACAAAGCAGTCAATGGGCCATGCTACAGGCAGTTTGGATACTCATCACCCACAAGCCCTGGCCATTAGTCATTTGCACAGATAATTGGACTACATACAGAGGCCTTACCATGTGGATCAATCAGAGTGCCACAGACAATTGGCAAGTTTGGGGCAGGATCCTCTGGGGAATGACCATGTGGCAAGACATCCACATCAGGTTACAGGAAAGGGATGTCCATCTTGTGATGTACCATATGGATGCACATAGCCCAAACAACCTTCTGGAAATCAAAAGGCGAATGGCCTTACTCATTCACGTGCAGGCAATTTGCCCAAGCCCATCCGAGGAAATGCCGTATGTGCACATCATAAAAACGGCCACCAGGGGCAATCACAGAGTGGCCCATAGCAAAAGCAGCAGGCATCCCTATCCAATAAGCAAATGTTTTGGCAGCTGTTCAGAACCATGAGATCTGCTCACAACTGTGACCTAGAAAGATTCCCTCCACACCAGGTCACATACATTGAGCCATACAAACTATGTGAGCCTGGCAAGTCAATTGTATTGGTCCCCTGCCCCAGAATAGAAAGAAAAGGTATGCCTTAACTTGTATGGACACAACGGGGCTGCTACAGGCCTTCCCAATAAAATGTGCCACTCAACTGGAGATCATCAAATGTCTCACTGCTCTTTTGTGTGTGTGTGTGTGAGACAGAATCTTGCTCTGTCCCCCAGGCTGGGGTGCAGTGGTGCGATCTTGGCTCACTGCAACCTCCGCTTCTCAAGTAGCTGGGATCACAGGTGCCCACCTGTAATACAAAAACGCCTGGCTAATTTTTATATTTTTAGGAGAGATGGGTTTTCACCATGTTGGCCAGGTTGGTCTCGAACTCCTGACCTCAAGTGATCCACCCACCTCAGCCTCCCAAAGTGCTGGGATTACAAGCGTGAGCTACCATGCCTGGACCTCACTGCTCTTAACGTCATGTATGGCATACCAAAAAGGATAGATAATGATCAAGGCCCCAATTCACAGGCCATAATATTAAACACTGGGCATCAGAACAAAACATAGACTGAAAGTTCCACTTACCATGTAACCCAACAGGGGCAGGCCTTACATGCATTGTCTTAGGACTGGACTAAGAATCTCCCTGTAATACAAATTTTAAATGTCACCCACTACCATGCATGGCATCACTTCCTGTGAATGGTTGGCAAGGTTTGTAAACCAGGCCCCACAAACTCTTGGGGTTACCTCTGAGACTCAGATCCATGATCCTGAAACAAATGGCCAGACTTTGCCCCTGAGCACATCAGTGGATCTACCAAGTGGCGATGGCTACATGGACCCAAAGTTGAGCTGGAAAATGCCCCCATACTAGATCGATTTTATAGCGCTGGAGGACACCATGAAGACTGACTGAGGGGAAATGGTCCCAGCCGTGCTCCCTGATGGAGATCCGAGATACTGACGTTATCAACATGCAGCAACACCAACACCTGCTAGATGCGTTAAATGTGGATAGCACAGGCAAGGCCAGAAATTTACCAATTGGCTTTATGCCCACCCCTGTGGAGGGAAACCCTATATAGTACTGTAAGCCAGGCTCGAGGCCCAGGGCATCTGCCCTAATAGGGCCAATGGGAAAAATGATTATGTTAGCAATAATTAAGTTACAAGGAATAGATATACCTATGAGGGTTTCTACTAAACGCCTGTGTTTATGCCCAAAGGCCATGGCTTCTGCTACCCATGGTAGCTAGTAATGTCTTCCTGGACTGGGCTGCAGCTGCAGCAACAGTCAACAACCAGCCCTGTTACTGGGTATAGGGATACCTCCCCCTGTCAAATGATAATGGCATGCCTTGGAATATTCTGCCTTTCTCCCAACAGAACTGGAATGATTGCTTCAACAGCATCAATAAGGCAATCCGGCTCACTGGGGACTGCCTCCACCTGGAGGCCAAATTGCCAACATGACAGAGACCAAACAACATACGTCCTCATAGGCACTACCTGTTATTTCTCTGATAAAGAGAATCATGTCACAGATGCTTTAAATCATTTGTCAACTCAGATCCATGATATAGTTCAATTAGGTTACTTTGACTCATTCTTAAATTAGGTACACAGCTTACCTACTTGCTGGAATTATGTTTTGCTAATAGGCATCATAATTATAGATAGCTTCTGCTTTTTATGCTCTTATGTATACCATGGAAGTGGCCTGTATCCACAAACTGTGGCTATACATTATAGACCTCTATAGCTCTTCCCCTCGTTTCCTGCTCAGGGACTCTCGAGCAAGGTTGGTGGAAAGAATATAAGAGCTGGGGAATGGGATGAATTGAAGTATGACAGGTTCCCCGGCCAGGTGACTCAAGGGTGTATGTCCGCTGCCTGAACTCTGAAGATCAGGTGATGACCCAAGGCCATGGTACCCAGCCAAGGAGCAAATGACCCTGAGGACCCAAACATCCCAGAGAATAGCTGAGAACCTACCAAGGGAAAGAGTCCCATCACACACACAGAAGAAGCAAAGAGCCAGAAAATTAGCTTAAAAGCAGCTTAGGGATGGGAGGTGGCACAGATCTCTAAAGCTGTCCCACTGCCATCCAGGAATGCCTTGTGTGTAAGTCCTCATAAACTCATTTGCTTACCAAGCTGGACTTGTCTGAGGCACTCTTTGGTCTCTTGGCTCCCTCTCAATTTGGGAGAAGGTATTTTTTTTAATACAATTTTGGGTTTTTCTTGTTACATTACCCTTATATTTCCGACATCCTTATCTCTTTCCACATCTTCCTTTCAGCCGTTTGGGAGGTTCTAAGACTGGAATTACGGTGCTAGATTAGTGAACATGACCTTTAATGAGTAGTCTTTCCCTTATTCTTTGGGATTTTGACTACCTTTTGTCAGATGAAAAATTGGTGAGTTTTGTGTAGCTGATTGGATGCAAATAATGCTGATTTCACATTTTAGCAAAGATGCTTGTTAAACATTTGGTACGAAATTGTGTTGTTTCTAAGTAATTAAAATCTATTTAGAAGCCAAAGAAGAAGAAGAGGAAGAGGAAAGAAGAAGAAGAGGAAGAGGAAGAAGAAGAAGAAGAAGAAGAAGAAGAAGAAGAAGAAGAAGAAGAAGAAGAAGAAGAAGAAGAAAAGAAGAAGAAGAAGAAGAGGAAGAAGAAGAAGAATGCAGCAGTAGGTTGTTTACAGATGTAAGAAATTTGGGTATGGGTCTCAGAAATGTCCATCTTTAAGGTTCAGAAGTAGGGAATATTTAGGTCTGGGCTGGAGATACCTATTTGGGAGTGGTCATAACTGCAGAGTTCCTGAGGCCCTTGTTGTGACAGCAGAGCCAGCCAGGGTTCCTGGTTGCAAGCATGCTCACAGAATTGATGGGAAAGCTGAGGTACTGCTGAGATAAGCAGAAATCAGCTGTTGGAGATGGCACCCGCCTGGGAAGTAGACAGACCAGAGTGGAGCCCTAACAGGGCAGCCTGCTTCAGACTGAGCCTGAAGGGGAGGAGTGGCTCCTTGACTGGGCCAGGTGGCCTCTGATCACTGTCCTCCCAGAACAAGTCCAGTGTGGCTGGAGTAAGAGCACAAAAGGAGGGTAGGGACAGTTTAGAAGGGATGTGGTTATTAGACAGCGCAAACAGCACAAACAACCCTAGACAATGAGCATCTGGGGAGGAATGGAGGAGCTAGGACAGGGCCTTGAGGAGTGGTGCCTCAGGGGCAGGCAAGAGAGTGGACAGGAACACTGGCTGGGAAGGCACAGGGTGACAGGACTGAGGAGAAAGAGACTTCTTCCACCCAGAAATCTCTTTCTGGGTGGTGAGACAGTCTCCAGCAATTGGAGAGAGAGCCCTGGGGGCTGGGAAGGGGCCAGTCCAGGCTGTCTCTCAGCAGGCTCCTGGAACCACGGAGGGTCAGTGAGTGGTGGGGATGACCCATTTAGCCGGGATCATGACCAGACGAGTGAGTCAAGCAGGCATGGTGGTAGGTTCATGCATATCAGAGTTGGTGATCAGGTGCTGTGGCACCAGCCTTGTCCACACTCAGATCCAAAGCTTCAGGGGTCACCTTTACTTTGTCCAGCTTCCACCATTCCATGCCCCATGCAAAAAGTTGGTAAGGTTGAGCCTGCACTCTGGGCTGTTCTGGGGACTTGCCAAGTGGAAACAGATCAGCACCCTTCAGAAATGGCTTGGTCAGAGTCACTAAACCATTGGTAGGCAGGCAACACTCTCCATGGAAGACTGGTATGCGCCGTTACTTTGGTTGCCCCTGCCATGGAGATTTGCTAGGGTGTGTGTGACCTTGGCAAGTTTTTTAACCTTTCTGAGCTCATCCATAAAATGGGGATAATAACCATACTTCCTTTCTGGTTGGTATGAGGATTAAAAACAATCATATCGTTCACTAAGGGCTTGGAGATGAAGGCCTGGGACACATTAGCTCCCATAATAGTTATTATCCAACTCCCTTCCCTTCTTCTGAGACTGTGGGTGTGCTCCAGCTTCCCATGAAAATTCAATTACAGACCAAGAACACCCTGGATGGCAGCTGAGTGTTCTTGCACTGCAGCCATTGTCAGTGAAGCTGGTGTGTGTGTGTGTGTGTGTGTGTGTGCGCGCGCGCGCGCGCGTGGGTGTCGGGGGTGGTGCATCAGCCTCTGAGCTTGGCTCACCGGGCCTGACAGACCCACTTAAGGGCTGGTTAATGCGGTTTCTGAGCCCACATGGCTGAGACCGACTCCAGACCCTGCAGGACCCAGTGAGGTCTCTAGCAGTCTCTCCTGGGATTTCTAGTCTCTGCATTCCAGCCACAAATGGATCTATGTCAGACACTAGCAAAGTTGAGGTTTGGTTTCTGTAGGGACCCAAATAGTTTCCCACTTGTGGTAGAGGGGACACAGGAGGACAGTGCTTGCTTATTAGAGAAACCTCTTCACTACCCTTAAACCTTTTTAGAGGTTCCACCTCCATTCAGAGGTGCTGTGGGAATGTTGTTAGAAAGACAGATTATTCTGTGAGAAAATGATAAACCAGGAAGTTACATGAAAAGCAAGTCAGGGGTCGGCCTGGGGTGCAAGACAAGAAGTTGGGTAAGAATGAGTTGTCCAGGATAGCACTGGAGTGCACGTAGCTGGACAGGGGCACCCAGAGGTGGAGGGGAGGTGGGGCACTCCCCAGGTGGGGCAGAGGGACTCAGGGCCCACAGCCCAGGCTTCTGGGCATCATGGTGTTGTGCAAGTCACAACACTGCTCCCACCCATCCAACTCAGCAGTTCAAGGGCTGTGAGCCCAGGGCCAAGCTAGCACACCCCCTAGAGGGGCTGAGTCCTTGGCCATGAAGGGAGGGCTGGCTTGAAGCTGCATCTGGGCTCCGCCTACCTTCACCCCTTTCTTTGGTTCTCTAGGAGGAAAGTATCAAATAACAAAGCTTGTCACTCAGAGAACCAGAAAGGACTCCATTTGTGTTTCAACCTCCTTGGAGGGTCAAGGAAGCCTGCAAGAGTCTTGAGGAGAGTTTGATGGGGCTGAACTTACAGATAAGCACAATGAGAGTTACAGAGGCACAAGTTGTCCACAGAGGCCAGCAGGGGCTGTGTACCTCATGTGGCCCTGTGAGCTGGGATTTGGAATTTAGACTCTGTCCTAAGAGCAGTGAGGAGCCATGGAAACTATAATAGGCAAGATTGACAGGGAATTGCACTTGAAAAACCTCCTTTAGCTGTTATGTAGAGAAAGGATTGAGGGAGGGGCCAGGCAGGAGACAGGGAGACAAGGCAGAGGCCCTTACACTGTTCAGCATGAGACAGTGGCGTCTGGACTGGGGAGAGTGGGCTAGTTTGGAATTAGTTAGGGATGAACGCAGTCATGCTTGCTAACTGGTTTTACTGCGTCTACCTTTGCCCCTTAGGGCCTATTCTCCATACAGCAGACAATGTGATCCTAGTTAAAACATAATTCCAGGTCATGCCGCTCCTCTGGCTTTTCATCTCAGAGTAAAAGTCAAAGTCCTTACCATGGCTGTAGGAGAACAGCCTGTTGCGTGGCAAGAATGATGCTTTTTTTTTTTTTTAACAGGGTCTCACTCTGTTGCCTAGGCTCGAGTGCAGTGGCAAGATCATAGCTCACTGCAGCCTCGAACTCCTGGGCTCAAGGGGTCCTCCCACCTCAGCCTTCTGAGTAGTTTGGACTATAGGTGCATGCCGCCACAGCTGGCTATTTTTTTTTTCATTTTTATTTTTTCTAGAGAGGGGGTCTCGCTATGTTGCCCAGGTTAGTCTCAAACTCCTGGCCTTGAAAGATCCTCCCGCCTTGGCCTCCCAAAGTGCTGGGATTACAGGTGTGGGCCACTGTTCCAGGCCACTTGATCCAAAACCACCGTAATGACCAATGTTTGACCCCTAGATGCCAAGATATTCATCAGCAAGATCTTTAAACAATGCCTGTAGAATAGAAAACTCTTCATAAAGATGCTTATTTAACCTCTCCAGTGGTCACGAGTCTTGGCAAGAAAGTCTGAAGACGGGACCAGCTGCACATGTTTTACCCTAAGAGCTTGCTATATAAAGGATACTTTCTGGAAGGCTGGTTGGTGTGAGGATTCAGTCTTGCAGCCACTCGAGACATCACTTCTGTTCGTAAGTCCCTCTTATATATTTCTCTCTGAGAAAATGGATTTGTCAACCTCTTTCTTTGGCTTCTCAGCTCTCTCGGCCTTTGGGTTTGCATAGTCCTGCTATCCATGGAACAATGGCTCACAAGGGCCAACACAGCCTTGTCTCCCTCACATCTCTCTGACGACCTCATCTACTACTTCCAGCCACCTCACTTATACTACTTCAGTCACTGCTTGCCTAGGGCCTTAGGATTTCCTGTGCCCTCTGCCTGGAATGTAATCCCCCCAGATACCTGCACAGATGATATCTTACCACCTCAGTTCTCTGCCCAAATGTTACCTTATCTGTGAGGCCTTTCCAGATTCCATATATGAAGAGAATCCCTTATGCTCTACTGTAATGCCTTCTTTATTTCCTTGATAGCACTGCTTATAGCCTGTAGTTATTTTACATGTTCGTTCAAAATGTTTTCCTAGGGTGCAACACAATGCCTGGCATATAGAAGGTTCTTAATAGGTATTTTTGTTTTTTGAGACAGAGTCTTGCTCTGTCACCCACGCTGGAGTGCAGTGGCGTGATCTTGGCTCACTGCAACCTCCACGTCCTGGGTTCAAGCAAGTCTCCTGCCTCAGCCTCCTGAGCAGCTGGGACTACAGGTGATTGCCACCACACCGGGATAATTTTTGTATTTTTAGCAGAGACGGGGTTTTGCCATGTTGGCCAGACTGGTCTTGAACTCCTGGCCTCAAGTGATCCCCCCCACCTTGGCCTCCCAAAGTGCTGGGATTACAGGCGTGAGCCACTGTGCATGACCTTTTAATAAATATTTAGTTGACTGAGTGAGTTGAGGTTGAGGATGCAGGAGGGAGCAGGTGCCCTCCAGGACAGCAGTCCCCAACCTTTTCGGCACCAGGGACTGGTTTTGTGAAAGACAACTTTTCCATGGATGGAGGGCAGGGATGGTTTCAGGATGATTCAAACACATTACACTTATTGTGCACTTTATTCCTATTATTATTACATTGTAATATATAATGAAATAATTACATGACTCACCATAATGTATGGTGAAGGAAGCCCTGAGCTTGTTTTCCTGCAACTAGATGGTCCCATCTGGGGGTGATGGGAGACAGTGACAGATCATCAGACGTTAGATTCTCATAAGGAATGTACAGCCTAGATCACTTGCTTGCACAGCTCACAATAGGGTTCATACTCCTGGAATCCTAGAATCCTAGAATCCCTACTCCTAGAATCCTAGAATTAGAGAATCTAATGCCACTGTTGATCTGACAGGAGATGGAGCTCAGGTGGTAATGCAAGCAATAGTGAGCGGCTGTAAATACAGATGAAGCTTCACTCGCTTGCAAGCCACTCACCTCCTGCTGTGCAACCCAATTTCTAGCAGGCCATGGTCTATGGCCTGGGGATTGAAGACCCCTGCTCCAAGACTTACCTCCCACTGAGAACTCAGGCAGGATGCTTGGAGGTGAGGTGAAAGGTAGTGGGAGGAAGGGAAGCCCAGTGTATGTGTGAGTGGGTGTGTGTGCTTGTGTGCCTGAGTGAGGGTGGGTGCTTCTCCAGGACCCCTGTACCTCCCAGTTCCTGGCCTGGGTGGAGGCTGGGCAGGACAGAGGTAAATCTGAGCCAGGGTCTGACCAAGGAGATAACAGGTTGTGCCAGAGGCACCAGGCAAAACTGGAAGGGATGGGATGGAGGGCATGTGGATGGAAACTATTAACTCTCCCTGGGGATGGCAGGGCCGAGGCTTTGCTCTAGGGGAGGGGGCAGTAGAGTTGGGCCTTGAAGAGTGAGTAGGAGTTTGCTGAGCCATGACAAAAGAAGAAAGGCATTTTGAGCTTCAGAGGTCTGAGGGCTATGAAAAGGTGGACTAGCTCAGAGGATGCTGGACTGGACTGTCTGCTGTAGCAGAGGAGGTGAGACAAAGTAGTCAGCAGCCCGAGGTCAGAGAGGCTTTAAATGCTAGTGGGAGGACCAGGGACTCCATCCTGAGGGCCCCGAGGTCAGAGAGGCTTTAAAACGCTAGGCAGAGGACCAGGAACTCCATCCTGAGGGCCCTGAGGTCAGGGAGACTTTAAATGTTAGGAGGAGGACCAGGGACTCCATCCTGAGGGCCCTGGAAGAGTTGAAGCAAAGGAATGAGAGATTCCTTCAGCTGCCCTGAAATGGGTCTAAAAATGCTTGGGAGGCAAAATCCTAGACACAGTGCTGGGTAGGATGTTATGGCTGGCATGAGGGTGTAGAGGATGATATCCATGTCTTTGGTCTGAAAGCCCCTGAGGTAAGGAACTGGGCCCTGGGGTTCGAGGGATGTAGCAGGTTTGGGGACAACAGTGAAAGTTGGTTCTAGCCAGGTAGGCTGGAGCCTGGAGCACTGTGAATTGGGGATCCTGGATCTGGTTCCCCCTCCTGGAGAGAGACTCTGATGTCCCCTGTCTCAGTACTGGCACCCTGGGCCATACAAACCTTGTCCTATGAGGACCCTGTCCCAAGCTTTTCATGGTCTACTACACTCAGGGCCCCTGGGCAGACGAGGTGGGCTGGGGGACTGGGTAGAGGCTGGGCCTTGAAGCTGGGGAAAGGACAAATCAGGCTGTCAGCTCTGAATGCCACTCCCCTTAGCTGCCCTCCAAGCCACCCCCAACCAGGATGCCCAGGCAGGGGCTGCTGTAGTTGCTGCAACCCTGAAGGGGTGGAGCTGTTGATCTCGGGGTAGCCTATGGTGGCAGGGAGCCTCTTGGGTGGTAGTTTCTGTTGGGGGAAGGGGTTATTGCATGTCATGGGATTAAGGTGAGTACCAGCGGCTAGTGGATCTGTGGTGGCCAGTGGGAGAGTCGAGTTTCTGCGGGTGAGTGGGAGTGAGAGGTGGGGGCCAGGGCCCATGGCTCCCGGTATTTTTCCACCCACTCCTGTGCTTAATAATGCTTCCCTGCTTTCCTGGGTGCCAGTCATCCTCTCCTCTCCCACCTATGACTGGGTGGGGCTGGGACCAAGTCAGCGGAGGCAGGGTGGGCAGGCAAGGGCAGACTCCTCCACCACCCCACCCTATTTGGGTGTGGCTGCAGGGAGCGTGTGTGCGTGCACACCTGCGCAGCGCTACGGTGGGGCGCCCTCAGGGCCTCAACGCACACAGTCTGACCCCTTGGGAAGCAAAAGGAGACAAGGGCCAGACATGATCTGGGGTCACCAGCAGGACCAGGACGCCACCTTGCCTCACTGCTCTATCAGCACCTGCCCATTGCCCTGAACTGTGCTCCTTCAGGGAAGGGAGGAGGCAAAAGGAGCCTTAAGAGGGAATCTCTAGCACAAATTTAACCATGAACAGAAGATCTATGAGAAGAAAGGAAAATAAAAACTTAAGCGAAGACAGACACAACATCTGAATAAATGCACAGGAAGTGCAGATCACAGTCCTCTCTGGAGGAAAAGACTAATGCCAGTTCTTCCCAAGTGAGTCCCTAGATTCAGGGCAACCTGGTCACAGTTCAGAGGTTTGCTTTTCCAGAGCCTGAGGCATGCAGTCTCAACTTCTGACAACTGGAAATGTAGAGGAATAGCTTTGACAGGTTTGTAAATGACCAACAAGGAGGAGAGATTGGCTATTAAACTCCAACACAGTAGTAATTATACATTAACAGGGAAATAGATCAGATGACCAGAATCCAGTAACAAAGATTCGTACAAAATTAGGAAAAGTTCCTACCAATCATTAAGAAGAAGTTAAATAAGCCTTGGAAAAAAATCATGAAGGGTTTGGGGTAACTTACACAAGAACTGCTCTTTTGAGAGTGAGGACCACTCTGTTCCCTTAGTGCTAGGCACCCAGCAAACACACCATAAATGCTCAAAAACTGAATGTTCATCACTGGTAATCAGAGAAATGCAAATTAAAACAAACGCATATGACATTTTACTTAACAGACTGGCAAAAATGAAAAAAGAAACATAATATCCTGAGCTGGCAGGAGCACAAGGAAATGGGTCTCGTGCTGATGATGAATGTGAATTGATAACAGTTTTTTTGTGATTTGCGATAGCACAAAATTGAAAACAGCACAAATGTACGTTACTCTGGGCTCGCTAAATAGGCACTAAATAAAACGAGTCAGTTTCTTCTCCCGAGCAAGTAAACTAGAGGGTAGATCCACGCGACCCGGAGTCTAGGACACATCCTCGGGAGTGAACAGCCACAATTCACAGACGATGTGTGCAGCCGGGGCATGAAAGGCCCAAGGCAAACACACCACGAGGTAAACGCCGGGACTCTGAGGAGAGGGGTGGAAGCCGGGACTTCGAGGAGGGGTGGAATTGACTTAGAGACAGGAGGGAGCCTCTTGGAGGGCAAAGCTGCCCTGGGCAAGTGTTCTTTTCTTTCTAAACCTTCCTTCTGGTCTCTGTCTGGAAATTTAAGCGCGCCCCCTGGTGGGGGAGAGAGGAAGGGGAAGAAAAGGGGGTCTCGGAGGAGAATAAAGTGCTCGTGGGTGGAAGAAACCTGGAACAGAAAATGCCAGAAAAACCTGGAACAGAAGTGCAGACGGCCCGCGGCGGCCCCGGTGATCTCCACACTCAATCACCCTCTCCAGGGGAGCGATCGCTCCTGAGGCTGCCAGCACCCCACCACCACCCCCAACCCGCTAGTGCCGATGACGGCCACAGAGGCCTTTCTCGCCCCCAGCTCACCTTTGCACACACAGTTCCCCCGTGCAGAGTTTGTGCCTCCCTCATCTCTTAGTTCTCAGCTAAGACTTTCCCTGACCCCACCCAGGTCATACCTCCTGTCGTCGCGCCGCACGCAGCATCCCAGACCTCACCTTCGTATTACTAGAGCTGGCCCGTTGTGATTCAGGTCTGCCTTCCACCCAGGCTGTGGCCCCCTTCAGGGCAGCATGGTACCCGTCCTGCTCACTACTGCACCCAGAGCCTAGGACATGCCTGGCACCTAAGCAGATACTACTGTACTCGGGAGCCATGCATGGCCTGCGCAGGAGGGTGGCAGGCCAGGTGACAGGTTCAAGGTGGAGCAGAGGAGCTTTATTAGAGGGACAGGGTGAAACATATTTACACCGGCCGAGCAGGGACCTTAAGAAGCAGGCGTGGGAGCAGGGTCCCAGCTCAGACGAGTTCCACCTTGGCATTGGGGTACACCGCCACCACGTCGTAGCCCTCGGGCGGCTTCACGCGCGCCTTGGCGTGGCTCTCACAGTAGAGCCGCTCGTCCAGAAAGAAGTAACCACGCTGCTTGAGGTTCAGGCCGCAGTCACTGCACATGAAGCACTCGGGATGGTAGAGCTTGTCCCGTGCCTTGACGATGGTGCCCCTGATGGGGGGAACGAGACAGGACAGCGTCGAGTGACTGATGGGTTCACGACTGCGCCCGCATCCAGGGCCCTGGAAGGCTAGGGTCCGGGAGGGGCAGCGGGGGCGGTTACTCACACGATGCCGTGGCCGCAGCGCGTGCACTCGGGCAGCCCCTGCAGGCCGCTCAGCGGAGCGCCCAGCTTGCTGGCCGTGGGCTTGAGGTTCCGGGGGCCGCCAGGCCCGGGCCAATCCCCTGAAACCCGGAGCGTAGGTGGCATGAACGGGGTGAGGAGGTCAGAACTCCATTTCTGCGGGGTGTTTGGTTGGGCGCCAGACGGGCCATCGGCACCCGAGACTGGGGAACGGGTTTGGCGGGCGTGGGGTGAGGGGCAGCGACAGGGGGTGGAGAGGGAATCGGGAAGCCAGGGCGTAGCAAGGTTGTAGCAAGGGCGTGGGACCGGGCCGCAGAGACCGAAGAGGGCAGGTGACTGCGAGGCGGGACGTGGGGTCGCTAGGGGGCAACCTGGGCACTGCAGGGAGTGGGAAGGCAGATGGGGACAGGTGGCAGGCGTCTTACCGCCCTCGCCGGCCTCTAGCATGCCCTGCAAGTAGCGGAAGGAGCCTGACTGCTTGGGCTCCGCGGCCACGGGCTCGGCTGGCTCCCGCAGCATCCTGTACACCTCGGAGCCCAGGTCGACTCTGCAGTCCCGGCTCCGCGGGAGGCCTCTGGCTGGGTCAGCGCTGGGAGGGAGAAAGAAATAGAGGAGGAAGGGATGCAGTTCCAGCCTTCACCCTGTGGACTTGGGGTCTGGTAAGGCTTATGAGTCAGAATGCAACCAGCTAAGACCCAAGGATCAAGTGTCAGGGGTCAGAGTGGGACTGGGTGAGATTTGAGGGATCAAGGGTTAAGATGGGTTCTGGGCATGGCACCGAAGGCATCTCTGTGCTACCTGGGGGGTGGAGACACATGCAGGGTGCTCATCTGGGCTGGCAGGGTGGCCTCGCTGCTGCCATTGTGAGGGACTGGAAAGCGAGGGGGTTGTCCATATGGAGATCCCAGGCTTGGTCTGCCATCTTCTGGCCCAGTCCCGGTGCCTGAGGGCCGCCTGCTGGTTGTTGGGCTGCCGTCCTATTAGAGAGAGGCCTAAGGCACTGGGAGACCCTCTGGCCTCCAGCCATTCCTTGTTCACCCCACCCCCACCCTGCTGTGCTGTGCCAGGTGGTGGATGTCAGTTGGCTTCCTCTGCTTCGGCATCTCTGGCCTGTGGTGCTCAGCCAGGGAAGGGATTTCTGGGGAAGGGCTGGGCCTGGGGACTGGTTATGCCCCTGCAGAAATGAGAAACGTCCTTGGAAAGTCAGACACAAAAACCTGGGCAGCTGAGACTCAGCCTGGGCTTGTGAGCCCTGCAGTGGTTCTGCCCACCACCACTCAGGAAGGGACAGTACTGGGGCAGGCCTATCCCAAGAAGCCTAAGGTCTGTGTGGCTACAGCAGAGTATGTGGCCTCCTGGCAGAGGTGGCCCTGGTGCCAAGCCTTCTCACCTTCCTGAACTGTGGTGGGTACTGGGTAGGCCCATGGCTGGGAACTCAAAAAACGTAACTCCTGTCCTACAGTCAGAAAGGGTCCTTGACTGTCATGTGTCCAAGGCCCTTTGGGCAGGCTGAGGCTCAAGAGTGCCATTGTGAGGTCAGCCCCTTCTGGGCCTACACCTGTCCCCCATTTCCTGCTTTCCAGGCCACAATGAGTAGCCTTCTGCAGGCACAGCAGATGAGGGGCAGAGACCAGGCTAGGGCTCAAGGCTCTCTGCCCCACTACCCCACAGCCAGCCTGGTGCCCATGGCTGAAACATTTTGGGTGGGAGTGTCCTGAACCTGCCCCCTCAGCCATGAGGAGAGGGCAGTATCTCTGTGTGTGGGGGTCTGAGTGGGGACTGGGGATCTTTGTCCCTGCAGAGTCCAGAGCTGTGCAGTTCCCAGCTTGCAAGTGCACACAAGCACCCCACAGCAATGTAAACAGGGGCATGCACACTCTCACAATTATGCTTTAAAGACACACACACACACATAAGGACAACACATATGCACCTACCAATCTCCCTACATACAACTAACTACATGCGCATGGTTACAGAGACTTGGAGCCAGCACTGGTCACCCTGGGAATGGCCATAGTGGCCTCCATAGCTGAGACTGGGCTAGTAGCCAGAGCAGCCTGATTTTAGGATGATGTCTGAGGCCAGGCCATGGGGTAGGTCTTAGCCTCAGCCTGGGAGTGACGTGTAAACCTCCTCTGCTCTACAGTGTGGTCAGAGAGCCCAGTGTGGACAGGAAAGGATGCCTATCGTAGTGGGAAGAACCCTGGTTTGGACTTAGGAAGCTCTGAGGCATAGTTGAGCCTGTGGGGTTCTGCCCTGAGTACCCCCTGCTTTTTGTAGGGTGGGAACCTGGGGAACAGGCAGACCAGCAGTTGGGTGGGCCCCCCTCCATTTCCCCCACCCCAACAGACAAACAGGAGGGTCTTGCTGCCCAGGTGGCCCCCATCAATGCAGCAGCAACAGGAAAACCCCTATCCACATCAGGCCCAACAAAAGCCCCTGAGAAACGTGAGCGCTCTCACACGTGTGTCTGTCGGGCAAGCATGCAGGCAGGGCTGACCTCTAATGGGGACCAGATGGGCTGTGGCCAGTGGGGGTGGGGCTCAGCCTCCGGGCAGAGGCTTTGGTGGGAGGGAGGAGTTGGAGGGACTGGGACTGGGAGGAAGGAGGCCCTCACTCACCCCTACCCAGCAGGGTGCAGGGGTCCACTGCAGGGCCATCAGAGCCACTGCCCCTCCCACGGTCACCCATGCAGCTGCCTCTCTAGGCCTGAACTCTGTGGCTAGGACACACATGGCTACCTCAGTTTTAGTTTGAGTCCCAGGGTTATCCCCTAACTGGGCAAGTCTCTTCACCTCTCTGAACCTGTTTCTTTATCTATGAGCTGGGGAATGTGATGCTTTCCACATCAGGTTCCTTGTGGAGATGAAATAAGACAATTGCATAGTGCCTGGCATAAAGCACATACTTGTTGGATGAATGGCTGTCAGGGGAATTCCTGGGCCCCCAGTCCTGTATTTTCCCCCTCTGTGGGTGGTACACCTCGTACCATATGCTCCTCTGCTCTGAGAACCAGCCTGCTGCCCACTTGGTTGTTGAAGCCTCAGTGGATTTTTCAGCAGGATGGGGGTAACTACCTGCTTTGGGACACTCAACTTGGATGGAGGCAGGCGCTGAGTCCAGATGAGCAGGTGCCATCTCCTAGAGGCTCAGTTCTAGCTCTCTGCTGGTCTGGGGAGGACAGGCTGAGTGTGCAAGGACTGCCTGCTCCACCTGACTTGCTTCTCCCCATCACCTGGTTCTGAGCATAATTGCCACTCCTTCCAGAAAACCCTACTAACCCAGAAGGATAGTAATAAGTTACTATCCTTCCTCCACCCTGGGCTAGGCCAAGTGCCTCCTGTGTTCCCACAAGAGGCCTGAGAGAAGGAGGTTCTCCTATCGCCCCACAGGGAAGGTGGGCCTGAAGTTCCAGCTGGCCCTGTCCCATCCCACTCGGGGATGTGTGCCAGGGCACCTTGTGCTGGTCCTAGGGCCAACTGTGGTTTCCTCCTCCTCGATGGCTCCAGCTAGCTCCACCCCCTCCCCAACACCCCCACTCAGGCAGAGGGTGGGAGCAGCATGGGGACAATGGGCCCTGTGTCTGTGTTAGCAAGGACTCAGCCCTGCAGGGGTGGGGTGGGGGTGTTTTTGTCACCACCCATGGAGCCCATGACCTTTTAAGTACAAAAGTGGGGCAGCAGCTGAGGGGCTGCCCTGGTGCTTGTGGAAACTCCCTCCTTCTCCAGTCTGAGCCACTGGCAGCCTGGTCTTCAAGGGAGTCAATGAGAACAAGTGTGGGGGCAGGGGGAGCTGCTCTACAGTCGCCAGCCTCCCAGGCCCACCGGCCCTGAGCCTCTCCTGGAAGACTGAACCCCCTCCCCACCACGTCATCCTGGCACTGCTACCTCTGAGGGAGGCTGGGCCTCATGCATGAGCTTGAGGCCCACACCCTGCTGCTCCCCTCTGCCTGGCCTGTGGCAAACCTGGCTCATTTGTCTATGGCAACATGTACCCCTACCCCTAAGGTCTGGGGTCCATGGGGCCATCAGAGCAAGTTTCTGAGACACAGATGTGGCCATGAATCCCTGTAAGAACAGCTGAGGTCCAGGATAGAGAAGCCCAAGAGCCTTTCTGTGGCCCTGCTCCACCACCTCATCTCTCACCTCTGTCCTCTCACTCCTTCCATCTTGTCCTCCCTTCCCCTGGACCTTTCTTTTCTCTGAACTTGTGGTGCAAGACCTCACCTCTGGGCCACACTTCCTCTCCCTATACCCCTTTGCCTGCCTTACCATTCCTAGCCCTTCAGGTCTTGGCTTCAATACCCCTTCCTCCAGGAAGCACTCCTTGACTCCTTGTCTGAGTCATGTGACTACTCTGGGCTCCTTTGGCCCCTGGCTTCCCCTAGCCCAGAACTTCTAAGTGCCTTTCCCCTGCCAGAATGGGCACTGCCTGGAAGGTGGTAAGCATCTGGCTCCAGGGATGCCAGCCAGGCAGGGTAGGGAATAGAGCAAGATGGGATTGGGGTAGATAGTGAGGGAGAAGCTGGGGCACATCCTTCCCTCTGGTTCAGTGAAGCCTCTCCCTGCCTTGGCCCCTTTTCTTTCATGTTGAGAGGGTGGACAAAGGCAGGCCCAGGAGGCAATGGTCCCACATGCTGGGTCCCATGGTTCTGGCTCCATCACAGACCATCCCAGTCTCCTTGCCCAAACTCTGTGGCCCAGAGATGGCTCTGGATACCTCAGTCATCCCCACTTGGCTACTCCTTATGCCATGGCAAAACAAGGCCCTAGAATAGCCTGACCCCCTCACTCTTCTTGAGGACAGGACCAGAGATATGACTTCTATCACACACAGAAAGGTGACTGGGCAGACAGGCCTGCAGCCTAAGTTCTGCTAGAAGCACCACAGGATGGCCAGGAGAGAACTTCAGGCTTGGATAGGGCACTCAGAGGAGTGTCCCATAGCCTGAGGTCACTCCACAGCCTGAGACTGCCACCAATCTCCCCCGCTGCAAGCACAGTGACTTCTTTCTGGTCTGGCATCACTGAGCACCAGAGTGAACTCCAGCTGGCTGTGTGATAGCCGCAAACCAAGGCCTAGCCCAGATCCTGGACATCATAGGCACCTTGGTCCAGAATCCAGGATTGCCCGGAGTAGAGACAGAGCCCACACCAGGTGCTCATCATCTGAGGAACATGGGATGGGGTATGGATGTGGTCCAGAGAAAACTTCTGCTTCAGTCTCTGTCTTGGGTATCTGAGAGCCCCAGTGAGGACATTCAGTGCAGGTGAACCTGCATGCTGGCCCCTCTGCCCTGGGCTCACTCTGAGCCAGGCCAGGCCAGGCAGTGTCTGTACATACCTGGATCTCAGGATCGATGTGGATCCTGTGTGCCTGAGCCTTGCTGTCATCAGGGGCACTGGGCCAGCTCCTACCCTCAGGCCTGTGGCAGAAATTGTGATGGTCAGATATGTCTCCTACCACGCCCACCATGCCTGGGAGCCAGGATCAAGAGGGGCTGGGCTCTGGGCTGTGCCCTGCAGGTAGAAGAACACCACTCCAGTGCTTTCCCCTGTACCACAATGGTGACTGTTGTGGCAATGAGCCACAACTCTAGCTGCCATCCTCCTGGGGTAGGGCTATATGCTTCTGTCCCCATCGGCTGCCCAATCCCTCTCTAGTCTGGTTCCTGGAGAGGCTGCAGGAGAAGCCCTGTGTCTTCCCTAATCTTCCACCCTCTTCGTGGCCTACAGAAGCTCAGCTCAAAGAGGCCCAGCTTATAGCACTGCAAGCCAGGCCTCACACATTGACCAGCTAGAAGCCTATCCACGCATCCTCTGGGCATCTACAGCCTCTGGTGGGGTGTGGGGTCAGGCGTCCGTCGGCTCTGGGGTAGGTGGAATGGAGGCTCTGAGGGGTGTGTCTTTCCTCCTGCTGCTGCTGCCGGCAGAGTCATCACTGAGTCTGCCCAGCCCAGATGGGAAACAGGCCATTAGGAAATTCCTGCTTCGCCATAGAAACCAAAAGCCAAACACCACTCAGGAGGGAGAAAAACATCATAAACCTGCCATAAGCAGGGCAGGCAGGCCGAGAGGCTACGTGCCTAAGGCCCAGCCCTGTCACTCAGTAGCCCTGTGAGAAGGCAGGCCAGGAAGGGGCATGGACCCTGGACTGGCAGGTGGGTATGAGGTGAGGCTGGTTAGACCAAAGGGGAATAATGCCCTCCAACTCACCCCACGAAGCCTCCTGAGGCTTCTCAAGGTCTCATTACTGACCTAGCAGCTTGCCCCTGCCTCTTCTGCCCCCTTCAGTTGAGGGTTTTAATAATCTATCTATGCCTATGGTCCATACTCACTCTGCACTTCCTCGCCTCTGCCCATTCCTTAGTCCCTTGGAGGCTACCTCTCTACTCCAGGCCTTTGGTATTAGAGCTCTGCTGCCCCAGGGCAACACCAGCCCCATAGTCCCTGTCTCTAGCCCCCTCAACCAGGCTCCCAAGTGGGTACCCTAACTCACAGCTCTAACTGTGGCCTCTATCTACTCAGAACTCCTCTGGGATAAAGCTGGGACATCTTGTGTGGCTATTTGGCCTTCAACTTCCCTGAAGTTCTGCCCAGAAGAGCAGTACAAGCCTGACGTCTAAGGTCGAAGGGCACAAAGTACCCAGAGCCATTAATGTGGCCCAATGCATCAGATCAGAATGAAGGGCTTAATCATGTGTCAACCCCCATCCCAGGCTGGGCTCTTTAAACAAAATGACAGGCAAAGGGTAGGCTGTGCAAAGGTACCTTGGGCCACATGTGATGGACAACAGGGACTCTATCAGTGGCCTCAGTGTTGGAGTTGATGTCAGAAAGGTCCTGGACCTATAGAACATGCCCAGGAAGTGTGATTTTGCTTGGATTGTTGGATGCCTGGCTTTGGGCTCAAAGCAAAAGAAGCCCAGTGGGGAAGCTGGGCCTTTGATACACTTTTCATTCTGTGGGGGAGTTGGTGGGGGGATTAGAGCTCTCTGTACACAAGAGGGCAGATAGGGAAGCTGGTCTGGGGTAGAACCCTGGGAGTGAGAGCACAGGGTAGCTCACTCCAGCCAGCTCAACAGGCTGATTTACTGCAGAGCCCTTGCTGTGTGGGTGTGTGTGGTGGGGGCGGGGAGGAGTGTCGTTGGGGGCCAGGCATAGGTCCTGGCATAGCAGGCAAGATAGGGAGCAGAGTCAGAAAGCTTGCAGGTGGGCAAGTGTCCAGGAGAAGAAATGTTGGCTCAGAAAGTCAAGGTGGCCCTCATGTCTTGATCCCCCAGAGTCTGCATGTGTGAGGGGGCTGCAGGGCAGGACTCAGGTTTTCACTCTGACTGAGCAGGCCTGGTACATCATCACTCAATGTCCAGAGCGCAAGATGGTCCATATTTTTGGTTGAGGAAGTTATGGGCTCAAGAGATTAAATCACTTTCTGGAGCACAGCATAGTTATCTCTCCCTCTCTCTCTTTTATGGGTAAAATTATGAGCATAATTCTCAACCCAGCTCTGTAATAGTAGAGAATGTGCTCTCATCTGCTCCATGGCCAGTGACATTTTGGGGCTGAAATGCTCAGAGTGGAACAGGTCAGTGGACCTCTGGCTCCATCCATGCCTGGTTTGGAACAAAGGACTGGGGAAGGAAGGAAGGAAGGAAGGAAAGAAGGAGGGGGACCTCCACCCCACCACCCTCCGCTGACATCATACACTCTGAGAAGCTCCTGACTCAGGCCCCCTCTGAGGCACTCCTCCCCACTACTCCACTACCACTAGGGCTGCCCTTGTTCAGCCACACAGAGTCAAGGCTGGAGGTGAGTCAGGGGCCAGGATCCCAGCCAAGTGGGGAAGCTTCAGAGGTCACTCATGGGCAGAGCAATGCTGACATTTCCCCCATCCAGCCTGTATCTCAGTCTGGAGGAGGGTGATGAATGTGATCCGTTAATGGGAAAGGAAACCCCGGGCTCATAGAGGTCATCTGGGCACCTAAGGCTCCAGAGGCTGGATGAGGACCAGCTTTGCTGAACTCCAAAGATGGAGCATCCTCACCGTGTGCCAGGGCCAAGCACAAACAGGGCTGACCTCACAGGCCTCTCCACCATGTTTAAAGGCTCCAAGCCAGTGGCTTACCTCCCACCCTGCCAGCTCAGAGGCATGGTTAGCTGTGTTGTGGTTTGGGGAGGCTTTGCCCACGTACTTCCACAGGGGGTCATGGAAATCCCCTCAGCAGTGAACACGGCAGAGCTGATAAGTTATGCCCGACTTCTGTGGATCAAGGTGGGCAGGGGAGTGGGGAGATCCCACTCAGCCAGGCTTAGGCCAACTGCTTCTCAGAGCTGAGTAAAGACCCAGGACCTGAGCAAGGCTGGGTCCCCCCACCCCCACCCCCAGTGGACCTTCTATCCCAGGATCATTTATGGAGCACAGATGGGCTTGGTAACCCCCTGTCCTCCCCTTCTTGATTGGCTGCAAAGCATTACACAGTCCTTAGTGGGAACTTTTCCCAAATCCAGATTTAACCAGGGCAGAGGTGTGGGCCACGGTGGCGACAGCTGTGGCAGGGCAGCTGAGGGGCTGGTAGGAGTAGTCAGCAGCCAAGTTAAGGGTCTGTAGTCTTAGGAGAGAGCCCCAAAATCAAATTTTGCTACCCCACTCCCTCTCTGTGTGACTTTAAGCACCATCTAACCTTTCTGAGCCTCACTTGTCTCATCTGTGAAGTGGGGACTATAGTAGCCCTTTTTTAAGTTGGTAAATGAGGGTTAAATGAGGTGTTGCACAAGAAACTACTTTGAAATGGTCATCAAGCTGGTCACTCAGGGGAGGGGAAAGGAATGAAACAAATGCCCCAGAGGCTATTCAAGGTCTTATTTCAGTTGCCTGCAACACTTGCCATAAGTGCCCCAACACACTTCTAGTCTAAGTTAAAAGGGGATTTCTTCCCTTCTTAAGCTATAACTCTAAACAGTATCTGCCAGGCCCCCATGAAAGTGCTACTCCTTGGGACTGTTCCTGGATGGGGCACCCAGGAGCTGAGGCAGAGAGGCTGTGTGAAGCTGGGCTCACCCAAAATGCCAGCTGCCCATAACTGCCCACCTCGTCCTTCCATCCTCCCAGCCCAGCCCACCTGTGCATACCTGCTCACAGACAGTGTGAGGTGATCGTGGCAGCCCTTGATGCGGTTCTGTGCCTCCAGGTGTGTCATGAGCTCTGTGCTCTCACCATTGATGGCCTGGATCAGGTCTCCTGGGCACAGGGCAGCCAATGCAGCCTTGCTGCCAGCATGGACCTGCGAGCAGACAAGCCAGATGGCTGGGCACAGTCATGATATGGTCTTGCTGCAAGCTGTGCCCTAGGCCTCCTCCAACCTCAGAACCTAGCCAGTGTGGCCTGCTACCAGCATGGCCTGTGGATGGGCAAGCCGAGTGGCTGGTTGAGGTCCCCATGTAGCCTGGCTGCAGCCTTGCTGGAAACACCTCCAACTCCAGCACCTGGAGGCCTGGCAGGGCATGAGGATATACGAGAAGGGCTTCCTCAGGGCTGGGACAAATGGATGTTGTTCTTGCAGCCTGCGTATGTGCCCAAGGACATGCAGGGGACACAGAGACACATGGAGACATAGGTGCTCACAGATACATACACAGCATGGACATATCACAGATACCCTACACAGACAAGGCCCCAACCAGACAGACTACACACCTTGACCTAATATTCAAACCCTTAGTGACCTTGCCTTCCTACTTGCTTGATTTCAACTCTCATCCCCACCTCCACACCCACACTCTGTCCAGACCATGTGAATGTCTATGGGGTGCTCACAGGCACCATATATCACTCACCTCTACACTTCTGCAAAAGCTGCTCCCTCCACCTGGAACATTCCTTTGACTCCCACATCCTCATCCTTCAGATCTCAGCATAGAGGCCACTTCCTCTGGGAGCCTCTCTGGGATCTCACTACCCAGTGTGCTCCCATGACCACCTTTTCCCCCTACACTGTTCATGTTAATACTTCATTATAATTAAAATGGGAAGGTCTGAACATCACCTCCCTGAGCAAGTCCAGGGCCATCCAGTTCCAGCTGACAGCCTGCGTTTGGGGGTCAGAATTCTACCTCTACTTCCCCTGCAGGACAGGAACTCAGGCTACCTCAGTGCCACTATTGACCCCTCGGGGTCAAGCAGTGTTCACACCTGGAAGCTCTTACAATGCTGGTCAACTGAAGAAGGCTAGAATGGGGGGTGGAGTTAGACTCACAGAGATATCTAAGTAAGCAACTCAGGGGAATCCAGGCCATGGAGCACCCCTCACCCTGCCTTGACCCCAACATAGCCTTTAGAAATATATTTCTTACCCAGCCTCTCCAGCCAGTGCCCAGCTGGTTCAAAAGCTGCCAGTGACCCCATTCTTTTGGGTGGGAGCTCCTACTGGTGGGAACTCCTGGAAGCCCAGCTAGGCTCAGTTCAGCCAGGTCTCAGTAGTGAGTGGACAAAGCTGAGGTGCTGGCAGCTCCTTGGCTGGAGGCCTGGTGTTGGCACTGCCCAAGCTGACCTGCCCTGAAGTAGGCTGCCTCAAGGAAACGTTCTTCTGAAGCATGACACCCTCAGCCAACTAGCCCATCATTAATGTTCACTTGTAGGGCCTGGGCACCTGTGCAAGCCTGTCATCCTGGGGGAGACACCCACTTGGCACCATCCCACCCTCCCCTCAAGGCCATCCTCTGCCTCCTCCCCTTCATGGATACCTGCCTTGTGCCAGGGCCTGGGCTCTATGCTTTACCCATAACTAGCTCACAGCAACCCCTCAACCACCTGGTGAGGCAGAGGCTGTTCTCATCCCTATTTTACAGATGAAGAGAAAGAAGCTTGGGGGAGGGATGCCATGCCCCAGTCCCCACACTGGAGAGGAGTCTTTCTTCAGGGGGCGGCTAACTGCGGCAGGATGACTCAGCCAGCACAAGGGGTACATTCAGGCTTCTGTGGGCGGAGGAAGTTTCTTGAAAGCAGTGGTGGCTGGGATGCTGCCAGCTCTATTGAGCTAGGGGAGTTCTGGTCAGAGAGGGCGTGAGGCCAAGAAATTGTGACTCTCCCAGTCACCTTTACATGCATTATCTCATTAATCCTGAAGGCAAGCCCATTTCCTAGATCAGGAAACGGAGGTCCAGAGAAGTACAGAAGGATAGTTAATTGATAAAAGACTGAATCAAGATTTCAATCCAGGCCACCTGATTCCAAATTTAAAACTATGCTCTTAACACCTGCATTTTTCTTCCAAAGGGGGTAAGGGAAAAGAGAGTATCTGAGGGAGAGATAGTGTTCCAGGCAGAAGGACCAGCATGTATAATGGCATATCTGGAGAGAAAGAAGAAGGAAGGTTGTATGGCCGGAGCATCATGAGTGAGGGGAGAGTGGGAGAGATGAAGTCAGAGAAGAGGCAGGGATCAGATATTGCAGAGTCTTGTACACCCGGGTGGGAAGCTGGCATTTCTCCTGGGTGGCTGGGAACCATGGAGGGCTCTAAGCGGGAAGTCACAGGACAGAGTGGAATTCAGGCCGATCCGTCTAGCTCCTAAGCACAGGATAAACAGAAAGAAGGAACAGAGACAGGAACAGTGAAGTCAGGTGGGCGGTGAGGGCATGAATCAGCCCCTTACCGGTAGTGGCTGCATTCCCAGCCCCTGCTCCACCCAGCCTAGATGTGGTGGGCTGGGAGTCCAAGTCAGAACCAGGTGCCACATTGTCCTACACAGTCACAGCAAACTGCAGACTGCCTGGATTCCTCCTGTCTCCACTCTGCTTCTCTAGGTTGATTACATTAGCCTCTCTGTGCCTGGGTCTCCATCTATGTAAGGCCAGAGGGAGTCCTTACTTCTAAAGGCTGTTGTAAGGACTATTTGAGAAAAACAGGGCATGTAAAGCCCCCACAGGAGGCTGGGCATAAATAAGGTGGTGCTCACTACAGGGACTGGAGGGAGCTGTTACCAACACCCATTAGGGTAGGGCCTGGCACACCCTGGATGCTTGGCCAAGGCCAGCCATCATTATAGCTTGTGGGGAAGGAGCCCCGGATGATGTTCTTGGGACTCCTGGAGGCTTCATGGGCTGAGATTGCAAGCCCCCAGCCCTGCCGGGCCGATAGCCTCCTCCCTGTCTGTGTGAGGCTGTCCCTCCCTACCAGGTCCCGCGTAGGGGAGGTCCTGGAAGCAAGGGAGGGGCTGGATCTTGAGCCCCACTGGTGAAGACACTCCCACATATCTTCAGTCCCTGTAGACCTGCCCCAGAGGTACCTGCTAGGCAAGCTGTGGCCTGTGCCTCCCCAGCGCTGTAAATCTCCCCAGATCCCACCCAAACCCAACCTCAGCCATCCTGGCTCCTTGGGCCTGAGCTGCTGCCGCGTGACTTTGGGGGACAAAGGAGGCTCTTCCTGGCAAACCTTCTCCCAGACTGCCTGCCTGGGGCCTGCATCCCCAGTCAGCTCCAAACAAGGCTGTTGCTGCTGCTGCTGCCGCAGCCGCAGCTGTGACGTGTGGAGGCCTTTCCTCGGAGGGCAGGCAGCCGCGTGGGCAACAGATGTCTCAGCTCCCTGCCGCCTGCAGCCGTCAGCCGCCGCCACTGAGCCTGTCAGCGGCCTCACGCCCAGGGTGCCTGGCCAGCCCGCTTAGTGTCCCCACCAGCCCCCTCAGCGGACACACAGCATGACACACACAAGCAGACACAGGCTTGCGTACACACACACACACACACACACACACACACAGCAGGAATCCTATAGGAAAGAGGAGATGAAAGGCTCTGGGATGTGTTGAAGGCCCACCTCACTCGGCCCCAGGGACCTGGCAGTGAGGGCAGATGTGGGAAGCCTCCTAGGACAGCTGGGCCTGCCTGTCACCCTGGCCCCCAGAAACGGGATTCCATGATTCCACGCTCCACCTGGTGCCCACCCCCTCCCAAGAACTGGACAGAAGTCTCTTAAAGCCCAGCCGGCTTGGCCCAGCCCCCATGGCAAGAGGTGGCAGTAGGGTGGGGGAAGGTGCTTCTCTGTGCCTCTGACACAGGCCCCCAAAGACAAGATCAGCCTGTGTGGGAGCAAGGGATGGCCGTCAGATGGTTTCAGGTTATCTCCTCTGCTCCTTCCAGACTGAGAGCCGCCAAGGGCAGGGCCTGGGTTCTCTCCTCTTCTGTCCCTTAGGCTGGGGACCCCCAAGGGCAGGGTCTGAGTCCTCTCTTTTGGCCCTCCAGACACGAGGATGTCGAGGCTGGGCCAGGATCCTGTCTCCCCTAGACAGGCACCCCCTCGAACAGGGCCTGAGTCACCTCCTCCACTCCTCTATCCTCAGACTAGCCACGCTCCAGGGCTGTGCCGGCTCCTTTTCCTTCTCTGTGGGCAAGGCAGGGCCCTGGGAAACTTGAGGAACGGGCCTGAGGCTGTCCTGGCCCCCGGCTTTGTGTCATCTTGTGGGGAGGGGTCTCACAACCTCACAGTTAAGTCTCCCTTTCCCCTGGAAGCCAAAATTCCTCCTGGTCACTTCCCCTTAGGGTGACTGAGGTCGTGAATGAGAGACTGACTCACGCCCAAAGTGGGAAGTGGATGGACCTCTGTCTTCTCAGATTCAGCGAGGACCCCAGACCTCCCTGGGTCACCAAGCTCTGCCGGCAGGGACCCCTGATAGGGGAAGGGGGGCTCTAAATCATTTTGCCCCAGATCTTCAGGCAGGGGGTGAGTCTGAAGAGTTTCTGGGCCTCTGTAGAGCTGTCTAGACCCCTGGCCCATCTCCGCGGGTCCTTCCCGGGTCCACAGTGGCTCCCCCAGATGAGGCCAGCGGGGAGGCGGGTGCGTGAACTCTTGGGAGATTCTTCGCGGGATCGGGCAGACAGGCCCAGCGTGGGAGGAGGGCGGCTGGGGCTGCCTGCCTCTGCCTGGAAGCCGCCTCTACAGCATGCGGGGCGCCCAGGCCAACCCTCCGCCTTCAAGCCTCGGATACACAGGGGATCTGGGTCCCGGGCGGACCGCGAGAACCCGGTCTCAGACATGGGACCGCCCTGCCGCCACGCAGCCGCCAGACTCACCCGTGAGATGGTGAGGGGCGCGCTGAAGTCCCGGCCGCCCACCAGGCGGAAGCCCCAGGGCGAAGGCCCGCGCAGGGTCACGGAATGGGGCATCGCGGGCTGGAGCCGCAGCCGGAGCCTGAGCCGGACTCTGAGGAGGAGCCGCCGCCGCCGCAGCCGCCGCCGCCGCCTGGACGCCGCGCCCGCCCCCGGCCCGCCCGCCCCTGTCCCCACTCGGCCCAGCCCCCGCCCCCGCTCCCTGTGCGCCTGGATTGGCCCCGCGGCCAGCCCGACCCTCCCACTTCGGGGGGCTCTGAGGACCCGCCCTCAGCCCCGGCTGCCGGCAACCCGGCACCCCCACTCAGCTCTCAGAGATCCCCGCGTTCGGACGGCCCCGACGGCCTGGATCCTGCTCGGGCCTTGGATCTGCAGGCCGCGGACCCAAACCCAGCTGTCGACACCGGCCCTTTGAAGTCGCTTTTAGGGGCGGTGCTCCAGCCCGAGGAGGGATGGAGGGCCCACTTGGGGGATGGGGCTGCCCCAGCTCAGATACCTCCTCATGGGCCCGACTGGCACACCTGCGGCCCATCCTGCCGTGTGAGGAGCCCTCTGAACCAAGAACCCTATGAACCAGGGGCTTGCGCAGCACTGGGCCGGGGACGCAGACCCAAAACGACAGCAGGCAGCGCCGAGCGTGGGAGTGGACACAGAAAGGTCCTCAGACTAGTTTGTGGAGGCCAGTAAGGCTTCCTGGAAGAGGTGGTCCCTGACTTGTATCTGGAAGCAAGGTGTCCCTGCTTCCCCAGAACATTCAGGCCTTCTCTTGCTGCTTGCAGGCTCCTCGCAGGCCACCTCCCTGTCTGCACAGCCCCCTCCCCTCGTCCTTTGCCAGGAGATTTGTTTCCCCAGGTCTCCTGAGAAAGTAGCAGCTGGAGCGGCTGGGGTCGTGGCTGTGCAGTGTAAAGGGAAGAAATATATGCAGCGCTTCACTTTGGGCCCTTTTCTCTCCAAGGTCTTCTCTCCATTCCCAACCATTATCCTCCGGGGATGTACTTGAACAGCCAATGCAGATGCCATGGCACCACCAACCTCCCTCTGGTTCTCTCGGCACTTCTATCTGGCTACATCAGGGAGACACCTTTTACTTTTCCAGACTCTGTGGAGGTCTCTCATTTAGCCCAAATCCTTAACCTTATGTGTCCTTTTAGTCAAGCTGTGATAAGGACCCTGCTCTTGGGCTCCTCACAGGTGGTGGGATGAAATGTGTCCACTGGGTCTCTGACAACCCGCAAAGAGGAGAACTGCTTGAGAAGCACAAACCTAGGGCAGTCCAAGGAAGGGAGGGGCCCTTCAGAGTAGAATGTGGGTGCCTCTGTAGGAGGCAAGATGCTGCTATCTGTTCAGCTGGGAGAGAAACAAGTGGTGTGTGGTAGCGGTGTTTATATGGGAGTGTATTTGGGGTGTGTGTGTGGGGGGGGGTGCGGTGTCTGAATCCATTAGAGCACCAGCCATTGGGCTGTTCTCCATCACTTTGTGGTGGAGGAGGTTTCTGCTCAGCCCCTTGCAGACTTGGATCCCAAGTGAAGAAAGGTGGAAGGGCCAGCAGGAGAGCTGGTCACTGCATTGTCTCTCTGAGGTCTGTAGGCCAGAAGCTCCCCAGGACTTAGACCCTACTAAATGGGGTAGAGAGTAAGGGGCAGCCATCACTTATCACTGGCTGTCCTGAGGGTTTGGTGTACAGCATGGCTTGTGGTCAGAGGCCTGTCAGCTGGGCTCCAAGAGTCCTAGTGAATGTAAACAGTGCAGACCTTTTCTGGGGGGAAGGGATCCTCAAGGGTCTGTGGAAGCTTCCACCCAATGTATCCCAAAGTGAATTCCTGAAACTCCTCTTCATACATTGCTTGTTTCCCCCGATTTCACATCCCAAAGACTGCCTACACTCCTTGCCTCCATCCTGAAATTCCTTCATTACCCGTTTACTTCTGTCCGGGGGAATGTGAAGTGGTCCTCCTGAATATGACCTTCCTGGCCCCTGAGTCTCTGGGCAGTGTAATCCATCTCCAAAGGCTTCTATCACAAGTTTGGAGGTGGAGGTGGGGTGGGGACTCTGGATGAATTTTTTAGAATCTGGTCCATAAACTTCCCCATTTCATTGGGCAGCATCTGGACAGATTGGAATGATGCAGGATCCGGGTCCAGGCCAGTCATTCCCTCACATGAGCTCATGTTGACATCCCTGACTTAAGAGAACATCAGAGGCTTACTTCTGACTGTGCCTTCCCACAGGGGAGATGCCAGGTCAGGTTCTGTACCTGGAGTTTGGGGGTGGCCCTTCTTAGGGGCCATGCTGTAAACCCACTCATAAGGTACCCTGAGTTCTAGGCAGCAGGTCAGACAAGCTGCAGATTCTATGGCTTCTCCAGCTCTCCCGAAAGTTCTTTAAGGAAGCCCTCAGATTTCCTTTTCCCCTGTAATGGCCTTGGTCCTTGGAGATTGCTGTATTGCTGAGACCCTATCATGCTGGAATACCAAGTCATAAGGCAGTCACAGGGTCTGGAAGCCCTCTTCAGGGTGGGGATGTGTGGTGGCCAGGTCACACATCACCCCTGCCCTAGTGGCCTTCACGTATTTACTGCACACCCATCAGGTGTCTGTGCTGCTGGGAATAATCAGACTGCTTATTTCATGCATTCTTCTTCTCTGCATAAGTACGTATTGAGTACTCAGGGATGGGTCCAGGTATCATCCATAAGGGCAGAGGCTGTGTCTGTCTTATTTATTTGTGTCTCTCCAGCACCCCGCAGAGAACTTGGCACACACAAGGCATTAAAAAACATTTGCTATTAACAACACCACAGTTACAGGAATTATTATCTTAGCTTACCCTTTGGACATGACCCAGAGGGACGCAGGGAGGGCATAAGGGGGCTTAGGAAGGTGAAGAATTCTGCTTCTGTTGCCTTCGAGGCCACACCCAGTGGCTCAGGGCACGATGCCCAGGCCTTCTGTATGCAGCCAGGTCTGTCCAAGGTCAGGAGAAGTCACTGTGCTCTTTCCTCAATGGGCAGGCAGGGCTGGCAGGCTCCAGCAGGAGCAGACACCCTTGGGAATGCTGTTGGGCCTGAGCCTAGAATAAGAGGGAAGGATTGGGACAAGAACAACCTCAGGCTAAGGGTGAGGTCAACCTGGAGGACAATCCAGGAGAGTGCCCAGAATTGATGTAGCCCTGAGTGGGGAGGTGCGGTGGAGCTGATGAGGCAGCCCATATTTGAGGATACCTTCCCGTGAGGCCCTGGGGGCTAGCCAGAGAGCTCAGCTGCTGACCCGCTCCTCCCTGGCCTGGTGGCCTCAGGTCTCTAGGTAGAGTCTGCTCCATTCTGGCTCAGCTCCTGGAGGCCAAGACATCTCTCCTTCAAGGCCCAGCCCCGTCTCCCCAGCCAAGAGCCTGGATTCCAAGGGGATCTAAAGCCTTGCTTGGGAGTTCCATCTTCCTGGAATGCCCAGTCCACAGTACTGACCACTCCAGGGCCTCAGCAAACAGCCAGAGAGAACTTTAGATGCCTTCATTTCAGTGTGACCTGTCTGGTCCAGCTCCACCCAGATGTCTGCTCTCTTAGAAGCCTGCTGGTCAAGGCCAGGAACTCGAATGGTGGAGAGGAAGCAGTCTGTGGTGGGCACAGCTGGATAGAGGGGGCAGCGTGGGTCTCCTGCAGGGCTAGAACTGCGCCTTAGAGTGACAGGGAGTTAAGGCAGGCCCACTGTAGGCAGGGGTCAAGGGCTCTGCAAGGGGTAGAGGCAGCCACAGGCATGGGCACCAGGCAACATCCAAAAGGAAGGTCTGAGACAGTACAGCCTGTGAGGTGGGCTGGGGGCTGATGCCCAGCATATCCTGGAAGGACAGGACTCAGTCAGGAGGCAACAAAACTGGTCCTGGAGCCGTGGTTGGTTCAGCAGAACACACAGGGGAGGGCGTGCCTGTGGCAAAGGGCGTTTCCCAGCTCTAGTTTTGTGCCATTCAATCCCTCAACAAACACTTATTGAGTGCCTGCTCTATGTCCAGCCCAGACCTGGTCAACTAACCTTGGAGTGTGGTGGGGATTCTCCAAGCTGCCACACCTCTCTAGGGGCTGAGATGCTGGAGGCTCCAGAGGGGGTCAGTCTCTGAGGATCCAAACAGGGACAAAGCTGGCTCTGCCAACTGGGACCCAGTTACTGGCCCTGAGCCAGATTCCAGGGCGGACACAAGAGCAGAACCAACTCTCTTCAGGAAACTGAGCCTGGGGGAGGTGTGTGACCACCACACGCTCACACAGTTTCAAGTGGTAGGTCTGGGGTTTTAGACCCTGTGTTGGTGCCTTTGTGCCATGTGCCTTGCCCCAGGGACAGATGTGTCTCAGCTGGACCTGCAGTCCCCATCAGCACCCCTGTCAGACCTGCTCTTTCTCTGTTTTCACAGAGAAAACCAGTCTGCTCTGGGACCCAACAAAGGGGTTGCCAGGCAGCAGGGCGGGGACAGGTTTACCTAGCTGGGCCCAGAGAGGCCCTGGCCCTGAGGCCTGGGTGTAGAAAGGTGTTGGGAGGAGTGGCATCTCACACGGTGGGGGTGGGGGGGGTGGGAGGGGGAAGGCAGCTGACAGGTGGGAGAGCCAGAGGTGGCTCAGCGCAGCCCCAGCAGGGAAGTGACAGAACAGGCTGTTTGTGGTGGCAGCGAGGCCCATGTGATGGAGCCTTGTGCAACTGGGGCCTCAGGAAGGCAGCTTGCAAAAGCATCACAGCCTCACCTCTGCCTCAAGGAGACCCCCATCCTTTCACCCCTCCCACTTCTCATTCAGGCCAGAGGATTCGGGCAGCCTGCCGGCCATCCCTTAGTCTCCCCCAGCATCAGATGTCCCAAGTCTACCTGTAGTCCATAAATAGAGGCCCAACCCAGGTGTCTTCAGGTTTCCAGTTTCTCCTGACAGCTGGAGCCTTCCCTTAGTCTTGCCTCTTGGTGTCTGTGAGGAGAAGGTGCCTCCATTTACAAATCAGCTCCTCCAGGCAGAGCAGCAGAGGGATTGCAGAGCAACTGTACCATGTGCTCATTCTACGCCCTGGACCTAGAATGTCTTGGCCGTGGCCTGACCATCACTGTGCCTGGACAAAAGCAGGGGTGTAAAAACCTTTCCTTCTCAGCCCGAGAGAGAGAGACGCTGCTATAAGGTGCAGGTAAGGCTTGAGCAAAAGTGCAGGGTTGACAAGAAGGAGACGGACATACATGCAGCCCAGAAATTCAGTTACTGGGGCTCTCCAGACATACTCTGTCACTCATCTGTCAGCTGGGGCCTGGACTCATGGCCCAGCTTTAGCCCTGCCCCAGCGCACACATCCACAGACACTCAAATTTAGCAGTGACCTGGCCAGGACTGTCTGGTCTCTGGCCTGAGGCCCCTCCTTCTCTTCTTGACCACTAGAACTGACATCCAGGGCTACTCAGAAGGCAGGAGAGGCCCATGCTACTTCCATATTTCTTCCTCCCATCCTTCTTTTTTTTTTTTTTAATAGCAGCTAGAACGAGCTTGGAGCACTTTCATATTTCTACGTTGCCAATAAAATAAAAAAGGAAGAAATGTGAAAATAGTGTTTCAAGAATTATGGCATTTGTTACTTCTGCTTTGTTTATTTATTCATCAGATATTTTTGAGAGCCTCCTATGTGTCAGGCACTGTTTTAGGCCTCAGTGTTAAACTATTAAGTTTTATTTATTTATTTACTTATTTATTTATTGTTATTATCTTTTAAAAAGAGACGGGGTCTCACTATGTTGTCCAGGCTGGTCTCAAACTCCTGGGCTCAAGCAATCCAACCACCTTGGCCTCCCAAAATGCTGGGATTACAGGCATGAGCCACTGTGCCAGGCCTTAAGTCTTTATAATACATATTTAAAATGGATAGCCTCATTTGGAAATAACTTCAAAGATTTAAATTCCAGTCTTCCTGGTTCTTCGTCTCAGGAGGGACCCCCATAACTCCTGATGCCCATGATTTTCTCACTGGTATAGATTAGACCTCTGTCTCTTGATCCTGAGGGGTCCTGGGGGCTGTGATTCAGATTGGCAGAGGTGGTGAAGCTCTCCTCAGGAGTCTGGCTAGCATAGGCCTGTCGCTAGCCTATCCTCCCTGCCCCATCCTTTCTATCTCTTACGATTGGCCCTCTCCCCTGCAGTGCCAGCTCCTTTAGTCACTGATTGGTCTTGGTGAAGTGCCCTGCCCCGTGGTGCCCAGCACTGCCCAGTGGTGACTGAGTCACAGGCTGGCGGGGACTGTTCAGGCTGACCTCACCTCCAGGCCTGGCCATAGGACGCCAGCTGTGGCCACTGGGTATGAGCCTGGCCGCCTGTGTTGCTGGGAGAGTCAGGCAGAGCCATGTCGCCGAGTCCAGTAGCTGCCAGCTGGCCGAGAGGTCTGGGAATCCAGGTGCAGGGGGCCATAGGGATTAAAGTCGGAAGAGCCAGATCCAGGCCTGTGAGGGTGAAGCTGGGCTGAGGTTGCTGGAGGCTCTTGAGAGAATGGATTGGAGCAGGGCCCATGAGTCAGCCTCATGTCCTGGGTGGCTATTTTCTTGGCTTCTAAGAAAATCAAAATTCTTTCTCACTTCCCCTCCCAAGACTAGGTCCATAGCTGTGTAGATTCAGGATCAGCAGTGTGGAGTTGGAGGCAGAGCTTTCATTGGGAGTGGGACTGAAATCCTCACACCCTGCATCTCTCATACCCACCCGCAATGGTAAGAGCATTCACAGGACTTGAGCTTCCAGCAAGAGGATGCCTGATCAAATTGTTTGCCCCCTGTGAAATCACCATATTAATGGGAAGATAGGCTTGCTTAGGAACAACGGAGTCTGTGCCTCTCCTGCAGGAGAAACCAGGAGCTCTAAGAGAATGTATAATGAGAACTTCTATGTGTGGAGAGTTAAACAAGAAGCTGTCTCATCCCAGGGAAGATGAAGAGAAAATGGCGGATCTGGGCTTGAAGTGCACACAGTGTTGGAAAAGGCCCCACCTAAGGCTCTAGGACCAGCAGTCCCTGAGAAGTAGCTGTGTGTAGGATTAAGACAAGCTGACTGCGGAGAGCTGTGACATTGGGCATTCAAGCATGAAGCATTGTTGGCCCAGAGAGGGTGCACAAGCATTCTCCCTCAGAGAACCATGGTGTTCCAGAGCCAGAGAGAGATGGAGAGCTTCCACAATCCTTGTGAAGATCTGTTATCCTAACACCAATATATCCCCTTTAAGAAAATGGTGGCCCCCTGTAAATTGTCAATATAGCAAATTGGCTCCCATAATATATTGAAACACTATTACCACCTTGGGGATTCTTTTTCAAATTACAAGCTTGATTTAATATAAAACGTAATGATTAATACATTAGATTAAAAGAAGAAAGGAATCTTGTAATTATCTCAAAAGGCATTGACAAAATTCATCAGCCATTCACACGATAAAAGTTAGAAAACCATGAAGAGAGGAAATGTTCTTAACATTTTAAAGAACAGATATAAAAAACCAAAAGCCAGCATTAGATTTAACAGTCTAGGAAGTTCTATTAATGGGAGAATCCAATGTCCTCTTCACTACTGTTGTTCAGTGTTGCTCTGGAAGTCCTAACCAGGACAATAGGGTGAAAAGAAGAAATAAGGGAGAAGTAAAGGAAGTAAGTAATAGAGTCAAAATGATCATTATTTGCAGATATTATGATTTTCCTTTCATAATATCCAAGAGAATCAATTGAAAAATGATTATGACCAGTAGGAGAATCCAGTAGGAGGGAGCAGAGTAGAATAAATTAATATATGTATATAGATTTTAATAGCTTTTAAGAGTGCTAAGTCACAACTGATTGGAAAATGTGATGAAAACAATTTACCATTCACGATAATGGTGAAACATTAAAAATATCTAGAAATGAATTTTGAGTACATCAAAAGCCTATAAACTTTTTTCTTTTTTATTTCCTTTTTCTTATCCTAGTGGTGGTGAGAACAAAGGGCCTATGAACTTTGATCTAGGATAGATTTAAAAGAAGACAAAAGGTATGCAGGCATATGTCATGTTTCTAGAAAAATCAATATTTTTAATTTATTAGTAAATTCAATGCAATTCCAAACAAAATTTGTTTGGGTGGGAGGAATTGACAAGATGATTCTAAGGATCAACTGAAAAGTAAGTATGAAAAAAACCCACAAATATTGGATTAAGAGACTAATAAAGTAAGATTTGCCCTATAAGTATCAAAGTATGCAATAGAGCTAAAATAATTAAGAATGTGATAGCAGCATAGGAAAAGACGAATATGTTAGTGGAACAAAAGAGAGTCCATAGCATGAGATAAAGAAAACATTTTAATTCAGGGAATAAAAGGTAGTTTACTCAATAACTCATGTTGGGGCCATTTACTATTATGCATAAAAAATAAGGCTATAATTCTATATGCTATATAATTTCCCACATTATAAAGTAAATCCCAAATGGATTCATGATCTATATATTTTAATTTTCCCAATGTGAATGCTTTTATAAACTACTCATATGCTTTACCAGAAATGACTGGTAAAAAAATATATAGATTAATATTTTTATAATCATGGTGCTACGGTTTGAATGTGTCCCCCAGAGTTCATGTGTTGGAAACTTAATCTACAATGCAACAGTGTTGAGAGGTGGGCTCTTACGAGGTGATAAGGTCATGAGGGCTCTGCCCCCAATGGATTAATGCCAACAGAGGTGGGTTTGTTATTGTGGGAATGTGTCCTTGTGAAGGAGGAGCTCGGTCCCCCTTTGTCTCTCTCACCCTCTAGCCTTCTGCCATGGAATAATGCAGCAAGAAGGCCCTTGAAAGATGCTGGCACCTTGATATTGGACTTCTCAGCTTCCAGAATTTTGAGAAATAAATTTCTTTTCTTTATAAATTACTCAGCTATTGGTATTCTGTTATAGTAACTTGAAGCAGACTAAGACTTGAGGTGAGAAACATCTCTTTCGTGAAGATAAATACTTGAAATATGTTTTCCTGTTACATATAGATTTCAAAAATCAGAGAAATATGCTGCAAACTGTTGGTAGTTTTTGTTTCTGGGGATGGTATTTTGGGACATTTACTTTTTCTGAGTTATATATTTGTACAGTGTTTTAATTTCATATAAATAAATTTTACTGTTTGTAATTAGAAAAATGAAGATAATAAAAAGGAAAATAAAGACAACAGAAGGACAAATACTGCTTCTTATGTAAGAACCTTACAATAATACACTTCCATTTACTTCTCCCTTCTTTTTTGCTAATGTTGTTGTGCGTTTACCTCTGTATTTGCTATAAACTCCATAATAAATACTCATTATTTTTGCTTTAAACAGTCAACTGTCTTTTAAGTAATTTAAAAAACAAGAAAACCTATTTTCTATTTACTTGTTAGGTTTACTGGTAGCACTTGTTCTTTTGTTTAGAGCTGAATTTCCAACAGGTATCAATGAGCCACCTCAGCAGAGAAATGGCTTATTTCCCTTCAGCCTTAAGAACTTCCTTTAGGCCATGTGCGGTGGCTCATGCCTGTAATTCTAGCACTTTGGGAAGCCGAGACAGACGGATTGCCTGAGCTCAGGAGTTCCAGACCAGCCTAGGCAACAACAGTGAAACCCTGTCTCTACTAAAATACAAAAAATTAGCCGGGCATGGTGGCGTGCGCCTGTAGCCCCAGCTACTCAGGTGGCTGGGGCAAGAGAATCGCTTGAACCCAGGAGGCAGAGGTTGCAGTGAGCTGAGATCGCACCACTGCACTCCAGCCTAGGAAACAGAGTGAGACTCCGTCTCTGGAAAAAAAAAAAAGAAAGAAAAAAAAGAACTTCCTTTAACATTTCCGGTAGTACAGACGGACTGGTGATGAATTCTGTCAGCATTTTTTTAAGATCCCGAAGTATTTTTATTTTTCATTCCCCACCCTGTCCCCCAACCTTTTTTTGTTTTTTTTTTTTTTTTTTTTGGAGACAGAGCCTTGCTCTATCCCCCAGGCTGGAGTGCAGTGGCACGATCTTGGCTCACTACAACCTCTGACTCCCGAGTTCAGGTGATTTTCATGCCTCAGCCTCCCTAGTAGCTGGGATTACAGACACCTGCCACCACGCCCAGCTAATTTTTGTATTTTTAGTAGAGACGGGGTTTTGTCATGTTGGCCAGACTTGTCTGGAACTCCTGACCTCAGCTGTTCCATCCGCCTCAGGCTCCCAAAGGGCTGAGATTACAGGTGTGAGCCACCGTGCCCAGCCTCTCATTCCTCTTTTAAAGATAACTTCTCTGGATATAGAATACTAGGTTGCTTTTTTTTCTCATAGATTATTTAATATTTAATATATAATTCCTATAATTTTATTGTTTTCTGTCTTGCATTACTCCTGCTAAGAAATAAATGGTGATTCTAATCGTTGTTTCCCTTATGTAATGTGCCTATATTCTTTTATCACTTCTAAGATGTTCTATTTGGTTTTAAGATTTTGACTATGATGTTCCTAGATGTAGTTCCCTTGTTTTTATCTTCTTTGGAGTTTTAAAACCCCAGCTTCTTGGGATGGTGTATTAATAATTTTTTAAATCAAATATAGAATTTCATTTACCATTTAAAAGAATTTTTTTTGCCCCAATCTCTTTCTCCCCTTTCCTTCTGGGACTCCAATTTTATGTATATATTAGATTACATGATACTGTTTCAAGGTCACTTTGTTGAGGCTGTGTTTGTATTTTTCAGTCCTTTTACTTTTAGATGTTTTCCATAGTCTTGACTTCAAGTTCATTGATCTTTTCATTTGTAGCATCCAGTCTACTCATAAGTTTATCTAGTACATTTTCCATTTTGTATATTGTATTTTTCAATTCTAGAATTTTCATTCAGCTCCTTTTTTATAGTTTTCATTTCTCTGCTGAGATAGCTCATCTGTTCATTTATTATCTCTATCTTGTAATTTAAACTTCTTTAACATATTTATAATAGCTATTTAAAGTCCTCATCTGCTAGTTCCAATATCTGTGTTACCTCTGGATCTATTTCTGTTGATTATTTTTTGTCCTGGTTATGAATCATATTTTCCTGCTTCTTCATATGTTTAGTAATGTTTGACTGTATATTAGGAATTGTGAATACTTCATTGTTAAGAGTTTGGATCATGTTTAAAGAGTGTTGAGTTTGTTTTATTAGATAGTAAATTCACTAGAGGCTCAATTTGAGCCTGAGGCTTGGTTTTAGGCTTTATTATGGCAGGTCTAAGATACTGCGTATTACAGGCACAGAGTAGCCCTATTCTTAAAGCGTGGACTTTCTTGGGTTTTCATTGAGTGCTCAGGGTGTTCAACAAAGTCTTTTCACCTTGTTGATCAGAACAGATCTCAGAATCATGAGCCCTCTAGAATCCCCACTTAGTTCTTAGACCCAGAGAAGTTTTTTTTGTGTGTTTTTTGTTTGTTTGTTTGTTTGGTTGTTGTTTTTAATCCACTAGGCCTTATGGAATCTTGCTCTGCATGTGAGGCTTAGACAAAGCCTCAGGAGCACCTCTGTATAGCTTTCCAGAGCTCCTTCTTTGTGTAGCTCCTTCTTCTTTGATACCTTATCCCACAAATTTCAGCCACCTCAGCGTCTGCTATCTATGATCTTTGTCTCCTTCACATGATGAGACCATTGTTCTCTCTCTCTCTCTCTCTTTGGAGACAGGGTCTCACTCTGTTGCCCAGGCTGGAATGCAGTGGCACGATTATGGCTCACTGCAGCCTCAACCTCCTGGCCTCAAGTGATCCTTCTGCCTAAGCCTCTGGAGTAACTGGTACTACAAGTGTGCACCACAATGCCTGGCTAATTTTTTAACTTTTGTAGAGACAGGGTATTGCTATGTTGCCCAAGCTGGTCTCAAACTCCTGGCCTCAAGGGATCCTCCCACCTCAGCCTCCCAAAGTGCTAGGATTACAGACATGAGCCACTGTGCCTGGTGCCATTGCTTTCTGGGCACCACTTCCTTATGCCATGGTTTGGAAAGTATCCTAGGCAAAGCACTTTCCCTTTTGTTTCCCTTCTCTCAAGGACAAAGGCTATTTGATGTTCAATGCCTATAATCACTGGCTATAAATATTTCGAGTTTTATGGTTGTTTACAGTGGGGAGGGAAGTTTATTACCAACTTATCAGTTATGGTTGGAACCTAAGGAAAGTTTGAAAACTAAAAGAAGAAAGAAAAGGAAAAGAAAATAGGGACCCTTAATTCAAGATGTGGATCTGATGTCATAAATGTCTAAGAGTCTGAGCTTCATCTCAAAGCAGCTGGGCCAGTTGAGCATACCCTGCTGTAGTTCTTTCTAACCTGGCATCAGAATTGGACTGAATAAAATGTACAGTTCTGGCCACTATAGCAGGTTGTGTCAGACTTATCCTTCTGCTGAAAACAACTATAAAAGTTGGACAAAATGTATAAAACAACTATTTGAAGGCATTTGAGAACAACCAATACAGCTAAGAATTGAGGAGTTGTGATCCTGGAGAAAAGGGAATAATGTGTAGTGAGTTCCACATTTACCTTTGCTTTTTCCCTAGGGGCATTTCACACATTGTTACTTGAGGGAATAGGGACCAAGCAGAAAGCATCAGTCTTACCAGACTGAGGATACAAAGGTCAGAGTTCAGGGCTGCCGAAGAAGATGGAAATTAAGAAGGAAAATTCCAGAAGGTAGGAAAGAAGAGAGAAGGAGCCCAATAATTGCATGCAAATTCCTCCAACTTTATTGGCTTTTTTTTGAGACAGGGTCTTGCTTTGTTGCCCAGGCTGGAGTGTAGTGGTGTGATCTTGGCTCACTGCAGCCTCCCTCAACCTCCTGGATTCAAGCCATCCTTCCACGTCAGCCTCCCAAGTAGCTGGGACTACAGGCACATGCAATCATGCCTGGCTGACTTTGCTTATTTTTTTGTGGAGATGAGGTCTCACTATGTTGCCCAGGCTGGGCTTGAACTCCTGGGCTCAAGCAATACTCCAGCCTGGGTCTCCTAAAGTGTTGGGATTACAGGCATGAATCACCATGCCCACCCTATTGGCCTACTTTTAGCCTATCAGGCTAAAGAACTGAGCAAATTGTAGTAGTCTTAAAGTGTTGGGGAGACAAATTGGAATTCAACTTCTATCAAGGTAGAGAGGCCTTGGTAAATGCGTAGGTGTTCTGCTAAGTCCCAGAAGGGTCACACACTAGGAGAGAGGGTCACATCCTAGGAATAAGAGATATGTCCTAGGACAAAAAAGAACCACACCAGCCAAACCATGACATAAACCAAAGCCTTGACAGGAGTAGGGTATTTATTTGGTACTCTGCCTTCCAGAAGTCAACTTAATTCTCTCTTCCTGGATGAATACAACATCACCCAGAGACTTTCCAACTTTTCATCCAAAATGTGTGTCATCTAATAGAGAAGTATGAGACATGCTAAAAAACAAAACAAAACACAAACAAAAAAACAGGGCCAAATGACTAAAAATCAAGAGAAAAGGCAGACAATGGAAATAGACCCACAGGTGTTTCAGAAATGAGAGACTTCCAATAATTATGATGAAAATGTTCAAGAAAATAGAGGGAAAGTAAAAAAAAAAAAAGATGAAAAGCTAGAGAATTTAAATATAGAATTGCCAGAATACTGATAAAGATAGCAGATAGGAGGCAGGACTAGCTTGCAGCTCCTGCTCAGACAAACAGAGCAGTGTGTGGAGACTCACATCCTGAACTTTTGCTCCAAGAACTACTGCAGGAACATACCAGGAAAGCCAAGAGAATCCACAGACCCTTTGAAGGAACTGGATCACTACTGCAGGCTCCTCGAGATGCAAAAAAACTGTGAGTCTGCATGTTTTCTCAGCAGGGAGGGTCATGGTCTGGGACAAGTTCTCAGCCCTGGGCACTGGCTACCTGGAAATAGACTCAGTACTGTTGTGGGGCCATGGTGGGAGTGAGATTGGCCTTTAGGACTGTGGGTTGCACAGGAGCAGGGTGAGGCCTGTGACTGCCAGCTTTCTCCCACTTCCCTGGCAAACCTGTATGACTCAGCAGAGGCAGCCACAATCACCCCCGGGAGTATAACTCCATCGGACTGGGAACAACACCCCTATCCCCCACAGCAGCTGCAGCAAGCCCTGGCCAAAGAGAGGCTGAGCTCTGAAATGCATATCCCTGCCCCCACCTGATGGTCTTTCTCTACCCACCCTGGTAGCCAAAGACAAAGGTCATAATCTCTTGGGAGCTCTATGGCCCTGCCCACCGTCTTAACCAGGTGTCCCTAGGGCAAATTTGCATTCTCCTTATAGGACTGCAGCAGATGTGCTCTTGAAAGCACCACCTCCTGCATGGAGGCCAACCAACACAAAACCAAGTACCCTCACAGAGTCCATTTCACTCCCCTGCTACCTCCACAGGAGCAGGTGCTGGTATCCATGGCTGCAATACCTGAAGATGGATCATATCACAGGACTCTGCAGACACTCCCCAGTACCAGCCTGTAGCCCAGTAGCTCAGCTAGGTGGCTAGACCCAGAAGAGCAAAAACAATCACTACAGTTCAGCTCTCAGGAAGCCCCATTCCTAGGGGAAGGGGGAGAACACCACATCAAGGGAACACCCCATGGGACAAAATAATCTAAACAACAGCCCTTGAATTCCAGACCTGCCCTCTGACATAGTCTACCTAAATGAGAAAGAACCAGAAAAACAATTCCAGTAATATGACAAAACAAGGTTCTTTAACACCCCCAAAAGATCATACCAGCTCACCAGCAATGGATCCAAACCAAGACAAAATCTCTGAATTGCCAGAAAAAGAATTCAGAAGGTCGATTATTAAATTAATCAAGGAGGTACCAGAGAAAAGTGAAGTCCTACTTAAATAAATCAAAAACATGATACAGGATTTGAAAGGAATAGTGTCAATAGGGATGGTAGCAGTTCTTCTTTGAATGTCTGATAGAATTCAACAGTGAATCCACCTGGTCATGGATTTTTTGTTGTTGTTGGCAATTTTTTTTTTTTTTTTTTTTTTAAGAGATGGAGTCTCGCTCTGTCACCCAGGCTGGAGTGCAGTGGTATGACCTTGGCTCGCTGCAACCTCCGCCTCCCAGGTTCAAGCAATTCTCCTGCCTCAGCCTCCCGAGTAGCTGGGACTATAGGCGCCCGCCACCATGCCCAGCGAATTTCTTTTGTATTTTAGTAGAGACGGGGTTTCACCATGTTGCCCAGGCTGGTCTCGAACTCCTGAGCTCAGGCAATCCGCCCACCTTGGCTTCCCAAAGTGCTAGGATTATAGGCGTGAGCCACCGTGCCCAGCCAGCAATTTTTAAAATTACCATTTAAATCTCACTGCTTGTTATCGGTCTGTTGAGAGATTCTATATCTTCCTAGTTTAATCTAGGAGGGTTGTATATTTCCAGGAACTTAACCATCTCCTCTAGGTTTTCTAGTTTATGCATGTAAGGTCTTCATAGTAGCCTTGAATAATCTTTTGTATTTCTGTGGTATTGAAGTGGCTTCATTGTCTGGGGAAATACCCTAGGTTCGTCTTGCACTGAGAAGATTAACAACACAGACACACACACGTGAAGCAGGTTAAGGAGGGGAAAGTTTAATAGACAAAAAAGAAGAGAGAGTGAGCTTTCTCATACAGGGCAGGTGGGATGCGATCCATTTTATAGAGAGGCTTGAGGAGGCGGTGTTTGATTTACACAGGGGCCAGGGGATTGGTTTGACCAGGTGTAAATGGTTACATAGCCCGAGAAGAAATTGGCCATCCCACCTTAATCTTTTATTATGTAAATGTGACCTCTACCTGTCCGGTGCCATTTGAACCTTGATTCCTCATTGTACCACACATAAAATTAATTTAAGATGGATCATAGACTGAACTATGAAACAATCAAGCTTCTAAAGGAAACCATGGAAGCATAGTTTCATGACCTCTGGGTAGGGAAACATTTCTTAAATGGGACATAGAAAGCACTAGCCAAAATATAAAAGATTAATATGTTGGATTTGTAAGAATTAAGAACTTTTATTTATCAAAAGATCCTATTAGGAGAATGAACAAGCCAAAGCACAGATTGAGAGGGAATATTTGCAATACATATATCCAACAACAAACTCATATGGAGAAAATATATAGACTTCTACAATTCAGTGAGGAAAATGCAGAAATCCCAATAGGAAAATGGACAAGGACTTGAACAGTCATGTCACAAGAAATAACTAATAAACACCTAAAAAGATGCTCAATATCACCAGGGAAATGTTCTTTTAAATTGCAATGAGATATTGCTACACACCCACCAAAATGACTGAAATTGGAAAAGCTAACAATAACAAATGTTGACAAAGATATGAAGCAACTGGAACTCTCATTCATTGCCATTGGGAATGTAATTTTGTTCATCCATTTAGAAAAATGGTAATATCTACAATAGCTCAATATATGCATGTCTTATGACCTAGGAATTTCACTCCTGGATTTTTATTATATTTAAATAAGTGCTTGTGCCCACCAAAAGACATGTGCAAACATATACAAAACAGTTTTATTTAACATGACTAAAAACAACCCAATGTTCATCAACAAAAATGGATAAATTGTGTTATATTCAAACAATGGAATACCACATAGCAATGAAAAAGAATGAGGAACTATTACAAACAAGATAGATGGATATCACAACCATAATGTGGAGTATAAGAAGCCGACCCGAAAGAATATATATTGTATAACTTCACTTTTATAAAGTTCAAAATCTGACAAAACTAATCAAAAGTGAACAAAGAAAAAATAGTGCTTAACTTTGGGAGAGTTTACTGACTATGAAAAGGTACATGGAAGCCCTCTGGTATTCTGGAAATAGTCTATATTTTTATGTGGGAGGTAATTATGTGAATTTATATGTAAGCAAAACACATTGAGCTGTATATTCAGACATGTTTAGTTTACTGTATGTTAACTGTATCTTAATAAGTAAGTTTTTAAACAAAAGCACACTGGCTGCCCATGCCTCTCTACCCCTGCTAGTGGGGATTCGTGAGGCCCGAAGAGGGAGATACTATTAATAGCTTTCCAGTGTATAGAAGATGGGCTCATATTCGCACCCCTAGTTTATGGAGCAGGGCATACCAATTGCAGGTCACACATGGAACCCATTCATGCATTCCTTCTTCCTCTCTCTGCATGCCACTATTGGTTCCCCAAATCAAAGAGGGCTTCCAGGGTGACCTGTGTGTTTGGCCTTGGGGGCTTGTGACAATAAACTGGGGAGATGCATTAGTGTGCTAAGGCTGCCATAACAAAATATCACAGCCTGAGTGGCTTAAACAATAGAAATTCATTTTCTCATAGTTCTGGAGGCCGGAAGTTCAAGATTAAGGTGTCATCAGGGTGGGTTCCTGGTGAGGCCTCTCTTCCTGGCCTGTAGATAGATGGCCACCTTCTTGCTATGTCCTCACATGGCCTCATCTTTGTGCAAATGTGGAGAGATACAACTCTCTTGTCTCTTCCTCTTCTTACAAGGACACCAGTCCTATTCAAGTAAGTCTTCACCCCTGCGACCTCACTTAGCCTTTATCAGCTTTATTAACCTTTTTATAGGTCTTATCTCCAAATGCAGTCACATTTAGGTAAGGGCTTCAACATATGAATTTTGAGGCTATGCAATTCAATCCACAGAAGGAGCTGATTTACTTTTTACACCCATGTCAATTTGGCCCCCTCCACCCCACTGATCTCAGAGCATTTCCTGGGGGTCACCTCAGTGTGTTCTGCAACAATCCTCTGCCTCTGAGCCAGACTGACAGCTCTGCCCTGCCACCCATTGCTACTTCTGCTGTCCATGGCTCTGGGAGGCCTCTGCTCTGCTGGAAGTATCATCTGTGTTTGTCACCACTGGGGAGAGATGCTGTTTACTGTTGATACCCCCAGCCCAGTCCCAATGGTGGTGGGGTGTATACTCTCTCATTAGGCACTTCCCTCTACTTCCTAAACACAGCAAGGCCCAGAGAGGGATGAGGCCCTGCCTGGCCACCGTAGGTCTCCGTGGGAATGAGCCATTCCCTCTCCCAGGCTTTGCTCATTCTATCTCCTCTGCTGCAATACCATTCTCCCAGACCTCCAACACTTCCCCTGGCTGACTATGCAGGGAGACCCACACCTCATCCTCCTACCTGACCACTCGGCAAGTGAGTCTCCCCTTCTGTAGTCTCCCTCAGCCTCTGCGATTCACCGTCAATTTCTTCATCTGTGCCTCCTCTCCCCCCATAAAACAAAACAAACAAACAAACAAACAAAAAACAACATGAGCTCCATGCAGGCAGGGTGTTTTTCTGACTCATCTCTGTGTCCCTGGGTACCCAGGACTGGACACAAGGGAGGTGTCAGGGGATGTCTGTTGACTGACTGAATGTGAGTAAGTGAGGGTGTAGAGGGTTCCTGAAGCCCTAGGCTGAGTGACCAAGTATGGAAACCCTGCTTGCCACACTTCAGCATGACCAAGGCAGCTGGTCTTCTCCTTCAAAGGCAGTGCTGAGGCTTGACAGGTCATAGAGCCAGGCCTTCATGTCTAGGCTGCAGACAGCTTCCTCAAAGTCCATCTCCTCTTCCCTACTGATCTTTTCCTGCTACTCCCCATTGGTTGAACCCAACCAGAAGCTGCAGGGCAGGTGAACCTGTTGATGCTATCCATATAGGTCAGCAGTCAGGGCGCAGAGCAGGGGAAAGAGGAGACAGGAGAGGAGATCTGGAAGGGTAAGCAGATGACATCTGTCAAGTGTTAGGTAACACTTGGTACAGGGAGAGTGCTCCATAAATTAGTTGTCCAATCACAGAAGCATCCCAGAGCATCATAGAAACCCAGATGAGGACTGCCCATCCTGCTTCTCTGGCTCTTCTCCTCCAGGAGCTCCTCTCCACAGAGCCAGGATATTCTGGGTATGTTCAGAGTTCAAGGTCTCCCCATCTCCTTTCCTAACTTCACTGCATTACTAGTCCTTGGTGTTTCCTTAGGGCTACTGGCTCCTATGGCCTGAGGCTTCCACAGCCTGAGGCTTCCCAAGGCTACAAGTCAACTTAGCTGACCATGAAGGCCCCTGATCACTATGGGCTGAGGAAAGGATCTGGGGTCTTCCCAATATCCTCCCTGCCTCCTCAGCCAGTGGAGGTCCCAGCATTGGAGTCATTCCCCAGGGCCTGGAAAACATCTCTCCCTTCCCGTTGCTCATGATTATGCAGGCCTAGTCACAGGTCTCAGCTAAACCTTGGCAGGTTGGAAGGATGGGGCACCAAGTGGAGGGGCTTTTTGAGCAAGGCTGGGGCTGCTCCTTTGAGTGAGCCCTGTTGAGCTCCATGCACCCTCTGGTGGCCAACCTCATTTTTGCAACTACAGCTCTGGACAAGAAGGAAGCAGCTCCCCTAAAAAGATTCTCCCAGAAGGCCTCACACACCTTTGCCCTGGGACAAAAATAGCTGTTGGTGCCCCAGGAGAGAGTGCAGAGAAAATTCCAGAACTTGATGAGGGCAGGGTGTCAACCTGGCCTACAGCTGTTGGGTGACCACTGGTGTCAACCTGGCCTACAGCTGTTGGGTGACCACTGGGGTGAGAGGGCAGTACTTGCCCCCAAAATTGCAGCCACCAATGACAGCATCTAACGACCCAGCCAGTTTGAGGAAGCCATCTTTCCACCTTCACCACCTTGATCATTCACTCTTCAGCCAAGAAGATGTACTGTCCAAGCCATCCCTTCTCCCATGGGCTCTGATTTCTACAGATGATAGAGGTAGACATCTTCCTGATTCCAAGTCTGCAACTAGCTGGTTCAGGGTCAGAGTAAGTAATAAGGCCAGAGCCTGGTCCAAAGTCAATATCAGGCTCTGGTTCAGAGTCAAGATTAAGGGCAGAGCCAGAGGACAAAGGACAGAACCTCCTCCTTCTCATGTGAAAGGCCAGATCCACACGCTTGCGTATGCATGTGAATCCCTCTGTGCGTGAGCATATAAATGTGTGTGTGTGTGTGCGTATGTGTGTGTGTTTGTGGGTGAGAGCCCTCTTACTAGAGGCTATGGCCAAGTTGCTCTGTTTTTCAGGCACTAGAAGCTCAGGGATTATCAAGCTTCTCACAGGTTTATGCAAATGTTTGAAACATGAAAAAAATATAGAAAGCTATAAAAAATGTAAATACTAAATATAGTAAATGTTAACAGTATGTCATAGTCATAGTCAACTGAAGTTCAGCCATGTTCTTGTGTGGTCAAGTTTAAAATGTATTTATGTGGGATGTGGGTGTGTGGAATAGGTTTGATGTGGAATGAGGTAGTCAGGACCTTTGGAGGAATGAGTGCCCTGGCCTCCTTGTGGTGGGTAAGAGTCCCAGGGCAGTGTACTGCAGGGCCACAAGGCAGGGCTGACTAGCAAGTTCAAATGCTGGTGTCTACTGAAGGGAAGGGGAGATCAGAGCTGCAACTGGAGCTGACACTAGCAGGGCAGTTGAGGGCAGGAAAGAGGCCACAGGAGGGTTTAGGGTCCTTGAGACAGGAGTGAGCAGGCCTCAGCCACACCAGTGATTCAGGCTTTTGTGATTATGTGGTAGCAGACTGGGATTAGGGCTAGCCACTGACAGCTCATGTGGTGATTTTTTTTTTTTTTTTTTGAGACGGAGTCTTGCTTTGTCACCCAGGCTGGAACGCAGTGGCGTGATCTTGGCTCACTGCAGGTTCTGCCTCCTGGGTTCAAGCGATTCTTCTGCCTCAGCCTCCCGAGCAGCTGGGACTACAGGCATGCACCACCATGCCCACCTAATTTTTGTATTTTTAGTAGAGATGAGGTTTCGCCATGTTGGCCAGGCTGGTCTCGGTCTTGAACTCCTGACCTCATGATCCACCCACCTTGGCCTCCCAAAGTGCTGGAATTACAGCTGTGAGCCATCGCGTCTGGCCAATTTTTTTTTTTAATTAGCAAAAGATACTCCCTTTTCAATTCACTTTATTTCCATCTACTGAAAACTTATTGTAATGACTATGCACATCTATGATGGCTGCCATGTAAATGGAGACATCATTGTGCAGTGCACCAATTGAGCAATGTTTGATTGGGCTAGGATCACTCATGGATAGATTCATGGACACCAGTCTTGCTCCTGAAAGGATATAAGGTGCCTTACAAACAAGTTTCATTATAGCAAAGTGAAGTACATTCATTTAAAAATAGAGAGAGGCAGCCTGGGCAACATGGCGAGACCTCGTCTCTATAAAAATAAATAAAAAATTGGCCACGTGTGGTAGCGTGTACCTGTGGTCCCACCAGAGAGGCTGAGGTAGGAAGATTGCTTGAGCCTGGGAGGCTGAGGCTGCAGTGAGCCTCTGAACTCCAGCCTGTGTTCGTACACTGCACTTCAGCCTGGAGAGAGTGAGACCCAAAAAAAAAAGTGAGTCTCAAAAAAAAAGTGAGTGAGTCTCAAAAAAAAAAAAAAGAAAGAAAGAAAAAAGGAGAGGAAGGGTGGCACCAGGAGAGTTTGTGCTGAAACTGTCATTAAATGTGTGGTTACCTCGCAATGAAAGGAGTCTCGTATTTGAGGAAGCCAGACACTGTGATTAGGATTCCATGTCAGCCTGAAACCCAGAAGAGTGCTGGCGTGTTCTCTGGAGGCAGCCAATTTTCACTCTCTGTTCTTGTACTTTCTGGGGGCTGCCACTAATTTCCTTTAGCAAGGGCTGCTCTAGGGTAACAGGGCTGAGGGGGCTTGGATGACAAGTAGGACCTCATCCCTAAAAGGGAGCTCAGAATGGGGGGCAGAGCATTCAACAAATATTTACAGAATAAATGAATGAGCAAAGGAACATAGCCCTTCCTACTTTACGTCACCAATTCTTAACTATCCACTTCTCTCTCTATTCATTGGCAGTTCCCAGTTCAGGTCACCATCAGCTGTCACCCCGCCTCAGCCAAGCTCTGCTCCTCCTTCTCCCCCACTCACCCACAGTAGAAAGGGTGTTTTTCCCAAATCCCAAATCTTATCCTGCTTCTCCCCTGCCTTTGCTCTGGGGTGTCTGCTCCTTGTCTTCAGCCTCACATCCAAATCCTTTTTTGTGGTCCATGAGGCCTCAGGTGATCTGTCCCTGGGATCTCTGCAGCTTTACCTCTTATTACTCCCCTACTGTCTGCTCCACCATTGTTCCCCAATCAAGAGCTTCCAGGGTTTGGCCTTGGAGGCTTGTGACAATAAACTGGGGAGATGTATTAGTGTGCTAAGGCTGCCATAACAAAATATCACAGCCTGAGTGGCTTAAACGATAGAAATTCATTTTCTCGTAGTTCTGGAGGCCAGAAGTCCAAGATTGAGGTGTCATCAGGGCGGGTACCTGATGAGGCCTGTCTTCCTGGCTTGTAGATGGTCACCTTCTTGCTATGTCCTCACATGGCCTCATCTTTGTGCAAATGTGGAGAGATACAACTCTCTTGTCTCTCCTCTTCTTATAAGGACACCAGTCGTATTCAAGTAAGGCTTCACCTCTATGATCTCACTTAACATTTATTAGCTTTATTAAACTTTTTATAGGACTAATCTCTACTGGCTTCCTGACATTTTAACAAGGCCTGAAAAAAACATTAAAAACACTCAACTTTCAGCCTTTTAGATAGTAGCTACATCAGATGCCCAATAGCTATCCTTAACCCTCACCTTATCACCTATCCCTAATCCCCACCCAGCCCCAATATAGGGTCAGGACTGGGGAAGGAAGGACGAGTGGCTGCTGGACTGTAATAATAATTCTAAAAGTGTGCTTTACAGTATATACATCAAAATATCAGATTTCAAGCACCATGCCTAGCTAACTCCTGCCCTCTGGACATTTGCACTAGTCCAGAGCCTCTCGCCCAGGATGGAGGTGAAGTGAGGAGGAAAGTTGTAGTGTAAACTCACTCTTTACACCATGGGGGGCCTGCCCTGGACTTGCTGTGTAATTGCAGTTCCTGAAGGTCTTGGCATGCCTGTAATGACAACTCAGCCTGATTGCTGACTCTGCTTGTCTTGGGTTGCAGGGGTCCATGGGGGAGGCAAATGGTAGGAGAGTTGTAGCCTGCTTTGGTTTTTGCACCCACCAGATGGGTTCAGGGATTAGGGGGGCACTCTCTAGGGACACACTTGGTCCTGCCCAGCCTGTCCCCACAGGCTTCTGGGGATTCTGCCAGATTATCTTTCCCTTTTCCAGGGTCAACCACCAGGCTATAAGACCAGACTACTGGATAGGCCCTATTTCAGAAGCAGTAGGGCTACTACTAGGTAGCCCCACTCAAGCCACAAGTCTTGCTGTCTGTGTTTGGCCTTGAGTCAAAGCGCCAGCCAACTGAGACACACTCGGTCTTTCCTCAGTCTCTAAGGGGAGAAACCTAGGGTGGGTTGAGCTCCAGTGGACAGCTGCATGCGGAATGTACCGAAGAATACAGATGTGTATCCACATATACAATGCCCTCTGTGTGGCATTGGTTGAACCTGAGGGCCTTGCTCTGGGAAATTCCATGGAAGGCCAGATAGTCGTAAACCCTGACCACACCTCCAGCTGCTGCAGTGGTTCCAGGGCCTGCAAGAGTCATCAGCATTCAGGGAGACTTCAGTGCCAAGCAGTGGAGCTTGCCCCACTCCCCTTCCCCAAAACAGGGATCACAGGTGAGTAGGAGTGGAGGAGGCTGGGGCAGGGCAGGCTGAGTAGGCCCCTGTTTAGAGTTAAGGGCTATGCCACATCCACCCTCCTATTCATCCAATTTCCTGTCCGCCCAGCACAGATGTTTTTACTATCCCTTCTGGGGAAACACCAGGTTCTTCCTTCGGGGTGGGGATGGCAGGCAGACAAGTCCAGACTGCTTCAAGGAGCCATTGGCCAGGGATATTGCCTAGGGACAGCATGGAGGTAGAGCCTCATTTGGCAATGCCCTGGCCATGCTGGGGTGAAAGGTCATAGGCCATGCCTGATCTTGAGCCTAGGAAGGGTCTCTAAGACTGGGTCTAGGTAGGCAGTACCTCCTACTAGTAGCCTTTCCCAGCTGGAAAGGCTTGGGCTTTTCCCTCCCTAGACAAAGTTGCTGGGCGGGCCTCTGCTTATCTACTAGTTTTTATACTAGACAGAGCCCCTTTGATATGTGTGGTCCCTGAATCCCCCGCCTTGACCTCAACTGGTGATCAGCAAATGTTTGTTGAGTGAACACATAAATGAACACCATAGAGCTGTTCCAGAAGGGAGGTATGGCCTTGTTCATACAATGGATTTGGGGAGAAGGGATGTGAATCTCTATAACATGCTGTGATGTGTGGCTGTTAAAGATGGTTGTGGATTCATTAAGTGACACACACTGGGTGTACTCAATGAGGTCTGCTAGAGGCCACAATAGTGGGAATGTCCACTCATTCATTCATGTATTTTTGTTCACCAATTCCTCTCTAGGCTCTGGGCGCCAGACCCTATGCTAGAGCTGGAGACACAGTGATGAACAGGTTAGAGGCAGTCCCCAGGAGGGCCAAATGGTAAATGAAGTAGACATTGAATGAGGTCAGGTAGCATGTGTGAAACTCATCCATGAGGAGCTTTGGGGCCTATGGCAGGATCTGGCTCAGGCTAGACCCAGAAAGCCTTTTGAAAGAAACCACCTTTTGGGAAGAGAATGTTCTAGGCAGGAGGAATAACACATTCAAAGGCCAGGGAACTGAAAAGTGCCTGGAGTGGCTGCAGCATCAAGTTTGAGGCTGTGCATAAGAAGAGAGACCATCAGGGCTGGATAAAAGGGATTGGCAGCATTGGCAAGATTTGTGTCTACCCTTGGGTCCATGGAATACCTTTGAGAGGTTCTATACGGAAATAACATGATGGGAATCACATGGTTACAATGTCACTCTGCCCTGTGTAATGGAGTAAGGATAGAGGGAGCGGAGTAGAAAAGTGGGCTAAGATGGATTGTCCAAGTGAGAGATGGTGGTGTCCTGAATTTGGTCTGCGACAGCAGGGTTGGGAAGAAGTAAGTGAACTGAGAGAGATCCACCAGGTAAGATCTCCAGGGTGGGCATGCAGTGGGAAAGAAAAGGGAAGTGACTGGGAGATGGTGATATTTGCTGAGATGTAGGAAATGCTGGGGCAGAAGCAGTTTGGGTGGTGTGGGCTGTGGTATGGGGGAGATGTTTCATCCTGGCTGAACCTGCAGCTGGAGATGCCCCAAAAGCAGTGGCAGGGGGGTCCCCATACGGGACTACCCCAAACCATCCTGAAATGGTTGGGATTCCAAAGAAAGTAGCACTAAATGCCAGGGTGATCAGTCCAAAGCATTTATTAGGGAAATTTCTCGGTCTCTGAGGGGGCTGCAGTACATCCTGTAGGCAGACAGCGAGACAGGGATGTTCTATCTAGGTATGCCTGCTGCAAGGGGGGTCTGGGTATGGAATTTATATGAGATTTTAAGGAATTTGGCTCAGGGTCGGGGCTAGTTTCTTTCAGTGTTTCGGGCGACCATCTAAACACCTTTATCAGTGCCTGGGAATGTTTAAGGCCCCAGCTTGGGCTCAAGCCTACAGGAAAAAACCTTCGGCTGTCTGGGTCATAGAGTGGTCAAGGCATTTGGTATTTGTCAGGAGAGAGAAAAAAGTGAGGGAACCTGGGGGACCCTACATGAGACAATGAGTTCACTTATCAAGTGGTCATAAAGAAAAGGCTGTGACGATGTGGGTCTGGAGTGGACCCAGGCTGGAGATTCAAAACTGAGTGATAGATTTACATGGGTCCAGAAGCCTTTGAGGGCATGGAGGAATGTCAAATGTAGTGGATTAAATGGTGCCCCCCAACCCCACCAAATTGCATTCATGTCCTACTACCTGGATCCTGTGAATGTGACCTTATTTGGAAAAATGGACCTTACAGATATTATTAAGTTACAGGTTATTAAGGGAGCTGTTGCAGTGGTTCCAGGGCCTGCAAGAGTCATCAGCATTCAGGGAGGCTTCAGTGCCAAACCTCCCTGGATTACCTGGGTAGACCTCCCAATCTGCCCTGGATTACCTGGGTAGACGCTACAGCCAATGACAGTTATTTTTATAAGAAACAGAAGGGCAGAAGATGCAGACACCGAGGAGAAGTGCAGGTGAAGATGGGGCAGAGATTCGTGTGATACAGCCACAAGCCAAGGAACTCCTAAGCCACCAGGAGCTGGAAGAGGCAAGGAGGGGTTCGCCCCTAGAGCCTTCAGAGGGAGCACACCCCGGTAACATTTTGATTTTGGACTTCTGGCCTCCAGAACTGTGAGAGAATAAAATTCTGTTGACTTAAGGCACCTAGTTCGTGGTAATTTGTTGTGGCAACCCCAGGAAATGAATAGATCAGGAGCCCAGATGGAGTCTGAGGGCCTTATGTTAAGGGCTGAGTGGTGAAAGTGAGGCTACAAAGGCAGAGGTCAGAAATGGTATCTTCTGGGTGGAGGCAGGTAGAGGAAAAGGAATATAAAAACAAATGAATGGCCACTTCCTGCAAGGCAGGAAGACCAAGGAGACATGATCCTCAGAAGTCCTGCCCCTTCTCAAGGCTGCAGATTTTTTAGGAGGATATCTGACCAATGCTGTGGTCCTGAGCTGCCAGGACTCCAAGACCCTGCGGAGGTCTTACTCATGCCTTTGGAGACTAAATCTTACAGTGTGGAGCAAGGTATTGAGGAGATATCCGTCCATTCAAGGAGTTAGCAAATATTGAGCCCAGTTCGGTGGTGGGAAAATGGCAATGGACAAATGCATGCATGGTTTATGTACTCCCAGACCTCCCAGGCCAGTCGGGGAAGACGTTACCCAAGCGATCATTCAATTCTATCAACGGTGGCAAGTGTTACGAAGCACACGGGGACATGAGAAGCTGTTATGGGAGGTTTTGTGTGTGTGGTTTTTTTTTTTTTTTTTTTGAGACAGTCTTGCTCTTGTCACCCAGGCTGGAGTGCAATGGCACGATCTTGGCTTACGGCAACCTCTGCCTCCTGGGTTCAAGTGATTCTCCCACCTCAGCCTCCCTAGTAGCTGGGATTACAGACACCGCCATCATGCGTGGCTCACTGCAAGCTCTGCCTCCCGGGTTCATGCGATTCTCCTGCCTCAGCCTCCTGAATAGCTGGGACTACAGGCATGCGCCATCACACCCGGCTAATTTTTTGTATTTTTAGTAGAGACGGGGTTTCATCATGTTAGCCAGGATGGTCTTGATCTCCTGAACTCGTGATCCACCCGCCTCGGCCTCCCAAAATGCTGGGATTACAGGCGTGAGCCACCGTGCCTGGCCATGCCCAGCTAATTTTTGTATTGTTGTAGAGACGGGGTTTCACCATGTCGGCCATGCTGGTCTCGAACTCCTGACCTCAGGTGATCCGTCCGCCTCAGCCTTCCAAAGTGCTGGGATTACAGGCATGAGCCACCGTGCCTGGTCTGTTATGGGAGGTTTTGACCTACTCAGGGAAGTAAGGAAAATCTCTCTGCCTCTGAGGGAATCTGAAGGATTCTGAAGGTTTTAATCAGGGAGGGAAAAATTTTTTCTAGACAGAAGGAACAGCATGTATAAAGGTCTGGGGTGGGGAGGGGGAATGGCCAGTTAGAGAGACTGGAGGAAGTTCGATGTGGTTACAGAAGTGAGCAGAGGCCAAACCATGTGGAACCTTATAAACCACTTTTTGATGTTTCTCAAGATCAGGGCAATTTCCCAGCTGCAAGTAATGGGCTCAGATCTGCATTTTGAGATCATCATGGTTGTAGTGAAGGAGAGATGAGAGGGAACAAAAATGGAGGAGCAGCCAGTCAGGAAAGTGTTGCCATCACTCATGTGAAAAAGATGGAGAGAAGTGGGTGGATTAGAGGGAGATTTAGGGGTAAAATTGAACAGACTTGGGATATAGGTAAATAGGGTCTGGGGATGAGGGAGAGGGAGCTGCCAAGTATGACTCCCAGGCTTCTGGTTAGGTAACTGATGGGAAGTATCTCCTTCAGTACAGCAGTGAAGACAGGATGTGTGGAGGGGGAAGATGTAGGGGGAGAACAATAACTCTGTGTTGGACATGTTGCCATTGAGGTGCCTGTGGACACTCAAGTGGGGATGTACACTGAACAGTGAGTTACATGAATCTGGGGTTCAGCAGTAAGGATAAGGGTAAAGAGAGAAATTTGTGTCACCTGCGTGTAAAGAGAAGCGTGAAGTGGAAAGCCTAGACCTGAGTTTTGAGGAACCCCCAACCTTTACTAATAGGGAGAGGATGCTGAAGAAGCTTGAGCAGAGGTGGCCAGAAAGGATGAGGGGAAACCAAGGGAAATCAGTGTTCCAGAGGGGCTGTGGTCATCGCTGGGTGTCAGACACTGCTCAGGGCCCTGGCAGATGAGGTCTGAAGAACAGCCGTTGAAATTGGAGATTGGAGGCTACAGTTTATTGAGACCTGGTTTGGTGCTGTTAGGGAGCTAGAAGGCTGACTGCAGGGCCTGAAGAGTGGGAGAGACAGCTCCTTTAGGGCCTGAAGAGTGGGAGAGATGTGAGGATGGGGAGACAGCTCTTTCAAGAAATTCCGCTGCGGTTGAGAACAGAGACACTCAGTGGGGTCGAATGAGGGTTTTGTTCCCATAGTAGAGGCTTGAACACATTTACAGGCCAATGGGAAAGATCCAGTTGAGAGCGGGTAGTTGAGCCTTCAGGAGAGAAAAGGGATGTTCCATGGGGCAAACTCCTGAGAAGGGGGAGGAGATGGAAGGAAGCTTCTGTGGATGTAGCAGATGCAGGAGGGTTTGTGTAGTTTTAGCCGGGCTCGAGCCGGTGGCTGACGCAGGCAGGAACAATGGCTCACCCATGTTTTATGTGTATTTCCGTGTGCGTGCTCCTGCTTTCCCCAGGTCTGGGCCGCCTGCCTGGCCCGTGTGCCGTAGGGAATATCCACACTGGGCCTGGGCGGAGGCTGGGCATCTCCCGCTCTGGGCTTGCTCCCTGATGAGATTCTCAGACCGTGCTTCCCCTCATTCATGAGAGGAAGGTTCACAGAGCAGGCGTGGGAACCTGCCTGGCCGCCAGGGCCTCCTCCCGCTCAGGCTGAGGTTTGCTGCATCTCTGTCCTTATTCCCTTCCAGACTGGATTGGCTGAACCAGGTGTCCACTCTTTTTGGCCCATGGCATAAAGAAGGGTTTGGGCAACCCAGTGTGCCCCAGGTTGTTACCGCCCCCCCGCCTCCGCCCCCACCCAGCCTTTGATGGGCCCCCTTCTCATCAATCCATCACCCCTGCACATGCCACCAGGACTGCCTGGACCAGAGCCCGGGACTCTCTGAAACCCACTGAGAGCTCGGCCCTGGGAATGGGCCTCCCAATCTCGGTCTCCAGGGGGTGGGCCCCAGGTCCCTAGTCTTCCTCAGGGTCTTCTCCACTGTTCTGCCTCCTCTCCTGATACCCAGTTCCTAGCCGGGGTGACCCCAGCCTCCCGTAACAGCCTCCTTGTGGTGGTGCTGGGAAGAAGGGGCCCGTGTACCCGGCAGGGCCCCCCAGGCAATGGGCATGAGCGCAGGCAGGGAAATCCGTCAGCCTCCAGGGACGCTCTCCCTACAGCCCCGGCGAGGGGATCGGGTCGTGGCGACCTCTCCAGACGCCCAGGGGCTGGGCAGGAGGGCGGGCCAAGGCCCGCAGGTGGGGGCGCCAAAGCCAGGCGGGCGCGGAGTACGTGCGGTGGGCTGCGGGCGGCATGAAGGGCGCGGGCGGCCAGCTCCGGCTCCGGCTCCGGCTCCGGCTCCCGCGAGGCCGGGTAGCCTGGGCGTTCCCAGGGGTCGCAGAGGACGGCGAACCCCGGCGGAGCCACCGGAGCTGGGGACCAGGACGCAGGCAGGCGTGTGGAGCGTGAGGTGGGGACGTGGCGGCGGCTCAAGTGGGCGGAGCCCCGGCAGCGGCCCGAGGCGGAGTCGCCAAGGGAGGAGGCGCCGAGCTGACCGGGCGACGCCGCGGGAGGTTCTGGAAACGCCGGGAGCTGCGAGTGTCCAGGTGAGCGCCCCGCCCGCTCAGCCGCCAGATCAACCTTAGCGCTGGGGCGCGGGCTGGGGTCGCCAGGCGGTGCGTTCTGCCCGCGCGGGGCTGAGAGTTAGGGGCCGGGGCCGGATCCGGGGCCGGGGGTCGCGCCGCTAGCCGCCAGCAGCGCAGTCCGGGCCGCCACCCTGCACCCTCCGCCCTGTTTCTGCACCCGTCTGGGTTCTTGTGCCGCCGCCCGCAAGCCTTCCCGAGCTCAGGGTGGTGAGGTCAGCGGCGCCCTTCGTGCAGTTCCCTCGGCTGTCGGGCGGGGCTGGGAACTTGGCCGCTCTTCCCTGTCAGGCTCCCGGGAAGTGGCGGCCTGACCCCGGGCTGCCGGCTGTTGGGAGCGGGGGCGCGGCGTCCGCCTGGCCCTGAGGGGCCTCTTCATATTGGCTAAGCCCGTTCTGCACCCTCCCAAGGGCTGGGAGTCCTAGGTCTTGTCCGGGCAGGGTCCAGCTTGGAGCCCATTAGATGGGCCATTGGATCAGAAAGTCTTTTCTCCCCCAGACATCCTTGTGGAACCAGCGTTGTTTTTCCTTGGCAGCTGCGGAGACCCGTGATAATTCGTTAACTAATTCAACAAACGGGACCCTTCTGTGTGCCAGAAACCGCAAGCAGTTGCTAACCCAGTGGGACAGGCGGATTGGAAGAGCGGGAAGGTCCTGGCCCAGAGCAGTGTGGTGAGCGCTGTGCTGGAAGGGAATGCGGGCAGTGGGTACTTGGTAGAGCACTGACTGCCTCCGGCCAGAGGACTTCCCGGAGGAGGTGACCCATGAGCTGGAGTGGTCAGAGGAAGGCTGGCAAAAGGGCATCGTGGACAGAGGAACAGCCTATGTGAGTGGGAGCAGAGACCTTGGCCAATGCCATTCCTTATGGCCTTGTAGTGGAAGCAAGGTGATGGGGAAGGAACACTGTAGGGGATAGCTGTCCACGGACGCTGTCTACAAGACCCTGGAGTGAGATAACGTGCCTGGTACTGTGCCCTGCATGTGTAAGATGCCCAGTTGACCTTCGCAGCAGGAGCCTGGATCAGGGCACTTCCTGCCTCAGGTATTGCTGGACAGCCCAGGTGGGTCCCTGGCCTTTGTATTCTATTTGACTTTAAGATGGTGCAGGAGAATACAAAAAACTATCCGGGCATGGTGGCGCGCGCCTGTAGTCCCAGCTACTCGGGAGGCTAAGGCAGGAGAATCGCTTGAACCTGGGAGGCAGAGGTTGCAGTGAGCCAAGATCGTGCCACTGCACTCCAGCCTGGGAGACAGAGCGAGACTCCATCTTAAAAAAAAAATAAAAAAGAGAGATGGTGCAGGAGAGCATTGGGATCCCTCCCAAGACTGTGACTGTTGTCTTTTGCTGTAGAGTGACACCCGAGATTTGTGCTTCTTGATAATAGACTACCTGGGGCCTCACAGCCCCAGCCCTCTTGTAGGAAATCCTGTCCTAGGAGCAAGGGCTGGAGTCCGTTACGTTGTAGCTTGGGGCATTCTTAAATGTCCCAGACTTTGTGGAGATCCATTGTCCACCTAAGAATTTATAGGATGTTTTTGGGGTCTGCTGCTTGTTCTCAGCCTGTGTCTCATCTGACATTAGGTTCCATAATTTAGTCTCTGTTAAATGAACTAGGATTTCCTTTGGCTTGTACTTAAACTGCCCCTGAGGTGTCCAAGGTGCAGCCTCTCACTGTGGTTCTGGGCCTCAGCGCCCAGTCTCTCTGGTTGCTTCTCCCCACTCACAGAATGTTTGGTCTTTGAATTCTTTTCTTTTAGGGCCTCCTTGTTCTTACACAGCCGAGTGTCCACTGTGTGGCCCAGCCAATGAAGCCACGTAGCAAGGATGGAGTGAGTTGGCTGGGGGCCTCATCCCAAAGATGCTGTCATACTGGATCACCCTAGTTCTCTGAGAGCTCAGCAGGCAGACTTGGTGACAGCTTAGCTGAGGCATTGTCTGTGGCATGTGATAGGCCCTTGTATCCTGTCGAAAGCTCTGCATTGGGGTACTCTAGACAGTGCTTACTTAGTCACCGGTTTAGACTGGCCCCAGCTGATCTCAGTTCATCCCTTGAGTGCCTTCTGCCTGTTTGGCTTCTGACTGGAGCGTGCCTGGGGCTAGAATGAGGGACGAGAGAGAGGAGGTGGCCGAGGCACTATTCTTGCCTGTGGGTAGCTCGTACTCTGAGATTGCTGCTTCATATTGGCAGCTGGCCATGTGCCAGGGGAGGAGCCCGGCTGTGAGTGCTCATCAAAGGAAGAGACTACGTGGGTGCAGCTCTGAGGAATGAGTCGGTTGAGGGAATCTAGGGTCTCCTCATTTCCTAAGAAGGCCTCCCTTTTTCACTCTGCCCTCCCACATCCTTGGGAGGGTCTGAGACTGGAAGCAAGGCCTTGGCTGATGTGTGGCCACGCTGGCTGATAGTGTGCAGAGGGCTAGGAGGTGTGTCCCTGGCTCCTGGGGTCTGTCAAGAGTTTACTATTATGCAGATGGAAGTTGGCAGGAAAAGCTGTGATGCAAGTACATGCAAGCCCAGCAGAGTGCTGGAGTGAGAGTTAAACTTCGGGAAAGTTGCTCACATCTAGCAATTTGGACATTTGAAGTTCCTTAGGGTAAGACATCAGCCTGTCCTAGAGCAAAGAGGGCTGGAAGGTCCTGTGGTCTGTGGGCTTTGTGTTACGGACATGGAATGAGAGATAGAAAGACAGTTTTTTTTTTTTTTTTTTTTCCTCAGAGCAGAGGAGAATGAAAAGTCTGGATGATTTACTGGAGCCCTAGAAGAGAGTTCTTGTTCAGCTGGTGTCATTGCAGGGCAGAGGATTAAGTGTTTGGGTAGAGTGCTCTCCAGCTCAGATGGAATCTATCTGAGCCTGGTAACAGGCCAGCATCTGCTCTGGACCTTTCAGGAAGTGCTTGCTTAGAGTGTGGCCTGTTTTGTACCTGGCACTCTGAGGGCCAGGGTGTAGTGGAGATCCTCAGGCCTGGGTACTTGTAGGAGCCTGGAATGAGCAGGTCAGAGGCATATAAGTACATGAGTTCCTAGAGTATTGGTCCAATCCCCCGCCTTTTGCTAGAGAACATTGCTTGATGAGCTTTAGAGCCAGTGATTGACCAGTTCCAGGGTTATCCCCTGATGATCAATGTACTACATTATACCTGATTCCAGTCTCTCCTGAATTAAATGTTTCATTTCTTGTGGTGCTCCTGGAACATGGAGATCGCCCAATTTCTGCCTTGTTTGCATCTTCACTGTTCCCTAGTCTGGACCTTCTTTCTCACCCAGGAATCAGCTGACTTGGGCTGGGCAGCTGGCTGCCTCAGGTCCACTGATGTTTCTCTGGTGCCCTTGGTACTAATGATTGACATAAATTATGCCTAGTGCAGGGCTACCTGCCAACATCTGTCATCACATTCAGTCCTCCAACAGCCCTATGAGATATAGGTCCTAGTATTGTCTCTATTATATACATGGGGAAACTGAGGAATCCTATAACTTGTCCAAGGTCACAAAGCCGGGAAGTGGTATAGAATTGGGGTTTAACTCTTAGTATGTCTGACCCTAGGGCAGGTGTGCCTGTCCATTTGACTGTACTGCCTTGCCCTGAGCTGGACTGGCTGGTTATTTGTGAGTGCTGTCATGTCTAAGGTAGGAGTGACTGCCCATCTGAACTTAAGGGACCATGTTGCTGTTTTCTGGGTCCATGTTGCGTTCCTCCCTCTGGTGAGATCCAGCCAGGCGTGTCATGGACCTGCTTTATGAACCTTTGGTGTAACCCATGATAAAGTCCTTAACCTGGGCAGGCATGTTCTTCCTGGGCAAAGTGTGGCTTCCCTGTTTGGGAGTCCATTGCACTTTAAGGTAACAGATTATTGAGTAGGACTGGATAGCTGCAATATCTAGCAGAGTGTGTTTTGGGTTTGACTCTTGGTTCTGTCATTGATTTGCTGTCAGATGTCAGATATGTAGGAAACCTTCTCTCAGCCTCAGCTGTTTGTCATTTGTATCTATCTTATATCTGAAATGGAGGTAGTTATCTAGCTTAGAAGGTTTGGGTGAGAATTAGATAGTAGAAATGAAAGATTTTTGGAAACAAATAGTGCTTATCTCAGACTATGTTCCCAGGAAACAGCCTGAGACAGAGCTTAAGTACTTAATGCTTTATTGGAAGGTGTAATTGCAGGGCAGCCAGGGTGAGGGAAAACAAAAGTGAGGTGCAGGCCTGTGCGATGGCTCATGCCTATAATCCCAGCACTTTGGGAGGTCGAGATGGATGGATTGCCTGAGGTCAGGAGTTTAAGACCAGCTGGCCAATATGGTGAAACCCCATCTCTACTAAAAATACAAAAATTAGCTGGGCATGGTGGCACACACCTGTAGTCCAAGCTACTCAGGAGGCTGAGGCAGGAGAATCCCTTGAACCTGGGAAGTGGAGGTTGCATTGAGCCAATATTGTGCCACTGCACTCCAGCCTGGGCGACAGAGCGAGACTGTCTCAAAAAAACAAAAGAAAAAAGTGAGGTATAAAGGAGGATGGGAGGTGGTGTTTTAGCAAGCTGGCTACTCTGCACAGAGATGTACTTGGTTACCCTATGAGGGCCCTTTGGTAGCCACTGGGGAGGCCAGTCTGGTACTTCAACAGAGTCTGGAGATAGTGAGAGGAGCCAGAGATTCTGGCGTGGGCCTGGATAGTCTCCTCCACTGGGCTGAGGCAAAGTAAATACCCTGGGACCTGGGAGATGGGTGAGACCAAGAGGTTGCAAGGTGGGACGTAAGATGCATCCAATATAGTGGTATATGGATTTTATCCTCAAGTGTAGTTCCCTTTTGTGGGTTAGTCTCATCCAGACTGCCAAGTCTCTGCCAAGACTATGACTGAAAACCCAACTTGGCTTTTGCATGTCAGTTTTAACAGCCTTCTCTGCTACTTCATTGTCTAGTTACTGAAGCAAGACTTTGTGGTGGTGATGGTACCCAGGTGGGGAAGTGGAAGTCAACCACTATTCATGTACCAGACTGAGAAAGTATGTGGATAGATACAGATAAACATCTTGGCTTTATTAGGTTCTTCGTGAAGGAGAATATTTTTTCACATAAAGTAGTTGTTGAAGATACGAAACCTGGCATGGTGAGATGAGGCTAGAGAGGGCAGTAGGGCCTGGTCACACACTCAAAAGGACCCTTTGGGCTAAAGAGTTTGAACTTTATCTTGACGGCAGTAGAGAGCCAAAGGAGGGCTTTGATAAACCATGCTGGCTACTTTGTAGAGCAGAGGTGGGAGGAAGGCCAGATGACATGTGGAGAGGCCAGTGTAGTGGGGGCCAGGATGCCTGTAGGGGAAGTTAGGGGTGGCTCAGATCAGGGTGATGACTGAGGCTAAGGAGAGTAGGGTACCCCCCATACTTGCCTAGGGTGCCGTGGCAGCAGCTTATAGGCCTGAATGGACATCCATGTGCTTTGGTGGCAGGGTCTCCTGGAGCCTCTGGATCCTCTTAGGCTGAACACACAGGTCCTTTCAGCCCTGTTATCCTAGAGTTGGAGGCAGCGGGGAGCCGTGTCCAGTTAGGTTTTCCCCCTTCACAGAAGGCAGGCAGGTTCTTGTTCAGTGCCAAGCAAGACCAGTTTGTTCTCAGCAAGCTCATGTTCTGTCTCTAGGCTGTTAAATACATTGTTAAAACTCAGGCTGTTGCATTTGGGTTGCAGCTGGGAGCTTGGCAGAGATTCTGCCTGATGAGGTAAGGAGAGAAGCTAAGGACGCTGCTGGTTTGCAGCTGGAAACATCTTTTCATGGCCATTTGGCCAGATTGTAAATGTCTTTTCCAAAGTTCAGGTTTGGTGGGACCTCTGGTTGTATGTCTTGGAATTGCCCTGTGTTTAGAAACAGTGCCAGTCGCCTGATGGGTGAATCACTGTTGCTGGGATGTTGGCAGGTTTTGCAGGACTTTCCTGTGGGGGTCCAAACACTAGGGCTGGCAGGGCCCGTTTGGAGTCTGTTTGAGAAGGGCCTGCTTTGTTTTCTTTACATTTTAAGCATATGATAAAATAATTTTAAAAATTGCTATAGAATTTCTTGTAGAAAGATTAGAGAAACAAGCATAAAAATAAAAAGAAATTATTTCACCAAGATATAGCCAGATGTATGACTCTTTTCTTGCATCTCTCTATATACACATATACATTAATTTTTCCTTACAAAAATGGAATTATAGAGTGCATATTATTGGGGCCCACTTTTCTCACTTAACAGTATGCTTAGATCTCTTCATGTTGATATATAGTATTCATTTTTAATATACTCCATAAAAACTCATTGTATAGAAGAAATGTAAAATCTTCTATTGTTGTAGTTTCCTAATTTGAACAAGTCTGTGGTGAAGTATTTTTTGTTGTGTTCCTGGTATGGGACAGACATTGTTCTAAACTCTGGGGATGCAGCACAGATAAAACTCAGTATTGGTTTTCTGCTCAAGATGTCACTTTGTTTTTCATAAAAGTGGGTTTGACATTGTTCACCTCCAGACTTATTCCAGTTGGATTCTGAGGGTTTCTGGGAGGGCTTTTAGCAGCACTGGACACTTTGTAGGGGCACTCAGCAGGTACACATACTTTCACCTACTCTGTCTTAAGCAAGCTGTGGGCATAGTTATGAGATGGGTTGGAGGTTGGCCTTTCCCACATTGTGGGGCACAGTCCCTCTCGGATGCTGCCTCCTCCCAATCTGACTCTAATTAGAGGACTTTTTGTACAGAGCCTTTTGAGTTAAGGGGCCCAGGCTTGGGAGAAATGGGGTAGGGCTCCAGAGTACCCCTGCCAGAGATGTCAGTGTTGATGTGGTAGTCTGGGAGCTGCTGCTTGGAGGTGCCCAGCTCTCCAGGCTAGCAGAGTTAGTTATCCCCTTCTCCCACCAGAGCAAGACTTTGCAGGCTCTTGGTAGGTAAGTCATCTGTAATTACCTGTGATTCTTTGAGGCTCTGCCCAAACCCCATCTGTGATTCTTTGAGGCTCTGCCCAAACCCTATCTGTGATTCTTTGAGGCTCTGCCTCCAGGCTGAGATTCAAGAATGGGCTCAGTCTAAGCCAGATCGCACATTCCAGAGAAATCACAGCTGGTATTCATGTAATGAAGAAACCTGGCTTTCCCTGAGTGTTGTGAGGTATGAACCGTAGATGATAGGAGCAGAATGATTTGAAAGGAATGGACAGACTTCCTCCCTGGAATTTATCTGGCCTCTAAAAAGGTATGCAACTGCAACTGGAGACACACCTGGGTAGAGATGCTGGGTTCCCCACTTCCAACCATGTCTGGTTTGGAACCTGCCTGGGCCCTGTTCTCCCACCACCCCAGCTCTGAGGAGCAGTCAGCTGGTCCCTTTCTGATCACAGATACATCCTCCCAGCTCTATGTTTTCACTGTCCCCTCCCTACATACATACAGAAGGTGCTGAGCCTGAGCCAGTCAAGCCTTTTGAGGAACAAGAAACAGACACCCAATCCCTTAGGTATAAGGGGCTTGTGTAAGCAAGAGAGAAGCCTTCTGAAATCCTGGGATAGAGAAGACAGTATAGTAAGGCCTTGGAGCAGACCTGTGGCTAGAACCAGGAGGGCCTGGACTCTGCCTCAGGGCAAGCCCAGGCTTACTCACTTTCTCTTGATGACTTGCTCTCTTCTGCTGCTCTAACTCCCTAATGGACCCCTTAGCACAATACGCCCTACCCTGCAGCAGGTTCCAGGTTGGAAGATAATTGTCCTGTGTGTCTTGGGACCCCCACACCTAGACTATGACAGGAAGACTGTCAGCTCTGCAGACATTTGGCATAGGCATGAACACATGGCGCCATTCACTTATGCTTTCCTTCTGATAGAGGATCCATTTGCAGATGGGAGTTGTGGTTGGCCTTCTCTGAGCCTAACCTGGAATCTCAATGGATTAGGATTTCTTCTGAAAGAGTAAGATGAGGAATGGTGGGTGTGCTGTGTGTCTAATCAAGTATGGCGGGCAAAAAACTGATGAACTGGCATTATCTTAGACTTAGAATTCTGTCAGATAAGGCTTATGTTTTTTTGGGAAAGCATTTGTATTTCCTTTGTTTTGCTTGCTTTGTCTTAGTGAATTTCCATTTGAGCACTCCAGTGGGGTGCTCAAAAGCAGGGCAGGAAGAAGACCGGCAGAGCTGGGGTACAGATGGGTGCTAATCCTCCAGCACAGTCTAGGCTGCATGGCTGAGCTGGGAGACGGTATCGGAGGCTTCTGTTGTGGACTGAGGTTTACTGCCAGTGGGGTTTGTCTCAGGTTGTGCCTATTTCTGGGCTGATGAGAAGACAGTAGCTGGCCCCTTTCCCATGTCAGCAGCCCAGCCTGAGGTTTTGGCCATGTGTGCCATATTCATTTTTGTATCCTGAGTGCCTAGATCAGTGCCTGGCATCTGCAGGTCTTCAGTAAATATTTGTGAATGAATGGTGACGGGCCAGTGAGAACAGTGTCTGCCAAGGAGCCTTACTACAGGAAGAACACTGTCTACCTAGGAGACTGTCTCCTCTGACTGCTCTTTCTCTGGCAGGTGCAGACTGACAAGGGTTAGTTTTATTCCTCTTCTGGCTGGCCATCTGTTGTACACCTTAGTTTGGGTGTTGGTACTCTGGAGGATATTGTGTCAAATTATCTTTCTGTTATTGTCTCTCATGTACTGTTGCCTCCTTGTGGGCAGGGACTGGTTCCCCAAAACCTGGCACTGTCCTGGCATATGTGTTGGAAGGTAAGATAGAAACAAACAGCAGTCTGTGAAATAAGAAGGAGTGGGCCAGAATCTTGGACTGACAGACCATTGGAACCCGAGCTGACTGTACCCCACTGCGATTCCGCCTTCTCATGGTACAGGTGGTTGCTGGGAGTTGAGAGGATGGGCTCTCTCCGCAGGGCACGTGACTTCCCAGAGCAGGGACCAGAATTGAGCACACATCACTGGCTGCACGCTCTTTGTTCTTTCTGCTGTTTGTCCTTTTTAGCTTCTGTGTGCTAGGCCAGGATTTTGATATGTTTGATTATCTGCATATGTGTGTACATGCCTATGTGTCTCCTCACCTAAATTAGTCTTTTTCACTTTGTTGATCCAGTGATTGTCATTGAATGCCTTTCAGACACTTCCCTCTGTGACCATGAAACTCTGGGTGTCTGCATTGCTGATGGCCTGGTTTGGTGTCCTGAGCTGTGTGCAGGCCGAATTCTTCACCTCTATTGGTACGTGCCAACAGGACTGTCGTCTCCCTGACACCTTGGCTCACATGCCACGGATGTCTCTGGCTGCAGCCTGTTCTCATTTAGAGTGGGATAGCCTTAACTACTGGTTTTGGCCAGTTCTGAGGAGAGTGGAACTGGCAGAGTTGCTGTTTTCCCCTATAAGATCCCAATGATCTGGATGTTCAGGGAGCCAGATGTCTGAATTGGGTCTTTCTTCCTGGGAAGTGCAGGCTGCACTTGGGCTCTCTGGTCTTTTTGACCACCTTGCCCATGGACCAGAGAGTGGTTCTGAGCAGCAAATCCTTTGTATCCTGAGGATCAAGCTTTTCCTATCCTTCCGACCTAAAGTTCAGAGCTTTTTATCCTGTGGTGAGCCCCCAGGATATCCATGCCCCAGTGTCATGACCAGCTATGTAACAGTCGGAGAATGAGATTTAGGGCTGCTTCTTGAGTGACATCCAGTGCACTTATCTCAAACATCCCCTTGGTGCCTCTGCCTCTTTCTTCCTGAAGTTGCGAGATAGAGCCCCATGAGTGCCTAGGCCCCCTTTAACTCCAAGTCCCCATAATCCTCAGAGAGCTGACATGTTCTTATCCCAGGGGACTTGCTTCTGTGCTGGTATTCTGTGCCCCAAGGAAGGAGGCTGGACATCCCTCATCTGTTTCTCACTGGTGTCTTTCTTCTCTCCCTTGCAGGGCACATGACTGACCTGATTTATGCAGAGAAAGAGCTGGTGCAGTCTCTGAAAGAGTACATCCTTGTGGAGGAAGCCAAGCTTTCCAAGATTAAGAGGTGTCCTAAGTCCCCAACCATCCTTAGTTGGCCTTCCTTCCCTTCTGCCCCTCAAGGAACAAGGAAGCCATCCAGGGTGCCTATAAGAGGAAACCTTTGAGAGGGTGATGTGGGGCTGGCCTGGTTACTTCATGCCAGTGCTTGAGAGGAGCTAAGTACATGGGCTAAGGAGTCACTGTTTATTTTCTATTTAAGACCTTTTCCCTTACATTGGGGGTCCCAGCTGTTATCTAGATTAAGGGGCTAGAAGTATCTGTGGGGAGTTACTGTATTCATTTTTCATTGCCTCTTGATGAAAAGGGCCCCAGAACCTGGCACCAGGGAATTCTCACTAGGAAAATTGTCACAGGTCAAGACCTATGTGGGTGGACGCATTAGTCTTCCTTTTCCTCTGGTTCCACAGCTGGGCCAACAAAATGGAAGCCTTGACTAGCAAGTCAGCTGCTGATGCTGAGGGCTACCTGGCTCACCCTGTGAATGCCTACAAACTGGTGAAGCGGCTAAACACAGACTGGCCTGCGCTGGAGGACCTTGTCCTGCAGGACTCAGCTGCAGGTGAGGGACGGTGAGCAGGTGCTTGAGTGAGCCCATATGTTTGTGTGCTCATGCCTGGGTTGTTGTGTCTGAGCCTGTCTTGGGTCTGGGTGTTGGTGGGCAAGTACATTGTGGAAACAGGACCCTGCTGGTCTCATGGCTCTCTCCCTTCTCTGTGGGGACCTGGAAGTTGGCTGGCCTTGGTTTTTAACATGTAATGATGTTCAGTTCTTTTTTTAGCGTCTTTTTTTTAGTGTCTGTCTTTTCTTATTTTTTGCTAATGACATTTTTCCAATTATACTTTAGTGATACATGTTTATAGAAAAGTCGGAAAACACAAAAACAAGAGAATTATAATTCTTAATCCAGTTGCCCAGTGGTGAGCATTATTAAAATTGTAGTTTTTCTACCTATGCATATACATTTAAAAAATGGAACTATACATACATACCAGGGCATGCAAACTCAGTTGCTTGGAGGGACAATGAATTTACAAGTGTCAAGTGGGCTGGATGGTGGGGCCAGGGCAAGTTGGGGAGCATAGGTCTGATCTAAATTCATTCCTATTCATATGTTTTACAAACAAAGCATATCTGTTGGTAGATTTGTGACAGAAGAAAAAATTCTGTGAATTTCTCAGCTTCTTTATATGCCATTCAATGTTCTTCTGCAACATGATTTTAATGGCTGGATGGTGATTACCTGTCAGATGGTGATAATCTGTCATACTGATAATACTGTCAAATGGGTCAAGTCATTGGATATGGGATTTTTTCTGAATTATCAGCACCTTTTTACATATTTCTTGGTGTATACTTCTGATTACTTTTTTAGGGTAAGTTCCTAGAAGTGATATTACCGATGAGAGTGTGAACTTTTTAAAAGCTTTAAACTATACTTGGTGCTTTTATTGTGATAATACTTTTTATGCCCTAATACTTTTCTGTCAATAAGAAGAGATGGTACGGTGGGCCTGGAGGTGGGCTCTCCTAACTCCTAGCCCTGGGTTTAGTCCCCTGGACTCACTGACTTTTTTTTTTTTTTTTTTTTTTTTTGAGACTGAGTCTCACTCTGTCACCAGGCTGGAGTGTAGTGGCGGGATCTCGGCTCACTGCAACCTCTGCCTCCGGGTTCAAGCAATTCTTCTGCCTCAGCCTCCTGACTAGCTGGGACTATAGGCACATGCCACCATGCCCAGCTAATTTTTTTTTGGTATTTTTAGTAGAGACAGGGTTTCACCATGTTGGCTAGGATGTTCTTGATCTCTTGACCTCGTGATCCACCCATCTCCACCTCCCAAAGTGCTGGGATTACAGGTGTGAGCCACCATGCCCGCTGCCTTTTTTTTTTTTTTTTTTTTTTTTTTTAAAGGGACAGGGTCTCACTATATTAGCCTAGACTGGAGTGCAGTGGCTATTCACAGGTGCGATTGTAGCACACTGCAACCTTGGACTCCTGGCCTCACGTGATCCTCCTGCCTCAGCCTCCTGAGTAGCTGGGACTATAGGCACAGTGCCATTGTACCCAGCTCTTCACTGCCTCTTTTCCCTGAGCTGTGAGTGCTGATTAACTTCAGACTAGCTGTCTCTCTGGCTGAGACATTTTAGCCCATGTGGCCAGACTGGGTTGGGCCTGGGGGCAGGGTGGCCTCTGGAGAGGGATTGGTGAGCTCAGCCAGGCTGGAGCTGTGCCCAGTGAGCTCACTGCCTCCAGAAACCACGGCTGCCTTTCCCAGACTCCCGCCTCTCCGCCTGGGCCTGCAGCTCGGGACAGGCTGTTCTGCCTGCACGGCAGGAGACTAAGCCTACCCAGATGACCTCCTCTCTCCAATCTTGTTCTCCACACCCTACACTCCCACCATCATCTGGTTCCTTTGGAAAACCTTATGATTACCTGGAAGGAGATAGGGCAGGCCCAGAGAATAATTGGTTGTTTTCATCTCTGACTTTGAGTTCTTGCCCCTGAAACGAGCAGGGCATGCTGACAGTGTGGCTTTTCCTGGCAGCATGTTCCCCTACTCCCACCCCACCAGATTCTAAACTCTTTAGAGTCCCTGACCATGTAGCTATGAAGACAAGGAAGGCAGGGTTACAGCTTCTTGGTCCCTGTCCCCAGTTATGGCTGAAGTGGATGTTTAGGTCTGAAGTCATAGGTGGCAGTGGATACAGCTACTCTTGGGAAGAGGTTGGGGAAGGAATGGCCTTGTTGTTCCCCTCTCACTTCTCAGCTTAGAGGCAGAATTGAAGGCCCTAAGTCAGCCTGGGAAGGCTTGGCTCCCACCTGGGATTGTAGGAGGTACACATCTTACTTTACAGCTAGGGCTTGGAGTCCCAGAAAAGCCTCCTTGGAGTACTTCTGTGGTCAAAAGCTCTCCCACGCTTCAGGCTGTGGTCTTGAGCACCATAACTGGAGAGCCCATGCCCTGAACTCATTGAAGGTCTGAGTGGTGGGAGTACAGAGGAGAACAGGCCCACCGTGGTCTCTTAGGGGACGGACCTTGCTGGGTTGGTGCAACCCCACCTTGGTCCTTGGCCTGTCTAGGTGGTCCTTCAGCTGTCAACCTAGGGGGAGGGGGATGACTTCCAGGACTTTCATCATCACCTTTCTGGATGATAAGTGCCAGTGGTCAGTAATGAGTGGCCAGCTCGGCTTCATTAGTTAACTGTCATTGTCCCTTGGACTCCTCAACTTGAAATGTGTGCTGGAAGTCTGTGTTTACCTGACTAGCCCAATTACCCTGGATCAAGGTTTTCCATGGGATTTATTTTCCACTGAGTGGTTGACAGTTCTTCCTGAGTCCTCTCCCGTGCTCTTCTCAGTTACCCTCTCTATCCTCTGTTTCTTCTGTCTCCACCAGCTCTGACTGAATGATTTGGAGCCAAGACTTCTGGACTCCTAAATATTAACCAATATGGGGGGCTGCTTCTACTTAGTTCCAAAGAGCAACACAGGCAGTAGGTATGGTGAGGAGTAAGAAAGGAAAAGTCCCCATAGACTGGAGTCATCAGGGACAACTTCCTGGTGGAAGGGGGCAACAGCCTTTGAGGGAGGGGGCGGGGAAATTTCACTAGCCAGAGACCCTCTTTGTGGCTGCCTCTCTGGTCCCAAGTGGAATTCTGCCCCTGGATCAAGGGTAATCTCTTGTTCTGACTCTCATTTGGAAGGTTTTATCGCCAACCTCTCTGTGCAGCGGCAGTTCTTCCCCACTGATGAGGACGAGATAGGAGCTGCCAAAGCCCTGATGAGACTTCAGGACACATACAGGCTGGACCCAGGCACAATTTCCAGAGGGGAACTTCCAGGTAACTCACCACTCCAGGCGTTGCCTGTCCCGCATGTGTCTCTTTAGTGGCGGGACAGGTTGGAGCCACCACCAACTTGTGGCCTTTAACCTCGGGTGCACCTCTGGTGCACCTCTTGGCTCACCAGTTTGTGCTGGACTCCCTCTCCCATGACAGGTTTCTCCCTCAGCCCCTGCCCTGCCACCTCCCTCCATGTATTAGCCAAGGCCCTCTCCTCTTGCATCTCAGAGAAAGCCAAAGTTGCTGCTCAGGAACCCCCTCCACGTCTGTCCCCAGAGCACCACACAGATCTGCATTCAGACCTGCTTCTTGTCTCCCACCCTCCAATGTCTTTTCATCTAAGGCTGATCTGGGCTTACTATCCCCCTGTCTTGAGTCCTCTTAGTTACAGTCTCTGCTCCTATACATTCTGTCTCCACCTCTCTGGGTTCTACCCTTGAGCTCCCATATAGGCTCTATTCTTGCTCATCTTAACACTTGCCTCCCTCGGTATCTGAGAGTCTTTCGAGTCTTTGCTGCTGATTCATCTCTTCTCCCCTCCTGGTTAGGCTACTGGATAGAGTAATCTACACTCTGTCCATTTTCCTGGTTCCCATATACTCCTGAACTCACAGTATCTGGCCTTTTTCCCCACTGTCACTGATGCTGTTCTTACAAGGTCATCAGTGGCCGCTTGGCTGGTAAACCCAGCGAACAAGGTTCACACATAATGTTCTTTAACTTCCCAGCAGCATTTGACAGATAGATTGCCTCATTCTTTGTGATGTTCTCTCCTCCTTTGAATTCTGGCATACTGATATCTGCTTCTCTTTTAGCCTCTCTGGTCATTTTCTCTCAAGTGGCCCCTCTCCCACTGACTTCCCAGTGTTAGTGTTTATAAGAAGATGTTTTGAGGGCTGCTGGAGACAAGTAACCCCAGCGATTCACTGTGTGAGGCTCATGCAGACCCAGCTTATTCCAGCTCCAGAACCTCAGCTGCCCCCTTTAGACTCCATTAGAGAGAGGGCAGTTCAGGGCACCTGCAAGATCTGTTCACTCTGTAGCCTTGAGATTGGTTGCTTGGAGGAGGGAACCATACCCTGGCGTTGACCTCTCACGTTCACTCAGCAAACCCATGAGTGTCCTGAATAGGGTTATGGGGCAGAAAGGAATTACTCCCTAGGACTCCATCCTTACCTCATCTTCTCCCTGAGCACCTTCCCCAGGTGAGCACAGCCATTTCCATCACCTGAGGTGGATGACATCCAGATCTGTGTTTCTTGCCAAGGCTTGTCTCCCGAGCTTCTAACCAGTGTAGACGGATGCCTTTGGGACATCTGTACTTGAATGTCCCATGGACTTCTCGAACTTCATGTGTCCTGAACTGAAATCCTCATCTCCTTGTAAACACTTTACCTTCCCCCTCATCCTTCTATCTCAGCAAAAAGGACCTCCATCCTCTGGCTGCCTAAGCCAGAAGCCTAAGGCCTATGGATTCTACCTCCTTCTCTCATGTCTTCCGTGCTTATCCCCTGACTCCAGCCTCACAGCTACTTTTTTCTCAATTTGATTATCAAAATACCATTCTGACTTGTCTCCTACCTCCAGCTTACTGCTTAAGACCATCCTCCATGTGGTCTTAAGCACACATTTGTTCACATGAGTTCCTGATTACTGTGCTTAATTTCCAAAGCTAAACCCAAACTCCTCCTGTGTGTGGTCTTTGGGGTCCTGCATGACTCCATTTTCCTGGCTTCCTTGCCCATTGTACTCAGCTTTCCCTATCACTCAGCTCTTTTGTCTCAACCCCTCTATAGGAATACCTTTACCCATGTCAGCTAGGCTACTCCATGTCTGATTGCCTATCAGCACTCAGCTCAGCTGTCACTCTCCCAAATGCTCTCCAGGGAGTAGACATTCGAGTTGGCTCTGGGGAGGATGCTGAGTGCCAGGGAGCCATTCTTAGCATTCTTGGCATCTGGGAGACATGTTGATAATAGCTACTGGTCATTAGCATCCTGGGGAGCATAGGAGACATCTTCATATGTCATCTTATTGAATTCTTGCCACAAGCTCTTTAAAATTGATGATATTATCTTTATTTAGAGATAAGGGGACTGAGACTTAGATATGGTAACTTGTCTATAGTCACACAGCTGGTTGGCGCCCTAGTGAGGCCAACACAAACCTAGTTTAGTTCAGCTCCAGAGCCCCAGCTCAGTCAGCTATGTTACTCTGCCCCAGCAATGTAGGTTCCTGGGCCTGCAGAGCCAGAGGAGACCTGTGGAGAAGGAAAAGGGGCTCCAGGAGCCCCCCAGTCCCTGGCCTACCTAGGGACTTCATCTTGTGTTTACTGTCCCCAACTTCCTATTCCTCGTTATTGGTTCCTGAGCCACCGGGGTTAGCAGACCCTGGTCTCTGAAGCATTTAGCCTACTGTGTAGTGGTTTCATTCCAGGCAGAAAGAGCCTTCTCTGAGTTCTTTTGTGTCAGCCATGCCCAGGTTGCTGTTAATGGGGCTGTGGGGAGTCTTCCTTGCTTTCCAGGGAGAGTCACAGCCCCCACTTCCCCTCCATGGTATCTGCTTTCTCATTATTCTCTGAGGAACCACACACATAGTCTTTCCCATCTTGAGCTCACCCTAAATCCTGCATCTCCCTATAGCTGCTTCTTCATATTGGCTTGAAACTATCTTCATGGTCACTTTCCAGCACTCCCTCTACAGCAGATGACCTTTGGTCATAAGACCCACTGAACTGATACTCAGCAAGGTCCCTGCCACTTAACAGCCAAAGCTGGCACTGCAACCTTGGCTCTTGGCCTCCCTTGGTGTCTCTCACACCACTCCCGCTCCCTCTGTTTCTCCTATCTTTAGTTCATTCTCAGGGTTATTCATTGTCTGTTCTTTCTGGGTAGGTGCTCCCTGGAGCTCTGGCCTTAGTCATCTTCTCCATTCTTTCCTCAGAGTTCCTGCAAGCTATTTTCCTCACCCATGGCTTGGTTGCCACCTAAATTTATGTTTTTTATATTCAGCTAATTTTTCCATCCTCTAGACTCATATGGCAAACTGCCCACCAGACATCTTCTTCTCTGTGGTCCACAGGACCTTCCCACTGTCCTCAACAATGCTTCCTGGTGGGTTTCTGGGGCTCCCCCTAAAAAGGCCCCTTCCCACTTGGGAGATGGGGAATCTGAGGCTAAGAGGTGGCTGTGAACCCCAGTCCAGGGCAGGGCTGGGCCATCTGTCTGTGCTCACTGTGTCAGTGGCCCTTTAGGATATGCAGTCTAAATGTCCGATGGAGTTCTGCTTGGTGATGCCCCCTATCCAGTGGCTCAGGCTTTCCTTGAAGTGGGAATCTCTTTCCCTAATCCAGAGGCTCTTTGGAGCCTGACAATTTACTTCCCCTGCTGTAGGAACCAAGTACCAGGCAATGCTGAGTGTGGATGACTGCTTTGGGATGGGCCGCTCGGCCTACAATGAAGGGGACTATTATCATACGGTGTTGTGGATGGAGCAGGTGCTAAAGCAGCTTGATGCCGGGGAGGAGGCCACCACAACCAAGTCACAGGTGCTGGACTACCTCAGCTATGCTGTCTTCCAGTTGGGTGATCTGCACCGTGCCCTGGAGCTCACCCGCCGCCTGCTCTCCCTTGGTAAGGAGATTCTAGGGGAAGGTAAGATGGGAATGGAGAGTGGCAGAGGAACTGCACTGTGCTGGCATCTGCCTGACCCCTCTCCTGGGACTGAGTCAGTTTACCCTGTCACTTGGCCAGTGACTAATGCCTTACTGACTTTAGGACCAGTCCAGCTTCTTACTAGCTCCTTACCCACCTCAATCCTGGCCTTAGGTTTGCGCAGTCGCTGATAGATACGCTCAGGCCTGTGGCACTTGTGGGCCTTTTTAATAAGGACTCTGTTATGGTGTATCTGTCACCATGCAGGACTACACAGGGTGGAACCTTTACTACATCAGGAGCAGCTCAGGAGTCAGGTTGTACTTTAGGATTGTTACAGTGACAAACAGTAGCGGTGCTATTAGAGGCCTGAGGTCTAATAGTAGGACTTCATATGGCATTGATACTTTGTGTGCCTTGTGCTGTTGGACTGAAGAAGGCCAAAAGCACTGTGCCTTTAAAACTCATCTACCTTTTTTTTTTTTTTTTTTTGAGACAGAGTCTCACTCATCCAGCCTGGAGAGCAGTGGCACGATCTCAGCTCACTGTAACCTCCGCCTCCCGGGTTGATGAGATTTTCCTGCCTCAGCCTCCCAGGTGGCTGGGATTACAGAGGCACATGCCCCATGTTGTATTTTCTTTAGTAGAGATGAGGTTTTACCATGTTGGTCAGGCTGGTCTCGAACTCGTGACCTCACGTGATCCACCCGCCTCGGCCTCCCAAAGTGCTGGGATTGCAGGTATGAGCCACCGCACCTGGCCTCTGTTGGTTTTCCAGTTACGACCAGCGTACTCTGGTTAGATGCTGTGGAAGGTAGAATGCAGCATGCAGGTGAGCTGCTGGGAGAGAAACCCTTACAGAATAATTTCTCTAAATGACCTAACAGATGTTTGTGGTTTCCTTTTCCTTCTCATTCCTTGCATTTTCTAGACCCAAGCCACGAACGAGCTGGAGGGAATCTGCGGTACTTTGAGCAGTTATTGGAGGAAGAGAGAGAAAAAACGTTAACAAATCAGACAGAAGCTGAGCTAGCAACCCCAGAAGGCATCTATGAGAGGCCTGTGGACTACCTGCCTGAGAGGGATGTTTACGAGAGCCTCTGTCGTGGGGAGGGTGTCAAACTGGTGAGATGTGTGAGGGGGCTAGGGTGCCAAAGCTGTGGACCTGGACTCTGGCTCTGGGCAGGCAGATTTGGGGAAGGTGTTCTTTATTCTGTAGGTACTTTTCTCAGTATATCCCCCAGTTTTTCATGGCATCTCCTGAGGCTGACATGTGGATATTCTCTGAGGTGTAGGAAAGGAGACTCTCTCCCCTCGTGCCCCAGGTAGAGTGTTGCTCCTCTAAGTTACCAGTGAGCTCGCCTCCTTACCCCAATATGTCCCACTTTTTGCTTCACTCACTGTTGGGAAGAAAACAATGGGTGGACGTACCTCAGGCCCCAAAAGAAGTCATGGTATAAGTGGAGAGTAAGTCTCTGTGGTAAAGACACCAGCGTGTACTAGAGCTTGGTATCGAGCCTTTGAGAGCCCTGGGATCCTAGTGCTTCCTGAGGAGGCCCAGGTGTGACAGGCTCTGAGCCTTTTCCATGCCCCTGTCTGCATGGCTTCTACTGGCTCCTCCACCAAGAAAGGTTTCTCCCCTGTCCCAGCCCTTCAGACCTACTCAAGTCTTCACGAAAAGGGTCAGGAATTACTTTCTGCCATGGGACTTGAGGATGTGAGGTGATTTTGGGAGAGAAGAAAAATTGCATGATTTGTGGGGTGTTATTTCATGCCAGTTAAGCTGAAGGGGCTCTCCTCTCCTCTCCCCTCCCCCCATTCCCCCCTCTCCTCCCCTCCCCCCCTCCCCTCCCCCTCCCCTCCCCCTCCCCTCCCCCTTCTCCTCCTCTCTCCTCCCCTCCCTCCCTCCCTTCCTTTCTTCCTTCCTTTTTCTTCTCTTTTTCCTGTTTCCTCTTTTTCCTTTTCTTTTCTTTCTTTCGTCTCACCCTGTCGCCCAGGCTGGTGTGCAGTGGTATAATCATAGCTCACTGCAGCTTTGACCTCCCAGCCTTGAGCAATCCTCCTGCCTCAGTCTCCTGAGTAGCTGGGACTACAGGTATGCACCATCATGCCTGGCTAATTTTTTAGAGACAGGTCTATGTCATCTAGGCTGGTCCCAAACTCCTGGTCTCAAGCTATCCTTTGGCCCCCCAGAGTTCTCGGATTACAGGCATGAGCCACTGTGCATGCCCACCTGCTGGGACTTTTGTTTTCTTCTGTGGTGTGGTGGGAGGGAGCAGCTGCTGGCCATGAGGTGAGTCCAGTGTCTGCAGACAGCCAGACTGGGACCGAGGATTAGGACTCACTCAGCTCAGGGCCTGTTACTCTGTGCTTTCCAGACACCCCGTAGACAGAAGAGGCTTTTCTGTAGGTACCACCATGGCAACAGGGCCCCACAGCTGCTCATTGCCCCCTTCAAAGAGGAGGACGAGTGGGACAGCCCGCACATCGTCAGGTACTACGATGTCATGTCTGATGAGGAAATCGAGAGGATCAAGGAGATCGCAAAACCTAAAGTAGGTGTCACTGTAGGTCCTTCTCGGGTCACTGAAGGGGGAAGGTCCTTTTTCTCATCCCTAGCACTATGGGTGGTTGGTTTGCCCATCTAGCCACCCTTTATCCATATCTAGCATGGGCCTACCGTGGGGATACAGAGATGCTTCAGACTCAGCCTGACCTTGTGAGTTCATGGTCCAGTGGAAGAAGAACAGGGTAACCAATGTGGACAGCCAAGTGCTATCATAGAAGGTCACGCTGGGAACAGGGCAGGTCTACACTGGTGTGTCAGTTCACCTGGTTGGGAGACTGGTGCGTGGGTGAGTTTTTTGGAAATGTTCCATAGGATGCTATGAAGCTGGGTCCTGTGGAGCTCCTGATTAGGACTGTAAATGAGGTGAATGACTTAGAGGAGAATGTATATCTTTATAATATTGGGTCTTCTCATCCAAGGGCATGACAGGTCTCTCCATATCTTTTTAAGTTTTCTTCATATAAGCCTTGAACATTTCTTAAGTTTATTCCTTGGTAGTTTCTTTGTTACTGTTAATTTACTTTATTTCTTCATTATTATTTTTAACTGGTTACATTATTTTATTAGTTTACTATTATATGCCAAACTATTGATTTTACAAATACATTTCATAGTAAGAGCTAATGTTTACTGAATTCTTAACTGTGGCAGGAACTTCTAAGTGCTTAACATATATATTAAGTGTTATGTCACAGTTATGAACAGCTGCTCATAATGATGTCACTGTCTCTGTTTTACCTATGAAAAAGCAAACTCATACAGATTGCAGCTAGTGGTTGAATTTACTTATTTCTTTTTTGGTTTTTAGCTGATTTCTCTTTGGTTGCCTGGATAGCATTAACACCTGGAAATAAGGAAAATTTTATTTTCTCCTGATACTTGTAGTTCCTTTGTTTTTATAACCTTATTGAATTGCCCAGAACTTCTAGAGCATAATTACGTAGAATAGGCATCCTTGTCTCATTCCTGAATTTCCTGGAAATTCCTATGGTATTTTACTGCTAAGAATGCAGTTGGCTGTTGGTTTTGTATATATGCCATGTTTTAAAATTATTCTTCTGTTTCTAGTTCATAAAAGATTTGTTCCCCATTTGACATCTTTCAAAGAGACCTATTTGCTGCCATATCCCATCACTGATGATTGGGAGGGAGGATTTAGCTCGATTCTCTATTGCTCTGCTCCTAATAGAATTGTAGGGGCCGAGGTGACCAGGAGGCCCGACACTCATGGAGAGACCTGAAATAGGTTCCTATCCTGGCCCCTGGACCTCATCTTGGAACAGCTTTGGCTTGAGGTACTAGGACATCTAGGGCTTTGAGTCAGTGGTTGGCATCATCGATGTGGCTGAGGAAGGGGGCTAGCCAGATATATGGAGAATGGGGACTAGGACTCCCCTTTCTACTCAGCTCCAGAGTCCTCCAGGAAAGAAAACTACTTTGTTGGTTGTGCCAGGATTTCCTGAGAGATTTCTTACCCGTTCTTCAGTTCCAGACACTGAGAACATTTCTCTGTGCATGTGTGCATATGTGTACACATGTGTGTGGCTGGCCAGAGGGTAGTGTTAGGAAAAGATATATTTGAATAGAAGCCATGCAAAGAGCCAAACAAGGTTGGCAAACATGTTTGGCTCTTAACATGGCTTCTATTCAAAGATAAGCTGACCCCTCCTTTCCGGAGACTGTGAGGGACAGATGCTATTCTGGCTTTGAAGTAGAGCCAATGAGCTTAACTTGGCCTGTGGGGAATGCCTGGCAGCTGTCTGTGGGGTCTCTGGCCTGCTTTCAAAATAGCCCTGTGCTTCCCCTGGGGCAGAGCACAGCTGCTCAGAGCCTCTTTGTGGGTGTCAGGCCAATGCTGAGGCACAGATGTTTGGATGGGGTCTGGCTGTGGCTGCAGTTTTCAGGGAGGGACTGACATGAGCTGAAGCTCAGGAAGGGCCATGAGTAGGAGCTTGGGAGCCGTCTGTCCTGCTTGTGCTGGCCATCTTACCAGATCATGCCATAGCAGCACAGTGTCCAAGTTGGTCCATCTCACCCCCTTACTAGCCTTCTGGTCCATCTACTCCTCTCCATCCCTTCTGCCACCACCTGGCCCGGGCCACCATCATCTCTTGCCCTGACCTCTGTCGTGGCCTCACTAGCCTCCCAGTCCCCACTCTGGCCCCTCATTAGTCAACTCTCCATGAGGTATTCACAGTGATCCATTTTACATTCACATTTTGAGTGTCCCTCCCCTGCATAAAGCCTTCCCCATTTCTCGTTGGCCACAAGGTTGCATCTAGTTCCTAGCCCCTGCTTGTCTCTTCAGCCTGTTCTCTCTTACTACTTCCCATAACCTTTAATCCACACCTACTGCAACACCCATTTTCATTCCCAGGCCTCTGGATTGCTGCTCTTTCCCTGTTCCTGTAATGTTCCTCTACTTGGATAACTCATGTTAACCCTTCAGGCCTCAGCTAGGTGGTCTCCTCCCCTAGGAAGCTATTCTTGACACTATACCCTGAGCTTCCACAGGATGGTAAGTTCACCCATGCTGTGCTGCAGTTACCTGACTGGTTTTCTGCTTTCCCCACTTGACTGAGTTGTAAGAGTGCAGGGGCCATGTCTCAGTTACCTAGCATAGTGCCAGGCACAAAGTAGGCACTCATCAATATTTATTGAAATCAAGGGGAAGTGTGTTGGGGTGGGAGTACCTGGGCCTATGGCCCCACCCATGTGAGGTCATGAGGACAGTCCACAGCTGAAGCACATGGACCTTTGCCATGTTGGCTGGCTCTGGGCGGCGAGTCCCCCTTGGGGTTTCACTAAGCCTAACTGTGGAGGCTGGGGGAGATGAAGTAGATGCAGGGAGTGCATGTGTAGTGTGTACCTGTATGAGTGGGTGGCTTCCAGGCAGTGGTTCACTTATTTTAACTTACAGAATCTTTTCCTGGTTTTATCATCTGACTTGTAAGGATCCCAAGGGAGCGAAAACTGTGCCATCTGTCTTTGCTTCTTGAGGCTGTGGGAACCCAGTGTGAGGTGGTGCAGCAGGAGAGTGTTTGGATGGGTTTCTTGGCAGAGGAGCCCACTGAGGTTCGGAAGGATGGTGGAACTTGACTCAATTGAGAGAAGTACATAAGGCGGAGGCTCAGGCATGGTGGCACAGTCTGAAAATGGTGGGAGTAGCTAAGCTCAGGCAGGCTGTGCTCAGGCAGGGGTGGTATGTGGGCCTGGCAAGGAAAGGGGCTAGTCAGGCAGATGCATGGGTAGACAAGGCAGGCATAATTCTGCAGGCAAAGCGGACCTGGGGAGGAGAAGGGATGAGCAGTGACCGAGCAGGGCAATAGCCAGGAACTGATTGCGGATTGGGAATGTGGAGGCCTCAGACTCTTGCCCTCAACTGGCCTGCAGGATCTTGGGGCCTTGGCTAGAGCCATTGGCTGCAAAGCTTCCTCCACTAGCATGGCAGTAAATCTGGTCCCAGTGCTCTCTGGGAAAATATTCAAGGCAAAACAAACAAACAAACAAATCAAGTCTTCCCTCTCCTCCTTCCTTCTAGCTTGCACGAGCCACCGTTCGTGATCCCAAGACAGGAGTCCTCACTGTCGCCAGCTACCGGGTTTCCAAAAGGTAAGCAAAGAGCAGGGGTTCGTAGCTGCTCAAGCCCCAACTTCAGGACTTCTCAGTGCCTACCCTAGGGATGGGTGGCTTGCCTTTTCCTGCCTGCTGGCACCTCCTCACCCCCTTGCAGCAGGCATCCTGTACTGCCTGTTCATGCTGGCCCTGACTCTGGGGACAGAGTTCAGGACCTCATGGAAGCCTGCCCTTCCGTCTTCTTTTCTCTGCCCTTTTCTTTTTGCCCAGCTCCTGGCTAGAGGAAGATGATGACCCTGTTGTGGCCCGAGTAAATCGTCGGATGCAGCATATCACAGGGTTAACAGTAAAGACTGCAGAATTGTTACAGGTACAGATAGTACCTGGGACTGTAGGAGTTGGGAAGTGGGTATTTGTGGCTAGATGGTCTCACAGGGTGTCCAGAACTGGGCCAAGAGGCCCAACTGTATGACTACTGCCTGATGCTATGAATATGGAGTGATCTCATTTTAGGAAACCAGAATTAATCATGCCTGCTGGCTTTCAACAATTAGTGTTCAACAAATATCTATTGAGCATCTGCTGTGTGCCCAAGTGTGCTGCAAGCTAGGGATCAGGGGTAGTTATGGTAGGTTCGTTCATGTCTTCTTGACAACAGAAGCTCAAATCCTGAATGGTCTCAGGGACATCTCTAAGAGAGCTAAAAATGACTTCAGAGGCCATGGTTCTGTGTCATAATCAAATACATTTGAAGGTCAAAGTATTCTGTGTGTTTTCTCCTGCTGAACCACAACTGAAGTTGCTCCAAAAGCAGCAGCAGGGGACTTCCCATGAGGGACTGCCAAGATGGGGTCAGTTGAGAATTCAAAGAAAGCGGCACTAAACCCCTGGGTCTTCAGTCCACAGCATTTATTAGGGAACTTGCAGAGTGGGCTGCAGCAATCCTCAAAATGGACAGCAAGAGACAAGAATTGTTTTACCTAAGTATTTCCACAGTGAGGGAGTCAGAGTGTGGAGTTTATTTGAGGGTTTAGGGAATTTGGTTCAGGGCTGGGGCTAGTTTCTTTCAGTGTTATGGGCAACAACCTAAACACCTTCATCAGTGCCTGGGAATGTTGAAGACTCCAGCTTGTGTTCCAGCCTGAAGGGAAAAACCTGCAGCTGGCTGGGTCACAGAGCTGTCAAGGGAGTCTGATTTTCAGTCAGAACAAAGAAAGAAAGGCGGGGTGGGTCTGGGGGACCTTACACTGTGATATGTAGGTGGAAGTGAGAGGCCTGGACTGGTTAAGCTGGTGCAGGTGGAATGTTCTTGTCCAAGTACTCCCACTGGGACCCTGGCTTCCTGCCTTTATTCAGAGGTGATTTTGAAGAAATGTGGCAGCACCCTGCTGAAAGGTTTTGGGTAAAGCTCCTTATTAAAGTATCCTCTTGGGTAAAGCTTAGTAAAGTGTCCTCTTGGGTATTGAGTCCAAATCAGCACTGGCTATGTTCCCTTATAAATATTGGAACTTCTGTGTTCTGTTGTAAAATTGATGACCTGAGACACCATCAGAGAAGTTTCACTGGCATCTTTCTAGAGGCCTCTGGGTCTCTCTGTTTGGCCAAAGTTTCTGTATACTTAAAGATAGCAGCCTTTACCTTTAGGATTGGCATTTGGGTCTGATCTACCATAGATCTCATTAGAATATTGATTAAAGATCATTTGGAAAAGATTTTTTGAACTTTTGCTTGGACACGCCTAAGCAAATCAGCCTTCTTTTTGTTGTTTTTTCTGTGTAGCTGCATCAGCAATTGGAAAATCAATTTTGAAGGTCATCTTTATGGATTGGTGTGAAGTCTACCAGAGTTTTAAAAAGCATACTGATTACCTTGCAAATAGTACTGTGAAATTTTAATTTTTTTTTCAGTTCAGCTCAACTTAGTGTTTTGTAATTTTTAAATAAATTCTGCAGATAAGCACATCCATGGAGGACTTCTGCCTCATCTCCCACTTGCTGCGTATGTGTAAGAGCACCACCATTTCAAGAGTGATAGGCACTCTTGATGTGCTAGATGAGTCCCTGTTGGCATTGTCTTGATTCATATCTTCTTGGAGCAGGTTTTTGTTTTTGTTTTTAAAGACATCTGCCACTGCTTCCTCTGTGTTAGAGCCAGTCTTCAGGACTTTCATGGTCCTGATCAAAGACCACAGTCTGCTTGGCTGATTTCATACCCTGGACCAAGAGGCTGAGTAGACAGGACCTGTGGCTCTGTTGCTTTCCTGGCTAGCTGTGCGGCTGTACTCACTGTATCCCTGTCTTACACTCACCCGTGGAAGATAGCAGCTTCTTGCCTATGGACTGACTTCTCTGCTACAATTCAGCCTTTATCTTGTCTGGCCTCTCATTGTGTTGTAGCTCAATTGTCTGGGGCCCGAATGCCAGACCTCTTGGTAGAGGGGCTCTTATAGTTAAGGATCTTCTGGAAATTCAGACCACAGCTGCCAAGTGGTTGAGATGCCATTTTTGTTTGTATTCTTCTCCTAGGAACTGTCTCGACATTTCCTTTGCCAGTCAGTGGTATTGAAGGCTTTGATCCTTCATGGTCTGGGGAACAGGAACCTGGGTTTCAGCATGTATCCCTAAGTGCTTACTCCATATGAAATGCTTGTGGTATGATACATGCCTAGGCACCAGCAACAGCCCTCACACCAGGTCCTTTAGGAAATGCTGCAGGCCTCTGGAAAGGAGCTGGTTCTTCTATCTGTTGACATTCTTTCAGCTGTAGCTCACATGTTTGCTGTAGATCATTTGAAGGAAAAAGGTAATTGAGGCTTTCTGGTGAATTGGATGAGGGCTTATCTGATAGAGAGGAAGAGATGCTACACCTCTAGGATTCTAAAGATTGAAGACTTTGGCTGCATGATGTCTCAGCCTCACCAGAAAAGTGATTTCTGACCTTTTTAATTTTGCCTTTACTCTGTCCTTAGCATTGTAAATACCCACATCTTTCAAATAACTGACCCCACTCTTACAATAGTAAGTCTAAAGATTTAAGTGAATACCTCCTCACATGAATCGGTCTTGACGTACAGTTTCTTGTTATTAAAGGCGTGAGCCTGGGGACTTGAGTATGCCTGGATAGGGAATCTTACTGCTGCAAATCTAGATGGTCCTATGCATTTTGTACTTATTTGGGAACTGTATTAAAGAAAGTAGGTACGGTGGCTTCAGAACCATAATCAAATATAATTCTCCAAACCTAAAAGATGAGCCAGCTCTCGCAATGCAGCTTCTTTCACTGCCTGGGATTTGTAAATTTAAGCAATCCATTTAACAAGTGGAAGTATTGGAAAATGCAGTCATACTTTGCAGCTCCAGCAACAAGCACTAATTGAATTTTCCTGAGTGTACCTGCACAGCAGTCACAGTTGTGTTTAAAATTTTCTTCCATGCCAGGTGTCGTGGCTTACATCTGTAACTCAGTACTTGGGGAGACCAAGGCAGGAGGATTGCTCGAAGCCAGGAGTTTGAGACCAGTCTGGGCAACATAGTGAGACTCTGTCTCTACCCCCACTCCCCCCAAAAAAAAGGAGAGAGAAAAAAATTTTCTTCAAGCTCTTGACTACAAAAAGAGATATGCTTTCTCAGCTGCTCTGGCACTTCTCTCCTTAGATGCATCTCCAGCCTTAGGGCCACCTGCTGAACCAGGCTTCCTTGTGCTGTTGACAGGATTTCCAGGTATTTTTGGTACAGGAATCTTAAAGGCTGAAGCAATGGATGACAACATGTTTTCATCCATGCTTTGTATTAAAATTTTTATTTTTGTAGACATGGAAAATGATACTGCCAACATTTTGTGCTCTAATAAGAGGATTTCATCTCTTATAAAGTCCACTGTCCCTTTCTTTCTTGCATTTCTTTTTTTGTGTGTATGTGAAACAGGGTCTCACTCTGTTGCCCAGGCTGGAGTGCAGTGGCACAGTCATAGCTCAGTGCAACCTTGAACTCCTGTGCTCAAGCAATCCTCCTGCCTCAGCTTCCTGAGTAGCTGGGACTACAGGTGCACGCCACTGTGCCCAGCTAATTTTTTCATTAGTAGAGACAGATGGGGTCTTGCTATGTTGCCCAGGCTGGTCTCAAACTTCTGAGCTCAAGCAGTCCTCTCACTTCAGCCTCCCAAAGTGCTGGGATTACAGGCGTGAGCCAACACGCCTGGCTTCTGTCCCACGTTTTTATAGGTCTCTGTTATTGCTAGTTTTGTAGCATCTCTCACCTGACTGTTGGGATTGCAGAAAAGGATATACAAAAAATACCAACTTTCTGAGAACTTATGGCCTAGCCCCAGAGGTTTTTATGTTTTCAGTGAGACACAATAGCCAACTGTTCCCAGATGGACATTGGTGGTGCTACTTGATCCATCAGCTTCCATGTCAGATTCTGTGCTTCATCTTTAACCTTGTCTCTCATTCTGTCTACTGACGCTGAGACAATAATTGTGATTTAGGACTTCCCATTGTGCTGATAAGCTGTCCACAAAGGCATTTACAATTTCTAATCCAATTTATGACACCTGGTAGTTGCTCAGATGTTACTTCAGGTCCAGGGTCACACTGGGGTTGCTGATGTAGCACGGTAATTCTTGACTGCCTGGCAGCTGGCCACCCATGTTGTGCTGTTTCACTCCATGCAGTAGACCACTGTGGGAGTCTGCCCCACTCAGTCTCACCAGGAATAGCAGAGGTGGTAGGAACAGTGCCAGGTGCTGAGTACCTCCAAAACTAGTTTAAAAAAGAAAATCCTCGTCTTAAATTTGTTACTCACTTTCCTCTGGATTACTTTCTTAATATGTCCCAAACAAACTGGGTCCAGGCCAGGGCCCGCCTCAAGCAGTGTTCCCTTTGCTGCTGTCTGAGTGTCCATGAAGGGCTGGTGCTTTTCCTCAGTGATCATATGCAGTTCACCCATCTTGTTTTGTTTGGGAAACCACATTTGTGCCGCAGCCTTACTCTTGGACAGAACTGTAGACTTGTTTGTGATGTTTGCTCTGCCTGTGCTGCCAGGGCATGGTTGTCTTCCACCTTAGAGAGGCTGCTCTTGGGAGTTCTGGTTGTTTTCAGGCCTGGGAAGATGGTATCCCTAGAGTGATTGGCTGCTACAGAGCTGTTCATGCTGCTTACAAGGTCTAATGCTGTTATTTCCCACAGGTTGCAAATTATGGAGTGGGAGGACAGTATGAACCGCACTTCGACTTCTCTAGGGTAAGGCCTAAATCACAGGTGCTTTCAAAGGGCCCTGCTCTAGCTGATTTGAGAAGGGTGGAGCTTCTAGGAGCATTTCAGCCTCCACATCAGTACCCCCACCCCTTGTCCTCCCTCCACCTCTGCATCACCAGGGGAAACTCTTCGTTACTGGTGAATCCCAAATCTGGAACCAAGGGTCCTGCAGAATGCAGTGGAGCCTGGCTGTCTCCCCTGTAGATGTGGGGCGTTCGTCCCCTGCCCTAATTCTGTCACCCTTTGCCCTGATTCTAAAGCAAAGAGCCTCACTAGGTCTTTGTGAAAACTGTTCTTGTCCCTTTTCCTCTTCCCCGTCTACTCCATGCCCTAGCCAGAATTTACTTTGCAGCTTTGGCACATATTCCAGGCTGATTTATGGAACACACACTTATTACTTTTCCCTGACCCTTTTGGTCCTAGTCTTGTGGGTGGTGGATGAAGCCTGTTGTAAACTTGGGTGAAAGTTGTTGTCTGTTGCAGCGACCTTTTGACAGCGGCCTCAAAACAGAGGGGAATAGGTTAGCGACGTTTCTTAACTACGTAAGTACTGGGTCCAGGCCCACCTGTTCATTCTCACTTAATTTTGTAGAATGATGAGCGAGATACTTTCAAGCATTTAGGGACGGGGAATCGTGTGGCTACTTTCTTAAACTACGTGAGTATGATGTGTGCTGATGAGCCCTAAGGGGACCCTGGGTCCAGAGGGCTGCCTTATATCCCACCCCCATCAGGGCTGATCTCATCTGCTGTTAAGTAATGGTCAGGTCCTTCTGGCTCTCAGCACCCTTCTTGGCTGCAGTAGGGAGAGTTGGCCTCTGTTTCTATTCATTTTCCCCACTGCCACCAGCAGGACTTTAACATTCCTGGCTCCTATTTTTTTCCCCAGTGTTTAAAATTGTGATAAAACAGACATAACATAAAACTTACCATCTTAACCATTTTTTAAATGTACGGTTCAGTGGTATTAAATACATTCATAGTGCGCAAGCATCACCACCATTCATTTCCATCTATTTTCATCATCTAAAACTGAAACTCTACCCATTAAGCAATAATTCCAGATTCCCCTCCTGCAGCTCCTGGCAGCCACCATTCTGCTTTCTGTCGCTGTGATTTTGGTTACTTAAATAAATGGAATCAAAGTATTAACACTTGTCTTTTTGTGTGGCTGGTGCATAATGTCCTCAAGGTTTATCCATGTTGTAGCATATTCTGGCTTCTTCTTCTTCTTTTTTTTTTTTTTTTTTTTTTTGGAGATGGAGTCTTGCTCTGTCACCCAGACTGGAGTGCAGTGGTGGGATCTCGGCTCACTGCAACCTCAGCCTCCCAGGTTCGAGTGATTCTCATACCTCAGCCTTCCAAGCAGCTGGGATTATAGGCGCTAGCCACAACGCCTGGCTAATTTTTGTATTTTTAGTAGAGATAGGGTTTCACCATGTTGGCCAGGCTGGTCTCAAACTCCCGACCTCAGGTGATCCGCCCCCCTCGGCCTCCCAAAGTGCTGGGATTACAGGCGTGAGCCACTGCGCCCTGCCATTCTGGTTCCTTTTTGATGGGCCCAGTGCTAGTCTGGACTTTTGGGATGGGTGCCCTGGAGGGTTCCCTCCTTGGCATCAGAGTGAGGAGATAGCCTTAGCTCTCTCTAGATGAGAGCTGCCTTTGTGTTCTCCAAGGCTTAATGGCCTGATTCCCACCTCTTGCCTCTGTTTTATCCATAGGTTGTAGGGTTTATCTTTCACATGAGGAGCAGTTTCCTCTCCCCTCTGCTGAGAGCCAGCTCTAAAGAGGCATAGAGGCAGTAAAGTAACTTGGAGACAGAAGCCTGTGTCCATTTTTTCCCTTTATGCTTTTATTGTGTGGTTATTACATGCTGGGGATTGTGCTGTGTACATGCTGGTGAGCAGAACATATGTGGTCTCTCTTGTGCTTGAGGTCCAATATGAGAGACTTATTTTAAACATCAGAGAGATTCTTCTTTATCTTTTTTTTTTTTTTTTTTTGAGACAGACTCTCCCTCTGTTGCCCAGGCTGGAGTGCAGTGGCGCTATCTCAGCTTACTGCAAACTCTGCCTCCCAGGTTCAAGCGATTCTCCTGCCTCAGCCTCCCAAGTAGCTGGGATTATAGGCGTGCACCACCATGCCCAGCTAATTTTTGTATTTTTAGTAGAGATGAGGTTTCACCATCTTGGCCAGACTGGTCTCAAGCTCCTGACCTCAAGTGATCCACCCGCCTTGGCCTCCCAAAGTGCTGGCATTACAGGCGTGAGCCACCATGCCCAGCCTAAACATCAGAGAGATTATTATGTAGTTATGGAGACAGGTGCTGTGAACCCCAGGCTTGGGGTTCAGTGGAGGCCTCTCTTTGGAAGTAACATATCAGTTGAGACTTAAAAGTTGAGTGGAAATTAGCTGGTAGAACATGGTTTCTGGCAGAAGAGAGAGTGTATGTAGTCCTGTAAGAGAAAAGGAACTTGGGATGTTGGAAAGGTAGAAAAAGGCTGGTGTGTCTGGAGAGAGGCTAGTGAGACTGACAGGGCCTTGGGGTTCTAGAAAAGAATCTGAGTTTGATCCACAGGGCTGTGAGAAGCCATCAGAGCTTTTGTCTTATTCATTTACCATATGTCTGTCAAGTACCCTTCAGTGAGTCTGGTATGTGTCCTGTGGAAATATTTTTTACCTCCAATTTTTATTAAATTATGGACAAAAAAAGTAAGAGAGCCAGATGGGAAAGAAGTAGTGCTTTGGCCATGAGTCAAGGCATGCTCTGTGGGCATGAGTACAGCCTTGCTAGTGTGGAACTTGTGTTCAATGTAGTTTAAGGCCTTACCATAGGAGAAAGCAGGGCCTCTAGAGACACAGTGCCCCACCCTTCCACTCAGTTGGCCCCAGGAAGGGTGGCTACTCTGGGAAGGTGAAGGTCTGACTAGAGCAGCAAACTACTAGAGCCAGAGAAACAGAGCTGCAGTGGGGACTGCACATGGTGTTGGAAACAGTACAGAGCTCCTGGTCAGGGCACTTTGCAGAGTACAGTGGCTTAGGCAAGGCCAAGGCTAGATGGGGATTCAAAGGGTGGGGTCAGAACAGGCATTTTCTGAGTACAGACTCAGATTATTTTCATCCAGGGACAGCCCGGATGTGGGTCTCCTGTGGGCCTCAACTCTTGAACACTCATGACATGGAGACTGTTCTAATGAATCACACTGGTTAAGTAGGCATGGGAAGAGCCTTTCTTGGCTAAAGGGCTGGCCATGGAGCAGACACCAAGTAGTGTCACTCATGCTGAGAGGAGGGCAATCTATATACCTTGTCATGTCCTTTGTGGCTCAATTGCTCTGAGAGCCTTGGGTAGGAGGGTCAAGCTCTATGTCTTATATTTCCAGATGAGTGATGTAGAAGCTGGTGGTGCCACCGTCTTCCCTGATCTGGGGGCTGCAATTTGGCCTAAGAAGGTAAGTTCTGATTCTTGTGGGTCAGAGGTTGAAGCAAGGCTCAGACTTTACTTTGTCCATGTCCCCCAGTACCATTACCTGGCCTGCCTGATTGTCACTGTGATGTGCCTTAGCCCACCTGGGGTCTGACCTGGTAGCCCAGCTTCTCCCTGTGAAGAAAGGACAGGGAGGGAAGTCCCTTCAGGGGCGGGTGAGTTCCCAGACTTCTACCTCAGAAAGGTAGGTGCTTTCTGGGAAATGTCTCTGTTGCTGGAGTCCCAGAGCCCTATCCCCTGTCCATGGGAAAATGAGGGTGTTTCTGCTCAGGGCAGAGCTTCTGTGATGCTTGCAGTCAGGTCCCTGAGCACAGTCTCTTAAGAATGTGTTCTGAAAGGCCATCTCTTTCCCAGGGTACAGCTGTGTTCTGGTACAACCTCTTGCGGAGCGGGGAAGGTGACTACCGAACAAGACATGCTGCCTGCCCTGTGCTTGTGGGCTGCAAGTGGGGTGAGTGTCTTAAGGGGTAGTGTTGGTGTTGGTGGCCTCAGCTTGGGCTTTGCTTATTGGCCTTAGATTCTGAGCTGGGAGGCAACTGCTGCCAAATTTGCTGAGACTGTCTCCCTTCTTAGGTTTTTTTCTGCTGTTATTACCATCCAGCCATGTAATGTCCATGCAGCTGGTAAATGCCAAGGCAGCTGGTTGGAAACACTCAGAGATACACAGGAAGCTGAAGAAGGCCTGAGGACGAATAGCTGCATAAGCACCATAGGTCCAGGACCCTCTGGCAAGGCTTCTGAGGGAGCAGAGTGGAGAGCTGGAAGCAGTGAGGGGAAAGAGTGTCTCAGGCAAACAAGGCCCATATGGATGGAGGCACAGGCTAAAACCAGCATACGGGTGTGGGGGCTGGCTCCCTTGTCACTTGAAGAAAGGGAGGCCTGTGGCACAGGGGCCAGAAGATGAGGCTGGAGGCTGGGACCAAACTGCAGAGGCTCAAGCTTGAGCCTTATCCTGGGAGCAGTTGTGGTGAGCCTCGGAGAGGCTCAAACCAGGATATGACAGGAAGTGTTTGTAAGGAGATGAGTGTGTAGCCCCCTTGGAGAGTTTTGAAGATAAATAGTGATAGGTTTGCAGATAATTAAGCAAATGGAAAAGAAAACAAGGCAGTTGCTGAATTCAGGGGAAAAAAAGTTGTACAAGAAAGGAAATGTAAGTATAATCTACTAGATGGCTCAGGTGTAACACATGATATAATTATGTACACACTGAGTATTACTTTAACTAAAACTTATGATTTACCTGTACTGGAAAGGTGGGAGGGGATGAGTTTGTGTTTTAGGGGTAGAATAAAAGAATTCCAAAGTTGAAAGTCAAGGAATAGAACTATAAGCATCTTATCTAGAAAAATGAGGTTAAATATCAGAAGAAACAGCTAGAGGAGTTTAATGTTCCCTGGGAGTGGAGATTAGGGATGGGAAGGAGAGGCTTAGGAGGAGTGCTATTTATCATTATAAGCCTTGCGACAATTTTATTTTTTTCAATGAAGTACATGTTATTACTTTATATTTTAAAAGCTCTGTGACTTCAGTAGTGCATTGAAATAAAATTTTTATTCATTATGAGAGAGTCTGTGAGGAACAGAATCATGGTTCCTGTGTGTTTGAAGATATGGCGTGGGGTGATAGTGCTGGCAGCAGCTCTGTTGCTCTTGTGCCCATGGCATACAGACTGGATCTGCTGGTCCACGGCTCCTGAGGTTAATGTCCAAGCCCTCTGCAATGCTGACAGTCTTCCTCATCCTCACACCCTACCTCTCAGTTTCTACCTGCCACCTCCCAGTAATATTAGGCCTCTTGAGTCCCCAACACACGTCAGGGTGGCTTCTGCCTTGATTACTTTCTCATCCTGTTGTCACTCCTGGGACCCTCTTGGTGAGAGAACCATCTGGGTATGCCCATCTTCTTCCCAGGATAACTTCTATGTAGCTTTATATTCTAGCCCTAGGATTTCCTCTTCCCTCTAAGAGCAAGAAACATGTGTGCAGGTTGCCATGGGAATAGAGCCAAAGGGCATCAAAGGTCATGGGCATGAAAGGGCATGATTAGATGCCCTTGGGTGCTATTCCCATGGCAACCTGCACACATGTATCTTGTCCCACTGGCAGAATTTCATACAATTATCTGTTTACATGTGTCTTCCTTACCAATTCTTCAGCAAATTGAGGCCTGAGATCATGTCTTGTCTTATTTGTGTCTGATTCCAGGGCACAGTGCAGGGGGTCATCATGAAGGAGTCATTCATTCAGGCTACTAAACTGACCAATAGGATTGTAACATGCTTGCTTTCTTTTCACAGTCTCCAATAAGTGGTTCCATGAACGAGGACAGGAGTTCTTGAGACCTTGTGGATCAACAGAAGTTGACTGACATCCTTTTCTGTCCTTCCCCTTCCTGGTCCTTCAGCCCATGTCAACGTGACAGACACCTTTGTATGTTCCTTTGTATGTTCCTATCAGGCTGATTTTTGGAGAAATGAATGTTTGTCTGGAGCAGAGGGAGACCATACTAGGGCGACTCCTGTGTGACTGAAGTCCCAGCCCTTCCATTCAGCCTGTGCCATCCCTGGCCCCAAGGCTAGGATCAAAGTGGCTGCAGCAGAGTTAGCTGTCTAGCGCCTAGCAAGGTGCCTTTGTACCTCAGGTGTTTTAGGTGTGAGATGTTTCAGTGAACCAAAGTTCTGATACCTTGTTTACATGTTTGTTTTTATGGCATTTCTATCTATTGTGGCTTTACCAAAAAATAAAATGTCCCTACCAGAAGCCTTAAAGAGCCTTACTTGGAGTATTTTTAAGACTGGAAGCTTTTACCAGGTTCATCATTTCCTATGCATCACCTTCATGCAGGCAGAGTCTGGATAATGAATGCTTTAGCAGCAAAAAAGCATCTTGGGTCTTGGATTTCAGACCTGGTTTCAACACTTGTGTTCCCTCTAAGTGTCAGTGTCCTTTTCTGGAAAGTAGGGTAAATAGTTTCTCTTTGTCTCCCAGAGAACATAGCACATGTGTTCATGATTGTAATGCTGTTATAATGTGTACTTCATTTTTAAATTTTGAGATAAGAATTGTTCATGATACACAGATGTATACTTAAAAAAATATGAAGGTGAGCAGGAGCACCTGTGTCAACACCAAGTTAGAAAAGAGAACGTTTTCAAGTCAGTACCTCAGGAGCCCCTTGGGAACCCCTCCTAGATCACATCTCCTTCACTGCCCCCAGCACTTTGGAGATAAATCATTGTCTCATGATGTGTGGTACTCATTCCTTTGCTTGTCTTTATAGTTTTACCATCTATGATTAGATCCCTAAATAAGTAGTTATTCTGTTTTCCCTGATTTTGAACTTTTACTAATAGAATGAGAGTAAATATTTTTGGGTATGTGGCTTCTTTTGTTCAACATTGTTTTAAGATTCATCCGTGTTGCTTGTGTAGCTGTAATTTGTTTTAATCTTTATAGTACATTCAGTTTTGTTAATGCTTATTGTAGGACTGTACCATAATACAGGCAGCATGCTGCTGATAAACACTGGAATTGATTTCAGTCTTTGTATATTGTGAATAATGCTGTGATAAACATTTTTATACATGATTCCTGGTGCACATATAAACACATATTTCTGTAGGATATATATCTAGGAGTGGAAATGTGGAGTCTTAATGGTGTTCCAACTTTACTAAATAATGTATTCCAAGGTGGTTATACACATTCTCACCAGGAGTAAATGAGAGTTATTACCCCAATCTTTTCCAGTATTTAGTATTTTCATACTTTTGAATTTTAGCTAGCTTGGTACATGTTACGGACTAAATGTTTGTGTCCCCCCACCAGATTCATATGTTGAAATCTTTTTTTTTTTTTTTTTTTTTGAGACGGAGTCTCGCTCTGTCGCCCAGGCTGGAGTGCAGTGGCGGGATCTCGGCTCACTGCAAGCTCCGCCTCCCGGGTTCACGCCATTCTCCTGCCTCAGCCTCCCAAGTAGCTGGGACTACAGGCGCCCGCCACTACGCCCGGCTAATTTTTTGTATTTTTAGTAGAGACGGGGTTTCACCGTTTTAGCCGGGATGGTCTCGATCTCCTGACCTCGTGATCCGCCCGCCTCGGCCTCCCAAAGTGCTGGGATTACAGGCGTGAGCCACCGCGCCCGGCCCATATGTTGAAATCTTAACCCCCAATGTGATGATATTAGGATGCGGAGCCCTTGGGAGGTCGTAAGCATGGAGCCCACGTGAGTGGGATTAGTGCCCTTATGAAGAGATCCCAGCCCTCTTTCTGCCATGCGAACACACAGCAAGAAGATGCCTGTCTATGAACCAGGGGGCCCTTACCAGAAACAAACCTACTAGCATCTTGATCTCGGACTTTCCAGTTCCCATAACCATGAGAAATAAATGTTTTTAATTCAATGTATGGTATTTTATTATAGCAGCTCTACCTAAGACAGTACATGTATAGTGTCTATTTGAACATTACTGATAATGTTGAACAACTTTTCATGTTTATTAGTTATTAGGTTTCTTCAAGTGTTCTTATTCATACAAATTTTAAAATATGTACACAAGTTCTTTGTTATATATTTTGCAAATATCTTCTGTGGCTTGTCTTTTCACTATTTTAGTTCTGTCTTTTGATAAACAGGAGCTTTTAATTTTTATGTCAAATCTATCAAGCTTTTTCTTTTTGATTTATGTTTTTTATGTCTTATTTGAGAAATCCTTCTATACCCCAAGATCATGAGGATGTTTCCTGTGTTCTCTTCTGAAAGCTATATAGTCTTTGTCATTTAGGTTTATCTTTATACGTGGTATGAAGTGTAAAGTTCTACTTTTAATTTTTTGCATATTTTATTAGGATAGGATGGGCTTTTTCTGTAGTAATAATCCTTAAATCTCAGGGGCTTAATATATAAAATTGTCTCATGCAAAAAACCACTGGGTCTAGGGCAATTGCTATCTACTGCCGTCTAATCTCCCTCTAGTGGCTTCCATTGGTAGACCCTAACAGGAAGCCAGCTGATAAGGGAATCTGGGAAATGTAGTTTACAGAGTGGCAGCTACAGTAGAACAGTAGAGACTACAAGGATGAGCTTGCAGCTGAGAATAGAAACGTGACTGGCACACTAGGTGGTTTGTTTGTAGGTTTTTTCTTTTCCTGTTTGAGACTTTTTTGGATTCTTGAATTTGTACAATGGTATCCTTAATCAATTGTGGAAAATTAAATGATTTTTTCTTTCAGCATTGTCTGTTTCTTCTGTAACTGATTAAATGTAAGTTGGATCATATCATGATATTATCTCTTAATCTGTCTTTCATATTTTTATATATATGCTATATTTGGGGAGAACTTTATAGCTGTTTTGTACAAAGTTCACTAATTCTGTCTTCTATCAAGTGCATACAGGAGTCTGTTTAAGGACTTTAAAGATGTAATTCTTTGTTTTCTGGCTTATACCATTTCTGTTGAAAAGTCGCTATCTGGTCCTTTGTTGTTCCTTTGAAGGTGATTTTGCCTTCACCTGGCTGCTTTAAAGATTTTTTTCTTTTTGGTTTTCAGTAGTTTTACTATGGTGTACTTAGTATGGGTTTCTTTTTCTTTTCTTGCTTGGCATTTAGCTTCTTGAATTTCTGGGTTGATGTCTGATCAATTTTGGAAATTTCTCAGACATTATATCTTCAACTATTGTTTCTGTCCCATTTTTTCTCTATCTGCTCTGAGACTTCAGTAATCTGAATGTTAGAACTTTTCATAGTGCTCTATATATCTCCAGTTCTTGTGTCTCTCATGCTTTTTTCTTTGTGTTTCAGACTAGATATTTTATACTGATCTGTCTTGCAATTCATTTATTACTTTTGCTGCTAAACCCATCTACTGAGTTCTTAATTTCATTTTTCTTATATTTCTCAGTTCTAAAATATCCATTCATGTCTTTTTTTTTTTTTTTTTTCCTTGAGACGGAGTCTTTCTCTGTCACCCAGGCTCGAGTGCAGTGGCGGGATCTCAGCTCACTGCACCCTCTGTCTCCCAGATTAAAGCAATTTTCCCACCTCAGCCTCCCAAGTAGTTGGGATTAGAGGCACGCACCACCACACCCAGCTAATTTTTGTATTTTTAGTAGAGATGGGGTTTTGTCATGTTGGCCAGGCTGGTCGCAAACTCCTGACCTCAAGTGATCCACCTGCCTCAGCCTCCCAAAATGTTGGGATTACAGGCGTGAGCCACCACGGTTGGCCCATTCATGTCCTTTTAATGGATTTTAACTCTCTGGAGAATCTGTCTTCTGTTTTCTCTGTGTTTTTCTCGGACTGATAAATCAGTTATGTGAATTTTTTTGTCCGATAACGCCATGATTTCGATTTTCTATGGCTCTCTTTCTATTGTCTTTTTCCCTCCTTAGTTTCTGGTCATTTGGTCCACTCTGTTGATATGCCTGGCAATTTTTGATTGAATGTGTATGACAAATTGTAGAGCCTCTGGATGGATAACCTCCTGCACAAAGGGCTCACCCTTTCCTCTACTATGCAGAGTGGGGATCAATCACCTTAATCCAGTAAGGATCTGAGCTGACTTAAAATTAAGACTGGGTGGTAGTTTTCTTAAGACTCTATCTCTGGTTTACCCTTATTTCCCCCCTTATAGGATGTAGTCCTCCAGGATTTTCTAATTGAGAGCCTAGTGTGTTCACTGGATCTGTTTCCACTGGCAGTTCCTCAACTCTAATTCTTGTCTTCTCAGTACCAGACTCAGCCCAAAAAATTTATCCTCCTTTTCAAAGAATTTGAATTTTTGAATCTAAGCAGATATTTTTTGCTTACCTTCTTAGCCTTGCATTCTGCACAGCGTCAGAATTCAGAAAATGCCTCAGTGGGTAAACAGGCTGAGTGGCCAAGTTCTCCACTCCTCCCTCTTATTCAATATTCTGAGAAACTACTGGCTAATTTTGGTTTTTCAATGCCCCTTGACACTGTCAAAAATTATTTTGGTTTCTCTGCCTCTTAGTAGTTGCCCATTGCTCTGGATCCTCATTCTTACCCCATGGCTACAATCAGTAAATAATAATAATAATAATAATAATTATTATTATTATTATTATTATTATTATTTTGAGGTGGAGTCTGGCTCTGTCACCCAGGTTGGAGTACAGTGGTGCAATCTCGGCTCACTGCAAGCTCCGCCTCCCGGGTTCACGCCATTCTCCTGCCTCAGCCTCCCGAGTAGCCGGGACTACAGGTGCCCACCACCACGCCCGGCTAATTTTTTGTATTTTTTAGTAGAGATGGGGGTTCACTGTGTTAGTCAGGATGGTCTCAATCTCCTGACCTCGTGATCTGTCCGCCTCGGCCTCCCAAAGTGCTGGGATTATAGGCATGAGCCACCACGCCCGGCCAGTAAATTGTTTAAGGATAAAAGAGACTACAGACTTTTGGCTCACCCACAAGATTTATCCTTCTTCAGGATCTTGATGCTCAAACTCTTTTTGCTTCAGCAATTGACTGATGTCTTCCAACAATTTTAAGAGATTTTATTCAGCTTTATTCTAGGAATGAAAATTGGTCTACCATAAGCTACTCTATCTTGGAAGTAGAAGTGGCCTATTCATTTTTTAAAAAATCATTTTTCCTATACTGATACAGAAAACCTTATCTTTCATATCTTCTTTTGTTACCTAGTATAACAAGACGCTTCACACTCATCTTGAGCATTTCTGACATTAAGCATGGAATCAGCCGTTAAAGAATCTTATTATATGTTGATGTCTGCCTATCAATCCCAGCATGGTCCTGGGAACAAGCATGAGATAACTTCTGTCTTAGAGCCAGGGCACTGCTTTCAGCAATCCTTATTAATTGAGCTTGGCATTAATATGTTCACTAGGGCAGTAAAGAGTTATTGAGCGTTTCATTATGCATTTGGTACTGTGCTAGGGATGTTACAGTCTATTACTGCATTCAGCAACTCTTCAGAACGAATACATAAGAAGCAGAACGTCAGAAAGGTTAGGTAATATACCTGAGGTCACATGAAGTCTCATTGCTGGTAAGTGGAGGACCTGGGAATGAAACTGTGGCAGCTTCCAAAAGCCTTTGCTCTAAAACAAAATTTATATTTTCATGCATTTAACAGTTATTAAAGATTTGATGGGGAAACATAAAGACTGTCTTTATCTTTAAAGAATTCTGAGCAATGGAAGGGACTCATAAATAGGTGTGTGAAATGTGAGAAGTCTGGTAACAGAGAATGTGCTTGAGGAGCACAGTAGAGTGAAGGTCTACTTTAACCAAGAAGTTGGCACTACAGTAGGCACCGTTGGAGCTGGGTCTTGAAGTATGAGCAGGAATTTGTTTACTGTGCTATCCTAGTTTAAAATACATGCACGTGGCTTAAAAAATAAGGGACAAAGGAAATTACCCTAAATAGTTGCTGTCCCACCTTACTGCCAACTCCTAGTCCCCCTTCCTAGAGGAACCTTTTCAAATTATTTTAAATTTTTCTGCCTATTAAATGCTTATAAAATGCTGTTCCTTGATTTTTCCACTTCAGAAATTTGAGAGATGATCATTTAGTTTATATTCACTATCTCCCATGGTACCTCCCCCTGCCTTTGCCATTTTTTGATAGTTATATTTTGTATAGTCCTCTCTTGTTTGCCTGGCAACATAAATTTTTTTGTTTGGTTAAAACTAAGATGGTGAGATGAAGATCTAAACTAGAATTTTACCAAACAAATGATCACTATTGTCTAGCCAAGTTGACACATAGAATTAAGTATCATATACCCTTTTGTCTCCCAACTGCCGGTCAGTTATGCTTTGGACATTATTTTAGTAGCCATAGTAAGTTGCTTCTAAAAGTGAAAAACACAAATGTTATGTTTCTTAATTTCGTTGAATTAGTCACTATAATGTTGATGTAGCTAATCATAAAAAGGAATTTGTGTCTTATTTGTCTAATAGAATTCAAAATGAATTTATAATGTATATAATTTGATAGGGCTACAATAACAAAATACCACACACTGGGTGGATCAAACAAAAGGAATTTGTTTTCTTACTGTTCCAGAGGCTAGAAGTCTAGGATCAAGGTGTCAACAGGTTGTGTTTCTTCTGAGGCCTCACTGCCTGGCTTGGTCTGTGTGTTGTCTATGTCACCTCTTGGTCTATGTGTTGTCTATGTCATATCGGATTAAAGCCTGCACATATGAACTCATTTTACTTTAATTATGTCTTTAATGCCCTGTTGCCAAATACAGTCACATATTGGGTTAGGACTTTAGCATATGAATTTTGGGAGAACACATAAAACTACTAGGAAATCATGTTAGATCTGATATACTATTGAGACTAAAGCAAAATACTTTTCCTTACTCTTTGTACATCAGATATAGCCCATCATGAACAAATGTATCTGATTATTAAGTATGTTTGCATAAGAATAATGTCATAACACTAGAAGTTTTTTATTTTGAGAAAAGAGATATAGGCTCTTATGAAATTATTAATAAATTGAAAAAAGATATTGACATAAAATATCTTTGAGGCCATGGATATAATTGGACAAATACAGCAGGTGTGTATATAAGGGTGGAAAAGCCATTATTTTCCCCCAAAATGGTTATGCCAAATAAGTTCATAATCTGTGCAAAAATGCTGCTTCTATGAATTAAAATATAACCTTTTTAGTGTGTACAAATGATACATAATCTTTTATGAATTCATTGAGCAGTGGAATGTTATGCTTGTTCTAAAAACTACATTAAAAACAAATCCTGAGAGGCATCAAAGTCAAATATGATCAAGGTACTTTACACAAAGATGTTTGTCAAATATTAAAAGAACATAAAATGACAAAATACAATATCCTGAAATAGGAACCATCTTTGTGTGAACAGATTACAAATTTTCATGTAACTTGTCTATGTGGCATGGCATTTTGAACTAAATATAGTAGAAAAAGGTTTATGAAAAAAAAGACTATATACAAAGCTGCATGCTTAAGAAAAGGCCTATTCGTTTGCTTATAACAAATGAGAGAAAGTAACTTAAAGTTATGTTTCGTTAATGTAAAACTTTAAAAGAGATATAAATATACTTAAAGAAAAATCAGAAATATACAAATTACTGAATGAGTATATCAATTATTGTGGGAAAAGTGTTCGTCGAATAGAAATTAAAGAGATTACAGATGTCCTAGAGATGGAGATATGAAAAATCAAATGAAGTATTTTTGTATTTTTACTTGGAGAAATTTTCTACGAATACATCTGATTAACAAAAAGCAGCCATGGCCTTGACTTACCTCTTAAATAGTCCAATGATTTATATCCTGTGGCAATTTCATCTGAAATAGTGGTAAATAGCATGCAATATCAATAGTTTGCATGAACAAATGTGACCCTGAAAGAGCCAGTCCTTCAAGATGGATCTTAAGTGGCTGAGTGGGCCTAAATTTAAAGCAGAGCCAAGAAGCCATTTGGTGACTAGAGGCCACACACCTATTTTGAGTTCCCTGAAAACCCACACCTCTTTAACTTTGGAACTTTCAGAGCTCACCTGAACCAGCCAATCAGAGCCCACCTCCCTTGCTGCTCAGTTGTATCAACCAATCAGAACTGTGTTTCCATCTCATTTGTATCAGTGCACCTGATTGGGAACCAGGGCAGGAACTTTTGCTATAAAGCTAGAACCCTTCCTTTGTTCTTTGGACCGCACCTTCCTTTTACATTGAAGGCTGTGTTGGACTCCCTAGTTTGCAAACTATTCACTGGAATAAAGTCTCTTTCTTCCAGGGAACTTTTGTTCACATTTGTAATATAAAATCATGATGTTTGTATCCTCTAAAACGGATTTGCAAATTTTTCTTCGGGCAGCCTTACCCAAATTTCAAAATGGTCCTGATAATTTTTTTAAAACAATACCAGTCACAGTGTGATATAGTTTGGATCTGTGTCCCCACCAAATCTCATGTCAAATTGTAATCTTCAGTGTTGGTCATGGGCCTGGTAGTCGGTGATTAGATCATATAATGGAGGCGGTCCTTCATGAATGGTTTAGCACCATTCCCTTGGTGCTGTTCTCTTGATAGTGAGTTATTGTGAGATCCGGTTGTTTAAAAGTGTGTATACACTTTGGGAGGCTGAGGCGGGCGGATTGCTTTGAGCTCAGGAGTTCAAGACCAGCCTAGGCAATATGGTGAAACCTCATCCCTACAAAAACTACAAAAATTAACTGGGCATAGTGGCTCACTCCTGTAGTCCCAGCTACTCAGGAGGCTGAGGTTGGAGAATTGCCTGAGCCCGGGAAGTGGAGGCTGCAGTGAGCCAAGACTGTGTCACTGCACACCAGCCTGGGTGACAGAGACCTGTCTCAAAAAGAAAATGTAGCACCTCCTCTCTCTCTCTCTCTCTGTCTCTCTCACTGTCTCGTTCTCTTGCTCTTGCTCCTTCTCCAGCCATGTAAGATGTGCTTGCTTCCCCTTTGCCTTTAGCCATGATTCATAGTTTCCTGAGGCCTCTCCAGAAATGGAAGCCACTACACTTCCTGTACAGCCTGTAGAACCATGAGCCAATAAACCTCTTTTCTTTATAAATTACCCATTTTCAGGTATTTCTTTATGGCAATGCAAGAACAGACCAATGCACCATGGTATCCTGCAAAATCCTGAAGTTAATTAAGAATTATTTAAGAGGCGCGGTGGCTCACGCCTGTAATCCCAGCACTTTGGGAGGGTGAGGTGGGCGGATCAGGAGGTCAGGAGATTGAGACCATCCTGGCTAACGCGGTGAAACCCCGTCTCTACTGAAAATACAAAAAATTAGCCGGGCGTAGTGGCGGGCGCCTGTAGTCCCAGCTGCTTGGGAGGCTGAGGCAGGAGAATGGCGTGAACCCGGGAGGTGGAGCTTGCAGTGAGCCGAGATTGCGCCACTGCACTCCAGCCTGGGCGACAGAGCGAGACTCCGTCTAAAAAAAAGAACATTATTTAAGATCGTCACTTAAGAAGAGTAGATTTTGACAATTTTATTGATCAGTTTACTTCCATTAAAGTCATTGGTATAAAATATTTAAACTTAATATGAGTTTTAATATACCAACTTTCAATATTGTCAACCAATTTAATGTGTAAAAATTAACAAAAACACGAAAACGTACGTAAGAAGCATACGTTTTTCATTTTGCCTCAGGCTTCAATATAGTTTGGCACAGCACTGCTCTTAAGTTTCCAAACTTGGCATTTTGACTCCAATATTAGATTTGCCAGATTCAGCAAATGAAAATACAAGTAACACCCAGTTTAACTTTAGATAAATAACACATAATTTTTGCATAGGATATATGCATACTAAAAAGTTTGTTGCTTATCTGAAATTTAACTGGGCATTTTGTATAATATCTGGTAATTCTAAAAATAATTATCTTACATGGTTGAAAAAGCTGCCTGCTTCTTAGTACAATGTAACTGTTGCACCAACACCGTCTTGCCTGTTTGATTGCTGGTTATGTGGATGACTGAAGCGCACACACGGGAAGTCATATGGCTTCTGTGTCACACTGTCCAGCCTGTAGGTATGTCCAGTCCTTACCAGGTCTAGAAGAACACAGCAGCCTCACTCCATCCGAGGGCAGAGGAGCGAGCATATTCCCCACTGCCATGACCCTCTCCCCAGCTCCCTCTGCTTCAGTCACACTGACGGCCCCAGTACATTCGTGCTTGTTGGTCCTTCTGCCTGGAAGGTACCAATACCTAGTAGTTTCTACCCTCATTCCTTTCAAGACTGATCAAAGATTACCTTATCCAAAAGAGTTCTTCTTGTTTCACTGCTGTGCTGCTCGGGCTAGTCTGGAATTCCTGGCCTCAAGCAATCTTCCCAAGAGGTTCCTCCCTTCCTCCCTCCCTCCCTCCCTCCCTTCCTTCCCTTTCTTTCGACAGTCTTGCTTTGTTGCCCAGGCTGGAGTGCAGGGGCGCAGTCTCGGCTCACTGCAGCCCACTCCAAGAGGCCTTCATGACTACTACGAAGGATTTGCGTTCTCATTCTCTTCCTCCTTAGCCTGTTTTCTTTCTTTTTTCTTTTTCTTTTTCTTTTTTTTTCTTTTTGAGATGGAGTCTTGCTTTGTAGCCCAGGCTGGAGTGCAATGGTGCGATCTCTGCTCACTGCAACCTTCGTCCCCTGGGTTCAAGCGATTCTCCTGCCTTAGCCTCCCGAGTAGCTTGGATTACAGGTATGCACCACCACGCCCGACTAATTTTTGTATTTTTAGTAGAGACAGCGTTCCACCATGTTGGCCAGGCTGCTTTCCGATCCCTGACCTCAAGTTATCCTCCCGCCTCTGCCTCCCAAAGTGCTGGGATTACAGGCGTGAGCTACCACGCCCAGCCCTGTTTTATTTTTCTTTAGAGCACTTATCACTGAGGTAAAAGGTGGGACTTGACTCCAGACGCAGGCGTCGGACACCGGACCAGATTGAGGACTGGCTAAAACAGGGCCAGGGCCAAAGTAGCTTTCAATCAGCCCACCAGGGTGCTACGTCGGTTTGCAGTTGCTATGACAACACCCTGGCGTTAGGGCCCCTTTCCATGGTAATGACCCAATGACCCCAAAGTTACTACTCCTTCTCTGGAAGTGTCTGCATAAACCTCCCCTTAATCTACATGTAATTAAAAGTAGTAATAAACATGACTGCAAAACTGCCCTGAGCTGCTACCCACTGTCAATGGGGTAGCCCTGCTCTGCCTCTTCAAGAAAGCTGTTTTCTTCTACCTCTGGCTTGCCGTTGAATTCTTTCCTGGGCAAAGCCAAGAACTCTCGTGGGCTAAGCTCCACTTTGGGGCTCACCTGCCCCACATCACTACCACCCGTTAAGAGATTTAATTTGGGTATCAGTTCGTGGTCTGTCTCCCCCATGGTATAGAAGGTCCTTGAAGGAAAGAACTTTGCTTTTCCACTTCTCTATCCCCAGTGCCCAGAATGGGCCTTTGGAAAGCATCGAGCAGCCTCTCTTGCTCAGTGGGCACTGAAATGGCACTCGGAGCTCAGTACCCAGATAAAGGACACCCCCCAGATAAAGGACACCACCCCTTCCCCCGCGCAGGCCTCGGGAAAGGGCGAGGCCGTGCGAGGCCACAGGAAGGGGCGTGGCCTCTGAGGACCTGGGGGCGGGGTCTGGCAGGGTCAGAGGTTTCTGGAAAGGCCTTTGACCTGTGGGCGTGTTCCTAGAGGTCAGGTGGTGAGAATGGCGGGGTCAGCGGACAGCAGTGGGGCTACAGGCTGTGTCTGTGGCTGCCCTGGCTTAGGGCTCTGGCTGGCCCCTCCTTTCCGACCTGGTCTGGCAGAGCAGCCCCGCAGGACCAGCTCGCAAGGCTCCTGGGGCCAGTGGGGCTCTGTCCTGTGAGGCGGTCCCTCCGCAAGGACAGAGTCAGAGAGAGGCTGGTGAGTCAAGGATGTGCTCTGAGCGGGGGTCTGGGTGCGTCAAATGATGTCTTGGACGTAATATCTAAGGCTGACGCTACTTTGAAGAGGTTTAACTTTTGTGAAGATTCTTTATTCTAAACTCGGGGGAAACTTTTTTTTTTTGATCTGCAGTCAAATGCTCTACCACTGAGCTATACCCCTTCTGCCAACTTTTTTTTTTTGTAAAGCATTTGGGGGTTGTGAGAAGATAAGTGGTAGGAAAGGCCATGGGTATTTGGCAAGCTCAAAGTTTTTTGTTTTTAAGGCACTTTTCAGTGTCTTTCTGAAAGTGCGTTTATAACATGGAGGATCAGCCCCCTCCCCACACCCCAGCTTGGTCCTCCCTTCTCTTACTCTTCTCTGAAAAGTCCATCTCTTTCTCTTGAAATTTGCAGCCAACGGAGCCTCACTAAAGTAATGACCCAAACTGCTTTTGTACCCAGTGGGCTCACAGCTGTCATCTTGCCTGCTTCTTTGATTTCAAGAAGCTTAAGGCAAGCTGCTTATGCTAGATTTACTGTCCTCACCTTCCATTCTTAAATTTTTGACGCAGTGAGTCTCCCCCAACTAATTCTCTGGAATTGTCTGGTAAAGTGTTCTGGGTCCTCCTAGTGGCCAAACCCAGTAGACACTTCGGACAGTTTTTTTTTTTTCCTCTAGCGAAGCACTTCGTGATTCAAGTTCTCCTTTATTTCCGGCCTCCCTGGCTCCTTTTCATCAGCCTAGGCTTCTCATATATATGTTCCCTAGTCTAGTTTGTTTCCTTTTCACGGTAGTACTGTATGCTATAGGAGGAAGGATCTTTACTTCCACTGCTTTAACATGTATATGTTTATGATTTATTGAATTGTCTTTTTGTACTCAAATCTTTCTCTTGAGCTCTGTTTTAGACCCTTATATCCAGCCTTCTAGAGGACATACCCACCTGGACCAACATCTAGAATAGGTGTCAGAAATTATTCAACAAATGATCACAAATAGGGCCTGATGTAGGAAAAATACAATTACAATGACTGTTAACCTTTTGGGGTGACAGACCCTCTTGAGACCCATATGAAATTTCAGGGTCTTTATCCCTTTAAAAAGTGCACACAAAATTTTGCCTGTTTCAAAGCTTCCTAGACCTTCTGTAGTTCAAGAATTTGAGGCTTTGGTTAGAGCTTCCTGATATGATAATGATAAAATGAAAAAGTGTGTTTTCACAGATAAGCATCAGATTTGGAAACTTACAATGGGAATGCATTGTATTCCAGCCGTCATCAAACGTTAACCCTGATTAATCACATCAGGCTGATTTATGGAAACATTGTCTTTAGCAGTAGCAACATAGAATGAAAAATCTGGAGCCCTAGAGTTGAAATATACCCCAGCAGACTCCCTGTGGCTAAAATGAGACATACCAAAACCAGAATCTAACGGCCACAGCAAGATGAGGGCTTGGTCATGTATCCCTGTGTTACTAACTACCATAAGGTTTTCTTTCCTGTAAGCAGAAACCAGGTCCTGAAAAACATCACAGAAACTACAGCTGGAAATTTCCTGTTGACCCTGATAGACTACTACTTGACACCAGCCGACCGATCTGCTGGCTGCCCACCATGGTCCTGCCACAATTCTGATGGGACAGAGAATTGGCCTTACTTTCTTTCCTGATAAATAGCCATAGACCTCAAGCCAGCCAGTTTTGGCCAGCTTATAGAGACTGTACACAAACTGTCTTTGTGCCCTGTAGTTCACCTTTTTGATGCAAAGAGCCAAATTCACCTTACTTTAATGCTAAAACCCCACCCCAAAGTGAACATGGAATGCATGTTACATATATGTTTACCCACTGCACACATGCTTGACTTCCCTCATGAATATTCACAGATTCCTTTAAGCCTGCTAAATATAACCCAGCTAATTTTTATATTTTTGGTACAGATAGGGTTTCATCATGTTGGTCAGGCTGGTCTTGAGCTCCTGACCTCAAGTGATCCACCCGCCTCGGCCTCCCAAAGTGCTGGGATTACAGGCGTGAGCCACCGCGCCCAGCCTCATGATGATTTCTAAACACAGATTCCCCTGATCCATGTGGGCGTGTGTGTATGGCGGCGGCAATTTTAGGAGTCAACTATAACAAGGTCCCAAGGAAGTGAGAGGGGAGCCAAGCTCCAGGGGACAGAAGAGGGAAGGGAAGGGCAATGGTGAGTTTCTTTTTTAGGGCCCATGGTGTATGCAGGAAACACTTCCTCCCCATTTTGTACTTTGGTGTGTAATGAAATAGCCAAGCAACACTTTTCTCTTTTTCTGAACTTGCTGAGGAAAAAGGAAAAAAGGGATCCAAATCTATCTGTCTTGGAGCAAAGATGACAGAATTGCAGGCAGTGACATGATCAAATGTGCTGAGGACAGGAGCAAACCACGCACACCCTGGAGTATCCCTGTAAGGCATAAATACCAGCTTCCTATTCCCTTTTGGAGTATGTCCTTTTGGTTTTCCTGGGAGGTTGCATTCCCCAATTTGTAGATTGTTTCTCCCTCTGAAAATAGTTTTTTTTCCCTTTTCTTCCTCTGTGCATCTCATGGTCTTTTGTTAACATTTCAAAGAGAGTTTCTGATTAACTGTGGGTTGCATGTTTCACAGTCCAAATAGCCTTAGCCTGGTCAGAGACCAGGGCCTGCTTCAGATAATTTACGAAGTTGTTGCTATTAAGAGTGTAACCTGGCTGGGTGCAGTAGCTCACGCCTGTAATCCTAGTACTTTGGGAGGCCGAGGTGGGTGGATCACTTGAGGCCAGGAGTTTGAGACCAACCTGACCAACATGGTGAAATCCCGTCTCTACTAAAAATACAAAAAAATTAGCCAGGCGTGGTGGCACACTTCTGTGATTCCAGTGACTTGAGAGGCTGAGGCAGGAGAATTGCTTGAACCTAGGAGTTGGAGGTTGCAGTGAGCCAAGGTTGCGCTACTGCACTCCAGCCTGGGCGACAGAGTGAGACTCTCTTGGGGGAAAAAAAAAGAGTGTAATCTGCTCCCCTCCAGCTGGACGGGAATACAGATAAGGTTTTGAGGCCTGGTGCCTTGTAGGAGCCCTGAGTGATCAGGCAGTCGTAGAAGTGCATGAGGTGCCAGGGGTTTCCTTCCAGCAGAACTTGCCTTCTTTATTTGTTGGGCCAGTGACTTCTCAGTTCCAGAGTTATTGCCTTGATGGTCCATGAGTGCTGTTTTGAGATTGACCCCCACTCTCTCTTGAATGAAATATATTTCATCTCTTTTCTTCTTGTATTGATATGTTAATATTTATTTTTTAATAAAGGTGAGATCTAAGGAGACATTATCCACTTTGTTTAAACCCTTCTCTTGGCTGCCATGATCCAACTATCTTCTGGTTTTTCTTCTATCTCTGCCTACAACTTCTCAATACCGTAGTCTCCTGTGGCCCTCCTTTCCCAATCCTCAGTTATGGCTCAGAGTTTCTTTATAGCCATTTTTTTTTTCTCTGAAGGCTCATGACTTCCAAATACTTGATATTCCAAATACTTGATATCAGTATATTGATATTGATAACTCTTGAGTCTTTAATTCTAGCTTTTATTACTTTCCAACTTCCAGCTCCAGCTCTACTTAGATGGCCCGCAAGTTCTTCCATTTTAATAGATCCCTAACCAGGTTCATTATACTTCCCTTAAATGGTTCCTATTTCTGTTTTACTTATCTTTGCAAATGGCAAAAATGACTGATCATTCTCCTAGCCTCAGCTAGGAGGCGATTCTCTCTTCTTTCTTCACTGTTCTTGATAACTATTCATGTGAACTTCCTTTTTCACTTTGCTTGGTATTTTTCCCCCACTGTTCCAGGAAATTGGTAACTCGTTTCTATTTTGCTCTTAATCTTTAGAGCAACCTTAGAGTTTAGGTATATAGTTCCCATTTTACTCATGAGAAAACAGGCTTACTTTTAAAATTATTAATTACACAAAGAAAATGTACATGCATGTTACCTCTAAGCAAATTTAGGCAAAACAGAAATAGAATAAAATATTACAGTGCCCCCTCCCTCCCATTACTCTCCTATGTCTTTAGCAGTGGTTCTCAGCTGGGGAGATTTTGTCCCCTAGGGCAGTGGTCCCCAGACATTTTGGCACCAGGGACAGTTTCATGGAAGACAATTTTTCCATGGACGGGGGTTGGTGGGGGATGCTTTCAGAATGAAACTGTTCCACCTTAGATCATCAGGCATTACACTCTCATAAGGAGCATGCAACCTACATCCCTCGCATGTGCATGCATAGTTCACAGTGGAGTTTGCGCTGCTATGAGAAGTTAATGTTGCAGCTGATCTGACAGGAGGCAGAGTTCAGGCAGTAATGCTCACTCGCCTGCTGCTCACCTGCTGTGCAGCCCGGTTGCTAACAGGCCACTGACCGGTACTGATTTGCAGCCTGGGCATTGGGGACCTCTTCCCTAGGAGATATTTGACAAGGTCTGGAGACAATTTTGATTGCCTTGACTTAGGGGATACTACTGGAATAAAACTACCTATTGGGCACTAAAATATATATATATAAATATATATAATATATAAAAATATATATAAATATATATGTAATATATAAAAATATATAAAAATATATATAATATATAAATATATATAAATATATATAATATATAAAAATATATATAAATATATATAATATATAAAAATATATATAAATATATAAAATATATAAAAATATATAAAAATATATATAAATATATAATATATAAAAATATATATAAAAATATATATAATATATATAAATATATATAATATATAAAAATATATAAATATATAATATATAAATATATACAATATATAAATATACAATATATAAATATATAAATATATAATATATAATATATATTATATATAATATATATATTATATATTATATATATTATATATTATATATAATATATAATATATATTATATATAATATATAATTTATATTTTTAAATATATATTTTAAATATGTTTAATATATATTATATATTTTAAATATATATAATATATATTAATATATATTTTAAATATATAATATATATTATTTAATATATAATATATATTTATTATATTAAATTATATTAAATATATATTAATTATATTAATATATATTTAATATATTAATATATATTTAATATATATTAATATATATTTTAAATATATTTAATATAATTAATATTAAATATATTAAATATAAAAATATATTTTAAATATATATTATAATATATATATAAACAACACCATCACCCACAGTTCCCATTACCTGTTTATAGTCTTGTTTCCTTCCTTTGTTCTTAACACCTTCTAAGGTATTATATCATTACCTTATTATGTTTATTGTTATGGTTTGGAGATATTTTCAAATTTTTACTCTGTATGATATGTATTTGGCACAGTATTCAACAAAATACTGTATTTGGAATCCAAGTGTTTATTATGGCTTTTTAAAAAAAATTAATACATAGATTAAAAATAAATACATAACGCTAGCCAAATAAATATGGATTTTGCACTGTAATTGTAAAAAAATGTGTTTTGCACTGGTAATCCAAAGGAAACAAAATAAAAATAAAAAAAATAATTCTCCTATCCCAAATGTCAGTAGTGCCCAGGTTGAAAAACTGCTCTGGAGGTAATCTGTTATATATCATTTTCCATAACTACACTATCCAATACTGTAACCACTAGCCACGTGAGGCTATTTACACTGAAATTAATTAAAATTAAATAAAAATTCTGTTCCTCAGTGCTATTAAGTACATTTTTAAGTGTTCAATGGCCACACATGGCTACAGAATTAAACAGCATAGATTATAGAACATTTCAATGATTGCAGTAAGATTTGTTGGACAGTGCTTTAGGTATATATCACGCAAATAGATGTTCTGTTTTACATAAATAGAATCATACATACTGTTCTATAGTTTTGTTAATATGTCTTGAAGATTTTTCCATCTAAGTATATATAACTAAAATATGTACTAAGTACATATAACTAAATATTTAAGTTTAATGGTCTGTGATATAGTTCAGTTTTATTAAATTCATAAATTTAATTTATTACAGCAATGTAGTTTAATTTTGCCTTTTTTTAAGTTTATGTGTATGGACTCATATAATACATATTATTTTTATCCAGTTTATTTTACTCAATGCTATGTTTTTAAGATATATCCATGTTATTTCTGTATATCTATAGTTATTCCTTTTAAGTGCTTTATGGTATTCCATTGGATGACCATACCATAGGTTGTTTATCCATTTGACTTTTGTGGGCATTTGAGTTTCTTCCAGTTTGGGGATATAATGAATAATTCTGGCATGAATATTCTGTACTTATTTCCTGAAAGTATATTTTTATGCAGGTTATACATGGGAATGGAATTATTGGTCCACTGAAATTTACTAGATTATGCCACTTTCTTAAAATAGTTGCATTCTTCTTCTTATTATTATTTTTGAGATGGAGCCTTGCTCTGTCGCCTAGGCTGGAGTGCAGTGGTGTGATCTCAGCTCACTGCAACTTTCATCTCCTGGGTTCAAGCGATTCTCCTGCCTCAGCCTCCTGAGTACATGGGATTACAGGTATGTGCTATCATGCCCAGCTAATTTTTGTATCTTTGGTAGAGATGGGGTTTCACCATGTTCCAGGCTAGTCTTGAACTCCTGACCTCAAGTGATCTGCCCGCCTCGGCCTCCCAAAGTGTTGGGATTACAGACGAGAGCCACGTTGCCTGGCCGCATTTTTTTCTTAATAGCAGTATGTGAGAGTTCCCCTCTAAACTGCATCCTAAGCAGTATCTTTGTATTTGTCAGACTTTTAAAGTTCAAACTTCCTGGTGGCATGTGGTTGTATCCCATAGTTTTATTTTGCACTTCTTTGATTATGAATGATACAGAACACTTTCATATATTTATCAGTCTTTTGAATATTTTCTTTTATGAGTTCTTTTTGAGTCTCTAGACCATTTATCTATTGAGTTGTTTTATTAATTTGTAGAAAGACTTTGTATATTCTGGATACAAGCCTTTTATTGGTTGTATATGTTGTGTAGATATTCTCCACCTTTAGTGGCTGCTTGCCTTTTCTGTCTCTCTTAATGGTGATTTTTGATTTGTTTTGAGAAATATCAACCTTTCTTCTTAAGATTATTCAATAACAGCAAAGTAACAATGAGAAACTACTGTCAGTTTAAGTGGGTTTAGCTCCTCAGTTCCAAGGTATATAATCACTTAAATATAACCTGGAAAAAAAAACAAAAATATTTCTCTAAATCATGGTCTTTGTAAAAAAATGAATTAAATCTTCTCTGTTCTCTCATATTGTATTCCAATTTTGGATGTAGCCACCAGTGAGATAGCAAATGTCTAAATTTGGATACATCACTTAAATATTTAGAACGTCATTGGTTTCTTCAAACAGTGGAAAATTCTTGCCATGCCTACCTTATAGACTTTGTATAATGCTATTATCAATGCTAGCTGATACTAACTTAGAAGATGATTATACATTTTTAAACAGCTCTTCCTATCCTGGTTCTACAATAAGACACTGACTCCACCACATACTGGATGACCTAGAGCAAGTTAACTTAATGACACTGTGCATTAATTTACTTTGCTATAACAATGGGATAATATATCAATTCATGTTATTATTGCAGCTATTGTTCAGATAGAACAATTGAGAGAATTTATAAACAAAATGACTAAGCAGATGAGTTAGTTTTCCTAATTGGCCAGCTTAAGGGAGAGAGTTATAAGGGCTATAGAGTTCTAGATGAAATTATAACATCACCTCAAAGAGAGAGCAACTTACCTCTGGTCAGGCTTTCTTCCTGAAGTGTTTCTTGGGAGAGGGTGAGCAGAGTGGTCAAGAGCCTATCTATTTATTTCAGTGGGCTAAGCATAGATGTCCTTGAGAGAAGACTTCCTTGGTCCTTTAGGTAATGTAAGTCCTTCAACTTCATTCTTTTTCAAAATTGTTCTGACTATTCTGGGTCCCTTTTATTTCCATGTGAATTTTAGGATCAGCTTGTCAATTTCTACAACAAGCCCAGCTAAGATTTTGATAGGTTTTACCTTGTTCTTGCTCTTAGGAGCCAAGCAGCCCATCTTTCACCATTAAGTATGATGTTAGTTGTGAGAGTTTCGTATCTGTCTTTATCACATTAAGAATGTTCTCTTCTATTCCTAGTCTGTGGAGAGGTTTTTTGTTTGTTTGTTTGTTTGTTTGTTTGTTTTTTTAGACAGAGTCTCACTCTGTCATCCAGGCTGGAGTGCAGTACAATCTCTGCTCTCTGCTCTCTGCAACCTCCACCTCCCGGGCTCAAGTGATTCTCCTGCCTCAGTCTCCTGAGTAGCTGGGATTACAGGTGTGCGCCACCACATCCAGCTAATTTTTGTATTTTTAGTAGAGACGGGGTTTTACCGTGCTGGCCAGGCTGGTTTCAAATTCCTGACCTCAGGTGATCCACCCGCGTTGGCCTCCCAAAGTGCTGAGGTTACAGGTCTGAACCATCATGCCCAGCCTAGATTTTTTTTTAAAAATCATAAATAGGTGTTGAATTTTGTCAAATGCCTTTCCTGCGTCTGTGGAAATAATCATGTGTCCTTTATTCTATGTAGTCTCTTACATTAATTGCATGTTAAACCAACCTCATATTCTTGCAGAAATCTCACTTGGTCATGGTGTATACATTCTTTTTACATATTCCTGGATTTAGTTTGCTAATAATTAAGGATTCTCATGATGATGTTCATGAGGGTTTTGTAGTTTTCTTTTTGTATGATGTCTTTAGCTTTGGGATTAGGGTAATAAACATCTTAGATTTAGTTGGGATCTGTTCTCTTCTCTATTTTCTGAAGACTTTGTGAAGGATTAGCATTATTTTTTGGTTAAATATTTGATAAAATTCACCAGTGAAGTTATCTGGGCCTAGAATTCTCTTTATGGGAAGATTTTACATTTCTAATTCAGTTTCTTTACTTTTTATAGGCCTATTTAGATTGTTCTGTATATTTTTTAGTTCATTTTGGTAATTTGTACCTTTCTAGGAACTTTTCCACTTCATATTAGTTGCCTGCTTTGTTGGCATAAAGATGTTTACAGCATTTCCTTGTAATTTCTATAGGATCAGTAGTCTATTCTTTCTTTCGTCCCTTTATTGGGTAATTTTTATCTTCTCTATTTTTTTCTTGGTCAGTCTAAAGGTTTGTCAATTTTGTTGATCTTTTCAAATAATCAGCCTTTAGGTTTCTTTGGTTTTCTCTATTTTTCCATTTTCTATTTTGTTGATTTCTGCTCTTATCCTTATTATTTCATTTATTTTGCTTGCTTTGATCATTTTAACTTGCCCCTCCTTTTTTAGTTTCTTAAGGTGAGAGCCTGGGTTATTGATTAGAGACTTTTTTTTAAATATAGGCATTTAAAGCTATACATTTTCTTCTAAGTACCACTTGAAACTGCATCCCATAAATTTTAATATATTGTAGTTTTGTTTTTATTTAGTTCAAAATATATTTTAGTTTTCATTGTGAATTCTTCTTTGACCTATGGGTTATTTAGAAGAATGTTGTTCAATTTCCAAATATTTGAAGATATTCAAGATTTCTTTCTATTTTTTATGTTTAATTCCATGTGGTTGGACAGCATATTCTGTATGAGTTAAATCTTTAAAATTTATCAGGACTTGGTTTGTGACCTAACATATGGTCTTTCCTGGAGGATGTTCTGTGTGAGCTTGAAAGGAATGTGTATTCTGCTGTTTTTTGATGGAGAATTCTATAGGTGTCAGGTGAAATTGGTTGATAGCATTGTTCAGATCTTGTATATCCTTCCTGATTTTCTGTGTGGTTGTTTTACCAGTTCATAAGAGTGAGGTATTCAAAATATCCAGCTATTATTGAATTACCTATTTCTTCTTTCAGCACTGTCAATTGTTGTTTTATGTCTTTCGGGGCTTTCATTAAGTGATATACATCTATAATTATTACATCTTTTTGATATATTGACTCTTGTTACATTATAAAATGTTTCCTTTTGTCTCTAGCAGTATTTCTTATTCTAAAGTTTATTTTGTCAGATATTAATACAGCCACCCCATCTCTCTTGTAGTTGTTGTTTGCATGGTACATCTTTTACCTCTTTTTTTTTTTTTAAGACAGGGTCTCACCCTGTTGCCAGGCTGGAGTGCAGTGGCGTCATCTCAGCTCACCCAAACCTCTGCCTCCCGGGTTCAAGTGGCTCTCCTGCCTCAGCCTCCCAAGTAGCTGAGATTACAGGCACATACCACCACGCCCAGATAATTTTTGTATTTTTAGTAGATATGAGGTCTCACCATGTTGGCCAGGCTGGTCTCAAACTCCTGGCCTCAAGTGATCCACCCACCTTGGCCTCCCAAAGTGCTGGGATTACAGGTGTGAACCACTGCGCCTGGCTTACCTTTTTTTTTTTTTTTAACCTTAAAAACCTTTTTAGATTATTTGAATCTAAAGTGTGTCTTTGTATGTAGCATGTATTTGGATCTTGTTTTATTTATTCAATCTGAAAAGCTCTGAGTTTGCTAAGAAAAATCAAGGTGGTTCAGTGGTAGAGAATCTCAGAGCAGAAGGGTTTCAGATAGATTGTTTAGGGATGATCTCTTTGTAGTGGTGACATAAAGCTGATACTAAAGACTAGAAGGAATCAAAGTGTGAAGAAGGGAAGGGAAAGGAAAGAGCATTATAAATCAAGAGAACAGACCCTGAGTGATAGGAGAGCTTGACATTTTTGAAGAACTGAAAGAGAAGCTGGTTCATAGTGAGCAAAGGGAATGTGGTGGCAGATGAAGGGTAGTATGCTAAACAAGGGTGACACTGCGGAATCTTGAAGTCTATGGTGAAAAGTTTGTATTTTATTGAAAAAGTAGTGTGAAGTCATTGAAATTTTTGAAGAGTAGAAGAAACTTGATCCAATTTGTGTGTACAAAATCTGAATCTAAACCTTGGTAAGCAAGAAATAGCATATTGTAGGCTGGGCATGGTGGCTCACGCCTGTAATCCCAGCTCTTTGGGATGCCGAGGCGGGTGGATCGCCTGAGGTCGGGATTTCGAGACCAGCCTGGCCAGCATGGTGAAACCCCGTCTCTACTAAAAATACGAAAACTAGCTGGGGATGGTGGCAGGTGCCTGTAATCCCAGCTACTCTGGAAGCTGAAGCAGGAGAATCACCTGAACCCAGGAGGTGGAGGTTTCAGTGAGCCGAGATTGCGCCATTGCACTCCAGCCTGGGTAACAGAGTAAGACTCCATCTCAAAAAAAAAAAAAAAAAAAAAAAAAAAAAAAAAAGAAAGCAAGAAATAGCGTATTGTAATTTTTTTCCTAATTCAAATTAAATTTGACTTAGATACTCTTCCCTGATGAGCTGGTGAGAAATGTATTGTCAGTCACTATTAGGGCTGTGTCACCTCAGAAGTTCCCACCAAACTAACAAGGTTGCTAGAAAATAGAAGGAAAACTTCTAACTTTGAGTTTGTCATGGTCATTGGGCTAGTATGTGGATGTTTGTCCATATCCACAGTTTCCTTAAAGGATGGTAGTTTTCTGCTTCTATGCCACTTTGGGGTTCATGAAACTGGAGATGACAAGTCCTGGTACTCTTTTTGGTGTACCATGGAACCATCATTTTTTAGGTCTAATTCTTTCTTAGAGATGCTGCCTGTGAGTGTGGTAGTCAGTTCTCTTTATTATACTTTTTCTTTTTTCCTCCCTCTTCTGACCTTTCCTTTTGTTTTCAGAAATTACTCTAGAATGTATACTCTTCTCTTGTTACCATTAAAAACTTAACAGGATTTTACTTTGATTTTTACAAAAGACACGAAGTGCAATTACCTGGATTAGCTTCTTCTATGAAGAAAAATAAAGCAGCCTAACAGGGTAGAGATTGATAGAGTCTACTATCTTAAATAGAGAGACTAGGAAACTCTCTCTTAGTAGAGTCATTTGAGTAGAATCCTGAAGGCAGTAAAAGAAAATAACATTTCACGCAAAGGGAATAACAAATACAAGGTGTCTGGGAATGGAGAGTAGTTGGTGTTTTTGAGGAAAAGTAAAGGTCAGGCTACTGTGGCTGGAACGAATGAACAAGGTTAAGGAGCTTTAGTAGATGAAGTAGCCAGATATCAGAGCATGCAGAACCTTGAAAGTCGGGGGAAGGACTTTGAGGTTTTACTATGAGTGAGATCATAGAAGATTATTTTGTAGAGTAGACTACAGAGGGGACAAGGGCATGCAAGAAAAAACCAGACTGGACACCTAGATATTGAACTTACTAAATAAAGACATTAAGCCAACTGTTATAAATATTTTCAAAGAACTAAAGACAACTATGTCTAAAGAATTAAAGTTTGAGAATGATGTCTTACTTAATAGAGAATATCAATTAAAAGATATAAGTTATTTTACAAACCAGATGGATATTCTGGTTGACAAATACAATAACTGAAATGTAAAATTCACTAAAGGGACTCATCATCCTTTTTGAACTTGCAAAATAAAGAATCAGTGAACTTAAGATCACCCAGTCTGAGAAACAGAAAGAAAAAAGAATGCAGAAAAATGAACAGAGCCATACAGATTTGTGAGAAACCATCACATGTATCAATACATGCATAAGGAGAATCCCAAAAGAAAAGAAAAAGAAAGGGCAGAAAGAATATTTGAAGATATGATGGCAAGAAACTACAAATTTGATAACAAACACTAATCTGCACACTAAGAAACTAGTGAACTCCAAGTAGGATAAACCTAGAGACACGTCATAGTCAAACTATTGAAAGCCAAAGATCAAGAAAGAATCTTGGCCAGGCACAGTGGCTCATGCCTGTAATACCAGCACTTTGGGAAGCTGAGGTGGACAGATTACTTGAGCTCACAAGTTTGAGAGCAGCCTGGGCAACATGGAGAAACCCTGTCTCTACAAAAAATACAAAAATTAGCCAGGCGTGGTGTTGCATGCCTGTAGTCCCAGCTACTCGGGAGGCTGAGATGGGAGGAAATAGAGGTTGTGGTGAGCCAAGATTGTGCCACTGCACTTCAGGCTGGGCAATAGAACCAGACCTCTCAAAAAGAAAGAGAGAGGCCGGGCGCGGTGGCTCACGCCTGTAATCCCAGCACTTTGGGAGGCTGAGGCGGGCGGATCACGAGGTCAGGAGATCGAGACCATCCTGGCTAACACGGTGAAACCCCGTCTCTACTAAAAATACAAAAAATTAGCCGGCCGTGGTAGCGGGCGCCTGTAGTCCCAGCTACTCGGGAGGCTGAGGCAGGAGAATGGCGTGAACCTGGGAGGCGGAGCTTGCAGTGAGCCGAGATCGCGCCACTGCACTCCAGCCTGGGCGACAGAGCGAGACTCCGTCTCAAAAAAAAAAAAAGAAAAAGAGAGAGAGAGAGAGAGAGAATATTGAAAATAGAAAGAGAAGGCAGCAAGGCATGTTCAATAAAATTAACAGCTTTCTTTTCATTAGAAACTGTGGATACCACAGAAGGCAGAGGGATGATGTATTCAAAGTGCTGAAAGAAAAGGACTGTCAACTAGGAGTTGTATATTCAGCAAAGCTAGTCTTCAAAAATTAAGGTGAATTTAAAACATTCCCATGTAAACAAAAACAGAATTCTTCACTAGCAGACATGCCCTATAAGAAATATGAAAGGGGGTTCTTTAGGTTGAAATGACAGGACACTAAATAGTAACTTGAATCCACACAGAGAAATAAAGAGTACTGGTAAAGATAACTCTATAGGTAAATGTAAAAGTCAGTATAAATATTATTTTTGTTTGTAACCTTTTTCTTCTATCTGATTCAAAAGACAACTACATAAAGCAATAATTATAATTATATATTTAATAATGTGTAAGGATATTCTTTTAATGCCAATAATAATAAAAGGAGAGGAGAAGGAATGGAGCTGTACGGGAACAGGGTTTTTATATATTATTGAAATTACGTCAATATTACTCTGAGCTAGATTGCTTTAAGTTAAGACGTTAATTGCAGTCCCCAGGGCAAATACTAATAAAAGAACTAAAAAAAGTGGTAAAATAGCTAACAAGTGGATTAAAATGGTATACTAGAAAACTAACACAAAAGAAGGCAGTAATGAAAGGATAGAGGAACATAAAGGCATGTACAGAAAACAGCAAAATGGCAAATGTAAATCTCATCAGTAATTCCAAGAAATGAAATGGGCACTACAGTCAAAAGGCATAGATTAAGAGAATGAATAAAATAACATAATCCAACTATATGCTATCTATGAGACAAATATATATTCAGAGAAACAAATAGGTTGAAAGTGAAAAGATGGAAGAAGATACAGAATACAACAATTCTCCAAAAAAGAACTGGAGAGGCTGTGCTAGTATTAGACAAAATAGACTTTGAGACAAAAATTGTTACTAGAGACCAAGAAGAACATTTTATATTAAAAAGGTCAGTCCATCAAAAAAACATAACAATTATAAACATATGCACCTAAGAGCAGAGCCTCAAAATAAATGAGGCAAAACCCAGCAGAATTAAAGGAAAATAGACAATTCAACAATAATAGTTGGAGATGTCAATACCTCACTTTGAAAAATGGATACAACATATAGGTAGATGATCACTGGGGAACTAGAAGACTTCAGCAACACTATAAACCAACTAGTCTAATAGACACCTATAAAACACTCTCCCCAACAGTGTAAGGCACATTCTTCTCAAATACACATTTAAAATTCTTTTCTCCCTTTCTTTCTTTTTTTTTTTTTGGACAGGATATTGTTCTGTGGTCTAGGCTGGAGTGCAGTGGCATGATCACAGCTCACTACAGCTGCAAAGTCCTGGGCTCAAGCAGTCTTCCTGCTCCAGCCTCCCAAATATCTGGGACTATAGGTGTGCACCACCATGCTTCGCTAATATTTTTGTTTTAGTAGAGAAAGGGTCTCACTATGTTGCCCAGACTGGTCTTGAACTCTTGGCCTCAAGCAGTCCTCCCACCTGGCTTCCCAGATAGGGAATTATAGGCATGAGCTACTGCAGCCAACCTCTAGACCTCATGTCAGACCATAAAATAAGTCTCAATAAACTTAAAAGAATTCAAATTATATAAAGTATGTTTTAACTACAACAGTAGAAATTCGAAACCAATAACAAGAAAATTTGGGAAATTCACTAATATGTGGAAATTTGTTAACATACTCCTACATAACCAGTAGGTCAAATAAGGAATCACAAGAGAAATTAGAAAGTATTTTGAGATGAGTGTAAATGAAAATACAATATACCAAAACTTAGAGGATGTAGCTAAAGCAGCGCTTAGAGGAAAATTTATGGATGTAAACACCTGTATTTAAAAAGGAGAAAAATATTAAATTAAAACATAATCTTTTACCCTAGGAAATCAGAAAAGAGCTAACTTGAGCCAAGGCAAACAGAAGGAAATAAAGACTAACACAGAAATAAATTAAGTAGAGAATAGAAACACAGTAAAAAAAATCAGTAAAACCAAAAGTGGATTTAAAAAAAAATCAACAAAATGTACAAACCTTTGGCTAGGTTAACCAATAAAAAAATACAGAGGACTCAAATAACTCAACTATTAGAAGAAAATATTGGACTAAATCTTCCTGACCTTACGTAGGTAATGATCTCTCATATATTACATCAAAGGCATACAGAATCAAAGAAAAATTTGATATATTGGTTTTAAATATATATTGGACTTCATCAAAATTGTAAAATTCTGATGTTTTACAGGACGCTGTTGAGAAAGTGCAGACAGACTCCAGAATAAGTAGGTGGTGGCGGGGGAGGGCAGCGGATATTTGCAAATCACATATCTGAACTTGTATCAAGAATATATAGAGAACTGTTACAACTCAACAGTAAAAAGACAACCCTATTTATTTATTTATTTATTTATTTTGAGACAAAGTCTCGCTCTTGTCCCCCAGGCTGGAGTGCAGTGGCACGATCTCAGCTCACTGCAACCTCCGCCTCCCAGGTTCAAGCGATTCTCCTGCCTCAGCCTCCCAAGTAGCTGGTATTACAGGCGCCTGCCACCACGCCTGGCTAATTTTTGTATTTTTAGTAGAGATGGGGTTTCACTATGTTGGCCAGGTTGGTCTCGAACTCCTGACCTCAGGTGATCCACCTGCCTGGGCCTCCCAAAGAGCTGGGATTACAGGCGTGAGCCACCATGCCTGGCCAACAACTCAATTTAAAAGTGGGCAAAGAATTTGAATAGAAATTTCCTCAGAAAAGATATACAAATGGCCAATAAATACATGAAAAGATGCTCAGCATCACTAATCATTAGGGAAATGCAAATCAAAACCACAGTGAGATACCACTTCCTATACAGTAGGATGGCTAAAATAAAAAAAGACAGAAAATTACTAGTGTTGGCGAAGATGTGGAGAGATTAGAAACTTCATTCATTGCTGGTGGGGTTGTAAAATGATGCAGCCACCTTGGAAGACAGATTGGCAGCTCCTCATACAGTTAAACATACAGTTACCATATGACCCAACTATTTCATTCCTGGGTACATACCCAAGATAAATGAAAATATATATCCACACAAAAACTTGTACATGAATGTACATAGCAGAATTATTCATAATTAACCAGAGAGTAGAAACAACCCAAATGCCCATCAACTGACCAATAAATAAACAAAATGTGGTATATCCATACTATGGAATATTATTCAGCAAAATAAAAAGGAATGAAGTGCTGATGCATGCTGTAATATGGATGAAACTTAGAAAAATTATACTAAGTGAAAGAAGCCAGACACAAAAGGCCACATATTGTTTAATTCCATTTATATGTAATATCTAGAATAGCCAAATGCATAGAAATAGATATTAGACTAGTGGTTGCCAAGGGATGGAAAAGGGGGATCAGGGAGTGATTGCTGATGGATACGGGCTTTCTCTTTGATATGACAAAAATGCTCTGGAATTAGAGGTGATGGCTGTGTAATTTAAAACTACGCTTTACTTTACATGAATTTTATGGTATGTGAATTATCAGTAAAGCTGTTAAGAAAAGTAAGTTCACTCAATTTTACATTTAAGACAAAAGATCCCCAATTGTGGTGGATGGAAGAACATCCTCACTCTTCATCAAGGCCAGTACATTAACCAAAGAACATTTGATGAAGGAGTCCGTCAGTTCTTGAATTTCCTGATGAAGAAACAACTGGTTGGCTAGCAAAGAAAAGCTGTACTTTAGAAATTTATCTTTTTGTTTCTTAGATGGTCTACTAAACTATGCTTCAAACATAGGATTGTAGAAATCTGAATATAATAGTAATTACAAGAAATACAAATGCATTGAACTTAGCAATTAGAAGAGACATATTCACTTAATGTTCGACAAATACTCAGTGTATATTATATGCCAGGCTCTGCTGTAAATACATGGGGCATCAGCAAGCAAACTAGACAAGAATTTCCACCCTCATGGAACTAATGTTCTAGTTAAGGGAAAAAGTCCAATAAAATACACTGGTTAAGTATGTTTTTTGTATGTTAAAATATATTAGGTGCTATGAATAAAATAGAGTAGTGTGAGCAAGGCTGGGGGTGCTGGGAAGTTGGAATTTAATGTTCTCAGATTCAATAAAAAATTTAGCTATATTATGTTTACAAAAGACACATAAAACTCGAGAATACAGAAAGGTTGAGTGTAAAGGAATTATATATATGCTAGACAATTAGAAAAAAGTATGCTGATATGGCAATATTAGTATCAGACAAAATGATCTTTAAGGCAAATGATGTTAAGGATGCTAAACTTGCTTGGGCATTATAATACAGCATATAAATATTAAAACAAATACAAAATTACAAGGAAGAATTGATAAAGCTGTAATTATTGTGGGATATTTTAATGTACCTATTCAGTAAATAGAGCAAATCAAAAAATAAAGCAAATAAGTAAAGCAAATCAAAGCACAGTAAGGTTATTGATAATTTGAACAACACATTTCACAAGGTTGATACAATGAACACATAGAGAACCCTGCATGTTCATTTCAAGTGCTTATAGAATATCTTTTAAAAATTCCCCACATACTAGGTTATAAAACAAACCTCAGGTTCCCAAAATAAGGAACTGAACAGACCATGTTCTCTGATAATCATTCCTTGAAGTCAGAAAGTAACAAAAGTGACTTTTAAAAGCTCATGTTTTAAAAATTTAAATATACAGTTAAATAGCTAATGAAAAAGTTATGATGTCACTATAGAAATTAGAAAATATTAGAATGGAATGAATATAATAAAAATATATATCAGATCTTGAGGGATGCATTTAGATTGTCTTGGAGCAATATTTACAGCCCTTATTTATTTATTTATTTTTTATTATTATTATACTTTAAGTTTTAGGGTACATGTGCACAATGTGCAGGTTAGTTACATATGTATACATGTGCCATGCTGGTGCGCTGCACCCACTAACTCGTCATCTAGCATTAGGTATATCTCCCAGTGCTATCCCTCCCCCCTCCCCCCACCCCACAACAGTCCCCAGAGTGTGATGTTCCCCTTCCTGTGTCCATGTGTTGTCATTGTTCAATTCCCACCTATGAGTGAGAATATGCGGTGTTTGGTTTTTTGTTCTTGCGATAGTTTACTGAGAATGATGATTTCCAGTTTCATCCATGTCCCTGCAAAGGACATGAACTCATCCTTTTTTATGGCTGCATAGTATTCCATGGTGTATATGTGCCACATTTTCTTAATCCAGTCTATCATTGTTGGACATTTGGCTTGGTTCCAAGTCTTTGCTATTGTGAATAATGGCGCAATAAACATACATGTGCATGTGTCTTTATAGCAGCATGATTTATAGTCCTTTGGGTATATACCCAGTAATGGGATGGCTGGGTCAAATGGTATTTCTAGTTCTAGATCCCTGAGGAATCACCACACTGACTTCCACAATGGTTGAACTAGTTTACAGTTCCACCAACAGTGTAAAAGTGTTCCTATTTCTCCACATTCTCTCCAGCACCTGTTGTTTCCTGACTTTTTAATGATCGCCATTCTAACTGGTGTGAGATGGTATCTCATTGTGGTTTTGATTTGCATTTCTCTGATGGCCAGTGATGGTGAGCATTTTTTCATATGTTTTTTGGCTGCATAAATGTCTTCTTTTGAGAAGTGTCTGTTCATGTCCTTCGCCCACTTTTTGATGGGGTTGTTTGTTTTTTTCTTGTAAATTTGTTTGAGTTCATTGTAGATTCTGGATATTAGCCCTTTGTCAGATGAGTAGGTTGTGAAAATTTTCTCCCATTTTGTAGGTTGCCTGTTCACTCTGATGGTAGTTTCTTTTGCTGTGCAGAAGCTCTTTAGTTTAATCAGATCCCATTTGTCAATTTTGGCTTTTGTTGCCATTGCTTTTGGTGTTTTAGACATGAAGTCCTTGCCTATGCCTATGTCCTGAATGGTAATGCCTAGGTTTTCTTCTAGGGTTTTTATGGTTTTAGGTCTAACGTTTAAGTCTTTAATCCATCTTGAATTGATTTTTATATAAGGTGTAAGCAAGGGATCCAGTTTCAGCTTTCTACATATGGCTAGCCAGTTTTCCCAGCACCATTTATTAAATAGGGAATCCTTTCCCCATTGCTTGTTTTTCTCAGGTTTGTCAAAGATCAGATAGTTGTAGATATGCGGCGTTATTTCTGAGGGCTCTGTTCTGTTCCATTGGTCTATATCTCTGTTTTGGTACCAGTACCATGCTGTTTTGGTTACTGTAGCCTTGTAGTATAGTTTGAAGTCAGGTAGCGTGATGCCTCCAGCTTTGTTCTTTTGGCTTACGATTGACTTGGCGATGCGGGCTCTTTTTTGGTTCCATATGAACTTTAAAGTAGTTTTTTCCAATTCTGTGAAGAAAGTCATTGGTAGCTTGATGGGGATGGCATTGAATCTGTAAATTACCTTGGGCAGTATGGCCATTTTCACGATATTGATTCTTCCTACCCATGAGGATGGAATGTTCTTCCATTTGTTTGTATCCTCTTTTATTTCCTTGAGCAGTGGTTTGTAGTTCTCCTTGAAGAGGTCCTTCACATACCTTGTAAGTTGGATTCCTAGGTATTTTATTCTCTTTGAAGCAATTGTGAATGGGAGTTCACTCATGATTTGGGTCTCTGTTTGCCTGTTGTTGGTGTATAAGAATGCTTGTGATTTTTGCACATTGATTTTGTATCCTGAGACTTTGCTGAAGTTGCCTATCAGCTTAAGGAGATTTTGGGCTGACACAATGGGGTTTTCTAGATATACAATCATGTCATCTGCAAACAGGGACAATTTGACTTCCTCTTTTCCTAATTGAATACCCTTTATTTCCTTCTCCTGCCCAATTGCCCTGGCCAGAACTTCCAACACTATGTTGAATAGGAGTGGTGAGAGAGGGCATCCCTGTCTTGTGCCAGTTTTCAAAGGGAATGCTTCCAGTTTTTTTCCATTCAGTATGATATTGGCTGTGGGTTTGTCATAGATAGCTCTTATTATTTCGAAATACGTCCCATGGATACCTAATTTATTGAGAGTTTTTAGCATGAAGGGTTGTTGAATTTTGTCAAAGGCCTTTTCTGCATCTATTGAGATAATCATGTGGTTTTTGTCATTGGTTCTGTTTATATGCTGGATTACATTTATTGATTTGCGTATATTGAACCAGCCTTGCATCCCAGGGATGAAGCCCACTTGATCATGGTGGATAAGCTTTTTGATGTGCTGCTGGATTCGGTTTGCCAGTATTTTATTGAAGATTTTTGCATCAATGTTCATCAAGGATATTGGTCTAAAATTCTCCTTTTTGGTTGTGTCTCTGCCCGGCTTTGGTATCAGGATGATTCTGGTCTCATAAAATGAGTTAGGGAGGATTCCCTCTTTTTCTATTGATTGGAATAGTTTCAGAAGGAATGGTACCAGTTCCTCCTTGTACCTCTGGTAGAATTTGGCTGTAAATCCATCTGGTCCTGGACTCTTCCTGGTTGGTAAGCTATTGATTATTGCCACAATTTCAGATCCTGTTATTGGTCTATTCAGAGATTCAACTTCTTCCTGGTTTAGTCTTGGGAGAGTGTATGTGTCGAGGAATTTATCCATTTCTTCTAGATTTTCTAGTTTATTTGCGTAGAGGTGTTTGTAGTATTCTCTGATGGTAGTTTGTATTTCTGTGGGATCAGTGGTGATATCCCCTTTATCATTTTTTATTGTGTCTATTTGATTCTTTTCTCTTTTTTTCTTTATTAGTCTTGCTAGCGGTCTATCAATTTTGTTGATCCTTTCAAAAAACCAGCTCCTGGATTCATTGATTTTTTGAAGGGTTTTTTGTGTCTCTATTTCCTTCAGTTCTGCTCTTATTTTAGTTATTTCTTGCCTTCTGCTAGCTTTTGAATGTGTTTGCTCTTGCTTTTCTAGTTCTTTTAATTGTGATGTTAGGGTGTCAATTTTGGATCTTTCCTGCTTTCTCTTGTGGGCATTTAGTGCTATAAATTTCCCTCTACACACTGCTTTGAATGCATCCCAGAGATTCTGGTATGTTGTGTCTTTGTTCTCGTTGGTTTCAAAGAACATCTTTATTTCTGCCTTCATTTCATCATGTACCAGTAGTCATTCAGGAGCAGGTTGTTCCGTTTCCATGTAGTTGAGCGGTTTTGAGTGACATTCTTAATCCTGAGTTCTAGTTTGATTGCACTGTGGTCTGAGAGACAGTTTGTTATAATTTCTGTTCTTTTACATTTGCTGAGGAGAGCTTTACTTCCAAGTATGTGGTCAATTTTGGAATAGGTGTGGTGTGGTGCTGAAAAAAATGTACATTCTGTTGATTTGGGGTGGAGAGTTCTGTAGATGTCTATTAGGTCCACTTGGTGCAGAGCTGAGTTCAATTCCTGGGTATCCTTGTTGACTTTCTGTCTCGTTGATCTGTCTAATGTTGACAGTGGGGTGTTAAAGTCTCCCATTATTAATGTGTGGGAGTCTAAGTCTCTTTGTAGGTCACTCAGGACTTGCTTTATGAATCTGGGTGCTCCTGTATTGGGTGCATATATATTTAGGATAGTTAGCTCTTCTTATTGAATTGATCCCTTTACCATTATTTATAGCCTTAAATGACTAAATTTGAAAGGAAGAAAGCCTGGAATTAATGAGCTAAGCTTTGTTAAGGTAAGTGAAAATTCTGTATTGTATTTTAAGGTTCAAGTGCTGAAATCACTTTATTTTTTTAATTGCAAAATTGGGTTTTTCTTCCATTTAACCTGTTGAACCCAAATCTGCCTTATTGACCTCCTTGGGTCTCTTCTACCCCTTGAATTGTTAGTGAACTCCAGTGACATATATAGTGACAAACAGGAAGTATGCTGAAATCTGAGGCAATAAAATAGGTTTACAACCTAGTGTAATTCTAGACAGAATTAATAGTGGTCTGGCATTTAGAATGAGAAAGTGGTGGCTGTTTCTCAGTTGGACCAGCCTTCCAGATATATATTAATAGCTGTACATTATCGTTTAATTCAGAAGAAAGTAGCCTGGATGTTAAAGGGTTATGTGAACATAATATGAAAAACAGCATGTGGAATAGAGACATAGAGAATGAAAAAGAAAAAAACTTCATTGGATCATAAAGCAACAAGGCTCACAACTGGAGCATTCTCTCTTCTGAGAAATCTGCTCTGACATCCTTCTCCTCTCCCCAACCTCCCAATAGGTGTATCTTCCATTTGTTCCATAGTAGCCCGTGATTCGCTCCACTACAGAAGTTGGTTATATTTAATTTTAATTGTCCATTTACATCTATATTGCTTTTATTAAACTGTTTCCCTCAGTAAGCAAAGACTGATTTTTAAATCATTTTTGCATTTTCAAGCCCAACTGTGGTGCTGAGTACTTAATTTGATCTGTATTGAATGAAATTGAAGTTATTGAAGGAAGAAAGGATGAACTAATGAATTAAAGCAATTGATTATATTTTTTTTCTCTGTGGCCCTGAGGATTAGCCCTAGAGCACATATGTAGAACATGCAGACAGATATACTTGGGTTCTGTATGAAGATAAATCTTAACTGCCATGGGCTGGCAAGATGGCCGAATAGGAGCAGTTCTGGTCTGCAGCTCCCAGTGAGATCAATGCAGAAGGCAGGTGATTTCTGCATTTCCAACTGAAGTACCCAGCTCATCTCAACCCATGGAGGGCGACCTGAAGCAGGGTGGGTTGTCTCACCCAGGAAGTGCAAGGGTTCGGTGAACTTTTCCCATGGTCTTTGCAACCCATAGACCAGGAGATTCCCTCGGGTACCTACAAACCAGGGCCCCGGGTTTCAAGCACAAAACTGGGTGACCATTTGGGCAGACACCGAGATAACTGCAGGAGTTTTTTTTCATACCCTAGTGGCACCTGGAACACCAGCAAGACAGAACGGTTCACTACCCTGGAAAGGGGGCTGAAGCCAGGGAGCCAAGTGGTCTAGCTCAGTGGATCCCACCCCCATGAAGCCCAGTAAGCTAAGATCCACTGGCTTGAAATTCTTGCTGCCAGCACAGCAGTCTGAAGTTGACCAGGAATGCTCAAGCTTGGGTGGGGGGCGGATGGGGGGGTGAGGGGGGTGGGGCATTGCCATTACTGAGGCTTGAGTAGGCAGGTTTCCCCTCACAGTGTAAACAAAGCTGCCTGGAAGTTCAAACTGGGCGGAGCCCACCACAGCTCCACAAAGCCTCTGTAGACAGACTGCCTCTCTAGATTCCTAGTCTCTGGACAGGGCATCTCTGAAAGAAAGGCAGCAGCCCCAGTCAGGGGCTTATAGATAAAACTCCCATCTCCTTGGGACAGAGCACTTGGGGGAAGGGGCAGCTGTGGGTGCAGCTTCAACAGACTTAAACATTGCTGCCTGCTGGTTCTGAAGAGAGCAGTGGATCTCCCAGCACAGCCATAGAGCTCTGCTAAGGGACAGACTGCATCCTCAAGTGGGTCCCCAAACCCCATGCTTCCTGACTGGGAGACACCTCCCAGTAAGGGTCAACAGACACCTCATACAGGAGAGCTCCGCCTGGCCTCTGGCGGGTGCCCCTCAGGGACGAAGCTTCCAGAGGAAGGAACATGCAGCATTCTCTGTAGCCTCTGCTGGTGATACCCAGGCAAACAGGGTCTGGAGTGGACTTCCAGCAAACTACAACAGACCTGCAGCAGAGGGACCTGAGTGTTAGAAGGAAAACTAACAAACAGAAAGAAATGACGTCAACATCAACACAAAGGACGTCCACACAGAAACCCCATCCAAAGGTCACCAACATCAAAGACCAAGGTAGATAAATCCATGAAGATGAGGAATACCAGCGCAAAAAGGCTGAAAATTCCAAAATCCAGAATGTCTCTTCTCCTCCAGAGGATCACAACTCCTCACCAGCAAGGGAACTAAACTGGATGGAGAATGAGTTTGACAAATTGACAAAAGTAGGCTTCAGAAGGTGGGTAATAACAAATTCCTCTGAGCTAAAGGAGCAAGTTCTAACCCAATGCAAAGAAACTAAGAACCTTGAAAAAAAGGTTAGAGGAATTGCTAACTAGAATAACCAGTTTAGAAAAAAGCATAAATGACCTGATGGAGCTGAAGAACACAGCACAAGAACTTCACGAAGCATACACAATTTCAATAGCTGAATCGATCAAGCAGAAGAAAGGATATTAGAGATTGAAGATCAACTTAGTGAAATAAACTGTGAAGACAAGATTAGAGAAAAAAGAATGAAAAGAAATGAACAAAGCCTCCAGGAAATATGGAACTATGTGAAAAGACCAAACCTACGTTTGATTGGTGTATCTGAAAGTGAGGGGGAAATTGGAACCAAGTTGGAAAACACTCCTCAGGATATTATCCAGGAGAACGTCCCCAACCTAGCAAGACAGGTCAACATTAAAATTCAGGAAATACAGAGAACACCACAAAGATACTCCTCAAGAATAGCAACCCCAAGACACATAATCATCAGATTCACCAAAGTTGAAATGAAGGAAAAAATGTTAAGTGCAGCCAGAGAGAAAGGTCGGGTTACCCACAAAGGGAAGCCCATCAGACTAACAGTGGATCTCTGCAGAAACTCTACAAGTCAGAAGAGAGTGGGGCCAATATTCATCATTCTTAAAGAAAATAATTTTCAAGCCAGAATTTTATATCCAGCCAAACTAAGCTTTATAAGTGAAGGAGAAATAAAATCCTTTCCAGACAAGCAAATGCTGAGAGATTTTGTCACCACCAGGCCTGCCTTATAAGAGCTCCTGAAGGAAGCACTAAATATGGAAAGGAAAAACTGGTACAAGCCACTGCAAAAACATACCAAATTGTAAAGACCATCAACACTATGAAGAAACTGCATCAACTAATGGGCAAAATAACCAGCTAGCATCATAATGACAGGATCAAATTCACACATAACATTATTAACCTTAAATGTAAATGGGCTAAATGCCCCAATTAAAAGACACAGACTGGCAAATTGGATAAAGAGTCAAGACCCATCTGTGTGCAATATTCAAGAGACCCATCTCACGTGAAAAGACATACATAGGCTCAAAATAAGGAGATGGAAGAATATTTATCAGGCAAATGGAAAGCAAAAAGAAGCAGGGGTTGCAGTCCTAGTCTCCAATAAAAGAGACTTTAAGCCAACACAGATCAAAAAAGACAAAGAGGGGCATTACATAACGGTAAAGGGATCAATGCAACAAGAAGAGCTAACTATCCTAAATGTTTATGCACCCAATACAGGGCACCTAGACTCATAAAGCAAGTTCCCAGTGACCTACAAAGAGACTTAGACCCCCACATAATAATAGTGGGAAGACTTTAACACCCCACTGTCAATATTAGACAGATTAATGAGACAGAAAATTAACAAGCATATTCAGGACTTGAACTCAGCTCTGGACAAAGTGGACCTAATAGACATCTATGGAACTCTCCACCCCAAATCCACAGAATATACATTCTTCTCAGCACCACGTCACACTTATTCTAAAATTGACCACATAATTGGAAGTAAAACACTCCTCAGCAAATGCAAAAGAACAGAAATAATAACAAACAGTTTCTCAGACCACGGTACAATCAAATTAGAACTTAGGATTAAGAAACTCACCCAAAACTGCACAACTACATGGAAACTGAACAACCTGCTACTGAATGACTACTAGGTAAATAATGAAATTAAGAGAGAAATAAATTCTTTGAAACCAATGAGAAGAAAGACACAATGTGCCAGAATCTCTGGGACACAGCTAAAGTAGTGTTTAGAGGAAAATTTATAGCACTAAATGCCCACAGGAGAAAGTGGAAAAGATCTAAAATTGACACCCTAACATCACAATGAAAAGAACTAGAGAAGCAAGAGCAAACAAATTCAAAAGCTAGCAGAAGACAAGAAATAACTAAGATCAGAGCAGAATTGAAGGAGATAGAGGCACAAAAAACCCTCCAGAAAATCAAAATCAGTGAATCCAGGAGCTGGTTTTTTGAAAAGATTAACAAAATAGACTGCTAACCAGACTGATAAAGAAGAAAAGAGAGAAGAATTGAATAGACACAATAAAAAATGATAAAGGGGGTATTCCCACTGATCCCACAGAAATACAAACTACCTTCAGAGAATACTATAAACACCTCTATGAAAATAAACTAGAAAATCTAGAAGAAATGGATAAATTCCTGGACACATACACCCTCCCAAGACTAAACCAGGAAGAAGTTGAATCTCTGAATAGACCAATGACAAGTTCTGAAATTGAGGCAGTAATTAATAGCCTGCCAACCAAAAAAAGCCCAGGACCAGATGGATTCACAGCCGAATTCTACCAGAGGTACGAAGAGGAGCTGGTACCATTCCTTCTGAGACTATTCCAAACAATAGAAAAGGAGGGAATCCTCCCTAACTCATTTTATGAGGCCAGCATCATCCTGATACCAAAACCTGGCAGAGACACAACAAAAAATGAAAATTTCAGGCCAATATCCCTGATGAACATTGATGCGAAAACCCTCAATAAAATAATGGCAAACCGAATCCAGCAGCACAGCAAAAAGCTTATCCACCACAATCAGGTTGGCTTTATTTCTGGGATGCAAGGCTGGTTCAATATATGCAAATCAATAAACATAATCCATCACATAAACAGAACCAATGACAAAAACCACATGATTATCTCAATAGATGCAGAAAAGGCCTTTGACAAAATTCAACACCCCTTCATGCTAAAAGCTCTCAATAAACTAGGTATTGATGGAACACATCTCAAAATAATAAGAGCTATTTTTGACAAACCCACAGCCAATATCATACTCAATGGGCAAAAGCTGGAAGCATTCCTTTTGAAAACCGACACAAGACAAGGATGCCCTCTCTCACCACTCCTATTCAACGTAGTATTGGAAGTTCTGGCCAGGGCAATCAGGCAAGAAAAAGAAATAACGGGTATTCAGATAGGAAAAGAGGAAGTCAAATTGTCTCTCTTTGTAGATGACATGATTGTATATTTAGAAAACCCCATCATCTCGGCTGGGCACAGTGGCTCACGCCTGTAACCCCAGCACTTTGGGAGGCTGAGGCGGGTGGATCACAAGGTCAGGAGATCGAGACCATCCTGGCTAACACAGTGAAACCCTGTGTCTACTAAAAATACAAAAAAAAAAAAAATTAGCCAGGTGTGGTGGCGGGCACCTGTAGTCCCAGCTACATGGGAGGCTGATGCAGGAGAATGGTGAAAACCCAGGAGGTGGAGCTTGCAGCGAGCCTAGATTGTGCCACTGCACTCCAGCCTGGGCTACAGAGAGAGGCTCCATCTCAAAAAAAAAAAAACAAAAACCAAAAAAAAAAAAAACCCATCGTCTCAGCCCAAAATCTCCTTAAGCTGACAAGCAACTTCGGCAAAGGCTCAGGATACAAAACCAATGTGCAAAAATCACAGGCATTCCTATACACCAATAATACACAAACAGCCAAATCATGCATGAACATCCATGCACAATTGCCACAAAGAGAATAAAATACATGGGAATAAAATTTACAAGGGATGTGAAGGACCTCTTCAAGGAGAACTACAAACCACTGCCCAAGGAAATAAGAGAGGACACAAACAAATGGAAAGACATTCCATGCTCATGAATAGGAAGAATCAATATCGTGAAAATGGCCATACTGCCCAAAATAATTTATAGATCCAGTGCTATCCCCATCAAGCTACCATTGACTTTCTTCACAGAATTAGAAAAAACTACTTTAAATTTCATATGGAACCAAAAAAGAACCTGTATAGCCAAGACAATCCTAAGCAAAAAGAACAAAGCTGGAGGCATCATGGTACCTGACTTCAAACTATACTATAAGGCTACAGTAAGCAAAACAGCATGGCAGTCGTACCAAAACAGATATATAGACCAGTGGAATAGAACAGAGGCCTCAGAAATAGCACCACACATCTACAACCATCTGATCTTTGACAAACCTGACAAAAACAAGCAATGGGGGAAGGATTCCCTATTTAAAAATGGTGTTGGGAAAACTGGCTAACCATATGCAGAAAACTGAAACTGGACCTCTTCTTTACACCTTATACAAAAATTAACTCAAGATGGATTACAGACTTAAATGTTAGACCTAAAACCATAAAAACCCTAGAAGAAAACCTAGACAATGCCATTCAGGACATAGGCATGGGCAAAGACTTCATGACTAAAACACCAAAAGCAATGGCAACAAAAGCCAAAATAGTCAAATGGGATCTAATTAAACTAAAGAGCTTCTGCACAGCAAAAGAAACTATCATCAGAGTGAACAGGCAACCTACAGAATGGGAGAAAATTTTTGTAATCTTTCCATCTGACAAAGGGCTAATATCCAGAATCTACAAGGGACTCAAACAAATTTACAAGAAAAAAACAACCCCATCAAAAAGTGGGCAAAGGATATGAACAGATGCTTCTCAAAGGAAGACTTTTATGCAGCCAACAAATATATGAAAAAAAGCTCATTATCACTAGTCATTAGTGAAATGAAAATCAAAACCACAACGAGATACCATCTCATGCCAGTTAGAATGGCAATCATTAAAAAGTCAGGAAACAACAGATCCTGGAGAGGATGTGGAGAAGTAGGAATGCTTTTACACTGTTGGTGGGAGTGTAAATTAGTCCAACCATTGTGGAAGACAGTGTGGTGATTCCTCAAAAATCTAGAACCTGAACTACCATTTGACCCAGCAATCCCATTACTGGGTATATACCCAAAGGATTATAAATCATTCTACTATAAAGACACTTGCACATGTATCTTTATTGCAGCACTATTCACAATAACAAAGACTTGGAACCAGCCCAAATCAAATGTCCATCAATGATAGACTGGATAAAGAAAATGTGGCACATATACACCATGGAATACTATGCAGCCATAAAAAAGGATTAGTTCATGTCCTTTGCTGGGACATGGATGAAGCTGGAAACCAGCATTCTCAGCAAACTAACACAGGAACAGAAAATCGAACACCGCATGTTCTCACTCATAAGTAGGAGTTGAACAATGAGAACACATGGACACAGGGAGAGGAACTTCTCACACTGGGGCCAGTCAGGGGTGGGGGACTAGGGGAGGGATAGCATTAGGAGAAATACCTAAGGTAGATGATGGGTTGATGGGTGCAGCAAACCACCATGGCACATATATACCTATGTAGCAAACCTACACATTCTACACATGTATCCCAGAACTTAAAATATATATATATAAATATCTTAACTGCCAAAAAGTGGAAGGAACTGCTTGACAGGTAGTACACTCCATTTCTATCCAAGGAGATGTTCTGGCATAAAGTAGACAACCAACAAATGGGGATACTACAGAGTCACCTCATTTTTATTGAATTCAGTAAACTTATTAACATCTGTTACATACTAGGATGCTGTACTAAGCAAAAAAGTGAAACATTTATGGCGTGTGTCCAGAATATCTTATGGTCTATTTGGGGATGGTGGTGGTAGACTAGATATTTAAACAGACATCTTCAGTTGATTGTGTGGCAAGTCATAAAATGGATGTTCAGAGTACTGTGAGAGCTCAGGGAAATGTACTCAAATGCTGGATTTATAATTTTATAATCACTGTAGCTGACCAAAGGGCAACTTCTAATTTGACTGCAATATGTTTTCTTTTAGTTATACCATCATAAAAACCTGTTTTAGATAATCTTGGGAAGATTTTACACTCTTTTCCTTTTTTTTTTTTTTTTTTGAGACAGTCTTGCTCTGTCACCCCGGCTTGAGTGCAGTAGCATGATTTCGGCTCACTGCAACCTCCTCCTCCTGGGTTCAAGTGATTCTCCTGCCCCAGCCTCCTGAGTAGCTGGGATTACAAGCATCCGCCACCATGCCCTGCTAATTTTGTATTTTTAGTAGGGACAGGGTTTCACCATGATGGCTAGGCTGGTCTCGAACTCTTGATGTCAGGTGATCTGCCTGCCTCAGCCTCCCAAAATGCTGGGATTACAGGTGTGAGCCACCATGACCGGCTGATTTCACACTCTTAGACTTTGCTGCGCTAACTCATGTTAGGAAAATCTTTCTTCTGTTGACACTATTGCCAGGGTCCTGTCTTTGACTTTGGCTAGCATGGGAGAATCCTTCATGACTGCTGTAAAAAATAAGCTTTGTAAATTCCTTCAATTATTTGGTAAGAGCCTTGGACTAGGAGTTAGACGTCTAGGCTCCAATTCTGATCTGCCCCTCTTTTTCTATATGACCTTGACCTAAGTTCCTTGATTACTTTGGGAATCAGTTTTCTTATCTGAAGAATGGGAAACCAAAACATTGGCTGGACTTTTCTCTTGGGTATTGTGAAGGCAGATGAGATGATGATACCTGTCGAAATTATCAGGGAAGGTATAAGTTATCTGGGACTCTAGTGTACATTTTAACTATGGTCAGCGGTGTAAAACATAACATTGTCATGAAAACATGTTAGGAAGCAGATGTGATCGCATGAATGTGAATTGTGAGTGAGAGGTAGGACAACTGTCTGTCTGTCTGTGCTAGAGACCTTGGGACTAGTGGGTGATGAAAGGTGGGATGGGTTTTCTCCACCCTAATCTTTATTTCTCTTTCGATTCTAATTCTGGACAGTGTTCAAATTCTACACGGTTTTGTGACAGTAGTTTGAAAAAGGGATTTGTAGAGCTTCTCTAAGCGACCTCCCTGATTGCTAGCCATTTCCTACCCTCTCTTCTTTCCAATGTCCAGACTCCTCTCACAAACAAGCCTAGTTGAATCTGCCAACTTTAAGAAGTTGTTAGAGGAAGAAAGGGCAGGAAAGCTTGGATACAAGGCATCAAAGACCAAGAAGGAGACATTGAGTAGTGTCCTTGAGGACTCTCTGGACCGTCTGGAAAACTGGGAGGTCTATGAGGGCCTCTGCTGTGGAGAGGGTATCAAACTCATTGCTGTGCTCTAAATGTTTGTGTCCCCCTGGAATTCATATGTCAAAATCATAACCTGCAAGGTGATAGTATTAGAAGGTGAGGTCTTTTGGGAGGCGATTAGTGCCCTTGTCAAAGAGACCCAAGAGAGCTTCCTGACCCCTCCCACTATGTGAGAACACAGCTAGAAGGCTCCATATGTGAACCAGAAAGCAGGCTCTTACCAGACAGTGAATCTGCTGGGTGCCTTCATCTTGGACTTCGAGCCTCCAAAACTGTGAAAAATAAATTTCTCTTGTTTATAAGTCACTCAGTCAAAGGTATTTTGTTAGAGCAGCCCGGCTAGACAAAGACACCTGTAAAAATGGGAAAGGAGGTGGATGGGGTTGAAAGGGCTGCTTAGGGTCCTTGAGAGACCTTCAGATCCCCTGATAATATGAATGCTTGGGACCTTGGCTTTGAAGGGCCAGATTTGGTTGAGAAAGTATTCCAGTCCTCAAACCTGGCCCTTAAATGCACCTCTGGGTCTCTCTCAGTGTTACAGTTATATTGAACACTTATTTTTATTGATGGCTAATTAGGTGCTAGGCATTAAGACCATTATTTATATTACTTTTTGATAATTTTTTATTAAATGGCTATAGAAAAAAATTAAGTATTTTCTCAGTCTTTCATCATATCTGAATTATTGCACTCACTTTGATTAATTCATGGGACATTTTCTTAATAGTTTGTTAGTTTATTGCCTTTGGAAAGTTCCTTTTTCCTGTATTTTGGCATGATTAGCATTAATGTTTTGTACTCACTTGTTTCTGGTTCAGTACTAGTGATACATGTGGAAAAATGAATTAATATATGCCCCTTCTTTGGTAGAGTGTAGTCTATTAAAGGAAAATTTAAAATGTAAATCAGTGATTTTAATATGGTAGTGGTATGTGCAAAGTCTGGTGGCAACACAGAAGACGCAATTAACTCTGCTTTAGGACAGAGAGGATTGAGAGTTCACAAGGAAAGGACTCTTGAATTAGAATTTCATGTAGACAGTGGTAGTAAGAGAAGTTTTAGGCTGATGCTGTTTCATGTGCAAATATACAGTAAAAAAATTACACTGTATTTTGAGAACAGCAATAATTTTTTCTATTAGAAGAACATAAAATTTGAAAAAGGAAACTATGGTGTTCAAGATGTTAATATATGCAGGCTTGTATTATGGAGGGTCAGGTGGATCATGACATAGAACTTGGATTTTGCTTTGTTAGGCAGTTCTCAAACTTAATTGTGCATAGGAATCACCTGAAAATCTTGGAAAAGTACAGATCTTGATTCAGTAAGTTAGAGTACAGCCTGAGAGTCTGTATTTCTAACAATCTCCCTGCTACACTGGGAGTAGCAAGGATGTACAGAATAGAAAGCACTGTAAGGTTCAATCAGGGGAGTGAGCCAGTTACCTTGGACATGATAGAAAGATGACTGGAAGAGAAACGCTGTTTCTTTCCAGCCCCATAGAAATTGAATTGTTACCGTTGTACAAGTCCTGTGTAAGGGTGGCTTCCCTCATAGAGCTTGCAGATGTGAGGAGGAATGTTCCTGAGAGATAAGAAGCTGTTGAATGGTTTATGTTTGTCATTTGTGCCAACCAAGAAAAGGACTTTTGTTTCAGTTCTGAGGGGTGAAGGAGGTGGGCATAAGGAGTGGGGCTAGTGCCTACAGCCAGAGGAGACTGGTACTTAAGCGAGAGCCTGTTGCTCTGTGCTCCCCAGGCACCACAGAAGCAGCAGAGGCTTTTCTGTAGGTACTACCATGGCAAGAGGGCTCCACAGCTTCTCATCACTCACTTGGAAGAGGATGATGAGTGGGACATCATCAGGTATTATAATGTCATGTCTGAGGAGGAAATCAAAAGGATGAAGGAGATTGTGAAGCCCAAAGTAAGTTTCTCAGTTGGTTCTCACCACATTTTCCCTCTGCCACTTCCTGAGACCTACCTTGCTGTCATTATTTTAGAGAAACTTAAGGAAAAAGCTGGTAGCAGAGTTGCAAGCAGATTTATTTTTTAATGACCTGGTCCTCCAGAAGAAATAAATATCATTATGTATTATTTGGTACCTCAGATGAGAATTTTAAAAATCTCTTTAAATTTTATTAATTTTCAACATTTTATCTTAGTTTTAAAGATTGCATATGGCTTTTTAGGGTTTGTTGCCTTTTTCTTTTTAATTGACATAATTGTATATATTTATGGGGTACAGTGTGATATTTTGATATGTATATACAATGTGTAATGATTAAATCACGGTAATTAGCATATCTATCACCTCAAACATTTATCTGTGTGTGTGTGAACATTCAAAATCTTCTCTTCTAGATATGTGAAAATAAAAAATTAATTGTTAATTATATTTACCCTACAGTGCTATAGAACACTAGAGCTTATTCCTCCTATCTAGCTTTTACATTTGTATCTATTAACCAACCTTTGGCTATCCCACCCTTTCTCTTATACTTCCCTGCCTCTAGTAACCACTATTCTATTCTCTTCTATGAAATCAATTTTTTTTAGCTTCAATATGTAAGTGAGACCATGTGCTATTTATCTTTCTCTGCCTGGCTTAATTTCCCTTAACATAATGTCCTCCAGGCTCATCCATGTTGCTGTAAATGAGAGAATTTCATTCTTTTTGTGGTTAAATAATATTTCATATATATATACCAGATTCTCTTTATCCATTCATGTTAATGGACACTTACGTTGATTCCATACCTTGGCTATTGTGAAGAGTGCTACAATAAACATGGGATTGCAGATATTTCTTTGACATACTAATTTCCTTCCCTTTGGATATGTACCTAGCGGTAGGATTGCTGGATCATAAAGTAGTTCTATTTTAGTTTTTTTGAGAACCTCCATAATGTTTTCTATAATGGCTTTATTAATTTACATTCCTACCAACAGTGTATAAGAGTTCACTTTTCTCCACAGCCTTGCCAGCATTTGTTATTTTTTGTCTTTTTAAAAATAGGTGTGAGAAAATATCTTATTGTGGTTTTGGTTTGCATTTGCCTGATGATTAGTGATGTTGAGCATTTTTTCATATACCTGTTGGCCATTTCTATGTCTTCTTTTAAGATGTCTGTTCAGCTTATTTGCTTATTTTTTAATCGGATTATTATTATTTTTTGCTATTGAGTTGTTTGAGTTCTTTGCATATTCTGGCTATCAATTCCTTGTCAGATGAATAGTTTGCAAATATTTCCTCCCATTCTGCAGGTTGTCTCTTCACTCTGTTGATTGTTTCCTTTGCTGTGGAGAAGGTTTTTTTGTTTGATATAATCTCATTTGTTTATTTTTGCTTTTGTTGCCTGTGCACAAAAGAGATCCTTGCCATAAAAATCTTTGCCCAAAGGATATGAACAGACACTTCTCAAAAGAAGACATTTATGCAGCCAACAGACATATGAAAAAATACTCATCATCACTGGTCATCAGAGAAATACAAATCAAAATCACAGTGAGATACCATCTCACGCCAGTTAGAATGGCAATCATTAAAATGTCAGGAAACAACAGATGCTGGAGAGGATGTGGAGAAATAGGAACGCTTTTACACTGTTGGTGGGAGTGTATATTAGTCCAACCATTGTGGAAGAGAGTGTGGCGATTCCTCAAGGATCTAGAAGAAATACCATTTGACCCAGCCATCCCATTACTTGGGTATATACCCAAAGGACTATAAATCATGCTACTATAAAGACACATGCACACATATGTTTATTGCGGCGCTATTCACAATAGCAAAGACTTGGAACTAACCCAAATGTCCATCAATGATAGACTGGATTAAGAAAATGTGGCACATATACACCATGGAATACTATGCAGCCATAAAAAAGGGATGAGTTCATGTCCTTTGTAGGGACATGGATGAAGCTGGAAACCATCATTCTCAGCAAACTATCGCAAGGACAGAAAATCAAACACTGCATGTTCTCACTCATAGGTGGGAGTTGAACAATGAGAACACATAGACACAGGGAGAGGAACATCACACTCTGGGGCCTATCATGGGGTGGGGGGCTGGGGGAGGGATAGCATTAGTAGGAGAAATACCTAATGTAAATGATGAGTTGATGGGTGCAGCAAACAAACATGGCACATGTATACCTATGTAACAAACCTGCACGTTGTGCACATGTACCCTAGAACTTAAAGTATAATAAAAAAAGAATAAAAATATAAATAAAAGTAAGTCTTGGTGAAAAAAACAAAACAAAACAAAAAAAACTTTGCCCAGACCAAATGTCTAGAAGTGTTTCCCCAATATTTTCTTCTCGTAGTTTCATAATTTGGGGTCTTACATTAAAGTAGTTCATTCATTTTGAGTTGATCTTTGCATGTGGTGAAAGAGAGGGGTCTAGTTTCGTTATTCTGCATGTGGATATTCTGTTTTCCCAGTACCATTTATTTAAGAGGCTATTCCTTCCCCAGTACTGTTTTGGCATCTTTGTTGAAAATCAGTTGGCTGTAAATATATGAATTTATTTCTAGGTTCTTGTTGCTGTTCTATTTTTATGCTAGTACCATGCTGGGTTTGTTTAGCTTCTTGAATCTGTAATGTTTATGTCTTTTACCAAATTTGTGAAAATTTTGGTCATTCTTTCTCTAGTTAGTTTTTCTACCACATTCTTGTTTTTCTTTTTCTGGGATTCCTCTTACACATATGTAAGACCTTTCATTGTTGTCTGATAGTTCCCTGAGGCTCTGTTAATTTGTTTCTCTCTTCTCTCTTCTTCAGATTATATAATATCCATTGTCTACTGCTAATCTCAATGATTCTTCCCTCTGTCATCTCTATTTTCATGTTAACCCCATCTATTAAAGTTTTAAATTCAGATACTGTATTTTTCAGTTCTATAATTTTTAGTTAATTCTTTATTGTTGTTTCTTGTTCTTTTCTGAAACTTGTCTTCTTTTCACTAACTATGAGTATTATTTTTCTTTACGTCATTGAACGTGGCTCTAATTAACCACTCTGAAATCCTTGTCTGTGAATTCCAACATCTGTTTCATCTTTGGGTTGATCTCTGTGTCTTTTCTCTTGGAAATAGGTCACATGTTTCTGGTCCTTCACATGTCAAGCAACTTTCTATTGTATCCTGGTTGCTACTGAGGGAACTCCAGATTCTGTTATATTCCTTTGAAGAATGTTGTCTTGAACTCCTGACCTCAAGTGATCCACCCACCTTGGCTTCCCAAAGTGGTGGAATTACAGACATGAGCCACCATGCCTGGCCGGAAGAATGTTGTTGTTGTTAATTACCAAGCAATTAACTTGGTTGGACACAAACTGCAAACTGTTTTTTGTGCAGTATATTTCTTTTATTCCTGGCTGGGCTACTTGCAGTATAACCTACATATGTGTTGTTTAGCAGTCTGCCGGAGATTTGGGCAGAGTTTACACACAGATGGAGTGTCTCCATGCCCCTCTTTTTACTGGGATTTCCTTTTTACTTTTCAGAATTTGTGCTTGCTCCAGACTCTGTAATCTGATATTTTAGGTTAAGAAAACTGGGTTTTCTATCAAAATTTTAGCAGCTGTATATGCCATCAACTATGGTATGTCCTGAGGCTAATAGTCATTTTAAAAACAGGAAATCACCCTGTACTGTTCTCTTCATTCAAGGGTCAACTTCCACCCATTATCTGCCTGCTTTTGTTTACTCTCCATTGACTTCTACTAATTGTATTTTGTATTTTATCCAGAGTTTATAGTTGTTATCTGTGTGTGGGTCACTGTGATAGAAAAATATTCAACCATATTTTTCACATCTTTTATTTTTAATAAAAATAATTTACTCATAGTAATTTTTTATTCTTATGATTGATATATTTGGTTTCAATTTGATGTATTATTCCAGGTTAATTTTCTGTATTTATTATTTTATATTTTCCTGTTTTACTAGGATATATCTTGGAATTGGCCATTCTAGGTTAACTCCATTCTTTGATTTTTCTTCTTTCAAGGATTCCAATTATACCTATGTTGCTCTTCTTTGCGATTCTTTTATATTTATCACTATTTCTGGCCCTGTTTACCTCTGTGTTCATTTTTGCTTCATTTTCTTGACTTTTCTCATCTTCCTCTGTATTGTTTAGTACAGTTTTGGTCATATCTCTTTCTTTCTTAGGCACATTATAATTTAGTATTTGTTTCTACAATTATTTTATCATTTTCTTCAATAACTTTCTTGAGTTTGATCAGTTTCTATTTTACATCTTTTGTTGTCCATATCCATTCCGAGTTTTTATATTTCTGATTTTTGGCATTCTTTCATATCTACAGTTGTTTGCTTAATTATATTTAATTAATCTTACTGTATTTTGTTATAGTTTTTCTCTTTTTTTTTTGGATAGGTCAGGATTGTTTTGTTGTGTTTTCAACTCCTGAAAAATTTTGATTATATTTTATGTTTTTCTATTTATAGTAACTTATGTGGATGTTGGGTTTAATTTTATTTTTGTTGTTCCTATGTTTATTTGTGTTGGATTTTCCTGAACCAGTGATCTTGAGTCAACTGTTTCTTTTATTTCTATAGTGAAATGCAGTTTTTTCAATTAAAGGTACTTTTATGGTATGTCTTCTTCAAATTGTTTCTTAATGTATAATTTTAATAGGGCTCTTACTCTCAGCCACTTCATTCTCTTCACCACCACACCTCCAAAGGACAGTTCACTTTTCATGGTTCCTCTTTCACCCCAGGAACAGTGCCTTCCTTATACTATCTCTGTGTGCTTTACAAGCTCTTGTGTTTAAAATATCCATAAGCCAGTCCTCTGATGCACTAAGTCTCAGATGTTCTCTCTGTACTTTTCCACTCAGGGTGGAGCCCTTTTCCTCTGAAAGCAGGACCTTAGATGATATATATGTTACACCACATTAAAAGCACACTGCATCATTTACTCTTTCTGCAGTCCCAGACTGGTTCTTTGCATAGTTGTCACTGGAGTACTCTGCTGACATTTAATATTTATTTATTCACTTCTAAGAAAACAGAAATTTGTACTATTCTGTGTTTCCCAGTTACAACGTAGGCATAAATAATGGGTACTTTTTTTCTTTGTTGGTGGTTTTCAGAAATTTATGTAGTTAAAATTGCTTTTAGAAGGATGTCTTTTTCTATGACACCTTGTTACATTTCAAATAATCAGTGTCACTAACCAGAACTTTTTCAGCTGTTTGAATTTGCTTTTCTTTTCAGCAAATGACATATGCTATGCATGAATGTTAAAATAGCTGAAAAGAATTGCCTGTATTTAAATATTAAAAGAATTGCCTGTATTTAAATACTAAAAGAATCACCTATATTTAAAGAATTGCCTTTTATTTGAATAAAATAAATATATTGCCTATGTTTAAATGAAATAGCTGAAAAATTGCCTATATTTAAATATTTAAATACATAAATCTACTATTTTTTATGTTAAGTATTTTTTTTATCAATACTCATTTAGCCCTTACTAGATCATCCCTTGAGAGCAGTGCCTTCTTTGGAAATAGTCAAGGGATGGAAGAGGCAAGCTTATTTGAAAAAACTTGTATCACTTCTACTGTCATACTTTATAAAACATTTTATTTAGAACATCTCAACAGGGGCCAAAATGCCTCATTTCTAACTGCCATACTTCACACAGAAATATAGGCATACCTCAGAGCTATTGCAGGTTCAGTTCTCGACCACCATAATAAAGTGAATATCACAATAACAAGAGAGCCTGTCCGTTGAAGCCAGGCATTGACATCTCTCTAGCTATGAAAGTCCTAGATGGCACCTTCTTCCAATGGAAGAGTGTTTCATCTGCATTGAAAATCTGTTGTTTAGTATAGCCACCTTCATCAGGGATCTTAGCTAGGTCTTCTGGATCACTTACTGTAGCTTCTACCTTGCATTCTTGGGATTAAAAACTTTATTCGATCATGATGTCTTATCTGTCTGATGTATTGATGGATTCAACTTACTAATGTTTTTCTTGCAGATTTTAAAATCTATGTACATGAGGTATATTGCTCTTTAATTTTCTTTTTCTATATTGTCTTTCTCTGGTTTTGTTATCAGGGCAATGCTCACCTCATGAGTTGGGAACTATTCCATTCTCTTCTAGTTTCCAGAATAGTTTATATAGAATTGCTAGTATTTCTTACTTACTTGGTAGAATTCACTAAATGGACCCATTTGTGCTGGAATTTTCTTTGTTGGAATATACTTTAATAAGCATGGGATCGTTCATATTATTTCTTCTTGAATGAGCTTTTGGTAGTTTGTGTCTTTCAAGGAATGTGTTTGTTTCATCCAAGTTGTTAAATATATTAATGTCAGAGAAATCTGTGATAGTCCTTCTTTGATTCCTGATATAAGCAATTTGTTTCTTCTTTTTTTCAATATCAGTTTGACTAGAAGCTTCTTTAATTGATCTTTTCAAGGAGTTAACTTTTAAAAAAATTTTCAATAGGTTTTTGGGGAACAGGTGGTGTTTGGTTAAATGAGTAAGTTCTTTAGTGGTGATTTTTGAGATTTTGGTGCACTTGTCACCCAAGCAGTGTACACTGTATCCAATGTGTAGCCTTTTATTCCTCATCCCTTCTCACTTACCCCCGAATCCCCAAAGTTCATTGTATTATATCATTCTTTTGCTTTGCATCCTTATAGCTTAGCTCCTACTTATGAGTTAGAACATACGATGTTTGGTTTTCTATTCCTGATTTACTTCACTTAGAATAATGGTCTCCAATTCCATCCAGGTTGCTGAGAATGCCATTATTGTGTTCATTTTTTATGCCTGAGTAGTATTCCATCATATGATTTATTTTCATATGTCTTGTGCTACTATAAATATGCATGTGCAAGTATCTTTTTTGTATAATGACTTCTTTTCCTCTGGGTGGATACCCAAGAGTGGGATTTCTGGATCAAATGGTAGATCTACGTTTAGTTCTTTAAGGAATCTCCACACTGTTTTCCATAGTGGTTGTACTTAGTTCTTTAAGGAATCTCCACATTGTTTTCTATAGTGGTTGTACTAGTTTACATTCCCACCAACAGTGTAAAAGTGCTCCGTTTTCACTGCATCCACACCAACATCTATTATTTTTTGATATTTTGATTATGGCCATTCTTTCAGGAGTGAGGTGGTATCATATGGTGGTTTTGATTTGCATTTCCTTGATCATTAGTGATGTTGAGCATTTTTTTTAATATGTCTGTTGGCCATTTCTGTACCTTCTTTTGAGAATTGTCTATTCATGTCCTTAGTCCACTTTCTGATGGGATTGTTTTGTTCTTGCTAATTTGTTTGAGTTCCTTGTAGATTCTGGATATTAGTCCTTTGTTGGATGTGTAGATTGTGAAGATTTTCTCCCACTCTGTGGGTTGTCTGTTAACTCTGCTGATTATTTCTTTTGCAGTGGAGAAGCTTTTTAGTTAAGTCCCATCTGTTTATCTTTTTTTTTGTTTGTTTGTTTGCTTTTGGGTTCTTGGTCATGAAGTTTTTGCCTTCTAGTCAGTGTCTAGAAGGATTTTTTCAATGTTATCATCTAGAATCTTTATGGTTTCAGGTCTTGGATTTAAGCCTTTGATCCATCTTGTTGATTTTTGTATAAGGTGAGAGATGAGGATCTGGTTTCATTCTTCTACATGTGGCTTGTCAGTTATCTCAGCACCATTTGTTGAATAGGGTGTCCTTTCTCCACCTTATATTTTTGTTTGCTTTGTCGAAGATCAGTTGGCTGTAAGTATTTGTCTTTATTTCTGGATTCTGCAATCTGTTCCATTGGTCTATGTGCCTGTTTTTATACTAAATACCAAGCTGTTTTGGTGATTATGGCCTTATAGTATAGTTTGAAGTCAGATAATGTGATGCCTCCAGATTGTTCTTTTTGCTTAGTCTTGCTTTGGCTGTGGAGGCTCTTTTTTGGTTTCATATGAATTTTAGGATTGTTTTTTCTAGTTCTGTGAAGAATGATGATGGTATTTTAATGGGAATTGCATTGACTTTGTAGATTGCTTTTGGTGGTATGGTCATTTTCACAATGTTGATTCTACCCATCCATGAGCATGGGATCTGTTTCCATTTGTTTGTGCCATCTATGATTTCTTTCAGCAGTGTTTTATAGTTTTCCTTGTAGAGGTCTTTCACCTTTCAAGGAGTTAACCTTTGGTTTCACAGATTTTCTCTATTGTGTCTCTTTGTCATATTTCATTGATTTCTGCCCTTCTACATAAATTTTTTCCTTCTACTTGCTTTGCGTTTAATTTGTTGTTCTTTTTCTAGGCTCTTAGAGTAGCAGGTTAGGTTATTGACTGGAAACTTTTCATAAAAACATTTAATAATCTACATTTTCTTGTAAGCATTGTTTTGACTATATTGTGCCAAAATTTGAAAAAAAAATTCTTATATTGGGATAAATTTTAGATTTATGTAATAGTTTTAAATAGAATATAGAGTTCTCTCATATATTTCATCATTTCCTCTAATGTTAATAACTTACATAACCATGGTACATTTTTCAAAACTGAAAAATTAACATTGATATATTACTATTACCTTAAGATCCAGACTTTATTCAGATTTAACCAACTTTTCTACTAATGTCCTTTTTTTGTTCTAGGATCCAACCCAAAATACCACAGTGCATCTAGTCATCATGTCTCTTTCATTTATTCTTTCCTTATTTTTAAAGACCTTGATGGTTATTAAGAGTCATATGTTTTATAGAAGGGCCACCAACTTAGATTTTTCTGATGTTTTCTTATGATTACACCAAAGTTATCAATTTGAGGGAAGAATGTACCCTTCATGTTGCATAATTTTAGGGGAACGTGACTGATGAAGTAAACTTTGATCACTTGGCCAAGGTCATCACACAAGTATGATATGTTGTCCCTACATGTAAATGCAACTCAGAATGTTTTCTAATTTCCTTTATGACTTCCACTTTGACTCATGAGTTATTTAGAAGCATGTTGCTTATTTCACAAATATTTGGGGATTTTCCAGATATTTCTGTTATTCTAATTTTATTCTGTTGTGGTCAGATAACATACTTTGTGTGCTTTCAGTTATTTTAAATTTGTTGAGGATTGTTTTATGACCAAGAATATGATTTAGCTTGATGAATGTTTCATGTGCACTTGAAAAGAATGTGTATTCTGCTGTTGTTTAGTTGAATGCTCTTTAAATGTCAACTAGGTAAAGTTGGTTGATAGTGTTGTTCAGGTCTTCTGTATCCTTATTTATTTTTTCTCTATTTTTTCTATCATTTATTGAGGACTGTTGAGGTGTAACTGTAATTGTGGGTTTGTATGTTTCTATTCAGGTCTATCATTTTTGCTTCATGTATTTTGAAACTCTTGGTTAGGTAAGTACATAATTAGGATTGTTATGTATTCTTGGTTAATTTACCACTTTATCATCCTATAATGTCCCTGTTTTCATATATATGAAAACAGGGACAAGAAATATTTTATATATATATATAAATTTATATATATATATAAAATATTTCTTGTTCTGAAGTCTCCTTTTTTGATACTAATATAGCTGTTCTAGCTTTCTTTTGATTTATGTTTCAACAATATATCATTTTCCATCATTTTATTTTTATTAAATTAATGCACTTCATTTTTAAAAGAAGTTTTAGGTTTACAAAAAACTTAGCATAAAGTACAGTGCTTCTATAATCCCCTACCCCCATATAGTTTCTCCTATTATTAACTTCTTGCTTTCACGTGGTGTGTTCATTACAAGTGATGCACAAATATGGATACATTATTATTATTATTATTTTGAGGCAGAGTCTCTCCCTCTGTCACCCAGGCTGGAGTGCAGTGGCATGATCTCAATCTCGGCTCACTGAAACCTCCGCCTCCTGAGTTCAAGCTATTCTTCTGCCTCAGCCTCCCGAGTAGCTGGATCTACAGGCATGCACCACCATGCCCGGCTAATTTTTTCATTTTTAGTAGAGACGGGGTTTCACCATGTTGGCCAGGATGGTCTCAAAGTGCGGGGATTACAGGCATGAGCCACAGCACCCAGCCTGATACATTATTATTAACTAAAGTCCACAATTCACATTAGAGTTCTCTCTTTGTGTTGTACAGTTCTGTAGATTTTGACAATTGTATGACATGTGTCCACCGTTACAGTTTTATACAGCATAATTTCATTGCCAAAAAAATGTTCTGTGCTCCACTTATTCATCATTCCCTCTGCCCGCAAACTCTTGGCAACCACTGGTCTTTCTACCATCTGTATAGTTTTGCCTTTTCCAGAATGTGATGTAATTTGAGTCATACATTATTTAGCCTTCTCAGATTGGTTTCTTTCACTTAGCAACATGCATTTAAGGTTTCCCCCTGTCTTTTTGTGGCTTGATAGCTCATTTCCTTATATTGCCAAATAATATTTTATTGTATGGCTGTATCAGTTTGTTTATCCATTCATCTATTGGAGGATGTCTTGGTTGTATCCAGGTTTTGGCAATTATGAATAAAGCTACTGTGAACGTTTGTATGCAGGTGTTTGGGTGTACTTGGATTTTCAACTGATTTGGGTAAATACCAAGCAGCATGATCGCTGGATTGTATAGTAAGACTATGTTTAGCTTTGTAAGAAACTGCTGAACTCTCTTCCAAAATGGCTATAGCATTTTGCATTCCTACCAACAGTGTATAAGAGTTTCTATAGCTATATGTCCTCACCAATATTTGGTGTTGCCTGTGTTTTGGATTTTCATCATTCTGACAGATGCATAGTGATATCTCATTGGTGTTTTAATTTGCAATTCCCTAATGACATATAATATTTAGCGTTTTTTTCCCCCCGAGATGGAGTCTGGCTCTGTTGCCCAGGCTGGAGTGCAGTGGTGCGGTCTCAGCCCATTGCAACCTCTGCCTCTCGAGTTCAAGCAATTCTCCTGCCTCAGCCTCCCAAGCAGCTGGGATTACAGGCGCCTGCCACCATGCATGGCTAATTTTTGTATTTTTAGTAGAGAAGGGGTTTCACCATGTTGACCAGACTGGTCTCCAACTCCTGACCTCGTGATCTGCCTGCCTCAGCCTCCCAAACTGCTGGGATTACAGGTGTGAGCCACCACGCCTGGCCAATATTTAGCATCTTTTCATATACTTACTTGCCATTTGTATATCATCTTTGATGAGGTGTGTTTGTTTAGATATTTTTGCCGATTTTTAAAGTTGGGTTATTTATTTTCTTATTGTTGAGTTTTGAGAGTTCTTTATATATTTTTAATAACAGTCCTTTATCAGATACGTGTTTTGCAAATATTTTCTCCCAGTCTGTGGCTTTTCTTTTTATTCTCTTGACATATTTTACTTTTAACCCATCTTTGCCTTTATGTTTAGAGTGAGCTCCTTATAGAAAGCATATAATCATGCCTTGCTTTTTCATCCAATTGGACAATCTCTTTTAATATTGTATGTTTAGATCATTTATACTTAATATAGTTATTGATATAGTTGGACTAAAATCTGTCATTTTTCTTGCTATTTTTTATTTGTTCCATCTGTTTTTTGTTCTTTTTTTCCCCTTTTCTGCCTGCTTTTGAATTGGCTATTTTCTTTTATTATACTTTAAGTTTTAGGGTACATGTGCACAATGTGCAGGTTTGTTACATATGTATACATGTGCCATGTTGGTGTGCTGCCCCCATTAACTCGTCATTTACATTAGGTATATCTCCTAATGCTATCCCTCCCCTCTCCCCCTACCCGACAACAGGCCCTGGTGTGTGATGTTCCCCTTCCTCTGTCCATGCGTTCTCATTGTTCAATTCCCACCTACGAGTGAGAACATGCGGTGTTTGGATTTTTTGTCCTTGTGATAGTTTGCTGAGAATGATGGTTTCCAGCTTCATCCATGTCCCTACAAAGGACATGAACTCATCATTTTTTATGGCTGCATAGCATTCCATGGTGTATATGTGCCACATTTTCTTAATCCAGTCTATCATTGTTGGACTATTTTTTATGCTGTTTTTTTCCTTCCTTTATTGGCTTATTTATAACCTCTTTTAAGAAAATTTTAGTGGTTGTCCTTAAGTTTACAGTATGCACCTTTAATTAATCACAGTCAGCCTTCAAATAGTACGTATAATATATATAAGGTTTAAGAACCTTATGATACTCCTAATTTTTTCCTCCCAATTTTGTGCTATAGTTTTCATGCACTTTATTATATGCTGTATTCCAACACACTGCTACTATTTTTTGCTTTAGACAATTATGTTTTAGATAATTAAAAATAAGAAAAAGTATTTTATGTTTATCTTCATTTATCCATTCCCAGACATCTTTATTACTTTGTGTAGATTCAAGTTCTTGTAGGGCAGGTCTGTGGATAATGAATTATCTCAGCTTTTATTTGTCTGAAAAGATATTTAGGAATTTGAGTTTCCAGTCCAGCATGTTAGGAGTTTTAAAAAGTTGCCACTCCATCCTAACAACAAATAAAAACTGAACAAGCTGAAGAATTAACAACTCTTCTTAGATCTATAAGAGAGGTGAGGTCACAAGGTAAACTTCTGCCCCCAGAATTGGGGAGAAAAACAGGCAGATACAGAAAATCACAACTTACCAGAGCGGAAACTCACCTCCATGAGAAGAAGTACCGGGATAGAAAAACCTGAACTATAGTTGACAAATTGTGGAGGCTCAGTGTGGACAAGCCTGAGTAATAAAAACCCCAGGGGATCCCAGTCATCAGGTATCCCTCACACTTCTGTAAGTTTTATGTGAAGATTGGAGAAAAATCTCCTTATGCTTCCAGCAGGGGGAGGAAAAAGGAACGTTTTTGTAATATGTCAAGAGCATTCTGTTCTTGACCAGACCTGAGCCTAACCTGCTGAAGTTTTGTAAGAGCTCGACCCATCTGGGGCAAGGGAAATAACTCCAGCCCCCTCTGGCTATCCTTTCCCATTTAAAGGGGGGATAAAAAGCTGAAAACGACTGGTGAAGTTCATTGTCTAGCAACACAGGCTCACCAGAAGACTGAGATCTAATCATAGGACTATGGAACACTTCCCTGCCCTCCATATCTTACCACTACATTACTAAAAGCCTATGTAGCCAGGCGCGGCGTCTCACGCCTATAATCCCAGCACTTTGGGAGGCCAAGGCGGGAGAATCACTTGAGGCCAGGAGTTCAAGACCATCCTGGCCAATATGGTGAAACCCCATCTCTACTAAAATTACAAAAAATAGCTGGGCTTGGTGGCACACACCTGTAATCCCAGCTACTTGGGAGGCTGAGGCAGGAGAACCACTTGAACCCGGGAGGCAGAGGTTGCAGTGAGCTGAGATCACGCCACTGCACTCCAGCCTGGGCAACAAAGTGCGACTCTGTCTCAAAAACAAACAAATAAACACACAACCTAAAAGTCTTTTTACCACAATTCCTTTTACCCCGTACACCTTTCAGCAGTATACTACAAGGCATATTAAAAGGCAAAAAACACAATTGGAAGAGACAGAGCAACCATCAGAATCAGACCCATATGTGGCAAGGATGTGAGAATTATCAGACTGGGAATTTTAAACAACTATGATTAATATGCCAAGGGCACTAATAGAAAAAGTAGGTAACATGCAAGAACAGATGAGTAATGTAAGCAGAGAAATGCAAACTCTAAGAAAGATTTAAATCAAATGAAGATGCTGGAAATAAAAACATAGTAACTGAAATTAAGAATACCTTTGGTTAAGCTCATCAGTATACTGGACACAGATGAGGAAAGAAACAGTGAGACTTAAGATATGTCAATAGAAATTTCCCAAAATGAAAGGCAAAGAGGAAATAAAACTTTAAAAAACAGAATATCCAAGAACTGTAAGACAACCACAAAAATGTAAGTACATATAATGATAGTATTGGAGAAGAAACTGAGAAAGGAACAGAAGCAATATTTGAAGCAGTAAGGAAATAATTTTCCTCAAATTAATGTCAGACATCAAACCACAGATCTAAGAATCAGAGAACACCAAATAGGATAAAATTTTAAAAAGCCCCAAAAATGAAAAACTATACCTAGGCATATCGTATTAAAACTGCAGAAATTTTCAGATAAAGAAAAAAAATCTTGAAAGAAAGCCGGGGGTGGAGGGGGGAATCTTATCTATAAAGGAGCAAAGATAAGAAATATTTCTCCTCCTGAGAAATCATGCAAGCAAGAAAAAATTGGAGTGAAAAATCAAAGCATTGAGAGAAAAAAAAAAAACCCCACCAACCTACAATTCTGTCCCTGCAAAATTATCCTTCAAAAGTGAAGATGAGATAAAGACTTTCTCAGATAAACAAAAACTGAATGAAATTGTTGCCAGTAGATCTTCCTTGTAAGAAATGTTTAAAAGAAGTTGTTCAGGGAGAAGGAAAATGATATAGGTCAGAATCTCAGATCTATATAAAGAAAGCATCAGAGAAGGAGTAAGTAAATATAAAATAAACACATTTTTCTTATTCTTAATTGATGTAACTGATAACAGTTTGTTTAACAATATTAACAATGCATTCAATTTTGTGTGTGTATATAAATATACACATTTATGTGTGCTTATGAATAAGTGAAATGAATGACAGCAGTGATGCAAGGGATGGGAGGGAGAATTAGAAATACTTGGTTATTAGGTACTTGCACTGTATGGGAAGTGGTATAGTATTATTTGAAAATGGATTGGGGTTAGTTATAAATGCATATTTCAAACTCTAGGGCAACCACTTTAAAAAGTAAGAAAAAGAAGTATAATTGGTATGCTAAGAAAAGAGAGAAAATGGAATCATATAAAATGCTCAATTAAAACCACGGAAGGCAGAAAAAGAGTGGAAGACAGAAATAGGAACAAAGAACAAAGGCAACAAATAGAAAATAGTAACAGATATGGCAGATCAAACTATATCAGTAAACACTTCACAGTCACTCTGGAAGGCAGTTTGGCTGTCTCTTACCAAACTAAACATGCTCTTAGCACATGATCCAGCCCTTGCACTCCTTAGAATTTACCCAAATAAGTTAAAAACTTATGTTCACCCAGAACAGCTGCATACAGCTGTTTATAGCAGCTTTCTTCATAGTTGCGAAAACCTGGAAGCAACCAAGATGTCTTGCTTCCAGGTTTGGAAGGATGGATGGGTAAATAAACTGATACATCCAGGCAATGAAATATTGTTCAGTGCTAAAAGGAAATGCACTATCAAGCTATAAAAAGACATGGAGGAACCTTAAATGCATATTGCTAAGTGAAAGAAGCTCATCTGAGAAGGCCAGCTTCAAGTGATTCTCATGCCTCAACCTCTCAAGTAGCTGGGATTACAGGCACGTGCCACCATGCCTGGCTAATTTTTTCATTTTTAGTAGAGACAAGGTTTCACCATGTTGGCCATGCTGGTCTTGAACTCTTGACCTCAAGTGATCCGCCCACCTTGGCCTCCCAAAGTGGTAGGATTACAGGCATGAGCCACCATGCCCACCCCCATTATACGTTTGTCAAAACCCACAGAATGTACGCCACCAAGAGTGAACCCTAATATAAACTGTGGACCTGGGGTGATAATTATGTGACAATGTAGGTTCATTGATCTAACACATGTACCACTGTGACGCAGTACATCAATAGTGGGGATGTTTATGCATGTGTAGGGGCATGGATAGATGAGGAGTCTGTACTTCCTGCTTAATTTTGCTGTGAACCTAAAACTGCTGTTTTTTAAAAGATTTTTTCCCCTTCAGTTTAAAAGATTATTTCACTTGGTGTAGAATTCTGGGTTGATAGCAATTTTTTTTCTTTTATTCCTTTAAAGATCTCACACCATTGTCTTCTGGATTATATAATTTCTGAATATGTCTGCTGTAATTCTTATCTTGTTTATCTGTGTGTAATGTTTCTTTTTATCTTGTCATGTTTAAGATTTTCTATTTGTTTTTGGTTTTCAGCAGTTTAAATATAACGTATCTTTCTAAGCGTGATTTCTTTTAGTGGTGGTGGTGGGGTATTTATCCTGATTGTGACCTCTGAGTTTATTTTTTTAAAAAATACATATATATATATTTAATATATATTTAAATGTATATTTTTTATATATTTATTTATTTTAGAGACAGGGTCTTGCTGTGTTGTCCAGACTGGTGTTGAACTCCTGGTTTCAAGCGATCCTCCCACCTGGGATTACAGGCATGAGCCACTATGCCCAATCATCTCTCTGAGCTTCTTGGATCTGTAGTTTGTATCTTTCATTATTTTCTGAAGATTCTTGGCTAATTTCTCTTTAAATATTTCTTCTTTAAAAAATATCTACTTCAAATACCTAATATAGATGACGGGTTGATGGGTGCAGCAAACCATCATGGCATGTGTATACCTATGTAACAAACCTGCACGTTCTGCACATGTATCCCAGAACTTAAAGTATAATAAAAAAAATTTTTAAAAAGAAAAATTAAAATCTACTTCCTTCCTCTGGAATTTTAAGGCTTAGGAGAAGAGTTGTGTACATGTCCAGAAGAAAAGTGGAGTTGAGTCAGTTTATTAGGATGTGGTGTGGGTTTGGGATTTTTTTGTTTTTGTTTTTGTGGTTGCTTTCAGTGTACCTCCAACTTCAAAGCATTGTGCTTAGAGTAGAGGCTGGGTTTCCAGAGGTTTTTTGTTTTGTTTTCTTAAAATGTTCCTGCTTTACTTGCAGCTTTCAGAATTCCCAGTGGACCTGTACCTTGGAGGGATGTTTCTTGATGCATGCTTGCCCCTTGTCCAGCAGTGGTCTCCTGTTCCTTGTTACTCATGCTTGCTAGTCCAGTGATGGGGACCAGTGAGGACTCTCTACTGTCCTGGTCCAGCCTCACTATTAGACAGGCTAAAAGTTCTGTCAGCCTGTGGGAAGGGCAGGAAATGGTCTGGCCCAAGTTCATTAGAGGTTTTTGTTATTGGTTTGTTTGTTTGTTTGTTTGTTTGTTTTGAGACAGAGTCTTGTTCTGTCACCCAGGCTGGAGTGCAGTGGTGCGATCTCAGCTCACTGCAACTTCTGCCTCCTGGGTTCAAGCAATTCTCCTGCCTCAGCTCCTGAGTAGAGGGGATTACAGGCATGTGCCACTATGCCCAACTAATTTTTGTATTTTTAGTAGAGAAGGGGTTTTGCCATGTTGGCCAGGCTTGTCTCAAACTCCTGACCTCAAGTGATCCACCCACTTCAGCCTCCCAAAGTGTTGAGATTACAGGTGTGAGCTATCGCACCTGGCCATGAGGTGTTCTACCACTGTTGGAAGGGTAGAATGTTCTTTCCAGGTCAAGATCCATCAAAGAAACAAGGAAAAGTTTGGCTGTCTCAGAGAGGGGATCAGGATCACCAGGAAATCTCCAGACATGGAGAGCCAGTCTTTCTTGTGAGCATCCAGTAAAGGTCTGTGGAGAAAAATGTATGAGAGAGGTGTGAATTTTTCTTGTGTCTGTGACTCCCAGGAATTTCATATTCACACATTAGCCCACAATTTGCCTTTAGTAATTTTTTTTTTTAAAAGCTCCAGTCTGCAGCTCCCAGTGAGACCAACGCAGAAGGTGGGTGATTTCCAGCTGAGGTGCCCGGTTCATCTCATTGGGACTAGTTAGGCAGTGGGTGCCACCCACAGAGAGCAAGCAGAAGCAGGGTGGGGCATCGCTTCACCTGGGAAGTGCAAGGAGCCAGGGGACCTCCCTTCCACAGCCAAGGGAAGTGGTGAGGGACTGTGCTACCCTCCCTGGATACTACACTTTTCCCGTGGATTTTTGCAATCTGCAGATCAGGAGATTCCCTCGTGAACTTACACCACCAGAGCCCTGGGTTTCAAGCACAAAACTGAGCAGCTGATTGGGCAGGCACTGAGCTAGCTACAGGAGTTTTTTTGTACTCCAGCGGCACCTGGAACCATAATGAGACAGGAGACAGGAGAGACAGGAGAACCGTCCACTCCCCTAGAAAGGGGGCTGAAGCCAGGGAGCCAAGTGGTCTTGCTCAGCAGGTCCCACTCCCACAGATCCCAGCAAGCTAAGAACCACTGGCTTGAAATTCTCACTGCCAGCACAGCAGTCTGGAGTTGACCCAGAATGATCGAGCTTGGTGGCGGGAGGGGCATCCACCAGTACTGAGGCATTAGTAGGCGGTTTTCCCCTGACAGTGCTAAGGAGACTGGGAGGTTTGGAATGGGCAGAATTTACCACAGCATGGCAAAGTGACTGTGGCCAGATTGCTTCTCTAGATTCCTCCTCACTGGGCAGGGCATCTCTGAAGGAAAATCAGCAGCTCCAGTCAGGGGCTTACAGATAAAACTCTCATCTTCCTGGTACAGAGCATCTGGAGGGAAGGGCAGCTGCAGTCACAACTTCAGCAGACTTATATCTTTCCTGCCTCCTGGCTCTGAAGAAAGCAACTGATCCTGACAAGGGGGATTATTCCAGCACAGTGTACTAGCTCTGCTAAGGAACAGACTGCCTTCTCAAGTGGGTCCCTGACCCCTGTGCCTCTGACTGGGAGAGACCTCCCAACAGGGATCAACAGACATCTCATACAGGAGAGCTCTGGCTGGCATCAGGCCAGTGCCCCCTGGGATGAAGCTTCCAGAGGAAGGAGCAGGCAGCAATCTTTGCTGTTCTGCAGCCTCCACTGGTGATACCCAGGTGAACAGGGTCTGGAGTTGACCTCCAGCAAACTACAGCAGACCTGCAGAAGAGGGGCCTGACTGTTAGAAGGAAAACTAACAAACAGAAAGCAGCAACAACAACAACATAAAAAAGATCCCCACACAAGAACCCCATCCAAAGGTCATTAGCCTCAAAGATCAAAGGTAGATAAATCCATGAAGATGAGGAAAAACCAGTACAGAAATGCTGAAAATTCCAAAAGCCAGAATGCCTCTTCTCCTCCAACTGATTGCAGCACCTCTCCAGCAAGGTTGTAAAACTGGACAGAGAATGAGATTGATGAATTGACAGAAGTAGGCTTCAGAAGATGGGTAATAACAAATTCCTCTGAGCTAAAGGAGCACGTTCTCACCCAATGCAAGGAAGCTAAGAACCTAATAAAAGGTTACAGGAACTACTAACTAGAATAACCAGTTCAGAGAGGAATATAAATGACCTGATGTAGCTGAAAAAACAGCATGATAATTTAGTGAAGCATAAACAAGTATTAGTAGCCAAATCACGTGGAAGAAAGGATGTCAGAAATTGAAGACCACCTTGCTGAAATAAAGCATGAAGACAAGATTAGAGAAAAAGGAATGAAAAGGAATGAACAAAGCCTCCACAAAATATGTGACTATGTGAAAGGACCAAACCTACAATTAATGGGTGTACCTGAAAGTGATGGGGAGATTGGAACCAAGTTGGAAAACACACTTCAGGATATTATCCAGAACTTCCCCAACCTAGCAAGATAGGCCAATATTCAAATTCAGGAAATACAGAGAACACCACAAAAATACTCCTTGAGAAGATCAGCCCCAAGACACATAATCTTCAGATTCACCAAGGTTGAAATGAAGGAAAAAATGTTAAGGGCAGCCAGAAAGAAAGGTCGGGTCACGTACAAAGGGAAGCCCATCAGACTAACAGCAGATCTCTCTGCAAAAACCCTACAAGCCAGAAGAGCATGGGAGCCAATATTCAACATTCTTAAAGAAAAGAATTTTCAACCCAGAATTTTATATCCAGCCAAACTAAGTTTCATAAGCAAAAGAGAAATAAAGTCCTTGAGAGACAAGCAAATACTGAGGATTTTGTCACCACCAGGCCTGCCTTGCAAGAGCACCTGAAGGAAACACTAACTATGGAAAGGAAAAACTGGTACCAGCCATTGCAAAAACACATCAAAATATAAAGACCATCAACACTATGAAGAAACTGCATCAACTAATGTGCAAAATAGCCAGCTAGCATCATGATGACAGGATCAGATTCACACACAATAATATTAACCTTAAATGTAAATGGGCTAAATGCCCCAGTTAAAAGACACAGACTGGCAAATTGGATAAAGAGTAAAGACCCATCCATGTGCTGTATTCAGTAGACCCATCTCATGTGCAAAGACACACATAGGCTCAAAATAAAGGGATGGAGGGATATTTACCAAGCAAATGGAAAGCAAAAAAAGTAGGAGTTGCAGTCCTAGTCTCCGATAACACATACTTTAAACCAACAAAGATCATAAAAGACAAAGAGGGGCATTACATAATGGTAAAGGGATCAATGCAACAAGAAGAGCTAACTCTCCTAAATGTACATGCACCCAATACAGGAGCACCCAGATTCATAAAACAAGTTCTTAGAGATGTACAAAGAGACTTAGACTCCCACACAATAAAAAAGGGAGACTTTAACACCCCACTTTCAATATTAGATGGATCAACGAGACAGAAAATTAACAAGGATATTCAGGATGTGAACTCAGCTCTGGATCAAGGGGACCTAATAGACATCTACAGAACTCTCCACCCCAAATCAACAGAATATTTATTCTTCTCAGCACCACATGGCACTTATTCTAAAATTGACCACATGATTGGGAGTAAAACACTCCTCAGCAAATGCAGAAGAATGGAAATAATAACAGTCTGTCAGACCACAGTGTGATTAGCATTAAGAAGCTCACTCAAAACCTCACAACTACATGGAAATTGAACAATGTGCTCCTGAATGACTACTGGGTAAATAACAAAATTAAGGCAGAAATCAAGAAGTTCTTTGAAACCAATGAGAACAAAGACTCAACATGCCAGAATCTCTGGGACATAGCTAAAGTAGTGTTAAGAGAGAAATTTATAGCACTAAAGGCCCACATCAGAAAGCTGGAAAGATCTCAAATTGACACCCTAACATCACAATTAAAAGGATTAGAAAGCAGGAGCAAACAAATTCAAAAACTAGCAGAAGACAAGAAATAACTAAGATTAGATCAGAACTGAAGGAGATAGAGGCACAAAAAACCCTTCAAAAATCAGTGAATCCAGGAGGTGGTTTTTTGAAAAAAAAAAAAAAATTAACAAAATAGATAGACTCCTAGCTAGACTAGTAAAGAAGAAAAGAGAAGAATCAAATAGACACAATAAAAATGATAAAGAGAATATCAGCACTGATCCCACAGAAATGCACACTACCATCAGAGAATACTATAAACACATCTACACAAATAAACTAGAAAATCTAGAAAAAATGGATAAATTCCTGGACACATACATCCTCCCAAGACTAAACCAGGAAGAAGTCGAGTCCCTGAATAGACCAATAACAAGTTCTGAAATCGAGGCAATAATTAATAGCCTACCAACCAAAAAAATCCCAGGACCAGACAGATTTCACAACCAAATTCTACCAGAGGTACAAAGAGGAGCTGGTACCATTCCTTCTGAAACTATTCTAAATAATTGAAAAAGAGGCACTCCTCCTGAACTCATTTTATGAGGCCAGCATCATCCTAATACCAAAACCTTGCAGAGACATAACAAAAACAGAAAACTTCAGGCCAATATCCCTGATGAACATTGATGAGAAAATCCTCAATAAAATACTGGCAAACCAAATCTAGCAGCACATCAAAAAAGTTATCCACCACAATCAAGTCAGCTTCATCCCTGGGATGCATGGCTGGTTCAACATATGCAAATCAATAAGAGTAATCCATCACATAAACAGAACCAATGACAAAAACTGCATGATTTTCTCAATGGATGCAGAAAACGCCTTCGATAAAATTCAACATCCCTTCATGCTAAAAACTCTCAATAAACTAGGTATTCATGGAACATATCTCAAAATAATAAGAGCTATTTATGACAAACCCACAGCCAATATCATACTGAATGGGCAAAAGCTGGAAGCATTCTCTTTGAAAACCCAGCACGAGACAAGGATGCCCTCTCTTACCACTCCTATTCAACATAGTATTGGAAGTTCTGGCCAGGGCAATCAGGCAAAAGAAAGAAATAAAGGGTTCAAATAGGAAGAGAGGAAGTCAAATTGTCTCTGTTTACAGATGACATGATTCTATATTTAGAAAACCCTATTGTCTTGCCCAAAATCTCTCTAAGCTGATAAGCAAATTTAGCAAAGTCTCAGGGTACAAAACCAATGTGCAAAAATTACAAGCATTCCTATACACCAACAATAGACAAGCAGAGAGCCGAATCATGAATGAACTCTCTTTCACAATTGCTACAAAGATAGTAAAATACCTAGGAATACAACTTACAAGGGATGTGAAGGACCTCTTCAAGGAGAACAACAAACAACTGCTCAAAGAAATAAGAGAGGACACAAACAAATGGAAAAACATTCCATGCTCATGGATAGAAAGAATCAATATTGTGAAAATTGCCATACTGCCCAAAGTAATTTATAGATTCAATGCTGTTCCCATCAAGCTACCATTGACTTTCTTTGCAGAATTAAAAAAACTACTTTGAATTTCATATGGAACCTAAAAAGAACCCGTATAGCCAAGACCTAAGCAAAAACAACAAAGCTGGAGGCATCACGCTCCCTGACATCAAACTATACTACAAGGCTACAGTAAGCAAAACAGCATGGTACTGCTACCAAAACAGATATATAGACCAATGGACCAGAACAGAGACCTCAGAAGTAACACCACACATCTACAACCATCTGATCTTTGACAAACCTGACAAAAGCAATGGGGAAAGGATTCCCTATTTAATAAATGATGCTGGGAAAACTGGCTAACCATATGCAGAAAACTGAAACTTCCTTATACCTTATACAAAAATTAACTCAAGATGGATTAAAGACTTAAATGGAAAACCCAAAACCATAAAAACCCTAGAAGAAAAACCTAGGCAATACCATTCAGAACATAGGCATGGACAAAGACTTCATGATTAAAACACCAAAAGCAATGGCAACAAAAGCCAAAATAGACAAATGGGATCTAATTAAACTAAAGAGCTTCTGCACAGCAAAAGAAACTATCATCAGAGTGAACAGGCAACCGACAGAATGGGAGAAAATTTTTGCAGTCTACCCATCTGACAAAGGTCTAGTATCCAGTATCTACAAGGAACTTAAACAAATTTACAAGAAAAATCAAATGACCCCGTGAAAAAGTGGGCAAAGTGTATGAACAGAAAATTCTCAAAAAAGACATTTATGTGGCCAACAAACATATGGAAAAAGGCTCATCATCCCACCATTAGAGAAATGCAAATCAAAACCACAGTGAGATACCATCTCATGTAAGTCAGAATGGTGATTATTAAAAGTCAGGAAACAGTAGATGGTGACGAGGCTGTGGAGAAATAGGAATGCTTTTACAGTGTTGGTGGGAGTGTAAATTAGTTCAACCATTGTGGAAGACAATGTGGCGATACCTCAAGGTTCTAGAATCAGAACTACCATTTGACCCAGCAATCCCATTACTGGGTATATACCTAAAGGATTAGAAATCATTCTATAAAGACACATGTGCATGTATGTTTATTGCAGCACTATTTACAATAGCAAAGACTTGGAACCAACCCAAATGTCCATCAATGCTAGACTGGATATACACCATGGAATACTACGCAACCATAAAAAAGAATGAGATCGTCTCCTTTGCAGGTACATGGATGAAGCTGGAAGCCATCATTCTCAGCAAACTAACACAGGAACAGAAAACCAAACACTGCATGTTCTCACTCATAAGTGGGAGTTGAGCAATGAGAACACATGGACACAGGGAGGAGAACAACACACGTCAAGGTCTGTTAGGGGGTGGGGGGCAAGGAGAGGGAGAGCATTAGGACAGATACCTAACGTAAGCAGGGCTTAAAACCTAGATGACGGGTTGATAGGTGCAGCAAACCATGATGGCACGTGTATACTTATGTAACAAACCTGCACATTCTGCACATGCATCCCAGATATCAAAGTAAGATTAAAAAATAAATAAAAATGAAAAAGACAAAAAAAACCCCACAGAAATTATTTTTACCTGCTTCTATGTTGCCCAGTGTTTCTTCCTTTTGTGTTCTGCCACAGATGACCCAGTGCTCATGTCTCATTTCTCTTTGGTGGCATCTATCTTTTCTTACATTTTAGACTTTTTTTTTTTTTTTTTTTGAGATGGAGTCTCACTCCGTTGCCTAGGCTGGAATGCAGTGGCAAGATCTCAGCTCACTGCAACCTCCACCTCCCAGGTGCAAGTGATTCTCTTGCTTCATCCTCCTGAGTAGCTGGGATTACATGCACATGCCACCATGCCTGGCTGATTTTTTGGTATTTTTAGTAGAGATGGGGTTTCACCATGTTGGCCAGGCTAGTCTTGAACTCCTGACCTCAGGTGATCCACCCGCCTCAGCCTCCCAAAGTGCTGGAATGACAGGCATAAGACACCATGCCCGGCCCATTTTAGACTTTTTGATTGCCCTATGATCTCAGTTCTCTAATGAGTTTAGGAAAAGTTATGATTTTGTAGTTTATCTGGCTATTGTTGCTGTTAGGATGTAATACTCATCCCAGCTTTCCACATCCTGCAATTTCTTTGTGTTTTAAGAATTTTTTTTAATTTATACTTTAAGTTCTGGGGTATCTGTGCAGAATGTGCAGTTTTGTTACATAGGTATACACGTGCCATGGTGGTTTACTGCACCCATGAACCTGTCATCTACATTAGTTATTTCCCCTAATACTATCCCTCCCCTAGCCCCCAACTTCCCGACAGGCCCTGAGGTGTGATATTCCCCTCCCTGTGTCCATGTGTTCTCATTGTTCAACTCCCACTTATGAGTGAGAACATGCAGTGTTTGGTTTTCAGTTCCTGTGTTAATTTTGCTGAGAATGATGGTTTCCAGCTTCATCCATGTCCTTGCAAAGGACTCATCGTTTTTTATGGCTGCATAGTATTCCATGGTGTATATGTGCCACATTTTCTTTATCCAGTATATCACTGATGGGCATTTGGGTTGGTTCCAAGTCTTTGCTGTTGTGTACAGTGCCGCAAATAAACATACGTGTGCATGTGTCTTCATAGTACAATGATTTATAATCTTTTGGGTATATACCCAGTAATGGGATTGCTGGGTCAAATAGTAGTTCTGGTTCTAGATCCTTGAGGAATCACCACATTGTCTTCCACAATGGCTAAACTAATTTACACTCCCACCAACACTGTAAAAGTGTTACTATTTCTCCACATCCTCTCCAGCATCTGTTGTTTCCAGACTTTTTAATGATTGCCATTCTAACTGGCGTGAGATGGGTATCTCATTGTGATTTCGATTTGCATTTCTGTAATGACCAGTGATGATGAGCTTTTTTTCGTATGTTTGTTGGGTGCATAAATGTCTTCTTTTGAGAAGTGTCTGTTCATATCCTTTGCCCACTTTTTGATGGGGTTGGTTTTTTTCTTGTAAATTTGTTTAAGTTCCTTGTAGATTCTGGATATTAGCCCTTTGTCAGATGGATAGATTGCAAACATTTTCTCCCATTCTGCAGGTTGCCTGTTCACTCTGACGATAGTTTTTTTTTCTGTGCAGAAGCTCTTTAGTTTAATTAGATCCCATTTGTCAATTTTGGCTTTTGTTGCCATTACTTTTGGTGTTTTAATCATGAAGTCTTTGTCCATGCCTATGTCCTGAATGGTATTGCCTAGGTTTTCTTCTGGGGTTTTTATGATTTTGCGTTTTCCATTTAAGTCTTTAATCCATCTTGAGTTAATTTTTGTGTAAGGTGTAAGGAAGGGGCTCAGTTTCAGTTTTCTGCATATAGCTAGCCAATTTTCCCAACACCATTTATTAAATAGGGAATCGTTTCCCCATTTCTTGTTTTTGTCAGGTTTGTCAAAGATCAGATGGTTGTACATATGTGGTGTTATTTTTGAGGTCTCTGTTCTGTTCCATTGGTCTATGTATCTGTTTTGGTACCATTACCATGTTTTGGTTACTATAGCCTTGTAGTATAGTTTGAAGTCAGGTAGCATGATGCCCCCAACTTTGTACTTTTTACTTAGGATTGTCTTGGCTATGCAGTCTTTTTTTAGGTTCCACATGAAAGCTAAAGCAGTTTTTACCAAATCTGTGAAGAAAGTCAATGGTAACTTGATGGGGATAGCACTGAATCTGTTAATTACTTTGGGCAGTATGCCATTTTCATGATATTGATTCTTCCTATTCATGAGCATAGAATGTCTTTCCATTTGTTTGTGTCCTCTCTTATTTTCTTGATCAGTGGTTTGTAGTTCTTGAAGAGATCCTTCTCATCCCTTGTAAGTTGTATTCCTAGGTATTTTATTCTCTTTGTAGCAATTTTGACTGGGAGTTCACGCATGATTTGGTTCTCTGTTTGTCTGTTATTGGTGTATAAGAATCCTTGTGATTTTTGCACATTGATTTTGTATCCTGAGACTTTGCTGAAGTTGCTTATCAGCTTAAGAAGATTTTGAGCTGAGACAATGGGATTTTCTAAATATAGAATCATGTCATCTGTAAACAGAGACAATTTGACTTCCTCTTTTCCTGTTTGAATACCCTTTATTTCTTTCTCTTGCCCGATTGCCCTGGCCAGAACTTCCAATATTATTATGTTGAATAGGAGTGGCGAGAGAGGCCATCCTTGTCTTGTGCTGGTTTTCAAAGGAAATGCTTCCAGCTTTTGCCCATTCAGTATGATATTGGCTGTGGGTTTGTCATAAATAGCTCTTATTATTTTGAGATATGTTCCATGAATACCTAGTTTATTAAGAGTTTTTAACATGAAGAGGTGTTGAATTTTGTCAAAGGCCTTTTCTGCATCTATTGAGATAATCATGTGGTTTTTGTCATTGGTTCTGTTTATGTGATGGATTACACTTATGGATTTGTGTATGTTGAACCAGCCTTGCATCCCAGAAATGAAGCCGAGTTGATTGTGGTGGATAACCTTTCTGATGTGCTGCTAGATTTGGTTTGCCAGTATTTTATTGAGGGTTTTCGCATTGATGTTCATCAGGGATATTAGCCTGAAATTTTCTGAATACCAAAGCCTGGCCTGTCTCCACCAGGTTTTGGTATCAGGATGATGCTGGCCTCATAAAATGAGTTAGGGGGGATTCCCTCTTTTTCTCTTGTTTGGAATAGTTTCAGAAGGAATAGTACCAGCTCCTCTTTGTACCTCTGGTAGAATTTGTCTGTGAATCTGTCTGGTCCTGGGCTTTTTTTGGTTGGTAGGCTATTAATTACTGCCTCAATTTCAGAGCCTGTTATTGGTCTATTCAGGGATTTGACTTCTTCCTGGTTTAGTCTTGGGTGGGTGTATGTGTCCAGGAATTTATCCATTTCTTCTCAATTTTCTGGTGTATTTAGATTTCTAGTTTATTTGTATTTTCGTGGGATCAGTGGGGATATCCTCTTTACCATGTTTTAGCGTGTCTATTTGATTCTTCTCTCCTTTCTTCTTTATTAGTCTGACTAGCGGTCTATCTATTTTATTGATCTTTTCAAAAAACCACCTCCTGGATTCATGGATTTTTTGAAGGGTTTTTCATGTCTCTATCTCCTTCCAATCTGCTCTGATCTTAGTTATTTCTTGTCTTCTGCTAGCTTTTGAATTTGTTTACTCTTGCTTCTCTAGTTTTAATTTTGATGTTAGGATGGAGATTTTAGATATTTCCTGCTTTCTCTTGTGGGCATTTAGTGCTATAAATTTTCCTCTAAACACTGCTTTAAATGTGTCCCAGGGATTCTGTACGTTGTGTCTTTGTTTTCATTGGTTTCAAAGAACATCTTCATTTCTGCCTTAATTTCGTTATTTACCCAGTAGTCATTCAGGAGCAGGTTGTTCAGTTTCCATGTAGTTGTATGGTTTTCAGTGAGTTTCTTAATCCTGAGTCCTAATTTGATTGCACTGTGGTATCGAGAAACTGTTTGTTATGATTTCTGTTCTTTTGCATTTGCTGAGGAGTGTTTTACTTCCAATTATGTGGTCAATTTTAGAACTAGTGCAATGTGGTGCTGAGAAGAATGTATAATTTGTTGATTTGGGGTGGAGAGTTCTGATGTCTTTTATGTCCACTTGGTCCAGAGCTGAGTTTAAGTCCTGAATATCCTTGTGAATTTACTGTCTCATTGATCCTTCTAATATTGATGGTGGGGTGTTAAAGTCTCCCATTATTATTGTGTGGCAGTCTTAAGTCTCTTTGTAGATCTTAAGAACTTGTTTTATGAATCTGGGTGCTCTTGTATTGGGTGCATATACATTTAGGATAGTTAGCTTTTCTTGTTGCATTGATCCCTTTACCATTATGTAATGCCCTTCTTTGTCTTTTTTGATCTTTGTTGGTTTAAAGTATGTTTTATTAGAGACTAGGATTGCAACTCCTGCTTTTTTTGCTTTCCATTTGCTTGATAAATATTCCTCCATCCCTTTATTTTGAGCCTATGTGTGTCTTTTCACATGAGATGGGTCTCCTGAATACAGCACACTGATGGGTCTTGACTCATTACCCAATTTGCCAGTCTGTCTTTTCACTGGGGCATTTAGCCAGTTTACATTTAAGGTTAATATTGTTATGTGTTAATTTGATCCTGTCATTATGATACTAGCTGGTTATTTTGCCTGTTAGTTGATGCAGTTTCTTCATAGTGTCAATGATCTTTACAATTTGGTATGTTTTTGCAGTGGCTGGTACCAGTTGTTCCTTTCCATGTTTAGTCTTCCTTCAGGAGCTCTGGTAAGGCAGGCCTGGTGGTGACAACATACTCAGCATTTGCTTGTCTCTCAAGGATTTTATTTCTCCTTCACTTATGAAACTTAGTTTGGCTTGATATGAAATTCTGGGTTGAAAAATCTTTTCTTTAAGAATGTTGAATTTTAGCCCTGACTCTCTTCTGGCTTCTAGGGTTTCTGCAGAGTGATCTGCTGTTAGTCTGATGGGCTTCCCTTTGTGGGTAACCCGACCTTTCTCTCTGGCTGCCCTTAACATTTTTTCCTTCATTTCAACCTTGGTGAATCTAATGATTATGTGTCTTGGAGTTGCTCTTCTCAAGGAGTATCTTTGTGGTGTTCTCTGTATTTCCTGAATTTTAATGTTGACCTGTCTTGCTAGGTTGGGGAAGTTCTCCTGGATAATATCCTGAAGTGTGTTTTCCAACTTGGTTCCATTCTCCCCATTACTTTCAGGTACACCAATCAAACATAGGTTTGGTCCTTTCACATAGTCCCATATTTCTCGGAGGCTTTGTTCGTTCCTTTTTATTCTTTTTTCTCCGATCTTGTCTTCTCGCTTTATTTCGTTAAGTTGATCTCCAATTTCTAATATCCTTTCTTCTGCTTGACTGATTCAGCTATTGATACTTGTGTATGCCTCATGAAGTTCTTGTGCTGTGTTTTTCAGCTCCATCACGTTATGTTCTTCTCTAAACTGGTTATTCTAGTCAGCAATTCATCTAACCTTTTTTCAAGGTTCTTAGCTTCCTTGCATTGGGTTAGAACATGCTCCTTTAGCTCAGATGAGTTTGTTATTACCCACCTTCTGAAACCTACTTTTGTCAATTCATCGAACTCATTCTCTTTCCAGTTTTTTTCTCTTGCTGGCGAGGAGTTGTGATGCTTTGGAGAAGAGGTTTTTTGGTTTTTGGAATTTTCAGCGTTTTTGCACTGGTTTCTCCCCATCTTTGTGGATTTATCTACCTTTGGTCTTTGATGTAGGTGACCTTCGGATGGGGTCTCTGTTAGTTTTCCTTCTAATAGTCAGGGCCCTCTGCTGCAGGTCTGCTGTAGTTTGCTGGAAGTCCATTCCAGATCCTGTTTTCCTGGGTATCACCAGTGGAGGCTGCAGAACAGCAAAGATTGCTGCCTCTTCCTTTGGGAAGCTTCATCCCAGAAGGGCACCTGCCAGATGCCAGCCAGAGCTCTCCTGTATGAGGTGTCTGTTGGCCCCTACTGGGAGGTTTCTCCCAGTTAGGATATATGGAGGTCAGGGAGCCAGTTGAAGAGGCAGTCTCACCCTTAGCAAAGCTCAAATGCTGTGCTGGGAGATCTGTGCTCTTCAGAGCTGTCAGGCAGGGACTTTTAAGTCTGATGAAGCTGCACCCACAGCCGCCTCTTCCTCCAGGTGCTCTGTCCCAGGGAGATGGGGGTTTTATCTGTAAGCCCCTGATTGGGGCTGCTGCCTTTTTTTCAGAGGTGCCTTGCCCAGGGAGGAGGAATCTAGAGAGGCAGTCTGGCCACAGTGGCCTTGCTGAGCTGCAGTGGGCTCCACCCAGTTTGAACTTCCAGGTGGCTTTGTTTACACTGTGAGGGTAAAACCACCTACTCAAGCCTCAGCAATGGCGGATGCCCCTCCCCCCACCAAGCTCAAGCATCCCAAGTTGACCTCAGACTGCTGTGCTGGCAGCGAGAATTTCAAGGCAGTGGATCTTAGCTTGCTGGGCTCCATGGAGGTGAGACCCACCAAGCCCAACCACTTGGCTTCCTGGCTTCAGCCCCCTTTCCAGGGGAGTGAATGGTTCTGTCTCGCTGGCATTCCAGGTGCCACTGGGGTATGGAAAAAAAAAAGTCCTGCAGCTAACTCAGTGTCTCCTGAATGGCTGCCCAGTTTTGTGCTTGAAACCCAGGGCCCTGGTGGTATAGGCACGTGGTCTGGGGGTTGTGAAGACCGTGGGAAAAGTGCAGTATCTGGGCCAGAGTGCACTGTTCCTCAGGCTCAGCCCCTCACAGCTTCCCTTGGGTAGGGGAGATAATTCCCTGACCCCTTGCGTTTCCTGGGTGAGGCGATGCCCCAACTGCTTCCGCTCGCCCTCCGTGGGCTGCACCCACTGTCCACCCAGTCCCAGTGAGATGAACCAGGTACCTCAGTTGGAAATGCAGAAATCACCCACCTTCTGCATCGATCTTGCTGGGAGCTGCAGACCGGAGCTGTTCCTATTCAGCCATCTTGCCAACTCTCTCTTAAGAATTTTTTACTATAATCTATTTCATATGTTCTACTGTATACAATGCCAATTGATGTTTGCTTTTATTTATTTGCAATTTAGTGACTTTAAAAAATTGAGATTTTTGTAAAAGAATATTTCTGTTCTTATAGCATTGCAGTCAAAGAATATGGGCAATAAAATTTCTGCTTTGAGAAATTTGCTGAGGTTGTTTTTATGACTTTTTAAGAGTAATGTATAGCCAATGTTTATGGGCTATAGTGTTTAATGTCTCTCTTAAGCCAAGTTTATTAATTATTAATAATAGTCAATTTCTCTGTCTTCTTCATGAAAGAAATACGTTCACGATGTTCATTATTATCATGGTTTTATCAGTTTTATCTTGAATTTTCTTTATTCCTTGTTGTTTTGGTTATTTTGTAAACTGTTATTCAGCCCAGAAATTGTTACGAATGTTTGTCTTCATTCTGTATTATCATAGCAAAATAGTCCTCTGATTTCATTGTCTATTACTGCTTCTGATTTCTTATTTTATGTATTTTTGCTCATCTATTTTAATCCATTTGCTTGTGTCTATATCCACTGCTAAAACCCAAGTCCACGTTTACTGTGATCCATTTTCTAGACTATTGACATAGGTTCCTACTTGGTGTTCTTGCCTCGTCTTTTACCAACAACAATTTATTGTTCACCCAGCAGCCAAAGGGAATATTTTCCAGCCAAAAGCCCTCTCATGACTTCCCTCACACTTATGCTTCTTATCATGCCTTATGTATATATGTATAAGCAGCCCACAGCATACTTCTCCACCCTCATCTCCTACTGCTCTCCTCTTTGCTCACTGTGCTCTAGACATACTGACCTTATTTCTCCTCCTTAACTATGCTATATGTTTCCCTCAGGGCCTTTGCGGTAGCTAGTATCTGTACCTAGAGGGCTCCTTTTCATGATGAATGCTTTTTTTTCATTGATGACTAAGTACACTTGTCACCTCTTCAGAGAATTCTTCCCTGACACCTAAAGTAGCCATTCCATCACTAAGTCATTCTTATGTTTTATTTTTTCTTCAAAGCATTTATCAATATCTGAAATATTCTTGATTGTTTATTCTTTTACTCAGTAAAAGCGATTACCTTGTATGAGTTGTTGACTGTTATATTGCTGACATCTGTGACCCTGCACATCTCAAGCAAGTGACGTGGGAGTGGGAGTTGTGATAAAGTCAAGAGTCAGGCCTGATATAGAGAATTGTCTGTCATTAAAAGGAGGTTTTCCAACCTTGGAGAGTCAGAGGAAATGGAGACTGGCCTAGCTATGTCTGAAGGTGAAATAAATATATTTATAAACTAGAGCCACCTCTCAGTTATCTGTATGATCCCAGGCAGAAACACTTAGCATGGTTTCTGATACAGAGTTGGTACTCAGAATGCATTTCTTGAAATGAATCAAAGTATACTGACTGATTGCTGTATGCCTCTGTCCTAGGTGCTATGGGAAATTCAGGGATAATAAAAGCACAGCCCATCCTACAAGGATGCTACATCTAGCAGGGGATATTAGCCATTTGAAGAGTTAAATAATAACCACAGATTTCTCAAGAAATCTAGATGTGCTGAAAGAAGGGAGGGCTTCCTCCAAACTGGATAGTTGGGGAAGGTTTCCAAAAAGGGACAATATTAGCTACATCTTGAAGAAGTGGTTGGAAAAAGGAAGGATGTGGTTTGGGTGGACTAGAGAGTGGGAGTAACTGATAAAGATGTTGTAGAGGCCCTAATGAGCATGACGTGTGGGAGAAGTAAAAGGGTTCATTTGGGGTAGAAAAGGCATACAGGGCATAGAGTACTTAGGTCCTGACCCAGTGAGCATTCATCTTGATTGCTAAGCTTAGGATTTGGGCCTTTACGTTGTGGCTACAGGAAGGTATTGGAAGCCTTTGAGCCAGGAAGAAAGAATTATAGTTAGAAGTGCTTCAAGAAGTTCTATTCTGCATTAAGACAAGGGCCATTAAAAAAAAAAAAAAAAACTCCATTGATGCAAGATGTCTCCTTTTGTCTTTTTCTGCCTTTACCCCATCTGCCTCCCCCCACCCCCACCCTCTCTCAATGTGGTCTCACTTTCACCCAGGCTGGAGTGCAGTGGTGTGATCACAGCTCATTATAGCCTCAAACTCCTGGGCTCAAGCAGTCTTTCCTCCTCAGCCTCCCAAGTAGTTACAACTACAGGTACACGTCACCATGCCCGGCTAATTATTAAAAGTTTTTTCTTGTAGAGACAAGGTCTCACTATGTCACCCAGCCTGGTTTAAACTCCTGGCCTCAAGTGATCCTCCTGCCTCAGCCTCCCAAAGCACTAGTATTACATTCATGAGCCACTGCTCCCAGCTTGCCTTTTCTCTATTTCTTCCCTTCCCCCAACCTGGATCAGCCTCCTGGGATATTCCCTGGAGTGACCTCTGATTACTACCATCCCCAAAGCAGTAACAAGGTCAGCATCAGACAGTTTATTTGCTAGTGGCTACTGCAGTCTGAACCCTGGCTAGCATGTCAGATATGGCAGAGATATTAGAGTTTTCCAAAGGGGAATTCTGCATCCTGGATACCTGAAATAGAGACTATGTTTGGGGATAAGTAGACTACTTTGATGCCTTCAGTGTTGAACTCATGGGGTTCTGGGTAGCCAGGGGCATTATCCAACATCAAAAAAGCTTTTAAAGGCAATCCCTTACTCACAAGGTACTTCCTGACCTCAGGGACAAAGCATTGATGGAACCAATACAGAAAAAGGATTTTCATCATCCAGGCCTTCTTCTACAGCTGAAAGACTGGCAGCTGGTATACAACTGTTCCCTGCAAGGATTGGGAGTTAGCAGCTTTATGGATAAGGGCAATGCTAGTGCTTGCTTCTGTTCCTTACTAATAAATATCGTTTGTGACACTTTTTTTCAGAATAGGGCATTTTTGTCTGTATTAAAAACCTGTTGAGGCAGGTATCCTTTGTCCTCAATTATTTTCTTAATGATACCTGGGAACCTATCTCCTGCCTTTGGTCAGCAGAAACTGCTTCTCCTATTACCTTGATATTTTTAAGGCCAAACCTCTTGCTAAAATTATCAAACCATCCTTTGCTGGCGTTAAATTTTTCAGCTTTAGATCCTTCACCTTCCTATTTGTTTGTTTATTTATTTAAGACAGAATCTCGCTCTGTCTCCCAGGCTGGAGTGCAGTGGTGCAATCTTGGCTAACTGCAACTTCCACCTCCCAGGTTCAAGTGATTCTTGTGCTGCATCCTCCTGAATACCTGGGATTACAGGCATGTGCCACAATGCCCAGCTAATTTTTGTATTTTTAGTAGAGATGGGGTTTCACCATGTTGGCCAGGCAGGTCTCAAACTCCCTCCTGACCTCAGGTGATCAGGCCGCTTTGACCTCCCAAAGTGTTGGGATTACAGCCATGAGCCAGTGTACCTGGCCTCTTCACCTTCCTTTTGGTTTATGTTGTCATATAATGACTCTGCTTTTTCTCAAGTCACAGTAGGGTCTATAGTTATACCTTTCTTCTAGCAATCCTCTACCCACATAAAGCTGCAATTTCAATATGAGATAAAAAGATATTTCACAAAAAAATGCAAGGTTTTTGGACATGGTGACATAGCTGTGGTGATGGCTTCATAAATTTCATTTTCTTTTTTAACAATGGTCCTTACACTAGATTCATTTATCTTGAAATGGTGGACACACTGCAGCTGCAGACCTCAATGTACAGTACATATTAATGGATTCAGTTTTTCTTAATGTCATGACTTTTCTTTGCTTCTTGGGAGCACTTTCCAGCATGGTTGGAAAGTTGAGGCCTCTTTCAACTCATCACTCTTTCTTCCTGGGTCCCTCTCTATGGAAAACAGGTAAGTCAAATTTCAAAACTGTGCACTATGGTTCCAACCATAGTTTCCTTTGGCCACTTGCCAAAGTGGGACTTCTCACTAATGGGAGTAAAAATGAAGGTTTTATCCAGATTATCAGTAGGATCACACTGTTCTGTCATTCGGTTTGCTAGACTTGTTTCATATAACTCAGTTTCACCAATATAGCACCTTTCCTTGGGCTTTTCTGAAAATATCACTTGTACAAGATTTTTGTGTGTGAGCAGATTCGTGAGAAGACTTGCGGTGCCAAATGTGTTTTATGTTGCCATGGTGCTTGCTCTTAGCTTCATCTGTCATGAGGGTTTTGTTTCTCATAGTAGTGTTTTCTCCTACCAAATTCCACTACACATCCTCTCCTACCCTTTGGTAAACCCTGCCCCAAACAAACAGAGCAATTAATCTAGAACTGTGTTGTCCAGTACAGTAGCCATTAGCCATATATGGCTATTTAATTAAATATGGCCAATTAATTAAAATTAAATAAAATTAGAAATTTAAAACTCTCAGTTGCCGTAACCATATTTCAGGTGTTCAATAGCCACATGTGCTAGTAGCTTCTACATTGGACAGTGCAGATATACAACATTCTGATTACCACAGAAAGTTCTGTTGGATAATGCTAATCTAGAATAATACTGCCAAATTCCAGCAGGACTATCAAGGTAGATGTAAGTACTCCAAGGCACATTCCTATCACGTTCCCTGTTGCCACTATAGAAAGTATAACTTCTTCATTATTCCAGTTGCCCATCTGGTAACTATTAGATCAGGCACACGTGCACATGCACGCACACACACACACACAGACACACACACACACACACATTAATTCTTACAGACTGGATATTCTAAATTTACAAGAAGGAGGAAAAGCATTTTCCTAATTGCTCCAAAATTTTCTCTACCCATAATAAAGCGAGTACCTTACATTATTTTGCAAAGAAGTCCCTCACTTTCAAATTGTGCCCCCTTGGGCCTGGCATAAATAAGAAAACAAACCCATTTTTGAAGCTATCTCATTTAATGAAAGGTCATTCAGCTATAAAAGGATGCAAAGAAAGTTTTTCTTATCTATTCCTTTTAAGACCCTAATTATGTTCTCACCTATTCCCCAGTTCCTGCTGAGTCTCTGAAGGTAGGAGTGGGAAGTCTTGCATTGGAAAGGCCTTCTTAGGTGCAGTAGTATTTGTTATTTTACACCTTAACCTCAAAGGAAGTCCTTCTTTTTCTTGGGATGGAGCACTTTAGTTCTCATAACTCTTCTCTGAAGTCATTGCAGAGTGGGTGGAGGAAGGTGAGGGTGATGCTTTGGTCTGAATTTTCTTGGTAAACTTACAAGTGGATCTATCAAAACCAGAGGGTTTTTTCTTAACCACACCACCCCCAGAATTCCATTTCCTGCAGATGTAGCAGCAGCACATCTAGCCATCTTGGCCCAGGCCTCTGGACCATGCCTTGGGAGGGCTCTGCCCTCTGCCTTGAGTTCCATTAGAACTTCTCCAGTGGAAAGAGTGAGTTACTTTGCCCTGGCCTGGTGGGCAGGCTTTTTCCTCTCTGACTTGGCTAAATGAAATGGGATTTAAGGTAGCTCTCCCTGTGGGTAAAAGACATTTTGCTCTATGCTAGAGAAAAAGGGAGGTAGTGGTTTCATCTGCCACTACTACCTATGGATGTGAACAGAACCTCTGCTCCTGATGCAGACCCCTGGCCCTTTCCCAGCTCCTATTCTGTTTTGACTTCTGCACACCCCTTTTTCTGACCCTGATACTATCCCAGATCATTATTCTTCCTCTAGTCCTACCCTTGTTCTAGCCAGTGCCCCAGACCCAAGGTGAGCTAAGGGACAGTCTCTCAAAGTCTGGGCAGAGAGCCTCAGGAAGTTGGGGTATGGCTGAGAGAAGAGGGGAGTGCAGGGGGATAGGCATACAGACTCTGAATGCTTGACCTTCCTTATTTTCTGTCTTTGAACTTATTTCAACAGAGGAACCCTTATCATCTAGCCCTGTGGCTCTCTAGTACCTTGTACCTGCTTCCTGTCCCATAATTGTGAGCGTTTAGCTGTGGTGCAGGTGAGAGACCCATTCTCCCACCCTCAGGAGCCAGGAAGGCCCACCAGTATGGCAGGGAGGCCTAGGCAGAGATATACAGGAGAGCAGAGACGTCTGGAGCTAGGTCACCGGTGGTCAGCAGGGCCTCCTGCAGAGGGAGCAGCCTCCTTTGGCCTTTGCTTGTCTGACTTCTAATGATCCTGTAAAAATTAGTTTTGTTTTTTAAGCACCCCAATGATGCATGAATACACTCTTTTGTCAAATCTTAAAAAGAGAAAATCCTTTTTTTTTTTAAATAAAAAAGAAAGTTATTTAGTCTTAAGATTGTAAAACTGTAAAGTTAAATAAAGTGGCCGCCCTTTGGCTGCCCTGATCCCCATCCCCTACTCCAGCTTCTGCAAGTAACCACAATTCTCAGCTAGGTGTATATCCTTCCAGACGTCTTTCTATACATTTACTTTTCCTTATTGTTTAAACCAATTTGAGTTGTCTTTTCTCTTACTTAAATCTGAAAGTGTTCCTAACCAATTTAATAACAATTGCCTCAGTGCTGTTTATTGAAAGGTTCTTCGTTTCATACTGACATAAAACGCCAGTTGTGTTAGACCCTGGCCAGGCCTGCTTCCTCAAAGACCCAGAGTAAACATGAACTGTAAACTCCAAAACTGTACAACTAGTTTTTAAAGAAAGATTGCCCAAGATACTGGCACAAGACTTTTTAAGGCCTAGGATTTGCATATTAGACCTATGTAATGTGGCTTACTGAAGAGCAGAGTTCTTGCTTTCTTTGGTAGTGTAAGCTCTTTCTGGTGCTCACACAGGAAGGACTGTAAAGGGCAGTGAGGGCTCGAATCTGGACTCTTCTGACATGAGGGACATCTCATTTTATGCAGGCTGCCAAGACCATTGAACTTGGAGGATGCCTTTGTGAGAAAGCAAGAAAGGCAGTGGGGAGCTGCAGCCCCCACATGCACCTTCATCTCAGGAACATCCTTTGTACTTTTTTTTTTAATATTGTACAGAGCTGTTTTTTTTTATTATACTTTAAGTTTTAGGGTACATGTGCACAACATGCAGGTTAGTTACATATGTATACATGTGCCATGTTGGTGTGCTGCACCCATTAACTCGTCATTTAACATTAGGTATATCTCCTAATGCTATCCCTCCCCGCTCCCCCCCACCACAACAGCCCCAGTGTGTGATGTTCCCCTTCCTGTGACCATGTGTTCTCATTGTTCAGTTCCCACCTATGAGTGAGAACATACGGTGTTTGGTTTTTTGTCCTTGCGATAGTTTGCTGAGAATGATGGTTTCCAGCTTCATCCATGTCCCTACAAAGGACATGAACTCATCCTTTTTTATGGCTGCATAGTATTCCATGGCATATATGTGCCACATTTTCTTAATCCAGTCCATCATTGTTGGACATTTGGGTTGATTCCAAGTCTTTGCTATTGTGAGTAGTGCCACAGTAAACATACGTGTGCATGTGTCTTTATAGCAGTATGATTTATAATCCTTTGGGTATATACCCAGTAATGGGATGGCTGGGTCAAATGGTATTTCTAGTTCCAGATCCCTGAGTAATCACCACACTGACTTCCACAATGGTTGAACTAGTTTACAGTTCCACCAACAGTGTAAAAGTGTTCCTATTTCTCCACATCCTCTCCAGCACCTGTTGTTTCCTGACTTTTTAATGATCACCATTCTAACTGGTGTGAGATGGTATCTCATTGTGGTTTTGATTTGCATTTCTCTGATGCCAGTGATGATGAGCATTTTTCATGTGTCTTTTGGCTGTGTAAATATCTTCTTTTGAGAAGTGTCTGTTCATATCCTTCGCCCACTTTTTGATGGGTTTTTTTTCTTGTAAATTTGAGTTCATTGTAGATTCTGGATATTAGCCCTTTGTCAGATGAATAGATTGCAAAAATTTTCTCCCATTCTGTAGGTTGCCTGTTCACTCTGATGGTAGTTTCTTTTGCTGTGCAGAAGCTCTTTAGTTTAATTAGATCCCATTTGTCAATTTTGGCTTTTGTTGCCATTGCTTTTGGTGTTTTAGACATGAAGTCCTTGCCCATGTCTATGTCCTGAATGGTATTGCCTAGGTTTTCTTCTAGGGTTTTTATGGTTTCAGGTCTAACATGTAAGTCTTTAATCCATCTTGAATTAATTTTTGTATAAGGTGTAAGGAAGGGATCCAGTTTCAGCTTTCTACATATGGCTAGCCAGTTTTCCCAGCACCATTTATTAAATAGGGAATCGTTTCCCCATTTCTTGTTTTTGTCAGGTTTGTCAAAGATCAGGTCGTTGTAGATATGCGGCATTATTTCTGAGGGCTCTGTTCGGTTCCATTGGTCTATATCTCTGTTTTGGTACCAGTACCATGCTGTTTTGGTTACTGTAGCCTTGTAGTATAGTTAGAAGTGAGGTAGCATGATGCTCCAGCTTTGTTTTTTTGGCTTAGGATTGACTCTGCAATGTGGGCTCTTTTTTGGTTCCATATGAACTTGAAAGTAGTTTTTTCCAATTCTGTGAAGAAAGTCATTGGTAGCTTGATGGGGATGGCATTGAATCTATAAATTACCTTGGGCAGTATGGCCATTTTCATGATATTGGTTCTTCCTACCCATGAGCATGGAATGTTCTTCCGTTTGTTTGTATCCTCTTTTATTTCATTGAGCAGTGGTTAGTAGTTCTCCTTGAAGAGGTCCTTCATGTCCCTTGTAAGTTGGATTCCTAGGTATTTTATTCTCTTTGAAGCAATTGTGAATGGGAGTTCACTCATTGTTTGGCTCTCTGTTTGTGTGTTATTGGTGTATAAGAATGCTTGTGATTTTTGTACATTGATTTTGTATCCTGAGACTTTGCTGAAGTTGCTTATCAGCTTAAGGAGATTTTGGGCTGAGACAATGGGGTTTTCTAGATATACAATCATGTCACCTGCAAACAGGGACAATTTCACTTCCTCTTTTCCTAAATGAATACCCTTTATTTCCTTCTCCTGCCTGATTGCCCTGGCCAGAACTTCCAACACTATGTTGAATAGGAGTGGTGAGAGAGGGCATCCCTGTCTTGTGCCAGTTTTCAAAGGGAATGCTTCCAGTTTTTGCCCATTCAGTATGATATTAGCTGTGGGTTTGTCATAGATAGCTCTTATTATTTTGAGATATGTCCCATCAATACCTAATTTATTGAGAGTTTTTAGCATGAAGGGTTGTTGAATTTTGTCAAAGGCCTTTTCTGCATCTGTTGAGATAATCATATTGTTTTTGTCATTGGTTCTGTTTATATGCTGGATTACATTTATTGATTTTCATATGTTGAACCAGCCTTGCATCCTAGGGATGAAGCCCACTTGATCATGGTGGATAAGCTTTTTGATGTGCTACTGGATTTGATTTGCCAGTATTTTATTGAGGATTTTTGCATCGATGTTCATCAGGGATATTGGTCTAAAATTCTCTTTTTTTGTTGTGTCTCTGCCCGGCTTTGGTATCAGGATGATTCTGGTCTCATAAAATGAGTTAGGGAGGATTCCCTCTTTTTCTATTGATTGGAATAGTTTCAGAAGGAATGGTACCAGCTCCTCCTTGTACCTCTGGTGGAATTCGGCTGTGAATCCATCTGGTCCTGGACTTTTTTTGTTTGGTAAGCTATTAATTACTGCCTCAATTTCAGAGCCTGTTATTGGTCTATTCAGAGATTCAGCTTCTTCCTGGTTTAGTCTTGGGAGAGTTTATGTGTCGAGGAATTTATCCATTTCTTCCAGATTTTCTAGTTTATTTGCATAGAGGTGTTTATAGTATTCTCTCTCTCTTTTTTTTTTTTTTTTTTTTTTGAGACAGAGTCTCACTCTGTCACCCAGGCTGTAGAGCAGTGGTGCAATCTTGGCTCGTTGAAACCTCCACCTCCCAGGTTCAAGCAATTCTTGTGCCTCAGCCTCTGGAGTAGCTGAGATTACAGGCACACACTCCCATGCCCGGATAATTTTTTTTTTTTTTTTTTTTTTTAAGTAGAGATGGGGTTTCACCATGTTGGCCAGGCTGATCTCGAACTCCTGATCTCAAGTGATCTGCCTGTCTCCCAAAGTGCTGGGATTACAAGCATGAGCCACTGCGCCTGGCCGGTTTCTGGTATAATTCTTGATCTTATTAAGGATGCTTCCTAGTAGTCCTAGTAGACAAAGAATTTTTCTCATAAACGGATGTTTCTGTTGAGATGATCATCTTTAGATTAACCAATTATTGTGGAGAAGTACATTGGTAGATTTTCCATAATCAAATTTGCATTCCTGGGAATGACCCTGCTTGATCATGATCTGTTATTCTTTTAATTCAATTTGGTAATGTCTTATTCCTACTGAGTTCTACCTCAGTAAAAATTTTCACCAAAACTGTGCCTAGCCTCCAGGCTGGGTGGCATGTTCCTTCTCTATGCACCGAGAGCACCATGTCTGTCTTTTTCTAATACCTCTCTAGTTTTGTACTTACAATCTGGTATTATAATTACATGTCTCCCTCAGTGGAATATGCCATTGTTGAGAGACAGACTTTTGTCTTCTTCCTAATTGTATCCTCAGTGCCCAGATAAGGCCTGATTTAAAGCAGGCCTTTGGAAAATATGTCTAGTCTGTGCGAAAATGCTTACCATTCCCCTGACAGGGACAAGTGCCAAGTCCCCATACTAGTTTAGCTTTGTGGGCAGAGCCCTGGCCTTGTTGGTCCAGCTTATCATGCAGACAAGAGCCATGTCAATACTGGTGGACCCCGCTTGCTGTGGGAGCTGGAGAGCCAGATATGCTCACAGCTCCTTCTCAGTTACACCTAAGCTGCCTGTGGGGAGCTCAGGACTCTGCATGCGCCTCCACATCTTCAGGCCGAAGATTCTCCATCACTTCCAAGAAAGCACGCTCAAATGTGAAAGCAGATAAATCATTAGCACCCTGTGCTGGGGCTTGTTACTGTTCAACAGGGGTTCTCTTTCTGGGAACCTAAGATACTTCATGTGTACCTTAGCAGCAGCTAATGGGGGTGGATGGAAGTGGTCACCAGGCATTCCAGTCACCCAGGGATGCCTAGGTCCCTTTACCAGGAAGCAGCGAGAGAGGCATAATGGACACAACTCTGTCTTTCTTATAGAAGACACCTGTTTCAGGCCAGGCCTTTATCTTGCTGAAGCTGACCCCACTGAAGGGTCATTGTGCTTTGGTTAGAAAACCACTGCAACCAAAGCCATCCAGTGACAAAGTAGTGGGATCCCTCATACTGGAGCAGGCAGACACCTACTGTCCCAGTAGTCTCATGTCAGAAACAACACTCAACATACATTGTCTTTTGTGCCCAGCTTGGGAGCTGGTCTGTGAGGACTGAGGGATCCCAGGTACCTTGAGTTCTTGTAACCATACAGTGGATGGACACAGACACAGCACCATCCTAGGGCTGGCAGATACTCCATGCTCATCGGTGCCAGCCTGCTCATCAACAGAATCACCCACCTCCATTCTGTCACCCACCAGGTATTTACTGAGACTCTTCTACATGACATGTGCCATTGAGGGTACTGGGAGAATAGCAGCAGACCTATAATACAAAAGCCCCTGCCCTTGAGGGGGGCTACCTGGTTTCCAGGTGCACCCCCAGTTTATCTCATGGTTTAGGTGGCACTATTTATGACTCACCAAGTTTGTGACAGATGATCAGTGTCTTCCTTCTGTGGCTGCAGTTTATCTGTGCACAGATGCTGGCATCCTTCAATCCAGGTCTCAGGTTTGGGTCAGGGCTTAGCTTGAGGCAGTAGGAAGAACAGAGCTCTCTGGATGGTTTAGGCAAGCTTGTCCAACCCATGACTCACAGGCTGTATACTACCCATGACAGCTTTGAATGTGACCCAACATAAATTGGTAAACTTTCCTAAAACATTATGAGATTTTTTGCTTTCTTTTTTTTTTTTTTTTTTTTTTTTTTGCTCATCAGCTATTGTTAGTGTTAGTGAATTTTATGTGTGGCCCAAGACAATTCTTCTTCCAAAGTGGCCCAGGGAAACCAAAAGATTGGACATCTCTGGTTTAGAGATTCAGTTGGTTTCTTCAACTTCAGTTCTTGGTGTACAGGGATGGCCTCTGACTTGCTCCACATCCTCAATCCGGCCACCACCTGGTTTTCTGCACACAGGAAACACTTGGCAATGTTGGCTGAAACAATGAGTGAGAGCCAAGTGCCAAGTGCTGGGCTAACCTCGCTCACAGCCAATTAGGCATAAAGTAACCAGGGCTGTAAGAGAAGTGGAAACAGAGATGCAGATGCTCCAAGGAGGCCAGACACTTGCCCTCCTCTCTTGGTGAGTCCTGTGCTCAGAAGGGGCACAACGGAGACGTGCTTGGGCTGTCCATACGGCAGTCTCTCTGCGGCAGTGGAGAAAGCTCTGGTCTGTGTGTATAGTGTGCATGCAGGGGAGTGTGCATATGTGTGTATATTTGCCTACATGCACATGCATGTTCACATTGGCTCTGGTCCCCACAACAACACCATTATAGGGCCCTGCTTAGCCATCCTTTCTGCAGTGGGTGGGGGGGGTGGGGAAAGGGGTTCCTGACTGCTGTGTCACTTTTGGATAGTCACTGTTTTTTGTGTGCAGCACTCCTACCTCACCTACCCCACCCCTAGAGGCAGGCAGGGTGATGACTGAAGCATCAGGCCTGTGGTTTCTGTAACAGGAAGTGATTTAGATGCTGAAAGCTAATTTTAGATGAAATGATATGGGGTTTTTAAAGAATCTTTCAGGGTTGGTTTCAGGCTCAAGGCTTAGCCCCCTGCTCCTCTTGCCTACAGGGGACAGGCAGTTTCCCATTGTCCTTGTCACTGTCTTGCTGGGTGAACTCATGCCTAGCTGGGCAGGGTTCTTAGGTAGAAAGCCAGTGCTGATTTTTCCTGGATTTCAGAATGTTTAAGTCATTGTTTTTGGCCTTGAACACCAGAGTCCTGTGACTCAGCACAGGCCTGGCTCTAGGCCAAGCAGACACAGGACCTCTTATCCCTGGAAGGGGACTGCCTGGAGGCTCCCAAGGATCTTGTTAGGACAGAGATGTCCACCCTCACCCAGGCTGAGGCCTGGGCCAGAGGTCAGATGAGGCTTCTGGGCCAAAAAAAGTATCATCTTGGGTGGCAGACACTTAGGTGGGGCCTCTTCTCCCAGTTAGCCCTGTCCTGAGCCTCTTAGCAGGGGCGGCTTTCTGACCCAGGTGCCACACTAAGGATCCCATCCTGATTGAGCCCTGTAGATTGGGACTCCTGATAGCAGCAGACACAAAAGAAACTGAGGAGTAGGCACAGAACTCTGAGAGTCCTGTCCTCCTGGTGTCGGGGTCCCACTGGTTGGGGACCTTGGAGCCTCGTGGTTTCTGTCTCTGCCAAGGCCTGAGCACAGGAAATAGAAGGTTGGGCCTCCCTGGTCACCTCTGCAAGGGTCTTCAAAGCCCATTTTAATCTGTTGTCCCATTCCCTAGGTCTTCCACAGCACCCCATACCAGAGAATGCTGCTCCCATTATCAGAGAAGCAGCCAAATATCAGCATGCTAAGAGAGATGTCCCAGGGTTACATAGCTTCACTCAGGCAGCATTGGAGCCAGCCAGGCCAGGAGCTTACCCTGTCCCATACTACCGATGGGATGCCCAGCATTCAGGGAAAAGAGCTCACTCTGCATATCTCATCTAGACAGCAGCCAGCCTCATGAACCCCTACCACAAACCTGGGACCTCTGGAAAGCCAAGTATAAGTCTCTGCCAGTTCTTAGTCCACCCTTGTTCTGCTTTGTGGTGAGGTATAGCTTGGGAGATGAGGCGAGGCCTATAGGTCTTGGTTGGTACACAAGAAGAAACACTTCTGCCTAGAGAGGCTGTCGACAGACATTTCCAGGGACACACAGCAGACAGCCTTCATGGCCTTCATGACCAGTCGGTCCCTTGTGGAAGACAAGTAGGACAGGACAGATGATTAGCCCAGAGCCAAAACTGAGCTCAAACCGCAGAAGAGGAGAGCATTCTCACAAAAGCTCCAGTGTTTGCAGCACAATGACGGAGGTAGATGGTGTGAGCTAAGCCCTGTTTTGAGAGTTCCATAGAAGGTGTCTTTGACCTATTTTCAAGGGCTGTGGTGGTAGGAGGAATTTTTGGCCACATCATAAAGAGTTTTGTGGCCACCTCTGATATACCTAGCTCAGGAAGTTGTAATTTTCCATGATTAGGTTATTAGTCACCAAAGTGATTGCTGCCCCCAGACCCTGGCCCCTGTGCTGCAGGAGGCTGACAGAGATGCCCCTCCAGCACTGCAGCCCTGCCTCCCCAGCTGCAGGCCAGAAGCCAAGGAGGCCCTGAGTACTGATGTTGGGCCCTCTGGGTGCTTCCCTTGTTTGTGGAACCCCACAGCCCCATTCCAACTTCTTGAGCACTTTGCCTACCCCAGGAGATTTAACTGGGGCAAGAAATCCTGTAAGATCTCAACAAACGGACGTGGGTAGAATAGCTCCCAGAAAATCTACTCAAGGGAAGACCCATGTACTCCAAGGTATCAATAATGGTGAGGGACTCAGTCTGTAACTTTCTAGGACAGTTTCATTTCATTTTAAAAATTTAAGATGAAAGAGTTTATTAATGGAAGTAGTTCATGAAGCACCTTCAGGAAACCACACAGGACTCAGAGCTCCTTGCCTTTAGAAAGACAGGACTGTGTCAGCCTGTGTGGCATTCACACCTGGATTCCCAGGGTGGGCTTCCCTTAGAAAGGGAGAATTAGTTGCAGCCCATCTCTCTGTGGGAATCTCACCTGGTGAGCCCCTTCTCCCAAACTCCTAGAGTGTCTCACCCCAGCTCCTGGGCTCGACTGGTGCCTCTGAGGAGCGTACCTGCTGTTGGAATTGGCGGAGCGCTGCCAGGCTGAGGAGCGAGGAGAGCCTGCCCCTGGGCCCTGCCACCAAAGCCATGGGGGCAGTCGCATGCTTTGCTTGTCAGTTGGTGGCATTTAGGTGGCATTAGGAATGTTTGTTGTTTCTAATTATTTGTTTGTTTGTTTGTTTATTTGAAAGTAATCCCTCTTTTTCCAAAGGCCTGCATGCTGCCTTGATTCTGGAGGAGCCAGGGATTGGCCCAATGACCCAAATGTTTGGAAGTCTTTAAGGGCCCTTTTCATGCCCGTGAAGTCACAGAAGTAGGTAATCACCCACCTACCCTCCCCAGGTACCCGATATTGATGTGGGTCAGAGGGGGCTGAGAAATAACTCAGCCTCAAAGCCTTAGACCGTCTTCTCAGGGTGTAACCGTCATCTCAGGATAGACAATTCAGGAAGAGGATGCCTTGCCACACATGAGGAGGTGGGAGTGGCAAATGAGCAGGCGTTGCATTCAGGGCAGGTTTAGAGGAAGGTTTGGCAGGTGAATGATGGTTTGCGTACAAACTACAGACAAGAAATTGAGAGGACAACTGGGTATAGGTGAGGTGACTACTCTGCCCTCAGAAAAGTGGAAGTCTGAGTTCATGGGGGAATGCCTCTTAAATAACACAGATGGGCAAACTCCAGACATTAGTGAAACCTTCTTCGTTAGACATTCTTTTCAGGGGTTTCTCATACTTCCCCAATCACCTTAATCATCAGTGCTGACCACAACTGATACCTTTCTGGGTGACTCAAGGCCAGTGCTCAGGCGGGCCACCGTGTGTTGAATCCAGCTGAAGATGCAGGTGCAGCTGGAGGAAGGACTAGCCCTGAATGGGCACCAACCCCAAAAGAATCCACTGACTGTCACTTAGGCAAAAGTTCCGCAGTCACATTGCTTTTGGATCCTCCGCCTCACTCTTCCTGAGAGGTATTTGGTGCAAATAGCCGGACCTCTGGAGTGGGAGACACCTGACTCCAGTTCCTGCCACTTCCTCCTTCCTGCTAGTTGCCAGACCTTGGACAGTTTGGTAACTTTGAATTTGCCCCTGTCAAATTCATTCATTTACTCATGCACTCACTCACTCATTCACTCAACATAAATTCCTGAGTAGCTTCCATGTGCCAGGTACTAGTTTAGGTACTTGGGAGTGATCAGTAGAGGAAATAGGTAAGTGTTCCGCCTTCAGAAATGTGTATCATGGCATGGGAGGTACAAAATAAGCAACAAAGCTGTTAACAAGTTAGAAAGTGGTAAGTGCTATGGGAAAAAACAGAGCAAGATAAGCAGTGCTTGGAGTGGTGGTAGAAGGGGCTGCAATCTTAAACAGTATGGACATGGCAGATCTCTGAGAAAATAACATCTGAGCAAAGACTTGAAGGTGTTGAAGGCGTTAGCCCCTTTTAGGCACAGGGAAGAGCCAGCGCAAAGGCTCTGAGGCTGGTGTGTTCAAGGAGCAACATGGAGGCAAGTGTGGCTGGAGCAGAATGAGTGAGCAGAGAGGGTCACAGGGGAAAAGAAAGTGATGGAAAGATAAAGGGGAAGATGATGCGGACCTTGCAGGCCACTGTGGGAACTATGGCTTTTCTGTGGTAAAACACAGAACTCCAAGAGGGTTTTGAACAGAGGGCTATGATCTGACTAGAGCATAACAGGATCACTCTGGCTGCTGAGTTGAGAATAGATTATAGAGCAGGGAACAGGTAGAAGCAGGGAAATTAGCTAGGCTTCCACTGAAGTATATTCTAGAAGATAATAGTGGCTGGAATCATCATGGATTCAGTGGAAGTGGGGAGAAATGAGAAATGTTGGATTCTGGACCTGTTTTGGAAGAAGAATCATCAGCATTTGCTGATGGCTTAGATGTTGAGTATGAGAGAGAGATCAGAGTTAAGGATGACTCCAAGGGTTTTTCTCTGAGCAGCTGGAAAGAAGGATTTGACCTCAACTGAGACAAGAAGACTATATGTGGGGCAGGCATGAAGGGGAAGATTAGGAGTTCACTTTAGCACACATAAAATGGGATAATTATACTTCACAGGCTGTAGTGAGGGTTAAATATGATAATATATGAAAGGTCTTAGTACTAGCAAGCTCTTAGTAAATGTCACTTTCCCTTTTTCTTTCTCAAAGAGGTGGTGAAGCATGAACAGCTGGGGTCCCCAAACCAATTTGACTAATTGCCTTTCTGTAGAAGTAATGTGCCAATCAGATGCCAAGACAGCCTCCTCCCTGTGGTTTTCTCACTCTTCAGGAAACTTTCACTGTTGCTAACAGGGTCTTTAGATTTGTCAAAGGTTTCTCGGTGATGTTGACACACTGATGTGATGATGAGTTTCTGCATCGGGGCACTGTGGCGCCCAGACAGCCTCCATCTATGTGCTCACCGTTTCCATATCAGTCACTCTGCTGGTGTCACATGAGCAAGAGGCATGATCTCTTCAGCAGAACAGTTTGGTTCTACAGACACACACCGACATCCATATCACTCCTTGTCCCCCCACCCCCAGGTTGTTATGGGACTGTTGAAAAATTACTTACCTGTGAGGTAGGTACTATTATTCCCATTTTATAGATGAAGAACAAAGGTTCAGAGAGGCTTGTTATATGAATTAAGTGAATGAGTATATGCAAAAATGCTTAGTACCACTGTGCCTAGAACTTAGTAAATGCTTGAGAAAGGTTAACCATTGTTAATAAATGTTAATCATTGTCAGTAGTTCAAGAAAGGAAGGATTTTCTCCAAAACTACACTTTTGTTATAAAAGACAGTAGGCTGACTTAACATTAGGTCACAACTTTATCTTAGCTATTTGAATCATTTGATTCTGAATAATATTGTTGGCATGTGGCACATTACAATTTTTAAATGAACAAAACAAAAAAGGTTATAGTCTGTATAGTAGAAGCATTTTCATACAGGGAATAATTGGATATACTTGACTTTATGGATGAGAAAATCCAGGTACCTGGAAGGATGCTACCCAAGGGCCATCTTTGGATATGGGATGCTCTTTACTTGTTTGAATTTTTAACAGTAAACTTAAATCATTCTTAGGACAATAGGCTAGTTTGTAAAGATGTCTCTGAAATGTCCGGTAAGATTTGTGTGGTACCTGTGTGATTAACTGTTTTCAGTGGTTACATTGCTTTATCTGAGGGGCCACCTGACTGTGCTGACACCATGATGGACAGCCCAAGTCAGGGTGCATGAGATAGTGAGGCCTAGCAAAACAGATTCCTTAGAAGTGCCCAAACTTCCCTCTTCAGCTGAGGTTGGTGACTGCTCAGACCCAGAGCCGTGCACATGCTTAGTCATTTGATCACTGTCTGAGAAAGCCTTCTCTCTGGGTAGAAACGTAAGAACAACTTGAGGTTTGTAGTATCCCTCTCAAGCTTGTCCAATCCACGGCCTGTGGGCCACATGCGGCCCAGGACAGCTTTGAATGTGGCCCAACACAAATTCATAAACTTTCTTAAAATATTATGAGACTTTTTTCTTTTAAGCTCATCAGCTATCATTAGTGTATTTTATGTGTGGCCCAAGACAATTCTTCTTCCATTGGGGCCTGGGGAAGCCAAAAGATTGGACACCCCTGCTCTATACACTGGTTGGTGGTGAGTGAGGGCTCAGGTAAACATGAGACATCTTTGACAGCTTCAGGATAACAAAATCTCTAGGTCCAGAAGTTCTACTTGCAGGCCTCCTGTAGAACTGGCATATATGAGAACAGGAATCTCATCTTTATTCTGTTTAAATCCTGGAGATTTGATTCATGGCACCTGCCAGTGTGGACATTTGCATGTGAATCTCAGATACACTGGCTTCATTAGCCTGTAAAACAGTTCAAGAGACAGGCCAAGTTCCCAAATGGTCTCTCAAGAAAGCTATAAAATTGTGCAGAAGCAAAACATTTGAGTACCTGCCTTTCAGCCATGATGTTTTCTATATTGGAAGCCTAGTATCATCCTGATTCAACATTTTCCTGGGCTCATTCTTAGAGTCCAGGGCAGCCCAGTTTGAAAATGGCATAATTCTCATACTCTCTGACCATTGGGGTCCCACTACCGGGTACCAAACTGTGAGGGGGTATATTACTGGATGTGTCACAGACATCCACCCTGCCCCACACCACTGAGATTTGCTGATTGGAGTGACTTTAATGGATAATTTCTGCCCCAACACTGAATGCTCACACAAGGCCCTTGACTCTTCCCTGGTATTCCCATTTATGCTTCAATTGTCCTTGCTTCCATTTCTGCCCCCTTCACCTTGGCATCCCCAGCCCTCTGCTTTGATATCTTTGTGGCTTGGATGCTGAGTGGAGAGGAGAGCTCTCTTTGGTGGTGAGCAGGAGATGACTAGTGGACCTCTGATGACAATTGACTCTCTCTCCTCCTGGCAGCCGCCTTCCCTCGGCTCTACCACTACCACTGTTCAAACATTGCTCTCTGCTCTCCCCATGGCCAGGAGCTCAAAAGCTGCTACAGACCAGGAGGATTCCAGCTTGGACACCTTATGACCAATGAGCTACAACTTCAGTGGGCATCATCTGGGCATCAGCTTGGATTATGACCAGGTCAAGGTGCTGAGTGCCAGGCAGTCAACAAGCAACTGCTGTGGCGTCCACCTGTCAAAGTTCTGTCAGTTCAAGATGCAAGAGCACCAGGTTGAAGGGCACTTGCTGCATGTCAAGTTCAGTTCTTTTTATGATTAGAGTCAGAGTTCCCTGCAAGTGAGAACAGAGCCCAGCTAGACCTGGCCCCAGGGCTCCCTTGCTGTCTGTTCCCTCTTCCTTCTGGATACTTCTGGCCCTGTCCCAGGGCATTTGACAGGGGCCTCCAAGTACCTAGGCCAACTGAGGAGCAGAGGTAGAGGTGTTGAAAAGCCTCCACCTGCCAAGACCTTGAGCACTGAACCCAGGCAGCCTCCTGTGCCCCAGCCTCTGTCCTCTATTCCTTTGTGAGCCCTTCTTTGACCACTTCTCCCCCTTTTTACCCTCACTCTCCAGTTCAGGCCATCAACTCTGGCGAAGCAAATATAAAAACCTTCTCACTGATCCCCTTACTGACTTTTGGCCAGCACAGTAGCCTGAGGGATCCTTTAAAAACATAAATCCAGCTCCTTCTTGTCAGTCAGGTCTCAGCCAAATGTCACCTTCTCAGAAAGGCTCCCATTGACCATCTAAAATCTTCCATGCCATCATCACATATTCTATTTATTTTATTTTTATTTTAAAAATAGGTTTAAAGGGCACAAGTGTGGTTTTGTTACATGGATATATTATGTAGTGGTGAAGTCTGGGCTTTCAGTGTAGCCATCACCTGAATAGTGAACATCGTACCCAATAGGTAATTTTTCAACCCTCACTCCCTCCCATCTTTTGAAGTCTCCAATGCCTGTTATTCCACTCTGTATTTTATTTTATTATCTCCACTGACATTATCTTGAGCATTCTTTTGTTTACTGCTTTACTGTCTTCTTTACTACCTTGTAAGCATCAAGAGGGCAGACAATTTGTCCCGCATGGCCCTAATGCCCAGGACAGTGCCTGATAACATGGTAAATTGGTACTCAAAAAGTATTTATTGAATGAATGAATGAATGAATGAATGAATCCATTCTTAAGAAGAGCTCACATTGCCAGTCACTGGGCTGTCAAGCAGTCCTCAGGCTGACTTGAGTGCTGAGTGGAGAGGAGAGCCTCTCCTTGTGGCGAGCAAGGCATGAGCCTGCCATAACCCCAGGAGTTACGGGGCAAGGCCTCTTGGCCTAGTGGATGCCAGCCAGTAGGCCACGGGTCTCTTTAAAAGCAACAGGAAGCCAAGTCCTGGAGATAAGAAGTGTGGCTGCCAGCGTGATAGAGGTGGGAAGAGGGCTGAAGGGTGGAGAGGTGGGGGCTGCCGGGCACCTCTGTGCTGCTCCCTGGGGATGCCCAGACCTCTGTGGCTGGCTGGCCAGCACCACATGCTTCCTGTGGAGAGCAAGGAGAGGAGATCCCCTCCAAAGGCCCTGGAGCTGGGACTGCCCCAGCAGCCTCACCCTTGTCCTCACTGTGGTGGTTAAGACGCAGGGCTACTGTCCCACTTCTCTGCCATTCATGGACACTAGGGCAGCTGCCATAGGGCAAGTGTCATATCCATGTGCTCTCTGCACCTGGCTCCCTGTGCTTCTCTGTGTTTTAGACTCTTCATTGGTACAATGGATTCCTCCACACTGGTGATTGTGAAGAGTCTGGGAAGTCTGGGAGGAACTGGGGACTGGGGGCTAGAGTCTCAAGGAGGAGTGAGGGTCTGGAGGGCTGAGATACTAGATATGAGAGGCAGCCCGGGTGTGGTGGATGGGCTGGCAGGGGCTAGCTAGCATTTGGATGCAACATAACAAAGACCTGGCATCCCTTTCAGTGTCTCATCCCGGCTGGTTGATGCCAAGTAGCAGGAAGAGTGATGAAAGGGCACCTGAGGAGACTCAGAGACTTTGGTTTAAGTGTTGTATCTGCCACTGTCTGGCAGACAAGTCGTTTCTCTGCTCACAGCTTCAGTGATGCGTCTGTGAAACGGGTCATGTTCTCTCTCTCACATGATCGTGGTGAGCATTAAGGAAATTATGTAAATCATTTCAGTGACTCTTCAGGCTTCAGCTCCCCATTCCTGCTGGGGTCATCTCCTAGGATAGTGAGGATGTCTGTGGACACAAACTAAGGAAGCCAGAAAACCGCTGTCCTGACTCAGTGTCTTGCCCCACCCTGGCCTCTGGCCCAGATTCTGGAGGCCTTAGTCAGGGGGTGGGGGTCTGTTTGCCCAGAGCTGGGGTTTCCCTATAGATCCTGTGGGACAGAACAAGTGCAGCCCACTGGAAAGCCCTTGAAACAGTTGGATGTCACCCTGTCTGAGAGGAGCTTAAAGCTGCCAGAACGGACTGGTGGACTGGTTGGATCCGCCCCCTTGGGAAAATCCAGGCATGAGCTGTCACCTGGACCTGAGTACAGTTCCTGTCCATCCTGCACTAGCGAGGCCATGGGGAATGCTCAGAAGGGGAGGCGTCGCGTGAAACCTGCTTAATATACAGCCTGTCCAAAGGTCCCAGCCCCCAGCCACCTGAACTGCCAGGACTGTTCCATTTCCCTATCCTCCACAGGCCTGCCCCGAGGCCCCTGCCAACAAATGTCACTTCCCCACACCAACCTGCTTCCTCCAGGATTGGTATTTTCTGACTTCTATGTTTTTCATGGCTTCTTTGATGCCACCGCTCCTGTTTCTCTTTCTCCTCTGTGACCAGTTCTTACAAGCCTCTTACACAGCTGCCTCCTCCTCTGCCCATCTTCTAGGTTTCCAAGTTCCTTGGGGCTTGGTACTTCTCTCTTTGGCTACCCTACAGGTCTCAAACTTGCGGTCTAAAGGCCAAATCAAGGTCTGCACCCTCCAACAAGGGTCCCTACCTTTTCTTAACCTGCCACCCTACAAACAACACTTCAGACTAGTGGTGTTCCCAGACATGTTTCTGCATGCCCCTCTTTGGGGAGAAACTCCACGATTATGGAGCCATCCTAAATGCGAGCTACTAGGTCCAGATTTCTTTGATCTAGCTTCAGCCTATCCCCACCACACCTCTTACCAGATCACCTGGCCTGGTTGAAGGGCTTTCTTTAAGGCATCCCATCACAAGCATGTTTTTCTCTGCCCCTTTGCCACCTGGCAAACGACTCCTCCTCTTTTCATAGACTGACCAAGAAACTATAGCCGCCCCAACCCAGATGATACTGATTCTGCTCACTACTGCTAGGGACAAAAGCTGCCTGACAGGTGTCTCTGATACCTGGTGGCTGAGATACAGTGAGTACTCAATATTAGATGGGGAGAGGGACCCTGTAGCCATTTCTCCTGAGGAGTTGAGTACCTGAGAATGGCAGAGTGAGGCTCTTCCCTGGGCTTATGTGTCACAATAGGAAAGCAACAGAATCCCAGTTGCCAGGGTTGTGGGGGGAAGCGTGGTTTGTAAGCATCAGGCTCTGACCCATCTGCCCAGGGACAAGATTTGTACAGGCTTTTTAAGGTGGTCTTGTGGATGCTGTGATACACAGCTCAGACCCCCCCGCCCCATCCCCTTTATGAATGAAAGATTTATTTCACCAGCTGGTGGGAGAGCTGCCAGAAGACAGCCCCAGCTGTCAGCCCTATTTTGGACTACTGCTAAAAAATAATTGCCTTGTGTAAGGTCACACCTACTTCTGTAGGGAGCCCACGTCTACCAACTGATAAATATGAAGGTATAAAGGCTTGGCTCCCTCTCCTTCTTGGGAAAACTCTGAAGGATCATCACAGATGAGCACTCCTGGTCTCAGCTGGAACCTCGGCTGGAATTGCATAGTAGCTCCACTTCTCCTTTTGCCTAGTCCTGTTTCAGTCCTCATTTCCACTGATGTTGACCCCAAGATCTTTTCCTAATAAAGGTCCTACATGCTCATATCCTACTCAGTCTGTTTCCTATAGAACCTAATCTATGGCATCTGGCTTTAGGAGTGACAGAAAAAAAATGAGATGCTAAGATATGATTTTGGAGCTGGATCATCCACTGTTGGCTGCCAATGAGGACTCCCATCACAGGTGGCAGGTGAAGCAGACAGCTTTTGGCCCATGGTAATAATTGTTAAAACTTTTACCTATGTTGGAAGAGAATGCATTAGATGGTGCAGTGCCTCAGGTGTTTGAGAAATATGGGGGAATTAGCCACTGCAAGGACAATGGAATTGCTAAGCTTGACTAACTTTCAGTAAAAGAAAATGGAGAGCTTAGAGTGATTAATTGGCAATGAAAACATAAGCATGAAAGCCGTAGGCCTCTTTGGTGCATCTATAGAAAAGAAGAAAAAGCAGAGAATCAGACCCAGACTTCTGTCAAAGTAGTTAAGCTTCAAAGAAGGTTATATTCCCAACCAAGGCAGGTCTTCTATGCCAAGGGCAGAGCCCTGGTTGGGGAAGAATGAGACCCTGACACGTGGGATGAGGACCTCTGTTGCACCTGAATATCTTGAATCCTCAGATTTCACTAAACACTCTGGACCTGCAGAAGTGACCTACTCATCTCTGTTAAAAGCTAGAACTTGCTTCTTACTTTAAAAAGAAAATGCGGAGGCTTCTGTCCTGCAAGACATGCTCTCATTCCATGTTACCTCTTTGTGCTAGGCCAATAACTAGGGTTAAGTCAAAACCTAACCTGGCCAGACATGCTGAACTTGCTAGTGTAGAAAAGGACTATACCTCAAAGGAAATTCTGGTCATATCCAGAGAGTACTAGCAGGAGCTTGGAGAGTATGCACAGGACTGGATTCTGGACCAAGGGGGTGGAACAGAAATTTGAACAAAAGAGTTTATGGATATGGGAACATTCTTCCAGGATAAAGTATTTAAAACTGTGGCAAGGCCCCAAGAGATGGTGCAAATACATCGTTTGGATGGCTCCTAGAAGCATGGAAAGAGGATGGCCCATATTAAGTGAGGGTAGCCAGAATGGCTATGGCAGACTATGAAGGACGTGGGTGTGCAGGAATAAATATACTAAGCAAATTCAGAATACTCGCCTGAGGGCCAAGAAGATACCAAAACAAGAAATGTATTGGAAAGAAGGGCACCAGTATCACCAAGAACTAAAATGGTGGCTAAAATAGGCCAGCATTGATAGGAAATGTCACAGAACTGGGCTCACTGATAGCAGTAGGGGTGATAGGACTCTGAGATAATAGAGGCCAAGTCATAGCACTTGGCCCAGTTGTCTGGGTGGCAAGATTGGAATGGCTGTTAAGAGGGCCTGGCTCCCGGGGAGTTATGGACATGGTTAATAAAACATAGCATCTGGAGGGTCACAATAGATGGCCAGCCAACAGTGCTGCGGGTTATTCTGTGCAAGAAAAAGAAATCAATCATGGATAATGAGTCCAGTCACCCCAATAAAAAGTAACCTGCCGAGTTTCCAGATCTGAACCAGTTTTCAGACTTAGAACCTACTGATTGAAGAAGATGCCAGATCTCCCAGAAGGAAGAGTCCCACACCACCACAGCAAGTGTGCATGATAATGATTTCCCCAGCCCTTTCCCAGGGGGACCTGTGGGCACTTAACTTGGATAGCTACATACTAGGAAAGAGAATATCCTAACATGTGAAAGACTATTGAACCCGGGATTAGAATTGACATTGTTACCTAGGTACCTGAAGTGGCACCAAAATCCTCTCATTAGAATGAGGGGTATATGTGGGCCAGGTGATAGATTCCTGGCCTGAGTTCTGCTAATAGCAGGTCCTCTGGGTCCACAGACCCACAGTGATATAATCAGATCAACACACTTGATAATTAGCACAGCCCCTACATTGGGTCCTTGGCCTGCATGGTGAGAGTGATCATAGTGAAGAAAGCCAAGTGGAAGCCTTCAAAACCTTCCCATTCCAGGCAAAATAGTAAATCAAGAACAATATCACATTCCAGGGTTAATGGCAGAAATTATTGCCACCATTATAGACCTAAAAGGGAGTCCGTCATATCTTCATTTAATTTACCAGCAAAACCCAGTTAAATCCTGAAAGATGACAGCAGGCTACTACCAATTCAACAGTAGCCCCATTTGCAGCCACTGTGCTTGCCAAATGTGTCTTCACTACAACAGATTAACATGGGCTCAGGCATACAGTGTGTAGCTGCTGATTTGGTGAATCCATTCTTTTCCACCCCTGTTAGAAATTGTTTGCATTCACTTGGGACAAACAACAGTTCAAATTTCCAAGGCAAAGTTAACTCTCCTGCCCTCTGTCATAACATAGTTCCAAGAAGTCTGAACCACTTGGGCATCCTGCAGAACATCACACTGGTCTACTCTATTGATAATATTATGCCAGTCAGACAAGATTGATGGCCATGGCAAGACACATGCACTCCAGAAGATAAACCCTATGAATATTCACAGCCTGCCACATCAGTGAAGTTTTTAGGAATCCAGTAGTCTGGAGCGTGCAGAAAATTCCCACCAAAGTATAGGACAAATCACTATGTCTTGTACTTCCCACCATGAAGAAGGAAGCGGAATGTTTGGCAGGCCTCTTAGGGTTATGGATGCAACCTATATGGATGAAACCTATTACACACTTGGGAATATTATTCTGAACCATATACCTGGCAGTGACACAAAAGCCTGCCATCTTTGAGTGGGGCCCCAGGCAGGAAAGGGCTCTTTGGCTGTAGTACATGTAGCCCTGCCATGTGGGCCATATGAGTCATCAGATACTGTGGTTTTAAAGGTATCTGTACTGGGAAAATACACTGTCCCTAGGGTTCTGGAACAAGGCCATACCATCTGCACTGGAGAATTACATACCTTTTGAAAAACAGCTGTGCCATGCTTCTGAGCCTTGGTAGGCCTGGAGGGCCTGACTCAGTGACCATGCAGCAAGAACCACCATGATGAATTGGTTTTTGTGAGACCTACTAAGCCATAAGGTCAGGTGGGCTCAACAGCAATCCATCATAAGATGGAAGTGGTACAACTCTAACCAATGAGCAGGATTGGAAGACACAAATAAGCTGCAGGTGCAAGTGACCCAGAACCCTGTACCATCCAACTCCAGGACACCAAAACCTTCCCCCAGCTCACATCTATGGCTGCATGGGTGATCCCTTGTGTCCAGCTGATGGAGGATGTAAAAGCTCAAACTTGATTCCCAAATAAGTTCAGATACAATACTCGGCCTCAGGGAGATCAAGAGACCACCCCACTGCTAGGTGACTACATTAGCCCTCTTATACCCCTGAAGGGCCAGTGATTCATTTTGACAAGAATAAAGACACAATTTAAGCATGAGGTTGCCTTTCCTGGCTGCAGGGCCACAGCCAACATCACTATCCAAGGGCCTTCAGAGTTTTTATTCCCCTGGTATGGGATCTCACATAGCATATCAGACTGAGGGATCTACTTTATATCAAAGAAAGTGGAAGCACAGGTCCATGACCATAGGATGTGCTAGTCATATCACATATTGCACCACTCAGGTGTTGTCAGTTTGGTAGAGTGTTGGGCAACAGCCTGTTGATGGCATAGTTGAAGCACCGGCTTGGGGTGCTACTTTACAGGATAATGAACTATTCTTCAGGATGCAGTTCTCACTATAAATCAAAGACCTTATATGGAGCTCTGTTCCAATAGGTATAATACAAGAGTTTCAGAACCAAGAGATAAAAACAGGAGTGGCCCCCTTTACTATCATTCCCAGTGGCCCACTTGGAAAATATATGCCTCCCATCCCTGCAAATCTGGGCTCTGTGGGTTTGGAGATCCTGGTTCCCCAGGAGGGAACATTTCCAGCAAAAGTCCCATTAGACTATCAGCTAGGGATGCTGCCAGGGCACTTCAGCCTTCTTGTGTCTAGGGACAAGCAGGAAAGAAAAGGAGGTACCATCTTGGCAGGGGTACCTGAGCCTGATCATCAGGAGGAGGTAAGACTACACAGTGGAGGCAGGGAGGCATACATGTAGCACCCCGGTGATCCAGTTGGATACCTCTTTATTACTCCCTTTCCCAATTTTGACAGTAAATGGACAAGTGCAACAATCCCAGCCTGAGATGGAATCAGACCTCTTAGAGATGAAGGATTGGGTCATGCTACCAGGTGAGCCAGCAGGATGAGCAAAGGTGCTAACTGAGAGTGAGGGGGAATCTGGAATGGATAGTAGAGGAGGAGATGATGAGTGTCATTTGTGGCCCTGAGATCAACTGCAACAGCAGGGACTGTAGTTCATTGTGAACCTTCCTCTTCTAAGTCTCCCAGAAGTAGAAGCCTGCTGGAACCATTGGTGTGCTAGAGCTGGCTACTTGCTCGTGAGATCCCATTGCTAAAGTTGTTGCCAGTCTGTTTTTAAACCGTTGGTAGTGCACCGATGGTGGGAGTATTTATACCATGATAGTTTTTTTTTCTCTTTTTTTTTTTTTTGGAGAACCAGTTATTGATAGCACACCACTGGAATCCTGGAGGAGCTGCTCCCAGAACCAGTGGGAAGTGTTTATATGAAGAAGTGGATCCAGAAAGCTCAAGGGATGGACTATGGTGGAAGCTATGATATGCTGCCCTGAACACCCTTCAGGAGTCAAGGTCTGATTGCCCCTGCTGAAGAAAATTTCCGTGCCTAAGGTCATGCTTCCTTCCAGGGGCAGCTTACATCCAATTACTGATCAAAATGAAGGCATAAAGGCTTGACCTCCTTGCCCCAACATAGGAAGAGTCTGAAGGGCCATCCCAGCTGTAGAAGTCTCCTTAGGATCAGCTGAGACTTCTGTTGTGACTGTATTTTGTCCAAATTCTCCCTCTGTTCAATCCTGCTTCCTTCCCTTCCCTTCCATGAGCAGTCCTGCATGCCAGTTTCTGTCTCAGAGTCTGCTTCCCAGGGAACCCAACCTCAGGCAGGCAGCCTCGTCATGCTTTCAGCACAACGGTCCCCTGAAAGTAGAAAAACCTCAGCTCACCCCAGGGGGGTTCTTGGACCCTACAGCCTCAGAGCAGAGTGTGTTCAAGTCAGCTTCAGTCTCTGCAGCTATGAAGGGGACTAATCACCCCATCCTCACCTGGCCTGGAATTGCTCCCCTGGGTCAAAACCTTTTAGGCCCTCAGGCCTCTGGGGCCTGGAGGTCATGAGGGGTGGTGAGAAGAGAAGGCGGCCAGGTGGAGCTCAACATCCTCGGATAGTCGTGCAAATGCCGGACTATAGCCTCTTCTGGGCACCGCCCCCTGTGCCAACAGAGTCCGGACTCATAGTGGTTCCTAAAAAGACCTTTTCCACGACAAGCACAGCCACCATGCTGGGAGTAGGTGGCCCCAGGAGAGATGTCGAGGAGGCTTTCTCTGCCCCACAGGCCAGGAAGGGGAGGAAAAAACCAGGAGAATGGATTGATTCTTGAGTCTGACTCCAGGGACAGTGAGGGCCACAGCCTACTACCTTCCTGGGACTTGTGGGGTTGAGGGCATTGTAGTCCTGGAGAAATGGGTCCCAAGAGTCCCACAAAGTCTCTGATCACAGTGCCAAGAGGAGGAACCTCCAAGAGAATCGGGATCTGCAGTCAGGGGCTGAGCTCAGAGACAGAATGGCCACATTTTAACCTGACCACAGCTTGCAACTGCGTCTCTGTCTGTCCCTGCCAGGGGCTCTTGCCAAGTCCGCCATCTCCTCTATGTCTGTCAGTCTTTCACTGCCAGCGTTCCCTCTTGTCTCTCCATCTGTCCTTTCCAGGCTCTCGCTGAGTCTAACTGTCTATCAGTGTCTGTCCGTTTACTCATCACTGCCAGGAGCCTGAGCTATGCCTATCTGTTTGTCTGCCCCTGTCATGGTCCTGCTGTGTCTGTCTGTCTGCTTGTGACTCCTGGTCCTTCAGCCTGACAGAGTCTAAGGTCAGATGCTCCTTCCTAACAGGGGGGTTCATTGTAACTTGGGGACCTGGTCCTTCAGCCTGACAGAGTCTAAGGTCAGATGCACCTTCCTAACAGGGGGGTTCATTGTAACTTGGGGACCCAGGCCCACACCCATTTTTGTTTGATCTCAGAGCCCAAGGCTGCATATCTCTGTCCCTCAGCCCCATAGGCACAAGAACCTTTGGTGTGACCATGGCCCAGGGTATGGCTCGAGGCTCTGGCAGCTTCCTCTTATTTCCACCTGGGTTCCAACACTGGTTGCTGCCCATGTCCAGGACTGGATTGGTGAGAGGAGGCATTAGGGTCTGTCTGATTCACAGTGCTTCCCCTAGCCCTGAGAAGAGAGAGAGCTTCCATTTCAGTTGAGGACTAAGAGGCACCCACAGAATCTGCCCCAGAGAGGTCCCAGTGGGAGAAGGGACCTGAGGGGTATGGAGTTCACTCAGGGACAGCTTCCTGGAGTGTAAGGGGAGAGGGGAGACTATGAGTTATCCTGTTATTGTGTTGTTTCTGACTGGCTCCAACCCAGTTGCTGCTTCCCTGGCCTCCCTTCCCCAGCACATGACCTCACCCTTATCCAGTCTGGTAGAGGAAGAGGCCTGGATAGGAGCCAGGGCCTCCATCAGGAGAGCTTGGGGCTGCCCCAGGCCTAACTGGAGGAAGTGTGACACATTCCCAGAGAGCTGGGCTTCCCTCCCTCTTGCAGCTTCCTTTGAGATGGTTCCCGAATCCGTTAAGTGGGAAAAAGAGCTGGCAGCTGTGCTGGTGTTGGGCTCCCAGTTCCCCTGGCTCCTGGATGGCCCCAAGGGCCTCCTCTTGGCTCCCTCACAGATGCTATTTTTGATAAGAATAATGAAAACAACAGCCCTGGCTGTGTACTTAGTACCTGCTTATAGCCTGTTGCTGATCTTGGTCCCAAGAACATTTTCTAAACTTTGGAAAATTGGATGTTGCCTTTCCATCCGGACTTCTGTAAAAGCTGTGTGCATTTCTTTTATTCAAAGGTGAAAAGAGGCTCACTTTCATCAGACTCTGGAACATAGTCACTGCTGGCACTTGATGCCATGAGGGGCCCTCCTCCGAGCTGGGGGATAAAGCAGTAGTTCAGAGCAGAGACCCTCACAGTCCCCTGAGGAACAGATAACAGTCCACCCCTGTGGCGTAAGAGGTGGGCAGGCAAGCCTCAGAGTAGGTGTTGAGGAAGAGGAGGCCCCAGTGCAGGACCTCTCCACCTCCCACTGGACATTAGTCTTACCCCATTGTGGAGACAGATGTCAACCATTTGGCTGGGGTGCATTCCAGGCAGGGGTAGCAGGTGATGGTGGGAGTGCTGTGGCTGGTTCGTGTTACTGGGGTCCAGGGCTGATATGAAGGAGATGGATGGTGAGCAATGAGGCTAGAGGTATCTGCAGGGGCTGACGGGGCCAGGGCAGTAAGGGAGGGTCTTAGGTCAGACCAAAGGGCTTGGAGTTCATGCTGAGCTGGCAGGTAACCCTTATGACACACAGCCAGACTAACCCCTAAAGTGTAAGCTCCTCAAGGGTTGGTTTCCTTTCAGAGCCTGGCACAGTTCCTGACACTTTGTAGGTGCTCAGTACATATTTATGTAATGAATTAATGGGTGGCTGCTGTGGGGAGAGAAGCAGGAAGGGTCTAGAGACAAGGCCTGTGGGTATTTGGGGTGATTGTCTGCATTAGTGAGGTGGACTGGGTCAGGGCAAAGCCATAAAGACAAAGAGAAGTGGGCAGGTTGGAAAGGGGCTGGGAAGATGAATGTACCAGGACATGGCAGGGGACTGACTAAGGGACCGAGACCTCAAGAGGAACCCAGGACAGTACCCAGGTCTCTCCACTTGGTTTCTCCACATAGGATAGCAAAACATTACAGTTTACCTGGAGCCTCCCAGAGGCTCTGAGACCTTGTAGATAAGGGCTGCACTCCACAGTGTGCTGGCAAGACACCATCCACAGCCACATCAAACTGGGCCCTTTGTGAGCTACCTCTCCCAAAAAGGAGATGCAGGAGTAAACAACGCAGAGAAGAATTTCTGGTAATGATGGGAGCATTTGGGAAGCAGGCTCAGATCATATGAAAGAAGAAGAGAGTTCCAGTGTCTGGTGGATAAGCAGTGTCTACAAAAGGCAGGAAAACCAACAGCAACATTGTTCATGAAAGACTTTTTTTTTTTTTTTGAGATGGAGTCTCGCTCTGTCACCCAGGCTGGAATGCAGTGGTGCTTTCTCGGCTCACTGCAAGCTTCATCTCCTGGGTTCAAGCGATTCTCCTGCCTCAGCCTCCCAAGCAGCTGGGGACTACAGGCACGTGCCACCATGCCCGGCTAATTTTTTTCTATCTTTAGTAGAGACAGGGTTTCACCGTGTTAGCCAGGATGGTCTCGATCTCCTGACCTTGTGATCCGCCTGCCTCGGCCTCCCAAAGTGCTGGGATTACAGGCATGAGCCACTGTGCCCGGCCAATGAAAGACTTTTCCTTGGGAAAATATTAAATATTTGCCAGCAGCTAAAGCTAGTATTTAGTTAAAGCTAAAATATGTATGTCCTATGACCTAGCAATTCCATGTCATTCCCAGCATTTCCAGAAGAAAGGTAAACATATGCTCACCAAAACATGAGTGCAGGAATATTCAGTGAAGCTTTATTAATATTAGCCCCAAAGTGGAAACACCCCAAATGTCTGTCAGCAGTAGAATAGGAAATTTTTTTTTAATTAAAAAAATTTTTTTTAGAGACAGGTTCTCACTCGGTTGCTCAGGCTAGAGTGCAGTGGCATAATCACAGCTCACCTTAGCCTTGAACTGCCGGGCTAAAGCAGTCCTCCTGCCTCAGCCTTCCACGTAGCCAGGACTACAGGCCTGCGCCACCAGGTCCAGCTAATTGTTTTATTTTTTTGTGGAGATGAGGTCTTGCTGTGTTGACCAACTGGTCTCAAACTCCTGGCCTCAGGCAGTCCTCCTTCCTCAGCCTCCCAAAGTACTGGGATTACAGGCATGAGCCACTGCACCTGGCCAGAATAGGGAAATAAATTTTAGGATATTTTTATAATGGGATATTATACAGCAGTGAAAAATAACGTTACAATGATGGGCAATAACTAGAGAATTACACAGACACAGCGTTGAATGAAAGAAGTCAATCATAAAAGGGTATAGTACATGCTTCTGTTCTAAATGAAGTTCAAGAATGGGCAAAACTAATTTATGGTGGCAGAGGTTGGAATAGTGGCTATACTTGGAGGGAGGATACTGATTAGGAGCAGGGAAGTACAAGGAAGGCTTTGGTGGTAGTGGAAAATGGTGTATGTGTTTCCCTGGGTGCCAGTTATTTATATAGGTATAAATATAAAAACTCACTGAACGATATACTTAAGATTTGTGCACTTCATTTGTACAATATTGCAATAAAAATGAAAATAACTTTTTAAAAGGTTTTTCTCCACCTACACAAGAACTGCAGGCTTTTGAAGGAAGTGCTGAACTTCCAGGTGGTATGTTAACGGAAGGGCCTGGGAAGTTCGTGCTGATCTTCCCTTGAGGTTGACCAAAAAAAGGGAGAAAGATTTTAATTAATCATCTCTCAGGTTGAAAGAGCAGGTCTGGGCCAGAGATAACATCAGCAGCACCAACATGAAACTGTTTCGCTGCTCTTTTCTTAAACCACAGTGAAAAATAACTTTTGAAGTTGCATTTTTCCTGGCAGTCATGGTGCAGGGTCCCCTCACAGAAGGGAAATTGGTCAACTGTTTCCAAGAGTGAGGCCTGTGTCCAGCAGCCCTTTAGAGGACCCAGAGAGGGGGTTTCTGTGGGGCCAGGCTCAACAATTCTGTCTAGCTTACCTCCTGTGTGGTCCTGAGGAAGTCCCTGCCCTCTCTGGGCCTTGGGGCTGGGGAGCTTCCAGCACTGACAGTAGGTGAGATGGCTGCTCATCACCCCCAGCTCCCATCTTGGGGGCTGCCCCTGTTTTGACTTGCTCTGCAGACTGCATGCCATGAGTGTCTGGCCTCCCCACCCCTCTGAGGAACAGGGCACGCATCAGGGTGTTCTCAGCAGCAACAGGTTTTCCCGACTCTGCATCTGCCTGGTCTTAATGGTGTCAGGGCAAGCTGGTCTTGGGCTGGGGTCTTTCCATTTCTGCCTCACCCCTACTTCACAGATAAGAAAACAGGCCAGAGAGGGACCCACGCATCACATTTCTTGTGAAGCCCATGTAACAAAGTGGGAGGATCCACGGCAGGAGCCGCTGGGTCCAGGGACACCAGCCATGTGCCTTCAGCACAAACCAGCAGCGGGCTCAGAAGCCTGGGACAGCACAGTGTGGTGCCTGCAGCCCCTGCCCTCCACTTCAATTATGCAGACCCAGCTTACCAAGCACATACATATGCAGGCAGCCAGGAACCAGGAGTAAAGTCTCCAGAACATAGCACATCTGATTACCAGGGCCAGTCCTGTCCATTTGGGGCTGGCGTGGTGCAGGCCAAATGGGTAGCCCCCTATCTGTGACTCCATGCACAGGGCATTAACGTGTGAGGTTAACTGAGGATGTGTGGACAGCACTTGCACCCTCTCAGGCCATGCTGTGAGCTGTTCTGCCTGTCCGGGAGGAGCAGACAGGCCTCTTCTGCTGTCTGTGCTGAAAGAGGCACCTTGGCTCTTGCCCAGGCAGGAATGCTGTGGGCCTTTGAGGGAACCTGCCTCATTGTAAGCTAATCAAGATGTTCAGCATCTTGGCCGAACAGCCAACTTGTGGAATCAGTTGACACAAGGACACCACAGAGAATCTCATTTAGCCAGGGACACTGAGGATGGAAATTTTCTATAAGCACGGGGACCACGTGATGGCCGCTGACCTGGGCACTGTGCCCCTCTCTTCAGATCAAGCCATAGGGAAAAGCTCATCTGCCATCCCACCTCCCAAGTCATCATCCCAATTCCCTTCCAGTCCCTGGCCCACATGGGGTTATCCTGGCAGCCACGCCATACTGGACCTTTCAGGGATGCCCTTCCACGTTGCCCTGTTAGTTTCATGCCCATCATTTCATCTCACAGACTGACAGATTGGCCATTTCCATGGATGAAGCTTCCCTCCTTATGTGTGGTCTCTCTGGGTATGAATGCCAAGTCAAAGGATGTGGCCATACTATGACTGTGACAGAGACTGCTGTGGGGCTGCTGGTTCTCAAGGCCCAGCATATGAGAGAGGGCTGCCCTGCTGCCTTAGCGTATTTCTTAGATTTCTGGTTCCAGCCTCAATGCTACTGATTTCTGTAGTGGGAGAGAGTACAGAGGACACGGAGGGTGGTAGAGAGTAGAGGTGGTCCTTGGGAGGCCCATGTGAAAGGAGGGGCTATCCCATTGTCTTGAGAGGTCTTGATGTGTGAATGAATCTTCTCAGGCCACCAAGCCCTGCTCTTCCTCCCAGTCTAGAGCATTTCCTCAGGGCCCGGCCTGCTATAGTTGTCTCCTACGGAAGAATATTGTTTGGACCTATTTCTTGGCCTCCTTGGGAAAGGGAGTACCCAGGGCCAGTCCCAGCCAATTGGGAGTCAAGACCAAGCTTCTTGGGCCCAGGTATCCAGCCCAGGGCTCCAGGAATCCAGCAGGCCAGCATCTTGAGATCCTGAAGCAGCAATGCCAGCAGGCTTCTGGGGAGCTGTGGGCTCAGGCCTGCCTGAGTCTCAGGTGCAGTACCCACATGGCCCTCCCACCTGGTTCCAGCCCCCAGCAGGCTCCCTAGCCCCACTGTCCAGATATGAGTCTACCTGACGGTAGAACAAGGGCACATGGAAAACTCAGGTGGCCGTCACTGCAGTCTCTTCATGGGTAGCTGTTTGGTGACTTTGACCAAGGGTTAAGGCTGTCAGGGTGATGAGGGCAGTCACTTGGTTTAGTACAGCCAGCTTCCCACCAGTGCCCCTTCCAACTTCCCTGTTTACCAGAAGAGGTACCAGAAGCTCCCTGTCAACCCTTCTGACCTCAGTTTCCCCAGAGTTGAGCCAGATGCCCTGAGGTCCTTTCGCTGGATAAAAACCGTGGACCTGAGTTCTGATCTGGCCTCTGGGGCTGGAGTTCACCCCACCTTTGCGGACTCTGTGGCTGAGAGACTGAAGTACCTGTCCCAGGTCACACAACAAGCTAGTGGCAGGCCAGTCTCACATGTACCATGCTGTGCTGAACGTGGCACTGAGGTGAAAAGGACATACGTCTATGCTCCCCACCCCCACTGTCAGGTACCTCAGGCTTTGTCAGGAGCTCAAGGTCAGGAGACCTCATGCCTGGAGGAGGTCTGGGGCAGGGAAGAGGAGGCTGGGGCAGGGAAGTGGAGGGTCTCCTTGCCAGAGTGTCCCAGCAGCGCCATCCAGCTATGCACCTCATACACTCCAGAGCCTTGGGACCTCTGAGCACCCAGGTGGTGCACCCAAGGGACAAGAGCTTACAGTCTCTGGTGACTGGATTGTGGGCTTTCTCTGGACTGAAACCACCCTTGGACCCTGGCCTTGCACTAGCCCCTGACATCTGATCCTGAATCACAGGGCTACCCTCCATGTTCTAGATGATTTGGCAACTTTTCTCAGGCACAGTTGCTGACCTCCAGACTGATGTGTTCCCTCAAGGTGGAGATGAGCAGTGGGGGTCTTGGGATCCTAGGGCAAGGGATGGGGTGGGCAGGTGTGTGGTTGGCCTGCATGGCTGCAGGTGCTGTCCGAAGCTTTACAGCTGGGCAGGTTTGTCGATGGGCAGATGTGGCAAACTCCCTGCAGGTCTGGCCTGGGCTAAGTTGTGGTTGCAACTTAACAATTATGTTCCAGAACAAATGGGTCTTTATCGGTCCTGGTCAGGTGGAGAAACTCACAGTTGGAGAGATTTGGATTGTAGGAAGCTGTGTGGACTGTGGAGTAATCCCAGTTGCCTCCAATAAACTCAAATGTTTAGAATTCAAGTTAGAGCTAAGGGTAGGGGGTCAGAGCTTTGTAGCCCAGTCTGGCAGCACTTTAGGACTCAAGCAACTGGCATTTCACCCCAGGCAGGGCCCAGTGCTCTGCGGGTGTGAGGTGGTACTAGTCATGGAGGGGCCGTCATGCCATGGAGACACAGGAGAGTGTTGGCCACGGTTTTGCAGGCCAAGAAAGAGATTTTACTTTGAGGTCAGATGACTCTGTTGGTCCAGAGGAAGCCAGGGGTTTGGAGATGTCCCTGGCCTCTGTGGGCCCCCTCCTCCCCAGGTCCCACACTGTGCCCAGTGCTCTGTGAGTCACCTGAAAGGCCCTGTTCCCCTGAGCCATTTACCAGGGCTGACATTTCTGTGGTGCCGCACTGGGCCTTGAGGGGGTGGCAGGGCTGGATTAGATTTAGAGCTCCCCAGGAGCTATGATACAGAACAGAGGACGGAGAGCTTTGATCTTCAAGTCCTGGCACTTGGATCTGGAGTGGGCAGGTGCTGACTGAGGCTGGGGAGGCGGGCCTGGGAAAGGACCTGAAATCTTGAGTTCTGATGGACACAAGGAGAAGGGGGGCATAACAAGTTGATAGAGCCCCTACTGTGTGCCCACTGGCACTGGAGATGCAGTGGGGGTTCAGATGAGGTGGGGTCCCATTTGCCTCATCCACGGCCAGATACTTCTCCTGAGAGACCCGTGGAACTCCAGGTATGGAGCCCAGAAATGGAGCCATCGCCTCCACCCTTTGCAGTCTAACAGGACTGCATCCCCACGAGGCTGGACTCCATCATGACTCTCACTCACCAGCATTTCCACATCCTGGGCCTTATTGAAGCAGCAGGTGTCAGTTACAGAAATGTGTCCCCAGGCACCACCACCCCCAATACCCACCCACACCCTTGTCTGCCGGCCCAGGGCCAGCAAACTCACACCCCAACCCAGCAGTAAGTTGTTCCTGATGCTTTTCCAATCAATTTCCTGCAGTGCTAACCTCGGGAGAGGGCAGGAGCCCAGAGGCTGCCCTTGATCCTCTTAGAAGATTTCCATCCTTCTATGGATATGATAACACTCTATAAGGCTTCCTTGAACTTGGAGAAATGACTTTACTCAATAGTACCATTCTTGGGTGAGTCTGTTGGCTAAACGAGAAATACACATTTCAGTCATCTTCTTAGTAGGAAAAACAATGAATAAATAAAAGCAAACGCTTGTCCTTCCAGCCATCCTCTAGGAGGTAACTGGCAGCCCTCCCCAACTGTTTGAGGGAGGGCACAGGGGCTGTGTGGTGATGGAAGGGTCCAGAGTCTGAGGACTATCCATAGTGTTGGAGAGGGAGCCCGCAGGATAGGCAGGTCCCGTGGCTGTCCAGGACAGGGACATAAGGACAAGCAGGCTGGGAGGAGTACCCAGGACTGTCTGAGCAGTGGGAAAAGAGGGGGAGGCAGCTCAGTCACTTCTCCAGGCATGCCCCTGCAAACTGCTGCTCATCCCCCCATCATGGGTTCTCAGTGGGCTTCATCATCCAAAAGAGGCCCCAAGGACAGGGCAAACTGGAGCAAGCTTGCACTGGTTCTCAGTTCAAGTCCATGACCTCAGCCTGAGTCCATGACCAGTCCTGCTCTGACCTGTCTCAGACCTATCCCATGCTGATCCCTGTGCATGGGGGCTTGGCAGAGAGCACAGACAGAAACCCTGAGAATCTCTGAATCCCCACTTCCTCACACCCAGCCCTGCACTCCCCACCCTCCACCTTGTGTCAGTGAGTAGACTTCTTTTAGATTGGAGACAATTCCAGAGGATAGCCACCTGTGGCCTAGGAGTAGCACCAGAGACCTTGCATGTGGCAGTCAGGGTGTATAAAAGCCCTTTGCCTCACTGGGCCCCTGGCTGTGGTGCAGGGAAATGATGTCTCAGGTTCTGCTAAGAGCAAACAGCAAACAATGTACTTTCAGCTTTGGGCAGATTTTGATGAGTTATTCCATGTCCATGTAAACCTTCGTTATGTGATGGTCCTGTTTGTCATATTTGTTAATGAGACTCTTCAGGGTGAAGGTAAAGTTCTTTGTAAACTCCTCATAGCAGAGCTCCTGAAACAGGTTCAGGGCTCTGGTGCACAGCAGGGCACCAGATGACCCAGCCTCATCCATCCCTGGTCAACCTGGCCGGAAGGAGCCCTGGACCCAAGCTCAGGCCCTACCCTGATTCTCCCACAAGGAGACCTGTGGGTCTCGCAGGCCAAACAGTGGAGGCAATGGGCATCTGGTCTCTCCCTGGGCTCAGGGCTGCACTTGGTTGGGAGGCTCACCTGCTGACTGAGCTGGAGGTTCCATCCCCACACTCTGAGCTTTCTCCCAGATTTCTCACTCCACTATCCCTTGTTGTTATCTCTTCCCTGGGCACTGACTGGTGAGATCTCTCTCTCCCTGTTCAAATGTGGTATGAAAGGTCCCGGGGCAGCTGTTTCTTACCTCACTGGTTTTCTGGGGCCTATTGAAGGGACCCCGGAAGCCAGAGAAATTGGTCAGGAGCACAAAGGGGCACTAAGAGCAAAATAACGTTTGATGGAGACCCAGACTTATCTTGTGTGTGTTATTGTCAGCCGAGAGTTCTTTCTGAATGTCAGCACAGACTGCTGTGTACTTTTCGTGGGGAGATATCGTGGCTACTTTCATTGGGAAGAATGGCTTTCTGACCCCCAGAGCACATGAGCCAGGAGCACGTACAGGTGCATGGTATTACTTGAAGGTGACTCCAAGCTGGTCCGAGCCCTGGGCTTGGCAGCATTTCTGTGGAGAGGGGTACCTATATATGTGAGGCTAAGGAAATGCTAAACCTCTTATCAGTCATCACTGGCTTACGCGGAAGACAGAGAGGACCTTATCGCTGGGCAAGATGTGATTTTCATGCATTTTCAACAACCACAGCACACTTCATGGATTCTTGCCTGTGCTGACACTCAGGCTTCATCCTGAGCGTTCACCCTGACTTCTTATTTGTAATCACACCTGAAGTCACGGTCTTTCTGCATGAGCATGGAGTGGGTCTCTGGCCAGGCCTGGCGCTGTCTGCAGGTGCTGACTGAAGTAGAGGAAGCAAGAGGGGTGGTGGGCGCATGACTGCAGACAGTGCCAGGCAGGGGCTAAAGCTGCCACAAGCCAGCTTCCTTAGGCCCACCTGTCAAGGAGAAGCTGGCCCTGCTGCCCGCCTAAGACTTGGGGCACATCCACTTCCTCATAGTCCTGGAGGGAGATGAGGGAACAGGTTCAGGAACAAGGCCTTGAGCCCAGCTGTCAAAGTAAGGAGAAGGAGGAGGCCTACTTTGTTTTTAGCCTGCAGGCCATGAGTTTTAGGGGAAAGTGCCTGATTAGATTCAAAATTTCATGTAAAAATAAAAACCAATTCAGAAACATGCGGCACTACAGCCATGTACCAACAAATTATGACCTTACATTCTGACTCTCAGAGATTAAGATCACCCATTTTGGGGCAAGTTTGGTAAATACGCTGCACTGTGACCCCTGTGGTTTGGTTTCTTTTCCCCTGAACAGTTAGTCTATTTTGCTGTTTACTTTCGGAATGGTTAAATCTCAGAGTGTGAGGGGCAGGGCGTGGGGCACAGGGGCCAAGGCCTCTACAGGGCAGGTGTTTTGCCTGATGCCAGAGTGGGCCTGTTCAGCCAGTGACCAGCCAACCCCCAGGCCTCCCCAGGAAGGGTGGTGCCCTTCTCTGGGATAAGAGTTCCCTGGGCTGGTCACTTGGACTTCCAGGTGAACTTGAGAGCCATTCTCTGGGGTGGGAGCCCTGGAGCATCCCGGGAAGCCCGTCCAGGTGTGCAGAATTCCGCACCTATGCCCGGCTCTCACCTCCCCTCTGCTCTGACAGTGTTGGCCCTTGGATAGTGCCCAACGCCTGGGAGGCCCCCGCCCCCTCTCCACCTCCCCGTTTCCTCCCTCCCCTGCCTCATGGGAAGGCAGGCACCACTGGCATTTGCTCATGGTTAAAAACAAACTAGAACACTGGACAAGTAGAAGCATATTTTTAATAATAATTATTACGGTAAAACATCTTGAATAAATATGGAATATGAACTTAAATAAATAAATAAATAAATATTTTAAAAATATAAATATATAAATATTACTGATTTCTGTCAGTATAAAATATTCCCATTCTTCTGCCATGCCTGTATCAGGGTCAGTGTGGCCCAGGGCAGGTCCAGGCCACTCCCACCATGGCTGTGGCCCACCCCTTGGTCCCTCCAAGATGACCATCCTGAGTTTCTAGCTCTTGTTTCATGAGAGAGCAGCTCCCCGGCTTGGCCAGCCTCATCTGGCCGGTCTCACTCCTGGACTGGCTCCCAGCAGTCAAAGGGGATGACAAGCAGAAAGTCCTTCAGGTTCTCTTTGAAACTTTCAAAGGTGATAATCTGGGTTGCACAGGAAGTTTCCTTTAAAAAAAGAAAAATAAAAAACACTTGAGTCCAGGCAAGTGGGTAACGTGGGGGAAGGAAGCACCAGCATGTTTCTCTACTGCCTCTTAGAACTCAGAGGCCAGGAGGCCCACTCCAGGACACACCCACTGACCTGGGTCAGGTGACGCTGCTGCCACCCACGTGTTCCCCAAGGAGTGCATAGCTCTGCCAGTGGCAGCCAGAGTCAAGGGCCTGACTTAAGTGCCAGCCTGAGGTTGGCCTTCTGGGCAGTCAAACGCCTGCCTTTTTGGTCCCAGGGCAGAGCAGGGCAGCTGGGCTGAGGTCGTCTCTGGGCACCCAGAAGGAGTGGAGTCAAGGCCACAAACTTTGCTCCCTTCCCGCAGGAAGGAGTGCCTGAGGTCCTTGTCCATTCCAAGTAGCCTCCCTTCCTTGATCCTCTGCAATTCAAGCACCCCATGTGGGGCCAGAGGAAAGTCCTGCCAGAAGGTGGCACTTGGGCCTGGGCACTTCCTCTGGGCCTTGGGCAGGCCCCAAGTTTCCTTGGGTTTGCCCTCACCTCTGACCTCATTAACCATAATGACAATAATGACCAGGATAGGAGCAGCTCCTGCTGGGGAGCACTGTGGGCTTCAGCGCTCTGTGGCTCTGACTCCTTGGGATGAAATGGGCTGTCTGCCTCCTCTCTGGAGGGCTAATCATTACATAACTGTTGGCACAGAAACCCCCTGGGGTCCTGAACAGCCACAGCCATAGATCTCTCCCCATGTCGACCCCACCCCCTAGATTAAGACATTCCTGCTGGAGGCCCTGCCGTAGGCACTCACCGGGGTTGGAGGGCAGTGCTGCTTGTAGTGGCTGGCCATCATGGTCAAGGGGCCCTTGAGCTTGGTGAGGCTGCCCCGCAGGCCCTGCTTGTACAGCTCCAGGCGGGTCTGTAGGCAGGTCGGCTCCTGTGGAAAATGTCGTTCGTCGGTGAGCAGTGGCCAAGTGCCCACAGTGGTACAAGAACTCTCCACCACTCCTTTTTGCTGCTGCCCCCAGCCCCCAGGAGTAGGGCTTGGGAGGGGCACAGGCTGGGTCCAGTCATAGACCCTGCCCTGTCCATGGCAGGCACGAACCTGCCCTTCTCACTGCCCCGCCCAGGCCACCCTCAGCGGCACCTGGAGAGGAGCCCAGCCTTAGGGAAGGAGGTGACTCTCACCCCATCATTCAGGGAGAGGGGGGTGGGGCCTCACCTGGACCTGCTGGGTGGGCAAGGGTTGTTCCTGAAACCCCTCTGTGCCTCTCTGTAGTCAGCACTGTCTCAACAGGACTTGGTCTCGGGGCACAGTGAGCGCCCCAAACCCACAGCTCCTGTCTCATGAAGTGACCCCCACTTTACCACCTGTCCCCTGGTGACTCCTGGCCATTGAATGCTAGGTCTGCCCATGGCCGCTCAGCTGATAAAGGAGCTCATGTGACTGCCATAGGGGCACGGCCAGCAGCCTCTTGAGCACCCAGTTGCTACCCCCTCCTCCTGCAGCCAGCTGACTGGAGAGAAAGTGGACAACCCTGTGTGGTGCCATCTAAAATGGAGTCCCCACCTCCACCCCAGGGCAGGGGCTTCTGGAAAGCTATGTCAGAGAGAAGCATCTTACCTGGAGGTCAAACATTTCTGAGATGACTTCTACTGTTTCATTCTGTAGAAAAGGAAAATGTCATGTTATCAAGCTGACAGGCGTGGCCAGTCAGGGGCCAGCTGGGTGGCCTAGGCACAGGCCCACATTCTCTCACTTACCATCTCAGCAGCAGTGTCTCTACTCAGGTTCAGGAGACGCCGGGCCTCCTGGATGGCATTCACATGCTCCCAGGGCTGCGTGCTGGGGCTGGGCGAGCGGGCGGGTGCAGAGATGCTGCAGGCCACAGTGCCCAAGAGCAGCAGGCTCTGCAGCCACATCCTCCAGAGAACTTTAGCCTTTCTCTCTGTGTACTGGGCTCACTGGCAAAAGAGCTCTTAAATACACAGAGGAAATGATTAATGGTGACCACAAAATGCCAGGGAGGCGGGGGAACTACCTGAACTGTGGAATCTCCTGGCCCTTATCAGCCACACATGGGAACGGTGAGCCTTTTCCCTAGGTGGTCAGGCTTGGGGGTTTTCATTAATGAACCTTTCCAAGAACCGACAGCCCACCCACCCGCCTTCCTGAGGGCTCTCCAGCCCTCCCTGGGCAGTCTGAATGGGCCTGAGGCTGCCCCCTCCCTCTGAGGGGCACAGTTTGGACTTCCTGGCCTGGAATGGCTGGGGTGGGGCGTGGGAGACACTTAGATAGGGCTCCCCATCCTGCCTGTAATCCCAGGGGCCTTTGGGCAGGCTATGCCCGCCCTGGTGCCTCATTCTGACTCCAGCCTTCCTCTTCTCTGGCCACTGTGAGAGACTTGAGTGTGAGGGGAGCTCTCACAGACCTGCCCCACTGACAGTTCACATGGGCTCCCACCCAGGACCTGGAGCAGGGGGCAACCTCAGTCCAGTAAGGGGGGACCCCTGCCCCTGTGAGCAGAGGGAATGACCACCATGTGCACATCCAGCAGCGAGACTGCAGCCACTCTCAGCAAGCTTCAGAGGGGGTGTGGCTGGGTCAAGTCGGGACCCAGAGTCTGACTCTTGGCTCTGGAGCCACCTTCCTGAGTGACTCCCCTCTCTGGTTATGTGAACCTTGATTCCCTCTGCAGAGCAGGTTTGCCCCTCTGAGGTTCGGACTACACTCCTATATGTAGCCCCCAGAAGACACCAGGAGCTTCAGGCTGGCTCCAGGGCTGTGGCTGCATCCATCTCAGGTACAGGGACAATGGCTTCCCCAGCAAGGCCCTCCAGGCTTAATTTCCTACATAACCCCAGCATCCCCCAACTCCAGAGGCCTTTCTGTGGAAGTGTGGAAGTAGGAAATCTAAAGGCTCTTGAGGGGCTGACAAGTGTTTGATTTTCACAATGGAGTTCAGAGAAGACAGCACGAGTTTGTGTTTGCACAAGGTATCTGGCTCAAGCTGCCCCATGCCTGGGTTTCATAGCTAAAGGGGTGTGGGCCCACACGTGCCCATTTCTGGGTGTATGTGTGCTGCTGTGATTGGTTGTACATACAGGTGCCTGGTAGAGGGGAGGATGTTTTCCATGCAGATGCATCTATTGAGTCCTCTTACCTGCTTTATGAAAGGCTCCAGGCCTCTGAAGGTGACTCTGATACTGGAGAAGCTCCCTACTCCAGGTGCAGTGCCTCTGGGCCCTAGAGGCTGATTCAGCCTAAACCAGTGGGGTTGGACACAAGCGAGAACATTCTGCTGGACTCAGGTTGGCGAGCCTTCAGAGAGCAGGTGGAGTTCATGGCTTTAGCACTGTGGTCTGAGTCTGCAGCCCTGGCCAGTTTCCCTGTACTGTGGGAGTTTTTCTGACCTTGCATAGAGAAACCAAACCTTAGTCCTCCAGACCCCACTGTGAGGCCAGCCCCATCCATCTGAGCCTGCGTAGAACACTCCTAGTGGCCAGGCTGGGGTGGGAACATGAAATGTCCAGGCCCTGGCCCTTTCTCCACCTTTTTTGCAAGGCCTTGGCTCAGCTCTTTCCAGGGAGCTCTCGGGGGAGAGATGAGGACATGGATACTACATGTAGATATCACATGTGTTGGATAGCACCCTGGAGGCTGGAGGGCAGGGAAGGGAGCCATAGATAGTGGTTCAGCTGATGGCCAGGGAGGCAGAGAGCCTGTATGACCCATCTGGGAGAGAAGGTCACTTTCCTCCTAGAAATGAGTTGTCATAGCTCAGACAGTCAGTCAACAAGTCTTTCCAATCCACACCAGGACCTGTTCTGGGGAGGTAAACGGGACCCTCCCACTGGCCCTCACATTTGGCCCTTGAGGCTCCCAGTCTGGTAGGAAACAGACTGCAATGGACCCTCCCATGGTGTGACCTTGACTCGGCAGGGGGAAGTCCAGAGCTGAGGGATCCCAGAGGGCCACCTTCTCTAGCTTGGGGATCCAAGGGGACCAGAGAGCTTCACTAGAGATCCTGCCTGCAAGCCCAGGCTGAAAGGCTAGAAGTCAGGTGGGTACGTTGGGTTGGAAGGAGAGGGGCAGGAGAGGACAGGGGAGAATGTTCTGGGCACAGGGAGCCCTGGGGTTTTAGGAATGGGTATAAGGAACAGCAGGCAGACTCCAGAGAGATTGAGGAGGTAGAATCTCAACAGGACTTGGTGCTATAGTGAAGTCACTCAGTCATTCATTATTTTTTGAGCATCTACTAGGTTCCCAGCAGGGAAAAGGGACATAAGGATGACAAAAACGGTCAGGGTCCTGCCTCCAAGGACTTTTTAACCCCATCCATGGAGGAGCAAGATTAGTCTACTCACCCCCCTCCCCCCCCACCAAAGTGTGCTTTGAATGTGAGTAAGAGGAGTTAGAATCACTGTCCACATGGCTAAGGTGAGGACCCAGGGGACAAAGGAGCAGATCTTCAGAGCGTGAGGCCCACGGGAAGTTTTGGAGTTTCAGAGTCTGCATGTACAGGAGACAGATCTGGCAGCGGTACATGTCTGTGTGGTAGCTGAGGCCACGGAAGTTATTCAGGAAGAAGAGCTGAGGGCCAGCAAAGCTGTGTTTAAGGGCTGGGACATAACAGATGGGCAAGTAACAGGCCAGTGGCCAAGGGCCTAGGAGGGAAGGAAAGGAGGAAAGCAAGAGTCATAATAAGAAATCCATTTCGGCAGTGGTGGCCTGCAGGTGCCCAAGTCAGCACAAACAGGACAGAAATCCATGGGTTTGGTGATGAGGTTTGTGGGCAGCCACACATCTTTCTCATGGAAAGATGACATCAGGGCTGAGGCCATGACACAGGCAGGCATTCCTAGATTGCACTGTATTTTAAACAGTGTCAACCGATAGCCAGCCATGCTGACTCAGGGGCTCCGATGGGGCTGTGGCAGGGCAGAGGCGGGGACCACGATGGGTGGTATGACCCCTCTGGGGCCCCCCTTCCTACAGAGACAGGAGAAAACCCTCTGGAAGGAGTTTCCTATGCGTGTCCACCCCACAGGCTCTGTAGGAAACAGGGGCTTGAGTCACTCCAGGATCCTTATCACGAGAGACATTATCACAAGGGGAAGGAAATGGGCCTCAAAGTCCCTTCGGTACCATGGCACCCCCGCACAGGCTTTGGGGCTGATCTGATCCTTCTTTGACCTGTCCAACCCTTGATGAGGGTTCTTGTTATCTCTGGGGACCTGAGATCTGGGAGACCAGTGGTCAGCCCAGTCCACACAATCAGTGACCGCAGAACCAGAATTTGAACCCATATCTGTTCCTGCTATCCTAGCATTTTCCATTGTCTTGGGGTCAGGAAGTTGGGAAATGCTGATCACCTGGCTGGACCAGCAGGGGGTGGACCCAGCGTGCTTGTCCCCTCAAGGCAGCTGTAAAGAGAGATGCCTGCCAGGTGTTCGCAGGTAGGCTGGAGTGGCCTGTGACTGTCCCAGGGAAGTCTGGGCTGAAGGCAGAGTTTCCCCAGCAGATCCTGCCATCCAGGCATCTCTATGCCCCAGGCTTGGGCTCTTGCCCTTACCCAGCCACCACCAATCCCTGAAGCCTAGGAAAGTCCCTCCTCCCTGAGCCTCAACCCCTGCATCTGTACAATGGGTTAATGGCCACTGCCTCACCGAGGAAACTGTTGCCTGCCCCAGGAAACTCTGTGGGAGATCCTCCCAGGGAAGAGACAATCCTTCAATTTCTCCTCTGCCCAGTGCTAGGGGAGATTTCTGAAGCCCAAACTGGGCAGAGGAGCGAGGCCTGCTGGAGTTTCCAGGGACAGCTGCCCCTTGCCCAGCCCTAGCCGCAGAGGGCAACCTTCTGGACACACGTGGTGAGGTAGGGAGTCCGGCCTCCACCTGAGTCAGGGCTCCTGGGTCCTGCATCACCGACAGGAGATCCTGGTACCGCATGGCACCATGAGTGGTTTGTCCTTCCCTTGTCACTCCAGGCCACACCAGACATATGAAGCAACATCTCTGGCTTCTGCGGTTTCAGCCCCATTCTGTCCCCACGTGCATCCCCTCTGTCTCGGTCCCCAAATGTACACCTCAAAAAGGGAAGCTGCCCTCGCCAAGCTCCAATTCCAGTTTGGCCTCTTGGTATTCCCAGGTTCCTGGCACTGGGGAGTGCCAGGGAGGCCTGGGAGGATCTGAGGGTGGTTAACCCTCAACCACATGTGGTCTCTGCATCTATTCAGCCAAGCTTCCGGGAGGGTTTGCTGCGGAGTACGCACCTCACAGGCCCCTTGCACTCGGAGAGCTCACTTCTGGTGGTCCCATGGGGTGGGGGACAGGGAGCACAAGGCCCACACTCATAGGCAGAGACATGGAGACCATTTGCTGTGATGGGGGAGACACAAGGTCACAGGGAAGTTTGAGAGGTCAGCCCATGTTGCACTGGAATGGCAAGTTTGAGAGGCCAGGGGACCTCCAGGAAGACTCAGTCAGTTGTGGCCATGTGGGTCCGGAAGTCAGGGCATTTGGAAGTCACTGGTAAAGAGGAGGCTCCCAACACCAGAGGGGCTGTGGAGAGTGAGCCAGGCAGAAAGTAGTGGCGGGGTGTCAACTTTTGAGGATGGCCAAGGACAATGAGACCTCCTTGTTTGCTTCTTTGTTCTTGGGGCTTCCTTTTTTTCCCTCAGGATCTGGCAACTCCACCATGCACATCACTCAGGCAGAGGAGTCCTTGTGGACACAAACGCCCAATGGGTGTGCCAGGCCTTCCCACCACAGTGCCCTCCCTGACCTGTGTCTACTACTCGCCTGGTGTACTCCCTCTAGGGCCAGAAATGCATCCCCTGCTCCTGAGTCTCTGCTCTGAGCCTCATCTCTGGCTGGGAGGATCATCAGGCACCCAGAGGGGCCACAGCCTATGTGTGCCCTCTTGGGAAGAGCCATCGGGAGGTGCATTAAAAATCAAAAGCAGGAGAAATCATGAGACCAGAAGCCTGTTTAATTTCTGAAGTCCTGCAGGCATCCGTTCCTGCCCTCTATGTCTGGAGCTAGAGTCTGGGTCAAGATGCCAGGTGGAAGTCCCAGGCCCTTGCCCGGCTCGCGCACCTGCATCCCCCTGGAACTGATGGGTCAGAATTGAGGTGGCAGATGTGGGCTTTCTGCTCTCAGCAGGACGAGTGGTTCTGGAATGAGCCTCCTCCAAGACTCTTCTGGATCCCTCACGGGTCCCTCAGACTTTCCCTGAGGCCCTGTTTGGGCAGGCACAGCTCGCTGCATGTCCTTGGCCTGTGGCCTGCCCCTTCTGAGCCCCGGCTGGCTCACCCCACAGGGCATGCAGCACTACTTTTGCAGGCTGTTGGGAGATGCACTGGATATCTGCAAGGGAAGGTGTTTCTGTTTTGGTTTTCTGTTTTGGCTTGCTAGGTGCCTCCATCTAGCCTCAGTCTCGCTGTCCATCAAAGAGAGGGAATGGTTACCAGGGTCCGGACCAGCCTCCCAGCCTTCTCATTCCCTGGAGGTGAGTGTAAATTTAGGTTTCCCTCATGGGAAGTGGGCCTGTGTAGACCCCTCCCCAGGGCCCTAAAGCCTCCCCACCCCAGCCCCAGGAGGCAAACGCCACCTGCATCCTGGTGCTCGAGCCTGACTGATGGCAAAGTGGCTGAGCCATACAGATTTTCCAGAAAGAGCCAGCTTGGAACACCAGGACAGGGAACCATCCTCCTCAGTCTTTCCACTTGTCCTGGTGGGGAGGAGGTGGTCCAAGGCTGCCAGGGGCAGCTCTTGAGTCTGGCCATCAGCCTGGGAGAGCAGGGGAGTCATGTTGATCACAGACCCACTGCATGGGGACATCCTCCCTGATTCAAGGCTCTCTGAATGGTAGTGGCGGCTGCCCAGTGTTTTTATTCCTTATGCTCAGGAGGGCCTCGGCCCAGCCCATGGGATCAGGACACAGAGCAGGTGCGCAGCTGGTGCTCACGAAGGGAGGCAGGGAAGGAGACCCCTGCTCTGCTGCTCGGCCTTCGCTCCGGCGCCCGCTGCCCTCCGTTGCCTCCCCACAGCTGTCCTCCCTCCCTGACACCCTGACTTGGCCCCTCAGGGCACACACATCATCCACACAGCCTGCTGTCCTTGCTGCCCGCTGATCTCCAGCACAGCCCACTTTCCCTCCAGGAAAGGGCTGAGTCTCCAAGTGCAGGCCCCAGGCAAGTCTCTGCCAAAGCAGGTCCCGGGAGCACCCTGGGTCAAGGGCTCATGAGTCTGAGGAGGAGGGAAGGAGGCCTCACACCAGAAGGATTCCATGGACCCCACAGGGCAGGGAGGGCTCATGGAAGGGAAAGGGAAGGGGTCACTCATGAGCCATGGCTGGAGGTAGAGTTGAGCTTGGGGTCTTTGGGGAGCCTGAGTGGGAGCTGGAGGAGGCCTTGACAACCAGCCATGGCAGGGGACAGCTGGGAGCCAGGGTCTCTCTCAGAAGTTCCTTAAGGCATGGGGACAGAGACAAAGAGGAGCACAGAGGACCACCTCCCTGGATCTAAGCCCCCAATGTGTGTGTTGGTTGTGGGGAGGGGGTGCCAGGTAGGAGGACAGGACAGATGGGCGTGTAGAGGCATTTACTGGGCAATATGAGAGTGGTCAGGTGAGAAGCATGGAGCTGAGGCGCTAAGGCTGCGCTGCTCACTGTGGGCCTGGAACCAGGAGGTTGTAGGGCAGAAGTTAACACGGGAGGCTTGGATCCAGTCAAGGGGAGACCCCAGGCACATCCAGGGTCAGACTTAAAAGAATTCCTGGGCCTCAGTGGGCATTAGTGAACCACTGTTGCTTAAGGATTCAGAGGCTCTGGACTCAAATAACCTTCATTTTTCTGCCTCAGTCTCTGTCTGTGTAATGGGGATAATCACAGCCTGGGTGCCTGGGTCATTGTGGGGATTCTTTGAGTCCCTTCTCAGTCCAGGAGGGCAGCAGCAACTTTGCTGACCCACCTCGTTGAGCTTGATCTGAGGCTTTCAAGGGGGAAAGTTGGGCCCCTAGCCCCCACCCCTGGTCCACACCACCTCTGCCTCCTCTCCCTCTCTCCCACCATGGGTCCCCCATCTTCCTGGGCCCAGGGATTCCCCTCTGCTGGACCAGCCCCTATTTCCTCCAGCACCTCTCTCCCTCTGCCCTTGCTCCTTCTTGTTGGTGTTAAACACACAGTGTCTGCCATGGCTCCATCCTGTCCTTCCGCCTCCCTCCACCCACCCCTCCTCAGGCCACAGTCGTCCAGTCTTACCGTCTCCACAGCGGCCAGTCTGGGCTGGGCTGGCCTGGGATCAGAGAGGGAGGAATGGGGAGAAGAGACTAGCTAAGACCCAGAGGTGCCTGGGGCCCAGGCTGGCTGGGCTCCAGGGGCAAAAGCAGTGACCCAGGGCACAGCCTTCACCTTGGACACTTGGCACCCAGCCACACTCTGGCCTCTCCACTGCTTAGTCTCTCCTGTGCCTCCGCTTACCTTGTCTTCTCGACCTCCATGCCCTCCTCCCCCAGGGCATCTGCCTCCTTCCTTCCCTGTGCTTTTCCCACCCTTCTCTGCTGGATGAACTTCTCTCTCAGGCCCCTTCTGTGCCACCCATGGGCAGTGCCTCCGATGAGGTCCACGCCCATCCGTCGGTCCTGTGCTGTCTGTAATGACCCCCACCGCACTGTGCTGGGCCAACTGCACAAGGCCAGGAGGCCTGAAAGGCCTGGCCCAGTGTCTCACCTATGCCCGCCCCAGCCTGGGGGAGCCGTGGAGGGTCCTCAGAGCAGTTGCTCCACTGAGTCAAATGGGGGCTTGAGTCCAGGGCAGGAGGAACAGAGCCCCTTCCTGGAGTGGGAGGATTCCTGTCAAGGGGTGAGGCTTGTTGTGCCTTCTGAGTTCTGCCCTCCTTAGGCACTTGCCTTTCTGTCAATTTTCCCTTTGTTCTATTTTTCTGCATTTCCAAGTTTTTCAGTAAAGAGTATATACGCTTTCCCATCTTCTCCTCCAATGAAAAACAATAGTTTTGTTTTTTTTTTTTGAGATGGAGTCTCGCTCCAACAATAGTTTTTAAGTGAAAAATAAAATTCCTGGCTGAGAGCTGTAATCCACCTTCCCCCTGAGCAGACACCTGGGATGTGGGAAGGCAGGAACTTGGGCCTTCTCTGGTGGTTCTGGGATTTATAATGGGGCGATGCTGCCCCCTGGCGCCATCTGGACACACAGACCTGGCCCAAAGGACAGGCTCCACATCCTAATGCCATCACAGTGGGGATTCAATTTTAACATACAAATTTGGAGGGAACATAAACCTTCTGTCAAAGCATGTAGAAATTCCCCCAGCCTGTCCAGGAACTGACTGCCACTTGGTTCTGGCCCCAGTCTGGCTTTAAGCTGCAGTCTATACTATTCCAGAAGGTCAGCGAGGAGCCCCCAGCGCATCTGAAAAGGTCCGCCCACTGCCCTCTCCAGCATGTCACCTCCGCGTGCCACCCTCCGCCAGCGACAGGTCCTGACGACTGGCCTCGTGCACCAGGTCTGTGTCTGATCCAGCCACTAACCCTGCCTCTTGCAGGCATCAGTCACTAACACAGGACCAGCAGAGGAGACAGCTGCTGACCCACTCTCCAGGGTGTGAAGAGGAGGTGGCAAGCAGCGACTCATCTGGGAACATGGGGCTGGGGCACAAATGCTGCCTCAGCCCAGGATGAAAACAGGACTAGCTGTCACGTGCGAGAGGGAGGGAAAGTGAGGGCTGGGGGGAGCTGGGTGTGCAGGAGACTTGGGAAACCCAGTCCAGAGTCAGACCTCTCACCCTACCCTCTCAGGCCTGGCTCCTCCAGGACCTCTGAAGTGCCCTGAGACCAGTGGCACACACCTCCCCCTAGTGGTCAATCCAGAAACTGCAGCAGCATCCTCTGTATCTCCTCCCAGGCTAAGTCCAACAACAGACATCCCCTGGTCCCCAGGCAATGCCCTCAGTGAGCCAGGCTGGGGAGAGGTGGGGGGAGGGGGAAAAGAGAGTTCTTCTGTGGGAACATAACGATTTTTTAGGGGGAAGAATTTAGGGAAATAGAGTTCTGAGCCTGTAGCAGATAAATCTTCCATCATCTCCAGTCCCATTCAAGCAGCCGGGCTGTTCCTTATTCATAACCTCAAGGGAGGGATGGATCAAGGTGGAAAACAGGAAAAAGGGGGACAGGACCCCTGCACCTGGTGTCAGCCTCTGACGCTTTTCTGGGACTTGAGAGGAATCAGAGAGGATGCTATTGCTGCTTACGTGGTGACAGAGGAAGGCCCCTCTGCCCCTCCTTCCACTGGCAGACTGAGTAGGGCCACAGGGTGGTGTGCAGGGGAGTTAGAGGGGGGCACTCAGGGCTAAAGGGCCAGGTGGTAGACTGAAGCCACACTCGGGATGTCCCAGCCTCCTGCCTTCTGCCTCCAGGCTGGTCTGCACCACCTCCGTGCCACAGTGGCTGTCCCTCCAGTGGGTCCCTGTGTACCCACCTATTTCGGAGGAGGGCCCCATCCTGGGATGGTGTGGACAGTCCAGAGGTGGGCAGAGTTTGAGTTGGTCCATGGAATAGGAACTCATCAAGCCAAGTAAGGGCATGCCAGACTGAGGTGACAATGTGGATAGAAGCTCCAGGGCATGAAGAGAGGCTTCATGGAAGGCTGTCTAGGAAGTCCCAGCACTCCTGTTGGCTGGAGCATTGATTAGGGTGGTAGCCATGGGGGAAACAGAAGCAACAGATGGAGGTGAGCCTTATACGTTGTCCTAAGGATATGGACAAGGTCCAGAAGACCCCGAGGACTGGGGGATTCAGTATAGATCCACATGGTCAGATTTGCATTTTCTAAAACTCCATCTGGCTCCCCAGTAGAGCACAGATCGTCAGGGTGTGGGTTCCAGGGCTGGCCGGGAGGCCTACAGGGTGGCTGCTAAATCATCAGGCAGGAGAGGCTGGGGGCTTAGGCAGGGGTGGAGACTCCAGGCTTGGAGGGTTTTAAAGGAATGGAATGAAGAATTGGGTGGCTTGTGTCAGCAGAACCTGCTGCCTTGAGGGGGTCAGGGGATGTTGATCCCTGATGTTGGCCCTGGGAGGAGCAGGGGCGGCGGCTGCAGTTTCTGGAAGGACCACTAGGGGGAGACATGCCACAGGATTAGCATGCTCCAGACCACAGGGACCTGAATTCAAGCCCCAGCTGGGCCACTATCAGCTTAGGCAGTTGCTCAACCAGGCCGAACTTCAGTTTCCCATGAAACGGAGAAAACATACTCTTGGTTGGGGTGAGGAATAAGTTAGATAGCATAGGTAAAATGCTCAGAACGGCTCCTGGTACCTGGTAGCAGTTCTGTGGATTTTCAAGATTGCTAGGGTTATCATCACCTTTCTGGAAATGGGGGTGGCAGGAGGGCAGTGTGAGAACAAGCTCACCCAGACAGCATCCACGTGGCAGGATCAAGCCACCCAGGATTTGTGGCACACCAGTCTCCCTTAAAATGGTCACTAAGTCCCAAGTCAAATTGAGACACTGGTAACAAAGCAGTTGTTCAGAGTCTAGTTTATTCTCACACATCCCTAGGAACCAGTTTAAAACTCGAGGTACAAATGAACATGCTCCCCACCCCACTCTGAGTTTTTTGCAGAAGCAGCAGGACATGGCTCCTCTGCTAAAATAAATACAGTTCACACTCCAGGCAATAAATAAATAAATACATACATACATAAATAAATAGTCTCAATGGGATAAAAATGAGAACACAACCGCACAAGGCCAAATGGGAGCTGCACATTTCAGAAATTAGATAATTAACAATTCATCTGATGCCGCAGGAAAAGGTGAAATGCTTCTGGTCCTGGAATGTGTGAGAGATGACCCAGAGGTTTCAGAAGTTCTGCTGTTTTTGATGTCCCGAGGCTCTGTGGTGAGAAGGCCCAGAGAACGAGCTGGACGTTGGACTCAAAAGATCGCGAGGCTCAAAGTCGTCTGTTGAGCCTGCGCATTCTCAAGGGTTTTCAGATAGAACGTCAGTTTCCTCCGGAATTCATTCCAGTCACCGTCCTTGATATGGATTGGATGTCGCTATAAAGAAACCAAGAAGGTGGCATTAGGTGAGTCCAGGCTGTAATGGTGATGACCAGCTGAGGAGCAAGCCATGACGGGCATCTTGGGGGACAGCTTACCGTGGGTGCGGCCGTGGCCAGGGGCAGACATGGCAGGAGATTCTGTGGAAAGAGACCAAAGCAGATGGTCAGAGATTCCCTTGGAAAGGGAGTGGGCCCTGCTCTCCTCCCCAGAGGCAGGGCAGGGCCAACACAGGGATCCCAAACCCTCAACAGCTTCACATACTTTAAGAATGCTCTCAATTGCTGATGCGTTCTGTAAACTCTTGACAGCCCTGTTGAATGCCTCCAGGTTTGGCCTTCGAAGGTTATTTTCCTAACGGGGCAGAGAATACACTTAAGGGGGAAAGGTTACAGAGTATCCCTCCCACAAGCAGGTGGAAGTCACCCCCACAGTTTCCCAAGCCCACTGTTGGGGACATCCTCGGGTTCCCTCCTAGTCCCGTTCTTGCCTCAGGTGGGTCCCTGCCCAAGGGCACAGGCCTAGAAGTGAGTGGCAGGCAGGACCTGGTTTCCTCAAGCCCCCAGTCTCTGGCTCCATTTGAGCTACATAAAGGGCCTAGGTGGGCTGGGCGCAGTGGCTCAAGCCTGTAATCCCAGCACTTTGGGAGGCCGAGGCAGGCAGATAACCTGAGGTCGAGTTCAAGACCAGCCTGACCAATATGGTGAAACCCCGTCTCTACTAAAAATACAAAAATGGGAGTGGTGGTGCATGCCTGTAATCCTAGCTACTTGGGAGGCTGAGACAGGAGAATTGCTTGAACTCAGGAGGCAGAGGTAGCAGTGAGCTGAGATCGTGCCACTGCACTCCAGCCTGGGCAACAGAGTGAGACTCTTGTCTCAAAAAAAAAAAAAAAAATGGGTGGGGAGGGGGTACCTAGGTGGATCTTTCTGCACTTGGGGGAAAAAATATCTCCAAAAAGAAGCTCTACAAAAGACAGGGGGTTTTCCAAGGGAAGTATTTGTAGCTCAGAGGCTGATAACAGTGTTCATGCCCTGACTGAATTAAAGTCTCCTAGAAATCAAGAAGAAAATCACAGAGACCCCAGCATGGAAATGGGTGCAGCATGTGAGCTGTGAGTGCCCCAAACACAGATGGCCCAGGAACTCAGCAAAGGCTTCCACTTCTTGTTTGACCCAAGAAATGTCATGCAAAGGTGAGACAGAACAACTGCAACCAACTGGAACCATGAAAAATAACTGTAAATGATAATGCCACAGCCAATGAGGGTGGAAAACACAAACTCAATTTTTTAAGGGAAAAAGAAGCTGGCACATCTGAGGGGGAAATTTCTGTCTGTCAGTCCAGAGTCTGCCCTACCAAACACTGACCTTAAGGCCCTTGGTATTCCTCACCTAGAACTGCCTTTTCATTTTCTAATTTAAAAGTCATTTTCATTATTATAGCCATGGCTGTGGCCATGTATTGAACTCTTAAGTGCCAGATGCTGGGCCAGAACATGCACATTGTGCCATTTGATTGTCATAACAATCCCACTGAGATAGGTGCTATTAACCCTATTTTACAGATGAAGAAAGCAAGGCTAGGTAAGATGGAATGACATGGCTGAAGTCACCCAGGCAGGAAGTGGATCGGGATCCACGGGCTGAGCTCTTACCATCAGAATGTCTTGGTCTTCCCCATTGAGGTTGTTGAAGTCCTGTGGGGGTGAAGGGAGAGAAAGGCCCATGAGGCCTTTTGGCCTTAGGCAGCCACCACCCCTCACTGCTGCAGGCCAGTCTTATCCAAGCTACTCACCAGCAAAGGCAAAGGTGGCTGCTTTAAGTGTGTTATAATTTCATCGATCATGTTAGAGCAGTTAACCCAGCTTGTCTTCAAGGGCGTTGTCTGGGTCATGGGAGCTTGGAGTCCGGGGCGGACCAGGAGTTGGAGCAGGAGCAGGACGGGCAGGCGGCTCATGTTTGGATCGGCAGGAGGCACTCTGTCTTGTTCTGGTCCTTCGTGGGGCTCTGAAGAGTTGGCAACAGCCTCCCGCCTTATATGTGCAGCAGCAAGGTGCCCACAACCCCGGGCAAGGCGGGGGGAGGTGGTGGTGTGGGGCAGGCGTCGGAAGGATCTTTATCTGACATGGAACCTCCATAGAAAACCACAGACGTAATTATTCATCCATGACTTTCTAGTACTCAAGATCAGTGAAACAAGAAAAAAGATTACTTAAACGGTATCACTTCATCTTGTCAAGGAGGATGAGAGATGGGAAGCATGGCAGCAGGTGAGAGGACCCCTGTGGCAGGAAGGGGAAGCCTGACTCAGCTCACTGAGGCCTCCTGCCCAGTGGGATCTCATCTGCCATCACCTGGACTACCCTGGCCCTCTGCTGCCCGCCCTGCTTGGTCCTGGTGGGTGGCCAGGAGGCCACTGGAACAGATGAGAGTTTGTCTGGTAGCCGGTCACGCTGCTAAACATCCACGTTCAGCCTCAGGCTCTGAGAAGCACATCTCTTGGTGCCGCTTCCCAATACAGAATTACTGGTGTTCCAGTCCCCAGTGGTTTGTCCCATGGGCTTCGGGCAGCTTCTCCTTGACACTTTGTTTCTGGTGGATGGCCGAGGGCGCTCAGGCCCCAGGTGGCCATTCTCTTACTGGTCTGCTAGCAGTGGCATGGCTGTTCCCTGCGTGTGGGACTCAGCCTCTGCAGGAGGCCCGGCTGCAGCCCCTGGCAGTCCCTCTGGTAGCACCGAGAGCTGAGCTCAGGTACCTGAGGACACTGTCACTGGGAGCTGGGGGAGGGGCTGGCCTGGGAGGTTTAGGAGGCAGAATTGGCATGGTCTGAGGGGTGAGGTCAAGGGAGGAGAAAGGAGAGCAACTCCCTGGTTTCAGACTGGGCCTCAGGCTGCTGGGGCAGGGATTGGCAGGAGACAGTTGTATTGAGAGGTCTTGATCCCCGTCTGTGCTGAGCATGGATTTGCCAGGTGCAGGCCCAGTAGGCAAGGTTTGCAGAGAGGGGATGTGAGTGGGGACAGACCATGGGGAAATCCACAAGGGACCTGAGAAACTGCAGCCAGATAGGAAGCAGGAAACCCAGAAGGGCGGGGGTGGTTATCCCAGAGGGCAGCCCCTGAGAGAAGAGGGGTCCTCCTGATACGGGCCTGTCTTGGGGCCTGCCTGACCCACCCCATGGGGTAGGGGCTTTTGGTAAAGGGATGAGTGTGACAGGGGCATGTGGAAGACTTCTTCAAGATGACTGGCCCCGGGTGGGAGGGAGAGGAGAGCAGTAAGGAAAGGCCAGGGTCTGGGTCATGGTGCGGTGTGTTGTGATCAGTGTGGGGGATGCGGGATAGGAGGTTATGCTGAGGCAGCGGAATTTGGGTGCTTTGGGCTTCTGAGCATAAGCAGATCAGGTGAAGACAAGGACCAGGATGTGGCTGTGGGGAGGCAGGTGAAGAGGCTGTGACTCAAGGCCATGCTGTGAGGATGATTTCTGTAGCTGATATGCCCTCCTGGCTCAGCCCCAGGCTGGGCCCTGGACCAGGAAGAGCCCTAGGTTCTGGACCCGGAGTGGAGTCTGACAGGCACAACTCAACACACAGAGGGGAGCCTTAGCACCAGCTTGCGTACTCCGTAGGCACAATTCATTCAACAGACGTCTACAAAGCACTTGCTGTGAATAAAACAGACATGGTAACCTCCACTAGCAGCTCAGTCTTGTGAGGAGACAGATTTCCAGTCTTGCTACCCTTCCTGTGGTCCCAGACCTGCAGGTCAGCCCTGCCCGGGAGCTTGTTAGCGGTGTCAACCCTCAGGCCCCAGCCCAGACTTTCTGAATCAAAAATCGCATTTTGATAAGATCCTCAGTGATTCAGTGCATTTGAGGGGCTCTGATCTAACTACCTCAGCAATCTTAGCTCCGGTAGGGTCCCCTATTGCCCCACGGACCCAGAGTTTGTTCCTTGCATACTCAACTGTACCTTGGTGTTACTGTCTATGTAAACGTTTTGGGGACTTGTGCACAAATAATGTGATTCCTTACAGAGAAAAGCTGTATTTTTTTTAGTGTAAGTGGGCTTTTCTAGGGAATTTTAAAGTTCAATGAATTTAAAGCTGTGGAGACAAAACATTCCTGTATTTTTTTTTGTTTCTTTAAAAGTCAAGACTTTGTGTTGTAACCACACATGCACACAAAATCCTGAATAGTAGTATTGTAAATCTTGACATTTGTAGTGTTTTTCTCATTTTAAAAATGAATATATACCAGCCTGAGCAATTTGGCGAAACCTCATCTCTACAAAAAATACAAAAAATTAGCCAGGCGTGGTGGTGCACACCTGTGGTCCCAGCTACTTAGGAGGCTGATGTGGGAGGACCACCTGAGCCTGGGAGGTCAAGGCTGCAGTGAGTTGTGATTGTGCCACTGCACTCCAGCCTGGGCGTTGGAGTGAGACCATCTCTCCAAAAAAATTATATATATACACATAGTTTATTAAAGGCAAAAGAGGTTGAGGCTTCATGCTAGGAGCATTGGAGGACTTGCGGGGTTTTCAACCAGGGGAGGCGAGGTGAAGCTCAGGTGCACCTGCTGTGGGGGAAAGGATGAGAAAGTTCAAGGCAGCAGGGTGGCCAGTGAGGAGATATTGGGAGTCCTCTGGAAGACAGGTGGTGGGAAGCTGGACTAGGTAGGTTCTTACGGGGTGGAGAGGACTGGGTGAAGGGAAGCGCTCTCACAGCTGACTTCTATTGAGTGGCACTTGTGAAGTGTGGAGAACTAAGTTCTTTTCATGGCTGAACTTGTTAATCCTCATGATGAACTGTGAGGCAGGTGCTGTTATTAGCCCCATTTTCCAGATGAAGAAACTGAGTCTCAGAGAAGCTGAGCTGATGTAGCTAGGAAGTGACATCACTGGGACTGAGATAAGCAGAACAGTCCAACCCAGAGGCTGAGCACCCCCTGGGCAGCATCGGACAATGACGGCCTTAAAGGATGATGCCATGTGGCAGGAGGGGACAGCAGGGTGAGGATGAGATGTAACCACTCTGATTACTGACGGGGAGATCCCTGAGGCCTCTGGCGGAGTAGTTTCAGTGTATGGTGGGGCAAAGCCTCTGGCAGTGGGCTGAGAAGCGAGTGACGGTGAGACGGAGGGTAGAAGATTCTTTGAAGTTTTATTTTGAAGGAAAGAGGGGGATGGGGCAGCCAGAGGAGTCACAGGGTCAGAGACGCACCTTCCACACAGAAGTTTGAGCTCCTTCCTCTCTTAAGGAGGTGAGCCGGGAATGGGTGAGATGGCTGGCCGGCCAGCACAGGCAGAGCCCCACCATCAGCTGTCACGGGCTCCTCGCAGAGAGCTCAGGGAAGGGCTGCCTGGGTGGCCCAGTCCATCTGGGTGGGGTAGGTGCAGTGGGGTGGGCCTGGTTGGTCCACAGGTTTGTGGTGGGAGGGGACAATGGCTTCTGTGTTCTCTGTGAAATAGAGGTCAAGTCAGCCCCTGAGGTGGGGCTAGAAGCAATAAGGGTGGTGAGGTTTGGTGGCTTGAGCTGTGACTACCTGGAGGTGACCTTGAGGGGCTGGCAGCCTGGGGTCAGAGGGCGAGGAGGTTGGGAGGACCCAGGGCCTTGGCAGGCAAGAATATGGAATGGAAGGCCCCAGAGGCAGGGAGTGGGGCCATGGGAGGAGGCTGGGATGGGCAGGGAGGCCAGCTGGGCAGAGCAAAGGAGGCAGGAGGTGGTGCAGCCCCGGACCCCGGAGAGGCCCAGTGACTGCAGCCCAATACCTGCTGCCGTTCGATGAACCAGGGAGGAATGGAGGGACATGTTCCTAAAAGCAAACCTCATTCCAAAGGGGCTGCCAAGGATATCTGGGTAGTTGGCCACCACAGCGCTTCCGTGAGCCCTTGGACCGAGGCATAGCCTGGGTCATCCTGGGGGTCTCCTTCAAGGTTTGCCTTGACTCTATAGGAGCTTCATGCAAAATCATGGGCACCACTTCCCTCCTCCAGAGGCGACAGTCCTGCCAGCCCTTGAGGAGAGACCTGGTCCCCTGTAAGATGGTGATTCCACCCCAGGCCTTTGTGTCAACCCAGCCCGGCTTAGGGGAAACCTCCTTTGTGGGCTGGGCTGATTGCTATCAAGAAGGGAAATGAGCACACGTGCCCACCCCTGGGGCAGGCATGAGGGAGGGTGTGCCAGGGCCCGGACAGGAGAGCCAGCCCAAGACTGCAGCCCAGGGTCTGCCAAAGCCCTGGAGGTTTCAGGAGGGGTCTCTGGACCCCTGTCTAATGGATCCCTGTGGGCCTGACCCCATCCCTATGGAGTGGGCCACATTGTTGGAAGTCCTGGCCCTCAGGGTCCAGTCCAACTAGAGGTACATGCCTCCTTCTTCCCATCACTCACCCCCACAGGCCTAGTGGAATTTTCTGGGGTACCCGCCACAGGCAAGAACCTGGGCCTCAGTCACTGTGACAAGCTCCTCCGCCACCCTTTCCATGGCATCACAAGTGTCAGATTTAATCTGCCCATGACCTCGGTTGTATTTCCGCTGGTGGCCCTGATGACATCGCCTGGTTTTGTCACCACAGAAGGCAGCTCAGGGTTCTTGGCCAGCCAAGCAGTGCAACCAGATGTCCCCTGCTCACCTGAGCAGAGAGCTCAGGAAAAAGCCACCGAGCGGGCCCAGCTGGAGAGCCCTGGCCTCCTGTCCCAACCTGGCTCTGCACTCCATCCCCAAGACCTACACAGCCTCCACCTGTGCACCCTCGCCTTTCTATTCCCTGCTGCAGGGTCATGGCTTCCTTGGGGCCCAGTCGGTGCAGAGCAGACCCTCCATCCCAGGCCCAGTCTAATAGAGAAGACAGTTGGAGAATCCCCATTTAGAATGATATGCCTGTGGGAGACAGAAGCCCAGAAATGAGGCAGCCTCATCCAGCCTGCACCATCAGAGAAGACAGGAGGAAAGGACAGCTATGACCTAAAGGATGATCTGGAGCCAGGCAAGCCACAGAAGAAGTGTTCCCTAGGGAGTGCTGGGTTTGGGGCTGCAGGTGCTCCATCTGTTGGCCTCAATCCAGGGCTCCAATATCTGGATACCTGGGGTGGCCATATGGTTCCTATTGTTATTAATAAGTTATGGGCTTTCAGTGTCTGTCACTCTCTTGTTACCCACCTGAAATACAAAGCTTTGGAAGATGCATTCCTATTGCATTTATCATATCTATCGCAGACAAAACCAAGAGCTCCCCGTTCTCAAAGAAGCTGCCCCCAAACTGTGAGGTGACAAGGTTGGGGCATAAATGCTAAGAACCTGGCAGTCCAGGCCCTCAGGAAATGCTCTCTTAAGTGGGGGAGACTTCACATGGAGCATTAGTTGTGTAGATGATGTTGCCATGCGAAGTCTTGTCTGCCTCCCAGGGAGAGAGGGGAAGGGCCGGCCTGGGTGGGCAGCTGCAGGTCAGAGCTGTCCAGGGAAGGACAGGACCAGATGCTAGCTAGGCAGGGGCACAGACAGACCCAGGTGAGCTCAGAGCCAGGCTGCCTCTCAGCCGTGCCTGCTCTGTCTTATCTTCCTTGGTGAGGTGAGGAGAAACCTTTTACATTGTTTCCAGCCTTACTGATCTTTTCTTTACAGAAAATGATGAATAAGTTGATGTGTTTGTCGTGGAGGTTCCATATCAGAAAAGAGTATCAGTCCACTGGGGCTTCTCCCCACACCTCATCATCCCCCCCAACCCCCACACCCCCTGAATCTCCTGCACCGCCCTCACCCGTGCTGGGCCTTTACAGAGGATGTGGGCCAGGCCACTTCAGATCCACACAGGTTAGGGAAGACCACGGTACCTCCAAGCAGTACAGATATGTGGAGACCGTTTTGCCTCCCCCTCCTCCTCATCCTTCTTCCTCTCAGCCTCCAAAAGCCCCTACCCACAATGGCCATTAGAATCCAGACTAAAGACAACTTCTTGAACATCATCCTTGAAATCCAGTGGCAACTGAGCACGCCCTCTATGAGTAGCTGGTGCCAGATGGGCACAGGGTAGGAACAGCTCCGCTCGGCCCCAGGCCAGGCACTCATGGGTTCTTGCTCTTCCCCTGCAGAAAGGTGAGATCCAGGAGCAATGGATCCTGAGGTGGGCACACAGCCCCGAAGTCCCACTGCCCTCCCTACCAGTCGTCACTGCCATTGTATTGCTGGTCACTGCTCTGGGCTTGGGCACATTTGGGTGAGGCGCACCTGCAGGGTCACACTGGAGTCAGCCTTTATCTGGCATCTTCACTGCAGATGCATCCACCAGCCTATTCTTTGCCTCATGGAGGATGTGCGTGGTAGATGTTCTTTGCCAAGTGTGGGAGTTGTAATATTCACATTGGCACAGCTGGCTTCCTTCTTTTTGCATCCTGGAAGCTGGTTCAGAAAGTGCCCGTATACCCCAGGCCCTTGCCCAGTGCATCTGGAGCCAGGAGGCATGATGGTCCCTGCCCTGCCGGCCTGTGTCAGACTGTGCTGTGACCCGCTTGGCTGCTGTGCTCCTAAAGCAGCTGGGTTCCTCCTGGGGCCTGGGCAGGACAGAGCTGGGGGAGGTGATGGGGGAACTAGTGAAGGCCACCCCAGAAAGGAGGCAGGGGAATGGCAAACAAGGCCACAAGGACAGCCCTTCCTGGCCGTACCACACACACTTGGCCCCTGTAGAACACCACCTTTCTGAAGCCTAACCTGGCTGCCTTACTGAACACCTCAAAGCTCTTTAAACCTCATCTTCTTTATCCATTTGGAACAATCCAAAGATGATTGAGGTGTGTGAGGCTGGGGAGCGTCCCTCTGTCACTGGAGTCTCTGTGTTCCCAGAAGAGCCCGTTCCGGGTCAAAGTACCTGCCCTTGTCCTGCCCTTTCCCAAACAGGAACAGCATTTCCACTCCACCTCTGCCCCCCAGGTTCTTCCCCTCTCCACTGCCAGCAGCCCCTCCAGGGCTGGGCCAGGGCCACCACCCAGGACCTTCTCAGTCTTTTCAAAAGGCCCTCCTGGTCTATTTGGCTTCCAGAAGCTGACTGGCCTCTTTTGTCTCTGGCCCACAGGAACTCCTGCAAACCTTGCCCATCTCCACACCTACACCCCAGGGAAGCTGCCACCTGGGCTGGGATGCCCACTGCCCCAGGCTGAGCAAGGTACCTGCCACGACCCTTCCACCTTCTCTACACCTGACCCAATGTTCTGGTTTCTTCAAGGGAAAAACAGCGGCTGCACATCGAAGAAAGCAATTCTAATAACTTGTTGAATAGCTTCCCGAGAACCCTGGGTGATGTTGGGCTCTTGCTACCAACCAAATCTCTCATGCCTTTGTTCAGGCTCTTGAACTCCCAGGCCTGAGAGCTGGGCTCAGGTCCTGGGTCACCAATATTCCTTCTCGATATCCCAGGAATACTCCACTCCTTGTTACAGACGTTGGCAGTTGAAAGTTTAGCTCTGGAATGAGCCGCTCAGTTTTCATCTTGGGGATACTGACAATCATGTGTATTTATGTTGCAGATTACTTAACGGTTATTCACTTTGTTGTGAAAATATTTTATTTTATTAAGGGAGCCCTCTTAGGAGCCTCTGAGCAGAGCTCAGAGCGGGTACGAGAGCATCTACATTTCTCTCTCAGGTTTCAGTAAATTCCTTCTCCTCTGGGAAAGTGAGCACTTTGTAGAGGGTCCCTTTGTCAGCAGTGCTGCATTTCTAGAAGGCTTCTCCATTTGACTTGGGTCTGGGTTGCAATTTCCACACTCCACAGTTAATTTCTTTCATGCCACAGCTTGGATTCCTCTCAGGACTCTGTCTTTGGGGATTTTCCTGGTATTTCCCTAGCTTATGCCCTGAGTGGGCCCACCCAGACCCTGCTCGTTCTCCCTGGCTCAGTCACCCCCATCACTCCCGCTCCACCTACTCGCTCCTCTCCCCACTGCCCACACGAGCCTCTGAAGGCCTCTCTGCGCCGTCTGCTTCTCATCGCTCCCATGGACTCCCCCATCCTGGTCCAGGCCTGGCCGCCTTGGTTCTCACCACAGCTCTCAGGCCTGGGTTCTGCCACTGCATGTCTCCCAGTTGTCAGAGCAGCCTTTCTGGACACCTCTCTGCTCACGTCACCTCTGCTGTTGGCCCTCCACTGATTTACGGTTGGTTCCCTGGTACCAGGACCCAGGAGACGAACAAGCCAGTTTTCTTCCTGTGGAAATCCCCACTGAGGATTCCTAGGGCTCCTTCCAGTCCAGGGAACAATGGGTCTTTTTTATTTTGGGATCCCTGCCCTGCCAAAACTCCCTCACCCCTATTTAAGACTTTGATTCTCTCTTTCCCCTCCTGCCCTCCTCCACCTCCTTGGAACTATCCCCGTGGGTCTACTGGATAAGAAGCATGCGACCCATACCATGTGAGATGAAACGTGCCCCCACTTTCTTTTTTCTTTTCTTTTTTTTTCTTTTGAGACGGAGTCTCACTCTTGTTGCCCAGGCTGGAGTCCAGTTGCACAATCTCGCCTCACTGCAACCTCTGCCTCCTGGGTTCAAGCGATTTTTGTGCCTCAGCCTCCCGAGTAGCTGGGACTACAGGTGCGTGCCACCACACCCGGCTAATTTTTGTATCTTTAGTAGAGATGGGGTTTCACCATGTTGGCCAGGCTGGTCTCAAACTCTTGACCTCAACCTGATCCACCCGCCTCGACCTCCCAAAGCGCTGGGATTATAGGCGTGAGCCACTGCTCCTTGCCCCAGTTTCTATACTCTAAAACCCTGCCATCAGTCTCCATCTAAAGGACGCCAACTACAGACACCAGGCAACTGCAGTGTTGCCTCCTTACTAGTTAACTGTCCACTAGAGCCATCTGCCTATTCTGTTCTAAACTGCCCCCTCAGTGTTGGGTAACAGTTTAACAGGATGCTAGGTAGGATTTTACCAACTGCCCTGGAAAAGACAAGCGGCACCCAACCACGTGCCTCTGAGCCAGGAAGAAACTGTTCAGACAGAGGACCCTAGAGCCTTCTACCCTCCCACCATGTGGGGGAGAAAGGACATAGGGTTTCCCGTCCCCTAAGTGGACGCCTAAAAGTTAGAGGGCTTAAACCTCTGATTAAGAGGGTTGCCTTCCAGGCAAGGGGACCCATCAGGCAGAGGTTGCAGGACAACCACAGGGTCCAGAGCAGGGGGGCTCAGAAGAGGCCACACCATGGGTTTTCCCTTGATGGGGAACTGTGAGGAGGGAGATCTCTGCTTGTTCTTATGGAAAGTCCTGTAGGATGCATACACATGCCCCATGGGGACCCATCTGTCAGACAGCCTCACAGCCAGACACAGCCAGTCCAAACAGCAGCAACAGATCAGAGGAGGACGATAGTGTCTGTCATGTAAGAGACAGGTCTCTTTCCACCCTCTTCTTCCCTGCCCCAGTACACCATGGAAGAAAAGGTCCTAAAGAGGGAGGAGAGAACAGAAAGGCCAGACCATGCCCTCCCCTGCACCCCCATTTCAGCTGTCTGTGGCCAGTGCTGGTCAGCCCGGGGGAGGGGAAGAGACGGGCGTCACATTGGAAAAGAGATTGAGGCTCTAAGCTGTGCTGGATTTTTTTTTTTAATGCTGCAAGTGACTCCAGAATTGGGAATCTGCCCTAGAAGTTGACCAGGGTCAGGAGTGAGTGGCAGGAAGGGACACAGTTGTGGCTGGTGATTGGAAAAAACAAAGTGTTCTGTGTGTGCCCCCCAGGTTCCAGGCATGCCACAGCACGTGCAGGTGTAGAGCACCTAAACCAGCTGCCCACGGCCCTGCCGCAGCTCCCCCATGCCCTTCACTCAAAGCCAGCTGTTCCCATGCACCTGCCTCCCCATTCAGATGCCTGACTAACCTTTCCCCAAGGAGACCTGTCGGGTGTGGATAACCTTCCATTCCTGCTAAAGTGGAAGTCCCTGAGACTGAGAGAGGAGAGTTTGGACAAATGTTCACTGCTCTGACGCACACACATCTTCCTCCAGGGCACTTCTTTGGGGAGCTAAAATCCTTCAGCCCCTGGACCATCACCCTCTTTTCTCAGAGAAAGCCCTCCTCCCAGGCCTGCTCTTTCATCAGTACTCAGCTCAAGAAGATGCCAGAGGTCTTCTCCTTTGCAGAGCCTGGATCCACTTTCTCAAATCCCCAGGTAGGGCCCCCTATCTCAGGCCTGGATACCTGGCTCAGGAATTGTGGGCGCAGGGGTGATGCCCACCCCCTACTGCTTGGTTTCCAGTCCATACAGTGGGTAGCTCCGAGTTACAGCAGCAAGGGAAGTGTGACAAGCAGCCTGGAGCATAAGTGCCAAGAGCCCTGAGTAGTGGTCAGAGAAAGAGGAAGCCACAGGGCCCCAGATCACGGGAGTGCTGTGTGGTCCCAGCAGGCTGGGGCTCGGGTTGTATGTAATTGGGCATTAAGGGGAGAGTGACCCAGAAGTCTGGAGGACAGTGTTCCATGACACAGGCCTGGACCACACAGGACGGGTTTCACTGCACCTCTTCATGTAAGCTCTGCATTCTACAGACTTTGCACCTTCTGACAGTGTCCACTTCTGGGGTAAAGGAGCAGGCCCATGAGAATACCTCGGGGCCCTTATAAACCTTACTCCTGATGCAGGGAGTGGGGGCTGCAGGGCTCTGTGTTTCACATGACTCCAGGACAAGCTCACTTGCCTCTTACTCAGAGCTCTCCAGAGTGCTCTTCCCAGATAATCACGCACATTGAGTTTTCCAAAAGGGATTTGAGCTTTAGCGGTAAGAGGGTCATAAGCCAGACCTCGACATGGGCTGAGCGCAAGAGTGTATCATCCAGGAGGAAAAGTGTCTTTCTGTAATTCGCCCACTTAGAGGGCGAATTCTCACCCATGCAAAGGCACCTCATGCATGCTAGCGGAGATCGGCTTTGCTTGGCTCGTTGCTGTTGCCATCCTTTAATTTACATAGCTTCTGCGGTGAGCAGGTCTAACGCACACCCACCCCTGAAGGCCAAGGGAGCTGAGAGGCTGAAGTAATAAGAGGCTGAAGTAAAAGTCTGACAAGTCCAGTTTTTCAGAAAGAAGCATTTAATAGGGACTTAGGAACGGAAGTGATGTCTCTGGCAGCCAAGACAGTAGGTCCCCACACTTGTCCTCCAGAAAGTACTCTTAATACGGCAAGCTTTAGGATAAATGCATGTGCAACTGTTCATATCTTAGACACTCTTGTGAAACTCCTAACCTCTGGGGGAGTTAGATAAGCATCTTTACAATGGTTTATCTATACTACACGCATTGTTTCTTGACCTTGCTGTCGAACACCTTGGTATGCAGGAGTCAAACGTCAGTCACAATGGTGGTTTTGCTTCAAGATGGCATCACTCTTGCCATGCAACAGGCTATTTTCCTACACGTGGCTGCAATTATGGGGATTATAAACTCCCTGCTCACTGTGTGTATTTCCCCTGCAGGCACCCAGAGGCAAGTAGGGCAGAGACATCTTTGCTGAAGGCCCTGTGAAGCCCAAGAGCACAAGAGATTTGCCCTGGCCTGAGGGGGCTCCCAGTACAAAGGACTTTTAGCTTTAAAAAACCAGGATGGGTCCAGGCAAACCTCACTGTAGTGAGGATCTCTATGCTGTCCCTGATTGGTGAGTCTCTCGTCTATACATAGAACCTTACATTTGGCTTCATTTGTAGGAGTTTAGTTTGAAACATTTACTTTACTATTGAGCACTAACGTTTTCCAAGCATTTTCTTGCATACTGGATCTCGCAGGTTTGCGATGGACTTTTTCAACTCTGAAAACTTTCTGATTTATCCACTGAGTCACATTCTTGTCACTCTACTGAACATGTACAGTATTCCATGAGGCTGGGATGAGGTTTTAGCTGCTATTGAAAAGCCCATGGCCTGGAATGACCACACTTCATTTCTGCAGAGATGCCTGTGCCAACAGGGCCAAGAGGTCACTGACAGCAGGTAGGAGATGGATTTGGAGTTCCTGGGTCTCTCTCTGGTCTTGGTAATTGTAACTGTACTGGCCTCTCCAACGGTTGTTTTCTTAACTGAAATTGCCGTAGTTTTTCACTTTGAAACATCTAGGCTGTATTCACACACCAATGTTTATAGTGGCTGTCTTATCCCGTTAGGGCTGCTATAATAAAATACCATACTGAGTGGCTATTCAGAACAGAAATTTATTTCTCACAGTTCTGGAGGATGGAAGCTCAAGATCAAGGAACCAGAAGATTTGGTGTCCGGTGAGGACCCACTTTCTGGTTCATAGACAGCCATCTTCTTGCTATAACCTCACATCGAAGAAGGGGTAATGGAGTTTTCTGAGGTGTCTATTATAAAGGCCTAAGCTTATTCATGAGGGCTCTGCTCTCATGACCTGATCACCTCCTAAAGTCCTCACCTACAAATACCAACACATTAGGGCTTAGGTTTCAACATAAGAATATTGAGGCATAGATATTCAGTCTGTAGCTGCAGCATTATTCACAATAGCCAAAAGGTAGAAACAACCCAAATGTCCATCAGTAGATAAATGGATAAACAAAATGTGGTGTGTATATAAGTGGAATATTACTCAACCTTAAAACGAAAGGAAATTCTGACATGTGACAATATGGATGAACTTTGAAGACATTGTGCTAAATGAAATCGGTCAATACAAAATGACAAATATTATATGCGTCTATTTATTTATTTATTTAGTTAGTTATTTGAGACAGAGTTCTCACTCTGTTGCCCAGGCTAGAGTGCGGTGGCGTGATCTTGGCTCACTGCAACTTCCACCTTTCAGTCTCAAGCAATTCTCATGCTGCAGCCTCCTCCTGAGTAGATGGGACTACAGGCATAAGTCACCATGCCCGGCTAATTTTTGTATTTTTAGTAGAGACAGAGTTTCAGCATGTTGGCCAGGCTGGTCTCAAACTCTTGACTTCAAGTGATCTGCCTGCCTCAGCCTCCCGAAGTGCTGGGATTACAGGTGTGAGCCACCACTCTCAGCCTGCTTCCACTTATATGAGATACCTAAAGTATTTAAATTCACAGAGCTAGAAAGTAGAGTAGTTGTTACCAGGGGCTGGGGGCTGGGGGATGAAGAGTTAATATTTAATGGGTACAGAGTTTCAGTTTGGGAAGATGAAACCATTCTGGAGGTAGATGGTGGTGATGGTTGCACAACAATGTGAATGTACTTCATGCCACTGAATTGTACACTTAAAAATGGTTATGTTACGTATATTTTATCACATGAAAAAAGTCTAGTCTGGATGTTTTCTCAATAGACCCTGAGACTCTTTCCAAGGTTTCCCATAGAGACAGCACCCAGCCAATCCCAGCATCCTCCCCACCCTGACCCCTAGTCCTCCTTAGCCTGGGGGCCTTGCCCCCTTGAGATCTGATGAACGACTCTTCATGTTGAGACCCCAGTTCGTGGTCCCTACTCTGGATGGCCCTCTCAGCCTCCCTACCACCTAGAAGGCAACACCTATCCTCCTGCGGGACTCCGCTGTACCGGCAATCCTCCCTTTTTGTTTGTTAAGGTGTCATACCAGCCCTGGAGGTTTCCATGGAGAGGCCATGTCTATATCCTCTCTAGCACTAGGAGGCCTGGGCAGGGGTTGGAGCACATACTGGGGTAGTAGACACCAGGCAGGCACCTTGTTAAGATGGCTCTAGAGGCTGGAAAACTGTAGCTCACAGCAGGATATGGCACAGCCCCAGGCTCCCCTTGAAATTCGTACTCTACATTTGACATTTGCGAAAGTCAGTTAAGTAGATTTGCATTTTCCATGGAGCACCCTCAGGGTGGGAGGAAGAAAGGCCCAGTGGAAAAAGCAAGGGTTCTTGCCGTCTTGCCAAACTCTCTTCATTCTAAAAGTTTTTCAGATTCTCTTTGGTTTTCCAGTATTTTAAGTGCAAGAAACATAGTTTTACTTTATTTTATTTTTTAATTAAAAAAATAGAGCACAAATGCATGCAGAAAAGAGCATAAAACATGTAAATAAAACCTAATTAACCTAATTTAACAAGTAATTATAAGCAATCACCCATTTAACCATGCTTAAGTCAAAAAAAAATCGCCAACGCTCCAAAACTCTCCCCATATTTGTCCTCTAATCGTGACTGCTCGCCCTTAGAGGTAACCCACTCACCTGTCTTTTATGATGATTGCTTCCTTGGTTTTCTTTTCTTTTTCTTTTTTTTTTTTTTAACCTGGATCTCTGGCAATTTTTTTCTTCCTTGGTTTTCTCTGTAGCTTTGTCACTTACTTACACATTCCTAAACAATACAGTTTTGTTTTGCCTGTTTTTAAACTTTAAATAAATAGATTGGGGTTGTTTTCGGTACATAATGCAAACAAATCTGCTGTGAACATTATCTTGGTACACGTATATATGAATACATTAACATGTATTTATTAAACAGAATAATACATCACACTCCCCACCCCCAAAAATGTTCATGTCCTAATCCCTGGAACCTGTGATATGTTATTTTACATGCAAAAGGAGCTTTTGCAGATGTGATTAAGTTAAGGGTTTTGAGATGGGAAGATTATTCTGAATTATCCAGGTAGGCCCAATGGAATCACAAGAATCCTTGTAAGAGGGAATTAGGAGGGTCAGATCTAGAGAAGGAGACATGACAATGGAAGCAAAGGAGAGAGAGAAATTTTTAAACACTACACTGCTGGGCTTAAAGATGGAGGGAGGGGCCATGAAGCAGGAAATTCAGGAGGCCTCTAGAAGCTGGAAAAGTCAAAGAAACAGATTCTTCCAAAAGGAATGCAGCCCTACCAATACATTGATTTTAGGATTTCTTAGCTCTAGAACTGTAAGATAATAAATGTGCATTATTTAGCCACTAAATTTGTGATTATGCATGTGTATATGTGCACATGCACACATACACATAGGACTGAAATTGCTGAATTAATCACGGGATATATTCACTTTCCTAGATAATGTTAATTTCACAAACATACAATTTATACTTCCATTAGCAGTATTTGAGAATTCCTTTTGCTCCACATCCTTGCCAATACATTAAATTGTCTGAAATTGCCAATTTTTTTTTTTTTTTGAGAAAAGGTCTCACTGTGTTGCCCACGCTGGAGTGCAGTGGCAGGATCTCAGCTCACTGCAACCTCTGCCTCCTGGCTCAAGCGATTCTCCTGCCTCAGCCTCCCAAGTAGCTGGGACTATAGGCGTGTGCCACCACGCCTGGCTAATTTTCGTATTTTTTGATAGAGACAGGGTTTCACCATGTTGGCCAGGCTGGTCTCAAACTCCTGACCTCAAGCGATCTGCCCACCTTGGCCTCCCAAAGTGCTGGGATTACAGGCATGAGCCACCATGCCCAGCCCAAAATGTTTTCATTTATACCAATCTGATATGCACAAATGTCCTCAGCACAGCACAGTTGCTCTACCAAAATGTAGCCAGACAACTTCTTTAAGTAGGTCCCTGATCCATTCCCCTTCACTATGTGGGACCTCCCAACTGGGGCCTCTAGTCACCCCCAACAGAAATTTGAATTCTTTCTCTTATTGTGGTTTAAATTTTCCTTGATCTGATTATGAGTGAGGTTGAGAACCTTTTATTGATTATTTGGATTTCCTGTATTATAAAGTGCCTGTTCAACCTTTGTCTGGCTTTCTATAGGATTGTCTGCACTATTTTTTTTTTCATAGAGACAAGGTTTTGCTGTCGCCCAGGCTGGAGTGCAGTTGGTGTGATCGTAGCTCACTACAGCCTCAAACTCCTGGCTTCAAGTGATCCCTGCACCTTGGCCTCCCAAAGAGCTGGGACTACAGGTGTGCACCACCATGTCCTGGCTAATTTTCTTATTTATTGAAGTTTTTTTTTTAACATTCTGGATACTAATGCTCTATGGATTATATATGTTGCAAATGTCTTCTCCCACTATTTTGTATCTTTTCATTCCACGGTATCTTTTGAGGAACCAAAGTTCTAAATTTTAGTGTAGTCAAATATTTTCATTGTAGATACTGGAGTGTGGCCAAGATGGCCAACTAGAAACAGCTAGGGTGCATGGCTCTCACAGGAATGAAAGAGGCAAGTAAATACAGCACCTTCAACAGAAACATCCAGGTACTCTCTTTGGGAGTAATCAAGGAAACAACCTGACACACAGAGGATGGAGAAAAGCAAGGCAAAATGACGGCCCGCCCAGGAGCAACACGGAGCCGAGGGAACCTCTCCCAGACAAGGAAGTGGTGAGTGAATGGGGAAGAAGTGGGGAAACCACACTTCTCCCACGGATCTTTGCAACCCTTCGGTCAGGAGATCCCTTCGTGAATCCACTCCATCGGGGCCTTCAGTGTGACACATAGAGCAGCCGCTCAGGCATGTGTGGACACTCAGGAGTTTTACATACTCGGGCTCCAGGCTTCCTGGCAAAAGTAACTGCAACTCCAGCAAAGTGGGAGGTTAGACCCCCATACACACTCCTAGGAAGGAGGCTGAATCCAGGGGCCCAAGAACTGACAGTCTGCAGACCCCACTTCTAGGGCACCTCACAGGATAAGACCCACTGTCTTGGAATTTCAGCCAGCCACTGGCAACAGTGTTGCACCTACCTGGAACAGAGTTCCTATGGGGAAGGGAGGGCTGCCATCTTTGCTGTTTGGGCGACTCAATCATTCCAGCCTTTGGACTGTGGGGAGTCAAAACCAACTGGGGGCAGAAGGGAGTCTCCAGCACAGAACTGTTGCTCTACCAAAATTTGGCCAGGCTGCTTCTTTAAGCAGGTCGCTGATCTGTTCCTCCTCACTGGGCAGGACCTCCCAACTGGGGCCTCCAGCCCACCCCCACTGGTGTTCTCTGGCCAACAGAGATTTGAATTCTCCCTGGGGCAAGTTCCCCAGGGGAAGGGCAGGCCACCATCTTTGCTATTTGGGCAGCTCAGCCCAACTCAGGGCAACAAAGCCTCCAACTCTGGCTTTGGAGAGCCCAAACTGACCGGGGCAGAAGTAGTACCCCAGCACAGCATAGCTGTTCTATGAAAGCATGGTCAGACTGCTTCTCTAATCAAGTCCCCAATCCCATTCCTCCTCACTGGGCAGAACCTCCCAACCGGGCCTCCAGCCACCTCCTCTAGTGTTCTCCTACTGACAGAGATTTGAATTCTCCCGGGGACAGAGTTAGGGGGACAGGCTGCCATCTTTCCTGTTTGGGTGACTTAGCCATTCTAGCCTGCAGACTTTGGGGAGTTCAAACTGACTGGGGGCAGACGGGATAACCCAGCACAGCACAGCTACTGTACCAAAATGTGGCCAGACTTCTTTAAGTAGGTCCCAAATCTGTTCCCCCTCACTGGGCGGGACCTCCCAACCAGAGCCTCCAGCCACCACCACCAGTGTTCTCTGGCTAACAGAGATTTGAAAACTTCCTGGGACAGAGCCCCCAGAGGGAGGGGCAGGCTGCCATCTTTGCTGTTTGGTGACTTTGCCATTCCAGCTTCCAGGCTTAGGAGAGCTGAAGACGATGGGGGGTGGAAGTGGTAACCTGGCACAGCACACCTACTCTATGAAAGCATGGCCAGACTGCTTTCTTAAGTGGGTCTTCAATCCCGATCCTCCTGGGTGAGACCTCCCAACTGGGGTCTCCAGCCACCTCCTACAGGTGCATTTGGGCCAGCAATAGGTCCATACCTCCCAAGGAGGAGCTCCCAGAGGAAGGGGCAGGCTGTCATCTTTACTGTTTTGCAGCCTTCACTGGTGATACCTCCAGGTACTGGAAAATCTGAGGTGACTAGGGACTGGAGTGGACTCCAAGCAAACTGCAGCAAAGTGGCCAGTCTGTTAAAAACAAAAAAAATCCAAAAGTCAGCAATCTCAGAGATTGAAGATAGATAAGCCCACAAAGATGACAAAGAATCTGAATAATAATGCTGAAAACTCAAAAAGCCAGAGTGCCCTCTTTCCTCCAAATGACTGCATCACCTCTTCAGTAAGGGTTTGGAAGAAGTCTGAGGCTGAGATGGCTGAAATGACAGAAGTAGAATTCAGAATATGAATAGGAACGAACTTCAGTAAGCTACAGGAGTATGTTGTAACCCCATGCAAGGAAGCTAAAAATCATGATAAAACATTGCTGGAGCTGACAGACAAAATAACCAGTATAGAGAAGAATGGAACTAATCTGATAGAGCTGAAAAACACACAAGAATTTCATAATGCAATCAGAAGTGTTTATAACAGAGTAGACCAAGCAAAGGAAAGAATCTCAGAGCTTGAAGACTACTGTTGTAAAATAAGACAGACAAGAAAAGAGAAGAAAGCATGAAAAAGAATGAAGAAAACCTTTGAGAAATATGGGATTATGTAAAGAGACTGAATTTATGACTGACTGGTGTACCTGAAAGAGATGAGGAGACTGGAACCAATCTGGAAAACATATTTCAGGATATCATCCATGAGAACTTCCCCAGCCTAGCTAGAAAGGCCAACAATCAAATTCAGGAAATGCAAAGAACCCCAATAAGATATCCCACTAGAAGATAATCCCCCAGACACATAACCGTCAGATTCTTCAAGATCGAAATGAAAGAAAAAATGTTAAGTGTAGCTAGAGAGAAAGGCCAGGTCACCCACAAAGGGGAGCCCATCAGACTAATAGAACTCTCAGCACAAGCCAGAAGAGATTGGGGGGCAATATTCAACATTCTTAACAAAAAGAATTTCCAACCCAGAATTTCATATCCAGCCAAACTAAGCTTCATAAGTGAAGGAGAAATAAAATACTTTACAGACAAGCAAGGGAAGTCATTACTGTCAGACCTGCTTTACAAGAGCCCCTGAAGGAAGCACTAAATATGGAAAGTAAAGACCACTGCCAGCCACTACAAAAACACACTGAAGTACACAGATCACTGGCCCTATAAAGCAACCACATAAACAAGTCTGCAAAATAACCAGCTAATACCATGATGACAATATCAAATCCACACATATCAATACAACCTTAAATGTAAATGGGCTAAGTTCCCTAATTAAAAGACACAGAGTGGCAAGCTGGATAAAGAACCAAGACTCATTGGTATACCATCTTCAAGAGACCCATCTCACATGCAGTGACACACATAGGCTCAAAATAAAGGGATGGAGGAAAATCCTATCAAGCAAATGGAAAACAAAAAAGCAGGGGTTGCAGTCCTAGTTTCTGACAAAACAGACTTTAAACCAACAAAGATCAAAGAGGATAAAGAAAGGCATTACATAATGGTAAAGGGTTTGATTCAACAGGAAGATATAACTAGCCTAAGTACATATATGCACCCAGTACAAGAGCACTCAGATTCATAAAGCAAGTTCTTAGAGATCTTCAAAGAAATATAGACTCCCACATAATAATAGTGGGAGATTTTAACACCCCACTGACAATATTGGACAGATCATTCAAGACAGAAAATTAACAAAGATATTTAGGACCTGAACTTGGGACTGAATCAAGTGGACCTCATAGATATCTACACAACTCTCCACCCCGAAACAGTAGAAAATACATTCTTCTCATTGTCACATGGCACTTACTCTAAAATCAATCACATAATTGGAAGTAAAACACTCCTCAGCAAATGCAAAAGAACTGAAATAATAACAAACAGACTCTCAGACCACAGCACGATCAAATTAGAAACCAAGACTAAGAAATTCACTCAAAACCATATAATTACATGGAAATGGAATAACCTGCTCCTGAATGACTTTTGGATAAATAATGAAATTAAGGCAGAAATCAAGAAGTTCTTTGAAACAAAGACACATACCAGAATCTCTGTGACACAGCTAAAGCACTGTTAAGAGGAAAAAATGTCCTCATCAAAAAGTTAGAAGGATCTAAAGTTAATAACCTAACATCACAATTAAAAGAGTTAGAGAACCAAGAGCAAACAAATCTGAAAGCTAGCAGAAGACAAGAAATAACCCAAATCAGAGCTGAGCTGAAGGAGATAGAGACATGAAAAAAAACATTCAGAAGATCAACGAACCCAGGAGCTGGCTTTTGGAAAAAATTAATAAAATAGATAAACTGCTAGATAGACTAATAGGGAAGAAAATGGAGAAGATTCAAATAAACACAATCAGAAATGATAAAGAGGATATCACCACTGACTCCACAGAAATATAGACAACTATCCGAGAATATTATGAACACCTCTATGCACATAAGCTAGAAAATCTAGAAGAAATGGATAAATTCCTGGACACATGCACCCTCCCAAGACTGAACAAGGAAGAAATTGAATCCCTGAACAGATCAATACAAGTTCTGAAATTGAGGCAGTAATAAATAGCCGATCAACCAAAAAAAAGCCCAGGACCAGATAGATTCACAGTTAAATTCTACCAGATGTACAAAGAATATATGGTACTGTTCCTACTGAAACTATTCCAAAAAATCAAAATGGAGACTCCCCGCTAACTCATTCTATGAGGCCAGCATCATCCTGCTACCAAAACCTGGCAGAGACACAATAAAAAAAAGAAAATTTCAGGCCAGTATCCTTGATGAACATCAATACAAAAATCCTCAAAAAAAATACTGGTAAACAGAATCCAACAGCACATCAAAAAGCTAGTCCACCATGATCAAGTAGGCTTTATCCCTGGGATGCAAGTTTGGTTCAGCATATACAAATCAATAAATTTGATGCATCACATAAACAGAACTAAAGATAAAAACCACATGATTGTCTCAATAGATGCAGAAAATGCTTTATATAAAATTCAACATCCATTCATGCTAAAAACTCTCAATAAACTAGGTATCGAAGGAACATACCTCAAAATAATAAGAGCCATCTATGGCAAACCCACAGCCAACATCATACTGAATGGGCAAAATCTGGAAGCATTCCCCTTGAAAACTGGCACAAGACAAGGAGGCCCTCTCTCACCACTCCTATTCAACATAGTATTGGAAGTTCTGGCCAAGACAATCAGGCAATAGAAAGAAATAAAGTGCATTGAAATAGGAAGAGAGGAAGTCAAACTATTGCTGTTTGGAGGTGACATGATCCTATACCTAGAAAATCCCATCATCTCAGCCCCAAAGCTTCTTAAGCTGATAAGCAACTTCAGCAAAGTCTCAAGATACAAAATCAATGTGCAAAAATCACTAGCATTTTTATTCACCAACAACATTCAAGCCAAGAGCCAAATTATGAGCAAACTCCCATTCACAATTCCCACAAAAAGAATAAACTACCTAGGAACATAGCTAACTAGGGAGGTAAAAGATCTTGACAAGAACTACAAACCACTGCTGAAAAATCAGAGATGACACAAACAAATGAAAAAAAATTCCATACTCATGAATAGGAAGAATCAATTTTATTAAAATGGTCATACTGCCTAAAGCAATCTATAGATTCAATACTATTTCCATTAAACTACTGTTGACATTCTTCACAGAACTAGAAAAAAAAAATTTAAAATTTATATGGAACAAAAAAAAAAAGAGTCTTAATAACCAAGGCAATTCTAAGCAAAAAGAACAAAGCTGGAGGTATCACACTACCTGACTCCAAACTATACTCCAGGGCTATGGTAACCAAAATAGTATGGCACTGGTACTAGGACAGACACGTAGACCAATGGAACAGAATCAAGAACCCAGAAATAAGACCACATGCCTACAACCATCTGATCTTTGACAAAGTCAACAAAAACAAGCAATGGGGAAAGCATTCCCTATTCAATGTATGGTGATGGGATAAGTGGCTAGCCACATGCAGAAGATTGAAACTGGACCCCTTTCTTACACCATATACAAAAATTACCTCAAGATGGATTAAAGACTTAAATGTAAAATCCCAAACTATAAAAACCCTGGGAGACAATGTTAGGCCATACCATTCAGGACATAGGCACAGACAAAGATTTCATGATGAAGATGCCAAAAGCAATTGCAACAAAAGCAAAAATGGACAAATGGGATCTAATTAAACTTAGCTTCAGCACAGCAAAAGAAACTATCAGCAGAGTCAACAGACAACCTACAGAATGGGAGAAAATTTTTGCCAACAAAGGTCTCATATCCAGCATTTATAAGGAACTTAACAAATTTACAAGAAAAAAAAAACCCCATAAAAAATGGTCAAAGGACATGAACTTTTCAAAAGAAGGCATACATGCAGCCAATAATCATATGAAAAAAAGCTCAGCATCACTGATAATTAGAGAAATGCAAATCAAATAAAAACCACAATGAGATACCATCTAACAACAGTCAGAATGACTACTATTAGAAAGTCAAAAAATCACAGATGCTGGTGAGGTTGTGGAGAAAAAGGAATGCTTATACATTATAGGTGGGAGTGTAAATTAGTTCAGCCATTGTGGAAGACAGAGTGGCAATTGCTCAAAGACCTAAAGACAGAAATACCATTTGACCCAGCAATCCCATTACTGGATATATACCCAAAGGAATATAAATCATATTATAAAGACATATGCATGCGTATGTTCATTGCAGCATTTTTCACAATAGCAAAGACAAGGAATCAACATAAATGTCCATCAATGAGAGACTGGATAAAGAATATGTGGTACATATACACCATTGAATACTATGCAGCCATAAAAAAGAACAAGATCATGTCTTTTGCAGGGACATGGCTAGAGCTGGAGGCCATTATCCTTAGCAAGCTAACACAGGAACAGAAAACCAAATATCACGTGGTCTTATTTAGAAGTGGGAGCTAAATGATAACACATGGACACAAAGAGGGGAACACATTGCAGCCTTTCGGAGAGTGGAGGGTGAAAGGAGGGAGAGGATCAGCAAAAAGCACTAATGAATACTAGGCTTAATACCTGGGTGATGACATAATCTGTACAACAAACCCCCATGACACAAGTTTACCTATGTAACAAACCTGCACTTGTATCCCAGAATTTAAAATGAAAGTTAAAAAAATAGGTACTGATTTTGTTTTGTTTAGGAATTCCTTCTCTACCTTGAGATGATGATATTTTCTTGTATAGTATCTTAAAAACTCTATAGTCTTTTCTTTCACATCTATGTCTTTAATTGACCTGGAATTGCATGAGGCAGGGCTCTGGTTTAGCTGTTTCCATATTAATACTCATTTGTTCCAGCATATTTTTTGCAAAGACTTCTTTTCCTGCTGATTTGCATTGCTGACTCTTATATTTCACGGGTTCATAGATACGTGGGTGTGGGTCTTTCTCTGGGTTTTCTATTATGTTCCATTGCTCTATTTGTCTCTCCTTAAACTAATATCACATTGTCTTAAATATTCTAACTTTATAATACATCTTGGTATCTACAAGAGCAAGTTCTCCCACCTTGTTCTTTTTCTTTAAGAATGTCTTGGCTATTCTTTATCCATATTCATTTTAAACTAGCTTGTCAACTTTTCCCACCACACCCCAAAATGCTGGGACTTTGAGATTGCACTGATTCTATAAATCAATTTCAGTAGAATGACATCTTTACAATATTGAGACTTCTAGTTAACAAACACAGTATTTTCACTTTGTGTGTTTGTGTGTGTGTGTGTGTCTCCCAATAAAGTTTAAAATTTTCTTAATAGAGAACTTTTGTTATATTTATTCCTAGGAACTTGGCATTTTGGCATTATATTAAAAAAGGCAACTTCTTTTAAAATATCATGTTAATAAATGTCTTTTTCTGGTATAAAGAAATGCAATTGATTTTTATGGACTGATTTTGTATCCAGCAAACTTGCTAAACTCTCTTATCAATACTAAAATCTTATCTATAGATCCTTTTGAATTTTCTACATATACAAATGCATCACCTATGAGTAGTGACAGATTTTCTTCTATTTTTCTTAGTTTTCTATCTTTTATTTATTTTTCTTTCCTTACTACACAGACTGGGATATCTTGTAGAATGCTGAATAAAAGTAATAACATCAGGCATCCTTGTTATAGATCTCAAAGGGAAAGATTTCATCATTTTACCATTAAGCATGATGTTTCCTCTAAGTGTATTGCAGATATTCTTTATCAGACTAAGGAAGTTCCCTTGTATTCCTAGGTTTGCTAAGAGCTTTCATCATGAATGGATGTTGATTTTATCAATTGTTTTTTCCACAGATATTGAGATGATCATATGTGTTTTCTTCTTCAATCTTTTAATATGGTGAATCCCATTAAGTTATTTTCTAATGTTAAAATAATTCATATTCCAGGTAGACCCAACATGGTCATCATATGTTATTACCATTTTTTTGGTATTACTAGTTATGTGTTATACCTTTGAAGGATTTTTGTATCTATGTTTATGAGTGAGATTTAGGGGACTACATGGCCCAATTTACCTGGAACAACTCCAGTTTACACTTCTTTTTCTGCATCATTATTGATAACATTTACACTCTTAAAGTGCCTGGGTTTGGATGATAAAGTATATGGTCACGCTAGTAAGAATGGCCTGTGGTATTATATTCTCATATTATCTTTGTCCAGTTTTGGTATCACAGCAATGTTTTCTCATTCTATATTTCCGAGAACAGTTTGTATAAGATTGGAACAGTTATTTTCCTTGAATGTTTGGTAGAATTCACTGTTGAAGCCATTTGGGGGTCAAAGTTTCCTTACTGAATCCATTATTTTATAGGTTATAGAGTTATTACTGTTTTCTATTTTTTAGTCAACTTTGAGGTTATAATTTTGTAGTAATTTGTCAATTTTTTCTAAATTGTGTTAGCATAGGGTTTTTCAAAATATGTGCTCATCTTCTTAATGTCTGCAACATTAAAGGTTCTGGTATTGGTTATTAGTTCTCTCTATTATTTCATTAGAAGTTTGTTAATTGTTTTAGTCTTTTCAAAACACCAGCTTTGAGCTTTGTCAATCCTCTCTATTAAATAATAATTTTCTATTTCATTACTCTTTACTATTTATTACTTTCTTTCATCCTTTTTTTTTTTTTTTTTTTTTTGAGATAGAGTCTCAGTCTGCCACCCAGGCCGGTGAGCGGTGGCGCAATCTCAGTTCACTTCAACCTCTGCCTCCTAGGTTCAAGCTATTCTCCTGCCTCAGCCTCCCAAGTAGCTGGACTACGGGCATGTGCCACCACACCCACCTAATTTTTGTACTTTTAGTGGAAATGGGGTTTCACCATGTTGGCCAGGCTGGTCTCAAAACTCCTGACCTCAAGTGATCCGCCAGCCTCAGCCTCCCAAAGTCCTGGGATTACAGGCATGAGCCACTGCACCCAGCCTTCTTTCATACATTTTATTTGGGTTTATTTTGCTGTTCTTTGCCATATTTCTTGACATAGATCCTTAATTTTTTACTTTTCATGCTGTATTTTTTTCTAATGTATGTACTAAACCAAACATTTTTTCTGTAAAGGGTCAGATAGTAAATATATTTGTCTCGGCAGGTCTCTGTCTGAACTACTCAATTCTGCTGTTGTAGGGCAAAAGCAGCAAAGGCAGTAAATAAGCAAATAGAAGTAACTTTGTCTCAATAAAAGTTTATTTATAAAATCGGGTTGTGGGCTGGATTTTGCCACATTTTGTTCTAAACTTTGCTCAGTGTATTGCTTTAGCAACATGCCACAGACCTTGATGTTATACTTTTTTATTCAGTTTAAATGTTTCATAAAACATTTTGATTTCTTCTTTGACGCACGAGTTATTTTTGAAATGTTTCTTAATGCCTAAGTATTTAGACATTTCTAGTTTTCTTGTTTTTTTTTTCTTTTTTTTTTTCATTTGTCTGTTTTGCCACTGATTTCTATTTAGTTGCATTATGGTCAGAGAATATACTCTATATCAGTGCTATTTAAAAGAAATATAATGCAAGCCTCATATGTAATTTTAAATTTTCTGGTAGCTATATTGGGAAAGTAAAAAGAAGCAGGTGGAAATTAATTGTAATAATATATTTTATTTGACACAATATAGTATATCCAAATACTATATCATTTCAGCATGCAATGAATATAAAAAATTACTGATATTTTACATTTCTTTTTTGACAATGTCTTTAAATACAGTGTTGATACATCTTAATTAGGACTAGCCACATTTCAAGTGTTCAGCCTGTGCCTAGTGGCTACTGTATTGGACAGTGGATCTACAGATGATGTCATGGTTTGAAATTTATTAAGATTTACTTTATTGTCTAGTATAATGTCAATTTTTATAAATGTCCCATGTATAGTTGAGAAGAATCTGTATTCTTTAGTTATTGGATACAGCATTTTATCCATGTTTATTTGGTCAGGTTTTCTTTAAAAACCAAACTGTTTTTAAAGTTTGGTGTCCTTACTGGATTTTTGATATGTATATTCTGTCAGTCACAGAGTAGCATGTAAAAATCTTCCACTATGATTGTAAATGTGCCTAATTATCCTTGTAGTTCTGTCAATTTTCCTTTATATATTTTGAGGTTATACATACAAATCGTAAATTATTGTATCTTCTTGAATTGAACAATTCCTGGTCATTGAGTTTTTTGCTTCTAGAAAAGCTGTTTGCCTTAAAGTCTATTTTGTCTTATATTTCTATGGCTCCACTTACTTTCTTTTGGTAAGTGCTTGCATGGTATATCTATCTTCCTCTAGTCTTACCTCAACTTTTCTCATGTTTCAGGTGTGTCTCTTGTAAGCAACATATAATTGAGTTTTGCTTTTTAACCCAATTGTTATCTTTTACCCAAAATGTTTGTTTTTCAATCTAATGTAATTATTGTTATATTTTGGATAAATTTATCATCTTATACAGTGATTTTCATTTGTCTTTCCTGCTCTTTTTCTTTGTTTTTTTGTTTGTTTGTTTTGTTTGTTTTGGTTTGGTTTTGCTCTTTTGGATTAGTTTCTTTTTTAAATCTTTTTTACCCCTCTACTAGACTGGAAGTTATACACTGTGTTTCAATTCTTTTAGTGATTACCCTAGAAATTATAACATTCTTAACTTATCAAGGTCTAAAGTTAATTATTATTTTCCTCTTGAGAAATAGTTTGGAACATTTTAATATCATTTACCTATTTCCCAACTTATATGTTTTCATTTTTGTGTATTTTCCTGCTATATTTTAACTCCATAAGAGATTATTATTTCTGTTTTATGCAGTTTGTGTTTGCTTAGTTCTATTCCCCCCCTCCATGATTATACTTTCTCTGCTCTTCTTTCATCTCAAACATTCTATGTGGAATTACTTTCCTAACGCCTTGAGTGTATCTTTTAGAATTTCCTTTAGTCAGAACTAAATGGTTACGAAATCTCTCAGTTTTTATTTCTTGAATATAAAATTCTAGGCAGGCAGTTATTTCCTTTGGCACATTCCATAAACGATTCCCCTGCCTCCTGGCTTTATTATTGCTATTGAAAAGTCAGCTGTCAATCTAATTCCTGCTCCTTTCAAGTCAATATATTCCTTTTCTGACTTCTTTTTAAGATTGCCTATTTGTCGTTTATGATCTACAGTATACCTATAATGTGTCTTAATGTAGATTTATTATTATTTACTCTTTTTGGGTTTCAATAAGTTTCTTAAGTGTGACAGTTGATGCCTTTACATCAGTTTTGGAAAAATAAAATCTGTTTTGTCTCTAAATATTTCCTCTGTTTCATTCTTTCTGCTTCATCTGGAATCCTGATTAAATATAGGTTAGTTCTTTTTATTTGATCCCTCATATATCCTAATTTCCATTTTTTCCTTCCTTCCTTCCTTCCTTCTTCCCTCCCTCCCTCCCTCCCTCCTTCTCTCTCTTTCTTTCTTTCCTTCTTTCTTTTTCTTTCTTCTTTCTTTCTTCTTTTTCTCTTTTTTCTGTCTTTCTTTCTTCTCTCTGTGCTATAATCTGGATAATGCCCTCTTACCTGTTTTACAGTTTACTAAGTCTCTCTTCAGCTGAATCTAGTATGCTATAAACCTTTCCATTGAGTTTTTTATTTGTGTTGTGTTTTTAAAATGCTACAAGTTCTACTTTATTTTTTAATTCAAAACTGCTAGATTACTTTTTATAGTTTCCTATTTCCTTCAGATATTTTCAAGCTTCTCTTCTGTTTCTTTGAATCTTAACAAACATAGTTGTTTTATAATCTATGTCTGATAATTGAAATATCTAAAGTCTTTGTGGTTCTGTTTCTTCTGGTGCTCATTCACAGTGCTTTGTTTTCTCATATGCCTGGTTAATTTTTACTGTGCATGTTTCAAAGTCCTTGAAAAATTATTTATGGTGATAATTGAGGTCTAAGATGAAGGTGACTGCATTAGCTCCTGCCAGATTTATTTCTGTTTCATTCTTATTCTGAAAGTGCAGGCCTCTAGGGCCACAGGCTAGTGAGGAAAGTGTGCCCTATTAGACTCCCTACCTCAGGCAGGCTTGCACTTTGACTTCTGACTCCTCACTCTGTAAGACCATCAGAACTGAAGTCAAGATTTGCAGGACTGGTAAATACTCTGAGCAGAAGTGGCTTCAGAATTTTGTTTTCCCTTTTTTCTCCCCTTCAGTTTTTACTCTACCCCTAGGTTGTACTCTAGTCCTTCTTGACTATCTTATCAAGTAATTCATGCCTTTTTTCAATTCAAATAACCTAGACCAGTATATTACTGTAAATGAAGCCTTTTAGTTTATTTTTGTGACTAAATGCATTCTCCATTGCAAGCCTCTGTGATACTTGATAAATTCATCTGGGTCTTCTCCCATTTCCTGGGTTGTATTTACATTCTGGGTATTTTGGAGCCATCAGAGAAGAGAGAGGCATGGACAACAACAAACCACGTAATCATGAATCAATGAGGGCCTTCAGATGTTGGTTTTCATATGTCATTGCAAAATCTTCCCTCATTCCTCACCCAGGCTTCTTCCATCTGACCCTCTCTCAGGTCACAGACACCCCGCCATGAGGGGAAGAGGTTGGATGGCTCTGTTGCCCCTAGCCATCCTGTTGCTCCTGGGCCAAGCTGGAGGTTCACAGTAATCTCTGTGAGAGTCTCTGGCCCAGCAACCTAGATTGGCCACTGTGTGGTCTCACCCACCTCTAGCTCCACCTGAGAAGAGGGTACCCTTCCACACCGAGATCCTTTAAATCCTTCTGGCCAAGAAGGGGGAGGGACAGGACTTTTCCTAGGGACCTTCGCTTTCCCTCTGGCTGGCATCGCCCCAAATACTCCCTCCTACCAGTCTAGGGAACCTTTGTCTAGTTGGGCTAGAGGCCTAGCTCAAAATCATTTTGCATTCATTCCCTGTGTCCCAAATTCCTTAAGAGTTTGGGCTTTTGAAACTCAAAAGTTTTTTTTGTTTTGTTTTGTTTTGTTTTGTTTTTTCTGTTTCTGACCCCTCCCTGGAAGTCTCAGATACATCACATTCCATGGGAATTGGGGAAGCCTTGTGGATAACAATTTACCAGGAAATTACAACTGGGTAATATCCCCTAACATTTTCCTTTAATGTAATTGTCATCTTACGATTTTTCTTTGACTTCTTGGGAACTAAGGAAAGTTATAAGGAGCAGAGCCCAGGGACCACAAGCAACAATGAGGGGGATAGGAGTTTGGGTAGAAATCCTGTTCTCTCCTACTCTCATATTTCCTTTTTCACTCCTCCAGTGTGGGCTGTGAGCCCACTACCCAAGGAGGCTGCTTTGAAAGGAGCACTGCTTAAGGTCCTTGCTATAGTTGAAGCACATGAGGGTTCAATTTCAGTGAGTATCTACTCCAGGGATTTCACTAAATGGTTTCAGAATCCTTAACCTGTTGCAGCAGCAGCCTTATTGGTTTTTCTGGTTATCCTCCTGACAGCTCCTTCTAGACTTTGTAACTTATTCCTCTGCCTCTGTCTGACTCCAAAACAGTCTTAGAACTCTACCACTTAGACCAGGACAGCCAGCATTCCACAGCTCCATGACACCTCTAGGCCAGTGTCTCCCCTGGGTTGTGCCCGACCTCCAGCTTACCACATTCTAAGCTGGATCATCTTTCTCTAGTTGAGCCCTCTCTTCCCAAAGCATTTCTCACCCAGTGACTACCACCATCATCCACCCAGAAACTCAAGCCACATGGTCATCCTCACCTCCCCTGCGCCTCACCCTCACATCACCTGCTCACCTCACCTCTACCTTCAAGCACTCTCTCAATCCTGTTGGGAAGACTCTTCCTGGCCCTGTCCCCTGCCCCCAACCCCATGGCTTCTTACTCATTGTCTACTACAGGCTTCTCACTAGAATCCTGCCCTCCAGTCCTGCTCTGTCAATCTCTCTCCCACCCAGAGCCAGATGTGGTCTTCTTAAATTTAACTCCAGGCATCTCACTCCCCTGCTTCTCAAAATTCTTCAGTTTCTCTATGGCCTTGTGTCCAAGGTCATGGCCCCTTTTTCCTCCAGCCTTATCTCCCATCACTCCTGTGCCCCTGAACCCTGGGTTCACCCGGCCTGAACAACTCATGCTCCTTTCTCTCCTTCCCAGGCCTTTACGCAAGTTTTTCTTTCACTCTGGAATGCTGGCCTCCTCCTCTCCTGCCTTCGTACCACCTCTTTCTCTTCAAACCATAGCTCAGACACTGCTCCCTCCAGGAAACCTCCATGTCTGGGTCAGATAACTGCTCTGGGCTCAGATAGCACCTGTGCTTACCAGGTGGATTGTAGACTTTATCCTTCTCGTTTAATTGTCATTTGCTTATCTTTCTCATGGCACTGTGAGCACTGTGCCTTATTTCCTCTTATAATCCCAGCATCTAGTCAATGCCTAGACAGTAGTCCCATCATAAATGCTAGTTGACTAAAAGTGATTGAATATCTTCTTTTCTTCCTTCCTTCTTCTTTCTCTTCTTCCCTCCCTCTCTCCCTTTTTTCCTTCTTTTCCTTTCCTTTCCTTTCCCTTTTTCCTTTTCCTTTCCTTTTCCCTTTTCCTTTGCTTTGCCCATTTTTCCATTGAGGCCTCAAGAGTTTTTCTTAGAAGAGCTTCTCACATATTAAGGTGAGAAATGTTTTGTCATATTTGTGGAAAATATTTTCTCCAGCCTGATACTTACTTGTTAATATAATTCATGATGATTTTCACACATAAAAGTGAAATTTATATGAGCACATCTACTAGCCTTTTGGCCTTTCTCTGGTTTCTTTTGGGAGGATATTGAGTAAGAGGGAGTATGAGGGAAACCTCTGGAGTACTGAAAATGTTCTAGATCCTGATTGAGTGTTGCTTACACAAGTATATACGCATATGCAAAAATTCACTGAGTTGTACACGTATCTATCTATATTATTATATATAAGACATACCTAGGCCAGGTGCAGTGGCTAACACCTGTAATCCTAGCCCTTTGGGAGGCCAAGGTGGGTGGCTTGTTTGAGCCCAGGAGTTCAAGACCAGCCTGGGCAACATAGTGAAACCCTGTCTCTACAAAAAAATATAAAAAATTAGCCAGGTGTTGTGGTGTATGCCTGTAGTCCCAGCTACTCAGGAAACTGAGGCAGGAGAATCACTTAAACCCAGGAGGCAGAGGTTGCAATGAGTCGAGATCATGCCTCTGCACTCCAGCCTGGGTGACAGAATGAAACTGCATCTCAGAAAAAAAAAAAAAAAAGTAAAGTTCATTCTTTCTTGTTGCTGAGTAGTATTTCATTGTATGGCTATACCTCAATTTGTTTATCCATTTTTCTGTTGGTGGAAATTTGGGATGTTTCCAATTTAGGGCCGCTACACCTAAAGCTGCAATCATTCATGAACAGGCATTCATTATATGGACACATACATTGATTTCTCCTGGATAAATTCTTTCATTGATTTTTATTTAGAAACTCTTCTACCATTCAATGAGAGGATAAGTATTTAAACTTTTCTTCTAGTTGTTGGGCTTTTTTTTTTTAATTTAGCTTTTAATCAAGCTGGAATTAATTTTGTTGTGATTAAGCATGAGGCAGGGATCTCAACCAGCTTTTGTTTTGTTTGTTTTGTTCCTAAAAAGCCATTTTCCCCATCACTATTAGTGAAGAATTGATCCTTTCCCCCATTGATTTGTATTCTGTAACTCACCCCTCTTCAAATGTAATTATAGCAATAGGAACATTACAGGAATTGCTCTGACCCACACACGTCCATGCCCCTCCACCATCCCTCAATTATTTCTGAGTGTCCCCAGAGCAGTATCCATGGTCACACACAACTCATACTGATGCCCACTCATGCTCAGATGTTAGAATTATTCACTCCCAGGTACAAGTGACCACTGATCATTGGCAGGAGATTTTAGCAGAGCCTGTCCCATTCATGTAGTGATAAAGGTGTTGGCAGAGTGGGCAGCCTGGAGTGAGCCACAGTGAACAGGGCAAAGCAGCTGGCCAACTGTTTAGCCAGAACTTCTTCCCGCTGTACTCTGCTGAATGAGGCTAGAAAGAAAGCTTGGTTGTAGATGATAGGAGCCTTGAATGGCAGGCCAAGGGCTTTAGTTTACAGATGCCTGCTCTGCCCACAATCCTGCACTGAGTGCTGAGTACACAGAGGTGGCTCATCTTTAGGCCCTACCCTTGAAGCTTAACAACAAGTAAAGAGACAGCTATGGTTCATTAATTCCACTAATATTTATTGACCGCCTCCTAGTTGCCAGACACTGTTCTAAGTGCTTAAGATGTATAAGTAAAGAAAACAGCCAAAGATCCCTGTCCTTGTAAAGTTCAGCAAGGAGAAAGAGAGACAATACTAATACTACATGTGATTTTAGTAAGAAAATGTATGGGATGTTAGAAGCTGATAAATGCTTTGGAAAAAAGTAGAGCAGAATAAGGGAACCAAAGATACTTGAAAGAAGAAGAAGGAGGGATAGCAATGTTAAATAAAGTAGTCAAGGCAGCACTTGGGGAGATCATTTGCAGCCTCATTGGGAACTACACTGTTGGCCAGGCATGGCAACTCATGCCTGTAGTCCCAGCACTTTGGGAGGCTGAGGCGGGCGGATCACTTTGAGCTCAGGAGTTCAAGATCAGCCTGGGCAACATGGTGAAACCCTGTCTCTACAAAAAATACAAAAATTAGCCGGGTGTAGTGGCACATGCCTGTGGTCCCAGCTACTCGGGAGGCTGAGGCTGGAGAATTGCTTGGACCCGGGAGGGGGAGGTTGCAGACAGCCGAGATTGCACCACTGCACTCCAGCCTGGGCTACAGAGTGAGACCCTATTTCAAAAAAAAAAAAAGAAAAGAAAGAGAACTACACTGTCCAGGGCCTTTGAGAGCATAGAGGGGTGCCCTCCCTGATGGCAGGGAGTTTATGGAGGGCTTCCAGGAGGAGTGTCCCATGAGTGAAGACAGTGGGGAAAGGTATTCAGGCAGAGGAAGCAGCATGAAAAGTGAAAGAGAGAGTGGCTCTGCAGAAAGCCACAGGCCAATCATGGCTTCAGGAGGGCAGGGCTGTGTGCATGAGGCATGTCCAGCCTGGGTTGTGGAGAGCTTGGGTGAAGATCACAGTCCAGGGATGTTGGTCCACAGATGGCCCCCAGTACCTACATCTGTACCCTTGGCCACGGGTTCAGTGGGGTTCCCCAGAGCCCGAAGGGTGCTCATCATACCTGTGGTGAGTGCAGGTCTACCCAGAGCTATCCTGTCCATCCAGGGCCAGAGCTGACCCTCCCCAAGACATCCAACTGGCTGCCACTGAATGTGTCCCCTGAATCACAGAGTGCCCACCTTGGGAAGGGCTGGGGTGGGGGTGGGGGAGCGTGGGCTGACGTCACATGCCTGGCCCTGTCTCTAAAGTAGTCTGGCTGACTCTCAGCCAAGACCAGCCTTGTGGGGCAGTCACTGAGACTGTGACTATGGCTTCTGATCTCAGAAGAAGGCAGGAAACTGTGGCCAAGGCGCCAATGACAACATTTGCTCATCAAATGGGAGAAAGGAAGCGTGTGCCAGGAAATGTGTACAGCAGCCCCACCGCCCCCAGCCCAGACCTGAGTAGCCTTGGTCCAGCAGAGTCCCAGGTCTGACCTGAGGCCTGCCATGGCCCACTTTGTCCCAGATGGTATCACCCACCCCATAGTGGTCAGGGTGGTCACTATGGCATCAGGAACTCCAGACCCCAGCAGATGTGGAATGTATGACCAAAGGCCTCAGGATGACTTGAGATCTCCCCACACACACCCTGCCCCAGGGCCTCTCTGAGTTGGGGCTTCCCATGCCTGCAGCCACAGAGGTTTCTCAGGCCCCTTTTCTCTGATGCTTTTTCCATAGAACATCTGGGAACTGGTGTGAACTACTCTCTGGAGCCACAGTCTCTGAAAGCCTCACAGATTCTCCCCTGAACCCTCTGCATCTGCACCTCTATTCTGCCCAGAGGCCTGGAGGAAAACTCTGGCTTCCAGTGCAGTGGGGCAGAAAGTCCCACACCAGCGAGGCCACAACCACCTTCTGCTTCTATGATGGCCACGAACATTGCTGGAATTCACATTCTGTCCAAATGCAATGCTAGGACCTAGGACATAGTAAGGAACAGGGCTGGGCCTGCCAACAAGGAGTTACCAAGGGAGGGAGAGAGACAGACAATTAAAAAGTGAACACATGCACACACAAGGTAATGTCCCATAGTGATAAGTGGTATTCATCCATCAAGGGACTGCGACAGAGTTTGGGTGGGCGCCATGAGATTGGGCCACAGGCCAGGCCTCCCTGAGGAGAGGACATCTGAACTCAGACCTGAATGGCATAGGAAGAACTTGGGTGCAGTGGAACAGGGACAGAGCCTGCGGTGGGAGTGACCAGGGAGTTTCCGAGGAAGAGGAGGCCAGTATGAGTGGGTGGGGGCCATGGAGAGGATAAGCCAGAAAGGTAGACAGGGCTGGATCGCTCGTGGCTTTGTGGACCTGATAAGTACTCTGGATTCTCTTCCAAGTTGGAGAGTTTCAGGCAGGCTAGTGACATGATCTCATTTAGGTTTTTCAAAGATGAGCCTGGCTGCTGTGGTGGAGTGGGAAGCAGGGAGACAAGAGTAGGAGTGGGGTGACCAGTGAGGCACCTGCCATGGCAGGGCAGGTAGCTGGGGGCAGCTGCAGAGCAGCCAGTCACCCATGGACTCTGCATTTGTCGTTAAAACAGAGCTGGAAGGAGCTGCTGACAGGTGGGCGGGATGTGAGGTATGAGAAGATAGAGGCAAGGGTGAACTGGAGGATTGCAGTTGGACTGCATAGACTCCAGTGACTGAAAAGCCCAGAGGTGGTACAGGTTCTGGCATGGCTGGCTCAGCGCTTCTCCATCAGTTGGTTTGTCCTCTGTCTGGCATCCCTCAATAAGGCAAAATGGCTGCACTGGTTCCAGTCCTGACATCCACCAGCAGAAGTTTCTGCTGTCAAGCCATTAAACAAAAGTCCTGAACTTTTGTTTAATTTAGACGACCAATCACTTTGGCAATGATGCAGGGTTCTACCAGTTGCTTTCACACTAGGAGTATCTGCGTACCAGAGCAGGAAGTGTGGGAAGGATGCCAGGAAAGCGCATCTGCACCGATGTCCATAGGGCTGTAGTTCACTGGAGAGACCACTTGATATCCGGTGTGAGTTACCAAGAGGAAAGGTGGATATAGGAGTCTGAAGCTCCAGAGAGAGCTCAGGGTGGGAAATAAGAATTTAGTTGTCATTGGCAGGTAGACAGTACTTGCACCTGTGAGGCTGGGAGAGGGGACCGAGAAGCATGTGTAAATTGTGCTCTGAGGACTCAGCCCCAGAGCATTCCAGCACTTAGAGGCAGGACAGCTCCTGAGGAGAAGCAGCAAAGGAGAGAACAAAGGAGCATCTGGAGAGGTGGCAGGAAAGCCTGGGGTGTGTGCTGTCATGGAAGCAAGAGAAGAAAACACTCAGGAAGCTGTTTCCCTGCAGCTGAGTGGAAGGCTGCCCGGCAAAAAAGCAAGATGAGAACAAAGACGTGGACCCTGGATTTGGCAACATGGTGGTGTTAGTGACCTTGACAAGTCACGTCTTGGAGGACAGGCCATGAGGTGGAGAAGTAGGAATAGTGAGTGTAGATGGCTCCATCAGGGAATTTTGCTGTGAATGGAAGAGAAAAGGTGCGATATTTGGCGGTAAAAATGGACTCAAGTAAGAGTCTATCATGGCTGGAGCTAGTGCCCATGTGGTTCACAGCTGTGGTCCAAAAGGAACATCCAGGCCACAGGACAGTCATTTTCTTCTCTGTTCTGTGTTGAACTTGGACTCAGAGCAGCCCTGGGCTAGGAGCCCCTGTGCCCTATGCCTCCAAACCCCTTGGAGTCTTTCTGTCAGAGCACACAGCCCACCCTGCTATAACTACCCATGCCCACCTCTTCTCAGCAGCCCAGGCTGGTCCCGGGCTGGGGACAATGGAGTGGAAGATTAAGCCCCATTCACGGGGGCATCAGCACAGACGGAAAACCCAGGGCACTGACAAAAGTGATTGATAGGAAGTTGGGGGCATGGGCATCAGAGAGTTGGGGCTGGACAGGAATGGAAATAAAAGGATGAGGGAGAGTAGAGGCCCAATGGCCAGCATGGCAGGGAGAGTGGCACGAGTGCTGGACCATCCTGAGGCTGTGTTGTATGGGATGTGTGTGGGTAAAAGTCATGGAAGGGGAGAGCTGGGACACAGAGGTGATGGCCTGGAAGAAGAGAGCAGGAACAGGATCCTAAAGTTCTGGGCCATCCTTGGAGGCTGATGGTGCCTGGGCTGGGAGAAGCCCCATAAGCTGGTGCCAAGTCATCACGTGTGTCATGATAAAGTTTGGAAGCATTCATCTCCTTCTGAGCTGTGTCATTTCTTCACTCATGCCACCGAACTCCAGCCCAGTGGCCCATCCACACCTGGGAAAGAAGCCACATGATTAGCTGCACAGATCAGGGCAAGATCTATCCATGGCTGACTTAGGAGCCACATGAAACCCCAAAGACTATCAGCACTCCATTTTAGGGAGGATCACCATAACCAGCTCTAGAAGATAGAGCAGGGCTGGACTGGGGGTCAAACAAGGAGCTGGAGCACAGGGAGTAAGTAGATGATCTGTGACTGCTGCTGTCCTGCCCATCTGCCAAACCCACCTTAGTGTGGTCCATGAGAAGAAACAACCCCTACCGAGGACTTCCAGGAGCAGCATCCTGGGCCAGATCAGGGCAGGAGGTGAAGGGAGGGTCTGTGAAAACTTCCAGGACATTCGGGATTTTCCTGCTCTAGAGTCCAGAGGACACAGGAAGGCCATATGGGAGCAGAGGCTGGGATGGAGGTTGCTGAAGGGGAATGGGGTGAGGGGCCAATGACCTGAGGAGTGGAGATTACAGGGGTCAGACTATTGCCAGGGGTTTACAGGATACCCCTGAGGGTGAGCAGAGGTCAGAAAATGGGACCTCAGGCATCTCGGAAAGGGCTTGGACTGGGCTGGGTGGATTGTCATGGGTGTGGTGGGTCTACAATACCTCAGGATGTGGGAAAAAAATCTTGGCCACCCATTACCTGGGTACTAGAAGGAACCAAAAGTGACACATTTGATGAATAAAAAGAAAACAAGCGGTCAAATAATTACTGACCAATTCTGAAGGCTAATTTCCAAAAAGTCAGCAGAGGCTCAGAAAAAAAAACAATCAAAAAGGCTAGGTTAGGAAGGACTGAGTCAAGCCAGTGGGCAACCTGTCTGTCCCAGCTGCTCAAGGGAAGCCTGGGCCTCAGCCATGCCTGGGGATGAGATGACACTGACTCATGGGAAAGACGCTGTAATCAGGATCAATATGATTTTGTGGGGGAGGTTGTTTGAGAAAGACCTGCAAGATGTTCCTTTGCCTGAACTTTCTTTCCTCCCACCTCTCATCCTGTGTTATCTGGATCCCACACCCACCTCTGCTGCTGAGATGTCCCTTCCCCAGAGCCCCCTCACCTCCATTCCCAGAGCAGCCAACTCCTGAGCCCCATCCAGCCTGTCTTCTCTGCAGCGGTGGGAAATGCATTTAGAGAAAAACAAACCCTCTGATTTTGAAAACCTGATTATTACGTATGTCTTAATTTGCATTCCTTTTTAAAAATATAACTTCATTTTTCTTTCTGACTATAAATGTGATATATGTTCATTATAGAAAGTTTGGAGAACTCAGAAAAGCACCAAAAAGAGTACAAAAACCACCCTCGATCCAGCTCAGAGGTCATTATTTACTTCTGACACATCAGTCTGTGTCTTTCCTGCCTCCCTTCCAATCACATCTTCTTTTTGTTAATTGGAGCCATACCTTCCATTCCAGTTTATAAATTTCATAATGGAATGTAGGCTCCATGAGAACAGGGGTTTTATCTTCTTTGTTCACTGCTGTTTCCTAGTACATAGTAGGTACTCAATAAATATTTGTTGGAAGAATGGATTTTGTAACCCATTTTAATTTAATGCAGTGCAGCCATCTTCTGGCATTATTTCCCATTCTCATATGCCATTATTTTTACTGGCTACATAGTATTTGTCCTATGGGTATGCAATAATTTATTTCTCTAATCCACCATTGTTAGATATTAAAGTTGCTTCAAACGTGTTATATTATCAGTAACATCGTGGTGAACATCTTCATATATAGCTATTTTTTGTACATATTTCCTTAAGATAAATTCCTAGAGGGGGACTTGCTGGGTTTACCATGTTTACTAAAATTTTCTACGTATTTTGCCAAATTGCCTTCCCTCCCCAAAAGGGTGATTTAAACCCCTGTCCTTAACCCTTTCCAATAGAATCTATTATCATGCTTTAAACTCTGATAACTGACAGGAAAGATGTACATTATTTTTATTTTTATTGGCTTTTTCTTTGATTACTTTTGGGATTGACAGATATTTACTAGTGATTTGTATTTTTTATTTTCTGAATTGCTTAGTCAGCTTCTTTTGGGGTGTGTTTTTCCTAATTGATTTATAAAGAGCTCCTCATATAATACATATTTTCGAGTTGAAATTTTTTTAATTTTATATGGTTTTTTTTTTAATATTTGGGCTTTCTAATCAATTGATCTATCCATTTTCGTACTTGTATCACAGATTTTATTTTTGTGTTATACATTGTACTTACTTAATATGGTATTTTAATGCTTAGTATTATTCTCCTTTCACAAATGTTTCTTGGCAAGCATTGTACATGTACAATTTTCAAATGATATTTAGATTCACATTGTTAAGTTTAAAAATGAGATTACATTAAATATAAACATAAGTTTGGGAAGAATTAACATCTTCATAACATTTAGTATTTTAATCCAAGAAAATAGTTTACCTCTTCGTGCATTTGTGTCCTTCTATAAAGTTTTATATTGCTCTTCATCTAGGTCCTGCACACATCTTAAGTGTATTCCCAGTTATTTTCTATTTTTTGTTGCTTTTTGAATGAAACATTTTTCCTGTTATTTTTCTGTTTCTTTTCATATGCAATAAATATTCAACCACCTCATAAATACTCCTCTTATGTACAAAGCTTTTTAATTGCTTCCGTTGAAGTTTCTGCCCTCCAGGCACTCACTTTAGGTCTTTTCTCGTTCTCTCTTCCATCCACATATAGACGCAGAGCTAAATTTGAGTAATCCAAAGCGGAAGTACAAAGCAGTGTGGGCTGCTGTCCTCAGAGGAGTGCGATCTTCCCCCAGTGAGCTCATTGATGCTTATCTTGGAAAGAGGAGTCTTGTATGGAGGCATAGACTTGTCCAGGTTGAGTCAGGAGGGATACCCAGCCAGGGAACTGTGGAAATAGGTCCCCTGGTAGGAGCAAATCAGTTAGGGGAAGCAGAAAGCACATGGAGGGAGTAGTGGTTAATATGGCAGGAGGTTCAGCAGGACCAGGCCTTGGATGCTTGGGCTGGCTGGAGGACCTGGACTTTATGCTTGGGCAGGGAGGACCCACCCTTGAGGAGCATGGTGATGGGAATAGAAGAATGGCCCATGGAGGAAGAGGGGCTGAATCTGCATAGAAGGGGGCTGGCAGGAACAGAGGTGCCTGGAGGGAGGTGCAGGGTGAGTACGGACCTGTCTGCCAATGCTCCTCTTCCTTCAAGAGCCACTGTCTGCCCCTGCCCTGCTGAGGAAACCAAGGGCACAAAATGCACATGCTGACTCTGGCACAAAAAGTACTGCCCCAGGGTGAATTATTTTCTGACTCTCCACCAGAACAGGCCCTACTGGTGTTTACACCTGCTCAAGGACTTCTCTTTCATTCTGAAATTCTACAGCACAAAATTTTAGTGAATGCCTTTATTGAGTGTCTCTGGATTGCCAGAAGGCTGAGCGAGATACCATGTGCATGCTGAGTGTAGGAGGTGACGTAGTGTCAGGAAAGGGTGGCCCTGTGGGTTTCGATCTGACTTTTCACAGGTGTTTGTGGCCAAGTCACCTCCCTTACTCCTCACCTCACAGTTTCGGGGAATTCACTTTGTGAAACTGTCCTTTCTTCATTGCACACTTGGCTCAGTGTGTCTGTCCTAAGTGTCTTACATGCCATTACGTTTTCCTTGTTTGGGAGTTTTCATTGTACAGATTTCACCTTTTCTTTTTGGAAATTATTTTGAGAGAGGTTGGAGTGTAGGATGTGCTGGTATTTTGGGTGGATTCCCTGCTGTTGTGTCATCACTGAGAGCTCATGGTTGGCTCTGGTATTTCTACAAAAGCAGGAGATCTTCTGTTTCTTTCCCTCTGGGGTTTGCCCCTACACAACCACAGCAAGGCTGTAGTAGCTTCAGTGATGAGAGCAAAGGCTCCAGTTACTAAGGTTTCTGGGGTTACACTTGCAATGTTTTCCTACTATGAAACAGAGTGCCTCCTGAATTCAGTTTGCCTCTTCCCAAGAAATTAATTCTTGCGTTTCCTTTTCCACATAAGAAATTCTCTATTTCTAATTTTAATAGATTTTATTGAGAAAAGATGTTGAATTGTTGTGAATTCCTCTTTGTATGATCTTTGCCAGTTTTCCTATTAATAGGTATAATGGAAAGAACACAGGCTTGGAATTTGGATGGCTTTGGGTTCAAATCTCAGGCCAGCTGTGAGACCTTGGGCAAGCTATGTCAGCTCTCTAAGCCTCAGTTTCCTCATCTGTAAAATGAGGTGTTAGTCAGTGCAAGTGACCACAAGCACTGTAACCTACTCAAGCCAGCTAAAAGGGAATTGAGATTGATTAGTCTGTCACCAGAAGTATCTCACATGTTCCAAATGCAGGAGTGCAGCTGGGCTTCCAGGGCTGACTAGAATCAGAGTTGCAGGCACAGTGGGAAATGAGGGCCACTGAAAGGTCAGACTCCATTCAGGACTGGCTGAAAACCTCTACCTGGGCTTTGAGATGCAGCATAGTTGGTTTTGAGCCCTCTTCTAGTCTGATTTTTTGCACTGATTTCCCCACCTGTCATCTGCCCTATAGAGAATCTAGCAATGCATTCCTCTGTTTTTCATCTCTGCTTCTCTGGGCATATTTGCTTCACTTGTCATGTTTTCTGCAGATAAATACTCTCTGCAGAAAAGGACTAAAGTCCCAATTCAGAGTTCCCAGGGAAGAACTCTGATGGGTCCAGCTAGTTATTGGACCAATTAGTTATTGGTCACCTGGATGTTTCATAGGTGACCAGTGAACAGGGTCACACTTCTGTGACCAAGGCAGCTGCTATCATAAATTTATGGATGGAATGAAGGGCATAGTGAAAGCAGGCATTCTCTAAAGAAGCTGCTGCAGAGATAATCCTAGCATCCTTATATTTTAGCGTGGCTAGGGGTAGAATGTGAGTTCATCATGCAGTTGCGCTTGGATGATGCTCAACAAGTCTGTGGGTTCTGCCCCTGGCTGCTTGTTCCATATCAACCTGGCACCTTGGAGAGAGATGCTGTTTTATTTTCATGGAATTTCTATTTATATAGTTAATCCATCTGTCAAAATTTCATTTAGGATTATGGTGCGTGTATTTCTATTCAATATTGGTCTATTTTTAGTTCAAAAAATTTGATGTCACATCAAGTCTTGGAATTGTGTCTATATTTACCTCATAAATTGAACTGGATGACAAATAATGTTTTTATATAGTTTTAAATAATTTATGTGCAGGAATTATTTAAGTTTTCAACATTTTAAACATTCTCCCTAGGGAATAATGAATGGTGCATTGGGGAGGGAGTTAGAAATCCATGATTTGGTCTGGTCTTAGTCTTAATTTTCTGTGTGGCCTGGGGCAGTTTCCTGCCCCACCTTGGGCCTCTGTGGAATTAGGGAGGACAGGACAGCTGGCTCCGATGGCTTCTCAGACCCCCGCCCTGCTGGCCTTTCTGGGTGGTCTGCCACTGGTTCTTGGGGTTGTTTCTATCGTCAGGCCCCTTCTGCACCTTTCTGGTGCCCTCCAGCAGATTTCTAGTGACTTTTTTCTCCACCTTCCTGTTACTCTCCTGGACCTGAGGGTGTCCTCCCAAAGGACAGGTTTTGTTTTCCATGGGTCTGGGTGCAAATGGGCAGGGTCCAGTGTCTTAGGTGTTGAAGTCTTGGTTCCCTGTAATAAGCTCTGTGAGCAGGACACATTCTGCCTGCCTCCAGAGAATGCACCATCCTCTTCTGGAAATTCTCTTTTTTGACTTCCTGGCACCTGGCCGCCTCCTGGAGTTCCTCCTTCCACCACCTCTAAAAGCCTCTGACTCTTCCCTCTTCTCTCCCTCTGTACTGTCTTCCCAGGCTTAAAGGAGCTACCCTGAAAGTCCTCATGGCCACCTCCAGCCCTGTTCTCTCTCTCTCTCCAGCCCCAGCTCACTGTGGTTTTCTAACGGCCGCAAGAGAAAGGGGGACCTGGGGCAGGTGCCAAAAGACTGCAGGGTCAGAAGGTGACAGGTCCCGGGAGGAGGAACTCTCTGCTCGTACCCTGCTCTCAGGCAATGTGGGAGGGGGCGTCACTCTGATTTCCCTAATTATCTTCCCATGACCTGCTTCCCCTTCTCCAGCACCCCAGCCCTCACTGAACCAAGAGACACCGGAAATGGCTTCTTCTTATAATAGATTTTTCCTTGTTACAAAAATGTTTATTCATTGTAGAAAATTTGGAAAATACAGATAAATTTAAAGAAGAAAAAAGCCTTATTATCTCATCACTCACTGATAACTACTATTAACCTTTCTTCTATTTTTTCCGTGAATATATAACTGCTTCTAAACATCATTTGAATAATGCTGACTATACTGTTTTATAACCTGCATTTTTCAATTGGCCGCATGCCATGAACATCTCTCTGTGTCATTGTGCAGTCTCCTGCATCATCGTTTTTGTGGGTAGCAAAGCATATGCCATCCTATAGATATCCAAAAATGTTTCCAACCTTGTGATTGGGCATTAGGGTAGCTTCCAACTTGGCACTACCGTAAATAATATTGCAATGACAATCCTTTTGAACAAATAATTCCTGATTCCCACCCCCCTCACCACATACACACACTTTGTATTAATTCCTGAGCAACCCACCATTGATAGTCCAAAGGTAAGAATTTTTTGAGGTTTATATTACTCCTTACCAAACACCCCCACCCCCCAGAAAGGGCTCTCAGGATGTCAGACCCTCAGATACACAGTTTCTTAACATCTCTATCCTGCTTTTATTGTTTAAAATCATCTGGCCTGGTTGGTGGGCTTGAGTTGCTTAGGTGGCCACTGGGGAAAAGGGTCTGGATTCTTAGTGAAGAGAAAAGTGATTGGGGTGGGTGAGGGGGTTCCAGATGGATGAGATGGGGCTTATGGAATGCTGGTCATCTCTCCTATCACAGGGATCAGCACCCTGCGATGCCACCATAGTCTCTGGAGGAGGGAGACAAAACATACAGGCAACAGCTTCACATTTCGCCTGGGTGGGCAGTTCGGCTGAGAAGGACAGCATTTCTTTCTTGAATTGCCTGTCTATGGCTTTTGCTCTTTTGTCTTTTTCTTATTGATTTGGATTACATGTCATACCCTCTGTTGCCTGTGGCATAAATATTTTTGCAAGTTATCTATTGATTCTTTAGATTTTTGTAATGGTGTTTTTTAACAACTAAACATTTAAAATTTGCATGTATTCAGACCTTCAAATCTACCAGTCTTTTCCTTTGTGGTTTCTGCCTTCTCTGTTGTGCATAAAAAGACCTTCCCCATCCCCAGATGGTGTAAACATTAATCTATATTTTCTTCAAGTTGGATTCATTTTCAGTCTTTAAAATGTAGTTTGTTTCCCATTCAATTCTGACCTCGTGTGAGTGGGAGACATATGCACAGGCATCCCCTCAGGAACCTGGAGGTGCCAGTGCTAACTCCCAGCCAGTTGACGATTGCTAACTTCCAGCCCAGTGGACTCAGGACAACTTCTAAGAGCTCTATCTTTGCCTTTCCATAGCTCTGGGGAAATCCCAGAAGCCCTTCAGTTATTTAATTGGCATTTTTTTTTAAAACGAATCTCATTGGTTTTGTCTGTCTGGTTGGATCAACAGAGAATTTTCAATTAGAAGAAACCCTCCCAAATAAGCGGGGTTAATTCATGCCTGACAGATGGACAATGGCATTTCCACAGGGCAAGTGCTCTCCATGCAGGCAGGGACCTTTTGTTTGTTTACTGCTACATCCTCAGGACCTAGAACAATGCCTTGCACATAGTGGGGACTCAGCATATACTTGTTAGATGAATGAATGCGTGAATGGCTCTCATGTATTCATTATTTAAAATGCAAAGAGGTAATAACATGGGAAAAAAACTCATGTTAGGTTTTTAAAAAGCAGCATAAGGGCCAGGCATGGTGGCTCATGCCTGTAATCCCAGTACTTCCGGAGGCCGAGGTGGGCAGATCACCTGAGGTCAGGAGTTTGAGACCAGTCTGGCCAACTTGGCAAAACCCCGTCTCTACTAAAAATACAAAAATTAGCTGGGGGTGGAGGCAGGCGCTTGTAATCCCAGCTACTCGGGAGGCTGAGGCAGGAAAATCGCTTGAACCCAGGAGGCAGAGGTTCAGAGGTTGCAGTGAGCCGAGATCATGCCACTGCACTCTCCAAAAAAAAAAAGGGGGCAACATAAGATACTGAATAAACAATATCCATCATTCATTTATTCATTCAACAAGTATTTCTTGAACTGCACTACACATGGGGAAAAGACAGGGTTGATGTAAAGATTAAACAAGTTAGCATATTGTATTAGGCTGCTGGAGCTGCCATAACAAAAATACCACAAACTTGGTAGCTTAAACAACAGAATTTTATTTACTTATGATTCTGGAGGCTGGAAATCCAAGGTCAAGGTGATGGTAGAGTTGGTGTCTGGTCTGCAAGACCTCTCCTTGTCTTAAAGATGACTGCCTTCTCTCTGCAATAAAGTTATCACAATAAACTTTCTCGCAATAAAGTTCAGGTCTTTATTCCTGATGTTACTCTTCTTATAAGGACACTAGTCCTATTGGATTAGTGCTCCACCCTTATGACCTCATTTATCCTTACTTACCTTAAAGACCCTGTCTCTAAATACAGTCACATTGAAGGTTAGAGCTTCCATATATGAACTGGGATGTGGGGGACACAATTCGGTCCATAACACATACGTAAAGTGCTTAGAAATAATGTCTGGCTCATACTAAGCCCTGTGTAAATGTTGGATATTATTATTGTTGTTAGAAAATATACAGAACTGCATTAGTTATTATTGCATTCTCATTGGGGGATGAAATTACAAGTGATTTTATCTTATACTTTTCTATATTTTCCAAAATTTCTATGTTGAACAATTTTACTAATCTGAGGGGGAAAAAACACCACTACTCAGTAAAAGACATGGTTGAATATTGTTTGCAGCTCCCCAACCATTATATCATGTGTTAAAAGCCTTTGCTCCAGATTGGGTAGTTATCCTTAGTGGATTCTTTGTTGAGTTTCAAGTTTTTGGTTCAGGTCTCCAAATATGTGGTTGTCAGAATACAGAGAAGCAAAGACCTGGCTCAGCCCACCCAGCCCCATCAGTCAGAGCTTCCACTAGGAGATGCAGTAATGGGGACAGAGGATGCATCATGCTGTGTGCCAGCCCCATATCCACACCCTCTGGAGGGCAGGAAAGACCTTCAGCAGTGGGATGGTGAGTGGATCAGTTTGAGTTCTTGGCTCCAAACTGACTAAACAAAGTCTGGACTGACTGTTTTAATCAGAAAAAGAGTACATTAAAGAACATGTTCACTTCTAAAAGGCTCAACTTTTGGGGCACTTCAAGAAACAGGCTCAAATTTCAGTTTCTGAAATGACTCCCAGAATCATCCACCATCCATGGCTTCTGTTACCACCCTTGTGCCAGCAACGTAGATGCCATGTGCATGACTTTCTTTCACTCATTTCTGGCTTTTTTATCGAAGGCTCATGAGAGTGTGTTTCATTGGTACAGTCTAAGTCACTAATCCACTCCTAGCTGCAAAGGAAGCTGGAAAAGTGAGTTTTCTGGATTCTACCGGAGACACTTGCAACTTGGGAAACTATCAAAATGTAGGAGAGAATGAATGAAAAATGAATAAATGGGAGTCAGGAGCCCAGAACTGCTGTGTGACCTAAGACAGTTGTTCGCCTTTCCCAACGTCAGTCTTCTGCTCTGTCAAATGGGATAATATCCTCTGCATTCTTTGGGCCAGACCCCAAGCCAGGGCTGCAAATAGATGATTAGGCTCCTGCCTGCCAACCCACTTAGAGATGCTAGTCTGGGAGGAGATATGTGTGAACATGGCTGGCCGCTAAGGTGGCTGGATTTGCTGGCTAAGGACCAAGAGGGATATCCAAGGGCTCCCCAGCCTGGCCTGGGCATTTCTGGGCCCTGGGTTCCATGGATGCCACACCCATGCAGTCTAGGGCCTGAGTCACAGCGTCTACCCATGCCTGCAGATGGTCCACAGATTGAGACTCACAGAGAAGGAAGAAGACCTTGGGAACTCAGGACAGGAAAGAACAAGTCCCATTACTCAGTGGAAGGAACAGGCCTAGAGAGGAGAGAGACCTGGCCATGATCCCACAACCAGGCTAGGGCCTTTCTGTCCCCATCTCTCAGGGGAAGCCAAGCCATGCTCAGAGGAAAACAGAAAAATACTTGGCTAAGCTAGAATCAGTCACAGCTCCAGTACTGGTTTTTGAATTAAAATATTCACAAGTAGCAGAGACATCTGTAGGGAGAGTAACGGGATGCGACATCCTGCTGGAGGCCAAGCTAAATGTGTCCCATGACATCACTCTGAAGAGGAGGCTGCCAGAGCCGCATAGGGCCCGGAGTGCTCCTGCAGCTGAGTGCCGCAGAGGCCTGAGGCTTGCAGCCTGGCTCCTGGCCCCCTGCTCTGTGAAGAAATGCTCTGTTGAACCACTGGCCTATGGGGAAATTACCTGACCACCTCCCTAGACCAATCTGGTCTGGGGAGATATGTTCTTTCTGCCCAGGCTTCTGGTTCCCCTGGGTCTCCTCTTCAGTACTAGCAGATCTCCAGTTACTCTGCTGCCAGTGGGAGTGTATGGGTGGGGTGGGGGGATTCTCAAAGCCATGTTACTTGCTGGGAGGAGTCCTGCCATACAGCCTCTGTCACACCCTCTTGGAGGAGCCCTGCCAAGCTTGAGATCCCAGCAAAGTCCCTGCCAGGCTGTGGCTGAGTTCAAGCTGGAGCAGCTCTCCCAGGAGTCCAGATCCTATGATGGAGAAGGTGTAGGATCCTATTGTAAAGATTGGAAGTGACTCAGAGGCACACATCTGCACACTTGCACCACTACAAGGTGCACACAGGCCTGGGCACACACATGCCATGTACTCGTACTACAGATACAGGCCCCCCCACACACCCAGCTGCTGAGCTGTGAGCCCACATGCACTCATGGCTGATGGTCTCTGGTGGGCCTGAAGAGATCTCATGCTCTTCCACTCTCTGCTTCCTGACTTCTGCTCTCTGGTTTTCTATCCTCTTCTTTCTGGGCTGTGGCTCAGCCAGCTCCTGGCCTGGGAGGGCTGCGTATAGAGAAGGCCCGGCTGCCTGAGCGCTGTCCTCGGTGCTGGAGTCCTGGTGGGCTCTGCATGCTTGAGGAAAACAAGCAAGGGCATTGGGAAGAGGTGATCTTGCTTGGAGGTGCAGATGTTCATGGGGTGCCCACCAGGATGCCTACCCTTATTATTTCAGAAAATGTGCAACTGGGCTTCCTCCTTTCAATGGCAGACACTGCAACAGGTGTCCAAGCCCTCAGCCCAGCAGTGTGGGCATCTGTGGCTGTGTGTGGCTATATGGCCATTTATTGTGGCTATGAGGGGCTTCTTGAGACCTCGTGTGCCACATACAGTTGTGTACGAAGATCATGATTTCCTCATGAGACACCTGTGATTCCATGTGGCTGCCTGTGACCATGTTACTACTGGTGAACACATATGGCAGCCTGTGATCACACTGAGTCTCCTGTGACCTTGCGTAGCCTCAGACCTGAACTCGTGCGTCCCCAGATGATCTGGGCACTATCTGGTCTAGCTGCCTGATTTGTCAGAGCCTAGGTGAACACTTGCCACTCCCTCCCCTCACTGGTTTGCAGAGGTGGCACCCGGAGGCTCCCCATGTCTGCAAACTCGGGTCCTAGGGGGCGTTGGTGTCAGCGGGCAACAGCCCACAGGAGTGTGCACCTCCTAGGACAGGTAACCGCGACCCGGCTGCCATTCGAGCCTGCCCAGCCATAAAACCCAGGCTGCGAGTCGCGCGGGGGCAGGGTCGCGTGTTGATGGGGTGGGTGGCGGCGGGGTGGGCTCAATGTCACGCTCTGGCGCTCGTCGCCCGTGCTCCCCCTTCCAGCCGGTTTCCGCAGAATGCCAGGTACTGACGTTGGAGAGCGGGGCCGGAGAGGGCTGGTTCGCTCTGCGGCCGGGCCCCTCCCCCGCCCGGGAGCTTGGCGGTTCCGACACCGCGGTCAGTGCGGGGCAAGCCCCAGACCCGGCCGGCCAGGCTGCAGGGCAGGGAGTAAGGCTCGGTTGCGAGTGCGCGCCGCGCCCTCCCCCTTGAGCCGTCTCCGCAGCGGCGCGGGGAGGCGGGAGCTGCGGGGCCGGAGGGCGGGGGCTAAAAATACCCGGCAGCGGCGGCGGCGGCGCGGCTACTGCTGGGGCTGCTGGGCTGCGGGGCTGCGGGGCTGCGGGTCGGGGAGGCCGGGCCGGGCCGGGCCGGGCCCCGCTGACCGCCATGCTGACCTTCTTCCTCGTGTCGGGGGGCTCCCTCTGGCTATTCGTAGGTAAGTGCCCGTCCTGTCCGCGTCCCGGACTCCCATCTCCCGCAGGCTATGAGGTCTTCGCCCGAGGTGGAGGTGTTACATCTCCGCGGCCGCCGAGCCCCCATCCCCTGCTGCTGAGCTGTCCCGTCAAGGTCCCCAGGGCCGCCTAAGTACACCCTCCGCCCCCAGTTCTCGCGGGCTCCGGGCCGGGTTTGGGGAGCACCTGGGTCTGCGGAGGGAGATATAGGGCTTGCTCTCTGCGACCCCACCACAAACCCCCGCCGAGTTCTTGCGTCCCCCTTCCCTGATGGCAAGGACCATCCGCGGATCAGATTAGGCCCTGAGCCAAGGCCAGGAACAGACATTGCGTCCTTGTCCATCTCCTGGGACCAGAAACCGAGGGTGTTGGTCCCCGAGGTCCCACAGCAGGTCAGCTATGTAACCCGGACTGACCTAGGCTTCCTGATCCCGGCGAGGGGCTTCCTCACGACCCCTCCCTGCCCGTCCTTCAGCCAGAGTACAAGATTTCTGTAAGGTAGGGTTCACCTGGCTCCTCTGCTCTGCCCAGGGCTGCTGTGTCTCCACTGTTTCCAGACCCCTCCCCTCCACCTCACAGGAGTCAGCTTCACCACTGCACTTCTTAGGCGGCTACAAGGACCCCTGCTCGATCCCGCCTCCGCGCTTACCTCCCTCAACCCCCCATACACCCACACCTGGAGTCTCACCACAGGCCCTTTTATCTGCCAGTTCTACCACCTGCACCGGCTACTTCCCCTCTCTGAGCCTGGGGTCCTCCAGAGTATAATACCACTAAAGGATCTCCACCTCCACCCCAACCCCCATGTGCAGATTCAGCCTGATAATTTGTGTGCAGTGCTTGATCCTTAAATTGGCCTTAAACCTGTCCTAGGCCACAGCAAATGCTCTATGAATGTTAGTGTTTATTATTATCTCACATTCAAACAGCACCATCAGAAGTGGTAATAAAGCTTTTTCTGAGCCAAGGAAGGGGAGGAAGTTGACCCTCTTGAAATCTTTACCTGAGGCTTTGTACGTGTTATTTAATATTCATGGAAAACCCTAGGAGGTCGGTGGCACCATCCCTTTTTTTACTGAGTTCAGAGGTCAATTGACTTGCCTAGTGTCACATGGATATTTGGCAGACTGGGATTCCATTCGAGGTTTTAATTGATCAACCAATGCTAAGTGCTTGGCTGGATCAGGCCTGAACCTGGAGGGTTGGTGGGCCTAGTAATCACTTCCTTCACCCCCACCATTTCCTTAAGTTAGGCCACAGGGACACTTCCCCTGAGCTGGGAGAGTGAGTGAAGCCTCCCTAATCCCCTCAGCTCCCTAAGCTCCTTCTGTCTGCCAGTGTCTGTGACTGGCTGTGCAGGGGCACTCTGGTCCTGAGGCACATCCAGCAGACAAGGGCAGGGCTAGAGCTGGGGTTGGAGGTAAAGGGCAAGGATAATTAAAATAATGGTGATGGTGGTCGTAACAGCCACCATTTAATGCCTGAGTGATGGATGGTCTCAGAGCCTCTCCCCACTGCCAGGACCCCTTTGCCCTACCCTCAGGAGGCCCCACCCAACCATGGGTCCAAGGTCAGCTCTCTGAAGACTTGATCTTCTGTGGCTGCAGGGAGGTGTCTAGGGGCTGCAAGACCACTTGTGACCGGGGTCATCAGCAGCCTGTGAGAAAAAGTCCCTCACCCTGTGGGGTCCTTGTCTGTGAGCAGGGTTAGCTGGCACTGACTCAAAGTGGAGTCCTGTTTCCTTGTGGAGCATTTCCTAAAGTGGTCAGCTCCCTCCTCTAATGGGAAACTGGGGAATCTGCCTCACTGAGAGACTATACAGGGCCTCAGAACCGTCAAGCAGGAGCGATTCTTGGGGCAGGTAGTGGCTGCTTCCACAGAGGCCGAGCTTCCCAATGCAAAAAGCAAGAGGCTGAGGCTGGTCTATGGTGCTTATTGGATAGAATAACCCAGACAATTGCTGGGGCATTTTAAGTTATGTATCCACCCTCCTTGAGACTCCACCTGGCCCCCAGCCTTTCTCTGGTGGCAGAAGAGACTCCTGAGTTAAGAGCTGTAGTTCTGTGAGCACACCTGAGAACATGCTCTGCCTTGTCATCTCCAGGGTCCCATGGTCCCACGGCAGCTGCCAGATCCCTTCCACTCAGCCAGTAACAGGAGGCAATGTCTCTCTTTAGTAGAGTTATGTGCTTTTTGCCACCTAACCTGGCCCTAGGGAGACAAGGTAGGGCCAGGCAAGGGTTTCCCTCAAGGGCCCTCAGGGAGAGATGACATAAAGTCGGGGATGGGGGTGTGGCAATGCACCAGGAGGAGGAGCTGACTGTTGTTTGTGGGAGGTAGCCATCTGTTCTGGGCTGTGTCTGTCCTGTTGCCTGCTGGAGAGGCCAGCAATGAGTCCTGGGCCAGCCCAGATCTCACCTGTGTGTTGAATACTAAACAAGGAGACAAGTAAAATAAGTCCAGCATGAGTCAGATGCTAGGTCTGGCTTGGGGAAGCATGCCCTCAGTGCCATAAACACCTAGAGGACAATGGGAGCAGAGGATCAGAGCTTCTGCCTGCCTGTACAGCACCTTTGTGCAAAGTAGGAAGAAGTCTCACTCTTGGTGGATAACTTTCTAAAAGGGCACACCTTCCTCTAGGCTAAGGCAGCCCCATGCCGCAGGGTCTAATCTGTTCAATCATATACCCAACCATCAGTGACATATGAGTGGGCTTCTGCAGCATTCAGGGGAATTTGTCAGAGATAGGGAGGCCAAGATCCAAGTGGAGGAAGCCAGACTAGCAGAGTTTGTGGAAGAACTGCAATGGGGGATGAGTCTTCAAGGTCTTGTGCCTGAGCAATGTGGGTTGTGGGAGAGGATTCTGGAGAAGGTTTTATTTGGATGGTAGAGGATCCCTCCATTTAGCTGCTGAGTCAAGAGGAAGAGAGTGGAGTCCAGGAGGGTAGTAGGAGGTCGTTATGATGTTATGGATAAGAATAGATGTGGTCCAAGGATGGCTTGAGTCATGGCTGGGCTCCAGTAAGGAGAAGAGATAAGCCCCCACCCCTGGCCTCTGCCTTAGGAGAAGTGGGGCTGGCCCTGGTGGGGCGAGACAAAGTTGCCCGTCTAAAGAATGGTTTGGCATGCTCCTGGCTATAGATGCCTAGGGCAAGCATAGACTTGCACACTTTGGCTTAGTTCAGGCCTGTGAGATCCTCCCCTTACCCCACTCTGGGCTCCCATTAGGACAGAGAACTGACTTGAGGTCTAGGGCCACCCCAGGGGTTTGGAGATTGCAGTTATGAATTGGGACAGATGGTAGAGCTCCAGGCAGAACAGGTGGCTCTGTGGCCAGCTGGGGACATGCCTCACAAAGAAAGCCTGAATTTGTACAAGGTGCACCAGCATGGAGCAGGATTTTGCCCGCAGCACCTTCTCACAGCTCTCCAGCCTATATGGTAAGAACATACTGACACCAGGGGGCAGCAGAACCCAGTCATTATGCTCTCCAGCTATTGTTCTGTCCCTTGTGGTTATAAGGATTCATGGGTTGACCTTCAGAAGGCTGAATTTGGCTCAGCTACAGCCCCAGATGGGACTCAGGACTGTCCCATACATGGGGTGAGTGATCATGAGGCTCTGGCTTGTTTATAAAAATGGGCAAAAGTTACAGGCTTTTGTATAACAGAAGCTACACTGTGTATCCAGCCAGCACTGGGCACATAGTAGGCACTCAAATACTCATTAAGTACTAGGTGTGTGTGGAGGGGTGTTTTTATGGGATTAACTATTGCAAACAGGCTGACTTGGCTGTTGTTTCACTGAGCACCTACCATGTGTCAAGCACCCTGTCTATGATTCTCCAAACTTTCCTTCCATCCTCCCACAACACTGTGTTGTGTTCTCCCCATTGCCTAGGTGAGGCCCTGAGACTCAGCGAGGTTCAGTGGTGAAGCAACTTGTAAGAGCTGTGAGTCAGGCCACATTCTCAGACTTTCAGTCCAGGAAGGGACCACCAGGCATGATCAGCCAGCCATGTTAGCTAAAATTATAATAACTTGTATTAGGCTTTCCTTAAAGGGGATCCAGGATTCTGACATGCAGAAAGGGAGTAGGAAAAGAAAAGGCATTCCAGGCCAAGGGACCTGTGTGAGGGAAGATTGGCAATAGGACTGAATGAAGTTGAAGGACCAATTCTGCTGGGCCAGTGAGGTTGCCAGAGGTGGGCTCTGCAGGCCTAGGATAACAGGCCAAACAGCATTGGCTTTATTCTGTGCAGCGGTTATGTCAAGGAGGTGTGGGTAGAACTGGGCATGTGGATGACCAAGGTGACACTATTCCTGTGCTCCAGAAGCCTCCTCCACAAGTCCATGGTCTCCTTGAGGGCAGGGCCAGGTGTCTCATGTCTATGTCCCCAACCCAGAGTTGGGCACACAGGGTACATAAGAGTTTATTGCATAAACTAAAGAATTCCCTGAGCGTAATTTATTTTAATAATGTGTTTTATAAGCTGTTTCCTTACCACAAGTCAATCAGTAAACAACAGATTTTGAGTGTGCTCCTGCTAGGATGCTAGGCTCTGTGCCCAGGTGGGGGATGATGCCAATATGTTAGAAGCAGTAGGGAAAAGCAGGTGTAAACTCCTTGCAGGCAGGGCCAGGTTACCCTTCACTGGAGAACCCTGTGTGCTGAGAACCAGTGCAGCCTGGAATAGAAGGAGGTGCTCCAGAAGTGTTTGTTGAATGAATGAATGAATCAACTAGTGAACCCACAGCTTCTGGGTGACCAGTTTTGTGGAAGAGAGTCTTCTCTGAGGGCTGCTGCTTCCTTAGAGCTCCAAGGTTCCAGTCACCTGACAGATTGGGAGCTTGGGCCACTCTGCCAAGCATAGATGAGAGGAATTCCCAGTCAAGGTCCTCACCTCACTGGATGGTCTGGTGTGATGCTCCCATTCCTTGCGTTGGCCTCGCCAGAGTTCCCACTAACCATCCACTGGGTCCACAGATTGGTGGGGTTAGGGGAGTGCTGTGGATGAGATGCTGCTTTGAGCCCTTGGGGTTGTCCTTCAGGATGCCCAGGGGTGGTTCCTCATCATTTGCTCGGCTGCCTCGGGAGATCCGTGGTAGGTGTGGTTATTCCTGGGCCTACTTCCTTTGTGTAGCTCCTAATTCATGTGAATCTTGGGGCCTGGGACAGGCAGAAATGGGAAGATGGGAAGTGGATTGGAACAGAAATTTCAAGCCAAGCCGAGCTATCTATTCTGAGACCCAACCAATACTCTCAGAGCCAGAAGGATTTCAAATCCCAAGAAGTCTCACCTGACCCTATTTGCCAGCTCTTCCCAGAGATACCCTTCCTCTCCCTGCACCTAAGCCAGGCATGTAGTAGGGGCGTCTGGGGGAGTTGGGAATGGCTTCTGATTTGCCATCTGCCCATTTAAGCTTGTGTTCCGAGATCACTGTCTCCTGGGAATTTAGAGCAGGAAGCCAGGCCAGTGAGGGAACAATCAGCATCTTAGTGCTCAGCCCCTGGTATAAGCAAATGTGGGCTGGCACCTGTTAGGGCCAGGAACAGACTTAGTAATTGATAGCTATTGGAGAAATGAGTGAGTAGGTAGGCCCAGGTTGACTGGGCAGCTCTGGGACAGACCCTATTGACCAGTGCCTGGGACCCCGCCTCACTCTCAGCACAGCCTGGCCCACCAGTGCAGGATGTGGATTCCAAGGGACTGATCAAGACTCAGCTCTGCTACAAAGCTCTGCTTTTCCCTCCAACTCATGGACTGTTGTAGGGGCTGAGACTCCCCCGTGGGACTCCTCCTGCCCACGCACCCCTGTCCCAGCCTTAGCTTTGCTGCAGACCATTCTAGATACTGACTGCAGATCCTGCCTCATAAACAGGCAGAAATGTCACTGGGAGAGACAGTGAGGTCAACTAGATATTGGATAGAAAGGGCAGCTAGAGGCTACACAGCAAGGACAGTTAGAGCTGGGACAGAGATCAGCAAGGTGGCATGTGAGCCGGCCAGTGAGATTGGACAGGGAGGTTGGCTGGAGTAAGGCCTTAAGGCCTTTAGGCCAGTGAGAGGAAGACAATTGTCAGTATGGAGAAAGTAGACTCAGTGGAGACCCATCCAGGCCTGCAGTGACCCCTCTGCTTTGGAAGGGAAGCTCTGGCCACTCTGCCCTGCCACTAGAGCTGATGCTGCATGAAGCCACATAGACCCCAGGACCCTGCTTAGTGGCTGGAGAACTTCAGTGTTCATCGTGACTGTGCTTTCCAGCAGATGGGCTGGATGTGATTCTCTGAGGACACCTTCAACTCACGCATTTTTTTTTCTTTTTTCTTTTTTTTGAGACAGAGCTTTGTTGTTGTTGCCCAGGCTGGAGTGCAATGGCGTGATCTTGGCTCACTGCAACCTCTGCCTCCTGGGTTCAAGTGATTCTCCTGCCTCAGCCTCCCATGTAGCTGGGATTACAGGTGCCTGCCACCACACCCGGCTAATTTTTTTGTATTTTTGGTAGAGACGGGGTTTCACCACATTGGCCAGGCTGTTCTCAAACTCCTGACCTCAGGTGATCTAGGTGATCCACCCATCTCAGCCTCCCAAAGTGCTGGGATTACAGGTGTGAGCCACCATGCCCAGCCAACTCATGCATATTCTGTAGGCCAACTCCCCTAAGCCTAGGTCTGTCTGTGGTGGCAGGGAGGGTTTAGAGAGAAATGGAGGTTGGGCCTTCCCCCATCCAGTAGGCTGGTAGGGGATTTGGGTGCATGTGTCCCCGATCTCCTTGCCACAGACCAGATATGGAAGGCTATGACCTGTGGAACCAACTTTTCTAGGTCATTCTGAAGTGTCCTGTCTCCTCTGTCTCCTGCTTCTGCTCCCTGGACAGTTCCATGACCTCTCACAGAGACATGCCTGGCACCTTGGCTTCATGAAGATACTGTGTGGCCCAAACGAATACCAGTTTCCTTTAGCCCCAGAGGCTGACAAGACATATCTCCCTTGGATTTCAGGAGATCTGTGGAGCATCCACCAACCCACCTGTTGGTTCAAAATCAACTCCAAAGTGGTTTTGTCCTAGATGTCCTCTCAGGCTCAACGGCCACATGTGTGCTTGAGATCTTGCTGTGCTATTTCTCCTGGTAGTGGGAGTCTGAGTGGCATCCATGCTCCACAGGGCACAAGGTCTGTGCTGTGGTTAATAGGCAGCTCCTGGTGACCATGGGGTGTCAGAGAAGCAGTGTTCTGGCTGCTGAAAGTCAGCCAAAAAAAAAAAAAAAGGATAGAAGCCTGACCTTGGCATGGAGCCTTGGTTGAAGAAGGAGCCCCAGCCCTGGAAGCTAGTGATCCCGCACATGGGGCTCTGGGCTGCCCTTATCCCCACCTCCCACTCGAGGGCACTTGTGGCAGCAGGAGTGTGGGCACCAGGCAGAGGACACACGTGCCCTCCATTATTGAAAGTCCTCTCTGTGCACTGCAGGGTCTTCTTGTGTACCAGCACTTTTTTCTTCCCATTTCTTTCTCCATGTTTACCATCAACACTGTGAGAATAACTGAAGTTTCCTTATCCAAAAAAAGGGTGCTACTCCAGATTCCGCCACTACTGTTTTCGAAAAGCACAAAACCAACAGAGCCTCAGAGGGGGCTGACCCTCTTTCTGGATCCCACCTCCATCCCCCCGAACTTACGTAGTGCTTTCCTCAGCAGCCACCGAGGCCTCCAGTTCCGTCTCCAAAGATGATGGGTTCCTTCCAGTGGGTGCAAAGTGAGAGCCCCAGTGATTGGTGTTCATAGTGGGTCAGTGTGAACAACGCCCAATGGCCTGCCTGGGCCAGCTGGGGCCTCGTTTTGCTTTGGTCTGAAAGACATTTTTGTTTTCTGGTGAGAACAGCCCCAGCCTGGCCAGGAGCCGGCCAGCGGCAGGAATACAAACCCTTTCATGTGACAGACCCAAGTGGAGTGATGCCCTCCTGCCAGCAGCAGGCCCTCCCCTGCCGCTCCTGGGAGGCGGCCATTTGCATATTTCCCATTCATCCTGGCCTTGAAAAGGAGGCCTGAGTTCCCAGTGCTCCTGCCCGCTGAGGGCTGGGCCGCTCCAGTCTAATGTTAACTCTGTGGACACTGTAGGCTCTCACAGGCCAACAGCAGAACTTGACCGCTTGCTGCCGGAGGGAGAGCAGCTTAAGGCTGCAGCTGCTGTGCCGCCTGACCTCCAGAGGGGGGATTCAGGAGGTGGCAGATTCCCGTTGACCAGCACAGCCTTTTGCTAAACTGGAGGAAATTCAGATTTGTTTCTTCTTGAGGCATTCAGAAGAGGAATTTTGTCAGACTATGGGGATGCCAGAATATTCAGCTATTTACCAAATTTGCCAGAAAATGTGCCCTTAACCAAGGGCAAAACTCTTTTTGTCTTGCTCACTTTCTAGTCTACAAAAAAATTCAGTGACTCTGGAATGGTAGGTGAAGGAGCCATGCCGGATCCTGGCTGCAGCAGCAATCCCTTTGCCAAGGATGTAGGAGCACAGCTTGCCTGGGGCACTTTTGCATCCCCAGGGCTGAGTGCCATTAGCTTGTGGGCTGTGACTCTGAAGGCATGAGGCAGATATACAGTACCCATCACCATCTTTTTCCTTTCTCCCATAGCTAAGTGCCATCCTGCCAGCCTCAGCTTCCTGCCCCAGTCCTCAGTGCAGACAGGCCTCTGCCTCCTTCCCGCCACTGTGTGAGGGCTCCTGCCAGGGGCCCCAACATCTTACAGGCTCTTCCTGTGACTTACCAACCCACTTCTGTCCCTCTTCGATAGCCCTGTTCTCTACCCTTTCCCACCCAGCTCGGATCCTCTCCTTGTTCTCCCTCCCTGGCTAAGGATGTCTCAGGTTCTGTCTTTTGTGCATTTCTCCCCTAGCACGTGTCCCCAGGAGACCAGCAGGGCTCCTAAGTGAACAAGCAGGCAAGCAAATCCCTCTGTTGCTCCCCCCACCTCAGTGACCCCCAACCATATATTGGCAGGACCCTCCCTACTTCAAGGAGCTTCCCTCTAGCTGGAGGAGGTCGCATCCCATCCTGCTTGTACCCCAGCCACCTGCAGTTGAGCTCTGAGTGCATGGCCTCGCCATGAGCAGCCCATATGCCCTTTACTGGTTCAAGCTTAGTTTGCAGTGTGTCCTAAGTTTGAGCCAGTGGCAGAAATGAATCATTGCTCCTGAGGCCGGGACACCAGCAGTCCTAACGTGGACATGGCCGGAAAGGCAAAGGATCGTGTTACAGCCACAGGATTTGGCTTCCTGCACAGGAGGGCCTGGCCAGGGAGTGTCCCTGTGCCTGTGAGGTGATGGTGACCCTGGTCAGTATTCCTAGGGTCCTGCCTGCTGTCCCAGGGCTTGGCGTGGAAGGATCTGAACTCGTCCACACCATCAGTCCTGGTTATCATACCCTGTAAATATTTCCAAAGGGACTACTGCTGTTTTTTTAGCCCCTGCTGTCCCTCTTTGCTCTGAGAACTTTGTCCTGCCTAATTCATGGTGAGGGCAACGTTTATCTCAGAGCGTGTGAAAGACACTGTGTATCTGTTTGCTCCTCTGTTCTCAAGGCTATTCATATTTTAAAGTTCCTGAAAGCATTGTTTGTGCCTGGCTTCCTGGTGCTAGCATCAGGAATGTGGACCCACATTCCCTGAGCAGGGCTTAGGGTGAGTGAGATTTTTGAGAGGTACTGTCATGAGGATGGGGAGGCCAGCGGGCAGTGGAGGCTGCTAAAGGGAGGCATGCTCACAGTGAGCTTGGGCTAGTTGCAACAGGTGGCTCTGTAAAGTACTCAGTCACAGCCAGCCTTAGCTGGGCCTTTCTACATTCAAGGGGCTTAATTGAACCATCAGAGCTATGATCAGGCTCCTTGGGGAAGCTTGGCAGGTGAGCCACCATGTAACCTGGCAACCCCGTATCGTATCCTGGGCCTCTATCTCATGGGGGATGTACAGTGGGTCCCACCTGGCAATTCCCAAGTCAGGGAGGCTCTTTGCTCCATTTCTGCCCTGGTCTTATGTGGTTCTGTGAATCTAATTAAAACCCAAGAGGAAAATGGAGAGCAAACCCTTCTCTCACAGCAGAGAGAAGCTTGAATCCCTGTGTGGAGAGGGCAGGTGTTGGGCAAGTGTGCGCTGCTGTGTTTGCACCTCTGCAGGTCAGGGTTGTACATGTGTGATGGTGAAGGCTGTGCATTTCTCAACCTGGCAACTGGGCTGCACACTGCTTGGGGTGAAACTACTCCCTCAGCTCTATGCCTCTGGCACTCTGTGGGATTTCCCACAGACCACTGGATTTCCTGCCCCAGAGGCTGCCTTGAGAAGCATTAAAGGAAGCTTTCATATTAAAAGCATCTCTGAAGATATTTGGAGAAAAGTAAGGGTCCTGCCTAGAAGAAAGGTGAAGTGACTTTGTGGGCTGATCGGGGGTGCTCAGATATTCGTTCATTTTAATCGGGGTGGGTTGGGGGAAGCTAGGGCCAAGTTCCAGATGAGGGTCGCTGAGGCAGGACGCTCTTCTCATGGCTCACCCAGATGGTAGGGTGAGTAGTGGAAGCTGTTATCTGCTCCAGGGAAGGTGTTGCAAGCCTGTGGGCTCTAGACTTGCCAGGCAATTGGGCAAACAGCTTTCAAGAGGGAGCTCAGAGCACTGGGTCCTGTCCTGGGACATTCTTGCAGCAAGGGAGCAGGGTTAAATTTGGGTGGACAGTGGCCCAGTGCAGGCAGACTCGTAATTGCCCAGAAGCACCTGATGTGGGTAGGGCCTGGGGGTGGTAGTAAGCTGGCTCCTGTGGCCTAGACTTGTCTTTTACTTATTAGCAGGTGCCACCATGAGTCTAGCTGTCTACCTTATGATCAGAATGAGTGTCCAATTCAAAATACGCAGTGATCATACTTGTGTGCTCAGCCACATGTTAGCCATGGAAATAGTAGTGAAAATGCTATGGAAGTAGCCACCCACACCCCTAAGCCTCACAGATCTTGCAGTAGTGAGACCCCCGAGAGCCCCTGGGACCTCAGTCTCTCAGTCTGGCAGAGGTGCTGCAGGACTTCAGAGCTCAGCTTCGGTCCTAATAGGCAAGGGTGTGGGTTCTGGCTCCAGGGTGACCATTCCCATGCAAACTAGGCAACAGTATCTCTTAGTGCAGGCATGAGAGCAGGGCTGGTGTGCTGCCCTGGGGTCTTGTGGTGGAGATCAGCCACTATCTTCCACCTGCTGGCTCTGATCCTTGGTCCAGAGTGTCCTCACTCCCCAGAGCATCCCTAAGCAGATGTTTTATCTGGAACTGTGCCATTTCTTTCCTCTTCCCAAGTAGATTGGCTGTGACCTTGTGGGGGTGGGGAGCAGAGGCAGCCCCTGGGAGAGGCTGGAGGCAGAATCTCCCGGGTAGATGGTACAGTCGCCCTCAGTGCCAGAGAGCTAGCATCCCCATCCCCTACTCCCCACTACTTCCTGTCACCCCCCACCCCCTACACACATAAACTCATGCTCACTGCAGTCCCAAGCCCACAGCAAAGGCCTGGCCCTAATCATTGTCTCAAATGGATGTGTAAGGAGACTTTGTTCTTAAGAAACCCACTTGGCAAACTCCCTTTCAGAACTGCAAACAGGGTGGGGTGAGGGGAAAAGCAGGGGGGTGTAAGCTGAGGCTCTGGCACGCTGGCAGGGTGAGGGTTAAGGCTGGGTTGCTTGGCTCTGAGCTGATCTGAGCCAGCACCGCCCTGCATGCAGATGGAGGTGGGGCTGGCGGGGGCCTTGAGGGGCCAGCAACTCCTTACAGAACTGCTGTGTGCCCTGTTCCCTGCCAGACCTGCTCCCACAGCCACCAGGGAGCCTGTGCTACCACTGCTAACGGCTCTACCACCACCCGGCTTCTCAGAGCAGGCGGCTGTTGCCATCGACTGTCCCCAGGAGGGCAGACTCGGGGCAGGGCCTTCGCCACTTTTGTGCTTTGATCAAGATGTGGTAACTTCTTTCCCTGGGCCCCACAGGCCCTATAAAGGGAGGCTGGTTCTAGTGGGACGAGCTCAGCCGCCTCCTCAGTGCCAGGAGCCTGCTGGAAAGGTAGGGTGTGAATGCATCTACTTGTGCAAGTTGTCTTTGAGCCCCTTTGGCTTGCAAAGAGATGGAGTAACTGCTTCAGCTACTTGCTATCTACTAAGTGTTTCCCTTACTACATGCCTGGCACTGCACTCTCTGTCCATGAGCTTGTTTGAGATGAGGCCCAGAGGGGCAAAGTGACCTGCCCAAGGCCACACAGCTATCAAGAGACTGAGTCATGATTTGGACCCAGGTCAGTTCAGCACCGGAATACCCAGAATACCCACTTTGGGTCCTCTCCCAAGCTCGTTTGCTAGGGTCCCTGGGCCCTGGGAGAGGTTGTAGTTTTCTTTTCAGAGCTCTTCACTTGGAGTTGAGGAGATTCTTTGATGATTTGGTGGCTGGGCTTGAGCTTCCCCACCCGTTTTGAAGACCTCAGAAGTTTGCAGAGGCCCAGAACTCCATCATATGAACCCCTATTAGAGAGGCTGATACAGAGGAAGCTGGAGTGATTCAAAGGGGAGGGAAGAATCCGAGGATCATGGAGAGCCTCAGTGTGAGCATTAGTTTGGACTCTGGTCCTAAGGCAATAGGAAGCCAGATAAGGTTTCTGAGCAGTGGCATGACATGATCCTATCTACATATCAGGAAATAACTTTGGTAACAGGGCAAGCACCTGTTAGAGCAAGGAGACCTATGGAGAGGGTGGTATGGGAGTCTGGGCTGTGGTTGGTGGTGGCTGTCAGGCCTGGGGCCGTTGGGGTAGAGAGGAGTGGTCGGGTATCCAGCTAGACAATGAAGCCTAGAGTATTGAGGTTAGGAGGCTGGACCAGCAGAGAGTTCTTGGAGCCATGTCAGGGTCCCCAGGGCCAGTTCCACAGTGACTGTGCTCTGGGGCTTTGCTTCTGCCACCCCACCACATTGGAGCCAACATATTTCCCACCAGGGCCCCTTTCTTCCTGTTCTCTCCCATGCTGGATTGCCCTAAATCAGCAGAGGCCATGCTGAGGTGGGAGGAAGTTCCAGTTTCCTTAGCCTTAGCTACCACTTGGTATTCTGAACTGGTCTGTGCTGGAGAAAAAGATGTCGGATATTCCAGGAAGAGAGGAGGAGGTGGCTAGTTCATGTTAGGTGGCTTGTTCATGCCTGAGTCCTCCTGCCAGGTGAATATTTACAAACACAGTCACTCACCTGGCAACACCAGCACCACTGATTCCCTTGAGTGCTGTCCACACTCCTCTTGCCCCCGACACACACACAATGCACATCTCTGCTGCAGCCAAGAGAGTCTCTTGGGGTATGGAAGGAGGCAGTATGGCTGGGACCCTAGAGACCACCAAGCCCTACCCCAGGTCAAAAGAGAGGTGTGGAGGTCAGAGGAGGCCAAGGCCCTGTGAAATAATGAGATGAGACCAGACTCCAAGGCCTAGGCTCTGCCCTCCCCATGTCAAAGGCTTGGTGGCTTGGGCTGGCTCTGAGGCCCATGTCCTCAGGGGACCTGGACTCACAGCTCTGCCTTGCAGTGGCTCCCAGGTCTGAAGGGAACCTCAGTGTAAACGCAAGCAGTTCTGACTGAGAAGGTCGATAAGCCTGAAAGAACGAGACCCTCTGGTTGCTGCCCAGCCAAGGTGGGGTACAGGCCCAGCCTCAAGGTCAGAGGAGCTGCCACTGCTGCAAATACCTCCTTCAGGGTGAGCACCTAAGTAGAAGTTGCAAGGAGGAGTGGGCAGCCAAGCCCTTTGCGCACTGCCTTCCATCACCCCAGGTAGGAGGAGAAGGACTCAGCCAGGAGAAGATGGTGAGTTCTTGATGTAAGGCCAGGAAGAAGCCCACCCATGTCCATGGCGAAAGATAGCAAATGACTGGCCCAACTGGCTGGTCCCCTCATACAGGCTCTGGTGGCCCTGCACTTCCCCCAGCCCCTGAACCTGGGCCTGGGCTCTTCCAGGCAGCTGGAGCTGGTTGTCTGTGGGTTCAGTGCCAATGCGAAGGAAAGGATGGATTGTGGGAGTGGGCCCAATGTTGGCAGGGGTTGGGGTGGCCATACCACATGAGGGGCTGGCATTGAGACTGCAGTCTTGGGCTTGAGTCTATGCTCTACTACTTGTTTACTGTGTGCCTCGCTTGCTGAACAAGGTGGCTTCTCCAGTGGAGCCTCTGTTCTCCCACCTTAGAGGGAGTACCTGCAGCTGTTGTGAGGGTCAAACAGTACAGTGTGTAGGAAAAGGCTGCCCAGGCATCAGGAACTCAGGAATTTTAGGCCAAGTCCCCTTCTTCCTCCCACTGAGGACCATGGTAATACCGTGACTGCTGAAAGCTCAGCATATCCAAGAGGCCAGCCTCACAGACTTGTAGCACTGATCTTTGTATGAGATTTTGTGGGCTCAGTGCTTTATTTTCTGCACAGAATATTCTGTTCCCTAAGTGTCCCATGTGCTCTTTCAACTCCAGCCTTTGTATGTTTACTTTCCTCTGCCAGGCCACCCTTTCATCTTTATCTTTCATTCTCAGGATCAATATCACTTCCTGCCAGAAGCCTGCCCTGACTCTCTCGTACCTAAGTCAGGCAGCTTTTCTGGCTCCCCATGTCTGATCATAACACTGCCCATTTCCTCATGTGTCCTTCCCAGGGGACCGAGGGCAGGCCCAACTCTGAGCTAGATGAGAAGAGGGACTGTGTGAGGGTCTGCCAGATGCGTTGAAAGACAGATGGATGACTTGGCTAATCTGGGCTGTGCTCTGTAAAAACTCTAGCATTGCACCGAATGCCACAATATGCAAAGCTCAGAGTCTGTGAGCATCTGCCAAGGACCAGGGACTGGTGGTAATGAGGTATCCTTCCAGGGTTCCCTTTAAAACTTTTGGGGTATACAGCTGAGCCCTCGTGCTAGGCATGAGTTTCTTGGTCCTTGGCTTCTCATATCATTAAGTCAGTTCAGCTCCTTCAAGAAAAATGTCCATCAGCTCAGAACCCACCCTACGAGTTGGTGAGCATGTCTGGATTTTCTACTAAGTAGTGAGTCATTTATCTGATAGGCCTGGCTGTGATTTCATCTTCCCATCTATAGCTTAAGGAAGTAAATGTCCCAAGAAGGCCAGCTAGTCACCTACCCAGAGTCTTCTCCAGAGTGATTTTCCCTGGTGAATCTACTGTGGTCTATAACTTGGCCTCTGCTTTATTATGCAGAAGCTGAATTGGATGGATATGCTAGGAGTGGGTTGTTCCTCCAGGATGGTCTCATAACTGACCCAGCTCAAGGAAGCTTCTGTTAAAACTGGATTTCCAGCTCAGGAGCTCAGTGAAAATACCACACTTGGCTAGAGGCTCACCCAGAGCCTGTGGGTGGCTGATGAGTGTTCCCAGGACTCAGCCTGCTGTGCCATCTGCAGGGCATAAACTCCTTCTGTGGGGCCACAGTGTGCAGGCCAAATCACCTCTGCCCAGTGCTTGTACCAGGCCTGCTCCTGACCCCTTTTCATGTGTCCTGGGCTGAGCAGTCCTCTTGGTTTGACAAGCATATACTTTAACCATCTCTTTAGTCCTCTGAATATGCCAGATGCAGTGCAAGGGGCTTTATATGTCTAAATGGTACTGCCCTCATTTTAAAGATGGGGAAGTGGAGGTTCAGAGAAGAAGGATAGGCTCAACCTTGCATTGCTCATAAGAGAAGGAGAAGGAATTACAACTGAAGGGCTTTTTGTGTGTCTCTGCAATGACTTTGCACATCACTGACTTCATCTCCGGTGTCATGATGTTATGGTTTAACACAAATGCCATTTATTGGGATTTCAGCAGATCTCCCCTCTCTCAGGGGTCAAGCAATTTTTTGGCTCATATCCCATGGCTGCAGAGTAGCCACTGTTGCATTCTCCTTGTTTCCCTTCTTGGAAGCACAGCCATGCTTCCAAAGGCTTAGGGCCTGTGAGGAGGGTGCCTCGGGGTGGTACAGGGCAGCCTTGAGCCCACCCTGCCATCACTGGGCTGGCAGACCTGTAGGTGCCTCTAGCCTCAAGTCCTACTAGGCAGTGACATGAGGGGGTCCCATTGGGGATGCCAGCACCCATCACCTGGCCCACCCTTGATACTTTCCTCAGTTCCAAGCAAGGTACAGAACCCTTGAGCCAAGCTGGCTGTGTATTTGCTGTGCCAACACGGCCTCACTTAGTGGCCGAGAGGAGGATGCCGCAGGCCCCTGGGGCCTGCTTCTCTTTCAGCCATTCTCCAGTGCTTCTCACAGAGACCTTCCCTCTCTCTACCCCAGGGCATCTGCCATGTCTCCCTGATGGGCCCACTGTACCCACTTGGGCTGTAGTGGGTGAGGGTGGCTCCCTGGCTGCCATCTGTGACATGGCAGGAGATGTTGGTCCCCCGGGGAGCGCACACAGCACTCCGCTGAGCCATTTCTCTCTGAGTCGTGGTTTCTCTTCCTACCAGGTTAACACCTGCTCTCCTCTGCCACCTGCCTTGCCTCTGAACACTTGCTGAAGGGATCAGGGAGGATAGCACAGGGCCCAGTTATGGTGGGGCCAGTTGTCCTCTTGGTAGTCGGTGAGGGACAGTGCAGAGCCATAGTGCTCATACAGTCAGATAGGTCTTCACCTTCACATCATGAGGGCTGGAGTATCTGTCAGGGCTGATCTGCGGTCTTTGCCCTGCCCCCACTTCGCTCTCACTCAGGGTCAGGGCCTGGAGTTGGGAGATTAGAGGTAGAGAGGGAGGAGCCTGCATTCCTTCACCCCTGGGCACTGTGCTGAGCACTTCTGCTGCCCTTCCCTCTTCTCCACACCCCAGGAGCAAAGATAAGTAAAATGCTATGACAGCTGTCACACAGGAGAACAGAGCACCCAGGCCTTGAGGTCCAGGAAGCATCATTCCCAGAGCTGCCAGAGCAGTGGCCCTGGAAAATATGGAAGCAGCTGTCAGCCATGGCCCAGGGCCTGAGCGTATGATTCTCAGGAAAAGTGGGCAGGACATCTGACTGTCAGGTGTGACGGCAGAAGGTTCTGGCCTCTTCCTGGGAAAAGCCCTTCTAGGTAGCCAGCTTCTGGGGTGCACTCTGTACATCCCAACTCCCCGAGGGCCTGCCCTACAGTGTTTCAGACCAGATATCAGGTCCTGTGACCCAGGACCCCTCCCTAACCTGCCCGTCAGGTCTCTTGCCTTATCTGACTCTTGTTTTCAACAGAGTTTGTCCTCTCACTTCTGGAGAAGATGCAGACACAGGAGATCCTGAGGATACTGCGACTGCCTGAGCTAGGTGACTTGGGACAGTTTTTCCGCAGCCTCTCGGCCACCACCCTCGTGAGTATGGGTGCCCTGGCTGCCATCCTTGCCTACTGGTTCACTCACCGGCCAAAGGCCTTGCAGCCGCCATGCAACCTCCTGATGCAGTCAGAAGAAGTAGAGGTGAGCAGGATAGGAGACGTTCCACTGCGGAAAGTAGGGGGCAGAGGACAGGCATCTTGGAAGTAGAAGCCAGACTTGTGGCTTATTTGACCTCACATGGCCCAGAGAAGGTGTCTCCCCTGGCAGTCAGCCACTTAGCTCTGCAGCAGCCTTGGGCAGGGTCTCCTACCAGGCACTCCTTCTGCCTCTCCCAGGAACTGCCTCTGGGTAGAGCCTGACCTGGGCCTTGCACTGGGCCTCTAGTTTGCCTGCTTCTCGGGTAGGAGGGCCTTGGCTCATTGGTATTGCAGTAGGAAGCCTAAGCAGGTTCTTGAGGAGCTTCCTGGTAGATTCCCTCCCAAACTCTCCTGGTCTGGTGCTGGGACCCAGGATTCAGCCCACTCCTGGCCCTGCTCTCCCTGAGTACATGGACTCACACATGGTGCCACCAAGGGGAAGACGATACAAGGGCCAGTGGACAAGGGTGTTCTAGGCTAAGCCTGGAAGGACTGGTGAGGTGTGTTTCATTATTAAGCTTATGGAATTTATTTTTGCCTTTTAAAAATTTGCTTTTTCTCCTCTTGAATTCTGTTCATTTGGAATAGATAATGTATCCACATAGTCCAGAACAAACAAATGGAATGTACTGAAAAGCTTGTGTCTTCTTCCTTGCTCTCCCAGTTCTCTTCCCCTGATGCAACCTGCTAATGCTCTGTCCTGGCCGTGAGCAGATGTGTAGAGATACTCACCACGCTTTCACTCATATCCACCACATACCCTGTTGTGCACCTTGCCTTTTGCTCTTGACAGTGCACCTTGGCGATCATAAGCATGTTTTGCCTTGTAGGGGAGGGTGCAGGTTGAGGTAGGGGCTGGGATCTTCAGGGCATTTTTCCAGCGGAAGAATGGTATGTGCAAAGGTGCAGGTGTGTGCTGAGGCACATGGGGGCTTTGCGTGGGACGCTAGGTAGTGGAGAGGGGCCAGAGATGGGCTGGCCAAGTGCTGTTGAGAATGGCCTTTGGTGTCTGGCAGTCCTGGGTTTGAAGCCTGGCTGTGCCTCTGAGGTGTATGGCCCTGGGCAGTTTCTTAACTCTCTGAGCCTCAGGGCTCTCAGTTGTAAAGTGTGTAATAAAAAGAGCACCTGCTTTCTAAGGTGTGGTAAAGATTGGGTGTGATGACCCAGAGAAGTCACTAAGGACAGCTGTTTTTGGTTAAGCTTGTGACTATATCACATCTGGAGAGGTCAGCAAGGACAGAGCCCTGTGAACTGTGCAGGGACCAGCAGAGGGAACAGCGTGGAGCTATTTGAGATTTTCAGTAGGGAGAGACATGGCCAGTTTGTGCCGTAGAAAGGTGGGTGTGACAGGGGCAAGCGTAAGAAAGCAGCTGCAGGCATCTGGGTTGAAGGTGACAGTGGTCTGGATGGTGTCAGAATGGTGAGAGGGATGACCCTGGCTCGTGTGTAGGGGCCACTGAGTGAGTCACCTTGTGGGTCTGGAAGACAGGACATGGGATGAAGCTAATGCCTCCCTTCCTGGAATGACTGCATCCTCCCTTGCCTCATCCCCCAGGAGCCCAGAAAGCCAGAGTGGCTGCACCGGAGTAGGCAAAGGAGACAGTGGTAGGAAATGAGATGGGAGAGGCAAGAGGGGCCCAGATCAGACAGGGCCTGGCAGCATTGACTGTGCCTGCTGTGTGGTGGGAAATAATTCAGATCTTGTCACTCGCCTGGCCTAAAACCCTTTCCTGGCTCCCCATTACCCTCAACCTCAAGTCCAGATTCTGCCTTGATCTGCAGCCTCTCTGGCCTCCTCCCCAACCATTGCGATCTGGAGCTCCATGAATCGCCTACAGTTCCCCAAATGCACCTGTGCCTCCTGCCGGTGCATTTGCATGTGGTGCTGCCTATGCAGGGTTGCTATTCCCTCCTCCTCACTCTGTCCGGCAACCCCCATCCATCCTTCGAAGCCCAGCTTGGCAGCTGATCGATAACACACATGCCCAGTGTTGAGCCTCTTCTGTCCCTGGCATACAGTCTCTCCTTGTACCATATCTGTTGCCCAAGTGCAACTGGGTCTGATTGGATGTGTCCCAGCTTCTCTTGCAGGTCTTAGGTGGGCTTGGTCCTTGAAAGCACTGGCCAATCAGAACTTTCCACTCGAAAACAGTCGGGAGCTGCCTGTGGTTTTGAGTTCGGCTGTTTGCTTTCTGGTTCTCACAGATGTTTTTTTCCTTAGACCTGCTGTTCCAAGAGGTGGCAGGCTCTGGCCCAGCCCAGGGTAGCTCAAATAGTGCTTGAAGAAGAGGTGGAGCTGTGATACTGGAGAGTTTGGGTTTGGGCACCCTGGGGAAGGGTGACAGGGTAGAAGGGGAGGAGGCAGGAGAAGGCTGGCTCCTCACCCTACTCACCAGCACAGAGGGGTTTGCCACCTTCCCACTCTGCACCCGTGCCACTTTGGGCCCAGGAACTTGCTGCCTGCCTCTCCTCCCCCATTGCACATGAACATAATTCAGCCTGTCCTCCCTCCCTAGCCTCCTAGGCTTCTGTGCCTGGGACAGAACCTTCAGCACAGTCCTCTAACTCACTTCATTATGTGAATGATGGGTGGCAGCCTTCTTAGCTAACACCACACCCAACTGATCCTTAACTCAGGGGCATAGCAGTAGATGATGGGATGGGAGATACCTTGGCAGGTTGTTCCTGAATCCAGCCAATACTCCCCACTGTGTTGTATGAATGAGACATGGGTGTGTACGAACATTAACTGAAAACTCTGGACATTCTGCATATGCTGACCTGCTGTGTGAATGCTGTATGTGTGTGTGGAGTTTGTATGTGGGGACACTGGTATACCCGGCCTTTATGCATGAGCCAACTATGTCGGAGTGTGGCTACATGCAGGTTGAGTGTATACAGTCCAGGTGTGTGTAGTCCATGTGTACGCGGGCACACAGATGCCACGGTGCTAACTGCATGCACGGGTTGTACATCCGAGCTGGGTACAGCCTTGTGCATGCTGCGGCCCTCTCCTGGCACCCCTACCTGCCTCAGCCAACTTCTCTGGCCGGTGCTTGGCTTGTAGGACAGTGGCGGGGCACGGCGATCTGTGATTGGGTCTGGCCCTCAGCTACTTACCCACTACTATGATGATGCCCGGACCATGTACCAGGTGTTCCGCCGTGGGCTTAGCATCTCAGGTGAGAAGGGTTGTGGGGGGGGGTGTGGAGGGGCTGTGTGGCAGGGGTGGAGTGGGTGCAAGGGTGGGTATGCAAGCATGATACCAGGGCCATGGCAGGTGAGCTATCCCCAGGTTCAGTGGAGAGAAGCTACTCCTGGCCTTTCTCCCACCAGTCAGAGAAGCAGCTGCATTATATGGCTAAAGGGCTGACCTCAGCTTTGTTCCAGCCCTTGGGGCAGCTTGACCTTAGGCCATCACTTGGCCCACACTCTATACTCTTGGGGAGCCTTGAACTGCCAGGCCACTGGCTGGCATGGTTCTGAACCTGAACCTCTGAGATGTCTGGGTGCTCTCAGGGTAAGAGGCAAAGAGAGGCAGCCTACCACCTCCTCCCAGTGGTCCCCAGGTGTCTGTATCCTTTGGGTCTGTAATAGGGATCACCACACAAATTATGATGGGGACTAGGCACTGCATCATTCCCCATTTCCAGACCTCCCTGATCCCTGGGATGATGCCATACTTATGTGCTTTAGGCCCTCTTGGGCTTCAGCAGATTAGACAGGTAGCTGGCAGTGCAGGAGGGCAGTTCACTTGGCCCATGGACACACTACAGTATGGGATGTCCATCCAGGTTTCTGATGGGCGGATGCAGGTGGCACACCCACTCTGACCCCTCTCTGACACAAGGCTTTCTTATCTCTCTACAGGGAATGGGCCCTGTCTTGGTTTCAGGAAGCCTAAGCAGCCTTACCAGTGGCTGTCCTACCAGGAGGTGAGTGATACAGGACAGGCCCCACCCTGGCCACCCATTCAGATCTGGCACTCAGGGCAGGTAGGGAGGGATGTGGGCACCTGCTGGGTCTCAGAGGGTCATTTATTTCCCTGGCCTGTCTGCCAAACTCCTGGCAACAGCCTTGAAGGGCTTCCAGCATACCCGGGTTGGAAGTCAGGGAGGTCCCTCAGATCTATAAGAATCCCGGCTGGGCGTGGTGGCTCATGCCTGTAATCCCAGCACTTTGGGAGGCCAAGGCGGGTGGATTGCCTGAGCACAGGAGTTTGAGACCAGCCTGGGCAACGCAGTGAAACTCCGTCTCTACTAAAATACAAAAAATTAGCCAGGTGTGGTGGCATGCACCTGTAATCCCAGCTACTCGGGAGGCTGACAGGAGAATTGCTTGAACCTGGGAGGCAGAGGTTGCAGTGAGCAGAGATTGTGCCATTGCACTCCAGCCTGGGTGATAGATCGAGACTCCATCTCAAAAAAAAAAAAAAAAAAAAAAAAAAAAAAGAATTCCTCCTGGGGATCTCCTTCCCCTGTTGAAGAGTCCTTGTTTTCCCATCACTTCCCCACATCTGTGTGCAGGTGGCCGACAGGGCTGAATTTCTGGGGTCCGGACTTCTCCAGCACAATTGTAAAGCATGCACTGATCAGTTTATTGGTGTTTTTGCACAAAATCGGCCAGAGGTGAGCATCTACCTTGACTGGTTTTAGAGGGATTCGTGGGGTAGGGGTTGGCTGCCATGGAATAGTCCTGCTTTCACTGTTTGTAGGGCCCAGGACAAAAGAAAAAACAGAGACCCTTGGGCTATGCCACCACTCCTCTTCCCACCCTGGCTCTGCCCCTCATCAGCACTGGCCACCCCAGCCATGCTCCATCCACACCCCACCCAGCTCTACAAACAGCTGCCCCTTGAGCCAATGGGGAGGAAAGACCTGAGGAACAGGCTCATGCAGGCCATGGAACTGTCCTTGGGGCAGTTTAGACATGAAATCCAGGAGTTACAGAATTCTCTGGTACAGGCCTGGTCCAGAAGGCTGTGGGTGAGCAGACACAACCCATTAACCTCATGGATTCCTTGCCACAGGCATAGGGCTTAGAGCAGGGACGCTGGTTACCTAGGCCTAAGGGCAGGACAGCCCTCTAATCTCCCCTTCTTCCCCACCCCCGCCTCATGTGTCTCCACAGTGGATCATTGTGGAGCTGGCCTGCTACACATATTCCATGGTGGTGGTCCCGCTCTATGACACCCTGGGCCCTGGGGCTATCCGCTACATCATCAATACAGGTAAGCCCACTGCCACCCCACCCTGCCACTGGCAACTGGTCCCCAGCCTCCAGCCTCCAGCTTCTCAGGTTATGCTGATTGTCTGACACTCGTAAGAGGCACTTTGCTCTCAGAAAATACTAGGGGCTTACACTGTGGCTCCTGAGTTGGCTTCCTGAGTCAAGCTGTCCCTGGTCAGACTTCACACGAAGGTTCCTTCCACAGGGCTCAGCTGCCAAGAAGGAGCCTCTGCAACAGCCTCCACACAGGGTACAGCCCTCTGAAGTTCATGACAGCTTGGCACAGATGCAGGGGGTGGTAAATATCTCAAACAGACCTGGGATGATGGGGGCAGAGCCTGGAACAAAGGGGAGCTTGGACTCTGCTTGAGGAGGTTCCATGGCCTTCTGCCCTTGGTTCCGCCCAGGACCCACGGCAAATTCCTCTGTACACGAGGCCTGTCTTATGTATTTATTTACACATAAGCTATGGGCACACAGACCATGGAAGTGCTGCCTGGCATGTGCTGCCTGGCACATGCTGCCTGCACTCATGACCTGGGCCCACATGGCCTGACTCTCCTTGATGGCCCCCTGCAGCGGACATCAGCACCGTGATTGTGGACAAACCTCAGAAGGCTGTGCTTCTGCTAGAGCATGTGGAGAGGAAGGAGACTCCAGGCCTCAAGCTGATCATCCTCATGGACCCATTCGAAGAAGCCCTGAAAGAGAGAGGGCAGAAGTGCGGGGTGGTCATTAAGTCCATGCAGGCCGTGGAGGTGAGGGTCTGCTTCTGGGCGGTTTGCTGGGCTACTGCTGGCTGGTCACCAAGTCAGAACTTCTGGTTATCTGTCCCTCTCATGCCCTGGGGTGGCTGTTTTGGGCCCGCAGGGTATATCAGTGTCCAGACAGGGCAGGCTTTGCAAGGGCTGGTGGTGAGTGGTGGGGTTGGTGCCCACAGGCATCCTCTAGGAGATAGGCTCCGTGGCTGGATCAGTTAATCCAGCCTGGCACTAGGTGCTGACTGGTGGACCGTGGTGCCAGCTTACCTCAGAGGTACTCACACAGCCTCTGGAGCTTCCTCATTTCCAGCTAGCCTCAGCCTGTCTGTGTCTGAGGACTACAGACATAGGTCCAGGAGTCTGGGAGAGGTTCTTACAAATGTGATCCAGACCCCCAGCGGCCAGCAGAATGGATGTTTCTGTGCCTGGCCTCCCCAGAGACATCAGGTTGGTGGCAGTTGGTGGTCTGCTGGGGTGACACAGGACATCCTGGCCTCCAAGGCCTCAGGCCCTGCCCAGTAGCAGCTGACCCCCCACTATGCCCTACTGGATCTAGGCCCCAGGCCCTCCTTCTCCTGCCTCCCTATGTGCTCCCCACTCTACTGGTAATGCCTATGCATTGTACCCCTCCCTGGCACTGGCAGCTGACCTACACTGGCAGCCCCCACCTGCCCCACTAGCACTGACTGCTCATCCAGAAGCCTAGTCCACCCAGCTGCTGCATCCTGAGCATGTGCCCAGCCGTGCCAAGAGCACTTTAAACCCAACATGCTCACACTCGGATTGCCATCATACAGGTGGCATGTGCACTTTGCTTAGCCTCTCCCTGGGGCTCAGACTCCCTGTCTGTAATGTGTGGGGTGGCCTAGAACCTCTAGTCACCCTCCCTGTCTCCCAGGAGCCTCAGGCTTAGATGTCTGTCTGAGAAGAGGCCACTGAGGTCATGTCTGCCATGACCATCTCAGTGGCTGCTTTGGAATCTTAAACTCTGGGATTGGTGCAGGAGTAAGGCCTACTGAGCTGTTTATTCTGATTTTGTGTGTGGTGTGTGTGTGTGTGTGTGAGTGTGTGGGTATGTGTGTGTGTGTATGTGTATGTGCGTGTGTGAGAGAAAGAGACAGAGACAGAGGGACAGAAAGAGAGAGAGAGAGAACTTTTGAGCATTTAAAAACAGCATTTTCTTCTTTCAGGACTGTGGCCAAGAGAATCACCAGGCTCCTGTGGTAAGCGAATTCACCTGCAGGTCTTTATTGAGCGAGATGGCGTGCAGGGCCTGTCCTCACAGAGTCCCTCACTGTGCACAGAACAGCACCTCTGTGTTAATAAGCAACTCCTGTGTGCAAGCCAGGAAATGCCCACTTGAGTGTCCAGGACTTCTGTGGGCCGAGGGCCCAGGGAAGGACCTGGAACAGGAGTCAGGTATTTGGGAGGGAGAAAAAAGAGCTGCCAATCCTGGCCACCCTTGGTTCTTCAAGTAACTTCTTTGGGAAGTCTTACTTTCTCACTATGAATATGGCAAACTCTCCAGAAGATGCAGTAGACAGAAGCAACAGCAGAACCAGAAATGGACTCTTGTGCCAAATGGCCTTGTGGCATCTGCTGTCTTTGTTCATCTTTGCTTTGTGAACTGTTCTGTGCGTCATCCCCATGTGATACTTCCTGGGGTTGAGCCACAGTGAGGGCAGCTGCCCCCGGGATGGGCCATGTGGGGATTTTCAACTTTCTAAAAGGCATATGGCCTCCAGGCCTCCCTCCAGCTCAGTCCTTCCCTCTCCCTTCACACAGGCCTGAGCAGGTCACCCCCGGCTTCCCAGGGCACTGCATGGGTAGCTCCTGGTGTTTGCCCATCTCCTACACATCACGGCTCAGTTTTAGAGAACCACTCTCCCATCCCTCAGCACCCTTTCTCTCTTCTGCCTCTGTGCCTGTGCCCAGGCTGGTTCCTCTCCCCAAAACACCCACCCACACTTCATCGGGAGAAATCTTGCTTGCGCTTCCATCTCAACTCAACTGTCACCTCCTCTGGGAAGCCATCCTCTACATGCAAGCAGACTTGGTGGGCTCCTTCTGGTGACCCCAGACTATGTGCCCAGTGCCAGGGCAAGGGCTGATGCAGAGCAGCCTTGGTGACACAGTGGGCAGCTCAGTGCCCAAGCCACACGTGCTCCCAAGCTTAACCTCAGATACTTGGGAGAACATGGGAAGGAGGGAGGGAACTGGGTCACATCCACTAGAAAGGTCAGAGCTTTGATAGAGACTGAGATGTGGCCACTGCAGCCCAATCCCACCTAGGATAATTCAGCCCAGGCTCAAGTAGGGGAGGCAGTGGGACCAGATGTGAGGTTGGTGGGACAGATTAGTGTTCACACCCCAGTTAGGTTTCCTCAGCTTCTTTTTCTTTTTCCTGAGCGCTCATCTGCCCACCTTTCTGAGCGCAGCACACAGGAGCATGCAGGCGTGCCCAACACATGCTCACACCCACATACAGCATACATATGGGCCTGGCTGGTTGGGGAGCCCAGGCATCTTGGGCCCTGGCTGGCCACACTGGGTCTCCCTAACACACTCCTCTTCTCACCCCTGCAGCCCCCGCAGCCTGATGACCTCTCCATTGTGTGTTTCACAAGCGGCACGACAGGTAAGCAGAGGCACGCAGATCCCCAGCCATGGCTACCTGCACCCTTCCCTGGTGGCCTAGCAGGTGACTGCTGGAGTCTTTGATACCCTGTTTGAAATGGGCTGAGCCTTGTCTTGTTCCTGGCTCCAGACACTGGGTGACCTCCTGCACCTCCCAGTGCCCTGCATAAGAGTGGCCAGATGCAGATGGATAGTGTGCATTGGGAGGTCCAGTGTGAGGGCTTGGCACCTCCCAGAGCTGAGTCAGCAGAGTCATGGGCAGCTGGATCATGTGCTGAGGGAAGGTCCTTTCTCACTGGCATCATTTCTCTCTGGTAAACAGCTCTCACTCCCCTGCTTTCTGCCCCTGCCTGGCCTTTGTGTTGGAGACTGGGGAAAGAGTGTGAGGTTTGGCGTCTGAGAGCCTTGGTTTGAGTCCTACCTCCACTGCTTGCTGGGGGACTGTGAGCCACTCATTTAACTTCTCTGCCACCAGTGTCCCCAGTTTCTCATCTGCCATGAGGGTGGCTAAAGGTGCCAAGTGGGAGATGGGACAGTGTGTGAAAGGGCAATGCAGATGCTCTGCAGGCTGGGGCTGGTGTGCCATGAGCAAGGCTGTCAGGCAAAGCACACAAGCAGAAATGATATCCTCTGTGCTTGGAGCTGACAGAGGAGCACACACATCAACAGTGGCAGGAATAATCAAGGAAGGCTTCCTGGGGGAGGCAGAAAGCACAAGAGGACACACACAGCACAGGCACAACCCTCTGCATTTCTATAGCATGCTGTCCACCCTCTCTCTGCACCACTGGGGCCTCAGCACAGCCTGTGAGGTGAGCAGGATTGTCACCAAGCCTGCTTGCTCCAAAGGGACACCATCAGCAAGTAGAAGCACCAGGGCCTGTGCCCTGCTGTCATAATTCCCAGGCCAGAGCCTTTCCCAGTGCTGCCTTTCCATCTCATCTGATGACGTGGATGTCACTTGTCTTGCCCTGAATGGGCAGGAAGTCTCCAGCCTTCTTTTTCCAAACTGAGGATTGGCCCATCTTGATGACAGCTCTCAGTGGGCAGTGAACTGGGGCTCTGCATGCCTTCTGCAGATGCAGCCTCTAAGGCATTTGACAGACCTGTGACCAGCCCTACAACCAGGATTATTCATGTCAGTGGATCATGATAAACATGCTTTATTGAATATAGATAGATTTTTACCATTAACTCACATGGGTTCAAGGATTTCCACCATATTCTACTAAACTTTGTCAGAAAAATAACAACACAGCCCTTCCTCTCCAGGAGCTGACATCCAGAGCCAACCCAGAATTCAAAAATGCCCTTCAGGTTTATGTTGCTTTTTAAAGAGCACTTTCCAATGTCTTTTTGTCTTGAGTTTTACAATGTGAATTTTTGGTGACATGGTTTTGGGGAGCAGGTCACTGCTATGGCCTTACCTTTGGACCTGCCTTCAAAGTGTGCCTTCAGCCTTTTAACAGGTCACTTGGTCACAGACATTGCCCTTGGATCTGGAGAAAAACTTCATGATGCAGAAATGTGCTATTGCCTGGCTGGGGAGGGCAGACATCATGTCCAGTGCTTTTCCAGACTGTAGGAAGCTGAGCCATCCTGCTCAAGCTCTGTGTGGTGGAAGCAGAATGTATAGGGCTTGAAACATAGGCTGTGATTTACTATCCCAGACCTCCCACTCCAAAGCTATGGCTGTTGCCTGGGCAGAGCTGGGGGAGTGAGCAGGGCTCTGGCCTGATATCACCCCATCTGGCTGTGCACTTGGATTTCCTTGGCTTTAGGCTAAGCCCATGCTGTGCCTCTTGTACTCATCCTCTTGTCGGGCACATCAGCCTTGTGTGTCCTCAGCGTCACAGCCCAGATACAGCTTCCCTTAAATGTAAGCTAAATGTCCTGGCTCCCAGCCTCATCAAGGGCCACATTGTTCTTTTCATGGGGAAAGATGGAAAATATGATCTGAACCTGACATTTGGCCCATGATTCTGGTGGAATCATTCCAGGAAGATTTCATTCTTAGCATGTGGTGGAAAAAATCTGTGGAGATTCCTAGAATAAGTCAGTACTTTGAAGTCCCTATTCAGGCCAAGAAGGCCTGGGAGGTGGTGAGAGCTTGTGGTCTGTCTGTACCCAGTGATGGCTGAGGGGTGGGCATGTGGTTTGCTGTTCATTTCAAAATAACAGTTAGCTGGACTGGAATCTGAACCCATTCCCACCTCTGAAAAAAAGATAATATGTGGGTGTAACATAGCCCAGTTTGGGAAATTGGGTCTCTTGAATGATAGTTAGGATGTTTTATCCTTGTGAGTTCATATGCCTTGTCTTCCCAGCAAAGAAAATACAGTGCTTTTAAAAAACATAACTTTCAGTCTATGTGTTTTTAGCACTCTTTTTCTAATTCATCTATATTCACTCATTCAGCTCATTTTTGTGAGTACCCACTATGCATCAGACCTAGCATTAGGTGCTGAGGGCATAGGGATGGAGAAGACATAGGTCTGCACCCGTGAGCTCCCAGCTTGTGTCATCAGGCAGTTACAATATGATGCGGTCACTGCCTTGAGGTCTGCATCCCTGGTGCATGGGTTACCCGGCCACTGAGAGATCAGTACAGCAGGACAGAAAGGATTCCCAGAGGAAGTCAGTCTAAGCAGAGTCCTGAAAGATCTGTAGCTGCAGAAGCCAGGGAAAGGCATTCCCTGCAGGAGAAAGAGCATATGTGGAGGCCTGATGGTAGCACAGAACACGCTGCTTTGAGGGAGTTTTGAGAGGAAAAGAGAGGGCCCGAGGCAGGGCTTGAGGGCACGAGCATGAGGGAGATGATGGGACAGGAGTTCCCAATAGAGGTCAGGCAGGAGGGGCTGGAGAGGCTAGAGGAGAACAGGATTTGTCAGTGTCGTCTGTGGTTAAGTTGTAACTGGAGGATGTCACCATGAAATGACCTGCTGGTGCTCTTGACAAAGACTGGTCCCGGGCGCGGTGGCTCACGCCTGTAATCCCAGCACTTTGGGAGGCCGAGGCGGGCGGATCACGAGGTCAGGAGATCGAGACCATCCCGGCTAAAACGGTGAAACCCCGTCTCTACTAAAAATACAAAAAATTAGCCGGGCGTAGTGGCGGGCGCCTGTAGTCCCAGCTACTTGGGAGGCTGAGGCAGGAGAATGGCGTGAACCCGGGAGGCAGAGCTTGCAGTGAGCCGAGATCCCGCCACTGCACTCCAGCCTGGGCGACAGAGCGAGACTCCGTCTCAAAAAAAAAAAAAAAAAAAAAAAAAGACTGGTCTTCCCAGCACTTTGGGAGGCCGAGGTGGGTAGATCACAAGGTCAGGAGATCGAGCCCATCCTGGCTAACATGGTGAAACCCTGTCTGTACTAAAAATACAAACAATTAGCTGAGTGTGGTGGCGCATGCCTGTAGTCCTAGCTACTTGGGAGCAGAGGCAGGAGAATCGCTTGAACCTGGGAGGCAGAGGTTGCAGTGAGCCGAAATTGTGCCACTTCACTCCAGTCTGGGCAACAGAGCGAGACTCCATCACAAAAAAAAAGAAAAAAAGGCTGGTCCTGGGGCGTGGGGTGGAGGAGCTGGTGCTGTGGACTGAGGAGCAAATGGGAAGTAAAGATATTGATTCAGTACAAGCATGTGTGCACTTCTTTCACGAAGCTTGGCCATGCCATCAAAAGGCATGCTCCATCATGTTCATAGCAACACTGTTTGTAATAGTCAAAATCTGGAAATAATTCAAATGCTTATTTGCTTACAGTAGAACATTATGCCACAATGTTGAGCAAAAGAAACCAGGCACAAAAGATTGTATGATTTCTTTCATATAAAATTATAAAACGTGATTAATTACCCTGTGGTTTTACAAATCAGGGTAGAGGGTGTCTTCTGGGATAATGGCACCCTGGAAGGGTGATAAGGGAGCCTCTGGGATGCTGGTTGATGTTCTATGTCTTGATCTGGGTGCTGGTTGTACAGCCAAGTTCACTTTGGAAAACTCCATTGAGCTTTACACTTATTTGGGCACTTTTCCATGTGTGTGTTATACTTGAGGAGAAAGTTGTGTTTTTTTTTTTTTTTTTTTTTTTAATAGTTGACTATGAAGGTATGGCAGGGAGCAAGATTAGCAGCTGGTGGAGCCAAGGGCTTTGGGGGAGGTTTGTTGCTCTTCTGGAGATCCTGAAAGTGTTTCTTATAGCTGAGAAGGGGCCACTGGAGACAGAAGAAAGGAAGAGGATGCTCAAGCACCAAAGCCCCCGAAGCTTTGGTGTGGGTGGGGGAGAAAGGAGGTCTCCAAGTACCAGGGAGGAGATGGCCCTGCTAGGAAGGAAGGGGTAAGAGAAGAGTCTGGGAGGCCAGGAAGATGCGGGGAGTCCTCTGACGGCTTCTGCCTCCTTTGTGGAGTGGGAGTCAGAGTCCTGGCTGAGGATGAGAGGAGTCTAAAGGGGGCATGTGTTGACAGTTTCTGGGAAGAGAGCCCCTCTGGGACAGAGACTGTGAGCCTCGGGGGCTGCGCTGTGGAGGGAGCAGGAAGGTTGGCAACTGGATTGGCTTGGTGGGGTTTTCAGAATGGGATCCTTGGGGAGGCCCAAGAGGTGAGGCACTTGACAGGAGAGTGACTGAAGGGAGGGACACAGGAGTCAGCATGGGAGGGAGGCAGGGATGAGAAAGAAGATAGGAGGGGAAGGGCCACAGGTCTGGAGTCATATGAAAGTGTCTCAAAACATGAGAGATCAATTCTAAGCACTGGCTGTGGGGCTGGGAGGCTGAGGGGGTGGAGACCATTCAAATTGGGGCGTCCCTTCTGTTCTAACTGAGGATGCCCATGAAAGCCCAGGCATATACAGTCATTTAGCTGAGCATGTAAGTGCCCATCATCCCCAGAACTGTGGCTACTCAGAGGTGGGCTTTCTGGGGAAAATGTTCACCATGACCTATTCGTTTTGTGCTATTTGGTTCAAGACCTGAATGAATGTAGCAGGAGTGCTGAGTTACCATGTATGAAGTGCCCAGCACAGTGCCAACATTAGTGGGTGTTGAGTACTTGGCTACTATTATAGTTATTATTTCTATTCTTACTAGCCCTCAAGTCTGATTTTTTAAAAATTGGTGGATATGGGATTGATAAAAGTAAGACTCAGACCTAAAGATTTGAGAGCCTTTAGCAGGAAGACGAACACTCTAGCTGCATTATGAAACTTCCAGAGAATGTCAGTCACCGGTAACTATTATAACCCACCTTTGAGTATTTAAAAGCAGAAACAAGCAGCCAGAATCCCCCAGCTGGGTGGCCCAGAACTGTCCCCAAACCCACTTCCACCCCTGCAGGAGAAACCTTGAGCTCAAGTCCATCCGCAGCTGCTGTCACCTGGAGCCAACATCCAATCAGGGCAGATCGTCACCCAGCAAAATGCCTTTCTACATAATAGCCATGGGAGGCCTGCCCAGGAACACTGACCAAAGCCAAAATGTCATTGGCAGAATCTAACACTTGGAGAGTTTTTCTTCAGTGGCTAGAGAGAAAATTAAATACAAGAATGGTCAGCTTATGAGTGGATGATGGGAAATAGACAGTGGGTCTCATACCGCTGAGACATTGGCGGCCTGGGTAGCCAGCATCTCTTACTGACATTGCACCAGAAAAGGAGAAAACCAGGGAAAATTCTGCAATTTGATTCTGCAACCTTTCAGTCTTCCCCCACAATTTGTTGCCAACATTCACTTCTTCTTCACCCTTTGGGACCACATGTAGAGACAACTTAAAGAAATAATTTGGGCATGTCTGGGAATGTTTTAAAATTCCATATGCCATTAGACATGTATAAAATGGCATTCATATCCACAAGAAAACTAAAGGACATGAACTTTTCTCATCATGCTGGAGAAGAAAAGGACTTATCTAACCAAGTGGAATTGAATAACTACTGCTGTTGTACGTGTTTTGGCTTGAACTGAATGGCGGCTTTAGAATTTTTTTTTATCAATGAAGACAGTTTTCCCTTGAGATTCTTACACCATTCACCCTGAGTTCTCTCAAGCATGAACAAGTCAGCCAACTTTGCAAATCCAAAGCTCTGTAACACAGGACTCTTATTTCATGACACTTCTGATTTCATACCTAGTGTTTGGGAGATATTCCTTAGAAACTTCCAGATCCTAAGAGTCAGTGGGAAGAAATTGCTAGGTGACACTTGGAATACTCTGTGGGCCCAGGTACTCTGTGGGCCCAGGTACTCTGTGGGATTTGTATATGAGACAACTTGGATATTTCTTAATCTGAGCCTGGGTTTGAGGAAGGATGTTAGGAAGAAAGAAGGATAGGCAGAGATAAAATTAGACCCCATGGCACTTTTTCTTTTCAAAAGGAAGATATTTTGACAGCTATTTATTAGAGAAATGTAACTTTTTAAATCATGTCATAATCTTCTGTGTCCCCAGAATCACCTCTGTGATTTGCAATATGGGTGGAAGTGCCAGAGTGCAGGTTAAAATCCCATCCACCATACGTTTCAGTCAAACAGATGTGTCTTGTCTCTTGAATTCAAAGATTGGGCCATGCCTGATGCTCTTATCTCTGACAAATGGGTCACCAGTAAGTTGAACAAGTAGGCCTCCTGGGATATAATTATGAGAGCAACTTTATTTTTATCTCCATTCGTGCCTTTAAATTTGTGCCGCGGGGGTAGTTCTTTTTCTGCTCCTGGGCAAAAACTCAGGCATCTTGTGCCTTTTCTGGTCACTCTCAGTTAATAAAAAGTCCTATGGACATTGCAAGTCACAAACACAGTCTTAATTCAGAATTACAAGTGTCAGTCCAAAATAGGAATCAGTACACTTCACTGAGACTCCTTCCTTTCCCGAGCGAGGGCTGGCTGCAGGCTTGGTAAGGAGGGCACGGTCCTTCTCTCCTCTGTTCCTCTCTGATGTTTTTCCTTCTCCCCCAGCTTGCTAACAGAGGTTTCTGCCCTCTCCTACCAGGTTTGAAGTGGGGTAGGAGAATAAATAAGTAGACTATGAAAGTTGAAAGATGGTTTTGGGCAAACGTCTAAAACTCCCTCTGCTTCATGGCTGCCTTCATGAGCACTCTTGATTTAGGTGGTGTCCTTCCTTGGGTTGCCTGCTGCCTGCTCCACTTCAGCTTCTGTCTTTGGTGTACTCTTGATTGTCTCCCCTCATGGGCGATTGTCATTTTGCCCTGGCAAACTGGTCTCGTGGATAAGATTTCTTGCACCCCACCATTCCCACCACTGCTCTCTAAGACTGATGTTCCTTCTGTAGACTCCATATCCAGATTCCCTGGGATTAATTTGGTTTCTTTTCGTTTTACAACCACAGTCTTCTTCATCTTTCTCATTGGGTCTCCCAGCTGCAGGGAGCACAATCAGGCACTTCAAGTGATCCCATTAGGGGCTGAGTTAGCTCGGGTGTTAGGTTGAGATTAGGAGAGAGGACCCTTCATTCCTCCCCTTTTGATGGGCTATGACTCAGTGTAGCTGTCTCCAAAGATGAAAAAAAGTTCTCTCTCTCTCTCTCTCTTTCTCTCCCCACCCCCTCATTGAGGCAAATTTCACATAGCATAAAATCAACTCCATTTTAAAGTGAGCAATTCAGGGGCATCGAGTACAACACTCTCTTAGTCTCTCTCAGCCCTTTTATTGCCTCATTCAGGGTGAGGGTTGCAAAGTTAACATGTTGGCTTATTTGATGTTTTGCAGCTATTGTATCTGCTGCCTCAGTGGAAACGTCTGATTTAACATCTCTGGCTGCCTCAGTGGAACCTAATTTAACATCTTTCATACTTAGATTATATCTTTAGATCTTATAGAAGCCTGTGAGGTGGGCATTACTCTCCCCATCTTACAGGTAAGGAAACAGAGAGGAACAATGGCTTGCCAGTGTTATGCTGGCAGTGAGTGGCAAGGCTAGGATTTGAGCCCTGTCAGATCTGTCCGGCAGGAACTTTGGGATTGTATCTACCCTGACAGGAAATGGTGGCCAAGTTGTCCTCCCTTCCCAGCCTGCTGTGCCTGGGATCCCTAGCCATCTCTACCCTCTGAGTCATCCTAGCAGCCCCTGACTTCCTCAAGGGCCCAGAGAACTAGGCCTCACGAGCAGTAGTGAAAGGTCATATCAAAACAAAGCAAGAATATTTGTGTCCCATTTCTGCCAAGGAGCAGGCAGGAAGGGCTGCCCAGCCCTCTTGGATCTCCAGCCTGGCCTGAGCCTGGGGCCTTTCCAGGTGCCAAATGCAGCAGAGAAGTCCTTTGCCATCAGAGTTGGCTGCTGGACTCAGGAGACCAGGCCCACTCAGGCCCAGGGAGTAGTACAGAGCCCTTGCTATATGTAAGGGGACTCGGGGCTGACAGCCTCTGCTCCTGAAGGAAGACGGGAGAGGATAAGGCACAGACCACAAGCAGTTGACCCTTCAGGCCTTGAGGCACCCCTCCTGTGCAGCCATATCACCTGCCTCCTGGTCCCATGCTGGTGGGAGCCTAATGGTAGGCTATGTCTATAGGATAGCGGTCCCTGAAGCAGCATTCATCTGCCTGTAAGTCTAAAGGTGGCTGAAGACAAAGGCCAGAGGCTTGGGTAGACAGCATGGGTGTCTGGGACTGCCAACTTGGGCACTGCTCTCAAGAAGTGGCCCTTGAGTTTCCAACTAATTTGACTTCTTGCTTTCTTTTTATAGGGAACCCAAAAGGTGCGATGCTCACCCATGGGAACGTGGTGGCTGATTTCTCAGGCTTTCTGAAAGTGACAGAGGTGAATAAAGTAGCATTACTGTTGCAGGTGTCTCTTGAGGACAACCTCAAGCCTCAGAGGATTTTTTTTTATTTGTTTGTTTTCTTTTTCTTTTTTTTTTTTTCTTGATATAACCTGGGCTGCCATTCACAGGCAGGAGTTTCTGTTCTCATTAGAGCAACCCCACTTTTACCATCACTTTTCACTCCAAATACTGAAATGACCCATACGTGACAAATATTCAGTTGATTTCTGGGAGTACTAAGATCCCAGAAAGAAAAGCATGCAAACCTATTTTTCCTTTCTAACTTCAAATAACTTCAAAAATTGATATACCCATGGTTTTGTGTGTACCTTTATTTAGAAAGTAATCCTTAATAACTTGTTTTTCAAAGGTCAGGGTTTAATTCAGTCATTTTGTGTTTAAGGACTACTAGAGTCTGAGAAACAACGGCAACTGCTAATTTATAAGGCTGTACTTAAAGGTAAATCTAAAATCAAAAAAGCTTTGATGTCTTGGCCTGACCAAAGCATGTTAGCATTTTATAACTGGCTAACAAAGGAGGACTTTTCCCACAAGTGGTGAGTATGTCCTGCAGTTTCCTTCAGCATAAAGGAGTGTATCTTTTCAAAAAAGTTTGGCTTTTTCTTCACTGTGGAGAAAGTCACACTCCACATTCATGGTAGATGACATTATGAAGTGTGTGCCCCAAACACTTAGTAGAAAACTGTGAGAGACAGTTTATTTTAGCAGAAAACTGTGAGAGACAGTTGGTGGCTGAGCCCAGGTCAGGAGCCAAGGTTTGCCCAAGCTGGCCCAAAAGCCAGCACAGGAGAGTGAAGGCCTCTGCAAAGGGGTGGAGAGCAGGGAAGTCCAGCAGAGGAGAGCACGTGGAGGCACAGCCCACCCAGATCCCAAGCCTTGTGCAGGGCTCCCCTGGCTGGAGTAGCCCCTGTCCCTAGGGTCAGTCCCATCTGTGAGATGTGTCCTGGGCCCTCCCTTTGCTGGCGGGGCACAGCAGGGCTCCCTGTCAGCATTCCTCTTTAAGGCCCTGGTTCCAGGGATGGCTTGTGAGGCCAGGCTCAGCCAGTGTTTGGGGTTTGGCCTTGTCTCCTCCTCTGGCTGGGGCTCATACCCCAGCCACAGTTGCATAGACTTAGGAGTCTCTGGGCCCCTTTCTCTGCAAGGACTAGAAAGTGCTGACTAGCCAAGACCTTCTGAATCCCTGCCCGGGTAGCCCAGGGATCCTGGAGAAATGGGGTGTGGGGCAGGTCCTGCAGGTGTGGGGAGGAAGGGGAGAGAGCCGGGCTAGAGCCGACTGACTGCAAGTGAGGGGCAGGCCCTCAGAGAGGAGACTTCCCTGCGGAGCCCACTCTGCTGGTTTCTGTGTGCTTCATTTGGCTCTTTGCTTCTGCAGATAACCTAGACCCACTGACGCTGCGACCTAACACTCCGCTTCCTATGCTGCCCTGTCTCTCTCTTCTTTCTGCACCTTCCCCCTCCCTCTCTCTCTCCCTCTCTCTCTCATTTCTTCTCTCTTTCATCTCACCTCTCTCTCTGTCCTCACCACTCCCATTCCCCTCCCCCTCTTCCTGTTTACCCTCCAGGACCATTTTCTCTTTATTGTTTTATGATTCTCTTGTCGTCTTCCTGTCAGTGTTTCTTTCCTTTCTGTCTCCCATGCCCGTCGCCTGCAGAAAGTGATCTTTCCGAGACAGGACGATGTGCTCATCTCCTTCCTGCCTCTGGCTCACATGTTTGAGAGAGTAATCCAGGTAAGACACCCACCTGACTGACCGGGCCTTGCCTGGGCTCCTTCTTTTTTCTTACAGAGTCAGTGGGCTCCCACTTGTGCGGATGTGCACATTTCCTATTTGCCTTTAGCACACATGTTTGAGCGAATGGTGCAGGTAAGGCCCTGGCATCAGGGAGGCACACTCTGTGCCTAGAACCCATAACCCTAGCGGGTGTCACTTGTCACTGGTGGCATGAAGTAGGACCAAACTGCCCTGTCCTCAGAAGGTACCATAGGGGTCAGAGGGCTCAGAGGACTTTAGCCACCCCACTTGTCCCTCCTGGGAGCATTGTTCCAGGGAAGCCCCCAGGCCTGCCCTGTCTTACCCATGGACACACTCAGCTGAGAGAGACCCCAGCTGATAGCATCTTCTCAGAGAGTATTGCAGCTTTGCAGAAGTGCTTTACCATTCAAGCTCTGTGCAGTACAGCTCCGTTTATGACCAAAACACTTATGTTCCATAACTTTTATAATTCACAAACTCCTAAAAGAGAAAACAAAAGAGTAAAGTTGGGGAATGAAACTGGCATGGCTCTTCAGGCTGCAGATGGGGACTGGCCTGAGGCTGGCCCTGAGACAGGCCTTGTGGAAGTACAGAGGGAGTGGGAGGAGGAATCCATATGTGATTATGGAGACAAGGAATTCTCCATATATGTGTCACTCAAGGGACCAGCATATGAAAAAACTGTGTCTTCTAGGCCTTTCCCATTTTGCCTTGGGGGAGGTCTTATGTAATAGTGCAGGTAAGGCCGTGGCATCTGGAGAGCATGCTTTCCAGCTTTCCAGACCTGGATTCAATGCCAGCAATTACTGTAAATTAGTTTTGTGACCCTGGGCAAGTCATGTAACCTCTCTGAGCTTTGTGTTCCTTACCTGTAGAAATGCCACTTCCCTTATAGGGTTGCTATGAGCATTAAAGAAAGGAGCATATATAAGGCCCCTGGTGTACTCCTAGTCCCATTAGGAACCAGCCAGGGGCTCCCCCTTGGCCTCGCACTAAACAGCACCCACAGCCAACTTCAGCAGCATCTCCAGTACTCATGGGGCTTACACACCTTCACCTTCCCAGAATTCCCTGGGGAAATCCAACAACTCTAAGACCTGGAGCAGACCCATTAGTAGGCTGTAGTACATCTCAAAGGCCTGAGTCCCCAGGGAGGCCCATGTCCAGGGTTTGGGAGTAGGTGAGGGGGGCACACGCCAGTGAGAATGGCTGCTTTGGCATCTCCCAGAGGCTCAGGATTCCACTCCATCTTCTGCTTCATCTCCCTGTGCCTGAGTGGGACTTGGTTGGAAGGTGAGGGGGTGGGGGTCACCTCAGATGGCATTCATCAGTGTCTCATGGCAGCAGCCAGAGCTGGGTCAGGGGGTCATGGGTGCCCTCCATGTAGGGCAGCACTTTGGACAGCTTTGGACTATCGCCAGTAGTGACCACCCTAAGGGACTCCTCCCTTCCTGTCCTGTCTTTCTAGTCTGTCGTCTATTGCCACGGAGGGCGTGTTGGCTTCTTCCAGGGAGATATCCGCCTTCTCTCAGATGACATGAAGGCTCTATGCCCCACCATCTTCCCTGTGGTCCCACGACTGCTGAACCGGATGTACGACAAGGTAAGTTCTGCAGGGAGTCTTCAGCCAGGCTGAGGGGCTGCATATTTGCTTGTTTGGACAGGGTCTGGAGCCCCAGGCAGGCTTTCAGTGCCTCCACTGCCAAGTCCTGGAACTTGCCTCCTCTCTTGTAGTTCCTGACTCTTTCTCATTCTTCCTTCTCCTGTTTTCTTCCTATTCTCCAAATACCCCTGCGGGAGAGATTTTTTTTCAGGAACTTCCATCTTCACAGCATGCCTGGACCCTGGCAGTGTTAACCTTCAGCTCAATGTCACACATTCAGTGACCTCCTGCAGGGGCAAAATGGAACATGGCTTCTCTGCTGGCCAGTCTGGGCCTTATTCCTGGGGGATATATCTAGAAATGAGACATTCAGGCTCTGACAGCTGCTTCCAACTTATGTTCCTCAGATCTTCAGCCAGGCAAACACACCATTAAAGCGCTGGCTCCTGGAGTTTGCAGCAAAGCGTAAGCAAGCCGAGGTCCGGAGTGGAATCATCAGGAATGATAGTATCTGGGATGAACTCTTCTTTAATAAGATTCAGGTAAGAAAATGAACAAGTGATTATAGAGTGACACCTAAGTATCCAACGGGTGACCTTGCAGGAGAACTGGAGAAGTTCATCCCAGTGCCCTGTAATCATGTGAAATAGTAACTCATTTGCTCATGAAATCAAAGCTTAAGCTATGATTGAAATTTTAAACTTAGACATTTTTGATTTTTGGAGATACGTTACATTTGAGATGAGCAAGAAGAAAACCTACTATGGATAGTAGGTCCCTTGATCTCCACAGGCAACAGTGTGGCTTTGACCTTGGGTAGTCAGGTCAGTGCTCCACTGAGAAGCTCCTGGGCCCTGAAGTTCTCTTGCCCCTCCCTGTAATCCTGGCCATGGTGGCTTTCCAGCAGCATGGGTCTAGCCAAATGGTTCAAAATCTTCTTTTTCTTTTCTGTGTTCTGTCCCTTTAGTATCTCCCACACCAGGCCAATCTTGAATTACTCATTTCTGTACCTCCTCAAAAGTTTTTAAACTCTGCATTATCCAAGGAATCTGTAGTCAATTAGTAGCATTATTCATTTTTTTCTTGCTACTCTATTTTTAGTTATGAAAATTAATATTTAAAATATCTTGGCTCAACTTACATAAACAAAGTGTTTCAAGTATTCTTCGTCCTCAGCAGTACATAGTAAATAAAGCATGGTATTGATTTATACATGAAAAAAGGCAATGCCATTAAAATGGAAATTGGAAGAAATTGTCCTAAGTAATTGTTTTGGATTCTTGTCAATGATGGGAGAGTGACGGAACAGCTGTGTATTTTAAGGAAGGGAGAAGAACCAATATTATAGAATGCCACCCAGACTGATGGTACTTATCTCAAAAGGCATAAAAGAATTGGTCATATGGTGGATTGAGCTGCAGAGCTGATTGTGTTTATCATTAGGAAGGGGAAGGAGTTTCCTCAGCTCGTGTGTTGTACAACCTCAGGCCTTCTTTCTGATCCCAGCCCTAGCATCCAGGTAGGACCCAGTTGTTGGATGTTGACCTTGGATGAAACCCAGATGGACTGGACACCATCTCAGACATCACAAAATTTGGCAGCTCTTCTTTCTTCCCACAGGCCAGTCTTGGTGGGTGTGTGCGGATGATTGTTACTGGAGCAGCCCCAGCATCACCAACAGTTCTGGGATTTCTCCGGGCAGCTCTAGGGTGCCAGGTATTGTCATTGTGTGTCCTCCCTTGGAAACAGCAGGAAGTTCGTTAGGGCAGGAAAACTACTATACCCTCTACTGCTCAGAGAAAGAACCGGGGGACAAGATTTTTGTGAGACAAAAGCTCCCTCCTCTGAGGAGGAAAAAACTCAGAGCCAGTGAAAGCCAGGATGGCATTGCCACATTCTGGAAAGCCCAGGTTTATCCACTCTGGGAAATTCTTTTATCTGGACCTTTGGAAGTTTTTCACAAAGGGCAAAGGGATCAGACAAACCATAGACAGATCATCAATGTGCGGTAGAATCTGTACCATACCTGTACTGCATCTCTACCTTCTTCAGCCTGCAAAATATCTTGCAACCCAGAAAAGGAGAACAAGGGAGAAAGCCCATTTATGTGTTATTTGATCTATTATGTTTTGTCATCTCTAAAAGTTTATTTCTTCATTTTCCATTCAGCTCATATTTATTAAGTTTCTGCATATGAAGGGTATCATAACGTGGTTGTGGCTGATGGATTTGAAGTAAAGTAGACCCATCTTTTTCATAATTGTGCGTGCTTAAATTTTTCTGCTTTAGAAGCCTTGATCTTTATTCACTGTACTCCTATTCCACATCAGCATGGCCTAACCACTTCTAAAGGCAGACACTCCTGCATGGTGTATTCATGCAAACAGGTGGGGCTCTGGAGGGGAATAGCTTATGGAGCCAAAATAAAACACAGAGTAGATTTTAAAATGTTTATCTTTAATTCATTATTATCCAGATGAAAAGTAGATTCAGTGGTTGAAAATAGGTCAGAAATCTTTACCCTAAACTATATAACCTTATCTACTAAGTGTCTGTGATAAAAATAGCACTTCTCACGCCTATAATCCCAGCACTTTGGGAGGCCGAGGTGGGTGGATCACGAGGTCAGGAGATCAAGACCATCCTGGCTAACACGATGAAACCCCGTCTCTACTAATAATACAAAAAATTAGCCACGTGTGGTGGCACATGTCTGTAGTCCCAGCTACTCGGGAGGCTGAGGCGGGAGAATGGCGTGAACCCAGGAGGTGGAGCTTGCAGTGAGTGGAGATCACGCCATTGCACTCCAGCCTGGGCGACAGAGTGAGACTCCGTCTCAAAAAAAAAAAAAAAATAGCACTTCTTCCAAGCAAATGTGGCCATGCTTGTTGTCTGTGTTCAGTTTCACCTGGAGTTATCTACCTCCAGAGCACCTCCCTCCCTCCATCGCCCTGATCATGAAGCAGTCAGACACGCTCAGTGGGAGGTTAGCTGTCTGGAAGGGGTGGCCAGTTAGCTCTTGGAGGGTGTGTGCCCATAGTGTGGCTTCTGTGTTTTGTTTGAAGGTTTATGAAGGTTATGGCCAAACTGAGTGCACAGCTGGATGTACCTTCACCACTCCTGGCGACTGGACCTCAGGTAGGATGGGCTAGAGATATAGGACTGGCTCGCGAGGCACTGTGGAGTAAAAGCAGCCAGCTCTAAAACTCCCTCATGGAAAGTAAATTTGCATGGGTACTTAGGAATAAAGCAAAAGAGACAGAAAAAAACATTAATGGTGGTTATGTCTGGGTTGTGGCATTGTGAATCTGTAAACACTGTTGAGGTTTTTCCCTTTTTTATTCATCCTTAACACACTGGAAGAATCTGGTCTAAATTTGGTGAGTAATCCATGGGCTACCCACTACAGCCCTGCTTTCCCTTGGCCCTGAAGGATGAATCTCCTCAGAATGAGGGTGTGGATGAGAGCTGTTCCTTTTTGAGGTTGCCGCTGCCTTTGAGACATTGATATCACAGGAGAACGTAGTTCTCAAAGGGCCTCTAAAATGGCCCTTTAAGAAACAGTACCCTGGCCCCTATGAACCTGCCTCTCCTTTACACGTCAGGTCCAATTCATAGCCTGCTTCCTTCATTCTAAAATACTATAAGCAAGGCCATGTAGTATCTAGAATCTATAAAAATCCAATATACTGATATTATAAACATTTTTCCATCTGGAGTTGTATCTTGTGATCTATTACTTCTTTTGTGCATAACTTCTATTTAGCTATAAAAGAAATAGGAAAATACTAAAACCTGTGACAAAAAAAAAACACAATAATCTCCAAAGGTGGTTCCTGTGGGAGATCTGCCAGCAGCAAATTGATTAAATAACTTATTTACAAAATAGGTTTTATTCAACTATAATTTTAAAAGACAGGACTAAGGAAAAAATGCTTCTATACTTAGCTTGGCCAAATATGATTTCAGTTTAAAATCCACCTATCCTGTTTCTGCTGACTATCTCAAGGTACTCTGAAAATAATATTGCATTAAACAGCATATTTCTTTCACATGCACATCATCCTAAAATTTTCCAGTTTGTAGCTGAGCAAACTTAAGTACAAAGAGTGGCCCCAGGCTTGGAAAGGAAGTCAGTATCCTGAAGGATTCTTTTGCTGAGTGGTTTTCAGCAAAAGGGGAAACAGGTCTGTAGTAGGCAGCCCATGGATTACCCATCAGATGTAGAGCAGATTCTTCCAGTATCTACCCTCATGTATCCCTTCCTTTTGGACATGTATCTCTTCCCTCTCAAGTCATCCTTTACATTTTCCTATGTAAACACTGCTGAGGTTTTTCCCTTTTTCAGTTCACTCTTAGCATAAAACTTGAAAAGGCTTTTGTGTATAAGGATTGATATCTTTGAATAGTATTGCCAAAAATTTGACAGCCTCTCTTTTAAAAGAGAAACCAAGGTGGTAAGCCTCATTTTTCATATACGCGGCTCAATTTTCTTTCAGGACCTTGGCTAGCATCTGCTTAAAACTCCTCCAACTTGCCAGTGAATTATCTAACAACCACAATCACTAGAAAAATGACTTAGATGTAATTTTGTGGTAAATTTGACCAAGAGAATTTGGAGTCTTATTTTCATGGGGCAAGTTTCTTCATCCCAGCTTTCCATTCCTTTGTTATTCAACATGTGGTGTGGGACCAGCAGCAGCATCGCCTTGGTGCCTGTAAGAAATGTCGAATCTCAGGCCCCATTCCAAACCCAGTGAATCAGAATCCACAGCTTATGATTTCTAGATTTCCAGCATAGTAATCAACAGTCTGGTGGCTAGAGGAAAAGCAATGATTGCTATATTTTATGATCCCCAAACCAAGACGTGTGATCTGACAATGGGGAAAATGATTTAATGTGGCCACCATTTTCAAAAATCTTGACCCTGTGTTTGATGCCCCCCATCCTACCCTACCCAGGACCCTGTGCACGTTGGTGCTGGGCCAGGTGTGCCTGTCCTGCTTATTAAGAATCGGATGTAAAACAAATGCCCAGGCAGAGATTGGCCTTTGCTTTCTCCAGCACTTTGTTTTATTACCAACACTTGCAGTAACAAATGCCCCTTTAAAGATGTGTTACTTTCCATCCATAATTCCCCACTTTGGCCACTCAGAGATTTTAAGGGGCTTGGAACATCTTCAGTGCTAAAACAGATCTGAACACTAACAAATGCCATCTTGCTCCGGTGTTCCAGGGCACGTAGGGGCGCCACTTCCCTGCAATCATATCAAGCTCGTTGATGTTGAGGAACTGAACTACTGGGCCTGCAAAGGAGAGGGAGAGGTAAACAAGGATTTAGCCATTCATGCCTGTGGCTGCTACATGTAGTGAGTAAAAACAAGAACAGTAGGGATGGAATGATTTTCCTTTTGCCTTGTGTATAAAGTCATTTTAAACTACTGATTAATTTGACTCAGCTCAACTCAGCATCTCCTCTCCTGTTTATGAGGCAACCAAGAGCTAGTGCTGGGACTGAGCTGGTTTAAATAAAGATTTGGAATTCCCAGATTTTTAAATTAATTAATTATTATTATTATTATTATTATTATTATTAATTTGAGACGGAGTCTCGCTCTGTCTCCCAGGCTGGAGTACAGTAGTGTGATCTCTGCTCACTGCAACCTCCGCCTCCCAGGTTCACACCATTCTCCTGCCTCAGCCTCCCAAGTAGCTGGGACTACAGGTGCCCGCCACCACACCTGGCTAATTTTTTTTGTATTTTTAGTAGAGACGGGGTTTCACCGTGTTAGACAGGATGGTCTTAATCTCCTGACTTCGTGATCCGCCCACCTCGGCCTCCCAAAGTGCTGGGATTACAGGCGTGAGCCACCGTGCCTGGCCCTTAATTAATTAAATTTTTAATAGAGTCAAGGCCTTGCTCTGCCACCCAGGCTGGAGTGCAGTGGCGTGATTATAGTCCACTGAACTCGAGACCATAGCCTCGAACTCCTGGGCTCAAGCAATTCTCCTGCTTCAGCCTCTCAAGTAGCTAGGACCACAGGCATGTGTCACCTTGCCAAGATAACTTTTTATTTTTTTTTTAGAGATTGGGTCTTGCTGTGTTGCCCAGGCTGATCTTAAACTCCTGGCCTCAAGCAATCCTTCCTGCCTCGGCTTCCCAAAGCACTGGGATTACAGGTGCTAGCCATCATGCCCAGCCCCAAATTTTGTAAAAATTCATTTTTTCCCCTAACTGTGTCATGGCCTGCTGCTGTGTGATCTGTCCCAGCAGAAACATGATCCTTTACAAATAGGCCAGATGGAGTAGATAGAGCTGGCCTGTACTTGTTCATTCCATGGGAGTAAGTGGGAATGATTGCCTGCTAATGGAGCAGGGGGCTGAAGCATCCCTGGTAGAATCAGCCAGCCATCAATATCTGTGATGAGTCCCCATCAAGTGTCACAGAGCAGCATGTGGCCAAGGCCAGAGGGCTCCTGAGGGAGAAGAGATGACAAAGGCCTAGGGTGGCCAGGGCAGGGGGGAAAGATGGGGAGGATGTTGCTTGACAGAAGGCAGGAGACAGTTCAGATGGCTGCTGGCTGTTCCTTGTCCTCTGTTTCCATCCCTGCCATATCCACAGTGGCTTTCCTGATGGGTAGTGCACCTTATCTCCGTATGCCTGGTGACAGCTTCCCATCTCCTGATTCCTCATGATGTGGCTGAGAGAAGCCATGGTTTTTGTCCCATAGATATGTGTGAGAGGACCAAATGTGTTCAAAGGCTACTTGAAAGATCCAGACAGGACGAAGGAGGCCCTGGACAGCGATGGCTGGCTTCACACTGGAGACATCGGAAAATGGCTGCCGGTGTGTATGTTTGGAACCACGGAGCTCCAAACATTTGGCAGTGGGAGGGTGTGTGGTCCGGGTCACTGAGGCAGGAGTCTTCTCCAAATCCCCCCTGACAATGAGTCATTCAGGAGCACCTCTGGGGCCTGGGGGGAGGCTCTTCCTTCCCTGAGCCCCAGAGCATCTTCCTCTTCTCACTCCGTCTCATGAAGGTGATGAGGGACCTGTGCAGGTGGGTGTGGCTGAGGTCTTGGAGACTGAATTCCTATCCTTAATGGTTTCCAGAAAGACATCTGACAGTGTGTGGAATCTGATGTGAAGTAGGAGGAACAGGGGGTACATGTCTCTAGGACGTCTGAGAAGGGCAAGGCCTGCAAGCCCTCCAATGCTGGCCCGCAGCCAAAAGGTGGCACTGAGTGAAGGGGAAAGCTTGGAGACAGGAGGGAGAATGCCTTAGTTCCTGTGGCTTTGCCAGCAGTTGCTCATGTAACCTTGAGCAGAGCCTCATCCCCGTCTGTGGCTTCACCTTGACTCACTTATAGAACAGGAGAACAAGCCTTCATAGCATTCCTTGCCCATGGCCCCCAGCTTTTAGCCAAAACCACTTTGCCTCATTCTCTCATTTTTAAAATAGGGATCACAGTGTTGCTTACCTCTGAAATTATTGTTGTGTTGTGCAAGATCTGGACTTTATCCTTTATTATTTATTTATGAAATGGAGTCTCGTTCTGTCACCCAGACTGGAGTGCAGTGACGAGATCTTGACTCACTGCAACCTCCACCTCCCAGGTTCAAGCGATTCTCCTGCCTCAGGCTCCCCAGCAGCTGGGACTACAGGTGCCCGCCATCCCATCTGGCTAACTTTTTTGTATTTTTAATAGAAACAGGGTTTCAACACATTGGCCAGGCTGATCTCAAACCCCTGACCTCAACTGATCTGCTCATCTCGGCTTCCCAAAGTGCTGGGATTACAGGCATGAGCCACTGCACTCAGCCTGGATTTTATCTTTTAAAAATGTTTTAATAAAAGAAAGAAAAATAAAGTTATTTTTGTGAGGAACAAATGAGATTATGCCTACAAAGCACTTAGCACAGTACCGGGCACATAGGAGATGCTTAGATGAATGCTTTGACCAGAAAACGGCTGTCACTGACACTGAGCACTCTTGCCTGGAGCAGCCCACCCCAGGAAACTCTCCTGTGTCTTTGGGAAGTGCTAAGGTTTGGGTGGACATTTTGAGGTGTTGAGTTAATGAGGCACGTGAATGATGTTGAGCCCAAGGCAGGCTGAGTGGGCTGGTAAATGGATCTGCCCCTGCTTGGGCCTGTGTACTTCCCTTTGAGAAACCCTCATGCCTGCCCCAGACAAAGATGTATCTCCAGTGAGTGCCCTGGCCCAGGGACTCTGCTTAGGGGAGATATGCATGATTAGACAGTTCCCAACCCAATGTGATGGGCATGAGCTGGGGGCACACTGGGGGCACACTCACCTCGGGAGAGGCAGAGGAGGACAGGCACCTACTGCATCCAAGCCTTAGGATATGAGTCATGTTCCAAAGGTGGGATTGGGAAGGACAATCAGGGCGTGATAGTAATATATGCTGAGTAGAGGCACTAGACATGGGAAGCAACTAATTCCAACTGAAGACCCATAGGTGTGGGAGAGAGAGGCTAGAGAGGTCAGCAGGTCCTGAACATCTGCAGAAGGTGGATTGTCCTGTTGGCTCAGGGAGCTTAGGCTTCAAGCCCCCTCACTTGCATCAGCCCCTTCCAAGGCCCTGCACTTCATTTTACCTGGTTTTTCTTAGAAAGGGCCCTCAATATTGTAAAAGCTTGAAGTCTCACAAATCCCTGGATCTGCTGCTGATGCCCTGTAACTTGAATGAAACCATTCACCATTTAGGGGGTAATATGAAGCAAATAAATGAATTCATGTAAAGCACTTAGTGTTGTGCTTGAGCACAGGGCCTAAAGTTGCAGGCAGGTAGTCTGTGAGAGTCCATTTTTTAAATTATTATTTTTAAATGATTTTTGAAATTTAATTAAAATTTATTGCAGCTATTGAGATACTTATTATTCTATATTTCTCATGTAAAGCAAATCATGCATTCTTGACATAATTCAACTTAATCATGATGTGACTTTTTAAATAATATTTTTCCTAAAAATTGTGTTTGACCTTTCCATTTATATTCACAAATGAGATTGATCTGTAATTTTCCTTTTATATACAACCCTATTATGGTTTTGTTGTCAGCTTATTGAATGAGTTGGTAAGTGGGTTTTTTCCCCATTTTTTTGGAAGAGTATGTTCAAGCTTTGAATGATTCATTCTTGAAATTTAGGTAGAAATCATCTATAAAGACATTTGTGCTTTTAAAAACGTTATTTTGAAATCATGTTAAATAGATCAAGGAATAAGCATAGTCTTCTGGTCCAGAAGGATCGGGATTCAAATCCTGGTTCCCCAACTTCTAGCTGTGTGGCTTTGGAGGAGTTAACTAAGCTTTCTGATCCTCATTTTCCTCATCTGTGAAACAGAGGTGACAACACCCAGCTAATGGACCATGAGGACCAAATAAGCTGGGGTAGGGAAAGTGCCTGATGTCTAGCCTGGGTTTTGAGCAAAACAGAGTCTGCTCATTTTTCTCTTTTGGAGAGATTGCTCTGGCACTGGCAGATCAAGCAGATGGAGTGGAGACAGAGTGTGTGCAGAAGTCCAGTCAGAAAGTGGTTTTGCTGGGAGGAGGTGGTGGATATGAGATGGATTTGTGAGCAAGGACAGGTGAGCCTGACCACTGGAGATCCCAGGAGAGGCAAACAACAAGGTCATCTCCAGGTTTGGGGTTTGGAGGCTGGGGCAGGCTTGAGAAGCTTGGTCGTGAGTTTCATATAGGAGCATGTTACATCCTCTGAGACAAATAGCCTAGTTTTTGAAGCATTCCAAGGGTATTTGGGTTCTGGATCTGGAGCTCAGTGAAGAGCTGGAAGCTTGAACTGACTTGGGAGTGACCAATGAAGAGAAAACGGTGGTTACTCCAAGGTGCATTGTCAGTGGCGGTGAGGGGAAAGAGGCCCACGTAATCACCTTGGAAGCTCAGAAAGGTCAAGGAGAGTCAGGGAGGTGAGGACGGGTCCTGGAGGCCAGTGGCATCAGCACTCCCTGTCCAAGGAGGTGATCTGCCTGCTGCAGAAGTCCTACAGGGGCCTGGGCTCCTAGTGCCATCTGGCATGTCAGGTAGGAGTCACAGGGGCTCTGTCAGGTCTGTGCTATATGCCAGGGGATGCAGAGGCTGCTCTTTAGGGGTGGAGACAGTAGCTGGGCAAGAGACTTGAGTGTGGTCTAAGGGAGTGAACCAAAGATGCTGGTGAGAAAAAGGGCACCTGGAACAAGGGTGTGTGCAAGAGGGGTGCCCTGATGGAAGGGCGGTGGGCCTCCAAGAAGGAGGAGGTGAGGATACCTGCTGCTAGGCATGAGGGTGGCAGTGGTGGGAGGACTGTGTGGGGGGCTAACTGCTGAGGGGAAAGGACAGTGGATGCTCACGGCCCAGCAGAACTTGGATGCCATCAACCTGCGGTGTACAGTGGTTCTCTCCAGGAGCCCTGCAGCTCCCTAAGAGCAGACACAACAGATGGAAAAGAAATCGGGGTGGGGTCTGCAGGGTGGGGTAGGGCAGGGAGTTACGGCACTGAGGAGCAAAGGTTCAGGCTTGAGAGTGCCATGTTCTTATAAAGCTGTTTGTCCAACTCTACAGGCAGGAACTCTTAAAATTATTGATCGGAAAAAGCATATATTTAAACTTGCTCAGGGAGAATATGTTGCACCCGAGAAGATTGAGAACATCTACATCCGGAGCCAACCTGTGGCGCAAATCTATGTCCATGGGGACAGCTTAAAGGTGAGGCCTCTAGGCTTCAGCCCTCCCACATATCCTGGGCATGCTGAAAAACCCAGATTAAACATTAACCTCCAATCAGGCACCAGGATTCTCCTCCGCATTTTAAAACATGAGAGAAAACTCCTTTTTAAAGGAGAAATCTTACTTATAGTTTGTTAAAATGTAATTAGGTCAAGTAAATTGTCTGAAGTAGTACTAATGAACATTCCCATTCCTTTTCACTTATGCTCTACTTACTTCCAAGGATTTTTGAGATAAAATACTAGAGCAAGATTCAGGGTTTCTACTGTTTTTATTTTTATTTTAAAAATTATTATTACTATTATTATTATTGAGACAGGGTCTCGCTCTTTCACCCAGGCTGGAGTACAGTGGCACAATCATGGCTCACTGCAGCCTCAATCTCCCTCCTGGGCTCTAGCCATCTTCCCACCTCATCCCCTTCCCCCTCCCTCCCCATCCCCAATAGCTGGGACTACAGGTGCACACCACCATGCCCAGCTATTTTTTTTTTAATTTTTAGTAGAGACAAGGTCTTACTATGTTGCCCAGGCTAGTCTCGAACTCCTGAGCTCGAGTGATTCTCCTCCTGCCTCAGCCTCCCAGAGTGCTGGGATTAGAGGCATGAGCCATCACACCTGGCCTGTTTTGATTTTTTTAATATGCAAATGAACTTTACAAATTAATGAGTACTGCAAAAAAATGTACTAATGGTACTAATACTAATATAGGTTACTAGGATTCAGTTATTTGGAGGAGTTTTATACTTATTTTCCTTTCAATACTATTTAGATTTAAAGTCAGAAAGATCATGAGTATATTCTATGATATCTAAGATATCAAATATATTCACTCTGTCACCCAGGCTGGAGTGCAGTGGCACAATCTCGGCTCACTGCAGCCTCTACCCCCAGGGTTCAAGTGATTCCCTTGCCTCAGACTCCCGAGTAGCTGGGACTACAGGCGCCCACCACCACACCTGGATATATTTTTTTTTTATTTTTAGTAGAGACAGGGTTTCACCACATTGGCCAGGCTGGTCTTGAACTCCTGACCTCAAGTGTTGTGCCTGCCTCAGCCTCCCAAAGTGCTGGGATTACAGGCATAAGCCACCATGCCCTGCCTGATATCAAATATATTCTGTACTATCATTGCATTTCTATAAATATTATGAAATTATTTTCAAAGAAATGCTTTAAAAATCAAAATAGGCCTGGCATGGTGGTTCACGCCTGTAATCCCAACACTTTGGGAGACCGAGGCAGGAGGATCACTTGAGCCCAGAAGTTCAAGACCAGCCTGGGCAACATGGTTAAACCCTATCTCTACAAAAAATACAAAAATTAGCTACATGTGGTGGCATGCACCTGTAGTCCCAGCTACTCGGGAGGTTGAGATGGGAGGATCACTTGGGCTCAGGAGGTCGAGGCTGCAGTGAGCCATGATTATACCACTGAACTCCTGCCTAGGCAACAGAGTGAAACCTTGTCTCAAAAGAAAAAAATAAACAAAATGAAGTCTTTCATGAATGAAGATCGTATTAATGAAACCATTTCAACGTGGTTTGGTAATCCTGGGAAACATTTTGGTTCAGAGAATTTGGATCAGAGAGTTGTTTGCTCAGCCTCCTGAAGATGTGCTGATTTGAGATTGGCATGAGAATCAAAGGTGCATATCAGTCTAACTTTACTGATTCTTAATGTCCTTATTTTTTCATATAAAACTAGGGGAATATATCAGAAAATGAATGGTATGATATATTGGCAGAAAGATTTCATGACATCAACAAATGTTTTATAAACATATACTTAGTTTTTGAAAAAGGTGGAGTCTGAGAATTTTAATGCTGGACCACAAATAACCACTTTAAATGCATTTGTCATGACTGTGTTCTCCTTTGGTGAGCACTGCAGGCCTTTTTGGTAGGCATTGTTGTGCCTGACCCTGAAGTTATGCCCTCCTGGGCCCAGAAGAGAGGAATTGAAGGAACATATGCAGATCTCTGCACAAATAAGGTTGGTATCTTGGGGCTGTCTCCTGAAAGGTTACTGAATGTTTTATGGTACCACATAATGAGAAGACAGAAAAGTTGTAGACCAGTGAAATTCGAGCTCGTACGAAATTTCTAACATTACTTTATATATAGTGGGGATTCTAAACCAGAGATTTGTCTTTTTGTTACTGAAGAAACTCATATTTCTTCTTAGAAAGATTGACAAACGTTTGGATTTTAAGCCAGGAGACATCACAGAAAGCTTATCCAGCCCTGTTGCTTTGTGGCTTAGAGGAGAGTCCAGGGAGGGGGGTAACTTGCCCGAGGTCACACAGCTGGTTAGCAGCAGAGTCAGATGTGAGCATAGGCTTTCTGACTCACCTGCCATGCTCCTTCAGATGTAAGGTGGATTTTGTGTCTGCTGGGTGTAGACAGCTAGTCATGGAATAGAAAAAGTAGCACAATTCTTTCTGCTTAGAGCATTAGCTACTCACACCTTCCTGAAACCTTCTAATGGCACATCTAGAACTCTGTGGAGGAGGTCGCCATGCTGTGACTCAGTGTAGCCCCTTGAGTCACATGGTCCATTTCTTAGTAGTAGCCATAGACCCTCCCTCTCCTACGGGACCCTGGGCCCTGGGCTCATCTAGGGGTAGCAAGACTCACCAGGCTGACCAAAAGCCTGCTTTAAAAAAAAATTGAGTGGTCCCTTAGCCCATTCATGGTCACTCCTTTGGCCATTTCAGGTACTTACTTGCCAGATGAGAGGTGGTAATTGGAGTGTTGCCAGGGAGTATCAGCCTCAGTTGCGGGCTGTGGGTTAGCACATGTTGGCACAATCATCAGTTGTACTTTACCCAAAAGTGTTGTTTCCTCTACCTCCATTTTGAAATGTGTTCTTGTCTTGTAATTTTTCTCATATGGTTTGATTCAGGATCTGAAGAAAGCCATTTTGGAAGATATGGTGAGGTTAGGAAAAGAAAGTGGACTCCATTCTTTTGAGCAGGTAACTGTTACCTTCCCCATACTCGTTACAACCCTTCAGGCAGTGATGAAAATTAAATTAACCCATGGTGACCCTGACCTAGATTCCTGACTTTTCATGGTGTGGCCCGCCAGCAGGCTGTGTACCAATGGACCCCTGAAGGCCTGTTCCAAGCTGCCTCCTGAACCAAAATAGGTCACATATCAAAAGAGATTGCACCCATCCTTATAATTACAAACTTTCATAAGGCTGAAATAATACCCTAGCTGTCACTAGTAAATCATGTGTACATGATCTGTCTTCCAAGCTTCCTGCATTACCGAAGACGACAGTCCTATCTTATTTTTATTTTTGTGGGGACCGTCTTCTTGGCTTCAGCAGACAAGTTTACTTGTTAGGAGGACACTGGAAAGATTGGTCTTCTCGGGCCAGTGATCTGTCAGCCCAGCATGCCCTCTGTAAAGAGGAGGAAACAGAATGCTTTGGGAGAGGACACAGCAGTCCTCCAAGACTTTTTTTTTTTTCTGCAAGGTTGGGTTCTTACTGTAATTGAGCTCATAAGCATACTTACTCTGACTTACATATACCATTTATACATCCCCTTTTGTCAAAAATTCAAAGAGAAAAATGCTTCAAATGGAAAAATATTAATATACTGATTTTTAAAATTTCCTTATATTTAAAATAATTGTTTTTCATAAGATAAACATTTCATTAAAATAATTGTTTTTCATACAAGTTTGTTACCCCAAATTTAGTGACAGGGGTCTTCAAGTTTGACAAGAATCTTTAAATTTTGTATATTCGCTTAATAACCTAAAAACATTTAAAACCAGTTTAAAATATAAAACTCTTACAGTGCTTTAATTTGCAATTAAAAAAACATTTTCATGGATTAAAATTTTTATTTTTTAGTTTCAAACTATGGAAATCTAAGCATAGTTTCAGGGTCTAAAAATACTGTTTTTCTTTAAAAATAGATCTTTACATTAATCCATTTTGAGAAACACTGCTTTACCCTCAACTGTCAGTATGTTTTAGGGCAATTTAGGCCTGGGTAAATAAATATTTTTTAAAAGTATGGAATCTGAGGCATTCAGGCAAGTTACATTTATCTTTCTAAAAGACAAAGGTCAATTTTGGCATATGAACTGACTTCATTGCCCTTCCTCAGTGGGGAGTTGTGTGATGGGATCCTCTGTGATCATGTAGACCAGAGACCACAAATGAGTGGTCGTAGGCCTGGCTGGTCTGGGCCTACGTGGATTTGAAGGGCTGGCTGCAGCCTAAGCTGCAGTTCCTGCGGACATCCTGGTGCATTCACAAGGCCTTCACGCCTCCTGCTTGTGTTTGGATGCGGGACCTGTCCCAGGGCACACAGAGTATCATGACACCCAGATTCCTCTTCATGGAAAAAAATACCAACTCTTAAGATTATGCTTAAAAGAGACCTTTAGTTAAGTTTCCAGTGTTAACCATTGCTCTGGTTAGAGCTTTCACTGAGAGGAGACGAGTTCTTGACTTTCCACATGCCTTTCGCAGAGTTTCTGCTCTAATAATCTGCCCTCACCATGGTAACCTCAAATACAGAGAAGTCATGTGGGATCTCAGAGGCCTTTAGTTTTATTGCCAAGGCTGTCGCCTTTTGATTTTCTCTGTTCTCATTCTCCTCTTTGTTGGTCTATGACATCCTCCCTACCATAGCCAGTGTGTGCCCTCAGCTGACCACAGGAAAGCAAAAACCAGGCCTCATGCCTGAGGAGGGTGTGCTCTCAGTTGTGATCCAAAGCTCAACATAAATTATTTCAGTTAATCCATAATCCATTGTCAGCTTGTCCTTTTCCCTCTTCCTCAAAAATAATGGCCAATTAAGGCATAACTCTAATTAAACACACACATACACACAGAAATAACGAATTCAAGTTCTATATCCAAAGTTTAAGTCATTCAACAAAAGCTTTAGGAGTTCAGACTTACTGGACTTGGTTGATCTGAATTAAACCTTGAATTAGAAAAACAAATGATGTAATTTAATTTCCAAGAACAGACAATTCCTAGAACTAGGCCAACCATTATTAATTTATGGAGATCTTTGGAAGATATATTTTAATGAGTAGATAGGTGGCTGGGCAGTATTTGAGCATACTTAACCATGATTTAACCATTTGTTTGACATTTATATGCCTTATTAATTTGCATAGGCAATACAATGTGAACTTTGACACTTGATAGATTTTTCAATTTCTGACTAATTAAGCACTTACTAAAAATATTTTATTGTATTTCCTGTCATTGAAATGAACACTTACCTAACCAATTTGCCTTTAAATAAGAAAATGAGCATTTCCCTAACTCATGTAATTGTTTTTTTTTAACTTTATCTCTCCTGTTCTAAATTATTCACTCTGTGTTTATTATCTACAAGCAATATTGTGTTAAAGGATTTCATTAAGACCACTGAAAAACTTAAAATACTATGTCTCTAAAATTATGAAGTTTGTGCTTTTATGAGTTGGCATAAATGGACAATTTTGAGGAATTTTATTCCAATGCCATATTTAAATGTTACAGTATTTCTGAATTATTTTTAAAAATCCTGTAGCATCTCTTTTCAGTGAAAAGAGTATGGTTTCAGGAAGGGAAGCTAACATTAGGCATCTCCCTTTTTCTTTTCCCAACAAAAACTTTGCTTATTAAAAAATGGAAATTCCAGTTTCATGAAGTGTGTGGCATAAAGAGAGAATAAGGACTCTCATACCTTTTTTTAAAAAGTTCACAATTGGACAGTTTGGCTTTATGAGAAAATAATTATTATAAAAAATGAACATGTGTTTTTATCATTGATTCACTTCTAAAAAAAACTATAGGTTTGTGGCCCGTAGTTAAAGTCAGTGTCAGTTAAACAACTGGCTGACTCATTTTTTTCCACTTACTGCCTATATTTTTTAGTCACTCAAGCAGGTTGTATAGGTATTTTCATAGAAGCATTTAAATAGTCCAAGGGCTGTAGGTCAGACCAGACCAGGGACTGGCAGCCTAGCAGCAGTGCCGCTCCGACCTGCTCACTAAGGGACTGAAAGGTGAGCCCAGAGCAGGCTGCCATATTGCTTGGGCTTCTGCAAGGCTGTATTTAATGATATAGCCTCTTCTCAGGCAGAACTATTTTATAGACAGCCACATAGAGCTGCAGATGTCCCACTCAGCCATTTAGGTTTGGGGAGGTAGCTGGATCGGCAATATTCCAAATCTACCTGTTGATGCTGTTCTTTCTTCCTAAGATCATAATGTTTTCTTTTACATTTCTACTTAACCATATAAATGACATTATATACCTCTCCTTATAAATCTATATTTCCAGTACTGTATTTTTTAGTAGTTTCTGCTTGTCACTGCTGGCTTTTCAAAGATACTCACCCCAAGTTCCCATACTGAACATAGACTCTTGTCCCAATTATACAATGTTCTCCACATGCTGTTAGGAATGCAGACAAGCCGAAACCCAGGCTACAACACTGAGAAATTACATCTTGGCATTTGTATCTCATTTTTAAAAGCATATTATTAATTTTAATAACAAAAGAAGGTGGATAGATGGTTTGTACTTACCAGAAGTCTTCATGTGATAGTGCTTCTACAGAAAGAAATTTTTTTGAAAAGTTAAGGATATTAGTACTGTCAATTTTTTAGTTTTTCATTTTGACAGTAAAGGTTAGTTACTACTGCATTAAATCCCTGTAACTAAGGTTAAATTTTATTTTGATTGTGTTAATGTTTTCTTTAAGCTAATTAATTTTGTCATCAAATGGTGATTTCCAAACTTATTTAAGTAGAACTTAGATGACATCTTATATAAAAATTGAGCATGCACAAAACATAAGAGCAGTGCTACTCAGGTTGGTTTAGGGCTTGAGCCAGAGCTTCTACACACACACTTTTCCTCCTAAGCACCTCACCTCATCTTCCCACCCTTCTCCATTTCCTTTCTACCCTTACCTATCTAAACCCCACTTCTATACCATCCCCAGCAGTGGCCTCTGCAGATCACCTAGTTCTCAGTGCACTATGGTTTAAAAACGTCTCCCTTGGGACCTGTTTCCAATAAATATTGGGTCTCTTAGGATGGTTTATGTTTTGTAACAACAAATTAGGAAAAAAGTATATTCTATAGGGTACAAAGAACAGCAGCCCTATTCCTTACTGAATCTGTGCTTCTTTGAATGTCAAGCATACTGAAAGAGTTTTCAAACAAAACCCTTTTTACAATAACCATATCTGATTTTGAAACACTTGATGATACACATCTTTAGCCAAAATTTCCAGCTATTTAAGATGATACCTATCTTTAGCCATAAATGATACCATAAAGATGATGCCCATCTTTAGGCAAGATTTCCAGCTATTTAAATTGGATATCCTAGAAATACCCTCAAAAACAATCTTCCCATTTCTCTTGGAGAGATTTTTCCAAAATGTGTATTCAGCCATGCCATTGCCCTAACTAAAAACCTTCAGTATCTTACTATTGTATTTGGAATAAAATTTGAGCTCCTCCATAAAATGGCTCATCTACCACTTTAGCTTCATCCCTCACACTCTTTGCCTCTTATTTTATGGAACAAGAAACCACTTAGAGTTCCCTTTTCACACGCTGACATTTCTCACTCCCATGGCTTTGTTTTGGTGTTGCCTCTGCCTATAATGCCCTTCTCCACCCACTTTTCCCCGTTTGCTGGTTAACTATAACCCATTATTTAACATCCATCTGATTTGGGAAGTCTTCCCTGACTGTCTCTCCCTCTCCCCTCCTATGCCTGAGATGGGTGCCCTTTATCTCATGCATACCATACTGATAATTGCCCAGTGTTTCTCTGTCTCCACTACTGGACGTGAATGTGCGCTCCCTAAGGGCAGAGGCATTCATGATTCCTCTTTGTATCCTCAGTGCCTGGCATAGAGTAAGCAACTAATTCATTTCTGTTGACTGGCTAAATGAATGAATAGGAAGGAAAAAAGTTGGCTTTTAGATACGTAAAATAGGCTGAAATGTTCTCAACATAATTTTGACTTAGCATAATGTCTGTATGTCAATATATCTACTCTCATGTGCCTGTTTGCTTTTTACCATGTATACTATAAATACTGTGTTCTATTCCTGTTAAAGATGTTTTCTGCATTTGGTTTTTAGGTTAAAGCCATTCACATCCATTCTGACATGTTCTCAGTTCAAAATGGCTTGCTGACACCAACACTAAAAGCTAAGAGACCTGAGCTGAGAGAGTACTTCAAAAAACAAATAGAAGAGCTTTACTCAATCTCCATGTGAAGTTCAAGGAAAGTTCTTCTCAGTGTAATGAACTGTCTAGCAATATTATAGTTATTCTTGAAAGTAATGAGTCAAAATGACACAGCTGAAAATGAATAAGCATCTGATTTTATGACTGAGCCTTTTCCTGTCCCAAGAGGTCTTTAACAATATTTTCTCTATCATCAATGAGTATATTTTATTTTTATTATAAAAATGATATTGTGGTGGACTGCTAAAAATATCACAAATGGCAATGTAAAAATCAAGACATTTTCTCAAGAACTGTGTACCACTAAAAGTAATATATTGTCAATGTTCACAGAACTATTAAACATAAAGGAAAAACATAAGTGATATATTCTACTTAATTATTTGTGAATCAGTAACCAGATGCAGCAAATATCTAGGCAATGTGGACTACCTCATTCAGTAACTGATTGTCAAAATCACAATTAAATCAGACTTCAAAAATTAAAGCTAGGTGTATAGAATCATGCTAAAAGAAAACATGATAACTCATAGTCTACGTAACTTCAGAGTCTTTAAACATGACAATCCACATTGTCATATGTGAAAATTTTCTCTCTGATTTTTACTTTCATTCATGAAAAATGAAAATTCAGAAATTCTTTTTTTCCTTTTTGTTTTGAGACAGGGTCTGCTCTGTCACCTAGGCTGGAGTGCAGTGGCTTAATCATGGCTCATTGCAGTCTCCATCTCCTGGGCTCGAGTGATCCTCCTGTCTCACCTCCCAAGTAGCTGAGACTACAGTACAGGCACATGCCACCACACCTGGCTAATAGAAATTTTTTTTTTAGAGATTTTGCTCAGGCTGGTCTCAAACTCCTGAGCTCAAGGGATCCTCCCGCCTTGGCCTCCCTAAGTGCTAGGATTACAGGCATGAGCCATTGTTCCCAGCCAAATTCAGATATTATTAAAACACATGTCATATTTATATAGTAACTTACAAAGACCTTTCAATACATTTTCTCATTTATTAAGCTCATTAAAGTATTCAGGAACTACCTAGAAAAAATATAATGTAAAACTATTCAAGGATAGTGTGTGTATGTTCATGGACTTCTTATTATAATGAATTCTAAAAGACATCTGTTGACTCTACAATGAATGGATCCTTGAGGAATACTTGGGAGAAGAAACTCAGAGTTATTTCTCAGGGTAGGCAGCAATTAATGTACCTACATTCCTTGCTGGGGTCTTCTAGTCTTCCATTCCCAATGTGCCCATGCTATGCCTGGAAACCCTATATGGTTGTAATTCTGAACAATTTCACTTTTTTTCCAGTAAGAATATCAAGGCAGAAGGTGGGAAGGAGGGGACATTATTTCCAGGGAAAATAGTTTTTCAACAATATAACTTTGATAAACCTCTTTAAAATGCCCCAAGAAAACTTTTTAAGTCCATAGACAAAGAAATACTGCCTAATGGCATAATTACATTCCTAAAATCTTTAAGCGTGCCGAAGTTTAACCACTAAAACCTCCTTTCTTGCATTATGTATTTAGATGCACCCTGTATTGGGGTGTCAACAATTTCTTATAATTAAAGGCCAGATACCATGGACAGCAATTAAGTTCCAAGCTATAGATTGTGCCTCTGAAAAAGGCATGGACCCCAGGAACGTGTTTTTCTTCTGTAGAGACAAGACTCTAAAAGCATATCAACAATCCATATGCAATTCATGTGTTAATTTAAAATGTATGTGCTCAGTGTTTGTAGTCTAGAAGCTCCTTTCCCTTGGAGGAATGCCAAGCAGTTTGCAAAAATAAATGCTGTTAGTTAAAAACCACATAATCACATGGGCCTACTGAATAAATATGCATCAGTGATTATATACTTATATTTCAGTCTTGTCAAAAGTGAATCACTGTTTCATTTGATGTATTTACCCAGTCTTTTTATCCAGTTTTTCTTGGGCATATTCTCTCTGAAGACCCACTGTTGCACTTCTAAATTTGACAGTTAAGAAATGAGCTAGTTCTATACACACTGATTTTTAAAGGCGTTTCTGAATAAACTAATACTTAAAATGTCCAAAGTCACATCTGTACAGCATTAGATTTTTATATTTAATATATATTTGACTAATTAAAAGTGAAAGTTGTTACCTGAACTGGATATTCATACTATTTTAAGGGCAAGTTGCTTACATTTCAATAACAACAAAAAAAGAATCTGTTTCCCATTGTCCTCCTACTCAACTAAAATTCATAGTTGGCTTTAAGCCCAAAAGAATTTTGAACAATGTGACAGAAACAAGTAATGTAAAACTTATTTTGTTTTATTTATACTTTATAATAGTTAGATATAACAGATTATGGACAACTTAATATTTCTTCTTTTTGGCTGGGCGCGGTGGCTCATGCCTGTAATCCCAGCACTTTGGGAGGCCGAGGCGGGCAGATCACGAAGTCAGGAGATCGAGACCATCCTGGCTAACACAGTGAAACCCCGTCTCTACTAAAAAAATACAAAAAATTAGCCGGGCGTTGTGGCGGGCGCCTGTAGTCCCAGCTACTCGGGAGGCTGAGGCAGGAGAATGGCATGAACCTGGGAGGCGGAGCTTGCAGTGAGCCGAGATCCCGCCACTGTACTCCAGCCTGGGCAACAGAACGAGACTCCGTCTCAAAAAGAAAGAAAAAAAAAAAACAAAAACAAGGTTTCTTCTTTTTGCCACTTAAAATATCTTATATTTCTAGATTTCCAGGTCTATGTGGAAATCATCACACTTGGGCCAATAAATGGGTTAGTTCAGATGTGCTGAGAAAAGTAAATAGTGTACCCTAAATATCTTGCATGTACATTTATCTATTTCTCTGTTTAATGCCACTTAATTTTGTAAGAAATGAGAAATGAAACCCTATGTATCAGTGGAAAAATCCTTCTTGCTTCAGATTTCCCAACTTTATTCTGGAGGAGAAAAAAATCTGTATTTCTCATTAACAGAGATAGAAAAAGGTGATGTACTTACGATGGTCACATTCATATTGGGCATTGGATCTATTTAAGCCTAGAAGTATAACAGATAATCAGTTCCTTAAGTGTAAATATGTTCTTAAATGTTTGGCCTTTTTATCTGTTATTCAAATGTATTAGTAATTCTCATATTTTGCAAACAGATCCTTTTGTGTATATTATAAAATATATACCAAATCTGTTTTTCCTTTTGCTGTGGAAGATGTCTTTATATAATATTGAGACTTCCCTTGCAAATGAGAGACGGGACTCTGGTCAGGTATAGTGTGTAGGCCTAGCCCCATGTATTAGGAACTCATAAACTCAGAAATCCAAGGATTAAACATTTTATGTCTCCTTCATTTATGCAAGTCATGCTTTCATTCTACATGTAGTTAAAACTACAAGTATGAGAAAAAATAGAACTTTCCATTGGAATTTTTTCCAATCAGGTAATGTTTTAGCAACTTGAAATCAGCACTTAATTTGATTGTATTACCTATCAAAGAACCAATAACCTTTCCTTTTTCTGCAGTAAAGAAAATGAAATATCCTTTATTTTCCAAATGTATGAAGCACAAATGCAATATAGTTATTTAAAATATAAAATACTTTAAAATGAATGTGAAGAATGGGAAAATATATTTTTGCATGAAAACAGACTACTTACAAATGTGCTTAATATCTCAGGAAAAAAAGAATGAATAACCGTATATAAAATTGGTAAACTATAAATTGGCTGTATTTCCTTGCCGGTTTTAATTTTAAGGAAGCATTTACATGAAAAGAAAAAAGGATCCTAGTAGTCTGAATTTCCTCTCAAGTATGCTAGAAAATACTTTCTATGAATTTACAATTAACTGCAATAAGAAGTGGGTTAGCATTCAAGTAAGGTCAATACCCCAAATGAGAAACTCTTCAGTTAGAACACATTAGTGGTTGTAACACAGAGGCAGTAGATAAATATTTGAAATGTGAGCATTTCTAAACTTGGTACCAAATGGAAAGGGTTTCATGAGGTGACAGTGGCTTTTAAACATTCATTTGACCGATTATTCTAATTTTCCTTGTTAAATCATTGCAACAGTTGCATGGGGGAGAATGGATATTTTTTGAAGAATTGCTTATTCCACTTTCAATTTTTAAAAATCGAGGGGATTAAAATATTACTTTTTAAATATGCATAAAAGTATCTTAACTGTAATTACATTTTCAGTTGCTTTGTTATAGTAGCATGCATATTAAATATAAAATGCATTTATGAAAATTTTTGTAAAAAATAAAAGATTTTTCATTTCTCAAAGTTGCTTATAATTACTATTTTATATATTTGCATAATATAATACCCTCATGTGAGTATATTTGGTAATTATCAATCACAGTTACTGCTTATGATAAACATAGTACCAAGCTGCATTACCAATCAGTATACTTTACATCCGTACTCTACGTCCTCTGTTAAAGTTCCACAAACTCCAAGAAATTATGGTCCATCCAGAGAAGAGCTCCTTTGCTCAAGCCTCTGTTGGAATTTTTGCTATTGTCAGATATCTCCTGGATTTAAATCATTTTTATGAATACATAACAAATAACTGTCTTCAAATTTTCCATGATGGTGGCCTTTAAAATATAATTTCCATGTCTTTTACTCATATTCAGAATAATGGATACAATTTCTTAAAATAATGAATTCTGCTGTGTCCAAGATAGACAGATTCTGCCTTCTCCATATGTTTGCTATCATCCATTCCTCCCTATTGTTACAGCTATTAGTGTAGTTTGTGCCACCCTTATCTCTTGTCTGGAATATTACAGTGCTTTCTTAACTAGCCTTCATGTTTCCATTCCAGCATCCTCAAATTTCGCCATCCACATTTCAGCCAGGGCAATCTTTCTAAATTGAAAATCTAGATTGAAAATGCCACTTTCCTGCTTAATAGTCCTTCAGTGACTTCCCATAGTTTCCAGGATAAACTTCAAACTCGCTGGTTCAGCACACAGGGACTAGCATCTCTTCTACTCCCTCCTCTATGGAGCCTCGGCTCCAATCATATTCATTACTTTTGTAGTTCCCTAAAAGCATCATACTTTCTTGTGCCTACCTGCCTTTACACATATAGTCCCTTTCTCCTAGAATGCCCTTTCCTCTAATTCCCCTAACTCCAACCATTCATCTTTTAAAACTCAGATTCCAGCATCCTTTTCTCTGAGAAGCTTCCCACGTGGTTGATTGGTTGATGGTCCTTTTGCCCCACCCCCACGTAGACTGAGTTGCTTGAAGTTTTATGCCCAGTGCGGCTCTGGCTGATAGCAGATGCTAAAGAAATGTTAAGGAAAATCCCCTTGGTCCTTTTTCTTGTGTTGCATAGCATTAAGACTGCAATACCTGAAGGTATATTTCCTCTCTCACTGTAATTTATTCCATTCTTGTCATCCAAGCAAAAATAAACTGGTTTGTGGTTGGATTCCCATAGTTCACGGATAGCACCACAAAGATGCTCAGTGGGTTACTCCATAAGAAAACATCATTCAAAAGGATTTACTTTGGGCTCCAGTGAATCTCAAACCCACAAACTGGCTGTTTTCCCAAAAGATTTATTCAGAAATCTCTTTGACATTTGTTTTCCCATGGAAGTTAATATCTTCATGACTGTTCCAAGCCTAGTCAAATCCACCATGTGTTGAAATGAAATGCTGATTACTGAGTTTTGGGTCTAGGTATGGAAGCAGTGCAATGGGGAAATGGAAGAAGTTTGAACACTCATGATTAAACACTTGCACTGGTGTTTGCAGATTTGGAAGTGGAGTAGGGGGAGATAGATGACTGAATTTGAGATATCTCTGCCCTGTCTCATCCTTTTTAGGAGACACGTTTCTTTCCCCCTTTATAGGTTGACTCTAGGTGAAGTATCAAAGAGACCAAGTCTGTCTCTAGTTCCTTCACTTCCCCTTGCCACCAAGGAATTCAAGCTCCTCTCTTTGCTCCCCCTACTTTTCTCCCAGCCATGTGTTAGGAAGAATGGGAGTATGACAAGCGCAGCAGCCAGATGCCAGGAGAACCATGTTCCCTATGCCAATCATCTGTTTTAAATAGCTTCCCTACACTCTGGTTTCCTCAGTGGCAAAATGAGGGGGCATCTAGATCATCTCTAAGGACCCTTTTGGCTAAAGAAATCATATCAAAGTTTATTTCTGGTTTTGAAACCTGATACGTTAATTCCCACAAACCTATGGGAATTACTTGATGACATATCAGTGAATGTAATTCAGTATAGTGAGACAGAGTTCTAGGGAACAGGACCACCAAATGGCAGACCAGCTTTTGGTTTAACCTATTTTCATTTTGCAATGTTTCTTCCATTTCTGGGCCTAAGGCACCCCAGGCTCTAGACCTCCCAAATGTCATTTAAGAAGTCTGAATTTTTTTCACAACAGCCCCCAAAGGGAGAGGGGGGAGCATAAAGGCCTGGCTTGTAAACTAGAGACTGCCTGCCAGCATATTATGGACACGACTAAAGAAAGAATGTTGAAAGATGATAATTGCTTTATACTGCAGCAAGGCTGTGAGATCTTTAACTGAAGGACCATTTCTGATTCACTTCTGTATCCCCAGGACCTACCACAGTGCTTAATACAGATTAAGGTGTTCAGTAAATATTGATTCAATGACTCAAAACCCGAGGTAAAACCAGGTAAGAATGCCTACCATCTGTTCTTTAGAAAGCTAGATTTTGATGATTAATTATCTAGTAAATTGATTATCATAAATGTTTCTGTGAGCAGATTTTAAATAAAATATTCAGTGATTATATTACAAAAATACTGTGGATATATATGTGCTTATATTCGCACATACAAGACTGAGGTGTTACAGAAAAACCTTTAAGCTTTTCATAGTTTTATCTCTTCAAACTGCATTTTAAATGTTATGAAATATTTCCACTTTTTAGAATAAAAAGATGGTTATTGTTATGTGCATAATATGCTCATCTGATGTCGCCAGATGGTTCAACCTAGGGTATGGAGAGAAAGGGAGGTAATTCCAACATATCTCTAATTGACAGAGCAGAAGAGTTTGCTACCGAGCAGTCAATGGGCTCACTGCCTGATGAATGCAGAGGCTAATACCATGGCACTGGCTTTTGGGAAAAGAAAAGCTTTATTGCAAGTGGGCTGGCAAGGAGACAGGAGGAAATGCTCAAATCTGTCTTCCTAAGCTGGGGTTTGGTTTGGTTTTTATAAGCATAGGGTAAAGAGATGTGATCTGATTGGATCTTGTAATGAGGTGATGCTGGGAGGCATGATCTGACTGGATCCTGCTATGGGATGAAGCCAGAGCTCAACCCGGTTGGATCCTGCCATGCCATATCTACTTCTTAATTCAGTCCCTCCTCCTTGATCTGAGCACTTGGTTTCCCCTGTGGCTGCATGCTTGGTTCATCTAGGCATGCTCAGGTTACATGACCTCAGGGTTCATGGCAACTGAAAAACAACTCACAATTTTGTTACATAAAAGTTGAACCAAGGCTGGGCAAGGTGGCTCACACCTGTAGTCCCAAGAATTTAGGAGGCCAAGGCAGGAAGATCACGTGAGGCCAAGAGTTCAAGACCAGCTGGGATAACATAGCAAGACCCCGTCTCTATAAAAAAATTTACAAATCAGCTGGGCATGGTGGCATGTGCCTGTAGTCTTAGCTACTCGGGAGACAGAGGTGGGAGGATCACTTGAGCCCAGAGTTTGAGGCTGCAGTGAGCTATGATTGTACCACTCCACTCCAGCCAGGGTGACAAGCCAGACCCTGTCTTAAAAAAAAAAAAAAAAAAAAAAGAGGAGAAGGGGAAGGGGAAGGGGAAGAAAGAAGAAAGAAGAAAGGAGAAAAGAAGAAGAAGAAGAAGAAACAGATCGGTCTGGTGCAGCAACAAGTTGAGGCCCAGGGCACAAGGAGGAGAGCCCCTATGGAATCTTCTACCTTAACCACAAGGATGCCCAGATGTCTAGAGATGGCTCCTGGACACAGGCTAAGGGACTGTTTGTCGTCCAGAAGCAGCCTCCTAGAGCCCGGGATCTTCAGAGGCTTGGTTAGCCTCTTAATTACCATAGCTTCCCAGTCAGTTGCAGGCCCAGGGGACTGAAGTTGATTCCTCAGGGAGAAGCTCCTTGTCACTTTAAGGTGCATTCAGTCCTCTTTGTGACCTTCCTGCACTGAGGCCAACCCCTCACAAGACTGCCTGTGCTGGTGGCCTAAAACTCCATTACTAAGGCCTTATGCAGTGCTGATAGGGAGAGCTTGCTCAGAGGAAGTGTTGGGCCCACCCAAAGGAGGGAACGCCTTTACTCCTGCATGCCCAGTTGAATTAAGCATGCAGCCACAGGCGAAACCTAAGTGCTCAGACGGAGGAGGAGGGGCTGAATTAAACCTTTTTCTGGACGAGGAAAAAGTTTTTTCCAAAAAACTCTCGTTTCGCTGGAGTTGAAGGAACCTGCGCCAGAAGGCCAGAAACCACTGGGCCCCTATAGGAAGGCTGGGCGGCTGCCGCGCTCCTCCGTTTTCCCAGAAGCCTCTGCGCGGCCTCACAGAGATAAAAGCGCGGGAGCGAGGCCCGGCGGCTCCAGTTCTGGGGCTTTTGCTTTCGCTCGATTAGTTGCTGTGAGGCTGCTCCGCGGGCCTCGCCTGGACGCTGACTCCCTGTGACTTAGCCCTGATCCTCAGGAAGGCAGGCCATCGAGAGTCCAGAGGCACCCGTGGCCTGGGGGTAGGGTGGGATAGCAATGTGGCCGCTACGGGTCTATACCCGCAAAAAGCGGGAGGGTCAGAGGCTCAATCTCACCCCGACGCCAGACCTAGGCTCTCCAGCGAAGGCCGAGGCCCCGCCAGGTACAGGCTCAAGGCTCGCCCACCGTAAGCTCAGCCGAGCTGCCTCCGGGACGGGACCGAGGGCGGGCGGGGGTGCTAGGCCTCGGGCCCAGGACCCCCCCGAAGCCGGTGGGTAGGTTTCTTGCCCTGAAACGTGCCGCCCTCTCTCAGGTTCGAAGAGAAAAGGCAAAGTGCACGGCTTGTCGAAGATTGCAGAGAAAGCAGAGCGGAGCAGGCAGGGAGGTAGCGGCTCTGGGCCGTTCAGGTATGTAGCCTCCAGTAACAGCCCGATCCTAGCTTGCCACCTCAGAAAACTTCAAGCCGAATTTTCTGCTAGTAGCCTTTTATTCTAACAGTCAAGGAGCAAAACAAATACAGTACTCTGATTTTGCTCTTCTCAGAACATGGACCCCAAAATTTGACTTCAGGAAGATTTATTTTTAAAAAGGGGAAGGCTTGCCAATTTACGTAAAAGGAAGTGAGATAAATTGGTCGGTGAGCTATACGATTGTGTCACTGCATTTGGGTTTTGGTGCAAGTCACCACTCTGGTCCTTACTTCTTCCTAAAGATGTCCCTAAAGAGCCTTTCAGATTCTAAAGAGTCTGAACAGAGACGTGGAGAGCCAAATCCAGATGGTGCAAACTAATTGCGTTGTCTCTTTGTTAGCCCTCGCTTAGGAGTTACAGGAGAGAAAAGCCTGCAAGAAAATAGGTCTAGTGAAGACACCCAGGATGAGAAGATTGCATCGTTGCGTGTATGTATGCTTCTCTTTTAGTCCTTGGACACACTTAGTGTAGAGACTATCAGTACCTGATGTACCTCCGGATGAAAGAATAAAATGGGCTTTGTTCTGTAGATGTTACATAGCTCACCAGTATTTTTATAAACACTTACGTGTCTTTAGACAGGGCCTTGAATTTCTGACTTGGGTAGATTCATAGTCATGCATTTTTGTTTTTCTCTTTCTCTTGACACGTTTTTGGAGAAACGTCCATAATTGGTGAATTTTCTGTATGACAAATACAAAATGTTACTTAATAACTCCTTTTTTCATGTTTTCCATTTGATTTTCCATTAACAACTGGAAACATTCATTACTAAGGGTTTAATATGTTACAGAGCATTCTAATGTTTATTCATTAGAATATTTTATAACTTCTTGATGTGCTGTATTTAATATGAATTCTGTACTATATTTTAAAGTTGTACAGCACTAATTTAGGGAAGCTCAGATTTTAAAAATTGCTTGTGACTCATCTGACATTAACATTAAACTTCATAGTCAAGTTCCTTTTTTTTTTTTTTTTGGAGACAGAGTCTTGCTCTGTCACCCAGGCTGGAGTGCAGTGGCACAGTCCTGGCTCACTGACTGCAGCTTCTGCCTCTCGGGTTCAAGCGATTCTCCTGCCCCAACCTCCTGAGTAGATGTGATTACAGGTGTATACCACCACCCAGCTAATTTTTGTATAGAGGGGGTTTCTCCAGGTTGGCCAGGCTGGTCTCGAACTCCTGACCTCAAGTGATCTGCTCGCCACGGCCTCCCATAGTGCTGAGATTACAGGCTTGAGCCATCACACCTGGCCAAGTTCTATTTTTTTTTAACTTAATATTCCTTTATAACATGTTTTTGGGGGAAGGCAGTTTCAACACAAGACATTTTTTTAAAAGGCTTTTATCCATAGTTTAACAGTGTAAAGTAGTCCTTGTAGAGTATTTATACTATGAAAAAATAGTGTTTTGAAAGTTTCTTAAAATTTTTATATATTTCTGTTCCTTTTCTCCTGTGCTTTAAAAAAAATGACCAGTTGTCTTATTGTATATTCCCATACATTAAATAGTCTTCAAAAATATGACTTTCAGTGTCTTCATAGTGCTTTGTCTTGTAGATAGATACACTGTAATTTGTATTACTATTTCCCTGTGGTTGGGAAATTGAGATTGTTTCCAAGGTTTTGCTGTTATTGATATCCATAGACATTCTGTTACAGAAGGTTTTTGTGTACCTCACATTGTTACCCTAAGATAAATACTTTGCAGTGGATCACAGGTTGGATCATGTTTCAAGTTTTTTTATTCATGTTGATAAATCAGCACCATCTTACCTGAAACTTTTATATATATGTGTGTGTATATATATGAAATAGATAGATAGATAGATGAAAAGTAGCATGTTTTTTACTTTTCATTTCTTTGAATGCTGGGGAAGTCGATATTTTTTTTCTCAAATTATTGGCCATTTGTACTGTTTTGTGAAATGTCTATTAAATATTAAAGATAGCTATACTTTTGTACATACATATATAACCAATATTTCCATATTTGTTTACTTGCCTTTAATTTTATTTCTAGTATTTTAGACTTACTAGTCTTTTCTTTTGATTTATATATTTGCCTCTATAGATGGAAAAAAAGCCCCTCCCCACTAGGGAACCAGAAAAATATTCACCTCTATCTTCTATTTGCTGTCATCCCACAGTAGTTACTTGACTAGCATATTGTTGATTACAAGATATGTTCATAGTATTATATTTTAATATTTATTTTTAGGTTTAATATTAAATATCAGATTACATCTGAACAATAAACTGAATGAATGTATTATATATATGAAACATATAAAAAGTTGATGTTTTCATTTTTCTAAAATAAATCTGTACAAGATTATAATATAGAAATGGTCAATCTCATAATTTTGCTATAGCTTTAATTCTTATTTCACTTAGGAATCAGTTACTGATGACCTCCAGGTTGATAGTAGTTCATCAAATAGTGAACTAGTATCAGGTAAGACTGTCAAATGTGAACTCCCTCAGCTTTCTGTTTTTCCTCCAAACATAAGCATCCATCTGTATCTCTCCCCATCTTCCTATCTCAGTGGAAGAGGTATCTTTTCCCTACTCCAAAGTGAATCCTTCTGACTGTGCTATAGATCTCATCCTTAAAGCCTTTAAGCACATGCCAGTAAATGTGAAATTACTTGTGATAAGTACTGTAAAAGAGATTGACTTGAGTGTGATTGAGTTTACCTAGAGAAATTAGGGAAGACTTCCATGAGGGAATGGTAATTGAATTAAGATCTGAAGGAGAGTAGAAATTAACTATGCAGAGATGAGTAAAGAGAAATTCAGGCAGAGGGAAGCTCTAACATGGGACTGAGCATTATGTATTGAGTAACTGAAGAAGGCCAGTATGACTGCAGTACAGAGAGTAGGAGGATATGTGAGTGTAAGACAGGATTAGACAACCAGTTTGAGGCCCTGCATAGCCTTGTAGTCCATATAAAAAATATTGATGTTTATATTTGGAGCAGCAAAAAGTCATTGAAGTCATTTTAATAGAGAATGATATGATCACTTTAGCTGCAGTGTGGAAGAAGGACTGGAAAGAATCAGGAGTGCAGTTAAGAGGCTGTTCAAGTAGTTTAGGGGAGAAATAATGGCGCCTTCTACTAGGGTGGTGACATTGGAGATGGAAAAAAGGGTGCTGATGTGATGTGATGGCTATTTTAGGTAATGAGACAGGATTTGGCAAATGAAGAGTGAAGGAGATGGAGGTGTCAAAGATGACTACTGTTTCTGGCTTGTGTAACTGGATACAAGGTAGTGTCATTCACTGAAAGAAAAACTGGTTTGAAGAAAAGACTAGAAATTCAGTTTTTAGTATATTAAGTTATGAGTGCATTTAAGATGACTAAGTAGCAATATCAACCAGATAGTTGGATATGAAAGGCTGGAGATAGAAATTTGTGAGCCATCTACATATTGGTATAATCAAAGTTATTTTGAAAACAAGGATGCCACCAGCACATCAGAAATACAGAGGAATTCTTAAAAGCAAATGAGACAAGATTGATGAACATATCAACAGCAGGAAAAAAAACCACTGCAGAGGTAAAAGTAGCCTGGAAATACTCTAAACCCTTGATCAGTAAAGCAAAAGACTGTAATAGAAGAGATCTTGGGCCAGGCACGGTGGCTCACGCCTATAATCCCAGCACTTTGAGAGGCCAAAGCAGGCGGATGACTTGAGGTCAGGAGTTCGAGACCAGCCTGGCCAACATGGTGAAACCCCGTCTCTACTAAAAATACAAAATTTAGCCAGGCGTGGTGGCAGGCGCCTGTAATCCCAGCTACTCGGGAGGCTGAGACAAGAGAATCGCTTGAACCCGGGAGGCGGAGGTTGCAGTGAGCCAAGATTGTGTCATTACACTCCAGCCTGGGGGACAACAGCGAGACTTCGTCACAAAAAAAAAAAAAAAAAAAAAAAAAAAAAAAAAGGAAGAGATCTTGAAGGAATTGTCAAGGCGATGGATTAAGAACTACATTTGAAATATCTGGTCCCTTTTTCATAATCCCCTAATATATTGGAAACTCTGGCAGCTACCAGTGCCTGCTGCCAGGAGAAAACCCTGATAATTACTCACAAGCAAAGTGAACTATCGGGGGGGCTGGCTCTTAAGGGTCAATGTTGGGGCTGAGTTGATAAACAGAGGAGAGTCTGAAGTAACTCCATATTGCTACAAGGATAGCAGAGGAAGAAAAAAGTAAAAGATGTAGTCAATTCTTATGTTTGTTAACTCCATAATAAAGTTAGTATGGCTCTCTGAACCGTGAGACTTCTGATACAGCAGACTTCCAGTGTGGACACTGGCCGGACAGTTAGGGCAGTGCCCCCATGTCACCTACAGTACCTAAAAAATACAGGACATCCCCACCTAGAATACAGGTTCCCAGAATGTCTCATCACTCTTCCAAAATCTCCAGAAGCAAGCCACTATTTCAGAATTTTTACTTACTGCCATATAAACAGATTCTCAGAGACACAAATAAAGCAACCAGGAATATCCAAACTTTTGAAGAAAACCAGTTCCATGGAAAAGAGGCAACAAATGAAACAAACAGAACTAACATTTGAGGAAATGGCACAAAACTAAATATCTGTAGATACCAGAGGCCGCTGAATCCATAATATAGCAGGCTGCTATGAAAAAAAATATAGTCCCTGGGAACTAAAAATATTATTTCAAATTAAAACTTAACCGAGGAGTCTAATATTGGAATTAATTCAACTAAAATTAGTGAGCTAGAAAATAGACTAGAGGAATATTTCCTAGAATGCAGTGCAAAAGAACATGGGAGGTGCTCAGGAAATGCTTTTCTCTCCTTCTTCCTCTCCCTTCTTTGCCTTATTAACTTTTTCAAAAATAAATTCAGCAGCTATTTCTCCTGGGAAGCCTCTTCTGACTTCTCTTTTTCTAGGTGACTTGTTCTACCCTGGTAGTTCTGTGGCACTCTATATACTTCTGTCAAAAGACTTAAAACCACAGTGTAATTGTTTTCGTCTGTCTTTAACTCTTCAAAAAGAGGAAAATGGCTCTAAAACCATTGAGAATTAGCACTATCTTTTATCTTCCTATCTCATGCTTGGAATACAGTTTCAAAGATAATACAGGTTCAAATAATTGTCGAATGTCTCAAATGCTTTTGGATGGGTCTTGTACTCTATTTAGAGAAAATACCATTTAATCATAATCAGCATTTTCTAAAATCATAGTTTAAATATATGAGAAATGTCCTTGATTACTAGGTTTATCAAGTTGACACGTGAAAGGTATAAGGAAATAGAAAATTAGTTGTCTCTAACTTACAAACTGCTTGTATTCTGAGAGTTCATTTGCTGATTGATATTTGAAACCTGAAATACTTTTTCCCATAATAAAATACTGTGATGGGCTAAGTTTTGAGCAGCCCACAGAATTTTAGTTAACATATGATTTATTGTTTTAATTCTACCTTGGAATCTAGTAACTTTATAACACGTTGAAAAATTAATTAAGGATTTTATATTTAATGTGGAAGATTGAATACACATTTACTTCTCTTTTCTGAAACCCTACTAAAATATCAATAAAGGCATAAAAATGTTGTAAAGCTGTAGGTTCAAAAAGAAGAGACCTCAGCTAACAACAGATAATTAATGAAAGTTTGGAATGTGGAAGGTAGATTAATGAATTATAATTGACCTAACAGATCTTAAAAAAAAAAAAAGCTGAAAACTAGGTGTCTAGAGTAGAGACAAACCAAGAAACAAACTGATTCAGGCTAAAGGTTCAGGAATTAGAGGCATTACATATTCCTGGAGGAAATCTTTAAAATAAGATTTTTTGGAATCTTCAAAAGTAACAGTTAGATGCTTTGATCCTTTCCCTAACACACTGTGGCCAGGCAACTATGCTTCTTCCCACCCTGGTAGTCTAAGACATTGAAGCAGAGGGACTGGATTCAAGGATACTGTACTGAAAACTAGCAGTGGCCGGGGAGGAAAGGGAATTAAGTGAAAGTCTGTATATTTTGATGTGAAATCCCCAGACCCCTTATGCACTCAGGCAAATACACTCCAACTAGAAGATTAGAGGATTCCTCTTTTGGAAGTTTCTGTCCCCAGGAGAAGACTGGAATTTGTGCGTTCTGGTAATATGGCCTGGTCCCTGTCTAAATACTCTTCAGTAAAATCCACTTCTTCCTAAGCCCAAGTTATTATGCCATTTTGGTACTTCATTCTCGAACATTCAAGAATTAGCAGACATTTTAAGTAAACATTTAAAATAACAGCTACTAAATAAAAGAAACTTGAAGGACAATGACAATACAAGAAAAATCTTTTAAAAAGCCACAGTTTCATTAATATCCTCAGGATGATGGAAAAATGTTATGTCCATGAAACAAGTGCAGGCTCTTGTAAAAAGTGTTCAGAACAAAAAAATTTGTTAAAAAATAAAAATATGAAATCAGAAAACATTCTGTAGAATTGGATGATAAATTTAAGGAAATATTCCAAAAAGTTGAACAAACATGAAAGAGAAGATAAAGGATAGAAATAGCATCAGTGGTGACACAACTCCATAAGTCTACAAAAAAACCACTGATTGTACACTTTAAAAGGGTGAGTTTTGGCCAGGCACGGTGGCTCACCCCTGTAATCCTAGCACTTTGGGAGGCCGAGGCGGGTGGATTGCCTGAGCCTAGGAGATCGAGACCAGCCTGGGCAACACGGTGAAACCCTGTCTCTACTAAAATACAAAAAATTAGCCGGGCATGGCGGTGTGCACCTCTAATCTCAGCTACTCGGAATTTTTGAGGCAGGAGAATTGCTTGAACCTGGGAGGTGGAGGTTGTAGTGAGCTGAGATCATACCATAGCACTCTAGCCTAGGTGAGAGAGCGAGACTCCATCTCAAAAAAAAAAAAAAAAAAAGGGGGTGAGGGGCGAGTTCTATGGCATGTGAATTATATCTCAATAAAGTTGTTATTTTAACAAGAAAAATAATTAGAAGATGAGTCCAATGATTCTAACATCTCAAAAACAGTAGTTCAGACATTATAGAGTAAACAGAAGGAAAATTATTAAACACGCAAAGCTAGAAATTTTCCTAGAATTAAAAATGGTCATGAGTGTATTTACTGAAAGAGCCATTCAGATTCTGAATAGTATGAACAGAGATACTGAGAGCCAAGTTTGGACGGTGCAAACTGTGCTCACCCCAATAAATGAAAAAAAAACCACACCAAGTTACAACATTATATAATTTTTAAATTCTCAGGATAGAGAAATTTATTAGTTTTCCAGAGAAAAAATAATCAGTTGCAATAAGCGATCAAGAATATCAATGGCATTGGACTTCTGAAGAACAACTCCAGAAGGTAGAACATGGTGGAGAGAAAAACGTATTCAGAATTCTGAAGAACACTGATTTTGCAGAGTCAAAATGGACTCCCACTCAAAAGTTGTCCTGGATGTCAACACTGATTATGCCATCCACACACCAAGAAGGTATGGAAAGGTATATTACTCATATAACGAGCCTTTCTCGGGGGAAAGGTGACTCCAAGCAGGACTGAAAATGACTTGAGAATGCAGGGGAAGGAGACCTGGCCTGTAGTTTTCATGATGTTAAGAGGATTGGACCAGGTTGAGGTTTCCTGTGCATGGTTTAAACTTGCTACCATTGCCAAAAGATGGAACACCAAGGCTCTCTTGTCACCCAGAGGTGAGGTGGGAAGGGGAAGAGGGAACAGTGAGGTTTAAAAGCTGTCACACATCAAAAAATTAAATCAGTCTCTTAAATATACTAACCTAGAATTCTTACCCAGCCAAACTGTCACTCAGTTGTTAGGATAAAGGAATTTTTAGACACATATTCTTTGTACCTTTTCTCAGAAATGAAGCAGATGTTCGTGAACCAGGAAATAAATCAATAAGGAAGAAATCATGGGATCTAGGAATCAGAGTCTCTTATCTAATACAGGAAATATGTGAATTTCTTAGGATAATGGTAAAGGGAAATACCAAGAAAACAACTGTGTAGGATGCATAGAGGACAAACAGTCCAAATTTGAGCAAATGGATTGAGATCTCCAATAGCTATACTTTTTTAAAAAAGAAGAAAAGACAGAAGAAGAGGGAGAGAGGGAGGAAAATAAAAAATAGATAACCTGGTGTTTTTAAAAGTATTGAGAGGAAATTTATACTCTTGGGAAAAGTTGGAACAAGGCCGGGCGCTGTGGTTCATGCCTGTAATACCAGTACTATGGGAGGCCAAGGTGGGAGGATTACTTGAGGTCAGGAGTTCGAGACCATCTCTACTAAAAGTACGAAAAAGTAGCCAGGCGTAGCAGCACGCACCTGTAATCCCAGCTACTCAGGAGGCTGAGGTGGGAGGATTGGTTGAGCTTGGGAGGCGGAGGTTGCAGTGACCCAAGATCCTGCCACTACACTCCAGCCTGGGTGACAGAGTGAGACTCCGTCTCAAAAAGAAAGAAAAAAAAGTTGGAACAAAATAGTACTTAGTATTAATACTTAATAAGTACTTAGAAAACAAATTTTAAAATTAGGTAATAAATAGCTCAAAGGAAAAGAAATTGTAGCAAAAAGGTGATGAATGTGGCCCACAGTATAGGGCTTGGCTACGAGTATATTTGAATAGTCATAATAATAGAAACATTGAATTTATTTAATTTAGAAATGTAAAGGAGGTGCCTATCAAAAGAAATCATTAATAGAGTTGAAAGTAGTTGTCTCTAGCGAGTAGAAAATTATGATGGGGAGATATGATACAAGAGATTGCAGTTTTTGCTATAAGCCTTGTAGAACTATTTGTCATTTTAACAATGAACAATTTGATAAAAATATGTTTTTTAATTGCATTTACATTTCTAACTTGTGACACCAGGACAGCCTCCCACTGATACAGCATTAACATTTATTATTTTTTCTACTCAACTACCCAGATGGTGGGCTTTCCTTATTTCTGAGCCTGGCTTGAGTTCTGGGGCTTGGTGTTAAGGATAGCTCAGCTATGAGGGGTATTCATGAAATTTTGAGAAATGGAAGGCAAGACAGATACAATATGTGGATGGGAAGGATGAAGACAGTGTGAGAAGGATAAAAGTTAGCAAGGACAGGGACAGGACACTCTAGGGCAGTTGGAGAAGAGAAAGCAAAAGATGCTCAGAGGGAAAGCCTACTACTCTGACAGTTGAGGATATGGAGAAGGATGGTAGATTGAGTCAGTCAATTTAAGTGTTCCAGTGGCAGCTGGAGAAGATGGCCAGGTAGAAAACAATTCTCATTTTTAACAAGGGAGTTGGCATAGGAGAAAAAGTTGTGATGAGGTCTTAGGAGGAAGGACAAAGAGTTAGTTGTCTCAAGTAGGTAATGGATGAGCAGAGATAGGTGTAAGTTAGTTCCAGGGCAGGAGATAATAGGTTTTCAGAACAATGCTCCCCTTTGATCTCTTACTCACCACCCCCGACCCCCGCAACCAGTTTCTATCAGTGTTGATCTCTATCTTGTCATATTGGAAATGTTTAATAAATGTAGACTAAATATAGCAGAGCACATTTTCCCTTTTCTTACCAAATCTCTGGTTCTCCTCAACTTTTAGTACTATGTTCTGTCACCATCATTTATTGGACAGTTCTTCATTCTAGTCCACTCCCATAGGAATGACTTTAAGACTGCTGAGTCTGGGAAGATTCTCTGTTCAAATATTTGTCCATTTTCTTATTGAGGATTTGTTTTCTTATTATTGAGTTTTCATAGTTCTTCATATTCTGGTTTTTCTTTCTTTCTTTTTTTTTTTTTTTTTTTTTTGTAGAGACGGGGTTCCACTATGTTGCTCAGGCTGGTCTCAAACTCCTGGGCTCAGATGATCCTCTCACCTTGGCATCCCAAAGTGCTGTTATTACAGGCATGAGCCACTGTGCCGAGCCAGTTCTTTACATTCTGGATTTCAGTCCATTTGCAAATGTTTTCTCCCTATCTGTAGCTTGTCTTTTTTTTTTTCTTTTTTCTTTTTTTTTGGATGGAGTCTCACTCTGTCACCAGGCTGGAGTTCAGTGGCCGATCTTGATCTTGATTCACTGCAACCTCCACCTCCTGGGTTCAAGAGATTCCCCTGCCTCAGGTTCCCAGGTAGCTGAGACTACAGGTGCATGTTGCCACGCCCAGCTAATTTTTGTACTTTTAGTAGAGATGGGGTTTCACCATGTTGGCCAGGATGGTCTCTATCTCTTGACCTCGTGATCTGCCTGCCTCGGTCTCCCAAAGTGCTGGGATTACAGGCATGAGCCACTGCACCCAGCCTATAGCTTGTCTTTTAATAGTCTCTTTTGAAGGGACGTTTTAAATTTTGCTGAAGTCCAAATTATCAGTGCTATTGTTTTATGAATCTTTTTTAGTGTTATATAAAAAAATTCTTTGCATAACTCGGTGTTACAGTTTTCTCCATTTTTTAAAAGAAGTTTTAGAGTTTTAGGAGTTACATTTAGATATATGATGCATTTAGAGTTAATTTCTTTACATGATGGAAGGTATGAGTGCAAGTTTTTTTATTTTGTTTTTTTATATGGATACCTAGTTGTTCCAGCACATTTTGTTTAAAAGACTATCCTTTCTCCACTGAATTGCCTTTACATATTGGTCAAAAATCAGTTGCTTATCTATGTGTGAGTCTATTTCCATGCTCTCTTATTAAATTCCTTTAATATATTTGTGTATGTGTAGGCTCATTGTTTTTTAGATGAAATAACTAGAATCACCCTTTCCTCAGCTAGTTAGCTTACAATTAATGGGTTACTTATATATAAAACTTAAATTTTGGCTGGGCACGGTGGCTCACGCCTATAATCCTAGTACTTTGGGAGGCCGAGGCAGGTGGATCATGAGGTCAGGAGTTCAAGACCAGCCTGGCCAACATGGTAAAACCCCGTCTCTACTAAAAAAAAAAATAAAAAAAAAATAATTAGCCAGGATGGTGGCACATTCCTGTAATCCCAGCTACTCGGGAGGCTGAGGCAGGAGAATTGCTTGAACTGGGACCCGGGAGGCGGAGGTTGTAGTGAGCCAAAATCGTGCTACTGCACTCCACCCTGGGCTATAGAGTGAGACTCGGTCTCAAAAAAAAAAATTAAAAAATTAAATTTTTGAGCCAAGAATCACAACTGAACCAAACTAGAGAAAAGGAGTAAGTTGTAAAACTTTGAAAAACAACAAAAGGGGATTATAACAAATTTATCACCATCAAAAATAGAATGATTGTCCAAGATCAAATTAAAATAGTTTAAAATATTATGCCTTTTTAGTTGTATGTAGAAGCAGTCTTATGTTCTAGTAATAATATATAACTAAGCATGTACATTTCCATACATTTCAATTTTTAGGATTTCACATTGTTTTGTATCAAAAGATTTATCAATTTTTTTTTCCTTTATTCTACAGGATTAAGTTTGCACCATGGTATGGCCAGTTCTCTTCTGAGCTATTCAGTCACAGACTCTTATGCAGAATACAAGAGTTTTGAAGAGAGCTTTCCATCACCTGAACTGTTCAGAAAATCAGATTATTTAGGTGAGAAAGTAATTCCAACCTTAAATTGCTCTACTATAGAAATTATTCTTTTGTCCACAAATCCTCCAATGAATAAACGTCCCTTTCGAGAAGGCATACTCCTCTTCCTCACCAACACCTCACTTCCCTGACCATTACCCGTTGTGTTTCATTCCCAGTCACATAGGACTAATAGAGCAAAAGCCCTCAGATCAAGGAAGGATGAAGAAATGTCATTTAGCATTTATATGTAATACACATCCAATTATTAATCAATTTTGCACCTAATGAATGTATACTTGTTCTCTTGAACCATGTGTTATCTTTTTTTTCCTGTACTTATCTTACTTTTCAGCAAATAACTTAAATGTTAGCTAGGCCAAGTCCCTGCTTGAATTTTCTCCACAAATTAAGAGTTATTTACATTTATTATACATATAAATATAACCTTTGGTTAATGATGGCAGATCAAATACATGCCTTACTCTACAATCTTGCAATGGCAGAAAACAGCTTTTTCTTTAAAGTAATACGCTCATAAGGACAAAGATAATTGAAAAAAAGAAAGTACAAAGTTTGGAAGGTTAATCAGGTGATCTGATACAGCAGACCTAAGAAAGCGGAGTCCTAAACCAACAATGTGAATACCCCAGAAACAAGCCAATTTGCACTATAGTGTCACAGAAAAGCTCATAATTTGGTTGTGCCAAATGCTTGTAAATAGATGTCAAAAACATGAAAGATGTGGTTAACTGCTCCTTTCCTGCTCAAAGGGAGCCTGGAGATGTATTCTTTAGAATATTTTGAAACAGGGACTCTAGACTGGAGAATACTAGGTCCTTTTAATAGCAGGGATACTGTGGTATTTTGAAATGTCAGTCCCAATTATTCGTTTCTCTGTAGTATTATATTCATACCCTCGTAATGGGTGGAGTATTCTTTTCCACTCTCTGGCTTTGGGATTGGCCATGTCACTTGCTTTCTGCAACAAACACAATTTAAGAAAAGCTTTCAAATTGCTTAAATGGTTGAGCTTGTCTTCTTGCACTTTTGGCATTATCATGAGAATGGACCCTAATTAGCTTCTGCCTCTCTCGTGGAACCCCAGAATGAGAGTTACAGAGTGGAGCAGTCTAGGCAACCAGCTCACTTCAGAGAGCTGCCCCAGCTGATCTGCAGATCTGTAATCTGAGTTACCTGAGCCAACTAATAGACATGGAAACAAAAAATAAATGCTTCTCACTTTGTGCCACTGAGATTTTGTGGTTGTTTATTAAACAGCCAAAGCAGACTGCTGCAGATAATGTACTGAATTTGGAAGAGGGAATTAAGTAAAAGTGTACATCCTAAATTATGGGATCTGCTCACCCAATGCTTATTTCCACCCCACCCCAGCAGCCCATTTTTCTTGTCAGCTTCCCAGACTTGAACCTTCTGCTGAGAAAATGGAAGATTATTTTCTCAGGAACTGAGTACCCCAGAAGAAAATATCTAAAGATACTGACCCCAGGAGTCCTCAATGAAACTGACCAGGTGGAAGACCCTACAGTGAAGCCAACTATGTGACAAGCCCCACCTAGGCCATAGGGATACCACTTAGCCTTTTAGGACCCACTTCTAAATATGAACAGAGAGCCAAGGATCACCAGACTTCTGAGGAAAGCCTCTAACATTAAAAAGAGATATCAAAACAAAACAAAATGTGAGAATGGTGTCAGCAAGATGTTGAAACAGGAAGCCATGGATCTGCCTACTCCTTATGGACACACCAATTCAACAGCAATATATGGACCAGTTCCCTTTGTGAAAAATTCAGAAAATAGTCGACAGGCGCCTGCATCCTGGCAAGCATGGGGCCAGCCACATCAAAGCCAGTAGGAAAATTTGAGACATCCTCACCATAATTCCTACTCCTAGCACAGCATCATACAGTTGAGAGGAAACCCATACCACAGTTTTCAGCTTCTCCCTGAGGGGAAGAGCAAGATAAGGGACTTGACAATACATCCAGTGTTCTGAATTCTCTGAGGGATGCCTGAGGGAACTGATTTCGGTCTTGCCTGTCTCAGAGTGCTGATAGGACCCAACATACCCAAGGTGATTGGTGACTGCTGAGAACAAAGATGACAATTTGGTCTAGGACACAAACATTTGCCATAGGCTCTCCACCTAGCTCAGTGCAGAGTGAGTGGGGGAAAAAAAAAGATTCCAGCTTCTCCCTCGGGAGAGAAAGAGTTGGACTTTGTGTCCAATGTTCCAACTTTTCAAGGGATGTTCTTGGGACTACCTTCTGTCACACCTGTCTTACAATGTTGACAAGATCTGACATATTGTAAATGCCTGGAGGCTGATAACAACAAAGACGGTGGTTTGGACTAGCACAAAGATTTGAGAGATCCCTGGGTAGGCTTATTCATAAGGGTCTTCTGTACAATGCCAGACTGGGAGAAGTGGCTGTTATTTTCTAATGCGTAGATGCTGATACAAGTAAAATTGTCAAGGAAAATTAAGAAGCAGGGAAACATGGTCGAAACAAAGGAACAAGATAAATCCCCAGAAACTGACCCCAATGAAATGGAGATATACAAATTGTCTGACAACTAATTCAAAATAATCATTAAAAAGATGCTCAACAAGTTGAGAACAATACATGAACCAAATAAGAATTTCAACAAAAAGGAAGTTTTAAAAAGAACAAAATAGGAATTTTTGGAGCTGAAGAATACTATCACTGAACTGAGGCCAGGCACAGTGGCTCATGCCTATAATCCCAATGCTTTAGGAGGCTGAGGTGGGAGGATCACTTGAGCCAAGGAGTTTGATGTTACAGTGAGCTATGATTATGCTACTGCACTCCAGCCTGGATGACAGAGCAAGACTGCTCTAAAAAAAATAAAAAAGAATAAAAGAAAAATTCAGTAGAGCAATATAACAGCACACTAGCTCAAGAAGAATAAAGAATTAGTGAGCTTGAGGACAGGTCATTTTTAAAGACTCCAAAAGCAATTGCAAGAAAAACAAAAATTGACAAATGGGACCTAATTAAACTGAAGAGCTTCTGCACAGCAAAATAAACTATCAACACAGTAAACAGACAACCTACAGAATGGGAGAAAATATTTGCAAACTATGCATCCAACAAAGATCTAATATCCAGAATCTATAAGAAATTTAAATCAGCAAGCAAAAAAACGATCCTATTAAAAAATGGGCAGAGGACATGAATATAAAGAAGACTAAAGAAGTATGTCTTCTTCTCATTAGAGAAATGCAAATCAAAACCACAATGAGATAGCATTGCATACCAGTCAAGGTGGCTATTATTAAAAAGTCAAAAAATAATGTGTTTGTGAGATTGTAGAGAAAAGGGAAAGCTTATACACTGCTGGTACACAGGAGGAATGGGAATGTAAATTAGTTTGGCCAATGTGGAAAGAAGTTTGCAGATTTCTCAAAGAACCTAGAACTATCATTTGACCCAACAATCCTATTACTGGATATATTTCCAAAGGAATCATTCTATAAAGACACATGAACACATATGTTTGTTGCAGCTATTTTCACAATAGCAGAGACGTGGAATCAACCTAAATGCCCATCAGTGGTAGACTGGATAAAGAAAGTGTAGTACACGTACACCATGGAATACTACACAGAAATAAAAAAGAATGAAATCATATCTTTTGCATCAGCATGGATGCAGCTAGAGACCGTTATCCTAAGCAAATTAATGCAGGAACAGAAAACCAAATACCATATGTTCTCATAAGTGGGAACTAAACATTGAGTACACATGGACACAAAGAAGGGAACAGTAGACACTGGGGCTTACTTGAGGTTGGAGGGTGGGAAGAGGGTGAAGATTGAAAAGCTACCCATTGGATACTATGCTCACTATCTGGGTGACAAAATCCATTTGTACACCAAGCCCCAGTGACACACAGTTTTCCCATGTAACAAATGTGCATCTGTACCCCCTATATCTAAAATAAAAATTGGAAGAAAAATAAAGGTCATTTAGCATTATGCCATTAGTGAAGAAAAAAGAATGAAAAGATTGAAGAAATCCTAAGAGACTTGTGAGCCACTATCAAGCAGACCAACATTTGCATTATGGGAGTCCCAGAGAAGAAGAGAGAAAGGACTAGAAAGTGTATTTGAAGAAATAGTGGCTAAAATCATCCCAAATCTGGGGAATGAAATGGACATTTAGATCCAGGAAGCCCAAGGGACCCAAGTAGAAGGAAGCCAAGAAATCCACACTGAGAAACAGTATAAATGAGTTGTCAAAAGTCATATACAAAGACAGTTTTGAAAGCAGCAAGTAAAAAGTGACTTGACATGTACAGGGGAGCCCCCATAAAACTATGAGTGGATTTCTCAGCAGAAACCTTACAGATCAGAGAGAATGGGATGATATATTCAAAGTGCTGAAAGAAAAATTATCAACCAACAACAGTACACCCAGGAAAACTGTCTTTCAAAAATGGAGAGACAAGGAGTTTCCCAGACAAACAAAAGCAGAGGGAATTTACCATGACTAGACCTGCCTAACAAGTAATGCTGAAAGGAATTATTTAAGTTGAAACTCAAGGATGCTAAACAGTAACATGAAAGTATAAGACTCATTGGTAAAGATAAATATATAGATAAATACAGAATACAGTAATATTGTAATAGTAGTTTACTATTAAGCTCTTCAGTTTAATTAGGTCCCATTTGTCAATTTTTGTTTTTGTTGCAATTGCTTTTGGAGTCTTTAAAAATGACCTGTCCTCAAGCTCACTAATTATTTATAGTATACTATTACAATAGTAATGTAATAGTAATTGTAATACTGTACAGAATACAGTAATACTGTTATAGTAGTATACCAGAATTAAATCACTTTTAGTTCTGGTATACGAGTTAAAAGATAAAAACGTTAAAAACTAACTGAAGATGTTAATAATACAACATAAAATATATAAATTGTGACATGAATAAAGTGCAGGAGGGGGAGAAGTATAAGTGTAGTTTTTGTATGCAATTGAAATTAAGTTATCAGCTTAGACTGTTAACAACTATAGAAGATTTTACGTAAGCCCGATGGTCAACACAAACAAAATTCCTATGGAAGAATCACAAAAGAAGAAAAAGAAAAGCATTATCGATATATACAAAAAGCAGTGGAACACAAAGGCAGCACTAAAGGAAAAAGGGACAAAAGAATTACAAGACAGAAACAATTAGTGAAATGACAATAGTTAAGTCCTTACCTATCAATAATTACTTTAAATAAGTTAAACTTCCCAATCAAAACACAGAGTGACTGAATGGATAAAAGAACAAGACCTAATGATGTGATGTCTACAAGTGACCCTCTTTAGATTTTTTTTTTTTTTTTTTTTGAGACGGAGTTTTGCTCTGTCGCCCAGGCTGGAGTGCAGTGGCGCGATCTCAACTCACTGCAAGCTCCGCCTCCCGGGTTCATGCCATTCTCCTGCCTCAGCCTCCCGTGTAGCTGGGACTACAGGCGCGCGCCACCGTGCCCGGCTAATTTTTGTATTTTTAGTAGAGACGGGGTTTCACCGTGTTAGCCAGGATGGTCTCGATCTCCTGACCTCGTGATCCGCCCGTCTCGGACTCCCAAAGTGCTGGGATTACAGGCGTGAGCCACCGCGCCCGGCCGATCCTCTTTAGATTTAAGGATACATACACTAAAAATGGAGAGATGGAAAAAGATATTCCATACAAATGGTAACCAAAAGAGAGGAGGGTGGCTATATTTATGTCAGACAAGATAGACTTTAAATCAAAAACAGTCATGAGAGACAAAGAAGAACAAAAATAATAATAAAAGGGTCAATTCACCAGGAAGATATACAGTTATAAATATGTATGCACCCAACATCAGCATCTAAATATATAAAACAGACATTGACAGAACTGAAGGGAAAAATAGTAATACAATAATTGTGGGATAATTCAGTATAACCCACTTTTAACAATGGATAGAACATTCAGACAGAAAACAGGTAAGCAAACAGCAGACTTGAACAGCGCTATAGACAACATGGACCTAACATGTATACAAAACATTCTACCTGACAGTGGCAGAATATATATTTCTCTCATGCACAGATAGGACATTCTCCATAATAGATCACATTATGTCACAAAACAAGTCTTAACAAATGGAAGACTGAAAACATACCAAGTATCTTTTCTGACCATAATGGAACAAAACTAGAAATCAGTAGCAGAAGGAATACTGGAAAATTCACAAATATGTGGAAATTTAACATACTCTTGAATAACCAGTGAGTCAAAGAAGAAATCAAAAGGGAAATTAGAAAATATCTTCGGATGAAAGCACAATATATTAAAACGTGGGATATAGCAAAAGCAGTACTGAGGGAATTTTATAACAATAACTAAATTTAAAAAGAAAAATTTCAAATAAGCTAATGTTACACCTCAAGGAACTAGAAAAAAAGAATGAACAGCCAAAAATTATCAGATAGAAGGAAATAAAATTTAGAGCAGAAATAAATGGAACAGAAAATTGAAAAAAATAGAAAGAAATCAGTGAAACTGAGAGTTGGTTTTTTGAAAAGACAAGTTTGACAAACTTTTAGTTAGATTAAGAAAAGAAGACTCAATAAAATTCAAAGTGCAAGATGAGACATTATACCTGATGCCACAGAAACAAAAATAATCATGAGACTACCATGCCCAATTATAGGACAATAAATTGAATAACCTAGAAGGAAAGAAGAAATTCCTAGAAACATATAACCTATGTCATGAAGAAATATGAAATCTGGACAGACCTATAACTAGTAAGGAGATTGAACCAGCAATCAAAAACCTTCCAACAAAGAAAATCCAGGACCAGATGGCTTCACTGGTGAATTCTACCAAACATTTAAAGAGTATTTAATTCTAATTCTTAAACTCTTCTAAAAAATTAAAGAGGAGAAGACACTTTCAAACTAATTCTTTAAGGCCAGCATTACCCTCATACTAAAGCGAGGTAAATACTACAAGCAAAGACAACTGTAAGACAATATCCCTGATGAACATAGATGTAAAAATCCTCAACAAAATACTAGCAATTGAAATTCATCTCTATATTAAAAGGATCATACACCATGACCAGGTGGCGTTTATCTCTGGAATGCAAGGATGGTTCCAAATACAAAAATCAACTAAAGTGATACACTACATTAACAGAATGAAGGGTAACAATTACACGATAATTTCAGTAGATGCAGCAAAATGATTTGACAAAATTCAACATCTTTTATGATGAAAACTCTCAAACTAGGAACAGAAGGCAATTACCTCAACATAATAAAGACTGTATATGAGAAGCCCATAGCTAACATCATACTCAGTAGTAAAAAACTGAAAGCTTTTCCTCTAAGATCAGGAAGTATGCTGAATACTTTTATTCAGCATAGTCCTAGTCACAGCAATTAGGCAACAAAAAAATAAAAGCGTCTAAATTGAAAAGAAGTAAAATAATCTGTTTTTGCAGATGACATGATCTTATATGTAAAACACTCTAAAGACACCACAAGGCTGGGTGTGGTGGCTCACACCTGTACCCCAGCACTTTAAGAGGCCAAGGCGGGCAGATCACATGAGATCAGGAGTTTGAGACCAGCCTGGCCAAAATGGTGAAAGCCCTTCTCTACTAAAAATACAAAAATAAGCCAGCATGGTGGCAGGTGCCTGTAGTCCCAGCTACTCAGGAGGCTGAGGCAGGAGAATCACTTTAACCTGGGAGGCAGAGGTTGCAGTGGGCCGGGATCATGCCACTGCACTCCAGCCTGAGTGACAGAGCAAGACTCTGTCTCAAAAAAAACAAAAAACAAAAAAAACACAAAAACTTATTTGAACGATTAAATGAATTTGGTAAAATTGTAGATTATAAAATCAACATACGAAAATCAGTTGTGTTTCTATATCCTAGCAATAAACTACCTGAAAAGGAAATAAAACAATCTCATTTACAATATCATCAAAAAGTATAAAATATTTAGGAATAAACTTAAGAAGTAGAAGATATGTATGCTGGAAAACAATGATGAATAAAATTTAAAAAGATGCAAGCAAATGGATGCACATCCCATGTTTATGAGTTGGAAGACTTAATATTGTTAAAATATCCATACACCCAAAGCAGTCTACAAATTTGATGCAATCTCTATCAAAATCTCAATGGCATTTTTTAACAGAAATAACAAAGCAACCCTGAAGTGTATATGGAACCACAAAGAAGCTCAAATAGCCAAAACAATCTTGAGAAGAACAAAGTAGGAACATCATACTTCCTGATTTCAAAATACATTGCAATGCTATAGTAATTCAAACAGTATGATACTGTCATAAGAGAAATGAATCTGTACATATATGGCCAACTTATCTTTGACAGGATGGAGTGCCAAGAATACACAATGAGGAAAGGATACTTTCTTCAACAAATGCTATTGGGAAAACTGAATATCCACATACAAAATAATGAAATTGGACATTGACACCCATACACAAAAATTAATTCAAATTGGATTAAATACTTAAATATAAGACCTTAAGCTGTAAAACTCCTAGAAGAAAACATAGGGGAAAAGCTTCATAACATTAGTCTTAGCAGTGATTTCGTGGATATGCTACCAAAAGTATAGGCAACAAGAGCAGTAACGAGTGAGACATCATCACTTCTGCACAGCAAAAGAAACAATCAACAGAGTAAAGAGATAACCTACCAAAATGGAAGGAAATATGTATAAATCATATATCTGATAAAGGAGTAAATAATTAAAATGCGTAAGGAACTCTTATAACTGAATAGCAAAATTAAGCAAAAAAAACAACCTGATTGAAAAAATAGACAAATAACTTGAATAGATATTTCTCCAAAGCAGCAGCAGCAATAGCCAGCAAGTATATGAAAAAATGCTCAACATCATTAATCATCAGGAACATGCAAATCAAAACCACAGTATCACCTCACACTTGTTAAAAGGGCTATTACCAAAAAAACAAAAAACAAAAGATAACAAATGTTGGCAAGGGTGTGGATAAATTAGAACCCTTGTACACTGTTGGTGGGAATGTAAAATGGCACAGCAGCTATAGAAACAGTATGGAGGTGTCTCTAAAAATTAAAGACAGAATGACCATGTGGTCCATCAATCCCTGTGTGAATATCCAAAATAATTAAAATCAGGATCTCAAAGAGATATTAGCACTCCCTTATTCATTGCAGCATTATTCACAGTAGCCGAGAGGTGGAAAAAACCTAAATGTTTGTTGATAGATGAATGGATAAAGAAAATGTGATGTATAAATACAATGGAATATTATTCAGTCTTAAGAAAGAAATCCTGCAATTTGTGACAACATGGATGAACCTTGAGGACATTATGTTAAATGAAATAAGCCAGTCACAGAGGGTCGAATACTTGATATTTCCACTTATATGAGTTATCTAAAAGAGCCAAACTCATAGAAGCAGAGAGTAGGATGATGTTCGACAGGAACTGGCAGGAAAGGAAAATTGGGAGTTGCTATCAATGGGTATTAAGTTTCACTTACACATGTAGGAGTGAGCTCTAGAGAGCTGCTATAGAACACTGTGCCTTTAGTTAACAACACTGGATTGTACACTTAAAAGTTTGAGTGTAGATCTCATGTTAAGTGTTCTAACTATAAAAATAATTTTAAATATTAAAATGTTTAAACTTTTAAAATTAAAAAAATCTTGAAACAAGGAAATTAAGTAGGAGGAAAAAGAATCAAGGAGAAATAGGAACAAGGAGAGGAAAATATTTTTAAAAATCTTCATTGAGATAAGAAAATATGTATTTTATCCGTTAAATAAGAATAGGATGCTATGAAGAAGAGGCTGTTCTAAGAACAATGAAGTGCAAAAGCAGAATGGAAAACTCAGTAAAAGGATTAAAATATTAAGTTGAGATTTACCAGAAAAAAAAATCATAAGAAAAAAAGGAGGAAAAAAGAGGAGAAAATAAAGAAAAAAAAAGATTAAAATTTAGAGGAAAAAAATATAAGATAGAAGAACAGTATATGAAATCCAACATCAAATAATAGGAGTTCCAGGAAAAGATAACAGAAAAAAGGGAAGAAAATTATTAAGAAATAATTCAAGAACATTTTTCGAGCTATAAATTATGAGTTTCCAGGTTAAAAGGACCATAGTGTGCCTAGTACAGTAGATGAAAAACACCAAGGCACAGCATTAGAAATTCTAAAACACCTGGGAGTGGAATAAATGGAATGGATTTATGCAATTTGGTAGCATTTGAGATTAAATAGATTTAAAAATATAGAGGGACCAGGAGTGGTAGCACACACCTGTAATCACAGCACTTTGGGAGGCTGAGGCAGGCGGATTGCTTGAGGTCAGGAGTTTGAGACAAGCCTGGCCAACATGGCGAAACTGTCTCTACACAAATAAAATATTAGCCGGGTGTGGTGGTGGATGCCTGTAATCCCAGCTACTCAGGAGTCTGAGGCAGGAGAATCACTTAAACCCAGGAACCGGAGGTTGCAGTGAGCCAAGATCACACCACTGCATTCTAGCCTGGGCGACAGAGCAAGACTCTTCTCAAAAAAGTGTGTGTGTGTGTATAAAACTAAACAGATGAGGAAAGGGACTTGTATTGACTCCAGGAAAAACAAAAGGTGGTTTTGATATACCACCAGAGTAAACAGCATTTTTATAACATTTTATCATCATATGTCTATATGAATATTGATCTAACTTAATATATGATATAACAATATGGGAACGATGGGAGAGGTAGGAAAGGTGGGGATGGGCGAATATACAGGTAATAGCCTTATTCCATAGTGGGAAGTCACTAGAAAGCTTAAAACTGATATTAAGTAATAGCAGTTTACGTACAGTTGTCCCTTGGTATCCATGGGGGTTGGTTCCAAGACCTCCCTTGGATACCAAAATCTGTGGATGCTGAAGTCCCTGATATAAAATGGCATGGTATTTGCATGTAACCTATGCACATCCTCCTATATACTTTAAATAATCTTTAGATTACTTATAATACTTAATGCAATGTAAATGCTATGTAAATAGTTGTTATACTGTATTGTTTAGTGAATAATGACAAGAAAAAAAAAAGGCTGTATATGTTGAGTATGGATGCAATTTTTTTCCTGAATATTTTCAGTCCATGGTTGGTTGAATCCACAAATGTGGAACTCATAAATACAAAGGGCTGACTGTATGTTATTTAGTGATGCGATTTTTAATGGCACATAGGTATAACATATATAAAATATAACAGGCAGCTCACATGTGTGCTACCTGTCTCTTAGATCAATAATCCGCATGGTAGAAAAGTCTAGAGAGGAAGGCAGGGTAAGAGAACCAGAATAGACTATAGATTATTTACTATATTGATCCATCAAGGCTTATTTTTTTCTGTCTCATCCAAAACCTTCAAATATAATACCATCATTTAGTATGGGCTGGGGGCCTAAGGTGGGGTAGGGAGTAACCCATCATTTGTAGGCTGTTGTTCAAAGTCTTACACTATTTCTTCTCTGCTGTTTTAGACTGGGAGTGTCCCAACTTGGAAGAACACATGCAGTGGAAGAATTCTACTCTTCTGGATACCAGTAAAGCAGTAGCGATAGAGAAGGCACCACAGTTTTCAAATGTCTCAGCAATTTTCAGTGAGTTGCACACACAGGGGAACATTTCTCATCTATGTTGGAAAAGCAAAGTATTTTTTCTCTTGAATGATTTCTAAGCTAAGTCTATCAGTTGGATTGCCTTTGGCTACAGATAATATCTAATAATAGCATAAGTATGTATGAGTTTACTTTTTTATTTATTTTGAGATGGAGTCTCACTATGTTGCCCAGGCTGGAGTGCGGTGGCATGATTTAGGCTCACTGCAACCTCTGTCTCCCAGGTTCAAGCAGTTCTCCTGCCTCAGCCTCCCTAGTAGCTGGGGTTACAGGCACGTGCCACCACAGCTAGTTAATTTTTGTATTTTTATAGAGATGGGGTTTCACTATGTTGGCCAGGCTGGTCTTGAACTCCTGACCTCAGGTGATCTGCCTGCCTTGGCTTCCCAAAGTGCTGGGATTACAGGTGTGAGCCACTGCTCCCAGGCACATCAAGCTAATTTAAACAATTTTTTCTAGAGATGGAGTCTCGCTATGTTGCCCAGGCTGGTCTCAAACTCCTGGCCTCAAGCAATTCTTCTACCTTGGCCTTCCAAAGTGCTGAGATTATAGGCATGAGCCATTGCACTCAGTCTTTTATAACTTTTTATTTTGAACTATTTTTAGACTTTTCATTTAGTCTTTCTTTTTTTCTGTTTCATGATCCTATCCTGGATCCCATGTTGCATTTAATTGTTATTTCTCCCTAGTCTCCTGCAGTTTGTAATACTTCCTCAGTCTTTCAGATTACTGATGTTATTTTGTAGAATGTCCCTTAGTTGGGATTTGTCTTGATGTTTCCTCGTGATAGGAATGAAGTTATGGCTGGGTGCAGTGGCTGACACCTGTAATCCCAGCACTTTGGGAGACTGAGGTGGGAGGACTGCTTGAGGCGAGGAGTTTGAGACCAGCCTGGGCAACATAGTGAGACCTCTATCTCTACAAAAAATAAAAAATGAGCCAGATGTGATGGTGCACGCCTGTAGTCCCAGCTACTCAAGAGGCTGAGGTGGGAGAATGAGAGGATCGCTTGAGCCCAGGAGGTCAAGGCTACAGTGAGCCACGTTTGTACCACTGAACTTCTGCCTGGGTGACAGAATGAGGATCTTCTCAAAAAAAAAAAAAAATGAAGTTATGCAGTTTTTGGTAAGAATACCACAGAAATGATGTTGTGCCTTTGCAGTGTATCATATCATATCAAAGGGTTCATGATGTCCCCCCATTTTTATTTGAAGAATATTATGTCTTACTAGTGGTGATGGTAAATTTCATCATTTAGTTAAGGTGGTATCTGCTGAATTTCTCCAATTAAAGATTATGTTTTCTCTTTGTAATTTTTGAATATCTACAAAAAGATAGTTTGAGACTGTAAACTCTGTTTCTCCTCAAACTTTATTTCACTAATTTTAGCAGCCATCAGAGGAGCCAGCTGACTTCAACCTTTATTACTGTGGTGTTTGTCCAAGGGTGATTTTTTATTCTGTTCTTTCCTGCTACTTTTATTAATTGGAATTTTACTGTAAAAGAAGAACTTTCTCTTTTCTGCCATTTGTTTGTTTATTTGATTACTTATTCAGTGTAGACTCATGGATATTTATTCTATGGTTTGAAATCCAATATTTTCATCATTCGTTCATTTATTTATTTATTTCTAGTATATATGTATAGAGTAGTTTCAGAAGTGTTAACCCAGGCTCCTGTAAGAAACACATTTAGTAAATAAATTACAGCATTTGCATACAGTTCTTTTTGTCTTTAGCATTACAGCATCCAGTCAAAATACTAATTTTCCAAAGTTATGTAAGTTCATTTTCTCCCCACCTCCCTTAGCATATGAGAAGTTATTCACTTGTAATATGTATAGCTAGACTCATTTGTTATTGATTCACTTTTGCATTCACCTTTCCTGTTTGGTTTTGTTTATGTATTCGGGAATATGAAATATTACTATGGTTTTAAGAGTCATAGCTATATAAAAAGTTATTCTCAGAAAATTGTCACTTTCTCCTTCTTCCAGCTACCATTCTTCTCTTCTTTCTACCCCTTTCTCACTTAACCCCTATGGATAACTGGTCTTTTTAGTTTTTGGCTTATCCTTCCTGTGTTTCTTTTGTACAAATCAGGAGATATCCATGTATTTCTTTATATCCTCTTCTTTGTTACATGAAGGGTACCGTGCTATATAGCTACTCTTTTTTCACTTTGATTTTTCCACCTAACAGTATGTACTGGAAATCACTCCACATTGGTTTACATAGAGATCTTCCTTTTATTTTTTACAGCTGCATAGTACTCCACTCTGTGGATGTACTTTTGTTGATTCAAAAATACCTATAAATTGGGTATTTAGGTTTTTCCCCAGTATTTTGCCACCATCAACAATACTGCAATGAATAAACCTATGATATATATTTTCATGTTATTGGCAGTGTGTCTTCAAGGTAGATTTCCAGAGGTAGGATAGCTGGGTCAAAAGGTAAGTGCATATATCATTTTATTGGATATTGCCAAATTTTCCTCCAGAAGGATTATAACAGTTTGCATTCCCAACAGCAGTGTGTTAAAGTGCTGGTCTCACTATATCCTTACCAACAGAATGTGTTGTCATATTTTTTTTTAATTTTTGCTACTCTAATAGGTGACAAATGGTATCTCTGTGCTATTTTAACTTGCATTTCCATGATTATATGTGAGTTTAAACATTTTTCATATGTTTAAGGGCCATTTTTATTTGAAGAATATTGGCCTTTTGTCTGTTGTATATATTATGAATATTTTGTCCCAGTTTGTCAGTTGTCTTTTTGTTCATGGTATGTTTTGTCATGCAAAAATTTTTTATTCATACTGGGTTTATGTTTCTCCCATACCAGCCCAGAGCTAGTGTAGCAGTTCTCTAATATCATCAAGATCATAGGGTCTTATGTCAACATACAACCAAGTGTGTTGGCTTGTTCCCCATAGTTGCAAGGTGGTTGCTAAACTCTAGGTGTCACAGCCGTGTTCCTGGTAGAAAGAATGAGATAGGGCAGGAGTAGCCCCACATGTATTCTTTTATTGGAAGAAGAAAAGCTTTCCCAGAAATTCCCAGCTGACTTCTACTTTGGTCTATTGGCCAGAACTGGGTCATGCATCTATCTACCACCAGGGAGGCTGAGAAACCAAGTATTTTGCTTTCCTATCCTCTATTGTGGTAGAAGGCAAGGAAAATGAAGAAGAGGAGTAGGAATGGATATTGTCAGCCCACCTATTAGAGCCTGCCACTAAGAAAGGGTCATATTAGTCAAAGAACATTGAGTTAGGGGTCCTTTATTGGAAAGTTGATAGCTGTCTGGATGGCCATATTTCTACAGTGTTTGAAGGCCTTGTCTTCTGTGTTATGTTTAGTTTGGCAACTCCTTTACTGAAACAAAATTCTCAAAGAAGCAGGCTGTCTCTTTAGCAAATACTTTGGTTAGGATTCTTGTCCATTGCAAATGTCAAAAAATCTAACAGTATTAGGTTAAAAAGGGAATTTGTTACCACGTGTACTTGAAAAATTCAGCAATAAATCAGGTGCAAATGCAACTTGATCCAGGGTTTCAAATGATATCGGTAGGATCCATTTCCTCTCTATCTCTTGGCTCAGGATCCCTCTATGTCAGTTATGCTCTCAGACAAGTCCCTTCTTAGAGCAACTTTTGCTGGCTGTGGGCTTACATAATCACAGCCTCAAATACATTGAAAAAAGTGCTTCTCTTTCCCAACAATTTGAACTGAAGTCCTGGACCTTACACATGGGCTTCATTAGTTTATATGCCTTACCCTGAACCAGTCACTTTGTCCAGCGAGATGCAGGGCTCTCACAGCATTGAGTTATAGGCTATGCCTGGACCCTCGGGGGAAAAAAAATGAGGTGACTGTTACCAGCAAAAACAGAGTAGATGCTAGATGATGAGGGTCCACTGTAGCCTTTTATGTTTTGAGAACCTCCCTTTGAGGAAATGCTTAAAGGCATCATCCACTTTGTCTCCTCTTAATTGGTGAGATTTAAAAATTCTAATCTAACATAAGTACCACAGAAACTAAAGGTTTTAATTTCTTTAGACAACTATACCCATGGTTCTTTATATTCCTAGTAATATCTTAATGTACCTGAGGCAGTCAAATGTTGGCTGGCAGAAATTTTCTTGACTAATCAATCTATTAGTATGCATTTCTATATATTTGATACTGGACTAGTATTTGACTGTGAGTTTTCTAATTTTTTTTTTTTTTTTTTTTTGAGATGGAGTATCACTCTTGCCCAGGCTGGAGTGCAGTGGCGCAATCTCGGCTCACTGCAGCCTCCACCTCCTGGCTTCAAGCAATTCTCGTGCCCCAGCCTCCCAAGTAGCTGGGATTACAGGCATATGCTGCCACGGCCGGCTAATTTTTGTGTTTTTAGTAGAGATGGGGTTTCACCATGTTGCCTGGGCTGGTCTTGAACGCCTGACCTCAGGTGATCCACCTGCCTCGGTCCCCAAAAGTGTTGGGATTACAGGCGTGAACCACTGTGCCCGGCCTAGTTTTGTAATTTGACCAGTTATTTTTTTCTTATATGTAAAATGGGGATAATAAATTGATATATTTACCTGACAGGATTGTTGTAAGAATCAAGTAAGATAATACACGTGAAAAGACTTCAAAAATTATAAAGAACTATTCAAATACAAGGGAGAGATTCCTGTATCTCATAAAATTTTGCAGCATTTTTTTACTTTGATATTTTGAAAATATTTTTACCTAATTTAAGTGGCAGACATAAAAACAATATTTAAAAAGTTATAAAAATGAACTGCACTTGGGGGAAAATATTCATTTTTACCTAATTTTTGCCTTCGAATTATATTTCTAATAGATTGTTTTTATTTTCTCTCCTAGGTACCTCTTCAGAAGACTATCAGAAATGCCATAGAAAAACGTAAGAACTAAAAATTTTAAAATTGTTGAGCTTCTGAAACCCTGTATTATAATAGTTATATAGCAAATATGATTGTTAGTCCACAAACTCAGGTGTTCATTTATTATTTGTTGAGGACTCACTATGTGTCAGGACTGTTGTAATTGCTAGAGATATAGTAGTGAACAAAATTGATTAAAAACGAAATCTCTGCCCTCAGCAATGATAGCAAAAAGGAAAAGTTTGAGAAAAATTCAAGAGGGATAGTCAATAGTTTTTAGTGACAGATTGGAAGAAGTTGAAATCCAAGTTGGCTCTCAGCCCTCTGACTTAGGAAATTGGATGAAAACTTGTTCACTAGGTGAGGGAACACAAATGAAAACACAAGAGTGGGTTGGGGTAATACTGAGGTACCGACAGCACTTTGAAGTGGAGATGTCCAACAACAAATTGGATGGCCCAGCCTGGAGAGCAAGGTAAAAGTCCTGGGCTGAAGGCATAGTTGTCTCCTTGGGAAAGAATGTAGAGTGAGAAGAGAGTAGCGTTAGTATGATAGCCTCTTTATAAATATGCCTGTATCTAAATGGTGAGAAATTTCTGAAGAAAAGAAAATCTGTTAGCTGTTTTTTTGGGTGAATTGTCCTTCAGTAAATGACAGTGACAATTGTAAATATAAATGACTAAGGTGACCAGAGATGATGATGGACTTGCTTAAAAAATTCCTTCCACAATTTATAATGTAATATTTTCTTAAGGAGGATAGAATGGTATTTGGATAATAATGATACCAGATTTGAGTGCCTATTATCTACTAGACATCTGGCATTCTCTTTATTTAAGTAGCACATTCACAAAGTAAAACCCCTACAACTTTGACTTAGTAGCTAATGGAGACGGGGTTTTATTTATATTGCGATAACTTCTTTGTAGATCCACTTTAATGACTGTTGCCTATGTATTGAAATGGAGCAAATGTAATAAAACACTTGATTATGTGTATCTGAGACTATTTCCTGTCTCACCTAAATACTGACCTCTCTTTGAAAAATAAAACCTACTACTTACATGTGCAAAGAAAACATAGCTTCATTTATTTTTTTTTTTAAATAACTCATCTAAACTTCTCTTAAACCCTCATCACCCTTCTCCCCTATTTAGCTGGGAAATAATGAGTTAAACTTACTTACTGTCATCCATTTACTTCTGGTTAGAAGTCCTCTTTGGGTAAATGCTGAATCTCGGATTTTCTCCCCATTCCATAGTCCTGAGAATGGCATATTGGTAGGTGATCATATCCCTTTATCTGCCTGGGCAGTTTCAGTATATGCCTGTTTTTCTGACATAATTCTTAATAGAGTACCCTTGTACTCTCAGAAATGTTCCAGTTTGGACAAATAGTCACCCTAAATGTTAAGTGTTTAGGAATAGGGGCAGACCTTACGTAGCCTTGTAGCAGTGCTGGGGAAAGGGTAAGGTTGGGATCTGAGGGTATCTGGAATCCCATAAGCTGTCTCTGGATTTTTACTGATACATGCTGCAAGGCTTCTAGACTGGTTCTATACCTGGTCTGGGCTCCACTGAAAAAATCATTGACTCATAAACTTAAGGCCTTATTTAGGACCTGAGGTCCTCCATTGCTGATTTTACCTCACCTTGGTTTTTGTTGTTTTCTCAAACCCTTTGAGTCTCATTGAAGTCCTATATCCAGACTTTGACTGGGTGGCTTTCCACAACCTTTGTAGTAGAGTCACTTCACCACAGAACACCTATGCCAGGTGTTTTGGCTGTAAATTTGGCCACTTTCTTCATTGCCCTTGGTGTATGGAACCTTGAGAACTTGTTCTCAATGCCCAGGAATTAAGAGAATCTCAGGAGAGCTAACTGATGCCCCCTCTCTGCCTGAACATCCCCAGCTCTTCTTGTTATGTTGTTTCCACCCTGTATGGACATCTCCTAGAGTTCTAAACAGGGAGTTAGTACATACTCCCTCTTCTTTTGACTTTCTCTTCATCTCTTCTAATGTCATCTTCCCATTTATTACCCCTATCTGCATATTTGGGCCTTGAGGGAGAAAAGTCAGCTCCCATTGTCTGCTTGTTTTCTAAGTCTTTGTCCCCCTTCTCTTTCTAATAATGCTCTAGACTGGAAGGTGTGGAGGAGAGATCTATCTTTGTTAACTTCCTTAGCTTTTTCTGTATCATATGGTTGTCTTAGTCTGTTTTCTGTTGCTTATTACAAAATACCTGAAACTGGGCAATTATATTATAAAGAAAAAGAATTCCTTTCCTTCCCTTTCCTTCCCTTCCCTTCCCTTCCCTTCCCTTCCCTTCCCTTCTCTTCCCCCTTCCCTCTTCCCCCTTCCCCTTCCCCTCCCCTCCCCTCCCTTCCTTTTTCTTTTTCTTTTCTTTTTCTCCTCTTTCTCTCTCTTTCTTTCTCTCTCTCTCTCCCCTTCCTTCCATCTGTCTGTCCATCCTTCTTCCTTCCTTCCTTCTTTCCTTTCTTTCTTTCTTTTTTTTTTTTTTTGAGACAGAGTCTTACTCTGTTGCCCAGGCTGGAGTGCGGTGGCACCATCATAGCTCACTGTAACCTCGAACTCCTGGGTTCAAGTGATCCTCCAGCCTCAGCCTCCTGAGTAAATAGGACTACAGGCATGTGCCACCATGCCTGGCTAGGAATTTATTTCTTACAGTTATGGAGGCTAAGAATTCTAAGGCCAAGGCTGCAGTTAGTGAGGGCCTTCTTGCTGATGGGGACTCTCTGCAGAGTCCCGAGGTGGCACAGGGCATCACATAGCAAAGGGACTGAACATGGTAGCTCAGGTCTCTCTTTTTCCTCTTGTAAAGCCAATCGTACCATTCCCATGATAACATATTAATCCATTACTCCATTAATCCATGAATGGCTTAATCCATTTATGAAGGCAGAGCCCTCATGATCCAGTCACCTCTTAAAGACCCTGTCTCTCAATACTACCACGTTGGCTATTAAATTTCAACACGAATTTTGGAGGGGACAAACATTCAAACCATAGCAATGGCTAATAGTAGAACTCTGTAGTTGTGTTTTAACTTACATATGTTAATAGGAACTTGAGGAATGTAGCAAAATGTTAAATGTGGTTTTCATGTTGTCTTAGAGTTTGGACAGTGGCCTTACTGATGAACACAAATCGTTGACAAGTACCCCCATTCCTTATTCTGTGTAGAATTATCTATGTGGAGTTTGTAAAAGGTGAAGTCAAAACCCAATTCTACCAGCATTAGCTTATTACTCATCTCCAAACTAAGAAAAGGCTAAGAATACATGGAGAGGATGAAAAGTCCAAGAATGTGTGTTTCTTTGATAAGAGCTATATATTGGTGTCACATGGAGCGAGGAGTCTTCTCCCTCACCTCAACACAAGAAAGGAAGCTCCAAGAGAACCATTTGGAAGGTTCAACATATGTCACTGGGAGTTAGTTTCTGACTCATACCCGGAAGGTCTAAAGGCAAAGAGGGTCTGTTAGGTGCTTTGGAATGGCAGAATAAAGAGGAAGCTAGATATACTTTCAGAGTTTGACATGACAAAGATTTGTGCATAATGCCAATAGGCCAAATATGGATTCCATAGAAGGGGGCTAATTATGATCATCTTGAAAGGGATTATGCCCAATATGACTTCCTGCAAAGGATGAAGTAACCTCACTCAAAAGCAGCTGGAGGTTCCATCATCAAAGGCAAAAGCTGAGGAGATGATAAAAAGCAGCAAGTGAGAGAGCTCCGGTGATAGGTAGAGCTCCAGTGATAGGTAAACCTCCAACGAACCCTTCAGAATACTTCAAGTTTAAAAGGGTCCACATTTGATTATGTGTCATATCCCAGAGATACCAATGGCACATAACTATATCAGTCAAGATTGAGAAAGACTTTCCTGTACATTTCTAAAACTCCTTTCCTATAATTCACTGCCAGAGGAACCCAAAGTGTAGTTTCCAAATAGGCAAGGGAAAAGAACAAGAAACAGAGATGAAACCAATGGTGGTTGCTCTTCCCACAGCATATTCTGAGTCTAAATCATGCCCAAGCTGAGAAAAGGAAAAAATTTAAATTGCATAAGGAGAGTTTGGATTTGTAATATTACACTGAACTTTTTGTTACCTAAAAATAGCTACTTATTACAAGAGAATGCCAGAAAGGTGTTAGTAAAAAGAAATCTACCTGAAAGTTCATTCAGAGGCGAGAAGGTACTATTTTGACAGGATACGTTTAAAAGGAAATATGAAAGAATAAAATTGTTTCTGTTTACTGAGTTCAACTATTCAATTAATCAGTGTAGGAATTTAGAAAATTCCCTTCTCACATTTGGTTTTCAACTGCATTTTCTTGCTACGGACTCAGAAATCCCATTTTTGTGGTCAGAGGCTGAGCTTTGATCCTTTCTTATTTATTCCTTTTGTGATAGCTAGTCCTTTCCTACACATTTAGATAGAACTGGGGGTTGTCTAGTTTGTAGAAGTACAAAATAAAAAAACCCCAGGATATTAATTTCAAAAAAACCTTTTACTGCAGTCTAGCCTGGGTAACAGAGCAAGACCCTCTCTCAATAATAATAATAATAATATAATAATAATAATAATCAATCTGTCATGTATCTTAAAATTCTTTCCACAAGAATCTTAGGAAACATGATTGCTATCCCTTTTGCATAAATGAGGTAACCAAGACTCAAGACAGGCTAAGTAGCTTTCCAAAGGCCACCCAAGTGTGAGTAGTGGAACTGGAGTTTAAAGCAAGGTCTGTCTTATTCTAAACACTATGCCCTGTCCTCTACGCATATTGTTTCACACTCATAAATGTATAAATATATTGCCTTTTTTATTAAACTATTTGTTCATATAAATACCATAACATTTTTCTAAGCAACTGTATATTTTCCCACAGGATAATTAATCTCAAATAAATATCTTTATTTTAAGTATTATTTGAGGGTTTTTGAAAGTTACTGAAGGATTTAGAAAATACCACTAAACAGTTTGTTCTTGTTATAGAGTGATGACAGTAGCAGATCAAAATGTTTCTCCAAAAGCAAAGTGTGCTTCAAATTCAGAATCAGGTAACAAATAATGAAACTAATTATTTTATGTAGTAATTGTAATATTTATGTTAAAACACGATTCTGTGTTTATTTTTGCTACCTGCAACATGCATTAACAAAGTTAGTAGCCCAGTGAACCGAGTACTTTTTAGCTTGGTTGTATTTAAGAAATGAAGATATGTGGGATCAGAAAGTGGGTCTTAGCTATCCCCACAGCATCAATCATTTATTCATTTAATAAACATTTAATGAATATGAACTCCATACTAGATATTGTTATATATACTAGTGGAAGTGATACACTTTTCCTCCCCTTGTAGATTTCAGTTGTAGGAGAGGACAATAAGTGAACATATATTGTAGTTATGCATAATGATTGAAAAATAAAGGGATAAGCAAAGTGTCTTGCAAACCCTTATGTAGTTTACTATTAGGATAAATTTAGCAAGACATTTACATCCTTATTAACCTCTGCTGTATCTCATATTTTTCTATATTTCCTGCATCAAGTTTTATAGCATCCATTTGAGAGTAAACTTGAAGAATTGCTGATTTTGCTCTTGATGGTTGTAAATGTTTGTATGTATATATATTTGCATAATCTTCATTTTAAGAAGTTATCTTAATGAGCATTTACTAAATGCCACACATTAAGTTAGGAACTGTAGGTATAAAACAATTAATATACTTTCTGTTCTAAGCAAAATTAGTCTAGTGATAAAAACTAATCTTGTAAAAGCACAAAATCCTTGGAAGGAGCAATACCTTCTACCCTGGAGGGTTAGCATTGGAAGAAGGATTTGTTTTACAGATCAAAGAATAAGGGAATGTGTGAATAACAGATGAGCACTAATTAAAGGGAAAGTGGTAAGTGTACCAAAATCAACCATGATTTTACCTAGGTTTTGCCAAATAAAAAGTGTTGCTTTAGCTGTGGAAAATATTTACAAAGCTTGGTGGTAGGGCAGAATAGTGATTCTTGAATTCTGTATGTTTCTGTATTCTTACTTTTATATGGTAACTTAAAATTTAAAATTAAATAAGCCACTTACTCTAGAGATTTTTTTTTACACATTTCTTTTTACAATTTTTTTATTATTAATATTTGTGGATACATAGATGGTGTATATATTTATGGCTTACATGAGATATTTTAATACAGGCATGCAATGCATAATAATCACATCAGGGTAAGTAGGGTATCCATGCCCTCAAGCATTTATCCTTTGTGTTACAAATAATACAGTTATACTCTTTTAGTTATTTTTAAATGTATAATTAAATTATTTTTTACTACAGTCATGCTGTTGTGCTAGCAAATACTAGGTCTTATTCATTCTTTCTATTTTTTTGTACCCATTAACCATCCCCACCTTCCCTACAAACCACTCCCCCTCTCCAACTATCCTTCTCAGCCTCTGGTAACCATCCTTCTATTCTCTATCTCCACGAGTTCAATTGTTTTTGTTTTAGATCCCACAAATAAGTGAGAACAAGTGATATTTGTCCTTCTGTGCCTGGTTTATTTCACTTATCATAATGACCTTCAGTTTCATTCATGTTGTTGTAAATGACAGGATCTCATTCTTTTTTAAGGCTGAATAGTACTCCATTGTGTTTATGTACCACATTTTCTTTATCCATTCATCTGTTGATGGACACTTAGGTTGCTTCCAAATCTTGGCTGTTGTGAATAGTGCTGAAACAAATGCGGGAGTGCAGATACCTCTTTGATACACTGATTTCCTTTTGTTTGCGTATATACTCAGCAGTAGGATTGCTGGATCGTATGATACCTCTATTTTTATGTTTTCGAGGAAGCTCCAAACAGTTCTCCTTAGTGGTTATATTAATGTACATTCCCACCAACAGTATACGAGGGTTCCCTTTTCTCCACATCCTCACCGGCATGTTATTGCCTGACTTTTGGATAAACGCCATTTTAACTGGGGTAAGATGATATGACATTGTAGTTTTGATTTGCATTTCTCTGATGATCAGTGATGTTGAGCACCTTTTCATAGACCTGTTTGCCATTTGTATGTCTTCTTTTGAGAAATGTCTGTTTAGGTCTTTTGCTCATTTTTAATTGGATTATCAGATTTTTGTTTTTCCTATAGAGTTGTGTGAGCTCCTTATATATTCTGGTTATTAATCCCTAATTAGGTGGAGTAGTTTGCAAATATTTCCCCCCATTCTATGGGTTGTCACTTCACTTTATTGATTGTTTCCTTTGCTGTGCAGAAGCATTTTAACTTGATGTGATCTCATTTGTAATTTTGCTTTGGTTGCCTGTGTTTGTGGGGTATTACTCAAGATATCTTTGCCCAGCCCAATGTCCTAGAGACTTTCCCCAATGTTTTCTTGTAGTAGTTTCATAGTCTGAGGTCTTAGATTTAAGTTTTTAATCCATTTTAATTTGATTTTTGTATATGGCAACAGACAAGGGTCTAGTTTCATTCTTTTTCATGTAGCTATCCAGTTTTCCAAGCACCATGTTAAAGAAACTGGCCCTTCCCCAAAGAATGTCCTTGGCACCTTTGTAAAAAATGAGTTCGGTGTAGATGTATAGATTTATCTATGGGTTCTCTTTTCTGATTCCTTGGTCTATGTGTCTGTTTTTTATGCCAGTACCATGCTGTTTGGGTTACTGTAGCGCCATAGTATAATTTAAAGTCACGTAATGTGATTTCTCAGTTTTGTTATTTTTGCTCAGGTTAGCTTTGACTATTCTGGATCTTTTGTGTTCCATATAGATTTTAGTACTTTATTTGTATGAAGAATTTCATTGATATTTTGATAGGGATTGCATTAAACCTACAGATTGCTTTGGGTAGTGTGGCCATATTTACAATATTGATTCTTTCAGTCCATGAACATGGAATATCTTTCCAATTTTTTGCTGTCTTCTTCAATTTTTTGCATCAGTGTTTCATAGTTTTCATTGTAGAGATCTTTCAGATCTTTGGTTAAGTCCCAGATATTTTAGTTTATTTGTTGCTCTTGTAAATGGTATTACTTTCTTGACTTCTTTTTCAGGTTGTTCACAGTTGGCATATGAAAATGCCACTGATTTTTATATGTTGATTTTGTATCAAGTAACTTTGCTAATTTATTTATCAGTTCTACTAGTTTTTTGGTGGAATCTTTAGTTTTTCTTTTAAGTATAAGACCATGTCATCTGCAAACAAAGATAATTTGACTTCTTCCTTTGCAATTCAGATGCCCTTTATTGCTTTCTCTTGTCTGACTGCTCTAGCTAGACTTCCGATACTATGTTGAATAATAATGGTGAAAGTGAGCATCGTGTCTTCTTCCAGGTTTACAAAGAAAGGCTTTCAGTTTTTCCCCATTTAGTATGATACTAGCTGTAGGTCTGTCATATATTGGCTTTTATTATATTGAGGTATGTTCCTTCCGTACCTACTGTTTTGAGAATTTTTATCATGAACGGATGTTGAATTTTATCACGATTTTCTAGCATAATTTAAATGATCATATGGTTTTTTTCCTTTATTCTGTTGATATGATGTATCATATTGATTGATTTGCATAGGTTGAACCATCCTTGCGTCCCTGGGGTAAATCTCACTTGGTCTGGAAGAATGATCTGTTTAATATGTTGTTGAATTCAGTTTGCTATTTTGTTGAGGATTTTTACATCAGTATTCTTCAGAGATATTGGCCTATAGTTTTCTTTTTTTGATATGTCTTTGTCTGGTTTTTGTATCAGGGTAATACTGATAGCATTGAATGAGTTTGTCAGTATTCCTTCATCCTCTATTTTTTGGAACAGTTTGAGTAGGATTGGTATTAGTACTTCTTTAAATATTTGGTAGAATTCAACAGTGAAGTCACTAGGTCCTGGAATTTTCTTTACCAGGAGACTTTTTATTATAGCTTCAATCTTGTTACTTGTATTGTCCTGTTCAGGTTTTGGATTTATTTATTTATTTATTTTGAGACGGAGTCTCACTCTGTTGCCCAGGTTGGAGTGCAGTGGCACAATCTCAGCTCACTGCAACCTCTGACTCCCGGGTTCAAGTGACTCTCTTGCCTCAGCCTCCTGAGTAGCTGGGATTACAGGCGCATGCCACCACGCCCGGCTAATTTTTGTATTTTTAGTAGAGATGGGGTTTCACCATGTTGGTCAGGCTGGTCTCGAACTCCTGACTTCGTGATCCGCCCACCTTGGCCTCCCAAAGTGCTGGGATTACAGGCGTGAGCCACCTGCCCGGCTCAAGGTTTTGGGTTGCTTCATGGTTCAGTCATACTAGATTGCATATGTCTACTGGCATGTAGTTGCTCATAGTAGATACTAATGATCCTTTGAATGTCTGCAGTATCAGTTGTAATGTCTCCCTTTTCATCTCTGATTTTATTTAATTGGGTTTTCTCTCTTGTTTCTTAGTCTGGCTACAGGTTTGTCAGTTTTTTTTTTACAAGAAACCAATTTTTTGTTTCATTGCTTTTTTGTATTGTTTTCGAATTCATTTGTTTCTGCTCTGATCTTTTTTTTCTACTAATTTTGGGTTTGGTTTGCTCTTTTTTAGTTCTTTTAGATGCATTGTTAGGTTGTTTATTTGAAGTTTTTATTCTTTTTGATATAAGCATTTGTAACTGTAAATTTCCCTGTTAGTACTGCTTTCACTGTAGCCTGTAGGTTTTGGTATGTTGTATTTCCATTATGATTTGTTTCAAGAATATTTTCAGTTTCCTTCTTAATTCTTCATTGACTCACTAGTCATTCAGGAGCATATTGTTTAATTTTCATGTGTTTGTTAGTTTCCAAAATTCCTCGTTATTTTTTATCTTTTATTTTAGATTCAGGTGTAAACATATCTAATTTGTTATGTAGATAAATTGTGTGTCTGTTACAGTAGTTTGGTGTGCAGATTATTTCTTCATCTATGTAATAAGCATAGTACCTGATAGGTACTTTTTCAATAGTCACCCTCCTCTCACCCTCAAGTAGGCCCCAGTGTCTGTTGTTCCTTCTTTCTGTCCATATATACCCAATGTTTAGGTCCCACTTATAAGTGAGACTGTGCAGTATTTGGTTTTCTGTTCCTGTATTAGTTTGCTTAGAATAATGGCCTCCAGATTTATCTGCGTTACTGCTGAGGACATATTCTTATTCTTTTGTATGACTGCATGGCATTCCATGGTGTATATGTACCACATTTTTTTTCTCTAGTCTACCATTGATGAACATTTAGGTTGATTCCATGTCTTTGCTATTGTGAATAATGCTGTGATAAATATGTGCTTGTATGTGTCTTTATGGTAGAATAAGTTATATTCCTTAGGGTATATACCCAATAATGGGATTGCTGGGTCAAATGGTAGTTCTGTTTTTAGCTGTTCGAGGAATTACCACACTGCTTTCCACAATGGTTGAAATAATTTACACTCCCACTAACAGTATATAAGCATTCTGTTTTCTCTGCAACTTTGTCAGTATCTGTTACTTTTTTACTTTTTAATAATAGTCATTCTGACTAGTGTGAGATGGTATCATTGTGGTTTTGATTTGCATTTCTCTAATGATTAGTGATGTTGAGCATTTTTGCATGTTTGTCGGTCGTGTGTATGTCTTCTTTTGAAGAGTGTCTGTTCATGTCCTTTGCCCACTTTTTAATGGAATGGTTCTTTGCTTATAAATTTGTTTAAATTCCTTATAGATTCTGATATTAGACCTTTGTGAGATGTATAGTTAGCAAATATTTTCTCCCATTCTGTAGATTATTGATTCTGTTGATAGTTTCTTTTGCTGTGCAGAAGCTCTTTAGTTTAATTGGGTCCCATTTGTCATTTTTGCTCTCATAGCAATTTCTTTTGGCGTCATTGTTATGAAGTCTTTGCCATGTCCTTTGTCCAGAGTGGTATTTCCTAGGTTATTTTCCAGGGTTTTGATAGTTTTGAGTCTTAGATATACGTCTTTAATCCATCTTGAGTTAATTTCTGTTTATGGTGTAAGGAAGGGATCTCCAGTTTCAGTCTTCTGCATATGGCTGGCCAGTTATCCCAGCACCATTTATGGAATGGTCCTTTCCCCATTGCTTGTTTTGGTAGATTTGTCAAAGATCTGGTGGTTATGTTTGGGTTCTCTATTTTGTTTCTCTATTGGTCTGTGTGTTTATCCATTTCTTCTAGGTTTTCTAGCTTGTGTGCATAGAGGTGTTTATAATAGTCTCTGAGAGTTTTTTGTATTTCTGTGGGGTCAGTGGTAATGTCTCCTTTGTCATTTCTAATTGTGTTTATTTGGCTCTTCTCTTTCTTTTCTTAATCTAGCTAGTGGTCTATCAGATTAATTCTTTTAGAGAAGTAGCCCCTGATTCATTGATGTTTTGTATGTTTTTTTTCATCTTAGTTTCCTTTAGTCTGATTTTGGTTATTTATTGTCTTCTGGTAGCTTTGGGGTTGATTTGCTCTTGTTTTTCTAGTTCCTCTAGTTGCGGTATTAGGTTGTTAATTTGAGTTATTTCTGACTTTTTGATGTGAGCTTTTAGTGCTATAAACTTCCCTCTTACATTGCTTTGGCTATGTCCCAGAGAGTCTGGTATGTTGTATCTTCTTCCTCATTAGTTTCAAAAAAGTTATTGATTTGTGCCTTAATTTCATTATTTACCCAGAAGTCGTTCAGGAGCAGGTTTTTAAAATTTCCATTTAATTGTATGGGGTTTTTTTCACTTCTTTAAAAATTATACTTTAAGTTCTGGGATACATGTGCAGAACGTGCAGGTTTGTTACATAGGTATACACGTGGTGGTTTGCTGCACCCATCAACCCTTCACCTACATTAGGTATGTCTCCTAATGCTATTCCTCCCCTATCCTCCAACCCCCCGACAGGCCCTGGTGTGTGATGTTCCCCTCCCTGTGTCCATGTGTTCTCATTGTTCAACTTATAAATGAGAACATGTGGTGTTTGGTTTTCTGTTTCTGTGTCAGTTTGCTGAGAATGATGGTTTCCAGCTTCATCCATGTCCCTGCAAAGGACATGAACTCATCATTTTTTATGGCTGCATAGTATTCCATGGTGTATATGTGCCACATTTTCTTAATCCAGCCTATCATTGATGGGCATTTGGGTTGGTTCCAAGTCTTTGCTATTGTGAACAGTGCTGCAATAAGCATACGTGTGCATGTGTCTTTATAGTAGTATGATTTATAATCCTTTGGGTATATACCCAATAATGGGATTGCTGGATCAAATAGTAGTTCTGATTCTAGATCCTTGAGGAATCGCCACACTGTCTTTAATACTTTTACACTATTGGTGGGAGTGTAAATTAGTTCAATAATTGTATGATTTTGAGCAATTTTCTTAGCAGTTATTTCTATTTTTATTGCTCTGTGGTCTGAGAGAGTGGTTGGTATGATTTCATTTCTTTTGAAATTTGCTGAAGATTCTTTTGTACCTGACTTTGTGATCAGTGTTTGCCATGTGCATATAAGGAGAATGTGTATTCTGTTGGTTTGGGGTGGAGAGTTCTGTAGATATCTATTAGATCCATTTGGTCAAGTGTTGTGTTAAGGCTCTGAATATCTTTGTTAGTTTTCTGCCTTGACAATCTGTCTGATACTGTCAGTGGGTGTTTAAATGTCCCATTATTATTCTGTGGTTTTCTAAATCTCTTCATAGGTCTCTAAGAACTTGCTTTATGAATCTGGGTGCTCCTGTGTTAGGTGCATATATATTTAGGAAAGATAGGTCTTCTTGTTGAATTGAGCCCCATAATGCCCTTCTTAGATTATGTAATGCCCTTCTTTGTCTTTTTTTGATCTTGGTTAAAGTCTGTTTTGTCCAAAATGAGAATAGCAGCATCTGCTTTTTTTCCGTTATTTTTTTGTTTTTTTGTTTTTTTTTAATTGGCTTGGTAGATTTTTTTTTCATCCCTTTACTTTGAGTGTGTGAGTGTCATTGTATGTGAGATGGATCTCTTGAAGACAGCATACTGTTGGGTTTTGTTTCTTTATCCAACTTGCCACTCTGTGCCTTTTAATTGGGAGTATTTAGCTCATTTACATTCAAGGTTAGTATTGATATGTGTGGATTTGGTCCTTTTGTCATGTTGTTAGTTGGTTATTATGCATACTTGTTTGTGTGGTTGCTTTGTAGTGTCACTTGTCTATGTACTTAAGTGTGTTTTTTGTAGTGGCTGGTAACGGTCTTTCTTTTCCATATTTAGCACTCCTTTTAGGACCAGTTGTAAGGCAGGTCTTGTGCTAACAAATTTGTCTGAAAAGGATCTTATTTCTCCTTTGCTTATGAAGCTTGGTTTGGCTGGATATGAAATTCTTGGTTGAAAATTATTTTCTTTTATAATGCTGAATATAGGCCCCCATTCTCTTCTGGCTTATGGGGTTTCTGCTGATAGGTCTGCTGTTAGCCTAATGGGATTTCCTTTGTAGGTGACCTGCCCCTTCACTCTAGCTGACTTTAACATTTTTTCTTTCATTTTGACCTTGGAGAATCTGATGACTGTGTGTCTTGAGACTGGTCTTCTTATGTAGTATTTTGCAGGGGTTTTCTGCTTGTCCTGAATTTGAATGTTGGCCTCTCTAGTGAGCTTGGGGAAATTTTCATGGATGATATCTTGAAATGTTTTCCAAGTTGCTTGGTTTCTTTCCTTCTCTTTTAGGTGTACCAATGACTCATAGATTAGGCCTCTTTACATAATCACATATTTTTTGGAGGTTTTGTTCATTCTTTGTCATTGTTTCTTCTTTATTTTTATCTGAGTTCTTTTGTACATCCAGGCTTCAACCTCTGAGATTCTTTCCTCAGCATGGTCAATTCTACTCTTAATACTTGCGATTGCATTATGAAATTCTCAGAGTGTATTTTTTAGCTCTGTTGCATCAGTTCAGTTCTTTCTTATAATGGCCATTTTGTCTATCAGCTCTGGTATCATTTTATTGTAATCCTTAGATTCCTTGGATTGGGTTTCGACTTTCTACTGTATGTCGATGATCCTCGTTCCTATCCATATTCTGATTCCTATTTCTGTCATTTCAGCCATCTCAGCATGGTTAACAATCATTGCTGGGGAACTAGTGGGGTTTTTGGGAGGTAAGAAGACACTCTGGCTTTTTGAATTGCCAGAGTTTTTGCACTGGTTCTTTCCCATCTTTGTGGGCTGATGTTTCTTCAGTCTTTGAAGTTGCTGTCTGTATTATTCATTTTTGCATTACTATAAAGAAATATCTGAGACCGGGTTATTTATAAAGAAAAGAGGCTTAATTGGCTCATGGTTCTGCAGGCTGTACAGGAAGCATGATGCTGAAGCTGTACCTGTACAGGAAGCATGATGTACAGGAAGCAAGATGTACAAGAAACCATCTTCCTGGTTTCTGGGGAGGCCACAGGAAACTTCTTCTTTTTTTTTTTAAATTGAGAAAGATCTCACTCTGTCACCCAGGCTAGAGTGCAGTGACACCATCTTGGCTTACCACAACCTCCACCTCCCAGGTTCAAGTGATCCTCCCACTTCAGCCTTCTGAGTAGCTGGGACCACAGGTGTGCACCACCATACCCAGCTAATTTTTTGTATTTTAGTAGAGACAGGGTTTCACCGTGTTGCCCAGGCTGGTCTCGAACCCCTGAGCTCAAGTGATCCACTCGCCTTGGCCTCCCAAAGTTCTGGGATTGCAAGCATGAGCCATTGTGCCCAGCAATCTCAGGAAACTTACAGTCATGGCAGAAGGCAAAGAGGGAGCTGGCACTTCACATGGCTGGAGCAGGAGAAGAGAGACAGGGAGAGGGAGGAGGTACTATACACTTTTAAAGGACCAGATCTCATGAGAACTCACTATCATGATAACAGCACCAAGAGGGTGGTGCTAAAGCACTTATGAGAAACTACCCCCATGATCTAATCACCTTTCACTAGGCCCCACCTCCAACATTGGACCCACTTCTAAATCTCATGACCAAACATGAGATTTGGTCAGGGGCACAGATCCAAATCATATCACTGCCCTTTGGATTTTTTTTTCTTTTGCCCTGTTTGATATCCTTGGGGGTTTTCTTGTTGTATAAGGTGGGTTCAGTCAACTGGTTTTGTTTCTGGAAGATTTTGTGGGGGGCCAAGGCTCAGCTCAGGACCTCTGGATTGTGTGCTCCAATTCTGTGGGGCTGGTATCAGGCCCCTGGCTTTGTTCTCTGGCCCCTTGAGGTGAGAAACCTGCTCACCAAGGGCCAAGGTGTTCCCAGACTGCTGGTCACAGCACTCTGATGAGTGGTGCCAGCCAAAGCTCTTCACAGGGCAGTGGCAGTGGGATTTGTACATGCCAGCAGCAGTGGCAGTGCAGCAGGGTACATACTTGTTGATTATGGCAGGGTGCTGGCAATTGTAGGGGTACCAGTGTCCATGCAGGTATTAACAGTGGTGGGGTTGGCAGCATGGCACAGGGGGGAACAGGCCCCACTGGGGTCCGTGTGCACATTCACACTGGTGGCGATGTTAGGACGAGGTGGGTGCTGGCAGGTATGGGACTCTGTGTGCCATCTGTACAGGTATCCATGCAGGCAGCAGTGGCCGCTCAGGGTAGGGGAAGGTCTGCCGGTCTCCCTATATAGTTTTGTGCCAATGGCAGTGTCAGCACAGGGACAGAGCATTGGTAGGTGTGGGACTGACGCCATCTGTGCGTGCATTCATGTGAGTGGCAGTGGCCTTGCAGGGTGTGGGGTAGGTCTGTTGGTCACCATGTGCAGTTTCACGCCAGTGGCAGTGTCAACACAAGAACAGGGCACTGGCAGGCATGGGGCTAGCAGTCTTCATGCCTGCAAATGCTTCGACAGCAATGGCAGCATGGTGGGTGAGTGGGTGGGGTGCACAGCAAGGTCCACCCATGCATACATGTGCAAGCAAAGCGGTCTAGGTGTTGGACATGGGCAAATGTGTGCAGGCAAAGCCGCACAAGGGAGGCTGCAGCAGGGGGAGGGCATGGGAGGGCTGGCGTACATCCACAGTGTCTGCTCTCCTGGAGCTCTGTACCAGTCAGGAGCAGTCTGCCAGCACAGGAGCTATGATGCTGCTCTCCCAGGAGGCACCCCACCTGGGCATCTGAGGCTACATTCAAGCAAGTGCTGCCAGGCTGGATCCCCAGGATAGGCAGGCCAACCAAGAGGTGACCAGGTAGACCAGCCCTATCTCATGGGCAAGACTACCCTGGGCTGTTCAAGTCCAACAGTTCCCCTAGGGCTAAAATCTCCTAGAGGAGGAAGGCAAGCCTTGGGGGATGGGCGTCCTTGGCTATGCTCCACTGCACATGCTCCAACACCAAACCCTCCGAGATCTGCACCAGCTGGAGTTCTGCCCCTACAGAACAAGTGTCTGTGGGGGTCATGAGGTCTCCTGCCAGGATTCCAGAGGCCCATGGTAAGGGTGGGTTGCTACTTGCCTGCTCAACTCACCCCTTCCCCAGGAGTCATTGGGGCCAGGAATGAGTCCCAGTGCGCCTTAGCCCTCTGCAGGGTTCCCAGCTTCTTTTTCCTTTAGCCTAGCATCTATGTCTTCCTTCACTCTCAATGCCTTCCCTCTGAAGATCTGCTAGGAATTCACCAGTCTTCCCAATGTCCCATTCCCTCAGCGACAGATGTTCCTCCTGGCTGTGTCTAGTCAGCCAACTTACCTCCCTCTTCCCTCTTGTTATTGACTTGTAGTTTTATTTCATTGTGGTCAGAGAAGATGTTTGATATTATTTTAGTTTTTTGGAATGTTTTAAGACTTGTTTTGTGACCTAACATATGACCTTGAGACTGATCCATGTGCTGAGGAAAAAAATGTATATTCTGAACCCATTGGATAAAATTTTCTGCAAATATCTATTAGGTTTATTTGTTCTAAATAATTGAAGACAAATGAATAAGTGAAGATTAAGTCCAATGTTTCTTTGTTGACTTTCTGTTTGGAAGATCTGTCCAGTGCTGAAAGTGGAGTGTTGCAATCTCCAGCAATTTTTGTATTAGGGCCTATTTTTCTCTTTAGCTGTAATATGTTTGCTTTATATATCTGGATGACCCAGTGTTAGGTGCATATATATTTAAAATTATTACATCTTCTTGCTGAATTGACCCCTTTATCATTATATATAACCTTCTTTGTCTTGAAATCTGTTTTGTCTGATATAAATATAGCTACTCCTGCTCTTTTTTGACTTCCATTGGCATGGAATATTTCTTTGCATCCCTTTATTTACAGTCTGTGTGTGTCTTTATAGGTGAAGTGTGTTTCTTGAAGAAAACAGATCACTGGGTCTTGTTTTTTTTTTTTTTTTTTTAAATCCATTCAACCACTCTGTGTCTTTTGATTGGACAGTGTAGCCCATTTACATTCAGTGTTACTATTGATAAGTAGAGACTTACTCCTGACATTTTGTTATTTCTGGTTGTTTTGTGGCCTTCTTTCTTTCCTTTTTGTGTTCCTATTAATGAAGGTGATTTACTCTAGTGGTATAGTTTAATTTCTTATTATTTTTTGTGTATCTGTTGTATGTTTTTTGATTTGAGGTTACTATGAGGCTTGTAAATACTATCTTATAATCCATTATTTTAAGCTGATCACAACTTAACATTGTTTGCATAAACAAACAAGTGAAAAGAAAACTAATAAAACTACATCTTAGCTTCATCTCCCCACTTTTTAACTTTTTGTTGTTTTTATTTATATCTTATTGCATTATGTCTTGAAAAGTTATTGTAGTTATTATTTTTGGCTAGTTCATCATTTAGTCTTTCTAATTGAGATAAGAGTAGAGGTCAGTTCCAAGATGGCTGAACAGGAACAGCCCCGGTCTGCAGCTCCCAGCGTGATCGACACAGAAGATGGGTAATTTCTGCATTTCCAACTGAAGTACCTGGTTCATCTCATTGGGACTGCTTGGACAGTGGGTACAGCCCGTGGAAGGCAAGCCGAAGGAGGGCGGGGCATTGCCTTACCCGGGAAGTGCAAGGGGTCAGGGGATTTCCCTTTCCTAGCCAAGGGAAGCCATGACAGACTGTACATGGAAAAACGGGACACTCCTGCCCAAATACTGTGCTTTTCCCACTGTCTCAGCAACCGACAGACCAGGAGATTCTCTCCCGTGCCTCGCTCACGGGGTCCCATGCCCACGGAGTTTTGCTCACTGCTAGCGCAGCATCCTGAGATTGACCTGTGAGGGTGGAGCCTGGCATGGGGAGGGCCTTCCGCCATTGCTGAGGCTAGAGTTGGTAAACAAAGTGGCTGGGAAGCTCGAACTGGGCAGAGCCCACCGCAGCTCAGCAAGGCTTACTGCGTCTATAGACTCCACCTTTGTGGGCAGGGCATAGCTGAACAAAAGGCAGCAGAAACTTCTGCAGACTTAAATGTCCCTGTCTGACAGCTCTGAAGAGAGCAGCAGTTCTCCCAGCACAGCGTTTGAGCTCTGAGAATGGACAGACTGCCTCCTCAAGTGGGTCCCTGACCCCCGTGTAGCCTAACTGGGAGACACCTTCTAGTAGGGGCCAATAGACACCTCATATAGGCGGCTGCCCCTCTGGGACAAAGCTTCCAGAGGAAGGATCAGGCAGCAATATTTGTTGTTCTGCAATATTTGCTGTTTTGCAGCATCTGCTGGTGATACCCAGGCAAATAGGGTCTGAGGTGGACCTCCAGCAAACTCCAGCAGACCTGCAGCTGAGGGACCTGACTGTTATAAGGAAAACTAACAAACGGAAAGGAATAGCATCAACATCAACGAAAAGGACATCCACACCAAAACCCCATCTGTAGGGCACCAACATCAAAGACCAAAGGTAGATAAAACCACAAAGATGGGAGGAAACCAGAGCAGAAAAGCAGAAAATTCTAAAAACCAGAGCACCTCTTCTCCTCCAAAGGATCGCATCTCCTCGCCAGCAACAGAGCAAGGCTGGATGGAGAATGACTTTGATGAGTTGACGGAAGTAGGCTTCAGAGGGTTGGTAATAACAAACTTCTCTGAGCTAAAGGAGCATGTTCTAACCTATTGCAAGGAAAAACCTATTTCAAGCTAAAAACCTTGAAAAAAGGTTAGACGAATGGCTAACTAGAATAAACAGTGTAGAGAGGACCTAAAATGACCTGATGGAGCTGAAAACCATGGCATGAAAACTTCATGATGCATGCACGAGCTTCAATAGCCGATTTCATCAAGTGGAAGAAAGGATATCAGTGATTGAGGATCAAATTAATGAAATAAAGCGAGAAGACAAGATTAGAGGAAAAGGAATGAAAAGGAACAAACAAGCCTCCAAGAGGCTTCTGGGACTATGTGAAAAGACCAAATCTACGTTTGACTGGTGTACCTGAAAGTGATGGGGAGAATGGAACCAAGTGGGAAAACACTCTTCAGGATATTATCCAGGAGAATTTCCCCAACCTAGCAAGGCAGGCCAACATTCAAATTCAGGAAATACAGAGAACACCACAAAGATACTCCTCGAGAAGTTACTCCTCCCTAAGACACATAATTGTCAGATTCACCAAGGGTGAAATGAAGGAAAAAATATTAAGGGCAGCCAGAGAGAAAGGTTGGGTTACCCACAAAGGGAAGCCCGTCAGACTAACAGTGGATCTCTTGGCAGAAACTCTACAAGCCAGAAGAGAGTGAGGGCTAATATTCAGCACTCTTAAAGAAAAGAATTTTCAACCCAGAATTTCATATCCAGCCAAACTAAGCTTCATAAGTGAAGGAGAAATAAAATCCTTTCCAGACAAGCAAATGCTGAGAGATTTTGTCACCACCAGGCCTGCCTTACAAGACCTCTTGAAGGAAGCATGAAACATGGAAAGGAGCAATTGCTACCAGCCACTGCAAAAACATGCCAGATTGTAAAGACCACCGATGCTAGGAAGAAACTGCATCAATTAACGGGCAAAATAACCAGCTAACATCATAATGACAGGATCAAATTCACACATAATAATATTAACCTTAAATGTAAAATGGGCTAAATGCCCCAATTAAAAGACACAGATTGGCAAATTGGATAAAGAGTCAAGACCCATCAGTGTGCTGTATTCAGGAAACCCATCTCATGTGCAGAGAAACACATAGGCTCAAAATAAAGGGATGGAGGAAGATATACCAAGCAAATGGAAAGCGAGAAAAAGCAGTAGTTGCAATCCTAGTCTCTGATAACACAGACTTTAAACCAACAAAGATCAAAAGACACAAAGAAGGCCATTACATAATGGTAAAGGGATCAATTCAACAAGAAAAGCTAACTATCCTAAATATATATGCATCCAATACAGGAGCACCCAGATTCATAAAGCAAGTCCTTAGAGACCTACAAAGAGACTTAGACTCCCACACAATAATAATGGGAGACTTTAACACCCCACTGTCAATATTAGATCAGTGAGACAGAAGGTTAACAAGGATATCCAGGACTTGAACTCAGCTCTGCACCAAGCAGACCTAACAGCCATCTACAGAACTCTCCACCCCAAATCAACAGAATTTACATTCTTCTCAGCACCGCATTGGACTTGTTCTAAAATTGACCACATAATTGGAAGTAAAGCACTCCTCAGCACATGAAAAAGAACAGAAATCACACAAACTGTCTCTCAGACCACAGTGCAATCAAATTAGAACTCATGATTAAGAAACTCACTCAAAACCACACAACTACATGGAAACTGAACAACCTGCTCCTGAATGACTACTGGGTAAATAACGAAATCAAGGCAGAAATAAAGATGTTCTTTGAAACTAATGAGAACAAAGACACAATGTACCAGAATCTCTGGGACAAAGCTAAAGCAGTATGTAGAGGGCAATTTATAGCACTAAATGCCCACAAGAGAAAGCAGGAGAGATCCAAAATCGACACCCTAACATCACAATTAAAAGAACTAGAGAAGCAAGAGCAAGCAAATTCAAAAGCTAGCAGAAGGCAAGAAATAACTAAGATCAGAGCAGAACTGAAGGAGATAGAGACACAAAAAACCCTTCAAAAATCAGTGAATCCAGGTGCTGGTTTTTTGAAAAGATCAACAAAATTGATAGACCACTAGCAAGACTAATAAAGAATAAAAGAGAGAAGAATCAAATAGACACAATAAAAAATGATAAAGGGGATATCACCACTGATCCCAGAAATACAAACTACTATCAGAAAATAATATAAACACCTCTATGCAAATAAACTAGAAAATCTATAAGAAATGGATAAATTCCTGGACACATACACCCTCCCAAGACTAAACCAGGAAGAAGTTGACTCTCTGAATAGACCAATAACAGGCGCTGAAATTGAGGCAATTATTAATATCCTGCCAACCAAAAAAAGTCCAGGACCAGACTGATTCCCAGTTGAATTCTACCAGAGGTACAAAGAGGAGCTGGTACCATTCCTTCTGAAACTATTCCCATCAATAGAAAAAGAGGGAATCCTCCCTAACTCATTTTATGAGGCCAGCATCATCCTGATACCAAAGCCTGGCAGAGACACAATGAAAAAAGAGAATTTTAGACCAATATCCCTGATGAACATCGATGTGAAAATCCTCAGTAAAATACTGACAAACCAAATCCAGCAGCACATCAAGAAGCTTATCCACCATGATCCAGTGGGCTTCATCCCTGAAATGCAAGGCTGGTTCAACAAATGCAAATCAATAAACGTAATCCATCACATAAACAGAACCAAAGACAAAAACCACATGATTATCTCAACAGATGCAGAAGAGGCCTTCGACAAAATTCAACAGCCCTTCATGCTAAAAATTTTCAATAAACTAGGTATTCATGGAATGTACCTCAAAATTTATGACAAACCTACAGCCAATATCATACTGAATGGGCAAAAATTGGAAGCATTCCCTTTGAAAACTGGCCCAAGACAAGGATGTGCTCTCTCACCACTCCTATTCAACATAGTGCTGAAAGTTCTGGCCAGGGCAACCAGGCAAAAGAAAGAAATAAAGGGTATTCAGTTCGGAAAAGAGGAAGTAAAATCGTCCCTGTTTGCAGATGACATGATTGTATATCTAGAAAACCCCATCGTCACAGGCCAAAATCTCCTTAAGCTGATAGGCAACTTCAGCAAAATCTCAGGATACAAAATCAATGTGCAAAAATCACAAGCATTCCTATACACCAATAACAGACAAACAGGGAGCCAAATCATGAGTGAACTCCCATTCACAATTGCTACAAAGAGAATAAAATACCTAGGAATCCAACTTACAAGGGATGCAAATGACCTCTTCAAGGAGAACTACAAACCACTGCTCAACAAAATAAAAGAAGACACAAACAAATGGAAGAACATTCCATGCACATGGATAGGAAGAATCAATATCATGAAAATGGCCATACTGCCCAAGGTAATTTATAGATTCAGTGCCATCCCGATCAAGCTACCAATGACTTTCTTCACAGAATTGGAAAAAACTACTTTCAAGTTCATATGGAACCAAAAAAGAGCCTGCATTGCCAAGTCAATCCTAAGCCAAAAGAACAAAGCTGGAGGCATCACACTACCTGACTTCAAACTATACTACAAGGCTACAGTAACCAAAACAGTGTGGTACTGGTACCAAAACAGACATGTAGACCAATGGAACAGAACAGAGGCCTCAGAAATAACACCACACATCTACAACCGTCTGATTTTTGACAAACCTGAGAAAAACAAGCAATGGGGAAAGGATTCCCTATTTAATAAATGGTGCTGGGAAAACTGGCTAGCCATATGTAGAAAGCTGAAACTGGATCCCTTCCTTACACCTTATACAAAAATTAATTCAAGATGGATTAAAGACTTAAATGTTAGACCTACAACCATAATAACCTTAGAAGAAAACCTAGGCAATACCATTCGTGACGTAGACATGGGCAAAGACTTCATGACTAAAACAACAAAAGCAATGGCAACAAAAACAAAAATAGACAAATGGGATCTAATTAAACTAAAGATCTCCTGCACAGCAAAATAAACTACAATCAGAGTGAAGGAAACTACCATCAGAGTGAACAGGCAACCTACAGAATGGGAGAAAATTTTTGCACTCTACTTATCTGACAAAGGGCTAATATCCTGAATCTGCAAGGAACTTAAACAAATTTATGGAGTGGACCCAAGATGGCCGAATAGGAACAGCTCCAGTCTGCGGGTCCCAGCATGAGCGACGCAGAAGATGGGTGATTTCTCCATTTCCAATTGAGGTACCGGGTTCATCTCACTGGGGAGTGCTGGAAAGTGGGTGCAGGACAGTGGGTGCAGCACACCATGCGTGAGCTGAAGCAGGGCGAGGCATCGCCTCACCCGGGAAGTGCAAGGGGTGAGAGAATTCCCTTTCCTAGTCAAAGAAAGGGGTGACAGATGGCACCTGGAATATCGGGTCGCTCCCACGCTAATACTGCGCTTTTCCAACGGGCTTCACAAATGGCACACCAGGAGATTATATCCCCCACATGGCTCAGAGGGTCCTACGCCCATGGAGCCTTGCTCATTGCTAGCACAGCAGTCTGAGATCAAACTGCAAGGCAACAGCGAGGCTGGGGGAGGGGCGCCCACCATTCCCAAGACTTGATTAGGTAAACAAAGCGGCTGGGAAGCTCTAACTGGGTGGAGCCCACCACAGCTCAAGGAGGCCTGCCTGCCTCTGTAGGCTCCACCTCTGGGGACAGGGCACAGACAAACAAAACGCAGCAGTAACCTCTGCAGACTTAAATGCCCCTGTCTGACAGCCTGACACCTCACATGGCCGCATACTCCTCTGAGATAAAACTTCCAGAGGAACGATCAGACAGCAGCATTTGTGGTTCACCAATATCTGCTGTTCTGCAGCCACCACTGCTGATACCCAGGCAAACAGGGTCTGGAGTGAACCTCCAGCAAACTCCAACAGACCTGCAGCTGAGGGTCCTGACTGTTAGAAGGAAAACTAACAAACAGTAAGGACATCCGCACCAAAAACCCATCTGTACGTCACCATCATCAAAGACCAAAGGTAGATAAAACCACAAAGATGGGGAAAAAACAGAGCAGAAAAACTGGAAACTCTAAAAATCAGAGCACCTCTCCTCCTCCAAAGGAACGCAGCTCCTCACCAGCAATGGAACAAAGCTGGACGGACAATGACTTTGACGAGTTGAGAGAAGAAGGCTTCAGATGATCAAACTACTCCGAGCTAAAGGAAGAAGTTCGAACCAATAGCAAAGATATTAAAAACCTTGAAGAAAAATTAGATGAATGGATAACTAGAATAACCAATGCAGAGAAGTCCTTAAAAGACCTGATGGAGCTGAAAACCACGGCACAAGAACTACGTGACGAATGCATAAGCCTCAGCAGCCAATGCAATCAACTGGAAGAACGGGTATCAGTGATGGAAGATGAAATGAATGAAATGAAGTGAGAAGAGAATTTTAGAGAAAAAAGAATAAAAAGAAACGAACAAAGCCTCCAAGAAATATGGGACTATGTGAAAAGACCAAATTACGTCTGATTGGTGTACCTGAAAGTGACGGGGAGAATGGAACCAAGCTGGAAAACACTCTGCAGGATACTATTCAGGAGAACTTCCCCAATCTAGCAAGGCAGGTCAACATTCACATTCAGGAAATACAGAGAACGCCACAAAGATACTCCTCGAGAAGAGCAAATCCAAGACACATAGTTGTCAGATTCACCAAAGTTGAAATGAAGGAAAAAATGTTAAGGGCAGCCAGAGAGAAAGGTTGGGTTACCCACAAAGGGACGCCCATGAGACTAACAGCTGATCTCTTGGCAGAAACTCTACAAGCCAGAAGAGAGTGGGGGCCAATATTCAACATTCTTAAACAAAAGAATTTTCAACCCAGCATTTCATATCCAGCCAAACTAAGCTTCATAAGTGAAGGAGAAATAAAATCCTTTACAGACAAGCAAATGCTGAGAGATGTTGTCACCACCAGGACTGCCCTAAAAGAGCTTCTGAGGGAAGCACTGAACACGGAAAAGAACAACCGGTACCATCCACTGCAAAAACATGCCAAATTGTAAAGACCATCAAAGCTACGAAGATGCTGCATCAACTAATGAGCAAAATAACCAGCTGACATCATAATGACAGGATCAAATTCACACATAACAATATTAACCTTAAATGTAAATGGGCTAAATGCTCTAATTAAAAGACACAGACTGGCAAATTGGATAAAGAGTCAAGACCCATCAGTGTGCTGTATTCAGGAAACCCATCTCACATGCAGAGACACATAGGCTCAAAATAAAGGGATGGAGGAAGATCTACCAAGCAAATGGAAAACAAAAAAAGGCAGGGGTTGCAATCCTCGTCTCTGATAAAACAGACTTTAAACCAACAAAGATCAAAAGAGACAAAGGAGGCCATTACATAATGGTAAAGAGATCAATTCAACAAGAAAAGCTAACTATCCTAAATATATATGCATCCAATACAGGAGCACCCAGATTCATAAAGCAAGTCCTTAGTGACCTACAAAGAGACTTAGATTCCCACACAATAATAGTGGGAGACTTTAACAACCCACTGACAACATTAGACAGATCAACAAGACAGAAAGTTAACAAGGACATACAGGAATTGAACTCAGCTATGCACCAAGCGCACCTAATAGACATCTACAGAACTCGCCACCCCAAATCAACAGAATATACATTCTTTTCAGCACCACACCACACCTATTCCAAAATTGACCACATAGTTGGAAGTAAAACACTCCTCAGCAAATGTAAAAGAACAGAAATCATAACAAACTGTCTCTCAGACCACAGTGCAATCAAACTAGAACTCAGGGTTAAGAAACTCACTCAAAACCGCTCAACTACATGGAAACTGAACAACCTGCTCCTGAATGACTACTGGGTACATAACGAAATGAAGGCAGAAATAAAGATGTTCTTTGAAACCAATGAGAACAAAGACACAAAATACCAGACTCTCTGGGACACATACAAAACAGTGTGTAGAGGGAAATTTATAGCACTAAATGCCCACAAGAGAAAGCAGGAAAGATCTAAAATTGACACCCTAACATCACAATTAAAAGAACTAGAGAGGCAAGAGCAAACACATTCAAAAGCTAGAAGAAGGCAAGAAATAAGTAAGATCAGAGCAGCACTGAAGGAAATAGAGACACAAAAAGCCCTTCAAAAAATCAATGAATCCAGGAGCTGGTTTTTTGAAAAGATCAACAAAATTGATAGACCACTAGCAAGACTAATAAAGAAGAAAAGAGAGAAGAATCAAATAGACGCAATAAAAAATGACAAAGGAGATATCATCACTGATCCCACAGAAATACAAACTACCATCAGAGAATACTGTAAACACCTCTATGCAAATAAACTAGAAAATCTAGAAGAAATGGATAAATTCCTCGACACATAAATGGATAAGTTCCTCGACCCTCCCAAGACTAAACCAGGAAGAAGTTGAATCTCTGAGTAGACCAATAACAGGTTCTGAAATTGAGGCAATAATTAATAGCTTACCAACCAAAAAAAGTCCAGGACCAGATGGATTCACAGCTGAATTCTACCAGAGGTACAAGGAGGAGCTGGTACCATTCCTTCTGAAACTATTCCATTCAATAGAAAAAGAGGGAATCCTCCCTAAATCATTTTATGAGGCCAGCATCATCCTGATACCAAAGCCTGGCAGAGACACAACAAAAAGAGAGAATTTTAGACCAATATCCTTCGCAAAAATCCTCAATAAAATACTGGCAAACTGAATCCAGCAGCACATCAAAAAGCTTATCCACCATGATCAAGTGGGCTTCATCCCTGGGATGCAGGGCTGGTTCAACATACGAAAATCAGTAAACGTAATCCAGCATATAAATAGAACCAAAGACAAAAACCACATGATGATCTCAATAGATGCAGAAAAGGCCTTTGACAAAATTCAACAACCCTTCTTGCTAAAAACTCTCAATAAATTAGGTATTGATGGGACGTATCTCAAAATAATAAAAGCTATCTATGACAAACCCACAGCCAATATCATACTGAATGGCCAAAAACTGGAAGCATTCCCTTTGAAAACTGGCACAAGCCAAAGATGCCCTCTCGCATTACTCCTATTCAACATAGTGTTGGAAGTTCTGGTCAGGGCCATCAGGCAGAAGAAGGAAATAAACGGTATTCAATTAGGAAAAGAGGAAGTCAAATTGTCCCTGTTTGCAGATGACATGATTGTATATGTAGAAAACCCCATCTTCTCAGCCCAAAATCTCCTTAAGCTGATAGGCAACTTCAGCAAAGTCTCAAGATACAAAATTAATGTGCAAAAATCACAAGCATTCTTATACACCAATAACAGAGAAACAGGGAGCCAAATCATGAGTGAACTCCCATTCACAATGGCTTCAAAGAGAATAAAATACCTAGGAATCCAACTTACAAGGGACGTGAAGGACCTCTTCAAGGAGAACTACAAACCACTGCTCAATGAAATAAACGAGGATACAAACAAATGGAAGAACATTCCATGCTCGTGGGTAGGAAGAATCAATATCATGAAAGTGGCCATACTGCCCCAGGTAATTTATAGATTCAATGCCATCCCCATCAAGCTACCAATGACTTTCTTCACAGAACTGGAAAAAACTACTTTCAAGTTCATATGGAACCAAAAAAGAGCCTGCATTGCCAAGTCAATCCTAAGCCAAAAGAACAAAGCTGGAGGCATCACGCTACCTAACTCCAAACTATACTACAAGGCTACAGTAACCAAAACAGCATGGTACTGGTACCAAAACAGAGATATAGACCAATGGAACAGAACAGAGCCCTCAGAAATAATGCCACTTATCTACAACTATCTGATGTTTGACAAACCTGACATAAACAAGCAATGGGAAAAACATTTCCTATTTAATAAATGGTGCTGGGAAAACTGGCTAGCCATATGTAGAAAGCTGAAACTGGATCCCTTCCTTACACCTTATACAAAAATTAATTCAAGATGGATTAAAGACTTACATGTTAGACCTAAAGCCATAAAAACCCTAGAAGAAAACCTAGGCAATACCATTCAGGACGTAGGCATGGGCAAGGACTTCATGTCTAAAACACCAGAAGCAATGGCAACAAACGCCAAAATTGAGAAATGGGATCTAATTAAACTAAAGAGCTTCTGCACAGCAAAAGAAACTACCATCAGAGTGACCAGGCAACCTACAGAATGGAAGAAAAGTTTTGCAATCTACTCATCTGACAAAGGGCTAATATCCAGAATCTACAATGAACTCAAACAAATTTACAAGAAAAAAACAAACAACCCCATCAAAAAGTGGGCGAAGGATATGAGCAGACACTTCTCAAAAGAAGACATTTATGCAGCCAACGGACACATGAAAAAATGCTCATCATCACTGGCCATCAGAGAAATGCAAATCGAAACCACAATGAGATACCATCTCACACCAGTTAGAATGGCGATCATTAAAAAGTCAGGAAACAACAGGTGCTGGAGAGGATGTGGAGAAATAGGAACACTTTTACACTGTTGGTGGGACTGTAAACTAGTTCAACCATTGTGGAAGTCAGTGTGGCGATTCCTCAGGGATCTAGAACTAGAAATACCATTTGACCCAGCCATCCCATTACTGGGTATATACCCAAAGGACTATAAATCATGCTGCTATAAAGACACATGCACACGTATGTTTATTGAGGCACTATTCACAATAGCAAAGACTTGGAACCAACCCAAATGTCCAACGATGATAGACTGGATTAAGAAAATGTGGCGCATATATACCATGGAATACTATGCAGCCATAAAAAATGATGAGTTCATGTCCTTTGTAGGGACATGGATGAAACTGGAAACCATCATTCTCAGCAAACTATCACAAGGACAAAAAACCAAACACCGCATGTTCTCACTCATAGGTGGGAATTGAACAGTGAGAACACATGGACACAGGAAGGGGAACATCACACACTGGGGCCTGTTGTGGGGTGGGGGGAGGGGGTGAGGGATAGCATTAGGAGATATACCTAATGCTAAATGACAAGTTAATGGGTGCAGCACACCAACATGGCACATGTATACATATGTAACAAACCTGCATGTTGTGCACATGTACCCTAAAACTTAAAGTATAATAATAATAAAATAAAAAAAAAACAAATTTACAAGAAAAAAACCCAACAAAAAATGAGCAAAGGATATGAACAGACACTTCTCAAAAGAAGACCTTTATGCAACCAACAGACACATGAAATAATGCTCATCATCGCTGGTCATCAGATAAATGCAAATCAAAAGCACAGTGAATTACCATCTCACACCAGTTAGAATGGTGATCATGAAAAAGTCAGGAAACAACAGATGCTAGAGAGGATGTGGAGAAATATGCTTTTACACTGTTGGTGGGAGTGTAAATTAGTTCAACCATTGTGGAAGACAGTGTGGCAATTCCTCAAAGTTCTAGAACTAGAAATACCATTTGACCCAGTGGTCCCCTTACTGGGTATATACCCAAAGGGTTATAAATCATGCTACTATAAAGACACATGCACACATATAAACAATATGTTTATTGCAGCACTCTTCACAATAGCAAAGACTTGGAACCAACCTAAATGTCCATCAATGATAGACTGGATTAAGAAAATGTGGCACATATACCCCATGGAATACTGTGCAGCCATAAAAAAGTATGAGTTCATGTCCTTTGCAGGGGCATGGGTGAAGCTGGAAACCATCATTCTCAGCAAACCATCACAAGGACAGAAAACCAAATACCGCATGTTCTTACCTATAGGTGGGAATTGAACAATGAGAACACTTGGACACATGGCGAGGAAATCACACACTGGGGCTTGTCAGGGGATGGGGAGCTGGGGGATGGATAGCATTAGGGTGGGGGGAGGGGGGAGGGATAGCATTAGGAGATATACCTAATGTAAATGACGAGTTGATGGGTGCAGCAAACCAACATGGCACATACCTGTGTAACAAACCTGCATGTTGTGCACATGTACCCTAGAACTTAAAGTATAATAAAAAAATAAAAAATAAAGAGATAAGAGTAGTTTACACACCACAATTACACTGTTATAATACTTTGTGTTTTTCTGTGACCTCATTATTACCAATGAGTTTCGTACCTTCACATTATTTCTTATTGCTCATTCATGTCCTTTTCTTTGTAAATGAAGTATTCTCTTTGGAATTTCTTATAGGACAGGTCTGGCACTCATGACATCCCTCAGCTTTTGTTTGTGGGAAGGTCTGTGATTCTCCTTGGTGCTTAAAGGATATTTTTGCCTGATATACTATTGTAGAGTAAAAGTTGTTTTCCTTCAGCACTTTAAATATGTCATGCTGTTCTCCCCTGGAGTGTAGGTTTTCCACTGAAAAGTCTGCTCCTAGTGAAGCTCCATTGTATGTTGTGTTTCTTTTTTCTTGCTGCTCTTAAGATCTTTTCTTTATCCTTGAACTTTAAGACTTTGATTATTAAATGCCTTAAAGTAGTCTTTGGGTTAAATATTCTTGGTGTTCTATAACCTTCTTGTACTTGATATTGATATCTTTCTCTAGATTTGGGAAATTCCATGTTGTTATCCCTTTGAATAAACTTTCTGCCCCTGTCTTTTTCTCTACCTCCTGTTTAAGGCCAACAACCCTTAAGATTTGCCGTTTCGAAGCTATTTTCTAGATCTTGTAAACATGCTTCGTTGTTTTTTATTCTTTTTTCTTTGGTCTTCTCTATGTATTTTTAAATAACCTGTCTTCAAGCTCACTAATGCTTTCTTCTGCTAGATCAATTCTGCCATTAAAAGGCTCTGATGGATTCTTCAACGTGTCAGTTGCATTTTTCAACTCCAGAATTTCTTATTTCTTTTTAGTTATTTAAATTTCTTTGTAAAATTTACCAGACAGAATTCTGAATTTCTTCTCTGTGTTATTTTAAATTTCTTTGAATTTCCTCAAAACAGCTATTTTGCATTGTCTATCTAAAAGCTCATGTATCTCCGTTTCTCCAGGATTGGTCCCTGGTGCTTTACTTGGTTCATTTGGTGAGCCTGTTTGGTGCTCTACCCCTCTGTGGCTGAGCTGTTATGTTTTCCTGGATAGTACTGATGCTTGTAGATGTTTGTTGGTGTCTGGACTCTGAAGAGTTAGCTATTTCTTGTAAGTTTTGCACTCTGGGCTTGTTTGTACCTGTCCTTCTTAGGAAGACTTTCCAGGTATTTGAAAGGACTTGGGTGTTGTGATCTAAACTGTATCTTCATTAGGCGGCACCCAAAGCCCAGTAACACTGTAGTTCTTGCAGACTTATGGAGGTACCACCTTGGTGGTCTTAGATAAGATCTGAAAGAATTATCTGGATTACCAGGCAGAGACTCTTTTTCTTTTCCCTTACTTTCTCCCATACAAACAGAATCAATCTCAATCTCTCTCTCTCTCTCTCTCTCTCTCTCTCTCTCTCTCTCTCTCTCTCTCTCTCTCTCTCTCTCTCTCTCTCTCTCTCTCTCTTTCAGTTCTGAGTGGCCTGCAGCTGGGGGTGGGGTAACACAAGCACCTCTGTGGCCTCCAATTCCCAATACTGGGACTGTGCTTGGTCAGAACTAAAGCCAGCACAGCACTGGGTCTCACCCAAGGCTCATTGTAACTAATACCTGGCTATTGCCTGTGTTTTCTCAAGGCCCTAAGGCTCTGCAAACAACAGGTGATGAAGCCAACTAAGCTTATGTCCTTCCCTGCAGGGTGGCAAGTTCCCCCAGACCCTGGGCAGGTCCAGAGTGGCTGTCCATGAGCCAGGAATTAGAGTGAAAACCCTTAGCAGTTTACTTGGTTTTCTGTTGTACTGTGGCTGAGCTGGCACTCATACCATGGGACATAGTCCTTCCCACTCTTCTCTCTTCTTTCCACAGGCAGAGGAGCCTCACCCTGCGGCCACGGCCACCACAGGCCCATGGGGAATACTGCCAGGGTACCCACCAGTGTTCCTTTAAGGCCCAAGGGCTCTTCAGTCAGCTTATGGTAAATGCTGCCTGGGACTCACCCTTCAGGGCAGTGGACTCCTCTCTGGCCCAGGGCACATCCAGAAATGCTGTCCAAGAGCCAAGGCCTGGAATTAGGGACCCCCAAGAGCCTGCTTGGTGCTCTACCCTTCTGTGGCTGAGCTGGTATCTAAGGTGCAAGATAAAATCTCCTTTACATTTCCCTCACTTTTCTCAGGCAGAGAGTCTCTTCCCATAACCACCATAGCTGGGAATGTGCTGAGTGTCACTTGCAGCCAGTCTCAGAGTCTCACCCAAGGGCCATGGTATACTACCTGGTATCATTGCTGGTTATTTAGGGCCCAAGGGCTCTTTAATCAGCAGGTGATGAAACCTGCCAGGATTGGGTCTTCCTTCCCTTCAAGGCAGTGGGTTCCCTTCTGGCCCAGGGTGTGTCTAGAAACGTTGTCTGGGAGCCAGAGCCTTACTGCTCTTCCTGGTACCCTACCCTGCTGTGGCTGAGCTGGTATCCAAGATGGAAGACAATGTCCTCTTTAGTCTTTTCTCTCTTCTCCTCAAGCAAAAGGAAGGGGTCTCTTTTGGAGCCATGAGCTGTGCAGCCTGGGGTTGTGAGAGGGGTGGCACAAGCACTCCCTTAGCTGCCTTGGCTGGTGTCCCAGTAGGTCACATCCCCGCTCCCCGACACCACCCCGCCCTGCCCACCCCAAGTCCACTGGCTCTGAGCCCAGTTCAGCACTAGGACTCGCCTGGGAGTTACAGTCCTTGTAGCCTAGACTTTCAAGTTTATTTAGGGCCCCAGAGCATTTTATTCCATAGTGGCAAGGCTTGCTGGAACTCAAGTTCTGACTGTTGGAATGGGCGATTTCCCTTTGGCTAGGTCTGGTTTAAATACTCCCTCCATGGGTGGGCACCAGCTGAGTTCAGCCCAGATTTGCTTTCCACTTGACAGGGCAGCATTGAGTTCAGTGCAATGTCTCACAATCCCTTTACTCTCCTTCCAAATGCACAGATTCTGTCTACATGCCACAGGGCTGCTGTGGGGGGATGAAGGAGGTGTGGCATTGGTGATTCAAGACTGTCTTTCTTAACCTTTTCCAGTGCCTCTTTTAGCAACATGAAGTTAAAACCAGATACTATGAGTGCTCATCTGAATTTTGGTTCTTATGAAGGTGCTTTTTGTATGTAGATAGTTGTTAAATTGGTGTCCTTGCAGGGGCAATGATCAGTGGAGTCTTCTGTTCGGCCATCTTGCTTTGTCCTTCCTTATACATTTCTTAATTCAACAAATCCAGCTGTGTTTCAACCGTGTGCCAGGCTCTTCTACTAAGTGTTAAGAAATTCAGAAATGGTTGTTTTTCTTGCTGTCAAGGATTGTATGGTCTAGTAATAGAGATAAACAAATAAACAAGAAAGTACTTCTCAAGTAACTCCTGTTCAGACTTGCAATCTTAATTGCCAACATCAGTCATTAAATGTGGGAGTTTTTCAAAGTTAGTTCCTAGATTCTAATCTCTTTTTATCTTCTGCCTGATATATATAGGTGTCTTGTAATAGGCAGGATTTCCAGGTTTTCTCTTAACCTAGACTCTTCTCCTCTGAGGTTAAGACCATTATATGCAGCTGCCTTCTAGATATCTCCTCTTGGATATTTTAGAGGCATCTCAATTTAGTGTTCATTAATTTAGTTCATTCAGCAAATATTTATTAAGCACCTAAGTATGGCATAAACTGTTTTAGTTACCGGGAAACATGACAGTATCCTTGCCCTAATAGAACAAATGTTACATAGTGGAAAAAAAGATAATAAACAGATAAATAAATATATAACGTCAAATAGAAATAACAGTAACTAAGGAATATAAGGTAGGGTAAAGAGGTGTAACTAGGCATGCTATTTTAGATAGAGCAATCAGGATAGGCCTCTCTGAGGAGGTGAGAGCCTGAATAAAATTAGAGAGTCAGCCTTGTGGAAACCTGGGGGGCAGAGCATGCCAGGCAATGGGAACAATAAGTGAAAAAACCATGAGATGGGAATGTGCTTGGCATGTTTGAGGGAGAGGAAAGAGGTCAGTGTGGCTGGAGCACAGTGAGCAGGAAGATGAATGGTTGAAATTGTGGTCAGAGAGCTAACCAGGTTGTGTAAAGTGGAGCCTTGTATACTATTGTAAGGACTATGGATTTTATTCTAAATGTACTGAGAAATACATCTTAGATCATCTTAGAGCAGAGGGATGACATGATCAGATATATATTTTTTTATTTTACATTTTATTTCATTTTAAATGAATTTAAATAGCCCCATAGGTCGGTAGCTACAACACCTGACATTACCATTTTAGGATATTCATATATGTTGTAGTAAGATGGAAAATAATCTAAATATAAATCTGAGAAACTACTGTGTTTCACCTATTCTTTCTGCTTTGTCCATCACTCCAGAGGAGCAAGCTGTAAACTGGAGAAATTCCAAGCTTCCAAGAGCCCTTGAGTTCTATGTGTCTGGGTCCAGTGCATCTGTGGTCCTAAGGTTCTAAGAGGTGGTACTTTTCTAAGTTCCAAAGACTCAGATTATATATTTTAGAATTATCATTTTGGCTGTTATGTGGAGAATAGATTAAGAGGGCGAGAGTAGAAGCAAGGAGACCTTATTAAACTATTACAGTGATCAGATAATAGTGTTTTAAACCATGATGGTAGCAGTGGTCTGATTTGGAATATATTTTACAGGCAGATATACCAGGAATTTGTGATTAGGCTGGATATTAGGTAAGAGAAAAAAATAGAAGTCAAGGATGAATATTAAATTCTTGAGAAATTGGATGAATGATGGTACCATTTATTGAGATGGGAGCACTATAGGGCAGACCAAGTTGGGAGAATGGTTAAGATAATTTTTTTGGACATATCAAATTTGATCTGTCAGCCCATACACATTAAGTTTTGTGAAAGAACACACATGTATATACTATATAATTTCATATATATAAAGTTCAAGAACAGGCAAGACTCTTCTGGGTGACATGTCGAAACAGTGGTAGTCTTTGGAGAAAGGGTGCCAACGAGGAAAGAACACATAGAAAACTTCCCAGGTGCTGGAAATATTTTGTATCTTGATCTGGGTGGTAGATACATGGATGAATACATATATACCAAGATTGTGACTGTTATTATATATATGGTATACTTCAATAAAATCTTTAAAAACTGAAAGGCTTATTAGCTTTCAAGTGGAGATGTCATGAAGGCAGTTTATGATGCAGGAGTCTGGAGAACTCCAGACCAGAGGCTGGGGCTATGGATACGTATTTGGAGTCAGCAAAGAGATGTTTTGAAGCCATAGGATTTAATGAAATCATGTAGGAGGTAAAAATAATTTTTAAAAAACATACACAGTGAATGGAAATGGGACACTCCAACATTTAGAGGTAGGGAAAGGGAGAAATATCCGGCAAAAAAACCCTGAGACCTAGTGGCTTGTGCTGTAGTAGGAAAACCAGGAAAGAATGATGAAGCCAGGAGAGGAGAGTGTTTTAAGGAAGGAATGATACCAGCTATGACAAAAGTTATCAAGATTATGAAATCAAATGAGGATTGAGGACTAACAATTGTCACAGCCAAGACCTAACCTGGTCCTACACTATTATCCTCCATGTTGGTTAACAGATGTGGTTTAGCAAACCAGAAACCTGAAGGTTATCCTTAACACTTTCTTTTTTGTCATTTTTCAGGCTAATATCTAATCTATTTCCAAATCTTGGTATTAGTTTTATCTCCTACAGAGCTCTCAAACCCACCTGTTGCTTCTTACCCTCAAAGACCCATATGGCAGGAGTGATTAGTCTCTAGGATTAACAGATTTAGCAAATAAAGTTACAGAATACCCAGTTAAATTTGAATTCTAATAAACAGCAAATAATTTTTAAGATAAGTATGTCCTAAATATTGCTCATGCTTGTGCTATTAAATGTGATATACTAAAATATTATTCAGTGTTTATTTGAAATTCACATTTAACTGGGCATAGTGTATTTTATCTGGCAACCCTATTAGCCTCTGTAGTGAGGCTGAGGAATACATAAGAAATACACAGGTCATAAAAAGAAGGACTTTGTAATGGTACATTAAGGAGCTTGAGTTTAACTTGGGGGCAGTAGAAAGCCTTTGAAGAGTTTTAAGCAAACACTATTTGCATTTTAAGTATACAAGGATAATGGACTGCAGAGGGAGGTGAATTGAAATGCTATTGAAACCTAAAGAAAAATCTTTTGGTGCCTTAATTCAAGGTAGTATTGCTAAGAATAAAGAAAAGCTGGACCGGGTATCATGGCTTACGCCTGTAATCCCAGTGCTTTGGGAGGCCGAGGCAGGCGGATCACTTGAGGTCAGGAGTTTGAGACCAGCCTGGCCAACATGGTGAGACCCCCGTCTCTACTTAAAAAAAAAAAAAAATAGGCCGGGCACGTTGGCTCACGCCTGTAATCCCAACACTTTGAGAGGCCGAGGCGGGCAGATCACCTGAGGTCAGGAGTTTGAGACCAGCCTGGCCAACATGGTGAAACCCTGTCTCTACTAAAAAAAAAAAAAAAAAATACAAAAATTAGCCTGGTGTGGTGGCAGGCACCTGTAATCCCAGCTACTCGGGTGGCTGAGACAGGAGAATCGCTTGAACCCGGGAGGTAGGGGTTGCAGTGAGCCTAGATCGCGCCACTGCACTCCAGCCTGGGCAACAAAGAGCAAAACTCCGTCTCAAAAAAAATTGTATATATATTAGCTGGGCGTGGTGGTGTGTGCCTGTAATCTCAGCTACTTGGGAGGCTGAGGCAGGAGAATTGCTTGAACCCGAGAGGTGGAGTTTGCCGTGAGCCCGGATCACGCCACTGCCCTCCAGCCTGGGGAACAGAGTGAGACTCCATCTCAAAAAAAGAAAAAGAAAAGCTGAATATGCAATTTTAAATGCATATGATAGGCAAAATTGGCACATAGCAGACACTCAATAAATACTTGTTGCTTGGATTGAGTCCAGAGAGAGGAAAAGGGAAGACTCAAGACTGAAGAAGAGACATAAAAAGGAGCCAGGTTAGAAATGTTCCAGCCTGTTGTAGTAAGGTCCAGTGAGGTAGGACAGGAAAGGTTTCTGCTGATATTGGTGGAAGTGCAACTGGATACTTTGGATTTGGAAGTAAATAGGAGGAGAGGAAATAAAGTTGGTATATGTGGACAGATCTTTTAAGAAATTTGCCTGTGGGCAAGAGGAGATACAGGGGCTATAGCAGGAGGTGGATATGAGGTACAAGGAAAGTTTTTGATGAAACAGGCTTGAGAATGTTTAAAATGCTGATAGAAAAGTTGCAGTAAACAGGTACACTAAAAGCCGAGGCTTCGCCACTGTACAATTTTTCCATATAACCAAAAACCACTTGTACCCCTAAAGCTATTGAAATTTAAAAAAAGAAAAAAGAAAAAATTGTAGTAGAAAAAGAGCTTGAAAATGTGGAGAGTGGAAATGGTAGGATAATGAATGAAGAAGTATAATCACATGCGACTTTCCCTACTAACTGAAAAGAAAATATTTTACATATTTTTTATTTGCTTCTGTGAAACCTGGAGCTCTTAAGATAAGGATGTTTTTATTATTCAACATACATTAATTTTTCTTGTTTAATTATTGACAAAGGTGCAGTCATTAAAATCAGGGGTTTTACAAATATTATTTTGTTTTGTCAAATTTGAATTCTCTTGTCCTTTGGACTCATAGTTAATGACAGTTGAAATAAGTAGAATACTGAACTATGTTTTTATTTATAGATAATGCAGCTTGTGAGATTTTACTTGCTGAGAAAACTTGCCCTTCAACCCCTGAAAAAACAAAGAAAAAAGCAAGTATTGAAGCAGAATAACTACATAAATCATAATACATTTCATTAATAAAGAATATACTTTTAACTAACAGTTTAAATTTACTTTTTTTTTTTTTTTTAAGAAATGGGGTCTCATTCTGTCACCCAGGTTAGAGTTCAGTGCTGTGATCATAGCTCACTACAGCCTTGAACTTCTGGGCTCAAGCTGTTCTCCTGTTTCAACCCCCTGAGTAACTGGAACTACAGGCATGCATGCACTACCACGCCAAGCTAATTTTTAAATTTTTTTTGTAAAGATGGGGTATCACTAGTTGTCCAGGCTCATCTCAAACTCATGGCCTCAAGCGATCCTACCATCTCAGCCTCCCAAAGTCCTGGAATTACAGGCATGAGCCACTGTACCCAGCCTTAACCAATACTTTTTTTTTTGAGACAGAGTTTCACTCTGTCATCCAGGGTGGAGTGCAGTGGCATGATCTCGGCTCACTGCAAGCTCTGCCTCCTGGGTTCATGCCATTCTCCTGCCTCAGCCTCCCGAGTAGCTGGGACTACGGGTGCCTGCCACTAGGCCTGGATAATTTTTTGTATTTTTAGTAGAGACAGGGTTTCACTGTGTTAGCCAGGATGGACTCGATCTCCTGACCTCGTGATCCGCCCGCCTCGGCCTCCGAAAGTGCTGGGATTACAGGCGTGAGCCACCGCGCCCAGCCAACCAATACTTTTATAGGAATTCCTTTTCAGCTATTTAAGTCAATAATTAAAAGCATTTTGGGAGTTTATCAAATAGATTATTCAATTTATGGAAAAGCTATGCAGCTTATAAATGAGTATATACTCTATATAAGTTTAATGAAAGAGAATGAAAATGTATAGTAGTCCCCCCTCATCTGTGAGGGATACATCCCAAGACCCCCAGTGGATGTGGATAGTACTGAACCCTATATATACTACATGTTTTTGATCTGATAACTGAAACAGCTACTGAGTAACTAATGAGCGGATGGTATGTCTATCATGGATATGCTGGATAAAGGGATGATTGATCCTAGAGTGGACTGGACTGAGGGGGATGGCACACGATTTCATCATGCTACTCAGAATGGTGTGCAATTTAAAACTTACAGATTGTTTATTTCCAGAACTTTCCATTTTATATTTTGGATTGTGGTTGACCACAGGTAACTGAAACTGTGGTAGACAAAACTGTGGATGGGTGACTGGGGGGCAGGGTGCGGGGACCAGTGTGCTTTACATTTTTTCCAACTTTCCTTTGAATAATGCTGAAGATTACTTATGAATCATTACGTTAGGCATGGCATCGGGGTCTTTTTTTGTTTTCTTTTGTTTTTTTTGAAACAAGGTCTTCCTCTGTCACCCAGGCTGGAGTGCAGTGGCTCTCTCACCACTCACTGTAAACTTGACCTCCTCAGACTCAAATGATTCTCTTGCCTCAGCCTACCTAGTAGCTGGGACTACAGGCACACACTGCCACAAATGGCTAATTTTCATATTTTTGGTAGAGACAGGGTTTCAACATGTTGCTCAGGCTGGCCTTGAACTCCTGGGTTCAAGCGATCCACCCGCTTCAACCTCCCAAAGTGTTGGTACAGGTGTGAGCCATCATGCCCAGCTGGAATCTGGAGGCCTTTAGGGAAAAATTTGGACTTTATTTTGTATATAGCAAGAGCTACTTTTTGAGTAGCTTTCATTAATTATATATTTTGTTTATGGTATTCCAGGCAGGTTAGTAGTTAGTTTCTGTTTGTTTGTTTTTACCTACTTTTTTAATCATTAAAAAAAATTCAACTTTTTATTACATAATTTTGCTTTTTTTAAAAATTTTATTATTATTATACTTTAACTTGTAGGTACATGTGCACAATGTGCAGGTTTGTTACATATGTATACATGTGCCAGGTTGGTGTGCTGCACCCATTAACTCCTCATTTAGCATTAGGTATATCTCCTAATGCTATCCCTCGCCCCCTCCCCCCACCCCACAACAGGCCCCAGTGTGTGATGTTCCCCTTCCTGTGTCCATGTGTTCTCACTGTTCAATTCCCACCTATGAGTGAGAACATGCGGTGTTTGGTTTTTTGTCCTTGCGATAGTTTGCTGAGAATGATGGTTTCCAGTTTCATCCATGTCCCTACAAAGGACATGAACTCATCATTTTTTATGGCTGCATAGTATTCCATGGTATATATGCGCCACATTTTCTTAATCCAGTCTATCATCGTTGGACATTTGGGTTGGTTCCAAGTCTTTGCTATTGTGAATAGTGCCTCAATAAACATACGTGTGCATGTGTCTTTATAGCAGCATGATTTATAATCCTTTGGGTATATACCCAGTAATGGGATGGCTGGGTCAAATGGTATTTCTAGTTCTAGATCCCTGAGGAATCGCCACACTGACTTCCACAATGGTTGAACTAGTTTACAGTCCCACCAACAGTGTAAAAGTGTTCCTATTTCTCCACATCCTCTCCAGCACCTGTTGTTTCCTGACTTTTTAATGATCGCCATTCTAACTGGTGTGAGATGGTATCTCATTGTGGTTTTGATTTGCATTTCTCTGATGACCAGTGATGATGAGCATTTTTTCATGTGTCCGTTGGCCGCATAAATGTCTTCTTTTGAGAAGTGTCTGCTCATATCCTTCGCCCACTTTTTGATGGGGTTGTTTGTTTTTTTCTTGTAAATTTGTTTGAGTTCATTGTAGATTCTGGATATTAGCCCTTTGTCAGATGAGTAGATTGCAAAACTTTTCTTCCATTCTGTAGGTTGCCTGGTCACTCTGATGGTAGTTTCTTTTGCTGTGCCGAATCTCTTTAGTTTAATTAGATCCCATTTCTCAATTTTGGCGTTTGTTGCCATTGCTTCTGGTGTTTTAGACATGAAGTCCTTGCCCATGCCTACATCCTGAATGGTATTGCCTAGGTTTTCTTCTAGGGTTTTTATGGCTTTAGGTCTAACATGTAAGTCTTTAATCCATCTTGAATTAATTTTTGTATAAGGTGTAAGGAAGGGATCCATTTTCAGCTTTCTACATATGGCTAGCCAGTTTTCCCAGCACCATTTATTAAATAGCGAATCCTTTCCCCATTGCTTGTTTTTGTCAGGTTTGTCAAACATCAGGTAGTTGTAGATATGCGACATTATTTCTGAGTGCTGTGTTCTGTTCCATAGGTCTATATCTCTGTTTTGGTACCAGTACCATGCTGTTTTGGTTACTGTAGCCTGGTAGTATAGTTTGAAATCAGGTAGCATGATCCCTCCAGCTTTGTTCTTTTGGCTTAAGATTGACTTGGCGATGCGGGCTCTTTTTTGGTTCCGTATGAACTTGAAAGTAGTTTTTTCCAATTATGTGAAGAAAGTCATTGGTAGCTTGATGGGGATGGCATTGAATCTATAAATTACCTGGGGCAGTATGGCCATTTTCACGATATTGATTATTCCTACCCATGAGCATGGAATGTTCTTCCATTTGTTTGTATCCTCTTTTATTTCATTGAGCAGTGGTTTGTAGTTCTCCTTGAAGAGGTCCTTCACGTCCCTTGTAAGTTGGATTCCTAGGTATTTTATTCTCTTTGAAGCCATTGTGAATGGGAGTTCACTCATGATTTGGCTCTCTGTTTCTCTGTTATTGGTGTATAAGAATGCTTGTGATTTTTGTACATTGATTTTGTATCTTGAGACTTTGCTGAAGATGCCTATCAGCTTAAGGAGATTTTGGGCTGAGAAGATGGGGTTTTCTAGATACACAATCATGTCATCTGCAAACAGGGACAATTTGACTTCCTCTTTTCCTAATTGAATACCCTTTATTTCCTTCTCCTGGCTGATTGCCCTGGCCAGAACTTCCAACACTATGTTGAATCGGAGTGGTAAGAGAGGACATCCCTGTCTTGTGCCAGTTTTCAAAGGGAATGCTTCCAGTTTTTGGCCATTCAGTATGATATTGGCTGTGGGTTTGTCATAGATAGCTCTTATTATTTTGAGATACGTCCCATCAATACCTAATTTATTGAGAGTTTTTAGCATGAAGTGTTGTTGAATTTTGTTGAAGGCCTTTTCTGCATCTTTGAGATAATCATGTGGTTTTTGTCTTTGGTTCTGTTTATATGCTGGATTACATTTATTGATTTTCGTACGTTGAACCAGCCTTGCATCCCAGGGATGAAGCCCACTTGATCATGGTGGATAAGCTTTTTGTGTGCTGCTGGATTCAGTTTGCCAGTATTTTATTGAGGATTTTTGCATCAATGTTCATCAAGGATACTGGTCTAAAATTCCCTTTTTTTGTTGTGTCTCTGCCAGACTTTGGTATCAGGATGATGCTGGCCTCATAAAATGAGTTAGGGAGGATTCCCTCTTTTTCTATTGATTGGAATAGTTTCAGAAGGAATGGTACCAGCTCCTCCTTGTACCTCTGGTAGAATTCGGCTGTGAATCCATCTGGTCCTGGACTTTTTTCGTTGGTAAGCTATTGATTATTGCCTCAATTTCAGAGCCTGTTATTCGTCTATTCAGAGATTCAACTTCTTCCTGGTTTAGTCTTGGGACGATGTATGTGTCCAGGAATTTATCCATTTCTTCTAGATTTTCTAGTTTATTTGCGTAGAGGTGTTTATAGTATTCTCTGATGGTAGTTTGTATTTCTGTGGGATCGGTGGTGATATCCCCTTTATCATTTTCTATTGCATCTATTTGATTCTTCTCTCTTTTCTTCTTTATTAGTCTTGCTAGCGGTCTGTCAATTTTGTTGATCTTTTCAAAAAACCAGCTCCTGGATTCATTAATTTTTCGAAGGGTTTTTTTGTGTCTCTATTTCCTTCAGTTCTGCTCTGATCTTAGTTATTTCTTGCCTTCTGCTAGCTTTTGAATGTGTTTGCTCTGGCTTTTCTAGTTATTTTAATTGTGATGTTAGGGTGTCAATTTTAGATCTTTCCTGCTTTCTCTTGTGGGCATTTAGTGCTATAAATTTCCCTCTACACACTGCTTTGAATATGTCCCAGAGATTCTGGTATGTTGTGTCTTTGTTGTCGTTGGTTTCAAAGAACATCTTTATTTCTGCCTTGATTTCATTATTTACCCAGTAGTCATTCAGGAGCAGGTTGTTCAGTTTCCATGCAGTTGAGTGGTTTTGAGTGAGTTTCTTAATCATGAGTTCTAGTTTGATTGCACTGTGGTCTGAGAGACAGTTTGTTATAATTTCTGTTCTTTTACATTTGCTGAGGAGTGCTTTACTTCCAACTATGTGTTCAATTTTGGAATAGGTGTGGTGCTGAAAAGACTGTATATTCTGTTGATTTGGGGTGGAGATTTCTGTAGATGTCTATTAGGTCCGCTTGGTGCATAGCTGAGTTCAATTCCTCGGTATCCTTGTTAACTTTCTGTCTCATTGATCTGTCTAATGTTGACAGTGGGGTGTTAAAGTCTCCCATTATTATTGTGTGGGAGTCTAAGTCTCTTTGTAGGTCACTAAGGACTTGCTTTATGAATCTGGGTGCTCCTATATTGGGTGCATATATATTTAGGATAGTTAGTTCTTCTTGTTGAATTGATGCCTTTACCATTATGTAATGGCCTCCTTTGTCTCTTTTGATCTTTGTTGGTTTAAAGTCTGTTTTATCAGAGACTAGGATTACAACCCCTGCCTTTTTTTGTTTTCCATTTGCTTGGTAGATCTTCCTCCATCCCTTTATTTTGAGCCTATGTGTGTCTCTGCATGTGAGATGGGTTTCCTGAATACAGCACACTGATGGGTCTTGACTCGTTATCCAATTTGTCAGTCTGTGTCTTTTAATTGGAGCATTTAGTCCCTTTACATTCAAAGTTAATATTGTTATATGTGAATATGATCCTGTCATTATGATGTCAGCTGGCTATTTTGCTCGTTAGTTGATGCAGTTTCTTCCTAGCCTTGATGGTCTTTACAATTTGGCATGTTTTTGCAGTGGCTGGTACCAGTTGTTCCTTTCCATGTTTAGTGCTTCCTTCAGGAGCTCTTTTAGGGCAGGCCTGGTGGTGACAACATCTCTCAGCATTTGCTTGTCTGTAAAGGATTTTATTTCTCCTTCACTTATGAAGCTTAGTTTGGCTGGATATGAAATGCTGGGTTGAAAATTCTTTTCTTTAAGAATGTTGAATATTGGCCCCCACTCTCTTCTGGCTTGTAGAGTTTCTGCCGAGAGATCAGCTGTTAGTCTGATGGGCTTCCCTTTGTGGGTAACCCAACCTTTCTCTCTGGCTGCCCTTAACATTTTTTCCTTCATTTCACCCTTGGTGAATCTGACAATTATGTGTCTTGGAGTTGCTCTTCTCGAGGAGTATCTTTGTGGTGTTCTCTGTATTTCCTGAATGTGAATGTTGGCCTGCCTTGCTAGATTGGGGAAGTTCTCCTGGATAATATCCTGCAGAGTGTTTTCCAGCTTGGTTCCATTCTCCCCGTCACTTTCAGGTACACCAATCAGATGTTGATTTGGTCTTTTCACATAGTCACATATTTCTTGGAAGCCTTGTTCATTTCTTTTTATTATTTTTTCTCTAAACTTCTCTTCTCACTTCATTTCATTCATTTCGTCTTCCATCACTGATACCCTTTCTTCCAGTTGATTGCATCAGCTACTGAGGCTTGTGCATTCGTCACATAGTTCTCGTGCCGTGGTTTTCAGCTCCATCAGGTCTTTTAAGGACTTCTCTGCATTGGTTATTCTAGTTATCCATTCGTCTAATTTTTTTTCGAAGTTTTTAACTTCTTTGCCATTGGTTTGAACTTCCTCCTTTAGCTCGGAGTAGTTTGATCATCTGAAGCCTTCTTCTCTCAACTCGTCAAAGTCATTCTCCGTCCAGCTTTGTTCCGTTGCTGGTGAGGAGCTGCATTCCTTTGGAGGAGGAGAGGTGCTCTGATTTTTAGAGTTTCCAGTTTTTCTGCTCTGTTTTTTCCCCATCTTTGTGGTTTTATGTACCTTTGGTCTTTGATGATGGTGACGTACGGATGGGTTTTTGGGGTGGATGTCCTTCCTGTTTGTTAGTTTTCCTTCTAACAGTCAGGACCCTCAGCTGCAGGTCTGTTGGAGTTTGCTAGAGGTCCACTCCAGACCCTGTTTGCCTGGGTATCAGCAGTGGTGGCTGCAGAACATCGGATATTGGTGAACCGCAAATGCTGCTGCCTGATCGTTCCTCTGGAAGTTTTGTCTCAGAGGAGTACCCGGCTGTGTGAGGTGTCAGTCCGCCCCTACTGGGGGGTGCCTCCCAGTTAGGCTACTCGGAGGTCAGGGACCCACTTGAGGAGGCAGTCTACCCATTCTCAGATCTCAAGCTGCGTGCTGGGAGAACCACTACTCTCTTCAAAGCTGTCAGACAGGGACATTTAAGTCTGCAGAGGTCACTGCTGTCTTTTTGTTTGTCTGTGCCCTGTCCCCAGAGGTGGAGCCTACAGAGGCAGGCAGGCCTCCTTGAGCTGTGGTGGGCTCCACCCAGTTCGAGCTTCCCAGCCGCTTTGTTTACCTAATCAAGACTCGGGAATGGCGGGCGCCCCTCCCCCAGCCTCGCTGTCGCCTTGCAGTTTGATCTCAGTCTGCTATGCTAGCAATGAGCGAGACTCTGGGCGTAGGACCCTCTGAGCCATGTGCGGGATATAATCTCCTGGTGTGCCGTTTTTTAAGCCAGTTGGGAAAGTGCAGTATTAGGGTGGGAGTGACCCAATTTTCCAGGTGCCGTCTGTCACCCCTTTCTTTGACTAGGAAAGGGAATTCCCTGACCCCTTGTGCTTCCCGGGTGAGGTGATTCCTTGCCCTGCTTCGGCTTGCGCACGGTGCACTGCACCCACTGTCCGGCACCCACTATCTGGCACACCCCAGTGAGATGAACCGGGTACCTCAGTTGGAAATGCAGAAATCACCCGTCTTCTGCGTCGCTCATGCTGGGAGCTGTAGACCTGAGCTGTTCCTATTCGGCCATCTTGGCTCCTCCTTCTGTTTTTACCTATTTTATAGCTGAGAAAACTGAGGTTTAGATTTTCATCAGTTTCTTGAGGAGGTTGTGGCAGGTCTTTCCGGATCTAAAGCCTATACTCTTTCTACTACACTAGATTGTCACTGTAAGGAATTAGAGAGCAAATAGAAAAGGGGCAAGAGGGTGAATAGGGAGACCCATTAGTAGGGAGTTACAAAGATTTTTGGTGACCTATAGTGGTGGCTTTGACTAGGGTGTTTGATAGGAGAGATCAAGAAATAGGCATGTATTCAAGATAATTTTGCCTGTAGAGTTGATCGATAGGATACAAATGATGAAGGAATAAGAAATGTTAAGAAAGACTTCTGGGTTTCCGTTTTGAGCATCTTTAGTGGATAAAGATGCTATTTAGTGTGATAGGAAAGACAGGTGTTCTGAGAATGCATGAAGATGGAAATGTTGAGAAGGCCATTGGCTATCAATCTGGAGGTCAGGGGAACAGATGTACTGTATTATAATTTTTTTTTAAGTCGTGGAAACGGGCGAAATGTCCTAGGAAATAGTATCTATAGAGTAAGGAAGAGAAGTGGGCCCAGGTCAATCCCTGGAAAACTCCATCGTCAGGTTCAAAAGGAAGAGTGGTGGAGAAGAGGAGAAAAATAAACAGAACATAGTATCATAGAAATCAAGAGAGGAAATCATTTCACCCAGAAAAGGGGAAATGGTCAACAGTGTTGAATGCTGCTTGAAGGTCCAGTATTATAAAGACTTTTTTTGTGTGTGTGTCTATGTTATTTTTGATTATTTACATTAAAAATATTAATTATTATGAGTGCTTAATAGCTGTATGTCTTTATGGGGTACATGTGATGTTTTGATAAAGGCACACAAATGCATAATAATCAAATCAGGGTAAATGGGATATCCATCATCTCAAGAGTTTATTGTTTCTTTGTGTTAGGAAGGAATTTAAAAGTCAATTGTAGGACTTCCAGTTTCCAGTGCAGCAGTGTAAGAATCTTAGAAGTCATCACTTTGTCCTAACAACAAGTAAAGTGCTGAAAAAACTGAAAAGTCACCAGTTTTTCTTGAGTTCATCAGAGAAGTAAGGTCATAGAGAAAACTGCTGCACCAAATATTGAAGAGACAGACAGGAGGATACAGAGAATCACAACTTACCAAAACAGAAACCCATGAACAGAAACCTCCATGGGAACCATTGCCAGGGTAGGAAAACCTAAACAGTGTTGATGAATTGCTGGAGGCTGAATATGGACAAATCTGAGAGTCGTAGGTGGTCCCCCTGCCACTTTTGTGAGTTTTACTTCCAGGAGTTCTGCCATCAGGTCTTCATAGTAAATGTTAGAGTAAAATCCTCTCATGCTTCTAGCAGTGGGAAGAGAAAGGAACTATGTGAAACAGAATGCGAGAATATTCGGGTTTTTTTGTTTTTGTTTTTGTTTTTTGTAACAAGGCCTGGCCTCAGGAGAAAGTATTTTTCAGAACCTAACCTGCTGGGGGAACTATGTGGTAGACAAACTGGTTCTAAAGTTTATATGGAGAGGGAAAAGATACAGAATAGCCAACTCAATATTGAAGGAGAAAAAGTCAAAGGACTGATACTGCCTGTATTTAAGACTTACTGTAAAGGTGCAGTAATCAAGACAGTATGGGTTTGGTAAAAGAATAAACAAACAGATCGATGGAACAGAATAGAGAGAGAGCCCAGAAATAGACCCATATAAATATAGTCAACTGATCTTTGACAAAGGAGCAAAGGCAATATAATGGAGAAAAGTTGGTATTTTCTACAAATGGTGCTTGAATAACTGGACCCCCAAATGCAAAAACATGAACCTAGACACAGACCTTATACTCTTCACAAGAATTAATCACAATGGGTCATGGACCTAAATGTAAAATGCAAAACTGTAAACCTTCTAGAAGATAACATAGGATAAAATCTAGGTGACCTTGAGTATGGTGATGACTTTTTAGATACAATACCAAAGGCACAATTATAAAAGAAATAATTGATAACCTGGACTTCATTAAAATAAAAAAACTTTTGCTGTATGAAGGACAATGTCAAGATAATGAGATAACAAGCCACAGATTGGGAGACAATATTTGCAAAAGACATATCTGATAAAAGATTGTAAACCAACATAGACAAAGAAGCCTTAAAATTCAACAATAAGGGCCAGGCACAGTGGCTCATGCCTGTAATCCTGGCACTTTGGGAGGCCAAGGCAGGCAGATCACTTGAGCCCATGAATTTGAGACAAGCCTGGGCAACATTTTTTTTTTTTTTTTTGTAGAGACAGAATCCCTGTCGGGAGGCTGAGATGGGAGGATCGCATGAGCCTGGGAGGTTAAGGCTGCAGTGAGCCCTGACCACACCTCTGCACACTGCTGCCTAGGCAACAGAGTGATACCCTGTCTCAAAAAATAAAAACAACAACAACAACAAAACCAACCAAACAAAAACCCTCAAGAATAAGAAAATGAAAAACCCAGTGAAAAATGGGCCAAAGACCTGAACAGACACCTCACTAAAGAAGATATACAAAAGGCAATAGTTTATGAAAAGTTGTTCAACATCATATGTCATTAGGCAATTGGAATTGCAAATTAAAACAACAATGAGTGGCTGGGTGCTGTGGCTTATGCCTGTAATCCCAACATTTTGGGGGACTGAGGCAAGTGGATTGCCTTAGCCCAGGGTTCAAGACTAGCCTGGGCAACATGGCAAAACCCTGTCTCTACTAAAAAATATTAGCCTGGCATGGTGCTGCAGGCCTGTAGTCATAACTACTCTGGAAGTGAAGGTAGGAGGATCACCTGAATTTGGGAAGTCAAGGCTGCAATGAACTGTGATCATGCCACTGCTCTCCAGCCTGGGCAACAGAGTGAGACTCTGTTTCAAAAAAACCAGAAACAGCAACAGCGAGTTATTATTACACACCTATTAGAATGGCCAAAATCCAAAACACTGACAACACCAAATGCTGGAGGATGTGAAGCAATAGGAAATCTCATTCTTTGCTGCTGAGAATGCAAAATGATACAGTCACTTTGGAAAATGGTTTCATGATTTTTAAAAACTAAACATACTCATATATGATCCAGCAATTACATTCCTTAGTGTTTATGCAAATGAATTGAAAAATTGTATCCACACAAAGTATGCACCTGAACGTTTATAGCAACTGTTTTCATAATTTCCAAAACTTGGAAGCAACGAAAATGTTCTTCATTAGGTGAATGCATAAATAAACTGTGGTATATCCAGACAATGGAATATTATTTAGCACTGAAAAGGAATTAGGTATCCAGCAATGAAAAGACATGGAGGAAACTTAAATTCATATTACTAAGTGAAAGAAGTGACTGAAAAGGCTACATACTGTGTGATTCCAACCATATGATGTTCTGGAAAAGCAAAACTATGTTGACAATAAAAAGATTGGTGGTTGCCAGAGGTTAGGAGGAAGGGATGGATGAATAGGCAGATTACAGAGGAATTTTAAGACTGGGAAACTACTTTGTATGATATTAGAATGGTGGGTACATCTCATTATACATTTGTCAAAACCCACAGAATATACAACACCAAGAGTGAACCCAACCCTAAGGTAAACTGTGGACTTTTGAGATAATGATGTGTCAGTGTAGGTTCATTCATTATAATAAATAGACCACTATTGTATAGGATGTTGATAGCAGGAGAGGCTTTACATGTATGGGGACTGGGGATATATGAGAAGTCTATATTTTCTGCTCAAGTTTGCTGTGAATCCAAAACTGACCTAAAAAATAAAATTCATTAATTTTTTTTAAAAAGTCAGTTGAATTTGGAATCATGAAGGAAACTGGTGACTTTGGTAGGAAAAATTTTGGCAGACTAAAGAGAGGCAAACCAGATTAGAATGGGTTGAAGACCATGGAAAGTGAGGAAGTAACAGTTATTTATAGAGCTTGACTCTGAAGGGAAATAGAGAAAAATAATGGTAACTGGATGAATATGCAGGGTTATAGGAAGCTTTTTCTTTTAAGATGAGATATACTGTATCATTGTTGAGGACTAATGGGAATGAAGAAGGGGAGGAAGAGAGGATAGCTAAATTTAACTCAATAGGCAACTAGAATTCTCTGTGGCCTAGAGATCTAATTGAACTTGGCCTGAATTTCACTTCTTTAGCCAAAAGCAATAAAAAAACTTCCCCATCCTTTCTACATTTTCTTTTCTTCACTTCCTCATGATTACCTGTCCTTCTCCTGCTTCCATGCATACTGTCAGTTCCATGAATTCTCCCTTGCTCTCTCACCTTCCCTCCCTCCTGGGGCTGAAGAGGCAGCCACAGACAGCAATCCTATTCCCTCACCCCCACAGAGGGGCAACTGTGCATTCTCACACACTCCAAAGACAAATTCCACTGCCTGCTCTAGGCCAAGGCTCAGATGAAGCCAGTCCCTTTCAGTTTCCTGCCTATGGCTGTTCCCGGGGGAAGCAACCCCACTCTTCCCAGTTGCAGGGCCACAGCACAGCTGCTGCTGCCTCCACCTGAGCATTCTGCCAATGGCCACAGGGTCATTCTGCCCCTGCATGCCACCGCCAGCATCTTTACACACCATGAGGGGGCCTAAAGGCACAACCTAGCTTGGCTCTACCTCCCCTAGTACCCAAGGACACTATCCAGGGGTCTGAAGATCACCCAGCCCGGTACACCATTGGTTGCACCTGAGCACTCTTCCCAGGGTCTGAGATCAGGCTCAATCAACCTGCCACTACCACCACAGCTGGCATTCACCAGCATGTGCCACTTGCAGATCTGGAAACCAGCCTGCCCAACCCATTGTAGCCATGCCAACACCAACACAGTTGACTGAGTTCCAGTGGATTTTCCTACCACTGCTACTGCCATTGGCCATGCCATGCACACTCCACAAGGACTCTAGAATTCACCCACCTGCACAGCCTACTGCTGCCATACCTGGCACACAAGCAAGACACCTAGAGGCCCAAGAATTGGCTACCTGGATCCACTAACACCAATGCCAGGTTGTGCTGCCTTGGGGACCAAGGACAGGCATGCTTAACATACCACTGCTGCCACTGAGGCCTGAAGACCAGTCTACTTGGCATCCCAGTCCCCAGCAAAACTTCATCATAGCCTCCACTAACAACCACATGCTAAGCCACCAAGGAAATCACAGATAACACTGATGCTGTTTACAGCCAAAGAAATCATACAAAGACAGTAATACTGCATATGCCCAGAATCAGAGCAAATGTGCTCTAGCCTACCAACACATATGCACATACACACATCTTCAGAAAAATGTGCCCCTGATGAAAGCAAATTCAAAAAAATTGGAAAAAGCAGCTGTAACACCAGATGCACAGATATCAATGTAAGGACACAGGAAACTTGAAAAAGCAAGGAAATATGACACCTGCAAAGGTACACAATAATTCTCCAGCAACAGATCCTAATACAAAAGAAATTCATGGCCGGGTGCAGTGGCTCATGCCTGTAATCCCGGCACTTTGGGAGGCCCAGGTGGGCGGAACACAAGGTCAGGAGATCGAGACCATTCTGGCTAACATGGTGAAACCCTGTCTCTACTAAAAATACAAAAAATTAGCCGGGCATGGTGGCGCATGCCTGCAGTCCCAGCTACTCGGGAGGCTGAGGCAGGAGAATGGCATGAACCGAGGAGGCGGAGCTTGCAGTGAGTGGAGATTGTGCCACTGCACTCCAGCCTGGGCGTCAGAGCATGACTCCATCTAAAAAAAAAAAAAATCACAAAATCCCAGGAAAAAGAATTCAAAATTTTGATACTAAAGAAGCTTGGTGAGATGCAAGAGAATTCCAAAAAACAATACAAAGAAATCAGAAAAAAAATTCAGGATACAAATGAGAAATTTACCAAAGAGATGGATATTATTGAAAAAAGAACCAAACAGAAATTCTGGAAATGAAGGTTTCATTGAATGAAATACAAAATACACTCAAAAGATTCAACAATAGACTAAATCAAACAGAGGAAAGAATCTCAGAACTTGAAGACAGTTCTTTTGACATAACCCAGTTAGGCAAAAATAAAGAAAAAATTAACAAGAATGAGCAATGCCTTCATAACTATGGAACACTATCAAGTGACCAGATATTCAAAGTGTTGATATCCCTGAAGGCAAAGAGAAAATGAAAGGGTTTGAAAACCTATTTAATGAAATAATAGATGAAAAATTCTCAAGTCTAACAAGAGATTTAGGCATCCAGATACAGGAGGCTCAGTGATTTCCCAGACAGATACAACATAAAAATGTCTTCTCCATGGCATATTGTAGTCAAACTGTCTAAGTGAAAGACAGAGAATTCTAAAAGCAGCAGGAGAAAAGTATCTAGTCATAAAGGAAACCCCATTAGACTAACAGCAGACTCTCTCAGCAGAAGCCTTACAGGCCAGGAAAGAATGATATGATATATTCAAAGTGCTGAAAGAACAAATCTGCCAGCCGAGGATACTATATACAGCAAATTTGTTCTTCACCAATGAAGGAGAAATAAAGTATTTCCCAGACAATCAAATGCCGAGAAAATTCATTACTACTAAACTCAAGGGAGTCCTACAACTGGTGGTGAAATGATGATAGTTACTATCATGAAAACACATGAAACTATAAAACTCACAAGTAAAGCAAACACACAAAGGAGGAGGAGAAAGGACTCAAATGATTCTACTACAGAAAACCACCAAAACATGGTGACAAATAAGAGAAAAAGAAAGGAACAAAGAGTGTACAGATCAGAAAACAATTAAGAATATAACAGGAACAAAGCATGACATATCAATGATAAACTTGAATGTAAATGGATTAAATTCTCTACTTAAAAGATATAGACTGGCTGAATGATTAAAAAAACATGATTCAACTATATGCTGCCTACAAGAAATGCACTTTATCTGTAAAGAAAAATAGAGACTCAAAGGAATGGTGAATTACTCCATTTTCACATTGCTGATAAAAACATACCCGAGATTGGGAAGAAGAAAAGGTTTAATGGACTTACAGTTCCACATGGCTGGGGAGGCCTCACAATCATGCAGAAGGCGAGGAGGAGCAAGTCACGTCTTACATGGGTGGTGGCAGGCAGAGAGAGCTTGTGCAGGCAAACTTTCATTTTCAAAACCATCAGATCTCATGAGACGTATTCACTATCACAAGAACGGCATGGGGAAGACCTGCCCCCATGATTCAGTTATCTCTCAGAGGGTCCCTCCCATAACATGTGAGAATTATGGAAGCTACAAGATGAGATTTGGGTGGGGACACAGAGCCAAACTATATCAAATAGAAAAAGATATTCCATGCAAACAGTAACCATAACTGAGCAGGAGTAGTTATACTTAGATAAAACAGACTTTAAGTCAAAAACAGTAAAAAAAAAAAAAAAAAAAAAAAAAAGGACAAAGAAGGTCATTATATAATGATAAAAGGATCAATCTAGAAGAGCGTGTAACAATACTAAATACATATGCACCCAACAATGCTGCACTCAGATGTATAAAGCAAATATTGCTAGATCTAAAGAGAGACAGAATCCAATATAGTAATGGGGGAGACTTCAACACCCCACTCACTCAGCACTCAACAGATCATCTAGACAGAAAATCAACACATAAACATTGGATTTAAACTGGACTTTAGACCAAATGGACCTCACAGACATATACAGAACCTTTTAGCCAACAACTGCAGAATACATATTAACGTTCTTCTCATTTACACATGGGACGTTCTCCAGGATAGATCCTATGTTAGGCCACAAAACAAGTCTCAACAAACTTGAAAAAACTGAGATCATATCGAGTATCTTCTCAGGCCACAATGGAATAAAATTAGAAATCAATACCAAGAGGAAGTTTGGAAACTATACAGTACTTGAAAACTTAGCAAGATGCCGCTGAATGATCATTGGATCAATGAAGAAATTAAGATGGAAATAAAAAAATTCTTGAAATAAGGACAGGAACAGTGGCTCATGCTTGTAATCCCAGCACTTGGGGAGGCTGCAGTGGGAGGATCACTTGAGGCCAGGAGTTTGAGACCAGCCTGGGCAACATATTGAAACCCCGTTGTCTCCTAAAAATTTTAAAACTTAGTCAGGCATGGTGGTGCATGTCTGTAGTCCTAACTACTCAGGAGTCTGAGGCAGGAGGATCATTTGAGCCCAAAAGTTTGAGGCTGCAGGGAGCTACAGTAGTGCTAGTGCACTCTAGCCTGGGTGACAAAGTTAAGACCTTGTCTTTTAAAAAAAAATTCTTGAAATAAATAAAAATTGAAATACGAAACACCAAAACGTATGGAATATCATAAAAGCAGTGCTTAGAGGGAACTTTATAGCAATAAATGCCTACATCAAAAAAGTAGTATGTGCTTATGTAAATTTAATGTTATGTAAGAAAAAAAGTAGAATGATTTCCAGTAAAGAATTTAGTGATGCACTTTAAGGAATTAGAGAAGCAAGAACAAACAAAACCCAAAATTAGCAGAAGAAAATAATAATGATCAGAGCAGAAAGAAATGAAATAGAGACTAAAAAAATACAAAGTATCAATGAAATGAAAAGTTCGTTGTTCAAAAAGATAAAATTAATAAACCACTAGCTAGATTAACCAAGGAAAGAAGAGAGGAGACCCAAATAAACAAAATCAGGAATGAAAAAGGAGACGTTACTACTGATACCACAGAATTAGAAAACATCAGCAGAGACTTTTATGAATAACTATATACTAACTAGAAAACTTGGAGAAATGGGTAAACTCCTGGAAACATACAACCTACCAAGATTGAATGAGGAAGAAATAGAAAATCTGAACAGACCAATAATGAGTAGTGAGATTGAATCAATAATAAAAAGTCTCCCAATAAAGAAAAGCCCAGGATCAGATGGATTCAGTGCCAAATTCTACCAAACATATAAAGAAAAACTAATACCAGTCTTCCTCATACTATTTCAAAAAGTTGAAGAGGAGGGAATCCTCCCTAACTCACTCTTTGCGGCTAACATTACCCTGATTCCAAAACTAAACAAGGACACAACAACAACAGCAAAGAGAAAACTACAGGCCTGATGAACATAGACACAAAAATCCTCAACAAAATACTGGCAAACTAAATCCAACAGCACATCAAAAAGATAAAACACCCTGATTAAGTGGGTTTTATACCAGGGATGCAAGAATGGTTTAACCTGTGCAAATCAATAAATTTGATACATCACATTAACAGAACCAAGAACAAAAACTATATGATTATTTTTATAGATGCAGAAAAAGAATTTGATAAAACTGAACATCCTTCATGACAAAAACTCTCAGCAAACTAGGCATAGAAAGAACATACCTTAAAATAATAAAGGCAATATATGACAAAACCCACAGCTGACATCAGACTGAATGGGGAAAAGTTGAAAGCCTTTCCTCTAAGAACAAGACAAGAATGCCCACCTTCCCCATGCCCATTAAACATAGTACCAAAAGTTGTAGCCAGAGCAATCAGCCAAGAAAAAGGAATAAAAGAGGAACTCAAATTGACCCTCTTCTTTGGGAACTACATTATTCTTTTTTTTTTGAAGACAGAGTCTCTCTCTGTTGCCCAGGTTGGAGTGCAATGGTGCAATCTTGGCTCCTGCAACCTCCACCTCCCGGGTTTAAGCAGTTATCCTACCTCAGCCTCCCAAGTAGCTGGGACTACAGGCATGCACCACCATGCCCAGCTAATGTTTGTATTTTTAGTAGAAACAGGGTTTCACCATGTTGGCCAGGATGGTCTCGATCTCTTGACCTCATGATCCGCCCACTTCGGCCTCCCAAAGTGCTGGGATTACAGGCATGAACCACTGCACTTGGCCTATTCTTATTTTTAGAAAACCAAAAGACTCCATCAAAAAACTCTTAGGGCTGGGCATGGTGGCTCATGCCTGTAATCACAGCACTTTGGGAGGCCAAGGCAGGCAATCACTTGAGGCCAAGAGTTGGAGACCAGCCTGGCCAACATGGCAAAACCCCATGTCTGCTAAAAAATACAAAAATTAGCTGGGCATGGTGGTGCATGCCTGTAATCCCAGCTACTCAGGAGGCTGAGGCACTAGAATCACTTGAGCCCAGGAGGTGGAGGTTGCAGTGAGCCAAGATTGTGCCACTGCACTTCAGCCTGAGTGACAGAGCAAGACTCTCTCTCAAAAAAAAAAAAAAAAAAAAAAAAAGCCAAACAGGCTGGGCATGGTGGCTCACGCCTGTAATCCCAGCACTTTGGGAGCCTGAGGTGGGTGGATCATGAGGTGAGGAGTTCAAGACCAGCCTGGCCAAGATAGTGAAACCCCGTCTCTACTAAAAATAAAAAAAAAAATTATCCTGGCATGGTGGTGGGTGCCTATAATCCCAGCTGCTTGGGAGGCTGAGGCAGAGAATTGCTTGAACCTGGGAGGCGGAGGTTGCAGTCAGCCGAGATCACACCACTGCAGTCCAGTGTGGGCAACAGAGCAAGACTCTGTCTCAAAAAACAAACAAACAAAAAAAACAACTGTTAGAACTGAACCAAATTCAGTGAAGCCGCAGGATGCAAACAAGCAAAAATCAGCATTTCTATACACCAATAATATCTGAAAAAAAATCAAGAAGGCAATCACATTTACAACAGCTGCAAAACAAACCAACAAAACCAAAAAAAAAAAAAAAAACTAGGCATAAATTTAACCAAGAAGTGAAAGATCTCTACAAGGAAAATTACAAAACACTGATGAAAGAAATTGAAGAAGAAACAAGACATCTCATGCTCATGGATCAGAAGAATTCATATCATTAGACATGACCATACTACCTAAAGCAATCTATAGATTCAGTGCAATCTCTAACTACATATCAATGTAGTTTTTCACAGAACTAGAAAAAACAACGCTAAAATTCATATGGAACCAAAAAAGATCCAGAATAGTCAAAGCAGTCCTAAGCAAAAGGAACAAGCTCAAGGCACTACACTACCTGACTTCAAAATATATTACAAGGCTGTGCTAACCCAAACAGCATGATATTGGTAGAAAAATAGACACAGAGACCAAAGGAAAAGAATAGAGAACCCAGGAATGAATCCACGTATTTACAGCCAACTGATCTTCAACAAAGCCATCAAGAACATACACGGGGGAAAGGACAGTCTCTCCAGTAAACGATGCTCAGAAAACTGGATATCCCCATGCAGAAGAATGAAACTAGACCCCTATTCCTCACCTTTATTAGGCTGTTCTTGTGTTGTGATTTAAAAAAATACCTAAGACTGGGTAATTTATAAGAAAAGAGATTTAATTGACTCACAGTTCTGCAGCTTGTACAGGAAACATGGCAGCATCTGCTTCTGGGGAGGCCTCAGGGAGCTTTTACTCATGGTGGAAGGCAAAGCAGGAACAGGCACTTCATATGGCAAAAGCAGGAACAAAAGAGAAAGGGTGGGAGAGATGCTATACTTTTAAACAACCAGATCTTGTAAGAACTCACTCTATCAAGAGAACAGCACTAAGGGGATGGTGCTAAGCCATTCCAGAGAAATCTATCCCCATTATCCAATAACCTCCCACCAGGCCCCACCTCCATCATTGGGGATTTCAATTCAACATGAGATTTGGATGGGAACACATATTCACACTACATCATCACTGTCTACCAAAATCAACTCAAAATGGATTAAAGACTTAAGCATACTGGAACTGGACTCCTTCCTTACACCTGAATAGTATTCCATGGTGTATATGTACCACATTTTCTTTATCCAGTCTACCATTGATGGGCATTTAGATTGATTCCATGTCTTTGCTATGTGAATAGTGCTGCATTGAACATACGTGTGCAGGTGTCTTTATGGTAGAATGATTTATATTCCTTTGAGTATATACCCAATAATGGTATTGCTGAGTCGAGTGGTAGTTCTGCGTTGAGTTCTTTGAGAAATCACCAAATTGCTTTCCACCGTGGCTGAACTAATTTATATTCCCACCAGCAGTGGATAAGCATTCCCCTTTTCTCCACAATCTTGCTAGCATCTATTAGTTTTTGACTTTTTTAATAAGTCATTCTGACTGGTGTGAGATGGTATTTCATTGTGGTTTTGATTTGCATTTATCTAATGATTAGTGGTGAGCATTTTTTCATACGCTTGTTGGCTGTGCATATATCTTCTTTTGATAATGTCTGTTTATGCCTTTGCCCACTTTTTAATGGAGCTGTTTGGTTTTTGCTTGTAAATTTAAGTTCCTTATATATCCTGGATATCAGACCTTTGTCGGATGCATAGTTTGCAAATATTTTCTCCCATTTTGTAGGTTGTCTGTTTACTCTCTTGATAGTTTCATTTGCTGTGCGGAAGCTCTTTTGTTTAATTAGGTCCCATTTGTCAATTTTTGTTTTTGTTGCATTTGCTTTTGGCATCTTCCTCATGAAATCTTTGCCAGGGTCTATGTTCAGAATGGTATTTTGTTGGTTTTCTCCTAGAGTTTTTATAGTTTTAGGTCTTACATTTAAGTGTTTAGTCCATCTTGATTTTTGTATATGGTATAAGGAAGGAGTTCAGTTTCAGTCTTCTGAATATGGCTGGCCAGTTATCCCAGCACCATTTCTTGAATAAAACAGTCCTTTCCCCATTGCTTGTTTTTGTCAGCTTTGTCGAAGATCAGATGGTTGTAGGTGTGCAGCTTTATTTCTGGGCTCTCTATTCTGTTCCATTGGTCTATGTGTCTGTTAAGTTTGTTTGAGGAAGATTTTAGAGGGCCAGAGCTCAGCTCAGCATTCCTAGTTTGACTGCTCTAACTCTAAGGGTGCTGGTACCAGGCCCCCAGCTTTGTTCTCTGGTCTCAGGAGCTTAGGAACTCGCTGCACTGGAGGGGCCCGGTGTTCCTGCTCTGCTGGCCACAGCACTGTGATGGGGAGTGCTGGCCAGTGCCTTTCCTCAGGCAGTGGCATAGCATAGCAGGATCTATGCTAGCTTGAGTGTGGCAGCAGCAGCAGTGGTGGGCTGGGGTGAACAGTTGCTGGCGGGAGTGAGGCACTGGATTCTGTACACACCCTCATGCAGGCCACATTGGCAGGGCAGAGTGCCGCACATTAGCGGTGGCAGGGTGTGCTCACACCAGCAGTGGTGGAGAGGCAGGGTGCATGTACACACACATGCCAGTGGGAGAGAGGAAGTATGGTCACCTGCGCTTGCGGGCCAGCAAAGCAGTGGAGAGGACCTTGGGCGAGTGCATGACAGCAAAGTGAGGTGGAGGAAGGCTGTAAGGGAGTGGAGGCTGTAGGTAGGCAGGTGCGCATCCATGGTGGCTGGTCAGCGGGAGCTCTCTGACGGTGAGGCATGGTCTGCTAGTGAAGGAGCTATGAGAAGGGCCCCTGGGAAGCACCCTGGTTAGGCATGCGAGGCTGTGCCACAAGCGGGCATGCCATGCTGGGGCCCCAGGAGAGGCTGGCAGATGAGGACACTCAGATCGGACTGGACATATCTCATGGACAAGACTGCCCTACTCTGTCCAGGTCCTACAGTTACCCAAAAGCTAAAGCCACCTAGAAGAGTATGGCGAGCCTTGGAGGATGGGCATCCCTGGCCATCCTGCTCCACCTGTGTTTCGAACTATTTTGTCTTTCAGCAGATTTTTTAACTTAAATGTGTGACGTTATTTTTTTCCAGAAAATCATTTATTTCTAAGTTTAAATCTTTTTTTCAAGTTGAAATAATAGGACATGTGAGAAGTGCTGGAAATGTTTTTATAGCACTATAAAATGTATTTCTTGATTATGAATTTGTTTCAGCCTGGAAAAGATTCTGAACATAGAGTTACAAATTTTCAGTTAAACTCTCATTATCTAAAAGTCAAGGTTCCGTCTTCCCACTATAGGTCTGCTTTTATGTTAAATGATGAGTTAATGGCTGCAGCACACCAACATGGCACATGTATACATATGTAACTAACCTGCACGTTGTGCACATGTACCCTAAAACTTAAAGTATAATAAAAATAAATAAATAAATAAAAAGAAAAAAAAAAGAAAGCAATGCAGGTAGAACAGTTTAGTTCTGCTGCCTCAGTCCCCAAAACCTGCATTGATAAGAACTAGTCTTTTATTAACTAATATTTTTTGAAAAGACTATAAATATGTACTGATTGGGAAGATTTAGAAATATATATATATATATTTTAACAAATCTAAGAAAAAATGTAGGGAAGCTATATACTTACAGCTGCATACAAGCTGATGTTTTAAAATTGGACTGATAGTTGACAATTATGTCAAATGAGACCTCTGGGAAGCAGATACTCAGACAGTATAAAGAGTTCAAACATCAGGGGCTAATGACTAAGAAAGGAAGGCAGGGAAGAAGCAGGATTATGCAGGGATAGCCCCAGTCTTCAGTGCAGATCTGACAGAAGCTCTCAACAATGGGGAGTTCTGGAGAAAAGATTGTCTATTATGAAAGTCTTGTGTTGGACTGTTATGCCCAGACATTGGCTGGGGGCTGCTTGAAAAGATGGTGGCCTCAGCATGAAAGCTGAAGCATATTCTAAAGATGTTGTGCTTGGGGGCTGTCAGCTAACTACACTCCTTGCACTGGAACAGCTGGTTCTTTGTTTGAAGAAATGTGAGCAGAGGACCTTCAGGACTGCCACAATGATGATGATAATAGTTATCATTGAGTAGCTCCTACTCTCCAGACACCATAGGTTCTTTTTACATATATTATTTGTAACCCTTGCATCACAGTCCCTAGAGGTAGAATAACCTTCATTGTTGAAATGCGAAAACTAAATATAGCTAGTAAGTTAGAGGCTGATGTGTTCATTTTATTGTAAATATACCCATAAACATTTCTGACAAAAATTTTCCTAATAAACTATTCCAGATTATGTCTTGTACCAACGATCAGTTTAAAAGCTTTTAAGCCAGAAGGGAAAGAAAGGTTGAAAGTAAGATTCCAGACTTGACATCTTACAAGAGACACCTACTCAAAAAGAACATTTATCAGAAGGATATGGTTGCTTCATGGAGTCTAAAGGCCGAAAAGGCAGCTGATTTCTAGAAATAAAGCTGCCTGTCTCTGTCTGTTTGACTATCACTCTTACTTTCTACTCTACCTTTCTACCCGTTTCTTTGCTTTTGCTATCCTAGATTTTCTCTCTCTTGCAGTCTCAAGCTCTGTCTCTTTTCCTTGGTCTCTGTCTTGATCTCTCTCACTGTCCTTCTCTGTCTCTCTCTCTCAATCTCTGCTCACAATCTATGTTGGTTTCTGTCTTCTCTGTCTTTCTCTTTTTTCCTCTCTCCTTCTCTTGGTCTTCCTCTTTTTCTCTCCTTCTCTGTCTTTTGCTTTTCATTCTTCCTCTCCTACCTCCTCTCCTCTCCTCTACCTCTTCCTTCATCTCCTCTCCATTCCCCTCTTCTCCCTTCCTCCCTCTCTCTCTTTTGGCCTGTCGCTTCCTCGCTTTCTGTCACTTTCTTTAGGTCTTGTATCTTGTCTGTTTCTCTCCTCACTCTGTCTTTTACTCTTTCTTGCTTTGTCTACCTGTCTGTCTGTCTGCCTCTTTGTATCTTCAAAAAGTAGAAAATGAGCCTACATCCTACTTTATAATTTCTTTAACTTTGATGTTCCATAAATGAAAGTATCTATATACATTTAACGTTATATATTTTAAACCAATTATCCTTGCTACATATATTTCACAGCTCCAGAAATAACTTATACTTTCTTTCCACAAAAAGTACAATAATATACTAAGAATTAAATGCTGAAAGTAAAATACCTTTCTTAGTAGTTAACAAAGATAACTGAAGCGCCATTTCCTAACTCAACACTCTAATTAGCTTTTCTTTCTAAATTAATAGTAATTTCAACCAAGGTATTCATTTCAACCAAGGTATTCTCATATAGTTGCTATGCCATATAGAGTTCTCTTGGATGTTGTTTGATCTAGCTCAAGTGAGAAAATTCTTTAGTTTCCTGTGAAGTGGTTTAAAATTTAATGAACAGATTAAGGATTTTCTTAGTACTGTACATTATGATCTGGTCAACTAACTTGAAATTGTAGTTTTACTATACTAAAATAGTTTATTTCTTTCTGCTGTTCAATCCCTGTTTTATAAAAACATTTATAGAAAACAAATTCCAGTACTCCTGGTAAGAAAAACAGAGGCCTTTTAACAAGTACTCCATCTTCAGAGACAGCTGGTTTTGTGGTAAGTATTAGCATTTGGCACTTGTAGTATCTGTTTTCTGGCTCCTCCTCTCCCCATTCTTCTATTTTTCTCATATCAGGGAAATATTGCCTATGGAGAATAATATCTGTGTTTTTCTGTTGCTTAAGCACACTTTCAATGAAAGTACTTTGTATACTACTATACATGCAAGAGAGAAGGAAAAATTAGAGTACTGCAGCAACAACCAGGATTCTTCTGTTTTTTCCTTTCAGTTTTAAAAATTGTGATGAAATATATATAACATAAAATTTATAATTTTAACCATTTTTAAGTGTACAGTTGAAGTATATTCATTCACATCATTATGCAACCATCACCACTATTCATCTCTAGAACTTTTTTCATCTTGCAAAACTGAAATTCCATATGCATTAAACAGTAACTTCCTGCTCCTCCCTACCCCACCCCTGGAAACCACCATTTTACTTTCTGTTTCTATAAATTTGACTACTCTAGGTACCTCATATAAGTGGAACCATACAGTATTTGTCCTTTGTGACTAGTTTATGTCACTTAGCATGGCATCTTCAAATTCATCTATGTTACAGCATGCATCAGAATTTTATTTTTAAGGATGAATTGATACTCCATTGTATGTATATGACACATTTTGTTTATCCATTCATCTATTGATGGACAATTGGGTTGCTTCTGCCTTTTGACAATTGTGAATAATGCTGCTATGAACATGGGTGTACAAATATATGTTTGAGTCCCTGCTTTCAATTCTTTGGGTATGTATCTAGAAGTGGAATTGCTACAGCATATTGTAATTCAATTTTTCTTTTTGAGGAACCACCACACTGTTTTCCTTAGTAGCTGTACCATTTTACATTCCCACTAGCAAAATGCACAAGGGTTCCAGTTTCTCTACTTCCTTGCCAGCACTTGTTATTTTCTTTTTTGTAATAGTAGTTCTTATGGATGTGAGGTGGTATCTCATTATGGTTTTGATTTGTATTTCCCTAATAAGGATGACACTGAGCATCTTTTAATGTGTTAATTAGCTATTTGTATATCTTTTTTGGGAAAATATCTATTCAAGTCCTTTGTTTATTTTTGAATTTTTAATTGTTGAGTTGTAGGAGTTCTTCATATATCTGAGATGTTAACCCATTACCCAACATATGATTTACAAATAATTTGCCCCCTTCCATGGGTTGCCTTTTCACTCTGTTGATAGTGTCCTTTGATGCACAAATGTTTTTTATTTTGTCATAGTAAAATTTGTCTTTTTCTTTTCTCACCTGTTCTTTTGATGTCATATCCAAGAAATGATTATCAAATCCAGTGTCATCAAGTCTTCAGTCAAATATCCAATGTTCCTCTTCAGTGTGAGCAATCCTCACAGAGGTCCATGCAGCGGCTTACATAGCAGTGTGGGGACTGCTCAGGCACAAGGAGATGAAATCCAGTATCTTTTGTAACAGCACTTATGCATAACGTCCATGGTCTCCACAAAGGACATGTGTAATTACAATGTCCCTGCACTCAGGGAAACTCAAAGTATTTTAGCTTTTATAGTGCAGTAGTTATTTATTTATAGTGCATTTATAGTTCCTCCTATAGATACAATTTTCCAATCAGACATTATTTTTACCATAAGCAATGTTACCTAGTAACACAGTTGACATTCTTACACTTATCAGGTTCCTAGGGGAAAGGAGTTACAGATTTAACCAATAGATGCTCATGATGGGAGAAAGGATTTTGTTAATCCTCTGCTCACAGTCTTTCCAGTGGCCCAAAAATCAATACTTTTTCCAGAAAATGAGTGTCTCATTTTTTATTCATTCTTGGTTGATATTTGGAGTTAAAATGTATTGATGAATAACAAATGTACCAAAATGATTTTTTTCGTGGCAAAACTAATTTAGTGACTATTTTACAAATATCAACATATTTTTAAATTTGAGGTACAAGTTACGTTTTATAAAACTCAGTATACTAAAGTATATAATTCAGTGGTTTTTAGCATACTTAAAAACTGTGCAACTATCATCATGATCCTATTTAAGAACATTTTCATCACCCTATTCGTTAATAGTCAGCCCTCATCCCCCCATCCCACCCTCCAGTCCAAAGAAACTACTGATTTAGTTTCTGTCTCTATAGGTTTGCTCTTTCTGAGTATTTCATATAAATGAGATCATATAACATGTGGCGTTTTGTGCCTGGTTTCTTTCACTTAGCATAATGTTTTAAAAATTCATCTATGTTATAGCAGGTATCAGTACTGCATTCCTTTTTTATGACCTATGTATTAGTCTGTTTCCACACTGCTATAAAGACATACCCAAGACTGGGTAACTTATAAAGAAAAGAGGTTCAATTGGCTCACAGTTCCGCATGGCTGGGGAGGCCTCAGGAAACTTACAATCATGGTGGAAGGGGAAGAGGCCTGTCTTACATGGCAACAGAGGAGAGAGCATGGAAGAGCAGGGAAAACTACCCTATAAAACCATCAGATCTCGGGAAAACTCACTCACTATCATCAGAACAGTATGGAGAAAACCACCCCCATGATTCAATCACCTCACACCGGGTCCCTCCCTTGACCTATGGGGATTATGGGGATTACAATTCAAGATGAGATTTGAGTAGAGACACAGCCAAACCAAATCAACTGAATTATACTCCATTATATACATATACCATATTTTGTTTATCAATTCAGTTTATGCGCATTTATTTCCATTTATTATCTATTATGAATAATACTGTTATGAACATTTGTTGACAAGTGTTTGTTAAACATGTTTTCAGTTGTCTTAACTATATACAGTCATCCCTCAGTATTCATGGGGAATTGGTTCCAGGACTTCTCAAAGATACCAAAATATGTGGATGCTAAAGTTCCTGATGTAAAATGGCATAGTGTTGGTTTTTTGCATATAACCTACGTGCATCCTGCACACCTTAAATCATCTCTAAATCAATCAGTCATCTTTTTTGGAAATTTTTAATTTGGTACAGAAATGTGTGGTGATTTCAGTAACCTGATAGAAAAATGGATATGGCACTTAGGAGAGAGTTCTATGTTAGAGATAGTGATTTAAAAATCTCTGGTGTATCATAGCAAACAAAAATTCCTAATTAAAAAATTACTTTAAAATGAAAGAATGTTATAACCCATTTTACAGATTGATTTGTCTCTAAACATGCATCTTTTGAAGAGTTATGTCCAAATGTCAGTAATTACGTTTATTCAGATGAAATTGTTCCTGTGTCAAGTTTACAGGAAAATGCTTCCAATGAGATGGTATTTTTCAACTTTTCTTTAATTACTTAAAAATCATTGCTTTTGCAATGTTTAACTTCCACAAAACAATAATGTATTCTTTTATAGATTGATTTGTCCTCAGTGCAAAAAGCATCTTTTGAAGAACTATTTCCAAATGTCAGCAATTATGTTAATTCAAATGAAATTGTTCCTGTGTCAAGTTTGCAGGAAAATTCTTCAAATGAGGTAGTATTTTCCATTTTTCCTTCAATTACTAAAGGAAATAATTACTGTTACATTAGATACTTTGTATATGAGGTGCTATAAGAAATCTCTTAACTCATGAGAAACATAATTTGCAAATATTTTCTCCTATTCTGTGGGTTGCCTTTTTACACTTTGGTTAGGGTCTTTGATGCACAAAATTGTATATTTTTTATGAAGTACAGTTTGTCTATTTTTTCTTTTCTTGCTCATTCCTTTGGTGTCCTGTGCAAGAAATCACAGCCAAATCAAATGTCTAAAGCTTTTTGCCTTTTTCTTTTCTTTTCTTTCTTTTTTTTTGACAGAGTCTCACTCTGTCCTCTCTGCTGGAGTGCCAGGGTGCAGTCAAGGCTCACAGACTCACTGCAGCCTTGACTTCCAGGATTTAGGTGATTCTGCCATCTCAGCCTCTCGAATAGCTAGGACTGCAGGCATACACCACCATGCCCAGCTAATTTTTTGTATTTTTTGTAGAGACTGGGTTTCGTTATGGTGCCCAGGCTATTGCCCTGTATTTTCTTCAATTTTTTTTTGTTTTAGGTCTTGTATTTAGGTCATTGATCCATTTTGAGTTAATTTTTGTGTATAGTATTAGGTAAGGGTCCAGCTTCATTCTTTTGCATGTAGATATCCAGTTTTCTCAGCATCATTTGTTGAAGAGATCATCCTTTCCCCCATTGAATGGTCTGGCCCCCTTGCCAAAAATCATTTAACCATATATGTGAGGGTTTATTCCTGAGTTCTCTATTCCATTGATCTATATGTCTGTCTTTATGTTAGTACCATATGGCTTTGATTACTGTAGCTTTGTACATTTTGAAATCAGGAAGTGTCAGTCCTCCAGCTTTGTTCTTCTTTTTCATTTTTGTTTTTACTATTCAGGATCCCTTGAGATTCCATGTGAATTTTAAAGTGGGTTTTTCTGTTTCTGCAATAAACATCATTGGGGTTTTGATAGAGATTGAATGGAATCTGTAGATCACCCTAGGTAGTAATGGCATCTTAACAGTATTGCATCTTCCAATCCATAAACATGGGATGTGTTTTCATTTATTTATGTTTTCTTTAATTTATTTTACCAATGTTTTATAGTTTTTATTGTGTAGGTCTTTGACTTATTTGGTTAATTCCTAAATATTCTTTTGGATGCTATTATGAATTGAATTGTAATTTATTTTCTTTTTTTTTGTTTTTTTTGGTAATTTCTTTTCAAATTGCTTATGTTAGTGTGTAGAAATTCACCTGATTTTTGTGTATTGACTTTGTGTCCTGTTAATTTGCTGAATTCATTTATTCTAATAATTTTTAATTCAATCTTTAAGGTTTTCCACAGTGATACCATGTTGTCTGTGAACAGAGATAATTTTACTTCTTGCTTTACAATTTGGATGCCTTTTATTTCTTTTCCTAATCGCCTAATTGCTCCGGCTAGAACTATCAGTAGTATGTTGAAAATGCAGACATCCTTGCCTTTTTCTTCATCTTAGAGGAAAAGCTTTCCATCTTTCACCATTGAATGTGATGTTTACTGTGGGTTTTCATATATGGCTGTATTCGTTCATTTTCACATTGCTATAAAGAAATACCTGAGACTGGGTAATTTATAAAGAAAAGAGGTTTCTTTATATATATAAAGAAAAGAGGTTTCTTTATATATATAAAGAAAAGAGGTTTCTTTATATATATAAAGAAAAGAGGTTTCTTTATATATATAAAGAAAAGAGGTTTCTTTATATATATAAAGAAAAGAGGTTTCTTTATATATATAAAGAAAAGAGGTTTCTTTATATATATAAAGAAAAGAGGTTTCTTTATATATATAAAGAAAAGAGGTTTCTTTATATATATAAAGAAAAGAGGTTTCTTTATATATATAAAGAAAAGAGGTTCCAATTATGGTGAAAGGCAAAAGGGGAGCAAGGCATCTTACATGGCCAGAGCAGGAGGAAGAGAGAAAATGGGGAGGTGCCACACACTTTTAAACAACAAGATCTCACAATAACTCCCCCACTAGAACAGCAACAAGGGCATGGTGCTAAACAATTGGGGACCACCCCTGTGAAGTACCACTCCCATGATCCAGTCACCTCCCACCAGGGCCCACCTCCAACATTGGGGATTACAATTTCACATGAGATTTGGGCAGGGACACAAATCCAAACCGTATCAATGGCTTTTATTTTGTTGAAGTAGTTTCCTTCAATTCCTAGTTTATTGTTTTTATCACAAAATGGTATTGAATTTTGTCAAATGCTTTTTCAGCATCAGTTGAGAAGATCAGTTGTTTTTTCCTTTCATTCTACTATATGTGGTATATTACAGTGATTGATTTTTTTTAAGTCTCGCCAAATTAAGCAGAAACATTGATTGGCTTTTGTATGTTGAACCATCCTTGCATTCCACGAATAAAACCCATTTAGTTGTGGCCTATAATAATTTTAATATGCTGCTGAATTTGGTTTGCTAGTAATTTGTTGAGGATTTTTCTTCAATGTTCTAGTGGATATTGGCCTGTAGTTTTCTTTTCATGTATTGTCCAGAAAAGACACTTTGTTTGACTTTGGGTAATGTTGGTCTCATAGAATGAGTTACAAATCATTCCTTTCTCTTCTTGGAAAGTTAGAGAAGTATTGGTTTTAGTTCTTTAAATGTTTGGTAGAATTCACCAGGGAAGGCATCAGAATTAGGGCTTTTCCTTGTTGGGAGTTTTTTCATTACTGATTCAATCTCCCTACTAGTTCTGTAGGTATATTCTGGTTTTCTATTTCTGCATGATTTAGTATTGAGAGGCTTTGTGTTTATAGGTATTTGTTTATTTCATCTAGGTTATCAAATTTGTTGATATACAATTGTTCATAATACTCTCTTTGTAATTCTCTTTTTGGTAGAATTGGCAGTAATGTCACCACTTTCATTTCTGACTTTAGTAATTTAAGTCTTCTTTCCCTTTTTATTAGTATTTTTTCATTAAAGGTTTGCCAGTTTTGTTGCTATTTTCAAAGAACCAATTTTGGTTTGATTGATTTTCCTTATGATTTTCTATTCTCTATTTTGTTTCTGTCTGCTCTAATCTTTATTATTTCCATCCTTCTGCTAGCTTTGGGTTTAGATGGTTCTTCTTTTCTAGTTCCTTAAGTTGTAAAGTTAGGTTGTTGATTTGAGACATTTCTTGTTTTTCAATTTAAGCATTTATAGCCATAAATTTCCCTTTAAGCACTGCTTTCACTAAATCCCGTAAGTTTGGTTATGTTGTGGTTTTGTTTTCATTTGTCTCTAAGTATTTTCTAATTTCCCTTGTGATTTCTACTTTGGCCCATTGGTGTTTAAGAGTATGTTGTTTAATTTTCACAGTTTGTTGAATTTTTCAGTTTCACAAACTCTGGTTTTTTTTAATGACTTCATTCTATTTTGGTCAGACAAAATACTTTGTATGATATCTATCTTTTAAAATATACTGAGACTTAATTTATGGCCTGATACCTGGTCTATCCTGTAAAATATCCCATGTGCACTTGAGAAGAATATATATGCTGTTATTTGAAAGATTGTTTTGTATATATGTTACACTTAATTGATTGTAAGTCCTCTATTTTCATATTCTCTTCTGCCTGGTTATTCTATCAATTATTGAGAGAGAGGTATTGAAGTCTTCAACTATTATTATAGAACTGTCTATTTTTCCCTTCAGTTCTGTCAGTTTTTACTTCATATATTTTGATGGTCTGTCATTCACTGTGTAAATGTTTATAATTGTTATATGTTCTTGCTATCTTGAGTCTTTTATTAATATATAATATTCATCTTTGTCTCTTATAACCTTTTGATTGAAACTTTATCTGATATTATTATAGCTGCCCCTGCTCTCTTTTGTTACTATTTACATGGAGTAGCTTTTTCTGTTTCACTTTTAATTTATTTATGTCTTTGGATCTAAAGTGAGTCTCTTATAAACAACATATAGCATATGTTTTTTATCCATTTTGCCAATCCCAGTTTTTCTATGGGAGAATTTAATTTGTTTATTTAAAATACTTACTGATAAGGACAGACTTATTTTTGTCATTTTGCTCATTGTTCTCTATATGCCTTTATCTTTTTTTGTCCTTCACTTTCTACATTACTGTCTTCTTTTGTGGTTAATTGATTTTTTGTAGTGAAATATTTGAATTTATTTCTTATTTCCTTTTGTGTATATTCTATAGCTATTTTCTTTGTGGTTACCAGAGGGATTACCTTTAGCAGTCTGAAGTTATGATACTCTAATTTGAATTTATTTAGCAGTCTAAAGTTATGATACTCTAATTAGAATTTATGGTTAACTTCAATGACATACAAAAACTTTGCCCCTTTACTTCACCCCTTTCAGATGATGATGTTAACATTTTTATACATCATGTGCCTTAAAACATAAATTAATAATTTTTTTGAGATGGAAACTCATTCTATTGCCCAGGCTGAGTGTAGTGGCATGATCATGACTCACTGCAACCTCCACCTCCCAGGCTCAAGCAGTCCTCCCAGTTTGGCTTCCTGAGTAGGTGGGACTGCAGGCATGCACAACCACGTCCAGCTAATTTTTGTATTTTTTGTAGAGACAGGGTTTTGTCATGTTTGTCAGGCTGGCCTCCAACTCCTGGGCCTAAGCAGTCTGCCTGCAGCTGAGATTACAGGTGTCAGCCACCATGCCCAGTCAATAATACTTTTAAACACTTTAGTCTTTTAAATTATGAAAATAAAATATGAGTTACAAACCAATGTTACAATAATACTAGCTCTTATACCAATAATTATTTTTTAAATTTATTAGTCTCTTAAATCATATAGAAAACAAGAAGTAGAGTTATAAATTGTTGTTATAATAATAGTAGCTTTTATAATTGCCCCTTCTATTTGCCTTTATTTAGATCTTCATTTCTTCATACAACTTCAAGGTACTGTCTAGTGTCCTTTCATTTCACCTTATAGGACTCCCTTAAGCATTTCTTGCAGGGCAAATCTAGTGGTAACTACCTCCCTCAGCTTTGTTTATCTGGGAATGTCTTAATTTCTCCCTCATTTTTGAAGGACAGTTTTACTGGATGTAGGATATTTGGTTCACAGATATTTTTCTTTTAGCACTTTGAATTTATAAGCCCACTGCCTTCTGGTAGCCAACATTTCTGACAAGAAATCTGTTGATTATCTTATAAAGATCCCTTGTGTGCAACAAGTCACTTCTCTTGCTGCTTTCAGGATTCTTTGTCTTTCTTTCTAAAGTTTGATTATAATAAGTGTGGGTGTCTTTCAGTTCATCTTACTTGGAGTTTGTTGAGCTTCTTAGATGTTTATGTCTTTTATCAAATTTGGAAAATTTCAGTCATTATTTCTTCTAATATTCTCTCTTCCCTCTTTTCTCATTCTTTTCCTTCTGGGACTTTCACAATATATATGTAGGTTTGCTTGATGGTGTCCCACAGGTCTCTTACACTGTTCATTTTTCTTCAATTTTTAAATTTATTTTCTTCAGACTAAATAGATTCATTGTCCTATTTTCAAGTTTATAGATTCTTCTGCCTGCTTAAATATGCCCTTGGATCTTTCTAGTGAATTTTTCCTTTCAGTTATTGTACTTTTAAGCTCTAGATTTTTTTTTTGCTTCTTTTGAGGTTTTCTGTTTTTGTTGATATTTTAATTTTGTTTATACATAGTTTTTTTGACTTTTTTTCACATCTTCCTTTAGTTCTTTGAGCATCTTTTAAAGAGAATTGTTTTAAAGTTTTTGAATACATTTATCATCAGTTCCTTTTTAGAGGCAGTTTCTGCTGATTTTCTTTTCCATTTGAATGTACCATACTTTTCTGTTTCTTTTATGCCTTTTGATTTTTTTGTTAAAAACTGGATGTTTGAATATAATAATGTAGTAAATGTGGAAATGAGTCTCTCCACCCTTCTTAGACTTTGCCATCTTTTTTTTTTTTTTTTTTTTTTTTTTTTAAGACGAAGTCTTCTCGCTCTGTCACCCAGGCTGGAGTGCAGTGGTGCCATCTCGGCTCACTGCAAACTCTGCCTCCCAGGTTCATGCCATTCTCCTGCCTCAGTGTCTGGAGTAGCTGGGACTACAGGTGCCCACGACCATGCCTGGCTAATTTTTTGTGTTTTTAATAGAGATGAGGTTTCACTGTGTTAGCCAGGATGGTCTCGATCTCCTGACCTCATGATCCACCCGCCTCGGCCTCCCAAAGTGCTGGGATTATAGGCGTGAGCCACCGCACCCAGCCAACTTTGGCATCTTTTGTAATTGTTTTTGTTTTCATTGTCATAGGCTACTTGTATGCCAAAGATCAGCTTGAGGTGTAAACTTAAGGTCTTCTTAGGTCTTTTCTGAGGTTTGCATATTTTTCTAGACATGCACAGTCACTGTCTAGCTTTCCTTGTATATGCAGTTGTTTTTTAATGTCTTAGCCATTATTGTGTACCTCCTAAAAGGAGAAAAGAAAAAAATTGAGAAAAAAAGGGTTCTTGCTTGTTAAATCTTCAGGTACTGTTCCCAATATTGTGTAAGCATTAGCACTATTTCTGCTAATCTTTTCAGATAGTTCTTTTACTGGCCTCAGATAGTTTCTTCGTAAGCTTGTACTGATCAGTACTCTACTGCATACTGAACAGTATGCATATTGCTGGGGTTCTCTCTGTATGTAGCTCTCTCCTCTCTGGTATTCCGCCCTATAAACTAAGTCATTTTGGTTTCCCTAGTACTCAGCTACATCTCCTCAAGTCAGGCAGTCTGCTGGGTACTGCTTAGTTTTCCCTCCCTGTACTGCAGGCTAGAAATTCTCTCAAGGCAGTAAGTTGGGGAAATTGTAAGACTCATATTGTTTGTTTTCAATCTCTTGGAGATTACTGTCCTTCAATGTCTGATGTCCAGTGTCTTGAAAACTGTTGTTTCATATATTTTTTTCTGATTTATTTTTGTTGTTTTAGGTGAAAGGGTAAGTCTGGAATGATATAGATTGGCTCTGTGTCCTCTCCCAAATCTCTTGTTGAATTGTATTCCCAGTGTTGGGGGAGGGATCTAGTGGGAGGTGATTGAATCATGGGGGCAGTTTCCCCCTTGCTGTTCTTGTGACAGTGAGTGAATGCTCACGAGATCTAGTTGTTTGAAAGTGTGTGGCACTTCTCCCTTTTCTTTTTCTCCTGTTGCCACATGAAGATATGCTTGCTTCCACCTCACATTCTGCCGTAACCATGTTTCCTGAGGCCTCCCCAGCCATAACTCCTGTACAGCCTGTGGAACTGTGAGTCAATTAAACCTCTTCTCTTTATAAACTACCCAGTCTCAGGTAGTTATTTATAGCAATGTGAGAACAGACTAATACAGAAAATTGATATCAGAGAAATGGGGCATTGCTATAAAGGTACCTGAAAATATGATAGCAGCTTTGGAACTGAGTAATGGGCAGAGACTGAAACAGTTTGGAGGGCTCAGAAGAAGACAGGAACATGAGGGAAGGTTTGGAACTTCCTGGAGACTTGTTGAATGGTTTTGACCAAAATGCTGATAGTGATATGGACAGAGATGGCCAGGCTGATGAGGTCTCAGATGGAGCTGAGGAACTTATTGGGAGCTGGAGTAAAGGTTACTCTTGCTATGCTTTAGTAAATATACTGGCAGCATTGTGCTCCTGCTGTAAAGATCTGTGGAACTTTGAACTTGAGAGAAATAATTTAAGATATCTGGTGGGAGAAATTTTTAAGCAAAGCATTCAAGACGTGGCTTGGCTTCTTCTAACAGCCTATGTTTATATGTGTTGTTCACAAAGAGGTGGTCTGAATTGGAACTTACATTTAAAAAGGAAGAAGAGCATAAAAGTATGGAAAATTTGTGGCCTGACCAGGTGGTAGAAAAGAAAAACCCATTTTCTGATGGGAGAAATTCAAGCCAGCTGCAGAAATTTGTGTAAGTAAAGAGGAGCTGTGTTAATATCCAAGACAGTGGGAAAAATACCTACAGGGAATTTCAGAGACCTTCACAACAGCCCCTCCCATCACAGGCCTGGAGGCCTGGGAGGGAAAAATGGTTTTCTGGACCAGGCCCAGGGCCTTGCTGCTCTGTGCAGCCTTGGGACATGGCGCCCTACATCCCAGCCACTCCAATTCCATCCATGGCCAAAAGGGGCCAAGGTACAGTTCAAGTTATTGCTTAAGAGGGTAAGCCCCAAACCTTGGTGGCTTCCACATGGTGTTGGGCCTGCAGGTGCACAGAAGGCAAGAGTTGAGGTTTGGGAACCTCTGCCTAGATTTCAGAGGCTGTATGGAAACACCTGGACATCCAGGCAGAAGTCTGCTGCAGGGGCAGAGCCCTCATGGAAAACCTCTACTAGGGCAGTGTGGAGGGAAAATGTGGGGTTGGAGCTACCATCATTTGTTAAAGACTACACAAAATAAAAAGATGTTGTAAAGCATGATATCCAAAGCATAAAATGTGGAAGGGTGGAGTAAAAGCATAGAATGTATGTGATTGAAGTTAAGTTGTTATCAGCTTAAAATAGAATGTTCTAACTACAAGATGTTTTATGTGAGCCCTATGGTAACCACAGAGAACAATCCTTTAGTAAATACACAAAAGATAAATAGAAAAGAATGAACACACACTATTGCAAAAAAAAATCAACAAATCACAATGAAAAACATCAAGAGAAGAAAAAACGTATTATCATTGCAATCAATGCTTAAAAACCATTGACAAAATCCAAAATTTTTAATGATAAAAACTCTCAACAAATTAGGTATAGATGGAATGTACCTCAACACAATAAAGGCCATTAATGATAAGCCCACAACTAATATACTCAATGATAAAAAGCTGAAAGTTTCTTCTAAAATGAGCAACAAGACCTGAGTACCCATTCTTGCTACTTCTATTCAGCATAGTACTAGAAGTCTGAGCCAGAGCAATTAGGCAATGAAAAGAAATAAAAAGCATCCACATTGAAAAAGAAGTTGGCCAGGCAAGGTGGCTCACACCTGTAATCCCAGCACTTTGGGAGACCGAGGCAGGCAGATCACGAGGTCAAGAGATTGAGATCATCCTGGCCAACATGGTAAAACCCCATCTCTACTAAAAATACAAAAATTAGTTGGGCGTGATGGCATGCACCTGTAGTCCCTGAACCTGTGAGGTGGAGGTTGCAGTGAGCCAAGATCGTGCCACTGCACTCCAGACTGGAGACAGAGTGAGACTCTGTCTCAAAAAAAAAAAGAAGTTAAATTGTCTCTGTAGATGACATGATTTCACATGAAAGAAAAACTAAAGACTTCAATGAAAACTGTTAGAACTAATAAACAATATCTTATTACAGGATACAAAGTCAATATACAAAAATCAGTTGTCTTTATTCACTAACAGTGAGCTTCCAAAAAAGGGATTAAGAAAATAATATCCTTAGGAACAAATACAACCAAGGAGGCAAAAGAGCTATATACTAAAAATTATAAGACATTAATGAAAGAAATTGAAGGCACAAATAAATGTAATGATATACCATTTCATTGATTGGAGGAAGTAATGTTGTTAAAATGTCCACATGTCAAAGTGATCTACAGATTCGTTACAATCATTATCCAGATTCCCATGTAATTTTTCACAGAAATAGAAAAAACAATCCTAAAATTCATATGGAACCACAAAAGATTTCAAATAGCCAAAGCAATCTTTAGAAACAACAAAGCTGGAGGCATCACACCTCCTAATTTCAAGCTATATTTGAAAACAATAGTAGTCTATACCTGTGTAACAGTATGGTACTGGTATAGAAACAGACATACTGCTGCTGTAAATGCCCGTAGGGAGGCAGGCACCCTAGGATCCACTAGCACCCTGCTGTAGCTGATGAGTATGTGCCCCACCACACTGCTGCTACTGCTGGCACATGAGAATGAGAATGGATCCCATTGCCACCAACCTATGAAATGCTTTGGCTGGCACCACCCATTGGATTGTAGAGACCAGTAGTCTGGGAGCACCTCACCCCCGCAACCACTCTCACCCAGTGCAGTAAGTTCCTAACCTTGAGGAGCCAGAGAACAAAGTTGGGGCCCAGTACAAGTCCCTCAGAATTAGAGCTTGCATTTCAGGAGTTGGGAGCTGAGACTTGGCCCCCTAAAATCTCCCAGAAACAAAGCCAGTCAACTGAACTCACATTATACCACAATCAAACCTTCAAGGCCATCAAATAAGATAAAGAAAAAAAATCTGAAGAACAGCAACTTCAAAAACTGAAGGAATATCAGCCCACAAAGATGAGAAAGAACCAGCGCATGAAAACTGATGTATCAAAAAGCCAGAGTGCCTTTATTCCTCCAAACGATAGCACTACCTCTCCACAAAGCATTCTGAATGTGGCAGAGATGACTGAAACGACAGAAATAGAATTCAGAATATGGATAAGAATGAAGACAATTGAGATGCAGGAGTACATTAAAAGCCAATCCAAGGAAGCTAAGTATCACAGTAAAATGATACAGGAGCTAACAGACAAAAAGCCAGTATAGAAAAGAATGTAATTGACCTGATAGAACTGAGAAACACACTACAAGAATTTCATAATGCAATCACAAGTGTTAATAGCAGAATAGACCAGGCTGAGGAAAGAATCTCAGAGCTTAAGAAATAAGACAGCTTTCTGAAATAAGACAGCTAAGAATAGAGAAAAAAGAATGAAAAGGAATGAACAAAACCTCCAAGAAATATGGGATTATGTAAGAGAGCAAATCTATGACACACTGGTGTCCTTGATAGAGGAGAATGGAAGCAACTTGGAAAACTTATCTTTCATGATAACTTCCCCAACCTAGCTAGAGAGGCCAACATTTTAACTCAGGAAATGCAGAGAACCTTACTAAGATACTTCACAAGGAAGATATCCCTAAGATACATAATCATCAGATTCTCCAAGGTTGAAATGAAAGAAAAAAGGTTAAAGGCAGCTAGAGAAAAAGGTCAGGTCACCCACAAAGGGAAGGCCGTTAGTCTAACAATGAAACTCTCAGCACAAACCCTAAAAGGCAGAAGAGATTGGGGACCAATATTCAACATTCTTAAGGAAAGTAAATTCCAACCAAGAATTTCATATCAGGCCAAACTAAGATTCATAAGTGAAGGAGAAATAATATCTTTTTCAGACAAGCAATTTGTTTTCACCAGAGGGAATTTATCACCAGATGTAACTTGAAGGAGGCAAGAGCTTCTGAAGAAAGCACTAAATATGGGAAGTAAAGACTGTTACCAGCCACTATGAAACACACTGAAGTACACAGACCAGTGACACTATAAAGCAACCACACAAACAAGTCTGAATAATAACCAGATAACATCATGATGACAGGATCAAATCCATACATTTCAATATGAACCTTGAATTTAAACAGATTAACTGCCTCAATTAAAAGGCACATAATGGCAAGCTGGATAGAGAAGCAAGACCCAACAGTATGCTGTCTCCAAGAGACCCATCTCACATGCAGTGACATACATAGGCTGAAAACAAAGGGATCGAGGAAAATCTACGAAGCAAATGGAAAACAGAAAAAAGCGTGGGTTGCAATCCAAGTTTCTGACAAAACAGATAATAAACCAACAAAGATCAAAAAAGACAAGGGCATTACATAATGGTAAATGGTTCAATTCAACAAGAAAATCTAACTATTCTAAATATACATGCACCCAACAGAGGAGCACCCAGATTCATAAGGCAAGTTGTTAGAGACCTTCAAAGAGAATTAGACTTTCACACAATAATAGTCAGAGACTTCAACACCCCACTGACAGTATTAGACAGATCATCAAGGCAAAAAATTAACAAAGATATTTAGGACCTGAAATCAGCACTGGATCAAATGGACCTGATAGGCATCTACAGAACACTCCACCCCAAAACAACAAAACATATATTCTCCTCATCACCACATGTCACATACTCTAAAATTGATCACATAGTCTAAAATAAAGCACTCCTCAGCAAATGCAAAAGAACTGAAATCATAAAAAACAATCATTTGGACTACAGCACCATTAATAATAGAATTCAAGACAAATAAAATAGTTCAAAACCATACAATTACATGGAATTGAATAACCTGTTCCTGAATGACATTTGGGTAAATAATGAAATAAAGGCAGAAATCAAGAAGTTCTTTGAAACTAATGAGAACAAAGATAAAACATGCCAGAATCTCTAGGACACGGCTAAGGCAGTGTTAAGAGGGAATTTATAGCACTGAATGAACACATCAAAAAATTAGAAAGATTTCAGATTAACAACCTAACATCACAAGTAAAAGAACTAGACAACCAAGAGGAAACCTACCCCAAAGTTAGCAGAAGACAAGAAACAACCAGAATCAAAGCTGAACTGAAGGAGATTGAGTCATGAAAAACCATTCAAAAGATCAACAAATCCAGGGGTTGGTTTTTTGGAAAAAAAAAATACAATGCATAGACTGCTAGCTAGACTAATAAAGAGAAAAGAGATAGGAGCCAAATAAACACAATTGGAAGTGACAAAAGGGATATTAACACTGGCCCCACAGAAAAGCAAATAACCATGAGATAATATTATGAAAACCTCTATGTACACAAACTAGAAATTCTGGAATAAATGGATAAATTCCTGTACACATGCACCCTCCACATACACCTTCCTGAACCAGGAAGAAATTGAATCTCTGAACAGATGAATAATGATTTCCTGAATAAGTAATAAGCCTACCAACCAGAAAAAGCCCAGGACCAGAAGGATTCTCAACTAAATTATGCCAAAAGTATAAAGAAGATCTAATACCATTTCTATTTAAACTATTAAAAAAAATTGAAAATGAGGGACTCCCCTCTAACTTATTCTATGAGGCCGGCATCATCCTGATACCAAAACCTGGCAGAAACACAACAAAAAAAGAAAACTTCAGACCAATATCCTTGATGAACATTGATGCAAAAATCCTCAACAAAATATGGGCAAACTGAATTCCAGCAGCATATCAAAAAGCTAATTCACCACAATTAAGTAGGCTTTATCCCTGGGATGCAAAGTTGAGTCAGTATACGCAAATCAATGTGATTCATCACATAAACAGAACTAAAGACAAAAGCCATGTTATTATCTCAATAGATGCAGAAGAGGTTTTTGATAAAATTCAACACCACTTCATGTTAAAAATTATCAATAAACTAGATATTGAAGGAATATACCTCAAAAAGAGACATCCAAGACAAACCCACAGCCAACATCATAATGAATAGGCAAAAACAGAAGCACTACCCTTGAAAACCAGCACAAGAAAGCCAAGAATGCCCTCTCTCACCATTCCTCTTTAGTATAGTATTAGGAATCTTGGCCAGAGCAATCAGGTGAGAGAAGGAAATAAAGGGCATAGAAATAGGAAGACAGGATGTTAAACTATTCCTGTTTGCTGACTACATGATCATATATCTAGAAAACTCCATATTCTTGGCCCAAAAGCTCCTTAAGCTAATAAACAACTTCAGCAAACTCTCAGGATACAAAATCAATGTACAAAAATAACTAACATTCCTATACACCAATTACAGTTAAGCCAAGAACCAAATCAGAAACACAATTCTATTCAGAATTGCCAGAAAAAGAATAAAATACCTAGGAATACAGCTAACTAGGGAGGTGAAAGATCTCAACGAAGAGAACTACAAGCCACTGCTCAAAGAAATTAGAGATGACACAAACAAATGGAAACACATCCCATGCTCATGAATAGAAAGAATCAACATCGTTAACATGGCCATAGTACCCAAAGCAATTTATAGATTCAATGCTATTCCTGTCAAAGTGCCAATGGTATTCTTCACAGAACTAGAAGCTGTTTTAAAATACGTATGAAAACATAAAAGATCCTGAATAGCCAAGGCAGTTCTAAGCAAGAAGAACAAAGGGGGAAGTATCACACTACCTTACTTCAAACTATACTACAGGACTATAGTGACCAAAACAGCATTGTACTGGCACGAATAGACCAAAGGAACAGAATAGAGAGCTCAGAAATAAGGCCACACACCTACAATCATCTGATCTTGGACAAAGCTGAGAAAAGCAAGCAAAGGAAAAAGGACTCCCTATTCAATAAATGGTACTTGGATAACTGGCTAGCCATGTGCAGAAGATTGAAAATGAACCCCTTCCTTACACCATGTGTAAAAATCAACTCGAGATGGATTGAAGGCCTAAATATAAAACCCAAAACTATGAAAATCCTGGAGACATAGGAACAGGCAAAGATTTCATGACAAAGATGCCAAAAGTGATTGCAATGAAAGCAAAAATTGACAAATGGGATCTAATGAAACTAAAGACTGTCTCCACGGCAAAAGAAACTATCAATAGAGTAAACAGACAACCTACAGAGTGGGAGACAATCTTCCCAAACTATGCATCTAACAAAGGTCTAATATCCAGCATCTATAACGAACTGAAACAGATTTACAAGAAAAAAAAAAAACATTAAAAAGTGGACGAAGGACATGCACAGACACTTTTAAGAAGACGACATACATGTGGCCAAAAAGTGTATAAAAAAAAAGCTCAACATCACTGATGATTAGAGAAATGCTAGTCAAAACCACAATGAGATATCATCTCACACCAGTTAGAATGGCAATTATTAAAAAGTAAAAAAATAGCAGATGCTGATGAGGTTGTGGAGAAAAAGGAACAGTCATACACTGTTATTGCGAGTGTAAATTAGTTCAACCATTGTGGAAAGCATTATGGCAATTTCTTGAACAGCTAAAAACAGAACTACCATTCGACCCAGCAATTTCATTATTGGGTATATACACAAAGGAATATAAATTGTTCTACCATAAAGACACATGCATGTGTATGTTCATTGCAGCACTGTTCACAATAGCAGGGACATGGAGTCAACCTAAATGCCCATCAGTGATAGACTGGACAAAGAAAATGTGGTACATATACACCATGGAATACTATGCAGCCATAAAAAAAGAATGAGATCATGTCTTTTGCAGGAACATGGATGGAGCTGGAGGCCATTATTCTTAGCAACCTAATACAGGAACAGAAAACCAAATATGGCATATTCTCACTTATAAATGAGAGCTAAATGATAAGAACACATGGACATATACAGGGGAACAACACAGGGGCCTTTTAAAGGGTGGAGAGTGGGAGGAGGGAGAGGATCAGGAAAAATAACTAATGGGTACTAGGCCTAATACCTGGATGACAAAATAATCTGTGCAACAAACCCCCATGATATGGGTTTACCTAATAACAAACCTCTACCTGTACTCCTGAACTTAAAAGTTAAAAAAAGACAGACATGGCTGGGCATGGTGGCTCACGCCTATAATCCCAGCACTTTGGGAGGCCGAGGCAGGCAGATCACAAGGTCAGGAGATTGAGACCATCCTGGCTAACACAGTGAAACCCCGTCTCTACTAAAAATACAAAAAATTAGCCAGGCCTGGTGGCAGGCACCTGTAGTCCCAGCTACTCAGGAGGCTGAGGCAGGAGAATGGCGTGAACTCGGGAGATGGAACTTGCAGTGAGCCAAGATTGCACCACTGCACTCCAGCCTGGGTAACAGAGCGAGACTCCGTCTCAAAAAACAAAAAAAAAGACAGATATATACACCAATGAAACAGAACAGAGTGCCCAGAAGTACACCATATAGAAAAATTAACTCAAAATGGATTAAAGACTTAAATGTAAGACCTGAAATCATAATAAAACTCCTGAAACAAAAGATAGGGAAAAAGCCTCTTGATACTGGTCTTAGCAGTGATTTCTTGGATATGACACCAAAAGCACAGGCAACAAAAGCAAATATAAACATTCTGGACTACATTGAATAAAAAGGCTTCAGTGCAGCAAAGAAAACAACGTGATGAATACACACCTATAGAATGTTAGAAAATATTTGCAAACCACATATCTGATAAGGAGTTGATATCATATATCATATATATACACATATATACATATATATACACATATATATACACACATATATATACACACACACATATATATACACATATATATATGGAACACAAAACTCTAGCAAAAAACCAAATAGCTAGATTAAAAAATGCTCAAAGGACCTGAATTGCCATTTCTCCAAAAAAGACATACAAATGGCCAACACTTATATGAAGAGCTCAACATCACTAATCAGGGAAATTCAAATCAAAACTACAATGAGAGATGACCTCATACCTGTTAGAATTGCTTATTTTAAAAGCAACAGATTAAAAAGTATAGGCAAGAGTGTAGGGAAATGGAACCCTTGTACACTGCTGATATGAATTTAAATTGGTATCATTGTTATGGAAAAAAGGATGGGGGTTCCTCAAAAAATTAAAAATATAGGTTCCAGTAATTTCAACTTTGTGTATATATTCAAGGGAAATGAAATCGGTATCTCAAAGAGATATCTGCACTCCCGTGTTTATTGCAGCAATATTTACAATAGTCAAGATATGAGAACAACACAAGTGTCCATTGACAGATTAATGGATAAAGAAAATGTGACATACATTTGCCAATCAGCTATTAGAAAAGAAGAAAGGTGACATGTATGAACCTGGATGACAGTATGCTAAGTGAAATAAGCCACACATACAATGACAAATACTGTATGATCTCACTTATATGTGGAATATAAAAATGTCACACAGAAGCAGAGAGTAGAATGGTGGTTGACAGGGGCTGGGGCTGGGGGAAATGGAGAGATGCTGGTCAAAGGGTACCAACTTTTAGTTATAAAATGTGTATGTTCTGGGAATCTAATGTACAGCATGGTGGCTATAGTTAATAACAGTGAATTGTTTACTTGAAATATAATAAGAGAACATATTTGAAATGTTCTTACCACAAACAAAAAAGGGAAGCTGTGTGTTGATGGATGTGTTAATTTGATTGTGGTACTTCTTACACAATGTATGTGTATATCAAATCACGTACACCTTGAATATATGCAATTTTTATTTGTCAATTATACCTGAGAAAAGCTGGAAAAAATAAAATGGTGATTATAAATAAAATACAGTGGACACTTAGTACACCTCTCCTTCCAAACCAAAATATTTGCAGTCAGTTTTGTACAGCCATTATTAACATGTAAAACTGTTTGTTTTAGTATCCACTACCAGTTATCTTTCATCATAGCTCTCTCATTTTTTAGTTGTTAACTTTTACTTATTTCTTAGGTAGGTAGAGTGTGTCTGAAGACAAGGTTTTCATGAAGAATGCAGTGATTAATTTTTGGAGTTTTTATTATCTGAGAATATCTGTGTAGAAACAAAGGAAAGATAAACATTTTACAAACATTTTCTTCGTAGAGCTTGGTAGACATTAATTTATTGTTATATTTCAGAGGTTTCTTTGGTTACTGATATGGTTTGGCTGTGTCCCCACCCAAATCTCAACTTGAATTGTATGTCTCAGAATTCCCATATGTTGTCTGGGAGGGACCCATTGGGAGGTAATTGAATCATGGGGGCTTGTCTTTCCCATGCTATACTCGTGATAGTGAATAAGCCTCAGAAGATCTGATGGGTTTATCAGGGGTTTCCACATTTGCTTCTTCCTCATTTTCTCTTGCTGCTGCCATGTAAGAAGTGCTTTTCGCCTCCTGTTATGATTCTGAGGCCTCCCAAGCCATGTGGAACTGTTAGTCCAATTAAACCAAAAATGTGGAAGCAACTTTGGAACTGGGTATCAGGCAGAAGTTGGAACAGTTTTGAGGTCTCAGAAGAAGACAGGAAAATGTGAGAAAGTTTGGAACCTTCTAGAGACTTGTTGAGTGGCTTTGACAAAAATGTTGATTGCAATATAAACAATAAGGTCCAGGCTGAGGTGGTCTCAGATGGAGATGAGGAACTTGTTGGGAACTAGAGCAAAGGTGACTCTTGTTATGTTTTAGCAAATTAGCAAGGATACTGGCAGCATTTTGCCCCTACCCTAGAGATTTATGGAACGTTGAACTTGAGAGAGATGATTTAGGGTATCTGGCAGAAGAAATTTCTAAGCAGCAAAGCATTCAGGAGGTGACTTGGGTGCTATTAAAAGCATTCTGTTTTAAAAGAGAAACGGCATAAAAGTTTGAAAATTTTGCAGCCTTACAGTTTGATAGAAAGGAAAATCCCATTCTCTGAGGAGAAATTCAAGCTGGCTGCAGAAATTTGCAGAAGTAATGAGGATCCAAATGTTAATCCCCAAGACAATGGGGAAAATGTCTCCAGGGCATGTTGGAGGTCTCCAAAGCAGCCCCTCCCATCACAGGCCTGGAGGCCTAGGAGGAAAAAGTGGTTTTCTGGGCCAGGCCCAGGATCCCCATGCTGTGTGCAGCCTAGAGGCTTGGTGCCCTGCATCCTCGCCACTCTAGCTCTGGCTGAAAGGGGTGAACGCAGAGCTTGGGCCATGGCTTCAGATGATGCAAGCCTCAAGCTTGGCAGCTTCCACATGGTATTGAGCCTGTGGGTGCACAGAAGTCAAGAATTGAGGTTTGGGAACCTCTTCTTAGATTTAAAAAGATATATGGAAATGCCTGGATGCCCAGGCAGAATTTTGCTGCAAGGGCGGGTTTCTCACTGCTAGGGCAGTGCAGAAGGGAAATGTGGGGTTGGAGTCCCCATACAAAGTCCCTGCTGAGGCACTGCCTACTGGAGCTGTGAGAAAAGGGCCACTGTCCTCCAGACCTCAGAACGGTAGAACCACTGACAGCTTGCACCGTGCACCTAGAAAAGCCACAGACACTCAACACCAGCCCATGAAAGCATCCAGGAGGGAGGTTGTACCCTGCAAAGCCACAGGGGTGGAGCTGCCCAAGACCATGAGAACCCACCTTTTGCATCAGTGTGACCTAGATGTGAGACCTGGAGTCAAAAAAAATATCATGTTGGAACTTTAAAATTTGACTACCCTGCTGGATTTCAGACTTGCATGGGCCCTGTAACCCATTTGTTTTGGCCAATTTCTCCCATTTAGAATGGCTGTACTTACCCAATACCTGTACCCCCATTGTATCTAGGAAGTAACTAGTTTCTTTTGATTTTAGAGGCTCATAGGCGGAAGGGACTTGCCTTGTCTCAGATGAGACTGTGGACTGTGGACTTTTGGCTGAAATGAGTTAAGACTTCGGGGGACTGTTGGGAAGGCATGATTGGCTTTGAAATGTGAGGACATGAGATTTGGAGGGGCCAGGGGTGGAATGATATGGTTTGGCTGTGTCCCCACCCAAATCTCAAATTGTATCTCCCAGAATTCCCATGTGTTGTGGAAGGGACCCAGGGGAGGTAATTGAATCATGGGGGCCAGTCTTTCCTATGCTGTTCTTGTGATAGTGAATAAGCCTCACAAGATCTGATGAGTTTATCAGGGGTTTCTGCATTTGTTTTCTTCCTCATTTTCTCTTGCTGTCACCATGTAAGAAGTGCCTTTCACCTCCTGCGATGATTCTGAGGCCTCCCCAGCCATGTGGCACTGTAAGTCCAGTTAAACCTGTTTTTCTTCCCAGTCTCGGGTATGTCTTTATCAGCAGCATGAAAACAGACTAATACAGTTACAATCACAAAAAAACTCAAATAGTGTAAGCCAAAAATAAAAAGTGTAGGAGGATTTATTGACTTCCTGATTGATTGATTGATTGATTGATTGAGACACGTTGTTGCTCTGTCACCCCGGCTGTAATACAGTGGTGTGATATAGTTCACTGTAATCTCAAACTCCTGGGCTTAAGCAATCTCCCCACTTCAGCCTCCTGAGTAGCTAGGACTACAAGCATGTGGCACCACAACTGGCTAATTTTTAATTTTTTTTTTGTTGTTGAGACAGCAGTCTTACTTTGTTGCCCAGACTGGTCTCAAACTCCTGACCTCAAGCAGTCTTACTGCCTTGGCCTCCCAAAGTGTTGGAATTACAGGTGTGAGCCACCATGCCTGGCCAAAAGAGGATTTATTGACTCATATAAATGGGAAGGAGAGTGATGAATCCAAACTTTAGTGGATCTTGTTAGAAAGTCCTCTTCAACTCATGCCTGTAATCCCAGCACTTTGGGAGGCTGAGGCAGGTGGATCACCAAAGGTTAGGAGTTCAAGACCAGCCTGGCCAATATGGCGAAACCTTGTCTCTTCTAAAAATACAAAAATTAGCCAGGTGCAATGGCGCACACGTATAGTCCCAGCTACTTGGGAGGCTGAGGCAGGAGAATCACTTGAACCCAGGAGGCAGAGGTTGCAGTGAGCTGAGATCACACCATTGCACTCCAGCCTGGGTGAAAGAGTGAGACTCTGTCTAAAAAAAAAAAAACCAAAGTCCTCCTCAGATTTGTAGGTTTTGTTTGTTCTTGTTTTTAAAATCTTAACCTATCTTTGATTGGCTTCATTTTCTTGGGCTTCCACCCAAGAAACAGACTTCCACTCATCTCTTGTGGCTTACTTTGTCACAGTCTAGATTGAAGGGGAGAGCTTTCTTTCTAGGTGTGTATGTTTTTCAGTTCTGGTTAAGGGCTCCAGTTAGCTTTGACTTTTTCACATGCCTACATTTTGGACCAATTGTCATTGCCAGGGAAATGGTAAACTATAATTGGCTAATCCTGGGTCACTTGCTTACTTCTGTGGTCAGGTGACAAAGTTTATAACCAAAAGGACGATGAGAATCTTGCTGAGCAGATATTTTTCTTTTGAAAATGTGTTAAACTCATTTTCTGTTATATCTCCAATCATTGCCTAGTTTCATTTACTTTCTTTTGTAATGCAAATAGTCTTTAAGGTTTTTTTGTTTGTTTTGTTTTCTGTTTCATAAATCTTTTTCTTTCAGACAGGATCTCACTCTCTTGCCCAGGCTGGAGTGCAGTGGCACGATAATGGCTCACTGTAGCCTTGACCTCCCAGGCTCAATTGATCCTCTCGCCTCAGCCTCCCAAGTAGCTGGGACTACAGGCATGTGTCAGCACACCTGGATAATTTTTGTATTTTTTTTTTATTGTAGAGATGGGGTTTCACCACATTGCCTAGGCTGATCTCAAACTCTTGCGATCAAGCGATCTGCTCACCTCAGCCTCTCAAAGTGCTGGTATTACAGGGATGAGTCACTGTGCCCAGTCTCATAAATCTTAAAATCAGTGGAGATTCTACCCAATTTATGGCATACAGTAAACTGTGACCACTTTTTTGTGTGTTTCTCCTAGAGTAAATTATTATCTTGTTTACTTCTTACATTAATGCTTTAAAGATGCTGTAACAAAGAACCACAAACTAGGTGGCTTCTTAAAACAACAGAAATCTATTATCTCATTTCCTGAGGCCAGAGGTCTGAAATCAAGGTGTTGGCAGGGCCATGCTTCCTCCACAGCCATTAGGGGAGGCACTTTCTTCTATCTTCTGTTAAACTCAGGCATTTCTTGTCTTGTGGCAGCATAACTCCAATATCTACTTCCCATCTTCACATGACTGTCTTCCCCCTTTGTCTTTGTGATCTTAACTTGATTAAGTCTGCAGAGACCCTATTTCCAAATAAGGTCACCTTCACAAGTACTGGGGGTTAGGACTTCAACATATTTTTTGGGAGGAGAACACAATTCAACCCATAACACTTGTTTTTTTTATTTTTCTGTTTAGTCCCTCCTAAACTCTTTGCCGATTGCCTATATTGCCTCTCTAGATCTTCAGATTCACCAAATTTACCACAAATTTCAATTTACTAAGGAAGTCTCTCCTAGAGCATTCTTACCTGTTCTCCCATAGGGTGCTATTGCTCTCTGTGCCCCATCCTAGGATCTCCTCGTACCATCATCCTGGGAACTCACTTTGCCAATCTTCTGTTTTCCCCATGCCATGGCTTTCTCTTTTTGCCTTAGTTTAGGAGCTAATCTTCCATTGGCTTCCTATGAAAGGGTACGTGTTATAGAAATTGTTTGAGACTTTTCATGACTGAAAATGTTTTTATTTCATCTTCATATTTGATTGATTATTTAAGTTGGCTAGAATTTTAGGTGGAAATAATTTTCTTTATAATTTTTTCAGCATAACTTTATTGTAGTTCTAGCTTCCAGTGTTGCTTTGAGAAGCCATGTTGATTTCTGCTCCTTTATAATGATCAACTATTTCTCTGTGGAAGCTAGAGGGATCTTCTCCTTGTCCCTTGTATTCTGATATTTTATGATGATGTGCTTCAGTGGTTTCTGCTTTTATTTTTATTGACTTTTTCCTTCTATTTTCTTTCAGCTTATTTTATACATTGCTTAGTACTGGTTTAGCTTTATCCAACAAGTTTGATAGGTTATAATTTCAGTATTATTTGGGTTTATGTAGTTTTAAATTGCATTATGACTTTTTGTTTGACCCAGGAGTTCCTTAGAAATGTGGATTTTAGAAATTCTGAGTGCATGAAGACTTTTAACATATATTTGTTTTTCACTTCCAACTTAATTACATCAAGGTCAGAGAAAGTGTTGCATACCTGGTATGGATTCTTTGAAATGTGCTTTAATATGAGTCTTTTTCTATATAATGTGGTAGAACATGGTGGATTCTTTTAATTTGGAAAAATAAGCACCTTGGTTTGGGGAAATTTTAAAAATCATTTTATTGATAATCTCTACTTCTTTCTTTTTTTGAGCATCTGTTATATGGAGATTGGGCTTCCTGTATTGGCCTTCTTAGCTTCCTATCTTCTTCTAAAAACCTTTTGTCATTTTGTTCTATTCTCTGGAAGATTTCCTCAATTTTATCTTCCAAATCTTATATTAGGCCAGGCACAGTGGCTCACGCCTGTAATCCCAGCACTTTGGGAGGTCAAAGGCAGGCAAATCGCTTGAGCTCAGGAGTTCAAGACCAGCCTGGGCAACATGGTGAAATCCCCTCTCTAAAAAAAATACAAAAATTAGCTGGGCATGATGGTGTGTGCCTATAGTCCCAGCTACTCAGGAGGCTGAGATGGGAGGATGACTTGAACCCGGAGAGGGGCAGAGATTGCAGTGAGCCAAGATTGTGAGATCGTGCCACTGCATTCCAGCCTGGGCGACAGAGCCAGATGTGTCTCAAAACAAATCTTATATTAAACCTTTTGTACTATGCAATAATATTTTTAATGTATAGGAGCTCTTTTTTGTTCTCTGGGTACTTCACTATTTCATGGTTACTACATCTTCTAATCTTAATTTTTTTTTTTTTTGAGACAGGGTCTTGCTCTGTCACCCAGGCTGGAGTGCGGTGGCATGTTCACGGCCTCAAACTCCTGGGCTCAAGTGATCCTCCCACCTCAGCCGTCCTGAGTAGCTGGGACCACAGTCATGCACCACCATGCCTGGCAAATTATTTTGGAATTTATTGATAGTTGCAATACAGCCTAATACATGGTCAATTTTTATTATATGTTGCGTGTGTTTGAAAGTAATGTTTATTCTGTAATTGTTGATAATGTGTTGAAATTAGCCACTATTACGATGGTAGATTTATTACTTTCTTCCTATAGATCTATAAATTTTTGCTTTATGTATTTTAAAGCTCTTTTATTTATTCCATGCATGTTTATGATTGTTATGCTTTTCTGGTGTACTGAACCTGTTTTCATTCTTTAGCAAGCCTTTCTGTTTCTAATAATGTTTTCTTTTGTCTTGAATTCTGTTTTGTCTGCTATATAGTTATCCCACTTTTCTTTACATATTTCCTTGGTATATCTTTTTCTACCCTTTTATTTTCAACCTTCTCATAGCCTTATGTTTATGGTAGGTCTCTTGTAAATAGCTTTCCAGTCTGACAAGCTCTGTCTTTTAACTTTCAAATTTAGTCCATTTATATGTACTGTGATTATTGATACATTTGGACTTATTTCTGTGATCATAATTATTATTTCCTTTCATCCAGTTTTTTTTGTATGCCTCCCTTTTCTTCTTAACAATTTTTGATTCATTGAAAAAAACAATTTTGGCTGGTCATGATGTCTCACACTTGTAATCTCAGCACTTTGGGAGGCTAAAACTGGAGGATTGCTTGAGGCCAGGAGTTCAGAACCAGCCTGGTCAACATAGAGAGACCCTGTCTCTACAAAAGGAAAAATAATTAGCCAGGCATTGTGGCACATGCCTGTAGTCCTAGCTACTCAGAAGGCTGAGATGGGAGGATCACTTGACCCCAGGAGTTTGAGGCTGCAGTAAGCCATGATTGTGTCATTCTAACCTGGGCAACACAGTGAAACTCTTAAAAATTTAAAAAAAAATTAACTTTTTCCATTTCACTTCTTTCCCCTACTGATTTGAAACTAATACTTTCTATTTTGTTTCTTATCATTGTATAAGTCCATTCTCACACTGCTATAAGGATACTACCTGAGACCAGGTAATTTATAAAGAAAAGAGGTTTAATTGACTCACTGTTCTGCATGGCTGGGGAGGCCTTAGGAAACTTACAATCATGGTGGAAGGTGAAGGGGAAGCAGGTACCTTCTTCACAAGGTGGCAGGAAAGAGAGAGCGCAGGGGAAGTGCCACACACGTATCAACCAAATCTCATGAGAACTCACTCACTATCACAAGAACAGCATGGGGGAAACTGCCTCCAGGATCCAGTCATCTCTCACTAGGTCCCTCTTCCAACATGGGATTATAATTTAGGTTATAATTCAAGATGAGATTTGGGTGGGACACAGAGCCAAACTCTATCAATCATGGCTACTCTTGAAATTTTACGAGGTATATTTAAGTTAGTAATGTCTAAAAATGAACAATAACTCAACTTTGTTGGCAAAAAATATAAGGACCTTACAGTACTTTTAAGTTCAATCGTCCACTCCCAACTTACATATTTTTGTTTTACAGTATTTTGGTTCTGTCTTTTCTTTCACCCCAAATTATAATAATCAGCATTATTGCTATTATTTAGACAATGTTTGTTTATATTACATATATTTAAATTTAATAACCTTTTATTCTTGCCTCTTAGGACAACCGTCTCAGATCATTTTTCTTCATTTTGAAATTCACCATTTAGGCCAGGCGCAGTGACTCATGCCTATAATGCCAGCACTTTGGGAGGCCAAGGTGGGAGGATTGCTTGAGGCCAGGAGTCCAAGACCAGCCTGAGCAATATAGCGAGATCCCATCTCTAGTAAAAAAAAAAAAAAAAAAAAGAAAACAAGAAAAATTCACCATTTAGATTAGGTTATTTAGTGAAGGTCTTTGGTGGTAGATTGTGTTAGTTTTTAAAAAATGCCTTTAATTTGCCTTTATTCTTGAAAGATAGTTTTTCTTGGTACACATTTCTAAGTTGACAGTCATTTTCTCTCTGCTCTTTGATGGTATCATTCCACTGTCTTTTGACTTACATGTGGCAGTTACAGTTGTCCTAATAGTATAATTGTCATTGCCTTGTATGTATGCAGGAAAGGGTTAACTCAGCAGGCTTGCACATTCCCAAGGTCCTTAGGACTGTCCTGTGGCCAGGCTCCTGGGAGATAACCTCTGAGTCCTTGGAGTATTCTGCTTCTTAGGAATGTCTGTATGCCTGAGGTCTTGGGCCTTGCCAGATAGTTTATGCAAACAATGTGGTTTATGGTAAATACTTGTTTTTGATGCCGGAGGTTTTGGTCCACACTGTGTCTGTTTGACCTCTGGGGGCTGAGTAGCTGAGGTCTGTCATGAAGGAACTACATGCCTGTGTGACTGACCCCAAATAGAAACCCTGACCTCAAGCCTCACTGAGCTTCCGCTTTGCACATGGGAGAATTAAGTGCTGACCATGTGACTCCACTGGAGGACAACTGCTCCTTGTTTTGGCCCTATGTCTTTTCCCTTTGCCAATTTTAATCTGTATCCTTTTGCTGTAATAAACTGTAACCCTGAGTATAACAGCTTTTCTGAATCCTATGAGTCCTAGCAAATCACTGAACCTGAGAGTGGTCTTGGGGCCTGACACATATATCTTTTCTTTCTGGATTTTGTTAAGGTCTCTTTGTTTGGGGTGTGCTATAATTTTACTGGAATGTGTACATAAGTGGATGATGATGATTATTATTTTAAGACAGGGTCTCACTCTGTCACCCAGGCTGGAGTGCAGTGGTAAGATCATGGATCACCGTATCCTTGACCTCCTGGGTTAAAGTGATCCTCCCACCTTAGCCTCTTGAGTGGCTGGGACTACAGATGCATGCCACCATGCCCAGCTTCTTCTTCTTCTTCTTCTTCTTTTTTTTTCAGTAAAATGAAGTCTCCCTATATTACCCAGCTTGGCTTTGAACTCCTGGACTCAAGTGATCCTCTCACCTCAGCCTCTCAAAGTACTGGGTTTACAGGTGTAAGCCACTGCACCTGGCTTGATTATTAATTTTGTTTGCTGTTCTTTGTATATTCTAATTTTTCTTGGGATTGGGCTTCCTAAATCTGTGGATTCATGTCTTTCATTAATTTGGGAAAATTTTCAGCTATTATTTATTATATTCTCTCTGGAATGGTAGTTATATGTTAGGTTGCATTCTATCCTCCATATCGTTGAACCTCTGTTCAATATTTTTCATTTATTTGTTATAGTCTGGGCAATTTCCTTACTAATTCTTTCTTTATCTATCTATTCTGCTTCTTAAGCCTTTCGCTGAATTTTTTATTTCAAAAACTTTTTCATTTCAAGAAATTCTGGTTCTTTTTCAAATCTTCTTTCCATTCCTGGTTATTGTTTTGTTTTTTTGTTTTGTTTTGTTTTAAGACAGGATGTCTCTCTCTGTTACTTAGGCTGGAGTGTAGCAGTGGGATTATATCTCACAGTAACCTTCAACTCTTGGGCTCAAGTGATTCTCCTCTCTCAGCCTCCTGAGTAGCTATGGCTGCAGGTGTGGACCACCACACCTGGCTAAGTTTTCTATTTTTTTTTTTTTTAGAGCCAGGTCTCACTATGCTGCCTAGGCTGGTCTTGAACTCCTGGCCTCAAGTGATCCTCCCACTTTGGCCTCCCAAAGTGCTGGGATTACAAGTGTGAGCCACCACGCCTGGCCTGCATTTTATTCCTGATAGTTTTTGGTTGCTTGTTCATCCTTGAGAGCCTGGGGCCTGAGGGAACTCACCACACTGGAGGGAAAGGCCATGGGCAAGGTCTAATGCTGTGCTGGCTTCAGGTCTGACCCAGCTTAGTCCCATTGGTGGTGGTCACAGGGGTGCTTGGATCACCATACCCTCAGTTCCAGGTGGCTCAGCAAAGAGAGATAGAGATTCCATTTGTTTAGGAGAAAGTAAGGGAAAAGAACAGAAGTCTCTGCCTAGGAATCCAGATAATTTTTCCATATCTTATCCAACACTACCAAGGTGGTACTACCAAGGTGGTACTGCTACAAGTCTGCAAAGACCAGTGTTACTTGGCTTGGGGCCCAAGTCCCTTGGAATACTTAAGAAGCCTTCCCAAGAAGGACAGGCATAAACAAATCCAGACTGTAAAGACTACAATAAATACCTAATTCTTGAATGCCCATACATTGATGAACATCTATAAGCACCAGCATCATCCAGGAGAACATGACCCCACCAGATCTAAATAAGGCACCAGGGACCAATCCTGGAGAACAGAGATATATGTCCTTTCAGACAGAGAATTCAAAATAGTTGTTTTGAGGAAATTCAATGAAATTCAAGATAACATAGAGAAGGAATTTAGAATTCTATCAGATAAATTAGACAAAGGCATTCAAATACTTCAAAAGAATCAAGCAGAAATCCTGGAGTTGAAAACTGCAATTTGGCATACTTAAGAATGCATCAGAGTCTCTTAACAGCAGAACTGATCAAGCAGAAGAAAGAATTAGTGAGCTTAAGACTGGCTATTTGAAAAGACAGAGAGGAGACAAAAGAAGAAAGAATAAAGAATGAAGCACACCTATGAAATCTAGAAAATATCTTCAAAAGGGCAAACCCAAGAGTTATTGGTCTTAAAGAGGAGGTAGAGAAAGAGATAGGGTAGAAAGTTTATTTAAAGGGATAATAACAGAGAACTTCCCAATCATAGAGAAAAATATGAATATCCAAGGACAAGAAGTTTGTAGAGCACCAAGCAGATTTAATCCGAAGACTACCTCAAGGCATTTAATAATCAAACTCTGAAAGGTCAAGGATAGAGAAAAGATCCTAAAAGCAGCAAGAAAAAAAGAAACAACGTAAAATGGGGCTGTAATACGTCTGTCAGCAGACTTTACAGTAGAAACCTTACAGGCCAGGAGAGAGTGGCATGACATATTTAAAGTGCTGAAGGAAAACAACTTTTACCCTAGAATAGTATATCTGGCAAAAAAAAAAAAAAAAAAAATCCTTTAAGCATGAAGGAGAAATAGAGATCTCCATACACAAATAAAAGCTGAGGGATTTCATCAACACCCGGCTTGTCCTATAGGAAATGCTAAAGGGATTTCTTCATTCTGAAAGAAAAGGATGTTAATAAACAATAAGAAATCACCTAAAGGTAGAAAACTCACTGGTAACTGTAAGCACAGAGAAAAACAGAATAGTATAACATTGTTATCACAGTGTGTAAACTTCTCTTGAGTTAAGTAGAAACACTAAACAGTGAACCAGTAAATCATAACTACAACTTTTCAAGACATAGACAGTACAATAAGACATAAAGAGAAAAAACAAAAAGTTAAAAAGCAAGAGGACAAAGTTATAGAGTTTTAATATTATTTTTGAATGTTTATGAAAGCAGTGTTAAGTTGTCATCAGTTTAAAATAATTAGTTATAATATTTGCAAGCCTCATGGTAACCTCAAATCAAAAAATATACAACAGATACACAAAAAATAAAAAGCAAGAAATTGAAGTGTACTGCAAGAGCAAATCATCTTCACTAAAAGGAAAACAGAAAGGAAGGAAAGAAGAAAGAGAAGACCGTCAGTCAACCAGAAAAAAAAATAATAAAATGGCAGCAGTAAGTCCCTAACTGTCAATAACAACATTGAATGTAAATGGACTAAACTCTCCAATGAAAAAACATAGAGTGGCTGAATGGATTAAAAAAAAGAAAACAAGACCCAATGATCTGTTGCCTACAGGAAGCACACTTCAGCTATAAAGATACACACAAAATGAAAATAAAGGGCTGGAAAAAGATATTTTATCCCAATAGAAACCAAAAAGAAGCAGTAGCTGTACTTAGACAAAACAGATTTAAAGGCAAGAACTAAGAAAAGACAAAGCAGGTTATTACATAAAGATAAAGGGGTCAGTTCAGTAAGAGCATATAATGATTGTGAATACATGTGCACCTAACACTGGAGCACCCAGATATATAAAGCAAATATTAGTAGAGCTAAAGAGAGAGGCTGGGTGTGGTGGCTCATGTCTGTAATCCTAGCACTTTGGGAGGCCAAAGTGGGAGGATCACTTGAGCCCAGGAGTTTGAGACCAGCCTGGGTAACAAAGTGAGACCCCATGTCTCCAAAAAAAAAGCCAGGCATAGTGGCACCAGCTATACATAAGGCTGAAGTGGAAGGATTGCTTGATCCCAGGAGGTTAAGGCTGCGGTGAGCTGTGTTTGGACCACTGCATTCCACCCTGGGCAAAAGCAAAAGAGTAAATCTTGTCTCGCAAAAAAAAAAAAAAAAAAAAAAAAAAGGCAGACCTCAATATAACAATAGCTAGAGACTTAAAGAGCCCATTTTCAGCATTGGACAGATCTCCCAGACAGAAAATCAACAAAGAAACATCAGACTTAATCTGCACTGTAGAACAAATGGACCTAATAGATATTTATAGAACATTTTATCCAGTGGCTTCAGAATACACATTTTTCTCCTCAACGCATGAATCATTCTCAAAGGACAGGCCATGTGTTGGGTCACAAAATGAGTCTTAAAACACTCAAAACATTGAAACAATGTCAAGCATCTACCCTGACCACAATGGAGTAAAACTTAAAATCAATAATGAGGAATTTTGGAAACTATACAAACACCTGGAATTTAAACAGTGTGCTCCTAAATGACCAGTGGCCAATGAAAAATTAAGAAGGAAATTGAAAATATTATTGAAACAAATAATAATGGAGACATAACATTCCAAGACCTATGGGATACAGCAAAAGCAGTACTAATGGAAATTTAGATCTGTAAGTGCCTACATCAGAAAAGAGGAAAAACTTCAAATAAGCAATCTAATGACGCATCTTAAAGAATTAGAAAAAGCAGGAGCAAAGCAAACCCAAAATTAGTAGAAGAAAAGAAATAATAAAGATCAGCACAGAAATAAGTGAATTTGAAGAAACATACAAAAGATCAACAAAACAAAAAGTTGGTATTTTGAAAAGATAAACAAAGTTGACAAATCATTAGCCAGACTAAGAAAAAAAGAAGACCCAAGTAAATAAAATCAGAGATGAAGAAGGAACATTACAATGAATACTACAGAAATTCAAAGGATCATTAGTGTCCACTATGAGCAACTATATGCCAATAATTTGGAAAATTTAGAAGAAATTGATAAATTTCTAGACACATAGAACCTACAAAGATTGAACCATCAATCAAAAACCTGTATAGACCAATACAAGTAATGTGACCGAAGCCATAATAGTCTCCCAGTAAAGAAAAGCGCAGGACCTCATGGCTTTGCTACTGAATTCTACCAAACATTTGAAGAAGAACTAATACCAATCCTACTCAAACTGTTCTGAAAAATGGAGGAGGGAATACTTCCAAATTCATTCTGTGAGGCCAGAATTACCCTGATACCAAAACCAGAGAAAGACACATCAAAAAAACAAAATTATAAACCAGTATCTCTGATGAATATTGATGGAAAAATCCTGAATGAAATAGTAGCAAACCAAATTCAACAATACATTTGAAAGATCATTTATCAGCCAGGCACGGTGGTTCACATCTGTAATCCCAGCACTTTGGGAGGCTGAGGCAGGCAGATCACCTGAGGTGATCATCTGAGGTCAGGAGTTCGAGACCAGTCTGGCCAACATGCTGAAACCCTGTCTCTACTAAAAATACAAAAAAATTAACCAGGCGTGGTGGCACACACCTGTAATCCCATCTACTCAGGAGGCTGAGGCAGGAGAATCACTTGGACCTGGGAGGCAGAGGTTGCAGTGAGCTGAGAACACACGACTGTACTCCAGCCTGGGCAACAGAGTGAGACTCCATCTCAAAAAAAAAAAAAAAGGCCGGGCGCGGTGGCTCACGCCTGTAATCCCAGCACTTTGGGAGGCCGAGGCGGGCGGATCACGAGGTCAGGAGATCGAGACCATCCCGGCTAAAACGGTGAAACCCCGTCTCTACTAAAAATACAAAAAATTAGCCGGGCGTAGTGGCGGGCGCCTGTAGTCCCAGCTACTTGGGAGGCTGAGGCAGGAGAATGGCGTGAACCCGGGAGGCGGAGCTTGCAGTGAGCCGAGATCCCGCCACTGCACTCCAGCCTGGGCGACAGAGCGAGACTCCGTCTCAAAAAAAAAAAAAAAAAAAAAAAAAAAATAGCTGGATGTAGTGGTGCATGCCTATAGTTTCAGCTACTTGAGAGTCTGAGGTATGAAAATCACTTGAACGTGGGAGGCAGAGGTTGCTTTGAGCCGAGATCACACCACTGCACTCCAGCCCGGGCAACAGAATGAGACCCTGTCTCAAGAAAAAAAAAAAAAAAAGGAAGTTTCTATATAGACTTTATTTAAAATAACAGAAGCCCTGGATAAATACATCTCTGCTTCTTAATTCTAAAAAACAAGATATGTCACTTCTGAAAGACATGGCATTGCTTTCCGTCCTTTCCCCCCTCCCCCTCCCTCCCCCTGTCCCTCCTCCTCTCCCTCCCCCTCTCCCTCCCCCTCTGCCTCTTCCTCCACCTCTGCCTCTGCCTCAAGGAATCCTCCTGCATTGGCCTCCCAGGGTATTGGAATTACAGGCGTGAGCCACCGTGCCCAGCCGGTATTTTTTTATTCTGGAGACTATCTGCCTGATGGGAAATTGTCAACATTACCTGAGGTAAAAAATCAAGGAATTTAGTGTTTAACTCAGTTAAATTTAAATTTGGATTTTAACTCAATAAATCATGCAAACTTTCTCTCCCACTTCAGCATGCTTGAATCTCAGCTCTACCATTACTTACTCCCTATCCTTAAGTAAGTCAATCTCTCTGAAACTGTTTTCTCATTTATAAAATGGAGATAATATAATCTGCCTTGCTTGGTTCTTGTGAATATTAAATGAACATATGTTTTAAAACCAATTACTGTTAGGAGTGGAGTAAGCATTTAATAAATGCTTGCTGTTATTAATATCTAAGAAATACAGATATTAAGACTAGTTGCATTTGAAATAAAGCAACATACAAATGTAGTATTTGGAGGAATTATGCAATATCTGCTTTTTTTCTTTTCCAGTTTCCTGCAAATGCATCAGAAATATGTTGTATTATTAGAACATCACCAGGAACTAGACAAGTGAAAAATAAAGGTGTTATTGTAAAGAAGAAGAAATATTCTCTTCCTAAGGATACCCCTCAAGGTACTGTAGTATGAATGCAGAGCATACTTTTTGGATGATATAAAACATTTTTTTCATTAAAAATGCCTTATGTACACAGGAAATTCAATTATAAATTGTATTCTAAGAGTTCTTGCAGAAAGTGGAAATGGTAAAATTATAAAAGCCTGGTCAGGGGTGGACTCAGTGGCTCATGCCTATAATCCCAGCACTTTGGATAGCTCAGGCAGGAGGATCAGTAGAGCCTAGGAGTTCAAGGTTATGGTGAGCTATCATCAGGTCACTGCACTCCAGCCTGAGTGACAGAGAGAGACCCTGTCTCTTCATTAAAAAAAATAAAGTCTGGTCAGATTTCAGAACAAGAACCAGAGTAAAATAATTTTTTGAAAGACAGATACTTTATCTTTTGAAAAATTAGCGTATGGCACTAATGTAAAATATATTTATCCAGGATACTTTCTCTTATAATTATGTGAAATTTAGTATTGTTTTGGTTTCAATTTTAGTAGCATTATTTTTAGAGATGTGGAGATGTTTTTGCATTCACCTCATATTGGTTGAGTACTTCCTCTGTGAAAGGCACTGTGCTAAGAACCTTATATTTCATTACGACTTTATAATAGATGTGTACTGTTATTCCCATTTTACATATTAAGACTCTGAGATTTAAAGTAGTAAGGAATTTGTCCAAGATCATACTTCTTCAAGTGGTAGAGAGGAATTCAATCTTTTAAGCTTTCTAACTCCAAATGCAGTGTTTTTTTGTTTTGTTTTGTTTTTTCTTTGGTTTTTTGAGTTTAGAAGGCTTAACATCTCCCCTCACTATGCTTCAGCCAGAATGTCTAATTACTCAGTGGCACTTTGGAATTTTTATGAGTAAATAGCCAATGAAGCAATTGAAATTTAGTTAGATATGTACAGCTTCAATTCAACCAAGATGTCCACTCTTAATTCTTGTACTTATTTCCTCCACAGTACCTGCCCTGAGCATTCTCTAAGTCTATAGAGATCCCTTTTTTATAAGTTCCTTGAATACTCAATTCAGTGCTACTCATTTGATACTTAATAATTGTATTTGTCAGGGTTCTCCAGAAAAACAGAACCTAAAGGAGATAGAGATATATGAGAGGGGATTTTTTTTTTTTTTGACAGATTCTCGCTCTGTCACCCAGGCTGGAGTGCAGTGGCGCAATCTCAGTTCACTGCAAGCTCCGTCTCCCAGGTTCACACCATATTCCAGCCTCAGCCTCCCGAGTAGCTGGGACTACAGGCACCCGCCACCACGCCCGGCTAATTTTTTTTTTTGTATTTTCAGTAGAGATGGGGTTTCATCGTGTTAGCCAGGATGGTCTCGATCTCGTGACCTTGTGATCTGCCTGCCTTGGCCTCTCAAAGTGTTGGGATTACAGGCGTGAGCCACCGTGCCCGGCCAGTGAGGGGGATTTTTAATGAAAATTGGCTAATGTGGTTATGGAGGCTGAAAAGTTCCATGATATGCCATCTGCCAGCTGGAGAACCAGAGAAGCCAGTGGCATCACTAAGTCCAAGTCCAAGGGACTTAGAACTTGGGGAGTGTTTATGCAACTCCCAGAATCCATAGGCTAAGGAACCTGGAGTTCTAAGGTCCAAGGACAAGAGAAAATGGATGTCCTCGCTCCAGAAGAGAGAGTAAATCTGCCTTTCCTCCGCCTTTTCTATTCTGGTCCTCAACCAGTTGGATGGTGCCTGACCACTTTGGGTGAGGGCAGATTTTCTTTATTCAGTCCACTGATTCAAATGCCAGTCTCTTCTGGAAACATCCTCACAGAAACAGATCTACTCAGAAATAATGCTTTACCAGCTTTCTGAGTATCCCTTATTCCAGCCAAATTGATATCTAAAATTGACCATCACAATAATATATTGCTACCCAACCTAATTTACAGTGCTGACTTTTCATATTTCATATTCCTTAGGTTATGAAGTTTTCAAGGAGAAAGCACATAATTGACTTCTTTCTATCTCTATCTCTGATAACATCAGCATAGTGGTAGGGAATAGCAAGATCCTGTATTTGTCAGGATCCTACAAAAGAAAAAGCCAATTTTATATATATGGAAAACATTAAAGAGAGGTTGAAAGTTATAGAGGATAGAATAAGGCCTAACGTATGCAAATTACCATTCCGGAGAGAATAAAACAAGGAATTGACTTATACAGTTATGGAGCTGTAGAAGTATAGCTGGGCAAGTTTGCAAACTGTATGGCAGGCTGGAAACTCTTGGGCAGGAGCCAATGATGCAGTCTACAGATAGATTTCTTTTTGTTCAGATAAACTTCAGTTTTGCTCTTAAGGCCTTTCAACTGATTGAATGAGGCCTACCTATATTATCAGGGATAATCTCCTTGAAGTTTATATAAAGTTTATTGTAGATATTAACCACATCTACAAAATACCTTCACAGCAACGCTTAGATTAGTATTGAACTGAATAATTGTGTAATATATCCTAGGCAAGTTGTCACACACAACTAACCATCACAGCGCATTCCTTATCAACTATGCATCCATTTGCATCTCCTTAAACCATAATTTAATCTCCAGATAAAGACAATAATAAAGTCATACTTTTGCCTAACATGCTACAACTCTCCTGCATAAAACTGAAAATGTGCTAACCCTTTCCCCAGAAGAGGATACAAAGTTTCGGGCAATGTTCACCCTTCTTCTTGCTATCCTGTAACTTAAAAACTGTGATATAAAGTTAACTATTATTAATACATTGTACATCATATGATAAAGGGATAAGAGAGAGAAGAAAACAAAGATACTTGCCTAACTAATCAGGTGATCGTAACAGGTATTTATAACCACCTTCTTCTATTACCCATGCCATATTCCTTCTGCCTTCAGCAGGCACTTCAGATGGTCATGGTTCTTTACCTGGTGGGTGACACAAACTTTATTTCTGATGGGTCTGGGCCATTAGCAGTCCTGCATGGATTGGGTTGTTGTAGTTTTCCATTAACGTTAATCACAGGGTATGATAAAATTAACAGATACCCTAAGAGATCTCCTGTGTTCCAGACATATTCTTCCTTACCACCATTGTGGAGTAGTAGTTCAGATTCTCCTTGGTAGTCCGGATCAGTCGCCCCAGTCAACACCGTAAGTCGCTTCTTAGCCTATTGACTCCAAAGTGACTGGGGGCAGTCTTAACTTCCAGTTTAATAGAATTAGTCTCCTGTGGAGGAATTTCTCCCTTTGGAACTAAGACCTCTAAGCCAGTGGGGCATAAAATTATGAGAACAGGAAGAATAAATTTTGCTAGTGGGTCACCAGGGTTAATAATGCATGGTGCCACTTTTGTTTCTACCCCTTGATTCCTGGCTATGGAGGGAAAAAAAGTACCATTTATTGGATGCTGATTCAGAGCATATATATAGCCCTCTGGAGAACTCTGCCCTCCCTGCAAGTTATTGCCACCTAGCTGGTGCTATAACTGAATCTTCAAAAGGCCATCCCATCATCCTATTAGGCCAGCTTCTTTAGCATGATAAGGAACATAGACCAGTGAATTCCAGGAGCAATGACTCATACTGAAATTCTTTTGCTGTGACGTGAGTTCCTTGATCAGAAGCAATGTTGTATGGAATATGACAATGGGTAAAGCATTCCATGAGACCATGGATGACAATTTTGGCAGAATTTTGTATGAGGAAGGCAAATCTGTATCGAGGGTCTGTTCTAGTAAGAACAAAATGCTACCCCTTCCATGATGGAAGTAGTTCAATGTAATCAACTACAAAGCTGACTGAGCACCCAGAGGAATAGTGCCATACTTGGAGTCAGTGTTGTTGTCTGCTGCTGACTGGTTGGGCCCTCAGCAGTGGCATCCAGGTTGGCCTTGGATAGTGGAAATCCATATTGCTGAGCCTATGTATGACCTCCATTCTTGCCACTGTGGCCACTTTGTTCATGAGCCATGAACAAAGAGGATACCAGTTAGCCTCTTTCCCCAGCCCTGTTCTGACAGAGGTGGCTGGAATAGAGACTGACTGGTTTCCACAGACTTGATTATCCTATATTCACTTCATTATTAAAATCCTCCTCTGCTAAGATCACCTTTGGTGAGAATTTTATGGCATACATCCTTCTTTTCTTTTCTTCTTTTCTTTTTTTTCCCATTGAGAGAGGTCTGTCCTGGGTGGGTGTGATGGCTCATGCCTGTAATCCCACCGCTTTGGGAGGTTGAGGCGAGTGGATCGCTTGAGCCCAAGAGTTTGAGACCAGCCTGGGCAACATTGTGAAACCATCTCTTCAAAAAAATACAGAAATTAGCCAGGTGTGGTGGTGCACTCCTGTAGTTCCAGCTACTTGGGAGGCTGAGGTGGGAGGATCACCTGAGCCCGAGGAGGTGGAAGCTGCAGTAAGCTGTAATCACGCCACTGCACTGCAGCCTGAGCAATAGAGTGAGATCCTGTCTCAAAAAAAAAAAAAAAAGATCTGTCCAATGCCTCCTTTCAAATTTTTCAGTCCACTTGTGATGGATTACTGAGTGTCAACTTGATTGAATTAAAGGATGCAAAGTATTGTTCCTGTGTGTGTCTGTGAGGGTATTGCCAAAGGAGATTAACATTTGAGTCAGTGGACTGGGAGAGGCAGACTCACCCTCAATTTGGTGGGCATCATCTATCTAATCAGCTACCAGCATGCCAGAATAAAAGCAAGCAGAAGAATGTGAAAAGATTAGACTGGTTTAGCCTCCCAACCTACATCTTTCTCTGATGCTGGATGCTTCCTGCCCTCTAACATCGAACTCCAAGTTTTTCAGCTTTGGGACTCGGACTGGCTTCCTTGCTCCTGAGCTTGCAGATGGCCTATTGTGGGACTCTGCGATCATGTGAGTTAATACTCCTTAATAAACTCCCTTTTATGTATATATATTGTATTAGTTCTGTCCTTCAGAGAACCCTGACTAATACAATGTTCTTTCCAAGTCCCTGACCATACAGCCAAATCATTGGCTACCACTCTAGAATACAGTTAAAGATCGGCTGGGCACGGTGGCTCAAGCCTGTAATCCCAGTACTTCGGGAGGCTGAGGCGGGCGGATCATGAGATCAGGAGATCGAGACCGTCCTGGCTAACACAGTGAAACCCCGTCTCTACTAAAAATACAAAAAAATTAGCCGGGCATGGTGGCGGGTGCCTGTAGTCCCAGCTACTCAGGAGGCTGAGGCAGGAGAATGGCGTGAACCCGGGAGGCGGAGCTTTCAGTGAGCCAAGATCATGCCACTGCACTCCAGCCTGGGTGACAAAGCAAGACTCTGTCTCAAAAAAAAAAAAAAAGAATATAGTTAAATATCTGGTTATTTCTCCTTTCAACAAAGCACACAACCGGGTGCACTCCTCTCAGTTCTGCCCACTGGGAGGACTTATCTTCACCAATTTCCTTTAGGGATGTCCCAGAAAGAAATTGTAGGTGCTCTAACTGTCGACTTTAAGGCAGTACCTGCATATCATAGAGAACCATTTGTAAATCAAATATGAGTTTTCTCTTCCTCAGTCAACTGATTGTAGAGAACTCCTCATGTCATCTTCAGAGCAGGCAGTGAGAAAAAAGGTAATGTAGCCAGGGTGGGGGCCATGGACATTTGGGTCACTTCCTCATGTTACTTACTTATGACTTCAGGGCCTGCTCAAGCTCAATTTTACATAAACCACTTCCATTTGATAATGGAGTGCTGCCATTAACACCAAATTTATGACTTGGTAGGTCAGACAGCACATAGTTCATGATAGGCAGTGTGGGTCACATGGTAACTTGATGGCCTATGATTAAGTGCTTAGTTGCTACTAAAATTTGGCAATAAGCCAAAAGCTGTTTCTCAAAAGAGTAGTTTTCCACTGAGGATGGAAGGACTTCACTCCAAAATCCTAAAGGTTCACCCTGGGAGTCACCTGCAGGGACCTGCCAAAGGCTCCAAGCAGCGTTTCTATCTGCCACTAACACTACAAGCACCGTTGGATCTGCTGGATCATTTGGCACAATTTTCAGAGCAGCTCCACAGCAACCTCGACCTATTGCAGATGATTCTCTTGTTCTGGGCCTCCCTTCAAATCTAGCAGCTTTTTAGGTCACTCAGTGAGTGGGCTGGAGTGGCACACCTAAATGAGAAATATGTTAACTCCAACATCCAAAAAAGCTGACTAGGCATTGTGTCTGCCTTTTGGTTATAGGAGGTGCCAGATGCAATACCTAATTCTTCGCCTTAATAGGGATGTCCCTCATACTACTTGACCCCTGGAAATTACAAAGGTGGAAGGCCTTTGGAGACCTACCAATTTCATTGTAGGAATATACCCAACTGTAATGTATATATGTGTCACCAAAAAATATCTACTAGAATATTAATAGCATCAGTGTTCATGATAGCCTCAAGCTGGAAACTATCCAAATGCCCATTAAGTAAAATGGATCAACTATGGTATATTCATTCATTCAAGTGCTATATAGCAGTGAAAATCAACAATATAAAGTTATATGCAACTGTTACATATTACATGTTATATACAAAATTACAAACATAATGATGCGTTTAACAAAGGGTGCCAGACCCAGTAGAGTATATTTAATATTATCTACATACAGTATAAAACTTGGCAAAACTAAACTATAATGGAAATCACGATAGTGGATGCCCTTGTTGGAGTGGGGGCATTACTTGGAAGGGATTACAAGGGGGAATTCTAGGGTGCCGATAATGTTGTGTTTCCTTATGTCAGTGCTGTTTACACAGGTATGTTGTGTTTGTGAAAACCTATCAAGCTGTACATATGTGTACATTTCTGTGTATTTGTTATACTTTAAGAAGAAGTTGGCCGGGCTGGGCGCAGTGGCTTAGGCCTGTAATCCGAGCACTTTGGGAGGCCCAGGCGGGTCAGGAGATCGAGACCATCCTGGCTAACACGGTGAAACCCCATCTCTACTAAAACTACAAAAAATTAGCTGGGCGTGGTGATGGGCACCTGTAGGCCCAGCTATTCAGGAGGCTGAGGCAGGAGGATGGCATGAACCCGGGAGGCAGAGCTGGCAGTGAGCCGAGATCGTGCCACTGCACTCCAGCCTGGGCGAGAGTGAGACTGCATCTCAAAAAAAAAAAGAAGAAGTTGGCTAGGCATGATGGCTCATGCCTGTAATCCCAGCACGTTGGGAGGCCGAGGTGGGCGGATTACCTGAGGTCAGGAGTTCGAGAACAGCCTAGCCAACATGGCGAAACCCTGTCTCTACTAAAAATACAAAAATTAGCTGGGCATGGTTGCAGGTGCCAGGAGGCAGAGGTTGCAGTGAGCCGAGATTGCACCACTGCATACCAGCCTGGATGACAGAGTGAGACTCCGTCTCAAAAATAAAAAATTAAAAAAAAAAAAAAGAAAAGAAAAAGTTTACAAATAACACTAGCAACACTCTTAATTTGATCTTTTTGGCCTGTCATATTAGTTTCTGACGTTAGATATTGTTAAAATTCTGGACTTAAGTATGCAACAAATCAAAACCAAAGTGTGTCTGGGAGGTTCTTTTGAGTGTTCAGACTGAAGTTTTTTAGTTTAATTTACAGAGATAACTGCCCTTAATTCCCCTCCCCATTAATGTTGAACTAATGAACTAACGGTGCCATCTCCTGGCCTCTTTCTAGGCTCTCACCGTAACAGCTGCCTCCTGTTTCCCTTTCAACCTCTGGCCACTTCTCTCTTTCCTTTAGTAAAAATAGCAAAGCACCAAGCTAACTAGTGATCATGTTATTTTAAACATGCAGCAGCCTATTTTTAGTCCTGGCATTTAAAGTTTTAGCTATTTTGGCAGTAATCTAATCAGGACTACAGGGTGAAATTCACTTTTGAATTTCAGTCTAGGACTGTGATCAGTATGATTTTTGTTCATTAATAACTGGCACTATGCTGATTAAATAAAAAACAATGGTGAAAGTGAACCAAAGAGATGTGATAGAGGAGGTGGTGTGGGTAAGTCGTTGGAATAGTGACAGCCAGATAAAGGAGGCTGTAGAAAACATCTAGTCTAAGCTTTCTCAATGCATGGTCCTTCTGACTACCTCACCAGAATAACTACAGACCTGGTAAACTTCAGTCTCTAGAGATGGCACAGGAACCTGCATTTTGAAAGTGATTCCAGTAAGCACAAACATTTGAGAACCATTTCATTAGTCTATTTTACTCATCTTACATATAACAAAAATGACCTGGCCAGGTTAAGTGACTTGCCCAAATGCACAGAGCTTATTACTTGTAGAATCAGAACTAGAACAAGACACTGTAGGAACCCAAGAGAGGACACTTTTAACTTTGAGGTGTTAGAGAAGTCTAATAATACCTTTTGGCTAATCAGACAAAACCTGCAGCTATCCTTATAGTAAATTTTAAGATTTTTTTTTATTCTATTTTGAGCTCCAGAAGAGACGATAAATTATGTGTTATGAATTCATATCTCAGTCTAGTACTGTAGAATCACGGCCTTTAACTGGATGCATATGTTATCTTTAGTGAGAAATTTGATTTTCTAGATAATAATAGCAGGCAGAAGTATCACACAGATATATGACAAATGAAGTGGAAACATATTTATTCGAGTATCCGAAAGATGGTAGTACAAATCACTTAAGAATAGGACATCCCTAAGTTCAAATCCTAACTGTTACATAAGCACATTCCTTAAACTTTCTGAATTTTAGCCTCCTATCTGTAAAATTGGTAAAATAGTAGTTCTTACCTCAAAGAATTGTTGTGAGGACTAGAGATAATCTTTGTAAAGAGTGTGACATATAATAATCACTCATTATGCAATAATTATTTGTTTCTATAGGTTAGGTTAATTTCTCAAGTTTAGCTTTCTTCATCTCCCTTTTGAAAACTGTTCTTTGGTTTTGTTTGTTTTTTTTTTTTTGTTCGTTTGTTTGCTTGTTTTTTGAGACAGAGTCTCACTCTGTTGCCAGGCTGGAGTGCAGTGGCAGCTCACTGCAACCTCCGACTCCCTGGTTCAGGCGATTCTCCTGCCTCAGCCTCCCGAGTAGCTGGGATTACAGGCACGTACCACCACGCCCAGCTAATTTTTGTATTTTTAGTAGAGACAGGGTTTCATCTGTTGTCCAGGAATGTCTTGATCTCCTGACCTCGTGATCCACCTGCCTCAGCCTCCCAAAGTGCTGGGATTACAGGCGTGAGCCACCGCACCCAGCCTGTTCTTTGGTTTTTATCAAATTGCAAAAAGCCTAAAATATGCTGACTGGTTAGCGTCATTGATGGTAAATTGGGTTATGCCACCTCATGTAAAGAATATGTCAGGTAAGTGTGTATAGTCTTTGACACAGAACCATTGTTCTAGTGAAAATAAAGAGATGAAGTATGCCAGCCAGTGCCTTGGGGATAAAGAAATCCAACTAGTTTGCCATCGTGGAGGCCTTTTAAGTCTGTTGTTTTAGTGTCATATGGTTATAGAATGAAAAGATGAAGTTCTCCAGTTATTTGGTTCACTCATTCAGCAAACATTTATTGAGTCTGGATATCATATGCTAGAAATAGTTGCTGGTGATATTGAGATAAAGACATAGTTGTCTTTATAAAGTTTATAGTCTCATAGAGGAAGTCAGATATGTAAAACAAGCCCAATAGAGGTATATATGTGTTTTTGTTTTTGTTTGTTTGAGACAGAGTGTTGCTCTGTCGCCCATGCTGGAGTGCAGTGGTGTGATCACAGCTCACTGTAGCCTCGACCTTCCAGGCTCCAGCGATTCTGCCACGTAGCTAGGACTACAGGCAGGTGCTACCATGCCTACCTAATCTTTATGTATTTTGTAGAGACTGGGTTTCACCATGATGCCCAGGCTGATCTCGTACTCCTGGGCTCAAGCAATCTGCTCACCTTGGCCTCCCAGAGTGCTGGGATTACAAGCATGAGACACCACACTTGGCCCAAATTTACTTTTTACTTGCTCATTCTCACAGGAAGTATAGGGGTGATTTGAGAAAAAGAAATGACCCTAGAAACAAAAAGGCCAAGTGGGAGTTTTGCAAAAGTTCCAGTGAGCAAAGTTGAAAAAATAAGTATCTGAGCTAGTGTATCTCAAAATGTGGTGCTCAGGCCACCAGAGGAACTTATAAATAATGCAGATTCCCAAGTAATCGCCTCAGGGATCTGATTTAGGATTTTTGTAGGATTTAGGAGAACCAGTTTAAACTAGAAATTTTTTATTGGTATAATTGACAGGGCTTAGTGACTAACATAGGTACTGGTGCAGCGTAGTAAGAAAGAATGGTAGTTAGAGATGACTTTTGGGTCTCTAGTATTGTAAAGCATCAGAAATGATGCACTGTAGGTGATGGTGAGGGAGAATATAGGTCATGGCCTTGGATGTGTATTTGAAGACTGAGAATTTGAAGGGTAGGTGAGATAAGATAGTTGGGTGGGCTGATTACCCATTTGGGAAGTTACCCAGAAGTTCATGTGGAGAGGATGACTGTGAACCATTTTGCAAAGTCTTTAATGAGCGAGCAGTGTCTGAGGTCAGTAAACAGGGAGGAGTAGAGAGTAGTAGGTATAGCCAGCACTTCCCAGACTTTAATGTACTTGTGAATTGCTTGAGGATCTTGTTAAAATGGAGACTTTGATTTAGTACTTTTAGAATGGGACTGCTGATTCTACATTTCTCACAACCTTTTAGGTGATGCTGACATAACTGGTCCATGGACCCCACTTTGAATAGCAAAGATACAGGTGTCTGGTTCTCAGCTTAGCTGCACATCATACCTTCCTGGTTGTCTGATATGTGGGTCCCTTATCTAATTGGTATGGAAGATGGCCTAGATATCAGGATTTTAAAATCCTAGGTAGTTTTAGATGCAACAAAATTTCAGAGCCATTGATATCGGCTGATTTGGCCAGAGGATGAGGTATATGATAGTATGAAAGTGGCAGTGTTAACTAGGTAAAGCTGGTTCCACTCTGGATCTCTTGGCACAAGATGTGGGGGCAAAGGCCCCAGAATCAATCCTGTCTTCGGGATGGAACCTGGGTTCAACTGTAATAAAGGTTAGGAAAATGCAAAGGAAGGATGGGCAAGAGAATATGAGAGGCGACTTCCTGGGTGGTGGCTGAGGACAGGGTCATGAAAAGCACAACTGGATCAAGTGCTCCAGGTTACAAGGCTGGGGTTAAAGGCTCTGTGATGGCCACTGACAGCAATTTTTGCTGGGCTTTCCACCAGAATGTTATTGAGCAGATCTCCTTGCTTCTCCAAAGAGAACATGTCCTCAGCATGTCCTAGAAGGGATGAGCCAAATATTCCTTTTTTTTTTTAAATGGCCTCTGGATTTGTTTCCTAAGGCTTGATGGGCTGAAACTAGAGTGACCTGGGCATTAAGTGCTCTCTCCCCTGCAGACTGGTTATTAGTAAGTATTGGACACCTGCTTGTATACAAAGTAATCTATTGTTATTTTTTTTTCTCCAGATATCATAATAAAAATGGCATGAAAAAACAGCTGTGGCTGAATTTTCACCACTTTGAAGACAGGAGTGTGAAGTCAAAGTCTATAAAGCAGAATGTCTGCCTGAAATTATATGAAATTAAAAATTAAAAATTCTCCAGTTATTTGTGATATATCTCTATGTTGAAATTCTACTGAGGTTCTTGTCATTTACTTTTAATCAGTTAAGAAAAAAAATTATTCCATATGCTTCTTAAATATATGTATTTATATTAAAAGATAAAGAACCAAATCATTGGTATTAGAAGACTGTAAACTAAAATAGATGGTTTTAGCTATTTATAAAGAGGCTTCATCCCTGAGAGGTCTGAGAAGGAAAAAAGAAAGACAATGCCAGGGTACAATGTAACTTCCTTTGATTGTTTTTTTTTCTTCAAAGTTTATCGCTAGTACGATTAAAAGTAGTAAATCTTTCTCTAAAGCAATGTAGAGAAAAACAAAAACAAACAACAAAACAAAAAAGTAGTGAAGTTATTGAAGTGCTAAAAATGAAAATGCTTATATTATGAGCTATTTATAACAGAACTTAATTGAAACCACATGAGTGAGAGACCTAATTTCAGGTCTGACTGAAAGAAACTCTATACTCAAGGTTTGCTGAAGTAGGGAATGTATAATATGTATAATCAGTCCTACACTATTTAATACATTACCTTATCCCCCCCCAAAAAACCTTCTTTAGCTAATACTATCTGTAGGATTTTTAAAAATTTGGTAATATAACTTGCAGTATCTCAACAATTCCCTTCTTAAAAAGCAATGATCCTGTACAGTGAACAGAGTCCAGTTGTATAACTTGGAGAGATTTTAACTTGATTAGTCCTTGATGCTAAAGGGCTTTACTAATATTATACATTCATAAGAGTCAAATTTTCAAAACTTCAGGATTAAGAAAGATTGTAACATCTATGAGTTATTTTGCAGTTAAATAATCTGTATAGTATTTATTTTTAACAAGGCATCCCTATGAAGGTACTCTTATAATGATTTGACAAGGCTTTAAGCCACTAACAAAGCTATTTGTGATTTTGTGATTTCATCTGAAGATGAAATATGGAAAAGTTGTGAAGAAACATAGATGAGAACGTTAACGATGGAGACTAGCATAAAATTTAGACCTGTATTCTAAATTAATACTCAACTAAGTCAGCAACTCTTGTGGTGGTTTTAAAAGAAGAAATGTGATAAGCAGTGGGGAAGTAAGGAATGAAATAGAAGCCCTCTTCTCTGCCTTCAAGCAGTTTATATTTCAAGTGGGATGTGAGAGAATGAGAATGAATTATTTGCTAGTTTCTAATCAGGTGATAGGTTCCTGTGAGAAGGAAAGATACTTGATTCTTGGATTGGGCCTGGTGGGGTGGAAGAAATAAACATTTGATGGTTTCACATTGCTGATGAAGAAAATATAGGTAGCTCTGAGAGGTAAATGTTTGGCCAGGGCTATGTAATTTAGGAAGTGATGGAGCCAAGATACGGGGCAGGAGTATTTGAATATAATATTTTTTTCCTTCTCCCCAGAAAAGGCACATTCAATGTTTTTGTTTTATAGACTGCAGCACAAGGAAAGGTCAGAGGGAGGAAGGAATTGGAATTGGCATTGGCATTCAAGGCTTAGGAGTGGAGGATATAACAACTTCAATTATGATTAAGAGCAAGGAATGGCTGGGTGCGGTGGCTCACCCCTGTAATCCCAGCACTTTGGGAGGCCGAGGCAGGCGGATCACGAGGTCAGGAGATTGAGACCATCCTGGCTAACACGGTGAAACCCCGCCTCTACTAAAAATACCAAAAATTAGCCAGGCATGGTGGCGGGCACCTGTAGTCCCCGCTACTTGGGAGGCTGAGGCGAGAGAATGGCATGAACCCGGGAGGCAGAGCTGGCAGTGAGCCGAGACCACGCCACTGCACTCCAGCCTGGGTGACAGAGCAAGACTCTGTCTCAAAGAAAAAAAAAAAAAAAAAAGTAAAGCAGAAGAAGCCTGCTGGCTGGTGACATGAGAAGTCCAAAGAGGAATCCTATTGGCAAGTCCTTGGAAAAGGTTGTATGCGTAATCTTTACATCTGTTCCAGGCCTCAGAGGTCTTTCAGTGAATCTCCCTGGAAGAATATGAAAAAAGGAATTCATCTCTTTCTGGGATGAGGGATTCATAGTTTTTATCTATTTTCAGTGTAGTCTGCGATCTAAAAAAGGTTAATGAAACAACCTTTTTACTTCAGCATGTAACTAAACTTTATTTTTAAGCATTTAAAATTATATCTTAAAATTTTATCTCATTAAAAACAAATCTCAGGTCATAAGTACCTCAAAAGTTCAGTTAAAAGTGCATGAAAGAGCCAGGCACAGTGGCTCATGCCTATAATCCCAGCACTTTGGGAGGCTGAAGCAAGCAGATCACTTGAGCCCAGGAGTTTGAGACCAGGTTGGGCAACGTAGGGAGACTCCATCTCTACAAAAAAAGTACAAAAATTAGCTGGGAGTGGTGGTGCTTGCCTGTAGTCTCAGCTACTCGGGAGTCTGAGGTAGGAAAATTGCTTGAGCCCAGGAGGCAGGGCTGCAGTGAGCCATGGTCGTGCCACTGCACTCCTGCCTGGGTGACAGAGCAAGACCCTATCTCAAAAAAAAAAAAAAAAAAAGTACATGAAAGTTGATGTCATTTCCATTTTTAACTAGAACTTTTTTTCCCACCTCTCCAAGATATCATTCATCATGGTTTGTTCAGTAATGAATAGCCTTTTATGTTGTGTATATAGCATATATGTTTATATAAAGGTGTGATGCCCAAACTTTCCAGATAAGTTATCTTCAACCTCTCCTGCTCTACTCTTATTTTCTAACCAGAATTTTAAAATGTTTCATCATCTTACATGTTAAATCCTACCTTGACTCCATATGTTTTTCTAGCTAGCCTATCATTCTTCATCCGTTTGTATTCATGTTTCCTAAAGAGCGTGCTTTCTACTTTGTCACAGACCCCTCACCTTTCACCCTTCCTAAACATACCCAAACACACATAATTTGGCCTTAGCTTTGTTTCTCCGCTGACATTGTTCCCCTTAAGGCTCCCAGCAACCTCCTTGATGCTAATCTAAGGGGTATTTTTCAGTTCTCATCTTACCCAACTTCTTCCAGCTAATGATGTTATAGACTAGTACTTTCTTCCTAAAAGCCTCCAGAAAAGAATGACTTCTCTGAAACATTACCCTCCAGGCTTTCATCTCATCTTTAGCTCACTCTTTTCCATTTCTTACAAAGGCTCCTTTTTTTCTGCCCAATCTTTAAGTTTTGGTGTTTCCTGGGGTTCTGTTCTGGGGCATCTTCTCATGCAACACTTGCACTGGGTGATCTCATATACTCATGGCTTAGTTACCATCTCTGTGCAGCTGACCCCAAGTTTTTGTCTCTGTTATGGATATTGGTAGTGGACATGTGTGGTGACTTCCCCTGCATCTATCCATTGCCTTTCTAACTTTATCCTAAGTGGATTTTACATTTCTCAGCCATATGGTTTAGGTGGGATTGATCCCACCCATAGTTCCAGGGGTAGGCCTTTAATGGCATAAGCCAATGCATGTTAGCCTTCTCAACTCTGGCACAGTAATTGGTTCAGTGATGGGTCCAATGCCTAAAATGATCCTATTGGGATTAAATATCAGAGTTTTTTTCTTGGAATGCTGGGACAGACTTTTCTTTTTCTCTTGGACTTTCATCTGAAAGGATATATCCTGGAAGCTGCTGGCAGCCAGCTTATGTCCATGTTTGGAAACACTGCCTGGAATAGAGTCTGCACAGAGAAATTAGAGATGAGAAGAAGAAACTGAATTCTCGATACCATTGATGCAGTCCTTGGATAAAGCTGTGCCTGAACTGTTCATCTACACTAGATCCAGTTATGAGAGCTAATCAATTTCATTCTTTGCTTACGCTAGTTTTGTTTGGGTTTTCTATCATGTGCAATGTAGAACATCCTGACTAATGGACTCAATCAAAATCTTTCTAGAGTTTCCCGCATCATAGCATTTATCAAAATGTACTATAATTGCCTGTCCATTTTTTATTTTTATTTTGTATTTTTTGTGACAGAGCCTTGCTCTTTGTCACCCAGGCTGGAGTGCAGTGGCACAATCTCGGATCACTGCAACCTCCGCCTCCTGGGTTAAAGCGATTCTCTTGCCTCAATCTCCTGAGTAGTAGCTTGGACTACTACTGCTGGTAGCTGTGCACCATCATGCCTGGCTAATTTTTGTATTTTTAGTACAGACAAGGGTTTTGCCATGTTGGCCAGGCACGTCTTCAACTCCTGACCTCAAGTGATCCACCTGCCTTGACCTCCCAAAGTGTTGGGATTAACAAGCGTGAGCCACTGCACCCAGCCTGTCAATTGTTTTTTTCTCCCTAGACTGTAAGGTCCTTGATGCAGAAACTATGTCTTGTTCTTTATTGTATTGCTCGATTCTAGCACAGATACATATTAAGCATATTAAATGTTTGGAAAATATTTTTTGAAATAATTTTTGTCATAGTTTTGTGCACTTATAATAGAATTCAAGATGAGGATTTCAAGCCAATTTATATTTGAAGGAAAAGTTTGATTCCCTGAAATAACTTATGACAATCTGTAATAGCTTTTTTGTTATTTAGTTTCTTAAGGGCAGGGCCTGTACCCATCTTGTTCATATTGTATTCCTAGCACTTGGAACATAGTAGGTGCTTATTTTCACCATCCCTATTAGGTTGTTTCTGTTGCATACAAAATTCTCTACTATCTTCCATCTTAAAACAAAAGAAAACCAATTGTCCCTTTCCATCTCCTCTCTGCTCCCCATCTCAGCAAAAAAAGAGGAGTTGTCTGCATTTGCTTTACCACTTCCATTTTGCCCCCTTTATCTTTTGGAAACTGCTTCAGGCTTTCACTCACATTACTCCATTGAAACTGTTCTTGTGAAGATACCCATATTGACAAATCTAATGAACACTTGAATTTTCAGCATCATTCAACACAGTTGACTCATTTCTTTTTAGAGACATTTTCTTCTCTTGTCTTACTGCTGCTCCTTCTCATTCTTCTATGTTGGATCTTTCTCTTCCAGACCTGTAAGTGTTATCCTCTTTGGGTCTTAGTTCTGAACCCTCTTTTTTATATATACACTCCCTTCACGTAAAGTCATCCATTCCATTATTTTAAATTCTGTCAGCCGGGCGCGGTGGCTCACGCCTGTAATCCTGGCACTTTGGGAGGCAGAGGTGGGCGGATCACGAGGTCAGGAGATCGAGACCATCCTGGCTAACACAGTGAAACTCCATCTCTACTAAAAATACAAAAAAAAAAAAAAAAATTAGCTAGGCATGGTGGTGGGCGCCTGTAGTCCCAGCTACTGGGGAGGCTGAGGCAGGAGAATGGTGTTAACCTGGGAGGCAGAGCTTGCAGTGAGCCAAGATCGTGCCACTGTACTCCAGCCTGGGAGACAGAGTGAGACTCTGTCTCAAAAAAAATAAATAAAAATAAATTCTGTCTAGAAGCTGATGCCTCCCAAATTTCTCTCACTAATCCTAGCTTCTCCCCATATATTCTAGTCAGTATCTCCACATGGATGTCTTATAGGCAATTCAAACTTAATACATCCAAACTTAATATGCTTGGTTTTCCTCTTAAAATCCATGTGTTCCCTGGTCTTTTAATCAGGAAATAACTCCCACTAAGTTGCTCACAGCAGAAACGTAGGAGTCATCTTTTTCTTTCCTTCATTCCTATTAGAAGTGTGTATCTCCAAAATAACTTGCTCGCCACCATCAATTCTCTCCTAAAGTACAAGTAGTCACCTATTTCATCTCTGATTCCATTCTTCCTCTTTTAAAATTCCTTCTCCACAGAACAGCCACAGTAGAATCATAAATTGTGTTATGTCCCTCTCCTATTTCAAACCCCTCTGATAGCTTCCATCACACTCAGTCTAACCTCCTTTCCATAATTTACAAGGTCCTACATAATCTGGCCCCTTGTACCTTTCTAACCATTTCAAACCATCTCCCATTCTCAGAGTATATTTTAGTTCTTCTGGCTTCCTTTCTCCTCTTCAAACAGGCCAAAACCATTTCTCTCTTAGAGGCTTTGTACTTTTTCTTCTCTTTGCCAGAATGTTCTTCACCACCTTCTTCCTATAGCTGGTTCCTTTTCATTCTTTACATCTTAGCTAAAATCACGCATCTTTGGATAGGCCTTCCCTGACCACCCTATCTAAATTTGGTCTCCATCAGTTGCTTGCTATCCATGCTTTCTTTCCTGGCTCCTAGCACACCTTGCAAACATCTTGTTTATTTTGTCTCTTCCCACAAAAAACTAAGTTTCTAAGAATAAGGACTCTCTTGTTCAGTACCATATTCCCAGTGCCTACAGTAGAGTCTGAGATGTTGGAGGGACTCAAGAAATGTTTGTTGAATAAATCACTGTTTATGTTTTCTGGTGCTTCAGAATACTGCCATTTCCTTATTATATAGCAATAAATGGTCAGTTGGTTTAGGAGTTTTTAAAAGTGGGGTAACTTGAGCCCATTTAATGTTTTTCGGGCAGGTCTACTTGATCATCTTGATTTTGAATGTCTTGTTCTGAGATGTCATCAATGAAATTATAATTTGTTTCATGATAATTCAGCATAATTGAGACTATACTTATTAGCATGATGGTTGAGGAAGATTTTAGTTTTATTGCCACCTTTTCCTATATGTAGTAACCAGGAAATGCCTATAGCAAAGAGTGCCTGTCTTTTATGCTATCAGGAGGGGAATCTTTGAAGCAGGTGGACAGAAATCTATAGACTGTTGGAGTTTTGAGGAGACTAAATCTTCCACCCTTGAGTGAGAGTGTAGTAGGCCTTATGTCTAATCTTTGTAACCCAGTAGTTCCACATTGATATAACGTAGCATGAATGAGTAGGTAATTATTTTCTTTCTCACATTTCCTCTTTGCTGACTCCTTAAACTTACAAAGGCTGCCTGTAAGACACCTCAGCTTCTCTGTGATAGGATGTAGTACTAAGTAAAAGGAAAAATAAAAGATAATATTCACTGATACTAAAATTGAAATATTTAAATTTTAATCTGAATAATTATGTATAGTTTTGTCCTCTTTTATTACAAACTTGTATCATTTCAGCGCTCTCTGATTCTGTGACTTTAGTATTACACTGCAATGTAGGAGAAATGTGATCAATAATAGGAAGTAAATCTAGTTTTTCTCTGTACCTTTCAAGACTAAATGAGACTACAGAAATAAAGCTATTACATGATTAGAGAATACTGAAAGTGTCTCTTATGCAAGCAGTTATATTCTTTTCCCTTACTATTAATATCTATAATTACCCATGAAGTAATTTTTTCCCAAGACGAAAGCACACAAGGTTATTGTATTTGGAAAGTTCCTTCTGAGGGGACCTGGAACTACTCTTTTCTGTGCCAGTCATGGACAGCCATTAGTCCTTAGTGTCTTTGGTCCCGTATAGACAGACTTTGGCCTGTTTCCACTTGTACTCATTTAGTGTAACTTAACTAGTGTAAAAACAAAACTTCCCAAATGATTGCCCCATTAATTGACTGATAGGATCTACACTTCTGTTTACTTTTTAAAAATTGCATTGACTTTATTTTTTTGTTTACAAAAACTTCATTTTTCATTCTACATTCAAATGTTTTGTGAGAAAAATATACACAGCTCATTTTACCCTGTTAGAAATCTTTCAGCATTTGATGCCAGAGGATTATCTGAAATGTCTAGGTGAAATAGTACTGCTGTTTTGATCCTGTATTGCCCAGTAGTTTCTGGACCTTGGGTAATACACAGAGCAACTGAATGATTTTCAACCTAAGCACCTCAAATGTTACCTCCTCAGACTTTGCTGACACCCTCATTTCATTGCTTATTTCTTACTAACTCCACAACATTAGTTACTATCTGAAATAACTTTATATACTTATTTACTGTCTCCTCACCTAGAAAGTTAGCTCTTTTGTACTTTGGATCCCCACTGCCTAGAACGTAAATGATTGTGGAAAGAATATGTTAATATCTTAATCATCAATAAATAGTGCAATAACTTTAAATACTTATTTACTGTCTCCTCACCTAGAAAGTTAGCTCTTTTTTACTTTGGATCCCCACTGCCTAGAACATAAATGATTGTGGAAAGAATATGTTACTATCTTAATCATCAATAAATAGTGCTTTAAAAAAGTCTTGGAACATTGAAACTCAGTATTTTGGTTGTTGACAAATTCTCAAAGAGATATAAATTCTGCCTATTACTTTTTCTTTTCTAAATATCTTCAGACCCTTATTTAGAGCATAAACTCTAGCTGCAAATCAGTGGGAGTTGGTAGCCACTTAAAGAAAATAAAATTTAATTTGTATACCTAATTAAATGAAATTCTCAAAAAGTATTTGTTTTTTGAGATAGGGCCCCCCTCTGTTGCCCAGGCTGAAGTACAAGTGGCACTCACTGCAGCGTTGACTTCCCACACTCAAGCTACCCTCCCACCTCAGCCACCCGAGTGGGACCACAGGTGTGCGCCGTGACCACACCTGGCTAATTTTTGTTTGTTTTTGAGACGGTGTCTCGCTCTTGTTGCCCGGGCTGGAGTGCAATGGCACAATCTCGGCTCACTGCAACCTCTGCCTCCTGGGTTCAAGCAATTCTCCTGTCCCAGCCTCCCAGGTAGTTGGGATTACAGGCATTCGCCGCCACCACGCCGGCTAATTTTTTGGAGACGGGGTTTCACCATGCTGGTCAGGCTGGTCTTGAACTCGTGACCTCAGGTGATCCACTCGCCTCGGCCTCCCAAAGTGCTGGGATAACAGGCGTGAGCCACAGCGCCCGGCCACACCTGGCTAATTAAAATTTTTTTTTTTTTTTTTTTTTTGTAGAGACAGGGTCTTACTGTTGCCCAAGCTGGTTTCGAACTACAGAGCTAAAGCGATCTGCCTGCCTCGGCCTTGCAGTGTTGCGATTACAGACGTGAGCTACCACGCCTGCCCAAAGTATTTTTATCCAGCCTTCCAACCATATACAAGTTATTTCCTAAATTTCTCTGAGGATTACATCCCATTGTACGAGCTTCCTCATCCTGGAGGGGGAGTGAGTGAATGGATGGGGTTGCTGAAAATTTATAAGATTAGTTTGATACAAACTCTGATATATTTTGGTTCCATGGGTTAAATAAGACTGTGAGGTCACATGTGAGCAATGTTTTTCTTTTTTTAGAAAGCGTTTCTTCCCTGTAACTTGACTAAAATTCCACAGTTCCTCCCGTCTTCATACCTAAACATTAAGATAGATTTATTAAAAATCTAAATAATTAGCGTAAAGGGTTAGATATCTGTACATATATGTCTTTAGGCTTCCTGACTTCGTTGGTTTCACCTGATTTTGTTGGTTAACAAGGAAACAGCCTAACTCCTGAGCCTCCAATCGCTAGCTCTTCCAAGAGACTAATTCCCGGTGTCAGGGTTCTAGGCGCTAGTACAAACTGCCCGCAGTGCCTGCTCGAGGTCGTCTTTGCGGGGAGCCATGGCTGTGGCAGGGGTCCCGGCAGTTTCCTTCACCAGTCCCTGTGAGCCAGCCCCCGCGCTGTCCAGATCCCAGACCTCTCGCGGGCCGGCGCAGCCTTCTAAGGGCGGTCCTGGGGTCCTGGGCTCAAAGTCCAGCCTTGGCCGCGGCCCCACGGGTACGCTTGTGGGCCTTCCGTGCTCCAGGAGCCGCCAGACTCTGCCCGGCGCGGAATGGAGGTGTGAAGCCGCAGAAGCTAGGGAGGGGCTGACAAGGAAGAGTCGGTTGCCCGTGGTTCCCTACGCAACTCTGTGGGTGCGGGGAGTCGAAGCCTTCTGCACTCCAAGGCTCCTGGCATCGTCCCCGCGCCACCCCGGCGTACCCTCTGATGGTCGCTGACAGCTTCACAGGGGAAGATCGAGACTGACCCTTCTCCCGCTACACATCCCTAGCCACCTTCCAGTCCTGTCCTCTCGGCTCACGCCCCGCCCCTGCCACGTGACGGGACCCGCCAGTGAGCCTATGGGAGGCAGCTCCGCCCCACGCCCCCACCTTGCCCCTTGCTCCGCGCGCCGCCACGTGATGCGGCCCCCCTCCAGCCAATGAGTGCCGGCCTTGCCTCGCGCCCCGCCCCGCGCGCCGTGGCCGTTTGAAGTGACTAATTTCTGTCATATGACTGAGGCGCCCATGGGGGTGGCGGGGCGGCTGTAGGAGCAGGGGCCTAGCAAGCGCCCAGCGGAGCGACCCCTGCCTGGCCGTGGCTAGCATGGCCCCTACGCTGTTCCAGAAGCTCTTCAGCAAGAGGACCGGGCTGGGCGCGCCCGGCCGCGACGCCCGGGACCCAGATTGCGGGTTCAGGTAGGGCGCTGTGGGGCGGGGGTCGCGGAGCCGATGGCCTTGTGGGCTCCGGGCTCCAGGGGTGTTGGGGCCTTCGGTGTTCCGACCCGAGCGGAAGCGCCGCGCCGAGAGCAGCATCTGGTCCTCGGTGGGGTGGAGCCGGCTGCGGGCTAGCGCCGAAGGGTTGGAGCGAGGTCCTACCTTTTATTTTACCCCACCCGCCTCGCCGTTGCCCCTTCCCCCTCCTCCCGTCGGTTTGTTTACGACCTGCCCCCAGCCACGCGCGACTCTGCTCCTCCGGACCTAGCACCGCGGCCTGAGACTTTGGGTCCACACGCCTTCCTGGCACCGAGTAGAGTTGGGCGCGGGCTGGATTGGACCTCAGCCGCCGTACTCCGGGCCGCGAAGTTCTCCCCTCCTCCCCGTGACCAGTTGTCCTCCGGGCGCTGCGTTCCAGCTCCGTTGGCGTTGTGGAGAGAGCGGCACGTTTGGCCAAGCTTCTGAGTTGAGAGAAGGCTGGAGGAGCGAGTAGGCAACGTGCCGTTCTTTCAGGTTTCTTGGACGCTAAAATTGGAGGTGTGCAGTAACCGGACCGAGCGACCTTAATGTTATCGAAGGAGAAATGTGAAACTTGAGTTTAGGGTTACTGCCGAAGGAAGACCAAATTGAATGAAATCTGGCCTTGGAATTGGCTGTAGATTCTTCCTCCTCGAATTGTTACTGAAAAGGAGTCTTAAAAATTGAAAATGTTAGTAGAGCATTTTGTAGTGTTACAGGCTTTGTTAATTTTTCATTGTAGTACCTGTTGCTGGCAGAGTAACTTTTCAGAATTGTAAGATTTGATATAAACCTGAATTCAAGGTAAAATTTAGTCGTTAAACTGCACCTGAGGAGATTATGTCCAAACAGCCTTTATACGTATTGCAGTGTGGAAACTTGCAAATATAACTAGGCTAAATGTCAAATGCCACACGTTTTAAACTTGGTAGGATAGCAAAGAGCCCAGTTGTACAACAATAGTAGAAACAAAAAAATAAAATAAAAATAAAAAAAGAGAATCTGTCAAATTTTGGAACAGGCGAAGTTGCCACACTGGTTTAAGAAATTTTGCTATTCTTAAAATTATTCACTCTCTCTTGCTAATGCAGGTCTCATCAGGAAAAATTCAGTAAATGCATATGGAATTGAAGAGGTTTTTCTACGTATCTGTCTTTTCCCCTGAAAAATAAATGTGTCATGCTCATCTGTCTCTCTTTAAACATTTCTTTAGTGTTTTTCCTTTGAAAAATGAAAGTGCAGGTTAGATAATACTACATTGAGCCATCTAGTAACTCAAGCGACAATAGGAAACAGGTTCCGATAGGATATTTAAAAGGTGGCATTTGAATAGACAACTGCTTTCTATTTCTGGACAAAGATTGACTTTGGGTACGTAGGTTTACAAGGCTCTCAAGTCACTCATATGAAAAAACATTTTCACGTCTGGTTTTCAAAAATGTAAAGTCTACTACATAGTTGCGTAATACTATTTTACAGTTACCAAAGAACTTTCTCATCAGTTATCTTATTTGATGTTTCACAGCAATCTTACGAGATAGAGCAAGTAGCAGTGCAGATAACTATATACTTTTGCCAGTGGAAGTAAGAATTATCTGTAAGCCCAATAACTGCAGTACATTATGGAATCTCTCACTTTAAAAATAAAACTTGTGCATGTGAGAAATGAAAACTGATGAAACAGAATAGGCATATCTGAAGGAAAAAAAACCATTCTGGTTAATGTCACATAGCTAATAACTTACAGATCTAATCAACCCAGGGTTTTTTAAAAACTATTTCATTGAGCTATAATTTATACACAATAAAGTATAAATACATTTTAAGCATACATCGTATACAGTTGTGTACCCACCACCCCCATGAAGTTTTAGAACACTTCCATCACCCAAAAAGTTCCCTCATGCTCTGTTGTAGCCTAACTCCTCCTCACCCGTGGCAGTCACTGATACTTTCTGTCATAGTCTTGTGTCTGTCTTGTTTGTTGCATTTATTAGTTCCTTTTTTTCTCACTCTGTCAACAGGCTGTAGTACAGTGGCGTGACCACGCTTAATACACTGTCAACCTCCTGGGCTCAAGGGATCCTCTCACCTTGGCCTCCCAAAGTTCTGGGCTTACAGGGATGAGCCACCACACCCAGCCAGTTCCTTCAATTTTATCACTGAATGGTATTCCATTGTATGGCTATACCATGATTTGTTTATTCAGCCACTAGTTGGAGGACATATTTTTTCCCCAGATTTGGGCTATTATGAATAATGCTGCTGTTAATGTTTGTGTATAAATCTTTATGTGGACATATATTTTCTTTTCTCTTGGATAGAAATCTAGGAGTGGGGTTGCAGAGTCATGTGCTAAATGTTGTGTTTAACTTTAAAAAAAAATTGTCAGACTTTTCCAAAATAGTTGTACCATTTTGTATTCTCAGTAGCAATGCATGAAGGTTACAGGTTCTTCACAATCTCTTCAATATTGATATTGTTATTTTTGTTCTTTTTTAATTAAAAATTTTTATTGTAAAAAAAATATGAAATTTACTTTTTTTTTTTTTTTTTTTTTTTTTAGATGGAGTCTCACTTGTTGCTCAGGCTAGAGTGCCATGATACAATCAAGGCTCATTGCAGCCTTGACCTCCTGGGCTCTAGTAATCCTCTCACCTCAGCCTCCTGAGTAGGCTCCTAAGTATCCTCCCACCTTGGCCTCCCAAAGTGCTGTAATTACAGGCATGAGCCACCATGCCTGGCCAAAATTTACTGTCTTAATCGTTTTTTTATTCTTTTGATTATAGCCATTCTAGTGGTATCTTGTGGTTTTAATTTGCATTTCCCGAAGATCATATTCAGCATCTTTTTATATAACCCAGGTTTTTGAGTAGACTAACATTTTGTTTTCATTCTAGTATACCATGCTTTCATTGCTGGAATCCTTTTTTGGGTGTTTTGTTTTGTTCTAGTCAGCCTAAATTGTTAAATCAGGCTTGGGTGTAGTTAGCCATTGGCAACTAACTGTAGCTCAGTCCCTAAGAGGCAGTTCCTAGAGTAACCAATATACAAAGCTCAGTAATTGTAAGCCACAGCAGGACTTTAGAATAGGAGAGACTTCCGATAAAGAAGCTTTAGGAACCTTTCTGTATTGTCTTTTATGGTTACCCCATTGGAAGAGATGGCCAGGAAATACCCCCTTCCCTTGTCTTCACTCTAAGGTCTCTTACCATATCGATTTCTATGTGCTTATCTAAGATTCTTGAGCTGGAGATGAGTTTGAAAAATATTATGGGGAGTGTATTTTTTCAGTCATTTATAGAATTGAGACAGTAATTTGTTTTCTCCATTTCAAGAATTTGGGAGAAAAGGCTGTTTCTAGTAGAAAATATTGCTTTATGTTCTCTCCATTTTCTTCCAGTGGAAGTAAAAAGTATAAGCCCAATAACTATAGTACATATAAAAGTGATTATTTTGGGCTGGGTTTGGTGGCTTATACTTGTAATCCCAGCACTTTGGGAGGCCCATGGCGGGAGGAGTGCTTGAGCCCAGGAGTTCAAGACCAGCCAGGGCAACATGGCAAAACCCCTGTCTCTACAAAAAATATAAAAAATTAGCCATGTGTGGCAGCATGCACCTGTAGTCCTAGCTACTCAGGATGCTGAGGTGGGAGGTTGCTTAGCCTGGGAGGTTAAGGCTGCAGTGATGAGCCATGATTGCGCCACTGCACTAGTCTAGCCTGGGCAACAGAGTGAAATCCTGTCTCAAAAAAAAAGATTGTTTTAAATAAAATTCCTGAAAACTAATTTGGCAAAGAAGGTTGTTTTGAAGTGAAATGTTTGTAGGGCATAATTAATGTTTTGTTAAATAATGTCTGGATTTTTGTTATACAGGTTGAGTATCCTTTACCTGAAATGCCTGGTTCTAGAAGTGTTTTGGATTGTGGAATTTTTTGGATTTTTGAATACTTGCATATGCATAATGTGTTTTTTCAGAGGTGGGACCTAAGTCTAAACATAAAATTCATTTTTATTTCATACATACCTTGTACACATAATAGCACATAATTTATACAGTACTTTTTAATGATTTTGTGCACAAAGTGTCGACTGCATTTTGACTCCTCACATGAAGTCAGATGTGAAGTTTTCCACTGTGGCGTCTTGTCAGTGATCAAAAAAATTTTGGACTAGAGATGCTCATCCTGTATCCCAAATATATGAACATTTATTCTGATTCTTTATATCAGGGATTCTTAAGGTACTCAGCCTTTTAACTGGTCTTTCTGTGATCACTCTTGCCTTTTTCCAAACTACCCTCAATATGTCACTTTTTAAAAAGTGCCAATTGTGGCTGGGCACGGTGGCTCATGCCTGTAATCCCAGCACTTTGGGAGGCCGAGGCAGGTGGATCACCTGAGGTCAGGAGTTCCAGACCAGCCTGGCCAATGTGGTGAAACCCCATCTCTACTAAAAATGCAAGAATCAGCTGGGTGTGGTGGCGGGCGCCTGTAATCCCAGCTACTCAGGAGGCTGAGGCAGGAGAATCGCTTGAACCCGGGAGGCGGAGGTTGCAGTGAGCTGAGATCGCGCCATTGCACTCCACCCTGGGCAACAAGAGTGAAACTCCGTCTCAAAAAAAAAAAAAAAAAGTGCCAGTTATCATCATGAACAGCAGACAAAATGAGACAAAATGATGTATAGAATTTAATATCTTCATAACAGGTTTATTTTAAGGATTCAGAGATAAGTCATGTAAAGAACTTAATGTGGTGCTTAGCACATGGCTTTCAGGAACCAGAAGTAGTTGTTACTGTTATATCAGTTTTGTGTAAAAACCACTTAGTTTGGGCCCAGACTCATTAAAGGATGGCTTTTGCCCATTCTACATAGTATGGCTTTTGCTAATTTGCTAGCCTTGACTTTTTTTTTTTCTTTCCATAATGACATTTTTTAAAAAAGCCACTATAGTATTATTGTTAATAGAATTAACAGAAATTCCTTAATAAAAGCCATTCTTAGTCCATATTCCAATTTGGTGTCATCTCAATATGTCTTTTTATGGTAGTTTTGTTTGAATCAGTCTTAAGAGTCTGTATATTGCATTTGCAGTTAGGCAGCTTAAGTAAATTTTATTCTATAACAGCCCTCCCCCACTTAAATGTGAAATTCCCCACATTCTGTGTTTGGCTTTTCCAGTCTTATGGTTTCCCAGCAATATGTGGTTTAAAAAGCCCCTCCAGGCAATTCTGATGCTCAGGTTTGCTGTAAGTTTGCTATAACCTATTTCTCTGTTTCTTGTCTTTCCTGAAAACTTGAAGTTCGATTTAGATATTTTATCATATTTACATTCCCTTTTTTTCAATAAAATTATTTTGTAGATGTTGTGTACTTCCTATTCATCAAAGTTACCTACCTGGTTGCCCCACTTGTAGTGATTTCAGGTGGTATCAGCCTTATTCTTCTATTACATAATTTGCCCTTTAACTAATGATTTTAGCATTCTTTGTTGATCATTGCCTGAATTCATTATTTTGTTAGAGTTTGCAAAATGGTGATATCCTGATTCTCTAATTTTTTATGCATTTATTTGCTGGAATAACTTTTATCAACTATTTGGTTACTCCTTGCTACAGAAAAGGGAGCATAAAAGGTGATTTCCCTTTGTCATTTTCCAAAGTAATTGGTAATGAGCTGTTCACTGCAGGTTTTTTGTTTTAATTATCATCTTAAAAGATTATCATGAGCTATTGGATTTTAGTGTGTTTTAATCCACTCCTGTCAAATTGTCTCATATTTGGCCAATGGAAGCCTTTTTAGGTTGACTTCTGTTTCTTTTTGACATGACCTCATTAATCTTTGATAACTTCTTGCTTTCTTCTGGCCTATGTCTTAATCTACACTCCTCCTTCTAAGAGTTTATCACCTTTGATTTATTTTAGATTCTGGGATGTGCCAAGCTGTACTGCTCCCTGTTCTTGATATAGTCCCTTATACCTTTTTGTTTGGCTTTTTGTAGTGATCATCTGGGCTTATTCTAATTACTACTTCCTCCAGGAAGCCTTTTCTGATTTCTTCCAGACTAGAGTAGGTCTGACTGTAACTTTGTTTCATAGCTTATTGCATGTCCTTCTGTGACATCTGTCATAGTTGTCATTGTCCACGTCTCTCTTCTTTGCTTACTTGAGCCTTTTCTTCAGTGTTAAGCATCAAGATTTATTTTATAGTCAGAACTCTGTAAATTCACGTAAGGGGTTGTGTATGGGGAATAGATGCCTAGGTTTTTGGCTGGAGCAACTAAGTAGGTGCCTTTTTTTTTTTTTTTTTTTTTTTTGAGACAGGTTCTTGCTCTATCGCCCAGGCGGGAGAGCGGTGGTGCGATCTTGGGTCACTGCAACCTCCGCCTCCTGGGCTTAAGCCATCTCCCCACCTCAGCCTCCCGAATAGCTGGGACTGCAAGGTGTGGGCCATCATGGCTGGCTAATTTTTTATTTTTTGTAGACACGGGGTTTCGCCACGTTGCCCAGGCCAGTATAGAGGCTGATCTTAAACACGCTATCAAAAATAGCCACCTTCTCCCCATTTTCTGTCAGAACACACACTTTATATCCATTATAGCTCTTTTAATAATTTATTATAATTTGTCTCCCCCAAGTTCACATTGTTGTGCCAGTGGACAGCACAGTGCCTGAGCATATGCTGAGGAAATATTTGTAGAATGAATAAATGAAATAACAATTTTAAGGGCAGAGGGAGAGGGTCAAAAGTTCTGTTTTGGATATTTGGTCTGGTTTTAATTGCCATTGAGATGCCCACGTAGAGATGACAGTTTAATAAAGTCAGTCTGGAGTTCACAGTAGAGATTGGGATTGCAGATATGAGTTTGTGTGTATGGTTAGTATTAAAACTACAGAATGGAAGAGATCATCTAGGAAAAGGGTGTAGATAGAGAAGTGGAAAGGACGGAGGGCTTCGCCCTGAGGATGTGTTAAAATACACAGATCTGAGAGAGGAAGATATACCAAGAAGATAGATAGGGAAAAGCCAGGGATGTGTGGTGTTAGGGAAGCCAAGAAAAGAAAGTGTTTAAAAAATGATAGAGTGAGTGATAAATTGTTTGTATACTGGTTGCTGACAGGTCTCGTGAAATGAGAAACAGAAAAGTGTCCATTATATTAGTCAAGATGGAGGAAATTGGTGACCTTGATGGTTTTTTGGTAGGGAGGATAAATGTTTGGGGGGAAAAGTGAGATAGATGTGGAGTAAATGTGAGGAAATGGCCCCACTACTTAACTTTCTATTATTTCTATAGGATAAATATTCTGTAGTGCCGAGTTATTTTTTCACTTGCAGTGTTCTGATTTTATGTCACATTTTGAGCTTCTGAAGTTCTTAAAAGCTAGCTTCATAATATTACCAACAATTATAAGAATCATGTTTCAGAAGTTTTGTTTTTTAAATGGGATTTTTAAAAATTTGTCATACCCACAAGAATTTTTATTTTACTTAATTTATTTTAAATATATGTATTTTTAATTGATTGGATTATACACGTCCCAGCCTCTTGTAACCACTATTCTACTCTACTTCTATGAGATCAACTTTTTTAGTTTCTAAATGTGAGTGAGGACATGTGGTATTTGTCTTTCTGTGCCTAATTTCACTTAGCATCATGTCCTCCAGGCTCATCCATATTGCCGCAGATAATAGAATTTCATTCTTTTTAATGGCTGAATAATATTCCATTGTGTATATATACGACATTTTCTTTATCCATTCATCTGTTGATGGACACTTAGGTTGATTGCATATCTTGGCTAGTGTAAATACTGTTGCCGTAAATATGAGTGTGCAGATATTTCTTTGACATACTAATTTTCTTTCTTTTGGATATATATTCAGTAGACAGATTGCTGGATCATATGGTAGTTTAATTTCACAGTAAGAAGTGCAAATATTATAATTTTGGTTGTTAATTTTATCTGCTTTTTCATCCCTAAGTAGTGGAATTAGATTTGTTTTTTACACTGGGTTTATTGAAAAAAAGAGAAAAATACAGCTTTAAAGTGTAGTTTATGAAACTTGGATATCACTTCTTTTTTTTTTTTTTTTTTTTTTGAGACAGAGTCTGTCACCTAGGCTGGAGTGCAGTGGCACAATCCCGGCTCACTGCAACCTCTGCCTCCCGGGTTCAAGCAATTCTTATGCCTCAGCCTCCCGAGTAGCTGGGATTACAGGCACGTGCCACCACGCCCAAAAATTTTTGTATTTGTGTTTATTTATTTATTTTAATTTTTGTATTTTTAGTAGAGATGGGAGTTTCACCATGTTGGCCAGGCTGATCTCAAACGCCTGACCTCAGGTGATCTGCCCTTCTTGGCCTCCCACAGTGCTGGGATTACAGGCGTGAGCTACTGCACCTGGCCTTGGATCTCACTTCTTACTAATATAATAATTATCTTAAATCCTATTGATTTTAAACTTGCTTAAAATAACTTCCCATGTAAAACATAAGATAACCTCTTTCATTTTAAAGGAGTCCTAATCTACTCTCTCTTGATTTTGTTTCTGTTTCTGGGACCACCATTCTCTTAGTCTACCAAGTTGAAAATCAGAGATCATTGTTTATTCCTCCTAGTCTTTGATTGCCATATTTGCTCATTTGTTAAGTCCTGTTGATTCAGATTCTTAGTAGCTTCAGTTCTTTTTCATTTTCCACTGTCATCACCTTATACAAACCGTTGATGCCTTTCTTGAAACTTTTCCATTACTTTCCCACTTCTTGTGTGTTCTGTGTTCCCCTCCACACCATACTACTACTTTTTTCAGCAGGAAGACAGGGTCTCACTGTGTCACCCAGGCTTGAGTTGGAGTTCAGTGGCGCAATCCTAGCTCACTGCAGCCTCAAACTTCACTTCGAGCAGTGGTCCCACGTTGGCCTCTCAAAGTGTTGGGATTACAGGTGTGAGCTGCTGCACCTGGCCCCACACTGTTCTTCTAAATTGATTTTCCTAGATCATAATTCTAATCAAAACACTCAGAAGTCTTGACTCCTCATTAAGCAATGAGGATTGATCTGTGCTGCACACTGTTTTATGTGCTTTACACCTATTAACTCATTTAATTCTCACAATAGCTTTATAAAGAGGTCTGATTATCCCTGTTTCATTGATGAGGAAACAGGCACAGAGAAATTAAGTATCTTACCCCATGTCACGTGGCTATTAAGTGATGAAATTAAGATTTGAACTTAGATGTTTAAGTTCTAGAGCCTTTGTTCTTAACCAAGTTCAAAGTCCTCAGTTTGGCTTATCAGCCTTTTATCAAGTTGTAGCTGGTGTGATGGACTTGATGAGTTCAGATCCATGCCCCAGTACTGCGGGGTGTCTGTGTGTATGCTTGCATCTCTTAATTCTGAAATCAGACCACTTGGTTTTCAAACTCGAGTTCTCACACTTAATTGCTGAGTCCTCAGGCTTCATTCTCTTTTGTCATTAGGTAATGCTAGAAGCAGTGCCTCTTGATCTGTTATCTCATACCACTCTGCCTAGGAGACAAGACTCTGTACTCCAAGATTTTCAGCAAAAGTCCTAAACTCGGTGCTGTTTATATCACCCTTGAACTTATTCATGGTCATCATGACCTGATTGGCTTAGGCATAGACTACCTATTTTGGTTACTGTGGCAAGGGGAATGGAGTTGCTCTGATTGTGGTAGTACATCTGGAGCTAGTAGTGAGGTCAGTCTCCCACAAAATGCTGGCTGAAGAGGGGGAAGTAGATACTGAAGAGATAGTCCCAGTATTTATTATACCTACCTTCTGATAGTTGTTTTGAGGATTAAATGGCATAGTAGGTACTCAGATGTTAGAATTTCTTCCCACATCCCCTGCTTTAGTTCAGTATGTGCTGTTATAACAGAATACCAGAGACTGAGTAATGTATAAAGAAAAGAAATTTATAAGGCTCATAGTTCTGGAGGCTAAAAAGTCTGAGAGCATGGTGCTGGCAGCTGGTGATCCCGTGGAAAAAGGCATCACGTGGGCAAGAGAAAATGCGGGTGAGAGCAAGGGGGTGCTGAACTCACTTTTATAACAAACCCACTCTCGAGATAATGACCTTAATTCATTCATGAGGGCAGAGCCCTCATAACCTAATCACCTCTTAATAGTCTCACCTCTCAAAATTGTTGCATTGAGGATTCAGTCTCTGACATGTGAACTTCGGGGACACATTCAAACTATAGCACTCTAATCCCCCAATTTCTCTTTTCCAGCCTTCATTTTAGTTTGTCCTCTAGTGGTAGCCTCTAATTAGGACCATTTGATGTTTCTTGAGAATAATCTGTTTCATGTGTTTGCAAACTGCTTGGAATACTTTGGATGTGACGTATTTTACAGCTCCAATAGAACCCATGTTTTTCCTGTATTTCTTCATTGTGGCAGATACTTGCTTGTGTTTTAATTGCATTTTTATATATCTATATTAATACTTCACTAGATTGTAAGTTCTATAAGGGCACAGCCTTTGTCTAACTTAGTGCTGTACTTCTGGTATCCAGCTCAAAGAAGGCATTCAATAAATATTTGATGAATGAACAAATGAATAAAAATAGTCACTGAACTGAAAAAGTTCTAATTCATTTAACAAAGATGCTTCTGTTTTGTGTTGCTTGCCTAAAGTTATTCATTCAATGAGCAATTTAAGCAGATTTTTCTTTGACATCATTGTTTATCAATTTAAAGGAAAATTTTATTTATTTTGATTTTTTTAAACATTGCAAGGGTGGCCTCATTTTCCAGAATAAGTTTCCAGAATAAGTTTTGGAATCGGTTATGACTCCCATAAATAAGGATTTTGTATGTATTTTGATTAATTTCTAGTTACTTTAGAATATAAAACACAAACTGCACATTTGTAAAAAATAGACATTATTTGTGAATAATTTAAATATTAAAAAATAAATATTTTCAAAGAAACAAGGTCTCACTTTGCTGCCCAGGCTGGGCTTAAACTCCTGGGCTCAAGCTATCTTCCTGCTTCAGCCTCCCAAGTAGCTGAGACTACAAGTGTATACCACTGCACCCGGCTAATATTTTAAATTTTTTTTAACGAAATGCCTGAACATTTTTTAAAGATTACATAGTAAAGCCCCATGTTAATGTACCGTCTGTGACACGATCAGTTCCAATCATGGAACTCCTGACTGGCTAAGTGGTGAAGCTCGTTACTTGTTAATTTTTTTGTTTTTTGTTTTTTTTTTGAGACGGAGTCTCTGTTGCCCAAGCTGGAGTGCAGTGATGCAATCTTGGCTCACTGCAACCTCCGCCTCCCGGGTTCAAGTGATTCTCCTGCCTCAGCCTCCTGAGTAGCTGGGATTACAGGCGCCTGCCATCACGCCCGGCCAATTTTTGTATTTTTAGTAGCGGCGGGGTTTCACCATGTTGGGCAGGCTGGTCTTGAACTCCTGACCTCAAGCAGTCCACCTGCCTCAACCTCCCAGAGTGCTGGGATTACAGGCGTGAGCCACTGTGCCCGGCCTACTTGTTAAAATCTGACTCAAAATATTATGTGTTGAATTTTGCCCTGCCCAATAGCGTTATGATATATATATAGTCATATATATCATATATATGATATATATATAGTCATATATATCATATATATGACTATATATATAGTCATATATATCATATATATGATATATATATAGTCATATATATCATATATATATGTCATATATATCATATATATGATATATATAGTCATATATATCATATATATGTCATATATATCATATATATAGTCATATATATCATATATATATGATATATATATAGTTATAAGAAATTTACTTATGATAGTAGTTCCCTGTCCCACCGTGCCTCAAACCCAGTCCTGATCTTAGAGGCAAACTGCTTTTTCAATTACTTTTGCTGTTTTTTTTTTTGAATATTTACTTTAATATTTTTGTTTTTATTATTATTTTTTTGAGAGACAGTCTCACTCTGTCGCCCAGGCTGGAGTGCAGTGGCGTGGTCATGGCTCAGTGCAGCCTCGATCATCTGGGCTCAAGTGATCTTCCCACCCCAGCCTCCCAAGTAGCTGAGACCACAGGCAAGAGCTACCATGCCCAGCTAATTTTTATTTTTTGTAGAGATGGGGGGGTCTTACTTTGTTGCCCAGGCTGGTCTCGAACTCCTGGGCTCAAACAGTCCTCCCATTTTGGCCTCCCAAAGTGCTGAAATTACAGGTGTGAGCCACTACATCCAGCCTTCTTTTATAGTTTCAAACAAATTAAATATACTGTTTATTATTGATTTATTTATTATTTCCTGATAATTAAAGATTTAGGTCTTTAACACACACACACATACATACCCTTCTCCTTCATTCTTTCAATATTAGAATTTTTGGTTGAATGATCAAAATTAACTATATTGTTGTATCGTAAATGTCTGTTCACTGATGAGCTAAGTGTATTTTATGTTTTCTTTCCTTTTGAAGGTAATTGCTGAATTTTTGTGTTTCGTTTTCTTTGAAATCATTAGTATTTCTATATCCTTCAACGGCTCCATAAAACCTCTAAAAGCAATTTATCTCTTAGTCAATTATCTGACAGATAATTGATCAGTTCATATTGTTTCCTCCTGGATATGTCCTTTTTTGGAACCTTCCAGCCCTCTCTGGCTCCAGTCTGGACTGCTGGCCCTGTAGGTATGCTCCCTAGTGTTGTCAGGAGGCTTCCTTTGTCTTGTCTTGGGAATTACTTTGCCCTTTTGTTTTTCCTTCTTTTTTTTTTTTTGTTGGGGGCAGATTACCCATTGACTGGCTTCCATGGCTTCTTCCTCTTTGGATTATTCCTGTGTTTCAGTGGACCATATCTATCCAGGAGTTTCCTGAGAATGAAAGGGTGGGAGATAAATTTTTGAGACTGCAAGTCTGAAAATGTCTTTGTTCTATCTTTATGCTTGGTTGGCAGTCTGCTAAGTACACAATTCTAGATTGAGATTCATTTTAAGTCAGTAATTTGAAGGCATTGCCCTATTGTCTTGAGCTTCCAGTATTGCAGCTGAGAAGTCAAAAGCCATAACTGACCCCCAAGAAGCTTTTTGGGGGTTTTCTTGATTTTTCTCTTTACCTTCATTCTGAAATTTCAGTGATGTACCTCATGATTTTGTTTATTTTTGTTTTTTAATTCATTTGCTGATATTTGATGGGGCTTTTAATCTGGAGACATTTTAGTTCTAAGGAATTTTCTTACATGATTTCTTAGATTGCATCACTTCTTTTTAGAACTTTAGATCCTCCAGGGACAGTCTCCCGTATTGATCTTTCAAATTTCTTGTTTTTTTTTTTTGGTCTGTTTTGTTTTTTCCTCTCCTAATTTCTGACTTAGTTTTCTATTCTACTTCTAGGAGATTTCATTTTTTGGGGGGTGAAGTGTCTATTTTTATGTCAGTTATCATGTTTTTAGTTTCCAAGAGCTCATTCTTATTCCTTTTCATAATTCTCTTTTTTCAGATCTGTTTTTCAACCTCTTTCTCTGAAGTCCTAATGACCATGAGTCTGGTATTTCTTTGACAGTTTCTGAAGAGAATACACCTGTTCTGTGTAAAGGATGGGGTTAGGAAAGGGAACTTCATAGTATATAAGCATACACAGGTGATATTGCATGTTCAATTCTAGGCCAGTAAATATTGCCAAAAAGTAAGCTACACAAATTTTTTGGTTTCCTAGTGCATATAAAAGTTACATTTACACTACGCTGTAGTCTGTTAAGTGTGTAGTAGCATTATGTCTTAAAAAACAATGTGTACCTAACTTTAATCTAGAAATACTTAAGAAACGGACCAGGCGCGGTGGCTCACGCCTGTAATCCCAGCACGTCGGGAGGCCGAGGCGGACGGATCACTTGAGGTCAGGGGTTTGAGACTAGCCTGGCCAACATGGTGAAACCACCACGCCTGGCCTAGCCTCCACTTCTAATTCTAATTCTCTTGCTATTTCCACCACATCTACAGTTACTTCCTTCATTGAAGTGTTGAACCCCTCAAAGTTATTCATAATGGTTGACTTCAGCTTCTTCCAAACTCCTGTTAATATTGGTATTTTCACCTCTTCCCATGAATCATGGATATTCTGGAATGATGAATCCTTTCCATAAGGCTTTCTTTCCCTCCCTCTTTGCCTCCCTCCCTCCCTCCCTTCCTTCCTTTCTCTTTTTCTTTCTTTTTTATTTCTTCATTGAGACAGAGTCTAGCCCTGTTGTTCAAGTTGAAGTGCAGTGGCGTAATCTTGGCTCACTGTAACCTCTGCCTCGCGGGCTCAAGCCTCCCACGTCAGCCTCCTGAGTAGCTGAGACTACAGGTACTGCCACACCCGGCCAATTTTTGTGCGTGTTTGGTTTTTGTTTTTTTGTTTTTTGGTAGAGTCGAGGTTTCACTGCGTTGCCAAGGTTGGTCTCGAACTCCTGGGCTCAAGAGATCCCCCCGTCTCAGCCTCCCAAGGTGCTGGGATTACAGGTGTGAGCCACAGTGCCTGGCCTCCAGAAGGTTTTCAATTTTATTTTCCCAGATTTATCAGAAGAATCACTTATTTATGGCAGCTATAGCCTTACAGAATGTATTTCTTTTCCTTCTTTTTATTTTTCTTTTTTTAAGAGACAGAGTCTCCATGTCGCCTAGGCTGGAATGCAGTGGTGTGATCCTAGCTTATTGCAGCCTTGAACTCCTGGGCTTAAGTGATCCTCCCACCTCAGCTTTCCAAGTGTCTAGTGCTATAGGTGTTTGCCACGATGCCTGGCTAATTTTTTTGGTTTTACATAAGGTCTTGCTATGTTGTGGAGGCTGGGCTTGAACTCCTGGCCTCAAGCAGTCTTCCCACCTTGGCCTTCCAAAGTGTTGGGATTTACAGTCATGAGCCACCACACCTGGCCCTAAAATGTATTTCTTTTTTTTTTCTTTTTCCTAAAATGTATTTCTTAATTAGTAAGACTTGAAAGTCAGAATTACTCCTTGATCCGTAGGCTGCAGAATGGATGTTGTGTTAGCAGGCATGATAACATTAATCTCCTTGTACATCACCATTGGAGCTCTTTGGTGACAAGATGCATTGTTAATGAGTAGTAATATTTTGAAAGGAATGTTTTTTTCTGAGCGGTAGGTCTCAACAGTGGGCTTAAAATACTCAGTTAAACCATGCTGTCAGCAGATGTGCTGTCATCCAGACTTTGTTGTTCATCTATAGAGAATAGGCAAAGTAAATTTAGCATCATTCTTAAGGGCTGTAGGATTTTCGGAATGGCAAATGAGCTTTGGCTTCAACTTAAAGTCACTAGCTGCATTAGCCCCTAACAGGAGAGTCAGCCTGTCCTTTAAAGCTTGGAAGCCAGGCATTGATTTCTCCTGTCTGGCTATGGAAGTCCTAGATGGCATCTTCTTCTGATAATAAATAGGCTGTTTTGTCTACACTGATAATCTGTTATTTAGTGTAGCCAGTGTCATCAGTTATCTTCGCTAGATCTTCTGGGTAATTTGCCTTTTTACCTTGTAATTTTATGTTAATGGAGATGGCTTCTTTCCTTAAACCTCATGAACTAACCTATACTACTTTCAAACTTCTCACCTCTCTCAGACTTCATAGAGTTGAGAGAGTTAGGGCCTTGCCCTGGATTAGGCTTTGGCTTAAGGGACTATTGTGACTGGTTTGATCTTCCATCCAGACCATTCATATTTTGTCCCTATCAGCAATAAGGCTGTTTCACTTTCTTACCATTTTTTTATTCACTGGGGTAGCACTTCTGATTTCCTCTAAGAAATTTTCCTTTGCATTCACAACATGGCTAACTGGTGCAAGAGGCCTGTCTTTTGGCCTGTCTCAGCCTTCCTCACTACGCTTGATCATTTCTAGCTTTTGATTTACAGTGAGAGATGTGCAACTCTTTCTTTCACTGGAACACTTAGAGGCCATTGTGGGGTTATTAATTGGCCTAATTTCCATATGGTATGTCTCAGGGAATAGGGAGGCTCCAGGAAAGGGGGAGAGATGAGGAATGGTTGATGGAGCAGTCAGAACACACACAACACTTACCAATTAAGTTTGCTGTCTTATATGGGCACAGTTCCTGGTGCCCCCAAAACAATTACAATAGTAACATCAAAGATCACTGATCACAGATCACCATAATAGGTCAAATAATAATGAAAAAGTTTGAAATATTTTTAGAATTACCAAAATGTGACACAGAGACAAAAAGTGGCATGTTCTGTTGGAAAATGGAACCAACACAGAGTTGCCAAAAACCTTCAATTTGTAAAAAAAATAAAAATAAAAATAAAATAAAAATAAAAAAAGTGGTATCTGCAAAGTGCAATAAAGCGGAGTTCAATAAAATAAGATGCCTACATAGACTTCTGTTCTGTGCCTTTTTCCTCCATTCTTGAAGGTACTTTATGCTTCCAGGGACTTTGCTTCTCTGGGTTCTGAGATGAATCCTGTGGTTGCTCATTGACACTCCCATATGTAGACATTTAGGATGTAGTTACTTGTGTTTTTGAAAATTCATTTGCTAGATTTGCTAGTTTTCATCTTTCAAATATTTATTGAAGTCTCTACATTTGATATTTTCCTGTCATATTCTCTTTGTCTTAAAGATACATACATATATTTCATTTACTGTCATTTTAGTGGGCTTTGAATGTGTCAGTGTCCCTTGCTTACATGGATTTCCTGAAAAATTTTAAAGCTTTTATTATTATTATTATTATTTTTTTGCTAGAGACAGGGTTTCACCATGTTGCCCAGGCTGGTCTCAAAACTGCTGGGCTCAAGGGATCCACTCACCTTGGCCTCCCAAAGTACTGGGATTATAGACATGAGCCCTGCACCCATCCCTAAAGCTTTTTATTAAAAAAAATTTCTAACAAAAATGTAAAGAGCATGCTCTAACATCTGCCATTACCCAGATTTCACATTTATCAACATTTCTGGTTTTTTGTTTCATTTTTCCCCCACCTTATTTTAAATATTAATACTATTACTGTTTTTTTTTGGTTGGTACTGTATTTTAAAACAAATTGTAGACATCCTATCATTTCTTTTTCTTTTCTTTTTTTTTTTTTTTTGAAACAGAATCTCACTCTGTTGCCCAGGCTGGAGTGCAGTGGTGCGATATCGGCTCACTGCAAGCTCTGCCTCCCAGGTTCAAGCGATTCTCCTGCCTCAGCCTCCTGAGTAGCTGGGACTACAGGCGCACGCCGCCATGCCTGGCTAATTTTTGTATTTTTTTTTTTTTTAACTAGAAGTGGGGTTTCACCATGTTGGCCAGGATGGTCTCGATCTCCTGACCTTGTGATCCACCCACCTTGGTCTCCCAAAGTGCTGGGATTACAGGCGTAAGCCACCATGCCCGGCCACATCTTATCATTTCATGTATACATCCTTGAATATGAATCTTGAAACAATTACTAATAGATCTAAAAATGAGCAGTGATTCTTTGATATTTAATACTCAGTCCATGTTCAGTTTTCCTTGATTGTCTCAGAAATGACTTTTTAGAGTTGGATGTTTGAAATAGGATCCCAGAGTTCACATACTTATTTGTCTATAGAATGTTCCATATTTTGGATTTGGGTCTGATTTCTTTTTCTTTTTTTTTTTTTTTAATTATACTTTAAGTTTTAGGGTACATGTGCACATTGTGCAGGTTAGTTACATATGTATACATGTGCCATGCTGGTGCGCTGCACCCACTAACTCGTCATCTAGCATTAGGTATATCTCCCAATGCTATCCCTCCCCCCTCCCCCCTCCCCACCACAGTCCCCAGAGTGTGATATTCCCCTTCCTGTGTCCATGTGATCTCATTGTTCAATTCCCACCTATGAGTGAGAATATGCGGTGTTTGGTTTTTTGTTCTTGCGATAGTTTACTGAGAATGATGGTTTCCAATTTCATCCATGTCCCTACAAACGACATGAACTCATCCTTTTTTATGGCTGCATAGTATTCCATGGTGTATATGTGCCACATTTTCTTAATCCAGTCTATCATTGTTGGACATTTGGGTTGGTTCCAAGTCTTTGCTATTGTGAATAATGCCGCAATAAACATACGTGTGCATGTGTCTTTATAGCAGCATGATTTATAGTCATTTGGGTATATACCCAGTAATGGGATGGCTGGGTCAAATGGTATTTCTAGTTCTAGATCCCTGAGGAATCGCCACACTGACTTCCACAATGGTTGAACTAGTTTACAGTCCCACCAACAGTGTAAAAGTGTTCCTATTTCTCCACATCCTCTCCAGCACCTGTTGTTTCCTGACTTTTTAATGATCGCCATTCTAACTGGTGTGAGATGATATCTCATAGTGGTTTTGATTTGCCTTTCTCTGATGGCCAGTGATGATGAGCATTTTTTCATGTGTTTTTTGGCTGCATAAATGTCTTCTTTCTTCCTCACAGTATACTTTACCTTGTTCCTCTGTCTACATTACTTTCTTTAAATTGAGAGTTAGATCTAGAGGCTTGATTAGATTCAGAGTCAGGTTTTGTTTGTTTGTTTCCCAAGACAATGTCATAGGTGGTGGTATGTTGTTTTTTTTGTTTTTGTTTTTGAGAGGGGGGTCTTGCTTTGTTGCCCAGGCTAATCTTGAACTCCCAGGCTCAAGCAGTCCTGCAGCCTGGGCCCCCCAAAGTGTTGGGATTACAAGCGTGAGCCAAAAAAACAGAAAGTACCAGAAAGCACAGAACCTCAGGTTGTCACATTTCTAGTGGTGCTAAGATGGATCAGTAGGTTTATGGGGTGTCAACCTGATCCTGCCATTATAGGGTTGCCTATCAACCATTCACCTCATGGTTTTAGCATCCATTGGTGATGATTACAGTAATTATTATTTCAGTGATGCTCAAACTTTAGCATTCATCAGAATCACCTGGAGGACTAGCAAAAACTTAGAATGTTGGACCCCACCCCCAGGAATTTGTATTTCTAACAAGTTTTTAATTAGTGCTAATGTTGTTAGTGTAGGGACCACACTTTGAGAACCACAATATGATATCATTAGTGGTTGCAAAATAATGATTTGATAGTTTGCATTTCTTCTGAAATAAGTTTTTTCAGTAAAGATAGTATATATGTTTTATTTACCAGTTTTCAAAATAATGATTCAGTGTTCTAGCAGCTTTCAAAGGTGACCAGTGAACTTTTTTTGGTTGATATTTCCTTTTGTTTTTTTAGTATTTGATTCAGTCTGTTGCAGTCATGATATGTTTTTGTGAATCATCTTTGGCTGGTTGGGACCCTTTTAGATGGGCACCTATTTTCTTCTCACATTACCTTAGTAGTTTTTTTCGGGCACCGTGTGTTATTCCAAGCATGTTTTTACGACAGGACCATTTTTCCCAGCGATTCCAGTTCCTTTTGGTAGGAACAGCATTTAGTATCACACTGTATTCTAGAGATCTTCATTGTCACTGGTCATCATTATTTCTAGGTGTTTTCAGAGTACAAAACAGAGATACAAAATTTCTCTTGTTCAAAAAAAAAAGTTAACTGAAAGTTCCAATTCAAATTAAATTTTGTTTTAATTTTTAAAATATTTCTTTTATGTTGAAAATTCTGTTTTCTAACAGTCTTACTATAGTTTATTTTATAACATATATATATATATGTATAGTAGCTTCAGAATAATAATAGTGCACCACCGTGCCCTGCTAATATATCTTAGACAATTTTTTTAGTAGATACAGAGTCTCGCTATGTTGCTTCGACTGGTCTTGAACTCCTCAGCTCAAGCGATCCTCCCACCTCATCCTCCCAGAGTGCTGGGATTATAGACATGAGCCATGCACCCAGCCTAAAGTACAATTTATTGAAGTATAACATGTATTCAGAAAAGTGTACGGATCGTAAACATACACCTCAGTACAGTTTCTGAAAGTGAACACACTTTATATAATATATAATAAGCACCCAGATGCACAAGCAAACCGTTACCAGTGTCCTGGAACCTACTTCATTTGCCTTTCTAGTTACTCTCCCTCATCTTTGCCTGGGGTAACCACTATCCTCACTTCTAACAGTATAAATTAGTTTTGTCTGTTTAACTCTGTGTAAATGGAATTATGTTCCAATTTTAGTATATGTGATGTGGAAGCAAGCCCAGTGGAATCATATTGTAATCACACACTACTGTGTTTGGCTTGTTTTCAAGGTATTTCAGATTTATTCATATTGCCACATGTAGCAGTTGCTGCTGTTTAGTATTTTGTTATGTGAAGATACAATTTACCCAGTCTATTGATGGAGTATTGTTTTTCAGTCAAAGGGTTATTTCCAATTTTTGACTATTAAGAATAGTGCTGCTATGAATATTTTTATATATGTCTTTCGGTGGACAGATGCTGAATACTTTAGCTGATAGTTTCTCTTCAGCATTTCTGTGTTTGGAATGTATGTTATATGACAGTTCCAAAGTTACACACATTGCATTCCTAAATATGTTGTGTAATACACATTGCACATGTGTCAGAATTATATGTTTAACCCCAATGTAATTGTGGATGTAGAAGATATAGATAAAACTACACCTTACCATATAAAATATGCAGAAGTACACCAGTGACGTCAGTTTTGCTATGGTTGCAGTAAGCAGTGCAGTTCTACAAATTTACCATTTTAAAAGCATTTTGTCAAACTTTCTGGATACAAAGATGCTGCCAAGGAACTCACAGCCTAATACATGAGTTAAGATATGAACATAGCATACATTATTTTGCATTGTGCTGAAGTCATTTAAGTACCAGAAGGAATGTGTGAAGTGCTATAGTAGATTAAAAATGTGGCATATCTATAAACACAGATTTAAAAGGTAAGAGAAAGTAACTTATAGCAAAATATTTATTTGTAGCTTATGTGTCAGGCAGAATTTTAAGGACTTTAGATATATTAATTCATTTAATCCTCAAAACAACTCTACAGGGCTGGGCAAGGTGGCTCCTGCCTCTAATCCCAGCACTTTGGGAGGCTGAGGCGGGCGGATCACCTGAGGTGAGGAGTTTGAGACCAGCCTGGCTAACATGGTGAAACCCCGTCTCTACTAAAAATACAAAAATTAGCCGGACGTGGTGGCGGACGCCTACAATCCAAGGTACTCAGGAGGCTGAAGCAGGAGAATTGCTTGAACCCGGGGGGCAGAGGTTGCATTGAGCCGAGAGTGCGCCACTTCACTCCAGCCTGGACGAAAGAGCGAAACTCCTTCTCAAAAAAAAAAAAAAAAAGTATATATAATATGTATATATATATTTATATTTATATTGATAAATTCAATATGGAATTATTAGATGATACATATTTTATTTTTAAATGAACTGTTTTATTATCCTTACTGTTACACTTGTGTATAAAAGATGCTTTGGGATTTTACTTTTTTTCAGTAAATATATACTGATAAATGTTTACATGTTAATTTAAAAAGCTCAGAGGAAAGATTATTCAACTTTCTGAAAACATAGCATACACAATAAATAACTGTTTGCCAGGGGGCAAAAAAAGCTCTGTTGTCTTCTAGTACCAGTTGGTATTACGTAGGTTTGTTTGCTGTCTCATATCTTATTTATAGAAGTTTGGAACTGGAAACTAGATACTAAACAAACAGTAATGTTCCACTGTAGTTTATGCATTAGAATCCTTCTTTGATCATAAGTATTTTTGCATATGCTTCCGTGAAACTAGCAACTTCGGAGAAACTGGCAACTTGCTTGGATCAAATCCATTTTTATATACCTTAATACCGAAGCAATATGTAGCACACCTAAATGTACTGATTTGTTTAGATAATATTTGTAAAAGCTTTGTAACATTACTAATAAGTTATAAATTAATAGAAGATACCATAGCAGTTAGAGAGCATGAGGAAACATTTATGGGTATCATATGTCTGACTTTAGAAGCTTTGCAGACTCCTTCCTCTCAAGAAAAGAGCTTCTGTTGGGAGAAATTTCAAATTCCATGACTGTGTTTGTTAAAATATTTCAGATATATACTAAATATTCTGGTGCTCTCAGAATTTGCAAGTATTTAAAAATCATACTAGTGGATAATTTTAGTTGTGTGTTTATTCTTTTATTGGTCTTCAGCAGCTGTCTAACCTTGCTTTCCTCCTTGAACATGGAGACCAAACATTGGGATGACTTCATTTTAACTAGAGGTTACCTTTATTAGTTAGCCTGATTACTCTTTTATAATAACAGAGAACCTTTGTGAATGAATTTTTCAAAATCTTACAGAACGTATGGGAGGGTGTGAAATGAAAGATAGGTGTGTGACTTTCAAAAGTTGATCTGAAAGAGCTCTTAAAAATCTAAGACTTGTTCAGTGTTACTTTTTTAGAGGTAACATAAGATGTTATATCGGATATACTGCCTTTACACTATTTGGAAAATAAAGACTATTTTGGCTTTGTTTTAAAAATGCAAAGGAGGCCAGACGCAGTGGCTCATGCATGTAATCTTAGCAATTTGGGAGGCCAAGATGGGAGGATGGATTGAGGCCAAGAGTTCAAGACCAGCCTAGGCAACAAAGTGAGAACTTTGTCTCTACAAAATATAAAACAATTAGTTGGACATGGTGGCACTCATATGTAGTCCCAGCTACTTCAGAGGCTAAGGCCGGAGAATCACTTGAGCCCAGGAGTTCAAAGTTGCTGTGAGCTATGATCACGTCACTGCACTCCAGCTTGTTAACAGAATGAGACTCTGTCTCAAAATGCAAAGGAATTAAACAATTGACTTCAAACATAATTGTTTCATTTGTTTGGTAAGCACATGTTGGGCACATCCTCCCCCTGCTCCCTCTTTTTAATGCCAGCCACTGTACTGGGCCTTCATAGAAGAATGAGATCCTGTAGAGAATGAGATTAAGAATGACTAATGATTCTTAATCATTTTTCCTGCCACATACCCCTCTAGCAACCTGGTAAAACCTATACACAAACCTCTTCTTATAAAAATGTTTAGAAACACTTAAAATGAAATTCATAGAGGATTATAAAGTAAACTTATGTTGAGATAGTTGTCAGAATATTAAATTTCTAATATAGTAGCACATACTATATTATTAACTCATGAAATAACAAGACCTAGCAGTGGATCTAATAAGTATTGTAATTTTGAATAATGATGTGCATAAACACATTTTTCTAGGTATCTACATCAGCTGTACAATGATGAAACTATCTATGATTCCTATTGGTGATCAAAGTTATAGGAACCTTATACCTCTGAAGTTTGTTGCCTGCATTTTAATAGAAGGAAACGCTAAATGGTAGTTAGAGATTGGTGGAAATCTCTAACTACAATTCATTCCCCATCCAAGTTGACAGGCACACCAAACCACAGATCTGTGTGGGTCAGCAGATTGCATGTTAAGAATCCCTGATCTAGGAGCTTTAGTTTAGGCTGTGAGACTGACACTTCAGTGGGTAGTTATATAATAATTGAAACCTGAGCAGGGGTTTTGTCTCATTTATCTTTACATTTTTATAATCTCACAGTGTCCAGTAAACATTAAACAGTTAGTTATTAATAGAGCTAGATAAATAATTTGGGGGTATATATGGGAGATTACTTCTGTTAGAAGAGGTAGCATTGAGCTGTATTCTAAATTTAGTATACATTGGAATTTTCAGGTTGGATGAAGTAAGGAAGAGGTACTCAGAATTGAGGCATGCTCATAGGAATAGCATCAGGAAGGGTATGACAGGTTTGATGATTATTGAGAGTCAAGATACACATTTAAGGGAATGGCAAGAGATGAGAGGTTGAGATAATGCTGGGGCTCAGATTATAAGGAGAGTTTTGTGTATACTAGGCAACTGGTAACTTACAATGATATGGTACAATCAGCTTTGTGTTTTAGGAAGTTATCTCAGTTGATGTCATGACAGAAAAATGGGACAGAGTGGGAAGAAATTAGAAGCAGAGGCCAGTGAAGCACTGTTGCAGTTATTACAGGTTAGAGAGGGCAGGGTCATGATGGTAGCAGAGAGATGGGAAACAGCGATCCATATCTGGGAGAAGAGGATTCTATGCTTGACTGAATATGGGATGTGAAGGAGAAGAAGTTGTGGCCTCAATCTACCCAATTGGGAGACTGGTGCATGGGCCATGGTAGTGCCAAAACATAGAGCTATTAAGGTAAGGAATGCAGGAGGGAAGAGTAGGCATGGTGGAGAAGATAGAGAAATTTAGTTGTACTTAGTAAGTTTGAGGTAGGCTGAGATTCAGGTAACAGTTTTCTTAGTAGGCAATTGGGGTGAGAGATTTTGAAATTTTACCCTTTAGATCAATCACTTTTAGATCATTACAGTAATTTTTTTTTTTTTTTTTGGTTTGAATTTGTTTTATTCAGATACAGTTTACATGCAGTAAAATTTATTCTTTTTTAGGTTTGCAGTTTGATGAGTCTGACAATGTATAGTCATATAACCAACACTACAGTTGAGATATAGAATATTACCCCAGAAAGTTCCCTGTACCTTTTAGTGATTCTCTTCTCCCCCACATCGAGCCCCTGGCAAGAACTGATGTGATTTTTATCCCTACAGTTTGGCCTTTTCCAGAATGTCTTATAAATGATATCATACATTGTGTAGCCTTTTGTATCAGGTTCTTTCACTTAGTATAAATGCCTTTGACATTCCTCTATGCATGTTATTCCTCCATGTATCAGTAGTGTATTTTTGTTGCAAAGTAGTATTCCTTTGTATGTGTGAAGGTTTTAAGAAACACACCTACCTGGGCTACAAACCCTAATATATCTGAATTCAGAAGGATAGCCAGGAAATGGTAATTTCTTGGACTCCCGTCTCATGGTATGAGATAATGGTACTAGGGAGTAGAGTGCAAGGAGGTCATAGTGTCAAATGTGCGTAGGTGGAATGGAACATAAGAGGCTGTGCTTAGGACTGTTTTTCATGTTTGGTTTAGAAGGGAAGGTAAATGTGACAGTAACGTAAAACTTTTTAAAGATAAATAGGTGAAAGAAACAAATCAGAGGTATAAGGAATAGGGAAGATTTAACAGGAGACTAGAAGGGATGGATCAACTCTGTAGACGTGGAGAGGGAGAGGAACGCTTTTTTCTTTAAGGTAAAAGGAGAACTAGTATGATTGGGTGCTGTTATAAGTGAATTGAGAGGACTTACAGATTTTTGATCTGAGTGTCTGGATGAGTAGACTTAGTAGGTTGACTTTAGAGAAGTAAACTTCTAATTAATTCAAATACTGGTTTTCCTGTTTTGGAACATGTTCCTTTTTCATCCATTGTTTCTTAGTTTTGTGGCACTTTGCTGGTTTTCAAGCTAGTGGGCATCAAGCTTTTCTCTGGCCAGTTCTTTCCTATCCTGAAACCCTTCAGTGGAAAAACAAATCATGTTCTGCCTTAAGAGTATGATGGTTATTAAGCTATTTTGTATTCCTTGGAGGAAAGGATATACAATCCTGGGGATTCAAAGAAGTGCTTCTTGAAATGAATGTGAAGTTTTAGTATCAGACTAGAGGTACAGACAATCATAATGTAGAAAGCATAGATGTTTCCCTTTCTCCAATTTTCTTTTCCTTGGGGTTACATCTTTTAATAGTTAATTCTGAGTTTACTAGTTAGAATTTATGTCTTTGTCACAGGAAGGGGAACATCACACTCTGGGGACTGTTGTGGGGAGTGGGGAGGGATAGCGTTGGGAGATATACCTAATGCTAGATGACGAGTTAGTGGGTGCAGCGCACTAGCATGGCACATGTATACGTATGTAACTAACCTGCACAATGTGCACATGTACCCTAAAACTTAAAGTATAATAATAAAAAAAAGAATTTATATCTTTGTATTGTTTCTAATTCATCTTTCCTGAAAATGTTTGGTGCACATACAAACAAACTGATATGTTTGTTTGCCTCTACACTGATGGTATACATACAGTTTTGAATTTTGCTTTTCTTCACGTGATAATCACTTTGGAGATCTTGATGTGTGTGATGCACATTCTAAGGGTTGAAGAGAGAAACATTATCCCTATACCAATCTTAGAGGTAGTCTTACTTTATAGACAAGTAATTGAGGACTAGAGAAGTTAAGGCACTTCTCTACAATCACAGAGAATCAGTATGTGGCACAGTTGGAATTTAAATCTAAGTTTGGCTGATTCAGAGCCCATTCTTCTGTTTTTGGCATGTTGGGTGTGAGGAATGATTCTTGGTTTCAGCATATTGTCTGTTACCTTATAGATTAATAGCCCATTGTATTAACGCATTTCTGTTAGTGAATTAGTCCTATCGGGATACATACACAGATGCACCCCTTGGTTTTTCTAAAAGAACATGCTGATACATATTAAAATACAAACCCACTGAAAGACAGTGCTTGTAAAGCATTCTAAAATGTCTCTATTTCATGAACCAGCTACTTAATGTATTACAATATGGTAGTCTTATTGAGGTTTATAAATTAAAAGGCAGTATTTTCTGCTAGACTTGTCTACTTGAACTCAACACAAGAGTTCAGATTAGTGAGCCAGTTTACATACTGACCAGTCTGGGCCCTGTGATCATTAGGGCCTGCTTTTCAACTTGCTTGTCAGCTGGGTAGAATACAAGCTTGCTATGGCTTCCAGGAATGTGTATGTGGACTTGTCTGAAATAGCAGAGTTGGGACATACAGAAGTTGAGAAAGGAACTATTGTGTTTTCTTGTTTACTGCATGAACCTCAATTTGTTATAGATACGGATTGTTGAAGACCTGGGTTCTAAGCCATTGGTTGCCTGAGCACTCTTACTCTGGACCAGACCTTGTTTAGTTAAAGCATCCTTAAAAAATACATACATTGGCATTTCTGGTCTGCACTAGCTGCCAGGACAGCACTTAGTTGAACAGAATACTTAGATTGATTTTCTCGTAGTCATGTACTTATAGTAGAAGAGATAAAGGAATTGAAAAGCAGTCGTAATTGCTTCTGTAAAAATCCCAGACTCTTCAGTGAAACAAAAAAGCAGGATGTTACTTGTGAAATGGTAGGACTGGATAGATGGAGCCTTTTGCAAAAACAGATTTTGTCATGGGCAACAGATTTCTTAAAGGCTCCCGGTCCCTCATGGTTCCATTGCTGGGATTAAGCCTTTTTGCATTGCAGCATGGAGAGCCTTTTATTTGAGTTAAATTCAGACTTCTTGGTATGTCATCTGACAGTCTTGTGGTTTCAGATAAATATGGTTCATTGCTGTTATTAACCTGGGTTGACAGTTGTGCATGACTGGAGTTTTTAGGGATTTTGAAAAGTGGAACTGCTTAAGAGAAATAGGATGCCACTAATGTAGAGCTTAACTTAATGTGATATTCAAGTGTGTTAACATCAAAATAATCCAAATCTAGTTATTAATTTGGTGATATATTTGCTTTAAAATATCTGAAAATTTTAAATGCCAAGATTTTAGATACTTATTTTATTGAAAGTTAAATTATGATAATAACCTTAATTATTAGAATGACTTCTTGAAAATGTTTTAAGCAAGTATTAATTATTGTTTTAAAATATGTAATTCATAAATACTGTACAGTATGTTAGTCCTTGGTTTATGTTTATTTTATGATTCTCTTTCTGCCATTTGTTGCTCTTCTTTCTTGGTATGTTTACATGGGAACCTTCACTGCAGATTTTTGGAAAGCAGTGTGCTTTTCTGTTTGTATCCCATATATATATTTATAAGTAAAATGTAAATTAAAAGCTTGACATTGTATTAGTGTATTGATCATAATCCAGTTATTTTTATAGTTAACGGTATTCTCTAATTTTACTGACATGGACCTGAATTTATTTAGAATTATTTTTGATGCTTTGTGAACACCTTAAATGTGTGTCCCCACTTAGTCATTTGAGTTAAATAATTTGAATTAGTAATGGCCTTATACTAATTTAGGTACATTGTTTTTATTTTATTTTATTTTATTATTAGTTTTTGAGACGAAGTCTTGCTCTCTCGCCCACGCTGGAGTGCAGTGGCACAATTTTGGCTCACTGCAACCTCAGCCTCCCGGGTTCAAGCAATTCTCCTGCCTCAGGCTCCCGAGTAGCTGGGATTACATTACCCCTGGCTAATTTTTGTATCTGTAGTAGAGATGGGGCTTCACCATGGTGGCCAGGCTGGTCTTGAACTCCTGACCTCAGGTGGTCCAACCGCATCAGCCTCCCAAAGTGCTGGGATTACAGGCATGAGCCACCATGCTGGCCTGTTTTTTTATTTTAAATAAGTCACATTATACAAGTTCCCCCCTTTTTAAAAAAAAAAAAAAACTGTGTATGACCCAGTTAAACAACTTGGATACTGGGTCTCTATTGTTTTAGCTCATTTAACATTCTTCCAGTGTTTTGCTGTAGTTTTTAAGTTCACAGGTATATAGAGTTAATGTCAGAAAGTTAAACCACATAGGCCAGGTACATTTCAATTAGGTATACGTATTGCTGAAAAATACTAAGTAAATATGATAGCATATTATGATACATGATAGCTCTTATGGTGTAGAAATCTACTATTTGCCAATGTGCCATTTTTACCAAGAATTCATGTTAATGAATTTTTTGTGCATATAATTTTATGCATGTTAAATTGTACAATAAATATAAATGAATTTTGGAACTTTAATGCTGGTAATAGTTTATATTTTTGTTATGGTATTTTTTTCACATCTAATTTGATTAAATGATGATAGTAATACTATGGCCAAGCAGCTGACTATCCCTGTCATTGAAATGTAAATTACAGTCACTAGAATTACATTAATACCCTGAGTATAGTTGAATTTATTGTGACAAAATAAGTCTAAAGATTAGTGTTCTTACAACATTTAGTATATTAAGATGTAGTTAGAGAAAAATAATTGGATATAAACAGCCTATATAAATATTAATCAAGATTTTGTGATACAAATAAGTCCTAAATTGATAACTAAAGTCTTTGGAACTGAGATTAGCAAATCAGTCATGGAATTATTTTCCTGTCAGATTAGAGAATTATAATTCCTTAGATAGAAAAATGATTACTATATATACAGGCTTCCAGCATTAAAATGGTACTCCTTGAAATAGGCATTTACTCACTTGTTTAGCAAAGTGGTTGAAGTTTTATTACATTCATTATCTCTTACAGCTTCTTCCTATGGTATTTAGGTTAATTTGTGATTAACCAGTTGTCAATCTGGAAGGAATTTCCACAGCTTACAAGATCAAATTGAATTATATAGAAACTGGTACAAAATGATGTCTTGTCACTGATGGTCCTACCTGCTTAAGAACATTTCTTTTCTTTTTTTTTTTTTTTTTTTTTTTTTTTTTGAGACAGAATCTCACTCTGTCACCAGGCTAGAGTGCAGTGGTGCAATCTTGGCTTACTGCAGCCTCCGCCTCCCAGGTTCAAGCGATTCTCCCGCCTCAGCCTCCCGAGTAGCTGGGACTACAGGTGCACACCATGCCCAGCTAATTTTTGTATTTTTAGTAGAGACAGGGTTTCACCATGTTGGCCAGGATGGTCTTGATCTCTTGACCTCGTGATCTGCCCACCTCGGCCTCCCAAAGTGCTGGGATTACAGGCGTGAGCCACCACGCCTGGCCAAGAAAATTTCTTTTAAGCCTGATAGTAGGAGATACTTTCAAGTGGAGTGCAGTAGAGTTGCAGTGATATAAGCCGTAGTGGTTAATGTTAGGTCTCAGCCTGACTGGATTATGGAATACCTGGAAATTGGAAGAGCATTGTTTCTGAGTGTGTCTGTGAAGAGTGTTTCCCGAGGAGATTTGGTGTGGGAGTCTGTGGACGGAGTGCAGATCAGCCCTCAACATAGATAGGCACCATCCAGTTGGCTGGGGGCCTAGACAGAACAAAAAAAAGGCAGAGGAAATGGGATTTCCTCTGTCTTTCTTCTGGAGCTGGAACATTGTCCTGCCTTTGGACATTAGAACTCCAGGCTGTCTGGCCTTTGAACTCAAAGACCTATACCAGTGGCTCACCAGGTTCTTAGGCCTTTGGCCTCAGACTGAGAATTACACCATTGGTTTCCTTGGTTCTGAGGTATTTGGATTTGGACTGAGCCATGCTGCTTGCATCTCGGGTCTCCACCTTGCAGATGGCCTGTCATGGGACTTCTCAGCCTCTGTAATCTCATGAGCCAATTTTCCTAATAAATCCCCTCTCATATATCTGTATATATATTCTGTTGTTTCCACCTCTCTAGAGAACCCTGACCAGTACAGAAACCTTCTAGACTATGACATTTGGGCTTGACTGCTTCCTGGCTAAATAACTTAGAAGGAGATTTAACCAGCATTCAACTGAATTGTAGATTGGGACCGGGGAAATTTAAACATTTGGATTGGAGAAGTCTCTGCTTGTTAAAGATAAGTAGGGGCAGGGCTTTAAAAACTACAGGCCAGCTGCAGTGGCTGATGCCTGTAATCTCAGCACTTTGGGAAGCCAAGGCAGGAGGATTGATTGAGACCAGGAGTTTGAGACCAGCCTGGGCCACATAGCAAGACCCTTTCTGTAGTCCTCACTACTTGGAGGCTGAGGCAGAAGGATCACTTGTGCCCAGGAGTTCAAGGTTACACTATTCCAGCCTGAGTGACAGAGTGAGACCGTGTCTCAAAAGAAAAAAAAAAAAGAAAAAGCAGTAACACTATAGAATAGAGGAAAGGGAATATTAATCTGCAGACTTAGAAAAAGATTAGGTTTCTGAAATTTACTAGTTGGAATCAAAATTTGTAATCAGATAATTTGGCATCCTCAATAGTATGCAAGAAAGAATGTTTTCTGAAACAGCAGAGCATGAGAAGAAGATACTTGGCAAAGAAGATGTAAGATTACAATGAAAAGGGAGATGGAGAACATAAAGATTGCACAGAAATGAAAATTTATGTGACAAAATTAGGTTTTATAGGGCTGTTAATAAAAAGTAGAGTTGATAAGTGGGGTATTTAGTAAGTGTCATGAAGGTCAAGGATGAAATTCTGCTGAAATACAGAGGAAAAAGAAAAGGTGAAGAAAGTATCACCTGTTATGTGCTTTAGAGTTATGTACTGTAAAGATAAACCATTGGAACAGAAGCCAATATCAGATACTTAAAGTGAAGACATCAGAATAGAAGAAAGGATATTTACACGCAGATTAAAAGGGTTTAATATTCTTTAAAATGTGAATTAAAATAGTTTTGATTTCTTTTTAAGGAAAGCATGCTTACATTTGCCTTTTATTGCTGGATTTCTCAACTCATCCTAGTAGGTACTAATGGAGAAAGAAACATGTTCTAACATATCCTCAGGGTTTGCCTAAAGAGGTGATTTTCCATCAAACACTTACATTCACTGAAAGAAAACAGTTTATGATGCATCTGAAAGAAAGCATGCTTACATTTGCCTTTTATAGCTGAATCTATAAACCCATGTAATATGAATCAATAGAAAAGGAAACATGTCTTAGAAAGGTGTTTCTCCCTCAAACACTTCCATTAACTGAAAGAAAAGTTTTCATGATGCTTTTTTTTTTCCCCCGCAGACAAGGTCTCCCTCTGTCATCCAGGCTGGAGTGCAGTAACATTGTCACAGCTCACTGCAATCTGGACCTCCTGGGCTCAAGTGATCATCTTACCTCAGCCTCCCAAGTAGCTGGGACTACAGGCGTGCACCAGCATACTTGGCTAATTTTTCATTTTTTGTAGAGGCAGGGGCTCACTATGTTGCCCAGGCTGGTCTTGAACTCCTGGCCTTAAGCAGTCCTCCTGTCTCAACCTCCCAAATTGCTGGAATTACAGGTGTGAGCCACCACACCCAGCCGTATGATGCATCTTAAAGAAAGCATGCTTCTACTTACCTTTAAGGAAGTTTTAATTTCACCAAGTATAGTGTCATAGAGCAGTATAACAGCCATTTTCATGCCTGAAAATGGCAAAATTTTGATATCTGAGTGAGGAGTTATTGTATCTAGTCCTCGATTCTACAAAAATATTGAGTACTATCTATAAACAGTAAATAATTGATGCATGTGTAGTTCTGGTTCTCAAATGCGTATAGATGTTCTTTTCAGTAGTGCTATACTAAATTCATAGTATCTTTCAGTCGTATTTTGTTAGTTACTGTGTACTTAATTTTTAAAAAACATTAAATAGGTATGACCAGGTATGGAGGCCTGACACCCCTAATCCAGCTCTTTGGGAGGCTGAGATGGACAGACTGTTTGAGCCCATGAGTTTGAGATGAGCCTGGGCAACATGGCGAAACCTCATCTGTACTAAAGAAACAAAAATTAGCCAGGTGTGGTGGTGGACACCTGTGGTCCCATCTACTGGGAGGCTGAGGTGAGAGTCACTTGAGCCCAGGAGGTCGAGGTTGCAGTGAGCCATGAACATGTCACTGTACTCCAGCCTGGGTGACAAAGTGGGACCCTGTCTCAAAAAAAAAAAAAAAAAAGGTGTTTTAGGCCATTCTTGTATTGCTATAAAGAAATACCTGAGATTTGATGATTTATAAAGAAAAGAGGTTTAATTGGCTCATGGTTCTGTAGGCTGTGCAAGAAGCATAATGCTGGCATCTGCTTGGCTTGTGGAGAGGCCTCAGGAAACTTGCAGTCATGGCAGAAGATGAATGAGGAGCAGGCACTTCACATGGCTAGAGCAGGAGCAAAAAAAAGGCAAGGGGGCGTACCACACGCTTTTAAACAACCAGATCTCAAGAGAGCTCTCTCACGCAAGGACAGCATCAAAGGGATGGTGCTAAACCATTCATGAGAAACTCATCCCCATCATCCAGTCACCTCCCTCCAGGCTCCATCTCCAATACTGGAGATTACTTTCAACATGAGATTTTGGCAGGGACACAGATCCAAACTATATCAAAAGGTATCTTACTAGAAATGGTTAGGAATTACTGATAACAGGACCATATGCTCGCAGTTGTTTCAATTGAGGCTTGCATATTAATGGAAAAGTCAACTGAAGTGAGGAATTTAAAAATTATATATTGTAACATTTTGTTTTTAGCTTAAAACATGTAAATATTGATATGGTTTGGGTCTGTGTCCCTGCCCAAATCTCATGTTGAATTGTAATCCTCAGTGTTGGAGGTAGGGCTTGGTGGGAGGTGATTAGATCATGGGGGTGGAGTTCTCATGAGACCTAAAACTGTGTAGCACCTCCCCCATTTCTTTCTTCCTCCTATTCCCGCCATGAGGTGCCTCCTTCTTCGCCTTTCTCCACAAATATAAGTTTTCCTGAGGCTTCCCCAGAAGCTGAGCAGATGCCAGTATCATGCTTCCTGTACAGCCTACAGAACTGTAAGGCATTTAAAACTCTTTTCTTTAATTACACAGTCTCAGGTATTCCTTTAACAGCAATGTGAGAAGGGACCAATAATATGCATTCATTTGCCAATCTTTTGCTGGCCATTGTAGTCGTGTGTGTGTGTGTGTGTGTGTGTGTGTGTGTGTGTGTATTTGCATTTGCAAAGTATGTGAGATATTTTAATACAGGCATACAGTGTGTAATAATCACATCAAGGTAAATGGGGTATCTATCTCCTCAAGCATTTACCCTTTGTGTTACATACAATCCAATTATACTTTTAGTTATTTTAAAATGTACAATAAATTCTTGTTGACTGTAGTCACCCTGTTGTGCTATCAAACACTAGATCTTATTAATTCTACTGAACTATATTTTGGTGCCCATTAACCATCCTCACTCCCCCTGCCACTACCCTTCTCAGCCTGTGGTAACCATCATTCTACTCTATCTCCACTAGTTCAGTTGTTTTAATTTTTAGCTCCCACAATTAAGTGAGAAGATGGAAAGTTTGTCTTTCTGTGCCTGGCTTATTTCACCATAATGACCTCCATGTTGTTGCAAATGACAGGATATCATTCTTTTTTATGACTGAATAATACTCCATTGTGTATAAGTACCACATTTTCTTTATCCATCTGTTGATGGACGTTTAGGTTGGTTCCCACTGATTTCCTTTCTTTTGGGTATATGCTTAGCAGTGGGATTGCTGTATCATACAGTAATTCTGTTTTTAGTTTTTTTGAGGAACCTCCAAACTGTTCTCCGTAGTGGTCATACTAACATTCCTACCAACACTATATGATGGTTGCCTTTTCTCTACATCCTCACCAGCATTTATTATTGCTTGTATTTTGGATAAAAGCCATTTTAACTGGGGTGAGATGATATTGCATGGTAGTTTTGATTTGCGTTTCTCTGATGATCAGTGGTATTGAGCACCTTTTCATATACCTGTTTGCCATCTGTATGTCTTCTTTTGAGAAATGTCTATTCAGGTCTTTTGCCTATGTTTAATTGGATTATTTGATTTTTTTCCTATATAGTTGTTCGAGCTCCTTATACATTCTGGTTGTTAATCCCTCATCAGATGGGTGGTTTGCAAATATTTTCTCCCATTCTATGGGTTGTCTCTTCACTTTGTTGATTGTTTCCCTTACTGTGCAGAAACTTTTTATAACTTGTTGTGATTCCATTTGTCTGTTTTCACTTTAATTACCTGTGTTTCTCAGAATATCTTTGCCTAGTTCAATATCCTGGAGAGTTCTCCCAATGTTTTCTTTTAGCAGTTTCATAGTTTGAGGTCCTAGATTTAAGTCTTTAATCCATTTTGATTTAATTTTCGTGTATGGTGAGAGATAGGGGTCTGGTTTTATTCTTCTGCATATGGATATCCAATTTTCTCAGGGCCTTATATTAAGAGACTGTCCTTTCTCAAATGTATGTTCTTGGCAGCTTTGTTGGAAAATGAATTCACTGTAGGATTTGTTTCTGGGTTCTGTATTCTCTTCCATTGGTCTGTGTGTTTGTTTTTATACCAGTATCATGCTGATTTGGTTACTATAGCACTGTAGTATAATTTAAAGTCAGGTAATGTGATTCCTCTAGTTGTGTTCTTTTTGCTTAGGTTAGCTTTGGCTATTCTGGATCTTTTGTGGTTCCGTATGAATTTAAGGATTTTTTTTTTTCTATTCCTGTCAAGAATGTCATTGGTATTTTGAAAGGGATTGCATTGAATCTGCAGATTACTTTGGGTAGTGTGGACATTTTAACAATATTGATTCTTCCAATCTGTGAACATGGAGTATGTTTCCATTTTTTAATGTCCTCATTAATTTCTTTCATCACTGTTTCATAATTTTTATTGTAGAGACCTTTCACTTCTTTGGTGAAGTTCCTAGATGTTTTATTTGTAGTTACTGTAATTGGGATTACTTTAAAAAACCTTTTTTCAGATTGGTCACTGGTGGCATATAGAAATGCTACTGATTTTTGTATGTTGACTTTTTATCCTGCAACTGTACTGAATTTACCAGTTCTGATAGTTTTTTCATAGAGTCTTTAGGTTTTTCCAAACGTAAGATGATGTCTCTGCAGACAAGCTTAATTTGACTTCTTCCTTTCCAATTTGTATGCCCTCTTTTTCTTTCTCCTGTTGAATTGCTCCAGCTAGGACTTCCTGGTCAGTATGTTTTACAGAGGGAATGATGAATGCTATTTCTTTGTAGGACCAAAAAATTAAATGTTGTGTAAAGTAATAGAGCATTATATGACCATATACTTTGCTGTCAGAAGACATATTTAAAAGTTGGTCAGTTAGCAGATTTCTTTAAAGTAAAATCTATTCAGAGGTTTTTAAAAACTCAGAAAACTTTACCAATGTTCAGAAAATATTTCTTCAATTGGCTGTGGTGCTTTTGGTTTCTGATGGTGGCCAGTTATTGGCATGTTGCTGTATTGGGAATGTTTTTGGCTTGGCTCTTGCCGCGTAATTTAGCATACTTCTCTCCCTCCCTCCTTCCCTCCCTCCCTCCCTCCCTCTTTCCTTCCTTCCCTCCTTCCCTTCTTCCCTCTTTCCCTCCTGTCATCAAACTCAGAATGTTTTTCACTGCTTGGTGGTGGTGGTGAATCCCTAATTCTACATGCATAGCTTTTGAAACTTGGCTCCTCTTTTTCTATTCCATGTAGGAGCATAGGATGTTAATGGTTTCTCAGAATGATCTGTATCACCTTCCGTGTTTTCAGTGAGAAATAACAATGATGGATAAGGCTCAGGAAAGAACAACTAACATAGTTCAAGACACATAATAGGCACTGTACAGATAATTACCCAATTCATGAACTAAAAAAATCTTCATGTTTGATAAGTATACTCTATAGTAAGACCCTCTGATGCTAACTAGAGGTGAAAATATATGGATGGTCAAATGGAAATAAGGGTAGAGAAAGAGAAGAGATTAACTGGTATTTATTTACAGGTTCATGAAATTCAATTTTAAAATGATTGATAAGGAAAAGAGTTGATCACTTAGAAACACAAGTGAATTATTTCGGTATTTTCCTTATAGGTGACAATTTTTAATGTATTGAGATACAAACTAGTGTTTAGCCCAGTATTTCTCAATACTTTTTTTTCACTTATATTCCCCCAAGGAGCCTTTTTAAAAATTAACACCCTGATTTCTTTTTTTTTAATTTCAACTTTTATTTTAGATACAGGGTGTACATATGTAGGTTTGTTACATGGGCATATTATATGATGCTTAGGTCTGGGGTATGGATTCCATCACCCAGGTAGTGAGCATAGTACTCAATAGGTAGTTTTCCACCCATGCTTTTTCCCTCTTCCCTCTAGTAGTCCACAGTGTCTATTTTTCCCATGTTTATGTCAGTGTATGCTCAATGTTTAGCTCCCACTTATAAATGAAAACATGTGGTATTTGGTTTTCTGTTGCTGTGTTAATTCACTTAGGATTATGGCTTCCAGCCGCCTCCATGTTGCTGCAAAGGACATGATTTCATTCTTTTTTATGGCTGCATATTACTCCATGGTGTATCTGTACCACATTTTCTTTATTCAGTCCACCATTGATGGGCCCCTAGGTTTATTCCATGTCTTTGTTATCATAAATAGTATGGTGATGAACATATGAATACATGTATCCTTTTGTACAACAATTTATTTTCCTTTGGATATATACCCAGTAATGAATTGCTGGATCAAATGGTAGCTGTTTTAAATTCTTTGAGAAATCTCCAAACTGCTTTCCACAGTGGCTAAACTACCTTCCCACTAACAATGTATAAGTGTTCCTTTTTCTCCACGGCCTCACCAGCATCTGTTGTTTTTTGACTTTTTAATAAAAGCCAGCCTGATTGGTGTGAGATGGTATCTCATTGTGGTTTTGATTTGTCTCTATCTGATGATTAGTGATGATGAGCATTTTTTCATGTTTGTTGGCTGCTTGGATGTCATCTTTTGAGAAGTGTCAGTGCATGTCTTTGGCCATTTTTTTAATGGGGTTGTTTTTTGCTTGTAGATTTGTGTAAGTTTCTTACAGATTCTGGATATTAGACCTTTGTCAGATGCACAGTTTGTGAATATGTTCTCCCATTCTGTTGGTTGTCTGTTTTCTCTGTTTATAATTTCCTTTGCTGTGCAGAAGCTGTTTAGTTTAATTAGGTCCCACTTGTCAATTTTTGTTTTTGTTGCAGTTGCTTTTCAGGACTTAGCCAAAAATTCTTTGCCAAGGCCAATGTCGAGAAGGGTATTTTCTAGGTTTTCTTCTAGGATTTTTAAAGTTTGAGATCTTACATTTAAATCTTTACTCCATCTTGAGTTAATTTTTTTATACGGTTAAAAAGTAAGGATCCAGATAAGGCTAGCCAGTTATCCCAGCACCTTTTATTTAATAGGGATTAACACCCTTTTTTGTTAAGCACCATTCCCCCTCCATGAAATTTTAACACCACAGATATGCTGTGTATTTGCCTATGTACTGTGGCCCTTTTGAGGGCTACATCCCACTTAATATCTAAGTATTTTTCTCTTCCCCTCCCCACCAAGAACCAGTTTGCCCTCTTGGAAGTGATCTTGCCCGCATTGAGAATGCATGGCTTAGTCCTATTTTAGTTGTCAGTAATGTGTGTTACAGGAGTTCACATGGTCTTCTGAGGTGCAGCGTCAGTGTGTAAAGGAAAGTGTCTATTCCAGCATGTTTATTTTCTATTAGCATTCTTTGAAGGTGTCAGATAAAAAAACATGCAGAGCAGATAAGCTGACACACTATAAATAACATCTGGGTAAAGTCTTAAAATAGCTTGTGGTTCATCACTGAATAGTTTTCTTACCAACGTTTAAATATGCTAAATACAATTGCTTAATAGTAATTACTAAGAAAAGTTTTTCTGTAGCATATAAATTTGTGTGAATGGTGGTGGTATACTTAACACTGTTAGTGATTTGGCTTACATTTGTCTTCAGTTAAATTTTGATAAAAAAGAAGGAACATGATGAAGTGGAAGGCAGTATCAGAAGACTTAGGTTCTGGTAAAATGAGAGATCATTCTAAACACTTGAGTACTGAGCATAAGCAAATACCAGTGAAGACAGAGTAGGGCTACAGGTGAAAAGAAGAGGCACCAGCCAGCTGTATCCAGAACAGCAACTTTAGGTAGGTCAGTTTTGCTTCTCCTTCACTTCTTTCATTTGATGAAATGAATAAATTTAGAATGACTATTACCATTTAAACTTATTTGCCTATTAAAAGAGCCACTCTGTTGTGATTGTTTGTTGTTTAATATCATATTCTAAGCAATTAATTTGTCAGGCAACTTTTAGGTAATAAGTTTATTTCGTTAATTTCATGTGTCTATAGATTTCCATGTCACAACTTCTTTCTATTATAAGGTAAAGGGAATCAGAACTTTATTAGTAACACTTCACCATTTCAGGGACATACTCTGCAGAAGTACACATGTCTTCCCAGATAATTTTGACCAGCATTTTGTTTTCATTTTTTGTTTATGACTCTAGGGATGTCTGATCTAGACCAAAACAGCTTCACCAAGATTTGTGTTTAAACATAAAGCTATGTTATTTTCATCTCTGCTTTAGACATTCCTATCTTATTCAGATATGACCCAAAATATAAGCCCCTCTATGAAGTGAGCTTTCATGTTTTACTCCATCCTTCCCTCCCCCGTCTAATAATGCCTATGCTGCCTTTTCTTTGCATCATTTAGAACTCCTTCCTTGTGTCCCCACTTTCTTCCCAATTTGTCCACCTTTTTTTTTTTTTTTGGCCTTCAGAGGCCGTAATTCTTCCTTTTGCCCTTCCAGTAGGGAATGTTTATTTTGCCACACACTACCCAACTTTGGGCCTAGTAACTTGGCCCTGTCACTATTGCCTGGAAACTATTCTTGTCCTCTCATGAAAACCTGTTCTTTATGAGGCCTATGATATTGTACCACACTTTCCTCTATTTTGTTATTGGCATCCATGGCTGACATGTACCAGATGGTTGCCCACTGTTCATCAAGAACTCTGACACTTGGCTGATAGTCCTTCTTTCCAGATCACTTTGTGCAGTCATCTTAAGCAGCCCATACATCTAACATTTTGGCCTTCCAGTTCCTTCTCTTATTCTCTACCTTTATGTGTTCTTCTTGGCTGTACCTTGAGCCTTGTTAGCTAACTGACTCTCCTCTCTTTCTGAGATCTTCCCATTCTGACCACAACTTCATATCCTTTGATCTCTCATATCCTTATTCAGACTTGTGCTTTAACTTCGTTGAGACCACTATATGTGTTTGTTTTATACTTCCTTTTCTCCTATCAGCTCCATTCTGGCCACATTTCCTCAGCTAGTCAGTCCTGACTTTTCTTTCTCACTGTCACTCTTAACAGCCTTGCTCCTTTTCATTGTGGCTGCTCAGAAAATCTACTGTTTAATCCATTGCCTACTTTTGGCCCTTTCACACCTGGAATCTTCTGTGGTAGTACAGAAAATTAGTCCTATCACAGATTTAAGGCTTTCCACTCAGCTGGGCCCCCAAATATGGTTTGATAGTCCTTTTGCTTTTCTTGGGCTAGCTCCTTTCCCCATTTTCTTTGATGATTATGCTGGACTTTTATATCTCAAATCCTGTACTCCAATTCAAGCCACCCACCTCACATATGCTTGTAAATATGCTTGACCGCTGCTTTTTATAAAACATGAATGATCAGCTATAAATGCTCGATTTCATCTCTCCAGCTTGCATACTTACCTGCAGTAATTTTCACCTGTGGGTCATTTTCCCTACCTCATTAAGTGTATTCTGCTGTTCATTAGGGGCACCCTTGCCCGGGATACTGTGTCTTAACTTCTCTGTGATCTTAATCCAAAAATTCTCTCTGATTACCTTTAAATTCTTTTTCTGATTCCTTCCCCTCAACTTGGAAATATTAGAAAGGAAATAGATGCCTTTTTTCCTTTATATTATACACCTGTGTATTTCATACACATACACGTTTTTCCTTTTTTTAAAAAAAGGGCTCTTGTAGCCTCACTTCTTCTACCTGAGTGACCATGCATCTTGGTGATTCAAGATAATTTCAGTTTATTTCTGTCTGTTTAGGATCCCTTTTTAGTTTTAAAACTTCAGTTTAGATGGTTGGTTATATGGTCACACTATTCCTCACTGTTCCTTTTTTACATGGAATATTATATACTGTCTTTCTCAGCTCTTTCTCTTCAATCAATTGCTATATGGTTATTCCTTCCCCACTGCCTCCACTGAAACTGTTCCAGCAAGAGTACCAAAGACACCAAATTGCTAAATTCCATGAACACTTTTACTCTTCATAAATTTTGGTCTTTCTGCAACATTTGCATTGTGCGTGATTCCTTTCTTTTCATCTTCATTAACCTTTTTTTTTTTTTGACACAGTCTCTCTGTCGCCCAGGCTGGAATACAGTGGTACAATCTCAATCTCGGCTCACTGCAACCTTTGCCTCCCAGGTTCAAGCGATTCTCCTTCTTCAGCCTCCCAAGTAGCTAGGACTACAGACATGTGCCACTATGCCCAACTAATTTTTATATTTTTAGTAGAGACGAGGGTTCACTATGTTGGCCAGGGTGGTCTCGAACTCCTGACCTCAGGTGATCCACCAGCCTCGGCCTCCCAAAGTGCTGGGATTACAGACATGAGCCACCGTGCCTGGCCCATCTTCCTTAACTTTTGTAACAGTGCTTTACCATGAGTTTTCTTTTCCTCTCTAGTAGTCTGTCTTTACTGATCTTCCCTGGCTTCTCTGCTTTTCTTCTCTCTGTTCTTAAAATATTGATGTATCCTAAAATTCTAGTTTATTAGTTCTTCACATTCTTTTCTATTTTCAATTAATATGTTCTGCCTGAAGATTTCACTACCAATTGTGTGTCAGTAACTCCTGTGTCTGGAACTCTGTTCCCAGCCATTCTCCTCAGACCATTTTTCTTTTTCTTTTTCTTCTTCTTCGTTTTTTTTTTTTTTAAGATTGAGTCTTGCTCTGTCACCTGGTCTGGAGTGCAGTGGCGTGATCTTGGCTCACTGTGACCTCTGCCTCCCAGGTTCAAGTGGTTCTCCTGTCCCAGCCTCCCAAGCAGCCAGAATTACAGGCGCCCACCATCATGCCCGGCTAATTTTTGTATTTTTAGTAGAGATGGGGTTTTGCCATGTTGGCCAGGCTGATCTCAAACTCCTCATCTCAGGAGATCCACCCACCTTGGCCTCCCAAAGTGCTGGGATTACAGGCGTGAGCCACTGTGCCCGGCCACCAGACCATTTTTCATCAATCGGTTGCACATCTTTTCTTCAGCTGTCTCGCAGCCCCCTTGAACTCAATCTGGCAACACCCTTATCCCAAACTTACTCCCCCTCCTGAGATATTCTTTATCTTGGTTAATGGTATCTCCTTTCATGAAATCTGAAAGCTGAGAGTCAGCCATTCTCATCCTTTATTCCCCATATAGTCTTCAGGTCCTATCTCTGCCTTCTAAATAAGATCTAGCTCTATCCCTTTCTATTTTCAGTGCTATTCCTTAGTTCAGGGTATATAACATTCTTTTCTCCAGGCTTCTCTCTATCTTGTCAGTTCTTCAAGTTTCTGATTTTCTAAAATGCACAAGTGATCTTGTCAGCTATTGTTTAAAACCTTTGTTTACTCATTGCCTGGATGAAGAAGTCTGTATGTGTGTGTTGAACTGGTTATGTCTGTTGATCTGATGCTCCAGCCTGCCTTCATAGCTGTGCCTGTTGCTTCATTGCACACTTCTGAGCTAGGGTCACTAAGAATTACAGCAGATGCTGTTTTCTTCTTCCAGAGAAGAGAATGCCCTTCTCCCCTGCCCATCACTTGAAGCTGAAACTTGAAGTATCACTTCCTACTCAATAGGCCAAGGCCATACACAATGATTTAGATAATGGACTGAAAGACTGCCTGGAATCTAAACCCAGCTTTGACACATTTACTAGCTAGCTGTGTTATTTTGGGCAGGTTATTTATTATTTATTGTATGTCGTTTATGATTTTTCTTCAGTAAACTCTTACCTGACCTGCTTATGCACACCTCTTATCTAGATTGTAAGTTTGCCTCAGTCATAGCATGTATCACGTTGATAAAATCATTTGTCTGTCTTTTCTGTTAGACTGAGCATTTCATGGTATGGCTATCTTTTTCTTTTCATGCTGAATGAACGCTTTTAAGTCAGTGAATGAATACATAAAGAATGTGACAGAGAAATATTCCCAGTACCTGGCATTATGCTGTGAGTGTGGTAAATGTTTAATATGTCTGTTTTAGGCCGGACATGGTGGCTCATGCCTGTAATCCCACCACTTTGGGAGACCAAGGCAGGCACATCACGAGGTCAAGAGATCAAGAACATCCTGGCCAACATGGTGAAACCCTGTGTCTACTAAAAATACAAAAATTAGTTGGACATGGTGGCATGTGCCTGTAGTCCCAGCTACTCAGGAGGCTGAGGCAGGAGAATTGCTTGAACCCGGGAGGTGGAGGTTTCAGTGAGCTGAGATTGTGCTACCGCACTCCAGCCTGGTGACAGAGCGAGACTCTGTCTCAAAAAAAAAAAAAAATCTGTTTTAATGAGATGTCCATAATGTAATGTAACTTGATGAATATAGTATTACTTTTTTTAGTAGTCTTTCTCTTTTAAAAATTGAGCTATAATTTGCATATAATAAAATGTATAATTTATTTTGAAAAATATATGCATCTACTTAACCACAATGGCAATAAAGATAAAGGACATTTTGATCACTCTGGAAAGTTCCTTAGTATACATTTCTCCTCCATTTCCCTCACTCCCTATCCCTGATCACTGCTTTGATTTCTATCATTGTCCATTAGTTTTACCTCTTCTACACATAAATAGAATTATCAGTAGGTGCCCCATTGTGTCTGGATTCTTTCATGCAACAGTATTTTTTGAGTTCATCTTTGTTACCGTGGGATCAGTAATTCATTCCTTGGTATTTCTGAGTAGTATTTCAATGTAGGAATATATCGTAGTTTGTTTATCCATTCTCTGTGGCATTTGGGTTTAAATAAAACTGCAGTGAACATTTCTGTGAGAGTATTTGTGAACATTTATTTTCATTTTTATTGGATAAATTTCCTGTGAGAGGAATTGCTGAATCATAGCTGTCAAGCAATATTCCAAAAATGGTTGTACACTTTTACACTCCTACTAACAATGTATGGGAGTTCCAAGGGCTTCATATTATTACCAACCACTGGTGTTATTAGTCGTGTCAGTTTTAGCCATTTTAATGCTTGTGGCCATTTTTTTTGTTTGTTTGTATGTTTTTGTTTTGTTTTGAAACGATGTTTCACTCTTGTTGCCCAGGCTGGAGTGCAGTGATGCAATCGTGGCTCACTGCAACCTCCACCTCCCGAGTTCAAGCAATTCTCCTGCCTCAGCCTCCCAAGTAGCTGGGATTACAGGCATGCACCACCACACCTGGCTAATTTTATATTTTTTTTTAGTAGAGTTGGGATTTCTCCCATGTAGGTCAGACTGGTCTTGAACTCTTGACCTCAGGTGACCCACCTGCCTTGGCCTCCCAAAGTGCTGGGATTACAGGCGTGAGCCACCGCGCCCGGCCGTGGCCATGTTTTAATTTGCATTTCTCTGATGATTAACACTGTTAATTATCATTTCCACATACTGATTATCCATTCATATATCTCCTTTTGTGAAATGCCCAAGTTGTACCTGTACCCTTTTAAAATTGGATTGTTTATTGCTTACTGCTTTGTGGGGGTTGTTTTGGCTGTTTATAAGTTTTTATCAGATATGTGCATTGCAAATATTGTCTTCCAATCTCTGGACTGGTCTTTTTTTTTTTTTTTAGATGTTCAGGTTTAAAATTTTTATAAAGTCCAACTTACCAATTTTTTATTTTATGCATAGTAATTTTTGTATCTTGTTTAAGAACTCTTTGCCTAACCTAAGGTGGCATAATCACCTGTGTTTCTTTATAGAAGCTTTATAATTTTACCTTTTTCATAAAGTCCTATTTTAAATTAACAAAGAATACAAATTCATGGCTGGGCGCGGTGGCTCACACCTGTAATCCCAGCACTTTGGGAGGCCGAGGCAGGCAGATCATGAGGTCAGGAGATGAAGACCATCCTGGCTAACAAGGTGAAACCCTGTCTCTACTAAAAATACAAAAAATTAGCCGGACGTGGTGGCTGGCACCTGTAGTCCCAGCTACTCGGGAGGCTGAGGCAGGAGAATGGCGCGAACCGGAGAGGCGGAGCTTGCAGTGAGCCAAGATCGCGCCACTGCACTCCAGCCTGTGCAACAGAGCGAAACTCTTGTCTCCAAAAAAAAAGAATACAAACTCACAAATAAGTTTGGTAATAAAGCCTTTTTTATTATTGCTGAGATATACTTCACATTCCATAAAATCTACTCTTCTAAAGTGCGTGATTCAGTGTTTTAGGTTGGTTTGGTTGTTGCTGTTTTTGTTTGTGGTATATTTACAAAGTTTTTTGGTGACCATCACCACTGTCTAATTCCAGAACATTTCATCTCCCCAGAAAGAAACCTCGTACACATTGCAGTCATTATGGATTTGCCTATTCTGGACAAGTCATGTAAATGGAATCATCATACGTAGCCTTTTTGTGTTTGGCTTTTTTTCCTTAACCTAATGTTTTCAAGGTTCACCCATGTAGTATGCATTCTTTTTATGGCCAAATACTCCATTGTATTGACATACCACATTTTGTTTATTCATGAGTTCATGGACATGCCTTTTAACTTTTTAAAGAAAGCACATTTGTTTTTTCTTCTTCTTTTTTTTTTTTTCAGATTGTGGAATCCATTCACTCCTGAAATATTTAGTGCCTATGATATTACATTTACTTAGGGATATGTAGTTTTACTCATTTACCAAGCTTGGGACTGGGGATTCAAAGATGAATAAGATCTTCCCTCAGGGAGCTTTTTTTTTCTAGTGGAAGAAACAGGCATGTGAACAGATAAATTACAAGACAATCTGATGAAGATACTATTAGATTTATAATCTAAGGTAAAGTGTAATCCCAAAACTCAGTAGCTAACTCTGCTTGGAGGAATGAATAAGAACTTTTTAGAGTAGGTGACATTTGGAGCTAGATCTTTAAGAATAAATAAGAGTTTGCCAGGAGAGTGAGAATATTTCAGGTAGAAGACATGGCTTGTACAAAGGCATGGAATTGATATATCTTGGCACCTTTGAGAAGCTCAGTATGATAATTATGGGTAACATGAAAAGAGTCTGGAAAGGCAGATCTGGGCCAGCCCATGAAGAGCTTTACATCTAAGCAAAGGAACTTGGATTTTATTCTTTGGGTGTCTGGGAGACCAAAGGAGTTTGGCTAAATGAAATGGCATCACTGCTTATATAAGGTCTGTTAGAAGACCACATATCCAGTGAAGCCCAACTTTTCATTTTCTCCAGAAAATTTTGTCCATATTAGGCACCTTTTAAAAAATGAATGTATTGGCCAGGTGTGGTAGCTCGTGCTACCTGTAATCCCAGCAGATTACTTGAGGCCAGGAGTTTGAGACCAGCCTGGCCAACATGGCAAAACCCTATTTCTACTAAAAGTACAAAAACTAGCTGGGCGTGGTGGCACATACCTGTAATCTCAGCTAATTGGGAGGCTGGGGCACAAGAGTCTCTCAAGCTCAGGAGGCAGAAGTTGCAGTGAGCCGAGATCATGCTACTGCACCCCAGCCTGAGAGACAGAGAGAGACTCTGTCTAAAAAAAAAAAAAAAGAAAGAAGGGAAGAATATACCTCCCCTCAACCCAAACCATTCTCTCACTACCACCTTCTATCATAGTCTATTGACTTACCTGAAGTTATCAAGTTAATTTATTTCTTTGCTTAGCTACTGTTGTATCTTTCTTCCAGAGAGGTTCTTTTTTATCTTGCCCTAACCACTGCTTGGCACATAGTAGGTACATATCTGTATTTAATGATTAAATGAGCTATTCTACCTCTAATATCTTAAACTCTAGGATCCTGCCCTGTGATTATAGCCTCCTATTCCTTGTCCTCTCTGCCTCCCACTCTCCTTCTTTGCGTTTTTTCAGCACTTTGACCGTACTGCCTCCATTTTCTTTTGTTATTGTTGTCCCATCACTACGTTCCCTAACTAGCTTAGATCAATTCAGCTGTATTCTTGTCAGTCTTATACTCCATTTCCATAGCCTTCCTTTTCTTTTGTTCCGTATACCTATCAAAACCCTTACCTTGGCACAGTCTGATCCAAATTCAAGCACATGAGGTCCTACTGGAGAAAATCACCTAACTGTAGTTTGCAGCCAGTACATCGTCCTAGTTCATAGTCTTCAACGTTATGTAGATGTACAGCATTGCCTGGAAATCTTATGTTTTCTATTCAACATACACTCATGCACCAGTGAATGATGGGGCTCTGTTCTGAGGAATGCATTGTTAGGCAATTTTGTTGTTATGCAAACATCACACAGTGTACTTACACACACTAGATGGTATAGTCTACTACACACCTAGGCTGTATGATAATAGCCTATTGCTCTTGGGGTACAAACCTGTACAGCGTATTGCTGTGCTGAACACTGTAGGGAGTTGTAACACAATGGTAAGTATTTGTGTATCTAAACATATCCAAACATAGAAAAGGTACAGCAAAAATATGGTATAAAAGATAAAAAGTAGGCCGGGCACAGTGGCTCACACCTGTAATCCCAGCACTTTGGGAGGCCGAGGCAGGCGGATCACCTGAGGTCAGGAGTTTGAGACAAACCTGGCCAACATGGTGGAACCACATGTCTACTAAAAATATAAAAATTAGCCAGGCATGATGGCACACGCCTGTAAACCCAGCAACTGGGGAGGCTGAGGCAGGAGAATCACTTGAACCCGGAAGCGGAGGTTGCAGTGAGCCAAAATCGCACCACTGCACTTCAGCCTGGACGATAGACTGAGACTGCATCTCAAAAAAAAAAAAAAAAAAGATAAAAAGTGGTACACTTATATAGGGCGATCCATTCACTTACTGTGAATGGATTTTGCGAGACTGGAAGTTACTGGGTGAGTCAGTGAGTGAGTAGTCAGTGACTGTGAAAACCTAGGACAGTGTTGTACACTACTGTAGGTTTTATAAATAAGCACTGTATACTTAGGCTACATTAAATTTATTAAAAATGTTTTTCTTCAATAATAAAATTAACCTTAGCTTATTGTAAGTTTTTTCCTTATTAACTTTTTAATTTTAAAATCTTTTGAACTGTTGTGTAGTAACACTTTGTTTAGGACACAAACATTGTACAGCTGTACAAACATATTTTCTTTCTTTATGTGCTTATTCTAAGCTTTTTTCAGTTAAATTTTTTTAACCTTTTTGTTAAAAACTGAGACACAAACACACCATTAACGTAGGCCTACATAGAGTCAGGATTATCAGTACCACTATCTTCCATCTCCACATCTTGTCCCACTGTAAGGTCTTTAGGAGTAATAACACACATGGAACTGTCATCTCTTATGCTAATAATGCCTTTTTCTGGAATACCTCCTGAAGGATCTGCTTAAGGCTGTTTTACAGTTAATTTTTTTATAAGTAGGGGTACACTTTAAAATAATGATAAAAGTATAGTAAATTCATAAACCAGTAACATAGTCTTTTTTTTTTTTTTTCTTTTTTTTTTTTGAGACAGAGTCTCACTCTGTCGCCCAGGCTGGAGTGCAGTGGCGCAATCTTGGCTCACTGCAACCTCTGCTTCCTGGGTTCAAGAGATTCTCCTGCCTCAGCCTCCTGAGTAGCTGGGACTACAGGTGCATGCCACCACGCCTGGCTAATTTTTGTTTTGTACTTTTAGTAGAGACAGGGTTTCACCATGTTAGTCAGGATGGTCTCAATCTCCTGACCTTGTGATCTGCCCACCTCAGCCTCCCAAAGTGCTGGGATTACAGGTGTGAGCCACTGCACCCGGCCAACATAGTCTTTTATTATCAAGTATTGCGTATTTTACATAATTGTATCCGTAATACCTTCATATGACTGACAGTGCAGTAGGTTTGTTTACATGAGCATCACCACAGACATGTGCGTAATACTTTGTGCTACCATGTGATGACAGCTACAGTGTTACTAGGCAATAGGAGTTTTTGAACTGCATTATAATCTTATGAGACCACCATCATATATACAGTTTGTTGTTGACCAAAACGTTATATGGTGTATGACTATTTTATTTCCCAACAACTGCTATTCTCTTTTTTACTCTCTACTATCCCCACATCTTACCACCTTTCCCTTACTTGCCTTCACCTGCTTGACAAAGAAAATGGATCTCTTAGATATGGATTCCCTCCGCACCTTACCTTCATATCTACAAATCTTTCTGCACCCATGTACATCTTTATCTCCTTTCTTTCCATCCTAGTGTGAGAGTTATTTTCTTTGAGCTAATGCTTTCACTTGTGCTCTATATCCTGTTCTCTACTTCCTCAGAGGCCTTGTATTTCTCCTCCACCTCAGATTCTGTCATCAGCATATATGTAAACATGTTCAGATGTGTCATTTTTTAAATAGCAGAATATCTGTCACTCTCACTCTACTTGAGGTTTCATTTTCTTTCTCTTTTTTTCTTACCAGTTGTCTGTTTTCTCTGCTCCTATTCACTCTTCAGTCCCCTAGAATCTGACCTCTGTACTCTTTATTCCTTAGAACTGTCCTTGCTATGGTCACCAATGACTTTTGCTTCTCTAGTGGATACTTTTTAGTGACTCCCGTGGTAGTTCTTTTTCTTTTCTAAAATGTTCTTTTTCACTGGTTTCCGTGAGACCCCTTTCCCTATTTTCATCCTTTGTCGGTCTGTTCCTTTACAGTTTCCTTTGCATGGTATGAAAGCACAATTTAGTAGAAACAGTTCAGTGTGATGCAAGTCATTGTGGTTTAAGGAGGAGTCTCTGGTTTAGCCTGGATGTCTAGGTAGGTCTTTATCATTTACTAGCACACAGACATTTACTAAAGATTAGACAGAAGAAAACCAAAATTATATTTTCTGTCAAGAATTTGGGATGAAGATGTTTTATGTTGCCGGTTACACATAGTTTCACATACGTTGACAGAGTTAGGGTTAAGGCTCTCTTAAGGAAGTGAAGAATTGTGCCTGGTGGACAACCCACATAATGGCAGAAAATATTCACAAACTGTACATTTGACAAAAGTCTAATATACAGAATCTATAAGGAATTTAAACAATTTAACAAGCAAAAAACAACCCCAATAAACAGTGGGCAAAATATATGAACAGACAGTTCTCAAAAGAAGACATCCAACCAGCCAACAAACATGAAAAAATGCTCATCATCACTAGTCATCAGAGAAAGACAAATCAAAACTACAATGAGATACCATCTCACATCAATCAGATTGGCTATTATTAAAAAGTCAAAAAATAACAGATGCAGGTGAGGCTGTGGAGAAAAGGGAATACTTACACACCATTGATGGGAATGTAAAGTAGTTTAGCCACTGTGGAAAGCAGTTTGAAGATTTGTCAGAGAACTTTGAAAGAGAGCTACCATTTGACTCAGCGATCACATTACTGAGTATATATCCAAAAGAAAACAAAGCTACCAAAAAGACACATGCACTTGTATGTTCATTGCAGCATTGTTCACAATAGCAAAGACATGGAATCAACCTAGGGAGGGTCCCATCAGTGGTGGATTGGATAAAGAAAATGTGGTATGTATGTACTATGGAATACTACTCAGCCATAAAAAAGAATGAAATCCAGTCCTTTGCAGCAACACGAAGGCAGCTGGAGGCCGTTATCCTGAGTGAATTAATGCAGGAACAGAAAATCAGATACCGCATGTTCTCAGTTATAAGTGGGAGCTAAACATTGGATACTCATGGACATAAGGATGGCAACAATAGACACTGAGGACTAGTAGAGCAAGGCAGGAGGGAGAGGGGCAAGAGTTGAAAAACTTAATAGTTGGGTTGTATGCTCTCTCTCTGGGTGACAGCATCAGTTGTACCCTAAACCTCAGCATCATGAGATATATGCATGTAACTTGCACCACATGTACCCCCTGAATTTAAAAGTTGAAATTATAAAAAATAAATAGCCTGTTGTAACTAATGAGAAACAGCTCCTGGCATGTCTGTTCTCCCATTTCTTAGCAGCTGTCCTGTCATTTGTATTGTGTTCAGTTTACCAGATATTTGTCATTTGGTTTGTTTTCTCTTTCCCTTCTTCTCTGCCTCACCCACCCCATTAATCTTTTAAATTGTGGAATGTAATGGATATGTAAAAGTACATAAAACAAATGTGATGTACTGTTTAAATACATACTGTAAAGTAAAGATCCATGTCAGCACTATCTGGTCAAAACAGAGAACATAGTCATTGCGCCAGTTCACCTGTTACGTCCCTTTTCTGGTTACACTTTTCCCTCCACCTTACTCCTAGAAAATTACTCTCCAAACTCTGGAGGTCATTACTTACATTGTTTTCTTTATAGTTTAAAAACTAAGTATGAACCCCTAGACAAACGTTGCACGTTTTTAACCTCTATATAAGTGGAAAAATACAGTAGCTATCTGTGTGTGTGTGAGTCATTGTCTGACTTCTTTTGCTTGTGGTCTGTCCATTTTTGCCTATAGCTGAAATTCATTCATTGTGATAAATTTTTCCGAAGTGGAATTGCTGGGATCAACTTCATTTTTACTGGGATTTGTTTTAGTGTATGTGTGTGTGTATGTATACACACACATATATATACACATACTAAATTTATATATAAATTTTTAAAAAACTGTGTTCTAAAGAGATTGTGCCAATTTATTTATTTTTTATTTTTATTTTTTGAGACAGGGTCTCATTCTGTCACCCAGGGTGGAGTACAGTGGCATGATCACAGCTTGCTATAGCCCCGACCTTCCAGGCTCAAGCGATCCTCCCACTGCAGCCTCTTAAGTAGCTAGGACTACAGATGTGTGCTGCCATGCCTGGCGAATTTTGTTAACTTTTTGTAGAGACAGGGTCTCACTATGTTGTCCAGGCTGGTCTTGAACTCCTGGGCTCAAGTGATCCTCCTACCTTGAACTCCCAAAGTCCTGGGATTACAGGTGTGAGCCACCACACCCAGGAGTTGTGCCAGTTTGTATTCATACCAGCAGCATATGAGAATTTTCACTATACTTGATTGCTCTCCACTTTTTTTTTTTTGGCTTGTTTTTTGTCTTGTAAGTCCTTTGCTATTATTTAAACTGAAAACCATTTCATTTTTCACATTTCCATATTGGAGAAATAGTAACAAAACTACTTAAAAATATGGGTTAACCTTATTATGTCATCTTGGTCCATGACATGAAATCAGTACATATTTTCATTATGTTAAATATACTTATGTATATTTATTAAGTTAATGCTTTCAAAAATCACGAGATAACTATATTTTATATATACTGATAGTTACCAGTATTATTTTTAAATAAAGATAATTTTGTTTTGCCTTTATTTTTACTTTAAAGTTTTCAGCCATGAACTGGTGATATTTAATATAAAGATATATATATTATTTAACAATAAGATAATTTTGGGCTTTATTATATAGATTTATTTCTAATAATGTATATGGAATATTTATTAATGTAACTCTAATGGATCTTTACTTTTCCTTACTTTTCTTTCAAGTTGGCCTTTACCAGAGTTTGATCCAAGCCAGATTCGACTGATTGTATATCAAGACTGTGAAAGACGAGGGAGAAATGTTTTGTTTGACTCCAGTGTTAAGAGAAGAAATGAGGACATATCAGTATCGGTGAGCATCATTATTGATTTGGTTGACTTTTAATGTTGAACATTTTGATAATTCCAGTATTATCAAACTGGATAATTGGGGCTGAGGGAGAAGGAAATGACTGGATATTGGGGCTGAGGGAGAAGGAAATGTTTGGTGAATCTAACATTTTGATTTGAATAGCTGAGGAGTGGTTTGATGCTTAGGAGTCATAGAATTGGAGACAGTCAAGCAGACAGTTGAAATCCAAGGCTAACTTAACAAATGTGATAAGCATGACTTCTTTGTATTTAGACTGCTGACAACAGCTCAGCAGAACTTGGCTGAGGCTGATTTTTTTTTAATTATCTCGATTATTTTTTATTACTTTTTCAGCAAACATTTATTGAAGTTTTTTTTTTTGTATTTGATAGTATCCTATTGAATTTCAACATATGCCTCTCCCTTACTCTTAATTTTGATTAATGCTGTTCATTTTGTGTTTGTTCAGCTTTTCTCTTTTATGTTAAACAGCCCTGTAAGAATCCACTCATGCTGTTTTTTGAACTCTCCCTGCATACCTTTTCTGGGACGATGCTTCATTAGTCTCATTAATTTCTCTCCTGCGATGTATTCCTTCATCCCTCTCAGCTTTTCTCTTTGCTTGGAAACATTCACAAAGCTGCTAAAATAATTTTTCTTTACTTTTTCCTTCAGGTTTGTGTTTGTCTAGTTCAGGCTACTATAACAAAATACTGTAGACTGGGTGCCTTAAACAAGAAACTTTGGTTTCTCCCAGCATATTTGAGTTTTTTGTGAGGGCTGTCTTCTGGGTTGCAGACTGCTGACTTCTCACTCTACCCTTTACATGGTGGAAAGAAGGCAAGAGAACTCTTCAAGTCCTTTTTATAAGGACACCAACCCCATTCATGAGGACTTCGTTCTTATGACCTAATCACCTCCTAAAGTCCCCACCTCCTAATATCGCATGGTGGGTTAGGACGACATATAAATTTTGAGGAGAGACACACATTCAGTCCATAGCAGTGTCCTTCTCTGTCTTTTCCCATCCCTGGCCTCTTCGTCCCTCTCAGTCATCTTTCTTGGTGTCTGTTGGTGTCTCTCATTTTCCCTTTGTCTCTCTATCACTCAGGCTCTCTAGAGTGTCTCTTCTCAGTCTCTCTGTTGGTCTCTCCTTGGTCTTCTCTGTCTCTCGGTGTCTCAGTAGTAATACATTGACTCTCTTCTCAAACTATCCAGTTATTACTCAACTTTCTGAAATTTGCCTATAAACCTACTCTTCTTTTTATTATAAAACTTTTCTAGAAACTCATCAGTGTCTAGAAATCAAACATTGTTGACTACTTCCAGTCTCATTTATTTTATTATGCCTTTATCCTATATACTATCTCCCTTAATTGAAAATTTATCCTCCTTCAGAGTTTATCACAACTTTATGAATCCTTTCTGATTTTCTCTAGGTAGATTTATTTTCTCCTCCATCAGAATTCTCATAATTCTTTACTCATATTCATAGCCTTCTATATCATAGCTGTATTCGTATGTGTATTTGTTACTAGACTGGGAAAAAAACCTTAAAGTAAAAAATTGTCCTGTTACTCACCTTTATTTCCTACACTGCACATTGCCTTACATGTGGTAAGTACTCAGGACACATTTTGATCGATTGTAATTACTGTTAGGAAGTTTATTTTCAAAATCCTGTAAATACTCTCCTGAAGATTTTATGTCTTCCTTTTGAACACTACTGTACATATTGAAATACTCATTGTTTGTCCTGGGTTCTATATATGGAAAGAAGGACATTGTGCTGTAAATTTTTTTAAACTTTCTACATTATAATTTGGGTTCATACATAATAAAGACATTATGTTTAAGCATTAGCAGTTTGCTGTATGAAAGTAAATTATTCAGCTTTGCTGTATTTGTACAATATTCTATTTTGCTGTGGTAAATGTTGAAGTAACTTCTCATGTTCTTCTTTCTTAGTTTTAAAACACTTTTCTTAGTTTAAAACAATTTACAAGAGAGAATAAGGACTATAAATATTATTTTGACCATTTAATATACCAAAGCCTTTTCTTTTTTGAGACAGGGTTTTTTGTTGTCTGTTTGTTTTCTTGAGACAGGGTCTCGCTCTCTCGCCCAGGCTGGAGTGCAGTGGCACAATCTCAGCTCACTGAAACCTCTGCCTCCAGGCTCAAGCAGTTCTCGTGCCTCAGCCTTGCGAGTAGCTGGGATTACAGGTGTGCACCACCACACCTGGGTAATTTTTACATTTTTAGTAGAAATGGGGTTTCGCCTTGTTGGCCAGACTGGTCTCGAACTTCTGGGCTCAAGCGAACCGCCTGCTTTGGCCTCATAAAGTGCTGGGATTACCAGCGGGAGCCACTTTGCCTGGCCTATTTACCAAAACTTTTATTGAAAACATTCTTTTTAAAAAAATTAGAACATAATGTCGCCATGAGTTATAAACAGAAAGTCAAGCTTTAGAATGTGAGCCTTGCAAAATTGTTTTACTCTGTTCGCTTTATCAAAAAAGAAATTAAAACATTTTCTCATTTGGAAGCAGCGTCCATCTGTCCTGCTATGTTGCCCAGGCTGGACTTGAATTCCTGGGATCACGCAGTCCTCCCTCTTCAGGCTACTTGGGACAGTTTGTTATCAGCCTGAATCTGAATTTTTGAAAAATATCATTTGAAAATTGCCAAGTAGGAGTAGAAGATAGTAATATTTGGGCTCACTCAATATGTTTGAGTGTATTTAATTAAATCAAAATCCTATTGATTGTTTACTGTGAAGCTATTTCAGCGTTAAAAAATAGTCATTGTAAAAATACTTACTGGAGTCCTTTTAAATGTGTAAGACACATGGCAGTTTTCCTTGTAAAGATTATAGATGATCATAATTCACTTTGAGTACCTTTTATCTGGAGTGTGAGAGAAGGCAATATTTCACAGTGGAATATTGATCCATTTCTGCGTTTGGTTGAACCAAAGAATTGTCAATGAAGAATATAACAGCAGTTTATTAATATAAGCAGATCATTTTTGTATTTCCATGCAAAGCAAACATTGTGTATGTAGAGTATATTTAATGGGTTTTGGGAGAAAATTAGGAAGCTATGTATTTTATTACATTTTAAATTCTATACAAAGTGAACTACATAAATGCTTTGATTATGCTTCAGAAACCAAAGTACTTTGCATGCTCAAATAGTGTCTTATGTAAGTTGAAATAAAATTGTTAATCAGTGTATAGCTTCCTCAGAACTCATTTTTTCAGATCTGTTATATATTTTATGAAAAATGACTGTTGAATTATAAAACCCAATTAAAGTGAATATGTGTAGTGATCTTAAAGAAGTGTTACCGGAAAGGGGTCTGGATCCAGACCCCAAGAGAGGGTTCTTGGATCTTGAGCAAGAAAGAATTCAGGGCAAATCCGTAAAGTGAAAGCAAGTTTATTAAGAAAGTAAAGGAATAAAGAATGGCAACTCCATAGGCAGACCAGCCCCGAGGCCTGCTGATTGTGGGTTTTTATGGTTATTTCTTGATTGTATGCTAAACAAGGGGTGGATTATTCATGCCTCCCATTTTTTACACCATATACTGTAATTTACTGATGTTGCCAGTGGCATTTGTAAACTGTCATGGAGCTGGTGGGAGTGTAGTAGTGAGGATGACCAGAGGTCACTCTTGTCGCCATCTTGGTTTTGGTGCATTTTAGCCAGCTTCTTTACTGCAGGCTTTTTCATCATCAAGGTTTTTATGACTTATGTCTTGTGCCAACCTCCTATCTCCTCCTGTGACTTAGAATGCTTTAACCATCTGGGAATGCAGCCCAGTCGGTCTGAGCCTTATTTTACCCAGCCCCTATTCAAGATGGAGTTGCTCTGGTTCAACATCTCTGACAGAAGAACCTTCCCGTGGTAGAAAAATATATTGAGATATGGTTTCGATATGAACACTAACATAGCCAAATGGATCCATTCTGATTTTATCACACTATTATCCTTATCCTAGACATTGTTTTTATGTCAACAACAGTGCAATGCTATTTCATGAGTTCCCAGTTAAGTTATATGACCATTCACATGTATCAGCTTTCACTGATTCTAAACAAGGATAAAGTTGTACATCAGTAAATTCACATAACTTTGGAAAGATGATTACAGATTTTAAGACATGAGAAACACTCCGAAGCATCGTACAGTGCTAATTGAATAGTTGAGTCTTATTTATGATATCACATTTGCACATAGGATTTGGTTAGATAATTGGATTTAGGTTAATATACAGAAATCAGTAAGCTCAATATATGCAAATAGCTTCCAGTTTGAACACATAAAAGTGAGACATTCATTTAAAATAGAAATTAAAATGACAAAGTTGCCTATGCATACACTTAACAAAATCTGTAAGTTTAGAACTTTAAAAGTCTTCTTAAGGGACGTAAAAACGTACCTTAACAAATGGAAAGGCTAAACATATTCCATGGCAGTAGTCAATGTTATAAAGTTGTCCAAAGTGCTTTGTAAAATAATGCTATCACAGAAACAATGTTATCCTTATTTTTGTGTGTTTGGGGTGGGGGTAGTGTCTGGAACTAAATAGTGGATTCTAAAGTTCAAATGGAAAAAAATTAGCAATGATTGGTTGGAAAACTGAAAAAGAAGGGCAGTGAGGATGAGCCAGTCCTATCACATTTGAAAATATACTGCACAGTCTCAGTATCTAAAACAGTGTTTTTTTTTTTTTTTTTTTTTTTTTGAGCTGGAGTCTCACTCTGTCACCCAGGCTGGAGAGCAGCGGCGCAATCTCAGCTCACTACAAGCTCCGCCTCCTGGGTTCACGCCATTCTCCTGCCTCAGCCTCCCGAGTAGCTGGGACTACAGGCACCGGCCACCACGCCCGGCTAACGTTTTGTATTTTTAGTAGAGACAGGGTTTCACTGTGTTAGCCAGGGTGTTCTCCATCTCCTGACCTCGTGATCCACCCACCTCGGCCTCCCAAAGTGCTGGGATTACGGGCGTGAGCCACCACGCCTGGCCAAACAGTGTGTTATTGACACATAAATAGGCAATAGACTAATGGAACAAAATAGAGGATCAGAAATACATCCAAATACGTTCAGGAATTTTGGTATATGATTAAGGCATCATCTTAAATGGTGTTGAGACAATTAGCCATGTGGAAGAAAGATTAATTTAGACTCATACTGTTACTACTTACTATTATTATTATTTTAAAGATGGCGTCTTACTGTTTTATCCAGGCTGGTCTCAAACTCTTGGGCTCAAGCATGAGTCACTGTGCCCAGCCTTAATTTGGATTCATATCTTACAGTGTACATCAGGATGAAACCAAGTATATCAAACATTTAAATATAAAAATATAAAACTATAACATTACAAAAGAAAAAATGAGGGAGTTCCTATATATCTGTGGAGTGGAAAAGGTATCTCTAGGCTGGGTGCAGTGGCTCACGCCTGTAAACCCAGCACTTTGGGAGGTCAACATGGGTGAATTACTTGAGGCCAGGTGTTTGAGACCAGTCTGGCCAACATAGGAAGACCCCGTCTCTACAGAAAACATAAAAATTAGCTGGGTGTGGTGCTGAGTGTCTGTAGTCCCAGCTACTGGGAGACTGAGGCAGAAGAATCACTTGAGCCCAGGAAGTGGAGGTTGCAATGAGCCAGGATCACGCCACTGCACTCTACCCTAAGTGACAAAGCAAGACCCTCTCCCCGCTGGCCAAAAAAAAAAAAAAGGCCGGATGCAGTGGCTCATGCCTGTAATCCCACACTTTGGGAGGCTGAAAGGCTGAGGAGGGTGGATCACATGAGGTCGGGAGTTCAAGACCAGCCTGGCCAACGTGGTGAAACCCCGTCTCTACTAAAAAAAAAAGTACAAAAATTAGCCGGGTGTGGTGGCACGTGCCTGTAGTTTCATCTACTAGGGAGGCTGAGACACGAGAATTGCTTGATCCCAGGAGGCGGTGGCTACAGTGAGCCAAGATTGCAGTCATGCCACTGCACTCCAGCCTGGGCAACAGAGTGAGACTCTGTCTCAAGCAAAGATATTTCTAGCTATGAGTTAAAATTCAGAAGCCATAAAGTAAAAGATTGACAAATTTGACAGCCAATTTTTTTTCAACTTGCATGATAAAACAGAAAACAACACCATAAGGAAAGTTAAAAGACAGATGGCAACCTGAGAAAACACTTTGACAATTTAAAATGCCAAGTGTTAATATAAAGAGTTCCTAGAAATCAAGAACCACTCAGTAGATAATTGAGTGAAGGACAAGAGCTGAGCGTTGATATACAAATTGATATGACACGTTTAATAAAATCATACGTTTATAAGATCCTCTCCCTTATCCATAATTAAGAAAATGAAAATCAAAACTATACTGAAGCTGGGCATGGTGAGGTGAGAGGATTGCTTGAGCTCAGGAATTTGAGGCCAGCCTGGGCAATATGGTGAGAACTCAACTCTTAAAAAAAAGAAAAGCAAAAAAACCTATACTGAGATTTCAGGTCTTTCCTTTTCTAATGACAAAAACTAATGTCTGCTGATCTGAGGTGGAACAGTTTCATCCTGAAACCATATCCCCACTACCCTGCCCCAGTCTGCAGAAAAATTGTCTTGCACGAAACTGGTGCCTGGTGCCAAAAAGGTTGGCAACCGCTGTTAAGCACTAGGGAATACAGGTGAATAAAAGAAGACATAGTCCTTTTCCTCATGGAACTAAGAATCTAACAGGAGAAAGAGACAGTTAACAGATAATTACACAAATATGTGTAATGAAATGTGTATTCCAAGTATGTCTAATAAAAGTAATAATGATAGCAGCAGCTAACTCACGTTAGCACTTACTATCTTTACATGTAAAGAGTAAATATATGTAAAACAGAAGAGTACTACCATTATTATTCCGATTTATAGATAAAGAGGTTAAAGGATGACAATGTTTAAGTGAATTGCCATGAAAGGACTTCATTTAGTCTAGGGAGATCAAGAAAGTGATATTTTAAGCTTAGACTATGGGGGAAAAATGCGTTAAGAGTTAAGGTGAAAGAGGAAGCACTTGAGAGAGCTGGAAAGACATTCCAGGCTGAGGTAACCCTGTATGTCCAATCTCTGAAACAAAAGTTTGCTAGAGGAAGAAAAGGGACATACTTCAGTTCCAGGACTAAAGCATAAAAACACACCTAAAAGTGTGTACAAAAGGATGCACATACACACACATACTATTCTCCCATCAGCTCCTCAGCTGTTGTTTCTCTACTCCCTCCCATCTTGAAGTCGTGACTTTTCTGAAAGCAAACAGCAGCAACTACAGTGGCAGATGGTCCTGTAATGAGGGGACAAGGTGCAGTCAACAACAATCCCTCATGTAAGCACAGGACTTCTATAAGCAGGAATTGTAGGAAAAAGGGTTCAATTTCTTATTATTTTACTTTGTTATCTCAGAGAAGTGATGCTGTACTTTATGTCTAGCCCACAAAAACAAATACCTTCGAATTATGCAAAAAAAGTTATAAATATTACTGAAAAATACAACTGGCTTTCTATAACTAGGTTATAATTTTTATTAACTTTTTGAAACAATCACAAATAAGTTGCAAGTTCAATACAAAGAACTTTTGCTTTTCTGAACCGAATAAGAGTAAACTGCCTACTTGATATCCCATCAGCTTTGAATACGTCAATGTGTATTTCCTAAAAATATGAACATTCTTCTACGTAACCACAATACAGCAAAAATTCAGGAAATCATTGATATATTATAGCCAAATAATCCTCAGATCCCATTAAAACTTGGCAAGTTGTCAAAATAACATCCTACAGAACAAAAGGATCCAGTTGAGAATCTTGCATTGCATTTATTTGTTGTATCTCTTTAGAGATAGATCTCTCCCATGCACAGTTCACAATAGGATTCGAACTCCTATGAGGATCTAATGCTGAGGCTGATGTGACAGGAGGTGGAGTGCAGGCGGTAATGCTCACTTGCCCACTGCTCACCTCTTGCCATGTGGCCTGGTTCCTAACAGGCCATGGACTGGTACTGGTCTGCAGCCACCCTCTGGCTTAGAACGCGTAGTACTTAAATACTTTTGTTGACTGATGAAATGGTGGTTCGTGATAGTGGATAAGTCAAGCCAACTGGGTTTTGTCTATAAGTAGATAACAGATTTACTAGCTCTTGTAACCTTGGTGAAGTTATTTAACCTGTTTGAGCTTCACGTTTCTCATCTGTAAAATAGCATCGATAATACCTACCATGCTTAGTATTAGAGAAAATGTACATTAAGGCCTGGCATTTTGTTGGTGATCAATAAGTAATAAGGTTATTAAGATGTGGCGAAGGATGCCAATAGTAAAAATACCCGTATTTTTATCAAGAGTTGAAACATACATGGAAATACCTAGTGAAGTGCCTGACTTCAATTATGTTAGCCCCTCATGTTAACTGTTTTCTAATAACAATTATAACGAGGTTGAATGCAGTGGCTCACACCTGTAATCCCAGCCAGGGATTACTTTGGGAGGCCAAGGTGGGAGGATTACTTTAGCCCAGGAGTTTGACACCAGCCTAGGCAACATAATGAGACCTCATCTCTACAAAAAGTAAAATTAGCTGGATGTGGTGGCATACGCCTGTAGTCCCAGCTCTGTGGAGATAGCTAGGATATTATAACTATTATATATAATATGTATTATACATGTGTGTATATAAAATACACACACACACACACACACACATTCCCTTAAGTGTTGTTAGGTAGGGTTTTTCTTCCCCTTAAACAAATAACAAATTAAGGTTTAGAGAGGTCAGTTAACTTGCTCAAGGATACAGGTTTTGAACTCACATCTAGTTCTTCTAATATACATATTTTATACGTATATATACATATATATGTGCATATATACGTATATACGTATACATATATAAATATGTGTATATGTATACATATATAAATACGTGTATATGTATACATATATAAATATGTGTATATGTATATACATGTATATAAATACGTATATATGTATATACGTATATATACATATTTTATACGTATATATACATATATACGTATGTGTGTATATATATAAAATACTTTAAGTTCTAGGGTACATGTGCACAATGTGCAGGTTTGTTACATATCTATACATGTCCCATGTTGGTGTGCTGCACCCATTAACTCGTCATTTACATGAGGTATATCTCCTAATGCTGTTCCTCCCCGCTCCCCCGACCCCACAGCAGGCCCTGGTGTGTGATGTTCCCCTTCGTGTGTCCAAGTGTTCTCATTGTTCAATTCCTACCTATGAGTGAGAACATGCAGTGTTTGGTTTTTTGTCCTTGCGATAGTTTGCTGAGAATGATGGTTTCCAGCTTCATCCGTGTCCCTACAAAGGACATGAACTCATCCTTTTTTATGGCTGCATAGTATTCCATGGTGTATATGTGCCACATTTTCTTAATCCAGTCTATCATTGTTGGACATTTGGGTTGGTTCCAAGTCTTTGCTATTGTGAGTAGTGCTGCAATAAACATACGTGTGCATGTGTCTTTATAGCAGCATGATTTATATTCCTTTGGGTATATACCCAGTAATGGGATTGCTAGGTCAAATGGTATTTCTAGTTGTAGATCCCTGAGAAATCGCCACACTGTCTTCCACAATGGTTGAACTAGTTTACAGTCCCACCAACAGTGTAAAAGCATTCCTATTTCTCCACATCCTCTCCAGCCCTTGTTGTTTCCTGACTTTTTAATGATCGCCATTCTAACTGGTGTGAGATATCTCATTGTGGTTTTGATTTGCATCTCTCTGATGGCCAGTGATGATGAGCATTTTTTCATGTGTCTGTTGGCTGCATAAATGTCTTCTTTTGAGAGGTGTCTGTTCATATCCTTCGCCTACTTTTTGATGGGGTTGTTTGTTTTTTTTCTTGTAAATTTGTTTGAGTTCTTTGTAGATTCTGGATATTAGCCCTTTGTCAGATGAGTAGGTTGCAAAAATTTTCTCCCATTCTGTAGGTTGCCTGTTCACTCTGATGGTAGTTTCTTTTGCTGTGCCAAATCTCTTTAGTTTAATTAGATCCCATTTGTCAATTTTGGCTTTTGTTGCCATTGCTTTTGGTGATGTAGACATGATTAAAAGAACTAGAGAAGCAAGAGCAAACAAATTGAAAAAGCTAGCAGAAGGCAAGAAATAACTAAGATCAGAGCAGAACTGAAGGAGATAGAGACACAAAAAACCCTTCAAAAAATCCATGAATCCAGGAGCTGGTTTTTTGAAAAGATCAACAAAATTGATAAACCGCTAGCACGACTAATAAGAAAAGAGAGAAGAATCAAATAGACGCAATAAAAAATGATAAAGGGGATATCACCACCGATCCCGCAGAAATACAAACTACCATCAGAGCATACTATAAACACCTCTACGCAAATAAACTAGAAAATCTAGAAGAAATGGATAAATTCCTCAACACATACATCCTCCCAAGACTAAACCAGGAAGAAGTTGAGTCTCTGAATAGACCAGTAACAGGCTCTGAAATTGAGGTAATAATTAATAGCTTACCAATCAAAAAAAGTCCAGGACCAGACAGATTCACAGCCGAATTCTACCAGAGGTAGAAGGAGGAGCTGGTACCATTCCTTCTGAAACTATTCCAATCAATAGAAAAAGAGGGAATCCTCCCTAACTCATTTTATGAGGCCAGCATCATCCTGATACCAAAGCCTGGCAGAGACACAACAAAAAAAGAGAATTGTAGACCAATATCCCTGATGAATATTGATGCAGAAATCCTCAATAAAATACTGGCAAACCAAATCCAGCAGCACATCAAAAAGCTTATCCACCATGATCAAGTGGGCTTCATCCCTGGGATGCAAGGCTGGTTTAACATACGCAAATCAATAAATGTAATCCAGCATATAAACAGAACCAAAGACAAAAACCACGTGATTATCTCAATAGATGCAGAAAAGGCCTTTGACAAAATTCAACAGCCCTTCATGCTAAAAACTCTCAATAAATTAGGTATCGATGGGACATATCTCAAAATAATAAGAGCTATATATGACAGACCCACAGCCAAAATCATACTGAATGGACAAAAACTGGAAGCATTCCCTTTGAAAACTGGCACAAAACAAGGATGCCCTCTCTCACCACTCCTATTCAACATAGTGTTGGAAGTTGTGGCCAGGGCAATCAGGCAGGAGAAAGAAATAAAGGGTATTCATTTAGGAAAAGAGGAAGTTAAATTGTCCCTGTTTGCAGATGACATGATTGTGTATCTAGAACACCCCTCGTCTCAGCCCAAAATCTCCTTAAGCTGATAAGGAACTTCAGCAAAGTCTCAGGATACAAAATCAATGTGCAAAAATCACAAGCATTCTTATACACCAATAACAGACAAACAGAGAGCCAAATCATGAGTGAACTCCCATTCACAATTGCTTCAAAGAGAATAAAATACCTAGGAATCCAACTTACAAGGGATGTGAAGGACCTCTTCAAGGAGAACTACAAACCACTGCTCAACGAAATAAAAGAGGACACAAACAAATGGAAGAACATTCCATGCTCATGGATAGAAAGAATCAATATCGTGAAAATAGCCATACTGCCCAAGGTAATTTATAGATTCAGTGCCATCCCCATCAAGCTATCAATGACTTTCTTCACAGAATTGGAAAAAACTACTTTCAAGTTCATATGGAACCAAAAAAGAGCCCACATTGCCAAGTCAATCCTAAGCCAAAAGAACAAAGCTGGAGGCATCATGCTACCTGACTTCAAACTATACTATAAGGCTACAGTAACCAAAACAGCATGGTGCTGGTACCAAACAGAGATACAGACCAATGGAACAGTAAAGAGCCCTCAGAAATAATACCACACATCAACAACTATCTGATCTTTGACAAACCTGACAAAAACAAGCAATGGGGAAAGGATTCCCTGTTTAACAAATGGTGCTGGGAAAACTGGCTAGCCATATGTAGAAAGCTGAAACTGGATCCCTTCCTTACACCTTATACAAAAATTAATTCAAGATGGATTAAAGACTTAAATGTTAGACCTAAAACCATAAAAACCCTAGAAGAAAACCTAGGCAATACCATTCAGGACATAGGCATGGGCAAGGACCTCATGTTGAACTCATATCTAGTTCTAAAGCTTTTATTCTTTTTACTTTAAATTTTTGGTTAGAGATAACTGGAGACTAGTACATGTAATTTTTAACAATGCCTTTGGTGATGTTGGTAACTAGAAAACATTCAGTCTTCAGTAAATGTGACTTTAGTCAGATTATTTGTTCTAAAAACCTACCTGAGGTTTGTTAAATGAAAGAATGGACATACTGGTAACTGTGATAAAGCACTGGAATACTTTTAGGAATATCACAGATGTTGGTGGATTGTAACTTTGGTAGTTGTGAGCAGTGAAAGATGTAGAGAAGCTGTTGGGGAGGAAAAAGAGAAAGAGGAATTAAAAAGAAATACATTTTTCTTCTACACTAGACTGCACAACCATCTGGTCCTAAGTTCATTCTCTCATTAAAATTTTATTTATTACATTAGTATATTCTCATTTCGAAAGAATAAACATATGTATAGTTAAATCTGAAAGTCTCATTTGCATTTCTCCTTTCATCCCTGCATTTCTCCCCAGAAAAATAGGTTATTTTTTATAACAGTGTTACTTACATTAACTTGGGTTTATTGTTGTATTTAAATGAATGAATAAGTATTTTTTACATGGTCTCAGTTTTGATTTCTAATATGGGAAAATATTGATAAATATAACCCATGTACACAAAAGACTCTTGGGATCCTCGATAACTTGTAAGAACATTAAGGGTTGTTTTGTTTGTTTGGGTTTTTTTTTGTTTTTTTTTTTGAAACAGAGTCTCACTCTGTCACCCAGGCTGGAGTGCAGTGGTGCAGTCTCAGCTCACTTCCCAGGTTCAAAAGATTCTTGTGCCTCATCCTCCCAAGAAGCTGGGATTACAGGCATGTGCCACCATGCCCAGCTAATTTTTGTCTTTTTAGTAGAGACAGGGTTTCTCCCTGTTGGTCGGGCTGGTCTTGAACTCCTGGTGTCAAGTGATCCACCTCCTCAGCTTCCCAAAGTGCTGGAATTACAGGTATGAGCCACCAAGCCCTGCCCATAAAGGGGTTTTGAGACCAAATAATTTGAAAACTACTGCAATATATTATTACATCGGTATTAATGAACATCGTATAGGCCGTGGTAATCTAGAAAATTCTCAGGATATAATAATGTTGGCCAGAAATACAAACCCCACAAATTTTATTATAGTTATGAGACAAAGAATAGAAAATAGTACTGGAGAAAATACAGCAAAATGCCAATAGCCATATTAATGTTGTATTTTGAGTTATTTCATTCTTGGTTTTTCCAAAGGTTTTTATACTTTGATGAAATTTGTATATGGTTAAAAATCTGTTAAAACATGAGTGGAAATATCTGTTATTTCAGAAACTCGGCAGTGATGCTCAAGTTAAAGTCTTTGGGAAATGCTGCCAACTGAAACCTGGAGGAGACAGTTCTTCCTCTTTAGATAGTTCTGTGACTTCATCTTCTGATATAAAAGACCAGTGTCTTAAGTACCAGGTAAGATCATTGATGTCATTTATTTATTCATTCATTTATAATTAGTTTTGAACATCATCCAGTGGACTGTGGAGATATAATAGCAATTAGTCCTTATCTTCCTAGAGCTTGCATTGAAGCTGGAGAGACAGATAAACAATTATGTTTATGAACTTTGATAAATCTTAGAATAGGAGAAGTAGAAAGCTATAGGCATAGATTGCATGAGTATTTTCTCCTTATATTTCCCAATTCAGATTTATTGGGTTATCAGAATAATTTCTTATTTTACATACTTTTTTATTATTGAAAAATGAAGATAAATATACTAATACAGTTTCAGTTGTATGAAATTAAAGTATGATTGGAAGTATACATAATACACAGTTTTATTTCTCAAAAGTAATGTGACTTCTTGTAAAATATGGAATTAAACGTATTAGTAAGTATAATACATAGGAACTTCTCTCTAAATGTATTACATTTTATATAAGATCAGTATTTGGTCTCATGCTTAGCAAGTGTCATCTGATGTAAATTTATCTGTGTCATCCAAGTTTGCATTAATCACAAGTATTTTATATTTACTCAGTATCAAAATAGAATCTTGACTTTTTAATTACTGGTAATGAGATGATTGTGTTTTGATGGAAATTGATCTTTATACCTAATCAATGGGACAAGCTATGTGAAAAGAGTCTGAAATTACTAAACTCCACTTGGATTTACTGCACAGTTCCCCCTGCCTTCTTCTATTCCATCTCCCCTTTAGGCATGATACCTTAACAAATCCATAATAGTCCTGTGCTATACAACACCATCATGACTTACACCATTTTGCACAACTTTGAAAGTTTTGTGATTTTTAAAAAATTAGCCATGTGGGCCGGGCATGGTGGCTCATGCCTGTAATCCCAGCATTTTGGGAGGCTGAGGTGGGCGGATCACCTGAGGTCAGGAGTTCGAGACCAGCCTGACCAACATGGAGAAACCCTATCTCTACTAAAAATGTAAAATTAGGCATGGTGGCACATGCCTGTAATCCCAGCTACTCAGGAGGCTGGGGCAGGAGAATTGCTTGAACCTGGGAGGCGGATGTTGTGGTGACCCAAGATTGCGCCATTGCACTACAGCCTGGGTAACAAGAGCGAACCTCTGTCTCAAAAAAAGAAAAAAAAAATTAGCTGTGTGTGGTGGTGTGAGCCTGTAGTCCCAGCTACTCAGGAGGCTGAGGTGGGAGGATTGCTTGAGCCCAGAAGTTCTAGGATGTGGTGAGTTATGATCATGCCATAGCAACCCACCCTGGGTGACAGAGTGAGACCTTGTCTCAAAAAAAATATGTATATAGGGTGGCTGGCAAGATGGCCAAATAGGAACAGCTTCGGTCTGTAGCTCCCAGTGAGATCAGCGCAGAAGGCGGGTGATTTCTGCATTTCCAACTGAGTGTAAACAAAGCTGCTGGGAAGTTAGAACTGGGCGGAGCTCACTGCAGCTCAGCTAAGCCACTGTAGCCAGACTGTCTCTCTAGATTCCTCCTCTCTGGGCAGGGCATCTCTGAAAGAAAGGCAGCAGCCCCAGTCAGGGGCTTATAGATAAAACTCCCATCTCCCTGGGACAGAGCACCTGGAGGAAGGGGTGGCTGTTGGCACAGCCTCAGCAGACTTAAATGTTCCTGCCTTTTGACTCTGAAGAGAACAGTGGATCTCTCAGCACAGCTTTCAAGCTCTGGTAAGGGACAGACTACCTCCTCAAGTGGGTCCCTGACCCCTATGACTCCTCACTGGGAGATACCTCCCAGCGGTGGTCAACAGACATCACATACAGGAGAGCTCCGGCTGGCATCTGGCAGGGGCTCCTCTGGAATGAAGCTTCCAGAGGAAGGGACAGACAGGAATCTTTGCTGTTCTGCAGCCTCCAGTGGTGATACCCAGGCAAACAGGGACTGGAGTGGACCACCAGCAAACACCAGCAGACCTGCAGCGGAGGGGCCTGACTGGTAGAAGGAAAACTAACAAACAGAAAGGAATAGCATCAACATCAACAAAAAGGACATCCACATGAAAACCCCATCCAAAGGTCACCAGCATCAAAGACCAAAGATAGATAAATACACGAAGTGAGGAAAAACGAGCATAAAAGGCTGAAAATTCCAAACACCAGAATGCCTCTCCTCCTCCAAAGGATCACAACACCTTGCCAGCAAGGGAACAAAACTGGATGGAGGATGAGTTTGACAAGTTGACAGAAGTAGGCTTCAGAAGATAATAAAGGTAATAAACTCCTGTGAGCTAAAGGAGCATGTTCTAACCCAATGCAAGGAAGCTAAGAACCTGGAAAAAAGGTTAGATGAATTGCTAACTGGAATAAACAGTTTAGAGAAGAACATGAATGACCTGATGGAGCTGAAAAACACAGTACGAGAACTTCATGAAGCATACGCAAGCCATCAATAGCTGAATCAATCAAGCGGAAGAAAGGATATCAGAGATTGAAGATCAACTTAATGACATAAAGCATGAAGACAGAATTAGAGAAAAAAGAATGAAAAGGAAGAAACAAAGCCTCCAAGAAATATGGGACTATGTGAAAATACCAAACCTGTGTTTGATTGGTGTACCTAAAAGTGACAGGGAGAATGGAACCAAGTTGGAAAACACTCTTAAGGATATTATCCACGAGAACTTTCCCAACATAGCAAGACAGGCTAACATTAAAATTCAGGAAATACAGAGAACACAACAAAGATACTGCTCGAGAAGAGCAACCCCAAGACACATAATCGTCAGATTCACCAAGGTTGAAATGAAGGAAAAAATGTTAAGGGCAGCCGGAGAGAAACATTGGGTTATACACAAAGGAAAGTCCATCAGACTAACAGTGGATCTCTCTGCAGAAACTCTAAAGCCAGAAGAGAGTGGGGGACCAATATTCAACGTTCTTAAAGAAAAGAATTTTCAACTCAGAATTTCATATCCAGCCAAACTAAGCTTCATAAGCGAAGGAGAAATGAAATCCTTTCCAGAGAAGCAAATGCTGAGAGACTTTGTCACCATCAGGCTTGCCTTACAAGAGCTCCTGAAGGAAGCACTAAATATGGCAAGGGAAAACGGTAACAGCCACTGCAAAAACATATGAAATTGTAAACACTGTTGACACTAAGAAGAAACAGCATGAACAAACAGGCAAAATAACCAGCTAGCATCATAATGACAGGATCAAATCCACACATAACAATATTAACCTTAAATATAAATGGGCTAAATGCCCCTGTTAAGAGACACAGACTGGCAAATTGGATAACGAGTCAAGACCCATGAGTGTGCTGTATTCAGGAGACCCATCTCATCTGCAAAGATACACATAGGCTCAAAATAAAAGGATAGAGGAATATTTACCAAGCAAATGGAAAGCAAAAAAAAGCAGGGGTAGCAATCCTAGTCTTTGATAAAACAGACTTTAAACCAGCAAAGATATTAAAGAAAAACAAAAAGACAAAGAAGGGCATTACATAATGGTAAAGGAATCAATGCAACAATAGGGATCAGTGTAACAAGAAGAGCTAACTATTGTAAGTATATATGCACCCAGTACAAGAGCACCCAGATTCATAAAGCAAGTTCTTAAAGACCTACAAAGAAACTGAGACTCCCACACAATAATAGTGGGAGACTTTAACACCCCACTGTCAATATTAGACTGATCAACGAGACAGAAAATTAACAAGGATGTTCAGGACTTGAACTCAGCTCTGGACCAAGCAGACCTAATAGACATCTGCAGAACTCTCCACCCCAAATAAACAGAATATACATTCTTCTCAGCAACACATCACACTTATTCTAAAATTGACCACATAATTGGAAGTAAAACACTCCTCAGCAAATGCAAAAGAATGGAAATCATAACAAACAGTCTCTCAGACCAAAGTGCAATCAAATTAGAATTCAGGATTAAGAAACTCACTCAAACTACACAACTACTTAGAAACTGAACAACCTGCTCCGGAATGACTACTGGGTAAATAACAAACTGAAGGCAGAAATAAATAAGTTTGAACAAAGACACACCATACCAGAATCTCTGAGACACAGCTAAAGCAGTGTTTAGAGGGAAATTTATAGCACTAAATGCCCACAGGAGAAAGTGGGAAAGATCTAAAATTGACACCCTAACATCATAATTAAAAGAACCAGAGAAGCAAAAGCAAACAAATTCAAAAGCTAGCAGAAGACAAGAAGTAACTAAGATGAGAGCAGAACTGAAGGAGATAGAGACACAAAAAACCCTTCAAAAAATCAATGAATCCAGGAGCTGGTTTTTTGAAAAGATTAACAAAATAGACCACTAGCCAGATTAATGAAGAAGAAAAGAGAAAAGAATCAAATAAACACAATAAGAAACGTGTTGATCCCACAGAAATACAAACTACTATCATAGTTTGTACACAAATAAACTAGAAAATCTAGAAGAAATGGATAAATTCCTGGACACATACACCATCCCAAGACTAAACCAGGAAGAAGTCAAATCCCTAAATAGACCAATAGCAAGTTCTGAAATTGAGGCAGTAATTAATGGCCTGCCAACCAAAAAAAAGTCCAGGACCAGACTGATTCACAGCCAAATTCTACCAGAGGTACAACGAGGAGCTGGTGCCATTCCTTCTGAAACTATTCCAATCAATAGAAAAAAAGGAAATCCTCCCTAACTCATTTTATGAGGCCAACATCATCCTGATACCAAAACCTAGCAGAGACACAACAAAAAAAGAAAATTTCAGGCCAGTATCCCTGATGAACATCAATGGGAAAATCCTCAATAAAATACTGGCAAACTGAATCCAGCAGCACACCAAAAAGCCTATCCACCACGATCAAGTCGCCTTTGTCCCTGGGATGCAAGGCTGGTTCAACATATGCAAATCAATAAATGTAATCCATCACATGAACAGAACCAATGACAAAAATCACATGATTATCTCAGATGCAGAAAAGGTCTTCGATAAAATTCAACACCCTATCATGCTAAAAACTCTCAATAAACTAGGTATTGATGGAATATATCTCAAAATAATAAGAGCTATTTATGACAAACCCATAGCCAGTATCATCCCGAATGGGCAAACGCTGGAAGCATTCCCTTTGAAAACCAGCACAAGATAAGGATATCCTCTCTCACCACTCCTATTCAACATAGTATTGGAAGTTCTGGCCAGGGCAATCAGGCAAGAGAAATAAATAAAGGGTATTCAAATAGGAAGAGAGGAAGTCAAATTGTTGCTGTTTGCAGATGACATGATTGTATATTTAGAAAACCCCATTGTCTCAGGCCAAAATCTCCTAAAGCTGTTAAGCAACTTCAGCAAAGTCTCAAGATACAAAATCAATGTGCAAAAATCACAAGCATTCCTATACACCAGTAATAGACAAACAGCCAAATCGTGAGTGAACTCCCATTCACAATTGCTACAAAGAAAATAAAGTACCTAGGAATCCAACTTACAAGGTATGTGAAGGACCTCTTCAAGGAGAACTACAAACCACTGCTCAAGGAAAAAGAGAGGATACAAACAAATGGAAGAACATTTCATGCTTATGGATAGGAAGAATCAGTATCGTGAAAATGGCTATCATGCCTATAGTAATTTATAGATTCAATGCTATCCCCATCAATCTACCATTGATTTTCTTCACAGAATTAGAAAAAACTACTTTAAATTTCATATGGAACCAAAAAAGAGCCTGTATAGCCAAGAAAATCCTAAGCCAAAAGAACAAAGCTGGAGGCATCACGCTACCTGACTTCAAACTATACCACAAGGCTACAGTAAGCAAAACAGCATGGTACTGGTACCAAAACAGATACATAGACCAGTGGAACAGAACAGAGGCCTCAGAAATAATGCCACACATCAACAACCATCTGATCTTTGACAAACCTGACAAAAACAAGCAATGGGGAAAGGATTCCCTATTTAATAAATGATGTTGGGAAAACTGGCTAGCCATATGCAGAAAACTGAAACTGGATTCCTTCCTTACACCTTATACAAAAATCAATTCAAGATGGATTAAAGACTTAAACGTAAGACCTAAAACCATAAAAACCCTAGAAGAAAACCTATGCAATACCATTCAGGACATAGGCATAGGCAAAGACTTTATGACTAAAACAGCAAAAGCAATGGCAACAAAAGCCAAAATTGACAAATGGGATCTAATTAAAGAGCTTCTGCACAGCAAAAGAAACTATCATCAGAGTCAACAGGCAACCTGCAGAATGGGAGAAAACTTTTGCAATTAGCCCATCTGACAAAGGGCTAATATCCAGAATCTATAAGGAACTAAACAAATTTACAAGAAACAAACAACCCCATCAAAAAGTAGGTGAAGGATACAAACAGACACTTCTCAAAAGAAGACATTTACACGGCCAACAAACATGAAAAAAAAGCTCTTTATCACTGGTCACCAGAGAAATGCAAATCAAAACCATGATGAGATAAGCATCTCAAGCCAGTTAGAATGGCAGTCATTAAAAAGTCAGGAAACAAAAGATGCTGGATAGGATGTGGAGAAATAGGAACACTTTTACACTGTTGGTGGGAGTGTAAATTAGTTCAACCATTATGGAAGACAGTGTGCCAATTCCTCCAGGATCTAGATCCAGAAATACCAGTTGACCCAGCAATCCCATTACTGGGTATGTACCCAAAGGATTATAAATCATTCTAGTATAAAGACACATGGATACATATGTTTATTGCAGCACTATTCACAATAGCAAAGACTTGGAACCAACCCAAATGTCCATCAATGATAGACTGGATAAAGAAAATGTGGCACATATACACTATGGAATACTGTGCAGCCATAAAAAAGGATGAGTTCGTGTCCTTTGCAGGGACATGGATGAAGCTGGAAACCATCATTCTCAGCAAAATAACACAAGAACAGAAAACCAGCACTGCATGTTCTCACTCATAAGTGGGAGTTGTACAGTGAAAACACATGGTCACAGGGAGGGAAACATCACACACCAGGACCTATTGGGGGGTGGGGGGCTAGGGGGAGGGATAGCATTAGGAAAAATACCTAATGTAGATGACAGGTTGATGGATGCAGCAAACCACCATGGCACTTTTATACCTATGTAACAAGCCTGCACATTCTGCACATGTATCCCAGAACTAAAAAGCATAATAATAATTTTTTTTAAATGTATATAATTTCAGGTAAGTGGAACATTGTCTTTGAGTTACACAGGGTTTAACAGATTATTAGCTTCCAGGAATGAGTACTTAGAATAGACCTTTTAAATAAGGCATTTTAAAATAGACAATAATGATAATAGCATCCTTTTAATTATAAGCTTCATTGTAGATTATGTCACATTAAAATACATACCTTGCCAGTCACATTCATGGTAACTATTTAGTATATGTTAGAACAGACAAAGAGAACCTTAGTAGTAAACTATATGGTGTCATAAAATTCACATAGCAATTTATTAATATTTTTACTGTATTTTGCTTTCTGGGGATTATTTTATTTGTATAATAGTAAAATCTATAAATAAATGCCTTGGTATTTAAATTTGTATAGCTTGCTTAATACAAGAAATAAGAAATTCAGTCAAAATAACAATGGAGTTAGACACATTATGGTAAAAATGAGCTTATAAGGGAAGGCTGCCATGTCTATCATTAGCCAGAAGTAATTTAGGTTGCCAAGTAATACTGGCATTGATTTTTTAAATAGCTATTTTATCATTAAAAAAATTTTCTGCTCCTTTTCTGAAATGTTGTTCTCAGTACCCAAGCCTCTATGTCTTAAAATAAAAATTTGATCTTAACCAAATCTCAAGAATAAATTAGTTGCTTTGTATATTAGTAACCTAGGTATGACAGAAATGACTTTTTTCTTAAAAATTAACTTTGTGGGCTGGGCGAGTTGGCTCACACCTGTAATCCCAGCACTTTGGGAGGCCAAGGTAGGTGGATCACGAGGTCAAGAGATTGTTATCATCCTGGCCAAAATGGTGAATCCCTGTCTCTACTAAAAATACAAAAATTAGCTGGGTATGGTGGTACGCACCTGTATTGCCAGCTACTCGGGATGCTGAGGCAGGAGAATTGCTTGAACCCAGGAGGCGGAGGTTGCAGTGAGCCGAGATTGTGCCATTGCACTCCAGCCTGGGCGACAAGAGCAAGACTTCATCTCAAAAAAATGTGAAACTGATATAAAAATAGCCATGTATTAAAAAATGTGTTGCTACTTGAAGGTGTCTTTTTAAAGAAAAGTACAAATATTTAAACGTGGATTATCTTAACCCTAATAATAGGACAATTTAAGATAGGTAGTAAAGAGATAAAGGAGTAAAAGAGTCACATGATAAAACGAAAAACAGTGTGCAGCTGTATATCCTGGTCTCCAGTTGTAAAATGGGGATTCTCTTCACTTTATGGTTATTAGAATTTTCCTAAATATTTTAGAAACCATTTATTTTTTGATTTTATATAATTGCATCAGTTAAGAATGGTATTGGGACACTCTCTAAACAGTGGCTTAAACAAATTAGGGGTTGCGTTGCTGACATACATGATAACCCTAAAAGTGTACTATCTAGGTATGATACTGGGCTTCCAGATACCCTCAGAGACCATGGTTCCCTTATCTTTCTACTTAGAGTTAGTGTGTACTTGTTGCATTGTTGTTATAATATGACATCTCCATCTGTAGTGACTTCCATTTACATCTTACTGACCAGGCCTGTGTCAAATGCATGTAAATGAATAGTTCTGAAAATTGCTACTTCAACCATAACACTGATCTTTTAAGTATAAAAATTATTCTAAATCTCCTATCTTCAAGTGAGGCTGTGAAATGAAATTTTTTTCATTTGTGCACATTACTGCCCTAAAACAAACTGGACTTCAAAAAATGAGGAAGAATTAGAGAATAGATACTTGGTAGGTAAAAAGTGATATTTGCCATGATATCTAAATAGTAACCAAATGGATAAGCTCAATCTTTAACTATTGTCTGACTCCTGTGAAGACAAAGAATAATGAAAGAGAATAACTTTTTAATCAGGAGGTTCTTTGGAAACAAGACATTATAATGTTTCAAGGAAGTCTTGCTCTGTCGCCCAGGCTGGAGTGCAATGGCGTGATCTCCACTCACTACAACCTCTGCCTCCTGGGCTCAAGCGATTCTCCTGCCTCAGCCTCCCGCGTAGCTGGGATTACAGGCATGCACCACCATGCCCAGCTAATTTTTTGTATTTTTAGCAGAGATGGGGTTTCACCATGTTGGCCAGGCTGGTCTTGAACTCCTGACCTTGTGATCCTCTCGCCTAAGCCTCCCAAAATGCTGGTATTACAAGCGTGATCCACCGCGCTAGCCTCAAGGAAGTCTTTAAAAAAAAAATTGTGGGAAGAACATGAGATCTACCCTCTTAAATTTTTAAGTGTACAATGAATTGTTTTCTACATGTACAGTGTTACACTATAGATTTCTAGAGCTTATTCAAATTGCTTGACTGAAATTTAATGCCATTGATTAGTAACTCCCCATTTCCCCCTCACCCCAGCCCCTGGTAACTACCATTCTACTCTTTGATTCTGTAAATTTGGCTATTTTAAATACCTCATATAAGTGGAGTATTTATCTTATCATGCAGTATTTATCTCTTTGTGACTGGCTTATTTCATTTAGCCTAACGTCCTTAAGATTCATCCGTGTTGCGTGTTGCAGAATTTTCTTCTTTTTGAAAACTGAATAGTGTTTCATTCTATGTATTTATTATATTTCATTTATCCATGCATCTGTCAGTGGACATTTAGGGTTATTTTCACATCTTGGCTATTGTGAATAGTGCTGTAATGAATATAGGAGTGCTAACATCTCTTTGAGATCCTGATTTTAATTATTTTGGAAAAATGCCCAGAAGTGGAATTGCCAGATCACATGGTAGTTCTATTTTTAATTTTTGGAGGACTTGCCATGTTGTTTTCCATAAGTACAATACCATTTTGCATTCCTACAACAATGTGCAAGGGCTCCAGTTTTCCCACATCCTCACCACTTGTTGTCTTTGCTTTTTTGATTATAGCCAACCTGACAGGTTTTGTGGTTTTGATTTACATTTCTCTGATTAGAAATGTTGAGCGTTTCTCCTGTATCAGTTGGTCATTTGTATGAATTCTTTGGAGAAATGTTTATTCAAGACCTTAATTGCGTTATTAGTTTTTACTATAGAGTTGTAGGGGTTTCTGGTACATTTTGAAGCCAAATCCCTTATCAGATACATGGTTTGCAAGTATTTTTTCCCATTCCATATTTTATCTTTTCCCATTCCATATTTTATCTTTTTGCCCTCTTGATTATTTTCTTTGCTGTGCAGAAACATTTTAGTTTGATGTAGTCCCACTTGTCTGTTTTTGCTGTTGTTACCTGTGCTTTGGGTGTCATATCTGTGAAATTATTGCTAAGACCAATGTCATCAAGCTTTTCTCCTGTTTTCTTCTGGGAGTTTTACAGTTTCAGGTCATACATGTAAGCCTTTAATCTATATTCAGTTGATTTTTGTGCATGATATAGGACACCAGTTTTATTCTTTCGCATGTGGATATCCAGTTTTCCAAGAAGCATTTGTTAAGGAGACTATCCTGTCCCCATTGTGTATTCTTAGCACCCTTCTTGAAGATAAGTTGACTGTATACATGTAGGTTTATTTCTGGGCTGTTTGTTCTGTTCCATTGGTCTATATGTCTGTCTTAATGTCAGTACCTTACTGTTTTCACTACTGTAGCTTTGTAGTATAATTTGAAATCAGGAAGTGTAATGCCCACCAGCTTTGTTCTTTTTCAAGGTTGATTTGGCTGCTGCTTCTTGAAGAAGAAGGTTGTGGTCTTCTGTGGTTTCATGTGAATTTTAATATGTTTTTCTGTTTTTGTAAAAAATGCCATTAGGATTTTCATAGGCATAGTATTGAAACTGTAGATCACAGATATGTCTTTACAGAAATACAAAATAGATATAAATTGCCCCATTTATGGATGCTTCTTATATACAACAGGAGTAGTAAAAATTATTCTGCATATTCTTTGAATTTCACTTATTATCTATCCTGGAGAAACATTGCATATGCATAAGATGTGGTTAAGAATGCCTGCTTTTGCATTATTGGTAATAGCAAAAATCTGGAAGTGACTTAAATGCCCGTGAGTAAAGGGAACTGGTCTGACAAACTGTAGTATTTTCATACAATAAAATATTGTACAGCTCTTAAAAGGAATTAGTCAAATTTATGTGTAACAACATGGTTACATCAAGAAAACATTTTAAAAGGAAGAAAATCGAGTTGCAGAACAGCGTATACAGTGTAGAAGTACAACTCTTAATGTAGAATAACTATATCAAGAATTTTTAATAAAAATCAACATATGAAATAGTCATAAGCTTTTAATTAACACAGTTTGTTAATATGTGGTTATTGTTTAGGGTTCTCGGTGCTCTTCTGATGCCAATATGCTTGGAGAGATGATGTTTGGCTCAGTAGCAATGAGCTACAAAGGATCCACCTTAAAAATTCATCAGATTCGGTGAGAGGTTTTCTGATTTTTTTTTAACGAGTCCCATTTTTAGATATTTTCGTTTTTTTAGAGAGAATTTTATATGATCTTCACTCAGATTGAGCTTGTCATACTCCATTTAACATGTTCTATGGTTTTAATGCTACTTCATGGCTCTTGCAGCTATGCTGTGAAACCTCTGTGACTTACACATTTTTATTTATAATAAATCCAAAAGGTCATTATATTTTAGTTTTGGTCTCTCTCTTTCTCTTTTTCTTCATAGTTCCCCTCCACAGCTCATGCTCAGCAAAGTGTTTACTGCTCGGACTGGCAGCAGTATTTGTGGGAGTCTCAATACGTAAGTGCTTATGGATACAGGGGGAAATGTATCACTTTAGATGTGCAAAGTATGAAAACTAACCAACTGCTTTTAGGACTGCAGCACAAGTTCAGATTTTCTGTCTTTCCTTAAGTTTAAAAGTTCATGGAAGCCAGATTTCACTCTTAATTGAGTTTAGTTGAGAAACATGAGATGTGGTTTCTGTTTCTGTGAATTGCTAGAAGCAGTATCTGGAAGTAGAATGTTGAATGGATTTCCGTCTTAGGGCAACATGCTGATTTTTCAGTTTTGCGGTACCACGCTGAGTTACCTGAGTTACCACAATCTGTAGGGTTGGTGCTCTTCAATTTTCAGATCCCCTACGAAATTAACCCTAAAGACAGGACTGACCTAGGTCAGCCATACTGATATTGCACATATACACTATATAATGATAGCCACCAGGGTATTACAAGCTATTAATGCAAAGATTAGAATAGTGAAGCTGAAACAAAGGCAGGCCTGGTGTCAGGATCATGGGCCATGTGCCAGAACCTAGTAAATTACTGGGGCTAAAGTTAGGCAGTGGAAGACCCCAGAGAGAGATTTTGCAGGTGCCATATCAGAGCAAGACTCATTGGCTAGTCAGAGCCCCTGGGGGTAACCCAAGGTCAAAGGCAGCAAGGAAGCTACTCCAGACTACAGAAATTCTGTAGAGCCCCCATTAATTGTTAATGCCTTAAAAAGACCTGTTTGGAAGAGTTTTATTAGCTAAGTTTCTAATACCTGTAACTCTTTGGAAGGAAAGTGGGAGGTAGTCTTTTTTTTTTTTTTTCGAGATGGAGCCTCACTGTGTCACCACGGTGGAGTGCAGTGGCGTGATCTCAGCTCACTGCAACCTCTGTCCTGGGTTCAAGCGATTCTCCTGACTCAGCCTCCAGAGTAGGTGGGACTACAGGCGCAGGCCACCACGCCCGGCTGACTTTTTTTTTTTTTTGTATTTTTAGTAGAGACAGGGTTTCACTATGTTGGCCAGGCTGGTGTCAAACTCCTGACCTCAAGTGATCTGCCTGCCTCGGCCTCCCAAAGTGCTGGGATTACAGGCATGAGCCACCATGCCCGGCCATGGGGGGTATCCTTTAAAATATTATGGATGCCTTAAAAAATATTGAAGCCAAAAATACTGATTTTTAAAAGTAGAAATTAGAGATCTACTAAAGTAGAAATTAAAGATTCCATGTTGGAATCACTGATGTTAGCCATAATCACCAGAGTTTTTTCACCTTTTCTAAGTTCTGATAATTCCTAAAATCTCTAGAAAGGATATTTTGCACTAAAAGCATAAAGTACTTTTATTTTTCTTATCCTGAAAGAGACACTAAAAGAAGTGATATAGGTTATTTGTAATATATTACAGTAAAGATAGTTTTTGGATATTTGCCTAATGATTTATTCTCCTCTTCTTCCTCCTAGCTTCCACCTCTCCCTAACAGATAATTAGAAAATATTTTTAGGTCTAAAATATGAGGGGAAACCTTGTTTGTAATCTAAATCAGGTTCAGCAACTTCTACTTTAAAGATCCAGATAGTAAATATTTTTTGGCGCAAAGACTTGGAACCAACCCAAATGTCCAACAGTGATAGACTGGATTAAGAAAATGTGGCGCATATACACCATGGACTACTATGCAGCCATAAAAAAGGATGAGTTCATGTCCTTTGTAGGGACATGGATGAAGCTGGAAACCGTCATTCTCAGCAAACTATCACAAGGACAAAAAACCAAACACCACATGTTCTCACTCATAGATGGGAGTTGAACAATGAGAACACATGGACACAGGAAGGGGGACATCACACACTGGGGCCTGTCGTGGGGTGGGGTGAGGGGGGAGGGATAGCATTAGGAGATATACCTAATGTAAATGACAAGTTAATGGGTGCAGCACACCAACATGGGACATGTATACATATGTAACAAACCTGCACATTGTGCACATGTACCCTAAAACTTAAAATATAATAATAAAAAAAAATATATATATATTTTTTTGGCTTTGTGAGCCAGACAATGGGTTGTAGTTTCTCAGCTCTGCTGTTGCAGCATCAAAGCATTCATACACAGTATATAAATGAATGGGCATGGCTGTGTTCCAATAAAACTTTATTTACAAAAAGAGGCAGCAGACTAGATCTGGCACTCCAGGCTATAGTTTACCAACCTCTGATTTAAATGATTATGTTAGTTAATTTGTAATGCTAATAGGAAGAAACTGTTTTTGCACTTAAAATTTCATCAGGATGTACAAAGAATTGTCCTTAAACCATAAAATGAATTTGGAATTAATTTTCTTCTCACCCTCCATAGGCTACAAGATAGTCTTGAATTCATCAATCAGGACAACAATACATTAAAGGCTGATAATAACACAGTTATTAATGGACTGCTTGGAAATATAGGTAAATGGTTCCTTTGATTTTATAAGTTTAAAAAATACTAGCAGGGTAACAAGTGTTTTTTGAAGTTATTCCTTAATAATGCAGATCTGTCATGATAACAAAGAATTTCAAATACTGTAAGTGGAAGAGGCATTTAAATTGCCAGTATGTATAACATTTATTTGGAAAACATATTTTTCATATATTTGAACACAATATTTATTTTGTATCTGATAAAGAGTACTGCTGTAGATATATCTAATTTGTCTTCATTGTTTTTCGTTGTTAAATTTGATGCATCTTTGAAAGGTGTCAGTGATAAGAAAAGCCCTTAGTAGTTCTTTTGGCTATTTCAGCTGAGGAAGACTATTACACCTTCTTCCTTCTGTCTTCCATAACCATAAAAGTTATTTTAAAATGATGCTTGTTTTTGTGACCTGTAACTCAGATGAGCAGATGTTCAAATTTGATGTTTCTTAAAAGATTTATTAGAATAACAATTTATTTAGTACTTTGGTTAGCTGATTGTTGTTATTTAAGTACCACATTTTAAAGTGACAGACTTTCTAAAATTTCTGGTCATTTTTTCTAGACAGCTCAACTGAACTGCTGCTGTATTGCGATACTTCTGGTGCATAAAAAGCTATGTAGTAGCCAAGGGAATGGGATAGCAATTAGAATAGTATTAATATTTCTTCCATTTTCTGTTTAGTAAGAACTTTTATTTATAATTAATTTTAATAAATATTTGTTATATATTAGTAGAAAAGTTTTTTCTTCCAACTTGAACTGTATGACATCCTATTATTTATTTTTTATAATTTGTGTTTATTCAAATGAGCAATCACTTATAAAACACCTATTACTGTGGGCTAGTCATAGTGTTAGGCATATACTTTATAATGTGTGTGTGTTATAGAAAAATAGAAGTTCTGCATTTTCTTAACTCGTTTGATTACTTCATTGATTTTAATAAAGGAAAAATGTGACAAAGAAATAACGAAATCTCTTTTCTTTATAATTTGATACTTTTCAAAGCTCAAGGGGCTTGTTGAAAGTTGAAAGTAATTATGGGTTTTTTTTGTTTGTTTTTGTTTTTTGATATGGAATCTCACTCTGTCACCCAGGCTGGAGTGCAGTGGCGTGATCTTAGCTCACTGCAACCTCTGCCTCCCGGGTTCAAGCGATCCTCCTGCCTCACCCTTCCAAGTAGCTGGGACTGCAGGCACGCGCCATCACACCCGGCTGATTTTTGTATTTTTAATAGAGACAGGGTTTTGATGTGTTGGCCAGGCTGTTCTCGAACTCCTGACCGCAGGTGATCCACCCACCTCAGCCTCCCAAGGTCCTGGGATTACAGGTGTGAGCCACCGTGCCCCAGCCAAAAGGAATTCATTTTAACAACACAAATCCATTATTACTTATAAAGGTAAATTATACTATAGAGGTTAGATATACTTGTCTTCACTTTTAATATAGAGTAGAAAATCCATTTTACATACTACTGACTTTAAATAATGAGCAACATTTACTTGCACTCTTTTAATTGTGAATCAAGGATTTTTTGTGTGTGTGTCTACCATTTCTTATTTTCTTTCAATTTCCAATCAATCAGTCAATCAATCAATAAGTATGTGGTGAGCACCTGTAATATACCAAGCACTCTGCTTGGCCCTGAAGATGCAGTGGTGAACCAGACACAGTTCCTGCCTCAATGGATTTATAGTGAGTGGAAGTCAGAAAAGTAATACAACAATTACAGTATACTATAGTAAATTCTTAGAGTTAAAAGCAGTGTGTGATTAAAATAAGGAGAAGCACTCAATTCAGTCCTGGAGAGTCAATGAAGGCTTCCTTGAGGACATGAGGCTTAAGCTTGAAGGATTAGTCAGATGGTTAGGGGAAGAAATGTTCTATGAAGAAGCAGTGGTACGTACACAGACCTAGGGGTAAGAGATCATAGAGTATGGAAAGAATGTGAATAAATCAGTATGTGTGGAGCACAGAGTAGGGGTAAAGTTAATGAAAAAGAAAGAATGGAGCAAAAGCTAGATCACAAAACACACTGTAGGCCACACTGAGGAATTTAGAGTTAATGCTTGGTGTAGTGTAGTTGGGCACCAGTGCAGGTGTGTTGGTTCGGGTCCTTTACCTGTTTTTTTTAACGGTTTGCCAAAGACAGGATTAAACATGCAACAATTGTATTAGGGGAAATGACTATGTAAAGGAAAATGAGGAAAATGCTGGGAAAGGCTGAGAGACCCATCGAATTGTGATGTAAGTCTGACCATGAATGAAGGAGAGAGGGGTAGAATGTTGACTGGAAGTGTCTCAGCCCGCTATACAGTTCAAGGGAGGGTTAGCAAGGCCCTGGGAAGTATTTGAGTCAAAGTTGGTTGTCAGAAGTGTCCCATGTCTCCCCAAAATGGGCCTGCCTTTGTATACCTACTGTGTTCAGCCATTGGCTGGGAGCAGCCTATCAGCTATGTGTCCTTGCACAAATGTGGCAATAGATTTCAGCAGGTGTTCTTAATCAACATACTCTTTATAGTTGGAGATCTTTGACATATATTCTCGAGGTCACCACAGAGGAATTTTTGGAATATAGCAACACAGATTACATTTGTATCTGTAGAAGAATATTCTAACTGCAGTAGGAATGGATTCAGATAAGTGGGATTGAGAAAAGGCCCATATTAGAAGGCTGATCATGTTACTCCAAATGACAGATAATGTTACCTACAGTAAATTAGTGTCAGTGGGGATAGTTGTTGAGAAATTCGCTAAGGGACATAGAGTGGACCAGATTAGCTAATTAAATAGAAGAGGTGAGGCAAAAGGAAGAATCAAGTTTGGCACTTTGCTGGCTGTTTAATTGCATGTATATTGGTGCTATTCACTAAGGGAAATAGAAGAAATCAGAATTGATGATTTTAGGTTTAGGCATGTTCAGTTGGAAGTACTGGAATATCCAAGTGAAGAAATCCATTGTTGTTAGCTAGTTAGATAGGTATATTGTAGGGTATTCTCTTTAACATAAAAATGGATGAGTGTTTAATAATTTAAAAATAATAGAAGTTGACCAGTTAGTTGTATCTTCTGTGGATTTGAGAATCATCAGGACATAAATTATAATTGAAAGCACGGGAATGGAGGATGACCTAGGAAATGTAAAGAATGAGAAGGAAAGATTGTTGAAGATGGAACCCTGGGGAATGCTGGCTTTAAGAAGGGGTACGAGGCCGGGCGCGGTGGCTCACGCCTGTAATCCCAGCACTTTGGGAGGCCAAGGCGGGCAGATCACGAGGCCGGGAGATTGACACCATCCTGGCTAACATGGTGAAACCCCATTCTTTTGTAAAACACAAAAGAAAATTAGCCGGGCGTGGTGGCGGGCGCCTGTAGTCCCAGCTACAGGCTGAGGCAGGAGAATAGCGTGAACCCGGGAGGCGGAGCTTGCAGTGAGCCAAGATCGTGCCACTGCACTCCAGCCTGAGCGAGACTCCGTCTCAAAAAAAAAAGGGGTAGGAGAAGAGAGGCACACAGACTAAGACTGAGGGGGAAAAATACAGAGAGTGTGTTACATGGGAAAAAAGTTTACAGTGTAATATAATCAGCATCAATTACTGCTATAAGGTAATATAAAATAATATGGACTAAATTAAGCAACAGGAAGGCTTTTGGTGGCCTAGATGAGCAGTTTCAGTGGGGAGAATAGACATCAGAATGGGACGACTCAGGGTTTGGACTTTTGTCCAAGATGCAAGCAGTCGTTCTCAAACTTTTTGGTTTTAGGAACCCTTTACACACTTAGAAATTATTGAGGACTGCAGAGAACTTTTGTTTATGTGGATTACAACTACTGATAAATACTTTATTAGAAATTACAACCAAAAAATTGAAGAATATTTAGTAAATCCTTGAAAAATTACACTAATACCCCCTTTCATGTTATTACAGGCCTCCAAAAAATTAGTAAGAAGAGTGGCATTGTTTTATATTTTTACAAATCTCCTTAATTTGTGGATGAGGATACAGCTAAATTCTCATATCTGCGTCTGTATTCAGTCTTTTGTGATATTTTCGTTGAAGTGTATCAAGAAAATCCTGTCTCACACAGATATGTAGTTGGAAAATGGAGGACTTCGCAGACCCCCTGAAAGTCTCGGGGACCCAACGGGTCCTTGGATGACATTTTGAGAACTGCTGAACTGCTGTAGGATTAGATATATGGAGGGTGGTAGAAGAGAATTGATTGTGTTTAAGTGTTGACAGAATAAGGAAGTTATAAGGAGCATGAAATTAAAGACTAGAAGTAGTAATTGATAGAAGGAGGTTTTTGAAGAAGAATGGGGGATTGGGGTCCTAGCTGACTTAGAGTTAACTTTGGAAGGGAGGAAGGAACTTAGGATTTTTTAATAAGTCACTAGCACATTGTAAGGCTTGAATAACATGACAGCTTAGGCAGGAAGGAGGCAAGGATGGATGAGAGAGTAAGTTTTGAAGCAGGGTGATAGGAAAAAAAAGGGTTCCAATCTGGTTAATTCTACTGTGTGTATGTGCATATATGCATGTGCATACTCTAGGAAACAAAAGTTTTATGCTGAGAAGAAGAGGTAGGGAAGGAGTTTGAAGAAGTAGATAATTTTTAAAGTAACGAGGGAAAGAAAGCTAGGACGAATTAAAAAGCTGACCATTGAGACATGGAAGGATTGCTGTACATGTGCTGTAATTATAGAAGTTCTTGCTACAGAAAAATAATATCTGTTAGCAATTTGAAAACTACAGTTGGCTGGATACAGTGGCTCATGCCTGTAATTTCAACACTTTAGGAGGCCAAAGCAGGAGGATCACTTGACCCCAGGAATTTGAGATCAACTTGGCAATGTATCAAGACTTTGTCTCTACTAAAAAGTTCTCAAAATTAGCTGGGCCTGGTGGCATGCACCTGTAGTCCTGGCTCATGGGGAGGGTTGAGGAGGGAAGATCACTGGAGCTCAGGAGTTCGAGCTTGCAGTGAGCTATGATTATGCCATTGCATTCCAGCCTACATGACAGAGCAAAACTCTGTTTCAAAAAAGGAAAGAAGAAACATGCAATTGTCACTTTTTAAAACAGAAAGCCCCGTATTCCATCCTAGTTAAATGTCCTTCATGGCTATTTAGACTATTTTCATGAAGCATAACTAACAGGTAACCCAGCTGCTTGCTTTCAGGCTATAATGTCCTTCTTGGGTCTTCAGACTGCAGTTACCTTTTCTTGATGAAGCATGTGGCAGCCACTTCTCTTGAACAGCTGGGAGTCTGGTCCCTGATGAGCTTCATTTGTGTTCCTCCTTCCACAGTGGCTGACTCCTGGTTTAGTAACCTTGGTTTCTTCCATTACTTTGTAACTTACAACTGGGTTAGAAAAACCAATTTTTAATTTGTCAGTAAGATCTCTTCTGGTTTTGCACCCTGTTGTATGCTGTGTGCCAAGTGCTTAGGTGGTTTTCTCCTCGCTGCAGTTGTAGGCACATACTATAATCTTCAAACAACTTTAAAAAAATGAATTTATTTGGCAAATATCAGATTAGATAGATAACATTATCGTACTTTTTCAAATCTTTAAAAATACTGCTTTACATTAGAAAGGATTGAACATTTAAAATAATTTTTACTTTATATAGCAGAAGCTTGTTTTTATTACATATAGATTTATTAGTAAAAATACATGAAGTTGTTGTTTCATATAAATCATGGCTAAAGAAACACCATCCTGTTTCAAAAATGGGAAAGACAGCTTGAATTCTTATTTAGTTTAAAAGTTTCCATCCATATTTGTTGGTCTGCTCTTGTGCTGCCTTAGCTCACCTTTTTTCCCTGACGCATTGTGGCTTCTCTAACAGTCCTCTTTCATGTGTATTTTACGTTTTTGCCATGTAGGTCTTTCACAGTTCTGCAGCCCCAGGCGGGCATTCTCTGAGCAGGGTCCGCTCCGCCTGATCAGGAGCGCCTCTTTCTTTGCAGGTTTGCGATGTGCTGTGTGGGTAGACTAGTTGGTGTGCCCCAACGGCTAGAATCTGTAGTTAAGCTGTGGAAACAAGAGAGTAGATGAATGCAGTTGGTGAGGTTGTGGTTAAGAAAACATTGCATTAGGAAGTATAAAAACTTAATTCCTTTTCTACTGAACATGTTCTTAAAGTTTCCAGACACCGGATTATCAGTAGAATTGACATTTTTATGAAATTTCAGTTTGTCATTTCTCTTGTGGCATAATGATTTTAACTTCAGAATCTGAAACCAAAACTTAATATGAACTTTATTTCTTATGATACCACTTGGAATTTTTAATGTGACACTGTCTTGTTTCCATGGCTGAGTAGCTTTTGTACCATAGTTCACCAATTGCAGAAAATTATCCTATCTTGTTATTATTGTAAAATTTCTGATCTACACTATTCCATAAGAGCAGTTTTTCTTGGAGCTAAGATTTAGATGAACAAGCACTACTATAATGCTCTGTAAAAGGCATATATGACTATATTTGCTTACATAATCAAGTTGATGATTGTAGAGTATGTTCATGTGTATATATCCAGGATTCTAATCATATTCCTTGTTTTCACACATTTTAGCGGATTACCTAACATTGTAACCTTTTAGTGGAAATTACTGGAATGTGAACACATTTACTCTTCATTGTTCTCAGATTGGTATCAATTTAGCCCTTCTTGTTTTGATTAATATTTTCTTTCCCTGTAAATATTAGATATAAAAAATATATATTTGTAGAAAACTTGGAAAACACTTTTAAAAGGCAAAAATATATATTAGCCATTTTATCAGCCAGAAATACCTGCTTTTTTGTTTTTTAAAGAAAATGGGGATCATACTATTCAAATAAATATCTCAATTTATTATAGAGAATTTTGAAACATACATTGTTATAGGCAGAAACAGTACAGTGAACTATGATATACCCACCACTTGGTCCCAGCAAGCACTCATACTGTTCAGTAGCTTGCTTTTTTTCATTTAATAGTATATTATAAATATGTCACTGAATATGCTTCCAAAATATGACTTTTAGTCACTCCTTGCTTCTTTAGATATTATGTTTTAGATTCTTATACTGTGTATCAAATCTTCACAGAGCTCTCAAAGCTTGTTCAACTGAGTAATAGCTCTTGGTGTTGGGTTGGTGCCATGCTATTGAAAAAAATAAGGGAATGCAATGAGATGAGCATGATTTCGTTTGCTATTTAAAAGGAGCTGTTCATCCACCTGAATAGCAATATATTTTATAACTGACAGTTTCATCTTTATTTATAGTTCACAGCAACCCAATGGACATGCCTGGAAGAGAGCTCAATGAGGACAGAGACAGTGGCATAGCACGGTCTGGTAATGTCACGTTCTTGTATTCAGTTTTTTATGAGATTACTGTTGGCATTGATTTTCTTTTTTATCCCTCCCTTTATTATCAAATTTGTTCATATTGATATTAGCCTTACAAGAGAACTGTGAAAAGACCAGAGCAAAGTCTTATAAATTTAATATTTTTCATGTTTACTTTTAAGTGTGCTAAGTAGGATAAAGCCAGGATGAAGTAAAGCCAGAGTAAAGTACACTGGTTGAAGCTTAGTGAATATAAGAAGAAAAGCATTGGTCAGAAAAACTGCTTAGAAACTGTAGTAAAAAAAAAACACGTTTGCTTATATTTGCTTGCTGCTAACTAAAGTTTAAATTGTCATATTGTCTCTTGCCCAGAAAAGCATAGGCATTTTGAATCAATGTTATACTTTTTTTTTTTTTCCAAATATGGACCTGTCCAAAATTTGTAGGTCTAGCAAACATTTATTGAAACATGGTGGACATTAAAAAAATTAAAGCCCAGAGTCTGCCCTTACGGAACACAGATGTATGGAGTCTACTGGGAGAAAAATTAGGAAAATCATCTGTCATAGGTCATTGTGTGATGCATTTAGTGATAGGCCTGCGCAAAAAGCTTCAGCGAAAGAGCACCACACTTAGCCTGGGCAAGGGGCAGGGATGCCAACAATGCTTTACAGAAGGATGATGATTGAGTTGTATTTTGAGAAATAAATAGCAGTTATCCAGGCAAAAGCTCAGAAAAGCATTTTAGCTAAAAGGAAAAGTGTTTGTTGGGGCCCAGAGAGCAGCATAAGTAAAAGGAGGAGTAATTTTAGGCTTGAATTACTGTTAGATATGAGAAACTTAATTCAGTGTGATAGCATGTGTTGTTACATTATATGGCTCTGCTATCGAAATTGTTTTGTAATTCAGTTTTGAGTATAAATGAAAAATCTAAACTTGCTGTATATTGCAATCCCTAGGTATGTATTAGAATAACAAAGAGAAGTTTTATAAAAAATTCAAGTGCCTGAACTCTACTTTCAAAGACTCTCGTGTAACCTAGAGAAGGTATCTCTAGGCATCTGTATTTGTGAAACAAAACAAAATGCAAAACCTAACACTTGATTCTAATGGATAGCTAGGGTTGCCGACCACTACTCTAATAAGAGTAGCTTGTGTTTTTCAAGTAATCTCATCTTTCTTTTCTAATTGAGTTTCTTATTTTTGTTTTAAAGAATCTAGAGTTTATTTCTTTTAATAAACTTTGCTTCGATGTAATCTAGATATTTAGTCTTCCCTGGCAGGAATTTAATTCTCATTATTTTATTTAAGATTTAAGTATAATTTATTTATACTTACATTCTTTGTAAGTTGAAGCATCTGGCTAGACTGATCTGTTAGGCTGCTTCAAGTTATTGGATTCATATATGCCATTTAAGTTAATGTGTGTTTTCTTTTTTTTCTAATAGGGTTATTTTTAATATTAGAATGCAGTGAAATGTATTTTTTCCAAACTTAGGACAGCATTTTATTTTTCACTGAAGTCATACCCAGATTTAGTTGTACATACCCAATCTTGGACTACAAGAGTTTATAATACTAATTGATAAAATGTGGTCTGCATTTAGAATCTGCATTCTAAAGTAATTTAGAATGAGTTCATTGATGGTCTACATGTTTGCATGGCACATACAGCTTTATCCTCTATCATTGAATTTGTCAGAATTCAAATGAATAGATCTTCATAATGAAAGTGTCTCAGTTTTTAGTGCTGGTGTCCAAAATAATTTATCATCTGGCCTGTACCTTTTTAATAGTGATGATAATGGTTCCCTGTTTTGAATATACATTTTCAGTATGTGCTTATGATCATGAAAGATAGAAGTCTGGAATATTGCCAAACAAAAGCAAGCCCTTAATGGCAAGTGTTATCCTCTCTAAATCCAGTGGGGAAAAGCCTGATGAAAATCTCCTAGCCTAATGAAAAATCAGCAGTTGTAGCTCTTAACACCTCAAGCAATAAACATATCTTACAGATTTCACAGAAGTGTTTCGGGAAGGGAATAATCCATCCCCAAGATCAGGGGATTGCAGCCGTGAAAGAGTGGAGTCTGCTGGAATGTGTTTGTCACCTTAGATGCTCCAGGGAGCATTCTTTTTTTGGAGCTTAGTAGGTATAGTCATGATTCTTAATTAAAAGTGGTAGGTTTGACTACATGTGCACATGTGATCCATGAATACTTGTAAATGACCTCTTTAAATGCCATTCAGACACTTATTTTCAATAGCTTGTTCTTAAAATCCAGCTGCTGCATTAAGTTTGAATAGCATCAGATTTCCTTTAATTTAAGAACTAAAAGGATTCAACTGAGTTAGGGGACAGTCAATCCAGTGGCCAAAGGGATAATGCCTTGTTGCAAAGTATAATTTTCTTCTGGAGTCCCTAGAGGGGAATGCCAAAAGGGGATTGTCTCAGAGTTTTTTGCTGATACATTGTTAATATATGATTTTTCTCCTCTGAGACCTTGCTACAAGAAGGATGTGTTCTTTTAATGAACATTTTTGAGGCTCATGAAGCAAAATAAAGTTTAACTTAACCTATTTGTAATTTTGTTAAAAAGAAATTTGTCATTATGCTTAGTCATTATTGACTTATACTTGTTGTTCTTCTGACTTAACAGCATCTCTCAGCAGCTTGCTGATCACTCCATTTCCTTCCCCAAACTCCTCACTTACCCGAAGTTGTGCCAGCAGCTACCAGCGACGTTGGCGACGCAGCCAAACAACAAGTTTGGAAAATGGGGTATTTCCTAGATGGTAAGTTGGAACTTTAAACACAGAACAAGATTGAGTAGTTCCTTAAACACAATTTTATATGGGTTTTTTAGAACCTGGACTTGTATTCTGTGTATTTTAAGTTTGAAACTGAAAACTTTTAAAATTTACTACATTTTTAAAATTGTGGTAAGTTATACATAACAAGTTACAATTTTAACCATTTTTAGGTGTACAGTTCAGTGACATTTGTTTAAATACCTTCATATTGTTGTGCAACCATCATCACCATCCAACTCCAGAACTTTTTCCTCTTCCCAGCTGAAACTCTGTATCCATTCAACGTAATTCCTCATTTCTCCCTTTTCTTCCTCTTGTAACCACCATTCTATTTTCTGTCTTTATGAATTTTCATTCATACCTTGTATGAATGAAATCATACACTGCTTGTCCTTTTGTGTCTGCCTTATTTCATTTAGCATAATGTTTTCAAGGTTTATCGATGTTGTAGCATGTGTCAGAAATTCATTCCTTTTTATGACTGAATAACATTCCGTTGTATATACATACCACATTTTGTTTATCCATTTGTCTATTGATGGACACTTGGGTTGCTTCCACTTCTTAACTATTGTGAATAATGCCGCTCTGAACATGAGTGTGCAAGTATCTGTTCGAGTCCCCATTTTCAATACTTTTGGTTATATATCCAGAAGTGGAATTGCTGGATCATATGGTAATTTTGTTTTTAAATTTGTGAGGAACTGTCACGCTGCACACTGTTTTCCATGGTTACTGTACCATTTTACATTCCCACCAGCAATGCACAATGGTTCCAATTTCTCCATATCTTCACCAGCACTTATTTTCTGTTTTTTTGATAATAGCCATCTTAATGAGTCTGAAGTGGTTCCTCATTGTGGATTTTATTTGCATTTATCTAATAATTAGTGAAGTTGAACATCTTTTCTATTCTTTTCTTTTCTTTCCCTTTTGAGTCGCCCAGGCTGGAGTGCAGTGGCATAATCCCGGCTCACTGCAGCCTCAACCTCCCTGGGCTCAGGTGATCCTTCCACCTCAGCCTCTCAAATAACTGGAACTACAGGCTTGCCACCACACCTGGCTAATTTTTTTTTTTTCTTTTTTTTTAGAGATGGGGTTTCGCCATGTTGCCCAGGTTAGTAGAACTTCTGGGCTCGAGTGATCCACTTGCCTCAGCCTCCCAAAGTGCTAGGATTACAGGCATGAGGCACCACATCTGACTTGATCATCTTTTCTTGTGCTTATTGGCTATTTGTATATCTTTTTTGGAGAAATGTCTATTTAAGTCCTTTGCCCATATTATAACTGCATTTTTTTGCTTTGTTGGTGATGTCTGGAAATTCTGTATATATTTTAGATATTGATCCCTTATCAGATATATGATTTGTAAATTTTTTTTACATTCTGTGGGATGCCTTTTTACTCCATTGATAGTGTCCTTTGATGCACAAAAGGTTAAATTTGTATGTAGTCCAGTTTATTTTTTTTTCCTTTGTTGACTGTGCCTTTTGTGTTATATCCAAGAAACCATTGCCAAATCAGTGTCATGATGCATGATGCCTTTACCCTTTGTTTTCTTCTAAGAGTTTTATGTTTAGGTCTTTGATTTATATACTACATGTTTTGATATTTCAGTTTTTCATGTTTTTATTTTGGCAAGGTAATTCATTCTTGAAAGATTAGTTTTTAATCTACATTAAGTACAACTGTAGATACTAAAAGTTCTTGTTTTCTCCTCTTTTTTATTTCCTTTATTCCTTCATCTTTGACTTTACTCCTGAAATCAAAAACAGACACCAGAAGGGCCTAGAACAGGGAAAAGATTGTACCAGACTCATCTATAAATCTTAAAATTTAGCCACTTTTTGGTTGATTATGAATTGGGATTATCTACTTCTTTAGTTACTTCTAATTGGACAAAAAAATGTTCCCAATCTGACTCTGTAGTAAAATTTCTTACAAGAACATGAACCTGAAAGAATAGCCAGTAGATTTCTTAAAGAGATATACAATTGGTATGAAATTATAGGTTTGTTTGATAAAACAGCAAAAGACTTAGCTTACCTACATTTAATTAGCAAGAAGATTAAATTGTGAATTTATTTTTACTTTTGTAAATTAATAAAAAATCATTTATTTTTAAGGTCTATAGAAGAAAGCTTTAATCTCTCAGATGAAAGCTGTGGCCCTAACCCAGGAATTGTGCGGAAAAAGAAGATTGCAATTGGGGTAATCTTTTCATTGTCCAAAGATGAAGATGAAAATAACAAATTTAATGAATTCTTTTTTTCACATTTTCCTCTCTTTGAAAGCCACATGAACAAATTAAAGAGTGCAATAGAACAGGTAAGCATAGTTATTTATTTATGTATTTTCCTTTTAAAATCTTATTCTCCCAATTAAGCATTATATTTATTAATTTGGCAGAAAAATTAACAGACGTTGTGCATGTGTCCTATAAAGTGCTCTGGTGGATGCAAATAGATTGAACCCTTTTTAAGGTGCTTACTGTCTAGTAAAAGATATAAGATCATTCATCCATTTGTTCTGTAAATAAATATTTGAGGGACTAAAATGTGGTAGACACCGTTCTACCAACTAAAGAGAAGTGATAAAAGCAACACTTCTGACCTCATGGGACAAATAAACATATGAATATAGATGTATGTAATAAGTCCTGTGAAGAAAAATAAAACGGAGAACGGTATATAAGGGATCCTGCAAGGAAGGATTACTAATTTTTATAGGCTAGTCAGGAATGCCCCTTATTAAAGGACATGTGAATGTGGTCCAGAAATACGGAGCAGGTGAGCTACAACCATCTGGAACGAGATATTCCAGGCAGGGGCAAAGGCCTTATTGCAGGAGTAAGCCTGATACTTAAGCAGCATTACGAGGCCAAGGTGCCTAGGTTGAAGTGAGACTAGATCATGTAGGACCTTATAAGATACCATTGTAAGAACATTAGCATTTATTCTTACAAAAGTATGAAAGATGGGAAACCATTGGAGGGTTTTCAGTGGAGGAAGAAGGACATTATTTATGAGGATCACTCTTACTGCTGGTGGATAATAGATTTCTAGGAGCAAAAGTAGATGTTGTGAGACCAATTAGCATACTGTTACAGTAATCCAGATGATGAATACGCAAACCACTTTAGTGATTGAATTGGTAAGAAAGAGTTGGATTCTAGATATATTTTGAAAACAGCCAGTTTGATTAGCTGGTAGACTAATCATTAAGGTTGACTCTAAGATTTTTTTAGCCAAGCAGTTAAAAGGATGAAGTTGCCAGCATTGAAGTGAGAAAGACTGCAAGCGAAACAGATTTGATAAAGGAAGATGGGTATTTTATATTTGCATATGGACATCCTTGTGTTTTTATGAGTCTGGAGTTTACCAGAGAAGTCATCAGTGTATAGATGGTATTTAAAGCCATGAAACTGATGGAGATTGGCAAGAGAGGACAGGCAATGGTAAGCCTGAGTTGTGGTGCATTTTAACATTAAGAGTTTGACGAGATGAGAAGGAACCAGCAGAGGCGAAGGAAAAGGATTGGCTATTCAATTAGGAGAAAAAACAAGAGTGTATTCTTTTGGGGAAAGCCAAGTACAGAAAGTATTTCAAGGAAGGAGTGATCACTTTTGTCAGTTGCTACTGAGATAGTATATACGATACAAATATGTATAGTAAATTGTGAAATATTAGAATCTAAGCTAAAAAGGAAGGACAAAGGTTTTTTAGAAATTTGGGGGAAAGTGAAATGACTTCCTATTGGGAAGAAGTTTCATTTGGACTGCATTTTGAAGGATGTATGGGATGTTTTGGAACATAAAGCTCTGAAAATTGGATATAGCAGAATAGCAAGAAAATCGACATTCTTGCCACCCAAAGGGAACACAGTAACTCATTGCTGAAAAATCTTATTTAGGCCTTTTTTATGCATATTGTGCTTTTACTTGGTAGGGATTGTGCTGTGTCTACATTTTTCAAATTATATGCCCATTTAAAAAAACTCAGATTGAGCAACATGGCAAGACCCGGTCTCTACAAAAAAAAATTTAAAAATTAGCCAGGCATGGGGGAGCACACTAGTAGTCTCAGCTACTAGGGAGGCCGAGGTGGGAGGGGTGCTTGAGCTCAGAAGGTCGAGGCTGTAGTGAGTTGTGATTGTGCCTCTGCACTGTAGCAACAGAGTGAGTCCCTATCTCAAATAGTAAAATAAAAAACATCATTGTCACATACACATTTCTCAAGTTATTGTAAATGGTTCTTACATATATTTTAGTAGGTCTCCTCAATTTAAGTAACAGTTTCCCTGTTAGGCCATTTCTACTTTTGCACAATTGTTGCTACCCTATCGTTAACATCTTGGCGAATTTTCCAGATTATTTTTTAGAGGAGATTCCCAGAAGTTGAGCTGATAAAATCAGTGGCTGTCACCAGAGTTTTTTGCAACAGTCTGTGGAAGGGAAAGGATACAAAGAGGAATAGTGAGAGGTACAACTGGCGAAGTTAATGAGTACCTGATGACAAAAAATGTAGCGTGCTTGCCAGGGAGTTCTGACTTTGTCTTTAAGGCTGTTTGCAAGTTGTACTTTGGGGAGATTAACTTGGCAGTGTGTTTTGTATATGGCTGCTGAAACGAGCACTTGGTAGTGCGTTTTGAAGAGACTGGAGTAAGAGACGAGAGGTGGGTAGACCCGTTAGAATGGTTTAGAAAGGAAAGGATGTATCTCAATAACTCATTAGTGACTAAGGATGATCTGCCTTTAGAGAAGACATAGATGTTAGTTATTCATATTGAGTATGTCAAAAAATAAATAGTTCATTAGCAATACATTTTTATTGAACAAATGAGTAAAGGCCATTTTCATTTACCTTTTCTTAAGTTAGACACTGATTACATTTCTTCAATTGGCTGCACTCACATTTTGTAGTCTAGCCAAAGTCATCACACACAGTAATAAGTTGTGGGTGAACTGACATTTTTAGTTATTTGGAGAAGTATTTCAAACTTTGTATAAAACTTGAAATAGGCATTATAGAACTCATTAAAGATTACTTTTCAAGTGTTTTCATGTTTTAACGCTTTGATAATTCTGTAACCTAAAGCAGCAGTCCCCAGCCTTTTTGGCAACCAGGGACCCTTTGTAGAAGATAATTTTTTCACGGATGGGGCTGGGGAGGTGGGGAGTTGCCATGGTTTCAGAGGCATTAGATTCTCATAAGAGTGTGCAACGTAGATCCCTTGCATGCACGGTTCACAATAGGGTATGCGCTCCTATGAGAATCTAATGCTGCCACTGATGTGACAGGAGGTAGCGCTCAGGCAGTAATGCTCGCTCACTTGCTTGCTCGACCCAATTCCTGACAGGCCACTGACGGGTACTGGTCCACGGCCCAGAGGCTGGGGACCCCGACCTAAAATGTACATTGTTAATGCTTATAGTTGTTTGGATATTTGTTCAATTGTAGTATCGCATTTTTTATTAAAGCTGAAAGATGAAATTAAATGAATGCTTTTACATAAGTGAATGGGACTTAATTTTTAAAGTTCTATAGTAGTTACTTAATGATAGAATATTATTAAGAATAGAATATAATAGTGAATATTGTACCATCCAAAGAAGTTATCTTCTAGGGCCAGTTTTCAGACTATTTTTTTTTTTAAATAAAAGCTATGGATTTTGTTTCTGAACACCTTGGCAATTATTTTGAAGTCTTCTATCTTTTGAGATTTGTGATTTAATTTAAAAATAGCATTGCTGATAAGATTAAGGAAGAACACTACCAAATTCTAGCAAAATAATATTCACTTCTTTATAAATTGCCAGTCTCTTAACAGTTTGAAAAAACATAAAGCGTGTTTCACTTTCACCCTCTGAAGCTTTTGGGTGTACAGGAACATGATTTCTGGCCTAAAGTAGGCTGACATCTTAATTATTTTTTTAAACAATATTTAATCACTTTGTAATTATATAAAGAATACAGAATTCAATTCTCTTTGAAAAAGTGTTAAAGATTAAAGTTCTTTTTGACCTCCATATCCTAATCCTGATCCCCTTTTTGCCTACCTAGATTAAGGCTTTTTAACCTTGGCTAAATATATTTTAAGAAAGCAAATATTGGCCAGGCATGGTGGCTCATGCCTATAACCCCAGCATTTTGGGAGGCCGAGGCAGGCGGATCACAAGGTCAAGAGATCGAGACCATCTTGGTCAACATGGTGAAACCCCATCTCTACTAAAAATACAAAAATTAGCGGGGCATGGTGGTGTGTGCCTGTAGTCCCAGCTACTCGGGAGGCTGAGGCAGGAGAATCGCTTGAACCTGGGAGGCAGAGGTTGCAGTGAGCCAAGATTGTGCCACTGCACTCCAGCTGGCAACAGAGCAGGACTCTGTCTTAAAAAAAAAAAAAAGCAAATATTACTAACACCTTTAGCTATCTTATTGTAGAATCTTTATATTCCCTTTTTTTTTTTTTTTTTTTTTGAAACAGTCTTACTCCATCACCCAGGCTGGAGTGCAGCAGTGGCATGATCTCAGCTCACTGCAACTTCAGACTTCTGGGTTCAAGCGATTCTCATGCCTCAGCCTCTTTCATAGCTGGGATTACAGGCGTGTGTCAACACACCTGGCTAATTTTCATGTTTTTAGTATAGACAGGATTTTGCCATGTTGGCCAGGCTGGGCAAATTTTTAAAAAAGAGTTAACAGGGCTGGGGGCAGTGGCTCATGCCTATAACCCCAGCACTTTGGGAGGCTGAGGTGGGTGGATCACGAGGTCAGGAGTTCAAGGCTAGCCTGGCCAACATGGTGAAACCCCATCTCTACTAAAAATATAAAAATTAGCCAGGCGTGGTGGCAGGCACCTGTAATCCCAGCTACTCGGGAGACTGAGGCAGGAAAATCGCTTGAACCCGGGTGGCAGAGGTTGCAGTGAGCCGAGATCGCGCCATTGCACTCCAGCCTAGGTGACAGAGTGAGACTCTTGTCAAAAAAAAAAAAAAAAAGGAGTTAACAGAAGTGTTATCTGTGAAATATAAGCATAAAACCATGAGTTGTTGTTACTGAGTTATCATTATGTCTTGTTCTGTTTGGGAAAAATAAGTTTTTTGTAACCCAGAAACTGTCAACATCAGTTTTTTTATGTGTTGACAGTCTGCAGTTTTAAAAATAAGAGATTGAAAACAGTCAAAAATTTTGAACTTTGTTCAACCATTCATTAATTACCAAATGTGTAGAAGAAAAAGCCACAATAAATGCATTTACTTTCTTTATTTCTTTCTCGATAAGAATTTTGATAGAGCGTTGTGTAAATATGTGACTCTGTCTAAAAAAGACTTTTTTCCATGTTTTGCTCATGATTAACATAAGAATTAACTATCTCAATGATTGTTTTCAAGGCTATGAAAATGAGCCGGAGATCAGCTGATGCCAGTCAGAGAAGTTTGGCATATAATCGAATAGTTGATGCCCTAAATGAATTCAGGTACATATTGCCCAGCTTTCCATAATGCAGTAATTCATAGTGTACACAGGAAGATTCATTTTTTCTTTAACTTGTTCTAATAAAATTTGATTTCTTTGTCCTATAGTCATATGATGGTGTAATTCAGTAGACCATTGGCTCCTATGTTATTACATCTCAAATGTGCTTGAGAATCAAGCACATTGAGAGCCATCAGTGGTATGTTTTTCAGTATTGGGCCATTTGACAAGCAAATATGACCAGGAAAGACCCTTGTTCTAGCAAAAGTATGCTTTGTTCTCTCTTGGGATCCTAGATGTAGGGACTGTTAAGTGTTATTTAACCAGTGGTAGTAATCAGATATTCTTGAATACATGAGATACAAGGATATATGGATATAAGGAACATGCACTTGATATTCTAAATGGCTTTGTTGCTTGATCCTTCCTCTAGATATGGCACAGTGAATAGTCCTTCCGCTAGGGTTTTCTGGCTCAACAAAGCTTGTACCTGAAGCCCCAACAACTGCTGTAGCTGTCTTCTAACTATGTGACATACATACTACAAATGATGTTATGTTGGGAATTAGTATACTAAGTGACTGATATGTCTCCCTCGACAAGAGGTTCGGTTTAGGTCTACTTCATTTTCTCAATCTTTCCTCCTTTAGACTAGAGAGATAGAATAGCATAGGGAGTGAAAACTAAGACTCTAGAATCTGTCAGACAGACGTGGATTTTAACCCTGGCTCTGTCATTTACTACCTCTGGTGATCTTGGGCAAGTGCATTAGCGTTTTTGACCCCTAGTTTTCTAGTATAAAATAGGTAAATTCAATTTAGTAATAATCTAATAGATTGTTATAAGGATCAAATGAAATTGTGTGTGTAAGGTACTTAGCAGAATGCCTGACATTAGTGGCACCATTCTTTTCTTTTCTTTTTCTTTCTTTTTTTTTTTTTTTTTTTTTGAGGTGGAGTCTTGCTCTGTCACCCAGGCTGGAGTGCAGTGGCGTGATCTTGCCTCACTGCAACCTCTGCCTCCTGGGTTCAAGCAATTCTCCTGCCTCAGCCTCCTCAGTAGCTGGGATTACAGACGCGTGCCACCATGCTTGGCTAATTTTTTTTTTATTTTTAGTAGAGACGGGGTTTCACCATGTTGGCCAGGCTGTTCTCAAACTCCTGACCTCAAATGATCCGCCCACCTTGGCCTCCCAAAGTGCTGGGATTACAGGCATGAGCCACTGAGCCTGGCCTATGGTAAACATAACCTACAGCAGTGCTTCCCCAACTTAAGTCACTTACATCATATCTTAACAATTTTGCCAAATTTATATATCATGTATACTTTTTAAATTTAGTGTTTCTCTTTAAATTTGACCATCTTTTATACCTAAATAAATCTATTTCAACATGAAACTTCATTACCCTAGATAGGGAAACAATATGCTTTACCATAATAAAACTAGCTATAAAAATAAATTTATAGTAACTAAAATTAAAAATATGTATCTGGGCCAGGCGTGTTGGCATGTGCCTGTAATCCCAGTACTTTGGGAGGCCAAGGTGGTTAGATTGCTTGAGCTCAGGAGTTCGAGACTAGCCTGGGCAACATAGTGAGACCCCGTCACAAAAATAATAATAAATGTGTATTTGTATACCACATTGTGTACACTACGTACCACTGTGTAAATTTTATTATTACCAGTAGTCTATGTACCTTACTTTTAGAAAAACTACATTTTTTTTATTGACAACTGTGTGGTCTCTTACTGGGGCAGGGATCTTCTAGATTGTTGTTTGTTTAAATGGGCCATCACATCTTGGAGTGAAAGGCTGTTTTAGTTTGTGTAACTGCAGGATTGCTATGATGAAATTGTAGGCATGCCATACATATATATAAAATTTTAAAACTTTTAAAATATATAAAACATTTTTAAAACTGAGCTAAAGAGTGGTAGATTTAAATTGAAGAAGTTTATGACTATTGTATAATAATCATTTACTTGACTCAATTATTGAGAAAGAGAATAATGTCTACTCATTCATTTGGTTTATGCATCATAATGTTTAGGATAAAAGATATGAAAAGCTAGTTAAATATATCTTACTGTTCTGTACAGTACACTCAGTGGTTAGGGGAAATGTAGAGAAAAACAGAGAGAATTTAATTTCACCTTATATTATTTTTTGGTATTAGAAATAATTTGTACAGGCAAAAACTGTATTTGAGATGATATTTCTGCCATATATTAATTTTATTTTAACATTAATTTTAGGCATTTATTATATGGAGCATGCTAACAAATAATTTTAATTTAATATTTTTATTGTAAAAATATCTATAACGTTAGATTTAGCTTTATAAATCATTTTTTAGGTGTACAGTTCAGTAGTGTTAAGCATATTTACATTGTTTTGAAATCAATCTCTAAAGCTTTTTCATTTTGGGACACTGAAACTCTAGTGATACGGTAATCAGTGTGGGTTTTTTTTAGTTTACTGGCATCTTCACTCTTTATATCTGAATTATATGCAAAGTTATTCATAATTTCATTTCTTCATACTTAAACCATAAAGGTTGAGATTATCACATTTTGGGTGCCATTCATGATTAAATAAAAGCATTATATGCATGTTTTTTATAGATGAAGTGTAGGAGAAATCAAATACATTTGCAGAGGGAATTTAGAGCAACTTTTATGAGCTTCCTGATGTACAGTCTACTTTGGCTTCATAACTTCTCAATTTATATAGCCCTGTTTGTATGTTTCTAGAAGTTCTGTGAAAACACAAAATTTGATGATTTTATGAATGTAAGATGGAAATAATTTTAACATCAGGATTATTTGCTTGAGATGACAATTTCTTTGAGTTGTATTGTTTTAATATAAATGTTTAGGTATCTTCTTTATGATTTAGGAGGTAAATTATACAAAGTTGCTTAAACCAAGTGTTAATGGTTTAGGCCTGCCTAGGATACATATCCTAACCATTGATTTGATATTTCAGTAAGTGTTCTACAGTTAAGGAAAAAGAAGCCCATATTAAGCTCAAGATAAGTGGTTTTCTGTTTTCTCAATGTTGAACACAGTTTTTGAAAGCAGGTAAATTGTAGGTGATGGAATTCCAGCCAGCCAGCAGACATTTTATGTGACTACTGTGTTTTTTTAATAAACATTTGAACCTTTAGGCCTGTAGGCCAGGCAAGCTTTCTTTAGTTTGGCATAGGCTGTATCTCTCTCAGTCAGTTGTATTAACCCATATATTGTATAATTTTATTCCTGCCAGGCCTCGGAAGATTATTAGTTTATACTTCGGTTTTAGGAGTTGGTGATTTATAGCCATTAATCTAGACCTTATTCTTTTTTAATTTGTAGTGCAGTCTGATTTTCGTGCATCTTCTGATACTATCCATGTTTGTGTCTGAAGAGCTAGACCTGCACAGGCTGAATAATGACTATCCCTTCTTTCTTTTCTTCTGGAATATTGAGAGTGGGAGTGGGGGACAGCAAAACGAAACAATAACTAAATGGTAAATTCTAAGACATGCCTATCTCTTATATTGTCTATTTCTTGGCCACTCTGTATTATCAGTTAAGAGTATAAATAGCTGTATATAGCTTTATTTTTCCAGTTTGATGCATGAGTTTATGCACGCACGTGCCCACACACACAATGAAGAGACTTAATTTGAACAGTTTCAGATTTACAGAAAAATTGAGCAAATAGCAGTTTTTTCATATAGCCCTCTTCCCCAACCTACAGTTTTCCCAGTTAATGCTTTATTTATTTATTTATTTATTTATTTATTTATTTATTTATTTATTTATTTGAGACAGTGTCTCACTCTGTGGCCCAGGCTGGAGTGCAGTAGCACGATCTCAACTCACTGCAGCCTCTGCCTCCCAGGGTTCAAGTGATTATGTGCCTCAGCCTCCTGAATAGCTGGGTTTACAGGCGTGCACTACTACACCCAGCCAATTTTTATATTTTAAATAGAGATGAGGTTTCACTATGTTGGCCAGACTGGTGTCAAACTCCTGGTCTCAAGTGATCTGTGTGCCTTGGCCTCCCAAAGTGCTGGGATTACAGGTGTGAGCCACCACACCTGGCGTCAGTTATTAATGTATTGCATTAGTATGATATATTTGTTAAAACTAATGAACTAATGTTAATACATTATTACTAACCAAAGACCAAAATTTACATTAAAGTTCACTCTGTTGTATAGTTATATGGTTTTTATTAAATGTATGATGTCATATACACACCATTATAGTATCATATAGAATAATTTCACCGCCCTAAAAATCCCCTGTGCTTTACCTGTTTATCCCTACCCACTAACTGCTGGCAACCACTGATCTCTTTACCTCTTTACTTTCTCTATATTTTTATCAATTCCAGAATGTTGTATGCTTGAAATCATATGCTATGTGGACTTTTCAGACTGGCTTCTTTCACTTAGCCAGTCTTTCGTAAGATTCTTCCTTGGTGGTGGTGGTGGTGTTGCTGTTGTTTTTACCTAATAGCTCATTTCTTTTCATCATCGAGTAATATTCCATTATATAGATGTAACACAGTTTGTTTATTCATTTTCATTCACCTATCGAAAGATATCTTGCTTGTAGTTTTTGGTGATTATAAATAATACTGCCATAAATATTCATGTTTGGGGTTTTATGTGGACATGTTTTCAACTCAGTTGGAAAAATACATAGGAGCATGATTGCTGGATATTATGGAAAAACTATGTTTAGCTTTGTAAGAAATGATCAAACTGTCATCCAAAATGACTGTACCATTTTGCATTCCCACCAGCAATTAGTGAGAGTTCCTATTGCTCTACATCCTTGTCAGCATTTGATATGGTCAGTTTGTCAATTTTAGCCATTCTAAGAGGCAGGTAGTGATGTATCATTATTGTTTTAATTTGAAGTTCCCCAATGACATATGTTGAGCATTTTTTCAAATGCTTATTTGCCATCTGTGTATCTTTTTCGGTGAAGTGTCTGTTTGGGTTTTTTGTCCTTTTTAAGTTGGCTTTTTTTTCTTATTGTTGAGTTTTGACGGTTTTTGTTGTTGTTGTTTTGTTTTGTTTTGGATACCAGTTCTTTGTCAGATTTAAAAAAAATACTTCTTACAGTTTGTGGCTTCTTCTTATAATAGTGTCTTTCACAGAGCAGAGTTTTTAATTTTAATGCAGTCCAACTTAACAATTTTTCTTTCCTGTATAGTATTTGGTGCTGTATCTAAAAACTCATCACCTAACCAAAGGTCATTTAGATTATCTCCAGTGTAATTTTCTGTCTGCTTTATAGTTTTGCATTTTATGCTTATGACTATGATCCATTATGAATTAATTTTATGAAAACTGTAAGGTCTTTGTCTAGATTCATGCTTTTACATGTGGATGTCCAGTCGTTGCAGCACCATTTGCTGAAAATACTTTCTTTTCTCAATTGAATTACCTTTGCTCCGTTGTCAAAGATCAGTTTATACTCTAGTTGTGTGAATCTGTTTGGGGGCTCCCTGTTCTGTTCTATTCTGTTCTGTTCTGTTGATCTCTGTAACTATATATATATATATATATATATATATATGTATATATATATATGTGTATATATATATATATATATGTATATATTTAGCTATTACCATGCTTTTTTTTTTTTTAGTTGACAGGTAAAAATTGTGTATCTTTATAGTGTATAAAATGATGTTTTGATATGTGTACACATGTGGAATGGCTAAATCAAGCTATTTAACATATCTATTACCTCACGTAATTATCATTTTTTGTCATTAAAAGACTTAAAATCTACTCTTAGCAATATTCCAGTATATAATATTATTATTAACTGTAGTTGCCATGATGTGTAATAGCTCTCTGGAGCCCTGAAATTTTTTTTTTTAAATTTATTTTTTTTTTAGACAGTCTCACTCTGTCCTCCAGGCTGGAGTGCAGTGGTGCGATTTTGGTTCACTACAACTTCCACCTCCTGGGTTCAAGTGATTCTCATGCCCCATCTTCCCAAGTTGCTGGGACTACAGGTGTGTGCCTCCACACTTGGCTAATTTTTGTATTTTTAGTAGAGGCAGGGTTTTGTCATGTTGGCCAGGCTGGTCTCAAACTCCTGGCCTCAAGCGATCTGCCCACCTTGGCCTCCCAGAGTACTGGGATTACATGCATGAGCCCTCATGCCAAATTTTGTGTCCTTTGACCAACATCTCCCTTATCTCCCAATCCCCATGCTATCTTAATTACTATATCTTTATAGTAAATCTTGAAGTTCAGTAGTATCAGTCCTCCAACTTTGTTTTTATTCTTAAGTATTGTGTTGATTATTCTGGGTCTTTTTTGTTTCTATATAAACTTTAACATCAGTTTGTAGATGTCCACAAAATAACTTGCTGAGATTCTCATTGGGATTGTGTTGAATCTATGGATCAACTTGGGAAGAATTGACGTTTTAACAATAGAGTCTTCCTATTCATTACCATGGAAACTATTCCCATTTATTTAGATCATCTTTGATTCCTTTCAACAGAATTTTATACTTTTCCTCATATAGACCCTGTGTATATTTTCTCAGATTTATACATGTTTTTTGGGGGGGTCAGGGGGAGGGAACCTAATGTAAATGGTATTGTTTTTAATTTTACATTTCAGTTGTTCATTGCTGGTCTGTAGGAAAGCAGTTGACTTTTGTATATTTACATTGTATTCTGCAACCTCATTATAATCATTTATTAGTTCCAACAGTTGTTTTTTTCTTTCGATTGATTCTTTGAAACTTTTTATATAGAAAATCGTCTTCCACAAATAAAGACTGTTTTATTTCCTTTCCACATGTATACTTTTTCTGTCTTCCTTCTTTCCTTCCTTCCCTCTTTTTTGTATCTTTGTGTCTTTCTTACAGCCCTAGCTATAACTTCCAGTATGATATTGAATGAGAGTTGTGAGAGGACACATCTTGACCTTGCTCCCAGTCATAGGAAAAAAAACATCCAGTCTCTCACCATAAGTATGATGTTAGCTGTAGGTTTCTTGTAGATATTCTTTCAAGTTGAGGTAGTTCCCCTTTATTCTTTGTTTGCCAGGAGTAGATAATTATTGATTCAATTTTTTAAGTAGACATAGGCTATTCAAGTTAATCTATTTCTCCTTATGTGAGTTTTGGCAGTGTGTGTTTTTCAAAAAATTGATGCATTTCATCTAAATTTGTGGGCATAGACTTGTTCATATAATTCCTTAATTATCCTTTTAACGTTCATAGTATCTATAGTGATACCCCTCTTTTGTTTCTGTTATTTATAATTTGTGTCTTTTTGTGTTTTTCTTGGTTTCCTGATAAAGGCTTAACAATTTTACTGATCTTTTCAGAGAACCAGCGTTTGGTTTTGTTGATATTCTCTATTTTCTGTTCAATTACAATAATTTCTGCTCTAGATTTTACTATTCCTTATCTCTTGAATGCTTTAGTTTTATGTTGCTGTTTGTCTAGTTTCCTAAGATTAAAGCTTAGATCGTTGATTTTAGATCTTCTTTTCTAATATATGTATTCAATACTATTAATTTCCCTTTAAGCACTCCTTTTGCTGCATTCACAAGTATTGATAAGTTGAATTCACATTTAGTTCAAAATATTTTAAAATTTCTTTCAAGATGTCTTCTTTGACCTATGTGTTATTTAGATGCATGTTTTCAATCTCCAAGTATTTGGGGATTTTCCAGTTATCTTTTTCTTACTGATTTCTAGTTTGTGATTTGAGAACATACATTGTATGATTTGTATTATTTTAAATTTGCTAAGGTGTGTCTTATGGCCTAGAATGTGGTCCATTTTGGCAAATGTTCCCTGTCAGCATGGGAAGATTGTGTATTCTCCTGTTTTTGGATGAGGTATTGTATAAATGTTAATTAGATTCAGTTGACTGATGGTACTGTTCAGCTCTATTATATCCTTACTAATTTTCCGCCTGATGGATACGTCATTTACTGATAGAGGAGTGTTGAAGTTTCTAAGGAAAATAGTGGATTTATTTCTTCTTGCAGCTCTGTTTTTGCCTCACATACTTTGATGCTTTTTTGTTAACTGCAAATTCATTAAGGATAATTATGTCTTCTTGGAAAATTAGCTCCTTATCATTATGAAGTGCCCCTCTTTATCTCTGATAATTTTCACTGTTCTGACCTCTGCTTTGTCTGAAGTTAACACGGCTATTAGTCCATTTTCGTACTGCTATAAAGAACTGCCCAAGACTGGGTAATTTATAATGGGAAGAGGTTTAATTGATTCACAGTTCAGCATGGCTGTGGAGGCCTCAGGAAACTCGTAATTATGGCGGAGTGTGAAGAGGAAGCAAGGCACCTTCTTCACAAGGCAGCAGGAAGGAAAAGTGCCGAGCGAAGGGGAAAGAAGAGCTCCTTATAAAACCATCAGATCTGATGAGAACTCAGTCACTATCACAAGAACAGCATGGGGGAAACCGCCTCCGTGATTCAAATACCTCCACATGGTCTTGATCCCTTGACATGTGGGGATTATGGGGATTATGGGCTTACAATTCAAGATGAGATTTGGGTAGGGACACAAAGCCTAACCTTATCGGTTATTCCAGCTTTCTTTTGGTTAGTGTTAATGTAGTATATCTTTTTCTATACCTTAACTTTTATTTTATTTTATCTTATTTTATTTTATTTTATTTTTGAGATGGAGTATTGCTCTGTCACCCAGGCTGGAGTGCAGTGGCGTGATCTTGGCTCACTGCAAGCTCCGCCTCCCGGGTTCACACCATTCTCCTGCCTCAGCCTCCTGAGTAGCTGGGACTCCAGGCACCCGCCACCATGCCCGGCTAATTTTTTTTTGTATTTTTAGTAGAGATGGGGTTTCACCGTGTTAGCCAGGATGGCCTCGATCTCCTGACCTCGCGATCCACCCTCCTCGGCCTCCCAAAGTGCTAGGATTACAGGCGTGAGCCACTGCACCCGGCTTCTATACCTTAACTTTTAATCTATCTCTGACTTTATATTTAAAATGGGTTTCTTGTAGACAACATAAAGTTGGTTCTCTGCCTTTTAACTGGTGTATTAAGACCACTCACATTTGAAGTGATAATTGATATAGTTGGATTAATATCTATCATATTTGTAATAGTTTTCTATTTATTTCACTTTATGTTTTTATCCTCCTCTTTTTATGTCTTCTCTGGTTTTAAGCAGTTAAACGCTTCCATTTTTCTCTCCTCTTTTAGCATGTCATTTATATTTCTTAAAAACTTCACTTTTTAGTGTTTGTCCTATAGTTGGCAATACACATTTACAACTTTCAAATAACCATGTACTGCTTCACAGGGAGTGCACATACTTCATAACAAAATATTCCAATTTCTCCCTCACATCACATCCCTTATAACATTGCTGTCATTCAATTTAATTTTCCATTAGCTATGATCATTCAATATATTGTCATTTTTATTACCCTAAACAATTATTTTTCTATTAGGTCAATTTAGAATAAGGAAAATGAAAGACTTTATTTTACATTTATTACTTTTTGGATACTCTTTTTATGTAGATTTGCATTTCTAACCTGTTTTCTCTGAAAAATATCTTTCAACATATATTAAATGTCATTTTTTTCTGCCATCAAATCTGTCAGTTTTGGTCTGAGGAAGTCTTTCTCTTTTCCTTTTGAATTATTTTGCTGGATACAGAATTCTAGGTTATTGTTTTTCTTTCAATGTTTTAACCATTTTTCTCCAGTCTCTTTTTTTTTTTGCATAGTTTCTAACAAGAACTCTAATGCAGTTCTTACTCTTCTATAGGTAAGGTTGTTTTTGTCCTTCTTACTTCCATTAAGATTTTGTCTTTGGTTTTCTGCAGTTTCAGTATGATATATATAGGAGTAGATTTGTTGGTATTTATCCTGCTTGGTGTTCTGTGAGCCTCCTGCGTCTATGGTTTGTTGTCTGTTACTAATTTTTTTTTAATTCGAAGCTATTATTCATATATTTTACTTCTCCATTTTGTATTTATTACATGTATACTTTTGTAATTGTACCACAGCTCCTGGATATTATTTTTTATCCTTTATTCTCTTGGCTTTTCAGTTTCGGAATTTTTATTGACATACCTTCAAGTTCATTGATTCTTTCCTTGGTCATGTCCAGTCTGCTGATGTGCCCATCAAAAGCATTCTTCATTCCTGCTCCTTTTTTTTTTTTTTTTAATTGCTAGCATTTCCTTTTGATTTTTTAAATGACTTTCCATCTCGCTGTTGCATTATTTGGTCTTGCATGTTGTCTATTTTAAACATCAGAGCAACAATAATCATATATATTATATAAAATAAACATATTTATCATAATTTTCAATTCCCATTCTGATAATTCTAAAATCTTTGCCAAATTTGAGTTTGATTCTGATGCTTTCTTTGTTCAGACTAGTTTTTGTTGCTTTCTAATTTTTCATTGATAGCTATATATGATGTATTAGGATATAGGAACTGAGTTTAATAAGATTTTAGTATGAAGTTTTATATTAACCTAGCTAGGAGCCTTAGATGTGTTTAATGTTTGCTGTAATGTTAGTTGTAGGTGCCAGAAGCCTCACTTTCCCATAGTTTCCTTTTTTTTTTTTTTATTTTAAACTCCTCTTTCTTTGGTTTTCCCCAAGAACTACTTCTTTGAATAGATTCTGTGTCCTGCAGCTCTTTTAGTTGTAATCTGCATTTGTTACACTGGAGCTATGTTGATATGGAAGTAAGGTGTTGGAGAGAGGAAGGGGAAATGTTCTGTAATCTTAAAATTAAATCTGATTTTTTTTTTTTAGTCTGAATTTCTGGGATGTGACCTTTGGAAGTATTTCTTAGCCATCCCCTCTCCCTGCCACCTATTTTTCTTTCCAGAGGCCAGCGAGGAAGGCTGCTTCTCTCTCAAGTCAGATAAGGCTCTGGTAAAATAGTTTTATTTGGAGGGCAGACCTTTGTTTTGGAGAATGTTCTAGGAATATTTCAAAACTGTTACTTTGTCACTACCTCTGTCCGAACCATAGCCAGATGTTTCTCTGATTTTCACCATGAAAATATGGTAGTATCCCATGAAAGTGGGGAGGTCTCCCTAAGACTAGGTCCCTAGGAGTTTTTGTCACTGAGAGGAATTCACACTCATTCTTCAGCAGTTAGTCAATTACTATTTAAGTGTTCCTGCTGGTTATTGGCTCCAAAGGCTTCTGCTTCAGGTAACTTGATCTCAGTTGTCATTCTCTGTATTTACCCATTTTTTCAGTTTTCAGAGTGATGGTTTTCCCTCTGTCCGCAGTTTGGTGATGTAACTAAGAAAAGTCATTGATTTTTCAGTTCCTTCAGTTTTTCCCTTGTTCTGAGAACAAGAATAATGACTTCCAAGCTCTTTGCAGGTCAAAGCTGAAATTGGAAGTTCACATATTTTTAAATCAATATTTTAATGTAAGAATACATTGAACTGAAGTAAGATTTAAAACTTTGTTGAGTTAAAAACTGAAATTGGGCCAGGTATAGTAGCTCATGCCTGTAATCCCAGCACTTTGTGAGGCCAAGGTAGGTGGATCATTTGAGTCCAGGAGTTCAAGACCAGCCTGGGCAACATGGTGAAACTCTGTCTCTACAAACAATACAAAAATTAGCCAGGATTGGTGGTGCATGCCTGTAATCCTAGCTACTGGGGAGGCTGAGGCAGGAGGATCAGTTGAACCTGGGATTCAGAGGTTACAGTGAGCCGAGATTGTGCCATTGCACTCTAGCTTGCATGACAGAGCAAGACCCTGTCTCAAAGGAAAAAAAAAAAAAAGCCAAACAAACCACAACCTAAATTGATCTAGACTTTTCTTTGGAATTTAAATTACATCATAAACCTATGCTTTTTTTTTTTTTTTGAGAAAGGAAAAAAAAACCATTCAGATACTGCTGTCACTAGAGAAGTATAATGAAAACTGTTTCCCAAACTCTTAGAGTTTGTTTAGTAGGTATGGGGCTAGCATCTACATTTCACAAACTCTTTTGGTAATAACTAGCTTAAACTTTATTCAGGGGCCAAGCTTGGTGGCGCATGCCTGTAATCGCAGCACTTTGGGAGGCCACGGTGAGAGGATTGCTTAGAGTTTTGAGACCAGCCTGGGCAAAAAAAGCAAGACCCTGTGTCTGTTGATAGCACAACAGGGTGACTATAGTCAATAATAATTTAGTTGTACATTTTAAAGTAACTGAAAGAGTATGATTGGATTGTTGGTAACAAAGGATATATTCTTAAGATGGTGGATACCCCATTTATCCTGATATGATTATTACACATTGTACCCCATAATTTATATTACACTTACAGTGTACCCACAAAATTTAAAATCAATAAAAGACCTCATCTCTAAAGTAAAAATTTTCGAAGTAGCCAGGCTCAAGTGGCGTGCACCTGTAGTCCCAGCTACTTAGGAGGCTGAAGCTTGGCAGGATTGGTTGAGCCTAGGTAGTCAAGGTTGCAGTGAGTTATGATTGTGCCACTGCACTTCAGCCTGGGTGACAAAGTGAGACCACATCTCTTTAAAAAAAGGACAAAACTCTTTTCAAGGAGAAAAATTACCAAATTGTGTCTTTCTTCTGCACTACTATAATGGAACTATAAGCCTTGTCTTACACAATTACTGTTCAACTCTTAGCAGGGATGTCAGAGTCAGCATTTGAGAGCAGTTTTGTATTGAAATAAAGAGCAATTTCTGATTCTTCAGAGTGATTATATATGCAAACGAAGGTGTCTGTGTGTTTTATTGAAATCAGGACATTTTGAACCTAATATCCTGATAAGCTAAAATACTATCAATTGGGTAAAATTGGTTATTTATTATCCCTAATGGTTTATGACAGCTTTACTCTGTATACATTCCCTTGTAGCCCAGTGCATGTGCCACCAGTGCCTGTGCTCTTTACATAGCTGAAAGATTGAACTTAACCACAATTCAAACACACACATACACACAACTAGAGTGGTTTCTCTACCTATAAAATAGGCCTCTTATGAATATAAGTAGTATTTGAGAACTATGAAAAGTTATAGCCTTGTATTTGTCTAAATTTAATCTACAGTTGGAATTTTTTTTTTTTAACTGGAGTGAGGCAGGATTGCTTGAAAGCTTACTCAAAGATTCTTAAGGAGCGAGGTGCAGTGGCTCACGCCTGTAATCCCAGCACTTTGATAGGCTGAGGAGGGTGGAACATCTGAGGTCAGGAGTTTGAGATCATCTTGGCCAGCATGGTGAAACCCGTCTCTACTAAAAATACAAAAATTAGCTGGATAGTGGCGGCTGCCTGTAGCCCCAGCTACTGAGGAGCCTGAGGCAGGAGAATTGCTTGAACCAGGGAGCCTCGGAGGCGGAGGTTGCAGTGAGCTGAGATTGTGCCACTACACTCCAGCCTGGGCAACAGAGCAAGACTCCATCTCAAAAAAAAAAAAAAAAAAGATTCTTAAGGGTTTTGCTTCCCCTGAAGTAGATATTATGCCAGTAATATAAAAGAAATGTGCAATGAATAATCAGATGTTTCATTTGTAATTTTTTATTTTTTGTGGTTTAAATTGTTTTTGTTTTTGAGAGAGGGTTTCAAAACACTCCTAGGCAGGAGTGCAGTGGCAGAGGATAGCTCACTGGAACCTTGATATTTTTAAATATTTTTTAAATATGTTGTATAATGGGGTTACTATGTTGTCCAGGCTAATCTTGAACTCTTGTCCTCAAGGGATCCTCTTGCCTCAACCACCCACAGTACTGGGATTACAGGCATGAGCCACCGTGCCTTGTCTGGTTTAAGTTGTTTTAGTTTACTTTGTTTACACCAGAATTATTATTAATACGTTTTATCGAAATCCAGACATTTTATTTTATTTATTGAAATCAAGACATTTAAAATTTTGTGGGTACATTATATGTTTTCAATAGTTCTTTTTGCTTATTTGCTTGAAAGAATCCTTCAGGATTCTTTCTGAGTATCACATATTGCATTAGTATAAGGCAGTGAATCTTTGCCCTTGAACTTGCAGTTAATTATACTATTGGATTGACAAATTCTTTTCTGCAGTCACAAGCTTTGTGGCAAAGGCCAAAAGTTTCTGCTTGGGCTCTGAGGAAACACTGTCATTATAGATCCAGCTGAAGTCACCAGAACAGTAAATATTGTCATAAGACTCCCTCCAAACAGGATACTGATCTTGCTTTTAGATTTTAAAAGACTTTTTTATTTTTCAAAATTTTAATTAAATACTTGTGAGTCAATTGCTGTGGTATTATATAGTACAAATGGCCTAGACTTAGAATTTCAAGATTGCCTGGAATTTACAGCATGCGAGTTATAAAATCTGTAAAAGTATATGTCACTATTATGTGCCTTTCCATTTGTATTGTTTGATTATTTTGCTTCAGTTGCTGTGCAAATATGAAAGGGATATTAAATATTCTTATAATATTTTATAATTTTCAATAGGAGGTCTACCTATATAAGTACTTTCACATATACAATTGATATTCACCATTTGTGGATTTTGTATTTTAGAATTCACCCACTTGCTAACATTTATTTGTAACCCCAAAATATAATTGCAGTGCTTTTGCAGTAATTTGTTTACATGTGCAAAGCAATGAAAAATGTGAGTTGCCTGACGCATATGTTCCTAGTTTAGATCAAGCAAGGTCTAATGCTTTGCCTTCTTGTTTTAATTCTCATACTGTTAACAAATATACTTTTTTGACATTTATTTAGTGCCAATTTTTTTGCATTTTTCTGCTTTTTGTTAGTGACTTTGCTGTTAAAAATGGCTTCCAAATGTAGTGCTGAAATGCTGTCTAATATTCAGTGTAAGAAGATTGTGATGTACCTTACAGAAAAAATACATGTGTTAGATAAGCTTCCTTCAGACATTATTTATGGTGCTGTCAGCCATGAGTTTAATATTAATGAATCAACAGCATCAAATAAGATATCCTTAAACAGAGAGGCACATCAAGGTTATGTATTGAGGGTTTGATGAAAATGTGACCAGAGGCTCATAGGAACCTGTTTATTTTCCTTAGGGGCAGTGGTTCAGTGTTGCTAATTCAGTGCTTGAGTGGGCTTTATAGAAAATAACTACCTCAAATAATGAGAATAGACTCTGCAGTCAGACCTTTATATCTGTGGGTTCCACATCTGCAAATCAGCCAACCTCGGATCAAAATATTTGAAAAAGAAAAACCAATAAAAATTAACTGCAATTAAAAAAATACACATTAAAAAACCAATGCGGTATAACAATTATTAACATAGTATTTACACTGCATTTGGTATTATAAGTACTCTAGAGATGGTTTTTTTTTTTTTTTTTTTTGAGACGGAGTCTTGCTCTGTCACCCAGGCTGGAGTGCAGTGGCGCAGTTTCGGCTCACTGCAAGCTCTGCCTCCCGGGTTCACACCATTCTCCTGCCTCAGCCTTCCGAGTAGCTGGGACTACAGGTGCCCACCACCACGCCTGGCTAATTTTTTTTTTTGTATTTTTAGTAGCGACAGGGTTTCTCCGTGTTAGCCAGGATGGTCTCAATCTCCTGACCTCGTGATCTGCCTGCCTCGGCCTCCCAAAGTGAGGTGGTTTTAAGTATACAGGAGGATGTGCATGGGTTACATGCAAATAGTATGCCATTTCATAAGGGATTTGAGCATCCACAGATTTTGGTAACCATGGGAATTCTGGAACCAATCCCCTGAAGACACCAAGAGATAAATGTACTTCTTAAATTAAGGGATTATTTAAAATTAACAATGACATAATCTTTAAATGATTATTTGAGATCAAGTGATTAGTAAATTTTGGGCAGTTGAGAAGAGGAAGGAAATTATTTACATGTGTACAGAAACCATGAAAGCTAGAGAAGCAGGAAGCATGTTTAGTTAACATTGCTGCCTAACAAAGACGAAGTCTTTAGATTTTTATATAGACCCTAGGCATATCAAAGAAAACTAAATCATGCCTACAGTTTCCTCCCAACCAAAAGAGTCTTTCATTGTCCGGGCACTGGGAAAAATAAGGGGACAGACTGGGAAAAATAAGGGGACAGATTACTGAAAGTATTTGCTTTTCTTACCATTGAATGATAGGGCACAATTATTAGTGGAGAAGAAAGAAATGATTTCTAGAATAAACCATTACTTCTAGATTTTTTTTTTTTTGAGACGGAGTCTTGCTCTACCGCCCAGGCTGAAATGAAGTGGTGCAATCTCAGCTCACTGTGACCTCTGCCTCCCAGGTTCAAGTGATTCTTGTGCCTCAGCCTCCCAAGTAGCTGGAATTACAGGCACTCACCACCACACCCAGCTAATTTTTGTATTTTTAGTAGACGGGATTTTGCCATGTTGGCCAGGCTGGTCTTGAACTCTCAACCTCAGGTGATCCGCCCACCTAGACCTCCCAAAGTGCTGGGATTATAGATGTGAGCCACCGCACCTGGCCATTACTTCTAGATTGTTAATGACAACAACATAGAGTTGTATATAGTGAGAAGCACTGTTGCGTAATTAATTTCTTTGCCTTCTTTATACTTGATAACACTCTGAGGCCATAGCATATATAATACTTTTAAACAAATATAATACTAAAATACTAAAGCAAAGGCTCTCATTGGACCACTAATACCAGTGTTTGTGATCTGGCTCTGTGCAATGACACATGGACTTATAGTAGACGGTAATATGCTGAAGAAACTCATGAAAAAGTCTTAAATGATCAGCATATTTATTTATTTATTTATACATTGTTTCTTTTAATCAAAAAGTATATGCACATGATTAAGAAACAAAAATTTCTGAAAGGTCCAATAATTAAAAATAAATGAATCCTATCCTACTCACCCCATTCTTCCCAGACACATTCTCTTTTTAACTATTATTTCTTGTTATTTACTTCCATATTATTAAAAAGTATACGAAATGTTGCTATTTCCTCATTTATCAGTTTTAGATCATATTTATTTTCTGCCATGATATATGGGTTTATACCTGTTTCTTGGTCCTTTATGGTCTCAGTATTGTTATAGCACCATCATGTTCTTCGGCTCTGGTAATTTTTCTGCTTTCTTTTACAATTTATTCTGTTTTCTCTCTGGAATCCGTTTTTTTTTTTTTTTTAGAAATTGGCACTCCTGGATTGTTCTGTGTTCCTTTTTTTTCATATTTTCCTTCTCTTTTTGTGAATGTTTTGTTTTTCTATCCCTTCTATGCTTTTTTCATTTCAGCAAATCTTTGATGCTTTCTTATTTTTGGATAATCCTTTTCTTTGAAAATTAGATTCTCTACCATACTCTTTAATTTTAATGTACATTAGAGTTTTGTTTAAAAGTTTTCTTCCATTGTTTGCATTATTTCTGTTTTCCTCTGGAGTCATTTTATATGGGTGAGTATGTGTGTGTTTCTGTTCTTGTCTTTTTCTCTGCTTGGAGGCTTTCTCTAAATATCAGTGTTTTTGGTTGCGCTCTGTAGTTGAGAATGAGGTAACAAACTGTAGGTTAGGAATTCTGTGCATAATCAGGCTTTTGACTGGAGACCTTCACTTCAGGGCAGTGTTTTTCAACCTTTTTTTATTATCATTACCTGAAGAAGCATATTTAGATATTTTTCCCCTAATCTCTGCTCCTTCAATACCACCGCCCCCCACAATCCCATGAAGATTTAACACTACAAGATATACTCTATATCTGATTATATACTCTGAAAGATACAAATGCCAGGAAGAGTTTGGAAAAGGTCATTCCTCGGGGCCATTCAACTGCTATATCTGCTCTCTCCTATCTGTAGTCATTTTCTGGGGAAGTGGAGAGGAGGTAGGGAGCTGCCAACCATTTATGGACTTTGAATTAGTCTCCCAATTTTCAGTACTGTATCGTAACTCCTGTCATGACTTTCCCAAAAATTTGTGAGTCTTGAGCCTCATCTTGCTTTAGTGGGGCAAATTAGCTCTCCTTTGTCCATGTCTCCCTCTGTGATACTATGACCTTATAACTTTCTCTACTCTGCTACTTCAATCACAATTCCACCATATGTTTGTATTCCAGAATTTCATGAAATCTCTAATTTTAATTTTCAGTAATAGTTCCTTGGCAATTTTTTTAAAATTAAGTAATTTATTTTTTAAATAATAGAGACAGGGTCTCACTGTGTTCCCCAGGCTGGTTTTGAACTCTGGGCTTAAGCAGTCCTCCTGCCCCAGTCTCCCAAAGAGCTGGGATTACAGGTGTGAGCCACCACACCCAGCTGGTTCTTCTCTAATTCTATTTGTTGCACTAGTTTATCTGTTTTCAAATCTTTAGGTGGTGTTCATTTGGGGCCTCAGAAACTGAAGAGAGGATAAACATTTGTCTTCAATTTTCCATCGTATCTGGACACCTGTAATAAGCTTTAAAAACAAACATTTTCATATATGCCTAGTTTGTATTCTAGTCATATTTGCTCTATAAAATAACTTTTTGTTTATTTTAAAATTCTTAGCAATGATTATATGTTCTACAGAGAGCTCATTAAAGTGACCTGTTCTTATTGTTTCTATCCATTGTAATACATCATGTTTATATTGTTTCAAATTCAACAAAATTTGTAGAGGCAAGATAATTCTTCTCTTTTTTGGCTCCTAGGTGTTACCAGACAGTGATACTGAGGTTGGTATTAGAATTTATGGAAATCTCAGAGAACTTTCTAGAGCAGTATTGCACAATAAAATCTCAGCCGTCAGCCACATGTGGCTATTTAACTTAATTAAGATAAATTCCCTTCCTTAGTCATACTGGTCACATGTCATGTGTTCAGTAACCACATACAGCTAGTGGCTACCATTTCAGACAGTGCAGGTTTCCATCATTGCCAGGTTCTACTAGACAGCATTGTTTTAAAAAGTAGAAAGTAGGACACCATTCTGTAGTTCTCCAGGATTGACTAGTTTCTTAAGCCTCAGGCTTTTGCAGGAGTTGCTTAGTCTAGTAAATGTATAGGGCTTTGTTAAATAGATAATGATGTAAAAAGAAAATAATTAACATCTTGAAAGTATGCTTTGAAGCCTTCAGGAGAAAGTACAAGTCACAGGACTAGCTATTGTCTAAATTAGTCCAAGAGACAGCTAAGAAAGCACTGTGCTAATTGTGTGATAATCTTTTTTTGTGTTGATTCAAGGAAACACTGTAGAAGGTTGAGAGAGTCATAAAATGTAGCATGTATGTATACTGTTCTCGCTGTCCTTAAGAATGTTACTAGAGTCTTAGCATAGGCAACAAAATGATGCAGATAAACTGTTGTTTTGAGTGGGTAGATGGATAAGCTGTTACCTCATTTAGAATATTTTCTTTTTGTACATGTAGTTGATTATTTGCGGTATATTTAAGTACAGCATACCCCGTAGAAATGTGGAGCTGGAATGGGCTTTAGAAATTATCATCGTATCCTTTCATTTTACAGGTATGGGAAACAAATGCTTAAAGTAGGGAAATAATTTACTCTAGGGCACACAGTCACTGGTGGGGAGAGCCAACACCAGAACCAACATATTTTGAGAACATTTCCCATGGTACTGTGTTGTTGACAAGGAAAGAAGGACTTGGTCCATTGTCTTTCCTCAAAAGCTTTAATAATCTAGATGTAAGGACCAAGCTGGCAATATAAACTTAAAATTATTTTAAGAGTATGTAACTCTTGGAACTATACATTTCATAATGTGTCTTCCTCTTTTTAGAACAACAATTTGTAATCTTTACACGATGCCACGAATTGGAGAACCTGTCTGGCTTACAATGATGTCGGGGACTCCAGAAAAGAACCACCTTTGCTATCGTTTCATGAAGGAGTTCACCTTTCTAATGGAAAATGCTTCCAAAAATCAGTATGAATTTATTTATTATAACTAGATATCTAGATTGTAATCAAACTCAATTACAGATGTGGAAGAATCATCCATTATCTTTGGAATTATTTTATATTATTAATCAAAATTAATAATCAGAATTCTAAAAAATAATTAAATGATAGGGTATGGAAGAGTATTACAGAACCTTATGAATGAAAAGCAGTGAAAATGTCTGTAATTATGTAATTAAAATTCCTGACATATTGTAGAATTATCTGAGGCTGCCCATTTTTTTGTGAGTTGTATCCATTTATAGTTTTATTTCATAGAAAAGAGGTAGAAAACATTTAAGGATGGCCAGGCGTGATGGCTCATACCTGTAACCCCAGCACTTTGGGAGGCTGAGGTGGGTGGATCACGAGGTCAGGAGATCGAGACATCCTGGCTAACACGGTGAAACCCTGTCTCTACTAAAAATACAAAAACAAAATTAGCCGGGCATGGTGGCGGGTGCCTGTAGTCCCAGCTACTTGGGAGGCTGAGACGGGAGAATGGCGTGAATCCAGGAGGCACAGCTTGCAGTAAGTGGAGATTGCGCCACTGCACTGTAGCCTGGGTGACAAAGCAAGACTCCGTCTCAAACAAACAAACAAAAAAAACATATAAGGAAATGGTAGGATTCTAATGATGCATTTTCAATGTGATGTTTTATCGTATTGTATTATTTTAACTATTCAAGTCTTTGGAATCCAGATGAATAATTCAGTTGTTTTTATTCTCTTTGATGATAGACAGAGTTTGCTTAATACTTTGCCTCGTTTTCCCATTCAGTAATTTGGAAATGTAAGGACCTGCTGGTTGATTCAGTAATTAATTGTGTGATTAAACACTGAAAATAATCCATAATTTTTGAAGTAAAATGGCATTTCTGTTTTGTACTTACGATCTGCAATAGCTCTTATGAATGTGTTATCTTTATTTCAAGTAGTTTTTAACTCCTCCTCAACCAGAAACTATTAACTTTCATTTTAATCTTGGTGTTATATACTCATCCTTTCCTCTCTCTTCTCCTTTTTTTGGTGCCATTTGGCCACATGAACATATATACTCCCCTTGCTTACTTTTTCACTACATTTTACCTAAGGTTTCATGAAGACTGATTGGAATCTGATCAGATGTATTTTGTTTTCAGATTCTTGCCAGCTCTCATTACTGCAGTTCTGACCAATCATCTTGCCTGGGTTCCAACAGTCATGCCAAATGGACAACCACCTATAAAAATATTTTTAGAAAAGCATTCCTCTCAGAGTGTGGACATGTTGGCAAAGACTCATCCATATAACCCACTTTGGGCACAACTGGGTATGTAATCTGACAACTGTTACACTATGTATTAGACTTTTTTGTAGCTATCTGTAATTATTTTATAGCAAAACCAAAAATAAATAAAATGCTTTTACCTCCTGCATTCTAAAGCATCTCTGCTTTGCTTGTCCTTTCATGTCTGCCAATTTGTCTTATCCTCGTCTTAGACCTGAAATCATTCCTTATAGATGAAGAACTGCAGGTAGAGCAAGAGGAGCAGGCTGATAGCTCGTTTACTAGTAACTTCAGATCTTCAGGATGTTTTATGATTTTGTACTTTGTGTTAGGTACTTTGCAAGAAAGAATAAATCAACAGTCACCGGTGATACCTAAAATCAATCTGGTTAGGAGTGAAGCAATTCACTGAGGTTTCTGTTGATCCACTTTTGTTCACTTGCTGAGTCATTTTGGAAAATGTTTCCCTCAGTGTTAAGCACCACTAAACAAGTCGGGGAACAGAGGGGAGAGTAGATGGTTGATAAGTTCATAGACAATAGGGAGGGATTGTACCAGGGTGCTAAAGACACAGGCTGTGGAGTCAGGCACACCACATTTGAATCACAGTTTCCTTATTCATAAAGTAGGAATAATAGTAGATGATACATACTTTAAAAGTTGTAAAAATTAAAAGAGATAATACATGTAAAATGGTTGAGACTGTGTCTCGTAAACGTAGCTGCTAATTACCTCTGCTCCTACTCTGTTGCTTTTAGATGATGGGGGAAGAGTAAGATGAGAACATTTTGGTGACTGGGTAGTAACTTTCCTTAGGTTGCTCTGTGATTGAGCTTGCCAGGTGGATTGTCATATGGCAATATGTCATATGACATATATCAATTCATATAACCAACCTCCATCCCTACTGGCTTTCTCCCTTGTTCCCTCCCCCATTCCCTTCCATTTTATTGAGTTATAATTGACATACAGTAAATGCATTTTTTTAATGAAGTCTCACTCTTTTGCCCAGGCTGAAGTGCAGTGGCACGATCATGGCTCACTGCAGCTCCAATTTCCCTGGGATCAAATGATCTCCCTACCTTAGTCACCCAAGTAGCTGGGACTACAGGCGCGTAACACCACACCAGGCTAGTTTTTGTATTTATTGTAGAGATGGGGTTTTGCCATGTTCCCCCAGGCTGGTCTCAAACTCCCAGACTCAAGCGATCTGCTCATCTTGGCCTCCCAAGGTGCTGGGATTACAAGCATGAGCCACCACACCTGGCCCAACACATATTTAAAGTACACAGTTTGGGCTAGGTGCAGTGGCTCATGCCTGTAATCCTGGCACTTTGGGAGGCTGAGGTGGGTGGATTACTTGAGGTCAGGAGTTCGAAACCAGCCTGGCCAACATGGTGAAACCCTGCCTCTACTGAAAATACAAAACAATGGCTGGGTGCAGTGGCTCACGCCTGTAATCTCAGCACTTTGGGAGGCCGAGGCAGGCGGATCATGAGGGCAGGAGATCGAGACCATCCTGGCTTAACACGGTGAAATCGCATCTCTACTAGAAGTACAAAAAATTAGCTGGGCGTGGTGGTGGGCGCCAGCTACTCAAGAGGCTGAGGCAGGAGAATGGTGTGAACCCAGGAGGCGGAGCTTGCAGTGAGCCGAGATCATGCCACTGCACTCCATCCTGGGCAACAGTGCAAGACTCTGTCTCAAAAAAAAAAAAAATTAGCTGGGCGTGGTGGCAGGCGCCTATAATCCCAGCCACTTAGGAGGCTGAGGCAGGAGAATCCCTTGAACCTGGAGGCAGAGGTTGCAATGAGCCGAGATCATGCCACTGCACCGTAGCCTGGGTGACAGAGCGAGAATCTGTCTCAAAAAAATAAAGCAATTTGATAAGTTTCGCATATATGCCTCTGAAACCATCACCACAATCAAAATGGTAATCATATTGCATCACTTACAAAAGTTTCCTTATGCCTTTTTGTAATCTCTTCCTCCTCCTCCTCCTCCCCATCTCCTTCTCCCCAACTTCTCTGTTCCTCTTCCACCATCCCTAGGCAGCCACTGGCCTACTTTCTGTCATGGTAGATTACTTGCATTTTCTAGAGTTTTATATGAATGGAATCATGCAGTATATACTTTCTTTGATCTCATTCATTCAATATAATTCAGATTCACCTATTTTGTATGTATTAATGGTTCATTCCTTTTTAATGCTGAGTAGTATTCCATTGCATGGACCTTTTTAAAATCAAATTATTAGTAGTATTTTTTAAATTGGGACATTTAAATCCTTTTTTAATTCTACAATCATTTGTTGACTGTCTAGGCTCTGTTTAAAAAGCACAGAGGCTGTAAAGATGAATGATTTGGAAATTGCCCTCAAGAAGTCGACAGTCTAAGACTGTAGGTAATATATATGCAGACAACAATGATAATTCAAGGAGGAACTATAAGAGAAATGAAAAGTTTAGTGAGAGTTCAACAGGGGAGCCTACTTTTGTCCAAGTGAGGATGCTTAGGTGGGAAGCTATGGACTGGCAGAGATATTGAGGAAAGGGACAGGACATCACATGAGTAAAGAGTCTAGGTGTTAAAAGTGCAGAGCATATTCAGTGGTCCAGTTTAACTGGGGCTTTGTGCGAATAAGGATGATTTCTTCTTCTGACTGCCAAGAAGGAGGATAAGTATAAGAAAATAAAGCTGGAAAAGTAAAGTGGGAATCATGAAAGACTCACTTGCCATGCCAAAGCAATTTCAACTTACTTGGTAATTTGTGGGAATTATGGGAGTAGTTTAGAACAGTGGCATGGTGATATTTGAGCCAGTGTGTTAGCCAGAAGAGAAAATTTATCATAATAGTATCTATAGCTTATATTTATTTGAGACCTATTTATATTTGTTCCTTTAAAAAGTGTGAGGGCTTTGTAAAGTAAAAATAGAGGATTTTAAATGTGTATACTGACAACTTCAAAAATTGAATTAAGTTGAAATTAATGGCTTTGTATTCTCCTTTTTTTTTCTTTCTTTCTTGAGACAGGGTCTCACGCTATTGCACAGGCTGGAGTGTGGTGGTGCGATCACAGCTCACTGCAGCCTCAACTTCCTGGGCTCAGGTGATTCTTCCGCCTCAGCCTCTCAGGTAGCTGGGATTACAGGTGCGCGCCACCATGCCCAGCTAATTTTCTGTATTTTTTTGTAGAGACAAGGGTTTCGCCATGTTGCCCAGGCTGGTCTTGAACTCCTGGGCTCAAGTGATCAGCCTGCTTCCACCTCCCCAAATGCTGGGATTACATGTGTAAGCCACCATGCCCAGCCCTATTCTCCATAGTTTTGGCACTGAAATTACTGGTTTAATTTGAAGTATAGCATAAATATAGAAATGCTAATTTCTAGTCCTGCCCCCCTCACCTCCCCTGCTTTTAACATAATGGCTAGTCATGTTTAGAATGGATTCAAAAGTGAAAATGAACTGCATGGCTGAACTTGTTGCCCTTTCTTTTCCTTTTAGTAAGGATGAGTCTCTCTCTTCCTGCCCTTTCTGGCCTATCCTGAGTACCCAACCCTCTAGGGAATGGAAGGGGAAAATAGGCTTTTACAAACATGGGAGCTGGTGGGGTGGGGTGCTGGCTAGAGGAACAACAGTTAAAGTTCAGAGATATGACTTACTTTTTTATTTTATTTCTTTTTATTTTTTATTATTTTTATTTTTTTGAGACGGAGTCTTGCTCTTGTTGCCCAGGCTGGAGTGCAGTGGTGTCATCTCGGCTCAGTGCACCCTCTGCCTCCTGGGTTCAAGTAATTCTCCAGCCTCAGCCTCCCAAGTAGCTGGGACTACAGGTGCCCACGACACCACCTGGCTAGTTTTTGTATTTTTAGTAGGTACAGGGTTTTACCATCTTGGCCAGGCTGGTCTTGAACTCCTGGTCTCAAGTGATCCACCCATCTCGGCCTCTCAGAGTGCTGGAATTACAAGCGTGAGCCACTGTGCCCGGCCCCAGAGATATGATTTAAATCAGGAATGGTTAAGTGTGTGGTGTGACGACTATAGCTTTGCTCCATTTTACCACTACTCCTTTCCTCTCCTTGCAAGCCAGTGGATATTGTGCTTTGTCTTTTCTTGATTGGACACAGCTACAGAATCCTTGTGTACATAGTACTTCAGGCAGTACTTCTCTAACAAGGTAAAAATGCTCTGCATGGAGCCTGGGTTAGAGAATATTCTTGGGATATGTGAGTTTCAGAACTGACTCTTTGCTTGAGGTTTCTGAACCATAGCATTTGTTTAAAGAGGAAACCAGAAAACCCTTAAATTCACCTTTCTCTCTGGTTAAGATTATTCATCTCATCTTCCTCCCTTGAATAGTCACTCATCTGTTAAAGAACTAAGAGTGAGGCCAGGCATGGTGGCTCACGCCTGTAATCCCAGCACTTTGGGAGGCCAGGGCCAGTGGATTGCTTGAGCCCAGGAGCTCAAGACCACCCTAGGAAACATGGCAAAACTCTGTCTCTACAAAAAAAAAAAAATACAAAAAATTAGCCAGGCATGGTGGCACGCGCTTATAGTCCCAGCTACTCAGGAGGCTGAGGTAGCAGGATCACCTGAGCCTAGGAGGCTGAGGCTGCAGTGAACCATGATTGTACCACTGCACTCCAGCCAGGATTACAGTGTGAGACCCTGTCTCAAAAAAAAAAAAAACAAAAAAACGAGTAAAACCTAAACTATTACTCATACAGTAAAAGAAGTAGGTTTCTGATCATTAAAAATAGCTTACTTAGCTGTGTCAGTAAAGGACATGTCCAATAACTGATTTTTTCCATTACAGGAGACTTGTATGGCGCTATTGGCTCTCCCGTACGGTTAGCAAGGACTGTGGTAGTTGGCAAACGACAAGACATGGTCCAGAGGCTACTTTATTTTCTTACTTATTTTATAAGATGCTCTGAACTTCAAGAAACGCATCTTTTAGAAAATGGAGAAGATGAAGCCATCGTTATGCCAGGCACAGTAATTACTACCACTTTAGAGAAAGGTGAAATAGAAGAATCAGAGTATGTCCTTGTCACAATGCATAGAAACAAAAGCAGTTTGCTCTTTAAAGAGTCAGAAGAAATTAGAACTCCCAATTGTAACTGTAAATATTGCAGTCATCCACTCCTTGGGCAAAATGTAGAGAACATTTCACAACAAGAGAGAGAAGATATTCAAAACAGCTCTAAGGAGCTGCTAGGAATTTCAGATGAGTGCCAGATGATTTCTCCTTCTGACTGCCAAGAAGAAAATGCTGTTGATGTTAAACAGTACAGAGATAAATTAAGAACTTGCTTTGACGCCAAGTTAGAGACAGTTGTTTGCACAGGATCTGTTCCAGTAGACAAATGTGCATTGTCAGAGTCAGGCTTAGAGTCAACAGAGGAAACATGGCAGAGTGAGAAGTTGCTGGATTCAGACAGTCACACAGGCAAAGCAATGAGATCCACAGGAATGGTTGTGGAAAAAAAACCTCCAGATAAGATTGTGCCTGCTTCATTTTCTTGTGAGGCTGCCCAGACAAAGGTTACTTTCCTGATTGGGGATTCTATGTCACCTGATTCAGATACTGAGCTTCGAAGTCAGGCAGTGGTGGATCAGATTACCAGACATCACACCAAACCATTGAAGGAAGAAAGAGGGGCTATTGATCAGCATCAAGAAACTAAACAAACAACCAAGGACCAATCTGGAGAGTCTGATACACAGAACATGGTTTCTGAAGAGCCCTGTGAACTTCCCTGTTGGAATCATTCAGACCCAGAAAGCATGAGCTTATTCGACGAATATTTTAATGATGATTCAATCGAAACCAGGACTATTGATGATGTTCCATTTAAAACAAGTACAGATAGTAAAGACCATTGCTGTATGTTAGAGTTTTCAAAAATATTGTGTACAAAAAATAACAAGCAGAACAATGAATTTTGTAAATGTATAGAAACAGTTCCCCAAGATTCATGTAAAACCTGCTTTCCTCAGCAGGACCAAAGAGATACACTCTCCATTCTTGTCCCCCATGGGGATAAAGAGAGTTCAGATAAAAAAATTGCTGTAGGAACTGAATGGGACATTCCAAGAAATGAAAGTTCAGACAGTGCCCTTGGGGATAGTGAAAGTGAAGATACAGGTCATGATATGACTAGACAAGTTAGCAGTTATTATGGAGGAGAGCAAGAAGATTGGGCAGAAGAGGATGAGATACCTTTTCCTGGGTAAGTAGGAAGTTTTCACCTATAATGGGCCCTATATAAATATGTACCATTCTCTTTTTTAGCTGTTCTCTGAAGGTTAGTATAAAAGAGATCATTGTTCTGGATAGCTCTCTTGTTTTCATATTCTCTTAACTCATAAGAAGGAGTAAAGGCTAAGCTCCAGAAACACCCTGGAAAGGTTTTATGAAGACCTCAAATAAAAGTTAAAGGATCTGGTTGATAAGTATAAGATTTCTTACTGCTTAGAAGGTTTCAAGCCATTTAGGAGTGACTTATGCCCCCCAAAGGACATATGCTGAGCCTGGCAGTTAGGGAGCACTAATCCCTGAGATGTTAGAATAGCTGTTAGAAATAGATTTGGCCAAGACTAAGAGGAAAACAGAGAATGTATACTTTGGGTCAAGTATGCAAGGAGAATATTCATGCTTGAGAAACATTACATACCTAGCTTTGGACTTGTGAGGCATTTAATTGTTTTGTTTTAGATGATTGTTTTCATAATCTGATTGTATTAAGAATGTGCTACAAACACAAGGTACAATTCTCTTAAAGTCTCTTAGGAAAGATTGATCCTCACTTCATTACTCAGTTGCTCATCAGACCTTCTTCTCTGAATAAGAAGGAGTATTTTATTTTCTGATAGAGCACTTGAGCCAGTTTTTAAATAACGATGATTTTACTCTTGATTTTACTATTATTACCATTTTACTCTTAATTTTTACGATTGTTACCATTATATAAGGATGATTTTACACTTGATTTTAATACAGACTAGTGTAAAATATGGACAAGTAGAATTCACTTTTTTTTTTTTTTACTGGTTAAATATATTTATTACTAAATAAATGTCTTTTGGGGGCATTTTTCTTCCAGGTCAAAGTTAATCGAAGTGAGTGCTGTTCAGCCCAACATTGCCAACTTCGGGAGGTCCTTGCTGGGTGGCTACTGCTCATCTTATGTGCCTGACTTTGTTCTTCAAGGAATTGGGAGTGATGAGAGGTTCCGTCAGTGTCTGATGTCAGATTTATCTCATGCTGTGCAGGTGAGTGACCTTCACTGTTTTTGAGTTTATTTAGAAGAAACTCTGTTAAGCAGCAGAACCCAAAATTGCCTTATATTTTTGGTCATACTTTTTACAACACAATCATTGTTCTCTGAATCCATCATTTTATATTCAGTGCCCGTATCTTTGTATCTGTCACTGTGAAAGCAAATAAAGTTCCAGAAATCTATCCACATGGATATCTGAAATACAGAAAGTACTTTATGTATTCATGGATGTCCATCAACTAGGTTATTTATAGTATCAAAAATTTGCAAGTGCTTAAGTTTGAATGGAATTATTTTCTTAATTTCCTTTTCAGATTACTCATTGCTTACATATAGAAGTGGGGTTGGCTTTTGTGTATTGATCTTATATCCTTTGGTCTTTCTGAAACTCTTATTAGTCTATTCATTTTTCTGTATAGGTTCCCTAAGGTTTTCTACACACAGGCTCATGTTATCAGTGAACAGATAGTTTTAAATCTTTCTTAACAATCTGGATGCCTTTTGTCCCCGCTGCCCCCAACTTTTTTTTTTTTTTTTGACTCATTGTACTGGCTAGAATTTTCAATACAATGTTGCATGGAAGTGGTGACCATGGACATCGTTGCCTTATTCCTGATCTTAGGGGAAAGACATTGCATCTTTCATGATTAAGTATGTTGTTAGTTGTAAGGTTTTTGTGATGCCCTTTATTAGATGGAAGAAGTTCCCTTTTTATTTTTATTTTGTTTAACCGAATACTTCTTTTAGAGACAGGCAGTTCTCTTTTATTCCTAGTTTTGAGACGGTTTGGTTTTTTTTGTCCATCCCTTAATCATGAATGAGTGTGGGATTTTGTCATATGCTTTTTCTCAATGTCTATTGAGATTGTATTGTCGTGTCATTTTTCATCTTTAAACTATTAATGTCATGGATTTCATTAATTAATTTTTAGATGTTAAACCAACCATTGTATTCCTAGGAAGCAATTCCCACTCTGTCATGGTATATAATTTTTTTTATGTGTTGCTGGATTTGATTTACCAATATTTTATTATGGACATTGGAGTCTATATTCATGAGAAATATTGCTTTTTAGTTTTCTTGTGATGTCTTTGTCTAGCTCTGATATCAGGATAATATTGGCACATCCTCTATTTTCTGGAAGAGTTTCCAGAAGATTAGTACTACTTTTTTTCTCTAAACGTTTGGTAGAACTCACTAGTGAAACCATCTGCATCCAGGCTTTTAAGAATAAGAATATTTTAAATTGCTAATTTAATTTCTTCACCTTTTATACATTTAGATTTTCTATTTGTTTCTGAGTCCATTTTGGTAATTTTTGTCTTTTAGGAATTTATTAGTTGCATTTAAGTGGCCTAATTTACTAGAATCAAGTTGTTTATATTATACACTTACAATCCTTTTAGTTTTTATAAGGTTGCTAGTGATGTCCCCTCTTTTGTTCCTGAATTTTGTAATGTGTGTTTTTGTTTGTTTGTTTTTCAAATGGTGAGGGCTTCTCCAAAGAGAAGTTCATTCGTGGTTTCACTTAAATTGTATATATTTTTTGCCCATATACATCAAGGATTAGCAAGCTATGGACAGTGGGCCAAATTGTCCTGCTTTTTATAGATGAAGTTTTATTAGAACACAACCACAGTCATTCATTTATATGCTTCTGGCTATGTTCATGCCTAACAGCAGAGTTGAGTTATTGAGACAGAGACTTTTCAGCCCCCAAACCTAAAATATTTCCTGTTTGTTCTTATTTTATTTTATTTCATTTTTCTTGAGACAGAGTCTAGCTCTGTTACCCAGGCTGGAGTACAGTGGTGCCATCTCAGCTTACAGTAACTTCTGCCTCCCAGGTTCAAGTGATTCTCTTGCCTCAGCCTCTGGAGTAGCTGGGATTACAGGTGCCCACCACCACACCTGCCTAATTTTTGTATTTTTAGTAGAGATGAGGTTTCACCATGTTGGCCAGGTTGGTCTGGAACTCCGACCTCAGGTGATCCACCCACCTCAGCCTCCCAAAGTGCTGGGATTATAGGCGTGAGCCACCGCACCTGGCCAAATCTGACAAATTTCGATCTGTTGTATTTTCAGTTTCATTCATTTCAAAATGTTTTTACATTTTGCTTGTAATTTCTTTGACTTATGAGTTATTTAGAAGTATGCTGTTTAATTTACAAATATTTATGGAATTCTCAAAAGTTGTTTTGCTGTTGGTTTCTAATTTAATTCCATTATGGTTGGAGAACCTACTTTGTTCACCTCTTGTAAATTTATTGAGACTGTTTTATGGCACTTGAAAAGAATATATATTCTGCTTTTGTTGAAATGTTCTATAGCTATCAGGTCAAGTTAGATAACCTTTAGATAATAGTCTTAATTAAGTCTTTTATGTCCGTGCTGATTTTCAGTTTGTTTCTGCCATCAATTATTGAGAATGAAGTATTGAAGTCTTCAGCTATTGTTTGGTTGAATTTTCTATTTCTCCCTTCAATTGTACATATCACTTTAATACTTTGCTTTAATAACAAAATCTGGCCACCTCTCAATTTAAAAAGTTAATAAAGAAATAGAGAGGCCCGGAATGGTGGCTCACGCCTATAATCCCAGCACTTTGGGAGGCCGAGGTGGGTGGATTACTTGAGGTCAGTAGTTTGTGACCACCCTGGCCAACATGGTGAAACCCTGCCTCTACAAAAATACAAAGATTAGCTGGGTGTGGTGGCATGTGCCTGTAATCCCAGCTGCTTGGGAGGCTGAGGCAGGAGAATCACTTGAATCCAGGAGGTAGAGGTTGCAGTGAGCCGAGATCACGCCACTGCACTCCAGCCTGGGCAACAGAGCAAGACAACCATTTCAAAACAAACAAACAAACAAACAAACAAACAAAAAAACAGAAGTGAAGAAAGCCAAGTGGGAAATTATGGATGAGAAAATGTGGCTTAGTGAGCAACAGTCAATTGTTAGCCAATAAGGTTTAAACCTTCTGTGTCTGTAGAAAGTTACCTAAGTTGTAAAGTTTGGTGTTTTATTGTATAGTAGAGAAATTATGGCAAATATAGATAAAAACAATTTGTGAGAAAAACTTATCAGAACTTGTGATCTTCATATTTAAAGGCTAGTTTGCCCAGCTTTTGAATACCAATCAAATAAATATTTATTGACCTACTGTGTTCTGAATATAGTGCCAGTACTCCAAGGGATATATGTATGAAAAAGAAAAAGTTTCTGACTTCAAGTTTTTAACTTAGCAACAGAGAAAATAAGGCCAAGTGTATGAATAAATGTAGTATAAAACATAACAAAAGTAGTGCCTGAGGAAGATACTTGAATGTATTATTGCTTCAAAGGACAGATTTTTTATTAGTTGGTGGTATGGATGCCCTTCAGGGTAAAGGAACCGTTTCTAGTTTTTTCAATGCTTCCCTCCCAATACCTGATGAAGTGCCTATTATTTGTTGAATTACTTGGTTAAGGAATTGTATATGAGTTCTTCTAATGCACTCTGTGTCTTCTAATGCATTCTTATCTTTCTTTATGTCTGATCCTAGTTGCTTAGTCTCTTTTCTTCTTTCATCTGTACCCATCGCCAAACACAGTATCTTGTGACTTTCTCTGTGAAAGCCTGGCGTTGGAAAACATTGCTGTCTCCTGCTGAAGATAAAGACAACATTTTGATTTTAAGGGTTTCTTCCTGCTATTATAGGATGAATAATAATAATAGTATTTAGTTTTTATTGTTGCCTTACTGTGTCCCAGGCACTTAAGTGTACTATTTCACTTAATCTTATAATAATCCTTTGAGGTACTTATTATTGTTATCTTTGTGTTTCAGATATGGCTCAGAGAAGTTTTTAAGTTACATAGATGGGGAATGGCAAAACTAGAATTCAGTTCTTAACTGCCTGTTCTTAAGCTGCTATGCCATACTGTTACTAAAACTGATGAACAAAGAGTAATACAAATAGCAAAATCACCATTACAAAGTTATAAGACTTTTATATTAGTGGTCCCAGGTCTGTTGCTCTTGGATTCCTTCCACTATGGTAAAAAGGAAGGAGCTATTTGTCTTTCCCCCTCTGTTTTAGTAATTGGGTTTCTAGTCTTTCCTTCTCATATTTTCATTTAGTCATGTAAGTATACTATCAAAGCACTATTATAGAAAAATTTGACAAAAAGAAAAATAAAATACCTTCAATCTCAGCACTGACAAGTTGTTGAACTTTGTTATCAATCATTTTTCCAAAGCATGTATAGGATTTCTAAAAAAATTATTTGGCCAGGCACGGTGGCTCACAGCTGTAATCTCAGCACTTTGGGAGGCCGAGGTAGGCAGATCATGAGGTCAGGAAATCAAGACCATCCTGGCTAACACAGTGAAACCTCATCTCTGCTAAAAATACAAAAATTTAGCCAGGCATGGTGGTGGAGCTACTACGGAGGCTGAGGCAGGAGAATGGCCTGAACCCAGGAGGCGGAGCTTGCAGTGAGGTGAGATCACGCCACTGCACTCCAGCCTGGGCGACAGAGCGAGACTCCGTCTCAAAAAAAAAAAAAAAAAAAAGTATTATTTTAGGCCAAGCGCTGTGGCTCACGCCTGTAATCCCAGCACTTTGGGAGGCCAAGGTGGGCAGATCATGAGGTCAAGAGTTCGAGACCAGTCTGGCCAACATAGTGAAACCCCGTCTCTGCTAAAAATACAAAAAATTAGCTGGGTGTGGTGGTGGGCATCTGTAATCCCAGCTACTCGGGAGGCTGAGGCAGGACAATCGCTTGAACCTGGGAGGCAGAGGTTGCTGTGAGCTGAGATTTCACCATTGCACTCCAGGCCAGGTGACAGTGAGACTCCATCTCAAAAAAAAAAAAAAACCTATCTATATATATATATATTTTTTAATCCTTGCATACTTAAAGTTTATCATATTTAACATGAAATTTTTTTATGTGACTACATGGAAAAACATGTAGGAACCTTTTAATATATAAATAATGGAAGTGATACTTTAAAAAAATACAGTCTTCTGAATTATAAGAGGAGAGTGTCTTTTCTTTTTCTCCCTGATTTTTAATAAAGTAGCATTTTTCTTAATATATATTTATTATACAAAATGTTGAAATGTGAAGAAAGCCAAACACAAATTTTCCTAACTCTACCATCAGCTATTCTTATACAGAAACTTCCTCCAGGCATTAGGCAGCATTGTGGCTTCTCATAAAACCCAGAATTGGCCACTTATTGCCGGTATATCATAAGACAGAATACTTACTCTAGGAAAGCCTCAGTTTCTTTGGCTATAATGAAAGTAATACTGATGTTTGTTTACCAGACTTACACTGTGTGGTGATATTAGTCACACTGTGCTTTGCATCTTCTTGTTATGATTATTATTCTGTATGTATGTGTATTTATATATCATATATATGTCTGAAGCCTTATATATAAAATGATATGCTTGTGTATATCTGTGTAAATACACAATATTTACACAGATAAATACACAAGCATATCATTTTATATATAAATACACAGATATACACAAGCATATCTTTTTATATATAAGTATATATTTTTATATAGCTGAGTCCTTATATATAAAATATATGCATGTATATGTATTTATATATACCCATATTTTTATACTCTTTATGATTTTATATTATCTGTTTTAAATTCTGCTTTTGTTACATAATAGTTAATGTAAGAATATTTCCCCATACTAACATAGTGTGTAAACATTATTTTTAATGTATATGGATTATTGCATGGTTTTGTCATAGTTTATGTTTCTCACCATTCTCCTATTGCTCTTTTTTTTTTTTTTTTTTTTTGAGACAGGGTCTTGCTCTGTCATCCAGGTTAGAGTGCAGTGGCACGAACATGGCTTACTGGAGCCTTGAACTCCTGGGCTCAAGCAATCTCCCATCTCAGCTTGCCCAGTAGCTGGGACTGTAGGCACATGCCAGCATGCCTGGCTAATGTGTTTATTTTTTGTGAAGATGGGGTCTCGCTGTATTATCCAGGCTGGTCTCGAACTCTGGAGCCTCAAGTGATCCTCCCACCTCGGCCTCCCAAAAATCTTGTTCTAAAGAGAAAGCCAAGTTTCACCTTTGCATTAGTGTATTAGTAACATTAAACCCAATTCTTAATAAAACCTTATAAACAAACTGATTCAATCTTAGTTTAACCATAAGGTAAAATTTTAATAAACCTTTTTTAATCTTTTATAATTTTCTGTTAAGCAGTAGATCAATTCACTAAGAAAACCATGTTATTCAGACATGTGAGCCCAGATTTTGGCCCTGCATTAGTGTGCTCTTATTTCAGTGTTCAACATACAGAAAAATTAAATAATCCCCTTCAAATCTTAGCAAACTTGCTTATACCTACAGAACTTCCTTTATGAGATCAACCCTTCACAAACCCTCTACACCTTGCTTAAACCTTCAGTTTTGTCCCATTACTCTTTTAGGTTAAGACAATTGTTAAAACCCTCTGAGCTAGACAAAATTTCATTCCCTTTAACAAAAACCATATTCCCATGCCTTCTTATAGCCTCCCATCAAAACCACATTCTTTTTTCCTTCTACACCTTGTATATAAAACTGTTTTTCCAGTAGTCTCAAGTGCATGCTGCACTGTTAACTTTTAGCAAATTTTATTTTTGGTGAGAAACCTAGTAAACAAGCAATTTTAACCATGTATAATATTGCAGAACCCATGACTTTTCCCAGCCTAGCCAGGGGACCTGCCTAACTCCATATGTCTCCAGGCCTTACCTAGAATCTATTGGCTGTAGAACAGACAAACAATTAGTAAAAGTCACAGAAGCAGTTTATCACCTTAAAGCATCCAGCAAACAGTGTTTGACCTGCCAAATTTAGACTAAATATATAAACTTTGAAGACATTTTCATTTTACTTTACCAATAATCTTCTTTTTTATTTACAAAAAGATTATTAGAGTCATGAGACCTACAGGGATTAAAGTTTCCATTTTTCTGACAATGTTTGATTCAAGCGCTTATTTTTCTTTAAGCCAATTAATTGGAGCTGTATATATAAACATCACACACATGACACATATAAATACACAGAAACAGAGAATCAAGAAAAAATTCCATTGACTGAGAAGCTTTTGAAGGGAAGGCTGGAGCTTTCAAACAATATCTGTATATATAGCCCAAATATCAGCTATTTAATTAAGTCGATTTCTAACTGTGGAGCTCTCAAGAGAAAAATTCTTTTAAAATCTTTTATTACCAGATTTCAGTGAGGACAAACTCTGACTTCTGAATCCTTTTACTAGAGGTAACCTTCTATGTGAAATCAATAAGCCTTAACTAAGGGGATGACTTAAACAGGGATGTAGGAGGTGTCTCCAAAGAGATGGTAAATGATTTATAAGATCTAGAATATCCCCAGGCCAGCCGCGGTGGCTCACACCTGTAATCCCAGCACTTTGGGAGGCCGAGGCAGGTGGATCACCTGAGGTCAGGAGTTCAAGACCAGCCTTACCAACATGGCAAAACCCCGTCTCCACTAAAAATATAAAAAGTAGCCATCAGGCACAATGGCGCATGCCTGTAATCCCAGCTACTCAGGAGGCTGAGGCAGGAGAACCGCTTGAACCTGGGAAGCCAAGGTTGTGGTGAGCCAAGATCGTGCCACTGTACTCCAGCCTGGGTGACAGAGTGAGACACCATCTCAAAAAAAAAAAAAAAAAAAAAAAATCTAGAATATCTCCAAAGGTAGTTCAGAGAAAAGAAAATTCAAGATAAGAAATGAGAAGCTGTGCATGGAAGGGAAAAGAATCAATAAATGGCAAAAGTTCCACAAGTATTAAACCAAAAAGGACTTGCTCCCAAAGCCTGGAATTGAACCCAAGCCACCCACCACTGTGGGAGGGCAAAGCCTTTGCAACTGACCTACAGTACAAGGTGACTGCTGTTGTCTTTCCCAGAAGGAGTCTAGAGCATTTTCAAGCTTGCAAAGGACTTCAACTGCTCAAGAGAATTTTCTAAGACTAACCATGTCATTATTATGCATCTTTCTTTTAATTTAACCTTTTTCTTTCAATGAGGTAGTCAGTTCCAATAGTGACACAATCTAAGAAGCCTATTAAAGTTTAGATGATAATTTTCCAGTTTTTTTTTTCCTTTCTTTTTACATTAGAAGCAAAAGGTATCTAGGGTAGAAGAGGCATCTCCATGATCCCCAAGAATTCACTCTCAGAAATGGGCTTAAGATAGCAAAAGATGACAAATGCCCTATAGAGATGGGACCTTTTCAGACAAAACTCACCCAAGGGCTTGACACATTTGGGATGAAGAATGTGCTGACTCATCTCAGACTCCCAGCCCTTTCGGATTGGGTGCCTGACATGAACTTGAAAATTCCTGTTCTCTGGATGGTGGAGACCAAGAGAGAGTATCCCCACATGGTCACAAAGTCATGCTCTCAAGGATGTAAAACAAGATTAGAGGGAAGCCTCATTTAGTTTTTGTTTCAGGGACCCACAGCAAAGTTTATAACTGACCCATCGAAAAGTACACCAGAATCACTACAGCCTCAGATTAGCCTCTCACAGATCCTTTTTCTTATTAATAAACAGTGATTTTTACCATTCACTTATCTAATTTGCACAGAGAGAGAGAGGCCAGAAGCCTCACTGGTAAGAAATTCTTACCTTTTGTTGGCACGGCAGGTTTCTGATTTCCCTTTCCCTCAGCTGCCCTGGCGATGTTGCTCACCGCACCATAGTCACAAAGGAAAATTACTTTTGTGTGTTTCATTGAACCATAGGCAAAAACCTCTCAACTTTGTAAGATGTCACCCAATAGGCTGTGTGGGGGAGCGAGGGAGAGGGGCGAGAGACCATCAAATTAACATTCTTTATCTCAGCTTGGTGAAGCACACATAACAAAACAGACACTAGTCACTTTGCTCAGCACCTAATACTGACTTATCAAGGCTCAATCTTTTTCTAGTGTGCCCCTGTCATCTTTGATCCCCTCAAGGTAGGGAGGGATGACCTCTGACTGGGAATTCACTGGGTGATGTCTGGACAACATGAAGAGCAGACAGTCACCCCAGGTCAAACCTGTTGAACTTCCTTTACTGCTCAGCAAATGTGACCAAATAAGGTTCTCCGAGTTAGGTCTGCTGGACTTCCATCACCAATTCCTTTAGAGATCCCCTCTAGATGTACAAACACACACACACACACACACACACACACACACAAAACAAAGACAAGACGGACAGAAGGTCTCCCAAAGCAAGATCCCTGAGCAAGAATTCTAAGAGTATGCTTCTATTCTCTGAGAAACCTCCCTGAAATCTTCCTGATTGAGGAGAAGTCTCCCCAACCAAGACTCTTCCTACTGATTAGGGAGAGCCAATTGAAACCGCCAAAGGGGCCAAACTTAGATCCCTTAAGAAGCCAAACCAGTCAGGAGAAGGAAGGAGGCATTGGCACCACCTAGAATACCCACCAGACCAGTTTAGAGATGTCTTTACAGGAACAATTTCTCTACTGCAATTGAATCCATGCACCATGGGTCAGCAGTGTGTTGCTGGTAGAGATAGTGCCAGCGTCAGCCCCCAGTCCAAGAGAACTACGCAGCCACTTGGGCTGGCCTCTGGATCTATTGCCGGTGGGGGACTACCACACCGTGGGCAGGTAGCCACAAGGGTGATCCCAGATGAGCCCCCAAATTTGTAACTGCCCAGGGGTTCTTCCTGCCCACTGCATAAAGACTATGGTATTGTAGTAGAGAAAAAGTTCAATAGACACAAGGCCAGCCACCCCACATGGGAGATGGAGTTCATACTCAAATCATCTCCTTCAAAGCTTGTAGGTTAGGGATTTTTAAAAGGCAGTTTGGGGAAAGGGGTGCGGTGGCCAGGTAACAGGTGCTTACGGCTGATTTGTTGGGGCAGAAATAACATCATAGGGGGTTGAAGCTATCCTACTGGGGCCAAATCGCTTCTGGATGGGGCTACAGGAGTGGGTTGTCAGTCCAGGTGGAGCCAAGGGTGTCAGACATGCAAAAAACCTGGAAAGATATCTCAAAATGCCAGTGCACAATAGTGGTGTTATTTGCAGTTGGGAAAGTTTCATTTCTTATAATCTCCAGAATAATGTCTGTGCCTTAGCAGAACTCAAACTCCTCTCCTACTTTCAGCCTGATGGCTTCCTTTTAGCTTTACAAAAGCAGTTGAGTTTTGGGCAAGGCCTATTATCATTTAAACTGTAGCCTGGACCACCAAGACTGTGTCCACCCTGCAAGCACAGAGCCTCACCCTCACCACTCTGCCGCCCATCCACACCTGCCACCAGTTCACCATGGATAATGATATTGCTGTGCTTGTCGTCGACAATGGCTCTGGCATGTGGAAGGTCTGCTTCACGGGCAACGATGCCCCCGGGCCGTCTTCCCCTCCATAATGGGGCACCCGAGGCACCAGGGTGTGATGATGGGCATGGGTCGGAAGGACTTCTATGTGAGCAACAAGGCCCAGAGCAAGAGAGGTATCATGACCCTGAAGTACCCCATGGAGCATGGCATCATCACCAACTGGGATGACATGGAGAAGATCTGGCACCACACCTTCTACAATGAGCTGCATGTGGCTCCCAAGGAGCACCGTATGCTGCTGACTGAGGTCCCCCTGAATCCAAGGCCAACCACAAGAAGATGACTCAGATCATGTTTGAGACCTTCAACACCCCAGCCGTGTATATGGCCATCCAGGCCATGTTGTCCCTGTACACCTATGGCTGTACCACTGGCATTGTGATGGACTCCAGCGATGGAGTCACCCACACAGTGCCCATCTACGAGGGTTACGCCCTCCCCCGTGCCATCCTGTGTCTGGACGTGGCTGGCCGGGACCTTACTAACTACCTCATGAAGATCCTCACCGAGCACAGCTACAGCTTTACCACCATGGCCGAGCGGGAAATCGTGTGTGACATCAAGGAGAAGCTATACTATGTCACCCTGGACTTTGAGCAGGAGATGGCCACAGCGGCCTCCAGCTCCTCCCTGGAGAAGAGCTATGAGCTGTCCGATGGCCAGGTCATCACCATTGGCAATGAGCTATCCTGCTGCCCTGAGGCGCTCTTCCAGCCTTCCTTCCTGAGCATGGAATCCTGTGACATCCACAAAACTACCTTCAACTCCATCATGAAATGTGACATGGACATCCGCAAAGACCTGTACACCAACACAGTGTTGTTTGGCGGCAACAACATGTACCCTGGCATTGCGAACAGGGTGCAGAAGATCGTCACTCTGGTGTGGATGGGCAGCTCCATCCTGGCCTTGCTGTCCACCTTCCAGCAGATGTGGGTCAGCAAGCCAGGAGTATGATGAGTCTGGCCTCTCCATCGTCCATCGCAAATGCTTCTAGGCGGACTGTTACTTAGTCGCGTTTCACCCTTTCTTGACAAAACCTAACTTGTGCAGAAAACAAGATGAGATTAGCATGGCTTTATTTGTTTTTTTGTTTTTGGTGGTGATTTTTTTTTTTTTTTTTTTTTTTTTTTTTGGCTAGACCCAGGATTTAAAAACTGGGACAGTGAAGGTGACAGCAGTCAGCTGGAGCAAGCATCCCCCAAAGTTCTGCAATGTGGCCGAGGACTTTGATTGTACATTGTTCTTTTTTCTAATAGTCATTCCAAATATCGTGAAATGCATTGCTACAGGAAGTCCCTTGCCCCCCTGAAAGCCACCCCATTTCTCTCTAAGGAGAATGGCCCAGTCCTCTCCCAAGTCCACACAGGGAAGGTGATAGCATTGCTTTCATGTAAATTATATAATGCAAAATTTTTTAATCTTCACCTTAATACTTTTTTATTTTGTTTTACTTTGAATGATCAGCCTTTGTGGCCCCCCTTTTGTCCCCCAACTTGAGATGTATGAAGGCTTTTGGTCACCCTTGGAGTGGGTAGAGGCAGCCAGGGCTTACCTGTACACTGACTTGAGACCAGTTGAATAAAATTGCACACCTTAAAAAAAAACAAAAAGCTGTAGCCTAAATGTCTTCCGAAGTTAGCTTGGCCCCATACCCCAGGAATAATTAAGGGAAAGGCCAAAATGGGTTTTGGGTTAGCTTAGTTCACTGTTATAATGTTCTCACTAATATAACTTTTGCAAAGGCGGTTTCAGTATCATAGAAGGGCCCATGTGGTAAAAGAAATAAAAATCAGTCTTGAATAATATGAACCCTTCTGCTAGATTGTCTAACGTCAATTTGTTTTTTGGCCTTGCTGCTTCTACGTCTTGTTCCTCATTGTCTGGCACTAGTTTGGAAGCACTCGTCTCTATCGAGTTGTCTTTTGTTCATTCCTCTGGTATGGTGTCTGTTAGCTCTTGAATTTCTGCAAGATCCATATCTTTTTTTTTTTTTTTTTTTGAGATGGAGTCTTGCTCTGTTGCCCAGGCTGGAGTGCAGTGGCGTGATCTTGGCTCACTGCAGGCTCCGCCTCCCAGGTTCATGCCATTCGCCTGCCTCAGCCTCCCCAGCAGCTGGGACTACAGGCACACACTGCCACACCCGGCTAATTTTTTTGTATTTTTAGTAGAGACAGGGTTTCACCATGTTAGCCACGATGGTCTCAATCTCCTGACCTTGTGATCCGCCTGCCTCGGCCTCCCAAAGTTGCAAGATCCGTATCTTGAAAGCCTTCACCCACCGTTTTTTTTTTTTTTTTTTTTTTGCCTTATTTTCAAGCTCTTTCATCATTTCCTTGATGGGCTCTGTTGTTAAGTTCTGTGTGCAACATCTGGACACAGTTTTCTCCAGCTGGAAGTTATTGTTTCAGGCTTGATGGCTTTCATGGCTTTTTCTGTAACAGCAATGGCATCTTCTATGGCGTGATTCTTCGGACTGTCATGATATTCTCTCCACTGGGGTTCTTTTCCATAGCACTGACAATCATTTTTATAGAATATTGTGTTTAATGGTCCTTATGGCACCCTGATCTAGAGGCTGAGTTAGAGATGTGTTTAGGGGCAATTAGACTACTTCAACACTTGCAGTGTTAAACTCATAGGGTTCTGGGTGGCCAGGGGCATTGTCCAACATAAGAACTTTAAAAGGCAGTCACTTACTGGCAAGGTACTTCTTGATTTTAGAAATAAAGCATGGGTGGGGCCAGGCGTGGTGGCTCACGCCTGTAATCCCAGCACCTTAGGAGGCTGAGGTGTGTGGATCATGAGGTCAGGAGTTCGAGACCAGCCTGGCCAACATAGTGAAAACCCGTCTCTACTAAAAATACACAAATGAGCCAGGCATGGTGGCAGGTGCCTGTAGTCCCAGCTACTTGAGAGTCTGAGTCAGGAGAAGCACTCGAACCTGGGAGTTGGAGGTTGCAGTGAGCTGTCTGGGCAACCCAGCGAGACTCTGTCTCAAAAAAAAAAAAAAAAAAAAAAAAGGCATGGGTGGATTCAATCCAGAAAAAGAGTTTTTGTTTTTCAGGCTTTCTTGTTCTACTATCAGAAGACTAGCAGGGCTGGTGTTTATCTTTTTTCCTTCAAGGTCCAGAGGTTAGCAGCTCTTTATATAAGGGTAGTTCTGATCTTAATCATGACTGCATTTACACAAAACAGTGGAGTTAGCTTATCCCTTCCTGCCTTAAATCTCGGTGCTTGCTCCTGTTCCTTACTAATAAATGTACTTTGTGGCATCTTTTTCCATAATAGGATTCTTTCATCAGCAATAAAAACCTGTTCAGGCAGATACCTTTTGTCCTCTATGATTTTCTTGATGGTGTCCAAGAACTTGTGTATTGCCTCTTGGTCAGCAAAAGCTGTTATCTTGATATTTTTTAAGCTAAAACTCTTTCTAAAATTATCAAACCATACTTTCCTAGCGTTAAATTCTCCAGCTTTAGATCCTTTACCCTCCTTTTGCTTTAAGTTGTCATATAATGACTTCATCTAAAAAATAATATTAGAGTCTTTAGTTAGAGCTTTCTTACAGCAACCCTGTACCCACATAAGAGCTGCATTTTCATTATGAGATTTAAAAGGTATTCTGCAAAAGTACCTGGTTTTCACACCTAGTGGCATTGCTGCAATGACAGCTTCACAAATTTCCTTTTCTTATTTTACAACTGTCCTCATGGTGGATTCATTGATCTTGAAATGATGGGTAACCACAGCTACTTAATCTATGGTCCATATCAAGCCATTCAAGTTTTTCTTGTAATATCTTAACTTCTCTCTACTTTTCTTGAGAGCATTTCCAGCATCACTAGTGGTACTCCATGTGGATCCCATGATGTTATTCAGGGTTTGCTGTATCACACTAACCATGATGGAAAATACATGAGAACCTTTAAACACCAGTTTTGTTATCTTTTTGGCTTTTTGTTTTATTAGAGACAGAGTCTTACTCTGTCACCCAGACTGGAGTGCAATGGTGCAGTCATAGCTCACTGCAGCCTCAAACACCTGGGCTTAAGGGATCCTCCTGCCTTAGCCTCCCAAAAGAGATTAGTTTTTTTTTTGTTTTGTTTTGTTTTGTTGTTTTTTGAGATGGAGTCTTGCTCTGTCACCCAGGCTGGAGTGCAGTGACGCAATCTTGGTTCACTGCAAGCTCCACCTCCCGGGTTCACGCCATTCTCCTGCGTCAGCCTCTGGAGTAGCTGGGATTGCAGGCGCCTGCCACCATGCCTAACTAATTTTTTTTTTTTTTTTGTATTTTTAGTAGAGACGAGGTTTCACTGTGTTAGCCAGGATGGCCTCGAAAAGAGATTAGTTTTTAACTGAGATATGCTGTTTATTGGAGAGCGGAACTGCTCCTGCAGAGATGATTAAGTTGGCAGGGTGTTTGAAGTACATACTTGCAACACTTGAGCTCTGGGCAATAGCAACAGGAAGTAGCTACAAAACTATTATAGTAGTGCAGTAGGTACTACAGCTAGTTTTATGCAGTTATGATTTAATACTATACATTTGTTAACATTTCTCTGGGCTGTGAATGTCACCTTGTATGCCTTGTAAGTGTGTAAGTTTTTATAAATTTTAACTTCTTATAGTAGATTTGTATTTTATAGTAGTAAATGATAAAATATACTACCTACATTTTTTTGTTTGTTTGTTTGTTTTGAGATGGGTCTTACTATGTTGCTCAGGTTAGTCTCTCGAACTACTGGGCTCAATTGATCCTCTCGCCTCTGCCTCCCCAGTAGCTGGGATTACAAATGCACACTACTGTGGCATGCATCCACATATATTTTATGTATTCATGACATGCCTAACTTTTCTTATTTTCCGTATTTCTAGGCTACACGGTTTTGTCTAAGTTTTTCAAATTGTTGCAAATTTCCAAAAACTTTACCCATATATTATATTGGAAAAAATTGGCATCTAAGTGGACCTGTAGTTCAAACCCATGTTGTTGGTCAGCTGAATATATTTCACAATATCACAGATGTATATATCTTTGCCAAAATTATATTTCCATAATTAAGTGATGAATAACAAAGTGATTTATCCCTGGCAAGAGATGAATAAATATTTGAATACTGTTTTATAAAAAACAAATATAAATTTGGGGCTCCATGGAAAATCTTCCCAAGGTATATTTTTGGACTTTTCCTTTGCCATTCTCTTCTTATTTCTCAATATCATTTCTCACAAATGTAGCCATTTGCATCTACTTCTATTTCTGATTCTTACTCTTACCGAATTATCCATGTTCTTCTCCCATTTTTTTCACCAGTAGTCCTATCTATACACTTCAATGTCATAGTCCTATGTCCCTTTCACTGCGAAACTCCCTATCACACAGATCCCACGATTGCCCTCCTCTACTTCCCAGCACTTGGTTTCTGCTTCATCAGTAACACATTTTTTTTAAAGCTAGATGTATTTATTTTGATCTCCCTCACAAGTCTATGAGTTCTGTTGTCTTTGTTTCTTTAGTTTCCAGGAAAGAGCTTTATTCAGAGTAGTTGTTCATTAACTAGGCAAAGGAATATCATTTGAGGATGCCAAACCTGGGCTTATCCAGGAGTAAACTTTTGTCCTTATTGTGGTACCTTATCCTAATTGTAGTAACATTAAAAGTTAGAGAGGAAAAGCCATTGGTCTCAGTATTTCATATTATAGTTTTAATCTCAGTCTTGTTGCTGCTATTCCATTTGGCCAGTAGTAAAAAAAAATCCTTACCTTTCCAAATACAGAAAAATATTAAAGGTAGGGTCACTATCTGTTTCTGGCAGACATGCTCTGTACTTAATTGTCATTTTTGGTCTTTGTTTGTAAACCGGGGGAAGGTAAGGACATAGCCATATGCCTTGTGGCTCTTTCATGACTATGTATATATGAGTCAAAATATTATTTTTCACTGTCTTAACATTTTTAACAATGAAAGTAAATGCTTGTGATAAAAATTCAAACAATAAGGGCTGGGTGCAGTGGCTCACGCCTGTAATCCCAGCACTTTGGGAGGCCAAGGTAGGTGGATTGCGAGGTCAGGAGTTCGAGACCAGCCTGACCTACATGGTGAAACCCTGTCTCTACTAAAAGTACAAAAATTAGCCGGGCGTGGTGGCACACACCTGTAATCCCAGCTACGCAGGAGGCTGAGGCAGGAGAATCACTTGAACCCGGGAGGTGGAGGTTGCAGTGAGCTGAGATCACGCCACTGTACTCCAGCCTAGGCTGGTGACAGAGTGAGACTGTCTGAAAAAAATAAATAAAAATTTAAAAGTTCAAACAGTATAAAGATATACAGAGTAAAAAGTAGAAGTCCTTCATACTCTTAACGTTCTTGCTTCACAGAGATCTTCAATACTTCATACTTGATTTGAGTATTTTCTTTCTTTTTTCTATACACTTTCATTTAGATGTAGATCTGAATTTTTAGAAACATAACTGTATGTATAGTGACTTTTTTTTTTTTTGAGACGGAATTTCGCTCTTGTTGCCCAGGCTAGAGTGCAATGGCACGATCTCAGCTCACTGCAACCTCTGCCTCCCGGGTTCAAGCCATTCTCCTGCCTCAGCCTCCCAAGTAGCTGGGATTACAGGCATCTGCCACCATGCCCGGCTAATTTTTTGTATTTTTAGTAGAGTTGGGGTTTCACCATATTGGCCAGGTTGGTCTCAAACTCCTGACCTTAGGTGATCGGTCCACCTTGGCCTCCCAAAGTGCCTGCATTATAGGCGTGAACTACCACGCCCAGCCTGAATTTTTTTTTTTTCACTTAACAATGTGTCTTGGAGAACCCTGTTAGTATATTTTGATGTGTCCCATTTTTAACTGCTGTATTCATACTCTGGACAGATGTCTTAGTCAAACAGAAAAATCTAATTCATGTAGGCAGCAAAGCACTTCATGACATCAAGGAATACCTTCTCTGGTGCTGAGGGATATTAATGCCTGACATATTGGGATAGTTAGCACAGAATCTTACCATTGACTTATTTGTGTGAATAAGTCTTGTTTCTTTGTTGTTGTTGTTGTTTGTGTTTTTTTTAAGACAGGGTCTTACTCTTTGACCCACACTGGAGGGCTGTGGCACAGTTTTAGATCACTGCAATCTTGAATTCTTGGGTTCAAGCAATCATCCCACCTCAGCCTCCTAAGTAGCTGGGATCACAGGTGCATGCCACCATTCCTGGCTGATTTTTTAGATTTTTTTGTAGAGACGAGGTCTGGCTATGTTGCTCAGGCTAGTCTCAAGCTCCTGGCCTTAAGCAGTCCTCCCACCTCAGCCTCCCAGTGTGCTGGGATTATATAGATGTGAACCATGTCATCTGTCCTGTCCTGTCCTGTTCTGTTTTTAAAATGTTTGTCTCAGGCCAGGTGCAGTGTCTCACGCCTGTAATCCCAAAACTTTGGGAGGCCGAGGTGGGTGGATCACAAGGTTAGGAGATCGAGACCATGGTGAAACCCCATCTCTACTAAAATACAAAAAATTAGTCAGGCGTGGTGGCGTGTGCCTGTAGTCCCAGCTACTTGGGAGGCTGAGGCAGGGGAATGGCTTGAACCTGGGAGGCGGAGGTTGCAGTGAGCTGAGATTGCACCACTGCACTCCAGCCTGGCTACAGAGCAAGACTCTGTCTGAAAATAAAATAAAATAAAATGTTTGTCTCTTTCAGGGTAAAAAAACATTTTCTTTCAATTGCCTGGCACATAGTAGACACTTAATACATTTGTCAAATTAATGAATGATCAAAAGACTGTTGAAAGTTAAGTTCTGGACTAAATAATACAAAGTCCTTGTAATGAATACAAAGTCTCAATCTACGATGATATCTATAATATGTCTCAGGGTATTTGTTAATGAGTTAATTATTCTTCTTGGTCAAGGAGATATTGAAATATTGAAGTTTAATTTTTTTTTCTGTTTTTGTTTAGTAAACCTTCATTGCTGAATTACCATTATCTTTGGAAACTTCATTTGCTAAACATAAGATGAATTATTCTTTTATTTCCAGCATCCAGTTTTGGATGAACCAATAGCAGAAGCTGTCTGTATTATAGCTGACATGGATAAATGGACTGTTCAAGTGGCCAGTAGCCAGAGACGAGTGACAGATAATAAATTGGGAAAGGAAGTATTGGTTTCCAGTCTTGTTTCCAATCTGCTTCATTCCACACTTCAGCTTTATAAGCATAACTTGTCTCCAAATTTTGTAAGTATGTGTAACACTGCTTGCATTACTTTAAGCACTGCTTAAAGCTTTCATCATTGTTTTTTCTGAAAAAAAGCTGTTAGGGACTGAATGTTTGTGTCATTACCCGAACTCATATATTGAAGCCCTAATTCCCAGTGTGACAGTATTTGGAGATAGGATCTTTGGGAGGTATCTAAGGTAAGATTAGATCTTGAGGGTGGGGTGCTCTGATGGTATTAGTGGCCTAAGAAGATGAGGAAGAGAAAGATTGTTCTGTCTCCACCATGTGAGGACACAGTGAGAAAACAGCTGTCTGCCAGCAGGAAGAGAGCCCTTACCAGAACCCAACCATGCTTGCACCTTGGTCTTGGATTTGTAGCTTCCAGAACTGTGAGAAAATAAATATCTGGGGTTTTTTGTTTGTTTGAGACAGTGTCTTAATCCCATCACCTGGGTTGGAGCACAGTGGTGCAGTCTTGGCTCACTGCAGCCTCAACTTCTTGGGCTCAGGTGATCCTCCTGCCTTAGCCTGCTGAGTAGGAGGAACTACAGGCACGTGCTACCACACCTGACTAATATTTTGTATTTTTTTAGTAGAGATGGCATTTTGCCCCATTGCCCAGACTGGTCTCAGACTTCTGGGCTCAAGTGTTCCTCCTGCCCCAGCCTCCCAAAGTGCTGAGATTACAGGCATGAGCCACCATTCCCAGCTATATATCTGTTTTTTTTTTTTAATCCATCCAGTCTATGATACTTTGTTATGGCAGCCCAAGCTAAGACAGAAGGGGTTGTGTACATGTCTGTATGTTCTGATTTCAGCAGCCAGAATTTTTGATCATGTGTAGTATAGTCATGCAACATCTCCCAGCTTTGTGTAGAATGCCAGTACATTCTGGATCCTCATTGTCATGTCAGGACTTTTATTGATCTCTTTATAATACTGGTAACCTCTTTCTAAAGATCCCATTTCCAACTTTCAAGGTTCTTTCTTTCACTTATTAGGAGAACTATAACATACCATAGTTAAAAAGCTCTGTAGTTCAAGATGATAAAGGATATCTATGACAAACCCATAGCCAACATCACACTAAGTGGTGGAAGACTGAAAGTATTTCTCTAAGATTAGGAAAAAGACAATAAGACCCACTTTCCCTACTTCTGTTCAACATGCTACTGAGAGTTTTAGCCAGAGCAATCAGGCAAGAAAAATACAAAAGACTTCAAGATTGGAAAAGAGGAAATAAAATTATCTCTGTTTGCAGATGACATGATCTTCTCGTACATAGAAAACATAAAGATCCCACAGAAAACTGGTAGAGCTAATAAGCAAATTAAGCAGATTTGCATAATACAAAACCCATAAAAATAAGTTGCATTTCTATATACTTATTCGAACAATGAACACTCTGAAAAGAAAATTAAGAAAACAATTCCACTTACAATAGCACCAAAAAGAATAAATTACTTAGGAACAAATTTAGGGAGACAAAAGACTCCCTTGTACACTATAAGGTATAAAACATTATTGATAGAAATTAAGGACATATATAAATGAAAGCACTTCCCATGCTCATGGATTGAAAGACTTAATATTATTAGGATATCATTACTACTCAAAGTTATCTACAGATTGAATGTAATCCCTATCAAAATCCAATTGATATTTTTTGCAGAAATAGAAAAACCCATCTTAAAATACATTAAGAATCTCAAGAGACCCCAAAGAGATAAAACAATCTTGAAAAACAACAGTGTTGGTAGATTTCACATTTCTTGATTTCAAAACTTATTACAAAGCTACAGTAATCAAAACATTGTGCTACTGGCATAAGGACAGGTATATAGACCAATGGAATAGAATGGAGATCCTAAAAGTTAACCCTCACATATAAGTTTAGTTGATTTTCAACAAAAGTGCCAAGACCATTCAACAGGGAAAGGAGTCTTTTCAACAAAAGATGCTGGGAAAACTGGATAGCCACATACAAAAGAATTATGCCACGTACAGAAATGAACTCCAAATGGATCAAAGATTTAAGAGCTAAAACTATAAAACTTACAAGAAAACCTAGGGGATAATCTTTGTGACATTGGATATGACAGTGACTTCTTGAATTTGAAACCAAAAGCATAGGTAACAAAAGTAAAAAAATAGATAAATTGGATTTCATCAAATTAAAAACTTTTGTTTATTAGCTATCAACAGAGTGAAAAGACAACCTATAAAATAGAAAATATTTGCAAATCATATATCTCAAAAGGGATTGATACTCAGAATATATAAATAACTCCTACAACTCAACAGGAAAAAAATAATTGAATTAAAAAATGGCAAAGGACTTGAATAGACGTTTTGCCAAAGAAAATATACAAATGGCCAATAAGCACATGAAAATATGCTCAACATCATTAGTCATTAGGGAAATGCTAATAAAACCACAGTGAGCTGCCATTCAATACCTGTAAGGATGACTATGATAAAAAGAATCCACAAAAAATAGTAAGTATTGACCAAGATGTGGTGACCTTGGAACCCTCATGCATTGTTGATGGTAATGTAAAATGGTGCTGGAGCCGTGGAAAAGTTTGGCTGTTCCTCAAAAAGTTTAACATTGTATATTACCATATGATCTATTAATTCCACTTCTGCGTTTATACTCAAAACAATTAAAAGCAGGGATTCAGGCAGTATATACTCTTGTTCATAGAAACATTATTCTCAATCGCCAAACGTTAGAAATAACCCAAGCATCCATCAGCAAATGAATGGATAAACAAAATGTGGTATAATATATACAATGCAATATTTATTCAGCCATGAAAAGGACTGAAATTCTAATACATGCTACAACATGGATGAACCTCATAAGCATTATGCTAAGTGAAATAAACTAGACACAAAAGGACAAATATTGTATGATTCCACTTATATGAGGTACCACAAATAGGCAGATTCATAGAGACTGAATCTAAAATAGTGGTTACCAGGGGCTGCGGGTAAGAAGAGAATAAGGAGTTATTGTTTAATGAGTACAGAGTTTTTGTTTGAGATGATGAGCACAGAGTTTTTGAGATGATAAAATGTTCTGGAAATGGATGGTGGTGATGGTTGCACAACATCGAATGCTCTTAGGACTATATAATTATATACTGTAAAGTGGTCAATATAGTAAATTATATTACATATTTTATATCTACATATATTCTGCAGTTAAAATTTTCTTATGGCATTATCAGCCTAAAGCATTGTGAAAAAACATACACTATAAAACCACAACCATTTGGTTGTGTTTTACAATAATAAAGTAGATTTTTATTAGGAGCTTTTAATAACTGATTTTCATTGGAAAGGAACACTCTGTATGAATTTAATGTTTAGCACCTGAAACTTCTGTTTTTTCCTCAAACATGTTTAGCATCAATTCACATGATAAATCACCTATTTTAGTAAATTGAGCAAGTTAATTGACATTAAACAAAATGTATGTGTTTCAGGTTTTTTTTTTTTTGTAACTTTTGTCACCCAGGCTGAATTGCAGTAGTAATCATGGCTCAATGCACCCTCAAAACCCCTGGGCTCAAGTAGCTAAGACTACAGGCACGTGCCACCATGCTCGGCTAATTCTTTTTTTTTTTTTTTTTTTTTAATTTTTGTAGAGACAGAGTCTCACTGTGTTGCCCAGGCTGATCTCGAACTCCTGGCCTCAGATGATCCTCCTGCCTCCACCTCCCAGAATGTTGCGATTACAAGTATGAGCCACCATGCCCAGATGTGTTTTAATTTTCAGTCTTTCAGCTTAGAAATTGGGGAACCACATAGCATTCTTTGTGAACTTTTGCAAACTGTTTTTTATTCTCCACAGGAGAATACATCCTTTCCTATGTAAATACATTTGAAAAGTATTAATTTATAAAAATTTTATATTTATCAAATTTGAAATAAAAACATAGTGAAAAAAGTTTTGGAAATGGATAGTAGTGACGGTTGCACAACATTCTGAATGTACTTAGTGCCACTGAAGTATATTTAAAAATGGTTAAAAAGGGCTGGACATGGTGGCTCACACTTGTAATCCCAGAACTTTGGAGGCTGAGGTGGGTGGATCACCTGAGGTCAGGAGTTTGAGACCAGCCTGGCCAACGTGGTGAAACTCCATCTCTATTAAAAATAGAAAAGAAATTAGCCGGGTGTGGTGCGCATGGCTGTAGTCCCAGCTACTCAGGAGACTGAGGCAGGAGAATTGCTTGAACCCGGGAGGCGGAAGTTGCAGTGAGCTGTGGTCGCGCTTTGCACTCCAGCCTGGTTAACAGAGCAAGACTCCATCTCAAAAACAAAAAACAAACAAAAAATGGTTAAAAGGGCAAATTGTATGTGTATTTTTGCACAGTTAAAAAAAAAAAAAGACGCTGTAGAAGCTAATCTTTGATATGAGCCAGAAAAAGTTTCACTTCTCTTTTTAGCTAAAACTACATACTTTAAAAATGTGCTCCAAATTTTAGTTCATATTGAAATAAACAAACAGAATTGTCAAAAACATTATGTTTTGGAGTTTGCCATGACTGAGAGTTGCAAACTGTTTTCTGACCTGGTTCTTGGTTCCTCCCTAACTGCAGTGTGTAATGCATCTTGAAGACCGGTTGCAGGAGCTATACTTCAAAAGTAAAATGCTGTCTGAATACCTGAGGGGGCAGATGCGTGTTCATGTCAAGGAGCTGGGAGTGGTTCTGGGGTATGTTAATGGTTTCTTTTTTGGCTTTGCTTTCATTGCCCTGTCATCAGGCAAGGAATTTTCCTCAGAATTGCCCTTTTTCCTTTTACGTGTCTTCTCCTATTAGAAGCTGGAGGCTGTTATCATTTAGGTTGCCCTGTACCATGTAATAGCAGGTTCCCTGTCATCCACTAATCTGAAAGGCATTATCCCTTGTGCCATTACATACAGTAGGTTGAGAATATAATCACAGTGAATTAAAATCTGAATTTTTGTCTCAGAAACATAAGTACATACTCATTTATTAAATATGTTGCAAACTCATTATTCCAAGTATCTGCCCTGCCTTCCACATGAGCTGGTTGAGGTAACAGAAGTCTGTAGATGGTAATACGTTATCCATATATTACTCCTTCCCCCCCATTAACTATATATTATATCTGTCTACTCTGCATTATTCTCTGGCAGAAAACAGTTATCAAAAATGCTTACTGAAGGAGGAATGGGAAGTTGGTAGGGGGGGCATAATATAGCCCTATTTCATTATGTTCTGTGGTCACTTTTCTTGTGTTCTCTGGCCACTTTAGGTGGGTTCATATGAATTATTTCTTGAAATGCCATTAAAGAAAGCAAAACAAGCTAGAACTTTTATCTAATTTGGCTTTTATGATGGGAAAAGAAACCAATATCACTGAGAACCTACTGTATGTCAAACCACATGAAAATTTTTTACTAGTGTTATTTCTTCATTCTTACTATCATCCTGCAGTGTGTAGGCAGTGTTATCCAGGTTGGAAACAGATGATTCTGAAGTTAACATGCCAGATGTCACACACTGGTAGGACTAATTAGGGATTTGAATGACTCTATATCTTTTTTACTTTAGACCCTATTTATATTCTGTAGTACCACACTGTTGGTCCAGACTTGATGATTTTGACTTGAGTTATACAGAGAGAATTGTTCTCCAGTATTTGGAAAATCAGTAACAGGATATAACCTTGTTTTTCTGGGGAGTGAGCTGTGTGTTTAATGCCTTTATGTAAAAATATTTAAGACAAGTTTTAAAAAGTAACATAAATGTAACCAAAATTCACAGTGCATTTTGGCATACAATGAAAAGTAAGTCATTGTCTTCTTCCCCCAACTTCCAACCCCTACTCAAACACTGTTAACAGATTGTTTTGTAGAATTTTTAAATGAATATTATTTAAAAATCTAAGTTGAGTTATACTCTTGTGTCCTTGTACAACTTGCCTTTTACTATATCTTGAATGTTCATATAAGCACAGAATAATCTCATTCTTCCTAATGGCTGTCTAGCATTCCCTTATATGTTGGAATTTAGATTATTTTTAGTTTTTTGCTACTATAAACCAGTGCCAGACTGAATATAAGTCTCTGACATTTGTAGGATAAATTCCTTGAAATAGAATTTTTGGTTAAAGGGCCTGTATTGATAGATAGTTTGACAGATTATACTGAATACTCTCCAGAAAGTTTCAAAATGAATTCCCACAAACAGTAAGAGGCACTCTTCTCAGTACTGGCTATTACCAGATTTGATCTTTGCTAGGCTACTATCTAAAAAATGGTATCTGATTTTATTCACATTTCTCTAACCATGAGGGAGTCTGATTAATATTTTCTATGTTGGTTGGCCATTTTTCTTTTCCTATAAATTTGTGGTAGGATGTATTTTGAAGTAGCTCCCATTACTTCCAATACATCTTATTATAGAAACATTTGAATCCAAAACAATCTGGGTACACATTATTATTCTTTGTTTTTTTTTTTTTTTGAGACAGGGTCTTGCTCTGTTGCCCTGCTGTTGGTACATAGCTGACTTCAGCCTCAACCTCCCAGGCTCAAGAGATCTTTCTGCCTCAGCTTCCAGAGTAGCTGGTACCACGGGCACACACCACCATGCCCAGCTAGTTTTTAAAATTTTTTTGTGGAGACAGGGTCTCATTATCTTGCTTAGGTTGGTCTTCAACTCCTGGGCTTAAGCGATCCTCCCAACTAGGCCTCCCAAAGTGTTGGGATTACAGGCACGAGTCACCTCACCCAGCTATTATTACACTAGATTGCAGTTGTTAGTCATTGTGCCATGCCCCAGTTCATGTTCCATCAGCATGTCATTGAGACACTTTTCTACGTTTATGATGTTGTTACTCGTATCTGTAGTTCTGTGTTTTATTTACTGAGAATTTTTCCTTTCGGCCAGAGTGGCCTAGCTCCTTAACCGTTGAGGTATAGTGACCTTACAGTTGGTGGTCATTGCCTGTAGAGTTCATGTCCTCAGTACAGAAAATCAAAACTGACATTTTTTTCCCCTTTATTTCAGGATTGAATCCAGTGATCTTCCACTTCTGGCTGCTGTAGCAAGCACTCACTCTCCATATGTTGCACAAATACTCCTTTAATATACCTAAAAATTGTTAGAAATTGGTGGGAAAATAGGTAGAAACCAAGGAAGCAGACACAACATGCATTTATGGAGATTCTTTTTCCCTTTTAGACTTCCATCTGAATGAGTCAGTCACCAGGGTATTCTGCATAGCATTGTATATTCTGTGTATGTCAGATGGCTTTTTCTTTTTGACTGGACTTTTGGGTGGTGGTAGATTTTTAAACAAATGAAATTAAAGCAACAATAATTTTGAAGCATTTGAAAAAGCCAAAGTGTACGGTAGAAATTTCTACAAAATGAATATTATCAAGAGTTTCATGTGATCACTGCAGTGTTGTCACAGCTCATAAATAGCAACAGTGTCTCATGATTTAATGGCTCAGAAATAGTTATTCATTAGTTTTTAATTTTTAATTTCTAAGGTACAGAGATCTATAAAACCTTGATTATTTGTTAGTTTTGCAATTCAAAACAGCTAATGTCTGGTTATTTCTCAAAGTAAGTATTTTAAACAGCCTGTTAATTATAAGAAACTCAGAATAATGAGTGTAAATGTGTTATGTTATCCACCCAAGTGTACATATGTACCTATTTTTTTTTAAAAAGCAGAAATAGAAATACAAGACTGGTAAACATGCCTTTAAAAATATATATATTTTCAACTAGTATTGTCTATAATGCTGAAATATTACTTATTGGTGATTTTTCTGTTTCACACACTCTAAAATATAAGTAAAGCCAACCTTTTTTTTAAGGCTGAGATTCCCAAAATGAGAATACTACTTTATACCATTTGTTTATAAGTATGAACTGTTCTTATAAATATTAATATTTACATATTCACTAATTTAACATAAATGAAAATTAGGATTAAAAATTGCACCAAAGCATCGGCAAAAACAATACTATATTCTTTAAAAGTGCTCAGGTAGCCAAGGCCCTTGCTTTTGGTATCAACCCTCATGAACCCATAGGAGCTGAATATTTGTTTCACTGCTTAATAATCCTCAATTTACACTATTCATAACTCTTAAAATTATTCTCTTTTTTTCTAAGAGTCCCTCCCTTCCAAAAGTGTATTTTTTTCAAAGATTTTCACTTCTCAATTGTTGCCTTTGTACATACTATAGAGTGTTGCTTGTAAGAAAGGCTAATATGGAACCAAACTCTTGTAAGTAATGTAAATAGAAAGGTGGGTGGATAAAGTTTTCAATACTTTCTACTACCTCAGTTTACTTGAGTACTACATTATAGTTTATTCTTTGCTTATCTGGTCTAAGAGACTTTTAATGCTAGTAGTAAAGTTGGTTTCTGCTTTCATTGACTATTTTCATCATAATTTCATCATTGATTAAAAAAAGAAAACCACTTGTTTATTCAGTTATTAAATATATTTACTATATAACACATCCATTCTTGCTGTTTAAATTTTCAATAGTTAATGGAAAGTTGTCTTTGACCTTGAATTTACAGCATTGGGTCACATTTTGCCTTGCTGTGTATGTATTCAAGAGACTTCCAACTAGACAAAGAAAAAATTGTTGTTTTAATGGAATGTAAACCTGAAATTGGTGTGTCTGCAATCTGTTTGGCCCATGACCTTTTACCTAGTCCCAGTTATTACCTGAGTCTCCCATGGATGACTTGCTGCCAAGGAGTGTTTGTGGATATATTTTCTTTGGCTTAATTTTCTTATTCTGTGCATTAACAAAATTATCCAGTTGTCTGATTTTGGAATTCTATGAGTCAATCTTTTTGGCAGAATTCAGAATATTAAAAAGTTCATACATTTGCGGGCCATTGTACCTTTTTTTTTTTTTTTTTTTTTTTGACGGAGTTTCACTCTTGTTACCCAGGCTGGAGTGCAATGGTGCGATCTCAGCTCACTGCAACCTCCGCCTCCCAGTTCAAGTGATTCTCCTGCCTCAGCCCCCAAGTAGCTGGGATTACAAGTGTGCGCCACCACACCCAGCTAATTTTTTATTTTTAGTAGAGATGAGATTTCACCATGTGTTGGTCAGGCTGGTCTTGAACTCCTGAACTCAAGTGATCCACCTGCCTCGACCTCCCAAAGTACTGGGATTACAGGCGTGAGCCACTGTGCCCAGCCTTGTACTTTTTTTTTTTTTTATTGTAGCTCTGTATAGCACTTGGATAATGTCTGGGTGTCTCCTTAACCATCAAACTGTTCTTTATTTAAAATGTTTAATTACCGTTTAGAAATTCTAGTCCTCAATAAGTGGGTGGCTCATGCTATTGTTGTTCCTAAAGCTAAGCTTTGCTGGGAAGGAAATGACCTATAGTTTCTTAAAGAATCATTAATCCTTATAGGATTCCTGAGTTACTGTTTTGTTCCTCCCCACTGCTTCCCATTCCTGAGTTTTGTAATTCCTAATCCTTCTATAATTTCTATTACCTTCACCATAGTCATTCTTTCCTTACGCAAAGCCCAAGGAATGAGCTGCTGCTACTTTAAAGTGTGGTCATTATGATGAATGTGAAAAGAGTTTTGGCTTGTTCTAAATAATTTTTACAAGTTATGGTACAGACAGTTGTTACATATCAAAAAAAACCTGTTTATTGAAACAGGAAATAAAAAAGGGATCTTTTACATTATAGAATTAAAACTAATTTTTTCTTGTATATAAACTAATTGGTTTGATTTTAAATATTTCTGGCTTTTATTAATATGTCTTAATTTTGAGTTTGAAAATGTTAAGTGCAATAAAAACATACTAGTACAGATTTTGTTTTGTTCCAATTGGCATACTCTGGGGATGATCACTTAAAAAAACAGATTTTACATAATGCCTACTTCTGGTAGATGTCTTATGAGATTGTTCTGCTTTTTCTAAGTTACTTAGATGTTGGATATGTACATAGCTGTTTCTTGTTCTGTATACATTTCTCAAATGTACACTTGTATTATAATAACCTCCCAGTTCTAGGGGATATTTGTGCAATAAATACACATGTCAACTTGATGGATGGTGTTGGTCTTTCTTTCATATATTAAGGTATACGTAACATGGACTGATGTCTGTCCAGACATCAGATGACAGAAGTTATGGACTGATATAACTTCTGTCAAACTTAGAAGTTTGACACTTCTAAGGATGTGACCTTTCCTCATTGGTATTTCCATATTGGTAATTTAATAGAATCTACTTCATGAGGTGGTTGTGAGAATCAAGTGAAATAATGAATGTTAAGGATTTAGCTCAGTACTGGCATACTCCAAGTGCTAAATAATTTTTGGCTGCTACTTTTACCAGATAATCTGTCCAGCCTTCCTCTTGTGGCCCCCCACCTATTGTTTTGCGAATTTTTAGCGTATGTTCTTATGAATAAAAACATAGTAACAGAAAATATAAGAGTATCTTCTTACAGCGAGCAACAAATTGAAAATTTCTTTAAATGCTTTTATGAAAGCAAAGTGAACCCAACAATCTAAAAACCTAGAAGTTATATAATGTTAAGAAAATTGTATTCAATACAGGCTGGGTGCGGTGGCTCACACCTGTAATCCCAGCACTTTGGGAGGCTGAGGTGGGCAGATCACCTGAGGTCAGGAGTTCGAGACCAGCCTGACAAACCTGGTGAAACCCCCTCTCTACTAAAAATACAAAAATTAGCCGGGTGTGGTGGCAGGCACCTGTAATCCCAGCTACTCCAGTGGCTGAGGCAGGAGAGTTGCTTCTCTCCTGCCTCAGCCTCTAGAGGTTGCGGTGAGCTGAGATCCTGCCACTGCACTCCAGCCTGGGCAACAAGAGCAAAACTCTATCTCAAATAAAAAAGAACATTGTATTCAATACAAATTACTATACTTTACAAAAAATTGGCTGATTAGTTTGGGTTTTAATCCTCTTTGTTCACTGATTTGCAAGTGACTGAGCAAGTCTATTGTTTTCATCTGTATTGTAGGGAAATCAGCTTTGTGCCTGCTCTATAGCAGTGATTCATCAGTGAGTAGGCTTATTGGTAAGCTGTCTTGCTCAGGCTAGGTTGATCTGGGCAGAGTTAGTCCTGGGGGCGGGACTAGACCAGGGGCTTTTTGAGGTACCTGTTTTCATATAATACTACATATTATCACTCTTACATTTAACCAAAGAGAGTAAGTGAACTGTTTCAAAGCAGAGAAGTCTCAAGTATTTGGGAAACAGCTGTCAGCTATTTTAGAGGTTTAAAATTGGTAACGTTTATGAGAAGATTTTTGCTAGTGAGAAAAGGAGATACAGAGACTTTAATGTGATTATCTGAAGTCACAGTCTTTCCTGTGTGTTCATCTTGTCTCTCAGACCAGAATGTTTTCTCAACTACTATGTGGTGACAGCTGTATTGTAAAGATATCCGGGATTTCTTCATTTGTCTTTGCCAATATGCAAGGTGGGGTAGGGTGGCAAGTAGGACCAAACCTAAACTGAAGGTGCAAGGTGGGGCTGGAAAATTGTAGCTGTGAGTGGGAACTGCTTAGGCAGATAGAAATGGGGGGGCACAGGGGAGTGTAGTGCTCCCTGTTTTTGTTCCATCCTGCAGACTGGGTTTGCCCTGTTTGCTCTAAATTTAAGATTAGTTGAGACTTCCCCTCCCCGCCCCCCCCCCAAAAATACAAGCAGTCCAAAACAGAATATGTTCCCACCCATTATTTATCGGGAGAACTTTAGTGTCCTTTTGGTCTTAAAGCATGTGCTCAGTTACCCTCTCTCTTCCAATAGTCAGGTGACTAGTTCTTCTTATCTTTCTTTTAACACTAACTTTGTTTCTGGTGAACCTGAATCTAGACTGATCCCTTCATCAGATTGCAGACACCTCTGTCTGGGTTAACGCAGTCTTCTTAGACATCCCACAAATACACCTGTATTTACTCTATGGAGAGTATTAAGTTAAAGAGGCTTGAGCTTCCTTCCTTTTCAAGTGGCTGTCTTAATAACGACAGTCCTTACATTTACCTCAGTGCACAAATTCAAATTAATGATAAAGGCAGTATTGCTTTCCTACATTGTCTCAAGGGGAAGGACGAAACTCTTGATAAATGTGTTAAGTACAGGGAAGGTATTTCCGTAAGAATCTTGTGATATCATTCTTGGGCATATTTGGTCTAGCACTCACAAGTCAATGTCCTTCTTTAGTGTGGTACAATGGCTGGGGTTAAAGATGGATCAGACTAGTTTAGAACCACAGTTATTATAGTTTAAAGTGGTTCTCAAACTTGGTTGCATATTGGAAGCACCTGGGGTAGCTTTTGAAAAATATGAGCTCCTATACTCCCACCACCAGAGATTCTGATTCAATGATAACAACTGACCTTCTGGATTTGAGTCAGTAAAAGCTCTTATTTGTCCATAGTAGTGACTCAATCTCTAGCATACTCCAAATCTCAGTTCCTTACTTCATTTCAGGTACTGTTAAAACCTGAGCTTTTTACCCCATTTTTGTTGGTTTGCAGTTATTCTGGAAAGATGGACATATGATTATGTCTGTTTATTGAGCATTCAGTTTTGTAATGCAACAGCTATGTAACCAGAGATGATCTTTGTCACTGGAGAGCAATCAAGTACCTCTGTTTAAAAAAAATTTTTTTTTCACTCTTGAGCAGCTTCATGATATTCAAGTACCTCTCTTAATAGCAAAATGCCCTCATAATAAGTTAGTCCTTAATTGCACTTGGTCATTCAGCAAATATTTATTCAACACCTATGATGTGCTAGGGATAGGTTTGGATACTAGGGATATGCCAATAATACATTATTTCTGTTTTCATAGAGTTTACATATTTTCCTTTTGGTGGAGGGGATAGACCAAAAAAAATTAAATACATATACATGTTACTCATATGTAATGTGCTGTCAGGTAGTAGTAAGTATAACAAAAATAAATAGTTAAGCAAATTAAAAAGTCCTTATTTTCCCACAATTTAATAAATTACTTGCATTGTTTCTTTCAGATACAAGTTAATGCTGGTGAATCCTGTCCTGGAGGTTGCCTTTTGTCTGAAAATAGCTATTAGAACTTTACTGTCTCTCCTCACTTTTCTCTGTATATAACAATATAATACAAGATAGTAAAGGACAAGATAGATTTTGAAAATGTATACTTAAATTTAGTTATGGATAGTCACCATGTATATTAATGTAATTTTTACTGTTGCTGCCTAATGAGAAAGCCTAATTATTTTTGCATACTTTCTCTTGTGAAATATATACAGAAAACAGAGTAAATATATACTCATATAACCATCACTAAGGCCAATAAGTAGATCATTTTCAGCATCCCAGAAGCCCCCTCCTCCATGTGCCCTATCCTGATCATAATTCTCTACCTTCTCACTTTTGTAACTACCAACCTGACTTCATTTCCTTGCTTTCTCTTTATTATTTTACCCTGTATTTGCATCCCTAAAAGACCTAATTTTGCTTGTGTTTAAACTCTGTCTGTGTAATTATACTCTGTATTTTGTTTTGCTTTTTCTCTCTCAACATTATGTTGGAGAATCATCACTATGTGCTATGGAGCTATGTGCCATTGTGGATGAATATTTTACAATTTATCCCTTCTAGTATTGATGGATATTTGGGTTATTTCCAGTTTTTGGCTTCTATGAATAAGGAACATTTTTGTCCATCTTTTCTATTAATAGGGCAGGGGTCCCCAGTCCCCAGTCCCCAGTCCCCAGGCCGGTACTGGTTCATGGCCTGTTAGGAAGCAGCCGCACAGCAGGAGGTAAGCAAGCATAACTGCCTGAGCTCCGCCTGTCAGATCAGCAGGGGCATTAGATTCTCTAGGAACAGGAACACTATCATGAACTGCACATGTGAGGGCTCTAGGCTGCATGCTCCTTATGAGAATCTAATAATGCCTGATGATGTGAGTTGGAACAGTTCCATACTGAAACCCTCCCCCTAACCCCTATAGAGAATTTGTCTTTCACAAAACCAGTCCCTGGTGCCATAAAACGTTGGGGACTGCTGCTATAGGGCATATATCAAAGAAAGGACTTGCTGTCATAAGGTGTGTTATGTTTCAACTTTATTACTTTTTTTTTTTTTTTTTGCCAAAAGTGACTTCCCAACTTGCACTTAACCAGCAGTTTGAGTTCCTCTTGCTCCACATCTTCACAAATACTTAAATGTGTTTCTGAATTGTTATAAGTGAAAAAAAACTGTATTAAAAAAATCTATTCAATTATTCAAAGTTGAATTTCTACTTTAGAGGAATCACTTCCCAGGCCGGGAGCGGGGGCTCACGCCTATAATCCCAGCACTTTGGGAGGCCAAATTGAGTGGATCACTTGAGGTCAGGAGTTCAAGACCAGCCTGGCCAATATGGTGAAACCCCATTTCTACTAAAAATACAAAAATTAGCCGGGCGTGGTGGCGGGCGCCTGTAATCCCAGCTACTCAGGAGGCTGAGACAGGAGAATCCCTTGAACTCCCGAGTAGTTCAAGGGACATTGCAGTGAGCCGAGGTCGCGCCATTGCTCTCCAGCCTGGGCAACAAGAGAAAAACTCCGTCTCAAAAAAAAAAAAAAAAAAAATCACTTCCTAGAGGCAAAATAATGGAAATAATAAGGAGTGCTCGGATTGTGCAGCATACTAAGTGCTTCATGTGAATTTTCTCATACTAAGTGCTTCATACTAAGTGCTTAAGTGCTTCACGTGAGTTTTCTCACGTAATCTTACTAAGTGCTTCATGTGACATACTAAGTGCTTCATGTGAATTTTCTCACTTAATCTTAAGAAAATTCTGAAACAATAGGTCCTTTACTATATTCCCATTTAACATAAGGAAAATGAAGGCAACATACTAAGTGCTTCATGTGAATTTTCTCGCGTAATCTTAAGAAAATTCTGAAGCAATAGGTCCTTTACTATATTCCCATTTAACATAAGGAAAATGAAGTTCAGAGATGTTAAATAACTTCAAGTCACTTAACTAGAAGAGGTCTAATATTAGAGACACAAATTCTAGGTCTGTTTGCCCCTAAAGTTCAAGTTCATGGTGATCATGCTTTATAGTTCTTTCTCCCTCTTTCAAAATATTGATGTGACTCTGAAAATTGATCCTTGAAGAATGGAAGGGTTAACTTTTGTTTGTGATCCTGGGCAGATCTTTGAGAGGTTATATTTGTACAAAAAATGAGGAAAACGGATCGTCTGCAACATCCTGTGATTTTTTCCACAATTACTTTATTTCTACAATGGCTATGCCACACTTCGCTGGTAAAGTTTTTGATCTATACCTGAAAAAGAGAAATGCTAATAGTATGTTGTAAACTCCCAGTTTGGGCAAGCCCCAGGACCAACAGAAAACAGTCCTTAAGTCATTGCCGGTCCCAGAAACGGTGTTGTAGCCTGAACTCTCATTGTTTTCAAATATAATTTTAACTCTTATTACGTCATTAAAATTACTGTGAAGCAGTCATTAATTGGAAAGCATGTCATAATCATAAATCACCTTGTTATTTAGTGAACTATGCTAACTGCTGTGAGAAATACCAAGGTGTACCTAGATGTAGTTACAGCCATCAAGGAGCTTAAAATTCAGTGGAAAGGTGGTGTCGCCAAAGTTAGTTACCTATGAACTTATGAGAAAGGGTAAGGAGTATCCTAGAACGATGGATTCTGGAATTGTCAGTGAGCTTATTGTTGAAACGGCCTCAGCAGCTCTCTGGCTGCTCCTAAGGGTGGTCTGTTTTTCTTACCAAGGGAGCAGTGAAACAAAACTGGCTTTATTCGGTCTGTTGGGAAGCAGACTAGAATGTAAAAAGTATTGCAAAAGTTGCCACTCGAGTCCCAACCCTAAACGCAGTTGCCTGAGGGAGGGCTGCCCCGGGCATTTAGTTACAAGAACGCAGTCTAAATCTAGTTTTTTGACTCAAAGGTAATCGTGAGCTGGCCGCGGCACCGGCTGCCTATCCTGGCCGTGAATGTTTGCTTTCTCTGCCCTGGTCTCAGGACGTCCGTTTCGAATAGATCAAGCACTTCTCTGTCGGCAGCTTTCACAAGAGATCTCGTTTTATTTAAAGAGATATGAGGTGTGCGTGGAATTCCTTCTTTGCCGAATGGCGGCTTCTACTTCCGCATATTCAAAGTCGGCAGTAGAAGTTGCAGAGGAGAGCGCAAAGCCGGACTTGGCCACACCCTGGGCTTCCGGATTTGGGCACAACAGTTCTCTCCAGTCAGAACGCCTCCCCACGGTTCTGCCCCAAAATGCTATTTTTGCTCAGGTCCTCAGCGCGTTTCCGGTGTCTCCAACGGATGGAGAAGACGGAACCACAACGCCAAGGCAGACCCCGTGACTGATTTAGGTGAGGTCTCGCGAGGTGTCTTTAAATCTCACGACGACAGCAGGAAACGACTTACTCGCACCGCCCCAATTTTAACGTCACAGTGGAGTTACTCCCTTGGGCGTTTCTTAGCGTGCGCGTGCGTGCTGCGCATGCGCACTTACTCTCCCCCGCCCCCGCGCAGACTTGTCTCCGGCCAGTCGCGCGTGGGTAGAGGCCTTAGGCGGGCGTTGCGAAGGGTTGTTTGCTAGAGTTCGGACCTTGTTACGGCGCGAAGTTCCCTCCTTGGGGCGGGGGAAAGGTACCGCACCCGCTACCTAGTGTGAATGAACTGTGGCGTGGGCTGCTAAGGGCAGGCTGCGGAGTACCCGGGCCGTGGCCATGAACTCACCCGTGGACCCTGGCGCTAGGCAGGCGTTGAGGAAGAAGCCACCCGAGCGGACTCCCGAGGTGAGGCTGGTTGACCTTTATGTGCGTCTCACAGTCCAGTAGACAGCATCCTCCTGTCTGTCCGAAATCCGCGGCGACTGCCCTCTTGCCAGAGTCTCGCACCTGCTACTGGGAATCTGTTCGCTTGAGTCTCTTCCCTGACCCAGGCCCTTGTCGCCAGCAGGGTGCCGACCGCCCTTCCTGCCTGTGATGCGGTCTTAACCCGCGTACCCGTCCTTGCCGGGGGCTTCTGAGTGTCGTTAAGAAAGCACCATTACTAAGTCGTATTTTCTGAGTTGGGTAATATGAGTTTCGCAGTTAGATGCCCATTCGTTTAAGTAGACTATGAAAAACGAGATGGAAATTGTAAGGGAAGTATCTCAGCCATGTAATTTAGAAATAGTTTTTCTTTAAAGGTCTCTGAAATATTGTACAGTTGCCTAAAAAAAAGATAAAGTTTTCAAAGTTAGTTTAAAAGTTTACATCCAGTCAAATGGTGAATTCTGTAGTAGATGATGCATGTTTAAAGAACACCACTGTAGGTACTTTTTCAGACTGTCACTGGGAAATTTTACAGTATTTTGTACTTGGATCCAAAATTTGCTGTGTCGAGTTAACAGTTATGGCATCAGCTTAAAAGATTTTTCATTCGACCTTCATGAAGGCTAGTTTTCAGGCATATAACTAAAACCTGTTAGCTTTGCTTATCCCGGTAGAATGCTAAGGTTTTGGGGAAGGTTTTCCTTGATTTGGAGGTTTCTATAACAAGTGGGACATATTTTCTAAACAAAACACTAAACAGTGTGAGTGGATTATTGGATTGTTTTGTTTAAAGTTGCAGTAAATGAAATGAAATGCTTTGGTTAATTCTTCACTTTGGAGTTTTTCAGATATGTAGTGTTTTGCATACTGAGTCTCAGTAACGTTGGGCTGACCTTTTGGGTCGTGACAATTATTCAGGTCACAACGGAAGCCATGATAGGTCAAATTATGTTATTGAAGATCCTGATGTTTGCATAGGAACAACACAAATTCTACCACTTTCCAGAGTTCTCTTTTTGAGATATACATTTATAATTCGATGAGTGTTTGTTTCCTTATGATGATTCTTGAAGTCAATGTGAGCTGATTTATGAATTTCAGTAGGCGAATTATCTTACAGCCTTTATAGCATTGGAAAGTATTATACAAGGCTTACGATGTGTATTGCAGGTTTCAATTTAATTTAATTTAATGTTATTTTATTTTTTATTTGAAACAGTCTCACTCTGTCACCCAGGCTGGAGTGCAATGGCGCGATATTGGCTCACTACAACCTTTACCTCCCGGGTTCAAGCGATTTTTCTGCCTCAGCCTCCGGAGTAGCTGGGATTACAGGCAGGCGCCACCACGCCCGGCTAATTTTTTGTATTTTTAGTAGAGACGGGGTTGCACCATATTGCCCAGGGTGGTCTCAAACTCATGACCTCAAGTGATCTGCCCGCGTTGGCCTCCCAAAGTGCTGGAATTACAGGTGTGAGCCAAGTTGCCCGGCTGCTTTTAATTTTCAACATTACTTGTGCTACTAAATTCACATTTTAATGGAAAAATCCTACTGCTCTTTAACAGCAGAATTATTTATTTTGAAATTGCCTATTTTATTTTTTTTGAGACAAAGTCTCCCTCTATAGCCCAGGCTGGAGTGCAGTGGCACGATCTCTGCTCACTGCAACCTCCGCCTCCTGGGTCCCGGTTCAAGTAGTTCTGCCTCACCCTCCCGAGTAGCTGAGATTACAGGCACACGCCACTATGCCCAGCTAATTTTTGTATTTTTAGTAGAGACGGGATTTCACCATGTTGGCCAGGCTTGTCTTGAACTCCTGACATCATGATCCGCTCGCCTCGGCCTCCCAAAGTGCTGGGATTATAGGTGTGAGCCCCGCGCCTGGCTGAAATTGCCTATTTTTGAGCCTTAGGAAATTTTCTAAACTGTTCATAAAGTTATGTTGGCCACTGTGTGCTGTGTTAAGTACTTTATTGTGCTTAATTGGAACAGAAGCATTGTTCAAGGGAATGCTAAACAGCTGCCCACAGTACACAGAATGTAGCCCTGACATCTAGCAGCATAAGAGGTTAACTGATGCATTGGTAGTGCTTTTGAATGAGTGTAGAATTTGTTTGGGGTAAAGAAGTATGAAGAAGGAAATCTGAATCCTAGTGATGATTTGTTTGTGATAAATAATTTGACAAAATTCTCCCAAGTTCATTTCTGTTTTCAGAAGGTCCTTTTACTGGACTCCCAAGGGTCTATTATGAATATATTAGCTCTATAGTTGCTTATTGGGAGTCTAGCAGCTGAAGGCACTAGTCTGTGCACTATGTTGTATCCATAAACAAAGCAGGTCTGCCCTAGTAAGACTTACATTCTGATAGCATGAAGAGTGGGGAAGGCAGATAATGAATATACTAAAAGGTAAGTTACATAATATGTAGCTTATAATTGCTAGAAAAGAAAAGAGCAGAGTAAGAGGGATTGAAAGCAAGGGGCAAGGGCTGGGTTGCAGTTTAAATAAGGTGGTTCGTTTAACTTGGTTGAGAAGATGATTTTTGATCAAAGACTTGATGCATGTGATGGCATTAACTATAGGGGTATATGGAGAAAGTGCTTTCCCAGCAAAGGGAGCAATCGTTGCAAAGGCCCTATGTTGAGAGCATGTTTTGATGCATTCCAGAAATAGCAAGCAGCTTTGTGTGACTGGAGAAGGGTGAACAGGTGTGAGAGTAGTAAGAGATGAAGGAGGAGTGGAGATAATGATGCATAGCATAGGGCACATCCTATTTGACTTTTCAGTGAGGGGGAGCACTGAAAGATTTTGAAGCAGAGGAGTGATATTGACCTACTTAACCTTTTTTTTTTTTTTTTTTTTTGAGACAGAGTCTTGCTCTGTCACCCAGGCTGGAGTGCAGTGGTGCAGTCTGGGCTCACTGCAATCTCTGCCACCTGAGATCAAGCGATTCTCCTGCCTCAGCCTCCTGAGTAGCTGGGACTACAGGTGTGTGCCAACACGCCCGGCTAATTTTTTGTGTTTTTAGTAGAGATGGGGTTTCACCGTGTTAGCCAGGATGGCCTCAATCTCTTGTCCTCGTGATCTGCCCGCCTTGGCCTCCCAAAGTGCTGGGATTACAGGCGTGAGCCACCACGCCTGGCCTACCTTTTTGTTTTTAAAGAGGGTCTCACTATATTGCCCAGTCTGGTCACTAATTTCTGGGCTCAACAGATTCTCCTGCTTCAACCTCCCAAGTAGCTGGAACTACAGGCATGTGCCACTACACCTGACTACCTTACTGGGTAGTCTCCTGGCTGCTGTGTTGAGAATAGACTGTAGGTGTTTAAGGGCAAAAGCAGGAGGTTAACGGCTGTTATTGCATAAAATCAGGTTAGAGATGATGGTCACTCTGACTAAAGTGATAGTGATAGTAATGGAAGTGGTGAGAAGTGGTTAAGTTTTAGAAATATTTTGTAGGGTTAGCCAACAGGATTTGCTAATAGATCAGATGTGGACCTTGAGGAAAAGAGAAGAATCAAGCATGACTTCAAGGTTTTTGGCCTAAATAACTGGAGTGTTGGAGTTATTGTCAGAGAGGTTTGAGCTGCCATCAGCGAGATGGGAAAAGCTGCAGGAGGAGTAGGTTTTAGGGGCAAGATCAGAAATTCAGTTTTGAACATGTCAAGTTTGAAATGTCTGTTAGAAATGAGTAAGAGGTTGCATATACAAATTTGTATTACTAAGAAGCCTGAGCTGGAGATAACAATTTTATAGTCATCAGTTTATAGATATTGAAAGTCATGAGACTGGGTAAAATTACCAAGTAGTGAGTGTACGTAGAGAATAGAAGAGGACCAAGGACAGTGAGTACCATGGGACATGAGATCAGTATAAGGTCGGGGAGAAGAGTAGAAATCAGCAAAGGAGAATGAGTGGAAGCAAACAGTGCAGTAGGAGAAAAACCGAGAGAGTGGTGGTGCCCTAGAAGCCAAATTAATAAGCTGTAAAATAGAAGGGGATAAAATTATTTGTTTGGCTTATTTTTCCTTGAATACCTACTGGGTGCAAAGCGTTGTGAAAAATATACAAAGGGATGAGAATTAGTATGTTGAAATCATTTGTTTGCATCGTGTAATTGATGAGTAAATAATGAGTAAAGAACTCCTTGTGTTTCTGGGACAAAATGAATGGTTCCTTTATTTTGAACCATCTGTCGTCCTTAGGTGAAACTATCAACTCAGGCATAATCCTAGTGAGCCAGACATCAAGTACAGACACATGTTGTAAAGTGTGCCATTTAGATATCTTTCTAACACAGTGTGTGTGTGAGAGATTTCTCCTACTTATAGATTCAGCTTCCACAGAACATTGTCTTTCCTGAGCTAGTTCTTTCTCAATTTGCAAAGATATTCTTATGGAAAATTTCAGACTTAAATACTCCATGGACAATTAAGTGCACTAAAACAACAAAAACTGTTAAGGTACAGACATACCTCCCAGATACTGCAGGTTTGGTTCCAGACTACTGCAGTAAAGCCAATATCCCAATAAAGTGAGTCACGTGAATTTTATTTCCTAGTGCACATAAAAGTTGTTTACACATATAGTAGTTTATTGTGTGTGATAGCCTTATGTCTAAAAAAAGATATATGCCTTAATTTAAAAATACTTTATTGCTAAAAAATACTAACCAGTCATCTGAGCCTTCAGCTAGTTGTCATCTTTTAGCTGGTGGAGGGTCTTGCCTTAGTGTTGATAGCTGCTGCTGACCAATCAGGGTGGTAGTTGCCGAAGATTGGGGTGGCTGTGACAGTTTCTTAAAATAAGACAATGAAGTTTGCCACATCAATTGACTTTCTTTCATGAAAGATTTCTCTTTAGCATGTGATGCTGTTTGATAGCATTTTACCTACAGTAACTTCTTTCAAAATTGGTGTCAGTCCTCCCAAATTCTGCTGCTGCTTTATCAACTAAGCTTAAGCTTATGTGGTATTCTAAATTCTTTGTTGTCATTTGAACAATATGTACATCATCTTCACCAGGAGCAGGTTGTCTCAAGAAACCACTTTTTTTACTAATGCATAAGAGGCAGCTTCTCATCTACTCAAGTTTTATCATGAGATTGCAGCAATTTAGTCACACCTTCAGGCTCCATCTTCATTTCTTTTTTTTTTCTTTCCTTTTTTTTTTTTTTCTTTTTCTTTGAGACAAGATCTCATTCTGTTGCCCAGGTTGGAGTGCAGTGGCGTAATCACAGCCCACTGCAGCCTCTACTTCCCAGGCTCAAGTGACCCCACCTCAGCCTCCTGAGTAGCTGGTACTACAGGTGCATGCCATCATGCGTGGCTGATTTTTTTTTTTTTTTTGTAGAGACGAGGCCTTGCTATGTTGCCCAGGTTGATCTTGAACTCCTGGGCCCAAGCAATCCTCCCACCTTAGCCTCCCAAAGTGCTGGGAGCCAGCCCAGGCTCTATTTCTAATTCTAGTTCTCTTGCTATTTCTACCACACATGCAGTTGCTTCCTTCACTGAAGTGTTGTACCCTTCAAAGTCATTCATAAAGGTTGGATTCAACCTCTTTCAAACTCCTGTTAGTGTTGATATTTTGACCTCCTCCCATGCTTCACAATTTTTTTTTTCTTTTAAGTGATAGTCTCAATACATTGCCTGGACTGGTCTTGAACTCCTAGGCTCAAGTGATCCTCCCACCTCAGCCTCCCAAAGTGTTGGGATTACAGGCGTGAGTCACCATGCCTGGCCCACAGATGGTTTTAATGGCATCTGGAATGATGAATCATTTCAAGACAGTTTTCAATTTTCTTTTCACAGATCTGTTAGGGAATCACTGTCTATGTCAGCTGTAGCTTTATGAAATGTGTTTCTTAAATAACAAGACTTGAAGGTTGAAACTTTTCCTTGATCCATGGGCCACAGAATGGATGTTGTATTAGCAGGCCTGAAAAAAATCACTAATCTCCTTGTGTACCTCCATCTGAGCTCTTGAGTGACAAGATGCATTGTCAGTGAGTAGTAGTATTTTGAAATGAATCTTTTTTTCTGAGCAGTGGGTCTCATCAGTGGACTTAAAATATTCATTAACCCATACTGTAAACAAACGTGCTGTCATTTAGGCTTTGTTGTTTATTTACTGAGCACAGGCAGAATAGATTTAACATAATTCTTAAGGGCCTTAGGGTTTTCAGAATGGTAAATGATCATTGGCTTCAACTTAAAGTCACCAGCTGCATTATCCTCTAACAGGAGTCAGCCTGTCCTTTGAAGCTTTGAAGCCAGGCATTGATTTCTCCTCTCTAGTTATGGAAGTCTTAGGTGGCATCTTCTTCTGATATAAGGCTGTTTTGTCTACATTAAAAATCTGATTTTTAGTGTAGCCACCTTCATTAATTATCTTAGCTAGATCTTCAGGATAACTTACTTTTTATGTTAGTGGAGGTGGCTTTTTTTCGTAAACTTCATGAACCAACTTCCACCAGCTTCAAACTTTTCTTCTGCAGCCATCTCATCTCTCAACCTTTTTAGAATTGAAAAGTTAGGGCCTTGCTGTGGATTAGGTTTTGGCTTAAGGGACTGTTGTGGCTGGTTTGATGGTTTATCTAGACCACTCAAACTTTCTCCATATCAGCAATAAGACTTTTTCACTTTTTTTTTTTAAATCATTTTTTTGTTCACTAAAGTAGCACTTTTAATTTTCTCCATGTGCCTTTTCTTTGCATTCACAACATGGCTAACTGTGTGGTGCAAGAGGCCTGGCTTTGGGCCGTTGTTAGCCTTCCTAAGTTTAATCATTTCTAGCTTTTGATTTAAAGTGAGAGATAGGTGACTCTTTTCACTTGAACACTTAGGGGCCATTGTAGGGTTATTAATTGGCCTAATTTCCGTATTGTTATGTCTCAGGGAATAGGGAGGCCCCAAGAGAGGGAGATAGAGAAGGTGGAACAGCCAGTGGAACAGTTGGAACACATACATCAGTTACGTTTGCCATCTTACATGGGCACAGTTTGTGGTGCCCCAAAACAATTACAGTAGTAACATGAAAGATTGCTGATCACAGGCCACCATAGCAAATATAATGAAAAAGTTTGAAATGTTGTGAGAATTACCAAAATGTGACACGGAGACATGAAGTGAGCATGTGCTGTTGAAAAAAATGGTGCTGTTGGACTTGCTTGATGCAGGGTTGTCATGAACCTTCAATTTGTATTTAAAAAAAAAGAAAACAACCCCACAATACCAGCCAAGCACAATAAAACAGAGTATGCCTGTACTTCTTTGCGTCATTATGCCAGAATTCCTTAAAGAAGCCACAGTCATAATTAGACCTTGAACTTGGCTGTTTCTCAGCTCAATCCACATTTAATACCATTCTTTATAACGTTCCTTTTTTTACTTCAGAATGAACTCCTTATATTTCCCTTAATGTTTATTTCCCTCTCAGTGCTTAATGCCATGATTTGCACATATTAAATGATGAATAAATATTTTACAAGCCAAAATTTGGAAATACATTTTGTAAAGTCATCATATGTTAAAAAGGTAGCACTTCGTATTCATTGGAACTGCTAACTTTTTGTTTCTTGGACAGTCTTACTCAGCAGCTTGGTTTCAGTTAGTTGTTATAGGCTAATGCCTCCTAGGATTATGTTTTCCAACTTATCCCCTAAATTTTATGTGCTTCAGCTTCATATATCAACCATCTTGTCCTCCAGGTTCTTCAACCACTTGTCCTAAATTGAGCCATCATTATTCCTCTTCCTTCATAATCTGTTGGCAGCTGGCCGAGTTGCTGTCTCTAGGAATTTGTATTATTTCTCTTCATTCCTCATAGATGCAACTTGCCACTAAACTTTGTCCCCTGAATCTTTTTATTTGCCCTTTTCTTACAAGTTTTACTACTCTAATTCAGTCTGTTTTATTGTTTCTACCCCCAAATTATTGCTTGAGTCATTGAGTCTTGCTGCTAGAGTGATCTTCCTCTCAGATCTGATTATGTTCTACTCTTGCTCAGAATTTTATTTCCTATATTTCCTAGGTATAGATTAACAATATGTTGTTCAAATCATTTTTGTGAATTAAAAGAGAAGCTGTTAATATTTATTTCAGAGTAACAGGTTAAAGAGGGACTGTCCCGCTTAAACTGAGATATGGTTACCTCACCCAGATGATAACATTAATTTGTACATTCATTTAAGAAATAATATATCTGATATATTAAAAACCAAGGTTGTAGAGAGGAGTTAGACATGGTCCCTATTCATCAATGACTTGGGAGACATAAGAAAACATAAATGTAATAAATGTTTTAGTTATTAGTGACAAAGGTATGAGTAGGGCTTTGGGATTGCAAGATGGGGAAGGGAACAAGCTTCATGGGGGAGCATTGAATTCCCAGTGTTAAATGTCATGAATTGATTTCTGGATGATCAAGAGAGGTCATTCCAAGCAGAGAGGCAGGAGCAAAAGTACTGATGATGGCAAGCCATGTATACTTGTAGAATAAGAAGCCAATCTGTAAGTCTAGAGCAGGCATTCCCGTTGGAAGTGATATCGCTCCCAAAGATGCAAAAATTGCCTTTTATGGGAGTGGGAAAAAAAATCACAGCTATTGGTATGGTTTGTGGCCCTCTAAAACTCAGCCCTAAACTGACAGTGTCTTATTCTTTAGTATTTAATTAGAGATGGGGCAGTGCTTACGAAAAATTGTCTGAAAGGTTCTTTGGGAGGGGATGAAAATGAAAAAAAGGTTGCAGAACACTGGGGCTAATGTCTAGGATGTTTGGGGATGATGGTACATGATGTGAGATGTTTAATGATGAAGCTGGACGTACTAGCAGGGTTTGGATAATTTCAGAAATTTGGACTCCATCTTATAAATAAAGGAGAAAGAACCGTTGCAGGGTTTAAAGCCTGGAAATAAGATCAGTTTTATAAAGACTACTATGTGAGCATTTTGGAGATGTAATTGAGTGGGGAGGAGCAGACTAGAGACAGGGAGGCTTATAGGTATACAGGTAGACTGGACATGTATTTTATCCAAACTGGGATATTTTCCATGTGAAAGGTAAGACTACTAGTGATTATACTAAGATAATATGGAAACCAAGAAGTATGGTTTTTTTTTTTTTTTTGAGACGGAGTCTCTGTCACCCAGGCTGGAGCGCAGTGGCGCTATCTCGGCTGACTGCAAGCTCCACCTCCCGGGTTCACACAATTCTCTTGTCTCAGCCTCCCGAGTAGCTGGGACTACTGCCGCTCGCCACCATGCCTGGCTAATTTTTTTGTATTTTTAGTAGAGACGGGGTTTCACCATGTTAGCCAGGATGGTCTCGATCTCCCGACCTCGTGATCCACCCACCTCGGCCTCCCAAAATGCTGGGATTACAGGTGTGAGCCACCGTGCCCAGCCACCAAGAAGTATGTTTTGTTGTTAGAAACAAATACAGTAGTTCAGGTGTGAGATAAGGTCCTGGACCCAGTGGTGGCAGCAGTTAAGTGGGATAGTGAGGTATTAAGGAGGTAGAATTGGCCCAACCTGGTCACTGGTTGGAAAGATAATTTCTCCTCCTCCCCCAGACTTTTTTGAAAAACTTTGAAATGAACTATAAAACATAAAGTCCATATGCCCTAAATATACATTGGCAGATGATTAATTTGTTTTGTTTGTTTGTTTGTTTTTTGAGACGGAGTTTCTCTCTTGTCTCCCAGGCTGGAGTGCAGTGGCACAATCTCAGCTCACCGCAACCTCTGCCTCCCGGGTTCAAGGGATTCTCCTGCCTCAGCATCCCAAGTAGCTGGGATTACAGATGCCTGCTACCACACCTGGCTGATTTTTGTATTTTTAGTAGAGACAGAGTTACACCATGTTGGCCAGGCTGGTCTCGAACTGCTGACCTCATGATCTGCCCGCCTCGGCCTCCCAAAGTGCTGGGATTACAGGTGTGAGCCACTGCACCCATGCCCGGCTACTTTTTGTATTTTTAGTAGAGACGGGGTTTCTCCTTGTTGGTCAGGCTGGTCTCGAACTCCCGACCTCAAGTGATCTGCCCGCCTCGACCTCCCAAAGTGCTGGGATTACAGGCGTGAGCAACTGCGCCCAGCCATTGCCAGATTAATTTTTACAAACATATTTTACTGTGTGTATCATGATACAGAATACAGATAAAGAATATTACCAGCACTCCAGAAATTTCCCCTTTTTCCTTCTCAGTCTCCCAAAGGAAACCACTCTTCTGGTTCTGTCATTGCAGATTTTTTTCTTTGTGCCTTTGAACTTAATTTGAGTGGAGTGTTTTTGTTTGTTTGTTTGTTTGTTTGTTTTGTTTTTAAAGACAAGGTCTTGCTGTGTTGCCCAGGTTGGCCTCCAGCCCCTGGGCTCAAGCAATTTTCCCAAGTAGCTGGGAGTACAGGTGTATACCACCATGCCCAGCTCATTGTAAGTATTCTTTCTGGCAGCCAAGAGGACTATGAAGCTACCTTGGTTCTTTGCATTTTGCCTTTGTATTGGACTTTTAACCTCCTCTCTTGGGGCTTTCCTTGCTAGTCATCTGATTATCTATCCTTTATATCCTGACACTAAAATCTCTTCTGTTTCTGTGCATTGCATAGGATGGGAACAGTATGGTAACGGTGTCACTGGCCTTTGAATTTTGCATTTGGACAAGCCTACTTCAAATCTGGACTCCAGTTCTGAGAATTTGACCATAGGCAAGTTATCTAACTTCTCTAGGATTGAATATCTTTTTGGGATTCTTGTGTGGACCAAATGAGATAATATATGTGAAATAATTAGCAAAGTATCTTGATAATAAACAGTAAATGATAGCCTACATATTAGCTGACTATTTTCTCTGTCTGGAAAACCATCCTCTGGCCTGGTACATTCTGATTCTTCACTGAAAGCTCTAGTGCTCATTTGCAGAATTGTGCATCCTTCCTTCCTCACTTTTCCACTCCTCTGTGTTCCTAGATACTTTGCGCCTTCTTCCACCGTAGTAATTACTGTGCTGTGTTATGATTACTTGCATATTTCTCTCTGATTGTAAGCTCCTTGAAGACAGTGAGTGTACCCTTATCTCCCAGTGTTCATTACACAGTACTTGGTACATAGTAGATATCTAAATATTTGTAGAGTAAGTGACTTTAAAAAGAAAATCAAGGCCGGGCGCAGTGGCTCACGCCTGTAATCCCAGCACTTTGGGAGGCCGAGGCGGGCAGATCCCCTGAGGTCAGGAGTTCGAAACCAGCCTGACCGACATGGAGAAACCTCCTCTGTACTAAAAATACAAAATTAGCCGGGCGTGGTGGTGCATGCCTGTAATCCCATCTACTTGGGAGGCCGAGGCAGAAGAGTCGCTTGAACCCTAGAGGCGGAGGTTGCGGTGAGCCAAGATTGTACCATTGTGCACTCCAGCCTGGGCAACAAGAGTGAAACTCTGTCTCACAAAAAAAAAAAAAAAAAAAAAGCAATGTGAAAAATACTGTTCCTTTACTATTCTAGTAGTGATTTCTACTGGTCTAATATTTAAAGTGTTCAGATAAAAAGGCTTGATGAAGTTTGGCAAAATGGCAAAATGTGCTATTACTATTCTCATTAAGAATAAAGTAGAGTTGCCATAAACAGTGTTTTACTTGGCAGTTCTTGAGAGACAATTCAGATGGAGGAAACTTAGTAATATCTTGAAAGAAAGATTCCTTTTCTGCATGGCTTCAAAACACATTTGCAGGGAACATCACAGAAAAATATAGATTAATGCCCATTTTAACTGTTTATGTTCTTTCACCAGATGATTCAAAACGTCTGGGCAAATTTTCATGCTCTGCTAGGTGTTAACGTAATTGCCTACTTAGAAGAAGTTTTTTTGTTTTGTTTTGTTTTGTTTTAGAACTAGGTATTTTTGGTTATTAAAAAGTTAAAGAAGGAGCTGGGAATTTAAAAAATGTAAAATTTAGTATAACCATTTATTAATCTGTTACAGAATTTAGAAAAATGGTCTTCAAATGTACACTTGCAGAGTTTTTTTCTGAATTGGCGAGAGAGCACCATTGTACTTGGAGTCATTTTTGGAGTGAGTCACTGTGCACATCCCTGGTTGGCAGAACAAAGATTCTGTTGTGCTTTCCCACAGCAGATGCACATTCAGAGGGTTCCTTGGAAAGAAAAAGAACTTATTTATACTTCTGGGGCCCCTTGACCTTCATTTGTAAATCCAGTTGGATAGAAGGGGAATGTTAGATCTGGATGAGACCTGGATTATCTGGATGAACATCTTTTCCAGGCCCATCATTTTACGTGTGTTGGAGATTCCCAACTCGATGAGCTTGACTATAGAATGAGCGATTTTATTAAAAACTTTAGATTGTGGAGGCATAAGCAACACATGTTTGAGGCATAAGCAACGCATGTTTGGCATTACATGCCAAAGGTGAGACACATTCTCCACTATTTTAATAAAATTGCTCATTCTGTTTTTATTTACAGCCAGACCTTAGTTTACCTAGGCTGGTCCAAGGTAAAGTCAAATGATAAACACAGTGTTATAGAGTTCACAGTCAGTCTGTCCCTTGCAAAGACCAAGATTTTTGTCGTGTAGTCAGGCTCATCATGCCTGCCTCCTTCTTCCCTTTGGAGAATTCTGAGGGAAATTCCTCAATCTCTCAGAATCAAAATCTTAAGTGTCTAAACTTCCAAATGACTGCAGCTTTTCTCAAGTTAAGAAGCCAAACTAAAATAGGTTACCATCCTCTTTTTTTTTTAGGAAAGAGTTTATGAGTGTCACAAGTGCCTGGTGTGGAGTTTGGATTATTTATAGGATTATTAAATGACTCTCTGAGGCACAGGTGAATACATAATTTTTTTGAGGGAGATTGCCTAATGAACATTTGTGCGGTAAATATTAAGTAAGCACTGTTTCATGTGCCAGGGATAAAAGATTAAAGATAGTTCTTCCATCTGGGGAGGAGATAGCAAAACACATGGACAATTAAAATATGGCCTAATTAAATACTGTGATAATTATAAATATCAGGTGCTCAGAAGTTTGTAGGAAGGCCTTTGGGGGAGAAGAGCAAAGGGTAGGCAGGTGCTGTTCAAGTTGTTTTAGAAAAGGGAACCCTGATGAGTTTAGGATACAGTTGGCCCTCCATATCTGTGAGTTTTGCATTTGTGGATTCAACCAACCGAGATTGGAAAATAAGTTAGGCCCATGATCGTTGTGCCTGTGCTGAACAGGTACAGACATTTTTCTTGCTAGTATTCCCTAAACAATACAGTATAGCAACTCTTTACATAGCATTTCCACTGTATTAGGTATTAATAAATAATCTAGAGTAATGATTTAAAGCATACAAGGGCCAGGTGTGGTGGCTCGTGCCTGTAATCCCAAAACATTGGGGGCTGAAGTGGATCCTCAAACTCCTGGCTGCTTGAGCCCAGGAGTTTGAGACCAGCCTGGGCAACATGGTGAAACCCTATCTCTACAAAAAAGTACAAAAATCAGCAGGGTGTGGTGGTGCATGCCAGCTACTCAGGAGGCTGAGATGAGAGGATCGCATGAGCCCAGGAGGTTGAGGCTGCAGTGAGCTGTGATCGTGCCACTGCACTTCAGCCTGGGCAACACAGTGAGACCCTGTCTGAAAAAAAAAGAAAAAGAAAATAAAGCCTACCAGAGGATGTCTGTAGGTTATATGCAAATACTACACCATTTTATATAAGGGACTCAAGTGTCTATGGGTTTTGATATCCACAAAGGCTCTTGGAATGAACCCAGTGGATACCAAGGAACAACTATATATAGAAATTTAAGTGTAGAAGGGAAGGTGTGTTTCTTGAAAGGGTAACAGCATATGCCAAGGCCACAGGATACGTATGGTATGTACATGCAAGTTGCCTAGGCAGCTGGAACACTGGGACAAGAATGAATGGTAAAGTAGATGAAGCTGGAGGAATTGTCAGGATCCAGATCATGAGGAATTGTGTTCTCCTTATTAAGGAATTTAGATTTGGCTTCCAGAAAGATCGCTTTGGCAGTATATGTGAAGAGTGGATTTTACCGTGGGCATGGTTTGTCATGCCTGTAATCTCAGCACTTTGAGAGGCCGAGGTGGGCAGATCACTTGAGGCCAGGAGTTCGAGGCCAACCTAGCCAACATGGCAAAATGCTGTCTCTACTAAAAATACAAAAAATTTGCTGGGCATGGTGATGCGTGCCTTTAGTCCCAGCTGCTTGGGAGGCTGAGGCGTGAGAATTGCTTGAACCTGGGAGGCGGAGGTTGCAGTCAGCTGAGATTCAGCCACTGCACTCCAGCCTGGGCAACAGAGTGAGACTGTGTCTCAAAAAAAAAAGAAAAGAAAAAAAAAAGAATGGATTTTAGAATCCAGTTATTTCAGTTATTCACTGGGAAATACTGAATTTCTAAATTGCCTCATTTGCAATAGTAAACGGAGATATTTCGAAAGTAGAATTGACAGATTTCTGGCCAGAGCCAATGAACCTGAGTACTGTTAACTAAATTAGGGAACCAGTAATGAATTTTGCACTTGAGTTGCTGATGGGTCAGCCAGGTTGAAAGTGTTCAGTGTCCAGTAGAACATATAGTATCTAAGTTTAGTGGAGAGCTTTGGGCTAGAAATACAAATATGGGAGTCATAGGCATATGTGATAGTTGAAGCTATGGATGTGGAAGGTATTCCTAACAGTAGAGAGTCTCTAGTGAATAAAAGGCAGCTGTTGGCAGTTCTGGTAACATAAACTTTATAAACATTTATAGGAATAAGAAAAAAATGAGAAACCTATGAAGGAGACTTAGATGGAGCAGATGGACCCAAAATAACAAAAAGTAAAAACTGAAAAAAAGCAGCCGCCGCAGAAAGCTAATAATGGAAATAAAATACTGAAGACTTGCATACTGTATGGTGGTTATTGGATGCCTGTTGCTGTTATGAAAACTTTATATACATTTAATCCTTCAAGAAACCCTGTGAAAGAAGGTATTATTATCCACATTTTACATACGGGGAAATTGAATCACAGAGAGATTAATTAGTCTAATGTCACACAGCTAGACCCAGTGTAGTCAGGATTCAAACCTAGGCAGTCTGATTTCATAGTCTGTGCTTATAATCGTTGCTTAATGTTTCTCATTAAGACGAGAATCCAGAAAGAACCATATTACAGAAGGGATAGGAGAGAGAATGACATGTCAGCAGTCAAATGCTGTAGAGAATTCGAAGAGAGATAAGGATTGAAAAGTACATGTGGAATTTAGAATTAACAAGTATTAGGTGACTTCATAATGCATGGTAGGATCAGAAAAGTGAAGTGAAAGGCTACACTTTGAACTTATAAACAATTGGATGCTCAATCTTTTGATACGTTGTAATTTCAGTGGTTAATTATTGAAGTCCTAAAGTTTAAGCATATCATTGAGACTTTCATTCTTAAAAATTAAAATTTTAGGGTGTAATTTTTTAAAATTATACTTTAAGTTCTCAGATACATGTGCAGAACGTGCAGGTTTGTTACATAGGTATACACATGCCATGGTGGTTTGCCGTACCCATCAACCTGTCATCTACATTAGGTATTATTTATCCTAATGCTATGCCCCCCCGCCCTCCAGCCCCGCCGCAACAGGCCCTGGTGTGTGATGTTCCCCTCCATGTGTCCATGTATCCTCATTGTTCAGCTGCCGCTTAAGAGTGAGAACATGCAGTGTTTGGTTTTCTGTTCCTGTGTTAGTTTGCTGAGAATGATTAGTAAATGCGTGAGCCACCATACCTGGCCATCTCACACCTCTGTTTCATTTTTCAATCCAGGGTCTAGTCAAGGTATGTTACGTTACATTTGGTTACCATAGTCTCCTTTAATCTAGAACAGTCCTGTTTTTTTTTTTTTTCCTTTCATGAACATTGCACTTTTGAAGAGCCTGGCCGGCTGCCTTATAGAATGTATCATGATCTGGATTCATCTGGTTGTTTTCTCATGATTAGATTAAGGTGAAATGATTTTGTTGAGAAACTGCATAGGTGGTGGTCTGTACTTCCCGTATTGTCCCATCACTGACACACATTGTCAGTTCTTTCCATTATTGGGCATACTAAATAGGATCATCTGCATCTCTTTTGTTTTAAAGGTACAATGCTATAATTTATAAGTGATCCAAAGTTATAGTTGGAGAATGTGTGAATGTCGTGTTCTCCAACAGTGGTTTTACCTTGTGATTTTAGCATTCATTGATAATCCTCACCTAAATTAACTATTACTTTGCTGTTACAAAGTGATAATTTTCTTTTTTTCTTTTTTTGAGACAGAGTCTCCCTTTGTCACTCAGGCTGCAGTGCAGTGGTGTGATCTTGGCTCACTGCAGCCTCTGCCTCCCAGGTTCAAGCGATTCTTGTGCCTCAGCTTCCTGAGTAGCTGAGTCTGCAGGCATGTGCCATCACACCCGGCTAATTTTTGTATTTTTTTTTAAAGTAGAGATGGGGTTTCCACTGTGTTGCCTGGGCTGGTCTGGAACTCCTGACCTCAAGTGATCCTCTCACCTTGACCTCCCAAAGTGCTGGGATTATAGTTGTGGACCACCATGCCTGGCCATAATTTTCTGATTCTATATTTCTTTTACATTTGTTAGTTGTTTTCTGTATAGAAGAGCTTTCCTCACCTTCCTTTCTCCTCTCTTTTTTAAATCACTATGAAGTAATGGATTATTTTTTGTGTTCAATATTGTCATCCTTTTTAATTATTAAAGTGCTCCAAATATAGCCAGTGGAAGCCCTTTCAAAGTCAGGTCCTATGTCCTTTTGATGTGACCCCATTAGTCTTTAAGTACTTTTTTGCTTTCTGGCATAAAAAGATGTTCCAGGTCCTGACTTTCTTTGCTCTAGTACTGAAGTCAGCCGTTTATCCAAAGAACTTCAGTCCCCTTTAGTGAGAAATGAATTTAGAAACCAAAGTCTGGGCTCCAGTTGTGGTAAATGTTTTATACCTCTTTACTGCCATTTTGCCGAATGTTGTTTATACCTCCATGAATGAGAAAATCAATAAGTTCTATGTTTAATATATGGTATTAACTTTGGCATATTGTTTAAATCTCCAAAATGCTTTAGTAGTCTGTGTATTTTAATCCTTATTTTGTAATTTTAGAATATATTTACCATGTGATAGCCTCTCTGCTGCACATTTAATAAACATTTAAAAATTTTGTATTTTTAGTAGAGACGGGGTTTCACTATGTTGTCCAGCCTTGTCTCGAACTCTTGACCTCAGGTGATCCACCCACTTCGGCCTCCCAAAGTACTGGAGATTACAGGCGTGAGCCACTGCTAACTGGGGGTGGTGGTGGGCGCCTGTAATCCCAGCTACTCAAGAGGCTGAGGCAGGAGAATCGCTTGAACCCGGGAGGTGGAGGTTGCAGTGGGCTGAGATCGTAACACTACACTCCAGCCTGGGCAACAAGAGTGAAACTCTGTCTCAAAAAAACAATCGTTTGTGTTCAGAGATATTTTATCTTTTCTGTGGTACAGATAATAAACGTTAAGCAGATTATCCAAGTTTACACAAGTAGTAACTAACAGAGCTGAAATAGGCATAATTTAAACACGGTTGTCTCCAGAGTCCAAATTGGGTTTTTTTTTGTGTGTGTGTGTGTGGTGCTGTTTTTTTAGAGACCAAGTATCTCCACATTGCCCAGATTGGCCTCCTACTTCTGGGCTCAAGTGATCCCTCCTGCCTCAGCCTCCTGAGTAGCTGGGACTGCAGGCATCTGCCACTGCATCCAGCTGTCTTCCACATTGTTAGACTGCCTTCCAAATGATTTGTAGAAGATTCCTCAGCATAACTTTTCATTATAGAACCATAGCTGCAGAATGTATGTATGATACAGTTGAATTTGTGCTGACCTTAGGATCTATCCTGGGACATTTTTCTTTGTTAAAATTCCTGGGATAGATTTATTTTCTAGGTTAAGAAGAGAATGAATAAAATATCTTGGTTAATGAAAGTTTTGGATAATGATGTTTTATTGAAAGTTTTGTGTGCCTGGGTGCGGTGACTCACACCTATAATCCCAGCACTTTGGAAGGCCAAGGTAGGAGGATCCTTTGAGCTTAGTTCAAGACCATCCTAGGCAACATAGACCTTGTCTCTACAAAGGAAAAAAAAAAAGCTGGGGGTGGTGGCACACTCGAGAGTCTCAGGAGGGAGGATCACTTGAGCCTGGGAGGTTGAGGCTGCAGTGAGTCGTGATTGTGCCACTGTACTCCAGCCTGGGCAACATAGCGAGAGCCTGTGTCAGAGAAAAAACGTTGTATGTGATGAATTAAGTGTATCATAGGTAAGAAATTCACTTGTTTTAAACTTTAAGAACCAGAAAAATGCAAAAATTTTTTAAGCATCCCAGTTTGAGTTTTCCAAGTTTTGGTTGATTTTCTAAACACCTGTAGAAGGACAGTGAGGAGAATTGGGAAATGGAGTTTCCGAGAGCAGCACAGTTGCTTGGCATAACATTGTAAACTAAGGAAGGGGAAAAAATTCCAACCTGCTTAATTAGAAATATATGTTTAAATTAGTAATTACTTGTTTATACAGTGCTCCAAATATGAGTTTATTTTCATTTAACAACTAAATTGAAAATCCACAGAATATACCTGCAATGAATGCTGTAAGTAAGAATTGTTTAAAGGGTATACAAGAGTTGTCTTGTTATACAATGGCAGCTGTCCACCCACCTCAGCTTATCCCACCTTCGCTATAAAAACTACTGGCTGAGAGGGTGTAGCTTATCTGTTTTAGGAAGTACCAAGTCATCACCACTTCCTCACCTTCTTCTTCTTTTTTTTTCGCCCCTAGGTAGAACCCATTATTTTATTCCCTAATCCTGAGCTGGTACTTGTTTTTCTAATACCCCTGGACAATTTCTGCAGTATTTTGTTGCAGTTACAGAACTAGTGCTGAATCAGATGTTACTGATCTGGGATGTCAGGATATGCCAGGTGGATAGTTTTCCCACCCTTCTCATGACTTCCCTCTTTTTTTTTTTAATTGAGACAGGGTTTTGCTCTGTTGCCCGGGCTGGAGTACAGTGGTGTGATCTCCGCTCACTGCAGCCTCCGTGCCCGGGTTCAAGCAATTCTCATGCCTCAGCCTCCCAAGTAGCTGGGACTACAGGTGTGCGCCACCATGCCCAGCTAATTTTTTTGTATTTTTAGTAGAGACGGGGTTTTGCCATGTTGGCCAGGCTGGTCGTGAACTCCTTACCTCAAGTAATCCGCCCACTCTGCCTCCCAAAGTGCTGGGATTATAGGTGTGAGCCACTGTACCCAGCCGACTTCCCTCTTGAAAGCTACATAGAGCAGCTTTCAAGTGCATTCAGCGTAAATGATTAGCACCTCCTTGAATCTAGCATTTAAATTTTTTACTGCCGAAGACTGTCTGTAAGACTTCCAGTCTGACTCTGTCAGGGTTCTTTCTTTTTTTATTTGTGACTTTATGCCTAATAGATAATATAGTACCTCAAGCTTATCTTGCAGATAATTGACACAAAAGCCCCAAGAAACCCTTTTCCAAGCTCAGCATTACAGACTCCACAACTCCATGCTGTCCTGTGTAAACAAAATGCCATAACCCCCACATCATATGAAAAAGAATTAATCAGCTCACCACTACAACCATTCTTTATTCTGTTTTGTGAATGCTTAGCATTCTTGTGACCCTCAAACTAGGTACACAAAGAAAGGGACTAGGATTTACTAGGCATCTTAATGCTTGTTGTCTTTCGCTATTAATAGGTCAGACAATCCAGAGTGACATAGATCCCACTTATAAACAGTGGTTCTCAAACTTTAGTGTGCAGAAGAATCACCTGTAGGACCTATTAAATCACAGACTGCTGGTCCCTACAACCCAGATATTCTGATTGACTAGATCTGGGGTGAGGCCTGATAATTTACATTTCTACAAAGTTCCTAAATGATGCTGATTGTGCTGGTTCAGGATCTCACAGGGTTATTACTTACATGCAACAGAACCCAATTTTGGCCAATCGAAAGAAATAATTTACTGAAAGGATTCTGGGTAGCTACAGAATTACTTGGAATACTGGAAAACCAGACTTGGGGCTAGGCTTGGGATACTAGAAAAACAGGCTTGGGTCTGTGACCCTTATCACAGATTTGGTAGATACTACTGCTACTAGCAGTGAATAGTGAGTGCCACAGTTTGCACTGTGGACCACCTGTACTGTCCATTGCGTATGTTGTAGACCCTTGATATGGTTTGGCTCTGTGTCCCCACCCAAATCTCACGTTGAATTGTAATCCCCAGTGATGGGGGAGGGACCTGTGGGAGGTGATTGGATTATGGGAGCAGATTTGCCCCCTTGCTGTTCTCGTGATGGTGAGAGTTCATTCTCTTGAGATCTTGAGTTGTTTAAAAGCATGTAGCACTTTTGTTCTACTTTGCTGTCTCTCTCCTGCTGGCTATGTCGAGATGTGCTTGCTTCCCTTTCACCTTCCACCATGATTTTAAGTTTCCTGAGGCCTTCCCAGGCATGCATCCTGTACAGCCTGCAGGACCATGAGCCAAACCTCTTTTCTTTATAAATTACCGCGGCTCCGGTAGTCTTTTTCTTTTTCTTTCTTTCTTTTTTTTTTTTTTTTTTTTTGAGACAGAGTCTTGCTCTGTCACCCAGGCTGAAATGAAGTGGCATGATCTTGGCTTGCTGCAACCTCCGCCCCTCAGGTTCAGGCGATTCTCCTGCCTCAGCCTCCCAAGTAGCTGGGATTACAGGCACCTGCCACCACGCTCAGCTAATCTTTGTATTTTTAGTAGAGATGGGGTTTCACCATGTTGACCAGGCTGATCTCCAACTCCTGACCTCAGGTGATCCACCCACCACAGTCTCCCAAAATGCTGGGATTACAGGTGTGAGCCACTGTGTCCAGCCGGGTAGTTCTTTATAGCAGTGTGAGAATGGACTAATACAACCCTGCTGCAGCCACTGGCTGCCCAAGCGGATTCTATGCAGTTCTTGCTTCTCGGTGTCACTAGCTTCTGATTTAAAGTCTGGGATGAATATGTCTAATTGGTAACACTTGAATAATTTGCCCCTGCCTTTGTTGTATGGGAGGTTGGAAAAATAAAAATTTGGTGTTTTCAGCTTTCATGGTGGGAGACAGAACTCCACTGAAACTTATAAGGTGGTCTGTTGTCAGAGAGGAGCTCATTCATGCTTGGCCACACTGTAGCTATTTTTGACCATATGTTTCAGGAGCTAACAAAATATGACCAGCTATTTTTGTAAGTAAAGTTTTATTGGAACAGTCACACCCATTCATTTACCTGTTGTCCATGGCTGTTTTCATATTATAAAAGCAGAGCTAAATAGTTGTGATAAAAAACCATCTGGGCCACAAATATTTACTATTTGGCCCTTTATTGAAAAAGTTTGTCAACCCCTGACAGGAATAATGCTGACATACATACATATATATATATATATGAAGAGAGAGAGAGAGTCACACACAGACAGACAGACACACGGAGTCTCGCTGTGTCGCCCAGGCTGGAGTGCAGTGGCGCAATCTCAGCTCACTGCAAGCCCTGCCTCCTGGGTTCACACTATTCTCCTGCCTCAGCCTCCCAAGAAGCTGGGACTGTAGGCGCCCGCCACCATGCCCGGCTAATTCTTTGTATGTTTAGTAGAGACGGGGTTTCACCGTGTTAGACAGGATGGTCTTGATCTCCTGACCTCATGATCTGCCTGCCTGGGCCTCCCAAAGTGCTGGGATTATAGGCGTGAGCCACCACACCTGGCCATAATGCTGATATTTTAGTTCAGGGTCATGCAGTCAACATTACAGATGTTGTGAAGGACTACATGTTCATTTGTCCAAATTGTCCCTTTAAAATAAGGAGATTACAAACAAATATTTGAAGCTCTTTGAGGAGGGGCTTTTCAGATTTAAAGTGATAAACCTTATTAGTCTCTCTTTAGGCAGAGAACTGAAGATACATGTATATCTCAAACTTGTGAGTGAAATTCTCTTTCAGACTTTAACATTGAAAAGTTAATTTCTAATTCTTTCTCATATATTCATGGCATTGTTAATGATGTGCCGAAGATGTCCTGTAACTTGAGAAAGGAGAAAATTATATGATATAAGTTTAGTTGAGAGTCTTAGAAAATTCTGGTTCCCTGTAACACTAGCCTACCCACATGGAGTAAGTCAAGTTATGGGAGTTCTGTTTGCCATAACCTAACTTTTGTGTATTACAATTTTCAGAACTTGTTTGCCACCAGAACAAGTTGTCTTGTCAAAAATTACAAGCACATTTCCACAGGATAGACATTTTGTGAGTGCCTGCCTGCCTACACCTAACTCAGTGGTTGGGGCCCAGGCAGCCGTGTTTGTAGTACAGACATTCCTTGACTTACAATGGGGTTATATCATAATACAACCATGGTAAGTTGAAAATCTTGTAAGTCAGAAATGCATTTAATATACCTTACCTACCAAAAATCATAGCTTAGCCTACCTTAAACATGCTCAGAACACTTACATTAGCCTACAGTTGGGCAAAATCATCTAACGCAAAGCCTATTTTATAATAAAGTGTTGTGTATCTGGTATGATTTATTGAATACTGTACAGAAAACGGTGAAAAACAGAATGATTGAATGGATATTCAAATTATCGTTTCCCAGGCTGTCATCACCAAAAAAAAAAAAAAAAAAAAAAAAATTAGCTGAGCATGGTGGTGCACGCCTGTAGTCCCAGCCACTTGGAAGGCCAACGTGGGAGGATTGCTTCAGTCCTGGAGATCGAGGCATCAGTGAGCTATGATTGCCGTCACTGCACTCAGCCTGGGTGACAGAGTGAGACCCCGTCTCTAAAAGCAAAACAAGACAGAAACATAATTCAGTGTCCACTGAATGCATATCGCTTTTGCATCATTGTAAAGTCAGGAAATCTTGTCGAACCATTGTAAGATGGGGACTGTCTCTATATGGCCACACTTACTCCGGCTATTGTTACATAATAAGGCATGAAAAAATGGGGGAAAGTGTATAATTTGGGAAGAAAGAAATAATACTGTATTCATAGGCAGGGCCATTGTATATGCAGAGAATCAAAAATAATCTACAAACTCTGAAAATTAAGTGAATTTATTAACAAGATGGTTGGACTCAAGTTTATTATATAGAATCAATTGATTTATGTAAACCAGCAATAAACCAAAAAGCCTCTAGTTTAAAAAATGACTCTTTTTGAGACAAGAATCTCACTCTGTCACGCAGATTGGAGTGCAGTGGCATGATCCCGGCTCACTGCAACCTCTACCTCCCAGGTTCAAGTGATTTTTGTGCCTGAGCCTCCTGAGTAGCTGGGATTGTAGGCATGCACCACCACACATAGCTAATTTTTGTATTTTTAGTAGAGACGGGGTTTCACCATATTAGCCAGGCTGGTCTCGAACTCCTGACCTGAGTTGATCTCCACTCACTTTGGCCTCCCAAAGTATTGGGATTACAGGTGTGAGCCACCACACCCAGCCAAACATGACATTATTTAAAAATACTAGAAAACTAAATATTTAAGAATAAATCCAACAAAAAGTATAGAAAATTTATTTACTGAATACTACAAAGTGTTCGTGTTAGTCTGGGTTCTGTTAGAAGCAGTTGTCACAACAATATTAGACATGCAAGGAATTTATTAGGGAAAATGCCTCTGAGCAAAAATGGAGAGAGTTGGTAGAGCATTCACACCAGAATGCTCATGTGACATTTGTGAAGGAGAGACGAAAGGAAGTTTGAGTGGAAGAGCCTTAGACTGCACTGTAACAGTGGTTTAGCAAGGTGGAAGGAGAATCCTTGAACCCATCAGAGTATTCCTGAGTCTCCCAGAACAGGCATTCCTTAGTATTTTTACCAGGCTCAGTTATTGATTGGGAGTATCGCATGGGAAGCTGGGCCCCAGTTCAAACATGTTGATAAATTACAGAGCCCCGTAATAGGGATTTTGTTCAAATACACTCCCTGTAGTTTGGAATCTGAGAGGCATATTTTCAAGGCCACCTGAGCTTACACTTTGCACCACACAAATCTACTTCTTCACATAGGTTTGAAGTTCAGGGAGCAGCTCCTCCATGGCTCTCAATGAGCTTCTTTTCCTGAGAAGAAACTTAGACAAGAGATGGTGGTGGGAAGAATTATAGCCCCTGTATGGTTGATCTCGGGGTTGCAACTGGTACTTATCCTCTCTCCTCCACTATGCATTTTGTTTTCTCCTCACATAATCAGCTCTGCAGGTCTCAGTGGCTTATATGTTGGTATGACTCAAGCCTTCTTTCCTGAAATGTCTGAACCCTTGGTAATCATTCTTCTCAGGCTAATGCTGGGATATATATCCGTTTACAGTTACAGTGAGGTAAAGGAATAACCAAGCGAGTCATGTGGATTCCACACATTCCTCTCTGTTCACATTACATAAAAGCAGCCCTGCGTCCACCTACTGCTCAGGATCAGTTATCCCTGCCAAAATGGCAACTCTTCTTACCTGCTGATTCTTGGGCCCTGGTGTTTAAAGTGCCCTGGTGGCAGCTGTAAACTTGTTCACTGAGACTCTTGTACTGTTGCCTGGCAAGAGTATAGGCCTTTGGAACCAGGACCTGCAAACATGCAGAGTCCATAGCTGTAGGAATGGGAAGTACAAAATCCCTTTGTGGCTCATTGGGAATAATGATAAATGGGTGACTCTTGCTTCTACTCATTTGTTTCTAGGCCCATCTGTTCTTCCTGCTGTATACACTGCTCCATATAGAGGTCTGTGGTTTGATGTATCTTCATATTAAAAGGTGTCATTCCATTATTTCACATTATTGCCTTTAAGCTGAAAGTTCAGCTATGCCTTTATAAGGTTATTACAGCGTTCTGTGAGGCCAGTTGCTTCTGGATTGTGTGGTATGTGATATGACTAGTGGTCCCAAGGTTGTGATCATACTCCTGTGTTTGCTTTGAATTGGGTCCACTGGTTGGACTCTGGTATGTGGGATTCTAGTCCTGTGGTTCAGGCATTCTGGAAGCCCCTGGATTATGATCCTGGCTGAACCTCTGAGGTAAGTAAGATAAACCCAAACCCAGAATATAGATATCTATCACTGTGAAATGAACTACTGGCCGTTCTGGGATGAGAGACACCATATATAGTCTACTTGTTATCAAATGACTGGTTGCTCTTCTTGAATAATAGGATCATATCAGGAACTCATACGGTTGGTCTCTGTTGCTGACAGGTTGGACATTCAGAAGTAGCAGTAGCTAGACAGACCTTGATAAGTGGAAGTTTATATTGTTGGACACATGTGTAGCCTCTATCTAGTGTCATTGTGGTCAGTCTAATCATCTATTAATTGTGCCAGTTCTGGGATATCCTTTTTTATCTTCATGGTTGTTCAGTGCCTCTTCCATGTTTAATGCCTTTTGGTGGGCATTAGTGTGGAATACAGAAAACTTTATACACTTTGTGCCCATTCCCATGTCTCCATCCTGTGTCTTTACCCTATCCCTCCTTGTCCCTGATCTTTTTGTCTTTTTCCTTCTAGACCCCTGACCAGACATCCATGCACTGGAATTTACATATATTTTCACCTTGGGCCACTGTCTTGTCTGTTTTGTGTTGCTATAACAGAATACTTGAGGCTGGGTCATTTATAAAGAAAGAGCTTTATTTGGCTCACAATTCTGGTGACTGGAAGATTCTAGATTGGCCACCTGCATCCAATGAGGGCCTCAGACTGCTTCTACTCATGGCAAAAAGTGAAAGGGGAGCAAGTGTGTGCAAGATCACATGGCAGGCTGGGCGCAGTGGCTCACGCCTGTAATCTCAGCACTTTGGGAAGCCAAGGCAGAATTGCTTGAGCCCAGGAGTTCGAGACCAGCCTGGGCAGCAAAGCAAGACCTTGTCTCTACAGAAAATAAAATAAATAAATAAATAAAACTAAATGGGCATGGTGTTGTGTGCATGTGCCTGTAGTCCCAGCTACTCAGGAATCTGAGGTGGGACGATTGCTTGAGCCCAGGAGGTTGGGGCTGCAGTGAGCCATGCTGATGCTGCGAAAAAAAAAAGAGATCACGTGGTAAGGGAGGAAGCAAGAGAGAGAAACCAAGGAAGCCAGACTTTTTTTAACAACCCTCTCTCGGGGGAACCAATTGGTTTCTGTGAGAGTGAGAACTCACTTACCCCCTCAGACAAGCATTGATCTATTTACAAGGGATCCACCCGCATGACCCAAACAGCTCTTGCTAGGTCCTACCTGCTAACACTGCTACATTGGGGATCAAATTTTAGCATGAGTTTTGGCAGGGACAAACCATATCCAAACCATAGCAGCTGCTATCCTTTGGCATGACCCATATCTACTGCTCACAACTCTACCCATTGAGGAGATTTTTCCTTTTCTCTTTCTTTTAAGGCTGTTCCTGAATGTGACTTCAACATAGCCTGTCAAAAAAAGAGTTAATAGAACAGATCTGAGACTGCTGTCCTTAGGAAGACCTATTTGTAAAGTAGTCTTTTTTGGCGGCTGGCATCTGGGAACTTGGATTTCAGGAATGTTCCCAGCATTTCATAACTGATAAGATTTAAAATATAGACATTCTTATCCAGGGTTAACAGACTTTTTCTATAAAGGGCCAAATAGTGAATGTTTTAGGTTTTGTGGCCCAGATGATTTTTCTTACAACTACTTAACTCTGCTTTTATAGCATGAAAAGAGCCATAGCCAATAGGTAAATGAATGGGCATGGCTATGTTTAGCAGTATCTCTTCTACCTACATGATGCCAGTAGCACCACTCCCTCAAAATTGTGACAGCCTAAAATAACTCCAGACGTTGCTAAATATCACCAAGATGGGAAGAATCAGTCTTAGTTCAGGACTACTACAATGATTTTTTCAGGTGGATCTTTACTTCACTTTAGATATTTCCGGATGTCCTATCTTATGAAAAACGTTTTATATATTTGTCTTTTTTGTTGTTGTTTTTAGTTGTTTTAGGTGAAGAGTAAGTCTAGTTTCTTTTATTTTATCTTGACCTAAAGCCAAAGTCACTTCGACATTGCAGGAGGTGTCCTGACGTGCCCCCAACCACTGTATCCCGAAAAACTTCACTGAAATGGCATATCTTTTGAGTCTTCATAGTGTTTATCTCCCATTTTCTGGAGCCGCATGTGTGTTACCAAGGACTCTAAGGGTACCAGTCACCTCTAGCCTATTCTTTTATTCATTCTGTCCAATCAGCATGATGTAATATATGTAAATAGATCAGGAGGTTTAGATGTCTGTCCCCCACCCAACCCCCACTGACTGTGTTATGACAGAGAGCGGAAGAGTTAAGAGTCCTAAGATAAAACTGTAAGTTAATATTGCCTTGCATGGATGCAGATTTTTTTCTGATCTTCTAATTGGAATGGAAAGTAAAGTAATGGAAAGTAACACCACATCAGTATTTGAGGCTTAATCAGCTTCAGCAGCAATATTATGGCTGAGACTGCAGGCTGTGATTAGGGCTAGAATTTGGTTCATTCTGTGGTAGTCTGCACAGTCATTTTTTAGGATCTGTCTGCTTTCTCCATAAATTAAATAGAATACAATAGAAACTATTACCTCTGCGTACTTCTGAGTCTTTACTGGTGGCACTAGTCTTTATTCTGTGCCCCTCTGGAAGAAATAGTCTTTTATTTACTGTCTTGTTCTGGGGAATGGGGCAGAGGTTTCCACTTGGCTTTTTCCATTGTGACGGCTTTTACCACACAGGTCATGGACCCATTATTTAGGGTATTCTAACTGCCAAGTATATAAATTCTAATTATAAACTGAGGGAGTGGGGAATGACCATTATTAGGTGGATCTGCAGACTCAGTGGACCCACTGTGAGCCACACTTTTGCCATGACTCTCTTTATTACCTACATTCAGCAGGTTCTGGCTGAGTGGTTGGTGCTTTTACCCCGTAGAGCCTCAATTGGGATCATTCTTTTAGTTCCATTCAATTGGTAGCTCTAAGCTGCTCTAGGAAGGCATAACTTACATATCTAGTACCTTGGTGTTATTCCATGTGGCCTTTCTGCCTCCCTAAGGCTAGCTGGAGCTTCCTCACAACATTAGTGGTCTCAGGGTGCTTGAATCTTTTATACAACCTCACTTCTATCGTATTCTTTTGGTCAGAACAAGTCACAGAGCCAACCCACATCTGTGGGGAGGGCACATAGATTCCAGGTTTTGATGGGTAACTGGCAAGACTGCATTGCAAAAGAGCATATGGGATAAGAAATACCTCTGTGGCCATCTTTGGAAATACAGTTTACCATATCAGTGCTTCATCTGCTATCTGCTAAAATTTGGTAGACCTTTCTTTTAACCTATTCAAATCTTTATTTTTATATACTTAAATATCTTTTTCACTGTTACTTTAGTAAGGATTTAGCAGAAATAAATGTGGTTGTTCAATTCACTGTGGTTAATTGACAGTTGTTATCTTTGGAATTAGAGATTATTGCCTTTTTTTTTTTTTTTTTTCCCTTGAGATGGAGTCTCAATCGCCTAGACTGGAGTGCAGTGGTGCGATCTCGGCTCACTGCAACTTCTTCCCAGGCTCAAGCCATCCCTCACACCTCAGCTTCCTAAGTAGCTGGGACTACAGATGTGTACCACAAGCCTGGCTAATTTTTTTAAATTATTTTTTGTAGAGGCAAGTTTCACCATGTTGCCCAGGCTGGTCTCTAACTCCTGGGCTCAAGTGATCCACCCACCTTGGCCTCATACAGTGCTGGGATTACAGGCGAGAGCCACTGTGCTCAGCTTGATGCTTTTCTTTTCTTTTCTTTTTCTTTTTTTTTTTTTTTTTTTTTTTTGAGATGGAGTCTCACTCTGTCACCCAGGCTAGAGTGCAGTGGCACAATCTCAGCTCACTGCAAGCTCCGCCTGCCGGGTTCACGCCATTCTCCTGCCTTAGCCTCCCGAGTAGCTGGGACTACAGGCACCTGCCACCATACCCGGCTAATTTTTTGTATTTTTAGTAGAGATGGAGTTTCACTGTGTTAGCCAGGTTGGTCTTGATCTCCTGACCTCATGTTCCGCCCGCCTCGACCTCCCAAAGTGTTGGGATTACAGGCGTGAGCCACCGTGACCAGCCTAGCTTGCTGCTTTTCTTAATGGCTCCGTGTTGTCTTATTAACCTACTAGAAAACAAGTTGTCTTTAGTTTCTCCCCCAGTACCCCCACTACTATCTGATAATTTTCTTGGCCAGTTGTATATCAGAGTGGGAAGGCAGTGTTTGGAAGTAGTTTGCCCTGGTATAAAGGCATTATTCCTCATAGGAAATAGGAAGTATGTTTTTTATAGCGAATTTAAGCTTGTCTGCTTTTTATTTTTTATTTATTTATTTTTTATTATACTTTAAGTTTTAGGGTACATATGCACAACGTGCAGGTTAGTTACATATGTATACATGTGCCATGTTGGTGTGCTGCACCCATCAGCTCGTAGCTTGTCTGCTTTTAATCTTAAATGACATCAGTGGTACAATACTATTTGCTGTTAGGGATCTATAGACTCTTTCCACTTTCTTCTGCTATGCCACTGCTCTTAGTTGAGGTTATACTATGTCATCTTGAGGTTTTTGTTGTTGTTGTTGTTTTAATGCCTAGTTATCTGGGTGAGGAATAGAGAAAGATGTTCTACCTCTTTCACAGAGTGAACAATAGGATTGTACCATTGGAAATCTTTTTTATTTAGTGGTAGATTATGTCATTTTGAGTCTCTTTAGAAAGAAATTCTTTAGAAAGTCATATTTTAAGAGGAATATTGATAAACTGGGTCATCTCTAGAGATGTCAGCCAGGATATTGGATATCAAATATTTGGAGGCCACTAAAGAAGGAAAGTTTACATCTGCTTAGAAGTGAAATAATGAATTAATATACTTTCATATAAAATAATGAATTTGGGGTTCTGGCATTGTTTGAATGAATAGAGGCCATTGGTCACGTTGAAGAGGAGTTCCTTTGAGAGCTGAGGGATCTCTTCTCTGCCTTTTCAAATCTTTTATGATTCAGAGGTTTTATGATTTTTCCATAGTTAACTGCTTTGCCATAAGTGGTTGTTTGCTTAAAATCAGAATTGTGGGGTGCCTTATATTTTAAACAGCATATTTGAAAAATAATCTAATTTTTTTCTTCTGTTCCACAGGACTTAAATACTATTTATTCTTATCTTCATGGAATGGAAATATTATCAAATCTCAGGGAACATCAGCTTAGGTAAGTGTCGTTCTGTATTTAAGAGCACACGCTGTATAGCCATTCATTCATTTATTCACCAAATATTTGTTAAGCACCTTTATATTCCTTATTGTTTTAAGCCCTTGGTATATGCATTATAGATTAGATCCCTGGTTTCCTGGAGTTTATATTTTGGTAGGGGTGATTTTGGAGTTGGGGAAAAACACTGACAATAAAAACTGAATTTGTTTTTCTTATTCAGTTTTTCTTAGCCATGGGACCTTAAGTCAGAACTAACCTTTAACTGTGGTTTTGTCTTCAATAAAATAGGGGTAATGATAGTATCTTTGTTGAAGTATTTCAAGGATTAAATGAAAATAAGTACCTAAAGCAAAACACAGTGTTGAGGTTGTGCTAGTTAGTAAAGACAAAACTCCTGTTATCTTTTTGTAGTTTGTGTTGATATTTATTATGCCAAATGCTTCAGCTGGGTATGGTATGTTGTATTATAGTGTTGTATTATACAAGTGAAAGGAGCAGGAATCTTGATTTGGCCTAAGCTCCTGTGGAGAAAACCCATAAACTTTCTGAACCTTGTTTTTTTCTTCTGAAAAATGGGCTGGCTATCTGTCCTGGTTATCATATATCATTATGATTATATTTATAAAAACACTTTCGAGTGCTATAAAACACTTAACTATATAATATTTTAATTAAACATGTGTTCCCACCACGAACAGCTTATCCAGTGACTTTTCCTGGGTTTTCATCAAGTTTCTGGTTATTGACCAGATTGATAAAATATAATTATTAGAGATTTATTATTTATTATATATTTTCTGTATAACATAATTCAGCTGTTAGTGTATGCCAAATAATTATATCAGGAAGAAAGAAAACTGAAAAATTAGCATTTTGTAATACTCAAAATATTTTTTATTGCAAACTGATTTATATATTCAGCAATTTTTTTGTATGTACATGCCTCTGCCAGTAACTGTTCTTCACACTGAGGATTCAGTAGTGAATCAGACAAATGTATATTTTTTGTAATGAAAACATTATTTGGTGTGAACTGACAGATTTTGACAGATTTTGTAATGTACATAAAGAGTATTAAGGTTGATGCCACTGAATATTACCTATATTATTGCATTATGTATATATATAAAATACACATATATTTCTAAACTCTCTGTAGTTTAGTGACAACATACTGGTAGATTTGGTCATTTTCTAACAATCAATTAGATTATAATAATTAGTTGAGGTCAAATTATAACAATTTTAAAAACAAAATGTAAGATAAAATCTTCAATTTTTTTTTTTAATAGATTAATGTCTGCAAGAGCACGCTATGAGAGATACAGTGGCAATCAGGTTCTCTTTTGGTAAGTATTTCCATAATTCACATAAACTAATGACTTTTATGTTTAAATTTTAACTCTTAGCATTGAAATTCATTTGATTCTGGGACAATTTATGTAGAGCACACTGAAAAATATTCATAGACCATGAAGTATATAACATACATAGAATCCACCAAAAGTGTACAAAGCAATGAATTTTAATAAATATATACTAAATGTGTAATGACTACTCAGATGAAAATAGAGATACCAGTTTTCCAGAAGGCTCTAATCAACTTTGAAAGGTAATGACAATTCTGACTTGTATCACTGTAGGTTAGTTTTGCCACTTATTGAACTTGGTATAGAGAGAATCTTTTGGTGATGCTTTTTTACTTAATAAATATCCAAATTTTTCTGTTTTTGTATGTGTTCTTTTTCACTGCTGTACAATATATAATTGTGTGCAAATAATGATTTGTTTGTCCCTTCCACTGTTAATAGTTGGGTTATTTCTAGTTTTCTTTTTGTTTGTTTGTTTGTTTGTTTTTGAGATGGAGTTTCGCACTTGTCGCCCAGGCTGGAGTGCAATGGCATAATCTTGGCTCACTGCAACTTCCGCCTCCCAGGTTCAAGTGATTCTGGTGCCTCAACCTCCCAAGTAGCTGGGTTTACGGGCATTAGCCGCCATGCCTGGCTACTTTTTGTATCTTTAGTAGAGATGAGGTTTTACCATGTTGGTCAGGCTGGTCTCAGACTTCTGACCTCAGGTGATCCACCTGCCTCGGCCTCCCAAAGCGCTGGAATTACAGGTGTGAGCCACCGTGCCTGGCCAATTTCTAATTTTTAGTATTATAAATAATACAGTTTCTATTAACATTCTGTTATTTTTGTGCCCTTATTGCTTACTCCTGTTGAGGATATTCCTAGGAATAAAATTATGGTCATGTGCCACATAACGTTGTTTCAGTCAGTGATGGACTATTGTGTCAAGTTGCCTGCAGTATTCAGTAGAGTAACATGCCGTGCAAGTATGTAAACTAGGAGCAATAGGCTATACCATATAACCTAGATGTATAGTAGGCTATACCATCTTCTAGGTTTGTGTTAAGTACACTCTATGATGTTAGCATGATGAAATCATCTAATGATGCATTTTTCAGAAAGTATCACCATCATTAAGCAAGGCATGACTGTAGTGGAAATGTGCATGTTCAAATTCAGGAGATTGTGACAGTTTTTTAAAATTAGTTGTACCAATTTTTTTTTTTTTTTTTTGAGACGGAGTCTCGCTCTGTCGCCCAGGCTGGAGTACACTGGCACAATCTCAGCTCACTGCAAGCTCCGCCTCCTGGGTTCGTGCCATTCTCCTGCCTCAGCCTCCTGAGTAGCTGGGACTACAGGTGCCCACCACCATGCCCAGCTAATTTTTTTTGTATTTTTAGTAGAGACGGGGTTTCACTGTGTTAGCCAGGATGGTCTCGATCTCCTGACCTCATGATCTGCCTGCCTCAGCCTCCCAAGGTGCTATGATTACAGGCGTGAGCCACTGCGCCCGGCCAATTGTGCCAATTTTAATAACCATTAGCTGTGTATAGTTAAGTTCCAGTTGCTCTACATGTTTGACAACCCTTAATGTTTGTGTTTTATTGTTTGCTTATTTTGAATTTTTGCTACTCTGCTGCTGATTACATTATGTTAGTTCATTGTGATTTTATTTTACATTTTCCTGTTACTAATGATGATGAATGACATTTATGTTTCTATCAGGTATTTGGATAGCTTCTTTTATTAATTGGGTTGTCTTTATCATTTCTGTTGATTTGTAAAAGTTATTTTTGAATTCTGAGTGGAAGTCCTTTGTTGGGTATGTCTAGTCTATTATCTATTTCCACTGTGCCACTTTTCCTTTTTTTTTTTTTTTTTTGAGACGGAGTCTCGCTCTTGTCACTGAGGCTGGAGTGCAATGGTGTGACCTTGGCTCACTGCAACCTCTGCCTCTCGGGTTCAAGGGATTCTCCTGCTTCAGCCTCCCGAGTAGCTGGGATTACAGGCGCCCGCCACCATGCCCAGCTTATTTTTTGTATTTTTAGTAGAGATGGGGTTTCACCATGTTGGTCAGGCTGGTCTTGAACTCGTGACCTCAGGTGATCCACCCGCCTCGGCCTCCCAAAGTGCTGGGATTACAGGCGTGAGCCACCGCTCCCAGCCTTCTTTTTTTTTTTTTTTGAAATGGAGTTTTCTTGCGTTGCCCAGGCCAGTCTTGAACTCCTAGGCTCAAGAGATCCTCCTGCTTCAGACTCCCGAGGATTACAGGCATACGCCACTACACCCAGCTCTTTTTGCTCTATTATTGGCATCTTTTGAGAAAGAGTAATTCCTTTCTCAACTTGTCCCCTTGTGATTAGGGCCTTTTGTGTCCTGTTTTAAAAAAAATCAAATCTTTCCTTTCTTCATGATTGCGAAGATTTTCTTTGTTTCTCCTCCAAAAGTTTGGTGTTTTCTGTCTCAAATATAGATCTACAATTCATCTTGGAATTGAGTTTTACTTTTGATGTGAGGTAGAATTCAAGATTCATTTTTCTTAATTTTAAAAATATTTATTAGTCATTTTAAATTTAATGAGAAACCCATCACGTTTCTTTTTTTCCTTCCTTCCTTCCTTCCTTCGCTCCCTCCTCCTCTCCTCTTCTCTCCTCTTCTCTCCCCTCCCTTCCCCTCCCCTCTCCTCTCCTCTCTTTTCCCTCCCTCCCTCCCTCCCTTCCTTCCTTCCTTCCTTCCTTCTCGTTAGTTCTTTTCGTCTCACCATGTCACCCAGGTTGGAGTGCAGTGGCGCGATCTCGGCTTACTACAACCTCCGCCTCCTGGGTTCATACGATTCTCCTGCCTCAGCCTCCGAAGTAGCTGAGACTACAGGCGCGTGCCACCACGTCTGGCTAATTTTTGTATTTTTAGTAGAGATGGGGTTTCACCACATTGGCCAGGCTGGTCTTGAACTCGTGACCTCAGGTGATCTGCCTGCCTCGGCCTCCCAAAGTGCTGGGATTACAGGCATGAGCCACTGCGCCCAGCCTCATTACATGTTAACACAATTAACATTTATGAGAAAGAACTATTTTCATAAAAGATTTAATTATAGTTTAGCAAATCTAATATCTTTCTGACATTAATCGGATTGTCATATCTGTTGCATTCAGTCTGTTGTGATATATTTTTTGAATGAAAGAAATCTTCATACAGAGAAGTTGTTAAAACAAAAAAAAATGCGGGAAAGTTCTTTTCAGATAAGTTGGGTATTCTTCTTTAAAACAGTACCAAAACTTGACAGGTTGCTTACAGATTAGTTTCAGTATGGGGTCTGAGACTTTATCCATGAACTTTTTACTGTGTTGCATTAGAAACAATTGGTCTATCTTGCACATTGAATAAATCATTTCTCTATGTTTGATTTTTGTAATGCCATGCGTTGGCCATTTGGAAAATATTCATGGTCCTGGTGTATGTAGTTTTTCTCATTTTGGCACTTTAAAAAAAAATTTATCAAAAATGGCATTGCTAATATCACCACCAGCCTCTTCTGAAAAGTTTAGGGAAGTGTCAAGCTCACAGTAATGGATACAAATTTTCTAAAATGTAAATTGTTGATTGAAGGCATGGATTTTATTATTGGCAAGATTCATTAGGTATCCCTATGGACATCCAGTTGATCCAGCACCATTTATTGAAAAACTATCTTTTTCTCTCTTGCGCTGCAGTGTCCACTTTGTGTTAAATTAAGTGACCCCGTGTGTGTAGGTGTGTGTGTGTGTATCTCTGTGTGGTCTCTTTATTTTGCTCAATTGTTTATTGCTCATTTGTTTATTGTTTATTTTGCTCATTTGTTTATTTTGCTCATGCCTGTGTTCATGCAAGTACTGCACTGTCAAGCTGTGTAGTTTGAGTTTTTTTGTTTGTTCGTTTTGTTGTTGTTGTTGTTTTTTGTTTTTGAGACAGAGTCTCACTCTGTCACCCAGGCTGGAGTGCAGTGGCAAAATCTCGGCTCACTGCAACCTCTGCATCCTGGGTTCAAGCGATTCTCATGCCTCAGCCTCCCGAGTAGCTGGGACCACAGGCGTGGACCACCATGCCCGGCTACTTTTTGTATTTTTAGTAGAGACAGGATTTAGTAAAGACGGGGTTTCACCACGTTGGCCAGGCTGGTCTCAAACTCCTGGCATCAAGTAATCCGCCCGTCTCTGCCTCCCAAAATGCTGAAATTACAGGCGTGAGCCCCCACGCTCGGCCTAAGCTGTGTGTTTTGATATCTGATAGCATGAGTTTGTATTCAGTAGAGTAACTCAGGCTTGTACTCAGGCTTGTTCTTCAAGATTGTCTTGGCTATCACTGTTGCTTTGCCTTTCTGTGTAAATTCTAGAATCAGCTTGTCAATTTCCACACACAGTTATACACAAGAAAGCCTTTGGGAGGCTGTGGGCTTTGGATTAGGATAGCATTAAATCCATAAATCAATTCAGAGAGAAATGACGTTGTTACAATGAATCTGTCAATCTGCAAACATGTATATTCTTCCATTTATTTAGTCTTCTTTAATTCTTCACAGCAGTGTTTTAGGAGGGTGTTTTTCCAACATAAACAGTTTGAGCAGTTTTTTCTGTAACACTTTTAAGATGTTTTATCATGTTCTTGCTTCTATTTATGTTGAAGACTCAGTAATCAGTGTTCTTGTTACTCCTTTGCAGTTAATATGTTTTTTCCTCTGACTGCTTCTGAGATTTTTCTTGCTTTTTGCTTTTCAGCAGTTTTGTCTAATGTTGCTAGGTATGGTTTTCTTTGGATTTATTCTGTTTAGGGTTTATAGATCTTCATGATACCCTGATTTGATATCTTTCATCGATTTTGGAAAATTCTTACAGAGTATTTTAAAAATTATTGCTTCTGTCCTGTTTTCTCTTTCCTCCTTCCTGCTTTATTTTGTCCCATATTTCCTTTACACTGTTTTCCATCTTCCCGTCCTTTTTTCTGTCTGTGTTTCAGTCTCCCATTTTCTACTGCCTTATTTTCTAATTTGTGAATTTCTGTCTTCTGCTGTTTCTAGTCTAAAATACCCACTCATGTGAATTTTTAAGTTTTAATTGTAGTTTTTCAATTCTAGATTTTCATTTCTGTTTCATAGATACCAGTTCTTTGGTTGAATCCATCATCTGTTTTCCTTTTTTCTTGAACGTAATAAATATAGCAGGTTTTTTTTCTGTTGGTTTTAGGTTATTTGGTCTCATTTCCAGCAATGTTGATACTTTTTTTAACTTTTTAATCGACACATTATAGTTGTGTATATTTATGGAGTACAAGTTGGTATTCCAATACAGTTATGTGTTATATAATATACAAATTAGGGTAGTTAGCATATCCATCACCTCATACATTTAATCATTTTTTGGTGGTGAAAACATTCAAAAGCCTCTCTTCTAGCTATTTTGTAATATACAGTACTTTACTGTTAACCATAATAATCCTACTGTGCAATGGAACACCAGAATTTATTTTTCTTATTTTGTTGTAACTTTGTACCCACTACCCAACCTCTCCTCATCTTTCTCTCCCACCTCCCCACTCCAGTCTCTGGTAACCACAGTTCTACTCCACTTCTATGGTATCAACTTTTTATTTTTTAGATTCCACGTATAAGTGATATTCTGCAGTATTTGCCTCTCTATGTCTGTCTTATTTCACTTAACATAATATCCTCCAGTTCCATCCATATTGCTGCAAATGACAGGATTTCATTCTTTTCATGGCTGAATGATACTCTATTGAGTATATATACCCCATTTTCTTTATCTGTTCATTCATTGTTGGACACTTGGGTTGAGTCTGTATTTTGGCTATTGTAAAATATGGGAGTGCAGATATTTCTGTAACATACTGATTTCATTTCCTTTGGATATGTATCCAGTAGTAGGATTGCAGGATTACCTAGAAGTTCCATTTTTTTTTTTTTTAGTAACCTCCATATTGTTTTCCATAATAACTACTAATTTACGTTCCCACCAACAGTGTATAAGTGTTCCCTTCTCCTGAAATCCTCGCCAACACTTGTTTTCGTCTTTTTGATGGTAGCCATTCTCACTGGAATGAAGTGGTGTCTTGTTGTGATTTGAGTTTGCATTTCCCTGATGATTAGTTTATTTGAATATTTTTTTATATACCTATTGGCTATTTTTATGTCTTTTCAGAAATGTCTGTTGAGCTATTTTGCCCATTTTTAATCAGTTTTTTTTTGCTATTAAGTTTTTTATATATTCTGGATATTAACCCATTGTCAGAGGTATAGTTTGCAATTCTCTCCTATTTCTGTAGGTTGTCTATTCATTTTGTCAGTTGTTTCCTTTGCTGCGCAAAAACTTTTTAGTTTGATGTAATCAGATTTATCTGTTTTTGTTTCTGTTGCCTGTGTTTTGAGGTCTTCGCTTTAAAAATCCTTGCCTAGCACAGTGTTGTATAGCATTTTCCCCTATTTTCTTCCAGTAGATTTCGTGGTTTCAGGTTTCACATTTAAGTCTTTAATCCATTTTGAGTTGATTTTTGTATATAGTGAGAGGTAGGAGTTTAGTCTTATTCTTCTGCAAGGAGATATACATTTTCTAAGTGTCTTTGGCACCTTTTTTGAAAATCAGTTGTCTGTTTAATTCTGGGATATCCATTCTGCTCTATTGGTCTGTTTTTATGTCAGTACCATGCTTTTTTGGTTGCAGTAGCTTTGTAGTATATTTTGAGGTCTATCGATCTGTCCATTGCTGAAAGTAGGGTATTTGCATTCCCTGCTATTACTCTATTATAGTCTGTCTCTCCCTTTATATCTAATGATATTTGCTTTACAAGCTTGGGCACTCCAGTGTTTGGGGTGTGTGTGTTAATATATACTGTAAATATATATATGAGACACAAATATATATTATATAATGATTATATAATATATATTATAAATAATGTAATTGTTATATCTTCCTGTTGAATTGATCCCTTTATCATTATATAATCACCTTTTCTGTCTCTTTTTACAGTTTTTGACTTAAAGTAAGCATGGCTACTCCTGTTTGCTTTGGCTTTCCATTTGCATGGATGTCTTTTTCTATCCTTTAACTTTTTTTTTTTTTTTTATATGATGGAGTCTCGCACTGCTCCCCAGGGTGGAGCACAGTGGTGCGACCTTGGCTCACTGCACCCTCTGCCTCCTGTGTTCAAGCGATTCTTGTGCTTCAGCCTCCCAAGTAGCTGGTATTACAGGCGCGTACCACCACACCCAGCTAATTTTTGTATTTTTTAGTAGAGACAGGGTTTCGCCATGTTGGCCAGGCTGGTCTTGAACTCCTGACCTCAAGTGATCTGCCTGTCTCAGCCTCCCAAAGTGCTAGGATTACAGGCATAAGCCACTGCACCCAACCTCTGTCCCTTAACTTTCAATCTATGTCTTTAACAGTGAGGTGAGTCTGTTATACGCAGCATACATTTGGGTTTTATTATCCATTCAGCCATTCTATATCTATTAATTGGAGGAGCTTACCCAGTTACATTCAAGGCTGTTATTTATAGGTAAGGATTTATTCCTGCCTTTGTGTTAATGGTTTTCTGGTTGTTTTATAGATTTTTTTTTCTGTAGCCTTCTTTCTCTCTTGTTCATCTCTGTGGTTTTGTGGCTCACTGTGGTGCTATACTTTGTTTCCTTTCTCTTTCTCCTTTGTGTATCTGCTGTACTTACTTTATGTTTACTATAGAGCTAGCATAAAGACTCTTGTTATAATGCACTATTTTAAGCTGATAGCAAATTAACTTTGGTCTCTGTATTACTCCATTCTCACGCTGTCATAAAGAACTACCTGAGACTGGGTAATTTGTGAAGAAAAGAGGTTTAATTTACTCACAGTTCCACAGGCTTCACAGGAAGCATGAGTGGGAGGTCTTAGGAAACTTACAATCACAGCAGAAGGTGAAGGGGAAACAAGCACTCCTTACCACGGTGAGCAGGAGACAGAGAGAGAATGCGATGGGGGGAAATGCCACACTTAAACCATCAGATCTTGTGGAACTCACTGTCATGAGAACAGCATGGGGGAAAATCTGTCCCCATGATCCAGTCGCCTCCCACCAGGTCCCTCCCCTGACACATGAGGATTACAATTCAACATGAGATTTGAGTGGGGACATAGAGCCAAACCATATTATTCCACCACTGGCCCCTCCCAAATCTCATGTCCTTCTCACATTTGAAAACCAATCATGCCTTCCCAGCAGTCCCCCAAAGTCTTAACTCAATCCAGCATTAACTTAAAAGTCCAAGTCCAAAGTCTCATCTGAGACATGGGAAGTCCCTTCCACCTATGAGCCTGTAAAATCAAAAACAAGTTACTTCCAAAATACAATGGAGATACAGGCATGGGGTAAATGCTCCTGTTCCAAATGGTAGAAATTGGCCAAAATAAAGGGGCTACAGGTCCCATGCTAGTCCGAAACCCAGCAGGGCAGTCATTAAATCTTAAAGCTTCCAAATAACCTCCGTTGACTCCATGTCTCACATCCAGGGCACCCTGAGGCAAGTGGTGGGCTCCCAAGGCCTTGAGCAGCTCTGCCCCTGTGGCTCTGCAGGGTACAGCCCCTGTGGCTACCTTCATGGGCTGGCGTTGAGTGCCTGTGGCTTTTCTAGGCTCCTAGTGCAAACTGTGGTTCTACCATTCTGGGGTCTGAAGGACAATGGCCCCCTTTTCGCAGCTCCACTAGATAGTGCCCCAGTGGGGACTCTGTGTGGGGGCTCCAACCCCACATTTTCCCTCTGCACTGCCCTAGTGGAGGTTCTCCATGAGGGCTCTGCCTCTACAGCACACTTCTTCCTGGACATCCAGGCATTTCCATACATCCTCTGAAATCTGGGCAGAGATTCCCAAACCTCAACTTTTGACCTCTGCGTACCCGCAGGCCCAACACCATGTGGAAGCCGCCAAGGCTTGAGGCTTGCAGCCTCTGATTCAATGGCTTGAGCTATACTGTTGGCCCCTTTTGGCCACACAGTTTTAAACTAGCAAATCTTGTGAGAGCTCACTATCATGAGAACAGCATGCGGTAAATCTGCCCCCAGATGGAGCTGGAGCAGCTGGGATGCAGGGTACCATGTCCTGAGGCTACACAGAGTAGCAGGGTCCTGGGCCCAGCCCATGAATCATTTTTGGTTGGCCTCTGGGCCTGTGATAGGAGAGGCTGCCTTGAAAGACTCTGAAATGCCCTGGAAACATTTTCCCCATTGTGTTGGCTATTAACATTTGGCTCCTTTTGTGCACATTTCTGCAGCGGGCTTGAATTTCTCCCCAGAGAATGGGGTTTTCTTTTCTACCACATTATCAGGCTGCAAATTTTCTAAACTTTTATGCTCTGCTTCCCTTTAAAATATAAGTTCCAGTTTCAGATAATCTCTTTGTTCATGCATATGAACGTACACTTTTAGAAACAATCAGATCACCTCTTGAATGCTTTGCTGCTTAGAAATTTCTTCTCCCAGATACCCTAAATCATGTCTCAAGTTCTAAGTTCCATAGATCTGTAGGGCAGGGGCAAAATGCCACCAGTCTAATTGCTAAAGCATAGCAAGAGTGACCTTTACTCCAGTTTCCAGTAAGTTCCTCATCTCCATCTGAGATCACCTCAGCCTGGACTTCATTGTTTATATCACTTATCAGTATTTTGGTCAAAAGCATTCAACAAGTCTCTAGGAAGTTCCAAACTTTTCCACATCTTTTCTGTCTTTTTCTGAGTCCTCCAAACCATTCCAGCCTCTGCCCGTTACCCAGTTCCAAAGTCACTTCTACATTTTCAGGTATCTTTGTAGCAGTGCCCCACTATTACTAATAATTTGTATTTCTATTATTGCACATATAATTATAGCAAAATTAGAAAACATAGGCAGTGAGAAAAACTTCATCTGAAACTTTGTTGTGAAGAATAAGAATGATTTCTCTGTGGTAAATTCCTTGGGATAACATTGTGGAGCTAAAGGTTATGACATCCTTGTGGCTTGTGCTGAAGATTCCTATATTGATTTGGAAAAAGGGTTTTGGTGATTTTGATTTGTAGTATTAGTAAGCAGTGAATAAATTTTTATCACAGCCCCTGTAAAATGGATACTATATGTGGATTTGGTTAGTATTTTAGAGTTGTTTTCATTTGCATTTTCTGTTTACTAGTGACTCTGTGTTCTGTGTAGCTGTTAAGAATTGTCTGTTTTAATCTTCTGTTCATTTACTACTTGAAATAGTAATGCATTTCTGTGAGTACTGATACCTATTACAGGTATTATCTTTAATTGTATCACATTTGAAAATTATTTTCTGTTCATCTTTTTGTTGTATTCAAGTTTTAACTTGTATGTGCTAATATACTTCAGAATTAAATGTTATTTTCTTCTACAAGTGTGATACAATTCTTCTGTTTTCTTTTTTTCTAGGAAACATGTTTCTTAATTGCTTTCTTAGCTTTAAAGCTTTAATTAAACTGAAATTTATTTCAAGGAACAGTATAAACAATGATTGTTGTTTTTTGCTAAAATGTATTTCCAAAATACTTTATTCACTTTAAGTATTGGTGTTTTATAGTATGTATCTTAAGATAGTGATTATACTTTTATTTCACATAAACGTGGTCTGTATAAAACCTTAGGCAACAGGCAAAATATTCCAAATTTCCAGGTAGTGTTACTTCATTTTTAATTATTTGTACTATTATCAGAATATATTTCTTATTGAATTCATATACATATGAACATGTGTGTTGTTTTGCTCATTTATTTACTTATTTATTTAAACAGTTCAGAAACGATTGCCAGATGTTGGTATATCCTACTTTCTGGATCTGTGCTTGTGAAAGGCTCCATGGTCTTGCCTCCTTGCAGGTACGTTTACATTTGCTATATGGCAGGCAAAGTTAATGTTAAACTATTTTGTATAGGATGTATATTTTCTTTCAGTAAGTGATACATCTTTTAAATGTCTTTGCTTGTTGGCACCATTGGAAATACTTGGCAGGAATCAGTTAATCTTTTGTTATTTCTGAGGGTATAATCTGTAAGCTTACACCATGACATGATATCTTCTTCCTGTCTGAAAATTAGTTTTATGGGGCTGGGCACGGTGGCTCACACCTGTAATCCCAGCACTTTGGGAGACTGATGCGGGCGGATCACCTGAGGTCGGGAGTTCGAGACTAGTCTGACCAATGTGGAGAAACCCCGTCTCTATTAAAATACAAAATTAGCTAGGTGTGGTGGCGCATACCTGTAATTCCAGCTACTCAGAAGGCTGAGGCAGGAGACTCGCTTGAACCTGGGAGGTGGAGGTTGCCGTGAGCTGAGACCACGCCATTACACTCCAGCCTGGGCAACAAGAGCGAAACTCCATCTCCAAAGAAAAAAAAATTAGTTTTATGTACGATTTGATCTGATTTATCTAATTGGTTTTTGATTCATTGCTGTTATTGGGTGTAGAGAGGTGATATAATAGTTAAGAAATTGGTTTTTGGAGTAAATCAACTAGATTAAAATTCTGATTCCATCACTAGTTATGTGACTTTGGACAAATTTTAGTTTTCTTGGCTGACAAATGGGAATAATAATGGTACCTACTTAAGTATTGTCATGAGGTGTTAGGAAACTACTACAAATGTTCTCAACAGAAGTCTATAAGGGTTCACACTCTGGAGCCAGACTTCATGAGTTCATATCTGCTCTACTGTTTCTTGGGCAGATTACTTAATTTCTTTGTGCCTTACTTTGCTCATTTGTAAAATGAGCATAATAATACAACCTCTTTCATAGCATAAGCTAGTTCTGAGAAATAAATGACTTACTCTACATAAAGCTCTTAGAACAGTGCCTGGCTGTTAGAAGTAATTGTTAATTATTTTAACTATTAGGTAAAAGAGAAGGGTGGTAGAAAGAAGGTCAGTTGTGGAATTCTGTTAGTAATTATTAAGATTTTAGGGCCTCAACGTATGCTTTAGTGACATAAAAATGTAATTTTTTGTGACTTTTTTCCCAAAATGTTGAGAAGAAATTTCTAGGCTTTTAAAGTAAGACTTCCAATTGTAGTTAATTTAGTGGCATAACTATTTAACATAAATATCAGGATATGGGACATCTCAATTTAAATATCATTTTAGAAGTCATGCCTTGACTCCTGAAACTTTACATCATTGGCCTTTGGTTAAATGAAATGTGCTAATTGACCAGTTGAATAACACATATAGTTGACTGTATTTATAAATATATAGTAGTTCTTGGCTTTTTTTGAGCTTTTTGGCCATTGTTCCTTTTCCCTGTATTTGTGAAACTCACATTAATGAATTTGTATTGTTAGTCCCTGAGAACTGAATATGCTGGATTGATATTGCCTATGGTTATATTTTAAGATTATTAGTATTTTTCTGTTGAACACTCCTGCTGTTCTGAATGGTCAAGATCTTTGTTATGAGGACTTTTAATAGCCCTTAATCAACTGCAATAATTCACTACTAGTTTGTGATCAAGACAATGAAGTTTATCTTTTTAAGTAAATAATCAGAATGTTTGAGATTTTAGAAAAATCATGGTATGCATTAATGTAATCATAAACTTCACAGGAAACATGATTATGGAAGTTTAATCTTTATTCTAAAGAATAATACTGATTAGGGAATTTATCTTTTGTGTGAAAGATTTATAATAGGCTATTGTAGGTTCATTTTTAGGATTTGTGAGTTACTATAACAAATAAACTACCTGGAATAATGCTTAGCATATATTAAGCATCAAGTAATTTTTGGCTTCTTCAGTCAGAATACAGAAACCATACCGTAATTGGAACAAGTGAAGTTTGATTTTTTTATTATTATGATTTTTTAAATTTGAGACAGAGTCGCTGTTGCCCAGGCTGGAGGGCAGTGGCATGATCTTGGCTCACTGCAACCTGCGCCTTCTGGGTTCAAGCAATTCTGCCTTAGCCTTCCGAATAGCTGGGATTACAGGTGTGTGCCACCACACCCAGCTAATTTTTGTATTTTTAGTAAAGACAGGGTTTCACCATGTTGGCTAGACTGGTCTCAGGCTCCTGACCTCAAGTGATCTGCCCGCCTTGGGCATTACAGTGCTGTGATTACAGACATGAGCCACTGTACCTGGCCTGAGCAGGTAAAGTTTAATTTTAAAATTAAACTAGTTCAAGGGATTAGCTACTAAGAAGGATAAAGCAGAATACCCTACAGCTGAGGGCGAGTTCCCAAAGACAAAACAAACTTGAAAGGGAGACAGACCCCTTCCTCACGACTAGAGTTGAGACTTGGTTGAAGAATGTTAGTTGCAGCCCAATAAATAGCAGAGACATTCACTGGGTTGCTCTGGGACAGAGCTGGTCCACAGTTGTCTGGTCAAGGCTGGCAGGAAGGGGAAGGGAACTGCTGACCAGGAGTGGCACTTAGGAGACCCCCCTTACCAGGATGCAGATGGCCCCTGAAGCTGGGGACAGGAAACAGAAGCCCTCCAATTGCAGAGGAAAGACTTTCTTACTGCAGTGTTACTCTAGCACCCTCTGCTGACAAAACTGTAACATTTTCAGCTAGCAAAGGAGAACATTTACACAATTCTCATCCTTATCACAAAGTATGGCAATAAAGGGTAGATTTGAAGCTGAGAGCCAGTATGTTTGGAGAGGCAGTAAATAACTGTCACAGTCCACTCCCCTGGCTGCTCAGCTTCCTTATGAATGCTTCTAAACACACTTGAAATTCCATTCAACAATCTGTGTCTACGTAACAAGACAAAACTATCCTTTATACAAATGGAGTTCTTACCCTCTCCCCCAAATAAGGAGACACACAACAACAATCATTGCTAGCTATATTTGTATGTAATCTGTCATAGTGCCTCTGAATATTCTGTTAACTAAAGACTACCTTATAAAGTTTACCTTCAATATCTTATACTATATATATAGTAAGCAAAGAGAAAATGCAAAAAGCTACTTACTACAGTCTTTGTTTCTATAATGGGACACAAGGCTATAGTTCATATCTCTGTCTTTCACTACCCATTCAGTATTTCTTGCCTTAACTAAAACTTCAGCTGTTCTGTGTCCTTTACTTTGTGATTGGAACAAAACTTTAATTTTGATGTGTCTTCAACTATCCTGCCTTTTTCTTAGTTGCTGTAGTTTTTCATTAACCTTTTTTTTTTTAAGACAGAGTCTCACTCTGTCACCCAGGTTGGAATGCAGTGATGTGATCCCAGTACACTGCAATCTCTGCCTCCCGGGTTCTGGCAATTCTCCTGTCTCAGTCTCCCAAGTAGCTGGGATTACAGGCATGCACCACCATGCCCGGCTAATTTTTATACTTTTTGTGGAGACAGGGTACCATGTTGGCCAGGCTGGTCTCAAACTCTTGACCTCAAGTGATCTGCCTCCCTTGGCCTCCCAGAGTGCTAGGATTACAGGTGTGAGCCACCTCGCCTGGCTGTTTTCCATTAATCTTTATTGTTTTTGTTGTTGTTGTTGTTGTTTTTTAAGACGGAGTCTCACTCTGTTGCCAAGGCTGGAGTGCGGTGGCTCAGTCTCGGCTCACCTCAACCTCTGCCTCCCAGGTTCAAGTGATCCCTCTGCTTCAGCATCCCAAGTAGCTAGGACTGTAGGTGTGCACCACCACACCTGGCTAATTTTTGTATTCTTAGTAGAGATGAGGTTTCACCATGTTGGCCAGGCTGGTCTCGACCTCTTGACCTCAAGTGATCCACCTGCGTTGGCCTCCCAAAGTGCTGGGATTACAGTGTGAGCCACCCTACAGTGTGAGCCACCGCACCTGGCCCCATTAATCTTTAATAGTGGGCATGGCAATACTAACAGGAGCATAAGAGAATGGCCTAAGTTCCAGATGTAGTCTTTCTTGCCTACATTTTGTGCAGTAACCCATTTTTCCTCTGCTAATTGGAATCAGTCACGTGGGCCAGTAGACTAACCTCTTTTGCTGCCTGTTGGTTTAATGACTAGGTAGAAGTCTCTAGTTCAGTGGAACCATTGTTGTGTTTACTGGTAGAAGCAATACTCTTTTGTACACTAAGCCTCCAAACCAGCAGAGCTTAGAGTTGTTGGGAGGGGAAGCAAAAATAGTGTGAATGAGTTTATGAGAGGAAAATAAATCTCAGGACCCCCAAATCACTAAGTCAAAGAGAAAAGTCAAGCTGGGAACAGCATCCAGCAAAACTGCCTCCCATTTTATTCCTAAATAAGATAGCTACAAAAATTTAAAAAAAAAAAAAAGCTACATTGCTCCCTCATGATTTGTCCATAAGGAAATACCTTGTGGACCTAAGATCTTTACTCTAAACAGACTGAGGGAGCAAACCCAGCAAGGCCTTTCCAGATTTTTCTTGGCCTATGTAGCATTCCTTCCTTCCAGGTAGGGGGCAGGACCCCTCTGGAATGAGGGTTTTCAAGGGAGAAAGGAGAGTAACATTTCTAGGTTTTATGGCTTCCTTTGGGGAAGAGGAGTTCTACTTTCTATGACTCACCTTGGGAAAGAGGTTTCTGTTACTCACTTTGAGGGAGAAAGAGGGGCAAGAGAAGGTCAGAGACTTTGCCTTTGAGTCGTTTCAATATCCTTTAAAGAACTCACCGTGCCAAAGCACCATATTTTGGAGTATTGTTTTCTGAGTTCCAACAACTCTCTAGTTTTAGCTCTTTTATTGAGAAATATAATATGGGGAAAAGTGCAGATAACATAAATCTACATGTTAGTGAGTTACTATACATTGAATGTTTGTCTAATCACTACCCATATCAAGAAATTGAACATTGTCATTACCTAGAAGCAGCTTCCATGCCTTTTCTTAAATCTACTCTCTTACTTTTCCTCAACACCAGTTTCCTGAATTTTAATCAGTCTTGTATCTCTGAAGAGTTTTGGCCTGTGGATATGTATACCTTAGTTGAGGGTTATTATAAGTAATGCAGCTGTGAACATTTTTGTATATTAGATGCACATGTGGATACATTTCTGTTGTATATACTTAACAAGGAATTGTTGGCTCACAGTGTTGTAGGACTTCCTTTTAGTTCAGCTAAGAGCCGGGTCTTGTTACACAGCCATGAAATACTAGGCTCACAGACACTTTGAAGGATGAGAATAATGGAATCTATTGGGCAAAAAGGAAAAAGGGGAAACAAGAATTCTCTGCAAAACCAATTTCTGCTAGTATGCTTCCCACCTGGCAGATTGAATCCCAGGTACCATGCAGGAAGAGGAGGGGCCAGGCTCTTCCTCACAGCAAAGGGCACAGACTTCTGTGGCTCCACCCCTGTGTGTGCTTCTCCCAGTGTGCAGGCCAGTTAGAATTTTTCTGGGAACCCCTTTACACTTGACTGTCTCAACAGGGTGTGCCTACATTAAGCTTTGTTAATTCCAAGTTGCATTCCAAATTGATGCACTAATTTACACACCCACCAGTGGTGTGTGAGAGTTCCCATTGTTCCACATTCTAACCAACACTTAGTAATACAAGTCTTTTTACTTTAAAGTTTTTGGCTGCTTAATTTCAGTCATTCTTTTCAATTTTATAGTTTTGATTTGCATTTTAATGACTGCCGATGAATACATTTTCATTAGAATGACTTTTTTTTTTTAAGATAGAGTCTTACTTTGTCACCCAGGCTGGAGTGCAGTGGCACAATTTTGGCCCACTGCAACCTCCACCTCCCAGGTTCAAGCAATTCTCCTGCCTAAGCCTCCCAAGTAGATGGGACCACAGGTGCGTGACACCACGCCCAACTAAATTTTGTATTTTTAGTAGAGACAGGGTTTCACCACTGCTGGCCTCAAGTAATCCACCTGCCTTGGCTTCCCAAAGTGCTGGGATTAGAGGCTTGAGCCTCCATACCCAGCCTAGAATGACCTTTTTTGTAAAGTGACTTCTCAGGTCTGTTCCTCATTTTCCTAATAAGTTGTCTTTTTGTTTTTGAGATGTAGAAATTTTTTATATATTCTGAATAAGAAACCTTGCTTGGTTATTTTTGTTGGAAATACTTTTCCCCACTCTGTCTTATTCATTGTCGTATTCATTCTGTTAGTAACGTCTTTGGATGAACATGAGCTCTTAATTCTAATGTAGAAAAATTTGTCTTTCCTGTTTCTGAGGTTGTGAACCCCAAAAATCTGAGACAGGTCTTAGTTCATTTAGAAAGTTTATTTTGCCAAGGCTGAGGACGTGTGCCTGTGACACAGCCTCAGGAGGTCCTCATGACATGTGCTCAAGGTGGTCAGAGCACAATTTTGTTTTATACGTTTTAGGGAGACATAAGACCTCAATCAACATATGTAAGATCAGCATTGGTTCAGTCTGGAAAGGCAGGACTACTTGAAACAGAGAGGGGGCTTCCAGGTCATAGGTAGATAAGAGACAAATGGTTGCTTTTTTTGTTTGTTTTTTGGGGACGGAGTTTCGCTCTTGCCGCCCAGGCTGGGGTGCAATGGCGCGATCTTGGCTCACTGCACCCTCCACCTCATGGGTTCAAGCTATTCTCCTGCCTCAGCCTCCCCAGTAGCTGGGATTACAGGTGCCCGCCACCACACCCAGCTAATTTTTATATTTTTAGTAGAGACGGGGTTTCACCATCTTGGCCAGGCTAGTCTCGAACTCGTGACCTCAGGTGATCCATCCACCTCGGCCTCCCAAAATGCTGGGATTACAGGTGTGAGCCACTGTGCCCAGCTGGTTGCATTTTTGTTTTTTTTTGAGTTTCTGATTAGCCCCTCCAAAGGAGGCAATCAGGTATGCATTTATCTCAGTGAGCAGAGGGGTGACTTTGAATAGAATGGGAGGCAGCTTTGCCCTAAGCAGTTTCCAGCTTGACTTTTCCCTTTAGCTTAGTGATTTGGGAGGCTCAAGATACTTTGCTTTCACAAGGCCATGGAGATATATATGTATGTATGTATGTATGTATGTATGTATGTATGTATGTATGTATAGTTTTTTTTTTTTCTTATTTTCTAGAACTTTTCTTGTTTTCCTTTCACAGTTAAATCTGTAGTCTACCTGGAATTGAGTTTTGGGTATGGTATAATGTTGCGTCGTTTTCCATAGGGATACCTAGATGTCCTTTTCTCACTCATTTAGTGCCACCTTTTATGTAAATCAAATATCCACATATGTGTGTGCCAGTTTTAATTTTCATGTTTTTGATGAATAATGATGTTGAACACTTTTCCTTATGCCCTTATGCTTATTGGCCATTGCTTTCTGTTTTTTCTTTAATAAAGTATCCCTTAAATTTTGTGTGCCTGTTGTTAAACTCCTGTTATTACTGTAACTGTCCAGTGGATTCTTCCTGCCCACCTGTACAGACAAAACCAATTCACTGAGACCATGGCATTGTAATAAAGAGTTTAATTGACACAAGGCTGGCCACGCCCTGTGGGAGATGGAGTTATTACTCAAATTCATCTCTCCCAAAATTTGGAGGTTAGGATTTTTTAAGGATAGTTTGGTGGGCCAGGGAATCTGGATTCTGGGTGAAGCCACAGGACTGGTTAGCAGGAGGTCTGTGGGTCCTGGTGGCCACTGATGAATCATCAGAAATGCTAAAAACCTGAAAAGACATCTCAATAGGCCAATCTCAAATTCTACAATAGCACTGTTACTTGCAGGAGTAATTGAGGGAGTTGCAAATCTTGTGACTTTTGGAATAATGACTGGTAATCATTTATGTCTACAGCTTAGCAGAATTCAGCTCCTCATCCTTGTAATCTGGTGGTCTTTCTTTCATTAGCTTTACAAAAGCAGTTTAGTTATCATTTAAACTATAAATGTTTCCTAAAGTTAGGGTGGCCGGGGCCAAGGAATGATTGAGGGCAGTTTAGAGGTTAAAGGAAAGCTGGGTATTGGTTAGATCAGATCTCTTTCACTGTCATAATTTTCTTATGGTTATAACTTTGCAGAGGCAGTTTCATTATTATTCTATAAGAATCTTTCTACATCCAGGATGCAAGCTGTCTGTTAACCATTTTATCCCATTAATTTGACTTGCATTTTTATTTATTTTTAAAACTTTATTGAAGTATAACTGACATACACTGAACAGCACGATTTATAGTATACAGTTTGATAAGCTTTGGCATATATAAACACATGTAAAACCACCAGTATTACAAAGATAATAAGCTCTATCACTAGAAAAAGTTTCCTCATGCCACTTTGTAAACTTTCCCTCTCATAGTTCCCTGCTCCCTTCCTTGGTCCCAGGCCATTACTCATTTTTCATCAATGTAGATTAGTTTACATGTTATAAAATTTTTGTGTAAGGTGAAACATACAGTATGTACTCTTTTCTCATTCAGCTTCTTGCACTCAGTAAAATTATTTTGAGGTTTATCCGTGTTATGTGTATCAATATTTCATTTCTTCTTAATGCAGTGTTCTCTCATGGATGTTAACAGGAAAACCAAACTCTGTAAAATATCTTAAAGAGATTTATTCTGAGCCAGTATGAATAACCATGGCCAGGGGAAAAGACAAATTCAGGAAGCCTTGAGTAAGTGGCCCTAAGGTGGTTGGGCTACAGTTTGGTTTTATATATTTCAGGGAGGCAGGAGTTAAGAGGCAAAGACACAAATCAGTATGTGGAAGGGATACAATTAGTTCAGCCCAAAAAGGCAGGATGTCTTGAAGCAGGGGGTTATAGATTATAGGTGGATCCAGAGAACCTTAATTGGTTAAAGGAGTAAGGCTCTGTCGAAAATTTGGAATCAGCAGAAAGGAATGTTTAAGTTAAGAATGCTATGTCCAAGTCAGTTACAATAAAATGACCTGTTCAGTGACATTGTTGGTCTGCAGGTGTGACTTAATCCTTGCCTTGCATGGCCTTAGGTCTTATTTATAATTTGGCATCTTATTGCCACAAAGGGTCTGTTTTGTCAGTCTTATGATCTCTGTTTTAAAAAACAATTAATACTCATAAGTTGTGTCTAAACTTCACAATGGAGGGGATATAACAAGGCATGTCTGACCTCCCTTCCCATCATGGCTGGGAACTCAGTTTTCAAGGTTTCTCTGGGGTGCCCCTGGCCAAGAGGGGGTCCATTTAGTCGATTGGGGTTTAGGATTTTATTGTTAGTTTATATGGATGTTCCACTATTTGTTTAGCATTCAACTGCTGATGGACATTTGAGTTGTTGACTGTTATTGACTATTTTGCAAAGAATGTTGTTATGGACATTTGTGTACAAGGTATATGGTCATATACTTTCATCTCTCTGCATAATATGTAGGAGTAGATGGCTAGATTTTGTACGTGTTTATGTGAATACATACTTTCATATATTTTGAAAAATACCTAGCAATAAGTTATATGGTCGATGCATGTTTAACCTTTAAGAAAGTGCCTTACTCTTCTCCAAAGCTGTATCATTTTATATTCTCACCGGCAGTCTATGAGAATTCATATCTTTTATGAAGTGTCTCTGAGCCTTTGACCCATTTTTGATAATAAAATTCTTATTTTGTGCTTCAAAAGTTCTGTATGTGCTTCAAAAGTTCTTGTATGCTATATGTAAGTCCTTTAACAGGGATATAATTTGCAAATATTTTCTCCCTATTTGTGCATTGTATTTTCCCTCTTAATTGTGTTTCAAAGAGCAGAAGTACTTAATTTTGATGTTAAGTTTATCATTTTTTTCCCTGAATGGACTATGTTTTGGGGGTCATATGTAAAATCTGCTATTAACCCAAGGTTGCAAATAATTTTCTTAATTTTTTTTTCTGGAAGTTTTACAGTTTTAGCTTTTACTATGATCTATTTAGGTGTGTGATCTATTTAAACCAATTTTTGTATATGATATGAGGTGTGGATCTAATTTTATCTTTTTGCCTGTGCATCCTCAATTGTTCCAGCACCATTTGTTGATGAAAATATTTTTTCTCTTCTGGATTGCCTTTGCACCTTTATTAGAATTTAATTGACAGTGTATTTGTGGGTATATTTCCCAACTTTTTGTTTCACTTATTTTTCTATCTTGATACCATACCACATTATCCTGATTACTGTAGCTTTATAATAAATCATGAAATCAGGTGGTATGTGTTACCTGCATCCATATAAGAGACCATCTGAGCAGGCTTAGTGTGAGCAACAAGGCTATTTATTCACTTGGATGCAGGTAGGCTGAGTCTGGGAAAGGAGTCAGTGAATGGTGGTGGGATTATCATTGGTTCTTATAGGTTTGGGATAGGTGGTGGAGTTAGGAGCAATTTTTTGCCGGCAGGGGATGGATATTACAAAGTACATTCTCAAGGGCTGGGAGGATGTTACAAAATACATTCACAAGGGTGAGGAGGATGTTACAAAGTAACATACTTTCACAAGGGCAGGGAGGGTGTATTGTCACAAGGGTTGGTGGGGAGGAATGTTACAAAGTACATTCACAAGGGCAGGGAGGAATGTTAACAAAGTACATTTGCAAGGATGGGGAATATCACCAAGTACATTATCACAAGGACTGGGGGAATGTCACCATGACTTGACCATGGTGTGCCCAGCTCAGAGGACCTTACATTCCTGTCTTTTTATGTTAATAATGAAGAAATAAAATGAAAAAGAGTAGTGAAAACTTGGGGTGAAAATTTTGGGGGCGGTATGGAGGGGTGATGGGTGAGGTTTCTCAGGGCTGCTTTGAGCTGGATTAGGGGCGGCACGGGAACCTAAGTGGGAGAGATTAGACTGAAGTAAGATGTTGGGGTAAGGGGTGATATTGTAGAGTTAAAAGCAGCATTTGTTGTGTAGAGTGATTAGTGATAGCCTGGATGCAGTTTCGTAGGAATTGAGAGATTAATCGGAAGACCCAAGGCCTGAGTAAGAAGAGAAGGAGGAAGATAGGTATTAGAGGACTAACAATTGGAAGAAGCCAGGATACTCAGTTAGAGAGTAGCCAGGTGGGTCCAGTGTAATTAGTTGCCTGATTAGTGAGTTTTTGAGCTCTGTCTTTGAGTTTTTTGATGTTATATACCAAGCCAGATTAATTTAAGTAAAAACAACACTTTTCATTAAGAAATATACAGAGTCCTCCTTTTTCAGCAGTGAGTAAATCAAGGCCTCGGCGGTTCTAGAGGACAGCTGCGGCTAAAGAGTCAACCTGAGCTTGGAGGACAGATAAAGTTTGTGATATGTCTGTAATGCTAGCAGAGAAGTCATTGGAGAGGCTGCGGAATGTTGTGACAGAGGTTGAGATGCCTGCTATTCCAGTTCCAAGTCTGGTAGTGGAGGCAGAAAGTCCTAGATCCACAAGTAAAGGGATTACTGGGATGACTCTTTTTGTCGTGTTGGTGTCATGAGGGAGACAGGCAGTTGTTCATTCCCATCTGCAAGCTGGATTTTGGGGGTAAGGAAGACTAGAGTACATGTGCCCTTCCAGTTGGCGGGTAGGCACATGTGGGTGGAAGAGGCACATAAAAAGAAGAGACCTTGTGTCAGTCAGAACTGGAAATGTAAAGTGAAAAGGTGAGAGGGTGTACTGCAAGAGGAGTCCTGCACCCCAAATCCTAGAGATCCAGCAAGGGCAGCAGCCATTAGAGGTTGTAATGGGAACTGATGTTGCAACTGCGTAGAGGGAGAGGTTCTGTTCTCATGGTGTATGAGAAAACACATAGTGTCTATGAATAACCTTTCACTGCTATTCACCGTGAGAGGTGACAACGTGCTGGCGGCCCTCTCTCGCTCTCACCGCCTCCTCGGCATCTGCTCTGGCCACGCTTGAGGAGCCCTTCAGCCCGCCGCTGCACTGTGGGAGCCCCTCTCAGGGCTGGCTGAGGCTGGAGCCAGCTTCCTCTGCTTGTAGGGAGTTGTGGAGGGAGAGGGGTGGGCAGGAACAGGGGCTGCGCTCAGCGCTCGTGCGGCCAGCACAAGTTCCGGGTGGGCGTGGGCTTGGTGGGCCCCACACTCGGAGTGACCGGCTGGTGCTGCCGGCCCTGGGCAGTAAGGGGCTTAACACCCGTGCCGGCAGCTGTGGAGGAGGCGCTGGTTCCCCCAGCACTGCCGGCCTGCCCATGCCACGCTCGAATTCTCACCAGGCCTCAGCTGCCTCTCCATGGGGCAGAGCTGGGGACCTGCAGCCCGCCATGCCCGAGCCCCCCCCCACAGTGGGCTCCCACGCGGCCCGAGCCTCCCCAATGGGTGCCACCCCCTGCTCTGCGGCGCCTGGTCCCATCGACCACCCAAGGGCTGAGGAGTGCAGGCGCGCAGCTTGGGACTGACGAGCAGCTCTGCCCGCAGCCCTGGTGCTGGGTCCACTAGGCAAAGCCAGCTGGGCTCCTGAGTCGGGTGGGGTCTTGGAGAACTTTTATGTCTAGCTACAGGATTGTAAATGTACCAATCAGCACTCTGTGTCTAGCTCAGGGATTGTATATGCGCCAATCAGCACTCTGTATCTAGCTAATCTAGTGGGGACGTGGAGAACTTTTATGTCTAGCTAAAGGATTGTAAATGCACCATTCAGCACTCTGTGTCTAGCTAAAGGTTTGTAAATGCACCAGTCAGTGCTCTGTGTCTAGCTAATCTAGTGGGGACTTGGAGAACTTTTGTTTCTAGCTAAAGGATTGTAAATGCACCAGTCAGCACCCTGTGTCTAGCTCAAGGTTTGTAAATGCACCAATCAGTGCTCTGTGTCTAGCTAATGTAGTGGGGACTTGGAGAACTTTGGTGTCTAGCTAGAGGATTGTAAATGCACCAGTCAGCACTCTGTCTAGCTCAGGGATTGTAAACGCACCAATCAGCACCCTGTCAAAACGGACCAATCAGCTCTCTGTAAAATGGACTAATCAGCTCTCTGTAAAATGGACCAATCAGCAGGATGTGGGTGGGGCCAGATAAGGGAATAAAAGCAGGCTGTGCCAGCCAGCAGGCAACCTGCTCCTGTCCCCTTCCACACTGTGGAAACTTTGTTCTTTTGCTTTTTGCAATAAATCTTGCTGCTGCTCACTCTTTGGGTCCATACTGCCTTTATGAGCTTTAACACTCACCGGGAAGGTCTGCAGCTTCACTCCTGAGGCCAGCAAGACCATGAACCCACCAGCAGGAATGAACAACTCCAGACGGGAGGAGCGAACAACTCCAGAGGTGCCGCCTTAAGAGCTGTAACACTCACCGCGAAGGCCTGCAGCTTCACTCCTGAAGCCAGCGAGACCACGAACCCGCCAGAAGAAAGAAACTCCAAACACGTCCGAACATCAGAAGGAACAAACTCTGGACACACCACCTTTAAGAACTGTAACACTCACTACGAGGGTCCGCGGCTTCATTCTTGAAGTTAGTGAGACCAAGAACCCACCAATTTCGGACACAATGGGGCTGGATATAAGCAAGCAAGAGGAGGTGCTGGGCAGAGAGTCAGATGAGCAGGGGGAGCAAAGCCAAGGATTGAGTGAGATGCAGAGTAGGTGTCTTCTTAAACAATAGTGACTGCTAATGTTTTTTAGTTTGTCAATAATGATAGAGGGCTTATCAGTAATGCGAAGTTGGAATGCTCCCATCTGTTTGTTAATGTGCGTGACTGGGTTCTGGAGATAAAGAATAAAGGAACATTTGGACGGTGGAAGTTTGCCTAAAGGGATTCCAGTAAGCTGTTGTTGGAAGATGCATAAAGGAGTGGCAACAGGGATAGTTGTTTGTGTGGTTAGGGGTCCAAATATGGGGGGATGGAATTGACATAAGGAGAAAGGTGCCATAAGTAGATGCGGAGTAGTGTGGCAGCTTGTTGGTGTGAAATGTCTGGGGAGTTCTCACCAAATCTGTCTAGAAAGTAAAGAAGTTCCTCAGGCAGGTAAAGATGGGGGCTATTAAAGGAGGTTTGGAGGTGCCGGGAGACAAGAGAGGTAGCCCAGTCAGCCTATAGAGTGGGGACATCTGTGTAAGAGCAGGAAGAAAGGGAAACACATAGCCAACAATTCTTTGCTAGAGAAGGATTGGAGGCAGTGAGGAGAGAGTGGGTGCAATTGATAGTATGCTGGAGGTAACTAGGGAGAGGTAGAGAGTGACTGGAGAATAGGGGCAGGGATAAGAGTGAGTAGAAAAGTTAAAAAAAAGGACTTCATCAGGATAGAAGAATTGGAGTGTACCTTGCCACTGAAGATCTTCTATCCACTCCAAGAGAGAGTTAAGGGTGGCGGTTTGAGGAAAAACCAGAAGATAATCAGTTACGATGGTTCGGAGGAAAAGTGTAAACCGGCAGTGTAAACAAGGGCAGGGCATTTACGAGTAGTTGAGAATGGTGAATAGGAGTATAACTAGACAGAAGATAGTAGGGATGACAAGTTTTTGGGGTGCAGTCCAAGTAGTGGGGGTGACTGCGTAAAGCCATGTTGCAAAAAGTAGGGTAAGGACGAATAGACCTAATAGGATGAAAGGATGTATTAGGCTCATAAGGGTTATTACTGTTCTTCAGAAATGCGAGTGAGTTTAAGGGAAGTAGGGGAGAGTACTTGTGACTTCCAAGAGGAAGAGGAGGGATCAGGCTGGCTGTCCAATGGACACAGCTTTATTCCAGAATGGTGAACCCAATGGGGAGGGTCCTGCAGGCGGACGGCAGTTAGGGTACTGTAGATGACTAAGTAGGGTCTGGTCCATCAAGATTATAGAGTTTGAGGGATCAGATTCTTAACAAGAACTGATCATCCAGCTAGGGTGTCTTCATATGGCTGGGAATCTGGAGTAGACAAGAGAAGATTAGCAGCCTGGCGAATTTCCTGTCTAGCCTGCTGGAGGACTGGAAGATAGTCGCCTAGAGGGCTGGTGTCTGGCACGAGATTGAGGCCCAACAAGAAGGTACATCCATATAAAAGTTCAAATGGACTATACCCTGTAGCTTCTTGAGGACAGGCTCTAATTCTAAGGAGGGCAAATGGTAAAAGTACAGTCCAGTCTTTTTTAATTTGGAGGCTGAGTTTGGTGAGGTGTTTTTAAAAGACCATTAGTTCTTTCTACCATTCCTGAAGATTTAGGATGGTAGGGGGAATGAAGGTTCCACTGGATGCCGAAGGCCTGGGAGACTGCTTGAGGGACCTGACTAATGAAGGCCGGTCCGTTATCGGACTGTATAGAGGTGGGAAGGTCAAACTGAGGAATTATGTCTGACAGGAAGAAATGACTGCGGTGGCCTTCTCAGACCCTGTGGGCCTCTACCCATCCAGTGAATGTATCTACCCAGACCAAAAGGTATCTTAGTTTTTTGAGTCGGGGCATATGGGTAAAGTCAATCTGCCAGTCTTGTGTGGGGGCAGATCCTCGAGCTTGATGTGTCGGAAAGGGAGGGGGCCTGAGATATCCCTGAGGGGTGGTAGAGTAGCAGATGGAACCCTGAGAAATAATTTCCTTGAGGATGGATTTCCATGATGGAAAAGAAATGAGAGGTTCTAAGAGATGGGCCATTGGCTTGTAACCCACATGAAAAAGGTCATGAAAGAATGATAAGATAGAATGAGCCTGTGAGGCAGGAAGGAGGAATTTTCCTTGATCCAAGAACCATTTGCCTTGAGTAGGAAGGGATTGATAAGTAATAGTTTCAGTGGGAGAATAGGTGGGAGTGATAAATGAGAAGGAAAAAAACTGGTCGTGAGGGACAGATGTGAGAATACTAGCTGCTACTTTTGCTGCATTGTCAGCATAAGCGTTGCCTCAAGCAGTGGGATCTGGTGACCTTTGATGCCCCTTGCGGTGAATGACTCCGGCTTCCTTGGGCAGTAGAGCAGCCTTAAGGAGGATTCTTATTAAGGAAGCGTTGATGATGGAGGACCCTTGTGTGGTGAGAAAACCTCTTTCTGCCCATATAACAGCATGGTGATGTAGGATGTGGAAAGCATACTTGGAATTAGTGTAGATATTGACATGTAGTCCCTTTGCAAGGGTGAGAGCCCGGGTTAAAGCAATAAGTTTGGCACGTTGAGAGGTAGTGGAAGCGGGCAGGGCAGGAAGCTTCAGTGACAGATGTGGAAGACACTACAGCATAGCCTGCCCTTGCCGATGACTAACGATTGGGCCTTGAAGAACTACCATCAGTAAACCAAGCGCAGTCTGGATTAGGAACAGGAAAGAGGGAAATATGGGGAAATGGGGAGAATGCCATATGGATTAGAGAGATACAGTCACGAGGTTCAGGTTTGGTGCTAGGTATAAGGTGAGAGGCCGGGTTGAAGTCTGTGCCAGGAATAATGGTAATTGTAGGAGTTTCAATGAATAGTGAGTACGGTTGAAGGAGTCGGGCAGAAAGTATATGCTTCAAGTGTGAGGAGAAAAATAGATTTTGAAAGTTATGAGAGTTGTAGAGAGTAAGTGGGGAATGGTTTGTGATCTTGAGGGCCTCTAGAAGTATTGAAGTGGTGGCTGCCACTGCACGTAGACATGAGGGCCAGCCTAGAACTGTGAGGTTAAGTTATTTGGATAGGAAGACTACAGGTCATGGGCCTGATTCCTGTGTAAGAGAACTCCGACCGCACAGCCTTGTTTTTCAGCCATATGTAAGAAGAAGGATTGGGATGAATTAGGGAGTGCTAATGTGGGAGCTGTTTCTAGGGCTGTCTTTAAGGAACAAAAAGAAGAATGGGGAAAGGACTTAGGGTCTGTGGGGTCAGTCAGGTTTCCCTTTGTGAGTTTATATAGTGGTTTAGTTAGGATGGCAAAACCTGGTATCCAAAGGCGAAAGTGTGCAACCACGCCTAGGAAGGAAAGGAGTTGTTGCTTTGTAGAAGGGGTTGGGGTTTCGGAGATTAGCTGGACACAGCAGGGAGAGCACTTGTGTTTTGATGAAGGACTATGCCAAGATCGGTAACGGATGGGGAAGAAATCTGGGCTTTAGAGGGGGATACGCGATACTTCTTTGAGAACAGATGTTGAAGGAGCAGGAGGATGTCCTGTTGGGAAGATTCGTAAGAGGGGCTGCAGAGGAGAAGGTCGTCCATATATTGAATAAGGTGAGAAACGGATGGAAAGAAAGTAGATCATGAGAAAGAGCTTGACTAAAGTAATGGGGGCTGTCTCTGAAGCCTTGGCAGTACAGTCCAGGTGGGTTGCTGAGATTGGTGGCTGTCAGGGTCAATCCATGTGAAAGTGAAAAGAGGTTGGAATGAGGGGTGCAAAGGAATAGTGAAGAAAGCATCTTTGAGGTCGAGGACAGAATAATGAGTTGTGGAGGGAGGTATGGAGGATAGGAGAGTGTATGGGTTTGGCACCACAGGCTGGATAGGTAAGACAATTTGGTTAATAAAGCGAAGATCCTGAACCAACCTGTAAGATTTGTCTGGTTTCTGGACAGGTAGGATAGGAGAATTGTAAGGAGAATTTGTGAGCTTTAAAAGGCCATGCTGTAACAGGTGAGTGATAACAGGCTTTAGTCCTCTTAAAGCCTGTTGTGGGATGGGGTACTGGCGTTGAGCGGGGTAAGGGTGATTAGGTTTTAATGGGATGGTAAGGGGTGCCTGATTGGTCGCCAAGGAGGGAGTAGAGGTATCCCATACTTTTGGATTAAGGTAGGGAGGGAGACACGAGAGGAGGATTCAAAGGAGGCCTTGAATCGGGTAAAAGGGCAGCAATGAGGTGTGGCTGTAGTCCAGGAATAGTCAGGGAAACAGATAATTTAGTTAAAATGTCTCGGCCTAATAAGGGAACTGGGCAGGTGGGGAGAACTAAAAAAGAGTGCATAAAAGAATGTTGTCCAAGTTGGCACCAGAGTTGGGGAGTTTTAAGGGGTCTTGAAGCCTGGCTGTCAATACCCACAACAGTTATGGAGGCAAGGAAAACAGGCCCTTGAAAAGAAGGTAATGTGGAGTGGGTAGCCCCCGTATTGATTAAACAGGGAATGGACTTACCCTCCACTGTAAGAGTTACCCGAAGCTCGGCATCCATGATGGTCCAGGGGTCTTCCAAGGCGATCGGGCAGTGTCAGTCTTCAGCCGCTAAGCCAAGATCTGGGAAGGAGTTGGCCAAGGAACATTGGGTTTGAGCTCCAGGAGCTTTAGGAGCAGCGGCGATGTGAATTGGACAATCTGACTTCCAGTGGGGTCCCGCACAGATAGGGCACAGCTTAGAAGGAATCCCGGGCTGCAGGCATTCTGAGGCCCAGTGGCCAGGCTTTTGGCATTTGAAGCAAGGTCCATGAGGAGGTTTTGATGGAGCCCATGGGAGCTGTGGCTTGGATGTTCTGAAGGTTTTGTATGCTGGAGACATGGTTGTGGGTTGTCTCACAGTGAAGGCAAGTAGCTGTAATTTAGAGATACGCTGCTGCTTGGTGGCTTCTTCTCTGTTATTGAACACCTTGAAGGTGAGATTGTTTAAATCCTGTTGTGGGGTTTAAGGGCCAGAATCCAACTTTTGGAATTTTTTCCTAATGTCAGGAGTGGATTGGGTGATAAAATGCATATTAAGGATAAGGTGGCCTTCTGGCCCCTCTGGGTCTAGGGCTGTAAAGTGTCTAAGGGTAGCTGCTAAGTGGGCCATGAACTGGGCTGGGTTTTCATCTTTACCGTGGGTAGTTTCCTTTAGCCTGTCATAATTAACAACTTTGTATGCTGCCTTTTTGAGCCACTTGACTAGGCAGGAGACTGTGTAATCTTGCCTAGCTATACCTGGGGAGTCCGTCTGGTATTGCCAATGGGAATCCTCTCGGGGAACTGCCCTGGTGCCCTCTTGGAAGCCTGGCTCATGAAGCCGGTGGGTATCTGCGTAGGACTGGGCTAGAAAGTAAACTCTTTCTTGTTCATCTGAGGAGAGGGTAGAGGTCAGGACGACCTCTCCATTTAAATGGAGTGACTCCATTTAAGTCACTCCAGGTTAGATTGTAGGACTGAGTTAGATATTGGAATTCCTGTATATGTTTAGTGGAGTCTGATGAGAAAGACCCTAAACGCTGGCTGATTTGGGAAAGGTCTGATAGAGAAAAGGGGACACGTACCCTGACTATGCCTTCAGCTCCAGCCACCTCTGTAAGAGGAAATTGTTGGGCAGGTAGGGGAGAGCTAATTGCTAAACGAAACTGTAAGCCAGACCAGGTGTGAGGAGGGGAGGTAATGGAAGGGTTATAGAGTGGGGGAGCAGAGGCTGCCGAAGAATTGGGACCTGATTCAGCCTGGCAAGGTGCGGCCAGGGGAGAAGGAGAGAGGTCAGAGTGGTCAGTGGAAAAGGAGGATTCAGAGGACTCTGAGCTTGGAGCAGAGACTGAAAGGAGCAGATGGGAGAGAAAGAAGGAAAGTCTGGGATGAGTCGCACTGGGAGCAGAGACTAGGGAGGGAGCGAAGTGTAAAAAATGCATGGATGTAAGGCACCTCAGACCATTTGCGCAATTTTTGACAAAAATTATCTAGGTTTTGTAAGAAGACAAATCGAAAGTGCCATTTCTCTGGCCACTTGGAACTATTGTCGAGTTTGTATTGGGGCCAAGTGGTATTACAGAAGAAAATAAGACATTTAGGTTTTAGGTCAGGTGTTAGTTGAAGGGGTTTTAGGTTTTTAAGAACACAGGCTAAGGGGGAAGAGGGAGGAATGGATGGCGGAAGGTTGCCCATAGTGGAGAAGGTAAATTTAAGGACGAAGGTAGAGACATGGAGAAATGGAGATGGGCAGCTACCAGGCTTCCAGTAGGCGTCCCTGACTGAGTCTTGGGCTGTAATGTGGGTGAGCAGCCAAAGCAGGCATGATCAGCCAAAGCAGGCATCTCCACAGTTGACCTGCCACCAAGGGAATGTGGGTGAATGATCAAGGCAGGCGTCCCTGTGGTGATCAGACACCAAGGGAAGATGTGTCTTCCCAAGTCAGTAACCGACGTCAGAGTTTTTAAATGCTCAGATAAAGTGTGTCTCCTTTTTGTCTCTACCTGGAAGGGAGAGAAACTGAAATTGAAAGGAGAGAGATTGAAGGGAGGCGAGAGAGGTTAGGTAGAGAGCGAAAAAACCGCTTACCCGAGTGTGAAGAACCGCTTACCGATTTGAAATTGGTGAGATGGTCCTTGGACTGGCTGGTCTGATGACCCAGGGTCATAGGTGGATCTCCTCACGGAGGGAGCGTGAGGACAGGGGACCGGTCTCCCGAAGGAGTTCCCCTGTCCTGGGTGTTCGGCACCAAATGTTACGCACGTCCATATAAGTGACCACCTGAGCAGGCTTAGTTTGAGCAACAAAGCTGTTTATTCACTTGGGTTCAAGTGGGCTGAGTCCAAGAAAGGAGTCAGTGAAAGGTGGTGGGATTATCATAGGTTCTTATAGGTTTGAGATAGGCGGTGGTGTTAGGAGCAATTTTTTGCAGGCAGGGGATGGATATTACAAAGTACATTCTCAAGGGCTGGGAGGATGTTACAAAGTAACATTCACAAGGGCGGGGAGGAATGTTACAAAGTACATTCACAAGGGTACATTATCACAGGCTGGGGGCGGTGGTGGCGGGAATGTCACGATGGCTTGACCATGGTGTGGCCAGCTCAGAGGACTTACCAGTATGGATCCTCCAACTTCGTAAAAATTGTTTTGGTTATTTGTTTTCATATGTTCTTTGCAGTTCCGTATGATTTCTAGCATCAGTTTGTTAATTAAAAACAAAAACACCTGCTGAGGTTTTGATTGGGAATGCACTGAATCTATAAACCAGTTTAGGGAGAAGTGAACATCTTAATAGTTGATTCTTTTAAACCATGAATGAGGTACATCACTCCATTTATTTAGGTCTTTAATTTCTCTCAATGATGTTTTGCAGTTTTCAGTGTAGAGATATTGTATATGCTGATCTTACATCTTGCAACCTTATTAAATCACTTATTCTAATTGCTGTTTTATATTTTTTTAGTATTTTTGTACGTAAGTGATCTTGTCATCTGTGAATAAACAGCTTCATTTCTTATTTTTGAATAAGAATTTTTGAATTCAGATCTTATTTTGATCTGAATGCCTTTTATTTCTTTTTCCTTGTTGTACTAGGGGAAAACTATAGTACATTGTTGTGACAGAGTGGAGCAAACATCCTTGTTGTCAATCTATTAATAAAAAGTAGTTGGGGGCGGGGCATGGTGGCTTACACCTGTAATCGCAGCATTTTGGGAGGCCAAGGCGGGTGGATCACCTGAAGTTGGGAGTTTGAGACCAACCTGGCCAACGTGGTGAAATCCTGGCTCTACTAAAAATACAAAAATTAACCCGGTGTGGTGGCATGTACCCAAGCCACCTACTTGGGAGGCTGAGGCACGAGAATTGCTTGAACCTGGGAGGCGGAGGTTGCAGTGAGTGGAGATTGCGCCACTGCATTCCAGCCTGGATGACAGAACCAGACTCCCTCTCAAAAAAAAAAAAAAAAAAAAGTAGTTGGGGATGAAGACGTGGGGAGTTGGAAGCGTTCATTCAGTTTTTCACCAACTGTAATCTTAGCTCTAAATTTTTCATAGATGACCTTTATCTGGTTGCCCCTCTGTAATCTCTACTTTCCACACCTTCTTCATCAGACAACCACTGTTTGGCTTTCTGGAGAGAGAGTATTTTACATATAGAGAGAGTATTTTACTTAAAATTTAATTTTCTGCTATTTTATGTAAATGGAATATGTTGTATAGTTTTTTAATCTAGTTTTTTTCATTTAGCATAATGTTTTTATAGCTCACCCATGTTTTAGCACATATCAATTCTAGCATGTCCATTTTTTAAATTGTTGATACTGCATTTTGTCTATCCATTCAGAAGATTTTAAAAATTGAAAATTTTAGTTTTAATTTGGGGCTGTCACAAAAATGCTTCTATCAAAATTTACATAAAAGTCTTTATATGGCCATGTGTTTTCACTTCTTTATTATAGATATGCAGGAGTAGAATTGCTGTGTTATGTAAGTACATGTTTAACTTCTTGGGAAAAGACCAAATTGTTTATAAAATGACTGTACCATTTTACATTCTGACCACCACTTGGTATTGACAGTCTTTTATATTATTTGCCATTCTGGTGTATATTTAACAGTGTCTTACTGTGATGTTAATTTGTAGTTCAGTAGTGATGAGTGATGTAGGGGGTCTTTTTATGTGCTTACTAGACATTCCTGTATCTTCTTTGGTGAAATGTCTATTCAGACATTTTCTCCATTTTTAAATTGTACTGTCTTATCAAATTGTAAGAATGTATCTATTTTGGATCCAAGTTCTATGTCATATATGTAGTTTTCATATAATTTCTCTCAGTCTCTGGCTTTTTTTTTTTTTTTTTTTTTTTTTTTTGAGACAGAGTCTTGCTCTGCTCCGCAGGTTGGAGTACAGTGGTGTGATCTCAGCTCACTGCAACCTCTGCCTCCCGGGGTCAAGCAATTCTCCTGCCTCAGCCTCCCAAGTAGCTGGGATTGCAAATGCCCACTACTACGCCTGGCTAATTTTTCTATTTTTAGTAGAGATGGGGGTTGCACCACGTTGGCCAGGCTGGCCTCAAACTCCTGACCTCAAGTGATCTGCCCACCTCAGCCTCCCAAAGTGCTGGGATTACAGGCGTGTGCCACCGTGCCCAGCCAGTCTGTGACTTCTTAATAGTGTCTTTTGAAGCATAAAACTTTAATATTGATGATATCTACTTTAAGGTTTATTTTTGAGAATAGAGCTTTTGGTGTCATAGCTAAGAAATCTTCAACCTCACGATTATTTCATCTTACAGTTTTTTCTAAAAGTTTTAAAATTTAGTTCTTACATTTTGGTCTGTGATCCATTGTGAGTTAATTTTTTGTTTTGTTTGTATATATATATTTTTGCATATGGATATTTGCATATTCATTTTACCTAGCATGGTTTATTGAAAAGGCTGTTTTTTTCCCCATTGAATTGCCTTGGTACCTTTGTTGAAAATCAGTTAACCATAAATATGTGTGTTTGTTTTCTGTACCATTTGTTCTGTCTCCTTTAACTATTTTTCTGTCTTGGTACCAATCCTGACTGTCTTGATTATTGTAGCTTTATTGTAACTTCAAATCCAGTAAGTCTTACAACTTTGTTCGTTTTTATAATGGCTTTGGCTATTTTAGGTTTTTGTATATTCATATACATTTAAGGATTTGCTTGTCAATTTATACCGTAAAGCCTGTTGGGGTTTTGATAGGAAATGATTTGAATCTATAGATTAATTTGGGGAGAATTGCAGTCTTAACTATATTGTGTTTCCAGCCTATGAACATGGCTTGCTTCTGCATATATTTATCTTTTATTTCTTTCAGCAATATTTTGTATTTTTCAGTGTATAAGTCTTACACTTTTGTTAAATCATTTCCAAATATTTTATTCTTCTTAATAGGATTATGAATGGAATTGTATCTTAATTTCATTTTCATATTATTCATTGCTAGTATATAGAAATACAGTTGGTTTTTGCATATTGATCTTATATCCTGTGACCTTGATATAATCTTTTATTAGATCTAGTAGTTTATATTTGTAGATTCCTTAGAATTTTCTACATGCAGGATCAGTCTACTATGTTAAACATAGTTTCATTTCTTTCTTTCCAGTCTGTATGCCTTTAATGTCTTTTCTTGCCTTATTGTACTGGTGAGAGTCTCCAGTATGGAGTAGATTGGAAGTGGTGAGAGTGGACCACCTTTGCTTGTTCCTGAAGCATATTGCAATCCCACAGATTAACCATCAAGAATATAACAAAAATCAGCCAGGTACAGTGTGGCTCATGCCTGTAATACCAGTGGTTTGAGAGGCCAAGGCCAGAGGATCACTTGAGGCCAGGAGTTTGAGATCTGCTTGTCAACATAGGGAGACCCCTGTCTCTACAAAAAAACGTGTGTGGTGGTGTACACTTGCAGTCTTTGCTACTCAAGAGGCTGAGGCGAGAGGATAGCTTGAGCCCAGGAGTTTTAGGCTGCAGTGAGCTATGATCATGCCACTTCACTCCAACTCAGCAACAGAATGAGACCCTATCTCTAAAAAAAAAAAATAACAAAAATAACATTTAAAAAATCAACAAAGGAATTAAAATGGGATACTAAACAAAAATATTTGACAGAAATGATAGTAGTACAGGAAGAACAGAGGAACAAAACAGATGAGACATTTAAAAAATAGGAAAATGGAAGACATAATCCAGACAAGTTAGTAATTTCATTACATGTGCATAGTCTAAATATTCCAATCAAAAGAGATTATCAGGTTCTGTGACAATTCAAAATCCTATTATCTGCTGTATACAGGAAACACACTTTAGCTGTAAAAGCACAAATAAGTTGAAAAGGATTGAGAGATATACCAGGCAAACTATATTCATGAGAGAACTAGAGCCTGAGTCAAAATAGATTTTAAGACAAGAAATATTACTAGAGACCAGAAGCAAAATTTCGTAGTGTTAAAAGGATTAATACATTAGGAATACATAGCAATTTTTATTGTATATTTAATAGCAGAGCTTCAAAATATATGAAGTAAAAACTGACAGAATTGAAAGGATTAGTAGGAGTTCAACTATTATAGTTTGTGATTTCAAAAGTCTTTCAATAATAGAACCACTAGACTGAAAATTAGTAAAGGTATAGCTTGAAAAGTATTACCAACCACTTTGATCTGATATATAATCTTTTTTTTCAAGATTTATGGGTCATTCTCCAGGATAGGGCGTATAATCTAGTAACATAACACAAGTCTCATTACATTGAAAGGAATGAAATCATTTGAAGTTTGTCCACTGACTACAGTGCAATTCTGTTATAAATCAATATCAGAAAGAAATAGGAGAACTTAGATAACATTTGTAAATGAATAATAGACCAAGGAAGACTTCAAGAGAAATTAGAAGAAAATATTTTGAACACAGTGGAAGTGAACACACATCAAAATTTATGGGATGCAGCTAAAGCAGTACTTTCAGGGAAATTTAGATCATATTTATGAGAAAAGAATGGTTTTGATCTAGTCATCTTAAGAATGAAAAGAACAGAGTATACTCAAAAGCAAGCTCAAGGAAGGTTCAAGTGGAAATCAATGAAATAAACACAAGAAAGATAACAGAGAAACATCATTGAAACAAAAAGTTGGCTCTTTCAAAAGTTTAACAAAACTTGATAAACTTTGAGTTAGACTGACCATGAAAAAAAAGATACAAATTTCCAGAATCAGGCATAAAAGAGGGGACATTAACATCCTAAAGAAATTTTAAATATTACAAAGGATTTTTTTTTTTTTTTTGAGACAAGAGTTTTGCTCTTGTCGCCCAGGCTGGAGTGCAATGGCATGATCTTGGCTCACTGCAAACTCCACTTCCCGGGTTCAAGTGATTCTCCTGCCTCAGCCTCCTGAGTAGCTAAGATTACAGGTGCATACCACCACGCCCAGATAAATTTTGTATTTTTAGTAGAGACAGGCCAGGCTGGTCTCGAACTCCTGACCTCAGGTGATCCACCTGCCTCGGCTTCCCAAAGTGCTGGGATTATAGGTGTCAGCCACCGCGCCCGGCCTACAAAGGAAATTTATGATCAACTTGCTATCAATAAATTGGGCAAATCTTGCAAAGACATACATTACAAAAAAAGGCTCAAAAAAAAAAAAGAAAAAGAAACTTTGAGTACAGAGAGAAGTCTAGACCCAGATAACTTTACAGCTGAATGTTTTCAAACATAAGAAGCATTATTACATACATTCCAAAAGACTTTGTATTAGGGTAATGGTAGAGAAAATGCTTTCAGCTCATTTCTGTTAGTCCAGTATTACTGCTACCAATACTAGGCAAAAATCACAAGAAAAAAAATTCCAGATTATTATTCCTCATGAATATACATGCGGAAATTGTTAACAGAATAACAGAAAACAGAATCCTGGTTTATATTTAAAGTATTTTATACCATGATCAAGTTGGGATTATCCCAGGAATGGAAGGTTGGTTTGGCATTTGTAAGTCAGTTAACACAGTATACTTTATTAATAAAATAATAGGCAAAAACCACATGATCCTTTCAATAAATGCAGAAAAAGCTTCTGGGAAAAATCTAAAACTCATTCAGCATAAAGTATTTGAACAAACTAGACATACAGAAGGGAACTTTCTGATATAGGGAATGTACAAAAATTTTATTATTATATTTTAGTTTTAATTTTTAAATTTGTATCCCTGATCCTTTTTTTTTTTTCTTTCTTTATTGAGACAGAGTCTCATTCTGTCACCCAGGCTGGAGTGCAGTGGCATGCTCATGGCTCACTGCAGCCTGGACCTCCCAGGCACAAGTGATCCTCCTGCCTCAACCTTCCGAGTAACTGGGACTACAGGCATGCACCATCATGCCTGGCTGATTTTTGTGTTTTTTTGTAGAGACGAGGTTTTGCCATGTTGGACAGGCTGGTCTTGAACTCCTGAGCTCAAGCTATTTGCTAGCCTCTGCCTCCCAAAGTGCTGGGATTACAGGCGTGAGCCACTATACCTGGTTCTGATCCACTTATAATTAATTTTTGTTTATGGTGTTATATTAAGAGCTCCATCCCCCACTGCCTTTGTTTCTTCTGTATTGATATCTGGTTGTTTCCCACCATTTATAGGAAAGATTATCTTTCTCCATTGAATTCTTTTGGTACCTTTGCCAAAAATCAGTTGAACATGTATTTATGGGTCTCCTTTTGTTCTCTCTATCCTGTTTTATTGATCTATAAGTTGATCAAATACCACATTGTCTTGAGTATTCTAGCTTTAATAGTGTGCCAGAATCTGATATTATAAATATTTCAACTTTGTTCTTATTTTCCAAAGTTGTTTTAGCTATTTTAGGCTCTTTACAATTCCATGTAAATTTTAGGGTCATTATGTCAGTCCTCCAAGGTGACTTTCTGGGATTTTTATTGTGATTGTATTGAATCTGTAGAACACTTCGGAGAGAATTGCCATTTTAATCCATAAACAAGATATATCTCTTTTTAATCAGGTCTTCAATTTTTCTCAGCAATGTTTCATAGTTTTTAAATTTGTAACTTTGTAGAAGTCTTGTGTGTATTTTGATAAATGTATCATTTTTATTCTATTTTTAATGGAGTCAAAAGATTTTATTTTCTGATTGTTGCTAATATACAATAAAACAATTGATTTTTGGGTATTGCGCTTTTATTATTCAATCTTGCTAAATTAATATATTTCTGAAGCTTTTTTGTAGGATTCACTTTATATACAGTGAATTCACTTTATATAAACAGTAGTTCTAGGAACTCAAATAGTTGAGAGTTTATATTAGTGCCCCCAGCTAATAAATTCAGAAAGGATGATCAAAATATAAAATACGTATTTTAATAGCCCTAATAATGCTTTCAGTCTACGTACTGATAAAAAAAATGCTAAAACTAATAGATGGAAAATTGAGAGGAAACTTTATAAATGGTGGGTCAAGTTGACACTGTCTGAAGCTACTCACCAATTTTAACATTACTGATAAATGGAACAAACAGACCTTATGTGTCTGCATATGTGATTTGATAGAACATTGCATTAGGTCTTTTTTATATCTCTCTGTTGTGTTCGTATTTATCGTTACTTTCTTTAACATACAAAACACACATAGCAATAGCTATTATAATATTGTTGTCTGTTGATTTCTATACTTCTGATAGTTCTGGGTCTGTTTTTATTGGTTGTTTTTTTCTCTTGGTTATGGATTATATTTTCCTGTTTCTTTGCATGCCTGGTTTGTTGTTGCTTGTTTCTTTATTGATGTCATCATGAATTTTATGTCACTGGGTTCCAGCTTTTGCATCTCTTTAGGTGGTATTGGGTTTTGTTCTAACGTATAGTCTAGCTAATTGGAATCTATTTGATTATTCTGAGCTTTATCTTTTAAATGTATTTGCGCAAGTTCAGCACTTTAGTGTGGGACTAATTTATTTTGTTACTGAGGAAATACATTCCTGAGGACCCTACCTAGTACCCCATGTATTATGTCGTCTTTCCTCTGTGACTCTTTGTTCTCACATATCCACAGTACTCACTCAAAGACTCAAGAGGACCTTTCTTCAAAGCATATATGCACACAAATGCTCATGCATACTCTTGTGCACAATGTTGTTCTCTCTCTCCCCGTATCTCTTTGCTGCTCTCCCTCTTTTCAGGAACACTGCCTTGCAAATTCTAAGTATCTTTCCCCTGTCATCCACACCCCAAAACGCTTATTAGCTTTTCAACTCAGCGAAATTGTCAGGCTGTGTTACGCTTCTCTTGCCTGTAGGTGGTAAAATGGTGTATTGCAAGAGTCATCTTAGTTTTTTGTTTCCTCCCTCAGGAATTACAGCCCTGCCCTGCCTTCTTTTTGGTGTCTTGAAATTGTTGTTTTATATATTTTGTTTTGTTTTCTGTTTTTGTCCTCAGGTGGGAGAGTAAACCCAGTCCCTGTTATTCCATCTTGCATGAAAGCAAACTTTTACAGATTTGCTTTTTTAAATGTATTAGGTGATACAAGAATTTGGGGGAAACAAAAGATAAGGATCTTCTGCTTAAGAAAAAACAAGTGAGGCCTGGTGCAGTGGCTCACGCCTGTAATCCTAGCACTTTGGGAGGCCAAGGTGGGTGGATTGCTTGAGCCCAGGAGTTCAAGACCAGCATAGTGAAAATGACAAAACCCCTGTCTCTACAAAAAATTTAAAAAATTCGCCAGGCATGGTAGTGCATGCCTGTAGTCCCAGCTACTTGGGACTGATATGGGAAGATCACCTGAGCCCAGGGATGTCGAGGCTACAGTGAGCCGTGATTGCACCACTGCACTGCAGCCTGGGTGATCACAGAGTGAGATGCTGTCTCGAAGAAAAAACATAAGTGATTTTTTGGTTATGTTCAAAAGTTATTTTGTTTGGATTTTGATTAGAATTTTGTTATTAACTGTTATTTGTATAGAACCTTATACTTTGGGAAATTGACATTTTTAAATATTTAACCTTCCCATAAAAGTATAGCTATGTTACTTTAAGCTTTGTTTCTAGCCCATCAATGAAGTTGTATAATTTTCTTTATAAATGACTTATTTATTTATTAGATGTTTTTTGGTATTTTGTTTTGTTTGAATGATTAATGTTTTTTTTCCATTTGGTTATTTTGGAGTAATATTTATATGTTTTATTTACTAACTGACACTGGCACTAAATTTTCATATATGATAATACTTTTGGTTGCTTTATCATTATTTTGAGTGAGCTCTGTATATTTCATATGTAAGTCATTTGTGTCTTAGTATAGTTGACAGGGCTTTTTTTTATTCTTCATTAAAAAAAATTCAGGTTATCTTTTAAAATGGAAACCTATCTTTTTCTCTGTGGTTGCTTTCTTTTTGATATGCTGAGAAATCTTTCTGAGACCAAGAATATAAAAATACTGTCTTTTAGTACTGGTCCAGCTTTAGTTTTTTCCAAAGAGCTGTGACTCCAACACTTTCTTTTAAGAAGTCATCTTTATATCTAACTACATTTCTTTATATATAGTTGGCACTTCATATCCGTGGGTTTCACATCCATTAATTCAAGCAACTGCTGATCCTGGAAAAAAAAATGGATGGTTGCATCTCTACTAAGCATATATAGACTTGTTTTACTTGTCATTATTCCCTAAGCAATAAAGCATAACAACTATTTATGTAGCATTTCCCGTGTATTAGGTATTATTAAAAATCTCAAGTTGATTTAAAGCATATGGAAGGATGCACATAGGTTATATGCAAATGCTACATCATTTTATGTTAGGCGCTTGAGCACTGGTAGATTTTTGTATCCTTGGGGATTCTGGAACCAATCCCAGTTGGATACCAAGAGACTACTCAAGTGTGAATATTTTTTAAGTTTTTTTATTTTTAGTATCTGTTGTCTTAACACTGCTCCCAAAAGATTATAATAATTTACTTTTATTAAATTGCCTAATCAGGTTATCACTTTTATTAGATTTTTACTAAGTGTATTTTTTTCTTTGTGCAACGTATATTGACAGATGTTAGAAATTTGAGATTAGACAGTTATCTTTTATAATTAATTTTAGGGACTAGTTAAAGGCAGAAGTTTAAAAAGAATTTTCATATAGTATTGAGATCAGTTATATCTGGACAATTAAGAGAAAGGTTTTTTTTTTTCTTTCTTTTTTAGAAAATCTTAACATAAATATTGTGACAGGATCAGAATTTCTTGGATAATATCTCAGGGCTTTTTTGTTGTTTGTTTGTTTTCTTTTCCTATATTGATATATTTTATTAATAACCTTTGCTAAAGAAATTGTTTTTCTGTTTTTATAGTTTTGGTAAGCAGTTTGGAGGAAAAAGAGGATGTGATTGTCTTGTATTAGAGCCTTCAGAAATGATTGTGGTAAGAACTTTAAAGAATGCTGAATTGTTTTTGATATGCTTCAGTTTTAACTTTAAATGTAGTAGGCTTTAAACACTTAAGGAGGTTTTATTACTATGACCTTTTAGAGATTTCATCAAGTAGCATCAGAACTATCTACCAGGTTTATCTATTTCTGTCTCTTCAGACTTTTTTTGATCCTCAAGAGAGTGTGAAACATGATACACTTACATATAATTTGCAGATTTGGTATTTTTTACCCCCTTCTACCAGAAAATTAGAAGTTTTAAAAGGGGACCATGAGTTTTCAAGTGATTTTTTTTTTTTTTTTTTTTTTTGAGACAGAGTTTCATTCTTGGTGCCCAGGCTGGAGTGCAATGGTGCAGTCTTGGCTCACTGCAACCTCCGCCTCCTAGGTTTAAGCAGTTTTCCTGCCCTAGCCTCCTGAGTAGCTGGGATTACAGGCACCTGGCACCATTCCCAGCTAGTTTTTCTATTTTTTAGCAGCCATGGGGGTTTCACCATGTTGGCCAGGCTGGTCTCGAACTCCTGACCTCAGGTGATCCATCTGCCTTGGCCTCCCAAAGTGCTGAGATTACAGGCGTGGGTCACTGCGCCCAGCCTCAGGTGATTTCTTCTTTCCCATTCAATTTTACTTTTTCAATAAACTTTGAATTCTATAGTCTGTGCCCTAGACTAGAGAGAATGAAGTAGAGAAAAGTAAAAAGACATACAATTAGATCCAAGTAAGAAATGGTGTTAGTATTTTCACTTTTTAATTATTTAAGATAAGTTTTTATTTAAGAGTGTATTTAAGGAATAATTCTTTATTTTTTCTTAAAAGAGCTAAGTAGTTGATGTAACTTTAGAATTTTTTTTTTTAAGTATTAGAAGAATCAAGAACACAGCTTGCTTTTTACGTTGTTCTAAGATGACCTGACTAGAAAACAGCATATACCGAGTGGACTCATTGTCCTACTAGGATCTCATGTAGATGACCATGTCATCTGATTAGATTTGAACTGTCAAGAAGAGAAATTGAATTCTTAATGAAGCATTTTAATGTAAGGGCTCAAAACCAAACTACTTTTCCATTTCATGGTGCTATAGTCAGATTGATACCTTCAAATAGTTTGTTTTCTCTTTCTTAAACTGGATCATCTGTATAACCATGAACTCACTATCCCTAATTTTATGTGAGCAACTGGATTTTAAGCTCTTACAGGGCAAAGATTATGTCTTATTCCACTTGTGTCTCCGAGAGTATCGCAGAGTACTGCCTGCATAGTAAGTATTCAGTGAATGTTTCTTGAATTCAAGTTTTTTCAAGGATGGAGTATGTATTGTTTCAAATTTATTTTCTTTAAGCACTGAATATATGGGATTCCTATTAGAGCCTCAGAATTCTTTCTTTTTAATGTATGTATTGAGGAACATGGCAAGAAAACTGCCCAGGCAGTATTGATTTTCTGACTTTTTAGTTGTATTTTGTATTTCTCATACTATATGCAAAAGAAATACTGCTTTTACTTCAGTGTTATACATTCTGTTTTAGTGCTTGTTTTACATACTTTATGTAATATTTTCATATGAGGAGGAAGAAAAGGAGAAATCATAGGCATAGCTATAAATGACATTGTTGGTGCAATTGATGAATTCAAAATATGCACTACAGATTGGATAATATCAAATTCCCTGAGTTTGATAACCATACTGTGGTTCTGTAAGACAAAGTCCTTATTGTTAGCAGTTACATGTTGACATATTTTGGGGTCAAGAAGCATTATATCTCCAATTTATTCTTCAGTATTTCAGAAAAACAAGTATATAAAATAAAAAGTCACATCAAGTATATGTATTTATGGCTGGTAATTTTTAAATTTCAAAAATTTAAATTTATTGATGATTGGTATAATTTTAAATGCTTTATGAGTTATAGGAGAAAACAATCCAAAATAGGTGAAATTTTTCAGAATTGTTAAAAATGCCTGGTCAAATGGTTTTGTCTATTTGTACAGATTTGATTAACTCCACTGGTGATTGGAAGTGTCTGTTACTGAACACATTCTTGATCACCTGATAAGTTAGTCATCTTAATCTGACACATTGTAAAGTAATCTCCTTGTTTTAACTTTTTTTTTTCTTTTTTTTTTTTCTTTTTTTCTTAAAGAAAAGGGGCTTACCGAGAGTAGAGTGTGCGGTGGTGCGATAGCTCAGCGCAGCCTTGGACTCCTGGGCTCAAGTGAGCCTCTCTCCTCAGTCTCTCAAGTAGCTGGGACTACAGATGCACCCCACCATACCCAGCTAATTTGTTGTTGTTGTTGTTGTTGTTATTGTTTTTGTAGAGACAGCCTTGCTATGTTTCACAGGCTGATCTCGAACTCTTGACCTCAAACAATCCTCCCACCTCAACCTCCCAAGTGTTGGACTTACAGGTGTGAGCCACCATGCCTGGCCCAAAGTATACTTTTAGGCAAGAAGCATTATTTAATGTAAGAATGGTACTGTATAGTGATAAAAGGTTAATTGTATCAAGGTTACACAATCCTGAAGCTTTACATGCCTTCAAAATACATAAAACAAAAATTGTCCTTAGTAAAATCAGAACTAGACAAACCCACAATCACAGTGGGAGATTTTTATTTTTATTTTTATTTTTATTTTCATTTTGTGATGGAGTTTTGCTCTCTCGTCTAGGCTGGGGTGCAGTGGCATAATCTCAGCTCACTGCAACCTCTGTCTCCCAGACTTAAGTGATTCTCCTGCCTCAGCCTCCCAGGTAGCTGGGATTACAGGTGTGCGCCACCACGTGCAGCTAATTTTTGTATTTTTAGTAGAGACAGTGTTTTGCCATGTTGGCCAGGCTGGTTTTGAACTCCTGACCTGAGGTGATCCTCTTGCCTCGGCCTCCCAAAGCGCTGGGATTAACAGGTGTGAGCCGCTTTGCCTGGCCAGGAGATTTTAATATACCTCTAAAGTAACTGACAAAACAACCACCATGAGTCAGTAAGGATATTGAGGATTTGAACCTCATCATGTACACATTTTACCTAAGAGACATAACAGGGAACACTACACTTATCAACAACAGAGTACGCCTACTTTTCAAGTGCACATGGAATGTTTTTTAAATTTGACCACATGCTGGGACATAAAGCAAGTCTCAAAATTTCAGTATTTAAAATTTTATAGTTTCTGACCACCATGAAATTAATTTAAAAACCAATTATAAAAACACAGCTAGAAAAAAAAATACAACTTCTGAAATTCAGGCGTATGCTCTAAATCGCTTGTCAAAGAAGAATTACTTAGAAAATTAGAAAATATTTTAAATGAATAAATATGACCTATTAAAATGTGTAGAATTCAGCGTAAGCCTTTCTTGTTGTGAAATTTAAGCCCTAGTGCTATAAGAGCAAAGGCTGACAGTAAAGTATTCATGTCAGGAAATTAAAGAGCAGCATATGAATAGTAATCACAAGCCAAGAAATAGTAAAGATCAATATAAAAATAAATATCAGTGGCATAAAAGCAAACTTAGAATAATGAGGATTGACAAAGGACAAGGTTGAGTCTCAGAAAAGACTAAGAAAATTGATAAACCCGTCAAAGATAATCAAAAATAAAACATGTCATACAATCAGTATCAGGAAGGAAAAAGGATTCACTACTACGATCTAGCAAACATTTTTAAAATGCTAATAAGGGAGATGGTATGGAAAGCTTAAAGCAAGTAAGTTTGAAGTTTTAGTCAAATTCCTTGGAAAAAAAAAAAAAAAACCAAACTGGCATATACACACACAAACAGAAGATCTGCACAAGCCAATATCTAGAAAAGAAAGTGAATCTGTAATTATAAACCTTTTCATTTAGAAATTCAGACCCATGTGGCTTCACTGGTAAATTTTTCCAAACATTTAAAGAAGAAATAATACTTAGCATCTAATAGGAAATAGAAAAACTTTAACTTCTTTGCCTTATTTTATGAGCCTATTTTAATTTTTATAACAGCCTAACAAGGGCATTATACAAAAGCAGTATTATAGGTTAGTATTTTTAAATGAAAATAAATGTAAAAATCTTAACATTTTAGGTAGTCCAATTTCAGTAATACATACAGAGGATAAAACAACATGACTACATTGAATTTAGTTCCAGAATCACAAATTGATTTAGCATTTGAATGTGTGATTCACTACATTGATATAATTAAAGAAAAAAATCAGGTAATCATTTCTATGGATGCAGAAAAAGCTCTTGATAATCAGAACCCGTTCATGATTTTAAAAGCTTTTAGCAAGCTAGGAAGGGAATGAAACTTTTATAACCTAATTGTTACCTGCAGAAACCCTATAATAAACATTGAAAACTTTCTCCCAACATTTGGGAATATATGGAGAAAGCTCACCATACCAAAACTATTGGCTAGGAGATGCATTTAGGCAGGGGAAAAAAGAGATTGGAAAAAAATATAAAACTGTGATTTACAGATGACATGATTTGTATGTAGAAAACCCCAAATTACCTAAGTGTGAACTTTTGAAATTTATGTCATTTCAACAAGGTCGTTGGATACTCGTTCATACATAAAAATCAATTGTATTTTTCCTTACAAGCAAGTAGAAAATTGAATTTTATAAACGTACCATTTATAAACATCAAAACCATCTATATACATCAGATTAAATCTGAAAAAAGTTGTAGGAGACCTTTACACAGAAAACCTTAAAAAGTTGTTTTTAGATCTTTTTAAATCAGTTGAGACAATATTTTTAAGATACAAATTATCTCAAAATTTGTCTAAAATTTAGTGCAGTCCCCATCATAATCCCAGGATATTTTAAAAATGGGGATAAAGGAATTGATCTGTAACATATGTCACATAAGGGAAGAAGAATATATTTACAAAAACTGTATGAGAAGTACTTAAGCTGGGTGTTGTGACACACGTCTGCAGTCCCAATTATTCCTGTCTGTGAATAGCCACTGCACTCCAGCCTGGGCAACATAGACTCCCGTCTATAAAACCAACAAACAAAACACTTAAGATTAAACTTAACAAATGTGCAGAAATAATGTGTTTAAATACCCCTGAAATAAAAAAATTAAACTTGAACAAAAAAAGAGATACCATGTTCTTAGGTATGGAGTTACCATAGTAAGGATATTACTTTTTGTTAGTTTACCTTATGAATATAATGAAATCCCAGTGAAATATGCCATCAAGTATAGTGTTTATTTTGTGTTTTGCATTTTGTGCCATTTAAAAGAATAAAAAAAGCAAGGAGAACTAGAAGAAACCTGAGAAAGAAGAGCAATTTTAGGGGAGCCATGTAAATCTTTTTATGTACTAAAAGCAATTCAAAAGGAGAAAAAATTTACTCTTCCCCCCAAAAAACAAAATAAGTGATTTTAATATATGTAAAATTTTGGTATAATTCCATGAAGAATTATTATTTCTGGTGACTTTAAGACACAGTATTTTAACTGTACATTCCTAATGTAGTATGTCTCATTGTTGGTGTTACTAGGAGCCAGTTGTCTCATTGTTGGTGTTACTAGTGGTCTTTTCTTCTTCTTATTATTATTTTTGAGACAGAGTCTTGATCTGTTGCCCAGGCTGGAGTGCAGTGGCATGATCTCGGCTCACTGCAACCTCAGCCTCCCGAGTAGCTGAGATTACAGGCACACACCACCACTCCCAGCTAATTTTTGTATTTTTAGTAGAGATGAGTTTCACCATGTTGGTCAGGCTAGCCTCAAACTCCTGACCTCAGGTGATCCACCCACCTCGGCCTCCCGAAGTGCTGGGATTACAGGCGTGAGCCACTGAGCCCAGCCTACTAGTGGTCTTTTTACAGTTTTCCATACAGTCCTGCACTGCTGGTTATGACTGATCACATGTATGACAATGGTTCCATAAAATTATAATACTGTATTTTTACTGTACCTTTTCTGTGTTTCGATACACAGATACTTAACATTGTGTTATAATTGCCTATGGTGTTCAGTACAGTAACATGCTTTACAGGTTGGTAGCTTACGACCAATAGGCCATACTATATAGCCTAGATAAGTAGTAGGCTATACTGTCTATGTGTAAGTGCACTCTATGATGTTCACACAATGACGAAATTGCCTAACAACTAGTTTCTCAGAACGTATCCTTATCGTTAAGTGCACATGGCTGTATATGTGTGTATATAGACGCACGTTATATGTAACTAATTATAATTAATTTAACATAACACATATACATAAATCTATACATATATAAATATTAGTATCCAAGATGATGTAACCAGGATGTTAGTGGTAATGTTGATTTTGTTAATTTAAAGCAATTATATATGTATAGGTAATATTTATGTGTATATTATGAAAAATTCTGTATGATACATTTAATTGGAAATAATTGAAATTTATAATTATAGTTAATATAACTAATAGATGCATAAATAAATGTCATTAGTAATCAAGATTTTTATTTTAGCATAAGAGTTGTGTAAAATTAAAGATGTTAAGAAAAACTCCAGTCTAAAATGTCAGTAGGAAATGTCAGCATTGACACGACTATTTTTTTCTTAAAAGTATTTACCAAATTATTTCACCTTAAGAAAAAAAATGTGTTTCCTAGGGTTGTTCATTGCAAAAGTTTAGAAGCAGCGATATCCAAGTAGTTAAAGCATTCCTAGTGGTTATAGAGCTCAGATTTTGATGATAATGAGTAGGTACCATTTCCCCTCTAAAAGGATAACAAACCTTCGTTAAGTTAATGATTTATAGCAGATGTGGATACCAAGAAATTTATTAGATTGGGATTTCCTTCACTAGGAAGCAGAGAAATATTTAAAATTATTGGGCTTCTCTCAAAAATATCAGGATTCTGTGAACCTTAATACTTGGGGTCTGTTTCTTCTTTTTCTATATTTGACATGAGATTCTTTTTTACCTGGAAAGACTTTTCTATTTGTATTCATTGTGATTGCTGATAGGTTTGAATTTACTTTCACCACATTATGTGCTTTTTATTTGTTCTTGTTTTTTCCCCTCTTTTTTTTATTTTCCCTCCTTTATTTTAAGTTCTTTTTTCCTTCCTCTCCTCCCCACCATATTCTTGTAGAAATGGTGTTTGGTCTCTTCTTTTAGTGCTAATTCTGACTATTTTTAAATTCCTACTTAGGCCAGGCACAGTGGCTCCCTCCTGTAATCCCAGCACTTCGGGAGGCCAAGGCGGGTGGATCACCTGAGATCAGGAGTGCGAGACCAGCCTGGCCAACATGGTGAAACCCCGTCTCTACTGAAAATACAAAAATTAGCCAGGTGTGGTAGGCGCCTCTAATCCCAGCTACTTGGGAGGCTGAGGCTGGAGAATCACTTGAACCCGGGAGGTGGAGGTTGCAGCGAGCCAAGATTGTGCCACTGCACTCCAGCCTGGGCAACAGGGTGAGATTATGTCTCAAAAAAAGAAAACCTATTTAAAAACACCTGAGGCTAATAAGTAGCTAAACTGATAAGAATTTAATGCTAGTATCCAGATGTAATTCCTATTGTCCAGTATTTTAGCTTTATGTATTCTGTAAATCATTATTTATTCCTATTTAACCACGTATTTAATATTTTTTGCTTTTAGTTCTTTCTTATATATGAGACCGTCCTAATAGTAACACTTGTATTATGTTTAAAGTACACCCATTAAAAATTCTTTCCTGAAGATCTTCTGTTAAGTCTCTCAGGTATTTTTTCTTTTTTGTCTGAAAATAACTTTATTTTTCTTCATTCTTGGAGGATTGTTTTGCCATTAATACAACTTTAGGAGGAGAATTATTTTTATTAACACAATTAATACATTCTATTTTTTTACATTCATCGTATTTTGAGGAGTCAGACATTAATTGCCTTCCTGATCTCTTTTTTCTTTCTGGCTGCATTAAAAGTCTTCTGTTTATATTTTCTCTGTAATTTGGTATCGTAGTTTTTCATTATCCTCTTTTGGATTTTTTGGACTGCTTTGGGCATCAAAAATTCTTTTTTTCCTTAAATATTGTCTTGTTCTATCATCTTCTTGACATTTTTTTTTTCAACCTTTCCTCTTAGCTTTCTTATTTTTTACCTCTTCATGATGACTTTGTGCTGTATGTTGAGTAAGTCTTCTGGATTTATCTTCCCAGTTTACTAACTCCCTTTTTAGTTGCATCTTAATATACCATTCAGTTCCTTCATTTTTCTTATTTAACTCTTTTCCTCTTTCTCTTTGGTAATTTTATTGTCCTATGTTTAATTTCCTTGATCTTAACTCAGTTGTGTTGAGTCTGCCAATGAGCATGTCAGAGACATTCCTCATCTCTATTACTACGTCTTTTGTTTCTAACATTTTCATTTTTATTTTATATTTTTATTTTGTCTGCTAAAATTATCAATCTGTGTGTGTTGTCTATACCTTTTCCAGTGAACCTATAACATGTTTAATCATAGTTGATTGAAGTTCTCTCTCTGGTAGTTCCAGCATCTGGATCCACTCTAATTCTTGTAGACTGCTCTGTTGATTGCTTTGTCTCTTGGTTTTTGTTTTTTGTTTTGTTTTACCTTTCCTTTTTTATGTGAGTTATAATTTTGGATTTAATGTTGGGCATTAGGTTATAGGGCTATAGCTTTTAAGCCTAGAGATGAACACATTTCTACTGGAGTTGAGCTAGGTTTGGATTCTCTTGCTGTTATGGTGCACCAGTGGTTTCAAATTTGTTTAGTGTTACTTTGTCCTTGAGTTTGCTGGAAGATTATTCTCAGTGTTCCTGCTCCACTCAGTTTTAGGCCTTCTCTGTGCTCTTGTGCTTCAGCAGGGTCTCTTCATGTTCTCATCTCTCCTCCAAATGTAGATTGCTATTGGTTGTTCCTCACTGTTTGCTAGCCTGGCAGTTGGGAGGAGGGCACTTAGGGCTTTCTTGTCCTGGTCAAGCTTCAACTGCTTGGTTACTGTTTATCATCTCTGGCTCATTTTCAAATTTTCTTTTGTTTGAAAGTTTTTAAATTTTGACTTTCTATTCTCTAATACTTTCAGTATATTGGAGTATTTGCAGGTGTCATTCCACTTTTTTAGGGGCTCATTTTTAATTATGTCTTGCTTCTTACATGATGTTGATGTAGTTGGGATTTTTTTATATTTGTCTATGAGTTCATATGTCTTGGAACTTTAGGTACAGTAATACTTTGAGGTTTATGTTAAAGTTGCATTTTTGTTGGCCTGGTGTGGTGGCTCACGCCTGTAATGTGAGCACTTTGAGAGGCTGAGGCAGGTGGATCACCTGAGATCAGGAGTTCGAGATCAGCCTGGCCAACATGGTGAAACCCCATCTCTACTAAAAATACCAAAAGTAGCCAGGCGTGGTGGTGCATGCCTGTAATCCCAGCTACTTGGGAGGCTGAGGCAGGAGAATCACTTGAACCTGGGAGGTGAAGGTTGCAGTGGGCCAAGATTGCGCCATTGCACTCCAGCCTGGGTGACACAAGAAAAACGCCATCTCAAAAAAAAAAAAAAAAGTTGCATTTTTGTAAGGAAGTTTTGCATTTGTTATTTCTGCTATTGTTTATTAATAGTGCTGAATCTCTTTTAGTTTACTTGCATGCTTGAGGTATTGTGAATTCAAACTACAGATCTGGATGAAGGATGCCTTGTGGTTTTGAATTCTCAGGGGAAGGCAATTTTTGTTCAGTTGCTCCCCCTCCTCTTATCCCAGTGCCAGGCAAGTTTTCTTCCTGTCCCCTTCTGCTTGTATCTTGCTTACCCTTGTAATGAGGGTGTAGCTGTTTGGGATGAGCTTTATGAGTAGGTTTCTATTAGATTCCTCAACTTTGGTAGAGTCTCTTGTTTCATCTCTTGTCTATTTCACTCCCTACAAACATCAGAGTGAAAAATCTTTTCTTCAGAGTTTGACAGAAACTGTCTGGTAGATCAAGGACTTTATTGGTTTCCCAAGTTCAAGTATTCTTGCTTTCACATCATTCTTGGCATTTGGATTCTGTACCTTTTGTGCCATTTCAGTTGTGTTTGTGGTTTTATTTTTTTTAAATCTTACATTGTTTTTAATGCAGGCTTTAATGTTTTAAATACCACAATTCAGTTATATTCAGTGGGAACTTTGTTAAGGGCATTTAACTCTTTATATTCCTGGAATAAAAATCATGATTAGATTTTTCTTTGCATTTGGTACTTTTCCCAAGATTTTGAAACTTAGAAAGCCTTTTCTTAAATTTATTTTACTTCCATTTTTACTCTGTAAAGCCTTTATTGTTTAAATCTCTGCATTGCTCAATAAGTGGTAGATAGTAAAAGACCTAAGAATCATGTAATATTGGACTTTTGTCTAAAGTAGATAATCTCTTTTATCTTTTGGGATAGAGCAATATGAAGTTGGACTTTTTAGTCACACTTGGGTTTTGAGTCCTGATTCACCTACTTGTGTGAATTAACTTTTTTTTTTTTTTTTTTTGAGATGGAGTCTCACTCTGTCGCCCAGACTAGAGTGCAGTGACACGATCTCTGCTCACTGCAACCTCTGCCGCCCGGTTTGAAGTAGTTCTTCTGCCTCAGCCTCCCGAGTAGCTGGGATTACAGCGCCTGCCACCGCGCCTGGCTAATTTTTGTAGTTTTTAGTAGAGATGGGGTTTCGCCATCTTGGCCAGGCTGGTCTTGAACTCCTGACCTCATGATTCACCCGCCTCAGCCTCCCAAAGTGCTGGGATTACAGGCGTGAGCCACCCTGCCCAGCCTGTGAATTAACTTTTATGAGACACTGTACCATCTATTACAATAGGAAAAGTAGCTATGTAATAGGGTTATTGTGAACCTTAAATGAGATAAGCTGCAGTTTCTGGTATATGGCCTTGTGTATACCTTTTGAGGACTTTATACATAATTCCAAGGACCTAATATATTTGAGGCAAAAGGGAAAATTTAATTAAACACCTATTTTGGCAAATGTCTTGAATATTAGGTGAACAAAGATGAATATAATATTACATAATACGGTTCCTGCCTTAGAGAACTTGTTATCTTATTAGTGAGGTTGGTATACTTAGTGCTATAGAAGGAGTAATACTTTTCTGGAGTAGAGGAGGGATTGGTTGAACTAGGTCATAAGATGTAAGTAGGAGGCCAATATGCTGGCAAAGAGGGAATGGGCTTTTAGCCAGAAGTGACAGCTGCATATGTAAAGGTCTGAAGGCAGTAGAGAACATGTCCCATTTTTGAGAAGTCTAGGTGTGTATACACAATAAGCCAATCGAGGTCTGAGGAGAGGAATGTCTTTGGTAATTATGGAAGAGATGGCCTTTGAGATAGGTAGTGTCTAAATGATAGCATGTGAAGACAGAATGGGTATGATAACACAAATTGAAGAAATAAGTTACTTGGCAGATTATAAGTTATTTATACATAGGGGCACATGAATAGTCACATTGAGTTGGCTGCTACTTATTCTTGAATTCACACCTGAACAAAGCAGATTAGACATCAACTCTTAGAAATCATTAGGAAATTTTGTGTATCTAATTAGAATTTTTGTGGGAAAGCAAATAAGGGAGCAGCTTTTCCAGGATTGTACATGTAAGATAAGGTGATAAAAGTATTTTGGGGATGGAGTTTATAATGGCTTTGAATATCAAATGTAAGAGTTTAAAATTTATTTGGTGTAAACATTAGAGGTCCGTTGTGGCATTTTGAACAGGAAACCTGAGTAATGGTGATTATCTAGGTGATTTGTTTGACCCTGCAGGATAGAATTGGAGAGGAACATGCCTAAAGCAGCAGGATCACCTATTGCTGTGGTTTGGGACTGAGGTGATTAAGACTTAAATTAAGGGGAGGTGGTAATGGGAATGAAAGAGCATTATGGGAGAGATTTATAGAGAACTGACAATCTGAGAGAGAATTGAACCAAAGATTTGGAAGACAAGCAGGGGTGCTGAGAATGTTGATATGATACAGTAGTCTCCCACACCCCCATATCTGCAGTTTCGCTTTCCACATTTTTAGGACTGTCGTACTGTGGAAAGAGAGAGGAGCTAAATGATGAGAACACATGGACACATAGAGGGGAACAACACACACTGGGGCATTTTGGTGGAGGGTGGGAGGAGGGAGAGGATCAGGAAAATTAACTAATAGGCACTAGGCTTAATACCTGAGTGCTAAAATAATCTGTATAACAAATCCCATGACACAAGTTTACCTGCGTAATAAACCTGTGCTTGTACTGCTGAACTTAAAATAAAAGTTAAAAAAAAGAGAGAGACCATATTCACATAACTTTTTTTTTTTTAAGAGACAGGGTCTTGCCGTGTTGCCCAGGCTGGACGTTAACTCCTGGGCTCAAGTGATACTCTCGCCCCAGCATCCCTGGTAGCAGGGACTACAGGCACTCGCCACTGCGCCCCCTCACCCCCACATAACTTTTATTGCAGTATATTATTATATTTTATTATTAATCTCTTCTGTGCCTAATTTATAAATTGAACTTTATCATAGGTATGTAAATACAGAAAAATACATGACATATATAGAATTTGGTACTGTCTGCAGTTTCAGGCATCTAGTGGGGATCATGGAATGTATCCCCCTCAGATAAGGGGGCACCACTGTGTTTGGGTGGGTGCCTAGGAAATTTTTGGTAATATCAAGAACTCTGACATTAGCAGAAAGAGTAGTTATGGGGGAAAACTAAAACCACCATTTATTATTTATTAGATGTGAGCTTAGTTATAAAGGTAGATTTTTAGAGCATATCAATATACCTTTATAAAAATAGTTAATTTAAAAAATTATGGTTTGTTCTGTGATTGGACAGGCAGTGCAGTCTTGTATCAGTGGCATAAGCTGTTGAGCTAGATAGGTCTATATTCCTCCTCACCTTAAAAAAAATTTTTTTTTTAATTTTTTGAGACAGGGTTTTTGTCCTGTCGCCCAGGCTGGAGTGCAGTTGTGCAGTCATAGCTAACAGCAGCTTTGAACTCCTGGGCTCAGTTGATCCTCCCACCTCAGCCTCCTAAGTAGCTGGTACTACAGGTGCACACCACCATGCCTGGCTTATTTTTTTCCCCCTGTAGAAATGGGGTCTTGCTCTGTTGCCAGGTTGCCAACTCACCTTTAATAAGTATCACTGTTGTGAGACTGGAATGTCACTAATATCTTTGGGTTTTTCTTTGTCTACAAAGTAGAGACAGTAATACCTGCTTACAGGGCTGTTGTGTGAACTAACTACTTAATATATATGCATGCTGGCCTATTTTAAACTCCTAACAAATGTTAATTTTCCATTTTATTTTCTTACTTAGAAGATGCCAGCCTTACTTGTGGCTGTTGTCATGCATTAAGTTGAAAATTAAAGAATATTGCATAAAGTTTTCTTGTTTTACTTTTTAACAATTAACTAAAACCATAACCAGGATTGTTTGCTAAGTAAAATATGTGTATAATCAGGCAGTTTGTAATTAGAGGAACTCAAGTTGTAATTATTGAATGTGTAGGTGTAGTTAACAGCCTTCATTTCTGGTAAGTGACTTTACTTAGAGGATGTATGTTTATGTGCACAAGAGAGACTGTTTCCTGGACGGAAACTGTGGTCTCCAGATCTTTATAATAACATCACCTCTAATCTTTAACTCATGAGCGTTGTGCTATACAGACTGTTTTCTTGAGGCAGTTTCTTGTAAGAAGTAAATGAAGCTTCCTTATGAGTCTGTTAAGACTCCATAGATTGTCAATAATATGGAAAAATTTGATATTTCATCAGGAATATGAACATGTGTTTCAGGTAGAGAATGCCAAAGATAATGAAGATAGTATTCTACAAAGAGAAATTCCTGCCAGACAATCCCGAAGAAGATTTCGGAAAATTAACTATAAAGGAGAGCGCCAAACCATTACTGATGATGTGGAGGTTAACAGCTATCTTTCTGTGAGTATATTTAGGAACACTTCATGAATCTTCCTTAATTTTCATATCTAGTATCTTTAATTTACATGTATCTTTGGTAATATCAACATGCTGGGCTCTGTATGTGAAAATTTGGGGCAGGTAAATATATAATCTTTTTAAATGCTTCTGTTTGGTTGAATTGGTTAGGAATGCTCTTACCAGTGGGAGTTCTGGTTTTGCTTTTTTGTTGTTGTTTAAATAGTGAAAAAAGTTATTAGGCTGGGTGCAGTGGGTCATGCCTGTAATATCAGCACTTTGGGAGACCTAGGCGGGCGGATCACAAGGTCAGGAGTTCAAGACCAGCCTGGCCAATATGGTGAAACCCCCATCTCTACTAAAAATACAAAAATTAGCCAGGTGTGGTAGTGCATGCCTGTAGTCACAGTTATTTGGGAGACTGAGGCAGGAGAATTGCTTGAACCCAGGAGGCAGAGGTTGTAGTGAGCCAGTATCACACCACTGCATTCCAGCCTGGTCGACAAGAGCAAAACTCTGTTGCCAAAAAAAAAAAAAAAAAGTAAGCTGTGTCTTCAAAAGTCTTTAATTGTGAATAGCTTCTTTTTAGACTGAAAAGTAGCTGAATCAAGAAATAAGGGTAATCTAAAAAAATCAGGTGTATTTTTGAGGGGAGAGGTTTCATAGTTACCAGTTTCCAAAGTACTCACGATTTCTAGAATATTAAAACAATTAGTACAGAGCATTTCCTCTTGTTTGCATTTGTTAAAAATAATAATAAAAAGGATGGTTGAATATAGTGAAATTCCCAAGGATGTGTTTAGTTTTTTCAGTTGTCATAAACAGATATTTATTCATTCCATGTTAGGTGTTAGGAGTAAGAAAGATTATTTCGAGAGTTGTTTGTACTGGAATAAGTGTTAGAATTAAGGCAGCTCTAATGTTTGTCACATTTGCCTAATTGCATTGATTCAATACAAGAATATGAAATAGTCCTAAAATTTATCATATCCAGAGCCACAACAAGGTTTATTTCCTGTTCTCACTATTTAACAATTTCTGTTTTTGTATTGTAAATTTCCCATCACTAATTAAGGTGACATATTTTGCTTTACTGTGTAAGTAATATGTGTCTTTTTTTGAAAAATTAGAAACAGATTGTTCCTATTACACAGTTATATAACTATTTGATGATATTTTGCAATTCTTGGATAAAGCTTTTCAACATACAGATAAATCTGTAAGGTTTTTGCTAACTATTGAAAACTTAAATATGTAAATTTTTGTTAACTTTTAAAAACAAATATATAAACTAAACATCTTTGAATGTTGTTAAATGTTTTTCCCATTATTCCTAATGACTGCACAGTACTCCATTATAATAATATGCTATAATTTATTCAGTTCTTGATATTTGATAAGTTACATTCTTTCCAGTTCTTCATTATTTATTTATTTTTTTTTTTTGAGATGGAGTGTCGCTCTCTTGCCCAGGCTGGAGTGCAGTGGCACGATCTCAGCTTACTGCAACCTCTGCCTCCTGGGTTCACGCGCTTCTCCTGCCTCAGCCTCCCTAGTAGCTGGGACTACAGGCGCCCGCCACCACGCCCAGCTAATTTTTTGTATTTTTAGTAGAGACTGGTTTTCACCATGTTAGCCAGGATGGTCTCGATCTCCTGCCTTGTGATCTGCACACCTCGGCATCCCAAAGTGCTGGGATTACAGGCATGAGCCACAGCGCCCGGCCTTTTCCTTATTTTTTAAAAATTAAGGTGCTAAGTACAATGTATGCCCACATTTTCATTTCTATAGAAAAAATGTCAAGAGGTAGAATTAATAAATGAAAGAATCTTTAACTGTAATATTTAGTTTTCCTAGTGTGAGCTAGAGTGTGTTTTGACTGCTTGCTCATTCTAGTCTCAACTTCAGTATCTTCTTTTCCCAGATTTTTTTGGTGTCCTGTCATGAATCCTAGACAGATTTCATATTTTCTCTATTAGCTGTGGATCATGCTCATGAGTCATTTGCTTTTAGCCCTCCTCTGTACTGAGAGTTGTCATCTTCTAGATATACTGATTTCCTGGGATCAGAAAGAGCAATAGGCATACTCCTTAGGGATTCTGTTTGTTTGATAACGCTAAGTATAGTGGCATTTTTGCATGTATACCTAGTGTTACATGGTGATCCTACTAAGTACTGTCAAGAGTTTGACAAATCATGAAAAGGAGAAATTGATTCATTTTAGACAAAACTGATTTATTAACTATGAGACCGGGTTAGAGAAGCTTTTTGGTCATGTTAGGTACATGTGCTGTTTCTTGAATTAATGGAGTTATTTTTTCCTAAAAAGGATATATTTCAGTTAACTTAGAAAATATGGTATTGAAGGTTTCATTTATTTTTAATTAATGCTACCAATTATGTAACACCTGTACATCTGGCCAGTGTCCTGCAATATTGGCAGTTGGTCTAGGTAAGGATGCTATGTAGCAAAAATCTTAATCATGTTTATGAGAGCAGCAAGTAGAGAATTGGTTTAATGGCCTTTATAGGGTTCTTTATGTCTTTTGTTCTATTGTCAGCAATTCAGAGAGAAAAAGATCAGGAGGAATCATTTCTTCTTTTAGACAGCAGTGGAAATTTGAGTTTGTTTTTTTTTTCCTTAATGTGTAAACCATCATCTACTTTTTCTTTCTAGAGTGCTGAAGGGTAAAAAAAATTAAAGATGTTAACTGTTGTTTATCATAATTATTCTTTAGTACCCAACTTGTACAAGGGTTTGTATTAAAGATTTTGCCTGTATTTTAGTTATTTTTTAACTAAATTCTTAGAATGACTGAAAAAGATGATTTATTCATATGAAATATTTTTATAGTTTTGTTGTACATTGCTTTGTATAAACATGAATCCTAATCTTAATGTGACTTTTTTTAATGTAGAATAAGCACTTCTGTAATGGTAATAACATTTTTGAAGCTCCGTTGAGTGTTGCTCTGAGTTTGCAACAATTTTTTTGATACAATTTCTTATCACTTTATTGAGATATTATTAAAGGTAATGTACTACTCATATTTAAAGTGCACAGTTTGGGCCAGGCGTGGTGGCTCATGCCTGAAATCCCAGCACTTTGGGGGCCGAGGCAGGCGGATCACTTGAGGTCAGGAGTTCAAGACCAGTCTGGCTAACATGGTGAAACCCCGTCTCTCCTGAAAATACAAAAATTAGCCAGACATGGTGGCGCTTGCCTGTAATCCCAGCTACTTGGGAGGCTGAGGCAGGAGAATCACTTGAACCCGGAAGGTGGAGGTTGCAGTGAGCCAAGGTCATGCCGCTGCACTCCAGCCTGGGCTATAGAGTGAGACTCCGTCTCAAAAAAAAATTTTTTTTAAATGAAATTTTGATTTTGATCAATTTTGACATATGTATAATAAACCTTTGAAACCATCACCGTATTCAAGATTATGATTACTTCCATCACCCTAAAGTTTTGTCGTCTCCCATTGTAATTCATCTTTTCTAAATACCCATCCTCAAGCAACCATTTATCTGCTTTCTGTCACTGTGGATTAGTCTTAGTTTCTAGAATTTTATGTAAATGGCATCATATATTGTGGATTTTTTTTGGGGGGGTGGGCTTCTTTCACACATTATAATGATTTTGAGACCTTTCCCTGTCGTGTGCATCAATTATATTTTTTCCCCTCTCTTGTGGGTATTATTTCATTGTATGAATGTACCACAATTTGTTTCTGTTTGCCTGTTTATGAATATTTGGATTGTTCCAGTTTTGGGCAATTGCAAATAAAGCTACTGTAAACATTTATGTACAAATCTTTGCTGATACTTATACTTCCATTTCTCTTAGGTTAATACCCAGGAGTGGGTGACTGGTCATATGGCAAATGTATGCTTAACTTTATAAGAAACTACCAAAATTGTTATTTAGTGTGGCTGTTGCATTTTACATAATTTGTGTTCTTTGAAAATGACAGTTTCCACATCCTCACCAACACTTGGTATTGTCAGATTTTATTATTATTATTTTTAAAATTTTTAATAGGTAGTGGTATCTCATTTTGATTTTATGTATCCCTGATGACTTACGGTGTTGAGCCTCTTTTCATGTACTTATTAGTCACTTGTATATTCATATTCTTTTGTAAAATATTCAAATATTTTTAAAGTTTGCAACAAATTTAAATGTCTTCATATAGTTTCAGAAATTTCAGAGCTTTGATCTTTGAGGCAGATGACTTTGGTATTTAGATAGCAGAAAGGTGATCAAGAGCAATATTTAGTGAGCAGGATAAGTAATCAAGCCAAGTATAAAAACTCCAGTATTTAGATGAGCCATCTATCTTGAATTCTTGCTTCACTAACTGAATGATGAGGACAGTTCATCTAAATCTTCGGTGCTTCACCTCTAAAAATGACGATATTGTAATACCGGGTTTGCCTGTCTTAGGGGGTGGTTGTTGAAATTTTTAGAATGTGTGTGTATTCACAGTCTAATCACTCAATAATATCTATAGATTCTTCCTTTCACATGTTTCAGAATTTGTGCTTTTCACTTAATTTGCCCATGTCGTTTCTTTAGTGTTCACTTTTTTCTTTATAGGACTGTTGTAATAGCATCTCTCAAATTCTCCCAGCCACCTTTCACTGTAAACGCAGTATTTTTTCATTTTAAGAGATTTTGAAAAATTAGAAAACGTGAAAAGTATTATTTAATTTCTTTATCAGAAGATATCTACTTAATCAGTTTATTTGATTTAAAATTTTTTATCTTCTCTCTGAACTTGTTGCCCTATCGCTAGCCCTGCTTTCTACATCCTCCCCTATACCCTTGCCACTAACTAGTCCATTTATTTTGCTTCTGTGAGTTGTAAGTGAAGCTCTAACAATGTCACTTGTTTTAAACTCTTAAATCTGTTTATGGCCTACCATCAGTTACAGAAAAATTCCAGTAATCTAGCATATAAGTACCTTCATAGTCTAGACCAGTCCTGTTTAATTGAATTTTCTGTTATGATGGAAATATTTTATGTCTGTGCCATCGAAATTGATAGCAGCTAGCTAGCCATAGTATTGAGCTATTGATCACAATGTACAAGTAAATAACCACATGTCCCTAGTTGGACAGCACAGATCTGGACTTTGTTCAGTTCTCCAACTTTCTCTTTTACCTGTTTTCTATGTATTTCCTATTTTTTGGCCATACTGAACAAATTTGCTGACCCTTGAAGAAACCATGTGTTTATGTACATCTCTTGTATATACAATTCCTTTTACTTAAGATGTACTTTTATTCTTTGTCCTCTTAACAAAAGTCTCAAGACCTACTTTCACATCATGTCATGGAGGACTCTGATTTCTTTCTTGGGAAGGATTAAGCACATATCTGCACTCCCATAATATCTTGTTTATGTGCCTGTAAGCACTCATTATGCTGAGTATAATTACAATTATTCTATATTGCAGTGTAATTGTTTATTTAAATATCTCTCTCATCAGAATGGATGCTCCTAGAAAATGTCAACCATCATAATTGTAACCTTAGAGTATATTGCCTGCCAAAGAAAATAAGAGTGCCTGTTCTGTCAGCTTGCTTAGTGTCCTGTGTAACTTTGGGCAAGTTGTATGACCTTTGTATGTCTGTCTTGATAGATAACTTATAGATTTGTAAAAGGATTAAATGAGATAATATATAAAAAAGGGCTCTGCCTAGTGTCTGGTGCTCTGAAAAATAGTAATGTTAGTAGCATCCTATTGCTGTTGTTGTTATTGTGAATATTCAAAAAACCTTTGTTCCTATTGCTTACAAATTATTTATTCCATACCTGGATATAAAAAGTGCTTACCAAAATATGTAAATATATTAAAGTAAATATAAACAAGTAAGCTAAAGAATCAGAACAAAGGGAGAATAAAGGTAAGAAAAGTTAAACCAAGTTAGCTTGAAGTTAGAACAATCAGACAATTAAAATTTACCCTCAGAATCACTCACTTTGAACAAGTAATTTCTTTGTCCAATCTTGAAAGATAAAAGTAGTTACAAAATGTGTATGAAAGTCACTGGATGAGTCACTTTATAGAATGTGTAGCTAGAAGCCAATCAAATGAGATGGAGAATGTCTGCCAAGAAATGATGAATCTGATTTTGGAATTAATCACTTGTAGGCCTATCTGATAGTAGTTAGCAAGGCCATTCGTTTAGCCCAAAACAATCTCCAGGACATGGGAAGAAAATACTATTATCTTACCCTTTAAAGTTTCTAGGGATTTTGTGTATATTTCATAATGAATACAAAATATTTTGCCAGTAACACATGTATTAGTTTTTAAATACATTACCTATGTTAGAAATGTAACTCATTCTTTTCCCCAATGCTATGTGTGATTTTTAAAAGTTTTGAGGCCAAATGCAGTGGCTCATGCCTAATTCTAGCACTTTGAGAGGCCAAGATGGAAGAATCACCTGAAGCCAGGAGTTTGAAACCAAGCTGTGCAACAAAGCAAGACCCTGTCTCTACAAAAAAAAGAAAAAAAAAAAGTAAAAAGAAAAATTAAGAATCTTGAGAGTATATGGCATATAAATCCTTTTCTTATTTAGCTCCAGTTTATCTTTCAGCTTTCTGGCCCCATTATGTTTGGAGGTCCCTAACTTTGGTCCTGTTCTCTTTCCCTGGAAGGCTCTTATTGGCTTCTTCACTTAATATAGTTCTACCCTTTGATGAGTCACTTTGAATCTTGCCACTTGCTGCTTTTATCCAGAATGGGCTTCTGTCATGCTCTTCTGACAAAGTCATGTTCAGCTCCCAAGAGTCCATTCATCCATGACCTCTTTAGAGAAGGCTTTCCTGACATTTCCTGTTCATAGAGTGCACTTCTCTTCATTGGTCCCATAGGATAGTACTTGCATGAAGTGTGCCCATATTATTCTGCAGTGTTCTGAGATAACAAAAAATGGAATTAACAGTTTACTTAAGAATGTTTTAAATGCCTGTATTTTTTATATAATGTTCGTTGTTTCATTTTAAATAGCATATAACGGTAAACATTTTGAAATGTAGTGAATTGAATTTTTTTTGAGACGGAGTCTTGCACTGTCGCCCGGGCTGGAGTGCAATGGTGCGATCTTGGCCTCCCAAAGTGCTGGAATTACAGGCATAAGCCACCACGCCCAGCCTGTGAATTGAATTTTTAATATTGGTACATATGTAGAGTTAAATGGTAAAATTAAACCAGGACCAATAAACATGAAACATCTTGGTTTCACCAAGGTCAAGCACCAAGTGTGCCTTTATTTAACTTTATTCTCTAGAATGTCAGGTCTCATTTGTGCTCATTTTTATAGAAATGTGATTGAGCCAAATATGAATCTGGACATTGTTCAAAGGTTTAAAAAACTTTGTTGGTGTTTGCATACTTTAGTTAAGAAATTATAGTCCTTCTCCTTGATTTCTCCTTCCTTTTGCTACTGTATATTTTTGTCGTTGTTGCTTTTGAGACAGGGTCTCGCTCTGTTGCCCAAGCTGTGAAATGCAGTTATGCGATCATAGTTCACCATAAGCTCAAACTCCTGGGCTCTAACGACCTGCCTTAGCCTCCTGAGTAGCTAGGACTACAGGCATGTGCCACCACACTTGACTAAGTATTTTTATTTTTTGTAGAGACAGTGTCTTGCTGTTTCCCAGGCTAGTCTTAACTCCTGGGCTCACGCAGTCTAATCACTGCAGCCTCCCAAAACACTGGGATCATAGACATGAGCTTCTGCACCCAGCAAGCTGCTGTATTTTTAAATAGCAGTGTGCCTGTATGAGTGTTGGTTATATGTTTGTTGTGTTATTAACTAGATCTCAAGTTCCTTAGTAGACTACCTCATAATTTTTTTTATTTCTTGTTCTCTGTGTTGCTTAGGATGCTTTTTATATTCTCAGGGACAAAATAAGGTGCTAGTCTTCCTCTCTTTCTTCAGCATAGCGTCTGCACAGACATGGAGCCAGCCAGCTCTTCCTAAAAGAACATCTGGAAAGAATGATTTCCATGGCAGCATTATGGATTGGGGTTTTTAATTTGAAGGGATTCCCTTTGCTGTGACATCTTTATGTATTTTCTTTCCATCTAGTCTTTTGTTCTGGGATTGTATAGTGGGTGGTAGGATGATGTGACACGCTAGAATCTACTTTTTCATTTTAGGCTCACACATTACTAATGTAGCAGGCGGTTCTTTCTCATTGCTACTTCTCTGATTATATCACGTTCTCCATTCTCTTTCAGTGCTCCATGTTTTGTTTAGATCCAGAGCATATTAGAGAGTTAATGTACATTTGTCAATGCAGCTCAATAAGAGGTGATTATTAGGACACCACATCACTTACCAACTTTGTGGTGATATACTGAAAAATGGCTGGATGCTTTTACTTGACCATGGGTGTGACCTCTTAAGGTATTATTGCAAGTGTGTTTCGCTTTTATGGAGTGTGTGTGTATGTGTGTCTTATTCATCAAGCCATTCCTGTAGTAAGAAATAGGTCCATGCCCCCACCTCCTCATGAGAAACTAGAGGACTTTGGTACAAACATGTGATTGCTTAGTTCTCTTCATGGAGCACCAGTAAACAAAAAGTTTAAATATTTATTCAAGTCAAACTAAAGGAGGTGTAAGCACTATTGTTGGATCAATCATTAGGAGAATTTAGAATTTGAACTGTTTAAGTGAAAGTCACTGTTTGATGAAGAAGCTTGTTAACATTGTGAACTTTATTTTGTATTTGTGGGCTTGATAAATCCTGATTGTTTTTAATATGGTATTTCATAAGTACTTTCAGAATGAAATAATGAATGAATAAACAGACTTTTGTTACTTCTAAACTCAGGAAGTTTGCAAATGGGATCTTTGATAATCTTATTTGTATATAAGACAGTGAATGCTGATCACACTACTACTGAGAAGTTTGGATCCCCACCTCTAAGAATCTTCAGCTTTTCAATATTGCTTCTCTTCTCTCTTTATTTACAGCCCCAAATACTCTGAACAGGTGTATATTCTTTGTGATTCTTTCTACCTTAAAAACAAAAGAAGACTTTCTGTTTTTGTTTACGAGTATCTAACATCCTTTAGGAGAATACTCCTCCTTTATCTTCTAGGAAATAATATGGAATTCTTGATAGGTTTTTGTACCTAGTTAGAAGGTATTGAGTCCACAAATAGACAAAAAGCATAGAAGTGATACAACTAAAACTAGGACAAATGCCAAGTTAGAGCAGATTTTGTTTTAATTTTGTGAAGAAATGCTTATTGTAGAAATGTAAAATATATAGAAGAGTATGAAGAAGGAAATGAATTTGCTGTCATCCTCAAAACTGGAGATAGCTACTGTCACTTAAAATTTTTTTAATGTACCATGGTCCCTCAGTATCCATGGGGGCTTGGTTTCAGGACCCCCTGCAGATACTAAAATTCGAGGATGTTCGAGTCCCTTTTATAAAATGGTGTAGTATTTTTGTGTAATCTATGCACATCCTTCCATATACAGTCATGTGTTGCGTAATGACAGACCACATAAATGACATCAGATTTTGCTGCCTGTTTTTACTGTACGTTTTCTGTGTTTAGATACACAAATACTTACCATTGTGTTACAGTTGCCTGCATTATTCAGTAGAGTAACATGCTGAGCAGGTTCATAGCCTGGGAACCATAGGCTGTACCATGTAGCCTAGGTGTATAGTAGGCTATACCGTCTAGGTTTCTGTAGCTACACTCAGTGATGTTTGCCCAAGGATGAAATTGCCTAATGACACATTCCTCAGAATGTACCCCAGTTGTTAAGCAATGCATGACTGTATTTTGAATCATTTCTAGATTACTTATAATACCTAATACAGTGTAAATGCAGTGTAGATAGTTGCTATACTGAAATTTGTAGTTTTTTTTATTGTTGTAGTGGTTTTTTGTTTTTGGTTTTTTAGGTTTTATTTGAGACGGTCTCGCTGTCAACTAGACTAGAATGCAGTGGAATGATCACAGCTCATTGCAGCTTTGACCTCCCAACTCAAGGGATCCTCTCACCTCAGCCTCCTGAGTAGCTGGGATTATAGGCACATGCCTCCACACCCAGCTAACTTTGTTTTTTTTTGTAGAGACGGAGTTTCATCATGTTTTTCAGGTTGGTCTTGAACTCGTGGGCTCCAGCAATAGCCTGCCTCGGCCTCCCAAACTGTTGGGATTACAGATGTAATCACCACCACCCCCAGCCTCTACTGTTATTTTTAATGGGATTTTCCCAAAATATTTTCTGTCTGCAGTTTCTTCAATCTGCAGGTACAGAACCCATGGACACAGAGGGCTGACTGTATATATCTTTTGATTAATTTAAATATTTTAATTAATTTAGATGATGCTGAATGTTTAGTTATGTATCCTTGTGTTTGTGTTTCTCATGCAGTTAAATTTTTTCCAAAACATTACTTTCAATATTAATATAATGCTGTATGAGTGTAACGAAGTATTCTCACGTGGCTTCCAATTTTTCTCCTATTACAAACAACTTTTAGGGAAAAATCTGTACATGACTGATTATTTCCTTAGGATTGAGTTACAGAAATTACTGGGTTAAAGGTATGAAAATTATTTTAAGTTTCTACATGAATATTGGTAACTTCTCAATAGGCATTTTAAAATTGTCTTTATTATTCACTATGTATAAAATGCTTGAGTACTGAGAGGACCAGAGCAGGGCATGCCCCTCTGGTTGTCTGGGGCAGTTCTTCCTCCCTTAATGGTGTGACACTAATTCAGACAGATTTGCCCAGGGAACCAGAATTAGGAAGACTTTTTATCATACTTGAAATATTTTATGGAGTAATTGCTAAAGAAGGAGCTTTTGATAATTGTTTAAAGCAACTCAGATACTAATGTATACCAGTGGTCTAAGACTGATTATGACAGTGTTCCAGTTGGAAGGGGAATAACAACTACTCAGACATAGCAAACAAATTAATGCTGACCTAACGTTATTACCTTTTAGTTTGATTTGGTATGTGTTTATTAAGTGTGCTATCTTGTGTATGTGGCTTTTACAGTGCTAGAAAATGTAGTATTTAAAAGTAGAGAAGGGACGTAATGGTCATCTTTATGAACAAGGGATATAAAGGAACCCAGGAATTCACAGATAGTTTTAAATGAGAGTTCATTTTTTATCATTTATATATGTTACTCTCTTTTTGAAGAAAATTAATACGCTGTTTGAAACTTTAGGTTTGCATATACTTGAGTAACTATATACAAAATGTATCCTTTTGTGCAGGTATGAAGATGCTTGATACGCAGTGTAGACGGAAAGCAGAAGCATAGTGGTGCCTTTTATTGTTCTTTCAATTTCACTGATTCTAATTATAGAAGCTTACATCACCTTGGTTGATGATGACGGTTTCTCTCTCCTTCTTGGTTTTTCTTCCTCTATTACTCCCTAAGGGTGGATCATATTTCATAGTGCATGTGTGTCCAGCTGGTGGCTGTGACAGATTTTCAACAAAAATGGGGGTGATCAGTTAGTGGATATATATGACAGTATGCTGAAGCACACTGTTTCTTACAAGAGAATAAAAGAGCGTTGGTACTCTTGCCTCCCCTCCTTCATGAAGGCTGAGGAATAGGTATGCAGTTTGAAAGCAGAAGTCCTAAGGGGCACCAGTAATTAGAGTTAACTGTGTCTGATAACTGCAAAGATGCATTTCAGATGTTCATGTTAAACATGGGGGAAAACGGGTGGAAAAGATTGTTATGATCCTTTGAAAGGGCTTGTATGTTACCTATGATCATTTCAGTCATTTATTCATTTATTTTCCAAAAGACTTAAAGTGTTTTCACTATGTAAATCAGTACAATTTAAGTTTATATTTCAAAAACCAAATATAACTAAAATACAGAAATGAATATCCTCTTTATTTTGTAAAACTACAGAATTTTTCTTTTGTTCTTTAACTTCTTTGGCGTTTGACTTCTCTAAATTATGATTATAATATTTCATTGCAGATTGGGAATAAATTCCATTTAAAAATATAATAAGTAAATAAAATGCCTGGGTTAGTATAAATCCAGTTTTTGTTATCATTAGTTTTGTTTGTTTTTCATAATGCCTAGAATGTTTATCCTCTTATGGCTTACCTTCATCTATGGTAACCTTTCTCTGTCCTTCTTTTCAGTGTTGTCACATATTAACATAAAAGATGTGTTTACAGTTAGTTTAGTAACTATCAGAACCTTATCTTTGGCTTTCTAAACAATATGATTTTAAGTATTTCAGTTTGTATTTTTGTTTATAAATAATATACACAGTTAACATAAATTTTAATAACTACATGGCATTTACACTTTTATAAAAGTATTTTGTCATGATTTGAATCTTTGCAAAGTCAACATACATTGCTCTATTTTATAGTAGTGCAAAAGACCTTTCTAAAGCTAAAGATTTCATTAATAAGGGTTAGCATCATGGCATTTCATATGCAGGGGAAACGTGTTCATAAGTGGCTGTCCTGTAGTGATTCCTAGACAATAGGTAGATCAGGACATTCTCCTTTGCTGCACTTAATTCATTTGAATTGATAAGATAATGAGATGAGATCGTGATAAAATTCTAAAAGTGATGCAAGGGAAAAATAGGTTATTCACCTAGTCATTTATTTTAGTTATTTGATAAATTACTATTCTCTTCAAAGGATGTTTATTTCTTCATTCAGTAGTTAAAAGGTGAAGTCATTATTTCCTCAGAATGCTGGTGGATCCCCGTGTTGAGTATGGAATTTGGCCTGTTTCTTTTCTTAGTATTGTTACACAGGGAGATTTAGCATGATAGGTTCACTATACAGTTCCCTGGAATCGAAGATACTATGAGATGATTGGTAGAAAAGGAAAAGGATGATGTCATCTTCACTTACAAGCCAAACTAAAGGAAAAGAGAATTTTGTTCCTTTACTGAGTTGGTGTTTACTACAGTAGGTCTAACATATGGCACTAGTGGATTGCATTTCTCACACTGGGCAGCAGTTTTTTAAAGCAGCTAAGAGATGGCTGTCTCCCTTGCCCAGCTTGAGGTCCTTCTTTGTGTGTTGATCAGCATGATTTATAAAAAGGGGGAAAGGTGTGCATTAAAATTTTGCTTTTTGATTCGGCTATAATATATTCTGTTGGTACTATACATGAATATAATTACTGTCTGGTGTTGAAATTCTTGGTATTCTTGAATCTTGCTACTGATATTTATGTGTAAAATACTCATCTTTTAGAAATTTTATCTTAAGTGAAAGTTTGTCTTCATGTACATACAAAGTACCTACTATCATTTTTCTGTTTTAAAGAATGATTAACATTAGATTTTAATTAATGTACAATATTAAGTATCAAGTGGAATTCCAACTCACGTATGATTGATTTAAATTAAACTGAAAAAAAAAAAAACACATTGGTGCTTGAAAACCAACCTGTATAAATATTGCATGTTTTATGTTTAGAAAACTAGTCATGCTTGTTTGCATTTGTGAGATTTAATTTTATATTTAAATGCGGGTATTGTGTATTTTGGTATTGTGTCTTTTGGAATTTTGGCAGAAAAACATTCTTAAAAGCTTTATGAAAATCTAAATAATTACATATTTTGAAAGCATAACTTGTCTTTGTTCAAAATTATACTTAGTTTAACTTAAATTCTAGTTTTATAAGTAGCAGTGTAATTCAGATTGGCAGCATAGTGTTGTTCAGAAAGTGACTCAGACTTTTCTCAAAGATATTGAAGAACTTATTTTTTTTGTGCTTAACAACAAGATGTTTCTTCTGCAGTCAGTGGAGTCCTTTGTTAAAAGACCTGTCTCCCAGGTAACATCTCCTCTTATGTTGCACACCCCATTTTCCCCAAAATAAAAGTGTTAGGTAAATAAAGCAAAATAATTATATTGCTTTGATTTGTTCAGTGATTGTTTTTCTCATAATTTTGCCGCCTGGAGGTATAACTAACTATATTTTACTATTGGGAACTGTCTTTCTTTGGCCACTAGGAGCAACCATTGCAAGCTTAGTTGGAGTATCTAATGCCTTGTAGCAGAAGCATGAAGAACAAGGATGGGTACTAGTGGTATTGTGTTTCAGATGGAAGAGGGTGTGGCAAAATTAAAATCTTTTTCTGTAATTTCTATAGAAAAATGGGGCAATTTTTTTTAGTCCACACTCACTCTGGAAGCAGGTTTAATCCTTTTCTTTGATTTCTTCTGAGTGAGTTTTGCTGGCTTCTTGTCTTTTTCTAGGAATTCAGCATTGGGCTACAGGAAAGTACCATGTTGTGTAGATTATTCTTTCTCAAAGAAGTAGGTGCATGCTGCAACTATTGGTGTACATCTGATTTTTTTCCAGCTTCCCTTTGCAAAATGAAATTCTATTGTTTCCATTTAAATTTACTATCTACCTACAAATCTTAGTACTAGTTTGTATATTCTTAATGTTAATTTAGAGTGATCCTGAAGGTTATATCTTTCAGAACAGTTATTTGATAAATAGCAAATTTTGCAAGCAGAAACCCCTTGTTAACAAATACATGTGACATCTGAGAACCTAGGCTGCCTTGTTTATTTGGAATGCAATGGTATCTTATCAGAGCTTATAATTTTACCTTGGGAGGACAATACTGTATTACATTTGAATAATAATAGGAAATATGGCTTCCCAAATATAGCTGTGTATCAATGTACAGAATTAAAAATCAAAATGGATTTTTAAAACTGTGAAGTAGAAAGGGTGCTCAAGCCAATTTTTTTCTTAAAGAATTTAGCTTGCTGACGTGTCTCATGGAAAGGAGGATGGGGTGTGTGTGTGTGTGTGTGTGTGTGTGTGTGTGTGTGTGTGTGTATGTTTTCAATAAATTGCTCTTGGGGCTACATCTGCAGATACAGTAGCCAATTGATCTAATGCAGTTTCTGGAGGCTTTCTGTACAGGTGATGTCATCCTTTTAGCTCTATTCTCCTCCCACTCTCTTTCCTTCTTATTAGATATTTCATCTTACTGCAGAGCATAGAATCAATAGGAGCTTCTCCTTAGGGAGCTGCTTTGAAACAGGCAAGGACAGTAGAAATTAAGACACTAACATTCAGTCTTGCTTTAGCAGAAGATATAATGGTTTTGTACCATATTATATAAAAATGTTTAACCAGAAAAGCTAGACTTAAATCAACAGTGCTGTTTTACTGATACATTAGAATAAGGAACAGTGCTGCAGAGCTGTAAACAGTGCATGTGAATAGAGAAAATAATTACAATTTTGGAGATTCTTAGACATTCTACAGGACAAACCTGTTACGGCATATATCATCTAACTGCCATTTGCTCAACTTTTTTTTTTTTTAAACCTCTGGAGGTTAAGAATATAAAGAAGAAACTTTAATCTTCAGGATACAATGTTTGCTTTTGATGCAGAAGAATCACTGCAGTGCTTGTTCTACAGAATGAAATAAGTTGAAGAAAAGACAAAGCTATATTACAGAGAGGAAAGGTTTCACGGAATCCAGGAACACAGATTTGGTGCATGTTGCCTGATTTGCTTTGACTGATACCGTATTAACTGTTGTGCTACCACTCTGCATGTCTGTGCCAGGTGCCTGAGGCCGCATGTATATGTCTGTATATTCTGAGCCAGAATTGTAAACATCTTCATTTACTGTGATTTGCTTGTTAAAGTGAACGTTTTAATTTAGAACAATACTGAAAGCTCCTGATTTCAGTTTTAAAAGGGGTTTGGAGAGGCTGCCTTTATATAAACACTGCAGTGGTGTATGATTTGTAAAAAGAAACTTAACAGAATTTTATCACCGTACTCATCACTGTAGCTCTGGTTTGAAAAGGAAACTACCCTTTCCAGCCTAGGAAATGGCTTTTCTTGTTCGCTGTTATGCCAATTGTCTTCAGCCATGGGCCTCCAAAGTAAGTAATTGTTATTTTCTTAGCAATTGATTTAATCCAGTTATTAAATTTTATTTTGAACTGTAAATGAGCTTTATTGCGCTCTTTTCTAAACTTTAAAAATAAGAACTACAAAGTAGTCTTTCTCATTGCCATTTTTTTTTAATTTAAATATCTAAAACATTCTAACGTGACCTCTAAGAGATTTGAAAGGTGCGTTTTAAATCTGTAGACTTAAAATGCAGTGCATTTGAGATGTACTCTCTTCAGACTGAATTATTTTTTGATTATGGCTATTGCTGTACTTATCAGTGATCATACTCTAACTTGCTTCATTTTCTTAAATGGTTGATATATTTAGGTATGTTAGTCTAATTGCCAGATTATATGACATTTTTCATTAATATGATGCTGTCATAAATTATGATTGAATTGTGCTATTTTACAATTGAATTGTGCTATTTTACAAAGATTAGTTGATAATTCTTGAGCAGTGAAATAATATGAAGAAAATACTCATGAAAATCAATTATATGAAAATATTTAAATAATGATTCTAAGTATTTTCAAGATAGTAAACCATTAGCAGCTGGAGACTATTTAAGGTCATCTATCATACTTGTCATTTTTAAATAAACATAATAACTCACAAAAAAGCAAAGTGCTATACAACCTTCCAGGCTAGGTTGTAGGAAAATATATACTCTAATTCAGTGAGTTTTATTATACACAGTGGCTATTTATATAGTCTGTAATTTGATGCCACTCAAGTTATCTTTCCTGTCTCATGTATGTATTATAAAACAGTGTTTTTTCAAAACATTTAAATTGTAACATTTATTAAGATTTTTTATGGTTCTCTTGCATACAGACAGGCACAATAGAGGCACTTCTTAGTATGGTCTGAAATCATGTCTTTGTTTCAAGGTTGTCCTGTTGATGGTGACTAAGGAAGAAATCCTATGATAGCATCGTGGTGTTTTTCTGTTTTATCTGGCCTAGCTCACTGCATGTCTTTCTTAAAGGCAGCTTCTGGAAAGACATTTAAATTCACTGTCCATTTGGCAAACAGCTGATTGAAATGTAAATAGATGAAAAGAAGCCTAGGTACACAATGTATTTGTGCTATTATCTGGCTAAGGCTTAAATGGCCTTTTTAGTGAAAATGACACCTATATGGCCCAAGCATTGCTGATGCTTGATAGCTGCACTATACTACAAAGGTTTAAACCACTTGTAGAAAGGAAGTGAGTGAGACCGTGTAAAAAAAACTTTAAAGAAAATTAAGAATGAGATATAGGGGTTGTTTTTTAAGGTAACCAGCAAAATAAAATAGCCTTTGGAATGCTGATAGCCAACTTTTGATCCCAGATTTAACAAATATGGAAGAGTCAAAATTTCAAAATCAGCTTCTAAGGTTTCATGAAATGCCAGCAAACATTATATGAGCAGGATTCTGGATTGGTACTCTACTGTGTAAATCAAGTATTTGTAAGAGTACATGTCTCCATCCCCCTTCCCTCATGTTACTGTTGATGAAATTTTGACTCTGGATTGCAATTAAACACATAAAACTTAGAATTTTGTTATACTTCTTTTCATTTTCCAGTACATTTTACTGGTTTTATTTTTGTTCATGTATTTTTGCCTATGCTACTATGTACTTGCATTTTACTACTTCTGAATTCATTAATTTTCTTGCTAAAATAAATAGTCGTATTAGCATGGTTCTACTGGGGGTTGGGGAAGAATGAATCATAAATGCCTTCCTTTATATTTACTCTTAAGATAATTGTTTAGTTCAATATAAAATAATAAATCCAAAGTCTTTTTTCTTTAGCAGTTTGAAAAAGTTACTACACTGTCTTCTGGCCTCCAGTGTTGCTGATGAGAAGTCTGAGCTCATGCTTTTTTTTTCCTTTGTTAATTACTTTTATTAGTAGTTAGTTATGTTTTTGTTATTTTACTTTTTTTTTTTTTCTTAAGAGATGTGGTCCTCAAGCTTGGCCAACATGGTGAAACCCCGTGTCTATTAAAAATATAAAAATTAGCCAGGTGTGGTGCCACATATCTGTAGTCCCAGCTACTCGGGAGGTTGAGGTGGGAGAATCGCTTGAATCCGGGAGGCAGAGGTTGCAGTGAGCTGAAATCGTGACACTACACTCTAGCCTGGGTGGACAGGGTGAGACCCTGTCTCAAAAAAAAAAAAAAAAAAAAAAAGAGGGAGACAAGGCCCTGCTCTGTTGCCCAGGCTGGAGTGCAGTGGTGTAATCATGGCTCACTGCAGCCTTGAACTCCTGGGCTCAAGGGATCCTCCCACACAGCTGGGACCACAGATGCACACCACATCCCTGGCCAATTTTCTAATTTTTTTGTAGAGACAAGGTCTCTCCATCTTGCCCAAGCTGGTCTCAAACTCCTGGACTCAAGCAGTCCTCATGCCTTGGCCTCCCAAAGTGCTGGGATTACAGGCATGAGCCACTGTGTCCAGCCTTTGTTTTATTTATTTTTTTTAATCCTTGATGCCATGAAGTTTTGCCCTGGATTGCCTAATGTTTTGTTCCCCTATTGACACTTTTGGAGTAGTACTCTCGCAAGCTGAAAATTCTCTTTCGTCTTCAGTTGTGAGATTATTATTTTTTTTTTTTGACAGAGTCTCGCTCTGTCGCCCAGGCTGGAGTGCAGTGGTGCAATCTCCGCTCACTGCAACCTCCACCTCCCGGGTCAAAGCGAGTCTCCTGTTTCAGCCTCCTGAGTAGCTGAGACTACAGGCATCTGCCACCACTCCCGGCTAATTTTTGTGTTTTTAGTGGAGGTGGAGTTTCACCATGTTGGCCAGGCTGGTCTTAAACTCCTGACCTCAAATGATCCACCCACCTCAGCCTCCCAAAGTGCTGGGATTACAGGCATGAGCCACAGTGCCCTGCCTGTTGTTGTTTTTTAATTGCAACTCTTTTTTTTTTTTTTTCCGTGGTCTCTCTAGAGAGAAATCAAATTGAGTTTTTTGGGTTTCTTTCAGGAGGTTGACTTAAGTGGTTCTTAGTTGGGAGCTCATCTTCCTGATCTGTTAGAGTTGCTTGTTTGAGGTGACTGTTTACTGGGTGGAGGAAGCATTACCACTTTGGGTTCTATTTCCTTCTTTGAGGTGCTCCTCCAGTCACTGGTCACTGATTGATTTATCCACAGCTAAAGCTGCAGGTCATTTCTTTGCCCTTATCTTACTGTACCTATCTGCAGCACTTGACACAGCTGATCACTTCCTCCTTGACAGACTTTCTTCAAAGTCCAAGTCCTCACCATGACCTACCAAACAGTTTATGCTCCCTCCTCCACTTATCTCCTACTACACTCCTCCTCATTCACTGTCACTGCCCTGATTTCCTTGCCTGTTCTCAGACTTGCCAAGCATTCTTATACTGATTTTCTCCTAAATTGTAGTAATTTACTTTTAGTAAACTCACCATTAAAAAATGAATATTGATTGAAAGCTTCTCTGTGGTTTCAAAAATATTAAAGTGGGGAGATTACTTTGTCTTAGAATTGAAAAACTTTTTAATACTTATTAGTTACATCATTTAGAAACATCCTTCCAACTCTCAACTTTTGGTAAAAATAATGAGTTAGGAATGTTCCATGTTTCTCTTGTAGTTTCACATACCTCAGGCACAGTGCTGTGATCTCTTGGTGTATATACCCAAGGTTCTCCTTTGGGGCTTTTGGGAAATGGTAAATTCCATAAAACAGGCTCCATACTGCCATATATATATATGTGTGTGTGTGTGTATATATATATATATATATATATATAATATAAATATATTATTTTATTTTATTTATATATATATAATATAAATATATTATTTTATTTTATTTATATATATGATATATAAATATATTATTTTATTTTATTTATATATAATATATATAATTATAATATAATATAAATTTATATGTAATATATATTTTATATTATATATAGTATATATTATATAATATATATTTTATATGATATATAATATATAAATTTATATTACATATAATATAAATTATAAATTTATATATTATATTATATATAATTATATATAATAATAATTATTATTATTTTTTGACACGGAGTCTCACTCTGTCCCCCAGGCTGGAGTGCAGTGGCGCAGTTTCGGCTCACTGCAAGCTCTGCCTCCCAGGTTCATGCCATTCTCCTGCCTCAGCCTCCCGAGTAGCTGGGACTACAGGCACCCGCCACCATGCCCGGCTAATTTTTTGTATTTTTAGTAGAGACAGGGTTTCACCGTGTTAGCCAGGATGGTCTCGATCTCCTGACCTTGTGATCCGCCCGCCTCGGCCTCCCAAAGTGCTGGGATTACAGGCGTGAGCCATCGCGCCTGGCCCCTAGAAGCATCTTATAATTCTGGTGGCTTACTTTTAATTTTGTAAGGCCTCCATTGTCTTGTGCTTCAACTAGTGTCTCCTATCTCTTGTGTGTATCATTTTCTTCTATTTCACCTTCTGTGCTTCCAGAGTGATCTTAACAGTAGGTACCCTAAGAGGAATATTGAGTCATAAGGTATATACATTTTAAATGTAGCCTTACATTTGCTCCCCAAAGTGGCTACTCCTCAAATTGTTGTCCAAAATGTTTATACCAGTTCATACTCCCATTAGCAGTTTATGAGAATATTGTTTTCCTCCATAATTTTTCCTGCATTTTGTATTATCATACTTGTTTTTTGCCAATTTGATGGGGAAAAGGTATTTGTTTTAGTTTTTATTTCCCTGATTACTTGCAAGGTTAACATTCTCTTCCAGCTGTTTTTTTTTGTTGTTGTTGTTGTTTTGTTTTTTTCCTGCTGTTGTGACCTAAGTGGCCTTATGTTGAGATGGCAGAGCCAAAAATACCTAAACAGTTTGGATATCTGAGTCTCTGTATACTAAGGCAGTTGCCCCAAAAGTTGCCTGTACACTTCACTAGGGTAAGCCTTAGTGATCTGAGGGCCCCCTATTGTTGTAACAAAATCTAGTCTAACTGAGAAATATAGTAGCTCTTATATCACTGCCCTTCCCAGAAACCTATAGTAGCTCTATATTGTCTATAGGAACCAAATTCAAAATGCCTAGCTTGGCATTGCTGATTATATTCTACCTCTAGCCTTTTCTCAATACCTCTCTTTCCCCACCCCCCTCTATATATACAAAGTATTCAGCAGACTTTGTAACTTCATAATGTCTGTATTCAAGTTGTTAGCTAAAAAACTTTCTTGCTGCTTCAAATAAAACTAACAGTAGGCCTTGTGGACATGTGATCTCCAGCAGAGCACAGAAGTTCAGATATAGGAAATGGATGAAGGATGCTGTGGAAAATGGGAAGTTTTGTCAGACCTGGTGGGCTGGAAGGACAATGGGGTAAATGAATTGAGTTTGCTGATGAAAGATCAGCTGTTGAGTCCAGGTAGATCAGGAAGAGAAAGAGAAAGGGCAGGTAAGCTGAGAGATAGTGGAGAAGATTTAGGGAACCAAGAACTTCTCTTGGAGGAAAAGCCTTTCCTTTTTGCTTCATTTGATACAAAGAAAAGATAAACTACTGGGTGTTGTGAACTCCCAACCAAGTATCAGGAAACAACTTAGTAGGAAAGAGTAACGGATTTAGTCAGGCTGCCTGGGTTTCAGATCCCAGGACCCCAGTTTCCTAGCCATGTGACCCTGGGAAACCTTTATAACATCTCTAAGATTAGGTTTCCTACTCTATAAACTGGGTATAATCATAGTATTACCTCATCTTGTTGTTTGAATGTTAGGTTAGATAATTATGTGAAAGGCATGTAGAAGTGTATGTTTGGTACAAATGGTGGGCACTCAAATGTTCATTGCAGTCAGCATCATTATTCCCATTGTGTAAGGAGGTTGAGGGAATTCCTGTATGAAGTTTTCTTCATGAAGTAGAAAACAGATGCTATTTGCTTATAAATCTGTCTCCACTGTCCAGTATTAGACTGAGCTCCTTGAAGGCAGGGCCCATATGTTTTCATTTTTATGTCATCAGCAGAGTTCCTGGCACAAAGTAGAATATAACAGAAAAATGCTAGAGTCAGACCTGGGTTTGATTCCCAACTCTACTGCTTACTTGAGTGTATGATCTGGGATAAGTTGCTTAATCGTACTTCCTCTGTTTCCTCATCAGTAAAATAGAGATAATAATAACACTTCCTTTTTAGGGTTTAGTGAGGGTGAAGATTGCTCAGTACATTGTCAGTACTATGAAGCCACTTGGGAGACTTCTGGCTTTGGTTCATTGTGTTACTTTTATGAATGACATTCTTCTCCTTGGTCTTCTTACCTCTGTAGGAATTTGCAATATATACTATCTCCTACCCCTGACACCCCAACCAAACACCACACATTTTGAAACTATTTTCAGTGTTTGCCTTTCCAACTACTTCATTCCCAGATGAGGTTTTTTTTTTTCATATCTAAATGATAGAAACTAAGTGGGAGGAAGGTCTTTGAACTGTATCATACCCTCATCAATATTCTGTATTGTAAGCAATTATGACTTTGTTAAATTTTTTGCTGCCTTTTCTGATATACATAGTAGAGCTATAAATGGCCTCTAAGCATGACTTTAACTTATCCCACAGGTTTTCATATATAGCATCTTAATTTTCTGTTTTAATATTTTCTAATTTCCAATGTGACTTCATGGATTTATGGGCTATTTCAATAGAGGATTGTTTACAATTTTCTAACATGATAGTTTTCTATTTATCTTTTTGTTATGTATTTCTACCTTATTTGCGTGTTATTGCTGAATATTCCCTGGTTTCAGTCTTTTGTAATTTGTTGAGACTTGCCTTAATTGTAAATTTTTACAAATGTTTTTATTTGTGCCCTAAAAGAAAATGCATTCTGGAGTTTTTGGTTCCATTATTCTATGTCTATACTCTTTAGGTCGTTTGTTAATTATGTTCGTATCTTTTATATCTTTACTTGTTCTGTTTTCGTGTATTTTGCTTATTCAGACTGCTACTGAAATCTGTATTAAAAATTTATGGCATAATTGTAGATGACATTTTTGCCTTATAAATTTTTTTAATTTTAATTTATTTGTAATTCACAAATAATAATTGCATGTATTTATGGGGTACAGTGTGATGTTTTGATACATGTTCACATTGTGAAACAAATCAAGGTAATTAATATATCCATCACCTTGGCCAGGCAAGGTGGCTTACGCCTGTAATCCCAGCACTTTGGGAGGCTGAGGCAGGCAGATTACATGAGGTCAAGAGCTGGAGACCAGCCTGGCCAATGTGGTGAAACCCCTTCTGTACTAAAAATACAGAAATTAGCTGGGCATGGTGGTATACATCTGTAATCCCAGCTATTCAGGAGGCTGAGGCAAAAGGAACACTCAAACCCAGGAGGCAGAGGTTGCAGTGAGCCGAGATTGCGCCGCTGCACTCCAGCGTAGGTGACAGAGCAAGTCTCTCTCTCTCTCTCTCTCTCTCTCTCTCTCTCAATCTCTCTCTCCCCCCTCCCTCTCCCTCTCTCTCCTCCTCTCCCTCTCCCTCTCCCATCTATAAGCTATATCAGCTTTCTTTTGGTTGTGTTTGCATGGTCTATATTTTTCCATTCTTTGATTATTTAATATTTTCCCCTCTGTTAGCTTTATAGTTATACACTTTTTTACTATGCTTTTCTTAAATCAGAAATTACAAAACACATTCTTCACCTATCAAGTCTGCTACTACAGCTTCATGGACAGTGCAAGGAACTGAGAGCACTCTAATAGCTTCATTTACCCTTCTCCAGACTTACATTCTGTAGTTGTATTTTAATTACTGTATTTTAAACTTCATGGGATATTAATGTTACTATTTTATATAGTAAGCATTCATGTAGATTTACCCACACATTTCCCATTTTCCTTGGTTTTTCTTCTTTCTTGTTCCTGAAAGCTTCCATCTGGAGTCATTTTTCTTCTCCCAGTGGATTTTATTCATTGTAGGACTGCTAAGGAATTATTTCCTTCAGTTTTCTTTATTTGAAAATTATTTTTTCCCTTTTTTGAGGACTGTTTTTGCTAGGTATAGAATTTTAGCTCTTGGAGATATCACTCAATTGTCTTCTGGCTTCCAGAATTTATGTTGAGAAGCCAGCTGTCAGTTTAATTGCTTCTGCCAAAGTAATCTAATCACTCTGGTTTTTTTTCCTGGCTACTTTAAAACTTTTCTCTTGATACTCCACCTCACCCCCTGCCACATGTACCCTGGTGTGCATAGGTATGGGGGGATTGTTTGTTTTGGGGTGGGTTTTTTGTTTGTTTGTTTGTTTTTTTATCTTGCTGGGAGTTTTTAAACCTCCTTGATCTGTGACTTTAGATCTTTTGTCACTTTTGGAAAATGCTTAGCTATCATCTTGCTTCTGTGTACTTGCTCTTCTCAGGCTCTGGTTTTTCAGATGTCACATTCTCTCACTGAATCTCCTGTGGCTCTTACCCCTTCTCTCCCACCTTCACCTTTTTTCCTCTCCATGCTTCATTCTGGATATTTTTCAGACTAGTCTTTACTTTTCAAATTCTCTTCTTAGCTCTGTCAAATCTTTAATTAAGCCCACTTGTTGGCTTTTTAATTTCCATAATTGTATATTTTAGTTCTAGATTTTTCATTTAATTATTTTTCTTTCTTTGCTGATATTGTTAGTCTTGTATTTTTCTCTATATATATGATAGATCACTAACTGGACCAATTCTGACCAGTGAGCTATATGACCTGTGAGCTAAGAATGATTTTTACATTTTTAAGGAGTTGTTAAAAAGATGTAAAAAAAAAAAAAAAAAAAAAAAAAAGCATACAACAGAAACTGTATGTGGCCTGTGAAACCTAAAATATATATTCTTTGGCTCTTAACGAAGATGTTTGCCAACCCCTGGTATATATTAAAGACAGTTATTTTAGAGACTGTGTCTGGTAACCCTATTATTTGAAACTTCTTTGTTAGTTTCTGGAGTTTATTCCATACTTTTTATCAGTGCCATCCTGTCTCGTCATATGTGCCTGGTTTTATTGGGCTGAGCAATGGATGTTGTATATGTGAAAAAAAATTTTTTTAATTGAGACCTAGGATGACTTTCTTCCTATAGTGAGGATTTGTGTTTGCTTCCAACAGTTGATTGGAAATGCTAGTAATCCTGTATAACCTTATTTTAGCATCAGGCATTGAGGTCATTCTAAAATTAGCATCAGTTTACTTTTGGGTGACATTTACTCTAGAGTCTAATTTACTCTCCAGGGTCCCAGTGCAAAGATGGCCCTTCCATCCTAGGCCTTGGAATTTAACTTTTGTCCCTTTAGCCAGTGGCTGTCACAGGTACTTCTTGGCCTTTTAGCCTTTTCTTTAGGAATCAGAAAATATTCTTAGGAGAAAAAGTAACGTCAGAGGCCAGATACTGTGTGTGTGTGTATGTATGTATGTACTTCAGGTTTTCTGTTTGTCTTAGTACTAGGATTCGTCTGAATTATCTAACATACCATTATCAGCAGGGGAAGTTCGTGATGTACTTTATGTGTAATTTTTATAATTACATTAACTCCTCTTGAGATAACATAATTCAGACTCAGTCATTCCCTCAGAATACATTTAATATACACTATGTGTGTGTTTCTTTAATGTTTTTCATTAGTAAAGCAATGAGGAACCCTATTTTAAAAATTAAATTGATTTTGATAGCCCTGAATAGCAAGTTGCAGAGAAATCATTTGGAAAATAAATTAGCATACTTCTTATGCAAAACTTTTACTACTCTGGAATGCAGTGGTTTGTTTATTGTCTTAATTTCTGTAGCTTGTATTTTGTGAGATGTCTCTTTTACGGCATGAAATATATTGTACAGCCTGCATACCTGGTAAGAATGCGACCATATTAAAGATGAGGTGGTGGAGTCATTTACTTTTTGTGTTTCTTGTATACCTGTGCCTAGTACAGACATTCATTAAATCATGTTGATTACTAAGAAATCTCTCAGGGGCCAACTAGAAGCTAATTCAATATTAAGTGTAAAGATGCTCACAGAATTTTTGGAATATTTAATGTAATCAACTTGTTACTGGTCTTAAGTCTTGCTGCCAGTAGCTGAACTTGATTCCAAGATATTGCTGTTTTATTCTTGTATCAGTCACCATTTTTTATTAGGAGGGAGGGAGGGAGAGTGAGTGTGTGTGTGAGAGAGAGAGAGAGTGTGTGTGTGTGTGTGTGTGTGTGTGTGTGTGTGTGTGTGTGTGTGTGTGTAGGGTAACATTCCTACCCTTAAATGGACAGGTCTGATATTTTTATTTGGGAGGATAGAAGGGCCAAGTTTTTCCTCTGAAATATCATTAGTAATGGCTTTTGAAAACTGTTCAGTGAGCTTACCATTGTAGGATTGTCTAATAGTTTCAGAGAGTACCATATGGTTCTTATTTCAAAAGATCTTTTTGCTGAAAGTAGAGAACTTGGGTTAAAAAAGAGATTGCACAGTAATGTACATAAAAATTTGTTGAACATGTCGAAACCGCTTAAAAAGGTAAAGCTTGACATTTAGAATAACTTAAATTATTTTTTTTTTCAGCTTCCAGCTGATCTTACCAAGATGCATCTCACAGAAAACCCTCATCCACAGGTGACTCATGTGTCTTCTAGTCAGTCTGGTTGTAGCATTGCCAGTGACTCTGGAAGCAGCAGTTTATCTGATATCTATCAGGTAATACCTTAGGAATTTGTATGCTGCGTATATGGTTTTTTTATTTGCCAGATATTCTGTGATTGTGCCTTAGATGGTTAACATATCTTTTAGAGTATGAAATTCAAGCGTAAGGTCTTTAGAAAAATAAGCTTTATATACTGTGTCAAATTTGTAAGCATGATTAAAGACGTGATCTGTCTTTTGAGAATGATTAAGTATGGTTCAGCAGAGTATGAATCTAGTGTTCTCTTTCATTTATCCAGGTGAATCCATATTAATATCTAATGCTTGTTTTGGTTAAAAAATTAGTTCTTGGAATAACTGAACTTAAACTTATAAAAAGGCTGATTTTTGTTATAATTGACTGTATATGTCTTCTGTAGTTAGAAGTCATGAAGAAAATTAGAGCTGCTTTTCTACCATAAAGCCTCTGTTGTAGTCTAGCGTGAATTAAATAGCAAATTAGTGAGAATATTGATGGACTTTTCCATTTTCTAAAACCCAAGAGGAACAATTTCAAACCTACTGAGCTTTTCAGTGATCATTGTAATATTGGGGAGAAGGTTCTAGGAAGACCCATAAACTGAGAGAATCCTCACATGATCCTGCTGAGATTGAACCCAAGTTAGGTTCAAGCCAGGGTAATAAGTATTTCAGGATCCAGATAGTGGAACTTCTATGATGTCTTCTTTAATGCAAGTTGTAAGGAGCAGTTCCCTGGGTGTGGAGCCCAGTGGTTGATTTTGTCAGAGATCATGAGTATAGAACATAAAACAGTTTAAATAAAATAACAAGAGGATGCATGATATTGAGGGTTGGTTTGTTAAGGAATTCAAATATATTACCTATTTCAGAACTGTCAAATAGAAATTTAATGTGAGCCACGTATTTAATTTTAAATTTTCTAGTAGCCACATTAAAAAATATAAAAGGAAACAGGTAAAATTCATTTTAGTAATATATTTTATTTAGTGCAGTATAACCAAATACTATAATTACAACATGTATTTAATGTTTTAACATTATGCATGAGTTACCTTACATTACTTTTGCATATTAAGTCATCAAAAAACAGAGTTTAATTTAAAGTTACAGCACATCTCAATTTGGACTAGCCATGTTTTAAGTGCCTAATAACCACATACGGCTAGTGGCTACCATATACTAAGAATTGTAGAAATAGTATCATTGTCTGAGGAAAGCATTTTAGACTGGTTCTACAAAGTTACCCAGATTGAGATATTTTAGGAAAATAGCCTTCTTCTATTCAGGGAAGTTTGTAGGCAGATGCAAAATGGAACAAAGACAATACCCATTTTTTGGTTTATATGTGGCTTTTCTCAACAAAGGTAATTGCTGTGGTCATCTATATCTCCCTGTTTGCTTTTTACAGTATACAGAACAAGGAATTTTTCCCTGTTCTCCATTTTATAGTAGAGAGAACAAAGAATTAAAAGAGAGATGAAACAAGTTAATACAATAGCTCTGGCACCACTTAGTACTTGTGTACCTATTGGGCTTCATGCTTTCTGCCCCTCCCCAAAAGAATTATCTTGTGAAAGAAGAATTGTTGCACACCTAAAAATCAAAGTAGACTGTGTTTTTCCAGAAGAAAACACTGAGGAAGATTGACCCTGGATCAGTGAAATTCAGGGATGTGGCTGTAGATTTCTCTCAGGACATGTGAGAATATCTGGACTTTTCTAAGACTATACACAGAGGTTTAGTGTTGAAAAACTATAGGATGGGAGGCCTAGGCGGGCGGATTACCTGAGGTTAGGAGTTCAAGACCAGCATGACCAACATGGTGAAACCCTGTCTCTACGAAAAATTCAAAAATTAGCTGGGCGTGGTGGCACACATCTGTAATCTCAGCTACTTGGGAGGCTGAGTAAGGAGAATTGCTTGAGCCCAGGAGGCGGAGGTTGCAGCAAGCCAAGAGCATGCCACTGCACTCCAGCCTGGCCGACAGAGCAAGACTCTGTCTCAAAAAAGAAGAAAAGACAAGAAAAACTATAAGAACCTGGTATCACTGGGATATCCACATCTCTAAGCCAGGATAGTGCACAGATTAAGATTCAAGGTCACTTGGAAAGACCAATGCTTTATTGTGAACTAGAAGATGGACTGTACACAGTTGGTCCCTACATCTTTGCAAAGATACTACAGGAGCTCCTATAGGAGCATTGCACTTATATTAGCACCTGCAGATTACTCCCCTTTTAGCTGGACAACCTGAGGATGAGACTGGAGTACACCTGCTGGTGTTGGTTGGAGGTGTTCTATTGCAGGACCATGGCATAGCCTATATCAATATGTAGAATATTTCCATCACCTCAGAAAGTATCCATATGACCCTTTGCAGTCAAGTACCTTCTCCTGACCCCTATCCTATGCCCTGGCAACCACCAATCTCTTTTCTGACCTTATAGTTTTGCCTTTTCCAGAAGGTCATATAAATGGAATCATATAGTTTAAAAAAATATGATGCAATGAAACTTATAAATTAACCAATAAAAGTGGGAATGAATTTAGAGAGCATGAAAAGATAAAAGGAATAAAGATAAAATAAATAAGATAAAACTCTAGAACCAAAATAGGAATGAAGAAATTTAAAGAAGAAACTTATAATAATGTTAACATCAAATATATAAAACCTAAGATAAAATTTTTTAAGAGTAGTCAAAGAAGATAAAAATTTTCAAACTCTGCTGCTGGGCACAGTGGCTCAAGCCTGCAGTCCCAGCACTTTGGGAGGCAGAGGTGGGCGGATCACCTGAGGTCGGGAGTTCAAGACCAGCCTGATCAACATGGAGAAACCCTCTCTCTACTAAAAATAAAAAATTAGCTGGGGTGATGGAGCATGCCTGTAATCCCAGCTACTCAGGAGGCTGAGGCAGGAGAATCACTTGAACCCAGGAGGCGGAGGTTGCGGTGACCCAAGATCACGCCATTGCACTCCAGCCTGGGCAACAAGAGTGAAACTCCGTCTCCAAAAAAAAAAAAAATTTCAAACTCTGACATAACAGTTAACTTTAGGACCATAGCCAAAAGATAGAAACAGCATAAACGCCAAAATAAAAAGAAGCCAATAAAGATAAACACAAAAGGAAAAAAATCAAAATCATAAAAATATACACCTACATACTTATATATTTTTTATATCTCATATGTATAAAATCTTATATATCATATCTATGAGATAAGTAGGTATTTTTAACATTTTATTTATATTTCGTTAAATAAATATATATACCTGTATACTTAAATATGTTATACTTGTAGATACAGAATGTAAATCCGAGTTCAAGAACACCAGTTAGTAACAGTGTTTTTCTACTAGTGGTGGGTTTGTGGGTAGTTTTTATTATGTTTCTTAAACGAACATTTTTATTTATTTAACAAATATTAAGGAGGACGTAAATAGATTGTATAGTTAAAAGTTGAAAAAAAAATTGGAAAATATTTAAAGGAGAGTAAAAGGAATAAACACAGAATTATAATAGATTGATAAGATATACCCTCCAAAGTACAAGATTTCTATAATTTTAATCCATGGGTAAGAGAAATGTCTAACTAAATTTTGTGTGTGTGTGTGTGTGTGTGTGTGTGTGTGTGTGTGTGTGTACATGCGCGAATGTTTCCAATCAGATCCTCGGGAATAAACAAGGAGAAGAATTAAATATCAGTACTGGACCCTTGATCTTTCCTTTCACCTTAGGCTGCCTTTAGATTCCCTTTTGGAGCTATGAATATACCCCTTAGTTACAGGTGTACATTGCCAATGTATGTATCTTAGCCTGGGATAGCTGAAGTGATTTGTCTAGTTATTTGAATTTTAGCATTTGAGAGATTTTTTAAGTGAACACCTAGCCTTTAACACCATAAGAAAAGCCTTGTGAAATGATAGAAGTATTTTTAATTTGGACAGTTGAGGGGAAGATATCCTAACAGCAATTTTTTTTTAGTGTTTCTGCTTTTATTCTTCTAGAAATTTAGAAACGTTTCAAGTGAAATCCAGCTTTTTTTGTGGGGCAGAAGACTATATATAGATTAATTTGGGCATTTTTTTCTAACGTGGAGTCTTCTTATCCAGAAAAATGGATGTCTCCCCAATTTTTAAAAATAATTTCAACTTTTATTTTAGATGCAGGGGGGTACATGTGCAGATTTCTTACATAGTATATTGCGTGGTGCTGAGTGTTTGGGGTTCGAATGATCCCATCACCCAGATAGTGAGCATAATACCCATTCGGTGGTTTTTCAGCCCTTGCCCCTCTCTCCCTGCCCTAATAGACCCCAGTGTCTGGTGTTCCTATCTTTAGGTCCATGTGTACCCAATTGTTAGCGCCCACTTATAAGTAAGAACATGCGGGATTTGGTTTTCCTGACAGCAGTTCTTAACAGGAAAACTGTTTACACTGTTTTATATGGCCAAATGTGTGGCTACACTTCTATGCATTTCCTTCTTGAGAGTTTTCATGTCTTCTGGTCTAAAAATAAAAGCCCTTGGCCCTCAAAGAAACTTCAAAATATAGCATGTACTATAGTGTGGAGGGAAAAAAAGGCAAATCAATGATTCCAGTGTGAATGTGTTTCTAATCAGCATAGATTAAAATTTTAAAGTATACATTAAGGTGTAAGAGTGTTCTTAGATAGAATATTTTCTGCATCTTCAAAGAGTATTCAAGAGAATAAGGAGTACTTCTTTCTAGATTCCTTTTTCTATTTATTTCAGTCTTTTCCATGAGCTGGAAAACTGTGAAATATTGACTCTTGAACAAAAGCATGTTGTCTTTTTGTTAACTCATTCTTAAACAACTCCAGACACACATTTATCCACCACCTACCTTTTCAGTTTCTATATAGGCAGTAAGCGTGTTCTTAAAAATCCCAAGACTTCAGTTACCACCTCTATGGCAACATGATTTCCTAATGCACAGCTCGGAGTGCCAATCTCTTCAGAACTCTGGTGCCACGTTTTCACCAGTATGTTCTTTTGTCAACTCAAGTCACCACATGTTCTCTTACACCTTTCTTTAATATTTCTGTTAAGAATATCATCTGAGGCTGGGTTCGGTGGATCACTTGAGGTCAGGAGTTTGAGACCAGCCTGGCTAACATAGCAAAACCCCATCTCTACTAAAAATACAAAAAAAAGTAGCCACGTGCGGTGGCGCATGCACCAGCTACTCAGGAGGCTGAGGCAAGAGAATCGCTTGAACCCAGGAGGCAGAGGTGCAGTGAGCCAAGATCGCACCACTGCACTCCAGCCTGGGTGACAGAGAAAGACTCCGTCACAGAAAAAAAAAAAAAAAAAAAAAAAAAAAAAAAAAAAAAAAAAAAAAAAAAAAAAAAAAAGGATATCATCTGAGTCCTAGTCAAAATCTGTTATCATCTTTTGACTATCATTTTTAAACTCCCACTTGAAATAAATTGCTCTGATTTTTAATTACTCTTGTATTTAAAAAGCTTTAATTCTTCACTGTTATCTAAATTACACTCTTAATTTTAAATTCCAAGCCTTTTACCTCTAACTACAATGTAGTTTTATATTTTACTGTTCCCCCACTTACACATTCTAGATTCTGCCCCATCACATATGTACGTTATTCCCTGAACATGTCTGCCTTTTCCTAGTCTTGTGTTTTAATCATGCTCTTCTACCCGTAGCTTCATGAAGATGACATTTTCATGTTATCTCCCATGTCTTTCCAACAAGAAGAAATGTCTCCTTCCTTGGAATCCCTCAGCAGTTTTTCTCTCGGACATGTCACTTTTTCTCTCTGCTTTTTTTGGTAGTTACTTGTAAACTTGACATTTTTCATCACCAGAGTAAATTTATGGAGTGCAGAGTTGATGTCTTAAATTTGTATCCCATGGTGAGTCAGGCACAGTGTTGGCATTTAGGAAGTACTCTAGAAATTCTTTTTTTGCACTGAATTATATTTGAAAGTAGAAACCAATATTGGCTTCAAGGAAAATGCAGATCTCTGCTAACTAAAACTTTATTATCCAGGGCAAAAGAGACTTGATTTTGCCTGCCTGCCGTGTTGTAGAGGTTATGAAATGGGTCAACCTGGACTGAAAGATTAACTTCATAGAGTTCTAACCCTGACCAGGAAGACCTAAGAACTAAATGGTCCATGAAAAGGTTAAATGAAATACTAAAGATGGGAATACAGAAAAGAGAGGCACTGAAAGTCTAAGGCTTAACACTTGCCCTAAATTTGAAAATGTGGTTTTTGTAAGTTTGTATAACTCTTAGTTCCAACCTATAGTTCTCTTCATTGTAGCTTCATGTTTATCTAGATGGAAACAGGAAAAGGATATCCTCTGGTGGTTTATTTGGGGAAGGCCGAGTCATCAGAAAATCACCTCAGACTGTCTGCCTCACCAAATTATATTTATGTATACAGAGACACATTCATATGTCAGGAAAAGAAAAAAGTTTCATGCTGTCTTAATCCTATCACCAATATATATATTTTTCCTGGACTTAACTCATTTATCATAATTAAGGGTCTGATATGTCCCAGGTGCTAGGATAAATTAATTGAAAGGCTGGGGATGAGTCTTCTGTGTACCCTACCTTCACGAATACGGAGTGTCTTTTGACCCACATATTTCCACTCGTGGTATTATGATATGAGTCTCTAAGGCTTTATTAATTTTTTTTTGGCTTTTTTCTCATCTCTACTTCAGATTGGGTAGCTTTTGTTGCCCTTTCTTCAAATTTATTCTTCTTACAGTTTATATCTCCTTACTGAGATTATCCATTTTTCCTCTAATTGTTTTTCTTCTAAATTCTTGAACTTATTTGTAGTAAATGTTGAAAGTTCTTGTCTCTTACTTTCATTATCTCTATCATTATCGAGTCTCTTTATAGTGGTTTGTTTCCTGTTTATAGGTCACATTTCCCTGCTTCACTTATGTAGTAAGTTTTTATTGTATGCTGAACATTGTGGATATTACGTTGAAAAAAATTCTTACCTAATTATTATAGAATTAAACTTTCTGCCCAGGAACTGCATCTTCAGAAGTATCATGCAGTGACTTCTTGTCCTGTGGTCATAATCATATCTACCTTTCTCTTAAGGACCTGACTTTCCTTTGTTTAATCAAGGAGTTGGTCTTTACATTTTTAAAAATTCATTTTAAGTTTAAAAAAATCCCTTTAAATTTCTTAGCATGTTTTTGAACAGTCTTATTTTTTATTCTTAATTCCTGTTTTATCACCTTATGCTCATGTATACTCTTAATATTTTAATAGTTTAATGTATTTTCTTAACTAATTTTATTCTTTTTATACTACTATGTAAAAAGTAGAGGTATAAGAAAGGTAGTTGTGGTTTTTGGGGGGTTTTGGTTTTGGTTTTTGAGACACGTTCTCACACTGTCACCCAGGCTGGAGTGCAGCAGCAAGATCTCGGCTCACTGCAGCCTCTGCCTCCAAGGCTTAAGCAATCCTCCCACCTCAGCCTCCTGAGTAGCTGGGAGTGCAGGCATGTGCCACCACACCCGGCTAATGCCACCACACCCGGCTAATTTTTGTATTTTTTTGTAGAGACAGGGTTTCTCCGTGTTGCCCAGGCTGGCCTCAAACTCCTAGGCTCAAGCGATCTGCATGCCTCAGCCTCCCAAAGTGCTGAGATTACAGGCAGGAGCCATTGTGCCTGGCTTAGAAAGACAAATTGTAAGGGTAGATTATATTCTTTCCTTTGCAGTTGGTATTAAAAGGTTCCTAAAAAAGTTCTTTTAGTAGCCTTCTCTCAGTCCCAACCCATGACTTCCATTCTTCCTAAAGAGCTATCTCCTTAATTGTCTTTGCTTCTCATGCAGATGATAATTAGCCTTCTCTACTGTCCATATAACTAAATTCCATCTTGCCTTTTTATGTTGTGAGCCATCTATCTTTTTATCCAACATAATCTAAAATATGGGAATGAGACCAGATTGAAATAATCTGGGTCAGGGGATGAAAACCTTAGATTAAGATGAAGACAGAGTGATTTAAAAACCTGAATTTTTAATGCAGATTACACTTAAAAATTGATAAAATAGAAAAGGGATATACTAGGAGTGAGCTCTCCTGCATATTGAGAAATTAAATTGTGTAGAAAATACTGCTTTAGGTTTTTTCCCAGTCGTTTCTTAGATTAAATCAGTGTATATAAATAAGGTTTTTGGAAAGTCTTTTTAGCATGTACACATATTTAAATTTAAAACTACTTGTCTTTAAAAAAGGATTATAACCTGCAAACAAGTTTGTGGTTCTATGTATTATTCAGAAATATACTCCGTTTAAACCCTGTAATTTCATAGCCAGTAAACAACTCAGAGCGTACTAGTCAGTCATGAGATACAGTTGCCCCTATATGATCCTGTCTTAGTCCATTCAGGCTGCTGTAACAAAATACTGTAGACTGGGGGGTAGCTTATAAACACCAGAAATTTATTTCTCACTATTCTTGAGGCTGGAAAGTTTAAAGATCAAGGCACCAGCAAGCAGATTTGGTGTCTGGTAAAAGACCTCTTTCTGATTGTTAGAGGTACCTTCTAACTGTAGCTTCACAGAGTAGAAGGGGAGAATGAGCTCCCTCAGGCTTCTTATATACTAATCCCATTCGTGAGAGTTCTCATGACCTAATCACTTCCCAAAGGCCCCACTTCATAATTCCATCACTCAAAATAAGAATTTTGAGGAGGTACAAACATTCAGACAATCGCAGACCCTTAAGAACTAGCTTGTCTAATTTAAAGATCACAATTTGAGTATTTAGTCTAGATTGTTAAATGACTATTACTTAAAGCTGTGCAGAAATCCAAAGGAAGTATAAGACATGGTCTTAGGAAACAGATCCAGACTCTTCTAGTTGTAGGTGTCAGAGCCTTAACTTGAATTAACAAAAGCCAAAAGGCCAGTGCCTGTGGTCCTAGCTACTAGGGAGGCTGAGGCTACAGTGAGCTGTGATCATACCACTGCACAACTTGGGTGACAGAGTGAAACCCTGTCTTTAAAAAAAAAAAAAAGAAGAAAAAAAATGTAAAGCCAAAAGGTTAGTTTATTGACCACCAGAGAAAGCAGAGGCAACTCTAGCCTCAGGGTACCTGGATGCTTGCAGGTACGTCTGCCCCGTCTGCCTGTTTCTGGTCTTTTGGCTCCGTACGGCTTGCTTATTTTTCCTTGCTTGCTTGCTTTGTGACACTTTCTGTCACAAATGCTCTTTGCAGCACATGCTGTGCTCTTTCTTTCTCTGCCCTGCATGCTCTGTTTCTGTTGCTTTGTTGCTCTGAGTCTTTGTTTGACTCTCTTGTTCAGTGTCCTCCTCCCCATTCCCTTTCCTATTTCCCTGCCTATTGGTTTCATTTTCTTCTGCCACAGGAAGGCGTTTCCATGAGGCTATAGGCTGCCTACTCTCATATTCTTCCAATTTAGCAACCAGTTAAGAAAGGATGCTCTGCTTCCAGATCTAATTGTGTACAGAAATCTAGAGAAAAGCTCTTTCTAACTTAGTTTACATAGCTAGGGAACAGGGCACTGTTTCCCACTGTAATCTCTGGGTTTAAGATGGAGAGGAAAGGTAGTCCTCAAAAGAAGGAAGATCAGCTGGGCATGGTGGCTCACCCTGTAATCCCAGCATTTTGGGAGGCCAAGGTGGGTGGATCACATGAGCCCAGGAGTTCAAGACTAGCCTGGGCAGCATAGCAACCTCCCCCGAGTCTCTACAAATATTTAAAAAATTAGTTGGGTAGGGTGGTGCATACCTGTGTTCCCAGGTATTCAGGGCGTTCAGGAGAGAGGATTTCTTGAGTCCAGGAGGACAAGGTTGCAGTGAGCCGAGATCTGCAGTGCACACCACTACACTCCAGTCTGGGTGACAGTGGGAGAACCTGTCTCAAAAAAAAGAAAAAAAAAAAAAAAAGATGATCTTTTTGGCAGTAAAAAAGGGTAAATGTTCAAAACATGAGATACTTAATGAATTAAGATTCTGTAGTCTTCACTAATATTCATATTTGAGTGCTTTCTACTTATTAGGGAATTCTTGTGTGTTCACTCATTTTTTCTATAATGCCTTTAATACCCATGCTTTTTCATTAACAAGATGACTCAAGTGAGTATAATATTTAGAAATATTTTTTAAGAATCTACTTAGTACCATTTTATCTTCTAAAAGACATTTTCATTATTTTCTATGAATGACTTTTTAATATATGGTTTTTAAAAATTTTATAGTTTCTTTAAAATATGTAAGACTAATATGTTTCCAAATTGTAGTTGTAAGTATAAGGTCATTTTATAGAGTTCAAAAATCACAGCTCTTTGCACACTTTTAGATCCTACAGTAAAGTATTGGGAAATGAAGAGTATTTGTTCAGTCCTTTACGATGGGTCTATTTTAGTGCATTTTAGTACTGTTCTTTACCTTACTTTAAACTTCTGTTCTTAATTTATATGATTACCTACCCTACTAAGCCTAAGTCTCTGTGATGAAAGAACAGTATCTTCTTCACAATACCCAGCATAGACTAATAGGTACTCATAAGGTGATTGTTGGTAAACTTTTTCTTTCCTGTACTTCATGTTTTAGTAAACTTAGTACTTTTAGGAAATACAAGTGTTGGGTGGAAAACAGATATTAATACATTTAGTGATGTTTGAGTCTCCTGACCATTTTACATTTACTGATTCTGATTTATCACCTAGTTGTCACACTGTGGAAAGATGAGCCTCTAAATTTGGGGCAGAAAGAACCTTTTATAAATAAGTATCATTTTATTGTATTCTTGATGCAGCATCCAGCGTTGCCCAAGTCTTTTATATTTTGTAGGGATGGGTAGTTTTGATTAATTCAGACTGTGACTTATAATATTTTTTACATGAAATGGTAAGTGATCAAGATTTCTTTTCATAGGCTACGGAGAGTGAGGTAGGAGATGTAGATTTGACACGTCTTCCAGAAGGACCTGTTGATTCTGAGGATGACGAAGAGGAAGATGAAGAGATTGATCGAACAGATCCATTGCAGGGGCGAGATCTTGTTCGAGAATGTCTTGAAAAAGAACCTGCAGACAAAACTGATGATGACATTGGTAAGAAATATATGTGTTCACAATAAGAATTTGTAACTTAATTTATATGGTTACCTATTTCTGCATAACAAATTATTCTAAAACTTAATAAATGTGTGTTGTGTTAAGCCATTATCTTAGAGTTTTTGTGAGTCAAATTTAGGAGCACCTTAGCTGAGTGGTTCTGGCTTGGTATCTCCCATGAGGTTGTTGTCAGAATTGACACAGGGCTGCAGCCATCCAGGTCTTCCCTGGGCTGAGCTGTAGAATCTGTGTCCAAGATAGCTATTCAAATGGCCTTTGGTGCATGACCTTCAGTTCCTCATGTGGGCCTCTGATAGGCTGCTTAATTGTCCTTACAACATACTTAAGGGGAACTTAGGCTTCCCCCTAAGTAAGTAATCCAAAGGAGAATAAGGCAAATGCCACAGTTTTTTATTATCTGTATTCAAGAGTAATGCATCATCACTTCTGCTAAATTCTGTTTGTTATACCAGGTAACTCTGATACAGTATAGAATGGGTCTGTACAAGGACATGACTATCAGGAGGCAGGGATCACTGTGAGCCATCTTTGAGGTTGGCTGCCACAATATATAAAATAAAAGCTTTGATTGCATTAAACTGATTTTTCCCTTCATGTCTATAAGACATTTAAAGCACAAGCATAGTACAATGTTCAGTGTCTGTGAATTTGCTTTTTGAAAAACTTGCAGATTTTTTAAAACCTTATATTTTTATTTCCCTAGCTTAAATATATGTATGTTTTGTGTGTACTCTTATTTTTTTTTTTGAGACGGTGTCTCACTCTGTCGCCCAGGCTGGAGTGCAGTGGCGCAATCTTGGCTCACTGCAAGCTCCGCCTCCCGGGTTCACGCCATTCTCCTGCCTCAGCCTCCTGAGTAGCTGGGACTACAGGCGCCCGCCACCACGCCTGGCTAATTTTTTGTATTTTTAGTAGCAATGGGGTTTCAACGTGTTAGCCAGGATGGTCTCGATCTCCTGACCTTGTGATCCGCCCACCTCGGCCTCCCTAAGTGCTGGGATTACAGGTGTGAGCCACCACGCCTGACCATGTGTACTCTTAAAACATTATAAATTTTTTTATGTAATATTTTACAGAACTAGTTACCATACTTTAGTTGGGAAGTTGAATGATACTAAAGATGTTAATGTTATCTTTAAGATGCAAAGATCACTTAGTGTCAAACATATATTGTTAGGATTTAATTAAGATTTTTTTCTTAGATTGCATTTTTATAATAGCTACCCTTCCAATTAGAAGATGCTGCTACTATTAAAAATCATTTATGTGAGTAAAGATCAATGTATTTGAACATTCCTTGCCATTCTAAAGATATAATACAGTTAAATAACCTGCAGTGTGGATTTATGTTATGAACGTTATCTCGACAGAAACTGAAAGTGCAATTTTACTGATAAAGAATTGTATACTATACTATTTTCATAAAACTTTTTAAAAATTGAAATATAGCTAATTCCTATGTCCTATGGATATATAGCACCTTATAGTTATTCTTAATCTCTTTGCTGACTGCTTATATGTGTTTCTTATATTTATACCTTCCTTACACATATATCCATACCAGGGAGTGGCCTGAGGCACTCATAAACATTTGTTAGTTAAAGAGAGTTACCTAGTTAGTTAGACAAATCTTGAGCTAGAATTCACATTTATTATCCCTGTTTTAATTACTTTTTGGATTTTATTAATGGCATTTTTAAATACTTTTGTTTAGTAAGAACTAGACAAAAGACTTTTTCACTAACCTATTAGATCAAAGGCCATAACTAAACCCATGGAGTGGCTAGGAATATTAGATAAACGCTCCGCTTTCATCTGAACCTGTATGGTCCTTGTTCTCTCTGGAGGTTGTGAATTCTGTTATCTTCCAATATGCCCAGGTTTATATGTGAGTCTGAATATACATATTAATCAAATAATTGATTTTAAAAATCAACGGTCAAATAGTACCTTAGTTTCTCTACTTTAGCAACATAAATTTATAAGTTGATTGTGAAATTGGGAATTGAATTCTAGATTTCGTTGTATTTTTAAGGTATAGTCCTCGATGGTCTTTATACCAGAATTTCTGTTTTCTTATAGAACAATTGCTGGAGTTTATGCACCAGCTCCCTGCATTTGCAAACATGACCATGTCTGTAAGGAGAGAACTCTGCTCAGTGATGATTTTTGAAGTGGTAGAGCAGGCTGGAGCTATTATTCTTGAAGATGGGCAAGAGGTAGGTCAATAAATAAATTACATACATTTATTATGGATACTAACTTTTAAAATAACTTAATTTCCATAAATTTGTCCTGATTTTTGAGTACTGATTTTTGAAATTTATACAGATTTCTTAAATAAATGCCAAGTTTGAGTTAGTTACAATTTCTGAAGAGGTAAGTTTTTGTTTTTGCTTTGCCCTAATTTTAAATTTATTCGCAGTAGACTCTGCACAAAGTCAGTGCTCCATAAATAATATTCAATGAACCAAATGTTTTTACTTCTCAGATTACATTAAATTTAAATAGATGAAATAGATTTAAAAGATTCTTGAATATTTTTCTATTTGTATAATTATATCATTATTGTTTAAAATGTTTATCAAGAATTTTTCTTATTCCTTATTTCTATTATACATTTAAAAGAAAAAGAATGAGGAACATGTGTTGGTACCAGTGCATCCTAGGGAACTGCTGACAGTTGAAGCGTTTAGGTGACAATTCTATGTTCAAAAATGCTCGGATGACAGCTTGTGGATGGGTGGAGGAAGGATGCAAAGGGATTGGAAGGTATTATTGCCATCAGGAAGTGCTTCATTATTTTTCCTATCAAATGTACTCATTTGATTAATGCTGAGATATCAGTAAATGAACATTGTCTTCTAGTGGAAATGTAAATTGGTACAGCATTTCCAGATAATTATTTTAAAATTCTTAACATGGTCCTCCAAGTATTCACAGCTGCTAGCCTGTTATTCCACTTCTGAGTGTCTAACCTGAGGAGACGTGTAGAACTCAAAGAGTTATTTCAAAAGGTGTTCATTGCAGTACATTTATAATATAAATTATATACTTATATAATCTATAAGTAAGTTATATATAATTACATAATTTCATACTATATATATAATATATAATATTACATATATTATATATATAAGTAAAAATTGGACATAACCAAAACATCCAGTGATAAGCGATGGTTAAGTAAATTATTATATAGCTGTAGGTTATAATATATAGGTATCCAAATTATTTTTAAAATTATTTGATAGAATATCTTTGAGGATCCCTGTCTCTAGGCTCTGTTTACATATTTTCTCCCCGTATCCTAGAAAACATCTGTCATAGAGGATGGACTCCCCCCAAAAGTTTGATGAACAAATGAATATAGTATTAATTTTTTTAAACAGGATATTCTAAATATTTCAATAATATAAAATATATACATAAGAGAGAAATAAGCTTTAAACAACTGAATGGAGTGGGATTTTAAGTAACTTCTATTTTATACAAGTTTTTGCATTCTCTTAATTTCCAGTTGTATCAGCAAAAATTTGTTGTATGCCTACTTTGTGCCAGGTACTGTTCTAGATACGGGGATATAGTGGTGAAAAAGCCAGATACACTCCCTGTCTTCCAGTAGCTTAATCCACAAGTTGTGTAGTGAGTATATCTTATTTTTAAAATAATAAAGGTATACTTTTGAAAAAAAATACCTTATTGCCATTGATTACCCTTCAGAACTAACCATCTTGATTTCCCTTAAATCACATTAAAACTATTGAAGGTTCAGGCTTATAAGAGGGTTTGATATTAAAGGAGAATAAGTGGTCTTTCACTGATATATAGTAGATCTTTAAAATACATCTTCTTTGGGCCAGGTGCAGTGGCTCATGCTTGTAGTCCCAGCACCTCAAGAGGCCTAGGTGGAAGGATCACCAGGAATTCAAGACCAGCCTGGGGAACATAGCAAGACCTGTCTCTATTAAAAAATAAATTGACCAAGCATGGTGGTGGACACCTGTAGTCCCAGCTATTCAGAAGGCTGAGGCAGGAGGATCACTTGAGTGCAAGACTTTGAAGCTACAGTGAGCTATAATCATACCACTGCACTCCAGCTTGGGCAACAGAGCAAGACCCCATCTCTCAAATAAATAAATAAATAACTTCTTAGAGCATTAAATATTTCCATATAAATGAAGGCATTATTTTCTTAACGTAGGAGAAATTTTGAATCTTTTGTTAGATATGCCTTAAAATTCAGGCTTTTAACTAGTCTTTCTGAAATAATCATTAGCTATCTATTTTTTTTCTTAAATGTTTGCTTTTTGCCAGGCACTATTCTAAGCACAGTGTATGTGTTAACTCATTTAATTAACATAATAGTTCTATGATAGATACTTTCCATATGACCATTGTAGCAGTAGAGAAACTGAGGCCCAGAGAGGTTAAATAATTTACCCAAAGTCATTCAGCTAGTTGGTGGCATGGTATGGATTAATATTCCAAGAGTTTGTGCTCTTGAACATTACACTATTTTGTCTCAGAATCTGGTCAGTTATGACAGTTCTTGTTTGGTGACTAAAAGAAGAAAGAGTAAAAATAAACTTTAGTAGTTTGCATAGACTCAAAGCATAGGGTGTTACAGAGTGTTTGGTAATATAACCAGATCCTCCTTTTTCCTTTTTATTCAAGTTATATATATTGATAGATTCTTTTTCAAAGTTAACATGTAACTACCTTTTTTAAAAAGATTCATAAAACCTTTGTTTTTCTCTATAGCTTGACTCATGGTATGTTATTTTAAACGGCACTGTGGAAATCAGTCATCCAGATGGAAAAGTTGAAAATTTGTTTATGGGAAATAGTTTTGGAATTACTCCCACTCTGGATAAGCAGTACATGCATGGAATTGTCAGGACTAAAGTAGATGATTGTCAGGTAAGATTATCTCTTTGGTCAAGTCTTCTTGTCTGTTGGTTTAAAGTAGCTGAGCCTGTTTTGTCTTCCTCAAAAGAAAATAGCTTTATTTGAGAATTAGGAGTTTCAATAGCTCACAGTTAATAAAGGAAAGTAGATTTTGTATCTGCCTCAAATATTTGTGGCATTTAACAAGCTATAAGTTTTCAAAAGAGATTATACCAAATAAATGCTGGTTTGTTACATTTCTATTTGATATTAGCCAGCTCAGAGTCCTTTATTTAAAAAAAAAAAAGGAAAGAAATAGGAACTTCTGAGTTGTTTGTTTCTAACTTACTCCTGCTTCATATGTTCTTTACATAGTGTCAGTTTTGAGAGAAGTGGAAGTTCACTTCTCCTTTTAAAGAGCAAAATTCAAACAGATTAGACTTCTTTAGTCTCTTCATACGTGAATTGTTTCACCTTGATTTTTGTTAAAGATTAAAGGAATTAAGTGAAAAAGAACTAATGCCGCTAGATTTCTTACCTTTGTGCTCTGCATTGGTACATAGTGATATATTTATGTACTATAGGTTCATTAACTGTCCCCATGTTGTTCTTGGACAGTTTGTCTGCATAGCCCAGCAAGATTATTGGAGAATTTTAAACCATGTGGAAAAAAATACCCATAAAGTTGAGGAAGAGGGAGAAATTGTTATGGTACATGAGCATCGGGAACTAGACCGGAGTGGAACCAGGAAAGGACACATTGTGATCAAGGTGGGTGTTTTTACTTATTTTTCTAGTCACTGATTTTATTCTATCATCAAAGCTTTCATCTTGTTTTAAACCATTTTTTAAGTAATGCAAGATAATTCATTAACACTTTGGCATCTAACTTAAATGTTGACTCTTTGTCTTTCTCTAAAATTTTTTTTTTTTTTGTGATGGAGTCTCACTCTGTTGCCCAGGCTGGAGTGCAATAGCACAATCTCAGCTCACTGCAACCTCCGCCTCCCAGGTTCAAGCGATTCTCCTGCCTCAGCCTCCTGAGTAGCTGAGATTACAGGCATGCACCACCATGCCTGGCTAATTTTTGTACTTTTAGTAGAGGCGAGGTTTCACCATCTTGGCCAGGCTGGTCTTGAACTCCTGACCCTGTGATCCTCCCACCTCGGCCTCCCAAAGTGCTGGGATTACAGGTTTGAGCCACCATGCCTGATCTCTAAGATGGTTTTTACACATTTTAATGATGAAGGATGACTTATTGCCATTTAATATCAGAGTAGGTAGGGTATTATTTTAGAATATACTGGTCAGAGTTTTCCTTTTCAAACTTAATATTGTATGCCACTGAGAGCGGGAGTCAGTTTCATCAAAGACTGCAATATTTAGAAACAAAACAGAAAATTTAAGGACCAGTCATAAAAGCATAAGTAATCCTAGATTAAGATGCAGAGTGCTTCTGGATCTCTGTGGCACTGAAATATGCATTGACTTCTCTGAACCTCACTTTTCTTATCTGGATATGGAGGTAATTCAAGACTTTATTAGGGCTAAATGAGGTAAATCAAAAGCCTTAGCACAATTGTAGAGTCTGAGTATTAACCCCCATACTGTTTTCCCTTCTGTAAGTTCTGCCCTCTCCTAATACTTGCCTTCTCACCTCCTTTTCTCTTTAAAGACTTGGATATAAACTGAACAATTATAGTTGAAAGAGGGGAAATAAACACATAACTGTTTCTCTTTTCAAGCTAGTCTTGGCGAAATTATTGCCACTATTAATTGCAGATGAAGCAGTTTACTTAATAATATGAGGGAGTTAAATCAGAGAGATAATTTGAAGTCTGATGTCATACTTCTTCTTCCCTTAGAGTCAGGCTATTCCTCAGAGATCTTTCTTTTCCTAAACAGATGAGTGTAAGCTTTGTGTGTAGAAATGATTAACATACTGGTGGAATGCCATAGGCTTACACATATACTTTTTCATTTTAATTCATTTTTATCTTTTTGTGAGGACTCATGTGTTTTAGTAATTTATTTCTAAATAATTTCAAACTTTATAGAAAAGTTGCAAGAACAGTAGAGAGATCTGTCACTGATTCCTCAACTGTTAATATTTTCACTGCATTTGCTCTATTAGTCTTTTTTCTGAACGATTTGAGAGCAGTCTGCAAATGTGATGCCTCATCACTCCTAAATATCTTATTGTGTATTTCCTAAAAACAAGGACACTCTCTGACATAAACACCATAGAATCCTTCAAGTTAGGAAGTGAACATTGCTAAAATAAAACCATTCAGGGCCGGGCATGGTGGCTCATGCCTGTAATCCCAGCACTTTGGGAGGCCAAGGTAGACAGATCATTTGAGGTCAGGAGTTCGAGACCAGCCTGGCCAACATGGTGAAACCCTATTTCTACTAAAAATACAAAAATTAGCTAGGCATGGTGGTGGCCGCCTGTAATCAATCCCAGCTACTCGGGAGGCTGAAGCAGGAGAATTGCCTGGACCCAGGAGGCGGAGGTTGCAGTGAGCCGAGATCACACCATTGCACTCCAGCCTGGGCGACAGAGTGAGACTCCGTCTCAAAAACAAACAAACAAAAACAGATTCAGTCCAGAAACCCTATTTAGATTTTCACCAGCTATCCCAATAATAACTTACTTCTGGTCTAGAGTGTTGTCCAAGAACACAGTTGCATTTAGTTGTCATGTCACTTCAGTCTGTACCAGTTCCTCAGTCCTTCACTGTTGTTAATATCCTTAGCAGTTTTAAAGAATACAGATCATACATCCTGTAGTATTACCCTCCACCTGGATCTTTCCAGTATTTCCTCATGACCAGATAGATTCAAGTCATGCTTTCCTGGCAGGAGTTCACAAAACTCAGAGGGCACACAATGTCAACCTGTTGTCCTACCAATGGTGAAGTTAGCCATGATTACTGATCATGTTGGTGTCTGTCTGCCCAGTTTCTTCAGTGTAAAGTCATCATTTTACCCTTTGTAACTGATAAATATTTGGTGGAGAGATGTTCTGACAGTATCAAAATACTATCCTCAGACTTTTAGTTTATGTATAGTATGCACTGAATACAAACTTCTATTCGGCACTTTTTACTTCCATTACTATTCTTGTCTGAAATGGTGATTTTAAAAATAATTTCTCATGCATTTATTAACTCATTGTATTGAAGGAATGAACTGTCTTGTCTTCATTAATTTATTTATATTGGTATAAACTTATGTTACCATCATTCTTATTCTGATCCTCAAATTGTCCCAGGTTTTAGGTAGTGGGACTCTTAAACTGACACCTGTATTTTTTGACATATCCCCATCATTTGAGCACATCCGTATAATCTGGCAAATAATAAGGCTCATCGTGAACTTAACTGTACCAGCTCTGGAATTAGCCATTTCTCAAGAAGACCCTGAATCTTTATTCATTGTTACTGAAGTGTCATTGCTTTTAGAGTCTTTCATCAGAGCTAGGAAATATATGTATGTATTTGTTATAAACACATACACATCTATAACTTTATATATATATTAAACAACCATGAGTTACAATTCCACTACTACCTGTACCTCCAGTTCCAGTACCAGCACCACAGTTTTCCCTAGTCTATTCCCTTCTATATTTGTAAATACCTTCTCCAACAATGCCTCTTGTTATACTCTGTATATTATTTGCTCATTGTAAGCAGTTTCTACCATGCCAGTATAACAACACCAGCCATCTCTTCTGCTTGCTACCTCTGTGCACCCTGTCTCCCAGCATCCCACCTTCTAATATATTTTACAATAGATTTTAAACACTGTGTTGATTTTTTTAAGTGAAAGTTCAGAACATCAAAAATACTTGAACATAAATTTGCCGTGAGTTTATACACACCTTAAAATGTTTCCAGATTCTGATTGCATGCTGATGGGTTGCTTTTGTGACATAAATATTGAAAATATGTTATTTTTACTGTACTACAATCTTCACATTGAGATTTAATTGCAAATCATAACCATCTTTTGCTCATAGAAGGATTGATCATTTGATTTTTTTTTTTTTTTTGGAGACAAAGTCTCACTCTGTCACCCAGGCTGGAGTGCAGTGGCACGATCTTGGCTCACTGCAACCTCTGCCTCCTGGGTTCAGGCAACTCTTGTGCCTCAGCCTCCTAGGTAGCTGTGACTACAGGTGCATGCCATCACTCACAGCTTTTTTTGTTTGTTTGTTTGTTTGTTTTTGTATTTTTAGTAGAGGTGGGGTTTTGCCATTTTGGCCATTTGGCCGGGCTGATCTCTAACTCCTGACCTCAAGTGATCCTCAGGTCAAGGCCAAGCATGGTGCCTCAGACATGTAATCCCAGCACTTTGGGAGGCCAAGGTGGGCTCCAGAAGTGCTGGGATTACAGGTGTGAGCCACCGCACCTGGCCTTGACTTTCTGTTTACACATAATCACACAGAAAGCAGTTACTACTTTTCATTTCATTCATTTCTTCATTCAGTTCATTTCTTCATTTATTCAACAACACTGACTTTATGGTACTCTATGCCAGGCCCTGTGTGAGATCTGGGAGATACTAATATATACTTAGATTCTGCTATCAGTGAACTCACAGTCTTTTGAGAAAGACAAGGCGATAGTTTCAGCATGACTTGATAAATCTTAAGATGGAAGAGCAAGAGAGACATAAAAAGAGGGATCTAAATTAGGCTAGAAGAAATAGCAAGAAGATATAGGGAGGAAGGGTGGCCAGACAGAGACATATGCATGTGCTATATAAAATTGCATAATATATTTAAGAAAAAGCAGGAAATTTGTGTGGCTGGGATCAAGGGCATTTTGAGGTAAGATAGATTTTAGTCTAAAGAGGTAAGGGCTCATCTTTAAATAAAATTTAGAATGCATGACCTAGTCTCTATAGGGACCCTGCCTCTGTGATTTTGCCAGTCAGAATAATGGCCTAACATGTTGAACAGTTCCCATCCCTCACTCAGCTATTCTAGGAAATGGAATTAAGTGAACCTAAATGACCCTAAACCAGGATTGGCCTGAGTAATAAAACAATTTGGTACTCTTAGGCTTAGAATGTTTTGGAGGATAGGAGAATAGGAATGACCTATGATTTTCTTATCTCTTAAGGAGGTTGTTTCTGAGTTCCTTCTAGAGAAACGATTTTCGTACCTTATTTTTAATTAATAAAATAGGGCCAGGCACAGTGGCTCACGCCTGTAATCCCAGTACTTTGGGAGGCCATGGAGGATGGATCACGAGGTCAAGAGTTCGAGACCAGCCTGACCAACATGGTGAAACCCCGTCTCTACTAAAAATACAAAAATTAGCTGGGCATAGTGGTGCATGCCTGTAATTGCAGCTACTCAGGAGGCTGAGGCAGGAGAATTGCTTGAACCCAGGAGGCGGAAGTTGCAGTGAGCTGAGATCGCGCAGCGGCACTCCAGCCTGGGCGACAGAGCCAGACTCCGTCTCAAAAATAAATAAATAAAAATAAAGTACCTTTTAATAAATAAAGTACCTTTTTATTTTTAATAGATTCTTAGATAAAGAACATTGTTAGTATTAATGTATGTTTACCACACAGTTATTCTAAACAATGAAATTGTTTGGATGACTGCAACAAATTGAAGGTTGGGTGTTATGGATAACAGTTTTTATATCAGGCTTAACATCTTGTTTGTTTCTGTATTTGTTCTTGTACCAACCTTTGAAAAAGCTACAAAGGGTAATAAACATTGGTTCAGAAGCTCAAAGAAGAGCAGTATGGAAATTTTTGTTTATATTCTTTTTTTTTTTTTTTTTTTTTTGAGACAAAGTCTCGCTCTTGTCGCCCCAGCTGGAGTGCAGTGGCATGATCTCCGCTCTCTGCAACCTCCACCTCCCGGGTTCAAGCAATTCTGCTGCCTCACCCTCCTGAGTAGCTGGGATTATAGGCGCCGGCCACCACACCCAGCCAATTTTTGTATTTTTAGTAGAGACGGGGTTTCACCATGTTGGCCAGGCTGGTCTTGAACTGTGGACCTCAGGTGTTCTGCTCTCCTTGGCCTCCCAAAGTGCTGGGATTACAGGCATGAGCCACACCACGCCCAGCCTGTTTATATTCTTTTATAAAGTTGGAAACAAGCATTTAAAACTCTGAATTAATTTCAAAACTGTCTGTAGAACTTCTGGTTCCTCTCAATATGGTGACCTAGCATGGAGAGGAAACTGTATGAGAGGAACTGTAGAAAAGGAAATATTTATTCTGGGAAGTAACAATAATGAAACAGGCTCTCTTGAACTGGTGTGTTCTTCCTACAGCCTGGTCAGAAAAGATTTTTGAGGTGGATTAAATTTGGAGAAAAGCTTTCTTTTTTCTTTCTTCCCTTTCATTCCTTTCTTTTTCTTTCTTTCTTTAGTTTAACTTTCACCTCTTTTGTTGCCTTGAGACAATAAATACATGCCCTGGTTGTAGGAGAAGTGGCAGTAACAGCCCACACCAGGGCTAAGTTAGTGAAGTTCAAAGGTCCTGCTATGATGAAATGCCAGTGAAAACAGCTTCAGCTGAGTGAGTGCTGTTGGCTATTTATTTCTCTGCCTTTTCTGTCTCTCAACCTCTGGGTGCTGGTGGATTACAATTAAGTTTGCATTCCAATTCTCCCAGCGCTAAGGATTTAAAGGCGAAACTGTACTTTGACGATTTGTCTAATGGAGTAGCTACAAAGCGGAGTAATCAACAATAGTTCTTTGGTTCTTGGGTCATTTGTTTATTTTCTAATCCTTCCTATCCTTGGATTTTTAGGCAACACCTGAGCGTCTCATAATGCATTTAATAGAAGAACATTCCATCGTGGATCCAACTTATATAGAAGATTTTCTATTAACTTACAGGACATTTCTTGAAAGTCCTTTGGATGTTGGGATCAAACTATTGGAATGGTTTAAGATCGACAGCTTAAGAGATAAGGTTGGTTTTATAAGGGGCATGAAAGTGATTTTAACCCAAAATTTTATTCATGAAACTTTTATAGTTGATAGATTACCTGTTTATTATGATAATAAGATTCAGTACACCTAAAAAAATTAATGAACCTGAACCATCAGTATAAACATTCTCTGCTTACTTTTATGACAGAATAGCATGCTAAAAGTGGACGAGAGCCTTAAAAGGCAAAAACTGAAATAAAGCTCTGGTATAGCTATAGGTTCAGGAAACATAATAGTTACATGAGAGTATTTTAGAATTTTACTGAAATACTTGATTGTTTCTGGAGATCAATAAAACATTTTAAAACGGATTTAATATTTTAGAAAGAATATTCATCAAATACATTTTTTTAAGAGGGCAGATTGCTTTTAAGCTTCAAAATGGGAATATTTTTATTTTCTTGAGTTACAGACTTCACAATCATTTGAAAACAATTTATCAAACCTTAATATGTCTCTCCTGTGACTTATTTAAATCTACCTTTTGAGTATTTTTTTGTATTAAATGTTGTTCACTATTTTAAATAAATTAGCTTATTTCATGGGATATGTTTGCACATTTAATGGAAAGACTAGTAATACTTCCACAAATTGGTAAGAAATAAGTTGTTTCAAGAAAATAAAAGTAGGATCATAATTGTCTGGTGTGTCTTTTTGAGTTATATTTTAAAGGAAATAAACTAGTTGCAGGTAAACTGCAGAATTCTTTTATTTAGGAGACTAACATCTAAAACTACAGGCTTGCACACCTCTCACCCTTTTTCTTAGAATTAAATATATTTACCTTGGTTGCCAAGAAAATAAAGGCATGCTTTGGAAATGAACAAGAATATGATTTAGTGATAATTATCCATATGCAAAAGAATGAAAATGGATTACCACCTTATACTATAAACAAAAATGTACCCAAAATGGGTCAGAGACAGAAGAGCTAAAACTATAATGCCTTAAAGATAGGGGTAGATTATCATGGCCTTGGATTTGGCGTTGGTTTCTCAAATATGAAAATATGATACCCAAGCACAAGCAACAAAAGAAAAAAGAGATAATTGGACCTCATCAAAATTAAAATTATTTTTGCATCAAAGGACACTGTCCAGAAAGTTAAGACAATGCACAGAATAAGAGAAAATTATATATCTGATAAAGGTTTAATATCCAAAATACATAAAGAACTTTTACAACTCAACAACGAAAAGACAGCACAGTTTAAACATGGACCAAGGACTTGTATAGACATTTCTCCAAAGAAGATATGTAAATGGCCAACAGGCACATGACAAAGATGTTCAGCATCATTAATCATAGAGATATGCAGTCATAACCTCAATGAGATACCACTTTACACCCACTAGGATGGCTTTTAAAAAGGGGGAAAAAAGAAAAAGTAACAAACATTGCCAACGGTATGGAGACATTGAACCCTCCTCCCCACCCCCACCCTACACACATTGATGGTGGGAATGTAAAATGGTATTACCTCTGTGGAAAAAACAGTTTGAGCAGTTCTTCAAAAAGTTAAACATAGGGTTACCATATAGCCCAGCAATTCTAATCCTAGGTAAATACCCAGAGAATTAAAAACAGGTGTGCAAACGAAAACTTGACGTAAATATTCGTAGCAGCACTATTGACAATAGCCAAAAGGAAGAAATGACCCAAATGCCCATCATGGATAAACAAAATGTGGTATAGCCGTACAATAAAATATTATTCAGCCATAAGAAGAAAAGAAGTACTAATACTTACTACACCATGATGAACCTTGAAAACATTAAGCTAAGTAAAAGAAGCCAATCACAAAAGGCTAGGTATTGTATGATTCTATTTATGTGGAATAGCCAGAACAGACAAATAGACAGAAAAGCAGACTAGTGGCCGCCAGGGGCTGGAGAGAGGGCAGAATGGGAAGTGAAAGCTTAATGAGTTTGAGGTTTACTTTTGGAGTGATGAAAATGTTCCAGAACTCAGAACTAGACAGTGGTGATGGTTACACAGTATTGTTAAGGTACTAAATTATGAACTTTAAAATCATTAAAATGATGAATTTTATGTGGATTCTACCACGATTTAAAAAAAATGACTCATTTCTTACATTGTTAGGCATGTTATTCAAATCAGCTTACATTCGTTAATTTTTAACTTTTCTGAAGCAAAGTAAACGATTCTGCAGTTTGAAAATTTACAGTGTTTATAATGAAAGAAGTTTCAGATTTGTAAGGGTTTTTGTTTTGTTTTTTAATTTTTATAGAGACAGGGTTTTGCTATGCCCAGGCTGGTCTCAAACTCCTGGACTCAAGGGATCCTCCTTGCTTCAGCCACCTGAGTTGCTGGCATTGCAGGTGTGAGCCACTGCACCAGACTCAGATTTGTTTTTGTTACCGTTTTGGTTAAACATGTTCTTGACCATGGAAACGCTTTCGGTATGGATTTTTGATTGATAGGATTGCCTGCTTTATGACATGAAGTTTGCATTTTAAGGTGCTACCTGAAATAGACATTCTGTGTACTTCTTTTATCTTAACAAACAGGCTTGTGTCTTCTCACTGAGTGGACAGTGTCCTGGCTCTGTTACTTCTGTGCACAGGGAAGCAAAAGCTCAAATTAAACCATGCCTTTCTGTTAGAATGAGCCTTTTTTACACAAGGGAGGGAACAAGAGGGTTGTCAGTTCTTCATGAGTTTTAGACATGCTTTTGGAATCCACTTGTGCAGAAGGAATGCCTCTTATAACCATATGCTGCCTCTTTTATGTTTCCACAGGTGACACGGATTGTATTATTATGGGTAAATAATCATTTTAATGATTTTGAAGGTGACCCTGCTATGACTCGATTTCTAGAGGAATTTGAAAAAAATCTGGAAGATACAGTAAGGCTCAAAATAATTTCTATTCTTCAGAGTGTAGTGGTCCCCCCTCAACACTAGCAAACTCAGAACAGCAATAGCTTTCATTCTTTCCTGTGTCTTAAATGTCCATTCTTAGAACTTCCGAATCTGTATTCTAGACTTTTGTTCATTTATTCTCTGCCACCTCAATTAAAACAACATTTACACTCCTTCCTGACTCTTCCATTTATTTTTTATTTATATTTATTTATTTATTTATTGTATTTATTTGTTTTTTTTTTGAGACGGAGTCTCGCTGTCGCCCAGGCTGGAGTGCAGTGGTGCAATCTTGGCTCACTGCGACCTCCGCTTTCCAGGTTCAAGCAATTCTCTCCTACCTCAACCTCCTGAGTAGATGGGACTTCAGACGCGCACCACCACGCCCAGCTAGGTTTTGTATTTTTAGCAGAGACAGGGTTTCACCAGATTGCCCAGGCTGGTCTCAAACTCCTGACCTCGTGATCCGCCCGCCTCGGCCTTCCAGAGTGCTGAGATTACAGGCGTCTGAGCCACGGCGCCTGGCCCAAATCTTCCATTTCTGTATTGACATTCTTATCTCTTAGTTACTCAGGCTTATAAACCTGGTGTTATATGTGTACCCTCAGTCTCTTTTTCTTGAATTCCCTGGCCAGGATTTCCAGTCAGTTGCTAAAGTCACCTAGGTCACTGATTTAGTCATACACATGTATGTTCACATATTTTCTTATGGTCTCTCTCAGCCATTTCTTTTTTACTCCCTAGTTTAGGACTTAATATATCTGATCTATTATAATCTGCTCACTGACCCTAGTTCTAGTTTCTCTTCTAGTTCATTCTGTGTGGCCAAAAGATTGCTTTTAAAACACACATGTGATGACTATTATTTTCTTTGTCAGTAATCTATACTTCCTACCAAAGCAGTTCCTCACCCATATATTCAGGTCCCTTGCCTACCTTTTTGCCCTTTTTCCTGTGTACCCTAGATTATAGCCAAATCAGACTATTTTATTTTCCAGTTCTGCATCCAGACCATGCTAGAATTTTCTTTTCCTCACCTATTGAAACTCTGTTTCACTATCAGTGCATATCCTAAATATCAAATCTATATTGACTTTCTAGGTTTCCTTTCTATATAGGATTCATCTGTTCTAAATGTACAGCACCTAAGATAATTCCCTCCAAGTCCACAGTAGCTGTTCGTGAATTCATTTTAAACTCCCTGTCAGATATAAAACTTTGAGCTGTGACTTGGTTGCCTCCTTCAAGCAACTTGAAATTTTAGGAAATAAGTAGTAATGCAGCATAGTGTTTTAGGAGTACAGCTCAAGCTCCACCATTTGCTAGATTTGTAAACTCAGACATTGCCTGATCTTATGCCTTAGTTGTGTTATTTGTAAAGATAGTAGTTCCTAGTTCATTGAGATTGTTGTAAGGATTATAATGAGCTGAGAGGCATAACAGTCTGTACACAAAACCTGTGACATAGCAAATGCTCAAGAGCTGTAATTAATTACTTACAGAGCATAAGTGGATTGAGTTGAATGAAGTGGGAAAAATTGGCAAATTTGGTCCCTTTCATTACCCCTTGGTTCCTATTGACTTCTCGGCAGCACATGTGCTCTATACAAAATGGGGAGAGTGAACAACACTGGGAACTTGATTAAAAGGTTATAGAGGTACTCCACTATCATTTGAGTCATCCTGTGTTGGCTTTGTAAATATTCAAGGGACATCAGAATGTGGGAAAAAAAGTCATGGGATTTTTTTTTCCAGTAATCAGTTAGCCATCAGGTATTCATTGCATTCTACTTTATACTCAAAGACATCAATGTAGGATCAGAACAGATGTAAGACTTGGTGTCTGCTTTAAAAAAAAAAAACTTTAGCTTTTTGTTATGGACATGAGATTTGCACATATTAACACTATTTGAGATAATTGAAACTGGAATTAGAACTGGTAGACTATTACTGAGTTTAAGGAAGAGCTAAAATAATACAAGAAGGAAGTCTTTTCTGGACGAGATGAAAACTTGAATGTTTCTTTGAACATTGGACAATATTTAAAAAGGTGGTTCAAGTTGTTCAAGGTTTTGAATAAAGGTTTTAAAAGATTCTGGTTTTATATAACAGCCAGGAGATAAGCAAGGTGGGAGTAGAGTGTGTATTAGGAAAAGTTTAAGAAATGATAAGTAGGTCGGGCGCGGTGGCTCATGCCTGTAATCCCAGCACTTTGGGAGGCCGAGACAGGCGGATCACGAGGTCAAGAGATCAAGACCATCGTGGCTAACATGGTGAAACCCTGTCTCTACCAAAAATACAAAAAATTAGCCGGGCATGGTGGCGGGCGCCTGTAGTCCCAGCTACTCGGGAGGCTGAGGCAGGAGAATGGCATGAACCCGGGAGGTGGAGCCTGCAGTGAGTCGAGATCGCGCCACTGTGCTCCAGCCTGGGCGACAGAGCGAGGCTCCGTCTCAAAAAAATAAATAAATAAATAAATAAATAAATAAATAAATGATAGGTAATTTTTTGTCATGTCTCTGTAAATGAGACATCACTTGGAAATCTACCTATGATAATTTAAAAGTCTTATAATCATATTTAGAAATCTTGTTGAGAGTGCTTTGGCGTGGGAGTGCCCCCTTCTTCAATTTTGTTTACCTCAGCTTATACATGTATATTTATAACTCTAATTCTAATAATTTTCGTTGACTTTTTAAAAACCTATAGGAATAGATACATTTATATACATTTATCCTTTTCTGCTTAACAGAAGATGAATGGTCATCTCCGGTTATTGAATATTGCCTGTGCTGCAAAGGCTAAGTGGAGACAGGTTGTGCTGCAAAAGGCTTCCCGCGAGTCCCCTCTACAATTCAGCCTTAATGGAGGGAGTGAGAAGGGATTTGGTATTTTTGTTGAAGGAGTAGAACCTGGTAGCAAAGCTGCTGATTCAGGACTGAAACGTGGTGATCAGGTAAGGAAATAACCAACCACTTATATTCAAGCCTTCTTAAAAGTATTATGCCTGCTGCTTTTGTTCTCATCTTCCAGAAAGCATGATCAGTTTAAGGAAATATTTTTCTGAGCCTTTTTTTAGAGGTAGTATCTGCATATGGTTTATTTTTAAAAGTATTTGTCATATATTTATTACTTTTAATGGAAAATTTGGTGTAGTATGGCCAGAAATAACATGGTCTACTGAGCTCTATCAACATGACCTCCTTTGAATGGGCCTGCCTATCCTTCATGGATTAGGAAACTGTATAAGCTGGCAACTTGAGAATACTCCAGAACGATCAATATATGAATTAGCACCCTTGCAGGTTTTGAAGAAGACAGCACTTCTACCTCATAGTACTCTCAAATGTAAGTGGCTGCAGATTACTGAAGGTTATGGTAATCATTAAATTATGTTCATATGGTAACATAACTATATCCATAAGCAAAGTGAGCCAAATGGGGGACTAGGAAAAAAGACACTCTTAGGAATTTGATGGTGATTTTTATTTTTTGGTATAGGCATTAGGTAAGTATAGAGCAGCCTATTCCAAATGTGATCTGCTGGCAACTTTGTTACATAAAAAATGTAATTCTCAGGCTTCTCTCAATCCTGTTAGTCATATTGCCCACATTCTTAAGCAATGATGTCTGAACATCTGTATTTTTAACAAAGCTCTCTAGATCAGTGGTCCCCAACCTTTTTGGCACCAGGGACCAGTTTTATGGAAGACAGTTTTTCCACGGACCAGGGAGTTGGGGCTGGGGTGATGGAGATGGTTTTTGGATGAAACTGATCCACCTCAGGTCATCAGGCATTCAGACATTAAATTTTCATAAGGAGTGCCCTAGATCCCTTGCATTTGCAGTTCTCAACAGGGTTCACACTCCTATGAGAATCTAATGTCACTGCTGATTTAACAGGAGGTGGAGGTCAGGCGGTAATGCTCACTGGCCCACTGCTCACCTCCTGCTGTGTGGCCCAGTTCCTAACAGGCCATGGGTCTGTGTCCTGGTGGTTGGGGACCCCTGCTCTAGATGATTCTCATGTACTTCAAAGGGTGGTTTCCCAAATCTGCCTGATCATCAGAATCATTTAGGAAACTTGCTTTCTCCCCATTTAAAATTTTGTTCTTTCATTTTAGAATGTGGCTTTATTTTAACGGAGCCATGTTATCATTTTTTAAAAATTATGAGCTCATTCATATTATGAAAGGTTCTACACTCTAGAACAGTGGTTCTCAACTAGTGGCAATGTCTGCAGATATTTTTTATTATTATGACTTGGGGATTATTACTGGCATGTTGGTGGACAGAGGCCGAGGATGCTGCTAAACAGCCTACAATTCCCAGGACAGCTTCCACAATAGAGTTTTCTGGGCCTGACCCCAGACTACTCATTAGGAATGTCTAATAGCTAGAATCCTGTAATCAGTATATTTATTGTTCAGTTATTTGTATCACAGACACATTTAATAATCTAATTCACACACACACACACACGTGAAATCATTCTTGAGAATGAAATTTATCATGCTTTTACTTCTTCCTTCAATCTTCCCAACTACTGTTGAAATGATCTGAGATTTTAGATCTACATTATTGTTACTTTTTAACATTATGTATCTTCTGTTTCAAGAAGGCTTTTGATGTTTGAGTTAAGTTTCATAAGCTTTTAAACAAGCATTTAGACATTTACACCTGCTTAACTGATTTCATTGATCACTTTTATTTCATTTGCACTGTATATCCCCATTATTTCAACTCATTTCACAGTTGTCTTTGGTACTTCTTTTAGTACTTTTTTAAGGAACAGATGGGTGATACAGTATTATATGTTCTTGCCTTCCTGAAGATACTTGTGTTCAATAGAGCGTAACATTTTTTTCCCACAGTGACTTTTCCCTCAGAATACTAAAGTCACAGAAAGTTATCACATCAACTTAATGTTGCCCAAGAGAAGTCCAAACTCTTTGCGCTTCTTTTGTAGGTACCTTTGGGTTATCTTCCCACAATGATGTTTATAGATTCTTTATTCTTTCTTCTTGGAACAAAGAAATTTCATTGGGATATGTTTTTAAAAATAGATCTCTTTTTATTATTTTTGCATGGTACTAGATGAGACATTTTAGTGCATAGATGCAAGTCTTTTTTCAACTCTGGGAATTTTACTTCTATGGAATTTTTTTTTCTTTCCCTAATATTTTTTCACTCTTTTTCTTATCCTTTAGAAATTTTTATGTTGATCCCCTAGATCTGCTCTCTGTTCTGACTAGTTTTTGCTCATTATATCTTTTTATCCTTTTCCCTTAGAATCAGTACTTCTTGAAATAAACTGCTTCTATGATTCTGAGGTATAGCCAAATTGGGGAAGCCCTCTTGTGAAGGGTCAGCAGTGTTTACCTGGAAGAAGAACCCATTTCAGTTGTGCTTCTTGCTGTTTGGCTGCCTGATTCAATCAGTGGCAGAAAATCATATTAAATATATTTAGAGTACTCCCTTTAAAAGAATTACCTCTCTTTGAAATTCAGTAAATTTACATTGAGAATATTTGACAAATTTGTATATACATTTGCAGGCAATAATTTTTATGAGCTGATCTGCCATGATTAAATGTTTTCCTTTGTAAACCATCTGGTGTGGGTATTTTTTAAATTTCCTCAGTATGATCCCAGAGGGCATTAACTGTCAAAAAAAAAAAAGTTTATAGTAAAGAATTTGGAAAATACAACAATATAGAGAAAAAGAAAAACAGTAGTCCAGCTTCTCACAGAGATAACTGTTGTTCACATAGGAGTACATTTTATTCAAGTTTCATTTTATTTATTCACTATTAAACTTTTAAGGTTGTAGGAGTAACTAATACTGTTCTGTATTAATTTGTATTTTTTAAATACTTTTAAGATTATGGAAGTAAATGGACAAAACTTTGAGAATATTACATTTATGAAAGCCGTTGAAATTTTGAGGAATAATACTCATCTTGCACTTACTGTGAAGACCAACATTTTTGGTGAGTTTTGTTGTAAAAATTGCCTGAACTCTTTCTTCTTAATTTGGTAATAGAAAAGTCATTACAGTGGAAGAAAAGATAGTAAAATATAAACATGTTTTTGTCTAAGCTCTTCAGCTAGTTTCAGAATCTTTAGTTTTGAACTATTATGTATTCTAGAATTTTCATTTTTCATTATGTTTTTAATTATTTTGATAGTAAGTTTTAAAATAGGTGTACAGCTACCTTCAGTTATTTATGAAATTCCTATGGAGCGTGTATTATGTACTCTGCTGGAGGGATACTGAATGAAATATAGAATGTCCGGAATAAAACTAAGAAGTCATAATCAGGCATTTTTTCCCCCAGCTAGTGTGCAAATTAGTCTACTTCTAATCTTTAAGCCAGCTTTCTGAAGTAATATGAATGCCAGATTAGCTGTTTTATGGAAATAAACTGAGTAAAGCATTGACTTAAGTACTTAGTGAATTACAGATTTCTAATAAGAGCATACTCTACCTTTGTGTGGAAAAATGATTACAGTGCCTCTGTTGTGTTTTTATCATGTTTATATTTAAATAAAACCAGTGACTAAGCTCATACTTTTAACCAAATCTACTGTGTGTTTTTTTAAACTTTTAGGAAAGATTTAATGTGATTTGATTGCCTTAGACACTTTAGGATTTTTCAGAAATTCTGAAAAGAGTAACAGTAAAAATCATACAGCAATTGAAATAACAAAGAAACTTTAAGAGTCCTTATGAAGTAGGGAGGAAAACAAATCTCTCTAGGTTTTTTAGGTTACAATTTGAGAAGTAAGAGTTGGCTTTAAAAGCTATGCCTACGGAAGGGAAGTGTGAGTTTTATTTTTTTCACTTTGGCTTTTTATATTGTGCTTAGTCATAATGAAAAATGAAACGTGGGGTTTTTCCTCTTTTTGAGTCCCTTTGACTGAATTACATCATGTTAAATCTGGTAAACTGTCAATTGGCAATTTAGTATTATATTACTTTAGCATAGAATAAGTAAGTAAGCCTTCAGAATTTTTTGATTTCCTGGAGTTTCGACTAATATCTAGAAATGCCAACTTTTAGGTTAAATGAAAGAGATTTCCAGTTTCGAAAAATAAGAAAGCAGGACTTGCTCTCTTACTTTGAGCAAATTATTTAGTCTTTCCAAGCTTCAGTTTCTCTAGCACTATTTCCTAGGTTTCTTCTAAGTATCTAATACCTTTAAACCTTTTGTACCCGTCACATAAAGATTACTAACTGGTATTAAATATTCTGAATAAAAATACAGAGATAGTGTGAACCCCCATGAACTCTGGGACACAGAAAAGTAGATCTGAAGGATGCAAAAGACAGAAGCCATACCCTCAGAACCCTTTGAGTAGTGGGAAAACAGTTGGCCAACAGAACCCTAGGTTGGATATAGCAGAGGGTAGAAGTTACATGGAGCTGCAAAGGGGGAACATAGCAGTCACCTCTTTCTTCCTTACCCTAGGAGGAAAGCAAAACACCAAGGAGAAAGCTAAATACCTCATGTTTAGATTTAGAAAATGCACCCAGAGAAGAAAACAGCTGGCAATCTCAGTTTACTCTCTTTCTATTCTGGAATTTTAATTTATCTATTAAATTACAAAGGAATATTTGTAAAATATTTGTAGAAATGGAGCATTTTACTCTAGATGTGGTGATGCCCCTAATAAAGCCCTAATAACTCTGGCATTACCATGAAATAGAGTTGAGCAGTTAGGTTGTCCTGTATCAAACTTACAGTGAGGACACCTACAAAAAGGAAACCTGTGACCAGAAGACATTGGTTCAGTGATACTGAGAGGTGAAGCCAGCTGGACTTCCTGGGTCAAGTAGGGACTCGGAGAACATTTCTGTCTAGCTAGAGATTGTAAACGCACCAATCAGCACTCTGTAAAAACACACCAATCAGCGCTCTGGGTCTAGGTAAAGGATTGTAAATGCACCAATCAGCACTCTGTGTCTAGCTAAAGGATTGTAAATGCACAATCAGCACTCTGTAAAAACGCACCAATCAGTGCTCTGTGTCTAGCTAAAGGATTGTAAATGCACCAATCAGCACTCTGTAAAATGGACCAATTAGCACTCTGTAAAATGGACCAATCAAGCACTCTGTAAAATGGACCAATCAGCAGGATGTGGGCAGGGACAAATAAGGGAATAAAAGCTGGCCACCCCAGCCAGCAGGGGCAAGCTGCCAGGGTCCCCTTCCACCCTCTGGAAGCTTTGTTCTTTCATTCTTCACAATAAATCTTGCTGCTGCTCACTCTTTGGGTCTGCACCACCTTTAAGAGCTGTAACACTCGCCGCGAAGGTCCGCGGCTTCATTCTTGAAGTCAGCAAGACCATGAACCCACCGGAAGGAAGAAACTCCGGACACATCTGAAGGAACAAACTCCAGACACACCATCTTTAAGAGCTGTAACACTCAACCGTGAAGGTCTGCATCTTCATTCTTGAAGTCAGCGAGACCAGGAACCCACCGGAAGGAACCAACTCTGGACACAATACTAGAACAAACCATTCTCAGTCCTTTTATTACTTAAAACTGACGATCAGGGATCACCAAGCATAAGGAGAATCAGGATCATTGAGAGGGTGTGGTAGAGACCTAATGAGTGATCTTATAGATTCTGGAGAAAATATTTAAAGGAGAGAAGAAAAACATTTCTAGGACGCTGCACAGAGCAATTTAAAAATTTATCCCTTGAGAGGCAGAGCTTGCAGTGAGCCGAGATTGCGCCACTGCACTCCCGCCTGGGGGACAGAGCGAGACTCTATCTCAAAAAAAAAAAAAAAAAAAAATTTATCCCTTGAAACAAGAACAGGATATTAGGAAAGAATAAACAACAATCATTGAGAAAGAAGTAACTCTTACAGACAAAAACATTTGTTTGAAAGAATAGATAATAAAGTTGAGAAAAATCTCCCATACTATGGAACAAAAAGACAAAGTAAAATTAAGCTCTATTCCAGGATATCTAAAAGAAAATGTAAGGAAGAAGATGTTTAGGAAATAATAGCAGAGAATATCCCAGAGTAAAAGAAGGATGTGACTCTCGTATTTCAAAGGCCTCACTATGAGCTGAGGAAAATGTATTAAACAAAACTTGTGTCAACTTTCTACTTCCAGTATTGACTGAAGACAACTTAAAAGAGCTAGACTAAATATGAAAAACTATAAACAAACATAACAATCCAAAAAGATAGTGAAAAACTCTGGATGTGTCAAAGCCTTTTCCCACTCCTGGGACCATATCCCAAAGTGATGTCTCTTTTTCCAGGGCCATTTTCCCATCCGTAGAATAAAACTGAGAGGAGCTCCTTGATAAACTTACAGGTTTGTAGTTTAGTGCCCACCAAAGGATAAAATAGTAGCATTACAACCTTTGTTAGGATTGAGACTTTGAAAACCTCTCTCTGAAGTGGATGTGCGCTGTACCTAACTGACCATCTAGGTGACCAAGAAAAACTTACAGTTTTGGCCCTGGACTTAGATTATAGGTGCCTGACAAAAGAAAATAAATATGTTCTTTAGAGGATACTAACAGCAACTTGTTATTTCTAAAAATAATTTTTTAAAAACAGAGTCAAGCAAAGATTATGAGGCACTCTTAAAAGTCAGTATGAGCCAGAACCAACAGAAACAGAAGCACAGTTGCTCCAGAATATCAGACACAGATTTTAAGTTTGCTATCTTTTATGTCCATGAAGATAAAAATCAAATTAAGTGTTCCATTTCCAGATAAGATGGAGTAAACACACACCACCCTTCATCTCTCACTGAACTTAATAGTAAACCTGGACAGAATCATGACCCACTTAGCTGAGAACTCTGAAAAGCAAATAGCAACAGGCAATTCGCAGAAGAATACCATAATTCAAAGTACCACTACCAGCAATGAATTCACTATTATTTTAATTCTAGTATGCCCTAGGTTGGACTCAAGGCAACCTAAAACCTGGATGTGAGTACTGTGGTACAGACAGAGATCCAGGAGAAGCCTGGCTTGAGGAATGAGAAAAGGGAACTCCTACTAATAGCAGTTGTCCTGTGGAGAAAAGTGACACTGCTTTTAGGCTTCATTGAATTCTAGTTTTCATGCAAGTGCTCACAGCCATCTAAAGTTCTCTCTCTCCTCGAAGAGTCCCTCTACCTGACCCACACCTCATGTTTAGATTTAGCAAATGCACCCAGAGAAGAAAACAGCTGGCAGTCTCAGTTTACTCTCTTCCTATCCTGGAATTTTAACTTATTCCTCTTGGCTTCCACAGCTTTCTAAAATCTTTAAAAATCCCACTTCTAGCCAAGCATGGTGGCTCATGCCTGTAATCCTAGCAATTTAGGAGGCTGAGGCGGGAGGATCACTTGAGGCTAGGAGTTCCAAGACCAGCCTGGGCAACATAGTGAGACCTGGTCTCTACAAAACACTAAAATTTAGCTGGGCATGGTAGCATGCACCTGTAGTCCCAGCTACTTGGGAGGCTGAAGCAGGAAGATCACTTGAACCCAGGAGTTCAAGACTATAATGAGCTGTGATTGTGTCCCTGCACTCCATCCTGGGCAACGAGCAAGACTCTGTCTCTAAACCCAAAAATCCCATTTTTCAGATAACTTGTCTTTTTAAGTTTTAATAAAAGTAGTAAGTGCATATATTTTGAAAACTAAAATACTAAAAATAGATATACAATGGAACCATACTGTGTACAATATTCTGTGCTTTTTCACATCAGTTCATACAGACCTACTTGTTATATAATTTTTATTATTACATAGAATTCTATTATTACCATAATCTGTTGAGTTAATGTCATATTGATAGATATTTTAGATTGTTTATAGTTTTTGCTATTAACAGAGATATAATAAAAATTCTTTGTACTTTTATGCTCATATAGATCCACCTATATGATACATTTCTCAAAGTGGAATTACTTTTGACAGACACTGCAGGGTTTTACTTTCTGAAAGTTTATCACGATCTATGCTTCATTCATCAGTGTATAAGAATGTCTTGGCCAGGCACAGTGGCTCACGCCTGTAATCCCAGCGCTTTGGGAGGCCCAGGCAGGCAGATCATGAGGTCAAGAGATTGAGACCATCCTAGCTAACTCTGTCTCTACTAAAAATACAAAAATTAGCTGGGTGTGGTGGCATGCACCTGTAGTCCCAGCTACTCGGGAGGCTGAGGCAGGAGAATCACTTGAACCTTGGGGGCGGAGGTTGCAGTGAGCCAAGATCGCACCACTGCACTCCAGCCTGGCAACAGAGCAAGACTCTGTCTCAAAAAAAAAAAAAAAAAAAAAAAGCCTCTGCAGTGGGTATAATCAGTCTTTTAAATTTTGATATACATTATTTAATAACAAGTAAGGTTGAGCACCTTTTTTGTGTGTTTTGGCATTTCTTTTCTATAAAGTCTTTTTTTTTTTTTTTTTGAGATGGAGTCTCGCTCTGTTGCCCAGGCTGGAGTGCAGTAGCACGATCTCCACTCGCTGCAAGCTCCGCCTCCTGGGTTCATGCCATTCTCCTGCCTCAGCTTCCCGAGTAGCTGGGACTACAGGTGCCTGCCACCATGCTAATTTTTTGTATTCTTTAGTAGAGACGGGGTTTCACTGTGTTAGCCAGGATGGTCTCAATCTCCTGACCTCATGATCCACCTGCCTCGGCCTCCCAGAGTGCTGGGATTACAGGTGTGAGCCACCACGCCCGGCCTCTGTAAAGTCTTGACTTCATCTGCCCCTTTTTATATTGTTACTCATCTTTTATTGACTTGTTTGACCACTTTATAAATTAAAATAGTATCTTTCAACTCTTTTTAAAGAGTTGAAAAGTTGAAAGTATTTTCCCTAAGTGGTTTGTGTTTTGACTTTTGTTTCGTGTGTTTGTGAACGCATATATACATATGTGGGAAGAGACATTTTTAATTTTTATGTAGTCAGTTTTATTAAGCTTTTATAGATTCTTTGGCACTTTTACTTTTGATTCATGTACAATGTCTGATATTGCTGTTTAATAGCATTGTAGTTATGTGTACTCACTATCCTTTCATTTTTGTCCCTATTTTTTTTAATTTAACGCAATCATTTCTCTTCTTTAAAACAAGCTACAAGCTCCACAAATTTTTGCTTATAATTACATACTCATGTCCAGTGGAGAAATTTAACATTTTTTTTTTTTTTTTTGAGACAGAGTCTTACTCTGTTGCCCAGGTTGGAGTGCAGTGGCTCGATCTCGGCTCACTGCAACCTCCGCCTCCCAGGTTCAAGCGATTCTACTGTCTCAGCCTCTGGAGTAACTGGGATTACAGGCATGCGCCACCGTGCCCCGCTCATTTTTGTATTTTCAGTAGAGATGGAGTTTCACCATTTTGGCCAAGCTGGTCCCGAACTCCTGACCTCAGGTGATCCACCCTCCTCAGCCTCCCAAAGTGCTAGGATTACAGGCATGAGCCACCACACCCAGCCAAATTTAACAATTTTAAAAAATAATTCAGTTACCTTATATACACACTACTAAGGAAATCGCCCCTTCAAAGTTTTCCTTTTGCTCTAACAGAAAATTTCAATACTTTAGCATAGCATTAACTGGCCTCATCTCTAGCTTGTTCTCTAGTCATTTTAATTTTCTTGAACTTTCCTTCTACCACAGGGACTTTGAACTTGAGATTTTCTCTACCTAAGATTACTCATCCTTTGCCTAGTTAAAATCTTCTCATCTTTCTGATTTCTTTTTACAAGATGACTTGCTTAAGGAAGATTGCCCTTTCCTACTGTTTTAAGTAGTTCCTCTGGTTATGTTTTATGCGTCTTAGACTGACTGTAAGTTCCACAACAGTAGTAATATACAAACATCAAGTGAAGTGCCTGACCTATATTTACAGGTTGACATTTTTTGAATGAATGTCTGAATTTTAGATTTAAAAAGTATTGGCCAGTCGTGGTGGCTCACCCCTGTAATCCCATCACTTTGGGAGGGCGAGGCAGAAGGATCATTTGAGCCCAGGAGTTCAAGACTAGCCTAGGAAACATAGTGAGACCACATCTCTACAAAAATAGAAAAAATGAGCTGGGTGCAGTAGCACATGCCTGTCATCCCAGCTACCCAGGAGGCAGAAGTGGGAGGATCAGATGAGCCCATAAAGTCAAGGCTGCAGTGAGCTATGGTCTCCAGCCTGGATGACAGAGTGAGACCTGACCCTGTTTCCAAAAAATGCATATATAAATGTACATATATACATGTATACACACACACACATACACACACGTGTGTGTATATATTACCATATGGCTTAAAATCAAGTGAAATTTGTTAAATATTTTATTTTAATCATGCAGACTTTATGGAAGGTAACTTCTAAAAAGTCTCCATCATTTTGATAGCAGAAAAATGTGCTTTTCATAAACTTGCGCTGTGCTTTGGTAATGTGGTATCATCCTTCTGTTGAAACCCTCAAATCAGTCCAGATTTACAAGTGAATACCAAGTTGTAAGTATTTTAATCCATTCTTAAGGCTTTATCCATTTCTATCTTACTTGTAAGTTCTTTGATTTTGTGGGAAACTCTTACTTTCCTTTTCTGTCGTTTTCCAAAAAAATTCTCTGTGATTGGATTTTTCAGTGGGCATATTTACACAATTTACAACTTAAAAAATAAAAAAAGGTGCAGCATATACTGCTCAAAGCTGTATGTAATGATAAGCTGAGTGTTTGCTTCCACAGCTCATGCAGCTGAAGCCATTTAAGTCTATTCTAAGAATATGCAACCACTGTTTCTCTGTAATTCAGACTTCTTCAGGCACCATGACTCATCATTTCTAGATATTTAACCTTATACAGATTTATCTTTGCTTTATCCCAAGGAGATGTAGCCATCCTCACAAGGCAAAAATTTGGTGTAGGCAAATAGATTGCTAAACAGGTAATTTCCCAAATGTACCTGCACCCTCATTAAGGATGAAATAATTCACCAGACTTAGTTAGACTTGATAGAAAGATATCTGAGGCCGGGCACGGTGGCTTAACGCCTGTAATCCCAGCACTTTGGAAGGCTGAGACGGGCAGATCTCTTGAGCCTAGAAGTTCGAGGTCATTCCTGGGCAACATGTCGAAACCCCATCTCTACAAAAAAATACAAAAATTAACCCAGCATGGTGGCACACTCCTGTAATCCCAACTGCTCCAAGAGGCTGAGGTGGGAGGATCACCTGAGCTTAGGGAGGTCCAGGCTGCAGTGAGCCCTGATCACACCACTGAACTCCAGCCTGGGCAACAGAGTGAGACCCTTTCTCAAAAAAAGGAAAAAAAAAGGGCCAGGCATGGTGGCTCACGCCTGTAATCCCAGCACTTTGGGAGGCCGAGGCAGGTGGATCACCTGAAGTTGGGACTTCGAGACCAGCCTGACCAACATGGAGAAACCCCATCTCTACTAAAAATACAAAATTAGCCTGGTGTGGTGATGCATGTCTGTAATCCCAGCTACTTGGGAGGCAGGATAACCTCTTGAACCCAGGAGGTGAAGGTTGTGGTGAGCCAAGATTGCGCCATTGCACTCCAGCCTGGACAACAAGAGCGAAACTCTGTCTCAAAATTAAAAAAAAAAAAAAGCAGTATCTAAGATATGATTGGTTGTTACTTGTTTTTACTTCAGACCACTGAAGTGGATATTTTTTTAGCAGCTTTACTGAATGACATAGCCTCATAAATGTGACCGTGAGGAATCGATATATATTACCAAATTAAAATTACCAAAATTAGGCCGGGCATGGTGGCTCATGCCTGTAATCCCAGCACTTTGGGAGGCCGAGGTGGGCGAATCACCTGAGGTCAGGAGTTCGAGACCAGTCTGGCCAACATGGGGAAACCGTATTTCTACTGAAGATACAAAAATTAGCCGGGTGTGGTGATACATGCCTGTAATCCTAGCTACTCTGGAAGCCGAGGCAAGAGAATCGCTTGAACCCGGGAGATGGAGGTTGCAGTGAGCTGAGATTGTGCCACTGCACTCCAGCCTGGGCGACAGAGTGAGACTCTGTCTCAAAATCAGTCAATCAATCAATAACCAAAATTACTGCTTTTGGTAAAAGTAAAAATAAAGTCCAGCAAAGCTTTTCTCATCTAAATTTTACAATCTGAACCTGACTACAGTAGTGAGGTCTCATCTCAAGTGACATATGTAGTTATCCCTCGGTATATGCATAGGGTTGGTTACAGGACCTCCACCCCATGTACACCCAAATTTGTGCATATTCAAGACCCACAGTTGGTTCTTCAGAGCCATACGCAGGTTTTTGCATCCCAAGAATACTGTATTTTCAATCCACGTTTGGTTGAAAAAAATTCAAGTATAAATGGACCCACATAGTTCAAACTGGTGTTGTTCAAGGGTCAGCTGTATTATAAGAAATAACATAAAATAGAACCTAAGTATCTGTTTCTATAAAATTAGTTGATTAGCAGTTATGTTACTTATTACCTAAATAGGAACCTCTGTTTTTTTTCAAACTTGCCTGCAGCCTGCCCACTTCCTTTCCCTTTCCCCCCACTGACTTTCCTTTTATTAGTGTTGGGCAACATCAGAAGTATAATCAGGTATAAAAACTAAAGAAAGAAGAAGATATAGCTGCTAAAGGACGGGTAAATACTTGACAGTGTTTAGTTGAATGAGACTGAGAAAGTTCAAATAATGGAAAGTCACTGTGTTTATCCTTAAAATTTGTTGTTGGTATAAAAATTTTCTGAAGAGAAGAAATAAAATGACGCATTTGTTTTATTTCCACAGTGTTCAAAGAGTTACTTTTTAGGACTGAACAAGAGAAATCTGGTGTTCCTCATATTCCCAAAATTGCTGAAAAAAAAAGTAATCGCCATTCTATCCAGCATGTGCCAGGAGATATTGAACAGACATCACAGGAGAAAGGAAGTAAGAAAGTTAAAGCAAATACTGTTTCAGGTGGAAGAAACAAAATCAGGAAGATTTTGGATAAAACACGATTTAGTATCTTGCCTCCAAAGCTATTTAGGTAGGTAATGCCGATCTTAGCTATGCAGGAATTTTCATCTTCACTGTAAAGTTTTTATTTGGGGTGGGGGGAGGCTTGGGTAAGTTTTGCTTTGTTATATAACTAATGTATCATAAAGTCTTCAAACAGTACTCAAATAAGAATACATTTGAACTTCTCCCTATCACTTTCATGAAGTTACTACTTTCAGATTATATAATAGCATTATTTTGAATTTTGGGAAAGACTGTCCATTTTATTTTATGAAATCCATTTTTAAATATTTTTGGTCCACTTTTAGTCTCCTGATCTCTACAAATTGTACACCTTAAATCTTGGGACTTATTCACCAGTTTTTTTTTTTTAATCATTTTTCCTTTGCAGCACCATTTATTCCTTCTTGAATTCTAAAGTTGAACTTTTTAATCAGACCTATTTCTATTTCCAAAATGGGATATCACCAAAACTTAGTAATACTTGAAGATTTTAAATGTAAATTAAGGTCTGTAAAATACTGATGGAATTAGTCCACTAAAGTGTCATGATTGGCGATGACTCTAGTATATATTACATTAGCAGCTTCCTGAAGCAATTACAAAAGTTCTAATCAAGAGCAGTACAATACTTAGCACATAGTAGGCACTCAGTTTATATTTATTGAATAAGTTAAGACAGTGAATAATCAGTGAATGAAATAAAGCAAGTTCAAAAAATACATTAAAAGAAAATACTTACTTGCCTCCTGAAAGTTCCTGGTAATTGTGCCAGATTATAGTTATAGGAACAAAAAGGGATGGTCCTTACCTCTGAGAAATTCACATCAGGAACCCTTACTCTGTACACATTTATTATATACTAAGCCAGAGACAGGAAGATAAATAGATCAAGGTTCTTATCCTCCAAGAGTTGATAATCTAAGCAAATTGCAAAGTTCTCATGTTACAGGTTGATAAGTGGAGGCAGGAACAAACTTGTTAGGTTTGAATAGATTGTGTTTCTGTATATGTAACTAGAGCCAGAGCAAGAGAAGTAGGTTATGAGGGACCTTGAATATTATGCTAAAGATAATAGACTTCATCATGTCATGACAGGGAGCCATAAGAAGACATGGGATTTGATAAGATCTGTTCTTTTAGGAAGACCTCTCTGATGGCTGTGTTAGTGATTTGGGGTTGTGGATACAGCATAATATAGCAGTGATAGCAGAGAGAACAATTGGGAGGCAACTTGGAATTGTGTCAACTCTCATCTTTAATGATAGCTATTTTTAAATATTTTTTCAATAATTAAAAATCTCGAAGTTTTTCCAATCAGATATCCTCATCTTCCTGAGTTCTTATTTCCAGTCAGGGAAACACATTTTCTCCTCATTTAATTTGGAACTCAGAGGATTAAAATACCCTGAGTTTTTTCTAAAAGTTCATTACTCATTCTATCCTTGAGGTGAGTGGCTTATAAAAATCATTACTTTAAAATACCAAAATTTTGAATGTCAAGTGTACTGTAGCAAACACTGTAAGAAAAGGCATGGTCTCACAAATGGGGATCGAGTAAGGAGAATGTTAGAGGGGCCAGCCCACACTGAAGAGGTCAGGGATGGTTGGGGATGACTGGAAGTCACTGTGAAAAAGGGACAAAACCGAGGATCCAGAAGGCAGAAAAGAATGCATGAGGAGAATTCCTCAGGGGGTAATGCCCTGAGTTCCACTTCCAGAAGCCTTAATGGGTTTTGTCTGGAATAGATCTTTCTTCCATTAACTGCGTCTCATTTTGACCAGCGACACAGTTGTGACATGTATCATCTAAAGACAGACAAGACTGTAATTACAACTCTCTTCAACTTGTTACTATCACATTCTCACCAGCTGTACTCAAGTTTTAGGCAGCTAAATCAGTATCTCATCTCCACATTATCCTTTGGTGAGGGTGTGGGAATTAGTTACTGTACCTGAATTCTGTCTTTGGTTACAGCAAGAGGTGTAAAACTGAGGTCGCCAGGAACAGTCAGTTGAGTATTTTCAAGCATTATAACTTTATATTGGTACCCAAAAAAGAGGACTATCTGGTAAAAATAGTTTTGCTTAAACTCAGAAGGGATTATTGGGTCTCTTGCTTTGTGCCAACAAGAAAATGCTTGGTTATGAATATAAATATGAATAAAATGCTGCACTGCAGAAGTTTATATTAACCTGTCTGTCCCTTCCAAACATGTTTCCAAGGAGTAAAATGCTAATTATTTCAGCCACATAAATACAGAAAAAATAGTTTATCTTGGAAGTCAAAGGTTTCTGGAGCCTATTTTGTTGGGAGAGCTGTCTTACCTATCAGACTGGCCTTTTTGCATTTCGGAGAATGTATCTTATATTTCTTGACAGTCATCTGAAGTGAATTCAGACAATTCCTTCTGCTACACAAAGGTATACTACCCTTTATATATAAAGAGCTCTCAGAAATCAAATAGGAAAAAAAAATCACTAAAACTTCAATGGAAAAATAGGCAGAAAACATGACTCAGATGATCTATATTGATATTGATCCAGGATATACAGTTTAATACTGGATACCATTTGTTTCCTCACAGATTGACAAAAAGAATGGTCAGGGACAGAATTGAAAATGTTATAAGTTTATAAAAGTTTAGACTGGTGTGCTAATATAAAGTGATGCCTTTCTATTAAAAGCTTTAAAAGTGGCAAAATTCTGGCTGGGCACGGTGCCTCACGCCTGTTATCCCAGCACTTTGGGAGGCCGAGGTGGACAGATCACTTGAGGCCAGGAGGTTGAGACCAGCCTGACCAACATTGTGAAAGTCCATCTCTACCAAAAATAAAAAAACTAGCTGGACATGGTGGCGTACACCTGTAATCCCAGCTGCTTGGGAGGCTGAGGCAAGAGAACTACAAAAATTAGCTGGGCATGGTGGCACATGCCTGTAATCCCAGTTACTCGGGAGGCTGAGGCAGGAGAATCACTTGAACCCAGGGAGATGGAGGTTGTGGCGAGCCAAGCTCGTGCCACTGCACTGCAGCCTGGGTGACAGAGTGAAACTCCGACTCAAAAAAATAATAAATAAATAAATAAATAAATTTTATTTTTAGTAGCGACAGGGTTTCACCATGTTGGCCAGGCTGGTCTGGAACTCCTGACTTGGAACTCCTGACCTCAGGTGATCCACGCGCCTCAGCCTCACAGAGTGCTGGGATTACAGGTTTGAGCTACCGCACTAGCCAATAAATATTTTAAAATGACAAAATTATTTGATTCAGTAGTTCTGTTTCTAATAGTAATTAGATGAAGATTTATATATAGATGCTCCAAGTTGTTTTATCTACACTAAAAGTTGGAGCACCCTAAATGTCCAACTACAAGGATTGGTTAAATAAATTCTACTACACATCAGAAAAATGACTAGAAGGAAAAATATCAAAATGTTGATTGTGGTTTTTGGAAGGCATAGTTTCATAGGTAATTTTTCCCTTCCTTCTCTGCTTTCTTTCTGTATTTTACAAGTTTTCTTCTTGAACATTTGTTATTTTTTAATTGAAAAAAATGTTTAATGAGTTCAGTTTCACAATTTCTGAGCATCTCCTGTGTGCCAGACCTCTTTGGAAGAGGCACCAAGAACAGAAACTTGTTCTCTGCCTTTAGCAGCACTCAGTTCTGTAAGAGTAGAGGATGAGTTGTCATAGAAAAGAAAGAATGTAAGGAAAGAACAAATACTTGAGATAAGAATAGATAATTCCAAAATCCCAAACAAACCATGATATAATTTTAAAAGAATGTTCCTAAAAATTAAAGTGAAAAATGTTACTAGTTTGAATTACATCTGTAAGTTAAGACGGAAGTATGGTTTTTATTGACCTAAGAATTCTTCACATTTCAGGAAATCTGTTTTTCTTTTTTAAAAATCACATAGCTTTTATTTTGTTTTTAAAATCACAGTTGCCTAAGTAACATCTCTGTGTTATTCATTGTAACAATCCCAGAAATAAACTGCCTTGCTTGCTTAACTGGAATTATATTTTTCCTCCCCATTTCTTGTCAACGTATTTTTGTTTGCTTTTTAAATATTGGGATTCTATTTTATTTACATATTGGCGATATTTATGTAGCCTTTTTAGTTTCATAATATGAAACCAAGTACTTTTATCCTAAGTAAATTTAGTGTTGGGGAAGTATTGAGGAATATTTTTAAACGATTTTTCTTCTGTTACTGCATCACCTTCTCAGGAGACTGTTTTGGTAAGAATGATACAATTACTTGCCAAATGGGCTTTATCAACTCAGCTTTCAAATAAGCATGGATATTTTGCCAACTAAATACTGTTTCATTCATGGCATAGCATGGATTGTACATAGCAGTATAGTTTTCATTTATGCACCTCACACTTTAATTACTACGAATTTGTAACCAGCTTTACATATTTATAGCTATACAGTGTTTTCTCTATTGAGCATTCAAAAGCAGAAGCGATGTTAAATAGCATCAGCAAGAGATATAAGGACTTTTCGTATTTTCTGTACATCTTAATTTGTATAGTGATTCAGCTTGCTGCAGTTGATGCAGTTAATTCCCTTTAATAGAAAATTGTAACTTTTTAACATTGTTAAAGTTGCTTCTACTTAATTATTAGTAGGACTGGACAACCTCTTTAATGGTTTGCTTCCTTGGATTGTTGTCGCACCCTCTGTGTCCAAAAATTGATGTGTTTGTTTTCAAAAGTCAATTAAAGAAAGACTGTTTTTTTAAAAAATCTTTATTTTCTGTATACTTTAAATACCTTTGAAAGCCCTTTTTCCTCTTATTTTCTCTTACCTAACCTTAGAACATTTAACTCTAACCTTTAGGAATACAAACCAAATTATAAGGAGTCAATTTAGAGTAAATGCAAATTATTTATCAAATGAGATATCTCCTTTGCTTTATCTGTCAAATTAGACTGCCTTCTCTCCCCAGGAAAGCACTTCCTGTTTCTCTAGTACCTTTACTCGGACCTGCCTCTACTTTTTAATATAAACTGAGTAAAATAAATAATTCTCCCTTCTGTGTTTGTACAATTCTCATTTTATTTTTATTTATTTATTGTTTTGATACGGAGTCTTGCTCTGTCACCCAGGCTGCTCTCTGCAACCTCTGCCTCCTGGGTTCAAGCGATTCTCCTGCCTCAGCCTCCAGAGTAGGTGGGATTACAGGCACGAGCCACCCGACTTCTGGCTAATTTTAGTATTTTTAGTAGAGACGGGGTTTCGCCATGTTGGCCAGGCTGGTCTTAAACTCCTGACTCAGGTGATTCACCCACCTCTGCCACCCAAAGTGCTGGGATTGCAGGGGTGAGCCAATGTGCCCCGCCCTATTCTCATTTTAATTTTTGTAAAAGTAAGTCCATTCTTAAGAATTAAAGTCCTGTTTTCCTTTACACCACAACATTCGCCTATATTACCTGATTTTTCAGTATTCCTGGGGGAGATAGTGTTGCTCACATTTACAGATGAGAAAACCAAAGTTTATAAAGAGAACGAAATTTGCCTGAAGTCAAGCAGCTAGTAGCTCAGGTCTGTCTGACATCAAAGCTTGCCCTTGAAACACTAATCTTTGCTTTCTTCCATGTCTCTTTGCTTTTCTCTGACTCTTCAGCTCTGTCATATCCTGGCCTTCTCTTTCATGTCTGACTATTAACAGTCCTTTAGCAGTTTATTTAACAGTCTAACTCTCCATCTTGCATAGTTTTCTAATCTACGTAAAATCCTATATTTTACATCTAGTGTAATTTAAATGTATTTCATATTATTCATTTATAATACTATACTTTAATCTTTTTCATGATAATAGGTAAGTATTCTGTGATACTTCTGTTGGTATGTATAGCAAGTACTAGGCAGAATGCTGCATTTGATAAAATATAGACAAGAATTAATAGTAACAGAGCATTGGTTTTAATGTAAGTACAACCCTTAGAAGTAGTTTTTGGTTATTGATGTTGATGGAAATTTTTTTCACTGCTATCTTATGTTTTTATAGGACTGTTTTGCTTAAAAGTAAGCTAAAATTTGGGGGTATCTAAAACCTAAGTGACAGTGTTTGTTTCTTTGTTTTTATTTTTTCTCTAGGTGGATTTAGAAGTTGCCTATGTCACATTTCTAAAATATTTTAAAGGAAGAATATTTTGTTTGCTTAAATAATTAGACTTGAGAGATTAAATAAGAAATAATGTACCCTTAGAATGAACTTTAGAGACTGTAATTTTCATAATTCTATTTTTTTTCTGGTCCAGTGTTTAAAGACCACTCTTACTTTGTCACTTGACCTTGGCCCCATTGTTATCTATTACCTGCCATAGTTTTTGGTTTGAATGTAGACTCTTTTTCCTAGAGGATCACCAAGATTTTCTGGAGAAAGGGAAAGAGAAAGAGAACACCTTGCTATGGTGTGGCTGTGCATATTTGGATACATGTATTAGTGTCCACTAAAACTGGCAAATTTGAAGGGTTCCCTAAATACTCAGGTTCAGTTTCTTCACCCAAACTGGTAGACACTAAATAAGACAATTTAATTAGGATGTAGTAGAATTACTTAGATGTATAAGTTAGATTTTATTTTAATGTAATTGTTAAAAATTTTAGTGCCATTTTCATCATTACAATTGTCTTTTAAAAATTGCTGTAGTATTTCAGTTGTTTAAATCACCTCTTTGAATTGGTTCTTTTATGCCTTAGTGCACAGGGAACAGAAACGTTTACTACTTAAGTACTCTCAAATACTTTAAAGTGATATATGACATTCTTTTGAAGTGATGGAGGCCTAAGCCAATCACAAGATGACAGCATTGTGGGAACAAGGCACTGTAGGCATAGTCTGGCTATAATGCCCATCCCTGGAACACTCTCATCCAGCAGCCCTGATCTCCTGCAGCCTACCACCAGTATGTTGGATTTTTCCAATCCTTCAGGTAATTTTCATATGTGATTTTATATTGCCGTATTGGTACCAAATGAACAAATAGATGGTTAAGCCTTGTGCAGCAAGTGCTAGAGTTACTTGCAGCCCTCTTAACTCTAGATTATGACTTGATGCAAAAAACTAAAGGGAGATTGACTTGTTCTGTTAATTTGAATGGTACTTCCTCTAAAGTGAAACAGAAGTACATAAAAAAGAGACTACCTCTGGCCAGGCGCAGTGGCTCACGCCTGTAATCCCAGCACTTTGGGAGGCCGAGGCGGGCGGATCATGAGGTCAGGAGATTGAGACCATCCTGGCTAACATGGTGAAACACCATCTCTACTAAAAATACAAAAAATTAGCCAGACGTGATGGTGGGTGCCTGTAGTCCCAGCTACTTGGGAGGCTGAGGCAGGAGAATGGCGTGAACCCGGGAGGCAGAGCTTGCAGTGAGCCGAGATCGGACCACTGCACTCCAGCCTGGGCGACAGAGCAAGACTCCGTCTCAAAAAAAAAAAAAAAGAAAAGAAAAAAGAGACTACCTCTAACCACAGAATTAGGTATCTTTTAGTAATCCTAATCTAAGCAGTAGAATGAAAACAGAGACACTTCTCAGGCAAGATATATCTTACCCAGGGTGTGGAAAAGAATAAGGGAGATTATTTTAATCTAAGTGGCCTCACTTACCTTTTTCTATAATACACAGAAAAGTGTTAGTAATTTTGTAAAAGCAGATTTTTCCTCAGACACTTGAAGCTGAAGTTGTATTTGTCATGTATTGTTATCAGAGCGTTATAGCATAATTTTCATTGTTGTTTGGACTTCCAGTGTGGGATGTCAAGTTATTTTTTTTTTGCGTCTATTCATGTCTTGAGGCAAAAATTGTCACAGTTATATAATCTAAAGTTTTGTTACAAAGAAGAAAACTTTCGACTTTGAATAATTATATATCCATCACTTAACGGATTTGAGATGGTTTTCAATAAAAGGCATATACAATTAAGCACTGAAACATATAATTGGGTCCAAGGAAAGGTGGGAGAAAAAATGCTTCTACAAAGATAAGCATAGTTCTGATTCACCTTCAATTTTGACTCTAAAGTTCCTAGCAGCTAGTGTAGAAAGGGAGGAAACTTAGTTCCATCTCGGTATTAGAAGGAAATATAAGTACAGTAGTAAAGTTCATGTTTTATTATAGCAACTTAAATAAAAACCTCAGGACATAACCTAATAACAGTTTAGTGAAGGTCATTCTGCACATGGTTTCTTCCTTTATATTTCAGTTGCCACTTAACCACTAGAGCGATTATTAAACCCAGTAACCTGTTCTGGCACATCACACTCTCTACATGGCTACCAGTGTTCTTTTTAGAACAAAGATTTAATGAGTCATTACTTTCCTAAGACATTTGTAGTGATTTTTATATTAGTGAAATGTCATTCATGAGACAGAAGACACTCCAGTTATTTGATCCGAAGTTAATGTGAAGATTGTTACCAAAGTATAAAGTTAATTAAACTATTTACCGGAAAGGGTAAAGGAAGCACTAAGATATCACAGAGGTAAGAAAACTGCAAACTGGATTCAGTTCTTGGCACGTAAAAGAAATGTCACTACCAGGGTGAAGAAGAAGTGTTGCTGACCTGAACCCCCTTTCTAGCCTCTTGTTCTGTCATTCTCTCCCCACTATTACTTCAACCCTCCTTCCTGAGTATGGAATGAACTTTCAGAATGCCCTTTCTTTGCCCATGTTTGCCACCCATGGCCCTCTCCTTGCATGTCCAGTAAGCTTTTTTATTTGTCAGTGCTGAACTCCAGTGTTACCTCATCTGGGAAACCCACCTCCCTCTGCCACAGAGTCAGTCTCTCCTATTGTTTGCTATGTGGCAGGATGGGAATTTATTTCTTTGTCTCTGTGTGTGTGTTTTACAGCAGTGCTTTTCACACTACGTAGAACATTCAAAAATAAAGTGTCTTCACACTTCCAAAGCACAAATTAAATATATGCTTTCATGAGACAAGTATTAGGGATCTTATGATTTGTAGTTTTAATAATTTATATGGCTGTATGTTTGCCATAGGTATATGTAGGATGTGGGGCTGAGGGAATAAGGGATAGGGTTGTAGGAGGAGGCAAGAGAGAAGTAAGTTGGAGATTTAGCTGGAGGAACAAAGAGAAGAGGTTGAAATTATTAAGTTTTAGAAACTAAGTCCCCATGGAGCTGAAATTCAGACCTATAAAGAAAAGGTGTGTTACTTAACTTGATTTCAAGTTGATTACATAATTCTCTCCTTGAGAACATGTTTAAAGGACTAAAGATAAAGATGCCTTTTTAAAATCTGTTCAGAGAACATCTGATATGTCTCAGTCTGCAACATGTGCTTATACCAGTAATGTGAACACATATATGATAGGTATTTAACTTATATTTTTAAACCCCCAAATGTGTAATTTTGTGAAAGGCTTTTTATCTAGTGATGGATATTATTTATATTTGGATTGAAAAAAACATCAATTCCCAGTTAATTCCAAATTCAGCTTCTTATGTAATTTATACAACACAAAAATTTAAATGAGCCATGTACATCACATATGTATATTATAGGACATGTGTAACAGCCAAGTTTGATTAATGTTTATTGGTCTTGAGCTTACCTATATTTATCCTTCATTTTCAAAGTTATTACTAGATCAAAATGAAAGTGGGGGCAAAGCTACAGAACTGTAAGTTTGTTTTTGATTGCTTACTTTGATTTTGCTTTATTTTTGCTGCATACAGCTGTTGGTTTTTATTGTAAGTATCTTAAAGACTGTAGTATTCTATTGCCCTTGTTTGTATGTATTATTTTGTTATTTTTTAAAAGTCCAATGATACAGAATTGAATGAAGTAGTAAGCACAACTTTTCTTTCCACTTAGAAGGTAGCCAGTATTAACTGGCATGTGTCTTTTTAGTCATTTTTTTGAATATATATATGTTTTTAAGTTTGGATGGAATCAGTATACATGCTATTCTGTAACTTCTGAAATGTTCTTTGGGATTTCTGACTCAATACAAAATGAGTCCTAAAAAAAATTAGGAGTGTGGCTAAGAGAAATTTGAAAAGGAATTTTTTTCTATATCTGCATGTAGAACTTACAGCTTACTTCTTTTCACTTAATAGCCCAAACCCTTAATTGATTTATTTCATATAGTAAACTTAATTTTTTCTTCATTGAAAATTTTTTATTATTAGTTTTTAATTATAAAGGAACACAGTCATAGCTTTAAAAAAATTAAACTGCCAGAATAAGATAGAATATAAAAGTTTCCACTCCTCAGAATTTAGTTATTATTTACTTGTATATCCTTCCAGAAATTTCATTGCACATAAAATGTGTCTGCTGTTGCTTTCACCCCAAATGAGATGTTTTACTTTTCTTCCACTTAACTGTTTCACTTTAGCAATATACCTTTGAATACTTTTCTGTTTCAAGGTGTGTTGTTCTACCACAAATTTTTAAACAGCTAACAGAATTTTTTTAAGCAGTCCCCATTAGTAGACATTTACAGTATTGCCTAATCTTTGTGTTCACGTATCTTTACCTGTTTTATGTATGCATTATTATATTTTGAGTTTTGAAAAACTATTTTGTGAGAATTTGTTTTCTCATTATATAAGTGCCTAAAAAATATGTGTTTTGCCATTTGACCTGCAAAACTTAAAATGTTTACTATCTGGCTCTTTGCAGAACAATTTTTTCAATCCTTAATATACCACTACCCTTTGTTTTTTTGTGTGGCGCTTTTTGCTGTATGAATTCTCTTCCTTACTCAATGTCTTGTCTTTCGTCGAGCTCGTGTTTACTCACTTGAATGTAAGTAAATTCCCTGAGAGTGGAGGCTTAATCTGTCTCACTTAGCACTGTAGCTTCATCACCTGGAACCCTGTTGACACATAACAGGCACTTCATAAATATTTATTCAACAATTAACAATTTAAAGCAGAATGAAAAGTCAGTCTTTTTTTTTAAAGATCATCTTAAATACCTAAAAGTTCTCCCATTTTTAGTGTAATCTCAGGGTCAGTACATACATCCTTCAAGTATTCATTTTTTAATTTTACCGCTGTAAGATTTATAAATTAGCTCTCTAGAAACTTCATCTCTGATTGAAAGTCTAGATATCAGGTTTCTATTTAATTTATTTACCTATTACATAAGATTTCTACATATGAAATACAAACCTTGATCCTCCAAGATTTTTTTTTTTTTTTTTTTTTTTGAGATGGAGTCTCGCTTTGTCACCCAGGCTGGAGTGCAGTGGCGCGATCTTGGCTCACTGCAAGCTACGCCTCCCGGGTTCATGCCATTCTCCTGCCTCAGCCTCCCGAGTAGCTGGGATTATAGGTGCCCGCCACCACGCCCAGCTAATTTTTTTGTATTTTTTTTTAGTAGAGATGGGGTTTCACGGTGTTAGCCAGGATGGTCTCATTCTCCTGACCTCGTGATCCGCCCACCTCGGCCTCCCAAAGTGCTGGAATTACTGGCATAAGCCACTGCGCCCGACCCCAAGATTTTTTTTTTTGACAGAGCCTCACTCTGTCACCCAGGCTGGACTGCAGTAGTATGATCTCGGCTCACTGCAGCCTCTACTTCCTGGGCCCAAGTGATCCTCCCACCTCAAACTCCCGAGTAGCTGGGCCTATAGGCACACACCACCACGCCCAGATAATATTTGTAATTTTTGTGGAGGCGGGCTTCTCCATGTTCCCCAGGCTGGTTTTGATCTCCTGGGCTCAAGTGGTCTGCCCACCTCAGCCCCCTAAAGTGCTAGAATTATAAGCATGAACTACCGCCCCTGGCTTCCAAGATTCTTTTTAAATGTCTGTTTTGCCTTTAAAATTGTACTGTATTTTTGTCTGCATTTTAGATTTGTGCCTAAAATTTGAAATGATTGGATCATTTTTTCCCTTTTGATTCAACTTTATTCGAACATATTGACCATTCATCTAAGCGATTAACATTTGAGTGTCTGCTGCATGCCAAATATTGTGCTTGGCATGTATGTGGTTTTCCTACTAACAAGAAACATGTTTGTAAAGAATAGTATGTAATATATACGTAATAATTCTAAAATAGAGGTTTACACTGTCATTAATATTAACGCAGAGAAAGATTTTCCTCTGATGGCTCTCCATTGCTTTTCCAAGTTGACATTTGTTACCTTGGCAGATTCATCAGAGTTTGGATTAAGGGATACCCTTTAGATAATCCCATTTATGAATCTGTTCTAAAGGCACCCATGTGTGATACCTGAATCAATCTTATGTGATCATATAACAATTTGTCCTTCACATGGACAAATCACTTTAACAACGTATGACTTTGTAACACTATGCAGCAAGATATACAATTGTGTGCTCCTTCCCAGAAGATGTTACAGTATATTGGCAGCAAGGGAAGAGAACATGAAATGTGTACAAATTCCCACCCTGTCTTTGTGAATAAATTTCTCTGAAGAAAGTAATAAAAGGTATCAGAACATCTCCCCATTCCCTCAAGGTCAGTCAGTACCACTGGCTAAGGCTCAGCCCCCAAAGATCTAGTAAAATGATTCAATTCTGGAGCCCAGGACAGCTAGGACCTACTTTTATGAAGAGGGTAGCAACAGTACAGGTAATAACAGTATATTGTTGGTTCCTTTTTTATGGACTTAAAAAGATAGTGGAAACCCATTTGTTCAGTATATTTCTCTTGGCAAATTGAAATTTCCATTTGTTTGCAATAATCTTCTAGCACAGGGTAGAGAGGTATATTAGTCCGTTTTCATGCTGCTGATAAAGACATACCCAAGACTGGACAATTTACAAAGGAAAGAGGTTTAATGCACTCGCAGTTCCACGTGGCTGGGGAAGCCTCACAATCATGGCAGAAAGCAAGGAGGAGCAAGTCACATCTTGGATGACAGCAGGCAAAGAGAGTTTGTGCAGGGGAACTCCTCTGTTTAAAACCATCAGATCTCGTGAGACTTGTTCACTATTGTGAGAACAGCATGAGAAAGACTCACCCCCATGATTCAGTTACCTCCCACTGGCTCCCTCCCATGACATGTGGGAATTGTGGGAGTTACAATTCAAGATGAGATTTGGTTGGGGACACAGCCAAACCTTTCAAGAAGTATGTCTGATTTTGATGGATCTTGAAACAGTCTGACCTTAAGTCTTGTAGGTTTAAAAACCTGATGATGTCAGCAGCCCACTAAGTATTGGCTCATCAGAATGAAATCTGAACAAGATGCATTTGATGACTCAGATTTCTTAATACATTGAGGAAAGAGAGTTTGATGCATCCTTCTTACAGAAGGAACCAGAGTAGATGAAGTATTCTACTTTCAACTTGAGAGGACCCAGAACATTCAACATATGTTGGCTAAGACTCCTTGTCCCTGGAATTATATTCATGTATATTCAGTTGAATCTTTCAGTCCTCAGAGCAAGTCTTTTTTTTTTTTTTTTTTTGGTCCTCAGTCTCAAGAGGACCAAAAAATTTATTTTATGAAAATATTTCCTGCCATATCTGTATCTGTTCCATTTCTCCCTTTTAACCAGGGATTATACCTCAGGACATTTTGAGATAAATTTGTAATTTGTTTTGTTTTGTTTTGTTTTCCTCTAAAGGCTAACAGTGTCCATAATGCTAAGAAGGTGATGCTGGACAAACAGTATAATTACTTGAGCCCCCAAAATCTTCCATCCTGCCCCCACTGCAGTCATCACACACATACAAAAAAGCCACAGTAATATATATTCCCTAATTCTTTTTTTCTTTTTTGAGACTGGGTCTTACTCTGTTGCCCAGAGTGGAGTGCAGTGGCATGATCTCAGCTCACTGCAGCTTCAACCTCCCAGGCTCAAGTGATGCTCCCACTTCCACCTCCCGAGTAGCTGGAACTACAAGAATGTGCCACCACACCCAGCTAATTTTTAAAAATTTTTTGTAGAGATGGGGTCTTGCTATATATCCAGGCTGGTCTCGAACTCCTGGGCTCAAGTGATCTTCCAGCCTTGGCCTCCCAAAGTCCTGGGATTACAGGTGTGAGTCATACCCAGCCTGTATTCCTAATTTTTTTAAAAAGGAAACTTTTGCAACAGTAATTTATTGTCATAGGGAAAATTTTTAGCATTTGTTCATGCTATAAAGTCACTTTTCACTTAAATTTAATTATATTAAATATTAGCTTATCATGTTGAACATTGGTCCAGAGTTCTATAATGACAAAAAGAAATAAGATAGAACAAGGGGGGGTGGAATATTATTATTTACATGTGCTTATCATATAAACATTGTCTCAAATTAGAATTTTTCTACTAATAGCAGAAATCACAAGGGCAAAGACTAAGATTTCACCAGGTGAACATTTAAAATGTTCTTGTGTTACAAATAAATAAAATATGGAAACTAACATTTTCCACTTCATAGTTGGACTAAGTGTTGTTATCTACTACAATACAGCAGGAAAAAAACATAAGGGATACCAAAAAATATTTTTAAAAAGACATAATGGTTCATTAAACCATTATCAGTTACTGAGTCTTACCAGTAACCAAAGAAATGAAAAAATAATGATATTTTTTTGGAGGGAGGAAAAGAATAGGGCTTATGAAATGGGAAAGCAAAACAAAACATTAATATACAATTTTTGTAAGGATGTGACCAAATTTGTTCCCTTACACTCTAGGATTATAAAATATTATAACGTCTCTGGAGAACAGTTTGGCAGTATATTTCAAAAACCTTAAAAGTATGCGTGCCTTCTAATTCAGCAATTCTGTTTTTGAGAATTTTCACGGAGGAAGTAGATTGCCTGCAGAGGCTTACTTACTTTTGACAGGGGGTAACGGGGCATATCATAATGTCATTTATAATAATAGAAAGTGGTAAGCAATCTAAATGTCATTAGGGGTTTGGATAATTGAAATATATAAAATACATATCATGGAGTACTATGTCTTCATTAAAAATAGTTTTGTAGAAGAATATAATGGCATTAAAATGTTTTATAAGATATTAAATGAAAAAATTCTGGCTTCCAAACCATATATATAGTATGAGCCCAAGTTTTGTTTTTGGGTTTTTCTATCAATGATTTGTTATCTGAAAAAAAAAAAAGGATATATTTATCAATAAATGCAACAGTGACTTCTGTTAATATTGTGAAATAGAAATGTATATTTCAGTGTTCAGAGGGATCACTGTGTTTCACGTTGCTTTTTGAAGGGTTTAAAAGTGATTTTTTTAAAAAATAACAAAGCATATCTTTCTATTTATGTAGATATCCCTGATCAAGTTATAAGAGTTTTCAAAGTGGATCAGCAAAGTTGCTACATTATCATCAGTAAAGACACCACAGCTAAAGAAGTAGTTTTTCATGCTGTTCATGAATTTGGTTTGACCGGTGCATCCGACACATATTCTCTCTGTGAAGTTTCTGTTACTCCTGAGGGTGTCATAAAACAGAGAAGACTTCCAGATCAGTTCTCCAAATTAGCTGATAGAATTCAACTCAATGGAAGGTGAATAAGCTTATTAGTGGATGTGCTTATTTGTAGATGTGCTTTTGAAGATTTCCTGTTAAAACAGCTATTGTAAGTAGAAACATTATCATGTTTTAGTGCTCCTAAATTCACTCCAGAAGACGCTTGATAAAATATCTTGTCACTCCTGCTAAAATAAACTCTTAGAACCACTGATATAATCTAGTTCCTGTTTTTTTATAGAGGAAGCTGAATGATACAAATCTTCATATATATCTGAATGACTGTATCTACTAATTTATAAATTTGTTTTTAATATGGCCAGTATGTACTTTGGCAAAAGAAGCCATGGTTTTCACAGTTCTTTTTCTAAGTAGTTTTCCTTTAATGAATATGCAGGAAAATTTTAAAAATTTTAAAATGTGTTCTGAAAATTATTTAATAAACTAGATTATTTCTGTAGTACATTTGTTCCTTACTCTGGTTTTTTTTTTTTTTTTTGAGATGGAGTCTCCCTCTGTCGCCCAGGCTGGAGTGCAGTGGCGCGATCTCAGCTCACTGCAACCTCCACCTCCCAGGTTCAAGCGGTTCTCCTGCCTCAGCCTTCTGAGTAGCTGGGACTACAGGCACATGCCACCATGCCTGGCGAATTTTTGTATTTTTAGTAGAGACGAGGTTTCACCGTGTTGGCCAGGCTGGTCTCAAACTCCTTACCTCAAGTGATCTGCCTGCCTCAGCCTCCCAAAGTGCTGGCATTACGAGTGTGAGCTACCACACTCAACCACTCTGAGAATAATCTTTTTGGTAACCCAGTTTCATATGTAGAACAAGATCCCTAGAAAGCTTACAGTGACTGCATGCCATGGTTGCTGTGAAATGAGAATGAGTTAACTCTGTTTTGCTGGCTGTACATAGTGGTTAAGAGCATAGACCCTGGATTCAGATTGCCCACATTCAAATCCCAGCTCTGGCTATGTGACCTTGAGCAAGTCATATGTAGCTTCTCTACCTGAATTTCCTCACCCATAAAATGAGGATAGTAATAGTAGAATATACCTCATGGGAATGTTGTAAGGATTAAATGAGTTACTAAGTATACCATACCTTATAATGTTAAACATTATTATATATAGCATAATGAGTTTCAGCACTATTATTTATGGCATTGTCTTAGGCATATGAACAGTCTAAAAGCAGAAAAAAGAGTTTCTTGACAGTAAAAAATAGATGGATAGATGGATACAAACTTAGGCTTAAATCAAGTTGGATTATTAGAAAAGAACGAAGTAAAAGCAGGTGATACATTACCTCGTTTCCTTAGTAACATCCCTGCACAAGATGTTTCCTGTCTCTTACTTTTAAGTGCTGTAGAATTGTTGATTTAAGAGAAGAAAGCAAAATATAGGTCTTAATGTGTGGTAACTGATAAGTGCCACTTGCTGGAATGAGGTTTTGTATTTAACAAGGGAGAAACCATTAGTGGAAGTGTTTCCCCTCCTCTGTAGATTTCATTCCTCTTGCTTCACTTGGAAATTTATTTAAAAAGGAAGTGAGTGGAGTAACTTCTGAATAGAGATTTTTAACCGTCTTGATTCAGGAATTTATTTTGCCTTAATTAGAATTCATGCTATTCATAAACAAATATTTACATAGTACCAATCCTCTGTCAGATAAAACAGTAAGATAAAAGCTTTACGAGGGCAAGGCCAGTACCTAAAATAGTATCTGACAGATAGTTTCATAAAATAATTAAGTTCATGACATAACAACATTATTTTTACTCTTTAATAGATGCCAGTTGGTAGAATAAGAGACAGACTTCTCAAAAATCTTTTCATTTAAAATGTTAACTTTTCATTTTATCTGTAAATTAATATTTTTGGCTAAAAGTTATTAACAGTAAAATGATATTTTACAACGACAAAAAGGAAAAGTGCTCTTATTTAATCATATTTATGAATACATTTATTTAAAAAAATTTTTCCATTTAGGTATTACTTAAAAAATAACATGGAAACAGAAACCTTATGTTCAGATGAAGATGCTCAAGAACTAGTTAAGGAAAGCCAGCTATCCATGCTGCAGCTCAGTACCATTGAGGTGGCCACCCAGCTGTCAATGAGGGACTTTGATTTGTTTCGTAATATTGAACCGACTGAGTACATCGATGACCTTTTTAAGTTAAATTCCAAAACAGGAAATACTCATTTGAAGAGGTTTGAGGACATTGTAAACCAAGAGACATTCTGGGTTGCCTCAGAAATTTTAACTGAAGCAAATCAGCTCAAACGAATGAAGATTATTAAGCATTTTATTAAAATTGCACTTCATTGTCGAGAATGTAAGAACTTCAATTCCATGTTTGCAATAATAAGGTAAGTTGGTACAAATAGGTACAAATGTCTGTATGGTTTTGTCATTACATGCAGCTGATTTTCTACTTAGGTATTCAATGCCTATGAAAAGAAATGTTCAATTAATATGCCTTTATTGAAGTGTTGTTAGATTTAATGTATTTTCCATTTTGGTGGTATTGGCTTTTTCTATTTTTGTTTCTTCCATCTTTCTTTTACTTCTTTTTTGTAAATGAAAGTGGGTGATTGCCTTCTAATTTTTCTTTCTCTCCCTTCATCTCCAACCCCCCGCCTTGAGTGATTATATCATCTTTGGATATGTGCCCAGTGGCTGGTCTTTATCATTAGACTTCTGTACTGTGCTTTTTTAAGTACCTGCCTCACTATGATTTGACTCTGAAAAATCACAGTATGGTATCAGTACTTTGACCTAAAGTTGCTATTTTGAAACAACAACATTGATAATAATGGCAACCATTTGGTAAGCTCTTCCTGTTTGCCAGGCACTACATGAGGTTCACTGGATGTGGTGTTCCTCAAGCAAGTTAGGCTGTTAGAATAATAAAAATGTTTTGACATTCATAAGCCCAGGAAGTGTAGATAATTACGTGAGCTCTCCCACTCCCTTCTTCCCACTTATTATGAAAAGTTAATTGTAGGTAATTTATTTTCTGATCTTTATTTAGCACACTGTAGATCAACAAAGGGATTCTTCTTAAAACAAGTTTAATTTTAAAAGGGAGAGGAGTTGTAGTTAGCTCCATTTTTAAGGCCATGATGTGCTTATAAATCGCAGCATAATTCCACTTGAACTAATCCTACCTATACACATCCCCCACAGAATTCATAATGATTTGTTTCTACTCCTCATGTAGATTAAGATTAAAAAGTAGAATCTTTATAGGGACTCTTTATTCATGACCCTGTCATGGTAATAGGATGTGCCTTTATTAAATTAACCAGTGTCTACAACTGAACTGAACACTCTAGGAGTATTGAATAGAGATTAACAGAGTGGTCTTTAGAATCAGCTGCACCTGTATTTGAATCCTGCCTCTCCCATATAGTAGCAATGTGTCAGTGGAAAACTGAAGATAGGTTTTCTTATCTGTAAAATACCACCTATATCACAGTTTTTAAACAGCTAAGTCTAAAACAGAGGAATAAAGATGCCACTGATAAACACTTGGAAGGCTAGAAATGGAACCTGTTTGTAAAGGAAGCATCAAGTAAAGAATTTGAAAATTACGGGCTCAGTTTTAGAGTCCACTATGAAGAAAATTGATTGACACTGAGAGAATAGATCTCTGTATAAAAAAGAGGGTAGAAAGAAAGTGGTAGAGGTCTAAAAACCATACCTTAGTATGATGACTCAGTGTGAGGGTAAGGAAAAAGAGTCTAGCCAAAGAGATGGAGGATCAGTACAAGAAACAGAGTAGCACAGTTATGATAGTGTCATCAAAGCCAATGAAAGAGAGTGATTTGAGAGAAGATGTGATGGACAGTAGCCCAAAGAAGGGAGTGGATAGGAAAGGGCTGAGATTTGGTTAAGAGGCTTTGTTTGGTTAAAAGATTTGTTTTGTTACAAAGAATATTTGTTCTGCACATTTTCATAGCTCATGTAAAGATCATTGCTTTGTTTCTTTTGTATTCTTTTTAAGATAATTGTTTTGTATTCTTGTACTTCATGTTCAGGTAGATCAAAGAATATACTCTTTTCAGCAGAGATGGCAAAGGTGAATCATTCTGTTCTGGCTATAATTAACAACTTTTTATAATTATAAAATAATTTTAACTTTTTGAATAGACATGACATGTACATGGAAAAAATTTTAAAGATAAAGAGTACACAGCGAAAGTAACTTTGTCTCACCCAGTCCCTAATCCACCCAAATTCCTCTCCCCAGAGATACTGTTACCTTTTTTCATTCAAGAAATACTCTATCCATATAGCAAGCATATAAATATATATTTAAAACCACCTTGGCTAATTTTTTTAATTTATCTTGGAGATTATTTAAAATCAGTTCTTATAAAGTTGTCTCATATTTTTTAAACAACTATGAAGTACTCCTTTGTATTGTGGAGTGCACATTATGGATATTTCTAAATTTCCAGACTTTGGCTATTTAAAACAGTGTGTGGTGTTTACTTTTGCCATGTAGAAATTTTTTTATTTTTATGTAGATGTATTATTTTTTTTCCTGCTGGAGTTTCTGCATTTTGTGGTTAGTTAAGAACAAAGAATTGCCTAGGTTTGAATCCAGTGTTGGCACTTGTTGTCTATGTGAACTAAGTTTCCTCATTTGTCAAATGGGAAATCCTGGTAGTTCCTACCTAATAAGGTTAAGAGTATTCAATGAGCTAATACAATGAGAGCTCTTAGAACACCCTAGACAACATTTTTTATTAATCTTGAATTCATTTTTATGTAAACAGTGAGATAAAGAAATATATCTTTCTTTGTTCCAAATGACTTCTTCACCCAACATCATTAATCAATCTTTTTTTCTAAAATATGCAATGCCATCTATTATGTACTGAAATCTAACACATATTTGGGTTTATGTCTGCACTCATTGCTTCATTGATTTGTCTATTCATTTACTGTTTTAGTTGCTGAAGTGGTAAAATAGGTTTTAAGGTCTGATAGGGCTAGTCAAACCCCTTATGACTCTCTTCATACTTTTCTTTGGCTATTTCTGGCATGTTTATTTGTTTCATATCAACTTTAGAATCAATTTATGTAGTTCTTTTAAAAAGTTTTGTTGATGTCTGGGCGCGGTGGCTCACGCCTGTGATCCTGGCACTTTGGAGGCCAATGCAGGTGGATCACAAGTTCAGGAGTTCTAGACCAGCCTGACCAACATGGTGAAACCCCATCTCTACTAAAAATACAAAAAAATTAGCCAGGTATGGTGGCACATGCTTGTAATCCCAGCTACTCAGGAGGCTGAGGCAGGAGAATCACTTGAACCCAGGAGGTGGAGGTTGCAGTAAGCCAAGATCATGCCACTGCACTCCAGCCTGGGTGACAGAGCAAGACTCTGTCTCAAAAAAGAAAAGAAAAAGTTCTGTTGATGTTTTCATTGAGATTACATTAAATACCTAGATTACTTTAGTGGACATTTGATAGCTTTGTAACAATGGCTCTTGCCATCCAAGAACACTTATTCCACTTGTTTCAGTTTTCTTTTATTTCCTCTGTGGAGTTGTTTTATTAGTCTGTTTTCACACTGCTGTATAGAAATACCTGAGACTGTGTAATTTATAAAGAAAAGAGGTTTAATTAACTCACAGTTCCCCATGTCTGGGGAGGCCTTAGGAAACTTACTATCATAGTGGAAGGCGAAGGGCAAACATGGCGTGTCTTACATGGCAGCAGAGAGAGAGAGAGTGAGGGGGGAAGTGCCACACTTTTAAACCATCAGATCTCTTGAGAACTCACTGATTATCATGAGAACAGCGTAGGGGAAATCTGCCTCCATGACCCAGTCACCTCCCACTGCGTCCTTCCCCTGACATGTGGGGATTACAATTCCACGTGAAATTTGGGTGGGGACACAGAACCAAACCATATCAGTTTTTATAGTGGTGTTCATGTAAATCTTGAACATTTGTTTGAATGTTTAATATCTTTTATTGCTGTTGTGAATGGGATCCTTATATTATGAATGGGATCCTTAAGTTTTCTAATGGTTTCTGCCTAAGTATTCTAATGCATATGAATATCAGTGTTGTACCTAGTACCTTACTGCATTCTTCATGCTTCTAATAATTTTCAGTTAATATTTTGGGAGTTTTGAGTTAAACAATCTAATTTTCTTCAACTGATGATAACTTTACATCTCTCATTCCATTTATTAATAACTATTTCTCTATTTTGTCTATTTTCATCTGCTGGTGCTTCATATTAAATGATACCATTGTCCCTCAGTATCTGTGGGGCATTCGTTCCATGGCTCCTCACAGATAGCAAAATCCTCACATACTCAAGTCCTGCAGTTGACCCTGAGGAACTTGTGGATACATAAAGTCAGCATTAGCAGGTTTCACATCCAAGGAAACTGTATTTTTGATCCACATTTGGTTGTGAATGTGGAACACTCAGATACGGAGGGGTGACTGAATTTATTGAAAAAAATCTGCATATAAGTGGATCCATGCAGCAGTATTCCACGGTAGCAGGAGTTAGCCTTGTATGTGAATTGTTTTATCCTTTACTTTTTCTTAGTAAATGGAGATTGTGGCAGCATTAGGGCTGCTTACAACTCAGAGTGTCTCCCTTCTCTCCTGTCTCAAACAGATTTGTACCAAAGTGTATCACTGTGTGCTATGCCAAATAAAGGATTGTTGGCTTGGCATGGTGGCTCATGCCTGTAATCTCAGCACTTTGGGAAGCCAAGGCAGGCAGATTACTTGAGCTCAGGAATTCAAGACCAGCCTGGCCAACATGGTGAAACCCTGTCTGTACTAAAAATATAAAAATTAGCCAGGCATTGTGGTACACACCTGTAATTCCTGTAATCCCAGCTACTCAGGAGGTTGATGCACAAGAATCACTTGACCCTGGGAGGCAGAGGTTGCAGTGAGCTGAGATCGCACCACCGCACTCCAGCCTGGGCAACAGAGCAAGACTGTGTCTCAAATAAATAAATAAAATAAAGGATTGTTGTTTTTAACCTCAGGGCAGAAAGAGTTCTGCTTTGGAGAACTGTTTGTCAGCTTTCATTGGTATCTTCAGCTGCAGACATTATTTGTCATCAGCTTTGCTTACTCCTGTTTGACCTCGACTATTTTTTGACAACCTTTCTAGTGTGTTGAGGAGTTTGTTATCTTAGTTTTGGTGGATATGAAATTTGTATTGGTTACTCATCCTTCTTACAGTGGTTTGGGGAAATTTCTGAGAAGCAAAAGGGAACAAAGATACCTAACTCCATGCCTTAAAGTCAGAAATCAGGAGAACATTTTACAGTGGTGTTGGTAAAAGTCAGATGGCTGAGAAACAGGATTTGCTGATAAGAAAATTGAGGCATTGTATATACACTATTCATTTGGCAACCTACCTATGTGATGGTACTGTAGAGGTAAAGGATTCATAAAGACTTGCAGCCTAACTGGCATGAATTATGTTTTCAAGTTAGGGAATATCTGAGCCTATTTAAAATCCTGTGGAAGGGAGACATTGAATATCTGGAGGCTTAGTGAACAGGATTAGAACCTAGGAATATGGATGTATTGGAATCAGGGATGTGAGTGAACAAAATCGCAGGAAAAAAAAGGCTTCCTAAGGTGCAGAATTAGCTCCAGTTATTATTTAACAGTTGTTCTCAGCATTACTTAAACCGCTTTAAAATAGGTAATGTCTCCATAAAGTTATTTCTAAGTAAAACAAGCAACATTGTGATGCTTGAAGTTTTTTTTAATTTAAATGTATATTTTATGGAATTATTCTGTCACTTAAATGAAACTGTAAAATAAATGCTATGTAGGTATAGAACTATAGGCAAGCATTATAGTTTGAAAGAAGTTCTTGTAAGATCAGGGAGTCTCTTATTTATTTTTTTCTCAGTTTTTCTCTTGTTTATTTCAATGTGTTAAAATATGTCCCTGCTTATTTTTACTTTTATTAGAGAAAATGGTGTATATGCTGACCTGAGTCCACCCCTTTCCCCAAGTTTCTTTTTAATGTTTCTATTCTCATCTTTGGCAGTGGCTTGAACCTGGCATCTGTAGCAAGACTCAGAGGAACTTGGGAAAAGTTACCAAGCAAATACGAGAAACATCTTCAAGATCTACAAGACATTTTTGATCCATCTAGAAACATGGCAAAGTATAGAAATATTCTTAGTAGTCAAAGTATGCAGCCTCCAATTATTCCACTCTTCCCTGTTGTCAAGAAAGATATGACATTTCTACATGAAGGTATGAAAACATTATTTATTGATGTTTTACCACATGGTTTATCTAAAGTCTACCTGAATTGATTTTTGTGTATGGTATATTTCCTATTCTATTAATTTGGTAACTATACACTATTTTACCATTTTTCTAGTGTTGAATTAGATGTCATACCATACATATTTGTTAATTAGTTTAATATTTATTAGTACTTTTTTCTGTGTCAGATAATGCAAGGAACTTAGACCACTTAAATTCCATTTGCTCAGCTGGACGCGGTGGCTCACGCCTGTAATCCCAGAACTTTGGAAGGCCTAGGCAGGTGGATCATGAGGTTGGGAGATCAAGACCATCCTGGCTAACATGGTGAAACCCATCTCTACTAAAAATAACAAAAGATTAGCCGGGGGTGGTGGCGGCCGCCTGTAGTTCCAGCTACTTGGGAGGCTGAGGCAGGAGAATGGCAGGAGCCCGGGAGGCGGAGCTTACAGTGAGCCTAGATGGCGCCACTGCACTCCAGCCTGGGCGACAGAGCGAGACTCTGTCTCAAAAATAAAAAACAATTCCATTTGCTCATCTCCTGATTTTCATGCAGTTGTTGCTGTGCTTTTAACACAAGATATTGTTGCTTAATAAAGTCAGTATTTAACCTTGCCTGTATATTTACTTTTGTTGTTGTTACTACTATTTTTTATTCATTCTTGCATTTCAGAGCTTCCGTATTGCTGGGCATAGTTTTTCGGCCTTATAGAACACTGTTTAGTATTCTCCTTAAGTGCAGGTTTGCTGGTGATGAATATCTCTTAATTTTTGTTTATCTGAAAATGCCTTTACTTCATTTTCAGAGGATTTTTGGTTGGCAGCTATCTTCTTCAAACACTTTGAAATGACATTCCATTGTTCTGTGCCTTCCACTGTTAATGTTGAGAAGTTAGCTTACAGTTTTATTTGCTGTTGCTTTAACTGTAATCTGCCTTTGTTTGATACTGGCTGTTAAGATTTTGTTTTTTCTTAATTTCTTTCTAGTTTTGCTTAATATGACTAAGTGTGGGGTTTTGTTTTTGTTTCTTATTCCGATTGGTGTCTGTAGGACACCTTGAAACCTATGGTTTTGTACTTTTCATCAGTTTGGGAAAATTCTCAGTAATTTTATCTTTTATTCTCTCTCCAACTATGTCTCATTTCTGGTAAGTTCATTACTGATGTCCTAATTCCAGTTATTATTTTTGTTTGTTTTACAGCTTCCTTTTTCTTTTTTTAGTTTAATGTTCTTTTCCAGAGTTCTCATTGTTTTTTCTTGTCTTTGAACATATTCAACATCGTTATTTCAAAGTCTGCCTCTAATAATTCCATAATCTGGATCCCCTTTGGGTCTTAATCTGTTTTCTCCTTTTTACTCTTTCATTTCTGTCATGTTATGTTTTCTCCTGATGTGCCTGGTTATTATTGAAAAGTGAGATTACAGAAATAATCTCGCTTTTTGAATGATGTTCCATATCTCCAGAGAGGATTAAAGTTTGCTTCTGGCAGGCAGTTAGGGGTGCTAGAATTCCAAAATCACTTTAATCCGTTTTGATGTAATTTAACAAAAGACTTTTATCCCAGTCTACATTCAGTTTATCCTTGGTCTCAGGATATAGCTCTTCAGAGTTTCAACCAAGCATTGGAGGTTTACAAGGACTTAAGTTGCTTTTCCTTTTACCTCAAAAGACAGGGTGTCTGTACTCGGTTTTTCAGCTCATTATCCCTTTCTGAAATCAGATACACCTAGGGGCAAGCACTGGGAAATGCAAAACTTGCTTCTCTGCATTTTTTTGTACTTTTGTCCAGCTTTTCTGATCTCACCAGAAGTGTTGTTCTAATTATGTAGTCTTACTGCCTCTTCTTTCATTATCACTCAGTTTTCATAAGGAAATGTTACAGGCTTCAGATATGTTTTTCTGACATGTTCCTTGAAATATGTTTATATAACTTGAGAGTATTCGTCATGATTACTTTGTTTCCAGCTTGTGTTGAGACCCTGAACAATTCATGTGTCCAATCTATACGTGCTGTTTACCGTATGTTCCTCAGTCTTGCCTTCAGGGCCTTGGACTTTGACAGACCTCAGGGTCTACCTCGGGGGATAAATGGGGTCATGCTATGTTATAGACAAGTGTGAAAAAACAATGCTATAAACAGGTTGCCCTTTGTTTGGGATTTTTGTTTTGTTTTGTTTTTTTGTGGATTTTTTTGAGTTGAGATCTCACTCTGTTGCCCAGGCTGAAGTGTAGTGGCACAGTCATGGCTCATTGCAGCCTCAAACTCCTGAGCTCAGGCAATCCTCCTGCCTCGGCCTTCCAAAGTGCTGGGATTACAAGTGGGAGCCATTGTGCCCCGAGCCCATGAAACTGGTTTTAGAAGCCATGCACAGTTTATCATTTGACTTTATTCATAACCATCACTCCTATATGGAACACAGTTCCTAGTGGCTCATTCCCTAAGAGCAGGGTTGAACCATGTATGGGTATACCAGTTCTTAAAAGCAAAATTGGCACTGTGATAAAGAAGGTCCTTCTTTGTGCCCCTCAAGATTACCAGCTTGACTTTTGCTACTTTTATGTAGATAATTTAATTTTGAACTTAAACATTTATTTTCATTCTATAGGAAATGACTCCAAAGTAGATGGTTTAGTAAACTTTGAGAAGTTAAGAATGATTTCCAAGGAAATCCGCCAAGTTGTTCGAATGACTTCTGCTAACATGGACCCAGCTATGATGTTTCGACAGAGGTAGGACATTGAAATATGTAAAAGTGTTAGAGTGGTATCAAGGGTGATGTAATAATTAAAATATTTATCATTTATTGATCATATTTATTCTACCATGTGTGCTGTACAAAGTGCTTTATATGTGTCCGTTTCATGTAATCATTTATCATTAATAACCATAACAGGTAGGTGATATTAGCCTTCGTTATACATATTAAGAAACTGAATGAAGCTCAGAGCAGTTTTTACATAATTTGCAAATATTTGTATGTGGATAGTTCTGTATTATTGTTCTTTAAAACATCAGCAGGCCGGGCGCAGTGGCTCACGCCTGTAATCCCAGCACTTTGGGAGGCCGAGGCAGGCGGATCACAAGGTCAGGAGATCGAGACCATCCTAGCTAACAAGGTGAAACCCTGTCTCTACTAAAAAAAAAAAAAAAAATCAGCAAACAAATACAATAAAATTGCTGATATTCATCTTGTTTTCATCTCGTTTCTAAGCTAATTTGTAAAGTATTAGTCTATGTCTTTTATTTTTACTGAATATTTTTAATGTTCTGTTTCTGTTTAATTCATACTTCATTCCTGTAAACCATTTTTCTTTTTCTCAAATTATACTGTGTTTCATTTGTATATAAGTTTTTATTACATACAAATGAACAGAATTTAGAAAGTGCAAATTTAATCATACTTTACTAAAAATGAAAAATTTTATTGTGTTCTGTATTAACCTGATATTTTAAGAATGCTTTTTAAGGTTCATTTTTAATGTAATAACAAAGGCTTCCTCAGCTTACATAAAATTGAAACAAAGTATGTTGTTAAGTATTCCTAGTAATTTTTTTTTTTTTTTGAGACGGAGTCTCGCTCTGTCGCCCAGGCTGGAGTGCAGAGGCGCAATCTCGGCTCACTGCAAGCTCCGCCTCCCGGGTTCACGCCATTCTCCTGCCTCAGCCTCCTGAGTAGCTGGAACAACAGGCGCCTGCCACTACGCCCGGCTAATTTTTTGTATTTTTAGTAGAGACAAGGTTTCACCGTGGTCTCGATCTCCTGACCTCGTGATCCGCCCGCCTCGGCCTCCCAAAGTGCTGGGATTATAGGCGTGAGCCACCGCGCCTGGCCTATTCCTAGTAATTTTTATAATTTTCAGGGTGTAAATAAGACATTGTGGTTTTAATTTTTGATCTGATTTCCTTTTGGGCCTATGTGTATAGCTTCAGTTCACAGGGACATTAAAAATGAAATCATGTACAGGGGCCGACACAATTTCTATGGCTTAAAAAAATATACTGTGCTAAGGAAACAAAAATACTTGGTATTAGGTTGGTGCAAAAGTATTTGTGATTTTTGCCATTACTTTTACACCAACACAATATTTTAAAAGCCAGAGTTGGAATTTTCGTAACCCAATAGAACCAGTGATACACTGGGTTTTTTTTTATTTGTTTTCTTTAAATTGTTGTTTAGGGATCTTTGTTTTTGAGACAGGGTCTCTCACTCTGGTTGCCCAGGCCGAAGTGCAGTGGTGGTGTCTTGGCTCACTGCAGCCTCAACCTCCCGGGTTCAGGTGATCCTCCCACCTCAGCCTCCCAAGTAACTGGGGCTACAGGTGCATGCCACCATGTCCAGCTAATTTTTTTTTTTTTTTTCCAGTAGAGATAGGGTTTCACCATGTTGCCCAGGCTGGTCTTGAACTCCTGGACTCAAGCAATTCACATGCCTCAGCCTGCCAAAGTGCTGGGATTACAGGCGTGAGCCACTGCACCCGGCCTAGGTGTCTTTGTTTTTGCAAGTAGTTGATCTGATGGTTTCTCTGGTTTAGAGATCCACAAAGCATGGAAGGAAGGGAGAGTGTGCCAGATCTCCTCTTTCCTGCACATCCCACTTCTGCACCTTGAAAATCACTACATGTAATGAATGATGTCATTGCTTAACAGTGTGGAAGCAGAAAATAGTAAGAACTAGGTACCAAAGCAAAGAAGGGTTTGTTTGGTTTTTTGTTGTATGTCCTTGTACAATGACCCTAACACTCTCTATTGGCTTATGTGGACCTCTATTTACTTACACATGTTAACATCCTGATTCCTGAAGACATGATGAATTTGTGACCCTGCCAGACCAGTTTATAATATACTAAGTACTAGCCATACTTCAGTAATGAGCAAAGGAGAAAAACTGATGAGGAAATTAATAAACATGGCTGTTTTCTTGGGAATGGCCTGGATTGAATACAATAAGGTATTGGGGGAAAATAAAAAACATCTTTTTTAAAGATTGGACTGAATTTTTCCTGAATCAGTTTTGTCAGCCAGTGCTAAAATGTAATACCTTTCTTTAAGCAAACAATGTCCATTTTGGTGGTGTATGAGTATCTAGTTTGGACAAAGTAACCCCTTTTAACAGTAATCAATTTGCAGACTTAAAAAATAGAATCTTTAGTCAATCAAACAGGAATGTAAAGATATATAGTATTATGAAGATTTTAATGATATGTTTTTTCTTACATTTTAAGTTGGATTTGCTGGTCAACATTTCTTACAAGACATCTTGTCAGAAATTTCTGCACTTAAAAATGAAATTTTATGTTTTTATGTCCCTTGTAATTTCATTCTGTCACTTAAATGAGTGGCCCAAAAATCTTGCCAGCAAGATGTTCAGAAATTCTATTCCTTTAAGGTCTTTTCCCTTAAAAACTTTGAATTCAAAATTTATATTATAGTAAGTAAATGTTTTTCCTTAAGCTTCTTATTTATATAAGCTTCCTGATGAATTAGGTATTTAAAATATAATTGGTCTAAAGCATATTTTTATAAAGTATTTTGGAGCTTTTTTGACCTTCAGTATATACTCATCTTACCCTCCTGCCTTCCATTTAAAGTCATTTTACTGTTAAGCTGTAATTTTTTCCTGATAAAATGTTTCTGTTCTTTTCTGTCTGCATAGTTTCTCTGACTCTCAACTGTTGTCTTTTTTCTGTGCTTTCCTATTCAAACACATGCTTCAATGTTTGTGGCTCTTGCTTACAGGAAGAAGAGGTGGCGGAGTCTGGGGTAAGTGTAGAGATGAACGCAACTGGAATGAAGGTTGTGCGACTCTTAACATATATTGCATCCTTTTCATTAATGCACGCACATAAAATAGCATGAATTCTATTAACCCTGTCAGCCTACATTCCTGACAAATGCCTTCTGCTAACAAGGTGAAAGTAGTGATAGAACTAGCTATTTTTCCTTTATTTTTCCACTATTGATGCCCTATAAGTCCTTTTTAGATTTTGATTTAGCTAGGTCAGTTAGATGATGATAATGATAGTGAATATTTGTTGTGTGCTTGCTATGTGCCATACATTGTTCTAAGCACTCTAAACGAATTATCTTACTTAATTCTACTACTACCCTATAAAGGAGATACTTTTCTTTCCATAGTATGGATGGGAAAGGTTGAGTTGCCTAAAGTTTTAGTTCATTAATGGTGGATCCAAAACTAGGTAGTCTAGTTCTAGAGTTCACACCACTTTCTTTTATTCAAATGCCACATTTTATAAAAGTAAATATATCATATAAATATATAAAAATGAATGAAAGATGTTTGTGAAGGTTGCATTTTCCATCAGTTTTCTAAAAAGAGGCAGCCCTTATCCAAGCTGTACTATAAAATTGAACTAGAAGATGATTTTATTTCCTCAGACCCACTAATGCCACTTACTTGTAGCATTGACTGAATTTTATTTGAAATTTTTACCAGCTTTAATTGAAGATTCCCTTATCTTTAAAGTTGTGATAGAATCAGCAACTGACACTATTTGTTATAGAGTTAGGTCTCTACTTCTACATAGCTAAGTGTCTATTTAGAATCATAGAATGTTAAAGATCTTATATATCATCTATCTAGTCCTTTCATTTTTAGATGAAGAAAGAGATGACTTTTGTGGATGAAGGGATTGCATAAGAAGAATTTTGTTATTTTAAGACTTGTAGTGAACCATGAAGTTAGAAGCTTTTATTACATGTAAGAAGAATTTTTTGTGAGCCACCTTCTTTATTCGAGTCTTGCCTCATTTGTGGTCTTATTTTCTGTTAATGCTTGGTGAACTTGACTTTCCTTCTATTTTCTTTCTCCCTTCTCTGTGTGTTTCCCATGTGTTTTCTTCTGGATCGCAAATTTATGTCTTGGTCTCTTTTGGCTCTTCTCACTGAAAATAGAAATTGATACCTGGCATTACTATTATAAAGAAGAATACTTGGACAATATCTTTTAGTGGGCATTGGGTGTGTTTGAATGACTTATGTTAACATGTTTCACGTTCATTCAGCTTTAGGGTTACACTGTATGATGCTTACAAACATTAGGTATATTTATTTTATATCAGCAATTTTCTGTTTTCAAAGTAGTTTAGAAAACATTTTATCGACGTTTATCACAGTGTTTTTATTTGTTAGAATTTTGTGTCTCCTAGATTTGTCAACACCTACTTTTTTATATTAACTAAGATAAAAATCATTAAATATTTGTGTTAAAATTTGCTCCTAAATAGCTGCAACTTGATTTTACTGCATTTCTTTGAATTCAAGACAACGTCAATTGTTGGACATATTGTTATTTTATCTACTACTAAGGAAAATCACTGCAGTATCCTGTTACCACTGAGAATTTCTACTTTATGCTTATTGAAGGAGCTCTTATGGACTTGGCTATGGATTTTTATCACAGTGTGAAAACTGAATTTTTAAAAATCAATATTTTTATTCACATAAAAAGGAAAATATAAGCAAAGTAAATTGGTTTAGGTTTTCCTAAAATTTCTTTATATTCAAAATATGAATCTTCTGAAACGTTTTCTTTTAGAGTCATTAGCTTCTGGATTTTGTTTTCCAGAACCCTCCTTCCCCATACAGTATTGCCCTCTGTGCCATCCAGTGTGTTGGTAATGCACCATTTCTTTGAAAAACCACAAAAGAACCAAAAGCTGCTGGTGCTGGGCTCTCAGGCTAGCTTTGGAAATAATTAGAATTAGTTTTCTCTTGTCACTTGCTTTGGGAATGTTCTTGAACTTGTCAGATTTACTACTTCCTTATAATCATTTGGTCCCTGGAGGTTAAAAGACTAATTCACTAATGGCTTTGGATTTTCTTTCAAGCCATTCTGCAAGTTTTGAGGTCTCTGCAGATGTAAATAATGTCTTGTCATAGTTTCTGCCTGGCCAATAGCAATTGAAAGTTGCCATTCAGTGTAAGATATACCCCTATTGGAAAGATCTTAAAATGTGAAAGAAAAAAATGCCATAACACTTTTTCAACTATATTTCACTTAATTTACAATGAAAGCATTAGGATTTTAGTGTCTATTTTAAAGTAGATATATGAGCACTGTGGTCTTTGTATTTAGAATACTTTTATATAAAAATGGAGCTTAATTTAGAAAATCCATAGATAACCTTATTATTTTGGAATGGCAAAATAAAATACCATCTAAATAAAAATTATATAAGAATTTTGTATTTGTTAGCCTTGTTAGAAAGGACAAACATCATTGCAGTTGCTGTTTTCCATTGGTTCTAGATGTGCAGTCGTTGTAGGATGTTTGCCAAAAAGAGTAGAGTCGGGTGAAGCTGTAGTTTGTTTGAATTGTGGTTATTTCCACCCAGCTTGCAATTCTGTCACATTCACAGGCATTACAAAAGTGATGTCCCAGATCCTCAGTTCTAGAACCCAAATATTGCCTAACCATTCCATATTTGAGGGAAGCATTGAGTTTTTACTGCATTCTGATGTCCGACTGTATTGAATTGCATATAAATGCTGTAAATTTTCAGCTAACGTGTTATTGGTAGTTCTGTTTGAGTTTTGGCCAAAATAATGGTTACTAGTAAAATTGGTTAACATGCTCACAGTGGGCCTGCTATAATGGTAGTGGCAATAGCATGTCCAAAGCAGAACAACAAGCAAAACTACTTTAGAACCCTCATTGCTAAAGAACCCTGGTTCAGAGATTCGGCTGAGGATGGACTTGTCGTGGTCCAGACTCTTGCCATATCTTCAAAGCGTGGGTGGCCTCCAGGACCAGAGGAATGCTTTTTCTTGTTACTGTTGTGCCATAGGTTGCATAGGCACAAACACAGGCCTGATGGAATATGCCACTCAGGGGGCCATTGTTATCCTATTCTTTTGAATTCTGTACTTTGCCAAATCCTGTTCTTAATTCAGAACGTCACCATATGTGCCAAATTACTTTGCATTAATGCTCTTCATCTTTTAACTCATTTACATCAGCATGCAATAGCATTAACAGAACAAAATCTTTTAATCTTCAATCTGCTATGCTTAGTTCTCATCTCTATAGCCCCTTATTGTGATTTTCATCTTCTTATAGGTCACTGAGTCAAGGAAGCACAAATTCAAACATGCTGGATGTTCAGGGAGGTGCTCACAAAAAAAGGGCACGCCGCAGCTCTCTGCTTAATGCCAAGAAGCTATATGAGGATGCCCAAATGGCAAGGAAGGTGAAGCAGTATCTTTCCAGTCTCGATGTAGAGACAGATGAGGAGAAGTTCCAGATGATGTCATTACAGTGGGAGCCTGCATATGGTACCTGTGAGTACAAGTTTTCATTTATGTGACGCTAAAGAGCACAACAAAATAAAAACTTATTTCTCTAGAATTATACCTAAGTCCCAAGAAAATTAACTTTCACTCACAAAAGATTGCTGGCATACCTTAAGCATCATGTGATCCAATTAATCACAGACTGAATCCCATCCATTCCTGATGGCTACACTATCCAAAAAATAGAGGGATAAGTAGATCTTTAAAAAGCTTTTTAATTCTTTTAAAAACTGGATCATTATAGAGGAGGCTTTCTGTTTGAGAACATTTTTATATTCATCCCTAAAGAGTAAACATAAGTGGAATTTTTACCTCTTTTTATTTCATGGATAATATTTACCAACTAGAAAATATAAGAAATTTGATTAAAACACCAGTGATAATAGGTAGCTTACAGGTGCCAGTAGTAAGGTAAAACAAAAAAAAATCAGACACATTCCAATATTAGTAATCTCTAGAAAATGTGATGGAAAAGATCGTGTTCTCAATATGGATTTTTTTTAATTAAATACAAGCAAGAGAATGCATATATATTTGGATCAAGGAAATTATGAATTCTAAGAGCAGAAATCAAAGATAATGAAATATATACTGTTATAACAAAATAATTGTACATCTTAAATTGTAGGTTAAGGCCAGGCGTGGTGGGTCACACCTAGAAACCTAGGCAGGAGGATCACTTGAGGCCAGCCTTGGCAACTCAAAGAGACCCCATCTCTACAAAAAAAAATTAAAATTATCCAAGTGGTAGTGCTAGCAACTTGGGAGGCTGAGGCAGGCAGGTCACTTGAGCCCAAGAGTTTGAAGCTGCAGTGAGCTAGGACCATGCCAGTGCTCTCCACCCTGGGCAACAAAGTGAGACTCAGTCTCTCAAAAATAAATACGCGCGCACACACAGACACACGCAGTGGGTTAAATTTACAAAGTGAGACTCAGTCTCTAAAAAATAAATACACACACACACACACACACACACAGAGAGTGAGTTAAATTTGCCCATAAAAATTGAAATAGAATTTTATTTCAAAGTTCCTAGTTGACAAGGGGTAGTAGTCATCATGGATTGACCCTAAGATTGATAAATGATATGGTATTTGCATAGTAATTTTTTAAAGTATGTCAAAAGAAAGAATAGAAAACAGGAAGTGGAAATAGAACCAAATACTGATTTTTAAAAATTCAGTTTTGACAATTTTTAAATAAGGGTAAGGAGCCTTTTAATAAGTGCTATAATCAAAACAATATCTTGAATGCTTCTGCATATAAGAAAAGATTTGGAGTATGATGGAAAGAATACCTACGAAAGGATAGAGGCAGAATTTGAGTTTCATTTATTACATTTGAGTAAGGTTTTCTTCATCTTTAGTCCCTGTTTTCTCAAATGTAAAACTTGGGCAAGGGTTGGGAGTACATTTTATTTCTGTGATTCTTTGTACGTCGAAGTTATTAAATTTGGAAAAAGACATTTTTAAAAGCTAACAGTTATTGAGAGCTTTCTACATTCTGGCTGCCACATGTTAAATGGTACATGTTAAAGGTAAAAGCTGAAAGAGTATATAGAACCTTTAACATTTATTCATGCTTTAAAGTTCAAAGCCATGTACATATTTATTAAAGCTTTCTGGCCCTGCTTTGAGTCATCATCAAAGTTATTTTTTCCCAGGTAATTTGATGTAGACTTAATCATCTTATGGTTATGAAACACAGTTTATATACACCCTCATGGCTTCCTCTTCTTACACCCACCCCAGACTTGTGTCTGTCTTTTCTCATAGCACTAAATGATGTCCCATGCTACATATTTAATAAAATGAGAAAATCTTTAGGCCTTTCTTTCTTAAACTGGATTTGAACATTTAGTTAAATGCATGTTCCTTTAATTTGGTTTGAGCATCTTTATAATGCATAATTGATTTTTAAATGTTTAAATAGTCACTATCCGAAGCCCAAACAATAGTTGATTTCTGAGCATTATAGAATTTGATTCTTCCCAATTAATTAGAATATATGTGGTTTTTGTCATTCATCTGTAAACTTATTTTTGAAGTAGTCTCAGGTTTTTTTCTTTGTACTGTAGCAATTATTAAAATAAGATGTCATTGATTAGCATTTACCAATCAATGAGAGAAGGATGAAAGTATTTCATGGCTCTAACCAAAGATGATAACCTCTTGGATTCAATTAGTTGGTGAGCCATTGCAATTTTCTCTTGGGGTCCCTGTATTTGAACTTTCTAAGACATTCTCTGATTCTTATCACCCCAAATATTGTCTAGTCTGTCTTAATAAAAGCATAATAGCTATTATAGCTGTGTTGAGACAGTTTAGACATCTATTTTTGCTTTTATCTTGATGTTTAAAACAAATACTTCATGAAGTACTGAGGCTGCACCTGCATTGAAACCACCCTGGATAACCTAAGGATTAAAAGTACTCCCTGATGGAAGAATGTCTTCCCCTTGGACTATAGTATTGGTTTTATATGAAGGAGGCAGCTTTTATAAGTAAGGGTTCTCAGTTTTTTATTCTCACATTCATATTCAGAAAACCTATGGATTTATAAAAGCACTGTCTCTGGTTTTCTTGTGTTACAGCTGTTGAGATAATTTCACTTATTTATTCAACAAATACCCATTAAGCATCTGTTTTCAGTCAGTTACTGGCACATAAGGATGTAATAACGAACAAAATGCATAGTCCTTACTCTCAAGTAGGTTAAAGCCTAATGAAAGGAACAGAGAAGATAAAGCCTAATGAGAGTATAGGACTGGTGAGAGGAAAGGTAAGCAAGTCAAGTCAAGGGAGCAGGCTGATGCTAAATCATGCAGGGTCATATAGGCCTTGTTTTAAGGATTTGGGTCTTCATTCTAAAAGCAGGGGCAAGTTAAGGTTTGTGCAGAAGGAGAAGGGAAATGATATGATCAAATACTCATTTTGGCAGAGTCACTCTTCTATTCTATGAAGAATGCCTTGAAGGCATGCTAGAATTGATACAGTGAGAAAAGTATTTCAGTAGTAAAGGTGAGAGAATGTTAACTTGACCCTCAGCAGAGTGATGATGGAGCTAATTAACATGGATTCAAGAATTATTTAGGGCTGGATGAGGTAGCTCACACCTGTAATCACACCACTTTGGGTAGCTGGGGCATGTGGATCACCTGAGGTCAAGAGTTCGAGACCAGCCTGGGCAACGTGGTGAAACTCCATCTCTACTAAAAATACAAAAATAGGCCAGGCGCAGTGGCTCACGCCTGTAATCCCAGCACTTTGGGAGGCTGAGGTGGGTGGATCACCTGAGGTCGGGAGTTCGAGACCAGACTGACCAACATGGAGAAACCCCTGTCTACTAAAAATACAGAATTAGCTGGGTATGGTGGTGCATGCCTGTAATCCCAGCTACTCGGGAGGCTGAGGCAGGAGAATCACTTGAACACTTGAACCTGGGAGCCAAGATTGCACCATTGCACTCCAGCCTGGGCAACAAAAGCAAAGCTCTGTCTTAAAAAAAACAAAAAAAAAAGCCAGGTTTTGTGGCAGGTGCCTGTAATCCCAGCTACTCAGGAGGCTGAGAGAGTAGACTCCATTGAACCTGGGAGGTGGAGGTTGCAGTAAGCCAAGATTGCACCATTGCACTTCAGCCCGGGCGACAGAGCGAAACTTCATCTCAAAAAATAAAAAATAAAAAGATTTATTTAGGAGATAAAATTAACAACTTATTCTACAATAGTTTTAGAGATAACATTTTTTATCTGACTCACCAAACAATAGAGATAACATCTTATAGTACTTAACTGAAATTCCTGCTAAGAAAAATTAATCTATTTTATCTTTTGTGCTAAAAATAGATGGTTTTAAAGTAACCATTTATTATTGCCAGTGGTGATAACCTTGCCTAAAAACGTGCAGTTACTTATTTCTTACTCTCTCCTGTTAGTGACCAAGAATTTAAGTGAGAAAAGATCAGCCAAATCATCTGAAATGTCTCCAGTGCCTATGAGGTCAGCTGGCCAAACAACTAAAGCCCACTTGCATCAACCCCACAGAGTAAGCCAGGTGCTTCAGGTGCCAGCTGTTAATTTGCACCCCATCAGGAAGAAGGGACAAACAAAAGACCCTGCACTGAGTGAGTATTCACCATTAATATTACATCCGTTTACCTGAAATTTCCAGGGGAGTTAGAGTGAAAAATAATTACAGATGTTCAGGAGATAAGCTGTTGTAGGTTGTGTAATATAATCGTCACTTTATGAATCAAAAATGTTGATTTCATTTTGCCTATAGATGTTTGCTGACAGCATACGTGTTTTAAATGCCAACATTGAATTTCCTATAATACTGAAATCTGTCGATCAATAGAAAATTTACAGCAATACATTTTGGGTACCAAGGGCTTACTGCATTCAGAGGTGTATTTAATGAAATATCCAATACAGATGCAACCTACAAAAACTGTGGAAATGAAGTTGCTTATTCCAAAAATGACTATACGTTGTTTTTTGTCTTTAAAGACCCCTTCTGAAAACGTGGTTGGGAAACAAGAGAATATAACTTTTATAAAATATAGACCACACTTTTTTTTTCTGTTAGGCCATATAGTCATTATTCATATTACTTTTATTTGTTGTTTTGACAGTATCACTATTTTAGCCTTTTAGATGAGAACCTAGATTAGATTTGGTTCCTAGCATGATTACTTAGGCTGTACATTATATGTAGTATATGTTTAGTAGAACTTTGTTCATTTAATTTGTTATTGTTTGAGATACAAAGTTGAATAAGAAATTCCCCCTCCTTGACCAGATTTTCAGTCTGGTGATGTAGACACTCACACAGGTAACTTCAATATAATGTGTCTTCTTCTTATGCCAGGGGTATATGCAGAACATATAAAAGAACAAAACAAGAGCTTTTAACTTAGACAGAGGTAAGATAGGGCTTCAGAAGAAGGCTTTTTGGAAATAACATCTAAGCAGCCTAAAAGATTGGTGACGAAGAAGATAATTAGGCAAAAGTTCCAGAGAAGTTGCTTCAGGCTGAGGAAACAGCTTGGTATGTGCAAGAAACTACAAGCACTTTGCTGACGCTGAGTGGAAATTGCATGCAGTGTTGACAGACAATAATAATTAAAGCTGACACTTGGAGAGCACTTACTGGTGCCAGGCATGGTTCAAATTGTGCTTTACTAATTTTATATATCAGTCTTCATAGTAATGCCACAAGATAAGTGGTATTTTACCCTCATTCTACAAAGGAAGCATAGAGGCTAAAGGAAGGCTGACTGGCTTTAAATCTTTGCCTTTAACCACTGTACTAAACAGCTTCCAAGATGCAGAGAATGAAGACAGGTATGCTGAAATTACAATGTGCCATGCCAAAGGAAAAAGTTAACATTGAGAAGCCATTGAAGAGATTTGAACAAGAGAAGGTTACGGTTCAAATTATGTTTGAGAAGGACTGTAGTGAGGATCACAGCAGGACTGGAGATAGAGAGCTCAGATGGAAAGCTGGTCTAACAGTTAACTGGAAGTTGCCCAGGGCCTGGACTAGTTTGGTGGCTATGGAAATGAAGAGAGAATTGGGTGCAGAATTGGTGAAGTTGATAAATTTGTTGGTAGGAGTGAGAGAGGGACAAAGTTAGCTCTGGTTTTTTTACTTGAATATCACCACTTGAGAGGAAGCATTACTTATACTATGTAGCTTCCTTTCTTTCTTTTTTTTTTTTTTTTTTTTTTTTGAGACAGAGTCTCCCTCTGTCGCCCAGGCTGGAGTGCAGTGGTGCGATCTTGGCTCACTGAAACCTCCGTTTCCCAGGTTCAAGCAATTCTTATGCCTCAGCCTCCTGAGTAGCTGGGATTACAGGTGCATGCCACCACACCTGGCTAGTTTTTGTATTTTTAGTAGAGATGGGGTTTCACCATGGTGGCCAGGCTGGTCTCGAACTCCTGACTTCAGGTGATCCACCCACCTCAGCCTCCCAAAGTGCTGGGATTACAGGCGTGAGCCACCATACCTGGCCACTTACTTTATGTTTTAAGAACAGTGTCTATAGCTCTCTGACATTTCTTAGAGAAGATGAATGTAAAAACGTCAATATATTGAAAGCATTGCTAAGTTTGAGGTACACTAAACAGACCAGACATTGGACAAGGGTAATGATAGGACTGTAAGGAATCGTTCCACTGTGCTGCATACTATTTTTCTATACATTCATGATTTTTTCTGTTGTTTACTTCTCTCCTGTAGTGTGAATTTAGTGCTCTTGAAAAGGGCTGGACTGGCAGCCCTGCAGCCTCTTCCCGTATACCCACAGCACAGATGCACCACAGGTAGTGACAGTGCCAACATCCCCACACTGCCCCTGCCACATGCGTCGCCCCGACTTGGAGAGGCCACCTCTAGAGGGGAGGGAAGAGTTTGAATCCATGCCTTCTTTTTGAAGATTTCAAATCACTGTGTCAATTGTGGGAGGTGGGGCATAGCACTCAGACTGTTAAATTGATTTCCCTTATACCACAAAGTGCAGACAAACTAATATAATCTGGTCCATGCTGACCAGCTGAATTTGAATGAATAACCTAGAGGTGAGAATCTCTGTATGCCATTACCCAGTCATTTAGTCCCTGTTTGTCATTTACACATTTCAGTTGACTACACTAGCCATTGTGCATCATAGTGTTAGTTATGTAGTGATTTAGGCAACTATAGACATTTTAATTGTGAAACGATGCTTATTTGCATCTTTGGTTTTATTTTTAGATACAAGTTTACCTCAGAAAGTTTTAGGAACAACTGAAGAAATAAGTGGTAAGAAGCATACAGAAGACACTATTTCTGTGGCGTCATCTTTACATTCTAGTCCTCCTGCATCTCCTCAAGGCTCCCCTCACAAAGGTAAGACAAAACATTTCAAACTAGTTCTTGTTAAACTAAACAATACTTTATAGCACATATTTTGCTTTTCAATCTATAGCAATAATTATAAATCATTAAGAAAAGCATAACTCCTAATGCTTTTTGAACTTTGATGTTTTGTATTGCATTATTCAGATGCTTTTTAGATATTATGTGTCATGTAACTAGGACTCCAGTATTCAAAGTGTGGTCCTAAACTTCAACAGACAGCAAGCATGGATAAGAATAAAGGCAGAAGCCATAGTTTTGGTGCAAATTCTTGGTGTTATCATTCCAGTTTCCTATATTTGGACATTTCTATGAAGTGTTTACAAGTAAAAGTTTCTGTAAGAGATTCTTTTTAGGCCAGGCACAGTGGCTCATGCTTATAATACCAGCATTTTGGGAAGCTGAGGCGGGTGGATCACTTGAGCCCAGGAGTTGGAGACCAGCCAGGGCAACATGATGAGACCCCAACTCTACAAACAATTTAAAACTTAGGCATGGTGGTGTGCCTGTAGTCCCAGCTACCCGGGAGACTGAGGTGAGAGGATCGCTTGAGCCTGGGAGGCAGAGGTTGCAGTGAGCTGTGATCATGCCACTGTACTTCAACCTGGGCAACACAGCAAGACCCTGTCTCAAAAAAAAGAAAGAAACTGTTTTTAACCAACTATAAGATTTAGGAAAACAAAAATTAGGAAAACAAATATGCTTTTCCTTTTTTAGTAACAGAGTATTACCTTTTTTAAAATTAGGATTTAAAATAACCTGTACTCTTGTGGATTTTTTACTTATACAGAATCTCATGAGGTAAAAAACTGAAATTCTTGTTCATTTACGTGTTTTCATAATTCAGACTGGAGCATTTCTTTTCTTGGCTAGCCTGGGCAGTGTGCAGCAGATGCCATTTCATGTTAGCTGCACATGTAGCATTCTAAATATGGTGTGTATTTCTTATATTGACCCTTCACACTCTGTGTGTACCCTGGAAAGAAAGGGGATTTAGTCCTGGCATCTTCTTCACAGATGTAAAAGAATTACATATTTAAATAATCACACCAGAGGATGGTACATGGTCAGAGGGAAGACAAGCTTATTATAATAATTCTAACAGGAGAGAGAAGCTTCCAGAGCTTGCTTCAGCTTCCAGGCTCTAAGTTTCATCTCACTCTGCAGAGCTCTTTCTTATTTTTGCCACCTATGTGGCAATTATGTACAGTGATGTCAGACCTGAGTTTGAACCGTGATTCTGTCCTCCACTGTAGCTGTGTTACTACAAGTAATTTATTTATACGGTCAGGTTTCCTCTCTGTAAGATGGGAAAAAGACCATCTAGGCCAAAGCAGGCGGATCGCCTGAGGTCAGGAGTTCAACACTAGCCTGGCCAAGATGGTGAAACCCATCTCTATTAAAAATACAAAAAAATTAGCCAGGGGTAGTGGCACATGCCTGTAGTCCCAGCTACTCAGGAGGCCGAGGCAGGAGAATCACTTGAACCAAGGAGGCGGAGGTTGCAGTGAGCCAAGATCATGCTATTGCACCCCAACTAGTTTGGTGGCTATGGAAACGAAGAAAGAATTGGATGCAGAATTGTTGCCTAACCTGGGTGACAAGAGCAAAACTCCATCTCAAAAAAAAAAGAGGAAAAGAAAAAGACCATCTATTTTAACAGCCTCTTATGTGGTTTAAATGAAATAATATTTATAAAGCCTCATGTGTGGTAAGTGTTTAGTGAATTGGAATGTCTCTTTTCTTTCTCTGCGGCCACCTCAGGACACCATAGCTCCATTACTCACTTGCTTTTTTCATCCTCACATAGCTGAGACTGGTTAGATTTTTTTCATTCAGATTTTACTAAAGAAAGCTTAATAAAAATGAAACAGGAGATAAAAACAGTTTGTATAGTAGGTGTATTTATAAAACACAGATTTTGATCCTGTTGTAGCTCATATGTAATTTTGTGTGGCACACAGACCTATGTCATCACTTTCCTTGTCTGTATGGTCCTATCCAATGCGCCCCTTACCAGATCTTGCGATGTAGGATAAGCCGCAGTGCCTCCAGTCAGACAGATGGTCCAAATGAACAGTATCCATATGCTCCTAATGCTCGTTCAGGAACACCTTTACACTCCTTACCCCTGTTAGAGGCTGCTCAGTGGTCCATCCCATTATAGCTGATTTGGTATTTTATGCCTGAATGTGACTTCTGGAAAGTGGTATTAGAAACAGGAATTCCTCCATTGCTCTTATTCCCAACAAAATCTACACTCAACACTCGAATAGAGAAGTATTTTCTCCCTTTGTGAGAAAATTGTAGCCAACAATTGAACACCATGTTTATAGGTTTGTGAGCTTCTCGTAGTAATGTTTAGAATTCTTAGAAGCCTGAAGAAATTCTTCTCTTCAAAACTGTTTCAGCTTGTTCTTGCATGTGTACTATCAAAACCCCAACCAAGTATGATCCTTCTATTTTTGTAGACAGGTTTTTGCCAGTAACCTATGATTGAACAAAACTGTCATTATGCTCAGAGTAAATTATTAGGATCTGTTCCTGGTTCTTATTAAACTTGGAGATCTGTTCTTTGTTTTCTTATGATTAAGAAAATAAACCTGTCTTCATGTTTTGCATGAGGATAGTTTAAACAAGAACTTTAAAAAAGAAGTCAAAAGACCTTAAACATTATCTACCCTAGTGTTTAAGAAAAGCACTCTCCACCTTGGATCTACAACAGGATCAGAAAATGAACGTTATAAATATACCTATTGTATGTACTATTTATATGTCTTATTTGGTTTTTACTAAGCTTCTTCATAGTAAAATCTACCTTACAATTCTAGACCTACATAGTTACTTTACAGAAATAATTCTAGTTACCTGATATTTTTGTCATATTTTTCCTTATGATTTTACCAGCTTGGCTTCCTTTCAACAGTTTTTTTGTTTTTGTTTTTGTTTTTATTTTTATCACCAGCTTGTGCTGATAAAGGTAATCTTTCTCCTGCATTCTGTCTTGCAATAACTGATGTGTATATGTTTTATATATAAGTAGATTTTTTTCCATGCATTAAAAAATATGTTGCTAGATTTCAATTTTTCAGATATTATCAAGATGTTAGAATTTTTAAATAGTGAAATATTATGTAAACAAGGCTAATTGTGATTGACCATGTCAGGGTTTTTGCATCTCTCCCTCCAGTTGGCAGTATCATATCTGATCACAGCAGCAAGATCAGTGGCCAGAGCTGCCCCGGAATAGGTGGGGCTTACTTGCAAAAGAAAATCCTTCAGATTACCAGGAGCACAGCCAAAAGAACAGACAGTACTGAGAAGGCCACTGAGGAGAATAGAGACAGGACAAGTTGTGAGAACACAACCAGAAAAAGAATGACATCCCCGTTTAGAAGACTTAGGGAAAGAATGCTTTCAAGGGAGAGACTAGTCAACAGCCAAAAAGAGGACACAGATCACAATCAAGCTACAGAAAGCTGTGAGAAAGTGAAGGATGTTGGAAGCAACATCAAAGATGAGAAAGGGAGTGCCATCTTCAATTCAAATAGCCAAGGCAACAGTAACACTTTAAACTGCTTCTATACGCGATTCAAGTCTAAAAGGAGGAAGACACTCTGATGAAGTTCCTTATTTAATTTTAGTGTTAAGTTTGTTTTCAGTTATTAATGTATACATGGCTTAAATTAAACCATTTGTCAAAGCTTAGGCAGACAACTTAGTAAAATACTATTTATAAACACTTGAAAATGCCTCATTTGTACATAAGTTATTTTACTGATGTATTGAGTTAGTAAATTTTATACTCTTGTTTTCTGTAGTTGACTTTATTTCCTACTGTTAGCTGGATCTGTGAGTGAAATATGTAGAGGAGGCTTTTTTATCTTCTACTTTTTACGTATCTTTGATTGGGGGAGAAGGGACTAGTCTAACATAGCAATATCAGAATCATCTGGGAAACTTGTTAAAAAATGCAATTACTGTGTCCCACCCCAGACTTCATAAACTTGAATTGCCAGAAATGGGATCTGGAATGTTTATTTTAATTGGCTTGCCAGGTGGTTCTTAGTATTATTATATTTGAGAAATACTGATCAAATAGACATAAGAATGAAATTATTTTTTAAACAATGAAGCAAGATTATTGTGTAGAGCAATGACTTTTTCTTTTCAAGAAGAAGGTTTTTATTTATTTTTAATTTACTTATTACATCCACTTTCTTGGTCCTCTTAAAAATTGACTAATCAGCTCATGGACATTGACAAATAGCAGTGATCCCAAGTTCAGAGATGTATGATAGACGTCAGAAGACTGGCTTGTCTTGGCTTACCCTGTTCCTGTCCACGTAGGCCAAATATAAATCACACATTTTCTAGGCCTTTTTCTCTTTGAAATAGTTAACGAAACGACTTAATAAGATTACTGTGCAACAAATTATTCCTTAAATGACTTGAGTTATATGTGAATAACTCCAAGATCCATAAACAGAGAAAGACTTGGAACTAAGGATGTTGTCATCCTCTTTCTGCATGAAGATGAGGCCCTGAGAATTCCAGTAACATACCCAAAGCCTGTAATTCTTCCTAATGACATTTCTAGGTATTGGTCCAAAGGTCACATATCTACTAAACCCTACTTTCCTCTGTGAGCAAGAAGATATTTTTTACTTCTTTGAGACCCGTCCCTTGTTGGGATTACTAGGGCATTTTCTTTTTCTTTTATTTCTAAACAAAAATTTGGTTTCTTCCAGTTATCAAAATAGATTATTATGTACATTAGCCATTCTGTTGCAGATTTGTTTTTGGGTCCTTCACCTCAGTGCGTCCCTAGAATACAGAAGAACATCTCTCTAGTTGTCTGCTGTGCAGTAAGTCACAGAACAACATAGAACATGTAGATGCTGTTTTTTTCTATAACACATTATTAAACATGTATCCACTCAGCTGTTTAATATTCTGCAAGGTTGGTGAAGAAAAAGGAAACTAAGTATGACACTAAGTTTAAACCTAAAACAATTTAAAAAACTGAAACAGGCTGGGCATGGTGGCTCATACCTGTAATCCCAGCAATTTGGTAGGCTGAGGCGGGAGGATCGCTTGAGGCCAGGAGTTGAAGACCAGCCTCGGCAACATAATGAGACCTCATTTCTGCAAAAAGTTTAAAAATAACTGGGTGTGGTGGTGCAGACCGTAGTCCCAGCTACTTGGGGCTGAGGCAAGAGGACCACTTGAGCCCAGGAGTTCGAAGCTGCAGTGAGCTATGATCGTGCCATTGCACTATAGCCTGGCAACAGAGCAGGACCCTGTGTCTAAAAAATAAAAATAATCTAAAACAGTGACTCTCAACTCAAGACAAGACTTCTTAGGTGGGATATGCAGAATATATGGGGTAAGTATATATAGTTTGATAAAGCAAAAATGTAGTTCTTTCCCTTGAGTCCTGGACTCCCACCCCTACCCTTACTTCAAGATGGTATTTGGGATTCAGATCAGGTCAAGAAATATTCATATTAATCAAAGGAAGGAGCGTTGGGTTAAAAAGAAGTTGAGAAACCCTAAAGACATGTACTTATTAATATTTGTAATCTTCTTATTTTATTAAATGATTATAGCTGTGGGAGAGCCTGAGAAAGATATACCTTTAAACTAGTTTTCTGAGTAACACTGGACTTTGACTGTCTTTTTCTTGAATGTGTAGTTGTATTGGTGTGGTGTGGATAGTAGGCAAATGGTTATGTAGGGGAATGTGTGGAGAAAATTGGCACCATTATATCTACATAGATGGAAACTAAAATTGCTTCTACTTTGTCTTCTGTTATTTTTGTGGGGTTTTTTTTTTTCATCCTTTCCCCTACTACCCCCACCATATGTTCCCTTTTTTTGTAGTTTGATCAGTGCTCTTTTCTTGTTCAGGTTACACACTTATTCCATCAGCTAAATCTGACAACTTGTCTGACTCCAGCCATAGTGAGATTTCTTCACGGTCCAGCATCGTGAGCAATTGTTCTGTTGACTCCATGTCTGCAGCTCTACAGGATGAACGGTGTTCCTCTCAGGCCCTGGCAGTCCCTGAATCCACTGGGGCATTGGAAAAGACAGAGCACGCTTCAGGGATAGGAGATCATAGTCAACATGGCCCTGGGTAAGCATCATTGTCTGTGTTCATAACACAAAACCCAAGCCAAGTGGCCACTGCAAGGAGTGCTCCCCACCTTGACCTTGGACCTCCCATGGGGTAATTGCAGAGTTATCCATAAAAGAATATGTGGGCCAAGCACATATTCTCTATTCTGAATATGTAAATAAGCACTATGTTGAAAGATGTATGGGTGTTCATTTTTAAAGTGTTACTAAATTCAAGTAACTTTTTATCATTATGTATCTTTCCAGTCAGAACTCAAAGTGCATCTGCTACTTATATAGGGGAGATAATTTTTGAAATTCTGGCTATAGGTTAATCAAAAAGGTTGTGTTTTGGAAAGTGCCTCGAGTGCTGTGCACATTGTAGACAGGTTGGGAGAGTAGGACTAGCCCTTGATCTCTGTCCTCTGAAAGTGTAATTTGGGGAGTAAGAATAATCACCTAGCAAAGGTTAATTAAAAAAAAAAATCAACTCTAAATTTCTATTTAGAATCAAGCAACGTGGAAATCTTTGAGAAAGTTTATTCTAACTGATAAATATTGTGAAATCTGGTCTACTTTAATATGAAAAATTTAAGATAAATTATTACCACATTTATAAAGATTTCTAAACTAGGATCTCTACACCAGAGGTCAGCAAATGTTTTCTATAAAAGTTACATAGTAAACATTTTAGACTTCACAGGCCATAAGGCCTCTGTCACAACTACTCTGCTATTACACCAGAATAGCCATAGACAACACATAAACAAATGGCATGACTGTGTCCCAGTAAAACTTTTTTTTTTTTTTAAGGCGGAGTCTCGCTCTGTGAGACAGAGTGTCACTCTTGTTGCCCAGGCTGGAGTGCACTGGCGCGATCTCGGCTCACTGCAAGCTCCGCCTCCTGGGTTCACGCTGTTCTCCTGCCTCAGCCTCCCGAGTAGCTGGGACTACAGGCGCCCACCACCACGCCCGGCTAATTTTTTGTATTTTTAGTAGAGACAGGGTTTCACCATGTTAGCCAGGATGGTCTCGATCTCCTGACCTCGTGATCCGCCCGCCTCGGCCTCCCAAAGTGCTGGGATTACAGGCGTGAGCCACCACGCCCAGCCAAAACTTTATTTACAAAAACGAGCAAAGAGACCACCAGATTTGGCCCTGGGCTGTAGTTTGCTACCCCCTGCACTATACTGTAAATGAGGGGTTTACAAACTTTTTTTTGTGAAGGGCTGGGTAGTAAATATTTTCGCCTCTGCAATCTACATATAGTCTCTGTCACAAATTCTTCTGGTTTGGTTTTGTTTTCTTTTCTTTTTTAACCTTTTAAAAGGTTAAAAAACAGAACTATTCTTTGCTCCAGACCATACAAAAATAGGCTGTTGGCTAAATTTGGCCCATGAGCTTTAGTTTGGGGACCCCTGCTATAAATTATTCATTTCATGGGTAATTGGGGAAGTTGCTGTTTACTTGGCACTGTACTGGGCTAACCTCAGAGGTACGTTGAAAAATAAAACATGATTCTTCAAGTTGGGAACTCTTAATTCTGTATGCATGGACGCAGTAGTCTAATATTGTGATGACCAAAAATGAATATGTATACTTAACCTTATTCATTTCAACTCTCATCTTTACATTTTCATTTAAAATCAGTTCAAGAAAAATACTTGCCAGGCATACCTCTGGTCCATCCCAGCTGCTGGGGAGGCTGAGGCGGGAGGATCACTTGAGCCCAGGAGTTAAAAGCTGCAGTGCATCATGATCGTGCCTGTAAATAACCACTGCACTCTGGTCTGGGCAACAGAGTGACACCCTGTCTCGAAAAAAAAAAAAATATCTAACATTTTAAAATTTAAAAAGAAAAATTCTAAGGAAATTTTGCTAAGCATTAGAGTTTCTTTACTGTGTCTTCTGAGTGTTAACTAAATACTTACAAGGAATATAGTGATGAATGATGATAATATTGTTTTCCTCACGATGTTATTTGGCATGAACACTTGTGGTACGTGCTCTGTAGTTTCTCACAGGCAATAATAACTTGAAACAGAGAGAAGATAGTTTTTCTGGCAAGCCTTCTAATTGTACGTTATCTCCAATTTTAGGTGGACACTCTTGAAGCCATCTCTAATCAAGTGTTTAGCTGTCTCATCGTCTGTGAGCAATGAAGAGATTTCTCAAGAGCATATCATTATAGAAGCAGCTGACAGTGGTCGTGGAAGTTGGACTTCGTGTTCAAGCAGCTCCCATGACAACTTCCAAAGCCTTCCAAACCCAAAAAGCTGGGATTTTTTGAACTCTTACAGACATACCCATTTGGATGACCCCATTGCTGAAGTTGAACCCACTGACTCTGAGCCCTATTCCTGTTCTAAAAGCTGCTCTAGAACTTGTGGGCAGTGTAAAGGAAGCCTAGAGAGAAAGAGTTGGACCTCCTCCAGTTCTCTGTCTGACACGTATGAACCAAACTATGGGACAGTTAAACAGAGAGTATTGGAGAGCACCCCAGCTGAGTCATCTGAAGGCTTGGACCCCAAGGATGCCACTGACCCAGTTTATAAAACTGTCACTTCAAGTACAGAAAAGGGCTTGATTGGTAAGTTGTGTTTTTGTTGTCTGTGGCATTTAGAGATTAAGTAGTCAAAAAATGGCATTGGGATATCTTGGCCCTGGATTTTATCGTCGCAAAAATTCATTCTCTAACAACCTTTCTTTCCTTCACAAACAAACAAGTTATTTCCCAAAAATTCATGGTTTCTCAAAGACTTTGGAGCAGCTATTCAACCCCATTAAAATGAAAAGTCTGATGTGAAGGTATTTAATTAGAGGGACAAGTTTGTTTGTCTTTTGTTTTTAAGTTCTTTTTGGTTTTATTGAGGAATATCATCGCATTAGTGTGCAATAGTAGTAAAGGGATTATTCTCTTTATCACCTCATAAATTGTTTGGACCACAATTGGTATGCATACGTGGTAGAAACATTGAATCTGCTATTGATTTTAGGTCGTAACAGTGAGAGAAAATGCAATCAGGAAGTCCAGAACATTTTTCAGTATACTCTCTTGGTGTACATCATGAGTGTGCCAACTCCTGTTTGTGAATTCCATTCCAAGCTTTCTTAGTAAACTTTTTTTTTTAGTATTTGGCCATCAAATACTTTTTAAAAATTTCTTTCCTAAACTATATAAATACGTGGATATAAAACTGCTTTTCTACTTATATGGAATGACTCTACTTTGAATTAATATCATAATCAACTGTTAAATTTATGCAACAGTCATGGTGTCGCATTTAACTACTAAAAATGTGAAGGTGAAATGTGCTGATTTTATAGTTACTTGTCAAATTGCATTATAGGTTGGGTTTTTAGCTCATTCATTTTTTTCCAACTTTTTTTTTTTTTTTTGAGATGGACTCTTGCTGTATTGCCCAGGCTGGAGTGCAGTGGCATGACCTCGGCTCACTGCAACCTTCGCCTGCCAGGTTCAAGCAATTCTCCTCTCTCAGCCTCCCAAGTAGCTGGGATTACAGGTGCCTGCCACCATGCCCAGCTAATTTTTTTATTTTTAGTAGAGATGGGGCTTCATGTTGGCCAGGCTGGTCTCAAACTTCTCACCTCAGGTGATCCACCCACTTCGGCCTCCAAAGTGCTGGGATTACAGGCGTGAACCACCGCACCTGGCCAGAAGTAAAGTTCTTGAAGGAATTAGTTCCTCCGTACCAGCAAAGTTAAAGTTTATATGCTAGGACTGAGAACTAATCTGCCCAGGAGTGCCAGAAAACATTGGTTCATGTCTCAGAGAGAAGGTGAAACAGCCCTTAAACAGATGGCCCAAATGTCATTTCTATGTAAAGTCTCCCAGTTTACAGAGAATCGGTGTGTAGGGTGAACTTTTAAATGTTTCTGATATCTTTAGGGCTGGTGTGACTTCAGGAGTTGTCATGTACTTCTGTGATATGGGGGCTGAATTGCAGAAGGAAGCTTGTCATCAGTGTCATCTCCTTCAACTCTCTCGTTCTATTTAATGTTTACAGGACTTAATATAGTTGTTTATGTATTTTAAAAAGAGGTTTGTTTATTAAACTTTTAAAAAATGTTTTTGATCTGCCATCATTCAAGTTTATTCATTTTGTCTATTTTTAAGTTGTATTTTGTCATTGTAATAAGTTTGTGGGGTGGTTTCTTTTTTTTTCCATTTCTTTTTCATTAACATTTTCATTGCTTATTTTTCATGCCAGTGTACTGTGTCACCTCACCCAAGAAGGACGATAGGTATAGGGAGCCACCTCCCACTCCTCCAGGATATTTGGGGATTTCTTTAGCGGACCTAAAGGAAGGACCCCACACACACCTAAAACCTCCAGATTATAGTGTGGCAGTGCAGAGGTCAAAGATGATGCATAACAGCCTCTCTAGACTGCCACCAGCTTCTCTCAGTAGCAACCTCGTGGCCTGTGTTCCATCGAAGATTGTAACTCAGCCTCAGAGGCATAATTTGCAGCCATTCCATCCTAAACTAGGAGATGTGACTGATGCAGATAGCGAAGCAGATGGTATGTTGACAAGCTCTCTTAAAGGCTCTTAAATGAATTGCTGAACACATTAAATGGTCTTTACTTTGGTATTTTATGGTAATTAGTAATTGTTTCTTTAAATGCCTTGAATCTCTGTTAAAAAGTAAGAAGTTCCTGCCGGCAGGGTGCAGTGGCTCACACCTGTAATCCCAGCACTTTGGGAGGCTGAGGCGGGCGAATCACCTGAGGTCGGGAGTTCCTGACCAGCCTGTCCAACATGGAGAAACCCCGTCTCTACTAAAAAAATACAAAATCAGCCAGGCATTATGGCGCATGCCTGTAATCCCAGCTACTCGGGAGGCTGAGGCAGGAGAATTGCTTGAACCTGGGAGGCAGAGATTGCAGTGAGCCAAGATCGCACCATTGCACTCCAGCCTGGACAACAAGAACAAAACTCTGTCTCCAAAAAAAAAAAAAAAGTTCCTAAATATAGTATGGGGGAGTGTTTTGGTTTTGTTTTATTTTTCAAGATAGGGTCTAACTCTGTTGCCCAAGCTTAGAGTGCAGTGGCACAATAATGACTCACTACAGCCTCAGACTCCTGGGCTCAAGCAGTCCTCCCAACTCAGCCTCCCAAGTAGCTGGGACTACAGGTGCACACCAGCATGCCTGGCTCATTGTTAAATTTTTCCTTTGTAGAGACAGGGTCTCACTATATTGACCAGGCTGGTTTTGAACTCCTGGCCTGAAGCAGTCCTCCCACCCCAGCCTCCGAAAGTGTTGGGATTATAGGTGTGAGCCACCACACCCAGCCAATGGTGTGGGTTGTTTGTTTGTTGAGACAAGGTCTTGCTGTGTCACTCAGGCTGGAGTGCAGTGGCATGATCGTGGCTCACTGCAGCCTCAACTTCCTGGTCTCAGGTAATTCTCCCTCCTCAGCCTCCCAAGTAGGTGGGACTACAGGCACACACCACCACACCCAGCTAATTTTTTGTATTTGAGACAGCATTTTACCATGTTGCCCAGGCTGGTCTTGAACTCCTGGACTCAAGCAATCTGCCAGCCTCAGTCTCCCACAAAGTTGGGGTTATGGGTGTGAGCCACTGTACCCCGCACTGATGGTGTATTTTTTAAATGAAATGGGCAAGCTGCCTATTTCTGTGTGCCTAGTACCCTGTGGCTCAAATGGAATATTCTTATCTTTGATGAAACAGTGGCTCAATCTAATGGGATACTTTTAACATTAATGGAATTGTATTTTACCTTAATGCATGGAAACTTGAAACTGTGTTTCAAATGCCAAATTATCTGAAATGATTCTATTGATATAGTTCCTTTTATTAGCAAAAGTCTTGACTGACTTTGTACCTGTGCCAATAGTTTGAGAAATGATTGTTTTATTGAAAATAAATGAAAATTTATGCTTTTAAACAAGAGTAATAAAATGATTAAAAACCATGAAATTCCAGTTTATTGTCAACCTTCAATGTGATCAGAAATCATAGGTATTATTATAATAAAATCTGGGCCTCGATGCAATGTTTGAGAGGATTTCTTTGTTGACATTGATTTTCTAAATAGATAACTAGATTATTAGGATCTCATTAATATGCTGATCTGCCAGTTAATTATATATTTTTTATTTTCAGAAAATGAACAAGTTTCAGCAGTCTAGCCTTTGGATGACCTATTTGAAAACCACTGAAAGTCGTGGAGGAATGGGCAAGAACCACCTCATGATTCTGCAGGCCATTGCTAACGAACAGCTCATTGCTACAACCAGTCCAGAGGTTTTATTCCCTCTACTCCGAGCAATGAAATAGACCTGAGTTATGCTTCCTTTCATTTAATTTCTGCAGATAAATAGTTTCCTGAGCAATGGATGCTATGCCTGGATACCAGTCTCCACTTTGCACGCCGGAACTGCCTTGGGACCACAGTTACAGAAAAAATGTAAACTCAGAGTGATCCTTGTGTATATTGCTATAGATTTTTCTTTAACAAGCTATTTTAAAGATAATGGCATTATTATTTCCAAGCCATAGCTTGGGCTGAAGGACAAATTGAAATTGTCTGCCAATACCAAGGATATTCTTGTATATTTGAAAAATAACTTATTATTTGAATTGTTGTGGTTTTGTTTGTATTTGAGAGCTCTTGTTAGCTGATATTCATGTTTGAGGTCATAAAATTGTCTCTGGTCTGACCAAACAGAAGTCATCTTTACAGAGGTGATATGCTTGATCTACACAGAGATGTGACTTGATCTGTAGCACCAATGCAATGTAGGTCTCAGTTTGAGAGAAATAGGAAGCCCTTTGCAGTTGAGGTGTTAGGAACCTGCTGGTCATGGTGTGGAAGGCCAAATGAAGCTGCCACAGGGTTTCTTGTCAGTCCTTTGGGAAATGGGAGGGAGTAGTTTGGGGAGGAGGGTGGGAACCCTAATTTCCACAGAATGAAATTTTGATGTTAAATGACATGTATACAAATTCTTCCTTAAGTGAAAGTTATGCTGCATCGAATTGTAACTGAAAGTATAGATCCAACAAATAGAGACTGGGTTCTAGAGAGTTCTGGTCTATAGAAACCCAAAACTAAAATCTCTCATAACTCAAGTATGGAATACTTTTTTTAAAGAAATTCTTATCATGGGTGTTGTAATAATGAAGACGAATTTGACTTTATGCAGTGTTCTGCAGCATGCCTCCCCCACATCTCATAGCACCAGGTTGTGTCTGACCTGACATACCCTGCAGCTCTCAGCTGGCTGCAGTAACATTTTGTGGGAGAAAGAGGAGCTGGAGTTACAGAAATGATTGTCTCTTGGTTCTCAGTTTTTAGCCCTTGAGAGGACATACTTTTCCAGCCTCATGGGTATGGCACTCTTAATTAAAATTTCAGTGACTGTTTACTGGATGAGGCAGATTTTTCACATTTTTGCAAATTAAATATATTTTATATATATTAAGTTTAATTTTTTCAGTTTTTTTAATGTAAAAGCAAGTGAAATTTTAATAAACTTCTGTAATTACCAAAAAAAAAAAAAAAAAAAAAGCCAAAGCCATTAACGTGCACTACCCAGATCAACTTGGAGCCAAAAGGGGTTTACTTCTGAATGGCTGTCCGTATGTGTCCACATAGGATTTAGTTGGTTTGTGGCCTCCTTTATAGAAATGTGTTGTCTTTCCCTAGCTGTCTCTGCTGTCTGTCTTCCTGCATATCCCCCTTCATTTTAAAATCATGAATCAGTTGTAAGTGGTAAATGGTAGTAGTTCATCTTTCCCATCAACATGATTGTCTCTTTATTTTAGGAATAATAGCATTTCAAAAATTCCTGTGGTAAAGAAACATTAATCTGAAACTTAAGCCTTAGAAATTAATCGCAGGTATGATAGAATGAGGCTTGGTGGTTCCATAGCTTTCTTGGTCCTTTGAAATGGGAAATAACCTGAACCAAAAATCCTAGTTTGAAAGTTACACTTCAGTGATTTGGCCTATAAACAGTGGTCCTATGATTATACATTTTTTCCTTCACTGATTTGCATAATTTTGTTTTCATGGCCACAGCAAAACAATGTGAAATATATTTTTGCTATACCCACTTTTTTTATCAAATTCAGATGTCTACTCTCACCATTTTATATTCATTTCCCCAGAAAAATGTGCTGTTTTCATAATGTCTTTATTTAGCAGGTCTTTCAAACCAAATGGAAGCCTTACCTGTCTTTGTCCTTAATAGTGTAAATATCTTGCACAGAGTGTTGAGGCCTATGGTTTTGGACTTGCACCTTACAGCTGCCTTTGTTTTATCTATCTAGCTTTAACTGTGAGTGTTCAGATCAGCTGATCACATTGATCAGGAGCCAAAGCCAAATGCTTTGTAGTTTGTTATGTATGTATCCCTTAAAAAATCATGAGGTTTTGATTTTTATATTTTAACTAAGGGTACATTCCTGCCTTCTCTTAGTTTGTCATATGACTAGAACAAGAGAAGTCTTAAGCTGCATTTACTCCAATTCCAGATCTCCATTTGTTTTTGTTTTATAAATTTATAATCTTAATGAAGAGACTAGTGCCCTCTCTTCCTGCCACAACTCTCAATCTGCCAAGACTGTTGAAGCAGTTAACGCTCAGTGCAAACTTTTGCCAAATAGTAAGTTTCAACAAAATATCTTTATAGTGAAAGATTTTGAGAATTAGTAAATCCAGTACATGATTCCATAAAAGCTTATTAAAGTTAATAATTCTAATTTACTCCAAATGATTACTTTCAATATGATCTTTGGGGAGAAAAAGCCTTTAGTGAATTTTCTTGAGGGTGATAAATCACATCATTGCGATCTATATCACCTCCTTGAGAATCTCTCCCAGGCTGAAAATGTGATGGTAATCATGGGTGTTTTTAAGAACAAATCTAATTTTTATCAAGTGTTCTTTCCTCTACAAAAAAGGAAGGAGGAGAAAAAGCTTCCTTAAAACTGATTATTTTGATTCAATTTTAAGTTTCTAAAAAAGGTGATATTAAAGTATATGTATTCCTTCAGCATTACCTTAAAGGCTAGAAAAACGGGATAAATCTTCAGAAAAGTGTCAAAAGTGTCACAGTACATGTTCAAATTTAAACTTGAATCCTGGTTCATCTTTGACTTTTGTTGTGCATTTTTAATGCTTCTTTATTTTTGATACACAGAATGCAGTTGAACTTGATCTTTTAAAATTGAGACATGTAAGCTAATCAGCAAAAGACAGAAACAAAACTGCACATCTGTAATAATCAGATAGCAATTCTACTGCACAATTCATTGATTGTAAGGTATCCTGTAACAAGCAATGTTTGTCTCCTATTTTTTGATACCTCTTAAACTTATGTCTTTTAGAAAGACAGTGCCTCTGTATGCTTTTTGTATTTTTACTGAGTGTAAATATTTGTTATATTTTTGGTTAAGAGAATGTAAAAATACCATTTATTATTATCATATCTACTAATACATTGGTGGAATCAATAAAGAATCTACATTAATCTTCTCTGTACTTAATTATAAATGTATGGAACTGATGAAATAATTACAAACTTAGTCATTCGAGAGTGCCAGTCTGGGACCTGTGTTGGTGTGAAGGCCTTATTTTTTAACTATCCAGAAAAATTGGAGTGGTCCATTTGTTGTTGGTTATGTCAAATCTGTGAAACACCATAGCTATTGTTTAGGTTTAAAAAATTGTGTTTGATGGCATACCAAGTTAACAGTGGCTTAAACTCAATTGGGGCTTGTCTTTTTGTTATTGTTGTCTGTTTCTTTTTCTTCTTACAGTAGAAAAGTCTACAGACAAAACTGTCCGGGGCTGATACTGTAACTCCTCCACGATGCTGTCAAGGATGGCAAAAGTAGGGGTGAAAAGGATAGGCTTAGGTAAGGAAAAGGTGCAAATATGTGTCTCTTTCTACGCAAAGAGAACAAAACAGTAGTTTCCAGAAGCTCCACTTGCATGTTTGTACTTACATCCCATTAGTTAGACCTCTGTTGCATGACTGGTAGCTCCAAGGGTGCCTTGGAAATTATCTATTTTATCTGAGCAATTGATGTTCCTAACAAATTTAGGACTCTTCAGTGAAGAAGGAAAGAATAGATTTCAAATGGGCAGCCAGCTGGGTCTACGAAAGCATGCCTATTGCCCCCTCTTTTGGGCAGTATATGTAAATACAGCCACTTTTATGGGATTAGATCCCAGGACCCTGGCAAAGTAGAAGGAAATTCTACTTTAGCTCCTTTTTTAAAATCTCCTCACAGTTTTCCCTCGGTACCCAGAGAATGTTACTCCCATTATAGCTAAGACTTCTACCTTCTTCCAGTTCACCCCCTCTTCACCAGGTTTTCCCAGGCCATTCTGTCCCCCTGACCATCTCTCCACAGTCTCACTAGTTTCTTTATTTAGAAAATATATTTCTTCACCGGGCATGGTGGCTCACGCCTGTTATCCCAGCACTTTGGGAGGCCGAGGCAGGCGGATCACGAGGTCAGGAGTTCAGGACCAGCCTGGCCAACATGGTGAAACCCCGTTTCTACTAAAAATACAAAAACTAGCGGGGCATGGTGGCGGGGTCGTGTAATCCCAGCTACTTTGGAGGCTGAGGTAGGAGAATCTCTTGAACTCAGGAGGCGGAGGTTGCAGTGAGCCAAGACTGCACCATTGCACTCCAGCCTGGGCAGCGAGCAAAACTGTCTCAAAAAAAAAAAAAAAGAAAAGAAAAAATACACATATTTATATTTGTATCAGATGGCACTGGTGAAATGAAATTTTTTTTAAGTAGAAAATAAGTATAATTGAAAAACGGCTACCCCAAAATATCAAGCTCTAATCCCTGGAGAACTTGTAAATATTACTTTATTTGGAAAAAGGGTCTCTGCAGATGTAATTAAGCATTTTAGAGATGAGATTATGAGTGGGGCCTGAATGCCATCACAAGTGCCCTTGTAAGAGAAACAAAGGAAGATACCAGAAGAAGGCAACATGAAGATGGCAGAGAGGGATGTAGCCACAAGTCGAGTAATGTTGACAGCTTCCAGGAGCTAGAAGAGACAAGGAAGGTATTCTCTCCTAGAGCCTCTAGAGGAAATGGTGCCTTGCCAACATCTTGATTTTGGATTTCTGGCCTCCAAAATGGTGAGATGATGAATTTCTGTTGTCTTAAAGCCACCCGATTTGTTGTAATCTGTTACAGCAACTCTAGGAAACAAATGCAAGTTACTATATATGTCTGATGTCAGAAATCCAGTCCCTGCAGTTAAGGATGTGTTGGTCCAGAAATACACTTCCTTTAACTTCTTCCACCCCCAAGAAGCACTTGATAGACGAAGAGAAGAACTGGCTCTCCCAGAAGGTGCCTCTGGAGAAGCCTGGTCAGCCTATTATTTTTCTCATTTCAGACATTCTGGTAAGTATATACTGGTATCTTGTGGTTTAAATTTTAATAGTGACTAATAATGCTAGGCATCTTTTCAAATACTTATTGACCATTTGGACCATTTTGTGAAGTCTATTCAGGTCTGTAATTGTTTACTATTTGTTGCTACAGTATTGAACTATTGATTTTTATAATGACCTTATATCTAGCTCTCTTGCTCAGTTCATTTATTAATGCTAACAATTTGTGGATTCTCTTGGAATTTTCTGCATACTCATATCTGTTCATAATAACTTATTTATTTCTAGTCATTTTGTATTTTCTTTTCTTGTCTTTTGTTGTTGTTGTTGTTGTTGTTATTGAGACGGAGTCTCGCTCTTTTGCCCAGGCCGGACTGCGTGGTGCTATCTCGGCTCACTGCAAGCTCTGCCTCCCAGGTTCACGCCATTCTCCTGCCTCAGCCTCCCGAGTAGCTGGGACTACAGGCACCCACCACTGCGCCTGGCTAATTTTTCGTATTTTTTTTTTTTTAAGTAGAGACAGAGTTTCACCGTGTTAGCCAGGGTGGTCTCGATCTCCTGACCTCGTGATCCGCCCGCCTCGGCCTCCCAAAGTGCTGGTTTCTTTTCTTGTCTTACTGCACTGGCCAAAATGCCCAGTATAGTGTTGAATAGAAGTGGTCAGAGTGGGCCAGATCCAGTGGCTCACACCTGTAATCCCAGCACCTTGGGAGGCCGAGGTGGGAGGATTGCTTGAGCCCGGGAGTTCGAGACCATCCTGGACAACATGGTGAAACCCCATCTCTACAAAAAATTAGCTGGGTGTGCCAGTGCACAGCTGTGGTCCCAGCTACTTAAAAGGCTTAGTTGGTAGAAGGATCACTTGAGCCTAGGAGGTGAGCTTTGATCACACTACTGCATTCCAGCCTGGGTGACAGAGTGAGACCCTGTCTCAAAAAGTGGTCAGAATGGAATTCCTTTCTTTGTTCCTGATCTCAGCGAGAACGCATTCGGATGTCACCGTTGAGCATAGTGATTGCTGTAGGATTTTGGTGGTATTTATGAGTTTAAGGAAGTTTTATTTATACCTTGCTAAGAAAGTATATGCTGTTGAATTATGTCAAATGCTTTTCTTGAATTTATTGAGATGATCAAATTATTTTTCTCTTACCTGTTAGTCTAGTGAATTAATAATATATTTCATAGTGTTAATTCCTCCGTGTCTACTCCTGCCCTCCTACCTCACCATTCGTTTTGTTAGAATAAACTTCCTACTTAGTCATGTTATTTCTGTGTATCTCTGGATTTATTTTGCAATATTTCTTTCTTTTTTTTTTTTTTCATTTGAGACAGAGTCTCGCTCTGTTGCCCAGGCTGGAGTGCAGTGGCGTGATCTTGGCTCACTGCAAGCTCCGCCTCCTGGGTTCACACCATTCTCCTGCCTCAGCCTCCCGAGTAGCTGGGACTACAGGCTCCTGCCACCACGCCCAGCTAATTTTTTTGTGTTTTTAGTAGAGACAGGATTTCACCGCGTTCGCCCGGATGGTCTCGATCTCCTGACCTCGTGATCCGCCCACCTCAGCCTCCTAAAGTGCTGAGATTACAGGAGTGAGCCACTGCGCCCGGCTGCAATATTTCATTTAGAATTTTAGCATCTGTATTCAAGAGAGAGGTGGTGTATAATTTTCCTTTCTTTTCATACCCTTGTCAGATTTTGGTGTTAATGTAAAAATGTCCTCGTGGAAAGAGCTGGAAGTTGTTTCCTCTTTGTCTATTCTTGGGAGAGTTTATGAAAGATTGAACTGTAGCCCTTTAGCCTCCCTGACTCTTGCCTCTGTCTCTTAAAATCTGGAAAAATTGGTGGACTCTGGTCTGGGTTTCCCCTCCCTTGCATTATGGCCTAGAAATGTTGTTCAGGAAATAAATTCTGGGGCAGCGGCAGGGCTTACCTCTTTTGTTTCATGTTCGGTCAGCAGTTACTGTTCTTCAGTGCCTGATGGCCCGTGTCTTAAGTGACATTGTTTTACCTACGTTGTTCAGTTTTTTAGTTGCTTCAGGCAGGAGGATAGAGTGACAGGTATTCCATCTTGACCAAAAGTAGAAGTCTATATATAAGATTTTAACACAGCTGTCTCAGGAAATGATAGAAGCACACACACACACACACACACACACACACACACACACACACACACACCCCTTCCCACCAAATCAGTAAGGAAATAGTGATTGGAACAACATAGTGAACAAACTTAATCTAATGGGCCTGTATAGAACACTGTATCAATAACTGCAAAATATATGTTATTTACAGATGAACATGGATCATTTATCAAAGTTGAATAAATGTTAGGCCATAAAGAAACTTACTAATAAATTTCAGAGGGCTTAAATCATATAGAGAAGGCAGTCTGATTACAGAAGAACTAAATAAAAATTATGAAATTTGGAAGAAATGTAGCTCCAAATCCAGTGGAAAATGGAAAGTATTTTGAACCGAATTGAAATGAAAATAAGAATATCAGAACCTTTTGGATATGATTACCCAGGCGTGGTGGCGAGTGTCTGTAGTCCCAGCTACTCGGGAGGCTGAGGCACGAGAATTGCTTTTTGAAAAAATAATTGGTAAACCCTTGGTGAAAATGATCAAGGGAAAAAATGGCAGAACTAACCAGTGTTGGAGATGGAAAAGAATTATTATTTGGTGGGCGGGGGTGGGGACAGGATCTTGTTCTGTTGCCCAGGCTGGGGTGCAGTGGTACAGTCATAGCTCATTGCAGCCTCAACCTCAAGTGATCTCCCACCTCGGTCTTCTGAGTAGCTGAGATTACAGGTGTGCCCGGCTACTTATTTATTTTATTTTTTTAAAGAGAAATGAGATATCACTATATTCCCTGGGCTGGTCTTGAATTCCTGAGCTCAAGCAATCCTCCCACCTTGGCCTCCCCAAGTGCTGGCGTTACAGGCATGAGCCACTGTACCCAACCAAAGAATTATTTTATTTATATATATATATTTTTTAATTTATATATATTTTTTATTTATGTATACTTATATATGTGTATATATAAATAAAATATATTTTTTATTTATATATAAAATATATATTTATATATACGTATATATACATGTATATATACGTATACATATATATGTGTATATGTATACGTATATATACATGTATATATACGTATATATAAATATATATTTATGTACATATATGTGTGTGTGTGTGTATATATATATATATATTTTTTTTTTTTTTTTTTTTTTTTTTTTTTTTTTTTTTTTGAGAAGGAGTCTCGCTCTCTCACCCAGGCTGGAGTGCAGTTGCGTGATCTTGGCTCACTGCAACCTCTGCCTCCCAGGTTCAAGCAATTCTCCTGCCTCAGCCTCCTGAGTAATTGGGACTACAGGCGCATGCTACCACACCCGGCTAACTTTTTGTATTTTTAGTAGAGACAGAGTTTCACCGTGTTAGCCAGGATGGTCTTGATCTCCTGACCTTGTGACCCACCCACCTCAGCCAGAATTACTATAATTACAAAGAAATTAGAGAGATATTAAGACACTTTGAGTAAGTAAAATGTACATGAAATATACAAATTCATAGAAAACACAGCTTAACAAAACTATAACAAGATGGAAAACTTCATAGTCCTCTATTAAAGAAATTAAATCCTCTTTAAAAGCTTTTCCACAGAGAAAACTTCAGTCTTGGATGACTTTACTGGTAAGTTCTACCAAACACTTACAGAAGAAATAACAAAGTTGTATAACAAAATTTCAGAAGTAATAAGGATTTCTTTTTTCTTTTTCTTTTTTTTTTTTTTTGAGACAGAGTCTCACTCTGTCACCCAAGCTGGAGTGCAGTGGCACTGTCTTGGCTCACTGCAACCTCCGCCTTCCAGGTTCAAGCGATTCTCCTGCCTCAGCCTCCCAAGCAGCTTGGGATTACAGGTGCGCACCACTGCGCCCGACTGATTTTTGTATGTATTTTTTTTAGTAGCGACAGGGTTTGACCGTGTTGGCCAGGCTGTTCTTGAACTCCTGACCTCAAGTGGTCTGCCCACTTCGGCCTCCCAAAGTGCTGGGATTACAGGCGCCTGGCCAGGATTCCTTAAATAAGGTAAAAGAAAATGTAACTCTAAATGAAGTGATTGATATATTTGACTATACTAGAATGCATTCACCAAAAAACACCATTTACAAAAACAAAAAGCCTGTAGAGTTGGGAAATATATTAATTCATATAACCGTCAAAGGACAGGTGTCCAGGTATGTAAAGTACTTCTGTATACCAAAGAAAAGGAACACCCAATAGAAAAATGGGCAAAAACCTTAATGAAGCACTTCATAAAAGAAAAAATTATCTAATAAACATACAGAGAAGTGCTTTATCTCATTCTGTAAAACTCTGCATAGGTTCGGAATTGGCCATGGCGAAGTGTTAACTGTGCTGCTGTCTAATGTGGAATGTAGTGGCAGATGAACCTGGGAAGAGGAGAAACAAGAAAAGGGCTGAAAGGGGGAAGAGATGGTAGAAGAAAAAAAATACGTTGGATACAGTGGAACCACCAGGTGGCGCCACGCTACAATATGACTCTTGGAAGTCTCCTTTTAAAGAGAGAGCAAGGTAATTTCTTAGTCGTCATTGCAGATGTTTCTGCAGCCAATAGTGAAATATTTGACAAAATTGAAGCATTTCCAAACCAGGAAATGTCATAGAATTTTAGGTTCTAGTTGGATAATCTTTGGATAACAGTGAATGATAGTATGGTATTAGCAATACTCTAATATGTATATTGTTTGTAAATGTGGGCATAGGATTTGCAATACTCAGTAAGCATTGGATTTTTTCAGGGACCACAAGAGAAACCTACCAGAAAATACAAATGGTCCAACTCTGAATGGGAATGAAAAACATACCTGTACAAAATATGCACTAAAAAAAAAAAATCAGAAGTCTAACAATATATATTGAACAACTGTGTATTACAAAGACTCCCTGGCAAGTTCTCATCTGTTCTGACCAGTTGGTATTTTCAGCGTTCTTCTTTCACTTTGGCCATTTTGGTTGGTATGTAATGGTATTGTGGTTTTAGTTTGCATTTCCCTAGTTATTAGTGGGGTTGAGCACCTTTTTCATATTACTATAGGCCATTTCCTCTTTTATGAAATGCCTTTGTAAGTATTCTTTTCTAAATCGATTTCGAGGTGTTCTTTATATATTCTGGATCTGACTCCTTTGTCAGCTATACCTGTGGCAAATAGCTTGTCCCTCTCTGACTTGCTTTGTCATACACTTAATGGTGTCTCTTGAGAAGTTCTTAACTTTAAACTAGAGAAATGTATTATTCTTTTCCTTTATAGTTAGTGCTTTTTGTGTTGCAGGGTTTTTATTAAATCATTTTCTACTGACTTTTTTTTTTTTGAAATGGAGCCTTGTTCTGTAGCCTAGGCTAGAGTGCAGTGGCGCCATCTCAGCTCACTGCAGCCTCTGCCTCCTGGGTTCAAGTGATTCTCCTGCCTCAGCTTCCCGAGTAGCTGGATTTATAGATGTCCACCACCACTCCCGTCTAATTTTTGTATTTTTAGTAGAGACAGGGTTTCACCATGTTGGCCAGGCTAGTCTCAAACTCCTGACCTCAAGTAATCCACCCACCTCAGCCTCCCAAAGTGTTGGAATTACAGGCGTGAGCCACTGCACCCAGCCTTTGTGTTCTGCTTAAGAAGTCCTTACTCTAAGTTCATGATTATATTCTGTGTTACATTTTAAATGTTTTGCCTTTTAAATTTAGCTCTAAAACAGATCTGGAATAGATGTTTATGTGTAGTATGAGGTAGGAGTCAGGTTTCATTCCTCTACCTACAGATTGTTCCTGCACCATTTATTGAAAAGACATTTTGTCTAGTGCACTTCACTGCCATCTTTGCTGTAAATCAAGTGTCCATATATACTTGAGTGTCCAGTATACTTGAGTTTATTTCTGGGGTCTGTATTCTGTTTCATTAGCCTGTTTATTTCTCCATTTTCCAATACCACACTCTTAATTACTCTAGTATTACACATATCAATATCTTAATGAGAAAGTTCTCTAACCCTGTTCTCCTTTTTTGATGTCTTGTATCATTGTATTTCCAAAAAATTTTAGAACCAGCTTACCAACTTACACACAAGTACACTTACACATATGCATACAATTGCAATTTTCATTGTGATTTTCTTGAATCTATATATCATTTTGAAGGAGAGTAACATCTTGAAATTTAGTCTTCTGATCTATGAATGTAGTATATTTCTCCACTTAGATTTTCTATTGCTCTGTTTTATTGTTTTGGTTTAAGAGTTTCATACTTTTTATGTAAGATTTATTTTTAAGCAGTATGTTTGATGCTATTATAAATAGTAGCTTCTAAATTTTCAGTTGTTAATTATTCTCTCTTTTAAGAGATGGTTTCTTGCTCTGTTGCCCAGGCTGGAGTGCAGTGGTGCAATCACAGCTGACTATAGCCTCGACCTCCTCCAAGGTAGAAGGGACTACAAGTGCACACCACATGGACCCAGCTAATTTTTTAATGTTTTTGTAGAGACGGGGTCTACTAATTTTGCCCAAGCTGGTCTTGAACTCCTAGGCTCAAGTGATTCTCCTGCCTTGGCTTTCCAAAGTGTTGGGATTACACTTACGAGCCACTGTGCCCAGACTTTGATTATTTTTTGTCAAATAGAAATAAAATTGATTTTTTAATGTTGTTCCAGTGTCCAACAGTCTTACCAAACTCACTGAATCCTAATAATAATAATAATCTCAGATTTTCTATATAGACATGTAATCTGCAGCTAAAGGCAGTTCTATTTCTTCCTTTCTAATTCTTATGCCTTTTATTTTTTCAGTTACCCAGAACTTCCAATATAATGAATAGAAGTGATGATAGAGAAAAACTGTCAACAATAAATACACTGTGTGCAGTAAGTTTTATGTATTAACTCTTTGTCAGATTAAGAAAGTTCCCTTCGATTTATAATTTGCTGGAACTTTTTAATTATTAATAAATGTCAGACTCTATCAAATGCTTTTTCTGCATGTATTGAAATAATTGTGGGTTCTTGCTCCTTTATTCTATTAACATGTCCCAATTACTATGGCTGTGTAACAAATCAACCCAAAATTTAGTGGCATGAAACAACCATTTATTATGCTTGTTTATTGTTCAGGAATTTGCACAGGGTTTAGAAAAGCTGGCTTTTCTGTGCTCCACAGTGATTAAGGCCTTAGCTGAAAGATTCAGGCTCAGGACAGGAATTATTTGAAAGCTCATAGCTGAGAGTTAATGCTGGCTGTTGTTTGAGGCCTCTATTCCTGACCACGTGAACCTCTCCATGTGATCTCTCCATATGGGCTGTTTTGGCCTGCCTCAGATCATGGAGGTTGAGTTTCAAGGGCAAGTATCGCAAAAGAGAGAGCCAGGCAAGCTGTATCACAGTGTGTCACCCAGGTTCAGTGACAGGGAAGCAGAGGAAATTGTTGATAAAAAGTAACAAGGTTCTAGAAGACCATGTCAGAGAATATTGCTGTGGCTGTTTTTGAAAAATACAGTCTGCCACCCTGGTGTCCTAGTAGTCATGCCCTTTGCCATTTTCTACTGTATCATCCCCTTGGTTATGATTGAGACCTGTGAGTTGCTTCACAGCAATAGAAAATGGCAAAGGTGGTGTAATGTAGCTGCACGATTATGTTACACTGTATAAGACTCCATCTTGCTAGCAAACTAGCTCTAGGCTCTCCTTGGCTTAATGAAGTGCACATGTTGAGGAGGCACATGGGGACATGAACTGCAGGAGGCCTCTAGGAGCTAAGGGAGGACTGCAGCCAATAGTCAGCAAGAAGCCAGAGCCCTCAGCTCCCCAGCCACAGGAAATAGATTCTGTTAACCATTTGCGTGAGATCGAAAGTGGCTTCTTCCCTAGTTAAGCCTAGACAAAAACAGGCTACAGTTCAGTGATCTCTGAAGGTAGTACTGAAAAATTCAGTGTCCTGTTGGATAAGGTGCTCATCCTTTCTAAATTTCAGTTTCCTAATTTTTAATGACAATATTGTTATCTGTAGGGGTTCAAATAAAGTCCATTCCATTCTGATTGGGAGAGCACAGTGTATATTTTACACTGGAATACTTGAAATGCATTTTATATAACATTTAAAATACATATTTCAAAAATATTTCTTTAAATTATCAATATTAAAAGTAATATTATTTAAATTATTATCAAATAAAATCTCTCTGTCAACAACAGAAAACCCAATTTAAAATGGGCAGAAGGTCGAGCAATGCCTGTAATCCCAATACTTTGGGAGGCCAAGGCAGGAGGATATCTTGAGTTCAGGAGTTTGAGACTAGCCTGGGCAACATAGAGAGACCCCATCTCTACAGAACATTTTAAAAATTAGCCGGGCATGGAGGCGCGTGCCTGCAGTCTCAGCTACTTTGGAGGCCATTCAGGAGCGTCACTTGATCCTGGGAGGTTGAGGCTGCAGTGAGCCGTAATCACACCACTGCACTTCAGCCTGGGTGACAGAGGGAGACTCTGCCAAAAAGGGGTTGGGGGCAGCAAAAATGGCCGAGCACTGTGGCTCACACTAGAATCCCAGCACTTTGGTAGGCTAAGGCAGGAAGATTACTTGAGCCCAAGAGTTCACGACCAGCCTGGGCATCATGGTGAGACCCTGTCTCCACAAAAAATTTAAAGATTAGCCAGGCGTGGTGGCAGATACCTGTAATCCCAGCTACTCAGGAGGCTGAGGTGGGAGGATCGCTTCAGCCCAAGAGATGAGGCTGCAGTGAGCCCTGATTTTGCCACTGCACTCCAGCCTGGGTGACAGAATGATACCCTGTCTTTAAAAAAAAGGTAAAAGATTTGAATAGATATTTCTCCAAAGAAGATAACAGTTGGCCAACAAGCACATGAAAAGTGGTTCAGTGTCACTAATCCACAAGTCAAAATCACAACAAAATACCACCTCACACCCATGAGGATGGTTACTGTCAAAAAAATTGAAAATAACAATTGTTAGAGAGCATGTAGAGATATTAGAAGTCATGTACACTCTTGATGGGAATGTAAGTAATGCAACTGCTTTGGAAAATAATATGTAAGTTCCTCAAAATATTAAACATGGAATTACCATATGATCCAGCAGTTCCACTTCTGGGTACATATATATGTGTGTGTGTGTATATATACATATATGTGTATATATATGTGTGTGTGTATATATACATATATGTGTATATATATATATGTATATATGTGCAAAAGAATTGAGAGTAGGGTCTCAAAGAGATATTTGTACACCCTTGTTCATAGCAATATTATCAGCAATGGCTAAGGTGGAAGCAACCCAAGTGCCCATCAGTGGATGAATGGATAAAATGCTGGATGCATACAATGAATGAAACATTATTAACCTTGAAAAGGAAAGAAATTCTGACATGCTGCAAAATGGATGAACCTTTTTACAATTGTTTTAATTTTTTTTCTTTTTCTTTTTTTTTTTTTTTTTTTTTTTTGAGACGGAGTTTCGCTCTTGTTGCCCAGGCTGGAGTGCAGTGGTGTGATCTTGGCTCACTGCAACCTCCGCCTCCTGGTTTCAAGTGATTCTCCTGAGCCTCCCGAGTAGCTGGGATTACAGGCATGCACCACCATGCTCGGCTGATTTTTGTATTTTTAGTAGAGACAGGGTTTCTCCATGTTGGCCAGGCTAGTCTTGAACTCCCAACCTCAGGTGATCCGCCCACCTCGGCCTCCCAAAGTGCTGGGATTACAGGCGTGAGCCACCATGCCCAGCCAATTGTTTTAATTTTTAATTTTTTTTTTTTGAGATGGAATCTCGTTCTGTCACCCAGGCTGGAGTGCGGTGGCACGATCTCAGCTCATTGCAACCTCCGCCTCCCACATTCAACTGATTCTTCTGCCTCAGCCTCCCTGAGTAGCTGGAATTACAGGCATGTGCCACCATGCCCAGCTAATTTTTGTATTTTTAGTAGAGACGGGGTTTCACCATGTTGGCCAGGCTGGTCTCGAGCTCCTGACCTCAGGTGATCTGCCCACCTGGGCCTCCCAAAGTGCTGGGATTACAGGTGTGAGCCACTGCACCCAGCCAATTTTTTTAATTTTTAACTTTTGTGGGTACATAGGTATATATATTTATGGGGTACATGAGATGTTTTGATACAGGCATGCAACATGAAATAATCAGAGGGAGAATGGGGCATCCATTCCCTCAAACGTTTATCTTTTATATTACAAGCAATCCAATTACACACTTTTATTTAAAAATGTATATTACTGACTGTAGTTACCCTATTGTGCTGTCAAATAGTAAGTCTTACTCATTCTAACTATGTTTTTGTACCTCTGGTAACCACCCTTCTACTCTCTATGTCCATGAATTCAATTGTTTTGATTTTTAGATCACACACGTGAGAACGTGTGATGTTTGTCTTTCTGTGCCTGACTTATTTCACTTAACGTAATGATCTCCAGTTCCAACCATGTTGTTGCAAATGACACGCAGGATCACATTCTTTTTTATAGCTGAATAGTATTCCATTGTGTATATGTGCCACTCAATTTTTTTTTTTTTTTTTTTTTTGAGGCAGGGTCTCTGTCACCCAGGATGGAATGCAGTGGCGTGGTCTTGGCTCACTGCAACCTCCACCTCCTGGGCTCAAGTGATCCTCCCACCTCAGTCCCCCGAGTAGCTGGGACCACAGGCATGTGCCACTACGCCCAGCTAATTTTTGTATTTTTAGTAGAGACAAGGTTTTTGTCATGTTGCCCAGGCTAGTCTCAAACTCCTGAGCTCAAGCTGTCTGCCTGCCTCAGCCTCCCGAAGTGCTGGGATTACAGGCATGAGCCACCGCGCCTGGCCTGTGCTACGTTTTCTTTATCCATTCATCTGTTGATGGACACTTAGGTTGCTTCCAAATCTTAGCTTTTATGAGCAGTGCTGTAACAAACATGGGAGTGCAGATATCTTTCCTTTGTTTTGGGTATATATACCCAGCAGTAGGATTGTTGGATCCTACTGTTGGATGGTAGCTCTATTTTTAGTTTTTTGAGGAACCTCCAATAGTTCTCCATAGTGGTTGCACTAATTTACATTCCCACCAACATTGTACAAGGGTTGCCTTTCCTCCACATTTTTGGCATTTGTTATTGCCTGTCTTTTGGATATAAGCCATTTTAACTGAGGGTGAGATGATTTCTCATTGTAGTTTTGATTTGTTGCCATTTGTATGTCTTTTGAGAAATTTCTATTCAAACCATTTGCCCATTTTTTTTATTGTATTAGATTTTTTCCTATGGAGTTGTTTGAGCTTCTATATATTCTGGTTATTAATCCCTTGTCAGATGGGTAGTTTGCAAATATTTTCTCCCATTTTGTGGGTTGTGTCTTCACTTTGTTGATTGTTTCCTGATTGTTTCCTTTGCAGTGCAGAAGATTTTTTTTTTTTTTTGAGATGGAGTCTTGCTCTGTTGCCCAGGCTGGAGTGCAGTGGCATGATCTTGGCTCACTGCAAGCTCCACCTCCCAGGTTCACGCCATTCTCCTGCATCAGCCTCCCAAGTAGCTGGGACTACAGGCGCCCGCCACCACACCTGGATAATTTTTTGTATTTTTCAGTAGAGACGGGGTTTCGCCGTGTTAGCCAGGATGGTCTCAATCTCCTGACCTCGTGATCCACCCGCCTCGGCCTCCCAAAGTGCTGGGATTACAGGCGTGAGCCACCGTGCCCGGCCCAGAAGATTTTTAACTTGTTGTGATTCCATTTGTCCATTTTATTTTATTTTATTTTATTGAGACAGAATCTCACTCGGTTGCCAGGCTGGAGTGCAGTGGCGCGATCTCGGCTCACTGCAGGCTCCACCTCCTAGGTTCAAGTGATTCTCCTGCCTCAGCCTCCAGAGTAGCTGGAACTACAGGTGTGCGCCACCATGCCCAGCTAATTTTTGTATTTTTATTAGAGACAAGGTTTCACCATGTTGGCTAGGATGGTTTTGATCTCTTGACCTTGTGATCCACCCACCTCAGCCTCCCAAAGTGTTGGGATTACAGGTGTGAGCCACCACACCCGGCCCCATTTGTCCATTTTTGCTTTGGTTGCCTGTGCTTGTAGGGTGTTGCTCATGAAATTTTTGCCTAGACCAATGTCCTGGAGACTTTCCTCAATGTTTTCTTGTAGTCGTTTCATAGTTTGAGGTCTTAGTTTTAAATCCTTAATCCATTTTGATTTGATTTTTTTATATGGTGAGAGGTGTCTAATTTCATTCTTCTGAATATGGAAATCCAGTTTTCCCAGCACCATTTATTGAAGAGACTGTCTTCAGTGTATGTTCTTGGCACCTTTGTTGAAAATGAATTCACTCTAGGTGCATGGACTTCTTTCTGTGTTCTCTATTCTGTTCCATTGGTCTTTGTCTGTTTTTATGCCAGAACCATGTTCTTTTGGTTACTATACCTCCATAGTATAATTTGAAGTCAGGTAATGTGATTCCTTCTGTTTTGTTCTTTTTGCTTAGGATAAGCTTGGCTGTGCTGAGTCTTTTGTGGTTCCATATAAATTTTAGGATTTTTTTTTTCTATTTCTGTGAAGAATGTCATTGGTATTTTAATAAAGACAAAATAGATGAACCTTGAGAACAAACATGCCAAGTAAAATAAGCCAGTCACTGAAAGACAAATATTGTATGATTCCACATATATATGGATACATGAGAACATGTATATGAATTTATGAGGTACTTAGAGCAGTCAAATTCATAGATAAAGTAGAATGGTGGTTGCCAGGCGTAGGGAGAAATGGGGAGTTATTTAATTAGTATAGTTTTGCAAGATGAAAATGTTCAACAGCAATGCGAATGTGGTTGTACAACATGTGAAAGTACTTAACACTACTGATATCGTACTCTTAAAAATGGTTAAGACTTCTGGGCTTGATGGCTCACACTTGTAATCCTGGTACTTTGGAAGGCCAAGGTGGGTGAATCACTTGAGGCCGAGAGTTCAAGACCAGCCTGGGCAACATGGTGAAATCCTGTCTCTACTGAAAATACAAAACTTGGCTGGGCATGGTGGCGTGCGCCTGTAGTCCCAGCTACTCAGGAGGCTGAGGTATGAGGTTTACTTGAACGTGGGAGGCAGAGGTTGCAGTGAGCCAAGATCACGCTACTGTGCTCTAGCCTGGAAGACAGAGGGAGAATCGGTCTCAAAAAAAAAAAAAAAAAAGACCAGGCATGATGGCTTATGCCTATAATCCCAGCACTTTGGGAGGCTGAGGCAAGAGAATTGCTTGAGCCCAGGAGTTGAAGACCCGCCTGGCAACAGAGCAAGACTCCTGTCTATACAAATAAAAACTTTTAAAAATTAACTGAGCATGGTGATGGGCACCTGTAGTCCCAGCTACTTGGTTGGCTGAAGTGGGAGAATCGCTTGAGCCCTGGAGTTAGAGGCTGCAGTAAGCTATGATCCCACCACTGCATGCCAGCCAGGGCAACAGAGTCTCAAAAAGGAAAAACAATGGTTAACATGGTAAATTTTATGTTGTGTATATTTTACTGCAGTTAAAAAAATAAAGATCTCCTGGTTCTTTGGCTTTAGCTCAAAAAGGCTTTGGATCTCTGTAAAATTCATGTTAGTATGTAATTTGATTCACAATGATGCAGAATCAGTTAGACTTCTGTATGTTTTACTTTGTCCCTTTTGATCATTGTAACACCTCTTCGTCTGTTTTATACATTGCTGCATGAGTTATTTTCTTTCTTCTCTATCAGTCTATCCACAAGATCTCTGAAGAGATCAGGTGTCCAAGCTTTGGCCCAGCAAACACATTCTAGAAACTTCTTGCCAGAGAAGCAGCCATTCTCAGCTCAGGTAAGGTTGTTCAAAGCCAACAGCAGGTGGGAAAATAGAAGGGAAACATTATGGAAATCAAGTGTACATTAAGAATTGCCTTACAGTAGACTTGGACACACAGCTGAAAAATGAAAGTCAGACTCAATTGCCCGATGTACTTTTCTCTTTTCACATTTACATGCGTACTTGGGATAAACAATAATTGAGACCACCTGTGCCCAACACGCTATGCCAGCAAAAATTGTTGCCTTTAGTGAGATCTTGTTAAAAAGCAGGTGTGTGAGAGCCTGACCATAATAAGAATTGGAGACCCTAAAAGAGACCATGTTAAAAGCTCAGATTTTTCAGCAACTACTCAAGACCTCAAGACTGGGCTGTTTTTGTTCCTCAGGCAGCAGGAATTCTGCATGGCTCTATAAACCATAACACACGGGGTCCTTGTTTGCTTGAGGGCACTAAGATGATGACTGGTGTTTTATACAGAGCATACTTGCTGTGCATCGCATATAGCAGGGACTTAATAGTGGATGAGCAGATCATGAATGGCTTGAGAAAAGCCATTTGATAATTTCAACTGAAACCTCAGACACAAATCTTGATGTAGCATCGCATGTGGAAAACACCACGTGCCAAACCCTGTGACATGGACATTGGACTTTCCTAGCCTGCCAGGCGCTAAGGAAGGGGACAACCCATTGCAGCCAAGCCAGGAAGTCAATGAGAGGCAAACACAGCATGGTCTAGGATTAAACAAACCTCTTAGTGATCTCCTTGACTCAGAATCCAGAATGCAGGGCAGTTCTTTGACCTGCCTTACATTGGCACACTCGTCTTTCTGCTTGGCAGTTTGTGAACTGAGTAGAGAGTTTTCTCTCTTGTCTGCCAGTCACCTCTTGCAGCTCTCTGACATAATGAATAATCTGAAGGCAGGCAGGCACTTCAGTCTAGCTGAAGGCTGCTCTTGTGAAAGTTCCTCAGGCCCTTGGTGTTTCATAAAATGGGGGATTTGTAAGGACTAGTGAAAGAGAAAATCAGCAACATAGGCTTCTGATGAAACAGGTGGTAAAAATGCTCACATAATTACCATCTCCATTTTCCTTCTTAAGAAAAAAACACAAAGTAGAACTTCCAGAATAGGTTCAATTATCGGTTTATTCAGTAGACTTTTTTTTTTTTTTTTTTTTGAGACGGAGTCTCGCACTGTCACCCAGGCTGGAGTGCAGTGGCACAATCTTTGCTCACTGCAAACTCTGCCTCCCGGGTTCAAGCGATTCTCCCGCCTCAGCCGCCTGACCAGCTGGGACTACAGGCACCCGCCACCATGCCCAGCTAATTTTTGTATTTTTAGTAGAGACGAGGTTTCACCATGTTGGCCAGGATGGTCTTGATCTCCTGACCTCGTGATCCACCCGCCTCAGCCTCCCAAAGTGCTGGGATTACAGGTGTGAGCCACCACACCTGGCCATTAGACTTTTATTAGTTCCAGATTTCTATTTTACAGCCCCAGCCTAACAAGGGAGGAGAGAGGGGAGCTCAGCAAGTTCCGGCACAGGAGGAGCTGAGTAAACACAAGTCCTGTGATGGGCATGGGCTTTGCTTATGTGATCTAATTCTCACAACCATCCTAGAAAAGAGCTTTTACTCTCCCAGTTTCATAGATTATGAAACAGATGGTTGGAGATGATACATATCTTGCTCAAAGCCAAAGAGCTAATAACTGGGTATTCCCTGGAACACCCAAGGGTCAGGATGCAACACCTCCAGGGCACTTGAGCTCTCCTTCCTGCTCTCCACTTGTCATTTCAGCTGTCTGTTGGCCTTATCCTTCCCCATTACCAGCAGGTTTTCTTCACGTGCTGGGCTATAGTTATGTGAAGTGTCTGGGGTCATACAGGAACTGACCCCGCTCTACAAGCTGGAAATTCCAGGGAAGGCCTCACCCTAGCCTGCCCTCATGCACACACCTGTGGGGAGGAGAGAACTGGTTACTGTGACTGGCAGGCCCACCAGAACCCCACAGATTGGGGAAGCAATAGTTGCCCAAAGAAATGGATTTGGGGAATTGTTATAAGACAGGGAAACATAGGAACTCTTACAGGACAGAATGACGAACTGGGGTTAAGTCTGGTAAGTTACCTGCTGCCAGTGCTTATCTCTGTTGTCTCAAAGGGGACAGCCATTTACATAGGTCTCAGAGAGGCAGATGCAGAAAAGAGGAGTCTAAGCTACTCTGCTAGACTTACAGGGACCGTCTTCCTGGCTGTCACCTGGCTGGAGGGGAAAATGCCTGCAGCCTCAAATCTTTTGCTCATTAGGAGCCCAGACCCAACACTGTGTTCTGTGCCCTAGAAACTTAGGAAGATGTTGTATTATTTAAACCAAATAGTGTAGGCTGGACAGGGTTCAGAATGAAAGGCTTCAAACATTTTTTAATTTGAAAATAAGTACTAAAAATAGGCAGTTACCAAATGCCAGTAACAATCTAGCAGCAGTACCTACCCCAAGGTCCAGGCCACAGCAGACACCTTGTGGGCTTTGGGGAGGTCCAAGGCCAGAAAGCACATTCAGTGTCTGCTCCAAGTAGTAAGTGAGTCTACTCAGGCCCAGGCAGGACCACAACTCTACCTTCCCCGTCCTGTCCTTCCTGGAACAGAAAGAGCTCTTTGGCCTCATCTGGTCTATTTCTTTGATCCTCAAGGAAGCCATGAGCTCAAATAGAATTTAAATGCAAATTGTGTATTTTTGGTAATGATAGAAAAATAACTACTTTTAAAGCTTGTTAGTGCTTTAGCATGTTATAGCTCTAGGGTTTCAGAGAAATGAAGAACTTGACAAGCAGGAGTTCAAGCACAAGGTCAAGTTTCTCCTTACATTTTGCACTTGTACAATCTCAGTGCTGACTAGCAGCTTTATCTCTAGTGTCCTAGGAGATTTTATGGATTACATATACGTGAGAGATCATTTGGTATTTGGGTTTATTCAATGTGTATAAATGCCTCAAACATGTTTCTCTCATGGGAGTTGCAACCCTCCATCACTGCAACCCTCCATCACTGCCCACTGGTTTTCACCTCCCTCTCTGGCTACAACCCACCACAACAGTACATGTGTTAGTCTTTCTTGGTTTGTTTTTTGGGCTTGGGAGTTTTTTGGCATTAAAATGTGGTAAAATGCACATAACAAAATGTACTTGTCTTAACCGTTTTTAAGTATACAGTTCAGTAGCATTAAGGACATTCACGTTTTGCAGCCAATCTCCAAAACATTTTTACCTTGCAAAACTGAAACTCTATACCCATTAAACAACTCCACAATCCCCACTGCCCCTCTCCCTTGGCAACCATCATTCTACTTTCTGTGTCTGTGAATGTGACTACTCTAAATACCTCATATAAGTGGAATCATACTTGTCTCTTTGTGGCTTATTTCACTGGAAATACTGTCCTCAAGGTTTATCCATGTTGTAGCATGTGTCAAAATTTCCTTTCTTTTTAAGGCTGAATATTTTATTGGATGTATGAACGACATTTTGTTTATCCATTCATCTGTCAAGGACACTTGGGTTGCTTCCACTTCTTAGTTATTGAGAATAATGCTGCTGTGAACATGGGTGTACAGATATCTCTTTGAGACCCTATGCTCAATTATTTTGGTTATATACCCAGAAGTGAGATTGCTGAATCATATGGTAGTACTATTTTTAATTCTTTGAGGAAACTCCTTATTGTTTTCCATAGCAGTTGCATTATTTTGGATTCCCACCAATAGTGCACAAGGGTTCCAATTTCTCCACACCTCAACACCACTTGTAATGTTGTTTTGTTTGCATAGTAACTATCCTCATTGGTGTAAGGTGGTATCTCATGATTTTGATTTGCATTTTCCTAATGATTAATGATGTTGAGCCTCTTTTCATGTGCTTATTTGCCAACTATATATCTTCAAAGAAATGTCTATTCAAGTCCTTTGCCCATTTTTAAATCAGATTGTTTTTTGTTGTTGACTTGTAGGAATTCTTTATGTATTCTGGATATTAACTCCTCATCAGACATATGATTTGCAAATATATTTTCACATTCCATAGGTTGCCTTTTCACTCTATTAATTATGTTCTTTGATGCACATAAGTTTTAAATTTTGAGGTAGTCCAACTTGTGTATTTTTACTTTGGTTTCCAGTGTTTTCAGTATCATATCCAAGAAATCATTGCTAAATCCAATGTCAAGAAATTGTTCCCTCTATGTTGTCTTCTAGGAGTTCTATAGTTTTCAATCTAATGTTTAGGTCTTTAATCCGTTTTAATTTTTACATATGGTATAAGGTAAAAATTAGACTTCATTCTTTTGCATGTGGATATCTAATCCCAGCACCATTTGTGGGGGTAAAGAAACAAAACTGTCCTTTCTCCATGGAGTGGTCCTTGCACCCTTGACAAACATCATTTGACCACACATGGGAGGATTTATATCTGGACTCTCTATTCTGTATATTAGTTTATATGTTTGTCTTTATACCAGTACCACACTGTTTTGATTACTGTAGATTTATAATAAGTTTTAAAATTACAAAGGATGAAACTTACAATCTTTTTTCTTCCAACATTCTTCTTTATCAAGATTATTTTCACTCTTGAGGGTCCCTTGAGATTCCATATGCATTTTAGGATGGGTTGGTTTTTTCCTGCAAAAAATGCCATTAAGATTTTTTAAATATTTTTTATTTTTGTTTGTAGAGATGGGATCTCGCTTTGTTGCTGAGGCTGGTCTCAAACTGCTGGCCTCATGCGATACTCCCACCTTGGCCTCCCCAAATTCTGAGATTACAGGCATGAGCTGCCACACCCAGCCACCATTAGGATTTTGATACCAATTGCATTAAGTCTGTGGATTGCTTTGTGTAGTATCAACAGTTTAACAACAGTAAGTCTTCCGATCCAAGAACACAGTATGTGTTTTCATGTACTGATGTCATCTTTAGTTTCTTTCAGTAACATTCTGTTAGTTTTCAGTATACATGTCTTTTGCCTCCTTGGTTAAATGTACTCCTAGGTATTTTTTTTTAAATTTCTGATGCTAATGCAAACAATTGTTTTCTTAATTTCCTTTTCAGGTTTTTTATTGTTATGACACAACTAATTTTTTGCCTGTTGATTTTTATACCTTACAACCTTGCTGAATTTGTTTATTAGTTCTAACAGGCTTTTGGTGTTGTCAGGACTAATGGAATAATTAGGATTTTTCTACATATAAGATTATGTTGCCTGTGAAGAGAGATCATTTTACAACTTCTTTTCTAGTCTGGATGCCTTTTATTTCTTTTTCTTGCCTAATTGCTCTGGCTAAGACTTCCAGTATTTTGTTCAGTAGAACTCATGAAAGTAGACAACCATGTCTTGTTCCTGATCATAGAGGAAAAGCTCACAGTCTTTCACCATTGAGTATGATGTCTGCTGTGGGCTTTTCATATGTGGCATTTATTACATTGAGGTAATTTTCTTCTCCTAGTTTGAATGTTTTTATTGTGAAAGGGTGTTGAACTTTGTCAGATTTTTTTTTTTTGCATCACGTGAAATGATTATGCGGGTTTTTCTTTCATTCTGCAAATGGTGGTATCTTTATATTGAATGATTTTCCTATATTGAACCATTCTTGTATTCCAGGAATAAATCCCACTTGGTCATGGTGTGTAATCCTTCTAATGTGCTGTTGAAATCTATTTACTAGCATTTTGTTCAGGATTTTGCATTGCATTTTACTTGCTGCTTTCAAGATTTCTTCTTTGTCTTTGCTTTTTGATTATAATGTTTCTCAGTGTAGGTCTCCTACTTGTTAATTGAGCCTCTCATATTTATATTTCCATTTCATTCCTCAAAGCTGGGAAATTTACAGACATTATATTTTTCACATAAGGTCTTTTCCCCTTTCTCTCTTTCTTCCGTTTGAGACCCTTTTAATGTATATATTGGTTGGCTTGATAGTGTCCCTTAAGTCCCTTAGAAACTCTTCACTTTTCTTCATTCTTTTTGTACCTGATTCAGCACCTTCAAATGTCATGTCTTCAAGTTTGCTGATTCCTTCTGCTTCGAGTCTTCTAGAGAATTTTTCAATTCAACAATTGCATTTTTCAGCTCCAGAATCTGGCTTTTAAAAAAATTTCTCAGCCAGGCATGGTGGCTCATGCCTGTAATCCCAGCACTTTGGGAGGCCGAGGTGGGGATCATGAGGTCAAGAGATCGAGACCATCCTGGCCAACATGGTAAAACCCCATCTCTACTAAAAATACAAAAAAAAAATTAGCTGGGCACGGTGGCACATGCCTGTAATCCCAGCTACTCGGGAGGCTGAGGCAGGAGAATTGCTTGAACCCAGGAGGCGGAGCTTGCAGTGAGCTGAGATCGCGCCAGTGCACTCCAGCCTGGGCGACAGAAACTCTGTCTCAAAAAAAAAAAAATTATCTGTTAATATTCTCATTTTGCTCATAAATTGTTTTCCTAATTTTATTAAGTTGTGTTCTATTTTAGCTTACTGAGCACATATTTAAGATACTTGTGGTGTTTTTGTTTTGTTTTGAGACAGAGTCTCATTCTGTCACCCAGGCCGGAGTGCAGTGGCGCAATCTTGGCTTACTGCAACCTCTGCCTCCCAGGTTCAAGCAATTCTTCTGCCTCAGCCTCCTAAGTAGCTGAGACTACAGTCACGTGCCACCATGCCCAACTAATTTTTGTATTTTTTAGTAGAGAGAGGGTTTCACCACATTGGCCAGGCTGCCTTGAACTCCTGGCCTCAAGTGATACACCAGCCTCAGCCTCCCGAAGTGCTGGGATTACAGGTGTGAGCCACCACACCCAGCCCGACAGTTGTTTACATACTTTGTCAAGTAAGTCAGAGGTCTGTGTTCTTTAGGACTGATTTCTGGAGATTTATTTTGTACCTTTGAATAGACTGTGTTTCATTGTTTCTGTGTACACCTTGTGATCTCTTTTTGAGATGTGGTTATTTGAAGAAACATCCGCCTCTCCCAGTCTTTACCAGCTGGCTTTGTGCAGGGGAATATCTTCACTAATCAGCCTAGCTTAAAGGCTCAAGTCTTCTCAAGTCTCTTCTGGGGCTGTGTCTTCCCTGGGACCATGTGTGTGTGTTATTTTTGTATTACTTGTGTTTACTTGTATTGTACTTAGGTGTCACTTGCATTCCTCTTCTTGTCATCTATTGCCCCAAAGCATCCATGGATCTGGGAGCTGCCTGCTATTCTAGTTCTCCAGAGCACTCCCCCTCGGCTTTGCAGCCTCTAACCATGTGTCCAAAGTATGTCACTGTTCCTATCAGTACTCTGAGTCAGGAAAGACAGAAACTAGTCCCTTAAGCAGCCCTCAGACAAGCTAGAAAGTTACAAGCAAGCTCCACCTTTTTCCTTTAGTCCCAAGGGAGAAACTGGGACTGAGGCAGTTTCCTTTGACAATACCATGCTGCACCAGGGAAGCGGTGGAATAAAAGTGACCAAAATTTCATGAAATTTCCTATAACTTTGCGTATGTCTTGTTCTTGTTTAGACATTCACTTGGTTGCCGCAGCTTCTTAGCTGGTTTCTAGAGTTTTTACAAGATATTTTGGTCTGAATATTGTCTATACAGTGCTTCCATGGGGAAACGAGCCTGGAGCTTCCTAATCTGCCATCTTGCTGAATGTCACCCCCCTAATCCTTCTTGTTTAAAACATATTGTTATTTTGTTTTATATTACTGAATAAAATTAGTAGGATAAAGGGAGTGAAATGCAAATAGTATAGTATGGCATGAAATTAAAAGTCTCCTTATCCACTTCCCAAACCCCATTCCCACTTCCTAAGGATAACCACTTGTAGCCATTTGTCTTTTGAAGTCTTCTGAGGGTTACTTCCTTTAAATAACGTAAGTATAACTTCATTTCTTGATTCATCAACTTTGAATTATGCAAATGATTTTATGCACCAAAAGATGGGGCTTGTAACAGAATCCTTGTCCTCCTCCTTCCAGTTTTTGTTATATTTTTACATCTAAATATCTCATCTGTTAGAACTTCAAATGATAATTTTAAACATAACATGTATAGAGAGTTCATGAGTTCTGAATATGTATATAAAGGAGATTGACAGTTATATTCCCCTCCATTCCTTTAACCCTATACCATCTTCTGAATTTTGTTTTCTAAAATTTACATTTTGTTCTGTGGCTATAGTATTTTATGCTTTCACTTAAAAGGTGTTTAAATATATTTATAATGCACTGTACAAACAAGATATGTGATGAGCGCTAAATGAAATGCAATATTTGTCTCTAAAGTCATCCCTCTCAGATGACATTTCCTTTCTTAAATTTTACAGAACATATTTACTGAGTGCCTTCTGCATGGCCCATCCTGTTCTAGGCACTTGGAGTACACGCAGTAATTGCTCAAAATCATGTTATATCTTTGGACCTGTTTTTGGTTTAGACAAACCTATCTAGAATTGTCTTTCCTTTTTGTTTGTTGATGGTAAAATGTATGACACAGTTTGGATATTTGTCCCCACCCAAATCTCATGTTGAATTGTAATTCCCAATGATGGAGGTGGGGCTTGATGGGAGGTGTTTGGGTCATTGGGGCAGATCCCTCATGGCTTGGTGCTGTCTTTGCAATAATGAGTTCTTGTGAGATCTGGTCATTTAAAAGTGTGTGGCACCTGACCAGGTGCGGTGGTCATGCCTGTAATCCCTGCACTTTGGGAGGCCGAGGCAGGTGGATCACCTGAGGTCAGGAGTTGGAGACCAGCCTGGCCAACATGGTGAAACCCCGCCTCTACTAAAAATACAAAAGTTAGCCAGGTGTGGTGGCACGTGCCTATAGTTCCAGCTATTCAGGTGCTGAGGCAGGAAAATCGTTTGAACTCAAGAAGCGAAGGTTGCAGTGAGCTGAGATTGCACCACTGCACTCCAGCCTGGGCAGCAGAGCAAGACTCCATCTCAAAAAAAAAACAAAAGTGTGTGGCACCTCCCCCACAACTCTCTCTCTTGCTCATGCTCTGGCCATGTGATGCCCCAGAAGCTGAGCAGGTGCTAGCACCATGCTTCCTATAAAGCCTGCAGAAGCGTGAGGCAATTAAACCTCTTTTCTTTATAAATCACCCAGCCTTGGGTATTTCTTTATAGCAATGCAAGAAGGCCTAACACAATGTGTTAACTATATTACTAACATCTCAGCTTCAATGTCACTGTCTCAGCACGGTGATATTTTAAACTACAATTCCTCTCCTACATCCCCAGTTATTTATCCAGAGCACTTACCATTTTCTAATCTGTTACATAATTCACTTTATTTGGCTTAATGTCTTTCTGCATCCCCCCACTAGAATAAAAACTCTTGGAGGCTTAAGAAATTTGTTCACTGCTGTATCCTCAGTGTCTAAACAGTACCTGGGCACATAATGCTCGATAAAAAATGTTTTGAATGCATGGTATCTTCCTGCTATTGAATGGTATCCATTTAATCATGCTTCTTGTAAACAGTTGTTCTAAAAATCTCTCATTGTTTGTTCTAATTTGGATAGAATGCCTTCTAGGTTGGCTTCAGACCTAGAAATCCTGAGATTTAATTTTATTACTGGATTTGTTCTCTATTCTTGCAGAGTGTTTTCAGGATGGGTGTGTGGAAAGTAAAGCCATTCATTGCTAGTGTAATCATCTTTATTCTGCCATCTTACTTCATTGAGAGTATGGCTGTAGACAGAATTCTAGTTCAAAATAATGTCTTCTCCAAAGTCTGAGGGAAGTGCCCCCTTTTATTCCAGACCACAGTATTGCTGTTGAGAAATCTGGTAATCTTCAAAAGTTGAAGGGATAATCAGAGAAATAATTATTTCCCAGAGCTGAATATGAGAGTCTTCAGAACAAAACGTCCTTGAGGGCTGTGAAGTGAGAAAGTATAAATGTAAAAACAAATTTTTTGAAATTTCAAGAGACTTTTTTTTAAAATCTTTTTCCTCTGAAGAGCATTTTCCTTGCTTTTTGTAAAACTCCCGTTAATCACAGATTGGACTGCCTGACCCTCTACTGTGTCCTTCACAGTAGAATGAATATTTCCTAGATTCTTTTGTTGTTGTTGAGACGGAGTGTCACTGTGTCGCCCAGGCTGGAGTGTAGTGGCACGATCTTGGCTCACTGCAACCTCCGCCTCCTGAGTTGAAGCGATTCTCCTGCCTCAGCCTCCTGAGTACCTGGGATTACAGATGTGCACCACCAAGCCTGGCTAATTTTTGTATTTTTAGTAGAGATGGGGTTTCACCATGTTGGCCAGGCTGGTCTCGAACTCCTGACCTTGTGATTTGCCCACCTCGGCCTCCCAAAGTGTTGGGATGACAGGCGTGAACCACTGTGTCCAACCCTTAGATTCTTTTTTTAAAAGAGATAGGGTCTTGCTATGTTGCCCAGGATGGACCCAAGTCCTGGGCTCAAGTGATCCATCTGCCTCACCCTCCAAAGTAGCTGGGACTACAGACATGCGTCACCATGCCCAGCTGATACTTTTCTAAAATGTCTATCTGATCATACTAGTTTCCTATAGGAATATCAGATTGAAAAGAGGGAAGAAGGGACAAAGGACTGCTTGTTTCTGTTTCTGGTTTTAGGAGTAACAGATCCTTCTATGCTATTGGCTTAGATGGTCTGTGGCCTTAATTCCATTGTGCACAGATTGGATGTGGCTGCATTTAGAGAGGGACAGTCGAGTCCCTTATTAGGTACACTTACGCTGTACCTATCCAGAGAAAATCAGGTGAGCAAAACCTACATACACTTGTGAAAAATGATAATAGGACACAATGGACATTATGGACATTGGAAAGAGATTGAACTTAAAATTACCCCATTTGGAATCTGGGTGGTTTTGCCAAAAGACAGAAGCAGAGTGGTTTTTACTTCCTTTGCAGTATTTCTGAAAAGTAAAAACAGTTTTTTGCAGAAACCCAGAAACAGCAGCTGAAATGTTTTACATACTCCCTAAGGAAGCAGCGCCCAGCAGATGAAGCCCTGCGGGAGAGCACAGCAGCAGCGGAGGCTCTGGGGGAAGGCGTGGTGTCTAAGGCAAAGGACTCTGCCAGCTTACATATTTATTTGAAAGACACAGACATAAAAAGGATGAATATGTTTATATAACTTAAAGCAATGGTTAAGAAATAGGTAACTAGGTGAGGCTCTGAAGATTTTGAAAGAAGTGTGTTACTTGCTTGCTGCTCCTTTAAGGGAGAAAAACAAAACAAAAAACATTCCCATAAGCCTAGGAATTCTTTCTGGGCCCCCAAGGCAGGTTCTCAGCTGCATTTAACTGTCTAAAGCTACTGAACTCATGAGTTCTAGTGAGTTGTAAAAGCTCTAATGAACTCCATAGCTTGGATTTACAAAATAGAAAATCTGGGGGTTAGAATGAAGCACCGGCTTTACTTTTCTGCAAAGATTACCTTCTAATGAGATGAAAATCAGCTTTCTTCAATACCAAGATCACCATTCTTTGAGAACTTCCTTATAAGGTCCCAGATCAAACACTTGATCTTACTCAGGGAGTAACTGTTTTCTTTAGTAAATGCAAAGATTTTTTTCTTCTTCTAGGCATCAAAGGCAAACCAGATACAACATTAAGATGATGGGCATTAAAAAGATGAGGTAGGGGTCAAAATGAGCCTAGAGGTTGCATATATCTACAATAAAGTTTTTTTTTTCCTTCCTGCATAGATGGAGCAGCTCATTGAAAAACACTTTTATTTTTTCAAAGATTCAGGGTCTTGCTCTGTCACCCAGGCTGAAGTGCAGAGGCACCATCGTAAGTCAAGCTCACTGTAACCTTGAACTCCAGGGCTCAAGGAATCCTGGGACAAGGTATCAAAGGCAAACCCTCATAGTCTGAGAAACACTATGAAAACCAAAAGTTAAGGTGCTACAACATAAAAAGTCAGATGAAGATGAGTAATTTAATGGTTTCATTCTTACTGGACCATTCTAGATGGAGACAAGTAGAAGGTAAAGTTTCAATGACTTCTTTTAAGTTTGTGTATAGTGTACTTTAAGCCGAGGGCACAGAATTTCCTTCGTCTTTATCAATTTTGTAGATGTTTGCGTCTTCATAAATATTAGCAATTTCTAGACTCTGATACTCTATTATTTTATAGATATTTCTTTTTGTGGTTATGTGCCCCTCCTTCAACATTTTATGCATATCCTTTAAAAACATAAGCTCACAATGTAATTGCTCTTGGTCTACCAACATCAGTTTCTTCAGATACTTTTTCATAGTTGGGATTGTCAGAATTTTATTTTGCAAAGAACTTCATTTTAAGCCAATTTCTTTTTAGAATCTTTGGATATGGGATAAGGACAAAAGTTACCAGAAGTTTTGAAATAGTCTTTCCTAATATTTGTCTTTTCTGTTTTTAGAATGTTTTGTGGCAATTCTCATAAAACAAAACCTAACTCACCTATTCTCAGTATTCGACCAGCAGAACACCTCACTTACCTGTGCACATGATCTAATGCAACGAAGAGTCCCTAACAGGTTACACCTGGTGAGTATGCAGACGTAGAGATCTTCTTTGTCTTAAAACAGGTTTTAGCTGTGGCACGGACATTTTGGACCCAATCAATCTTTGTGGTGGGGGCTGTCCTGTACATCACAGCATATTTACCAGCATCCCTACTTTCCACTCCCCAGAGCCTGCACCACCCCCTCCTCAAGCTGTGATGACCAAAACTGTCTCCTGACATTGCTCTAATGTCTCCATGGGGAGCAAAATCACTCCCTATGGGAACCAGTGTCATAAACCATTTTAGAGGCAAACTACAAACTAACTCCCCAAACTGTGATGGTGGAAATAGTCTATAACTTCCTAATACAGCAGCTGATCACTACATGACACTGCTAAGCACCTGAAATGTGGCTAAGTATGAGGAGAATTCTTAATTTAATTTCATTTTAATTAAGTCCTACATATACTATAAGGACAAGATGCTTCATCATGGAAAGCTGTGTAGATATCTGATACCTCTGTTAAAAATCATGTGGTTGATAGGCAATAAAAACTTACAGAAAGGGTTTCACCATGTTGTCCAGGCTGGTCTCAAACTATCCACCCACCTCCATCTCCAAAAGAGCTGGGATTACAGTTGTGAGTCACTGCACCAGGCATAAATGTTTTATTAGTCCTATTTCTATCCATTTAATTTTCATTCTGACTAGGTATTTGTTAAATTAAGAGGTGAACTGTGAAGTTAAAGATTACAATGATAGAAATTTAAATTCTCTTTTAAATCAAAAAGTTTTAAGTTGTTTTTTGCATGATAGGAATCATGACTGAAAATATAAGAATGCAAAAAAGGTGCTCTAACTGAATTCTGGTAAATAATTCCTTCCTTGAAAGAAAAGAAAAACTAAACAAAATTTAAAGGAAAGGCCAACCAGGATTGAAAGAAAACATTTATTGAATCAAAATCAATACTTTCTTTTTAGTATCTACAAGCCAACACAGAACTCATTTTATTCAAGAATGAACACAATGTACAAAAAAAGTATGCTTATATTATAAAAATATGTCAATTTTATCTTCTGGGTGCTTAGCAGAAGTCATTTTAAACAAAATCAAGGCAAACTTGTTCTCTATAATGAGTCTGCTATAATTTAACAACAAAGTGAAAGCTAATGTACTTACGAAGTATTTTTAAAGGCCCACTGATAATGCTGCACTGGAAATGCTAAACCCAATGTTAACTAAAGTCAACATTTCCGCTCTACGCTTACTGGCACCACTTCATGCCTACATCATGGGAAAGTACCTCTTTTACAGAATGCAGATCACTGCTAACAATCCACATGACTAAGTCTTCAGTTTCCCTTGCTTAACATTTGTTAGCATATATTTCAGCAAAGATTAACAGTATAATGAATGTTGAGTAGTAAAATCCTATTTAATTCGCTTCAATTTAAAAATGAGATATGCTGCTATGGGGAACAAATGACCTCTTGAGATTTACAACCCCCTTTATAAAAGTGGGAAAGCTGCCTCCCTAAAAAAAATTATGTCCAAGGTTAATACCGTATCTTTTTTTGTAGTTTTCTTATTTCTTGATTTTATTGGCACCTCCCAGGCACTTTGGCATGTGCTCCTGTATAAAGTGTAGTTACTGTGCCTGTAGAGTTAGTGGCAGCTGCAGAGTAGTTATAGGCTGACAAGTCCACTTTTGGCTTACCATGGAGATCTGCTCCAACACATGCTGGTCGTTGGAGCAGCAAAAAAAAAAAAAAAAAAAAAAAAAACAGCGATTTGGAAAAAGACTAAAATCATGAGTCAGGGAAAAGGATCACGGCTTCCCGTACTATTGTTCCAGGAGTTATATGACAAGTAGAAAAATTGTACTAATTTAAAGAGTCAGTCAAAATAGAAGTAGACTAAATAGCATGAGTGCTGATAATGCCAAGAAAATCCAATCTCTCTTCTAAAGAGCTTGCACACAGCACATAGCAATGTCCCTGGCCAAGAAACTGACCGTGCCTGGCTGAGCAGAATGACAACAGTACTCAGGCAAATTCCACAATGCAACATCCACTTGGTGAATCAGTGACAATGGATGAATTCAACTTACTTTAGAAGTTGTTATTAAACAAACTGCAAAATGTCTACTCCGAAGATGCAAATGTTTTTCCTTGGCAGATCCTCTCTGTGCTTGGGATTGACACAAAGGCTCAAAACTGCAAAATACAAAGATCAAGTAATCTGGTGCCCCGCTGTACTGGGTAAATTAAATTTTAAAAAGTGGAGGAGAAATGCTTTCACATTTTACCTACATAAACCTAATGTTTGTTCAGTTGCCTGTTTTGCAAGAATCTTGGACTAAGGTAAATGAAGGCAGAAGATAAAGTGATCCCTGTTCCTTTATTCCAAGTTAAAGTTTTTAATTAAGCCCCATTTGTTATATGAAATGTTAATCCTACCAAATGTAGTTAGATAGGCTTGAATTGGACATAGGATTTAAACAAACATTTTAATGAGAACACAAACCACTGACTCTGGCTTAACACCACACTCTAACAGAAAAGAAGAAACCTTTACAGAAATATTTGAAATATACAAAATTCGTGCAAGGACAAACATATTTTAGAACCTGAGCAAAGGCTTCGTACAGGTTGTTTTCACTGGCAATAATTCAGCCAGGTCGGTATGTATGTTGCTCTTGGCAACTGATGTGGCCCCTAAAATAATATGTAGAGCACAGAAAGGCCAGTGACTCTGGAGGTCTGCAGTTAGTAGTACAGGCCAGAAGTTCAAGAAACTGCTACTGGAAACAACTGGATACCATAACATTAAAAAGAAGTAAAAATAAAAGAATGAGTGCACAAAGAAACGAACAGCTAATTAATAAGATGAAGATGCTCAGGATTGGACTGGAGGAGAGTATGACCGCAACACTCAGATACATAACCACACCTGTAACCACACCTGTTTACAACCACAGGTCCTTGCTCTCAAAATAAATATATTGAACATTTACAACAGAATGAATGCCTTATGAATGCAAGCTTTTCTTTTATTGCAATTCTAATCAATCAATCAAACAGACCAAAAGGTCATACTTCTAAAATAAGCTACAAGTAATCTTTTTCTATGAAAATGATGTGACTTGGTGCCACAGCTAAACTTTATCTAATAGCAGCATCATCAGCCCATGGCAGCAAAGAAATGTTAATTTCTGGCATCCCATGGGCTCTTACCGAAGCAACAACTTCATAAAGCATGCAGATATCTATTCTGCTGAAGTTTCAAACAAACAAACAAATAAAAATGATCATTGTGCTTGTGGGTCTCATACCTTCCAAAATATACATAAATGATGGCAAATTAACAAATAATAGCAGGTCCTTGCTTTCCAATAAAATCGTAAGGCAGGGGGTCGGCAGTGAAAAGAAAAATGTTTAAAATAGAAAAAAAAAACTGCAAAATGGTGTTAGCATTCACAAAAAAGATCATGCGAAGATCAGATCCATACTGATTAAACATTGAAAATTCAGTGACAATCCAAAGAACTCTGTCCATGAGTCCAAAGGCATGCATGCCAGCTGAAGGAAATGCAGGATTCGTCTGACAGTATCTTCTTCAGAGCAGAACAGTAACATCTCACTGGAATAATCACGACAGGGTGGACAAGGTGCCATCACACTTCTTTTTTGTAATTCAAAATAAAAGCAATCACAGGACAAAAAAAAATTACAGAATAGTGGACAGAGAAAATATAGAAATTCACAATAACCCTATAAAACAAAAAAAAACTTGAAATTATTTCTACATTTTCAGGGTTTATCCTTTTTCAAAGTAGTCTTTTTAATTAATTTGAAAAGTTTATAAACAATGAAGTCTTAACTGTAAAATTACTACCCAAGAGATTATCTTTAGTATCAGTACTTTTTTGAGACAGGGTCTTGCTCTGTCACCCAGGCTGGAGCGCAGTGGCGCATTCTCAGCTGACTGCAACCCCTGCCTCCCAGGTTCAAGCAATTCTCGTGCCTCAGCCTCCTGAGTAGCTGCGATTACAGGCATGCGCCACCATGCCCAGCTAATTTTTGTATTTTTAGTAGAGATGGGGTTTCACCATGTTGGCCAGGCTAGTCTCCAATTCCTGGCCTCAGGTGATCAGCCCACCTAGGCCTCCCAAAGTGCTGGGATTACAGGTGTGAGCCACCATGCTCGGCCTCAATACTCAAAATAATGATTTCACTCTTGTTTAAAGGACACATAAGAAGCATCTTGTCATCAGAATCCTCCCCAACCAGATGTTTTAAAGTATTTAAAGTTCTTAATAAGGAAAAGAACCTAAAACTTACATTCCAAGTGCAGAAACTACACTTAGCTGAGTAATTTTGCCTTTCCCAATAAGTTCACCATTAAAAAATTATATATATATACATATATTTACTATTATTGGCCTGGCCATGTCTGGCCGTCAGGTCCAGACCCCAGCTCTGAGTACTCACTGGAGAAAGGACCAGGGCTATCCCGCCTTCGTATCCACGAGCTGCATCTGGACATTGGCAGGCATTCCACCTCCATAACCTCCCTTGGACTGCATTTGGTTCTGAATGGAGCTAACCTAAAACAAGACAAAAATACAACAAAACAAAATGGAAGTCAGGAAGTAGGTCCGGTGCAACTAAGTAATTCTTTTCCCAGAATTTTATTTGGGCTGCTTTTTTCAGAAGGGTACTTTTATAGACAAAAATTTTTTTATAGACAAACAATTTTCTAGTTATAAGGACAAACAGGGAGGCTAGCAACTGAAACATTTTTTGCAAAAACCCCTATTTTCTCTATTTCCAAATTACAAAAGTCAGTTTTGTAATTCACAAGGCACTTGGTAACATTTGAAAAATGGTCAAAAATATATAGATCAACTCCACTTTCTTTTTTTTTAAGACAGTCTCGCTCTGTTGCCCAGGCTGGAGTGCACTGGCGTCATCTCAGCTCACTGCAACCTCCACCTCCCAGGTTCAAATGATTCTCCTGCCTCAGCCTCCCTAGTAGCTGGGATTACAGGCACACATCACCACACTCAGCTAATTTTTCTATTTTTAGGTTTCACCATGTTGGCCAGGCTGGTCTTGAACTCCTGACCTCAAGTGATCCGACTGCTTCGGCCTCCCAAAGTGCTGCGATTACAGGCATGAGCCACCGCACCCGGCCGATCAACTCCACTTTGTTTCTCAACCTCAAGTATCTTAATTTACAGATATCTCACATATATAATCACCTCAATTACTTAGTAAAGAATCAAAACCAAGAAAATAAGCATGAATAAAATTGGACCAACCAAAGATAAATCTTAAAAGTCTGTGTCAAAAAATGTACCATGTTAATATAGCCTGATAAAAAAGAATCAAAGAATCCAAAGACAGATATAGTCCCAGTTTATTTATTAATATTGTAACTGGGTAAACTATTTATCCTCTCTGAGTATCAGGCTTCTTATCTGTAAAAGGGTTAAGATGGTAATCTCTCCCGACCACATTGCAGGGCTGTTTCCTGATAGAGTGCAAGATATATGAAAATTGGGATATTTTCTTTTTGCTGAAACAAAGGCACATAAAGTCATTTGCAAACTGTGAAGTACTTTTAGCATATCATTATTATTCCAGTCTTAGTTCATATAAATTAGAAGCAGTCTGGAAGCAGAGAATTGGAGAGTCAGGCTAGACTGCTAGAAGAAGGAACACAAGCAATATGATTTTGGAGGTGATGGCCTAACTAGTGGAGAGAGAGCACTAGCAATGTGGTCGAGTATTTATTTCATGGAATCAGCTCAAAGGGCCCTGCACACTTCCACAATTTGGAAGGAACCGGGGCATCATCTATTTATCAGTCACCTGCTTATCAAATACTTACTGAGCACCTACTGTAACATAAGGCATGAAGGGTGAGGTGCTTTCCACTGGTGATTCTGAGTCAATATATTTAAAGTAAGACTTGTCTAACTCATTTTTTGAGTAAGTCAGGTTTCAATATATACTGTAAAAGAACATAATGGCAAAACAGAAAATGCATAGCTTATTTAGATCAAGAGAGTCTTAATGAGAAAATGTGTTTTGCTCTTAAATGGGGACATTTTTACTAACCTGGAAATTTACTTACATGGAACATCTTATTCGTATGACATCACATTATAAGGTATTGCTATAATAGTCAGATTAATAAAATGACTACCTTCAGGTAAGAGTGTAAGAAGAAATCTATATTTTTGTTTGTTTGTTTTTTAAACATAAACTTGCTCAGTTAATGCAGTGTGAAGAGGCTAGGGCCTGTCATATGATACCAGTTCAAATTCGTCATCTTCCCCTTTATGGTAACTAACATTAAGTTATGTGGCACAAACCTGATACCAAGTAATTTTCCACTTAACATGGCATGTTAGCTTTTATAGATATTTTAGGCCTGGCTTAAAAAACATCTTTATGACCAGGTACAGTGGCTCACAGCTGTAATCCCAACACTATGGGAGTTCGAAGTAGGCAGATAACTTGAGCCCAGGAGTTTGAGACCAGCCTGGAAAACATAGCGAAACCCCATCTCTACAAAAAAAATACAAAAACTAGCTGGGCATGGTGGTGCAGGCCTGTAGTCCCAGCTACTGGGGGAGGCTGAGGCAGGATGATCGATTGAGCCTAGGCGGTCAAGGCTGCAGTAAGCACTCCAGCCTGGGCAACAGAATGAGACTCTGCATCAAAAAAGCCCAAAACCAACCAAACACAAAATCTTTGTTTGTTTTTACATTGTGCATTCAATAATGCCAAGCAGATTCTAAGAAAAAAAAAGTATTTTTCTCCAAAAGTCAATTCTTCAATTTAAAAGATTTGGTTTATCTTAAGTAACCTTTATTAAGTAACTTTAATAAGTAATCTTTCAGTGTTGAGACAATGTATTATTGTGACTGTGAATATACAATATTTTAACGCAAGGTTGTATTACTGAACGGGTAACGGAAATCTTTTCTGGAAAGAGGGTAGTAGAAAAGAGTCTTTTACACTAAGTAAAGGTAGAAGAATAATATATTTAGAAGAAAAAAGAAATTACAAGTCATCTAACCATTCAATAATATAGTTTAGGCAAGCCTGTTTCATATGCGTCAAGCCACATTCCTAATACTAGCTGCTCAGTTCTTTTATTTGAATAAACAGCATGTCTATTTATGGTTTCTTCTTATTTATTATTGCATTGCATAGGAGAACATAATTTTTCTCACAGAGTCAGGCTCATCAAATCAGTACTATCAATGATACTTTCAAGAAAAGTTACTCAGCCAGGCGTGGTGGCTCATGGCTGTAATCCCAACACTTTGGGAGGCCGAGGTGGGTGGATCACCGGAGGTCCGGAGTTTGAGACCAGCCTCGCCAACATGGTGAAACCCCGCTCTACTAAAAATACAAAAAATTAGCCAGGCATGGTGGCAGGAGCCTGTAATCCCAGTTACTCAGGAGGCTGAGACAGGATTGCTTGAACCTAGGAGGCAGACGTTGCAGTGAGCTGAGATTGCACCACTGCACTCCAGCCTGGGTGACAGAGCGAGACTCTGTCTCAAAAAAAAAAGTTACTAATTGAACAACACCATTCCTAGCAGCAAGAACACAGTGCTCTGTGACAGTGGGATGGATGCTGAATATTGCTTTAGAGATAGCAAACTCAAATACGAAATAACTATAGAACACATTTGGGAAGCACATTTAGCTCTAAAGGGCTGAAATACTTCATAAAAAGTCCACTTCAGTAGCAGAGAAGGCTGCCTGGAGACAGCAAGGTAGAAACTCTACCACAGCTAAAGTCCCATCTCAATCCTGCATCTAAGATTAAGAGGCAGGTGTGCAAGCCCTGCAAAGTACAGTCCTAAAGTTCTACCTAAACTATGAGAAGCAAAAAAATAGTAAGCCAATGACAGGTTTTTCATTCAAGGAGGAATCTTAAAGGAAATTCCGAAATGTACATAAGATTTTAAATGCCACGAACTAAAATTTAATTCCTCCTATACGGTTGGATTTATTTTTTTAAGATGGGGTTTCACTCTGTCACCCAGGCTGGAGTTCAGAGGCATGATCTCAGCTCACTGCAACCTCCCCCCTCCCAGGTTCAAGCAGTCCTCCCCGCTCAGCCTCCCAAACAGCTGGAACCACAGGTGCACATTACTTCACTCAGCTAATTTTTTTGTATTTTTGGTAGAGACAGGGTTTCACTACATTGCTCAGGCTGGTCTTGAAATCCTGAGCTCAGATGATCCACCTGCCTCAGCCTCCCAAAGTACTGGGATTACAGGCGTGAGCCACCGTGCCTGGCCTTATAGTTGGATTTTTTAAAAATCTGAGGTGGCAGAGACAACATCTGTTGATGAGAGAGAAATTAAAATTCATCATATATAACAAATTTGAAACTACCCATTCTCTTTATTATAGTAACCATATTAATAAAAGTAATAGGGCCTCATTTAGTCTTTTCACTCTATGTTGATGCAGGAAACAAAACTACTGACTGTTTTGACAGCAACATGATACCTCTTGCATTTCCACAAAGCAGTCAAGTGAAACAAAGTACTTTTCCTACGGATTTAAAACAAACAAGCTGTTTCCTTTCCGGCAAGGTTCAAATGTCATTCCTTTGCTTACCTAGTAACTGCAGTGACAAACGTCGTTGCTGTATCCAGGATACCCATCTACCTATTTTTAAAGTCCCTGTTAAGTCTTTTGTTAATGCTGTCTAGTAAGTTGGTATACAGTGGATCATAATTTTATGTTTATAAAATCCTTTCTGGTTTTGAACACTTTAGGGATCATTTATACTTGTTTACTTTAGGCATGGGGAAAAGAGTCAGTCTGTTGAAACTCAGTGGCCTGCTTTAAGGCAAATGTGAGGAACAACTCTGATAAGAACCCGCATTTGGTGCTGCTTCTATTATAATGCATTCTGGTTTTCTCTTCAACAAAAATTAAGGACTAAAAGGTCAGCTGAGTAGATCTAAAGCCTATTCTGAAACTCACTGAAACCTCTATTAAAAGACAGCGAATAAATCTTATTTCTGGTTCTTCACATCCTACTGGCAAATGTGACAAATTTTTACTGCCTTGCCCTAAAGGGATATGTGAAAATTCTAATCCTATGCTTAGTGCATGAGAACTTAGAGTAAATAAATCACCAACATTCTAATATTACCAGGTAAAGATGAATAGTTTATAACAGGGGTCCCAAAACCAGAAGTGGCCTGTTAGGAACCGGGCTGCACAACAGGAGGTGAGCAGCTGCAAGTGAGCATCACCGCCTGAGCTCTGCCTCCTGTCACATCAGTGATGGCATGGGATTCTCATAGGAGCACAAACCCTATTGCGAACTGCACATGCAAGGATTTGGTTGTGGACTCCTTATGAGAATCTAATGCCTGATGAACTGTGGTAGAACAGTTTCATCCCAAAACCATTTCCCCCATGGAAAAACTGTCTTCCACGAAACTGGTCCCTGGTGCCAAAAAGGTTGGAGACCACTGGTTTATAAAGTAAAGCAATAAAAATGTGTGCAAAAGGCAACTAACTGAACTTAAAAGAACAAAAAGAGATTATTATTAAAAAGGCTGATATCCAAGTCTCTTTGGTGGGAGCAAGAGAATCAATAGGATATTAACCTCCATTCTGAACTCAAATCCTTTCAAGTTTCAAAGTATTTATTCGGGACAAAGGCAGCTATGAAGAGTTGCGTACAAGAAACAGAAACAAATACCTAATCCAGGAAATTCAAAGAGATTAATTTTTCATCAGTAGTTTGCTTCTCTCTTCTATGCTCATATTATGTATTTACATTCACTGTACACAAATTCATTTAGCATAATGCTATTAAAAATGCTTGTGCCTGTCACACAGGTTTCATATGACTATGCCCCAATGCCCTACCTGCATGTCCCACCAACATACTTACTGAATTCATTCCACTGAACAGGTCTCCTGATCCAACATGAGCTGTATGCACAAAGTTTGTGGGCTCTCCAATCATACTTCTGTCAATCCGCCGTCGCCTTTTCTAAAATATGGGGAACAAATGTGTTGAGAAAGTGATCTTATGAGCAACTTATTCTGATGGATTTTTATACTATGACTGTTTAATAAATTTGCCAAGAACACAAAAATGCCTAGCTCTTAGACTGCCACAATTACTTCTTATGATGAAATCCCCAAGACAAATATATGCACAAAAATGATTAGTAAAGCAAAATAACAGGTTATTATTTAGAGCTTAATAGATTATTTGGTCTAGCTTTGGTCATCCACATATTTAATAACTGCTTAAGTTTTATTCTTTTTAAAAAACGAGACAAATGTAAAATTACCCTCAGTCACTATTATTGTTGGCAAAGAACACAGTGGTTTGAATACACTGTCTGATTTTAAACATTACTTTCTGGCTTTCATCATTAACAGATGTATTATATTTTGATGGTTATTATTCAGATTATACCCAATTACCTTTCTATGCTAAAATGAATCTGTCATTTCAGCTGGAGGGGGTGGAGGTGGGAGGGTGAGAGGGTGACAGATTTGGTCCTAGTCCATTCACTCTTCTCTGGTCTGTTCTAGCTGGGAACTAAACCTGTTGACTAACTAGGCTGGGTCTTACTCACTCTTCTTAATTTTTTTTTTTTTTTTTTTTTTGAGATGGAGTCTTGCTATGTTACCCAGGCTGGTCTTTTAACTGGGCTCAAGCAATCCTCGCACCTCAGCTCCCAAGTAGCTGGGATTACAGGCACGCACCACTACGCCTGGCTGACTCTTCCTAATTTTTGAAAAGCACTTCTCATGGGGTGCTGAGCCCCATTTTCCAGTAACTTTAGCCACCAGCTGGTGTCCCTGTTCTGACCAATATGCTCATCTACCCCTTAGAGATATTTCCTGACTGTACTGCTGTGTTTCACTGATTATCTAAGAGTTTTCCAGATATGAAGATTATCTTAGATCTGTCCTGTTTTCCATGATCCCTTAGATATGATAATGTTATTGGGAGAGACCACTGGCCACGTTGGGTTAGTGTCCTACTATGGGGCTCTGCTTATCCCAGTTTACTGTCAATAGTATACTTCTCCTGAAATTGCAGCTTCCCTCAAAACCAAGCAGAGTTACAAACTTGCTGGATTAGCTGCCTTTGAACATAACACTTTTATGTCCTTATCTACTGAAACGCTGGCATGATCCTGATAAACCCTAAAATTTTATCACGAGAGTCCCATATGACAGCTCCTCAGGGTGAAAACATGACTTTCTACAAAACCACAAAAGTGGCGAGCCCATGCATATATTTTAGAAGTCCATATACATTGTTTTACTGTCCTCTCGTTTATATTGTCATAGATAGAAACAACAACCACAAAAAACCCTGACGCTTTTCCTTTGAAATATTTATGTTATTCATCCTTAGAATTCAGCAATGACATTAGACCATCTCCAAGTTTGTTGGGTTTTCCTTCCAGTAATTCTGCGTGGCACACGGTTATCTGAACACAGGTTTTCTGTATCTTAGAAAAGTTTTATTCTGTTAGTTCCTTGATAATTGCTCCATGTGTTCATTTTGCTATTTCTGGAGTTCCTGCCTATGTGGACATTTGAACATGTGTGTGTCTATAATCTTCCAAGTTTCTTATATTTTCATCCTTTATTTCTCTTTATAATTTCACTGCATTGAAAAGTAACTCTGCTTTATCCTCTTCAGAGGTCCAAGCTAGATAGTAAATATTATAACCTTGCAGGCCAAATACAATCTCCACTGTAGCTTTGACTCAACTCTGCTATTGTAGCATGAAAGCAGCTGCAGAGCACATGAAATTAAATGAGTATAGCTGTGTTATGGTAAAAATTTATTTACAAAAACAGGTGACAGGCTAGATTTAGCCTGTAAAAGTAGTAGTCTGCTGACCCCAGCTCTAGATTTTTTCAGTAGTAGCCACATAATTTCATTTTTTCCATTATGGTTATTTTTCAGAGGCTGTTATGACATGTCATTGCAACATTTTTTAATCTCTGAAAAAGTTGTATTATTATAGTTTTTCACTCTTTTCCCTAAAAACACTTAACTATATAAATTATAAGTCTATAACACTAGGGAACAAAGAACTCTCATTTCTTTATTTGAACAACTTTAGTTTTACTTCAAGCCTTTTTTTGAAAGTTGGTAAGAAACTGTCTGTCTTTTGGGGCCCTGTTCCACAGAATCATAAAACTTGCAGGTTAAAATGGTATCATAAAGTCAAAAGAGGCTTTTGTCTATGTGTTTTAATTTTTCTATTTCCTAGCACAATGCACTGGTTTCCTGCTATCTTTTTCTCGCATACTGCTCCCTCTGATGATCTTAGAGGTGCCTCATACAAAGACTCCCTGCCCCTAATGGCAGACTTGACACCCACAACCATCCTTTGATCTGGAGTGCTGCATGCCAGCAATGCACTGGTCTTTTCCTCTGTTCCCCATCTTTTTCACAGACTCAGTTTGTCTATTTCCAACCACCCCATTCAACATACTTCTCTTCATACTATTTTTGTTTGGAATGATAAAGCATAATTCTATGAATTAGCCTTAAACAATGCTAACTTATCTTTTTTAGGAATAAAGTAGGGAAAAAAGATGTTAACAGTTTTGTGCCTTTTTCTCTTCTTAATAATATATTATTACATTTCCACTAAATTTCCTTATTAGGAAGCTATTTGGGCAGGTCCAGAAATGTAATCTTTACCATCACAGGATACGAATTTTCTCAGCATGTGGGCAGGACAAATTATTGGGATTTCTTCCCCAGTGAGCCACTTAACTGACAGGTAGAGAGGGAAGCTTCTAGGTTCTTGTCACAGTTCCACAGGACAGTGGCATCTGCAGGACACCAGACTCTTCCCCAGGCGTTTGCAGTAAACATGTCAAGATAACTGCTTCTGATATGCAGAGAGAGCCACTTGGCTCTCTCAAGCAGGGGAGGAGGTGGTACCAGAGAATACTTCCTGGTACCTACTTCCAGACCACTAGGAGGAGTCTTGATCAACCCTTGTCCTGTGAACCTGCAGAAGCAACTCCTAACAGTTCTCATTCTGCATCATTTCCTCCAGAAGGGTGTGTTTAGAGCTTGCCAAAAGGCTCCACTTGGTCTATACCTCCATATTAAGTGATTTATTCTGTTGAGTTACTGCAGGACTGTGTTGGGGGAGAACAGAAACCATAGTGTGCTCAGGCCACCACCCATCTCACCCAAAAAGAATGAATAGATATGCTTGTGAAAGAAGGGTATTAACACATACTCACAAACAATAATTCAGCAAACATGATTACTGAGAATATTCAAAAGCTGATAACAAAACTAGTTCCCAAGAAGCTACTCTGACACTGAAAAGCAAAGGATGGGAAGACTTCAGCTTACTTCTATCATACTGTGTTATTAGATAACTAATATATATGAATGTGAAAATAATAGTGAGTATTTTTCAGCTTGAACTATACTGAGCTGGGAGTCACACCTTAGTATTGGAAGGTTTCTTCATGGCATCTAATCTAACAGTTTGTGAGATATGAAAGAAGCTTTCAGTCCTTCGCTCCCCAAGGCTGAGGGAACTCAGCTGTCCAGAAACTGAAAGGAGCAACTGTGTTGTGCGAGCATAGTAAAGGTAAACACCTAAGATGAAAATAGTAAGATAAGCAAGAACCAGATCACATAGAGTTTGTAAAGGACTGAAGTGTGTGATCCTCCCAAGAACAATGGGAAATAATTGAAAGTGTTTTAAAGCAGAGGAATAACATGATTAAATAGCTTGAGAAGACTATTCCACAATAGCTATAGGTGGAAAACATGTTAGAAGAGGTCAAAATAAGTTATTAATGTTGGTGAAAAGGGATTATGTGGATTCAACTAATAACACAGATAGAAGTGGATAGATTCAAGAAGTAGTCAGTGGATAAAATCAACAGCATTTGGGCCGGATGTGGTGGCTCACGCCTGTAATCCCAGCACTTTGGGAGGCCGAGGCGGGTGGATCACCTGAGGTCAAGAGTTCGAGACCAGCCTGGCCAACACAGTGAAACCCCGTCTCTACCAAAAATACAAAAATTAGCCAGGCGTGGTAGCAGGTGCCTTAATCCCAGCTACTTGGGAGGCAGAGACAGGAGAATCGTTTGAACCCAGGAGGCGGAGGTTGCAGTGAGCCGAGATCGAGCCATTGCACTCAGGCCTGGGGGACAAGAGCGAGACTTCTCTCAAAAAAACAAAAAAAAAAACAAAAAAAAACAGCACTTGGTTGCAGGCTGGATTTGGTAACAGTGAGAGGGAGGAGTTAAGAAATATGCACAGACTTCAGATTTCAGCAGAGAGTGTGCAATTCACTGGGTTCTGAGAGAATCCAAACTGGAGATAAGAGACTGAGAATCACCAGCATTAACAAAGCCAAGTTAATGAGATTTCCTAGACAAACTAAATTTCTGTGGTTGGGCAGAGAAGAAGCCATCAAAGAAGGCCAAAAAGAAACAGCCTGAAAGTCAGTAGGAAAATCAGCAGTGTGTACAAGTGTCAAGAGGGAGCAGAGCTGAAAGGTGGTGAGAGGTCAATTAAAGACAAATACGTGCAATGGATTCAGCAATATCAAGTCAATGGGCACCTTAGTGAGTGCTATGTCAGTGGAGTAATAGGAGGAGAAGACACGCTGCAGGGGACTGAGGTGGGTCTAAGAAGTGGAAAATGGAGAAAGAGAACAGAGACAACTCTGGAGAAAAGTCTGGCCTTCTGGACAGGAAGAAGACAGGTCAGTGGCTGAAAGGAGAAAAGGAGATGAGAACAGATTGAATTTTTCCCCTGTAAGATGGCAGAGAATTCATTATGCTCAATTTCTAATGGGAAAGATCCAGTAAAAGAGGTACAGAAAAAGAAGGAAAAAGAAAATGGATTGTCAACCTTACAAGGTTCCTGAGAAGGCAGGAAAGGTGGATCTAGACACAGGTGGAAGTGTTCTTTACACTCTTTCCTACAACACTCTATCAAAAACCTGGATTTAAATATAAATAAATATTCTAAACTATAAAAATGCAGTATTTTAAGGCACAATGTGGACATTTAAAGAATGGCACACTTGTTTGGGGTACTGTATAATAGTCACGGGTGGCTGGGCATGGTGACTCATGCCTATAATCCCAGCACTTCAGGAGGCTGAGGCAGGTGGATCACTTGAGGTCAGGAGTTCAAGACCAGCCTGGCCAACATGGCGAAACCCTGTCTCCACTAAAAATACAAAAATTAGGCCATAAGAATGATCAAATGGACTTGGGGCTCTGGAAGAGTGGGAGGGGGGCAAGGGTTTTATAAAAGACTACAAATATGGTGCAGTGTACACTGCTCGGGTGATGAGTACACCAAAATCCACAAATCACCACTAAAGAACTTACTCATGTAACCAAACACCACCTGTAGCCCCAATAACTATGGAAAATTAAATATTTTCTTTAAGAAAAAAAAATTAGCTGGGCATGGTGGCAGGCACCTGTAATCCCAGCTACTTGAGAGGCTGAGGCAGAAGAATCACTTGAACCTGGGGTGGGGGGTTGGCGGGGAGAGGTTGCAGTGAGCCGAGATCACACCACTGCACTCCAGCCTGGGTGCCAGAGTGAGACTCTGTTTCAAAAGAAAAAAAAAGAATAGTCATGGGCAAACAAGGGGAATTCCAGAGTCAGACCTCCGCAAAGAAAAACAGGAAATGGTGCACTCTGCTCTGATACGTATTAACAGTTGTCGTTAGCAGAGTCACCGTGTTTCCTGGAAACAAATTCTTTATAGGAAACTTTGTTAAGACCGTCAACCATCTGAATAATCCTTGCATCCTTAAAATATTAACTTTTATTCTGCATAAGGTGAAGGACTAGAGACCCAAATGAACTGCTATGTTAGTGTGGAGGGGACATTAGGCAAAATGTCTCTTCCCATAACTTTTTACATAATTACATCATAATTATTAAAGATAATGAACTAAACAATTTGGAGTATATCCAAGGAGGCGAGAAGCAGGTTAATTTCAAAGGATTTGCTACTGTGAGAACCTTATTTGCATCCTTATCTAAACAATATGTATATAACCATACTATATCTACCTCCCTCACATTTCTGGCATATGGATCAACTGTAGCTTCTAGAAAACAGTAATTACATCATCACTTAAAAGTTAAAACTTTCCCAAAGACTATTCTCTGGGCAGCTTAGTGTGCAAACACATGTCACTGAGAAGCAAATGAAGGCCAGGTCCCATCAGGTTAGCAGAAGGCCTACAGTAAGAGTAAAAGATGGTACAGCCTGAGGTAGTTCTAGAAGCAGATACAGAGTGAATAAAGAAAATGAAAATACTTGCCATCTGGGACAGTGAAAAAAGCTGGAACTTTCAGGGTATAAAATAGCAATCATTTATGCAAATGTGGCCAAAGTAAATGAAAGGTTGAAAGCTATGCTGACTCAACTTTATGACCTAGAGAAAGTCAGTTGAGTTGTGTAACTAAATCCCTAAATCTATGAATTAAATCTAACAAGCCCACTATTTCCAAATTGTGTCTTGGGGCATCCCAGCAAAACCCAGGGGTGCCAGGGTTTTCTATTTGAGGGAAACACAGTGAGGCTCAATGTGTGTTTGACACTGAGTGAACTACCAGCTTCAGATAATTTGTAACTTCAACATTAGAACATACATTCTTTTTAACAGCATATCTTTGTGAAGCTGAGTTTTCAGTGGTTACTGTGAAAAAAACCCAAGCACTATGCAAAAGTCAGTATGGAACTAGAAAAGAAGGTGGTGGTGTTCAGTCTGATTCCACAGTTTGAGAAGTTGTATAATCCCAACAGGCACAAACACACCATAAGTATGTAACTGGTTATTTAAGAATTAAATAAAAATATTTTTCAATTTATATCTTATTTTTTAAAGGCAAATAAGTTGTTGGGACATAAATCTTTACTAAGTTGTTTGTACCAAATTAGTTAATAAACAAGTCTGTACGGTATTTCTCTTGGCCTAGAGGCACCATGAAAAAAATTACAGAACCGTTAAGAGAAGTTTGGGAACCTCTGAAATAAGCTACATTAGTTTTTTGAAATATTGACAGTGTAATTAGGAACCAGGCATTTCTAAAACAAGTGGGTATTTTTTTTCTATGATGCCAGTGACAGTGATTCCCTGGGTGCGTGAGCTGCTTCCAAGTTAATCAATCTAGTTCACAGTATGGAAAAAAAGGCTAACAAAAGTTGTAATAATATAAAAAATGGATTTGACATTTTTTGATGAAAATGATCTTCCTAGTGGATATTCATTGACACAAAAAATGAAAATACCTTTTATGGTAGTAATGTCAACAAACTATATGAAACACCCTTGCCCCAAGTCTCTCCCTACTCATTCTTTGAGACCCAGCTCAAACATAAACATTCCGAGTTGAGGCTGTTGGATATTTCCTGTTCTGAACATTCACAGCACATGGCTCATATTCAATTATAGTACTTAAAACATTGTATTGTAACTTACTTGCTTACAGTTTGATTTTCCTACACTACTAAGAGTTCTGTAACAGTAGCTGTGCCTGACACACAGTAGACAATAAATGACTGTTGAATGAATAAAAGGCTTTTTTAAAGAAACAATGTCAGCTCAGTTCTCTAAAAATTGTTTGTCTTATCTAATATTATCGCCAAATATTTCTCAAGAACCTATTATATTTGGAAGATGTAAACAATGTAATGCCAATTCTAATGAAGTCTACATTTCTGCATAAAAAATACTTATCTGCTGATTTAATTTTCTCTCTTTCATAGAAATGCTGTGTGCTCTAGAGAGGTTTTAACTGGTAACACTGTTTTAGTTTTTATATTGGGTAGAACCTGTAAAGCAGTGGTTCTCAAGCTACAGTGTACATCAGAATCCCTGGAAGGTTTGTTAAAATACAGGTTTCTGAGCTCTAGTCACAGAAGATTTTCAGATTGAGCAAGTTTGGAGTGGAGCTTCAATTTGCATATCTAACAAGATTCCAAGTGATATTGATGGCTTAATGGTTAATAGAAAACACTGGCTCTAAAGATTAACAGCTGAATGACTATTATTAAAAAGTCAGGCCAGGCGTGGTGGCTCACGCCTGTAAGCCTAGCACTTTGGGAGGCTGAGGCGGGCGGACTGCCTGAGCTCAGGAGTTCGAGACCAGCCTGGGCAACATGGCGAAACACCATCTCTACAAAAATACAAAAAATTAGCCAGGTGTGGTGGCACACCCCTGTAGTCCCAACTACTCGAGAGGCTGAGACACAATAATCGTTTGAACCCGGGAGGCAGACGTTGCAGTGAGTCAAGATCACATCACTCCAGCCTGGGCAACAGAGAGAGACTCTGTCTCAAAAAAAAAAAAAAAAATTACATATAGTCAAATAATAATAGATGCTGGTGAGGCTGCAGAGAAAAGGGAACACTTATATACTGCTGGTGGGAATGTAAATTAGTTTAGCCATTGTGGAAAGCAGTATGGCAATTTCTCAAAGAAGTGAAAAACAGAAGTATCATTTGACCCAGGACCCCCTTACTGAGTATATACCCAAAGTAATATAAATCATTCTACCATAAAGACACATGTACACATATGTTCATCACAGCACTATTCACAATCGCAAAGTCATGGCATCAACCTAAATGCCCATCAGTGGTAGACTGGATAAAGAAAACGTGGTACATATACACCATGGAATACCACACAACCATAAAAAAGAACTAGACCATGTCCTTTGGAGCAACATGGATGGAGCTGGAGGCCATCATCCTAAGCAGACTAACACAGGAACATAATACCACATGTTCTCACTTGTAAGTGGGAGCTACATTGAGTACACATGGTCACAAAGAAGGCAACAACAGATACCAGGACCCATCTGAGAGTAGAGGGTGGGAGGAGGGAGAGGATCAAAAAACGACCTAATGGTTACTATGCCTATTACCTGGGTGATGAAATTATCTGTACAGCAGGTAATCTGTGACTCAGTTTACCTATATAATAAACCTACACATGTACCCCCTGAACCTCAAAGGTAAATTAAAAAATAAAGATTAACAGCTGAATATTTAAAAAGTAAAAGTGGGTAATAAAGAGTACTTATAAGATACCAGGCACAGTTCCAAGAACTTTAAAGCCATGAACTCATTTGCTAGTACCTTCTATAGCAGTATATGACATTTTACCTTCCCTTCAAATCTGGGATCCTCTGGCAAACTCTCACTTCTTGTCTCAGCCACTGCTCAGAAGTCCTCATTTGTTCACCTTTGTACTCTCTATTGAATAAAGGTTTTTTGTTTTTTTTTTTGAGACAAGAGTCATTCGTCACCCAGGTTGGAGTGCGGTGGTGCAATCTCAGCTCACTGCAACCTCCGCCTCCTGGGTTCAAGCGATTCTCGTGTCTCAGCCTCCCGAGTAGCTGGAATTACAGGCATGCACCACCATGCCCATCTAATTTTTTGTATTTTTAGTAAAGATGGGTTTCACCATGTTGGTCAGGCTGGTCTCGAACTCCTGACCTCAACTAATCCACCCACCTTGGCCTCCTAAAGTGCTGAGATTACAGGCATGAGCCACCATGCCTGGCCAAGATGGGAGTCTTAACAGTGTCCAGGTCCTGGATATTCATGTTAAAGAAGCTGAATTCAGCCTTCCCATGGGTGGTAATCTGAGTTGATAAAACTGCCTGTGGAAGTCTAGTTTCTAAGAATATGACAAAAAAATCTCTAATATGTTAAGGGACAAATGAAAGAGAAACAAGGTTTTAGATACTGCAGAGACTGGAAAAATATCTGCTCTTCAATAACTGAATAGCCTACTTTGGATTCCAAATTCTCATACTTAGGTCAAAACTTGAGAAAATAATAAACTTCTTCTATACATGAACTTGTACTGTATCTTCTACGGTGGGAAAAATAATTCTACTTGTCTGGCTTCTAGAGCTTAGCTCACTCACTGGAATGCCAGCAGTGGCCCTCAGGTGACAGAGCTTATATAAGGAGCTCTCTCCAGAGGAGATGAGAGTCACACCATAGATCACCACAGAGAAACCAAAACCAGCTAGTATTATAAGCAGAGAATTATCTAAGTCAAAGTACAGAAAGGAAAGATATTTTGTGTTGGAAATATTCATAAATAAATAGGTGAGTTGCTGGTAATGCATTTACAATTCAATCTTAAGTGTGGTGCTGTCGGTATCTGTCCTTTAGGGTTTAGTAGGTAACTAACCTTTTCCTACTCAGTATGTATTTTGCAGCTTTTGACAGATGAGAAGTTTGCAGGAGACCCCCAAATGTTTTTAAAAAGAATCTCTAAGCAAATCTATAGTGACCTTTTCAAGGGCCAAATTGCTAAAAGCAAAATTGAAGGAACTAGTTGTTCTCATCTCTCAGTGAGAAACCTGAAGTGAAAACAGTTTTTTTCTCCTTCTATTTAAAATTAGTATCTGGTTTAAGTCACATATTCCAAGTATGAAAACTGAAGCACAAAATAGGTTAAAAAAAAAAAAAAAAAGGAGGGGAGAAACTAATCTGAACTAGCTTTCAAGTATTAATGATATTGTTAATATCATTGGTGTTAAAAACTTTTCACTAGAAATTTCTGTCACTATGGGTCCATCTGGGATTGTTTCTATACACTGTATGTATACAATGTACAATGTACCTAGGAAGATATTACTTGCCAAAGTCCCACAGCTAACTAAAATCAGATCTGGGAGTCTTCCTTGTCCACTGTTGTTTCCTTCACATCACTGTGTGAACAACTGTGTTTCAAAGCAAGTCATATAATTCCCCCCAAACATTTACTATATAAAATTGAAATACAAAAATCAAGTGTTTATATTAACTCTATGTGAAGAGTGTTTACAATTGAGCCAAGTACTGTACTATAATTAATTTTTCTTACACCACACTTTGCACTGGAATTGCTTCTGGCTTGCTTAGCTTAAAAAAAAAAATTCTGTCACAAATTTTACACACAATGTCTGCTTAACTTTTTTTTTTTTTTTTTTTTTTGAGACAGTCTCACTCTGTTGCCCAGGCTGGAGTGCAGTGGCACGATCTCGCCTCCCTGCAACCTCTGCCACCCGGGTTCAGGTGATTCTCCTGCCTCAGCCTCCCAAGTAGCTGGGATTACAGGCACCTGCAACCGCACCCAGCTAATTTTAGTAGAAATGGGGTTTCACCGTCTTGGCCAGGCTGGTCTTGAACTCACCTCGTGATCCACCTGCCTTGGCCTCCCAAAGTTGTTTGCTTACCTTTTAATGAAACTATCATTAATTGTTCTAATACCCTCCATAAGTATCTCGTGGTATAACCGATTAAATAGCTAAGTGACTTGTCCAGATAGTCTGAAATTTCACTCAGTAGTATGGGTTCTTTTTCATTCAACCAAGAGACTACTGTTTTTTGTTTTGTTTTGTTTTGTAGTTCAGGGAAATTTTCCCCTAGTATTACTTTGATAATTTACTAGGGAAATTTTCCTGTAGTATTACTTTGATAATTTATTATCCTCCAATGCCTTTTGTCCTCTTTTTTGTAACTTTAGGCAGATTTTGTACTTCCTGGGTTGATCATCTAACTTTCTTAATTTTCCCTTCTACTTTACATTTCTTTATATTTTTCTTTTACTTGCTGGAAGAATGAACTACATCTTCCAGCCTTCTCATGCACTACTTTATTTCAGCTATCATATTATTTCCAAGCATCGTTTCTTGTTATCGATTTGTTCCTTCTCTCTCTCGCTTCCTTTGTAGGCATGTTGTTCTTGTTTAGTGAATCCAGTGTCTTATCATCTGAGACCTATTCATGTTTTCTGTTTTGTTTTTTAGTTCTTTCCTATTGCCTGTATCATCTATTTCTTCCGAGTTCTTTTATTCAGTTCATTCCTTTTAGCTTTTCTGTTGTCTAATGAACACAGGCCATCCAAACGAGGCTTAGTGTGCACGGGTCATGTTCAACTGTAAATTCAATGAACAGTGATCAGATGGTGAGCTCACTTTTTGCTTGGGGAAACCACAATTGCAGGTTATCAGCAGGTCCCTTCTGTGATGGCAGTAGGCTCTCTAGAAAAGGACCTGCTGAAGTCCAGACAGAAGAGTTCGAATCTAGCTGCAGGCATTCTAAGATGAAGGCAGGTGAAGAATGCTGGCTGGCTGGCTTGCTTATCAGTATCCCCCTCTGTACGCAGTTAGGCAGTGGCTCACTCAGCTAAATAGGTTCCCACTCTACCATCCCATCTATTTTTTTATTATATCTGATCCACGGTTCTCTCTCCTCTTCACTCTCTTTTTCTTTGTAGGTTTTATCTTTTTGTTATTTAAACTCCTTTAATGTCTTGTGAAGTAGGGTTTCAGGAAAGAAGAAAATATACATATAAACCCAGTCCAACATCCTCTCTTATGTTGAGATAACTATATCTCTCTTTGTGGTAACTAACGTCAAATCAAATGAGAACAAAATATTGCTGGTAAGAGACCAGCTCTTTAAGGTTTGATGGTCATGTTCATTTCAAAAAGAAATGTACTTGAATATAACCAATGGGGATAAAAGCAAAATTTTAAAAGCCCATTACTTAAAATGAGAGCAAATTGCAATTTATCAACTCAACATCCATAATAAGAGCATTCACTTATGCCATGCACTCTGCTAAGCACTTTACATAAATTATCTTAATATATTTTAATTCACTACCTATCTTGAATCCTATGAGACAGGTGTCATTATTCTCATTTGCAGGGATTCAATTAATCTGCCCAAGGTCAAACAGTAAATAAATAAGTACCAGCTCTGGAATTCAAATCCGGATCTGTCTGACATTTTTTTTTTTTTTGAGACAGAGTTTCACTCTGTCACCCAGGCAGGAGTGCAGTGGCGTGATCTCGGCTCACTGCAACCTCCGCCTCCCAGGTTCAAGCAATTCTGCCTCAGTGCCTCCCGAGTAGCTGGGACTACAGGTGCGTGCCACCACACCCAGCTAATTTTTTTTTATTTTTAGTAGAGACGGGGTTTCACTGTGTTAGCCAGGATGGTCTTTATCTCCTGACGTCGTGATCCACCCACCTCAGCCTCCCAAAGTGCTGGGATTACAGGCGTGAGCCACCACCGCGCCCAGCCTTTCTGACCAACTCTAATAGAGAACCAGCCCTCACATGAAAAGGGGAAAAACTTGTTTGGTTTTTAAGAACCTTGGAGTTCTTAAAAATATGATCACTTCCTATAGCTAAGTACTCCTGAAAGCACATTTGCCTTAGGTTTCTTAAAAATTTTATCTGTCATAAGGTAGGCCAAAAAAATGGCATTGAGTAATATCTTTTTTTGCTTAATGTAGAGGAGATTCTGTTTACTTATCCCAAATGATCCACAGACAGCTAACACTATCACCAGTATCTTAATGACTTTTGAATATATGCATAAGTACATAACAGGTACATGCATAAGTATTTGTTCATGTTAAGATCCCAATGAAGACATCACCCAACTGTTACCCAGGTAGACACTGCAAGAACAAATAAAACCAAAACCAAAACAAAACAAACAGTGATGGGGAATAAGGGGGGGAAACGAATAAATTAAAATGATAGACATGTTTCTCATTAAGTTAATATATATGAAAGCATTTGAACTAAGTCTGTAAAAATGGCAGATAATAATTAACACTTGGTAGCAAGAAACGCTTTCTGAAATACTGAAACACTGCTTGTTTCACTGTAACTTATCACCTAGTGCTGTATCTGCATAGTCTCACAATTCAACTTTATATCCAACATGGGTGTTCATTTCTATTTGGATAAAATTTACTGAAATATACTAGAAAGAAAACTGGTCTTAAAATGCAAAAGGCTCTGCCACTAATTCACTGATCTTAACTTAGTTTACTAATTAACTTCTTATTATAGTTTTCCAAATCCGCATGCACGCATGCCCACATGCATTTGACTACGTTTGCCTATGATGTCTCTAAGATCTAAAATTAAGATTGGATGAAAATTATTTTCATTTCACAAAAGAAAACAAAATCACATATAAAACAAACAATATCCCATCTGCTAAAACAAGAATGTAAGCATAACACCTTTTCAAGAAACTATAAGAAAGTTCAATAGACAAAAGTAGATGGAACATAAATACCAGAAATATCTAAGAACCAGAAGAATTTTTACTATGTGCAAAGGTGATAAGAGATCAGACCAAACTTTAGGGTACCCCGAGAACTGAGAACTGACCTAGAATTTGTCTTGCATGAGAACTGCTAATAAAATATATCTGTAATATTTCCTACTCAATATGAACAAGTTTGAGAGGATGAAAACTGAATGGTTTATACCATCTGTTTACATCACAGATGAACAGATTCTTAAAAAGTGCTTCTAAAACTGTTCAATATATTATAAACATCATAAATACCAGCCCCAGATAGTTATTAAAATACCATTATATTATTAAATCCCAGATAATTACTTAAGTTCTAACTTCCCTTTAGTCACAGATACATATCAGCAAAAACATTTTATTTTTCTACAACAATGCACTACCTAGTCTCACCCTACTACTGATTTGAAAAATAATGCAATTTTGAGTTCCTTACCAGTATTCCTTTCTTTCCTATTTGTATACATCAAGGCCACGTGAGAATCAGAACCCAATCCTCACTAACTCTAGACAGACAAAGGCTTAATCCTCTTCATTCTTGTTGTGTCTAGGCTTATAAACCCCAAAAGTCAGTTTAAAAAAAAAATTCATGCTATTGGTGTTTTAGAAGCAACTCTTTGGCCATTTTAATCATTAGCCACCTCATGAAAAGATGGAGATTTGCACATCATTTACACAATAACAGAATTTGTAATTAAAGGCTATGTTTTCTAAATAAACATAATTTCACAGATATAGTCAGATGACTTTCAAACAACTAAAGAAATGTTTGACCAGGCTAAGTCGCTCATGCCTGTAATCCCAGCACTTTGGGAGGCTGAGGCAGGAAGATCACTTGTGGCCAGAAGCCTGAGACCAGCCTGGGCAACAAAGCAAGACCCTGTCTCTGCTGGGGAGAAAAAAAAAAAAAAGGTAAAATAAATGTTTCAGTATTCACACTGAATGAAAGAAATCTTCCAGTTAAGAGGAACACATAGTGACTCCACTTAACGTTGCCTATTAGATGAGGCAAGATGATATTTTCCAATGGGCATATAGAAAAAAAAATAATTGATGCTCATTTGCCATATTTATTTTAAAAATTATTTAACCATAAGTTTCTTTTCTCTTTTGTTCATAAATTTTTTCGCTGAGTTTCTTTTCTTTTCCTTTACATGGTAATTATTTTTGTCATAACAACAATAATAAAATAATTTTTCTGAACTCCAGAGCTCCATGCTCTGACTACTATGATCAATGGTCTACAACATGGAATGTGCTCACCCAAAGGGGGCACATAAAATGATCTGTTGGAATGTGGGAGGAAAATACTAGACCTTCTCTTTATTTTTCATCTCTTTTAAAAAACTAAGCCCTCCTAGTAAGTCATATATAGGCTGACATGGATGTATGTTGGCTACTGACTACACTTGTTTCTGTAAGAGTTACTAGAAACAGAATAAGCAGAAAGCACTGAATTAAATTAGTGCTTAACCATACTTGAAATTAAACATAAAAACAAAGATGTTGTCTTATAAAGTCACTTTAATCTGCTTCAGTTTATCTAAATGTGTCTTTTTCTGTACTCTGAAATAATTAGTCTTACACTGTAATAGAAATGGAATATGCTGATGACAAAGGGTGTGGAAGTGTGGAACTGGGGTTACTACTTCAATAAATCTCTAATTTGTGCATAATCCTGAAGCTCACAACCTATTAATAAGTCAGAGTTACTGTTCACTCTCATATTAAAATGCAAAACAATACAAGGCTAACCTTCAAAAAACTGTTACTACATTCTTCCCCCAATGATAAAAATTTTGAAGTCTGAAAATACCACGTGTTGAAGAGGATATGGCACAATGGAACACTCAAACAGCTGGTGGGAATGTAAGATGGTAACATCAAGTCTAAAAGAATTTGCTTTTGCTTGGTAAAGGTAACTTCCTCAGCTGTTAGACCCAGTAATGTCACTCCTAGGTATATACCCTAGAAAAACTTGGGCACATGTTACCAGGCTACACATACACAAATGCACAAAAGAGCATTGTGCATAATAGTCGCGTACTAGGTTTATCAAAAGAACTGTAATGGAAAAATCTATTATGGTACAGCCAAACAAGAAAACATTAAAGAAAAATGAACATAAAAATTAGCTATCTGCATCAATATGAATCAATCTTATAAATATACCATTGGATGAAAGAAGAAAACGCAAAAGATTACAACCAGTAATGACTCCATTTAAAGTTAAAACAGGCAAACTAAATTATACTGTTTAGGGATACATACATAGATGGTAAAATCGTAAAACACAACAAGGAAGTGATTACCATAAAAATCAGGACAGCAGTTCCTCCAGGTGTTGGAACAGGCACGTGTGTAATTGGAAAGGACACAAGGAGGCTTCTGGGGTGCTGGCAATGTCCTATTTCTTAACGAGTAATATGTGCTTCATAATATATTTGTTTCATAACTTTTATACTGTACATTTATATGTAAAATAAATCCTTTCAAATTATTAATTTTTGGTATTATAATGGTATTGTGGTTATGTTAAATAAGAGTCCTTATCTTTTAGGGATACTGAAATATTTATGGACAAAATGATATAATGTCTCAGATTTGGCTTCAAAATAATAGAGCAAAGGATAAAGTGGATGGAATGAGGTGAAGATTAGACAAGAATTAAAGTTGTTGAAGCTGAGAGATGGGTACACAGGGCTCATTATACTACTGTCTACTTCTGAATATGTTTAAAAATATAAGTTTTAAAAAGCTTTTATGGAAATAGCTTAAAAATAAAGATACACCAGTTTCACAAATGGGAATTATATTCAATACAGGTCTAATCCAAATCCCAACAGGCCTTATGGAAAACCTGACAAACTAATTTTAAAACTGATCTGTAATAGTCAAGGACTAAGACTGGCCAAAACACGACAAAAGGTGAACAAAGACAAAGGGATCTGCCCTCCCAGATATCAAAACAGTATTAATGCAAACTCTAGAAGACATTGTGTATCATCGTGTATTGGCACCAGGATGAACAAATGGTCAAACAGAATCTAGAGTCTGACTCATGCATGTAGGGAAGCCTGATAATGTACACTGCATACCAGTGGGGAGGGGAAAGACTTCTTTTTTTTTTTTTTTTTTTTTGAGATGGAGTCTCACTCTATTGCCCAGGCTGGAGTGCAGTGGCGCAATCTCGGCTCATTGCAAGCTCCGCCTCCCAGGTTCACGCCATTCTCCTGCCTCAGCCTCCTGAGTAGCTGGGACCACAGGCGTCCGCCACCACGCCCAGCTATTTTTTTGTATTTTTAGTAGAGACAGGGTTTCACCGTGTTAGCCAGGACAGTCTCGATCTCCTGACCTCGTGATCAACCCTCCTCGGCCTCCCAAAGTGCTGGGATTACAGGTGTGAGCCACCGTGCCTGTCCAGGAAAGACTTCTTATGAAGTCGCTGTGGGACAGAGGGTTCCCCACATGGAAAATAAATATAATTAAATCCCTTCTCCAAAAATCCACAGAATCAACTCCAGGCTTCTAAAAGGCAAAATTATTCCACTTTTATAGGGAAATTTGGGTGAATTATCCTTATGAATGAGAGGTAAGAAAAAATTCTTAAGCACAAAAATATAAGCCAAAAAAGGTACTTTGTTAAATCACACATAACCAACAAAGAATTTGTATTCAGAACGTAAGAGGGAAGTCTATGAATAAATAAGAAATTTTAAAAATGTACAAAAGACATGAACAGGCATGTCTTTCACACAAGAGGAAACCATACCGAGCAACAAGCACATGAAGAAGTGCTTCGCTTAACCTCACTAGCAATCGGAAAAGAACAATACCATGAAATCCCACCTTACCCATCAGACTGACAAAAATTAAAAAGTGAAAAAACAAGCATTAATGAAGATGTTGTGAAAGTGAAACTATACCACATTAATGTGGGAGCAGTTATCCCTTTGCAAAATAATTTGGCACTATCTTGTGAAACTGATCATGCCCACACCCCACAATTCAGTATTTCCACTTTTAGATATATATGCTACAGAAACAAGTATACTCAAAGTCATGTATATACTGAGATATGTACAAGAATTTACAGCAGTTTGTAACAGAAAAAAAACTTAAAACTAGAAACTACTCAAATGTCCACCAACAGATCATCTGTATTGGGTAGGAGCTTATATCTGTTTGTTGTTGTGCATCATTACATGATATATATACACACACATATATATATCATTACATGATATATATATACACACATATGTATATGATATACACACACACACATATATATTTGATTGTATATTTTGACCTGTTATATATATAAGCATATAAAATTATATATATATATAAAAAATTTGTTTTTTGAAACAGGGTTTCACTCTGTTGCCCAGGCTGGAGTGCAGGGATGCGATCCTGGCTCACTACAGCTTCAACCTCCCAGCTCAAGCAATCCTCCTACCTCAGCCTCCCGAGTAGCTGGGCCTACAGGCACACACTACCACACACAGCTAATTTTTAAAATTTTTTGTAGAGACAAGGTCCTACTATGTTACACCCCAGGCTGATCTCGAACTCCTAGGCTCTAGCAATGCTCCCGCCTCAGCCTCCCAAAGTGTTGGGATTATAGGTGCAAGTCACTGCACCTGGCCTGTTTTATAATTTTTGTACCAAATATATTACAGTTTGAAAGAAGATTTAATTTTTCTTTTAAAGATTATTACTTTTGCTGATGTCACATTTTAAGTAACTAAAAATTGCAACAACCACATGGTTTACAAAGAAATGGCTTGCTTCATCTTGAGGTATGTAGTAAAAAAAACAAAAAAACAAACAAAAAAAACCCTCCAATCTGAACTGAATAAAGATCAACTCCATTCTCAACCGAAAAACATTAAAGCAAAATTTCTTCTCTGACATTTACAAACTTATAAAAGCATTATAATTTCAAAACATAAATAGCTTTCTACTGCCTTCTTATCCCTTTTCCCCATCTTGAACTCACGCCGAATGCTATGGACACTAGCTTACCAACAGTTCCTAATTGGTTAAGGGCACAGACAACAGTACTGGAACACCAGAACCTGTCTGTTCCACAGTTTTGAAAAGAGCCTTTCTAGTTTGTTTTCAAGTACATATAGACAAATTCAAACTATCTCCACAGTTATATTAAAGGAGCTGAAGAGGTACAATATACAGTGAATACCATCCACTACATTACAAAGTGACTATCTACAAGAAAATAGCAATAGTCAGTCCTAAGGCAGGGGAGGTAGTTCCAGTATACTAGTCTTTAGAATTTCTAGGTTTAGTAGTACAGTTAAAACATTTGAATCAGTCTTCTATGATGTTTTTCTAAAACGTAGGGTTTTCATTTCTCAACTGATAAGGCTAATATTCTTCTCTTTATTTTTTAACAGAATCTCGCTCTGTCTCCAGGCTGGAGTGCAGTGGCGCAATCTCCACTCACTGCAAGCTCCGCTTCCCGGGTTCACACCATTCTCCTGCCTCAGCCTCCCGAGTAGCTGGGACTACAGGCACCCGCCACCACACCCGGCTAATTTTTTGTATTTTTAGTAGAGACGGGGTTTCACCACATTAGCCAGGATGGTCTCGATCTTCTGACCTCGTGATCCGCCCGCCTTGGCCTCCCAAAGTGCTGGGGATACAGGTGTGAGCCACCACGCCAGGCCCTGATAAGGCTAATTTTCTTCTTTTATTAAGTAAATCCATTTAGTTTAAGCATTTTGAGATGACTATGGTTTTATAATGTGATGTGTGAAATTAAATCAGGAACATGCACATTTGTGTTTTCAGAAGAAGGAAAAAAATTGACACTTTTACTATACTCATACCTAATTTAGGGTATAAAATGTGGTTCCTGAAAATGGAAGTTCTATACAAATCTGTGCCATACGAGGTTATTATTGCATAGTAGCTATGGAGATCCATCATATTTGACCAATCACTTTTCTGTTTTACATAAATCCCCTCATGGAGTGCCCTCAGCTAGAGTTCCCTCTAGCCACCTTTCATGGGAATTGTTGGTTCATCCTCTGAGGCTGCAGTAGTAACTTTGATGTTTTCTTTTTTTTTTTTGAGACAGAGTCTCACTCTGTGGCCCAGTCCAGGCTGGAGTGCAGTGGCACGATCTCGGCTCACTGCAACCCTCGCCTCCCAGTCTCAAACAATTCTCCTGCCTCAGCCTCCCGAGTAGCTGGGATTACAGGCATGCGACACCACGCCCAGCTATTTTTTGTATTTTTAGTAGAGACAGGGTTTCACCATGTTGGCCAGGCTGGTCTCGAACTCCTGACCTCAGGTAATCAGCCCGCCTCGGCCTCCCAAAGTGCTGGGATTACAGGCATAAGCCACTGCACCTGGCCTAACTTTGATGTTTTCTAAAATGTCTAAGGTCTTATAGCAATCCTTAGCTGTCTAACTGATCCATCCCCACTCCGTTTCCTCAACCACTTCCCTTGAAGTAACCTTGAACCATCTAAACACTGAGCACACTGCACTTCCTCTGTTTCACTGTGGCAACTCCAGCACCATCACTTGCACATATCCTCATGCCCCCACCCTGACTATTATAGGTTAAAACTATACATCAGAACAACAACAAATGGCAGAAAGAAAAGCCACAAAGGGAATAAGCAACCTTATTGCAGAGCATATTCCATACTCAACTCCAGACAGCTGAGGAGGCTAAATGTGCATGAAGGAGTGAAGTGGCTCACTGGGCTACAGTGTGCAGTATGGTTTGTCAGTGCTCTCTGTCTGAGCATACAGTAAGTCAAACCACTAGAAAAAATAGGTATGTTCTTCCACATACTTTGGCTTTTTGCTCTAAACCATTCAATGATTTCCTATTTCACAAAGAATAAAAACCAGTCTTTTCATGACCTGGAAGACCAAACATGAACTGGCCCTTGGTTACCTCTTAGACCTCATTCCCACCACTGGCCCCATGCCTCACAGCCACTCTGCCTTCTCTGATGTTCCACTCACACACCCAACCTTGCACTTACTACTCACTCTAAGTGCTTTGCCCCAAGTATTTGTGTATTTTACTCCCTTAAACTTGTGCCTATACAGCACTTAATCTGAGAGGCCTTCCCTGAACACACTATTTAAATTCATATCCCCATTTCTCCAACGTCATCCTCTTTTTTCTTGCTTTCTTTTTCCACGGTGCACTTATCACCACCTGATACCATACATACTTATTTGTACAGTAAATATGTCCTCCACTAAAGTGAGACAAGATGATGGTAGAGATGACATCTGTTGTATTCACTGTTATCTCACCACTACCTGGCTCATTGTAGAAATACCAGAGTGTTATTGTTACAAATGTACTGTAAGTGCGTACATGTCCAAAATAACACATTCCAAGGCCAGGTGTGGTGGCTCATGCCTGCAATTCCCAGCACTTTGGAAGGCTGAGGCAGGAGGATCATTTGAGGTCAGGAGTTCGACATCTGCCTGGCCAACAAGGTGAAACTCCATCTCTACTAAAATATAAAAATTAACCGGGTGTGGTGGCACATGCCTGTAGTCCCAGCTACTCGGGAGGCTGAGGCAGGAGAATTGTCTGAACCTAGGAGGCGGAGGTTGCAGTGAGCCAAGATCGCACCACTGCACTCCAGCTTGGGAGACACAGCGAGACTCCTTCTCAAAAAAAAAAAAAAAAAAGAGTAAGAGAAAAAAAAAAGGCCGGGCGCGGTGGCTCACAGCTATAATCCCAGCACTTTGGGAGGTCGAGGAGGGTGGATCACTTGAGGTCAGGAGTTCGAGACCAGCCTGGCTAACATGGAGAAACCCCATCTCTACTGAAACTACAAAAATTAGCTGGGCATGGTGGAGGGTGCCTGTAATTCCAGCTACTCAGGACGCTGAGGCAGGAGAATTGCTTAAACCCGGGAGGCAGAGGTTGCAGTGAGCCAAGATCGCACCATTGCACTCCAGCCTAGGCGACAAGAGCAAAACTCCGTCTCAAAACAAACAAAAACAAATTAACACATTCCAGATACAAGCAGCATTACAAAAAATCAGTGCTATGTGGGAAACCATTAGATGGGAAGGCAAATAATATGAATAGAAAAGTGGCTTTTTTTTTTTTTTCTGTAAATCAGGGTTCCTTGTTTTTTAAAGCTACCTTAGAAGCTGACCAGTATTCTGATGCTCAATAAGTTGGTGAAGAATTCACTATAGTTCTGTCAACAGCTAATAAATCTTTTTTTTTTTTTAGATAGAGTCTTGCCCTGTCGCCAGGCTGGAGCACAGCGGCGCAATCTCAGCTCACTGCAACCTCCACCTTGCGGGTTCAAGCAGTTCTCCTGCCTCAGCCTCCGGAGTAGCTAGGACTTCAGGCACATAACATCACACCGGCTAATTTTTTTTTTTAGTAGAGACAGGGTTTCACCATGTTGCTCAGGCTGGTCTCGAACTCCTGAGCTCAGGCAATCCCCCTGCCTTGGCCTCTCAAAGTGCTAGGATTACAGGTGTTAGCCACTGCGCCCAGCCCTAACAAATCTTTTTAAAAAATTAAATTGCAGGGCAGCAACCATCCAGTTAAAAATCTACAACCTTAGCTATATCTAGCAACAGCAACTACAGCATTACTAAGTTACTAAGTTTTGGAATACCACGGCTCAAAACATTGGGGCTCTATTATACCCTGCATTGTACTATATTAAAATGAAGGAGTAGGAGGAGAAAAATGATTATTCTACTATACTCAGAAAAATACATTCTATTTTCTTCCCAATATTGGGTTGTTCCTTTTTCACACATGGAATGTGCAAAAGCAGGGGGTGATAGGGAACAAGTGGGAGAGTCGGCATGCAGCACTTTATTTCAGTAAATATTTTAGAAAACTTTAGCAGATGATCAAGCAGCTTTAAGATAAGGCAGTCTTGATATTGTTTAGAATACCAAGGATATGTCTTTGTATAATGTAAAGAAACAAAAATTATTAGTGATTCTTTACATCTGTTTCCTGATGCCAACAAGCAAGCTATTCCTCCATTATGGTGACCACAAAGCCCCATTAAGTTTTATGTAATTTTTCTCAGGAATCAAAAAGGTAAGAAATCAGATGTCCATGGAATTTTTATGGAATACTTCACATAAGTATGTATTCATTAAACAATAACAAACAACTAACATATGTAAATGTTGTACTGATACGGGAGTGCTGGGAAGGGAAGAGTGTGGTCCCTTTAAATGATATGGGAGTGGGAACAGGGAAGTGCTGGGTAGAGAAAGGCAGGTCCATGGCTAGGGCTCCACCCCCACGGACAAACATAGGTGAGGACAGGCACTCCTGCTTTTGGGCCCAAATGTTGCATTTTCCAAGACCACCCTGGCCCGCCGTGCCCCCATCCTGGGCCTATAAAAACCCAAGACCCTAGCAGGCAGACACATAGACAGCCAAACGTCGAGAGGAGCACATCAGCGGAAGAAGACACAAGCGGTTAGACGGTGAAAAGACGTCGAGGGAACACGCCTGCACAAGAGCACACCAACAGACACCAGCATGCCAGCAGGCCATCAACTGGCTGGATGAGGCGGAGTTTGGCCGGGGCAGTTAAAGGAGAGCTGGGGCCACCTAGCAGCCCAACTCCAGGGGAAAACCATCTCCATTCTGGCTCCCTCATCGACAGAGAGCTACTTCCACTCAATAAAACTTTGCACTCCTTCTCCAAGCCCACGTGTGATCCAATTCTTCTAGCACACCAAAGCAAGAACCCAGGATACAGAAAGCCTTCTGTCCCTGTGACAAGGTAGAGGGTCTAACTGAGCTGGTTAACACAAGGCAAACTAAAAAAGCACCCTGTAACACACGCCTTCTGGCACTTCAGCTATAAAGATTCATCCCTAGACATTGTCGTGGGGTCAGAACCCCACAGCTCCCCGTCTGTATGCTCCCCTAGAGGTTTGAGCAGCAGGGCACTGAAGAAGCGAGCCACACCCCCATCGCATGGCTTCTAGGGGGACAAGGGAACTTTTCCCGTTTCAGTATGAGAGAAACTCAAGTTGCAAATCCTCTGTGTAGCAGAAAATGTATTTCTGATGTCTCATAACTCCAGAGGCTTATGCTCCTGCCATTTAAATACCTAATCTGTGTCTTCCTATTTTAGCTATTGGTGAGTATACATTTATCATATATTGAAGAGAATTCACTTTATTATATACCCTTTATTATATATCACGTCACTGCACTCCAGCCTGGGCAACAGAATGAGACTCCATCTCAAAAAAATAAATAAATAAATAAAATAAAATAAATTCAATGCAATCCAAAAAAAAAAACAAACAAACAAACTCTAAGATTTACATATGTATTATGAAATATCTCAAACAAGAAAAAAAATAAAGAAAAATATAATAAGAAAACATGTAACCACAATCCAGCTTTTAAAAAAGACATCACCAATAGAGTTAGAAAAGAAGAGCTAAGAAAAAATTTCCCCTATGACACAGCAAAACATATTAAGTAAGTAGAGCAATTAAAACAATATGGTAGGGCACAGTGGCTCATGCCTGTAATCCCAGCACTTTGGGAGGCCGAGGCAGGTGAATCACTTGAGATTGGGAGTTACGTGTACAATTATATTTTTAAAATTTAGTCCTTATTTTTCCTCTTACGTTGTTACAAATATAAATAAAATATCAATTCATTTGTTCAGCCAGCCAACAATCAATCATGTATACCTACACTCTCCAAGATATTATATTTGATCCTGAAGATACCAAGTTAACATGGTGAAGACCCATAAATAATTCAAAATGTTGTGGGAGAGACTGTAGAATAGTTATTTACTATGCAAAAGGTTCCATGCTATAATAGAAAAATGAACTAAAGAGCTGTGGGAATACAGATGAGTATTATCTCATTCAGGGGAAAGCTGGGGCAATTTTTATGTAAGTAACATTTTATTTAGGCACCTTAAAAAATGAAAAGGAGGCCAGGTGCAGTGGCTCACGCCTGTAATCCCAGCATTTTGGGAGGCAGAGGCGGGTGGATCACCTGAGGTCAGGAGTTCGAGACCAGCCTGACCAACATGGTGAAACCCTGTCTCTACTAAAAGTACAAAATTAGCCAGGCGTGGTGGCACATGCCTATAATCCCAGCTACTCAAGAGGCTGAGGCAGGAGAATCACTTGAACCCAGGAGGCGGAAGTTGCAGTGAGCCGAGATCACGCCATTGCACTCCAGCCTGGGCAATAAGAGTGAAACTCCGTCTTAATAAAAAACAGAATTTGGAGGCTGGAGGGCAGGATTTTGGTAGAGGTAACAATATGTGCATATATTAGAGGGCACAAAAACAAGGCATATACCAAGAAGTCAGTCAAGACCACTGACAAGCTATATGACTTTGGGCAAAAAACTGAACCTGTTTCAACTGAAAAATAAAGACAATGATATCTTCCTCAGAGGGTTGCTCTGAGGAAAATGAGATGGTAAGCTGAGAGGAATATGATGGCAATATGGCTGTCACATCTTCCACCCACTGACTTCCAAGGCTGATTTATCTGTTTTACCTCAGGTTACTATCTCCTTTTTCTCTCACTATTCCTCCAGAAGCTATTTGACAGAAGAACACCTCCTCTCAGTCATGTACGATGAATGGTCTAGGAGAGTTCTTGACATACAGTATTTACTTTAAAAACATTATTTCTTTTTAAACATATGTTCGGAGTTCCACTGAACTATTCTCTGTGGTATTCTCTACAACTGCTTTGCAATTACTGCTAGGATCCCAATCCTCAGTTTGAGAACCAGTGGAAAGTTTAATAAGCACCCCACCTGATGTGTCCACATACTTCATACTTACAGGCTGAGGCTGTTCTGCAATACAGCAGTTGAAACACAACCAGAATTCACTCATGCTTACAGTCCACAGTAAATGAGCACCAATGAAGGTTCCAAATCTCAACTCGGGAAGTTCCAAAAATACGCTCCTCAATACGATGATGTCCAGTGATGCCAAGATGAAATTTTATTATTTCACCGTGTTTTTGTTCCTGGAAGTCAAGTATCTTACACAGTCGATTTAATAAAGAAAAATTTGGATTGTTTCCTTTCTTTGCTTCTGGTTCTACAGAGACTCCTTTCTGAACCACGACGAAGGTATAAAAATTGTTGTCTTGACCCAGGGACTATAACAGATAGTCTAGGGAAAAAAAAGAAAAAGTAAAAAAAAGTTAAACTTTACTTATCCTTGAAAGCTTTTATTTCTTAAAATAAATATTACCAAAAAAAGTAAACACTGAAAAAAAATCAAGATTTTAACAAACTGATATTGATTCAACAAATTATTTTTTGAGCAACTTTTTAAGTGTCAAGTTCTAGGTGTAGTAGTAAAAGCAGACAGAAATCTTTGCCTTCGTGGGGCATCCTATTTTATGATTATAAAAGTATGGATTATTTTAATGAGTTAATTTTTAAAAATCACTAATTAGAACATTATGACTGCCACATACAAGTTTCTAATTCCAAGAAGAAATAATGATCACCATTTTCATATAGGTTTCTTCAGTTGAGTCCTTTATTCTCACAGACAACTCAGACAGTAATTGACACAGCAATGAATTCTAAGGAGATAATCAAGCAGGTGCAGTTCATCAAAAACCATAAACAAACTTATTACCTTATCCACTGGAATTAGAGCTGTACATGAAAAATGGGTAGAGGTTAAGTTGGCTTTCTTCTGTGAATCGAGCTATTAGATCCCTACCACTCCCACCACTCCTACCATCATTACTAGAACGCATGTTAGTCAAAATACTCTACATCCCACTGTGGCAAACCAAGCTGAGTCTATCAGAATCCTTGTCAGGCAATGTTCTATCTGCAGTTGGACAAAGAGTTAAACCTATTTTTTATTTCTGACTGCCAAGCTGTTGACTTTAAGGATGTCCTTAGTCAATAATATCCTATACCTCATGTGGAAGATGGTTTTGAGGTAATAATGCTGACAAGCAGCGGCAAAAGAGAAGTGGGAAGTCAAGATGACATCAATCTCTGATTCTAGGCATCCCTAAGATCAGTTTCACCTGTGCACCAGACGTTTGGTTTTGTAAGGCAACATATCTCCCTCTTTAGCCTGAAGTTATGATGAAGTGGGTTTATATCACTTGCAGACTACTACAATAGTCAAGTTAAGATGTCCAATAGACAGTTTGATATATAAATCTGAAGCCAAGGAGAAGTTTTGCAATCATCAGATTATGACTAAAGCAATGAATGATCTCTAGGCAAAACGGTATCATGACAAGCAAAGTGTGCTCAACAGAGTCCTCTGAGTAAGAACAGCATTTAAATCATAGGTAGAAAAAGAGAAGTCTACTAAGGAGGTTTGGGTGTTACCAGAATTAGAAGAGGAAAATCCGTTAAATGTGGTGTCACTGGAGCCTGTTTCAAGGAGAAAGTGGGTGGCAGTATTAACTGCCACTGAGATAGGAAAGACTGAGGACTATTCCTTAGACTGTGCAGCAAACACAGTGTGGCGCTGGCAACAGCAGTTTCAGTAAAGTAGTGTGGGTAGACATCAGATTACAGGAGGTTAAGTGAGTGAAAGGAAAGCAGCAGAGTCAACAAGTGTAGACAATGTTTGCAAGAAAAATGGATATAAAGTTTAAAAAGTAGAGTGGTAGAATGAAGAAAATGAGCCTTCCTTGAAATGAAAAGATCAAAGACTAAAGATGTATCAATTTGACTGTGTTCAAAGAGATGTTAACATTTTTGTCCCAAATGGCGAAATATAAATCACTTATTTGTAAATTCTGGAAAGAGACCTCACACATTTATAAGCTTTGCCAACTATAGATCAGTAACAACCACATTACAGGATCACAGAGTCCTGAACATTAAGTGAAATTAAATTCCTCCCTTTTGCTTTTTCCAAAGCCACGACTCTAAACCTGGAAAGACAGAAGTGACGGTGATTTTTGTAGCTGTACAGATAAAGATGTAATGTAAAGTTAAGGCACACACCCTCAGTGTCACAAATCTGGGTAGTATAACAAGGCATGAATTCAGGACCCTGATTCTACAGTCCAGAGGACAAGTCCTCTAACATACAGGAAAATAACATGTTAAGATTTAAGCATACATCCAAGGAATATCAAAAGAAAGAAAAGTTTACATTTTTGCCATTAATTAAAATTCAGAACCTGGAATGTTTATTTAAGCAGAGATGAACATTCCTTATCTTACCCAAACTCTAAATCAAGGAAGTGGCAGTCTTTGGCCAATGAATTGGGTAAATACTGTGAAGTTTTATAAGCTCAAAGAATAGTATCACTTATTTCCTCCATCCAATCCTCTTAGCAGGAATATAAGAGAAAAGGCTTAAATATACAGTCTCATGAACATTATTTCAGTGCTGCTATTTAATAAGTTTAATTTCACCCTGGATCAAAAATCTTGCCCATTAAGAAGCCTTTGTGAAATTAAAAAAAAAATTTTTTTTCAGATAGGGTCTCACTGTGTTGCCCAGGCTGGAATGCAGTGGCATGATCACAGATCACTGCAGCCTTGACTTTCTGAGCTCAGGTGATCCTCCTGCCTTAGCCTCCCAAGTAGCTGGGACTACAGATGTGTGCTGCCACACTTTGCTAATTTTTTATTTTGTGTAGAGACAGGGTCTCACTGTTTTGCCCAGGCTGAGCTCAAACTGCTGAGCTCACACTTCAGCCTCCCAAAGTGCTGGCATTATAGACATGAGCCACCGCACCTGGCCTAAAGTACAATAACTTCTATTGCTACATATTTCCATTTAGATAATGGATCTGCTAAAATATATTTTCAAACCAAGAAGATGTTTGCAATTCCATGGATTTTTATTTAAGTAAATATATGGATCTTAAAATGTTTCAGACATGCTTTGGAATGTGATATCAATACATCTTCTATCTTCTTGCTTTTCTAAACAAATTTCCTTTTTTTAGAACAGGTTTCTAAAGTATATATATGTAAAACATATTTACATATAAACACCTTCAAGGAAGTATTGAATTCTTCACAAGAAACTTCAACACTGCCACTAATAACTATACTAATAGTTACTTTCACTTCTTGAGCTGAAAGCTGCTTAAAACATGACCATTTTAAAAACCTATACTTTTTGAAATCTTTAGATAACAGAAGGAGAGTCATTTTACAATAACATCAACATATAAACTTGGCTTTAAATACAGCTCAGCAAATTCCACACATAACTAAGGGGTCAGACTGGTCTACAGCACAAGAGAGTATTTTAACAACCTCATAGATTCATAAGACATAAGATTTTAGAAAGGGAAGGGACTTTTAAAGAGAACATCATGGAACTTGGTCATTAAATAGCTTATCCAAGGCGACTTAGCTAGTGAGCTTCCTTAAATTTGCTTACAAATGAGACTGACATGAGTAGAAAAGTGCAATAGTATTCTGTACTCAAAATATTATCCACTATCAGTTCCCCTCCTCCTTTTTGCCACCTAAATCAAATGCTACAGATACCAGCCTCCTACCTGCATGAAGTTTTGCTGCTGACAACTTAATGAAGTTAAACTCCAACATCCTACCCGCAATTTAATACAAATGCTTTTTAGGTCAACTTCCAAAGAAAAATAATAATGTTTTGATGTGAAAAACTAGACAGTGGGGCATGTCAGGTAACTAGGTTTTTTTTTTTAATCTAAAATATCTTAACTCAGTTCAGGTATTAAGTACGCTCAGTTTGTGTGAAACTTAAAAAATTCAGAATTTGGACTTTGAAATAAAAGATCTGTGACAGTTATAGCACTAATTTTTTAGAAATGTTAGTTCAGGCAAGTGACAAGCTCTATCACTCTGTTCCCTCCCTCCCTCTCTCCCTCTCTTCTCTCTCTTCTCTTTCTCTCTCTCTTTCTTTTTTTTGAGACAGAGTTTCAGCTCTGTTGCCCAGGCTGCAGTGGAGTGGAGCAATCCTGGCTCACTGCAGCCTTGACCTCTCGGGTTCAAATGATCCTCCCACCTCAGCCTCCGAAGTAGCTGGGACTACAGGTACATGCCACCACATTTGGCTAACTTTTGAACTTTTTATAGAGACAGGGTCTCACTATGTTGCCCAGGCTTACCCTCAGTTTTCTTAGTTATAAAATGAAATACTGCATTGCCATTTCACAGGTCTGAAATGAGGATTAAGTTAGCTAATATATATGAAAGTACAGTATATATTATAAAGAGCATACAGGTTGAATATCCCTTTTCCTAAATGCTTGGGACCAGAAGTAATGTAGATTTCAGATTTTCTTGTAGTTTGAAATACTTGCTTTATACTTATCCTACTGAACACCCTAAATCTGAAAAATTTGAAATCCAAAATGCTCCAGTGAACATTTCCTTGGACCATGTCAGTATTCAAAAAATTCTGGCTGGGCACAGTGGCTCACACCTGTAGTCCCAACATTTGGCGCAGCTGAAGCATGAGGATTGTGTGAAGCCAAGAGTTCGAGACTAGCCTAGGCAACATAGCAAGACCTCATCTCTACAAAACAATTTAATTTAATTTAAATTTTAAATTTTTTTTTACGTTTTGGACTTTGGAGCATTTCAGATTTCAGATTTTTGGATTTGGATGCTCACCTTGTATTGATATAAGATGCTTTTTTGTTACGAGAATTAAAATGGCAAAATAGCATTATTCTGCTATAGCAAAAACAGGTAATTTGCTGCAAACTTTGAAGAAACAGCCTAAAATCTATCTAGAAAAAAATGAAGAAAATGAAAAAAGGTGAATTATGGTTTTACACAAAACAAAATGAATGACAGCTTCAGGCAACACAGATGATTCTCACATGGCGAGATAAGAAACATGACACAATATACATGCAATGATTTCTGTGAATTTCAAAAACAATTTAAACTATTTTGTTTAGAGATGCATACATACATATAAAATTAAAGCAAGGAAACTTATAATTAAAGTCAGGAGAATGGTTACCTCTAGGCCTGAGGGCAAGGATTACAAATAGGAAGAGGTGCTTATGGGCTCCTGGAATGCTGACAGTGTTCCACTTCTTGACCTGGGTGGTAGCTACACAGGTATTTGCTTTATAATTATTTGTTAAATAATACATGTATCCACTATGCAATTTTATTTTATTTTATTTTTTTTGAGACAGGGTCTTGCTTTGCTGCCCAGGCTAGAGTGCAGTGTCGCAATCTCAGCTCACCGCAACCTCTGCCTCCCAGACTCAAACCATCCTACCCTTAATCTTCCAAGTAGCTGGGACTACGGGTGTGTGCCATCATGTCCAGTTAATTTTTAAATTTTTTGTAGAGACAAGGTCTCACTATGTTGCCCAGGCTGGTCTCAAACTCCTGGGCTCAAGTAATCTGCCTGCCTCCTTCTCCCAAAATGCTGGGATTAGAGGCATGAGCCACAATGCCTGGCCACTATGCAATTTGTATGTATTTTTAAACGATAATTTTTTTTTTTTTTAGACAGAGTTTTGCTCTGTCACCGAGGCCAGAGTGCAGTGGCACAATCTCAGCTCACTGCAACTTCAGCCTCCCAGGTTCAAACAATTCTCATGCCTCAGCCTCCTGAGTACATGCTGTGACTATAGGCGCCCACCACCACGCCCAGCTAATTTTTGTATTTTTTTTAGTAGAGATGGGGTTTCACCATGTTGGCTAGGCTGGTCTCAAACGCCTGACCTCAAGTGATCCGCTGGCCTCGGCCTCCCTAAATGCTGGGATTACGGGCATGAGCCACCATGCCCAGCCTTAAATGACAAAAATTTAAATGAAATGTCAATTTAAAAAGTAGGCCGGGCATGATGGCTCAGACCTGTAATCCTAGCACTTTGGGAGGCTAAAGTGGGAGGATTACATGAGGCCAGGAGTTCAAGACCAGCATGGCCAATGCAGCAGAACCCCATCCCTACTAAAAATACAAAAATTAGCTGGGCATGGTGGCATGCACCTGTAATCCCAGCTACTCAGGTGGCTGAGGCACAAGACTTGCTTGACCTAAGGAGGTGGAGATTGCAGTGAGCTGGGATCATACCACTGCACTCCAGCCCGGGCAACAGAACAAGACCGTGTCTCCAAAAAAAAAAAAAAATTATTAATAAATACTGGGCCAGGCTTGTTGATTCACGCCTGTAATCCCAGCATTCTGGGATGCTGAGGCACAAGGATTGCTTGAGACCAGGAGTTCGAGACCAACCTAGACAACATGACAGAATTCCGTAACTACAAAAACATTTTAAAAATTAGCTGGGTGTGGTGGCAAGCACTTGTGGTATCAGCTACTTGGAAGGCTGAGTTTGGAGGATCACTAGAGCCCAGGAAGTCGAGGCTGCAGTACACCAAGACGCGCCACTGCAGTAAAGCCTGGGCACCAGAGTGAGACCCTGTCTCAAAAAAAAACTAACAATGAGCAGTTGATAATAATGAATTGAGGAAGATCAGAAGTGGAAATGCAAAACACAGAATTAAGTACGAGTGAACACCCTTGCTAGAAACTTTGGAAGAACTGGTAAAATTACTGGGGAAGGGGGTCTGAAGTTCCATCAGATGCCAAAGAGGTTTCTGTCAGAAATGCAAACATTAATCAATGACCAAATATAAATATCAATAAACCTTATTCATAGCTGTAGCAGCACTAAATCCGTCTCAAACTAGCTGAAACAGTTGATACTCACGTGTGGTACAACACCGTTTTGAAAAAAATTAACTTATTTTAAGATGATCTTTCAAACTATGTATTTATCACACAGCTACTTCTCTGTGGTTAATCGAAGTCCAAACCATTGTTCCCTGAACTCAGTTATAAAAGACTGAGGTAGGGATGCACATATAATTATCAAAATATGAGGGTTAATTTTTTCCTTATATTTAAAATGACTGATTACAGATTAGACTTTCCTATAGTTTCATGTAAATATAATTATACAGCATGCACTCTTTTTCACATCTGGCTTCTTTCATTCAGCATGTTTTTAAGATTTACCTATGTTGTCTCTATTAGTAAATTATTTTTTATTGCTAAGTAGATTTCCATTATATGGATATTATACAATCTGTTTACCCACCCATCTTTTGATGGATATTAATGTTTTTCCAGCTTTTTGGCTATTAAAAATAAAGCTGTTATATACTAAGTATGATTTTAACTTTATTAAGAAACTACCCACCAGTTTTCTAAACCAGTTTTACCACTTTGCATTGAGAGTTCCAGTTATTCCTTATCCTACCAACTCTTTGTACTATCAATCTTTTTAATTCTAGTCATCCTAGTGGGTGTACAGTAGTATCTTGCTGTGGTTTAAATTTGCACTTTTCTGATAACTGGTGATATTAAGTCTTTTCATGTGCTTCTTGGCCATTCATGTATTTTCTTTGGGTAAATATGTTCCAACCTTTTGCCCATTTTTAAATTCAGTCATCTTACTATGTTCTTCATATATTCTAGGTCAATCCTTTCTCCAATATATGCATAGTGAATATTTTGTCCTGGTCTTTGTCTACCGAACAACATCTTTCGAAGAGTTAAAGTTTTTAACTTTGATAATGTCTTATGCATAAGTTTTATCTCTTATGATTTGTGCTTTTTGGGTTCTAAAAATTCTTTCACATATCCCAAAGTTGCAAAGATAATCTGTTTCTTTTTCTAGACTTTTTAGCTTTTATTTTTATACCTATAATCTGTTTTTAATTAAATTTTAGTTTTTGACAGTATAAAGGCTATTTTTTAAAAAAATATGGATATCCAGTTGTTCTAGCTCATTTGCTGAAGATATCCTTTTCTTATCAGATTAATTTAGCACCTTTATTGAAAATCAGGGCTGAGGCCGGGCACGGTGGCTCACGCCTGTAATCCCAACACTTTGGGAGGCCAAGGCGGGCGGATCACAAGGTCAGGAGATCGAGACCATCCTGGCTAACATGGTGAAACCCCGTCTCTGCTAAAAATACAAAAAATTTGCTGGGCGTGGTGGCAGGCACCTGTAGTCCCAGCTACTCCAGAGGCTGAGGCAAGAGAATGGCGTGAACCCGGGAGGCAAAGCTTGCAGTGAGCCAAGATCATGCCACTGCACTCCAGCCTGGGCAACAGAGCGAGACTCCGTCTCAGGAAAAAAAAAAGGAAAATCAGGGCTGAGCTTGGTGGTTCACGCCTATAATCTCAGCACTCTGGGAGACCAAGGAGGGTGGATTGCTGGAGCTCAGGAGTTCAAGACCAGCCTGGGCAACTGGGCAGCAAAGTCCCGTCTCTACAAAAACTACAAAAATTAGCTGGGCATGGTTGCACACACCTGTAGTCCCAGTTACTTGGAGGGGCTGAGGCAGGAGGATCACTTGAGCCTGGGAGGTTGAGGCTGCAGTGAGCCATGACTGTAACACTGTACTCCAGCCTGAGCGACAGAGTGAGACCCTCTCTAAAAATAAAATAAAATAAAATAAAATAATTGAGTAACATTCAGTCTACTTCTAAGCTGATTATTGTATTGCACTTGTCTATTTGTCAATCCAATGCCAGTACCATTATAATAAGACTTAGAAGCAAGGTAGTCATTTGTCTTCCAATTATACTCTTTTTCAAAATTGCTTTTAGTTTTCTAGGTCCTTTGCATTTTCATACATATTTTAGAATCAGCTTGTTAATTTCTACCCAAAAAAAAGCCTCCTGTGATTCTGATTGGGACTGCATTTATTCTAAGAATTATATATTTATACGTAAGTCAAATTATATATACATATATATATACACACACACACACACACACACACACACACAAAATAAATTTTGTTGTATCACTTTTAACTTTGTTTATACCGTTCATATCAGGGCGTTAAAGCCTTATGTAGTCAAATGTCAATTTTCATAACAGATTAGTGGTTTTATCTTACTTAAGAAACATTTCTTTATCTCAGGATTATGAATCAATCATCCCATTATAGTTCTGTTAAGTTTTACTTCTGTAATTCAATTTTGACATTAATATTTTGTAGGGTGTGATTAGGTAATATTTCACAGTTTACTCAGGCTTTTTCTTTTTTTTTGTATTTTTATAAATTTAATAATATATGAAAATCATTATGAATTATACCACAGAAACTGCCAAGGAATTTAATTGTATACATGAGCGAGTAGGAAGGCTATTTTAATCTTTTTTTAAAAATGTCTAAATTATACGTTTCTTGTTGAAATGTTTAAAATTACCAAATTATTGCTCATTTGCTACATAGAAGGAAATGTATCTTAGGTCAAGTTGATTTACCACAAGGCCCTTGTACACATTAAACAAATATATTTGATTTTTTTAAATATATCTACTTTAAACTCAATTACTCTGTAATCTATGATGTTGACATTAATCAGGATATTCTACAAATAATTTATGTTCTCCTTATTCTTGATTAGTTCTAAATCAAGTTTTTTGTTTTCACAAATTCTATTTATTATACAAGTTTCATTAAACATTTAGAAAAAAGCAAAAAGATTAAGAAAATCACCCATTAACCCTACCTTCCTAGAATAATAGTATATTAAATTTTTTATTTGTCCTTTTGTGCACATACCTTAAAAATAACTGCATATGCATTTGAATTATTCCTAATTTTATCTCCTGCTCTATTTAACACTATGTACATTTTTCCCTTAGTCTTCATATTCATTATTTTAATACCTGCATAAAATTTCCATCATGTGACTTCATTACAATGGGTTGTTCCCAATGGATTTTGCCTACTTTGGATCATGCTCAAAACACATACTCATATACAGTTGACCCTTGAACGACATGGCAGTTAGGGGCACCAATTCCCTGCACAGTCGAAAACCAATATATAACTGTTGATTCTCGAAAAGTTTAAGTACTAACAGCATGCTGTTGACTAGAAATTTTTATTATTATTATACTTTAAGTACTAGTGTACATGAGCACAACGTGCAGGTTTCTTACATATGTATACATGTGCCATGTTGGTGTGCTGCACTCGTTAACTCATCATTTACATTAGGTATATCTCCTAATGCTATCCCTTCTCCCTCCCCCCACCCCACAACAGGCCCCAGTGTGTGATGTTCCCCTGTGTCCAAGTGTTCTCATTGTTCAATTCCCACCTATGAGTGAGAACATGCGGTGTCTGGTTTTCTGTCCTTGCGATAGTTTGTTCAGAATGATGGTTTCCAGCTTCATCCATGTCGCTACAAAGGATATGAACTCATCCTTTTTTATGGCTGCAAAGTTAGATTAGATCCCATTTGTCAATTTTGGCTTTTGTTGCCATTGCTTTTGGTGTTTTAGTCATGAAGTCCTTGCCCATGCCTATGTCCTGAATGGTATTACCTAGGTTTTCTTCTAGGGTTTTTATGGTTTTAGGTCTAACATTTAAGTCTTTAATCCATCTTGAATTAATTTTTGTATAGGGTGTAGGGAAGGGATCCAGTTTCAGCTTTCTACATGTGGCTAGCCAGTTTTCCCAGCACCATTTATTAAACAGGGAATCCTTTCCCCATTTCTTGTTTTTGTCAGGTTTCTCAAAGATCAGATGGGTGTAGATGTGTGGTATTATTTCCGGGGGCTCTTCTATTCCATTGGTCTATATCTTTGTTTTGGTACCAGTACCATGCTGTTTTGGTTACTGTAGCCTTGTAGTATAGTTTGAAGTCAGATAGTGTGATGCCTCCACCTTTGTTCTTTTGGCTTAGGATTGACTAGGCAATGCAGGCTCTTTTTCGGTTCCATATGAACTTTAAAGTAGTTTTTTCCAATTCTGTGAAGAAAGTCATTGGTAGATTGATGGGGATGGCATTGAATCTATACATTACCTTGGGCAGTACGGCCATTTTCATGATATTGATTCCTCCTATCCATGAGCATGGAATGTTCTTCCATTTGTTTGTATCCCCTTTTATTTCATTGAGCAATGGTTTGTAGTTCTCCTTGAAGAGGTCCTTCACATTCCTTGTAAGTTGGATTCCTAGGTATTTTATTCTCTTTGTACCAAGTGTGAATGGGAGTTCACTCATGATTTGGCTCTCTGTCTGTTATTGATGTATAAGAATGCTTGTGATTTTTGCACATTGATTTTGTATCGTGAGACATTGCTGAAGTTGCTTATCAGCTTAAGGAGATTTTGGGCTGAGATGATGGGGTTTTCTAGATATACAATCATGTCATCTGCAAACAGGGACAATTTGACTTCCTCTTTTCCTAATTGAATGCCCTTTATTCCCTTCTCCTGCCTGATTGCCCTTGCCAGAACTTCCAACACTATGTTGAATAGGAGTGTTGAGAGAGGACATCCCTGTCTTGTGCCAGTTTTCAAAGGGAATGCTTCCAGTTTTTGCCCATTCAGTATGATACTGGCTGTGGGTGTGTCATAGATAACTCTTATTATTTTGAGATACGTCCCATCAATACCTAGTTTGTTAAGTTTTTAGCATGAAGCGTTGTTGAATTTTGTCAAAGGCCTTTTCTGCATCTATTGAGATAATCATGTTTTTGTCTTTGGTTCTGTTTATATGATGGATTACGTTTATTGATTTGCATATGTTGAACCAGCCTTGCATCCCAGGGATAAAGCCCACTTGATCGTGGTACATAAGCTTTTTGAGGTGCTGCTGGATTTGGTTTGCCAGTATTTTATTGAGGATTTTTGCATTGATGTTCATCAGGGATATTGGTCTAAAATTCTCTTTTTTTGTTGTGTCTCTGCCAGGCTTTAGTATCAGGATGATGTTGACCTCATAAAATGAATTGGGGAAGATTCCCTCTTTTTCTATTGATTGGAGTAGTTTCAGAAGGAATGGTACCAGCTCCTCTTTGTACCTCTGGTAGAATTCGGCTGTGAATCTATGTGGTCCTGGACTTTTTTTGGTTGGTAGGCTATTGATTATTGCCTCAATTTCAGAGCCTGTTATTGGTCTATTCAGGGATTCAACTTCTTCCTGGTTTAGTCTTGGGAGAGTGTATGTGTCGAGTAATTTATCCATTTCTTCTAGATTTTCTAGTTTATTTGCATAGAGGTGTTTATAGTATTTTCTGATGGTAGTCTGTATTTCTGTGGGATGGGTGGTGAGATCCCCTTTATCATTTTTTATTGCATCTATTTGATTCTTCTCTCTTTTCTTCTTTATTAGTCTTGCTAGCGGTCTATCAATTTTGTTGATCTTTTCAAAAACACCAACTCCTGGATTCATTGATTTTTTGAAGGCTTTTTTGTGTCTCTATCTCCTTCAGTTCAGCTCTGATCTTAGTTATTTCTTGCCTTCTTCTAGCTTTTGAATGTGTTTGCTCTTGCTTCTCTAGTTCTTTTAATTGTGATGTTAGGGTGTCAATTTTAGATCTTTCCTGCTTTCTCTTGTGGGCATTTAGTGCTATAAATTTCCCTCTACACACTGCTTTAAATGTGTCCCGGAGATTTGTTGTGTCTTTGTTCTCGCTGGTTTCAAAGAACATCTTTATTTCTGCCTTCATTTCATTATTTACCCACTAGTCATTCAGGAGCAGGTTGTTCAGTTTCCATGTAGTTGAGTGATTTTGAGTGAGTTTCTTAATCCTGAGTTCTAGTTTGATTGCACTGTGGTCTGAGAGACAGTTTGTTATAATTTCTGTTCTTTTACATTTGCTGAGGAGTGCTTTACTTCCAACTATGTGGTCAGTTTTGGAGTAAGTGTGATGTGGTGCTGAGAAGAATGTATATTCTGTTGATTTGGGGTGGAGAGTTCTGTAGATGTCTATTAGGTTGGCTTGGTGCAGAGCTGAGTTCAATTCCTGGATATCCTTGTCAACTTTCTGTCTCATTGATCTGTCTAATGCTGACAGTCGGGTGTTAAAGTCTGCCATTATTATTGTGTGGGAATCTAAGTCTCTTTGTAGGTCTCTAAGGACTTGCTTTATGAATCTGGGTACTCCTGTATTAGATGCACATATATTTAGGACAGTTAGCTCTTTTTGTTGAATTGATCCCTTTACCATTACGCAATGACCTTCTTTGTCTCTTTTGATCTTTGTTGGTTTAAAGTCTGTTTTATCAGAGACTAGGATTGCAACCCCTCCTTTTTTTTGTTTTCCATTTGCTTGGTAGATCTTCCTCCATCCCTTTATTTTGAGCCTATGTGTGTCTCTGCACTTGAGATGGGTCTCCTGAATACAGCACACTGACGGGTCTTGACTCTTTATCCAATTTGCCAGTCTGTGTCTTTTAATTGGAACATTTAGCCCATTTACATTTAAGGTAAACATTTTTATGTGTGAATTCGATCCTGTCATTATGATGTTAGCTGGTTATTTTGCTCGTTAGTTGATGCAGTTTCTTCCTAGCATTGATAGTCTTTATAATTTGGCATGTTTTTGCAGTGGCTGGTGGTACCAGTTGCTCCTTTCCATGTTGAGTGCTTCCTTCAGGAGCTCTTGTAAGGGAGGCCTGGTGGTGACAAAATCTCTCAGCATTTGCTTGTCTGTAAAGGATTTTATTTCTCCTTCACTTATGAAGCTTAGTTTGGCTGGATATGAAATTCTGGGTTGAAAATTCTTTTCTTTAAGAATGTTGAATATTGGCCCCCACTCTCTTCTGGCTTATAGAGTTTCTGCCAAGAGATCTGCTGTTAGTCTGATGGGCTTCCCTTTGTGGGTAACCCGACCTTTCTCTCTGGCTGCCCTTAACATTTTTTCCTTCATTTCAACCTTGGTGAATCTGACAATTATGTGTCTTGGAGATGCTCTTCTTGAGGAGTATCTTTGTGGCATTCTCTGTATTTCCTGAATTTGAATGTTGGCCTGCCTTGCTAGGTTGGGGAAGTTCTCCTGAATAATACCCTGCAGAGTGTTTTCCAGCTTGGTTCCATTCTCCCCGTCACTTTCAGGTACACCAATCAGATGTAGATTTGGTCTTTTCACATAGACCCATATTTCTTGGAGGCTTTGTTCATTTCTTTTTACCCTTTTTTCTCTAAACTTCTCACTTCATTTCATTCATTTGATCTTCAATCACTGATACCCTTTCTTCTACTTGATAAAATCAGCTACTGAAGCTTGTGCATGAGTCACGTAGTTCTTGTGCCATGGTTTTCAGCTCCATCAGGTCATGTAAGGACTTCTCTACACTGTTTTTCTAGTTAGCCATTCGTCTCATCTTTTTTCAAGGTTTTTAGCTTCTTTGCGATAGGTTCGAACATTCTCCTTTAGCTCGGAGAAGTTTATTATTACCGATCATCTGAAGCCTTCTTCTCTCAACTTGCCAAAGTCATTCTCTGTCCAGCTTTGTTCCGTTGCTGGCAAGGAGTTGCATTCCTTTGGAAGAGAAGAGGTGCTCTGATTTTTAGAATTTTCAGATTTTCTGCTCTAGTTTCTCCCCATATTTGTGGTTTTATCTACCTTTGGTCTTTGATATGGTGACGTACAGATGGGGTTTTGGTGTGGATGTCCTTTCTGTTTGTTAGTTTTCCTTCTAACAGTCAGGACCCTCAGCTGCAGGTCTGTTGGAGTTTGCTGGAGGTCCACTCCAGATCGTTTGCCTGGTTATCACCAGCAGAGGCTGCAGAACAGCAAATATTGCATAATGGCAAATGTTGCTGTCTGATCCTTCTTCTGGAAGCTTTGTCTCAGAGGGGCACCTGGCTGTATGAGGTGTCAGTCAGCCCCTACTGGGATGTGTCTCCCAGTTAGGCTACTCGGGGGTCAGGGACCCACTTGAGGAGGCATTCTGTCCATTCTCAGATCTGAAACTCCGTGCTGGGAGAACCACTACTCTCTTCAGAGCTGTCAGACAGGGACGTTTAAGTGTGCAGAAGTTTCTGCTGCCTTTTGTTCAGCTATGCCCTGCCCCCATAGGTGGAGTCTACAGAGGCAGGCAGGCCTCCTTGAGCTGTGGTGGGCTCCACCCAGTTCGAGCTTCCTGGCCGCTCTTTTTACCTACTCAAGCCTCAACAATGGTGGATGCCACTCCCCCAGCCTTGCTGCCACCTTGCAGTTCGATCTCAGACTGCTGTTCTAGCAGTGAGCGAGGCTCCGTGGGCATGGGACCCTCTTAGTCAGGCGCAGGATATAATCTCCTGGTGTGCCTTTTGCTAAGGCTGTTGGAAAGCGCAGTATTAGGGTGGGAGTGTCCCAATTTTCCAGGTACCATCTGTCACGGCTTCCCTTTGCTAGGAAAGGGAATTCCCCGATCCCCTGCGCTTCCCAGGTGAGGCGATGCCCCGCCCTGCTCCGTGGGCTGCACCCACTGTCTGACAAGCCCCAGTGAGATGAACCCGGTACCTCAGTTGGAAATGCAGAAATCACCCTTCTTCTGCGTCGCTCATGCTGGGAGCTGCAGACTGGAGCTGTTCCTACTCAGCCATCTTGACATCAACCTACTCAGGCTTTTTCTAACATCTTCCTTTTCCCACTTAAATCTGAAGTATTTAACATAAAAAATGTATCCATTATTATGGTAGGGGACATAAGAGAGAATATTATATTGGCTCAAACATGAAAGAGTGTGCAATATAAAGAGGAAAGTAAAATATGTTGAAAACTACTCTTCCATTCTTTAATATCCACATTTCTTCTCCCACTTGTGTAAGAGTAACTGCCATGTTCATCTTTCCCTCTCTTTAATAATCTTCCTCTTTCTCCTCCCACTCTTCTTCTTTATTTCTCTCTCTGCCTCTTCCATCTCTCTCTCTCTTTTTTTTTTTTTTGAGACAGAGTTTAGCTCTTGTTGCCCAGGCTGGAATGCAATGGTGCGATCTCAGCTCACCACAACCTCCGCCTCCTGGGTTCCAGCAATTCTCCTGCCTCAGCCTTCCTGAGTAGCTAGGATTATAGGCATGCACCACCACACCTGGCTAATTTTGTATTTTTAGTAGAGATGGGGTTTCTCCATGTTGGTCAGGCTGGTCTTGAACTCCTGACCTCAGGAGATCCGCCTGCCCTGGCCTCCCACGGTGCTGGAATTACAGGCATGAGCCACCGTGCCTGGGCCTTTTCCATCTCTTTATCCATATTCCCTAAACTCTTCCTTAGCTCCCTAGAGTTAGAAATAATGATGCTGTGACACAAACACAGCAGGTTTTCAGTGTATTATAGATGATGGACTGAAATGTGTATTTTCATTCTGACTTCTCTCTTGAGTCTACTAGACATTTATATCCACCTGCTAATAAGCATCTCTTGCAGTCTCCTGGCACCTCAAACCAATATAGGCAAACTTGTATATACTGTCTTTTTCCTCCCATCTATTTCTATGTTACTCTTCTCGGTGGGTGGGACCATTATACACTGTTTATCAAGCAATGCATACTAAAATTCTGTCCTACTACGTACAGTTTTCTGAATAAAACCATCCTGTAAAATGCCTTCTTACATTTAAGCAAATCTTTACTGTTATTCAAAATAATATGAGCACATAGACTTTTTAAAAATCAGTGAATATACACATTGGAAAGCTGAAGTGGGTGGATCACCTGAGGTCAGGAGTTTAAGACCAGCCTGGCCAACACAATGAAACCCCGTTCCTACTAAAAATACAAACATTCGCCAGGTGTGGCGGCACATGCCTGTAGTCCCAGCTACTTGGGAAGCTGAGGCACAAGAATCACTTGAACCCAGTAGGCGGAGGTTGCAGTGAGCCAAGATTGTGCCACTGCACTCCAACCTGAGTAATAGAGCGAGAATCTATCTCAAAAAAAAAATAAAAAAGAATCAATGAATAATAAAAGACTATTAACCAGGTGCAGTGGCTCACACCTGCAATCCCAGCACTTTGGGAGGCTGAGGCGGGCAAATCACAAGGTCAGGAGTTCAAGACCAGCCTGGCCAATATGGTGAAATCCCATCTCTACTAAAAATACAAAAAGTTAGCTGGGCATAGTGGCGGGCGCCTGTATCCCAGCTACTCGGGAGGCAGAGGCAGGAGAATCACTTGAACCTGAGAGGCGGAGGTTGCAGTGGGCTGAGATCGGCGCCACTGCACTCCAGCCCAGTGACAAAGTGAGACCCTATCTTAAAAAAAAAAAAAAAAAAAGACTATTAAAAATGGCAAATCTCTGACCTGTGCCTCTCCATCTCTTAGTGGGAACTGTTTTTAACTTACCAAGCTGCTTCTTCTGGTATTTACCTTTTTTTTTTTTTTTTGAGAAGGAGTCTTACTCTGTCACCAGGCTGGAGTGCAGTGGCACAATCTCAACTCACTGCAACCTCCACCCCCCCAGTTCAAGTGATTATCCTGCCTCAGCCTCCCGAGTAGCTGGGATTACAGGCATGCACCACGACACCCAGCTAATTTTTGTATTTTTGGTAGAGATGGGGTATCACCATGTTGGCCAGGATGGTCTCGATCTCCTGACCTCCTGATCTGCCCACCTCAGCCTCCCAAAGGGCTGGGATTACAGGCATGAGCCACCGTGCCCAGCGTGGTATTAACTTTTATAATTGTAAGTAAGATGCCCATTGCTACTTCTCAAATTATCAATTTTTAGACTACTTGGTATAATTAGCTATCTTTTTTTTTTTTTATTGAGACAAGAGTCTTGCTCTGTTGCCCAGGCTGGAGTTCAGTGGAACAATCTCAGCTCACTGCAACCTCCACCTCCTGGGTTCAAACGATTCTCCTACCTCAGCCGTCCTATCTTTTCTTAAATAATCTTTTGTTTTCTCTGAATAACTGCTAAGCTTTTTTAATTGCTTAGTTTTTTTATGTACCTATATCAGATCTGTAAAACACCTGTAATTTCCAAATACCTGAACATATTAATAGATGTACTGATTCAAATATTCTTTTGGTTTCTTCCTAGCCTCTTGCTTCAATCCTAACTGCTCTAAGTTGGTATGTTCTGTTTCTGTGAATCATGTCTTCCTCTTCTCATCCTTCTCACTTATGTTGTAAAATCATACACATACTCCCCTGGCTTCCTAAGAAGTGGGACACAGAATGAAAATGTTTTAATTCCTTACATTTGATATTTGATTGATCGTTTAGTTGAATATAGAATACCAAGACAAAAATCTTTCCCTCAGGATTTTAAAGACACTATTTCAGTATCTGCTAACTTCCAGGGTTGTGAGAAGTCTGATGACATTCCAATTTTCCTTCCTTTGTGTGTGATGTATTTCCCTTCTAGAAGAGTTAAACATTTTTTTCCTTAACTCTTGGAATTCTCAAATGCCACAGAGATGTTACTTGGTTTGGTCCTTTTTCATCATTGTACTGGGGTCTGAATGACCTCTTTCAAACTGGAAAATGTTGTCCAGGAAAATAATAGTACCTATACCATGGGACTATTGTGAAAATTAAACAAAACACTTAGTATACAGTAAGTACACAATGATGCTGATGATTAATATTTTTCCAAATTTGCCAATTGATTTGATTATTGCTTCTTGCCTCTCAATCCTTCCTTTGAAGTTCAACTTCCTTCTTCAGAAAGTACATACTCAGGCCACGCATGGTGGTTCGTGCCTGTAATACCAGCACTTTGGGAGGCTACGGCAGGCAGATCACTTGAGATCAGGAGTTCGAGACCAGCCTGGCCAACATGGTCAAACCCGACTCTACTAAAAAGACAAAAATTAACCAGACATGGTGGTACATGCCTGTAATTCCAGCTATTTGGGAGGCTGAGGCACAAGAATCGCTTGCACCTGGAGGCTGCAATGGACTAAGATCATGCCACTGCACTCCAGCCTGGATGACAGAGTGACACTCTGTCTTGGAAAAAAAAAAAAAGATACTCAAACAATTTTTCAGTAATATGTGCTCTTTAATGGTTAACTGAGAAGGTGGTAAGCTTCTCAGTTGTTTGTCTAAGACTGCAGTTTTTAATTGTAATTTTGGAATAATTTCAAACTTACAGCCGAGTTACTAATACAGAACAGAAATCTCCCATGTATCCTTCACCCAGATACGCTGTTAAAAGAATATCTATACAGTAGTTCCCTCTTAACCATGAAAGATAATGCTCCAAGGCCCTCAGTGTATGCCTGAAACCATAAATATTACCAAACTCTACATAAATTATGTTTCTGCCTACACATTAACCGACGGGTAGCATATAGAGTAGATACACTGCACAAAGGGATGATACATGTTCCAGATGAGACACAGCATGACGGTTCAAAATTTCATCATGCTACTCAAAATGGCTGCAATTTAAGAGTTATGAATTATTTCTAAAAATTTCCATTTAATATTTTTGGACCACAGTTGGCCAAAAACTGAAACCAAAGAAAGCAAAACCACGAATAAAATGGGACTACTGTATTTTTTCCTTTATTCTTGCACGACAGTTTAGCGAAGTATAGAATTCTTGGTTGACAGTGCTTTTCCTTCAGTTCTTTGCAGAAGACCTCTATTGTTGCTGATGAAAAGTAGACTATCAATCTAATTCTTGGTCATTTGAATACAAAATTCTTTTTTTGTGATAGGTGTTTTGAAGATTGTCTTCGTACTTGGCTCTGATTTCACAGAATCTCTAGTTTCAGATTCATTTTTATATATTTAGGACTTTTACCTGTTTCTATTCTGCTATTTAACCCACCTATTAATTTTCTCCATGACTCTTTTAGTTCAATGATCATAATTTTCTCTCTCTTTTTTTTTTTTTTGAGATGGGGTCTTGCTCTGTCATTCAGGCTAGAGTGCAGTGGTACAATCTTGGCTCACTGCAACCTCCACCTCCTGGGTTCAAGCAATTCTCCTGCCTCAGCCTCACAAGTAGCTGGGACTACAACAGGCGCCCACCACCACGCCCAGTTAATTTTTGTATTTTTAGTAGAGATGGGGTTCCACTATGTTGGCCAGGCTGGTCTCAAACTCCTGACCTGAGATGATCTGCCCGCCTTAGCCTCCCAAAGTCCTGGGATTACAGGTATGAGCAACCGCGCTTGGCCAAATGATAATTTTCATTTTAATAAGTTCTATTTGGCTCTTTTACAAATTGACCTACTATAGTGTCTTAGTCGTTTATTTAGACATTTTAAATAGATATGTTTTTCTGATTATTCTGTTAAGTCAATTCATAATCTTCTAATTACCCTTTTTGTCTGACTCTCTCTCATGTTGGACTGTTTCCTTATCATTATCTTACCATAGAAACTGTTTTTCCTGTGCAAGTCCAGGTCTCTCTGTTTGAAAAAGCATTCTTTTTTTTTTTTTTTTTTTTTTTTTTCAGACAGAGTCTCACTCTGTCACCACGCTGGAGTGCAGTGGTGCGATCTCAGCTCACTGCAACCTCCACCTCCTGGGTTCAGGCAATTCTCCTGCCTCAGTCTGCCGAGTAGCTGAGACCACAGACGTGCACCACTACGCCCAGCTAATTTATTTCTATTTTTAGTAGAGACGGGGTTTCACCATGTTGGCCAGTATGGTCTCGATCTTCTGACCTCATGATCCACCCGCCTCGGTCTCCCAAAGTGCTGGGTTTACAGGTGTGAGCCACCACGCCCGGCCTGAACAAGCATTCTTAAAGAGCAGTTCACATTTGCTACTGCTTCGAAATTCACAAGGTCAGGCTCACAAGTTGCAGTGTACATTTTAATTTAATTCCTTGGCTTGAGATTCCTGTACCACATGGATATTATATGTTCATACTGCACACTGGTATGTAGGTACATATTTGGATCGGCAGTATGGTGTACTGGTTTAGAACGTAAGACTCTGAAACTACACAGCCTAAGTTTGAATTCTGGATCCCTCCGCTCAGTATCTCTAGGATCTTGGGCAAGTTACTTAATCTTTGTATGTTCTAGTTTGCTGCTCTACAAAATGGAGCTTATGGTAGTATTTTCTCAAAGATTTATGTGAGGATTAAATGAGTAAACATATATTGCTTAGAAAATGAAGTCTCAACAACTCTACAACTTCATTTGCCAACAGGATGGGGCTCTACCTCATTTCTATCACAGTTGCAGAGATTCTTTAATGAATACCTATCATGGTAGTAGACAGGCATTCTGCTCAAAACTCTGAACTGCCTACGAAACACTAGCCGCCTAGATTCCCATCTATCAGGCCATTATATTTCTAGTGAGGCTATATAAACAAAACAATACAAAACTAGAGTTGGGACCGCCATGTAGACTTGAGGAACTGATGGCATTCATCATGGCTATCACTCCAGCTATCACTGATGACATGCTACGAAGGGTTTGGGATGAATCAGACCACAGGACTGCCATGTGCTGGTGTTAACAAGAGGTGCCTACTGGCCAGTACAAAAATAACTGTGGTTGTCTTTTACAAACTGGTGGTGATTACTTGTTCATATATAACACAGTTACTAAATAATAACTTTTTAAAAAATGTTCATGAAGGGGGTGGAGCCAAGATGGCCAAATAGGAACAGCTCCAGTCTGCAACTCCCAGCGTGAGCGACGCAGAAGATGGGTGATTTCTGCATTTCCAACTGAGATACCGGGTTCATCTCACTGGGGAGTGCCGGACAGTGGGTGCAGCGCACTGTGCGTGAGCGGAAGCAGGGCGAGGCATCGCCTCACCCCGGAAGTGCAAGGGGTCAGGGAATTCCCTTTCCTAGTCAAAGAAAAGGGTGACAGACAGCACCTGGAAAATCGGGTAACTCCCACCCTAATGCTGTGCTTTTCCAACGGGCTTCACAAACGGCACACCAGGAGATTATATCCCACACATGGCTCAGAGGGTCCTACCCTCACGGAGCCTCGCTCATTGCTAGCACAGCAGTCTGAGATCAAACTGCAAAGTAGCAGCGAGGCTGGGGGAGGGGTGCCCGCCATTGCTCAGGCTTGAGTAGGTAAACAAAGCAGCCTGGAAGCTCGAACTGGGTGGAGCCCACCACAGCTCAAGAAGGCCTGCCTGCCTCTGTAGACTCCACCTCTGGGGGCAGGGCACAGACAAACAAAAGACAGCAATAACCTCTGCAGACTTAAATGTCTCTGTCTGACAGCTTTGAAGAGAGTAGTGGTTTTCCCAGCATGCAGCTTCAAATCTGAGAACGGGCAGACTGCCTCCTCAAGTAGGTCCCTGACCCACGAGCAGCCTAACTGGGAGGCACCCCCCAGTAGGGGCAGACTTGACACCTCATGTGGCCGGGTACTCCTCTGAGACAAAACTTCCAGACGAACGATCAGGCAGCAGCATTTGCGGTTCAATAATATCCGCTGTTCTGCAGCCACCGCTGGTGATACCCAGGCAAACAGGGTCTGGAGTGGACCTCCAGTAAACTCCAAAAGACCTGCAGTTGAGGGTCCTGACTGTTAGAAGGAAAACTAACAAACAGAAAGGACATCCACACCAAAAACCCATCTGTACGTCACCATCATCAAAGACCAAAAGTAGATAAAACCACAAAGATGCGGAAAAAACAGAGCAGAAAAACCGGAAACGCTAAAAATCAGACCGCCTCTCCTCCTCCAAAGGAACGCAGCTCCTCACCAGCAACGGAACAAAGCTGGACAGAGAATGACTGACGAGCTGACAGAGGAAGGCTTCAGAAGATCAAACTACTCTGTGCTAACGGAGGAAGTTCGAACGAATGGCAAGGAAGTTAAAAACTTTGAAAAAAATTAGATGAATGGATAACTACAATAATCAACTCAGAGAAGTCGTTAAAGGACCTGATGGAGCTGAAAACCACAGCACAAGGACTATGTGACGAATGCACAAGCCTCAGTAACCGATGCGATCAACTGGAAGAAAGGGTATCAGTGATGGAAGATGAAATGAATGAAATGAAGCTTGAGGAGAAGTTTAGAGAAAAAAGAATAAAAAGAAACGAACAAAGCCTCCAAGAAATATGGGACTATGTGAAAAGACCAAATATACGTCTCAATGGTGTACCTGAAAGTGACGGGGAGAATGGAACCAAGTTGGAAAACACTATGCAGGATATTATCCAGGAGAACTTCCCCAATCTAGCAAGGCAAGCCAACATTCAAATTCAGGAAATACAGAGAACACCACAAAGATACTCCTCGAGAAGAGCAACTCCAAGACACGTAATTGTCAGATTCATCAAAGTTGAAATGAAGGAAAAAATGTTAAGGGCAGCCAGAGAGAAAGGTTGGGTTACCCGCAAAGGGAAGCCCATCAGACTAACAGCAGATCTCTCGGCAGAAACTCTATAAGCCAGAAGAGAGTGGGGGACAATATTCAACATTCTTAAAGAATTAAGAATTTTCAACTCAGCATTTCATATCCAGCCAAACTAAGCTTCATAAGTGAAGGAGAAATAAAATCCTTTACAGACAAGCAAATGCTGAGAGATTTTGTCACCACCAGGCCTGCCCTAAAAGAGCTCCTGAAGGAAGCACTAAACATGGAAAGGAACAACTGGTACCAGCCACTGCAAAAACATGCCAAATTGTAAAGATCATCAAGGCTAGGAAGAAACTGCATCAACTAACGAGCAAAATAACCAGCTAACATCATAACGACAGGATCAAACTCACACGTAACAATACTAACCTTAAATGTAAATGGGCTAAATGCTCCAATTAAAAGGCACAGACTGGCAAATTGGATAAAGAGTCAAGACCCGTCAGTGTGCTGTATTCAGGAGACCCATCTCATGTGCAGAGAAACACACAGGCTCAAAATAAAGGGATGGAGGAAGATCTACCAAGCAAATGGAAAACAAAAAAAGGCAGGGGTTGCAATCTTAGTCTCTGATAAAACAGACTTTAAACCAGCAAAGATCAAAAGAGACAAAGAAGGTCATTACATAATGGTAAAGGGATCAATTCAACAAGAAGAGCTAACTATCCTAAATACATGTGCATCCAATACAGGAGCACCCAGATTCATAAAGCAAGTCCTTAAGTGACCTACAAAGAGACTTAGATTCCCACACGATAATAACGGGAGACTTTAACATCCTACTGTCAACATTAGACAGATCAATGAGACAGAAAGTTAACAAGGATATCCAGGAATTGAACTCAGCTCTGCACCAAGCCGACCTAATAGACATCTACAGAACTCTCCACCCCAAATCAACAGAATATACATTCTTCTCAGCACCACACCACACCTATTCCAAAATTGACCACATACTTGGAAGTAAAGCACTCCTCAGCAAATGGAAAAGAACAGAAATCATAACAAACTGTCTCTCAGACCACAGTGCAATCAAACTAGAACTCAGGATTAAGAAACTCACTCAAAATCACTCAACTACATGGAAACTGAACAACCTGTTCCTGAATAACTACTGGGTACATAATGAAATGAAGGCAGAAATAAAGGTGTTCTTTGAAACCAACAAGAACAAAGACACAACATACCAGAATCTCTGGGACACATTCAAAGCAGTGTGTAGAGGGAAATTTATAGCACTAAATGCCCACAAGAGAAAGCAGGAAAGATCTAAAATTGACACCCTAACATCACAATTAAAAGAACTAGAGAAGCAAGAGCAAACACATTCAAAAGCTAGAAGAAGGCAAGAAATAACTAAGATCAGAGCAGAACTGAAGGAAACAAAGACACAAAAAAGCCTTCAAAAAATCAATGAATCCAGGAGTTGGTGTTTTTGAAAAGATCAACAAAATTGATAGACCGCTAGCAAGACTAATAAAGAAGAAAAGAGAGAAGAATCAAATAGACCCAATAAAAAATGATAAAGGGGATATCACCACCCATCCCACAGAAATACAAACTACCATCAGAGAATACTATAAACACCTCTACGCAAATAAACTAGAAAATCTAGAAGAAATGGATAAATTCCTTGACACATACACTCTCCCAAGACTAAACCAGGAAGAAGTTGAATCTCTGAATAGAACAATAACAGGATCTGAAATTGAGGCAACAATTAATAGCCTACCAACCAAAAAAAGTCCAGGACCACATAGATTCACAGCCAAATTCTACCAGAGGTACAAGGAGGAACTGTTACCATTCCTTCTGAAACTATTCCAATCAATAGAAAAAGAGGGAATCCTCCCTAACTCATTTTAGGGAGGCCAGCATCATCCTGATACCAAAGCCGGGCAGAGACACAACCAAAAAAGAGAATTTTAGACCAATATCCTTGATGAACATTGATGCAAAAATTCTCAATAAAATACTGGCAAACCAAATCCAGCAACACATCAAAAAGCTTATCAACCATGATCAAGTGGGCTTCCTCCCTGGGATGCAAGGCTGGTTCAACATATGCAAATCAATAAACGTAATCCAGCATACAAAAAGAACCAAAGACAAAAACCACATGATTATCTCAACAGATGCAGAAAAGACCTTTGACAAAATTCAACAACCCTTCATGCTAAAAACTCTCAATAAATTAGGTGTTGATGGGACATATCTCAAAATAATAAGAGCTATCTATGACAAACCCACAGCCAATATCATACTGAATGGATAAAAACTGGAAGCATTCCCTTTGAAAACTGGCACAAGACAGGGATGCCCTCTCTCAACACTCCTATTCAACATAGTGTTGGAAGTTCTGGCAAGGGCAATCAGGCAGGAGAAGGGAATAAAGGGTATTCAATCAGGAAAAGAGGAAGTCAAATTGTCCCTGTTTGCAGATGACATGATTGTATATCTAGAAAACCCCATCATCTCAGCCCAAAATCTCCTTAAGCTGATAAGCAACTTCAGCAAAGTCTCACGATACAAAATCAATGTGCAAAAATCACAAGCATTCTTATACATCAATAACAGACAGAGAGCCAAATCATGAGTGAACACCCATTCACAATTGCTTCAAAGAGAATAAAATACCTAGGAATCCAACTTACAAGGGATGTGAAGGACCTCTTCAAGGAGAACTACAAACCATTGCTCAATGAAATAAAAGAGGATACAAACAAATGGAAGAACATTCCATGCTCATGGGTAGGAAAAATCAGTATCATGAAAATGGCCATACTGCCCAAGGTAATATATAGATTCAATGCCATCCCCATCAATCTACCAATGCCTTTCTTCACAGAATTGGAAAAAACTACTTTCAAGTTCATATGGAACCAAAAGAGAGCCTGCATCGCCAAGTCAATCCTAAGCCAAAAGAACAAAGCTGGAGGCATCATGCTACCTGACTTCAAACTATACTACAAGGCTACAGTAACCAAACAGCATGGTACTGGTACCAAAACAGAGATATAGACCAATGGAACAGAGCAGAGCCCTCAGAAATAATGCCGCACATCTACAACTCTCTGATCTTTGACAAACCTGACAAAAAGAAGAAATGGGGAAAGGATTCCCTATTTAATAAATGGTGCTGGCAAAACTGGCTACCCATACGTAGAAAGCTGAAACTGAATCCCTTCCTTACACCTTATACAAAAATTAATTCAAGATGGATTAAAGACTTACAGGTTAGACCTAAAACCATAAAAACCCTAGAAGAAAACCTAGGCAATACCATTCAGGTATAGGCACGGGCAAGGACTTCATGTCTAAAACACCAAAAGCAATGGCAACAAAAGCCAAAATTGATAAATGGGATCTAATTAAACTAAAGAGCTTCTGCACAGCAAAAGAAACCACCATCAGAGTGAACAGGCAACCTACAGAATGGGAGAAAATTTTTGCAACCTACTCATCTGACACAGGGCTAATATCCAGAATCTACAATGAAGTCAAACAAATTTACAAGAAAAAAACAAACAACCCCATCAAAAAGTGGGCAAAGGATATGAACAGACACTTTTCAAAAGAAGACATTTATGCAGCCAAAAAACACATGAAAAAATGCTCATCATCACTGGCCATCAGAAAAATGCAAATCAAAACCACAATGACATACCATCTCACACCAGTTAGAATGGTGATCATTAAAAAGTCAGGAAACAACAGGTGCTGGAGAGGATGTGGAGAAATAGGAACACTTTTACACTGTTGGTGGGACTGTAAACTAGTTCAACCATTGTGGAAGTTGGTGTGGCAATTCCTCAGGGATCTAGAACTAGAAATACCATTTGATCCAGCCATCCCATTACTGGGTATATACCCAAAGGATTATAAATCATGCTGCTATAAAGGCACATGCACATGTATGTTTATTGTGGCACTATTCACAATAGCAAAGACTTGGAACCAAGCCAAATGTCCAACAATGATAGACTGGATTAAGAAAATGTGGCACATATACACCGTGGAATACTATGCAGCCATAAAACAGGAGGAGTTCATGTCCTTTGTAGGGACATGGATGAAGCTGGAAACCATCATTCTCAGCAAACTATCGCAAGGACAAAAAACCAAACACCGCATGTTCTCACTCATAGGTGGGAATTGAACAATGAGAACACATGGACACAGGAAGGGGAACATCACACACCGGGGACTGTTGTGGAGTGGGGGGAGTGGGGAGGGATAGCATTAGGAGATATACCTAATGCTAAATTATAAGTTAATGGGTGCAGCACACCAACACAGCACATGTATACATATGTAACAAACTTGCACGTTGTGCACATGTACCCTAAAACTTAAAGTATAACAATAAAAAATAAATAAATAAATGTTCAAGGTTTTTGTATAACCCTGTACAGTCAGAATCGTGAACAATATTGGAGAAAAATGTTTTTAAATGTGGTATTTGAAATGATCTTTATTTTCATACTCAAAAAAGAGCCTGTAATAATAGAAAGCTTTGATAATGATGTTATGATGTGGAAGATTTCATAAACAGAAAATACTAACCAGTTGTCAAAGAACATGAACTATTTCTCCTTTCTGGTCCATAAACCTACACAAATCACAGTGGGTCAAATAAGAGATTCAGTATTCTTGGATTCTCTGTTCTTTTTGTATGTTCTACATTTTAAAAAATCACAGATAGAAAATTTCCCTAGATTATAAAGAAAAGTCCAACTAGATTATAAAGCCATGATGTGGAAAAAAAATTGAATGTTAATCATATATTTCACTATATACTTTGACAAATATAATCTCATTTAATTTTTGTAATCCTAAGCGGTATTATCCTTACTTTGGAAATGATGAACCCACAGCTCAGACACAGTAATTTAAGACAGAGCATTTTCTCTCTATTCTTTTTTAAGAATATAGGGAAATGTTAGTTTAATCTATTTCAATGTTATTTTAAATTATAATTATGTTGATTCTTATAAGCATTATTGAGGTAGAATGTGAATTAACATTCTCTGTTGCATTTGACTTGGTAACTTGTCTCAGTATTTACAAATAAATACTTAATACATTAATTCCAACATAAAAAATATATAGTACGTAGAATTTCCGTGAATTTGACATTGGCAAAACCTGTGTTCAAAATAGATTTCACAACTGATTAGATAAGTGACATTCAATAGCCTCTCTGAATCAAAGTTTTCATTTATGAGAATTATACCAACTTTCCAGGATTGCTCTAAAGCAGGATTTCTCAACCTCAGTGCTACTGACATTTTCATTTAGATAATTTTATTTTTTTTGAGAGAGGGTCTCGCTCTGTTACCCAGGCTGCAGGGCAATGGTGCAATCACGGCTCCCTGCAGCCTCGACCTCCTGGGCTCAAACAATTCTCTCGCCTCAGCCTCTAGAGTAGCTATGACTACAGGCATGCACCACCAAGCCAAGCTACTTAAATTTTTTTTTTTTTTTTTTTTGTAAAGGCAGGGTCTATATGTTTCCCAGGCTAGTCTCGAACTCCTGGACTCAAGTGCTCCTCTTGCTTTGGCTTCCCAAAGTGCTGGGATTACTGGAATTACAGGAATGAGCCACTGCACCCAGCCCAGATAGTACTTTCTTGCAGGCACTGTCCTGTGCATTGTGGGATATTTAGCAGCATCCTTGGCCTCTATCCACTAGACACGAACAGTACCCCTTTCCACCTGTTGTGACAACCAAAAATGTCTCCAGACACTGCCAAATGCCCCTGGAGAGTGATTCCCCCAGTTGGGAACCACTGTCATGGGGAAAAATATTATTATAAAAGTGAACTGAAAAAGAAGTACATGATATCCCTCTACTACAGGGAATCCCCTTCAGATGGGAGGGATAAGGAAAAGATTCCCTAAGAAGCCAAGAACTAATGACATTCTCCTAAAAGCAACAATCAGGAACAGAAAAAAAAACTCTAATAACCTTGTGTGGTATTAGTTATTCTTGGTTATTCCTCCAAATTCCTCTACATTAAATTCAGGTGACCTTAGTAAGACTTGTTTGACTACAGAACAAGGCTTGGATCTTAGAACGTCATAAAAAGCTTTATAGCTTCTGCTCAGATTCCAACTACCCTAAAACCGTCATGCTGGAAAGACCATGGCGCAGACATAGGCCCAACTGAGCTTAGCCTTCCAGCCTTCCTAGCCAAATCACCGGACGTGTAAATAAAGCTGCTTAGAATCCTCCAGTCCTGCCCACCTATTAGCTGAATACCATTAGCTGATGATGCTACATTTAAGAGAAGAATTGCCAAGACTTGCCCAAATTCCTGACCTTCATGATTGAGAGATATAATAGAATAATTGTTGGTTAAGCCACTGAATTTTGAGGTAGTTTGTTATACAGTGATAGATAACTGGAGCGCTTCTTCTTTTTTTTTTTTTTTTTTTTTTTTTTTTTTTTTTTTTTTTTTTGAGATGGAGTTTCACTCTTGTTGCCCAGGCTGGAGGGCAATGGCACAATCTCAGCTCACTACAACCTCTGCCTCCCGAGTTCAAGCAATTCTCCTGCCTCAGCCTCCCAAGTAGCTGGGATTACAGGGGCCCACCACCATGCCCAGTTAATTTTTGTATTTTTAGTAGAGATGGGGTTTCACCATGTGGGCCAGGTTGGTCTTGAACTCCTGACCTCAGGGGATCCGCCCACCTAGGCCTCCCACAGTGCTAGGATTACAGGTGTGAGCTACCGCGCCCAGCCTGGAACTCTTAATTCTTATGATTATTTTCATATAGCTTGTGTATATTTTGTATGCCTATACTCTTCAATTAAAGATTTTTATGTGCTTCGAGGAAATCTTGTTTAACTATCTTTCTTGGATCAAATGAAGTCATCCAATTCTTACCAAGAGGAACAACTGTCATGGACTTCTGGTCCCTTCCAACAAAATCAACCGTAGGGAAGAAAAAAACAGAAGTAAATCTGGATTCCAAGAACAATAATGGCAGCAACAACAAAAGGGAACAAAAACTGCTGGTGATACCAAAAGCTGTACTTAACTTTTCTGAAAGGAAACTGGTAACCTGGAGCCTGAAGCAAAGGGAAGCAGAGGTAGGACTTAAAAGAGAGATATGCTAAAAGCTCTTTAAGATTTTGCCTTTCCCTCCCCCTTGATTGCCCCTTAGCCACAGAAATTGGCAGCAACAGCCTAGATGTCTTTGTCAGCAGTTTAAAATCAGGGTGGCACAGAAGCCTTAGAGAGGAAAGCTCAGGAAAGCAGACACAGACTAATAAGCCATCCTCTTGGCATTCACTCTTCCCGCCCCTCTCTGTGCCCCCACCTTGTACAAGGGGCAGGGGAGCTACAGGGCTGGTAGTGAGTTATAATCTAAGGAGATAACCTCTTTCCAGTATCCAGTATTATTTATTTATATGAGTGTAAAAACAAATCCCAATCAGAATTTGCCTGATGCAGTAGCAGCCAACAGAACTTGACAGCACTTCAATGGTGCCAGGTGGCGGCTATTTGACCTGGGTCCCAAGTCCTTCCTTTCCTTAAACTCACCTGGACATAAATTCCCTAACAGATATTATTAGACTAAGTGACTAATACCCCGCAAGGGACACAGACAAATAGACACATCTATAACATAAACTACTGTGAAAGAAGGATGACTCACTAAACAACTTATGCCATCTGAAGCAGTATTACTGGAATGAATGATCCAAGAATGTGTCCCTAGAAAGTCAATGGAAGATATAAGTATATGAAGCCAAAACAGGAAACCATGAAAAAGGATCAAGTAGAAATACTGAATATGTAAAACAGACAATATCCAGGTAACAGAGTTCCAGAAAGAGGGAGGGAAATGAAACATTTCTAGGGAAGAATAAACATTTCAAGAAATAATAACTTCCCAGAATTAAAGATAAAAGAAGTGAAGAATGTAAAGCCTCAAACAGCCAAATAACAGAAGAGCCCATTCCTAGAAAATTTAAGATTATCAAAGAAAAAAATCTCAAAGGCTGGAAAAAAAAGAACACAGTAATGCCAAAAGTAAAAGAATAAGATTAATATTAGATATCACAAAAAGTGACACTGGACACAGGATGGGGTAGTGTAAATCCACAATCCTTTATCCATAATCCTTGCAGCAGGGGTTTTTTCAGAATTCAGAATTGCTATGGTTTGAATGTATCCCCCAAAAAAACATGCATTGGAAACCAAATCCCCAAAAGATTAATGCTGTCATCATATTTAAGACTATGTGCCCCATTTCAATGGGTTCATTATAAAAAGGGGAGTTCTATCTTCTCACTCATGTTCTCTCTCTCCCTTCTGCCTTCTGCCACAGCAACATGTTGGCCCGTTGATCTTGGACTTCCCAGCCTCCCAAACCATGAGCCAATACACTTCTGGTTCATTATAAATTACCCAGTCTGTGGTATCTTGTTATAGCAGCACAAAACAGACCAAAACAATGATTTTTCAGAGTATATAAAGATAATATGGTGTTTGTATGTATATCACATATTATGTAACATCCACAACAGCATCTAAGGCACTAACCCATAATTTAACTCATTAATATCTTGAAGCAAAATCTATAAACATTAACACTAAATGAGATGAATAAAATCCGTAAGTAGCCTCATACCAGTTTGGTTTGTGTGTTGTAGTCAAATAAATTATGAAAAACCCTTTGATTATTTGGTTTTAGAATACCAGGAAAGGGACTCTTGACCTGTATTTTAAAAGTTTTGAATTAAAGTAACTTTAAACTTAGAATTTTACATCCAAAACATCATTCCAATATGATGTTAAGACAAAAATATTTTCAACATACAAAGCCTCAGAGGGTCACATAAAGCCCACTAACTGCACATTTGGAAGAATACTCAAAAGAAAAAGAAATATAGGAGGTACTCCAAGAGATAAAGAAAGCACTCCAAGAGATAAAGAAAGTAAAAGTAGTCAAATGCCTTAGTAGCCATAAAAAGTGATCTAAAATACCAGCAATATACTCACTGGGGATGGGGAGTCAGGAGACACATTAAAAGAACGTATGAGAATGCTAGAGTATCTGTCATATTTAGGGGAAGAAAAAGCCATTTTAAAAGTAAGAAATATACAGAAGTAAACTGAGGAATGGGTCTAAAGGGCAATCATCATAAGAACAAAAATAGAAAAAATTTCAACTTACCCAATGAAAAGCAGGAATGGAGTTAGTCAAAAGGGAAAGGGATGAAAATTAAACCCAATTAGAACAGTAATTACAATAATGTAAATGAGTTGAACTTGCCAATTTAAAGACAAATTAGTATAAAACATTTTTTATGCCAGGTTAAAAAATGACAGAGCAATATGAGTAATACTTAAGAAAGGATAAACCAAACAAATATGAACCACAACAAAGCTAACATAGCAATCTTAATAAAATTTAAGGCAGGCCAACCATGGTCTCATGCCTGTATTCCAGCACTTTGGGAGGCCAAGGCAGAATGATTGAGTCCAGGAGTTCAAGACCAGCCTAGCCAACATAGGCAGATTCTGTCTCCCTAAAAAAATAAACATAATAAAAAATAAATATAACAAAATTTAAGGTAAAAAATATCAAGAAGGACAAAGTGAGATATTACATATTTATAAAAATAGTAGAACAAAACCACATAATCATCATGAACACATCCACATCAAACAAAGTCTCAATATATGTCAGAAACAACTGTAGAAAATGGAGGGAGAAAAAGCTAAAATCAATTGCAGTTGGAAATATTAACACTCAACTGATCAAAAACAGTATAAGCAGATATATTGAAGATCCAAGCAATAAAATCAGAGAATACATATTATTTGCATAAGCACATAGCATATACACAGATAGGTCATATAATAGCCCAAAAAGCATGGCCCAAAACACAAGATCAATAACCATACACATTGCATTATCTTACAATAATGGGATAAAACTAGAAATTAATGACAAAAAGATGGTTTTAAAAATCTCATTTGGTCACGAGGTCAGGAGATCGAGACCATCCTGGCTAACACAGTGAAACCCCGTCTCTATTAAAAATACAAAAAATTAGCAGGCGCAGTGGCAGGCGCCCTTAGTCCCAGCTACTCTGGAGGCTGAGGCAGGAGAATGGTGTGAACCCGGGAGGCAGAGCTTGCAGTGAGCTGAGATTGCGCCACTGCACTCCAGCCTGGGGGACAGAGCGAGACTCCGTCTCAAAAAAAAAAAAAAAATCTCGTTTGTAAACTAAATATATTACTAACTCAGATTAAAACGTAAAAACATTAAGAAAATTTTAAAATACTCAGACGTTAACAGTAATGAAAATTCAAGACTACCCTCTAACTGGATCAATTTTTGCTGACTTGGTCACTCCTGAACCAATTATTGTGACCAAAGTAATGGCATGAGCCAACAGGTTCCTTGAACCAAGACTAGGATTAGGCTGATTTGCTTAAACCAATGGGAATCTACAAATACAATAGAAGAAGCAGTATGTAGTGAAAGGGAAATCTGATTATCATATTAGGAAGAGGAAAGAAGAGATATATGGAATAGTAGGGAGGCAACATTGCTGACAGAACTTTAATTCCAGTTCAGCCACCATTCTCTAAGGTTAATTACTGATCATATAACATGAGATGGGACCTCAGTTTCCTTGGGTAAAAAATGAACATGATATTTAAGAGTCCCTTTAGCTCTAGGAGTTTGCAACTACATCAGCTGTTTTGTTCAGGCTAAAATAGAGCCTGGCACATATTATACCATTTGCTATGAGTGTACAGAATGAATAGGAAGTTTACCACACTCAATTTTGAGAGATTCTTAGGACTACTACTTCAAAAAAAAAAAAAACCACTTAATGGATCTCCAATAGATAAATGGGAAAAGGACGCAAATTTTAAAATCCACAAAGGGGAAGCTGGTAAGCTGCTTTTAAAATATTCCAAGTTTCTAATTTAAAAAGTGAAAAATTAAAAAATTCAACTACCATTTCATATCTATTCAAATATTCAATGTTGATAAAGAAGCAGAGAAACTAGCAACTGCATACACACTATAGTAGCTGTGTAGATTGGTAGTGCTTTTAGAAAGTATTCAAAATTTTCACATTTAATGCATCATTATCACTTCTGGAAATCCAAAAGTAATCCTGACTAGTCCAAAAGAAAGCAAAATACCTATACACACAAAAATGTTTTCTTGCAATATTTCTTATTATAAGAGGGAAAACTCCAACACAACCTAAACACGTAACAACCAGGTAATAATTAAATTATGGTTAGATAATAGATTATGTAGCCATTGTCACAGTATTCAGAGAATATATTTAACAAATTTTATTATTTAAGGGCATCTAAAGAGTCCAGTAACTATGAGAAATTTACATTAAAACTGATATGAGCATTTGATTTTTAAAGTTTAAAACCTAAAACCTTGTTTCTAAACTTTATCTGACAAATTTCGTACCCCATGTTTTGAAAACGTCTGGACTTCACCAAGAGTGGGCCAAGAACAATTACATTTTGGATATAATTCACAGAAATATTAACTTCCAAGAGTATCTGGGGTATTTTTTTATACTAAAGGAGAAGATAATATAGCTACTCTTATTGAATGTGCAGCTTATGAGCTTTTGGACTTTTTAAAAAAAATGTGTGGAAAAATGTCAGTATCTACCATGCCAAAGAAAGTATTGGTCTTATTTTTACTACATGCTTTATATTTTTATGTTTCATTAGCTCAGTCCCACATGAGACCAGTGCCTGCCCTGATTTCTGGAATGCTGCCCCAATTCTTTTCTCCTAGGCCTTGTTGCCAGGGTTGCAGCTGCACAACTAATTCTTATTAAAATGTAAGTCTTTGAAATGCAGGTCTACGGAAAGGGATATAAAGGATTTCATTATCTTTTCTCAAAACTCACAATGAGGATTAAACTCCCACCCTTCCCAAGCCATACCACTACTTGTGCCCTTCTCTACCAAGTCACACACCAAATATAATGAAGACAGCAGCTCACCCTTAAATATCCAAATAAAAACAGCCATGAAGGAGAGAGCTGCACAGTAATGAACCTTCAGGTCTGGCAAAAGTTATTAAAAAATGACTTCTAATACTCATAATGTAGTCACAGGCTACAGCTGGATATTCATACAGTGATGTGATTTTAGAAATAATACTTCTAAAGAATAAATACTTGGAAGAAAAAATAGGTACTCTGCAATAACAATTTCAGAATAATTTCAGAAACTTCAAGTCAGAAAAACAAGAACTGCAAGTAATTTACTCAAAATGTAAAATACTTTATAAGCTATTAATTTTGTTGTAGAACACTCACACCCCTAAAATTTTCTTGAAAAAGCAGGAAAAAATTTAAAGACAATTTACATTCCTTTCCATTTTTTACTAGAATCTCATGTACTTTTGTCTCTGGATAAAATTCTTAACAACTGATCTTGCTCTTGAACAATTTATGATTAAATTCATCTTGTGAGAAAAGTTAACACACAACTGTCAAGACCATAAAGATAAACCTATTTTCAATTAAAAGTAAACAAACAGATCAAATCCTCTCATGTAAAGTAAAATGACACAGAGTTTTTCATTAAAACACATTATTTTAGATGTTGGTACACTACTGGAATTCTAACATGCAGAACCTTAGAATTTTAACTGTGTCAGAGAAAAGAATTAAGGTTAGCAAAATTACCTAGGGTTAAGTACACATATCCTAGTCTGTTCCCTAGGTGACTCACATTTAAATACAAAAAAAAAAAAAAAAAAAAAAAAAACCAGAGAGAGAGAGGTACAATCCCTTGAGGATCTCATTATAAAACATGCACTTCAAGTTACAGAAACAAAGCACATTCAGATACAATTCTAAAAAGTGGCTACTAGTTGTATTTTTTAGTAATAAAACTGAAATCATTAACTTAAATGTACTTCATAACTTCATAAGCTTTTTAAATATAGAAGAAATATATAATTAAAATACTTGTTAAAAATATAGATTGGGGGTCGGGCACAGTGGCTCATGCCTGTAATCCCAACACTTGAATGCCAAGGTGGAAGGATTGCTCGAGCCCAGGAGTTTGAGATGACACTGGGCAACATAGAGAGACACTGTCTCTACTAAAAAAAAAAAAAAAGCCAGGTGTGGTGGCACATGCCTGTGGTCCCAGCTACCTGGAGGGCTAATGTGGAAGGACTGCTTCAGCCCAGAAGGTTGAGGGTGCAGTGAGTCACGATTGTCCATTATACTCGAGCCTGGGCAACAGAGTGAAAGCCTGTCTCAAAAGAAAGAAGAAAAAAAAATATTTGGGATCACCTCACACCCCTTAGGATGGCTACTATGAAAGAAAACAAAACAAAACAAAAACCACACACAGAAAATAAATGCTGACATGGATGTGAAGAGGAAATCTTTGTGCACTGTTGGTGATACCGTAAAATGGTGCAACTGCTATAGAGAACACATTATGACAGGTCCCCAAAATATTAAAAACAGAAATACTATCTACTTCTGGGATATATTTGGAAAAACTGAAGGCAGAGCCCTGAAGACATATTTGCCCACCCACATTCATACTAGCCAAGAGGTAGCACAACAGCCAAGAGGTAGAAGCAACCCAAATGTCCACCAACAGAAGAACAGATAAACAAACATACAATGGAATATTATCGAGCCTTAAAAAGGAAGGGCAGTGGCACATGCCTGTACTTCCAGCTACTTACAAGACTGATGCCAGAGTACTACTTGAGCCCACGACTTCAAGTCCAGCCTGGGCAATAAAGCAAGATCTAATCTCTTTTAAAAATAAAAAATAAAAATAAAAAGGAAGGAAATCCTGTCATGCTATAAAATGGATGAGCCTTACGAACACTATACTAAGTGAAATAAGCCAGTCACAAAAACATAAATACTGTATGATTCCATTTACATGAGGAATCTAAAGTAGTCAAATTCATAGAATCATAAAGTATGTGGGTACTGGGGGATGGCAATAGGGAGAAATGAAAATTTGTTATCTAATGGGTACAGAGTTTCAGTTTTGCAAAGTGAAAAAGTTCTAGAGATTGGCTGCACAGCAATGTGAACATACTTAACACTACTCAACTGTACACTCAGAAATGGATAAGATGATAAATTTTATGTGTCTTTTACCACTACTATAAAAAAAATTTTTTTCTGCCAGGCGTGGTGGCTCATGCCTGTAATCCCAGCACTTTGGGAGCCCGAGGCAGGTGAATCACGAGGTCAGGAGATCGAGACCATCCTGGCTAACACGGTGAAACCCCGTCTCTACTAAAAATACAAAAAATTAGCCAGGCGTGGTGGCGGGTGCCTGTAGTCCCAGCTACTTGGGAGGCTGAGGTAGGAGAATGGCATGAACCCGGGAGGCGGAGCTTGCAGTGAGCCGACATCGCGTCACCGCACTCCAGCCTGGGCGACACAGCGAGACTCCGTCTCAAAACAAAAAACAAAACAAAAAAAACATTTCTAATGTAGATTGGGGGTGACCTCACCCTTGGAGATTCTAACAAATTGAAAAAGATGAAAATTAGGTGAATCCCTTTTTTCCTTTTACCCAGTACGACGCTTGATGATTTTGGCGGGGGGGAAGATAGAATTAAGTTTCCCACCATTATCCTACCCACCCAGTTGTCTTCCCTCAATACAGCCCCTAATATTAGCTTCTTGTGTAGCCTTTCACAGATACTTTATGAATATACCAGCATATATGTATATTCTTTTTTGAAATATTTTTATGTAGCATTATACATCACGGGCACCTTTTTCACTTAACACTTTATCTTAGAAATCAGGCAATATCAGTACCATTTTAAAGAGATGAGATCTATGTTACCCAGGCTGGATTTGAACTCCTGAGTTCAAACAATCCTTCCCTATCAGCCTCCCAAATAACTAGGACTATCAGCATGTGCCACTACACCCAGCTAATATCAGTAACTTTTAAAAAACTGCCTCTTTTAAGTTTTAAAGGCTGCATTTGTATCATACTGATATAGGTCATCTTTCACAGACGGAAGTTGAGTTGTTTCTAATACTTCACTATTACAGTACTGCAAAAACTAACCCTGTATATTCACACAAGTGAGAATACGATGAACTAAACCCAAAAGCTACAGAATTTAACCATAAGATAAATTCCAAGAAGTGAAACTGATGTATTAAAGAGCATGTACATTTAAATGTTCAGTAGGCATTTTAAATTTGGCAGATGTTTTCCAATCTCCTAAAGGAATGTGCCAACTTATACTCCCTCTAATAAGGCATTAGAATACCTACATTTCTTTCAAAACACGTTTTCTAAGAAGGCTTCCCTAACTCCAAGAATATAAAGAGGAAAAATTCATTTTCTTCCTCTGAAGATAAGGATCTGATTTTTTCTGATGGCTACCCAGCTATAATATTGCCAGAAAGAAAAAAAATAATTTTCTCCACTGATCCGATACGTGCTTTCATCATATTCTAAATTTCCATATGAATTTGGGACTCTTTTTATTCTGTACCACTGATCTATCTACCAGAATTATAATGTATTAATTGCTGTAATTTTAGAATACATTTTTTTTTGAGACAGAGTCTCGCTCTGTCGCCCAGGCTGGAGTGCAGTGGCGCAATCTCAGCTCACTGCATCCTCCGCCTCCGGGTTCAAGTGATTCTCCTGCCTCAGCCTCCCAAGTAGCTGAGATTACAAGCATGCGCCACCATGCCTGGCTAATTTTTGTATTTTTAGCAGATATGGGGTTTCACCATGTTGACCAGGCTGGTCTCAAACTCCTGACCTCAAATGATCCACCCTCCTCGGCCTCCCAAAGTGCTGGGATTACAGGCATAAGCCACTGCCACCCGGCCAGAATACATTTTTAATATCTAGAAGAACTAATTCTTTTTTTTTTTTAATCTTATTTACTTATTTTTTGAGACAGAGTCTCGCTCTGTCACGCAGGCTGGAGTACAGTGGCACAATCTCAGCTCAATGCAACCTCCACCTCCCAGATTCAAGCTATTCTCCTGCCTCAGCCTCCTGAGTAGCTGGGATTACAGGCATGCACCACCACGCCTGACTTAATTTTTTTTTTTCTATTTTTAGTAGAGACAGGGTTTCATTATGTTGGCCAGGCTGGTCTCAAACCCCTAACCTCAAGTGATCCACCTGCCTTGGCCTCCCAAAGTGTTCGGGTTACAGGTGTTAGCCACCACGCCCAGCCTAGTTCCTTTTTTAAATGTTCTTTTTTTTTTTTTTTTTTTTTTTTTTTCTTTAAGACGGAGTCTTGCTCTGTCCCCCAGGCTGGAGTGCAGTGGCGCGATCTCCGCTCACTGCAACTTCTGCCTCCCGGGTTCACGCCATTCTTCTGCCTTGGCCTCCCGAGTAGCTGGAACTACAGGCACCCGCCACCACGCCCAGCTAATTTTTTGTATTTTTAGTAGAGACGGGGTTTCACTGCTTTAGCCAGGATGGTCTCAATCTCCTGACCTCGTGATCCGCCTGCCTCGGCCTCCCAAAGTGCTGGGATTACAGGCGTGAGCCACCGTGCCTGGCCTAAATGCTCATTCTTTTAAAGAATTTTTCTGGATAATCTTCCTTATTTTTTTCCTTATAAATTTTAGATTCAACTAATCTTTAAAAATCCTTTTAAAAATTTTATCGGGATGTTACAGACTGGAAGAGAACAATATTTTTCAGATACTGAATTACGATGGTCAGTTTCTAAGTATTCTTTTGGGTCCTGGGTGATTCTGCTATAAGAGATCTACTTTTTGAGAAACAATACTGCATGTCAAAGGAAAGAGTAGTGGTGCTTGCTAAGGGGCAAAGGAAGCCAGTATACAGAGTGCAAGCTCTGTCTATGGGGGTACAACAGCCTAACTATATTAGATATCAATATAAATTTATCCTTGTTGAGAAGACCAAGAAAATTTCTTCACAGAGGCAGAAACTATACTCCAAACTACTTTCTATGGCCCTAGGGTAAGAAAACAACTGCAGCTGAAGTAAGTGGTTTCGAATTCCATTCCATACAAGAACTCAAAATTAGTGGTGAACTACAGGCTTGGAAAACCAGAATGAAGTGAGGCACTGAGGGTGGGGGGAAAAGTCATATCGACCTTTCTCCTACCTTACACCCCCAACTCATCCCAGCACTTTGGGAGGCTAAAGCAGGTGGATCATTTGAGGTCTGGAGTTCGAAACCAGCCTGGTCAACATGGTGAAACCCCGTCTCTACTAAAAATACAAAAAAACTTGGCCAGGAGTGGTGGCGGGCACCTGTAATCCCGGCTACTCAGGAGGCTGAAGCAGGAGAATCGCTTGAACCCTGGAGGCGGAGGTTGCAATGAGCCGAGATTGTGCCACTGCACTCCAGCCGGTGCAACAGAGTGAGACTCTGTCTCAAAAAGAAAAAAGAAAAAAAAGAATGCATTATCTGCCAACCTGCACATCTGTGTCAGAGGCATCCTTACCTAACTCACAATTCAAGTTTTATTAAGTCCCTTGAGTTCTCATTATGCAGATGTATAATTGAGGGTTGAGAAAGATGTATCAGCTAGAAAGTTTTCACAAAAATGTAAGACAAAATCCAAAGCCAATTGGATTAAACATGAAATTTAGTGGCTCATGCAACTGTAAGTCTAGAGGTACAGCAGCTTCAGGGAAGGGTTGATCCAGCAGCTCAAATGGAGTAACTAGGGCATGGCTTTTCTCTGCTCTACTCACTCAGTGTTGGCTTCTTAATCAACTAAATTTCCTTTCATGGTCAAAAGATAGCTGCCAGGAATTCAATAACTATGTTTTCAGGTTGAAATTCATAAAAATAAGTGCCTTCATCTCAGCATTCCTAGCAAATATCCTAAGATTCACTCTGCTTGATCTAGCTTAAGGTGCATGCCTGCCATGACTGTCTTAGGTAGGAAACATGTTCCATTCCTACAAAATATATATGAAATACAGCACATTAAAGTTGACCTTAATGATTTAAATTTCCTGTATTACTAAATAATGGTACTACTGCATTTAAATTGATGGGTAAAGTGCATCATACAACTTTCTCTATCTTCTTAAAAAGTTATTCTCCTGGTTGGGCATGGTGGCTCACACCTTCAGTTCCCGCACTTTGGGAGGCCAACGCAGGTAGACCTCTTGAGCCCAGGAGTTCAAGACCAGCCTGGACAACATGGTGAAACCCTGTCTCTACAAAAAATATAAATTGGCTGGGCATGGTGGTGCACACCTGTAGTCCCAGCTACTTGGGAGGCTGAGACAGGAGGATCGCTTGAGCCCAGGAGGCAGAGGTTCCTGGCATCTTGGGCTCAAACACATAGGCCTAGGCAAAGAGCCAAGATCACACTCCAGCCTGGGCAACAGAGTGAGACCCTGTCTCAAAAAAAGAAGTAGGAAAAAAAGGTATTCTCCCAGATTTTCATCAGAATCGATCAAGAAAAAAAAAAAGTGAATTCTTCCCTGAATGTAAATCTCTTTTTGAAGGATTCAAAATATACTACCAGATTACCTGGTAAAATCATAACACAGGTTTTATCTTTTTCCTTTTACCATAACTGAAAGTAACACCACAGATTTTCAAGAAGAAAAAGAGGTTCTCATTCCATACTTTTTCAAGATTATAATAACAAGATTTAAAAGAAAAGATAGAAAGAAACATTTATATCTAGAGCCAGGTCAAAAAAAAAAAATGATTTGTTTCACAGAGCTTTAAAACATAAGCAACTAGATCATCCATCCTATGGCCCAAGATCCCTCTTACTACATCACCGCCAAACTTCCCTCCACCTCCCCCAAAACACACAGTCCTAAGAACAGAGTGGGGATGCACACTTTAGGGAATCTTTCTGTGAATGTGCATTCCAAAGCCAAATACAAATTATTCCTGAATTATGCTTCTTACTATTGACGTCCCTCATTCCTATAATTATCACAGAAAATAGAAGGCAAACTATTCTGTTTTTATAATGAAGAAGAAAGTGAAATTCCATTTATTAGATTGAAAGCCAATACTCAAACATAAAGGAGAGAACCTGGTTCTGACGGTAAAGTTGGACAAAAACAAAAGGCAACATTGTCTGGAGTAGAACTAACCACTTGAACATGTGTTACATACTGGAAGTCTTAAAGAAAAAACAAACTTCACTCATAATCCTAGAGGGAAGCAGTGTGGGTAAAGAAAAGGATGTGAATTTAAAAAAAAAAATCTCTGTAATTATTAGATTCTACGGATTGGTTTTTCAAATACTTATCAAGTAATTCAGTTAAGCAAACATGTATTGATGACATCATTAAGAAGTATTAGAGTCAGATACAATAGGAATATAAACATACCCCTTGACTTCATAAAGCTTGTAAGGGGCTACAAAGAACATGATCAAGTAGAAATGTGTGCGACACTAAAAAACATGGCTTTGAGTAATCAAAAAAGGAAGAAACCAAATAAATCTAGATAATTTCTATAGCAAATAACAGGAAATCTCAAGGCAAAACTGCTTAAACAATAAGAAAATTCAGATAGAGAGGCTATAGGCATGGTAAATGGAACTCTAGTTCTACTTTTCTCCAGTTCCCTTGGTTCTCCCTCCTTCACATAAGGCACCACCTTCAGGCTACTAAAAAGATGGCTCCAGCACTTCCACACATCACATCTACGTAATATCAGCTCTGCGGAGAAGAGGGACCATCTATTTTCTTCCTTTTCACAAAAGCAAGAAAGATTTCCCCAAAAGCCTCTTGCAGATGTCCCTTTTGTCTCTCATTGGACAAAACTGTTTCTCATGTCCATTCCTAAAACAATCACTCCCAAAGAGAATGAGACCTACCACAACTAAGATTAAAATGGATGCTGGTAACTATCATGACCATCATTTCAGCGCTGGCTGAATATTTCAAATACAGTATTTCAGGCCTCGGACTGAAGAACAAATAATAGAGAAAAATGCCTAGGCAAAGGAAAGGATGTGCCTAACTGGAAGAAGCAAGCCAAACTCTGAAATCAGACATTAAACATGATGTTAGGGATAAAGAATTCCCTTAAACTGCACTGCTGTCCTCCTCTGTAATATAAAAATTAATGTCAGCAAATGCTAAGAATGTAGAAGTAGTCATCCTCTTTTTATGGAAAGGGTTTAGGTTATTTAATTATCAGTGGAGATTATCAGACTTACCACTCCTCAGCAATGGAGTAACACATTCAGCTACTTCTGGGTTAAGAACATTCCATATTATGCATACAGATGACCGCAGATTCACTGTCAGTAGTTATTCCTTGCAGATTTCTTCTCATTTGGGTTCCAGGTTTCACTCAAAAATTCACACACTCAAATCTGGCCCTATCTGCAAATGAAAGCATGCAATTAGGAGGCAAAAAGCTACAGAGAGCAATTCCCCCTCCCCCATCTATAATTAACTGATCCATATAAAGACTGAACTCAAACACTAGGCTCACTAAGCACCATGTTTAACCTAAGCAACCTGCATTTCAACACCATAACGTGCTTATTATACACAGTTAACACACTTTTCCCACCATATAAATTTATTGTTGCTTCCACATTATATCTACCCACCGGGCAGAATCCAGCAGACAGATACCTTTGGTGGACCCACACTAGGTTGGTCTGCATGGTTAAAGGATAACTGCCTACATTTATAAATCAGGACTTTACATGAAAATCCAGATTTTGGACCTCTCTTGAAAAATCAGAATATCTGGCAATACTGGCCCCACATTCCCATATGGAAACAATCTTCTGGAGCTGATTAGCAGCTAACTAACCCTGTGGATGGGACTCTGCAGTTCTCCACAGAAGTCGCCACTCTCCTTTATGTTACAACCTGGCTCACAATTACTTGTCTGTACCCTGCAGACATCTGAGCTTGCAAACTCTGCTACGTATTTCTAATAGCTCCCAGGGAACATTTTAGTATTGTCACAGCCAAGCATGTTTCTCTGCCTTGAGGATATAATATAGCATAAGGGGATAACAAACATGGACTTAAGAGTCAGAAGCTGAAGTTCAAATTCTGCAAATGACTAGCTGTGTGACCTCAGGTCTGTTTTTAACCTAAGATATAGTTCATCTAAAAGCGTCCAAATAAACCTATAAGCCTTAACACAGTAGACAAAACACGCCTAAAATCTAACGTGTCCAACCTGAATTGACAATACTAGATACACTGCTTCCTCAGTCTTCGTCATCTCAACAAATCACACCATAATCCATATATTCCGCTCAAGCCACAAACATAAAGTCCCACATACTCTTCCTTGTCTCCCAAAGCCATCACCAAGGCAACTGGCTCTTCCTCCAAAACACATAACTTGAACAGATTCTTAGAATTCCAGTCATAAAAACAAACAGCAATTCATCCTTCATAATCAATTACTTTGCTGAAATTGCCTATAAATTTAACACCTTAAATAATGGTAGCTTGAAGTGTCAAGGTTCCATATTATGAAGAATACTGGTACTTCATTAAAGGAAAAATGAATTTCATTAAAGGAAAAATGAAAACCATTGGGGTTGCTTAATCTCATTCCTGGCAAGACATTGATATTAATTTTATAAACTTACACATTTCTTCAACTCTAAACTGACAGTGAACTAAGAGGCTATGCTAACTCTGATAACGAAATTAGGAAAACCAAGACTACTATTAATAGAATAAATAAGTCTAGGAAGGTTGCAGGATCAATACTCAAAAACCAAGATTAATACTCAAAAATCAATTCTATTTCTATAGAACACTTGTACAAAGAATAATCAGAAGCCAGGCACGGTGGCTCATATGTATAATCCCAGCACTCTGGGAGGCCAGGGTGGGATGATTGCTTGAGGCCAGGATTTTAAGACCAGCCTGGGAAACACAGGGAGACCCTGTCTCAACAACAACAAAAAAAATGTTTTAAGTTAACCAGGCATGGTGGAGCATGCCTGTAGTCCTAGCTACTCAGGAGGCTGTGGTGGGAGGATTACTTGAGCCCAAGAGTTCGAGGTTACAGTGAGCTATGATTGTGCCACTGAACTCCAACCCCGGCAACAGAGCCAGATCCTGTCTCCAAAAAAAAAAAAAAAGGACAATCATTTAAAAAATAATTTCATTTGTAGTGTAAAAGTATGAATTATGAAGAAATTATCAAATTATGTGCAAAAACAAATAGAGAATAATATTATGTTCATAGATCAATGAAGTCAATGATGTTAACATGTCAATTCTCCCCAATTTGATCAATATAGTCAACACAATTCTAATAAGAATCCCAGCTGACCTTTTTGTAGAATAAACTGGCATGTTTATTCTAAAATCCTACAGTTTAGTCGGGCATGGTGGTGCACACCTGTAATCCCAGCTACTCGGAAGGCCGAGGCAGGAGGATCGCTTGAACCCAGGAGACAGAGGTTGCAGTGAGCCAAGATCATGCCACTGCACTACGGCCAGGGTGACAGAGTGAGACTCTGCCTCAAAATAAATAAAATAAATTAATTAAATAAAATCATATGGAAATGGCAAAGAGCTAGATCAATCAAAACGGCTTTTAAAAAGGGCAAAAATTTTGGAAGCCTTATACAACCAGAATTCAAGGTTTATTATAAAGCTACAAAAACACTGTACTAGTAGGCAGAGAGACTTAACAGGTCAATAAAACAAAACTGAGAGTCCAGAAATACAACTACACACATGTAGTCAACTTATTTTCCATAAGGGTACAAAGGCAATCCAGCAGAGAAAGGATAGCTTTCTCAACAAATGAAGCTGGAACAACTGAATATTCATACCGCATGCCAAAATTAACTCAAAATCAATCACAGACCTAAAGGTAAAACCATAAAACTTCCATAAAATCTTTGTGGCCTTATCTTGGGCAAAGATTAGTAAACTAAAACACAAAAGCACAATCCACTTAAAAAAGACAAAGTAATAATTTCATTCAAATACTAATTTCTGCTATTTGCAAGACACTGTTAACAGAATGAAAGATAAGCCTCAGAAATAAAAGGCATCCAAACAGAAAAGGAAGAAGAGAGGGGCCAGGCGCGGTGGCTCATGCCTGTAATCCCAGCACTTTGGGAGGCCGAGGCAGGCAGATCACGAGGTCAGGAGATGGAGACCATCCTGGCTAACATGGCAAAACCCCGCCTCCACTAAAAATACAAAAAATCAGCCGGGCGTCGTGGCAGGCACCTGTAGTCCCAGCTACAAGGGAGGCTGAGGCAGCAGAATGGTGTGAACCCGGGAGGCAGAGCTTTCAGTGAGCCAAGATCACGCCACTGCACTACAGCCTGGGTGACAGAGCAAGACTCCGTCTAAAAAAAAAAAAGAAAAGAAAAGAAAAAGAAAAGGGAGGAGGAGCCAAGATGGCCGAATAGGAACAGCTCCCGTCTACAGATCCCAGCGTGAGCGACACAGAAGACGGGTGATTTCTGCATTTCCATCTGAGGTACTGGGTTCATCTCACTAGGGAGAGCCAGATCGTGGGCGCAGGTCAGTGGGTGCGCACACCGTTTGCAAGCCAAAGTAGGGCGAGGCATTGCCTCACTCGGGAAGTGCAAGGGGTCAGGGAGTTCCCTTTCCTAGTCAAAGAAAGGGGTGACGGACGGCACCTGGAAAATCGGGTCACTCCCACCCAAATACTGTGCTTTTCCGAGGGGCTTAAAAAACAGCGCACCACGAGATTATATCCCGCGCCTGGCTCGGAGGGTCCTACGCCCACGGAGTATCGCTGATTGCTAGCACAGCAGACTGAGATCAAACTGCAAGGCAGCAGCCAGGCTGGGGGAGGGGCACCCACCATTGCCCAGGCTTGCTTAGGTAAACAAAGCAGCCTGGAAGCTCAAACTGGGTGGAGCCCACCACAGCTCAAGGAGGCCTGCCTGCCTCTGTAGGCTCCACCTCTTGGGGCAGGGCACAGACAAACAAAAAGCAGTAACCTCTGCAGACTTAAATGTCCCTGTCTGACAGCTTTGAAGAGAGCACTGGCACTCCCAGCACGCAGCTGGAGACCTGAGAACGGGCAGACTGCCTCCTCAAGTGGGTCCCTGACCCCTAACCCCCGAGAAGCCTAACTGGGAGGCACCCCCCAGCAGGGGCACACTGACACCTCACACAGCAAGGTACTCCAACAGACCGGCAGCTGAGGGTCCTGTCTGTTAGAAGGAAAACTAACAAACAAAAAGGACATCCACACCAAAAACCCATCTGTACATCACCATCATCAAAGACCAAAAGTAGATAAAACCACAAAGATGGGGAAAAAACAGAACGGAAAAACTGGAAACTCTAAAAAGCAGAGCGCCTCTCCTCCTCCAAAGGAATGCAGTTCCTCACCAGCAACAGAACAAAGCTGGACAGGGAATGACTTTGACGAGCTGAGTGAAGAAGGCTTCAGACGATCAAATTACTCTGAGCTACTGGAGGACATTCAAACCAAAGGCAAAGAAGTTGAAAACTTTGAAAAAAAATTTAGAAGAATGTATAACTAGAATAACCAATACAGAGAAGTGCTTAAAGGAGCTGATGGAGCTGAAAACCAAAGCTCAAGAACTACGGGAAGAATGCAGAAGCCTCAGGAGCCGATGTGATCAACTGGAAGAAAGGGTATCAGCGATGGAAGATGAGATGAATGAAATGAAGTGAGAAGGGAAGTTCAGAGAAAAAAGAATAAAAAGAAACGAGCAAAGTCTTCAAGAAATATGGGACTATGTGAAAAGACCAAATCTACGTCTGATTGGTATACCTGAAAGTGATGGGGAGAATGGAACCAAGTTGGAAAACACTCTGCAGGATATTATCCAGGAGAACTTCCCCAATCTAGCAAGGCAGGCCAACGTTCAGATTCAGGAAATACAGAGAACGCCACAAAGATACTCCTTGAGAAGAGCAACTCCAAGACACATAATTGTCAGATTCACCAAAGTTGAAATCAAGGAAAAAATATTAAGGGCAGCCAGAGAGAAAAGTCGGGTTACCCACAAAGGGAAGCCCATCAGACTAACAGCGGATCTCTCGGCAGAAACCCTACAAGCCAGAAGAGAGTGTGGGCCAATATTCAACATTCTTAAAGAAAAGAATTTTCAACCCAGAATTGCATATCCAGCCAAACTAAGCTTCATAAGTGAAGGAGAAATAAAATCCTTTACAGACAAGCAAATGCTGAGAGATTTTTGTCACCACCAGGCCTGCCCTAAAAGAGCTCCTGAAGGAAGCACTAAACATGGAAAGGAAAAACTGGTACCAGCCGCTGCAAAATCATGCCAAAATGTAAAGACCATCCAGACTAGGAAGAAACTGCATCAACTAACGAGCAAAATAACCAGCTAACATCATAATGACAGGATCAAATTCACACATAACAATATTAACTTTAAATGTAAATGGACTAAATGCTCCAATTAAAAGACAGACTGGCAAATTGGATAAAGAGTCAAGACCCATCAGTGTGCTGTATTCAGGAAACCCATCTCACGTGCAGAGACACACATACGCTCAAAATAAAAGGATGGAGGAAGCTCTACCAAACAAATGGAAAACAAAAAAAGGCAGGGGTTGCAATCCTAGTCTCTGATAAAACAGACTTTAAACCATCAAAAATCAAAAGAGACAAGGCCATTACATAATGGTAAAGGGATCAATTCAACAAGAAGAGCTAACTATCCTAAATATATATGCACCCAATACAGGAGCACCCAGATTCATAAAGCAAGTCCTGAGTGACCTACAAAGAGACTTAGACTCCCACACATTAATAATGGGAGATTTTAACACCCCACTGTCAACATTAGACAGATCAATGAGACAGAAAGTCAACAAGGATATCCAGGAATTGAACTCAGCTCTGCACCAAGCAGACCTAATAGACATCTACAGAACTCTCCACCCCAAATCAACAGAATATACATTTTTTTCAGCACCACACCACACCTATTCCAAAATGGACCACATACTAGGAAGTAAAGCTCTCCTCAGCAAATGTAAAAGAACAGAAATTATAACAAACTATCTCTCAGACCACAGTGCAATCAAACTAGAACTCAGGATTAAGAATCTCACTCAAAACCGCTCAACTACATGGAAACTGAACAACCTGCTCCTGAATGACTACTGGGTACATAACAAAATGAAGGCAGAAATAAAGATGTTCTTTGAAACCAACGAGAACAAAGACACAACATACCAGAATCTCTGGGACACATTCAAAGCAGTGTGTAGAAGGAAATTTATAGCACTAAATGCCCACAACAGAAAGCAGGAAAGATCCAAAATTGACACCCTAACATCACAATTAAAAGAACTAGACAAGCAAGAGCAAACACATTCAAAAGCTAGAAGAAGGCAAGAAATAACTAAGATCAGAGCAGAACTGAAGGAAATAGAGACACAAAAAACCCTTCAAAAAATTAATGAATCCAGGAGCTGGTTTTTTGAAAGGATCAACAAAATTGATAGACCGCTAGCAAGACTAATAAAGAAAAAAAGAGAGAAGAATCAAATAGACCCAATAAAAAATGATAATGGGGATATCACCACCGATCCCACAGAAATACAAACTACCATCAGAGAATACTACAAACACCTCTACGCAAATAAACTAGAAAATCTAGAAGAAATGGATAAATTCCTGGACACATACACTCTCCCAAGACTAAACCAGGAAGAAGTTGAATCTCTGAATAGACCAATAACAGGAGCTGAAATTGTGGCAATAATCAATAGCTTACCAAACAAAAAGAGTCCAGGACCAGATGGATTCACAGCCGAATTCTACCAGAGGTACAAGGAGGAACTGGTACCATTCCTTCTGAAACTATTCCAATCAATAGAAAAAGAGGGAATCCTCCCTAACTCATTTTATGAGGCCAGCATCATTCTGATACCAACGCCGCGCAGAGACACAACCAAAAAAGAGAATTTTAGACCAATATCCTTGATGAATATTGATGCAAAAATCCTCAATAAAATACTGGCAAAACGAATCCAGCAGCACATCAAAAAGCTTATCCACCATGATCAAGTGGGCTTCATCCCTGGGATGCAAGGCTGGTTCAATATACGCAAATCAATAAATGTAATCCAGCATATAAAGAGAGCCAAAGACAAAAACCACATGATTATCTCAATAGATGCAGAAAAGGCCTTTGACAAAATTCAATAACACTTCTTGCTAAAAACTCTCAATAAATTAGGTATTGATGGGATGTATTTCAAAAGAATAAGAGCTATCTATGACAAACCCACAGCCAATATCATACTGAATGGGCAAAAACTGGAAGCATTCCCTTTGAAAACTGGCACAAGACAGGGATGCCCTCTCTCACCACTCCTATTCAACATAGTGTTGGAAGTTCTGGCCAGGGCAATTAGGCAGGAGAAGGAAATAAAGGGTATTCAATTAGGAAAAGAGGAAGTCAAATTGTCCCTGTTTGCAGATGACATGATTGTATAGCTAGAAAACCCCATCATCTCAGCCCAAAATCTCCCTAAGCTGATAAGCAACTTCAACAAAGTCTCAGGATACAAAATCAATGTACAAAAATCACAAGCATTCTTATACACCAACAACAGACAAACAGAGAGCCAAATCATGAGTGAACTCCCATTCACAATTGCTTCAAAGAGAATAAAATACCTAGGAATCCAACTTACAAGGGATGTGAAGGACCTCTTCAAGGAGAACTACAAACCACTGCTCAAGGAAATAAAAGAGGATACAAACAAATGGAAGAACACTCCATGCTCATGGGTAGGAAGAATCAATATCGTGAAAATGGCCATACTGCCCAAGGTAATTTACAGATTCAATGCCATCCCCATCAAGCTACCAATGCCTTTCTTCACAGAATTGGAAAAAACTACTTTCAAGTTCATATGGAACCAAAAAAGAGCCTGCATCACCAAGTCAATCCTAAGCCAAAAGAACAAAGCTGGAGGCATCACACTACCTGACTTCAAACTATACTACAAGGCTACAGTAACCAAAACAGCATGGTACTGGTACCAAAACAGAGATATAGATCAATGGAACACAACAGAGCCCTCAGAAATAACGCCGCATATCTACAACTATCTGATCTTTGACAAACCTGAGAAAAACAAGCAATGGGGAAAGGATTCCCTATTTAATAAATGGTGCTGGGAAAACTGGCTAGCCTTATGTAGAAAGCTGAAACTGGATCCCTTCCTTACACCTTATACAAAAATCAATTCAAGATGGATTAAAGACTTAAACGTTTGACCTCTAATTAAACTAAAGAGCTTCTGCACAGCAAAAGAAACTACCATCAGAGTGAACAGGCAACCTACACAATGGGAGAAAATTTTCGCAACCTACTCATCTGACAAAGGGCTAATATCCAGAATCTACAGGGAACTCAAACAAATTTACAAGCAAAAAACAAACAACCCCATCAAAAAGTGGGCGAAGGATATGAGCAGACACTTTTCAAAAGAAGACATTCATGCAGCCAAAAGACACATGAAAAAATGCTCATCATCACTGGCCATCAGAGAAATGCAAATCAAAACCACAATGACATACCATCTCACACCAGTTAGAATGGTAATCATTAAAAAGTCAGGAAACAACAGGTGCTGGAGAGGATGTGGAGAAATAGGAACACTTTTACACTGTTGGTGGGACTGTAAACTAGTTCAACCATTGTGGAAGTCAGTGTGGCAATTCCTCAGGGATCTAGAACTAGAAATACCATTTGACCCAGCCGTCCCATTACTGGGTATATACCCAAAGGATTATAAATCATGCTGCTATAAAGACACATGCACACGTATGTTTACTGCGGCATTATTCACAATAGCAAAGACTTGGAACCAAGCCAAATGTCCAACAATGATAGACTGGATTAAGAAAATGTGGCACATATACACCACGGAATACTATGCAGCCATAAAAAATGATGAGTTCATGTCCTTTGTAGGGACATGGATGAAATTGGAAACCATCATTCTCAGTAAACTATCGCAAGAACAAAAAACCAAACACCGCATATTCTCACTCATAGGTGGGAACTGAACAATGAGATCACATGGACACAGGAAGGGGAACATCACACTCTGGGGACTGTTGTCGGGTGGGGGGAGGGGGGAGGGATAGCACTGGAAGATATACCTAATGCTAGATGACGAGTTAGTGGGTGCAGCATACCAGCATGGCACATGTATACATATGTAACTAACCTGCACAATGTGCACATGTACCCTAAAACTTAAAGTATAATAATAATAAAAAAATTAAAAAAAAAGGAAGAAGAGAAATTGTATCTGTTTGCTGATGACATGATCTTATGTGTAGAAAACCCTAAAGCCTCCACCAAAAAACTGTTAGAACTGATAAACGAAGTAAAGTTGCAGGGTACAAAATCAACAGACAAAAATCAGTAGCATTTCTTTACACTAACAACTAATAATCTGGAAAAAAAATTAAGAAATCAATTCTATTCACAATAGCCTCCAAAAAGTATATATATTTAGGATTAAATTTAACCAAGGAGGTGAAAGATCTGTAGGCTGAAAACTATAAAACACTGATGAAAGAAACTGTAGACAATACAAATAAATATAATGGTATCCCATGTTCAGGGATTGGAATCTTTAATGTTGTTAAAATGCCTACAATACCCAAAGCAATTTACAGATTCAATGCAATCTCTATCAAAATTCCAATGCTGTTTTTCACAGAAATAGAAAAAATAATCCTAAAATTCATATAAAACCACAAAAGACGTCAAACAGACAAAGCAATCTTGAGCAAAACAAAGCTGGAGGCATCACACTACCTAGCTTCAAAATCTACTACAAACTATAGTAATCAATACAGAACATACTGGCATAAAAACGGAAATACTGACCAACAGAACAGGATAGAAAGCCCAGAAATAAACCTACAAATTATGGTCAACTGGCTTTCAACAAAGTTACCAAGAACACAAAACAGAGAAAGGACAGTCTCTTCAATACAGCAGTCTCCCCTTATCTGTGAGGGATACGTTCCAAGACCCCCTGCAGATAGGAACCCTAGATATACTATGTTTATTCAATCTGATAAACTAGACAGCTATTAAGTGACTAATGAGCAGGTAGCATATACAGCATGGATATGCTGGACAAAGGATGATTTCCCAGGCAGGACAAGGCAGGACGGCACAAGATTTCATCACACTACTCAGGATGACACATAATTTAAAACGTAAGAATTGTTTATTTTGTGGAATTTTCCATACACTATTTTCAGATCATGGTTGACCAAGATTAACTCAAACTGCAGAATGCAAAACCACAGATAAGGTGAAACTACTGTAAATGGTGCTAGGAAAACTGGATATCCACAAGGAAAAGAATAAAAGTGGACCATTATCTCACACCATACACAAAAATCAACTCAGAATGGATTAAAAACTTAAATGTAAGACCTGAAACTGTCAAACTACTAGAAGAAAACATAGGAAAATAGTTACATGACATTGGTCTGAGCAATTTTTAGTTTTTTTAGATATAACCCCAAATATACAGGCAACAAAGGCAAAAATAAAACAGGACTGCATCAACTAAAAAGCTTCTGCACAGCAAAGGAAACAATTAATGGATTGAAGAGACAATCCACAGATTGAGAGAAAATATTTAAAAACCATTTATCTGATAAAGGGCTAATATCCAAAATATATAAGGAACTCAAACTGAATAGCAAGAAAACAACTTAATCAAAAAACGGGCAAAGGACCCAACAGACATTTCTCAAAAGAAGACAATAAACAGATGAATCTCAGCAAATCACAAGCAGCCAAGCTTCAGCCAATCACAAGCTGCCAACTGATCAGACCATGTTCAAATAAGGCAAAGGAGGAACTGTTAACTAATCAATCTATATACGTACTTGCTTCTCTTTTCTGTCTATACTTACTGCCCAGGTTGCACAGCAGAGCTCTCTGAACCTTTTCTGGTTCTGAGTGCTGCCCAATTCATGTACCATTCTTTGCTCAAATAAATTCTGCCACATTTACATTGTCTAAAGTTTTTCTTTTAACATAGAGACAAAAACTGGAAACAATTCATCAACTGGAGAATGGATAAACCTGTGGTATACACTACTCTCAATAAAAAAGAATGATTTTATACACCCATCAACATGGATTAATCTCAAAATAATTATGCTGAGTCAAAGAAGCCACACAAAGAGTATATACTGTATAATTTATACAAAATTCTAGAAAATAGAAACTAATCTCTAGTGGTGGAAAAGCAGATCAGCTAATCTCCTAGGAATGTGGGTGGGTGGGCAAAAGGAGGGCCTACAAAGGGCTGAGAAGAAACTTTTGGGGTATATTTCCAGTATCTTCAGTGTGGTTATGATTTCACAGGAATATACACATGCCAAAATTTATCAAGCTGAACACTTGAAATATATGCATTTAATTTTATGTTTAAATATTAATAACTGGTAGCAAGCCTGGTTAAAATGAAAAGCAAGATCCTTTTAATGCATTAAATTTGAAAATTATGGCCACAATCTTTCTCTTCAGAAAATAGCTCTTCCAAAAGTATATCTCAATGCTAAGGATCAGAAACACGATTACTAATCACAAAGAAAGCATATGCCAAAAACAGTACTCTAACTAACCTAGTATAATATAATTTGGCATGGGAAAAAGGAAATGTGGTGGATTTCAACATTGTTAATTCAATTATAGTCCAGAGTACCTCAGTCCTCCATTAAATTTGGTAGAAATTAGATTTAAAATACTGTCATTTCATTGTTGACCAAAAAGACATTTTACTATAATCATTCAATGAGTGTCATGTGGATACCGTTACTAAAATGGACTTCATATTCTGCTTAGAATTCATGAAAAAGTCATGAAAACAGATCCAATCTAACTGCTAAGCACTGGTATGCCTTGGTGCTTTTTGTATCATATTAAATGCCACCTCTATCCCTATCTACCTGTCATTTATACTGAAGAGACGGAGAAAAATGAATTATTTCCTTAGCTAAATTTAACCATTAAGTTTTATTTTAGGCCGGGTACAGTGTCTCATGCCTGTAATGCCAGCACTTTGGGAGGCCAGGGCGGGAGGATTGTTTGGGCCCAGGAGTTCAAGACAAGCCTGGGCAATGTAGAGAGACCCCATTTCTACAAAAAATACAAAATTTAAAAATTAAAAATAATAATAAATTAGCCTGGCATGGTGGTGCATGCCTGTGGTCCCAGCTACTTGGAAGGCTGAGGTGCAAGGATTCCTTGGGCCGGGAAGGTCAAGGTTGCAGTGAGCTGTGATCATGCCACTGCACTCCAGCCTGGGCAAGAGAGCAAGACTGTCCCAAAAAAAAAAAAGAAAATTATTTTAGACAGAAGCCAAAGTGTACACTCCATCTCTATGCAGAGATTTCTAGTCTCCAAGATAATCAGTCTCAGTTCCATCATATTGCTATGAAGACAAGAATGCATTTTTAAAGAAATTAAGTTATCCATGCTGTGTCTAAATACTTTTAGGGCAGTCACAAAGAAAAATTATGCTAGTTTTGCATCATCCCAAATGGCACAACTCCAATGAATGAGTACAGGCTGTATGTTCTACCTATTAGTACATCTTTCTGTTGTCACTGCTGCCTAAAAGTGGAATGTCCTGCCTTAGGGTATCTGTTATCAGAGGTCAGGATGTTAGGATCATGATTCAAAAGTCCTACTGATAGATGATTTAGACAAACTTTATTTAAGATTCCTTCCAAACCTCAGATCTTCTTATAAGTTAAAAATAAAATCGATTTTTAAGTGCCCAATCCACTACAATTCAAAAGTCTTAAATTTCAGCTGATAAACTACAAGAAGCCAAAGGCATAGGTCTTCCAGTAACATTTTGAGTACTTTCCACTTTTCCTCAAGAAACAGTAGCTTAAATTATCAGGCCTTGACCCTATTAAATCACTCTGACATTGAATGAAAAATAAGTACTTAAATATATGTCCCATTTTTATGCATGATCATTTAATGTCAAATACCAATTCCTTTCTTCTTCTCAAAGAAATACAGATCTGTCAGGGACAAATATAGACCTGTAAGAAATCTAGTTCAATTTCCTCACTTTACAGGCCCAGAAAGGTAAAGAAACTTGACTTAAAATCACTTAATTAGTACAATGTCTATTAGCACTGCAATAAATCACTGTCATTTATTTCCTCTGTGAATACACTGTAAAGAAATGCATATAATCATTCACTTAAACAGTTTAAGTGAAAAGTCATCTGGGCAATAATGTAGCCAGTGGCGACACTAAGACTCAACACATTTTTGTTTGATTCTTGCTATTATTTGCTGGTGCTGTTAACATTCCAAGACCATAAAAGTGTAAGATGTAGTTGAGTTACAGAAGTGGGTACAGGTGAGGGTAGGTGTAAATGAGGCAAAAACGTTAAAGGGGAAAGAAGCTATTTCTAATTGCTGGAATTTCAGAATCTGCTTGTCTTAAAAAAAAAAAAAAGAGTCATGAGGCAACAAAAACGGACTACTCCTGGTAAGTCATAATGATACAACCACTTTGTAAATAATTTCGCAACTTTCTTATAAAGGTATATATACATTTACCATGCTCCCCAACAAACCCACTCCTAAGAGAAATGAAAACATGTCCAGACAAAGAATATGGCTGAAGGAGGCAGTATAGAATAGCAGTTAAGAAAAGAGGTGCTGGTTGGACACGGTGGCTCAGGCCTGTAATCCCAGAACTTCGGGAGGCTGAGGTGGGTGGATCACTTGAGGTCAGGAGTTCAAGACCAGCCCGGCCAACATGGTGAAACCCCCGTCTCTATTAAAAACACAAAAATTAGGCTGGGCACGGTGGCTCACACCTGTAATCCTGGCACTTTGGGAGGCCGAGGCAGGCGGATCACCCGAGGTCGGGAGTTCGTGACCAGCCTCACCAACATGGAGAAACCCTGTTTCTACTAAAAATACAAAAATAGCCAGGCGTGGTGGTGCATGCCTATAATCCCAGCTACTGGGGAGGCTGAGGCAGGAGAATCTCTTGAACCCGGGAGGCGGAGGTTGCAGTGAGCTGACATCGCACCATTGCACTCCAGCCTGGGCAACAAAAGCAAAACTCCGTCTCAAAAAAAAAAAGCAACCAAAACTTAGCCGGGCAGTAGTGGCGCGTGCCTGTAATCCCAGCTACTTAGGAGGCTGAGGCAGGAGAATCGCTTGAGCCGGGGAGGCAGAGGTTGCAGTGAGCCAAGATCTCGTCACCGCATTGCAGTCTGGGCAAGAGAGTAAGACCCTGTCTCAAAAACAAAATAAAATAAAATAAGATAAAAAAAGAAAAAGGAGGTGCTGCTATCAAACTGTCTTCAGGGTTTGAAATCTGGCTCTGCCACTTACTAAGTGTACTGATTTCAGACAGGTTATTCCCCTCTCTCCATGCCTCAAAAAATAGGGGTATCAGAAAGGGAAGGGGGCTTAATATTATGATGATACATTATGCTAGCAATTAGCAAGTCAGAGTTGTTTTTTAGTCAGAGGACTTTTAACTTTTTTAATTTTTTTTTTTTTTTGAGACGGAGTCTTGCTCTGTCTCCCAAACTAGAGTGCAGTGGCGTGATCTTGGCTCACTGCAACCTCCATCTCCCAGGTTCAAGTGATTCTCCTGCCTCAGCCTCCCGAGTAGCTGGAATTACAGGCACGCGCCACCACGCCCGGCTAATTTTTATATTTTTAGTAGAGACAGGGTATCACCATGTTGATCAGGCTGGTCTCGAACTCCTGACCTCGTGATCTGCCTGCCTCGGCCTCCCAAAGTGCTGGGATTACAGACATGAGCCACCGCACCCAGCCCTTTTAAAATTTTTTAATTGAAATATAATTCTACATATTTATGGGGTACATAGTGATGTTTCAGTAAATAAAATGTATAGTGGTCGGGGTAATTGGCATACCCACCATTTCAAACATTTATCATTTCTTTGTGTTGGGAACATTCAATAATTCTCCTTTTAGCTATTTGAAGCTATATGTTATTAACTATAGTCATCCTCCCGGGCCATAGAACACTAGAACGTATTCCTCCTATCTAGTTGTAATTTTGTGTCCTTTAACCCCATCTCTCCTCTCTCCTTCTTCCCCCTACCCTTGCCAGTCTCAGAGGACATTTTAAAACACATATACACACCCACAGCAACGGTAGTGTACAATACAGTATTTAAGAGTTTATGTGTATTTTGTGTATGGTCAAATAAATATAGTTTCCAATTCTGACTGCCACAGAGAATTGTTGGGAGGTTACCTCCCTGAGATTTGGTTTCACTAACTATAAAACGAAGACAATGCCACCTCAGAGAATTATTGTAAGAATGTAGTAAGATGTATAAAGTGTTTACTTATTACAATGCTTGACATATCATAGCTAAAAAACGGAAACTATTTTATTATGCAATATGCACATTATAACTAGAATGACCATTCATCCTTCTTTGCTTGTGATAGTCACAATTTATGCCAATTTTTAAACATAATTTTTTTTTTTTTTTTTTGAGACGGAGTCTCGCTCTGTCACCCAGGCTGGAGTGCAGTGGCGCGATCTCGGCTCACAGCAAGCTCCACCTCCCAGGTTCACGCCATTCTCCTGCCTCAGCCTCCCGAGGAGCTGGGACTACAGGCACCCGCCACCACGCCTGGCTAATTTTTTGTATTTTTAGTAGAGACAGGTTTCAATGTGTAAGCCAGGATGGTCTCAATCTCCTGACCTCATGATCCGCCCGCCTCGGCCTCCCAAAGTGCTGGGATTACAGGCGTGAGCCACTGCGCCAGGCCTACAACATAATTATTAATGGCCATTCTCTATCTTGATATGTTCCAGTTTCGATGATAAATTATATGGTCACCCTAATTTATAACTAAAATACTGTCAAGATTTTTCCTTTATTTAGTTCTTTGTTCTCTTATTCCCTTTTTAGTGACATTTTCTCTTTCTTATCCAACTCACTGTCCCCCTTTTCCAACCTCTCTCTTGCTCTCACTTGTTCTCACTCCCCTTATCCAGGTGCTTGGCAACCTCAATGCTGCAAGTCCAGGTTCTGTGGTCCTAAACTCCTCAGTAATGGCATGTTTTTCAAATCTTATTTTTCTCAAATTCCCATCCATCCTTTCACTGAATTCCAGAATAAAAGCTAGTGACCCTAAAAACACTACCACGATCACCAACAATGGGATTAATATTCTAGTTCTCTAAGGATAACAACACTTTAACAGGAAACTCCAAGAGAGACAACACCTTAAGCCAAAGTAGAGAAACTAACAGCATAAATGTCAGATACTGTGACAGGCTGGGTAGGATAGACCATTTGAGAACTTTACTCTTCGAATCAAATAATTTAGGTGGGTTTCTACTAAATACCTATATCAGAACAGCCCTGATTCCCTCCTTTTTGCTGGTTCTCAGACAATCCAGTCAAAATACCAAAGGCTCAAAAACTAACATTACATTAATAGTTCTTAAGGGTTTTGTCCTATGCCCTCATCTTTCACTCTACAAATGCTCCCCTAGGTTATTTCAATCACTCCCCTGAGTTCGATTAGCATCAATGCTGATCGCCAAATCTACATTTCCAGCCCACAGCTGTCTCCAGCCCAAAGCTCTCCAGCCTAGTTGTCTTTTAATTTAGCCTCACACCCAGCTGCATGTAGTGCAGCTCCACAGGATGTGCTACCTCTGCTTCAAACTTTACTGAACCCTGCTTCTTAACTCAACTCTGCTTCTTTCTTACCATTACCCACCCCAATCCTATTCAATTTATTTTCATTAAATTCCCTCTCATCTACCCAGTTTACGAAGCCAGAAACAAGCATGTTATCCTTAACTTTTGCCTTTCCATCTCATCCCCCACAGCCAAACGGCCATGTTCTATTTGTCCAATCTGTTTCTCCCCAACACTAAGTCACCAGTAGAGTTCTAGGCACCACCATCATCTCTCAACGAATACCATAATAGCTGCTAACTGACCCCTGGTAACCACTCTTAGTCCCTCCAATTTGTTCCCCATTTTGGCTAGAATGATACTTCTAAAATGAATGTCTGATCATGTTATTCCTGACGTAAAACCCCCTTTAATGACTATTATCCTCAGGAAAGTCTCCTCGTATGACTTCTCAGGGCCTTTACCATTTGGTCCCCACATTTCTCTTCAACCTCATTTACTACCTCTTCCATTTGATACCCCATGACTGTGCCATCCAACCATTCTCAATTTCTTTCTGTTGCCTACAGGACATCACACTTACTGTTCACTTCTTTCTGTCTGGCATACTCTTCAGAACTTGATATGGCTATCATTTCCTTCAGGAATCATTCCCCAATCCCCCAAGTCTATTCAGGCCCTCTTCCAATATACCTTGTACCTTCCTTTCAGGGCATTTATATTACAGAGGTTATTAATCCTGGCTGCACCTCCAAATAATGGGAGAAACTTAGTCCCAGAATTTCAGATTCAGAAATGTGGCAAAATGGCATTCAATTCTGGGTGTCAGATTTAGCTTAGCAAAAAGCACAAGGGGAAGATATGACAGCCTTCAAAGATTTGTAGGTCTTAGCATAGCATGGGAAAGAGGAAGCCAACTTGTTATGGGGTACCAAAGATGGTGGTAACAAAGCCACTATGCAGAAGTTTCAGGAAGGCAATTTTTGGTTTAAAAAAAAGAAAGAACTATCTACAAGTCTAACTGCCCCCAAAAAGATACTGGGATGCCTAGAAAGTGGTGAATTCACAGTCACTAGAGGTTAAGTATCAGGGACCCTAAAAGAATTCCTATATTTGTGACGTCATACTAAATAATATCCACAGTTCAAATCAATTCTAAGATTCTATGGTACCTAAATTCATAAAATATTTTAAAGATGCCGGGCGCGGTGGCTCATGCCTGTAATCCGAGCACATTGGGAGGCCAAGGCGGGTGGATCACCTGAGATCGGATCACCTGAGTTCGGGAGTTCAAGACCAGACTCACCAACATGGAGAAACCCCATCTCTACTTAAAAAAAAAATAAAAATTAGCCAGGCATGGTGGTGCCTGCCTGTAATCCCAACTACTCAGGAGGCTGAGGCAGGAGAACCGCTTGAACCCAGGAGGCAGAGGTTGCGCTGAGCCGAGATTTTTCCATTGCACTCCAGCCTGGGCAACAAGAGTAAAACTCAAAAAAAAAAAAAAATTTAAAGATGACTAGACAGCAGCTGAATGAAAGCACATTACTCTAACCCACTCTAACAGGAAGCATAACTTCCTAAAAAATTAGATTTAACTGCCTATTTTACAAATAACTCAGTGAAACTACTCATAAAAATAGCTAAATACATTACGTTTTCGTGTATTAACTTTTTAAAGAAAAAAATGAAAAACTGTCATTAAGATTGGAAATAGGGAGAGTCTCCTAGTTTTTATTTGACCCTGTGTGAAAAGCCAAAAGAAACCAAGATGCTGATTTGTCGATCGATTATTTCTCAAAGGGTAAAATGACATCAAAAAGGCTTTTTTAGGATGTGGTAACTTTTATAATTTTTATAATTTTTAATTTTTATTTACTTATTTATTTATTTATTTTTGAAATGGAGTCTTGCTCTGTCACCCAGGCTGGAGTGCAGTGGCACAATCTTGACTCACTGCAAGCTCCGCCTCCCGGGTTCACGCCATTCTCCTGCCTCAGCCTCCCAAGTAGCTGGGACTACAGGCACCCGCCACCACGCCCAGCTAGTTTTTTTGTATTTTTAGTAGAGACGAGGTTTCATCATGTTAGCCAGGATGGTCTCGATCTCCTGACCTCGTGATCCACCCGCCTCGGCCTCCCAAAGTGCTGGGATTACAGGGGTGAGCCACCGCACCCGGCCAGGATGCAGTAACTTTTAAAAAGACTTTGTACACTAACAAATATTTGTTTTCTCATGTATACATGAGAAAGAGGGAAAGATGAGAAAGAGTTAAAGGTTTCTTAACGCCTTATGTAATTATAACAGTTATGGGTACAAGAAAAACAATGGAGAAGAATGGAACTAAATAACAGCCTCATTCTCTCTGCTGTCATATTTTATTGTATCTTCAGGTCAAAGTGATCTGGAAAGAAGCCATTTTTGCACGAGAAAGAACAAAAATGCAAAAAAAAAAAAAAAAGAATATAAAGTATTTAATCTGAAGTCATCCTTTTCCTATGACTTTTATAAAAAGCACAAAAAATGTCTAAATTAGTTACTGTCATCTTTAACTCACTACTATTTATATCTCCATACTTTTATTTTACAACTTAGAGAAAACATTCTACTTTCATCAAAATTTTAGTTTTAATAAATATGCTGCAATCTTAGGTTGGAGTTATTAAGAGAGGTGGAGTGGTCTTTTCTCCCCACAAGGAAATCTTTTATAATAATCTTCAATAAAAAAAAGAAAGAAAGAAAGAAAAAGAACTTGCAAAACATTATGTTTCCATACAACTTTACAAAACACATTTTCATATATGAAAGACTACTATAGAGAAGCAACATAATCAAACTGTAAAGCCTCTGTTATGGGTTGAATTTGCCCACTCCTCTCCCAAAAAGATATGTTGAAATCCTAACCCCCCCAGTACCTCTGAATGTGACCTTACGTTGCAGATGTTACTAGTTAAAATGAGATCATACTGGAGTAGAGTGGGCCCCTAATCCAATATGATTGTTGTCCTTTTAAGAAGCCAACAGTATGAAAACAGAGACACAGAAGGAGAAGGCCATGTGATGACAAAGGCAAGAGACTGGAGTAAAGCAGCTGCAAGCCAACGACTGCCAGCAAACCATCTGAAGCTAAGGTAAAGCAAGAAAGGTTTCCCCTCCAGGTTTCATGGGGAACACAGCGCTGTTGACACCCTGATTTTGGACTTCTAACCTTCAGAACTGTGAGACAACACATTTCTGTTGTCTTAAGCCACCTAGTTTGTGATACCTTGTTGTGGCAAACCCAGGAAATGAATACAGCCTCCATTTGATGAGGAGAGCAAAAAAAGTCACACAAATCTAAGTGTTATAATCATGTTCACTATAATCCATTACCCAATCAAAACAGGATTTTGGCCTTGCTTCAGTGTGGTCACTGTCTACATGGTCTCCAGCTCATCAAAACGGAATCCACGTTTCTATTAAATATCCCACTTATTCAGTATCTAGGCTAGACAGTTATCTAGGCCACCAAGTTTAATAAAAGTGTGTCTGTTTTCCCATGTGTTACAGGACAGTCGTGTTCGTATTTTATATTGTACATATTTTGACCAGATAGTACATACCCATAGTAAAACTGGATAAAAAGAAATGTGTTGGCCGGGTGCGGTGGCTCACGCCTGTAATCCCAGCACTTTGGGAGGCTGAGGCAGGCAGATCATGAGGTCAGGAGGTCGAGACCACCCTGGCTAACACGGTGAAACACCATCTCTACTAAACAAAATACAAAAACTTAGCCGGGCACGGTGGCGGGCGCCTGTAGTCCCAGCTACTTGGGAGGCTGAGGCAGGAGAATGGCGTGAACCCGGGAGGTGGAGCTTGCAGTGAGCCGAGATCGTGCCACTGCACTCCAGCCTGGGTGACAGAGCAAGACTCTGTCTCAAAAAAAAAAAAAAAAGTGTTTCACCCTCACTCTTCTGTCCACAAATCATCCTGTTCCCCGCTCCAGAGAGAAACATTATTACTAGTTTATTCTATGTTTTTCCAGTAAGATTCCATGCATTTATAAAAATACTATATATACTTATGTATGTGACGCATTTAAATGGTAGCATACTCTACACATTCTGAACCTTTTGTTAACCACTTCACATGTGTCTTGGAGACCATTCTGTATATGTAGAACTTGTTTTTCATTTGCAGTACAATATTCCATTATATGGATGCACCATAATATATTTAACCAATCCTCTACAGATAGACATTAAGGTCACTGCCAATACTTATCTTTATCACGATGATGCTGTAATAGCTATCTTTTTTTGTTGTTTTGGTTTTTTGTTTTGGTTTGGTTTTTTTTTTTTCAAAGTCTCAATCTGTCACCCAGGCTGGAGTGCAATGGCATCAACTCAGCTTACTGCAACCTCCACCTCCTGGGTTCAAGTGATTCTCATGCCTCAGTCTCCCAAGTAGCTAGGATTACAGGTGCCCACCTCCATGCCTATTTTTTTTTTTTGAGACTTAGTCTCACTCTGCCACCCAGAATGGAGCGCAGTGGCATGATCTCGGCTCACTGCAACCTCCGCCTCCCAGGTTCAAGCGATTGTCCTGCTTCAGCCTCCCGAGTAGCTGGGACTACAGGTGCATGCCATCACGCCTGGCTAATTTTTTGTATTTCTAGTATAGACAGGGTTTCACCATGTTAGCCAGGATGGTCTTGATCTCCTGACCTCATGACCCGCCCACCTCGGCCTCCCAAAGTGCTGGGACTACAGGTGTGAACCACTGCACCCAGCCTAATTTTTCTATTTTTAGTAGAGACGGAGTTCTGCCATGTTGGCCAGGCTGGTCTCGAACTCCTGACCTCAAGTGATCTGCCCGCCTCAGCCTCCCAAAGGGCTGGAATTACAGGCGTGAGCCACCACGCCCGGCCATGTACTGGCTTTTTATTATCCTTTCACTGAACTCTTTCTTTGCCATCCTATTTATAACTGCAATCTCCTGTTCCCTACCCTAGTAGTCACCATCTCCCTCCCATGCTTTATTTTTCCTCATAGTACTTTTTTAAGTTATCTGGCATTCTATATATTTCACTCATTTGTTGCTTGTCTACATCAACTAGAATGTAGGGCTCCATAAACACAAGAACTTTTGTCTCTTTCATTCGAAACTAAATCCCTAGTATCTGAGTGTCTGGCAAATAGCTAGTGCGCAGTATTTATTCAATAATTGAATGGTTTTATTTGATCCCAGAAAAGGGACAACATACCTTTCCTTCAAGGCAAAGTAAGTCACAGTTCCCAAACTGATGAGTAATTTGTCCTCTTTATCTTGTATTAATTTTCTATATTATGTCAAATAAAATTATTATATTTTTGTGTGATCCAGATTTGGATCACAGAGTATATCAGATTGGATATACTCTGTGAAGCCAGGAATTCCCAATTTAATTCAGCCTATCCGCTTAAAGATAATGTTTTCTGGTCTTTCTCAATATTGTGCGTACTTTTCAAACAGTGTATACTTGACTCTGCATCCTTGTATGTAGTGGCCCTCCTGCATTGACAATATCATTAACACACAATTTCTTCTACCAGCTGTACATTTTCACCAGAAGAGTGGCTCAGTGTGACATTACTTCCAGTAAATACAGGGGGTCCTGAAATGCCAACTAGCTTATCTTAAAGCAGCCAATACATATCGAATTTGTCCCAGTTGCCTTTATAAGGAGTTAAGACACGCAGTAAGTTGCGTCACTCTATGGCAGAGCGATCAGTCTGTATTTCAGTCAGGACCTGGCACACCAGGGCCTAAAAGTAAAATGACTGTTGACAAACTGTTCATTGGGAAGGGGAGAAGGTAATACTTTACAGAAAAATAAAGAACATAAGAAAAGTAAGTTCTTACTTGTCTTAGCCTGTTCAGGCTGCTATAACAAAATACCATAAACTAGGTAGCCTATACACAATGAAAATTTGTTTCTCATAGTTGTGGAAGCTGGGAAGTCCAAGATCAAGGCACTGGTGGATTCAGAGTCTGGTGAGGGCCCACTTTTTTTTTTTTTTTTTTTGAGACGGAGTTTTGCTCTCGTCACCCAGGCTAGAGTGCAGTGGCCTGATCTCCACTCACTGCAACCTCCGCCTCCCGGGTTCAAGCGATTCTCCTGCCTCAGCCGCCCCGGTAACCGGGATTACAGGCACCCGCCACCACGTCCAGCTAATTTTTGTATTTTTAGTAGAAACAGGGTTTCACCATGTTGGGCAGGCTAGTCCTGAACTCCTGACCTCAGGTGATCTGCCTGCCTTGGCCTCCCAAAGTGCTGGGATTACAGACGTGAGCCACCGTGCCCGGCTGAGGGCCCACTTTCTCTTAGACGGTACCTTCTCACTGTATCTTCACATGGTAGAAGGGTAGAGCTAACTCTCTGGGGTCTCTTTTACAAGAGCACTAATCCCATTCATGAGGGCCTAATCATCTCTCAAAGGCCTCACCTCCTATTACCATCACGTTGCGGGTTAGAATTTCAACATATGAATTTGAGGGGTGGGGAAGAGAGACGCAAATATTCAGATCAGAGCATTATTCATTTTTAGATTATTAAAATCTGACAAATGTGCAAGTAGTATTATCAAAATATCTCTATCTGTTCATTCATTCAACATTCAAATGAACAACTATGTTCTTTTGCTGTATTATAGTTTGTTTCTGTTTTTTTTTTTTTTTTTTTTTTTTTTTTGAGACAGGGTCTCGCACTGTCACCCAGGCTGAGTGGGTGCAATCTCAGCTCACTGCAGCCTCAATCTCCTGTGCTCAAGCGATCCTCCCACCTCAGGCTCCCAAGGAGCTGGGACTACAGGTGTATGCCACCATGCCAGGCTGATTTTTATTTTATTATTATTTTTATTTTTTTGGTAGAGATGGGGTTTTGCCATATTTCTCAGACTGGTCTTGAACTATCACTTGAGATCTGCCAACCTCAGCCTCCCAAAGTGCTGGGATTACAGGCACAAGCCACCACACCCAGCCCTAACTGTGTACTTTTAAATTACCAAGTTTTTTGTTTTTTGTTTTTTTTTTTTTTTTGAGATGGAGTCTCACTCTGTCACCCGGGCTGGAGTGCAGTCTCGGCTCACTGCAACCTCCGCTTCCTGGGTTGAAGCAATTCTCCTGCCTCAGCCTCCCAAGTGGCTGGGATTACAGGCATGTGCCACCATACCAGGCTAATTTTTGTATTTTTAGTAGAGATGGGTTTTCACCATGTTGGCCAGGCTAGTCTCTAACTCCTGACTTCAGGTGATCCACCCGCCTCAGCCTCCCAAAGTGCTGGGATTACAGATGTGAGCCACTGTGTCCAGCTGGGAAGATATTATTATTATCTTTTTTTTTTTTTTTTTTTTTTTTTGGTGAGACAGAGTCTTACTCTGTCACCAGGCTGGAGTGCAGTGGTACAATCTCGGATCACTGCAACCTCCGCCTCCCAGGCTCAAGCGATTCTCCTGCCTCAGCCTCCCGAGTAGTTGAGACAACAGGCATGCGCCACCATGCCTAGCTAATTTTTTATTTAGTAGAGATGGGGTTTCACCATGTTAGCCAGGATGGTCTCAATCTCTTGACCTCGTGATCCGTCCACCTCTGCCTCCCAATGTGCTGGGATTACAGGTGTGAGCCACCACACCCAGCCAAAGATACTCATTTTTAAGATGCTTAATAATCAAGAGTTAATTCCAAGAGAACATAACAGACTGGTTTCCTAACTAATTTCTCCCCACTTCTACATATGTACAACCTTGTCTATTATGAAGTGCCAAATAAACCCTTAACTTACCAAAGAAACCATCAGAAAGGCTGATGAGTCCCGGGTGGTGTTTGTTATATCAGTATTTTTGAAGGGTTATTTGTATTTAAAGAGCAGAGGGAAAAGGTAATATAAAACTTGCAAGATTACTTAGATGTAAATGGCAGTCTTGATCTTACATGTATTTTGAAAACTATTTCTAAAGAAGAATTCATATTTTTAAAAAAGTTATGGCTATAAAACAATAATTTGGAGATTTACTTCTTTAATGAGAAAAAGGAGCATGCTGGACTCTATAATATTATATTTAGTCTTTTAATGTACCAAACTGAGTTCAAGGGAAGGAGAAAAAAAAGAGTAACTAAACAAAATAAAGATCAAAGTGAAAACAAATCCTTCAAAAACGTAGTTTTCAATTCCGAGTGGATAGTAAAATAAACTGGTGAGCTTCTAAAGCAATATTAATGCCAAAGCCCCACATCAGACAAATTAATCAATTCCTAGGAGTGGTTCCCAGGAACCTGTGTTTTGTTAAGGGTACCACCAGACTATTTTAGTGTACTGCCAGGGTAGGGAACCACCATTCTGAATAAGTCCTTTTTTAAAAAAAAAATCATATACATAAATTCATGGACCATAATAATTCACCTTCATTATATAAACATTTTATAAGTGATTAAGATATGACAATTTGACATGGCTAACCAAATAGCATTAAGAAATAATTAAAAAACAACAACTACAGACCACAGAACAATCTTACTTACAAATCAGGCACACTTATAAATATTTCTCTATAAGGCTTCTTGTGAAAGCCCTCCCCATACCCAAGAGTTTTTATATTGACCGATGTTTTCTCCTAGTATTTTTAAGGTTTTCCTTTTTTATCTTGAACTCTGGGAAAAATCAAGAATTTACCTTGGTATGGAGTAAAAGACAAAGATACAGTTTTCTTTTTTTCTAATTTTTATATTTTGGCAATCACTTCCATGAGGTTCTAATTACTATGTTCGCTGGCCTGTAAAGTACTATAAAAACTACGCTGGTTTCATCATAAAAGTCAGTTATGGCCAGGCATGGTGGCTCATGCCTATAATCCTACCACTCTGGGAGGACGAGGTGTGCAGATCACTTGAGCCCAGGAGTTTGAGATCAGCCTGGGCAACATGGCCAAATCCCGTCTCTACTAAAAATACAAAAATTAACCAGCCAGCCTGGTGCCAGCCTGTAGTCTCTGCTACTCAGGAGTCTGAGATGGGAGGATCATTTGAGCCCTGGGAGGTGGAGGCTGCCATTGACCCCGCGCCACTGCACTCCAGCCTGGGCGACAGAGCCATACCCTGTCTCAAAAAAAAAAAAAACAAAAAAAAAAAAAGAAAGAAAAAAGAAGCAGCCAGTTATACAGTTTCTCAAAACTTTCAAGGTAAAATTAAAAAGTGAAATAATTTACTTCAAAAGATAAATACACGATACCAATTAAGGCAGAAGATAAGCTGTTCCCTTAACTCAAGAGTCCTCAACCCAGTATAAGGTTTGATACTTTCCAGGGGGTACACAGGTCTAGACAATTTTAAGGAAATCAATTTTCAGATCACCAACTGCCTTTTGTGCTCTTCTAAAATTGACGTATCCAAGCACGATTCCTTGTCTCTTCCATCTTTCCTTTCACAATAGCTCTTCTATGTTATAAAAGAAAGTCAAGGCCAGACACAGTAGCTCACACCTATAATCGTAGCACTTTGGGAGGTGGAGGCAGGAGGATCACTTTAGGCCAGGAGGTGAAGACCAGCCTGGGCAACATAGTGAGACCCTGTCTCTACAAAAGTAAAATAAAATAATTAGCCAAGAATGGTGGCACGCACCTGTGATCCTAGCTACTCAAAAGGCTGAGGCAAAAGGACTACTTGAGCCCAGGAGTTTGAGGCTGCAGTAGTGAGTTATGACTGTGCCACTCTACTACAGCTTAGGTGACAGAGCGAGTCCCTGTTTCTAAGAAGGAAAAAAAAAAAGTCATTTCTCTTATTCATCTCAAGTTTTAACATGTTCCTTACCTCAAGAAATCTCCAATGCACCAAAAGGACAATTGGGAGAGACTGGGGAAAAGTCTCATGTGAGCAAAACAAGAAATACTGAAAGAAATGATGCCTTATGCTACAAACTCTTTTTTTTTTTTTTGAGACAGAGTCTCGCTCTGTCACCCAGGCTGGAGTGCAGTGGTGCGATCTCAGCTCACTGCAAGCTCTGCCTCCTGGGTTCATGCCATTCTCCTGCCTCAGCCTCCAGAGTAGCTGGGACTACAGGCGCGTGCCACCACGCCCAGCTAATTTTTTGTATTTTTTAGTAGAGACAGGGTTTCACCATGTTCGCCAGGATGGTCTCGATCTCCTGACCTCGTGATTCACCCGCCTCGGCCTCCCAAAGTGCTGGGATTACAGGCGTGAGCCACTGCACCCGGCCTATGCTACAAACTCTTGACATGACTCCTTGCTTTATCAACCTGTCTTAGAAGTAGAAAGTGAAAGTCACTGAGTGCAGGTACCGATGTGTTTCTTAGAATTAAAAATAAAACCACTTCTGATGAGAAAACATACTCCATTTGGCTGGTTTGACTATGAGGACCAGCAATTAGATTTTATAGCAGTACTTCCCATTAAAGTGAATAACCAAAATCACTTTAAGGTCAAGATCTTAGTCAATACATTATGTAAAAACATATACAACAGACAATACACCAGAAACTAAATCTTTTGCAACCTTTTAAACTTATGATGAAAAACATTAATGTCAGCTCTAAAATGTATTAAGCAGTTTTTACAAAAAAAATGTATAGAATACAGGAGCCAAAACATTTAACAATTACCCTAACTTGCTGACACAGAATACTATTAATAAATAATACTGATCAAAGAAAAGTAATCAATTTGAAAAGTGGTGGGGGTAGAAGGAACAACAACAACCCTTAAATTTCAGTGCCTGAAAATGTCTATACCAAAGCCTCATTCCTTGCTCCTCCAAAGTAGTCAATAGCATCTCTAAAGCAGTTAAGTTTCCAGGTCCTTGCCAAAGTAGTCAGTAGGTATCTCTAAAGCAGTTAAGTTTCCAGGTCAACCTAACTTTCTGTTGCAAGCAACAAATGGTACCAGAAGCTAAAAATCCCTAATTTGCTCTCAAATACTTAGTGAAGAATCTACCAGGCCCAGTGGCTCAAACCTATATTCCCAGCTATCTCAGATACTGAGGCAGAAGGATCATCTGAAGCCAGGGGTTTGGGGCTGTAGTGAGGTATGACTGCACCACTGCACTTCAGCCTGGACCATAGAGTGAGGCTCTCTCTAAAAAAAAAGGAATCGAAATTACAGTATTTGGAAGTTATTTAGCATATGGCTTTTTAATGAGACACTCACCATACTGAAACTACTCAATAGGCTGATATTTCATGAAACTTGGGAGGTAGAAATATCTTCAGATAAAAAAATTACACTTAAGTATCTTCTAGCATTCTCAAAACTTTATTTTATCAGGAACTAAAAAGTGTAACATCTTGATTCCACATTATAAGAGGAAAAGTTGCATTTACTAGTTCACATACTATTTTTAAACATTACCACAATTTTTTTTTTTTTTGAGGCAGGGTCTCCCTCTGTCACCCAGGCTGGAGTGTAGTGGGATGATCATGACCCACTGTAGCCTCAACCTCCGGGGCTTAAGCAATCCTTCTAAGTAGCTGGGACCACCATGCCAAGCTAATTTATTTATTTACTTTTTTGATAGAGATAGAGTCTCACTATTTTGCCCAGGCCGGTCTCAAACTCCTGGGCTCATGCGATCCACCTGCCTCCGTTTCTCAAAGTGCTGGGATTATGGGTGTGAGCCACCACGCCCGGCCACTTCTCCCATTTTTGACAAAATAATAAATGGAGGTAAAATAATCAAATAATAAAAGAAAAAAAATTACATATTAATTCAATTCTATAAAAGCCCAACTATTAGGGAAAAAAGTATGGAGACTTTTACATCTATTGGCAATATTTTACCTATTCAATCCAAAGAGAAACACACTACAAAGAAAATTTCGGTAGGATATGGTGCTTCACACCTGTAATTCCAACACTTTGGGAGGCCGAAGAGGGCGGATCACTGGAACCTAGTAGTTCGAGACCAGCCTGGGCAACATGGCGGAGCCCCATCTCTACAAAAAAATGCAAAAAAAAAGAAAAAAAAGCTGGGCATGGTGGCACACACCTATAGTCCCACCGACTTGGGAGGCTGAGGTGGGAGAATCACCTGACCGCAGGAAGTTGAGGCTGCAGTGAGACATGATCGTGCCACTGCACTCGCCTGGGCATCAGAGTGAGATCCTGTCTCAAAAAAAAAAAAGAAAAAGAAAAAAAATTCTACAAACATCCATTTACTTCCAATGAAACACTACAACTGACACATTATGAAAATAGAACATCAATGGTTCAGATTAAAAGAAAAGAAAAATTTCTGAACAAATCAAATCTAAGTTGAATATTGTTAACCTTACCACCTTTAAAATACAGCTGACCCAAGGCCGGGCGAGGTGACTCACGCCTGTAATCCCAGCACTTTGGGAGGCCAAGGCGGGTGGATTACCTGAGGTCAGGAGTTTGAGACCAGCATGGCCAACATGGTGAAACCCAGTCTCTACTAAAAATACAAAAATTAGCTGGGCATGGTGGCGGGCCCCTATAATCCCAGCTACTTGGGAGACTGAGGCACGAGAATCGCTTGAACCCAGGAGGCAGAGGTTGCAGTCAGCCAAGATTGCGCCACTGCACTCCAGCCTGGGCGACAGAGCAAAACTCCATCTAAAAAAATAAAATAGAATAAAATAGTAAATAAAATACAGTTGACCCATGAACTACACAGGGATTATGGTCCCGGCAACCTGTCAGCCCCTCACTCCATCAAAAATCTGCAAGTAACTTTTGACTCCCAAAAGTTAATAGCCTACTGCTGACCAGGAGCCTTACATTAACAGAAACAGTCCATTAACATGTATCTAGTATATGTATTATATATTGTATTATTACAATAAATTAAGCTAGAGAAAAGAAAATGTTAAGAAAATCATAAAGAAGAGAAAATATAATTACTATTCATTAAGTGGAGTAGATCATCATAAAGTCTTCATCCTTATCATCTTCAAGTTGAGTAGACTGAAGAGAAGGAGGAAAAGGAGGGGTTGGTCTCGCTGTCTCAGGGGTGGCAGAGGCTAAAGAAAGCCTACATGTAAGTGGAATTGCACGGTTCAAACCCATGTTGTTCAAGGGTCAACTGTACGCTGAGTATAAAGCCTTATTACCTAGTAAACAGAGGCTTCTGAAGGCTAGTCATGAAATAGTTGGCATTCATTCCCTCTCACCACTCCCTATACGTGCCTTCTTGTACGTCAAGGGCAGGAATGCTTTATTTAAAAAAAAAAAAAAAAAAAAAAACTGGCCAGGTGCATTTGCTCATGCCTATAATCCCAGCATTTTGAGAGGCCAAGGCAGGAGGATCACTTAAGCCCAGGAGTTCAAGACCAGACTGGGCAATACAGTGAGATCCCATCTCCACAAAAAACAATTTTTTTAATTAGCTGGGTGTGGTGATGAGCACCTATAGTCCCAGCTACTAAGGAGGACCTCTTGAGCCGGGGAGGACTGCTTGGGCCCAGGAGGATTGCTTGAGCCCAGGAGGTTGAGGCTGCAGTGAGCCAAGATCATGTCACTGCACTCCAGCATGGGTGACACAGTGAGACCCTGTCCCCCCAACCAAAAAAAAAAAAAAAAAGCTACATTTCCCAGACTTTCCTTTACAGTTAGTATTGGAAATGCAAACAAGGTTCTGCTAGTTAGACAGCCTCTTATGAGATTTGTAAAGCAGAAGTGATAATGGAAGCTATCTTTCTGTTGCTGATTTAAGTGGTGAGCAATGACACAAAGAAGGTTTAGAAACAATTGTGATAGCCTAACTCTACTCACCAGATATAAAGGCAACTGGAAGAAGCTGTGGTACCAGATTCAGTGTTCCTATGACTACTTACCAGTTTGTTTCCTGACCTCTCAGTCACAGCTATGGGCTTATGTTCTTGAATATATTAATCTAGTGATAACCCTCTGATTCCAGCTCTTCCAGACCATGCAATGATTTTGTAAGTACCAAATTGCCTACCATAAGATATCTTTCTGCCTAAAAATCCTAGAATAGAGTTTGTTTCTTGCAAGGAGCTCTGAAAGAAACAATACTGTTCATTATGCTTAAAATATGCATTGCCTGTATTTTTCCTCTCCCTCATTTCAGAAGTCAAATACACAAGAATTATTCTACACTGCTATTATAAATTGAAATGCTTAGGTCCATGTGAAAAATTAAAAGTTCTCTTAGCCATAGTCAGAAATTATTTTATTTATAATATATGCTAATCATGAATCAATATAGAATATTAACACTCCTTACACTGATGATCCTGCTTTTCTTGGCTGAATAAATTTATATCAGTAACATACAAAGATACAGCTACTGTTGGTTTTACGGTTTTGGGTTTTATTTTGGGGCGGGGGGAGCAACAGGGTCTCACTCTGTCACCCAGGCTGGAGCACAACCCGAGCTCACTACAGCCTCAACCTTCCAGGCTCCAGAGATCTTCCTGTCTCAGCCTCCTGAGTTGCTGGGACAAAGGTGTATACCACCTCACCAGGCAATTTTTTTTTTTTTTCAGAGACAGGGTTTTTTTATGTTGTCCAAGCTGGTCTCAAACTCCAGGGCTCAAGCAATCCTCCCACCTTGTCCTCCCAAAGTGCTGGGATTACAGGAATGAGCCACTGTGCCTGGTCTGGGTTTTGTTTTTTTAGAGATAGGGTCTCATTATGTTGTCCAGGCTAGACTCAAGTCCTTTGGCTCAAGCAATCCTCTCACCTCAGCCTCCCATGTAGCTGGGACTAAAGCGCACACCACCATAGGCAACCTCTATTATCATTTAAAAAAACTATTCTTTTACTTTGATTATAAAAGGAATATATGATCATTGTAAAAAGTGTGGAAAATATAGAAACATTTTTAAATTGGGGGCTGGGCCCAGTAGCTTACATCTGTAATCACAGTGCTTTAGGAGGCTAAGGCACAGGATTGCTTGAGCCCAGGAGTTCACAACCAACCTGGGCAACAGAGCAAGACCCTATCTCTACCAAAAAAAATTTTTAAATTAGCTGGGCATGATGACATGTGCCTGTAGTCCTAACTACTCAGGAGGCTGAGGTGCGAGGCTTACTTGAGCCCTGGAGTTCGAGGTTACACCAAGTATGATCACACTACTGCACTCCATCCTGGGCAACAGAGGAGACTAAGAAAATTAAAAATAAAGAAATTAATAACCATCCCCCAAAACCAGGTACACTGAACAGTTGTACACGTACAATTTTGTATCCTACTTTAGCACTCTAACAATTGTTTTCCTTTGAAATCCTTTACAATGAATTACTAATAAAAGATATATGCAGATGTACCTAATTTAACGACTCTTTTTTGTTAAAAATTAAGGTAATTTTCAATTTTTTAAAATTATAACTAATGCTTCACTGAATACTTTTGGATAAAAAGCTTTCTGAAGGATAAATGTGTTATATCCATGCAATGGGACATTATTCAGCCATTAAAAGGAATGAAGTACTGATACATACCACAACATGGATAAACCTTGAACATATTATGCTAAGTGAAAGAAGCCAATTACAAAAGGCCACATATTTCCTACACGGCTGATGGAAACGTAAAACTATGCAGCCACTTTAGAAAACAGACTAGCAGTTCTGCAAAATATTAAACACAGAGTTACCATACAACCCAGCAACTCTACTCCTAGGTATATATACCCAAGATAAATTAAAACAAATCCATGCAAAAACTTGTACATGAATGTTCATATTTATAGCAGCATTATTCATAACTGAAATGTGCAAACAACCCAACGTCCATTCACTGATAAATGGACAAATAAAATACTGTATAAGCATTCAACAGAATAATATTCAGCCATAAAAGAGAATGATGGGCCTGGCGCAGTGGCTCACACCTGTAATCCCAGCACTTTGGCAGGCCGAGATGGGCGGATCACCTGAGGTCGGGAGTTCAAGACCAGCCTGAACAACATGGAGAAACCTCGTCTCCATTAAAAATACAAAATTAGCCAGGCATGGTGGCACAGGCCTGCAATCCCAGTTACTTGGGAGGCTGAGGCAGGAGAATCACTTGAACCCAGGAGGCAGAGGTTGCAGTGGGCCGAGATCACACCACTGCACTCCAGCCTGGATAACAAGAGCGAAACTCCATCTCAAAAAAAAAAAAGAGAATGATGTACTGATACATGCTATATGAATAAATCTTGAAACATTATGCTAAATGAAAAAAGCCAGACACAAAAGGTCACATATCGCATGATTCCACTTACATTAAATGTCCAAAGAGGCAAATCTAGAAAGAGAAAATATGTAAACGGCTATCAGAGGATGTGGGGAGGGAAGAACAGAAATGACTACTCATTTTGTTTTGGGGTGATGAAAATATAAAATTAGTAGCAACGGTTGTACAACACTGACTTATGTAAAAAAGGTGATTTTGGCCAGGCGCAGTGGCTCATGCCTGTAATCCCAGCACTTTGGGAGGCCAAGGCGGGCAGATCACCTGAGGTCAGGAGTTCGAGACCAGCCTGAACAACATGGAGAAACCCCATCTCTACTAAAAATACAAAATTAGCCAGGCATGGTGGCACATGCCTGTAATCCCATCTACTCGGGAGGCTGAGGCAGGAGAATCGCTTGAACCCGGGAGGTGGAGGCTGCGGTGAGCCGAGACTGCACCACTGCACTCCAGCCTGGGCAACAAGAGTGAACCTCCATCTTAAAAAAAAAAAAAAAGGGCCAGGTGCAGTGGCTCACACTTGTAATCCCAGGACTTTGGGAGGCCAAGGCAGGCGCATCACGAGGTCAGGAGATCAAGACCATCCTGGCTAATATGGTGAAACCCCGTCTCTACTAAAAATACAAAAACATTAGCCAGGCATGGTGGCGGGCACCTGTAGTCCCAGCTACTCGGGAGGCTGAGGCAGGAGAATGGCATGAACCCGGGAGGCGGAGCTTGCAGTGAGCCGAGATCGCGCCACTGCACTCCAGCCTAGGTGACAGAGCAAGATTCCATCTCAATAATAATAATTTTAAAAAGGTGATTTTTTATGTGAATTATCTCAATTAGGGTGTCATTAAGGAAGGAAAATAACCTCCTCTCCCCCCAAAGAAGAAAAAAAAAGGTTACTTCCTTAGAATAATCTCTCAGAAGTGGAAATACACACAAATATGCCAAAGCGCTTTTGAAACAGGTTCCAGATTTATACTACCTCCAACAACATATTTAGTACCTGTGTCATCACTGTACTCAGGTCTGAACAAGCACCATTCCTTAAACCTTAAATCTGATAAGAGAAACTTGCTATTGTTTATTACTTTAAAAATGAACACTTTCTCCCCATATCTTAATCATAAACTTTTCAAATGGTCAGTTCTTAGCCTTTAAAAGTGACTTCTCTATGTATATAACACAAATGTTTCGATTTCTCAGGAAATGTAGAAATGGACTTTCTTACAATTTTGGTCAGCAATAATTAACTCATCCTAACTCAGTTCTATTTCAGCTTTTAACCTTAAAACTTTCCTTTAAGTCACATATTTTTAAAACAGTCCGAAAAACTACTCTCCTCCTTAGACAGGGAAATTAAAATTTCCCTGAAAGATCACTACCTGGGTTATACATGTTTCTAGTTTCCTGATGGCACTTAACTTTCAAGTGAAATGTCCAAGTGGCTCCCAAGACATTTTAAAACGATATGGTATTGTTGAAAGGAAATTAAACATTTATTAACATCTTATTCTACAAGCCAAATGCTTTATGTGCATTACTTCATTTAATCCTAACAAATGTATTACTCTCACTTAACTGAAAAGGAAAATGAAAATCACCAACGGTAAGAACTTGCCACGCAGCAAATATGCAGCAAAGTTAGAGATCAAATCGAGGTGTGTCTAAATTTCAAAGTCCATATTCTTTCTGCCACTTTACAATGCTTTCCAAGCTAAATGACTATGGAAAATCAGGCAAGACTTTGAATACTTGTTCTGCCACTTACTGTGTGACTAATTTCTAAACTTCTTCAGAGTAGAGTTTACAAAAACAAGGTCACTGTTCACAAAATAAATCTTAAAAGAGGAGGCTAAAAATTCACTGTGAGATGAAACTTTCTTTAAATACTATTTTTTCAACAGCAAAATGTATGGAATAATTCTAAACACTTTTCTAGAATTTGTTTCAAGATTCACTTTACCTTCCAACAGAGGCACTTGCATATCCACTCACAAACATGTAATGTAGATAAAAAACACTTCTTTAGGGGCTGTCAAGTCTCTTCTGTAGACCACAAATGCATCATTTCTCAGTAGAAAAGGCCACATCAACTACATTGCTCTTTACTCTTCTTTACCACATGAGAAATGTTTTCAGCAACATATACACCATTCAGGAAGTAGCACAAGGGGGTAAGAGAAAAAGCTACTGAAGAGAAAAAGACTGGAGGAGCTTGTGAGCAAGCAGTGATACAACACAGAAAGGACGAGGTTAAGAACAATAAAAATGAAGGCAAGACATCAGCGGTCTACTCTACCCCAGGTAATGGATATCACTGTGATCAAGGAAAAATCCTTAAAGGATCTTTGATTTGCTTTTACAATTGCTATTTAACGACCCAAACAACCACTTGACAAATTTGGAACTGGTGATTTCCAAAGAATGCAATATACCAATATATATGAGCAATTCTTCCACAAGGATTTTTCACATTCATAAAACAAAAATCAAAGGAAACATTAACATAAGAATTCTTACATGCTAAAATTTTTCCAAGAACTATTTCACTCCTCATTCTCACACATAAAAAGGGTAGCAATATCTAATAAAATTGTCATACTACAGATAGATGAAGGCCTTCAATAAAACACAGTTTTCTTCCAAAATTATTTTACTATTAAAGGATCAGTCGGACTTGGACAGACTAAAAAATATAAACTTATCTACAGGCTCATATTTTACCCTAGGGCTATTATTAAAATAATTCTGCTGTACATAGAATCCTGAATGGTTTTCATCAGCTAGTATAAAACAATCAGGCTATTGTGCAATGGTAAGAGGGCTCTTAAGAAAAAAATTACTGCTGAAAGTAATTCTTTTCTCCAGTTGACTTACCACATTCTACTCTCTATAAACACCATTGTTTTTAATCACAACTTTACCTACAGCTTTATCCTCGTCAAACAGAATTTTCACTTTCCAATATGACCCTTTCAAACTGAAGTAATAAAAAGTAATACTTTTATGATAATATTCGTTAAAGTGAAATGTCAGAGTCTATGTAAGATTTTGTGAAAAAACATATATTCATATTGAGGTATCTGGAAGGATGTTCATCAAAACATGACCACTGACTAGTTATTATATTTTAGGGTGGTAGGATTAAAACTTTTTCCTTAGCTTGTATATACTTTCTGATGTTCTACATTAAATACAGTTTGTGTGTGTGCATAAAAGAGAATAATTTCAGTTAAAGGGTAAGAAATGTAGACCCCATATTTTAATTCAGTAGCACCAGTTCAAATCCAGTTATTCAGAATTAACAAAGCAACTGTTGCTCAAAAAATGCCAATAAACTCCCGAGCCAACTAAGTTCAATTTTTCTTTGAGACAGGGTCTTGCTCTGTCATCCAGGCTGGAGTGCAGTGGTGTGAGCTCAGCTCACTGAAGCCTTGACATCCTAGGCTCAAGCAACCTCCCACCTCAGCCCCCAAGGAGCTGGGGTCATAAACACACTCATGCCCAGCTAATTTTTGTATTTTTTATAGAGATAGGGTTTCACCCTGTTGCCTGGGCTGATCTCGAACTCCTGTACTCAAGCAATCGCCCACCTCAGCCTCCCAAAGTGCCGGGATTACAAGCGTGAGCCAACCACTGTGCCCAGTCTCAGAGTTCAATTTTTAAACAATAATTTTTCTCCAGTCAGAAAATGCTGCCTGTAACTTTGTGTCTCTTTAAAGAACTGGGGGAGAAGGTAGAGGGAGAGTGTGGAAAACGGACTGGAATGTCCAGGTGACCACAGGAAAGGTAACAGGAAAAAACTTGAGAAAACAAGACAACACCATTTCATTGATTTGTAAAAGAAATCACAGAGTAGAAGAAAGTAAATTATCAGAGAAAGTAAGCAAGCACTTAAAGGGTAATAAGTAAAAGCAGAAAAAAAAGTTAAAAAAAATTGAACTCAGGAGTATTTATGTAAATTATTCTGAAAGGGGGGGGGGGAGGGCTGAGAAAATGCTATATAACAAACTGAATCAGTTCTGCTTTCTTGACCAGAAAAGTAACGCCTTTCAATAATCTTATTTAGCATAAGCAGTAAAACCAAGAACACTCTGTCAGAGGATCTGAAGATCTTTTGTGCCTGCTTTGGAATGAACTATTAGATACACAGTTAAACAATATACAAACATATAAATAGCACATTTTATGCAATAAATGAATCTAGAAGTAATCATCAGATGTAAAGAGAACATAACTTTGAAAAAGAAGGTAAAAGCACTGATATAACTCCACTGACCACCATAAAGAAATTTCTTTAAACCAAAATAAGTAATTCTACTAGACTAAACCATAAGAAATTGCCAATATTCACCAGGTGTGGTGGCTTACGCCTGTAATCCCAGAGCTTTGGGAGATCGAGGCATGCGCATCACTTGAGGTTGGGAGTTCAAGACCAGTCTGGCCAACATGATGAAACCCTGTTTCTACTAAAAATACAAAAATTAGTCGGGCGTGGTGGTGCACACCTGTAGTCTCACCTACTCGGGAGGCTGAGGCAGGAGAATCACTTGAACCTAGGAGGCAGAGGTTGCAGTGAGCCAAGACCAAGCCACTGCACTCTAGCCTGGGCAACAAACAGACTCTGTCTTTAAAAAAAAAAAAGAAGGGAGGGGAGAAGAGAGGAGAGGGGAGAGGAGAGGGGAGGGGAGGGGGAGGGGAGGGGAGGGGGGAGGGGAGGGGAGAGGAAAGGAAAGGAACTGCCAATATTCAAGCATTTTTTTTGTCTATAAAAACAACAATTTCATATGGTCCCACTGCCAGTGGTCTGCTGATAAATATTTGACCACCTCTTTGAGAAAAGGGCCCCTGATTTGTAGCTTCTGCAGTCTGCCATGCTGTAAATGTCCCACCATGGCCAGTTTCAAGCTACTAACATGATGTCACACATGGAGCTGGAGAGAGAGGCACAATCAGCTAACCAGTTCCAGCACAACACTGGCTCCACTTAACTACTCTGATCTAAGAATCATCACAACAGTTCCTAAATTTTCTCATCCTTTTCTAAAACAGGCTTTTATCGGAATAATCCAGTTTCTTTTCTAGGTTAGGAGAAATAGGCTTTTGACATTTTAAATTATTAATACACTAAAATCACTCACAAGGAAGAATAGGCCAGGCGCAGTGGCACACATCTGTAATCCCAGCACTTTGGGAGGCCCAGGCGGGATCTCCCAAATGTGGATCACATTCTCAACTAGCCTAGCCAACAAGGAGAAACCCCATCTCTACTAAAAATAAAAAATTGGCTAGCGTGGTGGCACACACCTGGAATCCCAGCTACTTGGGTGGCTGAGGCACAAGAATTGATAGGACCAAAGGCTGCAGTGAGTCCTGATCATGCCACTGAACTCCAGCCTGGGAGACAGAGCAAGACTCCATTTCAAAAAAAAAGTGGGGGGAATAGATGAAATTGGTACCTGGCTTTATCCTCTCAACACTTTTTTTTACTGAACACCTTTTGGTGCCAGTATTGTTTCGGGCATTGTAGACAGCAAGGAATAAGACAAAGGAAGTCCCTACTGTCATAAAAATTAATTTTAAAAAACACATAATTTCAAGGACTCACAAATGGCATGAAGAAATTAAAACAGTGATGGGGAGGACCTATTTTTAACTGAGTGGTGAGGAAGCAGGAGGTGATATTTAAGCTGAGATTGGAAAGGTAAAGGGCCAGGCTAAAAAACATCTGGGAAAACACCATTTCAAACAAAGGAAACAACCAGTGTAAAAGCTCTAAGCCAAGGCCAAGAATGGCATGTTTGAGAAACTGAACAGACTAACTTGGCCAGAGTGTAGTGAGCAAAGGTGAGATAATAGGCTGTTAGGGCCAAATTATGTACAGACTGTTGAGTTTGTATTTTCTGGGTGAGTACAGTTTATATCTTATTCTGAATGGGTTGAGAAACAACTTCACATAGTAGTTTGATAAATGTACTGAATGGAATAAATGAAGGCATAATGTCATGCATTATTTTAATGACCCCTTATGAGACTGGGGTCACACCTATTAATTGTATTCAGTTTTCTCAATATGACCACTTTGATTACTTAATAATCTAAACAGAACATTATGAAGTTAAAGTAGGATGGCGGGCATCAAACTATGAATACAGCTGAAATAAACTGAGTGGTAGGACTACACACCAGCTCAGAAACAAGGATCTCATTAATCCAAGATGGTTATGTGTGAAATGCTAACATATGAATTCAACTAGGTCAATGTCAAATTCTAATGAAAACTACCTAGTCTATAAAATAGATTATTTCAAAATTGTAAAGAAACACTTCTAGTGTGTCATCCAACATGATGATTTTATTTGGTATGTAAACAGGCTTTTTAAAAATTATAATGGTCGCCAAGTGCGGTGGCTCACGCCTGTAATCCCAGCAGTTTGGGAGGCCGAGGTGGGCGGATCATCTGAGGTCAGGAGTTCAAGACCAGCCTGGCCAACATGGTGAAACCCCACCTCTACTAAAAATACAAAAAAAAATAAAAAAATTAGCTGGGCATGATGGTGCATGCCTGTAATCCCAGCTACTAGGGAGGCTGAAGCAGGAGAATTGCTTGAAGCCAGGAGGCAGAGATTGCAGTGAACCAAAATTGCACCACTACATTCCCACCTGGGTGACAGAGCAAGTCTCCATCTCAAAAAAAAAAAAAAAAATTCTAATGGTCATGTTTATATGAGAGTCTAAATTGTATCTGCATATTACAAAAACTGTAAAGATATATATACACACCCACACACACATTGTGGCGATATGAAAGTCCCACAATACAAGTCAATAAAGACATAAATTATTGCATATTATACAAAAATGGGAAAATGTTTACACTGGTTTATCGAGAATAATTTATACTTGCACACAAACATTATCTCTTTAATTCACCAACTTCTAAGCCACCTATTTTAACAACTTATCTAAAAGATTTTTTTTTTTTTTGAAACAGGGTCTCATTCTGTCACCCAGGGTAGACTGCAGTGGTGAGATCTCGGCTCACTGCAGCCTCAACCTTCTAGGCTCAAGCAATCCGCCCACCTCAGCCTCCTGAGTAGGAGGGACTATGGGTGTACAGGCCTGGCTAATTTTTCTATTTTTTTTTTTTTTTTGTAGATGGGGTTTCGCCTCGTTGCCCAGACTGGTCTCGAACTCCTGAGCTCAAGCAATCCACTCACCTCAGCCTCCCAAAGTGCTGGGACTACAGACTTAGCCTATCGCACCTGGCCAAGATTTTTTTCTTAATCAACCAACAGCAAATGAGATCTACAGCTCAGGAAAAAAAAAAAAAATCTTGTCTTGACATAATGAAATACCAGAACTTCACAAGTCATTAATTTCTTTTGCACTTTCATTTCCCAACTATCAGTAAAATTGCAGTTTTAGTATGTACAAGCATTTTTAGGAACACAAATATGTATATGCATTTAATAAATACTACTCAATAGAGTTGTGTACATTATTGTAGCTGCTAGTTTACCATGGAAATATAATAAATATACGCTTTTTTTTTTGAAAGGAGAGTAACTAGGCAGTACAGTACTAAGAGGACAGGCATACTAATAACTTTTTGTAGACTAAAAAAAATCCCTCCCTAAAACTGTGAGACTTCTATTTGAGCTTTCAAAAAAAAATGCACAGGATACCATCGAGCTATCTCAGTAACAGTAACTGCCTTTCTTTAACAAAAGAAGTTTAGCAAAAACTAGCAAGAAAAGAAAAGAAAAGAAAAGAAAAATAATGAAGTTTTGGCACCCAATCTCATTTGAGCCTACATCCCTGATAAAAAGAAAATTATACGGCCAGGTGCAGTGGCTCACACCTGTAATCCCAGCACTTTGGAAGGCCCAGGTGGGTGGATCACTTGAGGTCAGGAGTTTGAGACCAGCCTGGCCAATATGGTGAAACCTGGTCCCTACTAAAAACAAAATTAGCCTGGCCTGGTGGTGGACTCCTGTAATCCCAGCTACTTGGGAGGCTGAGGCACAAGAATTGCTTGAATCCGGGAGACGGAGTTTGCAGTGAGCCGAGATCACACCACCGCACTCTAGCCTGGGCTAAAGAGCGAGACTCAGTCTCAAAAAAAAAAAAAAAAGATTACAATATAGTCCAAATTGAAGGGTCTAAGTCCATGTAAATCACCAACACTCAGAATTGAAGAAACATCACTTTAAAAAAAAATAGCGCAAGCCCAAAATAGGTTTTTTTAAGGTGCTGTCACCCTACTACCAAATCAGGTTTTCCTTTTCTTTATTCCATCAGTTTATCTCCTTTCCTTTCCTACCTCCTCTGTCCCTTACCATTTTACTGTGTATTTTCACTTTACATACACAAAAATTGATTTGAAACTTACTTCATACTCTTGCATCTAAATTTGTTTCTACTTAATTCTTACAGGACTACATGGTTTTAGGTGAAATTCAAATACTTTTAGTTATAGAAACATTCATATAAGCTGTAACCAAAGACATGAGTGACAAGATTAACAGTCATTCATTCAGGAAATGTTGAGTCCCCATTATGTGCTCTCCACTGTTCTGAATACTGGGGATTCTGCAGTGAATAAAACGAAGCTCTATTCCTACTAGCACTAAAGCAACACTATGCTTGGCAAGTTCAAGACCTCAGGGAGGTCTATATGTGGCCAGAGTGGAAGAAGCCAAGGAGAAACTGGTAAGACATGAAATCAGACAAGCAGGACGTACAGACGATGAAGGGTCAAGACTTCTTGAATACTTAGGTATTAAGTATTCTGGTTTTTATAAACGATATGGAAAGCCACTAAGGGTTTGAACACAGGAGTAAAATAATCAGACTTTCATTTTCAAAAGATCGCCCTTGTTGCTGGTTTGAGAACAGAAAACAGCAGAAGCAGCATGTAGAGACTACTAAAATAATACATGCAAGAGACGATGGTTGCTTACAGAGGTGGCAGCAGATGAAGAGAGCAAATTGTGGTTACATTTATTCTTATGGCAGTTTTTAAGATAGATAAGGGACATGTTTTCATGCTAATTATTTGAATCACATGTGGGAGTATGAGAAAGAAGAGAGTCAAGAATGTCTACTAGGTTTTTGGCCAAAGAAACTGAAAGATGGAGTTGACATTTAATAGGATGAGGAAGACGGGAATGGGGACAATTACTGGGGTGGAGGGGTGATGGAGAAGAGGGAGGACAAGGAGTTCAGTTGTGACATTAAATCTGGGATGCCTATTAGAAATCTACTTAAAAATGCGGAGTACGCAAATGGATACAGAAGTCTGGAGGTAGGAAACAGATCCAGACTAAAGATAACATTTTTAGTTTGAAATATATAATTCTAGGCTGGGCGCAGTAGCTCACGCCTGTAGTCCCAGCACTTTGGGGGGCCCAGGCAGGCAGATCACTTGAGCCCAAGACCAGCCTGGGCAACATGATGAAAACCCATCTCTATAAAAATACAAAAAACTAGCCGGATGTGGTGGCACATACCTGTGGTCCCAGCTACTTGGAAGACTAAGGTAGGAGGATCACCTGAGCCCGGGAGGTCAAGGCCACAGTGAGCTAAGATCACGCCACTGTACTCCAGCCTGGAGGATGAGCAAGGCCCTGCCTCAAGAAAAAAAAACTTTTTTTTTTTTTTTTGAGACGGAGTCTCTGTCGCCAGGCTGGAGTGCAGTGGTGCGATCTTGGCTCACTGCAAGCTCCGCCTCCTGGGTTCACACCATTCTCCTGCCTCAGCCTCCCTAGTCGCTGGGACTACAAGCACCAGCCGCCACGCCTGGCTAATTTTTTTTTGTATTTTTAGTAGAGACGGGGTTTCACCATGTTAGCCAGGATGGTCTCGATCTCCTGACCTCGTGATCTGCCTGCCTCAGCCTCCCAAAGTGCTGGGATTACAGGCATGAGCCACCGCGCCTGGCCAAGAAAAAGTTTTTTAATTAAAAAAAAAAATAAGGCTGGGCGCAGTGGCTCATGCCTATAATCCCAGCACTTTGGGAGGCCAAGCTGGGCAGATCACTTGAAGTCAAGAGTTTGAGACCAGCCTGGCCATCATGGTGAAACCCAATCTCTACTAAAAATACAAAAATAAGCCGGGCGTGGTGATGGGCGCCTGTAGTCCCAGGTACTCGGGAGGCTGAGACAGGAGAATCACTTGAACCCAGGAGGCGGAGGTTGCAGTGAGCCAAGATCACGCCACTGCACTCCAGCCTGGGCAACAGAGCAAGACTCTATCTCAAAAAAAAAAAAAAATTATAAAAAAATGTAAAATATATATATATGTATATAATTCTAGCTAGACAGAATGAGATCACAGGGGACTAAAACTAAATATAAATATAGAAGAGGTCTAAACATATGTCCCTGAAACACTGCCTCATTTTTTAGAAGTTGGGGCAATGAAAAGGAACCAACAAAAGAAACTGAAAACAGGCAGTAATATGCCAGAAACAAAGGGAAGATTTCAAACATGATGTTATCAACCACATCAAATGCTGCTATTGCTTCTACATCCACTGAGATTAGGCTTGAGAACTAGGGAATTTACCACCAACAAAGTCACTCAATAATCTCAAAAAGAGCTGTTATGGTAGAATGAAAGAGAAAAAAAGCAGATTGTAGTGGATCCAAACAAGACAGGGAGCGCGGATGACAACAAATATTTACCTTTTTGGAGAGGAGTAACTAAAGGAAGATGTGGCATTTGGAAAGGTGTTTTTTTAAAGATGGGAGATATTTCAATACATCTATATGCTGATAGGGATAATCCAGTAGAAATGGGGAAATGATGCAGCTCATTAGAATGCAGGAGAATGAGATGAATACTGAAGCAATGCAATGTCCTTAAAAGGAGAAAGGAGCACGAGTGGAGACCATGATGACAGAATAGTAGGAAAGGCAAAGTATGGGTAAAGATACAAGGAGACGTATAAAAGTTTTATTCTGATCGCTTTCATTTTTAACATACAGGAAACAAGGTCATGAGCTGAAAATGAAGAGGAAAAAAGGGAGGCTAGAGGTTTGACGAGAGGTATTAAAAGTAATCTGTGGTGATTAAATCAGGAAACGTACTAGGATTACAGAAGGATTAGGCCAGGTGCAGTGGCTCACGCTTGTAATCTCAGTATTTTGGGAGGCTAAGGCAGGTGGATCACTTGAGGTCAGGAGTGAGAGTTCGAGACCAGCCTGTCCAACGTGGTGAAACCCTGTCTCTATTAAAAAAAAATACAAAAATCAGCCGGGCATGGTGATGGGCGCCTGTAATTCCAGCTACTCGGGAGGCTGAGGCAGGAGAATCACTTGAACCTGGGAGGCAGAAGTTGCAGTGAGCCAAGATCGCGCCACTGCACTCTAGCCTGAGTGACACAGTGAGACTCCATCTCAAAAAGCGAAAACAAAACAAAACAAAACAAAAACAACCAGCAACACAAAGGGCCCTCCTTAGGTCAGTGGTCATGAATTTAAAGGGAGAGCCAGGTCAGCTTGGGTGTGTTTTCCTCAAAGCATGCTCAACTTCCCAGATGTATGCTGGAACAGATGGAGAACTGGACACAAAGGGTGTGGGGGTAAGGGTTTGGCCAGGTGAATTACAACAGAAGAATGCCGCAAGGGAGTTGAATGTGTATGAAAAGGCAAAATTATAATAGTGGACCACAAATTTAAGGCAGGGTAAATACTCCAGTGAGGACATGGAAGGAGGTGGTCTTGGGACAGCAAAGAGGTGATGGCAGCAATGGATTACAGATCGCAGACATACAGAAGTACTGTTGAAGAAACGTTTACAGCCATCCCTCGGTATCCATGGGTGATTGGTTCCAGGAACCCTGCCCCACCCTGGCCCAAATCCCCAGATGCTGAAGTCCCTTACATACATAAAATGGCACAGTATTTGCATATAACCTAGGCACATCCACCTGTATACTTTAAATCATCTCTAGACTATGTATACCTAATAAAATATAAATGCCATGTATAATTGTTATACTGTAGCTTTTTACCCTTTTTGTTCTGTTTTTTCTTTTTAAATACTTTTTATCCTTGGCTGGCTAAATCCTCAGATGTGAAATCTGATGATTTGGAGGGTCTACTGCATTTTATGGAAGGAGTTGGAAAGACAGGATGCTGAGACCCCAGTGGAATTAATGAAATTGTGTCTATGAAATATCCTCAATAAAGCATGGGCAGTTCTGGTTAAAATGTTATAGAACTACCTTAAAGACTAAAGAAAAATCTCACCCTGGGCAAAGTGAACCTGCAAGATAAAGGAAACTGGAAGGCTAAATTGGAGCTGGAGAACTGTATCACAGGAATTATAGCTGGAGCTTCCTAGACATAGAATCCTCAACCACTTCCAGCACTCCTGAAGAAAGAGTCAGCTTTGCACAACCTCGCCAACTCAGAAGGCAAAAATGCCAGATCACAATCAGATAAGCCACAATAAAACTATACCTTCCCCCACCTTCCCCCCTATATCTTTTCTCTGTAATCCTAAGCTGCATCCTGAAGTGGTAGGAATACCATACTGAAGAAGACCTGGCAAAGTAAAAAGAGAAGCCAACTAAGTACGACTCTTCCTCCAAAACAAGCTTCTAGGTTCAAAGCAGTTTTGAGCCAAAGAAAAGTTCTGAAATCTACAAGAGTTTGAACACTACTATACTGTACCTTTTAATGACTAAAATAAAACTATTATTGACAAGTGACCAGAAGACTTTTTGTTACCTAAAAGTGACTTAAAAAGCTATCTGATCACGCTAAAAGCTCATCTAGAAGCAGAGAAAGACTTAGTCTACAGGGAGAGTTTTGAAGGCACAGTGAAAGTTGTATTTTGCTTAAACCTTACCAAGTTCCACCCATTAAACCTTTCAGTTCCACAGATACCCATAAATTCCCTCTATATATACGGTGTAAAACATACACAATGTTGAATGTACTCAAAATTCATTTTTGCTTTACTAAACAAAAAGTGAAAGTTTTATTAAGTCAAATGAAACAAAAATAATTTTATGTTGTTGTTTTTATTTTTTTATTTTTTTCTTTGAGACGGAGTCTCACTCTTTCGCCCAGGCTGGAGTGCAATGGCGTGATCTCAGCTCACTGCAAGCTCTGCCTCCCGGGTCCATGCCATTCTCCTGCCTCAGCCTCCCTAGTATCTGGGACTACAGGTGCCTGCCACCACGCCCGGATAATTTTTTGTATCTTTTAGTAGAGATGGGGTTTCACCGTGTTAGCCAGGATGGTCTTGATCTCCTGACCTCATGATCTGCCCGCCTCAGCCTCCCAAAGTGCTGGGATTACAGGCATGTGCCACCATGCCCGGCCAGTTGTTTTTTTTTGTTTGTTTTTTTGTTTTTTTGAGATACTCTTGCTCCATCGCCCAGGCTGGAGTAGAGTGGTGCCATCCCAGCTCACTGCAACCTCTGCCTCCTGGGTTCAAGTAATTCTCCTGCCTCAGACTCCCAAGTGGCTGGGATTACAGGCCTGAGCCACCGCGCCCGGCTAACTCTTGTATTTTTAGTAGAGATGGGGTTTCACCATGTTGGCCAGGTTGGTCTCAAATTCCCGAACTCAGATGATCCACCCACCTCGGCCTCCCAAAGTGCTAGGATTACAGGCGTGAGCCAGGGCACCCTGCCTGTTTTGTTTTTTTTGAGATGGAGTCTCGCTCTGTTGCCCAGGCAGGAGTGCAGTGGCGCAATCTCGGCTCACTGCAGCCTCTGTCTCCCGGGTTCACATGATTCTCCTGCCTCAGCCTCCCAAGTAGCTGGGATTACAGGCATGTGCCACCATGCTTGGCTAATTTTTGTATTTTTAGTAAAGACAAGGTTTCATAGGCCAGGCTGGTCTCGAACTCCTGACCTTAGGTGATCCACCCACCTCAGCCACCCAAAGTGCTGGGATTACAGGAATGAGCCACCACGCCCGGCCAATAATTTTATGTTTTAGTACAAGATAAAAAAATTCGATCATACAGATTAAATATGAAATCACAGCATGAGTTTCTAAGTGGGTAAGCAAGAAAACAGATATATCAGGGCTCATAATTTAGTTATTTCAAAGGTACCTAGATTTAATATGAAATTAACCTAATACTTTCTAGGAAAAAGAGGGAGTATGTTTTACCATAATCTATTTGACTAAAATACATTAACAGGTATTTTACAGTGTCAGGATTAAGACAACTTATTACCAAGTCTTCTTGGCATTTCAATTCAGGAACTCCCTTTGGATGAGGGCCCAAAGCAGTCTCAGCTAAATCCTGCACTACTCATTATTTGTTAGTATTATAGAAAGATACAAGTATACTTAAGCTTTGAACCAAGGTAGCAGGATGCATAAAACTAATAATTTAAAAGCTAAATTCCTCGCCTGGCACGGTGGCTCACGCTTGTAATACCAGCACTTTGGAAGGCCAAGGTGGGCGGATCACGAGGTCAAGCGATCGAGACCATCCTGGCCAACAAGGTGAAACCCCGGCTCTACTAAAAATACAAAAATTAGCCAGGCATGGTGGCACACGCCTGTAGTCCCTGCTACTCGAGAGGCTGAGGGAGGACAGTTGCTTGAACTCAGGAGGCAGAGGTTGCAGTAAGCCGAGATGGGACCACTGCACTCCAGCCTGGCGACAGACTCTGTCTCAAAAAAAAAAAAAAAAAAAAAGCAATCCGGGTGTGGTGGCTCATGCTTCCAATCTCAGCACTTTGGGAGGCTAAGGCAGGCAGATCACCTGAAGTCGGGAGTTCGAGACCAGCCTCACCAACATGGAGAAACCCCGTCTCTACTAAAAATACAAAATTAGCCGAGCATGGTGGTGCATGCCTGTAATCCCAGCTACTCGGGAGGCTGAGGCAGGAGAATTGTTTGAACCGGGGAGGTGGAGGTTGCAGTGAGCCAAGATTGTACCATTTCACTCCACCCTGGGCAACAAGAGTGAAACTCCGTCTCAGAAAAAAAAAAAGAAAAGTTAAATTCCAAGTTTTCCCAGGTAGTATGAAAAACATAAGAAAAAAATGCCCTCACCTAACTAGCAAGTAAATATTAAGAATAAGCTTGACCGGGCACGGTGGCTCACGCCTGTAATCCTAGCACTTTGGGAGGCCAAGGTGGGTGGATCACCTGAGGTCAAGAGTTTGAGATCAGCCTGATGACCATGGAGAAACCCTGTCTTTACTAAAAATATAGAAATTAGTCAGGCATGGTGGCAGACACCTGTAATCCCAGCTACTCAGGAGGCTGAGGCAGGAGAATCACTTGAACCCAGGAGACAGAGGTTGCAGTGAGCCGAGATTGCGCCATTGCACTCCAGCCTGGGGGCAAAGCAAGACTCCGTCTCAAAAAAAAAAAAAAAAAAAAAAAAAAAGAATAAGCATGTACATGTACTTCTCTCAAGTTCCTCTCAAGACGACACAGGAAAACTATAATGTCCCCCTGAGACTGACTAAAACATTACTAACATTAAATATTCAATAAAATGTTAAAATATTTTTCATGAAAATTGAGAATAAGAACAATACAGCAGATCAAAACCAACACGCATTTTTAATTTTGACAAAAATCTTATAAAACCTTAACAAACTATCCCAGACTCATTTTAAAGCAGATGAGGAACCTAAATAAACCCTTTCATAATTTTAAAAAAGACAACTGGGACTTTAAAACATAACAGCAACCTATCCCAGAAAATAATGTGAGAAATTAGTTATGAAGTATTTAAATAAACTTTTTTAAATTAAAACTCTCATGATCTACACAGGCAAATATGAGCACAGCTGCAATATGCCATGTTAGTATCATTATTAATCACTTTATTAATCACATCTGAGGAAAAAGAAATGCTTTCTAAATCATTCTAAAAGGTCTTACAAAAAAATGAACTACCCTCTCCCCAACAGACACACATACCCTGATGAAGAAAACACCAACATTTCAAATATTCCAGCAATTATAACACAAGATAATCCTGAAATTTATTTAGCCTCAAAACATTATGAACTACTCCAAGGAAGGAACAATACTTTGAAAACACTAGTATTTTTAAGGTACAAAAAAAAAAATTATGGCCTGGCGTGGTGGCTCACGCCTGTAATCCCAGCACTTTGGGAGGCCAAGGAGGGCAGATCACGAGGTCAAGAGACCGAGACCATCATGGATGGCCAACACGGTGAAACCCTGTCTCTACTAAAAATACAAAAATTAGCCGGGTGTGGTGGCACACACCTGTAGTCCCAGCTACTTGGGAGGCTGAGGCAGGAGAATTGCTTGAACCAGGGAGGTGGAGGTTGCAGTGAGCCGAGATCGCGCCACTGCACTCCAGCCTGGCAACAGAGCAAGACTCCGTTTCAAAAAAAAAAAAAAAAAATTATGAGTTCTGATTTCTTGGAAAAATATATTTTAACGCAGCTGCTGATTGTCAAGAATTCTGATGATGTGCTTATCCGAAAAAAAAAAAAAAAAAAAAAAGCCAAACACTTTTACTTAACACATCACACCTTATTTACTTGTTCTTTATCATCACTATTACCATTTACAAGTAGGTTTGTCATCAACACCAGACTATCAGTGGTACATTGTCAGGTAACTTCTTCCGAGAAATACACATTTAAAGAAAAAGTATCACAATTCTCTATCACTAAAATTTGAAGAATTACTTTCCTTATTTTTTCTAGAAACAACAATAAAAAGCTAACAGCACACTTTGGGAGGCCGAGGCGGGCAGATCACTTGAGACCAGGAGTTCGAGACCAGCCTGGCCAACACAGAGAAACCCCGTCTCTTTTTGAAAATACAAAAAATAGGGCATAGTGGCGCATGTCTGTAATCCCAGCTACATGGGAGGCTGAGGCATGAGAATAGCTCGAGCCCCAAAGGCGGAGGTTGCAGTAAGCCGAGATCACACCGCTGCACTCTAGCCTGGGTGACAGAGCGAGACTTCGTCTCGAAAAAAAAAAAAAAAAGAAAAAAAAAAGCTAATAGCCGGTAAGTCCAAAATCTGAAACTTCTATTTGAATGTAAACATTATCTTTAACAATGTATTAAGTATTATAAGCATTAACAGTCAAAACAGCCCACTTAAATACAAAAAAGCTAACTATAAAAAAATTAATATCTACATTATTTCATAATAATCAAGACAGACTTTGGATCACATTAGTCTGGATTCCTGAAATAAATAAAATATTACTGCTTTTTAAACATATATAAATAGATTAAAATAGGCAACGCAACCTTATGTTCAGAATAAATGCAAAACTACAAATCTCATCCTTTTAAATTAGTAGTTTTATCACAGTTGCAATACTAAAAGATAAGTCCACATATGGAACCACAAATTATTACTAATAATCCTTCCCTTTTTAGCACTATCAAGTTTATATGCATTTATTTGTAAGTGGTGAACACAAGGACAAAATAAAATTCCTGAAATGAAGCTTTATTTTAAAACATTTCTTATAGAAAAGGAATCTACTGTTTATCTCTGGGGATTTTTAAAAACAGAAAATGTTATTACAAAGATTATTTACAGAAAACAGGACCAGAAGTACATTACCCTTCAATACACTGTACCAAAGTCTCCTAATAGGGACCAGGGAGATAATAAAAACACTAGCTTATTAAATGTCTTCCTCCCTTCATTTTAAAATGTAGACAGATTCTATTAAACTGACAATATAAAAGCTTAACCCAATAATTTTAGCTGTACAAAGTTACTTATTAACCTTTAAAGGCTGTTATGAATTTACACTTCCTGCAGTTCACCTGCCATCTTTCCCAACTGAAATAGCCACTAGGGGTTTAAGACAGTCACCACTTGCGACATCAATAATAAGGAAATAACTTTGCATTCAAGTTTAAGAAAAGGATAATTGCGGATTTTGCCTGTGCCCATAAACAGGTGCTTAATGAATATCTGTTGAGTAAATGGTGACATTTTATTATATTAGTGCAACATTAGCTTTTCCCCCCCTAAATTTAGAGTTCTCCCTTGCTCAAAAAGCAGCAAGACCATACCACAGTCCCTTCTCAAAAACACATAAACTCCTTTATTCATAATGAAACAGAAAGCTGGGTTTCAAAATACAATCCCACTCCCTCTTTATCTTCTCCATTATTTTTAAAGATTAGAAATAAGGCCTGTTTTTAAGAAACAGAAAATGTATACCAACTTCTCTCAAACCAAAAGAGAAAATCCAAATTTGATATATATTTTCTATGTTCATAATATTGAGAGTAAGAACGGACTGTTCATCAACAGTATGTTATGTGGGACAAAAACTAAAAAACGTATATCAAAAATACATACTGTTTGCCGACATTCTTTCCTTAATCATAATCAAGGAGTATGTGCCTAAATTTTACTAGATGTGAGATAAGCTTTGTCTGATATTTCAAGATTCATTCATTCAACAAATACTTTACTGAGCACGTACTATAAGCCAGGCCCTTCAACGAAACATTTAGATTTTGTAAACTGCACATCACCCCCCAAAATTCCCCTAAAAAAGCTTATCATTTAAAATAATTGCAAGCTAAAGAGGAATCCCCAATGTTGTTTCTTACACATAGTGAAGTCAGCGGATCGGGGCGCTTTTTCAGCTGTTAATGCGGCATCAAGGAGCCGCTACCTACCACACCCGTTGCCTAAAATCGCAACTTAAAGCTGCAAGCACTGGGTAAAACAACCTGTAAGAGTAGCTCAGCTCCCGCGACGAGGTAGCCAAGGGCTTTCAAGCCCGGGGCCCGGGGCGAACCGCGGCAGGACCCGCGGACTGAACGCGTCGGGCGCCTCAGGCGAAGAGTCGGAGCTCCGGAGCCAGGTGTCTTTGCTCCCCGAAACCCTCACCTAGAGACCCCGGGCCCTCCCCGCCCGCCCCTCGCACCACCCTCCCGACTTCCAGACGTGAAAAGTTGGGGGGAGGGGGGGGGTCTGCCTTTCCATTTTACATCAGGCGGTCAGTTGGCTGCCTCAGCTGTCCGCCTGCCGTGAATTCTGAACTGAGCGTGTAACCATTCCTCAGAGGAAACAGAAGAAAAACCAAAGGCAGGGTCCTAGGGCATGAGGACCTCGCCCAAACCTGAAATGGAAGACGCAGGCTCAGCCCACAGCCCGCAGCGCGCGGCTGGCAAGGCCGGGCCGCGCTCACCCCAGAGCCCTCAGGGACGAGGGTTCGGGGCTTCGGGACCCCGCCCAAGGGACCGAGAGGGCGAGGCGTGGCGGCCGACGCGCGACTGGGGCTGGCATTGCACTCACCGTCGCCTTTGTCTCAGCCGCCCGCTCCGGCCGCAGCCCCTCTCAGCGCCGGCTCCGCGGCTCCTGCCGCCCCAACGCCTGCAGCTGCGCTCCCCAGCGCGCTCGCAGCTTCCTGGCTCCCCCTCCCCGCCCAGGCTCGCGCGCGGGTTGGGCGGAGCGAGAGGCGGCGCGCGCCCCTAGAGCGGCCGGAGGGGCGGGCGCCGTTGCGCAGCTGCAGCGACCGCAGTGCTGGCCCCGCCCCCCGCCAGGCCCCGCCCCCGCCGTACCTCCGGCATGGGCGAATCGGCCGGCAGGCGATGGGACCCCCGGGATTCGAGCCGCGCGGGTTAGGAATTGGCCTCTGTAGCTAACGGACGCCTGAGATCCGGGACTGCAGCACTCGCGGGAAAGGACGCTCCGAAAGATGGCGACCAAACCTGGGCGGGAGCGTGGGGGAGCCCCTTCCCACCCCGGCCCGGGCCGCGGACATCCGTGCGGAGGAGCGACGTCTGCGCACGTTGTGGGGCGGTGGACGCGCACAGGCGAGGGTGGGTGGGTGGGTGCTGAGCGGTTGTGGGATGAGGGGTCTCTCAGTAGCGGTTGAGAGCCCATCCTCTGACCACTGCTTTTTCATGTAAAAGTCAGAATCGTTCAATCAGTCATTAACTGGTTTAAGGCTGGCTAAACCACCTGGTTTGAAATGCGTGAAAATTACACATGTACTAGACTTCTGTGATTCCTTTGGGTGTGTATTTTACATATCTCAGAAATCAGAAACATGAGTGCCCTATCTAGCAGCCAGCAGTCCACCAAAATGCCTACAAAACTTTATCGTAAGTTCAAAAGGATAGCGTAATGCCACTGAAGTAAGCTCTCGAACCTGTAAGTAATGTATGGTCTTCCCCATTCTAGGTTGATGGCGAGGATTTCTAGTTACTCAGGCCAAAAACTTTATATCATCCATAACTCCTCTCATACTCTCATTTTCACTTTCAATCTGTCAAGAAAGCTTGTTGGTTGTACCTTCAAAATAGAACAGAGTGGGCAACATAGCGAGACCCTGTCTCTACAAAAAAAAAAAAAAAAAATTACCCTGGTGTGTTGGCGTGTACCTATAGTTCCAGGTACTCTGGAGGCTGAGGCCAGGAGTTACGTTACAGTGAGCCATCATCAGGCCACTGCACTCCAGCTTGGGCTGGACAGAGTGACACGTGTTCCAAAAAAAAAAAAAATTCTCCATCTTTCCTACCTTACTATTTTTCCTTTCATCCCATGACACTTCCCACCTTGTAACAATCTTTATAATTCAGAGTCAGCCCTCCGCATCCATGGCTTCTGCGTTTCTGGATTCAACCAACCACAGATGGAAAATATTTGGGAAAAAAAACACAACAATTTAAAAATACAAATAAAAACCAATACAATATAACAGCTATTTACATAGCACTTACATTGTATTATAAGTAATCTATAGATAATTTATACAGGAGGATATATGTGGGTTATGTGCAAATACTATATCATTTTATATTAGAGACCTGAGAGGATTTTGGTACTGGTCGTGGTCCTAGAGCCAATCCCCCTCGGATACTGAGGTATGCCTGTATTTATCTGATATGTTTAGCTTTTAGTGTCTGCCTTCCCTAGTAGAAGCTGGGATTTTTGTCTGTTTTGTTCAACTGATGTATCCCAAGTCCCTAGAATAAATGAAAAATTTAAAAATTCCCTGAGATTAAAAAAAACTAAAGCAACAAAAAATGACCAATTTTTTTTATTTTAAATTTTCTCTTGGTTTCTGTTTCAGTTAACCATAAGATCTTTATCTACATCATACCATAAGCATTTTGATTTTCCAGTTACTGTGAGTACAGTGATGACCATTTACTTGACTTTTAATGCAGTTTTTTGACCAATGATACGCTACAATCCTATTTCACTGAATGAGAATAACATGATAGAGTAGAGGAAGGTTACATAAAGACTATTAATTCTAAAAATTTCCTAGAACAAAAAAAAAAAACCAGAAAATTCCCGAACTTGATATATGTGCTTGTAAGCCTCCCTTTGAATTACAAATGTAGTAACCTTGTGTGAATGCCTTAAGTAGTAAATTTTCTATCATTTACCTATAAAGGGTAGTATTCATTATGTAAACATTTATTTTCAGATTTTTCATATTTTGTAACAAAACATTACGTGATTGAATACCATGATCTAATTTCAGTTGCTATAGCTATTCATGCACCCTTCTCATCAGTTAAAAAAAAAAAAAAAGTCAATTAAGGACACAATGCCATTCAGTTGAATGACACTTTTTTTTTTTTTTTTTGAGACAGGGTCTCACTTTGTCACCCAGGCTGGAGTGCAGTGGCCTAATCTGTGCTATCTCGGCTCTCTGCAACCTCTGTCTTCCGGGCTCAAGTGATCCTCCCACCTCAGCCTCCCAAGGAGCTAGGACTACAAACGCACACTACTACACCTAGCTAATTTTTGTGTTTTTGGTAGACAGGGTCTCACTATGTTGCCCAGGCTGGTCTGAAACTCCCAGGCTCACACAATCCGCCCTCCTCGCCTCACAAAGTGCTGGGATTACAGGTGTAAGCCACGGTGTCTGGTCTGGATGATACTTTTTGTAGAGTATGTGTGCATAATTATTTGCTCAATGTTATATTCATAGCAGTCTCTTTACACATTTAATTTATCCTTTATGATTTAAAACAATTTAAAGCTACAGATTACATGTTACAATTTGATTTTTTATAAAATTAAATAGACTTTTGTTTATAAAAAAATTGACAATGTGTTTCATCAATGTTAATCTGTAGTTTGTAATTACAATAATACCAAATAAAATTTTTCTAGAGTCATTATGATGTATCTGTGCACTGTCCTTAAAATTGTTACCAAGTAAAATCTTATTCCAAAAGAAGGACAAGGGTAAAAAATAGACACTCTTCATAATTTATTCACATAATATACAGTGAAAATACCGATAAAAGTAAATGCAACTATTATAGTCCAGAAGAAACTGTTTTGCATTCCTATTAGTCCATAACAAGTGGAAACATTACACCAAAAACAACAGGAAGGAACATGTTGTTCTAACCAACTGCTAAATAGCCTTGAGCTCATATAACAGCCACATTGGCCTGATTCTGCAATCTTTTACTTAAATAAATTTTCCTTAAAATTTTTAAAGCAAATGGATTTTCCCTAAAAGTATACTATTAATTTTTGTTTTTGTTTTGTTTTTGAGATGGAGTCTTGCTCTTGTTTTCCAGGCTGGAGTGCAATAGCACTATCTTGGCTCACTGCAACCTCTGCCTCCCAGGTTCAAATGATTCTCCTGCCTCAGCTTCCCAAGTAGGTGGGATTACAGGCACCTGCCACCACGCCCGGCTAATTTTTCTATTTTTAGTTGACACAGGGTTTTGCCATGTTGGCCAGGCTGGTCTCGAACTCCTGACCTCAGGGGATCCGCCTGCCTCGGCCTCCCAAAGTACTGAGATTACAGGTGTGAGCCACTGCACTCGGCCTATTAATTTTTTTTTTTTTTTTTTTTTGAGAGAGCGTCTCGCTCTGTCACACAGGCTGGAGTGCAGTGGTGCAATCTTGGCTCACTGCAATCTTCCTCTCCTGAGTTCAAGTGATTCTCTCCTCCTTCAGCCTCCTGAGTAGCTGGGATTACAGGCGCCCACCACCACGCCTGGCTAATTTTTGTATTTTTAGTAGAGACAGGGTTTCACCATGTCGGCCAGGCTGGTCTTGAACTCCTGACCTCAGGTGATCCGCCCGCCCCAGCCTCCCAAAGCGCTGGGATTACAGGCGGGAGCCACCGTGCCCAGCCACTATTAATGTTTTTTAAATCCTCTTTTCCAAAATTTTATAGCAGTTCTTTCTAACATTTAGGAGACATGGTGTACGGAGTCAGAGTCTGGAGTTCAAATCCAAATTCTGCTGCATAATTAGTTAGGTGACTCTAAACAAAGTTTTTTCTAAACCTATCTTTTCTTCTAGTTTAATAAGACCAATAATATTACCTACCTGTGAGGTCTGTTGTGAGAAATATATAAGAGAACTCAAGTAAAATCGTTAGCCTTAGCCTTGGAACAGGCTGTGCTGGTAAAAGCTAGTTATTATCATTACACAAGCATATAATTAAGCTCATTGTTCTACATTTGTAATACTGAGAAAATGGCTCATAAAAGGCCCCAAATGGGATGGTATGAGTTCTACATCAATATAGTATAATGTTTAAATAAATGAACATTTTTAAAGGGGCACTAACATTTCTTCTGCCACCACAACGTGCCAGACACAATTCCAGGCAACAAAGGAAGCTAAGAGAAATAAGGCTCAAACTTAACACAGCTTTACAGTTGAATGACAAGAGACACATTTAATAGATAACTACATTCAAAGTAGTATGACCATATTTCCTGATTTATCAGGAATCTCTTGTCCTGGCTTAAGAGTTATTTGTGTCTTCTTTCATTCTCAGTTGTGTCTAGGTCTGCTGATAAATTAGATGATCATTCCTAACTAGATGTATGTACTAACTGCTTGGGATACAAGAGAAGAAACCACCAGTTCTGTGTAAAGCTATAGAGACTTAAATTGCTTCTTTATAGGAACATCTGAATGAGTCAAGTGAATCAAAAGAAAGAGGAAAGGCAGAGGGAAGATTTAATTGTTATTTTTCTGAGTCAGAACTACAAAGCTTTCTATACTTGTGCTGTGAACATTAACTAATAGCAAACTTAGTAAATCCACTTGACCAATGTTATATAAATTACTTTTGGAATTTAGTATTTTTTTCCTAAAGATATAACAGGCATACTCCAAGAAACAAATTATTCAACATGTATTTGTTTATGTATACAACATACAGTATATCTATTGAGTGTATATTATGTATACATGGTCTGTTTTTAGTGTGATAGAAGATACCAAAAAAATTATAAGGTACAGGCAAGCATCATAAAATCTAATGGCAAACCCCAGATATCTTAGCTAATTAGTCAATAAGGTAATGAGACATATGGCACATGAATTGTGATTTGGGAAGATTGAGAAAAATCAGGAATTGTGGAATTTATTGAGAAAGGAGAAAATAACCAACTGTCAGAATAATCATGGACAGTGGCCCTTTCTGTGACTGAAGCAGCCAAAGATAGGAAGGCAAGCTAAGTCAAACTTTGCTTTACACTCTTACCTGTGGCTGACCCTTGCTGCTCATCAAACCACAAATATTCATTGAATGCCTGCTGTTTGCCAGGTAGCATACCGAGTGCTGTGGAAAAATTCAGTATAAAGCATGGTCTTTGTCTTTAATGAAATGTCACACATCAACATTTGAATAAATAGACACAGTAGCTTTATGAATGTGGTTGAGGGGATCACTGAGGTCTGAATTAGTTAGAAAAGTTTTTTCAAAGGGAAAGGAATTCGAGGTGGGTCTCTGTGAAGAAGGTAGTCAGATCAGTGTTTCCCAAACTATGTATTGCACACCTCTCGTGGTGTGGGAGATGATTTTAGGTGATACACTTCACTGGGGATGGGAAGTGGAAGGATGGAGAGAGGTAAATTAGGGTACATGCAGCTTGGCTAGCTTCAATACATAGCCTGTGATCCAATTGCATTGCAGCCCCTCACCTCAAAAAAAAAAGTTAGGAATTGTAACAAAATGCCTCTGGGGACAACAAGATAAGAGGAAGGGAGCCTTTGGGGTCACTCTGCTATGTCAAGTTACAGACTAAGTAACCAAGAACTCCTTTTTCTTTTTTTTAAACAGCTAACATCTATATATGGCAAGTAATACCAATTTTACATATATGGTAGTAATACAAGTTTCCTTTATATGTTTGTTAAAGTTAAAAATATGAGTCAGCTAAAAGAGACTTAACAAGTAAACAATAATGGTGATAAAGCTTGTGGTAGATTTCACACAGAAAAAAAAACAATAAAGAGAAAGGGGATGTGGCACTAATTTAGGAAGCACAAAGCTTAGTGAGCAAAAGTTCAGAAACTGACATCTTAAAGGTGTGTTCCCAGGGAAAGCAAGAACCACAATGGATCTTGAGTTGAGTATTGGCAGGCTGGCATACAAGAGTGGGGAAAGATGAAGTCCAAAAGGCAGATAACAAGAGGGAGTGGACTCTGCTGGCAATTAAGACTCAGCACCAGGGCTGCAGAGGAGAGGATACTTCTCCCCGTATCTTGAGGAAGCCCCTTAGCACGGAAGAACGAGCAGAACTAGCACCAGTGTGTGTTAGGAAGCCATTCAGCAAGCACCAGGGGGTCTCCCATCTCTTTGGTTCACCAGGAATCCAGGAAGAGGAGAAACGGAATATCTTGTTAGATGGTCTCAAAGCACCGGGAGATTTGGTGCCCTTAAATTTAGCAGGTGGGGCCGAGCGCGGTGGCTTACCCCTGTAATCCTAAAACACTGGGAGACCAAGGCAGGTGGATTGCCTGAGCTCAGGACTTTGAAACCAGCCTGGACAACATGGTGAAAACTCATCTCTACTAAAATACAAAAAATTAGCCAGGCATGGTGGTGCGCACCTGTAGTCCTGGCTACTTGGGAAGCTGAGGCAGGAGAATCGCTTGAACCTGGGAGGCAGAGGTTGCAGTGAGCCAAGATCGTGCCACTGCACTCCAGCCTGGGTGACAGAGCAAGACTCTGTCTCAAAAAAAAAAAAAAAAATTAGCAAGTGGAACAGAAATCTTGCCACTTCCTCCTAGCACAGAGATATACATGTTGCTTTCATAAAGAAAGTTCATCATGAGGCCGGGCACGGTGGCTCATACCTCTAATCCCAGCATTTTGGGAGGCCGAGGCAGACAGATCACTTGAGATCAGGAGTTTGAGACCGGCCTGGCCAACATGGTGAAAACACTTCTCTACTAAAATAATAATAATTTTTTTAAAAAAGAAAGTTCATGGTGAGTAAAAATTGGAAGTGAAGTTGGACGATGGCAAACCAGGATTCTTCACACCCATCTACACTCCTCCCCCAGCAAGTGTTACTGCCTCATAGTGATTCAGCTCTTGCTTTTGACCCCACCACTAGCTGGGCTGGGTAGCTGGGAGTGTTCTGATGCTATGTTCCCTGCCACTGTCACTGTGTTGGTGTACATGCCCTACATAATCCCCAGGACTGTGATGGACAGATTGCTAAAAATGCACCACCCCTTTACCCCAGTACTCTGGGTCCTAATCTCCAGAACCTATGAATAGGATGAGATAGCATTCCTATGATTATGTTAGGTTGTGTGTCATAGTTGACCTTAACATAAGGAGATTATCTGAGTGGGCCTGGTCTAATTACATGAGCCTTTGAAAGTGAAGAGTTTTCTCTGGCTGATGGCAGAAAGAGAAGTCAGAAAGATTCAAAGAATGAAAAGAACGTGATGCTTGTTGCTGACTTGAAGATGGGGGTGGGCCCACATGGCAAAGAATGCAAGTAGGCTCTAGGAGCAGAAAGTGGCCCTTGGCTGACAGCTAGTAAGGAAACAGAACCTCAGTCCTATACCCTCAAGGAACTGAATTCTACCAACAACAGAAAGAGCTTGGGAGCAGATTCTCCCCCAGGCCTCCAGATGAGAACTCTGACTTGCAAACACCTTGATTTCAGCCTGATACCGTGAGCAGAGAACCTGGCCATGCTGTGCTGAACTTCTGACCAACAGAGAGTATGAACTAATAAATGGATGTTGTTTCAGCCCACTAAGTTTATATTAATTTGTCACACAGCAATAGAAAACACAGCCACTGTCACAGACCCAACTCTTCTCTAGACTATCTTTGAGGTGACCCTCTAGCCTCAAGAGTGTATCTGAGTTTCCACTCCATTGTCAAGCCATAAAGACAAAGGCATCAATTCTCAGGCATTAGCAAACAAGCCTGGGATTTTTGTTTATGATTATACAGGGGAGGGAAACCATGGGAAAAGACTGGAATTCCTGATAATTTAGCAAATGGGGACTTACTGTGTTATTTCCACTTGGGCAAAAAAGCAAATGTGACATTATTTTGAAGTAACAAGCTGGTAGTCCTCTCATTTGTGGGTGGTAATAGAATTTCTGGTAGCATATGGTGCCATTCTCTGAAGACGAAAGACAGTGGAAAGACAAAGTCCCTTAGTAAAAAGAGAATGGTCTCTAGTGTCAGGCGGATATGGGTTTGTTTTGCAGATTATCTGATCTTGGGCTTTTGGGCAATTTTCTTAACATATTTGAGTCCCAGTCTACTCATCATAAAATATAATAATGCTTGCATAATTACCTAATAAGATTTGGCAAGAATTAAATTTAATAATTCATATAAAATCTCAATGCCTGCAGCATAGTAGACTATCAATAAGTTGCCTCCATTATTATAGTGGAATTCTTTTCACAACTTCCTTGCAATCTTTTTTTTTCTGAGACGGAGTCTTGCTCTGTCACCCAGGCTGGAGTGCGGTGGCATGATCTCGGCTCACTGCAGCCTCTGCCTCCTGGGTTCAAGCAATTCTCTTGCCTCAGCCTCCCGAGTAGCTGGGATTACAGGCACATGCCACCACGCCCTGCTAATTTTTGTATTCTTAGTAGAGATGGGGTTTCATCATGTTGGCCAGGCTGCTCTTGAACTCTTAACCTCGTGATCTGGCCTGGGCCTCCCAAAGTGCTGGGATTACGGGCATGAGCCACTGCGCCCGGCTCTCTCGCAATCTTTTTATAGTAAAAGTAACTAAATTATGGCATACAATAGACCAATGCTGTCCTACAGAAATATAACTCAAGCCACATATGTAATTTTAAATTTTCAAGTCACTACATTAAAAAAATGTAATTTTAATAATATAATTTATTTAAAATATTGTCATTTCAACATGCAATTAATATAAAATGTATTAATGATATATTTTACATTTTTTAAACTAAGACTTCAAATTCAGAATTTTTTATACTTACAGCACATCTCAATTCAGAATAGCCATGTTTCAGGTGCTCAGTAGCAATGTGTAGCTAGTGACTATGGTACCCGACAGCTTAGTACTAGACTTTAAATAAGTATTTCAGCAAATTCTCCTTTACTCTTTGTCAATTCTAAAATAAACATAAATAAATGATAAGCGATAATTATAAATATATGAGCACACACATACACATATTTCCCATTCTGGCACACAGCAAACTTAGAAGATTTTTTTTTTTACCCATCAGTTCTTGGTTATAATGAGTCACACTTCAATCAGAGGATCAGGGTGTAAGTGGTACACAGATTTCTAATTTCATTTCCAAAACATATGACAAATCGAAGCTACATAGTTAAAGTAATACTTGGCAACCATGATAACTAGGTTAAAACAAAAATCTATCTTGCACTGTAGAAAGCATGTTGGCTTCATTGCTTTTTAAAGTAACTTCAGTAGATGATTATATATTCATGTCATTTGCTTTTCCTTTAAAAACATTGGACTAGACTTTTGGTTCTACATAAGCTTTTTTCTTTCTAAGTTAACCTACCCATTATGCAAGAATGAAGACTAAAGCAAATCAGAAATGGTGGGTAATAGGAGCAATGCACAGCAGCCACCTAAAGACTTACTATTTCTTTTCTTTTCTTTCTTTTTCTTTCTGTCTCTCTTTTTTTTTTTTCGAGATGGAGTCTCACTCTGTTGCCTAGGCTGGAGTGCAGTGGCGCCATCTCAGCTCACTGCAACCTCCGCCTCCTGGGGTCAAGCAGTTCTCCTGCCTCAGCCTCCCGAGTGGCTGGGATTACAGGCGCTGGCTACCAGGGCCAGCTAATTTTTTTATTTTTAGTAGAGATGGAGTTTCGCCATGTTGGCCAGGCTGGTCTTGAACTCCTAACCTCAAGTGATCCACCCGCGTCAGGCTCCCAAAGTGCTGGGATTACAAGAGTGAGCCACCGTGCCCAACCAAGACTTATTATTTCTATACACATGTGAAAAAATCTGTGGTGTGCCCCAGGGCCTGCTGGGGGGAGGTGCGGGGCTGGGGAAGGGATAGCATTAGGAGAAATACCTAATGTAAATGACGAGTTGATGGGTGCAGCAAACCAACGTGGCACATGTATACCTATGTAACAAACCCGCACGTTGTGCACATGTACCCTAGAACTTAAAGTATAATAAAAAGAAGAAAAAATCTGTGGTGTTTCCACTGAACAGAAAGCCCTGTGAAATCTTCAGAGATGATTCAGACAGTGGTGTTTCTCCTAAAGTGGACTCAGAAAATATAGGACACATCCGAACATGCATAATGCAAGGTGGAACACTGAAAGTGACTATGAGAGATTCCCAAAAAAACCTAACGCAAGTATTTGTCAAAAGACAATCCTTCATAGTGAGGAAGAAAAGTTTCCTAGAAAAGTATCCTTTGTAAGAAGTTCTTTTTTTAATTTTTTTTTATTTTTAGACAGAGTTTCACTCTTGTTGCCCAGGCTGGAGTGCAATGGTGCAATCTCAGCTCACTACAACCTCCGCCTCCTGGGTTCAAGCGATTCTCCTGCCTCAGCCTCTTGAGTAGCTGGGATTACAGGCATGTGCCACCATGCCCAGCTAATTTTTGTATTTTTAATAGAGATAGGGTTTCGCCAAGTTGGTCAGGCTGGTCTCAAACTCCTGACCTCAGGTGATCAACCCGCCTCGGCCTCCCAAAGTGCTGGGATTACAGGCATGAGTCACTGTGCCAGGCCTGTAAGAAGTTCTAAAGAATGGTCTTTAAGGGAGAGTTAATAGGATCAATTCAATGCAACAGATTTTTGCTGTCCACCTATTGAGTGGCTATAGTAGGTAGTAGGGATTTCGTGATAGAAATCTCTATCCTTAAGCTGTTGGGATGGTGATGAAGAATGGTGGAAGACAATCCAGCAATTTAGCACTGTTATGTATTCCAACAGCTCTTTTCACCTCATACTACCTCTGACATCCCTTCGCCACTGAGGTATTCCCAAGCTCACCTCCCGTACACCCAAACAGCTTTTGGCTGCTTCTCTTTTTTTTTAGGATATGGCTCTTTATCTTGACCTTGCTCTCAGACCAGCCTTACCATGCGATGAGTGTTTCATTCTCTGACAGAGGTCCTGCAGCCACATGCAGACTCTGCCCATCTTCTGCTCTGGCTCTATCTCTAGTCAGGAAGCTGCTGAATCAAGAAACTGCCACCACAGCTTCCGGCTCCAGCATTACCCTTGTGCGAAGAGGAAGTTGCGCAGTTTAGAAGTATTATCACAGAGATAGATCTAGTGGAGGAAATTTGACTTAACCTGTGTGGGTCCAGAAAGGATTCCTAAAAGAGCAGATGCTTGAGAGGAATTACCCGAGAATGGAGGGAAAGTTGAAATTCTCTGTGCGTAGAAGAATAACATGTATAAAATCAGGAAGATATGAGAGGCTGATGCCTTTAGGGAACTAGAGAATGAGTTCAGGGCTAGAGGAAGGGTGCATGTGGGCCCAGATGATGCTGGACCTGCAAAAAGAGGCACTAGATCATGATAAGGAGTTTTTTGTTGTTGTTGTTTTTGAGACGAAGTCTCGCTCTGTCACCCAGGCTGGAGTGCAGTGACGTGGTCTCAGCTCACTGCAACCTCCACCTCCCTGGTTCAAGCAATTCCCCTGCTCAGCCTCCCGAGTAGCTGGGATTATAGGCACACGCCACCACGCCCGGCTAATTTTTTTTGTATTTTTAGTAGAGACGGGGTTTCACCATGTAGGCCAGCCTGGTCTTGAACTCCTGACCTCAGGCAATCCACCCGCCTCGGCCTCCCAAAGTGCTGGGATTACAGGCGTGAGCCACCGCAACTGGCCGATAAGGAGTTTGACTTTATTTAGAATATGATAATGAGCCAGGCAGGAGGACAAAAGGTACTAATGATGTTGCTTTAAGAGTAGATGTTGCTTTAAGAGTAAAGTTCAAATATATGAACATATGCTTAATGTATCATACAAAACCTTTGAACTTTAAAATAGTCTTGCTTTACTTTAATTAATTATCCTTGATAAGCTTCTTGTAACCTTCATTCATAAAGGATAGTATGTGAGAACCTGAAATTATAGTACCTACATGATTCCTTCCTTCCTTCCTTCCTTCCTTCCTTCCTTCCTTCCTTCCTTCCTTCCACTCATTCTCTTTTTCTTTCTCTCTTTTTTTCTTCTTACTTTTTTGAGACAGGGTCTTGCTCTGTTGCTCAGGCTGTAGTGCAGTGGCACAATCATGGCTCACTTCAGCCTTGACCTCCTAGGCTCAAGCGATCCTCCTGCCAACTCAGCCTCCCAAGTAGCTAGGATCAGAGGCGTGTGCCACCATGCTCAGTTAATTTTTATTTTTTTGTAGAGACGAGGTCTCACTATGTGTCTAGGCTGGTCCCGAATTCCTGGGCTCAAGTGATCCACCCTCTTCGGAATCCCAAAATTCCGCAATTACAGGCACAAGCCACCATACCCAGCCCCTGGTTTATTTTTTATTAATTGGAACAGTTTTATACTAGCTGGAGTTATCTCCTTAGAAGAGTAATTGCACACATATGGGATTCAACCTGGGCAATGTTATTTCCATGTGGCAGTCTGCTATTCATGTACTGTTTTCCAGACAATTTTTTTTCTTTTTTTAGTTTTGCTTTCTCTCACAATATAAAATTGCATATTCTATCTTACTAAAAAGCATGTTAAATGCAAAGATAAAAATATAAGAACCTGTTAGAAGAGGCTGATGACTTAAAAGAGAAAGGAAATTAACTTACTTGATGTTAACATTTTGGCTGTTTGACAAGCTGATATCAGGGAATTTTCTAAATGGGGAAAAGATGAAAGTTTTCTTGAAAATGATTACCTTTAGTAAAAAGAATTATCTCCACAGTGATTTCTTGGTGTAGAAGAGAAAGAATTCAAAGAGGATTATTATGCCCTTCTACTCCAGTCAAGACCTGCCCAACATATTCTTTTGCGCACTACAAAAGCATTTCAGTTCTACTTTCATATTCTGTTAACAGATAAATTGTAATTGAATAAAACAGATACACAAAATGTTAAGTCATTTATTTGTTATTGCTAATCATTTCTTAGCTTTGTTTTTATATAGTTTTATTGTATCTATATATTCTTTTAAAATACATTTAAAAAATTTAAAATTAATGAAATTTTTAAAAGCAGTTTTAGGTTGACAGAGTGGAAAGTACAGAGAGTTCTCATATAACCCTACTTCCCTCTCTGTCCGTCCCTCCAATTCCCCCTTTTGTTGACATGCTGGATTCATGTGGTATATTTGTTGTAATTGCTGAGCCAATATTACCATAGTATTTTTTAAGAGACCCTGGGATCTTGCTCTGTTTACCAGGCTGGGCTCTAACTCCTGAGCTCAAGCAATCCTCCTACCTCAACCTCCCAAAGTGCTGAGATTACAGATAGAGCCACCACGCCTGGCCCAAGCTATAGTTTTGTTAACTAAAGTTCATAGTTTTTACATGAGGGTTCACTCTTTTTATTATATGTTTTGTGGGTTTTGACAAATGTGTAATGACATAGTATCATCCAGAATGGTTTCACAGCCCTGAAAATCTCCTATGCTCCACCTATTCATTTCTTTTTCACCTTCCCACCTCCCCCTACCCTGGCTCCACAGTCCCTGGCAACCATTGATCTTTTTACTGTCTCCACAGTTTTGCCTTTTCCAGAATGTCATATATTTGGAATAACAATATGATTTTCAGATTTACCTATTTCACTTAGCAATATGTATTTAAGTTTCCTCCATGTATTTCTGTGGCTTGATAGCTCATTCTGAAATTGTTGTTTCCTCTATGTAATAGTGTAGAACCTATTCTTTTCAACTAACATGTGTCAATATAAGTTCACATTGTTGCTGTCTCTGTAAATTACTTATTTTGATTGTTGTATAATATTTTCTGTTGAAATGTACCACAGATTATTTATCCACTCTCCTGTAGATGGGCATGCATCTGGGTTGTTTCCAAGTTTTTGCTTTTGTAAAAAGTGGAGCTATGATTGTCCTTTTACCTGGTGCCTGTTGTATATGTGCAAGAGTTTCTCTTGATGTATACCTAACAGTAGAATTGTTGACTCATAGGGTATATGAATATTCAATTTGGAGTGATAATGACACAATTTGCCAATTTGCATTTTCTGTTTTTGTTGTTGTTTAGTACCCATTATGCCCCAGAACCAACTTTCATTTTCATAAGCAATGGATCCACAGCCTTCCCAACACTTAGCACAGACTCCTTAAGTTGCTGCCTTTTGAATAAACGTAAAATGATATCTCCCTATGCTCTTTTTTTTTAGAGACAGCATCTCACTCTGTTGTCCAGACTGGAGTGCAGTGGTACAATCATAGCTCACTGCAACCTCGAACTCCTGGATTCAAGTGATCCTCCCGCCTCAGCCTCCTGAGTACCTAGGACTACAGGCATGCACCACCACACCCAGCTAATCTCTGCAGTCCTTATTTGCATTTTTCTGATCAATAAAGCTGTCGAACAAAAGTTCTCAATTTTAATATTGTCTAGGAGATGTTAATTACAAAGAGTTTTTAACTTTTGTTTTTGACAGTAAAGTCATCAAATCAAATGGAGGAGATTTTGTATATAGTGCCAGGTAGGAATCCAGTTTCTTCCTGCTATATTTATTAAACAGATCCTCCTTTCCTCATTTTTCTGACATGGCATCTTTATCATATATCAAACATTTATGTGTGGGTCAGTTTCTAAGATATCCATTCTGTTTCATTGGTTAATTTATTTTTTGCTGCACCAATCCCACACCATCTTATTAATTTTAGTTTCATAATAAATATTAATAGTTACTGGGACAAATCCTCTCTCCCTGATACTTCTTTAGAAATAACCTGGCCGGTCGTGGTGGCTCACGCCTGTAATCCCAGAGCTTTGGAAGGCTGAGGTGGGCAGATTGCCTGAGGTCAGGAGTTTGTGATCAGCCTAGTTAACATGGTGAAACCCAATCTCTACTAAAAATACAAAAAACAGCCAGGCGTGGTGGTGTATGCCTGTAGTCCCAGCTACTCGGGAGGCTGAGGCAGGAGAATCACTTGAACCCAGGAGGCAGAGGTTGCAGTGAGCCAAGACTGCACCACTGCACTCCAGCCTGGGCAACAGAGCAAGAGTCTGTATCAAAAAAAAAAAAAAAAAAAAAGATGTAACCTGGCTATTCATGGACACTTATTAATCTTCAATATATATATTTTAGAGTAATCTTATCAAGTTCCATTAAAGCTCTTGTAGGAATTTTAATTGGAATTACATTGGGTATTTTGATAAATTTGGGGACAATTGATACATTCATAATAATAAGTCTTCCTACACATTAACACAGGTACAGCTCTCCATTTATTCAGAACTTTTTCGTGTTTCTTAACAACGTTTTATAATAATTTTCCGTAAAGAGGTCTTGGCTAACTTCTGTTAGATTTATTCCTAGATAGTTGATATTCTCTGATATTACTGTAAACAGTTTATTCTCTTTATGTTTTCTAGTTGTTTGTTGCTAATATGTAGTAATGCAATTGACTTTTGTTTCACATCAGATATCTTGTTAATTTGAAGATTATTTGGGGTTTTCTAGGTAAAGAATCATATCAACCACAAATACAGTTTTATTTCCTCCTTGCCAATCCTTATGCCTCTGTACTTGTTAGGACCACCAATGAAGATTAAACAGAAAAAATGACAGGGGAATCTTCATCTCATTCCTGTTTTAAAAGGGAATGCTTCTGCCGGGCATGGTGGCTCATGCCTATGATCCCAGCACTTTGGGAGGCCAGATGGGCGGATCACAAGGTCAGGAGTCTGAGACCAGCCTGACCAACACGGTGAAACCCCGTCTCTACTAAAAATACAAAAATTAGCCAAGCATGGTGGCATGCGCCTGCAGTCCCAGCTACTCAGGAGGCTGAGGCAGGAGAATCGCTTGAACCTGGGAGGCAGAGGTTGTAGTGAGCTGGGATCGCGCCACTGTATTCCAACCTGGGCAACAGAGTGAGACTCCATCTCAAAAAATAATAATAAAAAAATAAAAAAAAGGAATGCTTTTAATATTTTCCCATTTAGAAGGATGTTTCTTTAGATTTTCTAGTATAGATACTCTTAATCAAGTTAAGGAAGTTTCCATCTATTTCTAATGTACTAAAATTTTTTAATTATTTAAAAAATTGTAAATAATTTTTAAAATTATGAATAGCTATCAAATTTTGTAAAATACTTGTTTTATGGCTGGGCATGGTGGCTCATGGCTGTAATCCCCAGACTTTGGGAGGCCAAGGCAGGAAGATCACTTGGAGCCTGGATTTCAAGACCAGGCTGGGAAAACAAAGAAAGGACCTGTCTCTACAAAAAGAAAATTAAAAATTAGCTGGGCTTGTTGTGCTTATAATCCCAGCTACTTATGAGGCTGAGGCGAGAGTATCACTTGAGCCCAGGAGTTCCAGGTTACAATGAGCTATGATCCCGCCACTGCACTCCAGCCTGAGTGAGAGTGAAACTCTATCTATACAAATAAATAAATAAATAATTGTTTTACATTTTTTTTTTCTGAGACGGAGTCTTGCTGCGTCATCAAGGGTGGAGTGCGGTGGTGCATTCTCAGCTCACTGCAGCTTCCACCTCCCGGGTTCAAGTGATTCTCTTGCCTCAGCCTCCCAAGTAGCTGGGATCACAGGCGCCCACCACCATGCCCAGCTAAGTTTTTTGTATTTTTAGTAGAGACAGGGTTTCCCCATGATGGCCAAACTGGTCTTGAACTCCTGACCTCGTGATCCACTCGCCTCGGCCTCCCAAAGTGCTAAGATTACAGGCATGAGCCACCTCGCCCGGCTGTTTTACATTTTTAATATGATCATACAGCATTTCTATTTTAATCTGTTGATGTGACAAATTATATACATACATTTTCTAATATTAAACTATTGGTTGTAGGATATTACCTTTTTAAAATACATTGTTGGATTTGATTTGCTAATATTTTGTTTAGTGTTTTTGCAAAAATACTAAATACTATTTGTCTCAATAAAAGGTACTACTAAAAACCTAGCAAGAGACATAGAACAAAAGATTGAGGAAAATCTACAAAATGAAATGGAATTAAAGCAAGTATTTAAGAGGATTGGTGCACTGGGCATGGGGGCGCACGCTTGTAATCCCAGCACTTTGGGGGACTGAGGCAGGCAGACCACCTGAGGTTGGGAGTTTGAGACCAGACTGGCCAACATGGAGAAACCCTATCTCTACTAAAAATACAAAAATTAGCCAGGCATGGTGGCACATGCCTGTAGTCCCAGCTACTCAGGAGGCTGAGGTAGGAGAATCTCTTGAACCCCGGAGGCAGAGATTGTGGTGAGCTGAGATCACGCCATTGCACTCCAAACTCTGTCTCAAAAAAAAAAAAAAAAAAGGATTTGAGTGAAAAATATAGGTATGGAAGATAAGAAAAGAGATCCAACATATGCATAATTGGTGTCCTCACAAACATGGACCCTCACCCACCCTGAAAAAGAACCATCATACGTATTTAAAGACGTAAATCAAGAAAAATTATTTATCCAGATAAAAGGTAACCTAACTCTATTATGGACCAACCTACATGAAACATATCCTAGCAAAAAAGTTATTGAATGTCAAAAACCAAAAAAACCTGGCAAAAATTTAAGTCACAAAAATTGTGTCTGTGATTTCTTCTTTTTATTTTATTTTATTTTTTTGGGACAGAGCTTCACTCTTGTCACCCAGGCTGGAGTGCAATGGTGATCTTGGCTCACTGCAACCTCTGCCTTCTGGATTCAAACAATTCTCTTGCCTCAGCCTTCTGAGTAGCTGGGATTACAGGTGCCCACCACCACTCCCAGCTAATTTTTATATTTTTAGTAGAGAAGGGGTTTCACCATGTTGGCCAGGCTGGTCTTGAACTCCTGACCTCAGGTAATCTGCCTGCTGCAGCCTCCCAAAGCGCTGGGATTGCAGGCGTGAGCCACCACACCCAGCCTGATTTTTTTATAGCCCTGACTAGAAGTCAATAAAATAATATCCTCAAGGAACCCAAAGTCCTCAGGGAAAGAAAGCATGACTCAACAATTTTATGTCCAGTTAAATTGTTTTTCAGGTATAAAAGTAATAGAAGTACAATTCTCAATATGAAAGAATTCAGGCAATATAACCCCTGTGAGTTCTTCTTGAACAAACTACTTGAGGATTTACTTTCAGCCAAGTGAGAGATGGAGAAACTGCAGCAAAAGGACAAAATGTGAAGTATTGAATTCATTTAGCTGTCATAGACTGTAAAATAGACTATATAGACTAAAACAATAGACTAAAATAAAAGTCAAGTTTATGGTTAAAGATAAAACATAAATGTCATAAATTCTGATGTTCAAGGAATGTTACTTTTAATAAAAGTAGAAACAGGAAGAAAAAAGAAGGTAAAGGCTCAAGTAACTTCAAGTAATATGATTAAGAAAATTCATCTGACACTGGGATTTTTAAAGAAGCTCTCCAGGTGATTCTAATATGCAGGAGAATTTAGGCACCATTACATTATGAGAATAACATTAATTACTCACCTGTTTAAGTCCCAGTGAACCATGGTAAGCCACCAAACACTGTTAACTTCTATCAGCCTTCAGAACCCTTTAACTAGACCAGGGGACAGCAGTGTGTGACAACTGGTATGTTAAACATTATGTGAGAAGACTAAGTATTTTTTTTTCTTCTTCTTGGTATGACACATTGTTTCAATGTACAATCTTGGTAAGAACAGGCTGTTCTTGACTATGAACCTGGTCAATTGTTATAGCAATCACCAACAAGGGTTACATTGAATAAACCCAATCAGTATGTCAGTACCCAGAACAGTATCAATTATGGTGACTGACAAAAGAACAGTAGGCACAGCACAGACTAAAAATAAATAAATTAGAAAGCAAACACACCAAAACCCGAAAATAACCACTTGTAAGAGCTGGTATCTAGAAAATTCAAGAATGTTTGTTGCCTCCTCCTTGGGAGAAGTTGGGGACCAGCTCCCAGACATTATCTTTGTCTTTTCTTTCCTGTTTTCATAATTATTTTCTGATTCCATTCTGGGTTTTCCCACCAGTCTATTGGTTGGTTTGTGGATTTGCTCCCATAAGGCCAGCTGCAATTCTGAGCAGCCACTGGTAACCACTATCTTAGCTTTGCCATTACATTTTCTTTGTATACTTCAGGAACAGCTCCTGCTGTCCCTTATCATGATTCCCCCCAGTAATTTTCCCGCAGTAATTCTGAGTCCCCCAACTTCAGCCATAAAAAATACACATTTTCAAGTTTGTTTGTTTTTGCAGTGAATCCACCCCCCTTCAGAGTGATCTGCATATTTTTAATTTTTGAGGGCTGGTGGGCCTTGTTGCTGTGACCTAACCCAACAGGTCTTGGAGCATATTCCTCAGCAGCCCCTCTTTTTTTTATTTTGAGATAGGGTCTCACTCTGTTGCCCAGGCTGCGGTACTGTGGCATGATCTCAGCTCACTGCAACTTCTGCCTCCCGGGTTCAAGCGATTCTCTTGCCTCAACCTCCCGAGTAGCTGGGAGTACAGGCATGTGCCACCATGCCCAGCTAATTTTTCTATTTTTTGTAGAGACAGGGTTTCACCCTGTTGGCTAGGCTGGTCTCGAACTCCTGGCCTCAAGTGATCCACCTACCTTGGCTTCCCAAAGCGCTGGGATTACAGGTGTGAGCCACTGTGCCCGGCCTGAAGATGTTTTTTGTGTGCTTAAAATTGAACATGTTTTCTGCAGTTGAAGTTACAGTGTTCCCCATATGTCCATTAAGTCAAGTTTGCTAACCATATTGTTCAAATCTTCTTTATCTTTTCTGGTATTTTGGGTCTTCTTATTCTATCAGTATTGAAAAAAGTAGATTCATATCACCCACTATGATTATAATTTTGTCTAATCGTATTTGTAGTTACATTTATTTTTGCTTTTTAGATGTTGGGGCCACTTTATGAAGTCCATACAAATTTAGAATTATTCTGTCTTTCTGGTGAATTGGACCTGGGTATTTTATCATTGTGGAATGGTTTTCTATCTCTAGTACTACTTTTTGTTTTAAAGCCTGAAATTATTAAAGCTACATCAGCTTTCTTATGATTAGTATTTGCATGGTCAAAGTTTTTCCATTCTTTTGCTTTCAACTTCAGGATCTTCACTGAAAAAAGTGAGAGTTTACTGAATTCTAATTTGACAGCCATTCTATTGTCTTCTGGGTTCCATTGCTGTTGCTGGGATCTAACTATGGCTCCCTTAAAGGTATAAACTGCAGATATGAGCCTGGGCAGCAGGAATTTCAGCTCAGACAATTCATCCGCTTTCTCACAGACTGAGATTATGAGTCTGCTGGGCTAAATCAGAAGTTACTTTACAAGCAACTTTAAATTTGTATTGAAAACAGAACTTCTCTATTTTCACCAATAATCATTGTTTTAGGAATGACCAAATTCTGAGACCAGGATTGGCTACATAATTTGTAGGGCCCTGTGCAAAATGAAAAATGCAGGGCTGCTTGTTTAAAAATTATTTTACTTTATTTTTTTTGAGACGGAGTCTCGCTCTGTCACCCAGGCTGGAGTGCAGTGGCGCGATCTCGGCTCACAGCAACCTCCACCTTCCGGGTTCATGCCTTTCTCCTGCCTTAGCCTCCCGAGTAGCTGGGACTACAGGTGCCCACCACCACGCCCGGCTAATTTTTTGTATTTTTAGTAGAGATGGGGTTTCACAGTTTCACACTTTAGCCAGGATGGTCTCGAGCTCCTGACCTCGTGATCCACCCACCTTGGCCTCCCAAAGTGCTGGGATTACAGGCGTGAGCCACCGCGCCCGGCCAAAAATTATTAAGAATATCAACTTGGCAATAGCAAAACATTAAGCCTAGTGCAGGGTCCTGTGCAACTGCACATATTGCATACCCATGAGGCTGCCTGTGTGAGAGGGACTATGCTTGCTGAACTCATCTGCACAAATGGACTTATTTGTTCCATTAGGACTGCAGTGAAATTCAAAAGGAAAGAAAAATACAAAAAATGAGTCATAAGATTACTCAAAGATTTCATTTTAGAGGTCCACTGTCCCTAAAAGGACTAAGGATGAGTAAGTGCTTATTGCTCCAGGAAGTTCTCAACAGTTCTGGGATCCTTTACTAGTAATTTGCATGATTGTAAGAACTAGGCTTAGATAATTTCCTAACCAAAAATCAGTGCCCTGTGCCCTTTGTTCACAATGTTGACATGACCAGTATGACTGATACACCACCTCCCTTGAACCTTCTGGGAGGCTTTTCTCAGTGTATAGTTCAGGCACCATTACTTACCCTAGAAAAATGAAGACTACTGCAACTAGAAAGAATCTTGGAGTGTTGGCCAGCATCCAGTAAGAGGTTCTTAGACCAACATAGCCACCTAACCTTTGAATCCTGGCTGCCTGAAATTTTTGGTTACGTTAAAAAATGATCAAACAAGAGCATACATATTAAGTAGCTCCTGTCGTATAGGTGGTGGCTGCCAGAACTTGTGGACAGATGTGATAGAAATGAATTTTTTAATTATATAATTTTGAACTATTTAATTCAGCTAAAATGACACCAGACCCATTTGATGAATAAAAAGATTGCATGAAAAAAAGGAGTCATAAAATTTTAAGAAGAAATGGATAACCTTCTTGCAAACATGAAAACTTTTTCTAGAGAGAATATATAAACAAATGACTTCTTATGATTCTCAGCTGTTGACTTCAGAAGGCCACTTATTCTGATTATAATAAGCAAGCAGAATGTCAGAGATGAAAGGACTCGCTTTTGTTCAATTTACTACAAACGTCACCACTTGTAAGAAGGTAGTACTGAAGCAGAAGGAAAAAAGAATCCAGAATTCAGTTCTGTTTTCTGAACATTTTCTCATGTTTTGGTTTGGTAAAGGACAACTACTACCCGTCCTTTAGATTTCGCTGTGGAAATAATAACTTAGATGAAACAAATGCATACCGGCAAGTAAATAATAGTTGTGTGATGTATGCCTGGAAGAGTATCAAGCCAAAATAAAATTCAGATATCTGATAAGATACCAGGCTTTCATTAGGTGGGGCAAATGAATAGCAATACTATTATTCATTCATTCAACAAATGCTTATTGAATTTTTACCATTTGTCAAGTGGCAAGATAGTGAAAAATAAAAGATTTTTATATATACAATCTTGCATATATGTAATCTATTATATAGAAGATTGCATAATATATATAGTACCAGAGATTAAAGAAAGAGGAAAAAGGCAGGCAAAAGGACTAGGAAGTGGACAGGGGTTAAAATTTTAAATAAGGTGGTGGTCAAGGTAGACTTCACTGAGAAGATGACATTTGAAGAAACGCTTGAAGAAGATGCAGGAATTATGAGAGTTTGAGTGTTTGTGTATATGAAGAGATTGAAGATAAAAGAGAAGAAATCAATAATGGAAGAAAGTCTGGGAGGTGAGAAGGGGGTGAATCAAGGGGTGTAGGCAAAGGGGGTGTGCTCAATAAAGGGGAAAGACAATTCACTTTCTGAGATCAGAGAAAATGACCTAAACATGAATTAAGAGTAAAAGGGCAATTGTAACTTGTTGACTTTTATACAAAGTTAAGGTCATATTAGCAACCTTAAATCCTGTGGGATGTGATGAAGTCTAAAGAAATAGTGATGATAATTAATAGAAAAAAGAAAGGTAAAAATATATAACTTTGAGGCCTGAGGTATAGCATAAGGAAAAACAAGCTTACTTTAGAATAATGCCCGGATAGGTTCAGTGTTTAATAAATTATTATGACAGCTTATAAAGAAAGCACCAAGCAAAATAAGGCCATGACTTTATAACCATGAAAAAAACATAAAACCGCTGGGCGTGGTGGCTCACGCCTGTAATCCCAGCACTTTGGGAGGCCGAGGTCAGGAGATCGAGACCATCCTGGCTAACATGGTGAAACCCCTTCTCTACTAAAAATACAAAAAACTAGCTGGGCGTGGTGGTGGACGCCTGTAGTCCCAGCTACTCAGGAGGCTGAGGCAGGAGAATGGCGTGAACCCAGGAGGCGGAGCTTGCAGTGAGCCGAGATCGCGCCACTGCACTCCAGCCTGGGCGACAGAGCAAGACTCCGTCTCAAAAAACAAAAACAAAAACAAAAACAAAAACAAAAACAAAAACAAAACCCATAAAACCATCTGAAGGAAATTCAGGAAACTAAAGTTATCCACCATACACCAGAAATGTATCATCGATAAACACTGGTCCCCAGCAATGAAACCAAAAATGAATTAGATTATGGCATATATTTTTCATTTTCTGACAAAAGAGTGTTTCCAAAATCACTGATATGAGCACACTGTTTTCCAGAACTAAGCTTTGGGACAAATTCACCATAAGCCCTTTTATGTTTAAAAGCAATTGGGAATATAACATATATTTTTACCATGATTTTATTAAAACTGGGGAATTGCTACTCAAAACTTTATAAACCAGAGGCTGCAACATCAAATCATGGTGAACAAAGGTGTAGGTCACTTATTCTGTGATGATCTCACAATGCAAGGATGTTTACTCTTGGAGAAACTTGCTTAATATACCCCGACGCGTTTGTGTTTTGTTTGTTTGTTTGTTTAACAAAGAAACTTGCTTAAGTTCTGAATAAAATCTACCTGAAGCTCAAAGCAGAAGGCTAAGAGTTATGTTTGGTTTCACCTTAATATTATAAATGCACTTTTCTGATATCTTTTATAAGGTTCTAAAACAAATGGACAGTAGATATTAAATGTAGTTTGACAGGTAGCCAAACAAAAATAAACATACAGAGAAATGTTAGGAGAGAAACCCAATACTGCTATATTTATGAATGAATGACTAGAATGGAAATGTAGTTTAGATTCTGAGCTAAGACAAAACATAACAAAAATTCATGAATTTTTAAATTTAGAAAACTGTTGCATAAAACATGGAGAAATAGTTAAAGTCTGTAACTGAGCCTATAAGAAAGACAGAAAATTCCCTGGTGCCAGAAATTGCTGATAACTGATTTCTAGAGTGGAAAGTGTATGAACTGATACTAAGATAGATTACTGGATACAAATGTTCACCCCAATAGCCAGAGGGTGGGGTTTAACAATCAAAGGAGAACATAAAATATAGTCTTGACCCTTCTAAAGCAGGGATATAAAACTGATACTTCCTTAAGAAAGCAATGATCTAATGAAGGAGTTCCCCTCTAGGAAAGAGGAATAGAAAAACTGTCAGATAAGAGTCAAGGAAGCTCGCTCTAAGCTGGACTCTGTTTGGGATAGAGATCCCCTTCCCCAAATGAGAAACCAGACTTAAAGTTAAGCTTCTTCCAGATGAGGAATCTGAATTTATTCTACCCCTATGGTGAGGGAAGTCCAAGCTGAGGCATTAATATTAAAACTGATGCAGGACCCCAGTGAAAAATACCTAGGGTGCCTGGCAGAAGCAAACACAAAACTGCTCTATAAGGTTGTTCTTTCAACAGTGGTCCATGAATTTTACACTGAAGCTAGGTTCACAATAAAAAATGGCAAAGTCACTCAAAATACACAATAAAAAAACAACAAAACATATAAAATTAGATTACAGTCCCTCCAAACACAATAAACAGGAGGATAAGCAACCTTAAGGCCTTGAGTTATAGAAAAATATTTCTTTTTTTCTTTTTTGATACAAGGTCTCGCTCTGTTGCCCCGGCTGGAGTGCAGTGGTGTGATCATGGCTCCCTGCAGCCTTGACATCCTGGGCTCAAGTGATACTCCCATCTTAGCCTCCTGAGTAGCTGGAATTACATGCATAAGCTGCCACGCCCAGTCAGAAAATGTTTCTGAAAAATAATTATCTTTCAAGTTATTAAAAAGATTTTAAAAATTTTGAAAAAATAATAATGTTTTTAATATATATATATTTCTTTCTTTCTTTCTTATTTTTATTTTATTTTTTTTTGAGACAGAGTCTGTCTCTGTCGCCCAGGCTGGAGTGCAGTGGTGCAATCTCGGCTCACTTCAACCTCCGTCTGTCTCCTGGGTAGAAGCGGTTCTCCTGCCTCAGCCTCCTGAGTAGCTGGGATTACAGGCGAGCGCCACCATGCCCAGCTAATTTTTGTATTTTAAGTAGAGACGGGGTTTCACCATGTTGGTCAGGCTGGTCTCAAACTCCTGACCTCGTGATCCACCCGCCTCAGCCTCCCAAAGTGCTGGGACTACAGCCGTGCCCGGTGTAATAATAATTTTTAAAGATAAAAAGATTAAAGAAAAGACAAGAATCAAAATTATAGGATAATGCGTATGAAAGACAACAGACAATTTTGATTTTGAAAAACATAAAATTTCTAGAAATTAAAAAATGTTATTTGAATTGAAAAATTCAATGAGCTACTTATTAGAGTACAGATTATACACACCTGAAGAAAAAAAAATAGTAAAATGGAAGCTAGAGAAAAATAATATTTTTTAAGGTTTTCTTTTCTTTTCTTTTTTATTATTATTTTTTTACTTTAAGTTCCGGGATACATGTGCAGATTGTGCAGGTTTGTTATATAGGTATATATGTACCATGGGCTTTGCTGCACCCAACAACCCATCACTTTTTTTTTTTTTTTTTTTAGACGAGTCTGGCTTTGTCGCTCAGGCTGGAGTGCAGTGGCACGATCTTGGCTCACTGTAAGCTCTGCCTCCCGGGTTCACACCATTCTCCTGCCTCAGCCTCCTGAGTAGCTGGTACTACAGGCGCCCGCCACCACGCCCGGCTAATTTTTTGTTTTCGTAGTTTTAGTAGAGACGGGTTTTCACCGTGTTAGCCGGGATGGTCTCGATCTCCTGACCTCGCGATCCATCCGCCTCGGTCTCCCAAAGTGCTGGGATTACAGGCATGAGCCACGGTGCCCCGCCCCCGTCATCTAGGTTTTAAGCCCCACATGCATTAGGTATTCGTCCTAGTGCTCTCCCTCCCCTTGCCCTCACCCCCGAGAATTTATTTAGATGCATCATGCAGTGGGAAAGGATGAAAAATACTATTGAGAGGTTCTGAAACATGAAGAATAAACTGATAGGCCCAATATATGTCTGATAGTGGTTCACAAAGAGTAGTAAGAATGCAAGACAGCCTATATATAAAACATAATGGCTGATAATTTTCCAAAGATTATGAAAGAAGTAAATTCCCAAATAGAGGAACACACTGAGAATAGAAAAGAATAAATACAAGTAAAATAAGGCAATGTGCAATGGCTCACACCTGTAATTCCAGTGCTTTGGGGGGCCAAGGCAGGAGGATCATCACTTGAGGCTAGGAGTTTGGAAGAAGCCTGGGCAATATAGCGAGACTCTGTGTCTACAAAAAAGAAAAATATTAGCTGGGCCATGGTGGTGAGCGCCTACAATCCTACATAGTCCTAGCTATTCAGGAGGCTGAGCAGGAGGATTGCCTGAGCCCAGGAATTTGAGGCTGCAGTAAGCTATGCTCGTGCCACTGCACTCCAGCCTGGTGACAGTGTGAAACCCTGTCTCAAAGATAAATAAAAATAAAATGAAAGCAAAAAAAATGTGATGTATGTATGTCCAAACACATCACAGTGATACTACAAAATTCCTAAAAAAGAAAGAAACTCTTAAGGAAACCTTGAGAAAATATGGACGTTGCAAAATACCTCAGATATAAAGAAAAATCAGAAAGGCAACCCAGAAGAACAATTTCACTGAAAACAGATACATCAGTAGCAACTACAGAAATCAGAAAACAAAGAATAATTATTTCAAGGTGCCGAAGGGGGAAAACAAACATCAGCATAGAATTCTGTATCAAGTGAATCTATCATTCAAGAGTGAAAGAGAAGTAAAAAGATTTCAGACAAGCTGATTGAGGCAGTCTGCCTCTTAGACTTTTTCAGAAAGAACTTTCTTAATAGAAAGAGAAATGAATTAAGGAAGAGTGGGATGCAAAAAACAATGATGATCAAAGGATTTTTAAATATTGACTTAATTAAACAACAATAAAATGACTAAATTTGGTTTAAAATGAGGTGATCCCTGCTGTCTCCCACAAACAATTTTATTTTTTGAGAACTAGATGAGCTTATTTTAAAGTTTATGTGGAAAAATAAGCCAGAATAGTTGGGAAAAAATATGAAATAGAGGAGTAATGAATGGGAACTCTGTCTATAAGCTATTAAAACATTTTATAAAGATAATTAGGGTAATGTGGTTTGGGCAGGTAGAAAAACAGACAAATAAGTGAAATAATAGAAAGTACAGAAATTGTAGTAACATATATTGAAATTTAGTTTATAGTAAAGGTCAGACTTAAGTCTTGTGGAAAAGACAGATTAAGCAATTAGTACATTAGAACAACTGGTAGCTATTAGGGAAAGAAGTAAATTTAATCGGTTGAGTGTGATGGTTCACGCCTATAATCTCAGCATGAGAGGCCGAGGTGGGCAGATCACTTGAAGTCAGGAGTTCAAGACCAGCCTGGGCAACATGGTGAAACCCCATCTCTACTAAAAATACAAACTTAGCTGGCCTTGATGGTGCACTCCTGTAGTCCCAGCTACTCGGGAGGCTGAGGCATGAGAATCAACTTGAACCTAGGAAGCGGAGACTGCAGTGAGCCAAGATCATGCCACTGCACTCCAGCCTGGGCGACAGAGCAAGACTCCGTCTCAAAAAAATAATAATAATAATAAGTAAACTTAACCTCTATCTACCTCAAACCCCAAACTAAAATAAAACCTAAGTGGATCGAAGATTTAAATGTAAAAAATTAAACTATGAAAATACTTCAAGAAAATATGGAAGAATATTTATTAAAAATCGTGAAGTGATGAAGGCCCTTCTAAATCTGACAAAAAATGCAGAAACTATAAAAGAAGCTATTGCTAAACTTATTACACATCAAATTATGCAAAAATTCCTGAAGGGAAAAAAGCCAAACAGACCCATAAGCAAAGTTAAAAGACAAATGACAATCTGAGAAAAAATACTTGCAATTAATATGATAAACACAAGAAAAAAAGCTAACAATTCTATAAAGGAAAGGACATACGATGTGAAGTGACAGTTCACAAAGAAGGAAATAACAATGGTTCTTAATATATGAACACATATAAAAAACGGTTTTTAACTTAAGTCATAATAAGTGTGATGGTTAGTTATATGTGTTAACATGACTGGCCTAAGGGACGCCAGATAGCTGGTAAAATTATTTCTGGATGGGGCCGGGTGCGGTGGCTCACACCTGTAATCCCAGCACTTTGGGACGCTGAGGCAGGCGGATCCACCAGGTCAGGAGTTCGAGAGCAGCCCGGCCAACATAGTGAAACCCCATTTCTACTAAATATACAAAAATTAGCCGGGTGTGGTGGCACGTGCCTGTAGTCCCAGCTACTCGGGAGGTTGAGGCAGGAGAATTGCTTGAACTCGGGAGGTGGAGATTGCAGTGAGCCGAGACCATGCCATTGCACTCCAGCCTGAGTGACACAGTGAGACTCTGTCTAAAAAAAACAAAAACAAACAAAAATAGGCCAGGCACAGTGGCTCACACCTGTAATCCCAGCATTTTTGGAGGCTGAGGTGGGTGGATCACAAGGTCAAGAGATCGAGACCATCCTGGCCAACATGGTGAAACCCCGTCTCTACTAAAAATACAAAAATTAGCTGGGTGTGGTGGTGTACACCTGTAGTCTCAGCTACTCGGGAGGCTGAGGCAGGAGAATCACTTGAACCCAGGAGGCAGAGGTTGCAGTGAGCCGAGATCATGCCACTGCACTCCAGCCTGGCTACAGAGCGAGACTCTATCTCAAAAAAAAAAAAAAAATGTCTGGATGTGTCTGTGAGAGTATTTCTGGAAGAGATTAGCATTTGAATCAGTAAACTGAGCATTTGAATCAGTAAACTGAGTGAAGACTATTTGCCCTCACTGGCCAGGCGCGGTGGCTCACGCCTGTAATCCCAGCACTTTGGGAGGCTGAGGCAGGCAGATCACGAGGTCAGGAGTTTGAGAACAGCATGGCCAACAAGGTGAAACCGCTTCTCTACTAAAACTACAAAAAATTTAGCCAGGTGTGGTGGCGGGTGCCTGTAATCCCAGCTGCTCAGGAGGCTGAGGCAGGAGAATCACTTGAACCTGGGTGGCAGAGGTTGCAGTGAGTCGAGATCGTGCCACTGCACTATAGCCGGGCGACAGAGTGAGACTGTCTCAAAAAAAAAAAAAAAAAATTTGCCCTCACCAAGCATGCAATCTGCTGAGGGGCCCATTGGAACAAAAAGGTAGAGAAAAGACAAATTATTTCTTCTAAACTAGAATATCCATCTTCTGCTGCCCTTGGACATTGGACCACCAGCTTTTCTGGTTCTTTAGCTTCTAGAAGGCAAGAACTTTTTGGCCTCCATAATTATTGCATGAGCCAATTCCCATAACAAATCTTCTCTTTATCTATCTATCTATTTTTCTTTTTTTTTCTTTTTTTTTTTTGAGACAGAGTCTCACTCTGTCACCCAGGCTGGAGTGCAGTGGCACGATCTTGGCACACTGCAACCTCTGCCGCCCAGGTTCAAGCAATTCTCCTGCCTCAGCCTCCCGAGTAGCTGGGATTACAGGCGCCCGCCACTGCACCCAGCTAATTTTTGTATTTTTAATACAGACAGGGTTTCACCATCTTGGCCAGGCTGATCTTGAACTCCTGACCTTGTGATCCACCTGCCTGGGCCTCCCAAAGTGCTGGGATTACAGGAGTGAGCCACTGCGCCCGGCCTATCTATCTATCTATGTATTTATCTATCTATCTATCTCCTATTGATTCTGTTTATCCAGAAAACCCTAATAAGATAAGAGAAATGCAACTTAAAACTTCAATAAGATGAATTCTTTACCTATCTGATTTGCAAACAACAAATGTTTCTAATCATTGGCAAGGATATAGAGAAATCTTTTTTAAAACAATTATTTGTAAAAATTTATTCAGTGAGTTTGTAAGGTGACTAGATAGGGAAATGCTAGTTGCTGCATCAAATAAACTTCGTCATTTCATTTACTTAATACAACAGAATTTTTTTTTCTTGCACATATAATAATCTAGTGCCAGATTTCCTAGTGGTAAGAGCAGGTAAGGAAAGAGGAAAAGGTAGGGATGGAGGTCTGATCCATGAAGTCATTTAGGGACCTATAGGTTGATGGTGACTTTGTCCTCTTCAACATGAGGCTTTCAAGGTTGCCCTGAGTATCAACATCCACCAATAAAAGCAGAAAAAGTATGGAGAGGGGTACATGGGAAGTTTTAATGAGGCAGAATATAAGACGATAATGAAAGAAATTTGGAGAATTGATTGAAATTAAAACATACATGCCCTTTGATGCAGGCCCTTTAAGGAATTTATACTACAAATATACATATAGTGTGCAGAATGAGGTCTATACAAATATATTCACTAAAATATTGTTTTTAGGCCGGCATGGCAGCTTACACCTGTAATCCCAGCACTTTGGGAGGCCAGGGGCAGGGAGGATCACCTGAGGTCAGTTCGAGACCAGCTTGGCCAACAGGGTGAAACCCCATCTCTACTAAAAATACAAAAATTAGCTGGGTGTGGTGGCACATGCCTATAATCCCAGCTGCTTGGGAGACTGAGGCAGGAGAATCACTTGAACCCAGGAGGCGGAGGTTGCGGTGAGCCAAGATCGCATCACTGCACTCCTGCCTGGGTGACAGTGAGAATCTGTCCCAAAACAAAAAAATTGTTTTTAGTAGCAAAGACATTAAACAACATAAATATCCATAGTAGGTGACTGATTAAATATATTATGCTACATGCATACAATGGCCATTTTAAGAATTTTAAAACTATTGTATTATCATAAATATTTATATAAATTATAAAGAATTATAGTTATATATGTACTGATAGGAAATAATCTCCAAGAAATATTTTTAGATGGAAAAACAACATGTAGAACAGTGTGGGTCTTATGCTATCCCTTATACGAGAAAGGAAAAAATATATACAGACCCGTATGTGTTTGTATATGCACACATTACCTTTGGTGGGATATTCAAGGAGCTGGTACTAATGGTTGCCTCTGAGAAGGTGATCTTGGAAGCAAGGGACAGAGATGGGAAGAAGCCTTTCCACTGTACACCTTTTTGTAGCTTTCAAAAAATTTTTTTCTTTTTTTTTTTACTGTGTGCAGCCTAGTCAAAACATAAAATAATTAAAAATAAATTAAAATATCAGAGAACAATAATATGGAAGATGATGGGAATTAGGCAGAAAAAGCATGATGAGGATTAGTCAAAAAGAGGGTAAACACATTTTAAACTTGAGCTATTTTAAAGACGGGATAATATTTCTGTTTTGTTTTTTTTTTTTTTTTTTTTTGAGACCGAGTCTTGTTTTTGTTTCCCAGGCTGGAGTGCAGTGGCATGATCTCGGCTCACTGCAACCTCCGCCTCCTGTGTTTAAGCAATTCTCCTGCCTCAGCCTCCCAAGTACCTGGGATTACAGGCGCCCGCCAACACACCTGGCTAATGTTTGGTATTTTTAGTAGAGATGGGGTTTCATCATGTTGGTCAGGCTGGTCTCAAATCCCTGATCTTAGGTAATCCACCCGCCTCAGCCTCCCAAAGTGCTGGGATTACAGGCGTGAGCCACTGTGCCCAGGATAACATTTTAAGGTAACCACTAAAAGAATAGGTATAGGCAGGGTGTGGTGGTTCAAACCTGTAATCCTAGCACTTTGGGGAGGCCGACATGGGCAGATCACTTGAGCTCAGGAGTTCAAGACCAGCCTGGGCAACATGGAGAAACCCCGTCTCCACAAAAAACACAAAAATTAGCAGGACACAGTGGTGAACGCCTGTAGTCCCAGCTACTAGGGAGGCTGAGGTGGGAGGATCACCTGAGTTCGGGAAGTCAAGGCTGCAGTAAGCCGAGATCAAGCCACTGCCCTCCAGCCTGGGCTACTGGAGTAAGACCCTGTCTCAAAAGAAAAAAAAAATAGGTAACAAATGTACAGTAATTCTAGGGTGGGCGTGGTGGCTCACACCTGCAATCCCAGCACTTTGGGAGGCCAAGGCGGGTGGATCACTTGAAGTCAGGAGTTTGAGACCAGCCTGGCCAACGTGGTGAAACCCTGTCTCTACTAAAAATACAAGTTAGCCAGGGGTCATGGTGCGCACCTGTAATCCCAGCTGCTTGGGAGGCTGAGGCAGGAGAATCGCTTGAACCTGGGAGGTGGAGGTTGCAGTGAGTGGAGATCGTGCCACCACACTCCAGCCTGGGCGACAGAGTGAGACTCCATTTCCAAAAAAAAGAAAAAAGAAAAAAGAAAAAAAAGTATAACAATTCTAAAATAGAGAAAGGGTGAAGAAAAGTTAATGATTTCAACAGAAGGCAAAAAGGAAGAAACAAAAAGCAAAGGTAAGACTGGTAGTAATAAATTAAAATACATCAGAAATCACAATTAATGTGAACTGATTAAACTCACAAGTAAAAGACAAGATAATTTCAGATAGGCCTCTTTAGATTAACCAGCCGGCCAAACACCAGAGATATGAGAAAGGTCGTGTTAGATTAGACCATTCAGTCCCAACCAAACTGGCCCAGACCGAAAGAAACCATTCAGCCAACTCACAGAATCATAACAAACAATACATGTTTTTTTTGTTGCTTTTGCATGATTTGTTATGCAACAAAAATGATCTGATAGAGTTGGGATATTAAAATTTATTTTAAAATACTTCTAATAGTTTTATGCCACTGAATTTGAAAATCTTAAAAAAAGATAATGTTCTAGAAAAATATTAATTCCAGAAACAGATTCAAAAAGAAAAATATGAATGAAAATACAATCATTAATCTAAAACAAGTCCTCATTTAAAGTACTAGGTTTAGTGTTTTATAGGAGATTTTTAAAAAGCCAAACTTCAAATAACAATTAATCTTCCAGAGAATTAAAAAGGAGGGAGAAGACACAAACTGGTATAACTGGTATAACTTTGATACAAAATTACACAAAGACAGCAAGGAGAAAGAAAAACTAAAGGTCAATACTGCTGATAAACATTTACGTAAAATCCCTAAACAAAATGTTAGGAAATAAAATCAAGCATGTAAATACACATATAGAAAACATATACATACATGTGTGTGTATGTATGTTTATAGATGTATCATGATCAAGTAGGCTTTATAGCAGAAATGCAAAACAGGTTTAACAATGAGAAAATCTGTAATATAATTCATTATTCTCGTTAAGAGATTTAAAAAGCAAAGCTATATTAACGTCTCAATAGGTGCAGAAAACGTAAACAAACGATAAACCCCTTGGAAGACTACGAATAGACAGAAACTCCCTAATGTGAAGGAGAATACTGTGAAATTTATTTGACTTTTAGTTTTCGGTTTCTTTCCTGCATTTGCATTTTCTCTTCTCTATCACTGGAGGGCTGGAAGGCTGACAACTACATTTCCCATGTTCCCTTGCTGTGGTTTGGTTCAATTCTGTCAGTAGGAGACAATGGTGGGGATTTAAAAGGTGGCAAAGGGAGAGAATCCATTTGTTTTCTTCTGCAGCAGCCTCTAGCAGCAGAAATAGCTGTGCTGCAGCTGCTCAGAAGCACAGACTTCCTGGGCTTGGAGTGACACCATTTTTCACTTTTTTGCCCCTTCGCCTTTTCAATAATTTTGTAATTAATTCCCCGAGCTAACTTTCCTGTTTGAAATACTTAAGTGGTTTACATTTTCAAAAATTGGTTAATAATTGAAATAGGTATCCAGTAAACTGCAACAAACATCATTATGAGTGGTGAAACAGTAGAAAAATTTCCTTTGAAGACAAGTACAGGACAAAGATGCCTGCCCTTAATGCTTTCCAGTGAACATTGTACTGGAAGCCTTAGATTCAGCAATAGGACAAGCCCAAAGGAAATTATGCGAAATTAAAAGGAGGCGACAGAATTGTCATTAGAACAAGTAGGATGCTCAGCAACCTTCTAGTGCTTCTGGGTACTAGATCATTAAATAAAATCAATACCATGCTTATAAATGATATTGGAAAGGTTTTATTTCTTAAATGAAAAGAAAGGATATTCAAAGAAAACATGGTAAAATGATAGTGTTAAATCTTGGCTCTGTGTACATAGATAGATACCTGTTACAGTTTTCTTTTTTCTTTTTTTGAGACAAGGTCTTGCTCTCTCACCCAGGCTGGAGTGCAGTGGCGTAATCTTGACTCACTGCAACCTCTATATGCCAGGCTCAAGTGATCTTCCCACCTCAGCTCCCTGAGTAGCTGGGACTACAGGCTCGTGCCACCATGCGTGGCTAATTTTTGTATTCTTAATAGAGATGGGGTTTCCCCATGTTGCCTAGGCTGGTCTCAAACTCCTGGGCTCAGGAGATCCACTCACCTTGGCCTCCCAAAGTGCTGGGATTATAGGCATGAACCACTATGCCCGGCCTTTCTCTCTTCTTTATTTAAAAACAAACAAACAACCTACTTTAGGTCAGAGCTCCAAGTTTTCTTAAATTGCTAAAAAAACAATTACTGAGTAAATTAGCCAGGTGCATTGGCACCTGCCCATAGTCTCAGCTACTTGGGAGGCTGAGGCGGGAGAATTGCTTGAGCCCAAGAGCTCAAGACCATTTCAGGCAACACAGTGAGACTCCCTTCTCAATTAAAATAATAATAATAATAATAACAAAAATAAAATTACATAGTAAATTAAATTACAGGCTACAGGAAGAAATTGTATAGGGTTAATTAATGTTCAGTTTATATTAAATAAAAGAAAAATAGGCTGGGTGCAGCGGCTCATGCCTGTAATCCTAGAACTTTGGGAGGCTGGGGTGGGAGGATCACTTAAGTCCATGAGTTTGAGATCAGTCTGGACAACATAGCAAGAACCCGATCTCTAAAAACACACATACACACACACACACACACCCCATAAGGTAATTATAAGTCTATGTAGTTTTTTAAATTTCTAGGAATGAGAGCCTGGTTCTCTCCATGAGAATGAGTTGATTTTGCTCCACACAGTAGCATTCTGGGACTTCAGAAACTTCAGGATATACTTCTGAAAGAACCTCAGGATTGTATTAGTCTGCTCCAGCTGCCCCAACAAAATACCACACACTGGATGGCTTAAACAGCAGAAATTAATTTTCTCAGAGTTCTAGAAGCTAGAAGTCCAAGATCAAGATTCTAGCCAATTTAGTTTCTGGTGAGAGCTGTCTTCCTGGCTTGCAGACAGCTGCCTTCTTGCTGTGTCCTCACATGGCCTTCCTTGGTGCATGTGCTCAAGGGAGCAAGTTAGCAAACTCTCTGTTGTTTCTTCTTATAAACCCATCCTTATGGTCACATAACCTCAATCACTTCCTCAGCGGCCCCTTACCAAATAGAGCCACACTGGGAATTAGGGCCTCAACATGTGATTTGAGGGGGACACAAACATTCTGTCCATGATGAGGATATACACCCTAAAAGACGGTAAGGAGCTAAAGCTGCTGGTATTTGCACTATAGGAAAAAATAATGTAATTTTAATTACTTTTAGAGTCATGTGTCTTTTATTGCAGGGAACAGAGCCTTGAGTAACTCACATAAAGGATATAAATCTCACAGAAGTCAAAGACTGAAGCCAGAATTCCAATGGACTTCATGGGAAATTGAAAGCCATCAGGACCAGAGTTGCTCTGTGTTTACTCTTCATTTTCTCTCTCTCTCTGTCTCTCTTTCTTTCTTGAGACAAGGTCTTGCTCTGTTGTTCAGGCTGGAGTGCAGTGGCACAATCACAGCTCACTGTAGCCTCAACTTCCTGGGCTCAAGCTATCCTCCTACCACAGCCTCCTGAGTAGCTGGGACTACAGGTACCTACCACCACACCTGGATAATTTTTTTTTTTTAAACAGGGTCTTGCTCTGTCTCCCAGGCTGGAGTGCAGTGGTGCAATCTCAGCTCACTGCAACCTCCACCTCCCAGGTTCAAGCGATTCTCATGTCTCAGCCTCTCAAGTAGCTGGGATTACAGGTGCACACCACCATGCCTGGCTATTTTTTGTATTTTTAGTAGAGATGGAGTTTCGCCAAGGTCTCTACTAACCATGGACAGGGCCACGCTGGTCTCTAACTCCTAATCTCAAGTGATCTGCCTGCCTTGGCCTCCCAAAGTGCTGGGATTACAGGCATGAGCCAGTACGCCCAGCCTCCGGATGATTTTTGTATTTTTTTGTAGAGACAGGATTTTGCCATGTTGCCCAGGCAGGTCTCAAACTCCTGCACTCAAGAGATCTGCCCACCTTGGCCTCCCAAAGTGCTCAGATTACAGGCGTGAGCCACTGCACCTGGCCAAATTTCCTTTTTTAAACTTCTTTATATCACCTCCAATTCTAGAATTCTGGAAGTTATTGAACTATCCCATATTTGAAAGCCACTGGATTTCAATAATGCAAATAAACAGAACTTTTCGTTTTTATACTTGGTAAGAAATGTTGCCAAAGGATGATTAAATGTGTCAAAAATAAAATAAAATTCTATAAATTAATGTTCAATTTTAGTTTTATAAAACAAATCCACTCAATCTGACATTGAATCATGATCTACCAAATACAGAATTTATTTATTTATTAGTTTGTATTTTAGTAGAGACGGGGTTTCACCACGTTGGCCAGGGTGGTCTAGAACTCCTGACCTCAAGTGATCCACCTGCCTCAGTCTCCCAAAGTGCTGAGATTACAGGCGTGAGCCACTGTACCTCGCCAACCAAATACATAATTTAAATTTAACAGATGTAAAGTCTTTCTTCCTTATAAGACTGCATCTTGTAATTATTATAGTATTATTTTAGAGACAGGGTTTTACTCTGTCTCCCAGGCTGCTGGAGTGCATTGGCATAATCATAGCTCACTGTAAACTTGAACTCCTGGGTTCAAGCGATCCTCCCACTTTGGCCTCCCAAAGTGCTAAGATTACAGGCGTGAGTCATCACCCAGCCTTGTAATTTCTTTTAAAATGTCATGAATATTAATGATGTGATGGTGTTCCCTCTGGACTGGCCAGCTGCTGAACTGACCAGGTCATTGGTCTTCTTTATTTTATATTTATGCCTAACTATATGTAGCTAGAATCATATTAGTAACTCAGATAAGCTCTAAAATAGTCTTACTTAGTAATTGTATGAGTTAGGGTCTGATCAGGGAAGCAAACCAGTGAGAGCATTTATTTGGTAAGTAGAGGCAGTTGTGGTAGCTTTCATTTGGCCTTTCTACTATAATAACCTTCACTCCAAGAGTAAGGAAACCAATGCAGGGGTACTGGTAGCTGCTGAGTAAGTCTATTCCAACTAAACATGCCAGAATTGGATAAATAACCACAGGGTGAGTTCAACAACCTACTGAACTTGCTGTGAAGCCAATCACAGCCAAAACTTCAATAATCACCTGATCTTCATTCATAAGCCCCTACTCTGGCTGGTGGACCATAGCGGTGCTTTGGTCCTCTAGGAATTAGTGCCAGTTTAAAGCCAGTGTTCTGTAATCTCTACAAAGTTTGGCTATTCCACTTTCCCCAATGCATATCACCCTGGTAAATGAATGACTGCAGGCCCCTTTAGGGAAGGTGAGGAGGGAGATTTATGACATAAACTTTTGGCTATGTATCAGGATTATTCCTTCAGGAACTTGGCCTCCTCTTTATTCAAGGGTCTCTAAATTTGTGAATTGGTTCAAGTGTAGGAATTTGTTAAGGGGCCAAGACTATTGTGTAATTAAAGGCAGACTTCTGCTTATCAAACCTAGAGCTTTCCTGCTTATTCAAATCATACTACATACAAATGATACTAAATTGCTATACTAAAGTGAGACTTCAGTAGACTGTCCACCTAATTCAGACTTGAGACAACCATGAGCAATTAGCTAACACCAAAGATCTCTGCAAGACAATCGTTTCTGGTTACTACTTCGCTTCGCCACCAATTGTGTCAACCATACCCATCCTGTCTTTGGCAATTAAACAGGGCCAGTTGATCCTTGCTACCCCAGGACCAATTATCCTTCGGTTCCAGGTTTCAGTGAACAGCCATGGAAATGGTTAAAGCCACTTTCAGTTTCTTGAGCTAACACATCAAATCAAGAATCTCTGCTTCATGTACCCATAACAATAAATTCGGCCTGATCCTATTTTAAATTCCTTCCACCCTGATCCAACACTCTTGGGATGCCAAACATGCTCCACACATTTTTATCAATCACAATTGGTAAGATCTTACCTTTTTTTTTGGTGTGTTTAGTTCCTTCTCATAGGTCACACTTGGTAACTGACCTCCTGAGGCCTGCTGTGATTTAAATCTGGTTGTAGGTCTAGAAACAATGAGAGATAGTAGGGATAGGTCCTGAGGAGGATTTGTCTCTTACAAAGTCACTCTTCCAGGTTCTTCATGCAAGGGGAGACTGACTTTCTCAGGCAGGGAAGTAGGGCAAGCAAAGGAGCCTTGGCGGAACATAGAGGTCAATGACCAAGCTTCATTCAAATCTTTCTATAGACTCCTCATGCCAATTTCCAAAGTCCCACTTCTTCCCAATCAGTGTTGTACTTGAACAAAAGTGATCCTGTGGGGTTGTAAATTCAAATTGCCTTGTAATTCAATCACCCACAGGATTAGCCTCTGTGTTTGTTTTTCAGAAATCTTGACCTTGCTACTGTATGAGACAGTTTCTTTTAGGACAGTCATAAACAAGTATGTAGCTCTGAATGTCCCTATAACTCCCTGGCTTGTAGGTACGCATAAAATCACCTTAATATTTAGGCCTGAAATCCCGTTAGTTTGAAAGCTCTCACACAAATAACTGTACCACTCTAGACTTCTTTCAAGGTTCTCTCCTATGGACACCTCTCCAGGGTTTTTAGAGGTTGTTACATAGTGTCATGAATCAAGAGAAGCCACTGTGTGTAATGTTCCTTTGCTTTGCTCTGGGCTTCCCCTGGCTCTGGGCCACCACTTCGATTTCAACCAGGCTGCTGCTATCCTCTGAGCTTGGCTCAGGGCTCCACCTAAGCCACTGTTCACACGGCGGCCACTGCTTACCCTCTCTGCCTGCCATGCCCACCATAGCTGCTTCATGTGGACCCCCCATTCCCTGTCTTCCAGTCTGCTGCTTCTGCCTCTAGGTCCCCTGCTGGGCACCCCCACATGGGCTGCTGCTGGCCTGATGCCTTCACTCTACCCAGATGCTGCTTCTGCTTGTCCTGCTGCCTTGTCCTACTCCCTTGCCTGACCTTCTGCTTTGGCTCCTGCATCTGCTGCGGTCACCCTTTTCTCTGTGGCCATTCAGCACGCTTCACTCTTAAAAGAGGCAATGTTGAGCCTCTTGTAAGAATTTTGACTTTCGTTCTGAGTAAAATGGGAAGTTATTGCAGGACTTTGAACAGATGAATGATAGCAGCTGTCTTACATTTATGAAGCTCACTCTGGCTGCTGTTTTGAGAATGGACTATGGAGTTTAAGTTAGAGGAAGAGAGATAGGGAGGAGGTTATTGGGTTAGGCCAGGTGAGAAAGGATGGTGGTTCAGAACAGGGCAGTAACCAAGGAAGTGGTGGGTGGTCAGATACTGCATATATTTGAAGGGAGAACCCAACAGGAACTCTTGACAGACTGGATGTGAGATGTGGCAGAGAGAGAAGATTCATAGCTAACTCTAAGACTTTTGACCTGAGCAGATGAAAGGATGCAGTTACCATGAAGGCTGCAGATGAGGTAGGTTAGAAAAGTAAGATCTGGAATTCTCTATGAGATCTATTCAGTTTGAGATACCCAGTAGATATTCGAGTGGAGATGTTGACTAGATAGTTAGATATGTGAGTCAGGAGTTCAAGAGAGAGGCTTGAGTTGGAGAAATACATTTATGAGTTTTCAGATTAGAGGTGGCATTTATGGCCCAGGAAACAGATGAGATTTTTAAGAAAGTGAGTGTGGAGAGAGAAGAAAAACAGGCTCAGGACAGAGCCTGGGCATTCCAACACTGAGAGGTTAGACAGTAAAGGCCAAATCAGCCAGATACTGAGAAGAAACAGAAGAAAACCAAGAGGGTATGCTGTCCTGGCAACCAAGTGTAGAGGGTGCAACCAGGAGGAGGGAATGATCCGTGTCATAAAATGCTGCTGGTCAGGTAAGATGAGGACTCAGGATTGACCCTTGGAATGATCAACATGGAGGACACTTGCTGGCTTTGATAATAGTTTTGGTGGAGTCATGTGGGCAAAAGCCTTATTGGGGCCAGTTCAAGACAGAGTGGTAAAGGAAAAGTTGAGGACAGAATTTACAGATGGCTATTAAGAAGTTTAGCTATTAAAAAATTGGGCAGTAGATAGAGGGGAAAGTAGTCAAAAAGGGTTTTTTGTTCATTTTATTAAAGATGCTACAAATAATGGCATTGTAGTAGGCTGATGGAAATGATTTAGTGAAGGGTTAAAAACTGGGCTAGGGAGCAGGAACTATTGGAGCAATGTCCTTTACTGGGTGAGAGGAATTAGGATCTAGTAAATAAACAGAACTGAAATAGGCTTTAAAACAGAACAGAAATAGTTCATATATGGTAACAAGTAATTTGGGTGGAGTTTTTATTTTATGTAGAAAATCGCATTTTTTGATCTGAGTTGTGATATTGATCACAAGAAAGCAACAGTGTTTGTTGAATCAATGATAAGACAGCTTCAAACTTGGCAGCTGTGCCCCCCCAGACATCTTCCCAGTACTCATCCTGCAGAAACATGCCTTATCCCAAAAGCGAAGGTCAAGGGCCAGACGACTGAAAACACGCTCCAGGTATTTTTAGGGGAAAGCCAGATAAGGGGCATTCCTGATGGTCTGAAGATGCTCCATATTAGATTAAAATGTCTGGTGGGACTAGAGGAAAGAAAGAAACAATTATGTTTTATAGTCACTTGAGTTCCATATAGGATTGGAAAGGAAGTGAAAAAAGGGGAGAAAACAATTTTCTATTTTTAAGTAAATGGATAGGATGATGATGAGTCAAATTAGCTAAGAAACAGTGCTTGGAAGTAGGGGAGAAAGTAATCTGCTATTTTAAGAAAATGGATGGGGTGCCAATGATTTAATTACATTAGCTAAGAAGCCAGTCAGCATTTATTATACCTTTCAGGGTGAGAGGGCTGGAGACTTGAATCTAGGACAAAGCTGAAAGCTTGGCAGCAGGAGCAGAGTCAGAAGCAAAGGCTGGAGTAAGTGGCAGGATTAAGGTAGCAAATGATATTGTCATTGTGTCTGTCTTTCTATGGGAATCACTGGGAATGGTATTGAGAAGTGAAGGGTGCCATGCCCTCCACTCACATCCTCTTCTGTGTCCACACCAATGCATATCTCACTGTTAAAGAAGACGCTGAGATAAAACAACTGCATAAGGAGCAGATAGTGTGCCATCTGAGGCCAAAACAAGATTGTAGGGAACTCAGCTGACAACATACATGCAGTAGAAATACAAAAGCAAGTGCAGCAGCATGGGAGAGTCTCCACCTCCATTCATTTTATGTTTGTTTAAAATTTCATTTAGTAAAGTCTTAGTTTCTTTGGTTCAATGTCATTATCAAATAATGCAAAGAATAGCTAACATGTTCAGTGCTTATAATGTGCCAGGTGCTGTTCTAAGTAGTTCAAATATATTAATTAATTTCAGGTAGGGACTATTATTCATTCTCCCTTTATAGATGAGGAAACTGAGGGACAGAGGAAGCTGGGGGTCAGCCCAGGCAGTCTTGTAGCAAAAGCCTATGCTTTTAACCAGTATATAAAAATCTATCTCAGGACTTAGAGACTTTTGGATGGCCAAGAACTCCTTACTGACTTCCTGTGTGCTTGTGAAAAATCCATTTCATCTTTGCATTATGAGATTCCATCCCAAATTAGTAAAATTTGAGTGAAAATTTCTTGTCATCACAGATATATTAAAGTAGAAACACTTAGCTGCTCTTTCTTATGAATTCAAACAATTTCTGAAACACTCACCCATGTGAGCATTATGTAATGATGAGTCAGAGCTGTCTGAAAGGTTTGGGAGTGATTTCTTATTCACATTGCTAATTGTTTAATTATGCTAAAATTATATTGACTAAATATTCTTCATATTTAAATGATTTCTGACTTCAGGTATACATATGAATCAATGGTAACTTGCTATATTCTTCTCAATACCAACATTTAACAATTAACAAAATATTAAATTTGTGCAATTCACCTATGGAAAAGAGCTAATGGGAAGTGGGAAAAGGGAGAGGAAAAACTGCTGTAAATGAAGGTGAAAAAATGAGAAAGAAGAATTCAATTTTGTAAGTAAGTGTTAGAAATCGTTTGTTGAGGAGAAAAAAAATGAAACAAATAAGTCAGATACTCTGTTAGGCATGAAGCTTCTCCATCCTGAAATAGAAGTAGTGCAAGAAAGCTTAACTTTTTGGAAAAAAAAGAATGGGTATTCTAGAGCCACTTATTTTGTTTTGTTTTTTTTTTCACTGGTAATGTGCTCACACAAGAGAATATTACATTGTGAATTCTGAGGGTGGGGTCACATTTCTCACTTTTTTTTTGGTATTTTGTATAGTAGCTAATGCTGTGCTGCTTTGCATACAGAAGGGTGTTGATGAATTTTGATTTGACTGGAAGGCAGAATAGATGAGCAGAACATTTAAAGCAGGGGTGTCCAATCTTTTGGCTTCCCTGGGCCACATTGGAAGAATAAGAATTGTCTTGAGCCACACGTAAAATACGCTAACACTAATGATAGCTGATGAGCTAAAAAAAAAAAATCGCAAAAAAATCTCATAATGTTTTATGAAAGTTTATGAATTTGTGTTGGGCGGTATTCAAAGTCATCCTGTGCTGCATGTGGCCGTGGGCTGCGGGTTGGACAAGTTTGATTTAAAGTCTCTGGTGAGGCTGGGCGTCTGTAATCTTAGCACTCTGGGAGGCCAAGGCGGGTGGCTCGCATGAGGTCAGGAGTTTGAGACCAGCCTGGTCAACATGGTGAAACCCCATCTCTATTAATAATACAAAATATTAGCCGAGTGTGGTGGTGGGTGCCTGTAGTCCCAGCTACTTGAGAGGCTGAGGCAGGATAATTGCTTGAACCCAGGAGGTGGAGGCTGCAGTGAGCCAAGATCGCGCCACCGCACTTTAGCCTAGGCGGCAGGGTGAAACTCCATCTCAAAAAAAAAAAAAAAAAAGGTTTCTGGTGAGGTACTCCTATAGACGTTTTGGTTTGGCAGACACACAGAAGAGTATGTAGGACTTGGAAATGTGGTCAAATGTGCATAGACACACGCACATTCTACTGAACTGTGCTCTAGTAATCAGGCCATAGCATCATAGCATACTTGTCAGGAAAACAATACCTGGTGAATGGCTCATCCTGAGTACAATTCCAGTAACAGTTCTGCCTTGATTTATTTTGTGATCGCAAACAATGTACTATCTTCTGTCATTCTAGCTTGTTTTCTACATCTATAATGGAATATTCTATCAAGGTACCCTAAAGTCACTTAGCTAACTATGATGCTGCAGATGAAAATAAGTGTTATATGCTGCTTGCTTAGAAATATTTTCTGGCCAGGAGCGCTGGCTCATGCCTGTAATCCTAGCACTTTGGGAAGCTGAGGTGGGCGGATCACGAGGTCAGGAGATCGAGACCATCCTGGCTAACACGGTGAAACCCCTTCTCTACTAAAAACACAAAAAATTAGCCGGGCCTGGTGGCAGACGCCTGTAGTCCCAGCTACTCGGGAGGCTGAGGCAGGAGAATCGCTTGAACCGGGAGACGGAGGTTGCAGTGAGCCGAGATGGTGCCACGGCACTCCAGCCTGGGGGACAGAGCCTCCATCTCAAAAACAAACAAACAAACAAAAATCTGAGATAAAGGTCAAAAGTATTTTTAAAACAGGGTTATTCTTAAAACAATGGCATAATTAAATGTAAGCATATGACCACAGCATTATGCGCTGACAACCTACATGTATAAAAATTCAGTGTTTCTCAGTAATCCCTGATCAAACATATTGGCATGAAATATAGAGGAATTAGAGTGATTACAAGCAGAAGTAATCAAAATCTTATTCCAAAAGATATCTATATTACAGTTGCTGTGGCAACCCACAACTTTTTTTGTTTGTTTGTTTGAGACAGGTTCTTGCTCTGTTGCCCAGGCTGGAGTGCAGTGGTGCAATCATGGCTCACTGCAACCTCTGCCCCCTGGGCTCAAGTGATTCTCCCATCTTAGCCTCCTAACTAGCCAGGACTACAGGCACATTCCACCACACCCAGCTAATTTTTAAATTTGTAGTAAAGATGGGGTTTTGCCATGTTTCTCAGGCTGGTCTTGAACTCCTGAGCTCAAGCGATTTGGCTGTCTCTTCCTCCCAAAGCGTTGGGATTATAGGAATGGGCCACCATGCCTCGCCTCTTTTTCTGCATTGTGTATCAAAGCCACAACATGATGTTTTTGTAAGTGATGTTATAGCAGCCCAAGTTCTGAGTACAATAGTTAATGACTCATCTCATTGAATTGTGTTTTTCAATCTTACTTGTTCACTATCATAGAGGGAAGTATTAAAGCCTTACAGTTCCTAGAAAAAATGGCCAGACTTTATTTTGAGTTTAAAGGGTCAGAATTTTATTATTCTGAAAAGGATATTGAGGTACATTGAGAATAAGCAACAAATGTGGGCTTATATATAAGCTGCCATGACTTAAATGGTTATTGATGATTTTTAAATCTTTAAATATTAGAGGATTGTAGGCTTATCACTTACTTGTGCAATCTATACCATTATCAATAACAAAAATGCTTTTCCCCAACTATGTAATATGTTGAAGTCACTATGTCAAGATCACAAGGTATAACAACCTAACATAAATTACATTTTATTTTAAAATAAAAATTTTCTCATAGCATAACATTTTTAGTACAACATTTTCTTATAACAAATAAAAGCAGACAAATCACAAGTGTATGAGCTCAGTGAATGCTCACAATTGCATAACCTCCACTTAGATCAAAATATAGACTATTGCTAGCACCCTAGTAATTCCTTGTTCTTTTTCGTAATCATTATCTGTCTTTTTTCAAATTTATCCACTATCTTGGCTTCTAAGACATAGATTGGCTTTAGCCTTTTAAAAATATAAACATTTTAATTAAAGTGTAACAAATATACAAAAAGCACACAAATCATAAGCACACAACCAACAAATTTTCATAAACTGAACATCTATATCTAACCAGCACCCAGATGAAAAACCAGAACATTATCAGCATCCCAGAAGGGGATCCCCCTCCTGTCCCCATCAGGTGATTTCCTCCCCAACAACAAGGATAACCGCTATCTTGATTTATAACATTATATATCAATTTTACCTGTTTTCAAACTTTCATTCTCATTGCTGTATAGTATCTCATGGTATGAATATATCATTTACTCTTTCTACGTATTAGTCATGTGAGTTGTTTCGTTTGGGCTAATACAAATAGTAACGTTGTGAACATTTTTGTGCATGTCTTTCAGTGGACATCATTCCATACCTCAGAGTGCAAGTGCTGAGTCATAGGATATGTATATGTCCAGCTTTAGTATATACTAGCAAACATAGTTCCAAAGTTGTACCAATTTGTATTCCTATCAGCAGCATGTGAAAATTCCAAGTGCTCCATATCCTTGCTAACCCTTGGTATTATTTGTTATTTTAGTCATTTTGGGGGGCATGTAGTGATATTGCATTGTAGTTTTATTTTCCATTCTCATGATGATTAATATCATTGAACACCTTCTCATGGGTTTATTGGCCAATTAGATATCCCCTTCTGTGAGGTGTCTACTCAAGTCTTATGCTCATTTTTCTTTTTCTTTCCTTCTTCTTCCTCTTTTTTTTTTTTTTTTTTTTGAGACAGGGTCTTCCTTTTGCCCAGCCTGGAGTGCAGTGGTATGATTCATGTCTCATTGCAGCCTTGACCTCCCCGACTCAAGTGATCCTCCTACCTCAGCCTCCCAAGTAGCTGGGACTACAGGCATGCACCACCCTGCCTTGGCTAATTTTTGCAATTTTTGTAGGGACAGGGTTTCGCCATGTTGCCCAGGCTGGTCTCCAACTCCTCAGCTTAAGCAATCCACCCGCCTCGGCCTCTCAAAGTGCTGAGATTACAGGTGTAAGCCACTGTGCCCAGCCTCATTTTTCTAATGTATGTCTTTGTATGTTATTTGTTGGAAGTATTTACATATTCTGGACACAAATCAGATATATGTATCACAAATATCTTTTTCCATTCTAGAGCTTGCCTATTCATTTTCTTATTGGTGTCTTTGGCAAACAGAGGTTATTAAGTTTAATGTAGTTCAACTGATCAATTTTTTCCCTTATAGTTAATGCTTTTTTGTGTCATAGATGGGAACTCTTTGCCTACCCCAAAGTCATGAAGATATTTTCCCATGTTTTCCTTTAAAAGTTTTATTGTTTTCTCTTTTATGTTTAGATCTACATACCATTCAAAATGGATTTTTGTGAGACATGGTCCAATATTTTTTCCCATGTTGATGTCCTATTCACTCAGTACTGTTTGTTGAAAAGATAACTTTTCTAAATCATGCTTTTGAGACAAGCCTATATGAGAGGCACTTTCAGAAAACATAAGCCTTTAAAAGCAGAATTATGTATAATTATGTGCCAAATTTGGAATGCTCTAAATTGCCAATACAGATAGCATAGGAAAATTAATTTCTTTGTTTCTAGACCAGGGATCAGCAGACTTTTTATGTAAAGAGATAGATAGTAAATAATTTAGGCTTTGTGGGCCATATAGTCTCTGTCACAACTACTCAACCGTGTTGCTGTAGCAAGAAAGTAGCCAAAGAAAGTAGCCATAGACAATATGAAAATAATGGGCATACTTATATTCCAATCAAACTTTATTTACAAAAACAGGTGGAAGACTAGATTTGGTCAAAGTCCTGCTGTAGTCTGCCACCAAAATTATCAAATAATTATGCATTTGTCTATTTCCTTGCATCAGTGAAAATCTGGTACAAGAATAGATCTCAGGCAGCCCCCTGGCCTGATCCTGCTTGATGATTATTCAATGGAATTGATATTGATTCACCCAGTCTAAGCTACCTTGGCTCTTTTTTAAGTATCTATGGTAAGACTGAGTGAATCAATATCAACTTCTCCAGTGAAGCCTTCCTCAGGTAGTCGTGTGGTGAGAGTCTTCAGGATGGTTTGGAAGGATTAATGTAGTATAAACTTCCCTTTATGGATGGAAGGGAATAGATTTCTTGAAGGAGTTGACTGGACAATCCCCCACACCCAGGTCATTTTATTGGCAGCTTGACATCTTTGTGGGGACCTGAAGGTTAGGGATGTTTGCACCCAGGATTGGAAACACTGTGACATCCATTGCTCTGTGTGTAGATGAGCTGTGTCCTCTAGCTAAATTAAAGGAAACTGTATCCCTGTATCCTCACCCTGTGTCAATGGCCTCTTTCTGTCAATCTTTTCACAAACCCTTATGACAGTTACACTTTTAGTTATAGTCTATAATGTTTTTTTTTTTTTTTTTTTTTGAGACAGGTTCTCATTCTGTTGTCCAGGCTAGAGTGCAGTGGTGTGACCACAGCTCATTGCAGCCTGGACCTCCTGGGCTCAGGCAATCCTTCCATCTCCGCCTCCCAAGTATCTGGGACTACAGGCACACACCACCATGCCCGGCTAATATTTTTTGTATTTTGTTTTGCAGAGACAGGTCTCTCTATACTGCCCAGGCTGGTCTCAAACTCCTGAGCTCAAGTGGTCCACTCACCTCTGCCTCCCAAAGTGCTGGGATTACAGGCGTGAGGTGCTGGGATTACAGGCGTGAGCTACTGTGCTGGGCCTAGACTATGACTTTTATTTTAAGGGAATGTCAGAAATTGGCCTAAGCCATAAACCAATCAGGAGTCAGGAAAAACTACCAAGTGGTTTAAACACTGAGCATTTTCCTCCTCTGAAAATGTTCTTTGTGTACTTCTTGATGTGTTATTACCAGGTGAACACTATCAGTTTTGTTACGGGTCTAAACAGAAAAGCGAATTTATAAATGAATTTTGCTGAGAGTTTTCTACTTCAGCTTCCCTCATTTATTGTCACATTTCCAATAGCAATTTATATATCTTAATTAACCATCATAATTTTTAAAAGACAGTTTAAAGCATCACTTCAAGAGCAGTGAGAAAGTAATTAAATCTTATTACTTAAGTAGTTAATTCTTTAATAAAATAGAGGATTGTATAGATAACACAGTGAACATCTTGGTTGCCAAACATTCCTCTAAATCTTTTCTGGAAACTTCTCCACTGAGTTCCTTTTCTAGACACAGGTTTTTGAATGAGAGGTCGTTCTCTTGATTTAAACAAGGCCAATGAACTCTGTTCTCAGACAACACAGAATTCAGATAAAGAGATTTTAGCTTGAGTGTGGCTGCTCTACTGAGCAGAGGAGTTGAAAACTCAGGAGCGACTGTCAGTAGCTGTTTTCATCATGTAAACTAAAAAACAGACTAAGGTGGACTGCAGCAATAGTGAAGAATGACAAAAGAGCAGAGGTAAGGGGTGAAGGGCATCCCTAGACTGCTCATAGCATTCCAGATGGTTCTGTCAGCCCAGCTCCAACACGTAGGTCTACAAGACACAGGTTTATTCTTTAAACCAATTCCTCCATTCTTTTCTCTCTCTCTTTTCTTTTTAACGCTAGCTAAAACGAGTATCTGTTACTTGCAATTAAAATAATTCTAACTAATGCATCATCTAGTCCAGACTTCTCATTTTACAGGAAAAGAAACAGAAGCCCAGGAATGATCAATGCTTTGTTCAGAGACCTATTTTCAGCGACACAGCTGTGACTAGAATTCAGTCTCCTTCTCCCTCTTTGGTGGACTTTTCTCCGGGTGATGCTAAACTGACATTTATTTAATGAACTCACCTTGAATCTCAGCTTGGAATTAGTTCTTTTTGAATGGATTTGTCATTTTTCTTTTGGTTTGAGTAGGTAACAGACTGTCCCTGAGGTCCTTACTGACCAGAAGAGAAACACTCAGCTTTACAGTTTTGCTTCTCCTGCTTCAGCAATTTGAGCTAATTATGGAAAAGCCTTATTTGGTATAGTGAATTCTGTGCACTATCCAGATGTCCCCTTCAGAAACAGGCATTTATTTCCCTAGCTCCTGAGAGTGTTGGCTGCAGAAGCTGACAGCTATGGCTCTTTCTAAGAGTTGCCCCACTGATGGGAATGGTCTCACCAAGGTTACGTCTCTTCCCTGGGGCAGGCCTGCCCTCAATGCCAGGGAACAAAAGCCTGGTCCCCTTGCCTCAATTCAGAACAATTCTGAAGGCTATTTCAGCTCCAGGCCCCCACTGCAGCTGCACTGAAATTCAACTACTTCCTCCAATCTTGCTTCCCTCCCTTCCTGAGAGGACTCCCTAATTTAAAGCTCCTGTGTATAAATCTCTACATCAGTCTGTTTCTCTGGGAATCCTATCTAAAATAGTAGATTTTTTACTGTTCCATTGCCAGAGTAAAAGATAAGAGGGGAAAAAAAAGGCTACATAGAGCAGTTTGTGGCAGGAAGCCTAACATCCCTCAAAGTACTCCTCCCTCACAAACAAAATCCTGTGTTTCTCTTTCCAATTTATATATTTTTAATTTTTTTTCTTCTGGAGATATGGTCTCACTGTGTTGCCCAGGCTGGAATGCAGTGACTATTCTCAGATGTGATCACAGCTCACTGTGGACTTGAACTCCCTGGGCTCAAGGAATCAGCCTCCTGAGTAGCTAGGACTACAGGCACATGTCACCACACTGATCTCCAACTGACATTTTTTAAAATGGTGTTAGGTGTGATTTATTTCATACCTGGTTATTTCTTTAAGACACTAAAAATACATCATACTGTGTTTTTATTATATTTTACAAAGCTTGTTCTAATACATTATTTTTATATTTTTAAAACACTGTATTTAGTTGCTAATTAGCACTAGTTTCATTGCAATTGCCTACTTCCTTGCTGGTCTTCCACCCTAAACTGTCTTGTCTTTGAATCACTAGCACCTATCTTTGAGACTGACCCTGGTCAAGTATTCAGTTAATCTTGGTTGAATAAATGGAGAGATTGCATTCAGTCGAAATTGGGGAAAAGATTATAGCAGAAAAAAAAGCCCTAAAGGCCCAAATCAGGTTTCATTGAGTAAGATTTCTTATCCTCAGAAGACTAGAGATATTAACAATGAATTGCCAGAAAGACATATTAGAAACTTGCTTTCTTCAAAAAGAATCAGTATCCAGGCTGGGTGCAGTGGTTCATGCCTGTAATCCCAGAACTTTAGGAGGCTGAAGTGGGAGAATCACTTGAGGTCAGGAGTTCAAGACCAGACTAGGCAACATAGTGAGACCCTGTCTCTACAAAACTAAAAGAAAAATTACCCAGGTGTGGTGGTGTGCACCTGTAGTCCCAGCTACTTGGGAGGCTGAGGCAGGAGGATCACTTGAGCCCAGGAGGTTAAGGCCGCAGTGAGCCACGACTGTGCCACTGCACTCCACCCTGAGTGATAGAGCAATGCCCTGTCTCAAAATAATAATAACAATAATAAAGAAAATAAAAAGAAAAAAATAATTGGTATCTGGAATTCTGAGTTTGGCAACATGTAGACTAAGTTAATAGAACCCTACCCACAACAAAATTATGTATGAGATTTAATTTTAATTTCCTCCAATATTTTATTTTGAAAAACTTCAAAGCTAGAGTAAAGTTAAAAGTTGGAGAACAAAAAAGAGCTTTCCCCCCTTTTCCCTCTCTCTCTATCTTTATGAACTAATGGATTATTATTATTATATTTTTTTGAGATGGGAGTTTCGCTCTTGTTGCCCAGGCTGGAGTGCAATGGCACGAGCTCGGCCCACTGCAACCTCTGCCTCCTGGGTTCAAGTGATTCTCCTGCCTCAGCCTCCCGTGTAGTAGCTGGGATTACAGGCATGTACCACCATGCCTGGCTAATTTTGCATTTTTAGTAGAGACGGGGTTTCACCATATTGGTCAGGCTGGTCTTGAACTCCTGACCTCAGGTGATCCACCCACCTTGGCCTTCCAAAGTGCTGGGATTATAGGTGTGAGCCACCATGCCCAGCCGGATTATTATTTTTTTTTATACAATGTGCTGGTCTATCATGGTCATTATTATTTTTGATGCATAAATTGTCCCTTGTTTGATCAGCAAGTCTTCCTTCAATCTGACCTCCGTGTCCTTTTAACATGACCCCACTAATCTTTTGTTATTTCTTTGTATTCTGGCACGTACTACATGGCTGAACTCACAAGAAAGGAAATCCCCATATGCCAGAAAGAAAAGAGATCTGAAAGCCAAAGTGGTGTGTAACTGTACACTGACACTGATGTAGTCCTGGAGGTAATTAGGGAACTTAGAAATAAACCCTAACAGCTACACATATCCGTAAGTGGTGAGTGTAGCAGAGAGTAGAACTAAGTTTTTGGCTTGGTGTAAAGCTAGGACCTGTAAGTGCCATGAAAGGGGAATGAGAAACTCTACCCATAAGCCTAAGGACAGCAAGGTTCCAGGGACTTTGGGTAGGGGAAAAAAATCACTGGTGAGAGATAAAAATTGCCACACCATGGAGGGCACAGTAGCTCACGCCTGTAATCCCAGCACTTTGGGAGGCCAAGGCGGATGGATCACCTGAGGTCAGGAGTTCGAGACCAGCCTGACCAATACAGTAAAACCCCGTCTCTGCTAAAAATACAAAAATTAGCTGGGCGTGGTGGCAGGCTCCTGTAGTCCCAGCTACTCAGGAGGCTGAGACAGGAGAATCGCTTGAACCCAAGAGGCAGAGGTTGCAGTGAGCCAAGATCGCGCCACTGCACTCCAGCCTGGGTGACAGAGTGACACTCCGTCTCAAAACAAAAAAACAAAAAAACAGAAAAAAACCCTGCCACACATGTGGTGATTTAAATTATTTAAATTTAATTAAATAAATTTATTTTACTTTACTTTTTATTTATTTTTTTGAGCTAGGGTCTCACTCTGTCACCCAGGCTGAAGTCCAGTGGTGCCATCATGGCTCACTGTGAAGTCCAGTGGTGCCATCATGGCTCACTGCAGCCTCCACCTCCCTGGGCTCAAATGATCCTCCCACCTCAGCCCCCCAGTAGCGGAGATTACAGTCACGTGCCACCGAGCCCGGCTCATTTTTAAATTTTTTTTGTAGACATGGGGTTTTGCCATGTTGCCCAGGCTGGTCTTGAAATCCTGGGCTCAAGCAATCCTCCTGCCTCGTCCTCCAAAAGTTCTGGGATTACAGGCATGAGCCACTGCACCAGGCAATTTAATTTTAAATGATTTGTGTGGTATGGAAATCTCCAAGATACCCTCAGGGTGCCTAGCAAAGGCATGCACAAAATCTATTTGGAGGGACGTTCCCACAATCCACAACTCAATGTATCTTCATAGAATTAACAATTGCCATTCAAGATGTACCCACAATAAAAAATGACAAGACACATGAGGAAAGAATGTGAGGTGAACAAAGAGGAGTATTGACCATGTAGTACTTGATAGGTTAGGACATTCTGAAAGAAAGTATAAAATTAGAATCTTTAAATGGTGAAATAAATGAGGAACCAAAATTAAACAAATCACTGCGAAAAAGGAACAATGAATTTTCCTAACAACTTATTTCTAATAATGTAGCAATTAAAAAATAAAATTAAATGAGATTTATGAAATTAAATGAGAAATACATGGGGTGGATAAACAGCTGATTAGACACAACTGAGGAGAGTAGTGAATTACAGCAGGTACCAAATTTGTGAAATTAAGTAAATTAACCAGAATGAAGCACAATGAGAGGTGTCTAACAAGAATTCTTGTATGAAAGAATAGAGATGGCAGGGCGCGGTGGCTCACATCTGTAATCCCAGCACTTTGGGAGGCCGAGGAGGGCGGATCACTTGAGATCAGGAATTCAAGATGGCCTAGCCTACATGGCAAAACCTCATCTCTACTAAAAATACACAAATTAGCTGGGCGTGATGGTGCACACCTGTAGTCCCAGCTACTCAGGAGGCTGAGGCAGGGGAATCACTTGAACTGGGAGGCAGAGGTTGCAGTGAGCTGAGATCCCGCCTCTGCACTCCAGCCTGGGCAACAGAGTGAGAATCCATCTCACACACACAAAAAAAGACTAGAGAGTTTTTGTGAGGTAGTATTTGAAAATGGATGAGAAATTTCTAGAATTGATGCACAACATAAATCCTCAGTAAGATGAAGTAGACCAAGTGTTGAGTGGGATAAATAAAAATAAAACCTCTACCTAGAATACCAAAGAAAAGACAAAAATCTTACAAGCAATCATAAAGAAAAGGTGGATTAGCCAAAAGGATTTGCAAAGAGATAATAGACTTTTCAGCAGCAAAATGAGAGGGTAAAAGATAATGCAATATTATCTGTGAAGTGTTAAAGGAAAATAAAGCCTATGTGGAATTCTATACCAAACTATTATTCAGGAGTAAGGGTGAAGATAAATATTTTTAGGGACAGTTTCACTGAAAGAACTATTAAGAATGTACTTCAAGAAGGAGGAAATTGAATTCAAAAAGGAAGAAGGATTCAAGAAGCAGTGGTGAACAAAGAAAATGTTGAATGTGTAATTATATTTTAGTAAGCATTTAGTGTAAAGTGAAAAGTTAATGACTAACAGAAGGAAGTGGTTAAAAGCAAGGTGGAACTAAATTTAAGGAGATTGACAAATATGTTAAAATAAATTGCCTCCAGCACCTCTGTATCAGTCTGTTTGTGTTGCTATAAGGGAATACCTGAGGCTGGGTAATTCATAAAGAAAAGAGGTTTAATTGGCTCACCATTCTGCAGGCTGTGCAAGCATGACACCAGCATCTGCTCCACTTCTGATGAGGCCTCATGAAAGAAGATGAAGAGGGAGCCGGCTTATCACAGGGCAAGAGCAGGAGCAACAGAGATGGGGAGACGTGCCAAGCTGTTTTAAACAACTAGGTCTCTCATGAACTACCAGAGCGAGAACACACTCATCACCAAGGTGATGGTGCTAAGCCATGCATGAGGGATCCATGCCTGTGATCCAAACACCTCCTACCAGTCCCCACCTCCAACAATGGGATTACATTTCAACATGAGATTTGAGGGTAGCAAATATCCAAACTATAACATCCTCTCCAAATTTCCTCATGCTCATTTTTAATTCCTCTCACCCACCTGTCCCCCTGCCCTCATCTCTTGGAAACCACTGTTCTGCTTTCTGTCACTGTTGAGACAGATAGGCGGGTTGGTTCCGTTTTAATGTGGTCTGGAGGAAAAGAACAAAAGCCCCTTAAGCTTAAGTGCTAGCTTACCTCTCAGCCAATTAGTAACAAAACGCCTAAGAAACTGTTAAAAACAACTTCCTCCCTCAGGGAGCTAGGGACTTCCCCAGGGCTCTGCATGTGCAGTTAGACATCATCTCCAACCTACAGTTACCCCTTCCTCATTTCAGTGCTAACAATCACACCCAGGGCATGAAGATTTAAAATGCTAATGCTACATAGGATGTATGAAGAAGCATGTAGAGCCACTGTGCAAGTGCTAGAAAAAACCCTCCCATACATGCCCTGACCCAACCCTTCCCTAGAGAGAGACTCATTAAAACTAATCCACACGCTACCCTCAGGAGGCAGCCCATTCCTTTTGCTTTCATGGTGCTGGCTTCTTGTGCACAAGCTGAATAAAGTTTCCTTTGCTGCTATGTTTGGTGATCTCTCTTGATTTCTATACTGGGGGATTGCAAGAATCCAGGGCACCTGCCAGTAACACTATGAATTAGTTTGTAGTTTCTAAAATTTCATATAAATGGGAGTCATACAATATACATACACCTTTCTTTTTTGGTCTGGTTTCTTTCACTCAGGATAAATATCTTGAGATTCATCCATGACATTGCATGTAGCTACTGCCGTTTCTTTTTATTCCTCAGAAGTATTCCATGGTTTGGATTTGTATGGATATATCACAATTTATCCCTTCATCTGTTGATGATATTTGGGTTGTTTCCAGTTTCTGGCCATTTCAAATAAAGCTACTATAAATAAATCTTTGTATAGAAAATTATTTCATTTTTCTTAGGTAAATACTAGGAGTAGAAAATTTGGATTATATGTGAGGTATGTGTTTAACTTTTTAAGAAACTGAACAGCCGGGCACGGTGACTTACGCCTGTAATCCCAGCACTTTAGGAGGCCAAGGTGGGCAGATCATGAGGTCAGGAGTTTGAGACCAGCCTGGCCAACATGGCGAAACTCTGTCTCTACTAAAAATACAAAAAATAAAAATAAAAATAAAAATTAGCCTGGTGTGGTGGCATGCACCTGTAATCCCAACTACTCAAGAGGCTGAGTTAGGAGAATTGCTTAAACCCGGAAGGTGGAGGTTGCAGTGACCTGAGATTGTGCCACTGCACTCCAGCCTGGGTGACAAAGCAAGACTCTGTCTCAGAAGAAAAAAAAAAAAAAGGAAAGAAGGTGAACAGTTTTCCAAAGTTGTTCTGCTATTTTACATTCCCATCACCAATTTATGAAAATTCCAGGCCGGGCGTGGTGGCTCATGCGTGTAATCTGAGCACTTTGGGAGGCCGAGGCAGATGGATCACTTGAGGTCAGGAGTTTGAGATGAGTCTGGACAATATGGTGAAACCCATCTCTACTAAAAATACAAAAATTAGCCAGGTGTGGTGACATATGCCTGTAATCCCAGCTACTAAGGAGGCTGAGGCATAAGACTTGCCAACATTTGGTATGGTCAGCCATTCTAATATTGGCCATTCTAATAGGTATATAGTAGTATTTCATTGTAATTTTTAATTTCCAGTGACTAATGATGTTGAACAACTTTTCATATGCTTATTTTCCACTTAAGTATCTTTTTGGAGGAAGTGTCTGTTCAAATATTTATCTATTTTTAAAATTGGGTTGTTTTCTTATTATTGAAAGTTCTTTATATATTGTGGGTAAAAGTTATCAGATACACAATTTATAAATATTTTCTCAAAGTCTGTGGCTTGCATTTTCATTCTCTTAATAGTTACTTTTACAGAGCAAAAGATTTTTATGAAGTTCAGTTTTTTAAAAATATATTATGCTTTTAGCATTGTATCTAAAAAATCTTTTCCTAAAAAAGGTCACAAAGATTTTTCTCGTTTACTTCAAGCAGTTTTGTAGTTTTAGGTGTGAAAGGAAAATATCTTAGGCCTCCAAAATCACTAAGCTAAAGCGAAAATTCAAGCTGGGAACTGCTTAGGGCAAACCTGCCTCCCATCCTATTCAAAGTCATCCCTCTGCTCACTCAGATAAATGCATATCTGATTGCCTCTTTTGGAAAGGCTAATCAGAAACTCAAAAGAATGCTGCCTTTGTCTCTCATGGATTGATGTCTCATGTCTCCCTAAAATGTATAAAACCAAGTTTTGTCCTGACTACCTTGGGCACATAGCATCAGGACTTCCTGAGGCTGTGTCATGAGCATGCATCCTCAACCTTGGCAAAATAAACTTTTTAAATTAACTGAGACCTGTCTCAAATTTTGGGGGTTCACATAGGTTTTACATTTAGTTCTAAATATTGATTTTTATTTAATTTTTGGGTATGGTATGAGGTATGGATTAAAGTTTTTTTGGATATGGAGACCTAATTTTAATCTTTGTTATGACTGATTTAGCTATTTATGGACCTTTATTATTCCTCATACATTTTTGAGTTTTACTAGTTCCTTAAATCTTACTGGAATTTTAATTGCAATTACAGTCAATGTAGAGATTAATTTGGGGGAAAATCAACATGAGCCTTCAGAGTCTCTCCAGTTGTTTCACTGAAACTGTCTTGCCAAAGTCATCAGTTACCTCCATGTTGCTAAATCCAACAGGCAAGTTTTAATCTAAATCTTACTTGGCCTCTCAGTAGCATTTGGCAAAGGGTATCATTTCCTCTTCAATGAAACTTGGTTTCCAGGACTCTATACCAGAGATTAGCCAACTTTTTCTGTAAAGGGCCAGATAGCAACTCTAAACTTTGAGGACCTTATAATCTCTTTTGCAATTACTCAGCTCTGCCTGTACTGACTACAGTGTGAAAACAGCCATAGACAATATGTAAACAAATAAAAGGCAGCAAGTCAGATTTGGTCTCTGTGAGCTATAGTTTGCCAACTTTTGCTCTATATTCTCCTCGTTTTAATCCTATCTTTCATTCATCCTTACCTTACCTTTTCTGTCTCTTGTGTTTGTTGCTCCTTGTTCCCTTAATCTGTTAACATCAGAGCACCCCAGGACCTAATTTTTGACCTTTCTTCTTATCTATAATAGATTGTTGATGATATCACCCAATGTCATGATTTTAAGTATTTTATCTATGCTAATAAATCTGAAATTTATATCTCCAGCTCAGATCACGTACTGAACTCCAGATGTTATATCCAATGTCCTTTTAACATCTCCACTTCGATATCTGATAAACATCTCAATCAAGACATGTCCAGAACTCCTCTGTCTTAACAAACCTACTCTGTTTTCAACATAGTTATTAGTCAAGGTCTCCAGAGAAAGAGAATCAATAGGATATATGTATATTTATACCTATGTATTGACTGATAGAGGAAATCCATTAAAGCTATTGGCTCACACAGTTATAGACGCTAAGAAGTTTAACAGTCTTCCATGTGCAAGTTGAAGAACCAGGAAAACTGGTGGCATAATTTAGCTTGAGTCCAAAGGCCTGAGAACTGGGAGCTGACAGTGTAAGTCCTGGTCTTAGCCTGAAAGCCTGAGAACCAGGAGCAGTGATATCAGTAGATAGATGTCTTAGTTCAAGCAGAGAGAGCAAATTTGACCTTCCTCATCCGTTTGATTCTAGTCTGGACTTCAAAAACTTGGATGATGCCCACCCACATTGGTGAGAGTGACATTCTTTACTGAGACTACCAAGTGAAATGCTAATCTCTTCTAGAAACACCCTCACAGACACCACAGAAATAATATTTACCAGCTATATGGGCATCCCTTAGCCCAGTCAAGTTTATCATAAACTAAAAGACAAGCCACATATTGGAAAAAGATAATTAACAAAGGACTAGTATCCAGAATATATAAAGGATTGGTTAGAAAAAGCCAGACAACCCAACAGAGAAAAGAGGACAAAAGATAGAGACACACATTCATAATGGGAAACCATAATGGCCAATAAACATATGACAAGATGATCTGCCTCCCCAGTAATTAAGAAATGCAAATTAAAACAATATACCATTTTATATCCATTAGTTTGACAATGAGAAAAATCATACATAACAGTGAGGATGTGGGGAAATGGGACCTTTCACACACTGTCGATTGGAATGTAAACTGGTACAACTATTTTAAAGAGCAATTTAGAAATTTCTGGAAAAGCTGAATATGCACATACGCTAGGACTCAACAGTTCTGCTCCTTGGTGTATGTCCAGGTAAACTTTTTCTTGGGTGTAAAAATCTATGTGCCAGAGTTTTTTGCAAATTGGTTTGCAACATAAAAAAACTGGAGACAATACTATCACTCATCAATGGAGACATGAATGAACAAACTTGTTTATTCTTACAATGGAATAAAACTTAAAAGACCTGAATTCATGCCAAATTATGGCTAAATCGCCAAAACCTAATGTATGATGAAAAGTTGCAGAATACATGGAGCATAACGCCATTCATTTACATTTTAAAATCACAAAACAACTGTTTTTTGAATACATACACACTTGGTAAAAGTATAAACACAAGTAAGGGAATGATATCCACAAACTATAAAACAGTAATTATCCTGGAGAGAGAGGAGAAAGAGAAGGGTGGGGTTTAGCTTTATAAGATTTTATGACTTAGACCTTTAAACAAACATGGCAAAATGTAACAACTATCAAATGTGGGAATTAGGTTCATGAGTGTGCTATATTATTTGCTAATATTTAAAATATTTTATAGTTAATTTTATATTAAAAATCACTAGTAGCTTATTGTCTTTTAACACTTACATGTTGATATACTCACTGTAAACAATATTTAAACGTGCAGGAGTAAATAGAATAAAAGTTCTCACTTACTGCTTCCTTCCCTAAATCTCTTTTCCTTCCCGATTAAGATTAATCATGTATCGTTTCTACCCATTTGTACATATATATGCAAATATGTACACAAAAAGTTTTCTTGTATATAAGTGAATTTCTAGCAACACCTGCTTACACACACACACACACACAAATGAACATCCGTTTTCTGAAATGCTTGGGATCAGAAGTGTTTCAGATTTCTTTTTTTTTTTTTTTGTATTTTGGATTATTTGCATTATATACTTACTGGTTGAGCACTCCAAATCTGAAAATCTGAAATCTTCCAGTGGCCATTTCCTTTGAGCATCAGTCATGTTGGTGGGTCAGAAAGTTTTGGACTTTGGAGCATTTGAATTTCTGGATTAGGGATACCCAAACTGTGTGTGTGTGTGTGTGTGTGTGTGTGTGTGTGTGTGTGTGTGTGTATCCTCATCCTTTTCAACTCTTGGAAAATATTCCAGAGTATAAATAAGCCACCTTTTCTTTCATTGTACCCTAACTTTGGAAACTCAGTCTGTTTTAAATTGTTTAAAATTATAATGTTACAGCAATTTCTGTACATATACCTGAGTACACATTTATTAGTATTCTTTGAGTTTTTGAGAAATAGACTGAATATATTTAAAATTTTGATGATGTCAATTTTCCTTTCAAAAAGGCCCTATAGTCAGGTGTGGTGGCTCAAGTCTCTACTCTCAGCTATTAATGATGTTGCGAGGATTGCTTGAGTCCAGAAGTTTGAGTCCAGCCTAGACAACACGGAGAGATCTTGTCTCTAAAAAAAAAAAACCCAAAGAAACAAAAGGCCCTATAATTTATATTCCTTTAAAAATGATATGACAGTGGCTATTTCCTTATAGTCTTACAACCTTTAAAAATATTGGATATGATTGTCTAACTTGTGACAACTTGATGAACAAACATGTTTCATTTTAATTTACATTTCTCTCATCACTAGAGACTTAGTATTTCTTCTTTTGTGAATTTCTTATTTGTATCATTTGCCTATCTTTCCATTGAGTTATGTTTTGCTAACTGATTCACAGGATCAATTAACTATTTCAATCATGACATAGGTGGCAAATAACTTTCTCTAAACTTTATTTATAGTAGCTTTCACAGAATACAGAAGTTTTATATTTTTATGTGGATATATTTGTCAACTTGTTGGGATTTCGATAAATGTTTTTTCTATTTTTGAGATGGAGTTTCGCTCTTGTTGCCTAGGCTGGAGTGCAATGGTGCGATCTCGGCTCACTGCAACATCTGCCTACCGGGTTCAAGCGATTCTCACGCCTCAGCCTCCCGAGTAGCTGGGATTACAGGCATGCACCACCACGCCTGGCTAATTTTGTATTTTTAGTAGAGACGGGGTTTCTCCATGTTGGTCAGGCTGGTCTCAAACTCCCAACCTCAGGTGATCCACCCACCTAGGCCTCCCAAAGTACTGGAACTACAGGCATGGGCCACTGCACCTGGCCTCAATAGATTTTTGAAAAACTGTCATCTCCAGAATTTTCAATTGTCCTATCTAGGAACATAGTATATCTCTCCTTTTTAAGTGTTATAGCTTATTTTAGAAGTCTATTCCCAGACTTTAAAAAGTCTATTTTACAGTTTTGTTTGCAATTATAAATAGGATCTGTTTTCCATTTCTGATTGGTGACAACTGATATACAGTAAAACTATATTAATTTTGCATGTATCCACTTTGGCTTCAGAAAACTCACCTTCAGAACTGGAATCTTCATTTCTTTGTTGACCTATGGCTTTGTGTTTATGGTTAAATTATGTGCTTTGTCAATAGGTATAGAAATTCCACATATTCTTATTCTTGTGTGCTTTTTTGGTATTGTACTGATGCTGTGAGATGCATCTACAGGAAAATAAGAACTAACTTAAACACAGTTTGACTAAAATCTTAATTTTAATGTTCTGAATTAGATGTTGTACAAACTACCTGCCATATTCCCCCAGCTTCGAATCTACATATGCTTCTCAAATCTGACTCTCCTGCTATATACCATTTCTAACTTCCGCTAAAAGATTGTGTTAGAAAGTCCTGCTGGGCCTCTGAGCCTGGATATTTGCAATTAGAATTCATATACCCCACTTTCACTAGATCTCAATAGTCAAAGCAAAATTATATTTGGGCAACCCCTTGTGTGAATACAGAAAACTTAAAAAAAATAACCAAATAAAAAACATTTAATTAAAGCTGGTTATGGTGGTATGCACCTGTAGTCCTAGCTACTTAGGAGGCTGAGGCAGGATGATTGCTTGAGGTCAGAAATTCTAGGCTGCAGTGTGCTATGACTGTGCCTATGAATAGCTACTGCACTCCAGCCTGGGCAACATGGTGAGATACCCATGTGTAAAAAAGTTTTCTTTTTTTCTTTTTTTGAGACGGAGTCTTGTTCTCTCAGGCTGGAGTGCAGTGGCACAATCTTAGCTCACCACAACCTCTGCTTCCCTGGCTCAAGTAATTCTCCTGCCTCAGCCTCCTGACTAGCTGGGATTACAGGTGTGTATCACCATGTCCTGCTAATTTTGCATTTTTAATAGAGATGGGGTTTCTCCACGTTGGTTGGGCTGGTCTCGAACTTCCGACCTCAGGTAATCCACCTGCCTCAGCCTGCCAAAGTGCTGGGATTACAGGCGTGAGCCACCACACCCAGCCATGAATTACTTTATCTAATTAAACTATTAAATAACCAGTTAAAATCCATTTGAAATATAAATATATGATTATAAGAATAGGCAGGGTGCAGTGGCTTACACCTGTAATCCCAGCACTTTGGGAGGCTGAGGTGGGAGGATCAACTGAGCTCAGGAATTTGAGACCAGCCTGGCCAACATAATGAGACCTTGTCCTTACTAAAAATAAAAAAAATAGCTAGGTGTGGTGGCGCATACCTCTAGTCTCAGCTATTTGGGAGGCTTAGTTGGCATAACTGCTGAGCCCCAGGGGTCAAGGCTTTAGTGGACCATGACCATGCCACTGCACTCCAACCTGGGTGACACAGCAGAACTCAATCTCAAAAAATAAATAAATAAATTAGCATATGCTATATAAGAATAGAGTGCGACATCTTTCAGAATTTTGTGACAGTCAAGCCTGTTGTTGACATGTTTATATACTTCACAGGAACTTTATTTATTTATTTATTTTTGAGACGGAGTTTCACTCTTGTTGCCTAGGCTGGAGTGCAATGGTGCGATCTCGGCTCACTGCAACCTCCGTCTCCTGGGTTCAAGCAATTCTCCTGCCTCAGTCTCCCGAGTAGCTGGGATTACAGACATGTGCCACCACACCTGGCTAATTCTGTATTTTTTTTAGTAGAGACAGGGTTTCCCCATGTTGGTCAGGCTGGTCTAGAACTCCTGACCTCAGGTGATCTGCCTGCCTCGGCCTCCCAAAGTGCTGGGATTACAGGCGTGAGCCACTGCGCCCAGCCAGGAACTTTCAGGAACTTTATTGTGTAGTCTTATGGCATGAAAGTACAATATCATATCTACCTATCTGTATCAATATATCTTTTTTTTTTCCTTTTTCCTTTTTTTTTCTTTTTTTTTTTTGAGACAGAGTCTCACTCTGTCCCCCAGGCTGGAGTGCAGTGGCACAATCTCAGTTCACTGCAACCTCCACCTCCCGGGTTCAAGTGATTTTCCTGCCTCAGCCTCCCGAGTAGCTGGGACTACAGGCGCCCGCCACCATACCTGGCTAATTTTTGTGTTTTTAGTAGAGATGGGGTTTCACCACATTGGCCAGGCTGGTCTCGAACTCCTGACCTTGTGATCTGCCCGCCTCAGCCTCCCAAAGTGCGGGATTACAGGTGTGAGCCACAGCGCCCGGGCCTATATCAATATATCTTAAAATTTCTAAGCCACTATCTTTAATAAACATGTGAATTATTAATCTCATCTGCTACTAATAATGACTATAAGAAAGAAATCTGGAGTTATTTAAATTAATATGAATGAAAAATGGAACAGGGAATTCAGGTTAAAGAAAAAAGCTCAGTGATAAAATATTCAATAACACTAAAATATAGAATATATATTAAATTTAAATAACGTCAGCCAACTTTCCTCAAAATATGTCATATAGACACTAAAATAACTGTAAGTCAGCACATTTATATAGTGATTATATACTGCGATGACATTCAGCATTCTCTTAAAAGGGCAAATTTCAAATTTGAAACGACTTTCATTTTTCTCTAGGTATAATTTCTAGATACATAACAATGCTTGCATTGAGAATCTTGCAAAAATTAAAAACCCTGTATCATCATCAAATGAGAGAATTTATCAGTGAATGGGAGAAAACATACTATTCACTGAGAAAATAGAATGGCAAAGATACACAGATAAAAGAGAAACAAGAAGAATATTAAACAGTATTTTACAGTTCCTAGTGTTAGATGGTAGAATGCCAGGACCTTTTGTGATACTGCCCATCTTGTCAAGGACAGGACATGTGGAAGAAGAGAAGCCATTTAAGTTTCATTAATTAAAACGATGAGAATGTAGCCACCGATTACATTTCACACTAAAGTCTAACTTTGTCTAAATACAGCTAATTCTACTAAGGCCATATTAAATAGTTTGATCAAGGGCCACTATTTCCTCTTTAAACTAGGATTTCTTTATTCCATAGTGACCCTAGGTGACTATAATATTTTATTCATCTATTTTCAGAAAACTGATAAAAAATGTCTTCATAAGAACACAGAGATACTCTCTATCTCTAAAAAGAAACTGTACAATTATATATTAGCTACAGAAATAATCCCAGTGCTTTAGAAAACAAAGGCCACTTTCTGTAGAGAGCTGGCATACACTGTGATTTTTTTGACCAATTTAATATTTTTCAGGACTAAATATCATTTTAATCTAACAATTTAAATGTAATAATTGCATTTCACATGGCAGGAAAACTCACCAATTTGTAAAAGCACCACATTCTCAAATAGCTATGGTAAGATCAAATACTCATCAAGGTCAAAGATTGAATATATCTCCCTAAGCATTTACTTTGCTTTATGAAATTTGATTTTCAATGAAAATGAAATGTTTTCTTATCTAATTTCCTTTAGAAATACTTAATTATGTTCTTTAGTTCTCAGTAATGACCTTTTAACATGAAATTTAAATATGAAGCTATTCTGTAATTCATTCATTTTCAATATGCCAGTTCAGGGAAAATGTCTGCATTTCCAGGACTTTTGCCAGAGTTGTAGATTTTAAAGTTAAAAAGTACAAAGACTTGTTGTATTCTAGAAAACTCATTGCTTCTGAGTTGGTGCATCACAATATGGCACATTTTCTACAAGAAGGTCTTTCCTAGGGACCAGTTCTGAAAGAAAAAAAAAAAAGAGAATAATTAACATCACTAAAATTAGAATTAAATGCAAGGACACTCATTTCCCCCTAAAATTTAAAATAGTAAAATATCCAGTTTTAAGATAAATCTTCCAGGGATATTTTATTTCAGTTGATATCTAAGGTGGCATCCTTGACTCTAATTAGAATTAATAGCATTCTCATTTCAGATTATATAAAAACATATATGATCCACTTAACCCTTTATCATTAAATATAGCAAATCAAATAACTGAAGAGAATTCAGCTAAAACTTCTATTATTGGTCATTTAATTACCAATTACTGATAATGAAAACAACTGGAAATTTTGCTTATACTATCTACTATATGAAAAGCAAGACTGGTCTCCTAATTTAAAGATTCTAAATTTTAAATAACAATTGTTCTTAAAAGAGGGTGTTTTGTGTGGTCATATCAACTGGAGAATGCTACTGGAATTTAGTGGGCAGGAGCCAGGGATGCTAAACCTTCTGTAATGGGTGGAACAGTCTGGCATAGTGAAGAACTGTCCTGTCAAAAATGCCAATAGTGCCCACATTGAGAAATATCATAAAACAACAACAAAAACCTGTTGAGTCCTAGGTAAGACATCTTGCTGGAGTTAAGATAAAGCTCTTAAGATACAAATTTTTGGCCGGGTGTGGTGACTCACGGCTGTAATCCTAGAACTTTGGGAGGCTAAGGAGGGATGATCATTTGAGGTCTAGAGTTGGAAACTAGCCTGACTAACATGGTGAAACCCCATCTCTACTGAAAAAAAAAAAAAAAATCAGCTGGGTGTGGTGGTGCATGCCTGTAATCCCAGCTACTCAGGAGAATGAGGCACAAGAATCGCTTGAACATGGGAGGCGGAGGTTGCAGTGAGTGAGCCGAGATGGTGCCACTGCACTCCAGCCTGGGGGACACAGTGGCAGTCCACCTCAAAAAAAAAAAATTCCAAATTTTTGAGGAGATACATTGATTTCTTCTTCTTTTCTCCAGAAGAGCTGAACCTAGATGAGCTATCAATCAAAAAATGCTTGCACGACCTTCTACAAAATAACCTGCCTATACTTTTCAAAACATCATGGACATGAAAGACGAAGAAAGACTGAAGGACTGCTCTAGATTAAGGATACCTAAAGAGACATGATGACTACATGCAATGTGTGATCCCCAATAGGATACTGGTCCACAGGGAATTTTTTTTCCTTTTGCCATAAAATACATTATTAGGACAAATGGAAAGATTAAATGATAGCATTGCATCAATATTAATACCCTGGTTTTGGTCATTATATTGCAGTTACATTAGAGAATGTCCTTGTATATTTAGGAAATACACACTGAAGTATCTTAAAAAAATATACTCTAAGGTATTTCTCCAGGAGATCTAGACCCAAATGGGCTGTCATAATTCTAAAAATGTTCATTTGGGGTAAATAGGCATTATGTCTGCAACTTACTCTCAGAAAGTTCAGGAAAAAAAAATGAGGGAAACACAATAAGGCAAATATGGTAAAATGTTAGCATTTGTAGAATCTGGGTAAAGGAAATTCTCATACCCTTCAACTTTTGCACTTTTTTTGTAAATCTGAATTATTTCAAAATAAAAAGGTTTTAAAAATATATATATTTACACACACACACACACACACACACACACACACACACACAGTGGCCAGATGCAGCGGCTCATGCCTGTAATTCTGGCACTTTGGGAAGCTGAGGTGGGAAGATTGCTTGAGGCCAGGAGTTTGAGACCAGCTTGGGAAACACAGCGAGACTCTGTCTCTACAAAAAATTGTTTAAAAATTAGCTAGGCATGGTGGTGCACACCTGTATTCCTAGCTACTCAAGAGGCTGAGGCAGGAGGATTGCTTGAGCCCAGGAGTTTGAGATTACAGTGAGCAATAATTATGCTACTGCACTCCAGCCTGGGAGACAGACTCTCTCTCTCAAAAAAAAAAAAAAAAAAAAAAGACAGAAGACAACACTAAAACAAATTCAACCCAAAAGGCAAACTGAATATTTCACTTAATTAAGAAAGAACTGGTCTGACTAAGAATAGTGCTCTTATTAGCCAGATGATAAATTTGGCTTACTGAAATGAAAACCAGTTAAATAAGTATTATTTAACCATTGTTTATATCTCACTTGCTTTTACCAAACCTATGGAGATTTCATCAGAGAATAAATTGTAGTGTGCATTTTAACTTGTTAACAATGGCAATAATTTGTTTCACTTATCAAACCTATATGTGCCTATTTCATGCTAGACATTACATCAAGAAATTAAGATATGAAGGTGAATATATAATAGTCTCTTCAGCTTCCAGAAACTCACAATCTAATGGAAAAGATAGCTAGATAAACAACAAATTATAGTATAATGTCATGTGTTACAAAAGTGGAACAAGACTTTTATGGGAGAATGGAAAAATAAATGGTTAAATATACCCATATCACTTTAGAGTATGTTCAGTTCTGAATAACCAAAGTCCAAAAGCTGGTTTAAATAAGTAAGAGATTTAATTTTTCTCACATTATCAATAAATACAGATTAAAGGACAGGCATGGTGGCTCATGCTTGTAATCACAGCACTTTGGGAGGCCGAGGTGGGCGGATCACAAAGTCAGGAGTTCGAGACCAGCCTGGCCAACACAGTGAAACCCTGTCTCTACTAAAAATACAAAAATTAGCTGGGCGTGGTGGCAGGCACCAGCTACCAGGGAGGCTGAGGCAGGAGAATCGCTTGAACCCAAAGGCAGAGGTTGCAGTGAGCCGAGATCGTGCCACTGTACTTCAGCCTGGGCGACAGAGCTAGACTCCATCTCGGAAAAAAAAAAAAAGAAATACAGATTAAGGCAGTTCTGGGCTAGTGCTTGTCCTTAGTGATACTAAGGACCCAGGCTCTTTCTCTCTTCCTGTTCTGCTACCTTCCATGAGTGGTTTTGTCTTCACTGCTGCTTGTCATATCACATCTGCACTCCAGATGGGAAGAAGAGAGAAAAGGGCAAAAGGAGAGTGCCAGCTCAGCCTGCTCCTTTTAAACAGGAAAACAATGACTTTCTTGGAAGTAACACCGAATAGACACGGTTTATATAGACCAGAAAGGTGTCACATGGTCTGGAAAATAACTTTTTTTTTGCTTGGTACATTGCACCCTGAACACAATTTCTCAGTTAGTAAAAAAGAACAGGAGAAGCCAAGCACGGTGGTTCACACCTATACTCCTAGTACTTTAGGAGGCCGAGGTGGTTGGATTGCCCGAGCGGTAGTCCCAGCTATTCAGGAGGTGTGAGGCATGAGAATCGCTTGAACCCGGGAGGCTGAGGTTGCAGTGAGCCAAGATCGTGCCACTGCACTCCAGCCTGAGCGACAGAAGGACACTCTATCTCCAAAAAAAAAAAAAAAAAAGAACAGGAGAATAGATACTGGAGAGGCAACAAGCACAACCCCTTTGGCTATGCAAAATGCATATAAATCCTTCTTTCCATCTGTAGCATACATCCACTCACTACCTGTCCCCTCAGGTCTCATCTAGACTGAAATCAAGGATGTTTGGTTACAGTGCTAGTGTTTCCATTAGGTCCTGCTGAGCCTCATTGTTCTAAGGTGGAGATACTGGGGAAGATGCCCTTCTTTGGGGCTTTAAAAGCTTTCATAGTCTACTTCCTGGTGATAGGAGTTTAGGGGCCCAGGGGTGGCCTTAAGAGGTGAAAAGAGCTAGCCAGGCCTGGAGTTTCTTGGCAATACAATTCACTCAAAAACTTTATAAGCTTCAAATTGGTTTCCAGTCATTTCCATGCACAAGTAGCCACAGAAAAATAAGGATGAAGACTGTCATCCTTTGGTAGCAGCCTCTACGTTCTGCCCATCTCCTTAACCCTTACCTTAGGGGCCACTTCTTAAAGCAATGAAGAATAGTAAGTTCCAGTCAGTAAATGAATCATATATCTAATCTTTGTCTGGAAGAATGAGAAAGTCTTGAGGCATCGATCTTATTTCATGTTACAGCTCAGAATTTCCCTGCTTGTACTGGCTTTAGTTTTAGTGGATAAGAACAATTAGCATTTTTAACTCTCCAAGGCTCTAAATTATGGGACTCTTAATCAATTAGACTCTAGGCTGTAGACAGAATTGTGCCTTTTAGCAAAGTAATACTTTTTTCTATCTCTGCTTTGTGGGCTAGCTTAATCTGCATTCAACCTCTTTTTCAATTTTATTTATCATTATTATTATTTTTTGAGACAGAACCTTGCTCTGTCTGTCGCCCAGGCTGGAGTGCAGTGGCTGTGATCTCGGCTCACTGCAACCTCTGCCTCCCATGTTCAAGCAATTCTCCTGCCTCAGCCTCCCGAGTAGCTGGGATTACAGGCGCCCACCACCATGCCTGGCTAATTTTTATATTTTTCAGTAGAGACGGGGTTTCACCATGTTGGCCAGGGGGCTGGTCTCAAACTCCTGACCTCAGGTGATCTGCCCACCTCAGCCTCCCAAAGTGCCGGGATAACAGGTGTGAGCCAGCGATCCCGGCCAATTTTATTTTGCCTAACTCATATCACCAGGAAGTGGACTATAAAAGCTTTAACTGTTGGTCTTTGTTACTAGTCACAGAAGCAGCCTCTGGCTGCTTAGAAGCTGGAAAGGCATTAAACAGGTTGTTTCAAATTGTCCAGAACCAGGCAGGCTTGAGACTAAGCTTCCAGAAACAATGACCAAAGCCATACCACAGAAATAGGCTAATGATAAAAACTGCTGCTCTCTCGTGGGGTGCCAGAAAAAAATGCTGCCATTTTTACCCTCATGGAACACAAGATGCTACACTTCGGATGTTGCCAGAAACTCAACCTTACTATGTCTGCTCTTGCCACCATACCAATGCTACTTCTCTTCTCCATGAGGAACTTGATCCTGAAACCACTGATGCTACTCCTGCCAGCAAAACAGATTCTGTGCTGAATACAAGTGAGTGTGCTTCACCTAATCAAACGCCTGTGCCTGAGCTACAAAGGAAACAGAGGAACTTAAATTCTCTAGGTTCTGTCTTAGGGATTTAGAATTCAGGCAGATTGGAAGTCTTGAAACAAAGCAGCGTTATTTGAAGAGTAGTAAATTCCCAGAAAACCTGTCAAATATCCACTATTTTACTTCTTTACCCAATTCACCTTATTGGATAATCTTTGGCATCAAAAGATATTTTACAACTGAATTCTTCTGTATTCATTAACTGTTAACACTTTAATTAGGTCAAATGCACTCCAACTATATTTATATGCTATATACTGTTTTTATTATAATTTTGTCTTATAGATTGTAAAATCCCTGACTTTGCTTTCCACATTAGATACTGAGTACTATAACAGCCTTAGTTTGTTGATGTTGCCAGATCTTTAAAAAGGAACTGCATTGAGATCATGGTTTATTTCCTGTACTTCAGGCCCCTGAAACGCCTTATCTACTCTGGTCATATTAGATATATCAATAAAAAGCAATTTCTTTTTTTTTTTGAGACGGAGTTTTGCTCTTGTTGCCCAGGCTGGAGTGCAATGGCGCAATCTCGGCTCACTGCAACCTCCGCCTCCCGGGTTCAAGCGATTCTCCTGCCTCAGCCTCCTGAGTAGCTGGGACTACAAGCATGTGCCACCATGCCCGGCTAATTTTGTATTTTTAGTAGAGATGAGGTTTCTCCATGTTGATCAGGCTGGTCTTGAACTTCTGACCTCAGTTGATCCACGTGCCTCAGCCTCCCACCAAGTGCTGGGATTATAGGCGTGACCCACCGCACCCGGCCAAAAAGCAATTCCTTGAAATAAAGTCTTTATCTCAATTTTGGACCAAAGTACAAATTTAGGTAAAGATTTTAAAATAAATTATTATGGATAGCATAGTTTATAATAGTGTGACAATCACAGAGATATTTGGAATCCAAATAATTTAAAGGACATTAAAATATTTCACACTGAAGTTCCAGAAATACTTCTAAATATTTCAAGCACATTATGTATATTATATAAATGATGACTTCAAATTAGGGAAACTGTAACACAAAAGTGTTTTCTTCCCAGAACCTGTCCCTAACTCATCAAGTTTGGATCTGTAGCTCTGCTTATGTGTCTCAGCAGTCTCTGCCTCCTATCCTGGCATTCCAAGAACTGTAGCTGTACATTTAATTGCCTGTCTTTTACACAGCACTCTAAGTTCCACTGGATAGGAACCAGATCTGTCTTGCCCATTGTTCTATCCCTGGCGTCTAGCATAACAGCGATTCAATGTTTGTTGAGTCACATTAACATGTCTTAGAACACAAACCATAAGATAGTTTTAGACAATGACAAATCTAAATAAACCAAAAGGCAGAAGTTTAAAATACATCTAAAGAACAGCTTCTTGGAGCTTTTTGTTTTTTTAACTGTATCGTTCGTTTAGAAGTACATCCCTATTTTTTCTTACATATATGCCAGAGAGGAAGTTAAAAAATATGGATCCTATTAAAAAACTAAGTACCGTAAAAAATAATGACCCGAAGTCCTGGGTTTTCTTGGGACCATCTTTATCATAAATTTGTACGAATGAAAATATATATGTTTGTCAAAGGCCAACACTGAAACCAGGCGACTAATATCCACATTAGAAAGAGGGTTTTGACAAATGTTAATAATAAAACAGCAAGTATAGAATAATGAATAACCTGAGTATTTTTCTAACTCATAGTTAAAGGCTATGCTAGACCAATGATGAATGATATGAATAAAAAATTATGATTTGTACAAATTCAGGCACCTGAGATAATACAAAAAATAGAGCAGAAAATATTTGGAAAGAAAAATAGTTTCCAAAATATTTTTTAAAGATTTTAAAAATAAGGAATTATTTCAAATGATAAAATTATGCTTGTAATAAAGAACCTTGAATTCACCGGCAAGGATAAAGGAAGTAAATGTTTTCCTTTTATTATTTTTAATTGATACATACTATATATGCATATTTAAGGGGTACAGTGATAGTTCAATGCATGTATATGTGTGATGATCAAATCAGGGTAATTAGCATATCTATGACCTTATTGATCATTTCTTTGTGTTAGGAATATTCAAAATTTGCTCTTCTAGCTATTTGAAAACATACAATAAATTGTTAATTATAGTTACCCTACAGTGCTATAGAACACTAGAACTTATTCCTCCTAGCTAATTGTAATTTTGGACCCATTAACCAACCTCTAGCTATCCCCCTCTGACCCTTCCTGGCCTCTAGTAACCACTATCTGCACTCTGTTTCTATAAGTTGAACTTTTTTAGGTTCCACATGAGTGAGAACATGCAATATTTGTCGTTCTGTGCCTGGCTTATTTCACTTAACATAATGTCTTCCAGGTTCATGTATGTTGTCACAAATGACAAGATTTCCTTGTTTTTATGGCTGAATAATATTGCATTGTGTGTGTGTGTGTGTGTGTGTGTGTGTGTGTGTGTGTGTGTGTGTGTATGCACCACATTTTTTTTAATCAACTGTCACTGGATTCTTAGGTTGATTCCGTATCTTGGTTATTGTGAATAGTGCCAAGATAAACATGAGAATGCAGCTATTTCTTGGATACAGTGATTTCCTTTCCTTTGGATACATACTCAGTAGAGGAATTACTAGATCATGCAATAGTTCTATGTTTAGTTTTTGAGGAACCTCTATACTGTTTTCTATAATGGCTATCCTAATTTACATTCCCACCAACAGTGTATAAGAGTTCTCCTTTCTCCACATCCTTGTCAGCATTTGTTATTTTCTGTCTTTTTGACAATAGTCATTCTCTCTGGGGTGAGATGATATTTCATTGTGGTTTTAATTTTCATTTCCCTGATAAGTGATGTTGCGTATTTTTTCATATACTTGTTGGCCATTTGTGTGTCTCCTTTTAAGAGATGTCTGGAAGTGATTTTTAAAAAAAATTAAAAATGAGAAATTATTTAAGATAAAGAGTTCCTGCTGGGATTCAAAATTTAATTTCCACTGTAGATATTATTTGAATGGAAGAAAAAGAGAGATTGATTTAGAATTCACGCATACAAGGTGATTACTCTTCCAAATGAAGTTTCATTTTATTACTTTCAATTTCTATTATTTTTCATTTTGAGACATTATATTTTTTAGAAACACATAATCACAACTTTCCATTTTCTAAACAAGAAGCAGAATTTTTATTCTTGTCATTTCTACGTGACAGTATAGACACTGCTAAAATATTTGAAGGAATTTTGCTTAAAGTAACTTTTAGAAAGAGAGATTAAGGAATCAAATTTCTTACATTTTGGACCTATACATATATATATGTATATATATGTGTGTATACATATATATACACACACACACAGAAAGAATGAGGCTATTATTAAGGCAATATGTATTAATACTCATAAAAGAGTCAAAATATTTAATTCTGTGGGAAAATTAAAGTATACATAAAACCAAAGGATAAAAAGAAATCTAAATAATATTCAATAGTGTTATATCTAAAACAAGGCATTTGAAATAGATACTAAATTTAGTTATTTAAAATAACCTAAAACTTTATTCATATGATAAAAATAATATATATCTGTGATTACCTGTATAAAATGTTGGCTATACTACACAGAAACTCTAAAGATCATTATTAAGATAAAAGCTGATGACTACACATCTTAAGTTTAGGATTAACTATGTTTTCTGCCCTTATAAACATAACTTAGATCAGCCAGGTGCAGTGGCTCACACCTGTAAACCCAGCATTTTGGGAGGCTGAGGCAGGTGGATCACCTGAGGTCAGGAGTTCCAGACCAGCCTGGCCAACATGGTGAAACCTTGTCTCTACTAAAAATACAAAAATTAGCTGGGCGTGGTGGCAAGCTCCTGTAATCCCAGCTACTTGAGGGGCTGAGGCAGGAGAATCACTTGAACCTGGGAGGTGGAGGTTGCAGTGAGCGGAAATCATGCCACTGTACACCAGCCTAGGTGACGAGAGCGAAAATCCGTTTCAAAGAAAAAAAAAAAAAAGGGCACGGTGGCTCATGCCTGTAATCCCAGCACTTTGGGAGGCCAAGGCAGGCGGATCACAAGATCAAGAGTTTGAAACCAGCCTGACCAACATGGTGAAACTCCGTCTCTACTAAAAATACAAAAATTAGCTGGGTGTGGCGGTACACGCTTGTAATATCAGCTACCCAGGAGGCTGAGGCAGGAGAATTGCTTGAACCCGGGAGGCAGAGGTTGCAGTGAGACGAGATCACACCACTGCACTCCAGCGTAGGAGACAGAGCAAGACTCCATCTAAACTAAACAAAACAAAACGAAAAAACCATAACTCAGATCTAATAATTTCTTTTTTTTTCTTTTCTTTTTTTTTTTTTTGTGAGACAGGGTCTGGCTCTGTCACCCAGGCTGAGGTGCAGTGGTGCGATCTCGGGTCATTGCAATATCCGCCTCTCAGGCTCAAGTGATCCTCCCACCTCAGCCTCCCTAGTAGCTGGGGCCATGGGTGCACATTACCATGCCTGGTGAATTTTTCGTATTTCTGGTAGAGACAGGGTTTTACTATGTTGCCCTGGCTAGTCTCAAACTCCTGAGCTCAGGTGATTTGCCCACCTCAGCCTCCCAAAGTGCTGGGATTACAGGTGTGAACCACAGTGCCCAGCCCAAGATCTAATAATTTCTGATAAGTCCCCATTAATTAAAAGTAACTTTAAAAGCCCTTTGGACTTATACTACCAGGTAGGAAGATCTATTATAAGGCTGTAAAAATCAAGACATGAAGGTATATGATGCAGGACAGAAAAACAGATTGAAGAGATTATAAAGTCCAGAAACAGATGCACACATATATAGTTCTTAGATTTTATGACAAAGGTGATCCTGTAGAGTAGTAGGGGGAAGAGTGGTCTTTTCAATAAGTGTTGCTGGATCAACTGGATAGTCACATGTAAAAAAATAAATCTTGACCCTCCCATCTCATACCATATACAAACCAACTCTAGTTGATATAAACAACCAAATGGAAAAGATCAAACAATATAGCTTTTTTTTTTTTTTTTTTTTTTTTTTTGGGAGACGGAGTCTTGCTCTGTTGCCCAGGCTGCAGGGCAGTGGCTCGATCTTGACTCACTGCAAGCTCCGCCTCCCGGGTTCATGCCATTCTCCTGCCTCAGCCTCCAGAATAGCTGGGACCATAGGTGCCCACCACCATGCCTGGCTAATTTTTTGTATTTTTAGTAGAGATGGGGTTTCACTGTGTTAGCCAGGATGGTCTCGATCTCCTGACCTCGTGATCCGCCCGCCTCGGCCTCCCAAAGTGCTGGGATTACAGGCGTTGAGCCACCACGCCTGGCCTTTGTTTTTGTTTTTGAGATGGAGTCTCACTCTGTTGCCCAGGCTGGAGTGTGGTGGCATGATCTTGGCTCACTGCAGCCTCTGCCTCCCACATTCAAGTGATTCTCCTCCCTTACTTCCTGAGTAGCTGGAATTACAGGCATGCGCCACCATGCCTGGCTAGTTTTTGTATTTTTAGTGAAAATGGGGTTTCACCATGTTGCCCAGGCTCGTCTTGAACTCCTGACCTCAAGTGATCCACCCGCCTCGGCCTCCCAAAGTGCAGGGATTACAGGTGTGAGCCACTGCACCCAGCCTACAATAAAGCTTTTGGAAGAAAGCACAGGAGAATCTCTTCACGATCTTGCTTGAGCTAGTCAAAGATTTCTTTAATAGAATTAAAAAGCACTAATTATTAAGAAATCCATAAATATGACTACATTAAGAACTTCTCACAGAAAGATAACATTACCAAAGTGAAAAGGAAAGCCACAAAGTAGAAGATTCTTGTAATACATATACCCACCAAATTTCTATATTCAGAACATACAAAGAAATCCTTTAGATCAACAATAAAAAGGCAGACAACCCCTTAGAAAAATGGACAAAAGACTCAAACAGGCACTTCATAAAAAAGAATATCCAAATGTCCACTAAACAACTGAAAAGGTCCTCATCATTCATTAGTTACCAGAGAAATATAAATTAAAATCACAATGTGATACCACCACATATCCATCAGAAAGGCCAATTTTTTTTTTTTTTTTTTTTTACATGTGGCTTGTTTTACATGTTGGTTACATGGGTATTTCATTTTATGAAAATTCACTGAGCTATACAATTACAAATTGAGTACTTTTTTGTTTGTATGTTATACTTCCATAGTCTGCTTAAAAAACAAAGCCTTTCAATATATATATTTTTTGAGGCAGGGTCTTACTCTGTCGCCCAGGCTGGAGTACAGTGGCATACTCGCGGCTCATTAAGGCCTCAACCTCCTGGGCTGAAGTGATCCTCCCACCTCAGCCTCCCTACTAGCTGGAATTACAGGTGTGCACCACTGCATCCTGATAACTTTTGTATTTTTTGTAGAGGCGGGGTTTTTTCATGTTGCCCAGGCTGGTCTTGAACTCCTGGGCTCAATCTAGACTCCTGCCTTGGCCTCCCAAAGTGCTGGGATTACAGGAATGAGCCACTGCACCTGGCCAACAATTTTGAATGTCATCTTTTTGTTGTTACTGTCCCCAAAGATACTTTAGAGAATAAAAACAAAATATTATGTGAAATGAGATTTTGCTGAAGCACCATCTGGAGTCTCGAGATATGATGGAGGATCCTCAACTATATTTCCATTTCCTATAATCCTAAATCTTCTGAATTAAAATAACTAATTATAGGCCAGGTGCAATGGCTCATGCATGTAATACCAGCACTTTGGGGGGCTGAAGCAGGTGGATCACCTGAGGTCAGGAGTTTGAGACCAGCCTGGCCAACAAAGTAAAACCCTGTTTCTATTAAAAATACAAAAATTAGCTGGGCATGGGTGGTGTGTGCCTGTAGTCCTAGCTAGTTGGGAGGCTGAGGCATGAGAAATGCTTGAACCCAGGAGGTGGAGGTTGCAGCGAGCCAAGATCGCACTACTGCACTCCAGCCTGGGCGACAGAGTGAGACTCCATCTCAAAAAACCCAAAAAAAAAACAAAAACAAAAAAACAAAAAACAAAACTCATTATAGAGTAAAAGGTAAAGAAATAGTCTAGGTAAGTGATAAATGATGCCAGAAAAATTAAGAACTGTAAATAAATATGATAAAAATATATAGTTGTACTGTCTTCATAATTAGTGTTGAAATATAAGAAGATAAAAATAAAAAATAAAAATTGAAACAAATGTGGCAAAACAAAGTTTCATAATTCAGTCTTATAGACTATAACCTTGTAAAATATATATGCTATATACCATATTGTCTGGCAAAATCAAGCTGTTTTATCACTCAGCATTACATGTGCTATAATTATTCAATATTTTAAAACACATTGCAGTTAGAAACCATTTTTCTTTAATTTTACTTACTCAGTGTATTGTGGTCTGTGTGAATACCTTGTATAACAGATGTTCTGAGTAATAATTCAACATCAGAACCTATTTTCATTAGCTGTTAAGAAAACCAAACAAATAGAGTAAGTCCTTTAGGTGTTTCATATGAATGTACTGTTTTTGAAAACGATAGTTTTACTATAATTTCTTTTCAAGTAATACAGTAGTTTCTCCTTATCTGCAGTTTCAGTTATCCGTGGTCAACTGTGGTCTGAAAATATTAAATAGAAAATTCCCAAAATAAATAATGTATAAGTTTTTAATCACATGTCACTCTGAGTAGCATGATGAAATCTCATGCCATCTGCTCCAGCCTGTCTGGGATGTGAATCATTTATTTGTCCAGCATATCCATATTGTATACACTGTCCACCTGTGGTCACTTAGTAGCCATCTCGGTTATCAAGATTGACTGTTGCCACACTGCAGTGCTTATATTCAAGTAACTCTTATTTTACTTAATAATGGCTCCAAAGCACAAGAGTACTGTGTCTAATTTATAAATTAAACTTTATCATAGGAAAGTATATATAATAAAAACATAGTATATAGGATTTGGTACTATCAGAGATTTGAGGCATCCACTGAGGATCTTAAAATGTATTCCCCAATGATAAAGGGGGACTACGGTACTGCTTTTAACTTTTTATAACCATTCCAACTAGTATAGAAAGCTCAGATATGCATATAGTTTTAACTTTTATCTATCAATTCTATATTTTCTTCCAAAACAGATTTAGAGTATTTTTTGTTACAATGTGTATTTTTAAGTGTGTTTAAAATGCACATTTTTGGGAGGGCAGTTGAATCTTTCTTTTATAGAATTAGATGTTCAGAACACTTGAACTCCAACTTTGGCTGTGTCATTAAGTGTATGGCCTTGGGTTAATCACCTACTCTCTTTGAGTTTCAGACCTCATCAAATAATATGTACTTGAGAGACCCTGAGACCCTTTCAGGGATCTGTGAGGTCAAAATTACTTTCAAAACACTACAGCCTTCTGCATGGTTTGAGTTGTCAGCAGTAGAGCTTTCTCCATCAAAATACCATTTTTTACCTTTACAGAACCACTGACAAATTAAGATTATTTAGACTTAGCTATTTGGCAGATATTTTCTTATTTTCTTAGAAAAGTAGAGTGTGTCACTTCAAAGAAAACAACTGACAGTATTTGCTGACAATGACAAAACTGAAGCTTTCAAGCAAATATCAGAATTCTGGAGAACTTGTATCTGCCAGGGTAAGCTTGATAGCTTCACAATACTTAAATATTTTTTTCTTGCTTTGTTTTTGAGACAAGGTCTTGCTTTGTCACCCAGGCTGGAGTGCAGTGGTGTAATCATAACTCACTGCAGCCTTGAACTCCTGGGCTCAAGTGACCCTCCCACTTCAGCCTCCAAAAGTGTTGGGATTACAGGTGTGAGCCACCATGCCCAGCCTTAAAGATTTTTCTGATGAGATGGATATTAGTATTGATAGATATAATTTAAAAATATGTAATGAACTATGTCAATATCTGGAAGATCTGTAGTATTTAATGAACCTGCATTTTCTAAATCATCACTGCGTGATGTTACAAAATCATGCATGGGTAAAAAATCCATTCACAGGGAAATATCAATTAAAGTTCACTGGTCTACCTAAACGAAGCTTTGAGGGCATGGAAGAGAATATCCCAAGAAGAGGCAACAGCATAAAAACCCTAAGTGAGGAAACTTTTTGGTAAATTCAAGGACCCTCAAAGAAGGGGCTGAGATTGGAAGAATGAGGGGGATGTGGTTCAAGTTGAGGTGGCAAGGTAACAAAGGTCAGATGACAGTCTTGTAGGTCATGTTAAGCACTTTAGATTTTTCTTGAATGAGATGAAGAGTCATGGGGTTGTGAGTAGTAGAGTGCTGAGATATGCCTTTTTTTTTCTTTTTTTAAGGTTTATTCTGTTTTTAAAAGTACTGAGAATAGGCTGTAGGGAGTGCGGCTAGAAGCAGGAGGCCCATTAAGAGGCTGTTATAACAAGAGAGATGATGGTGGCTTGGACTCGGAGATAATTACAGGGAGGATAAGAAGTAGTTGAGTTCTGTATATATTAATATTTTGATATTTAAGTCAACAGGATTTGCTATCAGATTGGATATAAGTGTGAGAGAAGAATAGCAGTCAAGAAAGCACCAAGGTTTTTGGTCTGAGCATCAAAAGGAGGGAGCTGGAATTAACTGCCATGGAGAGAGCTGTGGGAGAGCAAAGCCTCATCTCCTGACACCTGGGAAGGGGCTTAGCAGGGCAGAGAAGGAGAAAATAATGGGTCTCCTCAGCCACTGGAGGTACATAAACTGAGTCAAGTCCTAGATATAAGGCTGGAAACAAGGCTAGTTGAGGAATAAGGGATTAGGCGGGTCCAGAGAAGATGAGGAGGAGGTGGTCTGCATGAATCCTGGAACCCCCCCCCCGCCAAAAAAAATTCCATTTGTCTGACAGATAACAGAGTTGCACATTGGAACTAACCTTTAACTGGGTGACAGAGTGAGACTCCGTCTCAAAAAAAAAGAAATTACCTCATGTCAAGGCGTAGTATTAAAAAATATTCACAATTACGTGGCTTATGCCTGTAATCCCAGAACTTTGGGAGGCTAAGGCAGGAGGGTCGCTTGAAGCCAGGAGTTTGAAACCAGCCTGGGCAACAAAGCAAGACCTCCTCTCTACCCAAAAAAATAAAGAAAAGAAAAAATCACAATTATCTAATTGTTTTACTCTTTTCCAACTACAAATCTGTGTAAGGCTGAATTTTCTTCATATACTTCAACCTAAAAAACATATTGCAGGGGGCTGGGCACAGTGGCTCACGCCTGTAATCCCAGCACTTTGGGAGGCTGAGGTGGGTGGATCACCTGAGGTCAGGAGTTCAAGACTAGCCTGGCCAACATGGTGAAACCCGTCTACTAAAAATACAAAAATTAGCTGGGTGTGGTAGCATGCACCTGTAATCCCAGCTACTCAGGAGGATGAGGCATGAGAATTGCTTGAACCCAGAGGTGGAGGTTGCAGTGACCTGGGATCATGCCACTGCACTCCAGCCTGGGCAACAAGAGCGAAACTCCATCTCAAAACAAAAACAAAAACAAAACAAAAACAAAAAAACCAATACCACTCTTCTCACTACATTTTTAAAAATAGTTATTTTTCATAAATATCATGTTACTTTTTAACATATAATAAAATTGTTATTTTAAAATGAATTAATCAATATATATTTTTAAAAATTCTCAGTTTACATTTCTAATATGGTAAATAATGATATAAACAAAGCTTTTTGGGGTCCTCAATTTGTAAGAGTGTAAAGGTTCTTTGAGATGACCACGTTTGAGAACTGCTGGTCTAGAGAGGATGCCTGAGATTCCTTTTAGTGCCAAGACTGTATCAACCCTCTAATAACAAAGCAATTATTTTAAAATTACTAAAATCTTAATATTTTTCAGTTGCAGAAAGTACAAAATATACATTTGTATATAACAAATATGGAATTTCTAGATTGCTTAATGTTAAATTAATGCTCTGTAAGTAAAATGAATTTGGGAGATTGTAGTTCATTTTCCCAGTTTACTTGATATAAACAGACCTCAATTTAAAAGTCTTTAATCATAATTTCAAAATTAAAAAATTATCATATGTTATGAATTAGTCTACTGAATAGCAAACAGTACAAACTTCCTCATATACCTTTTAACTTCCCTTCAAGTCATGAGTTGATTATATGGTCATTTTAATTTCTGCCATGAATAAAAATTACATATTCCCTATTTGCCCTATCATGTTTCAGCAAAATCTTTCCCTTTTTGTTTATTTTATAGAGAGGGAATACTTAGGCTATCTCATTTTGTCTCATGAGCTCCATTATTAAAGGTATTTACTATTTCAAAAATAGCATTTTCTCCACTAAATATAAATGCATTTTTTATCAGTTTTTTTTAAACATCTGGAAATTCTATGAACATAGAAAATTTCTCTAGTTTGTACCTTCCTTTAAAAAGGATTCTTTTTAAAGGAATCAATTCTTGGAACCATATCAATTCTTGGAACCAAATCAATTCTTGGAACCATAACTATCTTGCAAATTATTTTCCATTTTTTTGTTTTGTTTTCTTCCTAAGGGTCCTTTCCTTACCTTTATATAGTTAGACATAGGAAGCTGAGGACAGAGATAATATGTATATGCCAGAATACATAATATATAGGAAAAGAAAAATTGTGCATTTTTTTCAATAAACTTCTACTAGGAGTATTAGGGAGCTGAGAAAGTAGTGTCTGTACAGTGTCTTCAACTAGAGCAAGTGACCAAAATGCAAATACAGAAAGCAAAGCAAGAATAGTTCATACTGCGGCTGTTTGTCATTGCCAAGATGGGATTAAAAATAAATATCTAACCGCTTAGTTCAGTTAAGAGTAGAAGTTTCCTCTGTAGTTCTGAGTTACTACAACACTCATTCTCTTTAGTTCCAGTCACTTGCTTTAAGTGAAGATAGAATTTCTGTAGGTTTCTGGGTTTGTTCAGCTGTTCTGGCTTTGATCATGGCTATTTCCATGTTCTGTTGATGGGGTACCTTGCTGTATTTTGGTGTCGGCAGATGAGCCTGAGGAGGTGAGCCATACCAAATAAGTGAAGGTTATCTACAGTTGTGATGGCCTTAACTATCAAGTAATGGTTTTTATTTTACATAACCCCTCTATCTTCATCATTTCCTCTTTGACAAGATAATTGTATAAGTTTTACTATAATTGAAAAAATTACTGTACCTCTTCTATTTTCTTAGAAGAAGTTTCACTTTTATTATTTTTGAATTCTTCATTTATCTTTATTCTGGCTGCTACAAAGAGAAAAATACATATAGTTATTCGCTTTTGTAATCTATAATTCCTATCTCAATAATTGACACATTATTCACTATGAATGGCTACTTCTCTACTATAGAAATTGCCCTCATGAAAAACAAAGCATAAGAATAAGAAATTTATTAATGAAGTCTCTTGGAGAGCTTTTGACAGGGTGACAAGTTTGTAGGTAAACCTACTATAAACCTTTGGCACTCTAATATTTTTTCTTCCACTGATTTTTACTCTCAAATTCATTTGTATACCTATAGCTACTGAATTATAATAAATCTAATTTAATGTTTTATTTTTACAAATCTAAGGATTTCTATTAAAATGCTTTTTTAAGATGGTAAAATTCAATACATACAAGTATGTTAAACTACATACACACATACACAGAGATTGGCAGCAAACAGGATATATGTGTACATATATGTAAAATTTTAAGTGTCTTGGCTGACATATAAAGTGAGTGACAAATAAAACTTTTGTTTACATATACCACTGAGAATTTGATATCATTATAGCAGCATACTTTGGTAGAATCTCACTGGTCTTATTGTGCTGCTGTGAGCGTTTAATGGAACAATCCGTATAAAGTGCTTAGCAAATATGCAACAAATTGTTAGCTGTTCTTATAACTATTCCACTTGAAAAATTTAAAGCAACAAAAATATTCCATGTTGATAATTACCATAAAAACTTCCTTCTATGTTGTGTGTGTGTATATATACATATATATGTTATATATATATACATATATATGTTTTATATATATATACATATATATGTTATATATATATAAACATATATATGTATATATAATATATATGTATATATTATATATACATATATATGTTAATATATATATAACATATATGTTATATATATGTGTGTGTGTGTGTATATATATATATATTTTTTTTTTTTTTTTTTTTTTTTTTTTCAGATGGAGTCTTGCTTTGTCGCCCAGGCTGGAGTGCAGTGGCATGATCTCGGCTCACTGCAACCTCCGCCTCTGGGTTCAAGCAATTCTCCTCCCTCAAGGGATTACAGGTGTGTGCCACCATGCCCGGCTAATTTTTGTATTTTTAGTAGAGGTGGGGTTTCACCATGTTGGCCAGGCTGGTCTCTAACTCCTGACCTCAAGTAATTTGCCTGCCTCTGCCTCCCAAAGTGCTGGGATTACAGGAGTGAGCCACTGAGCCCAGCCTATGTTGCATATATTTCAATACGTAAGGTGGTTTAGAGTTTGGACTTTTGAATCAGACTGCTTAGACTAAATCCCAGGTCCACCTTTTACTCAGTATGATGTGGGACAGATATTTTCACATTTTGTCAATTTTCTCATTTGTAAAAATAGGAATTATAATAGCAACTATCTTACAGAAATGTTACAAGAATTAAATCAGGAATTCATGTAAAGTACATATAATACAATACATATATCTTATTTGTTCAGAAATTATTTTTGATGAGTTACAAAAACTTAAATCCCTGGAAACAGTGGGGACACTTTACCTAGGTGCACTCTTAAGGAGGTTCATAAATGTATGAGGAGTGGAACTGAACATGAATAACACAGAACCTAAGTTTCAGAGCCTGTGACTTCCAGATAAGATAGAAACTACTTAAAACAGGGAGATACTGAATTTAGAATCATTTGGGATGGATTCTCTTTCACAGCTGCTCTTTTAGACTGATATAAGACATTAACAACATGGTAATATCTGGTCCTAGAGACTGTGAAAATTTGATTATGTAACAGAAAGTTCAATGGCTTGAATATAAGGCAAGCAATGATAAACACTGAAATTCTGGTCCCTCGCCTTTTTTTTTGACCAACTCTTTATGAAGACTTGATCTTTAAAAATTTTTCTTTAAGTAGATATTTCTCAAATAAGTGTAATATAAGCTAATCTTTATAAAAGATATCAGAGAGAGGTAGTGAAGGTCATTCCCTAAAATGGGTCTTGACCACACAGGGTTTCTCAGAGAGATTAGTAGTTATCTAAAAAGTAGACTGGCTCCAAAGGGGTAAAGAACATACTTACCTTCTAATGCTCTGGCATCATTTTTAAAAACTTGTTGTCTGGTCCTGTGCAGTGTTTTAAAGAGCTGTAAAACCTGTTAAGAAAATCAGAATTCAAGGTTGGGCACAGTGGCTCATGCCTGTAATCCCAGCACTTTGGGAAGTTGAGGTAGCAGGATCGCTTTAGCCCAGGAGTTCGAGACCCTGGGCGATATGGTGAGACCCCCATCTCTACAAAAAAAAAATTTTTTTTTGACTTGCAGTCTCACTCTGTCACCCAGGCTGGAGTGCAGTGGTGTGATCTTGGCTCACCACAACCTCCGCCTCCTGGGTTCAAGCAATTCTCCTGCCTCAGCCTCCCGAGTAGCTGGGATTACAGGCACCTGCCACCAAGCCTGGCTAATTTTTGTATTTTTAGTAGAGACAAGGTTTCACCATGTTGTCCAGGCTGGTCTTGAGCTCCTGACCTCAGGTGATCCACCCGCCTTGGCCTCCCAAAGTGCTAGGATTACATGAGTGAGCCACTGCACCCGGCCAAAATATTTTTTTAAAATTAGTCAGGCCATGGTGGTGTGCACCTGTGGTCCTAGCTACTTGGGCGGCTGAAGTGGGAGGATTGCTTGAGTCTAGGAAGTTGAGGCTACAATGAGCTCTGACTGCACTACTACACTCCAGCCTGGGTGACAGAGCAAGACCCTGTCTCAAAAAAAAAAAAAGAAAAAAAAAAAAAAAAAGAAAAGAAAAAGAAAAAGAAAATCAGAATTCAGACCTCAAAAGGAAAACATTTCACATTTCACACAAATCGTATTATAAGGATTAAACAGTATTCCTTTTCTGTTTGTTTCATAGACTATTTTTAAAAATAGTTGGTGAAAACCAGGACTTGCCAAAATAACTTTCCTTTGATTATTTATCTCTACATTAAAAACATTTTTAGCCTTATTTACAAAAATAATACAAAGTTCTTTGAAATAAATAAAACAATATAAGGATGGTTAAAAAGTTAATAATCCTCATGCTAAAAACCAGTCTGCTACTTTACCAGTCTGGTATGTATCTGTTCTCATTTTTCTTAACCTATTGAAGTTTTAATCTGCTCAATATCATACACACACATATGCAAAATTATGAATTTATTGCATCTTAAAAGAGGCCACAGAAGGAAGATGTTTTAAACAATTTAGACAAATTTAATTGCTATTCCCTTTTTTTTTTTTTTTTTTTTTTTGAGACGGAGTCTCACCTTGTCACCCAGGCTGGAGTGCAATGACACAATCTCGGCTCACTGCAACCTCCACCTCCCGAGTTCAAGCGATTCTCCTGCCTCAGCCTCCCAAGTAGCTGAGATTACAGGCGTGTGCCACCACGCCCAGCTAATTTTTTGTTATCTTTAGTAGACACGGGGTTTCACCATGTTGGCTGGGCTGGTTTCAAACTCCTGACCTCGTGGTCCGCTGACTTGGCCTCCCAAAGTGCTGGGATTACAGGTGTGAGCCACTACGTCTGGCCCTTTTAATTGCTATTTCATAAAAGATAAGTGAAATGTTGAGACTTATGAATATTCTGAGTCTGTATTGAAAAAAATAAAAAGAGAGAAAAGAGCCTGGCATTTTGGTAAAAGACAGATTGTGAAGAGGCTTTAGTGATATGCTGAGGTCACTTCACACTTCTCAAGTCCAAAAAGGTACTCAATATTGTTCTCTCAATATTGCTCTTCCTCCACTCTTCTCTATTTTACTTATTGGAGGCCACCAAGTTTCTGAAGCCAGAAATCAGTAGGTCATCCTTTTATTATACCTTACTCTTGTCGTGGAAACTTTAGAAATGTCTCTGTAATCTTTCTTTTATCCTCTCTCAACAAAATCACTTATGTTCAGGCACTCCCCATCTCTTAGACTACTTACAAAGGTTTGTCACTTTGCCACCACACCCTCCTGTCCTCCAGTCTGTTCTGCAAATACTGTCTAACATTTACTAAGCATACTGTGTGCTAGACACCATTTTAAGTGTTTTACGTATATTAGAAAACCTATAACATCAAAGGCAGACATGAAAACAGAAATAAGAAACAGAGCAAAAAAATTTAAAAATAAAAACCAAGCTGCCATAAAAAACTTCCTCAGAAACATGTTATCGCAGAGATGGAATAACATCAATGAAAAGCTACAGTAAATTTAAAAAGGAACATTCCAAAAACTCCCAAAAGCTCTTGGCTATCAAACAGGTGAAAGTAAGGATTAAGTTGAGAAAAATTGCCCAGAATGTAGAATAAAAGTTCAGAAACAGAAATTGAGGAGAGGAAAGATAAGAAAATTAAGGGAGAAGGCCCAACAGCTAGATTAGCAGAAGGGCCAACAAGAGAGAAAAGAGAAAAGGGAGGGAAGAAATTTTAAAATTTTCACTTAATATTTGGGTAAAAGGGAAGAAAAAAAATTTCACCAAGTAAGGCACACGAATTACAAGATAGAAAGGGTTCCACCAAGTGCCCAACATAAAACTCATAACACAGCACAGCATGATGTTAAGTTCAGTGCAATGCTGATAATGAGAACAATCTCAGAGAATCAACATTTCACATGTAAAGGATGGAAAAAATCAGAATGGTACCTGATTTCTAAATAGCACCACTGTAAGAAGACAATGGAATAACATATTCAAGTTTTGAAAAAATGTCTGCTTTAGAACACCATAGATACTCAAACTATCACTCAAAGACAAGGGCAAATACATATTTTCAGAAATGCAAAGTCTCTTATCTGTCATACACACTTTATTGGAAAGCTACAGAAGAATATCCTCCACCAAAATAAGGAAATGAATCACAAAAGGAAAAGACATGGGAACCCAGGAGACAGGTAGTCTAACATGGGAGAGGCAAAGACCATGGGGAAGGACAAATGCTAGTCAACATTTGTGCAGCCAGACTAGAAAGCAACTAGGCAGGACTATAGCAAAAGACTGAATTGCTCCAGGAAAGTTATTGCAAGGAAAAATGAAACTGGTAGACTGGTTTTGCCTAGAATTTGGGAACAGATATCTAGGATATCTATTAAAGGATATTTTTAAAAAGTAATAATTTTTAAAAGGCAGTTATTAATTTAAAGATGAAGAAATGGGAAAAAAGACAATCATATAATGTACTTAAAGGGCTCAGCTGTGGGTAATTTTTATAGCAATAATAACATCAAAGATGTTAAAGTACTAGGTGCTAGTAGAACTGTGAGGGCAGCTGTTTGCTTTATAGGACACAAATGAGAAAATGTGGTGTATATATACATCATAGAATACTAAAAAAGAATGAAATCATGTCCTTTGCAGCAGCTGCTGGAGACCATTATCCTAAATGAAATAACTCAGAAACAGAAAATCAAATACTGCATATTTTGACTTATAAGTAGGTGCTAAGCAAAGGGTACGCCTTTGTGGATAGAACGCCAAAAGGGAGACGCCAAAAGGGAGGAGGATAGGAAGGGGTTGAGGGTGGAAAAATTACCTATTGGGTACAATATTCATTATTTGGGTGATGGGTTCACTAGAAGCCCAAACCTCACCATTATGTAATTTACCCATGTAATAAACCTGCATATGTACTCTCTGAATCTAAAATAAAATTAAGAAAAATAAAAAGTCAAAGAATTTGAATAGATATTTCTTCCAAAAAAAAAAAAACCCATAAATGGCCAATAAGCCATAAAAAGATGTTCAATGTCATGTGCCATCTGGAAACACAAATCTAAACCTCAATGAGATACCATTTCATCCCAGTAGAATGGCTACTGTAAAAAAGACAGTCAATAAAAAGAGTTGACAAGGACATGGAAAAATAGGAACTCTTATACATTGTTTGGCATTTAAAATGGTACAGTTGCTTTGGGAAACAGTTTGGCAGTTGCTAAAAAAAGTTAAACCTACAGTTATCTTATGACCCAGAAATTCTACTACTAGGTATATACTCAAGACAAATGAAAACATGTTCACACAAAAACATGTATGCTAATGTTCATGGTAGTATTATTCATAATAGTGAAAAAGTAGAAATAACCTAAATGTCCATGAACTCATGAACGGGGAAGTAAAATGTGAAATATCCTTATTAATAAGAGCTTAATTAGCTCTTAATAAGCTAACGCAGGCTGATGCAGTGGCTCACGCCTGTAATCTCAGCCCTTTGGGAAGCTGAGGTGGGTGGATCGCTTGAGCACAGGAGTTCAAGACCAGCCTGGCCAACATGGTGAAACCCTGTCTCTACTAAAAAATACAAAAAATTAGCTGGTGTGGTGGTGGGCACCTGTAATCCCAGCTACTTGGGAGGTTGAGGCAGGAGAATTGCTTGAACCTGGGAGGTGGAGGTTGCAGTGAGCCGAGATGGTGCCACTGCACTCCAGCCTGGGTGACATCGAGATTCCATCTCAAACAAAACAAAACAAAACAAAACAAAACCAGCCTGGGCAACATGGCCAAACCCTGTATCTACAAAAAATAAAAAAATTAGCCAGGCGTGGTGGAGGGTGCTTGTAGTCCTAGCTACTCGGGAGGCTGAGGTGGGAGGATCTCTTGAGCTTGGGAGGCAGAGGTTGCGGCGAGCCAAGATGACACCACTGCACTGCAGGCTGGGTGACAGAGTGAGACCCTGTCTCAAAACAAAACAAAACAAAACAAAACAAACAAACACACCCAAAAAAGGCCGAGCGTGGTTGCTCATGTTGCTCATGCCTGTAATCCTAGCACTTTGGGAGGTCAAGGCAGGCAGATCACCTGAGGTCAGGAGTTTGAGACCAGCCTGACCAACATGGAGAAACCCCATCTCTACTAAAAATACAAAATTAGCCGGGCATGGTGGTGCATGCCTGCAATCCCAGCTACTCGGGAGGCTGAGGCAGGGGAATTGCTTGAACCTGGGAGGCAGGGGTTGTGGTGAGCCGAGATTGCGCCACTGCACTCTGCCCTGGCCAACAATAGCGAAACTCCATCACCAAAAAAAAAAAAAAAAAAGAGATTGAAGCTGGTGACTTTGAGTTGAAGCCAATAATTTGTCATTCCAAAATCCTAGGACCCTTAAGAATTATGCTAAGTCTACTCTACCTGTGCTCTACAAATCAACAAAGTGCATCTGTTTAAAGCATGGTTCGCGGATATTTTAAGCCCACTGTTGAGATCTGCTCAGAAAAAAAAAGATTCCTTTCAAAATATTACTGCTCACTGACAACACACCTCATCACCCAAGAGCTCTGATGGAGATGTAAAAGGAAATTAATATTGTTTTCATGACTGCCAATACAACATCCATTTTGCAGCCCCGCAGGTCAAGGCCAAGTAGTAATTTTGGCTTTTAAGTCCTTTTTTTTTGAGACAGGGCCTTGTTCTGTCACCCAGGCTCGAGTGCAGTGGTACGATCATGGCTTACTGAAGTCTCGATCTTCTGGGCTCAAGCGATCCTCCCACCTCAGCCTCCAAAGTTGCTGGGAGCACAGGCGCATGCCACACATTGAGCTAATTTTTGTACTTTTTGTAGAGACAGGTTTTGCCATGTTGCCCAGGCTGGTCTTGAACTCCTGACTCAAGCAATCTGCCCACCTCAGCCTCCCATAGTGCTGGGATTAGAGGTGTGAGCCAGACTTCTAAGTCTTATTTAAAAGACTCATAAGGCTATAGCTGCCATAGACAGTGATTCCTCTGATGAATTTAGGCAAAGTAAATTGAAAACCTCCTGGGAAGGATTCACCATTCCAGATGCCATTCAGAGAATTCAAGAGAGGAGGCCAAAATAGCAACAATAACAGGCATTTGGAAGAAACTTATTTGAACACTCATGGATGACTTCGAGGGGTTCAAGACTTCAGTGGAGGAATTAACTGCAGATACGTGGAAAGTGCAAGTGAAACTAGGATAAGAAGTGGAGCCTTAAGATGTGACTGAATTGCTGCAATCTCGATAAAACTTAAATGCATGAGGAGTTGCTTCTCATGAATGAGCAAAGAAAGTGGATTCTTGAGTTTATGAAGATCATCACTCACATCACTTCACCCCTGGTGAAGATGCTGTAAACATTGTTGAAATAACAACAAAGGATTTAGAATATTATATGAACTCAGTTGATAAAGTAGTGGCTGGGGTTGAGAGGATTGAATCCAATTTGAAAGATGCTCTACTGTGGGTAAAATGCTATCAAACAGCATTGCATGCTACAGATAAATCTTTTGTGTGTGAAAGAGTCAATCAATGTGGTCAACTTTACTGTAGTCCTATTTTAAGAAATTGTCACAGTCATCTTAACCTTTAGCAACCACCAATCTGATCAATTAGCAGCCATCAACATCGAGGCAAGATCTTTCATCAGCAAAAAGATTACAACTTTCTGAAAGCTCAAATAATTGTTAGCATTTTATAGCAAAAAAGTATTTTTTTATTTAAGGTATGTACTTCCTTATTTTTTATTTTTTGAGATGGAGTTTTGCTCTTGTTGCCCAGGCTGGAGTGCAATGGTGCGATCTCGGCTCACTGCAGCCTCTGCCTCCTGGGTTCAAGGGATTCTGCTGCCTCAGCCTCCTGAGTAGCGTAGCTGGGATTACAGACAAGTGCCACCAAGCCTAGCTAATTTTTGTATTTTTAGTAGAGACGGGGTTTCACTGCGTTGGCCAGATGGGTCTCGAACTCTTGACCTTGTGATCCGCCCACCTGGGCCTCCCAAAGTGCTGGGATTACAGGCGTGAGCCACCTTTCCCAGCCAACATATGTACTTTCTAAAGACATAATGCTACTGCACACTTAATAGACTACATTATAGTGTAAACATAACTTTTATATGCACTGGGACCAAAAAACTTGTATTACTCGCTTTACTGCAATATACACTTCGTCGCCGTGGGCTTGAACCAAACCTGCAGCATCACCTAGGTATGCCTGTATCTAAAAATGTGGAAGTGGCTTTGGAATTGAGTAATGTGTAGAGGCTGGAATAACTCTGAGGTGCTTGATAGTAAAAGCCTGGATTGCCTTGGTAAAAATACGGGCTTTGCAAGCATCGTAGAATCCCAGGGATTTTAATATTGCAAGAGCAGAGAAGACATGTTGCATGGGATTAAAAAAATGAGAAGTAAGTAAACATAATGGTTTTACATGCTATTTAAAGTACAACATTAGTACAACAAATTAGCATCCCTAATTTAAGAGGACTAGTGTAAGAAAATGTTATCATTATTGCCATAGCACTATTGGAGTTAACATTACCTTGGAGCAGATAAACTTTTATTAAAATGCAGAAAGCCAGGTCACAGACTGTATTCTCTTCCTCATTTACTTATACTGATTGGACAATTCAGGCAGTGTAGATGAAAAGTGGATTCTTTATAGTCAGATGAGTTTGAATCTGAGATTGTCACTTAATGTAAGCTTGGACAAGTAACAGCCTTTTTGCCTCAATTTTCTTGAATAATGGATTAATTTTAAGGGTTATAATTTCTGTGCTAGGTTTCACTTTCCTATTTTTTTTTGGACGTAGGATCTTGTTGTCACCCTTGTTGGACTGGTCACCTTTGTATCTTCCCACATGTAGCATAAGTGCCTTCTATATATTGTAGGCTCTACCAAAAGTGTTTTTGGAATGAATCCTACTTAATTCCATTTGTATCCAAGTTTTCCAACCAAATCCCCACTTCAAGGACTTTCCATGTGCTAGTTGCCTTTTCTAGAATGCTTTTTTCTCTTCTCTAGCTAATTTCTAATCAAACGTCAGGTCTGAACTTCCTTGAGAGATTATTTATTTATTTACTTATTTTTTGAGATGAAGTCTTGCTCTGTCACCCAGGCTAGAGTGTAGTGGCGCAGTCTCGGCTCACTGCAACCTCCACCTCCCAGGTTCGAGAAACTCTTGTGCCTCAGCCTCCCGAGTAGCGGGATTACAGGCACCCGCCCCTATGCCCAGCTAATTTTTGTATCTTTAGTAGAGATAGGGTTTCACCATGTTGCCTAGGCTGGTCTCGAACTCTCGACCTCATGTGATCCTCTCGCCTCGGTCTCCCAAAGTGCTGGGATTACAGGTGTGAGCCTCTGCACCCAGCCCCTTGAGAGATCGTATGTGAAATCCTAGTTATATGCTCACAAAACACTGCAGTTTCAAATCAAAGCATTTATTACAACTGTAATTAAATAACTGTTTAAGGTCTCCCCACCTGCTAGATTTCTTTATGAAGGCAAGGATGTTCAGCTTATTGTTGCATCCACTATGCTTAGACAATATAGGCTAAATGTTGGTTGTTGGCTATAATAATAGCTATTATGGACATTCAAATAAATTTTTGAATGAATAACCCTGAGCAATTCTGTTTCTATTGGTGCTGTGACATTATGTACAAAAGTACATGAAGGCTGCTTGGTGGTTCCCATATTATTGACTAGACATAAACACTGCTTTTCTTCACCATATTATAGCAGGCTATTTCCTCATGTTTATGTTTCAGCCAGTGACAACTACAGATCCCAATTGGCCATGCTGATGTTAAACGTTAAAGGATGGCTGCCAATGAGAATTGTGCGCCGGGCAGGAACGTGCATCATGCTTGGGCGTGAGAAATGAATCTGAGACCAGGTAGGTACTCAGAGAGGTATAATCCGAGCACAGCCATCACATCCCAAGCTCATTCAGTGAGCTCAGGTCTCACCAGTCCCTGCTCTGTCTTGCTGTTACTTTTGACAAGTAACTTTGCTGGGGTTCGGTTTCCTTGGCTGCTAGACTTCTGTGCACCTTCTGTTTATCTGAATAAACTTTCACCTCATTGAACTGCTGTTGCTCAGGTCAGCCTTTGGCGTCTCCTATACTTCCCAGGGATATGAAATGGGTCCCTCAGACAAATACTCGGTCTGAAGATGAAACGAGGGCAGAACTCAAGTCGCAGATTTGTATCATGGATAAACACTGAGTACCAAGTTAGTACCAAGAAGTAGGAACCACACTGGTGCCTCCCGCTCTCCTCCGCACGTGCACAAACCCTCAACTGCCCCTAGGAGTTGGTCATCTGGCTTCTCTGGGGTAACAGCCACATCCTCCATAAAGGGTCAGGAGCCCCAGCCTCCAGAGACTCCAGACAGTTTTCTCAAGGACGCGAACATACCCTCCCCGACGGCATCGTACCCACCCCTTCCCGGGCCCTGTCACCTTGACTGCCCGTCCCATGGCTCTCCTCACCGCGGCCGCTACCTCCAGAGCAGTCGAGTAGCCCCGCCTCTCAGCAACCAATCAAAGACTGAACTGTTTCCAGCCCCCTGTAGTCGCGTTACTAATGCGCCACAACGAATCACTAGGCAGCATCTCCCTTTTAGCCCCGCCCTCCTCCAAAGGACGGAGGAGGCGTTTGCTAAACGGGCGTTTGCTAAAGGCGTTTGCTAAACGGATGGGAACTGGTAAAATCGCGAGGAGCCGCAGAGCCCAATTACTGGCCAGAAGAGAACGGAAATCACCTGGACGCCATGTTAGTTAGGGGCACAGTCACTTCCGGCGCAGGGATCGTCTGCTAGGCGGACTAGGTTTGTATATAGTGGATGGCGTCGGCACCCGCGTTTTGTTACCTCCTGTTTAGGGTATAGGATCGTCTGTAAAAGAACCTTTATTTTAACGTTTCCCAGTTGCGACTATCTCTTTGGAAATGTGCATAAATAAAAGCCAAGTCCTAACAGCTGCAGCGGGCATTGATTGGAACACTGACTCCTAAAAATTTTATGCGTATATTCTCTCATTTATTTCCATAGAAGGTGAGGTTAAATTACTCGCTGAAGTTCGCACATTTAGTAAATGGAGATCTGGGATGCAAATCCGCTATGCCTGACCGTAAAGCCTAGTTTTACCCTTTACATTTTGCCTATTCAGCTCTCTCTACTCCTTGGTTTTGCTGATAAAGAGGTCAGAAATGGGTAATTAATCAGCAGCATCATAATTAGAAACAATCATAAGTATTTAAGTGCGTTTCAACTTATGACCTTGCAAGCATCAAGAAAAAACTCTGTAGTCACGTTACTAACGCGCCACAACCTTTTCCTATTGTTCCTATTGCATAATTGTTCTCCTTCCCTACCCGTGTAGCCTTTCAGGTTAACTTTTAGGTAAAATTGACTTCTTATTAAAAATGAAAGATCTGGACCAATGGATTTCCAAGGCCCTTTTCTTTCTCTGTGATCTATGTTATTCTAAGGAATTATTGCAAGTCATTCTGAGAATAACAAGATAATCGATTTTTTAAAATTAAGATGCATTCGATTTGCAGAACATTTAACGTAATGAAGCGATTAAACCAAGTATACTGGATATTGTCTTTTATCTGAGAAACAATAAACTAGATGATCTTGGACCTTGCATTGTGTTTTCTGAATGCTGACGGTGATTTAAAAGATACCCCGTCCCCGCTCCCCCATTTTCAGTGTAGACTCATAGTGCAGCTTCCTGAAAATTCATAACTTATTGTGATGATTTCTTGCTAGCTACTGTCCTGAATTCAGTTAACCAAAGTCCCTCATCTGCTGATACTTTAAAACAGTTCTATAATGACAGAATCAGTTCAGTTCTGTGGCTCCTCTTTTCTTAAATAAATCTGCATGTCTCCTTTAACTGTTCCACATATGAGGTGGGCTCTTCACTATTCTAGTTGTTCTGGGAACATGGCCTGGTTTGTCTTGTCACCCCAAAATAATCAAAAGGCTAAGGATCCAGTTAAAAAGGTTTATTCAACTGTAAAGTGTAAGGGCAGTCATATGGGAACATGTAGACACCAAAGAATGCTGATCAGTGCTTCCAGCGTAAGGAAAATTGAAGATGGTTTATATAAGACAAAATGGAGATGCCAAACAGAATTACAACATTTTCCAAACAATGGATAACATCCAGATTTAAGATCTGATTGGCTAGTATTGATTACACTCTAAGGTGGTTGCTTAATATTCTATCGTAAAAAAGTAACAATCACAAGGGTCTACAGCTCTAATATTATGTAGTCCAGGTTTGAAACGAAGAATAGGGAGTCTGATTAATGTATAACATCTCAACACAAAGGTCGGGAAGCAACAATAGTCATGCACCAGAGAAGAAAAACAGCTGTATTACATGACTCAGTTTTCAAGGCTTAACTTTGCCCCCTTGGCTTAATAAATTTGGAAGGTTCTGAAATTTCATTGTCTTTTTAAAGTTTGCATCTCAAAGTATAAGTCGCAGAACTGAACAGGAAATTCCAGCATGTTCATCATGTAAGTTCACAGAGCTATGTAGTAGGCAGAATAATGGCCTCCAGAAGATAACTGTTGAGATTCCGGAACCTCTGACTATGTTATATATGACAAGAGGCTTTGAAGATGTCATTAAATTAAGTATTTTGAGATGGGAAGATTATCCTGGATTGTGTGCTGGACTCAGTGTAATCACAAGGATCCTTATAAGTGAAAGAAGGAAGCAGAGTCAGGGAGAAGTTTGAAGATGTTCTGCTGCTGGCTTTGAAGATGGAGGAAGATGGAGGAAGGGGCCACAAACCAAGCAAGCCTCCTCTAGAAATTGGAAACGGTGAGGAAATGATTTCTTCCCTAGAGCATCCAGAAGGAATGCACCCTTGCCAACACTTGATTTTAGCTCAGTGAAACTCAATTTGGACTTCTGACTTACAAAATGCTACCTGTTTTTGGCTCCTTCCATTTTCTTTTCCTTTTTTTTTTTTTTTTTTTTTTTTTTTTGAGAAGGAGTCTCCTACTGTCGCCCAGGCTGGAGTGCAGTGGCATGATCTCAGCTCACTGCAAGCTCCGCCTCCCTGATCTCAGCTCACTGCAAGCTCCGCCTCCCGTGTTCACGCCGTTCTCCTGCCTCGGCCTCCTGATTATCTGGGACTACAGGCGCCTGCCACCACGCCCAGCGAATTTTTTATATTTTTAGTAAAGACGGGGTTTGACCATGTTAGCCAGGATGGTCTCAATCTCCTGACCTCGTGATCCGCCTGCCTTGGCCTCCCAAAGTGCTGGGATTACAGGCGTGAGCCACCGCACCTGGCCCAACTCCTTCCATTTTCAAAGCCAATAATGGAGCTTTTTTTTTTTTTTCGAGACAGAGTCTTACCCTGTTGCCAAGGCTGCAATGGCATGATCTCGGCTCACTGCAACCTCCGCCTCACAGGTTCAAACGATTCTCCTGCCTCAGCCTCCCGAGTAGCTGGGATTACAGGCTCCTGCCACCATGCCCAACTATTTTTGGTATTTTTAGTAGAGACAGGGTTTCACCATGTTGGCCAGGCTGGTCTCAAACGCCTGACCTCATGATAGCCCACCTCGGCCTCCCAAAGTGCTGGGATTACAGTCGTGAGTCACCACACCCGGCCGAGCATTTTCAAATCTCAGACTCTCACCTCTGCCTCTGTGGTCACATCTCCTTCTCTTACTCTCACTCTTCTGTGTCTCTCTTTCACTTACAAGGGCTGTTGTGATTACTTTGGGCCCACCTAGATAATGCAGGAACCTCCCTATTCCAAGATCCTTAACTTAATCACATCTACAAAATCCCACTTACCATGTAAAGTAACATATTCACAGGCTCCAGGGATTAGGACATGGGCATCTTCTGCCTAGCACACTGAGTTTGCGTGATGCCAGTCAATAAGGTTGAAATGGAAAGAAATGAGGTAGAAGCAGCAGCAATGGGCCTGATCACACAGGGCCCTATAAGCCAAGGTAAGGATGTTGGATTTTATTCTGTGATGTTATACACTAGCATATTACCAGCAGGAGAGTGACATTATGATTTATATTTTATAAAGATCATTTTGGGTGCTGTGTGGCAAATTAACTACAATGGAAGCAGATAGGTTATCCAACTAGGAGCCTTTCAAAGTACTCCAGGAAAGAGATGTTAGTAGCTTGGATTAGAGTAGTGGAGATAGAGGAGATAAGTGATTAGATCCTTGGTGATGTGTGTTGAAAGTACAGAGAGAAGGTTTAAGGATGATTTCAAGGCTTTTTGGCTGGAGTGACTGGGTGAATGGTGGTACAGCAGATACAGAATCCTGCAAAAGGAGGTTTTGGTTTGTTTGTTGTGGAGGGAGTCAAAATAAAATTGCAGTGCCTGGTAGCCATCTAAGTGGAGGTGGTCAATAGGCTGTAATGTATGTCACAGACCAGTCTGGAATTAAGGGAAGAGGTAGGTCAAGAGACAAATACTTGAGAGTCACTACTCTATAGATGGTAAAGCCTTCAGATGGAATGAAAGCTGACCATGTTATTTATTATCCAAACCAGCACACATTTTTTTATTTTGACAATTTCAGACACATAAAAGTTGCAAGAATAATACATAGAATTTGCATATGCCTTTCAGTCAGATTCTCCAAATGTTAACATTTTATTGTAATTGCTTTATCCTTTTCTATTTCTCTAATTACCTATAGACAGACACTTTTTCTCTGAACTATTTGAAAGTAAGTTGCGGACATGATACCCATAGCCTTAAATACTTCAGTGGGTTTTTCCTACAAAGACATTCCCTTGTATCAGTAGTTCTTAAAGTATGGTTCCCGGGCCAGCAGCAACTGTATCACCTGGAAAGTTAGAAACCTAACTTGTAGGGCCCCACCCCAGATCAACTGATTTTGACAATTTTTCTGTGGTTATGAAAGGAAATTAACATGACTTCAAAACTATTATCTAATTTATAGGCATTATTTAGATTTTACGAATTGTCCCAGTAATGTCTTTGATAGCAAAAGTACCAAATGGACACTTTTGAGATTAAAGGCAACCACATTCAATAATTTTGCCAAGACAAGGGTAGTAATGTAATCATAAAAGGCAGCTGAGCTCACATCTGTAATCCCAGCACTTTGGGAGGCTGAGGCGGGTGGAACACCTGAGGTCAGAAGTTTGAGAACAGCCTGGCCAGCATGGGGAAACCCTGTCTCTACTAAAAATACAAAAATTAGCCAGGTGTGGTGGTGCGCGCCTGTAGTCCTAGCTACTTGGGAGGCTGAGGCATGAGAATCACTCGAACTCGGGAGGCAGAGGTTGCAATGAGCCGAGATTGTGCCACTGCAGTCGAGCCTGGGCGACAGAGCAAGAATCTATCTAAAAAAAAAAAAGGCATTGAGGAGGTATACTTTTTCTTAATACGTACACTTAGAGGTCTGGTATGATAACTGTAATTGTCTATAGGATTTTATAAATGGATGTCCTTAGTGACCTTGACAAGAGGGAAATGGACTCAAAAATGAAAGATAAGAAAGCAGACATGGTATGTAGAAAACTTCTTTATAAAACGAGCAAAGATACGGAGGGGGATGTGGGATTAAGGAAGGTTTTTTTTTTTAAAGTGGGTCATTTTATTAATACATTATGTTGATTGCTGCTGGGAAAAATTCTTTGCAGAGCAGTCTAGGGAGGTTTACAAACTACTGATGCCTGGGGCTCATCTCCAAAGATTCTTATTTAATGGATCTGGGCTGCAGCCAGGTTCACGGGGATTTTTAAAAGCTCCCCAAGTGATCTTAATGTGTAGTCAAGATTGAGAACCACTGGTAGAGAGAGAAAAAAACTCTGTTGAAGAGAGGACTTAAAATCTGCTGCAGCAGCAAGACCTTAAATAATCTAAGTGCTAAGTTGCAGCCAGCACCACTTAAATTATCAAATCTTGTCAGTTACAGTATCCAACTTTCCCTACAAGCATCCATAGGCAGACGAAGGGTTTATACCAGTAACTGCATTCCCCAGGAGACAAGAAAGGAGGATAGAAAAACGACTTAGGAATCTCCTTGGAGCTCAAGACCAGGAACTTCCCCAAGCCGGAGGTCCCTGAGGCGCTCTAGCGCGCTGGCCGCACTCGCAGCCCAGGTCGCCAGTGCGCACGCGCAAGATTAGGTGGGGCGCCAGAGCCGGGGCACCTGCGCAGGCTTGGCTGCGCCCTCTCGCGCCGCACGCTCTGCGGGTTCCTCCCTTCTTCCGAGCCTCTCCTCTGGCCGCCGCGCGGGAGAGAGGCCGAGATGGCAGATGAGATTGCCAAGGCTCAGGTCGCTCGGCCTGGTGGCGACACGATCTTTGGGAAGATCATCCGCAAGGAAATACCAGCCAAAATCATTTTTGAGGATGACCGGGTAGGTACTGGGCACCACCTCTCTCGCCTGCTGAGGTGGGTATCGTCCGCGGATCCTCGGGTTTCTCGCGGAGGGAGAGGAGGGGTCGCGAGTGTAGCGGCGACGGGAGGGGACCTGGCTGCCCTGGTCCAGCGGGCCCCCAGCCAGCGGACAGGGCCCGGGCACTCCGAGGCGGCCTGCCGGCGCGTGCCGGCGCTCCGGTTACTCGTTATCTGCCCCGGGCGCGGGCCAGGCCGCCGGGCGCCCTGAGTGCCGCACCGCGGGGCCTGGGCGCGTGTCGGGGCGCACTGGGGCCCCCGCGTGGAAGCCCGCCGGTTCCCCGGCTGCCTCGGACCTTGCCTGTATCAGGAATCTCGAAATCTCGCCAGCGCTCTGCCTGACAGAGAGAAACCCGATCGCGCCCTGACTCAGGCCCAATCTCCGCGATCTCCCGCGCACAGCCGGCCTGCCAGGGCCCGGCGTTCCTGGGCGCTGCTCAGCAAGGCATTGTGCTCGAGGGCCCCAGGGGCGCTGGGAGGTGCGCGGGCCGTCTGGGCCTGCCGGCTTCCTCCGCGGGGTGCGGCTTGCCACCCTCACCCCTACCCCTATCCCTATCTCCACCCCAAGGCCTACCCTGGGCTAGCGAGGCGATCTCCTGAGATAAGAAGTGGGCCCGCGTCTGGGATTTGCTTTCCGTTGACCTCTCCCGCTGAACATTTTGGACTTACAAACAGCTGAATGATTCTTTTTGTATTCAACAGGAAGTAATTTTATGCCAAGAGACTAAGACTGTAGTTTTTGTTGACTTCTTGTAGGTGAAATCCCAGTTGATGTGACTTTGAGATATCTTGTGTAAATTATTTAGTGGCCAGTTGTATTTTTGGGATTGGATCTCAGATAAAGCTGGGCAGATTGGCTGATTTAGATAGAACAAATTTTGTAAACAGTTTTGTTAAATTTAGGAAATATAAAATCTAAGAAAAACATTTATTCTACTAATGTCGGTTAGATTCAAAACGTTATCAAAAATTTAATTAGGTTCCTCTAGGTAAATTAAAAAAAAAAATACTTTGTCTCTACTCAGGGGAAATTCTTTGGTTTTAGAAAAAATATTTCTTTTTAAAGTTCGCAGTTGCCTTTGAGAAATGGTTCTTGAAAAATTTACATTTGAACCACCGAAGTCCAACTGTAGAACGGCAGGAAGCATTCTAAATGAATCAGCATTTTGTAGGGAGTACCCAGTAGAATTACTCCTGAGACAAATAAGTGTGGATGGGTTTTATTAAAACAGCTTTCACTTCAGCAGTGAGCAAGAGATTCGAAAATATTCATGTCATATGTGTATTTACAGACACTGTTTTAAATAATTAGTCTAAATGCTAAAGAATATCATATATATACTCTTCAGCTTTACACAAAAGGATAGGTATATTTCTTAAATAGTTGAGTAAAGTGAGAATAGATATTAATCAAGTATCAGACAAATATGTAGTTACAAAACTGATTGCTATCATAAAGAAAAAAAAAAAACCAGGAAATTGCACAACTAGGACTCTGACCTGGGAGTAATGGGACGGGGAGGGCAATCAGAGGTTTTTTTCTGTTTTTTCTTTTTTCTCCCAGAAATCATGTATGTGCTGGGAATGGAATGGCGGAATGACTAGCAGTTTAAATTAGACGGAAGTTGGGGTTTGGAGGGGGAGAGGATCATTGAAAAAGCTCTGAGGGCAGAGAGCTCAGAAGGCCAGTTCCATGTGAAGACCTGCAGGAGATCTGGAGAGGCAGGCAAGGATTAGCATGGCCAATTTTTATGCATTCATTGGCTCCCAGTTTAAATGTCACTGCCTCAGAGTTGTTCTTAAACACTTAATCTAAATCAGGCTTTTCCTGTAATGATCATTCATATTTTTCCTTTGTAACATGTATGACCTTTGGTGATTATACTTTTAAAGTTGGTCTTCCCATAAGACTTCCATGGAGTCCGGGTGCAGTAGCTCACGCCTGTAATCCCAGCACTCTGGGAGGCCGAGGCAGGTGGATCACCTGAGGTCAGGAGTTCGAGACCAGCCTGGACAACATGGTGAAACCCCGTCTCTACAAAAACACAAAAATTAGCTGGGCATGATGGCACGTGCCTGTAATCCCAGCTACTTGGGAGGCCGAGGCAAGAGAATCACTTGAACCCAGGAGGCGGAGGTTGCAGTGAGCTGAGATCATGCCATTGCACTACAGCCTGGGTGACAGAGTGAGATTCCATCTCAAAAAAAAAAAGACTTCCATGGAAAGGACCACGGCACCATTCGTAATGTGTACACTTCTGTTTTCTTAGCATCTAGTGCCCTCCATGTAGTTACTGCTCAGTAAATACTTGTTGAAATAAGTTTTATCCTACCAATATACTAAAAGTTTGATTTATTTATTTATTTCTCTTTTCCCTAGTGCCTTGCTTTCCATGACATTTCCCCTCAAGCACCAACACATTTTCTGGTGATACCCAAGAAACATATATCCCAGATTTCTGTGGCAGAAGATGATGATGAAAGTGTAAGTACATTTCTAACATGATTTATTTTCTTGCTTTTTAAATTGTGAGATTAATTTTGTCCTTAAAGTGCTGTCACATTTTCATCTTCCTAAGGTCATTACTAAGGAAAAACCAGAAAAACCATTAGGACTTCAACTGCCCAGCTGTTTTCCAAAGTTACTGCATCATTTTGTATCCCACCAGCAATGAATGAGCGTTCCAGCTTCTCCGTATCCTTATCAACACTTGCTATTACCTTTTTTTTTTTTTTTTGAGACAGAGTCTTGCTCTGTCGCCCAGGCTGCAGTGCAGTGGCACTCGGCTCACTGCAAGCTCCACCTCCCTGGTTCACACCATTCTCCTGCCTCAGCCTCCCGAGTAGTGGGACAACAGGCGCCCGCCACCAAGGCTGGCTAATTTTTTGTATTTTTAGTAGAGACGGCTTTCACCATGTTAGTCAGGATAGTTTCGATTTCCTGACCTCGTGATCCGCCCGCCTCGGCCTCCCAAAGTGCTGGGATTACACGCGTGAGCCACCGTTCCTGGCCTATTATATTCTTAAAGTAAGCTAGAGAAAAGGTTATTAAGAAAATCATAAGGAAGAGAAAATATATTTACTATTTATTAAGTCGAGTGAATCATAAAGGTCTTCATCCCTGTCATCTTCATGTTGAGTAGGCTGAGGAAGACGAGGGGTTGGTCTAGCTGTAGCTGTCTCAGGGGTGGCAGAGGCAGAAGAAAATTTGCATATGAGTAGACCTGCACGGGTCAAACCCATGTTGTGCAAGGGTCAGTTGTATTTACTTGGGGATACCTTTTTAAAGTGAGACATTATTTCTGAAACTTAGAAACTTCAAGGCATTAATTTTTAATTCAATATATTTGTACAAATCACAGAGTTCAAAGATTAGAGCGAGTACTTAATGGTAAAATACCGTCTTATATGCAATAACATTAAACCCTCAGAATACATTTTTTTCTTTTTTTTTTTTTTTTGAGACGGAGTTTCGTTCTTGTTGCCCAGGCTGGAGTGCAATGGCACGATCTCGGCTCACCGCAACCTCTGCCTCCTGGGTACAAGCGATTCCCCTGCCCTCCTGAGTAGCTGGGATTACAGGCATGCCATCACGCCTGGCTTATTTGTATTTTTAGTAGAGATGGGGTTTCTCCATGTTGGTCAGGTTAGTCTCGAACTCCCAACCTCACGTGATCCACCCGCCTCAGCCTTCCAAAGTGCTGGGATTACAGGTGTCAGCCACCACGCCCAGCCCCAGAATACAAATTTTTAACATTTAGTATAATTAGACAGTCATGGCATTTTAAGGTCAGAGCTTCTTACTCAAATGCAGCTCTTTTCTGTAAGGACAATAAAATGTTAATTTTTACTCAGTTAACATTCTAAATTAGTGTTTTAAGGTCATCTCTTTTACTTAGAAGACAGTTGTTGGCCAGGAAACGTTTACTGAACCAGCTTTAAAACCGTGCTAATTCATAATTAAATGTTGTGACCAATATAGGTATCTGCTGTACAAAATTTTATATAGATGCTCATCAACTTAAGATGGGCTTACATGCTGATAAACCCATCATAAGTTGAAAATATTGTATGTCTGTTGAAAATGCGTGTAAGACACCTAACTTACTGAACATTATAGCCTAGCCTAGTCTAACTTAAGCTTGCTCGGAACACTTAACGTTAACCTACAGTTGGGCAAAATCATCTAATACAGAGCCTATTCTGTAACAGAGTGTTGAATATCTCATGTAAGAGTATTTTACTGCATATCACCAGTCTGGAAAAGGATCAGAATTCGAAGTATGGTTTCTCCTGAATGCATATCGCCACACCATTGTAAAGTTGAAAAATCATAATTTCCCCAACTTACAATTTTTGTCCATTGTCCATCTGTACAATGGACCTTACTGCATGAGTAAGGTAAGCAGAGTCCACTGTCCTGGGGCTTAATAAGGTAATGGGAATAGAAATGTAAGACTCTCTCCCTTCCCTCTTTTCTTGCCAAAGGAATTAAAGGAGTTCCCTTTCCTGAGAGCTTTTTAGAATGTTGAAGTTAACCCTCCCAACTTTTTTCTCTCATAATGGGAAAGCATAAGCAGTGAAATGGGAGTTAAAGTTCTTTTCTCTTGGCAACCTTCTCCCCTTTAACTTTTATTAGGGAAGAAAGCTGGCAACATACAAATAGACTCCATGTGTAAATAGAGACAAATTGACTGTAGATAGAACCAAAAAACAAACAGGATGACACAGAGCGAGACTAGGTATTTGCCACAGGATCCTGCAAGTCCCGACAATGCAATAGATCTGGTAGTGTTCAAAGGAAAATCCATAATGGTCATAAGGAAGTCATAAAGAAAGCAAGATGTCTTGCTTTATTAAGAAAACTTAAAACAGCACTTGGAATATAATTAAGTTTTTTTTTTGGTTGGGCATAGTGCCTTGTGCCTGTAATCCCAGCACTTTGGAAGTTAAGGTGGGCAGATTGCCCAAGCGCAGGAGTTCGAGACCAGCCTGGACAACATTGGAGAAGCCCCATCTCAACAAAAAAATACAAAAATTAGCCGGGTGTGGTGGCATGTGCTTGTAGTCCCAGCTCCTTGGGTGGGTGAGGCAGGAGGATCACTTCAACCTGGGAGGTCGAGGCTGCAGTGAGCTGAGATCGTGCCACTGCACTCCAGTCTGAGTGACAGAGCAAGACCCCATCTCTTAAAAAAAAAAGTTTAATTGAACAGCAGATTTTATTTCTAATTTGTTTCTTGAAATTAGTAATGATAAATACCTAATCTTAATGAGTCTCCAGTTGTAGATTATGCTCTGTTGGGATTAAGAGTTTCCAAATATTTGCTCAAAGGGTTGTGTTTCAATGAGAGTTTTAAGATTTGATATTTCAGCTTGACAGTTTGTTATTTAATGGCAAGAAGTAATAAATTGCCTGTGCCTAAGAAACTTTTTTTCCTTTTCCAGCTTCTTGGACACTTAATGATTGTTGGCAAGAAATGTGCTGCTGATCTGGGCCTGAATAAGGGTTATCGAATGGTGGTGAATGAAGGTTCAGATGGTGGACAGTCTGTCTATCACGTTCATCTCCATGTTCTTGGAGGTCGGCAAATGCATTGGCCTCCTGGTTAAGCACGTTTTGGGGATAATTTTCTCTTCTTTAGGCAATGATTAAGTTAGGCAATTTCCAGTATGTTAAGTAACACACTTATTTTTGCCTGTGTATGGAGAGATTCAAGAAATAATTTTAAAACCGCATACATAATAAAAGACATTGTTGCATGGCTTATAGTCTCTCTGAGTGTTGCGTTTGATTTGTTATTTTAAAAACATATTTGTTGGAATATGTGAAGGTGGGTTTATAATTTTGGATGTTTCTTGCTTTTTCTTCCCAAGGAGGACTCAACATATGAACATCGCATTGTTTTAATGGTGTTACTAGTCTTTGAAGACAAATAATGAGAGTTTATAAATTTAGCTTTAACTTCGAAATATCTTTCCAGGCTAAAATAGGTCCAACTTAGATTTTTAAGCTAATTCTCACATTTTCTAAGAACATAGGAAATTGACCATTTTGGGTTTAGAAACAGTGCTTTATGTTCAGCCCACATTGCCCCTGGACTCTGGGCGTAATTTGGAAGGGATGAAAGTAGGTTTGTCACACAATCTTTGATGACCATGTAAAGCCATACATTGGTATTTCCTTGCTGTTTAAACCCCATCTGAATATTATAAAGACTTGAAAACATTTTACCTAGAATTCATTTTTCCAATTGAAACCCCACTGTTCTAAATGTGTATGCACACATTAATAAACGTATTTAAGTTGTGCACGAATCTGGCTACGTCATATAGAGTAGGAAAGGGAACTTGTCAGGGTCTGGGTTTTCATGTAGACCGACAACCAACCTTTTGTTTTTAGTCTCACCATGTACCCTGGCCTTTCTAAGGTTCTGTTTTTTTAAATTTTTTTTTTTTTTGAGACAGTGTCTCGCTGTTTTGCCCAGGCTGCAGTGCAGTGGTGCGATCTCAGCTCAATGCAATCTCCACCTCCCAGGTTCAAGTGATTCTGCCTCACCCAGCCTCCCGAGTAGCTGGGATTACTGGCGTGTGCCACCATGCCCGGCTAATTTTTGTATTTTTGGTAGAGATGGGGTTTCACTATGTTGGCTAGGCTGGTCTCGAACTCCTGAGCTCAGGTGATCCGCCTGCCTTGGCCTCCCAAAGTGCTGAGATTAACAGGTGTGAGCCACCACTCCCGGCCTCTAAGGTTCTATTTAATACAAGGTTAATAGCTTTGCTTCTTTGCTTTCCTTTGTGTAGGCACTTTCCAGCTTCCAAAATTTAATAATTTTTTTTTGTTTCTTCTCTCATTCTCTTCATACTTACAGGTTTTTTCCTTTTTTTTTTTTTTGTGAGATAGTCATCCTGTCATCCAAGCTGGAATACAGTGGCACGATCTTGGCTCACTGCAATTTCTGCCTCCCAGGTTCAAGCAATTCTGCCTTGGCCTCCCAAGTAGCTGGGACTACAGGCGCACACCACCATGCCTAGCTAATTTTTGTATTTTTAGTAGAGATGGGGTTTCACCATGTTGGCCAGGCTGGTCTCGAACTCCTGACCTCAGGTGATCACCCACCTTGGCCTCCCAAAGTTCTGGGATTACAGGTGTGATTACAGGTGTGAGCCACTGTGCCCATCCTTCCATTTTTAATCTCTAAAAAGATTGCTGTAGGGTTTTGACACATTTAATTGAGTTGTTTTTCTTAAAATTTTATTTCCTGTTAGTGATTTTTTAAAATAGTTTTTTTTTTTTTTTTTGGAGGTGGGGAGAGGAGGGAAATTGGCTTTTTATGTGCAACACATAATTTTTTCCCAATTTGTCATTTGTCTCCTTACTTTGTTTATGGTGTTTAAAATGTTTATATGGTTAATACATCCATCTTAAATTTATTTCATAAGCCTTTCCCACCCTAAGAGGATTTTAAAATATTATTCTTTTTTTCCTAGTACTTTTTTTTTGAGGCTGAGTCTCGCTCTTGTTGCCCAGGCTGGAGTGCAATGGTGCAGTCTCAACTCACTGTGACCTCTGCCTCCCAGGTTCAAGCAGTTCTCCTGCCTCAGCCTCCTGAGTAGCTGGGATTACAGGCATGTGCCACCATTTTGTATTTTTAGTAGAGACGGGGTTTCTCCTTGTTCGTCAGGCTGGTTTCGAACTCCTGACCTCAGGTGATCCACCCGCCTCGGCCTCCCAAAATGTTGGGATTACAGGCGTGAGCCACTGCGCCCGGCCTTTCCTAGTACTTTTATGACTTTTTATTTTATGTTGAGGGAAGGTGTAGGGAGGAGTTTTGGAGGGATTTGTGCCACAGTAAAGAATGAAATAATGAGATGCATTTGTATTATGTATAAGAGGGTTGGCTGGGCTTTTATCATGCATATTGTCTTTCCCACTGATTTAGTTAAGCTGGTGTTAATAAATCAGATAGACAACCACCAAGTTGTCTTGCTGGTTCTGTCTGTGACCTCTCTGCCCAAAACTGTCTTGTGGCATATATTCACCAAACCTCATGTGGTAGCCAGTCTCCAGGATAGCCCACAAGGATCTTCACTTCTGGTATTTGCACCCTTGTGTTTCTCATCGAATCTGAACTGGTCCGTAATAAACAGTATGGTACAAATGATAGTGTGATTTCTGAGGCTGCATCACAAAAGGCATTATGACTTACACTGTAGTCTCTTGGATTGCTCACTGCTATTGACTGAATATTTATGTTTCCCAAAATTCGTATGTTGAAATTCTAACCTCCAATGTGATGGTATTAGGAGGTGGGGTCTTTGTTAGGAGATTAAATGATGAGGCCAGAGCTTTTATAAGTGGGATGAGTGCCCTTATGAAAGAGACTTTGGAGAGCTCCTGCCCCTTTCACCATGTGGGAACCCAATGAGAATAAAGTCCTTACAAACCAGGAAGTGGGCTCACCAGATACTGAATCTGCCAGTGCCTTGATCTTAGACTTCCCATCCTCTAGAACTGTGAGAAATAAATTGCTGTTGTTTATGAGCCACCCAAGTCTATAGTATTCTTTTTTTTTCCCCCGAAACAGGGTTTTTCTTACTCTGTCACCCAGGCTGGAGTGCAGTGCCATGATCATGGCTCCCTGCAGCCTCGACCTCCCTGGGCTCAGGTGATCCTCCCACCTGAGTACCTGGAACTACAGGTTCATACCATCACACTGGGTAATTTTTGTGTTTTTTGTAGAGATGGGTTTTCACCATGTTGCCCAGGCTGCTATGGTATTCTTTCCTAGCAGCCAGAACAGACTAAGTTACTTGGGAAAGCCAGCTGCTATGGCCAGGGACCCTCAAGCAGCCCACTGGAAAGGCGTTATGTTGAGAGGAACTCAGGCCTGCCAACAGCCAGCAATATGTCAGCTATGCAAATAAACCATCTTGGAAGCAGACCCTCCCCAGCCCCAGTTGAGCCTTCAAGATGACTGCAGTCCTGATTAGCATCTGACTGCAACCTCATGAGAAAGACCCCACAGTACAAACACCTGTCGAATCTCCCAAATTCCTGATCCACAGAAATGGAGTGATAATAAAGTCACCAAGTTTTGGGGTAATTTGTAACAGCAATGCTAACCAAAATACCCTGTTGTCTTAATTTTTTTTTCTTTTTTAGCATACAGCTAGACTGCATTTCCCTGCATCCTTTCAGCTGTGTGGGGCCATATACCTATTGTCTGGTTAATGAAATGTGTGAGGAACTGATGTATGTCATTTCCAAGACCCTGAAATATCTCCCATGCACTCTTCTTTGCTTTTTCTTTTCTTTAGTTGACAAGATGCAGAAAGGATTCAACAGAGGAGATTGAGATGTTTGATGGAATGAGCTTGAGTCTCCAAATGACTGCATCGGGGAGTATTTGCCACACTCCTGACCCACATTGAATTTTATTTGTTAAGCCACTGAGATTTCAGGGTTTGGGTAATAATACTTAGGAGTATTTATTGTAATTAATACAAGACCTATGATTCAGGAGTGATGAAACTTCTTTATATGAGGTGGCTTGGGATTTTAACAATCATAGCAGCCTATTTGATTGTTCTGCTCTTAGAAATAGCTCAGAGGTTGAGATTGCCTGGGTAAAGAGGGGTTAGAACTTGGAGATAACAATTGGGCTTTTAAGTAGAGTGTAAGCCAGTTCCTGTGGGGACCATAGCACCACTTTTTTTTTTTTTTTGAGCCAGAGTCTCTGCTGCCCAGGCTGGAGTGCAGTGATGTGATTTTGGCTCACTGCAACCTCTGCCTCCCAGGTTCAGGTGATTCTTGTGGCTCAGCTTCCCAAGTAGCTGAGGTTACAGGCATGCACCACCACTCCCAGCTAATTTTTTTTTTTTTTTTTTTTCATTTTTAGTAGAGACAGGGTTTCACCATGTTGGCCAGGCTAGTCTCAAACTCCTGACCTCAGGTGATCTGCTCACCTCGGCCTCCCAAAGTGCTGGGATTACAGGTGTGGGCCATGCACCCAGCCAATACCACATCTTGATTGAACTGATCTGAGGAGGCTATGTGAGAATTGACTCTTATCTTTAATATTAAATGTTATATTTTAGAACTGAAGTGATAAGTTCAGGTCATTTGAGGAACTTAGTTTATCATTGAAATAATTTCCTTGAGTAAGCCACTGAGAAAATCAGAGTGATCTTTAATCTTTATTTTAATATATGTGTATTCTTGCCAGGTGTGGGCTCACGCCTGTAACCTCAACAGTTTGGGAGACCAAGGTGGGAAGATCACTTGAGCCCAGGAGTTCAAGACCAGCCTGGGCAACATGACTAAACCTCGTCTCTACAAAAAATAGAAAAAAAAATTAGCTGGTATGGTGGCGTGCACCTGTAGTTCCAGCTGCTTGGGAGGCTGAGGTGCTGGGAGACTGAGGTGGGAGGACTGCTTTATCCTGGGAGGCAGAGGTTGCACTGAGCCAAGATCATGCCACTGCACTCCAACCTGCGTGGTAGAGCGAGACCCTGTCTACCAAAAAAAAAAAAAAAGCGTATTTTTCATTTATGTAGGTTAGAATTAGCCTACATAATAACAAAAACAAAAAAAGCAGATTTAGATGGGATAATAAGGCTTATTTTTTTCTTTCTAGTTATAGAACCCCCTAAGGTGGCAATCCAGGGCTCTTTTTTTTTTTTTTTTTTTTTTTTGAGACGGAGTCTCGCTCTGTCGCCCAGGCTGGAGTGCAGTGGTGCGATCTCGGCTCACTGCAAGCTCCGCCTCCCGGGTTCACGCCATTCTCCTGCCTCAGCCTCCCGAGTAGCTGGGACTACAGGCGCCCGCCACCACGCCCGGCTAATTTTTTGTATTTTTAGTAGAGACGGGGTTTCACCGTGTTAGCCAGGATGGTCTCGATCTCCTGACCTCGTGATCCGCCCGCCTCGGCCTCCCAAAGTGCTGGGACTACAGGCGTGAGCCACCGCGCCCGGCCCAGGGCTCTTTTGTCACCTTCGTGTATCAGCAAGAATTCAGGCTCCTATCTTTCTTCTCTACCATCCTTTATATCCTCAAGGTCACTTCATGATGCATGGATTGATGCAGCTCCAGCTCTCAGATTCCCCCATCAAAAAGAAAGAGAGGGAAGCAAAATGGCAAAAAGTCATGTCAGCATTATGGCCCTTTTAAAAAGAGCTTTTACGGAGGTCCTTCAAGACCTTCTGCTTAGGTATTATTGGTCATCCCAAGATATAAGACGGGTTGGGTATCTTGCTGCCCAGAATTAAACTAGAAAGGAATAAATCTAGAGTTGATACTGACAGGTAGGTCACAGTATATCCCCCATCACTGATAGCCAGTGTTCGTGACTGGAAAAGCAGCCAGGCATTCTTAGACCTTGCCAAGGTGCTGAAAGGACTGATTAGGTAGTTGCAATTTGGCTATATTTACTCGTTTCTCCAACACTGAGTCAAGACCAGGAGGCATTTTGTTGACCATCCCCTATTTCTGTGAATAGTGGGTGCAACTGTAATTCCAAGCAAAGCTCCTTCTTTGCTGCACTCATTTCTGGTGCTTTATCATACTGATTACATTTTTTTTCTATTTACATTATGGCTTGCAAAATAATAAGTAAATTTTCAAAAGCCTTCCTCACTCTTTTTCATTTTTTTTTGAGACACGGTCTCACTCTGTTACCCGGGCTGGAGTGCAATGGCACAATGACCTTTCACTGCAGCCTTGACCTCCCGGGCTCAAGTAATCCTCCTACCTCAGCCTCCTGAGTAGCTTCACCTGGCTGTTTTTCTATTTTTTATGGAGATGGGATTTTGCTTTGTTGCTCAGGCTGGTCTCCAACTACCGGACTCAAGTGATCCTCCCCCCTCAGCCTTCCAAAGTGCTGGGATTACAGGCGTGAACCACCATGCCTGGTCAAAAGCTCTTTAGTTAAAGAGAACAAAAGTTGGTTAAGTCCTTCTCTTTCAAATATGTATTGCAAATATGTCAACAACTTATTCAAAGTCTGCATATCAGCCTTTTCATTCAACCGTAAAGCAAACTGAGAGCACTGGCTGATGATAGTAGCTGCTCCTTGAATTGCTTCCTATGATATACAGGATCATTTAATAAAGAGATTTCTGCCTATATCAGCTTATTAAGTTTTCTCCCTATGTTTATTATAATTATGTTCTATCAGCTTCTCAGAAAGAGTGTGACTTGTACATGCATTTGCTTATTTAGAGTAAAATTTGATGTTTCTATAGCTGGTTTTGCCCCTTTATTTCATACCAAAGGTTATTTTGCACTTGTCTTAAAAAATATGCAGTTGGTTTAACATGGATTTATTGTGCTTTGAAAATGACTTGAAAGCTTGAGTGGTTTCATGTTACTTTTTTAAGTCAGGACTTTTGAAGCATTAGTTATTAATACAATAAAATCTACCCATAAAAAGTGTACAGCTTGATGAATTTGACCACAATCAAGATAGAAGATGTTTTAATCATTCCAAAAAGACTTGTTAGGAGACCATTTTATAACCCACATTATAGATGATGGCTTGGTCCAGTAGGTAGCGTTAGAGCTGATGAGTAGTGATCCTATTCAGCGTGTATTTTGAAAATAGAGCCAGCACAATTTGCCAATAGACAAAATATGGGAGCGAGAGAGAGAAGTCACTATTTATTATTCCTCAAGATTCTATAGACCAACTAGGTGGTTTCTGTGCTGTTTTGCCTGATCTTATTCATGCCGCTGTGTTCTGTTGAGGGTTAGAAAGTCCAAGATGACCCCACTCAGATGTATCATGGTTGGTACTTGTAGTCAGCTGGGGTCTCTGGAGTCCTCTCTCTAGGGCCCCTCAGTCTCTTGTTTCCTTACATTGAGGTCACACAGTAATAAACAATCCCAAACTTAGTTTAAATTAATTACCATTTATTATTCCTTATGATTTTGTGGGTCATTTGGGCAGTTCTACTTATTTCACCTGGGCTCACTCATGCAGCTACATTCAGCTAGGGGGTTGCAGGGGGACGGATTTAGCTGGGACAGTTGGCATGGTTTAGTTACACACCACAGGCTCTTTGGCTCCCCATGTAATGGAAATTAACAGGGGAACAAGCAGATTTCCCAGACAAGCCTTTTTTTTCTGGGCTTGTGCTTGAAAACAAGGGAAAGGCTGGGCGCGGTGGCTCACGCCTGTAATTCCAGCACTTTGGGAGGCCGAGGTGGGTGGATCACCTGAGGTCGGGAGTTCAAGACCAGCCTGACCAAAATGGAGAAACCCCCTGCTAAAAATACATAATTAGCCTGGCGTGGTGGCGCATGCCTGTAATCCCAGCTTCCCAGCTACTCAGGAGGCTGAGGCAGGAGAATTGCTTGAACCCAGAAGGCGGAGGTTGCGGTGAGCTGAGATTGCACCATTGCACTCCAGCCTGGGCAACAAGAGCGAAACTCCATCTCAAAAAAAAAAAAAAAAAAAAAAAAAAAGAGAGAGAAAACAAGGGAAACAACAGAGGCGCAAGGATCCTCCAGCTGACTCTGAAAAAAGCCTGTAGGGAATTTTTTTTTTATCAGGCAAAGTGTGGGAATTGACATCAGGGGTAGGGTATGAAGGCTGGGCTGGGCAGAACATGTAGGGGCAGGGTATACAGGTTCCCATATCTAGTTGCAGTGCTTATATTGAGTAATGGGCCACCTGGTGGTCTGGCCAGCGGCAACGAGGCTGTACATCAATTATTGTTCAGCATTCCTTTCCCAGGTGAGACACTCTGCAACCTTTGTTCGATTTTAGATCTAAACCAGTTTCTGGAATTCTTTAAGTAAAAGGCATGGTTAAACATTAGGAGTGCACAAAAGAACAATATAGACTGGCTATTTTCTGTATACGACTATTAGCGGAAATAGTGTCAGTGAAGTAGTGGTGTGGATTTTGTGATCAGTGGGAATCATGAAAGGATGCTCTTGGGGTGAGCTAAAGCCAAACCCTGTCCCTATTCTGTCTCAGTTTCCATGTTGTCTTTCACCTTAAGCTTCTACACAGATTACTATTCTCAGAGCAGCAATCCAAGAGGTCAAAGAAATACTGGAATATCTCTTGAGGCCTAGGCTTCAGAACTTGCATAATATCACTTCCACCACATTCTGTTGGTCACAGCAAGTTAAAAGGCCAGCCTAGGTTGAAAGGTTTTGAGAAATAGACCTCATGTTTGCACGTGAGAAGGAGAAACGTCACATTGCAAAGGGGCATGCATACTAGGATGGGAGGAAGATAGAGCCATTAAAGAGTCTACCCTACCACCATTATGCTGTTGACTCAGCTACTTTCTCTCCTGCCATTAAGACTAATTGTTTCCGTGTCTTTGTGTGACTTGAGTTCATACTTTCTAAGAGAGGACAGGGGCTCCTGAGGCATAAACCTCAGGGGCCAGAACACCTCATAAGCTATAGATAGCCTGCAAATGACTGATCAGTGTTCACTGCGGTGAGGCAATCTGGTATGGTGGCCAGTGTGTACAGACCTCTTAAAGGCTTATATAAAGGGACCAGGCGCGGTGGCTTATGCCTGTAATCCCAGCACTTTGGGAGGGCCGAGGCGGGCGGATCACCTGAGGTCAGGAGTTTAAGACCAGCCTGGCCAACACTGTGAAACCCTGTCTCTACAAAAACAAAATAAAACAAAAAAAATTAGCCAGGCATGACGCTGGGTGCCTGTAATCCCAGCTACTTTGGAGGCTGACGCAGGAGAATCGCTTGAACCCAGGAGGCAGAGGTTGCAGTGAGCCAAGATTGTGCCATTGCACTTCAGCCTGGGCGACAGAGGGAGGCTCCGTCTCAAAAAAAAAGAAAAAAGAAAAGAAAAAAAGAAAAAAAAACTTACAGAAAGGGACAGGGCGTGTGGCAAGTCCTCTGAAGCTTTCCTGAAAGGGTCCAATAGGCATCTTGCTTGACCAGTACAGTACAACTGAAAATTGGTATAGTGGTTACAAATATCAGCCTGCCATTCAAATGTGTAATAAATATATCTCTTTTTGTTTTTCTGTAACAACTTTTCTGTTTTGAGTCTCTGATCCATTATGGTGAAAGGTACTTACTTTTAGTCAATTTGGAGTTTTTCCCCTCCCATCCCTGGGGTGGTACTTAATTTCTGGAGGGTGTTATGTAGTGCCATGGGATCCGGAGGGGCCATCTAGTCCTCTTTGTCATTGGTCCCTACAGTTTACCTGAGACTTTTGTTACCTTATTTAATCCTTTTTCATTGATCCCTGTAGGTTGACGTTTTGTAATAGTGATGACCATGATTATGATAGTATTATGATAGTAATTATGAAAGTATTATGATAACATTAATAAGAGTTGCTATTTGTTTAATGCTCACTATGAGACAGGCACTGTGTTATATGTATTAAAAATAGTATTGCTGGCCGGGCACAGTGGCTTACGCCTGTAATCCCAGCACTTTGGGAGGCCGACGTGGGCAGATCACGAGGTCATGAGATCGAGACCATGCTGGCCAACATGGTGAAACCCTGTCTCTACTAAAAATATAAAAACTAGCTGAGTGTGGAGATGCGTGCCTATAATCCCAGCTACTTGGGAGGCTGAGGCAGGAGAATCTCTTGAACCCGGGAGGCAGAGGTTGCAGCGAGCCGAGATGGCACCACTGGACTCCAGCCTGGTGACAGAACTAGAGCTCATCTCAAAAAAAAAAAAAAAGTATTGCTAAAAACAACTCTGTGTACATGTTATATCCTGCGGCATTTGCACAGAGCATATGTGTAATGGACATTTGTAATTATCAACATCCAGCTTTTGAACTCCCTTCCTATTTGAGGGATTCATTGCCTCCGAAAGGAGAAGCTGAAATGAACAGACACCTAGTATTCTAGCTCCTCTGCCAGCTAGGATGTAGGCCCTTGACCTAGGCTCTGCCAATCAGATGCACTCATCTGGGATTTTGAATTTGAAACTAATGACACAAAGAAACAAGGACAATGGAGATTTCTTTCTGGTGTCAGTGGCAGCAGCATCAAGTTGGCAAGCACAACAGTGTCTGTGTTGCCAACCCTTGGATCCAATGTTGAATACCAGGGATGACAACAGTGCAAACTGCAGTTCCTGTGTTCAGTGGCAGTGGTAGCAGCATACCAGTAGACTGGCTCTCTGGTTCTATGTTTTGGTTTTTGTTTGTTTGTTTGTTTTGAGACAGAGTTTCGCTCTTGTTGCCCACACTGGAGTGCAATGGTGCGATATTGGCTCACTGCAACCTCCGCCTCCCAGGTTCAAGTGATTCTCTTGCCTCAACCTCCTGAGTAGCTGGGATTACAGGCATGTGCCACCATGCCCAGCTAATTTTGTATTTTTAGTAGAGATGGGGTTTCTCCATGTTGGTCAGGCTGGTCTCGAACTCCTGATCTCAGGTGATCCACCTGCCTCGGCCTCCCAAAATGCTGGGATTACAGGTGTGAGCCACCATGCCTGGCCTCTGGTTCTATTTTTGTTTGTGAAGTTATCTGCATAGCTTCTCTTTATTCCTGCCTATTTTCCCAGTTTATCTGTGAGCCATTCATTAGTTTCAAGAAATTAGCCGATGGAGAAATTCTTAGCAGAAGCGATTGCAGGCAATAGGGAAAGGGTAGGTGGAGAGCTTGGGGTTGGTTAATTGGCCTGGTTTGGGATGGAGGCAAGGAGAACCCAGCTAACATTAAGGAATTGGATTTTCACAGCCCTTGGCAAATAGTAACAAAATATGTTTTTTTTTTTTTTTTTTTTTTTTTTTTGCGACAAGGTCTCCCTCTGTCACCCAGGCTGGAGTGCAGTGGGGATTATAGCTCACTGCAGCCTTGAACTCCCAGGCTCAAGTGACCCTTCCAACTCAGCCTCCCAAGTAGTTGGGATGATAGGCCCATGCCATCACACTTGGCTCAAAATAGCTAATTAAATCATTTATTTGATCACCTGCAGTGACATGCCAATTGAAGGCAAGGCTTTGGGTTTCCAAATCCTATTGCCATAGGATCACATAAAGGGTAGGCATGGAATTTGAGGGTTGTGCAGGTGTTGTGACTGCTTCTAATATTGCTGAACATCTTAAAAAGTAATAACAAGGCTGGGTGCCGTGTCTCACACCTGTAATCCCAGCACTTTGGGAGGCCGAGGTGGGTGGATCACTTGAGGTCAGGAGTTCGAGACAGCCTGGCCAATATAGCGAAACCCAGTTTCTACTAAAAATACAAAAATTAGCTGGGTTTGATAGTGGGTGCCTGTAGTCCCAGCTACTCGGGAGGCTGAGGCACGAGAATCACTTGAACCTGGGCGGCAGAGGTTGCAGTCAGCTGAGTTGGGGCCATTGTACTACAGCCTGGGGGAGAAAAAAAAAAGGCAAGATTTCTAAATTATTAGCTCAAGTTATCAGAGAAACCCAGGGAACTTCTGTGGCTCTGCTACAAAGATCTGTAAGAGATTTAGCAAGACATAGGCTCTTGCAGCTGAAGAACTGAAGCAACTGTAGGCCAGACACAGTGTTTGATCCTCAGGGTTGCCAAATTTTATTGGTTTAATTCATGGACTTATATATAGTCTCTTATGAGGAAGCCAGGATGTTGATCAAGAAAGAGCAGTATCTAAATATTTAGAATGAGCTAAGTTGGAGAATTTGGCTGACTCAGACTACCTCAAATTCCCAACCTACTGAGCCTCCCTTTTCAGCTGAAGTGTCCTTTTCTCTTGTGTGGAAGCTATTTTTGGTTGCTTGAAGATCCTTTCTTAATTACTTGTCTTATATACTACAGCTATGCCTGTGCCTCTCTCTTTAAATGGAAAGGGAACTCTCTCATACCTTATTAACTTCCTTCCATGCACCTCTTGCATTTATTTCTCTCCCTCTTTCTTTATAATTGTATATTAGAAGATCCGAAGAGATCCTAAATGGTACTTTGGGACCATCCTTAGAACTTTAAAAAGAAAAATTGCCAGGCAAAACTAGCACCTTCTCTTATTATTATTATTATTATTACTATTATTATTATTATTTTTGAGACAGAGGCTCACTCTGTCGCCCAGGCTGGAGTGCAGTGGCATGACCTTGGCTCATTGCAGCCTCCACCTCTCAGGTTCAAGTGATTCTTGTGCCTCAGCCTCCTGAGTAGCTGGGATTACAGGTGTGTGCCACCATGCCTGGCTAATTTTTGTATTTTTAGTAGAGACAGGGTTTCACCATGTTGGCCAGGCTGGTCTTGAACTCCTGACCTCAAGTGATCTGCTTGCCTCAGCCTCCCAAAGTGCTTGGACTACAGGCATGAGCCTTCTATTATGGATAGGGATGAAGAAAGACTGGAAATATCCAGGAGTTAATAATCTAAAAGTAAATAAAGAAGATAGAAAAGCAGACCCTAAAATCAAACACGAAGAGAACCAAATGAAGTAAACAGTGGATAAATATTAAAAACATAAACACACAGAAAATATAATCCAAGTTTCTTCTGAACACAGCACACTGACCCTGTATCCTTACTAGGACAAATTCTAAGGACAAGGAACAAATGCAAAGAAATTTTGAATTTTATCTCATAAACTTGTTGTTGTTGTAATGGTGAAATTATTTTTTGTCTGTATAGTATGAGTAAAGATATTGGTTTGAATGGGAATCAAGGTTTTCATTATGGAAGAAGGGAGATAAACACGTGGGATGGAAAAGTTGATAAAGAACCCCTGTAAAGTTCAGAAGTATGTCTATGCTGATGACTTTTTTTGAAAAAAGAAAATCTAGCTCTCTTTACTGTCAAGGCCTAGTCACAATAAATGCTACATAACACTCAGCTCTTGGTTTTTAAATACCGTTCTCTACTAGAAGGCATCAGGTTTCTGTGAAAGAAATGGCTGATTGCAGGTGTGGGGCAGGGAAAGTTCAAGGTGAGTATGGAGTGTCTTGCTGTGGTTGTAGCCTGGGAAGTGGAAGTGCTCAAAGACTGAGAGGTTATGTCAAAAAGACATAGGAGTTAGGTTGAAGGGGTTCCCTTTGGCCAAATTCGGGACAACATGAGCATAATAATGATTAATAATGGCCTGGGCACAGTGGCTTTTAATCCCAGCACTTTGGGAAGCTGAAGTGGGTGGATTGCTTGACCTCAGGAGTTTGACACCAGCCTGGGTAACATGGTAAAACCCTGTCTGTACTAAAAATACAAAAATTAGCCAGGCGTGCTGGCATACGCCTGTAATCCCAGCTACTTGGGGAGCTGAGGCCGGAGGATGGCTTGAGCCCAAGAGGCGGAGGTTGTAGTGAGCCGAAATCGGACCACTGCACTCTAGACTGGGTGACAGAGTGAGACCCTGTCTCAAAAAGAGAAAGAAATTAATAATGGTCATAATACACAAAGACATAAATCTGTAAATCTATATTGGTATGAAAGAGAGAAATGCTTTTTTTAAAAAATAAAGTTCCAACTAGTAAACATAGAAGAAATGATCAAATGAAAAAAAATAACTATTTTTCTCTTCTTTTTTTTAAAATTATACTTTAAGTTCAAGGGTACATGTGCACAATGTGCAGGTTTGTTACATAGGTATACATGTGCCATGTTGGTTTGCTGCACCCATCAACCATCATTTGCATTAGGTATTTCTCCTAATGCTATCCCTCCCCCAGACCCCCCTCCGACAGGCCCCGGTGTGTGATGTTCCCTGCCCTCTGTCCATCATTGTTCAATTCCCACCTATGAGTGAGACCATGTGGTGTTTGGTTTTCTGTCCTTGTGATAGTTTGCTGAGGATGATGGTTTCCAGCTTCATCCATGTCCCTGCAAAAGACATGAACCCATTCTTTTTTTATGGCTGCATAGTATTCCATGGTGTATATGTGCTGCATTTTCTTAATCCAGTCTATCATTGATGGACATTTGGGTTGGTTCCAAGTCTTTGCTATTGTGAATAGTGCCACAATAAACATACGTGTGCATGTGTCTTTATATTAGCATGATTTATAATCCTTTGGGCATATACCCAGTAATGGGATCACTTGGTCAAATGGTATTTCTAGTTCTAGATCCTTGAGGAATCGCCACACTGTCTTCCACAATGGTTGAACTAATTTACACTCCTACCAACACTGTAAAAGCATTCCTATTTCTCCACATCCTCTACAGCATCTGTTGTTTCCTGACTTTTTATTGATCGCCATTCTAACTGGAGTGAGATGATATCTCATTGTGGTTTTGATTTGCAAAAAATAACTATTTTTCAACTCACAACATAAAAATTGATTCAGGCAAGGACTATCAATGCATGCTAATACCATTGGGTGAAAAATTGGGGGGACATGGTCTCAAAGTATCACTTCCAAGTAATTTATTAATTGCAAAGGGGAAAGATATACTTCATTTATGATGAAGAGGTCTGATAGCACATTAAATATGTTAACAAAAACAGCATCACTAATGGTGGTACAATAAAATACACAACATCATCTAGGTATTATTCTTGCCAGGAATGTTTAATCTGAATCTAGTAATGGGGAAACAGTCAGATATTAATAAACCTTCAAATCCAGAATGTGGGGCATTTTATAAGAACATTGGGCTGAACTCTTAAAACAAAAAGTCAATATCATGAGAAATATCAGTATCACCACCAATACCAACCTCATAAACAACAAACACTACTACCAAAAGGTGTGAGAACTGTTCTAGATTAAAAGAGGCAAAAGAGACTTAATGTAATGCAATGTACTAATAATGATCAAATCTTGGATTAAAAAACAGCTATACAAGCTAATAAAAGACATTTCTGGGACAGTTAGGGATATTTGAATATAAATTGTGTATTAGATGACATTATTTATTTGTTAATTTTCCTGGGTAGATAATTGGTTGTGGTTTTATAGGAGAATGTCTTTATTCTTAGGGGATGCGTGACTAAGTATTTAGGGATAAAATGAAGTTTAGAGATTTCTGCAACTTACCCATAGAGAGTCACTCCCCATTTCCTCTCAAACCCACCTATCCCCAGCCCTAGGCAATCACTAATCTGTTTTCTGTTTTAAAAAAAATTTTTTTTATTATACTTCAAGTTCCGGGATACATGTGCAGAACATGCAGGTTTGTTACGTAGGTATACATGTGCCATGGTGATTTCTGCATCCATCAACCCATCATCTACATTAGGTATTTTTCCTAATGCCATCCCTCCCCTTGCCCTCAACCCAGTGTGTGATGTTCCCCTCCCTGTGCCCATATGTTCTCATTGTTCAACTCCCACTTATCAGTGAGAACATGTGGTGTCTGGTTTTCTGTTCCTGTGTTAGTTTGCTGAGAATGATGGTTCTGTTTTAATGGATTTGTCTATCCTGAATATTTTATATAAATGAAATAATGCAGGATATATGGTCTTTTGTGACTGGCTTCTTTCATTTAGCATCCATGATGTGATATCAGTAACTTCATTCTTTTTTCTTGCTAAATAATATTCTGTTGTTTAGATATGCCACATTTTGTTTATCTATTCATCAGTTGAGGGACTTTTGGGTTGTTTCACATTCAGCTATTATGTATGATGCTATGAACATTCGTGGGCAATTTTTTGTGTGGATATATGTTTTCATTTCTCTTAGTTGTATGCCTAGGAGTGGACTTGCTTTTATGGTTACTCAATTGGTCATATGGTTACTCTGCATTTAACGTTTTGAGGAACTGCTAAACCTTCCCAAAGTGGCTGAGCCACTTTACAATCTCACCAGCTTTTGGTATCATATCTAAGAAACCATTGCTTAATCACAGAGTTTAAGATCACAGAGTTTTATACCTATATTTTCTTCAAAACCTTTTATAATCTTAAGTCTTAAATGTACATCTTTGATCCATTATGAGTTAAGTCTTTGTATGTTGCTTGAGGTTTGACTTCATTGTTTTGCATGTGGCTGTCCAGTTGTTTCAGTATCATTTGAAAAGACTATTTTTTCCCTATTGTCTTGGCACCCTTGTCAAAATCAACTGACTTTATAAATGCGAGGCTTTAATTGTGGAATCTCCTTTCTATTTTGTTGACCTGTGTGTTTATACTTATGTCCATACCACAATGTCTTAATTCCTGTAGTCTTAAGTTTTGAAACTGAGAAGTGTGAGTCCTCCAACGTTGTTCTTTTTAAAGATTACTTGCATTTCTATATGAATTTTAAAAAATAACCTTTAAAGATTACTTGACTTGCATTTCTATATGAATTTTAAAATATAGCCTTTAAAGATTACTTGACTGGCATTTCTATATGAATTTTTAAAAAATAACCTTTATTTTTTAGAGCAGTTTTAGATTCACAGCAAAATTGACTGGAAAGTACAGACAGTTCCTACATACCTCTCCTGGACTTTATGTACATCCTCCACCACTATCAACATTCTGCACCAAATTGGTACTTTCTTATAATCCATGAAGCTACATTGACACATCATTACCACCCAAAGTCCATAGTTTAATGTTACAGTTTACTGCTGGTGTTGTATGGGTTTTGACAAAATATAATGACATGTTATAGTATCATACAGAACAGTTTCACTGTCCTAAAAATCCTCTAGGCTCTACTTTTTCATTCCTTCCTCCCCACTAACTCTTGGCAACCACTCATCTTTTTACTGTCTCCATACATAGTTTTGCCTTTTCCAGAATGTCAAGTAACTGGAGTTAAAAATGATATACCCTTTTCAGTTGGCTTCTTTCACTTAGCAATATGCATTTAAAATTCTTCCAGGTCTTTTTGTGTTTTGATGCTCATTTCTTTTTAGCACTGAATAATATTCCATTGTCTGGATGTATCACATTTTATTTATTCATTCACCTCCTGAAGGACATCTTGGTTTGCTTCCAGATTTTGTCAATTATGAATAAAGCTGCTATAAAAATCTATGTGCAGGTTTTTCTGTGGGCATAAGTTTTCAAATGATTTAAGTAAGCACCTAGGAGCATGATTGCTGCATTGTTTTTTGTAAAAGTAGGTTTAGTTTTGTAAGAAACTGCCAAGTTGTCCTCCAAAGGGGCTGTACCATTTTGTATTCTCAGCAGCAATGAATGAGAGTTCCTGATGCTCCTCATCCTCACCAGCATTTGGTGGTGTAGGTGTTTTGATTTTTGGCCATTCTCATAGTTAGTGGCTTTTTTTTTTTTTTTTTTTTTTTTTTGAGATGGAGTGTCCCTCTGTCACCCAGGCTGCAATGCAGTGGCGCAATCTCGGCTCACTGCAACCTCCACCTCCCAGGTTCAAGCATTTCTCCTGCCTCAGCCTCCTGAGTAGCTAGAGTTACAGGCGCCTGCCACCACGCTCAGTTAATTTTTGTATTTTTAGTAGAGACAGTGTTTCACCATGTTGGCCAGGCTGGTCTTGAACTCCTGACCTCAGGTGATCCGCCTGCCTCGGCCTCCCAAAGTGCTGGGATTACAGGCATGAGCCACTGCGCCTGGCCCTTTTGCCCATTTTCTTTTCTTTTTCTTTTTTTTTTTGAGATGGAATCTCGCTCTGTCGCCGAGGCTGGAGTGCAGTGACATGATCTCAGCTTACTGCAAACTACGCCTCCTGGGTTCAAGCGATTCTCCTGCCTCAGCCTCCTGAGTAGCTGGGATTACAGGCACGCACCAGTACACCTGGCTAATTTTTGTATTTTTAGTAGAGATGGTGTTTCACCATGTTGGCCAGGCTGGTCTCGAACTCTTGACCTCAGGTGATCCGCCCGTCTCGGCCTCACAAAGTGCTGGGATTACAGGTGGGAGCCACTGCACCTGGCCCTTTTGCCCATTTTTAATTGGGTTGTTTGTTTTCTTGTTGAGTTTTAAGAGTTCTCTGTATATTCTGGATAACAATCCCTTGTCAGATATGTCTTTTACAAATATTTTTCCCAGTCTGTGGTTTGTCATTATATTCTCTTCACAGTGTCTTTCACAGAGTAGAAATTTTTAATTTTAATGAAGTCCAGCTTATCAATTATTTCTTTCAAGGATTGTGCCTTTGATGTTGTAGCTAAAATGTCATTATCAAACCCAAAGTCATCTAGATTTTCTCTTGTGTTATATTCCAGAGGTTATATAGTTTTGTGTTTTACATTTTCATCTGTAATCCAATTTGAGTTATTTTTTGTGAGTGATGAAAGGTCTGAGTGTAAACTCTTTTTTTGTTTTTTTTGCATGTGGATGTCCAGTTGTTACAGCACCATTTGTTGAAAATAATTTCTTTTCTTTGTTGTATTGCCTTTACTTCTTTGTCAAAGATCAGTTGAAGAGGTAGAAGAGGTGAGCAAAGAAAAAAATACCAGCTGACTATATTTATGTGAATCTTTTTCTGGGCTCTCCACTCCATTCCATGGATCTGTCTATTCTTTCTCCAATAGCACACTATCTTGACTAATGTAGCTTTATAGTAAATCCTGAATGAAGTTGGATACTGTTAGCCTGCTGACTTTTCTTCTTCAATATCATGTTGGCTATTCTGGGTCTTTCTTGTCTCCATATAAACATCAGAATCAGTTTGTTGATAACCACAAAATAACTTGCTTGGATTTTGATTGACTTCGAATCTATAGATTGTAATTCCTCAATTCTAAACGTTCTAAGCAACTGCCAAAGATCAGTTAGTCCCCACTTATTTCTCATCCCCTCACAAGGAAGAACTTCAGTGCTAACCTGATTTTAATCATGAGGGCACCTGGGCCACAGGTAAAGTCTTAACAACTGGCTGCTACATAGGAGGAAGATCAGACTTGTAGTGTCTACTGATTTCTGCGGTATACATACTCCCACTGTGGCTGATTTCAACCTGCCAACTGAAAGCGAAGTTGAGAGGAGATGTACAGTAGCACACCATTACACAATATATCCACCATGCAAACACAATAGATAGAAATAACGTCAAGAATGTAGATAATAGCAAAGTTGTAGTAAAATAATTAGAAAGTGATTATGTTTGAGTATTTATCACTTTAAAGAACTTTTACTTTGGAACTAATTATACACTCATAAGAAGTTACAGCACAGCACAGGGAGATTCTGTGCACTGTCAACCTAAATAACAAACAGAAAGATGCTCTCTGAAAGAAATTTATTTGGGAATAGAGCATTAAAATGGTCATGCACATGCCATAGTAAATTACTTGCATATTTTGGGGGGCCAGTAAAGGAAGACAAAGGTTTTTAAAGGAAAAAATGAGGAGGATTTCATAATTGTTTTGAAATAATTATCCTTGGTTAAAAAGATAAATACCAAGGGTGACACTAGTTTGAGGTTGGACAGGCAGTTGCTGGGCAGGATATTATTGCAGAAAATTTTTTTTATGTAAGGTTGTGATGGCCTTTGTGCAAGGTTGTGTTTTTTGTTGTAGATTTGTTATCAAGCATACAAGCATGAGAACATCTCTTCATGGCCTTCCTTGGTTCTATTTGTCGGGGTTTTCTTAACATTAGTGATCCTGTTTTGATTCCGACAACATTCATAGTACCCATTCTCCAGCTTCCCACAATGGTAAGTACCCATTCTCCAGCTTTCCACAATGGTAACTTTTTTTTTTTTTTTGAGACAGGGTCTGAATATGCTTTGTCATCCAGGCTGGGGTGCAGTGGTGTCATCATGCATGGCTCATTGCACCCTCCACCTCTGGGGCTCAGGCAATCCTGCTGCCTCATCCTCCTGAGTAGCTAGAACTACAGGTGTGCTCCACCATGTCCAGCTAATTTCTTGTATTTTTTGTTGAGATGGGGTTTTGCCAAGTTGCCCAGGCTGGTCTCAAACTCCTGGACTCAAGTGATCTGCCCGCCTCAGCTCAAAGGTGTGAGCTACTGCACGCAGCCGGTAATATCTCACTTAATTATGTATTACCAAAACCAGGAATTTAGATTTTATTTCCTTTTTATTTTTTAATTTTAAGAAAACTTTAAATTGTTGTAACATACACACAGTATAAAATTTATCATCTTAACCATTTATTAGTATACAATTCTATAGTTCTATAGTTTAAAGTATATTCACATTGCTGTGAAACAGAGCTCCAGAACTTTTTCATCTTGCAAAACTGAAACTCTGTACCCATTAAACATTAACTGCCATTCAGTCTACAGCTCCCAGTGTGACCAACGCAGAAGATGGGAGATTTCTGCACTTCCAACTGAGGTACTGGGTTCATCTCACTGGGGAGTGTCGGAAAGTGGGTGCAGGACAGTGGGTGCAGCGCACTGAGCATGAGCCGAAGCAGGGCGAGGCATTGCCTCACCCGGGAAGCACAAGGGGTCAGGAGAAAGGGATGACAGATGGCACCTGGAAAATCAGGTCACTCCCACCCTAATACTGTGCTTTTGCAACGGTCTTAGCAAATGGCACACCAGGAGATTATATCCCACACATGGCTAGGAGGGTCCTACGCCCACAGAGCCTTGCTCATTGCTAGCACAGCAGTCTGAGATCAAACTGCAAGGCGGCAGCCAGGCTGGGGGAGGGGCACCCGCCATTGCCGAGTCTTGAGTAGGTAAACAAAGCAGCCCAGAAGCTTGAACTGGGTGGAGCCCACCACAGCTCAAGGAGGCCTGCCTGCCTCTGTAGACTCCACCTCTGGGGGCAGGGCACAGACAAACAAAAAGACAGCAGTAACCTCTGCAGACTTAAATGTCCCTGTCTGACAGCCTTGAAGAGAGTAGTGGTTCTCCCAGCACACAGCCGGACATCTGAGAATGGACAGAATGCCTCCTCAAGTGGGTCCCTGACCCCCGAGTAGCCTAACTGGGAGGCAACCCCCAGTAGGGGCAGACTGACACCTCACACGGCCGGTACTCCTCTGAGACAAAACTTCCAGAGGAACGATCAGGCAGCATCTGCTGTTCACCAATATCTGCTGTTCTGGAGCCTCCGCTGCTTATACCCAGGCAAACAGGGTCTGGAGTGGACCTCCAGCAAACTCCAACAGACCTGCAGCTGAGGGTCCTGACTGTTAGAAGGAAAACTAACAAACAGAAAGGACATCCACACCAAAACCCCATCTGTACTTCACCATCATCAAAGACCAAAGGTAGATAAAACCACAAAGATGGGGAAAAAACAGAGCAGAAAAACAGGAAACTCTAAAAATCAGAGTGCCTCTCTTCCTCCAAAGGAATGCAGCTCCTCACCAGCAACGGAACAAAGCTGGATGGAGAATGACTTTGATGAGTTGAGAGAAGAAGGCTTCAGACGATCAAACTACACTGAGCTAATGGAGGAAGTTCAAACCCATGGCAAAGAAGTTAAACACCTAGAAAAAAAATTAGACGAATGGCTAACTAGAATAACCAATGCAGAGAAGTCCTTAAAGGACCTGATGGAGCTGAAAACCAAGGCATAAGAACTACGTGATAAATGCACAAGCCTCAGTTGCCAACTCGATCAACTGGAAGAAAGGGTATCAGTGGTGGAAGATGAAATGAATGAAATGAAGTGAGAAGAGAAGTTTAGAGAAAAGCAGAAACAAAAAAAGCCTCCAAGAAATGTGGGACTATGTGAAAAGACCAAATCTACATCTGATTGGTGTATCTGAAAGTGACGGGGAGAATGGAACCAAGTTGGAAAACACTCTGCAGGATATTATCCAGGAGAACTTCCCCAATCTAGCAAGGCAGGCCAACATTCAAATTCAGAAAATGCAGAGAATGCCACAAAAATACTCCTTGAGAAGAGCAACTCCAAGACACATAATTGTTAGACTCACCAAAGTTGAAATGAAGGAAAAAATGTTAAGGGCAGCCAGAGAGAAAGGTCGGGTTACCCACAAAGGGAAGCCCATCAGACTAACAGCTGATCTCTCGGCAGAAACTCTACAAGCCAGAAGAAAGTGGGGGCCAATATTCAACATTCTTAAAGAAAAGAATTTTCAACCCAGAATTTCATATCCAGCCAAACTAAGCTTCATAAGTGAAGGAGAAATAAAATACTTTACACACAAGCAAATGCTGAGAGATTTTGTCACCACCAGGCCTGCCCTAAAGGAGCTCCTGAAGGAAGCACTAAACATGGAAAGGAGCAACCAGTAACAGCCACTGCAAAAACATGCCAAATTGTAAAGACCATTGAGGCTAGGAAGAAACTGCATCAACTAATGAGCAAAATAACCAGCTAACATCATAATGACAGGATCAAATTCACACATAAAAATATTAACCTTAAATGTAAATGGGCTAAATGTTCCAATTAAAAGATGCAGACTGGCAAATTGGATAAAGAGTCAAGACCCATCAGTGTGCTGTATTCAGGAAACCCATCTCACATGCAGAGACACACATAGGCTCAAAATAAAGGGATGAAGGAAGATCTACCAAGCAAATGGAAAATAAAAAAAGGCAGGGATTGCAATCCTAGTCTCTGATAAAACAGAGTTTAAACCAACAGAGATCAAAAGAGACAAAGAAGGCCATTACATAATGGTAAAGGGATCAATTCAACAAGAAGAGCTAACTATCCTAAATATATATGCACCCAATACAGGAGCACTCAGATTCATAAAGCAAGTCCTTAGAGACCTAGAAAGAGACTTAGACTCCCACACAATAATAATGGGAGACTTTAACACCCCACTGTCAACATTAGATCAATGAGACAGAAAGTTAACAAGGATATCCAGGAATTGAACTCAGCGCTGCACCAGGTGGACCTAATAGATATCTACAGAACTCTCCATCCCAAATCAACAGAATATACATTCTTCTCAGCACCACATCTCACTTATTCCAAAATTGACCACTTAGTTAGTAGTAAAGCACTCCTAAGCAAATGTAAAAGAACAGAAATTATAAGAAACTGTCTCTCAGACCACAGTGCAACCAAACTAGAACTCAGGATTAAGAAACTCACTCAAAACCGCTCAACTACATGGAAACTGAACAACCTGCTCCTGAATGACTACTGGGTACATAACGAAATGAAGGCAGAAATAAAGATGTTCTTTGAAACCAATGAGAACAAAAACACAACATACCAGAATCTCTGGGACACATTCAAAGCAGTGTGTAGAGGGAAATTTATAGCACTAAATACCCACAACAGAAAGCAGGAAAGATCTAAAATTGACACCCTAACATCACAATTAAAAGAACCAGAGAAGCAAGATCAAACACATTCAAAAGCGAGCAGAAGGCAAGAAATAACTAAGATCAGAGCAGAACTGAAGGAAATAGAGACACAAAAAACCCTTCAAAAAATCAATGAATCCAGGAGCTGGTTTTTTGAAAAGATCAACAAAATTGATAGACCGCTAGCAAGACTAATAAAGAAGGAAGGAGAGAAGAATCAAATACACACAATAAAAAATGATAAAGGGGATCTCACCACCAATCCCATAGAAATACAAACTACCATCAGAGAATACTATATACACTTCTACGCAAATACACTAGAAAATCTAGAAGAAATGGATAAATTCCTCAACACATACACCCTCCTAAGACTAAATCAGGAAGAAGTTGAATCTCTGAATAGACGAATAACAGGCTCTGAAATTGAGGCAATAATTAATAGCTTACCAACCAAAAAAAGTCCAGGACCAGGTGGATTCACAGCCGAATTCTACCAGAGGTACAAGGAGGAGATGGTACCATTCCTTCTGAAACTATTCCAATCAATAGAAAAAGAGGGAATCCTCCCTAACTCATTTTAGGAGGCCAGCATCATCCTGATACCAAAGCCTGGCAGAGACACAACAAAAAAAAGAGAATTTTAGACCAATATCCCTGATGAACATCGATGCAAAAATCCTCAGTAAAATACTGGCAAACCAAATCCAGCAGCATATCAGGAAGCTTATCCACCATGATCAAGTGGGCTTCATGCCTGCGATGCAAGGCTGGTTCAACATAAGAAAATCAATAAAAGTAATCCAGCATATAAACAGAACCAATGACAAAAACCATATGATTATCTCAATAGATGCAGAAAAGGCCTTTGACAAAAGTCAACAACGCTTCATGCTAAAAACTCTCAATAAATTAGGTATTGATGGGACGTATCTCAAAATAATAAGAGCTATCTATGACAAACCCATAGCCAATATCATACTGAATGGGCAAAAACTGGAAGCATTCCCTTTGAAAACAGGCACAAGACAGGGATGCCCTCTCTCACCACTCCTATTCAACATAGTGTTGGAAGTTCTGGCCAGAGCAATCAGGCAGGAGAAGGAAATAAAGGGTATTCAATCAGGAAAAGAGGAACTCAAATTGTCCCTGTTTGCAGATGACATGATTGTATATCTAGAAAATCCCATCCTCTCAGCCCAAAATCTCCTTAAGCTGATAGGCAACTTCAGCAAAGTCTCAGGATACAAAATCAATGTGCAAAAATCACAAGCATTCCTATACACCAAGAACAGACAAACAGAGAGCCAAATCATGAGTGAACTCCCATTCACAATTGCTTCAAAGAGAATAAAAGACCTAGGAATCCAACTTACAAGGGACGTGAAGGACCTCTTCAAGGAGAACTACAAACCACTGCTCGAAGAAATAAAAGAGGATACAAACAAATGGAAGAACATTCCATGCTCATGGATAGGAGGAATCAATATTGTGAAAATAGCCATACTGCCCAAGGTAATGTATAGATTCAATGCCATCCCCATCAAGCTACCAATGACTTTCTTCACAGAACTGGAAAAAACTACTTTAAAGTTCATATGGAACCAAAAAAGAGCCTGCATTGCCAAGTCAATCCTAAGCCAAAAGAACAAAACTGGAGGCATCATGCTACCTGATTTCAAACTATACCACAAGGCTACAGTAACCAAAACAGCATGGTACTGGTACCAAATAGAGATATAGACCAATAGAAAAGAGCAGAGCCCTCAGAAATAATACCACACATCTATAACCATCTGATCTTCGACAAACCTGACAAAAACAAGAAATGGGGAAAGGATTCCCTATTTAATAAGTGGTTCTGGGAAAACTGGCTAGCCATGTGGAAAGCTGAAACTGGATCCCTTCCTTACACCTTATACAAAAATTAATTCAAGATGGATTAAAGACTTACATGTTAGACCTAAAAACGTAAAAACCCTAGAAGAAAACCTAGGCAATACCATTCAGGACATAGGCATGGGCAAGGACTTCATGTCTAAAACACCAAAAGCAATGGCAACAAAAGCCAAAATTGACAAATGGGATCTAATTAAACTAAAGAGCTTCTGCACAGTAAAAGAAACCACCATCAGAGTGAACAGACAACCTACAGAATGGGAGAAAATTTTTGCAATCTACTCATCTGACAAAGGGCTAATATCCAGAATCTACAATGAACTCAAACAAATCTACAAGAAAAAAACAAACAACCCCATCAAAAAGTGGGCAAAGGATATGAACAGACACTTCTCAAAAGAAGACATTTATGCAGCCAAAAGACACATGAAAAAATGCTCAGCATCACTGGCCATCAGAGAAATGCAAATCAAAACCACAATGAGATACCATCTCACACCAGTCAGAATGGCGACCATTAAAAAGTCAGGAAACAACAGGTGCTGGAGAGGATGTGGAGAAATAGGAACACTTTTACACTGTTGGTGGGACTGTAAACTAGTTCAACCATTGTGGAAGTCAGTGCGGCGATTCCTCAGGGATCTTGAACTAGAAATACCATTTGACCCAGCAATCCCATGATTGGGTATATACCCAAAGGATTATAAATCATGCTGTTATAAAGACACATGCACATGTATGTTTATTGCAGCACTATTCAGAATAGCAAAGACTTGGAACCAACTCAAATGCCCAACAATGATAGACTGGATTAAGAAAATGTGGCACATATGACACATGGAATACTATGCAGCCATAAAAAATGATGAGTTCATGTCCTTTGTAGGGACATAGATGAAGCTGGAAACCATCATTCTCAGCACACTATCGCAAGGACCAAAAACCAAACACTGCATGTTCTCACTCATAGGTGGGAATTGAACAATGAGAACACATGGACACAGGAAGGGGAACATCACACACCGGGGCCTGTTGTGTGGTGGGGGGAGGGGGGAGGGATAGCATTAGGAGATATACCTAATGTTAAATGATGAGTTAATGGGTGCAGCACACCAACATGGCACATGTATACATATGTAACAAACCTGCACGTTGTGCACATGTACCCTAAAACTTAAAGTATAATAAAAAAATCAAAAACAAAAACAAAAACAAACACTAACTGCCTATTTTTCTCCTTCCCCTACCCCGTAGCAACTACTCTCTACTTTCTGCCTCTATGAATTTGACTACTCTAGGTATCTCATATAAGTGGAATCATACAGTATTTGTATTTTTGTGACTGTCTTTTTTCACTTTGTATAATGTTCTCAAGGTTCATCCATGTTAGAGCATGTATCAGAATTTCCTTAATTTTTCGATTAAATAATATTGCATTGTATGTATATACCACATTTTGCTTATCCATTCACCTGTCCACCGACACTTGATTGCTTCCACCTTTTGGCTATTGTGAATAATGGTGCTAGAAACACAAATACCTTTGTATGTAATATGACATTTAATAATAACTTTTTTTTTTTTTTGAGACAGCTTCTCTCTCTGTTGCCCACGCTGGAGTGCAGTGGCGTGACTTCAGCTCCCTGCAACCTCTGCCTCCCAGGTTCAAGTGATTCTCCTGCCTCAGCCTCCTGAGTAGCTGGGATTACAGGTGTGTGCCACCATGCCTGGCTAATTTCTGATTTCTAGTAGAGATGGGATTTCACCGTGTTGGCCAGGTTGGTCTCAAACTCTTGACCTCAAGTGATCTGCCTGCCTCGGCCTCCCAAAGTGCTGGGATTACAGGTGTGAGCCACTGCACCTGGCCAATAATAACTATATAATTTAATTTTTAATAATGCCTGTCTTAACAACTAGCTTGCAAAATTCCTGAAAATTTAACAATTGGCTACTGAGGGTCACTATACCAGCTCCAGCACACCAGTGGATCTGAGTCACTTCAGGCATGAGAATAGGCACTATTTGTTTCAAGATAGCCAGGAAGGAGAAGCCAAAACAGAGCTCCAACGTTTCCCCTCCTCTTCTGTACTTTCTTGCTGGACTGCCCTTTGTCCCAGGCCAAAGCCACCATACCCTGCACATACCATTTCAAAGCATTTCCCTCATCAGGAATTTCTCAGTCTTCCTTCTCAACATTTTTGGGGCTGATCTTGTGGGAGGGGAATAAGAAGAGAATGCCTGTCTCCTTTTATGGGAGTATAGTCTTCTAATGCTCTGCTCCATGCTTGCTGGTGCCCTTATCATGGAGGAGAGGGTATCTATGCCTTGAGAGAGAATCTTTCTTCTTATCTCAAGGGGATTTGTAGGGCATAGGTGTCTTTTCACTTGTTCACAGTAATTTTGCTTTTCTAAATTGTCAGTCTCTGGCTGAAGGGACTCATCCTGGGAGGTTTTGTGGACTGCATTCGTTTCTCTGAATGACTAATGAGGGAAGAGAATTGCTGCTTCAAATTGGGAACTGCAAATTGGGAGAATTAGTTAGGAATTCATAAAGATATGGCTCAAGTAGAGCAAAGAAGGCCTTACTTTATTCACAGCTTGTACGAGCATTAATTTTCCAGAAAACTTTTGATGTGTATGCTTTTCTTAAGTGCAGCATACAGTTAGAAGCTATAGTAGGCCACTTACATGACACAATTATACATTTGGTGACTGCTATTCATAAATATCAGTCATGCACTTTGGGGACTCATTAAATTTGATTTAGGTGACACATTAAAGAAACTCATGGATTTGATAGGATGTTGGAATTAATCTCTGTTTTTCTGCAGAGAGGAAGTCAATAAATGTAGCATTTTATAAGGTATTAGTGAGAAATTAAATAGAGGGAAAACCTCAGGAAGGCAGGTGTGCAGGACTAGCTGGCAAGTCTGCAGGACCCAGAAGGATGTACCAGGAGATATGCAGAATGGCCACCTAATTTTCTAAGGCTCACTGGAGACTGCACAAGTAGCCAGCTGGACATGTTCACTTTTTCCTTTTCTCTTTAGGGGATATATGACAATGTTGGAGCAAGAGAGCTTCTTTCTCTCCCTGAATATTGCTTATGACTCAGTACTTTTGCCAGTCATTTTAGTAAGCTTTGCAAGTGTGTTCCCGTGCATCTTTTGCTGATTATACAGCATGTACCACCCAGCACATTTTTTTTTTTTCTTTCAGACAGAGTCTCTCTCATCCAGGCTGGAGTGCAGTGGCCTGATCACAGCTCAAAACAGCCTCAGCCTTCTGGGCTCTAGTGAAACTTCCTACCTCAGCCTCCCAGGTAGCTGGGAACACAAGCACGTGCCACCATGCCCAGCTAATTTTTTGGTCTTTTTAGTAGAGATGGGGTTTCACCATGTTGCCCAGGCTGGTTTTGAACTCCTGGGCTCAAGCAATTCAACCACCTTGGCCTCCCAAAGTACTGAGATTACAGACGTTAGCCACGCCCAGCCTAGCATGTTTAAAAAAATGTACTTTTGGGCCGGGCATGGTGGCTCACGCCTGTAATCCCAGCACTTTGGGAGGCCGAGGCGGGCGGATCACGAGGTCAGGAGATCGAGACCATCCTGGCTAACACGGTGAAACCCCTTCTCTACTAAAAATACAAAAAATTAGCCGGGCGAGGTGGTGGGCACCTCTAGTCCTAGCTATGTGGGAGGCTGAGGCAGGAGAATGGCGTGAACCCCAGGGGGCGGAGCCTGCAGTGAGCCGGGATCATGCCACTGCACTCCAGCCTGGGCGACAGTGAGACTCTGTCTCAAAAAAAAAAAAAAAAGTACTTTTGAATAGCATTTTATATATATATATATATATATATATATGTGTGTGTGTGTGTGTGTGTGTGTGTGTGTGTGTGTGTGTATTTGTGTATATATGTATATGTATGTATATATATGTGTATATATACATATACACTTTTTTTTCAATCTCTCTTTTAACTTTTAAGTTCAGGGGTACATGTGCAGTTTTGTTACATAGGTAAACTTGTGTCAGGGGGGTTTGTTGTACAGATTATTTCATCACCCATGTATTAAGCCTAGTACCCATTTGTTATTTTTCCTGATTCTCTCTCTCCTCCCACCCTTCAATAAGCCCCAATGTGTGTTGTTCCCATTTATGTGTCCATGTGTTCTCATCATTTAGCTCCCACTTATAAGTGAGAACATGCAGTATTTGGTTTTCTGTTCCTCTGTTTGTTTGCTCGGGATAATGCCCTTCAGCTCCATCCATGTCCCTGTAAAGGACATGATCTTGTTCTTTTTTATGGCTGCATAGTATTTATGGTGTATATATACCATATTTTCTTTATTCAGTCTATCATTGATGGGCATTTAGATTGATTCTGTGTCTTTGCTATCATGAACAGTGCTACAATGAACATATGCACGCATGTGTTTTTACAATAGAATGATTTATATTCCTTTAGGTATATGCCCATAATGGGATTACTGGGTCGAATGGAAGTTTTGTCTTTAGATCGTTGAGAAATCGCCACAGTGTCTTCCACAATAGTTGAACTAATTTACACTCCCATCAACAGTGTATAATGTTCCTTTCTCTCCACAGCCTTGACATAATCTGTTATTTTTTGACTTTTTAATAGTAGCCATTGTGACTGGTATGAGATGGTATCTCATTGTGGTTTTGACTTGCCTTACTTTAATGATCAGTGATGTTGAGCTTTTTGTCATATGATTGTTAGCTGCTTGAATGTCTTCTTTTGAAAAGTGTGCTCATGTCCTTTGCCCACTTTTTAATGAGGTTTTTAATTTTTCCTTGTAAATTTAAGTTCCTTATAGACACTGGATATTAGACCTTTGTTGAATGCATAGTTTGGAAAAATTTTCTCCCATTCTGTAGGTTGTCTGTTTACTCTGTTGATAGTTTCCTTTGCTGTGTGGAAATTCTTTAGTTTATTTTTATTTTTTTTTATTATACTTTAAGTTCTAGGGTACATGTGCACAACGTGCAGGTTTGTTACATATGTATACATGTGCCATGTTGGTGTGCTGCACCCGTTAACTCGTCATTTACATTAGGTATATCTCCTAATGCTATCCCTCCCCCCTACCCCCACCCCATGACAGGCCCTGGTGTGTGATGTTCCCCACTCTGTGTTCAAGTGTTCTCATTGTTCAGCTCCCACATATGACTGAGAACTTGTGGTGTTTGGTTTTCTGTCCTTGCTATAGTTTGCTCAGAATGATGGTTTCCAGCTTGATCCATGTCCCTACAAAGGACATGAACTCATCATTTTTTATGGCTGCATAGTATTCCATGGTGTATATGTGCCACATTTTCTTAATCCAGTCTATCATTGATGGACATTTGGGTTGGTTTCAAGTCTTTCCTATTGTGAATAGTGCAGTAATAAACATATATGTGCATGTGTCTTTATGGTAGCATGATTTATAATCCTTTGGGTACATACCCAGTAATGGGATCACTGGGTCAAATGGTATTTCTAGTTCTAGATCCTTGAGGAATTGCCACACTGTCTTCCACAATGGTTGAACTAGTTTTTTTTTGTTTAAGTTCCTTGTAGATTCTGGATATTAGCTCTTTGTCAGATGGATAGATTGCAAAAATTTTCTCCCATTCTGTAGGTTGCCTGTTCACTCTGATGGTGGTTTCTTTTGCTGTGCAGAAGCTCTTTAGTTTAATTAGATCCCATTTATCAATTTTGGCTTTTGTTGCCATTGCTTTTGGTGTTTTAGTCATGAAGTCCTTGCCCATGCCTATGTCCTGAATGGTATTGCCTAGGTTTTCTTCTAGGGTTTTTATGGTTTTAGGTCTAACATTTAAGTCTTTAATCCATCTTGAGTTAATTTTTGTATAAGGTGTAAGGAAGGCATCCAGTTTCAGCTTTCTACATATGGCTAGCCAGTTTTCCCAGCACAATTTATTAAATAGGGACTCCTTTCCCCATTTCTTGTTTTTGTCAGGTTTGTCAAAGATCAGATGGTTGAAGATGTGTGGTATTATTTCTGAGGGCTCTGTTCTGTTCTATTGGTAGAACACTACCATGCTGTTTTGGTTACTGAAGCCTTGTAGTATAGTTTGAAGTCAGATAGCATGATGCCTCCAGCTTTTTTTTTTTTTTTTTTTTTTTTTTAAAGAGTGAGCAGCAGCAAAATTTATTGCAAAGAGTGAAAGAACAAAGCTTCCACCATGTGGAAAAGGACCTGAGTGGGTTGCCCGCTTTGTTCTTTTTGCTTAGGATTGTCTTGGCAATGCGGGGTCTTTTTTGGTTCCATATGAATTTTGAAGTAGTTTTTTCCAATTCTGTGAAGAAAGTCATTGGTAGCTTGATGGGGATGGCATTGAATCTATACATTACCTTGGGCAGTATGGCCATTTTCACGATATTGATTCTTCCTATCCATGAGAATGGAATGTTCTTCCATTTGTTTGTGGCCTCTTTTATTTCGTTGAGCAGTTGTTTGTAGTTCTCCTTGAAGAGGTCCTTGAAGAGGTCCTTCACATCCCTTGTAAGTTGGATTCCTAGGTATTTTATTCTCTTTGAAGCAATTGTGAATGGGACTTTCAGGCATTTCTATACAGCCTCTGAAATCTAGGTGGTGGTTACCAAACCTCAATTCTTGCCTTCTGTGTACCCGCAGGCTCAACGCCACATGCAATCTGTGAAGGTTTGGGGTTTGCACCTCTGAAGCCACAGCCCAAGCTCTATGTTGGCCCCTTTCAGCCATGGCTGGAGTGGCTGGGACACAGGGCACCAAGTCCCTATACTGCACTCAGCAGAGGGACCCTAGTCCTGGCCCACAGAAACCATTTTTAACTCCTAGGCCTCCAGGCCTGTGATGGGAAGGGCTGCTGTGAAGACCTCTGACATGCCCTGGAGATATTTTCCCCGTTGTCTTGGGGATGAACATTTGTCTTCTTGCTACTTATGCCAATTTCTGCAGCCAGCTTTAATTTCTCCTCAGAAAATGGGATTTTCTTATCTATCACATTATCAGGCTACAAATTTTCTGAACTTTTATGCTCTGCTTCCCTTATAAAACTGAATGCCTTTAACAGCACCCAAGTCACTTCTTGAATGCTTTGCTGCTTAGAAATTTCTTCTGCCAGATACCCTAAATCATTTCCCTCAAGTTGAAAGTCCCACAAATCTCTAGGGCAGGAGAAAAATGCCACCAGTCTCTTTCCTAAAACGTAACAAGTGTCGCCTTTGCTCCACTTCGCAAAAATTTCCTCATTTCCATCTGAGACCATCTTAGCCTGGACTTTATTGTCCATATCATTGTCGGCATTTTGGGCAAAGCCATTTGGGCAAAGGTATTAAAGGAACACACCTCAAAATTATAAGAGCCATATACAACAAACCCACAGCCAACATCATACTGAATGGGCAAAAGCTGGAAGCATTCGCCTTGAAAGCTGGCAAAAGGCAAGGCTGCCCTCTCTCACCACTCCTATTCAACACAGTATTGGAAGTCTCTAGGAAGTTCCAAACTTTGCCACATTTTTCTGTCTTCTTCTGAGCCCTCCAAGCTGTTCCAACCTCTGCCTGTTACCCAGTTCCAAAGTTGCTTCCACAGTTTCAGGTCTCTTTTCAGCAATGCTCCACCATAGTGGTAACAATTTACTGTATTATTTCATTTTCACACTGCTAATAAAGACATACCCAAGACTGGGCAATTGACATAAGAAAGATGTTTAATGGACTTATAGTTCTACATGGCTGGGGAGGCCTCACAATCATGGCAGAAGGTGAAAGCCATGTCTCACATGGCGGCAGCCAAGAGAAGAGACGGAAACTCCCATTTTTAAAACCATCAGCTCTCATGAGACTTATTCACGATCACGAAAACAGCACGGGAAAGATCCGCCCTCATGATTCAATTACCTCCGACTGGGTCCCTTCCACACACGTGGGAATTGTGGGAGTTACAATTCAAGATAAGATTTAGGTGGGGACACAGCCAAACCACATCAAGGTGTAAGGAAATGGTTCAGTTTCTATCTTCTGTATATGGATAGCCAGTTATCCCAGCACCATTTATTGAATAGGGAATCCTTTCCTAATTGCTTGTTTTTGTCAACTTTGTTGAAGATCTAATAGTTGTAGGTGGGTGGTCTTATTTCTGGGCTCTTTGTTCTGTTCCATTGGTCCATGTGTCCGTTTTTGTACCAGTACCATGCTGTTTTGGTTACTATAGTGTGTAATATAGTTTAAAGTTGGGTAGCATGATGCCTCCAGCTTTGTTCTTTTTGCTTAGGATTGCCTTGGCTATTTGGACCCTTTTTTAGTTCCATATGAATTTTGAAATGGTTTTTCTGTGAAGAATATCAGTGGTAGTTTAATAGGAATAGCATCGAATCTATAAGTTGCTTTAGGTAATATGGCTATTTTAACAATATTGATTCTTCCTATCCATGAGCATGACATTTTTTCCATTTGTTTGTGTCATCACTGATTTCTTTGAGCAGTGGTTTGTAGTTCTGCTTGTAGAGATCTTTCACTTCCCTAGTTAGCTGTATTCCTAGGTATTTTATTCTTTTTGTAGCAATTGTGAATGGGAGTTCATTCATGATTTGGCTCTTGGTTTGACTGTTGTTTGTATATAGGAATGCTAGTGATTTTTGCACATTGATTTTTGCATCCTGAGACTTTGCTGAAGTTGTTTATCAGCTTGAGGAGGTTTTGGGCTGAGACTATGGGGTTTTCTAGATATACGATCATGTCATCTGCAAACGAGGATAGCTTGACTTCCTCTCTTCTTATTTGGATGCCTTTATTTCTTTCTCTTGCCTGATTGCCCCAGCCAGGACTTCCAATGCTATGTTGAATAGGAGTGGTGAGAGAGGGCATCCTTGCCTTGTGCCAGCTTCAAGGTGAATGCTTCCAGCTTTTGCCCATTCAGTATGATGTTGGCTGTGGGTTTGTTGTATATGGCTCTTATTATTTTGAGGTGTGTTCCTTTAATACCTAGTTTATTGAGAATTGTTTTTAACATGAAGGGATGTTGACTTTTATTAAAGGCCTTTTCTGCATCCATTGAGATAATTGTGGTTTTTGTCTTTACTTCTGTTTATGTGATGAATCACATTTATTGTTGAACCAGCCTTGCATCCCAGGGATACAGCCTACTTGATTGTGGTGGATAAGCTTTTTGATGAGCCTAGTATATTTGACCATTTATTCAAAATAGATTTATTTTGATATTCTCACCACTTATTCTACCAATGTGTTATATCACCTTAGGGAATAGACAATGCTTCCTGTGGCCAGATGCAGTGGCTCATGCCTGTAATCCAAGCACTTTGGGAGGCCTAGGCAGGTGGATCATTTGAGGTCAGGAGTTCAAAACCAGCCTGGCCAATAGGGCGAAACCCCGTTTCTAGTAAAAATACAAAAATTAGCCGGGTTTGGTGGTGGGTGCCTGTAATCCCTGCTACTAGGGAGGCTGAGGTAGGAGAATCACTTGAGCCTGGGAGGTGGAGGTTGCAGTGAGCAGAGATTGCACCACTGCATTCCAGCCTGGGAGACAGAGTGAGATTCTAGGCCAAAAAAAAAAAAAAAAAAAAAAACAACAAAAAAAACATTGCTTCCTGTCTAATAAGCAGGTTTTGGGCAGAAAGTCCTACATGTAAGAATATTATGATCATTCTTCAGGGGATGTCGCTTCCAAGAAGGCTGAATAGGAATAGCTCTAGACTACAGCTCCCAGTGAGATTGATGCAGAAGACGGGTGATTTCTGCATTTCCAAATGAGGTACCTATCGGGGGAACCTGCCCCCAATATTTCAACATAGGTTCTTTCTATTTTCCATAAGGGTTAGCCGGCTGAGAAATAAAGAGAAAGAGTACAAAGAGAGGAATTTTACAGCTGGGCCTTCAGGGGTGACATCACATATCGGTAGGACCGTGATGCCCACCTGAGCCTTAAAGCCAGCAAGTTTTATTAAGGATTTCAAAAGGAGAGGGGATGAAAGAACAGGAAGTAGGTCACAAGATCACATGCTTCAAAGGGCAAAAAGGAGAACAAATATCATATTCTTCTGAGCAAACAGTATGGGGGCAAATTCAGAACTACTGATAAGGGTCTATGTTCAGCTGTGCATGTATTGTCTTGATAAACATCTTAAACAACAGAGGACAGGGTTCAAGAGCAGAGAACTGGTCTGACCTCAAATTTACCAGGGTGGGGTTTTTTCCCCACCCTAATAAGCCTGAGGGTACTGCAGGAGACCAGGGTGTATTTCAGTCCTTATCTCAACCACATAAGACAGACACTCCCAGAGTGGCTGTTTATAGACCTTCCTCCAGGAATGCATTCGTTTCCCAGGGTATTAATTATTAATATTCCTGTCTAGGAAAAGAATTTAGTGATATCTTCCCTACTTGCACATCCATTTATAGGCTCTCTGCAAGAGAAAAATATGGCTCTATTCCGCCTGACACTGCAGGCAGTCAGACCTTATTGTTGTCTTTCCTTGTTCCCTAAAATCGCTGTTATTTTGTTCTTTTTCAAGGTGCACTGATTTCATATTGTTCAAACACACATGTTTTACGATCAGTTTGTACAGTTAACACAATAGTGGTCCTGAGATGACATACATTCTCAGCTTACAAAGATAATGGGATTAAAAGATTAAAGTAAAGACAGGTATAAGAAATTATAAAAGTATTATTTGGGAATTGATAAATATCCATATTAAAATGAAATCTTCACAATTTATGTTCAGAGATTGAAGTAAAGACAGGCATAATAAATTATAAAAGTATTACTTGGGAACTGATATATGTCCATATTAAAATGAAATCTTCACAATTTATGTTCCTCTGCCGTGGCTCCAGCCGGTCCCTCCATTCGGGGTCCCTGACTTCCCGCAACAGGTACCTGGTTCATCTCACTGGGACTGGTTGGACAGTGAGTGCAGCCCATGGAGGGTGAGCCAAAGCAGGGTGGGGCATTGCCTCACCTGGGAAGTGCAAGTGGTCTGGGGATTTCCCTTTACTAGCCAAGGGAAGCCATGAGTGACGGTACCTGGAGGAACCGTACACTTCTGCCCAAATACTGCAAATTTTTCATGGTCTTCACAACCAGCAGACCAGGAGATTCCCTCCTGTGCCTGGCTTGGCAGGTCCCACGCCCAAGGAGCCTTGCTCGCTGCTAGCACAGCAGTCTGAGATTGTCCTGGGAAGCGGGAACTTGGCAGGGGGAGGGGCGTCTGCCATTGCTGAGGCTTGAGTAGGCAGTTCTATGCTCACAGTATAAACAAAGCGGCAGGGAAGCTTAAACTGGGCGGAGCCCACTGCAGCTCAGCAAGGCCTACAGCCTCTCTAGATTTCACCTCTGGGAGCAGGACGTATCTGAACAAAAGGCAGCAGACAGTTTCTGCAGACTTAAACATCCCTGTCCGACAGCTATGAAGAGGACCAGCATGGTGTTTGAGATCTGATAATGGAAAGACTGCCTCCTCAAGTGGGTCCCTGACCCCAGTGTAGCCTGACTGGGAGACACCTCCCAGTAGGGGCCAACAGACACCTCATAGAGGTGGGTGCCCCTCTGGGACGAAGCTTCCAGAGGAAGGATCAGGCAGCAATATTTGCTGTTCTGCAGCCTCTGCTGGTGATACCCAGGCAAACAGCGTCTGGAGTGGACCTCCGGCAACCTCCAACAGACCTGCAGGTGAGGGGCCTCTCTGCTAGAAGGAAAACTAACATACAGAAAGGAATAGCATCAACATCAACAAAAAGGACATCCACACCAAAACCCCATCCGTTGGTCACCAACATCAAAGACCAAAGGTAGATAAAACCACAAACATGGGGAGAAACCAGGGCAGAAAGGCTGAAAATTCCAAAAACCAAAATGCCTCTTCTCCTCCAAAGGAACACAACTCCTCACCAGCAAGGGAAGAAAACTGGACAGAGAATGAGTTTGATGAGTTGACAGAAGTAGGCTTCAGAAGGTTGGTAATAACAAAGTTCTCCGAGCTAAAGGAGGATGTTTGAACCCATTGCAAGGTAGCTAAAAACCTTGAAAAAAGGTTAGACGAATGGCTAACTAAAATAACCAGTGTAGAGAAGACCTTAAATGACCTGATGGAGCTGAAAACCACAGTATGAGAACTTCGTGAAGCATACATAAGCATCAATAGCCGAATCGATCAAACAGGAGAAAGAATATCAGTGACTGAAGATCAAAGTAATGAAATAAAGTGAGAAGACAAGATTAGAGAAAAAAGAGTGAAAAGAAACAAACAAAGCCTCCAAGAAATATGGGACTATGTGAAAAGACCAAATTTACGTTTGATTGGTGTACCTGAAACTGATGGGGAGAATGGAACCAAGTAAGAAAACACTCTTCAGGATATTATCTAGGAGAAATTCCCCAACCCAGCAAGTCAGGCCAACATTATAATTCAGGAAATACAGAGAACACCACAAAGATACTCTTCAAGAAGAGCCCCCAGGACACATAATTGTCAAATTCACCAAGGTTGAAATGAAGGAAAAAATGTTAAGAGCAGCCAGAGAGAAAGGTTGGCTTACCCACAAAGGATAGCCCATCAGGCTTAACAGTAGATCTCTCTGCAGAAACCCTACAAGTCAGAAGAGAGTGGGGGCCAATATTCCAACATTCTTAAAGAAAAGATTTTCTTTTCTTTCTTTCTTTTTTTTTTTTTTTTGAGATGGAGTCTTGCTCTGTTGCCCAGGCTGAGTGCAGTGGCACGGTCTCGACTCACTGCAAGCTCCACCTCCAGGGTTCACGCCATTCTCTGCCTCACACAAGTAGCTGGGACTACAGGCACCTGCCACCAGGCCCGGCTAATTTTTTTTTTTTTTTGTATTTTTAGTAGAGATGGGGTTTCACTGTGTAAGCCAGGATGGTCTCGATCTCCTGACCTTGTGATCCGCCTGCCTCGGCCTCCCAAAGTGCTGGAATTACAGGCGTGAGCCATTGTGCCTGGTCAAGAAAAGAATTTTCAACCCAGAATTTCATATCCAGCCAAACTAAGCTTCATAAGTGAAGGAGAAATAAAATCCTTTACAGACAAGCAAATGCTGAGAGATTTTGTCACCACCAGGCCTGCCTTTAGAAGAGCTCCTGAAGGAAGCACTAAACATGGAAAGGAACAACCGGTACCAGCCACTGCAAAAACATGCCAAATTGTCAAGACCATCGACACTATGAAGAAACTGCATCAATTAATGGGCAAAATAAACAGCTAGCACCATAATGACAGGATCAAATTCACACATAAAAATATTAACCTTAAATGTAAATGGGCTAAATGTTCCAATTAAAAGATACAGACTGGCAAACTGGATAAAGAGTCAAGACCCATCAGTGTGCTGTATTCAGGAGACCCATCTCACATGCAAAGACCCACATAGGCTCAAAATGAAGGGATGGAGGAATATTTACCAAGCAAATGGAAAGCAAAAAAAAGCAGGGGTTGCAATCCTAGTCTCTGATAAAACAGACTTTAAACCAACAAAGATCAAAAGAGACAAAGAAGGCCATTACATAATGGTAAAGGGATCAATTCAACAAGAAGAGCTAACTATCCTAAATATATATGCACCCAATACAGGAGCACCCAGATTCATAAAGCAAGCCCTTAGAGACTACAAAGAGACTTAGACTCCCACACAATAATAATGGGAGACTTTAACATCCCATTGTCAATATTAGATCGAGACAGAAATTTAACAAGGGTATTCAGGACTTGAACTCAGCTATGGACCAAGTGGACCTAATAGACATCTATAGAACTCTCCACCCCAAATCAACAGAATATACATTCTTCTCAGCACCATCACACTTATTCTAAAATTGACCACATAACTGGAAGTAAAACACTCCTCAGCAAATGTAAAAGAACAGAAATGACAACAAACTGTCTCTCAGACTACAGTGCAATCAAATTAGAATGCAGGATTAAGAAACTCACTCAAAACTGCACAACAACATGGAAACTGAACAACCTGCTCCCGAATGACTACTGGGTACATAACGAGAGGAAGGCAGAAATAAAGATGTTCTTTGAAAATGATGAGAAAAAAGACACAACATACCAGAATCTCTGGGACACATTCAAAGCAGTGTGAAGAGGGAAATTTATAGCACTAAATGCCCACAAGAGAAAGCAGGAAAGATCGGAAATCAACACCTTAACATTGCAATTAAAAGAACTAGAGAAGCAAGAACAAACAAATTAAAAAGCGAGCAGAAGGCAAGAAATAACTAAGATTAGAGCAGAACTGAAGGAAATAGAGACTCAAAAAACCCTTCAAAAAATCAATGAATCCAGGAGCTGGTTTTTTTAAAAGATCAACAAAATTGATAGACTGCTAGCAAGACTAATGAAGAGAGAGAAGAATCAAATAGATGCAATAAAAAATGATAAAGATGATATCACCACCGATCCCACAGAAATACAAACTACCATCAGAGAATACTATTAACACCTCTATGCAAATAAACTAGGATATCTAGAAGAAATGGATAAATTCCTGGACACATACACCCTTCCAAGACTATACCAGGAAGAAGTTGAATCTCTGAATAGACCAATAACAGGTTCTGAAATTGAGGCAATAATTGATAGCCCACCACCCAAAACAAGTCCAGGACCAGATGAATTCACAGCTGAATTCTACCAGAGCTACAAAGAGGAGCTGGTACCATTCCTTCTGAAACTCTTCCAATCAATACAAAAAGAGGGAATCCTCCCTAACTCATTTTACGAGGTAAGCATCATCCTGATACCAAAGCCTGGAAGAGACACAACGAAAAAAGAGAATTTTAGACCAATATGCCCGATGAACAGTGATGTGAAAATCCTCAATAAAATACTGGCAATCCGAATCCAGCAGCACATCAAAAAGCTTATCCACCATGATGAAGTCGGCTTCATCCCTGTGATGCAAGTCTGATTCAACATACACAAATTAATTAACATAATCCATCACATAAACAGAACCAAGGACAAAAACCACTTGATTATCTCAATAGATGCAGAAAAGGCCTTTGACAAAATTCAACAGCCCTTCATGCTAAAAACTCTCAATAAACTAGGTATTGATGGAATGTATCTCAAAATAATAAGGTATTTATGACAAACCCATAGCCAATATCATACAGAATGGGCAAAAACTGGAAGCCTTCCCTTTGAAAACCGGCACAAGACAAGGATGCCCTCTCTCACCACTCCTATTCAACATAGGATTGGAAGTTCTGGCCAGGGCAATCAGGCAAGAGAAAGAAATAAAGGGTATTCAATTAGGAAAAGAGGAAGTCAAATTGTCCCTGTTTGCAGGTGACATGATTATATATTTAGAAAACCCGATTGCCTCAGCCCCAAATCTCCTTAAGCTGATAAGCAACTTCTGCAAAGTCTCAGGATAATCTGCAAAGTCTCAAAATCAATCTGCAAAAATCACAAGCATTCCTATACATCAAGATCTGACAAACAGAGAGCAAAATCATTAGTGAACTCCCATTCACAATTACTACAAAGAGAATAAAATACCCAGGAATCCAACTTACAAGGGATGTGAAGGACCTTTTCAAGGATAACTACAAACCACTGCTCAATGAAATAAAAGAGGACACAAACAAATGGAAGAACATTCCATGCTCATGGATAGGAGGAATCAATAATGTGAAAATGGCCATATTGCCCAAGGTAATGTATAGATTCAATGCTATCCCCATCAAGATACCACTGACTTTCTTCACAGAATTGGGAAAAACTACTTTAAGTTTCATATGGAACCAACAAAGACCCCGCATAGCCAAGACAATCCTTAGCAAAAAGAACAAAGTTGGAGGCATCATGCTACCTGACTTCCAACTATTCTACAAGGCTACAGTAACGAAAAGAGCATGGTACTGGTACGAAAACAGATATACAGACCAATGGAACAGAACAGAGGCCTCAGAAATAAAACCACACATCTACAACCATCTGATCTTTGACAAACCTGACAAAAACAAGCAATGGGGAAAGGATTCCCTATTTAATAAATGGTACCAGGAAAACTGGGTAGCCATACGTAGAAAGCTATAACTGGATCCCTTCCTTACACCTTATACAACAATTAACTCAAGATGGATTAAAGACTTAAATGTAAGACCTAAAAACCATGAAAACCCTAGAAGAAAACCTAGGCAATACCATTCAGGACACAGGCATGGGCAAAGACTTCATGACTAAAATACCAAGAGCAATGGCAACAAAAGCCAAAATAGGCAAATGGGATCTAATTAAACTAAAGAGCTTCTGCACAACAAAATAAACTATCATCAGTGTGAACAGGCAACCTACAGAATGGGAGAAAATTTTTGCAATCTACCCATCTGACATAGGGCTAATATCCAGAATCTACAAAGAACTTAAACATATTTACAAGAAAAAAACAATCCCATCAAAAAGTGGGCAAAGGATATGAACAGACACTTCTCAAAAGAAGACATTTTTGCAGCCAACAGACATATGAAAAAGTGCTCATCATCACTAGTCATCAGAGAAATGCAAATCAAAACCACAATTAAGTTCCATCTCATGACAGTTAGAATGGTGTGGAAACAACAGATGCTGGAGAGGATGTGGAGAAATAGGAACACTTTTACACTGTTGGGAGTGTAAATTAGTTCAACCATTGTGGAAGACAGTGTGGCGATTCCTCAAGGATCTAAAACTAGAAATACCGTTTTACCCATTATGAGGTATATACCCAAGGGATTATAAATCATGCCACCATAAAGACACATGCACACATATGTTTATTATGGCACTATTCACAATAGTAAAGACTTGGAACCAACCCAAATGTCCATCAATAATAGACTAGATAAAGAAAATGTGGCACATATACTCCATCGAATACTATGCAGCCCTAAAAAAGGATGAGTTCATGTCCTTTGCAGGGACATGGATGAAGCTGGAAACCATCATTCTCAGCAAAATATCACAGGGACAGAATACCAAACACTGCATGTTCTCACTCATAAGTGGGAGTTGAACAATAACAAATGTACAGAGGGCGGGGAACATCACACACCAGGGCCTGTTGCAGGGTGGGGGGCTGGGGGAGGGATAACATTAGGAGAAATACCTAATGTAAATGACGAGTTGATGGGTGCAGCAAACCAACATGGCACATGTATATCTATGTAACAAACCTGCACGTTGTGCACATGTACCCGAGAACTTAAAGTATATATATAAAAAAGAATATTGCTTATTATGTAAAAGTATATTGTGTGTATCTCCCCCTCCCCACCACCTCTTGCATTGTTTGCAAGGGAGTCTAGCTTTCAGAAATACTCGCTCACTAAATCGAAAGAACAAACTATTTATAGCTTACAAAAATGGCAATCCACAATTCTAGTTAGACGACATTTGAGTCAGTTTTGATTTAGAAAAAATATAAGATGTGCCTCTGTTTTGTTAAAGGAAGCTAGAATGTTCTAGCATTCATGGCTTTTCTTGGAATGCAAGGCTTTTAGGAACGTTAGTCTCTTTTTAGATTGTGTATGCAAACTTGCTTAGCTGAATGCTGTAGAGTTAGGCTAAGGGTGGGATGTCAGTTTTTGTGACATCCAGTGAATAAAATTTATTATTTTAAAGTTAGGAGGAAAGTGTTGATTGTAACTACTCTATAAGTGTCTTATAAAAAGACATGCACACCCTTCACTACTTATGAGAATCTTATTGCCTGTGGTGGAACTTGGAATGTTAGGTAGTCTCTGGCTCAGAAGAGAAGGGGGAGCTTTTGGGAAAACCAGAAAAAGAGAGAGGGAGCTCAACTTCATCAATACATACCCTTTTACACCATTACACTTTTCTCCAAAAAAATTGCACCATTCTTCCTTAGTTGTCCATGTCATCTTTTCTTTTTAACTGCATTAATTTCTACAGATGAATATTTATTTGGGTGAGGAAGTATTATCATTAAAAATATGAAAAATCTGGAGAGTTAAAAGACAGTCATTTCCAGACAGGGTGAGTGAGTCCTTTTGCTTATTCTTCCTGAGTCACATGGAACGCTGCTCTCAGGATAATCTATTCAGCTACATCGTATTTACTTATTTAGATTATATAAAAAATTTGTGAGTTAATATACATTATAAAAAGTCAAACAATTTGGGTATATATGAGTAAAAATGTAATCCAGTTATGTATCTTCTTAATTTCTTTCCCTTCCATAGATCTAAGCACACACATGTTTTTCACTTAATACTGTGTTTTGAAGATACTGATTAGTTAGAATTTAAATAAATTGTTGCATGAGGCCGGGCATGGTGGCTCATGCCTGTAATCCCAGCACTTTCGGAGGCCAAGGCGAGCAGATCACCTGAGGTCAGGAGTTCGAGACCAGCCTTGCCAACATGGCAAAACCCCATTTCTACTAAAAATACAAAAATTAATCAGGAGTGGTTGCACGCACCTGTAATCCCAGCTACTTGGGAGGCTGAGGGAGGAGAATTGCTTGAACCCGGGAGGTGGAGGTTGCCGTGAGCCTAGATTGTGCCACTGCACTCCAGCCTGGGCAACAGAGCGAGACTCTGTCTCAAAAAAAAAATTGTTGCATGATACCACATTAGGTGGAAATAAAAAATTATAAACAAAAGTTCACCTTTGGTTAAAATGAGAGTAAAGAGAACCATAGTTTTCAAGTCTCAATGGTATATAATAAGAAATCTTGAAGAAAATAAAAGGATGAAGCTGTTTATCAAGTTAATTTCCAAAAGGAAGGAAATGAAGGAAGATAAAGTATGCTTATATTTGGTGATCCTAAGAACATAATGGACAAGATTTGCATCCAAAAATTCTTTAAGGTTAGTAGTTTAATTTAGTTTTTTCATTTTTCATTTTTTGAGATGGGACCTCACCCTGTTGCCCAAACTGCAGTGCAGGGTACAATCACCACTCACCGCAGCTTTAACCTCTTAGACTCAAACGATTTTCCTGCCTCAGCCTCCTTAGTAGCTAGGACCAGACATGTGCACCACCATGCCTGGCTAATTTTTTAAAACTATTATTTTAAAAAGTAGACCTTGTAGAGATGAGGTCTCACTATGTTGCCCTAGCTGGTCTCAAATTCCCCGGCTCAAGTGATCCTCCCACTTAGTACTCCTAAAGTGCTGAGATTATAGGCATGAGTCACCACACCTGGCCTGTTTCTTTGAAATTTCAATGTGTGATAGCAGCTATTAAAGGTTATAACCTATAAACTTAAGTAAATACAGAGTAGACTTTTTGTAGGAAATTGTAATTTGCTCCATGGAATTGTATTTGTTCAGGAGATTAAAAATTTTCACTAACTTTGTGATAATTTACCCATTAATATGATCTCAGTCATCTTATAAATAATACATTGATATATACATTATGTAAATTATCTTCCCAGGCAATGGAAAATATCTAGACTCAGAATTGTAGATAGCCTTTTCTTCTTGCCAGTTGAACCAAGTTTAAAAATTTTGTGTCTCTAAAATATTTATTTTATTTTTTAATTTTAAAATTATTTTTAAAAAATAATTTCAACTTTTAGATTTAGGAGGTACATATGCAGGTTTGTTACATATATTTATTTTTCAAAACAAGACACAAAATTTCATTCTTTAACAATAGCATGAAAGTACCATAATCTATTTAATCACTCTCCTACTGATGAGCCTTTGGGTTGATTTCTATATTTAACTATTACAACATCCTGCAACTACCATCTTTATACACATTTTTGTAATTATGTGTAGATATGTGCAAATAGGAGAGCTATCTAGAATTGTAATTTCTATATCAAAGCATATGTATATTTTACCTTTTCAAAGAGAAACTGCCCTCTTGAAAGGCTGTGTATTTCCATGGGTATATGAGAAATCAGTTGTCCAGTACCATTACCAATAATGCATTTTAAAAAATTATAGCTTTCTTGAAATATAATTCACATACCATAAAATCCACCTGCTTAAAGTATACAATTCATTGGTCTTTAGTATGTTCACAGAGATGTGCCATCATTGCCACACTCGAATTTTAGAATACTTTCTTTACTCCAAAAAGAAACCATGTACCCCTTAGCAGTCACTCTACTTTCTCCCAACTGCTAGTCTCCTAGCACTAAGCAATACTAATCTACTTTCTGTCTCTACAGGGTTGCCTACTTTGGACATTTCACATAAGCAGAATCATACAGCATAAGGTCTTTTGTTTCCAGCTTCTTTCACTTAGCATACATTTTCAAGGTTCATCCATGTTGTAGCTTATATCAGTACTTCATTCCTTTTTAGGACTGAATAATATTCCATTGAAAGGATATATCATATTTTGTTTATCTATTCATCAGTTAATGGACATCTGGGTTGTTCCCACTTTTTGGCTGCTATGAAAATGCTGCTATGAATATTTGTGGATAAGTTTTTTTGTGGATATATGTTTCTATTTCTCTAGGAGTGGAATTGTAGTACATAGTAACTCTATATAAATTTTTTGAGAAACTGTCAAATTTTCCATAGTGGCTATACCATTTTACATTCTCATCAGCAAGATATGAGGGTTTCAATTTCTCTGTGTCCTCACGAACACTTGTTATTGTCTGTCTTCTCAGTTCCAGCCATTCTAGTGGGTGTGAGGTGGTATCTCATTGTGATTTTTCTTTCTTTCTTTTTTTTTTTTTTTTTTGAGATGGAGTCTCACTCTGTCACCTAGGCTGGAGTGCAGTAGCAGTGATCTTGCTAACTGCAACCTCCGCCCCCCAGGCTCAGGTGATCCTCCCACCTCAGCCTCCCAAGTAGCTGGGACCACAGGTGTGCACCACCATGCCCGGCTTTTTTGTTTTGTTTTGTTTTTGCATATTTAGTAGAGACAGGGCCTCACCATATTGCCCAGGCTGGTCTCGAACTCCTGAGCTCAAGAGATCAGCCTGCTGCAGCCTCCTAAAGTGCTGGGATTACAGGCGTGAGCCACCGTGCCTGGCCAAGGGCTTCCTATTGACTAATTTGTATTCCATTTTCCCCAGGTTGAACAGATTTTCATATATTAGCTATTAACAGTGCTTCTAATGTGTGTTGCCTGGTTCTGTATTTTGCCAAGTTTTGTTTGATCCTTTCTTTTTAAAAAATCTAGCTAACATTTGATTAAAACATTCTGTTCTGGCTTCCTTCCTTGCTCATATACCTTAGTAAGGATCTGGAAGGCTAGGTTCAGATTTTTCAGACTCATAGGGGATTTCTGTCAGAATGTGGCTCTGCAGGGAGGGCTGGCTCCCAATGCAGCTCTAAGTCCACGGGCCACCCCCTTTTTCCTTCTGTTCCAGTGGCAGCTCTGCCCAGCACCTCATAGCGAGGGGGCTCGTGCACAGCGTGCGGACACTGCAACTCTCTTGACCATGCTTCTTCCATCTCTCTACCAGACACCTCCCTGCTTAGGCGCCCTGCACGCTAGGCAGCGCAGGTACCTGTAGAAGTGGCCGACTCTGGGTGGGCGTGTCCCACGTCCCTGTGATTTCCTAGCTCCAGGCACAGGCAGAGGGGTGAGCAGGAGCAGGTTCAGAGCAGGACCTCAAGGTGTGGGGCCCGGGGGAGGCGCCTATCTTGCAGGGGTCTAATGATTAAACATTTTATGACAACAACAAGCTTTACTAAAAGTAAATGCTATTACTATTAGCTTTTAAATGCGAAAACCCAGCGGGGCGCGGTGGTCAGGCCTGTAATCTTAGCACTTTGGGAAGCCGAGGTGGGTGGATCGCTTGAGGCCAAGGGGTTGGAGACCAGCCTGGGCAACATAATGAGAACCCATCTCCAAAAAAAAAATAAAAAATTAGCCAGACGCGGTGGCTCCCGTAATCCCAGCACTCTGGGAGGCTGAGGCGTGTGGGTCACTTGAGGTCAGGAGTTCGAGAGCAACCTGGCAAATATGGCGAAATCTCGTCTCTGCTAAAAATACAAAAATTAGCTGGGCGTGGTGGCAGGTGCCTGCAATCTCTACTCGGGAGGCTGAGGCGAGAGGATTGCTTGAGCACAGGTGGTTGAGGCTGCAGTGGGTCGAGATCCTGCCACTGCACTCCAGCATGGGTAACAGAGTAAGACCCAGTATGGGAAAGAAAAAAAAAAAGCTTTTGCAAATTTATTTATTATTGCTGGGCGTGGTGGCTGATGCCTGTAATCCCAGCACTTTGGGATGCCGAGGCGGGCGGATCACCTGGGGTTGGGAGTTTGAGACCAACCTCACCAACATGGAGAAATCCTGTCTGTACTAAAAATACAAAATTAGCCGGGCATGGTGGCACATGCCTGTAATCTCAGCTACTAGGGAGGCTGAGGCAGGAGAACCGCTTGAAGCTGGGAGGTGGAGGTTGTGGTGAGCCCAGATTGTGCCATTGCACTCCAGCCTGGCAACAACAGCAAAACTCTGTCTCAAAAAAAAAATTATTTATTATTTTGTAAGCCATAATGTAAATAGAAAAAAAATAAGTAAATGAATGGGAAAACCCATCACAATTTCCATTCATTTGACTTGCCAATTAACTTTTTGTAACCCACTTGTAAGTTTGAAACTGTGTTCTATCAAGTCGGTGTTAACTTGATCCTAGTCCTTTTATTTGTTCATTCCTGGTAGTAGTTGTAAACTGCCATGAGCACAGTCAGTTTGGGGGTAGGAATTTTATTTTTGAAAATATAAAGTATCTTGATTTCCAGGAGCTTACTGAAGAAATAAAAATTTAGCCTGGAGTTTTCAAAACGTTTTCACAAGATTGAAGGTTACAAATCTAAATGATGGTTGGTGTTATAGCTCCATAGTGACAAAAGAAACAAAACCAAACAAAAACAAAAACACTAGACAAAACAAAAACCAAAGCAAAAAAAAAAAACTAAACAAAACAAAATCCAAAAACAAATAAATAAGCAAACAAATAGGAACCAGGCAGAAAGTAGATGCCTTGTGAAGACCAAGCCATAGGAACTCCTTGGGAACTCTCATATGGATGTCTAGATTTTAGAAACAGGATTTAATTATGTTTGATCATGGGGGAAAATATATAAACTTCGGGAAAGTAGAATCATTTCAAGTTCATTGTGGGCCTTCAGATAAGACTTTAATGCTAATCAACTTATTTTAAAGTGAGCCTGCTTAATATATAATGGAATAAATAATTGTCATGCTTTTTTTTCATAATTTTGTCAGCATCTTTTTCTTTCAATATTAAAAACAGTAGGAAGAAAACATGTAATTGTCAGATGCAGTTGCAATACTTTCTGTTTATTCAGTTTTGATAGACATTTCTTAATCAAGGTTAGTCTGGTAAATGGTTTCTCTTCAGGGCTGTGAACCAAACATCTTTGTGTAAGTGAAATAAATGCTGCACTGGGAGGTAGGATACTTGGACTTGGATTCTGACTCTCACTTGAGAAGTGGTCTTGGGCTTATGTATTTACCTAAAGGTCTTTGAGGTGTCCTGTATACCATGAGGTTTCCTGTCTCCCTCAGAGTGTTGTGTATGAAGATTAAAAGAATTAATATTTGCCTGGTGCCTGATATATAGCAATCACTCAATCAATGTTAATTATCACTGTTATCCCTGTGTTTCACTTTTAAACTTGTAACCATGTTTTATACACCACCGAGTGACATTTCACGTGGAAGAAATAGAAAATAAGTATATAGATACATTGAATTCAACTTTAAAAGTAGATGAATTTAAAACTGACATTTGCAAATCACGTTCCAAGTCATTTATATCTTATCGTTTTGCATCTAGTGACACTATACTCAGAAAATATAAATATTTGGCATGGATTTCGTATTAGAAGAGAAGCCTCTGGATTTTATTTGTACTTAGCCTCTTTCTCTAACTAATGGTATCTGTATTAGTTGATTCTGAATTCTGTGCATCTTCTCATGCACTTCTCAGTATTCCCACAGAGGGGCAGAGCAGCACTATTTATTAAATTAACACTAATCCTGCAGATTCTTCACTGGATTCTGCAGTCTAATATGAAACGCTTTGTTTGAAGTTGTGCTTGTTAAATTTACAAGTCTTTCCTGAAAAGCTTCCATGCCCTCTGACCACTTTGTGTGTGCATGTGTGTATGTGTGTGTGTGTTCAACATAATCAGAAGGACAATTGAATGTTTACTCTGAATGTTTATATAACTGCCTTTCATTTTGTCTGATGGATTCCTCTGAGGAAGGTGAGAGAATCCTAGCCTTGTGCTTGGGACAACTGCTGGTTTTGCTGTTGTGACTCAGAAGTATCCTTCTGGGAAACCAGGAACTTGATGCTGATGCTGGTCTGTTCACTCCTTAAATGTAGAAGTGAAATTACAAAGAGATGTATACAAGGTTTACACATGTCCCTTACACAGGGATCAAGACATCTTGTTGAAACTACCCCTATAGTCTGACTTCTAGACTAATCTATAGGTAGGTCTCTGGGAGGACACTGGTAAACTAAAAAAATGCAAAAATATGTATAATAAATGAGGATACGTGGGCAAAATGCCCAAATGACTAGTTTTAAGCTTACTCACTTACTATTTGCTTTATTTGAAAGATAACATTTACGGCCAGGTGTGGTGGCTCACGCCTGTAATCCCAGCACTTTGGGAGGCAGAGGCGGGCAAATCACGAGGTTAGGAGATCGAGACCATCCTAGCCAACATGGTGAAACCCCATCTCTACTAAAAATACAAAAATTAGCCAGGTGTGGTAGTGCGCGCCTGTAGTCCCAGCTACTTGGGAGGCTTAGGCAGGAGAATTGCTTGAACCCGGGTGGCGGAGGTTGCAGTGAGCCAAGACTGCACCACTGCACTCCAGCCTGGGCGACAGAGCGAGACTCCGTCTCATAAAAAAAAAAAAGATAGCATTTACCTTGCTACCTTATTCCATAAAGCCTAGGACCTTCACTGACACCATTATTTTTCTATCACTTGATTAATGTCAAAAAAAGCTTTGTAGCTCTTAATTTGAGCAAGATATAGTTTTTGTTTTTTTGTTTTTTGAGGGAAGGCATTTGTATGTTTAAAGTCTTGCTTGGCAGGCCAGGCATGGTGGCTCACACCTGTAATGCCATCACTTTGGGAGACCAAGGCAGGCAGATCACTTTTGCCTGGCCAACATGGTGAAATGCTATCTTTATTAAAAATACAAAAGTTAGGTTGGCGTGGTCGCGCACCTGTAATCCCAGCTACTGGGGAGGCTGAGGCATGAGAATTGTTTGAACTTGAGAGGTGGAGGTTACAATGAGCCAAGACGGTGCCACTGCATTTCAGCCTGGGTGACAGAGTGAGACTCTGTCTAAAAATAAAAATAAAATAAAATAAAATAAAATAAAATTCTTGCTTGGCAGACCTGTGTACAAATCAAAAAGTGCTTGTTAAATATCATTGTATTGGGCTAGGTGTGGTGGCCCATGCCTGTAATCCTGGTGCTTTTGGGGGCTGAGGTGGGATGATTGCTTGAGAGCAGGAGTTTGAGATCAGCCTGGGCAATATGGAAAGACCCCTGTCCCTACAAAAAATAAAAAATAAAATAGTCTGGCATGGTGGCATGTGCCTGTAGTCTCAGCTATTCAGGAGGCTGAGGTGGGAGGACTGCTTGAGCCCAGGAGTTTGAGGCTTCAGTAAAACCATGTACTGAACATTCTGCTAACCTGGAAGATTTCAAACAAGCAAGGAATATAGACTTCACAAATGTGCAGTTTCAGGCCAGGAGCTAAGATATACCGGATGTTGAACAACTATTAGCATCCTAAATTTTTATCATGCAGTGAGGTTTTTCCAGTTCTAAAATTTTGTTTCTATAATTTTGAGGATAAAGAAAAGAATATATAAGCAGATGTTAAATTTTATGGCACAAATCTAAGTACTGCTTGGGAAGATTAACAATGATGATAATGATTAAAAGTTGATATTTTGGTTTCAAAATTTTTGCTAATGATTAATTAGGGTACAAAAGGAAGAATTTTCATCTTTTTCCTTCCATTTTGAGAAATACACAACCCAACCTTTTCCAGTTTCTTTGGGCTTTCTACTATTTCCCAACAGTACTTACATAGGATAAAAACTGAGCATTGTAAACTGTTCTCAATAACTATTTTAGTTATGTTAATTATCTTAAAAGCTAGCTTTCATCTGAATTCAATCAACAAGTATTTTGGGAACCAATTACTATGTGCAAGCCATGGGAAATGCAAAGACAAATAAGAAGAAGTCCTTATTGTTTTACATTACACAGATCGACTTTATTATATTTATTGTGTTCTTTGATGAAAAATACTAGTTGTGGAGTATGCTCAGCCTACTCTTCTCTCTCTTGGGATAACAAAAACATAGGGCATGATTTTCTTGTGTGTCCACATAAAAGAGACACAATATCTGTGACTTCTCAGAAGCCAGAAGCTGTTGTAGGACCATAGTTTCAATATTGGCAGAAACTTCCTCTATACAAATGACTTCCAAATCCACATCCTTAGCTTTGAACACTTCTGAATCCTAGTCATAAATCTCCAACCACTTGGTGGAAATGCACTTGGATCCTCTGTTCACCTCAGCTGAACTTGACCATAAACTGTCATCATTACACCCCTACTCACAAAAAGACTTTTTTTTTTTTTAAAATGGTGAGTACTATCATCGCTGTGTTCACCAAGGGTTGAAACTGATGTTACTGTAGATTCCTCTCTCTTCCTTTTACATCGTGATCAGTCTGTCAGTTCGTACTTCATAACATCTCCCATATTAGACTCTTCCTCTTGACTTCTGAAGTCATCACTCTAAGTTTAAACCCTTATCATCTGTCACTTAGCTTCTCACCCCTAGACTCTCTGTCTTCTAATCTAGCCAGGCATTATTTCCATATTCGTCTTTGAAAGGTGCTACTTAGATCTCTAAAGGCATTTCCAGTTCAAAGATATTATTACGTTTAATATTGTGCAATTCCAGTTGATTTTTTTGTTTAAAAGATTTTAACTGACAAAAAATTGTATATATTTATCATGCACAACATGTTGTTTTGAAATATGTATAATTTGTGGAATGACTGAATTGAGCTAATTAACATATGCATTACCTCACATACTTATCACCTTTTTTTTTTGTGATGAGAACAGTTAAAATATGTTTTAGCAATTTCCAAGACTACAATACTTGTTATTAACTACAGTCACCAAGTTGTACAATAGATTTCGTGAACTTATTCTTCCTATCTAATTGAAATTTTGTATCCTTTGACTAACATCTCCCCACTCCCCTCCTCCCTGCAGCCCCTGGTACACCATCCCACACTGCTTCTATGAGTTCAACTTTTTTAGATTTTACATATAAGTGAGTTCATGCAGTATTTGTTTTTCTGTGCCTGGCTTATTTCACTTAGCATATTGTCCTCCAGGTTCATCCATGTTGTTATAAGTGACATGATTTTCTTCTTTTGTAAGGCTGAATACTATTCAATTGTGTACATATATAGCACATTTTTTAAAATCCATTCATCTGGTAATGGACACAGATTGATTCCATATTTTGGCTGCTGTAAATAATGCTGCAATAAATATGGGAGTACATATATCTCTTCCACATACTGATTTCATTTCTTTGGATATATAGCCAGAAATGGGATTGCTTAATCATGTGGTTAGTTCTATTTTTTATTTTTAATATTTTTGAGAACCTTAGTTCTAATATGTTATAATTCTATTATTCTTCTACTCAAGAACATTAGAACTTCTCTGTTATTTAGAAGATTAAGCCCAAATTGGCATTCAAGGATTTCGACAGTCTGGTTCTAGCACACATTTCCAATGCTGTCTTCCATTACACCCTTATCAGGACCCTCTGCAGTAGGTTTAGCAGTGCATTCATGCCTTAGTACACTTCCATACTTTATTTATCTGTTTTGTTTTTTCTCTGTATCCATGCATTTATCACCTGTCCAAGCTAAGCCCTGGTATCTTTTTTTTTTCTTCAATAAAATCTTCCTTGTCTACTCCATTTGTAGCGATCTCTCTATTGGCTGCACCAACAGCAATGTCTATGCTTCTCTATGGCCTTGCTGCATGTGTGATGTTTATAATTCTCCTATTTAAATGGAGGCTGCCCATTATTTTCTATATCCCTAACCTCATTCAGATAAAGCAGCTCTCAGTAAGTGCCTGCTGACTAGCCAACTGAATTAATGATTTAGTAAATGGAGAATGAATGAAGAGCTGGGACAAGCTGACTTTTGACCACTGAAAACTTTAGGAATGGCATTATGTTCTTCCCAAATGCTTACACTGGACTGTAATCAAGTCAGGAAGAAGAGATCATCTCTCCCTCTGGAAGAAATTCGAGGCTGGGAAAGTTAGTCAGGAAATTTCTGTTGGAGTGCCCAAAGGGTATATGTAGTCCTACATCCTTATGAATCTCAAGTCTCTGAATATGTTGTGAATATTGTAGACATTTGCAGAGAGATAAAAAGATTTCAGGATTTGCTTTCATTGTCTGGAATAAATGGAAAACCAAAGGTTTCCAGTTTTCTTTCCAGACTTTTGGGAAATGCCTCTGCCTTGAAGGCACTAAGCATTCCTCTGCACTGGGTCAAGAGGCTTTGAAAAATATTCACTGACCTGTATTGGATGGTTATCATTAGAACTGTCAGCTGCAGTATGGGATGCCACATTCTTAGAGGTATTCAAAGGCTTGGCATAATTAGGATTACCTTGGGGTTCGGAGCTAAGAGTTTATCTGCCCAGATTGGCACACAAACAAGTCAACAGAATACTTAAAGGGTCTATTAAATAACTTTCTATACGTAATGGAAGTGAGAGGAAAACTGATTTATTCTGTATCCTTTTTTTTTTTTTAAGACGGAGTTTCACTCTTTTTGCCCAGGCAGGAGTGCAGTGGTGCAATCTCAGCTCACTGCAACTTCTGCCTCCTGGGTTCAAGTGATTCTCTGCCTCAGCCTCCCAAGTAGCTGGGATTACAGGCACCTGCCACCATGCCTGGCTAATTTTGTATTTTTAGTAGAGACGGTGTTTCACCATGTTGGCCAGGCTGATCTCAAACTCCTGACTTTAGGTGATCTACCCGCCTTGGCCTCCCAAAGTGCTGGGAATATAGGCATGAGCCACCACACCCGGCCAACTCTGTATCCTCTTTATTGACAATATGTACCATGTAGGCTTGTACATTTGTATGGAGTAAGCATGATGAAATATTAAGAAGTTATTCATTTTATTTTAAGATTGTTTTATTGTGATGTGGTTAAAAAGTGAAATGGAGAATTTGTCTGAAGACCTTCATTCTACTACTAATCAGTTAGTTGTGTACATGGTTAAGATATTTCCCCTTGGCCAAATTTTCATCACCATCCACTGCTTAGGATCTATGTGATTGTTGGCCAAACAAGTTGACTCTGTAGAAGCTCTAATTACACAACTTTCTATAATTGGTTTTCTATACTGCAGTAGAAAGAAGACTTCCTTTTCCCCTTTGCACGCTTTTTTTTTTTTTGTGAGTCAGAGGAATGATAAAAGCCTTTTCCTGACAATGTGATTGTGGTTTAGTGTGAGGCTGGGCTTTCACAATAACCAAAGAATATATACACTATTTCTGTGTTCTCAGGTAGGTATTCTGAGCCTGAGAATATTCCTCTGTTCTTTTTCTTAGGAGGTTCACTGAAGATCAATGTTTCTGAGACTTGCTTCTATTTCTTCTTTAATGCTCAAGCAGAAGTCTTAGGTTTACTCAGTCTTTCCCTCAAAAAACACCCCCTGTAGAACTGTATTACATTTTCCAGTCTTTGAGAATTTCCAGGGCACCATGACTTCTAATGAATCTTTGTTAGTTTTAAACAGATGACTACTTAATATCAGTACCACAATGGTGACAGAGGCACCTCGTTAAGAAATTAGTAACATCAATAAATGATTGATTAAAGATGAAGGTGGGTTACTAAAGATGACCCTTTTGACTAGAAATCACTCATTCCTTTAACAAATGGTTTCTGAATACCTACTTTATGCACTATGGTAGTAACTGGGGATGCACTGGTGAACAAGTTAGGAAGATTCCTTAGATTTGTGGATCTTACGTTTTTTTTGTTGTTTGTTTTTTTTTTTGAGATGGAGTTTTACTCTTGTTGCCCAGGCTGGAGTGCAATGGCACGATCTCGGCTCACTGCAACCTCTGCCTCCCAGGTTCAAGCGATTCTCCGGCCTCAGCCTCCTGAGTAGCTGGGATTACAGGTGTGCACCACTACGCCCAGCTAATTTTTTATTTTTAGTAGAGACAGGGTTTTGCCATGTTGGTCAGGCTGGTCTTGAATTCCTGACCTCAGGTGATCTGTCCACCTCGGCCTCCCAAAGTGCTGGGATTACAGGCATGAGCCACTACGCCTGGCTGGATCTTATGTTCTAATAGGCAAGACAAACAATAGACAAGTAGAAAAGTGAATAAATAACATAATTGCACATTCCACTGTGTTATTAGTGAAATAACCAAGCATTGCAATTGGGCGATCATGGAAGTCTTTTCTGAGGAGGTGACATATTTATGCAGAAACTTGATGGCCATAGGAAAGCTAGATGCATGAAAAGTTAAGGAAGAGCTTCCCAAGAAGATGCATCAGCAAGTATAAAGGCTTAATTTAAGGGTGGAAATGTTGGCATTTTCTAGAAACTGACAGATGAATATGACTAGAGCATAGCGAGCAAAGGGAAAAGTGAAACTAGGTGAGGTGGAGTGATGCGTGGGATCCAAATTATTTAGAGAGAATCTTGAAGGGCAAGATACGAAAATTGTTCATTATGGAATTCTAAGTGGAATGAGACAGGCTGAAGGGCAGTCCATTTTAATCAGGGTAGTAAATTTAATTTTGAAGAATCATTCTGATTGCTGTAAAGAGGTGGGGGTGGAAGAAGGTTAAAAGCAAGGAGGCCAACTAGGATATATATATAAATGATATATATATAGATACATATATGATATATATATCAGATATATATGATATATATCTGATATATATATCATATATATATATACCAATGTCTTCTGTTTTCTCCTAGAGATTCATCTTGTGGATCAGCCTAGGAGGCTGATCTGTAGTATGATTAATTAAACAGGGTTCCTAGGCTCTCTGGCTTCCAGTAGGGTGTGAAGAACACCCATCTGGGGATGGGAGAAAAAGTTTGAGGTTAGGCTGATATTCTCCTGGCTTCTTCACTACAAGGGCTGTTTCCTTCAATTAAGATCCTTGCATCTCTCAAGCTGGCCTTCTCTATTGAACTCTTTCTCCTTTTGGGTTCTAGTACCCTTCTTCCCTCATCTCTTCTGACCAGGTTTGATAACAGCTCTGCTGCTAGGGTTCCTTTAAGCCCTATTTCCCTACACCTGTATGTTTGTTTGAAGATAAACCTTGAAGTTCTAGATCATCCATGTTGGACATATTCTTTCAGCTGAATCACACCCCAGGATTCCTTCTTTCATTTTGTACAGAGCACAACACCATGCACTAGTTACTAATGCCAGGGAGGACACCAACTACATGAAGGATAGCAAAGATCATCACCGTGTCAACCACCAGGAAGAGAAGTCCAACTTGGCATTGGAATCACCAAGGAAAACAACACAGTCAAGCACTGGATGGGACAGTGCTTTTACTCACACAGAGAAGACATTGAGCAAGATCAGCTCCAATAGTATATATTGCTTCCCATGGCTAACAGGTCCCCTGGCAGCTGACAGAGGGCAGTTGCCCTACATACAGCTCTCTTGTGTCACAGTAGAATGACCCCTTTTTCGCCCCTGTGGACTCTGAAACACTGAAAGATGGGGGTATGCTTGAGAGCCATTGACACACATGCTTAAGCAGAGCCAAGGAGCATACACTGAGCTTGAAACAGAGGGGTGGGAAACAGGCTCACTGAAACCTCTGCCTCCCGGGTTCAAGTGATTCTCATGCCTCAGCCTCCTGAGTAGCTGGGATTACAGGGACCCACCACCATGCCAGCTAATTTTTGTATTTTCAGTAGAGACAGGGATGCAGTCCAGTACATTTCAGCCTTTTTTACCCAGCCCCTATTCAAGATGGAGTTGCTCTGGTTTACACACCTCTGACAATTCTAGTGAAAGGGAAAACAAAAAAATAATCATAGCAAAACTGAAATTCAGAAAAAGTACTAGTATAGATTGCAGTTATTTGTAAGAAAAAAAGAAAGGAATAGCTAAAAAGGTTAAAAAAAGGCTTAGGGAGATCTGAGAAAAACATCTTTTTGCAATCTCAGGATATATATTCACACACACACACACACGCACACAATGAAAGTCGTTAGAATCAAAATGAAGTCACTTATGCCAAACCCTAACAAAATGAAGTCAGAAGGCCATAAAGGAGGGGCTCTCACACACACATTCCTATGATGAAAACTATTAGAAAGACTCTCTGAAAATCACAACCTTGCACAAAGGCCACTGCAACTTTATACAACGACTACTTCTGGAAGTGCATCTGCCCAACAACTGTCTAGTCAGCCTTGAACTGATGCCACCCTTGTTATTGATCCCTGTAGCCAAAGATAATTATTTCAAAATAATGTACCTAACCTTCCTCATTTTGCCTTTGAAAACCGTTGCCGTCCTTTGCCTCCTTAGAGGTCTGTGCTCCCTCCATGGTTCACCATGGCATGTGTATTCCTGGATTGCAATTTGTCATTTATTCCTGAATAAGCTAATTTTAGAGCCACTCTCTCTGTTGTTTTATTAGGTTGATAACATATATATACATGTATATCATGAATGAAAAGGATACAGATATTTTACAAAAGCACCAAACTAACCAAAAGAAAACTCTAAACTGTAACACATGATGTGTCTAATAGACCCTTTACTGAAAAACTGTCTCCCAAGAAAATTTGAATATTAATCAACTGAGGGGAACTGTACAGCTTACAAAGTAAGGCAACCAGTGTTGGCCCAAGAAACAGTATGGGGTGAGATTTGCAAGAGGTGCCCAAGGTTCTGAAAGGCATCACAGGGAGAAAGGCTTGTTAATTGTCCTGATAGAAAAGGTGGGCTTACATGAGAAAAGGAAAGAATTACTGAACAATTTGTAGGCAAAGCAATTTTTTTTTTTTTGAGATGGAGTCTTGCATTGTCGCTCATGCTGGAGCGCGGTGGCGCATTCTCAGCTCACTGCAACCTCTGCCTCCCGGGTTCAAGCAATTCTCCTGCCTCAGCCTCCTGAGCAGCTGGGATTACAGGCACCCGCCACCATGCCTGGCTAATTTTTTGTATTTTTAGTAGAGACGGGGTTTCACTATGTTGGCCAGGCTGGTCTGGAATGCCTGACCTTGTGATCCACAGGCCTTGGCCTCCCAAAGTGCTGGGATTATGGGCGGGAGCTACTGTGCCCGGCCGAGCAAAGCAATTTTACCGTCAATCTAGAAGGTGTTTGCCCTGTGAAATTGCCATTGGGTGTGGAATTGGGCTCTGCGTAGGTCTAGGAACCCATTTTGCAAAAATATACTTTAACACTTAAACTACTCTATGAGAAAATGTACTTCCAGTTATTCATGTAGGCAAAGGAAGAAGAGCAGTAGGGTTGATGATCCTAATCAATGACCTAATATTTGAATTACTTTAGATCACTGCTTCTGAACAGAGGGTGATTTTGCTCTTTGGAGGATTTATAGTAATGTCTGAATGCATTTTTGGTTATCACAACTTGAGGAGGTTTTATTGGCATCTAGTGGGTGGGAGCCAAGGATGCTGCTAAACATCCCACCATGCACGGGACAGCCCCCACAATGTAGCATTATCTGGCCCCAAATGTTAATAGTGCCAAGGTTGAGAAATCCTGCTTTTGGATAACCTATTTGAGAAACTGATTATTATTTTATTTTCCTGACAGTTTACAGCTTAGGCTAATTGCATTAAAACCCAACTACTTGTGTTTGGGAAAGAAATGACTTATATATTTCATGTTGTCCCTCAAATCTGTAGGACAGCAAGTTATCCCATAATAGGATTTTACTGTATGAAGCTTTATTACAATCCAGAAAGACTAACAAATTGACACCATGTGTGTGAGCTTTTCTTTTTGGGTGGGGAGGTGGAATAGGGCAGAAATATTGTATGCAGAAGCAATTTGGGGTTTCCTAATTTGTTTTGGGTAAGTCACAACTTGGGTGATAAACCTACTGATAATTTTGGTTTGATTGTCTTAACATTTCCTTGGATTTATGAGAGACTGGGATAAAATTAGTTTGAAATAAATAAAATGTGTTCATTAAATTACAGGAACTTTGGTTTTTGTTTTTCTAAAAAGGATATAATTTTTTACTAGGATATAATTTTTTTCTGGAGTATATACTTAACTCCACTTCTTTGATGGGTAATTTTCACCTCAAAAACATCAAAGAGTTTTCCCACCCCATCTAAAACTAGAAAATTTGTAACCTATGTTTTCGGAGATTTCAGGGGCAAAGTACAATGAGCAATTGCTCCAGCTGAAGGAGCAATGTGGAAATGGATTGATCACAGTTTGAAAAATCAAGCTAGACTGACACAACCTCTAGCCAAGAAATACATTTGACTCAAGTATTCCATTGGTATTATGAGCTTTTGAAAAATGAAGAGTCTTCCTGGCTGCAGAGTAAATATACTAATTCTCCACTTCCATTTCTGGAGGCTTCTCAGAAATGTAAATGCACAGAGAAAACATAATAAATGTGCTCCCTTGGTGAGAGTGAAGGAAAAGTTCAGCAGTAAATAACTTACCGAGTTCATTGTAAATTCTTAAAATCTCCTTTCCATCATCATATTCTTTGAAATGCAAACTCAAAGCAAAAAAAAAAAAAAAAAAAAAAGCTCGTCTCAGGCTTGTCTTTTATGACAGCAGTGTGGGAGGATTAATAAATGTTATGAGATTTTCTGAAGAATAAAGGCACTTTTCAGAGTGAATAAAAGTAGTTTTAATAGATACAAATACCATTTTCCTCAACATCAGTTTTGAATTTTCCCTAAGGTGAGTAGACAGATAAGGGAGACAGCCAGGGTAACTGGTTGGTTGTTTTACTGTGGATACCCCAACATGGATGGCAGTCCAAGGGTTCAGTTTTCAGTGTTGTCTGTCACTGCACCTTCTCTGTTGTTATGCTCCCTACATATTTGTAATATTTTCTTCCTTCTAACCAAGTTGATGCCAGACACATGAAGCTGGGAGAGCTTGCTCCAAATTACCACACATATTCTACGTATAGATTTTTGAGGTGTATAGCAATAAGTTTTCTAAACCTCTTATCTACATCATATTTATCTCTCCCTCCCCGCCATCCCTGGGATACTTGCATCAACATTCCCATCTATGCTCAGGTTCTGTTGTCAGAATAAAGCCTACCAGTTGAGTCTATGTGATTTAAGTCTGTGGTCTCAGATAAAGAACTCCTGGGCTCCTTTTCTCCTCCTCCTCCCTCTCCCTCTCCTTCTCTTCCTCCTTGTATCTTCTTGATGATTTGGTGTCATTAAACCCACCTGAGATTCTTCCTGGCTACATAGGACTTTCACTTGCTTATTTTGGGGTATGGCTGCAGCTGATAGGTAACTGTATCTTTTTCCTCCTTCAGTATATTTACTACCATGTACCATTCAAACTTTTCCATATACCTTCCCAAGACATTTTCAAATATGTGTTTCATTTACTTGGGGATTATTCTAAATTACGTAGAGCCCAATGAGAAGGTCTGCTAGAGCATGACTGAGTTTGATCCTGGGTCTGAAAGCGTCAGTTAGCTGAAACCTCCCTGGAGTTCCAAGACACACTATATTATTGCTTATCTGCTTCTTCTTTAATCTTTCTAGAATTTGATACTTTTGGATTCAATAATCTTATTCCAACTCAGGAGAGAGTTGAATTGGATGAAGTTAGAGAAGGAGTAACTGTGAGTATTAGTTCTTGCTATAGGTAAAGCAATAGAACAGCAAACAGCAAGATGGATAGAACTTAGTCAACTTAAAATGTATTTTTTGAGATATATGCTATTGAAATATAATTCACACAACATAAAATTTACCCTTTTAAAGTATACAACCCAGTGGGTTTTTTGTGTGTTTTTTTTTTTTTAGGATTTTCACAAGGTTGTGCCATTCTTACCACTATGTAATTTTAGAACATTTTCATAATCCTAGACTTATTTTTGACCTGAAAAAGTACTTTTGCCTTGTAATGGCTTAAGAGGGAGAAAGATGATGTGGTAGGAAGAATAATGGCCCCTCAAATATGTCTACATGCTAATTTCCGGAACCTGTGACCATGTTAAATTACATGGAAAAGGATATTATAGTTGTAGATGAAATTACAGTTGCTAATAATGGGGAGATTATTCTGGATATCTGGGTGGGCCCAATGTAATCACAAGGGTCCTTGAAAATAGAAGAGAGAGTTCAAGGAGTCTGTCAGAGTCAGAGAAGGAGATGTGATGATGAAAGCAGTGGTCAAAGTGTTGTGATCATTTATTCAAAGATGCAGAAAAGGCTGCAAGCCAAAGAATCCAGATGACATCTGGAAGTGGGAAAAGGCAAGGAAACAGATTCTCCACAGAGGCTCTGGGAGGAATGCAGCCTTGATGACACATTGATTATAGACCAGTGAGACCCACTTTGATCTTCTGTAACATAGTACATTTGTGTTGTTTTAAGCCACTAACTTTGTGGTAACTTGTTACAGTAGCCATAGGAAACTTACACAGATTGAGAAAGATGGTAGGCGGGAGAGTGACAGAAGCAGGAAAGGAGAGAGAGGGAGGATCAACCATTAAGTACTATTTGTATGTCTAGCCCCATTTGATGATGTCTGAGACTAAGAGCTGGCTTTGTCATTTCACTTGATCCTGTTGGTCTTTAAAAGAGTGGTTGACAGTAGAGGCTCTTTCCTTAAATGCTTGTAGATCATTTGATATGTTTCTTTTGGTTAGAGCGCAGGAATTCCACTAATGTTGATGTGAATGGACTAGAACTTTGACTGGTCTTGATAATTTACTGGGTTTCTCAAGAAACTGTTGGGAAGTGGAACTTGTTAATCAGAGTGAACAAAGAGCTGTACACCTCCATTCCCACCTACTGACTCCACTTCAGGTGAAGCTAATTGCACAAGAGAAACCCCTTGATATCAAGAAGGAGTCAGGTATTAACTTGATTATAGTGCTATGACTCACTTTTGCTTATGAAAGGTTTAAAACATCAAAGTCTGACAAAGTTTAAAAGTAGAAAGAACATGAATGGTAATGTAGTGTGCTTTTCATTTCTTTTTAAGAAAAAATTTAAAAGGTTCTGTAAAATCTGTTAGCTTTTTTTTCCTAAAAGCAAAATGGAAATGAATATTAAAATTAAGTTTTCATTTTTGCTTTCTAAAATAAAAATATATTAAGGGCTGGGCACAGTGGCTCACAATTGTAATCCCAGCACTTTCAGAGGCTGAGGTGGGACGATCGGCTGAGCTCAGGAGTTCAAGACCAGCCTGGGAAACATGGTGAGACTTTGTCTCTAAAGAAATTTGAAAAATTAGCCAAGTGTAGCGGTGTGTGCCTGTAGTCCCAGCTACTTGGGAGGCTGAGGTGGGAGGATCACCAGGAGGTTGAGGCTGCAGTGAGCTGCTTTCACACCACTGCACTCTAGCCTGGGCAACAGAGTGAGACCCTGTCTCAAAAAAAAATTAAAACAAAATAAAAATAAAAAGAACAGGCAACCTACAGAATGGGAGAAAAATTTTGCAATCTATCCCTCTGATAAAGGGATAATATCCAGATTCTACAAGGAACTTAAACAAATTTACAAGAGAAAAATAACCCCATCAAAAAGTGGGCAAAGGATATGAACAGATACTTCTCAAAAGAAGACATTTATGCGGCCAATAAACATGAAAAAAAGCTCATCATCACTGGTCATTAGAGAAATGCAAATAAAAAACACAATGAGATGCCATCTCATGCCAGTCAGAATGGTGATTATTAAAAAGTCAGGAAATCACAGATGCTGGTGAGGCTGTGGAGAAATAGGAATGTGTTTACACTGTTGGTGGGAGTGTAAATTAGTTCAACCATTGTGGAAGACAGTGTGGTGATTCCTCAAGGATCTAGAACCAGAAATACCATTTGACCCGGCAATCCCATTACTGGGTATATACCCAAAGGAGTATAAATCATTCTACTATAAATACACATGCACACGTATGTTTACTGCAACAGTATTTACAATAGCAAAGACTTGGAACCAACTCAAATGCCCGTCAATGATAGACTGGATAAAGAAAATGTGGCACATATATACCACGGAATATTATGCAGCCCTAAAAAAGGTTGAGTTCATGTCCTTTGCAGGGACATGGATGAAGCTGGAAGCCATCATTCTCACCAAACTAACACAGGAACAGAAAACCAAACACTGCATGTTCTCACTCATAAGTGGGAGTTGAACAATGAGAACACATGGACACAGGGAGGGGAACATCACACACCGGGGCCTGTCAGGGGTGGGGGGCAAGGGGAGGGAGAGCATTAGGACAGATACTTAATGCATGCAGGGCTTAAAACTTACATGATGGGTTGATAGGTGCAGCCAACCACCATGGCACATGTATACCTATGTAAAAAACCTGCACATTCTGCACATGTCTCCCAGAACATAAAAGTAAAATTAAAAAAGAATTTTGGCAACAACTGGAAATGTAACAGAAAATACATGAAATCTGAGGGTTCTGGGAAGATGGCTGAGTAGGATGCACCAGGAATCTGTCTCTCTACCTACCAACAATTGTACTGGCAGAATCATCTGATGCAACTATTTCGGAAGTCTGAAGTCTATTGAAGGCTTGCAACTTTCTGGGGAAGGCTTAAATAGTAAATTGTAGTTAATTTGTGTCAATTTTGGCTTAGTAAGGTTGCAACTACTCATTCTCTACCCCTCAGCTACATGGCAGGCAGGCATGCATGTGTTTCTGAAGGAACCTGCACACAACTTGCAAGAGCCAGAGTGGGCAAAAAGGACCCCGTGCTCCACATGTTGGGGATCTGTGCTCTGATTGCTGATTGCTGCTTCTGATCAGACAGGTGCAGATAAAGAGGCAGGCAGTCATTGTGGTTGCATTCCTCTCACCCCACATTGTTGCAAGCCTCTCCCTCTCTGGCTGAAGCAACTTCCAGGGAATTTAAAGGGCTGGTACCTTTTCCCTGCTTATTTTTTTTCTTTGTTCGGGAGCTACACATTAAAGACTAGGACATTAAAAAGCAATTGCATATACAGAGAGAATTAGAAAGTGACTGCACGTGCCCAGAGAAAGGTGCAGGCTCAGAAAAGAATTGAGAAGACCTTAAGTTTGCACCTCAGTGAAGTTTATACCTCACAAGTTTAATCCTTGGCACAGAGATAGCCTACAACAATAATAAAAACAACAAAAGGCAGCAAGCCCTGGGGAAAAGATACAGTATAATTTCCAGAATTACCACAATATTAGATTCAAATGTCCAGTTTTCAACCAAAAAGTCACATGGCGTACAAAGAAACAGGAAAATATGGCTCACTCAAAGGAAAGAAAAAAATAAACAGAAACTGACCAATAAAAAGACTTGATTTGGCAAATCTACTAGAGAAATACTTTAAAATATTTGTCTTAAAGAATGTTCAAAGAATTAAGGAATATGTGGAGAAAGTCAGGAAAATGATGTATGAACAAAATAGAAATATAAATAAAGAGAAAACGTCTAAAAAGAAACCAAAAGAAATTCTGGTGATGAAAATTACAGTAACTAAAATGAAAAATTTACTAGAGAACCACACTAAGACACATGATATTCAAACTTAAAAGCCAAGGACATGGGCAATTATAAAAGCTAGTATTATTGTAACAACAGTTTGTTACTCCACTTTGTGTTTTCTACATGATATAAGAGACTAATCCATTAAAAAAGTTTAAGGCTGGGCACTGTGGCTCATGCCTGAACCCCAGCATTTTGGGTGGCCAAGGTGGGAGGATTGCTTAAGCCCAGGAGTTTGAGACAAGCCTAGATAACATAGGGAGACCCCATCTTTACGAATGAAAAAAAATTAGCCAGATATGGTGGCATGTGCCTGTGGTCCCAGCTACTTGGGAGGCTGAGGCCACAGATTAAGCAAATTGGAACTCAGGTGCACTGCTGGTTGAAATATAAATTGATACAGCCACTGTAGAGACAGCTTGGTGGTTTCTCAAGAAATTAAAACTCAAATGACTACATGATCCAGCAATTTCACTTCTGGGTGTATACTCAAAAGAACTGAAAGTACGGCCTCAAACAGATAATTTGTACACTCACTTCATAACAAACATTCAGCTAAAAGATGGAAGCAACTTAAGTATCCATCAGTGGATGAACAGAGAAGCAAAATGTGATATATACATGGAATATTATTCAGCCTGAAAAAGGAAGGAAATTCTGACATTTGCTACAACATGGAGGAACTTTGAGGACATATTAAGTGAAATAAATCAGTCACAAATGGAAAAATGCTGTATCATTCCACTTACATGATGAACTTAAGGTAGTCAAAATCAGAGACAGAGAAAGTAGAAGGATGATTTCCAGGAGCTGGGGCAGAAGAGGAATGGGAGTTATTGTTAATGAGTATGGGGTTTTAGTTTTACAAGACAAGGAGAGTTATGAAGATGGATGATAGTGATGGTTGCACATTATGAATGTATTTAAATTATTGAACTGTGAACTTAAAAATGGTTAAGATGGTCAATTACGTGTTACATTACATTTTTAAAATTTTATTATTATTATACTTTAAGTTTTAGGGTACATGTGCACAACGTGCAGGTTTGTTACATATGTATACATGTGCCATGTCGGTGTGCTGCACCCATTAACTCGTCATTTAGCATTAGGTATATCTCCTAATGCTATCCCTCCCCCCTCCCCACACCCCTCCCCCCTCCCCACACCCCACAACAGTCCCCGGGGTGTGATGTTCCCCTTCCTGTGTCCATGTGTTCTCATTGTTCAATTCCCACCTATGAATGAGAACATGCAGTGTTTGGTTTTTTGTCCTTGGGATAGTTTGCTGAGAATGATGGTTTCCAGCTTCACCCATGTCCCTACAAAGGACATGAAATCATCATTTTTTATGGCTGCATAGTATTCCATGGTGTATATGTGCCACATTTTCTTAATCCAGTCTATTGTTGTTGGACATCTGGGTTGGTTCCAAGTCTTTGCTATTGTGAATAGTGCCTCAATAAACATACATGTGCATGTGTCCTTATAACAGCATGATTTATAATCCTTTGGGTATATACCCAGTAATGGGATGGCTGGGTCAAATGGTATTTCTAGTTCAAGATCCCTGAGGAATCGCCACACTGACTTCCACAATGGTTGAACTAGTTTACAGTCCCACCAACAGTGTAAAAGTGTTCCTATTTCTCCACATCCTCTCCAGCACCTGTTGTTTCCTGACTTTTTAATGATCACCATTCTGACTGGTGTGAGATGGTATCTCATTGTGGTTTTGATTTGCATTTCTCTGATGGCCAGTGATGATGAGCATTTTTTCATGGGTCTTTTGGCTGCATAAATGTCTTCTTTTGAGAAGTGTCTGTTCATATCCTTTGCCCACTTTTTGATGGGGTTGTTTGTTTTTTTCTTGTAAATTTGTTTGAATTCATTGTAGATTCTGGATATTAGCCCTTTGTCAGATGAGTAGGTTGCAAAAATTTTCTCCCATTCTGTAGATTGCCTGTTCACTCTGATGGTGGTTTCTTTTGCTGTGCAGAAGCTCTTTAGTTTAATTAGATCCCATTTGTCAATTTTGGCTTTTGTTGCCATTGCTTTTGGTGTTTTAGACATGAAGTCCTTGCCCGTGCCTATGTCCTGAATGGTATTGCCTAGGTTTTCTTCTAGGGTTTTTATGGTTTTAGGTCTAACATGTAAGTCTTTAATCCATCTTGAATTAATTTTTGTATAAGGTGTAAGGAAGGGATCCAGTTTCAGCTTTCTATGGCCAGCCAGTTTTCCCAGTACCATTTATTAAATAGGGAATCCTTTCCCCATTGCTTGTTTTTGTCAGGTTTGTCAAAGATCAGATAGTTGTAGATGTGCGGCATTAATTCTGAGGGCTCTGTTCTGTTCATTTGTCTATATGTCTGTTTTGGTACCAGTACCATGCTGTCTTGGTTACTGTAGCCTTGTAGTATAGTTTGAAGTCAGGTAGCGTGATGCCTCCAGCTTTGTTCTTTTGGCTTAGGATTGACTTGGCAATGTGGGCTCTTTTTTGGTTCCATATGAACTTTAAAGTAGTTTTTTCCAATTCTGTGAAGAAAATCATTGGTAGCTTGATGGGGATGGCATTGAATCTATAAATTACCTTGGGCAGTATGGCTATTTTCACGATATTGATTCTTCCTACCCATGAGCATGGAATGTTCTTCCATTTGTTTGTGTCCTCTTTCATTTCATTGAGAAGTGGTTTGTAGTTCTCCTTGAGGAGGTCCTTCAAGTCCCTTGTAAGTTGGATTCCTAGGTCTTTTATTCTCTTTGAAGCAATTGTGAATGGGAGTTCACTCATGATTTGGCTCTCTGTTTGTCTGTTCTTGGTGTATAGGAATGCTTGTGATTTTTGCACATTGATTTTGTATCCTGAGACTTTGCTGAAGTTGCTTATCAGCTTAAGGAGATTTTGGGCTGAGATGATGGGGTTTTCTAGATATACAATCATGTCATCTGCAAACAGGGACAATTTGAGTTCCTCTTTTCCTGATTGAATGCCCTTTATTTCCTTCTCCTGCCGGATTGCCCTGGCCAGAACTTCCAACACTATGTTGAATAGGAGTGGTGAGAGAGGGCATCCCTGTCTTGTGCCAGTTTTCAAAGGGAATGCTTCCAGTTTTTGTCCATTCAGTATGATATTGGCTGTGGGTTTGTCACAGATAGCTCTTATTATTTTGAGATACATCCCATCAATACCTAATTTATTGAGAGTTTTTAGCATGAAGCATTGTTGAATTTTGTCAAAGGCCTTTTCTGCATCTATTGAGATAGTCATGTGGTTTTTGTCTTTGGTTCTGTTTATATGCTGGATTACGTTTACTGATTTGTGTACGTTGAACCAGCCTTGCATCCCAGGGATGAAGCCCACTTGTTCATGGTGGATAAGCTTTTTGATGTGGTGCGGATTCAGTTTGCCAGTATTTTATTGAGGATTTTTGCATCAATGTTCATCAAGGATATTGGTCTAAAATTCACTTTTTTTTTTTGTTGTATCTCTGCCAGGGTTTGATATCAGGATGATGCTGGCCTCATAAAATGAGTTAGGGAGGATTCCCTCTTTTTGTATTGATTGGAATAGTTTCAGAAGGAATGGTACCAGCTCCTCCTTGTACCTCTGGTAGAATTCGGCTGTGAATCCATCTGAACCTGGACTTTTTTTGGTTGGTAAGCTATTAATTATTGCCTCAATTTCAGAGCCTGTTATTGGTCTATTCGGAGATTCAACTTCTTCCTGGTTTAATCTTGGGAGGGTGTATGTGTCAAGGAATTTATCCACTTCTTCTAGATTTTCTATTTTATTTGCATAGAAGTGTTTATAGTATTCTCTAATGGTAGTTTGTATTTCTGTGGGATCGGTGGTGGTATCCCCTGTATCATTTTTTATTGCGTCTATTTGATTCTTCTTTCTTTTCTTCTTTGTTAGTCTTGCTAGCAGTCTATCAATTTTGTTGATCTTTTCAAAAAACCAGCTCCTGGATTCATTGATTTTTTGAAGGATTTTTTGTGTCTTTATTTCCTTCAGTTCTGCTCTAATCTTAGTTATTTCTTGCCTTCTGCGTGCTTTTGAATGTGTTTGCTCTTGCTTGTCTAGTTCTTTTAATTGTGATGTTAGGGTGTCAATTTTAGATCTTTCCTGCTTTCTGTTGTGGGCATTTAGTGCTATAAATTTCCCTCTACACACTACTTTGAATGTGTCCCAGAGATTCTGGTATGTTGTGTCTTTGTTCTCGTTGGTTTCAAAGAACATCTTTATCTCTGCCTTCATTTCATTATGTACCCAGTAGTCATTCAGGAGCAGGTTGTTCAGTTTCCTTGTAGTTGAGCAGTTTTGAGTGAGTTTCTTAATCCTGAGTTCTAGTTTGATTGCACTGTGGTCTGAGAGACAGTTTGTTATAATTTCTGTTCTTTTACATTTGCTGAGGAGTGCTTTACTTCCAACTATGTGGTCAATTTTGGAATAGGTGTGGTGTGGTGCTGAAAAGAATGTATATTCTGTTGATTTGGTGTGGAGAGTTCTGTAGATGTCTATTAGGTCCGCTTGGTGCAGAGCTGAGTTCAATTCCTGGGTATCCTTGTTGACTCTCTGTCTTGTTGATCTGTCTAATGTTGACAGTGGGGTGTTAAATTCTCCCATTATTATTGTGTGGGAGTCTAAGTCTCTTTGTAGGTCTCTAAGGACTTGCTTTATGAATCTGGGTGCTCCTGTATTGGGTGCATGTATATTTAGGTTAGCTCTTCTTGTTGAATCGATCCCTTTACCATTATGTAATGGCCTTCTTTGTCTCTTTTGATCTTTGTTGGTTTAAAGTCTGTTTTATCAGAGACTAGGATTGCAACCCCTGCCTTTTTTTCTTTTCCATTTGCTTGGTAGATCTTCCTCCATCCCTTTATTTTGAGCCTATGTGTGTCTCTGCATGTGAGATGGGTTTCCTGAATACAGCACACTGATGGGTCTTGACTCTTTATCCAATTTGCCAGTCTGTGTCTTTTAATTGGAGCATTTAGTCCATTTACATTTAAAGTTAATATTTTTATGTGTGAATTTGATCCTGTCATTATGATGTTAGCTGGTTATTTTGCTCATTAGTTGATGCAGTTTCTTCCTAGCCTCGATGGTCTTTACAATTTGGCATGTTTTTGCAGTGGCTGGTACCGTTTGTTCCTTTCCATGTTTAGTGCTTCCTTCAGGAGCTCTTTTAGGGCAGGCCTGGTGGTGACGAAATCTCTCAGCATTTGCTTGTCTGTAAAGTATTTTATTTCTCCTTCACTTATGAAGCTTAGTTTGGCCGGATATGAAATTCTGGGTTGAAAATTCTTTTCTTTAAGAATGTTGAATATTGGCCCCCACTCTCTTCTGGCTTGTAGAGTTTCTGCCGAGAGATCAGCTGTTAGTCTGATGGGCTTCCCTTTGTGGGTAACCCGACCTTTCTCTCTGGCTGCCCTTAACATTTTTTCCTTCATTTCAACTTTGGTGACTCTGACAATTATGTGTCTTGGAGTTGCTCTTCTTGAGGAGTATCTTTTTGGCGTTATCTGTGTTTCCTGAATTTGAATGTTGGCCTGCCTTGCTAGATTGGGGAAGTTCTCCTGGATAATATCCTACAGAGTGTTTTCCAACTTGGTTCCATTCTCCACATCACTTTCAGGTACACCAATCAGACGTAGATTTGGTCTTTTCACATAGTCCCATATTTCTTGGAGGCTTTGTTTGTTTCTTTTTATTATTTTTTCTCTAAACTTCCCTTCTCGCTTCATTTCATTCATTTCATCTTCCATCGCTGATACCCTTTCTTCCAGTTGACCTCATTGGCTACTGAGGCTTGTGCATTCATCACATAGTTCTTGTGCTGTGGTTTTCAGCTCCATCAGGTCCTTAAAGGACTTCTCTGCATTGGTTATTCTAGTTAGCTATTCGTCTAATTTTTTTTCAAGGTTTTTAACTTCTTTGCCATTGGTTCGAACTTCCTTCTTTAGCTCGGAGTAGTTTGATCTTCTGAAGCCGTCTTCTCTCAACTTGTCAAAGTCATTTTCCATCCAACTTTGTTCCATTGCTGGTGAGGAGCTGCATTCCTTTGGAGGAGGAGAAGCACTCTGATTTTTAGAGTTTCCAGTTTTTCTGCTCTGTTTTTTCCCCATCTTTGTGGTTTTATCTACCTTTGGTCTTTGGTGATGGTGACGTACAGATGGGTTTTTGGTGTGCATGTCCTTTCTGTTTGTTAGTTTTCCTTCTAACAGGACCCTCAGTTGCAGGTCTGTTGGAGTTTGCTGGAGGTACACTCCAGACTCTGTTTGCCTGGGTATCAGCAGCGGTGGCTGCAGAACAGCAGATATTGGTGAACCGCAAATGATGCTGCCTGATCATTCCTCTGGAAATTTTGTCTCAGAGGAGTACCTGGCTGTGTGAGGTGTCATTCTGCCCCTACTTGGGGGGTGCCTACCAGTTAGGCTACTCGGGGTTCAGGGACCCACTTGAGGAGGCAGTCTGCCCGCTCTCAGATCTCCAGCTGCATGCTGGGAGAACCACTACTCTCTTCAGACCTGTCAGACAGGGACATTTAAGTCTGCAGAGGTTACTGCTGCCTTTTGTTTGTCTGTGCCCTGCCCCCAGAGGTGGAGCCTACAGAGGCAGGCAGGCCTCCTTGAGCTGTGGTGGGCTCCACCTAGTTTGAGCTTCCAGGCTGCTTTGTTTACATACTCAAGCCTTGGCAATGGCGGGCGCCCCTCCCGCAGCCTGGCTGCTGCCTTGCAGTTTGATCTCAGACTGCTGTGCTAGCAATGAGTGAGGCTCCGTGGGCGTAGGACCCTCTGAGCCATGTGCAGGATATAATCTCCTGGTGTGCCGTTTGTGAAGCCTGTTGGTAAAGCGCAGTATTAGGGTGGGAGTGACCTGATTTTCCAGGTGCTGTCTGTCATCCCTTTCTTTGACTAGGAAAGGGAATTCCCTGACCCCTAGCACTTCCCGGGTGAGGCGATGGCTCACCCTGCTTTGGCTCACACACGGTGTGCTGCACCCACTGTCCTGCACCCACTGTCCAACACTCCCCAGTGAGATCAACCTGGTTCCTCAGTTGGAAATGCAGAAATCACCCGTCTTCTGTGTCACTCACGCTGGGAGCTGTAGACTGGAGTTGTTCCTATTCGGCCATCTTGGCTCCACCCCCGTTACATTACATTTTATCATGATTAAAGATTTAAAGAAAAATTAAACAATGGAATTACCATATGATACAGCAATTTCATTTCTGAGTATATACCAAAAAGAATTTAAAGCAGGGTCTCAAACAGATATTTGTATACTCGTGTTCATAGCAGCATTATTCACAAAAGCCAAAAGGCAAAAGCAATCTGACTGTCCATCAGTATAAAGACTCTCTAAGCAAATATGTCAAAAAAAGAACAAAACAAAGAAACCCCAAGATAAATGGGCAACAAAATGTGATATTACATACAATGAAATATTATTCAGCCTTAAAAAGGACAGAAATTCTGACACATGCTACAACGTGGATGAATCTTGAAGATATTATGAAGATTGAAATAATCTAGTCACAAAGGACAAATATTATATCATTCTACTCTCATGAGGTAATCAAATTAGAGCAGTCCAATTCATAGAGACAGAGGTAGAAGGAGGGTTCTCAGAGAATGAGGATGGGAAAGAGACTAGTGAGTTATTTTTTTAATAGGTACACAGTTTCAGATTGGGAAGATAAAAAAGTTCTGCAGATGGGTAATGATGGTGGCACAACTATGTGAATTTACTTACTGCCACTGAACTTTACACTTACAAAGGATTAAAATGTTAAAATTTATGTCATGCATATTTTACCACAGTCAAAAATTAATCATATTCTTATGTGCTAGCAATAAAGATATTTAACATAATCATCTGGTGGATCTTCCAATTACCTTCATTATATCCACTCCAGCATGCCCACTTCCCTGAGTTACAAAGGTGTCAAGAACACACAATGGGGAAAAACACATGATGTGAAAGGACAGTCTCTTCATTAAATGGTGTTGGGAAAACTACATGTCCACATGTAGAAGAATGATATTGGACCAGTATCTCACACTATATAAAAAATAAACTCAAAATGAATTAAAGGGTTAAAAGCTAAGACCTGAAACAATGATACTAGAAGAAAACATAGGGGAAAAACTCCATGACATTGATCTGGGTAATGATTTTTCGGGTATTACTGCATAAACATAAGCAACCAAAGCAAAAACAGACAAATGGGATTACGTCAAGCTAAAAAGCTTCTGCACAGTAAAGAATCAGCAGGGAGAATGGGAGAAAATATTTGTAAATGATAAATCTGCCAAGGAGTTAATATTCAAAATATATAAAAATCTCAAACTCTATAGCAAGAAAACAGGTAAGTTGATTTAAAAATGGGCAAAAGACCTGAAAAGACATTTCTCAAAAGAAGATACACAAATGGCCAACAGGTACATGAAAAAATGCTCAACATAACTAATCATCAGGGAAATGCAAGTTGAAGCCACAATGAGATATCACCTAATTCCTGTTAGAATGGCTATGATAAAAAAGACAAAAGATAACAAGTTTTGGCAAGGATGTGGAGAAAATGGAACCCCTCCACACTGTTGGTAGGAACGTAAAAAGGTGCAGCAGCTATGGAAAACAATATGGTGATTCCTCAAAATATTAAAAATAAAATTATGATAAGATCCAGAAATCTTGCTACTGGGGAGCAATGTCTATCTATCTAAAGGACATGAAATAAAGAGCTCCTGATTCTATAATGATGGCATAGAAGCAAGCTGGATTCACTGCCCCTGAGAAAACCAAAACAAATATACATAGCTGAGTGTATCACCAGCAATAGCCCAGAATTTAATATGAGGAAACAGTTCCTGGGGCCACCGAGAGGTAAAAAAACTGAGCAGATGGTAAGAGAATTGGAGTTCCGTATCTGCAGTGCCTGTCTCCCCAACCTACCTGGCACCAGCACTCGGAAAAATTTTTCCTGACTCGTGGTTTCTACGTTGGACAAAGTAAGATTGAGATGAACAATGAGCTCCCTCACCACCTGGGTTCCTTGGCAGGAGATCTTCTCCTGTCTCAATCCATGGGAATCAGTGGGAGTGCCTGAAGGGAGAAATATCCCTGAGGACAGCCAGAGACAAAGTAGGGAGTGGGGCTACCAACCCCAGCTGTAGAAACTCTGCTCTGTAACTTGGCCAAAGGAGATGACAAATCAGAGTGACTGTTAGCAGCAACATGTTGTAGGAGGTTCATTTCACAGGTTGCCTGGGCAGAGACCCTTAGCCAGCCTTCCTACACTACTGGGATAACCAATTTGCAATCTCCCCCATTTTGGATGGGCAGCATTCTGATTGTATACTAGAACTGAGGCAAACTTGGGTTTAATGTGCTATCTAGTGCTGAAAAAGAAGCAGCGACCTAGCAGAAATAAATAAATAAATAAATAAATAATAAAATAAAACAAATCACGAGGTAAAATATAAAGACTCTAAGCAAATATGTTAAAACAAACAAACAAAACAAAAAATCCCCAATATACCCCAACATGAGCCATATAGAGAAGACTGGAATAAATAACTAATCATTCAATGCAAATACATAGATGTATATCCACAAGAAACAGCAGCAAATAAGGAACCATGACTTCCTCAAACAGACAAAGCAAGGTACCCACGACTGAATCTAAAGAGATGGCAATATTTGAACTCTATGACTAAGCATTCAAATAGTTTTAAGGAAACTCAGTGATCTCCAGGATAACACAGAAAAACAATTCAGAATTTTATTGGAGAAATTTAACAAAGGGGTTGAAATAATTTAAAAAACTAACGGAATGGATCAAATAGAAGAAAGAATAAGTGAACTATTTGAAAATGCAGTCAGAGGAGAAAATAGAATGAAAAGGAATGAAGATTGCCTGTGAGATATAGAAATTCACCTCAAAAGAGCAAATCTAAGAATTATTGGTACTCAAGAAGGAGTTGAGCAAGAGCAAGGGGTAGAAAGCTTATTCAAAGAAATGACTAAGGCAATAAAGTCAGTACGTTGAAGAGTATCAACACTTCCATGTTTATGGCCGCACTATTCACAATAGCCAAGGTAGAGAATCAACTTTTGTTCATCAACAGATAAATGGAGAAAGAAAATGTGGTATATACATACTCTGAAATACTATTCCACTATAAAAAGAAGAAAATTCTGTCATTTGTGACAACATGTATGAACCCACAGAACATTACACGAAGTGAAATAAGCCAGACATAGAAAGACAAATACCACATGATCTCACTCATATGTAGAATCTAAAAAAGTTGGACTCATAGTACTAGAGAGCAGAATGGTGGTTACCCAAGGCTGTCGTGCTTAAGTGGAGTGGAGGATGGGGAGATGTTAAAGGATATATTAATATAATTAGATAGAAGGAATACATTCAAGAGATCTGTTGTACAGCATAGTGACTATAGTTAATGAACATATATTGCATTCTCGAAAAATGCAAAAATATTGGATGTTAAGCATTCTCATCATGAAAATGATAACTATGTGAAGTAATGCAGTTGTTAATTAGTTAGATTTAACTATTCCACAATGTATATATACTCTAAAACATTATATTGCACATGATAAATACATTTCTAAAAAAGTGGGAAGGGCAAATTTCAGAAAGGTGTAGGGCTGCTAAAACTTGTCAAAGAAAGAAGAAAGAGGATTATTTCAGTTTCCTGGTACCATTAAATGCAGCTGAGACTGATGCCCAGGATCCTATTTTAGTAGTTTTTGCTTCCTCTAGGCACAGAACTTTAGCTTCTTCTTATCTCTCCTATGAGGCCAGGTAAAGTTTCTGGTAGTTTACAGAGAATGGTTATTTTTTCATAAGAAGAACAAAATCTGACTGTATTGTGCCAGGCTTACACATGCTTTGGTTGAGATATATTAGGACAATCAAATATGCACAGTTAGTCCCTCCTACACTTAACAGGGCCACTATCCTTCCTTCTAGGTGGCTTTGCTTCTTCCTAGCCTGATAGTGTCCCCAGAACATATCCACTAAAATATGAGGTTTTGTAGAGAGAAAGTGAGAAAAAGAAACCTGGTGACTGAGAGCTACTACTGCTCATGGTTAAACCCTGGCCTATACCTCTTGACTTTTCCTCTCCACCCTTTCTCTTTACCATGTCCTAGACAATGTCCAAATACATTTCTCTTGTAATGTGAGTAAATTCCAAAGGCTCCATGTTGCCCAGTCTCAGCATGCTGCCACATTCAAAGAAAGAGTTGATCAGGCTGGGCATGGTGGCTCATGCCTGTAATTTCAGCACTTTGGGAGGCTGAGGTGGGAGGATCACTTGAACCCAGGAGTTTGAGATCAGCCTCGGCAACTTGGTGGGACCCCCATCTCTACAAAAAATAAAAAAAATTAGCTAGGTGTGGTGACACACGCCTGTGGTCCCAGCTACTTGGCAGGCTGTGGTGGAAGGGTCACTTGAGCCTGGGAGATTGAGGCTACTGTGAGCCATAATTGCCCCACTGCACTCCAGCTTGGGTGACAGAGTCAGATCCTATCTAAAAGAAAAAAAAAAAGGGAAGAAAGAAAGAGTTCATCAGTCAAAAGTATGTAATTAAAATTAATTCAAACCTTTACTTATGCCTCTCAAAGATAATTAATGGAGATCCAATTCAAAATTCACAGGACCACTTTTAAAGCTAGTTATTTTCCCATTCTTCTCACCCTCCAGTTCTCTCACAGCCCCCCTGCTTCCATGGATTTTGAATCCCTGTCAGATTCCTTAGTTTCCTGTGCTCACTGATGACTTATTTCTGCACAATAGGGTTGAGTGGTGGTGGGGGAAGAGACATACCAAAGTTCCTTAGTGGGCTGGGATAGGAAAGTCTGTTGGTTTTGATTATAATGTCCTTGAACTTTTAACACTTTATTGAAATTAATTACTTACATGTTTTTCTCTAACACTTAGATCAGCAGCCTCCCACAGAAGTATCCTAGTCCACTAATGTGTGGGAATCAGGCTGGACTTACACTACTGTTCAGGGAATTATGTGTAACTTTCATGGTATGCCAAAGCCTGAAATGAGTGATCATAAAAATCTGGATGAATTAAAGCAGTAAAATTTTACACAGTAAAATCTGAAAGGGTAGGGACAGCCACCACATGCATTCCTATTCCTTAGCTCTAGAAAGAATGAATATATGCACTTTCATCATGTAGATTGGGATTTATTTATGCCTTAAACTACCGTAATTATAATATAGGTCTGAATCACAGATCAGTTTCTTTCAGCTTGAAGTTATTAACACAAATTTTATGACCCACATATTCCTAAAAGGAATGAATTGAGGCGGAGGAATGAAGAAGAAAGAAGGCAAAGGCCAATTCTTAACTCAGCTGATGGATACAACTTTTGGGAACTTTTCATTTTTTTTTTCCCCAGGAAGGATGAGTCTGACATTATCAGTTCAGATCTCATGATGCAGTATTTGCTTGAAACCCAGCATGATATTTGCTGCTAGAGATTTCATATGACTCTGTATTGATTCTGTACTAAAAGGATATAGAAAACTTGTTTTAGACAAATAGTGAATGTGTGCTGGATGATTTCTCTCTCTTTCTCTCTCTTTTTTTTTTTTTAACTTTGCTTTGTCATATGTTATTGCCAAACTCCTTGTGCTTATGTGCTCATGTGGCTATGTTCTCCTGGGTAGCATTCCATCTGTTTGATTTACGAAATCTGTGATGCTGTCCTTTTGGCTTGGGAAAAGTAGATGTGGTTTGGGTGCTAGAATATGAAAATTCAGTTTCTGCTAATGTACGTATCAAATCAGTAAATCACCAGATAAGTCAGTGGCAGAGAATTAAAAGTCACGCTCTTGGACAACAGTACAGACTTTTGCAAATAAACATTTTTTTTAATCAATTTTCCCCTCTTATAATATCAGTCCTTTTTTGGAGTGGCGTTAACAGGAAAAAATTTGCCTTAATCATCCTTTCATGTGACATTTTAGTGAATACCTTTTGTTGGATTATTTAAATAGAGAATTACAAACTCTTTTACATTATAAAGACTTATAAAGGAGTTGTAATCTTTGAAAAATAGCATAGGGATATTCAAACCCATCTTGCCAACTGGTCTGAATTATCGCAACTCCACATAGCAACTATTCATCTTTTTCTTATTTTTGATTGCATTGGATTTATCATAAATTTAATATGTTTATATTTAGTATGTTTCTCTTTTTGTTCCAAAAACAAAAACGATATTATTTTTATGCATTAATTTTGGAATTTTATATATTTTTAATGTTAGACCTTTTTTTCAGGTGAATACCAACAGATATTATTTAAACCAGGTAGGAAATCAACTGATGGAGAAGTGATTTACTTTAATTGTTTATTACAGGTCTGCTCCTGTAGACAATCTGTAGTTGGGTCTTTTCCCATCCACTTTGCCAGTCTCTCTTTCAAGTAGTATATTTAGACCACTCAAATGTGAAGTGATTTTTGATATAGTTGGATTAATCTCTGACCACATTTTAACTGTTCTCTATTTCCTTGTTCTTTGTTTCTTTTTTTCCCCCTTTCACTCTTTTTCTGCCTTCTCTGGTTTTAATTGAACATTTTATATGATTTTATTTTCTCTCTTGTTTTAGCATATCAATTATACTTCTTTAATACTTTTTTTAGCGGTTGCCCTACAGTTTGCGGTGTATGTTTACAACTAATCCAATTCCACTTTCAAATAATACTGTACTGCTCCATGAATAGTGCAAGTACTTTATGATAGAGTATACCAATTCCTCTCTACTGTCCTTCATAATTTTTTTGCTGCTATTCATTTCACTTATCTGTAAGCTATAGTCATTGAATGCATTGTTGCTGCTATTATTTTGAATAAACGGTTAACTGTTAGATCAACTAAGAATAAGAAAAACAGGCTGGGTGCAGTGGCTCATGCCTGTACTCCCAGTGCTTTGGGAGGCTGCAGTGGGAGGATCACTTGAGGCCAGGAGTTCAAGACCAGTCTAGACAATATAATGAGACCCCATGTTTACAAAAAATTAAAAACAATTAGCCAGGCATGGTGGTGCTCACTTGTAGTCCCAGCTACTTGGGAGCTGAAGTGGGAGGCTTGCTTGAGAGCCCAGGAGTTGGAGGCTGCAGTGAGCTATGATTGAGCCACTGAAGTCCAGCCTGGGTAACAGAGCAAGACAGAGTTAGGCTGTATTTATTGTTTGCTGTGGCTATGGTGTCAGGGGCTACAATTTCCTCTGGTGTCCCTGTTTTTGTGTTCCCTCTTGTCTTTGGGTTTTCCTAGAGACTCTTTATACAGAAGCTGAGGCATGCAGTGTTTTTTAGTGGTAATCCTCTGTTTTATAGAGGAGCCCTATTAATGTGGTGGTAAGGTTGTGAGGGGAAGGCATTCTATAGGCCTGTGATTAGGCCTCAGTCTTTTAACGAACCTGAGTTGGTTCATTAAACCAACTCACATGAAAGGCTGGAGAGGGCTGGATGTTATTTCCCTTCTCCCAGGTTGGCTAGGCTCTGGTAAAACCCCAGTCAGGCTCTGGTAAATTTTCTTTGAGGGTAGACCTTGTTAAGGAGAACAGAGAGCTCTGGGCATATTTAAAAATGGATACTTTTCCCCTTCTCATGTGTTGGGCTCTCCCTAAGCCTGGGTTCCCTTGGAGTTTTAACTCTCAAGCTAGTCTACAGTTGAGTCTCGAGCAATTTGTCAGTTTTAGTTTAAAGTGTTCCTGGTGATATTGGCTCCAGCTGCAGGCTTTTGCTCCTGCTAAGCTGTGATTCTCTGTATATGCCTGTCTGTCTCTCCTCTTTTCCAAGCAGCAGTTTGACCTGTTTGCTCAATTCTCGGATCAAAGAAGAGTTGTTAGTTTTCAGTTTGTTCAGCTTTTTTCTTGTTATGAGAACTGGATTGATAAGTTCAAAGCTTTTTACATGTCAGACTGGAATTTGTAAGTCAACAGGCCTGCTTTAAAGGAAAAGAAAATAAAATCCTTAACATAAAAGCAGTAGTCTATGGACAATTCAGAATAAGAATTATCATTTGACTACTAGTCTAGCGTTTAATCACTTGCCTGTTAATATTAGTAACATCCAGAGTATCCACATTATGGTTGTGTATGCTATTAGGACATAAATATGAAGAGTAAACGAGGCTTTGAGACTATAATTGATGCCTTCAAGTCCCAGAATTGGATAGGTGTTCATTTCCCTCAGACTCTCTGTATATGCTATTTCCTCTCCCTGGGATACCATTCCCCCATTAAATGAGACTCTGGCAGGGGATGGGGGCAGGCAGGAATCTGTATTCTCCAATAAGTTCCCTAAGTGATTCTGATAATAAACAGGGTTCTGGAACTATTGGATGACACATGGTTTTCTTTTATTACCCCTGACCCCCAACACAGGGTTTTTGGGTCCTTAGCCCCTTCTCTACAATTCCTTTATCTTATTACTTACCATATTGCACCATGGTGACATCTAATGACCTATGCCTTTGAATTTTGTGAGGGCAGGGCCTCTATCGTAACCCCAGTTATTTGTTTTAATGCACAGTAAAGTGATTATGTCCTGGTTTGATCAGAATAGTCCTAGTTTATGCCAGTGTTCCCAGCACAAACTCCCTTCACTCCCACAGCCCCCTGGTTGTGATGATAAATTATGATTACCCTGGTTATGAGAATCTTTTGTCAAATCCTTCATAAGAGCTTAAAGATTTTTAGTCACTCATGAAATAATTCTACTGTTTTCCCTGAAGCAGGTATAATTAACAGACTGTGACTGTTGTTTATTATTTTTAATTTGCCTATTATTGTAACTTATTAAACCAAGGTTTGTGTGTCCCTTTCCCAGAAGATAAACAACACTAAAATGGAGAAATATAAATCTTGCTGAATCCTAGCATTTTTTTTTGTATGTTGTACTGGCTTGACTTTGATCTATTGAAAAATAAGAAAATAAAAGAGCCCTATCCATTAGTGCCTCAAATTAGGTAACAAATTTGTGATAGGATATAACCATTAAACTTTTACTAAATGTTGTAATAGGATTAGAACATAGACTCATCATGTCTGCCCAAGGAGACATAACATTAACCTAACCTAACCTAACAAAAATTAACATTGCCAAAATGCCTTGTGTCCCTGAAGCCCTTTACCTGGTTGTGACCACATGGCTTGACTAAGATTTTAAGCAAATCTCTCTCATTGTTTTTATAACCAGTTGAGCTCTTCTAGGTTGGGGACCCAGAGAACTCTGGCAGTAAGCAGTCCTACCTATAGCAGAGGGCAAGCAAACATTTGAGTATTTTTTTGGCATTGTGTCGGAGAGGATATAAAGGGATGGTATACCTGTTTCCGGCTCTTAGAGTCTGAAGTGTCCATCTAATTGTGACTAAAGACGAAAGTGATTTCTAACATTGGCAGATTATAAAACAAATGATATATAGTAGAAAATGTAATACAGAGTTATCAAATGAATGAATGAAGAGTCACCACCAATGTATGACTTTATATATTCTGTCTGGGTAAAAAAATAAAAGTGTAAAGTATAAAAACAGCAACAACAAAAAACCACCCCTCTCTCGCATTTTTGTCCTGAAAGCCTTAGTACATTCATGGGTATAGAATAAAAGAATGGAAAGAAATTTGGTAATTTTGATATTCAGTCAACCTAATTATGGTGAACAGATGTTCTAAAACCTATTTGTAGGTTTAAGCAAAATTAACATGATATTCTATGAGAGCATTTTATTTCATAGAATGATTATGCTTGATGAAAAAGGGTTGTCTTTTTTTCTTCTTAGCTTTCACACTAAATAGAAACTGAAAGTGATAATAGAAGTTGAAAAAAATTAAACAAAGGATCTCATATTTAGTGTTAAGAAAATCAAAATTATTGAAAAGTTGGTTACAAACCAAGCCTCATTATCTATTTTCATTTTCAAGGTGCGGTCAGTTGCCCTACAGAGATAATATGTTACTTGGCATGCTAGTGATATGTATAAATTAATATAGCTTCCCAACGTGCTCAACTTCTTCAATATATTACCTTGAAACATCTGGATAGAAACTTGGTCTTTTAATCTACATGACAATAAGTACTAAATTTGTAGGATGAGGAAAAAAACCTAGATGTGTAGGTTTATTTGGTTTCTGTTACTAAATTTTGGTATGATTTGGCAAGACACTTAACTTTTTTGAGCTTCAATTGCTGAGCCTATAAATGTAAGGGGTTGGTATAGGTGATGTTTGACATTGTAAAAAATTCAAACTAGCAGATAGGAAGACAGCTGTAGGACTAAATTGGCTGATTATACTAGCATGGACTCACTACAATCACATAGAAATGTTTGAAAAACTACAATAAAAAATTAAATCCATAGCAAAGCTAAAAACAAATAAATATAATTCCCAAGGAAATGAATAGGGAAAAGATAGTTGGAATGAAAAGTGCAGGAGCTGTCTCTCTGGCTACCCATGTGGTTGGAGGACCCAAATACAGGCTTTGGAAATGAGAGGCTACAATTTTATCACACCCTCCTGGACAGAAGATGTGTTGTTAGAACCTCACAAAGCTGGGGCCTAACCCTTAGATCTCTCCATAAAACAAGGACTTAGAAATATCAGTCTCTCTTGGAAAAGGGAGAAGAAAAGCTGCCCAGTATTTCAATAAAGCTGCAAGAAAGCTTTTATCTGGTTCGGGATCTGTATAGAAAAAAGACTCCTGTGATAATTCTGAGCCTTATTTCTATACTATGCCCAGGTTTAGTCAGAATTTATAGTTCTTATGTGGTGTGGGAGACCTGAGCCAACAAATTAATATAAAAACAATCCTAGATTAGTGAACTCTCTGGAGCATCTGGAAGAAATGGTTGTAAAACACTTTTGAGGAAATATTTTTACGAAAGATACATAAAGCTTTTATTTTAAAAAGTTTATAGTTGAATTCTCAGTCAAAAATTACAAACCACATGAGATAGTTTGGATATTTGTCCCCTTCAAATCTCATGTTGAAATGTGATCCCCAACGTTGGAAGTGGGGCCTAATGGGAGGTGTTTGGTTTATGGGGGTGGATCCCTCATGAATGGCTTGGTGCCCTCCCCATGGTAATGAGTGAGTTCTCACTCTATTAGTTTATGTGAGAGCTTGTTGTTTAAAAGAGCCTGGCACCTCCTCCTCTCTCTCTTGCTCCCTCTTCCACCATGTGACATGCCAGCTCCTTTTTCCTTCTGCCATGGCTAAAAATTTCCTGAGACCTCACCAGAAGCCGAGCAGATGCAGGTGCCATGCTTATTGTATGGCCTGAAGGACCGTGCGCCAAATAAACCTCTTTCTTTATAAATTGCCCCGTCTCAGGTATTCCTTTATAGCGATGCAATTGGACTAACATACCACATGAAATAAATAAGCATGTTTTATATGATTATTGGTATACAAATAAATTGAAGCAAAGGGTAAGAAAATAAATATTGTGAAAAATAGAAAATAAATATTGTGAAAAATAACTAGATAGATCTTTTTTGGGGGAAATGGGAATAGGGTCTCATTCTGTTACCCAAGGCTGAAGTGCAGTGGTGTGATCACAGCTTACAGCACCCTCAATCTCAAAAGGCTCCGGTGATCCTCATGCCTCAGCCCCTTGAGTAGCTAGGACTACAGGTGCACACCACCACACCCAGCTAATTTTTGTATTTTTAGTAGAGATGGGATTTCGCCATGTTGGCCAGGCTGGTCTTGAACTCTTGGACTCAAGCAATCCACCCACCTTGGCCTCCCAAAATTCTGGGATTACAGGCGTGAGCCACCATGCCTTGCCTTAGCTAGATCTTCTAGAAATAAAAATATATAGTCATAGAAATTAAAAATGCAATAATTTGGATTAAAGAGCAGATTAGATGTAGCATCAGAGACAGCTAAGGAAACTAAATAGAATATAGCATTTAGGGTTGAAGGGGAAAAAAAAAGAATGAGAAATGTGAGCGTAGAGTGAGAAGATCCAGAAAGAGGTGATAGAAAGAATAAGGAAGAAGCATTATTCAAAGTAATAATGACTGACAATTTCTCAAAATTGATGAAAGATATGAAACTTTTCTTGAATAAACACAACTAATTCTGTGTAAAATAAAAAATAAACTCATGCTTTGATGTATCAGAGAAACTGCAGAACACCAATGACAAAATGAAAAATCTTAAAAGCAATGAGAGAGAAACGACACATTATTTATAAAGTAATGGCAATTTGACAGCCTATCAATACTCAGCAACAGTAGAGGCTAGACAGCAATGAAATAATATCTTCAAAAGACTGAAGGGAGATAACTGTTAACCTATCTAAAATATCATCTAAGAATAAAGTGAAAATAAAGCTATTTTTAGATGAAATCTGAAAGGCTTTACTGCTCACTGACTCTAACAAAAAATAATACATTCACTGACCCTAACAAAAAATAACTCTTAAGTGGGGCACTGAGTACAGAAGGAAGGAGTGGGATGTAAAATGCAAAGTAAATATTAAGTGGAGTCACTTAAAATTGTTGATATTTGGCTAATTTTGAAATATAAAAATAGCTTTAAAGTAGTTTTTTCCAATTCTGTGAAGAAAGTCATTGGTAGCTTGATGGGGATGGCATTGAATCTGTAAATTACCTTGGGCAGTATGGCCATTTTCACGATATTGATTCTTCCTACCCATGAGCATGGAATGTTCCTCCATTTGTTTGTATCCTCTTTTATTTCCTTGAGCAGTGGTTTGTAGTTCTCCTTGAAGAGGTCCTTCACATCCCTTGTAAGTTGGATTCCTAGGTATTTTATTCTCTTTGAAGCAATTGTGAATGGGAGTTTACTCATGATTTGGCTCTCTGTTTGTCTGTTGTTGGTGTATAAGAATGCTTGTGATTTTTGTACATTGATTTTGTATCCTGAGACTTTGCTGAAGTTGCTTATCAGCTTAAGGAGATTTTGGGCTGAGACGATGCGTGGGCAAGGACTTCATGTCCAAAACACCAAAAGCAATGGCAACAAAAGCCAAAATGGACAAATGGGATCTAATTAAACTAAAGAGCTTCTGCACAGCAAAAGAAACTACCATCAGAGTGAACAGGCAACCTACAACATGGGAGAAAATTTTCGCAACCTACTCATCTGACAAAGGGCTAATATCCAGAATCTACAATGAACTCAAACAAATTTACAAGAAAAAAACAAACAACCCCATCAAAAAGTGGGCGAAGGACATGAACAGACACTTCTCAAAAGAAGACATTTATGCAGCCAAAAGACACATGAAAAAATGCTCATCATCACTGGCCATCAGAGAAATGCAAATCAAAACCACAATGAGATACCATCTCACACCAGTTAGAATGGTGATCATTAAAAAGTCAGGAAACAACAGGTGCTGGAGAGGATGTGGAGAAATAGGAACACTTTTACACTGTTGGTGGGACTGTAAACTAGTTCAACCATTGTGGAAGTCAGTGTGGCGATTCCTCAGGGATCTTGAACTGGAAATACCATTTGACCCAGCCATCCCATTACTGGGTATATACCCAAATGACTATAAATCATGCTGCTATAAAGACACATGCACACGTATGTTTATTGCGGCATTATTCACAATAGCAAAGACTTGGAACCAACCCAAATGTCCAACAATGATAGACTGGATTAAGAAAATGTGGCACATATACACCATGGAATACTATGCAGCCATAAAAAATGATGAGTTCATGTCCTTTGTAGGGACATGGATGAAATTGGAAACCATCATTCTCAGTAAACTATCGCAAGAACAAAAAACCAAACACCGCATATTCTCACTCATAGGTGGGAATTGAACAATGAGATCACATGGACACAGGAAGGGGAATATCACACTCTGGGGACTGTGGTGGGGTGGGGGGAGGGGGGAGGGATAGCATTGGGAGATATACCTAATGCTAGATGACGAGTTAGTGGGTGCAGCGCACCAGCATGGCACATGTATACATATGTAACTAACCTGCACAATGTGCACATGTACCCTAAAACTTAAAGTATAATAAAAAAAAACAAATATAAAAATAGCAATTAGGCCAGGCGCAGTGGCTTACGCCTGTAATCCCAGCACTTTGGGAGGCCGAGGAGGATGGATCACTTGAGGTCAGGAGTTCGAGACCAGTTTGGTCAGCATGGTGAGACCCTGTCTCTACTAAAAATACAAAAATTAGCCAGGTGTGATGGGGGCTTCCTGTAGTCCCAGCTACTTGGGAGGCTGAGGCAGGAGAATCACTTGACCCTGGTGGCAGAGGTTGCAATGAGCCAAGATTGCACCACTGCACTCCAGCTTGGGCAACAGAGCAAGACTCCATCTCAGAAAAAAACTAATATGGTCTAACCTAGTACTAATAAGTATTGACTCTAAATAACAATAATAATGATTAATTTTGGAGGATTTGAAAATAAAGTGGAACTAAAATACAAATTGTCTATAACAATTACATGTGAGAGGAGAGGTCTCTTGATTTCTTAGGTCTTTATAGTTTTTGATAGATGGTATGCTTTGTTAAATGAAGTATGTAAGTAAACTTTAGGAATATCAGCAACTAAATAGAAAGAGTATATGCAATTTTTAAAGCAGAAAAGTGTAAAAATGGCAAGGAGAGAGACAAAGGAAAAAACCCTCTATTAAAGTGATATAAGGCAGAAAGAAGAAAAAGGAGCAAAGACAACAATGCTGGATACAAACCAGAAAAATATTGATAGGAATATTCTAATATAGTGATATTCACAGATTGGATTTATCAGTTAAAGAACAGAAACTGAGACTGATTTATATGATATCTAGCTATATGCCATTTATAAGAGGCACAACTGTAATGACACAGAAAGTTTGAGAGTGAAGAAATGAAAAAAGGCATACTTGGAAAAAACAAACTACGACTAACGTGGTAGAGCAATATTAATTTCACACCAAACAGACTTTCAGGCAAAATCTGTATCAGAGATTGTGGAGATAGAATTAATTTACAGCTGGAAAGGAAAACCATCATGTTTATCTCTGGGGATGATTGGCTGTCTGGTTTTTGACTTTTGGTCAAGATAAGGGCAGTGGAATTTGTGATGTGTCGTTTAAGGTCCAAAACTCCTGTAGCGACTCTCAAGGTCAGTTTCTTTACCAATGAATTCCAGCTGGCTTAACTGGTGTGACAAGCTGGTTTGATTGTGGCCAGAAGGACTTAAAGCCCCCCTACTGAAAACTTCTCTTTGAGTTCTTCTGAAACTAAAATTCCTTGCACACATCTTGGTGGTTAAAGTTGGGCCCTGAGGAGCTTGCCTGCAATCACTTTCTCTTGCTACACTGTGTTCTTTGTCTTTAAAAGGCCTACAGGCATATATAGATGCTCCTCAATTTATGATAGGGTTATGTCCCAATAAACCTATTTTAAGTTTAAAATATTCTATGTTGAAAATGCATTTACTATACCTAACCTACCAAACATCATAGCTTAGTCTAGCCTACCTTAAATGTACTCAGAACACTTACTAATGCCTACAGTTGGGCAAAATAATCTAATATGAAGCCTATTTTATAAGAAAGTGTTAAAAATCTCATGTAACATTAAACACTGTATTGAAAGTAAGAAACAGAATACTGTATTGAAAGAAAGAAACTTACTAACACCTACAGTTGGGCAAAATAATCTAATATGAAGCCTTTTTGTAAGAAAGTGTTAAAAATCTCATGTAACTTATTAAATACTGTATTTAAAGTAAGAAACAGTATGGGTACTCAAAGTACAGTTTCTACTGAAAGTGTATCACTTTCACACCATCCATAAAGTAAAAAAAAATATTAAGTTGAACCATTGTAAGTCAGGAGCCATCTGTATTCTGGGAAGTCTGGTGAGTCCTTTCAAATATCCAAACTGGAGCAAACTTTGCAGAGGTAAAAAGGGTCAAAATATAATGAAAAAATAATATTTTACCTGGATGATGTAGCAATTACACAACCTATATGTGCCTAGAAATATAATCTTAACATACATAAGGCAGGCCAGGCGCGGTGGCTCACGCCTGTAATCCCAGCACTTTGGGAGGCCAAGGCGGGTGGATCACGAGGTCAGGAGATCGAGACCATCCTGGCTAACACGGTGAAACGCCATCTGTACTAAAAATACAAAAAAAAAATTAGCCGGGCGTAGTGGCGGGCGCCTGTAGTCCCAGCTACTCGGGAGGCTGAGGCAGGAGAACGGCATGAACCCGGGAGGCGGAGCTTGCAGTGAGCTGAGATTGCGCCACTGCACTCCAGCCTGGGCGACAAAGCGAGATTCTGTCTCAAAAAAAAAAAAAAAAAATACATAAGGCAAAAATATAGAAGAATTACTCAGAGGACAAATCTATAATCACTCCCCCTAGAAACTGTTAAATCAAGTACATTAAAATTAGTTAACATAGTTACATGGCGGAGTTGCATACATGTTCGCCAATAATCTGTTCTCTCTCTTTCTTTCGCGTCTCACTCTGTTGCCCAGGCTGGAGTGTAGTGGCGTGATCTCGGCTCACTGCAACCTCCACTTCCTGGATTCAAGTGATTCTCTTGCCTTAACCTCCCCAAGTAGCTGGGATTACAGGTGCACGCCACCACACCTGACCAATTTTTGTATTTTTAGTAGAGACGGGGTTTCACCATGTTGGCCAGGCTGGTCTCCAACTATTGACCTCAGGTGATCCACCAGCCTTGGCCTCCCAAAGTCCTGAAATTACAGGCGTAAGTAGTGTAGGGTTGTGGCTGGGAAAATTATGTAGTTTTTCTGCTCCTATGTTCACTTCTTGTGACTGTCTCTGCTTCCACAGCCAAGGCATGGGAAGATGGGGGAAAAAAAAAAAGCAACATATATTTCCCCCATGCTTTTGGGACCCAAGTCCTGGCCAGAGAGAAGAGCTCTCTTCCCTTAGAGTTTCAGGTGCTTGCACAGCTGCCACTGCCTCTATGTCTGTTGCTCCAGGGGATTGCCTGGGGGCAGCAATAAGAGAGAACAGAAAAGAACACCCCAAGGGATTTTCTTCACTCTGATCCTTAAAGGCTCCCTTTTCTGCTTTTTGGACCAGAATGAGAGGACTTCTCTTGCAGCTCTTTCTATTTGCACCTACTGTGGAGTTCTGGGTTTTGGGATGCTTTTGAATCTAAGGCCAGAAAATAGCGGGAGAGGAGGACAAAACTCACCAGTGGATTGATCTTACATTGAGTTCTGTTTTGTCTCTCAAACCAGTCTGCTATTATTTACTTTTTAGAGTCCCTAGATAACTGCTCCCTGCCTTCTGTGCAGGGTTTTTAGTTGCTTCATTGAATGAGGCAGGGTGCATCTTACTTCATCTTAACTGCAACCACCCACTGGAATCATTATCTTTTAATTGAAAATCAGTGGTTTTACATTTTGTTCTTCCAGAGTGCATTTAACATGAGCCCAAGGCATCTCTTCTTTCCTTAGCTTTTTCAATCTTCCATCAGGAATAAACATGAGATGATTTTTAAAAATTTACTAACTACACATATTCTTTTTCTTGTATATGGGCACAAGATACTAGAAGGAGAGGAAATCACTACCTCAGTGAACATGCATGTACTTCAAGACCTATTTGGAGTTTTTAAGAAAAGATTTCTTCACTCATTGCACCTAGGCTTTCAAATGGAAAAGAATAGCCTGAAATGCATTAGAGCAGCAAGTTTCTCATGTGAAACTTCATTTCCTGGCAGCCTCTTTCTGAAGAGACCAAGCAACATCCTGTGTTGCTCTGAAAGCATGGGGCAGCCACCCTAGGCTGTCAACCCAGCCAGGCTCCACTTCAAAGACTGACTACAGTGCTAGTTCAGCACTTAGCAATTAACATTGCACAGACGACATGGCTGACCTTTATTTTGAAAGTGTTTTTTACAGTTTCAGAATGTATCTAGAGAAAGAGCTTATAATATATTCTTCAGTTAAAAGCAACAAAGAGAAAACTTGCTTCTCATTTCCAACAGGGAATGACTCTTGTGTATAAAAAATTCAAAATTCAATAAACAACTATAAGGCATTTTTCGTATGTACACAACCACAATAAAAACACTGTCTTGAATTTGGCACAGCATAATTTCTTGAGAACAAAGAGCCATTATTATCACCATCACCACTACCACCACAACAAGGCAGGGGGCCAAGGAAGGGGAAGACAGAGAAAGAGAGACAGAGAGAGAGAGAATGTAATTTAGTTGATTGGGCCTTTTATGGTTTGAGAAATGATCATTAATTGCAGTTTGTTCTTAAAACAGTAGATGGCTCCTTAGACCTGAAATAGTTGAGAATATATATATATATATATATATATATATTTTTTTTTTTTTTTTTTTGAGATGGAGTCTTGCTCAGTTGCCCAGGCTGGAGTGCAGTGGCGCGATCTCGGCTCACTGCAAGCTCTGCCTCCTGGGTTCACGCCATTCTCCTGTCTCAGCCTCCCGAGTCACGCCCACCACCACGCCTGGCTAATTTTTTTTGTATTTTTAGTAAAGACGGGATTTCACCATGTTAGCCAGGATAGTCTCGATCTCCTGACCTCATGATTTGCTCACCTCGGCCTCCCAAAGTGCTGGGATTACAGATGTGAGCCACCGCGCCCGGCCGAGAATGATATTTTTGTAAGGACAGTGTAGAAATATAATTCAAATAGGGAAATCTGGTGCTGGGTCCTTTTACTAGAAAGGGAATCTATTGTACATTATGAGGTCAGGCAGTCAGAAATGTATTATCAGAACTTCCCAGAATTGGTGTTGTTGAGGGTGATTCAATGATAAAGAGTCATAAAATCCAATTTTGTTACCCTTTTGCCGTGGGATCTAGCATAACATTGTTGGTATTCTTGCCATGGTTGCAATTGTCTCTAGGGTCAGGAGATGCTTCAGTAAGCGCAGAACTCACTAGCCGTAACAGATGAAATAGGAAGAATTGCCACTAAATGAGCTCTTTTGAAAGAGTTGGAGTTATTTTCTGTTTTGGGAATGAGAAATAAGAGTATAGAATTTGGCAATATTAGCAAGATGAAACTTCCTCATGACACCATAAATTTATTCTAAATAAAAATGGAGAGGTTGAACAGAGATCTTTGGTTTTAATGCAAATGCCAGAGAATTACTTTGCAACAGAAGCTTGGGAAGCACTAGTTTGTAACCTTTTTGATGAGGGAATCAATATACTTGGAGGTGAAAGATTCATGCACACTTAGAAATAAGCAGCTGGGCCTCTGGAAGAACAGGAATGGGAAGTTGGGTCTACAGTCAAAGCAATAGGAGTGTCCTGCCCTTAATTTGACTCATTTAGCCTTTGCCCATCTGCTTCTATTTTGATAAGAAATATCTCCTTGATCCTCTGCTCTAATTTTTTAAATCTTCCTCCTAACTTCTGCTTACTCATAGTTTTGTTTCCCTCGTAATTTCTGTTTGAACATGGTCTGTCGTGGTTTTCTTGCTCAATTTCTACATTAGATCATCTCACTTCTGCTTCATTTTGTTGACCTCACCTTTCCTTTGTTATTTCCTTGGTTAAAATTCCTGAGGAAGAGAAATTGATGAGCTGATCTCAATTCTTGTCCCAGGACTCCCAGGACACATTGTATTTTGTTGGCAATTTTTGGTTTAACATTCTTTTGGGTCAGGTGTCCTCCCATATATCTGGCAAGGCTGGAAAGGATATAAAGCATGTTTGCATAAGTCCAGCTTCTTCTGCATGGTGAGGGACAGGGTAGAGGACCTAGAACCAGAAATTGGTTTATTTAGAACTATGGTGACCACATGTCCAAGTTTTTCTGGAAGATTCACAATTTCAATATGCTGTCTTGCATCCAGTGTAGTTTAGTATTTGTCTCAGGCTTTTCATTTTTTAATAAAATTTAAAAAATTAATACTTGTGGTGGTGGACATGGATATACATTGCCAAAATCTACCTTTCAGGAAGGATTTGCTTTCTAGCTGGTGGAGTGCAGTCAACAGAAACCTCCAGCTGTCAGCTTCTTTGGGATTTGCTTGAGCTGCAGTGAACTGCATTGTCGAAGGTCATATCTTTTCCAAGCCAGCCTGTGTCTGGTGACTGACTGAGGTGGGGGAATAAAGTCCTGGCCATTTCACCCTAATGGGGGAGGTCCCTGTATTAGTTTGTTTTCATACTGCTGTAAAGAAATACCAGAAACCAGTTTACTTATAAGAAAAGGGGTTTAATTGACTCACAGCTTCACAGACTATAAAGGAAGCATGGCTTGGGAAGCCCCAGGAAACTCACAATCATGGCTGGTGTTGAGTCCCTGTAGCTTTTCCAGGTGCACAGAGAAAGCTTCTCACGGATCTACAATTCTGGGGTCTGGAGGACGGTGACCCTCTTCTTGCAGTTCCACTAGGCAGTGCTCCAGTGGGGACTCTGAGTGGGGTCTCCAACCACACATTTCCCCTGCACATTGCCCTAGTAGAGGTTCTCCATGAGAGCTTTGCTCCTGCAGCAGACTTCTGCCTGGACATGCATTTCCATACATCCTCTGAAATCTAGGTGGAGGCTCACAAACCTCAACTCTTGCCCTCTGCACACCTGCAGGTTTAACACCATGTGGAAGCAGCCAAAGCTGATAGTTTGCATCCTCTGGAACAGTGGCCTGAGACATATTTGGGACCCTTTTAGCCATAGCTGGAGCTGGAGCAACTGGGATGCAGGGAGCAGTGTCCTGAGGTTAGGACCCTAACTCAGGGCAGCAGGGCCCTGGACTCAGTCCACAAAACCATTCTTCCCTCCTAGGCCTCTGGGCCTGTGATGGTAGGGGCTGCCAGGAAGGTCTCTGAAATACCTTTGAGGCATTTTCCCCAGTGTCTTGGCTATTAACATTCAGCTCCTCTTTATGCAAATTTTTGCAGCTGGCTTGAATTTTTCTCCAGAAGGTGGGTTTTTCTTTTCTACCACATGGTCAGGCTGCAAATTTTCTAAACTTTTATGCTATGTTTTTCTTTTAAATATTAGTTCTAGTTTCAGATCATCTCTTTGCTCATGCATATGACCAAATGCTGTTAGAAGCAGCCAGGCTACTTCCTGAATGCTTTGCTGCTTAGAAATTTCTTTTGCCAGATACCTTCAATCATCACTCTCAAGTTCAATATTCCATGGATCCCTAGGGTAGGGTACAATGCTGCCAGTCTCTTTGCTAATGCATAACAAAAGTGACTTTTGCTCCAGTTCCCAATAAGTTCCTCATCTTCATCTGAGACCCCCTCAGCCTGGACTTCATTGTCCATATCACTATCAGCACTTTTGGTCACAACAATTTAGCAAGTCTCTAGGAAGTTCCAAACTTTCCCTCATCTTCCTGTCTTCTTCTGAGCTCTCCAAACTGTTCCAACCTCTGCCCATTACCCAGTTCCAAAGCTGCTTCCACATTTTCAGTTATCTTTATAGCAATGCCTCACTCCCAGTAACAATTTTCTGTATTAGTCTGTTCTCGCACTGCTATAAAGAAATGGCTGAAACTGAGTAATTTTTAAGAAAAAAGGTTTAATTGACCACAGCTCTGCAAGCTGTACAGGAAGCATGCCTGGGGAGGCCTCAGGAAACTCACAATCATGACAGAAGGGGAAGGGGAAGCAGGCATGTCTTACATGGCTGGAGAAGAAGGAAGAGAGAGAAGCAGGGGTACTTTGCACTTTTAAACAAGCAGATCTTGTGATAACTCACTCAACACCACAAGAACAGCAAGGGGAAAATCTGCCCCTGTGATCTCCCACCAGGCCCCTCCAACACTGGGGATTACAATTTGACATGAGATTTGGGCAGGGACCACAAATCCGAACCATATCAGTGCTGCATTCTGACTGGTAATATTTGCTCCAGAGATCTTTACCATGTTGACCAAGCCTTTGTCAGGCCTGCATCACAGTTCAACTTCTGCCTCATTTGGTCTCTCAACCCTTCCTTCACAGGTATTTATCCCTTCTAAACATCTTATACCCCAAACTCTATCTCAGCATCTACTTCTAGAAAACCTAACTTGTGGTGGTTGCTAGCAAGAGTTGTCTGAAAAACCAGATGGGGTTTTGAAACTGGATGACTCACTGCCTGTCTGGTAAAGAGGACCCCATATTGGTGGTGAGTGGAGCACAGACAGCCCATGGTACTTGCTACAACTCATCAGTGGTGAATTGGGAAGGTTTGTCAGAAGGGAATGCACTTGCAGATGCACTGTATCAAGTATTTAAGAGTTTTAGATAAATTTTGCAGATATAAGGAAAAATTGATTGCTTGCTTATTGCTAAGAACCACAGATGCTCTTCAGGAAGAAAAGGAACCACTGAGTGTAAGTAATACACACTTGAAAGCCAGGTGTGAAAGACAGGGTGCCTCTTCAGGTGCAGACAAAAAGCTCTCATCTCCTACAAAGGCAAAGCAAACAAAGCTGAGGGCCAAGCTGGGACTTAGTAATAGTCTGATTGCTGAACTTCAAAGAAGATTAAATGCCCCATCAAGGCAGGTATGTTATGCCAAGGTCAGGCCTCTGTTTTGGAAGACCTCAGAACCTGAACTGTAGGATGGAGATATTTGCATGACTGTTCTCAAAGATTTCGACTCCCCAGACACTTTTGAACCTTTTGAATCTACAGAAGAGGTCCACCCATTTCTAGTAAAAGCTAACACCCCCCTGTGTTAGAAAACAATGTGAAGTCTTCTCCTTTGAAAGACAAAGAAGATCTGCCCCTGTCAGGATCTGCCCCTACCTGCCTTTCTAGCCACTGAATCTTTAACTCAACTCTCAGTACACCTCAGCTAGGGATGTGCTGGGACTGATAAAGGAGGAAATGGACATATCTCAAAGGAGCTGCAAGACCTAGGTAACATGTACCAGGAAGAACTGGGGAACATATATAGGCCTGGATTTGACAGGTGCTTGATCAAGGGAACAGAACATAAAATTGGATAAGAAAGAGTTTATTGATTTGGAAGTACTCTCCCAAGATCAAAGTTTGCTTTCCTTGCAAAGTCCTCAGAGATGGTGAAAACTTGCCATTAGGATACATGGAAAAAGCGATGGCCCATGCTGAACATGGGCCCATGCTGAACAAAGATGAAATGCCATGACTTCTGTGGCAGATGACAGAGGAAGGGATTAGGAGACTCAGGGAAGTTGGCATGCTGGAGTGGGGATACTGGAAGACTCAGCAGATGATTATGTTTCATATCTTTGTTGTAGCACCCAAGAATATGACTGATTTTAAAAAACTGTGATAAAATACCATAAGTTTACCATTTTAATCATTTGTAAGTGTACAGTTCAGTGGCAGTAAGGACATTCACATTGTTGTGCAACCATCACCACCATCCATCTCCAGAACTTTTTAAAAAGCTTCCTAAACTGGAACTTTGTATCCATTAAACAATAATTCACCATTCTCTTTTTCACCCCTAGCCCCTGAAAATCATCCTTCTACCTCTGTCCCTATGAATTTGTCTGCTCTAATTTGATTACCTCATAAGAGTGGAATAATATATTTGTCCTTTTGTGACTGGATTCTTTCAGTCAGCATAATATCTTCAAGATTCATTCATATTGTAGCACATGTCAAAATTTCCTGCCTTTTTAAGACCGAATAATATTTCATTCTATGTACACACCACAGTTTGTTGCCCACGGATCTATCAATGGACACTTGGATTGCTTCCACCTTTTGGCTTTTGTGAATAAGGCTGCTATGAACATGGGTGTGCAAATAACTGTTTGAGACCCTGCTTTCGATTACTTTGCGCATATACTCAGAAATGGAATGGCTAGATCATATGGTCATTTTAAATTTTTTTCAATTGTGGTAAAATATATATAATACCTAATTTATTATCTTAACCACTTTTAAATGTATAGTTCAGTGATATTAAATGCATTCGTAATGTTGTGCAACCATCACCACCATCCATCTTCATAACTCTTTTCATCTCCTAAAACTGAATTCTATACCCATTAACAATAACTTCCCATTCCTTCAGCCTAGTTCTTGGCAACCACCCTTCTACTTTCTGTCTCTAAGATTTTGGCTACTCTAAGTACGTCATATAAGTGGAGTCATGCAGTATTTGTCTTTTTGTGACTGGTTTATTGCACTCAACATAAGGTCCTCAAGGTTCATCCATGTTGTAGCATGTGTCAAAATTTCCTTCCTTTTTAAGGCTCAATAATAATCCATTATATGTACACACACCACAGTTTTCTTATCCATTCATCCACTGATAGACATCTGGGTTGCTTCTACATTTAGGCTATTGTGAATAATGTTGCTGTGAATATGAGTATGCAAATATCTGTTTGAGGCCCTGCTTTTAATTCTTTGAAAATTGATAGATCATATTGTAGTTCTATTTTTAATTGCTTGTGGAACCACCATACTTTTTTCCTACAGTGGCTGTACCATTTTGCATTCCCAGTAACAGTGTATAAGTGTTCTAATTTCTCCATATCCTTGCCAATACGTACTATTTTCTGTTATTTTATTTTATTTTTTTTGAGACAGAGTCTTGCTCTGTCACCCAGGCTGGAGTGCAGTGGCATGATCTTGGCTCACTGCAGCCTCCACCTCCCAGGTTCAAGCGATTCTCCTGCCTCAGCCTTCCGGTAGCTGAGATTGCAGGCACGGGCCACCACATGCAGCTAAATGTTTTTTTATATTTTTGGAAGAAAGACAGGGTTTCACCATGTTGGCTAGGCTAGTCTGGAACTGCTGACCTTAAGTGATCCGCCTGCTTCAGCCTCCCAAAATGCTGGGATTACAGGTGTGAGCCCTGGTGCCTGGCATCTTTTCTGTGTTTTGATAGTAGTTATCCTAATGGGTATAAGGTGGTATCTCATAATAGTTTTGATTTGCATTTCTCTGATGATTAGTGATGTTGAACTTCTTTTCATGTGCTTTTTGGCCATTTGTATATGGAGAAATATCTATTCAAGCCCTTTGCTTATTTTACATCCTTTACCTATTTGCAAATGTTTTTGGTTTTTTGTTGTTGAGTTGTAGGAGTTCTCCATATATTACAGATATTAATTATCTTATCAGATATACGATTTGCAAATATATTCTTCCATTATGTGGGTTGCCCTTTCTACTCTGCTGATACTATCGTTTGATGCATATAATGTAAACATTCTCATGAAGTCCAACTTATCTATTTTTCATTTGTTGCCTGTGCCAGTGATCCAGCATTTTGAGAAGCTGAGGTGGGAGGACAGCTGAAGTCCAGGAGTTTGAGACCAGCCTGGGCAGCATAGTGAGACCTTGTCTCTACAAAAAAATAAACAAAATTAACTGGACATGGTGACACATCCTGTAGTCCCAGCTACTCAGGAAACTGAGGTGGAAGGATCACTTGAGCCCAGGAGTTTGAGACCAGCCTGGGTGACATAGTGAGCCCCTGTTTCTTAAAAAAAATTGGTGTGTTTTTTGGGGTAAAGAGGATCCAAAGCTTCCTACTCCACCATGTTGTGACATAACTCCCTAGAATTTGGCCATTTCATCTAGGTTACCTAATTTGTTGGTGTATAATTGTTCATACTGCTTTCTTATAATCCTTTTTATTTCCCTTTAAACCATTAAAACAATTTTTATCTTTAAATTTTATTCTTACTATATATATTTAAGGTATAGAACATGATGTTCTGATATACGTATACATAGTTAAGTGTCACGCCAATTGACCTACTCATCATCTCATACAGTTACATTTTTGTGTGTGTATGTGTGGTAAGATCACCTAAAATCTACTCTCTTAGTAAATTTCAGTATACAATTCATTATTATTAACTATGGACCTCATGCTGTAAATTAGACCTCTAGAATTATCCTACATAATTGCAATTTTGCACCATCTGAGCAATCTCTCCTCAATTTTCCTTCCCTCCCCACCTGCTTCTGGTAGCCACCATTATACTCTCTGTTTCTATGTGTTTGACTTCTTTATAGATGCTGCATATAAAAGAGACCATATAATACTTTTCACTCTGTGTATGGTAGAATCTCCTTTTTAAAGACTGAATAATAGTCACATATATGAACATACAATGTAAGAATATTTATATATATTTATATCTCACAATTTCTTTATCCAGTTATCTGTTGATGGACACCTAGGTCTTTCCTATATCTTGGTGATTGTGAACAATGCTGCAATGAATGTGGGAGCACAGATATCTCTGTGAAGTGCTGATTTCATTTCCTTTAGTTATATACCCAGAAGAGGGATTGCTGGGTCATATGGTAGTTCTATTTTTAGTCTTTGAGGAACCTTTATTCTGTTGCCTAGACTGGAGTGCAGTGGCACAATCTTGGCTCACTGCAACCTCCGCCTCCCAGGTTCAAGCAATTCTCCTGCCTCAGCCTCCTGAGTAACTGGGATTACAGGCATGCGCCATTACACCTGGCTAATTTTTGTATTTTTAGTAGAGATGGGGTTTCACTATGTTGGCCAGGCTGGTCTCAAATCCCTGAACTCAAGTGCTCTGCCCGCCTCGGCCTTATTTTTTATAGAGGCTTTACTAATTTACATTTCCAACAACAGTGTACCGGGGTTCACTTTAAAAAAATATCCTCACCAACACTTACTGTCTCTTGTCTTTTTGATAACATCCATCTTAACAGGTATGAGGTCATATCTGGTGGTTTTGATTTGCATTCCCCTGATGATTAGTGACATTGAGCACATTTGCACATTTTCATATGCTTATTGGCCATTTTTATGTCTTCTTTGGAGATATGTCTATTCAGGTCTTTTCCCCATATTTTGATTGAATTATAATTTTCTTTTTTGCTATTGAGTTTTTTGAGTTCCTTATATATTTTGGATGTTGACTTCTTACCAGGTATATGGTTTGCAAATATTTTCTTCCAATTCATAGGCTACCTTTTTATTTTACTGGTTCTTTTCCTTTACTATGGAGAGTTTTTAGTTTGATATGGACCCCATTTGTTCAATTTTGGTTTTGTTGCCTCTGCTTTTGGTTGTCCTATCCAAAAAATATATTGCCAAGACCAAGGCCCAGGAGATTCTTCCCTCTGTTTTCTTGTAGGAGTTTTATAGTTTCAGGTTATACATCTATCTCTTTAACAAATTTTAAGTTTTTTTTGTATATAGTGAAAGATAATGGCCCATTTTTATTATTTTACATGTGGATATCCAGTTTCCCAACAGCAATTATTGAGGAGGCTGTCCTTTCTCCATTTTATCTTCTTGGTGCCCTTGTCAAAAAATAGTGTGCTATGCAGCCTCCAACTCCTGTGACCCTAGATAATTCTTTTGCCTTTTTCTGCCATTTGAGGACACAGAAAAAGGATGGTTTTCTATTATCCAGGAAGCAAGCCCTCACTAGACTCAAATATGCCAGCTCCTTTATCTTGGACTCCTCAGTCTCCAGAACTGTGAGAAATAAACATTTGCTGTATAAACCACTCAATATGGTGCGGTTTTTGTTATAGCAGTTGAATGGACTAAGACAAAGAGTAATATTAAGAAGTAGGGTGCTGCTGTAATAAATACCTAAAAATGTGGAGGCGGCTTTGGAATTGGGTAACAGTAGAGGGTGGAAGAGTTTTTAAGGAGCATTTTAGCAATATGGATGTTAAGGGTGATTCTAGTTAGAGTGCAGAAAGAAAAGAGAAGAGCTGGAAGGAAAGCCTCAATCTTCTTACAGAATACTGTCAGAGCACTGGGCACTGATTACCAAAGCCAAGGAAGGACTCCAATTACATGGAGGATGGCAAAAGTCATCAAAATACCAGCCACCAGGAATAGAAGTCCCAACACTTCTGCCCACTGCAACTTGGTATCAGAGTCACCAAGGAAAACACAACACAATAAATTACTGGATGGAACAATACTTCACTCACACAGAGAAAAGACAGAGGAAGATCAGCTCTCATAGTATGCACTGGTCTGTCATGGCTAGTGGGTCACCCCAGTAGCCGACACAGGGCAATTGGCCTACGTATACCTTTCTTGTGCTACAGTAGAAGGACCCCTCTCCTCCCCTGTGCTGTCTGAAATACTGAAAGCTGTAGGCATGCTTTAGGGCCATTGATGTACGTACTTCAGCAAAACAAAGGAGTGTACATTGAGCTTGAAACAGGGAAAGATATTCCCACACAAGGCAATATGCCTATGACAGAATGAATGGACCCTTTATCTCTTGATAAGGAAATATTCCAGGCCCAAGGCCCATTATTTTGCAGATGAGTGAGGGGTCAAAAAAGACTACATGCATAAATTGTCCTTCCCAACAAATCCCTAAGTATGATAAACTGAACGTTGGTAGAAACATGGACGGTAAAGGCCATTCAGATTAGGTCTTGATGGAAATAAGGAACATGTCATTGGAAACTGGAGGAAAAGTAATACTTGATATAATGTGACAAAGAATTTGGCAGAATTATGTTTGTCTCTTGGCGTTTTGTGGAAGGTAGAACTTGTGAGCAATAAAATTGGATATTTAGCTCAAGATATTTCTAAGCAAAGGGTTAAAGGTGGGGCTTGGCTTTTCATGACTACTTTTGTAAAATTCAAGAAGAAATAAATGACTTAAAGACAGAATTTTTAAGGAAAAAGAAAGCAGAACTCAAAGACTTGGAAAATCCTCCACCTAATCATATTGCAAAAAATTAGAACACTAACAGAGTGTCCAAGTGACTGTTTGATAAGGAAATTATTATAAATAAGCCATCTCAACACAAGTCAGATGCTATTCTTTAAGACAATGGAAAAATGACCCTGCAGGTGATTCAGAGATCATCAAGGCTGCCATTCCCATCATAGGCCACAGTGCACAGGCCCAGTGGCATGGTTGCTTCAACCTAGGTTTCAAAGGATGAGGCTGCCTGGAGCCACGGGTGTGGGACCCCAGACCAGGAGAGCTGTGGGGCTCTGGCAGATAACTGTTTTGGGGATGGGGCTCAGGCAGAGAGCCACTGCAGGGCCCTCCTTTCAAGTAGTGAGGGTGAGGTTGCCACTCCAATGGACCTGGAAGGCAGAGCATCTATTGCAAGAGGATTATTCTTCGGTCTTTAAGTCTTTTACTATGAGAAGCAAGGAGGTGGCCATCTATTAAACAGGAAGTGGGCCCTTACCAGACACTGAGTATACTGATGTCTTGATATTGAACTCCCCAGCCTACAGGGGTATTTGTTGTGTAGGCTACACAGCCTATGGTATGTATTTTTGATACAGCTACATAAATGGACTAAGACAGACCCATTGGTTGTTTAACAATGTGTTAATTTCCACATATATATGATTTTTTAAGTTTTTTTTTCCTGCCGTGGATTTTGTTTCATTTCATTATGATCAGAAGAGATATGTTGTATGATTTCCATCTTTTAAAATATTTTAAGATTTGTTTTGTGGTCTAACATGGTCTATACTGGAGAATGTTCCATGTGCTCTTGATAAAATGCATATTCTGCTGTTGGATGGAATTTTCTATATATATATCTGGTAGGTCCAATTAGTCTATAGTGTTCAAATTTAAGTCCTCTGTTTCCTTACTGATCTTCTTTCTTGTTATTCTATCCACTATTAAAAGTAAGGAATTGAAGTCTCCTCCTATTATTTTAGAGCTGTCTTTTTCTCCCTTCAATTTTTTCCATTCTTCACATATTTATGGGGTCTGATGTTTGGTGCCTATATGGTTATACTGTCATGTGCTGCATAACAATGTTTTGGTCAACAATCTACTGAATCTATGGCGGTGGCCCCATAAGGTTATAATACAGCATTTTTTACTTGACCTTTTCTATGTTTAGATACACAAATACTTACCATTGTGTTACAATTGCCTGCAGTATTGAGTACAATAATATGCTGTATATATTGGCAGCCTAGGAGCAATGGGCCGTACCATATAGCTTAGGTATGTAGTAGGCTATACTTTCTAGGTTTGTGTAAGTACAGTTACACTTTGAATGCCGTTCACAGGATGAAATCCTCTAATGATGCATTTCTTAGGATGTATCCCCTTTGTTGAGTGACACGTGACTGTAATTGTTATATCTTCTTGGTGAATTGACCAATTTATCATCACATAATTTTCTTCTTTACCTTTGTAACAGTTTTCAACTTAAAGTTTATTTTGTTTGAGATTAATATAGCCACACCAGATCTCTTTCCGTTACTAATCATATGGAATATCTTTTTCCATTCTTTTACTTTCAACCCATGTATGTACGTAGATTTAAAATGAGTGTCTTATAGAAACCATCTAGATGGACCCTGTTTTTTTTTTTTTAATTTAAAATTCATTCTGCCAGTCTATGTCTTTTGATTGGGGAGTTTAGTTCATTTATATTTAAAGTAATTACTGATAGAGAATGACTTTACTATTGCTATTTTGTTATTTGTTTTCTGCATATCTTGTAGCTTTTTTGCTTCTCATTTCCCCTATTACTGCTTTCTTTTGAGTTTACTTGATGTTTTATAGTGACATGTTAGATTTCATTCTCATTTCCTTTTTTGTAAATTCTACAGATTTTTTCATGGTTTTCATAAGGATTACACATATTATTCTAAAGTTATAACAGTCAATATCAAACTGATACCAACTTAATTTCAACCACATGAAGAAAATCTACTGTTTTATAGCCCTCCCAGTTTTTTTTTTTTTTGAGATGGAGTCTCACTCTGTTGCCCAGGCTGGAGTGCAGTGGCACGATCTCAGCTCACTGCAAGCTCCGCCTCCCAGGTTCATGCCATTCTCCTGCCTCAGCCTTTCTGAGTAGCTGGGACTACAGGTGTCTGCCACCATGCCCAGCTAATTTTTTTTTTTTTGTATTTTTAGTAGAGACGGGGTTTCACCATGTTAGCCAGGATGGTCTTGAACTCCATGATATAGTTTGACTCTGTGTCCCCACCCAGAATTGTACTAATCCCTAGGTGGATTGTAATAATCCCTATGTGGCATGGGAGGGACTCAGTGGGAGGTAATGGAATCATGAGGGCAGGGTTTCTTGTGCTGTTCTCATGATAGTGAATAAGTCTCATGAGATCTGATGGTTTTATAAAGGGGAGTTCCCCTGAACATGTTCTCTTGCCTGTTGCCATGTAAGACATGACTTTGCTCCCATTTGCCTTTCATTGTGATTGTGAGGCTTCCAAAGCCATGTGGAACTGTGAGTTAATTAAACCTCTTTCCTTTATAAGTTACCCAGTCTTGGGTATATTTTTATTAGCAGCATGAGAACAGACTAATACATTGCATTTTTATATGTTGAATACCCATTAACATAGATCTACAATTTTAATGTTTTTGTCATTGAAATGCTGTAGGAGAATAGGAAGTAGAATTACAAACCAAAATTACAATAATATTGGTTTGTATATTTTTTCATGTACTTACCTTTACCAGAGAACTTTATAGTTCCATATGGCTTTAAGTTACTGTTTAGTGTTCTTTCATTTTAACTTAAAAGACTTTCTTTAGCATTACTTATAGGACAGGTCTAGTGGTAATGAATTTTCTGAGTTTTTGTTTAACTGGGAAAGTCTTAATTTTTCCCTCATTCATGAAGGACTGCTTTGCCAGATATAGTATTCTAGGTTGACAGCATTTTTTTTCTTTCAGCATGTTGACTATATCATCCCACTACTTTCAGGCCTGTAAGATTTCTACTGAGAAACCTGATGATAATCTCATTGTGGATACTTTGTATGTGACAGATTGCTTTTCTCTTGCTGCTTTAAAGATTTTCCTCTTTGTCTTTGGTTTTCAACAGTTTGATTATAAAGTATCTGAGCATGAGTCTCTTTGGATTTATTCTACATGAACTTTGTTGAGCTACTTGGATTTGTAGATTCATGTATTTTCTCCAATTTGTAAAGGTTTTGGCCATTATTTCTTCAATCTCATTGCTCCTTTCTCTCTTTCCTCTCTCTTTAGGACTCCCATAATGCATATTTTTGTATGCTTGATTTTTACTCCATTGGTCCCTTAGGTGCTGTTCAATTTTATTTATTTTTCTTTCTATTCCTCAGACTGGATCATCTCTACTAATCTATTCCTGAATTCACAGATTCTTTCTCTTGCCTGATAAAATCTGCTGCTGAGCCTGTCTAGTAAAATTTTCATTTTATTTATTGCACTTTTCAATTACAGAATATTTAATTGGTTCTTTTTAAAACATAATTTTCATCTATTTATTTATATTCTCTTTTGTTTTGGACATCATTCTGTGCTTCCTTTATTTCTAGACATGGGAGTCCTTTAGCTCTTTGAATATATTTAAAATAGTCAATTTTAAGGTCTTTCTCTAGCAAGTTCTATGTCTGGGCTTCCTTGGGGACAATTTCTATGAGTTATTTTCATTCTGTATATGGGTTATTCTCTTGCTGAGAAGTGGACATTTTGAATCCTATAATGCAGTATCTCTGCATATCTGATTGTCTCTTTTCCTTATGATTTGTTGTTGTTGAAAGACTGTTTTTGTTTGTTTAGTGAATTTTCCAAACTAATATTTTAAAGTGTATATTCTTTGTTATGGGTGGTCACTGAGTCTTTGTTCTGTTAACTTAGTGGTGAGTGAATAATTTGAGAGAGATTACCTTAAATTTCTAGAACAAAAAAACCTAGTCTTTCCAGAGTTGTTTCATATATGCTTTGGGACAAATCTATAGCACTCTGCCAGGCAGTTGACACTTCTGTTTTGAAGTCAGGATAGGTAAAAGGCTTGGACCTTCTTTTTTTTTTTTTTTTTTTTTTTTGAGACGGAGTCTCGCTCTGTCGCCCAGGCTGGAGTGCAGTGGCGGGATCTCGGCTCACTGCAAGCTCCGCCTCCCGGGTTCACGCCATTCTCCTGCCTCAGCCTCCCAAGTAGCTGGGACTACAGGCGCCCGCCACTATGCCCAGCTAATTTTTTGTATTTTTAGTAGAGACGGGGTTTCACCGTTTTAGCCGGGATGGTCTCGATCTGCTGACCTCGTGATCCGCCCGCCTCGGCCTCCCAAAGTGCTGGGATTACAGGCGTGAGCCACCGCGCCCGGCCGGCTTGGACCTTCTTAGGTCTTTCTTGAGCATATGTACAATCCTTGACATATGTGTGACCTTCTAGATTTCCAGGAATATGTCAAAGCTTTCCAAAGCCCTTATTCCCCGAAGCATCACATTCTCAAGCCTTTTACTTCAAGCTTTTTGATTAGTCTATTGCTTGCCCTGACTGTTTATCATTGCCTCAGGCAGATGTGACTAAAACATTTGCTTTGTTCAGATGCTTCTCAATTTATGATGGGTTTATGCTCTGACAAACCCATTGTAAGTTGAAAATATCATGTCAAAAAATGTATTTAATACACCTAACCTACTGAATGTCATAGCTTAGCCTAGGCTACTTTAAATATGTTTAGAACACTTATATTAGCTTGTGGTTGGGCAAAATCATCTAACACAAAGCCTACTTTGTAATACAGTGTGAATATCTCATGTAATTTATTGAATACTGTACTGAAAGTGAAAAAAAGAATGGTTGTATAGGAGATCAAAGTAGAGTTTCTACTGAATGTGTATTGCTTTTGCACCATCATGAAGGAAAAAAAATTCTATTGAACCATCTTAATTTAGAACTGTCTGTAAATGTTTTCAACCAATGCCCTCTATAGTGTGTTTAGCACTGGATGAGTTCCAAATTAGTGAGGTAAATTCAAACCCATTGAGCTAGTTTTCCAGGCAACCACCAGATAGACTAAAATGTACAATTCTTTGTAAATTAATGAGATCTTCTATGTTTCCTCTGGTGGTAGAAATGTGTGTGGTTATTTTCAAGACAGCAAGTGAGGGTATTACAGTAAGGTGAAACATCACAAAGCTTATTATTCATATTGAGATTCAGTCTTTTTTTCCTGAATGAGCACTTCTCAGATTGCTGCAAGCTTTTGGTTAATTTTCATAGCTCTGGTTTTTTTCCCCCATTTGTTCCCATTTTTTTTTAAAATTTATTTATTTATTATTATTATACTTTAAGTTTTAGCTACATGTGCACAATGTGCAGGTTATATGAAAGAGGAGATTTCAGAATTCCTTACTTGCCATTTTTGCTGACATCTAGGAGCTTTTATTTTTAATTCAGCAAATTATTATTTTGTGCACTATTCAAATTAAATTGAGAAAGCCTATAATTGTAATATCTACATTTGGTAAAATGTTCAACGTAATCATAATTAGGATCTTATTAGATGAGTTTTGGCTTGTAAAAATATTTTTTGAAGAAAATTATCCTGAATGATACAAAGAGGACAAGACTTATAAAAATATTTGCCTGAAACATTTATACATTTCAAAAGGAAAAATTTAGAATTGACAATATCTTTCTTTTCGAAAAATTTGTTTGAGTTTACTGGGTAAATCAGCACCTGTAGAGAGCATATTTTCTCAGTTAAAAATTTGATCTAAAGAGAGGAATAAATTAAAACCATTAAAAAAGACAGGGTCTTGCTCTGTTGTGTAGGCTGGGGTGCAGTGGTGCAATCACAGTTCTCAGCAGCTTCAAGCTCCTGGGCTCAAGCGATCTTTCCACCTCAGCTTCTGGAATAGCTAGAACTACAGGCGCATGTCACCACATTTGGCTAATTATTATTATTATTATTTTGTAGAAACAGGATCTTGCTATGTTGCCTAGGCTGGTCTTGAACTCCTGGCGTCAAGTGATCCTCCTGCCCTCAGTCTCCCAAAGCACTGGGATTAGATGCATGAGCCACAGTGTCTGGCCATGAGTTAATCAAAGGTGTCAGAAATTTCAAATCTCTTAACTGCATAATTCAACTTTATAAAAATTGCAGGTAATTTTTTTTTGTCATTTGCCTGTTTTTTTTTTAAATTATCATTATACTTTAAGTTCTAGGGTACACGTGCACAACGTGCAGGTTTGTTACATATGTATACATGTGCCATGTTGGTGTGCTGCACCCATTAACTCATCATTTACATTAAGTATATCTCCTAATGCTATCCCTCCCTCCTGTCCCCACCCCACAACAAGCCCTGGTGTGTGATGTTCCCCTTCCTGTGTCCAAGTGTTCTCATTGTTCAATTCCCACCTATGAGTGAGAACATGCGGTGTTTGGTTTTCTGTCCTTGTGATAGTTTGCTGAGAATGATGGTTTCCAGCTTCATCCATGTCCCTACAAAGGACATGAACTCATCATTTTTTATGGCTGCATAGTATTCCATGGTGTATATGTGCTACATTTTCTTAATCCAGTCTATCATTGTTGGACATTTGGGTTGGTTCCAAGTCTTTGCTATTCTGAATAGTGCCACAATAAACATATGTGTGCATGTGTCTTTATAGCAGCATGTTTTATAATCCTTTGCATATATACCCAGTAATGGGATGGCTGGGTCAAATGGTATTTCTAGTTCTAGAACCTTGAGGAATCGCCACACTGACTTCCACAATAGTTGAACTAGTTTACAGTCCCACCAACAGTTGAAAAGCATTCCTATTTCTCCACATCCTCTCCAGCACCTGTTGTTTCTTGACTTTTTAAGGATCGCCATTCTAACTGGTGTGAGATGGTATCTCATTGTGGTTTTGATTTGCATTTCTCTGATGGCCAATGATAATGAGCATTTTTTCATGTGTCTTTTGGCTGCATAAATGTCTTCTTTTGAGAAGTGTCTGTTCATATCCTTCGCCCACTTTTTGATGGGGTTGTTTGATTTTTTCTTTTAAATTTGTTTAAGTTCTTTGCAGATTCTGGATATTAGCCCTTTGTCAGATGAGTAGATTGCAAAAATTTTCTCCCATTCTGTAGGTTGCCTGTTTACTCTGATGGCGGTTTCTTTTGCCGTGCAGAAGCTCTTTAGTTTAATTAGATCCCATTTGTCAATTTTGGCTTTTGTTGCCATTGCTTTTGGTGTTTTAGACATGAAGTCCTTGCCCATGCCCATGTCCTGAATGGTATTGCCTAGGTGTTCTTCTAGGGTTTTTGTGGCTTTAGGTCTAACATGTAAGTCTTTAATCTATCTTGAATTAATTTTCGTATAAAGTGTAAGGAAGGGATCCAGTTTCAGCTTTCTACATATGGCTAACCTGTTTTCCCAGCACCATTTATTAAATAGGGAATCCTTTCCCCATTTCTTGTTTTTGTCAGGTTTGTCAAAGATCAGATGGTTTTATAAGTGTGGTATTATTTCTGAGGGCTCTGTTCTGTTCCATTGGTCTCTATCTCTGTTTTGGTACCAGTACCATGCTGTTTTGGTTACTATAGCCTTGTAGCATAGTTTGAAGTCAGGTAGTGTGATGTCTCCAGCTTGTTCTTTTTGCTTAGGATTATCTTGGCAATGTGGGCTCTTTTTTGATTCCATATGAACTTTAAAGTAGTTTTTTCCAATTCTGTGAAGAAAGTCATTGGTAGCTTGATGGGGATGGCATTGCATCTATAAATTACCTTGGGCAGTATGGCCATTTTCAGGATATTGATTCTTCTATCCATGAGCATGGAATGTTCTTCCATTTGTTTGTGTCCTCTTTTGTTTCGTTTAGCAGTGATTTGTAGTTCTCCTTGAAGAGGAGAACTCTTGGTCCTTGAAGAGGTCCTTCGCCTTCCTTGTAAGTGGGATTCCTAGGTATTTTATTCTCTTTGAAGCAATTGTGAATGGGAGTTCACTCATGATTTGGCTCTCTGTTTGTCTGTTATTGGTGTATAGAAATGCTTGTGATTTTTGCACATTGATTTTGTATCCTGAGACTTTGCTGAAGTTGCTTATCAGCTTAAGGAGATTTGGGGCTGAGATGATGGGGTTTTCTAAATATACAATCATGTCATCTGCAAACAGGGACAATTTGAGTTCCTCATTTCCTAATTGAATACCCTTTATTTCTTTCTCCTGCCTGATTGCCCTGACCAGAACTTCCAACACTATGTTGAATAGGAGTAGTGAGAGAGGGCATCCTTGTCTTGTGCCTGTTTTCAAAGGGAATGCTTCCAGTTTTTGCCCATTCAGTATGATATTGGCTGTGGGTTTGTCATAAATAGCTCTTATTATTTTGAGATATGTCCCATCAATACCTAATTTATTGAGAGTTTTTAGCATGAAGGGCTGTGGAATTTTGTTGAAGGCCTTTTCTGCATCTATTGAGATAATCATGTGGTTTTTGTCTTTGGTTCTGTTTATATGATGGATAATGTTTATTGATTTATATATGTTGAACCAGGCTTGCATCCCAGCAATGAAGCCCACTTGATCATGGTGCATAAGCTTTTTGATGTGCTGCTGGATTTGGTTTGCCAGTATTTTACTGAGGATTTTTGCATCGATGTTCATCAGGGATATTGGTCTACAATTCTCTTTTTTTGTTGTCTCTCTGCCAGGCTTTGGTATCAGGATGATGCTGGCCTCATAAAATGAGCTAGGGAGGATTCCCTCTTTTTCTATCGATTGGAATAGTTTCAGAAGGAATGGTACCAGCTCCTCCTTGTACCTCTGGTAGAATTTGGCTGTGAATCCCTCTGGTCCTGGCCTTTTTTTGGTTGGTAGGCTATTAATTATTGCCTCAATTTCAGAGCCTGTTATTGGCCTATAATTGCAGGTAATTTTTAATGAAAGTGTTGACAGTAGTATAACCTACTTGAAAAAGATACATTTCTTAGGTTACACAGTATATTAATTTTCAAGGGCTCCTGTAGCAAATTACTACAAAGTGGGTGGCTTTGAAAAAACCTAGAAATGTATTCTTTCATAGATCTGGAGGCTAGAAGTCTAAGATTAAAGTATTGGCAGGGCCATGTTTCCTCTGAAGTCTCTGGAGAAGAATCCTGATGGTATCTTCTAGCTTATAGTGGTTGCCTGTAGTCTTTGGGTTTCCATAGCTAGTAGGTGCAACACTCCAATCTCTGTCTCCATCTCCAAATGGCCATATCCCCTGCACATCTATGTCTCTATGTCCAGATTGCCCTCTTTGTGTAAGATAACAATGTAACGTTAGTCATATTGAATTGAGGGCTTTGATCCAGCATGACCTCACATTAACTGGATTACATCTAGGAAGACCCTATTTCCAAATAACTTCACACATTTAGAGCATCTGGGTAGATATGAATTTTTGGAAAACATAATTCAGCCAGTGCACATGACATTAGAAACAAATGTCAGCTGAGAAAATTATTAAATACATAAGTATATCAAGAACACTTATTCTGTTTATGTCATCTTTAATGTTTAGGTCATCAGTAAAGAGGGTTAACATTTTTAAAATTTAAATTTTATTTTACTTTAAGTTCTGGGACACATGTTCAGAACATGCAGGTTTGTTACATAGGTAAACGTGTGCAATGGTGGTTTGCTGCACCTATCAACCTGCCACCTAGTTATTAAGCCCTGCATGCATTAGCTATTTGTCCTTGCCTCTCCACCCCCGACACACCCCAATGTGTGTGGTTTCCCTTCCTGTGTTTATGTGTTCTCATTTTTCAACTATCATTTAAGAGTGAGAACATACAGTATTTGGTTTTTGGTTCCTGTGTTAGTTTGCTGAGGATGATGGCTTCCAGCTTCATCCATGTACCTGCAAAGGCCATGATCTCATTCCTTTTTATGGCTGTATAGTATTCCATGATGTATATGCACCACAATTTCTTTATCCAGTTTATCATTGATGGGCATTTGGGTTGATTCCATGTCTTTGCTATTGTAAATAGTGCTGCAATAAACATATGTGTATAGGTATCTTTATTTTATTTTTGGAGATGCAGTCTATCTCTGTCACCCAGGCTGGAGTGCAGTGGCACAATCTTGGCTCACTGCAACCTCCACCTCCCAAGTTCAATCAATTTTCCTGCCTCAGCCTCCTGAGAAGCTGGGACTACAGTTGCATGCCACCTCGCCCTGGTAACTCTGTACTTTTAGTAGAGATGGGGGTTTCATCATGTTGGCCAGGCTGGTCTTGAACTCCTGACCTCAGGTGATCTGCCATCCTCAGCCTCCCAAAGTGTTGGGATTACAGGCGTGGGCCACCATGCCTGGCCCTTGCATGTATCTTTATAGTAGAATGATTTCTATTCCTTTGGGTATATACCCAGTAATGGGATTGCTGGGTCAAATGGTATTTCTGGTTCTAGATCCTTGAGGAATCACCACACTGTCTTCTACAATGGTTGAACTAATTTACATTCCCTCCAAAAGTGTAAAAGCATTCCTATTTCTCCACAGCCTCGCCAGCATCTGTTGCTTCTTGACTTTGTAATAATCACCATTCTGACTGGCGTAAGATGGTACCTCATTGTTGTTTTGATTTGCATTTCTCTAATGATCAGCGATGTTGACCTTTTTTCATATGTTTCTTGGCCATATAAATGTCTTCTTTTGAGAAGTGTCTGTTGGTATCCTTCACCCACCTTTTGATGGGGTTGTTTAATTCTTGTAAATGTGTTTAAGTTCCTTATAAATTTAGATGGATCAATTGCAATAATTTTCTCCCATTTTGTAGTTTGCCTGTTCACTCTGATGATAGTTTCTTTTGCTGTGCAGAAGCTCTTTAGTTTAATTAGATCTCATTTGTCAATTTTTGCTTTTGTTGCAATTGCTTTTGGTGTTTTCATCACAAAATCTTTGCCCATGTCTATGTCCTGAATTGTATTGCCTAGATTTTCTTCTAGGGTTTTTACGGTTTTGGGTTTTACATTTAAGTCTTTAATCCATCTTGAGTTAATTTTTGTATAAGGTGTAAGGAAGGGGTCCAGTTTCAATTTTCTGTATATGGTTAGCCAGTTTTCCCACCATCATTTATTAAATAGGAAATCCTTTCCCCATTGCATGTTTCTGTCAGGTATGTCAAAGATCAGATGGTTGCAGATGTGTGTTGTTATTTCTGAGGTCTCTATTCTGTTCTGTTGGTCTATATGTCTGTTTTGGTACCAGTACCACGCTGTTTTGTTTACTGTAGCCTCATAGTGTAGTTTGAAGTCAGGTAGCATGATGCCTCCAGCTTTGTTATTTTTGCTTAGGATTGACTTGGCTCTATGGGCTCTTTTTTGGTTCCATATACATTTTAAAGTATTTTTTTCTAATTCTGTGAAGAATCTCAGTGGTAGTTTGATGGGAATAGCACTGAATCTATACATTACTTTGGGCAGTGATATGGTTTGGCTGTGCCTTGACTCAAATCTCAACTTGAATTGTATCTCCCAGAATTCCCAAGTGTTGTAGGAGGGACCGGGGGGGGGAGGTAATTGAATCATGGGGGCCAGTCTTTCCCATGCTATTCTTGTGATAGTAAATAAGTCTCATGAGAGCTAATGGGTTTATCAGGGGTTTCCACTTTTGCTTCTTCCCCCTTTTTCTCTTGCCACCACCATGTCAGAAGTGTCTTTTGCCTCCCCCCATGATTCTGAGGCCTCCCCAGCCATGTGGAGGTGTAAGTCCAATTAAACTTCTTTTTCTTCCCAGTCTTGGGAATGCCTTTATCAGCAGTGTGAAAACAGACTAATACAGTAAATTGTTACCAGTAGAGTAGGGCACTGCTGAAAAGCTACCTGAAAATGTGGAAGCGACTTTGGAACTGGGTAATAGGCAGAGGTTGGAACAGTTTGGAGGGATCAGAAGAAGACAGGAAAATGTGGGAAAGTTTGGAACTTCCTAGAGACTTGTTGAATGGCTTTGCCCAAAATGCTGATAGTAATATGGACAATAAAGTCCGGGCTGAGGTGGTCTCAGATGGACATGAGGAACTTTTTGTGAACTGGAGCAAAAGTGACTCTTGTTATATTTTAGCAAAGAGACTGGTGGCATTTTGCTCCTGCCCTAGAGATTTGTGGAATTTTAAACTTGAGAGAGATGATTTAGGGTATCCGATGGAAAAAAATCCTAAGCAGCAAAGCACTCAAGAAGTGACTTGGGTGCTGTTAAAAGCATTTAGTTTTAAAAGGGAAACAGAGAATAAGAGTTTGGAAAATTTGCAGCCTGACAATGTGATAGAAAAGAAAAACCCATTTTCTGGGGAGAAATTCAAGCCAGCTGCAGAAATTTGCATAAGTGACGAGGAGCCTAATGTTAATCCCCAAGACCATGGGAAATCATCTCCAGGCCATGTCAAAGACCTTCACAGCAGCCCCTCCCATCACAGGCCTGGAGGTCTAGGAGGAAAAAGCAGTTTAGTGGGCTGGGCCCAGGGTCCCTCTGCTGTGTGCAGCCTAGGGTCTTGGTGCCTTGTGTCCCAGCTGCTCCAGCTGTGGTTGAAAGGCGACAATCTACAGCTCAGGCTGTGGCTTCAGAGGGTGCAAGACCCAAGCCTTGGCAGCTTCTATGTGGTGTTGAGCCTGCAGGTGCACAGAAGTCAAGAACTGAGGTTTGGGAACCTCTGCCTAGATTTCAGAAGATGTATGGAAACGCCTGGATTCCCAGGCAAAATTTTGCTGCAGGGGCAGGGTCATCATGGAGAACCTCTGTTAGGGAAATGGAGGAGGAAAATGTGGGATCAGAACCCCCACACAGAGTCTCTACTGGGACTTTGCCTAGTGGAGCTGTGAGTAGAGGGCCACCTTTCTCCAGACCCCAGAATTGTAGATCCACTGACAGCTTGCATTGTGCACCTGGAAAAGTCACAGACACTCAATGCCAGCCAGGGAAATCAGCCAGGAGGGAGACTATACCCTGCAAAGCCACAGGAGTGGAGCTGCCCAAGACCATGGGAACCCACCTTTTGCATCAGTGTGACTTGGATGTGAGACCTGAAGTCAAAGGAGATTGCTTTGAAGCTTAAAAATTTGATGGCCCCGCTGGATTTTGGACTTGCTTGGGCCCTGTAGCCTCTTTGCTTTGGCCAATTTCTCCCATTTGGAATGGCTGTATTTTCCCAATACCTGTACCCCCATTGTATCTAGGAAGTAACTAGCTTGCTTTTGATTTTACAGGCTCATAGGCAGAAGCAGCTTGCCTTGTCTCAGATGAGACTTTGGACTGTGGACTCTTGGGTTAATGCTGAAATGGGACTGTTGGGAAGGGATGATTGGTTTTGAAATGTGAAGACATAAGATTTGGAGGGGCCAGGGGTGGAATGATATGGTTTGTCTGTGCCACCACCCAAATCTCAACTTGAATTGTTTGATTCAAGGCCTCATGTATTGTACTGTATGATTCGGAGGCCTCCCCAGCCATGTGGAAATGTAAGCTCAATTAAACTTCTTTTTCTTCCCAGTCTCGGGTATGTCTTTATCAGCAGCATGAAAATGGACTAATTCAGGCAGTAGGGCCATTTTCATGATATTGATTCTCCCTATCCATGAGGATGGAATGCTCCTTAATTTGTTTGTGTCTTATTTCCTTGAGCAGTGGTTTGTAATTCTCCTTGAAGAGGTCCTTCATGTCCCTTGTTAGCTGTATTGCTAGGTTTATTCTCTTTGTAGCAATTGTGAATGTGAGTTCATTCATTATTTGGCTGTATGCTTGTCTATTGTGGGTATATAGGAATGCTTGCTTTTTGTACATTGATTTTATATCCTGAGATTTTGCTGAAGTTGCTGATCAGCTTAAGGAGCTTTTGGGCTGAGATGATGGGGTTTTCTAAATATAGGATCATGTCGCCTGCAAACAGAGACAATTTGATTTCCTCTCTTCCTATTTGAATACCATTTATTTCTTTCTCTTGCCTGATTGCCCTGGCTAGAACTTCCAATACTTGTTGAATAGGAGTGGTGAGAGAGGGCATCCTTGTCTTGTGCCCATTTGCAAAGGGAATGCTTCCAGCTTTTGCCCATTCAGTTATGATATTGGCTGTGGGTGTCATAGTTCTTATTATTTTGAGATATGTTCCATCAATACCTAGTTCATCGAGAATTAACAGGAAGGGATGTTGAATTTTATTGAAGGCCCTTTTCTGCATCTGAGATAATCATGTGTGGTTTTTGTCATTGGTCCTGTTTATGTGATGGATTATGTTTACTGATTTGCCTATGTTAAAGCAGCCTTGCATCCCAGGGATGAAGCCGACTTGATTGTGGTGGATAAGCTTTTTGATGTGCTGCTGGATTCAGTTTGCCAGTATTTTTTTGAGGATTTTTGCATCAATGTTCATCAGGAATATTGGCCTGAAGTTTTCTTCTTCTTCTTTTTTTTTTCTGCAAGTTTTGGTATCAGGATGATGTTGGCCTCATAAAATGAGTTAGGAAGGAGTCCCTCATTTTCACGTGTTCAGAATAGTTTCAGAAGGGTACCAGCTCCTCTTTGTGCCTCTGGTAAATTTGGCTATGTATCCATTTGGTCCTGGGCTTTTTTTGGTTGGTAGGCTATTGATTAATGCCTCAATTTCAGAAATCATTATTGGTCTATTCAAGGATTCAGCTTCTTCCTGGTTTAGTTTTGGGAGGGTGTATGTGTCCAGGAATTTATCCATTTCTTCTAGATTTTCTAGTTATTTGCACAGAGGTGTTTATAGTATTCTCTGATGGTAGTTGGTATTTCTGTGGTGTCAGTGGTGATATCCCCTTTATCATTTTTTATTGTGTCTATTTGATTCTTCTCTTCTACTTTATTAGTCTAGCTTGTGGTCTATTTTATTATTTTTTTTTTCAAAAAAACCAGCTCCTGTATTCATTGATTTTTTTGAAGGTTTTTTGTTTGTGTCTTTCTCTCTTTCAATTCTGCTCTGGTCTTAGTTATTTCTTGTCTTCTGCTAGCTTTTGGATTTATTTGCTCTTGCTTCTCTAGTTCTTTTAGTAGTGATGTTAGGGTGTCTATTTGAGATCTTTCTAGCTTTCTGATGTGGGCATTTAGTGCTGTAAATTTCCCTCTTAACATTGCTTTAGCTGCATCCTAGGAATTCTGGTACGTTGTCTCTTTGTTCTCATTGGTTTCAAAGAACTTTTTGACTTCTGCCTTCATTTCATTATTTACCCAGGAGTCATTCACTTGGTTAATTTCCATGTAGTTGTGTGATTTTGAGTGAGTTTCTTAATCCTGAGTTCTAATTTGGATTTTTTCTTCTTTTGGCTATTATGAATAATGCTGCTACGAATACTCATGTACAAGTTTTCATAAAGACATATGTTTTCATTTCTCTTTGGGATCCATCTAGACGTGAAGTTGCTGGATCATATGGCAACTCTATGTTTAACTTTCTGAGGAGTAGCCAGACTGTTTTCCGGTAGCTGCATCATTTCACATTCCTACCAGCAACATATGAGTGTTCCAAGTTCTCCACATCCTTGCTAACATTTGTTATTTGCCAGTTTAAAAACATTATTGCCATCCTTGTGGGTGTGGAGTAGTGTCTCATGGTTTTGATTTGCATTTCTTAATGGCAAATGATGTTGAGTATCTTTTCATGTGCTTATTGGCTATTTATGTATCTTTTTTGGAAAACTGTCTATTCAAATCATTTGATCATTTTAACATTAGGTTTTTTTTAGGTTTTTTTTATTATTGAGTTGTAAATATTTTTTATATATTCTTAATACAAGTCTCTTATCAGCTCTATGATTTAGAAATATTTTCTGCCATCCTGTGGATTGACTTCCCACTTTCTTGCAAATAGTTTTTAGCAAAATTATTTTATTGTTCGATATAACAATTTGTTAGTCAATAAACATTCCAAAATGTACTGTGATAAAACAGAACAGCAATGACACCTCTGTGTGTAGCTTCATGTTACACTTAGGAGTTTACAATGGGATAGCAGAGGGGAGAGTATTGCTTCATGTGCATGCTCATCTGCAGAATGTTCAGATGTTTAACTAAAGTATGAGCCTCCTATTTGTCTTGCATTTCACTGGACTTCATAGTTGAAACAGAGAAGACTTTGGAACTGGTGGTAGTTTTTCACTTACAGGAATTAAAACTCTTAAGCAAATATAGGAAGGAAAAGAGGCTACTGTGAATCATGCAGGCAATTCCCTTTGTGGATGTGCAATTGAACATGAGGCACATGGACAAAAAGCAAAAAACTCCGAGCTCATTGCAAATGTTCAATAAATGACAGCTGGGTGAATAAATGAATCAATGAGAGTGTGTGAGGTGAATGCCTTGGCATCCTAGGTTTCTACTTGTTGCAACATCATGACCTTGATTGTGCCTGTCTAGGTCACTGTGCACTGTCTAAGGTTTGTGTGTACTTGGGGAAGAAAAAATATTTCTAAGGCAATCTGGATTATCATAAATAAGTAAATTGCCCAACTATTATGCAGAATGAAAACTTTATTTTCTGAAAACTTCATTCTGGGCACTTAAAATTTTTGCCCTTTTATAAAATGAGCTGCTTGGTAGTTAATGCAAATTAAATACTTGCTTGATGTTCAATATCTAGAAATGGTGCAATTTAGGACAACCTAGGAGCAAGATGCTTAAAGCAGGTGTATGGTCTATGTGAGGTCTCATAGCCAGTTTAGAGACAAACTAGTGACACTGGTGCAGTTGGGATAACAGTGACTGAGATTATGTTAATTAGAAGGATCAAACAGTTATTTTCTGTGCATATTCTTAAGCATGACTCTTTCAATGAACAAAACCTCCACTGGTAATAAATAAGGAAAGTGGGCCTAGTACATTACATTTTGTCTTAGTCCATTTGGGCTGCTATTACAAAATACCATAGTCTGGGTGGCTTATAAACAACAAAAAATTATTTCTCCTAGTCTTAGAGGTTGGGAAGTTCAAGATCAAGGTGCCGTCATGACTGGGTTCTGGTGAAGGCCCTCTTCTGGGTTGCAGACTGATGACTTTTTGCTGTGTCCTCACATGGTAGAAAGGGCAAGGCAGCTCTCTGAGGCCTCTTTTTTTTTTTTGAGACAGAGTCTCACTCTGTCACCCAGGCTGGAGTGCAGTGGCGCAATCTGAGCTCACTGCAAGCTCTGCCTCCTGTTCACGCCATTCTCCTGCCTCAGCCTCCCAAGTAGCTGGGACTACAGGCATCCACCACCACACCTGGCTAATTTTTTGTATTTTTTAGTAGAGACAGGGTTTCACCGTCTTAGCCAGGATAGTCTCAATCTCCTGAGCTCATGATTTACCATATGTATTTATGGTATACAATGTGGTGTTTTCATATATGTATACATTGTGGAATGGTTAAACCAAGCTATTAACATATGAATCACCTCACATGCTTATCATTTTTTTGTTGTGAGAACATTTAAAATCTACACTTAGCAATTTTCAAGTGTACATTATTATTAACTACAGTCACTGTGCTGTATAATAGATCTCCAGAACTTAATTCCTCCTAACTGAAACTTTGTGCCCTTCAATCAACATTTCCCCATTCCACACCCCCTTCTCCAGCTCCTGGCAACCACTGTTTTACTCTCTGCTTTCATGAGTTTGACTTTTTTAGATTCCACACAAAAGTGAGATCACGCAGTGTTTGTCTTTCTGTGCCTGGCTTATTTCACTTAGCATAACTGTTTCAGGTCTATCTATATTATAACAAATTACAGGTTTCCCTTCTTTTTAAAGGCTGAATAGTATTCCTTTGTATATATATCTATCACATTTTCTTTATCCATTTATCCATTCATGAACATTTAGGTTGAGTCCAAATCTTGGCAATTTTGAATAATGCTGCAGTGAATGTGAGAGTGCAGATATCTCTTTGATATCCTGGTTTAATTTCCTTTGGATGCATAGCCAGAAGTGGAATTGCTGGATAATATAGGAGTTCTATTTTTAATTTTTTTGGGGAACTTTCTTAATGTTTTCCATAATGGCTGTACTAATTTACATTTCCACCAACAGTATACAAGGGTTTTCTTTTTCCACAAACTTCCTAACATTTGTTATATTTGGTCTTTTTGATAATAGCCTGAGTCCTCTCAGGTAAGGGCACTAATCCCATTCAAGAAGACTCAGTCTTCATGACCTAATCACCTCCCAAAGGCCCCACCTTTTAAGACCATCACGTTGATCATTAGGTTTCAACACACAAATTTTGGAGAGAGACAAAATATTCAGGGCATAACAATTCATTTCTTGAATCTTTTATGTTCTATAGTAAATGGCCCTTGGAACATAGGATTCAGAGAATAGCACCTTATCAACATCTCTTATAAAAATCATCTCTTACTTTTAGTGAATCTTAGTTAACACATGCTTATTATACTAAAATACATTGAGACATTGATGTTACAATGTAAGAATAATTGTCTTTTGGGGGCTTGGTATCCTTTTGAAACTGATATGAGCAAGATGAATAAAAGGGTGATACTTAATTTGCCTTTAAGATCATTTCTTACCACTTTTCTCAAAACATGGGATTGCATTCTATACAGGTCATGGTTCTGTTGATTGCTTGATCATAGACCAAGCTATGATAAGGGTGCAACCTGATCATTAGCCATCTAACCAGTTGATGGCATTCCTGAGTATGCCTGATGTAGAACAAAAGAATTCTAGCTCTTTAATTCTGTAGGAGCTTTGCTCTGAAAATATCTTGGGACAGAAAGACATGAGGCCAAGACTAAGACAAAAATTGAGGAAGTAATAGGCCTTTTGGGCAAATTAATGCTGGCATGCCAATTAACTGAATTTGTCTTTCCTGATTTTAATAGATCCTGAAGAACCGTTCCAGCAGTGTTTGTTGCTGTTGTACTAAACCAGAGCCATTAAGATATCAGGCCAATAAAATGTCACCTGATTAATTTGCCTGGATGTGGCTATGAACCTATTTGAAATCAAAGAATTATTGCATTGAATTGAATTGTATACATTAGGAGATTTAAAATATTATTACTAAAATACCTTTTTATTATGTATAGTTTGTTGTATAATGTTTTCAATTTATCACATTATATTAGCCTTCTTTTTTGTGATTGCAGGAAAGAGTCATGTCAGTTAAGAAAGGCATAGCTTTCAATTTTTCAATTGAAAATTTGAATTGAAACCTACAAATTTTTCAATTGAAACCTTCAGTTTTTGGAACTGTTTACTGCAAAATAGTCTTAGTGTTATAGTTGCATTTAGATGTGTATGAAAACACATCTGAATATTAGCTGCATTATACAATATTCATAAGGAAATAGTCTTTTTTTCTTCTCAGGTAATATGGGCTAAAATATAGTGCTGCATATAAAAAAATCAGAATGGTAGCAGAAAAAGGCTTGGAGTTCATGGTTAATTTATTCCTGAAAATAGTTTTTTTCCCCATTTTCAACTGAGATAAAGATAATATAAAATGAAATGCTCAGATGTTACATGTACCATTTAATCCTCTTTGATGAATGCATATCAATAAACAGAACATTTCCATCTTGGAAAATTCCTTTTACCTTTCCCAGTCAACCTCCCCAGGAGCAAAAACTGATTTATATCCCCGAAGATTAGTTTTGCTTATTCTAGAATTCATATACTCTAGCTGGAATCATACAGATATACTTTTTTTGTGTGTTTGCTTATTTCATTAAGCATAATAATTTCATAATGTTTCCTTTTTTATTTTTTGAGATAAATTCTTGCTCTGTTACCCAGCCTTGAGTGCAGTGGCATGATCTCAGCTCACTGCAACCTCCACCTACCTCCTGGGTTCAAGTGATTCTCGTGCTTCAGCCTCCCAAGTAGCTGAGATTACAGGCATGTGCCACCACATCTGGGTAATGTTTGTATTTTTAGGAAAGACAGGGTTTCACCATGTTGGCCAGGCTGGTCTCGAATTCCTGGCCTCAAGTAATCCACCTGCCTCAGCCTCCCAAAATGCTGGGATTACAGGTATGAACAACTGCACCTGGCTTATCCATGTTTTAATGCATGTCAGTAATTCATGCCATTTCATTGCTAAGAAGTATCCCATTATATGAGTGTACCATAGTTGTTGTATGTTCTGCCACATTACTAAATTTGTTTATTACTTTTAGTAGTATTCTTGTAAATTCTTTAGAATTTTTGTCAAACACAACCATGTCATCTGAAAATAAAGACAGTTTATATCTATCTTTTGAATCTTTCTGCCTGTTTTTTTTTCTTACCTTATTGCACTATCTGGGACCTCTAGTTCAATATTGAATAGACGGGTCGAGAGCAGGGATCCTTGCCTTGTACATTTACTTGGTGACGATCATCTGGGTTGTTTCCAGTTTTTGGCTATTATTAATAAAGCTGCTGTGAACATTCATGTACAAGTGATTTTGTGCATATATGCTTTCATTTCTCTTGGGTAAATAGGAGTGGAACAGTTAGAAGGAAAATATGAGTCCTGGATCATCGGGTAAATTTATGTTTAACATTTTAAGAAAACGGCAAGTGATTTTTTAAAGTTGTTGTAGCATTTTATACTTCACTAGCAATGAATGAGAGTTCCAGTTGCTCCATGTCCTTTTCAACATTTGGCACTTTTTTTTTCATTTTAGCCAATCTGATGAGCATGAAGTGATATCTCATTATGGTTTTAACTTGAATTTCTCTGATGACAAATGATATTGAACACTTTTTCTACAAATTATTGGCCACACAACATTTACATATCTTTTTTTGTGATGTGTTTAAGTGTTTTAATTTTTAAATTGGGTTGTTTGTCTTTTTGTTAGGTGATACAGATGTTCTTTGTATATTCTGCTATAAATACTTTGTCAGTTTTATGTATTATGAATATTGTATCGCACAGACATGGCTTTATATTTATTTCTTGACGAAGTTTTGTGAAGAGCAAAACTTCTTAGGTTTTAGATATAATTTAGATAAATTATAAAAATAAATTCTTTTTCTATTATGATTTGTAATTTCTGTGCACTTGCCAAGAAACCTGCGCCTAACCCAAGCTTTTAAAGTTTTTCTCCTATATTTTCTTCTAATAGCTTTATTGTTGTAGTGTTTGTATATGAGTCCATTATCAATCTTTGATTTGGAGTATGGTGTGAAGTAGGTATCAAAATTATTTTATTCCAAAGGGAAATTCAGTTGTTCCGTACCATTTATTAAAGAGGGGTTCCTTTACCCCTCTTTATTATTAGCTATACTGCTCTTACTAAAACCAAGGCTCTATTTCTGTACTATCTATTCAGTTCCATTTATCTCCTTTTTCCAGTGCTATTTTCCTCTTGATTACAGTTGCTTTATAAGAAGTCTTAAAGTCAGGTAGCATAAGTTCTCCATTTTTCTTCTTTTTTTCCCACTAAAGGGAATTTTAGCTATTTTCATCCTTTGTCTCTTCAGATAAATTTTAAAATTATCTCACCAATTAAAAAAACTTCTATAGATTTTAATTGTTATTTCATTGAATCTGAAGATAAGTTTGGGGAGAACTGACATTAATATTGAGTCTTCTGCTTCATGAACATAGTATTTATTCATTTATTTAGGTTTTCTCTAGTTTCTGTCAGTAACGTTTTATAGCTAAGTATATTTCTAAATAGTTGATGCTTTTGTAAAGTTTAAAATTTAATTTATTTATTTTGAGAGGGAATCTCACTGCATCCAGGTTGGAGTACAGTGGTTTGATCTTGGCTCACTGTAACCTCTGCCTCCTGGGTTAAAGGTTTCTCCTGCCTCAGCCTCCCTAGTAGCTGGGAGTACAGGCATGCACCATCATACCTGGCTAATTTTTTTATTTTTAGTAGAGATGGGGTTTCATTATGTTGGCCAGGCTGGTCTCAAACTCCTGACCTCAAGTGACCCACTCACTTCGGCCTCCCAAAGTGCTGGGATTACAGGCATGAGCTACTGGTGCCCAGCTTAAAATTTCATTTCATTTTCAAATGGTTAATTACTAGTATATAGGTAAATAAATGTAGTTATTTTTGGATAGTGACTTTATGTTGTGCCACATTACTAAATTTGTTTATTACTTTTAGCTGTATTCTTGTAAATTATTTATAATTTTTGTCAAACACAACCATGTCATCTGAGAATAAAGACAGTTTATATCTATCTTTTGAATCTTTCTGCCTGTTTTTTTTTTTTCCTTACCTTATTGCACCATCTGGGACCTCTAGTTCAATATTGAATAGATGGGTCGAGAGCAGAGATCCTTGCCTTGTTTTGATCTAAGGAAAAAAATTATTACTTTAGTGTTACGTATAATATTATCTATAGGCTTTACTTAGATGCCGCAATGGTTTGAATGTTTTGTGTCTCTTCAAAATTTATGTTGAAACTCAATCCCTAATGCAATAGTATTAAGAGGTGGAGTCTTTGGGGGAAGTGATTAAGTCATGAGCTCTCATGAATGGATTATTACCCTTATTAAAGGGCTTGAGAGAACTACCTATGCCCTTTTTTTTGGCCCTTCTGTCCCTTTTGCTATGTGAGTAGACAAAGTATGCCCCCTCCACAGGATGCAGCAACCAGTTGCCATATTGGAAGCAGATAACAGGCCCTCACCAAACACCAAACCTTCTTACTTAAATTAGAATCAGAAGAAACTGATTTTATATCTTCATTTTTTTTTTTTGAGACAGAGTCTCACTCTGTCACCCAGGCTGGAGTGCAGTGGCACAATCTCCGCTCACTGCCACTTCTGCCTCCCAGGTTCAAGCGATTCTCCTGCCTCAGCCTCCCAAGTAGCTGGGATTACAGGCACCCACCACCACACCCAGCTAATTTTTTGTATTTTTAGTAGAGATGGGGTTTCACCATCTTGGCCAGGCTGGTCTTGAATTCCTGACCTCGTGATCCACCTGCCTCGGCCTCCCAAAGTGCTGGGATTATAGATGTGAGCCAGCGCGTCCGGCCTATATCTTTACTCTTTTAAAAAGCATAGACATTTAAAGCTATAAATTTCCCTCCAAGAAGTAGTTTTGCTGTATCATAAAAATTTTAACATGTTCTGTTTTCAGTGAGTTCAAAATATTTTCTAATTTCTTTTGTGCTTTATTTTTGAGCCATGTGTTATTTATTAGTGTATTTTAAGTTTCAAACATTTGGGAGATTTTCTAGGTTTCTTATTGATTTCTAATTTAATACCATTGTAATCAGAGGACATATTCTGTATAATTTCAAACCTTTTAAATTTACTGAGGCCTGTTATGTGGCCCATTACACGGTCTATTTTGGTGACTGTTTCATGTGCATTCTGTTCTTCTTGGATGCAGTGTTCCATAAAAGTTAGGGCAATTTAATTGGTAATATTGTTCTGATATTCTGTATCTTTACTGATTTCTTTTTGGTTCACTGGTTCTTTCTATTAATAGGAGAGAGACATTAAATTTTCCAACTATGAACGAGAACTTGTCTATGGTTTCCTTTAGTTTTACCATTTTTTTGCCTTATATTTTTGGGAGCTTTAATATTAAATACAAGCACATTTAGTATTTTTGCATTACTTTGATTAATTCGCCCTTTTGTTAGGTCTTTCTGTCTCTGATAATATTTACTTTAAATACCCACCTGGATCCTTACTTCTTATTTATATGGCCACATTAGCTTTATTATGCATAGTCATGGGAGGGCAAATAGTTTTTTTCCTTTTAAAATTTCAACCTATGTATATCTTTATTTTGAAATTGTGGGGTGGAGCCAAGATGGCCGAACAGGAACAGCTCCAATCTACAGCTCCCAGCATGAGTGATGCAGAAGACAAGTGATTTCTGCATTTCCAACTGAGGTACCAGGTTCATCTCACTGGGGAGTGTCAAAAAGTGGGTGCAGGACAGTGGGTGCAGTGCACTGAACATGAGTCGAAGCAGGGTGAGGCATCGCCTCACCCAGGAAGCGCAAGGGGTCAGGGAATTCCCTTTCCTAGTCAAAGAAAGGGGTGACATACAGCACCTGGAAAATCGGGTCACTCCCACCCTAATACTGCGCTTTTCCAACGGTCTTAGAAAACGGCACACCAGAAGATTATATCCTGTGCCTGGCTTGGAGGGTCCTATTCCCACGGAGCCTCACTCATTGCTAGCACAGCAGTCTGAGATCAAACTGTAAGGCGGCAGCCAGGCTGGGGGAGAGGCGCCCACAATTGCTGAGGCTTGAGTAGGTAAACAAAGTGGCTGGGAGGCTCGAACTGCGTGGAGCCCACCACAGCTCAAGGAGGCCTGCCTCTGTAGACTCCACCTCTGGGGGCAGGGCATAGCCAAACAAAAGGCAGCAGAATCCTCTGCAGACTTAAATGTCCCTGTCTGACAGCTTTGAAGAGAGTAGTGGTTCTCCCAGCATGCAGCTGGAGATCTGAGAACGGACAGACTGCTGCCTCAAGTGGGTCCCTGACTCCTGAGTAGCCTACTGGGAGACACCCCCTAGTAGGGGCAGACTGACACCTCACACGGCCAGGTACTCCTCTGAAACAAAACTTCCAGAGGAATGATCAGGCAGCAACATCTGCTGTTCACCAATATCTGCTCTTCTGCAGCCTCTGCTGCTGATACCCAGGCAAACAGCGTCTGGAGTGGACCTCCAGCAAACTCCAACAGACCTGCAGCTGAGGGTCCCGGCTGTCAGAAAGAAAACTAACAAACAGAAAGGACATCCACACCAAAACCCCATCTGTACGTCACCATCATCAAAGATCAAAGGTAGATAAAACCGCAAAGATGGGGAAAAAACAGAGCAGAAAAACTGGAAACTCTAAAAATCAGAGTGCTTCTCCTCCTCCAAAGGAATGCAGCTCCTCACCAGCAATGGAACAAAGCTGGGCGGAGAATGACTTTGACAAGTTGAGAGAAGAAGACTTCAGACAATCAAACTACTCAGAGCTAAAGAAGGAAGTTCTAACCAATGGCAGAGAGTTAAAAACCTTCAAAAAAAATTAAGACGAATGGCTAACTAGAATAACAGAGACAGAGAAGTCCTTAAAGGACCTGATGGAGCTGAAAACCATGGCACGAGAACTACGTGTCGAATGCACAAGCCTCAGTAGCTGATGCAATCAACTGGAAGAAAGGGTATCAGCGATGGAAGATCAAATGAATGAAATGAAGAGAGAAGAGAAGTTTAGAGAAAAAAGAATAAAAAGAAACGAACAAAGCCTCCAAGAAATATGGGACTATGGAAAAGACCAAATCTATGTCTGATTGGTGTACCTGAAAGTGACGGGGAGAATGGAACCAAGTTGGAAAACACTCTGTAGGATATTATCCAGGAAAACTTCCCCAATCTAGCAAGGCAGGCCAACATTCGGATTCAGGAAATACATAGAATACCACAAAGATACTCCTCGAGAAGAGCAACTCCAAGACACATAATTGTCAGATTCACCAAAGTTGAAATGAAGGAAAAAATGTTAAGGGCAGCCAGAGAGAAAGGTCGGGTAACACATAAAGGGAATCCCATCAGACTAACAGCTGATCTCTCGGCAGAAACTCTACAAGCCAGAAGAGAGTGGGGGCCAATATTCAACATTCTTAAAGAAAAGAATTTTCAACCCAGAATTTCATATCCAGCCAAACTAAGCTTCATAAGTGAAGGAGAAATAAAATACTTTACACACAAGCAAATGCTGAGAGATTTTGTCACCACCAGGCCTGCCCTAAAAGAGCTCCTGAAGGAAGCACTAAACATGGAAAGGAACAACCGGTACCAGCCACTGCAAAAACATGCCAAATTGTAAAGACCATTGAGGCTAGGAAGAAACTGCATCAACTAACAAGCAAAATAACCCGCTAACATCACAATGACAGGATCAAATTCACACATAACAATATTAACCTTAAATGTAAATGGGCTAAATGCTCCAATTAAAAGACACAGACTGGCAAACTGGATAAAGAGTCAAGATCCATCAGTGTGCTGTATTCAGGAAACCCATCTCATGTGCAGAGACACACATAGGCTCAAAATAAAGGGATGGAGGAAGATCTACCAAGCAAATGAAAAGAAAAAAAGGCAGGGGTTGCAATCCTAGTCTCTGATAAAACAGACTTTAAACCAACAAAGATCAAAAGAGACAAAGAAGGCCATTACATAATGGTAAAGGGATCAATTCAACAAGAAGAGCTAACTATCCTAAATATATATGCACCCAATACAGAAGTACCCAGATTCATAAAGCAAGTCCTTAGAGACCTAAAAAGAGACTTAGATTCCCACACAATAATAATGGGAGACTTTAACACCCCACTGTCAACATTAGACAGATCGACAAGACAGAAAGTTAACAAGGATATCCAGGAATTGAACTCAGCTCTGCACCAAGCGGACCTAATAGACATCTACAGAACTCTCCACCCCAAATCAACAGAATATACATTCTTTTCAGCACCACACCACACCTATTCCAAAATTGACCACATAGTTGGAAGTAAAGCACTCCTCAGCAAATGGAAAAGAATAGAAATTATAACAAACTGTCTCTCAGACCACAGTGCAATCAAACTAGAACTCAGGATTAAGAAACTCACTCAAAACCACTCAACTACATGGAAACTGAACAACCTGCTCCTGAATGACTACTGGGTACATAACGAAATGAAGGCAGAAATAAAGATGTTCTTTGAAACCAACGAGAACAAAGACACAACACACCAGAATCTCTGGGACACATTTAAAGCAGTGTGTAGAGGGGAATTTATAGCACTAAATGCCCACAACAGAAAGCAGGAAAGATCTAAAATTGACACCCTAACATCACAATTAAAAGAACTAGAGAAGCAAGATCAAACACATTCAAAAGCTAGCAGAAGGCAAGAAATAACTAAGATCAGAGCAGAACTGAAGGAAATAGAGACACAAAAAACCCTTCAAAAAATCAATGAATCCAGGAGCTGGTTTTTTGAAAAGATCAACAAAATTGATAGACCGCTAGCAAGACTAATAAAGAAGAAAAGAGAGAAGGATCAAATAGAGGCAATAAAAAGTGATAAAGGGATATCACCACCGATCCCACAGAAATACAAACTACCATCAGAGAATACTATAAATACCTCTATGCAAATAAACTAGAAAGTCTAGAAGAAGTGGATAAATTTCTGGACACATACACCCTCCCAAGACTAAACCGGGAAGAAATTGAATCTCTGAATAGACCAATTAGAGCCTCTGAAATTGAGGCAATAATTAATAGCTTACCAACCAAAAAAAGTCCAGGACCAGATACATTCACAGCCGAATTCTACCAGAGGTACAAGGAGGAGCTGGTACCATTCCTTCTGAAACTATTCCAATCAATAGAAAAAGAGGGAATCCTCCCTAACTCATTTTATGAGGCTAGCAACCTCCTGATACCAAAGCCTGACAGAGATACAAGAAAAAAAGAGAATTTCAGACCAATATCCCTGATGAACATCAATGCAAAAATCCTCAATAGAATACTGGCAAACCTAATCCAGCAGCACATCAAAAAGCTTATCCACCATGATCAAGTCGGCTTCATCCCTGGGATGCAAGGCTGGTTCAACATACACAAATCAATAAACGTAATCCAGCATATAAACAGAACCAAAGACAAAAACCACATGATTATCTCAATAGATGCAGAAAAGGCCTTTGACAAAATTCAACAACCGTTCATGCTAAAAACTCTCAATAAATTAGGTATTGGTGGGACGTATCTCAAAATAGTAAGAGCTATCTATGACAAACCCACAGCCAATATCATACTGAATGGATAAAAACTGGAAGCATTCCCTTTGAAAACGGGCACAAGACAGGGATGCCCTCTCTCACCACTCCTATTCAACATAGTGTTGGAAGTTCTGGTCAGGGCAATCAGGTAGGAGAAGGAAATAAAGGGTATTCAATTAGGAAAAGAGGAAGTCAAATTGTCCCTGTTTGCAGATGACATGACTGTATATCTAGAAAATCCCATTGTCTCAGCCCAAAATCTCCTTAAGCTGATAAGCAACTTCAGCAAAGTCTCAGGATACAAAATCAATGCGCAAAAATAACAAGCATTCTTATACACCAAGAACAGACAAACAGACAGCCAAATCATGAGTGAAATCCCATTCACAATTGCTTCAAAGAGAATAAAATACCTAGGAATCCAACTTACAAGGGACGTGAAGGACCTCTTTAAAGAGAACTACAAACCACTGCTCAATGAAATAAAAGAGGATACAAACAAATGGAAGAACATTCCATGCTCATGGGTAGGAAGAATCAATACTGTGAAAATGGCCATACTGCCCAAGGCAATTTATACATTCAATGCCATCCCCATCAAGCTACCAATGACTTTCTTCACAGATCTGGAAAAAACTATTTTAAAGTTCATATGGAACCAAAAAAGAGCCCACATTGCCAAGTCAATCCTAAGCCAAAAGAACAAAGCTGGAGGCATCACGCTACCTGACTTCAAACTGTACTACCAGCCTACAGTAACCAAAACAGCATGGTACTGGTACCAAAACAGAGATAAAGACCAATGGAACAGAAGAGAGCCCTCAGAAATAATGCTGCATATCTACAACTATCTGATCTTTGACAAACCTGACAAAAACAGGAAATGGGGAAAGGATTCCCTATTTAATAAATGGTGCTGGGAAAACTGACTAGCCATATGTAGAAAGCTGAAACTGGATCCCTTCCTTACACCTTATACAAAAATTAATTCAAGATGGGTTAAAGACTTCAATGTTAGATGTAAAACCATAAAAACCCTAGAAGAAAACCTAGGCAATACCATTCAGGACATAGGCATGGGCAAGGACTTCATGTCTAAAACACCAAAAGCAATGGCAACAAAAGCCAAAAAATTGACAAATGGCATCTAGTTAAAGAGCTTCTGCACAGAAAAAGAAACTGCCATCAGAGTGAACAGGCAACCTACAGAATGGGAGAAAATTTTTGCAATCTATTCATCTGACAAAGGGCTAATATCCAGAATCTACAATGAACTCAAACAAATTTACAAGAAAAAAACAAACAACCCCATCAAAAAGTGGGCGAAGGATATGAACAGACACTTCTCAAAAGAAGACATTTATGCAGCCAAAAGACACATGAAAAAATGCTCATCATCACTGGCCTTCAGAGAAATGCAAATCAAAACCACAATGAGATACCATCTCACACCAGTTAGAATTGAGATCATTAAAAAGTCAGGAAACAACAGGTGCTGGAGAGGATGTGGAGAAATAGGAACACTTTTACACTGTTGGTGGGAATGTAAACTAGTTCAACCATTGTGGAAGTCAGTGTGGCGATTCCTCAGGGATCTAGAACTAGAAATACCATTTGATCCAGCCATCCCATTACTGGGTATATACCCAAAGGATTAGAAAACATGCTGCTATGAAGACACATGCACCCATATGTTTATTGTGGCACTATTCACAATAGCAAAGAGTTGGAACAAAGCCAAATGTCCAACAATGATAGACTGGATTAAGAAAATGTGGCACATATACACCATGGAATACTATGCAGCCATAAAAAATGATGAGTTCATGTCCTTTGTAGGGACATGGATGAAGCTGGAAACCATCATTCTCAGCAAACTATCGCAAGGACAAAAAACCAAACACCGCATGTTCTCACTCATAGGTGGGAATTGAACAAAGAGAACCCGTGGACACAGGAAGGGGACCATCACACACCAGGGCCTGTTGTGGGGTCGGGAGGTGGGGAGGGATAGTATTAGGAGATATACCTAATGTTAAATGACGAGTTACTGGGTGTAGCCCACCAACATGGCACATGTATACATATGTAACTAAACTGCATGCTGTGCACACGTACCCTAAAACTTAAAGTATAATAAAAAAAATTCCAAAAAAAAAGATATTGTGCTTACTATAAAAAACATAATTGGGTCTTGAATTTTTATCCAGTCTGACAGTCTCTGTCTTTTAATTGTTATAATTAGAACTTTTACATTTAACACAATTGTTGACAAGTTTGGTTTCTATTTGTCCCATCTGCTTTTTATTTCTCTCTTCCTCCTCTTCTGCCACTTTTTGGGTGAATTAAATACTTTTTAGGGTTGCATTTAATATCTCATTTTTATTTGTACCTCTTTATATTATCTTAATAGTCTTGAAGATAGTTTTCAAAAAGAATTTATCATAGAAATTATTTTAAAATTTCTTCTGGATGTTTTCATACCTTTTTTGGGTGCTGCCACTTTCCTTCTTTTTTTTTGTATGTGAAGCTTGAAACCACATAAAGCGTTGTCCACAACAGAGACTCCAACAAGTTCTCCGTACATCCCCACATACCATCTCTTTTCAGTTTCAAAATGTGTATTCCCACTAAAGAAAGAAAAGAAGGGCTGACTTTGTGGGGTAGAAATATGGAGGTGGAAACAGAGCAGCAATAAATGAGAAATGGAGACTTTGCTATTTCTTCAGACTTATTTGCTGAGAAAAGTAAACCTTGTCAGCAGTTTCATATAGTGGATTAAAAACAGAAATAACTTCATATAGAGCTGTGCTCAAATGTGGAATTTTCTGCCTTTTAACTAGCTGACTTTGGACAAGTTACTTCACTTCTTTGATCTTTACTTTTCCACCATTTAACAAACATTTATTATTTATTAAGTTGGGACTTGAAATTTACTCTTAAAATAAGAAGAACCTAATCTGTTCACTTATAAGACAAAAAAAGCAAAACAAAAAATACTTAGTGATATAACCTTGTAAGAATCTATTAAGGTTTAATCAAACTATTTTAATTTTTTTCCGAAGTATCAAGCTGAAAATTCAACAAGAAGTTGGGGCCTTTCATCTCCATATATTTTTCTTTAAATTTTTTTTTATTTCAATAGCTTTGGGTTCATCAATTTTTAATGCTTGTCTATAACTGCAGATTTCAAATTTATGACATTTGTGTATTACTTAGGCTACATGCATGTTGTTGTTAAGAAAGGAAAATACAGTAATTTCTATTATAATTTTTATCTCATTTCTAATAACAGTTCATACATTTGATACACTAAATCATGTCCTGTTTTTATTTTGTTATGGTTGAAGGTATTCAATGATTTGTAAGGCTTTTTTCCAACTTGCTAGAGCACATTTAAAAAATGTGAATCCCAGAGGGCATGCTATTGAATTTCTCAGCAGAAGTCATTGTTTTGTAACACGTTCTTTAGGAGATTATTCTTCAGGGATCAGGATGTGCCCATCTCATAGCAGTTCTGCTGTAGATAATAATGTTCTGATAAGACTGTATGTAGATCCCTCTAAAGATCTGTTTTTATATCTTTTTTATACCAGGAAGTATATAATTTTTCTCTCTAGGTCAGCCAAAGCACTGACTGTTTTGGGAAAACTTATGTCCCTTGTTAAGCGTGGAAAGCATTACTATTTATGTTAGAGATTGGTGACATCGGTGTACTTCATGAAAGCTCTATGAAACAATCAAGACAAATGCAGAGAATGACTTTTCTTCTTTACCTTAAGTAGTGTTATTCTGCTTTCTTTGTTTTACATGTATAACAAAATGTAAAAATAATTATCCATCAAGTGATATATTAATGTATTTATCCTCAAAAGGAAAAGTTTTGTATGTGAGAGTTATGCATAAAAAATAATTAAAATGGAAATTTTACTAAAACCCCCAAAGTGAGGATGACTGGGACCATGGGATAACTTCATAGTAATAAAGACCCTTCTTTGGAAATGCCTCTTCACAGAGAACAATAGGCATGTGATACTAATGGCTATAAGGGGACTGCAGAATCATGAACTTTTTGCCAGATCCTTCTAATTTCGAAGCTATTCCTTCATTGGAAGTCTTTGAAAGTAAATTAAGTCACCTTGGTCACTAGCTCTGGGAATTGTTATCCCAGATATGAATAAAAAGCAATACAACATTTGAAAACTTGCTGTCTCTTGGGGCCTGTTTCCTCATCTTTCTAAATAAGAAGGAATAATAAACTACTTTAAGTTATAATGATATTATAGAAATAAATATTTATAAAGTGCTTTGATGGAGAACAAAGGAAGATGATATGAAATGCCAACTACTGGTATTATTTAATTACATTCAGCACCTAAATCAGAAAGATTAAATAATGGTTGGCATAACAACTATTCTGCTTCACCTCAGTAAGTAATTTTTGTGAAGTGTTGATTAGTATGTTCTTAATTCATATGAATTTAGCTATTACAGTCTGCTCTTGAACAATGGCGGATGGAGGGGAGGGTTATGGGTGCTAACTCCCACACAGTTGAAAATCTGCGTATAACTTTTGACTCCCCCAAAACTTAACTACTAATAGCCTACCGTTGACTAGCAGTTTTACCAACAACAGAAACAGTCAATTAACACATATTTTTATGTTACATGTATTATATACTGTATTCTTAGAATAAAGTAAACTAGAGAAAAGAAAATCATAAGGAAGATAAAAATACATTTCCAGTACTATACTGCTTTTATTGATCCCATAAGTTTATGTCATCTGCTTACAAGTTGACTCCTTTGTCTGAAATGGTGGGCAACTGCAGCTGCAGACCTCAATCTACAATACACATCAAGCGATTCAACCTTTTCTTGTAATGTCATGACTTTTCTCTGTTTCTTGGGACCACTTCCAGCATCACTAGTAGCACTTTGTATGGGTTTGATGGTGTTATTCAACGTTTACAGTATTGCACTAAACATGATGAAAAATATGTGAGAACCACAAGAGATCGCTTTTTACTGTGACAGCAATTTACCAGAGAGACAAACTGCTCATTTGGAGATATCAGTGTCACACTGCACTTTAAGCGGATCCTCACGACACTTGAACTCACCGTAGCAGCAACTGAAGATGGCTACAAAATTATTACAGTAGTATATGTAGTATGTACTATAGTTAATTTTATGCAGTTATGATTGAATACTGCAGCTTTACATTTGTTTACATTTCTCACTACAACGAATGGTGCCATGTATGGTATGTAAATGTTTCTGTGCATTAGTTTTGATAAATTTTAACTTTCTGTAATACATTTGTATACATTTTATGGTAGTAAATGATAAAATAGACTACTATTTACATATATTTTATGCATTCACAACATACTTAACTTTTTTTTTTGATACTTTTGACTACATGGTTCATCTGCAAGTTTTTTCAAATTGTCACACATCTCCAAAAATTTTTCCAATATATTTATTTTAAAAATTCATGCATAAGTGGACCCATGCAGTTCAAATCCCTGTTGTTCAAGGGTCAGCTGTAATGGTTTCATTTACTTGGATAGAAAACAAAGCTCGTTACAAAGCTACATAAAGTCATGACTTGAAGGATTGCTACAAATGTTTTTGAGTTCTGTTTCCCAAAGAGATTCTTAGTTCAAATTAATGGTATATTTGTATCTTCATGCCACTACAACTATTTTAAGCAGAAAGTAGGTTTAAAGCTAAACTATTTTTATTTCTTGTATTTTAGAATTTAGTTTATACATTAAATTTAAAGCACTTGAACTTGCTAAAATGAAGTAAATTAATTTTACAGCTATATCATTATTATTTCTAAGTCCATCCATTCAGTCTTCTGAGTGGGTTAATGATATAAATGTAATCTAGTAGCATGAATAAGATTGGACAATCCCCACAAAGAAGACTGAGCAAAAAGTTCATGATGCCTGATCACTAAAATTCCAGAGAGCATTAGACTACTAAATTTAAAAATTTTCAATAAGTATTAAGAATAAAAATAAAATGATTTATTAATAAAGTATTATTTATTTTAAAATTATTTACTTAATTGATTTATTTTAAAAACTGTGGAAGTAATAAGTATTTATTTTATCATACACAAACATTGCAGGAGCACACAGAATAGGAAGCAAACATTCCCTATCCCACATAGTAAATATGCTTGAACATGAATGTTGGCACTTGGTATGTATAATTCTGTAGGAAACAGCTTGAGGCAGAGATAGCTGGCTGTTCCTAATATTTTTCCCCCTTTTCTACTCTTTTAGAACTTTTAGTGGGGCATATAGTTGTCCAGAATGAAGACTTCATTTCCCAGCCTGCTTTGTTTCTTTTTATGGCCACATAACTAAATTATGGACAGTGGATTGCTAACGGAAGTATTTTGTACCAATTTCGAGAAACATTTTTTTTCAGAGACAAATGGCACGTGCACGCTGCTCCTCTTTTCTTCATTTGTTCCTCTGTCCTGCTGCCTGAAATGTGAGTAGTTCCTTGGACCATAAGCATGAGAGTTGTATCTTAGGGAAGAGCTGATAATGACCTAGATCTTTCAGGACATCATGGGCCAGAACCACCAGGGCAGTCTTGGCTTTCTTACCTCCAGACCAGTAGATGAGAAAGACAGAAAGTTCTGTACTGTTTAAATCACACATTCTACTTTTTCCACATTTGCAACCCATTCTAATCTTCACTCATGGAGAGTTCTGAAAGTTTTGGATATATGCAAATATAATTTAAATTTTTGACCGGTGCTTCCAAATTTTCCTTACAAAAATTATTTTACTTCATACTTTACTAAGAGGTCTATGCAAATGCTTTCCCCTCATGAGCTATTATCAGGATTTTAAATATTTTCTGAATAGGTTATTAATGTACTCTCTTTTTCAGTTTCTGCCCCTTTCATTTTATTTTCTTATCTTGCCCTACATTTTTATCATTGTTTCTCTCTCTAGATTCTCTAATTTTTTTTTCTACCTCTGTTGTAACTTTTTTGTCTCCAGCCTCTTTCTTAGCTTTCTCTTTTCTCCAAAGGGCAGATTGGAGTATTATTTTTTCTCTTCCTGAGGATACGCCACCTTGGATCTACTCCCTGGGGCTGGTTCCAGGGGCCTTAAAATCTGAAAAGGGTTCAAGCATACTTAGCAGATGTATTCTTGATGAACTGTGAACCACCACTATTGCGACATGTATATATATCCTCCAAATTTCCAAAATTCAGATTGCTTATGAAAAATGCATACACACAAAATGATTTAAAAAAATAGCAGTCTAGAGCTTGTTACCACCAATTTGTACAAAGCAGGCCTTCATGAGACTTATGAAATCATTCTACTTTTAAAAGAGAGTATTATATACAACTATTTTCTCTATTAATAAATGTGAGTCTTCCATTGCTTGTTATAGTGAAGGAGACTTTCTTTTTTCTTTTTTTTTTTTCTGTTCCTTCCAGAGCAGGGCTAACTCTTAGGCAGTGTGCCAGAGTCAGCCTAAGGAGAATTTTGACTGCTTTCTTTCCCCTGCTCTTCCTAGCAGTAATTCTCCATGTGACATTGTTAGTGTCTAACTCTCTCCAACAATCCCAAGCTGTCATACCCCCAACCTTACTTAAAGAACAGTCCATATACATTTTCTTACCCACAGGTCACCTTCATTTGTCTGCTTAAACTTGACATACTGGCCACAGCTGGTTTCTCCAAGGTTTACATCTGATCCTAAGGCAGCCATCTGGACTTGCCATGGTTACTGAGGCAAGCAGGTTCAAGGGCTTGATAAAAGGAGTCATGTAAGGATTACTCAATTGCACTTTAAAAGTCTGAATGGCACACACTTATAGACACACACATGCATTCAAGGGGCTGGGTAAAGGGAACTCCCAGAAGGAAAGGAATAAGGATGCCTCATGTGATAGCAAGAAGGAGACTGGAGAGAGGATATTAACCATGGCAGGGGAAGTAGACACAGTATAGGGGAAACAGACAGGAGATAAGCTGCCACAGGTGTGCCGTAGTGGAAGTACTAAGCAGAGGATGAGAATGGATGGATAAGACACTACAACTTCTGTGATCTTAAAAAAAAATTCAGTTTTCCAACAGTCCAGCTGTGTACCGTTTGAAAATGTTTTCTGTCTCATCTTCTTTCTCTTGTCCTTACAATAAATCGTACCTACTCAGGTAAATTCGTGTATCTCATCGTAATTGGAAAGAGCCTAACATATTTTTAATGTCCTTGTTTGCATCTTATTAAGCTTGTTACAGAATATATTTCTAGTTTTTTCTGTTGGACTGTGCTCTTGCTCCATCAGGAAACAGTTTCATATTCCTCAGATTCGAGGTAATGATCCTGTCTCCTCAATTCTGTGGTCTTCCTAAAGGACTGTGCTAGGAGAAGAACAAGCAAAAATTAGACATCAAATTGTTTTAAGGCTTGGTAGTTACTTGTTTATTGTTTATTGTGTCACTGGTCTTCATTTAGTTGTTCTAGACATTCTGCCTACTCTCACACAATTTTTATTTTTCTCTTTATGGATCATTCTCATCGGCTTATAAACATATTATTCCTCACATCTGAATAAAACTCTTTTCTTGATTTCACTTTCCCTGTTACTGCCACACCATTTCTTTGCTTTTCTTGGCAAATTGAAAGCATTGCCTATTTTTATTATTTCCAGTTCTCCTTCCATTCTCCCTTAATCTTACTACAATCCAGGTTTTCTTGTTTCCATCACTCCACTAAAACTGATCTCAATAAAGGCATCTGTAACTTCCACATTGCTAAATCCTGTGGTTAATTTTCACTCTGTATTTTATTTGACTTAGCAGCATCACATGACGCAGTTAATTCACCTGGCTTCTGCAAACTCTTGATTTTCCTCCTTCATTTCCTGCTTACTCAAATTTTCTGCTTTCTCCCCTTCTTTGCAATCTTTTAATCATGGGAAAGTTCTGTTCTTAGTTCTCTTTTCAGCCAAGGAGAGAATAGAGTTGTTGTGTTGCGCAAATGCCATGTCAACAATTCAGTTCCCATTAGATTATTCTTTTAATCCAAACAGTGCAGAAGAATGGAAAGTGAGCTCCCCACCCTGGGCCCTTGGTCCCACTTTGTAGTCTTAAAGTGTGGATGTTCTAACAGAAATTTACCATAAATTAATGGATACAAGCCAATACTTGCTGTGCTCTCATGGTCATCTGTGGATATGCACAGAGCAGCAACATATTTGAGTTGCTCGATGTGCTTGTTTGCAGCTGGGCTTGCTCTACCTTCTTGTTCCAGCTCTTATACTGGAAACAAGAGTCCTTTTCAGGGTCTATTTAGTGCCATGTTTTCCTCATTTTTGTGTTTTGGAGGTGATTTTACTGTTTAAAGTGGCCCCAAGCATAGTGGTAGAGTGTGGCCTAGTGTTCCCAGTCATAGGAAGTCTCTGATGTGCCTTGTGGAGAAAATAGATGCATTAGATAAACTTAGTTCAGGCATGAGTTCCACTCCTGTTGGCCATGAGTTCAGTGTTAATGAGTCAACAATGTATATTCAATAAGGTGCTTTAAACAGAAACACATGTAAAAGAAGGCTGTATATTGACCAGTGAGTTGATAAAATGGTGGTGACCAGACACTAGCAGAAATCTAGCCCTAGGGGCGATTTATTCAGTATTTCTGCTAGGAGCAATGATTTAATATTTGCCAATTCAATGTTTCTGGAGACTTTACAGATCATAAGTACTGAGAATGAGAATCAATTGTATTTGCAAATTTGATAGTAACAAATTGACTTCTAAGATGTCTGTAATAATTTATACTCTAATCAACAATATATGAATGGCTATTTGTTTATTCCTTCACTAACAGTGTGTATTAGAAAATGTTAAGTCTTTGTCAGATAGGTTAAAAGGTGTATTACTCTTATTTTAATTTATATATCTTTAATTATGCATATTTATACATATGCATGCGTGTGCACGCACATGTGTGTGTGAGAGACAGACAGAGAGAGAGTGAGAGAGAGAGAGACAAAGGTTTGCTCATATCTTTCACCCATGTTAAAAATTGGGTCCTTGGTGTTTTTCGTTATAGATTTATGAAATCACTTTATATATTGAAGAAATGTATCCTTTATTGGTTGAAGATTTTTTTCTCAATATGTCATTTGTCTTTCAACTTTGATTAAGTTTTTTTGACCATTAAAAACTCTTTATAACACTATATAAAAAGTTTTGAGATACAGCTGGAGATTATGGCAAACAGGAGGCAGGACTAGATTGCAGCCACTTGAACGGACAAAACAGTGTGTGGAGGCTCACATCATGAACTTTTGCTTCAGAACGATTGCAGGAATACGTTAGGAAAGCCAAGAGAACCTACAGAGCCTCTGAAGGAAGCCGACTGCTCCTAAAGGACCCAGGAAACACCCCAAATACTGTGAGTGCCCAAACTGTGGAAGTGGGAAAGGGAGATCGTCTGCCCCCAAACACACACCCCCACTGGGGAACCCTGAAGGTCTAGATGACAGGAGAAGATTCTTACCTTACTTGGAGCTGGGTCAGTTTAGAGAACTGAGAGAAATACAGGGGTACAGGAAGCAGCAGGAAAATCCCTGCGGGCTTGCTGGATCCCCTAGAAGGCCCTTTCTGCCTCGCCTCACAGGTGTCCTTGAGGAGGGCTGCCAGAGGCACTGGGAAAAGGCCACAGGGAGAAGGAAACCTCCAGCTGAACTTTGTAACAATTTGAACCAATCGAGAAGTCTCCTGGCCAGAACTCTGGGGAGGGGGTGAATCTGGCGTACAGACTCCACAGGCAGGGGAAGAAGGAATGCCCTACTTACTTTTGCAGCTGGGAGGTGGGTAGCCTGGGGTAACTTCCTGTTTGCCCACTACCTGGAAACAGACTTGGTGCTGTTGTGGGGGTGGGCATGGTGGGAGTGAGACTGGCCCTTTGGGTTGCTTGGGAGCTGGGTTGGGTGAGGCCTGTGACTGCCAGCTTTTCCCCCACTTCCCTGACAACCCGCATGACACTGCAGAGGCAGTCATAATCCTCCTAAGAACATAACTCTATTGACTTAGGAACCACACCTCCATCCTCCACAGCAACTGCAGCAAGACCCACCCAGTAGAGTCTGAGCTCAGACACGCCTAGTCCTGTTGCCACCTAATGGTCCTTCCCTCACCACCCTGGTAATTGAAGACAAAGGGCATATACTCTTGGGAGTTCTAGGGCCCTGCCCACTGCCCCTTCCTCCTGTACTACCACAGCTGATGCTCTCTTGAAAGTGCCACCTCCTGGCAGGAGGCCAACCAGCACAAAAATAGTCCACTAATCAAAACTAAGGACCCTCACAGAGTCCATTATACCCCCTGCCACATCCACCTGGAGCAAGTGCCAGGATCCATGGCTGAGAGACCCACAGGTGTTTCACATCACAGGACTCTGTGCAGACAACCCCCAGTACCAGCCCAGAGCCTGGTAGACTTGCTGGGAGGCTAGATCCAGTAGAGAGATAACAATCTCTACAGCTTGGCTCTCAGGAAGCCAGATCTCTAGAAAAAGGGGAAGAGCACTACATCAAGGAAACACCCTGTGGGACGAAAGGAACCTTGAGCCCTAGACCTTCCCCCTGACAAAGCCTACCCAAATGAGAAGGAGCCAGAAAATCAGCTCTGGTAATATGACAAAACAGGGTTCTTTACCACCACCCAAAAATGACACTAGCTCACCAGCAATGGATCCAAACCAAGAAGAAATCCCTGCTCTACCTGAAAAAAAATTCAGAAGGTTAGTTATTAAGCAAATCAGGAAGGCACCAGAGAAAGGGGAAGCCCAATGTAAGGAAATCCAAAAAACGATACAAGAAGTGAAGGGAGAAATAGTTAATGAAATAGATAGCATAAATAAAAAACAATCAAAATTTCAGGAAACAATGGACGCACTTACAGAAATGCAAAATGCTCTGGAAAGTCTCAGCAATAGAAATGAATAAGCAGAAGAAAGAACTTCAGAGCTTGAAGACAAGGTTTTCAAAGTAACCCAATTCAACAAAGACAAAGGAAAAAGAATAAGAAAATATGAACAAGACCTCCAAGAAATCTGGGAATATTTTAAATGACCAAACCTAAGAATAATCAGTGTTCCTGAGAAAGATGAGAAATCTAAAAGTTTGGAAAATACATTCGGGGAATAATTGAGGAAAGTTTCCCTGGCCTAGCTAGAGAACTAGACATCCAAATACAGGGAGCTCAACATCTGGAAATTCATCACAAAAAGATCATCACCTAGGCACATTGTCATCAGGTTATCTAAAGGTAAGATGAAAAAAAGAATCTTAAGAGCTGTCAGGCAAAAACACCCAATAACCTATAAAGGAAAACCTATCAGTTTAACAGCAGATTTCTCAGCAAAAATCTTACTAGTTAGAAGGAATTGGGGCCCTATCTTCAGCCTCCTCGAATGAAACAATTCTCAGCCAAGAATTTTGTACCAAGTGAAACTAAGCTTCATAAACGAAGGAAAGATATAGTCTTTCTTAGACAAACAAATGCTGAGAGAATTCGCCACTACCAAGCCAGCACTACAAGAACTCCTAAAAGGAACTCTAAATCTTAAAACAAATCCTGGAAACACACCAAAACAGATCTTCTTTAAAGCATAAATCTCACAGGACCTATAAAACAAAAATACAATTAATAGAACCCCCCCAAAACAAGAAACCAAGGTATATGGGCAACAAATAGCATGATGAATGGAACGGTACTTCACATCTCAATACCAGTGTTGAATGTAAATGGCCTAAATGCTCCACTTAAAAGACACATATTGCAGAATGGAAAAGAATTCACCAACCAACCATCTGCTTCCTTCAAGAGACACATCTAACACATAAGGACTCACATAAACTTAAGAAAAAGGGATGGAAAAAGACATTCCATGCAAATGGACACCAAAAACGAGCAGGAGTAGCTATTCTTTTATCAGACAAAACAAAGTTTAAAGCAACAACAGTTAAAAAAGACAAAGGGTCATTATGTAATGATAAAAGGCCTTGTCCAACAGGAAAATATCACAACCCTTAATATATATGCACCTAACACTGGCACTCCCAAATGTATAAAACAATTAATAATAGACCTAAAAATGAGATAGATGGCAACACAATAATAGTGGGGGACTTCAATACTACACTGACACCACTAGACAGGTCATCAAGACACAAAGTCAACAAAGAAACAGTGGATTTAAACTATACCCTGGAATAAATGGACTTAACAGATATTTACAGAACATTCTACTGAACAACTGCAGAATATACGTTCTATTCAACAGCACATGGAACTTTCTCCAAGGTAGATCATATGAGAGGCTGCAAAACAAGCCTCAATAAATTTGAGAAAATTAAAATTATATCAAGCACTCTGTCAGACCACAGTGGAATAAAACTGAGAATCAACTACAAAAGGAACCTTCAAAACCATGCAAATACATGGAAATTAAGTAACCTGCTTCTGATCATTGGGTCAAAAACAAAATCAGGAGGGAAATTAAAAAATTCTTTGAATTGAATGACCATGGCGACACAACCTATCAAAACCTCTGTGATACAGAAAAGGTGGTACTAAGGGGTAAGTTCATAGCCCGAAACACCTTCATCAAAAAGTCTGAAGGAGCACAGACAATCTAAAGTCATACCTCAAGGAACTAAAGAAACAAGAACAAACCAAACCCAAACCCAGCGGAATAAAGGAAATAACTAAGATCAGAGCAGAACTAAATGAAATTGAAACAAACGAACAAAAATACAAAAGTGAAACAAAAAGCTGGTTCTTTGAAAAGATAAATAAAATTGATAGACCATTAGCAAGATTAACCAAGAAAAGAGAGAAACTTCAAATAAGCTCAGTTAGAAATGAAATGAGAGATATTACAACTGACACCACAGAAATACAAAACATCATTCAACCCTTATGTGCATAAACTAGAAATCCTAGAGGAGATGGATAATTCCTGGAAAGATACAACTGTCGTAGCTTAAGTCAGGAAGAATCAGATTCTCTGAACAGACCAATAACAAGCAGTGAGATTAAATGGTAATAAAAAAATTACCAACATAAAAAAGTCCAGACCCAGATGGATTAACAGCAGAATTCTACCAGACATTCAAAGAAGAATTGGTACCAATCCTATTGACACTATGCCAAAGATAAAGACAGAGGGAACCCTACCTAAATCATTCTATGAAGCTAGTATAACCCTAATACCAAAACCAGGAAAAAACATAACCAAAAAATAAAACTACAGACCAATTTCCCTGATGAACATAGATGCTAAAATCCTTAATAAAATGCTAGCTCACCAAATCCAATAACATATCAAAAAGATAATCCACCATGATCAAGTGGGTTTCACACCAGGGACACAGGGATGGTTTAACATATGCAAGTCAATAAATGTGATACACCACATAAACTGAATAAAAAAAAAATCACATGACCATTTCAATAGAAGCAGAAAAAGCATTCGACAAAATCCATCATCCCATCATGAGTAAAATTCTCAGCAAAATCTGCATACAAGGGACATACCTCAATGTAATAAAAGCTGTCTATGACAAACCCACAGCCAACATAATACCGAATAGGGAAAAGTTGAAAGAATTTCCTCTGAGAACTGGAACAAGACAAGGATGTTCACTCTTACCACTCTTCTTCAACACAGTATTGGAAATTCTAGCCTGAGCAATCAGGAAAGAGAAACAAATAAAGGGCATCCAAATCGGTATAGAGGAAGTCAAACTGTCGCTGTTTGCTGATGATATGATTGTTTACCTAGAAAACCCTAAAGACTCCTCCAGAAAGCCCCTAGAACTGATAAAAAAAAATTCAGCAAAGTTTCTGGATACAGAATTAATGTACATAAATCAGTAGCTCTTCTATACACCAACAGCAACCAAATCAAGAACTCAACCCCTTTTACAATTTTGCAATTTTCAAGCAATTCCCATCAAAATATCACCTTCATTCTTCACAGAATTAGAAAAAAAACCCTAAAATTCATATGGAACTAAAAAAGAGTCTCATAGCTAAAGAAAATCTGGACTAGCTAAAGCAGAACTGGAGGCATCACATTACCTGATTTCAAACTATACTCTAAGGCCATAGTCACCAAAACAGCATGGTACCTGCATAAAAATAGGCACATAGAACAATGGAACAGAATAGAGAACTCAGAAATAAACCCAAATACTTACAGCCAACTGATCTTTGACAAAGCAAACAAAAATACAAAGTGGGGAAAAAGACACCCTATTCAACAAATGGGGGTGGGATAATTGGCAAGCCACATGTAGGAGAATGAAATTGGATTCTCATCTCTCACCTTGTACAAAAATCAACTCAAGATGGATCAAGGACTTAAATCTAAGACCTCAAACTGTAAAAATTCTAGAAGATAACATTGGAAAAACCCATCTAGACATTGGCTTAGGCAAGGATTTCATGACCAGGAACCCATAGCAAATGCAATAAAAACAAAGATAAATAGCTGGGACTTAATTAAACTAAAGAGCTTTTGCAGAGCAAAAGGAACAGTCAGCTGAGTAAACAGACAACCCACAGAGTGGGAGAAAATCTTTACAATCTATCTGACAAATAACTAATATCCAGAATCTATGATGAACTCAAACAAATTAACAAGAAAAAACCAAACAATCCCATCAAAAAGTGGGCTAAGAACATGAATAAACAATTCTCAAAACAAGATATACAAATGGCCAACAAACATATGAGAAAATGCTCAACATCACTAATGATCATGGAAATGCAAATCAAAACCACAGTGAGATACCACCTTACTACTCCAAGAATGGCCATAATAAAAAAATAAAAAAAATAGATGTTGGCGTGGATGTGATGAACAGGGAACACTTCTACACTGCTGGTGGGAATGTAAAGTAGTACAATCACTATGGAAAACAATGTGGAGATTCCTTAAAGAAGTAAAAATATATCCATTTGATACAACAATGCCACTACTGGGTATCTACCCAGAGGAAAAAAAGTCATTATATGAAAAAGACATTTGCACATGCATGTTTATAGCAGCACAATTTGCAATTACAAAAACGTGGAACCAACCCAAATGCCCACTAATCAATGGGTGTATAAAGAAACTGTGACATATATATGTCACAAATATATATATATCACATATATATGAGTATATACCTATATATATTTTGGGTATATACCTATATATGTCACATATATATGTCACAGTTTCATACACACACACACACACACACACACACACACACACACACACACACACACACACACAAAGGAATACTACCCAGCCATGAAAAGAAATGAATTAATGGCATTCGCAGCGACCTGGATGAGACTGGAGACTGTTATTCTAAGTGAAGTAAGTAAGGAATGGAAAAATAAACATCATAGTACTCACTCATATGTGGGAGCTAAGCTATGAGGATGCAAAGGCATAAGAAAGATACAATGGACTTTGGGGACTCAGTGGGAAAGAGGGGGAAGGGGGTGAGGAATAAAAAACCACAAATTGGGTGCAGTGTATACTGCTCAGGTGATGGTTGTACCAAAATCTCACAAATCACCACTAAAGAACTTACTCATGTAAGTAAACACAACCTGTTCCCCAATAACCTATGGAAATAAAAAAAATTAATAAAAATGTTTTTATTTAGTAGAATTTTTTCCTTTCTGGTTTTGAGCTTTGATTAGAAAAACCTTAGCTCTATGTGAAAATAGTTTTTTAATTTATTTTGCTTTTTTAGATATTTTAATTTTTTATTTTACATATATACATAGGTGTGTATATTTCTGAGGTACATGAGATATTTTGATACAGGCATACAATGCATAATAACATCAAGATAAATAAGATATCCATCACCTGAAACAATTATGATTTCTTTGGTTACAAAGAATCCAGTTATAATCTTTCAGTTATTTAAAAATGTACAATAAATTATCGTTGACTGTAAGCACCCTGTTGCACTATCAAATACTAGATCTTATTCATTCTATCTAATTATATTTTTGTACCCATTAACCATCCCCACTCCTCCCCCACCACGATTCCCAGCCTCTGGTAACCGTCATTCTATTTTCTATCTCTGTAAGTTCAGATGTTTGAATTTTTAGTTCCTACAAATAAGTGAGATCATATAAAGTTTCTCTTTTTGTGCTTGGTTTATTTCACTTAACATAATGACCTGTGGTTCCATCCATGGTGTCGTAAATGACAGGATCTCATTCTTTTTATGACTGAATAGTACTTCATTGTATATATGTTCTACATTTTTCCTATCCATTCATCTGTTTATGGACAAATAGGTTGTTTCCAAATCTTGACTATTGTGAATAGTGCAGCAGTAAACAAGGGAGTGAAGATATCTCTTTGATACACCGATTTCCTTTCTTTTGGGTATATACCTAGCAGTGAAATAGCATATGGTAGTTCCATTTTTAGTTTTTTGAGGACCCTCCAATCTGTTCTCCATAGTGGTTGTGCCAATTTACATTCCTACCAACAGTGTGTATGAGGGTTCCCTTTTCTCCACATCTTCATCAGCATTTGTTATCACCTATCTTTTGGATAAAAGCCATTTTAACTTGGGTGAAATGATCTCATTGTAGTTTTGATTTACATTTTTCTGACAATCAGTGGTGTTGAGTACCTTTCCATATGCTTGTTTGCCCTTTATATGTCTTCTTCTGAGAAATGGCTACTCAGTTATTTGCCCATTTTCAAGTCAGATTATTAGATTTCTTCCTATAGAGTTGTTTGAGCTCCTTATACATTCTGATTATTAATCCCTTCTCAGATGGATAGTGTGCAAAGATTTTATCACATTCTGTGGGTCATCTCTTCACTTAGTTGATTTTATCCTTTGCTGTGAGGAAGCTTTTTAATTTGTTGTGATTCCATTTGTCTATTTTGCTTTGGTTGCCTGTGCTTGTGAGGTATTGCTCAAGTAATCTTTGTCCACCCCAATGTCCTGAAGAGTTTTTCCAATGTTTTCTTTTTTCTCTTTTCTTGCTCTAATATAACCTGGTGGCCTTTTTTTTTTCTTGCCAGAGTCTCACTTTGTTGCCCAGGCTGGAGTGCAGTGGCATGATCTCAGCTCACTGCAACATCTGCCTCCCAGGTTCAAGTGATTCTTGTGCCTCAGCCTCCTGAGTAGCTGGGATTACAGGCATGTGCCACTATGCTTGGCTAACTTCTGTATTTTTAGCAGAGATTGAGTTTTGCCATGTTGGTCAGATTGGTCTTGAACTCCCGACCTCAAGTGATCCGCCTGCGTTGGCCTCCTAATGTGCTGGGATTACAGGTGTGAGCCACTGTGCCAGGCCCCCAAGTTTTCCTTTAGCAGTTTCATAGTTTGAAGTCTTAGACTTAAGTCTTTAATCTATTTTGATTTGAGTTTTGTATATTATGAGACAGAGGTTTTAGTTTCAGTCTTCTGCATATGGATATGCAGTTTTCCCAGCATTATTTATTGAAGAGATTCTCTTTCTGCCAATGAATGTTCTTGGCACCTTTGTTAAAAATGAGTTCACTGTAGATGTATGGATTTGTTTTTGGGCTCTCTGTTCTATTCGTCTATATGTTTGTTTTTATGTGATTAGCATGCTGTTTTGGTTACTATAGCATTGTAATGTAATTTGAAATCAGGTCATGTGATCCTTCCAGTTTTGTTCTTTTTACTCAGGATAGCATTAGCCATGCTAGGTCTTTTTTGGTTCCATCTGCATTTTAGGATTGTTTTTTCTATTTCTGTGAAGACTATCATTGGTATTTTGATAGCGATTGCATTGAATCTGTAGATTGCTTTGAGTAGGATGGACATTTTAAAAATATTGATTTTTCCAATTCATGAACAATTTTTTATGTCCTCTTCAATTTCTTTCATCAATATTTTATAGTTTTCATTGTGGAGATATTTAACTTATTTGGTTAAATTGACTCCTAGGTGCTTAATTTTATTTGTAGCTATTTTAAAAATGGGATTAATTCCTCAATTTCTTTTTTCAGATTGTTCACTGTTAGCATATAGAAATGCTACTGATTTTTGTATGTTGATTTTGTATTCCACAACTTTACTGAATTTGTTGTCAGTTCTAAGAGATTTTTGGTGGAGTCTTTAGTTTTTTCCAAATATAAGATCCTGTCATCTGCAAACAAGGATAATTTGACTTCTTCCTTTGCAATTTGGATGCCCTTCTTTCTCTTGTCTAATTGCTTTACCTAGGACTTCCAGTACTATGTTGAATGACAGTGGTGAAAGTGGACATCCTTGTCATGTTCTAGATCTAGAGGAAAGGCTTTCAGTTTTTCCCCCATTCAGTATGATATATATGGCTTTGATTGTATTAAGGTATGTTTCTTTTCTACTCAGTTTTTTGAGGGTTTTTATCATGAAGGGATGTTGAATTTTATCAAATGCTAAATGTTTTTCAGCATCAATGTAAATGATCATATGGTTTTTGTCCTTCATCCTGTTGATCTGATGTATCACATTGATTGATTTGCATATGTTGAACCATCTTTGCATCCCAGGTATAAGCCCCACCTGGTAATGACAAACAATCATTTTAATATGTTGTTGAATTTGGTGTGCTTGGATTTTTTTGAGGATTTTTGCATCAATGTTCGTCAGACATACTGGCCTGTAGTTTTCTTTTTTTTTTTTGATGTGTCTTTGTCTGATTTTGGTATCAGGGTAATACTGACTTTAGACAATAAGTTTTCAAGTATTTCCTCCTCCTGTATTTTTTGGATTAGTTTGAGTAGGATTGATATTAGTTCTTCTTTAAATGTTTGATAAAACTCAGTAGCAATGCAATTGGGACCTGGGCTTTTCTTTGTTGGGAGGTTTTTAATATAGCTTTGATCTTGTCGTTTGTTATTGGTATGTTCTTGTTTTGGATTTCTTCATGGTTCAATTTTGGTAGATTGCATGTGTCTAGAAATTCATCATTTTTGCTGAGGTTTTCCAATTTATTGGCATATAGTTATTCATAGTAGCCTCTAATGATCTTCTGGATTTCTGCATACTGGTTATAATGTCTCCTTTTTTAATCCCTGATTTTCTTTATTTGGGTCTTTTTTTTTCTTAGTTTGTCTGGCTAAAGGTTTGTCAATTTTGTTTATCTTTTCAAAAAGCCAACTCCTTTCGTTGACCTTTTGTATTTTTTTCATTTCAATTTATTTCTGCTCTGATATTTATTATTTCTTTTCTTCTACTAACTTTGAGTTTGGTTTGCTCTTGCTTTTCTAGTTCTTTAAGATGCATCATTAGGTTGCTTATTTGAATTTTTTTTTTTTTACTCTTTGGATGTGGATGTTTATAGCTGTAAACTTTCCTCTTAGCCCTGCTTTTGCTGTATCTTGTAGATTTTGGTATGTTGTGTTTCCATTATTATTTGATTTAAGAAATTCTTAAATTTCCCCCAACTTCTTAATTGACCCACTGGTCATTCAGGGACATATTGTTTAATTTCCATGTGTTTGTATAGTTTCCAAAATTCCTCTTGTTATTGATTTTTAGTTTTATTCCATTGTGGTCAGGGAAGATACTCGATATTATTATTTTTTTTAAATTTTTTAAAGAGTTGTTTTGTGGCCTAATACAGAGTTTATTCTTGAGGGTGATTCATGTGCTGAGGAGTACAATTTGTATTCTTCAGTCATTGGATAAAATATTCTGTAAATATCTATTAATTCCATTTGGTCTATAGTGCAGATTAAGTCTGAAGTTTCTTTGTCGATTTTCTGTCTGGATGATCTGCCCAATGCTGAAAGTCTGCAGCTAATTATTGTATTGGGTTCTTCCTCTATTTTTAGCTCCAGTAATATTTTCTTTATATATCTGGGTGCTCTAATGTTAGGTGCATATATATTTATAATTGTTATATGTTCTTGCTGATTGACCCCTTTGTCATTATAGTATCACCTTCTTTGTCTCTTTTATAGATTTGTTTTGAGATTTATTTTTGTCTAAAGTAAGTGTAGATACTCCTCCTCTTTTTTGGTTTCCACTTGCATGAAATATCTTTTTCCATCTCTTAATTTTCAGTCTATCTGTGTCTTTGTAGGTGAAGTGTTTTTCCTGTGGGCAATAGATTGTTGGGTGTTAAAAAAATCTCTTCAGCCACTCTATGTCTTTTTTTTCTCAGACATATATTTAATAACTGTAGAAATCCAAAAGAATTAGCATCAAATCTTGAAGTTGTGAATGAAGCTGTGGGTTGGCTTGACTGGGCTCAGCCACTGAGCTGCCTCAACTGGCCAAGTAATGGGATATGACGACTATGAGGACTTCTATGTTGTCTTGATCTCATTATATGTATTATGTATTTAGTTTCAATAAAGCATTTGTACCAGTGGCTCTGGAGCTTGGAGGAAGACTAAAGGAATGTGTAGTGATTCTGAGTAAGGTGTAGACCTACACAGCAGAGCTATAGGGGAGAAGATTAACAAAGTCCTTTCTTCCAATATCAGGACAGTCATGAGTGTCAGTCCCATCCAAACAGGTCACTAGGGCTAAAAGGCTGGACCCTGCCCTCTCTGTCTCTGAACTATGACAGGTTCTTGCTCCCTCCGGGGGAGGCAAGGAGCTTGCAACTGGGAGTTTTCAGTGAATGAGCACCATGACACAGTCATTTCTGATCCCTCCATCCAGCTGTTGTGAAAAGATGAAGCAAAGGAGGCAAGACAATGCTTAATCTAGCAGACAAGAGAATGGATAGTGCGATCCTTGTTTGTGCTAGTCATTGGGTGATACACCACTTTTCAGGTCCGTGAAGCTACTTGTTTCCCTTCATTTCCTCTGTTTCCATTTATTCCCTTCAGTTATGGTCTAGAATCAAACAATTCTAAACCTCAGTGTCTTATGAAGCTGACACTTCAAAACCCGCAAAAACAGGTTGCCTTTGAGGTATTTAGTCACACCAAGTACAACTACAGCAGTCATAGACAGTGTAGGTTTGCAGAGATCCACCTCCTTGCTTACTAGCAATTAGGGAGTTAATACTCTAAAATTGAGGCAAGGAGCCTGGACTGTTGCCATTTTATGGAAGCCACATAAGTTGGGCAGGACTCCACAGGATGGTGGCCTCTGGAAGGGCAGCCAGCTCCTTCACTGGGACTTCATTCAGGTCGCTGAGACACAGGTCCAGTTCGTTGCAGTCCAGCTTGTCGCGGAGGTTCCCCCCCTTGCTACTGCCTTGGTCATGGTGACACCGGCTGGGCGGGTCCCTGCTCTGGGGTTCCGACTGGTGGAAGAAAGGAGCTGAAATGCCGCTTGTCAGTTCAGCGGGCCCCCACCCAACCGACTACCCCTGAGCCCTCCGTCGCCGCCGGTGCGATACTGCCTCCGCCGGTCCGCCCGCCTGCCGCACTCCGAGCCCCGCGCCTACCTCCCACCGGTGCCCACTCTATGTCTTTTTATTGGAGAGTTTAGTTTAGTTATATTCAATCTTATTATTGATAAGTAAGGATGTATACTTGCCTTTTAAAATTTGTTTTCTGGTTGTTTTGTGGTCTTCTCTTCCTTCTTTCCTTCCTGTCTTCCTTTCAGTGAAGGTGATTTTCTCAGGTGGCATATTTTAATTTCTTGCCCTTTTTTGTATATTTGTTGTATGTTTCTATTTGAGGTTACCCTGTGGCTGGCAAATAATAATCTGCAACTCATTATTTTAAACTGATAACAACTGAAAACTGCAAAAACAAACAAGCAAACCTGCAAACAAGCAAGGAGAAAACTAATAAGTAAAAACTCTACACTTCAACTTTGTCCCGCAGCTTTTTAACTTTTTATTATTTCTATTCATATCTTATTATACTGTCCATGTATTGAAAAGTTGAAGCTGTTGTAGTTATTATTTTGATCAGTTTATCTTTTAGTCTTTCTATCCAAGATATTAGTAGTTTATACACTGCAATTAGTGTTATAACATTAGTGTTTTTCTGTGTGCTTAATATTACCAGTGACTTTTCTATCTTTTGATGATTTCCTATTGCCATTAACGTCCTTTTCTTTCAGATTGAAGAACTCCCTTTAAGATTTCTTTCTTTCTTTTTTTTTTTTTTTTTTTTTGAGACAGAGTTTCGCTCTGTCGCCCAGGCTGGAGTGCAGTGGCGCGATCTGGGCTCACTGCAAGCTCCGCCTCCCGGGTTCATGCCATTCTCCTGCCTCAGCCTCCTGAGTAGCTGGGACTACAAGCACCTGCCACCACGCCCGGCCCCCCTTTAAGATTTCTTGTGGGACAGGTCTGATGATTAAATCCTTAAGCTTTTGTTTGTCAGGGAAAGTCTTTATTTCTCCTTCATGTTTGAAGGAAGGAGATTTTCACTGGATATACTATTCTAGGATAAAAGTGTTTTCCTTCAGCACTTTAAATATGTCATTCCACTCACCTTCTCTCGGCCTGTAAAGGTTCCACCGAAAAGTCGGCTGCCAGATGTACTGGGGCTCCATTGTTTGTTGTTTCTTTTCTCTTGCTGCTTTTAGCATCCTTTCTTTATCCTTGACTTTTGAGAGTTTGATTATATGATGCCTTGAGGTAGTCTTATTTAGGTTGACTCTGCTTGGTGTTCTATAACCTCCTTGTACTTGAATATTAATATCTTTCTCTAGGTTTGGGAAGTCTTGTTGTTAACCCTTTGAATCAGCTTTCTACCCCTATCTCTTTCTCTACCTTCTTTTTAAGGCCAATAACTCTTATCTTTGCCCTTTTTAAGGCTATTTGCCAGATCTTATAGGTGTGCTTCATTGTTTTTTATTCTTTTTTCTTTTGTCTTCTCTGACTGCATTTTCAAATAGTCTGTCTTCAAGCTCACTAGTTCTGCTTGATCAATTCTGTTGTTAAGAGACTCTGATGCATTCTTCAGTATGTCAATTGCACTTTTCAATTATGAAATTTCTGCTTGATTATTTTAATTTATTCCAATCTCTTTGTTAAATTTATCTGATAGGATTGTGAATTTCTTCTTTGTGTTATCTTGAATTTCACTGAGGTTTCTCAAAACAGCTATTTTGAGTTCTTTGTCTGAAAGGCACATATCTCTGTCTTTCCATGATCGATCCCCGGTGACTTATGTTTGGTGAGGTCATGTTTTCCTGGATGGCCTTCATGCTCGTGAATATTCACCAGTTTCTTGGAATTGAAAATTAGGTATTTATTGTAGTCTTCACAGTCTGGCCTTGTTTGTACCTGTCATTCTTTGGAAGGCTTTCCAGGTATTTGAAGGGATTTGGGTGTTATGATCTAAGTTTTTGGTCACTACAGCCATATCTGCATTAGGGGGCACCCCAAGCCCAGTAATACTGTAGCTCTTGCAGACTTTTAGAGGAAGAGCCTTGGTGGTCTTGGATAAGATCTGGATGAATTCTCTGATTTACCAGGCAGAGACTCTTCTCTTCCCTTACTTTCTCCTAAACAAACAGAATCTCTTTCCTGTGCTAAGCTGTCTGGAGCTGGAGGAGGGGTGACACAAGCACAACTGTAGCCACCACAATTGGGACTGAACTGGGTCAGATGTGAAACCAGCAAAGCAGTGGGTCTTGCCCAGTGCCCATGGTATCCACTGCCTGGCTACTGCCTATGTTTGCTAAAAGCCCTAAGACTCTACAACCAGTAGGTGGCAAATCTAGCCAGGCTTGCGTGCTTCCATTCAGGACAGCAAGCTCCCCCTATCTCTGGGCAGGTCCAGTGATGACGTCTGTGACAAGGGCCTGGAGTTGGAAACCTTAGGAATCTACCTGGTGCTCTCTTCTACTGAAGCTGTGCTGGCACCCATACTGCAAGACAAAGTTCTTCTCACTCTTCCCTCCCCTTTCCATAACCAGAGGAATCTCTCTCCATGGCCATCACCACCCCAGTCCTGTGGTGAGTACTCCCTGGCTATTGCTGATGGTTCACTCATGGCCCAAGGGTTCTTCTGTCAGCTTGCGGTCAATGCTGCCAGGCCTGTGTCTCTCCCTTCAAGGGGATTGTGCTCCCCTCTGTCCCAGGGCAGGTCCAGAAATCTTGTCCAAGAGTCACAGCTTAGAATTGGGAGCCCCAAGAGGCTGCTTGTTGTTCTACCTCACTGTGGCCAAGCTGGTACCTAAGCTCAAGACAAAGTTTCCTTCACTCTTACTGTTTCTTTCCGAAAGCAAAAAGAGTCTCTCCCTGAGCCACCGCAGCTGGGAATGTGCTGGGTCACACCTGAAGCCAGCACATCTTTGAGTCTTACTCCAGCCCATGATGATTACTGCCTACCATTGCTGATTATTCAGTGACCAAGGGCTCTTTTTTAAAACTTTCAAGTTTTGGGCATATAGGTGGTTTTTAGTTATAGTATCTTATCTTAGGATAAGTTCTTTAGTGGTGATTTCTGAGATTTTGGTGTACCTGTCATCCAAATAGTGTACACTGTAGCCAATATGTAGTTTTTTATGCCTCACCAACCCCAACCCTTCTCCCCGAGTCCCTAAAGTCCATTATATCATTCTTATGCCTTTGCATTCTCATAGCTTAGCTTCCACTTATAAGTTAGAACATATGATATTTGGTTTTCCATTCCTGAGTTACTTCAGTTAGAAAATGGCCTCCAGCTCCATCCAGGTTGCTACAAAGGCTATTATTTCATTCAGTTTTATGGCTGAATAGTATCCCAAGGTGTATATGTACCACATTTTCTTTATCCACTCGTTGGTTGATGGGCATTTAAGTTGGTTCCATATTTTTATAAGTGTGAATTGTGCTGCTATAAACAGGTAAGTGCAGTGTCTTTTTCATGTAATCATTTTCCTCTGGGTACTCAGTAGTGGGATTGCTGGATGATTGGTAGCTCTATTTTTAGTTCTTTATCACCATAGTTTCCATAGTGGTTGTACTAGTTTACATTCCCACTAGCAGTGTAAAAGTGTTTCCTTTTTACCACATCCACACCAACATCTATTATTTCTTGATTTTTAAATTATGACCATTCTTGCAGGAATATGGTGATACTGCATTGTGGTTTTAATTTGCATTTCCCTTATAATTAGTGATGTTGAGCATTTTTTCCCATATGTTTGTTGGCTGTTGGTGTATTTTATTTCGAGAATTGTCTATTTATGTCCTTTGCCCACTTTTTGATGAGATTATTTGTTTATTTCTTGCTGATTTGTTTGAGTTCTATGTAGATTCTGGATATTAGTCCTTTGTCAGATGCATAGTTTGTGAATATTTTCTCCCACTCTGGGTTGTCTGTTTACTCTGCTGATTATTTCTTTTGCTGTGCAAAACTTTTTAGTTTAATTAGGTTCCATTTATTTATTTTTGGTTTTGTTGCATTTGCTTTGACCAAGGGCTCTGTAGTCAGCAGGAAATGAAACCTGCAAAGACTAGATCCTTCCCTTCAAGGCAGTGGATTCCCTTCTGGCCCAGGATGTGTCTAGAAATGTCTGGGAGCTAGGGCCTAGGATGGGGGCCTTGGGACTCTGCCTGGTGCCCTATCCTACTGAGGCTGCACAGGTACCCAAGTTGCAAGGTAAAGTCCTCTGTACTCTTCCCTCTCCTGTTCTCAAGTGCAAGGAAGGATCTCCTCCTGGAGCTGCGAGGTGTGCTGGCTAGGGTTGGGGGAGAGGTGGTGCAAGCACTTCCTTGGCTAGTCTGGCTGGTGGCTCACTAGGTCACGTGCCCCTAAGTTTAACGGCTGCAAGCCCAGCATAACATTAGCATTTGCCCAGGAATGGAACACAGGTTTCAACCTCTGGGATGGGTAATTCCCCTCTGGCATGGGCTGGTCTAAATGTTCCCTCTGTGAGTGCCAACTGAGTTCTGCACAGTGTTGCTTTCCACAGTGATAGGGCAGTGCTGAGTTCCAATGCAAAGTCGCACAATCACTGCACTCTCTCTCCCCCAAGCACACAGATTCTCTCTTGTACAAGGAGGCAACTCCTGAGGGATGGAAGAGGGGTGGCACTGGTGATTCAAGACTGTCTTTCCTACCCTCGTCAATGCCTCTTTCAGTAATATGAAGTTAGAACCAGATACTGTGATTGCTCACCTGATTTTGCTTCTCATGAAGATGCTTTTTTTTGTGTGGATAGTTGTTCAATTTGGTGTTCCTGTTGGGAGGACAATTGGTGGGAGCTTCTGTTCAGCCATCTTCCTCCCCTATGAAAAATTAAATAAAAAAAAAGTCTTCCGTATTTTCCTTGAGTCTTTTTAAATTTCATAATTTAATATTTAAATATTTAATTTGTCTAGAATTTATTGAGTGGTAGGTCTAGCTTTGCTTTTTTTTTTCTTAACAGCTAGCTGTTTGAAACAACCATTTAAAGAACAAATCTAATTAGCTTGATTTAACCATTCTACAATGTATACATATATCAAAACATTATGTATATCACAAATACATACATTTTTGTCAATTAAAAACATTAAAAAGAAAAAAGAAAAAGAAAATAACTGTCCATTTCCTTCATTAGTTTGAAATGCCATCTTGGTGTTACATACTCAATTTCCATATATACTTACATCTTTTATTTTGGTACAGCACATTCCCAATTTTGTAAAGAAAATTGATTTCCTTTTGCATAGAAAAGACAGAGGAAAAATACATTGTCATGTTTATCTCAAATAAATGAAGTAGAGCCTTGATAGTGAGCCTAACTGTGCTGGCCTATGATGTTTTCCCAGTGTTTTAACCTATCATTTCTGTGGCAGATTCTGAAACCAATAGAAAATTAATATCAGATGATGCTTTAGTCCTTAGGGCTCTTGGTTGAAAGTAAAACAGAAATGTCTTAAATTTAATGGTATAAATTTTGTAAATTCTCTGCATACTGTTACTTCTGACAGGTCAGTATGTAATGAAATACTTCAGTGTGATGAAACCAGTGTAACATTCAAGTTAGTTGGAATACACTCACTTTCCTTAGTTAAATCTCACATTATTTGAAAATGTTAGTTTGTTACTAAAAAATCCATGCTAGCCTACAAGGCAAATAATAGCCTACTAAATATAACAGACCCCAAACATCCCTATAATTCTACAAATTAAGGATTTCATGCATAGAGAACCCCTACCATGGTCAAGGAATCCAAATTAGTTATTTTTGCATGCCTTTCTAAAACTGAGTCCTTGAGGAGACAACAGAAATTAGTGATGTTGAGCACTAATAGTACTAATCCCACTGACAACCCTCCAATTTTAAAAATAATTGGGTACTTCTTCAGTTTTCTGTGCAGCACTGAAAGTTCACAGCTCCTTAAACACTTATGTAACACCATTCTTGGGGGGATCTTTAAGAGTTATCCTTCCTACTCCCCAAACACCAGAACTAAGCCACAGAAGAAACAGTTACAGAAGTAAGATCCTATGGTTTTACAGAGTGGCTTCTTTAGAATTGATGTTAGGTAATATTCTAATTCATTTTTTTTGCTGAGCAATGATAGTTGTTGAGGTAACTCAAAATTCCCATCCACTTAATGAACTCTTTTCACTAGCAAATACAACAAGACCAAAATCAGACCATCAGCCCAGTGGTTTCCCTGTCAACTACTTGGCTAGAAGATGAGATAATTAACTGGATCTCTTTTCATATAAAAAACAGCTTCTATTTTGGAGAGGTGAATTTGATCAGCAGATCTTGTTTGCTTTTTGTACTAGGTTTGATGGAGCCAAACTCCAATTACCGATCAATATTTCTCAGTTGGAGATCTGATGGTTCCTTATGATTTTGTCGAAGGAAGCATCTTCAGTTACCTTATTATCATAAATATTAAGAGGAATGTACATGTTGACTTTTTGCCCATCTAATTCATTTGGGTGTCCTGTTGGGCCAACTGATAACTTGTCAGTAGGCTATCTTTCAAATTCTTTAAATGTTGAATGGAGAAATGTCATGCCTTATTTAAATCTTTCCAAATATGTTCCCTCAAACTATATCTTTCATGGTTGTTGGTAAAGAATAATTAGATGGGATTGAAAGTTGTATATACTCTTCCAAAGATAGGCTATATACAGTGTTTCAGTTATCTACTGCTATGTAACAAACTAGCAAAAAGTGTGGTGAATCAAAACATTTAATTACTGTTTCACAGTTCTGTACACTGATTGTGCTTATCTCAGCAATTTTCACTGGACATTCAAGATGGCTTCTTCCCTTGCATGCCTGGAGCCTCATCGTGGATGGCTGGAACAGCTGGCCACTGGCCAGGTGAATCTCTGACTGGTCAAATTTATGAAATAGGAGACATGGATAAATCCATCTTTAGGAAATTTATTCTTATCTGTCTGTGATTTCAAGCCCCTCTCCAAGTTTTATGCACTTAAAAGCCAACACTTTGTAAGGTCTGAGAAGCCTTTTAAGCAGATTGGAAGACAGGCACTCTGTAATAATGTGCAATGTCTTTTCTTGTTGCTTAGAAGGGTATGCACAAATTTTTACTAATACTGCAAACTCAAGCCTTTGGCACAATGTTCTTCAGTGTTTAGATATTTGTATTTGTTTCATTAAAAATTAAGAAAATGTTCTTATGAGCCCCAGATGAGCTTACCCTTTAAAACATTTCTAAAAATAAGAAGCATGTCTTAATTATTCCTTTGATATACTGTTGGAAATTAGATTGTAGCTGTGTAGAACTTAATTTTTTCATATTCAGTTATTTTTCTTAATTGTCTCAATTTTTGCTTGCAAGGAACCACATGTATGCAAATTACTTGTTTTCTCTAGATCTTGAAATCTAGGTTATTTGTACTGTTTTAAACCCATTAATTTTTTTTATGTGTTACTGAAGGGTATCCTGTGGTTTTCACTGTAATTTTTCTCCAGGACACAAGTTAATTGATGCCTGGAGGAATTAAAAAAATAGATATAAATATGCTACATTATAATTCAGTATAAGTTTAGTATCCAATCTCTCTGCCTGACTGCTGGAGTTGAGACATAAATCTTCTGCTTCAGTGCTCCTCCAGACTCAGACTAGAATGTACAGTATTAGCTCTCGTTCTCAGGCCTTTGAACTACACTGCTGGCTTTCCTGGGTCTCCAGCTTGCAGTGGGACTTCACGGGATTTCCCAGACTCGGTAATCAATTCAGTAACACTGCATCTAAACCAGATAAGGCAATTTCAGCACTCAAGTCAGACCCCAGGATTGGCATGCCAGGTTCAAAACTGAGATGCTCTTCTGAAATTGTCTTTATTAAGAAGTTGAGGTGCCTGTGGAAACTCAAGCCAACAGGAAATACCTAGCAAGTGTGCTGCTATTTGAACCTTAAGCCTTTATGGGAATTGTGTTGGAGGTTTACATTTGAATGGAGGTAGACTTTAGAGAGCAGAGTTGAAACACTGTTGAATGAATGTAGCCTTTAGGGAGCAGAGTTGAAACACTGTTGGATGAAAACACACAAGGAAGATTGAGGAGAGCAACAGGAAGCCAGCATTTTAGAGATATTTGGAAGTTGAGAAGCCTTCAACCTTCACTGAGGAGGACTTGTCAGAAATGAAAAATTAGGATAGTAGGGTGTCTCTGGAGCCAGGAGAACAGAACAATGGTTTTTACACTGTGCTCCCCAAAGTCCCACTAGGGGTTACCACATTTTGTAATAGCAGAGAGGAGTAAATAGATGTGACTCTACACCTCTCACTAAAATCAGAGCTGTGAGTACACTAAGAAATCACTCCAGTGACTTACATCTTTGATTGCAAGTGTAAAAGATGAAGAAAATTTTATTCACTAGACCTTATCTTAGGAGAAAACTGCCTGATTGCAGGAAGAGAGACAAATCTCAAAAGCATGCTCCAACAAAATAAGACGCTTACTGAACTACTAAGCAGGAGAAAAAGAGAGAAATTGTTTTGTTTCTGAAAAGAAAGAAGAAAGAATGAACAAAGAATTAAGGGAGAAAAATGGGTAGCAAAAGAGAAGGCAGATCTTATGGTGTGATTCTATGACTCAGATATCGCCAATAATGTTTCTACACATACATATCTTTTTCTTTAAATAATGGATAAAGGTTCTGAATTTTATGTTGTGCTAATATAGAGCAAAATAGAGAGATTTGGGCTAATACAGAGCACAAATTTTATGTTGTGTATAGAGCAGATATTTGGAGAAAGTCCCATGATTATGTAATATTTGGGAATTCGAAGAGTTCATGAAGAGGCTTTGAATTTTCACAGGCCAAGTGTATTTGAAATAGGACTTTTTATAGTAGCTCTGACCAGCAGAAATCTAATATGAGCCACAAAACAGAAGCCACATATGTAATCTTAAATGTTTTGTAGTTGTCACATACAGTTTACATGCCCCAACATTATAATCTTCACAGCTGAATGATTTTTTTCTAATATGCTTCACCTTAGTGGATGACCACCACTATTCTTAAAATTAAGTAAATTATATACCTGGGAGAATTTACTGTCTCCCTCACTCATCCCACACCATCTTCATAAATTAACGAATCCTCCCAAATACTTTTTAAATTTACCCCGTGGTAGACACAATAATGGCCCACCAAAGATGTCCAAATCTTAATCCCTCAAGCCTGGGAATATATTTCCTTAGGTGGCAAGAGAAGACTTTGCAGGTGTGATTAAGTTGAAACTCTTGAGATAAGGAGGTTATTCTGGATTATCTGGATGAGCCAAACCCAATGTAATCACAAGGGTCTTTGTAAGAGGGAAGTGGAAGTATCACAGACAGAGAAGGTGATGTGACAACAGAGAAAGAAGGCAGAGGGGCTCAAGGAAGAGGCCTTGAGCCAAGGAATACAGAAAAACTGGAAAAAAACATTGAAATAGATTTACTCCCCTAAAATAACAAGAAGAAACACAGCTCTGCTGACATTTGGGTTTTAGCCTCATAGATCCATTTCAGAATTCTGACTTCCAGAACTAGGACACCTAGGTGTGATAAAGTGGGGAGGAGGTAGAGATTGTTCTTTTGCATGCCTAATGTTTGCTTCCATGTAAGAGCTACATTAAAGAAATACTGTTGGCCTCCTTCTAGAACAGCAGTGTCTTAATCTTATTGGCACACCTGGATGATACCAAATTATTCTTTTAAGGAAATCAATGTATCACTAAAAATGCATAGAAAAACATCTGGCAATAACATTTCAGGGCTGTGGAGCTACAGTATAAGTACATATGTGTTGGTGTGCACACACCTGACTTTTATGTTTGGAACTGAAGCCAGCCATCTTCCCTAGGACAAATCTTTAATCTGCTAAATAAACACAAGAACAGGATTTACTTTCAGCTAGTCATTTATAATGATTCAGTTTTCTTCACTTGATCAAAGGAATATATTCTAATACTTGAAAAATGGGGTCAAAACAGCATTGTGATGAAAATATTTACTGCAAATATTTATAATTGTGTAAGAATAATCATTCTTTTTTAAATTCAAATTGTGTTTTAGCTTTAGAAGTCTTTACTAGATCTTTTAAAATCACAATTAAATATTTGAGACTCTATGTAACCCCCAAATTAAAAATAGTATATTAGTTGTTTTAAACAATATTCATCACTTTTACTTTTTATGTTATAATAAATTTATGTATGTAAAAATTTAAATGTACAGCACATGTAGTTTGTGTGTGTAGCATTATAAAAATATGAGGAAAAATTTTACTTAGTATAAAAACATGTACATATAAATAAGTATACAGAAGAGTTTTTGAATTAAAACCTGCTTTAACATAATACCATTTTGAATGAAAATTATGGATATTGATTCCCTGATTAAAGGAACTCTGTCTTCTCAAAAAAAAAAAAAGTTTCATGTCATGGCTGGTTTTGAATCACCTGGCAGGAAGGATTTTTTTTGTAAGAATTAAACTGCATGTTTTACATTTGTGCTGATCATGCCACCTTTGCTGCCATCTGGTTTGATGTGATATCCAGCATATCTAATTCCAGCACCTGGAAGTTTAAAGTGCTTTCTTTCTAAAGAAAAATAATGCTCAATCTACATCTATAGGCTTTGTCAGATGGGGGAGCACATAAGAAACATTTACCAAAGAAAGATTGAAAAATTCCAAGGATTTATTCCTAAATTAGGTTCTAATGATCACTCTCCCTTTCCAGTTCATCTGTGAGATTTTTCCCAGATTTGAGCACTTTGGTTAAAAATTAAAAAAAGGCCGGGCGCGGTGGCTCACGCCTGTAATCCCAGCACTTTGGGAGGCCGAGGCGGGTGGATCATGAGGTCAGGAGATCGAGACCATCCTGGCTAACAAGGTGAAACCCCGTCTCTACTAAAAATACAAAAAATTAGCCGGGCGTGGTGGCGGGCGCCTGTAGTCCCAGCTACTCGGGAGGCTGAGGCAGGAGAATGGCGTGAACCCGGGAAGCGGAGCTTGCAGTGAGCCGAGATTGCGCCACTGCAGTACGCAGTCCGGCCTGGGCGACAGAGTGAGACTCCGTCTCAAAAAAAAAAAAAAAAAAAAAAAAAAAAGCCCAGCTAAACAACTATGTTGTTCCAAAGACTTGCTAGCTATTCTGTTCTGTGGCCAATATTTCCTTGGTCACCACATCAGTGCAAACATGATTTAACTGACAGTTAAAATAGTAATATTTATAAAGACTCTATGTTTAGAGGATAAGACATTGAAAGTACACCAATGATTTTGAATATAGGCTCTGGAGAGAGCTAGATGCTAATTTGACTCCTTAACTTAACTATCTGACCTTGAACTAGTTACTTAGTCTCTAGACCTCAATTTCCTCATCTGCAGAATGTGAATAATGAGTGTTCTTGTGCAAATTAAATGATATGTATTTATACTAGATATTGTCATTTTTTCCTTCAGATCCACTGTCCACCTGCTACTCCTTGGTCTCCCTCCCAAGGAGGCTGACCTGCATGGACCACTAGAGGCTCCCTTGTCCTTTGCTTTTTTTTTTTTGGTTTAGCCAATAGGGTGCCCAGACAGAAGATGAGAGGGAGGGCTGAGAGTGAGGCTGGGGATTTATTCTGAATGCTTGCCCTGCAGCATTGCCTTAGGCTGTCACTATTCCTCCCCAGAAGCTTTCTAGGAGACTCTCCTTCTGTGTTCTGGAAAACTACTCCCTACCCTCTTCCCTTCAGGCTTAAGGACAGGTAACAGCCCTGCCATTACTAGCTCCAGGGCAGAGCATCATCTCTACAACCTGCCACATCTTTGCAAATAATCCCTTTATTAAACTTTCTTAAGAAAATCCCAATTTAACCATGTCTCCTTGTTTTTTTTTTTTTTTTTCTGGGATGTTGATTGGTACAATATGTGTTTACCATACTGCCTTGTACATAATAAATGTCCAACACAGTGATATTTATCATTAAGAAGACTGAAAACATGTAATCATTCTTACAATATCTATACAACTGGTATGCTGAACAAGTGTGGTGATAACCACACAGCTTAAATAAAAATAATCTTACCACTGTGTGTTTAAACTTCATTTGGTGATGATAATTTCCTCTCCCTGGAGGAAAACTCTAGAAGTCCCATGATTTCTCTACTCATTCTATTTTTTTTTTTTTTTTGGATGAGCACTGGGACTTTATGACACAGCACGGCACTCGTGACAACGGGAGGGGTGGGCAGAAATACAGGTCGGAACATGCTACAGTCCAGGGACGGTTGGTCATTCAGAAAGTACGTGTTTCCAGAACACTCAGTAGTAAGACCGTCTGGGGTTGTTCCGGGGGGTTGGGCCGGAAGCGGTAGGCCGGCATCATCCTCTTGAGGAAGGCCTAGTTCTCGCCGTCTTCCTTGGAGACAGCGGCTGGCGGGTCAATGCCGAAGCCGGCACCAGCCACTGCGGTGGTGCCCTTGTTGACCGGGTTCTTGATGCCCTGGCTCGCTGAGGCCCTCACCCTCCTTCCAGCCCATCTTCATCAGCACGTTCTCCTCGGTGAGCTTGAACTCCTTGTACTCCGAGTAGTCAGGCTCGCGACCCTCCTTCAGGGCCTTGAAAGTCTCCATAAACTTCTCCAGCTTGTCTGGAGGTAGGAAGTCTCCGATGAAGTGCTTGCCTCGGCTCATCTTCGTCAGCTGCTCGGCCCATTCCCTCGTCTTGTTCATCTCCATGCGCTGCAGCTGGTGCTCCCAGGTGCGCAGCTCGCTGCTCACCTCCTCGTCGCTGTGGTAGCCGTGCTGGTGCTGCTGCACCGCCTTCTCCCACAGCAGCTGCATATCCTGCATGGCCCACTTGTGCTGCATGATCATGTCGTACATCTGATGCATCTCCTGCTGGTCCTTCAGCTGCTGCTTCTGGGAGCACGATAGCTCCGTGAGGCCCGCTAGACCCACGGACTTCCCGTTCTCATAGCCGAGCCCCTTGAGGTCCTGAACTGACAGAGGTGAGGGAGAGGCATCCACGTCCCTCTGCACCAGCTCAGCAGGTGAGAGCTCTACTTTGTTCTCTTCAGGCCTCCACCGGCTCTTCGGCTTCCTCTTGACGGTGGCTGCGGAGGCTGGCTCCCCGGGGGCGCCTGGAGCGGGGATGACGGGGGGGACACAGGCGAGGACGAGGCGGGGCAGGTGGTTGTCGGGCCTCAGGAGGAGACCTGCGCTTCAGGCCGGGGTCGGGTGCCTGTGGAGCCGGCCTTGGCTTTCTGGAACTCCTCCAGCTTCTGTCAGTAGCAGTTGGACGCTTGGCTGTTGGGCTGGCTCGTACAGAAAGCTGAACGCCTGGTTTTCGCGGTTTTTCTGGAGGGCGATGGTTTCCATCTCGGGATCCCCGCGCGCTATGAACTCGGCCAACTTTTCTGCAAGGTTCTTGACCTCTTCGTCCTCTGGGGGTGAAACTTTCTGAGAGGCTGCCTGCGACTTCTGCTCTTCCTTTCTTATCTCAGCCACTTCCTTTCTGTGGTAGAGGAATTGCCTGCTATTCTTACCGTGCAAAAATGGAAACGCCAGGTTATCCTTGTAGTCCTCCGTAATCACTTTTTCTAACTCGGGGCCTGCTTCTGCCACAAAGGGGCCAATTTCTCTATCACTTTCCGAGTCTCGACTCCCTCTGGGGGTGAAACTTTGATCTCCAGCCACTGCTTCTAGTCCTCCTCCTCACCCTCGTCGTGGGACTGGAAGACACTCGGGCGGTGCGCCACAGGCAGCTGCTTGGCGTGCGAGTAGAGTAGCTCTTCACCGGCCTGGCGGGTTGGCCAGCCCTAGGCCTATCCGCCTGCTGATGAGGAGGGACCTCTTCCCGGCGCAGGAGGTAGGCGTGCCGGGAGGGGCACTGGGCGCCCTGGCGTTGGGGGTGAGGGGCATCTGTGCTCGTCTGTGCCATCTGCAACTTCAGAAACTGCTGCAAGAAGCTACCGTCGTTGGCAAACTTGTTTGAAACGGAGGAAGAGTTGTGTGCATTTGTGATTTCGCCGGGATATGGGGGCTGTGGGCTGGCCACCTCATTCTGCTTGGCTTTCTGTTGCATTTTGGATCCAATTTCCCCTTTCTTCTGAGCGATGAGCTGTTCCTGGTGAAGGATGTTCATGTTCATTTTTCCAGATTTAGGGGGAGAAACCCCAAACCACCGGTTAGCCTTTCCTGCAACGTCCCGGTTGTCCATCTTGAGACTCATCCAGTCCCACAGTCTCTCTACTCAGTCTCATGTGACAATCCTATAGTCACTTTAGGACATGAACACACTCACAATTCAGTAATTAGAATGTCCTGACCATGGGATAACAAAGATCTGACCTTGGTCGCCTCTTCTCCTGTTTCCCAGATTGTACCTGCTCCAGGCTGCTCCCTGCTGTAGGGACAGGGTGAGTTCCTGGCTCTCTCTCATCTCACCTCCTTCCTATCTCAGAAACTGCTATTTTGGAACTGCCAGTGTTAAGGGTAGGAGAGAGCAGAGGTATAGGGGAGGGCACTGCTTGGCTAGGAAGCTTCGGCTTCTCTGGACATATGGATGGTTAAAGCTGATGCTCCAGGGTGGGTCTGGAGATGATGAAGCCGACGCTTCTCTCTTGGGTGCTTCTCTTATGCAGCTCCCTGGACTTAGATGGATTGCTTCCTGGGCATCCACCACACACCTCAGCCTCTTTCTGCTCTTCCTTCCTGTAAATAGTCCTGTTGACTGCGAAGGAGGATAACCTCTCCCTGACACTCTCTCCTTCCTGACACACACCTGTTGTGAAACACAAAGCATCATTCGGCTCGGTCCTGATGCCGTAGTGGTCTCTTGGCTTCTCCATCCAAGCAGTTAATGAGCTTCCAGACTTCCTAGTCCCCAGACCACTTGAGCTTCATCAGGCCAAGTCAGGCACCAGTCTTTCATGTCTCCAATAGCAGGGAGCACATTTCCAAGCTGTTGCAGGGGTTCCCTGAGACTCCCCAACTAGGTTTGGCGATAGAAGGCAGCATACCTTAACCCATCCTCTAAAGTATTAGAGATGAGGAGAGGAGAGCCCTCTCCAAAGAGATCTTGTCACCATATTCTCAACCTACCAGTGTCTCCAATCTCTTTTATGTCCTTGACTGGACTGAGGGATCCAAGAGTCAGAAACAAGTTCTGGTAGGGCTCTTACTTGGTACAGCTGCATAAGATATTTGGTTTGTGATATCTGTCATATCAGCCTCATTGCAGAAACACATATTTTACGATATTAGCCAAAATTGTTTAGTGTTTTTTTAATTTTTATTTTTAGAACAAAACCTTAATAATTGGGACATGGCTAGAAGAAGAGAGTTTTTTGATTAGCAGTTTGATGATGGTATTTACATTATTTTTCTTCTGCCTACATTTGTCTTTTTTCTATAAATTTGAACATAGGATAGAGAGGTAGAACAAGGGCAGAAGTGGGGAGTGATAATACTACAAGCATCTAGAATGACTGATATTGACATCTGGAGCTAGATGCTATAGGGGAGGCATAGACACAGGGAGGGGGCATCGTGCACTCTGGGATTTATAATTCAAAGGGAGAATCTCTTATAATGTAAAGGGAGATACTTACAAAGTAGAAGGGAATCAGTGACTTGATTGTGGTGATGGTTGCACAACTCTGTGAACATATTAGGAACCATTGGATTAGTCACTTTAAATGGGTGCATTGTATGATATATAAATTATATCTCAATAAAGCTGTTAAAAAAGAAAAGTAAGACAAAGTGGGAACTAAGAGAAAAGAAAGGGTTCATTCAATCTGGAGAGTCTGGGGCCAGAGCACACTATTGTTATGTGAGTCTCTAGGTCACAGAAGATCAAAAGAAGAGGTTGATATAAAACCTGGCTCTTTTTGTGGGATCATTGTGTAGCTCAGCTGATAAAAGAGACTTCCCTGAAACCCCTTTAAGCCTGCAAGCACCATCTCTGCATTTTTTTCTCTAGTGGCTAAACAACGATGGAGAAGGGCCTGCCTTTTCTTACAGCTGGATGTGGCAAGCAGCCATTTCGCCATATAGACTGGTAAAAAGTTGAACTGAGACCACAGACACGATGATTGTAGAGTCTGTTTGCCATCCCAGGCTGTCAGTGGAAGACGCAGGGTGTTAGAGAGAATGAGGGGATAAGACACAGAAAGAGCAGTTCAGAGCTCTTAGCATTCTTTGAAGGTGATGTTAAATGTTCCAGGAAACTGAATGCTTTTAGAGAGAGATGGAAGGCTGCATCTGTTGAGAATTAAAGTGAAGAGGTCTGACTCATCTGTGTCTCACAAGAAATTTAAAAACTTTTTCCTTTATTATGTAAATTTTTAAACACACACAAAATAGGGAGAATAGAATAATAACTTCCTGTATAGCCATGGCTCTGAGAGGAGGGCACCATAACAGTTGAAATAACTACACTTTGCCTTATCCTTTTACTCTGCAAAAATAATATTCAAAAAAATGTAATGACATTGAAACAAATGTACTATTTAGTATTCTGGCATAGATGTCCATTTTAATTTCAAATTATGATAAAATAACGTGCAATTATTTTTTTGTTATTCAGTTTGAAGGCATAATGTCTTTGATAAATCTAATTGAATGGGTAACTTTATTCTTCCGTTCATATTTTTAAAAATTTTGGCTGGGTGCCGTGGCTCATGCCTGTAATCCCAGCACTTTGGGAGGCCGAGGTGGGCAGATCACAAGGTCAGGAGTTTGAGACCACCTTGGCCAACATGGTGAAACCACATCTCTAGGAAAAAATACAAAAATTAGCCGGGCATGGTGGCGCGTGCCTGTAATCTCAGCTATTTGGGAGACTGAGGCAGGAGAATTGCTTGAACCTGGGAGGCAGAGGTTCCAGTGAGCTGAGATTGTGCCACTGCATTCCAGCCTGGGTGGACAGAGCAAGACTCCGTCTCAAAAAAAAAAAAAAAAGAAAGGTTTAAGCACATGGAATTAAATGTATCATTCTCAAATCTTACAACACTTGATTTGGCATTATACCACAAGTTTAATTGCAGCAAAAGGCAAACAAGTGATATGCTCAGACTTCCCATTTTGTCAGCATGTAATATCTTTTCTAAATTATTCAGCAGTTGATTACCCAGATTACTTCATTCGTTTTTCCTTTTGCTTCCCTGTGAACTTTTAACTTCAGTCATTCACTCATCAACGAACTTTGTCAAGAAGGAGAATTAAAGCAAAACAATCTATTTAGCCACTCTGCCACTCTTTTTTTTTTTTTGGTTTGTTTGTTTTTTGTTTTTGAGACAGTGTCCTGCTGTATTGCCCAGGCTGTAGTGCAGTGGTGTGATCATGGCTCACTGCAGCCTTGACTTCCTGGGCTCAAGTGATCTTCCCACCTCAGCCTCCCAAAGTGCTGATATTGCAGGCATGAGCCACCTTGCTCAGCTATTTTGACTCTTTATCATCTTCAGGAAAATATCTGGAAAAACTAGTAATTAAATCTCCAAAAGGCACTAATCTATAGCAATTTTGCCTCTTGCCTCAAGTGGGAGTTTGGAGTTGTCCATGAGAATTAATCCCTGTTAGGGAGGATGATCAACAGGTCAGTGTTAGGGAGCAACATCAGGAGTCTGGAGGGCAAAGACAATGGGATTCCCAGGGTTTACCCCCTTGCAACAGGACCCAGTGGACAGATGGAGAATGAGAACCTAGGGAGCACTCCCCTTTGCCCATCCTCTCATCACCCCCAGGTAAGGAACTGAAGGTTCTAGTAGGGAAGTCGAGGCTGAACTGTGGTTACATAGTCTGAGTCAATACAGCAGATGCAAGACCATGATAGTGGACTCAGGCCTCAAACCGGAAACCAGGTCTACATTGGCAGATTATTTCTAAATGTCATGAGTCAGTGGGATGAGGCTTTCTCTGATTCCTTAGAAGGTTGGCAAGGCTGCGCATGATTTTCTGTGCCCAGCAAATAAAGTCTAAGGAAGGCTGAGCTTTCTGGTTCTCTTTTTTTTCCACCAAAAACTTTTTATTGGCCTTTTTGATGGAAACGGGTTTATTTGTCAGGAAGGATGATCCCATCATACTTATGCTGGAAGCAACGCATCATCTCCTCTTTGCTGAGTCTGTGTTTGGCCCCAGTGCAGCCTGTCCTGTGCTTCTTGTCTGTGATGCTGAAACCTGGCCTACCCAGCACCACAGAGAAGTCCAGGCCGTAGATACCAATGCTTGGGTCATATATGATACCCAAATCGATGTGTTCCTGGATCCCAAAACCAAAGTTTCTAGTATCTGAGAAGTTATTTTTTCTTAACTCATACTTCTGCACCTTTAGATCCTTCTCCAGGATTTCTTCTGCCTTGGATCCTTGAACTGTGCAGTGGACAGCAATCTTTTCATTTCTCTGCATGCCAGAGGATCTGATTGTATCTAGCTCTGGAAAACACAGGACTCTGCCCTGTGAGCTGCTCCAATGCCTTGGCTGCTCGGGTTAGTCTGTCTCCACTCTCCTCCACACAGATGTTGAGGCAGAGCTTGCAGATGTGAAGTTTCTGCATGGGGTTCTCCTTTTCACCTTGATCCGCCATGATAGAGAACAGGAAGAGCTCAGGTTCTCTTAAAAGAACTTTAGGAAACATCAAATGGGATATATTTTGGGCAGCTTCAGAAGCTCTACATCAGTCTCTGATCAGGCAAGAAATATCTGTATATGAAAAACCTGTAAATAAAATTTGCAGTTCATTCAACTTCAATGCAGCAAATTATATCCTTGATATTTGGAAAATCCTACTGATGTCTGAAAAGCAGTCTATTGTGGGATAGCCATTAAATTCTAGAATCTTTTAGTAATAAGATTGTATTTGGATGGGGCTACCTGTAGGGTAATGACATAATCCTCATTGTGAAATATAAACAACTGCAGAGGCAAGAGCTGCCATCAAGAATTATATGCTCCTAAGAGTGCCAGGTTGCTTTAAATTGTTTCTTCCTTTTACAGTGATACAGAAAGAGAGAAATCCCTTTTAATATCTCCATAAAATATTAAAATGTTGTCAGGATCTTCTAAAAGCCCCCAAAAATCTGTGCTTTCAGAAGTATGTTAGTCATAGTACTCAGAATCACATAGTTACCACCATGGTGTTCCCATAGACTGGCCACATATCCTTTAAATAGAGAGAGAATGTGGCCAGAAGTGTTCCTTCTTTTGGTTGCTGGAAATGAAAATGAGAACAATCTTACAATTTCAGAATTAGTCAGCAGGAGCCCACTTTTTTCCTAAGCATTTCTTTATTTGTGGATTTTCAGAATGGTACAATTTAGAGATTCAAATATGAAGCCTTCTTTCTCTACCAGAGAAAGGAAAAGATATGGCTCTATCCTGCGGTATATAATCTCCTTCAGAGGAGATTTCAGCTTTATAGATAAGTTAGAATCTCCTTTCCAGGATCTGAGTTCTACAATACACAATATTTTTAGGGCCTGAAAAAAATGACAATGTCCTCTCTTTCCTGAAGCACTTTTTGTAGTGGAAGACCTTTTCTTTACTGCAATATTTTATAAGTGTGGGCTTGGGAGAGAGAAAACGAAGACAGAGAAAAAAAATCATATAAGTAATTGTTCAGAATGTATCATCTATCATTATTTTCAAATACAAGTTCTGTCCTTGGAGCTGTTCTCTTGTTTCACTGATTTCCTAGAAAAATATGAAAAAGAAGGCGAGCCTGCTTATATAGTTTAAAGTTTCTTATTTCACTTTTCATATCCTGCTGCAGAACACACCCAGCATTTCTGGGACTTTGGGGTGGTGTTTGAACAGATATCCTCTGTTCAATATGTGCTCCATTGTCATTGTTGAGAAGACAATAGTTCCCATGTCTTCTGCATCCAGGTGACACAGGACAGATTGAATGCATCACCAAACAATGCACATCTCCTTTTCTATGATCATTTATTGTTGGAGAAGGAAGATACTTATTTTTATATTTGAGGGAACTGATGTCCAGAGATGAAAAATGATACGTTTAGAGGTCAATGGCTAGTTAGCAGTACAGTCAGAATGGCTGCAATGACTGCCCAGATATCTTGACCCTTTGTTTAGTGCTAATTTCCCCATTTTGTATTCATAAGCCTCTTTGGTGGCACACTTTTATTTGCTCTATCTACCTGAGACTCTGGGTTTCTCATATTAAGGACCTGCTTCCTGCCTTGGCAGAAGGCCCACCCTGACCTGCTCTTCTGTCAAAGCCTCCTGGCAATCTCCTTGCCTCTGGCTACATGCAGTAGCTTCCTTAAACATCTTGGTGGCTTCCCAATCAACCTCTAGTTCTGGTGCTATTTGTGACCCCTCTTCAATCTGCCTAATTCCCAAATTACTGCTTTGCTTTGCTGCCCAGGCTGGAGTGCATTGGCCTGATCTCGGCTCACTGCAACCTCCGCCTCCCAGGTTCAAGTGATTATCCTGCCTCAGCCTCCCAAGTAGCTGGGATTAGAGGCATGCGCCACCATGCCCTGCTAATTTTTGTGTTTTTAGCAGAGACGGGGTTTCACCATGTTGACCAGACTGGTCTCGAACTCCTGACCTCAGGTGATCTGCCCTCCTCGGCCTCCCAAAGTGCTGGGATTATAGGTGTGAGCCACTGCGCCTGGCCTTTGTTTTAGCTTTGACCTGGGGAGGGGAAGGAGGGGACACTTATCCTCTTCCTTATGCAACTAGGAATCTTCTCCTCAAGCTTTCTTTTCCCAGGAGTGGAGAGTGTTTGAGTCTCTTCTGCTCCTCTCTACCTCAGTGCTCAATTCTCCCCAGGGAGGAGGAGGGGTGGAGCTAATTGATCAGGCAATTTTACTAGTGAGTGTGATCAATATGCCTTTTGCTGGGGAAACTGGCTCTGTCCTGCCTCTCTTTGACCTGAGGCGCTGTACCTGCCTCTCTTTAACCTGAGGTGCCGTGGGCCTGCTCACATCTCTGGCCTCTTTTTTTTTTTTTTTTGAGACGGAGTCTCCTCTGTCACTTGCCCAGGCTGGAGTGCAGTGGTGTGATCTCGGCTCACTGCAAGCTCCACCTCTTGGGTTCATGCTATTCTCCTGCCTCAGCATCCTGAGTAGCTGGGACTACAGGCGCCCGCCACCACGCCCGGCTAATTTTTTTGTATTTTTCGGAGAGATGGGGTTTCACCGTGTTAGCCAGGACGGTCTCGATCTCCTGACCTCATGATCTGCCCGCCTCAGCCTCCCAAAGTGCTGGTATTACGGTTATGAGCCACCGCGCCTGGCCATCTCTGGCCTCTTAGTTCAACTCTCTAGCTGCAATGTTCTCCAGGTGATCACCCATGCGGCAGGATGCTGTCTTCCTTGAAGCTGGCTGGGTAAGTGGATTTGGTGTGCTCTACAGACTGCATTCCCCATAGTTTGGACCAAGATTTGGGAGGAGTCAGGACCATTATTTTGTCCCAAGGCTTAAAATTTATTCTTCCTCACAGTTGACAGTTGGGCCCTGTGTGTTGGAAGTTATTAGGTGCTGGCCCAGCCATTAATACAGCAGACACTGTGATTCCTGTTTGGCCATCCATTCTTTGTAGGACTTCTCCATTAGTTGGAACTTTTGTGGGAAGAAAAGTAAGCTTTAGACTCCCAAGTGTCAAAGATCTGCAATGTTGGGTCTTTTCTCCTGGTTACCCAGTTGTCGGAGGATGAATTGCCTGTCTCCTATACAATTTTTGGTCTGTCATTAGCTCCAGTTTCACTACTCAATTCACATTAATCAAAAACCATTTTGAAAAAATTGATTTAACAAGGAAAATAAATGATGTTTACTTAATACTTTTATACACTCTTTATCATACTAGTTATTGCATTCAGATTGTCTAGTTTATTACCTGTAACAACATAGTGATGGGATATTAATATACCCATTTTATAGATAACAAAACTTAGGCCCAGAGGGGGGAACTCTCAAAAGGTCATTCAGAGACACTCAAGATATCCCCATTTGTCCAGTACCTATTGTGTGCCAGGCATAGACCTAAATGTTTTACAGAGAGTATTTTGTTTATTATTTACCACAGTCCTGCCAGGGAGATATTATAGTCTCTGAGAAATTAACAACTTGCCAAGGAACATATATCAAAGGAAGGATGGAGACAGAACTGGAATTCACATCTTTCTGGCTCTAAAACTGCAAGTTCTTCCTAACATTTCAGGGTGCTTTCCCTTTACAAGTGCTCATTTTTCAACTAGATTTCTGAACTGTTAGGGAGACAAGTTTATTGTTTCAGGCCTGCACAGAATTGATAGTAGCAGTGAGAGTTCAGTTTCTCTCTCTGCCTTCCCATCAACTTCTCTCCCATTTCTGGGAATGGGGACAGAGAATTTAGAAAATTTATAGGTACACCATGTAATTTTGTTTGGAAAACCCTTCAGATGATTGAAATCTCTTAAGAAAAACCTGTACCTTCACTTCTCAGATTTCTGCCCAACGACAAGATCTATGGCTGTCTGTGTGCTCTTAGAGTAAGTGCTGCTCTCGTATTCCTGGCACATGGCCCTGGTTTGGTATTTCCTGGTGTCTTGTCCCAATTATGGGCTCCTTTGCCACTTACAACCCTCTAGTAAAAGACCAGGTCACTTCCCAGGAAGCAAATTATTTGATTAAGCAAGTATTTATGTAAAATTTGTAATATACACATTTAGAAAAAGATCAAATTACTAGCTGTACAAGTTTTGCCTTTTCTTTTTGCATTTTGTAATGTGTTTGATTGTCAAACTTGGAGGAGATAAAATGGACAGTAGTAACATTTCCATTAGAAGAAAGATTTCTGAAGAGCTTATAAGGAGGTAAATTTGAGTGGTAGGATGTTTCTTACATTTATTTAACAGTAGGCAACACATTTAAAGGTGCAGCAGGTTAACATGTACTGGGGAGAGCAAAGGTAAGAGATTGAAGGGTTCAGGTTGTCTTTGAAGATAAAAATGGGAAGCCTGAAGATGAATTTGAAGTCCCAAGAGAGGGGGAGGAAAAAGTGAGGTGTGAGAAACGTGATTTGAACTACACTAGATTTGACTTCTAAAAGTAAAAATGAAGATAATGCCAACATAGCTAGGTTAGGGGCAGTTTATTTGCTTATTTGTTATATTCTATCATAAGCTGGTTGCCAGTGGGATAAATACTAAAGAGGAGATGTACTACATGGCAATTCATTGGATAATCATACTAATAATCTATTTTTCCTAGAGTAAATACATTTATATTTAGACTTATAAAACTGGTTTATTGAACAGTCTGAACTGAGTGTGCATGAGGGACTAGAGTAGTTTTAATTTTTCTTTCCTTATTCCTGCCTTGATGCGTTTTCTTTCTAGTCTCATTATTTTGACCCTTTACAACATCTTGGGAAGATTCACAGCATTCTGATTGCTTTGAGTGTTTCAAAAATCTAGTACATGCCAGTTTAATCCACATGAAAACTTTGAACTCATCCTATGTGACACTCTGCCATGGTCCAAGATTTCAGGACAGTATGGCGGTTCCTCAAAAAAACTAAAAATAGAACTACCATATGATCCAGAAATCCTAGTTCTGGGCATTTACCCAAAGGAAAGGAAATCAGTATATCAAAGAGACATCTGCACTCCATGTTTATTACAGCACTATTTGGAATAGCCAAGATATGAAATCAACCTAGGTGTCCAACAACAGATGAACGAATGCATACACACACGATGGAACACTATTCAACCATAAAAAGAGTGAAATTTTGTCATTCATGGCAACATGGATGGAAATAAAGGACATTATGTTAGGTGAAATAAGCTAGTAACAGAAAGTTAAATACTGCATGTCTTCACTCAGTATGGAAGCTAAAAAAGTTTTGATCTCATAGAAGTAAAAGGTCAAACAGAAAATACTAGAGGCTGGGAAAGGCATGGAGAAGGAGGAAATAGAGAGTCTTGTTAAAGGATATAAATTATAGCTAGATAGGAGGAATAAGTTATAGTGTTGTATAGATGTAGGATGACAATAGTTAACAATAATATATTATATAGTTTCAAATAGCTAGGAGGATATTGAATGTTGCCAACACAAAGAAATGATAAATTTTGGAGATGATAGATATGCTAATTACCCTGATTTGATCACTATACATTACATGTGTCACAACATCACTATGTACTGCTGTGCGCAGTGGCTCACATTCGTAATCCCATTACTTTGGGAGGCTGAGGTGACAGGATTGCTTTAGGCCAGGAGTTTGAGACCAGCCTGGGCAACATGGTGAGACCCACTCTGTGAAAAAATAAAAATAAAAATAAATTATCCAGGCATGGTGGCATGTGCCTGTTGTTCCAGTTACTTAGGAGGCTGAAGCATGCGGATAGCTTGAGTCCAGGAGTTTGAGGCTACAGTGAGCTATGATTGTAACACTGCACTCTAGCCTGGGCAACAGAGCAAGACCTCATCTCAAAAAACAAAACTAAATAAAACTATATACCCCCTAAATATATACAATTATTATGTATCAATTAAAAACTTGAAAAAAAGGACAATATCCAGTTTGGTAGAAAGAACAAGCTATCTGGATAATAATGTCTAATAGAATATAAGGAATCTGGAGAATAGGAACAGGTCTTCATAAGTGGTTTTATTGTTTGTTTAAAAACAGTTGCATTGGATTGATACCAAGTGAATTCAGTTTATGTTTAAATGTCTGAAAAATCTGATATAATTAAACTATTTCAGTGACATTAATATTTTCAGTATGAAATCATAACTTTAATAAGTTATGTTTTCATAACTTAAATAATATGATTTTTAAATCATAACAGTTTAAAAATGATATATATGTATAATGCTATTATTGATTGTTTTAATATTCTAAAAGTAGTATAAGAGGGTCTTATGGTCTTATTATAGAAATATGAATTAAACACAAAAATATGGAAAAGGATAAAAAGTTAACTTTTAATAAATAAGAAACAGTGGATGTAGACCATTTTTATTCCATCCATCTACGGATCCACTAATCAATCATTTAAACAACCATTTATTGGGAGGCCACCACATTTTAGATTACAACTAAGTAAAGTCTGATAATCCATAAATCCTGATAATAAAATATGCCCAAGAAGGCCAATTTGTTTTTTCCATTACATCTCTTTTCTGAACTTACTTCAGATTTCTCTTTATAGTCTGTCTATTGCTTGGCCCAAGTGTTGTACCTTGCTCCAGTCTGCTGTGGCCAGTACTTTTGCCTTCAATGCTTTTGGCAAATGTTACCCAGAAAGCCACTCATCCTTGAGAACACTCTGAGGTGGCTAAACAAAGGCAAGCCACTTTGCCAGTTCCTTAGGGGGCCACTACACAGGACAAAATGGGCAATCATATTTCTTTAAGAACAAGTTCTGAGTTACTCCACCTGGTACTAGGAGTCTGTGCCAGGAGTGTGGGCTGCTACACGAATGGCTACTGCCAACATGAGATGTGAGGGATGGCAAGTGGGCAATTTAACATGCTAGGACACTCTCTTACCACAAAGCAGCAGCTTATTTTTTCACCCAGTCTTCAGCTGGTTGTTGAAAGTTTTTGGTTGATTCCAGAATTGTGTAAAGTTATTTCAGTTTTTGCCAGCTCATGAATTGCTTTTGTGGAGGGAAAAAGCCCTGGTGTTCCTACTCCACTGTTTTTGGTGATATCACTTTCATGGGTTTTCTTTAGGAATATGACACTGTAAAGGAAGTTAAAGGTCAGTCCTTCCTGTCTTTTGTCTTTTACTTAGAAGATAGCAATACATGAACTATTCACATTTGTAGAAAGAAAGTCTCATTTAATTAACATTTCTGACCCACACCTTCACCAATTCCTCTTTCTTTTTACAAGGAGAAACACTCTGTCTAATTGGCACCATGTGTAGAAGGCTCCTGTCTGCCTGCTCTAGGCGCCGTTTAAATTTCCCCTTTTATTTTTAGTTGACAAATGATATGCTTTGGCTGTGTCCCACCCAAATCTCATCTTGAATTGTAGTTCCCATAATCCCTACATGTTGTGAGAGGGACCCAGTGGAAAGTGATTGGATCATGGGGGCAGTTTCCTCCATGCTGTTCTCATGATAGTGAGTGAGTTCTCATGAGATCTGATGGTTTTATAAGGGGCTCTTCCCCCTTTGCTTGGCACTCCCTACCTCCTGCCGACTTGTGAAGAAGGTTCCCGCTTCACCTTCCACCATGACTGTAAGTTTCCTGAGGCCTCCCTAGCCATGCAGAACTGTGAATCAATTAAACCTCTTTTCTTTATAAATTACCCAGTCTTGGGCAGTTCTTTATAGCAGCATAAGAACAGACTAATACAGTAAATTGGTACCAAGGTAGTGGACTGCTGCTATCAGGATACCTGAAAATGTGGAAGTGACTTTGGAACTGGGTAACAGGCAGAGGTTTTGATGTAGGATTTTTCTCAGTCAATTTGCCAGCCAGGGACCTCTGGCTGGTGACGCCCCTCACTGGGACTCACTCAGACCCGCTACCTGCTGCAGGAGGCACCCTGCCCACTTGCCTGACCTGGGCTAAGTTTGGCTTGTGCGCTGGCTCAGCCTGTAGCTGGGCTGGGCATGCCCCAGCCTGCCTCTGTTATAGCTTGTACCTGTGTTCAGTGGTTCCTGAGCTCTTGTCCTGCATCCAAGAAGAATGAGGATACACTGTCAATTGAAGGGTGATGGGAGCGGAGAAGAATTTTATTGAGTGACGGAACAGCTCTAGTGGAGAGTGGACATGGGGGTTGTCCCTCACCCCCACAGTCAGGTGGTTTTTCTCCCAGTGTGGCTGAGTCCAGGGCTTTTGTGGGCTTAGACTATGGGAGTATGTGCTGACTGGTTTGTGAGTATGCAAGGCTAAAGCAAAAGACTAAAGCAAAGGCACAACTCAAATATGGTCATGGCAGTGTAGAAAACCAATTAGGAAAGGGTAGGTATATGTAAAATAGGTGAAGGGTGGGGATCAGTCAGAGGAGTGTGTCAAACGGGAAGACAGGTTCTCAATCCAGTCTGTGGATTTGACTTATAGCTAGGGTTTCAGGCTTTAAACAGTCTTTGGCTTATAGGTGGATTTTCACTGGGGATCTGTCCCTATCTGCCTAGGCATTTGTCTGCCTCCTGCCACTATTGCTTTGAACAGTTTGGAGGACTCAAAAGAAGACAGAAAAATATGAGAAAGTCTGGAACTTCCTGGAGACTTTGAGGGCTCAGAAGACAGGAAGATGTGGGAAAGTTTGAAACTTCCTAGAGACTTGTTGAATGTCCTTGACCAAAATTCTGATAGTGATATGGACAATGAAGTACAGGCTAAGGTGCTCTCAGATGGAAATGAGGAACTTGTTGGGAACTGGAGTAAATGCCACTCTTGCTATGCTTTAGCAAAGAGACTGGTGGCATTTTACCCCTGCCCTAGAGATCTGTGGAACTTTGAACTTGAGGGAGATGATTTAGGATATCTGGTAAAAGAAATTTCTAAATGGCAAAGCATTCAAGAGGAAGCAGAGCATAAAGGTTTGGAAAATTTGCAGCCTGATGATGTAGTAGAAAAGAAAAACCCATTTTCTGGGGAGGAATTCAAGCTGGCTGCAGAAATTTGCATAAGTAGTTGGGAGCTGAATGTTAATCACCAAGACAATGGGGAAAATGTCTCCAAGGCATGTCAGAAACCTTTACAGCAGCCCCTCTCATCGCATGCCCAGAGGAGAAAATGGTTTTATAGACCAGACCCAGGCACCCCCTGCTCTGTGTAGCCTTGAGACATGGTGCCCTGCATCCCAGCTCCTTCAGATCCAGCTGTGGCTAAAAGGGGCCAAGGTACAGCTTGGGCCATTGCTTCAGAGGGTGCAAACCCAAACACATGGTGGCTTCCATGTAGTGTTGAGCCTGTGAAAGCACAGAGGTCAAGAATTGAGGGTTGGGAACCTCCGCCTGGATTTCAGAGGATGTATAGAAATGCCTGGATGTTCAGGCAGAAGCTTGCTGCAGGGGCAGAGTCCTCATGGAAAACCTCTGCTAGGGCAGTGTGGAAGGGAAATGTGGGAGTGGAACCCCCACACAGAGTCCTTATTGGGGCACTGCCTAGTGTAGCTAGGGCAGTGAGAAAAGGGCCACCATCCTCTAGACCCCAGAATGGTAGATCCATTGACAGCTTGCACTGCGTGCCTGGAAAACTCACACTCTACACCCATCCATGAAAGCAACCGGGATGGAGGCTGAACCCTGCAAAACCACAGGGGCAGAGCTGTCCAAGGCTGTGGGAGGCTACCACTTGCATCAGTGTGACATGGATGTGAGACATGGAGTCAAAAGAGATCATTTTGGAACTTTAAGGTTTAATGACTGCCCTGTTGGATTTTGGGTTTGCATAGGACCTGCAGCCCCTTTGTTTTGGTCAACTTCTCCCATTTGGAACGGGTGTATTTACCCAATGCCTGTACCCCCATTCATTGTATCTAGGAAGTAACTAACTTGTGTTTGATTTTACTGGTTCATAAGCAGATGGTACTTGCCTTGTCTCAGATGAGAGTTTGGAATTGGATGTTTGAGTTAATGCTGGGTTGAGTTAAGACTTTGGGGGACTGTTGGGAAGGCATGATTGTGCTTTGAAATGTGAGGTCATGAGATTTGGGAGTGGCCAGGGACAGAATGATATAGTTTGGTGTATCCCCACCCAAATCTCATCTTGAATTGTAGTTCCCAGAATCCCTATGTGTCATAGGAGGGACCTGGTGGAAAATGATTGGATCATGGGGGCAGTTTCCCCCATGCTGTTCTCCTGATAGTCAGTGAATTCTCATGAGATCTGATGGTTTTATAAGGGGCTTTTCCCACTTTGCTCAGCACTTCTCTCTCCTGCCACCATGTGAAGAAGGATGTGTTTGCTTCCCCTTCTGCCATGACTGTAAGTTTCCTGAGGCCTCCCTAGCCTTGCTGAACTGTGAGTCAATTAAACCTCTTTCCTTTATAAATTACCCAATCTCAGGTAGTTTTTTGTAGCAGTGTGAGGACTAATTCAGCAATAATTGTACATATTCATGGGATACAGAGTGATGTTTTTATATGTGTCTACTATGTACAATGATCAAATCAAGATAATTAGCATATCCATCACAGCCATTTGTGTTGTGAACATTCAAAATCTGATGAGATTAATTCTTAAATCAGTTAAAGAATACTAACAACTGGTTGGTACTTAACCACTATTGTGGCTGAAGGAAATAGGGCATGAAGGAATGGCAAATTCTTAATGTTGGCTAGACAAGGTCATGTGATTATATGTGTATATACAATTGGAAGGGAATGCTTGTGGTTGGGATAGCCATGAGGACAACAGAAGTCTATTATTCTTAAGGGAGCTGCAACTAAAATGAAAGAGAGTTTGCAAAAATCAATCATACAACAAAAGATGAAAATACTGTGATACGTCTGACCTAAGATAATTCGGCTTTTAAAAAATATGTTTTAAATTAGAATTTTAAATAACTTGCATTTATCTCCTTCATGGGAATGTCTTTTAAGTGGACGCAAAATTTTAATCATTGCTTAATAAAACTATATACATATTTCTTTGCTAGAATGAACTTTGTCTCTCTGGAATGCCTCTGTCACCATTAGAATTAGTCAGATATTACGCCTCTACCATCATTTCAGGCAGTGGCAGACGGGTTTGTGCACCCTGATTGCTGTGTGCTCCTCCGCATTTCAACCCCAGGCACCTATATGTGAGTCACAGGATTTATTCTCACCAATGGGAAAGTGGGAAGAAATAATGTGCCATTTCTGATTGAAAGCAGTTAGAGTATTATAAACCTTTCCTTTGCTCCTCCAGGCAGCTGAAAAAGAAAAAGTGTAAGATAGCGTATTGCAAAATGGAAACATAACTTGTCCCTGAGTCACTGTTAAAGGAGAGCAGTACATATTACAGTGTCTGTGATATGAGTGAGAAGGAAACTTTTATTACATGGAGTTGCTGAGATTTCAGGATTTATTTGTTATTGTAGCATAATTTGTTATTTGAGTAATATACAGGGACACCATTACATTACTAGGAGTAAAATGGAATTACCTGTTTTGAAAGTAAGTTGTCATTTGATACCTGATTCTTTATATATTCCTTCTTTTCTGAACTTGAAAATTTGCTGTATTCCAAAAAGATATATATAGTGATGAATTTACTACTTTCATGCATCAAAACTGTATTTACTATATAATTCTGATTTTGCTGAAAAACACTCCATCACAAATCTAGGCCCATATTTACATTTGCAATGATACATTACAGAAGTTGGGAAGAAACACACCAAATTATTCATTTTGTTTTGTCACTGGCTGGGACAGAAGATGGCAATAGAAATGACAGAATTCTTTTTGTATTGAAAAATGTTCTATATTTTAAACATCCCCTTTAAAATCATTAGTTTTATAATTAGGGGCTGTATTCAGTGGCTCATGGAGAATCCCTTGAACCAGGAGGTTGAGGCTGCAGTGAGCCGTGATTGCACTACTGCATTCCAGCCTGGGTGACAGAGAGAGAGATCCTGTCTCAAAAAACAAACAAAATTAGTTTTATAATTAGGAAAGAAAATAAAAGTCATAAAAGAAAAATTTTAAAAGATAAAAATATGCTCCAAAGAGGGTATCCATGTGGTGAACAAGCACATGCAAAGATGTTCAACATCACTAAACATTAGGGAAATGCAAATTAAAACCATGGTACAGTACCACTACACAGCTGTTAAAATGGCTAAAGTTAAATCTATACTGACAGTACTAAGTGCTGACTTAACAGAACAACTGGAAATCTCATGCATTGCTGGTGGGAATGTAAAATGGTACAACCAATCTGGAAAACAGTTGGGCAGTTTCTTATGAAGTTAAACAGTAACTTACCATATGACCTGGCAGTCCCACTCCTAGGTATTTGTCCAGAGACATGAAAACAATACACAACAATACATAGTATATATAACAAAATAGTATTTTACATAATAATAAATGCTAGTTCCATTCTTCCTAAAGAAAATAACATGCCTGCCCAAGGGAGGTAAACAACAATGCAAGCCAAGTGCCTAGTCCATACAAAACCTGCACACAAATGTTTATGGCTACTCTACTTATAATAGCCAAAACCTGAAAATGACCTAAAGGACTTCATTGGGTGAATAGATAGCCAAATTGTGGTATGTCCATAGAATTGTGGTATGTCCATAGAAGGTATAGAATGCAATACGTCTCAGCGGTAGAATGGGATGATATGCTGGTACCTGCAATAAGACAGATGAATCAAAGGCATTACACTATGAAATAGAAGCCAGTCTCAAAAGGTTACATGCTGTATGATTTCATTTATATGGTAACCTTGAAAAGCTGTAGTGATAGAAAACATATCAGTGATTTCCAGGAGTTAGAGAAGCAGGAATGTGGATGTTTTGGGGTGATGGAACTATTCAGTGTCCTGATTGTGGTGATGTTTATACAAATCTATACCTGAGTTAAAATTCATAGAACTGTACACTGAAAAAAGTTAAATTTCATGGCATGTTGATTAAAAAATAAAATAAAAATAAAACAAAATCAGAAACAGAACAAATAATGCCTACCCTTCAAGCTCTGGTCTTTCCCACAACTACTTTTCTAGTCCATTCCAGGCCACATTGAGTTTCTCTTTTCTTCCTCTGAAAGAATATTGCTAAGTAGACCATTTATCATTTGGTTCTTATCAACAATAGAATGTACTTCCTAGATCCATAATTGTACTTAGAATAACATATTTGCTGACTACATCATTTATCACTGGACACTTACCAGTAATTGCTTTGCACTGTTGCACACCTCTCCCAGGTGGGCATGCTTTGTTTCTCTAGAAAGCATGGAGCTAGCACTCATTTTTATGTACACTACTATTTCTGCTCTGTCTGCTACATATTGATTTGTGTAATACTTCTTTTGTGTATGATGTGTGCAATACTATTGCTGCTGTGTATAATTCCATTTTATTTTTTATTCAAAACAAACTAGTGAGATAGGATTAATATTTCCATGTTTTTTTGAAGAGGAAACTAAGATTTGTAAAATTATAGGAAGTGTCCAGAGTCACATAAAAAGCAAGAGGCAAAGCTGTAGAGTAAGACGAGTTCTGGCTGACTCTAAAGCCCATGATCTTTTCCCTGTACCACTGTGCTGCTGCACAACCAGTTGGCATGCTACCCAAGGAAGAGACTTGTCTTCATTTCAGAATCCCAGTCAGTCCTCAAAGACTTCTTGACATTTGAATGAAAAAAACAAAAAACAAAAAACATTTAGTTCTGTTCTGTAGGATAGCTTTAAGCTGCTTGAATACTCTAGTTTGGCTGTATGCTTATCCCTCAGAGTGATTCTGACTTTACAAGGCCAGGTGTGGGGAGGTGGAGCTGGTGTGAGTAACTGGGGAAACAATGTGTGGGCTGCAGGAGCCAAGGCTAGGCTTGTTTCTTGGTGATTGTCCTGGAAATTAGGAATCATGCAGAAGAACAAATAATACAAAAAAGACACGAGAACCTTGAGAATGTAGCTCTAATGTCCAACAGCAGTCATTGTATGTAATGAGTTAATTTCTCTCTTATGCTTTTGGAATGTTATTAGTTAGTACTCTCCTTGGGAGAACTGAGAAAAGAATCATTCAAATTATTTTTGTTTTCTGTGGGTCAAATGAGGATCTACAGTTGAGAAAGACTGGAGGTTGGGAGTGTGGGGTAGTGGGAGAGAGGTTCCTGCTTTTCTATACAGGGAAAGGGAGTTTTGGATAGATAGAAGGGGAAAACTTTGTGAGTGACAGGGTAGGCCAGTAAGTACCCCGCTTAGACCCAGGTATTGGCATGTGAAGGTGAATAGAGCTTTTGTATTGCTTTTCCCACTGGGTTGTCTGTCATTATGAGGCAAGGAAAGCCCCAGTCAGGTCAGGAAGGTACTGGGGTTCACGCAGCAAGGCTTGATTTTTGTTTTCCCTGTGGGCAAAGTGCCTAGTCTCAAAGGTGTTTGCTTTCTTTGTTGGGTGTTCTCTAAGATAAGAATAAAACAAAACTAAACCACTCAGAAAGCTGTGCTTCTGTAAATAAACCTTCACTGAAGTGTAGGGTCAGAGCTTTCTCTGAAAATTTCCCTCTACATTATGTTGCTGCTTTTGCTGCTTAAATATTATAAAGTCCAAAATAATGGTACGTTGTGATTTGGTGCTTTATCGACACTGCAATGTCATTGTTAGAGGCTTTCATTTTTGTTACTTTGGTTCTAGTTCATTCACATTGCAAATGGCTGCTTTAAGACCACTTTTGTCTTTCCCCTCCCATTATCTGCCTCTTGGTTCTAAGGTTTTCTTTTATAAAGGGTCGTTATGTTTCGTATGATGTGGTAGCTTGTTTGTACTCATCCGAAAGCCCATTTTCTTTTTCTGCCCATATTTTTAACTTTGAACCTCTGTATTCTTTCCTCATGCCACTGATGCCACATCTTAATTTTGTATCATTGGCACATGGTAATTAATTTGCTGCTTACATTTTTGGTTTCATTAACAAAGACATTAAACAAATGTGCCATATGTTACAACTTATTCTGTGGCTTTCAATTTTTATTCTTGTTAACTCTTCTTGACATTTTCTGTAATTTAAATGTGCACTCTTAAAGACTGTCAACTTTCACATTAGCTATGAGTATGTGCTGGTCTTACATGGGCAATAGATTCCTCTCTGTGTTTCTAAATGGAATATGGGGAGAAATCACTGGCTGGAAAATAGCTATTTCTTTAGTGTTACCTTTACTTTTAAAAAGTTGCCTGGAATTCTATCAACTGGGGGTGCTGTGAATATGTAGGAAATATACTTTACATATATAAAGTACTCTTGGGAGCATTAATAACCTGGATGATTAAGCAAGTTGGGCAATAACTTGAAGTTTCAAGAGGACTCAAGGAGAAGTAGAACTTTGATGACAGAAAGTGACAGTTACTCCTAGAACTTCAGTAGAGTCCTGCTGTGAGGGGGAGGACCCATGTGCTTAGAGAGAAGAGAGAGTGGAAGGGAGAATGAGTAAGAAAAGAAGATGCCAGGAGATGGAAAAAAATTGAAATAAGAGTACCAAAGATGAATATTTTGATAATTTTTTTCTACAAGCATAGCCAGAGATAGAGGAGGATAAAGGTTATTCTTTCCTTGGCTCAGAGATCAAAAGGGTTCTGCCTCAGGATAAAATATAAAAATATAGTGAGGGGAGCTTCCATTTCCAGCAATGTTGTAGACTAGATAGTTCATAAATACCCCAAAGCTTTATAAATGCACCACTCTCATACACACACATACATATTTTTAGGTGCATAGCTGGGTTGGCAAGGATGAAAAGGAAATTCTGAGTTCAAAATGATAAGTATAAATCCTCACGTTTGGTCAGCACTGAAGCCAGCAGCTGCCCTGGGCTAATCTGCAGATTTCTAGTGGCCTGGAGGCTTTAGTTTTAATAGGTCAAGGATAGGAACACAGAGAGATCAGTGGATTTATCAGAGACTAGAGGAGAAATCAGGATTTCTGAAAAGTGACATCTTTAGCGAAATAGAGAGCCAGAAAAAAATTTCCACAAAGGGTGATAGTAAGGAATCTTGCTTGTCTTGGCCATGGCCCAAATATAAGCAAAACTTCTTTCATGAGAATTTGTAACTGTAAGCTGATCCTCACACTTATTGGGGACCAGAATTCACTTTACCTATGTGGCCCAGGAAAACCCCAAGCCAAGTGTTTAGTTTAACCTGGTTATACAAACACAAATCCTGTTTTAGAGGATCACACCTTCAACTGAGGCTTCAACGATATCTAACAAGATAACTCTCAATAAGAATGAACTCTTTCTCCCTCTGTCTCTCAGACACACACATAGACAAACACACATGTGTGCACACACACACCTACACACACAAACACACACACACACCAACTACCAAACATGTGGAGGAACAAGCAAGTATAAATAAGAGTTACCCAGAAACAACCAATTTCAGAATTAGAACCTTGAAGACCTCAGATACTGGAATTACTGAAAATAGAATATAAAATAAGTATGTATGATAAGTGTAAAGGAAAAAGATGTTAATGACAATCTCACCAAGTATAATCCCTGACCAAGCAAATGTGAAAAAGAATAAAACTAATGGAAATGAAAAATACAGTAAGTAAAACGCAAAACCCAAGGGTTTAGTTAAATGGCTTCTACTTGTTGTTGAATGTGAAGAGAATGCATCATGGGTAGATAAATTAGTAATTTGTAATTTAAATATAGAAGGAAAAATAACAAACAGCAGAGGTTTTTATAGGAGAGGCTCCAGAAGCGAAATTATAACTAGAACTTTGTTTTCCAGTTTTGCTTTATCAAAAGGATCACCGTAGCCATTGTTTAAAATATAGATTCTTGGGCTTCACCACAGACTTCTTAATCAGAATTTCAGTTTTAGAAACACATGCTACAGCAGTGATTATCAAAGCATGGTTCCTTAACTAGCAGTATTACTAGTATTACCATACTTGGCTAATTTTTGTATTTCTTGTAGAGACAGGATTTTGCCATGTTGCCCAGGCTGATCTCAAACTCCTGGGCTCAAGCAACCCACCCACCTCAGCCTCCCAAAGTGTTGGGATTACAGGTGAGCCACTGTGCCCAGCCAGGGAATTGTTACAAATGCAACTTATCAGACCCTACTTAAATCTACAGGATCATAAACTCCAGGAATCTGTGGTCTAAGAAGATATACAAGTGACTCTGATGCATATAAAATTTGAGAATTGTGTTAGATCACTCCCTGACCTTAGCATGAAGGAAAAGCTAGTTTTGGTGGTCTACACAGGGCAAATAGAAGAACTAAAATTAAGAAAAAAATGGGAAGAAATTGACATAACTTTCTTGATCTCTGCACGCACCAACTAGTCTGTTAATCCTCTGAAATCCCATGGAAGTTTTCCTATCCCTTTTACACCTTCTGTCTCGGCTCTTCACCTCCTCTTTCCCTGTTGACTCCTCCATACCCTTCAAGTTGCAGTGTACATTAGTGGTTCTCAAATTTTAATGTAGGAATCACATTTTGAGAATCACTGGTTAAATGTGACATCTTACATGATATTTTCTCTAGTCCATAGTCTAGGCTGGGTCCTCTATTGCATCTCATGCCGGCTTCATACTATTATCTCTAATAGGATTATGGCAAATGTAGACAAAATAATTATTTATGTTTTTTTCATTATCTTTCATCCTTCCTGAACTATGAACTCCAGACCAAAGCAGAGAGCAGAGACTTTCCAGACAAGGGTGCAGACCATATCCCTTTTGTTCACACTGGTAGTCCTAAAGTCAAGCACAGTGTCTGTCATAAATAAGATAGTTGTTGAATAAATATTTGTTGAATGAGTGAATGGATGTCTTTATTTGCTTGTCCTTTGTTTACCACCAGAAGTTTGGGACCAGCCTTTCTCACTCCTGTATCTATTTCCACTAAAAACATCTCTCCAGTCTCCTTAGTGGTAAAGAAAGAAATGGTCTGAGATAGATACTGCTTTTGTGGTCATGTCTAGTTACTTTTGGACAATAAAGCATTTTTTTCCATTTATTATCTTGTGTGTATTTAGATTTTACCCTTGGAGATTCTTTTACCTGTTTTATCTGATTTCCTTTGGGAATATTATTTATCTCTTGATATAGTTTAGATATTTGTTCACTCCAAATCTCATGTTGAAATGTGATCCCCAATGTTGGAAGTGGGGCCTAACGGGAGGTATTTGGGTTATGGGAGTGGATTCCTCATGAATGGCTTGGTGCCTGCCCTGTGGTAATAAGTAAGTTCTTGTTGTATTAGTTCATGTGGGAGCTGGTTGTTTAAATAACATGGCACCTTTGCCACTCTCTCTTGTTCACTCTGTCACCATGTGACACAACTGCTCCTCGCTTGCCTTCTGCCATGACTGTAAGTTTTCTGAGGCCTCACCAGAATCAGATACTGTCGCCATGCTTCTTGTATAGCTTGCAGAACCATGAACCAAATAAATCTCTTTTCTTTCTTTCTTTCTTTCTTTCTCTTTTCTTTTCTTTTGCCTGCCTGCCTGCCTTCCTTCCTGCCTTCCTTCCTTCTTCCTTCCTTCCTTCCTTCCTTCCTTCCTTCCTTCCTTCCTTCCTTCCGTCCTTCCTTCCTTCCTTCCTTCTTTCCTTCCTTCCTCCTTTCCTTTCCTTTCTCTTTTCTTTTGTCTTTTCTTTTCTTTCTGTTTCTTAGATGGAGTTTCACTCTCGTTGCCCAGGCTGGAGTGCAATGGTGTGATCTCGGCTCACTGCAACCTCCGCCTCCCGGGTTCAAGTGATTCTCTTGCCTCAGCCTCCTGAATAGCTGGGATTACAGGTGCCTGCCACCATGCCTGGCTAATTTTTTGTATTTTTGATAGAGACGGGGTTTCACCATGTTGGCCAGGCTGGTCTCGAACTCCTGACCTCAGGTGATCCACCCGCCTCAGCCTCCCAAAATGCTGGGATTACAGGCGTGAGCCACCCTGCCCAGCCTAAACCTCTTTTCTTTATAAATTACCCAGCTTCAAGTATTCTCTGATAGCAATGCAAAGTAGACTAACAGATCTCTGTATTAGTTTATCGTTTCATTATTTAAATGCCACAAACAGGAGACAGTATGGTAGAAAGTATGTGTTCTAAGCAAGGGAGACTTTTAATAGTTTATCCTCCTAAAGTCTCTTTAGTGATTTTTTTTTTTTTTTTTTGAGATGGAGTTTTGCTTTTGTTGCCCAGGCTGGAGTGCAGCGGTGTGATCTCGGCTCACTGCAACCTCTGCCTCCCAGGTTCAAGTGATTCTCCTGCCTCATCCTCCCAAGTAGTGGGGATTACAGGCATGCACCACAACACACAGCTAATTTTGTATTTTTAGTAGAGACAGGGTTTCTCCATGTTGGTCACACTGGCCTCGAACTCCTGACCTCAAATGATCCGCCCACCTCGGCCTCCGAACAGGTGTGAGAAACCGCGCCTGGCCTTTTTTGTATTCTTGATTAGATTTTCTACTCTGTTAACATTTGATTTTAAGGTCCCTAAAGCCAGCTCATCATGGGTAAATGGTAAAACCCTTTTGAAAGGCCATTTGTCAATCAATAGTAAGTTCCATGAAAATGTATGAAATGCCTTGTGTACATCATGAAACACATACATTTATCCCTGTTACCACCCCACAACCCACTAAAATGATAGAAAAGAGATTTAAAAAGTAAGTTTCCAAGGACGAATGGGGAGATAAGAACAAACAACAGGTAACTAACTTAGCACGTCAGAAGGTTGAAACATCAGCCTGCAAGGTGTTTTGGAAAAGGTAGAAGCCAAGAAACAAGTCCTGGAAAAACTGAGGAATTGGAGGCTCTAGGAAATTTCAAAGATGGGAATGTGAGTGAGGCTGAAAAATGTTAATGGACAGACATTAAAAGGAGCTGTTAGCCTCTTGAGATTTTCCTCCACCTATTGTAAACCTTGGAGGGGATGTCTGCCAAAATCATTTTAGACTCTCTGTACAATGTGGGGAAACTTACAGTCTCTATGCCTTCAAGTTTGGGGCTGATTCCTGAAATGAGGGGAAACCAGGTGGTACTTAAGTTCCCTTGCTAGATACGTACTTGAAAGGGTCTATGCCAAAAATGTTCTTAATAGTAATGTATGGAGAGTTGGGAAGAACAAATAGTTTTAATTTCCCATGCTACCCATACTTTCCGTATTTTCTGAAAGGAAAAAAATGAGCTATATTTCTGCTACCTTAAAGCATCTACTTTAATTTTTCTGATCCTTACCAGTCTTCATGTACATTTGAGTATTTATTAGATAATATGTGTTTGACTGCAATTACCTGAAAACCTAACTAATGGTGGATTAACCACATTTATTATTTGCTTAAAAGTGCAGAGATTGCCCTTCTCGGTGTGGTGCAGAGGTTCAATAATATAATCAAGGACCCACACTCTTTTTTACTTCTGTTCCATCACCTTTAGCATGTTGTCTTTTGGTTCCTGTGTTTGTTGCCTCATTTTACGATGGTTCCCACAGTTCCAAACCTCACACCATAGCACTGGAATTCCAATTAGGGATCGAAAGACATGGGTAACAGAAGGGATTTTTGTTTTATCAGGGAGGAAAACACTTTCTCAGAAGGATTTCCTGTCTTTAGAAAACTTCCCTTTATATATCACTTCCCATTGACTAGAACTGGGTCACATAGATGGGGAAATAATAGTAGCAAAGGATAAATGGCTCAGTGACAGCTGCTCTGGACCAATCATGCTTCATCCTAAGCAGCTGGACACAGTGTTGCCCTTAACTAAACTCATATCCTGTTAGATAGGAAATTGGAGGCGTGGGCTCCCATAGAATGTGTTGAAAATATTTGTTAATCTAGAATCTTAGTGTGTTTGTGGTGCTGTAACAAAACACCCAAGACTGGATAATTGATAAATAATGGAAATTTATTTCTTACAATTTTAGAGGTTGGGGAGCCCCAGATTAAAATGTCAGCAGGTTTGGTGTCTGGTGAGGGCCCTGGTCTCTGCTTTTAAGATGGTGCCGTAAATGCTGTGTCCTCACATGGCAGAAGCGATGACAGGGTGAAAGGGAAGGGGGGTTAACTCCTTTGCACCTCTTTTATAGCAGTGTTAAACCCAGTCCCGAGGGCTCCACCGTCATGACTTAATCACCTCCTAAAGGTCCCACCTCTAATATTATCACATTGAAAATTAAGTTTCAGCATATAAATTTTGCGGTACATATTCAGACCATAGTCTCTAGTATATAAAATGTTTTGTTTTCTACAATTTAACATTAGCGTTATTTTATATACATTTGGCACAAAACTTCATTCTTTATTATCTTTTTAATTAACTGTGTCAACTCGTTATAATCTGCTAAGCCTGTCAACTACTGCTGGTCATTTATACATTAATTTTTTTATCCTCTGAGTTCATGTCCTTTGCAGGGACGTGGATGAAGCTGGAAACAATCATTCTCAACAAACTAACACAAGAACAGAAAACCAAACACTGCATGTTCTCACTCATAGTGGGAGTTGAACAATGAGAACACATAGACACAGGGAGGGGAACATCACACACCAGGACCTGTTGGGGGGTGGGGAGCTAGGGGAGGGATAGCATTAGAAGAAATACCTAATGTAGATGACGGGTTGATGGGTGCAGCAAATCACCATGGCACATGTATACCTGTGTAACAAACCGGCACGTTCTGCACATGTACCCCAGAACTTAAAGTATAATAAAAATTTTTTTTATCCTCTAGGTCAAAAATATTACAACATTACACATTTTGGTGTATATATACATACATTTTTCTTTCTTTTATTATATTGGGCTAAATTCCCATATGTGAGATTAAATCCAAGGAGATGCTTTTTGAAAAGTATCAGTTTTAATGTTCCTGAAAATGTATGTGTGTCAATAAATCTTTGCTGTTATTCATTAAAAATAGTTTTTGAACCTAGCATTTATTTAGCACCCACTTGAAGGGTATGTAATACTAAACATTTGCTAATATAATTAGAATAATTTTCTGTACCATTTAAGCATTCAATTACTAAAAAAGAAAAATACTTTTTATAAAAGTAACAATGGAGAAGTCAATATACTGGATAGAGAGTTTTTTTCCCCTCTTCCAGGTGAAACCTCATTATGGTAGGAAATAAAATAATATTGTTGCTTGACTTCTATTTAGAAAATATTATTTTGTTTGTTTTAATAGTTGAACTCACAAATTAAGAAGCAGATTTAAAGGTATGGCTTTTGGATTAGAACCCAGTGGGCAAAACTGGCAGAATGACTACTTTCTTCCTTACTTACTCTTTTATTTCCCTCTTGGTTAAAAAAACCCCACCCTACTCTGACAGCAGTTTTCCTTTTTTTATTTAGAGAAAATTATTGCTCAGTAGATTGGAGCACAGTGAGAAACTGTTCGTACCTAGCTATTTCCTGAATAGGATATGGAAACATATTTTCTAGCATAATGCTATGTCATTGAGAATATAAATTCTTTTACTTCAAAATCCTAGCTTTTTTGGCTTCATAACTGCAATTGAGACACCAATGAGGAAGTGCTGTTCTGTACTTCTCCATAGCCCCACATTAAATTAATGAGAACTGTAGCAAAGAGGATTATGCTGTACCTTCTCATCTTGTACTTAAAAGGACAAATACAATTTGGCTGAGACTTCAGAACTGAAAAATTGCTGACCTCTATTGTTTCCAAAGGAAAGGCCAGCTGACAATTCACCACCTTCAATAACATCACAGAATCTGTAGATGTTACACACAGACATATCAGTTTGTTTGTTGGATTACATAGACATTTGGTAGAAGAGCTCAGAATTTTATACAATTTCCTATTATCAGAGTAGTCTAGCCTAGCTCAAGGAAAGAATAAAAAGTGAAAACATTTGGATGGATGAATTTGGTCTTAATTTTCCTTAAGTCATTGAGTGAGAATTACATTGTTTAATCTTTTTCAAGAAGGCCCATAAATAAGGTAGAAAAATATGTTGAAATAAAAGTGACCAACTGTGACTGTTTTTACATAATTAGAAATGTTAAATTGGGTTCCTCTCTATCGCTTCTTAAAAAATGGGATGTAGTTTGTATTTAGGTGAATTCGAACAAATGTGTCCCTACTTTGTGAAAATAATTATAAAAAGTTCCAGAGATGTATGAAACATTTTTTTACTTCACTGAAGGAGTTTAAAATTTGGTAGAAATTTAGATAGATAGATAAAAGGTATTTAAGGCAGAAACAGATGCAGATTTTAATGAGTAAAACTTAGTGCTTTATTTAAATAAGACTTTTATGAATGATCAGAAAAAAGATAGCATTTAAATTGTCCATTTCTCCAAATTCCAGTTTTGCATGTCCACACTTGCATATCCAGCTTCCTATTTCATATCTCCACTCAAATCTCTCATGTACTTTTTAATTTTAACATGTCTACAAATGAAGTCTTTATTCCCTACCACTCCTAAACTGTCCTCTCTAAATCTTCCCAGTGTCAGTAAATGCCTCAACCAATCTCCCAGCTGCATCTTTAATTTCTCTCATTCCCATATAACTTATGTCTCATCAAGTCTTGTAGGTTCCATCTCCAGAATTTATTCTCACTTTTCACTCCCTTCATCATACTTTAGCCCAAGCCACCACCATCTCATTCTTTGGCTAATTCATAGCCTCCCCATGGCTTTATGCTTTCATTTCCCCTCTACAGTTTGCTTTTCACTCTGCAGCCAGAGTGATCTCTTAAAAATGCAAACCATTAGCTGGGTGTGGTGGTACCCACCAGTATTCCTGGCTACTCTGGAGGTGGAGGCAGGAGTATCGCTTGAGCTTAGGAGCTCAAGGCTGCAGTGAGGTATGATTGTGCTACTGTACTCAAGCCTGGGTGACAGAGTAAGACCCTGTCTCTTAAAAAAAAATCATATCACATCACTCACTGCTCAAAACATACTTAAATGGTTTTTCTCATTGTACTAAGACTAAAATCTAAACTACTTACTGTAGTTTTCAAGGCCTCACCTGCACTGCCCTGCCCAACTCTCTACTTCATCTTGAGCATTTCCTCTTTTCTTTGCTCATCATGCTCCTGCCACTTCAGCTGCTGTTTGTTCCTAGAAAATTCCAAGCCATTTACATTCCGAGCCTTTCCACTTATTCTGCATTGGCCATATTCTGATCTGTTTTCTTCCAGCCTCAGGCATAGGTGGATCTTACCGTTGAGGCTTTCGTCTGTAGCTGGAGAAGATAAAAGAGGATGTATTATTTTTCTATTGCTGCCAGACAAATTGCCACACACTCTACTGGCTTGAAACAACTCACATTTATTATTTCACAGTACTGGAGGTCAGAAGTCCAAGATGGGTTTTACAGGTGAAAATCAAACAGAGCTGTGTTGCTTTCTGGAAACTCTAAGGAAGAAACTGCCTCCTTTCCTTTTCGAGCTTCTAGAAGACCATCTGCATTCCTTGGTTCCTGGCTCATTCCTTCATCTCCAAGTGCATCACATCCACCTCTGCTTCCATTGTCACACTTGTCTCTTCTTTTCACCTCTGCTCCCCTCTTGTAAGGACCCTTGTGATTATCTGTGCCCACCAGATAATATAGAATAATCTCCCAATCTCAAGATTTTTAAACGTAATCATACACAAAGACCCTTTTGCCATGTAAGGTAACATTCATAGATTTTTAGGCCTTAGGATGTAAACATTTTTATGGGGGCATTATTACCATACCACAGAGGGTTTGCTGAGTTATCTTCCCTCCCACATGGCTCTGCAAACTATCAGAGAAATGGGCTTTGGTTCCAAAGAGTGAAGATGCAGTCTGAATTACTCACACTCTGACACACTAAGCCTGATTAAGTCCGATTAAAATTTAGTGAGCTGGATGAGAAATCCAGTCCCTATCACTCAACAAATATTTACTGAGTAGCTGCTATGTGTGTGTACTGTCCCTATGTAGAACTTCTCTTTAGATATATTACACCCCAACTTCTTGACCCATGGTGAAATTCAGTTTCATTCAGATGGTTTTTCATCCTGTCTTATCTTCAAAGGAGTTATCAGGAATGATGGCCCATTATTTTGTTTATCATTTGGCTCTGGCATATGCTTTTAAATATATTAGGACCTATGCTATTCATTCTTTTAGTATGAGTGTTGCATTGTGAGTGATCATCCGAACAGGCAAAAGTGAAGACACAAATAATCAAATCATAGGAACAAATCAAATCTACTGGGCCTGACATCTGTGGTGCACAAGATGGTGGTAGTTTCTTTTTCAGTTTATGTCCAGGACAAAAATACAGCTCAACCAGAAAAATGATGAGAAGACTGGGCATTTTTCTGGGAAGTAATTTCTGGATTTCAAAATCCAGGTGCTGCATTTCCTCCAGTCTTTAAGGCCCATTACTTGTGTGATGATTTACCAGCTTGTCATAGCCAGCGGGGATGAAACTCTGCAGAGACACAAAGTCTATTATCTTTATTAGAGGAGTCCTCCTGCCAAATATTACACCACTTTTTTCCTCATCTTGCCTCCATTCTTCAGTATTTAGTGAAGAATGTAAATACTGGAAAACAGAACTCATTCAGATTATCTAACTATTCCTTCCTGAACTTAACTCATCTTTTTGTCAGAAATATAAAGTGAACAAGAGTTGAAAATGTCATTGAAGCATACCTTCACTTCTCCCTCTCATTTAATTTTTTTTAAAAAAATCTCCCCTTTACTGTTACCCTCTTTACCTTTTCTTTGGAATAATTTCTTGGTTCAAAACTATTAAGCAGAAATAATGCCCACACTTCAAAAGTGATTCATATTTTAGTGCATTCCTAGAAAGAGGCACTTAATTTTTTTCTCACTCTTCTGTCCAATCCCTGCTAATTTACACTAGATTAGTCATCTTTATGGTAGCTAGGGCAAACCTGAGACTATGGTAAGACATTTTTATGCTTAGGGGAGTAAGAGAGAGAGAAAAAGATAATACAAGGTGAGCATATAAGAATATTTATTTTCCACTTTTATTTGTTGCTATTTCTTAGTATAGCCAACGCAGCTTTATACAATATGGCCTAAGCTTGCTAGCATTAATTTCTTGTCCATGATATTTTTGTTAGATATTGAATATATTCTGGAGTATTTCTCTTTGTATTCCATCTTCTTGAAGTATCCAACCACTTCATTTAAATAAACACACTTTGCTTTTTTATGTCTTGCTGCTTATGAACTTGCTATTCCCTGTGTTTGAAATGTTCTTCTCCATAATCGTTCAGCAAATTCCTGTGCATTCTTCAAGACTTAGCATAGATATCATTAGAATCTACATCTCTCTTCTCCATGCAAGCAATTAGTAATTCTTTCATCTGCTTTTATTTTTCTGCATTTGTTCATGCTTCTTTTACTTCATTATCATCCTGCAAAGGCGATTGCCCATCTCTCTTCCCTTTGGACTGCCAGGATATTCTTGAGGGAAAGTTTCTGTCATATTCATAGCAGGTTCTTGATCAGAAAGAGTCAGGTTCAATAAATGGTGAAGAAGGGAGATTGGTAAGTAACTCCCTTTTCTATAATACTTGGAGCCAGAACCTTTGGAAAAATATAAGCCTCATAAAAATCAAATAAAAGCAATTAGAAAACAATCAGACATTTTTAGAAAAGACTGCCAGTCATAGGAGTTAGGCAACAGAATGATTTCCTGTGTAATTACAAGTTAACTAAACTGTAAAATAAATCAGATGGTTTATAGTACTTGCTTTGTCATTAACTAGCTATGTGATTTTGACAAAATAAACATTAGAGAGCCAAATTAAGCCCTCTCATCTGATAATCCTGTGGGGCACCTTTAGACTACTTATGTAAAATGGCAAGTTCATGAAATCAATGTATTCCTTTTTTTCCCCCAGAAGAAACTGTTGTGTAATGACAATGGAAAATAAGTTAACTTATTGTGGGTAAAAGCCAAAAGCCAGCAGGAATAAATTTAATAACAATTGAGACCACAGTGGCAGCCATGAAAAGACATCTTACCAAAAATTTATTGACATTTCCATGCCTTGTGAAAGCAGATGGTGCCAATGAATCTGGAAAGAGGCTTGGGATTGGAGATAAGAATTTTCTTGAAGCCTGGGGATTATAAAAGAATGAGACAAAGATAGGATATTTCTTGAACTGATCAGTCACTTTACAGATGGAAAGTTCTGACTTCCTAATTGTGAAAAGCTTGTGTGTAAGAAATCAAGAGGGTCAGGCTATAGAAAAGAGCAGGAGATAGCAAATGCAGAAGAACCAAAATCATGCCAAACACACTCTCGACCACAGTGCAATAAAAATAGAAGTCAAGACTAAGAAAATAGCTCAAAATCAGGCAATTGCATGGAGATTAAACAACATCCTCCTGAATGACTTGTGTGCAAATAATGAAATTAAGGTACAAATCAAGAAGTTCTTTGAAACTAATGAGAACATAGATACAACATACCAGTATCTCTGGGACACAGCTAAGGCAGTGTTAAGAGGGAAATTCATAGCACTAAATGCCCCCATCAAAAAGTTAGAAAGATTTCAAATTAATAACCTAACATCATAACTAAAAGAACTAGAGAAGCCAGAATAAATCAGCCTCAAAACTAGCAGAAGACAAGAAATAACCAAAATCATAGCTGAACTGAGAGAAATTGAGACACAAAATCTATTCAAAAGATCAATGAATCCAGGAGTTGGTTTTTTGAAAGAAATAATAAGAGAAATGCAAATCAAAACCACAATGAGATACCATCTCACACCAGTTAGAATGGCCATCATTAAAAAGTCAGGAAACAACAGGTGCTGGAGAGGATGTGGAGAAATAGGAACACTTTTGCACTGTTGGTGGGACTGTAAACTAGTTCAACCATTGTGGAAGTCAGTGTGGCGATTCCTCAGGGATCTAGAACTAGAAATACCATTTGACCCAGCCATCCGACCCAGCCATCCCATTACTGGGTATATACCCAAAGGACTATAAATCATGCTGCTATAAAGACACATGCACACATATGTTTATTGCGGCACTATTCACAATAGCAAAGACTTGGAATCAACCCAAATGTCCAACAATGATAGACTGGATTAAGAAAATGTGGCATATATACACCAAGGAATACTATGCAGCCATAAAAAATGATGAGTTCATGTCCTTTATAGGGACATGGTTGAAGCTGGAAACCATCATTCTCAGCAAACTATCACAAGGACAAAAAACCAAACACCGCATATTCTCACTCATAGGTGGGAATTGAACAATGAGAACACATGGACACAGGAAGGGGAACATCACACACCGGGGCCTGTTGTGGGGTGGGGAGAGAGGGGAGGGATAGCATTAGGAGATATACCTAACGCTAAAAGACGAGTTAATGGGTGCAGCACACCAACATGGCACATGTATACATATGTAACAAACCTGCACATTGTTCACATGTACCCTAAAACTTGAAGTATAATAATAATAATAAAAAATAATAAGATAGGCCACTAGCTAGACAAATAAAGTAGAAAAAAGAGAAGATCCAAATAGATACAATTAGAAATGATGAAAAGAATGTTGATGAAAAGAATGTTACCACTGACCTCACAGAAATAAAAAACAACCATCAGAAACTACTACAAATACCTCAATGCATACAAATTAGAAAACCTGGAAGAGATGGATAAACTCCTGGACACGTACACCCTCACAAGTCTGAATCAGGAAAAAACTGGTTTCCTGAACAGACCAGTAATGAGCTCCAAAATTGAATCAGTAATAAATAGCATACCAACCAAAAAAATAAATAAAAACAAAAAACAAAACAACAACAACAAAAAACAAAAAAAAACCCCACAAAACCCAGGACCTGATGTATTCACAGCTGAATTCTACCAATACAGAAACGATTCCAAAATATTGAGGAGGAGGTACTCCTCCCCAACTCATTCTATGAGGCCAGCATCATCCTGATACCAAAGTCTGGCAGAGAAACAACAACAAAAAAGAAAACCTCAGGCCAATATCTTTGATGAACATCAATGCAAAAATCTTCAACAAAATACTTGCAAACCAAATCCAGCAGCACATCAAAAAACTAACCCACCATTATCAAGTAGGCTTCCTCTATGAGGTGCAATGTTGATTCACCATATGCAAATCAATAAGTATGATTCATCAAATAAACAAAACTAAAGACAAAAACCACATGATTATCTCAGTTATTATCTCAATAGATGCAGAAAAGGCTTTTGATAAAATTCAACACAATTTCATGTTAAAAATTCTCAACAAACTAGGTATTGAAGGAGAATACCTCTAATAAGAACCATCCATGAAAACCTCACAGCCAACATTATACTGAATGGGCAAAAGCTGAAAGAATTCCTCTTGAAAACCAGTACAAGACAAGGATGCCCTCTGTCACCATTCCTATTCAATATAGTATTGGAAGTCCTAGCCAGGGCAATCAGGCAAGAAAAAGAAATAAGGGGTATCCAAATAGGAAGAGAGAAAGTAAAACTATCTCTGTTTGCAGACATGATTCTATAGGTAGAAAACCCAATAGTCTTGACCCAAAAGCTCCTTAAGCTGATAAACAACTTCAGCAAAGTTTCAGGGTGCAAAAATCAATGTAGAAAAATCACTAGCATTCCTATACACCAACAGCCAAGCTGAGAGCCAAATCAGAAAGGCAATCTCATTCACAATTGCTACAAAAGTATAAAATACCTAGGAATATAGCTAAACAATGAGGTGAAAAATCTCCCAAAGAAATGAGAGAAGGCACAAATGAATGGAAAAACATTTCATGCTCATGGATAGGAAGAATCAATATTATTAAAATGGCCATACTGCCCAAAGCAATTTACAGATTCAGTGCTATTCCTATCAAACTAACAATGACATTCTTCACAGAACTAGAAAAGACTATTTAAAAATTCATATGGAGCCAAAGCAAAGCTCAAATAACCAAGGCAATCCCAAGCAAAAAGAACAAAGCTGGAGGCATCATATTACCTGACTTTAAACTATATTATGGGGTTACAGTAACCAAAACAGTATGATACTGGTACATAAACAGACACATAGACTGTATTAGTCCATTGTCAGACTGCTATAAAGAAACTAATTGAGACTGGGTAATTTATAAAGAAAAGAAGTTTAATTGACTCACAGTTCTACATGGCTGGGAAGGCCTCAGGAAACTTACAGTCACGGTAGAAGGTGGAAGGTAAGCAAGGCATGTCTTTCATGGCAGCAGGAGAGTAAGAGAAAGCAGGGGAAATGCCAGACACTTATCAAACAACCAGAACGTGTGAGAACTCCCTCACTATCAGGAGAACAGCATGGGGGAAACTGCCCCCATGATCTAGTTCCTCCCACCGGGTTCCTCCCTTGACATGTGGGGATTACAATTCAAGAGGAGATTTGGGTGGGAACACAGAGCTAAACCATATCATTCTACTCCTGGCCCCTCCCAAATCTTATGTTATTTTCACATTTCAAAACCAATTGTGCCTTCCCAATAGTCCCCCAAAGTCTTAACTCATTCCAGCATTAACCCAAAAGTCCAAGTTCAAAGTCTCATCTGAGACAAGGCAAGTCCCTTCTGCCTATGAGCCTGTAAAATAAAAAAAACAAGTTAGTTACTTCCAAGATACAATGGGGGTACAGGTTTTGGGTAAATGTTCCCATTCCAAATAAAAGAAACTGGCCAAAAACAAAGGGACTACAGGCCCCATGCAAATTCAGAAGCTGGCTGAGCAGTCATTAAATCGTTTTTTTTGTTTTTTGGTTTTTTTTTTTGAGATGGAGTTTTGCTCTTGTTGCCCAGGCTGGAGTGCAACAGTGCAATGTCGGCTCACTGCAACCTCTGCCTCCTGGGTTCAAGCGATTCTCCTGCCTCAGCCTCCCAAGTAGCTGAGATTACAGGCATGCACCACCATGCCTGGCTAAATTGTTGTATTTTTAGTAGAGACGGGGTTTCACCATGTTGGTCAGGCTGGTCTTGAACTTCTGACCTCAGGTGATCCACCCGCCTCGGCCTCCCAAAGTGCTGGGATTATAGGTGTGAGCCACCGCACCCAGCCCAGTCATTAAATCTTGAAGCTCCAAAATTTCCTTTGACTCTGTGTCTCACATCTAGCACACCCATGGCCTTGAGTAGCTCTGCCCCTGTGTCTCTGCAGAGTGTAGCCCCTGTGGCTGCTTTCATGGGCTGGCATTGAGTGCCTGAGGCTTTTCCACATGCATGGTGCAAGCTGTTGGTGGATCTGTCTTTCTGGGGTCTGGAGGATGCTGGCCCTCTTCTCACAACTCCACTAGGCAGTTCCCCAGTGGGGACTCTTTTTGGGTGCTCCAACCCCATATTTCCTTTCTGCACTGCCCTAGCAGAGGTTCTCCATGAGGGTTCCACCCCTGCAGCAGATTTCTGTCTGGACATCCAGGCTTTCCCATAAATCCTCTGAAATCCAAGCAGAAGCTCCCAAACCTCAACTCTTGTCTTCTGCACACATGCAGGCCCAACACCACATGGAAGCTGCCAAGGCTTGGGGCTTGCGCCTTCTGCAGCAATGGCCTGAGCTGTACCTTGGCCCTTTTCAGCCACAGCTGGAGCTGGAGTGGCTGGGACTCAGGGCATCAAGTCCCAAAGCTGCACAGAGCAGCAGGCCCTGGGCCCGGCCCATGAAGCCACTTTTTCCTCCTAGACCTATGAGTCTGTGATGGGAGGGGCTGCTGTGAAGTTCTGTGACATGTCCTAGAGACATTTTCCCCATTGTCTTGGCTATTACCATTCAGCTCCTTGTTACTTATGTAAATTTCTGCAGCCAGCTTGAATTACTCCTGAGAAAATGGGTTTTTCTTTTCTACCACATAGTCAGGTTGCAAATTTTCCAATCCCTTATGCTCTGCTTCCCTTTTAAACGTAAGTTCCAATTTCAAACCATCTCTTTGTGAATGCATATAACTGGATGTTTTCAGAATAAGCCAGGTCACCTCTTGAATACTTTGCTGCTTAGACATTTCTTCCCCCAGATACCCTAAATCATTTATCTCAAGTTCAAAGTTACACATATCTCTAAGGCCGGGACAAAATGCTGCCAGTCTTTTTGCTAAAGTATAACAAGGGTGACCTTTGCCCCAGTTCCCCATAAGTTCCTCATCTTCATCTGAGACCACCTCAGCTTGGACTTCATTGTCCATATCATTATCAGTATTTTGGTCAAAACCATTCAAGAAGTCTCCAGGAAGTTCCAAACTTTCCCACATCTTCCTGTCTTCTTCTGAACCCTCCAAACTGTTCCAACCTCTGCCCATTACTCAGTTCCAAAGTCGCTTCCACATTTTCAGTTTATCTTTATAGCAGCACCCCACTATCTCAGTACCAATTCTCTGTATTTGTCCATTTTCACACTGCTCTAAAGAAACTACTTGAGACTGGGTAATTTACAAAGAAAGGAGGTTTAATTGACTCACAGTTCTGCATGGCTGGGGAGGCCTCAGGAAACTTACAAACATGACAGAGGGCAAAGAGTAAGCAAGGTGTGTCTTACATGACAGCAGGAGAGAGAGAGAGAGAGCAGGGGAAATGCCAGACACTTGTCAAACAACCAGATCTTGTGAGAACCTCCTCAGTATCATGAGAACAGCATGGAGGAGACCACCCCCATGATCCAATCACCTCCCATCTCATCCCTCCCTTGACACTTGGGGATTACAATTTGATATAAGATTTGGGTGGGGACACACAGCCAAACCATATCATAGGCCAATGAAACAGAATAGAGAGCTCAGAAATCAGGCCACACATGTATGACCATCTGATCTTTGACAAAGCTGAGAAAAACAAGCAATGGGGAAAAGACTCCCTATTTAACCAATGGTGCTGGGATAACTGACTAGCCATATGCAGACTGGAGCTGGACCCCTTTCTTACACCCTATACAAAAAGTAACCCAGCGTGGATTAAAGACTTAAATGTAAAACCCCAAATTATAAAAACCCTGGAAGACAACCTAGGCAATACCATCCTGGACATAGGAATGGGCAAATATTTCATGACAAAGACACCAAAAGGAATCACAAGAAAAACAAAAATTGACAAATGAGATCTAATTAAACTTAAGAACTTCTGCACAGCAAAAGAAACTATCAACAGAGTAAACAGACAACTTACAGAATGGGAGTAAATATTTGCAAATTATGCATCTAACAAAGGTCTAATATCCAGAATCTATAAGGAACCTAAATTTACAAGAGAAAAACAACCCCATAAAAAAGTGGGCAAAGGACATAAATGGACACTTTTCAAAAGAAGACATACATAGGGCCAAGAATCATATGAAAAAAAAGTTCAATCACTGATCATTAGAGAAATGCATATCAAAATCACAATGAGACACTATCTCACACCAGTCAGAAATGCTATTAAAAGTCAAAAAATAACAGATGCTAGCAAGGTTGGGGAGAAAACAGTTGTACACTGTTGGTGGGAGTCTAAATTAATTCAACCATTGTAGAAAGTAGTATGGTGATTCCTCAAAGAGCTAAAAGCAGAACTACCATTTGATCCAGCAATCCCATTACTGGGTATATACCTAAAGGAATGTAAATCATTCTACCAAAAAAGACACATGCATGTGAATGTTCATTGCAGCATTATTCACAATAGCAAAGAAATGGAATCAACCTAAATGTCCATTAGTGGCAGATTGGATAAAGAAAATATGGTACATACACACCATGGAATAGTATGCAGCCATAAAAAAGAGTGAGATCATGTCTTTTGCAGGAATATGGATGGAACTGGAGGCCATTATCTTTAGCAAACTAATGCAGGAACAGAAAACCAAATACCACATGTTCTCACTTATAAGTGGGAGCTAAATGATGAGAACTTATGAACACAAAGAATGAAACAACAGACACTGGGGCCTACTTGAGGGTGGAGGGTGGGAGGAGAGAGAGAAGTTAGAAAGAAAACTATTGGGTACTGGGCTTAATACCTGGGTGGTGTAATAATCTGTACAACACACCCCCATGACATGAGTTTACCTATGTAAGAAACCTTCACATGTTTCTAAAATAAAAAACCTAAAATAAAAGTTAAAAAAAAAAAAGAAAAGAAAAGGGCAGGAGAGCATATATTGTTGGAGTTTCTTGAGGTTTCTGGTCACAAATATTACAGGGTAAGAAGCAACTTAGAGAAGAGGCTGATGGTATACATTTTCTAACACCATGAAAGGATGCAAATAAAGGTTTTCATGATTTTTAGTCTGTCGGCAATAAATATAGTACCATCTCTTCTGATAAATGACTATGCTCCATGATAGACTTTCTTGTTTGAAAATCTTTTGCCCAAGACAGAAAAGTGGAGTTCAGGTATACACAGATCACTAATAATGAACTGATAATATGAATGCTTCTAGACCACAGAAAATTACACTTCTAGAGGTCTTGGGACAAATAGAGTACTTCAAGGGGTAGTTTGATAAGATAAGAAATATGTATGTGGTTTCTGCCCAGTTTCCTGGCACACAACTGTTAAAACCCTTGGAATCTCTGAGGTGACATGTCATTTTGTATGCTAATGTGACTAATGGCTGGGGTCTCCTGGATTGCCTTAGGGGTGGGGGCTGGTTGCCAAGGGAGCCAACCTTGTAATTGGAGGATTGGAATTTTCAGCCCTTCCCTCTATCTCCTGATGAGGGAAGAGGGCCTGGAGGCTGGGCAAATCACCAAAGGCCAATACTTTAATAAATCATGCCTATGTAATGAAGCCTCCATAAATATCTATCCAGTATGGGGTTGGAGAGCTTCTGGGTTGGTGAACACATGGAGGTGCTGGGAGGATAGAGCACTTGGAGAGGACATGGAAGCTCTGCACCCTTTCCCTATACCTTCCCCTATGCATCTTTTTCATCACCTGTTCTTGAGTTTTATCATTTTATAATGTACCAGTGATTTAGTAAGTAAACTGTTTCCCAAGTTCTGTGAGCCATTCTAGCAAATTATCATACTTGAGGAGGTGGGAATCTCTGATTTATAGCTAGTTGGTCAGAAGCACAAGTGACAACCTGAACTTGCAATTAGTATCTGAAATGAGAGGCCAGACAGTCTTCTGGGACTGAGCTGTCTAGCCTTTGGGATCTGAGGCTAACTCCAGGTAAATAGTGTCACAGTTGAATTGGTATGGGAAAAGCCACCACTCATTTGGTGGTCAAAAGTATTGGTGCGAATATAGAGGAAAAGAGTTTGCTTTTCCTATACAGATAGAGAAGCAGTAGTCTAAGAATGATTGGTATGCAAGTAGTTTAAGAAAATCAGTAGAGATAAGAAACACAGGGAAGATTACAGATAAGGGTGAAGTGACAATAAGGGCCCACATTTGCTGTAGACAAACATGGTAACTATAAAGGTTAATCTAGCAGGTTAGAATTTAGATGTTCCCCAGTAGTACCCTGCACAGCCTTGTATACCTTCCATCATTCATTCAAATCAGGATCAAGTATTTGTAGTACTGAACTTCATTTTAACATTCAGTCATTTTTCCAGTTTTACTCATTTGCTGACTAAACTTCCTTTGACAAGGCACAAAGCCTTAATTGCAGCATCATTTCAGAAAAGGCTATGTACCTCACCACTTAGGAAAAACTTCTTCAACAGAATATTTTTTCCTAAGATGGTTTGTTTATGTGTGTACAGTTAAAGTTGGCATTTTTCTTGATCATCTCCCTAATTTATCAGCCATATTGCTACTGAAATTTCTTTGTTTGGTCAACATATATATTTCAGAGCTTAGGAATTTATAGGAATCACTCTTGTTAAGGCAATCAGAGAAGTAAATTGGCCTCTGGATCCTTATTTTGTGTGATATATGTGTGTTTATTAATTCTTTCCTAATATAATTTACTATGTTGCTATTAAATATAGTAATTCAAGGTTGTCAAGCTATGTGACACTGCGTGGAATGAAAGTCTTTAAATGTTATTATTAGCAGTTGTTAATTTAGCATGATTTGTTAAGTAGGCATTTAGATATCTCTTTACTGAGATCCCAAATCTACTGTTCCATGAGCTCCAGTTCCCAATGTGATGCAAAGAGGGCCAGGTGTCACTTACATGTAAAGTGGGTTGTGTTACAAAGAGGAACCCTGATCTTAGGGAGTCCAAGTTTTAAAAAATAATGGCCAGTGAGCCTGCCTGCCCTTTGCTTTGGAGGAAGATACTATCTCTATTAGTTTTACAACTAGGCTGTTCATTTTACAAACATGTTTGAAAAGATAGTTTAGCAGAAACCTCTGCTAGCAAGCTGTGCAGAAATATGAGAGATTCGTGGAGAATCCCAATATGATTTTCTTAAATATTTCTATTCTTAACTCTAATTATAATTCAAGGTTATAATGTGCTTATTCAGTAAGGAAACAATTATTTCACCTCAAGCAATTGAAGATATCTTCTCATCTAAGTTTGGATGACAACCTGAGATTTAAATTCAGACTCGACTGAGTTTTTGTTGGCCAACCAAGACTGCCACAATGGCAAAATCATTGACCCTTACATGGAGTGATCTCACAGCTCATGTCTACTTGTCAGCGGCATTTGAACCAGAGCAACTTCATCTTGAATGAGGGCTAGGAAAATGAGGCTGGGACTTGCTGGGCTGCTTTCCCAGAGAGGTAGATATTCCTGGCTTCTAGATCTTAATGTTAAGGGAACAGATTGATAATTTTACTAAACAGACCCAGACTTGGGAGTATCCTGATATCCTGATATCTTGAGAACAGAAGCATTCCTAATTTTGATTTAAATATAATAATATTGATTCTTGCAAATATAGTAATTAAGAAAATTAATTCTTTATCACAAACCCTTGTAGCAGAGTACATCTCTCCATGATCTCTTTTTATCCTATATAGAAACAAGTATTTTACCTAGGATGGACACGTTCCTTCTCTTACTTTCGAGAACTCCCTACTCTATCTATGGATTATCTGTACTTCCACCACTTTCTTTTTTTTTTTTTTTTTTTTTGAGATTGAGTCTCCGTCTGTCGCCCAGGCTGGAGTGCAGTGGCATGATCTCGGCTCACTGCAACCTCCGCCTCCTGAGTTCCAGCGATTCTACTGCCTCAGCCTCCTGGGTAGCTGGGACTACAGGCATGTGCCACCATGCCTGGCAAATTTTGTATTTTTAGTAGAGATTGGGTTTCACCATGTTGGCCAGGCTGGTCTTGAACTCCTAACCTCAGGTGATCCGCCTGCCTCAGCTTTCCAAAGTGCTGGGATTACAGGTGTGAGCCACTGTGCCCAGCCTGCTTCCTTAATAAACTTGCTTCTGCTTTGCACTGTGGACTCACCTTGAATTCTTTCTTGTGTGAGATCCAAGAACCCTCTTTTGGGGTCTGGATCCGGACCCCTTTCTTGTAACATACTGAGTTCCAATCACAGGGATTTGGAGTTTATATCAGTTGAATCTAATTAAGGTACTACACATCTCCCACCCAGGTGTCTATATCATTGAATTGGACTTTGTATTCTTTTACTTATAAGAAATATAAATAGTTTCCTGTCTACATCTAAAAGATCTTTGAACTTGATGGAATCTTACATTTTCTCCCTCATATATATTCTGTTTGGTTGAGTCACATAATTCTGGATAATAAATAATATCTGAAATTCGAAGTTTCATCATAATCATGTTTCACCTACTGTCATATCTTCTAAGGCTATTTGACTGGCACTAATAAGATAAAGTTGTTTCAGATGCCCTAGAATGACAAATTTCAGGAATTAATTTCTTTTTTAGGCTGAAGTAGCTTAGTAAAATGTTAAAATAATATTCATTGATTTTATTTTCTTTATACGAGTGACAGCTTTTCTCTCCCATCTTTCATGAGAATATAAAACTAAAGTGTAGTTAATAACTTCATTGATGCTGAGTTTGTATTTTCTCTTTCATCTTTTACTGCTTTTTGGCATATAGGATGTAAGATTTGTTTAACATGGTTTCCCAAACTCTTTGGTTTTATTGATGGGTGTCTCTAAATCACTTACTGCTACCTGTAGTTATAATAAATCTAACAGGAGCATCTTTAAAAAATTCAACTTTTTTTTCAGTAGCAGAGCTGCCATGTTTGCTATAAAACATAGTTTCAGGTTGATAGCATTTATTATCTTACACAGAGTACAACATTTAAACAAAAGGGATATAGCGAGAAGTAACTTTCCTTCCTCCAAAGGGTCCTATGCTTTCTTTTTTATCAGCAACAACTTAGGCAAGAATTAATTCTAGAGAGTGATTTCAGAAAGGGTCTTTAGGAATTTACCTCAATATAATATAAGCTGTATATGATAGGCCCACAGCTAGTATCATAGTGAATTAGGGAAAACTTGAAAACTTTTCCTCTAAGATCTGGAACAGACAAGAAAGCCCACAGTTACCACTGTTATTCAATAGAATACTGGAAGTCCTAGCTAGAGCAATCAGGCAAGAGAAAGAAATAAAAGACATGCAGTTTGCAAAGGAAGAAGTGAAATTATCCTTGTTTGCAAATGACATGATCTTATATATGGAAAAACCTAAAGACTCTACCAAAAATGATTACAACTGATAAACAAATTAAGTAAAGTTGCAGGACACAAAATCAACATACAAAGATTAGTAGCATTTCTATATGCTGACAGTGAACAATCTGAAAAAAAAATAAGTAATTTTTTTTACAATAGCCAGAAATAAAACTATGTATCTAGGGAATAACTTAACCAAAGAAGTGAAAGATTTCTACAGGAAAACTATAAAACACTGATGAAAGAAATTAAAGAGGAGACAAAAACAAGGAGAGATATTCTATGTTCATGGATTGGGAGAATCAATATTGTTAAAATGTGCATAGTACCCAAAGCAATCTACAGATTCAGTGCAATTTCTATCAAAATACAAATGACATTCCTCACAGAAATAGAAATAAACAATCCTAAAATTCATATGGAACCACAAAAGACCCGCAATAGACAATGCTATACTAAGCAAAAAGAATAAAACTGGAGAAATCACATTACCCGACTTCAAATTATACTACACAGCTATAGTAACCAAAGCAGCAAGAAACTGGCATGAAACACACACACACATAGACAATTGAAACAGGACAGAGTACCCAGGAACAAATTCACTCACCTATGGTGAACTCATTTTCAACAAAGATACCAAGAACATACCCTGGAGGAAAGACAGTCTCTTCAATAAATGGTGCTTGGAAACCTGGATATCTAAATGCAGAAGAATGAAACTACACTCTTATTTGCATGTGCTTTTGGGATCTTAGTCATGAATTCTTTGCTTATGCCAGTGTCCAGAAGAGTTTTGCCAATGTTATATTCTAGAATTTTTATGGCTTCAGGACTTAAATGTAAGTCTTTGATCCATCCTGAGTTGATTTTTATATAAGGTAAGAGATGGGTATTCAGTTTTTTGTTTTTTTTTTAGACAGAGTCTTGCTCTGTCACCAGGTTGGAGTGCAGTGGTGTGATCTTGGCTCACTGCAATCTTTGCATCCTGGTTCAAGCGATTCTCCTGCCTCAGCCTCCAGAGTAGCTGGGACTACAGGCGTTTTTGTTGTATTTTTAGTAAAGACAGGGTTTCACAATGTTTGCCAGGATGGTCTCGATCTCTTGACCTTGTGATCTACCTGCCTCAGCCTCCCAAAGTGCTGCAATTACAGGCATGAGCCACTGAACCTGGCCGGGGATTCAGTTTTATTCTTCTACGTGTGGCTTTCCAGTTTTCCCAGCACCATTTATTGAATAGGGTGTCCTTTGCCAAATTTATGTTTTTGTATGCTTTGTTGAAGATCAGTTTGCTGTATTTGGCTTTATTTCTGGGTTCTCTATTCTGTTCTATTGGTCTATGTGCTTATTTTTATACCATGCTGCTTTGGTAACTTTAGCCTTACAGTGTAATTTCAAGTTGGGTAATGTGACGCCTCCAGTTTTGTTCCTTTTGCTTAGTATTGCTTTGGCTATGCAGGTTCTTTATCAGTTCCATATGAATTTTAGGATTGTTTTACCTAGTTCTGTGAAGAATGATAATGGTTTTTTTGATGGGAATTACAATGAATTTGGAGATTGTTTTTGGCTGTATAGTCATTTTCACAATGTTGATTCTTCCCATCCATGAGCATGGGATGTGTTTCCATTTGTTTGTGTCATCTGTGATTTCTTTCAGCATTGTTTTGTAGTGTTCCTTGTAGAGATCTTTCACCTCCTTGGTTAAGTATATTCCTAAGTATTTGATTTTTTTTTTCAGTGGTAAAAGGGATTGAATTATTGATTTGATTCTCAGCTTGGTCATTGTTGGTGTAAAGCAGTGCTAGTGATTTGTGTACATTGATTTTGTATCCTGAGACTTTACTGAATTTACTTATCTCTATAAATTTTAGAATAGTTTTTTTGTAATTCTGTGTAAAATGGCATTGGTAGTTTGATAGGAATAGTGTTGAATCTGTAGATTACTTTAGGCAATATAGCCATTTAAAAAATATTGATCCTTCCTATCCATGAGCATGGAATGTTTTTCCTTTCCATTTGTTTGTGTCATTTCTGATTTCTTTAAGTAGTGTTTTGGAGTTTTCCTCGTAGAGACCTGTCACCTCTTTGGTTAGATGTATTCCTAGATATTTTATTCTTTATGTGGCTATTGTAAATGGAATTACATTCTTGATTTCCCTCTCAGCTTGAACATTATTGGTATATAGAAATGCTACTGATTTTTGTACATTGATTTTGTATCCTGAAACTTTACTGAAGTAAAGTTCCAGGATCCTTTTGATGGAGTCTTTAGGGTTCTCTAGGTATAGAATCAGAATCATATCATCAGCAACGAGCAATAGTTTGAATTCTTTTCCTATTTGGATGCCTTTTATTTCTTTCTCTTGCCTGATTACTCTGGCTAGAACTTCCAGTACTATGTTGAATAGGAATGGTGAGAATGGGCATCCTTGTATTGTGTTGTTCTAGTTCTTAAGGGGAATGCTTCCAGCTTTTGCTTTTGCCCATTCAGTACAATGTTGGCTGTGGATTTGTCATAGATGGTTTATATTATTTTGAGGTATATTCCTTTGATGCCTCATTTGTTGAGGTTTTTTATTATGAAAGAATGCTGGATTTTATTGAAAGCCTTTTTCATGTCTTTCAAGATAATCATGTGGTTTTTGTTTTTAATTTTGTTTATATGGTGAATCACATTTATTGATTTGCATGTGTTGAACCAACCTGGCATCCCAGGAATGAAATCCACTTGATCATGGTGAATTAATTTTTTGATTTGCTGCAGGATTTGGTTTGATAGTATTTTTTTGAGGATTTTTGCATCTATGTTCATCAGGGATATTGGCCTATAGTTTTCTTTTTTTGTTGTGCCTTTGCCAGGTTTTGGAATCAGGGTGATGCTCGTTTCATAGAGAGTTAGGGAGAAGTCCTTCCTCCTTAATTTTTTTGGAATAATTTCAGTAGAATTGTTACTAGCTCTTCTTTGTATGCCTGGTAGAATTCAGCTGTTAATTCAGTCTGTCCAGGGCTTTTTGGTAGGTTTTTCATTATTGATTCAATTTGTGAACTTGGTATTGGTCTGTTCAGGGATTCAATTTCTTCCTCATTCAAACTTTGGAGGTTGGATGTTTCCAGGAATTTATCCATTTCCTTTAAATTTTATAGTTTGTGTGCTTAGAGGTGTTCATTGTAGTCTCTGAAGATCTTTTGTACTTCTGTGCATCAGTTGTAATGTCACAATTATCATTTCTGATTGTGATTTTGGATATTCTCTCTTTTTTTCTTTGTTAATCTAGCTAGCAGTCTATTGATCTTGTTTATCCTTTTAGAAAAGTAACTTTTGGTTTTGTTGATTCTATGTATCAATTTTGGGGTTGCAATTTCATTCAGTTCTGCTTTGATTTTAGTTATTTATTTTCTTCTGCTAGATTTGGGGTTAGTTTTTTCCGGGGTTAGTTTTTTTTCCTGTTTTTCTAGTTCCTCTAGGTCATCCTGCTTTGCTTTTCTTTTCCTTTTTGTTTGTTTTTGAGATGAAGTCTTGCTCTGTCACACAGGCTGGAGTGCAGTGGCATGATCTCAGCTCGCTGCAACCTCTGCCTCCCAAGTTCAAGTCTCGTGCCTCAGCCTCCCAAGTAGCTGGGAATACAGGTGTGTGCCACCGTGCGTGGCTAATTTTTGTATTTTAGTAGAGATTGGGTTTCACCATGTTGGCCAGGCTGGTCTTCAAATCCTGGCCTCAAGTGATCCACCTGTCTCAGCTTTCCAAAGTGCTGGGATTACAGGTGTGAGCCACCACCCCCGGCACCATACTACTTTTCTTAGTGACTATATTAATTTACATTTCCACCAACAGTGCTTGCTAACACTTATTTTCTGTTTTTTTTTTTCACTGTAGTTATCCTAATGGGTATGAAGTTATATCTTATTATAGTTGTTATTTTCATTTTTCTAGTGATTAATGATGTTAAACATTTTTTCATATAAATGTTGACTGTTTATATACCTTCTTCAGTGAACTGTCTGTTCAAGATCTTCGCACATTTTTAAATTGGGTTTTTATTTTGTGGCTTATGTTGTTGAGTTGTAGGAGCTCTTTATGTATTCTGGATATTAATCTCTTATCAGCTACATGATTTGCAAATATGTTTTCCCATTCTGTAGGTTGTCTTTTCACTCTGTTGATTGTGTTCATTGGTGCATAGAAGCTTTTAAGTTTATTGTCATCCCATTTGTCTATTTTTGCTTTTGTCATTGTCATTGTCATTTTGTCATTGTCAAATCTAATGCCATAAAGACTTTCTTTAAAAATAATTTTTAGAGGGTTTTAGGCCATCTTTTTAGGTTTTTAATTCATTTTGAGTTAATTTTTCTATAGTATAATGTTTTTCCAACATAATTTGTTCAAGAGACTGTCCTTTCCCCATTGAGTGGTCTTGGCACTGTTATTGAAGATCATTTGACCATATATGTGAGATTTCATTTCAGGGATATCTCTTAAATTCCATTGGTATATATGTCTGTCTTTATGACAGTATCATACTGTTTTGATTACTGTTGCTTTATAACAGGTTTTGAAATCAGAAAGTATGAGACCTCCAACTTTGTTTTTCTTTTCTCTCTATATATATATTTTTGGCTATTTCGAGTATTTTGTTTTTAACTGGCTTTTGTATTTGTAGGGCAGAGTAAGTAGAAGCTGCTTTTTAAGAAAAGTAGATGGGTTAAGTCAGGGGAAGAGATGCAACTCATGGGTGCCTGTGATGCAATGCAATATGAGGGTGCAGAAATACATTGGGAGGGCTGGGCATGGTGGCTCATTCCTGTAATCCCAGCACTTTGGGAAGCCAGGGCAGGCAGATTGCTTGAGCTCAGGAGCTCAAGATCAGCTTGGGCGACGTAGTAAAACCTCATCTGTTAAAAAAATCCACTGGGAGAAAAAGAGAAAAACCACCACCACCACCTCAATAAAAATCTACTTCCGGCCAGGCGCGGTGGCTCATGCCTGTAATCCCAGCACTTTGGGAGGCCGAGGTGGGTGGATCACGAGGTCGGGAGATCGAGACCATCCTGGCTAACACGGTGAAACCCTATCTCTACTAAAAATACAAAATATTAGCCGGGCGTGGTGGCGGGCACTTGTAGTCCCAGCTACTTGGAGGCTGAGGCAGGAGAACGGCTTGAACCCGGGAGGCAGAGCTTGCAGTGAGCCAAGGTCGCGCCACTGCACTCCAGCCTGGGTGACAGAGCGAGACTCTGTCTCAAAAAAAAAAAAAAAAAAAAATGTAGACTTCCAGCACAAGCCTTGGAACCTATGTGCAGGAACTTTTCCTTAAATTTGTAACCATGTCCGTCAGTGTGTTTTTCTTTCTTTTACAATTTGGGGATGTTGAAGACACCTTACTGGAATTGTAGGCTGAACCAAAAACTGACTAAACTTTGAACTTTGAGGATTTTAATAAGTATTTTGCTCCTTCACTCATGAAATGCATCCCTGACACTATAATATGCTCTGGACTTGCGGTGGTGCCTACAGTGATGGGCAAAGCAGACCTGATCCTTGCCCTCAAAGAAATTGACTTAGCAGCTTCTTGTGAATGTGGACAGAGCTGAGCATGTGCATTGATGTGAGAGACAACTCCAAGTTTGCCTCTTCAGCTACAGAATGTAGTCCTCTGTTTTTTCATGGGCTTGTTCTTTGAAGAGTTTTTAAGATGAAGGGACATTTTGCTAGTTTCCTATATGGGAAATTCAAGTACTCCCTGGCTATGAACTGGAGACAAAACACATGCCATTCTATAACTTTAACAGGAAATTTTAATTTAATTTAAATATATTTGAGATTTAAGTAAATGATTTATTTCCTCCTCAAAAGTCATGAAAGAACCTCTCATGCTGTATGGAGTAGTGAGAGCCAAGATATTTGGCAAGAGGGAATTGGAAAATAATTGATGTTATGATCTGCTGCATGGAGGGAGGGGCCAAATTGTACCAAAACAGGTTTTAAGGAATTATTGACAGGAAAATGTGCTTTCTGGGAACTTCTCTGCCTTGGGGTTGAAAACTAACGCATGAAAAAATTAGATTTTATCTGGAGGATATTCATCACCTAGATACATTTTCTTTCAGAGGGGTTAAAAATATGCAGCAGCTACTTAAGGCCCTGTTGTCCTGGCACATAGCCCACATTATATAAGTATTAAACAGCAAATTTAAAATGTACCAAAGTTTATGTAGTTTCTTTTATTTTATTTGAAAATCTTTGAGGTTTATAGCAAAAACGGAGGAAATTAATGGAATTGGGAGAATGTATATGTAACACAGAAACTTATTTTGCTAGGAACTTTTATAATATGACACAGCAACATTATAAAGTTATACAGCCCCTTTTATTGTTCAAATGTAATGTTTAGCTCTTGATATTAATTTGTGTGTTTTGAAGGCTTTTTGCTGGCTTTGGGTGGTTTGGGATAATGCTATACTGAAATCATGGATCTCCATATGTTCATGAGCTTCTGAGGAATTAGAATTAGGTTAACAATTTTGTCATGAGGTGCTCAGTGTTCTAGAAGTCATCTTTGTCTTTGGTTTGGTTCACATTCTGCAAAATCTCCAGACATTGCCGTAAACATATTTAGAGAAAGAAAGGGAGCATTCAGAACTTACTCTATGAAATATTATTTCTTTGGATTGTTCTCTATACCAAAGGATGAAGACAGGGCCCTGACAATGCAAATTACTTTTAAAAAATGGAATGTGCCATTTGTTTGCTAAATTATTTAATTTTCTTTTCTATGTATGTGAAATTTTAGCTGTAAAATGTATAGTTTGTTAGAACTTCTTAATTAGACCTGTGAAAATATCTTTAAAATATTTGCATTCCAAAAATATGTTCAATTATCTATAAAATGCTTCAGTCGGGTATTGTAGCTTATGGAAACACTGACATGTTATATTGTATTAGCATAACAAGAAAGGATCTATGAAATGCCCTGATAAAAGATTAGTCTGCCAAGGTTTCGTTAGTGTTAATATGAAAAAGATGACATTGGAAAAAAGTAAAACTTTAGACTTTGGGAAATGCTTCCAATACTGAAGCTGCTATGTCTTTGATTTTATTTTCTAGGTCATTGTTTCCCAAACTAGATGCTGAATCCCGGTGAGACTGTGAAGATATTGTGAGCGTTCTTGGAGATCAGAGCAGAAAACATCCATCGGAGGTAGGTAGCAGTGAGGGACTACAGGCAATTATATAAATGAACCAGATGCCCTCTTTCCTCTGGTACCTCTCATGATAGCTCCAAATCCATGTGCTTTCTTTTAGCCTTTTCAGATTTTTGATTCTCTGAAACAGGCTACTGGTAACCTTCTTTGAATTTTTCTTTTCCTTAATAATAGCTACTGCTTATTGATCAATTATTTTGTACCATCAAGACTTGCACTAGGTGAATTAGATAGTTTCATTTAAACCTCAGTATACTTCTGTGAGATAGGTACTAGGTTTTTTTCTCCAGTTTATAATTGGAGCAGCTGAGGCTTAGGGAGTTTTAGTGATTTCTGTAAGGTCATCCAGCTAAAAAGAGATGCTACCGATTTTGAACACAGGCAGCCTGAATGTAGGACACACAGTCTTTCCCCCCTTCTTCTGTTGTTTTTGTCATTGGATTTTATCAGATGAAATGGTCTGAGAACCATTCCTCTATCATGATCAACTAGGCTAAGGAGGGGGAGTAAGCTATATTAGTGGGGCATCTTGGACAGAATATTCTGAGCTTTTTCAAGTGGCAAAAATGCTTTCTACAAAGACTAAGACAGGCCATATAGCACCCTCAAGCTCTGCTTGAGAAATACTTTATCTAGCAAAAGAGAAATAACTATTTAAAAGATGTAGTAGATATGAAGGTGGCATAGAAAGTGAAAAAAGTTTAAGAGCCTTGTTATTAATTCTCGGACTTAGACTGTTTTGACACAGTTGCATATTTTTTATGTAAAGGATGTTATTATGTAAGAATACTTCAGTCTCTCTTTTAGAGAAAGTTGCTGAAGTGTCTCCCTCTTACCTGCTCTTTGCTTCCTGCTGCTATCCTCTTCCTCTCATGAAGATACTTGTGTAGTACTGGGGTCATTGTTGAGAATTAAGAGACACATTTAACAGCTGAATTCTCCCAAATGAATTCTAAACTCAAATAAAAATGGGACTTCTAGGAATAGTGACTTGAGAAGCTGGAGCAACGGCTTCCACAGTTTAAAAAATCTGGACAATATTATGAAAGACAGCTTAACTGAAAGCACTGGAACATGCCCAAAGACAGACAGAAATTGAGAAAAATACACCCTTGAAAGACTACTGCATTGGGTAAGAACTGCAAGTTTGTGCCTTTCTGGCCTAGGGCTGCTCCCTAAACCCAATTGTGACACAGGAAAATCTCAGCCTTAATGGTGTTAAAAGGCAGATGTCAAAGGTTAGAGCTGCAGAGATACTAGTAAGTTATAGGAGGATTTTGGCAGTGAGAAAGCCACACTTATCTGACAAGTTGTTTCATTTATACCATCAAATAGGATGTTGATGTATGTCTTCTTGCTGACAACATTCTCTCAATGTTCTGAGATAGTCTCCAATCTCATATTTTGTGCTATGCTATCTCTTTTTTAAAATTGGAATTTGTTTTAACAACACTGGCTGTATCAGGATATTTAGGGAAGAGCAGACATATTAGGCCTTTATCTTTAACTTTGATGATGGGATTAAACCTTCCTTTGGGAACTGAAGGCTGTAAGAGTATGGAGAGAAACAGATGCATTCTCTACAAGGAAAACTTGCCTTCAGCCATTATTACTGTGCTTTTGGTTCCCAGCAATATATCCACTGGTGTCCACTGAGTACCCAAGTGTTATGTCCCATTAATTTGGATAACCCCAGGAATAAACTGAGGTGGCATATGTACTCAGAATAGGTCAATGGCTTGAAAGACTAAAATGTTTGTTGGAATCACATCAGTTTGGGGCTCTCTCCAGATTTAGATAAGAGGAATAAGAAGAAAACAAAGATATAGCCTTCTCTGGGTTCTTCAGTCACTCTCTGTACTCCACAGCCATCAAGTTGACTTGATCTATACAAATATCACTCTTCTAGAGACCAGTTCAGTCTCCCTGGGTGACTATTAGTCAGGGTTCTCCAAAGAAACAGAATCATATGGAGGCTGAGAAGTCCTGAGATCTGCAGCTGGCTAGCTGGAGATCCAGGAGAGCCAATGGAATAGTTTCAGTCCAAGTCCAAAGATCTGATAGCCAGGAGAGCCAATGTTGTGAGTTGTAGTCTGAGTCTGAAGGCAGGAGAAGACCAGTGTTACAACTCAAAGACAGTCTGGCAGACAAAAGAGAATTCTATCTTACTCAGCCCTTTTATTCTATTCAGGCTTTCAATGGATTGAATGAAGCCTATCCACACTGGGGAGGGCAATCTACTTTACTTAGTCTATCAATTCAAATGTTAATCTCATCCAGAAACATCCTCACAGACACATCCAAAATAATATTTAATCAACTATCTGGGTATTCCATGGCCTAGTTAAGTTGACACATAAAATTAACCATCACGGTGATGCAAAGTAAACTAGGTCTATTTGGTCACTCTCTATGACCAAAGAGCTGACCTTGGCTAGAAAAATGCATGCTAAAACTTTATATGCCTCTGATGGGGCATATGTTGGGCTGGGCGAAATTCTTGTTACCTGAAGTTTCAACAACTCTACTACAGTGAGGATATTACAAAGCCTCAGGCAAAACTAGAAAGTGATTAAGTGGTTAATATTTGGCCAAAATAAATATGTCTTAGTGTTAATTGTCCTTGAGCTAATTAAAACTTAGTTGGAGAACTACAAAGCTAACTATAACATGGGACAACCCTGATGAGGGCCATATTAGAGAAAGTGAACACTATGAGAGTACAGGGTGAGTGACTGAGGGAGGGCATTTTAGTTGTCTTTTGTCATCATTTATTTTGGCCTTTCTTTGTTTTGGGCAGCTTTTGTTTTTATTGAGGTATAATTCACATACCATAAAATTCACCATTTAAAAATGTACAGTTCGTTGATTTTCAGTATATTTATAAGGTTGTGCAAGTACCACCACTAATTCCAGAATATTTTTATTGCCCTCAGGGCAACTTTTTGCAGCAGATAATATTTTCTCACATTCATGATTATATACAAACCTTGTAAATGCTATGGCATTAATTTATTGGTGAAATATGTTGATTCACCAACTTTGACAGAGAAGCAGTTTTATTTATTAATTTAATTTATTTATTTGAGATGGAGTCTCGCTCCATTGCCCAGGCTGGAGTGCAGTGGCCCTATCTCGGCTTGCTGCAACCTCCAGCTCCCAGGTTCAAGCGATTCTTATGCCTCAGCCTCCTGAGTAGATGAGACCACAGGCACATGACTCCAAGCCTGGCTAATTTTTGTATTTTTCGTAGAGATGGAGTTTCACCATGTTGGCCAGGCTGGTCTCGAATTCCTGGCCTCAAGTGATCTGCTAGCCTCGGCCTCCCAATGTCCTGGGATTACAGGTGTGAGCCACTGAGCCCAACCGAGAAGCAGTTTTTAAAAAATTTATTACTCAAAACCTCTTGAGCATCATGTTGTATGTCATTAATATGTTATCGACTTGTACTGTTTCTCATACTCATTTTGCCCTAATACTGTGCTATAATTTTACATGCTAGTCTTAATATGTTCTCATCAACTGTGTAGCTTTTCCTTTTCTAGGAAATAAGTTCTATTACTAAATAGTTTGCTTCCTGGGCCTTTTTACTGAAAGCTTTACTCTGTTCTAGGATTCCCATTGCCATTTAAAATGATCAGATGGATACCCCATTTCCCATGGTGATTATTATGCATTGCATGCCCATATCAAAGTATCTCATGCACTCTGTAAATATATACACCTGCTGTGTACCCACAAAAATTAAAAATAAAAAAGATCAGAATCTCTACTTGTTAAATAGCTGTCACTTATGGTTCAGTGTTTATTTCAATTTTGCTGGAGCTATCACTGCCGTTTTAAGTTCTTTGCCTCAAACCACCCACAATGTAATAGCAACTTGGATTACCACCAGGCCATGTAAAACTAATTAATAAGCAGCTTTTGTTGGAAAGATTGATTTTTTAAAAAAAAATCAGTGTCTCTTATTGCACTAGAACAGCAAAATACTTGGAAAATTATAATCATTTATCACTATCTTTATCAGAATTGTCCATAGATCTAGGCCTAGAAACCTCCTTTTCCATCTCAGAACTTGTCTTCAAAATTTGTCACATTGGACTCTCAGGCATGTCTACAAAACACAAACACTAAATAAAGCAGAAGGACATAATAAATACCCAAACAGGAAAATCTCAAAAAATACAACTTCATAGTACAATTTACTTCTAGCTGACCCAATTGACACTTTGCAGTGTTCCTAATAGCAAAGTGTCAGGGAAAGAGTTGAAATACATTATGTAAAAATTCCCTTTGATTTTCTGTTATACCAGTGGAAGCTGTTGGCATGGGGTAGAGGGAGGCTGGGGGAGGTAATAGGAGGGGAGGCCACTGTCATCAGTGTATTGTCCTCTTTTCTGTGTAATACCATTTATCATTAGCTGTCTTTTTCTTGTATCACTGCCTGAAAATAGGCCCAAGCAAGAGTTCCATCTTACCAATTTCTATTACTGATATAATGTATATATTAAATATTCAGTGCTGATGTTCTTGAGCCAGTATCAGTAGGAGATACATTTTGAGTTTTCTTTTTTTGTTTGTTTGTTGGTGCTAATAAGTCTCATCTGAGTTGCTGAGTTGCCTTGTACCCTCTGTGGTCAGTGGTATATGACCTAGATGGAGTCTTTGGGTCTCTGTGGCAAGGGTCAGATGAATAACAACCTCATTAGAACCTGGCACTAACCTTCTCTTAGCACTTACCAACTCTAATTGTCTGTTTCTTGTCTGCTTTCCCCACTGGACTGGATGTAAATAAGTTTATTTATTTACTTCACTTCCCAAGTATGTTGCGTAACACCTTGCAAAAAACAAATGTTCTATAAAAGTTTACGTAATGAGTAAATGCCAAGCTCCCTAAAACATCTTGTGTCCTCCTGCTTCACGCTCATTGCACAGACAACTGCTACTCTGACAAAATGTTCAGCATAGTCTTATTTTAAGAGCAGCAGCCTCAGCAGGCACTGAATAAGAGCCTAACTCTTAAAAACCCATTAAAGTTCCAGCCACTCTATTGATGGCAAAATGAATGCAATTTTTCCTGGTCCAACAGAAGCAATTCAAGTAACACTCAGCATTCCCCCCTCCCCTGCCCCATTACTCTGGCCTGTGGCCTACAAACAAATGAGAAGTAATGTTATCTCAGCTAAACAATCACCTTTGGGGAATCCCTGAGTCTGTGATATCTTGGATTGCTGAAAATATGTTAACTCTGTTGTCTCCTTAAGACATACATCTGTAGATCATGCTCTGCCAATGGAGATTATTTAGTTATTTGCAGTGATACTCCCTATGAAGGGCACAGAAGGTAATGTCCTTCTCTTGAGGCAGACTCTGGGGATATCTGCAGGAAATTAGATACTTTCTTCTGAAAAAATTCATTGGTTCTAGTTATTTGTTTCCCAGTTCAAAGCATTCCTTTGTCCCTGCCATGGGATATTATGGAAATTCCCAAGACATTTTTTTAAAAATCAGAGCTACCACCTGTTGTCTTTTACCCTCAAGAACAAGTCACGCTATGGGGATGACAGTGAAGAGCTAGGTGAACTCTTCCTTATCCTTACAGTACCCTCTTCAACTGAGGGTGACATGCTGCAAATTATTATAGCTTTATTTAATGTAATTTAGCTCATTTGTTTTCCTTAGTGTCTCTGATAGCTTACAGATTAGAAAATTAATAAAGTCATTATTGCTTTCCTGTAAGTCTCTGCTGTCATTTCTTTGCCTGCATTTCTTGTTTGCCTGTCTTGTGTTGATATCTTTGAGGCTCACTATTCGTATTCTGATATAATATTCCCTTTTCTAGGTCCTTTGTTTTTTCTTTCCTGCTTTTTGGATTTCCCCTTTTCATGATTCATATATTGCATAAACTCTCAGGTTAGGTTGACCCACTTCTCACCTGAGCTCTTGTTTAAGATACACTTGTTTGAGAAACTTTTCCTGGACCACATTGCACCTAGATTATGTGAATGTTTAAAGCTCAGAAAATATAAAAAATATTTTCTGAGCTTTAAACATTTTTTAAAAAGTTTGCTGTACTTCTGTTCCCTGAAGCTGCTCAGCATTTGCCAAGCCATTTTCTTAACTCTGTGTGATCTTGGCCTTGCTCAGAGTGATGTACAGGATGAGAGAGAAGGAATAACTTACCTTTCTCTTAAATAAAAAATGATTTATCTGTCAATTTAAGAAAATGAAGTGAATGATCCACAAACAACTGTATGACATAGCTATTATAAATAACACCATTTTACAGCTGAGGTAACCAAGTCCTAGGATGATTAAGTAACTTACCCAGCCAACACAGCTAAAAACAGGAGTCAGAATTCCAAACCAGGCAATAGGATTTCCCATGCTCTTCCCATTAAATGTGGTCTAGTCTCTAAAGTAGATTTAAAATGAATACATTTTTCAAGTATATGCTTTTAGAAATAATTGGAAAAGGAGGTAGGGGAAAGAATTAAGTCACATAATTATATATGAATTGTTAAATACGGATTGAGCCCTATTAAGGACCAGCACTCTTATAGATGCGGGGGATGGGTCAGTGGACCAGCAGACCAGCTTGCTCTATTGTAATTTACATTCTACAGAAGCAGTCCCCAACCTTTTTGGCACAAGGGACCGGTTTTGGGGAAGAAAATTTTTCCGCAGATGAAGGGGGGATGGTTTCAGGATGAAGATGTTCCACCTGAGATCATCAGGCATCAGTTAGATTCTCATGAGGAGCATGCAACCTAGATCCCTCAGATGCACAGTTCCCAATAGGGTTCACACTCTCATTAGAATCTAATACCTACTGCTGATCTGACAGGAGGCAGAGCTCAGGCGGTAACACTCACCTGCTGCTCACCTCCTGTCATGCAGCCTGTTTCCTAACAGGCCACAGACTTTTACTGGTCTGTGGCCTGGGGGTTGGGGACCCCTGTATTAGAGGAAGGAGGCACATGTTGACAGATAATAAAACAAGGAATAAACAAGAAAGTGTCAGACAATGGTCAGTGCTATGAGGCAAATAAAGCAAGGTGACTTGATTGTATCTGTTGAGTGATATTACCTTAGATATCCATCTAAGGCCAGGGAAGGCCTTTCAGAGGAGGTGACACTGGAGCTGGGAAGTGAATAGTAGATATTTTATTCATTGTTGTGAAGAATTTGAATTAAATGTTTTCAACTCTGTGAAAAAGTTTGGAAACCAAATAAATTCTCTTAAAGCCAAAATAAAACAAAACAAAAATAAAACCTAAGTGAGGCATCCTCTTATTTCATCAGACAAATGTGGAAAAACAACTTTCACATCTTTTTTCTCTCTGAAGTTTCACTCTCATCTCTGAATAAAGATGCAAAGGCATATATAATATCCTATTTTAATACAACAAATCCTCTTAGTAGACATGTACTTTTTCATTTTACTTTTATCAAGTTACAGATATACAAAGTTTAAAAGGTCAAATAGTTCTAAAGAGGTAAAAGGAAGGGCAACTCTCCTTTGTTGCACTTATTCCCACCTGCAGTTTCTGTTTTTTAGAGACAACCACTTTTAATCTTTTAGTTATTTTTTTAATCTCTAGTACTTCAAAAACAATAGATTTATACACTATGTCTTGATTTTTTACTTTTACACATTGTGTTTTGATTTCTTCTATTGAAAATGATATTTTAGCCCTCTTATAATCTCCTCTCTCCCACTGTCTTTTTTTTTTTTTTCAGACATGGTCTTGCTCTGTTGCCCAGGCTGGAGTGCAGTGGTGTGATCACTGCTTACTGCAGCCTCAGCCTCCCCAGTAGCTGGGACTAAAGGTGCATGCCACCATGCCCATCTAATTTTTGTATTTTTTTTAGGAGATAGGGTCTCCCTATGTTGCCCAGGTTGGTCTTGAACTCCTGGGCTCTAGTGATCAGTCCATCTTGGCTTTCCAAAGTGCTGGGATTGCAGGCATGAACCACCATGCCCAGTCCACTCCCACTATCTTTAAAAATAGTTACATCATTAGTTTTAATTAGATCATGGTTCAGAGTTTGTTATGATAACTATATAAATATTATTTTCATCTGAACCATGTAGTTTGTTATGATTGCATTTCCTTTCTTGTATATCCTTTTGTCTTCTCAAGTATTAATGATTTACTTGTTTTAAAATTTCATTTTTTTGCCTATCATTTTTTCATACCCAAATTCTTCCTTAGAACTATAAATCTCTTTTCAAACTCTCAAACACATTAAGCAGTCTATTAATTCCAACTTTTTCATGAGAACATTTCTCTTTGTGCTCTCCATTCTCTTGCTCTAATAGGAACTGGTTGATTTTTCATTATAGCATCATTCTGAGATCCCACCCTCCTTTTTTTTTTCTTTTTTAAATTGGGAGCTCTGTTTCTTGGGCTAAGTGAACTTCTTTTTTTTCTTGGGTATAATAGGCAGAATAATGGCCCTGCAAAAGATGTTCATGTCCTAATCCCCAAAATCTGTATATACGCACCTTACATAGCAAAAGGGACTTTGAAGATATGATTAAAGATCTTTTTTTAAACTGAATTTATTTTTTCTTAGTGGTAAAAATCTATATAAAAGAAGAAAATTCAAAATGAAATCAAAAGATAATAGCTGTAATAAGATTAACCTACAGCAGCTGCAGCACCAATAACAACACTAAAAGAATTATTTCTACTCCAAAATGACTAAGAAATATGTATATGAGCCTCTTAAGCAACTTAATTTTAACAATGGCTAAATTAAATGGAATTGTAATATCTTCAAATGAATCTCAATGATTGCACACTGATTAGTGTCCATAATGGGACAGGTTATACTAGTTACGTATTTCAATCTGGAGAGAAATGTGTAAGTCAAATCAGAAGACATGATTTCTAGTCTGTGCTTCACTGCTTACTTTTTTAAAAAATTATTTTAAGTTCCAGGATACATGTGCAGAATGTGCAGGTTTGTTACATAGGTATACGTGTGCCACAGTGGTTTGCTGCACCTATTGACCCATCCTCTAAGATCCCTCCCCTCATCCCCCACCCCCAAACAGGGCCTAGTATGTGTTGTTCCCCTCCCTGTGTCCATGTGTTCTCATTGTTCAACTCCCACTTATGAGTGAGAATATGCAGCGTTTGGTTTTCTGTTCCTGTGTCAGTTTACTGAGGATGATGGCTTCCAGCTTCATCCATGTCCCTGCAAAGGACATGATCTCATTCCTGTTTATGCCTGCGTAGTATTCCACGGTGTATATGTACCACATTTTCTTTATCCAATCTGTCATTGATGGGCATTTGGGTTGGTTCCATGACTTTGCTATTGTAAATAGTATTGCAATAAACACATGTGTGCATGTGTCTTTATAGTAGAATAATTTCTATTCCTTTGGGTATATATCCAGTAATGAGATTGCTGAGTCAAATGGTATTTCTGGTTCTAGATCCTTGAGGAATTGCCATACTGTCTTCCACAATGGTTGAACTAATTTACATTCCCACCAACAGTGTAAAAGCATTTCTATTTCTCTACAGCCTCACCAGCATCTATTGTTTTTTGGCTTTTTAATAGTCACCATTCTGACTGGTGTGAGATGGGATTTCATTGTGGTTTTAATTTCTCTAACGACCAGTGATATTGAGCTGTTTTTCATATATTTGTTGGCTGTGTAAACATCTTCTTTTGAGAAGTGTCTGTTCATATTCTTTGCCCACTTTTTGATGTGGTTGTGTGTTTTTTTTTTCTTGTAAATTTAAGTTCTTTGTACATTCTGGATATTAGACCTTGTCAGATGGGTAGATTGCAAAAATTTTCTCCCATTCTGTAGATTGCCTATTCACTCTGATGATAGTTTATTTTTCTGTGCAGAAGCTCTTTAGTTTAATTAGATCCCATTCATCAATTTTGGCTTTTGCCACAATTGCTTTTGGCATTTCTGTCATGAAGTGTTTGCCCATGCCTATGTCATGAATGGTATTGCCTAGGTCTTCTTCTAGGATTTTTATGGTTTTGGGTTTTACATTTAAGTCTTTATTCCATCTTGAGTTAATTTTTGCATAAGGTGTAAGGAGGGGGTCCAGTTTTAGTTTTCTGCATATGGCTAGCCCATTTTCCCAGCACCATTTTTTGAATAGGAAGTCCTTTCTCCATTGCCTGTTTTTGTCAGGTTTGTTGAAGATCAGATGGTTGTAAATGTGTAGTGTTATTTCTGAGGTGTCTGTTCTGTTACATTTGTCTATATGTCTGTTTTTGGTACCAGTACCATGCTCTTTTGGTTACTGTAGCTTTGTAGTATAGTTTGAAGTCAGGTAGCATGATGCTTCCAGCTTTGTTCTTTTTGCTTAGGATTGTCTTGGCTATACAAGGTCTCCTTTGATTCCATATGAAATTTAAATTAGTTTTTTTCTAATTCTGTGAAGAATGTCAATGGCAGTTTGATGGGAATAGCATTGAATCTATAAATTACTTTGGGCAGTATGGCCATTTTCATGATATTGATTCTTCCTGTCCATGAGGATGGAATGTTTTTCCATTTGTTTGTGTCCTCTTTTATTTCCTTGAGCAGTGGTTTACAGTTCTCCCTGAAGAGGTCTTTCACATCCCTTGGTAGCTGTATCCCTACGTATTTTATTTTCTTTGTAGTTATTGTGAATGGGAATTCATTCCTGATTTGGCTTTCTGCTTGTCTGTTGTTGGTGTATAGAAATGCTTGTGATTTTTGCACATTGATTTTGTATCCTGAGACTTTGCTGAAATTGCTTATCAGTTTAAGGAGTTTTTGGGCTGAGATGATGGGGTTTTGTAAATAAAAAATCATGTTATCTGCAAACAGAGACAATTTGATTTCCTCTCTTCCTATTTGAATACCCTTTATTTCTTTCTCTTGCCTGATTGTCCTGGCCAGAACTTCCAATACTATATTGAATAGGAGTGGTAAGAGAGGGCATCCTTGTCTTGTGCCAGTTTTCAAAGGGAATGCTTCCATCTTTTCCCCATTCAATATGATATTGGCTGTGGGTTTGTCATAAATAGCTCTTATTATTTTGAGATATGTTCCATCAACAGCTAGTTTATTGAGTTTTTATCATGAAGGGATGTTGAGTTATACCAAAGGCCTTTACTGCATCTATTGAGATAAACGTGTTTTTTTGTCTTTGATTCTGTTTATGTGATGGATTACATTTATTGATTTGCATATGTTCAACCAGGCTTGCATCCCAGGGATGAAACTGACTTAATCATGGTGGATAAGCTTTTTGATGTGCTGATGGATTCGGTTTGCTAGTATTTTATTGAGGATTTTCATATCTATGTTCATTAGGGATATTGGCCTGAAGTTTTCTTTTTTTGTTGTGTCTCTTCCCATTTTAGGTATCAGGATGATGCTGGCTTCATAAAATCAGTTAGGGTGGAGTCGCTCCTTTTTAATTGTTTGGAATAGTTTCAGAAGGAATGGTACCAGCTCCTCTTTGTATCTCTGGTAGAATTTGGCTGTGTATCTGTCTGTCCCTGGGCTTTTTTGGTTGGTAGGCTATTAATTACTGGCTCAAATTCAGAACTTGTTATTATTCTATTCAGGGATTCGACTTCTTCCTGGTTTAGTCTTGGGAGGGTGTATGTTTCCAGGAACTTATCAGTTTCTTCTAGATTTTCTAGTTTATTTGCATAGAGGTGTTTATTGTATTTTCTGATGGTAGTTTGTATGTCTGTGGGATCAGTGGTGATATACCCTTTATCATTTTTTATTGTATCTATTTGATTCTTCTCTCTTTTCTTCTTTATTAGTTTAGTTAGCAGTTTATCTATTTTGTTAATGTTTTCAAAAAACCAGCTCCTGGATTCATTGATTTGTTGAAGGGGTTTTCATGTCTCTATCTCGTTCAATTCTGGTCTGATCTTAGTTATTTCTTGTCTTCTGCTAGCTTTTGGAATAGTTTCCTCTTGTCTCTCTAGCTCTTTCAATTGTGATGTTAGGGTGTTGATTTGAGATCTTTCTAGCTTGCTGATGTGGGTATTTAGTACTATAAATTTCTATCTTAACATTGCTTTAGCTGTGTCCCAGAGTTTCTGGTACGTTGTCTCTTTGTTCTCATTGATTTCAAAGAACTTCTTGATTTCTGCCTTAATTTCTTTATTTACCCAGGAGTCATTCAGGAGCAGGTTGTTCAATTTCCACGTAGTTGTGTGGTTTTGAGTGAGTTTCTTAATCTTGAGTTCTAAATTGATTGCACTATGGTTTGATAGATTGTTTGTTATGATTTCAGTTGTTTTGCATTTACTGAGGAGTGTTTTACTTCCAATTGTGTGGTTGATTTTAGAATAAGTGCCATGTGGCATTGAGAGGAATATATATTCTGTTGATTTGGGGTGGAGAGTTCTGTAGTTGTCTATTAGGTCCACTTGATCTAGAGCTGAGTTCAAGTCTTGAATATCCTTGTTAATTTAGGATTAACTGTCTGATTGTCAGTTAATCCTGCCTTGCTGACCTGTCTAATATTGACAGAGGGTTGTTAAAGTCTCCCACTATTATTGTGTGGGAGTCTAAGTCTCTTGGTAAGTCTCTAAGAACTTGTTTAATGAATCTGGGTGCTCCTGTATCGGGTTCATATGCATTTAGAATAGTTAGCTCTTCTCGTTGAATTTTTCCCTTTACCATTATGTATTGCCTTTCTTCGTCTTTTTTGATCTTTGTTGATTTAAAATCTGTTTTGTCAGAGACTAGGATTGCAACCCCTGCCTTGTTTTGCTTTCCATTTCCTTGGCAAATTTTTCTCCATCCGTTTATTTTGAGCCTATGTGTGTCTTTGAACCTGAGATGGGTCTGCTGAATATAGCACACTGATGGGTCTTGACTCTTTATCCAATTTGCCAGTCTGTGTCTTTTAATTGGGGCATTTAGCCCATTTACATTTAAGGTTAATATTGTTTTGTTTGAATTTGATCCTGTCCTCATGATGCCATCTGGTTATTTTGCACAGTAGTTGATGCAGTTTCTACAGAGTGTCACTGGTCTTTATATTTTGGTATGTTTTTGCAGTGGCTGGTACAGATTTTTCCTTTCCATATTTAGTGCTTCTTTTAGGAGCTCTTGCAAGGCAGGTCTGGTGGTAATGAAATCCCTCAGAGTTTGCTTGTCTGGAAAGGAGTTTATTTCTTCTTCACTTATGAGGCATAGTTTGGCTGAATATGAAATTCTGGGTTGAAAATTCTTTTCTTTAAGAATGTTGAATATTGGTCCCCCAATCTCTTCTGACTTGTAGAGTTTCTGCTGAGAGGTCTGCTGTTAGTGTGATGGGCTTCCCTTTGCAGGTAACCTAGCCTTTCTCTCTGGCTGCCCTTAACATTTTTTTCTTCATTTTGACCTTGGAGAATCTGATGATTATGTGTCTTGGGGTAGATCTTCTCATGGAATATCTTAGTAGTGTTCTCTATATTTCCTGAATTTGCATGTTGGCCTGTCTTTCTAGTTTGGGGATAATATCCTGAAGTGTATTTTCCAGCTTGTTTCCATTCTCCTCATCTCCTTCAGGTACTCCAATCAATTGTAAGTTTGGTCTTTTTGTGAAGTCCCATATTTCTTGAACGCTTTGTTCATTTCTTTTCATTCTTTTTTTCTCTAATCTTGTCTGGATGCCTTATTTCAGCAAGGTGGTCTTCAAACTCTGATATCCTTTCTTCTGCTTGGTCGATTTAGCTCTTGATACTTGTGTATGCTTCATGAGGTTCTTGTGCTGTGTTTTTCAGCTCCATCAGGTCATTTATTTTCCTCTCTAAACTGGTTATTCTAGTTAGCAGTGCCTCTAACGTTTTATCAAGGTTCTTAGCTTCTTTGCATTGGGTTAGAACATGCTCCTTTAGCTCAGTGTAGTTTTTTTATTACCCATTTTCTGAATCCTACTTCTGTCAATTCATCCATCTCATTCTCCGTTCAGTTCTGTGCCCTTGCTGGAGAGATGTTGCAATCAATTTTGGGGAGAAAAGGCACTCTGGCTTTTTGGATTTTCAGTGTTTGCTTCGTTGATTCTTTCTCATCTTCATGGGTTTGTCTAGTTTCGATCTTTGAGGCTGCTGACCCTTGGATGTTTTGTGTGGGCTTTTTTTTGTTCTTGTTGTTTCTGCTTTCTGTTTTTCTTTCAAAGGTTGGGTCCGTCTTCTGTAGGGCTGCTGTGGTTTGCTGGAGGGTCACTTCAGGCCCTATTCATCTGATTCACTCCCGCGCCTGAAGATGCCATTCAAGGAAGCTGGAGAACAGCAAAGATGGGTCCCTGCTCCTTCTTCTGGGATTTCTGACCTCAATGAGCACAAACATGATACCAGTAGGATCACTCCTCTATAGGGAGTCTGACAACTCCTGTAGGAGGGTCTCACCTAGTTGGGTGGCACAGGGAACAGGACTCTTTTTTTTATTATTATTATACTTTAAGTTCTAGGGTAGATGTGCACAACGTGCAGGTTTGTTACATAGGAATACATGTGCCATGTTGGTTTGCTGCACCCATTAACTGTCATTTACATTAGATATTTCTCCTAATGCTATCCCTCCCCCTACCCCCCACCCCCTGACAGGCCCTGGTGTGTGATGTTCCCCGCCCTGTGTCCACGTGTTCTCATTGTTCAGTTCCCACCTATGAGTGAGAACATGTGGTGTTTGGTTTTCTGTCCTTGTGATAGTTTGCTCAGAGCGATGGTTTCCAGCTTCATCCATGTCCCTGCAAAGGACATGAACTCATCCTTTTTTATGGCTGCATAGTATTCAGTGGTGTATATGTACCACATTTTCTTAATCCAGTCTATCATTGATGGACATTTGAGTTGGTTCCAAGTCTTTGCTATTGTGAATAGTGCCGCAATAAACATATGTGTGCATGTGTCTTTATAGTAGCAATTTATAATCCTTTGGGTATATACCCAGTAATGGGATCACTGGGTTAAATGTTATTTCTAGTTCTAGATTCTTGAGGAATCACCACACTGTCTTCCACAATGGTTGAACTACTTTACAGTCCCACCAACAGTGTAAAAGTGTTCCTATTTCTCCACATCCTCTCCAGCATCTTTTGTTTCCTGACTTTTTAATGATCGCCATTCTAACTGGTGTGAGATGGTATCTCATTGTGGTTTTGATTTGCATTTCTCTGATGACCAGTGATGATGAGCATTTTTTCATATGTCTGTTGGCTGCATAAATGTCATGTTTTGAGAAGTGTCTGTTCATATCCTTTGCCCACTTTTTGATGGGGTTGTTTTTTTCTTGTAAATTTGTCTAAGTTCTTTGTAGATTCTGGATATTAGCCCTTTGTCAGATGAGTATATTGCAAAAATTTTCTCCCATTCTGTAGGGTCCCTGTTCACTCTGATAGTGGTTTGTTTTGCTGTGCAGAAGCTCTTCAGTTTAATTAAATCCCATTTGTCTATTTTGGCTTTTGTTGCTATTGCTTTTGGTGTTTTATTCATGAAGTCCTTGCCCATGCCTATGTCCTGAATGGTATTGTCTAGGTTTTCTTCTAGGTTTTTTTTTTTATGGTTTTAGGTCTAACATTTAAGTCTTTAATCAATCTTGAATTAATTTTTGTATAAGGTGTAAGGAAGGGATCCAGTTTCAGCTTTCTACATCTGGCTAGCCAGTTTTCCCAGCACCATTTATTAAATAGGGAATCCTTTCCCCATTTCTTGCTTTTGTCAGGTTTGTCAAAGATCCGATGGTTGTAGACGTGTGGTGTTATTTCTGAGGCCCCTGTGCTGTTCCATTGGTCTATTTCTCTGTTTTGGTACCAGTACCATGCTGTTTTGGTTACTGTAGCCTTGGAGGTGGTGTGATGCCTCCAGCTTTGTTCTTTTTCCTTAGGATTGTCTTGGCAATGTGGGCTCTTTTTTGGTTCCATATGAAAGTTAAAGTAGTTTTTTCCAATTCTGTGAAGAAAGTCATTGGTAGCTTGATGGGGATGGCATTGAATCTATAAGTTGCTTGGGGCAATATGGCCATTTTCACAATATTGATTGTTCCTATCCATGAGCATGGAATGTTCTTCCATTTGTTTGTGTCCTCCTTTATTTCATTGAGCAGTGGTTTGTAGTTCTCCTTGAAGAAGTCCTTCACATCTCTTGTAAGTTGGATTCCTAGGTATTTTATTCTCTTTGTAGCAAGTGTGAATGGGAGTTCACTCATGATTTGGCTCTCTGTTTGTCTGTTCTTGGTGTATAGGAATACTTGTGATTTTTGCACATTGATTTTGTATCCTGAGACTTTGCTGAAGTTGCTTATCAGCTTAAGGAGATTTGGGGCTGAGATGATGGGGTTTTCTAAATATACAATCATGTCATCTGCAAACAGGGACAATTTGAGTTCCTCTTTTCCTAATTGAATACCCTTTATTTCTTTCTCTCGCCTGATTGCCCTTGCCAGAACTTCCAACACTATGTTGAATAGGAGTGGTGAGAGAGGGCATCCCTGTCTTGTGCCAGATTTCAAAGGGAATGCTTCCAGTTTTTGTCCATTCAGTATGATATTGGCTGTGGGTTTGTCATAAATAGCTCTTATTATTTTGAGATACGTTTCATCAATACCTAGTTTATTGAGAGTTTCTAGCGTGAAGCGCTGTTGAAATTTGCCGAAGGCCTTTTCTGCATCTATATAGATAGTCAAGTGGTTTTTGTCATTGGTTCTGTTTATATGATGGATCACGTTTATTGATTTGTATATGTTGAACCAGCCTTGCATCCCAGGGATGAAGCTGACATGATCATGGTTGATAAGCTTTTTGATGTGCTGCTGGATTCGGTTTGCCAGTATTTTATTGAGGATTTTTGCATCAATGTTCATCAGGGATATTGGTCTACAATTCTCTTTTTTTGTTGTCTCTCTGCCAGGCTTTGGTATCAGGATGATGCTGGCCTCAGAAAATGAGTTAGGGAGGATTTCTTCTTTTTCTATTCACTGGAATAGTTTCAGAAGGAATGGTACCAACTCCTCTTTGTACCTCTGGTAGAATTTGGCTATGAATCCATCTGTTCCTGGACTTTTTTTGGTTGGTAGGCTACTGATCATTGCCTCAATTTCAGAGCCTGTTATTGGTCTATTCAGAGATTCAACTTCTTCCTGGTTTAGTCTTGGGAGAGTGTATGTGTCAAGGAATTTATCCATTTCTTCTAGATCTTCTAGTGTATTTGCAAGGAGGTGTTTATAGTATTCTCTGATGGTAGTTTGTATTTCTGTGGGTTTGGTGGTGAGATCCCTTTTATCATTTTTTATTGTGTCTATTTGATTCTTCTCTCTTTTCTTCTTTATTAGTCTTGCTAGCGGTCTATCTATTTTGTTGATCCTTTCAAAAAACCAGCTCTTGGATTCGTTGATTTTTTGAAGGGTTTTTTGTGTCTCTATCTCCTTCAGTTCTGCTCTGATCTTGGTTTTCTTGCCTTGTGCTAGCGTTTGAATTTGTTTGCTCTTGCTTCTCTAGTTCTTTTAATTGTGATGTTAGGGTGTCAATTTTAGATCTTTCTTGCTTTCTCTTGTGGGCTTTTAGTGCTATACATTTCCCTCTACACACTGCTTTAAATGTGTCTCAGAGATTCTTGTATGTTGTGTCTTTGTTCTCATTGTTTTCAAAGAACATCTTTATTTCTGCCTTCATTTCATTATGTACCCACTAGTCATTCAGGAGCAGGTTGTTCAGTTTCCATGTAGTTGTGCGGTTTTGAATGATTTTCTTAATCCTGAGTTCTAATTTGATTGCAGTGTGGTCTGACAGTTTGTTGTGATTTCTGTTCTTTTACATTTGCTGAGGAGTGCTTTAGTTCCAACTATGTGGTCAATTTTGGAATAAGTGTGATGTGTTGCTGAGAAGAATGTATATTCTGTTGATTTGGGGTGGAGATTTCTGTAGATGTCTATTATGTCAGCTTGGTGCAGAGCTGAGTTCAAGTCCTGGATATCCTTGTTAACCTTCTGTCTTGTTGATCGGTCTAATATTGAGAATGGGGTGTTAAAGTCTCCCATTAATATTGTGTGGGAGTCTAAGTCTCTTTGTAGGTCTCTAAGGACTTGTTTTATGAATCTGGGTGCTCCTGTATTGGGTGCATATATATTACGATAGTTAGCTCTTCTTGTTGAATTGATCCCTTTACCATTATGTAATGGCCTTCTTTGTCTTTTTTGATCTTTGTTGGTTTAAAGTCTGTTTTATCAGAGACTAGGATTGCAACTCCTGCTTTTTTTTGCTTTCCATTTGCTTGAGAGATCTTCCTCCATGCCTTTATTTTGAGCCTATGTGTGTCTCTGCACGTGAGATGGTTCTCCTGAATATAGCACAGTGATGAGTCTTGACTCTTTATCCAGTTTGCCAGTCTGTGTCTTTTAATTGGAGCATTTAGCCCATTTACATTTAAGGTTAATATTGTTATTTGTGAATTTGATCCTGACATTATGATGTTAGCTAGTTATTTTGCCCATTAGTTGATGCAGTTTCTTCCTAGCATCGATAGTCTTTACAATTTGGCATGTTTTTGTAGTGGCTACGTGAAACATGCAGTGGCATGTTTTTGCAGTGGTACTAGTTGTTCCTTTCCATCTTTATTGCTTCCTTCAGGAGCTCTTGTAAGGCAGGCCTGGTGGTGACAAAATCTCTCAGCATTTGCTTGTCTGTAAAGGTGTTCTCGGTATTTCCTGAATTAGAATGTTGGCCTGCCTTGCTAGGTTCGGGAAGTTCTCCTGGATAATATCCTGAGGAGTGTTTTCCAACTTGGTTCCATTCTCCTCGTCGCTTTTAGGTACACCAGTCAAATGTAGGTTTGGTCTTTTCACATAGTCCCATATTTCTTGGAGTCTTTGTTTGTTTCTTTTTACTCTTTTTTTCTCTAAACTTCTGTTTTCAGTTTATTTCATTGATTTGATTTTCAATCACTGATACCCTTTCTTCCACTTGATTGAATTGGCTGTTGAAACTTGTGCATGCATTGCGTAGTTCTCATGCCATGGTTTTCAGCTCCATCGGGTCATTTAAGGTCTTCTCTACACTGTTTATTCTAGTTAGCCATTTGTCTAATCTTTTATCAAGGTTTTTAGCTTCCTTGCGATGGGTTTGAACATCCTCCGTTAGCTTGGAGAAGTTTGTTATTACCGACCTTCTGAAGCCTACTTCTGTCAACTCATCAAAGTCATTCTCTGTCCAGCTTTGTTCCGTTGCTGGCGAGGAGCTGTGATCCTTTGAAGAAGAGGCGCTCTGGCTTTTAGAATTTTCAGCTTTTCTGCTCTGGTTTCTCCCCATCTTTGTGGTTTTATCTACCTTTGGTCTTTGATGTTGGTGACCTACAGTTGGGGTTTTGGTGTGGATGTCCTTTTTGTTGATGTTGATGCTATTTTTTTCTGTTTGTTAGTTTTCCTTCTAACAGTCAGGTTCCTCAGCTGCAGGTCTGTTGGAGTTTGCTGGAGGTCCACTCCAGATCCTGTTTGCCTGGGTATTACCAGTGGAGGCTCAGTTGGAAATACAGTAATCTCCTGTCTTCTGAGTCAGTCACACTGGGAGCTGCAGACTCGAGCTGTTCCTATTTGACCATCTTGGAGCAGGCCCCCCCATTTTTTCAGATGGAGTCTTGCTCTGTCGCCCAGGCTGGAGTGCAGTGGCACCATCTCAGCTCACTGCAAGCTCTGCCTCTTGTGTTCATGCCATTCTCCTGCCTCAGCCTCCTGAGTAGCTGGGACTAAGGGTGCTTGCCACCATGCCTGACTAAATTTTTTTGTTTTTGTATTTTTAGTAGAGATGGGGTTTCACTGTGTTAGCCAGGATGGTCTTGATCTCCTGACCTGGTGATCCGCCCACCTCGGCCTCCCAAAGTGCTGGGATTACAGGCATGAGCTACCGTGCCCGTCTGGGAACTGGACTCTTTTAACAAAGTACATTAACTGTCCCTTGGTGGAGGAGGTGAGCATCACTTGGGGTAACCCACTCATTTGGGCTGCCTGGATTCCTCAGAACTACCAGGAGGAAAGGCTAAGTCTGCTGGTCCACAGAGACTATGGCCACCCCTTCCCCTAGGGACTCAGGGCCAGTGAGATCTGGGTTCTGTCCCTGAGCATCTGGTTGGAGTTACTGGAGTTCCTGCAGGGAGGCCCGACCCAGTGAGGAAGGATGAGTCAGGATGAGGCCTGAAGAGGCACTCTGAGTGCAGTCTGCCACAGCTGGTATATTGGGCTGTGGAGGACATGTCTTGGGACCAAGCCATCCAGACTCCCTGGCTCCAGCAGAGGAAAAGTGTGGCCTGGACCTACAGAGATGGATGCCGCCTTTCCCCCACCCAGGGAGGTTAGGGTGTTAGGCAGTTGTGAGTCCCAGTGCTGGCTGCTGCCCCTCCCCCAGTGAGCTGAAATGGCTTAGACAGCAGGCAGCCACAGCTGTAGTACTGGTTGCCCCTTTCCCCAGGAGCTCAGTGGGCTTAAGCAGATTCTAGCTGAGAGGCTGTTGAGAACTGTGCAGCTCTGGGGTTGGGAAACAAGGCCCTGGTGGTATGGGTTTGGGAGTGGGATCTTTCGATCTGGGTTACACAGTTCTGTGGAAATAGCATGGTTTCCCTGGCTGGGTAGCACGCTCACTCACTGCCTCCCTTGGTTGGGAGGTGGGGGCTCCTCTGCTCTGTGTGGCTCTTAGGTGGGCTGCCACACCACACTGCTCTTCCTCTCCGTGGATTACGCCAGCCACCTAGTCAGTTCTGGTGAGAGAACCTGGATACCTTGATTGCTGGTGAAGGATTCACATGTTTATTTTGTTTTTTTTTCGTTGGGAGCCTCTGATCGCTGCTGTCCACTGATTAATGATCTTGAGGATATTATTCTGGATTATCTGTGTGGGGCCAATGTAATTACATGAGTCCTTATAAGTGAAAGAGTGAGGCAGGAGAGTCAGTATCAGAGTCAGAGATATTCAAAGATGTTATGCTGTTGGCTTTGAAGACAGATGAAAGGGCCATGGACCTAGGAGTGAGAACAACCTCTAGAAGCTGGAAATGGCAAGAAAAAAGATTTTCTGTAGATCCTCTAGCAGGAATGCAAGGTTGCTGGCTGCTAACACATTGATTTTAGGACTTCTGACTTGCAGAGCTGTAAAATAATAAGTTGTTTTATACCACTAAGTTTGTGGTAACTTGTTATAGCAGCAATAGAACACTAATACAGTGGGTTAGTCTCTAATTTGGATAAGTATCTCCTTCAGGATCTTGAAAAAGAACACATGGAAAATAGATTTTTGATGATTTATATATCTAAAAGTATCTTTATTTTTATCTTAGAGTTCTTTGAGGTTGGAAGTAATTTTCCCTCAGGATATTGAAGGTATTTCTCTATTGCATACTTTATTCCAGTTAGAAGTTTAATGCCATTATGATGCCTTATCCTTTCTTTGTTGCCTGCTTTATTTATCTCTCTGAAAGTTTCTAGTGTATGTATTTTTATCTCTTATGTGGAGAAATTTCATGATGATACACTTTTGTTTCAGCGTGAGTCTTTTTCTGTCTATTGTGTTAACCACTCCCAATTTGGAAATTTAACTTTATCAATTCTGAAACATTTTGTGCATGATTTATTTGATAATTTCCTTTATTTCCTTTCCTCTCCTTTATTTCCTGTCTCTCTTTCTGGAACTCTTGTTACTTGGATGGTAGACATCCTGGACTCATTGTTAAATTTTCTTTTTTTCTCCTTCCCATTTTCTATTTTTTTATTTGCTCTACTTTCTGGAGATTTCTTTAACCACTTCTTCTAATTCTTCTTGACATTTCTTCTATCTTATTTTTAATTCCCAAGAGTTTTTTCTTGATCTTTGAGTGTTTCTTTAAAATTTGCCATTCTTTTTTTCATATATATAGTATTTTTTTCTTCATCTTTAAAGACAATAAGTAAAATATCAGGCTCCCTTTAAGACATCTGTTTCTGACTTTCCAGTTCATTTTGGTCTTTGTTTCATGTAGGAGGCTTTTCTAAAATATCTGATGTTGCTTGTCTACCTGTTCACATTGAAGAGCGAGGCACTAGAAAGCTGTTTGGAAGTGTTGTGTGTCAATTTAAGTGTGTATATGTTTGTGGCAGAGATGTAGGTTGCTGATTGGTGGCCCTCACCGAAGGGTTATTTGGCTTGGGTCTTTCAGGAATGGAATTTCAATTATTATTGTAGTTTTATTTTTCCCTAACTTGTGCTGGTCAGTTAATTCAGAGATGATTCTTTTAACTTCTTATCTAAGATATTTAAAGTCTGCTGGTGTTCTTGGAGACAAATAGGAGAGAGGACCCATGCATCTTATTGTTCAGTATACAGACATTCACTTAATCCTTCTGTTTTTCAACTTGCCTGGGTTTTATATAGATACAGTCTCCCTGATTTAATCTCTAAGTTATCTGTGGGAATGGAGGAGGGAATCTGTGTTTTCAATAACATGTTATACAAATTCTTTAACAGTCCTCCTGTATCAAATTCAATTGCATGCTATGATGACTCCAATTTCTGAGAATCTCTTGGATTCTAAGGTCCAAAAAAAGCTAGCTTCCAGTTTCTTTGATTTGGGACTTTTCTTGTTCCCTAATCCTCTTCCTAGCTTCCAAAATTTAGTCTGTGTTATTGCTTCTTGGACTTACTTTATTCTTACGAGCTTTAAATCTTTTCTCCATCATTTTAATGAATTTCAAGAGAGACAGTAGAAACAAAGTATGTTCAATTCTTCATATTTAACTGGAAGTTCAAGGATTTATCTATTTTTAAAAATCATATATTGATTTTTAATAAACATTTATGAGCTCTAGTGCTCAGCCTCTCAGTCTGGAAGTTACCTTATTTACTAAGGCACATGACAAAGTAACTGATGAGTCTGTAAAACTGTATAGTTCTTCTACCAATTTTCTGGCTATGTTGGCAATTGGTGATTTAAGTGTTCATGGCAGCACTGAGGGAACATTGTGCTTTGTCATTGCCATGTCCGTATGTCATATAACAATTGTTTGAAAATTAATGATGGTTCAAAAATTTTTGAACTTTTCCTAAAGGTGTACTGTGCTCAAACACTATAAAAGAAAATTTGTTATCATGGTGTTGAAAGAGCCATTCCACTCTTCTCTCCCTATTTTAATAGAATTTTGTTTTTTATCATTATTTCTGAGAATTCTTTCTGAAACTCCAAACCAGCAGAGTATTCTTTGGTTTGTTAATTTTTTATTCCACATCCTTTTGAATTCATATTTTGTGATTAAATGGGGAGACACTTTCATATTCTTCCCCCCACGTAAAGTATTTATTGTAAAATTATTATTATTATTATTTTGAGGCAGAGTCTCACTATGACTCACGCTGCTGGAGGGCAGTTGTGCAGTCACAGCTCACTGCCACTTCGACCTCCTGGGCTCAAGCAATTCTCTTATCTCAGCCTCTTGAGTAGCCAGGACTACAGTCATGCCACCATGCATGGCTAAGTTTTTTCTGAGATAGGGTCTCACTGTGTTGCCCAGGCTGGTCTTGAACTCCTGGGCTCAAACCATCTTCCTGCCTTGGCCTTCCAAAGTGTTGGGATTACAGGCATGAGCCACCAGGCCCAGGCTACTTTTTAAGTTTTAAGAGAGTGCTTGTTCTAATACTTTGGAGTACATTGAAGAGATAATACCTGATCCATGTTTTGGGGGATATTTATCTCCATTGCTCTACAGTCTTAATATTTTCATAAGAGAGAAACTTAGTTATTTTAGTTTGTGTTCAAATAGATATCTTTTATCATTTTAATTTTGTGTCTTTGGACCTTCTCCAGCCTCATTGTTTTGTTTGTTTTGAGGTTCGTTAAACGGAAAGTCACATGGTATTTCTGGTGTGACTTATCTATGAGTTTTTAATAAGGATAGAATTTTGTTCTGTATTTGGCTCAGTATATTTCCTGATGATACCCAGAGCTTTTCTTGTTGTAGACTGCATTCCAAAATCTATAGAGATGGACTTCCAGGACAAACTGTGATCTTTAGTTTTGTGGGGTATCCTCTGTCCCATACTCTTCTTTAATTCCCTAATATTACTTCCATTATTTCAATCATCCCCAATTCCTTACCCATTGCCTGTCTACACTCTTTTCAATTTCCTCTTACTTCCACCTACTGTTCTCACACCTTTCCTTAGTCCTGCCTCTTTTATCATGTGTGCCTTTAAGGCTTTCTGAGAACAAGAGAACTATGAGAACTTTGGTCTCCCTGGTTTCCATTTTTGTCATGCTATGCCTGTACTCCCCACAGCAGCTTGAGTGTTCTTTAGAAATATATGAATTAAATCATGCTGCTCCTTAGCTTAATAGCCTCCAGAAGCTTCACATTGTGCTCAGAAGTAAATCCAAGTTTGACAATGCCCTACATTATCTGGCCTCTGCCTACCTCCTTGATCCTATCCCCTGTTAGATCACAGTACTGCCAGATACAATGGCCTTCTTGCTGTTCTGGTAACACTTCAAGCTCATTCCTGCCTTGTCTCTATGCACTCAAGTTCCTTTTCCTTTTCCATACTGTGCTCAGATCTTTGCATAACTGGCTCCTTCATATCATTCAGAAATAACCTTAGATGCTACCTCTGGAGAAGTGTCTTCCAATTCAATCCAAAGAAGCATACCCCGAGTTTCAGTCACTTTCCATCACATAACACCATTTTATTGTCTTCACATTACTTATTATAATCTAAAATCATCATTTACACTATTTGTATATTTTAAGATTGTCTTGCTCTCTATTTTTTGATCAATTTTTTTTTTTTTTGAGACGGAGTCTCGCTCTGTCGCCCAGGCTGGAGTGCAGTGGCGCGATCTCGGCTCACTGCAAGCTCCGCCTCCCGGGTTCACGCCATTCTCCTGCCTCAGCCTCGCGAGTAGCTGGGACTACAGGCGCCCACTACCACGCCCGGCTAATTTTTTGTATTTTTAGTAGAGACGGGGTTTCACCGTGTTAGCCAGGATGGTCTCGATCTCCTGACCTCGTGATCCACCCGCCTCGGCGTCCCAAAGTGCTGGGATTACAGGCGTGAGCCACCGCGCCCGGCCTTTTTGATCAATTTTGCATAGTATATCTTTTTTCCATTCTTTTACTTTTAAAAAAAATTTTACATTTTAAAAATTGAGGTAAAAAACACCTATACGTTTATGATCTTTGCCATTCTTTTTTTTTTGTCTTTAGTTCTGTTTATGTGATGAATTACATTTACTGATTTGCATATGTTGAACCAGGCTTGCATCCTGGGGATGAAGCTGACTTGATCATGTTGGATAAGTTTTTTGATAGGCTGCTGGATTTGGTTTGCCAGTATGTTATTGAGAATTTTTTTTATTATACTTTAAGTTCTGGGGTACATGTGCAGAATGTGCAGGTTTGTTACATAGGTATACACATGCATGGTGGCTTGCTGTACCCACCAACCTGTCATCTACATTAGGTATTTCTCCTAATGCTATCCCTCCCCCAGCCCCTCACCCACCAACAGGCCTCAGTGTGTGATACCCCCACCCCCGTGTCCATGTGTTCTCATTGTTCAGCTCCCACTTATGAGTGAGAACATGTGGAGCTTGGTTTTTGTTGTTGTGTTAGTTTGCTGAGAATGATGGTTTCCAGCTTCATCCATGTCCCTGCAAAGGACATGAACTCATCCTTTTTTATGGCTGCATAGTATTCCGTGATGTATATGTGCCACATTTGCTTTATCCAGTCTATCATCGATGGGCATTTGGGTTGGTTCCAAGTCTTTGCTATTGTGAACAGTGCCACGATAAACGTACATGTGCATGTGTCTTTATAGTAGAATGCTTATTCTTAAATGTATGGTTTAATGGTAATAAATACATTTATATATATTTCCCCATTCATCCCTCCCTTCCCTCTACCATTCCCAGCCTCTGTTAATCACCAATCTATTCTATCTTCATGAGATCCACTTTCTTAGCTCCCACATATATCAATGAGAACATGCAACATTTGTCTCTTTTTGCTTGGCTTATTTCACATAATGACCTTCAGTTCTATCCATGTTGTTGCAAATAACAGGATTTCATTCTTTTTAATGACTGAATAATACTCCATTGTTTGTATATACTGCATTTTCTTTATTCATTCATCTGTTGATAGGCACTTAGATTGATTCCGTGTCTTGGCTATTGTCAATAGTGTTGCAATAAATAAGGGAGTGCAGATATCCCTTCAATATATTGATTTCCTTTCTTTTGGATATATACCTGGTAGTGGTTAGTTTTTTAAGGAATCTCCATGCTCTTCTCCATAGTTGCTGTACTAATTTACATTCCCACCAACAGCATATGAGCGTTTCCCTTTTTCTACATCCTTGCCAGCATCTGTTATTGCCTGTCTTTTGGATAAAAGCCATTTTAACTGGGGTGAGATTTTACCTCATTATGGTTTTGATTTGAATTTCTCTGATGATTAATAATGTTAAGCATTTTGTCATACAGTTGTTGGCCATTTGTGTGTCTTCTTTGGAGAAATATCTAATCTGTTTGTTTGCCCAATATTTAATTAGATTAATCACTTTTTTCCTATTGAGTTGTTCGAGCTCCTTATATATCCTGGTTATTAATTTCTTGTCAGATGAATAGTTTACAAATATTTTCTCCAACTCTGCATGTTGTCTCTTCACTTTGTTGATCATTTCCTGTGCAATCAGAAGCTTTTTAGCTTGATGTAATCCCATTTGTCTACTTTTGCTTTGGTTTCCCGTGCTTTTGAGGTCTTACTTGAAACATGTTTGCCCAGATCAATATCCTGGAGCATTTCCCCAGTGTTTTTCTTCTAGTAAGTTCATAGTTTCAGGACTTAGATTTAAGTCTTTAATCCATTTTAATTTGATTTTTGTGTATGGAGAGATAGGAGTCTAGTTTCATTCTTGTGCCTGTAGTTATTCCGTTTTCCCATCACTGCTTATTGAAAAGATTGTCTTTTCCCCATTGTATGTTCTTGGTGCCTTTGTCAAAGATGAGTTGGCTCTAAATGCATGGATTAATAAATGAGCTCTCTATTCTGTTCTATTGGCTTATATATCTATTTTTATGCCAGTATCATGCTGTTTTGGTTGCTACACTTTTGTAGTAAATTTTGAAGTCAGATAGTATGATGCCTCCAGCATTTTTCTTTTTGAGTAGGATTGCTTTGGCTATTTGGGGTCTTTTGTGATTCCATATACATTTTAAACTTTTTTTCTATTTTTGTGAAGAATGTCATTGGTATTTTGATAGGGATTGCATTGAATCTGTTGATTGCTTTGGGTTGTATGAACATGTTAACAATGTTAATTCTTCCACTCCATGGGCATGAAATATCTTTTCATTTTTTTTTGTTCTCTTCAATTTATTTCATCAGTTTTATAGTTTTTCTTGTATAGATCTTTCTTTAGATTGATTTCTACATATTTTGTATTTTTTGTAGCTATTGTAAATGGGATTACTTTCTTAATTTCTTTTTTCAGATAGTTACTCTTGGTGCATATATTTAATAAATGCTACTAATTTTTATATGTTGATTTTGTATCCTGCAACTTTACTGAGTTTATTGATCAGTTCTAAGATTTGTCTGGTGGAGTCTTTAGGATTTTCTAGATATAAACTCATATCATCTGTAGAGAGGGACAGTTTGACTTCCTCTTTTCCAATTTGGATGCCCTTTATTTCTTTCTCTTGCCTAATTGCTCTGGCTGGAACTTTTAAGACTATGATGCATTAGAGTGGTGATAGTGGGCATCCTTATCTTGTTCCATTTCTTAGAGGAAAAGACTTTCAGCATTTGTCCATTTGGCATGATGTCAGCTGTGGGTTTGTCATATATGGCACTTATTATGTAAAGTGTGTTCCTTCCATGCCTAATTTATTGAGGATTTTTATCATGAAATAATGTTGAATTTTATAAAATTGTCCTTTTTCTGCATCAATTGAAATTATCATATAGGTTGTGTCCTTTATTCTATTGATGGGATATATCACATTTAGTGATTTGCATATGTCAAACCATCCTTGCATCCATGGGATAAATCTCACTTGATCATGGTGTGTTATCTTTTTGTTGTGTTGTTGGATTAAGTTTCGTAGCATTTTGTTGAGAATTTTTGCACATATGTTTATCAAGGATATTGACCTGTAGTTTTCTTTTTTTGTTTTTTCCTTATCAGATTTGTTATATGATAATGCTGGTCTTCTAGAATGAGTTTGGAAGTATTTCCTACTCTTTATTGTAATTTTTTTTGGAGTTTTAAGTAGGATTGGTATTAGTTCTCTAAATAATTGGTAAAATTCGGCAGTGAAGCTGTTAGTTCCTGAGCTTTTCTTTGATGAGAGACTTTTTATTATGGCTTTGATCTTGTTATTCATTATTTGTTTGTTGAGGCTTTCTATTTCTTCATGGTTCAGTCTTGGTAGGTTGTATGTGTCCAGTAATTTATCTATTTCTTCTTGGTTTCCAATTTGTTGGCATATAGTTGTTCATAATGGTGTATAATAATTCTATGTATTTTGTGGTATCAGTTGTTACATCTCCTTTTTCATTTCTGATTTTATTTATTTGCGTCATCTCTCTTTTTTCCTTAGACTAGCTAAAGATTGTCATTTTAAAATTTTTTTCAAAAATCAACATTTCATTTCATTTATCTCTTGTATTTTAAAAAAATCTTAGTTCAGCTATTGTGGAAGACAGTGTGGCAATTCCTCAAAAACCTAAAGACAGAAATATCATTTGACCTAGCAAACCCATTGCTGGGTATATACCGAAAGGAATATAAATTATTCTATCCTAAAGACACATGCACACGTATGTTCATTGCAGCACTATTCACAATAACAAAGACATGGGATGAGCCTAAATGCCTATCAGTGATAGACTGAATAAAGCAAACGTGGCACATATACACCATGGAATACTATGCAGCCAGAAAACAGAATGAAATTACATCTTTTGCAGGGACATGGATGGAGCTGGAGGCCATTATCCTTAGCAAACTAATGCAGGAACAGAAAACCAAATACTGCATGTTCTCAATTATAAACGGGAGCTAAATGATGAGAACACATGGATGCCTAGAGAAGAACAACACCCACCGGGGCCTTTTGTTGGGCATAAAAACATAAATAATGGGTAGTAGGTTTAATACCTGGATGATGAAATAATCTGTATAACAGACCTCCATGATACAAGTTTACCTATGTAACAAACCTATACTTGTACCCCTGAACTTAAAATAAAAGTTTTTTAAAAATCTTGATTTCATATATTTCTGTTCTAATCTTTATCACTGCTTTCTTTCTACTAATTTTGGGTTTGGTTTATTCTTGCTTTTCTTAGTTCCTTGATTTTCATCATTAGGTTATTTATTTGAAGTCTTTCTACTTTTTTGATACAGATGTTTATTGTTATAAACTTCTCTCTTAGTGTTGCTTTTGCATATCTCATACATTTTGATGTGTTATATTTCTATTTTTGTTTGCTTCAAGACACTTTAAAACTTCCTTAATTTCTTTGTTAACTCATTGATTATTCAGAAGCATATTAATTTCTATTTGTTTGTGTAGTTTCCAAAGTTTTTCTTATTGATTTCTAGTTTTATCACATTTTTGTGAGAAGAGAGACTTGATATAATTTCTATTTTCTGAATTTGTTCAGATTTGTTTTGTGGCCTAACATATGGCCCATTCTGGAGAATGTTTCATGTGCTGAGGAAAGAATGTGTATTCTTCAGCAGTTGGATGGAATGTTCTGTAAATGTCAGTTAGGCCTATTAGATCTAGCGTGTAGTTTAACTCAGCTGTTTATTTGTTGATTTTGTATCTAGATGATCTGTTCCTGTCAGTGGGGTATTAAAGTCTCCAACTAGAATAGTATAACATACTGTAATATATTGCAATTATTTTTATTGTAGTATATCTCTCCTTTTAGATTTATTAATGTTTGCTTTATATATTTGGAAACTGGTGTTGGGTGCATATATATTTGTTATATCCTCTTGCTGAATTGACCCCTTTATCGTTACATAATGACTTTGTCTCTTTTTACAAACTTACATTGGCAATCTATTTTATCTGGTGTAAATATTGACACTGCTGTTCTTTTTAGTTTGCAGGTACATGTGGAATATCTTTTTCCACCTCTTCACTTCCAGTCTATGTGTGTCTTTATAAGTGAAGTGGGTTTCTTGAAGGCAGCATATAGTTGCATTTTGTTTCTTTATCCATTCATCCACTCTGCCTTTTAATTGGAGAATTGAGACAATTTATATTCATTGTCACTATTAATAAGTAATGAGTTATTACTGCCATTTATTGCTTATTTTCTGCTTGTTTTGAGACTCTTTCCTTTTTTCTTGCTTTATGTTTAAGTGATTTTCTCTGGTAGTATGTTTTAATTTGTTGTTTTTTATTTTTAGTGATTCTACTATAGATTTTTGCCCTATGGTTACTATACAGAAATGCTTACAGAAAACACTTATAGATATAACAAGTTATTTTAAAGAGATGACAACTTATCTTAGATCAAAAATATAAAGATAGACATAAACAAAGGTAAAAGACAAAATATTCTACACTTTAACTCCATCCCCCCACATTTTGACTTTTAGTTGTCTCAATTTTTACATTGTCTACTCTTAGCCAGTTGCTTTAGCTATTGTTTTGTTTGATAGGTTTGTCTTTTGGGCCTCATACTAGTGTTATATGTGGATTGCATACCATCATTACAGTTATAGAGTATTCTGGGTTTGTCTGTGTATTTAATTTTACCAATGGGTTTTATACCTTGAAAAATTTTATTTTTGCACATTACTGGTTATTTTCTTTTAGATTGAAAAACTGCCTTTAGCATTTCTTTTAAGATGGGTCTGGTGACTTTCTCTCATCTTTTGTTTGTCTGGGAAAGACTTTATCTCTCATAGTTGAAGGAGAATTTTGCTGGACACAGTATTACTGGATGGCAGCTTTTTTTCTTTAAATATTTTGAATATGTCATTTTATTCCTTCCTGGCTTGTATGGTTTTTGTTGAGAAGTCTGTTGCCAGATGTATTGGAGCTTCATTTTATGTTATTAGGATCCTTTCTTTGTCCTTGGCCTCTGAGAGTTTGACTATTATATTTCTTAGGGTAGTCTTATTTGGGCTGAATCTGGTGTCCTCAGGCCTTTCTGTACCTAGATATTTATATGTTTCCCAAGGTTTGGAAGGTTTTCTGTTATTATCTCTTTGAATAAGCTTTCTACCTCTTGGTCTTGCTCAGTTCCCTCTTGGACATCAATATTTCTTAGATTTGGTCTTTTGAGGTACTTTTCTATATCTTTTAGGCAGTCTTTGTTCCTTTTCATTCTTTTTTCCTCCTCTGACTGTGTATTTTCTAATAGCTGATCTTCAAGCTCACTGATTCTTTCCTCTGCTTGTTCTATTTTGCTGTTCAGCGCCTGTAATGAGTTAAGCATCTGTCTTTTTCAGTTCCAAGATTTCTGTTTGACTTTTTCTATTATTGCAATCTCTTTTAAATTTTTCTGATAAATTTCTGAATTGCTTTTCTCTGTTATCTTGGAGATCACCGAGTTTCCTTAAAATTTCTATTTTGAATTCTTTGTCAGAGAGTTCACAAGTTGCCATCTTGTTAGAGTCAGTCACTTGATTTTTGCTTTGTCCTTTTGGTGAAGTCATAGTTTCCTGTTTTCTGTTGTTTCTTGTGTGTATATACCTATGTCTTTGCATTGAAGGATTATTATTGCAGTCTTCTCTGTTTTGTTTTGGTTTTATTGGATAAATTTGCTTAGGAAATTTTTACTGCTAGGTTGCTGCCTCCTTTTTGGCTCTAGGTGGCACCTTAGGTCCAGGTTCATCTTGGCTTTATTAAATAATTGGAACACTGCCTGTCTTGAATTGGGAAGGTCCCAAAGGCATTATCCCACTAATGTATCAAAGCTGTTTGTGCCCAGGGGATCTGTGGAATGTATCTCCTACAGTATTGGGCTGATGAATGGCTATTCTGATTTGGCATCTCCTTAGGTCAACTGGTAGAGCAGTTTCCAGGGCCAGGGATGATAGCCCTGTATTCCCACTTTGTCTTTTCCTGTCCTTAGGGATATTTCTCCCATCAGGCAGTCACAATGCTTCCTATGTGTTAAGGCAAAAAAGGTCTTCTGTCATGGCACCCAAGATGGTAGGGGTACTGATTGACTACCTCAGTCTCACCTTTTCCAGCATAAAAACCATGAGTTGGGGGCAGATTTTCTATGTGCTTGGTGCTGGGCAGAATGTGGGGTATGTGTTGTGGATATGGAAGTCTGATTCTCTTAACAACTTCTCAGTTTTTTCACTTTTCTGTGGCCTTGAGAACGCTCTCATTTCTCATATTTGTGTTCTGGGATGTTGCTGGTGAAAATCTTGGTGCTGTATATTTGTTTTTGGTTTTCTTTAGGGGAGAGTGAAGCCAGTTTGTTTCTACACTGCCATTTTGCAACCAGAAGTATTTTACTTCCAACTTACCTATGTTGTTGAATTGGAAGTATGTTTCTTGTAAATAGCATGTGGTTGGGTTTTGTTTTCTCATCCAGTCTGCCAATCTCTGCCTTTTAATTGGCGTATTTAGAATACTCATATAGTTGAGTTTTTAGAAATGACTTGGAGTGGATTTCTTTGGGTTTATCCTACTTGGGATTCACTTAGCTTTTTGAATTTGTGTTTATATCTTTCACCGCATTTGGATCTTTCACCGCATTTGGAGAGTTTTCAGCCATTATTTCTCTGAATACTCTTTCAATTCTATTCTCTTTCTCCTCTTTTTCTGGAATTCAAAGAATGTGAATATTGGATCTTTTGATAGTCTTGTAGGTTCTTGGGACTCATTTCTTTTTCAGTCTATTTTTTCTTTGTTCTTATTGGGTAAATTCTATTGATTTGTTCTTAAGTTTATTGGCCCTATCCTCTGTTACCCCTACTCTACTATTGAGCCCATCTGGTGAGTTTTAAAAAAACCTCTGTTAGGCGGGTAGATCATGAGGTCAGGAGATCGAGACCATCCTGGCTAACATAGTGAAACCCCATCTGTACTAAAAATACAAAAAAATTAGCTGGGCATGTTGGCGGGCACCTGTAGTCCCAGCTACTTGGGAGGCTGAGGCAGGGCGGAGCTTGCAGTGAGCCAAGATTGCGCCACTGCACTCCAGACTGGGAGAGAGAGCGAGACTCTGTCTCAAAAACAAAAAACAAAAAACAAAAAACAACCCTCTATTATTGTATTTTCCAGTTTCATAATTTTTATTTGGTTCTTTAAATAATAATTTTCATTTTTTACTGTTATTTTTATTTTTCATTTATTTTAAGATAATTTGTAATTCCTTATTCAGTCATTTTTATGACGGTTGCTTTAAAATCTTTATCAGACACTGATTCATCTCAGTGTTGGTATCAGTAGTTTGTCTTTTCTCATACAAATTGAGATTTTCTTGCTTTTTGATATGACACGTGATTCTTAAATTGTATCCTTGACATTTTCTTTGTCATTTTAGGAGACAATGAGTTTTACTTTAATTTTTTATTTTAGCAGGCAGCAAGTCTGTTTAGATTTAGTACAAAGGCCCTTGATTACTTTTTTACGCTGTGATTCGGTGACATAGGTCTTGTGGTGATATTTTTGTCTGCTTGGTTTATCTCATGCTGCTGGATCTCCTACTAGTCCTTAATGGTGCTCCTTGATGGGGTGAAAGGAGTTTCCTCCAGCCACGTTTCCAGGTGCCTCTGTATGCAGGAAGAGAGTTTCTAGCCCATGGGGACCAAGACTACTCCTGGGTTGGATATTTGTTGTAGAATCCCCTCTGCTTATGGGGAGTGAAGTGGCTTTCCACTTTTGTAAGTTCCTTGAAAGCTAGCATATTTCTTTTCTTTTCTAGCTGAATGTTTAGAATAGTGTTTAGTGCATACTGGCTCATCAATATGTATCTTTCAGTTAATGAATTAATACTTTATGACCTGCCCTCTCAAGTTATGAGGTGAAAAACATGATCCATGTCAGATAATTAATAATTTTCTGTAGCCGGATGTGTTGGCTCATGCCTGTAATCCCAGCACTTTGGGAGGCTAAGGCGCGCAGATCACCTGAGGTCAGGAGTTTGAGACCAGCCTGGCCAACATAGTGAAACCCTGTCTCTACTAAAAACACAAAAATTAGCTGGGCGTGCTGGCATGCACCTGTAATCCCAGGTACTTGGGAGGCTGAGGCAGGAGAATCGCTTGAACCCAGGAGGCAAAGGTTGCAGTGAACGGAGATCGCGCCACTGCACTCTAGACTGGGTGACAGAGCGAGACTCCATCTCAAAAAAAAAAGTTTTTTTTTTCACCTGAAAAGTTGGAATTAAGAGCATCAGGTCTGTATATGAAAGTGGTTGCAACTTGCAAAGTATATACTAAAGAGGTGTGAAGCAGCTATAATCTGCCATGTGTAATGAGTTTCAGAAAAGCCATCTGCAGAATGAGACAAAAGAATGAAACGGGTTTACTGAGATAAGTAGGACCTGGTGTTAGAGAGAAAGCCATGGTGGCTCTCCATGGGACTCAGCTATATTCACATGTCTTGGGGTTGCACAAAACATCCCTATATCCTTGTAATAAATTTTCTTTCTATGCTTTTGAAAGCCTAAGTTTGTTTATATTATGCACAACTGAAGTATCTTAGCTAATGTCATGTGTTTACATAAAATAATGAACTATTTGAATATTTATTTTATGTTGAAAAGAATCATATGAGCTTTTCCTTGCATCTGAAACACCATTTATACTATTGTTTCTATGGGAAAATCTGTGTCCAAATAATGTAGATGATTGTTTACAACAAAATCTATGGAGATTACTGCATGTTAGTTTTTACCAATTACACTTTTAAAAGCGCATATTTATATATTTATCTCCCCTTTACTTTATGTACTTTTTGGAGGTGAGGTGAGGTTGGGAAGATACCATGCTATGGTCCTAGGAAGATCTTATTAGCTGTTGGTGAATATTAAAAGAATTTTTCCTTGCCCATCAGTGTATCCCAAACCTATTGACTTTTTCAGTCAGAGTTTTTGGAGGCAGAATTCAACATCAGTAAAAATTTGTTATGCAAATGTGAGGAAGCATAGGACAATGCTGAAGGAGAAAAGATTTTTGCAGCATTTGTTTCTCTTAAAAGATGAAATCCATTAACCTTATGATCTTTTTACTACAAAAACTTGTAAAGTGAAAGAAAGAGAAGATAAAGATAAATGGCCTTTAAATCAAATTGGTTTGATAAATAAATAATCTCTGAATGTTCAGCCATACTTTTAGGTAGCTGAGTTTTGTGTGTGTGTATGTGTGTGTGCATGTGCGTGTGTGGGCGTGTGTGTGTCTATAGATGGCTTTGAAATGCAAGTAAAGCATTTTAAGTCAAATACGCAAGAAAAAAGAGATGTAAACATGGTCTGTTAATTGCTGAGGCAATATCCAGTGAACATCAATTAAAATAGAAGGCTTTGAAATCAGGGAAAAATAATAAAAAAAATCATTGTTTTTCTTAATTACAGAGTAAGAATGAGGCTAATTCACTGCGCTCTTCCTCAACCCTCCTCAATCATAGATAAAGAAATCTCTGTGGCATGTTATTCAGTACAAGAACTTTACCATCAGTTTTATTCATCAGCAAAACCAAAGGAACAATTGCAGGATGTTCTCTATTATTTAGCATGGAATGCCTTTATTACTTTATATTCTTGCCTGACATTCTTCCTTGTTTGTTGCCATTAAATGCTTGGATTTTAGTGACACAGTATAGTGCCAAATACGTCAGTGCCTAGGACTTTATGTTATACTACTTAGAAAGTTATGGCAATATCACCTCTTGCTTAAAACACTTGGTCGACACTGCCTACCAGGTTGAATATAGTGGAATACATACAATATAAGGCCATGTTGATTACCATGAGAAACAAAATAAATAATTAACTGTAAAAATAATATTAAGAATGAATTGCTTGGCAGACTATTTGATCCCATTAATGATTTCACTTTTATAAGATTAAATAAGATCCTATCATATTCTGTGGTGCTGATACTAAAAGTTCTATCCCCTCCCCCATTTTTAGCTCCCTGTCCAAAACGGAAGGCAAGTGCTTTTTTGGCATACTTTTCTTTCTTGTATTAATTACTTGACTTTTCTGTACCTAGAAAAAGGCAACTAGCAGGCAACATAATCATCCTGCTGTCATTTTCTAAATTATTCTAATGTAATTTTCAGAGCATGGCTTCCATAGATCATTTATTCATTTAGTTGCAATGCTTTTGGAAGTATAGAAGTATAGAAGTATATTTTCTTATGTGGTGTTATAACTTATAAGGACAATTTGGAAATAATAAGTTTGGATGCTTCACTAAGACATTTTGGCTATCTTTCCCTAACCATATTAGGAGCTTCATTTCAGGCATCTTTCAAATCCCTCCTCTAAACCTTTTACTTTGGGGATGGTTTCTGGATACCGTAAAAACAGTTGGCTTTTGAAGGTGGTAATTGTGGACTGCATGCTGTTTGGCAGCTACTAATTCTCTTTCTTTTTCTGTGGGCTCTAAGTGGAATGTCCTTGAAATAATAATGAGGCATTACTCTCTTTTCTACCATGTCCAGAATATTCCTGGTGATCTTAAATTGTATTATTTTTGATGCTCATACCAGAGACACCTATGTTAATTAGTTCTGTATATACTTCTTAAGTTCTCATCTCTAAAATTAAAAGAGCCAAATTATAGACATAGTGAACTTTGACTCTGAATGTGGTTGGGTTTAAATAAGTTCCTCCAAATAATAATTTGACTTTAATATATTTTCATTTGCAATCCTGTGTCACATTTTATGCCTCATGATTGGTTTCCATTTTTTAGTAATAAATAATCAACTGCAGGTTTCTTTGCGGTGTTGATATTTCCGTTTATATTACTTTGTGTATTTAAATATTTCCATAAGGCTACATCTGGCTATTTCTTACCTTGGATGATTACTTCTGCAGTTTCTGATGTCAAAATTCCTTTTTTATTTAAGAGTTAATTACAATTAAATACAGTTTTGGTCCCACCTAATATTATTTTTTTGAGGTTTTCTTTTTAGAGCTAAAGCCGCATCTTACTGCTAGATAGGAATTAGTTTCCAGAGGCTTGTACCATTATTGAGTCACTAAATATTTCTTAAACCCATCTATACTATATTTCCCTAGTCTCTTCACTCTCCCATACTCCTAGATAATAATTTCATATAAAACCTCCTCCCCCAGCACCACTCTCAGCTTTTTATTTCCCTGAGAAAATAGAAGCAATCAGAAGAGAATTTGGACAAGCTACCCACAACATCTACTCACTTCTTTGTATCTGTCCTCATATACTCTGCTTTCTTTCCTATTTGCTCTAATGAACCATTCACGTTCCCAGCAAATGCCAACATCTCCATTCTGCCGAGGTCCCTTCTTTTCTTGTGTAGTTGAAGAAATGTCTCTAGCAATTCTTTGCTCTCCCTCCCTCACTAATAAGTTTTCCCCCTCAAGTGGACTTCTCTTATTGACCTGCAAACATGCAGATACAACTTTATCTTTAAGAAAACTCTCTTTTTGACTCCACATCCTCCTCTAGCTATCATCCTGTTTCTAGCCTTTTTCAAAAACACATTTATATTCATATATTTTAAAACTAATCCTGTCAATCTGTTGTGCAGAGTTATTGTATCATTTTGCATTCCCATTAGCAGTATATGAAATTTTGAGTTGCTCTACTTTCTTGCTAATACTTGGTATTGTCAGTATCTCTTCCTCTTATTTTTTCTTTCTTCTTTTTCTCCTCCCCTTCTCTAACCCTTCCATCTTTTATTTTTTTACTTTTTTGTTTTCTTTTCCTTTTTTTTATTATTATTATATTTTAAGTTTTAGGGTACATGTGCACAATGTGCAGGTTAGTTACATATGTATAAATGTGCCATGCTGGTGCGCTGCACCCATTAACTCGTCATTTAGCATTAGGTATTTATGCAGCCAAAAGACACATGAAAAAATGCTCATCATCACTGGCCATCAGAGAAATGCAAATCAAAACCACAATGAGATACCATCTCACACCAGTTAGAATGGCAATCATTAAAAAGTCAGGAAACAACAGGTACTGGAGAGGATGTGGAGAAACAGGAACACTTTTACACTGTTGGTGGGACTGTAAACTAGTTCAACCATTGTGGAAGTCAGTGTGGCGATTCCTCAGGGATCTAGAACTAGAAATACCATTTGACCCAGCCATCCCATTACTGGGTATATACCCAAAGGACTATAAATCATGCTGCTATAAAGACACATGCACACGTATGTTTATTGTGGCACTATTCACAATAGCAAAGACTTGGAACCCAACTCAAATGTCCAACAATGATAGACTGGATTAAGAAAATGTGGCACATATACACCATGGAATACTATGCAGCCATAAAAAATGATGAGTTCATGTCCTTTGTAGGGACATGGATGAAATTGGAAATCATCATTCTCAGTAAACTATCGCAAGAACAAAAAACCAAACACCACATGTTCTCACTCATAGATGGGAATTGAACAATGAGAACACATGGACACAGGAAGGGGAACATCACACTCTGGGGACTGTTGTGGGGTGGGGGGAGGGTGGAGGGATAGCATTAGGAGAACCCTTCCATCTTTTAAATTTTAAACATTCTGTTAGGTTTATAGTGATATTTCATTGCGATTTTAATTTGTATTTCATTAATGACTAATAATGTTGAGCATCTTTCCATGTAGTTATTTGCTATCAATTTATCTTCCTTGGTGAGGTGTTTGTTAAAATCTTTTGCCCATTTTATATTGTAGCTGTTTTTCTTTGGCTAAGATTTGAGAGATTTTAATATATTTTATATAGAAGTCCCTTGTTGAATATGTTATTTGTGAATATTTTCTCCTAACTTTCAGCTTGTCTTTTCATTCTCTTAAATTTTTTTTTTTTGGCAGAGAGAAAAGTTTTAAAATTTGATAAAGCCCAATTTGTCCTTAAAAAAAGTCATGCTTTGATGTCAAATCTAAGAACTGTTTTTTAACCCAAGGTCAAGAAAATTTTCTTGTGTATAAAGTTTTATATTTTACATTTGGGCCTATGATACACTTTGGGTTAATTGTTGAACAAGTTGTGAGGTATGGGTTGAGGTTTAATTCTGCTTTTCCATACAGATGTTCAGTTGTCCCAGGATCATTTGCTGAAAGGACTATACTGTCTCCACTGAATTCTTTTGCACATTTATCAAAAGCCTATTTTGTTCATATTTGTGTAGATCTATTTTTGAATTCTCTATTCTGTTCTTTTAATCTATGTGTCTATTATTTATCCAATAACACATTGTGTTGTCTACTAGTCTGAATCCTCAAAGTTTTTTTTTTTTTTTAAATTGTTTGGGCTATTCTAATTTCCTTGTCTTTACATGTAAATTTTATAATCAGCCTTCTCTCTCCCTGTTTTTTTTTTTGTTCTTAAGTCTACATGGCTACATCCAGTCACTTTCTTTCTTTTTTTATTATACTTTAAGTTCTAGGGTACATGTGCACAACGTGCAGGTTTGTTACATAGGTATACATGTGCCATGTTGGTTTGCTGCACCCATCAACTTGTCATTTACATTAGGTATTTCTCCTGGTGCTATCCCTCCCCCAGTCCCCCACCCTCCGACAGGCCCCTGGTATGTGATGTTCCCTGCCCTGTGTCCATGTGTTCTCATTGTTCAATTCCCACCTATGAGTGAAAACGTGGTCGTTGGTTTTCGGTCCTTGTGATAGTTTGCTGGGAATGATGGTTTCCAGCTTCATCCATGTCCCTGCAAAGGACATGAACTCATCCTTTTTTATGGCTGCATATTATTCCATGGTGTATATGTGCCATATTTTCTTAATCCAGTCTATCACTGATAGACATTTTAGTGGGTTCCAAGTCTTTGCTATTGTGAATAGTGCTGCAATAAACACATATGTGCATGCGTCTTTATAGTAGCATGATTTATAATCCTTTTGGGTATATATGCAGTAATGGGATGGCTGGGTCAAATGGTATTTCTAGTTCTAGATCCTTGAGGAATCAACACACTGACTTCCACAATGGTTGAACTAGTTTACACTCCCCCAACGGTGTAAAAGTGTTCCTATTTCTCCACATCCTCTCCGGCATCTGTTGTTTCCTGACATTTTAATGATCGCCATTCTAACTGGCGTGAGATGGTATCTCACTGTGGTTTTGATTTGCATTTCTCTGATGACCAGTGATGATGAGCATTTTTTCATATGTCTGATGGCTGCATAAATGTCATCTTTTGAGAAGTGTCTGTTCATATCCTTTTCCCCTTTTTTGATGGGGTTGCTTTATTCTTGTAAATTTGTTTAAGTTCTTTATTTTATTTTATTTTATTATTATTATACTTTAAGTTTTAGGGTACATGTGCACAATGTGGAGGTTAGTTACATATTATACATGTGCTATGCTGGTGTGCTGCACCCATTAACTCGTCATTTAGCATTAGGTATATCTCCTAATGCTATCCCTCCCCCATCCGCCCACCCCACAACAGTCCCCAGAGTGTGATGTTCCCCTTCTTGTGTCCATGTGTTCTCATTGTTCAATTCCCACCTATGAGTGAGAATATGTGGTGTTTGGTTTTTTGTTCTTCAGGTAGTTTACTGAGAATGAGGATTTCCAGTTTCATCCATGTCCCTACAAAGGACATGAACTCGTCATTTTTTATGGCTGCATAGTATTCCATGGTGTATATGTGCCACATTTTCTTAATCCAGTCTATCATTGTTGGGCATTTGAGTTGGTTCCAAGTCTTTGCTATTGTGAATAGTGCCGCAATAAACATACGTGTGCAAGTGTCTTTATAGCAGCATGATTTATAGACCTTTGGGTATATACCCAGTAATGGGATGGCTCAGTCAAATGGTATTTCTAGTTCTAGATCCCTGAGGAATCACCACACTGACTTCCACAATGGTTGAACTAGTTTACAGTCCTACCAACAGTGTAAAAGTGTTCCTGTTTCTCCACATCCTCTCCAGCACCTGTTGTTTCCTGACTTTTTAATGATTGCCATTCTAACTGGTGTGAGATGGTATCTCATTGCGGTTTTGATTTGCATTTGTCTGATCGCCAGTGATGATGAGCATTTTTTCATGTGTCTTTTGGCTGCATAAATGTCTTCTTTTGAGAAGTGTCTGTTCATGTTCTTCACCCACTTTTTGACGGTGTTGATTGTCTTTTTCTTGTAAATTTGTTTGAGTTCATTGTAGATTCTGGATATTAGCCCTTTGTCAGATGAGTAGGTTGTGAAAATTTTCTCCCATTTTGTAGGTTGCCTGTTCACACTGGTGGTAGTTTCTTTTGCTGTGCAGAAGCTCTTTAGTTTAATTAGATCCCATTTGTCAATTTTGGCTTTTGTTGCCATTGCTTTTGGTGTTTTAGCATGAAGTCCTTGCCCGTGCCTATGTCCTGAATGGTAATGCCTGGGTTTTCTTCTAGGGTTTTTATGGTTTTAGGTCTAATGTTTAAGTCTTTAATCCATCTTGAATTAGTTTTTGTATAAGGTGTAAGGAAGGGATCCAGTTTCAGCTTTCTACATATGGCTAGCCAGTTTTCCCAGCACCGTTTATTAAATAGGGAATCCTTTCCCCATTTCTTGTTTTTCTCAGGTTTGTCAAAGATCAGATAGTTGTAGATATGCGGCGTTATTTCTGAGGGCCCTGTTCTGTTCCATTGGTCTATATCTCTGTTTTGGTAACAGTACCATGCTGTTTGGTTTGAAGTCAGGTAGCGTGATGCCTCCAGCTTTGTTCTTTTGGCTTAGGATTGACTTGGCGATCTGGGCTCTTTTTTGGTACCATATGAACTTGAAAGTAGTTTTTTCCAATTATGTGAAGAAAGTCATTGGTAGCTTGATGGGGATGGCATTGAATCTATAAATTACCTTGGGCGGTATGGCCATTTTCATGATATTGATTCTTCCTACCCATGAGCATAAAATGTTCTTCCATTTGTTTGTATCCTCTTTTATTTCATTGAGCAGTGGTTTGTAGTTCTCCTTGAAGAGGTCCTTCAAGTCCCTTGTAAGTTGGATTCCTAGGTATTTTATTCTTTTTGAAGCAATTGTGAATGGGAGTTCACTCATGATTTGGCTCTCTGTTTGCCTGTTATTCGTGTATAAGAATGCTTGTGATTTTTGTACATTGATTTTGTATCCTGAGACTTTGCTGAAGTTCCTTATCAGCTTAAGGAGATTTTGGGCTGAGACAATGGGGTTTTCTAGCTATACAATCATGTCATCTGCAAACAGGGACAATTTGACTTCCTCTTTTCCTAATTGAATGCCCTTTATTTCCTTCTCCTGCCTGATTGCCCTGGCCAGGACTTCCAACACTATGTTGAATAGGAGTGGTGAGAGAGGGCATCCCTGTCTTGTGCCCGTTTTCAAAGGGAATGCTTCCAGTTTTTGCCCATTCAGTATGATATTGGCTGTGGGTTTGTCACAGATAGCTCTTATTATTTTGAGATACGTCCCATCAATTCCTAATTTATTGAGAGTTTTTAGCATGAAGGGTTGTTGAATTTTGTCAAAGGCCTTTTCTGCATCTATTGAGATAATCATGTGGTTTTTGTCTTTGGTTCTGTTTATATGCTGGATTACATTTATTGATTTGCGTATATTGAACCTGCCTTGCATCCCGGGGATGAAGCCCACTTGATCATGTTGGATAAGCTTTTTGATGTGCTGCTGGATTCGGTTTGCCAGTATTTTATTGAGGATTTTTGCATCAATGTTCATCAAGGATATTGGTCTAAAATTCTCTTTTTTGGTTGTGTCTCTGCCCGGCTTTGGTATCAGGATGATGCTGGCCTCATAAAATGAGTTAGTGAGGATTCCCTCTTTTTCTATTGATTGGAATAGTTTCAGAAGGAATGGTACCAGCTCCTCCTTGTACCTCTGGTAGAATTCGTCTGTGAATCCATCTGATCCTGGACTCTTTCTGGTTGGTAAGCTACTGAGTATTGCCACAATTTCAGAGCCTGTTATTGGTCTGTTCAGAGATTCAACTTCTTCCTGGTTTAGACTTGGGAGGGTGTATGTGTCGAGGAATTTATCCATTTCTTCTAGATTTTCTAATTTGTTTGCATAGAGGTGTTTGTAGTCTTCTCTGATAGTAGTTTGTATTTCTGTGGGATTGGTGGTGATATCCCCTTTATGATTTTTTATTGTGTCTATTTGATTCTTCTCTCTTTTCTTCTTTATTAGTCTTGCTAGCAGTCTATCAATTTTGTTGATCCTTTCAAAAAACCAGCTCCTGGATTCATCAATTTTTTGAAGGGTTTTTTGTGTCTCTATTTCCTTCAGTTCTGCTCTGATTTTAGTTATTTCTTGCCTTCTGCTAGCTTTTGAATGTGTTTGCTCTTGCTTTTCTAGTTCTTTTAATTGTGATGTTAGGGTGTCAATTTTGGATCTTCCTGCTTTCTCTTGTGGGCATTTAGTGCTATAAATTTCCCTCTACACACTGCTTTGAATGTGTCCCAGAGATTCTGGTATGTTGTGTCTTTGTTCTCATTGGTTTCAAAGAACATCTTTATTTCTGCCTTCATTTCGTTATGTACCCAGTAGTCATTCAGGAGCAGGTTGTTCAGTTTCCATGTAGTTGAGCGGTTTTGAGTGGGTTCCTTAATACTGAGTTCTAGTTTGATTGCACTGTGGTCTGAGAGACAGTTTGTTATAATTTCTATTCTTTTACATTTGCTGAGGAGAGCTTTACTTCCAAGTATGTGGTCAATTTTGGGATAGGTGTGGTGTGGTGCTGAAAAAAATGTATATTCTGCTGATTTGGGGTGGAGAATTCTGTAGATGTCTATTAGGTCTGCTTGGTGCAGCGCTGAGTTCAATTCCTGAGTATCCTTGTTAACTTTCTATCTCGTTGATCTATCTAATGTTGACAGTGGGGTGTTAAAGTCTCCCATTATTATTGTGTGGGAGTCTAAGTCTCTTTGTATGTCACTCAGGACTTGCTTTATGAATCTGGGTGCTCCTGTATTGGGTGCATGTATATTTATTATCCTTAGCTCTTCTTGTTGAATTGATCCCTTTACCATTATGTAATGGCCTTCTTTGTCTCTTTTGATCTTTGTTGGTTTAAAGTCTGTTTTATCAGAGACTAGGATTGCAACCCCTGCCTTTTTTTGTTTTCCATTTTCTTGGTAGATCTTCCTCCATCCTTTTATTTTGAGCCTATGTGTGTCTCTGCATGTGAGATGGGTTTCCTGAATACAGCACACTGATGGATCTTGACTTTTTATCCAATTTGCCAGTCTGTGTCTTTTAATTGAAGCATTTAGTCCATTTACATTTAAAGTTAATATTGTTTTGTGTGAATTTGATCCTGTCATTGTGATGTTAGCTGGTTATTTTGCTCGTTAGTTGATGCAGTTTCTTCCTAGCCTTGATGGTCTTTACAATTTGGCATGATTTTGCAGTGGCTGGTACTTGTTTTTCCTTTCCATGTTTAGTGCTTCCTTCAGACGCTCTTTTAGGCAGGCCTGGTGGTGACAAAATCTCTCAGCATTTTCTTGTCTGTAAAGTATTTTATTTCTCCTTCACTTATGAAGCTTAGTTTGGCTGGATATGAAATTCTGGGTTGAAAATTCTTTTCTTTAAGAATGTTGAATATTGGCCCCCACTCTCTTCTGGCTTGTAGAGTTTCTGCCGAGAGATCCGCTGTTAGTCTGATGGGCTTCCCTTTGTGGGTAACCCGGCCTTTCTCTCTGGCTGCCCTTAATATTTTTTCCTCCATTTCAACTTTGGTGAATCTGACAATTATGTGTCTTGGAGTTGCTCTTCTCGAGGAGTATCTTTGTGGCGTTCTCTGTATTTCCTGAATCTGAATATTGGCCTGCCTTGCTAGATTGGGGAAGTTCTCCTGGATAATATCCTGCAGAGTGTTTTCCAACTTGGTTCCATTCTCCCCGTCACTTTCAGGTACACCAATCAGACGTAGATTTGGTCTTTTCACATGGTCCCATATTTCTTGGAGGCTTTGTTCGTTTCTTTTTATTCCTTTTTTCTCTAAACTTCCCTTCTCGCTTCATTTCATTCATTTCATCTTCCATCACTCATACCCTTTCTTCCAGTTGATCGCATCGGCTCCTGAGGCTTCTGCATTCTTCGGGTAGTTCTTGAGCCTTGGCTTTCAGCTCCATCAGCTCCTTTAAGCACTTCTCTCTATTGGTTATTCTAGTTATACGTTCTTCTAAATTTTTTTCAAAGTTTTCAACTTCTTTGCCTTTGGTTTGAATGTCCTCCCGTAGCTCGGAGTAATTTGATCATCTGAAGCCTTCTACTCTCAGCTCGTCAAAGTGATTCTCCGTCCAGCTTTGTTTCGTTGCTGGTGAGGAACTGCATTCCTTTGGAGGAGGAGAGGCACTCTGCTTTTTAGAGTTTCCAGTTTTTCTGCTCTGTTTTTTCCCCATCTTTGTGGTTTTATCTACTTTTGGTCTTTTTTGGGTGAGGTAACGATGGGTTTTTGGTGTGGATGTCCTTTCTGTTTGTTAGTTTTCCTTCTAACTGACAGGACCCTCAGCTGCAGGTCTGTTGGAGTTTGCTAGAGGTCCACTCCAGACCCTGTTTGCCTGGGTATCAGCAGCAGTGGATGCAGAACAGCGGATTTTCGTGAACCGCAAATGCTGCTGTCTGATCATTCCTCTGGAAGTTTTGTCTCAGAGGAGTACCCGGCCGTGTGAGGTGTCAGTCTGCCCCTACTGGGGGGTGCCTCCCAGTTAGGCTGCTTGGGGGTCAGGGATCAGGGACCCATTTGAGGAAGCAGTCTGCCCGTTCTCAGTTCTCCAGCTGCGTGCTGGGAGAACCACTGCTCTCTTCAAAGCTGTCAGACAGGGACATTTAAGTCTGCAGAGGTTACTGCTGTCTTTTTGTTTGTCTGTGCCCTGCCCCCAGAGGTGGAGCCTACAGAGGCAGGCAGGCCTCCTTGAGCGTCGTGGGCTCCACCCAGTACGAGCTTCCAGGCTGCTTTGTTTACCTAAGCAAGCCTGGGCAATGGCGGGCGCCCCTCCCCCAGCCTTGCTGCCGCCTTGCAGTTTGATCTCAGACTGCTGTGCTAGCAATCAGCAAGACTCCGTGGGCGTAGGACTCTCTGAGCCAGGTGCGGGAGATAATCTCCTGGTGCGCCATTTTTTAAGCCCTTCGGAAAATCGCAGTATTAGGGTGGAGTGACCCGATTTTCCAGGTGCCGTCTGTCACCCCTTTCTTTGACTCAGAAAGGGAACTCCCTGACCCCTTGCACTTCCCGAGTGAGGCAGTGCCTCGCCCTGGTTCGGCTCGTGCATGGTGGGCTGCACCCACTGTCTGGCACTCCCTAATGACATGAACTCGGTACCTCAGCTGGAAATGCAGAAATCACCCGTCTTCTGCGTCACTCATGCTGGGAGCTGTAGACCGGAGCTGTTCCTGTTCGGCCATCTTCTGTTTAAGTTCTTGGTAGATTCTGGATATTAGCTCTTTGTCAGATGGGTAAATTGCAAAAATTTTCTCCCGTTCTGTAGATTGCCTGTTTACTCTGATGATAGTTTATTTTGCTGCACAGAAGCTCTTTAGTTTAATTCGATCCTATTTGTCTGTTTTGGCTTTTGTTGCCATTGCTTTTGGTGTTTTATTCATGAAGTCTTTGCCCATGCCTATGTGCTGAATGGTATTGCCTAGGTTTTCTTCTAGGGTTTTTATGGTGTTAGGTCTTACATTTAAGTCTTTAATCAATCTTGAGTTAATTTTTGTATATGGTGTAGGAAGGGATCCAGTTTCAGCTTTCTCTATGTGGCTAGCCAGTTTTCCCAGCACCATTTATTAAATAGGGAATCCTCTCCCCATTCCTTGTTTTTGTCAGGTTTGTCAAATTTGCTCACTTTCTTTGGTTATTGTTTGCATGATATCTCTTTTCCCATCCTTTTACTTTTTTGTTTCCTCTGTTATTTCTATTCTTTGATTGGCTCATTCATTGAATTTTTCATTTTTAGTTGTTGTGTTTTATTTTTCTTTCATTTCCAGGATATTCGCCTTTATTTCACCTTTTTGTGGATTTAATTGAACATTTTATATGATTCAGTTTTCTCTCCTCTATTAGCATATCAGATATATATATATATGTATGTATATTTCCTTATATGGTTGCGCTGGAGTTTGCAATATGCATTTCCAACTAATCCAAGTCTACTTTCAGATAGCACTGTACTGCTTTAGGGATAGTGTGAGTACTTAACAATAACAAAATAATCTTGATCCCTCTCTTATATCATTGCTATTATTCATTTTACTTACACATAAACATACATAATCACACACACAGACATAATCAAATACATCACTGCTATTGTTATTTTGAACAAATAATTATCCTTTAGATCAATCAAGAATAAGAAAAATAAAAGTGTTTTACCTCTACTTATTCTTCTCCTATGCTCTTGTTTGCTTTATGTAAATCTAAGTTTCTTGTCTTTATCAGTTTTCATCTCTCTAAAGAATTTCTTTTGACATTTATTGCAAGGCAGGTCTACTGGCAACAAACTCCATATTTTGTTGTCTGAAAAAGTATTTATTTTTCCTTCATTTTTTTTCTGGAACTTAGTGGAATTTTTTTTATTATTATAGTTTAAGTTCTAGGGTACATGTGCACAATGTGCAGGTTCGTTACATAGGTATACATGTGCCATGTTGGTTTGCTGCACCCATTAATTTGTCATTTACATTAGGTATTTCTCCTAATGCTATCCCTCCCCCAGTCCCCCACCCCATGACAGGCCCTGGTGTGTGGTGTTCCCCGCCCTATGTCCATGTGTTCTCGTTGTTCAATTCCCACCTATGAGTGAGAACATGGGGAGTTTGGTTTTCTGTCCTTGTGATAATTTGCTCAGAATGATGATTTCTGGCTTCATCCATGTCCCTGCAAAGGACATGAACTCATCTTTTTTTATGGCCGCATAGTATTCCATGTTGTTTATGTGCCACATTTTCTTAATCCAGTCTATCATTGATGGACATTTGGGTTGGTTCCAAGTCTTTGCTATTGTGAATAGTGCCACAGTAAACATACATGTGCATGTGTCTTTATAGTAGCATGATTTATAATCCTTTGGGTATATACCCAGTAATGGGATGGCTGGGTCAAATGGTATTTCTATTTCTAGATCCTTGAGGAATTGCCACACTGTCTTCCACAATGGTTGAACTAGTTTACAGTCCCACCAACAGTGTAAAAGCATTCCCACCAACAGTGTAAAAGGATCTCCATATCCTCTCCAGCATCTGTTGTTTCTTGACTTTTTAATGATCGCCATTCTAATTTTACCATTATGTAATGGCCTTCTTTGTTTCTTTGTCTCTTTTGATCTTTGTTGGTTTAAAGTCTGTTTTATCAGAGACTAGGATTGTAACCCCTGCTTTTTTTTGCTTTTCATTTGCTTAGTAGAACTTCCTCCATCCCTTTATTTTGAGCCTATGTGTGTCTCTGCATGTGAGATGGGTCTCCTGAATGCAGCACACTGATGGGTCTTGACTCTTTCTTTATCCAATGTGCCAGTCTGTGTCTTTTAATTGGAGCATTTAGCCCATTTACATTTACGGTTAATATTGTCATTTGTGAATTTGATCCTGTCATTATGATATTAGCTGGTTATTTTGCCTGTTAGTTGATGCAGTTTCTTCCTAGCATCGATGGTCTTGACAATTTGGCATGTTTTTGCAGTGGCTGGTACCCGTTGTTCCTTTCCATGTTTAGTGCTTCCTTCAGTAGCTCTTGTAAGGCAGGCCTGGTGGTGACAAAATCTCTCAGCATTTGCTTGTCTGTAAAGGATTTTATTTCTCTTTCACTTATGAAGCTTAGTTTGGCTGGATATGAAATTCTGGGTTGAAAATTCTTTTCTTTAAGAATGTTGAATATTAGCCCCTACTCTATTCTGGCTTGGAGAGTTTCTGCTGAGAGATCTGCTGTTAGTCTGATGGGCTTCACTTTGTGGGTAAGGCAAGCTTTCTCTCTGGCTGCCCTTAACATTTTTTTCCTTCATTTCAACCTTGGTGAATTTGACAAGTATGTGTCTTGGGATTGCTCTTCTTGAGGTCTATCTTTGTGGCATTCTCTGTATTTTCTGAATTTGAATGTTGGCTTGCCTTGCTAAGTTGGGGGAGTTCTTCTGGATAATATCCTGATCTTGGATAATATCCTGAAGAGTGTTGTCCAACTTGGTTCCATTCTCCCTGTCACTTTCAGGAACACCAATCAAACAGAGATTTGGTCTTTTCACATAGTCCCATGTTTCTTCTCATTTCTTCTTACTCTTTTTTTCTCTATTGTTCTCTTCTTGCTTCATTTCATTCATTTGATCTTCAATCACTGATACCCTTTTTTCCACTTGATTGAATTGGCTATTGAAGCTTGTGCATGTGTCACGTAGTTCTCATGCCGTGGTTTTCAGCTCTATCAGGTCATTTAAGGTCTTCTCTGCACTGTTTATTCTAGTTAGCCATTCATCTAATCTTTTTTCAAGGTTTTTAGCTTCCTTGTGATGGGTTCGAACATCCTTCTTTGGCTCAGAGAACTTTGTTATTACCGACCTTCCGAAGCCTACTTCATCAGCTTGTAAAAGTCATTCTCCATCCAGCTTTGTTCTGTTGCTGGCGAGGAGCTGCAATCCTTTGGAGGAGAAGTGGCACTCTGGTGTTTAGAATTTTCAGCTTTTCTGCTCTGGTTTCTCCCCATCTTTGTGGTTTCATCTACCTTTGTTCTTTGATGTTGGTGACTTACCGATGGGATTTTGTTGTGGATGTCCTTTTTGTTGATGTTGATGCTATTTTTTTCTGTTTGTTAGTTTTCCTTCTAACAGTCAGGTCCCTCAGCTGCAGGTCTGTTGGAGATGGCTGGAGGTCTACTCCAGACACTGTTTGCCTGGGTATCACCAGCAGAGGCTGCAGAAGAGCAAATATTGCAGAACAGCAAATATCACTGCCTGATCCTTCCTCTAGAAGCTTCGTCCCAGAGGGGCACCCGCCTGCATGAGGTGTCAGTTGGCCCCTACTGGGAGATGTCTCCCAGTTAGGCTACACGTGGGTCAGGGACCCACTTGAGGAGGCAGTCCGTCCATTCTCTGAGCTCAAACACCTTGCTTTTTCTTCAAGTTTTTATCCTATGTACTTTTCTTCTCCTTTTTCATTTCTTTTGCTACTTTCTAATATGTAAGTATTGAAGAGACTTAGGATTGAGTCCTTGTTTCTTTTATTTTTCTTACCTAACATTCATTCCCAATGTCATCTTACTTCATATCATGGATTTAAACAAGAACTATTAATACATACACTAATAGTTCCTCAAATTATATCTCTAAAATCTTGTGCTTTTCTGAAATCTAGACTCATAACAACTACCTACTTATCATTGCTACATGGATGTCAGACTTAACTTGTTTAATATGGAACTCTTCACCTTCCTTCCCAAACTGAGTTTTCATTTAATTTTAGCAAACAGCATCTTTGTTTTGCTTGTTGTTTAGGTCAAAATTCTTAGAAGTAGCCTTAAGCTCTTCTTTTTCTCTCACCTCTTCATCTGATCCGACAACAAGTGATGTTGGCTCTACTTTCAAATTGTAACTGGACTCAAAGCATTCCTCATTTATTCCACTGTCTTGTCCCCAAGCCACCATCATTTGTCTTTTGGATTGTTGTGGCAGCTTCCCAGCTGGTCTTATTTCTCCTATCCAGTTATAGGTTTGTTAACACAGAGACCAGAAAGCTCTTGCAAAAACATGAGTCAGTCATGTCACTTCTTTCCTTACCAACATTTCCTGGCTTTTTATGTCACTCAGAGTCAAAGTTCTTTTTTTTTTTTTTTTTCCAGACAGTCTGTCACCCAGTCTGGAGTGCAGTGGCATTATCTCGGCTCACTGCAACCTCTGCATCCAGGGTTCAAGTGATCTTCCTGCCTCAGCCTCCTGAGTAGCTGAAATTACAGGATGCCACCATGTCAGGCTAATTTTTGTATTTTTAGTAGAGATGGGGTTTCACCATGTTGGCCAGGCTGGTCTCCAACTCCTGACCTTGAGTGATTCACCTGCCTTGGCCTCCCAAAGTGCTGGGATTACAGGTGTGAGCCACTGTGCCTGGCCAAAAGTCAAAGTTCTTAAGATGTCCTGCAAGGCCTCCATGATCTCCTTCTCTTACTTTTGAGAACTTATTGACTATTCTCCCCCCATTCACCCCATTCTATCTGCCTTGACCTTGCTGTTTCCTTTTCCTGGAATGCACTTTCCTCAGTAAGCTGCCTGATTTGCTTTTCAGACTCCTTCTTGTCTTCATGTAAATGTTTCATTTTCAGTGAAGCCTTTTCTTGCTACCCTAACTAAAATTTGCACTCTTTCAACAGTCCCTTTCCCATTTCTCTATTTTTTTGTTTTAAAATCACTTATCCCATTTAGCATACTACTTAACATGTCACTTTTTTTCTTGTGTATTTTTTGACTCCCGTCAGTAGAATATAAGCTTCAAGAAGATTTTTGAATGCTTGATAAATATTTGTTGAATAAAAGAATGAATCTATTTTTATTTATTTTATTCTTAGGTCAAGTTCCCTAGCAATCCATTTCTCTCATAACAGTTACAATGATATTTTAGAAACATAAACTCAAAAATTTCTCTAACTTGAAATGAAAATAAAATCTTTAACTGGGCCTGCAAAGCACTGCATGATGTGACTCCTGCTTACCTCAGAGAATTTATCTTGCTTCACTTACATCCTTGCTGCAAGCTCCAGACACCTGCTTTTCTTAATGCTCTTGAGGACACCGAGTTCCTTTCTGCCCCAGGAGCCTTTACGTGCCCGGTTCTTTCTGCTTAGAATACCTCCAACCTCTACCTTGTTCTTTGGGTGACTTTAATTTCAGTCAGAGCTTAGTTTTTAAATATAAGTACTTCATTATTAAAACTGCTTATGCTGAGGTTAAAAGGGATAAAATATACTTAAAACAGAAAATTCAGTGACAGCATGATAGTTCCTAGCTTCATTAAACAAATTTTATTCAGGATGTTTAGTAGTCTTTATTCAAGATTTTAGCATATCATTTGACTACAATATAGATTTTCACTTGGGTGTACTCACAGATACAAGGGAGTATCTCTATTTTTGGGCAAGAGATTAAGAATAAAAGAGGAAGAAGGAGAGGGGAGACAGAGAAGATGAGAGAGGCAGATGCTGTAATAACAGTCCTCTCTTGCATCTTAACAATATAAAGAGGAAGACGAAACAATCCCTACAAACAAAAAAGAGCATAGTTTATGCTCCAATCTTAAAACCTCCAGGCAATGTTACTTTATTGATCCTTGCAAAGTCAGTGAAGTAGATGTTAGGAACTATGTTTATTGTGCTTCTCAATTCTTTGGTGAAAAGCATGTCCTCTGGGTCTTATTGCGGGTAGGCAATAGCAAGAAGGTATGTGGATGGTAGTGTGTAATGAATCCACTCTAACATTCCTATCTGTCTAGGCATTTAGCTTTTATTTCTTTATATTCTAAGAAATTTTTGGCATCTCAATCTCACATTAAATACATAATCTTGGCTGGGAGTGGTGGCTCACGCCTGTAATCCCAGCACTTTGGGGGGATCCCAGCACAAGGGGGACGGATTGCCTGAGCTCAGGAGTTCGAGACCAGCCTGGCCAACATCATGAAACCCCGTCTCTACTAAAAATACAAAAATTAGCCAGGTGTGGTGTCACACACTTGTAATCCCAGCTACTTGGGAGGCCGAGGCAGGAGAATCACTTGAACCCGGGAGGTGGAGGTGGCAGTGAGCCGAGATCACGCCATTGCACTCCAGTCTGGGCAACAAGAGTGAAACTCTGTCTCAGAAACAACAACAACAACAACAAGACCAAAAACAAATACATAATCACTGGTAAGTATATTCATATTAATAAATTAGGTCCCACTCAAAGTTATATTCCATCCTCCGGTCTAACACTCTTAACATCCATTCCCACATTTGCAATTATCTTGGAGTAAAAGTGGTCTCCTACCTTCTCAGACATTGCACTATCCCCTAGGATCATTAGACTTTACTTATATGTGTAGACGTAATAAGGCATCCTATTAATAAGATGCCTCTAGCAAAGCATCTGCTTCAGATGGGTTATTACAGTGTCTCCAAGCAAGAGATGATGAGTCTTCTTAGAAGAGACTCAGAATGACCCAGGGATCAATATTCTCACTTTCGTCTAAGTCTACCCAGATGTCCTCATTTCAAGAATCTGAGTTCTGCTTTTTTCACATTAGTGCCCTACCTTTCACAAAGGAGAATGTGAGTCTGTGAATCAATTTCTGTTATAATTTTCAACCTGCATAATTAAATTTTGTGTCTGATTTTAAGCACTGTCTATAATCTTTAAGAAGCAAAAGATTCTCTTGGCCTGCCGTAGAAGTTTTCATTTTCTTGAACTTAGATTTAAAAAAATCCTTGTTTATTGCTTTTTGTAAGCTTTCCAGGAGGCATAAATAAATAAATAAATAAATAAATAAATTTATTTCACCCCACAGTTTTGTAGTCCCCACTACTGCCATAAAAGTCAAATACAGGAGCCCCCTTTTTTCCAGGACATTTGCTTTAAGGCACCTCATTTCATTCTCTTACAGATTACAACTTAATAAAATATGATACCACTGTATGACAGATGATCAGTACCCATTTTTAATTGACAGGGAATTCAGCACAACATTCAAGGCTAATGGAATGACAAAAGTCCTAGGATTTTATTTTTGAGGATCTGTTTTCTGATCTCACTCATAGTGCCAATTGCTGTATCATTTGGGTTCAGTTGGGAAAAAGAATTGACTAGGAATTTCTACACCATGAGTTTACCACTAAGAATTGAATGCATAAGTATTGGAGGGTTGACAAATCAAAATCAAAGCATGGAAATCAGTCATATAAAACAATTACAGGAACCAGCTGCTACCTCTGAGTCCGAGGAACAAAAGGATACTATAACCTAGGATTTTTGAATGAGGAGTCCTGCAGAGTTTGGTCTCAGAACTTTGCATATCTCGGCCGGGCGCAGTGGCTCATGCCTGTAATCCCAGCTCTTTGGGAGACCGAGGCGGGCGGATCACGAGGTCAGGAGATCGAGACCATCCTGGCTAATACGGTGAAACCCCGTCTCTACTAAAAATACAAAAAATTAGCCAGGCGAGGTGGCGGGCGCCTGTAGTACCAGCTACTCGGAGGCTGAGGCAGGAGAATGGCGTGAACCCGGGAGGCAGAGCTTGCAGTGAGCCAAGATTGCTCCACCGCACTCCAGCCTGGGCAACAGAGCGAGACTCTGTTTCAAAAGAAAAAAACAAAAAACAAAAACAAAACAAAACAAAACAAAACAAAAAAAACTTTGCATATCTGAATTCTGCTGGTATTTGTGAAGGAGTGTAATGGTCTTGATTTCATCAGTGTTGGAGGTCACTGGAGGCCAGAGCCAACTGTTGATGCTGAGGTGAATTGCCACTGCTCTAGCAATACAGGCAACAATGGCAAAAATCCCAAGAAAACAAACCAAAGCAAAAACAGAATAAAGCCCTTCTGCACTCCTTCTGGCTTCCAATCCCTTCTATTGCCTCCTATTGACAGATCTAAAGAGCTGGCTGGTAAACGAGTCTGGAAAATGTGATTTGTAGGTTCTCAGTGCAAGCATTACATAAGAGAGTATAGAAGAGTGGAGCTGGATGACAAAAGGTACATGACATTCAACAAAAGAGTTATAGAGGCAGTGATTTTTTAAAACTGCCACCTAAAAGATGAGTAGGAGTTAGGCCAAGAGGTGGAAAAAATATTCAAATCAGAGGGAACCACATATGCAAAGGCCAGGAGAAAGAGAGAATGGCATGTTTAGGTCACTAAAAATGAAACTCATGCCATTTTCTTTATATGACCCAGGAAACTGGTTAATGGACACTCCTAGTTAGAGACTGAGATCAAAGCAATGGTTCTTATGTTACTGCTGATGTGTTCTGATATTATTACAATAACAGAAATTTATGGATTCACAGACCGTTCAGATTTTCCAAATTCAGCATCTAAAGAAACTGCAAAAAATTTGGCTAATGTTTGTAATTTTGTCCATCTATTCTTCTCTCTCTGTCTACACACACACACACACACACACACACATGCAAGTCCCTTTGTATCTGTGGATTCTGCACCTGTGGATTCAATCAACCTCAGATAAATAGTATTCTGAAAAAAAACCTACTCCAAAACAATAAAAGTGATACAAATAAAAAATTCAGTATAACAACTATTTACATAGCATTTTCATTGTATTAGGTATTATAAGTAATCCAGAGATGATTTAAAGTATACAGGAGAACGTGTATAGGTTAATATGTAAATACTACACCATTTTATATAAACAACTTCAGCATCCTTGGATTTTGGTATCTGCAGGAGGTCCTGGAACCAATTCCCCATGGACACTGAGGGATAGCTGTACACACACACACACACACGGTTTTAAAAAATGTTTTGGAATAAGAAACACTAAAGCAAATGAAGAAAAACCAGATACATGTAATGTTCATGTTTTTCTGTTTTAGAGGTTTATTTTTCATAGAAATTTTCTATGAAAGGTAATATGCATTATATTTCAAAAGTTTTCATCTGTTTCTTTTCGGTCTTGGTGAGAAGAACTATCTTATATAGCTACATGATGTAAGGTGATTTCAGCTTGTGTGACTGCAGCCCAGTGACTTCAAAGACTTTTAATGGTATCAAAGACTACGTGTGGGGTGAGCCTCTGAGAACAAGGGTGTTTGCTTCATGTACCTGATCTGCTGCACCTGCGGGCTTAAGGAAAGGGAAGAATGCCCAAACTCGTTGTCCAACTTAGGCTACTGTGTTTTACTGCTTAGATCTGTGCTTACATAGACATGTGGAATGGATACTTGGGTACCAATATCCTATGGCTAATAATGCCATGCAAAACATTTCTGAATTTTACTTTCTTTAGAACTCATTGAAGCCTCAGATTCCTCAGAACTGGCTTGCTCCATGTACTGAGAACATGACACATGGCACATTAGCTACAGGACGACATGCTGATTTATGCATTTATGGTTTTGTTTAATCATCTATCATCACTAATTGTCAGAGATAAAGGTTTATTGTGTTTCTGTGACTTCCCGATGTGTTGTTCTCTTTTGCTTTTATGATCTTAAAAACATTGAGAGTACTTTTTTTTCCTCTTTCGTTTAATTTTTCTTATTGTCACCTTGTGCACATTAGCTGTGGTTAATTAAGAAAGGCGGGGCATTATGTAACTAAGGCATCCAGCTTATCTAATTTTCTCCTTCATTATAAACAAAAACAAGAAGCTCAACTAAAAAAAGAAAAGAACCTATTATACCTCTTCCCAGGTGTCTGCATTTATTAGAAGAAATTATTTCTAACAGAATGGGGGAGAGAGATGAAAACATATTTTTGGATGATTGGTTGGGAAAACGTACGACCATCTCTTGTTGGAGAGTATATTAGCAATCACAGCTGTTCATTAGTGGTCAGGCTTGAGTAATTAAGAGATTAATTAGAAGAGGAGATAAAAATGTGTTCACATTCTAAGAATAAAAATCACACTAATGAATAAATAAATACATTCTGATGAATAAATGAACACATTTATGCTTTAATATATCTGAATTTCACTGTCAAGTTCTGCAGATAATCTCCAAGCATTTATTAATAATAGATACATCACATAGATTGTATTCAAAGCAAAAAGCTTTGTATTGTATTCAATCAAAATGAAAAAGCTGCTCTGTAGTTCCACATTGCAAAGAGTGCCATCAGTCACATCCCCATAGCACTGGGAAGAAAAGACAGCTTCAGTTTCATTATCACACCTGACATACCTCTTTACCTGTCTATGATCCATCTAGATAAAGAAAATAAAAGGATCTTTGAGAAAACTGAGTTATCAGTCTGTGAGAGAGTGCTGTAGATTCTCCTTTCTTTTTTTTGGGCAAAAAGAGAGTAGGTTATTTTGATTTAAGCCAAATGAAGGAGTGACACTCCAAGAGATCTACTCACAGAGCACAGAGACTGGGAGGGTCTGAAGAAGGAGGTGTGAGTGGCACTGAATTGAAAGTTGGATGTTTGCTTATGCGGTGGGTTTGAAATCAGGATGTGGAAAATGTGAGACTAGGGGAAAGAGAGTTGAGCATTAGGGAAGTCACAGCTCCAGTGTTTAGTAGGTAAAGGACGATTCTCTCACGGACTAGTTGGGCACTGTGAAAGGTAACCGGGCTTCAGCCATGTTGCTGGAAGCAAAAGATCATGGATTATATGTCTGAGGGGTGGGAAGTCAGGGTGGATTGGGTGAGGTCTCTCTGAGTAGATTGTCTACATCAAAGAACTGAGTGTTCTCTGTGGGGCTTCCTGAAGAGTCTGCACATACTCTTACATGTGTGATAGTGGGACCTTGAACATCTGTGACATAGAAAGCATCAACCATCAAGGAGCATGAGCAGCAGCACCAGGGAAGTCAGAGGCATTCTCCCCTTTCCTCCTGTATTCACTAAAGTTCCAAACCATGGAGAAGGGGCAACCCAGAAAAGGGAGGGGGAGGAGGGAGAGAAGTGGAAGAGCTGACACTGTCACTCTCCAAGTGCTGGCCAGTCCCAGCAGGGAAAGATTAGAGCATTAAACTGCACTTGAGGGTTAAGTTTTAAACTGTTTTTAATGTTACTAGACTGGTTTGTTTTATAACTGAAATTGACTATGGAGTTTTCCATTCTGTCTGAAATGTCTTTAAAGGGAAGGCAAAGGAGACTTGATATAATTCATTGAAGAATAAAGGTTGGAAAGAAACAAAAATTCTTCTCATGGCTGTACTCCATTGAGTCAGACCGTTCAATATAGCCATGAGGAACTGTATGGTCTTATTCCTGATCATTTCTCTATTTTCATCTTCTAACATAATCTTCTGAATTCCGATCACTTTACTTCTACTGGTGCCAAGGTCTCTCCCATCTTAGACTGCTGTTCCCTCTGCCTGGAAGATTCTTTCCTGGATCTTCACAGCACTGGCTCCTGTTTCCCTCAGCTCAAATATCACTCTCTTAGAGAGGTATTTCCTGACTGCTGTTTAATGTCGTGAGCCTCCCTTGTGCAGTTACTTCATCTCATTACCCTGTTTATTTCCCTCATGCTATTTATCACCATCTCTAATTATTTTACTTACTTGTTTGCTTGTTTATTGGCATTGTGTCTGTCTATTTTACCTCTGTATGTCCCAGTGCCTGGGCTATAACCACTCAGTGAACGTGGATTAATGAATGAATGAAACAAGCTTCAATAATTCAAGATAACCTTAAGGTTATCTGTAAACAAGCAGAAAAAAAAACCCAATTGCTATGTAACCCTCTTCCAAATGTAAACTGGTGGCTAATGACATAATTAATTGGGGCTCTAGCTTAAGGCTTTTCACTGTAGGGAAACAGATGTTTCCATAAGTTCTGGTTTCCTTGTGACAAAATCATTCCCTTTAGAAAGCAAAATGAAATACTAATTTGTGTTTACTATGTATTAGATACGTTAAATATTTACTCATTTACTGCTACAAACTCTTTAAGGTCAGCATCGCAATTTTGTAGATTCAGAATCTAACTATTTTATAGAATTGGAATCTAAGGCTTCCAATGAGAACGTAACTAGTAATTTGTTGTGTCAGTACTGCATGCAAGCCTGTTTGGCTCCAAAGTCCATGGTCTCCCTGGAACATTGTATTACTTTCCATCATAAAAATCTCAGGCCACTAGTGACATCATTCATGACATTACTGGTGACTTTATGGACTTGAGATGCCCCTAACTCACTGTTTATGACTTTGGCTACAGAATCAAGGGCTCATTATAACAAAGTCTTGGAGTTGTTTATCTTGTTTTGCATGTATTGTTTGGACAGAACCTTAAAGCCCTAAAGAATATAAACTGTAGAATCATCTTTCACTGATTGTCTAAGACAAGGATTGTCTGTGCAAGTGATTTACTGGGAAGTGTTTCTAGGAGAAACTGTTAAGGGTGTGAGGGAGGTAGGACAGAGCAAGGCAGAAGCCAAGTAAGGGGCTAGTTTCAGGCAAAGTCCTGGGGAGGGTGTAGTGAATTCCTGCAGCGGCATTGCTGAGTAGAAGATGCATCTCAGAATTGTCTTGACCTGAGGGGAGGAGATGGGCTTCCATATTTCCCTGCCAGTCCTGCGCTAGAGGAGGAAGGTAGGGAGGTACAGAGGTAAACTTCTAGGTGCTTCTGGCTCCCTGCTATTGCAGCCCAAGCTGTGCCAGGACTCAAGAGCACCTAGTGGAAGACAGTCCTGCATAGAGAACTTTGGAGGTAAAAGCACATCAAAGCCCGAGGAAGGGTATGTGGGGATGGCAGAAGCGGTCCTGGGGAATTGGGGAAGCACCAATCAGTGCCCACTATATTGATCATAGCTATTTCATTTTAAAGGAAAAATTAAATGTCCTCTTGTACAATAAAAAATGGAAGGTTTATATTTGGTCATGATTGGGCTATTTAATTTAAGCTCTAGTGATAATTCGTCTCAGCTGGATATTTTTAAATGAAGGTAGAGAGTGACATGCTGTTTGCCAAGTTGGCTTTCAGTGGAAATGGCATGTGGTTCTAGTTGAGGCCTGGAGCCATAGGGAACAAGGCATCAGAAAATGCATTGGTCACTGATTTACACACATTGACTGCCCTCTGACTCTGTCTTTATTGTCTCTTCGGCCCTAAACCTCAGCACATTTATTGCTGCAGAGGCCAAATGTTCTTAAGGCAATCTATGGGGTGCCTTTCTTTCTGGCTGCTTCTTTATACTGAGAACCTTTGTAGTTCTTTCATTACTCACAGTTAGACTTCATTTCTGTTCTGCAGTTTTCTGATCCTCCCTATCAATTCCTTCCTTTGACATGCTGGCAGAATTTGGCTCTCTTATTCTTTAGCTCTTCCTGTCTTGTGTCTCTGTGTGTGTTTAAATTACCATTGTGCCCTTATTTTTATTGAAAGAACTTAAAATGACAACTCTGATAGTGCATCAACTTACTTTTATTTCTTTATGTTCCTTCCCAAATTCAATACTTTCATTTTTCCTTTTGTGTATAAATTACTCTTTAATAGCTTCAGTTTAATTTACTTTCAATTTTTGTTACAGCTCAAATTAATTTAATAAGAGGAAAACCTAAAAGAAATTTAAGTACAGTGGAATCCAATTCATGGTTATTTGTCAGGGTTGAATTCAATTTACAATAGTTTTCCAGAAGTGATTCCTTATGTCAGAATAAAGGTAATAATAACATTGTAAATATTTTCATATGTATTTTGAAAATTATTGACTAAGCAGTAAATGCTGAATTTACTCATGTTGCTTAATTTTTTGTGTCAACTTGGTTGACGCATGGTTCCCAGATATTTGGTCAAATGTTATTCTGGATGTTTCTGAAGGTGTTTTTGAGTGAGACTAACATTTAAAGCAATGGCTTTTGAGCACAGTAGATTACCCTACATAATGTGGGTGGGCCTCATCCTGTCAGCTGAAGACCTTCATAAGCCAGACTGACCTCCCTTGAGCAAGAGGCAGTTGCCATCAGACTGCCTCTGAACTCAAACTGCAACTCTTCCCTGGGTCTCCAGCCTGCTGGCCTACCTTTGACTTGTCAAATGTCCACAGTCACATGAGCCAATTTCTTAAAATCTGTCTATCTATCTATCCATCCATCTATCTATGTTTGTTTATCATGTTGGTTCTGTTTCTCTGGAGAACCCTGATTAATACATCTAGCTACTGTTTTTTTTTTTTTGAGACAGAGTCTCACTCCATTGCCCAGGCTGGAGTGCAGTGGTGTCATCTCAGCTCACTGCAACCTTCACCTGCTGGGTTCAAGTGATTCTTCTGCCCCAGCCTCCTGAGTAGCTGGGACTACAGGTGCATGCCACCACACCTGGCTAATTTTTGTATTTTTAGTAGAGATGGGGTTTTGCCATGTTGACCAGGCTCGTCTCGAACTCCTGACCTCAGGTGATCCACTGGCCTTGGCCTCCCAGAGTCCTGGGCTTACAGGTGAGCCACCATGCCCAGCCACATCTAGCTACTTTAAATTACTGTTAAAACCCGGTCCTTTCAAAATGGGAAAAATCCTTCAGGTGAAAGGGTTTAGTCATCAATGAAATTACTTCAGAAATCATAAATGCTGAGGGTAGTCTATTTTTGATCATTACTATGGTCTGAGTGTGTCCTCTAAAACTCATGTGTTGAAAACGTAATCCAATGCAATCGTGTTGGGAAGTGGGGCCTTTTGGGAGGTGTTTAGGAGATGAGGGATCTACCCTCAGGAATAGATTAATGTTGTTATAAAAGGGCTTGACAGAGGCAGTTTGGCCCTCTTGCCTGTCTGTCCTCTGCCATTTGAGGACAAAGTATTCCTCCCGGTTAGAGGACACAGCGTTTAATGCACCATCTTAAAGTAGAGAGCAGCCCTTGCCAGAGGCCAGACCTTGATCTTTTACTTCCCAGCCTTCAGAATCGTGAGAAATAGATTTCATTTCTTTACAAATTACTTAGTCTGTGGTATTTTGTTATAGCAGCATAAATGGACTAAGACAGTGATCTACAAATAAACGTACACATTAAAGGAAAATTGTAGCAAAGGCCAGACTTCACCATCCTTAGCCATTACTTTTGACTGAGTTTTATGCTTTGTCACTTTTCAGCCCTCTCTGCAGTGAACAGGCTGTAGACTGCCTTCTGAAAAAGGCTTTAATTTTTTTTTGTCAAATTTGAGTAATGTACAGTCTTTTTCTGAGAAAAAATGTAAATATCCAATGTTAAACTATAATCTGTATTAGAATAATACTTAAATATAAACAAAATAGAAATAAACTCTTTTATTTGGTTCACTGATATAACCCAGCACCTAAATTAGTGTCTGGCATGTATTAACTATATCAGTTCATTCACTGGGGAATGAATGAGTAGATGAATGATTATAGTTCTTATAGAACTATGAAATTCAAAGCAAATTTCAATATTAAATATATAAAAATCCAATAAACTGAGATATTTAATAATATTCATTTGGTGTATGATATTGTTTTAAGAAAATTAAATTTCTGCTTTCAGCCTGAATATGGTACTATTGCTACAGTTAAAAAACGTTTGGCTTTAGCATTTCTGTTAAAATCACATGATGACTCAGTTCTTTTCCAGTTTTATTTTCTCCTGAATTAGTATAGCAAAATCTATATTCACATGTTGTCTTTTGGTCTTTAGTTTATATCAATGCATTATTTTAATGTACATATGTCCAGTGGTGTGGTGGCAAATATTTAACTACTAGCTCTTTGACAAAAACCAAAATTTGATAATATAAAGGATGTGTAGCACACATAATCTTTATTGTAAATTTCATATAGCTAATTGATTCTCACAGAATGGGTTTTTTTTTTATTTCGGAGGAGTTCTTTTGTCTTATATAATCAATCTATGCAATTGATGAAGAAGTGTAGTTCCTATCTGAATATTGAGTGGTATTTTTGTTTACATTAATGTAACATCAAAGTGAAATGATAAAGATGTATGTTGGAAGTTCACTTTTAAAAAAATCAATACTGTGAGCAACTTATTTGTTGAATCAGCTAATAGTCTTTGAATACTGGAGGAATATTTTTTAATTTTTAAAAAAATTTAAGATACACTTTGAAATTTAATCTCCATTGTTAACCTGTTTCAACCACTTTCTTAGGTCTAGACAATCAAGAAGCAATAAGTCAAATCCTGATTTGTAATGTTTGCTGATTTCAAGCTACCAGTGTGATGTCACTGAATAAAGAATGGGAAAAAAATGAGCAGTAGCACACCATTCCATGTGTTTCTACCATACAGATATATTAGACATAAATAATCTGAAGAGTATATATAATAGTAAAATAATTAGGAAGTGATAAGCTTTGAGTGTTTATTACTTTTGCTTTCAATATAATCTGTTTAAAGTTTATGCCATTTGATTTTTAATAAAGGCTGTGCTTACAAATGAGATCTACCATAACTATGCATCTCTCTCACTATCTCGTGATAATTAAAGTAATATTATTAGATGCTAAAGAGACCAAAAATGCAAACAAAGGCAATATTGTGGGGCAATACTGGGTAATATGGTGGTCATCCAGATGCTCTACAATGTGCCTATGTAATTCTTTTTGGAATTTAAAAATTCGTATGGGAACTCTAGAACCCCAAGGAATACATGTATGAATCCCAGGGCTCTTTGGCTTCTCACTGGGCCAATGCTGAGTTTTCCTCCAGAAGGCAGAGGAGTACTGTAAGGGGACTCACATGTGAATGTGATGCAGCAGCGTTTCGCTTTAATGCTGCTGCCAGGGCATCACTGTGGAATTTAGAAGGGCGCAATAGTGTCTTACACTTTGAAGCAGCTAGAAATCCCATTTAACACCCTAGTCAATAAGGAAACCCTTGAAAAGTGAGAAGGCTGTGCCAAAAGCCAGGTGAAATTTAAAAATTGCTTCCTTCATAAATTATTATCCCAGCATGTCATTTCCAGGACAGATTTAGATATATGAACTGAGTTTTTTCTTACAAATTCTTTGAACTAGAGATCTAGATCTCAAGATTGAAAAAAAAGTGATGGGCATTCCTAAAAAGGAAGTGATGTGCATTCTTCTTGCAAAGAAAAGGAAGAAAGTGGAAGTAAGATAAACTGTTTGTAATATGGACAGCTTTTAGGCAATGTCCTTTCTGCCTGGAAACTACCTATTTGCAACTGAATATTCGATTCAGAATAGTGTGATGTGTGATATACTCTGGTGAAGATCTTTTCTTGGAAACAAGAACGACCATAGATGGTTGCCTATTATAGAGAAGTAATAGTGAATATGCCTATGCTTAAGTAACTTTATATTGGAGGACTTGGTCACCTAGATATTTAGATTATTTTCTTTAATGAGAATTTTAAAATCACTCATAGATTTTTGAGAGTATACATTTTGTATGCAGTCTTGAGGCTGGTGATTTATATTCCTGCATCAGCACTTCAGAAGATCTCTTAGCATCTTCAGAAATATTACTCAGTTTTTAAAATGGTATTTTATATTAATTTTTATTTTTAAATACATGACAAATTTAGAGAAGAAGATTTCAAACTTACTAAGTAAAATCAGTGCCCAGCTAGGGTGGAAGAACGGTGGAACCTGCTTTCTCTGCCTTGAACACTTTTTGCTCAGATGTCTCTCATGGCTAATTTCTTTACCTCCTTCAGGCTTTTGCTCAAATGTAGCTTTCTTATTCAGACTTCTCTGCTGCATTAATCCGTTTTCATGCTGCTGATAAAGACATACCCAAGACTGGGCAATTTTACAAAAGAAAGACTTACAGTTATTGGACTTACAGTTCCACGTGGCTGGGGAGGCCTCACAATCGTGGTGGAAGGCCAGCAGGAGCTGATCACATCTTAGATGGATGGTGGCAGGCAAAAAGAGAGCTTGTGCAGGGAAACCCTGCCTTTAAAGCCATCAGATCTCATGAGACTTACCCACTATCATTAGAACAGCATGGGAAAGACTTGCCCCCATGATTCAATTCCCTCCCACCGGATCCCTCCCACAACATATGGGAATTCAAGATGAGATTTGTGTGAGGACACAGCCAAACCATATCATTCTGCCCCTGGCCCCTCCCAAATCTTATATCCTCACATTTCAAAACCAATCATGCCTTCCCAATAGTCCCCTGAAGTCTTAACTTATTTCAACATTAACTCAAAAGCCCACAGTCCAAACTCTCATTCAAGACAAGGCAAGTCCCTTTCACCTATGAGCCTACAAAATCATAAGCAGGTTAGTTACTTCCTAGGTACAGTGAGGGTACAGGCATTGGGTAAATACAGCCATTCCAAATGGGAGAAATTGGCCAACACAAAGGGGCTACAGGGCCCATGCAAATCCAAAATCCAGTGGGGCAGTCAAATCTTAAAGCTCCAAAATGATGTCATTTGACTCCATGTCTCACATCCAGGTCACACTGATGCAAGAGGTGGGTTCCCATGGTGTTGGGCAGCTCCACCCCTGTGGCTTTGCAGGGTACAGCCTTTCATGGGCTGCTTTCACCAGCTGCTTTCACAGGCTGGTGTTGAGTGTCTGTGGCTTTTCCAGGTGCATGGTGCAAGCTGTTGGTGGATCTATCATTCTGGGGTCTGGAGGGCAGTGGCCCTCTTCTCACAGCTCTACTAGGCAGTGCCTCAGTAGGGATTCTGTGTGGGGGCTTCCACCCCACATTTTCCTTCTGCACTTCCCTAGCAGAGATTCTTCATGAGGACCCTACCCCTACAGCAAACATCTGCCTGGACATCCAGGCATTTCCATACATCTGAAATCTAGGCGGAGGTTCCCAAACCTCAATTCTTGACTTCTGTGCACCTGCAGGCTCAGCACCACATGGAAGATGCCAAGGCTTGTGGCTTGCACCCTCTGAAGCCATGACCTGAGTTCTGTGTTGGCCCCTTTCAGCCACAGCTGGAGCGGCTGGGACTCAGGGCACCAAGTCCCTTGGTTGCACACAGCACGGAGACCCTGGGACCGGCCCACGAAACCACTTTTTCCTCCTAGGCCTCCAGGCATGTGAGGCTGCCATTAAGACCTCTGACATGTCCTGGAGACATTTTCCTCATTGTCTTGGGGATTAACATTGGGCTTCTTGTTACTTATGCAAATTTCTATAGCCGCCTTGAATTTCTCCTCAGAAAATGGGATTTTCTTTTCTATCTCATTGTCAGGCTGCAAATTTTCCAAACTTTTAGATTCTGCTTCCCTTATTAAACTGAATGCCTTTAACAGCACCCAAGTCACCTCTTGAATGCTTTGCTGCTTAGAAATTTCTTTCACCAGATAGCCTAAATCATCTCTCTCAAGTTCAAAATTCCACAAATCTCTAGGGCAGGGGCAAAATGCTGCCAGTCTTTTTGCTAAAACATAACAAGAGTCAACTTTGCTCCAGTTCCTAACAAGTTTCTCATCTCCATCTGAGACCACTTCAGCCTGGATTTCATTGTTCATATCATTATCAGCATTTTGGTCAAAGCCATTCAACAAGTCGATAGGGAGTTCCAAACTTTCCCACATTTTCCTGTCTTCTTCTGAGTCCTCCAAACTGTTCCAGCCTCTGCCTGTTACCCAGTTCCAAATTTGCTTCCACATTTTTGGGTACCTTTTCAGCAGCATCCCATTCTACTGGTACCAATTTACTGTATTATTCCATTTTCACACTGCTGATAAAGAAATACCTGAGACTGGGCAATTTTACAAAAGAAGGAGGTTTACTGGACTTACAGTTCCACGTGGCTGGGGAGGCCTCACAATCATGGTGGAAGGCAAGGAGGAACAAGTCACATCTTATGTGGATGGCGGCAGGTAAAAAGAGAGCTTGTGCAGGAAAACTCTGCCTTATAAAACCATCAGATCTTGTGATACTTGTTCACTATAATGAGAACAGCATGGGAAAGACCTGCTCCCATGATTCAATTACCTCCCACTGGGTCTTTCCCACAACATGTGGGAATTCAAGATGAAATTTTTGTGGAGACACAGCCAAACCATATCATCTGCCTATTAAAAAAGTGTATACCCCCAGAAAATCCTGTTCCCTTCCATGATTGATTTTTCATCTTAGCATTTATTACCACACAAGGTACTATACCTTCTCTCTCACTCTTTCTTATGGTCCAGACACAGGAACATAAAAATACATTTTTAAACAAAAATATTTAAATAATAAATATCAATTTGTATTTTTTTTTTACTGAATGATGTAACTTTGGATATTTGTCCATGTTTGCACCTCACTATTCCTAACTGCTGTTTATTAGTATTCCCAATAAAGATATACCATAATGATTTATTTATTCTCTTACTGATGAACATTTCTCCCCAGTTTTTTTGCCATTGCAAAAAATGTTGCAATAAAGATCACTTTACAACCTTCCTTTTATGTAGTCACAGGTTTTTCTAAGAATATTTAAAAGGAAGTAGAATTTTGGGGTCTTGGGATATTGTTTGAATGATCTATTCTCCATAAAGAAAAATTACTTCAAAACATCCACTTATTATTATAGTTATGTTAAAATACATTTATTATTATCTCATAGTTATCTTGGTTGCTTGGGCTCAGTTGAGTGATTCTCGTCTGAGTCTTCTTGTGGTTATAGTCCGATGGCTATTGGGCCTGGAGTCAGTCATCTGAAGGCTCGAGTGGGCTGATAGGCAAGGAAGCTTCTTTATTTACATGTGTGGAGCCTCATTTGGAATGACTGGAACTGATGGGGGCTTGTCAGGCATCTTTCTCTTTCCATGTGTCCTCTTTACATAGCTAGCTTGTGCTTCCTTATAGCATGGTGATCTGAGGATAGTCAGACTTCTTACATGACAGCTAGCTTCCCCCAGAGCAAGTGTTCCAAGGAGTAAGGTGCAAAGATTCTTATATCCTGGACCTGGAAGTCCCTGAACATCATTTCAGATGCATTCTGTTGGTTAAACAGGGAGAGAGGGGAGGGGACTACATAAAGATGTGTACAGTGCAAGATAGGGCTCATTTAGGGGCCATATTTGGAGATTAGCTACCAAGGACGTGGGTTTCTCATTATAGTTTAGCAGGTTGGGATTAGAACTAATGTCAAATTAAAATGGAGATTTAGTGAAAAACAAGCCACAGATTAATAGAATAGGTGTATTTAACCTTGTAATGATACTTATATAGTGATTTCCTATAGTCCCTGAAATGATTTTGTGTTCCCAGTTGATCCACACAACGTGTTTCCAGGGAATTAAGCAATCTAGATCCAATAATCTAGACATTTCAGACCTGGAAATGACCCATATGTGTTTTTAGTTTCCTTTTAACACTTATAGATGAGGGAAATAGGGTTCAGAGAAGTTAGGGTAACATGTTCAAGGTAATTAGTATAAGGAGTTTGTAGCAGGACCAAAAATAGTACTCAAGACTCTTTCAGCGTTCTTTCCCTTATGTTTTATTTTATTATAAATCAGCTTCAGTGAGTAATAGTGCATCTACTCTAGGAAGATGTTTGTATTCATGTAAGTTTAGTAATATTGGAAGTGGTGTGGGTGGTAACTCTTATTACTTAGTAAGTAGGGTGTAAGTTTTTTACACCCTACTTTTTTTGTAAACTATTTGCAATGTTTTTTAAATGACCTATCCCTTAGAAATACTATATGCATTGCTTCATTTCACTTGGTAATATGTTTCAGGGAATAAAATAAAGTTTTAACATATGTTTTGTGGTTGAAAAACCAGGGATCAACTTGTTTCACAAAACTGAGTCTAGAAGCTGGCTGGGAATGATTTTTGGGTCCCAGTTCGTGGTCCACCACTGGGTGGTGAGTGTTGGAACTGCCAAAGAAACATAGGGATGCTTGGTACATGGGATGAGAAATAATTGGAACATACCTGGCATGATACTTCTAAGAAATCTATTCTGGTTTTTGGAATACAAATATATTAATTTATTCTAAAACTTTCCTAGGAGATATGATGCAGATGTTATAGAGGGTGCTTGGGCCCTAAGTGAGTTCCATGGTTCTCATGGAGTTCAGATGCTATTCATTGGCATACCCCAGATTCAGAGCTTGAAGTGGAACTGAGCTATTGAGCTCAACTACTCATCAGGAATTCTGTTGGTCTGGCAGGAGATAAACCTGGATGATTACCAGAAGCAGCTGTGGGCCAGATGGGACTGGCAATGCTTGCTGCAGCCTAATTCCCAAGAACTTCAGTGCTCAAGAAGAAAGGCATATGCTTTGTCCCCCTGCTGCCTCCACCCCAGACCAAGCTAATTCCACCCTTCATTCCCTTCTCTGTTCTCTGTCTTCTCCTCCCACTCAAACTTCACTCAGCATCAGCGCCAACTTAAGAGTTCCTTTGCAGCTTTCTCTGGCAACTCTGTTCTGCACTCTCAAATCTATTTCACCTGTTAGATTTTTTTCAAAATAGCATCAAAAAGTGAGTGTATTTAATCATACTCAGCTCATAATAGAGAAAATTGGTGAATAGATTAATAATTCATGCTCCAGCATTAACTGGCAACAGAGAAAGTTGGTCACAGGAAGGCAGAAGAACCTCATTTTCTTTCTTTTTTTTATTATTATTATACTTTAAGTTTTAGGGTACATGTGCACGATGTGCAGGTTAGTTACATATGTATACATGTGCCATGCTGGTGTCCTGCACCCATAAACTCGTCATTTAGCATTAGGTATATCTCCTAATGCTATCCTTCCCCCCTCCCCCCACCCCACAACAGTCCCCAGAGTGTGATGTTGCCCTTCCTGTGTCCATGTGTTCTCATTGTTCAATTCCTATCTATGAGTGAGAACATGTGGTGTTTGGTTTTTTGTCCTTGAGATAGTTTACTGATAATGATGATTTCCAATTTCATCCATGTCCCTACAAAGGACATGAACTCATCATTTTTTATGGCTGCATAGTATTCCATGGTGTATATGTGCCACATTTTCTTAATCCAGTCTATCATTGTTGGACATTTGGGTTGGTTCCAAGTCTTTGCTATTGTGAATAGTGCCACATAAACATACGTGTGCATGTGTCTTTATAGCAGCATGATTTATAGTCCTTTGGGTATATACCCAGTCATGGGATGACTGGGTCAAATGGTATTTCTAGTTCTAGATCCCTGAGGAATCACCACACTGACTTCCACAATGGTTGAACTAGTTTACAGTCCCGCCAACAGTGTAAAAGTGTTCCTATTTCTCCACATCCTCTCCAGCACCTGTTGTTTCCTGACTTTTTCATGATTGCCATTCTAACTGGTGTGAGATGGTATCTCATTGTGGTTTTGATTTGCATTTCTCTGATGGCCAGTGATGCTGAGCATTTTTTCATGTGTTTTTTGGCTGCATAAATGTCTTCTTTTGAGAAGTGTCTGTTCATATCCTTTGCCCACTTTTTGATGGGGTTGTTTGTTTTTTTCTCATAAATTTGTTTGAGTTCATTGTAGATTCTGGATATTAGCCCTTTGTCAGATGAGTAGGTTGCGAAAATTTTCTCCCATTTTGTAGGTTGCCTGTTCACGCTGGTGGTAGTTTCTTTTGCTGTGCAGAAGCTCTTTAGTTTAATTAGATCCCATTTGTCAATTTTGGCTTTTGTTGCCATTGCTTTTGGTGTTTTAGACATGAAGTCCTTGCCCATGCCTATGTCCTGAATGGTAATGCCTAGGTTTTCTTCTAGGGTTTTTATGGTTTTAGGTCTAACATGTAAGTCTTTAATCCATCTTGAATTAATTTTTGTATAAGGTGTAAGGAAGGGATCCAGTTTCAGCTTTCTACATATGGCTAGCCAGTTTTCCCAGCACCGTTTATTAAATAGGGAATCCTTTCCCCATAGCTTGTTTTTCTCAGGTTTATCAAAGATCAGATAGTTGTAGATATGCAGTGTTATTTCTGAGGGCTCTGTTCTGTTCCATTGATCTGTATCTCTGTTTTGGTACCAGTACCATGCTGTTTTGGTTACTGTAGCCTTGTAGTATAGTTTGAAGTCAGGTAGCGTGATGCCTCCGGCTTTGTTCTTTTGGCTTAGGATTGACTTGGCGATGCGGGCTCTTTTTTGGTTCCATATGAACTTGAAAGTAGTTTTTTCCAATTCTGTGAAGAAAGTCATTGGTAGCTTGATGGGGATGGCATTGAATCTATAAATTACCTTGGGCAGTATGGCCATTTTCACGATATTGATTCTTCCTACCCATGAGCATGGAACATTCTTCCATTTGTTTGTATCCTCTTTTATTTCATTGAGCAGTGGTTTGTAGTTCTCCTTGAAGAGGTCCTTCACATCCCTTGTAAGTTGGATTCCTAGGTATTTTATTCTCTTTGAAGCAATTGTGAATGGGAGTTCACTCATGATTTGGCTCTCTGTTTGTCTGTTATTGGTGTACAAGAATGCTTGTGATTTTTGTACATTGATTTTGTATCCTGAGACTTTGCTGAAGTTGCTTATCAGCTTAAGGAGATTTTGGGCTGAGACAATGGGGTTTTCTAGATATACAATCATGTCGTCTGCAAACAGGGACAATTTGACTTCCTCTTTTCCTAATTGAATACCCTTTATTTCCTTCTCCTGCCTAATTGCCCTGGCCAGAACTTCCAACACTATGTTGAATAGGAGTGGTGAGAGAGGGCATCCCTGTCTTGTCCCAGTTTCTGTGACTGGCTTATTTCACTTAGCATAACATCCTCAAGGTTTATCCATGCTGTACCATATGACAGTATTTTCTTCTTTCTAAAAGGCTAAATACTATTCCATTATATATTTATACCATCTTTTCTTTATCCATTCATCAATTGTCAGTGGACAATTAGATTGTTTCCATCTCTTGCTTACTGTGCATAATGCCACAATGAACATGGGAGTTCAAGCATCTCTTGCTGCCTTCAAAATTTTCTCTTTGTCTTTGACTTTTGACAGTTTGATTATAATGTGTCTTAGTGTGATCTTCTTTGGGTTCATCCATGATGGACTCTGTTGGCCTTTGTGAATCTATATGTCCATTTTCTTTCTTAGATTTGGGAAGTTTTGGGCCATTATTTCTTCTACTTCTTTCTTTCTCTCTTTTCCTTCTGAGACCCTATAATGTATATATTGGTGTGCTTGCTAGTGACTCATAGTCCTTGGCTTTCTTCCCTCTTCTTCATTCATTTTTCTTTGTGTTCCTCTGATAGGATAATTTTAAATGACTTGTCTTTGAGTTCACTGATTCTTTCTCCTGCTTTCTTCTGCTTCAAATCACTCTAGTGAATTTTTAAAGTCAGTTATTTTGTTCTTCAGCTCCAAATTTTTTATGTTTGTTACTTTGTAGTGTTTTCTATCTCTTTGCTGTTTTCCTGAGCTCATGGGGCATCCTTATGAAGATCATTTTGAATTCCTTGATAATTCATATACCTGGGTTTCATTAAAGTCGGTTTCTAGAGATTTATTTTATTCCTTTGGTTAGGCCGTGTTTCCCTGTGTCTTTAGATGCCTTGTTACTTTGTGTTTGGATGCACACATTTGAAAAAAGAACTACCTCCCCCAGTATTTACTGGCTTCATACGGGGACCTTCACAAATCCGACTGGCTAGTGATTCTGGTGACTTCTCAAAGATTTTTTGGTAATGTGTCTTCTCCAGACTTATGCATGTAAATTCTTAATGACCAGTTTTCTTTTTTCTGAAGCTCATTATCTCGTCCTCCCTCTGGTGTTTGTCTGGAGTACTACAGGTTCTCTGGAGCTGCCATTGGCCACCCAGGTTTTATTCTTAGTGGCACCCTGTCAGGGTCCCAATAGCATTCTTAGTCAGGTTAGGCAGAAATTCATTACTCAGGCAGATGCTGGAGAAGCTGGAACATTGGACACATGTTCCACTCCCTCCTTTCCCCCTGAGGGGAGAAGCTGCCAAGTTGCATCAGCCTCTGTCCTCTGCACCATAGGTCCTTGGAGCAGCAGTAAGCTACTCGGCTGTTTTTTGTTCTTAGTGATTCCCAGGCATCTAAAATATGCTGCAACCCACAAGTACCCAAAACGGATGAAACAGAAGCCAGACCCGCAGGCAGCCCTCTGAAAAGCTGGAAATGTCGGATAGAGACAGCAACTCTTTTTCCTCCCCAGCAGGAAGTCAGGAGTTAGGAGTTTTCTCCCACTTGTGCTGTGCTGAACTGGGGGTAGGGGAGGATGGCAGGTGAGTTTGTTACAATTCTTACCATCACCTTTGTTCTTAGTGGGTCCCAACTTGGTGCTGTTTCTTGTCCATGCTCATATTCATGTAAGACAGAAACCAGTCCCTTGGGTAGCCCCACAAAATGTCTGAATATTAGGCCTATGTTCCAGTCTTCTCTTTCCCTCCCTCAGGAAGAAGCTGGGAGTTGAGAATTACCTCAGGATCACTCTGGGCTATGCTGGGGATATGGGCTCTGTTGAGTGAGTGCCACAAATTTTCCTGTTGGTCAATGTGACTGGTTTCATGCTTCCCCAGGGTGCAGGAGCCTCTGACCTAGTTTCTGGATTTCTCACAAAGGGGTCTGGTCCATGTGTTGTTGTTGAATCATTGTCTGTAGGGGGAAAGAATGGTTTGGAGCTTCCTATTGTGCCATATTGCTGATGTCGTCCCCCAAGGAGGAGTGTTAATGCATAAATGACTTAGAACAGTTCCTAGGATTTAATAAGCACGCAACAAATCTTAGCTACTTTTATTCTTCTGCCTTAAGAAGGCTGAATATTTTTCTTATATGCCCTATTACTTATGTTACTTTGAAAACTGTTAAAATAATGTAATGAGAATTATAGTGTTAATAAAAAAAATCCTGATATGTTGACTACAACTTCAAAAGAGAAAACAGAAGAACTAAAGTGAAACCATATTTGTTTCTTTTGAATAACTAACACACTAGTCAGTATAATTACTGGTTCTTTTAAGATTGACATGAGAAGCATTGATGGGCAGTAAGTAAACATCAGTGCTGCTTTATGACAGTTTCTGAACAGCAGAAATTTCTGTGGTCTACAACTACTGTGATCCAGAAGGAATTAGACTAACAAAACTCGTAAGACAAATAAATAATACCATTAAACCAGAACCTCTTGGCAAGCTATAAGAGAGTCAGTTTTTTTGTTTTTTTTTTTTTTTGAGATGGAGTCTCGCTCTGTCACCCAGGCTGGAGTGCAGTGGTGCAGTCTCAGCTCACTACAACCTCCACCTCACAGGTTCAAGCAATTTTCATGCCTCAGCCTCCTGAGTAGCTGGGACTACAGGTGCATGCCACCACGCCCGACTAGTTCTTGTATTTTTAGTAGAGATGGAGTTTCACCAGGTTGGCCAGGCTGGTCTTGAACTCCTGACCTCAGGTGATCCACCTGCCTTGGCCTCCCAAAGTGCTGAGATTATAGGCATGAGCCACTGTGCCCGGCCTAGAGTCAGTTCTTATTGAAGTTACTTAAAATGCCACTGGACTTCTATGGTAAGTCAGGCACTACCTGGTTTCAAATCTTTGTTTAGAAAGGCTTTGTAGATGGCAATAGTGGGCATATATAGTCATATTCCTCTGTAGATATAATATATGTCATTATAGCAATTTCTGAAGCATTGCTATGGTTAAGACACTATATCTGAACTGGAGTACTTTTGAGAGTAATAGGGGGCCAGGATAACAGGTCTAGAGCACCCCAGAACTTATAGTCACCCTATGATCACCAAGAAACATCAAATCCATTCATGGTAGAAGGAAGATGTTAAAGCCTATGAGATTGCCCCTCTCTTGGCTCTCATCTGAAGGCTTCTCCATTTTGGCCCTGTTTTCCTATGTGTCTGGACATTTATACACATCTGGCAGTGGCTGGTTGCCTAAGGCCATAGATAAGTACAGTTCTTGACTTTGGGCATGGGTTAAAAAACGATTGTAGCAGCTCTATGGAGTTAAAAATTAAATATACTTTTCTCTGAAGGGAAATAAATATTACATGAAGGATGTCTTTACCTTCAACTGTAATGAAGAATGTGTTAGCTATATTTATGTCTATATTTCTATTTATATATCTATCTGATCATCTATTTTTTCTCTTGGCCTGATATGGTTTGGCTGTGCCCCACCCAAATCTCAACTTGAATTGTATCTCCCAGAATTCTCACCTTTTGTGGGAGGGACCCAGGGGGAGGTAATTGAATCATGGGGGCTGGTCTTTCCTGTGCTATTCTCATGATAGTGAATAAGTCTCATGAGATCTGATGGGTTTATCAGGGGTTTCCACTTTGCTTCTTCCTCATTCTTCTCTTGCTGCCGCCACATAAGAGGTGCCTTTTGCCTCCCACCATGGTTCTGAGGCCTCCCCAGCCATGTGGAACTGTAAGTCCAATTGAACCTCTTTTTGTTCCCAGTTTTGGGTGTCTTTATCATCAGTGTGAAAATGAACTAATACGTGGTCCAAACATTTTAGAATTTCTTCTTGAGCCCTGCACTCTCTCACTAATTAGAAAACTATTCTTTGGTGATAATCTAAAGAGAAATCAAAAGTGAGCAACACAGTAATGGGGAAGACCATGTTAGAGGCTTTTTCCCCAAAATTTTTCTGTGATGTGACATTGATAGCACTTAATCACTTGAAAAAAAGTTCCAAAATCTCCCTGGAGCCTCTTAGGATGCTTTTATTTAAAACTAGTAGCTTCTGGAACATTTTCCATGGTTCAGCTCCCATGGGTTCCTATGTGTAGTGCAGAGCTTGAGAAATATGTCAATACTTCCCTTAAGTCAGAAATTAGTTTAGCTTCTTGAGGTCACAGACCAGATGTACTGTTGTAGTTATATGAGATTGTAACTTCTCTGCATGGTTAATGCTCCTGTTTTTAATTTTTGGAAAACAGATTCTTTGGTTGCTGCTATTCCACACCCGACATGCTGAGTCCTGCTTTTCCTTCTTCACTGTTTAAAACAGGGTGATGTTTTTCTGCATTACACAAGTGACCTTGAAATGGAGACACTGATCTCAGGGGTTTAGGTCCTGTGCATTTTCTCCTGTTAAAACCCAGAAATGTAGTCATGGAATGCATTGGCTTACTGAAAGTTCCCTGGGGCTTTTGACTATGCTGCTTTGAATTTCCTGCATTCTTTGTTTTTAAACTATGTGTGTGTGTGTGTGTGTGTGTGTGTGTGTGTGTTTTGTGCACCTTGAATATAGCATCAAGGCAAAATTTCTGGAGAGAACAATGCAAAGAATGTACTTTCTCTAGAAAAAGGAAGTCTAGATAAAATGGTCTTTCTGGGTTCCCAAATGCATGTGTTTTATATCTTTTGTTTGTTTAAAATTTTTGCTTCCTAATAGATCACCTCAAATCTTTTTATATAAAACTAGCTGCAGCAAGGGCATTAAAAAATCTCACATCTGTATGAAGTTATTTTGGGGGAAGTCAATTGAAAAGCAGAATAATAATTAAATAACCTTTGAATAACTCTTACATTCTGGGTTAATAAGAATCTGCTTTCCTCTTTGTCCAGCAGTTTGAATGTTTTGAGTCAAGTAAAGGCGACATGAAAGAGTGATTAGCATGGGTGAACTTTTGGACATGCAAAGCTCTTTTAGGTCCAGATAAGCAGTATGACAAAGTGGTGAAGAGTCCTGGCCACAGCTGGACATTTCCAAGTTTGAATTCCTAGACCTGTTCTTACTGGGGCTACCTTAGACATGCTATCTAGATTTCCTGGGTCACAGTTCTCTCATCTGTACAGATAATGATACCTAATTCACATGGTTGTTGTGAGGGTTAAATGAAATAAAAGCATAAAGCCAATTAACTGACACATTAAAATATTCAATAAGCAAAAGACATGTTTTCTCATTTATGACACCAATGAGTACAGGGGTGCAGTCTGACCTTGCAGAACTACTCAGCTCATTTTTATTCTGCTGCTTTTACTTTCCCAGTATTAGGAAAAGCAAACCTTCACACCATGATTCAAATGAAATCTCTTGAAAATGTGAGGATCATTTAAGTCACTTACCTATGTTGCTCTTTTCCAATACTTGCTCATAATGTTTATACCCTTCAAATAGTGGGGATACAGTTATAGGGCCTTTGTTAAATAAAGTACCTTCTTCCAAAAAAAACCCCACTAAACCTGCAGACAAATAGAGTTGCATAAATCAACATAATACCTATTTTTATTACCAAAGGAGCTTGCACATTTCTTCTCAGTATCTTTAAAACTCATATTAAATGTTTTGTAACATTGATTTATTAAAAGTAATATTTAATATAATTTTGTTCAACTCTGTAATGATAATGGCTAGCATAAGATGCTATGTGTTGGGCATTGTACTACGTACTCCATGAGGACTGGGGTCTCACAACTATATTCCTTGTTATATCACCCAATTAATGAGTGAGAAAATGGAATCTAAAAGAGGTCAAGTAAAACTGCCAGCAAAAGGCAGAACTGGCATCTGGAAACTTGACCTTGAAATGTTCATGGTGCTGGTAAGGCCTCTCTACCAGTCTGCCTAGATAATAAGATTTAGGATGACCACCTACCTGCTTTCAATCTGGGAGTCTAGAATTTTAGTAGTTGTGGCTATGCAGAGAGTGCCTATATGACCAGTCCCATATAAAAACCTTGAGATCTGAGTCCTACAGTGGCTTTACTGGCAGAAACATTATACATATGTTGCTGTATTTCACTGTTGGAGGGGCAGTGAGCTCTGTGTGGCCCTTTCTGGGAGAGCATAGGAAGCCTGCATGTGAATGTAACCAGACTCTGTCTGCTGTGTTCTATGCCTTGTCGATTTGGCTGTGTAGCCTTGCTGTGTTGTTGTAAAAAATATTTGCCATGAGTGCAAATCTATACTAAGGTCCATCAGTTCTTCTATGGAGGTGCCAAATGTGTGGGTGGTTGTAGAATTGCTGAAACAAGTGGTAGTCAAAGTCTGACACAGATGTGGACATGACTACTGAGAGGACAAATTATCCATCAGTTAGGAACTTTATTTACATCATCTTCCTAAAGATTGCAAATGGTATTAGTTAGTAGAGCTGACGTTACAGCCCTTTTAGGAGCCTCAGCTCCAACACCCCATGTTGGGTCATTATATGGAGTATAATACACGCTTTGTAAACTATATGCATACAGACATACAATAGTTAAAAATAGGCCAGTGTGTCCAATGCCTGTCATCTTTTTATGTGTATCCTGTGTTTTTATTGTTTTGCAGCTGAATGCCAAACATAGAAGATAATTACAAATATTCAGCTGTGTGAAAGTGAAGATAGGGCTTAAGTACAAACAGGAGACATGAATTTTTAAAATAAATGCTTAAATATGACTCGTGTTCTACAAACATCTGGAAGCTAGGTCTGCATAGCTGAACTGTCTCATCTGTGGGCCCATCATGATGATCATGATCCCTCCTCCCACACAGTAATCAATGCATGGGATCAGGATGCCAATGGCTAAACATGATCAGAATGAACCCCCTTTCTAGAGCTTTTCCTGTTCCTCTGCAGACAATTGTTTATCTTCTTAAATAAGGTTTTAGATGTTTTTATTTTTTTCTTTGAATTTCCCCCTTGCTTTTTAAGCCATATACAATATGTCTATATTATTCTTACAATAAAGAAATGTGATGTTTATAATCAGTATTATAACATTTTGAGTTTACCAGTGATATGGTTTGGCTCTGTGTCCTCACCAAAATCTCACCTTGAATCATAATCCCCACATGTCAAGGGAGGAACGTGGGGAGAGGTGATTGGATCATGGGGGCATATTTCCCCATTGCTGTTCTCATGATAAAGAGTGAGTTCTCACAAGATGGTTTTATAAGTGTTTGACAGTTCCTTCTTCACATGTTTTCTCTTGTCTGCTGCCATGTAAGATGTTCCTGCTTCCCCTTCTGCCATGATTATAAGTTTTCTGAGGCTTCCCCAGCCATGTGGAACTGTGAGTCAATTAAACCTCCTTTGTTTATAAATTACACAGTCTCAGGTAGTATCTTTATAGCATTGTGGAAATGGACTAATACAGTAAATTGGTACCACAGAGATTGGGGTGCTGCTATAAAGATAACCTGAAAATGTGGAAGCAACTTTGGAACTGGGTAACAGGCAGAGGTTGGAACAGTCTGGAGGGTCCAGAAGAAGACAGGAAGATGTGGCAAAGTTTGGAACTTCCCAGAGACTTGTTAATGGTTTTGACCAAGATGTTGATAGTGATATGGACAATGAAGTCCAGGTTGAGGTGGGTCTCAGATGAAGATAAGAAACTTCTTGGGAACTGGAGCAAAGGTCACTCTTGCTATGTTTTAGCAAAGAGACTGGTGGCATTTTGCCCCTGCTCTAGAAATCTATGAAACTTTGAACTTCAGAGAGAGATGATCTGGAATTGAAACTTATGTTTAAAAGGGAAGCAGAACATAAACGTTTGGAAAATGTGCAGCCTGACTATGCAGTAGAAAAGAAAACCTCATTTTCTCGGGAGAAATCCAAGCCAGCTACAGAAATTTGCATAAATAATGAGGAGCTGAATGTTAATCACCAAAACAATGGGGAAAATGTTTCCAGGGCATGTCAGAGACCTTCATGGCAGCCCCTCTCATCACAGACTTGGAGGTCTAGGAGGAAAAAATGGGGGCAGGACCTTGGGCACATGTGCTGTGTGCAGCCTCGGGACTTGGTGCCCTGTGTCCCAGCCACTCCAGCTTTAGCCATGGCTAAAAGTAGCCAGGGTGCAGCTCAGGCTACTGCTTCAGAAGGTGCAAACCCAAGACTTGGTGGCTTCCATGTGGTGTTTGGCCTGTGGATGCAGAGTTCAAGAATTGAGTTTTGGGAGCCTCCACCTAGATTTTGGAGGATGTGTGGAAATGCCTGGATGTCCAGGCAGAAGTCTGCTGCAGGGGCAGAGTCCTCATGGAGAACCTCTGCTAGTGCAGTGCAGAAGGGAAATGTGGGGTTGAAGTCCCCACACAGAATCCTTGGTGGGGCACTGCCTAGAAGAGCTGTGAGAGGAGGGCCACCATCCTCCAGACCCCAGAATAGCAGATCCACTGACAGATTGCACTGTATGCCTGGAAAAGTCACAGGTACTCAATGCCAGCTCATGAAAGCAGCTGCAGGGGCTGAACCCTGCAAAGTCACAGAGATAGAGCTGCCCAAGGCCATGGCAGCCTACCCTTTGCATCAGTGTGCCCTAGATGTGAGACATGGTGTCAAAGGAGATTATTTTGGAGCTTTAAGATTTAATGACTGCCCTGCTGGATTTTGGACTTGGATGGCCCCTTTATTCTGGCCAATTTCTCCCATTTGAAATGGGAGCATTTATTCAATGCCTGTACCTCCATTGTTTCTTGGAAGTAACTAACTTGCTTTTGATTTTACAAGCTCCTAGGCAGAAGGGACTTGGTTTGTCTGAGATGAGACATTGGACTTGAACTTTTGGATTAATGCTGGAATAAGTAAAAACTTTGGGAGACTGTTGGGAGGGTATGATTGTGTTTTGAAATGTGAGGACATGGCATTTGGGAGGGGCCATGGGTGGAATGCTATGGTTTTGCTCTGTGTCCCCACCCAAATCTCATCTTGAATTGTAATCCCCACATATCAAGGGAGGGACTTGGTGGGAGGTGATTGGATCATGGGGGTGGTTTCCCCAATCCTGTTCTAATGATAGGGAGTGAGTTCTCATGAGATTTGATGGTTTTATAAAGTGCTGTTCCCCCTTCACTTTCTCTTCTCTCCCCTGCTGCCTTGTGAAGAAGGTGCCTGCTTTGCCTTTTGCCATGATTATAAGTTTCCTGAGGCCTCCCCAGTTACGCAGAACTATGAGTCAATTAAAACTCTTTCCTTTATAAATTACCTAGTCTTGGGTAGTATCTTTATAGCAATGTGAAAACAGACTAATATAACCAGAAATCACAACTAATTTGTACACATCTACAAGATTGTGAGGGGGTAAACAATAGCAAATAGGATCTCTGAGTCATAAAATTGTGAAAAAACTGTTCTCACTTGCTAGTTTTTTGTTTTTCTGAATTTCTCAGAGCAAACATTACTTTCATAATGAGGTAATGTATTAATGTTTATTTATTTTGAAATTTTGAAATATGCTGGGATCTTGGGAAGGTCAAGCCCATTCATCAAAATATTTATTTTTCGGAAGAAGTTTACAAGACCCTATGTTCAAGAACATTTAGATGTTAGAGTCATGAAAAAGGTTGGGGTGAACCCCTGATTCCCACTGAGGAGGTGGCAAAGAATGTCCACACTACAACATTTGAATATCCAAGTGCTCTTTTTAGTGTAAGGTACTAGGATTAATTTTATTGATGAGGTATCAAAATCAAGCTATTTGATAAACACACAAGCACTTCTAATAATCAATAAACTACTTTTATTTTGTAGAATTTTATAGTAGAAGCAACTTTAAGAAATACTTGTTTTAGTAAGTATTTCTTCCCAAGATGAGGAGGCTTAAGCCTAAATAAATAAAGTGATTTTTGCTGAGTAGTAATGAAGGAGTGGCAAAATCAGGGTAGAAGTCCGTTTGCCTAGGTTCTGGGTCAGTACTCCATGGGCTGTGTTTAATTTTCCTTAAAGTGACATTTTTCACTAATTAAATGTCAGGTTTTGGCTTAGCTATCTTTTTCTAGGCATTACAAACCCAGCACAGTAAAGTAATTCTGTTTGCTTCTAGTTGCTCAAAGAAATTAGGTTAAACATTCTGGATTAACTTTACTCTTTTTGTAAGAGACTACCCAAGAGACATTGTAAGAAACATTTCAAGTGTGCAAATGCTAAAGCTGGACATCTAGAGAAAGTAGGAATGGAAAGTGAGTCTGAGAAATAATTAATAGATTTTAGAGAAGTAGATCAAATGATCAGTTGGGCAACTGTTTTATGAGTTGTTGGAGTCAAGCTTAGTGAGCTTGACTTGGTTTTATAAAGCGCTATTCCCCCTTCACTTTCTCTTCTCTCCCCTGTGAAACCCCAGTTATTTCCAATAGCTCTGGGATTGGCTTTACAGGTACTCCATTTCCAAGACTACTTTTTTCTTTTCTTTTCCTTTCTTTTTTTGCACAGTGAGAGCTGCCAATGCCAAGGCAATTGACAATGTTTCATGGAAAAAATAAAAGCTCTCTGTAGTTGGTATTAACGGTAAATTATTTTTAATGATTTTTCAAATTACAATTTAATCAGAAAAATTATTATTTGACTTGTCCTGTTGAGTAAATATTAAATGAGTTACACTACATCTGTCTCCACCACACTTTCTGAACCTTGACAGTCAATTTCAAATGCATTTCCTATTTTGTCCTTATTCTGGGAGTAGGAAACTTACATGGCAGAGTCCCTGGAACTGGGCTCTCTCTTTCATTTCACCTCTCTCCACACCGATTTGTTAGCTATTTAAGTATTTAATAGGATATAGATTTTTTCATTTCCACCTGCCAAAGAGAACGTTGAGTGGCCAAAAAAAATCCAAAAAACCAGAAATAATTAAATGTAGCTTTTGAGAGTTCATAAGTAAAGTTAAAATTTCAATATAAAAGGAAAAAGGAAAGGCCTTGAATGAAGTGTCTATGTTTTCCTCAAATATGTAAGCTAAATCACATACACATCTTTGATACCTAGAATAAAATTATTTCTTTGTAAGTTCACAAAAAAGCAATTTATAAAATAATTTTAGGTTTATGTTAGAGGACATCTGACCAAAAATAATACTAAGGGGACACTGCCATGAGGCTTGAAAATTAACTTGGTTTTCATTGTGAATATCAAGTCTTTGTAGGCACTATCTTGTGTGTTGTATGCCTGACCTTCCACAGGCTGGAGAGGTCCATTTTTTGTCCTACCTAAGAATTACAATGAGTTCAATTCCCGTGCATCAGTTCAACTCCTACTTTTGTGAAGATGGGCTTGGAAGCTAAGCAACTACCTGTTCTTCCCATGTGCAAGATTCAGCTTAATGATGGCTGGTGGGATGTCATGAGACTACTTTTGTTCATCTGTTTTGAGTTTAAAAGAAACATATTCGAATTTATACTTTCAGCTGAATCATGGAATCATGAATGTTAGTGCTAGAAACAAATATATTGAGGTCCAGTCTTCACTGCTATCCAGTCTCCCTCATTCATACCTAAAAGAATTGACAATGGTGACATCCAGTGATGACTTTTTGTTTCTAGTTTGGGATACCTCTTTTACTCATAGAAGCATTAGAAAGTAAAAAACATGTCAAATTTCTCAGGACTTAAAAAATTTTGAAAAATAACCCAAACTTTTCCCCTTCCATGTGTAACTAATATAAATTAACTCTTAGAAATGGAATGGCCATATTTTGAGGCATCATTTTCTCATATTAAATCCATCCATTTCCAGATGAAGACGGTATTGTCCTGTAGAAAATAGCCAAGATTTCACCTAGGCTGGTGAGACAAGATTTTCCAAGTATCCTTTCAAATATATTCCATAAGTGTTGGCTTTTTTTCTTTATAAATTATAGGAGTGATGCATTAATACACAGAAACAGAGGGGAGGAAAGGAGACAAGAGGGAGGGAGGGAGAGAGAGAGAGCAGGAGAGAGAGAGAGAGACACTAATTTTAAATTTTAATCTCTTTACTGAATAGTAAACTACTCAAATGTGGTTTAAAATTTCTCTTGACATTTATTGCATTTTGGCTTTCTATTCCATTTGGTTTAATAGAAATACATAGTCTGGGGTCAAGTCACCTAATCTCAACCTTGATCTGAACCTTTTAAGACACTTACACAACTTTCATAAAGATATACTATGGGAGTTCAAATAGACAGTAAGAATTTTCTAATAGAGGATATTCTTGTATTTAAAATTCTAAGTCAGGTATGGGTGATAACATTCCTCTTTCTAAGGTTATGTACAGATTTTAGATAAAATGGCCAGTATTGTTCCGGCAGACCAGAGAAGCATCCTCTTTATGTGAAGAATGTGATTCTACTTTTACAATCCAGGGATGTCCATGAGAATCTGGATGATCTTATCCAGAGACCAGGTGCCATTCATAATTTTCTCTCTGTTTTCCTTGCTTATTATTTCCTTCTTCACGGTAAATGACAGAGCTCCAGGTTTTATACCATCAGTCAAGCAGCAGTAGGATGAGGGAGGGATGAACTGGCATGGCTTCTCCTGTAACAACAAGTTCAGAGGGGGTAGGCATCACTCCTTATTACAGTCTGTTGCATAAAATTTAGTCACATGGTGATGTGCAACAAAATACAGGGCTGAGAAATTTAGTTCTTATTCTGGGTAGCCAGGTGTGCAGCAGAAATCAAGGGTTCTATTCCTATAAGTGCAAAGGAGAGAATGGATCTGAGGGGAGCCACTAGCAGTCTCACCGATACTGTTTGGTAGTTAGAGTCATCTTGGGAACTCTAAAAATATGTAATACTGGGCCTCAACCTTGGAGATTCTGAATCAGTAGGTCTGGTTTAGGCTCACTGGTCAAAATGTCCCCAGGATCTATCTCAGTGATGAGGCAAATCACCAGAAAGTTATATTCCAGAGGAATTGCCTTTTCAGAAAACCTATTATGCTCTCAAAGCTTTCAAAGGGAGAGGTATGATAAATAGCTGTATGTGAAGCATCTCTGCACTTTTTTGCAAGTAGAACTTTTGTCAAGGATATTATGCATTATGTTGTTTAGTCCTTATGTAAAGGAGGACTTATGACTAATTTCTTTCAGCACTCAGAACCAGGTAAATACATTTATTCTTCTACACACTTATTTTGTTGTATTAGACAATTAAACCTGCACAATCTACTTATTTTTTCTCTTTGTTTCAGCTATAGAAAGCAAAGAGCTTTGATGTTCATGTGTTGTAGCTTTTCTTAGAATTTGTGCAGATAGTTTCTTCTGTCTTCTGACAAAAATAATAAAAATAGGAGTTTCTAAGTTTCGTAAATTTGAAATACATTGTGAATAATGACAATACCATTTAATTTTTGAGTGCTTATTTTGTGAGAAGCACTATGCTAATCATCTTATAACATCAACCCGGGTGTATCACCAACTTGTATGATCCGATGTGGTTCAGTTTCTACATTGTGTAACTTCCAAATAAACATTGTCCAGCCAACAAATGTAATTAAACACAACACTCAAGTTTTACTTAGATCTCTCAGAGATGAATATTAACAGGAATACAGCTAATTAAACAGAGTAGAATGTCCTTAAATATCTTTCTCCTTAATCTCTTGAAACTTTTATGGCTCAGCGGTTGCCAAATTTCCCCAACTCTCTCTGACATTCAGTGAGTCTTTTTTCCGTTTCTTTTTGTCGTTCCTCTGTAACACTTTGCGTTATCTTTCTGTGAGAGAGGACAGAACTTCCACTCTCAACTTCTGTTGGCTAAGCAACTACATTCTAGGATGACTGGAGGACCAGGCAACTCCAGGCTTGCTGGTTCTTCCCCACTTCCCACAGATGAATTTTATGGATCTTTTTGAATGCATTGATCTCCTCTCAATGCATTTTCCACCTGGTTATGCTTTTGAGGTATCCCCATGAGAAGACATGGAGGTTTTGTAAAATTAAGCAACTTCTCCAAAGTCACCCAGCTAAGAATCAGGATATTGAAGTCCAAAGAGTGCAGCTTCAATGTCTATGTGACTCGACACTCTGTTCTTTTCTTATATTTTATATGGCTGGGATGACAGCACAGTTATTCTTTCCATAGTTTGAAAACATTTCCAATATTATCATCTAGAAGCAGTATTACCTCTTCAGATTACTTATCAGAATTTATTTAATTGCTTATTTTTGTTCCACTTTGCCATTGCACTCATTGTAAGCTCAGTGAGATAGTTTTGTCTTGTTCACTACTAAATTCTCACCATTATATGCAATATTGTGTTCAGAGTAGGCAAAAAAAAAAATACTCATTGAAATAATGACTGGATCACTAGATGAAAAGAGTGAGTTACCTTTCCCTACAACTGTGGAATTTTTTTGTCACTAATAGTGTACCTATCTTTATAATGTGAAGTTTTCTTGGAAATGAAAAATAGTTACTTGTCACAAAAATCTGAGACCTTTGGTATATAGTAATGAGATAGGCTTCTTTCACGGCTCATAACTTGATTTTGAAGGAAATTACAAAAGGATAGTTAAAAAAAAAGTTTTTGTCTGTGGCAACACTATATGTGACATAGTGAAGAAAACAGAATTTTAGAGCCAGAAAAGAAAGGTATAAATCCCAGCTGGTATAAGTTGGGTATAAGTTCTTACCCAAGACTTACTGGTCACAGTCTTGGGTAAGAACATTAAATAATTTAAACTTCAAATTCCTCATTTTAAAGTGGAAATACTACTTATTGAAAGTCATTGTTTATTTCTTAGTATCCAATATGAGATGTATGTGAAAGGTCTTTGAAAAATCTGAATATGGTTATTATGTAAATTATTAAAATTTTGATTTGTTAAATGTTGTGAGTAATGACTGCATCATCTTTGGGTAAAAAAGTACACAATAGTGTCCCAACTGTGTTCTCTCCTTTTTTACATTAAAATATCAGAAGAAAGGAATGTGTGGGGCTTTATTTTTAACTTTCTTCATTAATCTTTGAACAATAACTATGCCTGTTATCAAATGCATTTCCATTGTTGAGTTCATCAACTGAACAATATGCCTATCACATCCCACATTTCACAGACTGTTACAACATTTTGGTTTTTATAAATATGGTTTGTAATGTTGTTCTTTAGTATTATACAAGGTTTTCCGAAAAAATGAAATATTATTTATTTCACTAAACAATTAGCAAGATAAAAGTTATTTTTTAATCATCTTGTCAAGAAATAAAATTTGAGCAATAAACAAAACATAATATCTCCATTTGGTTGAATTAAACAGTTATAGATCTTTTCTAATCTTTTCTGGTCTTATTGAGGTTATTAAAAATCATTATGTACATTATGTATTAAAGCTTTATCATAATGAAACATTTTTAGCTAAGATTCTCCAAAATGAACAATAACTGCACTTTAGCAATGTCAATAATTCAGGATATGAGTTAAACAAAATTAGGACCCAAGACAATTAATTCTATGTATATTGCAGAATATAAACCATAGGGAAGTAGCAAGCCTCTATAGTTATATTGCATATATATCAGCAATTATATGGAAAAGTTAATTGAAAACAAATATATAAAAGCTCTAAGAAAAAACCCTAGACATTTCTTAAATACAAATTTTGATGAGTTCCAGTTTCACAGTGCTGATACTATTTTCCTAATGGATTCCAAGAGTCCGATTCCACTTTTATTCTGTGTCTTGCAATGAAATAGTCAGCTTTACCATAAAACTTATGGAAAGCATGATTGCACAGAATGGCTGATATCCTTGTAACTTACCTTCAAAACTTAAGGTAAGTTTTGAAAATGTATTTTGCCAGCATAATATACATTGAACTGGTGCACATGTCTAAGAAAACTATCTTGCAAATATATATTCACTAGATCATTGCCCTCTTGGGGTCCACATATCACTTGTATTAAAGAGGATCACCATCAGTTCAGAGTGTTTTAAAATAAATGCATAATCTCATTTCATTGTGTTTTCTCCCCCATGGTCCTCATCATTAGACTCACCTAATTTATTTTACATCTGTATTATCTGCATGACTATAGACACTCCAAATAGCAATATCTGTTTTAGGCATCATTTTGATCTGGACTCTCTAAGCATTGAAGGATAAATTTCATTAACTCTTCGAGAGGAACTAGACCAAAACTCTAGTATAAAGTACATAAAATTTGTAAATCATTAACTTAAGCACAAACACAAAAAAACTACATATAAATGTACCTTCTATGTGCCTTTTGGTTCATTATCAATTATCTCCTAATTAGGAGTGAGCAAGACTAATGTTTGTTCCCTACTTCTATTTGGGACTTTGCGGTTGGAGTGGGGCATTTCATTTAGCATCATTTGCTCAGTTGTTTCTGTGGCTCACACCCAATCATATCTCACGTCATTCCATGACATTTATACTGTAGAGCTATATTGGGCAAGGCTTGCTTTATTGCAACCAATAGAAAAAAATGACTCTGGGTAATTCAAGCCGAAAATGGAGGTAGCTACACAAACCAAAAAAAAAAAAAAAAAAAAAAGGCCATGCCCCAAACCAAGGAATTATGGTTTTCAGAGGCAGAGGCAAAGGCTGGGTCTGGGACTATAGTAACTGAAGTACATGGAACCAATGTTAGGGTGCTGCTCTTTTTATGAGTTGGCCCATGTCCCCATGGGGCCCCATGTCTTTCTGTTTGAACTCCAGATTCTCAGGAGAAAGGCATGGACTCATCCGACTTTTTTCTAGTGTTTTTAACCTCTATTTTCACCAATCATGGGCAGCAGAGTAGTGGAACAGCACAAATATGGTGGTGTTGGCATTGCTGTGAGCCAAGATGTACCCTAATTTTGTGTTTGTCACAGTTGGTCACTCTCATCAGGGCTGATATGGTCATTGGAAGAATTTTTTCTCTTTATACTAGTAATTCCTTAAAGTTCAGCATTCAAGCACAGAATCTTTATCAGGTTTACATCTACAGCTCTGCTTATTTCTATTTCCATTAGTTCTTGCTCAGATTGTGCAATGCTACAGTTATGACTGCTGATGCCCAACTATGACAAAATGCTCCCTTTTGTACTTCTGGAGCAGGATGGACTCACCCACCACACCATTCTATTTTTACAAAGAAGAATAAACTTTTGAGCTGAATGAAGGGCTGTTTGAAAGATTCTCCTCCAGTACTCACAAGTAATTTACCCTGCAGTTAAGTCCTGTCTCCACTACCAAATATTTTCCTCTCCATTTCTACAGATCTGTTAATAATGGCCTATGGGCCTCCTGGAGTTTTGCTATTTAATTATTTTATGTTGGTTAATGCAGAAAATGAATCTGGACAGTACTTTATTTCAATCTGTCTTCAAGGTCCTGGGGAGATTTACTGAATATGGCAAGCTTTGTTTAATGTTCATTTAGTTCTTTCATGTCCACTTACTGTGGAAAAGAATGACTGAGATGAATGGTGACTCCGTGGCATATTTACTTGCCCAGGTGGAAAATTGTTGCTGCTGCTTTCAGAAAAACTTTCCAACCTAAATTAAGGCCATATTCCTTGAAGTTAAAATGGCAAAAGACAAATCTATACATACTATAAAATATATATTGTCTTTTTTTGAAATCATACTCTTTGATTTTTTTTTTCAATTTTATAGCAGTAAAGTTTCAATGAACTCAAAATGATATTTTTGTTTCCTCATTTAAGGAGTAGTGCCAGCAGACATAGTATCTATTTCTAGTTTTGACTCATTGCCTGACCTTAAGTAGGTCATTTGAGCTTTTAGGTCCTTCATTAATAAAATGGGAATATTAGTATTTATATTTTTCATGGAAACCAACAGAATTCTTATTCAATGAAGAATCATTGGCATGGTTGAGAAGGTGTTGGTTGCTCCCACCACCCAAAGCATTCACATTTTTACCATGTTTTCAAATTACTTGAAGATTTTGACTATCTTCCGATCTTTTCTTATGTTTAAAAGACAGTTCTGATGACTACACTTCATTTTCTGATCATTGCAGTACTCAAGGATTGTACATTAAGGCTAGGCACAGTGGCTCATGCCTATAATCCTAGCATTTGGGAGGCCGAGGTGGGCAGATCACTTGAGGTCAGGAGTTCGAGACTGGCCAACATGGTGAAACCCTGTCTCTACTAAAAATACAAAAATTAGCTGGGGTGGTGATGTGTACCTGTAATTCCAGCTACTAAGGAGGCTGAAGCACAAAAATTGCTTGAGCCGGGGAGGCAGAGTTTGCAGTAAGCCAAGATTGCCCCACTGCACTCCAGCCTGTGTGACAAACGAGACTCCATCTCAAAAAACAAAAGGATTGTACATTAAGCATTGGCCACCTGATGCTTCAGATCCCTTCATTATGGAATCACGATTGCCTAAGTACACTAGAGACTTATAGGCTTATTTTGATTTGTGCAAATCTAGGAAGTTATTTGGGGTACTAAAATAGTTTCTTAGTATTATGAAAACCCTTTCCTTATTCCAGAGTCCATTGAACCTGATCATATTGATTATATTAAAAATGTTTCCATAATTCTCTCTGTTATAAATGGAGGTTAAAACAAAGATTATAGGACATAGTCTGATACCAGAACTATATTTTTCTGAAACTTTCTTCAGCTGCATTCTTTCCCCTTTAGGAATTTACAGTTGAAAGACATTTATATCTTTTTACTATCCAATCACACAGAATCTAATTATATATTGTTTTGCTTCTGCTCTTCTTTGCTGTAGATGTTTTAGAACCTTGAGAACATTCCAAAACTAAGTATGATTCAAGAAAGGCTAATGCTTTTCAACTTTAGTTTTCTTTTACAGTTTTTGTCTTTAAGAACAGCATATGCCATGCTTACTTTGCTTATCTTTTAGAGTGACTTTATTTGTAATGATCACGGCTACTATATCCCAGTTACCAAGAATTTGATAGGAACCATGCTAATAACTAAATACATATTTTCTAACATGTAGCTTCAGTATCTCAGTTGTCATAAGACAAGGTTATTATTCCATAGGTATTAGATATGTGCTAATCATTACATAAAAATATTACTTTGTAATTGTAACATCATTGTAAGTGGATAATCTGCTTAATATTGGAAGTGGAATAATTTTCTTCATTATTAATTTGTTCTATTATCTATGTCTCATAATAATTTGGGTAATACATAAAGTTCTATGACATTTAAAATTGTAGTCATGCAGAAATTGCTTGGTTGTTCCTATAAAGCTAAGTAGGAAAATATAGGTAAACAGACGTGTTTTGAATAATATTTAGGGACATCTAAAATATGAATCTGGACTCACAAATGTTTAATTTCATTCCATTTGGAAGTCATGTTAGTAGTGGTTAAGTACATAAGTTCTGGACTCCAACTGCTAATGTCTAAATATATGCTCTGCCACCTTCTTACTATATGACTTTGGGCAAGTTACATAACTTCCCTGTACCTTAGCTTTCTCATCTGTAGAACAGAAACAACAGCTTCTTATTAATCGGTCTCCCTTATTCTGCTGCTCTTTTTACTATGTGCTCCAGTGTCATTGGCTCCTTATGTTTCTCATGATAGAGTCTAATATACATTGTACAACTGGATTATCCCAGGAAGTACACCCTAATTAAAACTATTGTGTCAGTTTGAGTTCAGTGAAGTGAAACTACTATGAATGATGCAGAATAAGAGATTATTCTAATACTAATTTAAGATTGTGTTTGAAACAAATGGGCTTTGAATTTTAGCCAATGTTTTCCTGCTTGTTTTGAGATGTTGTTTTTTTTTTTTTTAGAAATGTAATGGATTAGGGTGATAGGATAAAACAGCAGAAATGTCCCAGGCATATTTGTATGGCAAAGTTGGCATTTCAAATCAGTGGAGAAAATACAAAGTATTCAACAAGTAGTTTTGTGGAAATTGGTTATTCATTAGGAAAGAAGTCAGGTTATATGTCTAGTAGATGCTATTCACAGAAATTCTATGTGTGATAAGGATTTTTATATCAAAATCCTGAAGTATAAAAGTAATGATAGAAAACATATGACTATGATTATGACTTAGAATAGCATAAGCCATATTAATCAAGGCACAAGAGTGATTAAGATTGATAAATATAAATTTGATGTCAAAATTAGAAGCTTCTTCATAATAAGCAACACAATAGGAGAAAATGTTTGCAATGTATATAAACTAAAATTGGATTCATATTAAGAGTATATAAAATTTCTATAAGTTGAGAAGTGGTATGGCCTGAATGTTTGTGTCCTCTCAAAATCCACAAGGTGAAGGTAATAGAAGGTAGAGCCTTTGGAACGTGATTGGGTAATGAGGGCAGAGGAGTCCTTGTGAGTGGGATTAGTGGCCTTATTAAAGGAATTGCAGACAGATAGCTTGCCTTTTTCACCATGAGAAGTTACAATGAGAAGGCAGTCCAGGAAGTAGGCCCTTGGCAGACATCAAATCTGTCTTGATCTTGGACTTCCCAGCTTTCAGAACTGTGAGAAATACATTTGTGTTGTTTATAAGCCACTTAGTCTATGATGTTTTGTTATAGCAGCTCAAACAGACAACCAGAAAAGAGAAAGAAAGAAAACCAGTAGAAAAGTGGAAAAAAGGCTACAAACGTGGTACATAGTGGTTGCCTCTTCAAAGAGACCTAGGATTTGGAGTGGTAATAAAAGAGGGATTTAGTTTTATGTATAGGATTATGATTTTTTCAAAGATAATCTAATGAATTATTTTATCTTTATATATTCTAGATATCAATTTTTTGTCTTCAAATGTGGAACAAATAATTTATTTAACTATGTTTTTTGATTAATTGGAAATTTATTCATTTCCATAGTTTTGCTATCCAAAGACTACTGTAATGAATATCCATTATGTATCTCCTTAAGAACATGAGGAGATTTTTCTTCAAGATAGATTCCAAGAATAGAACTGCTGGCTCATGGTAGACACTCATGTTTAAGTTTAGAAGGTATAGCTAAATTGCTTTCCAAAGCACATGGGGCAATTTATATTTTCACAATCAGTGTGTACCTGTTCTAGTTTTTCTGTATCCTTGCCAACAATCAATACACTAATTCAAAGTAAGAAATACGACAACTCAATAGAAATATGGGCAAAGGCTATGGATATATATTCATTTACTGAAAAATAAACATAACAGCCAGGAAAAATCGTGCTTGTTCTCACTCATAATCATGAAAATACAAAATATAACAACCGTGGGGTACCCTTTTTCAACCATCTGTTTGGCAAAAGTTAAAAAAAGTTGTGTGAATTTTAGGAAATGCATGCCAATATTTTCACTATCCAGCAAAGTGAGATAAAAGACTTCTAATTTTTTGAAATTAGAAAAAAAAGTTCTACTTAAGGTAGTAGACAAATGGCCCAGGGAACTTGTACGGAGAAGTGAATAAGGATGAATCCAATGTTGAAAGTCAAATATAGCCAAGCTCTGTCAGCAAACTGACAGCAGCAGGGCCTTCCACAGTTTTCCTGTTATTACAATTAGATTGAGTAGAACCAGAAAAGGCTGAGGCTCCTAAAAATTGGCAAAAATCCAGAATTGAGTAGAAGAGATGGGGTCCCTTGACAGAGCTCAAGGCCTAGTGGTCAATGTAGAAGATGTGTGGAGTCAAGTTGAAATATGAGTATCCTGTGAAAAAAACTGGAGAGTGAGAACTGAATTTTTTGAGGCGTTAGGAGAGAAACGTCCCTAAGCGAGTTCAGAGTGCTTTCTTCAGCAATAAGGGCTTATTTCTGTAACCATTATAAGAAAAATATACATTTAATGGAGCACTGCATGTGCCTGGGGAATCATAGTTTAATGTTGAAAAGGTTGCAGAAAAATTAGGGGCATTTGGAAAGTGAGCTTGGTTCTAAGGCCAGTATCTTCAGGGCACTGTACTGTTAGATTAAGCCTTGCTAAAACTATCTGGGACCTTTTGCTTGGAATTATGATCCAGAATTATCAGGATATTTCCCAAGAGACGTGTGGAGCCATAGGCTACACTAGGTAGGGTTGTGCTAAGCAATATTGGACAGTGGATTCTAATATACTATAATTTTTAAAGTCAGAGATCACTCTGTATCTTGGGCATATTGTGAATTGGAATTTCCAAAGGGAACTGAGGGAGTGAGTTAATTAGGCACACATCTGAGATAGTGTGCTCAAATTTCTACAGACCAGTTAGAAATAGGTGTGTTCATTGTGAACAATGTGAGCCTCTCCTAGGTAGTCAGCCAATTTTGCTACAGGCACACTGAGGAGCAGTGTGTATCTACTCCCCTGATATATTACCCAAGTACCAGCATGAAGCTACAAATAGAAGGAGGAGAAGGAAACAGCTTCTTATTTGCCCAACCCAGAAGTGGGGAATGAAGGTGGGGCTAGAACTTAATTTAAACAAGAGGAGAAAGGCCTCCTCTCTCCATAAATGGGACATAGATTGTACAAAAGATGTGAAGCACTGAATAGAATTGTAATGCTATAAAAATTTAAGATCATTATTTAGAGGATGAATTTTCATTAATCTATGAATCAAGAAAACATATATTGGTATTTCAAAATCTTTTTGTGTACCTGATAAATATGGGTTATTCTGAACTGAATGAAAGGAATAAGATTGGGGACACCATGACTTGAGCTCAGGATACCCATTGCCAAGGAGCGAGAAGTGGTAGCTTTTAGTGTTGTGTTTAATTTTAGGGAGTGGGTATCATCAGTTACATTTGGCTAAGGAAGGTAAGGCAGCTTTCCTCAGGTTCATCCCATTGGAATACATTACATAAGGTTTTTCTAAAGTGAGGTTATGTTTCATTGGTTGATGAAGAGGAACAGTGGGATCCAAACAGTTTTGGAAGTGCTGGTGTAATTAGATAAATATTTGTACGGTACTTGGAAGACTATGAAGGAACCCTGAGAGAAACAACTCCTAAAGATGCCAAGGTGCTTCCAGGAGAGGGTCATTCCTGCTACATATCTGGGAGGTATGCATGGAACATAGAGTTTTCTAGCAGGAAAAAAGCCAGTTCCTGAAGATCCTTTGGCTTCATCCACATCCTCATCCAAGTAGCATTAGATAACTAAAGCCGTTTATGAAACTCAGTAGACATCACGGATCAAAGAAGGCCCTAGATAAACAAAAGCATATTGCTGCATTAATTCAAGGAAGTGTAGGGGCATCTTGCAAGTCTGCATCCAAGACATTGAAGATAAGGTCCATTTGATGGGTATAGAATAATTTACATGCATGAGTCACATGATAATGATTAACAATTTTTTTTATACACTAAAAAAACTATTTGTTTTGACTCTCTTACTTTTTCCCCCACAGAAATTTGCTGTCCCATCCCTCCTTTTCCCACAAATAATCCATATTAACTACATACCATGTCTTCCTTCAAATTAGTGGAATTATATAAAGATATATGTATATGTGTGCAAGTGTACAAACATACATATATAAATATACATATATGTAGATACGAAACCTATCTTTTGTTATTGTTTTGTAAAACACTTTTTCACATGAAAAATGCTGTGAATTTGGTACAACTCTCTGCCAGGACCGGAAGGGAGTGAGAGAGAGAATCCCCTTTTGGGAAGTGTTTGTTTCACCAGACATTAGAGAAGGTGGTGGTCATGTGCAAGGCTTATAGTCTAGAGCGAGGAACTTGTACCAGTTGAGGGCCTGAGTTTTGAATGAATAGCAAGAATGATCCCACTCCAGAACATCCATATCCATGTACATTTTTAAGAAGTTGGAAGATGGGCTGGAATCTGAATTAGATAACTGTTTTATAAATTCTTCTGGATTTAGTGTGAATCATGATCAGCCAATGGTAAGGTTGTTTATTAATGGATAACCCCTTGTGTCTTCTAAACCAAGTGCAAATGCAATAGTTCATTATGCTCACTGAGGTAGACCCCTGCAACATCAAATGGTGGCTGGAAGGGCCTTGGCATCCCAGTAGAGTGCCCAGGTGCACCAGAGTCATGGTAGAACCCCACAACAGTATTCTCTTTGTTCAGTGCCATTGAATTTCTGAGCATAATATTAGTGTCTCAGGAAATCCTTCCCAAGAAGTTATTTCCAGCTGGCAGCCAGTAATTTATTCCAAATGTCTGAATGAGCTGAAGAGAGTTTCCCCTGGTCTGAAGTTGCTTGTCCTGGCAGACAGATGTCTGCACTGCTTCTTACTTTTTAAAAAATTTGTCTCTGCTACACAAGGCTTAAAGATCTCTCACCTTTGTGTTGTTTGACTGGAGACAGCAAAATAATGAATCTGAATAGGAAACAGATCCTATCACAACTCCTCTCCATAACTGTCTTATTTATTTTTCCTGACACAATGATTTTATCTTCATTTGTATCCCTCATTATGGATTTTTCTTTTATTTTACACTCAGTGTTTGGCCTTGGCAACATCAACTCTACTGTTTGGAAAACTCTTTGAATTTGAATTTGAGGCTAAGCCACAGTTGAAGTTGGCTTTGGCAACTTCTCTTTCAGACAGACAGATTTCTTCAGTTTCCTTAAAGGATGTCTAGGACACCAAGATGAGTCTATGTCCTGGACAACACAAAGACCTCTCAACAGATGTGAGGTATGCTCAAAGGCAGTCTAAACACCAAATTTTTTAAATGGAAGGAAGTGAGACATCTAAAGTGATTTTCTAAAAACAATCATTGCCTTACAGCTCTAGGGATTCAGCAAGCAAAGTATTTAATGCTTGTCATTAATAGGATATACCTAGGTAATTTCTGGTGCTTTTGAGGTATAACAATAGAATTATTTAATTAGGAAAGTTTCTAGGGTTTTATTGAGATGTTGTAGAGTGGGAGTTTTGAACAAGTATTATTGCATAGAGATGGTCTATGACTTATGATGGTTTGACTTGAGAATTTTCAACTTGATGGTGTGAAAGCAATACTCGTTCAATAGAAACTGTATTTTAAGTACCCTCACAACCATTCTGTTTTTTCATTTTTTAGCACAGTATTCAACAAATTACATGAGTTCTTCAAAATTTTATTATAAAATATCCTTTGTTTCAGATGATGATTTTGACCAACCGTAGGCTAATGCAAGTGTTCTGAGAATGTTTAAGGAAGGCTAGGCTAAGATATGATGTTTAGTAGGTTAGATGTGTTAAATGCATTTTCAACTTTTTTGGTATTTTCAACTTACAATGGGTTTTTTTGGTGATGTAACCCAATTATAAGTCAAGGATCATCTGCATGCTGATTTGTTAATTAACATTTCAAATTTCCTCTAATTAAATATTAAAAAGTGTGAATCTGATGTATTCATTTTTGTCTTTTCAGCCCCAACAGTACAGAAAAGTCTAACCAATTCATTTAAAAAGATCTTGTCACCTGTAGGATCCTGTTTGGTCCCTGCAGAATGCTTCTGATGAATGCCACTGCTCAGGTCTTCCTCAATAATTACCATTTCTCCTGCTTATTTTTTCCCTTGAAAACCTTTCCAGGGGCCCTCTGAGGCTCTTGTCCATAGTAAACAAAGCTTACCACTGTGTCTTCTACTTTCTGGAATGCTTTGTCCCATTATTGCTTCAACTTAAACCTAGTTCTTGAGGACCTTTCCTCTTGTATCTTTCTCAAGTGAATGGTTGTGGGAGTACTCAAAATACAGTTTCTATTGAATGAGTATTGCTTTTGCACCATCATTAAGTTGAAAATTCCCAAGTCAAACCATCATAAACCAATCTCATCTTCCTGGTGAAGTTCACACATTTTAGCTTCCAATGTCATTTCTGAATCCTCATTTTTCCACCTGCATGAAAAAAAAAATCTACCTCTTTGATGTTCATACTCTTCCACATGATTATTGCTGATTATATGGCTACTGTCTGTTGGCTAAAACACTTTGGGCATCCCACTTACAAAATTCCTCTCTGCCTCAATTTATGCCATTGTGCCAAATGACTTCAGAGTTTACAGGGCCCCATTTACTGTGGTTTGAATATGCACTCCACAGTTCATGTGCTGGAACCTTAATCCCCAATGCAGCAATGTTGGGAGGTGGAAACTTTAAGAGGTGATTATGTTATGAGGGCCCTACCATCACAAATGAATCAATGCCATTACTGTGGGAGTGGGCTCATGATAGAAGGATGAATTTGACCTTATTTCCTCTCTCTGTCTCTCACACTTGCTGTGTGATGCCTTCTTCTATGGGATGATCCTCACCAGATGCTAATGGCATGCTTTTGGACTTCTTAGCCTCCAGAGCTATGAGCCCAATAAACTTCTGTTCTTTATAAATTATTCAGTATGTGGTATCCTGTTACAGCAGCAGAAAACAGAGTAAGACAGAAAACTGGGGCCGGACATGGTGGCTCATGTCTGTAATCCCAGTACTTTGGGAGGCTGAGGCAGGTGGATCACTTGAGGTCAGGACTTCAATACCAGCCTGACCAACATGGTGAAACCCCATTTCTACCAAAAATACAAAAATTAGCTGGGTGTGGTGGCATGTGCCTATAGTCCCAGCTACTTGGGAGGCTGGGGTGGGAGAATTACTTGAACCTAGTTGGTGGAGATTGCAGTGAGCCGAGATTACTCCACTGCACTCCAGCCTGGGTGACACAGTGAGAGGCCCTGGCTAAAAAAAAAAAAAAGGTACAGGAAAGTGAGGCTGTGGTATAACAAATACCTGAAAATGTGGAAGTGGCTTTGGAGCTGGGTAATGGGTAGAGGCTGGAAGAATTTGGAGAAGCAGGCTAGAGAAAACCTGTATTGTAGTGAATAGAGCATTAAGAGTGATTCTAGTGAGGGCTCAGAAGAAGAAGAGACATTCTTCTTTTCTGGAAGAGGAGCAGTGGAGTAAGTTGGAATCTTCTTAGAGATTCCTTAAGTAGTCCCGGCCAGAATGTTGGTAGAAATATGGACAATAAAGGTCATTCTGATAAGATCTCAGATGGAAATGAAGCACAGTGTATTAGAAACAGGAATAAATGTCATCTTTCCTATACCGTTGTAAAGAACTTGGTGGAATTGTGTCCATGTCCTAGGATTTTATGGAATGTAGAACTTCTGAGCAATGAACTAGGGTATCTGGTGAAAGAAATAGCTAAGCAGCAAAGCATTCAGTCTGCTGCATGGCCACTTTTAATTGCATACAGTGAGATGTGACTTCTTTAATTTTAAAGCCTTAAACTGTCTTTCCACATCAGCCATACACTTCCTTATTCACATTGTGGACCCTGTGTCACCCTGAATCCCATAACAGTAATTGTTTTACAACCATAATACCTAACACAGATTAAGCACTTACTCTGCACTAGGGCACTGAGCTGTAATTTTTATATTTATTGTTTTATTTAATTTTGAAATCAACTCTGTGAAGTAGGTACTATTTTGATCCCCATTTTACTGAGAGAGAAAGTGAGGCGCTGAGTGGTTAAATATTCAAGATCATACAGCAAGAAAATGGTAGAGCTTGGATTAAAATTTATGATATCTGTGCAAAGTTCAAGGTTTTAATTCCCACAGTATAAACATTATGCTCTCTAACCCTACCACCCACTTTCAGTACCTGTCATTCAGTGCCATTGCTCCTGATCCTTAGTCTTATGGTGAATTCTAAGAGCTCCTTGGGCTGCCTGATTCTTCTATACATGTTAGCTTCTCTCCATTTTCATTTTCTTTATTATTAAGTCTAGATTCTGTGGACTGTCATTGAACTATGCTCTCTTGATAGGTTCTCCCACTTTCTTTCCTGTTGTCCTTCACTCACACCTGCCTAGAGAATCTCTAATCCACTCTACAAATGGGTGGGCAAGCATTTTGGAGAAATATCACCCAAAAGTGTAGAAATGCAAATCTTACTTTCTTTATTTAGTATGTAGTAAAAGTAACTCTTCATTGTGCCATAACAAATTAGTTTCTCATTTAAACAACCAGTCTAGTGGCTGACAGAAATGATATCTTAGTCGATTTAGGTATTTTCCCTCTTTTTCTGAAATTGTATCTAATTTTCAGGGAATTTACATATCTTAAAGTGAAAGTTGGGGGGTGAGGGCGGGAGGAGAAAGACCTTTCCTTGTAGTTGTCAAAAAACCTCACTGTAATCCATTGAGATGTCTGCATTTAGGTTGGTTTTTGGCACAGGAGGGAGGTGACTGCTTCATTCTACCTCACTGCTTACTTTTAAAAAATTTCAGTAGCTTTAGGGGTACAAGTTGTTTTCAGTTCCAAGGATGAATTGTATAGTGGTGAAGTCTAGAATTTTATTGTACCCATTACCTGGCTAGTGTACATTGTACCCAATAGGTAGTTTTTCATCCTTCCTTCCCTTCTCACCCTCCCCTCTTCTGAGTCTCCAGTGTCTCAGATAGCATTCTGTATGTCTTTGCATGCCCATAGTGTAGCTCCCACTTATAAATGGTATTTGGTTTTTGCTTCCTGAGTTACTTCACTTAGAATAATGGCCGCCACAGGGCAATCAGGCAAGAGAAAGAAAAGGGTATTCAAATAGGAAGAGAGGAAGTCAAACTGCCTCCGTTTGCAGATGACATGATTTTATATTTAGAAAACCCTATTGTCTCAGCCCCAAAACTCCTTAAGCTGATAAGCAACTTCAGCAAAGTCTCAGGATACAAAATCGATGTGCAAAAATCACAAGCATTCTTATATACCAAGGACAGACAAACAGAGAGCCAAATCATGAGTGAACTCCCATTCACAATTACGACAAAGAGAATAAAATACCTAGGAATCCAACTTACAAGGGATGTGAAGGACCTTTTCAAGGAGAACTACAAACCACTGCTCAACGAAATAAAAGAGGATACAAACAAATGGAAAAACATTCCATGCTCATGGATAGGAAGAATCAATATTGTGAAAATGGCCATATTGCCCAAAGTAATTTATAAATTCAATGCTATTCCCATCAAGCTGCCATTGAGTTTCCTCACAGAATTAGAAAAAACTACCTTAAATTTCATATGGAACCAAAAGAGTCCATATAGCTGAGACAATCCTAAGCAAAAAGAACAAAGCTGGAGACATCACACTACCTGACTTCAAACTATACTACAAGGCTACAGTAACCAAAACAGCATGGTACTTGTACCAAAACAGATATATAGTCCAATGGAACAGAAAAGAAACCTTAGAAATAACACCACACATCTACAACTATCAGGGAGCCTGCCCCGATAGTCATATGGGTTTTTTTCTATTTTCCCTAAGTGTTGGCCGGTTTGAGAAATAAAGGGACAGAATACAAAAGAGAGAAATTTTAAAGCTGGGCATCTGGGGGAGACATCACATGTTGGTAGGTTCCGTGATGCCCCACAAGCCACAAAACCAGCAAGTTTTTATTAGGGACTTTCAAAAGGGGAGGGAGTGTGCAAATAGGTGTGGGTCACAGAGATCATATACTTCACAAGGTAATAGAATATCACAAGGCAAATGGAGGCAGGGCGAGATCACAGGACCACAGGACCGGGGTGAAATTAAAATTGCTAATGAAGTTTCGGGCACCATTGTCATTGATAACATCTTATCAGGAGACAGGGTTTTGAGAGCAACCGGTCTGACCAAAATTTATTAGGTGGGAATTTCCTCTTCCTAATAAGCCTGGGAGCACTATGGGAGACTGGGGTTTATTTCATCCCTATAGTTTCAACCATAGAAGACAGCCACACCCAAGGGGGCCATCTATAGACCCACCCCCAGGCGCGTATTCTCTTTCCCAGGGATGTTCCTTGCTGAGAAAAAGAATTCAGTGATATTTCTCCCATTTGCTTTTGAAAGAAGAGAAATATGGCTCTGTTCCACCTGGCTCACCGGCGGTTAGAGTTTAAGGTTACCTCTCTTATTCCCTGAACAATTGCTGTTATCCAGTTCTTTTTTCAAGGTGCCCAGATTTCATATTGTTCAAACACACATGCTCTACAATTTGGGCAGGTAACGCAATTATCACAGGGTCCTGAGGTGACATACATCCTCCCCGACTTACGAGATGACAGTATTAAGAGATTAAAGTAAAGACAGGCATAAGAAATCACAAGGGTATTGATTGGGGAAGTGATAAGTGTCCATGGACTCTTCACAGTTTATGTTTAGAGATTGCAGTAAAGACAGGCATAAGAAATTATAAAAGTATTAATTTGGGGAACTAATAAATGTCCATGAAATCTTCACAATCCATGTTCTTCTGCCATGGCTTCAGCTGGTCCCTCCGTTTGGGGTCCCTGACTTCCCACAACATACAACCATCTGATCTTTGACAAACCTGACAAAAACAAGAAATAGGGAAAGGATTCCCTATTTAATAAATGGTCTTAGGAAAACTGGCTAGCCATATGCAGAAAACAGAAACTGGACCCCTTCCATATACCTTATAAAAATTAACTCAAGATGGATCAAAGACTTAAGTGTAAAACCCAAAACCATCAAAACCCTAGAAGAAAACCTAGGCAATACCATTCAGGACATAGACATGGGCAAAGACTTCATGATAAAACACGAAAAGCAATTGCAACAAAAGCAAAAATTGACAAATGGGATCTAATTAAACTAAAGAGCTTCTGCACAGCAAAAGAAACTATCATCAGAGTGAACAGGCAACCTACAGAATGGGAGAAATTTTTGCAATCTACCTGTCTGACAAAGGTCTAATATCTAGAATCTACAAGGAACTTAAATTTACAATAAGAGACAAACAACCCCCTCAAAAAGTGGGCGAAGGATATGAATGGACACTTATCAAATGAAGACATTTACACAGCCAACAAATATATGAATAAAAGCTCATCATCACTGATCATTAGAAAAATGCAAGTCAAAACCACAATGAGATACCGTCTCATGCCAGTTAGCATGGCAATTATTAAAAAGTCAGGAAACAATAGATGCTGGCAAGGCTGTAGAGAAATAGGAACGCTTTTACATTGTTGGTGGGAGTGTAAATTAGTTCAACCATTATGGAAGACATTGTGGTGATTCCTCAAGGATCTAGAACCAAGGAAATACCATTTGACCCAGCAATCCCATTACTGGGTATATACCCAAAGGATTATAAATCATTCTACTATAAAGACACATGCATACGTATGTTTATTGCAACACTATTTACAATAGCAAAGACTTGGAACCAACCCAAATTCCCGTCAATGATAGACTGGATAGAGAAAATGTGGCATATGTACACCATGGAATACTATGCAGCCATACAAAAGAATGAGATTATGTCCTTTGCAAGGACATGGGTGAAGCTGGAAGCCATCATCCTCAGCAAACTACACAGGAATAGAAGACCAAATACCACATGTTCTCACTCATAAGTGGGAGTTGAACAATGTGAACACATGGACACAGGGAGGGGAACAACATACACTGGAGCCTGTTGGGGAGTGGGGGGCAAGGGGAGGGAGAGCATTAGAACAAATACCTAATGCATGTGGGGCTTAGAACCTAGATGATGGGTTGATAGGTGCAACAAACCACCATGGCACATGTATACCTGTGTAACAAACCTGCACATTCTGCACATGTATCCCAGAACTTAAAAGAAAAAACAAACAAACAAACAAACAAAATAATGCCTCCAGTTCCATTCAGGTTGCTGCAAAACACATTATTTTATTCTTTTTTTTTGTGGCTGAAGAGTATTCCATGGCATATATACCACATTTTCTTTATCCACTCTTTGATTTATGGGCACTTAGGTTGATTTCATGTTTTGCAATTGTGAATTGTGCTGTGATAAACATATGTCATCACCTACTTAAAGGCACCTACAATTCTGTCACTCACTGGGCCATTTTTTATGCTAGGCTGTGGCACTGAGGGATCTAGCAACATCCAGCATGATGTGGTTGCAGAAATAATGGATAAGTTAGGTGCCTGTGCCCATGAGCCTAAGCAACCTCACAGAGTCTCTCCCACTGTGCATGCCAACCCCCCATGCCAGTTTTCTAAAACTTTTGACCTCAGCTGCACTTGAGATATATTCACATTCCATCTTATTTATTTCATTTATGTTAGTGTCTCAGGGAATTGGTGGTCATGATGGTGGGGGAGGAGGGGATGACAGGCTGCCATCTTTTTGAAATCCCTTGTGGGTCATTCTTGGCTTCTTATTCTTTTTCCATCAAATTTTGACTCCATCATTACGTTCTGTTGATTTTATCTTGAAGTCATCCCTTAATCTTGGACCTACTCCCTAAGATCCCATTCATACTGCCACTCTACTAATAGATATCCCTAAATGACCCTATCATGTCTCTCCCACATTGTTGCCGCAGCCTCCAAATTAGCACCCCCACTTCTGGGTCTATCTGCTTGTCACAGCAATGTATTCTACATATTGTAGCCAGAAAACTCTTTGTAAATTGCAAATCTGGTCACATAACTTGTTTTCAAGAAATCTTCTTGTAGCACCCCGAATAATAAAGTTCATATTCCTTATGTGGCTTACAGATGCCCCAGTAATCCAGCCCCTGGCAAGCTCTCTAGTCTTATCTTCAGATACTTCTTACTGTCATTCACTTTGGGCTTCAGCCATGCGCTTAGACCTTTTTATAAGCTGTTCCCTTTGTCGTTAATTACCTTATCCTCACTTGTGCACCCATCTGGAGCTTACTTTTTCTTTATGTCTAAACTTAGACTCAATTTCCAGACCTCCTGAGACAGGATCAGTGCCACCCTATATGCGTCCATAAGTGCTTATCAGACTGCCTTGTTAACGCCTGTTCGTTGACTGCATCTCTTTCCTGACTGTGAGATCCGGGGGATCAGGCATCATGCGGGTATTCATTATCATTAAGTTCTTACAGAGAATAGTAGATAAAAATCCAGTAATTTAGACTCTCCTTTTTTTCAATGACACAAAATGTAAGAGAAAATTTGTCTTTTTTTTTACATAAGCATCGTGTATTTAATAAAAAACTTTTGCCCATGAGGGCTGTTAGAAATTGAAACATGTTTTTTGGAGAATTGGTATGTTAACTTCTGTCTTATGTCTTTTATATTACATGTTATTAAAACAGCAATTAGATGCCACTATACCTCAGAATAGCTAAAAATAAGATTGATAATACTACATACTGGTGAAGGTGTGGAACTACTGTAACTTTCATACATTGTTGATGGCATGCAAATTGGTACAGTTGCTTTAGAAAACTGTTTGACTTATCTACTAAAATTGAATATTTGCATACTTATTAGTCATTCTCATGTACTCCAGAAGACATGATGATAATGTTCACAGAAACATTATTTGTAATGGCCACCAAATGGAAACAATCCAATTGTCCATCCATAATAAAACAGATGGTATGTTCATTTAAAAGTAAAATGTTGTATATTTATACTATGAAATACCATATAGCACCAATAATGACTAGTCTATAGCTACGCACATAAACATTGCTGAATCTTATGGCTATTTTTATTTATATAAAGTTCACTATAGGCAAAACTAATTTATAGTTTTAGAAGTCAAGAGAGTGGTAGCCTTTGAGGGAGAGTAGTGATTGGGAAGGTGCATGAAGGGGAATTTTGGGGTGTTAGAATGTTCTATTTCTTAACTTGGATGGTAGTTATATGGCATGTTTATTTTGTGATTATTTATATTTTATGATTTGTGTACATAAATGTACAATTTGTGCACGTTTCTGTATGTGTGTTATACTTCAACAAAAATGTAGGCACCTCCCCAAACCAGGTTGATAATTGTTTATCTGCATGAAAGCAGAAATATGATCAAATATAAATTAGAAGAGGCCACCTTTACTATGTTCTTTACCTAAGTATACAAGTTTTACCAGTACAAGGCCAATACTGTCCTTCTGGAAGCTCCATAAAGGCTCCTTTAAGCATTATAATTCAACATATAATTTCAAAGTAACCAATCAGGAGAGCATTACTCTAAAGCAGAGATTCTTAACTTTGTAGTTCCATTGGCAATTTGGTATGAGACCTATACATTGCTTCCCAGAAGGAAGAAATGTTTCTAAGTGTATAAAATAAAAAGAATGCATGTAAAATTACAAAGGAAATTCATGATAGTCTAATTATAAAAATATAAAAAATGAATTTTCATTAACATTATATAATATGACAGCACATTTATGCTGTGGTTTGAATGTTTGTGTCTCCTCCAAATTCATTTAATCTTCAATGTTATAGTATTAGAAGTTGGGGCATTGGGGAGTTGATTAGGTCATTAGGTCTCCACCTTCATGAATGGGATTCGTGCCTTTATAAAAGAGACCCCAGAGAGATAGCTAGCCCCTTCCACCATTTGAGGATTCAGTGAGATGTATCCTATGAAGGAGAAAGTAAACCTTCATTAGACATTGATTCTGGTGGTGTCTTGATTTTGAACTTTCCAGCCTTCAGAACTATGAGCAACAAATTTCTATTGTGTATAAGCCATCTAATTTATGGCATTTTTGTTACAGCAGCTGAATAGATCAAGACAATTTAAATATAGGCAAATTACAGTTAAAATTTATTAAGAGGTAGGTCAGGGTGAAGGTTGTTGACACACTCCTATGTCACTTTACAAAAGGGTACATCTTACAGTAATTTAAGCAATCTCATTGGAATTGTCCAGTTTTGGGAAACTTGAAACAGTAACGAAGATGACTTACATCTGTCCATGTCTTGATGAATAAACAATTGTAGATAGAAAATATCAGAAAGCGGAGTAGATGCCTGGACCACCAACATAAGATTGCCACCATTTTGGTGATGGAATGACGTCTAGATGCCAAGTAGTTGGCTAGCCATGTATCCTGAGTGGCTGTAAGTAGAAAGATCACAATTGCATATCATCTAGTGGCAGTTCTAATAGCCACTGTAATTTTTAAGTATTGGTGAAAAAAATATTTGAAGTATATGTAATAGCTCTACTGTGATAGGAAAATATCTTTGGTTTTTATTGATGATGAAGTCATAAGCACTGCTAATGCTTCCATGGTTTGTTGCCTGTTTTCATGATGAAGGAAATGTTACATTTATTTAGAGGTTAGAGGTTAGTGAAGTAAAGATGAAGGTGGTAAAGATGCAATTTTTTCCCATCAAAGTTATGAGTTCCTTGAACGATAATCTAGATTAAGAACTGCTGCTCAAAAGTGAAGGTAGAAGTTACAGGAAAGCGGTGAAACAAACAAACGAAAATTCTCAGTAATCACAAGCAACACTTTAGGCTTTTTTTTTTTTAAAGATAAAGAGCTGAGGGTAATATTAAAGGTAAACAAAAAGTTTCAAATATTCAATGCTCCCAGGAGAGCAAAACCTCTGAATAAGAAGCCAGCTGTTGACACCATTCCTTTATTGTTTATGCTGAGTCATCTTTGTGGGATGGGACACTTGGAAGCATAAACTGACGGATAGAAACATTTGAATTTTTTCATATATAAGTTATCTTTGCATACATGTAGATTACAGAATAAGATGATTTAATAATTCCTTCTCATTATTCCAGTCTTAGATCAGCCTAAATGTCACCTTCTTTAAGAAGCCCTTCCATGGTCCCTGCTCCCTCTTCCCCAAGCACCTGAAATTATGCTATATGGTGCACTCACCACCCTGATAGTTTTGTTTTAGGATTTGTTCTTTTATTTCACTACCTTCTAAGCTCCATACAGACAAAGACACATATCTGTCTTATTCTTGCTTTATCCCTAGCAAATAGCAGTGTCTCGTATGTGGTATGCATTCAACAAATATCTGTGGGACAAACAGGTGAATAAGTAAGTTACTGAATGCTTTCTCAATCCATCTCTCTCCTGTTTGTTAAAGTTAGTCATGATGGGGTAATGGGGAAGGGAAGAAACAGTAGAACGGTAGGAGTTCTGATTCATGGAGAACACTGACTTAATGCAGAATAATCACTGCATAATAGGGCTTTCAAAAATCTAGAGATTGGGATATGAGCATAGCAAACAGATAAAACGTCCCTGTCTAATAGAAGCATTGACAAAAGTGAAAGTGAAAATGCCTCTTCTTTTGTATGGGCAAGCCTCTTAAATCCTGTGTGTATTTTCCTCAGTTTTACCTAAGAGATCATAATTTTTATTAACCTTTTAAAGTTAGGTAACTAACCTAGTAAAATACAGAAATGCAGTTTGATGAAAATAACCGTTTCCCAAGGCTTTCCGAGAATTACACTGCTGAGTAAATTAAATTCACTATAGAAGAGATCAGCTGTGACTAATCTAGATCTTTTTTTTCCATATTATTCTTGATTTATTTTTCCCAAGTCCAACAGACAAAACCAGCTTTGCTTCTGAGTGACTGCAATCTATGTTTTAATGCAAAATGATTTATTTGTATTCCAAATGAGTAGCTCATGTAACAGTATAGGGTAATTTTTTTTCACCCACTTTGGCACTGCTAAAAAGACAAGATTTGTGGCCTTGATATATATTCTTGATTTTTGCTGCACATTGTAAAATGTGTGCTTTTATAACACCACAAGGAGTAGGGCAAAGAAGAATGACAATCAGCACTACCCTTGTCCTTTAATTTTATTTTATAACTTTACTGTTTGATAGTCTTCTTAGATGAACTGAACTTATGCCCCCAATCCTTATAGAACAGGAGACATATGCTCCTATATACTGGCAATATTGATCACTATCATGAGACAGTAACAAAATCAAAAGATAATTGGCCTTTGCCATTCAACTACTGCCATAAAGAATTCTACAACATAAATTTTTTTAAAAAGAAAACTAAACAAATAATATTTCCTATGGCATGTGTTCTTCAATAAATGAAAAGTCACTAATGGATAACTCTACCTTGCAAGGAAACTAGTTTTCTGATCAGAGAGTACATTTTGTAGCTAATTAATTCTGGCTTGCAGGTGTTAAAAGGGGAACAACCAGAGTTTGCCCCAGTCTATGGGGTCATGAGTAGAAGCACCCTATATCAAAACATTTCTTGGTTAAATAAACTCCCATGATCCATGAGGCTGGTCTTTGGGAGTTCATTCAGAAACTTTGTTGATCAAGTGCTCAATCGAGGCCAAGAATTTTTCCAAAGGAAAATCTTGTTCATGTGTGGAATTACTTCTGAGCTGCACCTTCATATAGATGTTCTATGAGATAACATTAGCTAATTTTTTTTAATTAGCAAAATGTAAACTCTACCACCTGTTCTCTTGGTTTCTAGAATATACAGATCTCTTCTCAGGCATCAGTAAGCAACTCCACTGTACTCATCAGATTATCGAAACATATAGATGACTTTGCATCACCTACTCTTCATTTGGCTGAGATGAATTTCATTTGGGGAAGGATTTTGAAGGAGAGATACCATTTGTCTCCTCCTGGTGCTTTTGGTCCTATTCTAGGCTCTATGTAGAAATGAAATAACTATATATGAGTACCATACTCATTTAGGCCTTTATAGAATCACCACAATTTGCTAACTTGTACATTTATATATTGCTCAACTTATTATTCAAAATTGTTTTAAGAAACAACTGAATGGTACCTATGTCTACTTCCGTTGCTATATTAGAAAATATATGTTAACAGTTAACTTTTGCAACAGAATTACCTATATAATGCTTCTGGAAAGAAATTTATTTTAGGATTTACTAACAAAAAACCACCTCAAAATAAAACCAAAACTTTGTTTTCTCAGAAAAAACTGTTTTGCTTTTTTCTTTTAATATACATTGTGACACTATATATTTTTTTTCCAGCTGCATTCTAGGAGACTCAGAATTAAATCTGTGGTATAATTATAGCAATTATTTTAATCCTTATGTTTAACACATTTGGGTACATTTTTCCTTAGTTTCCAGTTTTCATTTTCTATTTTATTACCCAGGCATAAATCTTTTATAACAATTTTTATCAAACAATTTTAGAAAGAAATTAGGTTCATTATATTCAAACAGCCAGCCTCCACAACAGAAAGGACACGTATTTACTTAGCACATAGAAGAGGGACTGACCAAGTGGGCAATAACTGGATAAATACAGATCAAATGGACAAAGTCTATAATCAATACACAAGTATATATGTCCATAGAAGATTGCTTTCCAGGGTAGGAGAAATGAATTATAAGGAAAGGATGGGAAATAGAAAATCAGAACACTGAGAGAACTAAGTACAAGTTCAAAATCAGTAACATGTATCATATACTCATTTAACTTAGTAGAATTGCAAAATAGTGAAATTGTAGAAAGAAAGCTTTTACTAAGAAGGATTTTTAGACAATTTTGAGTGGTGGAGGAAAATATGACAGATTGGATGTGCAGGCATGAGTGTGTGTATTTGTGTGTGCATGTGTTCCCATGGATGTGCATGTTTTTGGAAGACTAGAGAGAGGGCTTCTGGAGAAAAAGCAAAGAGGTAAAATACAACATTTTCACTATACCTATAGAGAATAAAAGAGCCAGAAGTGGTGGCTTATTCCTGGAATCCCAGCACTTTGGGAGGCCAAGGCGGGCAGATCACCTAAGGCCAAGAGTTTGAGACTGGCCAGGCCAACATGGCGAAAACCCATCTCTACTAAAAATACAAAACTTAGCCCACTGTGGTGACGTGCACCTGTAATCCAAGCCATTCGGGAGGCTGAGGTGGGAGAATCACTTGAATCCAGGAGGTGGAGGTTGCAGTGAGCCAAGATGGTGGCACTGTACTCCAGCCTGGGAGACAGAGAGAGACTCTGTCTTAAACCAACAAACAAACCAGAGTGAAAGATAACTGTTCCCCTTCTGCATGGGAATTTTATTCCCAGATAAACATATTTTTTTATATACTCCTGAAAACCCAGCAAATATAAAATATCAACTCTGTTATTAGGAAGCATTGCTTGTGGTAAAAATGAGCATTGAGGCATCCAAATAGGAGGAGAGTAAGTCAAACTATCACTGTTTGCAGACAATATAATCCTATATCTAGAAAACCCCATAGTCTCAGCCCCAAAGCTTCTTAAGCTGATAAACAACTTGAGCAAAGCCTCAGGATACAAAATCAATGTGCAAATCACTAGCATTCCTATACACTAACAACAGAAAAGAAGAGACCCAAACCAGGAACTCAATCCTGTTCACAATTGCCACAAAAAGAATAAAATACCTAGGAATACAGCTAACAGGGGAGATGAATGATATCTACAAGGAGAACTATAAAACACTGCTCAAAGAAATCAGAGATAACATAAACAAATGGAAAAACATTCCATGCTCATGGATAGGAAGAATCAATATTGTTAAAATGGCCATACTGCCCAAAGTAATTTATAGATTCAGTGCTTCCTATTAAACTACTATTGGGATTCTTCACAGAACTAGAACAAACTATTTTACAATTTATATGGAACCAAAAAAGAGCCCGAATAGCCAAGGCAATCTTAAGCAAAAAGAACAAAGCTGGAGGCATAATGCTACCCAACTTCAAACTATACTACAGGTCTACAGTAACCAAAACAGCATGGTAATTGTACAAAATCAGACAAATAGACCAATAGAACAGAATAGAGACCCAGAAATGAGGCTGCACATCTACAACTATGTGATTTTTGACAAACCTGAAAAAAACAAGCAATGGGGAAATGATTTCCTATTCAATAAATGGTGCTGGTGCTGGGATAACTGGCTAGTCATATGTAGAAGATTGAAACTGGACACCTTCCTTATACCGTGTGCAAAAATTAACATAAGATGGATTAGAGACTTAAATGTAAAACCCAAAACTATAAAAACCCTAGAAGGCAACCTAGGCAATACCATTCAGGACATAGGCAATGGGCAAATATTTCTTGATAAAGATGCTAAAAGCAATTGTGAGAAAAGCAAAAATTGACAAATGGGTCCTAATTAAATTAAAGAGCCACTGCACAGCAAAGGAAACTGTCAACAGAGTGAGCAGACAACCTATAGAATAGAAGATCATTTTTTCAAACTATGTATCTGACAAAGGTGTAATATCCAGCATCTATAAGGAACTTAAATTTACAAGAAACAAGCAACCCCATTAAAAAGCGGGCAAATGACATGAACAGACACTTCTCAAAAGAAGACATATATGTGGCCAATAATCATATGACAAAAGCTCAACATCACTGATCATTAGAGAAATGCAAATCAAAACCACAATGAGATAGTGTCTCACACTAGTCAGAGTGACTATTATTAAAAAGTCAAAAAATAACAGATGCTGGTGAGGTTGTGGAGAAAAAGGAATGCTTATACACTGTTGGTGGGGGTGTAAATTAGTTCAACCATTGTGAGAGACAGTGTGGTGATTCCTCAAAGACCAAAGCATAGAAGTACCATTTGATCCAGCAATCCCATTACTGGGTATATACCCAAAGGAATATAAATTGTTCTATTATAAAGACACATGCATGCATATGTTCACTGCAGCACTATTCACATAGCAAAAACATGGAATCAACCTAAATGCCCATCAATGATAGACTGGATAAAGAAAATGTGGCACATGTTACTATGCAGCCACAAAAAGAAATGAGATAATGTCCTTTGCAGGGACATAGATGGAGCTGGAGGCCATTATCCTCAGCAAACTAATACAGGAACAGAAAACCACATACCACATCTTCTCACTTATAAGTGGAAATTAAATGATGGGAACACATGGACACATGGAAGGAGGTGACACACACTGGGGCCTAATGGAACATGAAGGGTGGGAGGAGGGAGAGAACCAGGAAAAATAACTAATGGGTGCTGGTCTTAATACCTGAGTGAGGAAATAATCTGTACAACAACCCCCCATGACACAAGTTTACCTATATAACAAACCTGCACATGTGCCTTTGAACTTAAAAGTTATAAAAAGACCTTTGATTGGTAAATTTTGTCTGGTCTGATGGGAAGTCATAATTCTGGCCTTCTATGATTGTGGTGATTCCTGTAGTTGGACATGTCTCTGTGGGACCTATGGAACTATTTCTAGAGATACAGGCTCCTGTGGGGCAGGAGGCATTTTAGCTGATGTGTTTCATGCCTCCTTGCACCTGCGCTGTTACCTGGGGGTGACCAAGACAGCCTTAACATTCCCCTCATTGTGACTGAACTTTTCATGTTCTTCCTGATGATAGGCTCCTGAGTGTATAATTATTTGCATTTCTCTAATGATCGCCTTCTTCTTAGAGCATTAACTTCAGAAAGCTTGCACTCTGCCCCTTTGAAATTTATATCTTCTACAACCTAAAAATGAATTTCCTAAGGGTTTAGGAGCCATCCCTTTGAAAGATAGGACTCCTTTCTCCCAGTGTTTGTGGAGAGATAGGAGACTAACTCTGATAAGGGGCAATTAGTAAACAGAGATAGCCTAATCACATTGACCAACCTCCCCACTAAAGTCCTCCTGTACTTTTCCATTAGCTCATCACAGCATTTAAAAATTCTGCCTTTTATTCCAGAGGAGTTTAGTTCAGTCTCTGTCCATATTGCAATAGTCTCGAATGGAGTCTTCCTCGCCATTTTTAACAGATTTCCAGTGCAATTTTTCTTTTACGGGGGTGAGGTGAGGGAGCAAAGAGAACAGCTGCTGTATGTCTGTGTAGACCATTGCATAAACTGCTGCAAGGACTTCACTTGAAGAATCCTGATGCTACACTTCCATGCTGGCAAACTGTGGCTCCTGTCCTATGTCTTTTAGAGTCAGCTAAGGCCAAGTGGGGCCTATGATAGTCTTGTGAGTGATTGTTTAGTTGAACATAAGAAGATCCTTCTTACTGGGTGTCCTCTTATGATGACCTCATTCTGCTTTCTTGATACTAGTTTTCATTTTCCTTTCTGGTGGAATTTGTTTTCAATGAAAAGGCCAAGTAGAACCAGAAAGTGAAATGATGAGTCCTTATTAACTTGCTCTGTAGTTTTCAGGAGTCCATTCTGTTTATTTTTGCCATTAATTATGTGATTCTAAATTATTTTATTGTTTTTGAGAAAATCTTCTTGGACTTACCCTTACAATTGGGCTACTTACTTGTGTTGGACTGTTGAAGAACAGCTTAGGCATTTTAGTTAGTTGCCTGCAAGAAAAATAGCTTATTCACATTTAAAGGAGATAGCTGGTGTACAGTCAGCCCCCTGTATCTGTGGGTTCTGTGTCTGTGGATTTAACTGTGGATCAAAAATATTTGGAAAAGGATTATTTGTTTAGAACATGTACATTTTTCCTTGTTATTATTCCCTAAATAATATAGTATAACAACTATTTTATAGCACTTTCATCATATTAGGTATCATAAGTAATCTAGAGAGAAGATTTAAAGTATCCAGGAGGATGTGTGTAAGTTATATGCAAATACTACACCATTTTATGTAAGGAACTTGAGCCTCTGTGAATTTTGGTATCCATGGGGGGTCCTAGAACAAATCTTCCATGGCAGGGATCACTGTACTGTCATCGAGGAACAGGATTTATAGGAATGTGGGTAAAGAAAAACAAAACAAAACAAAACAAACCATAGGAATTCTGGGATCAGTGGAGTTAGTATCTGCATTTTTTTGGAGTGAAAGTGGGGTAAATTGATTATCTGGCAGCTAATAAGAAGTCACTCTGGACAACATGCCCTTGAGCAGGCTGGCTGGGGTTATCTTATAAAAAACCCCAAACCAATTTTAGCTGTATATGGATTCTTTGAAAAACCTTGAGAATTTATTGTGGAGTACATGCAATAGGCTGTCTCACTGTATTGTCTATCATGGTCTTTCATCAGTAACTTTTCCTTAATTATTAGTCCAGGTCTGCAGCATTTCCTCATCAGAATTTCTCAGCACATTCAGGTAGCCTTAGCTTGGGCAGGATGATGGTAGATGTTCCTTCCTGAGGACTAAATGTATTTTTCAAGACAATTACATAGGTTCAATTGATCAAGCCAGAGACACTGTTCAGAGGCCTATAGATAGAACAGAGAAGAACCAAATAAGGAAAGGAGGAAATTTTGGACTCATTTTAATCTTTTAAATGACACTTTAAATGTATGTCATATATTTGAAGGAAAGTACATTTAGGAATTGGAAAAATTATTCCAAATATATTATACCTCAAATTAAAGCACATTCAGTCAGATAATGGATTGCTGCAAAATTATTATACATTATCTAAAGAGCTGTCACAAATTTACAAATGAATATTACAGTTTTGAAGTACTTAGAGAATACAGATGGCTTCCTTGGACTAACGCTAGCTGTCAGCTGTTAATGCATAATAATTATGTCTTCACTAATAGTTCTTCCAAGAAGTTGTTTTCTGTATCTCCTTATTATGATTCTCACCATCTTCTTCTACCTCCTCCTGTTTTTAACCTTACCTCTTTGATTGTTAATATTAGGCTATGCAAAGATGAATTCTCTAGAATACGAAAGAAAGGATTTAACAAATTATAGAATTTGTAGAGTCATGGATAGCACATTAAAAACTACAAACATGGCAGAAGCTTAAACAAGAAAAATAAGAAAAACATCTCTGGAACTGTTCCAGACATCTTTATAAACTAAATAGGACTATTAAGGATTATATGATATTGTAGAATAAATTTGAACTTAAGTTATGGGGAAATAGAACCCTGGAAGAAATTTAGTTAAATTCAGCAACATTGCAGTAAATATAAGCTCAGTTCAGGTGCCGTAGGAGTTACAAAGGTAAGACCTCTTGTATCCTCATGAAATTTATGATCAGGCTGAGTTCCTTATTACTTAGAAATCCTGTCCTTGAGAGAAGGGTGACTTCTAGTTATTTAAAATCCCTAGAACCTAGTATAGGGCCAGTAAATGCCCAGGAAATAGCTATTGAACTGAAGCACACAAAGGCGCCTTACAGGAATAAAAATGTGAGTTACCTAATGCAATGGATGATTCATAAGAAAATGGTTATATTAATTAATCAAGAAATCTTTTTCTGCAACACCAATAGCCCTTTAAAAGTACCTCTCAACTATTTTCCTTTGAGTTATAAGAAAGCATCATCTCTATCTGACAGAGAAGCACAAACTAAAATGAAATAAGAACCTCTTACTGAGCTATTGAGCACTTGCAGTGCCCTGAGTGTTCCACAGGATGCTTTAGATGTTTTAACTCACTTTATTCTCCCACAATTCTATGAAGACAATAGAGTAAAACAACTGAAGCTCTGAAAGGTGAATTTTTTTTTTTTGCAGTTATATGGCAAGTATGTAGAGAAACCAGGACCGAGGCTCTATTTTGTTTAACTCCAAAGCCCATGTTATTTCCCTTGGTTTTCGCTGTTTCTGAATCACAAGAAAATTACCTGCAGCCACTAGATACATGCCTTCAAAGAGCCAGAAACTTTGACAAGTGTTCTTAGTTGAAGGTTAATGCATTCAAGGCTGACTGGGAATTGCTCACAGATAAAAGGTAAGGTAAAGTTTAATTTTCCTAAGTGAGTGATATTTAAGACATCTTTTCCTCTCATTTCCAAATCCCATTTGCAGTACATGTTATCACAAAAATATATGTGCATTTTTATTGTGACCTCCAAATAAATGTGAATTTTTATTGATTTTTTCTAGGTTTATATATCAACAAAAAAGGGAGGAATGGAAAGAAAATTGGAAATTAATATTTTAGATGTTGATATGGTTTGACTGTGTCCCCACCCAAATCTCATCTTGAATTGTAGTTCTCATAATCCCCACGTGTCATGGGAGGGACCCCGTGGGAGTTAATTAAATCACGGGGGGTGTTGACCCCCATGCTGCTGTTCTCAGATAGTGATTGAATTCTCAAGAGATCGCATGGTTTTATAAGGAACTTTTCCCCCTTTTGCTCAGTACTTTTCCTTGATGCCACCATGTAAAGAAGAATGTGTTTGCTTCCCCTTCCACCATGACTGTAAATTCCCTGAGGCTTCCCCAACCCTGCAGAACTGTGAATCAATTAAACTTCTTTCCTTTATGAATTACCCAGTCTCAAGTATGTCCTTATGGCAGAGTGAGAATGGACTAATACAGTAAATTGGTACCAGTAGAATGGGTGCTGCTATAAGGATACCCAAAGGTGTGGAAGTGACTTTAGAACTGGGTAACAGGCAGAGGTTGAAACAGTTTGGAGGGCTCAGAAGAAGAAAATGTGAGAAAGCTTGGAACTTCCTAGAGACTTGTTGGATGGCTTTGACCAAAATGCTGATAGTGATATGGACAATGAAATCCAGGCTGAGGTGGTCTCAGAGATGAAGAACTTGTTGAGAACTAGAGTAAAGGTGACTCTTGCTATGCAAAGATACTGGCAGCATTTTGCTCCTGCCCTAGAGATCTGTGGAACTTTGAACTTGAGAGAGATAATTTAGGGTATCTGGCAGAAGAAATTTCCAAGCAGCAAAGGATTCAAGAGGAAGCAGAGTATAAAAGTTTGAAAAATTTGCAGCCTGACAATATGATAGAAAAGAAAACCCCATTTTCTGGGGAGAAATTCAAGCCAACTGCAGAAATTTGCATAAGTAATGAGGAGCCAAATGTTAATCACCAAGACAATGGGGAAAATGTCTCCAGGGCATGTCAGAGACCTTCATGGCAGTCCCTCCTATCACAGGCCTGGAGGCCTATGAGGAAAAAATTGTTTCATAAGCCAGGCCCAGGGACCCTCTGCTCTATGCAACCTCAGGATGTGGTGCCCTGCATCCCAGCTGCTCCAGCTCCAGCCATGGCTAAGAGGAACCAATATACAGCTCACACCATTGCTTCATAGGGTGCAAACCTCAAGCCTTGGCAGCTTCCACGTGGTGTTGGTTCTGGGTGTGCACAGAACTCAAGAATTGAGGTTTGGGAACCTCTACCTACATTTCAGAGGATTTATGGAAATGCCTGAATGTCCAGGCAAAAGTTTGCTGCAGGAGTGGAGTCCACATGGAGAGCCTCTGCTAGGGCAGTGCAGGAGGGAATTGTGGGATCAGAGCCCTCACTCAGTCCCCACTGAGGCATTGTCTAGAGGAGCTGTGAGAAGAGGGCCACTGCCTTCCAGACCTCAGAATGGTCGATCCACTGACAGCTTGCATCATGCACCTGGAAAAACTGCAGACACTCAAGGCCAGTATATGAAAGCAGGCAGGAGGGGGGCTGTACCCTTCAAAGCTACAGGGGCAGAGATGCCCAAGGCCATGAGGGCCCACCTCTTACATCAGTGTGACCTGGACGTGAGACATGGAGTCAAGGGAGATCATTTTGGAACTTTAAGGTTTAATGACTGCTGTATTGGATTTTGGACTTGCATAAGACTGTAGCCTCTTTGTTTCTCCCATTTGGAAGAAGTATATTTATCCAATTCCTGTACCCCTATCGTATCTAGAAAATAACTAAGTTGCTTTTAATTTTACAGGCTCATAGGTGGAAGGGACTTGCCTTCTCTCAGATGATACTTGGACTTTTGGGTTAATGGCGAAATAAGCTAAGACTTTGGAGGACTGTTGGGAAGGCATGATTGTGTTTCCAATGTGAGGACATAAGACTTGGGAGGGGCCAGGGGTGGAATGATATGGTTTGGCTGTGTGCCCACTAAAATCTCATCTTGGATTGTAGTTCCCATAATCCCTACATGTCATGGGAGAGACCCGGTGGGAAGTTATAGAATCATGGGGTGGTTACTTCCATGCTTCTGTTCTCATGATAGTGAGTGAGTTCTCATGAGACCCAGTGGTTTTATAAGGGGCTTTTCCCCCTTATGCTCAGCACTTCTCCTTGCTGCCACCATGTGAAGAAGGATGTGTTTGCTTCCCCTTCCATCATGCTTGTAAGTTTCCTGAGGCCTCCCAAGCCCTGTGGAACTGTGAGTCAATTAAACCTCTTTCCTTTATAAATTACCCAGTCTTGGGTATGTCCTTTTAGCTGTGTGCAGATGGACTAATACAGATGTTTGCTAAGTACTAGGTATTTAGTAGTATCAGCAGAATTTAATATTTATAAGCCATTTTTTCTGACCCTGAACTCCATTTATTTTCTCTCTACTGTGCTAATTTCCCCAAAATTATCAACAGATCTGACAATTAATAGATTGTACTAGCTTCATTAGAATCTAGCAGCAAATTTTGGGCAAATTTCTCTAAGCATCAGTTTGCTAATCTATAAAATAGGGATAATGATAATGATTATCTCATAGAGCTTGAGGATTAAATAATTTAATTTTCTATTATGTCTAACATATAAATTTTGTCCATCTTTTCATGACACTAACAGTGTAAGATGTCATATTTTACATTTGTCTAAATGAAACTAAATCTTAATATACTCACACGCCAAGTTTGGCTATGTCTTTAACATCAGAAAAATTTGAGGCATCACTCCTCCATTATATAGAAAGAAGTTCCAGAGTGTACTCAGTTTAAGAAAAAAGGCAAAGGGGCATGATCTTCTGTTTCTGCTGGCCATGATGCCCTGGCTTCTTGTGTTATTCAATGCCTGGTCCATCACCATGTGCTGGCACAAGCTGCAGGGAGACCATGTTCTCAGCTTCAGCTATAGAATGTCACTGGAGTGCACAAGACCATGATTTACAGTTTGCAGCCCATGCATACATTCATGCATCTGTCACCATCAGAGTTCCTGCCATGACCCAGGGGAACACAAGTTGCTACCTTCATCTCTCCACTTCCCAGTTAAGGAGGGTTGCCACAGTCTGGGCTGAAGCCTTGCCCTTCCTCAGACACTGCACAATATCTACCTCTTTCTCTCTCAGACAAAACAGCTCCTTCTCTTAAAAAGGGACTTTGTGGCCCAGCACAGTGGCTCACGCCTGTAATCCCAGCACTTTGGGAGGCCTAGGCGGGCAGATCATGAGGTCAGGAGATTGAGACCATCCTGGCTAACATGGTGAAACCCCATCTCTACTAAAATACAAATAATTAGCTGGGCCTGGTGGCAGGCGCCTGTAGTCCCAGCTACTCGGGAGGCTGAGGCAGGAGAATGGCGTGAACCTGGGAGGCGGAGCTTGCAGTGAGCCGAGATGTCACCACTGCACTCCAGCCTGGGCAACACAGTGAGACTCTGTCTCAAAAGAAAAAAAAAAAAAGGGACTTCATGTGAATTTTTCTGCAGGGTCGCTCAATGTCAATTTTCTATTTCAGGCTCGAAATCTGGAGAGGTTTTTAACAAATACTTCCTTTCCCATCTCCCACTCAACAACAGCAACACAAACACACAGAGATAGACACATACACACATACACACACACACACAGAGTAAAAGTCTAGAAGTCAAGAACTCAAAGTTATAGTCTCATTTCTGGGAAGCTTGGTGTGGGGGTGAATAATAGGAAGATGGAAGCAAGCACTATTTACCAGCTTCTTACAAATATTTCTAGAGATATTTTATATTTGTAAATATTAGTGTGTATCTTGTATTTTTGTAGACAATTAGGTATCAGTACTTCTCAAGCTATCTGTAGTGAATGACCAGTTAAAACATTCCAATGAGATGGAGACCAATAATTTTGTAAAATATAGTAAAATGGTTGTGGCAATGCCAATAAAGTTTTCTAAGTTTTATTTTTACTTATTTAAGGTTTCTGAGTGCTTACTCTCAATTCTCTGTACTTACCTCATGATCAACTAGTAGCACTGGTCTACAAATTGCATTTTGAATATAGTACGTTATACATAGTTTCTTATTATAATATACGTATTTCTTCATAGCTTTTTTGTCTATTTAATATTATATCTCAAAGATCTTTCAATGAAAGGACAATTTAGAGCAATCTGTAGATAACATGAAACTGAGTAAGAAAAAGCTTGTTTTTGTAAGGTACCCAGATGTTTGGGGTGGTTTGTAGCACAACATTACCTGGTAAAAGCTGACTTATACTTCTACTTATATTTTACTAATCTCATTTAGAATTACTCAATGTCAATTATCATTCCCGATAACTTTTTAGTTATCACTTCTTTGTCTTGGATTCAGCATTGCCAATAAGGAATCTGATGTCAGTCTTATTCTCATGAATTTCCTATTTTTGGTAACGTATGTCTATTGCTGTTATACTTGAAGGGTACCTTGGTTGGGTTAAATGATTGGGTGACTTTATTTATTTATTTATTTTTATTTATTATTATTATACTTTAAGTTTTAGGGTACATGTGCACAATGTGCAGGTTAGTTACATATGTGTACATGTGCCATGCTGGTGCACTGCACCCACTAACTCGTCATCTAGCATTAGGTATGTCTCCCAGTGCTATCCCTCCCCCCTCCCCCAACCCACAACAGTCCCCAGAGTGTGACGTTCCCCTCCCTGTGTCCATGTGTTCTCATTGTTCAATTCCCACCTATGAGTGAGAATATGTGGTGTTTGGTTTTTTGTTCTTGCGATAGTTTACTGAGAATGATGATTTCCAATTTCATCCATGTCCCTACAAAGGACATGAACTCATCATTTTTTATGGCTGCATAGTATTCCATGGTGTATATGTGCCACATTTTCTTAATCCAGTCTATCATTGTTGGACATTTGGGTTGGTTCCAAGTCTTTGTTATTGTGAATAGTGCCGCAATAAACATACGTGTGCATGTGTCTTTATAGCAGCATGATTTATAGTCCTTTGGGTATATACCCAGTCATGGGATGACTGGGTCAAGTGGTATTTCTAGTTCTAGATCCCTGAGGAATCACCACACTGACTTCCACAATGGTTGAACTAGTTTACAGTCCCACCAACAGTGTAAAAGTGTTCCTATTTCTCCACATCCTCTCCAGCACCTGTTGTTTCCTGACTTTTTAATGATTGCCATTCTAACTGGTGTGAGATGGTATCTCATTGTGGTTTTGATTTGCATTTCTCTGATGGCCAGTGATGCTGAGCATTTTTTCATGTGTTTTTTGGCTGCATAAATGTCTTCTTTTGAGAAGTGTCTGTTCATGTCCTTTGCCCACTTTTTGATGGGGTTGATTGCTTTTTTCTCGTAAATTTGTTTGAGTTAATTGTAGATTCTGGATATTAGCCCTTTGTCAGATGAGTAGGTTGTGAAAATTTTCTCCCATTTTGTAGGTTGCCTGTTCACTCTGATGGTAGTTTCTTTTGCTGTGCAGAAGCTCTTTAGTTTAATTAGATCCCATTTGTCAATTTTGGCTTTTGTTGCCATTGCTTTTGGTGTTTTAGACATGAAGTCCTTGTCCATGCCTATGTCCTGAATGGTACTGCCTAGGTTTTCTTCTAGGGTTTTTATGATTTTAGGTCTAACGTTTAAGTCTTTAATCCATCTTGAATTAATTTTTGTATAAGGTGTAAGGAAGGGATCCAGTTTCAGCTTTCTACATATGGCTAGCCAGTTTTCCCAGCACCGTTTATTAAATAGGGAATCCTTTCCCCATAGCTTGTTTTTCTCAGGTTTGTCAAAGATCGGATAGTTGTAGATATGTGGCATTATTTCTGAGGGCTCTGTTCTGTTCCATTGATCTATATCTCTGTTTTGGTACCAGTACCATGCTCTGTTGGTTACTGTAGCCTTGTAGTATAGTTTGAAGTCAGGTAGCGTGATGCCTCCAGCTTTGTTCTTTTGGCTTAGGATTGACTTGGCAATGTGGGCTCTTTTTTGATTCCATATAAACTTGAAAGTAGTTTTTTCCAATTCTGTGAAGAAAGTCATTGGTAGCTCGATGGGGATGGCATTGAATCTGTAAATTACCTTGGGCAGTATGGCCATTTTCATGATATTGATTCTTCCTACCCATGAGCATGGAATGTTCTTCCATTTGTTTGTATCCTCTTTTATTGCCTTGAGCAGTGGTTGTAGTTCTCCTTGAAGAGGTCCTTCACATCCCTTGTAAGTTGGATTCCTAGGTATTTTATTCTCTTTGAAGCAATTGTGAATGGGAGTTCACTCATGATTTGGGTCTCTGTTTGTCTGTTGTTGGTTTATAAGAATACTTGTGATTTTTGTACATTGATTTTGTATCCTGAGACTTTGCTGAAGTTGCTTATCAGCTTAGGGAGATTTTGGGCTGAGATCATGGGGTTTTCTAGATATACAATCATGTCGTCTGCAAAGAGGGACAATTTGACTTCCTCTTTTCCTAATTGAATACCCTTTATTTCCTTCTCCTGCCCAATTGCCCTGGCCAGAACTTCCAACACTATGTTGAATAGGAGTGGTGAGAGAGGGCATCCCTGTCTTGTGCCCGTTTTCAAAGGGAATGCTTCCAGTTTTTGCCCATTCAGTATGATATTGGCTGTGGGTTTGTCATAGATAGCTCTTATTATTTTGAAATGCATGCCATCAATACCTAATTTATTGAGAGTTTTTAGCATGAAGCATTGTTGAATTTTGTCAAAGGCCTTTTCTGCATCTATTGAGATAATCATGTGGTTTTTATCTTTGGTTCTGTTTATATGCTGTATTACATTTATTGATTTGCGTATATTGAACCAGCCTTGCATCCCAGGGATGAAGCCCACTTGATCATGGTGTATAAGCTTTTTGATGTGCTGCTGGATTCGGTTTGCTAGTATTTTATTGAGGATTTTTGCATCAATGTTCATCAAGGATATTGGTCTAAAATTCTCTTTTTTGGTTGTGTCTCTGCCCTGCTTTGGTATCAGGATGATTCTGGCCTCATAACATGAGTTAGGGAGGATTCCCTCTTTTTCTATTGATTGGAATAGTTTCAGAAGGAATGGTACCAGTTCCTCCTTGTACCTCTGGTAGAATTCGGCTGTGAATCCATCTGGTCCTGGACTCTTTTTGGTTGCTAAGCTATTGATTATTGCCACAATTTCAGATCCTGTTATTGGTCTATTCAGATATTCAACTTCTTCCTCGTCTATTCTTGGGAGAGTGTGTATGTCGAGGAATTTATCCATTTCTTCTAGATTTTCTAGTTTATTTGCGTAGAGGTGTTTGTAGTCTTCTCTGATGGTAGTTTGTATTTCTGTGAGATCAGTGGTGATATCCCCTTTATCATTTTTTATTGTGTCTATTTGATTCTTCTCTCTTTTTTTCTTTATTAGTCTTGCTAGCGGTCTATCAATTTTGTTGATCCTTTCAAAAAACCAGCTCCTAGATTCATTAATTTTTTGAAGGGTTTTTTGTGTCTCTATTTCCTTCAGTTCTGCTCTGATTTTAGTTATTTCTTGCCTTCTGCTAGCTTTTGAATGTGTTTGCTCTTGCTTTTCTAGTTCTTTTAATTGTGATGTTAGGGTGTCAATTTTAGATCTTTCCTGTTTTCTCTTGTGGGAATTTGGTGCTCTAAATTTCCCTCTACACACTGCTTTGAATGCGTCCCAGAGATTCTGGTATGTTGTGTCTTTGTTCTCATTGGTTTCAAAGAACATCTTTATTTCTGCCTTCATTTCGTTATGTACCCAGTAGTCATTCAGGAGCAGGTTGTTCAGTTTCCATGTAGTTGAGTGGTTTTCAGTGAGATTCTTAATCCTGAGTTCTAGTTTGATTGCCCTGTGGTCTGAGAGACAGTTTGTTATAATTTCTGTTCTTTTACATTTGCTGAGGAGAGCTTTACTTCCAAGTATGTGGTCAGTTTTGGAATAGGTGTGGTGTGGTGCTGAAAAAAATGTATATTTTGTTGATTTGGGGTGGAAAGTTCTGTAGATGTCTATTAGGTCTGCTTGGTGCAGAGCTGAGTTCAATTCCTGGGTATCCTTGTTGACTTTCTGTCTCATTGATCTGTCTAATGTTGACAGTGGGGTGTTAAAGTCTCCCATTATTATTGTGTGGGAGTCTAAGTCTCTTTGTATGTCACTCAGGACTTGCTTTATGAATCTGGGTGCTCCTGTATTGGGTGCATGTATATTTATTATCCTTAGCTCTTTTTGTTGAATTGATCCCTTTACCATAATGTAATGGCCTTCTTTGTCTCTTTTGATCTTTGTTGGTTTAAAGTCTGTTTTATCAGAGACTAGGATTGCAACCCCTGCCATTTTTTGTTTTCCATTTTCTTGGTAGATATTCCTCCATCCTTTTATTTTGAGCCTATGTGTGTCTCTGCATGTGAGATGGGTTTCCTGAATACAGCACACTGATGGGTCTTGACTCTTTATCCAATTTGCCAGTCTGTGTCTTTTAATTGGAGCATTTAGTCCATTGACATTTAAAGTTAATATTGTTATGTGTGAATTTGATCCTGTCATTATGATGTTAGCTGGTTATTTTGCTCATTAGTTGATGCAGTTTCTTCCTAGTCTCGATGGTCTTTACATTTTGTCATGATTTTGCAGCGGCTGGTACTGGTTGTTTCTTTCCATGTTTAGTGCTTCCTTCAGGAGCTCTTTTAGGGCAGGCCTGGTGGTGACAAAAATCTCTCAGCATTTGCTTGTCTGTAAAGTATTTTATTTCTCCTTCACTTATGAAGCTTAGTTTGGCTGGATATGAAATTCTGGGTTGAAAATTCTTTTCTTTAAGAATGTTGAATATTGGCTCCCAGTCTCTTCTGGCTTGTAGAGTTTCTGCCGAGAAATCTGCTGTTAGTCTGATGGGCTTCCCTTTGTGGGTAACCCAACCTTTCTCTCTGGCTGCACTTAACATTTTTTCCTTCATTTCAACTTTGGTGAATCTGACAATTATGTGTCTTGGAGTTGCTCTTCTCGAGGAGTATCTTTGTGGTGTTCTCTGTATTTCCTGAATGTGAACGTTGGCCTGCCTTGCTAGATTGGGGAAGTTCTCCTGGATAATATCCTGCAGAGTGTTTTCCAACTTGGTTCCATTCTCCCTGTCACTTTCAGGTACACCAATCAAACGTAGATTTGGTCTTTTCACATAGTCCCATATTTCTTGGAGGCTTTGCTCGTTTCTTTTTATTCTTTTTTCTCTAAATGTCCCTTCTGGCTTCATTGCATTCATTTCATCTTCCATCGCTGATACCCTTTCTTCCAGTTGATCGCATCGGCTCCTGAGGCTTCTGCATTCTTCACGTAGTTCTCGAGCCTTGGTTTTTAGCTCCATCAGCTCCTTTAAGCACTTCTCTCTATTGGTTATTCTAGTTATACGTTCTTCTAAATTTTTTTCAAAGTTTTCAACTTCTTTGCCTTTGGTTTGAATGTCCTCCCGTAGCTCGGAGTAATTTGATCATCTGAAGCCTTCTACTCTCAGCTCGTCAAAGTGATTCTCCGTCCAGCTTTGTTTCGTTGCTGGTGAGGAACTGCGTTCCTTTGGAGGAGGAGAGGCACTCTGCTTTTTAGAGTTTCCAGTTTTTCTGCTCTGTTTTTTCCCCATCTTTGTGGTTTTATCTACTTTAGTCTTTGTTGGGTGAGGTAACGATGGGTTTTTGGTGTGGATGTCCTTTCTGTTTGTTAGTTTTCCTTCTAACAGACAGGACTCTCAGCTGCAGGTCTGTTGGAGCACCGGGCCGTGTGAGGTGCCAGTCTGCCCCTGCTGGGGGGTGCCTCCCAGTTAGGCTGCTCGGGGGTCAGGGGTCAGGGACCCACTTGAGGAGGCAGTCTGCCGGTTCTCAGATCTCCAGCTGCGTGCTGGGAGAACCACTGCTCTCTTCAAAGCTGTGAGACAGAGACATTTAAGTCTGTAGAGGTTACTGCTGTCTTTTTGTTTGTCTGTGACCTGCCCCCAGAGGTGGAGCCTACAGAGGCAGGCAGGCCTCCTTGAGCTGTGGTGGGCTCCACCCAGTTCGAGCTTCCTGCCTGCTTTGTTTACCTAAGCAAACCTGGGCAATGGCAGGCGCCCCTCCCCCAGCCTTGCTGCCGCCTTGCAGTTTGATCTCAGACTGCTGTGCTAGCAATCAGCGAGACTCCGTGGGCGTAGGACCCTCCGAGCCAGGTGCGGGATATAATCTCGTGGTGCGCCGTGTTTTAAGCCCGTCGGGAAAGCGCAGTATTTGGGTGGGAGTGACCCGATTTTCCAGGTGCCGTCTGTCACCCCTTTCTTTGACTCAGAAAGGGAACTCCCTGACCCCTTGTGCTTCCCAAGTGAGGCAATGCCTCGCCCTGCTTCGGCTCGCGCGCGGTGCACGCACCCACTGACGTGTGTCCACTGTCTGGCACTCCCTAGTGAGATGAACCCGGTACCTCAGATGGAATTGCAGAAATCACCCGTCTTCTGCTTTGCTCCCGCTGGGAGCTGTAGACCGGAGCTGTTCCTATTCAGCCATCTTGGCTCCTCCTGACTTTGTTTTTTTATAATCTTGCTTACATGTTTTCATGACTCCTGGCATGGGGAGTAGCTACAGAGAAATCTAAGGTAACCTGACTTCTTCCTCTCTATGTGGCTTCCTTTTTCTTGGGGGTGGCCATACTTTTTTCTTCAACACAGCTTTTTCTTCATTTAAGTTTACCCAGTTATATCTTGGTGCCTATCATTTAAAAAGTATTTTTTTTTCCTGTCCGGGCAAGGTGGCTTATGCCTGTAATCCCAGCATTTTGGGAGGCCGAGGAGGTTGGATCGCCTGAAGTCAGGAGTTCGAGACCAGCCTTGCTAACATGTCAAAACTCCGTCTCTACTAAAAAATGCAAAAATTAGCCTGACATGGTAGCAGGTGCCTGTAATCCCAGCTACTGAGGAGGCTGAGGCAGGAGGATCACTTGAATCAGGGACACGGAGGTTGCAGTGAGTGGAGATCACGCCACTGCACTCCAGCCTGGGTGACAGAATGAGACTCTGTCTCAATAAAATAAAATAAAATAAAATAAAATATTTCTGAGACACTTGGGAAATAGAGTGTTCTTTAGATATTCAGATTAAATTTTTTCTGTATTTTGAAATAAAAACTTTTTGGTGTCTTTGCATGGTATGTTCAGTTCCATTCATTATAAATTCTGCTTTCATGAGTATTAATTATACGTATGATGGATCTCTGTGTGTGGCATTTGATCTACCATCTTTCCTATAACTATTCCTATATGTTTATTTATATTTATAATTTTTCTAGGCTGTCAAAATGTACTTAAATGTGATTTAAGTCACTCTATTTTTAGTTTGTTTTGTGGTGAGGACACTTAAGCTCTACTCTCTTAACCAAATTTGAAGTATACAATCCAGTATTGTTAACTATAGTCACATTGCTATACATATTTCTAGTTGTGTTTAATATATATTTTTTCTTTGTGTTTTTTTCCTTTTATTTCTGCACTTAACTAGCTCATCTTTCCTCTTCTGCTGTCTTATTGACTCTTCCTTGAGCTATTTGTCTCTTTTGTGAGCTCTTCTTTTCAGTGCAAATAATATTATCTGAAATTCATTTGAGACCATGAAGAATTATTTGTTTGAACTGCTAGTCTTTTGGGGAATTTTCTTGCAATGTATTTTCTTCATCTGCCTGATTTTAATTTTCTCTCCTGTTATGGTCTGAGTGTTTGTGTTCCCCTAATATTCATACGTTGGAGGCTAATGCAAGGTAGAGCCTTTAGGAGGTGATTAGATCATAGGGTAGAGTCCTCATGAATGAGATTGGTGCCCTTGTGAAAGAGGCCAGAGGAAGCTTGTTTGCCCCTTCTGCCATGTGAGGACAGAGCAAGAAGTTGCCAGCTATGAGAAATGAACTCTCATGAGACACTGAACCTGCTGGTACCTTGATTTTGGACTTCCCAGACTCCAGGCCTGTGAGCAATCTATTTCTGTTGTTTATAAATTACCAAAGGTATTTTGTTATAGCAGCCTAAATGAACTAAGACAGCTTCCTACATTTGTGTGTGTCTATTCATATTTTAAATTTTTTTGTTCTGCTTTTAACGGGTCTAATTATTTGAAGGATATAGTTGGATAACTGGGCAGAGATATATGTGATGTGCGTTGGGACGCTGTAGGTTTGATTTATGTTTCTCATCTTAAAAACCCTTTTAAAAAGCTTGTTATTTCCTCTGCCTCAGGACTCTTGGGAGCTCAGCTTTCAATGTCTTAGCACTTTATGACATATTAAAGTCCTTTATGTCACAGCTCTGCTGCTGAGATCTGGTGGTCTCTCCTCAATTTTACCCATCCATGAATAGTCTAGGTTGTAGACCAGAGAAATCACATATCATCATGATTATCCATTCTCTTTCCTGTGGTTCTGTTTATAGTCCCTATTACTTTTCTGGCCCACCCATCCTCCTAGATCTTATTGCTGACTTAGGACAGAATTATTTTCTTTTAGACCAGTGTTTCTTTGTTCAAGACTTAAGCCTGTATGTGTCTTTTCTTAACGTCCCACCTTGTTTTGGTCTAGATTTTACAGTATTGCAAATATGCCCCAGTTTTATAATTTAATTGGTGATGAAGATTTTTCTCCTTGCATTCTTTTTGTTGTCTTTAGTGGGTTTCACAGGAATGAGAATACAATAAAAAGTCTTTTCTCCATCATTTTCAACTGAAAAGCCAAACAGCTTTAAGATTGAATTGACACAGTGAAAGCTCTCTCCTAATAATTTTCATTGATATGAAGTACAGAGATATTTAAGGGATAGAATCAACAGAACTTGCTGATTTGTGGGAAATAGGGGCCAAGGGAAGGGGAGCAATTAAGGGCAGTCATTACATTTTCTTGGCTTGAGATATTTGGATGATGATGGTGCCAATTATTTGATGGAGAAAGTAGGAAGACTGGGTTGCCAAGGGAGGATATATTAAGGGTTACATTTTGGATTTATTAAAATTGAGAAATATCTGAAATATTCAACTAGGGATTTCATATATTCTCTTGGATATGAGTCTGGAATTGCCATGGGAGGATATATTAAGGGTTACATTTTGGATTTATTAAAATTGAGAAATATCTGAAATATTCAACTAGGGACTTCACATATACTCTTGGATATGAGTCTGGAGCTCTGAGCAGAGCTCTGGGCTTAATATGAATTTGGGATGTGTTAGCTTAAGTAATGTAGGATAATTTCAGCCTTGGGGATGGGTAAAGGAACCTTGGATGTAGGTTGTACAGATAAAAAAGAGTAGAATGTAGCTCTGAGATTCCCTTACCCTTAGAGGTCAGTTATTAGAGAAAGTGCAAAGGAAGCTGAGGTAGAAGAAAAACAAAAACACAATATCTGTGAAGGGAAGAGGTGATACTATTTCAAGACAGAGGGAATAGTCGATCATATTAAATGATTCTGAAGGGTGGAGTAGATGAGTGAAGGAAGTGCCCACTGAATTTGGCAACACGAAACTCAGCAGTGACCTTGACAACGGCAGCATCAGTGCATTAGTGGGGTGAGACACCAGATTGCACTGGCTCAAATTAGTAAAGTGGAAGTGAGGAAGCAAAAGGAAAGCAGGTGACATTTAAAAAATATTTTATTTTAAATCAACAATTTATAGTTGTGTATATTTATGGAGTACAAAGTGATGTTATGATTTAAGAATAAAATGTGAAATATTAATAATTACATTAAGCTAATTAATATATCCATGACTTCAAATACTTATTTTTTGTGAGGAAAACATTTTAAATTTACTCTCAGTAATTTTAAAATGTGCAATACACTATTATTAGCCATGTTAACCATTTGTGCAAAAGAATTAAAAAAATACCTTATTACTCCTGTCTGATTTTGTACGCTTTGGCCATGATCTTCCCATTTCCCCCACCCCAGCTTCTATTACCACAACTCTCTGCTTCTGAGTTCAATTGTTTTAGATGTCACATGTCAGTAAAAACATTAGGTATTTGTCTTTCCGTTCCTGGCTTATTTCATTTAGCAGCATGTTCTTCAGTTTAATCCATGTTGTCACAAATGACAGAATTTCCCTCTTTTTTTTTTAAGGCTGAATAGTATTCTATTGGAAAGCAGGTGACATTTTTGAGAGGTTTAGCTATGAATGGTGGCACAGAAATAGGGTAGTAAGTCAGCTTTAAGAACTGAACATCCCCATCACTTTTGAAACCCTTCCTGTGTCTCCTTTCCTCTTCTCTACATGCAGCAACTACATTTAATTCTTGTTAATCATTACTTGTCTTTTTAGCTTTACCATAAACTTAAAATGCAAAAAAAAAAAAAAAAAAAGAAATAGAGTAGTAAAAAGTAGCATCAGTGTTTTCTGTTTACTTTGGTTTAATATAAAAGGTACTAAAGCATGTTTGTGTCCTGATTGAAATGATACATAGAAGTGAAGAGATTTATCATACAGGAGAGAGATGGATGATTGACATTGCATGGGCGTTATAGAATGCATGAGGGAATTTAATTGAGAGCAGAAGTGGAGTGACTGGCCTTGGACAGATGTATGGTCATATCTTTTGTTGAAACAGAATAGAATATGGGAATATGGGTATTAATGCAGGAAGGTTTTTAAATTTGGGGGTAGAAAAATGATGAAATTTATTTCTGATGGCTTCTGTTTCCTCTGTGAGATTTGAGGGAAAGTAACCTGGTTGCCTCTTTTGTGAGGCTTGAGATAATAAAGGTATTAGAAACCCTTTCATTGTTGTTAAGGATTCAAAACATCTGCCCTGTTGTATTTGATATACTTAAATTATTATATTATATTCCAGGATTCTTTTTCTAGAAGATAACTAATGAAACTATTAATCAAGGCTAAATGCCTACTGACACATTACTGTTTGAGTTAATGCCTACTAGTATATCTGTTTTACAGATTAAAAAACCTGAACCCTACAGACATTAAATAATTTACTCAATATGACATAGGTGGGAAGTGAGGGAATTGGATTGCAATCTAACCTGGCTGATCTTAGAATCTGCTTTTAATCCCTACACCATATTGCCTGTGCTTGTTTTAACATTTAAATTACACACATACATACATACATAATGAAAGTATAATAACATGGACTTTTTTCTCATTACTGTCCTTGTTTTTGTTTCAAAAGTTCCTGTACCCCACCCACCATTTTTTTTAAAGATTCTTGGTAAAATAAACACCTCATTTCTACATTACTGAAGTCAAGAGGAGTGGAAATAAAACTATACATTCTCACCTTAGCATTTTCTTTACATATCAAGAATTTTTATTTTAAATCTTTAACAATCAGTGATGAGAGAACTTGAAACTTGACAGCATTGTCTTCCTCCAAATCTAATGTTAACATTTGCTTTTATGAGCATGTTATTTTCTACATGACATTTTCCTTTAACATTTTTAATAAGACAGAAAAAGAATTCAGAGATTTGACAGAGTACCTATATAAAGCAGAGAAGAACAAAAATACGCTGTCTAGGCACTGAGTTAATGAAGAATTATATTTAAAAGAATCGTTAAAGATGTTGTAATAATGTAGGTGTATTTTTCCTCAGTGCAGTTTAGTTCTCTTATTTTTCTTTGTGTAGGAGTACTGTCTGCAATTTGGGTGCAAAAGTTTAACATTTCATTTATTAAAGAAAACTTAATTCTAACCGTATATTTGTACCCATTATTAGTGTTCAATAAATCAATAAAGTGACCATAGTTAACATTAAGCTATTGAACTTTTCAAAATAGCTAGAAGAGAATAATGCAAATGTTTCCAGCATAAAGAAGAAATAAATTTTTAAGGTGATGGGTATCCCAATACCCTGATTTGATCTTTTCACATTATATGAGTGTATCAAATTATTACATGTACCCCCAAAATATGTACATTTATTATGTATCAATAAAAAGTAAATAAAAAATAATTATAAGAGTGGAAAGCAGATCCTTAGCTAGAGAGGAGAAATGTAATAAAATGGAAGAAAAGATTGATATGGAGGGATACAAAAGAAAACATTAACGTGGGAGGGATACAACATTTTCTGCGGTTCCTGAATTTTCTAACATATTGATCATTTATTACAAAAGTCTGTGAAAGAACTATCCTATTTCATTGAGAAGAAAGTGAAATATCAAAAATATGTATAATTTGTTTTGGGATAAACAGTAATTCAATAATGTATAGTATCTAAAATTCATGTCTCTTTTTCTCTGACATTCTTCTTGCTTACCTCGATTCAGGAAGTGTTGGCTGTGTAGAGTTACTGTTGAATAAAATTAATGCTTAAAATTCATAGCTATATTTGGAAAAAATTTAAAGATAATAATTAAAATGCAAATGCAACTGGAAGAATTTAACTATGTAATTAAGTTCATTTTGAGACTTCAATGATACCCTGACACATTATCTGACCTTAGGATCAGCTTTTGTTGAAGAGAGGAGAAAGTGAATATCCACACACAATTGGAGGAAAGGACACAAGATGGAATGTTTGGCTAGAGGCCGGAATGACAACTTTGCTTACTTGATTTTTCTTCTTTACAGAATGGCCCTGTCTGAGAGATATGTTACCCTAAACACCAAGACTCAATATATATGACTTAAGAAAAAAAAGATCCTTATGCACTATCTGAAGGTGATGCTTCCTGACTTTTGCAACAGGTAATTATTTTTCTTTCAATGGAGGGAACCACACTTTGATCACATAATTTCATTTTATAATATGGATAGTTTTAGGATAAACTAATTAAAGCTTATATTACTTATATTTTCAAAAAGCCCTCATGTAGTGCATTATGTGATTAATTAGCTCTTGTAATTTGGTAAAATGAGAGTTGTATTGGCTCTCCAATAAGAATGAAAAAAGAGAGAGGGATTATCATAGCATATCTAGAACAATATACAAATCTTTATTTTATTGCTTTTGGCCTCCTTGAGGTGTGAAGCGTGGCAGACATGTTGATGCTTTCCTTTAAGTTCATGACCATGGAAACTCCTTCTTCAAAGAAATGTTGAAAAATACTTCATTTATACCTTCTAAAGAAGGGATGTCAGAAAAGTTGGTGGACTAAATTTTTAGCTACTTCATTCCTATCCTTTACCAATATTCTTGATCCTACAACTTGCTGCTTGAATTTGGATGCCTCTTTTGAGAGTTAACGTTTTATGCAAGGTCCTAATTAACAGAAAGAAGGAGTTCCTTCTCATTGGAAGTGAAGTAATTTTCCTGAATCAATAATATATATTTCAACTGATGGTCATTTAGATTGTGAAAGTTGATAACCCAGAAACTAGGAAATGCTTCAAAAATGTGACATAGCCTAAGAGAATTACAAATATTATCTAGTAACTTTTGCATATTCTAGAAGTATGGTTTGACTCCTGCATCTTGCAGACAAATACTAGTATTAGAAAAAAAGGATTTTTTTCTTTTTGCCTCATGCTCTTTAATATTACAAAATTATTTCAATGTAAACATTTCAGCTATTTTCTCATAGCAGTCCAGTGAGATAAACATAAATTGGCATTATCACAGATCAAATTCTTTTAAATTCACTGCTTTGAGGTAAATCACCTGAAGGAGCTGGTAAGAATTAGATGGCAGCTCCAGAGCATCACATGTTTGATATACTCCCCATGGCCTCAGTTCATATACTTTCTCATCTGTGATTTATTGAGGAATGAGTTGTCAGTAAGCTGAAGAGCAAAGTAGCAGCACTGGAAATGAAAGGGCCAAGGAAAAAATGATACATTTTAGAAGGTGAGCCTTGGGAGGAAATGGGTTGATTAAATTCATCTTCTATCCCAGGACCCTGCCTCTGCTTCTTTGGTAATTAAAATTATATGGAGAGAGAGAGAGAGAGAGAGAGAGAGAGTTCAGACTAACATCTGTGATTTTAAGTATTAATTTAAAACAGCTGTAAAAAATATTCAAATATTCACTTTAGGTAATATGTTGGCTTTTTCCAGAAAGAATGCTGTCTTCCTGTGCCTGCGGAGATGATAATCAAGCTGGCACACTGACAATCAATGTAAATTCATTAAACAAAACAGGAAGTAAACAGGTATCTTTAAGTTTGTATCTCCCATTCATAAGTACTTTCAATCATACCTGGTTATGAAATAGTTTTGATGTTGCAAATCAATAAAACAAAAAACAAATAAATGAAACCCAAAGGAAAAAAAAAGAATGGAAAAATCCCGAAAGAAATAAACAGATTTTCCACCAGAGTATTTTGTTCTCTGAAATTATTCTGACTGCCTCTTAGCCGCCATGTTTTATACATATTCATTTGCTGCATTTATCCTGATTACCAAAATAAACATGTATAGTGTAGGAAAAAAGGAAGAAATACACAAAAGCACAAGGAAAAATTAAAAACAATTCATGCTCTTTTCACTCAGATATGATCAGCTTTTGATATTTTACAGAGTATTCTTTTATTTTTTTTCCTCTGCTTATTTTTTTCCAAATCTCAGTGTAATGCAAATACCTTTGTGTTTTCATTTTCATGACTACATACACAGAAACTCACCTAAAATAAAAAATATAGTTTGATTTTTTCATTTTACATAGAATGATATTATGTGTATATTTCTGTGACACTGGTATATCATATTATTTCAAATAACTTATTCTTTTTACAGTCTGTAGTGACCGTTAGAAGCCTACTTAATATCCAGTAATCTCTTCTTTCTAAGAGAATCCCAGTTTTATTGAAAGCAGCAATGTGCCCAGATGAAACAAACAAAATCAACAGGTTTATGTGTCCTTTGCATACATAGCCATTTTGTTGACAGCTGATGTGATACCTTCATTCTTGTCTTCTTTGGTTTAAGAGAATTTAAACAAGAGACACACAGCAAAGACACAACACACAAAGCAAAGACACACAGCAAAGGAGATACAGCATAGAGTAATTTATTGCAAAATAAAAATAATATTTGGAAGTTAGGTGCAGAATAGACACTACACCCTGAGAGAAGAGAGAGGATTCAGGGTGTGCTGTTCATAAGGATGAGACAGCAAAGACTGGCACCTGGGTGACTCCTTTTATGGCAGTCTTACATGATTATTCATAAGGAAGTGGAAAGAAGTGTTACTAGTAAGCATATTCTGGGTGGTCTTCTTGTTGCACACGTGCAGTAGCTGTTACATGTTTGTTCATATGTTTCACGTCTCATTAGCATCTTAAATATCCATCCAGGGGTGTGTTTTTTACTATTAAAATGAGTAAAGGGTCAGTTTGAGGACAGGTAAAATCAAAGTGTGCATGTTCTCTACAGGGGAAATCTACTGAAGATAGCTTTGCTTGAATACTCAGTTACAATGCACATGTTGAGGCTTGTTGTGTTGACTGTATGGTCATGATGGTTGCTGCATCCCGAGAACATGGTCACTTCCTTGACTATCTATACTGCCTCAATTTGACGTAATTCTAGCCATTTGTTTAAGCCACTGCTTACTTAAAATTGTTACAATGGAATGCAACTATTGTTATGTATGTAATAGTTAATAAATATGGATGCGCCATATTTTAATGTTATATGTAATAGATAATAAATATGGATGCACCATAAATTATTTAAGAATTCAATAAGTAAATAACATCTAGAATATTTTCAATGTTTCACTATTAAAACAATGATACAATAAGCATATTTGTATATATCTATGCCAGTCAACTTTTGTACATATTTTCCATTTCTTTGCCATTTTGCACTTCTTCTTTGATAATCATTTTGTTTAATCTTCCATCTCACTAATTCATATTTTATCTGGGTCTCTTCTTATTTCCAGGTTGTTATTTTGTGTGCATTTTAAAATTTCAGCATTTATTATGAACATATATGTATGTGTATGCATCTACATACATTTAATGTTTTAGATATATAAATAAACTGAATATATATTAAATATGTATTAAAATTATATGTTATATATACATATATATTATGTTTAATCTCTAAGCCCCAAAATAATTTATTTCAGAGAAGCATATTTCTTTTATAATGGATAAGAAAGTCTCTCTGAGGATGTTAATTATATTTATTTAAAGTTTTTTTCTGTTTTTCTCTACTAAGTCTAAGAGATTATGATACTAATTTTATTGTAATTTAGGTTTAGCAGTTCTCACCCCTGCAACCCCCACTAGGCTTTTGAGTTTTCTTCTGAATATCTGGAAATTCTTGGGAAATTTTAGATTGCAATTTGATAGGCAGAGAGTATTTGTTTGGTTTATATGGGGATCTCTAAAGGCTTTGCAGTGAATGTAGGTTCTGACTACTGTAGATTCATCATGGCTACAGATATATAGTACAAGTACCTGGGGAAATCATCCCTTGTGGGTTGCATGTCTTCAGGATATTGGCTCCTTGAAGCTTCTTTGCAGGGTGGACCTGAAAGAGCAACAAAGTATGTCAGGTACAGTCAGGCATTGATCTCTTCATTTATTTCTGGATTCAATTTTTATGCTTTGCCTGGTGCAGTGGCTCATGACTCTAATCTAAGCACTTTAGGAGGCTGAGGAAGGAGGATTACTTGAGCCCAGGAGTTTGAGATCAGCTTGAGCAACACGGTGAGACTCCATCTCTACCAAAAAAAAAAAAATTAATTAATTAAAAAATTAACCAGGCATGGTGGTGTGTGCCTAGTCCCAGCTACTTGGGAGGTTGAAGTGGGAGGACTGCTTGAGCCTAGGAGGTCAAGGCTGCAATGAGCCATGTTCATGACACTGCACTCCAGCCTGGGTGACAGTGTGAGACTCTGTCTCAAAAAGAAAAAAGTTATATGTATTTTGCGTTTACATTTAGAAATGAACTTGGCCATAGGATTTCCTTTCTTATAATTTCCTTTATGGTGGCCCTGTAAAATAAGTTGGGAGTTTTTTTGTATTTTTCTATTATCTCAAAAATTGTTTTAAAAACTGGCATTATTTGTACCTTAAACATTTTTTAGAATTGAGTGGTAGAGACATCTGATGTTGGTTATATATTAGTTCATTCTTACACTGCTATGAAGAAATACCTAAGACTAGGTAATTTTTAGAGAAAAGAGGTTTAATTGACTCACAGTTTTTCATGACTGGGGGGCCTTAGGAAACGTACAATCATGGTGGAATGTGCCTGTACACAGGGCAGCAGAAGAGAGAATGAGAGCCAACAGGGGAAATGCCAGACACTTATAAAACCATCAGATCTCATGAGGCTTACTCATTATCATGAGAACAGCAGGAGGGAAACTGCCCCCAAGGTCCAGTTACCTCAACCTGGTCCTGCCCTTGACACATGGGAATCATTACAATTCAAGGTGAGATTTGGGTGGGGACACAGAACCAAACCATGTCATTCCATCCCTGGCCCCTCCCAAATCTCATGTCCTCACATTTCAAAACACAATCATGCCCTTCCAACAGTCCCCAAAGTCTTAACTCATTTCAGCATTAACCAAAAAGTCCAAGTCCAAAGTCTCATCTGAGAAAAGACAAGAACCTTTCATGTATGAGCCTGTAAAATCAAAAGCAAGTTAGTTACTTCCTAGATACAATGGGTGTACAGGCATTGGGTAAATATGACCATTCCAAATGGGAGAAAGTAGCCCAAACAAAGGGGCTACAAGCCCCCTGCAAGTCTGAAATCCAACAGGGCAGTCAGTAAAACTTAAAGTTCCAAAATGATCTCTTTTGATTCCATGTCTTACATCCCGGTCACACTGATGCAAGAGGTAGGCTCCCACAACCTTGGGCAGCTCTGTCCCTGTGGCTTTGTAGGGTACAGCCCCACTCCTGGCTGTTTTCACAGGCTGGCATTGAGTGCCTGTGGCTTTTCCAGTTGCAAGGTGCAAGCTGTTGATGGATGTACCATTCTGGGGTCTGGAGGATGGTGACCCTCTTTTCACAGACCCTCTAGTGAGTGGTCTGTGAGTGGTCTAGTGAGAGTCCCCAGTGGGGACTCTTGTGGGGGCTCCAACCCCACATTTCCCTTCTGCACTGCTGTAGCAGAGGTTCTCCATGAGGGTTCCACCCCTGCAGCAAACATCTGCCTGGACATCCAGGAATTTCCATACATCCTCTGAAATCTAGGCAGAGGTTCCCAAACCTCAATTCTCGACTTCTGTGCACCCACAGAAGACCACATGAAAGCTGCCAAGGCTTGGGGCTTTCGCTCTCTGAAGCAATGGCCCAAGCTGTACCTTGGCCCCTTTTAGCCATGGCTGGAGTTGAAGCACATGGAACACAGGGCACTGTGTCCCGAGGCTGCATAGAGCAGTGGGGCCCTGGGTCTGGCCCACAAAACCATTTTCCCTCCTGGGCCTCCTGGCTTGTGATGGGAGGGGCTGCTGTGAAGGTCTCTGACATGCCCTGGAGACATTTTCCTTACTGTCTTGCTGATTAATATTTCACTCCTTGTTAGTTATACAAATTTCTGCAGCCAGCTGGAATTTCTCCCCAGAAAATGGGCTTTTCTTTCATATTGCATCATCAGGCTGCAAATTTTTCAAACGTTTATGCTTTGCTTCCTTTTGAATGCTCTGTGCTTTGTCACTAAGAAATTTCTTCTGCCAGATTACCCTATATCTTCTTTCTTGAGTTCAAAGTTCCACAGTTCTCTATGGCAGGGTCAAAATGCCACCAGTCTCTTTGCTAAAGCATAGCAAGAGAGACCTTTGCTCCAATTCCCAACAAGTTCCTCATCTCCATCTGAGACCACCTCAGCCTGGACTTCATTGTCCCTATCACTGAGAATTTAATCAATTAAATCAATACTGGGCAAAGCGTGTCTATGGTAGTAATGGAAGCAGGTAAGGCTACTATGTACCTAATAGTCAGATGTTATCTTTATGATAATGGTGAACTTTTGAAAGTTATTTGAAAATGTCCTTTCTAAAGAAATTTCCATGAATCTAAAAATAGTAAGGCTAAGAAATGCTTTTGTTTACATATACAAGAGCAGAATTAGATGTGATCATAATAAGTAAATGTGGTGTTAAAATGGCAGTCTTGCTCCTTGAGAGGAAAAGGCATTGGAACAGCCATTTTTAATGTGTCTTTTACTTAAATGTTGCCAAAAATTCTTCCATCCAAGTACATGTCCTTTTGCAAATGATTAAGCAATTAATTACTCTTCTCTACCATATCTGCTAAGTTAAATGTCACATTGATTGAGAGATTTTGAATTGTTTTATGCAGCTTTCTCAATCAGATCATATGTGGTTTTTATAAAATGGTGTATTCTTTTTGACATTGTACTTACCTTTTAGAAAAGTCATAAAAGCGGAAAAAACTGATGAGGTTTGAGGCTTTTGGTTCATTGTATCTTTGTGGAGTCTTGACCCATATTCTCATGGAGCTAGAGGATAATTAATGTTTCCTGTGATTTATGATATCCACCTCTAGGAAACTACAAGAAATTATTCTTCCCTGCTACCACTCTCTGTTCTCTGTCTGCAGATATGTTGAAAGAAATGTAGCTTTTGCTCATAAATTTCATCATTTGAGATTGTTATTTCAGTTGAGTATTATCAGAAAGCATTTCTAATAATTAACTCTTGTTGCATACCTGTAATCAGAAAGGGACCTTCTTCACTTCACTGCACTGCTGTGCTGCAGGATATTAAGCTGGCAAGCATGAAAATAGCTTTGTGAACAGCTGGGCTCATCACAGTGAAGCTTGAGATCAAAGCTGCCAAAAATGGAGGGCGCTTATATTCACCAACCCAAAAGAGATGGTTTTGGCCTTGAGAGAACATTGCTGAGCATAGGAACAACAGATTAATGGGAAAACTGTTGATAAAGCAGTAACTATCATCCTTGAACTATTTAATCCACTGAAACAATTGAATGACTTCTTAATCCTTAATCATTTTAAATGATTCAGACCTGTTGAATAGAGGTGAGATTATCTGCCTCTTATCAACTCTCATAAAATATTTTACACAAAGTGAACCAAATTGCATGCAACATAGGACTATGTGATTAAAATGCACTTAAGTGCTCACCCTTACAATGCCATCCAGATACATTCTAGGAGAGCAAAATGTTCTGAAAAATATTCAGGTGCCCTTGAAAGAATGAACAGTGAACATATTGTCATTAGGAAAATTTAGCCTCCTGTGAGATAACTTTCAAAATATTATCAATAATGGATACTGCCATCAGAACTATCTCCCTAAAATATATTAGACTATTTTTACTATCCTATGCTCTGTGTTCAGTTGCTTAAAAAATTAAATTCAAAAGTGTTTGGCATTCAAAGCAGTTTATGCTAGCACCTCAGGTTACCTCTTCAGCCAATTCTCCCACTACTCCACTGTGTGTATTCTGACCTAGTATTCTGTCATATTTTCTATTTCCTAATAATGTTAGATAATTCCAGATTTCCTTATATGGCTATACTGATCTCTCAACTTGCAATGCTTTCTCTATATTTTTTTACAGTTAAAAAAATATTGAAGGCATTGCTCAAATGCAACATTCTCTTTTAAACTTTCCTGGATTCTCACAATTAGAATATATATATATTTTTTGTTCCAGGCTCTTATAATGCTTGTATTTCCATTTTTAATGCTTGTATTTCCATTTTGACTTGCATTGTGGGTAGTTTTTACTGTTTCTCCCAAATATTTGAGTCTCTGTGTGTAGGGCCTATGAGTAATTCAACTTGTGTTACCCAGAGCTTAGCAATTAATCAGAATTTATTTATTGGTCATTGATATGGTTTAGCTGTGTCCCCAACCAAATCTCATCTTGAATTCTAACTCCCACAATTCCCACATGTCATGGGAGGAACCCAGTGGGAAGTGATTGAATTATGGGGGCAGATTTTCCTGCGCTGTTCTCATGACAGTGAATGAGTCTCATGAGATCTGATGGTTTTAAAAATGGGAGTTTCTATGCACAAGCTCTTTTTGCCTTGCTGCCATCCATCCAAAATGTGACTTGCTCCTCCTTGCCTTCTGCCTTGATTGTGAGGCTTCTCCAGTCATGTGTAGGTATGAGTTCTCCATTAAGCCTAATTCCTTTGTAAATTGCCTAGTCTCAGGTATGTCTTTATCAGCAGCATGAGAACAGACTAATACGGTCATTCTTTGCAAGATGCTACTTGCTTTGGATACAAATATGAAAAGACATGGTCCCTTGCGTGTGTTATGTGCTTATGAAATACATGTTGAGTTGACTGATTAATGAGAGAAAGGTCTGAGTTCTCCACCTCTGATAATGAGTTGCCACTGTTATAGTTCTAGAAAATCTGATAAACAGAGTGAAGATATTTTAAAATACTGACAGTTCTTGTGAAGAAAATCAGTGAGGTTGAGATATGTCAAGATAGAACATTAACTTCCTAAGTTTGAGCTTTGCTATAGCTGCTTTGTGTCATGATTTAACAAGGAGAATCATCTTCTTATTTTGTCTGAGTCTTAAAGGACACAGCTTTGAAGCCTTTTCTATGGATGGTTGGATACTATCAGTTTCACATGTAATATGTAGGCACATTTATAGAGCTTTGAATTTGTGGAGTCTTTTAAAAAACTGATTGTGATCAATATTCACATTCTTCCAAAAGCTCAAGAGCCTCCATTGAAAAGCCCCCTGATATATAAAAGATATAAATTTGAGTACTAATTATAGCTGAGCAGTTAGTTTGGGAATATGGTATAGAAAGCCTTGATTCTCTAACTAAAAATTTTGAATTTTTAATTAGCAGTAACAAAACACTGAAAGTTCCAAGTAGTTGAATGACTTAATGTCCATTGTGTACGATGCATGTTAAATGTGCTGAAGTAAGGTGGATATGTTGGCTGCACAATAAGTGATTGAAGATTAGAGACCAGATATAAATATAGCTTCATTATTGGTGATAGATGATGAGAACCATGGTGAAAGTTACTTTGGAAATGAAAAAGACAGCGCAGTGTTGTCAGAACCAATTTGGAAGATTTATCAATAGAATCTAGTGATTGATGAGAGACATGGGGAGGAGGGAAAAATGTAATAAAGATGATAGGCCTGCATGCCTGGGAGCACCTTTTATGAGGGAACATAGGAGGAGGAAGATAATTGGAGAATGAGAGATTGCGCAACCAGCATGACCTAGGTTGTTTCAATAATGTTAACTTCCAAATCTCAGTGGATTAAAATGTAGTAACAAATATTTATTTCATGTTGTTACTGTGTGTTTATTTTGTCCTGGCTGGCATTTCTGCTCCACATTTTCCTCACTCTGGGGCCCAGGCTGACAGATCAACCACTGTCTGGAAAGTTACTAGTTGCTTTGGCCCAGGTAGAGGGAGAATTTGAGGGTCTAGCATCAGAAATTACTACAGCCTGGAAGTGAGAGTGGCAAATTTAAACCATTGTCAGGTGACACTATCTTCTTCTAATGCCAGTCAAATGGGATATTTCCTGTTCATTGCTTATGGCCTCACCCCTGATTTATTTCCCCCAGCCTTATTGAGGCATAATTTACAAATAACAACTGTATATTTTTAAGGTGCAAAACATGGTGTTTTGATGTGTGTACACATTGGGAAATGATTACCACAATCAAGCTAATGAACATATTTATCATCTTACGTAATTAACTTTTTTTTGTAGTGAGAACACTTAAGATCTACTCTCTTAGCTCATTTTAAGTATACAATGCAGTATTATTAACTGTGGTCACCATGCTATACATTAGATCTCCAGATGTATTCATTTTGTATAATGGAAATTTTATCTCCTTTGACCAACGTCTCCCCAGTTCCCCCAACCCACCAGCCTCTGGCAACCACCATTCTACTCTCTGCTTTTAGACTCCATATATAAGGGAGATCACTCAGTATCTATCACATGTATATATCCAGTTTTCCAGCACCATTTACTGAAGACACTGTCCTTTCCCCATTGTATGTTCTTGGCACTTTTATCAAAGATCAGCTGACCATATATGTATAGATTTACTTCAGTTCTCTGTATTCTGTTTTATTGGTGTATATGTCTATTTTTATGCCAGTATCCTACTGTTTTGTTTACTATAGCTTTGTAATATATTTAAAAATCAGGAAGTGTGATACCTGTAGCTTTGTTCTTTTTGCTCACGATTGCTTTTGCTGTTGGGGACTTTTGTGGTCTCATATAAATGTTAGGATTTTTTTCTATTGATAGGGATTACATTGAATCAGTAGAGCACATTGGGTAGTAGGGCCATTTTAACAACATTTATTCTTCCAACCTGTGAACCCAGGAAATCTTTCCATTTATTTGTGTCTTCTTAAATTTGTTTCATCAATGTTTTGTAGTTTTCAGTGAACTGAAAGTGGACCCCTGGTTCAGTTTACTCCTAATATTTTATTCTTTTTGAAGCTATTATAAATGGAATAGTCATCTTAATTACTTTTTCAGATAGTTCATTGTTAGTATATATCAATGCAAATTGTTCAAGAGTGTGATTTAAAATTTTTATATTTTTGTGAATTTTAATTTTCCCTCCCATTATTGATTTCATACTATTGGGGTCCAAAAGGATACTTGATATGATTTCAGTCTTCTTAAGTTTGTTAAGACTTGTTTTGTGGCTTATGACTATGTAAATATGATCTATCTTGGAAAATTTTCCATGTGCACTTGAGAAGAATGTTTATTCCGTTGCTGTTTGGTGAAATGTTCTATATGTCTATTAGATTCACTTGGTTTATAGGTTATTCAAATCCAATGTTTCCATATTAATTTTCTGTCTGGATGATCTATCCATTGTTGAAAGTGGATATTGGAGTCTTCTGCTATCAGTATATTGCTACCAATTTCTCCCTTCAGTTCTGTTAATATTTGCTTTATATAGTCCAATGTTGATTTGCATATTTATATTTCCAATGCTTTATATATTTATATGCTCCAATGTTATATATACAATATAATATTTACTTTATATAGTTATATGTTCCAATGTATATATTTATATGTTTCAGTGTTAATATGTGCTTCATATATTTATATGTTCCAATTTATATCCAATGCATGTGGTCCAACATTAAAATATATATATAATCATTATATATATACACATTTATATATATATAATCATTATATATACATTTATATATATAATCATTATATATATACATTTATATATATAATCATTATATATATACATTTATATATATAATCATTATATATATATACATTTATATATATATATATATATATATATATATAATCATTTTCCATCTCTTTACTCTCAGCCTATGTGTGTCCTTAAAGCTAAAGTGAATCTAGTGTAGGCAGCATATATTTGGTCTTTTTTTTTTTTTAAATCCATTTAGCCACTATGCCTTTCGAGTGAAAAATTTAATCCATTTACATTTAAAGTAATTATTGGTAGGTAAGAACTTCTTATTGCAATTTTGTTTATTTTTTTTCTCAATGGTTACTACTTCTTCTGTTCCTCTTCTTCCATTTTTGTTGTCTTCCTTTGTCATTTGATGAGTTTTGTAGTGGTATGCTTTGATTTCGTTTTCTTTATCCTTTGTGTATCTACTAGAAGTTTTGTCTTTGTGGTTACCATGAAGCTTACACAATCTTATACCAGTCTATTTCATGCTGATAACAACTTAACTGTGTACAAAAACTCTACACTTTTACTTCCCCTCTTCCCACATTTTATGTCATTGCTGTCACAATTTACATCGTTTTATATTGTGCATCCATTAACAAATTATTGTAGCTATGATTATTGTTAATACTTTGTCTTTCAACTTTTACACTAGATTTTAAAAATCTGTTGTGCATCACCATTACTGTATTAGAGTACTCTGAATTTGACTATGTATTTACATTTATTAGTGGGTTATATACTTTTATATGTTTTCATGTTATTAATTAGTGTTCTTTCATTTCAACTTGAAGAGAACCCCCTTTTGCATTCCTTGCAAGGCAGGTCTTAGTGGTGATGAACTCTTTCAGCCTTTGTTTGTCTGTGAAAATCTCTGTCTCTCCTTCATTTCTCAAGGACAGCTTTGTCACTTATAATATGCTCAGTTGGCACTTTTTCCTTTCAGTACTTTGAATATATCATCCTACTCTCTCTTGAAATGCCAAGGTTCTGCTGAGAAACCCACTAATAACCTTATGGAGGTTCTCTTGTATTAGTCACTTTTCTCTTGTTTCAAAATGTTCTCTTTATATTTGAGTTTTGATAATTTGATTTCAAAAGATTCATATTTAAATTTGGGCATCTCAATTTATTGTATTATTACCAAAATATCTTTATGATGCCTTTTTATTTTACTGGAAAACAGCAATAAATACTATGTTGGACAAGACTGAAAAATAATTTGGCCTAAGAAATAGAATAGAGAATAAATTTTTAGTATTAATTCCTAAGTAGTTCTGGGATTAATTTAGTTAGTATATGGTTTTAGCGTATTTTAGTGTCTTCTGGGAGAAAACTTTATACTGCTGAAATTGTGGTCCGGGGATAAAAAACAAATGGTGAGAGCAGAAAATTTTGATAGACTGCTGATCTCTCTGGAGGGCGATGTCTCCATACCTGGTTATTCCTAAAATATTGGTTGAGCCTAAAAGGTAGAGATGAAAGAAAAGCTGAGAAGTGTTGGGGTAAATACTTATTCCATTCTTCTGATGTCTCTTGCCAGGTAGGACATCTTTCTCCTCTGTGCTCCTTCCTTTTCCTCATGAGAGAAGAATGGACTAACCTCATTGGTGAGTTTGGGACAAGAAACAGAGCATGCTTGGCATATTATTTCCCTTTTGTCTTTGTGATTCTTCTCTCTGTAGAGAGATCTGATGTGCTCTTGGTTATATGGGGAAAGGACTTCCATTGTCCAGTGCTGATAGTGACTGAAGGGTAAGTATCTAATTCTGGACAAGGGAGTTTTAGGAACATCTTTTTTTCTCCAAAGCCATCTATTCCAATCTAGTTTAATCTATAATAAATCTGATATTTTTAATCTCCTCTGCCTAACATTTTTGCTTTCAGTTAGCTTGTATCTGACAGGGAAGAGAGTATCACATAAGCTGCCTTCAAACCTCAGCAGTCTCTATGTTATTTTGAATAGGGATACAATTTGTAAACGTATAGGCTGGTCAATGCTTAGGTGAAATTGATTGGTCAATGTTTCATTTTTGGAACATTTTCAGATCCAGAAATATTTGCTATTTACAAATATTTCCAAAGGCATTCTAAATTATTTGGTTGAACAAATAAAATCTGATTCATAAACAAAGTTTAAAAACCAGAATACCATGCAGACTTTGGATAATGGGTTAGTGGAAGGTTTGTGGGGTAGATAAATGAATGTGATAATTAGCCAAGTATTTTGAGATGTGTTAAAGTGAGATGTATCTCAGACATGAGGATAGTCTTGGAGAAATCAGAAAACATGTTCAATCAGGAAACATGGTCAATGAAGAGTTTGGTGTGTGATTGTGCAGTGTTAGTAAGAGAAGGCATCAGTGATTGGAGAAAGAATTTGTATATGGCTATATAAGTGTGCATTTCTGTGTGTGTGTAGGGTGTGTGTGTGTATATGTTTATGGTTGTATGGATAAGCATGTGTGTGTGTGTGTGACTGAGTGTGGGTATGTATGGGTGTGGGTATTTGTGGTGTGTTTTTGGGTGCATGTGGTTGTTTGTATGTATGATTGTGTGTGGTTGGGTGAACGTGTATAGGTGTATGGGTGAGTGTGTGTTTGCCTGGTTGTGTGTGTCTGTGTGTATAGGTATGGGTGTGGCTGGTGAGGGACATGGGTGTGTCTAGGTCTGTGTGTATGTGTATGTGTATTGGTATGAAGGGTACGAAGTACACAGCAGAGGGCAGATGAAACCAAAATGCTTATATAGTGATAAAAGACATCAATTTCCTCAGTGAATTTCAAGATACATCTTGGGGAAATATCAAACAAGTGTCGACTTTTCAGATATTTGCACTAAAATTTAACTTGAAATATTAGAATTTTCTTTTAATTAAGACAATTTGAAGAAGCACAGTCGAGCCTGTGAACAACCTTTTGCAAACTGAGACAGTAGTCCTAGAGAACCTCTCATATGGTTGGGCAGTTTCTGTGCATCCTGCACAATTGCTCCTAGTAAGGATGAGGGTAGGGGCTGAAATTCAGCTGTTTCTTTTTTTTGCTGAGTCATGAGCACTCCATCCAGAAAGGGTGCCTTTTTCTAATTTGTATGGTAATGTCCTGAGGTCCTAGATAGCATAGTGGGATGGGGTTTTTACGGTTTATTTTTCCATGTGTGTCTTAAATGTATACCTACCTCTCTCTGGAACATCTCCTATTAATGGGTACAATTTCTCCTGGCCTAAAGGAACAAGTTTACTTTTTTTAAAAAAGAAAGGCCGATCTGGAACCTGAGAAATTTGGACAGATTTACAGACAAGCACTTTAGAGGCTTAGGGAGGACATTTGTTGTTAGTCTAGGAAAATGTGTAGGTAGCTTTTGCATTCTAGAACTCCTACTACGGTTTTGCTCTTTTTCTTAGCTCTTCCCAGATACATTTTATTTAATAATCATTTTAGATATTTGTGTTTTGAGAAAGATCTCTTGAAGAATAAAATCTCTAAGACATCTAGGAATGAATTTCTAGTGCTGCAAAGAAGCTTCACAGGAGCATGGTGTTGGAGAGTGGGGTGGGCTCATAAATCCCACTGTGACAGCATTGATTTGTTCCTCCTAAGAGATGTACATTTCTCAAATATTTGAAGAAACTAGAATCCTGAGAAAGACACCTGACGAGTCCTTCTCTTAGGAGAGCAGACTTTAGATAAGAGATTAGTGGAAGGTTTGTGGACTAGATAAATGAATGCGATAGTCAAGTATTTTGAGATGGGTCAGAGTAAGACCAAGTATTTTGAAGTTGTGCATATAGAGAATAAATAACTCTAAGAAATCTAAGGGAAAGATTGCATATGAAAAACTGAGAAGGAGTTGCAATGGATCATCCTAAGGAGGCGTTTACCTTTGCCAGCCTTTCCAATGTGCTGAGTCTAGGGCAAACAAAGTTTCTCAAGCCTCATTTATCCTTTTATAGCACATTAATAAAGTGATTCACTTGTTTGTCAGCACTTTTTACTCTATAAAGCCTCAAATTGACATCAATCACACATGCCAAGGTGTACAGAATAATAAATGCATCTTTCTCCAAATCTAACTGCAGTAGATTCATACAGCCCCTTTTAATTTACTTTACCTAGGCTTTATATTTTAACCCCTTACAGGGACCAGCTTTCTGCATACCTAGGCAGTTATTTGAAGGACACAGGATTGTTTCTTCCATCACTTTCTATATTTCAGCCTTCCTGTCACTAATAAGCCACTGATGTATTAATTTCTAAAATGAATCATGTGTGTGTCTTTGCTGAGGGACTATAGGCAGTTACATAATATAGTTTACAAAGGTGAAGATATTGGATACAAACAGACCTTGGGTTTGAGTCCTCAGTCTGCTAATTACCAGATGTTTGACCTTGAGAAACTAATTTAAATCCACTGAACCTCAGTTTCTGTATCTTTAAGACTATTATAATGATTCCTAATTTTCAGTCTTTGGGAGAATTAACTTACATATGAGAATTACATTAAATATCTAGCTTAATACCTGACACTATGGTAGGAAAATTTATGTAATTATATTTGTAGAAATTTTACCTCTTTTTTTGCAAATCTGAAAATTATAAAACCATCTTATAAGAAACTTTCAATGGTGATGAGTGTAATAGTAGAGATGACCCATCCTTGTAACCATATATTTTTTTTCCTCTAAAATTTTACTTAAAGTTTAGAATGCTAGTTAAGGTCCTGTGTTCTGTGCTATGCTGGTTTAGGAATTGTCATTTTAACTGAAATACAGTAGTCTCCTTTTATCTACAGTTCCGCTTTCCATGGTTTCAGTTACCTGTGGTCCACCATGGTCTAGATATATTAAATGGAAAGTCCCAGAAATAAGCAATTCATAAGTTTGACGTTGCATACCATTCTGAGTAATGTGATGAAATTTCATGTTGTCCCACCCTGTTCTGTTCTGGATGTGAATCATCCCTTTGTCCAGGGTGTGCATGCTGTATATGCTACCCCACTCATTCAATAGTCACTTAGTAGTTCTGTTGATAGTGAAAAAAATAGCACTTTTCCCACATGATTATCTTATTCCCAAAGATCATGACATATCCTCAGATATCAGCATGCAAAAGTGAGGGATAAAGTTTAAATATTTTCCTAGATTGATTTAAATGTAATTGACAAGTAAAATTGAATTACAAAGTACAATGTGATGTAGTGATATATGTATGAGGATGAAGTTGTTTTTGCTAGGGAGGAAATAATATGGGAGAAATGTTCAAAGTTGCATTGACTTGGGGCACAAGAGGAGATATGGTGACCCTGGTCATGTTGTAGTGTAAGTTTGTTTAGTAATCTTTTGATTTAATGTTATTGATTTGATGTTCAGCTTTAGCAAATATAACATGCAATCTTGACTTAGTATAATATTGGTTGGTAATATAACCTTCTTTAAAATCAAAAGACTTAAGAATCCTTTAGAATAAATTTCCTCCTTCCCAATACTGTAGTTTTTAGTTATCTCCTTGTATTTTTATGTAGACCATTTATTGAAGGATAAAATAATGAAAATTGCAAAATTCATAAATGTACATTTTAATAAATCTTCACAAGTTTTATTTTATACAGATGGAACTAGCATCTAGATTAAAAATCAAAACGTTGCCCAAAACCCAGAAGTGCCCTTATGCCCCTTTAAGTTACTATCCAATCCTCTTTCCCTGCCATCAAGGATAATTTTATTCTGACTTCTAATACCATAGATTAGTTTCACCTTCTTTTGCCTTTTTGTAAATAGATTTATATGATATGTACTCTTTAGTGCCTTACTTATTTTATTCATGCTATGTTTTGAGATTCATTTATATTATGGGTAAGTGTAACTAATTCATTCTCATTGTATGATATGTCATTATATGTAATACTATAATTAATATATCTATTCTTTTGATGGTGGACATTTTGGTATTATGAACATTTCCAGATTGATGGTATTACAAATAGTGCTGTTATGCATATTCTGGTTTGTATCTTTTGTTGACCCTACATATATATGTCTAGAGTGTATATACCACAGAATGAAGTTGTAGGGTGCAGGCTGTACATACATACATTACCTTTGGTAGATGCATCTGAACAGTAGTTGTACCAACTTATACTCCCATCAGTCCATGTATGAGAATACCAATTCCTCCTTACCAAAGCCAACATTTGGTATTTTCTATCATTTTAATTTTTACCCTTCTGATGCATTTAATTTGCATTTCTCTGATGACCATTTGGATATCCTCTTTTATGTATTGCCTACACAAGTCTTCTGGTCATTTTTTCTAGTGAATTGTCTTCCTTTTTCATGTTGATTTGAAGATATTCTTTATATATTTTGGGATCATACAGTATATTCTCATTTGAGTATGTCTTGTTTTTGCTCAAAATATGATTGTAAGATGCTTCAATACTTTCTGTTTCTCAGTTGTTTTATTCAGGATAATGGCCTCCAGCTCCATCTGTGTTGCTGTGAAGACATGGTTTTATTCTGTTTTCTGGTTGCATGGTATTCCATGGGATATATGTAGCACATTTTCTTTATCTAATCAACCATTTGTGGAGACTTAAGTTGATTCCATGACTTTGCTATTGTAAATAGTGCTGCAGTAAACATATGAGCCCAGGTGTCTTCTTGACAAAACAATTTCTTTTCCTTTGGATAAATACCCAGTGGTGGGATTGGTGGGATGAATGGCAGTTCTGTTTTTAGTTCTTTGAGAAATCTCCATACTGTTTTCTGTAGGGGTTAAACTACCTTGTATTCCCCTCAATGGTGTATAAGTGTTCTCTTTTCTCTGCATCCTTGCCAACATCTGTTATTTCTTGTCTTTTTAGTAATAGCCATTCTGACTAGTGTGAGATGGTACCTCATTGTGGTTTTGATTGGCATGTCTCTGATGATTAGTGGTGTTAAATCTTTTTTTAAAAAATATGTTGGTTGCTTGGATGTCTTCTTTTGAGAAGTGTCTGTTCGTGTCTTTTGCCCACTTTTCAATGTGGTTATTTGGTTTTTGCCTGTTGAATTAAGTTCCTTGTAGATTCTGGATATTTGACCTTTGTTGGATGTATGGTTTGTTAATGTTTTCTGCCATTCTGTAGGTTGTCCATTTATGCTGTTGATAGTTTCTTTTGCTATGAAGAAGCCCCTTAGTTTAATTAAGGCTCACTTGTAAACTTTGGTTTCTGCCGCAATTACTTTTGAAGACTTAGTCATAAATTCTTTCCCAAGACTGATGTTCAGAATGGTGTTTCCTAGGTTTTCTTCAAGGATTCTTTGAAATTTTTTTTAATTTTTAATTTTTGTGGGTACATCGTACATGTGTATATTTATGGCGTACATGAGATGTTTTGATAGAGGCATGCAATATGAAATAATCATATCATGGAGAATGGAGTATCCATCCATTTATCCTTTACGTTACAAACAATTCAATTACAATCTTTTAGCTATTAAACATGTACTGTTTTTATTGACTATAGTCATGGTTGTGCTATTAAATAGTAGGTCTTATTTTTGAACTATTTTTTGTACCCCTTAACCATACCCACTCCACCCACCCAGCCCCTTAGTATCCTTTCTGGCCTCTGGTAACCATCCTTCTACTCTATTTCCATGAATTCAATTGTTTTGATTTTTAGATCCCATGAACAAATGAGAACATGTGATGTTTATCTTTCTGTGCCTGGCTTATTTCACTTAATGTAATGATCTCCATTACCATCCATGTTGTTGCAAATGGCTGGATCTCATTCTTTTTTGACTGAATAGTACTCCATTGTGTATAAGCACCACCTTTTGTTTATTCACTCACTTGTTGGTGAACACTTAGATTGCTTCTAAATCTTGACTATTGTGAACAGTGCTGCAACAAACATGGGAGTGCAGATACCACTTTGATATACTGATTTTCTATCTTTTCAATATATACCCAGCCATGGGATTACTGGATCATATGGTAGCTCAATTTTTAGTTTTTCTGAGGAAACTTCAAACTGTTCTCCATAGTGGTTGTACTAATTTACATTTCCAAAAACAGTGTGTGAAGATTCCCGTTTATCTACATCTTCATCATCATTTCTTATTGCCTGTCTCTTGGATATAAGCCGTTTTAACCAGCATGAGATGATATCTCATTGTAGTTTTGGTTTGCATTTCTCTGATGATCAATGATGTTGAGCGCCTTTTCATATGCCTGTTTCCTATTCGTATGTCTTCTTTTGAGAAATGCCTATTCAAATCTTTTGCCCATTTTTTGATTGGGTTATTACATTTTTTCCTGTAGAGTTGTTTGAGCTTCTTATACATTCTGTTTTTTAATCTCTTGTCAGATGAGTAGTTTGCAAATATTTTCTCCTATTTGTGGGTTGTTTGTTCACTTTGTTGATTATGTCCCTCATTGTGTGAAGCTTTTGAACTCGTTGTGCTCCCATTTGTCCATTTTTGTCTTGGTTGCCTGTGCTTGTAGGGTATTACTCAAGAAATATTTGTCCACAACAATGTCCTGGAGAGTTTCCCTAATGTTTTCTTGTAGTTATTTCATAGTTTGAGGTCGTAGGTTTAAGTCTTTAATCTATTTTTATTTGATTTTTATATGATGAGAGATAGGGGTCTAGTTTCATTCTCCTGCATATGAATATTCAGTTTCCCCATCATCATTTATTGAAGAGAATATCTTTTCCCTACTGTATATTCTTGGCCTCTTTGTTGAAAACGAGTTCACTGTAGGTGTGTGGATTTATTTCTGGGTTCTCTATTCTGTTCCATTGGTCTGTGTGCCTGATTTTATGCCAGTACCGTGCTGTTTTGGTTGCTATGGTTCTGTAGAATAATTTGAAGTCAAGTAATGTGACTCCTCCAGTTTTTTTCTTTTTGCTTATGATAGCTCAGGGTATTCTGGGTCTTTTGCAGTTCCACATAAATTTTAGGATTGTTTTTTCTATTTCTGTGAAGAATGTAATTGGTATTTTGATAGAGGTTAAATTGAATCTGTAGATTGCTTTGGGTAGTATAGACATTTAAGCAATATGTATTCCTCTAATCCATGAATATGGAATATTTTTCTTTCCCTCTTCTGTTTGTTTTCAACAGTGTTTTATAGTTTTCATTATAGAGATCTTTTACTTCTTTGGTTAAATTAATTCCTAGCTATTTAATTTTATTTGTGACTATTACAAATGGGATTACTTTCTAAAATTTCTTTTTCATATTGTTCACTGTTGGCACATAAAAATGCTACTAATTTTTGTATGTTGATTTTGTATTCTGCAACTTTACTGAATTGGTTTATCAGTTCTCATTGTTTTTTGGTGGAGTATTTAGGCTTTTCTATATATAATATATCATCTGCAAACAAGAATAATTTTAATTCTTCTTTTCCAATTTGGATGCCCTTTATTCCTTTCTTTTGTCTGATGGCTTTAGCTAGGACTTCTAGTACTATGTTGAATAACAGTGGTGATAGTGGGCATCCTTGTCATGTTCCAGGTCTTAGAGAAGAGGCTTTCAGTTTTTTCCACTCAGTATGATACTAGCTGTGGGTGTGTCATATATGGCTTTTGTTATGTTAAGGTATGTTCCTTCTATACCCACTTTTTTATCATAAAGGGATGTTAAATTTTATCAAATTTCTTTTCACCATCACTTGAAATAATCATATGGTTTTTATCCTTCATTCTGTTGATATGATGTGTCACATTGATTGATCTGCATATGGTGAATCATTCTTGCATCCCAGGAATAAATCCCATTTGATCATGATGAATGATCTTTCTAATGTATTGTTGAGTTCAGTTTGCTAGTATTTTGCTGAGGATTTTTGCATCAGTATTCATCAGAGATGTTGGACTGTAGTTTACTTTTTTTGTCTTAATGTGTCTTTGTCTGATTTTGGTATTGGAGTAATGCTGGCCTCATAGAATGAGCTTGGATATATTCTCTCCTCCTGAATATTTCAGAATATTTTGAGTAGGATTAGTATTAATTCTTCTTTAAAGGTTTGATAGAGTTCATTAGTGAAACCATGAGGTGCTGGGGTTTTCTTTACTGGGAGACCTTTGGGAGACTTTTTTTTTTATTTTTTTGAGTCAGGGTCTCGCTCTGTCACCCAGGCTGGAGTGCAGTGGTGTGATCTCAGCTCACTGCAACCTCTGCCTCCTGGGTTCAAGTGATTCTTGTGCCCCAGCTTCCCAGATGGCTGGGATTACAGGTGCCCACCTCCCAAAGTGTTGGGATTACAGACATGAGCCACTGCGCCTGGTCACTGGGAGACTTTTGTTTTTCTTTTTTTGAGACAGAGTCTTGCTCCATCACCTGGCCTGGAGGGCAGTGGTGTGATCTCAGCTCACTACAACCTCCGCCTCCTGGGTTCAAGCAATTCTCCTGCCTCAGCCTCCAGAGTAGCTGGGACAACATGCACATGCCACCACACCCGGCTACTTTTGTATTTTTTTTTTTAACTTTTTAAAATTATTATACTTTAAGTTTTAGGGTATATGTGCACAACGTGCAGGTTTGTTACATATGTATACATGTGCCATGTAGGTGTGCTGCACCCATTAACTCATCATTTACATTAGGTATATCTCCTAATGCTATCCTTCCCCCCTCCCCCCACCCCACAACAGGCCCCAGTGTGTGATATTCCCCTTCCTGTGTCCAAGTGTTCTCATTGTTCAATTCCCACCTATGAGTGAGAACATGTGGTGTGTGGTTTTTTATCCTCGTGATAGTTTGCTGAGAATGATGGTTTCCAGTTTCATCCATGTCCCTACAAAGGACATGAACTCATCATTTTTTATGGCTGCATAGCATTCCATGGTGTATATGTGCCACATTTTCTTAATCCAGTCTGTCATTGTTGGACATTTGGGTTGGTTCCAAGTCTTTGCTATTGTGAATAGTGGTGCAGCAAACTTACATGTGCATGTGTCTTTATAGCAGCATGATTTATAGTCCTTTGGGTATATACCCAGTAATGGGATGGCTGGGTCAAATGGTATTTCTAGTTCTAGATCCCTGAGGAATCGCCACACTGTCTTCCACAATGGTTGAACTAGTTTACAGTCCCACCAACAGTGTAAAAGTGTTCCTATTTCTCCGCGTCCTCTCCAGCACCTGTTGTTTCCTGACTTTTTAATGATCGCCATTGTAACTGATGTGAGATGGTATCTCATTGTGGTTTTGATTTGCATTTCTCTGATGGCCAGTGGAATGATGAGCATTTTTTCATGTGTCTTTTGGCTGCATAAATGTCTTCTTTTGAGAAGTGTCTGTTCATATCCTTCACCCACTTTTTGATGGGGTTGTTTCTTTTTTCCTTGTAAATTTGTTTGAGTTCTTTTTAGATTCTAGATATTAGCCCTTTGTCAGATGAGTAGATTGCAAAAATTTTCTCCCGTTCTGTAGGTTGCCTGTTCACTCTGATGGTAGTTTCTTTTGCTGTGCAGAAGCTCTTTAGTTTAATTAGATCCCATTTGTCAATTTTGGCTTTTGTTGCCATTGCTTTTGGTGTTTTGGACATGAAGTCCTTGCCCATGCCTATGTCCTGAATGGTATTGTCTAGGTTTTCTTCTAGGGTTTTTATGGTTTTAGGTCTAACCTGCAAGTCTTTAATCCATCTTGAATTAATTTTTGTATAAGGTGTAAGGAAGGGATCCAGTTTCAGATTTCTACATATGGCTAGCCAGTTTTCCCAGGACCATTTATTAAATAGAGAATCCTTTCCCCATTTCTTGTTTTTGTCAGGTTTGTCAAAGATCAGATAGTTGTAGTTATGTGGCATTATTTGTGAGGGCTCTATTCTGTTCCATTGGTCTACATCTGTGTTTTGGTACCGGTATCATGCTGTTTTGTTTACTGTAGCCTTGTAATATAGTTTGAAGTCAGGTAGCATGATGCCTCCAGCTTTGTTCTTTTGGCTTAGGATTGACTTGGCAATGTGGGCTCTTTTTTGGTTCCATATGAACTTTAAAGTAGTTTTTTCCAATTCTGTGAAGAAAGTCATTGGTTGCTTGATGGGGATGGCATTGAATCTATAAATTATCTTGGGCAGTATGGCCATTTTCATGATATTGATTCTTCCTACCCATGAGCATGGAATGTTCTTCCATTTGTTTGTATCCTCTTTTATTTCCTTGAGCAGTGGTTTGTAGTTCTCCTTGAAGAGGTCCTTCACATCCCTTGTAAGTTGGATTCCTAGGTATTTTATTCTCTTTGAAGCAATTGTGAATGGGAGTTCACTCATGATTTGGCTCTCTGTTTGTCTGTTATTTGTGTATAAGAATGCTTGTGATTTTTGCACATTGATTTTTTGTCCTGAGACTTTGCTGAAGTTGCTTATCAGCTTAAGGAGATTTTGGGCTGAGATGATGGGGTTTTCTAGCTATACAATCATGTCATCTGCAAACAGGGACAATTTGACTTCCTCTTTTCCCAATTGAATACGCTTTATTTCCTTCTCCTGCCTAATTGCCCTGGCCAGGACTTCCAACACTATGTTGAATAGGAGTGGTGAGAGAGGGCATCCCTGTCTTGTGCCAGTTTTCAAAGGGAATGCTTCCAGTTTTTGCCCATGCAGTATGATATTGGCTGTGGGTTTGTCACAGATAGCTCTTATTATTTTGAGATATGTCCCATGAATACCTAAATTATTGAGAGTTTTTAGCATAAACGGTTGTTGAATTTTGTCAAAGGCCTTTTCTGCATCTATTGAGATAATCACGTGGTTTTTGTCTTTGGTTCTGTTTATATGCTGGATTACGTGCATTGATTTTCATATGTTGAACCAGCCTTGCATCCGAGGGATGAAGCCCACTTGATCATGATGGATAAGCTTCTTGATGTGTTGCTGGATTCAGTTTGCCAGTATTTTATTGAGGCTTTTTGCATCAATGTTCATCGAGGATATTGATCTAAAATTCTTTTTTTTTGTTGTGTCTCTGCCAGGCTTTGGTATAAGGATGATGCTGGCCTCATAAAATGAGTTAGTGAGGATTCCCTCTTTTTCTATTGATTGGAATAGTTTCTGAAGGAATGGTACCAGCTCCTCCTTGTACCTCCGGTAGAATTCGGCTCTGAATCCATCTCATCCTGGACTTTTTTTGGTTGGTAAGCTATTAATTATTGCCTCAATTTCAGAGCCTGTTATTGGTCTATTCAGCGATTCAACTTCTTCCTGGTTTAGTCTTGGGAGAGTGTATTTGTCGAGGAATTTATCCATTTCTTCTAGATTTCCTAGTTTATTTGCGTAGAAGTGTTTATAGTATTCTCTGATGGTAGTTTGTATTTCTGTGGGATTGGTGGTGATATCCCCTTTGTCATTTTTTATTGCATCTCTTTGATTCTTCTCTCTTTTTTTCTTTGTTAGCCTTGCTAGCGGTCTATCAATTTTGTTGATCTTTTCAAAAAACCAGCTCCTGGATTCATTGATTTTTTGAAGGGTTTTTTGTGTCTCTATTTCCTACAGTTCTGCTCTGATTTTAGTTATTTCTTGCCTTCTGCTAGCTTTTGAATGTGTTTGCTCTTGCTCCTCTAGTTCTTTTAATTGTGATGTTAGGGTGTCAATTTTAGATCTTTCCTGCTTTCTCTCATGGGCATTTAGTGCTATAAATTTCCCTCTACACACTGCTTTGAATGTGTCCCAGAGATTCTGGTATGTTGTGTCTTTGTTCTTGTTGGTTTCAAAGAACATCTTTATTTCTGCCATTATTTCGTTATGTACCCAGTAGTCATTCAGGAGCAGGTTGTCCAGTTTCCATGTAGTTGAGTGGTTTTGAGTGAGTTTCTTTATCATGAGTTCTAGTTTGATTGCACTGTGGTCTGAGAGACAGTTTGTTATAATTTCTGTTCTCTTACATTTGCTGAGGAGAGCTTTACTTCCAAGTATGTGGTCAGTTTTGGAATAGGTGTGGTGCGGTGCTGAAAAGAATGTATATTCTGTTGATTTGGGGTGGAGAGTTCTGTAGATGTCTGTTAGGTCTGCTTGGTGCAGAGCTGAGTTTAGTTCCTGGGTATCCTTTTTAACTTTCTGTCTCATTGATCTGTCTAATGTTGACAGTGGGGTGTTAAAGTCTCCCATTATTATTGTGTGGGAGTCTAAGTCTCTTTGTAGGTCACTCAGGACTTGGTTTATGTATCTGGGTGCTCCTGTATTGGGTGCATATATATTTAGGATAGTTAGCTCTTCTTGTTGAATTGATCCCTTTACGGCCTTCTTTGTTTCTTTTGATCTTTGTTGGTTTAAACTCTGTTTTATGTAACGGCCTTCTTTGTCTCTTTTGATCTTTGTTGGTTTAAACTCTGTTTTATGAGAGACTAGGAATGCAACCCCTGCCTTTTTTTGTTTTCCATTTGCTTAGTAGATCTTCCTCCATCCCTTTATTTTGAGCCTATGTGTGTCTCTGCACGTGAGATGGGTTTCCTGAATACAGCACACTGGTGGGTCTTGACTCTTTATCCAATTTGCAAGTCTGTGTCTTTTAATTGGAGCATTTAGCCCATTTACATTTAAGGTTAGTATTGTTATGTGTGAATTTGATCCTGTCATGATGTTAGCTGGTTATTTTGCTCGTTAGTTGATGCAGTTGCTTCCTAGCCTCGATGGTCTTTACAATTTGGCATGTTTTTGCAGTGGCTGGTACTGGTTGTTCCTTTCCATGTTTAGTGCTTCCTTCAGTAGCTCTTTTAGGGCAGGCCTTGTGATGACAAAATCTCTCAGCATTTGCTTCTCTGTAAAGTATTTTATTTCTCCTTCACTTATGAACCTTAGTTTGGCTGGATATGAAATTCTGGGTTGAAAATTCTTTTCTTTAAGAATGTTGAATATTGGCCCCCACTCTCTTCTGGCTTGTAGAGTTTCTGCCGAGAGATCCGCTGTTAGTCTGATGGGCTTCCCTTTGTGGGTAACCCGGCCTTTCTCTCTGGCTGCCCTTAACATTTTTTCCTTCATTTCAACTTCGGTGAATCTGACAATTATGTGTCTTGGAGTTGGTCTTCTCGAGGAGTATCTTTGTGGCGTTCTCTGTATTTCCCGAATCTGAATGTTGGCCTGGCTTGCTAGACTGGGGAAGTTCTCCTGGATAATATACTGCAGAGTGTTTTCCAACTTGGTTTCATTCTCCCCGTCACTTTCAGGTACACCATTTAGATGTAGATTTGGTCTTTTCACATAGTCCCATATTTCTTGGAGACTTGGTTAATTTCTTTTTATTCTTTTTTCTCTAAATTTCTCTTTGTGCTTCATTTCATTCATTTTGTCTTCCATCGCTGATACCGTTTCTTCCAGTTGATTGCATCGGTTACTGAGGCTTCTGCTTTCTTCACGTAGTTCTCGTGCCTTGGTTTTCAGCTCCATCAGGTCTTTTCAGGACTTCTCTGCATTGGTTATTCTAGTTAGCCATTCATCTAATTTTTTTTCAAAGTTTTTAACTTCTTTGCCATTGGTTCGAACTTCCTCCTTTAGCTCAGAGTAGTTTGATCTTCTGAAGCCTTCCTCTCTCAATTCCTCAAAGTCATTCTCCATCCAGCTTTGTTCCATTGCTGGTGATGAGCTGCATTCCTTTGGAGGAGGAGAGGCACTCTTATTTTTAGGGTTTCCGGTTTTTCTGCTCTTTTTTTTCCCCATCTTTGTGGTTTTATCTACCTTTGGTCTTTGATCATGGTGAGGTACAGATGGGTTTTTGGTGTGGATGTCCTTTCTGTTTGTTAGTTTTCCTTCTAACAGTCAGGACCCTCAGCTGCAGGTCTTTTGGAGTTTACTGGAGGTCCACTCCAGACCCTGTTTGCCTGGGTATCAGCATTGGTGGCTGCAGAACAGTGGATATTGGTGAGCCGCAAATGCTGCTGCCTGATCATTCCTCTGGAAGTTTTGTCTCAGAGGAGTACCCAGCTGTGTGAGGTGTCAGTCCGTCCCTACTGGGGGGTGCCTACCAGTTAGGCTACTCGGGGGTCAGGGACCCACTTGAGGCAGTCTGTCCGTTCTCAGATCTCCAGCTGCGTGCTGGGAGAACCACTACTCTCTTCAAAGCTGTCAGCCAGGGACATTTAAGTCTGCAGAGGTTATTGCTGTCTTTTGTTTTTCTGTGCCCTGCGCCCAGAGGTGGAGCCTACAGAGGCAGGCAGGCCTCCTTGAGCTGTGGTGGGCTCCACCCAGTTCGAGCTTCTCCGCTGCTTTGTTTACCTACTCAAGCCTGAGCAATGGTGGGCGCCCCTCCCTTAGCCTGGCTGCCGCCTTGCAGTTTGATCTCAGTCTGCTGTGCTAGCAATGAGTGAGGCTCCGTGGGCATAGGACCCTCCGAGCCATGTGTGGGGTATAATCTCCTGGTGTGCCGTTTGATAATCCTGTTGGAAAAGGGCAGTATTAGGGTGGGGGTGACCCGATTTTCCAGGTGCCGTTTGTAATCCCTTCCTTTGACTAGGAAAGGGAATTCCCTGACCCCTTGCACTTCCCAGGTAAGGTGATGCCTCACCCTGCTTTGGCTCATGCACGGTGCGCTGCACCCACTGTCCGGCACTCCCAAGTGAGATGAACCCGGTACCTCAGTTGGAAATGCAGAAATCACCCATCTTCTGCATCGCTCACGCTGGGAGCTCTAGACTGGAGCTGTTCCTATTCGGCCATCTTGGCTCCACCCTCTGGGTTTACCAATTTTATAATTGATTTTAAAAAACCAGTTTCTGGTTTTGTTGGTTTTTTTCTACTGTAAGTTTGACTTTCTCTTTTGTTGATTTCAGCTCTCTTTTGTTATTCTTTCCTTTACATTTTCAATGTTTGATATACAGTTATTTTTTAAACTTATTGAGTGGAAGCTTAGATAATTGATTTTTCATATTTCTTCATTTCTGAAATTTGCATTTAAGGCTTCCCATTTCCTCCTAAACACAGCTTTAGGTGAATCACACAAGGTTGTTTTTTTTTGAGACATAGTCTCACTCTGTTGCCCAGCTGGAGTGCAGTGGCACAATCTTGGCTCACTGCAGCCTCTGCCTTCCGAGTTCAAGTGATTCTCCTATCTCAGCCTCCTGAGTAGCTGGGACAACAGGTGCATGCCACCATGCCTGGCTAATTTTTGTTTTGTTTAAGTGGAGTCTTGCTCTTGTCACCGAGGCTGGATTGCAGTGTGTGATCTCATGTGACTGCAACCTCTGCCTCCCAGGTTCAAGCGATTCTCCTGTGTCAGCCTCCCGAGTAGCTCAGATTACAGGTGCCTGCCACCACGCTAGGCTAATTTTTGTATTTTTAGTAAAGACAGGGTTTCACCATGTTGGCTAGGCTGGTCTTGAACTCTTGACCTCAGGTAATCCACCCACCTCAGCCTCCCGAAGTGCTGGGATTCTAGGCATGAGCCATCGTGCCCGGCCATTTTTGTATTTTTAATAGAGTTGGGGTTTTATCAAGTTGGCCAGGCTGGTCTTGAACTCCTGACCTCAAAAAATCATACAAGTTTTGATTTGTGGTCTCTTTTTAATAATTCAGTTTAAATATTTTAAAATTTTGGCTTCAAAGTTATTCTTTGACCAATACATTATTTACAGTGTATTTTAAAATTTTCGGTCAGTTAGGAATTTTCTAGTTGTCTTTTCTGATTTCTTGCTTAATTCTACTGTGGTCAGGGAACATACTCTGAACTATTTTGATCATAAAATTTGTTGCTTTATATTCAAGTTCATGGCCAATTTTGGTAAATGCGTCAAGAGGACAAGGTCTGGAATCAGACTGGCTGGCTTCACAGTTAGTCTCTGCTACTTTTAAGCTTTGTAATCTTTGTAAATTATTTAATAATATAGTGTCTTGGTTTTATTATATATGTAACAAATACATTAATACTACCTACCTCGTTGGCTCATAATGATAACTACATGAAATAATATATGCTACATGCTTATGTTAGTTGCCTGGCTCATGATAAGCATTAAAAATATAGCCAATTTTTATTTCTCATGTTTACAGATAATTGAGGTTCTATGAATAACCTTATCTGAGTATGTTGAATTTTATAGTCAAATATATTTGTATGATATATATGTTGATTCTTAACTTTATTATATTTTACATTGTAATTTCTGTTAAAAATTTTTATGTTTTACTATCTGGTTGTGTTTTGGTAGCTCTTGTGTATTTTTATTTTCATTTTTATAATTTAAAAGTGTAATAATTGTTTCCTTTTATTTTAAAAAATTTGTAACAGCAAGTATTGATAGCAGTGCTATGAAAGTACTGCTGAAAAGAACTTTCTAAGGTGATCAAAATGCTTTATACCTGTGCTATTCAATGCAATAGCCACTGAACACATGTTGCTATTGAGCACTTAGAATGTGGCTAGTGTGACTGAGGAACTGAATTTAAAACTTATTTCATTTTAATTAATTTAGATTTAAATACATGTGACTAATGGCTACTTGATTGGACAGCATAGACCTATTGTATACTCAGTTCTCTGTTTTATTAAGCAATATTCACCAACTTCCCTCTATAAATATACTTCGCCTTCCCTTCATCTCCCTGATTTTCTTCCTCTCTCCCCCTGTTCCCAATTTTACCTCATTATTTTTTCTTGGCCGTTTTGGTGTTACTTCTAATTTACTTAAATATAGTTATATCTTGATATGATAACAACTAGTGGCTGTTGGCCATGTATTTCAGTTCTCTCATTCTGGACACATAATAAGATATCCTTTCCTGATAGCCTTGTGTTTCAATGAGACCCTGTGTTGAATTCTAGCCATTGAGTTGTGAAGAGAAGTGACAATACTGGTATGAGGTCCTTTTCCTCTGCCATTAAATCTGTTGTGTTTCAGATTGTGGTTCTCTGTCAATCTGTGTTGGAGTAAAGATAATGTAGAGAAAAGCCACAGCTCGCCCATGATGGGCATTTAACTTGAGTGTGAAACAAAACTGTTGTGTTAAGCCACTGACATTTGGAGATTGATTTTGCAACTTAACCTAGTTACTCTGTCTTTACTGGTATGCTGAATTACTTGATTGATCAACATAAAATCAATTGGCATTTCTATAAAAGATATCAACTCATTTGCCATGCATCAATCTTCTCTTTTTCAAACATTTGTTACAGTATTTGTAAATAATAATAATGGTAAAAAGTTTGTTTTGTTCTGTAACAACAATCTCCACAATTGTTTTATTCATGGTCATACAGTTAAATAAATGTATTTTGCCACAGTTTCTATATTTATATTTTAGTTAACAGAGACATGAAAGGATCCTCAGTCAGAAAGCGGTAAGAGTGACTTCACTCTTTGCAATTGAGTGGTAATAAAATAATAATAAAAGGTGGTTAGAGCAGAACAACAAAATTGAGAAGCCATAAAGACAAAACATGGCAGTCTTCATCTAGTACTCTTCACAGGGGAGGATAACCTGCTAATAGTTTCAAGAAAGTTTCATAGAATTATATTTCTTGAATTCTTGAATGTTACACTTATACATAAAAGACAGTTTGGCTTGATATAAAATTCTTGGCCCCTGCTTTTTTTCTTCAGGGACTTGGAGATGTTTTTCCATGTCATCTAGTTTTGTTTGTTTGTTTGTTTACATTTTTTTAAAATTTCCATAGGTTATTGGGGAACAGGTAGTATTTGGTTACATGAGTAAGTACTTTAGTGGTGATTGTGAGATTTTGGTGCACCCATTACCCGAGCAGTATACCCTGCACCCTATTTGTAGTATTTTATCCCTTACTCCCTTCCCACCCTTTCCCCCTGAATCTCCAAAGCCCATTGTGCCATTCTTATGCCTTTGCATCCTCATAGCTTAGCTCCCACTTATGATGAGAACATATGATGTTTGGTTTTCCATTCCTGAGTTACTTCACTTAGAATAATAGTCTCCAATCTCATCCAGGTCACTGTGAATGCCATTTTATGGCTGAGTAGTATTACATCTCATATACATATATATATATATATATATATACACACACACACACACACACACACACAGAGAGATACACACATACACAGAGATACACACACACACTCACACACGCACCACCATTTCTTTATCCACTCATTGATTGATGGGCATTTGTGTTGTTTCCATGTTTTTGCAATTGTAAATTGTGCTGCCACAAATGTGTGTGCAAGTATCTTTTTTGTATAATAACTTCTTTTCCTCTGGATAGATACCATGTCATCTAGTTTTGAATGTTACTGTGGATCAGTCTAAAACTTCTGCTTGATTTTTTTTTTGTTCTCAATAATTTGGTTTTGTGATTTTGTTTCCTGAACATCCAAAAAGTGCTTTCTTCATTTTTGAAGTCCAATAATTTTACTCATATACATTGATTGTTTTGTGTTGATTTTTCTGGGGTAAAATAAAACTTTTAACCTGTAGATCCAATTATTATGTTATTTCTGGGAAGTTTCATTGATTTATATCTTTGACTTTTAAGTTTTTGGATTCTATTAATTCAGTTACTTTCTTGGGATATTCCAGTTATATATGTATTGACTCTTCCATATCTATCACACTCTCTCTAATAACTGAGAACTCTTAATTTGAATTTTATTTTGTTAACTTTTCTCAGTAAATTCTTCATTAATCTCACTGTATTTTCAAAGTTACTCTTTCCAATGAAAGCTTCAATTCATCTTACTCCTCCACTCTTTTCTTCAGCTCTATCAGTTCCTGTTTTATTTCCTTTTGTATTTAAAGTGATTTGTCAGACTTCTTGTTTCATTAATTTCTTTAAGTTCATGGTAATAAAATTGGTCATGATTTTCATTTGCTTTTTTATCAATTTTGGATTTTTTTTGCCATTTTTTTTGTTCTTTCCTTCTTTGTTCTTTGAGTGGTAGCTTTCTTTTTAATGTTCAAGTTTTAGCTCAGATACAACTTCGTAATTTCTACCACATCATCCCTCATAATATTGTCATATCATGTATAATTGTGTTCTTGTTTTGTTTGTTTACTTGTTCATTATATGTCTTCCTAATATAATTAAAGATTATTATAGACAGGGACACTTCCTTTCACATTTAGCACTTCATTATAAAGCTTAATTTAGACAAATATATATCAGCAATGAATGAATATATATGTTCTCAGTCTCTTATGTTGAGACTGATTTTTGTGGAGAAGACTCATAGTATCTTCCAAACCATTATTACAGATCTGAAGGATATAAAATAATCCACAAAACTGAGAAGTATTATTAACTGCTCATTTTTAAAGGTGGAAATTTTGCAAATAAATATAAATACAAAAAGTTCAGTCAGAGACAAAAACATTGCACTAAGAGGAAATAATTAAACATTTGTGTGGAGCTCTAGTTAACATAAGTTTGCTATGGTAATTCCAGATACAATAGTTTTGCTCAAGGCATCCCAGAGTTACAACCTTGAAGACTAGTGGATTTCCCTTACCTACTCAAAGTTGAAAAAAAAAAATAACAGCACCTGTATTCCACAAAAAATGGAATTCAATATTGCATCTATGTTTTTCCATATGTCACTCTTTATTATCATAGAAATGTGAGCAAGACTTGCTTAGGTAAAAGTAACACTTTTGGATTTTTACCACTTTAAAATACTGTGCTAACTACTTTCTTCCTCTCCTACTCCATTCCCTCCTCTTCTTCCTTCTCCTCTTTCTCCTTCCTCCTTTTTCTTTTTAAAAGATACATAATAGTTTAGTCTAATGGTATAGAAATTATTTACCAAAAACCTAAAAATTAGAATAAATGGGCTGTTGTCACTTGACAGTTAATTAGTAAATAGTAGCATGCAATTTAGGTGTACTTTTGAATTAAAAGTTGATAAATGGCCTTTTTACTAGCTTAGAAGTTGCTGGGAGTTTTTACTCAAATTTCTTCCAAATAAACATTGATTTTCATGTGTAGTTTGGCATCATTTGATTTTAATAATTAATAATCACTAGTAAGCAGGTTTCTTTTTAAGCAGGCTAAATAACTTGCTAGTTCAAGCATTAGTTCTTTTACTGTAAAAATAATCCCTATGAATTTTAAATGTTTTTATTTTAAATAGACAATTGCTTTTGGATATGTTTGTTACTTGAGGGCAGTGGCAGGAGTCATGGTTATGCTTTCTGTACCATAAAGTTCCCTTACAGGCTTCTTTCAATGAGAAAATCTTTCTGGCCTCTTTCCAATGATTTGCATACTAATTTCCTTAGGGCTTATGCATTGTTTTATATGCTGCTAAATTCCCTGTATTGAAGAGATACAGCAATATTCAAGGCAGTTTTAGAAATGTACTTGCTAGTTTATTTTATTTTTATAGTTTATTTATTTATTTATTTACAAACCTGCATTATTTTTCTAAATAATGCAGGTTTGTAAAAAAATACTCAAACATTTTAAAAGTATCTGTATTTAAAGATGTATGTAATGTTTTCAGATATTTATTAATCGAAGTTTTTGAACTGATTATCATAAGGGAACATTAGTGCCACATATGTGAGTAAGGAACTTGATGCAGACTTTTATCTAAATTTTCCTTTTCTAGTAAGTGCTACTTTTTCATACAAGAACTCGTGCATGTAATTTTAGGAGAGTGGCTAGAACTCATCTATTTCCTAAGGGCTTAATAATGCTTAGTCTTCTGTATTGGTTGCCAATGTCTCCTAAGTATCTGGGTCAGTCTACCGGGAAGAGCATGAGGGCATGTTCCTTGGATATCTCTCAGATTTTGTCTCCTACTCTTACCACTGGCATCATCAAAAATATTTCCTTTTGCAAATTCTAGAACTACTTTTGCTCTAGGTTTGAAATACATTAAGCATACCTATTATGACCCCAGAGATAATGGAGATAATGTCATAACCAGAGGTAAGTGCTGAAACTAATTTTTCTTTTGGGTAAACAAACAAAAAACAAAGAATCACACACATGCTCTTTTCCCTTTCAAGATTTTCCCAAGAACTTTTCATTGCAAATAGATTGCCCGTAGAGATAAATTAAGAAGCCTTATAAAACTGATGCTTAACCAAAGTTGTATATTTAATTTAAATAATTCAAAGGCAGAGGTATGTTTTTAAATCATTAATCACAATTTGAACTTTAGTTCTAAAGACATGCAATCCATTGTTGCCCAATTAGCACTATAAATCTCAGGCAACTGTGAGTTTTAAAATTTGCTTTCTTCTCATTTCTTAAATATAACTGGGCTACCTTGAACCTCATCTTTTTAGGCATATGCAGAGAAGAATTTTAGCTTTCTCAGTGTACTTTGGATTCCAGCAGTCAATTTTTAAAATTTGGATATACTTAGTTGAATGGAATGTCAAGGAATAATTAGTCAAGATGGTAGTGCAAATCTACAAGCTACACACATTTTCACTGAGGAGGTCATATAATTACAAGGTTACATTTTGTATAGACTTTACCAGAATGATAGTGACTTCAAGGGTTAATTTTCATTCAGTACCACAGACATTTTTTCCTGCTTCTAAAAATGCCTGATTCATTCTTTTCTACTTTTAAGTTTCCCAAATGCCTAATTAACATTGTTGGCTGTCTTGTCCATGTGCCGACTGATGGCTTTCTACTGCACGTGTTTTTTGCTGTGCTTTAATGCTTTCCTTAGTATGCTTGGTCCCTGCATGGGACACATCAGAAGTCATGGGGAGCTGATGCTCACAGCAGTGGCCCTCAGCTCACGAAGCATGGTAGTTGGAGAATAAATACTGGCTTCCTCATCCTTTTGGTGATCAAGGGCTGAGGAGGGATCTGTTCACTCAGAGGTTCCCAGTGGAATTGAGACTCAGTCACCGACAATGATCTCCTGCATACTATCTTACTCTGTATTAATTTCCTTCCATTTCCTGTCTCTCTTTACCACTCCATTGTTGGTCTATTGGGATCAACTCCCTAATAAACCACTTACACTCACTCAAATCTTTATCTTATGGTCTATTTCTAGGATAACTAAATTTAAATCACTGTTTTTGATGGGTTACTTTTGAGAATGCTCAATACATTATAGTCGAGATCTACTGAATTCAAAACAAATCTTCATTTTCAATTAATAGCATTGATTTGAAATAGCTAGATATAAGTTATGATTTGCCAGATTCATCTCTTCAAAGGGTTCTTTTTTTGGAGCTCTTTTATTGTACAATATAAATTAATCCTAATGTAGCTTGTTACTTTGCAGCTCCAGATGTTAGGCTGATTAGGATCTCTGCATATTCATACCTTTACTCTCTTTTGGACAAAATAAATGATGAATTTGATTCACGCCTCTGCTATTGAAGCCCTTAAACACAAGAGCTGCAACACAAACACATACACACACACACACACACACACACACGCACACGCACACACATGCATGTACATGCACATAACGGATATAGAGCAACACTTGATAGCATTTTATAGAGTTAATGGAAGACTATGTTCTATTTTTGAAAATGTGTATATATCAACTTGTAAATGAGTGGGCAAATGGTGTTTCTAATGTCTAATTCATACAGTTTAAGCCATGAGCTTGGGGCAGACCAGATTCTCTTGATTGGTCCTCCAAAGGTTAGCAAAGGGTATAACTCAGATGTACATAAATTAATTTATATGACTTATCAACAACTCCCATTTCCACTCAGTAGCAAACACCAAACAGCACTCAACACAAAATAGCCCATATAAGATTACTCAGTCTTCTTCAGTGTAAAATAATTTGGTGGGAAGGGGGGAGATGCCTAGTCCTTCCCTTCATTCCATTTCTTCCCTTCTCCTTGAGTGCCTTTTTATACAAGGCAAAGTTCAGGTAATATTGTGATGGCAAGAGAGGTGTCTGGACCTCATGTAGGTTCTCACTGACTTTGGATTGGAGTGTGGCAGTTTGGTGTCTTCTTGAATGGCTCACCTCTGAGACTCAGTGCACCTTCTATCTGCTCTCTAACTGCTTTCCACTCCATTTCTTTTCCCCTCAACCCTCTGGAAAAAAAGTTGCTTCTTAATTCTTAGCTACCTGGTAAATGTCCCCCACTCCCAACTCCTGATAACTCTTTAGGTCTAAATCTCTGCTGTGCCGCATGGAGGCAAGGGTGTGGGTGCCACATGGAGGCAGGGGTGTTGTTAACATGCCACGTTACTGTGGCTGCTCTGCTTTGCCCAATGGCTCTGAGACATTCTTCAGCTATAGTTCTAAATGGGAAGAAGTATATTCTCCTATGCATGCCATTTCTTACCTTCTCATTACCCTTTCTTGAATCTTTGCTCCAGGGTGGTGAGAACACCTAACTCCATCTCAGGGACCCAAGTAATGCTACCCTAATTTGATCTTTCCCAGAGTTCTGGAAGTCCTCCCCATATAGCAGGTTTCCTTTCTATTCCTGTCTGTCTGAGCCTTCCTTGATAGCCTTCCTTCTCTGTGTGCCGACGCTCAGAGTAAAAATTTAAGCTCTGACATCCACATTTTACTTCTGCAATATAAAAAGATTTTGGAATTTAGAAAACATATTCCTCCCAGCAAAGCTTGGTTCTTAAGACCGCCATCTAGCATGAAGCAGGAATAATTTAATTTTGAAGCTTAAAGTTGAATAATGACTTATTTGTTATAGGAAATATTCAACAAAACCCTGAAGTAATGAATATTACTTAATGGGTGAAGAGTCATGAGGAAGTGGATTTATGATGAATGAAAAATACATTGGTTTAATATTTTCAGAAGTATTATCTTGTTAAAAATGTTATTACAAACAGTGTCTTAAAATAGACTCTTATTCACATATCCACTGATGAATAACACAAATAAAGCAGAACATGTGAGGCTGGTGATGCTTGACTTTATAGGATTACATATCATATAAATTTTATGAATAAGAGATGCAAATTTATTTTTGTTTCTGCTAATCTTAGCTTTATTACTGTTGAAAGTATAGCACACAAATTCACTCAAGTTTGGCCTCGAAAAATTTAAAAAATATTATTTTTAAATGAGTCCTACCTGCACCCACAACTATAATCATCACTTTCTAGTTTTGGTTGAAATGAGAATGAATCAACAAACAAGGGGGTATAATTTCTAAAATTTCATCCTCCTTAATACGTATATCTTCACTGGTACACATTCATGTTCATCTACCTGAAGTGGGTGCTGTTTAAACCAATTTGGCTATTGCAGTCCACAATTATCTCAGCCTGACTCACCGCTCCTGGAGTGAGGAATGAGGAAGTCAGAATCAGTCTGCTTCACAGACAGGAATCTATGGATGGAATCAGGTAATAGATGAGAGAGGTTATGCCACAGTGAATGCCTGCAGTCTGGTGAGGCACATGGAGGTTTGACAAGGAACTCATGTTTATCGAGCACCTCTTATCTGTCAAATGCTTTCAGATGAATAAGAAGAACATAATCATATCCTTAAAGACCAAGTATCCTTTTTAACTGGAGGCTGAAAATGTTAATGGAATGGAAGGAGAAGAGGGAGCTATCATTACTTGAGGATTTACTACACAGGTGCCAGGTATACTTTACCTTAATTAATCCTCAAAGCAATCCTATACCAACCTTATTTTATAGATGAGAAAACTGGGATTCATAGAGTTAGTAGACTTTCTCAGTACCACATTGGTGGTAAGTGGCAGATACTGGGAGTGGAACCCACATCCATTTGGGTCTAAATCTCAGATCTTTTATACTACAACAAAATGAGTATAAAAAAATGCATTTACCTTTTTTTCACCTGGCTAGTCTGGTGTTCTTTCCTAAGAAGTGAGTTAGTTAAGATGGTTCCTTAGTTCAAAGAGACAGACACCAAGATTATTTGTTGACAGAACATGTAGAGAACACTGAGACTGGGACCTTAATATCCCAGAATAAAGCCCTGAGAAGTTGCTACTAATGACTGATAGAGGAATCTAGAGGCTTTAGCATAAGTGTAAGAATTTGCTTTTTATTTTTTGCATTATTGTGCCGTATCTGACAGTTTTTTATATTTCACATGGTACATTATCTATTTTGTACTCACTAATATCCATAATCAGAGCTTATTAGGCCTAAATCATTGCCCAGAGCAAACTCTTTTCTTTTCTCTTTTCTTTTTTTTCTTCTTTCTTTCTTTCTCTTTCTTTCTTTCTTTCTTTCTTTCTTTCTTTCTTTCTTTCTTTCTTTCCTTTCTTTCTTTCTTTCTTTCTTTCTTTCTTTCTTTCTTTCTTTCTTTCTTCTTTCTTTCTTTCCTTTATTTCTTTTCTTTCTTTCTTCTTTTCTTTTCTTTCTTTTTTTTTTTTTCCCTGAGATAGAGTCTTGCTCTGTTGCCCAGGCTGGAGTGCAGTGGTGTGATCTCAGCTCACTACAACCTCCACCTCCCTAGTTGAAACGATTCTCCTGCCTTAGCCTCCTGAGTAGCTGGGATTACAGGTGTGTGCTACCATGCCTGGCTAATTTTTGTATTTTTAGTAGAGATGGAGTTTCACCATGTTGGCCAGGCTGGTCTCAGATGGGCTGGTCTCGAACTCCTGACCTCATGATCCGCCCACCTCAGCCTTCCAAAGTGCTGGGATTACAGGCGTGAGCCACCGTCCCTGGCTGCAAACCTGGTTTTTTATATGCCTTGGCAGTGCAGTTACTATGGGTATATTTTAAGAGTACTAGCAGAGATGATGATTTCCACATTTCAATATTATTTTCAATTTCTAATAAATTATAAATCATATTTCAAATCCATTAATTCAATAAGCAATTAATGAATCATTAATTTATAAATGGTACATTACCTGATTAAAGCAGAGAAAAGCCGTATACCTTCAGAAATGAGTAAGATTTGAATATTTAATTCTTTTGAGGATTAATTTAGAGATGTAAACTTAAGAGAATTTTCAAAAGATTTTCTGTCACATTTTCTATTTAGTTTGAAAATTATATATTTAGGCAGATAGGCTTTATGTTAGAAGATTATGGAGCAAGAATAGTAGGTCAAGAAAATGAGAAGAGTAATATAAGAGAAAATAAACCTCACAATTGATCCTACCTCAGACTAAGGAAAAACACTTTATATGCAGGCCACATTATCAGACTTACCTCTACCTCCCCTTCTCCCCCTAAAAACAAGAGAGAGAGAAAAATTCAGACAAAATTATAATGCACTCAACTTTTCTTTGATATTCAGAAAGACTCTTTTATTTAATTTTTAATTTTTTAATTTTAATTTTTGTGGGTACATAGTAGTTGTATATATTTTTGGGGTGCATGAGATGTTTTGATACAGGCATATGATGTGTAATAATTACCTCATGTAAAATGGGGTATCCATCCCCTCAAGCCTTTATTGTTTGTGTTACAAACAATCCAATTATACTCTTTTAGTTATTTTAAAATGTACAATTAAATTATTATTGACTATAGTCACCCTGTTGTGCTATCAAATCCCCCACCTCCCCCCACAGTCTCCCACTACCTTTCCCATACCCTGGTCAGAAAGAGTATTTTAGAATAGTTGATTACTATTCTAGTTTGGTAATTTCTCCTCAGCTGATCCCTTTGGCAGACTCTAAAAGGTATGTTTCTTTTTGTAACTTCTATGTCTAGGGTGGCATCTGGAAAAGGAGAATTAAACTTCTGGTTTATAACCTTACTTTGCTGCTTTACTGTAAAGTAACTTAGCTTTATTTACACCTGCCTTCCAAAAAATAAACACTCAGACAGTCCCGATGGCAAAAAACCAGAAGGAATCAGTAATTTACATATATCCAAAGGAGTCTGTCAAGATGGAAAGTGGAAGAAACGATTGACTATTTTATAGTGATTACCTTATTTTAACATGTATGAGACATCCATACTTTGATTGAATTTAGCTGATTCTATATTTGCTTTCAATTGTGTATTACTCAGGACTGGCACAGCGTCTCTTAAAAAAAATAGGAAGAAAGAAAAACAGAAAACAGAAAACTTTTAATAGAGTGAAAGAAATTCGCTCATCCTGAGCCCTTTTTTTGCTAGGAAATTTTCCAGTCCCTGTGACTTAATTTTTTTAATCTATTCACTATAAACAGGCCAGATAAAATAACACAACTTCCCACCCCGTAAGAATACAAATATGGCCATTTAACTTCTCCATGTTGTTCTCTAAATAACAGATTTCATTCATAAGCATGCCTGCAATTGAGTTATTCCAAAAAGTAGCTATAGATGTGTTATGATCAGTGTTGGAAAACTAGCCTCTGCTTTGCAGAAATACAGACTCCCGTACTTCTCCTTCAGCAGACTCATAGTATGTGCTGCTTTTTTTCATTTCCTAAGCTTCATCAGCTTTGCTCTCACACCCTTAAGTGATATTTTCCCAACCATAAATCTACTCATCTCAGCAGAAACAAGAACTATGTCTCCAACCACCACTCTCTTTTTCATATTGAAATTCTGTGTTTCTACCATTGTACCTCCAGGTACAACTCACAGGGAATCATTCTTCAGGTTTGATTATACTGTCAATTTAATCCCAAGATTTAGGCTATATTTTTACCCCTATCAAGAATCAGGACACCATTATCTGTATCTAGTTATTTTATTTAAAATTTATTTCCATTTCCACTCTTTTTTAACTTGAAAAAATTAACACATAATATTTGTACATATTGATGTGGTACATGTGGTATTTTGATACATGGGTACAGTGTGTAATGTTCAAGTTAGGGTATCTAGGATATTCATCACCCCAAGCAGTTATTGTTTCTTTGCGTTGGAAATATTTCAGATCTCTTCCATTAGTTATTAATAGTTATTTTAGAAATATTCTATAAATACACAATATATTGTTTTTAACTATAATCACTTTACTCTGCTATCAACCAATAGGCCCAGCGCACTGGCTCACACCTGTAATCCCAGCACTTTGGGAGGCCGAGGTGGGCAGATCACCAAGTCAGGAGATTGAGACCATCCTGGCTAACACAGTGAAACCCCGTCTCTACTAAAAATACAAAAAAATTAGCCGGGCGTGGTGGCGGGTGCCTGTAGTCCTGGATACTCAGGAGGCTGAGGCAGGAGAATGGCATAAACTTGGAAGGCAGAGCTTGCAGTGAGCTGAGATCGCGCCACTGCATTCCAGCCTGGGTGACAAAGTGAGACTCCGTCTCAAAAAAACAAAAAAACAAAAAACCAAAAAAACCCCACTAGCACTTATTCCTTCCATGTAAGTGTGTGTTTACGTGTTAACCAACGTTTCTTCACCTCCTGACCCTCACATTCCCAGTCTCTGGTATCTGTCATTCAACTTCCTCTACCTCCACAAGATATACATTTTTTTAAGCTCCCACATAATAATGAGAATATGCAATATTTGTATTTCTGTGCCTGGCTTATTTCCTCCTGTTCCATCTACATTGCAGCAAATGACAGGATTTCATTCTTTTTATGGCTGAATTAGTATTTCATTGCTCATATGTACCACATGTCCTTTATTCATTCATCTATTGATGGACACTTAGGTTGATTCCATATCTTGGCTGTTGTGAATAGTGCTGCAATAAATATGGAGGTACAGGTGTCTCTTTGATAACACTGATTTCCTTTCCCTGGAATAAACACCCAGAAGTGGGGTTGCTGGATGGTATGATAGCTCTATTTTTAGTTTTTTGAGAAACTTCCATACTGGTTGCCATAATGGCTGTATTAATTTACGTTCCCAAAAACAGTGTGTGAGTTCCTTTTTGCATCTTCAATAGCATTTGTTATTTTTGTCTTTTTTGATAATAGCCATTATAACTGCATCTCACCCACTCTTAATGAAATTTGTTGTATCAATGGAGAATATACTTGAGACATAATAAATTATATTTTTCCTTTTCTTGCTTAAACTTTTTTTTAAGGGAAGGAACTTAGGGTTAGTTGTTAAATTTAAGAGAAAATATATAGGTTAATTAAAACTTATACAGAGAGTGAGAGAGACAGAGAGAGAGGAAGAGAGAACAAGAAATTAATGAATATAGTCAGGATGATAGAATTCTTTGTTTTCTTGCAATCATGAAATTAAGGTCTTCCAAGATCACAGTAGGAGTTTAGTCAAGTCAATAAAGATGGAATCTTAGAATGTACTACTCCTGGTGGGATATATATTATAGTAATGAGCTTAAAATGAGAAATTATTTATAAATAATATAAATAGTAGTGAAAGGCAGAATTAGTTCCATCAGTTCCCATTGAAAAGATATAGGGAGAAATTTGAGAGAGGTTTGTGCCAAAAATAACGTGGTGAGCCCATGAGTGGAAGAACTTGTGTTTCATAAAGAAGAGTTGACTGTACCCTAAAGCCAATCAAGATAAATTTTTAAGAGTTCTAACCTTCTCTTGACCCACTGATTTTGCTTGAAGTCTCTGTAAGTAATATATCATGTAGTTGTTTCCTTTCTGCATTGTTTCCTCTGTGCCACACAGTGGCATCTTCTAAGAGCCTTGGACTAGAGAATGGCTGAAGCTCACTTTGCTGGGGCCCCTGGCTAGCTTTGCAGGGAACTGGAACAACTCTAGCTGTTTGCTGTTTCATTTGCTGTTCTTTCCTTATTATTGTGGAGGACCAGTATTGCCTAGAACAGGAATAGAAAAAAATCTCTTCTTTCTTGGCTATTAGTTGTTTTTATTTGCAGAGGATTACTGGGAAAATTCACTAATCTTCAGGATATTACAAATGGTGTATTTGTAGAAGAGTTCAATCCAATCTGTCCTAATTTAAGAAGCAGCTTTATTTTTCACATTTGAAAGCTACTCAACTCTCATGGTGAATGAATTATTGTTTGTTTTTTGACTATGTAGATTTATTTTGATTGTTAGTTCTTTGTGGTTTAACCATTGCTATGTGGCATTGGCTGGAAATAATTTAGTGAATAAAAGAGGTTAGGAATAAATCAGAATTTTTTTTCTCTCTAATGGGACATAAATGGTTTTGGTTAATAAACAAAAGGTGAAAAGAAAATATTGCAAAACATAAGGTGACATGACAATATGCAAAATCCTGTTTATATGACACATTTCAGGCATACTTAAATCTAAATCTCCAGAGCAATTTAACTTAAATGATTTGACCTTTATCTAAGGGAATCACCCTATATTAATTCTTTTAGCTAGAGAAAGCAGGCACAGTCCTCCCCAATCATAGAGTACTTGTATTTATATTTATATATGAATGGGACAAGGTAGATATTCAGAAATATTACTTGAATAAGTGTTCTACCATACATTGTGGTTAACTGTAGCCAAAAATCAAAACAATAAAAATTAAATTTGGTGAACTAATGATTTCACTGAAAAAGAAATTAACTTATTTAAAAATAATTTTTAAATGGAAAGGCTACAATATTCCAGTGTAGACACATCTAATTAACATTACCTATCTGTGTTTCTAATCATAAATCAATGACTTTATCTGATCTATGTTAAATTTGCTTAACAGAGTTGTGACTTCTCTGTAAAACAAGGACATCACATTGTTTTTCAGTTTGAGAGAGTATACTGTTTCATGAAATTTAAGCAGAGAGGTCACGGCAACTGTTGACAGAATGGCTGGTATCATTAAGTTTGTAACTATTCCCTACCTCCTCACTATACCTGTAAGACAGCACAACATGGTGGTGATTGCCACTGGGATGCTCCATAGTGGGGATATTCCAGAAAGTCTTACTCTTTCACTCCCAACTTGCAGCCTCTTGAGAGTTCAGGGAAGGCAGAAACAAGAAAGTTGTCTATTACATAGGAGGAACAAGATTGCTTCCACTTGGCTGTAAGCTGAAGGCTCCAGAGTTCTGCCATATTAACTTTCCAGACGTAATCTAGCTGAATGCACTCTGGATTTCTTGGATATTGTTTCAGGCCTTCAGAATAAAGCTATAGATCTTTTCAGTTGCCTGACTAGTCAACTTTCTAGTCCAACACATAGCATAGTAGGCTTGGTCCTTCTATTGTCTTGCCTGAAAAGCTTAACATTGTAAGTAAGAGGCGATATCATGATACACTGAAATCTTTGACTTACAGCAGTGGCAGTCTGGTCTATGCAATAAAAATCTACAAACAGTATGTGTCTTGAGAACTTTCTATGTCCCGCCCAGCTAATCAATGCCCTGGATCTGCCATGTATAATCTATGTGACTTCATACCAATTGCTTTTCCTTTCAAATGCTTAATTTTCTCGTTGTATTAGGTAGACAGTAATACTACTATACTTCATTCTTCTCTTTCAATATACAGAGTACCTTCAATGTTCTAGGCTCATAATAGTGTACAAAACAGTACTCTTTCAAGGATCCTATAAACTAGTGAAAGAAGGCAGAAAAGAAAATAGACATGACACAGTGAAAAGTAGTGATTGATGAGTGTTATCAGCATTACTCTTTTCCCTGACTGCTAAAGAGTATTCTGGCTTTGATGCTCAATTCTTAGTTGCCTCCTCTGAATCCGCCAACCCACCCTTAGAAGAAGGCTTTAATATTGCAAGAGTCATTATTTTGACTTTGAAATAAAGAATCAGGAGAATACAGCAGAATATGGCAATAGAGGAGTCCACAGAGCAGGGCTAGAGCAGGGGATCTGGGGGAGACTGCCAGTGAGAAAGTAAGGTAAGAGGATAGGAAAAGAGTGTTTTTTTTTTTAACAGAATTATGGTAGAAATTGTGGAATGATGATAGGCATACCTCTGTTATGCCTGAGGTCCCACTAAAAGAGAGTTAGAAGTGAAAGAAAGAGTAAGCTCATAGCATAGTAAGAAGAAATGGAGGGGGATGTACCAGGAACTGAGAGATTTCAACCAATTTCTTGAGGGTAGAAAATGAATGAATGAGAGATTCCTGTTGTCTGATGAAAAATTGTGATGGAATCACAGTCCATAGTACACCGTGAAGAGTTGGAGAAAACATGTGCCAATCTACAAGGTGGAATACTGAAGAGATTCTGGGGTCAGAAGCAGTAGAAGTGAGATGTGAGGCTAAGACCGTGGTGTGTGTATATGTTTGAGTGGGAGAAGACCTGAAGATCCATAGGGGAACAATTTTGTCCTTGCTCCAGCTGCCTCCCCAATCTCATGTGCAGAATGATTGGAGCAGTGTTAAGCCTCAGGCAAAGGAGAATGAATTCTACTCTAAAGAAATAGAATTGGCCGGGTGCGGTGTCTCACACCTGTAATTCCAGCACTTTGGGAGGCCAAGGTGGGCGGATCATGAGGTTAGGAGATCAAGATCATCCCGGCTAACACGGTGAAACCCCTTCTCTACTAAAAATACAAAAAATTAGCTGGGCATGGTGGCACGTGCTTGTAATCCCAGCTACTGGGGAGGCTGAGGCAGGAGAATAGCTTGAACCTAGGAGGTGGATTTTGCAGTGAGCCGAGATTATGCCACTGCACTCCAGCCTGGGTGACAGAACGAGACTCCATCTCAACAAATAAATAAATAAATAAATAAATAAATAAATAGAATTATGTAACTATCTGTGTAGATCTCAGGCTGCTAGGACTTAGTGCTCCAGAATAAAGCTGTGTTCCTTTAGGCTTTCAAAGGGCCTGCCTGCTGACAGCCAAAACTCTGAATCTAGTGTTCTAATGGACACTTAAATGGTTAGAACTTGTTATAATTCTACTGTTGGGTAAAGAGTAAGGGTGAGTAAAAAATATCTTATTAAGCAACAGGAGAAACCCATACTAACTAGTCTCAGCCTTGTAGTTCCTCTTTCTTAAATAAAAATGTCTGGCTGGGCCTGGTGGCTCATGCCTGTAATGCCAGCACTTTGAGAGGCCAAGGCAGGCAGATTATGACGTCAAGAGATCGAGACCATCCTGGCCAACATGGTGAAATCCCAACTGTACTAAAAATACAAAAACAAGCTGGTCATGGTGGCATGTGCCTGTAGTCCCAGCTACTCAGGCAGGAGAATTGCTTGAACCTGGGAGGCAGAGGTTGCAGTGAGCCGAGATTACGCCACTGCACTCCAGCCTAGGGACAGAGTTGAGACTCTGTCTCAAAAAAAAAAAAAAAAAAAAAAGTATACTTGGAGTCATGAGGGTAAAGAAGAACCAATTCTTTAAGTTAAAAAAAAATAACCACAAGAAAAGGGAACCCTCGTACACTGCTAGTGGGAATGTAAATTAGTACAACCACTATGGAGAACAGTTTGAAGGTTCCTCAAAAAACTAAAAATAGAGGTACCATGCAATCCAGCAGTCCCACTCTGCGAATATACTGGAAAGAAAGGAAATCAGTCTATTAAAGAGATATATGCACTCCTATGTTTGTTGCAGCACTGTTCACAGTAGCCAGGATTTGGAAGCAACCTAAGTGTCCATCAACAGGTGAATGGATAAAGGAAATGTGCTACTTATACACAATGGAGTACTATTCAGCCATGAAAAAGAATGAGATTCTGTTATTGCAACAACTGACATGGAGGTCATTATGGATGAAACTGGAGGTCATTATGTTAAGTGAAATAAGCCAGGAACAGCAAGACGAACTTCACATGTTTTCACTTATTTGTGTGATCTAAAAATAAAAAAAATTGAACTCAAAGAGATAGAGAATAGAAGAATGGTTACTAGAGGGTGCAAGGTAGTAGATGTGAGGCAGGGGAGAGGAGGAGATGGTTAATGGGTACCAAAAAACTAGAAAGACAGAATAAGACCTAGTACATGATACTACAACAGGGGAAGTTACAGTCAATAATAACTTAATTGTTCATTTAAAAATAACTAAAAGAGTATAGATTGCTTGTAACACAAAAGATAAATGCTTGAGGGGATGAATACCCAATTTTCCATGATGTGATTATTATGCATTGCATGCCTGTACCAAAATATCTAATGTACCCCATGAGTTTATACACCGACTATGTACTCACACACACACAAAAAGAGAAACTAACCACAGGGAAACAAGAACACTTTAGGGAACAAAGAGAAGATAATTTTAAAGAAATATTCTCTAAAAGAGATTTGGGAAGAACCGAGGAAAATAAAAATGGAAAAAAGAAAGAAAAAGAAATGAAGGGAAGAGCTAAAGAAAAAGATATTTTTGAGATTGTAATAAAATTGTTTAAACAAAATGTACAGCCAAAGAGCCAGAAAACAAAATTTAGATAATTTCTAAGAATATAGAGTAAAACAAACCTAACCTATATATGAAGTGATGTGGTAGTTTACCATGTTGAAAAGTTGGAAAACTCTGATTGGGCAGTGGTAAAATGAAAATTAGTTTTTAACTAGTAATTAATGAATACCTACACTCTTTTAATATAGAATCATTTTTGGATGCGAAGATGAGGCTCATACTACACTTTTTCTGATTAGTGGAAAGGTGTTGCCCAGGCCATATTACCTGGGAATGTGGCTGTTGCTTTTGGACTTAAAAGGAAGTTGGCTTTGAAATAGTGATACATACTTTATGCTGCCAGAGACATGTTAGACTACATATAGCTGGAAATGTAACCAGTGATGTCTTTACCAAATAGAGGTATTTCCACAAACAAGAAGCTTGAACGTGGATGATTGAGGTTATCAGTTCAGTTGCACAAAGATGCTACCAAGCTTCCCAGGCTATACTCTCCTTCCATTTTTCCACTCTAAGCTATTGCCTTTTTGTTCTTGCCCTTGTCATCTCATGGGGATGTCCTCACACAAATATCCCAACAAAAAAGACAGCTCTTGTTTTCCCAGAAGGAACCTCTTCTTAAACTCTCTGTTACATCTCCTTAGTCAGAATTGGTCTTGTGCCAATTCCAGACTACTAACTGGCAAAATCAAGTAAAATTTCCATGGCTACCATAGAGTTATTATTATTCATCCTCATGAATTATGGGTGGGGCCTCTCTCTCCTGAGACCACTAGTTAATTGTGATCTCTTTGTAGGGAAGAAGGGTCACCTATTGAGTAGGCAACAACTCAGGTCTGCCACAGGTGTATCCTACAAAATACTTAATTCTTGGACTAGATGTGGAGGGACTTAGTAAAAAGATAAGTGATTTAAAAAAGGGGGAAGCTGGCCGGGTGTGGTGGCTCACGCCTGTAATCCCAGCACTTTGGCAGGCTGAGGTGGGCGGATCACGAGGTCAGGAGATTGAGACCATCCTGGCTAACACAGTGAAACCCTGTCTCTACTAAAAATACAAAAAATTAGCCAGGCGTGGTGGCGGGCGCCTGTAGTCCCAGCTACTCGGGAGGCTGAGGCAGGAGAATGGCTTGAACCCGGGAGGCGGAGCTTGCAGTGAGCCAAGATCGCGCCACTGCACTCCAGCCTTGGTGACAGAGTGAGACTCTGTCTCAAAAAAAAACAAAAAAACAAAAAAAAAAAAACAAAAAGGGTGAGGGAAGCCAGGAAGGACCACAACATAAGAACTTAAAGAATTTCTAAATAGGAGAGTTGTAATAAAATATGTGTTTAAGTTTAGCTTGCTTATATATATTTGGAGTACAAAATTCTTACATAGTCTTATATAGACTAGTTTAATGTGTTCATATCTCTCTGGTCAAGAGTTCCACATGGCTGATAAATTCATGTCAAGGAAGAAGACTATAAAGAAAAGGCAAAGTTTGCAATCTCAGAGTCTTCACCTCATCACAGACTTCTGAAATCCTGGGTGGAAGTGATGAGGTTCCATGGAGGCATCTCCTGTTTAGTTTATCTCTAGCATTCCCTCCAATTCTTCCTCAAAGGAATCACAGAAGAATTTGTCTTGTTAGTTTCACCAACATGACTGTGACTTGGAAATCTGCAATTGTACAGAGGTTCTATCTTGCCTCTTGCCTCTCTCCTCTAAGAGAGACAGACATTTATTCCAGACAGACACATGAGGTTGACCTAATGACAATAGGTTCATTCATTTCCTAAATCACCCTAAGACACTTCAAAGACTAAACAGAATTCTTATTAGTTTGCACAGAGGGCCAGTTTTCTTCTTTAAAGTAGTCTGAGTAACCAGAGATGCTGCTGCTGCTGCTGCTACTGCTACTGATTAGGAAATAGGATGACATCACAGAATAGTCCTTACTCTAGAGGAAAAAAAGTCTTAAATTTAGTCAACACTACTCTCTCTGTCTGCCTGTTCTTCACGTTGACATTTATCAAGCTGTGTTTTGCACAATGGTCATAATTTTTTAGACTAAAATTAAGTTTATAAGCAAGAATATGCATGAGATTTCAGAGGATTTTAAAGCCACTTTCTGTTCCATTTTAAATTAATATCAAGCGCTTTGGCTGGAATTACAGAAGGTGAAGAAAAGAAAACAAAGGCTACCACTGAAACTTTACCAGGACCATAAATTGGCAGAAATAAATATATACATTTAAGTGAACAAAAATTGTTATATTTTGGGTTCCTGTTTAATATACATAATTATTTCATGACTTTATTAATTTACATAAAAGAATGAGCAGGAAGATATAATTTTAGTTACAGTCGTAGCATTGGTGCCTGAACGGGAGAGGACAAGTAATGTACTGGAGTTGGCCTAGATTGTGGTGCTTGAACTTTAGGCTGCATTAGTATCATCTAGAGGACTTGTTAAAACCCAGATTGCTGGGGCCCCTGCCTCAAGTTTATGATCCAGTGAGTCTGGGCTTGGACCTAAGAATCTGCATTTTAACAAGTTTTCAGGTGTTGCTGATGCTGCTGGTCCAGGATCTGTACGTTGGGAACCGCTGGCTTAAAGTAAAGAGTAGTATGATTGCATGACAGCAAAGCAAACCATGACCCCAATTTTAAGTTTGTTCTTTCCCTGCTCATTCACATGTCATTCACTCTGAGCTCCTTGAGACCAGAACCAATGTGTTACTGTCCATTTTTCACTAGTGTTTACTAGAGTACCTGGCACATAGTAGACAATATATATTTACTGGAATATTGACACTGTTTGTTGACACCCTCTGTTGGCTCCATGGATGACTGATTAGTATTCTCTAAACACTTCTGTTCGAGACACTTCATCAATACAAAAATTCTTCAAGATCCAAATCAAAAAGATGTCTCAAGGGGACCGTGTCTTGTTGCAAGGATCATGTTATGCTTTCTCTGGTTTTGGGACAAATGATCATTGTTGTGGTTGAAGAGAAACAAAATACAACTAATAAGAAATTGTTTGAGTTTAGATAAAAATAATATTTGTAACTCCCAAAAACAATGGCACATGAATATCCCAACTATTTTCATAAGTTATAACGAGCAGTAATCATTTAAACTTCTAAATTTCAAGCAACTTCATTTTAGTGTATTTATTCATTTGTTCAATTGGCATTTATTAAACTGTTTCCAGATGGGTTATTCCTCCCTTATTCTTCCTTGGGACCAGATAACATCTCTATAGTAGCACTTCACACACATTTTTGAAAAAGAATGCTTTTCCATGGCTATTTCTCATAGTTGTCATGTAGGTGCCTTAGGTCTACATTTAAGGAATATCTGTCTAGATTGGGCTTGGTATTGAAAATACAAAAAATACCTATCACAGGGTCATTTCCATAGAAAACTTTTCAGTTGAGAAGATGAGACAAGAGTGTACATTAATGTACTCATTTAGAACCACAAACACTTGTAATAGTCTATAGAGTGTGTTACTGCTTCACTAGAAATTTCAAACTATTTGGAAAAAATATGTTAATCATACTGCAGGCAAGGATTGAGTGTCTCATGCAATCATGTAAAATGCCCCATTCATAGTAAATGCTCAGGGAGTCATTGCTGAACATAATGATACAATTTAATAAACATACAGAAGGCTTCTGAGGGCAGGGACCATATTATACTCATACGTACATCCTTTGCAACTCGCACTACGCCTTGCATCTAGTTAGGCAGTCAGTATACCTGGGAGTTCTCAGGAGTGTTAACTTACTCAACTCCAAGGTGTTTTAGCTTTATAAATAATTCATTACTTTAAGAAAAATTCCTGGATTATAATCCTAAAATCAAAAGCTCTGCTCTGAGGTCTAGAAACTGTAGTGCTGAATTTAAAACAGTAACAGAAAAACTAAATAGGGAGGTTATAGTCTAAGCTGATATTAAAATAAGATGTGGTAAAATAAAATTATAGCTGAATAAGGGTACAAAGAATTCTAGCAGGTCAAATACTGTTCCCATGAATTATAGATGCTCTTGTCTGTAAAATGATCCCATGAATCTGCTGGGCTACTGTGCTAAACCTGGTCTTTCACTGAAAAAAATGGGCCTTCTTATACAGGAAAAAAATACAAGGATTTTAAGGAAATAAGCCCAAAGACAGGAACTTATTTTTCCCTCCTAACAACCAGAGGATTTGTGGATGCTTAACATAAACTACTGAAATGTTCAGTGGGTAATGTCTCTTGAAGAATTATTCTCCACAGCCATAGTTCATTAGTTTTGGCAGCATTCTGTTCTCTGTTTAAGTTCAAGATAGGCTGGTGTGCAAGGAGTGGTGATATTGAGGAATGTTTTAAAAAATTCTGCCTCAAATTGCAAAATAACAGGAAAAACATATTTCATAGATACATGTAAGTAACTAAAAATGTGCTGATGTGTTAACACAAAAAACTACTAAAATAAAATAAATGTGTTATATTCTTCATCTTACCATGGAGCCAAGATCATATAAAATTTGATATTCATAAATCATGACACTGAAAGAAGAATCAACTGTCCTTACTGATTTAATTTGCTTTATTTTCTGGCACTTACTTTTGGAGATACAGATGAGCTGGTGACAGTGTTGTAGGACTTTCTCCTTTGTTCAGCTAAAAGCCGGGTTCTTGTCACATGGCCATGAGAGATTAGGCTTGCTGACACTTTGAAGGGTGAGAAAAATGGAATTTATTGGGCAAAAAGGAAGAAAAGGGAAACAGGGTCCTCTCAGCAGGGAGAGAGCCATGCTAGTATAGGCTTCCTGCCTCACAAATTGAATTCCAGTTTCCCTCCCAGAACAGGAGAGGCCAGGCTCCTCCCCTCTGCAAATAGTGTGAACTTCCCGAGGCTCCAACCCAGTGCGCATTCCTCTCAGTGTACAGGCAGGTTGGAGGTTCTCCGGTGATCCTTTTATACTTGGCTGTCTCAACAGCATGATTCTATAGGCTGGCATTTGGGACCTCTTTTGATTTGTGCCACTGATTTTGTATGATTTTATATAGTTTGCCCCATTAAATTTCTGAAAGTCTGGTCTCTCAGTATTAATACTTTCAGGGTGTGAATACTCTGGGATAAATGGGAAGGAGCCATTTATGTTTGGTGAAAAGAAAGAAGGTAGGAACTTTGGATACTTGGACTACGCAATCAATTATACATTCCTAATGATATTGATTCTGACCTCATTCTTTCCTTTCTTCTTTTTTCTTCCTTTCTTTTTGATAGTGTCTCACTCTGTCATCCAGGCTGGAGTGCAGCAATGTGATCATAGTTCACTGCAACCTCCAAGTCCTGGGCTCAAGTGATCCTCTTGGCTCAAGCCTCTTGAGTAACTGGGACTACAGGTGTTCACCATGTAGTTTTGCTATGTTGCCCAGGCTGGTCTCAGATTCCTGTACTCGAGTGATCCTCCTGCTTTGGCCTCCCAAAGTGCTGGGATTACATGTATGAGCCACTTTGCCCAACCATTTTGTTCATTTTCTATCACATGAGACTCTCTCCTTCATTCTGAAGCAAACATAATGAAGATATTGTTTAATGAATAAGCTTTGTGTACATATATCCTGTATAGTAACTATTATATAGAGTAATGCCATGGACTCTTTTTTATAATCATCTCAATATATATACATATTTTATCATACTTTAAGTTCTGGGGTACATGTGCAGAACGTGCAATTTTGTTACATAGGTATACACGTGCCATGGTGGTTTGCTGCACCCATCAATCAACCTGTCACCTACATTAGGTATTTCTCCTAATGTTATCCCTCCCCTATCCCTCCATCCCCTGACAGGCCCCAGTGTGTGATGTTCCCCTCCCTATGTCCATGTGTTCTCATTGCTCACTTACAAGTGAGAACATGCAGTGTTTGGTTTTCTGTTCCTGTGTTAGTTTGCTGAGAATGATGGTTTCCATCTTCATCCATGTCCCTGCAAAGGACATGAACTCATCCTTTTTTATGGCTGCATAGTATTCCATGGTGTATATGTGCCACATTTTCTTTATCCAATCTATCATTGATGGACATTTGGATTGGTTCCAAGTCTTTGCTATTGTGAATAGTGCTGCAATAAACATACATGTGCATGTGTCTTTATAGTAGAATAATTTATAATCCTTTGGGTATATACCCAGTAGTGGGTAATCTTTTGGGTATACTACCCAGTAGTAGTGGTTCTTTGAAACCAATGAGAACGAAGATACAACATACCAGAATCTCTGGGACACATTTAAAGCAGTGTGTAGAGGGAAATTTATAGCACTAAATGCCCACAAGAGAAAGCAGGAAAGATCTAAAATTGATGCCCTAACATCAAAATTAAAAGAACTAGAGAAGCAACAGCAAACAAATTCATCTCAATATTTTTATCCATTTAAAAATCCACAGCTTGTCTTAATTTAAAAATATATTGCATGGAGGAATTTTTACAACGTAAGGGGTATAGAACTCATAGGGTATAACTGTTATTGCAAGTGGACTTAAATCCATATAAGTAACAAAGATTGACAGCAGTTTGAATAAATAGTATACCATAAAATAGAAAAATATAAAGTATTATCCAAATGCATGTGAATTTATTTTAATAAAATAAAAGTAATTTTAAACATAAATTCTGGTCATTATATATTTTGTTATTTATGCACATTCAAAGTACAACTTTTCTATCATGTGGAAGCTTGAAGAACATTTTTTATGTGAAGAGGATTTATCATACTCTGAAATGCAATATACCATGGCGTAGGATAGGTTTGTCAGAAATAAACATGCATTCTTGCTACCATTCCCACCTCCCACACCCATAGCAGATGTTGCTTCTTTTTCTGGTAAGCTCAGACTCAGCTTCAGAATCCTTTTCTATACATGCTCCAGGTGGCCATTATCAATTAATTGATGATGGCATTAAAATCCAAACTTTTTGCATGTTGGTTCAAGGTTTCATAACCTCTTAAGGCTCAAGCCCAGCACCTGAGATCTTAAAGATGTACCTATAAACTCAGACCCCAAAGCAAAATAGATAAATTTTTAAAGCACACAGATTTCTCTTTCCTTAAACATTTAAAAACCACGTGGAAGAATTTACAATAAAAGGAAGCAAATTTGACATAGTTTTACTTTTTCTGTCCAACCTGGAACTATTAGTTCACTTGCCACTCAACCTGGACTCAACTAACTGATATTTAATTGATAATTTTCAACAACTACAAAGTCAGCACATTGACCTGAAGTAGGAAGACATGGCACATGTATACATATGTAACAAACCTGCACGTTGTGCACATGTACCCTAAAACTTAAAGTATAATAATAAAAAAAATTTTGAAATAATACAATTTTTTTAAAAAAAAGTAACATTGAATGTTTTCTATTTGTCAGAGAGCTACATTTTAAAACGTTTTATCTTTTTTCCTCACAACTTTTCTAGGGAGGAATAATAAATCTCAGTTTTACTGTTGAGGAAATTGAGACCCTCGAAGATTAACTTACTTGCTGAATTTGTGCAGTCTTTAACTGGCAGAGCCAAAATCCAAACAAATTTATAACTGCCTGGAAGGACCATGGTTGTTTCATGAAACTTTAAAGGTTTTATTTGTCCATTTGCTTGCACTTTGAATGTTTCCTCAATTGAGTTAGCAGATTCTGACTAAAGTAGATCTCTAGATTAGAACATCTGAATTGGTCCTACCAGTTCCTTCAGATCTTATCAGAAGGCAAGAAATTAAACTCTCCATTGTTGTAAATAATAATAATAATAATAATAATAATAATAATAATAAAATAATGCCAGGTAAAATAAAAATAATGTTCAACATAGGGCATGTTCTTTTCAAAGATTGTTTGACTATTTTTGCTTTATATAATTCTATTTAAAGCTTAGAATTATCATGTATACAAAATTACCACCTAGGAGAATTGACACATTTACCATGTTGAAGTTTCTGATACATGGTCATTCACAGTCTTCTATCTATTTAGGTCTTCACTGATTTCTTTCAGTAATATTTTATGTTTTTTTATGCAAAGGGTTTGTATATTTGCTGTTAAATTTATTTCTAGATATTTAAAGCTTTTAATGCTATTAAAGTATATCTTTTACATTTTTATTTTCTAATTGTTTTTAATTGTTCAAAAACTAATGTTTTATATCAGCTTTGTATCCAGCATGCTTGCTGAGTTCACTTATTAATTTCAGATTGTAAATTCTATTTAGATTTTCTACATAGAGAATCCTATAATTTGTGAATTATGACATGGTTACTTCTTTTCAAACCCTTCTGTTTCATTTTTTTTCTGGTACATGTCATAACTTAGTACCTCTAGTACTTAAAAAATTTTATTATAACTTGACAATTTATAATTATATATTTATAGGGCACAAAGTGATATGATTTATGGACACAATGTGGAATAATTAAGGTAACATATCAATTTCCTCAAATGCTTATCTTTTTTTGTGATGAGAACATTTGAAATGTACTGTCTTAGCAATTTTGAAATGTACAATAAAATATTATTAACTATATTCGCCATGCTGTGCAATAGATCTCAGAAAAACTCACTTATTCCTCCACCAAAACTTTCTAACTGTTGACTAACATCTCCCCATCAACCCCAACCCTGTAACTACCATTCTACATTGCTTCTAATATCCAGTGTTTTAAATTCCACATCTAAGTGAAAACATGTAGCATTTGTCTTTTTGTGCCTGGCTTATTTCATCTGGAAAAATCTTCCTTAGTTCCATCCACGTTGCCACAAATGAAAGAGAATTTTCCGTCTTTTTAAGAGTACTAAATGGGCAAAAACTGGAAGCATTCCCTTTGAAAACTGGCACGAGACAGGGATGCCCTCTCTTACCACTCCTATTCAACATAGTGTTGGAAGTTCTGGCCAGGGCAATTAGGCAGGAGAAGAAAATAAAGGGTATTCAATTAGGAAAAGAGGAAGTCAAATTGTCCCTGTTTGCAGACGACATGATTGTATATCTAGAAAACCCCATTGTCTCAGCCCAAAATCTCCTTAAGCTGATAAGCAACTTCAGCAAAGTCTCAGGATACAAAATCAATGTACAAAAATCACAAGCATTCTTATACACAAATAACAGACAAACAGAGAGCCAAATCATGAGTGAACTCCCATTCACAATTGCTTCAAAGAGAATAAAATACTTAGGAATCCAAATTACAGGGGATGTGAAGGACCTCTTCAAGGAGAACTACAAACCACTGCTCAAGGAAATAAAAGAGGATACAAACAAATGGAAGAACATTCCATGCTCATGGGTAGGAAGAATCAATATCGTGAAAATGGCCATACTGCCCAAGGTAATTTTTAGATTCAATGCCATCCCCATCAAGCAACCAATGACTTTCTTCACAGAATTGGAAAAAACTACTTTCAAGTTCATATGGAACCAAAAAAGAGCCCACATCGCCAAATCAATCCTAAGCCAAAAGAACAAAGCCGGAGGCATCACACTACCTGACTTCAAACTATACTACAAGGCTACAGTAACCAAAACAGCATGGTACGGGTACCAAAACAGAGATATAGATCAATGGAACAGAACAGAGTCCTCAGAAATAACGCCACATATCTACAACTATCTGATCTTTGACAAACCTGAGAAAAACAAGCAATGGGGAAAGGATTCCCTATTTAATAAATGGTGCTGGGAAAACTGGCTAGCCATATGTAGAAAGCTGAAACTGGATCCCTTCCTTACACCTTATACAAAAATTAATTCAAGATGGATTAAAGACTTAAACGTTAGACCTAAAACCATAAAAACCCTAGAAGAAAACCTAGGCATTACCATTCAGGACATAGGCATGGGCAAGGACTTCATGTCTAAAACACCAAAAGCAATGGCAACAAAAGACAAAATTGACAAATGGGTTCTAATTAAACTAAAGAGCTTCTGCACAGCAAAAGAAACTACCATCAGGCCGGGCGCGGTGGCTCACGCCTGTAATCCCAGCACTTTGGGAGGCCGAGGCGGGCGGATCACGAGGTCAGGAGATCGAGACCATCCTGGCTAACACGGTGAAACCCCGTCTCTACTAAAAATACAAAAAAAATTAGCCGGGCGAGGTGGCGGGCGCCTGTAGTCCCAGCTACTCGGGAGGCTGAGGCAGGAGAATGGCGTGAACCCCAGGGGGCGGAGCCTGCAGTGAGCCGAGATTGCGCCACTGCACTCCAGCCTGGGCGACAGCGAGACTCCGTCTCAAAAAAAAAAGAAAAAAAAAAAAAAAAAAAAAAAGAAACTACCATCAGAGTGAACAGGCAACCTACAAAATGGGAGAAAATTTTCGCAACCTACTCATCTGACAAAGGGCTAATATCCAGAATCTACAATTAACTCAAACAAATTTACGAGAAAAAAACAAACAACCCCATCAAAAAGTGGGCAAAGGATATGAACAGACACTTCTGAAAAGAAGACATTTATGCAGCCAAAATACACATGAAAAAATGCTCATCATCACTGGCCATCAGAGAAATGCAAATCAAAACCACAATGAGATACCATCTCACACCAGTTAGAATGGCAATCATGAAAAAGTCAGGAAACAACAGGTGCTGGAGAGGATGTGGAGAAATAGGAACACTTTTACACTGTTGGTGGGACTGTAAACTAGTTCAACCATTGTGGAAGTCAGTGTGGCGATTCCTCAGGGATCTAGAACTAGAAATACCATTTGACCCAGCCATCCCATTACTGGGTATATACCCAAAGGACTATAAATCATGCTGCTATAAAGACACATGCACACGTATGTTTATTGCGGCACTATTCACAATAGCAAAGACTTGGAACCAACCCAAATGTCCAACAATGATAGACTGGATTAAGAAAATGTGGCACATATACACCATGGAATACCATGCAGCCATAAAAAAGGATGAGTTCATGTCCTTTGTAGGGACATGGATCAAGCTGGAAACCATCATTCTCAGTAAACTATTGCAAGGACAAAAAACCAAACACCACATGTTCTCACTCATAGGTGGGAATTGAACAATGAGAACACATGGACGCAGGAAGGGGAACATCACACTCTGGGGACTGTTGTGGGGTGAGGGGAAGGGGGAGGGATAGCATTAGGAGATATACCTAATGCTAAATGACGAGTTAATGGGTGCAGCACACCAGCATGGCACATGTATACATGTGTAACTAACCTGCACATTGTGCACATGTACCCTAAAACTTAAAGTATAATAAACACACACACACACACACACACACTCACACACACACACACACACACACACACACACAAAGAGTTTCAGGCTTTATCCATTTATCTGATGGTGGGCACTTAGGTGGCTATTGTGAATAATGCTGTAATGAGAATAAGAGTGCCAACATCTCTTTGTCACACTGATTTTAAATCTTTTGGTAGATACCCAGAAGTGGAATTGCTGGATCATATGATAATTCTATTTTTAACTTTTTGCAGAACCTCCTTACAGTTTTCCACAATGGCTGTCCTAATTTACATTCCCACCAATAGTGTACAGGGTTCCCATTTCTCCACATCCTCATCAACACTTACCATTCATATTTTTGATAACAGCCATTCTGACAGGTGTGAAGTGGTATCTTATTATGGTTTTAATTTGCATTCCCTAATGATTAGTGACATTGATAATTGTTTCATGTATCTGTTGGTCATGTATATGTTTTCTTTTGAAAAATGTCTACTCAGGTCTTATACCCATTTTTAAATTGGGTTGTCTTCTTGTTTTCATGAATATTTAATAGTTTTTCATGTACAAGTCTTTCATCTCCTTGGTTAAATTTATTCCTAAGTATCTTGTGTTTTTTGGTAGCTACTGTAAATGGGATTATTTTCTTGATATCTTTTTATATAGTTTGTTGTTAGTATTCAGAAAAGCTACTGATTTCTGTGTGTTGATCTTGTATTCTGCAACTTTACTGTATTTGCTTATTAGTTCTAACAATTCTTTGGTGGAGTCGTTAGAGTTTTCTATATACAAGATCATGTTGTCAGCAGTGATAATTTCACTTCTTCCTTTTCAATTTGGATGCCTTTTATTTATGTCTGTAGCCTAATTGCTCTGGTAAGGGCTTCCAATACCATGTTGAAAAGAAGTGGTAAAAGTGAGCATCCTTGTCTTGTTCCAGATTTTAAAGAAAAGACTTTCACTATTGAGTATAATGCTAGCTGTGAGCTTTACATATATAGCCTTTATTGCTCCACATGATTTTTAATAATATCAAGCATCTTGATCTTATTTCCATGTTTAGAGAGAAAACTTTTTAATATTTCGCCATTATTGTTCCTTGTAGACTTTATGTTGATACCCTTTGTTAGCTTAACAAAATTCACATTTTACTGTTTGTGAAGAGGTTTAAAATCCTTTTAGTATAAATGGGTGTGAAATTTTATAAATGCCTTTTTAATATCTGTTAAATTGATCATATGAGTTTTTTTTTTGTTACCTTAGTGTGATAAATTGCATTGGCTGATTTTTTTTCATATCAAGCCAAACCATTTTTAGAATAAACCATGCTTAGTTGTGATATGCTATTATTTTTATTTTTCAAGTTCGATGTCCTTTTTTCCTTTTAAATTTTCACACTTGTGTTCTCAAAATACATGATCTTTGCCTTTCCTTTATTATAATGTTCTTGCCAGGTTTTTGTACAAGATTACCCTCATCTCATGTAATGAGTCAGGAAGTCGTTTTTTCTTTTTTGTTCCCTGAAGAGCTTCTGTTAAGATTGGTGTTATTATTTTTAAACATTTGGAAAATTTTGCTGGTGAATTTTAGCCACCATTAGTAGAGGTTTCATTGTAAAAAGGTTTTTTTTTATCTGCAATAAATATATATAGGACAATTTGGGTTTTCTGTATCTTCTTGTGTAGGGTTTGCTAAATTGTAATAGTTAAGCAATTTGCCCATTTTTGTGTGAATTTTTATACTTGGTAGATAAAGTTTTGCAGAATATTTTTATGGCCTTTTTAATATTTGCAGCATCTCTAGTAATGTCTTCTTTTTTATTCCTGATACTGGTAATTTGTATGTTCTCTTTCTTTTAAACAATAATAATGTACTAGTAGTTTATCAATTATTAGTCTTTTCCAAAACACAACCTGTGGCTTTGCTGATTTTTTTCTGTTTACATTTATTTTCCATTTTATTCATTTCTGCTCTTATCATTATTTCCTTTCTTTTAATTTATTTGAGTAATAGTCACATTTCGTTTCAAACTCCTTGAGATGGCTACTTAAATCAATGTTTTTAAGGCTTTTTCTCCTTATACATTTGGTGGTATAATTTTTTTTCTTGTAAGCAGACCAACAAAGTAATATGACATGTTTTTCTCATCAGTCAGTTCATAATATTTTATAATTTTTATTATGGTTTCTCCTTTGACTTAATGATAATTTAGAAGTGTGTTCCAGAAGTACTTTGAAGTATGTTTGCAGACATATTTAGAAGATTTTTAGGGTTTTTTTTGTTATTAATTAAAGTTTAATTTCATGGTGGTCAGAAAAATATTTTAAATTATTTCAACTATTTAAAATTATTATGACCTTTTCCCTGTGGTCCAGCACATTGTCAATAATGGTAAGCTTTTAAAATGCAGTTGAAAAGAATGTGTATTCTGTTGTCAATGTAGTGTTTCATATATGTTAATTAGGTCAAGTTTGTTAATCCCATTATTCAGACTGATTTTATCTTCACAGACTTTTTTTTTGTTCTATTGCTTTGTGAGAGAATTGTGTTAAAATTTTCTATTAAGTGTGTGTATTTGTCCATTTTTTGCTTTTAGTTCTATGAAATTTTACTGTGGTACAATTTGCTTCACATGTTTTGAAATTTAGAATTGTTATATTTTCCTGGTATTTTGACCCTTTTGTCATTTTGACATGTTTTTAGGCTCTAGAAATGTCTTTTGCTTCTGTATTTTTAGAAGTGCTACAAGAGCTTTTTTTTTTTTAAGTTAGTGTTTGTGTTGCATATATTTATTTCTGCCTCTTTAGTTTTCAGCTTTTTTGTTCATGTTTTAAAGTAACACACAATTGTTTCTAGTGTGGTCTGAAAATCTGTGTCTTTTAATCAGAACATCTAATCTAGATCATTTACAATTGAGGCAATTACTGGTATTTTGGGGCATATGTCTACTGTCCAACAGTTTGGTTTCTATCTGTTCCACTTTTATATGTTCTTCTTTTTCACTCTTTATAAACTTTGCTTTTATTACATATTATTTTTATTTCCATTCCCCCCACCCCATTATTCATTCTGTTACTACTTTCTTTTGCTTTGATTTTATTCTTTTTCTTTTTTTACTTTAGAGGTTACAAGATGAATCCTGAACTTTATTTAGAGTTTAATGTAAATGAATACTTTTACCACTTCCTAGATAATGCTAAAACCTCAAATCCTTCTGTCACCATTTACCTGTACTGACTTTTAAAATTACTTTTTTGGGGCTGGGCGTGGTGGCTCATGCCTGTAATCCCAGCACTTTTGGAGGCTAAGGAGGGCGGATCACCTGAGGTCAGGAGTTTGAGACCAGCCTGGCCAACATGGTGAAACCCTGTCTCTACTAAAAATACAAAATTATCTGGGCATGGTGGTACACACCTGCAATCCCAATCACTCGGGAGGCAGAGGTAGGAGAATTGTTTGAACCCAGAAGGTAGAGGTTACAGTGAGCCAAGATCATGCCACTGCACTCCAGCCTGGGTGACAGAGTGAGACTCTGTCTCAAAAGCAAAAAAATTATTATCTTGAATTTTAGTTATATATACTTTAATTATCACCAAAATTATTACTATTTTGTATGATCAGTATTCACTAAGATTTATGCATATTTTTGCCTCTTATGTTTGTCTTTTCTATAATTTAACATTTTATATTGGATCAGGACCATTTTCTGTTATTCTTCTGCTGAAAAAAGTCCCTTCAGTATTTTTAAAGTGCATTTATACACTTATCTTGACAAATTCTCTTTTTTTCTGTCAAGAAATGTCTTTATTTTGGCTTCCCTTTTAAAGGATATTATTGTGGCAGTTTATTCTCTTTCAGTACTGTAGAGAAATCATGCCACTATCCTGTAGCTGCCATCATTTCTATTGAAGAAAATATGTCTTTTATTCAGTGGCTGATTTGAATATTGACTATTTCTGGTATTCAGTAGTTTTATTATGATGTTGCTAAGTGCATTTTGTTGTTGTTGTTATATGATCTTATGTGTGAGATCATACTGATTCTTCAATCTGTAACTTGACATCTATTAGCAGTTTAGGAAAAATAACAGCCTGTGTCTCTTCATACATGCTTTTGCAGCATTCTCTCTCTTTCTCCCATCTAGATTCCAGTTTATGAGATTTAAAAGTTTGTATTATGTTCCATATGTCTTTCATGCTTGATTTTTTATCAGTTTTAAATTTTATGCTTCAGTTTTTATATTTTCTACTGACCTATCTTCGAGATTGCAAAGTCTCTTCAGTTCTGTCTTCTGTTAAACTTGTTATTGATTTTTAAAATTTTAGTTATTATATTTTTCTGCTCTGCAATTTCCATTTGAAACTATCATGTCATTTATTTTTTTGAATACATTAATAATCACAATTATCTTAAAGTCAATGGCAAATAACTTCAATATTTGGGTCAACTGTGTATCTAGTTCTATTTTCAGTTTTTTTTCTTAGTCTTGCTTCTTGAATTTTAGAGGCTCTGGGTGATTTTTTTTTTTATCGCACTGAGAAGATTCTTCCAACTTCTGCTGGTAGCAGAGGGATAGATTATCTTAACTCAATGAGAACTTGAGCCAACTTAATATTTTTTTTTTGCAATTTTTGTATGAAATTCCTTTTTCTTCTTTGACTCCTAGGATGAAGCCCTTCAATATTCCAACTAAGAGCCTAAGGTATTTTCCAGGCATCTTTTCCTCAATAAGCCCTGAACTGCAATTTTTTATCTCCAATACCCTGAGAATGTCAAAACCTCCATCGTAGTTTTTAGCTGTTTATTCGTTCTGGTTGATAGCCACATTAGTAAGTTTTCATGCTGCTGATAAAGATGTACTGAAACTGGGAACAAAAAGAGGTTTAATTGGACTTAAAGTTTCACATGGCTGGGGATGCCTCAGGATCATGGCGGGAGGTGAAAGGCACTTCTTACCTGGCAGCAGGAAGAGAAAAATGAGGAAGAAGCAAAAGCAGAAACCCCTAATAAACCCATCAGATCTTGTGAGACTTATTCTCACAATTCTTATTGTCATGAGAATAGCACAGGAAAGACCAGCCCCCATGACTCAATTAATTCCCCTGGGTCCCTCCCACAATATGTGGGAATCCAAATCTCATGTACTCACATTGCAAAACCAATCATGCCTTCCTAACAGTGAAAAGTGTTAACTCATTTCGGCATTAACCCAAAAGTCCACAGTCCAAAGTCTCATCCAAGACAAGGAATGTCCCTTCTGCCTATAAGCCTGTAAAGTCAAAAGCAAGCTAGTTACTTCCTAGATACAATAAGGGTACAGGTATTGGGTAAATACAGCCATTCTGAATAGGAGAAATTGGCCAAAAGAAAGGAGTTACAGGGCCCATGCAAGTCCGAAATCCAGCGGGGCAGTCAAATTTTAAAGCTCCAAAATAATCTCCTGTGAGACCCAGATCTCACATCTGGGTCATGCTGATGCACGAGGTGGGTTCCCCATGGTCTTGGGCAGCTCCACCCCTGTGGCTTTGCAGGGTATGTTCTCCCTCATGGCTGCTTTCATGGGCTGGCCTTGAGTGTCTGTGGCTTTTCCAGGCACAAGGTGCAAGCTGTTGGTTGATCCATCATTCTGGGGTCTGGAGGATGGTGGCCTTCTTCTCATAGCTCCATTAGGTAGTGCACCAGTAGGGACTCTGTGTGGTGGCTCCGACCTCACATTTCCTTTCTGCAGTGCCCTAGCAGAAGTTTTCCATGAGGGCCCTGCCCCTGCAGCAAACTTTTGCCTGGGCATCGAGGCATTTCCATACACCTTCTGACATCTAGGAAGGGGTTCCCAAACCTCAATTCTTGACTTCTGTGCACCTGCAGGCTCAATACCATGTGGAAGCTGCCAAGACTTGGGGCTTTCACCCTCTGAGGCCACAGCCTGAGCTCTATGTTGGCCCCTTTCAGCCATGGCTGGAGCTGCTGGGACACAGAGCACCAAGTCCCTAGGCTGCACACAGCATGGAACCCTGTGCCTGGCCCATGAAACCACTTTTTCCTCCTGGGCCTCCAGGCCTGTGATGGGAGGGGCTGCTGTGAAGGTCTCTGACATGGCCTGGAGACATTTTCCCCATGGTCTTGGGGATTAATATTAGGCTCCTTGCTACTTACTCAAACTTCTGCAGCTGGCTTGAATTTCTCCTCAAAAAATGAGTTTTTCTTTTCTACTGCATTGTCAGGCTGCAAATTTTCTGAACTTTATGCTCTGTTTCCCTTTTAAAATGGAATGCTTTTAACAGCACCCAAGTCACCTTTTGAATGCTTTGCTACTTAGAAATTTCTTCTTCCAGATACCCTAAATTGTCTCTTTCAACTTCAAAGTTCCACAGATCCCTAGGGCAGGGGCAAAATGCTGCCAGTCTCTGCTAAAACATAACAAGAGTCACCTTTGTTCCAGTTTCCAACAAGTTCCTCATCTCCATCGGAGACCACCTGTGCTTGGACCTTATTATTCATATCACTATCAGCATTTTTGTCAAAGTCATTCAACACGTCTCTAGGAGGTTCCAAACTTTCCCACATTTTCCCGTCTTCTTCTGAGCCCTCCAAATGATTCCAACCTCTGCCTGTTACCCAGTTCCAAAGTCACTTCCACATTTTTAGGTATCTTTTCAGTTCCACCCCACTCTACTGGTACCAATTTACTGTATTAGTCCGTTTTCATGCTGCTGATAAAGACATACCTGAGACTGGGAATAAAAAGAGGTTTAATTGGATTTACAGTTCTACATGGCTGGGGAGGCCTCAGAATCATGGCAGGAGGTGAAAAGCACTTCTTACATAGTGGCGGCAAGAGAAAAATGAGGAAGAAGCAAAAGTGGAAACCCCTGATAAGCCCAACGGATCTCGTGAGACTTATTCACTATCATGAGAATAGCACAGGAAAGACCGGCCCCCATGATTCAGTTACTTCCCCCGGTCCCTCCCATAACATGTGGGAGTTCTGGGAGATACAGTTCAGGTTGAGATTTGAGGGGAGACACAGCCAAACCTTCTGAATAGCCTTTTGTATTATGTAGCCTAATCAGCATATACGTTGAGTGATAACTGGTGTTCAGCATTGGTTATAATTTTCTGTGTTTTTCTTCTTTCTGGTGTTCCTTATTTCCTCACATCCTGGCTTCCTTAGCAGCCCCAAATCTTAAATCCTTTGTCTGTATCCCTACGAATTTAATTAAAACTCTAATAACTTCTTTGCTGCTTCTTGTTTTCTAATTCTGATGCATGTTTCTGAGAATTGGCAAATGCTCTGAAAGAAAAAGTGGCATGAAGAAAATTATGTTTATATCAGTTTGCTTCTCCTCTTTCTGCAATGTAGACTCTCAAGTCCTGGTTGATTCATTATCTCTCTGATTGTTTCAAATAGAGTTTCTTTTTGTATTTTGTCCAGTTTTTCTAATTGTTCTTAATGGAAGCATTGGTCTCCTGCAAGCCACTCTGTCAAGCAAAAAGCAGATGTCTGTGTAGTTGCATTTTCTTTTCTATATATGATTGTTAACCATTGAGTTGTGAAGATTTATTTGTTGCTTAACACTCTGGACCTTAGAACTTGCAAATGGTCTTCTGGGAGTAACAGCCAATAATACTTTATGGAACTAACCCTATAACAGCAGATTTTCCTATCTAAGAGTGCCCTTATGGAGGCAAGAAGGGGCAAAAGGAAGGCAAATATTACCTCATGATATAGGCAAAAAGGGGAAAGTTTGCTTTTGCAACCTCCTGTCTGTACCTTCTATGCTGCTGTTTCCCAAACTAAGTAACCCAGTGTCATCTTCTCCAAATTTGCCTTCCAGGACATGGCCCTAGTTTTGCTTCTGAGAACATATGTTAACATTTTGATTTATATACAGTGTCTTCCAAAATATACCAGTTACATCAGTTACAGTGTGAAGGAGGACTCCTGTAGTTAGGCAATGTGGTCCTATTCTGGAGCAAAGTGCCTTGCTTAGATCATCCACTAGCACAGTGTTCCATGCTCCATACTATGCTCCTTTAGGTAACTCTTTCCTTTTTCTCCCCATGTAGCTGTCTGTCTTTTGCCTCTTGTTTGCAGATGACTCAAAGTTTAACTTCTATAGCTAATATATAATGTAAACTTAAAAGTTTAGTATTTTGCTCTTCTCAATTTACTTTTCATTTTTAGAGTTCCACTGATTATTAAAAAGTTTCCAAGGAATGACTTTCACGTTTTCAGAATTTTTTCTGCACACTTACGGGAAAAAATAGAGGAGTTAGTTTGAATTTGGATGGTGAATATGTAATCATGTTGGCAATCAATCACATCACATATGTCTAAGAATTAGCAAGAAGATAGGTAAATTAAGTGTTTCATAGTTCGGCAAATTTTATTTATTTCTCTTAGGTTCTTAAATGATCCAAGCCCCATATTCAGTTGTATTTGAATTTAGGAATTTTCAAGTATGTATGATAATATTTAGATTAAGTCATATTTGTATTGTATTGGCCATAATAAAATATCTTTATTTTTAATATTTTGCAGCACATTTTTCATTGTTTGTGATATATTACATTATTCCAGTCAAATTTTGAACCACTTGTCCATCTACATCCCAGTACTTAATTATTCAGTGTCAGAAATTCAATTTAATTACTGTACAAGGTAAAATTGAATTGCATAACTCATGAAGAGCCTATTATGAATGTCTTATTGCATTGAAAAAAATGAATAACCTTGTACTAAATTTTGATGGCTTCCATGAAGAATCATTTAGAATGATTTAAAAAAAAAACAGTTGCATACCACATGCATACTTTATCTGGCTATTTATATGAATGACAAAGGAGAGAAAGCAGTGTCATCAGAAGGATATAGGCACATGTCTTCTGGTTAACTTGGAAATATTATGGGCCTTAATGTGCTAACATGGGAAGGTGTTGAATATCAGGAGAAAGAGTGCTGAGGTCTACCCCACTTTTCAGAAGGCCAGTTTTCTGCAGAAATGGAATGAGGAGATACACACCCTTTGATGCATACTCTTTTATAAAAATGTTTTAAATGATAATAGATTCAGAATATTACTTATCAGATGATGAATGTGGCACGTGATTTATTACATATAACATAAAGAATTATCATAGCATGGTAAGTTGTTGAAAGGTGAAGTATAATGAAGGTCAAGAAATAGAGCTTTGCCCGCAACTCCAGAAGCTTTCCACTTTGCCTATCCCGTATTTCTTTCATAAAGGCAACTACTATTCTGATAATCTTTTTTATGATAATGATTTTCTTACATTCCTTTAAATATTTTTCACTCAAGCCTGTATCTCTGAACACTGTAATTTAATTTTGCCTATTTAGTAAAAGTATTTTAGAAGTCTTTCTCAATATAAATGTTCCCTTAAATCTCTTTTTGTGCCCTTGCTCTTTATTCACAGAATTACCCAGGTTCTTTGACCTGTAGAGATCTGAATTTTGCTAATTACATTGATGTATCCTTTTTGTGGGAGTATTAATTACTTCCTTGGGAGCTGTTAGGCAATTTGCAAGTGCTGTGAACCTTGAGCTAATAAGAGAGGCCATTCATCATTCACTGGTATCTGCACATGTCCTTTCTAAGCTGATGAACACCTTTTTGCACCATGTTTAAAAAGGAGCTTGTGTGCTTCAGATGGGGAGTTTGTGCAAAGCTTTTCAGTAATGCTGTTGAGAGGTAATTATAAATAAATATGCTCAATGCAGTTTTCGGGTTAAAAGATGAAGATATGTGTGCTTATGTACACGGGCTTGATTTTCTGACTCTTTAACTGATTGTCTCACTGTATTACCTAGGGAGAAAAGAGGAGGTAGACCAACAGAGTGAATTAATATCTCTTAGCATAGCATTTTCCCACAATGTGTGTTGGAGAACACTAATGGCCCTTATATGTTAATACATTGTCCTTCCGTAAAACACTTCTGCATTTAAATAAGCTGAGAAAATGCTAAGCCAGAGTGCTCATGAGCATATTAAAAATTACTGAAAAGTCTTGCATTAAATAAAATTGTTTAATTTTGGTTATTGTTCCCAAATCTCTTTGACCAGAGAAGGTTTTTGTTGTTGTTATTGTTGTTGTTTCCATTGATTATTTGACACTACCTTGTAATACATGTTTACTGTGGATACAATTGGAAAATTCTGATCAGGATTGCATTGCATCTGTGATAAAGTGGGGTAGTATAACCATTTGAACAATATTAAGTCTTCTGGTCCATGAGTATGGGATGTCTTTCTATTTATTTAGATCTTCTTTAATTTCTTTCAACAAAAGTTTGTACTTTTTAGAGTATAAATTTTGTACTTCTTTAATTAAATTTATGCCTACATATTCAATTCTTTTTGATGCTATTGTAAACAGAATTTTCTTAATTTTGTTGATTATAAATAATGTGTAAAATTACAGTAGACATTTTTATGCTAATATTTTGTACTGCAACTTAGTTGAACTTGTTTATTAGCTGTAATAATTCTTAGAAGATTACTTAGGATTTTTTATATACAAGATCAGGTCATCTGCTTATAGAGTATTATTTCTTCCTTTCCAACCTGGATGCCATTCATTTTATTTTCTTGCCTAATTGTCCTGACTTTAGTACAATGTAGAGTAGAAGTGGTAAAGTAGACATCCTTGTCTTATTTCTGATCATAGAGGAAGAACATTCAGTCTTCACTATTAAGTATAATATTAGCTGGGATAAGTCCAATATGGTCATGGTATATAGTCCTTTTTATATGTTTCTGCATTTGGTTGCTAGATTTTTGTGGAAGAGTTTTGCCCCTATGTTCTCAAGAGATATTGGCTTGTAGTTTTGTTTTCTTCTCATGTCTTTGTCTGATTTGGGTCATTACAGGACCAGTGAATGAGCTGGGAAGTATTTGCTCCATTTTTATTTTTTGTGAATAATTAGTATTCTTTAACTATTTGGCAGAATTCACCAGTGAGGTCACCTGGGCTTGGGCTTTCCTTTGTGGATAGTTTTTTGTTTACTAATATAATTTTTTTATTTGTTGTAGAACCATTCAGATGATCTATTTTTTCTTGAGTCAATTTTGGTAGTTTATGTCTTTCTAGGAATTTTTCCATTTCATCTAATTTATGGGCAAACATTTTTCATAGCATTCATTTGTAATCATTTTTATATCTGAAAGGTTGGTAATAATGTCCTTTATTATCTTCCTGATTTTAGTAATTTAAGCCTTCTCTCTTGGTCAGTCTGGCTAATGATTTATCAGTTTAGTCGATCTTTTCAAATAAGCAATTCTTGGTTTTGCTAAAATTTTCTATTTTTTAAAAATTGCTATATAATAGGCTGGTATTTTTTAAAAATTGCTATTTCTTTTATCTATGTATAATCTTTATTATTCTGCCATTTGAGTTATAGTTTGCACCCCAATGGCCAGTGTCTTAAGGTGGCATGTTATGCTACTGATTTGAAATCTTTATTATTTTTTAATAATAAATACATTTGCAACTGAAAATTACAGACATTTGCAACTGAAATTTTCTCTCTCAGCACTGTTTTAGAGCTGCATCCTATAAATTTTGGTATTCTGTGTTTTCATTTTCATTTGTCTCAAAGTATTATCTAATTCCCTTGTGATTTCTTCTCTGACCCATTATTTAAGAGTGTGTAGTTTAATTTTTATGCATTTCTACTATTGTTCCCTAATTTTATTCCATTGAGGTTGGATAATATTATCAAGATTTGTTTTAAGAGTTAGCATGTGATCTATTTTGGATAATGTTCCATGTGCACTTGAAAAGAATGTATATTCTGTTGTTACTGAGTGGAATGGTCTATAGATGTCTGTTAGGTTCAGTTGGTTTATAGTGTTGTTGAAGTCTTCATTTCCTTGTTTATCTCCTGTGATTTTTTTTCTATACATTATTTAAAGTGAAATATTGAAGTCTCCAACTAGAACTGTTGAATTGCTTCTTTCTCTCTACATTTCTGTAAGTTTTTGCTTCATGTATTTTGGTGCTCAGTTATTAGGTACATATCTGTTTATAGTTGTTATATCTTCCTGATGGACTTACTCTTTATGATATATCTGTCTTTGTATCTAGTAACTTTTTTTTTGTTTTAAAATCTATTTCATCTAATATTAGTATAGCCACTCTAACTTTGCTATGGTTTCTGTTTGCATGATATATCTTTTTCCATCCTTTTAATCTGTTTGTATCTTTGAATTCATAGTATGCATCTTGTGTAGGAGTTCAGTCAGGGTGGTGGGAGAAATAATAAGAGAAAATTTTAGGAAAAACGCAAACCTTCTTGGAAGGCCAGAAGGTTTTGCAAAAGCTTTAGGAAGGGGTTATGGCCGAAGACAGCCTGATCCTCTTACCTTGAGCTAATAGTGAAAAGCAAATAACAAGGGAATGTAGAGGAGTTTATCTAAATAGCTTGTTTACTCATGTTGTCCTAAGACTGACCTTTTATCATTCATGTGCAGGACTGCTCTCTCCAGGGAGGGTGACCATGTTAATTATCCACAAGTGTGTTGACTCAAAGCCTTTGTCATTAAATCTGTGCTAAATAAATGCCCATAGAACCAGCTGGTCAGAGCTGTGGCTGCTGACTCTTTACAGCACCCTCCTCAGTGTCTGTGGGTGGCCCAGTCCCCTAGCCCGCTTGTTCACTGGATAACTGTGTCTGAGTGCATTTGTTCATCTGTCGTTTGGCCAGGGTCTGCGGGTTGGACCCAGCAATCTTTGACACAGCACATAGTTGGATCTTGCTATTTTTAATACAGTTAATCTTTGCTTTCTGATTGGATTATTTAACCTATGCACATGAATGTTCTCATTGATAAAGCTAGGTTTGTGTTTGCAATTTTACTTTTTGTTTTCTATATATCTCATGTGTTTTTTGTTCATTCCTCCTTTACTGCTTTCTGTGAATATTTTAAAATGTAACATTTTAATTTCTTTAGTAATTTTCCATAATATTTTTTTCTTTTACTGAGATGGAGTATCTCTCTGCTGTCCAGGCTGTTGTGCAGTGGTGCAATCTCAGCTCACTGCAACTTCTGCCTCCTTGGTTCAAGCAATTTTCCTGCCTCAGCCTCCTGAGTAGCTGGGACTACAGGCCTGTGCCACCATGCATGGCTAATTTTTTATTTTTAGTAGAGATGAAGGTGTCACCATGTTGGCTAGGCTGGTCTTGGACTCCTGACCTCAAGTGATCTGCCCGCTTTGGCCTTCCAAAGTGCTAGAATTACAGATGTGAGTTACCACCCCCAGCCAATTCTCCTCAAAATATTTTTTAATTTTTTTCTCATTTGTTGCTGCAGGGCTTACCATATATATCTTAACTTGCCAGAATTGACTTCAGATTTCCATTAATTTAATTCCGGTGTGATATAGAAATAACACATGGACACAGGAAGGGGAACATCACACTCTGGGGACTGTTGTGGGGTGGGGGAAGGGGAGAGGGATAGCATTAGGAGATATAACTAATGCTAAATGACGAGTTAATGAGTGCAGCACACCAGCATGGCACATGTATACATATGTAACTAACCTGCACATTGTGCACATGTACCCTAAAACTTAAAGTATAATAATAATAAAAAAAGAAATATTAATTCTATGTACTTCTATTTTATTTTCCCCCTTTTGTGCTATCATTGTCATAAATACTGCATCTATATGTTTCAAACCCAACAATACATTGTTACAATTTTTGCTTTGTATAATTTTATGTATTTTGAGGAAGCTGAGAGAAGATAGGAAAGCAAGTATGTATTTATGATATTTGTTGTATTAATTATCATATTTACCTCTTTTGGTTTTCTTCATTTGTTCCTGTGGTTTTAAGTTATTACCTGGTATCATTTCCTTAGTCCAATTAAGCTTTTGTCCTATCTTCTTTTTGTTGTTATTGGCAAATATATAATATTTCTACACATTATAGGCCCAACAATACAACTATATACATGTTGTTGAAGAAAATTGCTTTTAAAATCAGTTAGGAGATGAAAGAAGAAGAAATATGCATTTATTCTGTCTTTGACAGCTATGTAGTTACATTTACTTTTTTTTCTGGGTGTTTGACTTACTCTTTGGGGGTAATTTGCTTTCAGCTTGAAAAACTTCCTTTAGTACTTCTTGTAAGGCAAGAACACAATGTCTTGTGTCTGCTAACAACACAAATTCTCTGTTTCTATTGTTCTAGAATGTCTTTTTATTTTGCCTTATTTTTGAAATGTACATTTACTGGATTTATGATTCTTGGTCGATAGTTTTTTTTCTTTGAACACTTTAAATGTTACTCTCAGAAAAAAGTTCATTTTTGTGATAAGTCAGCTACTGATTTTATTGGAGTCCCATTGTAAGTGATAAATCATTTTTTTCTCTCGATGCTTTCAAGATTTTCTTCTTGTCTTTGGCTTTCTACATTTTACTATGAATTGTCTGTGTTGATCTCTTTGTGTTAATTTTACTTGAATTTCATTGAACTTTTTGAATATGTAAATTAATGCTTTTCATTATATTTGGGACATTTCTAGCCAGTTCTTCTTCAAGTATTTTTTTCTTTTTTCTCTCTCTTCTCTCCTATGATACTCAGTTATGTATACATTGATGAGTTCAATGGTAAGCATTTTTCTTAGGCTCTGTTTATTTTTCTTCATTTTCTTTCCTCTCTGTTTTTTGGATTACAGAATCTTTTTTTTTTCTTTTATTTATTTATTTATTTATTTATTTTTTTAATTATTATACTTTAAGTTTTAGGGTACATGTGCACCTTGTACAGGTTAGTTACATATGTATACATGTGCCATGCTGGTGCACTGCACCCACTAACTCGTCATCTAGCATTAGGTATATCTCCCAATGGTATCCCTCCCCCCTTCCCCCACCCCACCACAGTCCCCAGAGTATGATATTCCCCTTCCTGTGTCCATGTGATCTCAATGTTCAGTTCCCACCTATGAGTGAGAATATGTGGTGTTTGGTTTTTTGTTCTTGCGATAGTTTACTGATAATGATGATTTCCAATTTCATCCATGTCCCTACAAAGGACATGAACTCATCATTTTTTATGGCTGCATAGTATTCCATGGTGTATATGTGCCACATTTTCTTAATCCAGTCTATCATTGTTGGACATTTGGGTTGGTTCCAAGTCTTTGCTATTGTGAATAATGCCGCAATAAACATACGTGTGCATGTGTCTTTATAGCAGCATGATTTATAGTCATTTGGGTATATACCCAGTAATGGGATGGCTGGGTCAAATGGTATTTCTAGTTCTAGATCCCTGAGGAATCGCCACACTGACTTCCACAATGGTTGAACCAGTTTACAGTCCCACCAACAGTGTAAAAGTGTTCCTATTTCTCCACATCCTCTCCAGCACCTGTTGTTTCCTGACTTTTTAATGATTGCCATTCTAACTGGTGTGAGATGATATCTCACGGTGGTTTTGATTTGCATTTCTCTGATGGCCAGTGATACTGAGCATTTTTTCATGTGTTTTTTGGCTGCATAAATGTCTTCTTTTGAGAAGTGTCTGTTCATGTCCTTCACCCACTTTTTGATGGGGTTGTTTGTTTTTTTCTTGTAAATTTGTTTGAGTTAATTGTAGATTCTGGATATTAGCCCTTTGTCAGATGAGTAGGTTGCGAAAATTTTCTCCCATGTTGTAGGTTGCCTGTTCACTCTGATGGTAGTTTCTTTTGCTGTGCAGAAGCTCTTTAGTTTAATTAGATCCCATTTGTCAATTTTGGCTTTTGTTGCCATTGCTTTTGGTGTTTTGGACATGAAGTCCTTGCCCATGCCTATGTCCTGAATGGTAATGCCTAGGTTTTCTTCTAGGGTTTTTATGGTTTTAGGTCTAACGTTTAAATCTTTAATCCATCTTGAATTGATTTTTGTATAAGGTGTAAGGAAGGGATCCAGTTTCAGCTTTCTACATATGGCTAGCCAGTTTTCCCAGCACCATTTATTAAATAGGGAATCCTTTCCCCATTGCTTGTTTTTCTCAGGTTTGTCAAAGATCAGATAGTTGTAGGTATGCGGCGTTATTTCTGAGGGCTCTGTTCTGTTCCATTGATCTATATCTCTGTTTTGGTACCAGTACCATGCTGTTTTGGTTACTGTAGCCTTGTAGTATAGTTTGAAGTCAGGTAGCGTGATGCCTCCAGCTTTGTTCTTTTGGCTTAGGATTGACTTGGCAATGCGGGCTCTTTTTTGGTTCCATATGAACTTGAAAGTAGTTTTTTCCAATTCTGTGAAGAAAGTCATTGGTAGCTTGATGGGGATGGCATTGAATCTGTAAATTACCTTGGGCAGTATGGCCATTTTCACGATATTGATTCTTCCTACCCATGAGCATGGCATGTTCTTCCACTTGTTTGTATCCTCTTTTATTTCCTTGAGCAGTGGTTTGTAGTTCTCCTTGAAGAGGTCCTTCACATCCCTTGTAAGTTGGATTCCTAGGTATTTTATTCTCTTTGAAGCAATTGTGAATGGGAGTTCACTCATGATTTGGCTCTCTGTTTGTCTTTTGTTGGTGTATAAGAATGCTTGTGATTTTTGTACATTGATTTTGTATCCTGAGACTTTGCTGAAGTTGCTTATCAGCTTAAGGAGATTTTGGGCTGAGACAATGGGGTTTTCTATATATACAATCATGTGGTCTGCAAACAGGGACAATTTGACTTCCTCTTTTCCTAATTGAATACCCTTTATTTCCTTCTCCTGCCTAATTGCCCTGGCCAGAACTTCCAACACTATGTTGAATAGGAGTGGTGAGAGAGGGCATCCCTGTCTTGTGCCAGTTTTCAAAGGGAATGCTTCCAGTTTTTGCCCATTCAATATGATATTGGCTGTGGGTTTGTCATAGATAGCTCTTATTATTTTGAAATATGTCCCATCAATACCTAATTTATGGAGAGTTTTTAGCATGAAGGGTTGTTGAATTTTGTCAAAGGCTTTTTCTGCATCTATTGAGATAATCATGTGGTTTTTGTCTTTGGCTCTGTTTATATGCTGGATTACATTTATTGATTTGTGTATATTGAACCAGCCTTGCATCCCAGGGATGAAGCCCACTTGATCATGGTGGATAAGCTTTTTGATGTGCTGCTGGATTCGGTTTGCCAGTATTTTATTGAGGATTTTTGCATCAATGTTCATCAAGGATATTGGTCTAAAATTCTCTGTTTTGGTTGTGTCTCTGCCCGGCTTTGGTATCAGAATGATGCTGGCCTCATAAAATGAGTTAGGGAGGATTCCCTCTTTTTCTATTGATTGGAATAGTTTCAGAAGGAATGGTACCAGTTCCTCCTTGTACCTCTGGTAGAATTCAGCTGTGAATCCATCTGGTCCTGGACTCTTTTTGGTTGGTAAACTATTGATTATTGCCACAATTTCAGCTCCTGTTATTGGTCTATTCAGAGATTCAACTTCTTCCTGGTTTAGTCTTGGGAGAGTGTATGTGTCGAGGAATTTATCCATTTCTTCTAGATTTTCTAGTTTATTTGCGTAGAGGTGTTTGTAGTATTCTCTGATGGTAGTTTGTATTTCTGTGAGATCGGTGGTGATATCCCCTTTATCATTTTTTATTGTGTCTATTTGATTCTTCTCTCTTTTTTTCTTTATTAGTCTTGCTAGCGGTCTATCAATTTTGTTGATCCTTTCAAAAAACCAGCTCCTGGATTCATTGATTTTTTGAAGGTTTTTTTGTGTCTCTATTTCCTTCAGTTCTGCTCTGATTTTAGTTATTTCTTGCCTTCTGCTAGCTTTTGAATGTGTTTGCGCTTGCTTTTCTAGTTCTTTTAATTGTGATGTTAGGGTGTCAATTTTGGATCTTTCCTGCTTTCTCTTGTGGGCATATAGTGCTATAAATTTCCCTCTACACACTGCTTTGAATGTGTCCCAGAGGTTCTGGTATGTTGTGTCTTTGTTCTCGTTGGTTTCAAAGAACATCTTTATCTCTGCCTTCATTTCGTTATGTACCCAGTAGTCATTCAGGAGCAGGTTGTTCAGTTTCCATGTAGTTGAGCGGCTTTGAGTGGGATTCTTAATCCTGAGTTCTAGTTTGATTGCACTGTGGTCTGAGAGATAGTTTGTTATAATTTCTGTTCTTTTACATTTGCTGAGGAGAGCTTTACTTCCAACTATGTGGTCAGTTTTGGAATAGGTGTGGTGTGGTGCTGAAAAAAATGTATATTCTGTTGATTTGGGGTGGAGAGTTCTGTAGATGTCTATTAGGTCTGCTTGGTGCAGAGCTGAGTTCAATTCCTGGTTATCCTTGTTGACTTTCTGTCTCGTTGATCTGTCTAATGTTGACAGTGGGGTGTTAAAGTCTCCCATTATTAATGTGTGGGAGTCTAAGTCTCTTTGCAGGTTACTCAGGACTTGCTTTATGAATCTGGGTGCTCCTGTATTGGGTGCATATATATTTATTATAGTTAGCTCTTCTTGTTGAATTGATCCCTTTACCATTATGTAATGGCCTTTTTTGTCTCTTTTGATCTTTGTTGGTTTAAAGTCTGTTTTATCAGAGACTAGGATTGCAACCCCTGCCTTTTTTTGTTTTCCATTTGCTTGGTAGATCTTCCTCCATCCTTTTATTTTGAGCCTATGTGTGTCTCTGCACGTGAGATGGGTTTCCTGAATACAGCACACTGATGGATCTTGACTCTTTATCCAATTTGCCAGTCTGTGTCTTTTAATTGGAGAATTTAGTCCATTGACATTTAAAGTTAATATTGTTATGTGTGAATTTGATCCTGTCATTATGATGTTAGCTGGTGATTTTGCTCATTAGTTGATGCAGTTTCTTCCTAGTCTCGATGGTCTTTACATTTTGTCATGATTTTGCAGCGGCTGGTACCGGTTGTTCCTTTCCATGTTTAGCGCTTCCTTCAGGAGCTCTTTTAGGGCAGGCCTGGTGGTGACAAAATCTCTCAGCATTTGCTTGTCTGTAAAGTATTTTATTTCTCCTTCACTTATGAAGCTTAGTTTGGCTGGATATGAAATTCTGGGTTGAAAATTCTTTTCTTTAAGAATGTTGAATATTGGCCCCCACTCTCTTCTGGCTTGTAGGGTTTCTGCCGAGAGATCCGCTGTTAGTCTGATGGGCTTCCCTTTGAGGGTAACCTGACCTTTCTCTCTGGCTGCCCTTAACATTTTTTCCTTCATTTCAACTTTGGTGAATCTGACAATTATGTGTCTTGGAGTTGCTCTTCTCGAGGAGTATCTTTGTGGTGTTCTCTGTATTTCCTGAATGTGAACGTTGGCCTGCCTTGCTAGATTGGGGAAGTTCTCCTGGATAATATCCTGCAGAGTGTTTTCCAACTTGGTTCCATTCTCCCCATCACTTTCAGGTACACCAATCAGACATAGATTTGGTCTTTTCACATAGTCCCATATTTCTTGGAGGCTTTGCTCATTTCTTTTTATTCTTTTTTCTCTAAACTTCCCTTCTCGCTTCATTTCATTCATTTCATCTTCCATTGCTGATACCCTTTCTTCCAGTTGATCGCATCGGCTCCTGAGGCTTCTTCATTCTTCACGTAGTTCTCGAGCCTTGGTTTTCAGCTCCATCAGCTCCTTTAAGCACTTCTCTGTATTGGTTATTCTAGTTATACATTCTTCTAAATTGTTTTCAAAGTTTTCAACTTCTTTGCCTTTGGTTTGAATGTCCTCCCATAGCTCAGAGTAATTTGATCGTCTGAAGCCTTCTTCTCTCAGCTCTTCAAAGTCATTCTCCATCCAGCTTTCTTCCGTTGCTGGTGAAGAACTGCGTTCCTTTGGAGGAGGAGAGATGCTCTGCGTTTTAGAGTTTCCAGTTTTTCTGCTCTGTTTTTTCCCCATCTTTGTGGTTTTATCTACTTTTGGTCTTTGATGATCGTGATGTACAGATGGGTTTTCGGTGTGGATGTCCTTTCTCTTTGTTAGTTTTCCTTCTAACAGACAGCACCCTCAGCTGCAGGTCTGTTGGAGTACCCTGCCGTGTGAGGTGTCAGTGTGCCCCTGCTGGGGGGTGCCTCCCAGTTAGGCTGCTCGGGGGTCAGGGGTCAGGGACCCACTTGAGGAGGCAATCTGCCAGTTCTCAGATCTCCAGCTGCGTGCTGGGAGAACCACTGCTCTCTTCAAAGCTGTCAGACAGGGACATTTAAGTCTGCAGAGGTTACTGCTGTCTTTTTGTTTGTCTGTGACCTGCCCCCAGAGGTGGGGCCTACAGTGGCAGGCAGGCCTCCTTGAGCTGTGGTGGGCTCCACCCAGTTCGAGCTTCCTGCCTGCTTTGTTTACCTAAGCAAGCCTGGGCAATGGCGGGCGCCCCTCCCCCAGCCTGGCTGCCGCCTTGCAGTTTGATCTCAGACTGCTGTGCTAGCAATCAGCGAGATTCCGTGGGTGTAGGACCCTCCGAGCCAGGTGTGGGATATAGTCTCGTGGTGCGCCGTTTTTTAAGCCGGTCTGAAAAGCGCAATATTCGGGTGGGAGTGACCCGATTTTCCAGGTGTGTCAGTCACCCCTTTCTTTGACTCGGAAAGGGAACTCCCTGGCCCCTTGCGCTTCCCAGGTGAGGCAATGCCTCGCCCTGCTTTGGCTTGCACACGGTGCGCGCACCCACTGTCCTGCACCCACTGTCTGGCACTCCCTAGTGAGATGCAGCCGGTACCTCAGATGGAAATGCAGAAATCACCTGTCTTCTGCATTGCTCACGCTGGGAGCTGTAGACCGGAGCTGTTCCTATTTGGCCATCTTGGCTCCTCCCCTGGATTACAGAATCTTTACTAATCTATCTTGAAGTTTGCTAATTCTTCTACCAGTTCAAGTCTACTGTTGAGTCCCTCTAGTGAATTTTTCATTTCAGTTATTGTATTTTTCATCGCCAAAATTTCCATTTGGTTCTTTTTATAATTTCTGTCTCTATATTGACATTATCTATTTGGTCAGGCATTGTCTTCATATATTTCTTTACTTTTTAAATCTTGACTTCCTTTAGGTCTTTGAACACATTTATAATGGCTACTTTGAAGTCTTTGTCAATTAAATCTGTGATTGCGTTGCTGTCATAGACAGTTTCCATTGCTTGCTATTTTCCCCGTGTAGTGGTCACATTTTCCTGTTTCTTTGCATGTATCATAATTTTTGTCGAAAATTGGACATTTTTGATGATATATTGTAGCAACTCTGGTTGGTTGCTACTGGTCCACCTCTTTCTTCTGTGAAGGTTGTTACTGTTGTTTACTTGTTTATTTGTTTAGTGACTGGTTGGATTATTTGAGTCTATTTCCCCTCTGCAAGATGAAGCCTCTGATCTTGCTCCTCAAAGGGTGTAGCCTTGGGCATGTCACAGTGTTATGGTAGGGCTCTCTTTGACTGCCTCTTCTGACCATACCACCTGTTAACCCCCACTAATTGCTGGTTGATTGCTCTATTGTCTTTAACAATGTCCTGGAATATAAATTACTCCACAGACTGATCTAGTTATATTCTGGCTCCTTTTCAGGGATAGTGTTTGAAGCCCCTTCTAATTCCAGGAAAGCTTTTCTTAGCTTTCCTTTTTCTGGGGTCCCTCAGTAAATTAGCTGGCCTATAGGTTAGTTTCTATCTATAACGAAGCTACCAGCCTGCTCTTCATTGCTTTCTACCAAAACCACTGTTTTTGATAGCACCCTTAGGATTGAACTTGTTCATATTCTATAATAAAGTCAGTTCCTTTGTGGAGAACTTCAGAGCTCTCTAGTTTATGGCCTTCTTCTCCCCCTGGGCAAAATCTCTGGGCCATGACTCTGGATCTGGAGTTGGGGGCAGTGGCATGCTTTTCTCTGAGCAACACTCCTGGTTTAGTCACTGGGCACTAGGTGGTAATTTGTTACAGAGAAATAAAAAAACAAATACAAGTCCTCTTTTAAATGTTTGCTTGGGACATCAAAATATATAGCCAGGCTTTTAAGGAAAAACATTACAATGACTTAGATCATTTTGGAAAATATTTGACCTGTATGGTTATTTCTTTTGCTTATATTTGTTCCATCATTCCAAAGATATGAGAAGAACCATGATTGAGCTAGTTGTCAAGACTGTGTTTCCTTATTGCTTAGTTTTGCAGTGTTTTGCCAGTGGCTATTTACTATAAGCTTTCAAAATCTTCTAGTAATATTTTCTATTTATTAAATAATGGCATTAGAAAGGGGTAACTGTATGCCAAATTGGTTCTTACTTTATCAAAGACTGACATCTTCATTCCCATAGTTATATTTTGTATGGTTTCACCTTTTTCCACTCATCTAATAAGCCCTGACCTACAGTCACTGATACTAGAGAAAACAAAAATAAAAATGTCATTCTAAATAGTATTTAAGGCAATTCTAAGGTGGATATTGGAAAGCTTGGATGTGGATACAAATTCTTAGTACTGACAAAGAAAAAAGAAAGATTATGTGCTTTGGAAAAAAACATTCAAAACATTTTGGCACCACATCCTTTTGCTTTTACCTTTAATCTGTGCTCTTCTGTTCAGAATCCATTGGCAAATTAGCAATTTCATAACATTGTATTTTTAATATAAAGAAATGTTCACTTTGGTTTTAATTCATTTTGTGTGTTAAAGGAAAACAATTTTTCATTAATAAATAAAGGAGTTCAAAGGAATCAAATTTGTTTTGCCCTAATGTCCTCTTCTCTTCAAGCCCGTGAACTTCTGAAGATACAAGGTCAAACAAATCACTACAATTGGCAAAAATGGTATGTTTAGATTAGTCAGGATGAATGTATTTAATTTTGGAAATTTACAATAATGCTGTGAAGATGAAGAGTCTTCTCCATCTGTTATATAGTTGCTCATGAGAAAAGCTAGCAAGTGGAGTGGCCCGGCATTTATAGTTCATATGTGGATGTCTGCTCATCCTTCTTTCCTATTTCATTTTTTTGCCAAGTAGTAAAAGTGGCAAAAAATCTTCCAAAATCTAGAGTGTCCCAATGTGTGGTGCAGTATGATGACAGCTGCTCAGAAAATTTTTTGAGAGGTAGAAAAAAATGCTTTAAGAATGGTGCCAGATTGTCAGCACAAGAATTTGAGTCAACTGATTGAATGCTAAGCAATATCCTGTTTGAGAGTTTGTTCCTAAAGCTGCAACGATTGTTTGAGCTGTAGTTACATGTATGAAAACATGTGAAGACACTTAGAAGGCATGTTTCACACTCTGTCGTTGTTAGGATCCCAAAATAAGTTGCTGGCCTAAGTACATGTAATTCTCTCATTAGAAAAATGGCAACCCAAGTGATCCTGTGACACAGCCTTTCTTGCCAAAGGAAAAAAAAGATACAGCAGTTCTTAAAGCATGGCATCTGGTAATATACTATATCTTAGTCAGAAATTAAGCTGCGCTAAAGAGAGCTAACGGGGCAGAACAAAATCTTTAAAAAACAAGTCCTCTTTTGTTAAAGAGCTTTCAACATCTCACTCTGCCTTCTTCCTAGTTTATAGTACATTAGTGGAGACAAAGAACTATGCCTCTGTAGTGATCTATGAAGTAAATAGGTCAGTTAGTCTGGACTAAATTCAATACTATTTGCAACAGGTAAAGTTCTTTGCCAGTCTGTCCATGTGACCACAGATTTCCCTGTACTCCTTCAGCCAGGAGGAATTATTATTAGTGCAATAGCACAGAGCACATCAAGCCATTTGGAAATCAATAGTATTGTAATATGTGCCCAAAATAAAATTAGATAGATGAATCTCAATTTTCAACTTTATTGAGGTATAATTGACAAATAAGATTTATGTACATTTAAGGGCTACAACTTAAAGTTTTGATATATGTATACATTGAGAAATAATCACTACAATCAAGCTAACTCACATAGTTGTTTCTTTCTTTCCTTTTTGTGGTGAGAACATTTAAGATCTACCCTCTCAGGAAATTTTAAGTATACAATACATTATTGTTAACTGTAGACACCATGCTGTATGTTGGATCTGCAGAACTTATTCATGGAAACTATACACTTTGACCAACATTTTCTTAGATAAATCTGAGTACTTAAATGTTAACATTTGTTACACTCAAAGATTAAATTAGAGATAGAATGATGCCGGTGAATTTAGAAAGACAAAGCTCACAAAATTCTTCATTTACATTATAATTCTTCATCTTTATGGGGCACAGTCTGATGTTCTGATACATATATATGTTATATAATGACAAAATCAGAGTATTTCATATCCATCACCTGCATTTATCATAAATTCATATGCATTTATCATTTCTTTGTGGCGAGGGCATCCAAAAGCCTCTCTTCTAACTGTGTTTGCATTTATCTAACTGTCATTTGGTTATTGATATGTAAGTTAATTACGTGTGACTAGAGAATCTGTTCTGTATTTTACCATTTCTTTGATGTGTTTTGAGACTTGCATTATGGCCTAGAAAAAAAAGAATTTTTATTATTTTGTTGAGAATGTTTGAAAAGGTTTATTCTCTAATTGGTCTTTACAATATTTTGTATATGTCCATTACATTAGATTTGTTAATTCTGTAATTTAAAGATTTTTGTATCTTTAATTACTTTGTTTGCTCTAGCTGTCGCTTTTTTACCTTTGATCAAGGTGGCCTCCAGGTTCCCCTCAGCTTGAGTAAACTTTACAGGCCTCTTCCTGACTCTGGGCCCCTAATTTCCCTTTTCCTGGAGCATTTATTTTAAAAATCTTGTAAGTTCTTTATCAGGCCCTTTTGAGATACAATTTTTTTAAGAAAGCTTCTTGCCAATTTACAAACCAGTAATGTCTTTCTTAGGAACCTGGAAGGCATCCCTATGAAATGTAGCCATGGAAACACAGTGTCCTATCTCCCAGTCTCCGTAGGAGGGCAGGAACCTTACTTCTTTGGGCATCTTCCTCTAAGCTGTAAAACTACCTCCTGTTATCAAGATATTTATTTATCCTTTGTGGTCTTAATGTTTTAGACATGTGATTTTTAAGCAGCAAGCATATATTTGGATATTTTATAAACAATCTGATCCAACATTCTTTGCATGTTAGAAGGACAGGTATTCCCTTTTATTCATGATTATTGATATATTTTGTATTATTTCTAACTTGTATGTTTCACATTTTTATTATCTTTTGTTGTTGTTTTATCCAATGACTAGGTTGAGACAGGAAATTTTTCTTGCTCTCCACCTTTCAGGATAAAATTTATTTTTCATTCAACATTATACAGAGGGTATAGCTCTTTTGGAGACCCAGAGTCATCTGATGGACACTCATTATAAACCCAAGTTCAACAGACCTTTGCAGTTATCCTCTATTCCTAAGGTTCTAGCTGATAACCAAACAGAATCTGAATCTCTAAGAATTTTTCTATAGGAAAATGCTTAATTTTTAATTTTTTTCATATTTTTAAAAATAGATTTTAAACATGTTAGATTTTTCCCTTGAGCATTTAGCTTTATTTCAGATGATCTGACTACATGGTGCTTAATCATTATTTTCTAAATATTCTGAAATTTATATTTGCATTTCCTTTTTGACACAAGAGTATGTTGGGAAAATCTGTCAAACTGTGCTTTTCCTTTACTCTCATACCACCACAACGATCAACACAGAAGACTTCTGTGACTAAATGTGTGCGTGTTTTTCCCCACCACCAAGCAGTGAACACCAGGTGGGTGTCCTGTAATTCAATTTCAACAGTCTCTACCTGGAGACAGTGTCGGATCCCTCAGGTGGAGGGCTCAGTCTCCAAGACTGCTCCCTCCTTCCCTTCAGGCACAAGTCCAGGCCTCTGGAACTTCTGACTGACTAGCTTTAAGTTGGGGTTCCCACGACCCTCTCTTTTTGGTTCAATTGGTTTACTGAAGTGGCTCACAGAACCCAGAGAAACTCTTATATTTACTGATTTACTAAGAAAGACATTGCAAAGGATACAGATGAAGAGATGCATATGGTGAGGTATAGGGGAAGGGGCACGGAGCTTCCATTTCCTCCCTGGGTACACCACCCTCCAGGAATCTCCACATGTTCAGCTATCTGGAAGCTTCTGGAACACAGTCCCCTTGGGTTTTTATGGAAGCTTCAAGATTCCATCATTTCTTCCTTTAGTGTATAGGGTCGGACCTTCTCTGGAAAGGATCCCAAGACCCACAGTCAGAAAGGTGGGGGAACATTAGAGTCCTGCCTTGGGGCCGGTGAAAGGAAGGCAGGAGAGAGATTCTGTTTCCTGAGGCCTAACACACTCAACATTATAACAAAAGTTTGCAACTAGGACTATGGCAGTTATGAGCCAGGAACTGTGGATGAAAAGCAATCTATCTATATATCATAACACCACAAAGAGTAACTAAAGAGAAAGTTTAAAAAATTCTACATGGATGGGTTTTGGAGTTTTTATGTTTTATTTTATTTTTAGTTTCATTTTCTTATGGTTGGCTTCTGCTAGGTTTCCACTGTGTCCACTTATTAATCTCAAACTTTAAGGCGTATCTGAGTTACCCAGATATCTTGTAAAAATGCAGGCCATACTTCAAGTAACAAAGTCCCATTTCATTATTTCAGTAGTTTTTGGAGTAAATATTGACTTCATCTTTATCTGCTTCTTGCTAAGTAGTCCCAGCTTACATTCAATATAACAATGTCGAACCATTTGGTATTTTAAAACACACTATATCTCATTTAGTCCTCCCAGCAGCATCCTTAGTAGATTTAGAAGGTTGTTTTCCTTTCTGAGAAAAGTGAGCCCCAGGGCACACCCCAGATATTTCTCCATCTTGGTTTCTCTGTCACCCATCTTGGTACCAGCTGTTTCCCAAAGGGGCTGGGGAGTGTGCAGGGCTAGGTAACAACTTCCATTTAGGTAATTTGCCCTAGAATACTTTTTCTCTGAGTCTGCTCTCCTTCCTCAGGGGCCCACTTTGCTTGCCTTTGGTGTTTTTTCTTTCAGATTGAGGTGAAATTGTGCTTGGCCTCCCTTGAATCCCACTATGTGACAGTTTTTCTGAATGTTGATTTGACATTTGGGTGTCTCTCTTCAGCTGACTGATTGTCATCGGTGAAGCTCAATTTTTTTTTTTTTATTACAGCTCCTTCCAGCAGGTTCCCAATGCATATTAACATAATAAAAGCTTTAGGACATCTTTAGTAACAAAATCTGTTTTGCTGTGTTTAAACCTGTGTTTAACAAACTTACCAAGCCGTAAAATCCTTAGTTTTGGCAAAACCATTCTTTTTCACTTTGCCAATGATTTTGAATTTTAAATACAGATACAAACATACATTTATTTAAATTTGTGCTAAACACCAAACATTATACTAAATACTTTAAAGCAAGGGTGTCCAATCTTTTGGCTTCCCTGGGGCACACTGGAAGAATTGTCTTGGGCCACACGTAAAATACACTAGCACTAACGATAGCTAGTGAGCTAAAAAAAATCGCAAAAATATCTCATGTTTTAAGAAAGTTTACCAGTTTGTATTGGGCCACATTCAAAGCCGTCCTGGGCCTCATGTGGACAAGTTTGCTTTAAAGACATTATCTCATTTTATACTCACAAGCACCCTATGAGTTCCATTTGATAGGTAGAAATTAAATGGAGGCTTAGTAGTTTCCCTAACATCTAGTGAATTCAAGACAGAGCTCAAGTTCAAATTAGGGTGCCTGGCTCAAAAGCAGGTTATGTATCTTTTGGGGATGCCTTATTGCTTTTCAGGTATTCAACACTGCTCCTTTCCTTAGGACAGGACTATTCAGCTAATTCTGACTTTGCCTGCTTTAAATAAAAGGACATGTGTAGGATTGCAGTTAGTGAGGGTTATAGGGAGACTACTGAACAATTGAGCAAATTTTACCAATAAATTGAATGCCCAGAAGGGTGTGTTTGTCACCTAGTAAATGTGGCTCAGTCCATAAGAAACACCATTCTCAGAAGAGATTTTAATGAATTTTACAGGTGTTTCTCTGCTTGCCGTGTCTCTTCCTCCAGGGCAGCTTTGCAAAGCTGATGAATAAGAGGTGACACGCCAGGGGATTTCTGACTGGCACACAGTACGTGAAAATATGGAGAAGAGCTCTGCTCTTACCGGGTAAAGTCAAATCTAATTTCCAAAACTAAATGAGAATTATAATGACAATAAAAGACCCAGAATACCACTTTATAATATATCTCATTGTATTTGTAATTCTTGGCAACAACAAGACGAAAAATCCTGAAATCAAATTAGGGCAATCTGCATGACAAAATATTAACAAGAGACAGTGGAGGCAGGAAATTGTTGATCATTTTCATTATCTGTAATGATGCTGTGAACTTTATTTGTCTTCACCTTGAAGTTTTGGAGAAAATCTGACTCTGCTTGGCAGCTTTAGCTTCTTTTACTGAAGCATCCTGCTATTTAAATAAACATGAAGCCCTTAAAGTTATTTTGGAATGATTTCCTTTCCCAGGTGCTTGGGGTTTTCCGTTCTGAAAACACACTCATTTAGAAAACCTAGAGGCTCTAGGTGTTGTTTATTACTTAGAGGAACATTTTTGCCGCATTTAAGATTACAAGTTTCCAAGGAACTTTGACATGGTTTTGCTCTGTGTCCCCACCCAAATTTCATCTCGAATTGTAATCCCCACATGTCAAGGGAGGGACCTATGATCCCCATGTGTTGAGGGAGGGAGGTGATTGAATAATGGGGGCAGTTTCCCTTATGCTGTTCTCATGATAGTGAGTGAGTTCTGACAAGATCTCATGATTTTGAAGCAGCTTCATTGTCTGGGGTGACACCAGAGGTTCTTGGTCTCATGGCCACAGAGATCAAGGACGTGGACACACACAAATGGTGAGGTTTAGAGCAGAATTTTAATAGGCAAAAGAAAGAGAATAGCTCTCTGCTACAGAGAGGGGTCCTGGAAAAATGGGTTGCCAATGCACAGTGAAACACAAGAGTTTTATAGATGAGCTAGTGGAGAAGCAGTATCTGATCTACATAGGGTGTAAAGAACTGGTTAGGATCAGGTGTGCCATCTGCATAGGGTGTGAATCTTTCTGGCAGCCCCCACCCCAATCTTTTATTATGCAGGTAGGTCCTCTGCCTGAGTTACTCCATATTGCTTATTTCTTTCTTACTGTGCATGTGTTAACAAAAAAGGGAAGGTGGAGCCCCCATCATGGACATGCCTGGCCCCAGGTAGCCCTTTTTATCGGTGCGGCTGCTGGCATCCCCCCATGCAAGCTTCCAGCTTCCTCAACTATGTTTGCAGCTCGATCTTCCAGGCTTCTCTTTGTTTGAAAAGAAGTAATTTCTTGGACCGCTTTTTGCTAGAAGGGAAGTTCTGCCAAGGACTCTTTTGCCCTCACTATCTGCCTAGATAATTTCTTTCTCTCTCCTGTATCAGTTTTATAAGCATCTGGCATTTCCCCTGCTTGCACTTTTCTCTCTCCTGCCATCTTGTGAAGAAGGTGCCTGCTTCCCATTCTGCCATGGTTTTAAGTTTTCTGAGGCCTCCTCAGCCATGTAGAACTGCGAGTCAATTAAAACTCTTTCCTTTATGAATTACCCAGTTTTAAGTATTTCTTTATAGCAGTGTGAGAATGGACTAACACAGGCTTGAATGAAATGAGGAGCATTTGGTTTCAAATATCAATTCATCCATTCTAATATAACCTTGGACAGTTAACTTTGTTTCAGTTTCCTTGCCATGATAATGAATCATAGTACCTTATCAGGTTGTGACAAGATTTGAAGGAAACTATATAAACTCTCCAGCCACAATAGGCACTTCATGATTAGTAGCTAGGCTCTTATAACAATTCTTATGAAAATCTGCTGAAGGGAAGAACTTACTTTGCTCTCCTGGAATTTTAGTTATAGGACCAAGCTAATAGGTCAGATATTAGGCATGCATTGGAGATAAACATGAATGGTTCTCTCCAGTTGGTATTTATGTTTTTCCAGAGGTCAGAGATATTTATATGAGACAGTGCTGAGAAAAGTTGAGTGAAATACAAATAAGCAGTTATCAAGATTGGTCAGAGAACTGGATTTTCCAAATTGAACTAGAATTGGGAAACAATCAGTTCTTGGACTCATACCTTCCCCCATTTACTGGTAAGAAGATTCTGTTCACAAATGCATTTTTATATACATAAGGCAGGTGATCAGATTGCTTTTTATATTATGTGTTGGATTATAAGTCTTTACTACTCTGCACTAACAAATTAGTGCCAAAAGAGCTTTTTCTTAATATTTCACTAACTTAGAAGTCTTTACCCTCAAAGCATCAGTTTAGATGTGTCTCTAATGAAAAGGTCCTTAGCTCCTGTGGGGTTTGGAGAACAATACCCCAAAGTGTAGTGATTTGGCATGCTGACTTCTTTCAAATTAAGGGAAACTGGAAGACCTCAGAAGCTTCCTCAGCACTAAGGTCTTTCTAATGTTCTCTTATTTCTCCTCCCCAAGCACAGGGTTGTCTCTCTGGAATTTCTTTATCTGACTGGGGAAACTTCTTGCTTAAAAAAAAAAAAATGCAATTGTCTTAAGCTCCCTCCCTAGGAATCTCATTAAATAATCCAGAAAGTTGGCAGGGCACGGTAGCTCACATCTGTAATCCCAGCACTTTGGGAGGCCGAGGTGGGCGGATCATGAGGTCAGGAGATCGAGACCATCCTGGCCAATATGGTGAAACCCCATCTCTACTAAAAATACAAAAATTAGCTGGGCCTGGCAGCACGTGCCTGTAATCCCAGCCACTCGGGAGGCTGAGGCAGGAGAATCGCTTGAACCCAGGAGGCGGAGGTTGCAGTGAGCCGAGATTGCGCCACCGCACTCCAGCCTGGGCCACAGAGCGAGACTCCATCTCAAAAAAAAAAAAAAAAAAAAAAAAAAGATTAAAAAAAAAAAAACCCAGAAAGTTTAACCATGGAGAAAAGACTAAAAGTTGTTACCACACCCAGTCTGACTTTTCTTCAACTATTCTTCTGATGGCAGCTTCAAGAGATTACCCGGGAGACTTTTATCTGCCTACTAAGACCACTTCTGTTCACGGTGAATTTCCTGTTCCTCACCTTCCTGTAACCTATACACAAACTATAGTTTGTCCTTGGTCTCATTCAGCATTCAGAGAAAATAATTTACAAACCATTGTCTTGTTTTCAGGCTCATTCATTCCCTCTAAAATAATTTACTAACCCTCTAAAATTTTCTACAGCCCCACCATCCCAGTTTCCCTCTCCCCTACATAGAGGACATTTAAGCCTCAACCATCTGGCCCTTCTTTGAGTCTCATATTTTATACGGTTCCATTTATGTCTTTTCTCCTGGTAATCTGTCTATTATCAGTTCATTCCAGTGAAACTTCAGAGAGGGAAGAAGGGAAGCTTTCCTACAATCCCTACACTCCTTTCTGACTATTTCTCTGCTATCTTTGATTGAGCATACTGTAATTAAAGTGGGATTTGATAAGTGTGATTCTAGGTAAGATACTCAGGTAGGCTAATTTATCTTCCAGTTTCTTTCAACACCTTGCTTTTTCTTCTATTCTTCTATCTTTTAGCCTTTACATAAACTCCTTTCTTTAAACATAATCCTTGATTTATTCTCATTTATCTATAATTTGGAAAATTGTCTGATAAAGTCATTTTGGCTTACAATGATTTTATCTGGAGAGGAATTAATTTCTATCCTGCTCCCATCTACTGCTGCAGGCTGATCCCACATCTAGCCAAGAAAGGCAGAAGAGCTTACACACTTCACTATCTGAAAGCATCAGATGAGCTGGACCAATGCTTGAAATAAGATGTTTCCCCTTAGCAACTAAAATTATTCCTATAGATGACAAATACCAGGGTGGGGGCAGGCATTCCTAGACAGATGCATAGAACTATAAAGGGAAAGAAAAAAAAAACTGAAGTAGATTCTGAGATATGCTAACTCTGCTTCTGTTTATGGGCATGAAAAGTCTTTTTCCTTGGAGGACTGAATGTTAAAGATGTGTGTGTGTGTGTGTGTGTGTGTGTGTGTACCTCTGTGTAAAAGCATATGAAGATGTATGTTTATGTGTGTATCTGAGCACATGCATGTACTCACGTAATTAACTCATTATCTGGATAATTTTATATTAGAAATATTATAAGAAATTCCTCTGTGACTGTGTGTGATTCCTTTTCCTTTCTGATAATTTACAGTAATTACAAGTCTTTCTATGGCTGTTTAGTTTCAAAGATGATATCTGGGTAATGCTAGAAGCCAAAGTCATATGCCTACACACTCTAGCAGCCTCTTTTGTCCCAAGACTACCTAAATTCCTACCTGGATTATCCTCTAGAGGGAGCGAGAGGAAAAGAGTGCATAGTGATTATGTGTATGGTCTGAGCCTCAGAGAGGTCTGTATTAAGGTCTCTACTATTTAATGTCTGTATAAATTGGACAGATTATTTGGCCTCATTAAAACTCATTTTTTTTCATTTGTAAATAGAGGACATGTAACTGAGAAGCTTGTGAGTATGAAATAAAACATGTAAACTAGCATAGTGTCTGACATTTATTAGGTGCTTACTGAATGTTAATTATTATTGTTATTGCCATAATGATTATTACTAGTACTTGATTATTACTACTACCAACACCACTAGTATAACAATCAGTACATGTAGTCTTTAATGTTTCTATTGTCCCTTGGAGTTTCTGTAGTTAATAATCGTCAAACACATTACAAATTTGGATATCAGAAAGGGGATATTTTATGTTGGCCATTTTAAGTAAAAGATGAAATTTTATTAACTCGAAAGAGTGCCCTTTACTCATGTCAACTTTCTATTAGGAAATGAAAAGTCGGTTTGTAATAGGAACAATTGTTCCTGATTTATGTGTTTCAGATATGGCTATGTGACTGTCAGATTTTATTAATGTGAGACTCACCTTTAAATGTGATAATGAAATATTGACTAGGAAAGAACACTAAGTACGCATTTCAAGATGAGTTTCTATGATTGAAATTTTGTTTAAAAAATCAACTTGAAGAAAACTACCATTTATTAAGTATCTATAGATGTCAGATACTCTTTTAGATAAGTGATATTTTATGACATTTAAAAAATATTTATATTTACTGATATTATCCTGAGTGTACACATGAAGTTTCTGAAACAGAGCATATTATTATTTATTTTATTTTTATAGATTTAGGTGGTACAAGTGCATTTTTGTTGCAGAGACATATTGCATAGGGGTGGTCTTGGCTTTTAGTGTAAACATCATCTGAAAAGTGTAAATTGTACCCAAAAGGTAATTTCTCATCCCTCTCCCCCTCACACCCTCCCATTTTTGGGTTCTCCTATGTCTTTTGTTCTACTCTGTATGTTCATGTGTTTCACTTACAAGTGAGAACCTGCAGTATTTGACTTTCTATTTCTAAGTTGTTTCACTTAAGATAATGGCCTCCACTTCTATCCATGTTGCTGCAAAAGACATGATTTCATTATTTTTCATGGCAGAGTAGTATTCTATGGTGTGTATTGACCATGTTTTCTTTATCCAGTAGTCCGATGATATGGACACTTAGGTTGATTCCATGACTTTGCTATTGTCAATAGTGCTGTGATAAACATGAATGCAGGTGACTTTTTTATATAATGATTTCTTTTCCTTGGGGTAGGTACCTAGTATTGGGATTGCTGGGTTGAATGACAGTTCTATTTTTAGTTATTTGAGAAATTGCCATACTGTTTCCATAGAGGATGTACTAATTTATGTTCCTCCCAACAGCATTTAAGTGTTCTTTTTCTCCACATCCTCACCAATATCTTTTGTTTTTTGTCTTTTTAATAATAATCATTCTGACTAGTATAAGATGGTATTTCATCGTGGTTTTGATTTACATTTCTCTGATATTAGTGATGTTGAGCATTTTTCATATGTTTGTTGGCCGCTTATGTGTCTTCTTTTGAAAAATGTCTGTTTATGTACTTTGTACACTTTATAAATGGGATTATTTGTTTTTTTTATTAACACTGACTTTTTTTTCCTATTGACCTTTTTGTAAATGACATTGGTTTTGTAATAGGAATTGTGTTGAATCTATAGATTGCTTTGGGTAGTATGGTCATTTTCATGATATTGGTTCTTCCAATCCATGAGCATGGGATGTTTTTCCATTTATTTGTGTCATTTATGATTTCTTTCATTAGTGTTTTGTACTTCTCTTTGTGGACATTGAGATGGAGCAGAGACCCCTCTTAGGGGCATGCAGCCCCACCAAGCATGGAAAGAAAGGAAAATCTTGTTTCTTTGAGTGAAGTTCGAGAAAGCTAGCTAGCCCTGAGATGTAAATGAGCAACTTAATAGGCGAGAAAGTAATAGCGGATTAAAACAATAGCCAAAAAAATTAGAGTCATGGGATGCTTGGTCTCCTATAGAAACTAAAAGCAACATCTTAATGTATGTTCCTGAGTTTTTTTTTTTTTTTTTTTTTTTTTTTCAGAAATCCAGACCCCCACTAAACAAGTTTTCTGGCACATAGACCTCAGATAAGGGGGAACTGAGGACTGAACTCTGACTGTTGTTCTTTGTTCCACAGTTCTTCCTGAGGGCCTGAAGGAAGTCATTCTCACAAGCCAGAGCTAACATTATTTTCTATTGACCCCAAATTTTTAAACAAAGTTTCTTTTCTATAACCAATTGTAAATTAGAACATCTGTAATTTTCCTATGAATGACCTGTGAGCCCCTGCTTCAAGATAACCCTCCTTTGTAGGCCAAATTAATGTGTAACCTCCATGTACACCCTGTATTAATTTATACTTTTGCCTGTAACTTTGGCTTTCCTGAAATTTCCCCCTGCCTTTAAATACCCTTGCTCACAAGCTACTGAGGAGTTCAGGTTTTAAGTGAGCTGCCTGATTCTCCTTGCTTGGCACTTTACAAATAAACACCCTCCTTTCTTGTGCTGCAAACCTCAGTGTGGATGTTTGGCCTTACTGCACCAGACGAGTGGACCCCACTGTGGTTCATTAACAAGATCTTTCACATTTTTGTTTAAAATACCTTCTAGGTATTTTTTTTTTTGGTGGTTATTGTAAATGTGATTGAGTTTTCAAGCTTGATCATTATTGGTGTATAGAAATACTACTGATTTTTGTATGCTGATTTTGTATCCTGAAACTGTACTGAAGTCATTTACCAAATCTAGGAGTCTTTTGGAGGAGTCTTCAGGGTTTTCTATGTATGAGGTCATATTATTAGTGGACAGAGATAATTTGACTTCTTCTTTTTCAATTTGGATACCTTTTATTTCTTTCTCTTGCCTGATTACTCTAGCTTGGACTTCCAGCACTGTATTGAATAGGAGTGGTGACAGTGGACATCCTTGTCTTATTCCAGTTATTAAGGGGAATGCTATTATTATTTATTCACAGCAAGTAATGATAGCCAGATAGATTAAAACCCTACACCTAGGAGTCTATATTTTGGGTGAGGAATCCTAAAAAAATGAATGTGGATTATCTATGCCATCCTCCTCCCCTCCTGAGAGGGTCTCCTTGGCAACATAATGGGAAGGATCCTGAATTCTCACCTAGTCCCTTGGAATATAAATAAATCTCTCTAGAGGAAAGGGATCACATGAGGGTCTCCAGCTTTACAATGCAGATTGTTCCTGTGTCTGTCTCTCTCTGGAGTTCTCTAGGTATGTAAATTAGTCATAAGTTAACCTCCAGCAGTTGTTTTAATTTGCTCAGAAAGCTCTAACTATGCAGAAACATAAAATATTATCACTATAGCCTCAGATATATATGATTACATTTAAACCCACACACCACTATTTTTTCCCCATATCTCTTTTACAGAAGGAGAATCAAGGGTCAGAAAGTTTAAGTAAATTTTCCAAGGTCATACGACTAGTAAGGGAAAGATTTCTGATTAGAATGGAAGCCTGTCCGATGTGAAAGCTCTTTGGTGGCTACAATGCTGGCCTGAAAGACAAGCTTAAGGAATACATATTTTACATCTCCCTTTTCAGTAAGCCTACATTAAATGATTCTGAGGATATGAGCATCTCACCTCCTATATAAAGGCTTTTCTGCAGTCATTTGGCACAGTAAACCACTTACAAACATCATGGAAGAAGAGAACTGTTTGACAAAAAGAGGAAAGTAGGATTAGAAATTAAGAAGGTACATTTTCCTCTCTTTTCCACAGTCTCATGCTATTTTTTTTTTTTTTTTTTTGGTCGGGGGACGGAGTCTCACTCTGTCATCCACCTAGGAGTGCAGTGGTACAAACTCGGCTCACTGCAGTGTCTGCCTCACAGGTTCAAGTGATTCTCCTGCTTCAGCCTCCCAAGTATCTGGGACTACAGGTGCACACCACCCCACCCAGTTGTAATTTTTCAGTAGAAACAGGGTTTCACCGTGTTGGCCAGGCTGGTCTCGAACTCCTGACCTCAAGTGATCTGCCGGCTTTGGCCTTCCAAAGTGCTGGGATTACAGGCATAAGCCACCTCGCCTAGCCCAGTTTTGTGCTATTAATTCATTGCTGAAGAGTTGCCTCAAAGATTGGGAAGGCTATTTTTCTCTCCATAGGCTTTGCTCTCTTCCTATTCCAGTAAAGAAGTATTTTTCTTCTATTTGTATTATTTTGCTCTATGCTTGTAGCCAATATGATAGCATATGCTGCTCATGGGTGTTACAAAGACACGAAGAAGCTTTAATGCTGATTTTCTTTTTGAGTTCTAACTTCATAGGCGGTGAATTTAATAAGGGCAAAGAAGACAAATAATGTCTTTTGTCCGTTTTTGCTTTGTACCGTTGTTAGGTGACAGTATCTTTCATAAAGGCATTATGGTTCTGATGACCTAAATGTATCCCTCCTGTTGTGAAGAACATGAGTTACCAATGCATTAAAATAGTCTTTATTCCTGGTTTACTCAATTTTGCTGCAGTAAAAAGGACAAAGCTGGTGATAATGCCAAAATACTCTAATACGTAATGGTGCATTTCAAAACAGGGTTTTCAGGACCTCAGCAAGTCCAATATGTATCAGGGCCGAGCCTCAGGGATCATACCAGGGTGCAGTTATGCTTTCCCAGCTGACTCTGTCTGCCTCAATGTCACATGGGGCCAGGAATATTCCTGTGATTTTAAGTGTTGTGGTGAGGCATGAGTCATCTGTGAATGCACTTTTTAGGGTCTGAAGGTCCTATGAGGTATTACCCTTGAGAAAGACTGGAGAAAGAAAGGCTAGGGCTAGGAGTTGACCACTGCCACCCATGTCCAGGCCCTACCAGCAAAGTCATAGGCTCATCACGGGTCATTGCACATGCCTACCTGTGCCTTGGTATGGCTAGAGCCTGGATCCAAACCTCTGGTCAATGTTGGGCAAAAGAGATCACCAGAGATTGGGCAAGCTATGCTCTGAGGAAACTTCTGATGACAGCTCTGCCTGTGGCTACACTTGCTCACTTCTTTTTTGTTTTTAGATAGGGTCTTGCTTTGTCACCCAGTTTAGAGTACAGTGGTATGATCCTAGCTCACTGCAGCCTCAAACTCCTGCCTCAGCTTCCCCAGTAGCTAGGACTAAACTGGTATGCACCACTGCACCTGGCAAATTTAACTTTTTTGTAGAGATGGGGTCTCGCTATGTTGCCCAGGCTAGTCTTGAACTCCTGGCCTCAAGTGACCCTCCCTCCTCAGCCTCCCAAAATGCTGGGATTATAGGTATGAGCCACTATGCCTCACTTTTACTGGAAGATACTTAAGGAGGAAAAGGAAGGAACCTCTTGATTTCCTATCGCTGTCTCTTCTCTTCTTATCTCCCCCATTTGCAGCTTCTCTGGGATTTAGAAAATAACCAAGTAGAGATTTGCCTTAAACAATTGGCTTATTTTTCTTTGATTTATTAAGGAATAGGAGGGAGATTGTGATGATGGTGGGAGGAGTGAAATGTGAAGAAAATTAACCTTTGCATCCCTACTGGATGTCAGACCTTTTGCATACAGTCTCTTATTTTGGTCTTGTATCACCTATGCAAGGTAAGCATTCATTCCATCATCCATTAATTTATTGAGTGCTTATTATGTTCCAGGCAGCATTCTAGGGGCTGATCATTAATATCTCCAATTAAAGATGAAGAAAAAAATCTGAGAGAGACTAAAAAACTTGCTCCAAGTCGTGCAATTAATCAGTGGAGAAACAGAATTCAAGTCCAGGACAGGTCCACTGGGTCTGATGATTTCTTCTTTGCAGGTGGGAGGCAGTTATTTTTAAGAGGTTTAATAAGGAGTTTAATAAGGTTAACTAGACCAGTTTCTCCTTAATGATTAATGCTGAAAGTATATCTCCACATAATTTGTGTGGAACCAAAGCGGGAATGTGTGGAGACTGTTACTGCTCCCTTTCCTGCTTTGTTTTCAGTTTCCTTCTGTATCACCTCTATTTTTCTGACTCCTCTCCCCTCCATCATTCATTCCCTCCCCTTTGATGTGGACAAGTCATGAACTCTTGATCTTATGTAGAGTACTTTGCAAGCTCAACTTCAAAGACCTCTTCCAACCACATATTGACCACTAAACCCTTCTCAGGTAGAAATTTGGAGCTTCTGTGGTCAGTTCCTTTGGAAGCTTCCTTAGGATTCAGTGTAAATAAAGCTCCATATCTAAGATTCCATTCAGAACAAAGTAAAAATAATTTTTAATTTGTTGGATGTTTGAAGGATCCTTCTATTGCCATTTTTATCTGTAATAATACTATGGTTTGTGACATGATGTGTGGAGACTTTAGAGACGACTTTTCAGCTTATTTTGTAGAAGAAAGTATAAAATGTTTTGTTCAGTGTTCTTAAATTTTTAAATTTAAACCTTTCATGCATTCAATTGGTTTTGGGTATTACTTAGTGGCTACTCTTTGTGGCTGAAACCCATTTTATCACAATTTTATAATGGGTTATTTATTCAGGATTTAGAAGAATAGACCTATTGCTTAGGCATATCGATTGACACAGTAATAAAGTCAGTCCTTCAGATTGGTAACTTTAAAAATTTATTTTATGATTTAATGGGAGTTTCTTAACTATTCTGTTTTATTTTAATGGACAGTCATATCAAGAACAGCTCTGGTAATGTAATTCACAACCAGTTCTTCCATTATGAATCGGATGAATTTTTTATGGCTTTCAGAAACGAATCTCTACCCATGAGACACTTATAATGGTAAAAGAATGAATGAAAATTCAGTCTTCTCAAAGCAATGAAGCAATGCAGGAGTAGAACAAAACAATATAATAAAGTCAAGAAGCTTCCTTAACTTTTGCTTAACAAAGGTTTAAGTTTAGCTGTTACATATGAGAAAAGGCTTATGAAAAAAAAATCACTGCTTCCTAATTTAGTAAAAGACAGATAAGACCATCTACCTCAGCTGGAAACTTGCTACAAGTGACACTTCAGGTTTTTAAAATAATCTTTCAGAAAAAAATACATTTTCTCACTACTTTCACACAGAAAGAAACAGACAGGTAGTGAAGCATTTCCTGCCTGTTTTCCTTGATTTTGCAAACTGAGTGAATCTCTCTGTCATGCTTTTGTCTCCATATCCGACAAACAGTGCTTGTATTATTGCTAATTATTTTCTTCTCCAGACCTCCTTTACTTCTGTAAGAAATATAGACCTCCCACTTAACTATTCACAAATTCCCCATAAGGGCATCTAAAATATTATCATTGAAGTTGCATAGCACTGTTTTCTGTTATGTAATTCTAAGAATGCTAAACCCTGTTTGAATACTATGATATAAATTGTTTACAGATAAAAGTAACACATTTGAAGATTTTGAAATGAACATCTTTCTATAACCAAGAGGAAAATATTTAAGAGATTGTTGCATATCTATTGCAGTATCAGAGAATTTAGATTCAAATCATTTTTTTATTGACATGGAAGAATTTTTGCCTTTCATTCACAAAATAGGGTAAATGAAATCTAAAAAAAGGAATAAAAATTTTACTTCCTAGAAGAGTTAAACTAATCTTTCTTATCTAAATTTTCCCTATTTGGAGTATTCTCTATGGGGTTTGACTTTAATCAGTAGAAATTCTAAATTTACAACAAGGTAGTTTTGGGGATGTCATCAGGTGACCTATAGGAAGAACACTACATCTGCATTTACATTTCGGGTTGCCCATTTTTCAGGATAAATGAGGAGAGTTTGGGATGGGGAGTAGAGACAGCAGTGAGTCCCTCAGTTGACATCTCACTGCCTCTTACTGTGACCTTTGGCTGCAGCTGAATTGTTTTTTTAAGTTCCTACAGTAAACAGAATTAATATTTAAGCTGCTTGCTGAATGAAGTAATAAAATACATCCTTGATGTGTTGTTTTATGGCATGGGCCACTGAGATGTTTATACAATGCCAAATGACTTACAAAGGGATTTTTTTGAGGTGAACATCCCTTTAGGTAAGATAAATCACTATGCTAAAACAAATAAACAAATAAAGGTTTACTATAGACCACTTCTAAACTACCTTTCCTATATCTCACTCCTTACTGTCTACAAAGAATCCTGTAGAAGAGGGTATTGGAATGGTTGTGTAAAATCAATAGTAATTAGTCCTGGATACAATACACTGGAAAAGACACACAAGTGAACATGTATGTGTGTACACAGGTATGTATAATATATGTGTTCTCTTCATCTATATAAAATATAAAATATTAAAGATATGCATATCTGAATGTATATATGGGTACATGTCTGTAATATTTTGTAAATATAAAAATTACTTTGTACCAACATGAGCTGTGTTTAGTTGTTTCACTGACTTAGACAACCAGTCTCTCAGAAATGAGGATTCACTTGTTTAATTTCTATAGTTGCTAAGATAATACCATACACAAACATTTACTGCATAGTTGATGACAACTACCCTAAGAAGTAGGGTTTTCTCTGTGTCTTTGTGAATGCTATTCTTCCTTGAGTGGTTTTTCTCCCTCTTACCTCTACCTTCTTTGTGCTGTCTTCCTGGGTCACAAAACAACATTGACGTTCCTTTATGAATTTCAAAACCACTTGTAATTTAGACCAGTACTACTCAAAATGTTCTGGAGCTGCTATGCAAACTGATACCTGCCCACCACAATTAGGGAGGTACAGGAATTGAGGGTAAACAATTAGGAACTTTTGGAGCAATTTGACTTTACTGAGATATCCAAGCAGAATCTCTCATAACTTCTTATTGTATTTTATAATATATTGGTCTACTATAGATCAGAAATTAAAAAAAGACAAACATGAAAAAAAAACACCTTGGACTTTCACCACAGATGGTTTGAGAAGCAATGATCTATGTGACTGTTTCTTGAACCTGACTACATATCAAAGTTCCCCGGAGAAACTTCTTAAAAAGCACAAGATGGATAGTGACTGGAGCTAGGCTCTGTTAAAAAAAAACTATCCAGGTTATCTTGATGCACATCATGTTTGCAATGTCATTTGAACCATATCTGTTTAATTGCTGCAGCTAATTACATCAAGACTCATCAATTTTTGATGATTCTAGTAGAATTGGATGCCATGTGAGCATTGATCTTGTCCTCACTGCTATGCCTTCAGCACTAGACTTATAATTGATACACAGTAAGTGATTAAAAATTCTGGATAAATGAGTGAATGCATCATGTCTTCATTTTGTGGCCTCTAATAGATTCTTGGGATGTAAAAGAACTCATTTTATATACATATGCAAATTTAAAACCTTCTATAATAAGTCTGACATCACCTGTGTCCTCTCTGTGTTTGTGTTATCAGCAAGTGAATTTCTCAGTACTCCCACATCACAAACCCCAATTACCACTCCATATGTTTCCCAAATTAGTAGCTAATAGCGTTTTCCCAGGCGAATGTATCTAGAAATACCCAGGGATTCACTGCTATACCTAAGTCAGCAATGGTTCATCTTTCTCCTTGCTGTGGAGGAGAACTTGACCAGAGGAGTCCACTTCCCCTGGCCCGGCAGCTTCTTGCATGGGAAACTAGCTGCTCCTGCTGCTACTTGGCTGATGATTTACCCTATAGCACATTTTATCTTTACGTAAACACACAAAGTCCTTTCACGTCTTTGTTCCTGTTCCCATGCCATGACTCCTTCCTGGAATACCATTCTTTTATTCTTACTCACTAAATAAGCTCTTCTACTCCTTTTCTTCGGGCCCCCTTCCTCTGATTCAGCTGAGAAACAACTACTGTCTGTCTCCATCAAAGCTAATTTTCTGCCTCCTGTTTTCCCACCATACTTTGCCATTCTAGACATCTGTTGCATATCATTTTTTCTGTTACTTAACTAATGCATCAGTCTTCATTCATTCTCCTCCCAGACTATACTCCTCCTGGGTTCAGAGCATATCTCATTCATTTCTGTGTTACCTTTGCTTATCTCAGTGCTGGCTTCAGAGTAGATACTTCAGAGATGCTATTTAAATCAGAGTTAGGGTAGTTAGAATAGGAGAGAATGAGGACTCTATGGTGCTCAGGTGCCATGCATCCTGCAAAGAGAACATGAAAGGACATTTTTTTTTCCTTCAATAATTACATGGACTCCTTCAGTGATCCCTGTGTCTGTTGGGCCTTGAGTAATTACCTGCAATCTCTGTCTTTGTGAGGCTATTAATTAAATTCCTTTCGGTGCCCCAAAAGTGGACATTTCTTGTCTGTATCCTTTTGTTCTGTCCACACAGGAATACTGCTGCTGAATTCAGTCTCTTCCAAGTTCAATAAAAGAAATACATTTTCTTTCAGTATTCCTCTCTTTGCTACAATCTGGACATAGGTTCCTTTATTTTGTCAAGATAATGGATATTAAAAAATAACAGCCAATATATTATTTTGTTACTAATAGTCCCTTTAGCACTTGAGTTATAAACCTTTTGGAGGCTCAGTGATTCTGTTCTCTTTATAAGGGGGATTTCTTTTTGTTCTTTCTGTCCATCAAGACAAACAGATTTCCTCTCTGATGTGCTTTTATATCCAGTTCACCCTTGCACTGGGGATATAGCCTTCTGGAGTGCCAACTGCATATGGAGTCTTCTGTTCGATTCTGCATCTTGTAGGAGCTAGGATTAATCTTTGGCTCACTGTTCCTGTCATAACATCAGAACAGATACTCAGGGACACCAGGCTCAGCAGATGCCTCCAGGTGAAAGTCAGGTGGGTTGGTGAACACTTACCTATCCCTATGCAATGTTCTTTCACTTTATTTTTTGGCTTCTGATTATTGATTAGTTTCTTGCCAGCTGAGGGAAGAACTGATATGCATTAATATTTACTTTCTAGAACTTTAATTTCTTTCAGTGAGTATGACATCTGGGGGGGCGTCTAGGATATCACATACATAGACCCAGAAGCCTAAGCATATTTTCTCAGTGTACTACTTTAGATAATTTTTATAGATAATTTGAATGGCAGTCCAACTACCTTCTTGGGATGGAAGAGGGAAACATACTTAAGAACAGAACATAAATTTGCATGTCAAAACTTATTTGGCCTTAAGAATAATTGTAAAATGAATGAGAAAATGGTACAAGAGAGCAACATAAGGCTTAGAAATTTGAGAGTAAATGCACTTTGTCCAAAAACATAAATAAATAAAATAAAGGTTAGGGAAAAAATCTTTATTATTTGTGGGTGATGAGAACCTTTCATTAAATCCTTCTTTGGTGTTTTTGAAATCTTTGCATTTTTATTTAAACGTGGGTTGAATTTGTCATATACATGAATTGCTACAAGTTTTTCTTATTGCTTCTCTTTTCAACAGACTTTCTCTTCTTGATGCTGCTGTCTTATTTTTTCAAATCTTCAACTTCCTTTTAGTTGATTCTGCTTTAAATTAGTCTCCCAATCTGTTTCCTTCTCTCTCCCCATAGGTTTTTTTTTTTCCCAATTCTTCCTCTGACTCACAAACATACGAGACAGACATCTTGCTCACAGACTTTTCATTCTTTCCCTCCCCTTATCTCTGACATTTTTCTTCTACTCTTTTTACGTGAAAGAACTATTTTTTACAGAAATGTTTCTTCTCTTTTTCAAATTTTTGAAAAATTAGGCAGCATATGAAGAATCTTGGAAACCTGAAAATAAGTGATTAAAAGCTTGCTGAATAATAGTTATTTTTAAAATGGAGAATGCCTGAAAAAGCAAAGATCTCTCTAGTTTCACCAAAATGGGCAGAGTCAATAGGATTCTCTATGTTTATTTAAATGTAAATGTGAAGGTGATAGAAATGAAGATCTAAAGCAATGGTAGGAGAGAAAGGTTATGGGACACAATCGGTAATTATAACTAACAATCACATAAATTGAAATGGGTAATTTTACAGGCTTCTGAAAAGATTTAAAAGGATGGATTGTTGCATAAGCCGAAGGTAAAAATGACTGGGCTAATGTCTTTGGTCCCCTTTAAGAGTAAAAGCATTCCTAAGAGCAAAATGTAGTGATAAAAAAACAATGATTTTGTGGAATGTTCTGTATGAATATCCACATGTTCATGGTACTTTGCAGGTCACCACATGATTAACATTTAATGTTCACAACAATGCCAGTTCTTGCCCTCTCTATTTTTAAGGTGGGGAAACTGAGGCTTAGACCTGTTAGACAACTTTCCCTGGATCACGCAGCTGGTAGGTGGAAGTACCAGTATTCAAACACAGGTGGGCCATATTCTGAGGTCTGATTTCTTAACGAAAATGTTGCCTCAACTGTATAACCTAAAACCAAGGTAGGAAAGAAAATGGCAACCTGTGTGATTGCAGTGATCTTTTGTTGTGTTTTTAAAAAGAAGATTCCTTACATACCATATTCAAACTTCAATAAATCTTAAAGAAAATTTTGTCAGTCCTCATTCCATAGACAAGGAACATAATTCTCAGAGAACGGAAGGAACTAGCTCAAGTATGTCATTGGTTTTTGTGGGATGATAACCCCAATCATTCCACTGGCACAACCTCGACTCCTAAATTCAACTCTCTACTCTCTGTTCCCACCCACAAATTATCTTCCCCACTGATTTCTCACAAGACTTCTAATTCTTTTGTATTAAGGTACTGTGTATTCAGAAATCCTCCACTAACATGCGATTGTGTTGCCCAGAGGGAATATCACTATTGTTATTGTTTTTCTCTGGGTTTTCTTCAGACAGCTTCTTTTCGACTATCCAGCAGAAAGGAGCAGAGGAGTAGGTTCTGGACCAATTCTAACCCCCTTACTCACAGATGTTCTGCCTTGGGAAAAAAAAATATACAGTTGCTCTCTCAATGGGCAGGTTATTTGTGTTCCAAATTGTTCATGAGCATTAAGAACATTGTAGATTAATGAATGGTAGTATCTTAAGTGCAGGCATTGTACTATTTGGTGTATATGTTAATATTGAAGAGATTTTTGTTGTTGTTTTTACAAACTATACAGGTGAAGGTTCATCCTAGTCAATCTCTCTTGGTGACAGTATAGGGAACTGGAGCATTCATATTCAGAGAAAACTCTGAAATGAGTCCACAAAGAATTCTGCTTTCCAAGGACACAGAACCCTGTAATTTGAAGGCGAGTATAGAAAGTTGTGAAGCAAGTGACATATACCATTGATTTCCTCTGGCATCCTTATGCTTTCCAAACTTCACTGCACTCCTAAAGTTGTCTTTTTTTCTATTGTGGCTGAGGATTGCATCCATATACCTAGTAAAAACTCATGCTGTCAAAAGGAGAGCTGCTCACTGTGAGACTCTTTCATTAGGCTTTTTGGATAGACAAAGGCATTTCCTGATCAATGAAACATCTTGACAAACAATTCTGACGTATATAACAAAACTTTCATCACAGTCAAAACCAGAGGGGGACGATTCAACTTTTACTGAAACTGCATCAAGGAATTAGCAATTTAGCATTTTTCTTGAACTACTGAGGTGAAATAATTTACATGATGAGCAAAGGAGTAGCTTAAACAATGCTCTCCCTTAGGAACTATGAGCGCCAACAATACTGCAAAAACAATACGTACTGACTCATATTTCTGCAGATTCCAGCATAGTAGATTTCTTCATAATCAAAATGCAATTGAATCGTTATACCTCATGTTACTCTACAGATGCCTATGAATTATTTTCTGCTACCAGGAAATTGTTAAATAGTCTAAAGCACTGTGATTTTGCACTCATCTTTCATAGCTATTCTTCAGGGAGAACAGGGTCTTGGCTTCCTTTGGAGGCAGCAAGGCTCAGGCACTGAGTTCTGTGTTTGTGGTTCTCCTGAGAGCTGCCTCTGAGGAGCTGTGAAATTATCCCCACCTATTCCTAATTTGAAGAGTAAAAGCCTCATTGTTGATTTCACATCTTTTACATTGGCTAGGGCACGGCTTTATCAGAGTGTGCTCTCTTCCTCAGTATGTTGGAATAGTGGGGTAGGAAGAGAGAGGTTAGAAGAGGAAAATTGCATCAGTAATTGCAAGTATACCATATGAGTGTACGCTTTATTTCTTCTCGTAGTTTAAAACAACTTCTTACTTTAGTTTCTCTTATTTTAAGTACAAATCCACAAGTTTGCCTTCATCCTATTGCAGATGTGCTTAGGGCAATTAAAGGACCCCATCTGAAAGCAAAGAGTATAAATATAGGCACTTACAGACAAAAAGTGTATAATTGTTTTTTGTGATTCAGGTAAAGAGGAATAATTTGCCTTTGAAAAAAATCTCAATCTCACTGTAGAGTGTACTTAATAAATATTTTTTTCTTTCTTCTATTATTCCTTTTTTCTTTTATTTAAAAATGTTTTATTTCCCTCCTTATGATGAGTCATCGGCCATAAACTATTATTTTATTTTATTACAAGTTATTATACATGTTATTTATATAAATGGCAATAGATTAAAAACTCTACATATATAATTAAAATCTTGCTGAATAATCAAGATTCTGAAGACTTTTATTTCCAAAGTAAGGAAAACTGAACAATTTGAAAAATCTTGGTCTAGAATTCATATAACTATAGCTTTGGGATCACAACCCCTGATTTTTAGAAACTTTTCCCTGCTTTCTTTTCACAATCTTTTACCACTTCCTTCTACATCAAGCTGGCCTTTTATTTTAATGGGTTTTCCAGAGGGAACTCAGTGAAATAGAGGCAAATATTATTGGACATGATTTTAGTTGACAACTTCGCAGTATTGGTGTACTTTATGTTGTTACCTAATAGAACAAGAATAGTCAATTTAACAAGGTTTTTCTATATTATTTCATTTTAATATGGAAAAACCTGTGACTCATTACCAAGGTTTTGGGTAAATATTAAACCAAGGAGGCAGGAGGCAGTTAAAGAGGTATGGATTCTGGTTTTGCCAAGATGGTGAAATAACACGAATTGCAGGCTCTATGCCTCAACATAAACTTTGGAGAAATTATAGAAGCAAAAGGAAACTATGGATTCATGAAACTAACAAGGGAGAAATCTCCTGGAAGACAGAAGACTGTCTGTGAACTGGTTTGCACAGGATAGTTGGTTTGTAGTAGCCTGGGGCACAACAAGGCAGAAGTGGTAAATGAGAGAATGAGGGAACAACAGTGGATCTCCAATGATGTCCTCAGATCAGGAGCATCAGCATCACCTGGGATCTTACTGGAACTGTAAACTATTGGCTTATCCCAGACATACTGAATAAGAAACTCAGGGTAGGGCCCAATAATCTGTGTTTAAACAAGCTTTCCAAGTGATTCTCATACATGCTAAAGTTTGAGCAGAGAAAGGGTTTTATTTTTATTTATTTATTTATTTATTTATTTTTTATTATACTTTAAGTTCTAGGGTACATGTGCACAATGTGCAGGTTTGTTACATATGTATACATATGCCATATTGGTGTGCTGTACCTGTTAACTCGTCATTTACATTAGGTATATCTCCTAATGGTACCCCTCCCCCTTCCCCCCACCCCACAACAGGCACCGGTGTGTGATGTTCCCCTTCCTGTGTCCAGGTGTTCTCATTGTTCAATTCCCACCTATGAGTGAGAACATGTGGTGTTTGGTTTTTTGTCCTTGCGATAGTTTGCTGAAAATGATGGTTTCCAGCTTCATCCATGTCCCTACAAAGGACATGAACTCATCCTTTTTTATGGCTGCATAGTATTCCATGGTGTATATGTGCCACATTTTCTTAATCCAGTCTATCATTGTTGGACATTTGGCTTGGTTCCAAGTCTTTGCTATTGTGAATAGTACCACAATAAACATACGTGTGCATGTGTCTTTATAGCAGCATGATTTATAATCCTTTGGGTATATGTCCAGTAGTGGGATGGCTGGGTTAAATGGTTATTTCTAGTTGTAGATCCTTGAGGAATTGCCACACTGTCTTCCACAGTGGTTGAACTAGTTTACAGTCCCACCAACAGTGTAAAAGTGGTGTTCCTATTTCTCCATATCCTCTCCAGCACCTAGTTTCCTGACTTTTTAATGATTGCCATTCTAACTGGTGTGAGATGGTATCTCATTGTGGTTTTGATTTGCATTTCTCTGATGGCCAGTGATGATGAGCATTTTTTCATGTCTGTTGGCTGCATAAATGTCTTCTTTTGAGAAGTGCCTGTTCATATCCTTTGCCCACTTTTTGATGGGGTTGTTTGATTTTTTCATGTAAATTTGTTTCAGTTCTTTGCAGATTCTGGATATTAGCCATTTGTCAGATGAGTAGATTCTAAAAATTTTCTCCCATTCTGTAGGTTTCCTGTTCACTCTGATGGTAGTCTCTTTTGCTCTGCAGAAGCTCTTTAGTTTAATTAGATCCCATTTGTCAATTTTGGCTTTTGTTGCCATTGCTTTTGGTGTTTTAGTCATGAAGTTCTTGCCCATGCCTATGTCCTGAATGGTATTGTCTAGGTTTTCTTCTAGGATTTTTATGGTTTTAGGTCTAACATGTAAGTCTTTAATCCATCTTGAATTAATTTTTGTATAAGATGTAAGGAAGGGATCCAGTTTCAGCTTTCTACATATGGCTGGCCAGTTTTCCCAGCACCATTTATTAAATAGGGAATCCTTTTCCCATTTCTTGTTTTTGTTAGGTTTGTCAAAGATTAGATAGTTGTAGATGTGTAGTATTATTTCCAAAGGCTCTATTCTGTTCCATTGGTCTATGTCTCTGTTTTGGTACTAGTACCATGCTGTTTTGGTTAATGTAGCCTTGTAGTATAGTATGAAGTCAGGTAGCGTGATGCCTCCAGCTTTATTCTTTTGGCTTAGGATTGTCTTGGCAATGTGGGCTCTTTTTTGGTTCCATGTGAACTTTAAAGTAGTTTTTTCCAATTCTGTGAAGAAAGTCATTGGTAGCTTGATGGGGATGGCATTGAATCTGTACATTACCTTGGGCAGTATGGCCATTTTCACAATATTGATTCTTCCTATCCATGAGCATGGAATGTTCTTCCATTTTTTTGGTATCCTCTTTTATTTCATTGAGTAGTGGTTTGTAGTTCTCCTTGAAGAGGTCCTTCACTTCCCTTGTAGATTGGATTCCTAGGTATTTTATTCTCTTTGTAGCAAGTGTGAATGGGAGTTCACTCATGATTTGGCTCTCTGTTTGCCTGTTGTTGGTGTATAGGAATGCTTGTGATTTTTGCACATTGATTTTGTCTCCTGAGACTTTGCTGAAGTTGCTTATCAGCTTAAGGAGATTTTGGGCTGAGACCATGGGGTTTTCTAAATATACAATCATGTCATCTGCAAACAGGGACAATTTGACTTCCTCTTTTCCTAATTGAATACCAAGAAAGGATTTTAAAGCTTCCACTTGCCTTTTTCTTGCCTTGCCTCAGACCAATTGTGGCCTGCAACCTTTACTACAAACATCTGCCTCCACTCCAGCAGACTATAGCATTAGGAGGTATACATGGACTTTATTGTTTTGAGGTGTATTCCCTCTATATCCAGTTTGTTGAGAGTTTTTACTAGGAAGGGATATTAAATTTTATTGAATACTTTTTAGCATCTGTTGAAATGATCAGTTGACTTTTGTCCTTAATTTTGTTAATGGGATGTATCTCATTGATTGAACTGTATATGTTGAACCATCCTTGCATCCCTGGGATGAATCCATTTGATCACGGTGAATGATCTTTCTAATGTATTAATGATTTTAGTTTGCTAGTATTTTGGTTGAGGATGTTTGCATCTGTGTTCATTAGGAACATTGGCCTGTAGTTTTTTTTTTGTTGTTGTGTCCTTGTCTGGTTTTGGTACCAGGGTAATGCTTGCCTGGTAGAATGAGTTTGGAAGTATTCCCTTCTTCAAGTTTTTGAAAAAGTTTGAGTAGAATTGGTATTAATTCTTTAAATGTTTGGTAGAATTCAGTAGTGATGCTGTCAGATCCTGGGCGTTTCTTTGATTGGAGCTTTTTATTACTGTTTCAATCTCAATACTTATTATTTTGTTCAGGTATTTCTTCATGAGTAAATCTTGGTAGGTTGTATGTGTCCAGGAATTTATCTGTTTCTTCTAGGTTTTCCACTTTGGTGGCATACAGTTACTCATAATTATCCCTAATGGTCATTTGTATTTTTGTGGTATCAGTTATAGAGTCTCCTCTTTTTGTCTGTAATTTTATTTGAGACGTCTTTTATTTTTATTTATTTATTTATTTTTAGTTTGTCTACCTAAAGGTTTGTGGATTTTGTTTATCTTGTCACAAAACCAACTTTTTCTTTTGTTGGTCTTTTGTGTTTTTTTGGTCTCAATTTTATTTATTTCCACTCTGATCTGTATTATTTCTTTTCTTCTACAAATTTTGGGGTTTTTTTCTTGCTTTTCTAGATCCTTGAGGTGCATCATTAGATTATTTGAAGTCTTTCTACTTTTTTGGTGTAGGTATTTACTGCTCTAAACTTTCCTTTTAGAAATGCTTTTGCTGTATGTCATAGGTTTTGGTATATTGTGTTTCCATTTTCATTTATAAAATTTATTCATTGATATATTCATTATTCAGGAGCATGTTGTGTAATTTTCACAGATTTGTACATTTTTCAATATGTCTTCTGTTATTGATTTCTAGTTTTATTCCATGTAGTTGGAGAAGATAGTTGACATAATTTTGATTTTAAAAAATTCTTTAAGCCTTGCTTTGTCACCTAACATATGATCTATCCTGGGGAATGTTCCACGTACTGTTGAGGAAAATGTGCATTCTGCAGGAGTAAGATGAAACATTCTGTAAATATCTGTTAAGGCTATTTGGTCTAGAGTACAGTTTAACTCTTATGTTTCTTTGTTGCTTTTCTGTCTATATAATCTGACCATTGCTGAACGTGGAGTGTTGAACTCTCCTACTGTTACTGTGTTTCAGTCAATATCTCCCTCTAGGTCTATTAGTGTTTTAAAAAATAAATATTTGAGTGCTCTGAGTGTATGATGGGATCATACGTGTTTACATTTGTTATATCCTCTTGCTCTATTGACCCCTTTATCATATAATGGCCTTCTTTGCCTTTTTTTCTTTGCTTGCTTATTTCTAAAAGAAAGATTTTTTTTTAACTGTTGTTTCCTTAAAAGTCTATTTTATCTGATATAAGTATATATATAGCTACTCCTACTCTTTTCTGGTTTCCACCTGCATGATATATCATTTTCCATTCCTTACTTTCATTCTATCTGTGTCTTTATAGGCGAAGTGATTTTCTTATACACAGAATATAGTTGGGTCTTTAAAAAAATCCATTTATGACTGGGCGCAGTGGCTCAAGCCACCCAGCACTTTGGGAAGCTGAGGTGGGCGGATCTTGAGGTCAGGAGATCAAGACCATCCTGGCTAACACGATGAAACCCTGTCTCTACTAAAAACATGAAAAGTTAGCTGGGCCTGGTGGCGGGCACCTGTAGTCCCAGCTACTCAGGAGGCTGAGGCAGGAGAATAACGTGCATCCGGGAGCGGATCTTGCAGTGAGCCGAGATCCTGCCACTGCACTCCAGCCTGGGTGACAGAGCAAGACTCCGTCTCAAACAAACAAACAAACAAAAATCCGTTTATCTACTCTATGTCTTTTAATTGAATAATTAAATCCAGTTACATTCAAGGTTATTGATAGGTGAGTGTTTACTACTACCATTTTGTTACTTGTTTTTTGATTATTTTATAGATAATTTATTTTTTCCTGTCTTACTGTCTTCCTGTGTGGTTAAGTGATTTCCACTAGTAGCATGTTTTGACTCTATGCTATTTATTTTTAGTGTACTTGTGATAGGTTTTTGCTTTTTGGTTTCCATAAGGCTTACAAAAAACCTTACAGTTAAAATAGGTTATTTTAAAGTGATAATGACTTGACCACAATCGTATTGAAAAGAAACTCCACAATTTAACATTTTCTTCCCACCACCTTACTTTTTGATGTTTCAATTTACATCTTTTTTATCTGCCTATCTTTTAACCATTTGTTGTATTATCTTTTTAATAGTTATGTATTAAATTACCATATTAGAGTATTCTAAATTTGTTTTCTTACTTTTACTAGTGAGTTTTATACTTTGTGTTTTCTTGTTGGACATTAGTGTCCATTTCTTTTGGATTGAAGACAGGTCTGACATTAGCATTTCTTGAAAGACAGGTCTGTGTTAGTGAATTCCTTCAGCTTTTGTTTGTCTGGGCAAGTCTTTTTCTCTTCCTCACATTTGAAGGATAGCTTTGCTGGATACAATATGGTTGTTTGGCATTTTTTTTTTCTTTCGCACTTTAAATATAGCATCCCACTCTCTCCTGGCCTACTGCATTTCTGCTGATAAATCCACCAAAAGCCATATTGGGCTTCATTTCATGTGATATGTTTATTTCCTCTTCCTGTTTTGAGTTCTCTTTCTTTCCTTTTGATTTTTGCTATATTGATTGAAATTCAATTCAAATTGATTCAATTGATTGAAATTCAAAAAGAAAGGGAATTTCTTTTGGGTAAACTTTGAGTGGTGACATCTGGGCTTTCTGTGCCTGGATGCTGTCATTTTTTTCCAGATTTGGGAATTTTTCAGCCATTATTTACTTAAATAAACTTTCTATGCTTTTTTTTTTTTAAATCTCTTGTCTCCTGTGGGAATTCCAGTTATATGAAGATTAGTTAATTGGGTGGTGTGCCATAATTCTCATAGACCTTCTTCAATCTTTTTAATTCTTTTTCCTTTCTGCTCCCTTGAGTGGGTAATTTCATATGTTATGTCTCCAAGCTCACTAAGTTTTCTTCTATTTGATCATGTCTGCTGTGGAAGCTTTCTAATATGTCTTTCAGTTTAGTTACTGTATTTTTTAATGCTACAATTTCTTTTTTTAATTGTTTCTCTTTGTCAAGTTTTAAATTTTATTCCTGGATTGTTTTCCAAATTTCATTTAGTTTTCTATCTATATTTTCTTGTGATTTCCTGAACTTCTTTAAGAGAATTATTCTGAATTCTCTGTCAGAAATTCCATAGATCTTTAATTTTGGGGGGTCCGTTGCTGGAGGCTTTTTTTGTTTTTTGTTTTGGTCGTGTCATATTTCCCTGAGTTTGCACAGCCCTTGCATCTTTATGTTGATGCCTGCATATTTGAGGAGACAACTGCATCTTCTAGTTTTTGCATGTGTTCTCTGGTGGTGTTAGACCTTTACTTCTTTTTTTTCCAAAAAATATGTTTCATTAATTTCGTTATTTGGCTCATTCTATTAACTAAAGGGTTGAGATCTTCTTTGTTGAGGGGCACACATGATACTTTGATACCTGTATATAATGTGTAATGATCAAATTGGGGTAATTAGGATATCCATCACCTCAAACATTTATCATTTCTTTGTGTTGGAAACATTATAATTCTTCTCTTCTAGCTATTTTGAAATATAAAATGTATCATTGTTAACTATAACCTTTGTACTAGGTCTTTACTTCTTAGTACTGGAACTTAAATACTGGCTGTTGCTGCTTCCCATTCTGAGGTGGACACTGGAACTAAAACACTGTACTGAAACTATTTGCCCTTTTGTTGTGTTTATTCTGTAGAAGACTTACAGTGAACACTGGAATATGAATGTTGCTCTGGGACTAAATTGCTGCCCTTCCACTTTTTTTCACAGTCTGAGAAAAACTTATAGTGAGTACAGAGCTTAAATGCTGCTCCATAACTATTTTGGTGCCTTGTCATTGTTTCCCAGTCCAGTGGAAGATTTAGCAAGCACTGGATTTAATTTCAACCTCTATAGGAGCATTTGGGTGGAAAATCTAGTTATGGATTCAGGACTTCCTTTAGTTTTTTTCCTTCTATGGTGCAATGGCACTGGCCAGTCTCTTCAATATGACATTGTTGCTGATTGGAGTACTGAATAGCCATAAAGCTCTTCATGCCAGCTGCTGTGAGCAGTGCCCCATTCTTTGTTCCCAGTTTACTTCAAGTAGCTCAGCACTCCTGGAACTCCTAGTGGTTCCTGTGGTGTGGGACTGGAGTGGGTTTAATGTCCAATTCCAATTCCCCCCTCTTACTTCAGCACCTGAGGGTTTAGGGCAATTCTCTGTGAGTGGTGTTATACCATCTTGAGGGAAAAGAGGGAATGGTCTGAAATGACTGTTTCTTTTACTGGTTGAGGTTTCTCTTGATTTTGTGGGCCCGCATGGTTTCTCTGCTTCTCCCCTGAGTTCTGGTGTATTTGGGGTGGTGTTCTGGTCTTTCAATAGTTTCTAGCTGTATTTTTGTGAGGGGAGTGATGCTGGGAGTTTTTCTATTATGGCATCTTGCTGACATTACTCCTGACATGTTTTTTAATACTGTTATAGATGTGTGGTTTATAATCATAGGACATCTGATAAATCTGATTTTGCATGGTTTGTACCAAAAAAGAAAAAAATGTATATTGCATTTGAAATGATATGTTTTGAAAGTTTCAGTACATTCCTAAAGGTAGAGAACTTCCATTTTGACTAGGAGTCAATGAGAAAAAAATTCTGCTTTTACAATTTTACACATCTGATAATTGAAACAATGCTTTACACATTACATTTTGGCTTTATGCATTTCAAGCCACTTCCATACTCTCAGGGCTAGGCACTGTAGAACATTTTCATATTGGAATATGACCTCCTTCATGTCATTATGCGGGATGAGTTTGTACAGTGCACTATAAGAATATTCCTGGAAGCCATTCCTTTTCTTTAATCTTGTTCCTACACTGCAAAGTATTACATTCTAGGTTGTTTGAGACATTAAATTGCTTACTTAAAAATCACAAAACTAAGTGGCATAACTAGACTTCAAATTCAAACCGATTATATAACCCTTGTACTTACTAACTTGGCTCTGAACCTTGCTGAATATAAAATAAAAGTTCTGGGTATTATGTATGTGAGTTCATACTCAATATGTGGGGTTTAGAAGAGTCCATGTTGGATCTATTCCATGTATATTATAGGGCAAACCTACAAATGAAGGCCCCCAAACCTACAAAGGAAGGACCCATGGAAGAGGCCCATGTAGCCCCTGGAATAGACTTGGAGTCATTTACATAAGGAATTCCAGATATGGGGCACCTGGATTGTGGTGGCTGGGGGCACAGGCTTCAGGTGGCATGTCTCTTTGCTCCATGGACTCCTTGCCTCGTAGAGAGGTTCAGTAGGGAAGAGCCAGTAGAAGACCTGCCTCCAATTACCCACGTCTAAGAGTAATAGTGGTATATGGTAAGTATTTAAATTATCAAATTTTCATGAAATGGAAGGAAATGAGACAACACCAGATGAAAAGGCACCAGATGAAATGGGACGTAGAATATTTTAACTTGCATCTGTCTTATTTGGAAATTTGACAATCAGAGATTGAACATTCTCCATACACAAATAATCATTAAAATAAATTAACCTCACTACTAATGAAATAATTACTAATTATTTCATTTATTACTTATTAATCAGTAATAAGAAGCCATTTTTCATCTTTTATATCAACAAGGTCTCCGTTAAAATAAGACCAAGCTAAATGCTGGTGAGGTGCAAGTGAAGTTATTAGTCAAATGTAAAGCTAGGGAGAATGATCTTTTACAAGCTTTTTTGGAAAGTAATTTGGGAATTTGAACAAAATGTCTAAAATTGCTTTATTATTTGGCCCAATAATTTTGTTTTTTGAATCTACCTGAATAAAATAATCTGAAATGCTTAAATCCATTACATATGTACATATGTGCACAGCAGTATCATATGTAATGATTTAAAATGGGTGTAGCCTAATATGCTTTATAAGTAAAGGGTGAATATAAAGGATTTAGTAAATATGTCTAATTGACAATTATGTATCATTAAAATCTGACTTACAAAAATTTAATAGCACAAGGAAATATTGGATAATAAATTTACATTTCAGAAGTAATGATAGCTTATTGTATGTACAATAACTACTCCATAAAGATATGCATAAAGACTAAAAGCAATTATATCAAAATAATAAGTAAACATATCAAAATATATATTATATTATAATTATATTTAATTTATATATTTGTTATATATAATTAATATAATATATATTATAATCTTATATTTTATTATTATATTATATAATATATCAAAATAATAAGTAAATATATCAATTATATCAAAATAATAAGTAAATGATAATAACTAAGATAGATCCTGATGTTGGGGGTTATTAAGTCTCTATTTTTCACTGTTAGATCTCCATAAGATAAAGAACATGTTGAGATTGTGATTTTGTGAATAAGCAAACAAAGAAAGCAATGATACAAATGAGGAACCAAAAGCAATTTAACATTTGTTTCCTTATATTAATGTATGTGTTACCTTCCGTAGCAATGAAAAAGAGAGCACATTTGGATTTTATTTTTTAACTAAAAATTTTTTTGCTCAAATTTTGAGGACATACTTGGCATTTTTTTCTGGTATTACTGTATTCTAAACAAATAGTTATAAATCAAGATCTAGTTCATTCCAGAGGAGACACCCAGATTTTTTTTCCCAGCAAGAATGAATAATAAATTAAATTCAGATTTTTTTTGACAGTTTGATAATAAATACATTTACTCAACCACAGTTCATCATGCAGCTGTGGCTATAGAAGCAGGTATGCTACTTGTCAACTGAAATCAGATATTATTTTAAAAATGACCTCTACATTTGAAACTTTCATAGTGTCACACATATAACAGTTTATTTTGAAATAAAAAGCAACTTTCAAAATTGAAGTGTTCCTGTGAACTTATCCACATAATATTGACCAGTAACAAAAATAAAAATAAAATTTGTAAAACCTCTTTGCTTTTTCCCTGTTTAATTGACTTCTTAAAACATCATGAAGGAATCATGTTTTTTTTGTTTGTTTGGTATCTTATATGAATTACTTGGTAAAGTGTCATATACTTTATTAATAACTATATAGCACAACATGAAAAAATATTCATTAGATACAAACGTGTGTGTGTGTGTGTACTTAGTGATGCTGCTTAACTGACATTTTAAAACTCTTTGGTATTCAGCCAACTTCACTCATTTTATCTTTTTTTTTTTTTAAAAAAGGCAGTAAATATTTATCTGCTTTTTGAAATGAGTTCCCTTTTAAAAACATTGTTGGCAGCCAATTTTCATCAATCACATTCTTTGTCATCTTTATCAGTTCTACCCTAAAAGACATTTGTGGTTTGAATTACACTTGGCTACTTTAGGAAATGTAATCACTTAAAGGAATTTTAGAGTGTGCAACAATTCAGTGTAAACTTCATCCATGTCAGGCATTAATTGTAAAAATAAACCTTTATCAAAACGTCCATTTCTTCCAATACACTATAGAAGAGTGATTATTATTCTCATTCTTCACCTGATACTCCCCTACCCCCTGTCATTGTTTCCTAAGAGAAGTATACATCCACATCTTTTGCACATTACTTCATAGCGTTCCCCCCACACTGTGGGTAAAGTAGAATATATTTTTCTATACTAGTGATGTTGAGATTGAACTTGTAGCTTGTTTTAGCCAATGAAATGCACTAAATCTTTCAGTTGCTTCATTTATAAAAATGAGGATAGTATTTTGATAACGTTAAGTTTGAGACCTACATTGATACTTAGATCAAATTCTTTGACTAAAATTATAATATTATAAAATATAGTTTTATGAAACAAAGCAATTTCACTTATTCAAGGACAGTCAAACTCCAAATTTATAACTTTGTATAGCCGCACACCAAGTTAGAGTTTTATTAGAATTACAGGAGTCCTGAAGTGGGAATTGGGGTACTTTTAATTCCTAGTGAGGATACCTATAGGATGGAGCCAAGGGCAAACATTGATCTAAGATTTGAGGAACCAAGATTTGGAGAATCAAGATGAACAAAAGCACTTTGATGTCTGCATTAAGATCCTAGATCAGAATTGGCAGGAGAAGATACCATTTTCTGAACCTCAATCATTTGTAAAACCGATAAACTTTCTTAATTCCTTCTCCCTTGTATCAGAAGAGCATGGGTGTCTTTTGCTTTATAAGTTTGATATAGCAGCAGAAGACCTTCATTACAGTCATATGCCTGGTTCCAGATTTGTTTGCTCTTTTTCTTTTTCTTTATAGTTTTCTTGAGACAGAGTCTCGCTCTGTTGCCCAGGCTGGAGTGCAGTGCCGTGATCTCAGCTCACTGCAGCTTCTGGCTCCTGGGTTCAAGCGATTCTCCTGCGTCAGCCTCCTGAGTAGCTGGGACTACAGGCATGCACCACCACGCTTGGCTAATTTTTGTATTTTTAGTAGAGACGGGGTTTACACCATGTTGGCCAGGATGGTCTTGATCTCCTGACCTCGTGATCCACCCGCTTTGGCTGTCCAAAGTGCTGGGATTACAGGCGTGAGCTACTGCGCCCAGCCTGTTGGCTCTTTTTCTTCTTTTTGGTTGTGGTTAATGATAAGAAATGGACCCAAACATATATGATTAGGGTAAACAAGCAACTATTTTTCCAAATCCCCTCACCCCACGCTGCAAAGGTCATGTTAGGGAGGATATTAGCTGAAAAGCGAGACTCACCATCTTCCCAGATTGGTTTAACACAGAAGTAAGTTTACATATAATTTTTATATGTATTTATTCATTCCTGATTACATTTTATAGAGGATTTGAGGCAAGGAATTGCTACATAGTAAGGGAGACTGGGGAGTACAGGCTTTTAGCTGAGTGGCAAACTGCCCAGATAAAAATGACCATAACGGGAGAGTGAGAATTGGGAAGCAGTTAACCATCTTCGCTACAATGACAAATCTCTGTGTTTTGCTCCTGAATTTATAGCACTATAAAATGCTTGCTTTTTACTGACCTAAATTTCTATAAATTTAATATGTTCATTTTTTTTTCAGATCACAGCAATTCATATGAGCGCACATCCTAAGGTGCTATATATTTGTCCAGCCTATGTATTTCTTACTGTGTTATACATCTGTTAACAGATGCCTAATCAAAATATAGTGATTTAGGTTAGGATTTTAATAATCTGTTTGTAACCCACTACAGCCATTTAGTTATATGATTTTATTTGAGATCATCTGCATACTGCTAGGAACAAAATGTGATGACCTACAGTCATTTAATGAATAGACATTATGAATGCAAAAGGCTACCATATACGTTGGTATAATGCAGGAAGAGCATGAGCTAATGAACTGATTTGCTGACTAAATTGTGGAATAATTTTATAGCTGTCCATACCACAAGACAATTTTGAAGAATCATTCTTTACCTCTAATTGCACAGAGGTTTCTACAAGAGAATCCTAGAATGTTTCACCTATCACACATTATCTGGCTTAGTCTTGTAAAGTTAATGGCTTGAGACAGGAAAGTCAAATTACAAGCAATGAAGTTATTATAGGAATAAACCCCAGGGGACTCTCAAAATAGGACAGAGGTTAGAAAAGCTTTAGAGCATCATGAAGCACAGCCTTAGGAAATATGACACCTCAGTGAAATGCTGAAAATCAGCTGTAGACTGTTTTTTACAGTCGTTTTGTGCACATGGAGATAGGTTGAGTCCTGCTAACAGAAATATGACTCTTGTTCCAGTGCAGTGCAGTTGTCCTGAAGTAGTAAATAAAATATCCTGTCTTACATTTGTAAGAATCCTTTTACCTACATCTTTTCCAGTTATGTGTTGTTATTTATAGATCACAGATAGGAAACCTAGGCTCCTAGAGGTTAAATGCCTTTGTCAAACGCCAATCAGCACCGTGGAAACATTTTACCCAAGAACAGCAGGCCTGCCTATGCCCAGAGAGCCTGTTGAAAACACCTTTTCCCAGACACTTAGTTTCTTTCAAGACTCAGGTTTATCATCCTGTATCATTTCTGACTCTGCATCCCAACTTTTGGTTATCTCAGTTCTGTCTTGTCCTCCACACTGAATTTCCATGTTGACTTGGCCCATTGCCTCCTGGGACTGTCGTGCTTCACCTTCCCTCATCCTGCTTCCCAGCCCAACATCAGTGAGCACCACGTTTTGGACCTTTTGTGTCTGTTGCAGTGCTGGCGGCAAGATGGGAAGTGAAAGAGCTAAGCGCCAATCCAAGTCAGAAACACCAAATTGGGTGTTCTTTCTGACGTACCATAATACTTTTCTGAGTCAACAATATGATTGCCATTACTATTTTAAACAAAAGTGTGATTTCAAGCAGATTTTGCTTCACAGATAAAGGCAAACAATTATGGATTCATATGCCATTTAAGTTTAATGTCATGTCAATGCATTTTCAGTCTTAGAGTCTATCTTTTTCTTCTTCAAAGTAATATTTTAATCTTTTTTGAAATCACATTGTGATCAGAGGCAAAGATTGCATCTAATTAATCATTCCTATAGTTATTATTCACAATTAATTGTTTTGGTTTTAGTTAACTTCCAAGAAATTTATATTCTTTTTTGAGGCTGCATTGTATTCCATAGTATAGATGTGTATAATTAACCTGTTGGTGAATATTTAGATTGTCTCTTTTTTTAAGCTATAAAAATGTTGTACTAGTGTATCTGTAGAATAACTTCCTAGAATTGGAATTGCTGGTTCAGAAGGTGTATGCACTTTTATATGTATGTTTTAGGAAATGCATTTTATTTTTTTCTCTTCTTGGATGTGATAGAAATGTTAACATATACAATTCAAAAGGAACACAGAAAGGTTACCAGTGAAAATATTACTAGTTTTCTTCTTTTCCTTTTTTTAAGAGACAAGATCTTGGTCTGTCACCCAGGCTGGAGTGTAGTGGCATGGTTATGGCTCACTGTGGCCTCGACCTCCTGGGCTCAAGTGATAGTCCCACCTCAGCCTCCCAAGTAGTAGTTCTCCTTTTGATAAGCAACCATTGTTACCAGGTTCTTATATTCTTACAGATATGCAAATATAAATGTGTGTATACTTAGAAAATTTCTCTTGAGAATATCTATATTTTCTTTTGCATTGCACTCATAAGGGTTCAAAAACTCTTGCCAAGATACTAATTGAGGGAGAGATACCCAGGCTGTTATGTCTCCTCCTTGTTAGGAGTACAATTCTATGTTGTTTCATCACTTGATACTTGCCATACAATACAATTACTGTAAATCCTATTAAAAGGACTCATTTCTATTGATTTTCACCATACCTTTCTATTCACTTTGGAAAGAAGGATGTCCGTGGATACAGGGATCTGTACTGTTCTTTTTTCACACATTTTAAAAATATAATTCAATTTGGACTGATTGCTCTATATAGCAGAAATCATAAAATATCACAAAATTTGATTTTTCCTTTCTTCCATATAGTAGGATTTAGGCTGAATACATGGCTATATAGCTGGAAACTATATTTCATAGCCTCTCTTCTTGTAGGTGTGGTCATGTAACTAAGTTATCACTGGTGGTTTAAGAGTGGAAGGAATGTGTATAAACTTGTACTTTAATTGCTTTGAATTTCTGATTTTCCTTCCCCGCAACCTGGAGCATAGATATTTCCTTAAGCTTTGAATGTACAGAAGAGTGCAACAGTCTGGATGAACAACAAGACAGAAGGGACTTGGGTCCCTCAATGATCAGGTGAAGCACAGATGTCCCACCAACCAGGATTGCTCAATTTGGTGGTGTTACATGAGGGAGAAATAAATTTCTCCCTGCTTTAAGCCACTGTATTTGGGAAGCCAGTTTGTTGCAAAGCTATCCTGTACCTTAACTAATGCATCTCCTTGCCTGGTTCTCAGCAAACAGACACTTGGGATTCCTTTGTCTTCTGCTGTTGTCCTATGTGAACTTCTTTCTTCATCTGTTTCACTTTGGTGGAGCACAAAACAGTGTATGGGAGAAAATATCATTGTTTTTGTTTGTTCATGTTTGAAAATATCTTGATTCAACCCTCCTATTGGGTGGATAGTTTGATTAAGCATGGAATTCTACTTGGGAAATAATTTTTCTTCTAAGTTTTGAAGCTGTTGCTCAATTTTCTTTGTTATTCTAGAAAAAAATTTGATTTGTGAGGCCTTTTTTTTTCTTTCTCTAATGAGGGTTTTATGATCTGTTTTTGAGTAAGGTTTTGAAATTTCTTAATGTGTTTTAGTGTGGGTTTATTTTCCTCCATTGTGTTTGGCACTCAGTGGGCCCTTTCAGTTTACCCTTTAATGCTGGGAAATTATCTTGAATTATTTGGTGGATGATTTTCTCCTGTTTCCTCAGCTCGTTCTTTCTGAACTGCTATTTTATTTGGATGTCGGACCTCCTTGGATTGCTCAAACGTTTCCCTCCTCCTTTTTATCTCTTTGGTTTATTTTGCTCTATCTTCTATGAAACTTCCTCAAATTAACCTTCCAACCCGCCAGTTGTTGTTTTTCATTTCTGCCTTAGTGTTTTCAATTTCTAAGAACTGGTTTTCTGTTCTTTGAATGTTCCTTTCTCATTGTTTCCTGACATGGATGCCATGTCATCTTTGACTGCAGGGAGTATATCAGTACTGGTTGTTTTCCTCAAGTTTTCTTCTCTCTGCACTCAGTCCTCTGAGTGGCTTACTTTTTCTCAGTATTTGTTTAGATTGATGTGTTTCCTCAGATGAGAAGCTGTCCTCAGATATCTAGAGATTTTCTTTTCTCTGCTGATAGAGTGAAGGTTTAAATATCTGACTGAGTGCTCTGAGTATGGGCATGGGGCTTGGAGGTTTTGAGTTCACAGTAGGGTGGTCTAGACAGACCGCTAGTGCCAAGCTCCAAATGTTGGTATCTTTATGTATTTCCTTTTGTCTGATCAGATGTCCCAGAGAACAGTCTTGTCATCCCGAGCCTAGAGGGTGGAGATTTGGCTGCCATAATTCTTGGAGGTGAGTGGACGGAGAGGGCTGGTGGTCTCAGCATTCAGCATGCCCTATTTATACTCCACTTAGTGATGCTGTTTTTAGTAAATTACCCAGACCCACAGCTGTGCTTAGTATCCCTGGTCCAGAGATCCTCCATTTAAACTTTACTGAAGAGTAATCTTTCACAATTCTTTTGGGGTAAGGGAGATAAAGTCACTCCATGAAGTGGGAGGATATCTAGAGTTTTAAATGATTCTCAAACAACTTTTACGATACTCCCTTTATTTTTGTATCCATCAAGTGTCCCCTTCACTGTCAGTTCCAGAATTACCAGAAGTCCCCAAGTCCCCAGTGCTGCTAGCACGTTTGTTTTTTGTTGTTGTTGTTGTTTTTTTTTTTTTTTTTTTTTTTTTTTAACAGAATCTCACTTTGTTGCCCAGGCTGGAGTACAGTAGCATGATCATAGCTCACTGCAGCTTCAAACTCCTGAGCTCAAGCAAGCCTCCTGAGCAGCTGGAGCTACCGCTGTGCACCAACACACCTTGCTAATCTTTATTTTAATTTTTTTTGTAAAGATTGAGTCTCAGTGTGTTGCCCAGGCTGGTCTCAAACTCCTGGCTTCAAGAGATCCTTCTGCCGTGGTCTCCTAAAGTGCTGGGATTGTAGATGTGAGCCACCGTGCCATACCCACTTCAGGATTTTGAAGATTCTGCAGAATAAATAAAGTTGTTTCCCAGCTTTTCCCCATTACAGCCTTAGGGATTTAGCTGTATTAAATCTGCTTAATCAGTGGTCATTCAATTATCTGTTTTATAGTTTAACAAAGTAGTAGCTATTTTTCTCCTATCTTTGAAAGATTATTTTATTATTGAGGAGATCTCCTTTGGTTCTACTTTGAGAAGGAGTGACTTTAGGTGTGAATTTTCATTCTACCATTTTAACCTGGCACCTTGATGATTGCTTTTATCAGTCTTTTATTTTCTCTTAGACTAGCAGAGAAGGTTTAAAATAACTTACATTTTCTTACATTCACTTTTCTGTACATGCTGATGGAGAGCATTAATAGTTACATTAAGTATTAAGAAATAGTTACATTCTCTGATTCAGGGAATTAATTTAGTTTCAGAAGAATAAAGTAAATAATTTAGTTCAAGAGGAATAATGTAAATGGATAGAATAACATCTTAATCAATCTCCAATAAATCTCAGAATCTATTGTTTAATATACCATTTATTTAGAAGAACAGAGCTTGTGCCAAACATGTACTTGCGATTTTACAAAAAGAAAACTAAAAGGCTGGCAGTAAACTGGCAAAATACAGGAGCTCATTTATAAAAACATGATGTAAAACAAATTAATTTATTACAATTTTTTGATCAAGACTCACAAAATGGGTTTGTTTGTAGACATCAGTACTTCTACAGATGATAAAATCACAGTAAGCTGTAAAGATATTAAGAATTCTTCCTCCGTTTATTCCTAATTGACCTTGTAGGAGTCTGGTGGTACATACTCAAGTGAATAAGAATTAGAGCTATCTCCCCTTTTCTCTTTTTGTCTAAGTTTTGTGCCCGTGTTAGTATTAGCCCCAAAGTACTTCTCTTATTTAATTCCATGTTGAGTTCACTGAATCACTGGCAATATACTTTCCATGTGGACATATACTTTCCGTATCTCTTGTAGCTTTCAGATGAGAGGCTTCCGTAGACATTTAGAATTGTCTGGTTTTCTGAAACCCATTAAAAAGTCTGAGAGGTAGAGAGGCTATAATTGTTATCACTTAGGTCCAATATAATCAGCTGTCCAACTATGTGTCACTTTCAGCAGCAGCTTTCCGCCATTGACTCCTTGTTTCTGAGATGCCTGTGAGGATCAATCACATCTGCCAAAGCAGAGGGGGAGGTTGAATGAACGAGATTCAAGTTTGCAGGCTCACCAACCCACACAGAACGAGACCATTTCTAACAGAGAGCTGGTGCAGGGTGTTAGCTGTTGGCATGTTTGGGTTCTGGGAGCACTTCTCTGCACAGAGAATCCTGACATGGAATCCATTTATAATTTCAGTCCAGGGTTGCGACACATCAGTGAAGCATGGCTCACACTGAAACGCTTTTTAAAGCTGTATCAATAAATGATTTGTTTAGTCAAGAGGAGCTGCTAGAATCCATACCATGTCACATCAGTCCCTCTTTCCTGTGAGTGGTCTCTTGAAGACCTGGTTACTTGGCCACAGATCGGAAATAAAAGGTACTTAGAGGCCCAGGAGCATTGGCTCACACTTGTATCCCCAGCACTTTGGGAGACTGAAGTGGCATGATCGCTTAAGCCTAGGAATTTGAAGCTACAGTGAGCTCAGATATCACCACTACACTCTAGCCTTGGCGAGAGAGTGAGATCCTGTCTCTTAAAAATAAAAAGAGAAGGTACTTCAAAAAGGCCTCATTTGACCCCAGGAGCCCAATACATTTTAGTAGAATATTTAGAGCACAGGGTAATAGATTATGCCACTTGGAGACATTTTTAACCCAGATCTAACATAGTACTTGGTGCTGTTAGGTGCTTCAGGGTTATTTGTGGAGTTTATTTCTAACAATGTTAGAACAGGTCTGACTAATCCTAGGCTGCATCATCTGGAATGAAAAATGAAACGACCTATACATTTCATCGTAGTAATCTGCAATTTTAGGTGATCCAAGTTAGTGAAAGAACTTCACTTGGCTTCTTGCTCAGATTAGCTTTTTTTTTTCCAGGCATCTCTTTAGGTTTTTATGCACATGGGAGGGGACTTAGGACAAACAGGACTATGAATAGTTTGCATACACTGCTTCCATCATCTTCTCTTGGGCTCTTTCTCCCTTGCCTTATTTTCCCCAATCTCTCCAAATGCCTCCAGAGTCTTTTTCCCTCTCCAACTCCAACCTTTCTCAAGAAATGGCCTGTAGTTTAATATTATTGGTGATTAAACTGATGGAGTTATAATTTCTCTTAATATCAGCATCGTGATGAAGATAAAGTAACAAAAGCAGTAATGACAAATAAATGCTTCTTTTGTGGGATTTCAGATGTTCACAGAAAACTAGAGGAATAATTGAGGGTCAGTGGGGTAGGCAAAAGTGTATTCCTTGTATTTTTTTTTTTTCCAGATGAAGTCTTGCTTTGTTATCCAGGCTGGAGTGCAGTGGCGCGATCTTGGTTCACTGCAACCTCCGCCTCCCAAGTTCAAGTGATTCTCCTGCCTCATCCTCTTGAGTAGCTGGGATTACAGGCGCCTGCCACCACGCCTGGCTAATTTTGTATTTTTAGTAGAAAATGGGTTTCACCATGTTGGGTAGGCTGGTCTCAAACCCCTAGCTTACAGTGATCCACCTGCCTTGGCCTCCCAAACTGCTGGGATTACAGGCGTGAGCCACCGCGCCCAGCCTTTGTCTTCTTGAAGTTATGTAGAAGTATCTATTCTACCCTCCCTTAGAAACATACCTAGGCATCAGTTAGCTTTCCTGATATAACACCATAATAAGGGATGGTGACTTCATGAAGGTATCTAAAAGTGTACTTTGTTCCTTCCAGCATTTTCTGACTTGAAGAACTCCACATTTTGCAGAATAAATTGATAGTAGAATAAATGAATCAGGCAGTAACATTTCAAATTAAATACAAATTATAAACTAATATATTTGGACTCTGTCCTCTTGACACTCAAACCTCCTCTTCCTTTCCATGAATCACTTAATAATTTTTAGAAACCAGCATGATATGGACAAAATGTTGTGCATTAGCCAACTCTTTATGGGGAGATAATGCATGTGAACTGATTTCCTGCAAACTATGAGTGCTGTTCAAGCTTGAAGATTCATTATTACAGTAGGAGTGTAGTAAGGGTTTGAAAAATACTTAAAAATACAACTTGAGAAACTCTCTATTATACAGATAGAGCCATAGATTCTCAGAGATGAGAGCTAATTTTCCTAAACTCATGAAATATATTGACAGCAGCGCTTGGATTAGATTCTCTTTCCCAGTCAGTATTCTTTCCATTGCACTGTGTTGCTTCTTCCATTAGTTATGTTCTGTGAACATTTCCAGTTAGTTCAGTGTGAATCACGTAATAACTGTCACAACAAAAGAGACAAGGAAACTTAGGCTCGTTAGCCAGGCAGGTTATGAAGATCTACAATGTAAAAACATTGGAAAATTTTGTCTCCAAACTTATATTGAATAATTTCAAACCTATGGAAAGATTGAAGACGTAATACAAAAACACCTACCTACCTTTCACCTGGATTTGATGATTGTTAACATTTTTCATATTTGCTTTCTTTCTTTCTCTTTATACATATATACATTCATAGAATTATTCAAAAATTAATTACAGATGCCATGATGATTCACTCTTAACTATGTCCTAAGAATAAGAACTTTTCTTTTCTTTTCTTTTCATTTTGAGACGGGTTCTCACTCTGTCACCCAGGCTGGAGTGCAGTATCTTGGCTCACTGCAGCCTTGACCTCCCAGGCCCAAGCGATCCCCTCACCTCAGCCTCCAGAATAGCTGTGATTACAGGTGCATTCCACTGCCCGGCTAATTTTTGTGTTTTTGTAGAGACAGGGTTTCACTGTGTAGCCCAGGTTGATCTCAAACTCCTGAGCTCAAGTGATCTGCTCACCTCAGCCTCTCAAAGTGCTGGAATTACAGGAGTGAGCCACTGTGCCCAGCTGACCTGTTCTTATATAACCAAAATTCATGAAAGAAATTGAACATTGATACAACAGTATCTATTAGCAACATACTTTATATTTTAAAGTTAATCTAGGGTGCTTCCCCTGCTTTGATTATGTTTTTCATGACTCTATTTTAAAGAGGACAGACTAGTTCCATTTTTTTTCCATTTTTCTTTTTTTTTAGAGATAGAGCCTTGCTCTGTCACCAAGGCTGGACTGCATCTGTGCGATCATAGCTCACTGCAGCCCCAAGCTCCTGGGCTCAAGAAATCCTCCTACCTCAGCCTCCTGAGTTGCTGGGACCACAGGTGCGAGCCACCACACCCTGCTTTCTCATTTCTTTCGTTTTTAAACTTTCCATAAGTTGGATTTGTCTGATTGTTTTCTCATAATTAGATAGATTCAGGTTAAATACTTTTGTCAAGAATACCAAATAGGGAATATATGTTCTTCACAGTGCATCCTATCAAAAGGCATATGTTGTCAGTTTGTCTATTATTGCTGGTGTTAGTTTTGATCACTTGGGTAAGGTATGTTTACCACTGTTTTCCTTTATAAGGTAACTTTTTTCTTTATAGACTAATCTATGCAGTGATCTTTTGAGACTGCATAAATATCTGTTTCCTAACAAACTTCTATTCAGTGGTTTGAGCATTCATTAATGATATTTTCCTGAATCAATGATCATATTGTGGTTGCATGATGGTGTTTATATAATTTATCATTTCTCTCCATGTATTAGTTTGTATCCTTCTTAAAGAACTTTACCTTCCAATTTTTATAGTATTACAAAGGACTCATAGATTTTAAAAATTCCTCATCATTTATTACTGTAATAATAATTCTTATTATTCGATGTTCACTTTGTCTAGTGGGAGCTCTTACAAGCAAGTTCCTGTGTCCTCTGGAAATCTCCACCTCAGTTTTTTAGGACGTCCTCACTTTCTGGCACAATAAGAGATTCCAGGCTTACTTTGAAGGTTTCCTATCTCAGATCTAGTATTGGCTATTTCTCTAAGGGGTTCTGATGAGGAATTGTGTTTAGAAACCAAGAGCTGAGCATTGGGTGTGTTTATTGCTGTTGAAGTGCCAATGCTTCTAGATTATTTCAGTTGAGAGAGCTAGAAAATATATATTTTTAAAAATCATAAATTCATACTGTAAAGTGTAATTACAATCTAATTCCAAAGAGCTTCCCTTCTTGCATCCATTCCATTTTTGAATCTTTATCTTTCTACAGTGAGACCTCTCATTCCCTAAAAAACTTATCTACAATTATATTTAATACTACAAACACATACATAAAATATTATCCTACAGCACACATATGAGTCCATAAATAGTAGATTAATTAAACCCTGCCAACAAGCCTACCTCTTAGTTTTTTTTTTTTTTTTTGGGCTGCTAAAACAAAATACCATAAATAGGGTAGGTTATAAACAATAGAAATTTATTTCTCACAGTTGTGGAGGCTGGAAAGTCCGAGATCAAGGCAGATTAAAAGTCTGATGAAGTCTTGCTCTCTGGCTCATGGATACCTTTTCACTGCATCCTTACAGGTGGAAGGGAAGAACTAGCTCTCTGTGGTCTCTCACTAATCCTAATCTTGAGGGCCCCACCCTTATGATAGAATCACCTTCTAAAGGTCCCATCTCCTAATACCATCACCTTGGGGGTTAGAATTTCAACATATGATTTTTTTGGGGGGTCATACACATTCAGACCATAACATCCACTAAGTATGGTTCAATAATTTTCTGCAGCTTGTACAATAACAACACACAGAGTACAGTATTAAAATTTACTTGGATTAATACTTTTTTCTTTATGGGTATATTATCAAGTTGATATATGGTGAAGTTCATTTTTTAGTATTCAGTTTAAAAAAGTGTTTTTTTTTTGTTTTTTTTTTTTAAAGAGTTGAGTCTTGCTTTTTCACCCAGTCTGGAGCGCAGTGGCACAATCATACCTTACCGTAACCTCAAACTCCTGGGCTTAAACAATCCTCCTGCCTCAGCTTACCCAGTATCTAGGACTATAGTCATGCACCACCTTGCTTGAATATTTTTTTTTTATAGAGACAGGGTCTCACTATGTTGCCCAGGCTGGTCTTGAACTCCTGGACTCAAGCAATCTTTCTGCTTCAGCCTCCCAAAGTGCTGGGATTACAGAATTGAGCCACCACGCCTGACCTCAGTTTTAAATTTCTTTTATCATAATTGGTTTAATGCTATTTTTGAATATATAAACTATTAATATGGCTTAAAGATAAAAATTAAAAATAACATATTCAAAGAATTACTACTTCCTTTCCTGTGATTTGTACTATGTTCCTACCACTACTACACCTACTTTCTGTATGCAGTTAATTTCATTAGTTTCTGGTTTATTGTGTCTGTATTTTTTTTCAAAAATATGCATACACACATAAAGATATACATATATGTTTTATATACAGTTATGTAAAATATATATCTCATATATAATATATATTTACATCTTTCTTACACAGGAGGTATGAGAAAAATCTGATTTTTTAATCTTGTATTTTTTCATAAAAATATATCCTAGAAATTACATTGTATCTGTTCTTTGAGATCTTTTGAATGTAATTTTATACATATATCTTTTCAATTGACAAGTAAATGTTGTACATATTTGTGGTATACAACATGATGTTTTGATAAATGTATACATTTTAGAATGGCTAAATCAAGCTATTTAATATATGCATTATTTCATATGCTTTTTTGTGGTGGGAACACTAAAATCTCTCAGCAATTTTCATGTACACAGTATGTTGTTACTTAAAATCACCATGATATTCTTTTATATAGCTAAATGGTATTCCATGTACCATAGTTTTTCAAACGGGCCCCTATGTTTAGGCATTTAGTTTGTTTTCAATGTATTTCTGACAAATAACATTAAAATTAATAAATACGTGCCTATATAGTTATATATTATTAAAAGTGTGTATTCAGGATAAAGTCACAATTATGAGATCAAAATATACACATGTAGCTTTATTATATATTGCCAAGTTCACCTGTGTAAGGATCACACATTGTTTTACTCCCCTAGCAATGTAAGAAAGTGCTGTTTTCTCACTATCTCACCAAGGAAAATGTATATCAAGGTCTTGAATTTTTGTTAATTTGATAGGTGAGAAATGGCTTTACTGGAGATTAAATGTGAATTTATTTTATATTATGCATAAATTATTTTTTATATATTAAAGTCTATTTGTGTATAACTATAATTAACTTCTCATGCTTTTTTTTCCTATTGAGTTTTTGTCTTTCCTCCTCTATTTTTAAGAGTTCTACATGTATTAGAAATATTAGTTCTTTATAAGTGATATATTTAGAAACATTTTCTCCCAGTTGGACATTTGCTTTTTAACTTATCTTGTTTTCTTTATAATGAAAAATGTTAGATGCATAGATTGCAACAATTTTCTCCTATTCTGTAGGTTGTTTGTTTACTCTTTTGATTGCTTCTTTTTCCATGCAGAAGCTTGTTAGTTTAATTTGATCCCATTTGTCAATTTTGCTTTTGCTACAATTGATTTTGGTGTCTTTGTCATGAAATCTTTGCCCTTGCTTATGTTCTGAATAGTATTGCCTAGATTTTCTTCTAGGGTTTTTATAGTTTTGGTTTTACATTTCAGTCTTTAATGCAACTTGAGTTGATTTTTGTACATGGTGTAAGGAAGGGGTCCAGTTTTAATTTTCTTCATGGGGCTAGCCATTTCTCCCAGCACCATTTATTAAATAGGGAATCCTTTTCCCATTGCTTGTTTTTGTCAGGTTTGTCAAAGATCAGATGGTTGTAGGTGTGTGGTCTGATTTCTCGGTTCTCTATTCTGTTCTATTGGTCTATGTGTCTGTTTTTGTGCCATCTGAAAAAGGTCTAATTATCCAGCATCTATTAGGAACTTAAACAGATGTACAAGAAAAAAGCCAACCCCATTAAAAAGTGGGCAAAGAACATGAACAGACACTTCTTATAAGAAGATATACATGTGGCCAACAATCATATGAAGAAAAGCTTACCATCACTGATCATTAGAGAGATGCAAATGAAAACCACAGTGAGATGCCATCTTACACCAGTCAGAATGGCCGTTATTAAAAAGTCAAAAACTGATAGATGCCAGTAAGGTTGTGGAGAAAAAGAGATGCTTTTACACTATTGGTGGGAGCATAAATTATTCCATCCATTGTGGAAGACAGTGTGGCGATTCCTCGAAAATCTAGAGACAGAAATACCATTTGACCCAGCAATCCCATTACTGGGTATATACCGAAAGAAATATAAATCGTTTTATCATAAAGACACATGCACGCATATGTTCATTGCAGCACTATTCACAATAGCAAAAACATGGAATCAACCTCAATGCCCATCAATGATAGACTGGATAAAGAACATGCGGTACATATACATCATGGAATAAAAAAGAAATGAGATCATGCCCTTTGGAGGGACATAGATGGAGCTGGAAGCCATTATCCTTACTAACGCAGGAACAGAAAACCAAATACCGTGTGTTCTCACTTTCAAGGGGGAGCTAAATGATAAGAACACGTGGACACATAGAGAGAAACAATGCACACTGGGGCCTACCGGAGGGTGAAGTGTGGGAGAAGGGAGAGGATCAGGAAAAATAACTAATGGATACTAGGCTTAATACCTGGGTGATAAAATAATCTGTACAATAAACACCCATGACACACATCTACCTATGTAACAAAACTGCACATGTACCTCTGAACTTAAAAGTTAAAAAAAGAAAAATGTTGTTTAAAAAGTCACATTAATCAATCTTTTAAACTGCAACTGGGTTTCCCCATACTCACATTATAAGTAAAATCAGATACATTTTCTTCCAAGACTTACATGTTTTCAGCTTTTTACTATTAGAGCTCTGTTCATTTGAAGTGTTTGGTGTGAAGTATGCATCCATTTTTATTTTTTTCCAAATGGCTGTTTGGTGTCCTCCACACCATTTATTTAAAAGTCTGGATTTTTTCACTGGTCTATCATTTATTCATATATGAGTATCATACTGTTTTAATTGTAGATACTTTCTAGTATGTTTTAATATCTTGTAAAATTAATTCTAGAGTTCACCTACATATTCTCACATTTACTTTTGAATAGAAAATTATAATAAACATGTCTAGGTCTGGGAAAAATACTTCATATTTTTTATTTAGGTTATATTAAATTTATATGAAAACTTGCAGAAAATTGCCATTTTATGATGCTGAACCTTCCTAATGAAGGTTTGTATCTTTCAGAAATGTCTTCTAGTTTTCTTCATAAAAATATCACGTAATTCTCGTTAAAATTATTACTAAAATTTTTTGCTTATATTGCAAATGGAGTTTTTTCTTCAATTATATATATATATAACTTCTGATTATTGTATAAATGCAGGCTTTTAATTTTTGTATATAAATATTCTAACTTAGTAATTTCACTATTTGGGTAATTTTATCATTGATCCTCTGAGTTCTGTTATATTTTCTTCAAAGAGATCATCTTACTTTTTCATTTATAATCCTTTTTCCTCTGTTTTTTTTCTCATTTAATTGCATTGCTTAATGCCTTTAATACAGTTCTAAGTAGAGATGGAGATGGTGGGCAGGCGTACTTTGTTTTTTCCTTTAGAGGAATGACTCTTTTGTTTCCCCAATAAGTAAAATACAAGCATTAGGTTTGAGGTCTCTATTCCTATCTCTCTCATCTGTACTTCCATCTCTATCTATCTCCATCCCCATCTCATTTTCTACCTCCACTTCTATCCCTATCAGTACTACCATCCCCTTCCTTTCCTTCCCTCCTTCCCTCCGTCCCTCCCTTCCTTCCTTCCTTCCCTTCCTTCCTTTCTCCTTCCTTCCTCTCTCTCTCCCTCCTCTCTCCCTCCCTCCCTTTTTCTCTCCCTCCCTTCCTCCCTCCCTCCCTTTCTGCTAGTAAATACCACTAGTGTGTTTATCAAGAGGATAACTTGTTTGCAAAGGGATTTAACTAGGTTTTTTTCTTCCCCAGAGGTCCCTTTTAATAGAATAGAGGCCTATTGTGTATGTGTGTATATGTGTGTGAGTGTGTGCATATTATTTTTCTTTCCACAGGACAAGTAAGTATCCATCAATTCTTTATTATTGTTTCTGTAAGGAATAAAAGTAGAATTGTTGAATTTTGTCAGCTGTCTATAAGCATCTGTTGAGATAATTATCTGATTTTTCTCCCAGATACCTGAATATGCTTTATTATGTTAATGGATCCCTATTATTGAAACATCTTTGTGTTCTTAAAATATATCCCATGTTTTCACTATGCATTGTCATCTATGTAAATGTAGTATGTTGTTTGCCCTTATTTTATTTATGATTTTTGCTTTGATATTCATATGAGAGACTGATTTCTGTGTGTGTATATTTGTGCATGTGTGTGATATTTTAATCAAGTTTAGGTATCAACATTATTCATATTTCATACAAGAAATTTGGAAGTTTTCCTTTATTTTCTGTCCTCTGTTCCTTAAAAACTTGGTTATATTTCCTTGTGAAAGCATCTAGGCCTTGTGCTTTTCATGTGAGATAGAAATTTGATATCTTTATTTTCTTCTACAGAAATTGGTTTGTTCAAGGTTCTATCTCTATTGCAGTCAATTTTTGTAAATTGTGTTGTCCTAAATAATTATCTATTTTATATAGATATTTACATTTTTGGTATAAGTTATGTAGGCTCTTGATTGTTTTAATTTCTTCTGTTTCAGTGGTCATTTCTTTTTTAACGTTTAAGGTTTATAAATTCATAGCTTTAATTTCATCCCATAGATCTGATATATTATATTTACATTATCATTATTTTTTCGGAAACAGAAATTTCAGTTTGCATTTCCACGTTAACTCAAGAATTATTTTGTAGGAAGTTTCTTCTTATAAATATTCAGAATTTTTCTGAATTTATTTTTTTTTGTTTTATTTGTCATCCAAGAATTTTTTTTATTAATTTTATTTTATGAAACTTACTGTGGCTATTCTGTGGCTTGATATTTGGTCAATAATTATGAACATTCTGTTTGTGTTGGAGAAGAAGGGTTATTCTCATTTTGGGGTCATAGAGTATAATATATATTACAATACCTACCTTATTAATATATGTAGTCTTCTATAGGACCTATAGATCTATATTCTTACCTATTTTTTCCCCACTTGATCTGTTTCAGATTGAGATTGTCATGACAATGTGTCTCCTCCCCTTTCCTTTCTGGTAAGTTTTGTTTTATGAAAGTGGTTCCTGTGTTTCTAGTGTATAGATTTTCACAAATATTATATCTTTATTGTGAACCATGCCTTTTAGCATTATAAACTGTCTTTTTTTAACATTTAATGCTTTTTGGTCTGAATTTGAGTCTGTTTGATGTCAGGAAATGCCTTCTGATTTCTTATTGTTTTCATTTGCCTGGTATCTCTTAGCCTATATTTTTATTTTTAGGCATCTGAATTGGTTTATTTGAGGTGATATTTCTTGCACAAACCATGCAGTTGGGTTTTGCTTTGAGAAATTCCATGTTTTATTAAATAGACATCTAAGCTATCATTATTTTGTCTTAAGGCAATGGGATATAAAAATTTACCAGAGTCAGGGGAATATCAATTACGTGTAGCAGAAAAACACTATCCTATCACATTGTACTGTTTCTGTCACTAGGTAGATTTATGTGGTTGGCTTTAATTGAATCATTTCAAGGGCAGAATGAATTTTTTTAAAGTTTACATTTTGAAAAAAAAAATAAGTACCAAGAAAAAATGTTAAAAGGGATTTGGAACATGTTGCTCTAACTTTTATATGAATATATCAAGGGATTAAAATAAGGGTGAATCTCAAAGGATATAAAACATATACAATTTGTGAGATCAAGGCTCTACTTTCACATTTTCTATGTCCTATTAGTGAATCTTTGGCCAGTCACTTAAACTCTCTAAGCCTCAGTTTCCTTATTGAGAAACTGGGGATAAAATTAGTTCTGCTACCTCCCTTTTAAAATGTTTGTACTTATTAAAATGTCCAATTCCCTAATCCATCTTTCATAATGCCTCCTTTCCCAGCAAAGTTTAGGTATGCAACTTGTCTTCCAAATCTCTTATAATGGATTTCCTTTGTCTTTATGTGTTTAAACAATTAAAAGATTTTTATAAAATAATAGATCCACCTATTTTATACTTACAATATTCTGCTTTATACCTTTTCTGAGCTGTAGTCCTCTAGAGGTGACTACTCTCATTCCTTTTTTTAGTTTGGGTATGTGTGTGTGTGTGTGTGTGTGTGTGTGTGTGTGTGTGTGCATGCACTTGCTTCTGTACCCCTAAGTAATATAAATATAGTATCACTAGTTCTTGGCTTATCAATTTGAGTTAGTACTTATTTCTTTTTCACTATGAAAAATGAAAATTAACTGAAATTGAACGTTATCTTTCAATCCAATATTTAAGAGTTCTAATATTATTTTTCATTCTTCCATTTTATAACTTTGAATAACACACTTATACCTCTCTTTATAGTTTCATCAATTGTATGCACACCGAAACATATTCCTCACACTCTTATTCTCTCCTATCTCTCCTTCCTAATTGCATCCTCAACTTCTGTCAGCTTTACCTGGCATATATATAGTTATGGTTGATACAATTTACATTCTCCTCTGTAACCATAATAATTCATTCATAAGAAGGTCATAACAAAGATTTACTTTAAAATATGAGCTCAAATAATCAGTATTTATATTAATGTCTTACTTTATATTGGTAATTTGCTCCAGTTACATTTCCTTTCCTAGATTCTGATACCATTAGCTTTGTGTTCTTCAAAGAAGCATGTTTCTAGCATCAACGTTAAATAGATTATTTTCATTTAAAACTTACCTTTGTGACTTACTTAATTTTTGTATCATGAACTTCGGTCATTCCTGTTTTCGTTTTTTAATTGGATTGTATTTATTCTATGGATCAACTTGTACAGAATTAACATTTTCATAACATAAAGCCTCTCAGTCCGTGAATATGGAATAGCCTTCCATTTAGTTAGGGCTTTATTTTCCCTCAATACTTTTTTTTAATTATACTTTAAGTTCTGGGATACATGTGTAGAACGTGCAGATTTGTTACATAGGTATACATGTGCCATGGTGATTTGCTGCACCCATCAACCCATCATCTACATTAGGTATTTCTCCTAATGCTATCCCTCCCCCTGCCTCCCACCCGCTGACAGGCCCTGGTGTGTGCTGTTCCCCTCCTTGTGTCCGTATGTTCTCATTGTTCAACTTCCACTTATGAGTGAGAACATGCCGTGTTTGGTTTTCTATTCCTGTGTTAGTTTGCTGTGGATGATGGTTTCCAGCTTCATCCACGTCCCTGCAAAGGACATGAACTCATTCTTTTTTTATGGCTGCATAGTATTGCATGGTGTTTATATGCCACATTTTCTCTATCCAGTCTATCATTGATGGGCATTTGGGTTGGTTCCAAATCTTTGCTATTGTGAATAGTGCTGCAATAAACATACATGTGCATGTGTCTTTATAGTAGAATGATTTATAATCATTTGGGTATATACCCGGTAATGGGATTGCTGGGTCAAATGGTTTTTCTGTCTCTAGATTTTTGAGGAATAGCCACATTGTCTTCCGCAATGGTTGAACTAATTTACACTCCCACCAACAGTGTAAAGGTGTTCGTATTTCTCCACATCTTCTCCAGCATCTGTTGTTTCCTGACTTTTTAATGATTGCCATTCTAACTGGTGTGAGATGGTACCTCATTGTGGTTTTGATTTGCATTTCTCTAATGACCAGTGATGATGAGCTTTTTTTCATATATTTGTTGGCTGCATAAATATCTTCTTTTGAGAAGTGTCTGTTCATGTCCTTCACCCACTTTTTGATGTGGTTGTTTGTTTTTTTCTTGTAAATTTGTTTAAGTTCCTTGTAGATTCTGGATATTAGCCCTTTGTTAGATGGATAGATTGCAAAATTTTTCTCCCATTCTATGTAGGTTGCCTGTTCACTCTGATAACAGTTTCTTTTGCTGAGCAGAAGCTCTTTAGTTTAATTCTTATTGAGAGAAGTAAGTTTATTATTCCCCAAATGTCTTCCAGCTTCCTTCTTGGGCTACCAACTATTTGATTCCATTTCATTCTTCTTCATGCAGATATATATACACATACACATACACACACACACACACACACACACATATATACATATATGTGTATATATATATATAATATGAATTTCACTTTCTCTTCAAATTTGAACCCATTCAAGGCTGGTATTTAACTAGTACATACCAGTACAGCAGCACCCATTTTTTAAAAAAATAAAACATTTGTATATCAGAATGAAAGTATTTTAATAGTATTTATAATGGGTAGTAAAATTAATTAGTAACATAAGTCTACATATAAATGCATTAATTCAAGGATTGCCATCGGATGTTGTAATTACCATGGATAATGGACCTTTCTTCAATCATAACAACATCTGAGAAGCTATTTGTCATTAGACCAGCTAGGCAGCATAGCATTCTTTACAATGCCCTATGTAATATGGGTTAATTATTTTATTTTTGTATTCTAAATAATTTATACTTTGTGCTGTTAGTATTATAATCCTTGCAGAAAGTTGTTAGTGAATTATTTTGATGTTTATAAAATCAAGAATCTATAACAAAATATAAAAAGCATCTCTTTTTTTGCCTTCTGGGCTATTGCCACCATTTCACTTCGTATTTTCATTTTTTCTCTCATTTTCAGGTAGTAAACATTCCTCAAGTTTTTATTCATAAAAAATACATGAACAACAAAATCTCTAAATACTTGAATTTCTGAAAACAAACTTATTGAACAGTCAAGCTTAATTAATTGATAGTTGGACGGGATACAAGTTATAGATTTTGTCTTAGGTTCCGAAGATCTTACTCCGTTATTTTTTTGCATTAATTTTTGCTGGTCTCCTTAATAGGTATTGATTGTGTACTTAGTATATTTTGGGTGCTGATGCTAATTGGATACTGGTTGCTTTATTGATGACATTGCTTAATGGGCCCTTACAATGTAAATATTGTGACTCTGAAATATTTTCTTATATTAATCGTTTGATAATTTACTCCCCTATATTTTTCTACTTCTTGCCTTTCGATTTCCTAACAGTTGAATAGTGATGCTCTGTTTCTCATGATGCTATGTTTCTCTACATTTTTGGTTTCTTTAAATGTTTCCTTCACATGCTGAGAAATATCTTCCACTTAATCATTTGTTTTTATTGAATTTTTAAATTTTGGAAATCATTACTTCTAATTGAGAAGAATTATCATGTTTTCATTATTCCCTTTTTATCTTATTTTACTCCAGTTTTATGCACCAAATATATAAATTCTCTCATTTTGCCTGAATGTTTTCTCTGACACTGGTTTTATTTATATATGTATATGTATATATATATATATATTTTAAATGTTGCAGGCTTTCTTGAAATGTCTGATGTTCCATTAATGAGGGAGTTTAGAGGCTGTCTGGGTCATCTGGATAAATGGGCAAGGCTTGTGGTTGTCAACAGGCTTTGCTCTAAAATGGTTTGGGAACTGAAGGCTTCCACATGCCTAAACATGTGCACAAATATCCATGCTTAATATCTTGCTCCTCCCAATACAACTCATACAAATTACTTAGAGGCCAACCTAAATTTTTACTGCTTTGATTCTATCTATCTATCTATCTATCATTAATCTATATTATCTATTATTTATCATCACCTATTTATTGTAATTGCTTTAGTTTCTTATATTTATTGTTATCATTATTATTTCTTTGGATAGTTAAAAACCTGGCTGCTAGCCATTTTGTGGGTAGGAGTGCAAAAAAAAAAATAGGGTAAAGTATGTTAACTGTTCAGTATGTAGAGCTTCAAGTTTTTTGTTAATAGTACTACTCTCACTCTTTCTATACCCCATTCATGCAGCCTCTAAGTCCACAACCTCCTCCACTACAAACCTGCTTAGGTTTATTCTGGACTGCAGATTTCTCTCTTCTCTTCCGACATTAAATACTTTTTTACTTGCTTTGAAGCCTTCTAGAAATGTGTTGACCCTCTTTGTGATAAGCTGTCTCTTGTTTATCTTTAAAATTGTTTTATACTCTTTAACAGGATCTTAGGAGGGAGGAGAAAATAAAGTGTGTGCTCATTTGGCGATCTTTAATGAGAAACTTCATTGCTTTTACAATAAAGTCTCAAATGCTTTCTCTTCATCAAAGCACTTGAGGTAAATCATGTATCAGCCTGATCTGGTGCATTTTCATGTCTCCTGTGTTTGAGCTCCAGTGGTCTGGTCATAGTTCTCTGAATAGTTTCTTCAAGTTTTCACATCTTGGTTTATGCTGTGTCTACATGCTGGTATGTTCTTTCTACCTTCTTTGTTCATTAAAATCTTGTTCATCCGGGAGGCGGAGCTTGCAGTGAGCCGAGATCGCGCCATTGCACTCCAGCCTGGGCGACAGAGCGAGACTCCACCTCAAAAAAAAAAAAAAAAAATCTTGTTCATGCTTCAATGCTTCAATGTTAAGTCAGCTACCACTTCTTTTACATAGACTTTCCTCTTCTCACTGGAATAACTATGCCTAATTTAATGCCTCACGATATTTTGCTTTATATTCCATGTTATGACATACACATTTTTTTGTATCAGAAAGTAAACTTTTCAAAAATTACTTTTATAACTTTGTCTTAGTTCATTTTGTGCTGCTGTAACAAAATACCTGAGACTTGGTGATTTAGGAAAGAACAGAGATTTATTTCTTATAGTTCTGGACTGGGAAGTCCAATGTTGAGGAGCCCATGTCTGGCAAGGGCCTTCTTGCTGTGTCAACCCATGGTGAAAGGCAGAAGGGCAAAAGAGAGTCAAGGAAAGGGAGATTAACTCATATTTTTATCAGGAATCCACTCCTGCTATAACTAATCCATTCCTATTATAATGGCTTTAATCCATTCATGGGGACAGAGCCTTTATGACCAAATCACCTGTTAAAGGTCTCACTTGTCAACATTATTGCATTAAATTTCCAACACGTGAACTTTGAGGGACACATTCAAACCACATGAAGCTTCATGGTATGTTATTATATGGTTTATCATTTTTAAATGTAAGAATTCTCACAATTTTGCACCTAGTTTGTTTTTCATATTTTCCTGTTATAAAAAATAGTGGTGCAATTAACACCTTAACATTTAATTTTTATATCCCTGATTTAAAGTGTAAAACAATTTTAAGGTTCTTGATTTATATTTCCAAATTTTGTCCCAGGAAATATGTACCAATTAACATTTTTACTAGGTGTTTATTCTATTGCACTTCCACTAACCCTGGATCTTTTCACTTTTAAACATTATACCAATTTGACAAATTTAGAAATGTTATCTTATTGCTTTATGCTATAACTCTCTTTAATGCCAGATATGTTGAATAGGTTTTAATATATTTATTGTTCATATAGTTAAATTTTTTTTTTATTTTGCCATTTGCCTGTTCACATCTTTTATTCAGTTTTCTTTATGGGCTCCGAGCTAATTTTTTATGATTTTTAATAGTTCCTTCTATATTAAGGATATTAATTCTTTGTGCATTATGTATTATAAATATTTTCTCACAGTTTTTTTATTTGCCTTTTCACCTTTGTTTATAGTTATTTTTGGCCATACAGATGTTTTGATTATAGTGAAGATGCAGTTTTATTTTTACTTTTGTTGTTTTGTATTTGATGTAATGTTTAAAATGTTTTTCCTCATTTTAAGATCAGATAAATATCCATGTGGTTTCTAGCTTTTAAAAAAACCATTAAATCGTTATTATTCAATTTTTAAGATGCAGCAATATAAACTCTTGGAAATCCTACAGTCACTGGTAGTTGTTTTATTGCATGACTAATTGTTTTGTTTTAAAAACTTTTTAACGATGGATATCGCTATTTCCAATTTTCCTTTTTTGCTTTAGCATCACAAAGAAATATGGAATGCTTAAGTTTCCCTTGTAGTTGTTCCCACAAATCAAGACTATTCACACTATTTTGTGTGTGTGTGTGTGTGTGTTTGTGCTTTTCCAAGGTTAACTCTTCTCCCTATGTTGAAGTATCTTGTAGGACTGTCTCTCTTCACACTTCAATAAGCCAAGCTTGTGCTTAAGAGGAGAAATAAGAAAACCTGGGAGAGTGTATTATTTAGTATAGGTGATATTTTAATAGTGAGTAAAGTAATCATAATGACAGAGACGGTACAGAGAAATTTGCAACAGGCATGGATTTCTCAATGACTTGTAAGATATAAGAAATGATCATTATTTTTCTAAATAAAACACAACGTAGCTCTTAGTCCCATATACTCAGGGTTGTTAGAAGTTCAGTGTCATTCATTGTTTCAGATTCCTGTCCTCCTCCACTGGACCATGTAAGAGATCTGAGTCTTATCTGAGGGAGAACAGGATAGTGTTTTGTCCTTGGTCTACAACAGCTAGTTGCCACCACATCTTTTGCACCTGTAATTGTAATGATTAAGAGCACAGGCCCTGGAGCTGAAGTGAATCATGTGAAACAAGTATGAATTATGACTCTGCCACTTAACTACCTATGTAATTGGAGAAAATTGTCTTATCTCTCAGTGCCTCAGTTTCCTCATCTGGGAAATGAGTAGATCATAAAGTTGTCAATATTAAATGAGTAAAATGTGCAAAGTGACATTAGCCCATTGTAAGCACTGCATGTGTTAGCCGTTGTTATTATTATTGTCATTATTACCACTACCATGGTAGCTACTTTTATTGCTGTTGTCCTGTTCTGATTTTTTAACTGTTTCATGGTAAGTTTCTATGATGCCCCTCACTATAACTTCTTTCTTTTCTTTTTCTTTCAATTTTTTTGGTATATACCCAATAGTGGGATTGCTGGATCATATGATAATTCTATTTTTAGTTTTTTGAATAACTGCTGTACTGTTTTCCATAATGGCTGTACTAATTTACATTCCCACTAACAGTGTACAAGAGTTCCATTTTTTCACATCCTTACTAACATTTGTTATCTTTCATCTTTTTGACAATAGCCAGTCTAACAAGTATAAGGTGATATTTCACTGTGATTTTAATTTGTATTTCACTGATGATTAGAAATGTTGAGCACTTTTTTCATGCACCTGTTGGCCATTTGTATGTCTTCTCTTGAGAAATGTTTATTCAAGTCTTTTGTCCATTTTTTTTAAACAGGGTTATTTGTTTTCTTGCTAATGAGTTATTTGAGTTGCCTATATGTTTTGGATATTGGCTCCTTATCTGAAGTATGATTTGCAAATATTTTCTCCCAGTCTTTGGGTTGTCTCTTCACTCTTATTAGTTGTGTCCTTTGCTGTGCAGAAACACTTTAGTTTGATGCAATCCCATATGTCTGTTTTTGCTTTTGTTGTGTGCTTTTGGGGTCATAGCCAAGAAATCTCTGCTCAGATACTGTCATGGAGCTTCTGGGAGGACATATTTTTTATCAGAGATTTATATTCATAGATATTTTAGGACATATAAGTTTTAGAAAAATAATTTCCCTTGTACTCTTTCTGAAGGAGCTGTTAGAGAATGTGCACAACAAGACATGGCTGCAAACTAGAAAGAGGAGAATATAGAGTGCAGAAAACAGTGCATCCAACCCAGAAGAAAATATAATTATAAGCTCGAAGGTGACCATTGGGGAGCAGGCACAGAGAGAAACCAGTCCTGGCTGGAGCTGGAGCTGGAGCATAAGGAAGTCTGAAAACGCAGTTGCCAAAATGTAGATGATGTACGCACTCATGGGTGGCTATGGACCCTTGAGATAAACTTAGTCATGGGACATAAAAGGCTCAGGCTTGTTTTGGAGAAAGTAACCCCATTATGAAGTACATGTATTATTTAGGAGGCTCAGAGTGCTAACTTAGGAATTAAACCGTAATTATCTGCTGACTGGCTCTGGCATCTGACAGCTAAGGGCATACAAAAAAAGTCTTAGCAGAAAGAATCATCATTTTACAAATGGGTATATTTTACAAATGGGTGTATTCAAAAGTATTTTATCATACTTTTGAATATTAGGTAGCTAATATTTAAAAGCTACCTAATTATAAAAGCTACCTTATTATATAACGAAACAAAACAGAAAACAAGAGATATTATCTACAGTTAATAGAAGAAGTAGCGTTTTAATCATATGGTTTAAAGATACAATGGTGACAAATTGAAGAAATTAAAAAAAATGTAACAGTACTGGAAGGATGGTGGAGTGCAAGTAGTTGAGGTAAATATTATATTTCATAGCAGAAATATAGTATATATTATATAACATTGATGAATATAAAAGCAGCATAAGAATATTATTTACAGACATGAAGGTAGCCACACTAGAAGAACTAACAGAGATCATTAAAATGGTTGCCTGTTGTGAGCAGATGTGGGTTCAGGAACACTGGGACAGTGGATGAGGTTTATCATTGTAAACCTTCCCATACTGTTCAATTTTTTAAATCACTGCACTCATTATTTGGTAGAAACAAAATAAAAGAGGGCCCTTTATCATAAATTTCCCCATGAAGTAGGGAGCATTTTCATATTTACTTGGCCGCAACACATTTTTCAAAAAGTTGATACTAAGATTAGAGCAGAAGCAGATTTTCCAGGGAATGCCTTGTGATAAGCTTATTAATAATTAAATTCAGTTGATATAGTATTTGAATGAAATTTTCCTATGTTTGAATTTAATCTGTTCAAAATTTGTCAAAGTGTAAGCCATCTTTTTTATTTTTGCAGTGTTATACTCCAGCTAGACCCTGAGAAACATCTCCATTCTTTGCAAATATTAAGCACATTTTTTACCTCCTGTAAAAGGATTTCACCACTTGCATAATCATGTCAGCACTGCAGTTATTTCTGGTCACAATTCCTGAATTATCTAATCTCTAGTTGTTCGTAATTTCCTCCCTTCAATATTCAAACAAGCATAAGTCCACTTACTTGAATTTTACCTGAATTTTAAACTGGGCAATGAGTCAGGAAGATTGGAAGTATCACCATAAGAATGTCTTACAACTGCTTTTTAAAATTGGAAATGTTTGCTTTTCTCTTTCTTTTCATCTGTTTCTTCATTTACTTTTCTATTGCTTTTTTAGCGTTAGTAAATTAATTTTACTGGCATATAAATTTGTTGTATTTTATTTTATTTTTTTAACTTCCAACTTGTATTTTAAGTTCAGGGGTACATGTGCAGGATGTATGGATTTGTTACATAGGTAAACATGTGCTATGGTGGTTTGATGCACAGGTCATCTCATCACCCAGGTATTAAGCCAAGCATCCATTAGTTATTCATTCTTCCTGATCCTCTCCCTTCTCCCTACCCCAGCCCTTTGACAGACCCCAATGTGTGTTGTTCCCAAATATGTGTCCATGTGTTATTATTTAGCTCCCACCTACAAGTGAGAACATTCAGTATTTGGTTTTCTGTTCCTGCATTAGTTTGCTAAGGATAATGGCCTCCAGCTCCATCCTGCAAAAGACATGCTCTCACTCCTTTTTATGGCTGCATAGTATTCCATGGTGTATATGTACCACATTTTCTTTATCCAGCCTATCACTGATGGACATTTAGGTTGATTCCATGTCTTTGCTATTGTAAATAGTGCTGCAATGAACATACGTGTGCATATGTCTTTATAATAAAATGATTTATATTACTTTGGGTATATCCCAGTAATAGGATTGCTGGGTCAAATGGTATTTAAGGCTTCTAGGTCTTTAAGGAATTGCCACGCTGTCTTCCACAATGATTGAGCTAATTTACACTCCCACCAACAGTGTAAAAGTGTTTCTTTTTCTCCACAATGCCATCAGAATCTGTTGTTTTTTGACTTTTTAGTAATAGCCATTCTAACTTGTGTTAGATGGTACCTCATTGTGATTTTGATTTGCATTTCTCTAATGCAGTGATGCTGAGCTTTTTTCATATGATTGTTGGCTGCATGTGTGTCTTCTTTTGAGAAGTGTCTGTTCATGTCCATTGCCCACTTTTTAATGGGGTTTTTTTTTCTTGTAAATATGTTTAAGTTCTTAATAGATGCTGGATATTAGACCTTTGTCAGATGGATAGATTGCGAAATACTTTCTCATTACATAGGTTGTCTGTTTATGTTGTTTACAGTTTCTGTTGCTGTGCAGAAGCTCTTTAGACCCCATTTGTCAATTTTTGCTTTTGTTGCAATTGCTTTTGGTGTCTTCGTCATGAAATGTTTGCCTGTGCCAATGTCCTGAATGGTATTGCCTAGTTTTTCTTCCGGAGTTTTTATAGTTTTGGATTTTACATTTAATTCTTTAATCCATTTTGAGTTGATTTTTGTATATGGTGTAAGGAAGGGGTCTGATTTTAATTTTCTGCATATGGCTCATCACTTCTCCTTGCACCATTTACTAAATGAGGAATCCTTTCTCCATTGCTTGTGTGTCAGGTTTGTTGATGATCAGGTGGTTGTAGGTGTGTGGCCTTATTTCTGGGTTCTCTGTTCTGTTCCATTGGTCTATGTGTCTGTTTTTGGGCCATGCCAGTACCGTGCTGTTTTGATTACTGTAGTCCAGTAGTACAGTTTGAAGTTGGGTAGCATGATGCATCATGTTAACGTAATTCATCACATAGACAGAACTAAAGACAAAAACCACGTGATTATCTCAGTAGACGCGGAAAAGGCCTTCAATAAAATTCAATGTCCTTCATGGTAAAAGCTCTTAATAAACTAAGTATTGAAGGAACATACCCTAAAATAATAAGAGCCATATATGACAAACCCATAGCCAAAATCATACTGAATGGGGAAAAGCTGGAAGCATTCCCCTTGCAAACTGGCACAAGGCGAGGTTGCCTTCTCTCACCACTCCTATTCAACATAGTGTTGGAAGGTCTGGCCAGGGCAATCAGATAAGAAAAAGAAATAAAGGAAATTCAAATAGGAAGAGAGAAAGTCAAACTTTCTTTGTTTGCAGATAAAATGATCCTATATTTAGAACACCCCATCATCTCAGCCCAAAATCTTCTTAAGCTGATAAGCAACTTTGGCAAAATCTCAGGATACAAAATCGATGTGCAAAAGTCGATAGCTTTCATATACACCAACTACAGGCAAGCCAAGAGCCAAATCACAAATGAACTCCCATTCACAATTGCCACAAAAAGAATAAAATACCTAGAAATACAGCTAACAAGGGAAGTAACAGACTTCTTCAAGTATAACTACAAACCACTGCTCAAAGAAATCAGAGATGGGACAAACAAATGGAAAAACATTGCATGCTCATGGATAGGAAGAATCAATATGGCCATACTGCCAACGCAATTTATAGAGTCAATGCTATTCCCATTAAACTAGCATGACATTCTTCACAGAAGTAGAAAAAATATTTTAAAATTCATATGGAACCAAAAAACAGCCTGAATAGCCAAGGTAATCATAAGCAAAAAGAACAAAGTTGTTGCATTTTAAATTCTTAGGATATATAAATCTTTCTTTTTTTCAAAACTCTGTTATTTATTTACACTTACAATTACTAAATAAAAGTTTTATACATTTATCCTGTTCAACATAATGTTTTGAAATATGTATACATTGTGGAATTGCTAAGTGTCCATCAAGAGATGAATGGATGAAGAAAATGTGGTCTGTGTACACAATAGAATACTGTTCAGCTTTGAAAAGAAGTAAATCCTGTCATTTGCAACAACATGAATGAACCTGGAGCACATTATGTTAAATGAAATAATCCAGCCACAGAGGGTAAATACCACATGATCTCATTTATATGTGAAATCTAAAAAAGTTGAACTCATAGAGGCAGAGAGTAGCATCGTGATTACCAGGAACTGAGAGCTGGAAGTTAATGAGTTTAGGGAGATGTTGTTGGTCAAAGGACACAAAATTTCAGTTAGACAGGAGGAATAAGCTCAAGAGATCTATTGTACAACATAACTATAGTTAGTAGCAATAGCAATGTATATATTCTTGAAAATTGTTAAGAGTAGATTTTTTTTATTATACTTTAAGTTTTAGGGTACATGTGCACAACGTGTAGGTTTGTTACATATATATACTTGTGCCACGTTGGTGTGCTGTGCCCATTAACTCGTCATTTAACATTAGGTATATCTCCTAATGCTATCCCTCCCCGCTCCCCCACCCCACAACAGGCCCCTGTGTGTGATGTTCCCCTTCCTGTGTCCATGTGTTCTCATTGTTCAATTCCCACCTATGAGTGAGAACATGCGGTGTTTGGTTTTTTGTCCTTGTGATAGTTTGCTGAGAATGATGGTTTCCAGCTTCATCCATGTCCCTACAAAGGACATGAACTCATCATTTTTTATGGCTGCATAGTATTCCATGGTGTATATGTGCCACATTTTCTTAATCCAGTCTATCATTGTTGTACATTTGGGTTGGTTCCAAGTCTTTGCTATTGTGAATAATGCCGCAATAAACATACGTGTGCATGTGTCTTTATAGCAGCATGATTTATAATCCTTTGGGTATATACCCAGTAATGGGATGGCTGGGTCAAATGGTATTTCTAGTTCTAGATCCCTGAGGAATCACCACACTGACTTCCACAATGGTTGAACTAGTTTACAGTCCCACTGACAGTGTAAAAGTTTCCTATTTCTCCACATCCTCTCCAGCACCTGTTGTTTCCTGACTTTTTAATGATTGCCATTCTAACTGGTGTGAGATGGTATCTCATTGTGGTTTTGATTTGCATTTTTCCGATGGCCAGTGATGAGAGTAGATTTTAAGTGTTCTTACCACAAGAAATTATGTGAGGTAATTCATATGTTAATTAGCTTGATTTATCCATTCTTATTTCTTTTCAATATTCATTTTATTCTTCATCTAAGGCCTACAGTTTCTTTTCTGACCTCTAACCAATTCTCATATCTGTTTTTGTTTCTTTCACATTTCTACAAGGAGAAATAATATTACAAAATATTGAATAGTGGCTATCTTAAAATGATCATATTATTTGCCTTTTATTTTCTAAAATAGCACAAACTTTTGCTTTTTTCTTTCTTCTCCTCCTTTTAATTTGAGTGTGGGTAAATACTTGCATGAAATTTTATGTTTCTAGTTTCTTGAAGGGCAGGAGTTATGTTTTGTAAAATATTTAGCAAAGCTATTGTAAAGGTGAATGGGTAAGGATGTTTCTATTTACAATAAATATACTACATATTTCCAAGAGGTTAAATAGGTATAGCATAAAAATATACTATATATTTCCAAGAGGTTACCTACATTATTATATTATAAATATACTATTAATATAATTATATAATATAATTATATAAGTATATATTATATATATTAAATATACTATTAGTATAATTATATTAATAGTATAAGTATATTAATAGTATATATAATAAAAATATAAATACTATATTTATAGCATAATAATTTATGTAACCTCTTAGAAACTTTGAAGTATTAAAAAATGACTATGGCTGATTTTAGATTAATTATGAACAAAAAGGGCATTTTCTATTGAAATGCTGATATGTTTAATTTCAGAAGTTTGAGACATTTTAAACTCTAACCTGTAGCTCTGAAAAATCTGCAAGAGGATGTAGGAAGCAACTCTAATAAATGTTATTCAATAATTCTATATATAACTTTGTGATTATTCTGTGAAAGGCCTTATTATCTATTAAAATTGTGTTTCAAATGAAGACTTTATCTTTACCTAAGGTTTTTATTCTCCAGTTCTGTTTATGTTAATTTGAATGAATATTTTCTAATAAAGTAGGATCAGACAACCACTTGGGGAGAATAACAACCTTTTCTAATATATACTAGTTGAAATTGCTTTAATTAAATCTAAATTACATGCCTAAATACCAAATGACAGATACCACAGTAGGCCTAGCTGAAGGTCAGATTCAGTCTACATATTATTATTATTAAATATTTGGCATTCAAATATTCCCACCCTTATATTTTCCTCCAAAAGTCATTGTTTGTTTAATGGCCCTACTGTAATTGGTGAGATAAGTACACACAAAAAACCTATTAGCTAAGAAATCAATCCCTTGATTCTTATGATTTACAGAGAATGTTAACAGAAAGATTCACAAGAAAGCAATACCATTAATTGTGGGTTCAAATCCCTCAGAAGCCACTGTAGCCTGCCAAAGGTCATACTAAAGAACATACATCACAATGCCATTTGATATCTCTTTATAACCTATTAAGTAGAAGTGGTTACCTATTTCAGTTGAGCCACAAATTCAGTTCCCTGCAGGAATTTGAGATAAATTTCTTCGGTGCTCACTTACATTTTCTCCAGCCAATTTGTCGTTTAGGACCAGGTGATGAGGAATAGTTTATGTAGCTGAATGCCTAGACAAGTTAAAAAAGAGGCAATGTATGTGATTATTCCTCTACCAACTGCATTACTACCTGGCCAAAAAAGATAATGCTATGCCACTTAGGGCTGTGAATTCTACTGCCAGATGATAACTGCACTAACCAACATCAACACCATCCAACAGGCAGGTCATACAAACCTTTGAAGGGCCAGAAACACATTTCACCTTCAAGGTCTTTGAAGTTCAGTAGAGACACAGGATCCATTGCATTGTTTCAAGTAGAAAGGTGTCTTTCTCAAGGACAAGGATGAGGAAAGTTTGTGGCACCTTGATCTTTCACCCAGCTTCTGAACAACTTGCAGCCTGGAGGGAGCAAATGAGAGAAACCTTGACAAGAATCAATGTCTTTGTTTTGGAACTTTCAAAACAAAATGGCAACATATTTCATCCGACGATAAAGTTAGAGAGTAAACTGCTGCTACTCCCTTTTCCTGTCTTCATCTGGGTTCAAAATAAGTACTATTTTAGGTAAAATCTAGGGTCCGTTGAGCTTAGAATTCTCTTTTCTGCAGAGTCAGGCATTCAGGGCTGTGCTCTGGTGAGGCTTTCCTCAAGGAAATGTTGTATTACCACCTTTAAAATTATCTGTAGACATTCCACACTTAGAGATTTTTCTCCCAGATTTTTCAGGTCATGATTGCAGGTAAAACTTCAGCCAATGACTACCCAAGCATCCAATAATCATGTAACAACATGGACTCAGGGATTATTCAAGCTGATGATGGGGGACACATCGTCAGTACAGATACACTGAGTGTATTGAATACACTTCTAGCTCACCCACACAGACCAGTATAGACACCTTGATAGGTTTTATCCAGTTGTTATACCGAGCATCCGGTCTGAACATACCTTTCATCCCACTGGCCATCTCAGATAGATCCTACTGCCCTGACATTGGGGAAGATGTTAAAGCTAAGACTGCCCAAAATTCTCATCAGGCCATTTTCTCTTTCTTTATAGTTCTAACAAATTATGGTTTCATTTAATTGCTCCAGGCTCTGAATGTGAAAGCATCCAGGGATCACATAAAAGCAATTTTTGCTTTTCTTTCTGTTTTCTTCTCTTTTATAAAGACCACTGCTTACAGGACTCTCATAAATAGTGATCAGCTTGAGACGTGAATACAATTCAAAGTATTTACTAGATCTTTTAAAAATCAGCCTTAGAAGCTATATAACATGAAGCATCACAAAGATGTCTTCTATTTTAAACTTAACAGTGCCTAAAGTAGAATAATTGTACATTTTGATAGAATCTTCTTCTGTGATTTGTTTAATTCATTGTAATGGAAATGTATGTGAAACTATGCCAACATTTTAATCATTGGATTCAAATGTGATATCTTAGATAAATTATGTTGTCAATTGTGCTCATAAGGAAATATATTAAGGTATATAATGTATTCATTTGATTAATGACTGTAAACACCTGTAGTATGGTATAACTTATATTTAGTACAGGTGGCTCAGGTAAACCAGTCTGAGTAACAATCTCTTCGCATTTGCTGCAGCATCTCTTCATTTCTTTGTCATGGTGGGAATTATAAATATCTGAAACACCTTTTTCAGCCTCATGTATGGAACACTGACTGCTTCACATTTAATTCTATACTTAATGTGTTTGATACATCTTAGCTGTGACAGTTATGGTTTTATACACCTAGAAAATGGAAGGTCATTTTAAAAGGAGCAATAATTTGCTTTATTTGAGAAGGAACAAACAAAATGTTTTCTGTAACTTCTGCTTTTCCTTTCTGAATGGGAATGAAAAAGAAGTCACTTAAGTGGGTACTGTTCATATTATGTTGCCACCATTATTTGCTTGTTCTCAAACTCAGGTGTGGACATGCATACATTTATATTCTCTAAATATAAGAGCCAATATCACCTATTTGAGTGCTGCTCCTCACAAAAGACGAAGATAAAATAACTTGTCTCCATTACCAATTTCCTAGACAAATGCATAAACACATGCCATAAATACTAAGTCAGAATTGACCTTCACAAAAAACATCTACAAATGAATGCGTCATATAAATGTTCTGAATTTAAAGATTGGGTGATTTATGGAACACACAAAAAAATACTAGACTCTGGTTAAACATTAGAAAACCATTTATATGCTCTACTATGCTTATTTTTCTTTATCATCCTAAGAACAAATAATTTGTTATCATATTGTTATTTCAACTTCTCTACAGTAGGATTTCTAGGGTATCTAGCTTTATTTTCACACAATGCAAGATCTCTCTCACAAGCAATGAGACTCAAGCATGTCAAAAATTATTTTCTATGAAGTTTTGTGACAAACACTATGATACAAGTTCTGCTACTATAATAAGCTTAACAGACACATTTTAGTTGACAACTGATGTATTAATAGGAGAATGAATTGTGATTTGGAATACATTGAGTTAAATCAGCTGTAGATTTGACTTCTGCTTGCTATGTCACTTCATATTATTTTCAAACAATGTAAATTACTAAGAACAACCAAAAGTTTAAGGGGACTTAATATCATGTGGTGTCAAGAAAAGAGAACATGCTTAATGGCACAATAATTAATGCTGAATTCAAATTGAATTCTATGAGTCTACGAATGTATCAAGGGACTTGGTTTTAATCTTTGCAACCACAGTGAACAAAATAAATTAATGATAGGGCACAGAGAATGCTATCAAATGTGTTATTCCATCTTACAAGTAAGCAACTGCTAATGAAAAAATTTCTCTGCAGCAAAGTGAAACTCATAATCGACAGCAAAAAGATAGAAAGGAAGGTAGTATCATGTGTTCTATGGAAGCTTTTACTCAGAACTCTACATTAGAAAATCTGTCCTTCCACACTTTGACCTCAAGGAAATGATTGAATCCTTTTTTCTGTATCTGAAGTCCACTAATGGAACAGTGCTGAAATATATGGAAATTTAGACAGCAGGTCCTTTTTTAAAGAGAGAATACACATGTGCATGCACATGAAAACAGAAAACCTCACGGAGGCATGGATTTAACTGCACAAAGAGCTTTATTTGGTGGCCATTGTAATAGATCCTGGCTATCAGGACCCATTCAAAGGCCAGGCCTCCTCCAAGGAGCAAACTCACCTGCTTGACTCCAACAGTTCTGAGTTTTACCTGATCCCATCAGCTCCTTAAACTTGGTAAAAACTGGTAAGCCATCTCTCCTTTCCGTATTCAGATTCCTGGTTTTCAGTTTGTTATCCAGTTTTCTTTTCTCCCTTTGTGGTTTCTTCTGAAAAGCTTCCTCCTCCCCAACCCACTGCCAGATCATTCCTTCAGACTCCTCATTATCATGCTACCTGTGACTCTGGCCAGGTGTCTCTACCCTACTTTGTGTGATTACATCAGATGAGGGCTTCTCACAGGCTTCCTGTCCTACTTGAGTGTATGTAGTGCTCCTGAACATATTCTTCAGGCTTAAATTTGGAGTTAATCCTAATTGTGCAAGGGTATATCTGGGAATGAGAAGCCACTAATATGAAAACAATGCTAGTGGAAAAGGTGTGCAGACTCATTGGAATATGTTAGGCAATTGTCAATTTATATTCTAAGCTAAAATGCAAATATATCCAGTCCTTTATTTTTAATTGATGGATAAAATTGCATGTATTTACCATGTATAACACAATGTTTTGAAGCATATATACATTACGGAATGACTGAATCTACCTAATTAACATATGCATTACCTCACATAGTTATTATTTTTGTGAGCAAATCTTGATATCACCTAATCACGTACTAAAAGTGAAATTATAGATATGTGTATAGAATTTTCTGGCAGGTGTTTTCCCCACTTCCATGAAATAGTATAGGTCATTAAATCTTTCAATAAATGATTGTAAGTCACTTACAAAGGTTTAAATATGGAGAACTACAGGCTTTTCTTATACTATATGAATTGCATGGAGATACAGGTATAATTGACAGTACAGGTATTACCTGAATGTGTCTCTTATGAATTAAGACAAGGACAGGCATTTGAACATTGAAATGGAAAGAAGCACCTCACATTCAACTGTTGTCTTTTGCTAGTTTGAATATGTGGATTAATATATTTAGCATTTAGTAAAAATAAATACAAAAATTAATTTATAAAAAATAAAATTGAGAAAAGATCTCACCAAAGAGTAAAATATATATTCAATCTTAAAGAAATATTTGCCCTTAATAACTTGTGTTATATTTTCTTTCCTGTAACAAATGTATATAGTCATGGGAGTTTCTAAATTTAAATCCACCACAAAATTTTGGAGAATATATTGGAAACTGTTTTTTCCTGGAATGTGTCCCAGGATACTCCATACTAAAGGTTTCTGAGGCAAGTTCATTTAGACTTAAGCTTAAACCCAGGATCAGATACCTTCTAGATGATATGAATAGACATATTATTTATGAGGGTAGGACTTTTTAGAAGTTGGTTATAAGTACATAAAATATCCCATCCTTAATATATAAACCTGAACTAAAACTAAACCTGCAGGGTGTTCATCACAATTTATGCAAAGTCAGTATTATGCAAAAAAAAAAATGCACCCCTGTATACTGAAAATGAAAAACAGCATCCCTAACCAAATGTCTGCTTACTTACTGAGACAGTCAGACTTCAGCAATAAAAGGCTTTCCTTCAAGAAATCCAATATGCTTACTAAGCCTCTGTCCCTCATGTCCCTGAGGGAATGTCTACCTTCTTAGTCTACTTCTTTCTGTGCCCTTAAATTCTTCACTTCACTTGATTACTTTCCCTCATTTTCCTAGGAATGTGCTGATATTTTCTGCCTCTGCACTCTTCTCAGACCATATGGAGTGTTTCATCATTACAGGACCTGCTTACATTTTCTCTCTACCATGAAGCCTTGCAGCTCACCCTATAGATCCCTCACTCGGCTGTTGTGTTGGTCTACATCACTTGTTTGGTCTTTATCTTTAATGCCCAAATAGTATTAATTTTATTTGCATTCATTTTTCTCTCCATTCAGATGGCAAACATGGAAGCGGGCAGGGACCCTGATTTTTAAAATTCCCTCCATGTTCTATTATAATGCTTTATGTTATGTATACTGAATAGATGTTAGTTTTTTTGATTGATTGAAAGAAGACAGCTAAGGAATTAAAGATACCTGAACATTTCACACAAACATTCATATTTTTGTGTCCAACTTGGGCACTGCTTAGACTGAGATGTTAGCTATTTGTTCAAACCCCCTGGGTCTGGTAGAGTGCTGCTCAATGGATGGCTTGCAGACCCTGCTGGAACATGAACTGATTGCTAGCAGCCCATGCCAAGATAAAGAGTTTATATCAGAAGGTAAATGAACAGTGTCACTTAGCACATTGTAGAGTTCAACTGACATTTTATTTATTTATTTTTATCATTTTTAGCTTGTCAAGGTATAACTGACATACAAAAAATTGCACACATTTAATATGTTCTTAGTTAAAAAAACCCCAAAGCCAAAACCCAAAACTACCCCAACAGACACACACACATGCACACATGTGCACATACACACACACATACACACACAAATTAGTTTTAGCAGGTGATGGATATGTTTAGTACCTTGGTTGTACTGATGGTACTGATGGTAGTATGCATATGTCCAAACTCAACAAACTGGTGAGGTTTTTATTTTTATTTTTTGTTTTTTAAAGCAATACTTTAAACTAGCAAAACTTGTTTTTTTTTAATTGTTTTTTTTTAGGGTTTCAGGTGATGTTGTGTTTTCTTTTTCTTTTTTTTTATTATACTTTAAGTTTTGGGGTACATGTGCACAACATGCAGGTTTTAAAGCAAGACTTGATGAAGAAATTATTGACACAGTGAGAAATACTGTGATAATATTTGGTGATTATAGTGAGGATAACAGACATGTTCTGGTTGACAACTCTGATATATTAATAGAAAAATGAATTGTGATTCATTTGACTTACATTCTAGCCCGTTTCTTACCTCACGTTGAAGCTATTAAAAATAATTCAGACCTGCTAAGTTGAGCAGTGCTGGTCTTTGCACTCCTCCCCTGCCTAATGAGTGATTGGAGGGGAGCATATTGCATGTATTTTGTATAATACTATGTAAAAACTTTACTTTCTCGAATGTATAGTTTTCTTAAGCTTCAGTTTCTTCATATATAAAATGGGACTAATCATATTTTCTTCACAGAACTGTTGTCAGAATTAAAATTTTAAAAGTGCATAAAAATTTTTTTAGCCCAGGATCTGGGATATATGAACACGAAATAATTGGTGCCTGTGATTACTATTGAAGCTATATCCTATGTGCCATATGCCGTTCTAGCAGAATGCATTAGTTAGTTATAAAATTTAACATTATTTTATTATATTTAATTGTAAATATAATTAAACCATTTAAATCTACTGAATAAACTTTTAAGAAATTGATGAAGTTTCTCATGGGAAGATGCAGGCTTTGGGAGATATAAGCATGTTCTATCATGACTGAAAGTTGCCTTAATAAAGAAGGAAATAGTGCCATATAAGACAACATGGATGAACCTTGAGGATACTATGTTAAGTGAAATTAGCCCGTCATGGACAAGTAATGCATAATTCCACTTACATGAGGTATCTAAAATAATCCACTAGATAGAAGCAAAGAGTAAAACAGTGATTGCCAGCATCTGGGGAGGAGGCAGTGTTGGGGCATTGCTATTCAGCAGGTATAAAGTTTCAGTATGCAAGTCATTAAGTTCTAGAGATTTGCTGTACAACATTGTGTCTATGTTGTTAACACAGTCAGCAACACTGTATTGTATACTTGAAAATTTGTTAACAGGGTAGATCTCATGTTAAGTGTTCTTAACATGATTTTAGAAAAAAGTACATATAAGTTTATGCACTTTTATGCAGTACCTTAGGTTCAGAATATGTGAAACCGTATTATGCACTGTAGAAATTTTAAGATCAATTTAAAAATAACTAATAAAATAAACATATGCCTAATATGTCCATGTGTCTGAAATTGCTGTTGATCATTGTGTCTGAGATATTTGATATACACAGACTGAACACACTGTTTATACAGCAGACATTGTATAAAGTCTATCGGTATGACCAGACTGGTTATTATGTAGGAAGTAGAGATTTATTCATCAAATACTCATTGAGCACCTATACTGTGTGAGGCACTGTTCTAGAACCGAGAATTCAGCTGAATAAAAGAGCCCCAAATTCCCTCTCATGGAGCTACAGTCTTGTCATTTTTGTAAATGCGGTGGTTTATTATGACCACAATAGCCCTTATGCTTGGAATTATTAGTACTTCCAGGCCTCTATGTGTACAGAGAGTTTAGTCTAGATTAGTTGAGGATTGGGCCGTGCCTTTGTATTGCTACCTGACTGGTTCCTAAGGCATTGGGTGAAGGGTCTTCCTCAGCAGAGGGGCTGTGCACTAAAGGCGGTCATTGCTGGGGTGAGGGTGGGGCTTTATCAGGCTCCCTTGGAGACTGGATTCGTTGTCCTCCTACGCTTAGCTGCTCAACCCTATCCAAAGCAGCCCTTACCCTTACAGCACTGCCATGGCTAAGAGGCTTCTGACTGCTGTGGCACCCAAGGCCATCTTTATCCTTCAGTTTCCTTTTCTATTCATTCATAGGAAAACACTGTGATAGTTAATTTTGTGTGTCAGCTTGATTGGGCTCAAGGATTCCCAGATAGCTGGTAAACATAATTCTGGGTATGCCTATGAGGGTGTTTCTGGAAGAGATTAGCCTTTGAATCCATAGACTAAGTAAAGATCTGCCCTTGTTGATGTGCATAAGCATCTAATCCACTGAAAGCTTGAATACAGCAAAAAGGTGAAGAAAGGGGGAATTTGCTCTCTACTTGAGCTGGGACATCCATCTTCTGCCTCAGACATCAGTGCTTCTGGTTTTGGGGCCTTTGGGCTTGGACCAGGGCTTATGCCATTGGCCCCAGTTCATGGGCTTTTGAGTTTGGACTGGTAGTATACCACTAGCTTTCCCGGGCTGGGCCTCCAGCTTGCAGATGGCAGGTCGTGGAACTTCTAAGCTGTGTTTGCATAAACCAATCCCACTTAAAAAATTTACTTCTTTGTATCTCTATATATCTTATTGGTTCCATTTATCTAAAGAACCTTGACCAATATAAACAGTATGCCATATGATTTAGGTATTGTTTAAAGTGATTTGCTTATTCATTGGAGCAATATAGCAGCAAGCTAGAAACTTGCAAGTAAAATTCTTTTTTCCTAATGAGATTAAAAACATATCTTTCCTATGGGTATTTCTAGACCATATTGTCCTTCTTAAATGTATGCAATATACTTGAGGTTATAACTTAAATGCTTTAGGTACTGTTTAATTTCATGCAGCCATAATTAGCTATTTATGACTACCATTATGTGCATTGCCTCCTGACCCTTATGAAGATCATGCTTGGCTTCACAGAGCAGTGATTTGACTGTGTGTTAAGCCATCAGTGAAACCAGACTAGTTATTATATGAAGAGAAAGATTGCTTTCTTTGCAACAAACAGAATTTCTTTTCTAATCTAATGAAATCACTTGAGAAGTTATTCATATAAAATCTTTGTGAAATGAAATCTGGGGATGCAAATAGATTTTTACCTCCATTTTACAATTTGGAAAACTGTCGTATGTGTATCTACATATCATGTTTTTCTTTCCTTGCATACTGCAGTCTGAAACCATAGAACATTTTAACTTATAATTCAACTGTAAATCAAATGCTGGGATGCAAGAATCTTTTAATTTGGCTATGTGGTTTCTATTTGTTTTTACTATTTAAAATATACTGTTTTTGAAGACATAAATTATTGAAATAATTTTATATATCTTTCCTTTTCAATTGAAAGACTTTACCTTGTAGATGCCATCTTTGCTAGTTTACTTTACTTTTCTTTTTTTTTTTTTTTTTTGAGATGGAGTCTCGCTCTGTTGCTCACTGCAACCTCTGCCTCCCAGGTTCAAGCAATTCTCCTGCCTCAGCCTCCTGAGTATCTGGGACTACAGGTGCATGCCACCATGCCTGGCTAAGTTTTGTATTTTTAGTAGAGACAGGGTTTCATCATGTTGGCCAGGATGGCCTCGATCTCTTGACCTTGTGATCTGCCCACCTCGGCCTCCCAAAGTGCTGGGATTACAGGCGTGAGCCACTGCACCCAGCCTTCCTTTTTCTATTTCATTGGAACATATGCCATACATTCAGAATTAGAGTCTCCTCAAAGAAGATGCACAAGTGTCTATGGCTTGTGTCAAAAATTATGAAAAATACAGTATTAATGTTGACGTCTTTGGTGACAGTTCAGGGAAACAAAATAAACAGAATGTTTTTAGGTAAGGGATTACAGCAATAATGAACACTCTAATAATAATTTGCTTTCAGAAACATGTAATACTAGATTAAATGTCATAAGTAAGACTGCAGGGAGATAAAGAATGAGATATCTGCTTTTTTCTTTGTTAATTAAATGAAATCAAATTCAATGAGGTCTTAAGAAAGGGAATTGTAGGCCAGAGGGCCTTAGGCTGAGATGAAGGGAGGAGGCTGATTAGAATTTTAAAATATCTTCTTATTGGGCCTCTTCTTACATGAACACTGCTACATCCACAAAATTCCAGTGTTTCACTATTACCAAACAAAAACACAAAGGAAATAGGAAGTTATTTACACTACCTATTAAGGACTCCTTTATGCCTAGAATAGATTCTGAGCCCAATGCCAGGCTCCTGACCTGGCAGGCTCCTGACCAGGCTCCTGACCTGAGCTCTAGGCTCCTGACCAGAGCTCTAGGTCACTTCGTGAATTTGAGAGTTTCTGCATAGGTTTGTGTTCCAGTAACGTTACAGAAACATATGTCACTCAAGGAAACCATGACATATATGAAAATAGTTGCTGTATGATGTGTTTAAGTATAAACAGGAGCAGAGTGAATCATCACTGGATGATGAGTGACTGAGGCCCATTTGGAGGATAGAGTGAGAGTGTGAATCATCTGTGGGAAAGGCAAAACACATATGAAGTTCTAATTGTGAGACCTGGAATTTGACTATTGCAGATGTTAGTATGTTTTAGCATTCAGTGGACAAATGCAATCTGCCATAAATCAAGACTGATTTTAGTAATCAGTTTTCAATCCTGAGAGTCACTCTTCAGCACCCAAGATTTAAACTCATTTTACTACTGAGTCTTAAGTCCCTTCTCCTTCCCACTTGTGGAAAGTACAGAGGAAAACTTGGGAACTGTTGGAGTACTGCTAGGAGGGTAGCAGCAAATTTGGAAATTAATAATTCTTAAACATAATGCTATAACATACTGGTCTAGCCAGATCAGTTGTAGAGTGTATCACAAAACAAATGACAAGCAATATACTTAGGTGTATTTGTAATCCCTCCTATAGGTGAAAAGAGGGACATTATTATTTATGCTTCATTGGGTTGTGCCCCACCTGCCCATTTCACCCCATGAGTCCAGCTGGAGAGCACTTATCACTGTATCACAGCTACCCAATAGTCACACTGCCTTCCCTGTTGTTCCTGGGATCTCTGGAGTATCTCATGTCTGCTCCAAACTAGCAGCCTCATACAGTCTTTTCATGAGCCCCCCTCCACTTGCCTGAGGAATTTTCTGTCAGTGCTTCCCCTCCCCACTTGCTGAGTAATGTGCTATCCCATTGCCTTCCCTCTGCCCCTGGAGCTGTTCTGCATTTTATTCTGAATTGGGAGAATGCCTGCTCCCAAGCTATTGTTCAACTTGGTTCCCAAGTTCCAGAGCTGCAGGACTCAGGCCCCAAGTCTCTTGTGGAAAAGTTGCTCCAGCTTCTGCTTTCTGCCTCTCTATGGGTATCAGATCTATTGCGTGGGACCAGGACACTGTCCTCTCTAAGGGCCTGGCTTCCTCATCCCTAACCTGGCATCCACGCACTAATAACAGATTTTACCCAGAAACACTATTGCTTAATGCTTATCAACTGAAACCAAGTTGGTCCTGGGTGATACCTGATCCGTAATCTACCATAGTGAGATGACTATTGAAACTTATGTTTCCACTAGGTCCTAAGTTCCTTCTTCCCACTTCTGGAAAGTACAGAAGAAAACCTGGGAACTGTTGGAGTGCTGCTAGGAGGGTAGCAGCAAATTTGGAGATTAATAATTCTTAAACATAATGCTATAACATATTGATCTAGCTTATGCTAAAATGAAAGCTCCACAGACCATTTGGACCAGTTAGCTTTCTGTGTGGCTGGAGATTAGACAACTGTGGAATAAGCAAGAAAGAGAAATTATAAAATATGGAACAAGGAAATTAATTATTTTGAATCCAAACTGTTAAGGCTCTTAAATGATATGCTGTATTTAAATATTATTTGGTAGATAAATAAAATCAATAAAAAATTTAAAACAGGTGAATAACATGGTTAGTTCTTTCTTTTATTTTTAAAAGATATTCTTGGTAACAATGCAAGATAGATTAACCTAGGGATATGCAATGAGACAGATGTAATGACTAATGCAATAGTCCAAGTAAGAAATGATGAAAGCCTGATAAAGCCATGCACTTGTGTTAATAATAATGCTAATATTTATTGTTTACCAAATTAAAGATATCAAGCTGAAACCTAGAGAGACCAAAAAGAAGTGATTAAAAGCATGAAAACTTCAGTCAGAATGTCTGGGTGTGAATTCTGGCTGAATATTTACCATCTGTGTGACTTTGGATGAGTTACTTAATCTCTGTGTTTTCAGTTTTCTCATCTACAAAACAGCAGTAATAATAGGACTTATTTGATAGGTTTTTGTGATAATTAAATGAGTGATACATGTAAAGTACTTAGAAAAGTGCTTGGCCATAGCCTTGTTCTTGTTCCTATTCCTAATCCTATTATCATTATTTCTCAAGATCATATAGCTAATAAACAATCTAGAATTTAAATTTTGATTGCTTGATCTCAAAGCTCACACTCTTAAATACTCTGTTAAAGATAAGAACATATTAGAGTGAGAATTTGAGAGATAGCACAAACAAAATATAAAGAATAAAAGAGAGTGAAGTGTTCAGAATCACATTGGGGTTTCTTATTTGGATGCCTATCTAGGACAATAAAGGAGAACAGAAAACCAAGAGAAGCAAACTTTCTTGAAGAAGGGAGTAATTAAAAATGTCATGCAATGGCATATGGCATCCTCAATTAGCGCAAACAAGTGATTACATTTCCAAAAGCAATAGAAGGAAGGAGAAGTCAGTATCCTTGATCAAATAATTATACTCACCTGACTGAGAAGTTTAACTTAGAAGTTAAAACTGGCAGAATATGGCTTTGGTCAGGGTGGAAGGGAATTCTTGCCTAGCAAATGGAATGTAACAATGTGATCCGAATGATAAATGGAAGAGGTCATTAACTGCTATAGTCTTTGCTTTTGGAAGAATATAGCTATATTAAACTGTGAATTTTAATGTTGTGATTCTGAAAGCCTAACATTTTAGCATGCTCGTGATATTCCCAGATGATTAAGTGGACCTGAGAAAAATATTGGCTAAGAAGAACTTGATGGATTTATTTATAAGGTTTTTCTCAAATGAGCTTTAATATCAATAGTATACTAAAGCAAAAGGAGAATTTACTTTTCTCTCTGTTAAAATAACAAACTTTTCTTTGATTATTGATCTGCTCTTAATAAGTTGTAGAAGATTTTTCTTTACCTTTTGAGTAAGGTAAGGTACAGATTCTATGTTTTATCAGAAAAATTTCCTGTGCTTTATGTTGAGATTATTATGTTCTTGACTACCCAAGAGGGCCAAGACTTACCACTTTTGAAAGGGCTAAATGTTTTTACAGTTACATTACATTCTATGTTTACTTTTGAAACTTTTTGTTATCACTTTGATTAAATAGGTAGCCAGTATTATTTCTCAGTGACTCATAATCCTTTTTAACCAAATATTCAAACCTCCTGACAACTTTTGATATTTTTATCTTTCCGAAATAAAATATTGAATGAAATCTTCTTAATCCCAGATGGATTTTGAAAGCCCCCTGGAAAATCACAAAGGATCTTTCATCTTGTAAAAAGACAGGTGCAAAAATAATTAGGTGTATTTGACATGTTGAATTGAATGGAAAGCACTGTCAAATAAGAAGAGATGTTTCACCTTTCCTAAGTTATATTTGTATAGACAAAACATAATAAATATAAATATTCCAGAAATTGTACGAGGTTTCTGGAAATTTGTCAATGTCTTCTCATTCCATATGTTCTGGTGCTGTTTTACCTCATATTAAATAGCAGTATAGTGTTATCAGTTGTAATTCTAGTTTTTTTGAAAAAATGTAAAAACAACCATTTAAAAACACTTGTAAAAGCAACTGAGCAAACAGAATGTTTTGATCAAGAGGGTCATGAAAACAAGTCCTGCTGATCTCCTACCTCAAACCTATGCAAATAATTATATTGCCATGAAAATAAGCAACTATCCCAAATCAGCTAGGACTAGGAATTGTAATGCATTTTCATAAGACACTCCCACCAGTGCCATGACAGTTTACAAATGATGCCATGGAATGACCCAGAAGCTCCCCTATATGGTTCCAGGAACTCTCACCTCCTTTCCAGAAAGTTTATGAATAACCTCCCCCTTAATTAGTACATAATTAAAAGTGGTATAAATATAGCTATTCAGCAATCTGTGAGTGCTACTCTGGACCACTCTGCCTCTAGGATAGCCCTACTTTGTCTATGAAACAGCCATTTTGCTATACCCTATTGCTCTAATAAGCTTGCTTTCTTTCACTGTCAGCTTACCCTTCAATTCTTTGCTGAGCAGAGCCAAGAATCCTCCATGGCTAAGCTCCAATTTTGGGGTTCTCCTGCATCAGGTTCAATAAGAATCTGCCCTGTTTGTAACACAACATAATTAGAAACATTAGTTATATAACGAAGGCTTCAACTGGAATGTCATATCTGAGAATGATCCATAAAATCAGATATTACCAGACAGTTTTAACGAACTAAGGTTGACTTTATGGAGCCAGTGTTCACAAAGCCTGCTTGGGAAAACTTGACAGGTACCTGACTTACAGAATTCCCAGCTTACAGATGAGTAAGGAGGGTCACTTCCTGGCAGACCCAGGAATCTTAGAATATTTTAGGGACCTAAAGAATAGTATTCACCCAAATTTGTAGGTACTGCAGGTCAAATATTGTAGTGAGTAACTGGCTTGTCTTCCTAGCCAAGAGGATTTTAAAAGTCCAGTTAGAGACTCTTTATGAAAACTTCCAGCAAAGCAATCTCAAAAAAGTCTATGTGGTCAATTACCATTCTTGCTGCACCTAAATAAGTAGTGAAGCCATATTTAATGCAAACAGACTTATTTTGTGATTGAGAATAATCTTACTTTGATGATCTTTGATCAAAAAAGGTGAATGAGATAACATCCTTTGCAGGGACATGGATGGAGCTGGAGGCCATTATCCTTAGCAAACTAATGCAGGAAGAGAAAACCAAATACCACATGTTCTACCTTATAAGTGGGAGCTAAATTATGAGAATACATGGACACATAGAGGGGAACAACACACACTGGGGCTTATCAAAGGGCAGAGGTTAAGAGGAGGGAGAGGGTCAGGAAAAATAACTAACAGGTACTAGGCTTAATACCTGGGTGATGAAATAATCTGTATGACAAACCCTCATCACAAAAGTTTACCTACGTAACAAACCTGCACATGTACCCCTGAACTTAAAATAAAAGCTTAGAAACTTATATTTCAATAGCACACCTTGAGTTATCAGATCCTGGTCCTACTTATTGTCTTTGAGGTATTTTTCTCTGCTCTGTAAATTGCATAGCTTTGTTACTACCTGTAAATTATACTTCTGTCATTTGGCACAATTGTCCATCCTTACCAAATTTTAAATTTTCGAAGTTTCCTTCAATATCTGGTTACCTCCTCCAAAGTAGTGTTTCCAATTTTTCTCCCACTCTCCTGACTTGGCATCATTGAGAACTAAAACCTGACTGCCGAGATTCTTATTGGGACTCTAGGTTGTTTCATAACTGGCCTTTTCCAGCAAGATCTGAAGAAGCCTCTAAGCTGAAGCTAGATGACTTGAAGTTTATATCACAGAAGATCCTGTATGAGAAAACTTTCTGCCTGGAACTGCTGCTGTGTAGGCCACTTAGGAAGTTCATTAGAACTCCTGCATCTTCCATACTGGAAACATTCCATTATGGAAACAACCATAATGGTGACAATCTTATTAAAGCCTCTCTGATTCTACGCCATCACCGAAAACATTCAGACTGCAAAGTGTGAAATCCGTTGGATTTTCACTGCCATCTTCATCCCATCATCTAACTATTCTTCAAGCTCGACGTCCAGGAATCTCACCTGACTGCCCACTCATCTCAGAAACCGAACTGAAAGTCTGCTCCTACCAAGAGCCTTTGCTTTTTAAACTTTTCTATAGGAATTCCTCACACTAAATGCCTCATTGCTTGCATTATCCATCAGATATTTTCTACTGCCGAGTCTCAGCAGATGGTGCAACTAGTCTTTCCACAACAGAAATCTGCTGAAATACACTATATGGATGAACTTAGTTTCCCTGGATCAAAAGGGGGAATTGATGAAGGCGACCTTAACATTCCTTTCAGCTTAACTAAATTTTAGACTAGCTTCTTTCTGCCTTTAGTTCTATTAACTTCCTTTTTCTTAGAGCATTTACTCTAGAAAACTTGTAATTTTAAAATATTTGTCTACCTCTTTGAGATGTAAATCTTTTTTATTTTTTAAAGTCTCTTGTCAGTTTCATACCACCCAGCACTCTTCTCAAAAGCCTCAGAGACATTCCTTTGAGATCCATTGTCAATGAAAATAGAGCCTCTACCTTCTAGTTTCTGTGGAAGTGTAGGAACAAAGTTTAGTGGGTGCCTTGATCCAAGTTGTAAAGCTACTTCCCTTCAAAAAGATAGGGGAAAGTTTATTTCTCCTTTGTGTAAAGCCAATTAGCTAATTAGATGACCTGTGGTCTCTGCTCCTCCAAGCATTTAAAAATCCTCCTGCTCTTTCCTTCAGTGGAGTTGAGTTCAGTATATTCTAGTCTCCCTCCCCAATTGGCAATAGCCTTAAAGTTTTCTTTGCTTGTCCATGACATAAATATTGCCATTTTTGCTTTGATAATATGAAGTCCACAAAACCTTTCAATTTTCTTCAGATATCCTTAGATGTTATATCAAATACATAAATTATTTTGGACTCACAAATCTAGAGTTTAAAATTGAGCAGACTATAGGCAGTAAACCTTTTTAATCCAAATTAAAAACGTATCCAACAATCCAGGTATTTTTAAAAATTCACTGGTGGCTTGGCCGGATGCGGTGGCTCACGCCTGTAATCCCAGCACTTTGGGAGGCCGAGGTGGGCAGATCACGAGGTCAGGAGATCGAGACCATCCTGGCTAACACGGTGAAACCCTGTCTCTAATAAAAATACAAAACAATTAGCCAGGCGTGGTGGCGGGCACCTGTAGTCCCAGCTACTTGGGAGGCTGAGGCAGGAGAATGGCGTGAACCCGGGAGGCAGAGCTTGCAGTGAGCCGAGTTGGCACCACTGCACTCCAGCCTGGGCAACAGAGCAAGACTCTGTCTCAAAAAAAAAAAAAAATTCATTGGTGGCTTTATATTACCAGGTGGATTGCTGTTTGTGTGTGTGTGTGTATGTGTGTGTGTGTTTTCCCAACCCCAACAAGATTCTTTGTAATTTGGCCAAAAATATTCGTGGTTTATTAATGATGCATTTTTTTTCCCTAAAGGGATAAAGTTAGGATTTCTAAAAACCTGAATGCTGCTTCCTCCTATGAGCATTAGCACCTACCTGAGTTCCTCAAAGTCTTATTAAAGCTAAAACTTTGATTGCAAACCTGGACTCCTACCTTGGCTAGCTGCAAAGGCATGCATGTGAGCCCTAAATTTTCCCTTTAGTCTTTATTTTTATGCTTAACCTAGAGGCAAACTCATGAAGTTGGCTTCATGGGTTAGCATCAACAGAATATTTTTCAAAAAAAGGACAGAGCAGGTGGAATGATGCAAGGGAGAGAAGGGAGAGGACATTTACCCTAGAGAAGAGTATGCTTGCATCAGCTTAGTTCAACTTTTAATTCTTTTCCACTTCCTGATAAAAGTTTTATGCCCCTTTCCCTTAACACCTAGGCATAATTTCTTTTCCTTAGGGGTGAAGCTTCAGCAGCATAGAAAGTGTCATGAATAAAATCTGAACAATTTTCCATGAGAAATTTCTTTTAAGAGTCCCATAGTAATATTCATTTCCTGTTTTCAGTGTTTTTTTTTTTTAACTGTTCTTCAATGTTTGATTTTCTACCCAAACTCTTACTTTTTTTTTTTTTTTTTTACCTGCTCTAGGTCATCTTCTGAGTGTAAGATTTTCCACTTTTCTTTAGCTACTTTAATTCTGAAATTCAAAAAGCTTTTTTCTAAATGTTATCTAGTGTAAACATATATTTAGTATTTCCACAAGTTTTCAAAGGAAGGAGCACATGATCAATCCTTTATGCATGAATTTCAGCATAATCAGACTAAAAATGTCAGAAAATGCCAGTCTAATAAGATAGAAAATTGGCCACAGTGATTTATTTCCCTGAGGCTGGAAGAAGTCTTCACAGAATTCAACAATTTCAGGGAGAGAATCTGAGAGCTCCGGTTTTGTTTTCCTTATGGCTTTATTTCTTAAACTGTACACACAATTTAAGCAATTATTCATTGCTTCTTTGCAGCCATTTCATCCTTTATTAACAATTGACCTGTCTGATAATTTTATTAGTCATTGTGTTTTAATGACTTTTTATGGATTATATACTAAGAAGTAAAACTACATGTTCCCCACTTGAAATAATGGAACTGCTTTAAGAAATCTATAAAGAAAAAAGCAAAACTAAATGATTGTTCATGATTAACAAACTTTTTTATAAACTTTTTTGATCTCAATGTCTCCTTATCCTTCTTATTTTCTTGTAACACCTATTTATACCATGAAGCAATAGTATTCTAAAGAACACACTGTGGAAATACTGAATTAGGTATACTCAGTCAAAAAATGAAATGTCTTCAGGTGGCTTTTTTTCATTAAGATCCTTTTGTTAAGAATACACAATTTAAATTGAAAAATATATGTCACATGACAGCATTACAGCAGAGGTACAGCATTTGCTGTGCTACTTAGATTGAATTTTCAGGGTTTCTGTACTTTATTGAATCCAAATTTGGATCTTCAACTTTGTACATTCAGTGGTTCAGTTTTATCAGTTGCATTCATGTGTTGTAAAAATGAGTTATGTGAGGGGCAGGGGAAGATGGCAGAATAGAAGGCTCCATCAATTGTCTCATCTGCAAAAAGAACAAATTTAACAACTACCTATATAAAAAAAAAGCATCTCCATAAGAACCAAAAATCAGGTGAGCACTCACAGTACCTGATTTTAACTTCATATCACTGAAAGAGGAACTGAAGATGGTAAGAAAGTCAGTCTTGAATTGCTGATGCCAGTCCTTTCCCATTTGCCCCACAGTGGCCACATGGTGCAGAGAAACCTGTGCGCTTGAGAGAGGGAGAGTGCAGAAATCATGAGATGCTGGGAATAGGCCCCAAGCCTGGCTATAAACAGGCCATGAGAAACTGGCCATAAACAAGATCTCTGCAGCACTGTGACATGCTTGTGATAGCTATGACGCACACGCTGGAGGTTGCTGGTTTACTGGAATGAGGGCAAGGAACACCTGGCCCACCCAGGACAGAAAAACCGCTCAAGGCATTCCTAAACCAGAAACAATGGCATGAGCGATCTTTGCCTTAAGGAGATGTTCCTGCTGCAGATAACAAGCCAGAGCCTGTCCCTTTATTCTCCATAAGAATACTTTTAGTTAATTTATAAACTGCAGAAATGATGTTTATCATGGTTTACTGTCAATAAATAGGTGGGTCAAACTCTGTTCAAGGCTCTCAGCTCTGAAGGCTGTTAGCCCCCTGACCCCACTTTGCACTCTATTTCTGTGTCTGTGTCTTTATTCTTCTAGTGCCACTGGGTTGGGGTTTCCACAACCGAGCTGGTCTGGGCAGTGAGACTTTGCATAGAACCTAGTGCGTGCTGCCCTGTCACAGTGGAAGGCAGAGCTGGGCTAACCTCAGCTGATGTCTGCCCATGAAGGGAGCATTTAGACTAGCCCTAGAGAGAGAGGAATCACCCTTTCCAGTGGTTGGAAGTTGAGTTGCAGCAAGCCTTGGCACCATGGGCTGAAGTGCTCTCAGGCTTGAAATAAACTTGAAAGGCAGTCTAGGCCACAAGGATTGCAGGTTCTAGTGCTGAGCTGGTCTCAGAACCAGTGACCTACAGAGACACCAGCCGGGGCAGCTAAAGGAGTGCTTGTGTTATCTCTCGCCAAGCCCCAGGCTGCACAGCTGGTGTCTCCAAAAGATACCCCTTTCTTCTGTTTGAGGAGAGGAGAGGAGAGGAAAGAGTAAAAAGGACTTTGTTTTGCATCTTGGATAACAGCTCAACCACAGTAAGAGAGGGCAAGAGTCAGTGTCTCGAGGCCCCATTCCAGTCCCTAGCTCACAAACAGCATTTCTAGACACACCCTGGACCAGAAGGGAACCTGCTGCCTTGAAGGGAAGAACCAAGTCTTGGCAGAATGCATCACCTGCTGACTAAAGAATAATTGGGCCATGAATAACCAGCAGCCATACCCAAGTGGTATGTCATGAGCCTTGGATGAGACTCTTAGATGTGCTGGCTTTAAGTTGGACCCAGCACATTCTCAGCTGTGGTGGCGTGTCCAGAATTGGTTCCTTTTGGTGGGTTCTTGGTCTCGCTGACTTCAAGAATGAAGCAGTGGACCCTCGCGGTGAGTGTTACAGTTCTTAAAGATGGTGTGTCTGGAGTTTATTCCTTCAGATGTTCAGATGTGTCCGGAGTTTCTTCCTTCTGGTGGGTTCGTGGTCTCACTTGACTTCAGCAGTGAAGCCACAGACCTTCGCAGTGAGTGTTACAGCTCTTAAAGGTGGTGTGTTCAGAGTTGTTTGTTCCTCCCAGTGGGTTCATGGTCTCTGACTTCAGGAGTGAAGCTGCAGACCTTTGCAGTGAGTGTCACAGCTCATAAAGGTAGTGCGGACCCAAAGAGTGAGCAGTAGCAAGATTTATTGTGAAGAGCGAAAGAACAAAGCTTCCACACTGTGGAAGGGGACCCGAGCAGGTTGCTGCTGCTGGCTCAGGTGGCCAGCTTTTATTCCCTTATTTGGCCCCACCCATGCCCTACTGATTGGTCCATTTTATAGAGCACTGATTGGTCCATTTTTCAGAGTGCTGATTGGTGCGTTTACAAACCTTTAGCTAGACACAGAGCGCTGATTGGTGTGTTTACAATCCTTTAGCTAGAAAGAAAAGTTTTCCAAGTCCTCACCCAACCCAGAATCCCAGCCGGCTTCACCTCTCCATCCCTCCTCTAAACAGGAGACCCCAGCTGCTGTTGGGAATTGGGTGATGACCATTCTAGCTACTTCCTGCTGGATAGGGGTAAAGAAGGGGCCCTACAGTTGTAGTGTTCTCCAGAGGGGAACTCTCTAGGCCAGTGAAAGGGCCAGCAAGTCAGTCCAGGGGTCCTTGGTAGAAGTCATTAGTTAAGCTCATTTGGGGTTCCATTTGTAAGATCATCTGTAGCTTGATGGCCTCGATCCTAGAGGAAACAAATTTGACAAGGAGGTTAAAAATACAGGGCCCAAAGGTGAGTAATAGCAAGATGGCTGCCATGGGACCTAGAAAGGGGAGAAGCCATGTTGCCCAATTCCAGAGGTTGGTATAAGAGTTTGAAAGGCTTTGTCTGATTTCAGAAGCCTTGTCCTGTAAATGCCGGTCAGTATCTCCTACTGTCCCTGACTGGTTAGTGTAGAAAGAACATACTTCCCCTAAGAAGGTGCAGAGTTGTCCTTTCTCAGCAGTGAGGAGGTCTAGGCCTCGGAGGTTTTGGGTAGTCACTGGTGCCAAAGAGTCTATTTGGGATTGTAGAGTAAGGATAGATTTTGTTATTTCTTGCAAACTGTCTGAGAAATCCTTTGAGAGTGTGTGGTAGTAGGATAATGAAGTAGATAAACTGACTATTCCGGTTCCTATAGCAGTAGCCATTCCTAACCCTATAAGTAGGGGTTTTAGTTGTATGGCTCTGTGCTGATGGACTTGAGCTTTGAGGGGTACTGATAGGGTCTGATTTCCTGGGACAATGTTAATGTTGGGACTTAGAAAGACTAAGGTGCAGGTGCCTGTCCAATTAGTGGGGAGGCAGATATAGGTCAACGTTCCACATAAGAAGGATATACCTTGGCTGAGTAGACAGAACGGATTGTGTATGTTAAAAAGGTGTGTGAGTTTGTTGTTTTCATCTTCCCATACTCCTAGAGTGCTTGCCAAGGTAGCTCCGGTGAGTGGTTGGAAAGGGGTATTTGGAGCAAACTGAGTGGCTCCCTGTGTTCTATTTTCCCATTGGAGAAAAAAACGTTTTGTGTCTACTAGGAACCATTCGAGAGAGTGATTGAAAGAAGGGATGAGAAGGCGTTCACTAGTGGTGGGATGCTGCTTCAGGGAGTCCAGGGATGAACGGTCATGCAGGGAGTATGTTTACCATTACAAAACCTGGACTGTTTGTTAAGCAGGGAGGAGGTGATAATTTTTGGGGGCCTTGAGAAGTGGACAAGCCATCTGAATGGAGCTGTTTGGGTGACTCAGAAGTTACTATGATCAGTTGGGGCTTGAAATTGTAGGGTGTAATTATACTGATGCGGTAGTAGGTGCCCCAGGGACAGGCCAGATAACAGGTTGCGTTGGATGCATAAAGGGGCTTGGAAAGTTAAGATGGTATTCATAGTTACAGGGCCGTGTATGGGCTTTTCGTTGCTTGTGTAATAGGTGAGGTTGGAAATGTAAGAACATAAAAGTTGGATTGCACATCCTGTAAGGGTATTCTTGGTCCTATCAGAGATGGGGGAGTTGGCTAATGATTGCATATTTAGAAGTCGGAAAGGGTCTTTTCCTTCATAATGAGGGTGGTAGGTTAAGTTGGTAAAGACCCAGTTTTTTGCAGGAAAGGGAGTGGCAACATAAGCAGAATTCGATAGAGAAATACAAAGCCAACAGTCATTTGCCAGGTAAGGACTGGACTGGTTTAACAGAGTGTGGGTTAAGTTGAGAGTCTTATAGAGATAATTAGGAGCTAGTGGAAGGGGAGGGGTGATTGCATGAGGTATCCAAGGAAGCAGGAGGGATAGATAGGCAAAGAGTAAATAGGAAGGTAAAGAGGGTCCCTGGAAGACGAGATCATCTTATCCAGTCTGAGTTAAAGGTTGGAGTAAGTTGCTGTCAGAAGGAAGGAAGATAGAAGGAAGGTTGATGTGATTAGGATTTTCATCTTGGAAGGAGCTACAGTGTATAGTCCTATCACAAAGAGTATGGTTAGTATGCTACTTAATAATATGATGAAATAATAAAAGGATTCCATTAAAGATAAAGATTATGTAGGTTTTCACTTATCTTTTTTAAGGAGGAAGGGGTTTTTCTTCAGGATCAGTGGTAGGAGCCTTTTTAGTCTGGGATGTTTCCTTCTGAAATAGGAGATGCAAGTCCTCCAATGGTTTGCAGGTGTACTGAGGCTGGTCTGGCTGATCTTGGGACTCCTGAGCTGATGGTACTGCAGGTTCCTCAGGGGGTATCCAAAATTTAACTCGGGTGTGGTGAATACAAGATTCCACTCCTGCCACCTTAACTGCAGTGGGGGTAGAGAGGATTACTGAGTATGGTCTTTCCCACAAAGAGTCCATAGATGGGGAGGTAGAGGGGAGAGATTTGACCAACACTAGATCTCCTGGTTGAAATGACTCTGTTCCCTTTTCTCTGTGACATCCTTCAGGTAGATTTTTAAGGTTTTGTTGATATTTTGCCAAAGAAGTTATATCTTTGACCAAGTTGGCCATTTCCTGATCAACTAGGAGTTCATTTGTGAGAAAACGTCATCCATACAACATTTCATATGGACTGAGCCCCATTTTGTGAGGAGAATTTCAGATTCTCAACAAGGCCATGGGCAAAAGAGTAGGCCATGGGAGATGAGTTTCTTGTGTTAGTTTCCTTAAGTGCCTCTTCAGTGTTTCAGTTGCCTTCTCGACCTTCCCTGAGGATTGTGGCCTCCAGGCACAGTGAAGGTGATATTGTATCCTTAGCGCCCTGGAAAATTCCCTGAGTTATCATGGCTTTAAAAGCCGGATCATTGTCACTCTGTAAGCTTTGGGGAAGCCCAAATCTAGGAATTGTTTCATGAATTAGAACTTTATTCACTTCCTGAGCCTTCTCTATCTTGCAGGGGAAAGCTTCTATCCAATTTGTAAAGGTATCAACACAGACCAACAAGTATTGAAATCCCTTTGACTTAGGCATATGAGTGAAGTCTAATTGCCAGTCCTCTCCAGGATAGTGACCTATCCTTTGTTCCCCCAAAGGGGCCTTATGATGGACCAAGGGATTATTCCTTTGGCACACCTCACAGGCTTTGACTACATGTCGGATGGTCCAGAGGAGATTTGGCCCTGTAAATAGGGATTTGGCCATTTGTTGAGTGTTTTCAATACCCATCTGAAAAGTTTGGTGGAGGGTTTTAAGTATTTTCCACTGGCTGGCTTCGGGTATAAGTACCTTTACTTCTTCTGTCATTAACCACCCCAAGGGGAGAAAACTATGACCCTGTGAAAGTCCCCATTCTGTTTCAGTCAGAGAATACTGGGGCTTAATCTCTTGGAGGGGGTTGTTCCATACCAAAGGTCCTTCTGTAGGTATTTCTAATGAGGGGTTCCACCTGGCAGCAATTTTGGCTTCAGCATTTGCCTGATGATTTCCTTTTGCCTTTTCTTTCCTTTTCTTTTCATTTTTTTTTGAGACAGAGTCTTGCCCTGTCCCCCAGGCTAGAGTGCAGTGGCACAGTCTCGGCTCACTGCAACTTCCTCCTCCCTGGTTCAAGTGATTCTCCTGCCTCAGCCTCCTGAGTAGCTGGGATTACAGGTGCACACCACCACGCCCAGCTAATTTTTTGTTGTTGTTGTTATTTTTAGTAGAGATGGAGTTTCACCATGTTGGCCAGGCTGGTCTCGAACTCCTGACCTTGCAATCTGCCCACCTCACCTCCCAAAGTGCTGGGATTACAGGCATGGGCCACCACACTCGGCCTCCTTTTACCTTTTATCCTTCACCTTTCTGATGGCTTTGACAGTGTAAGATTGCCACCTCCTTGGGTTTTTGCACAGCATGCAATAACCCCATAATTTAATGGGGGTTCCCCCAGAGGTTAGGAACTCCGTTTCTTTCCATATTGCAGCATGGGCATGTAGGATTAGATAAGCATACTTGCTATCTGTATACGCATTTATTCTTTTTCCCTTTCCCAGTTCTAATGCTTGGGTAAGTGCCACTAGTTCTGCTAACTGGGCTCTGGTCCCTGGGGGAAGAGGCTTATTTTCAAGTATGGTTACATCACTAACTATGGCATAACCTGCCCTTTGTATCCCATTCTCTGCAAATGAACTTCTATCGGTATATAGGTTAAGGTCAGGATCAGCTAAGGGGACTCCTAAGAGATCATCTCAGGCAGCATAAGTCTGGACTATAATTTGTTGGCAGTCATGCCTGATTGGTTCCTCATCCTCTGGGAGAAAAGTGGCAGGGTTGAGGGCCATGCACATACGTATTTGAAGCACTGGTTCCTCAAGGAGTAGTGCCTGGTATCTAAGCAGGCAGTTGTCTGTTAGCCATAAACTTCCTTGGCACCTAGTATGCCATTTATATCATGACTAGTCCAGACAGTGAGATCCTTTCCTTGTATTATTTTGATAGCCTCTGACACTAAGAAGGCCACTGCCGCAACGACCCTTAAACAGTGAGGACAGCCTTTTGCTACTACACCATTTTATTTACTTAGGTAGGCCACTGGTTGTGGGGTTGTCCCACGAGTTGGAGTAAGGAGTCCAAAAGCTATCCCTGCTCTCTCTGTGATGTATAAATAAACGTTTTGTGCCGTGGGAAGGCTTAAGGCTGGAGCTTGAGTTTATTCTTTCCAATGCCCAGATTTCAGGGTTGATTCCCTCCTCAAGTAGGGGACAACAAATGGGTAACTTGTTCCCCATATTCATGTAGATAATAGCTCCAGCTCTGGCTAACATATCCCTCCCTAATAAGGGTGTGGGACTTTCAGGCATAACAAGAAAGGCATGTGAAAAGAGCAAAGTCTCCCAGTTACAACTGAGGAGGTGGGAAAAATACCTGGTTACAGGCCATCCCAGGATTCCTCGGATGGTAATGGACCTTGAGGACAGCTGACCAGGACAGGAGATTAACACTGAGAAAGCTGTGCCAGTGTCCAGAAGGAAGTCAATTTCCTGGCCCTCAATGGTTAAACATACCTGGGGCTCAGTGAGGGTGATGACATGAGCTGGCACCCTCAGTCCTGTTGTTGAATCATCTGGTTGGGGGCTTTTGGCCCAGAGAACCTTTATCCTCTGGGGCAGTGTGCCTTCCAGTGATTGCCTCAGCATAGCGGACATGGGCGAGGGGGCAGCTTGTTTCTTGTTGGACAATCTTTTTTAAGGTGTTCTTGCAAACCACACTGGTAACAAGCCCTACTGGGTGACTGGCCTGCTCCATTTTCTGTCATCTTTGAACCACCAAGGTTTGTTTGTCTGAGGGCCATGACTAAGGCTGCAGCCTTTCTCTGATCTCACTTTTCCTTTTCGGCCTGTTCTTCTTGGTTGGTCCCAATTAGAGAACACCGAGGTTGCCAGGTTTAATAATTCCTCCAGATTTTGTTCAGGGCCCAGGGCTCACTTTTGGAGCTTTCTCCTGATATCTGCAGCTGATTGGGTAATAAATATCTTTTAGGATCTATTGGCCCTTGAGTGAGTCAGGTGACAGGGAGTGTGTTTTCTTAAGGCTTCCCATAGCTGCTTGAGGAAGGCAGAAGGATTTTCTTCCTTTCCCTGTGTTATGGTAGACATCATTGAGTAATTCATGGGCTTTTTCCTAATTCTTCTTATTCCTTCTAGAACGCAGGTCAACAGATGTTTATGACTCTAGTTCCCGTGATCTGAGTCGAGGTCCCAGTGGGGATCCATACTGGGGATGGCTTGCTGACCAGTAGGGAATGTGTCTCTTTCTTCAGCTGTCATTCTGTCATTTATTTCACTAAGATTCCATGTAACTCCAAACTCTCAGGATGCAGCTAAAGCCGCATTCTTTTCATTAAAGGCCAGGGTTTGATCTAACAATAGCATGACATCTCTCCAAGTGAGATCAAAGGTTTTCCCTAGACCCTGTAGGACATCTGTGTACCTATCAGGATCATCTGAAAACTTCCCCAGGTCTGCCTTGATCTGCTTTAAATCAGAGAGGAGAAGGGGACATGTACCCGGGTTGGGCCAAATTCCCCTCCCCCTACAGCTTGAAGGGGACATAACCAATAGCCTGGGGGTTTTTGTGGTCCCTTGGAGATTTCTTTGCTTATTTCCTTCTGGCGGGGGAGATTAGAGGAGGCTTATCATTAATGGGAAGGGGAGCTATAGGGAGGCTAGGATATGGGGGTAAGCTGAGAGGTCCTCCTGTGAGATATAAATTGCAAGCTTTGCATTGTTGTGTATTCTCCTTCAATGAAAAGAAAGCTTGGACATAAGGTATTTCACTCCATTTGCCTTCCCTCTTACAGAAAAGGTCAAGTTGCAGGATAGTATTGTAATTCATACTTTCCTCAGGTGGCCATTTTTCCTCATCAGAGAGAGAATATTGGGGCCAAGCCATAGTGCAGAAAAAAATGAGCTGCCTCTTTTTCAGGGTTTATGGATCAAATTGGTCCCAATGGCTTAGGATGCATTTCAAGGGTTAGCCTGTTGATGCCTGAGTGTTTCCCATCTGAAAGACAAAACCACCCTTGGTTTTGGTTGGTTTATTTCTTCCCCTGCCCAAGAACCTGCAACGGTCCCTGGACCCTGCTGATTGGAATAGTTGCACTCAACGACGCAGCAGCAGAAACACCTCTTGCCCAAGAACCCACAATGGTCCCTGGACTCTGCTGATCGGAATAGTTGCACTCACCGGTGCAGCAACAGAAACACTAGATTTCCTCCTAGACCACAAGGAGGACTGAGGAAGGTCGGATTTAGTGGTCCTTACTGATGCATTCTCGAAAACCTGCACCCTTGCCTGTCCTCCTAGACCACAAAGAGGACCGAGAAAAATCGGATTTAGTGGCCCTTACCGAGGCATTCTCGAAAACCTGTTAGAGTCCTAAGCATTCTCCTGTTAGTATTGGGACTTTACTTGTGTCCTATAAAGATGTTATGCCCCAAAAATGAAGTGGAGGGCCATACCCTGAGGGAGGGAAAGGATCTCCAGAGTTGGAAGAGTGATGCCTTTTGTCTTCACTTATATGAATAGGAAGGATACAATTTCTGAGGCTCCCCATATCCTAGCTTCAGGAATAGCTTTTGTTAGGCCTGCTGGTCTGAGAAGGGATCCTAAAATTACAGATTGTCCCCCCTACGATGGGGCTTTTGGCAAAAATTATGTCTTTCTGATTGGTGAGCCTGGGTGCCTAAAGAAGGGAAAATAGCCCTGGAGTTTATACTAGAAATCATTCCTATAGGAGAAACTAGAAAAGCACCAGAGACAGGGAGTGGTTTTTAAAAGTGGGACTAGCCTCAGAGAAGAGAGGCGAGAGGAAGTTTGTCTGACAGACATTAGGACCCAGGAGGCAAGGGTCAGGATAGATAGGATAGATGGGCTAGTCTCGCTTGGGCGACGTGACTTTGAGAGTTCCGCTCATGGCCGCAAGGTCAACCAACTTATTGTCAGATCCCTGGAGCTGAATGGCTTTCCTCTGTCTTGACCCTTGGCTCAGCTCAGAAGTACAGGAAAAGTGGAAGCTGGTTCCAGGCAAACCAACGCTCCCAACTCCAAAGAGTCAGGAGTTGTTAGAGAGCCCTTTCCCAGAAAGCCTGACACCCATGTCTTTAGTCCAGTGGCTGCGCTATTAGCTTTTAACTGGCTTACAGGTGCCCGGTATTTAGCCCCCGAATTCTAATGAAAAATAGGACAGAATAGCAAGCAAAAGGGGTCTGATGGTACTCACCACTTGGCGATAGGCGATAGTCCCTTCATGGTTGCCAAAATGTGTCCAGAATTGGTTCCTTCTGGTGGGTTCTTGGTCTCGCTGACTTCAAGAATGAAGCCATGGACCCTTGCAGTGAGTGTTTTAGTTCTTAAAGATGGTGTGTCCAGAGTTTGTTCCTTCGATGTTCAGATGTGTCTGGAGTTTTTCCTTCCAGTGGGTTTGTGGTCTCACTTGACTTTAGAAGTGAAACCACAGACCTTTGCAGTGAGTATTACAGCTCTTAAAGGTGGTGCGTCCAGAGTTGTTTGTTCCTCCCAGTGGGTTCGTGGTCTCGCTGACTTCAGGAGTGAAGCCGCAGACCTTTCCAGTGAGTGTTAGAGCTCAAAAAGGTAGTTTGGACCCAAAGAGTGAGCAGCAGCAAGATTTATTGTGAAGAGTGAAAGAACAAAGCTTCCACAGCGTGGAAGGGGACCCAAGTGGGTTGCTGCTGCTGGCTCGGGTGGCCAGCTTTTATTCCCTCATTTGGCCCCACTCATGTCCTGCTGATTGGTCCATTTTATAGAGTGCTGATTGGTCCATTTTACAGAGTGCTGATTGGTCTCTTTTTATAGAGTGCTGATTGGTGTGCTTACAAGCCTTTAGCTAGACACATAGTGCTGATTGGTGTGTTTACAATCCTTTAGCTAGACAGAAAAGTTCTCCAAGTCCCCACCCGACCCAGGAGCCCAGCGGGCTTCACCTCTCAATGGCTATTGTGAAAGGCTCTTTCTGCTTGAAAAAAACAGAGGGAAAAGTAAAAGGGACTTTGTCTTGTACCATAGGTACTAGCTTGTCCAAATTGGGGTAGAACATCAAGCAAGTTCTTGGGGTCCCTGATTCCAGGCCTTGGCTCTTGGATGGCATTTCTGGACCTTCCCTGGGCCAGAGGCCCCAGGCTTGGCAGCATTTACCACAAGTTGACTGAAGAGTGCTTGGGCCTTAAGGGAACACTGGAGCTAGACTGGCAGTGCTCCCCATGGCCCTGTGGTGTTGGTAGTCATTGGGTGAAGCTCCTCTGCATATGGAAAGGAAAGGAAGAGTGGGAATGACTGTGTCTTGTGGTTTGATTCCCAGCTTAGCCACAGTAGTGGAGAGCACCAGCTAGACTTTTAAGGTTTTTGACTCCAGTCTTTAGCTTCTAGAAAGAATCTCTGGTCCTGCTCAGGGCCTGGGGGAACTTGCTGCCTTGAAGGGAAGGACACAAGGCTGTCTGGCTTCACCACGTGCTGATTGTGGACCATGAGGACCTTGAGTGAACATAGGCAGTAACCAGGTAGTGGTTACAGGGGGCCAGTACAGCAAGACCCAGTGCTGTACTGGCTTCAGGTTTGAACCAGCACAGCTCAGTGGTGGTGGTCACATGGTTGCTTTGTTATCCCACTCCCAGCCCCAGGTGGCTCAGGAAAGAGAGAGAGACTGACTCTCTTTGGGAAAAAGCAAGGGAAGAGAAAAAGAGTCTCTTCCTAGTAATTCATAGATATCTTCCAGATCTTATCCAAGACCACCAAGGTGGTACCTCTATGTGTATGTAAGAACTACAGCATTGCTGGGATCAGGATACCCCATATTACAGATATAGCTTAGAGCACAACACCTAAGTTTTTCCAAATATCTGGAAAAGCTTCTCAAGAAGAACAGGTGCAAACAAGCCCAGATGCAAAGACTACAATAAATATTTAACTTTTCAATGCCCAGACACCAATAAGCTTCAGCATGTATGAAGACCATCCAGGAAAACATGACCTCACCAAATGAACTAAATAAGGGACCAGGAACCAATACCAGAGAAACAGAGATATGTGACCTTTCAGACAGAGAATTCAAAATTGCTATTTTGAGGAAATTCAAAGAAATTCAAGATAATGCAGAGAGAGAATTCAGAATCATATCAGGTAAGTTTAACGAAGAGATTGAAATAATTAAAAGAGTCAGGTAGAAATTCTGGAGTTGAAAAATGTAATTGGCATACTGAAGAATGCATCAGAGTCAGATAGCAGAATAGATCAAGCAGAAGAGAGAATTAGTGAGCTTAAAGACAAATTATTTGAAAATATACACTAAGAGAAGAAAAAAGAAAAAAGAATAAAAGGAATGAAGCATGTCTATAGGATCTAGAAAATAGCCTCAAAATGGCAAATCTAAGAATTATTGACCTTAAATAGGAGGTCAAGAAAGAGAGGGGTAGAAAGTCTATTCAAATGGATAATATCAGAGAACTTCTCAGACCTAGAGAAAGCTATCAATATTCAAGTAAGAGAAGGTTATAGAACACCAAGCAGATTTAACCCAGAAAAAACTATCTCAAGGAATTAAAGAATCAAACTTTCAAAGATTAAGGATAAAGAAAGGATCTTAAAAGCAGCAAGAGAAAAGAAACAAAATACAATGGGTCTCCACTATGTCTGGCAGCAGACATTTTAGTGGAAATCTGGAAGGCCAGAAGACAGTGGCATGGAACATTTAAAGTGCTGAAGGAAAAAAACCTTTTATCCTAGAATAGTATATCTGGTGAAAATAGTCTTCAAATATGAAGGAAAAATAAAGACTTTCCCAGACAAACAAAATCTGAAGGATTTCACCAATAACAAACCTATCCTACAAGAAATGCTAAAGGAAGTATTTCAATCAGAAAGAAAAGGACATAAATAAGCAATAACACATCATCAGAATGTACAAAACTTACTGGCAATAGTAAGTATACAGAAAAACACAGAATATTATAACACTGTAAGTGTGGGTATAAACTACTGTCATCTTAAGTAGAAAGACTAAATGATGAATTGATCAAAAATAATAACCACAACAATTTTTCAAGACATAGACAGTACAGTGATATATAAATTGAAAAAATGAAAAGCCAAAAAATGGGCAGACAAGTTAAAGTGTAGAGTTTGTATTGGTTTTCTTTTTACTTGTTAGTTTGTTTATGCAAACAGTGTTAAGTTTTTATCAGCCTAAAATAATGGATTATAAGATAGTATTTGCAAGCCTCATGGTAACCTCAAATAGAAAAACATACAATGAATACACAAAAAATAAAAAGCAAGAAATTAAATAATATCACCAGAGAAAATAACCTTTGCTAAAAGGAAGACAGGATGGAAAGAAACAAGGAAGAAAAGACCACAAAAACACCAGAAAACAGATAACAAAATGGCAGAAGTAGGACCTTACCTATCAATAATAACATTAAATGTAAATGGACAAAACTCTCCAATAAAAGGACATATAGTGGCTGAATGGTTAAAAAAATAAGACCTAATAATATGTTGCCTACAAGAAACACACTTCACCTATAAAAACATACATAGACTGAAAATAAAGAAATGGAAAAAGATATTCTATGCCAATGTAAAACAAAAAGTAGAAGTCACTATACATAGACAAAAGAGATTTTAAGACAGAAACTATAAGAAAAGACAAAGTTATTATATAATGATTAAATTATCAATTCATCATCAAGAAGATGTAACTTTTTTTTTTTTTTGAGACAGAGTCTCACTGTCTCCCAGGCTGGAGTGCAGTGGCGCGATCTCGGCTCACTGCAAGCTCTGCCTCCCGGGTTCACACCATTATCCTGCCTCAGGCTCCCGAGTATCTGGGACTATAGGTGCCTGCCACCACGCCCAGCTAATTTTCTTATTTTTATTAGAGATGGGGTTTCACTGTGTTAGCCAGGATGGTGTTGATCTCCTGACCTCGTGATCCACCTGCATCAGCCTCCCGAAGTGCTAGGATTACAGGCATGAGACACAGTGCCCGGCTAAGAAGATGTAACTATTATAAATATATATGGACCCAACACGGGAGCACCCAGATATATAAAGCAAATATTAGTACTATAGAAAGAGATAGAGCCCGATGTAATAATAACTAGAGACTTTAAGTTCCCATTTTCAGCATTGGACAGATCTTCCAGAGAGAAAATCAATGAAGAAACATCAGACTTAATCTGCACTGTAGATTAAATGAATCTAATAGATACTCAAAGAGTATTTCATCAGTTGGTTGCAAAATACACCTTCTTTTCCTCAGCACATGGATAATTCTCAAGGACTGATGATACGTTGGCTCACAAGTCTTAAAACATCAAACATATTGAAATAATATCAAGCATTATCTCTGACCAGAAGATTTTTAGTTTTCTGAAAAAGCTAGAAATCAATACCAAGAGGAATTTTGGAAACTATACAAGCACATGGAAATTAAACAGTATGTTCCTGAAGGACCAGTGGGTCAATTAAGAAATTAAACAAGCAATGGGGAAAGGATTCCCTATTTAATAAATGGTGCTGGGAAAACTGGCTAGCCATATGTAGAAAGCTGAAACTGGATCCCTTCCTTACACATTATACAAAAATTAATTCAAGATGGATTAAACACTTAAACATTAGACCTAAAACCATAAAAACCCTAGAAGAAAACCTAGGCATTACCATTGAGGACATAGGCATGGGCAAGGACTTCATGTCTAAAACACCAAAAGCATGGCAACAAAAGCCAAAATTGACAAATGGGATCTAATTAAACTAAAGAGCTTCTGCACAGCAAAAGAAACTACCATCAGAGTGAACAGGCAACCTACAAAATGGGAGAAAATTTTCGCAACCTACTCACCTGACAAAGGGCTAATATCCAGAATCTACAATGAACTCAAACAAATTTACAAGAAAAAAACAAATAACCCCATCAAAAAGTGGGCGAAGGACATGAACAGACACTTCTCAAAAGAAGACATTTATGCAGCCAAAAAAACACATGAAAAAATGCTCAGCATCACTGGCCATCAGAGAAATGCAAATCAAAACCACAATGAGATACCATCTCACACCAGTTAGAATGGCAGTCATTAAAAAGTCAGGAAACAACAGGTGCTGGAGAGGATGTGGAGAAATAGGAACATTTTTACACTGTTGGTGGGACTGTAAACTAGTTCAAACCTTGTGGAAGTCAGTGTGGCGATTCCTCAGGGATCTAGAACTAGAAATATCATTTGACCCAGCCATCCCATTACTGGGTATATACCCAAAGGACTATAAATCATGCTGCTATAAAGACACATGCACATGTATGTTTATTGCGGCACTATTCACAATAGCAAAGACTTGGAACCAACCCAAATGTCCAACAATGATAGACTGGATTAAGAAAATGTGGCACATATACACCATGGAATACTATGCAGCCATAAAAAAGGATGAGTTCATGTCTTTTGTAGGGACATGGATGAAATTGGAAATCATCATTCTCAGTAAACTATCACAAGAACAAAAAACTGAACACCGCATATTCTCACTCATAGGTGGGAATTGAACAATGAGAACACATGGACACAGGAAGGGGAACATCACACTCTGGGGACTGTTGTGGGGTGGGGGGAGGGGGGAGGGATAGCATTAGGAGATATACCTAATGCTAAATGACGAGTTAATGGGTGCAGCACACCAGCATGGCACATGTATACACATGTAACTAACCTGCACATTGTGCACATATACCCTAAAACTTAAAGTTTAATAATAAAATAAAAAATAAAATAAAAAAACACCAAAAAAAAAAAAAAAGAAATTGAGAAGGAAATTGAAGAAATTCTTGAAATAAATGATAATGGAAACACAACTTACCACAACCTGTGGGATACAGTGAAAGTAGTATTAAGAGAGAAGTTTATAGCTATAAGTGGCTACATCAAAAATCATGCCAATTAAAATGGATTTTATCCAAATGACAGGCAATAAGAAATGCTGGAAAAGATGTGGAGAAAAGAGAACCCTCTTACACCATTGGTGGGAACGTAAGTTAGTACAACCAATATGGAGAACAGTTTGGAGGTTCCTGAAAAGCTAAAAATAGAGCTACCATATGATCCAGCTATCCCACTGCTGGGTATACACCACAAAGAAAGGAAATCAGTAGGCCAGGTGCAGTGGCTGACGCCTGTAATCCCAGCAGTTTGGGAGGCCAAGGCAGGCAGATCATGAGGTCAAGAGATTGAGACCATCCTGGCTAACATGGTGAAACCCCGTCTCTACTAAAAATACAAAAATTAGCTGGGTGTGGTGACACGTGCCTATAGTCCCAGCTACTCGGGAGGCTGAGGCAGGACAATCACTTGAACCCAGGAGGCGGAGGTTGCAGTGAGCCAAGATCGCGCCACTGCACTCTAGCCTGGCAATAGAGCGAGACTCCGTCTCAAAAAAAAAAAAAAAAGAAAAAAAGGAAATCAATATATCAAAGGGATATCTGCACTCCTATGTTTATTGCAGCAGTATACACAATAGCCAAGATTTGGAAGCAATCCAAATGTCCATCAACAGATGAGTGGGTAAAGAAAATGTGGTACATATACACAATGGAGTACTATTTAGTCATAAAAACAAATGAGGATCCTGTCATTTGCCACAACATAGATGGAACTGGAAGTCTTTATGTTAAGTGAAATAAGCCAGGCATGGAAAGACAAATATCACATGCTCTCACTTATCTGTGGGATCTAAAAATTAAACAATTGAACTCATGGACGTAGGGAGAAGGATGGTTACTAGAGACTAGGAAGAGTAGCTGGGGATGGGTAGAGGGAAATGAGGATGGTTAGTGGGTACAAAAAGTACAAAGAATGTATAAGACCTAGTATTTGCTAGAACAGCAGGGTGACTATAGTAAAAAATAATTATGTCATACATTTTAAAATAACTAAGAGCATAATTTGATTGTTTGTAACACAAAGGATAAATGCTTGAGGTGATACATACCACATTTATGATGTCATTGTTACACATTGCATGCCTGTATAAAATATCTCATGTAACCCCAAAATATATACACCTAATCTGTACCCACAAAAATAAAAAATAAAAAATTAATTAAAAAATAGGTCACAGGACTGAACTCATAAGACCTCAATTTATGGAATGATTTATTTTTTTTTTATTTTTTATTTTTTTATTATACTTTAAGTTTTAGGGTACATGTGCACATTGTGCAGGTTAGTTACATATGTATACATGTGCCATGCTGGTGCGCTGCACCCACTAACTTGTCATCTAGCCTTAGGTATATCTCCCAATGCTATCCCTCCCCCCTCCCCCAACCCCACCACAGTCCCCAGAGTGTGATATTCCCCTTCATGTGTCCATGTGATCTCACTGTTCAGTTCCCACCTATGAGTGAGAATATGCGGTGTTTGGTTTTTTGTTCTTGTGATAGTTTACTGAGAATGATGATTTCCAATTTCATCCATGTCCCTACAAAGGACATGAACTCATCATTTTTTGCTGGAGAGGATGTGGAGAAATAGGAACACTTTTACACTGTTGGTGGGACTGTAAACTAGTTCAACCATTGTGGAATTCAGTGTGGCGATTCCTCAGGGATCTAGAACTAGAAATACCATTTGACCCAGCCATCCCATTACTGGGTATATACCCAAATGACTATAAATCATGCTGCTATAAAGACACATGCACATGTATGTTTATTGTGGCATTATTCACAATAGCAGAGACTTGGAACCAACCCAAATGTCCAACAATGATAGACTGGATTAAGAAAATATGGCACATATACACCATGGAATACTATGCAGCTATAAAAAATGATGGAATGATTTATTTATTCATAAGTGATAATCCTTCTAGTTAAGAAATGATTTATATAATGTAACATTTTCCAAAATATTTATATGTTACAAAATTCAGCCAATTTATTTCATTAATTTCATTGTGATTTACCAGGAGAAAAATAATGTAAGCAATGTGAGAGATTGATATCAAAACAGACAATGGCAAGGCCATGTATGAAAACAGAACTCTAACCATCATCTCTGTAGCAACCAGCCTGGGAAGACAAATCACAATCTCCACAGCTTTTGACCTGATACTTTATGGGTAAAAGAGAGAGAGAGGATAAAAGGAAACCATAGCAGTTTGTTTGTTTGTTTGTTTTTTGGATGGGGGGTGCTAGTCTAAAAGATACCTCTGATGACATTTGGTAGTTAAAGAAAGCACCAGTGTAACAGCAGACCTTTCTTCTCATTCTGTCAATAATTAAAACTTAAATTAGAAAACAGGAATTAGAATGGAAAATCATCATTTACCTGAACTACAAAACCTAGAAGAACATTCTTAAATATTTCCAGAACAAAACAAGACAGATCCAGATCCACAAATAAATTTATGGACCTACAGAACAAAAAGTGGGTGGCCCACTTCCTAACAGACTACCTATTAACAAGGATACATGTAGAGATTATCAACAAAAAGAACACTAGAGAAAAAAGGATTGATCCATCTTAGAAAACCAAAGCAAAAAATATCCCTCAATTCAGATCAGTGAGGATGCTTATCACAAACTCTGGCTGAAGTTATTGATAACACCGGATATTAATGATCTTAGATGGACTACAGCTCATTCTCGTCTTGTTGTCATGAGTAGCTCTAGATTTCTGGCTGGCTAGTCATGGTGGTGTCTTTGCCATTGTGAATATTTATTGCTGTATTTGGATGAATAAAACAGGCAAAGTAAAATAGACTATACATCATCTTAAGGAAAAAGCTATTTGGCTGTCTAAGGTTGGTCAATCCTTATGGCCTATGGGATTTATTATTTTGATCTAAGTTGTACAATTGGGGTCCCCAGTTCTGAAGTATTTTACAAGGATTATTAATTGTTCTTCTTTTTGTCATAGTGGTCATGATGCTTGTATATCACATTCTACCCAAAGTTGCAAATGCTTCTGTGCTGCCACTCTCATCATAAGATGATCTGCATGATGATACAATAACAAAAGGGCCAAGAAGATCTCACAGTTCAGCTGACTTTGGAAACAGCTGGCTAACACCTGAGTGCTGTTTTAGCAACTAACTTGATTAGACTCAGACTGCAAACAATTTTTTATCTTTAGTGGATGCCAGCTCACATCTCAGTTCAGTTCTTTTATCCTTCACTGAGTTGCTTACATTCCCCCTTCTGTATTCAAGGTTCAAGGGTCAACTTAAGACTTACACAGAGTTTATATAAGGTACTACAGCTTGTCTTCTCAGGTTCTTTCATTTTTGGGGATTCCCCTCTTACTTTCCATAGGCTGTGGTTGCCCTAGACACTGTCCTGTGAATGTTCACACCACAAAAAATATTGCTTTCTCTATCAGAGTTTTAGCAGTTCCATGCTACTCTGGGACTGTGCCCTGTCCTCAATCTAGTACTGTAAAAATGAGAATTTGCTGGATGACAGCCTTTTTTTCTTTGATTCAATCTTCAAAATCTGCTGGCTTTTCTTCAGTCTCTAGAAGCTTCATGTAGTCGCTTTTTATTTTTTTCCTCAGGGTTTATTGCCAGAATAGATATGTATGGTATGATTAGAGAGGTCTAAATTTATTATCTTTCCATATGGTTGTCAATCATATATCTGAAATTTGGAGAAAAGACCGTTCTTTCTACACTGCATTGGAATGACACTGCATGTAGAATGGCTCCATGCGTGTATCTGTATTTCAGTTTTTTATTTAGCACTTTATTCTGTTTTGTTGGTCTATTTATCAATCCTTGTTTAATACTATGCTGTCATGATTACTGGCAATAAGTCTTGATATGTGATAATCTTGATATTTTAAGTTTTATTCTCCTTCTTTAGGGTTATCTTTGCTATTTATTTTACCCATTTCATTTCCATATAGAGTTTTGAATTGGCTTGTCAATTTTTATTTAAATTTCTACTTGGATTTTGATTAGGATTATGTTGACTCTATGGATTGATTTGGGGATTATTGACATCTTTTCATTATTGAGTCTCTCAGTTCATGCTAATCATCTAAGACTTCTGAAGTTTAATTTTTTAACTACATAGCTCTCTATGTCCACCAACTTGCCCTTATCTTCCTTTTTGTTGACTTATTTTTATATCTACTATTTAGAGTTTTAAAAGCTGATCAAAACTTCTGAACAAATGGGTTAACTTTTCGACTTTAGCCTATTTTGGTAGAGGGATTAGGTAAGTTTTTGCTGAGGCACTCCAATATCCAGTATCTTTAGATATTTTATTCTGGCTGATTGGCTTTCTTAAGTATAAGGCTTATTTTCTCTTCAGAAGTTAAAGTTCTGTTTGCCAGAATTATGGGAAGTGAGTAAGAGAAGGAAGTAGGGTATCTCAGTATACTATCTGCATAAGGTCACTTAACTCACCTATTTTTGTAACTTTACCAATACCCTTAACTTTGCCTTGTATTCCCCAGGCTAGATATCCTGTTATTTTATTCTATCCACTTCTGAATTATTATGGGTAGGGTAGAATTAGTTGCTCAGAAACATATGATAGTAATGGGGATTAGAAATAGGATTTTCATACAGTTTTCATCATATCAGTGTTATTTAGCATTCTCTTTGAGCTACATTTCAGAGGTATTTGGAACTGCCAGTTTCTAAGCCTTTTAATACCCGCAGTGAAAATTAGGTTGTTCTCAGTTTTCACCCTTATTTGCCTAGTATTCAGCTCTGTACTCTGCTAAGTTGTTTACCATTTATCCATCTCCTTTCTAACTGCCAATATTTTGGGTGTTGTCTGTTTTTCTGTTCTTACTCTTCCTGTGGGTTAACTTAAAAAAAAATCCCTTTTTAAAATCCCTTACTGTAGTTTTAGTTGCATTTGGGAAGGAGTAAATTTCATACTTTTGTTCAACCAATCATGTTAATTTGGACTACGGTATCTCCATGTTCAGGGACATTCCTACAACTCCTTACAGAGATGTATTTAACACCATAGTTATAATAGCATCATGCTTACAAACAGACATTTAAATTAGCTATGTTTTAAAAATATACACTATCCATCTTATAATGATTTTTATGATATATCGAAGGGAACAATTTCTGATATTTTTCTTTTTTTGCCCATTTTTATTTTTTATTTTTTACTTTTTTTAATACTTTAAATTCTAGGGTACATGTGCACAATGTGCAGGTTTGTTACATATGTATACATGCACCATGTTTTGTGTGCTGCACCCATTAACTTGTCATTTACATTAGGTATATTTCCTAATGCTATCCCTCCCCGCTCCCCCCACCCCACAACAGGCACCGGTGTGTGATGTTCCCCTTCCTGTGTCCATGTGTTCTCATTGTTCAATTCCCACCTATGAGTGAGAACATGCGGTGTTTGGTTTTTTGTCCTTGCGACAGTTTGCTGAGAATGATGGTTTCCAGCTTCATCCATGTCCCTACAAAGGACATGAACTCATCATTTTTCATGGCTGCATAGTATTCCATGGTGTGTATGTGCCACATTTTCTTAATCCAGTCTATCATTGAGGGACACTTGGGTTGGTTCCAAGTCTTTGCTATTGTGAATAATGCCGCAATAAACATACGTGTGCATGTGTCTTCATAGCAGCATGATTTATACTCCTTTGGGTATATACCCAGTCATGGGAAGGCTGGGTCAAATGGTATTGCTAGTTCTAGATCCTTGAGGAATTGCCATACTGCCTTCCACAATGGTTGAACTAGTTTACAGTTCCACCAACAGTGTAAAATTGTTCCTATTTCTCCACATCCTCTCTAGCACCTGTTGTTTCCTGACTTTTTAATGATCGCCATTCTAACTGGTGTGAGATGGTATCTCACTGTGTTTTGATTAGCATTTCTCTGATGGCCAGTGATGCTGAGCATTTTTTCATGTGTCTTTTGGCTTCATAAATGTCTTCCTTTGAGAAGTGTCTGTTCATATCCTTCGCCCACTTTTTGATGGGGTTGTTTGTTATTTTCTTGCAAATTTGTTTGAATTCTTTGTAGATTCTGGATATTAGCCCTTTGTCAGATGAGTAGATTGCAAAAATTTTCTCCCATTCTGTAGGTTGCCTGTTCACTCTGATGGTAGTTTCTTTTGCTGTGCAGAAGCTCTTTAGTTTAATTAGATCCCATTTGTCAACTTTGGCTTTTATTGCCATTGCTTTTGGTGTTTTAGACATGAAGTCCTTGCACATGCCTATGTCCTGAAAGGTATTGGCTAGGTTTTCTTCTAGGGTTTTTATGGTTTTAGGTCTAACATTTAAGTGTTTAATCCATCTTGAATTAATTTTTGTATAAGGTGTAAGGAAGGGATCCAGTTTCAGCTTTCTACATATGGCTTGCCAGTTTTCCCAGCACCATTTATTAAATAGGGAATCCTTTCCCCATTTCTTGTGTTTTTCAGGTTTGTCAAAAATCAGATGGTTGTAGATGTGTGGTATTATTTGTGAGGGCTCTGTTCTGTTCCCTTGGTCTATATATCTGTTTTGGCACCAGTACCATGCTGTTTTGGTTACTGTAGCCTTGTAGTATAGTTTGAAGTCAGGTAGCGTGATTCCTCCAGCTTTGTTCTTTTGGCGTAGGATTGTCTTGGCAATGCAGGCCCTTTTTTGGTTGCATATGAACTTTGAAATAGTTTCTTCCAATTCTGTGAAGAAAGTCATTGGTAGCTTGATGGGGATGGCATTGAATCTACAAATTACTTTGGGCAGTATGGCCATTTTCACAATATTGATTCTTCTTATCCATGAGCATGGAATGTTCTTCCATTTGTTTGTGTCCTCTTTTATTTCGTTGAGCAGAGGTTTGTAGTTCTCCTTGAAGAAGTCCTTCACATCCGTTGTAAGTTGGATTTCTAGGTATTTTATTCTCTTTGAAGCAATGGTGAATGGGAGTTCACTCATGATTTGGCTCTCTGTTTGCCTGTTGTTGGTGTGTAAGAATGCTTGTGATTTTTGCACAATGATTTTGTATCCTGAGACTTTGCTGAAGTTGCTTATCAGCTTAAGGAGATTTTGGGTGAGACAATGGGGTTTTCTTGATATAAAATCATGTAATCTGCAAACAGGGAGAATTTGACTTCCTCTTTTCCTAATTGGATACCCTTTATTACTTTCTCCTGCCTGATTGCCCTGTCCAGAACTTCCAACACTATGTTGAATAGGAGTGGTGAGAGAGGGCATCCCTGTCTTGTGCCAGTTTTCAAAGGGAATGCTTCCAGTTTTTGCCCATTCAGTTTGATATTGTCTGTGGATTTGTCATAAATAGCTCTTATTATTTTGAGATACATCCCATCAATACCTAATTTATTGAGAATTTTTAACATGAAGGGCTGTTGAGTTTTGTCACAGGCCTTTTCTGAATCTATTGAGATAATCTTGTGGTTTTTGTCTTTGGTTCTGTTTATATGCTGGATTACGTTTATTGATTTGTGTATGTTGAGCCAGCCTTGCATCCCAGGGATGAAGCTGACTTGATCAGAGTGGATAAGCTTTTTGATGTGCTGCTGGATTCAGTTTGCCAGTATTTTATTGAGGATTTTTGCATCCATGTTCATCAGGGATATTGGTCTAAAATTCTCTTTTTTTGTTGTGTCTCTGCCAGGCTTTGGTATCAGGATGATGCTGGCCTCATAAAATGAGTTAGGGAGGATTCCCTCTTTTTCTATTGATTGGAATAGTTTCCAAAAGAATGGTATCAGCTCCTCCTTGTACCTCTGGTAGAATTCGGCTGTGAATCTGTCTGATCCTGGACTTTTTTTGGTTGGTAGACTATTAATTTTGCCTCAGTTTCAGAGCCTGTTACTGGTCTATTCAGGGATTCAACTCCTTCCTGGTTTAGTCTTGGGAGGGTTTATGTGTTGAGGAATTTATCCATTTCTTCTAGATTTTCTAGTGTATTTGCGTAGAGGTGTTTATAGTATTCTCTGATGGTAGTTTGTATTTCTATGGGATCGGTGGTGATATCCCCTTTATCATTTTTTATTGCGTCTATTTGATGCTTCTCTCTTTTCTTCTTTATTAGTCTTGCTAGCGGTCTACCAATTTTGTTGATCATTTCAAAAATCAGCTCCTGGATTCATTGATTTTTGATGGGTTTTTTGTGTCTCTATCTCCTTCAGTTCTCCTCTGATCTTATTTATTTCTTGCCTTCTGCTAGCTTTTGAATGTGTTTGCTCTTGCTCCTCTAGTTCTTTTAATTGTGATGTTAGGGTGTCAATTTTAGATCTTTCCTGCTTTCTCTTGTGGGCAGTTAGTGCTATACATTTCCCTCTACACACTTCTTTAGATGTGTCCCAGAGATTCTGGTATGTTGTGTCTTTGTTCTCATTGGTTTCAAAGAACATCTTTATGTCTGCCTTCATTTCAGTATGTACCCAGGTTGGAGTGCAGTGGTGCAATTTTGGCTCTCTGTAACCTCTGCCTCCTGGGTTCAAGTGATTCTCCTGCCTCAGGCTCCTGAGTAGCTGGGATTACAGGCATGGATCACCATGCCTGGCTAATTTTTGTATTTTTAGTAGAGACGGGGTTTCACCATGTTGGCCAGGCTGGTCTTGAACTCCTGACCTCAAGTGATCCACCCACCTCAACCTCCTAAAATGCTGAGATTACAGGCTTGAGCCATCATGCGCAACCAGGAATATTTTTTAAAAATGATCATATAGAGGTTCACCTGGGTGGTATAACTTGAGCCAGGTTAGATGTTTATTTGCTTAGTAGTAGGGAGCCTTGAATTTTCTGTCCCAATTCAGGACTTTTTCATTACACCAAAACCACCTCATCTAAATCAGTCTCTTAAGAGTTTTGTGCACTTAATTTTGGGTTCTTACCTATATGGGGAAGGATGTATATAGCACATTAAAGCTTGTGCCTGCCTGAGAGACTGAACTTATTCATTCAAGAAATCATCCATTCATATAAATTATTGATTTGCCTTCTAGACACTTCCTAGGTACTGAGGCAATGACAGTGAACAAGATAGCCGAGACCTCTGTTTTTCTAATGTGTATGTACTTGTATAGTCAGAAAGTATATAATAAGCATATAGGTAAGGTAATTTTAGATGAAGATAAGATATGGGGGTTTTCAAATTTAGAATGGTCATGATGGCCTCTCTTAGGAGGAGAGGAAAGCCTTTATAGGTGTAATGGTTGCTGTAGCACATCATCTCCATTCCCCCAGCTCCTTCTATTAGGACTGAAGCATTCATCTTCTAGCTTCTGGGCATCTTGCCTGCTGCTGACAGCCCTTATAGAATGTTCATGGCTGAAAAGAACTGTCTCCCTTCAAATTTCAGCCTGTATTGAATGACTGGTTTATATGGGAGCATAAAGACTAAGCCACCTTGCCCTGCTTCAGGTATATCTTCACCCCAGAGCTCTTCATAGGCTTGATTGAGGCCTTCGTTGTGACTGTGTTGCAGTTCAACTTCTCTCTCTGTATAATCCTGCTTCTTTTACTTCTCCTACAGATATTGGCCCCAAGTACCACCCAATATACCATGTGCACACAAATCTCCATCTCAGAGTTAGCTTCCCGGGAAAACTGACCTACACAAATGGTGAACCATTCTATGGGTACAGAAGAAAAGCACTGTCAGTACAGTGAGTATAAAGGCCTTGAGATAGGAATGAGCTTGGAGTGGCTACAGCATGATACGTGAAGCTTGTGATGGTATGATTTGAGGTTAGAGAGATAGGCAAGAAGAACATAGTGTCATTCAGGCCAAGGTATAAAGTCTGAATTTTATTTTAAATATTAGAGAAAATATTTAAAGGGTTAAAAAAAGAATGTATTGATTAAAAGCTTAAAGATCCCTTTTTTGTGAAGAGAATGAATTGTATCAAGGATGAGGTGGAGGGTGAAAATAAAACGAGGAAGATCAACTAGGCAGCTATTATAGAGACCTGGAAAAGAGGTGATTTGGGATAGATTATGATGATAGCTTTGGACATAGAAGTGGACAAATCTGGGAAGTATTTTAGAAGTGGACCCCATAGGATTTGCTGATGGATTAAATGCAGAAGGTGTTAGAGAGAATAAAATGATTCCTTGTTCTACCAAAAAGACACATGCCCTTGCATATTCATTGCCACACTATTCACAATAACAAAGACATGGAATCAACCTAGGTGCCCATCAACAGTGGATTGCATAAAGAAAATGTGGCACATTTACACCATGAAATACTATGCAGCCATTAAAACAAAATTATGTTATTTGCAGCAACATGGATGCAGCTACAGGCCATTATCTTAAGTGAATTAACACAGGAACAGAAAACCAAATACCACATGTTCTGACTTATAGGTTGGAGCCAAACACTGAATACTCATGAACGTAAATATAGCAACAGTAGATACTAGCGACTACTAGAGCAGGGAGGGAGTGGGGGAGGCAAGGGCTGAAAAACTAACTATTGAGTACTATGCCCACCACCTGAGTGTTGGTGATGCAGGACAGGCAAGCCCCAATGTGGGGCTTAGCCTGAGAGGGTTCTTGGCTTTCCCCAGGAGAGAATTCAAGGGCAAACTTAACAGCTTTATTGGAGAGGCAGTGTTACAGCTCTGTGACTGCTCTAGCAAAGCAGGGCTACCCCCTAGGCAGAGAGCAGCATCTCAGGGCAGATTAGCAGTCGTATTTATACCCACTTTTAACTACATGCAGATTAAGGGGCTATTTATGCAGAAATTACTAGGGAAAGGGTAATAATTTTTGGGTTATCAGGTCATTGCTATGGAAAAGGGTGGTAACTCCTGGGTGTTGCCATAGCAATGGTGAACTGACATGGCACACTGGTGGACATGTCTGATGGAAAGCTGCTTCTGCCCTTGCCCTGTTGTAGCCAGTCCTCAATCTGGTCCAGTTGTCCAAGCCCTGCCTCTGGAGTCAAGTCCCACCCTGCTACCTCAGTGGGATCATTTGTACTCCAAACCTCAGCATCACACAATACACCCATGTAAAAATCCTGTATATGTACCCTCTGAATCGGAAATAAAAGTTGAATTAAAAAAAAGTTAGTTTGAGGCAAAATAATGATAATGAACAAAAAGACTAAGAAAGAGAAACTGCATAGGAAAAATCCAGGAGAAAGTAGTTTCTCAGAATCCTGGATGCCCCAAACACAAACTCAAGAAAATATAAGTGAACATCTGTGTTGAAAGTTGCTTAGAAATTCAATGAAGATTAGAAGAGAAAAATGACCAATATGATTTTGGCAACAAGGAAGTCCTTGATGATCATGAAATGAAGGGATAAAAATCCAGTTGAGATGGGTTTAGAAAAAAATGGAGAAGATTTGGAGAAAGTGACCATAGACTCTTAAGAATTTTTGCCATGGAAAAGAGGCAGAAAAAGTGTTTCACAGCTGGAGGAAAGATATTATGGCTACATACTGAGGATACTACAATAGAGCAGAGAAATGTATGAGGCAGGGATAGAAGAGACAACTGTGGAAATTAGGCTGTTAAGAAGAGAAGAGTAGGAATACATTCAAAGTACTTGTTTTATTATGAAACGAAAGGCAGAGAGAATGGGCATCAGATGTAGAATGGATGATACATCTGTTGGTTGGAAGAGAAGAAAGCTCCTATTTGATATTTTCTATTTACTCTTAGAAGTATTGAAGTTATTAATTGAGCTGAGTGAAGAGTGGGTCTTGCAAGTTTGAGGAGAGAGATTATAGTGGAATGAGTAGGAAAATAGCATTAATTGAGAAGAAATTAAAGGACAGAGATTAGATGTTGGAGGGGTCATCCTTGGAATATTGAATTTACCAAGTAGAAATGAAAGATAGGGTGGAGAGCAAGAATAAGCAAGGTTCTAAAGTCCTCACTGAAGAGGATAACCAGGGGTAAGTAGTGTTAGCTGGTGACAAATACTTACGCAATAAGCATCAAACGGATGAAGTTTCTGAAGTGTGTAGGAGGAGAAATGGTTTAGACTTGCAAGTAGGCCAAGGCATACAACTACCCTAGCTTTACATCCTTAAAACTGTAGAGTATGAGGAAAAGCAGGCCCCACTTGAGAGAGTTGAAAGGAAGGTCATGTCCCCAAGGAACACTGGTTATAGTTAGCTCAAGATAATGAATGTTCCATCAGGAGAGGTTGAGATTATGCAGAATTACATTCTGAGTTGCAGGAAGACAGAGGAAGACCTAGGAAGATGGACACTTTAAGACTGGGCTTGATGAGAGATGTGCAGAGCTGTTACAGAGATGAAGTTTGTTTGGATATTAATGGATAACTTTGAATATTTAACTAGATGCCAATTGTTCTCCCTATGATGGTTTAACAGTAGGATATGCTATATGGTGGGGTTAAAATAGAGATTGTAGAAAATTATCTGGATAAAATGGAGGCTTGAAGAATTAATCACTGGGAGAAAATATATGAGGGTGTCAACTACATTAAGCACAGTATGAAATACACATTTATTAGGGATTGCAAATGGTAGTTTGCCCTCCTGAGAACTACTGCATTTATGAAATGCTTTCTTTTTAATGCTTTTTTTTCCCCTTTCTTTCATTCTCTTCCATCTTTTTACAGGCTTATTCCCATTTGGTAGTAAATTAGCTTCCTGGAGAATGCAGAGATCAATGCATTTCATTAGAGGGGAAGACAAGGCTTGAAACAGATCCACTGGAAATCCTAAATTTGTACACATATTGGGAAGAATGCTCTCCCTGTTCACGTGTGTGTGTGTGTGTGTGGGTGTTGTGTGCGCATGTGTGTGAAAGCAGAGCTTATGAGAAGCCCTAAAAACCACCTGTGAAAACTGATGTCTAGGTTAGGGAGCACCAAATATTCTAGTTGTATGTATACGCACACTAGAAGAAATTGTCCCTGAATAAATCAGTGCTTGCTTTTTACAGTTATATTTACTTGTGCAATAATTTGTCATAGAATTTAGGGTCCATAACTCCAAATGTATGCCATCTGTTTTACAGGAGCATTTTTATCCCTCAGAAACAAGTCCAGAATCTATAAACACAAAACAGGAATGTATATATTCACTTAAAATATTAGAAACTTGTAATATATTAGGTTGATCTTATACATTATTGCTATTTATAAATTTATTAGGTAGGGTAATGAATGAATTTATTTCTCATTTCACTTCTTTAAAGATTCCTGTTTATTTAGCTAAGGAATGTTTATTGTGTCCTATTAATAACTAATAGTGAAAATGTACTGTCTTATGGTGGGTTGTTTACTTCATACTATTTTCCTATATTATTAAGTAATGCAAAGTATTAATCAAAGGCCTGTTAACATAGGGTACTGTGCTGGGCATTGAGATACTGTGGTACCGGCTTCATGTGCTCAAATTCTTGCAAGAATGAAGAACAAAACCTAGCTAACAGCTATTGAGATTTTATGCCAGGAACTCTTTATTTCATTTAATCTTCACTTTATGTAGTAAATATTATCGTATCATTCCTGCATTATAGATGAAGCTGAACTATTTTGAGGAGCCTATAAAAGTTTTGTATGCTTGTGCTTGGTTTTATGGAAATCAGGCACATACCATGAAGCCTCTTAGGAATCCCCCACTTATCAAACATAACACACTTGTAGAATAAAAATAACTAAAAATTTTGAGGAATTCATCAGCTGTTTCCTCAATTTATATTGTAGCAGTTGTAACAATCACTAATTAGTGTCAGTAAAATATATGACCAGAAACATCCTGATTGATTTCATAATTGAATGCGGGATATAAATTAACATTATAAATATTTTCTCCAAAATGTATGCTTTTTGCCCTGTCCCGAACCACTCTGGATTCAGGTTATACTTGAAGTAAATTATCTTCTGTGCTAACCACGTAGCAATCTATTTCCCATTCTCAGAAATTCTTTTCTTTTCCAGAGGAATTGAGGCAGTTATTCCAGGTGTGAGAAATCTGGCTGTATCCAGTTTTATATTATAAAGTGGAATTCAAGTCACATCAGTAGTTTTGACATTTGGCTTCTAAAGTGTCTACCATTGCGGTAAATGTGTCCTCCAGTCACCAGAACACTCAATAAGACTTAAAAAAAATCAAATCTATTTTTCCTATTGACATTTTTTTGGATAGTTTGTAGCAACCAATGAACAGAAATGAGTTTGCTATTTTATTATCTGTTTTCAATAAACCTTCCTGAAATTTATCCATAAAAATAAACAGTAAAAGCTATAGCATTTTAGAGATAGCTGTAATAAAACAGCTCGCTGCCTGATTGTTTAGAGGGGAAAAATATAAAGTAATTATACTATTTGTTTTTTCCTGTGTTATAAATTCATTTAATTTAATGTTAAGATGTCTAAAGATTACAAAATGTTACTTTAAACTTCTAATGTTAAAGTATTAAAATTTTGAAATTTATGTTTTAGATAAAACTGGATTTTGATTTCTTCCATCACAAATAGAACCTTTAAAATATTTAGAAAAGTATCATCAATGTTCTGGAGTCAGGTAAAGAAACTATTCTATGGGCATTGATATAAAATCATTCTAATGTAAAATATTTCTTTTCCGAAATTATGCCAAAATAACACCTTAGTTATACTTGAAAGATGAAATATAATTAAATTTTACTTTAAAGTTACAAATATAGGGTTTAAGCAAGCATTTTCTGGATCATTTAACCTGTGCATTAATCTTATTTTTTAAAATGATATACCACTTTAAAATTTTAGTAGTCTCATCTAAATGAAAAGTAAGTTAATTTTAAGAGTTTTTACTTTATATGAATACATTAAACTTTTAGATAAGAAGTATTATAATTTTTTTCTTCATGACAAATGAAGTACATCTCAAATTTAATAGTCTTTCCTTGTAAACTATATCACCTAGCAGAGCACTCATAAAATACTGATAGAAAAGCAAGTTTCAGAAAAAGAATTTCTTTATGAATTTAAAAAGCAAAACTTAAAAGCTGCTTTGAATTATTTTTCTTTTTTTACTTAACAAAATTATTTTATATTATTTTATTTTTGTTATAACAATGTTTAATATAAATGATATAGAGCTAAAGCCATTGTTGTTATTAGTAGCATGGATCTGCTGACTAACATCCATACATTTACTATACCCTTTAATCAGAAATTAAGTTTCTTTAAACTGGAGTGAGAACTTTTTGTTTTATCGTATGTATGTATGTATGTATGTATGTATGTATGTATGTATTTATTTGTTATACTTTAAGTTCTGGGGTACATGTGCAGAACGTGCAGGTTTGTTACATAGGTATACATGTGCCATGGTGGTTTCCTGCATCCATCAACTCGTCATCTACATTAGGTATTTCCCCTAATGCTATCCCTCCCCCAACCCCTCAATCCCCGAAAAGCCCTGGTGTGTGATGTTCCTCTCCCTGTGTCCATGTGTTCTCATTGTTCAACTCCCACTTACAAGTGAGAACATGCAGTGTTTGGTTTTCTGTTCCTGTGTTAGTTTGCTGAGAATGATGGTTTCCAGCTTCATCTGTGTCCCTGCAAAGGACATGAACTCACCCTTTTTTATGGCTGCATAGTATTCCATGTTGTATATGTGCCACATTTTTTTATCCAGTCTATCATTGATGGGCATTTGGGTTGGTTCCAAGTCTTTGCTATTATGAACAGTGCTGCAGTAAACACACATGTGCATGTGTCTTTATAGTAGAATGTTTTATAATCCTTTGGGTATATACCCAGTAATGGGATTGCTGGGTCAAATGATATTTCTTGTTCTAGATCCTTGAGGAATCGCCACACTGTCTTCCACAATGGCTGAACTAATTTACACTTCCGCCAACACTGTAAAAGCATTCCTTTTTCTTCAGCATCTGTTGTTTCCTAACTTTTTAATGATTGCCATTCTAACTGGCATAAGATGGTTTCTTATTATGGTTTTGATTTGCATTTCTCTGATGACCAGTGATGATGAGCATTTTTTCATATGTTTGTTGGCTGCATGAATGTCTTCTTTTGAGAAGTGTCTGTTCATATCTTCACCCACTTTTTGATGGGGTTGTTTGTTTTTTTCTTGTAAATTTGCTTAAGTTCATTGTAGATTCTGGATATTAGCCCTTTGTCACGTGGATAGATTGCAAAAATTTTCTCCCATTCTGTAGGTTGCCTGTTCATTCTGATGGTAGTTTCTTTTGCTGTGCAGAAGCTCTTTAGTTTAATTAGATCCCATTTGCCAGTTTTGGCTTTTGTTGCCATTGCTTTTGGTGTTTTAGTCATGAAGTCTTTGCCCATGCCTATGTCCTCAGTAGTATTGCCTAGGTTTTCTTCTAGAGTTTTTATGGTTTTTGGTCTACCATTTAAGTCTTTAATCCGTCTTGAATTAATTTTTATATAAAGTATAAGGAAAGGATTCAGTTTCAGCTTTCTGCACATGGCTAGCCAGTTTTCCCAGCACCATTTATTAAATAGGGAATCTTTTCCCCATTGCTTATTTTTGTCAGGCTTGTCAAAGATCAGATGGTTGTAGATGTGTGGTGTTATTTCTGAGGCCTCTGTTCTGTTCCATTGGTTTATATATCTGTTTTGCTGGTTTTGTTGCTGTAGCCTTGTAATGTAGTTTGAAGTCAGGTAGCATGACGCCTCCAGCTTTGTTCATTTTGCTTAGGATTTTCTTGTCTATGTGGGCACTTTTTTGGTTCTATATGAAATTCAGTGTAGCTTTTTCCAATTCTGTGAAGAAAGTCATTGGTAACTTGATGGGGATAGCATTGAGTGTATGAATTACTTTGGGCAGTATGGCCATTTTCACGATATTGATTCTTCCTATCCACGAGCATGGAATGTTCTTCCATTTGTTTGTGTCCTCTCTTATTTCCTTGAGCAGTGGTTTGTAGTTCCCCTTGAAGAGGTCCTTCACAGTCCTTGTAAGTTGGATTCCTAGATATTTTATTCCCTTTGAAGCAAATGTGAATGGGGCTTCACTCATGATTTGGCTCTCTGTTTACCTGTTATTTCTGTATAGGTATGCTTGTGATTTTTGCATATTGATTTTGTATCCTGAGACTTTGCTGAAGTTGCTTATCAGCTTAAGGAGATATTGGGCTTAGACAATGGGGTTTTCTAATTTTTCAGTCATGTCGTCTACAAACAGAGACAATTTGACTTCCTCTTTTCCTAATTGAGTACCCTTTATTTCTTTCTCCTGCCTGATTGCCCTGGCCAGAACTTCCAACACTATGTTGAATAGGAGTGGTGAGAGAGGGCATCCCTGTCTTTTGCCAGTTTTCAGAGGGAATCCTTCCAGTTTTTGCCCATTCAGTATGATATTGGCTGTGGGTTTGTCATGAGTAGCTCTTATTATTTTGAGATACATTCCATCAATACCTAGTTATTAAGAGTTTTTAGCATGATGGGTTGTCATGTCAAAGGCCTTTTCTGCATCTATTGAGATAATCATGTGGTTTTTGTCATTGGTTCTGTTTATGTGATGAATTATGTTTATTGATTTGCATATGTTGAACCAGCCTTGCATCCCAGGGATGAAGCTGACTTGGTTGTGGTGGATAAGCTTTTTGATGTGCTGCTGGATTCAGTTTGCTAGCATTTTATTGAGGATTTTTGCATCAATGTTCATCAGGGATATTGGCCTCAAATTTTCTTTATTTGTTGTGTCTGTGCTAGGTTTTGGTATCAGGATGATGCTGGCCTCATAAAATGAGTTAGGGAGGATTCCCTCAATTTCTATTATGTGGAATAGTTTCAGAAGGAATGGTACTAGCTCCTCTTTGTACCTCTGGTAGAATTTGACTGTGAATCTGCCTGGTCCTGGACTCTTTTTGGTTGGTAGTCTATTAATTACTGCCTCAGTTTTAGAACTTGTTATTGGTCTATTCAGGGATTCGACTTCTTCCTTGTTTAGTCTTGGGAGGGTGTATGTGTCCAGGAATTTATCTATTTCTTCTACGTTTTTCTAGTTTATTTGAGTAGAGATGTTTTTAGTATTCTCTGATGGTAGTTTGTATTCCTGTGGGATTGGTGGTGATATCCCCTTTATCATGTTTTATTATGTCTTTTTGATTCTTCTCTCTTTTCTTCTTTATTAGTCTGGCTAGCAGTCTACTTTGTTGATCTTTTCAAAAAACCAGCTCCTGGATTCCTTGATTTTTTGAAGGGTTTTTCGTGTGTCTATCTCCTTTAGTTCTGCTCTGATCATAGTTATTTCTTGTATTGTGCTAGCTTTTGAATTTGTTTGCTCTTGCTTCTCTAGTTCTTTTAATTGTGATGTTATGGTGTTGATTTTAGATCTTTCCTACTTTCTCTATTGGGCATTTAGTGCTACAAATTTCCCTCTGTACACTGCTTTAAATGTGTCCTAGAGATTCTGGTACATTGTGTCTTTGTTCTCATTGGTTTCAAAGAACATCTTTATTTCTGCCTTCATTTCGTTACTTACCCAGTAATCATTCAGGAGCAGGTTGTTTAGTTTCCATGGAGTTGTGCAGTTTTGAGTGAGTTTCTTAAACCTGAGTTCTAATTTGATTGCACTGTGGTCTGAGAGACTGTTTGTTATGATTTCCATTCTTTTGCATTTGCTGATGAGTGTTTTACTTCGAATTATGTTGCCAATTTTAGAATAAGTGTGATGTGCTGCTGAAAAGAATGTATATTCTGTTGATTTGGGGTGGAGAGTTCTGTAGATGTCTATTAGATCTGCTTGGTCCAGAGCTGAGTTCAAGGCCTGGATATCCTTGTTAATTTTCTGTCTCATTAATCCGTCTAATATTGACAGTGGGGTGTTAAAGCCTCCCACTATTATTGTGTGGGAGTCTAAGTCTGTTTGTAAGTCTCTAAGAACTTGCTTTATGAATCTGGTTGCTCCTGTATTGAGTACCTATATATTTAGGATAGTTAGCTCTTTTTGTTGCATTTTTCCCTTTACCATTATGTAATGCCCTTCTTTGTCTCTTTTGATCTTTGTTGGTTTAAAGTCTGTTTTATTAGAGACTAGGTTTCCGACACCTGCTTTTTTTTTTGTTTGCTTTCCATTTGCTTGGTAACTCTTCTGCCAACCCTTTATTTTGAGCCTATGTGTGTCTTTGCATATGAGATAGATCTCCTGAATACAGCACACCAATGGGTCTTGACTCTTTATTCAATTTGCCAGTCTGTGTCTTTTAATTGGAGCGTTTAGCCCATTTACATTTAAGGTTAATGTTCTTATGTGTGAATTTGATCCTGTCATTATAATTCTAGCTGGTTATTTTGCCTGTTAGTTGATGCAGTTTCTTAATAGTGTCGATGGTCTTTACAAATTGTTATGTTTTTGCAGTGTCTGGTACCGGTTTTTCTTTTCCATGTTTAGTGCTTCCTTCCGGAACTCTTGTAAGGCAGGCCTGGTGGTGACAAAATCTCTCAGCATTTGCTGGTCTGTAAAGGACTTTATTTCTCCTTCACTTATGAAGCTTAGTTTGGCTGGATGTGAAATTCTGGGTTGAAAATTATTTTCTTTAAGAATGTTGACTGTCCTGGCTAACAAGGTGAAACCCTGTCTCTACTAAAAATACAAAAACAAAATTAGCTGGGCATGGTGGTGGGCACCTGTAGTCTCAGCTACTCGGGAGGCTGAGATGGGAGAATGGCATGAACCCAGGAGGTGGAGCTTGCAGTGAGCCAAGATCGTGCCACTGCACTCCAGCCTGGGCGACAGAGTGAGATTATGTCTCAAAAAAAAAATATTGAATATTGGCCCCCACTCTCTTCTGGCTTGTAGGGTTTCTGCTGAGAGATCCGTTATTAGTCTGATGGGCTTCCCTTCGTGGGTAACTTGACCTTTCTGTCTGGCTGCCCTTAACAATTTTCCTCATTTCAACCTTGGTGAATCTAATGATTATGTGTCTTGGGGTTGCTCTTCTCGAGGGACACTTTGTGGTGATCTCTGTATTTCCTGAATTTGAACATTGGCCTGTCTTGCTAGGTTGGGGAAGTTCTCCTGGATAATATCCTGAAAAGTGTTTTCCAACTTGGTTCCATTCTCCCCGTCACTTTCAGGTACACCAATCAAATGTAGGTTTGGCCTTTCCACATAGTCCCATATTTCTGGGAGGCTTTGTTCATTCCTTTTTATTGTTTTTTCTCTAATCTTGTCTTCTTGCTTTATTTCATTAAGTTTATCTTCAATCTCTGATATCCTTTCTTCTGCTTGATCAATTCGGCTATTGATACTTGTGTATGCTTCACGAAGTTCTCGTGCTGTGTTTTTCAGCTCCATCAGGTCATTTATGTTCTCCTCTAAACTGGTTATTCTAGTTAGCAATACCTATAACCTCTTTTCAAGGTTCTTAGCCTCCTTGATTTGGGTTAGAACATGCTCCTTTGCTCAGAGGAGTTTGTTATTACCCACCGTTATTGAATAGGGTATCATTTCCCAAGTTTATGTTTTTGCATGCTTTTTCAAAGATCAATTGGTTTTAATTATTTGGCCTGTTTCTGGGTTCTCTATTCTGTTCCATTGGGCGATTTATCTACTTTTATACTAGTACCATGCTGTTTTGGTTACAATAGCCTTGTTAGCATAAGTTGAAGTTGGAAAATGTGATGCCTATAAATTTTTCTTTTTGCTTAGGATTGCTTTGGCTATCTGGGCTCCTAAAAAGTTGATTCTTTATACAACGTTTTATTTCTTTAAGAAGATATAAAAATATGTTTGCATATACCAAATTAATTAGTCTAGAATTACACACCTACAAGGAGAAATAGACTAATCAATAATCATAGCAGGAGATTCTAATGTTCTTAGTCATTGATAGAACAAGGAAAAATCAGTAAAGATGTAGAAAGTTTGAATAATTGCTTTAACTACCTTGAAGATGTGGTGATTCAATTTAACTCTTAAAAAGCATATATTTCCCAGTTTTATCCAGTCAGTTTTGTTTTTAACCCTTTCTGGAGAAATTACATAATATAAAATTGCATCTCCTAGATTGAAAACAAAATGTTTACCTTGTATATTGCATTTTCTTTCTTATTCTTTTTGTCTTTTGTTCTACCATATTTCCTTGAGTTTACTTTCCATACTTCTATTGATACATTTTTTTTTTTGAGACAGAGTCTTGCTCTGTCGTCCAGGCTGGAATGCAGTGGCATGATCTCAGCTCACTGCAAGCTCCTCCTCCCAGGTTCACACCATTCTCCTCCCTGAGCCTCCCAAGTAGCTAGGACTACAGGCGCCCGCCACCACGCCTGGCTAATTTTTTTTTTGTATTTTTTTAGTAGAGACGGAGTTTCACCATGTTAGCTAGGCTGGTCTCAAACTCCTGACCTCATGATCCACCCACCTCGGCCTCCCAAAGTGCTGGGATTACAGGCGTGAGCCACCATGCCTGGCCTGTTGATGCATTTTTAATTTTATTACCATGTATTATATTTTGAAAAATTCCTTATTTTTCTAAGGTGTTTCTTTTAAAAAAATCTTGGTATTTTTATAGATACAATATTTCCTTGAATCTTTCTGAGGGTAATAATTAAATATATTTAAAATTATTTTCTGTTCCTTGAAACATTTCTGCTTCCTCTGAAGCCAGATGTTTTGTGTCTATCATGGCATTTCTTTTTTTTAACTACAGGCTCTCCTCTAATATCTGGTAATTAATAATTTTCCAATCATATTGGAGAACAAATCAGATGTTGACTGATTGGGTACTTAGAAAGAGGAAGGTTTTGCTCTTGGTTAATAACAGTCACATTTCTGTAACTATCTTCAGATAGTCTATTTAGTGTTAACTGAGAAGAAGCTGCTTTTTGGCTTTTTAAAAAATTGGTTAGGTAGTAAGGCTCTAGATGGTAAACACATTGTGCATTTCTTTGGAGAAGTAGTCATATCTATGGGGAGGGATTTCTATGATTTTTATGTATATAGATTTAAGACAATAATACCTTCATCTTCAAGCACACTTATTTCTAACAATCATAATACTTGCTTCTCTTATTGAACCCTCTTCAGAATTCTGCCAAACAGATTGTTTCCTTTTAGTCTGAAGCCCCTTCCAAGAACATTCTATGTGGTGGCCTCTTCCACTGTGTTGTATAGGTATCATTGATATCAGTTATTTAGTGGTGCTTTTCTCTTCCCTTTTGGTTGTATGATTATGTTTTTAGTAACATTTACATAATCAGAAGAAAATAGTGAATATAAATATGTGTCCTTTGTATGTCCCCATTAAATGGAATCCAATTGACACTTGAAACTTAGGATGTTAGACTTTGAAAAAAGAAATAATTGAGATATTATTCAATGCTGGTCATTATAACATTGGTTCATTGCTGATTTCTTGGATTTCTGTCCCCAAACTTCAGTATGAAACTGAGTGCAGATATTATCTATTACTTGTAATATTTCCTTCATATTATGGACAGGAAAATTTTATCTTTTCTAAATCATAATTTTCATAGATTATGTTAACTCTGAGTCTTATATAGGTCTGAATAATCTATAACCAGCATGTTATCAGCGAGTATATGGGCCATTGTAAAAATCACACACGCAGATGGCAATCTGAAATGAAAAACCTTTACAGAGAAGGGAGTGACAGAAGGCAAGCACATAGGGAATGAGTTTAACAGCACAAGTACTAAATAGAAATAAGTAATTAGTTTAAGGTGAAGTAAAGAGAATGTAGTTGAAATATTAAGAATCTATTAAAGTACAAGAATACTTCTGCAAGATGAGACTGTCAGGAGAGAGCCCATGAAGTGTGTAATCTCCAGAGATATTCCAGGCTGACAGGTGACACCTGTCTACCCAGGGAGTAATTAAAAAGTAATGACATCAGTGCTGCCCATTCACCATGAAAGATGAGGCTCCTGAGAAGGCTTACATGCCTGAAATGATTCTATATTTATTCACAACTGTCACCTTTCTTCCCCTTTAGAGAATCTCAGGTCTCAATGGCTGAGCCATGTCAGATCAGATTAGCTCTTGATTGACAAATGCCTGTGGTGCTGCTTGTGTTTCCATAGATGGAGGAGAAGTGACTCAGCAGGAAGTGCTAGTCCCTGGGTATAGAAAGAGTTGAGTGAGGTGTTCTACTTTTCCAAAGTGAAATCTGTAAAGTGAGATGTTTCTATTTCTTTTCTTCTTCTTTTTTTTTTTAATCTCTTCTGTTCAACTACTAACAGTGTAGCTTTGACTGAAGTGGAATTTGAATGGCAGTTTTCTGGAATCCATTTTAAATGAAATTATCATCTGGCTTTAATGACTCATCATAAAGTGCAAAAATGGAGTAGTAATTTTGAAATGCTCTTCACCCTAGTAGTATATGGTTCTATATCAAAATGGCAGCCCAGTGGTCACGAAAACAAACATTATCATCTTGTGTTCAAAACAGGTATGTAAATTAAGAGTGATTCAAACATGTATGTGAAAAAAATGGAAGTTTATTAACTATTTTTAAAATTAATGATTTAAAATTGCTTTAAAGCAAGCGCTTAAACAATATTTCAGATCCAGATGGTGGTGATCTAGGGTCCAAACCCAAATTTGCTAATATTGTAAGAGCCTGAGATTTTAGATAGCTCTCATATAACACATCAGCACTTTGCAGTGCATGTATAGGATAATAAAAAGGGTTGGAATTCCAGACGTTAGAACCAAAAGAAGGATTTTACAAAATGAGAAAGACATGACTGTTAAGGAGTGCTTTGAAGGAAATGTTGAAAGCTTTACAAACTGTGATAGTAAGTAATTATAAGTAATTCAGTTATATATAGCCAGTTTCATGATATTTACTCATAATCTAATAAAAATTAAATTTAAGTTTTTTGTAAAGCTGGAATGCCATACACAAAGTAAAAATTATCTTTCTGGATAATTAAGTGAGAAAATCTTGTGAATCAAGTTTTGTAAATTAAAAGAACATATCTTTATGTAATTAGTGGTGGTGATAGAAAGTAAACCAAAGGCAAATAATAGAAAAACTCTTGTATGGAGTCTTCTCACAAGTCACAATGATGTCAGTGAAGAAAGTGCTAGGGCACTCTGATTGATGATGATGATATAAGTGGAAAAGAGTGCTATAAATTGATGGGATGTATGTCAGAGTTCTGATAGGTAGACTGAAAAATGAATGTGGAATTAGAGTCAGAAAACTGCTTTTTGGGTCTTAACACCTGTTTCATTACCTTGAGCAAGTTATGTAAATCTTTGAAACTCAAATTCTTAAACAACCATAAGACTTGGCAAATGATATCTGTACAGCTTACCTCACAAAATATGAGTGGAAATTAACTGCACCATAGTTCTACAGGAGAGAGATTTTTCTTGTTGGTGTTTTCTTCAGGCCATGGCAAGTGTTCCTAAGTACAGACCCAAGAAATTGATATTTTAAAAGTACTGAGTACAAGTAATCAGTATCCACAGATGCATGTGTATGTGGTAGGTCTGTGTTTGCACTGGCAAGACTACCTCTTTTAAAACCTTGCTCAACAAAGTAATGATAAATGCTTGAGATGATGAATAACCCAATTATGCTAATTTGATCATTCCCCATTGTATGCTTATATCAAAATATCAGATGTACCCTGTAAATATGTTCAACTGTTAAATATCCATAAAAATTAGAAATTAAAAATTTAAAAAGTAAATAAAATCTTGCTCAAGCTTTTAATTATTTTCTATAGGGTATTGCCCAACTTAATCTTGTACCTAGATTTCCATGTATTTCTGCATGTGCATCAGGGACCTGTGATAAAATTACCTAATACTGCAGTGCAGGTTTACAAGCTCAGTAGTGCATGCCAGTTGATAAAATTCATGTGTGTCCCATTCAAGTACATGATCAATGAATATAACAAATATAAAACACATTATTGGAAACAAGTGATCATTGGAACCTTCATTTTTGCAGATTTTCTTCTCTTCCTCATACTTATTTGGGTAAGATAGGACACTCTGTTTGCATAATAGACATGAAATAATTTTGTTTTCATGGTCGTTAGTGTGACACTTGCCATATACACTAAATTCCTTTTGAGTCATATTCATTACTGATCAACAGTAGCTGGTATCCTTCATGAGCTACAGAAGGCTACAGATGCTTCCTCAGTGGTGGTTTGATCTACATCAGGGGAAGGTCAGTCCTCCTGCAAAGACACACATACACACACACACACACACACACACACACACACACACACACATGCTCACACATACCCCTCTGCAAAGACACACACACATACACTCACACACAAACACACGTATACTCGAGCACACACCCCTCTGATCTAAACTGATCTTGGATAAAATGCACGGGGAAATACATTTCCAACTTCTTAATTTCATGGATAATGCCAGAAGCCAGAAAAATGTTTTTCCTTTTTCTAGGGTGCTGAGTTAAATCAGGTCTAAAATGGAAAGCAAATATAAACAATAATCAGTAGACTACCCATCTGGAGAAAAAATAATTTGAGGCTTTATAAATCATACATACAGATATTAAACCTATTCTTCATTTAAAATTATTTTTCACTGCTCATGTGGATAGAATTACCACCAATTGGACAAAATATTTTCTATCCTAGTTATTTTGGAATTGTATCTATAAGAAGCATCAGAATCATAGACAATGTTTCATGTTAACATTCTGCTATGAGTTTATCAAACCTATTACCAAAAATAAGGAGGGAACAAGAAATATGGTTAAAGAAGAATCAGTATTCTGAACTCTCTTGCTTCAAATCATCTTTAGTCCCCTGGAGACCCTTTTAATCACCAAAGGATATTAATAATATTGCAGGCTGGAACTTCTAAGCAGTAAAGCCTGAAATAAATAGCAAAATTCTGGCTTGCATTCTCATCGTTGCCTATGCTACCATTTATCACATCTCTGTGGAGGCCCAACAATTTATCTTCTCTTGATAATGTCTATAAATATAAAGATGTTAATAGACTCTTAGGGAGCGTATTTACTAGAGACTATAAACTGTTTGCAAAAACATCCTATGTGTATTAGTTTAATTGTACATTTTCTTTTCTCCAGAGTGACTTTATCCCACATGGAAGACACCCATGCCTTCAGATTCATTTATACTAATGGACACAAATGAGGTGTGGGGGGCGGGGGGGATGGCGTGTGGTGAGTGGAGAGTGGGGAGGAGTCAGGATACAAAAGGTGACCCTAGATTGCAGTCTTCAGGTTATATACACTCTTGTGTTCATTAGAAGAGCTAAATAGCACCTTATCTTGCCTTTGCAAGTCAGCTGCTCATCTCTGAGGTCTAGAAAACTTCTTGAACCTGGGTTCATTATTACTCGTGTCAATATCTAGGAGGAAATTCCATGTTGATAATTTCTGTCAGAATCAAGGTAAAGTTACTTAACACATTTTTAGACAGGGTGAACTCTGACATCATAAATAATGCATTGACTAGCTCCCTAAAATTTTGCAATTGGACTTTGATAAGTACCTGAAGTATATTTTTGCAAATATGTAACACTTCTTTTGATCAAGAATTTATAGAAAAACAATAAAGACATTTTTGATATAACATTTTCTCCTGGATATTGATTTTCACAAGTCTATTAGATGTTGATGAAATTTCTATGAACTTGTATTGGCAAATGATATGTCAACTAATATCAAGAGATAAGCAAATTCACGGACTTTGGGACTGAATCTTGAAAGAGAAATGGCTCGTAAAATTTTAGAATTGAAACGAGCTTAGAGACAATTGGACTCAACCCCTTGTTTATATAGATGATGAAACTGTGGACATGATCACCTGAGCACAGCCAGCGAGCAGAACCCTGGTTACAAGACTTTCAGTCAAACATGTCCTCTCCATGGTGGTATGGGAATGCAAAAACTGATGGGCATTGATTCTTAAACTGTGGTCTTTAGACCAACAGCATCAGCATTGCCTGGAAATTTGTTAGAAATGCAAATTTGTAGACTCCATACCAGACCTCCTGAATCAGAAACTCTGGGTTTGGGGTTGTGTAATTTGCTTTTTTAACAGGTGGTTCTGATGCACACTAAAGTTTGAGAACCACTATGATAGGACATTTTTAGTTCAAGAAAGGATATTTTAATTTTCTCTATTCACATTTACAATGCATTAAAAGTAAAAAGATAATTGAAATGGAAAAATATTCTGATGATCTTACTTAGGGATTTATAATTCTGTTGACCAGATTTTTTTCATAAAAGCCATGACGTGCTAATTTGATTCACAATTATTTGCTAAAATAGCACCCTTATGGGAACATAAAATTTAGTAGACTGCAGACAGAACAAGGCATTAGTCTTCTAAAAAATACTTATTTTCTGATGGAGACTTACTCCTCAAGTGAAGGATGTGGTTTATTTTATGGCGGTTGTATTACTTTGGTATCTTTTGCTTCCCTAAGAAGTCTATGTTTTGCTACATCCTACGTTTACCAGCCGGGCAAATGTGTAATAACCAAATATTACATGTCGTTTTCTGTTTTTGTCAAGTAAAAGAGCAAATACATACAAACACCAGATGTCCAAAATATTAAATAACTTTAAATTTCATATTTATTATTCCAAAAAATCAGAAAATATGGTACTATGTAAAAATTTTTAAGATTTATTCATATTGTACATGCAGAGTTAGTATTTTTTACTGTTGCATAGTATTCCAGGGTGTGAATATATTATAATTTACTTATCTAATCTTCTATTGATAGGCACTTTGGTTATTTCTAGATTTTTCTCTTACAAATGGTGTTGCATTGAACATTCTTCTCTATGTCTCCTGGAATATATACATGCAATTTTATTTTGGATATATATCTAAAACTGGAATGACTGAATCACAGAATATGCGAATATTGAGTTTTACAAAGAAGATCAAACTACTTTCCAAAAAATTTGTATTAATTTATATTTCAATAGTTGTATAAAGACTGTTACACCACATCTTTTTTTTTGAAACTTAATTATTGTTCATATTTCTCAATACTATTTTAATGGGTATCACATTGTGGCTTCTATTTGCATTTCCCTGACTTCTATTAAGGTTGCACACCTGTTTCTATGTTTGTTGAGCATGTGTTTTTTCTTCTTCAAAATAGATGATTATGCATTTTACCCATTTTCAAAAAAGACTTTTTGTAGGCCTTCTATATTCTTTTTCTTTCAAATAAGCATGATTTATTTATTTCTTCTGTGGCACTGAACTATCATAATTTAAAATTTTCATTGGACTCAAATGTCCTTTATTTCTTAAAGGGAAATATTGTAAATTCCTATTCTGAATTTCTCATTTTTTTGTTGTTGTTAAAAGTTTTTGTTTTTTTTTCTATAATGGAATGTGGTGTTTGTTTACCCTCTGCAAAAGCTTTTGCTACATATTCACATGGACTTTTCACTAATAAATCTAATACAAACAGAAGATGAGCACAACTTGTGGGTGAGTTGTTTTAATGTTCCTAAGATTTGGTTTCTCCATATGTAAAATTCAGGTCAGTAAAGATGAAAATGAGTCAATTATGGTAAAACAGGCAGCTGTGGACTAAATGCCTGCGTTCACTAAAAATTCATATATTGGGGCCAGGCGCTCTGGCTCATGCCTGTAATCCCAACACTTTGGGAGGCCGAGGCAGGTGGATCACTTGAGGTCAGGAGTTCAAGACCGAGCCTGGCCAACATGATGAAACCCCGTCTCTACTAAAAAATACAAAAATTAGCCAGGCGTGGTAGCGGGCGCCTGTAATCCAAGCTACTCAGAAGGCTGAGGCAGGAGAATCGCTTAACACCAGGAGGTAGAAGTTGCACTGAGCTGAGATCGTGCCATTGCACTCCAGCCTGGGTAACACAGCAAGACTGTCTTGAAAAAAAAAAAAAATTCGTATATTGGTGCCCAGTTTCCAGTGTGATAGTATTTGGGGATAGGTCCTTTGAGAAGTAATTAGGTAATGAGGGCAGAGACTTCATGAACAGAATTTGTGTCTTTATAAGAAGAGACAGGAGAGAGATGATATTTCTCTTTGTACCATGTGAAGATAAAGCAAAGAAAATGGCCATCTACAAACCAGGAGGAGAGCCCTCACTAGGAACTGAATCAGATGGCACTTCAATCTTGAATTTCCTGGCCTCCAGAACTGTGAAAATTAAATGTTTGTTGTTTAAGCCACCGAGTCCATAGCATTTATTATAGCAGCGCAAACTGACTTAGACATAAGCTTAGTACAGTGAGGGCAAAATAAAGGATAGTCATTATTTTAAGGTGAGTGAAATTAAATTTCATTTTTAAATTTGGATTATAAATTTAATCTTAAATTTAGTTCTTAGTTGTTGTAAAGTTATTATGTTAAGGTATAAGTATGTAAACATTCTCAATGAAAAAGTATATCATCAGAAGGATAAAACCCAGAAAAAATTTCAAAGAAATTAAAAATCAGAACATGGAGATGCGGTGGGAGGCAACACTTTTTCCCCACAGTGCTGTTACACACAATGTAACTGTCATCTAAAACAGATTGGAAAAGAACAGACAGTAAGTCAGAAACAGGATGAAGCTTCAGTCTTGGCTCTTTAGCTTTTAATGTCTCTAAAAATGTGCTGACCATAAAGTGCCTTTTTTGGAATAGGCAAATGAAAATACGTCCAATTTGAATTTTTAGTCAGCTCTGGGATAGCAGTTTGTGGAGAGGTACACCGTTGTTGTGGGAATAGACCCAGTTGTTCCCATTCCAATCATAATGCTTGGGTCCATTAGATGGAAGTGAGAACAAGATTTACTTATTTGGGGTTTGCTTGTTCATCCTGTAGGCTCCTCTATCTCCACACAGTTTAATTACTAAAATACTACTCCCAAAATTAGACATCTTAAATCAACTGTGTACGATTTGTTTGCAAGCTTTCAAAAAACAAATAGCCAATCTACTAACAAATTTGTCATCTCCTCTGCCAGTCGTTTATAGGTGGCCTTACCTAGAGAGCTTTGGCCACACCAAGTTACCATTTTCTTCAGATTCATCAAATGGACTCTTGCTTTTTTTTCCTTTTATTTTTAGTTGACATGTAATAACTGTATATATTTTTGGGATAGAGAGTAACATTTCAATACATGTGTCCAATGTGTGATCATCAAATCAGGTTAATTAGCATATCCATCACCTCAAAAATATATAATTTCTTTTTGTTGTGAACATTCCAATTCCTTTCTTCTAGCATTTGAAAATATATTATAAATTATGGTTAACCATATTCAACCTACAGTGCTGCAGGACATGATAACTCATTCCTTCTGTCTAGCTGTAATTTTCTATCTATTAACCAACCTCATCTCATCTTCTGCTCCCCACCATCCTTGCCTGCCCCTAATACCCACAATTCCGTGCTCTACTTCCATAGGTTATTTTTTACATTCCCACATATGAGTGAGAAAATGCAGTATTTATATTTCTGTTTCTGACTTATTTCCTGTAACGTAATGTCCCTCAAGGCTCATCCATGTTGCTTTGAATTACAGTAGTTTATTCTTTTTTATGGCTAGTATTTCATTGTAAATATATAGCTTATTTTCTTTATCTGTTCATCTTTTGATGGATATTTAGGTTGATCCTATAGCATAGCTATTGTGACCAGTACTGTAATAAACATGGGGGTGCAGATATCCCTTTGATATACTAATTTCATTTCCTTTGAGTAAATGTCTAGTAGTTAGGTTGCTAGATTGTATGGTAGTTCTATTTTTAGTATTTTGAGAAACTGCCACCTGTTTTCCATAGTGTCTATAATAATTTACATTCCTATCAAAAGTGTCTAAGCGTTCCCTTTTCTATGCATCCTTCTCAGCATTTATTTTTTGTCTTTTAGCTAATAGCCATTTGTATTTGTCAGAGTTCTCTAGAGGGACAGAACTAGTGGCTATTGGCTATATATATATATTCCACCATATATATATTCCATATACATATATATTCCATATATATATTCCATATACATATATATTCCATATATATATTCCATATATATTCCATATACATATATATTCCATATATATATTCCATATATATTCCATATACATATATATTCCATATATATATTCCATATATATTCCATATACATATATATTCCATATATATTCCATATATATTCCATATACATATTCCATATATATTCCATATACATATTCCATATATATTCCATATACATATATATTCCATATACATATTCCATATACATATATATTCCATATATATTCCATATATATTCCATATGTATATATTCCATATATATTCCATATATATATTCCATATGTATATATTCCGTATGTATATATTCCGTATGTATATATTCCGTATGTATATATTCCGTATGTATATATTCCGTGTGTATATATTCCGTATATATATTCCGTGTATATATTCCGTGTATATATATTCCGTGTATGTATATTCCGTGTATGTATATTCCGTGTATGTATATTCCGTATATATATTCTGTGTATGTATATTCCGTATATATATTCCGTGTATATATATTCCGTGTATATATTCCGTGTATATATATTCCGTGTATATATTCCGTGTATATATATTCCGTGTATATATATTCCGTGTATATATTCCGTGCATATATATTCCGTGTATATATATTCCGTGTATATATATTCCGTATATATATATTCCATGTATATATATTCTGTATATATATTCCGTATATATATTCCGTATATATATATTCCGTATATATATATTCCGTATATGTATTCCGCATATATATATTCCGTATATGTATTCCGTGTATATATATTCCGTATATGTATTCCGTGTATATATATTCCGTGTATATGTATTCCGTGTATATATTCCGTGTATATTTATTCCGTGTATATATTCCGTGTATATGTATTCCGTGTATATATTCCGTGTATATTTATTCCGTGTATATATTCCGTGTATATGTATTCCGTGTATATATTCCGTGTATATGTATTCCGTGTATATATATTCCGTGTATATATATTCCGTGTATATATATTCCGTGTATATATTCCGTGTATATATATTCCGTGTATATATTCCGTGTATATATATTCCGTGTATATATATGGGAGTTTATTAAGTATTAACTCACACAATCATAAAGTCTCACAATAGGCCATCTGCAGGCTGAGGAGCAAGGAAAGCCAGTCCGTGTTCCAAAGCTGAAGAATTTAGAGTCAAATGTTTGAGGGCAGGAAGCATCCAGCACGGTAGAAAGATATAGGCTGGGAGGCTAGGCCAGTCTCGCTTTTCACATTTTTCTGCCTGCTTATATTCTAGCTGAGCTGGCAGCTGATTAGATTGTGCCCACCCAGATTAAGGGTGGTCTGCCTTTCCCAGCCCACTGACTCAAATGTTAATCTCCTTTGGCCACACCCACGAAGACACACCCAGGATTAAAACTTTGTATCCTTCAATCCAATCAAATTGACATTCAGTATTAACCATCACGTCATTCTAACTGGGGTGAGATGATATTGCATTGAGATTTTGATTTGCATTTCCCTGATTATCAGTGATATTGAACATTTTTTCATATATTTGTTGGACATTTGTATATCTTCTTTTGAAAAGTTTCTATTTAGATCCTGTGACCAGTTTTTAATGGGATTATTAGTTGTTTTTTTTTTGCATTTGAGTTCAGTTCCTTGTATATTCTAGATATTTGCAAATATTTTATCCCATTTTACAGGTTGTCTCTTTACTCTGATAATTGTTTCCTTTGATGTGTAGAAGCTTTTTAGCTTGATGTAATCTCATTTGTAATTTTTGCTTTTGTTGCCTATGCTTCTAAAGCCTTAACCATAAAATATTTTTGTGCTATGTGATGTAATGTTTCCTTTTTCATTGGTCATTTTATTTATTTTGATATTCTTTCTTTTTTTCCTGGTTAGCCTAACTAGTGGTTCATTGATATTGTTTATCTTTCAAAAAACCAAGTTATCATTTTGTTGATTCTTTGTATTTTTAAAGACTATATTATTTACTTCTTCTCTGATACTTATTATGTTTTTTCTTACATTAATTTTGGGTTTGATTTGTTCTTGCTTTTCTAGTTTCTTGAGGTACATTTTTACATTGCTTATTATAAATCTTTCTACTTTATGCCAGGTAGGTGCTTATTGCTGTAAGTTTTCCTTTTAGCACTGCTTTTGTGGTATGCCATAGGTTTTGGTATGTTGTTTACATTTCCATTCGTTTTGAGAAGTTTTTGGGTTATCCTTCTGTGTTAGGCCATTCTTACATTGCTATAAATACCCAAGGATGGGTAATTTATGAAGAAAATAAGTTTAATTGGCTCACAGTTCTGCAGGCTGCAAAGGAAGCATGGTGATGACATCCCTTTGGCTTCTGGTGAGACCTCAGGGAGCTCTTATTCATGGTAGAAGGCAAAGCAAAAGCAGCATGTCATATGACGAGAGCAGGAGCAAGAGAGAGAAGGTGGATGTCTTAGAGTCTTTTAAACAATCAAATCCTATGTGAACTAACTGAGAACTGACTTAACACCAAGGGGATAGTGCTAAACCATTCTTGAGGTATCTGTCCCCATGATCCAATCACCTCCCACCAGGCCCCATTTTCAACATTGGGAATAACATTTCAACATGATATTTGAAGGGGACAAATATTCAAGCCACATTACCTACTTAATTTTTTTATTGACTCAGTGGCCATTTTGAGCATGTCATTTAATTTCCATTTGTTTGCATTATTTTCTTTCTTTTTTATTATACTTTAAGTTCTGGGATACATCTGCAGAACATGCAGGTTTGTTACAGAGGTATACACATGCCATGGTGGTTTGCTGCACCCATCACCCTTCATCTACATTAGGTATTTGTCCTAATGCTATCCCTCCCCTAGCCCCCACGCCCTGACAGGCCCCAGTGTGTGATGTTCTCCTCCCTGTGTCCATGTGTTCTCATTGTTCAGCTCCCACTTATGAGTGAGAACATGCAGGGGTTCGTTTTCTGTTCCTGTGTTAGTTTGCTGAGAATGATGGTTTCCAGCTTCATCCATGTCCCTGCAAAGGACATGAACTCACCATTTTTATGGCTGCATAGTATTCCATGGTGTATATGTGCCACATTTACTTTATCCAATCTATCATTGATGGGCATTTGGGTTGGTTCCAAGTCTTTGCTATTGTGAATAATGTTGTAATAAACATACGTGTGCATGTGTCTTTATAGTAGAATGATTTACAATTCTTTGGGTATATACCCAGTAATGGGATTGCTGGGACAAGTGGTATTTCTGGTTCTATATCCTTGAGGAATTACCACACTGTCTTCCACAATGGTTGAACTAATTTACACTCCCACCAACAGTGTAATAGCATTCCTGTTTCTCCACATCCTCTCCAGCATCTGTTGTTTCCTGACATTTTAATGATCATCATTCTAACTGACATGAGATGGTATCTCATTTTGGTTTTGATTTGCATTTCTCTAACGACTAGTGATGATGAGCTTTTTTTCATATATTTGTTGGCCGCATAGATGTCTTCTTTTGAGAAGTGTCTGTTTATATACTTCACCCACTTTTTGATGGGTTTGTTTATTTTTTTCTTGTAAATTTGTTTAAGTTCCTTCTATATTCTGGATATTAGCCCTTTGTCAGATGGATAGATTTGCAAAAATTTTCTCCCATTCTGTAGGTTGCCTGTTCACTCTGCTGATAGTTTTTTTTGTGTGTGTGCAGAAGCTCTTTAGTTTAAGTAGATCCCATTTGTCAGTTTTTGTTTTTGTTGCCATTGCTTTTGGTGTTTTAGTCATGAAGTCTTTGCCCATGCCTATATCCTGAATGGTATTGCCTAGGTTTTCTTCTAGGGTTTTTATGGATTTAGGTCTTATATTTAAGTCTTTAATCCATCTTGAGTTTATTTTTGTATAAGGTATAAGGAAGGGATCATTTCAGTTTTCTCCATATGGCTAGCCAGTTTTCCCAACACCATTTATTAAATAGGGAATCCTTTCCCCATTGCTTGTTTTTGTCAGAGTTGTCTCCCAGTTTTGTGCTTGAAACCCAGGGCCCTGTTGGCATAGGCACCCGAGGGAATCTCCTGGTCTATGGGTTGCGAATACTGTGGGAAAAGCATAGTATCTGGGCTGGAGTGCACTCTTCCTCATGGCACAGTCCCTCGTGGCTTTCCTTGGCTGGGGAGGGAGTTCCTTGACCCCTTGCGCTTCCCGGGTGAGGTAACGCCTCACCCTACTTTGGCTCGCCCTCCATGGGCTGCACCCACTGTCTAATCAGTCCCAATGAGATGAGCCAGGTACCTCATCTGGAAATGCAGAAATCACTCACCTTCTATGTTGGTCTCGCTGGGAGCTGCAGACCAGAGCTGTTCCTATTTGTCCATCTTGCCAGCCACCTCCACATTATTTTCAAGGTTCTAATTAATTTCTAGTTTTATTCAGTTGTGTTTTGATAAGATACCTGATATAATTTTGGTTTTAAAAAATTTGTTGACACTTTTTTTGTGACCTAATATATTTTCTATACTGGAGAATATTCTATGTGATGTTAAGAAGAATATGTATTCTGCACCTGTTGGATGAAGTGCTCCATAAGTGCCTGTTAGGTCCACTTGCTCTATAGTGCAGATTAAGTCTGATGTTTCTGTGTTAATCTTATGTGTAGATGATCTGTCTAATGCTGAATGTAAGATGTTGATTCCTCCAACTATTATTGTATTGGGATGTATCTCTCTTTGTAGATCAAATAATGTTTGCTTTACAGGGTGTTCAAGTGTTGGTTACATATATATTTACAATTCTTATGTCTTTTTGCTTACTTGATCCCTTTATCATTACATAATAACTTTCTTTGTCTTTTTCTATGTTCTTTAAGTCTATTTTGCCTGATACAAGTATACCCACCTCTGCATGCTTTTGTTTTCCATTTGTATAATTTTTTTTATTATCCCTTCTCTTTCAGTCTATGTGTCTACAAGTGAACTGAGTTTCTTCCAGGCAGCATATAATTTTTAAAAAAATTTTTTCAGCTGGGCGTGGTGGCTCACGCCTGTAATCCCAGCACTTTGGGATGCCGAGGCGGGCAGATCACGAGGTCAGCAGATCAAGACCATCCTGGCTAACATGGTGAAACCCCTTCTCTACTAAAAATACAAAAAATTAGCCAGGCGTGGTGGCAGGCGCCTGTAGTCCAAGCTGCTAGGGAGGCTGAGACAGGAGAATGGCATGAACCCGGGAGGCGGAGCTTGCAGTGAGCCGAGATTGCACCACTGCACTCCAGCCTGGGTGACAGAGCGAGACTCCATCTGAAAAAAAAAAAAAAAAAAATTCAGTCAGTTCTATATCTTTTAATTTGGAACTGAAGCCATTTACATTTGAAGATTCTACTGAAAGGTGAGAACTGATTTCTGTCATTTGTTAATTGTTTTCTGATTGTTTTACCTACACCTTCTTCCTCTTTATGATTTTGTGGTTTTCTATAGAGATAACATTTGAATCCCTTCTCTTTCTTATTTGTGTATCTGATCTACCAGTGAGTTTTAAACTTTAATACGTTTTCATGATAGTAGTTGTGCTTTTGCTTCTATATGTAAAACTCCCTTAAGTTTTTCTTGTAGGGTCCCCTAATGGTGATGAATTCCCTCAGATTTTGCTTATCTGAGAAATAATGAAAAACTTTATTTCTCTATAATCTCTGAAGGATAACTTTACTAGGCATAGTATTCTTGTTTGGCAACTTTTTCCTTCAGCACTTTGATTATGTCATTCTCTCCTGGCATGTAGGGTTTCTGATGATAAATTTTCTGTTAGTTTGCTGAGGATTTCCTTGGATCTGACTTGATACTTTTCTCTTGCTGTTTTGAATTCTCTGTCTTTGACTTTGATGGTTTGACTATAATGTGCCTAAGAAAAGACCTTTTTGGATGGAAATTTTGGGAGTTTTGACCTCCTATAGCCAGATGTTTATATCTCTTACAAAACTTGGGAATTTTTCAGCTATGATTTCATTAAGTAGGGAAACATGGAGTGTCATGTTTCCTTACTTTTTCATGTGTCCTTAGGTTGTTATCTGCATAATTGGTGTATCATTTGCATCTTTCAATTTTATGGAATGGCTTTTGTTGGGAAAGACTTTTTCTTGTAGATGTATCTATAGAGTTGATCGGGTAAGGTGCTTTGGGTTTGATACTGGGTGGGCACAGTAATGTAGTCTCCATATGATTTCTTTGGCATGTTAGCACTGTCTGTGAGTACCTCAGTGTTTTTTCCCATCTCTTCTTCTTCTGGTATTACGAAAATTTGAATACTTGTTCACTTTATAGTGTCCTATATATCATGGTGACTTTTTAAATTCTTTTTTTTTTTTGTCTGATTGGGTTATTTCAAAAGATCTGTCTTCAAGCCCAAAAATTCTTCTGCCTGATCTAATCTATTGTTGAAGCCATTGGTTGTATTTTTTACTTCATTCACTGTCTTTTTTAGTTCTAGGATTTATGTTTGGCTCTTTTTTAATGATATCTATCTCTTGGTTCAATTTTTTATGCAGATTTTTGTATTTCCTGTGTTCTTTTGTATCTTGCTGAGTTTCCTTAAGATCATGCTTAGAATTCTTTTTCAGGCATTTTGTAATTTTATTTTCTTTGGCATCCATTACTTGAGAATTATTGTGTTCCTTTGGAGATATCATGTTTCTCTGCTTTTTCATGTTTCTTGTGTCTTTATGTTGATATCTATGTATTTGGTATATCAGTTGCTTCTTACACTTTTATGTATTGACTTTTGTTGAAAAAGACTTTCTTGTGGATGTATCTATAGAATTGGTTGGGTAGGGTGCTTTGGCTTTGATTCTGGGTGAGAAACAGTCAGGTAGTCTCCATATTATTTCTTTGGCTGTAATCAACATTAGTAGTGCCTGCAGGTTTCTCAGTGGCTTAGGCTGTGGTTGTTAGTGGAGGCTCTGGCAAAGGTTTGCTGGGGATAGGGACACCTGGAGGGCTTGTCCTTGGGCCTCTGAGTGGCATGCATGGGCACTGGTGATAGCGGCCATAGACATGCCAGTCTTCAGACCCATCAGCAGCATATGCAGGCACTGCATATCACATAGTAGTGATATGGGGCCTCAGTGGGCCAGTTCTCGGGCCCCCAGGGAGACTTGTGAGTGCTGGCAATGGCATGTGGAGCAGGCCAATCCTCAGGCTGCTAGATGGTGCATATGGGTGCTGGCAGTTGCTGGGAAGGCTGGCTACTCTCCAGGCTCCTGGAGAGGATTTATGAATGCCAGTGTCAGCAGTAGGCATGGCGGATCCACCTTTCAGCTCCTTGGATGGTACACATAGGCTGGTCCTCAGGGCTTCTCAAGTCATACAGAGGTGCATGGCAGCCCCATTGCTAGAGAGGGCAGGTTTGCTGTCAGTGGCAGTGGCCGCAGGCAGGAGGCTCCAAGGCTCTGAGGAGTGCATGCTTTAGGGCCCTTTGCTTTGTGGCCACTCTGCCTGGTTTGCTGGACCCCTGTTCCCTGGGGTATAGGACACTGAGTGGTCTAGAGTACTGGGGATCCAGCCACACAGCTGCATCCAGCTGGCATCACAACACTGAAGCCCTCCAGGTGAATGTAGGGGAATGTCAGCAGGGATCCAGGTATGTGGAGATGGAGGGACTATTGGGTCCCAGGGCAGGATGTAGTATGGTAGGGACTAATCTCTAAAAATTGCACAATGTTGCAGTAGCTTGGGTTTCACAGGATGAGATGGACCAAGCATGAATTTCTTCTCTGGAACAATGCAGTCACCTGGACTCCAGGCATCTCCCTATACTAGGCTCAGGGCCTGGGAGAGCTAAGGGACTCTTCTGTGGCTAGGATTACAGGTGTCCATGTTATGATAGTATACTATTAGGGATTGCTTGGTTGCCTTTTCCCCAAGATGAGACGTCCCTCCTATCTCTGAGCCAATTGTGACTGGGATGGCTGCTTCACTTCTCTCTCCTGTGCTTCACAGTGGTCTGTCACTTACTTGTTATATTCCAGTATTCTCTCTTAGATGCTATATTTGATGTGTGGCTATATACTCACTGTTTTGGTCCTTCTTTGTAAAGGAGGTGAGTGCCAGCTGCTTGTGGTCGGCCATCTTGATGCCTTCAACTCTGCTTTTGGAACATTCAAGATTTGATTGAGGCAGTGGAGTTCCACTGTCCTGGTTCAACATTCAGACTGTGGGGACTGCAGAGCTGGGTGTCCTCCAGTGGCCTCAGAGCCCCAGTTCAGACTTGGGTTTGGCTTGGAGTCACTGCCCAGAGTAGGAGGCTGGTAACCATGCATAGTTGAGTGTCCTCTATTTTCATTTTTTTAATCCTAATTTTTTGTTAGTTATATTTGTTAAACATATTAAAGTATAAAGTTTGATTTTACCCATCCTTTAAATTACTTTTGCAAACACAAAATATTTTAACTTTAATATGGAAAAAATAAACAATTTTTTCTTTTAGAATTATTGCTTTTAAGTGTCCCACTTAAACTGTTATTTCCTACTTTAAATTCAGAAAGAAATTCCACTATATATTTTAATAAAAGTTTAAGTGTTTCTTTTGTTTTATTTTACTTTTAATTTCACATTCCTTCTGGATTTGATTTTGTGCATGATGTGAGGTATGGCTCCAATTTCCTCTTTTTCCAAGTGGATAACCATTTTTGCAAGCTTCACTTATTGAATATTTTCTGCATTCTCCACTGATCTGTCATGCCAGCTATATCAAATGTCAAATTTATCATATCTTCATAAGTCTTAATAGATATTAGGGCAAGTTCCTCCTCTTCCTCCACCTTCTTGTTCTTCTTGTTAGTCTTGGTTTTGTTCTTCTTCCTCCTCCTCCTCCTCCCATTTATCTACTTCCTTCCCCTCCTGCTTTTTTTCACCTTCTTCATTCTTCTTTAGTAGTGTCTTGCTATTACTGGCCTTTATTTTTTCATATAGCTGACAGAATTGTCTTCCTCATTTCCAAGAAAAAAAAAAAAAAAACAACTCATGAGCTTTTTAACAGAATTACTTTGACTCTGTAGGTCAAATTAGCAAAAGAAAAGATATATTTAAAAGACTTCCCATTCAAAAGACTTCCCATTCATAAACATATGATAGCCCTCCATTCATTTAATATCCTTTGATTTCTTTCTAGAAAATTTTAATAGTTTTACACATACTGGTCTTGCACATGTTTGTTAGATTTAATCTTAAGTATTTTGCAACTTTGCTGCTATTGTAAATGGTGCTTTTAAAAATAATATTTTTGAATTGTTGCTGATTTATAAAAATGTAACATCCAGTAATATTGATAAAACATCGTAATTTTTAGTATATTCTTTTACATTATCCACAAAGATAATTATATCTTTGTAAAAGATGAGAATTTTATTTCCCTCTTTTAAATTCTTACAGTTTAAGTATTTTTATTGTTTGATTTCACTAGCTAAGACTTCAAGAAAAATATTAAGCAGATGTGGCAATAGTGGGCATCCCCATTCTGTTCATAATATTTTAAAATTTTAAAACTCAAAAAAACCCCAGAACACTATGAAATTGTTTATCTTATCTCTTACTTTAAAATTTCTTACTTTTATTTGAGATTTACTTTGAACAAATTTAACATATAAGTTAAAGAATGTAATAAAGTCTTATATATGTATAAATATATATACACACATATGTATATGCATGTAGTACTATGTGTGTGTAAATACATACATAAATGTATAAAATTTTCATTCTTAAAAATTTTTTTTTGCCAAACTACTTGACAGTATGTTTCACATAGTATGACTTCTCATTCTTAAATCTTCAGCAGGCTACTCCTAAGAAAATGGAATTCTCTTAAATAACAAAAATAAAATTGTCAATTTGAGGAAATTAAATATTGATATACTATTAGTATCTAATATATATTCCATATTCAAATTTTCCTTATTGTTATTATACCATACTTTATAATTTTTTTTCTTGATCTAAAGTCTGCTCCAGAGTTACACAAAGCGTGTTTTCTTCATCTCTGTTTAGTCTCCTAAAGCCTGGAACACTACCTCTACCTTTCTTTTTCTTTTATGACATGGATGTTTTTCAAGTTTATAGCTTTAGTTTCTGATTTGTTTTTATAATATATTTTAATTTGTGTTATCTAATATTCCCATGATAAGAGTATGCTTTCCCCTTCATAATGAAAATGTAAACTGTGAGAGGGGTGTTTTGAGATTTTTAAATGACCTGTTGCCTCACAAACTTTCACATAATTATTTAACTTTCATTCACGATCCTTTTCTGAATCAGTTGTTATAATGATGGCTGCAAAATGATGATTAAAAAATTAAAAAAGAAAACTGTTTGTTCTACATACTGCTGTAAAGTAGAGCTTTTCCTTTTCTCACTGTACTTTGTTTGCTTATATTTAAAGTCAGTATATGTGTCAAGTTTTAAAATTCACTATGCTATGCATTACTGTCATTATACATTTTAATGTTCAAATTTTCCTTCATGTGGTCAGTGGAAATGTCTTTAAGCCAGTTCCTACATTGTTTTAGGATAGCTCCATCACTTACTGAGAGTTCACATTTTGCCTTGCCTCAGCCCTATAATAATCCATTTCTCTAATAAGCTCTGGTTACTTTTAGTGTGAAATGGTACTTAAAAACTAAGACCTGAGAGCAAATGTGTGTCATTTACTCAATCCTACAGCATTTACAGATTTGCTATATCCTGTCCAGCAAAAAAAAAAAAAAACTTACTAACAAAACCTATTAAGTCAAGTTCAAGATTTCTTTATCCTCCCTTTGGCCTTCAGTCTAAGAATATAGCATCTAGTATTGTATATTTAATTGAATTTGTGTCTTTAATTTTCACTTTTATGAGGTTATATTATTTTGGTATATACTTATAGTCATTTGTTCCTATTTGTATAAATATTTTGTATTTTTTCCTTATTCTTATTAATATAATTATACTTTTAAACATATAAAACATTAATAGTTCCAAAGGTATTTATAAAGACATAGTCAGAAAGATATAACTCATTATGCTTATTTTTACTCCTTGTTCCCACACTCTGTAATTAAGAAATTTCAATAATTTGTGGTTTCTCTTTCTTATATAGCTATTTATTAAAAAAAGAAGTTGGATCTTACCTAATATCACATACAGAAGGAAGTCCAGATAGATCAGACTTAAAAACTTTATAACTGAAACCATGTCGGTATTGTTGACAGCTAAATTACTATAACCTGGATGTAGGAAATCTCACTAACGAATTCTAAATCTAGATTCAGTCAACCCAAAGATAAACATCATAAAAATTAAAACCTTTTGTATGACAAGAAAAAATCACTAAAGAAAGAACAAATAACAAATTTGAACTTATATTTAGTATATAAAAAACTGTTAAGATTAAGGGAAAAGGGCTTAATCAGTAGAAAAAAGGGCTTTCTCCGCAAAACTCTGACCATAAATCTATTTTAAAAATGAGGAAAAGGACATAGACAATGCACCCCAAAATATCAAAATCCTCCATACACGTATGACTGTGCAATTAATTGCAAACATAACAGTAATTTGCAATTCTAACAACAGAAATAAAAACTAAAACACTGGTATATTGTTTTTCACCCATTAGATGAAAAAAATTTAAGAACTTGACAGCACATTCTGTTGGCAAATATGTGTGAAAAAAATAGCCTCATACAATGCTCGTGGGAATGTAAAATGTTTCAACTGCTATGGAGAAGAAATAGGCAAAAATGAAAAAGTCCTAAATGTACATTTATCTTTTGACTTCACTTTTAGGGATTTACATTTAAGTTATAGCTTCAACAATATGAAAATACATAAAGACTATACAGTGTAGTATACACTATACAGTGTAGTACTTGTAAAATATTAGATAGAAACAAACTAAATGCCCACACATTTGGTACTTCTACAAAATAGGTTATTATGAAGCTATAAAAAAGAGTGAGAAAACTCTATGAACTAACATGATTTCCAGGATGTATTGTGAAGTAAGAAAAACAAAATGCAGAGAGTATAAATTGAATGCTACCTTTTGTGCATAAAAAGAGGGAAAATATACAGATACACTTTTGTAAAACAAAAACAAAGATAAACCAGAAAACTATGAAATTTTTTATCTTATTTCTCCCTTTAAGCGGAATATTTCTAACTATCTCATTTAGTATAATGTTTACGGTAATAGTTTCTAAGTACCTTTTTTCAAAGTAAATATTCCCTTTTATGCTTATTTTATTAAGAATTTCTTTCATGGATGGGTGTTAAAGTTTATCAATTTTTTTCTGTATTTGCTGGAATGATATTTGTGGTGTATTATCATTCTCATACATTGTTGGAGTTGGTTTGCTATTATTTTGCTTTTGATTTTTTCATTTATACTCACTAATAAAATTTGCTAAAATTCTTCCTCCTTATCCTTTGGAATGAAGGCACTGTTACTTCCATGCCTTTCAAGTAATTATTTCCTTAACCTCTAGTAGTTTTCTCACATGCATGCACTGATCAATATTAAGCTGGATAATCTAAAAGGTAAGAACAGTTAACATGAGATGTACCTTCTTAACAAAGTAGTTTTTTATATACCAATTACATCTCAATTAACCTGAAAAAAAATACTCTAGGGAGAACTTTTTCAGATGCCCAGAGTTCTGTCTCTCCCATTACCCAGTGGAGGCCTGTTTTTCTTCATCTCTCTTTTCTTGTCTTCTTTTAGATTGGCTGAGTAATGTTCTTTTTTTTTTTTTTAATTTTAAGTTCTGGAATACATGTGCAGAACGTGCAGGTTTGTTACATAGGTATACATGTGCCATGGTGGCTTGCTACACCTAATGACCAGTCATCTAGGTTCCCTCCCGTCTCCCTGCCACCCCCCAACGGGCCCCGGTGTGTGTTGTTCCCTTCCCTGTGTCCATGTGTTCTCATTGTTCAACTCCCACTTATGAGTGAGAGCATGCAGTATTTGGTTTTCTAATATAGTTTGAAGTCAGGTGGCGTGATGCCTCCAGCTTTGTTCTTTTTGCTTAGGATTGTCTTGGCTATACAGGGTATTCTTTGATTCCATATGAAATTTCAAGTAGTTTTTTTTTTTAATTGTGTGAAGAATGTCAATGGTAGCTTGATGGGAATAACACTGAATCTATAAATTACTTTGGGCAATATGGCCATTTTCACAATATTGATTCTTCTTATCCATGAGGATGGAATATTTTGCCATTTGTTTGTGTCCTCTCATTTCCTTGAGCAGTGGTTTGTAGTTCTCCTTGAAGAGGTCCTTCACATTCCTTGTTAGCTGAATTCCTAGGTATTTTATTCTCTTTGTAGCAATTGTAAATGGGAGTCCATTCATGATTTGGCTCTCTGCTTGTCTGTTATTGGTGTAAAGGAATGCCTGTGATTTTTGCACATTGATTTTTTATCCTGAGACTTTGCTGAAATTGCTTATTAGCTTAAGGAGTTTTGGGGCTGAGGTGGTGGGGTTTTCTAAATATAGAATCATGTCGTTTGCAAATAGAGGCAAATTTACTTCCTCCCTTCTTATTTGAATACCTTTACTTCTTTCTTTTGCCTGATTGCCCTGGGCTGAACTTCCAATACTATGTTGAATAGGAGTTGTGAGAGAGGGCATCCATGTCTTGTACTGGTTTTCAAAGGGAATGCTTCCAGGTTTTGCCCATTCAACATGATACTGGTTATGGATTTGTCATAAATAGCTCTTATTATTTTGATATATGTTCCATCAATACCTAGTTTATTGAGGGTTTTTAAGAAGAAGGGATGATAAATTTTATTAAAGGCCTTTTCTGCATCTATTGAGATAATCATGTGGTTTTTGTCTTTGGTTCTGCTTATGTGATGGGTTATGTTTATTGATTTGCATGAGCCAGCCTTCATCCCAAGGATGAAGCTGATTTTATCATGGTGGATAAGTTTTTTGATGTGCTGCTGGATTTGGTTTGTCAATACTTCATTGAGGATTTTTGCATCGATGTTCATCAGGGATATGGCCTGAAGTTTTCTCTTTTTGTTGTTTCTCTGCCAGGTTTTGGTATCAGGATGATGCTGGCCTCATAACATGTGTTGGGGAGGAGTCTCTCCTTTTAATTGTTTGGAATAGTTTCAGAAGGAATGGTACCAGGTCCTCTTTGTACCTCTGATAGGCTTCGGCAGTGAATCCATCTGGTCCTTGGCTTTTTTGGTTGGTAGGCTATTAATTACTTCTTCAATTTCAGAACTTGTTATTGGTCTATGCAGGGATTTGGCTTTTTCCTGGTTTAGTCTTGGGAGGGTGTGTGTGTCCAGGAATTTATCCATTTCATCTAGATTTTGTAGTTTATTTGCATAGAGGTGTTTATACTATTCTCTGGTGATAGTTTGTATTTCTGTGGGGTCAGTGGTGATATCACCTTTATCATTTTTTATTGTGTCTATTTGATTCTTTTCTCTTTTATTCCTTATTAATCTAGCTAGTGGCCTATTTTGTTAATTTTTTTCAAAAAGCCAGCTCCTGGATTCGTTGATTTTTTGGAGGGTTTTTTGTGTCTCTATCTCCTTTGATTCTGCTCTGATCTTAGTCAGAGCAGTGTTTTAGTTAGATCTTAGTGTTTTCTGTTAGCTTTTGGATTCGTTTACACTTTCTTCTGTAGCTCTTTTAATTGTGATGTTAGCGTGTTGAGTTGAAATCTGTCTAGCTTTCTGATGTGGGCATTTAGTGTTATAATTTTTTCTCTTAATACTGTGTTAGCTGTGCCCCAGAGATTCTGGTATGTTGTTCCTTTGTTCTCATTGGTTTCAAAGAACTTCTTGATTTCTGCCTTAATTTCATTATTGACCCAGGAGTCATTCAGGAGCAGGTTGTTCAATTTCCATGTAATCGTGTGGTTTTGAGTATTTATTAATCCTGAATTGTAATTTGATTGCACTGTGGTCTGAAAGACTGTTTGTTATGATTTCAGTTCTTTTGTATTTGCTGGGGAGTATTGTACTTCCAATTATGTGGTTAATTTTAGAATAAGTGCTGTGTGGCACTGAGAAGAATGTATATTCTGTTGATTTGGGATGGGGAGTTCTGTAGATATCTGTTAGGTCCACTTGATCCAGACCTGAGTTCAAGTCCTGAATATCATTGTTAATTTTCTGTCTCCTTAATCTAATATTAATAGTGAGGTGTTAAAGTCTCCCACTATTATTGTGTGGGAGTCTAAGTCTCTTTGTAGGTCTCTAAGAACTTGTTCAGTAAATCTGGGTGCTTCTATATCAGGTGCATATATATTTAGGATAGTTAGCTCTTCTTGTTGAATTGATCCCTTTACCATTATTTAATGCCCTTCTTTGTCTTTTTTGATCTTTATTGGTTAAAGTCTGTTTTGTCAGAGACTAGGATTGCCACCCCTGCTTTGTTTTGCTTTCCATTTGCTTGGTAAATTTTCCTCTATCCCTTTATTTTGAACCTATGTGTGTGTGTCTTTCCACGTGAGATGGGTCTTCTGAATACAGCAGACCAATGGGTCTTGACTCTTTATCCAGTTTGCTAGTCTGTGTCTTTTAATTGGGTCATTTAGCCCATTTATATTTAAGGTTAATATTGTTATGTGTGAATTTGATCCTGTCATCCTGATGCTCTCTGTTTATTTTGCACCCTACTTGATGCAGTTTCTTTATAGTATCATTGGTCTTTATATTTTGGTGTGTTGTTGCAGTGGCTGGTACCAGTTTTTCCTTTCCATATTTAGAGATACCTTTAGGAGCTCTTGCAAGGCAGGCCTTGTGGTGACAAAATCCCTTGGCATTTGCTTGTCTGTAAAGGATTTTATTTCTCCTCACTTATGTAGCTTAGTTTGGCTGGATATGAAATTCTCTGTTGAAAATTCTTTTTTTAAAGAATGTTGAATATTGGCCTCCACTCTCTCCTGGCTTGTAGGGTTTCTGTTGAGAGGTCTGCTATTAGGCAGATGTGCTTCCCTTTGTAGGTGACCTGGCCTTTCTCTCTGGCTGCCCTTAACATTTTTTTTCCTTCATTTCAACCTTGGAGAATCTGATGATTATGTGTCTTGGGGTTGATCTTCTCATGGAGTATCTTAGTGGTGTTCTGTGTATTTCCTGAATTTGCATGTTGGCCTGCCTTGCTAGATTTGGGAAGTTCTCCTGGATAATATCCTGAAGTGTGTTTTCCGGCTTGTTTCCATTCTCCCTGTCCCCTTCAGGTACTCCAATCAATCATAGGTTTGGTGTTTTCACATAGTCTCATATTTCTTGGAGGCTATATTTGTTCCTTTTCATTCTTTTTTCTATAAAATTGTCTGCATGCCTTATTTCAGCAAGGTGGTCTTCAAACTCTGATATCCTTTCTTCCACTTGGTTGATTCGGCTGTTGATAGTTGTGTATGCTTCACGAAGTTCCTGTGCTGTGTTTTTCAGCTCCGTCAGGTCATTTATATTTCTCCCTAAACTGGGTATTCTAGTTAGCAGCTCCTCTCACTTTTATCAAGGTTCCTAGTATCTTTGCATTGGGTTAGAACATGCTCCTTTAGCTCAGCGGAGTTTGTTATTACCCACCTTCTTAAGCTGACTTCTGTCAGTTCATTCATCTCATCCTCCATCCAGTTCTGCGGCCTTGCTGGAGAGGCATTGTGATCACTTGGAGGAGAAGAGACACTCCGACCTTTTGGGTTTTCAGCCTTTTTTTGTTCATTCTTTCTCATCTACATGAGTTTGTCTAGTTTTGATCTTTGAGGCTGCTGACTCTTGGATGGGTTTTTTGCAGGAACTTTTTTGTTGTGTTGCTGTTGTTGTTGGTTTCTGTTTGTTTTTCTTTCAATGATCAGGTACCTCTTCTGTAGGGCTGCTGTGGTTTGTTGGGCTTTCACTTCAGGCCCTATTCATCTGGCTCACTCTAGCACCTGCAGATATCACTCAAGGACGCTGGAGAACAGCCTAGATTGGTGCCTGCTCCTTCCTCTGGGATCTCTGACCTTGAGGGGCACCAACCTGATGCCAATAGGATCGCTCCTGTATAGGGTGTCTGATAACCCATGTTGGAGTGTCTTACCAAGTTGGGTGGTACATGAAGCAGGACCCAGTAATGTTCTTTATAAGTTCTTTATCCCTCTGTTTGGAAATATGTTTTGTTCCTATACCCTTTTAAGAATTAAAACATGCATATTTACTTACCAATTTCCAAACCAGTCAAAAGTTCAAAATACAAAAGCTAATAATTGATAGTATCAGAATCTCAGGGAGTAGAGCCTAGAAACATGTATTTTAAACAAGTGCCCTTGGTGATTTTTATTCATGATTTAACTGGAGAACTAGATTAGAAAACAATTATACCAGAAAAATAGCCTAAATTCGGCTAAGGCAATTAGGCTTTAATTTTATCTATTAGTTGCTTTATAGTCAAGGCAAAATGGAAGCAGACATTACTGAATTCTCATTATCTAACAAAAGAAAATATAGCAGATGATAAGGAGAGATGTATTTAGTGTGAACAATGAATATGAAGAGTAATTTTCACTGTCAGATTTTAAATATACTTTCAAATAAGTTTTTAAATAGGGATATTGATCAACATAATGCACTGCATCATCAGGAGCTATTCTATAAAAGATACAGACACGGTTTTCATACCATCTATTGCTAAAGCCAAAACCATTATATTTAAATCATATTTCTGCAAATAATTTTTTTTGCAGAGCTAAAGTCATTGTTCATGTGTATGCTATTTTGAACATGCACAAGTGTGAAAAAAGACAAAGAACTTAAGCTTTTCATACACTAATATAAGGAACAATTTCATGATTTACTCTGTGCTCAATACTATGTATGCATTGAGCATACAGAAATGGCTAAGATAGAGGCCCAGTCCTCAAGGAATTATGGTCTACAGAGGAAACAGATCAGTACACAAAATGGTACACTATGCTGTGATTTTTTTTTTTTTCTTTTTTAAACAGGGTCTCTCTCTGTTACCCAGGCTACAGGGCAGTGGCGCAATCTTGGCTCACTGCAACCTCTACCTCCTGGATTCAAGCGATTCTCCTGCCTTAGCCACCTTATGCTGTGATAAATGTTTACATAAACATGTTTCATAGATATCTCAGGGGAACAAATGGGGAAGGCTACATAGAGAGGATGACACTCATTTGTCCTTAAAAAATATTTGCAAATAGAGTAAATAAATGCTTTTGCCTATTCAGTCTTCATTTGCCCTCTTTGTAGTAAGAATTCCACTATTCCTTACTGGAGCTACTCCTCTTCCGCCTAGTTAGACAATCACACCTCCCTGCCACAGAAGTTATCATGAGATAACAGCTTCAATGAGAGTGGTGTATTTCCATGTATTCAGTCCAGAGGTGGGCACAATCCAGATAAAGCCAAGCAGAGATTTTCATCCTGGAATTATTTGGCTGCATGGAAAAGTGAAAGTAGCTCTCTTTCTGAGAGTTCAAGAGTTATTAAAAAGACATTGTTTTCCTAGAATTGTCCAGTGCTATCTTTGCTGCTATTTAGAGAGAGCCTGCTTGAGTAGAATAGTGCAAATTATCTGGAACCAAATTCCCAAGTTCAAGTTTCACAAAGATGAGGAGAAAAAAACATGCCAAAACAGATAATATTTTATATATGACCCTTTGATACATTTAGTTTTTGGGACTATATCTTGATAGGACAAGCAAAATGGTAGTGCCAGAAAGGCATTTACAGATAAACAGGGAAAGTTGTGGAGAGGAGTTGTTGAAGTATTACCAATTTGAAGTGAAAGGATGAAAGCCACAAACAATGGCCTGAGTTTGGCATAATTTATGCAGGAGTATTTTGAATGACAATTAACTGTGGGCAGCACAAACCATGTTAACATATGATACAAAGCTTATGCTCTGTTTACCACATCAGGATTGCATGTATTATAAAAAGTTTGTCTAAAGTTATATCAAATATTTAGATGGAAAGTAAAAAATAAATATATTTGGGATGATTTATGTCAGGTTATGATGGGCAATATAAAGATAACTTTAGCATAATGGAGAATTATTTGACTGTTAATTGGTGTTTTAGTCTGTTTTCTCTTTTTTATATCACCTAAAACTGGGTAATTTATAAAGAAAAGGGAAAGGAATTGATTTCTTATAGTTATGAAGGCTGAGAAGTTCAAAGTTGAGGGCCTGCGTCTTGCGAGAGCCTTCTTGCTGGTAGAGATTCTCTAGAGCTCCTGAGGCAGTGCAGAGCATTGTATGGTGAGGGGGCTGAGCACACTGGCTTAGGTTTCTCTCTCTTTTTTTTTTTTTTTTGAGACGGAGTCTCGCTCGCTCTATCGCCCAGGCTGGAGTGCAGTGGCGTGATCTCGGCTCACTGCAAGCTCCACCTCCCAGGTTCACGCCATTCTCCTGCCTCAGCCTCCTGAGTAGCTGGGACTACAGGCGCCCGCCACCACGCCCGGGTAATTTTTTGTGTTTTTTAGTAGAGTCGGGGTTTCACCATGTTAGATCTCCTGACCTCCTGATCCACCCGCCTCGGCCTCCCAAAGTGCTGGGATTACAGGCGTGAGCCACCACGCCTGGCCAGGTTTCTCTTTCTCCTCTTATAAAGCCACTAATGACACTCCCATGGTAGCCTATTAATTTATTACGCCATTAATCCATGAATGGATTAATCCATTCATGAGGAAAGAGCCTTCATGACCCAATTACCTCTTAATAGCACACCTTTCAGTACTACCACATTGGAGATTAAGTTTCAACACGCATTTTGGAGGGGACAAATATTTAAACCATAGCAACTGGTAAAAATTCCCTGGTTTTGAAACACGGATATGATTCTTATTGTCATTTATACTCTGTCCTCATGTCTGAAATGGATATATTTAAACTTACCCCATAGGTTTATTGTGAAGCTTAAAAACGAGTAATGATATTAAGTAAACTATGAATTGATATAAAGTATTAATATTTTTATTGATATGTTACTGCATAATTCTCCATATTGTAATAGAGAGTTGATGCTGGATAAAAACTGATGTCTTCCCTTAAAATTTGAAGTAGTAGTTTCATTTTGCTTTTTAAAAGTTAACACTGAAAGTTTTATTCTTTTTTGCTTTTCTTTCTTCATGCCTTGCCAAATCATCAGAACTTAAATGGGTTATGATGATAATTATTTACAACAAATAGAATAGAAATTCAAAATTTAGTCAGTGTTCAAACATTTAGATGGTCATAAAAAATATAAAGTTTGAGATTATATTTGCTGTGGTACCCGGTGATCACTGTGAGTCTTGGTTTGGTAGAAACTGCAGGTCAGTCACAGGATGGGAACATTAACAAGACTCACAAAGCCATTAAATACCATTTTCTTCATAAAGAATTTTTAATGGACTAATATACATTTCAGTACATCTTTGGTTAAGTTATTTATGTAAATAACTAATGCTGATTCAGAGACTAAATTTTTAATGTATATTTCAGTGAGAATTATTAAAGCACAAATTCTCATTAATGAACAGGCAATCTATTCTAAACTACATTATTCTGAATTCCATTTCTTATCTGTGTGTGTTTAAATACAAAATTAATCCTTTCATTATTTATCACCTGAGATTCATCCTTGAATGGAATTTTGAAAAGCTTCTCATCACATCTCATCCAATTAACTATCTTTAAATGAGGAACTTCTGCCACCTAAACTGCCAAATTAAGTGGCAGATACTCACCATTACCCAGGTATTTAATATATGGATATATAAGTGTTGTATTGTTATAAGTAACAATATCTCAAGGTAAAGACCGGGGTTTGTGACGTTGTCAGGACCAAGAAAAATGGCACACAAATATCTCTAAGCCGGCACAACTTTCGCTCATTTATCCCCTTTCAACAAGCTAAGTGGTAAATGAGAAATAAAAGAGGATAGAAGGTATTAACTCCCTGGTTCAGGGACTACTCAGTTTCTGCTCACCCCTGGCCTATGTGTTCTCTGTTTGTAGTGGCCCCTTTCAAGCATGATATAACAAAGAATTGAAATTGCCTTATGATCAGTGTGTAGCAGTTTGTAGCCAGCTCAATACATTCTGAAAAGATATGCATAGCATATCTTAAAAAATAAAAGTTAAAAACCTGCCTTGTCATCTCAAGGTTTTACTATTTATGATTCATGTTTGTTTATATGATTTATTTTCTTAATGCTTTATATTTTCATATTCTTTTTTCAGAGTTCTGGATGTTTTGTGCTTCCGCAATGAACTATAATCAACTTATTTATACTATTTATTGCTTTAACCTCTAATACTTTGAACATAATATATACATATGGAAGTTGGGAACTGGATTTAAAATGCATTTTTTAAAAATTCATGTTTAATATGGTAGAGTGGCCACACAAACATTTTTCTCCACTCTTCTGTGACTTCTTTGAAGAGGCTTTATACAAATCCAAAAAAAGAGAGAATGAACCTTTAATAGCAGAGAGATTGGGAGGAAGTAATCATTGAAGCAATTTTAATATATTTGTGGAAGAAGAAAAGTGAATTAAAGTAGGTTTATAGGCACAGCAAAGCAGTGGAAGCTAGAGCCATGGCAGGGGTGAAAGCGATTCTTTTTAAGAAGAGTCCTAGTTATGAGTATAGGTCCAGGATTAGGAAGAGGAATAAACAGCCGACATTTGCTGAAGTTCTTTCTGAATGACAGTTAATCAGTTTCTACACCTTCTCCTTTCCCTCCTCTCCTTTCTCTTACTACAATTCCATTCCCATACCCCTATCACTAGACTCCCTGGTAGAATGAGTTTTATTTTTGGATGGAAAACCTGAGGATTCTTCTTTAATTTAAGGCTTATAATGTGAATATTTGTGTTTCCAGAGAAAAGCTTTCCTCATTCTGCAATTCAGGAAGTGCTCAGTCTGGCATTGTACTACAGGCATATGCTCCCTAAGGTGACCTTCCAGTGGTGAAGCCTTCCAGGGACCCAGCTTTATTCAAAAAATAACAGGAGAAAATCCATATTCATTGTATAGACTAATACTGTTATGGTTTGTTAATAATATGAAAAAACAATCAAGAATAACCAGAAAGGAGAATAATCAATGAAAATTAAAAAGACCAAAATAAAAAACAAACTCTAAAAGGAAAATAGTTATTCAGGAGTTAGAAGAGTCTAGAATGTACTGTAGTATAAAAGAATAGGATGTAATGAAAAGAGAACACAGGGAAACAAGAAAAAGTTAGTAGAAATGGAATAATGATTGACAATGAATTTAGCTTGATAAGACAAATTCATATTAAACCTCAGAATATACAATATTAAAATGTTAGAATTTCAAATTTCCAAAAGGTGAAGGAAAACAGAAACTTTCAGATTAAAAGAATAAGATTAATAAAAAATACAAAAACAGGCATTCTCTAGATATTTACTCATACCAGAAGTAAATAGAATTTACAACCTCTAGAAATATTACCTACTAAAGATCTAAGTTATGCTATAGGCCCAGACTTACTGCCACAATCTGCACATATTCCTTTTTCTGTAAAAGAGAGGAAATGGGTTTCCAAACTTTTGACCATAGGGAAGAAATTCTGGATAAATTTGGGGATAGTGGAACTATTGTTTTTATTACGAGAAAAAAGAAACCATGAGATATTCCAGAAATGCATCAACAGCAACCAAAATAATCAAAACATAAGTTGGGCATATAATTCTGAGGAATTTTGAGGGGTAGGAAAATAAAATTTACTACATTTTATTACTCATTTTTAGACTTACTGAAAAATCTAAAAAAATAGTACAGAGTATTCTGTGTATTCTTCATTCAGCCTAGCTAACGTTAACATCTTGCAAAACCACAACACAATAATCTAAACCAAGAAATTAATATCAGTAGTATATCATTAACTAAACTACAAACTTAATTCAGACTTGAACAGTCTTTTCCATCAATGTCCTTCCTCTGTTTCATGATCCAATCTAGGATCCTACATGGTATTTAGTTGTTAGGTGTCCTTACTCTCCTTCAACTTGTGACAGTTTCCGAGTCTTTCCTTGTTTTTATGACCTTGACACTTTTCAAGAATAGTGGTCAGCTATTTTGTGGAATGTCCCTTAATTTTTGTCTGATTTTTTTTCATTTATTTTTTACCTTTTATTTTAAGTTTATGGGTATATGTGCAGGTTTGTTATATAGGTAAACTCCTGTCATGAGGGTTGGTTGTACAGATTATTTCATCACCCAGGTATTGAGGCTAGTACTCCTTAGTTATTTTTCCTGATCCTCTCCCTCCTCCCACCCTTGTCCCTCTTCTAGGCCTGTGTTTGTTGTTCCCCTCTATGTGTTCATGTGTTCTCATCATTTAGCACCCCTTTGTAAGTGAGAACATGTGATATTTGGTTTTCTGTTCCTGTGATAGCTTGCTAAGGATAATTACCTCCAGATCCATCCATGTTCTAGCAAAGGTCGTGATCTCATTCATTTTTATGGCTGCAGAGTATTCTGTGATATATATGTACCACATTTTCTTTATCCAGTCTATCATTGAAGGGCATTTAGGTTGATTCCATGTCTTTGCTATTGTGAAAAGTGATGCAATGAACATTCTTGTGCATGTGTTTTTATGATAGAACGATTAATATTCCTTTGGGTGTATCTGTTTTTTTATGATTAGGTTGGGGTTATGTATCTTGGACTAGAATACTACAGAAGTGAGGGTCTAGAGACAAAGTCAGACTTATATGGTCACTCGACTTATTACAGATGTGGCATTGTAGTGCTGTGGGGGAAGGAGAATCTTTGTATTAAGTTTTCTTGAGTCAACTCAATAAATATATGGAGAAAAATAATTTTTAACCATTTGTTTATAATAAACACATCAATCAATTTCAGATGGATTATTTATTTAAATATAAAAGGTAAAATAACATATTTGGAAGGAAACAGAATGCCTTTGAGATCAATTGTTTAAAAATAGGACACAGAAAGAACTAGGCAGGTAGGAAAAATAACGTGAATTACATTAAAATTAAGAACCTCAATTTTTATGAGCTTAATGGTATCAAAGATATGCTTAAGAGGGTGAAAGGCAAATCACAGGGTGGGAGAAAGGTTTGAATTTTTTATCATATCCAAAATATATGTGCCATATCCAGAATATGTAAAAATTACTCAGATTGATGTCAAACAATCCAATGGGCAAACGTTTTGAACATTTTATAAAAGGACATATTCAAATAGCAGTAAACACATGAAAAGTGTTCAACCTCATCAGTTATTAGCCAAATACAAGTTTAAACCTCAATATTATACAAAATCACACTCACCAGGATGGCTAAAGTGACAAAGACACACAATACCAAGTTTTGGGGAGGAAAAATGATATACAGACAGAAATTGTCTCTTCAGTGTCTTGCTTTCCTTCCCTTCATGTTTAGCACAGTCATACTGCTGATAAAAGTCAGATTAACTAACATTTGGAAATTGAACTTAAGAAAATGAGTAACTTCTGCAAGTTTGGAAGGACAAGTTAGAATATATAATTTATGGGTCATAAGTAGTTGATGTCAACCTTGTAGCTTTGCTTATTTGATGGAGAGGAGTATGGGTTAGGCTGATTAATTCTAAATCCCTATAGTGATTGTGAAAAATTGTTCCTGCCTCTATGATAAAGAACATAGAGATGATGCATCAGATGAAGTTATAAACTGAAGAGACCCTGTTGAACCAGCTTAAGGATCTTGATTTTGGAACTGTGGTGTAAGCATGTAGTATCATAATAGATGGGAAATAAAAGGATCAAAAATATCAAAACAAGCATTCTTCTACAGTTTTTTTTTAATAAACAGAAAATGTACTAATTAGGACCTTGGGCATCAGAATAATACAATCAGGTGGAAAAAAATGTATACCTTCATGAGAAACAGGTTTCTCCTCCATAGTTTTGTGTCTTAGTTAACTGTATCACTTAGCACTTTTGTAACCCTGGATAAGTAAGTTAAATGCTGTCTGCCTCAGTGTCTTCACTTAAAAGGGAAGAAAAAATTATTACCTTATAAGATTGTTTAGAGGATCAAATCAGAGGATGAAATTGATAGTGCATATAAAGCACTTAAAATGTTTGGAATATTGTACATGTCCAGTAGATATTTGTAAGATAATACAGTCAAGCACCACATAAAAACATTTTAGTCAACAATGGACTACATATAAGATAGTGGTCCATTGTGGCACACATGATGGTGATCCATCATATATAATACTGTGTTTTTACTGTACATCTTCTATGCTTAGATACACAAATACTTACCATTGTGTTACAATTGCCTGCAGTATTCAGCATAGTAACATGCTGTACAGGTTTGTAGCCTAGTACAATGGGCTATACCGTATAGCCTAGGTGTGTAGGAGGCTGTGCCATCTAGGTTTGTGTAAGTACACTCTATGATGTTCTCACAACAACGAAATAGCCTAATGATGCATTTGTCAGAACATATCCCCATCATTAGGCCATGTATGAATGTAATTGAAACAACAAGAAGAGAAAAGAGGGGTAGCAAAGGAGGGGAGGGGAGAAGAGAGAATAGGAGAGGAAAGGAACAGAGATATGCTTTTTACTGGGGGAGTAATACACATGTTAATAGACTGCTTGAATGATAGGGTATGGTGAAGGAAACTAATATAGTTTGAGGATAAGATAAAAGAAGCCAGATAAGATGAGGCCAAAAATCAAGGGGAGGATAATTTCTGAAGAGAAAATAGTTGGATGATTTTGAATCAATGGACACATTCATACCAAGTGACTGATTGTGATAGTCCTGATAAATTGGGAAAATCTTTATCTTTTAATAATACCTGGTTTTTAGTGATGGACACTTTTGCAGAATAAGGAATCATAAATATGTAACATTCTTTTTAGTGAGTCACACTGCATTTGCCTTAAAGTAGCATTATTTTTGTTTGTTGCTCAATTCTATTTCTCAGGATTATGGAACTTCAGTATGAAATAGGCACAGCCTTAATGCTCATAGAACAGCAGTTTGCTGTTGTTTCAAAATAGCTTCTGTAGCATCACTGGTTGTTATGCCAGTGGTCTCCAGCTGTGATTACACAGTTCATCACAGCTGTTTGAGTCATTGAGTAGGAGTCTTAGTTTCAGTGAAAGAGTTTTTAGGCTGGTCCCAGAGAGTATCAGAGCCCATTTCCTGCTCCTCAATACAAGTGATTCTCTGCCCTGGAAGAGAATTTTCTGTTACATACACTTATGTTTTATAGTGAACATATCATGTATTTTGTTGCTAATTTGGGGACATGAGGGTGCCTATCATTTCACAAGGTGAACATCTGAATCACACTTGATGAGTTTGAATCATACGAGTCCTCCCCCCAAATAATATGCTATCATTAGTCTAATGCTTTTATACAATTCAAGATAAAAATAATGTTAAAATTAAGAGTCATATTAAGACTTTATGGCACAGGCAGGGCTGATAATATAGCTTTAAGTTTGTTTTGAATATAGTAAATCATTGAATGTACAAAACTTATAAAAAAGCAAGAGGGAGAACAAAGAGCTCATGGTCCTATCACTTGCAGGTAAATATAGTTAGCATTTAGACATATTTGCTCTTTAACCTTTTGTTTTCAATTATTTATATACTTAAGATCATGCTGTATTTACTATTTAAAATTTTTAATATTATAAATAATTTCCCTGTATTAAAAAACTGTCCTTAAACATTATAACATCTTTTAAAATGACTACTTAATATTTAATTGCTTTGTATACATTTTCAATTGTTTATTGAATGCATATTATAGTTATTGACATTATTCTTGCTGCATTATGAAGTTATTATTATTGCATTCTTATTTTCTCCTTTGTTAATTGTTTATATTCTCTGCTTTTTATTTTTGTGGTGGGTGACTTTGTTACTGTAATATCCCTCTATCTTGTTAGCATTATATTTCCCTTTTACAGCTAATATTAATTTATCTTTTCTCCTTTTTTGATTGAGTTTAACAAAAGTTAATTTTATTTACATGGTTCTAAAATATGACTTTGGCTTTATGTTATGATTTTACTGATTAAGTATTAGAAGTTATTTTCCTTATTCTTTAAGCTCTAGTTTCCATTTTATGGTGCTTTTTTAGAGTTGCTTCTTTAAAAAAAATTCAGGAATTCAGTAACTAGGTCTTTATTTTTTAACAGTAAAAATGATAGTATACCTGTAAACCCAGCACTTGGGAGGCCGAGGCAGGCGAACCACTTGAGGTCTGGAGTTCAAGACCAGACTGGCCAACATGGTGAAACCCCGTCTCTACTAAAAATACAAAAATTATAGCAGCATGATTTGATGAGTTCATGTCCTTTGTAGGGACATGGATGAAATTGGAAGTCATCATTCTCAGTAAACTATCACAAGAACAAAAAACCAAACACCGCATGTTCTCACTCATAGGTGGGAATTGAACAATGAAATCACATGGACACAGGAAGGGGAATATCACACTCTGGGGACTGTTGTGGGGTGGGGGGAGGGGGGAGGGATAGCATTGGGAGATATACCTGATGCTAGATGACGAGTTGGTGGGTGCAGCGCACCAGCATGGCACATGTATACATATGTAACTAACCTGCACAATGTGCACGTGTACCCTAAAACTTTAATAAAAAAAAATTAAAAAAAATACAAAAATTAGCCGGGTGTGGTGGCATGCTCCTGTAATCCCAGCTACTTGGCAGGCTGAGGCAGGAGAATTGCTTGCACCCAGAAGGCGGAGGTTGCTGTAAGCCAAGATAGCGCCACTGCACTCCAGCCTGGGCAACGAGAGCAAAACTCTGCCTCAAAGAAAAAAAAAGATATTAAAGATACAAACAATTTTATAATAATGTTTCAAGGACTCACCATCCATATTTAACTAAACTAGATATTTTGTCTTATTTGCTGCAGATATGTTATTTATTTTAGAAAATCTAAATAGCTAAATGCCACCAACACTATTTTATTCTCCAGTGTTCCCAAAATAAGCCAGTACTAGTGTTCGTATATTATTTCCATTCATGTTTTAAAAGTTATAATCAATATATGGCTATACATTATATACAGTACCAATTTGCTTATTTTTGAAACTCATATATAATATTATTTATATTTTTCTTTTGTGATACAATCATGTTGATACATAGAAATATAGTTTCATTTAAATCAATTTCTCATCCTTGGAATTATTGATATTTTAGGTCAGATAATTCTTTGTTGTGAAGGAGGCAGTCCTGTGCACTGTAGGATGTTTAGCAGCATCCCTAGCCACTACCCACTGAAAAGATCCTTTAAAAGATGCTCGTTCTTTCCTTACTGGTAACCATGGCAATGGAGCATCCTCACTCCCAGGTGTGACAACCAAAAATGTCCCCAGACACTGCCAAATGATCCTTAAAGGACAAAATCACCCCTGGTTGAAAACTGCTTTTTTAAACTACTGTAGTAATACATTTTAAGAAAGGTTTATCTATTCCTGTTTGATGAACAATTAGGCTGTTTACAGCCTTCAATATTGCAAATGCTGCAAAGGACAATGTAATGCATGTCTTCTGTGCACTTATGGTAGAATTTTCCTAGGATACATACCTAGTAGTGGACTTGCTGCCTTATAAAGAATGTACATCTTCCAATTTAAAAGATATATCAATAACTTGAAAACAGGTAAACAAATTTAAACAAGCACCAGCAAAGTTTCTTGTTGTTACACATCTTTGCCAATATTTTATTTTATCAGCATTTTAACATTTTTTCAGTTACTTATGTAAAAATAGTAACTCATTATCATTTTAATTTCCATTGCCTTAGTTACCAGTAAGGGTGAGCATCTTTTCAGCATTTTATTAATCACTTTGATTCCTGTTCTGTGAATTGCCTACTCATATCCTGTTTCTATTTTCAAATGAAGTTTTAATTATTTATACTTTTTTTTTGGAGATGGAGTCTAGCTGTGTCACCCAGGCTGGAGTGCTCAAATTTAGTTTTACTTGACATGTAAAATTGTATGTATTTATTATGTACACCAAGATGTTTTAAACTATATATATGTTGTGGAATGATGAAATCTAGCTATTTTTTTCAAAATAACTGTAGAAGTTAATTTAGAAACAAGCTTTATATTTTCTCAGTCTTTGCCTTAGTTTATTGTGACTTCTGTTCAACAATTAAAAATAATATAGTCAAAATTTCTAGCTTTTACTTTTGTTATTGTACTTTGTATGTTTATTTTTTAAAATTCTAAACCAGAAAGATACTTTTATTTAAGTGTTGAAACTTTGCTGTTTTTATATTTTGGCTTTTATTATTATTATTATTTTTTATTATACTTTAAGTTCTAGGGTACATGTGCACAACGTGCAGGTTTGTTACATATGTATACATGTGCCATGTTGGTGTGCTGCACCCATTAACTTGTCATTTACATTGGGTATATCTCCTAATGCTATCCCTCCCCACTCCCCCCACCTCACAACAGGCCCCAGTGTGTGATGTTCCCTTTCCTGAGTCCAAGTGTTCTGATTGTTCAGTTCCCACCTATGAGTGAGAACATGCGGTGTTTGGTTTTCTGTCCTTGCGATAGTTTGCTGAGAATGATGGTTTCCAGCTTCATCCGTGTCCCTACAAAGGACATGAACTCATCCTTTTTTATGGTTGCATAGTATTCCATGGGGTATATGTGCCACATTTTCTTAATTCATTCTTAATCATTGATGGACATTTGGGTTGGTTCCAAGTCTTTCCTATTGTGAATAGCACCGCTATAAATATACGTGTGCATGTGTCTTTATAGCAGCATGATTTATAATCCTTTGGATATATACCCAGTAATGGGATGGCTGGGTCAAATGATATTTCTAGTTCTAGATCCTTGAGGTATCACCACACTGTCTTCCACAATGGTTGAACTAGTTTACAGTCCCACCAACAGTGTAAAATTGTTCCTATTTCTCCACATCCTCTCCAGCACCTGTTGTTTCCTGACTTCTTAATAATCGCCATTCTAACTGGTGTCAGATGGTATCTCATTGTGGTTTTGATTTGCATTTCTCTGATGGCCAGTGATGATGAGCATTTTTTCATGTCTGTTGGCTGCATAAATGTCTTCTTCTGAGAAGAGTCTGTTCATATCCTTCGCCCACTTTTTGATGGTTTTTTTTTTCTTGTAAATTTGTTTGAGTTCTTTGTAGATTCTGAATATTAGCCCTTGTCAGATGAGTAGATTGCAAAAATTTTCTCCCATTTTGTAGGTTGCCTGTTCACTCTGATGGTAGTTTCTTTTGCTGTGCAGAAGCTCTTTAGTTTAATTAGATCCCATTTGTCAATTTTGGCTTTTGTTGCCATTGCTTTTTGTGTTTTAGACATGAAGTCCTTGCCCATGCCTATGTCCTGAATGGTATTGCCTAGGTTTTCTTCCAGGGTTTCTATGGTTTTAGGTCTAACATTTAAGTATTTAATCCATCTTGAATTAATTTTTGTATAAGGCGTAAGGAAGGGATCCAGCCTCAGCTTTCTACATATGGCTAGCCAGTTTTCCCAGCACCATTCATTAAATAGGGAATCCTTTCCCCATTTCTTGTTTTTGTCAGGTTTGTCAAAGATCAGATGGTTGTACATGTGTGGTATTATTTCTGAGAGCTCTATTCTGTTCCATCAGTCTATAACTGTTTTGGTACCAGTACCATGCTGTTTTGGTTACTGTAGCCTTGTAGTATAGTTTGAAGTCAGGTAGTGTGATGCCTCCAGCTTTGTTCTTTTGGCTTAGAATTGTCTTGGCAATGTGGGCTCTTTTTTGGTTCCATATGAACTTTAAAGTAGTTTTTTCCAATTCTGCAAAGAAAGTCATTGGTAGCTTGATGGGGATGGCATTGAATCTATACATTACCTTGGGCAGTATGGCCATTTTTATGATATTGATTCTTCCTATCCATGAGCATGGAATGTTCTTCCATTTGTTTGTGTCCTCTTTTATTTCGTTAAGCAGTGGTTTGTAGTTCTCCTTGAAGAGGTCCTTCACGTCCCTTGTAAGTTGGATTCCTAGGTATTTTATTCTCTTTGTAGCAAGTGTGAATGGGATTTCACTCATGATTTGGCTCTCTGTTTGTCTGTTATTGGTGTATAAGAATGCTTGTGATTTTTGCACATTGATTTTGTATCCTGAGACTTTGCTGAAGTTGCTTATCAGCTTAAGGAGATTTTCGGCTGAGACTATGAGGTTTTCTAAGTATACAATCATGTCATCTGCAAACAGGGACAATTTGAGTTCCTCTTTTCCTAATTGAATACCCTTTATTTCTTTCTCCTGCCTGATTGCCCTGGCCAGAACTTCCAACACTATGTTGAATAGGAGTGGTGAGAGAGGGCATCCCTGTCTTGTGCCAGTTCTCAAAGGGAATGCTTCCAGTTTTTGCCCATTCAGTATGATATTGGCTGTGGGTTTGTCATAAATAGCTCTTATTATTTTGAGATACGTCCCATCAATACCTAATTTATTGAGAGTTTTTATCATGAAGGGCTGTTGAATTTTGTCAAAGGCCTTTTCTGCATCTATTGAGATAATCATGTGGTTTTTGTCTTTGGTTCTGTTTTTATGCCGGATTACGTTTATTGATTTTCGTATGTTGAACCAGCCTTGCATCCCAGGGATGAAGCCCACTTGATCATGGTGGATAAGCTTTTTGATGTGCTGCTGGATTCGGTTTGCTAGTATTTTATTGAGGATTTTTGCATCGATGTTCATCAGGGATATTGGTCTAATATTCTCTTTTTTTTGTTGTGTCTCTGCCAGGCTTTGGTATCAGGATGATGCTGGCCTCATAAAATGAGTTAGGGAGGATTCCCTCTTTTTCTCTTGATTGGAATAGTTTCAGAAGGAATGGTACCAGCTCCTCCTTGTACCTCTGGTAGAATTCATTTATTTTAACAGATTATTTAAGTGTAATTGACAACCTATAATAAACTGCTAAAATTTGAGTTATACAATTTATAATTTTTGATATATGTATAGACCTGTGACACCATCACTGCATTTAAGAAAATGAGGCCAGGCACAGTGGCTCACGTCTGTAATCCTGGCACTTTGCGAGGCTGAGGTGGGTGGATTGTGAGGTCAGGAGTTCGAGACCAGCCTGGCCAACATGGTGAAACACCGTCTGTACTAAAAGTACAAAAATTAGCCAGGTGTGGTGGTGCACGCCTGTAATCCCAGCTACTCAGCAGGCTGAGGCAAGAGAATCACTTGAACCCGGGAGGTGGAGGTTGCAGTGAGCTGAGATCCTGCCATTGTACTCCAGCCTGGGTAACAACAGCAAGACTCCATGTCTCTCTCTCTCTCTCTCTCTCTCACACACACACACACACACACACAGACACAGAGGACATACCTTTCATTCTCAAATGTTTCACTGATACTCACCCCCTTCTATCTCCAGGCAGCCACTGATCTGCTTTCTGTCACTAAAGATTCATTTGCATTTTCTGGAATTTCATATAAAATGAAACCATATAGTTTGTATTATTCTTTGGCTCTTTTCATGAAGCATAATTATTTTGAGATTCATCCATGTTGTTGCACACATCAACAATTCATTGTTCTTAACTTTTGAGTATACTTCCATTGTATGAATATAGAACAATTGGTTTATCCATTCACCTGTTGAATATTTGGGTTGTTTCTAGGTCTTACTATTAAAAGTAAAGTTGCTAGAAACATGTACAGGTATTTGTATGGATATAATCTTTCACATTTCTAGGGGTGAAATGGCTGAGTCATGTGATAGGTTTACATGTAACTTTATAAAACTACCAAATCATTTCCAAGTGGTTGCAACATTTTCCAAGCGTATTAACAGAGACTTCCAGTTGCTCCACCTTTTCACCAAGCCTTAGTTTCATCAATGTTTTAAATGTAAGCTATTTTATAAAGGTATGTTAAACAGCTCAGATATTAGTATTTTTCCATTTCTTTACGTTTCTAATATATATTGTAAAAATTCATTTTCTGTGTGCTACATCCTCAGGGATAAAACGTATCCATATGTTGTGTTGGTGTGTATTTATAGCTCTCACAATTGTTTGAGTTTTATCCAATTTCATGTTAAGCTGAAATGAAAATGTTCAAGTACTATATTTGTTTTAACATTTGAAGAGAGTTAAGTATATAGATTCTCTCACTAATCTGAAGTCATTATAGGAGTAAAAACATAGAGGAAAATTGTGGAAAAAACATACCCATGTTAGGGAATATGAACTGTATTTCCAAGTTTTTTATTTACCTGTAACATTAGATAGATGTCTGACCTCTTTGGATCTTATCTGAAAATTACAGGTATAAAATGTGTTCTTTATCTCTTTACATACTCCCTGAAAAAAGGTTTATTTTTTAAAGCAGGTTCTTACTACACAGGCTTAGCAAATGTAAACTATAGTATCCACTTTATCTAAATTATTCCTGTTACAATTAAAGGATGCAAATTACTGAAGCTTCACTTTCTGATAATTCAGAGTTATAAGATGGCCGGGCGCGGTGGCTCCCGCCTGGAATCCCAGCACTTTCGGAGGCCGAGACAGGTGGATCACGAGGTCAGGAGATCAAGACCATCCTGGCTAACATGGTGAAACCCCGTCTCTACTAAAAATACAAAAAATTAGCCGGGTGTGATGTCGGGCACCTGTAATCCCAGCTACTCCAGAGGCTGAGGCAGGAGAACGGCGTGAACCTGGGAGGCAGAGCTTGCAGTGAGCTGAGATCGTGCCACTGCACTCCAGCCTGGGCGACAGAGCGAGACTCCATCTGGAAAAAAAAAAAAAAAAAAAAAAGAATTATGTAGTTCACAATTCTACTGTGAAGGATTATAAAAATAATCAAATTTTTTGAAATAATTAATTGACAGAATTTAAAGGCAAATGGAAACTTTCTCATTAAAATTGATTGCTGCACTAGTTTAAATATTAATAGTTCATTTTTTTAAACATTATCTAAACTATGATGAATCATGAGATGTAACTTTGGGAAATATTAGCACAAAGTATCTAAAAACTAAGCAGGAGCCAAAATATTGATAATATTGCAAACTAGAGGTGAAAGTGTTTTCTTGTGCTTTTGTTTGCAAGTAGGTCACAAGTGTCCACTGGAACATAGTCAAAAATAATTTAGAAACCTGAACCTGAACGTGCATGCGCGTGCGCACGCGCGCGCGCGCGCGCACACACACACACACACACACACACATCTAAAGATATAGATATATTCCATGAAGAAGACAATGAATCTTTTTGTGCTGTTATATTATAAATGGACTATTATACTTTAGTACTTCGTATTAAATCACAAAATTATAGCTATGTTTAGAATAATAACTTACATTTTTTGTTTTTATATTTCAAAACTTAAATTTTACCTTGTGAGTTATTTTTGTAAATATACAGAGATGGGAGGTTATAATTAATGTAGAGAGCTCTGAATGAAAGTTATGAGAATCAAATTGCATGCAGTTATTGTTAGCAGCCCCAGAATATACTAGTATGGTATGGTTACCCAACTTCTCTTTTGTTTGCCCTTTTTCATCTCCCAAAATAGCCTCAAGGAACCATGATGACAGAGGTTTTCTTCTTTGAGGCATGAAGAAGGAAGGGTAAACGTAAAGGGACACATTTCAAATATAGTGAGCCAACTCTAAAGAACATTTCTCTAAATACCTGCTTACAATTAACTATCTGCTTTTATCTCATTGGCTACTACTATTTCTAAAGAAAGCTGGGAAATACAGGTTTAAATGCAGGTGCATAATGTTTTTAAAAAAGAGTTCTTAAAACATTTTTTTTCTTTCCAACTTGTATTTTGCATTCAAGGGATACATGTGTAGGTGGGTTGCATGGATAAATTGTGTGTCATGGGGTTTTGGTGTACAAATAATGTTGTCACCCAGGTAGTCATCATAATATCTGAGAGACAGTTTTTCAATCCTCAGCCTCCTCCCACCCTCCATCCTCAAGTAGACCCAAGTGTCTATTGTTCCCTTCTTTGTGACCATGTGTACTCAATAGTTAGCTCAAATTTATAAGTGAGAACATGTGGCATTTGGGTGTTTGGTTTTCTGTTCCTGCATTAATTCGCTTAGGATAACGTCTTCCAGCTCCACTCATGTTGCTGCAAAAGTCATGATCTCATTTTTCTTTATGAATACATAGTACTCCATGGTATATCTGTACCACATTTTCTTTATCCAGTTCACCCATTGATAAGCATCTAAGTTGATTCCATGTCATTCATTGTCATTGTAAACAGTGCTGCAATGAACATATGTGTGCATGTGTCTGTGTGATAGAATGATTTATATTCCTTTGGGCATATACACAGTAATGGGATTACTGGGTCAAATCGAAGTTCTGTTACAAGTTCTTTGATAAATCTTCAGACTGCTTTCCACAGTGTCTAATTTACATTCCCACCAGCAGTGTGTAAGAGTTTCCTTTTCTCTGCAACCTTGCCAGCATCTGTTATTTTTTGACTTTTAATAATAGCCATTCTGAGTGGTGTGAGATGGTATTTCATTATGGTTTTGATTTGCATTTCCCTAGTGATTAGTGATATTGAGCATTTTTTCATATGCTTGTTGGCTGCATGTGTGTCTTCCTTTGAGAAGTGTTTGTTCATATCCTTTGCCCATTTTTAAAAAATGGGGTGGGTTGTTTGTTAATTGTGGATTTGTTTAAGCTCCTTATACATTCTAGATATTAGAACTTTGTTGGGTGCATGAATAGTTTGCAAATGTTTTCTCCCATTCTGTAGATTGTCGTTTACTCTATTGATAGTTTGTTTTTGCTGTGCAGAAGCTCTTTAGTTTAATTAGGTCTCACTTGCCTATTTTTGTTTTGTTGCAATTGCTTTTAGAGTCTTTGTCATGAAATTTTTGTCAGGCCTGATGTCCAGAATGGTATTTCCTAGGTTTTCTTCTAGGGTTTTTATAATTTTAGGTTTCACATTTAAGACTTTGATCTATCTTGAGTTGATTTTTGTATATAGTATAAGATAGGGATCCAGTTTTATTCTTCTGCATATGGCTAATCAGTTATCCCAGCACCATTTATTGAATAGGGAGTCCTTTCCCCAATGCTTGTTATTGTCCAGTTTGTCAAAGATCAGATAATGGTAGGTGTGTGGCTTGCTTTATTTCTGGGTTCTCTAATCTCTTCCATTGGTCTGTGTTTGTTTTTATACCAAGTACCATGCTGTTTTGATTACTGTAGCCTTTTAGTATAGTTCCTTTTGCTTAGGGTTGCTTTAGCTATTCAGGCCCTTTTTTGGTTCTAACTGAATTTTAGAATATTTTTTTCTAATTCTGTGGAAAATGTCATTGGTAGTTTGATAGGTATAGCATTGAACCTGTAAATATCTATAAATTGCTTTCTGCAGTATGTCCATTTTAACAATATTGATTCTTCCTATCCATGAACATAGAATGTTTTTTCATTTGTTTGTGTCATGTCTGATTTTTGTAAGTAGTATTTTGTAATTCTCATTGTAGAGATCATTCACCTCCTTGGCTAGCTCTGTTCCTAGGTATTTTATTCCTTTTGTGGCCATTGTGAATGGGATTGCGTTCTTGATTTGGCTCTCAGCTTAGAGGTTATTGACATTATTGGTGTACGGAAATGCTACTGATTTTTGAACATTGATTTTGTATCCTGAAACTTTGCTGAAGTTGTTTAACAGAACTAAGAACCTTTGGGCAGAGACTATGAGGGCTTTTAGGTACAGAATCATATCTTTTGTGAAGAGGGATAGTTTGATTTCCTTTCATCCTATTTGTATGCATTTTATTTTTTCTCTTGACTGCTTGTTCTGCTAGGACTTCAAGTACTATGTTGAATAGCAGTGGTGAGAGTGAGTATCCTTATCCTGTTCTAGTTCTCAAGGGGAATCTTCCAACTTTTGCTCATTTAGTGTGATGTTGGCTGTGAGTCTTTCATAGATACCTCTCATTATTTTGAGATATGTTCCTTTGATGCCTAGTTTGTTGAGAATTTTTAACATGAAGTGATGTTGAATTTTATTGAAAGCCTTTTCTGCATCTACTGAAATGATAATGTGTTTTGTTTCTTTAGTTTTATTTATGTGATGAATCACATTCATTGATTTGTTTGTGTTGAACCAAACTTGCATCCTAGGGACAAAGCCTACTTTATCATGGTGGACTAGCTATTTGATGTGATGCTGGATTCAGATTGCTAGTATTTTATTGAGGATTTTTGAATCTATGTTAATCAGGGATATTGCCCTGAAGTTTTCCTTTCATGTTGTGTCTCTGCCAGGTTTTGGTATCAGAATGATGCTGGCCTCATAGAATGAGTTAGGTAGGAATCCCTCCTCCTCAATTATTTACAATACTTTTGGTAGGATTGGTACAAGCTCTCCTTTATATATTTGGTAAAATTTGGCTGTGAATCTATATAGTCTAGAGCATTTTTTTTGGTAGGTTTCTTATTACTGATTCAATTTTGGAATTTGTTATTGATCTGTTCAGAGTTTCAATTTCTTCCTGGTTCAATCTTGGGAGGTTGTATGTTTCTAAAAGTTTATCCATTTCTTTTAGGTTTTCTAGATTGTGTGCATAGAGGTGTTTGTAGTAGTCCCTGAGTGTTTTTTGTATTTGTATGTGGTCAGTGGTAATATTGCCTTTTCATTTCTAATTGTGTTTATTTGGATCTTCTCCATTTTTTTCTTTGTTTAGTTAGCAGTCGATCTATCTATCTATCTTATTTATTCTTTCCAAGAACCAATTTTTAGTTTTGTTGATCTTTTGTATGATTTTTCTCATCTTTATTCCATTCAGTTCACCTCTGATTTTGGTTATTATTTTTTCTTTTGCTAGCTTTGGGATTAGATTGCTCCTGTTTTTCTGGTTCTGCTAGGTGTAATGTTAGGTTATTAATTGGAGACCTTTCTAACTTTTTAATGTAAGCATTTAGTGCTATAAACTTTCTTCTTTACTGTGCTTTAGCTGTCTCCCAGAGATTCTGGTATGTTGTGCCTTTATTTTCATTAGTTTTAAAGATTTTTTTTATTTTTGCCTTAATTTTATTCTTTACCCAAAGTCATTTAGGAACAAGTTGTTAATTTCCATATTTTTATGGTTTTGAAAGCTCTTGTTGGTATTAATTTTCATTTGTATCATGCTGTGGTCCAAGAGTGCGATTGGTATCATTTTTGTTTTTTTGGATTTGCTGAGAATTGCGTTATGGTCAAGTGTGTGGTCAATTTTAAAGTATGTACCATGTGCAAATGAGAAGAATGTATTTTCTGTTCTTGTTGGGGGTAGTGTTCTGTAGATGTCTGTTAGGTCCATTTGATCAGCATTAAGTTTAGGTTCCAGATATCTTTGTTAGTATTCTGCCTTGATGATTTGTCCAAAATTGTCAGTGGGATGTTGAGGGCTCCTACTATCATTGTGTGGTTATCTAATTCTCTTCATAGATTTCTAAGAAGTTGCTTTATAAATCTGGGTGTGCCTGTGTTCAGTGAATATATATTTAGGATAGTTAGGTATTCTTGTTGAATTGACCCCTTTATCATTATTTAATGTCCTTCTTTGTCCTTTTTGATCATTGTTGGTTTAATGTTTGTTTTGTCTGAAATAAGAAGGGCAATCCCTGCCTTTTTCTGTTTTCCATTTGCTTAATCTTTCTCCATCCCTTTACTTCAAGCCTGTGGATATCTTTCCATGTGAAATGGGTCTCTTGAAGACAGCATACAGTTGAGTCTTGGTTCTTTATTCAGTTTTTCACTCTGCCTTTTAAGTGGGGTGGTTAGCTCATTTACATTCAATGTGTTTTGTTTCCATGTATAACACTTCCTTAAGGACATGTAAGGAAGGTCTGATGATAACAAATTTACTTTGTACTTACTTGTCTTAAAAAAATTTATTTCTCCTTTGCTTATGAAGCTTAGTTTGGTCAGATATGAAATTTTTGGTTGAAATTTCTTTTCTTGAAGAATACTGAATATAGGCCCCAAATCTCTTCTGGCTTGCAGGGTTTTTGCTGAAAGGTCCACTGTTGTTAGCCCTGTGGAGTTCCCTTTGTAGGTGACCTGCCCATTTTCTCTAGCCACTTTCCATAATTTTTCTTTCACATCGACCTTGAATAATCTGAAGACTATGTGTGCTGGGGATGTTTGTCTTATACTATGTATTGCAGAGGTTCTCTGAAGTTCCTGAATTTGCATATTGACATTTCTAGCAAGATTGGGAAAATTTTTATGAACAATAGACTCAAATATTATTTTTTCTAGTTGTTTGATCTCCTCTCTCTTTCAGGAATGCCAGTGAGTCATAGATTTTGTCTCTAAACAATCCCATATTTCTCAGAGGTGATAATTTTTACATTTTTTTCTTTATGTTTGTCTGACTGAGTTAATTGGAATAACTGTTCTTTGAGCTCTGAGGTTCTTTCCTCAGCTTGATCTATTGTGCTGTTAATACTTCTGATTGTGTTATGAAATTCTTGTAGCAAGTTTTTCAGCTCTATCAGCTTAGTTTGTTTCTTTCTTTAAGTGGCTATTTCATCTTTCTTCTTTTGAATCATTTTACTGAATTCCTTAGATTCATTCTAATTGGTTTCAACTTTTCTTGAAACTTGATCATCTTTGTGGTCATTCAGATCCTGAATTCTGTGTCTGTCATTTCACCTATTTCAGTCTGGTTAAGAACCATTGCTGGGGAGATAGTGCTGCCCTTTGGAGGTAAGGAGAGACTCTGGCTTTAAAATTTGCTAGAGATCTTGTGCTGGTTCTTTCTAATCTGTGTGAGCTGATGTTCCTTTAACTGTGGTGTAATTTGAGTATAGTCAGTTGACTTAGTTTCTGGATGTTTTCAGAGGCTGAGGCTTTGTGCAAGGTCTTTATTTGTGGCTGAATTTTTGTACCTGGTTTCACAGGAGGGTATATTAGCAAAGTAATTTTTGGTGTTGAAGTTTGGGCTGTGATCCAGTTGATGTCACTTAAGCATAATGGTCAGTAGGTAGGATCTTAGCCATGTCACTCTTCTGTATTTCCTCATGATTGCAGCCATGATCCCTCTCAGTGCTCTGAGAGTGTGTGCTCCTCTCCCATGTGAATGCTGGCTACAGATCTTAGCTTGGACTCCCTTGCTGTGCATTACATTCCTGAGAGAGTTCAAGCTTTTTGTTTCCTCAAGCTTGGGGGTTGCAGGGGAAGGGACCTTGGCAGTGGCAATGGCAGAAGGCCTTTTACTTGTCTCTTGGGGCTCCACCACAGAGAAATGCAGAGCTGCTGCCTATTCTTATTAGAATGATAAGCCCAGTGTGGCAACTGTACTGTGGGCCTAAGCCAGGGGGCCCTGCATGGTGAAGAGCAGCGGTGGTGGAGGGATTACAGGAAATACAATCTGGCCTCTTTGTTAGCAGTGAGGATTCTATATGGGTCTGCAGCAACTTGATTCTTGCCTCCTTGAAGGAAAGAATTCATCCAAGGGTCATAAGGCAGAGTGAGAGACAGAGGCAAGTTTTAGAGCAGGAGTGAAAGTTTATTAAAAAGTTTTAGAGCAAGAACAAAAGGGAGTAAAGTACACTTGGAAGAGGACCAAGTGGGTGACTTGAGAGATCAAAGCATGATATTTGGCCTTTGACTTAGGGTTTTATACATAGGCATGGTTGCGTCTCTTCTCCCCTGATTCTTCCCATGGGGTGGGCTGTTCACCTGTGCAGCAGCCTGCCAGCACCTAGGAGGGGCCACATGTGCAATGTGGTTACTGAAGTTGTGTGTATACTCATTTGAGGAGATTTTCCCTTACCAGTTGAGTGTTCCTAGAGGAAGGTCATACACCAGTTAAGCTCCTCCATTTTGCCTCTTAGTGCACATGCTTGAGCCCACTCACCCAACTCCTGAGATCTTATTGGGAAGCTACTAATCACCAGCTTCAGGTGTTTTCTATCTATTGAAATGACCGTTCCTTGGTGCCAGCTGTAACCAATTATTATTATAGAGAGACAGTTTAACAAGCACCTGATCATCACCTGATGGCTGCCTGAAATTCCTTGGAGGTACCCTCTCCTGCCCTTCTCATGTCTGCCTAGCTACCTACTCTAACATCTTCTCTGTAAGGCAGCCATGGCTTGCTGGAAGTACGAGTAAAGCACCCAGGTTCTTCCTTTCTCAGCTTGGTTGCAGCAAAGGTGGGGGCCGCCATCCTGGGTCTCCATCCCAGGGAGACACAGAGCCACTGCCAGTGGTAATGTTTAGCTAGGTATGCGGCAACTGCACTGTGTACCTGAGCTGACGGCCCTGCCTGGTGAAGAGCAGGGGCGGCAGGGGCTCACAGGGAAGAAAAACCGGACTCCTCTCTGTATGGCAGCTACAGAGTACTGGAAGTGCCAGCAAAGCAATCAGAGTCTTTGTTTCCCAGACGGAGTGCAGCGAGGGTGGTACTGCTACAGTGTCAGTGGTAGAAGGACTTAGAGTTGTCTCTGGGATCTCCACCACAGTAAAATCTAGAGCTGTACTAATGGGAATGTTCAGCCAGAGATGGGGCAGCTGCACTACAGGCCTGAGCCAGGGGCCCTGCCTGGTGAAAAGCAGGGGTTCAGGGGCTCACAGGAAAAAGAGACTGGGCAGGTGGCGAGACGTGTTTCAGCAGTGGCAAAAATGACAGGCTGGTCTGTTACCTCTAGGAGCTCTGTCTCAGAGAAATGCAGAGCTGCCACCTGCCGGAGTGCTCAGGTGTGGGTAGTGTGACTGTGCTGTGGCCCCAGGTCAGCAGGTCCTGACCAGTGAGGAGTTGCAGGGGCAGAGACCCACATGGAAAACAACCTAGCTGCTTTACCATAAGGCAGTTGCAGCAGGAAAAGAAAATGTGTTCTAATCCTAGGGAAGGAGCAGAAGAAAAATTCAGTTAGCAACTAGTGGTCTCTGGGACAATAAAATAGAAGATCATCAGTATGGGTAATTACTGAAAGATATGCTGTATGCAATGTTGATATATAATTGTCCCCAAATTGGAAGTTAATGCAATTGTCATGGGGCAAATTTTTATTTCTTTGCTTACCAAGTGAATGGTCTACCAAAAGAAATAATTATTTACTTACCATGTTTAACTTAAGCCAACCTACAGTGTGACTAGGAAAATACTGGTAGTAAAATAATTTAGGTTGTATTCTCTGAAACTTTCTTTTTGAAATTAAATCTAATTGAGAGGTGGATTACTAATCATTGCTGTATTCTGTACCTTCTCTTTGAAATTTCTATTTGAGATCCAAGACTCATCTGACCTTTAGTTGATCCACTTTCTCATTTTACCTTCCTTATGGCCAAGACATCAGTAAGTGACAACCAGGAGAAAGAAAATGCATAGTAACAAAACCCAGCAGCATATTTGAAAGAGGAATTGTAATCTACCAAAAGTGTGCTGCGTAATTTATGATTTTATAAATGAACATGAGTTAATCATATATAATTTCACAATTTTAAAAGCCCCCAAATTGGGGCTTATCCTGCAGTGTTTTTGGTTTCATCCAGTGATATAGTTTGGATGTTGTCCCTTCCCAAATCTCATATTGAATTGTAATCCCCAATGCTGGAAGTAGGATTGGTGGGAAGTGATTGGTTAATGGGGGTGGTTTTCTCAGGAATGGTTTAGTACCATCCCTTGGTACTATCCTTCCAATAGTGAGTGAGTTCTCTTGAGATCTGGTCATTTAAAACTGTGTAGCATCTCCCCCTGTCTCTCTTGCTCCTGCTCTGGCCATGTGATGTGCCTAATCCCCCTTCACCTTTGGCATGATTGTAAGTTTCTGTGGGCCTCCCGTGAAGCCAAGCAGATGCCATCATGCTTCCCATACAGACTGCAGAACTGTGAGCCAATTAAACCTCTTTTCTTTATAAATTACCTGGTCTGAAGAGTTTCTTTATAGCAATGTGAGAATGGACTAATGCACCAAGGAAAAAAATTAAGGGTGAGCAAGTAGTATTCGACAGCAAATTTTTATTGAGTGGTTATTTCTTGCTGGGCAGGGCTAACTCCTCAGGCAACGTGCCCGGAGTTGGCAATGTATGGGCTTTTGGTAACTGCATTTATACTCATGTAAATCCACTTTCACTTACAGGCAAATTAAGGGGTGGGTCAATGCAAATTGAGGGGTAGGTTATTTAGAATTTTTTAGGAAAAGTAACTTCTGGGTCATTGCCATTGCATGTGTAAACTGTCATGGCACTGATAGGAGTGTCTTATGCTAATGAGTAATGAGGGCAGCCAGGGATTGCTTTCATCCCCATTTGCTGGTTTCTGCCAGTTTTTTCACTTTATCCTGTCTGGACCAGATCCTGTTTTGATCAGCATATTTGTGACAAGAAAACAAGTCCTGTGGGTCTCCTACCTCATTCTTCCCTTGGAGATTAGATACTCCTCCTTAATCATAAGGGGGCTGCAGAATGGTGGAGATCCATCTTATAAATACAGTTGCCAAAAGACTACGATTGCTGCTGTCTCTGCTGTCATACTGCTGTGTTTGTCACTGCCTCTCGCTTGCCATCTTCATCCTTTTATTGCTGCCAGATGATGCAACACAGGTGAGCCCCAAACTGGGGCTTCAAAGAGGATTCTTGGCTTCATCTAGGAAAGAATTCAAGGGCAAGCTAGTGGTGTTAGATGGCAACATTTTATTGAATGGTCCCGCTCTTTCTGAAGCAGGGCTAACTCATAGGTAGTGGGCCCAGAGTTAGCCATGTGTAGTCTTTTGGCAACCGTATTTATACTCACGTAAACCCACTTTCAATTGCATGCAAATTAAAAGGTGGGTCAATGGATATTAAGGTATTGAGGGGTAGATTACTTAGAACTTTTGTTTGTTTGCTTGTTTTGAGATGGAGTCTCACTCTGCTGCCAGGCTGGAGTGCTGTGGCACAATCTTGACTCACTGCAACCTCTGCCTCCCGGGTTCAAGTGATTCTCCTGCCTCAGGCTCCCTAGTAGCTGGGGCTACAGGTGCGTGCCACCATGCTCAGCTAATTTTTGTATTGTTAGTAGAGACGGGGTTTCACCATATTGGCCAGGATGGTCTCAATCTCTTGACCTCCTGATCTGCCCACCTCAGCCTCCCAAAATGTACTTAGAACTTTTAAGGAAAGGGGCGGTAACTTCCAGATTGTTACCATGGTAAAGGGTGGTAACTTCAGGATTGTTGCATGGTATTTATAAGCTGTCATGGAACTGGTGGTATTGTCCTATGCCACTGAGCAATGAGGGCAGCTAGGGATCACCCTGATTGTTATCTTATGGTTCCTGCCAGTTTCTTCACTTTATCCTGTGTGGACAAGATCCTGTTTTGGTCAGCAGGGTTGTGACCAGAAAACAAGTTCTCTTAGTCTTCTACCTCAATATGATTCTATTCATTACAAAACACACACACACACACACACACACACACACAAGTCTAATCTGTTATATTAGAAGTAGGATAGTGGATACATTTCAGGAGGTTGAAGGAGTGGTGATTGGAGGAGCTATGACCAGGGATTTGCAGATGTTAGAAATGTTCTATTTTTTCATCTAACATGAGTGTATTTCATTTGAGCTAATTCATTGAGCTGTACCTTTATGATTTTGCACCATTTTGTATGTGTGTAATTCTTTAATGAAAATAAAATAACAAAGTGTGATTTTATTTATTTATTTTCAATACATTTTATTGTGTATATTTAAGGTATAAAACATGATATTATGATAGGATACATATAGACAGTAAAATGATTACTATAGTGAAGCAAATTAACATATTCATTATCTCACATAGTTATCAACTTTATTTTTGTTTTGTGGCAACAGCATCTAAAATGTACTCATTTAGAATAAATCCCATACACAGTATAATTTTAGTACCTATAGTCTTCATGTTGTACATTAGATCTCTAGATTTGTTCATCATACATATTTGCTACTTTAAGTATTTTAATGATATTTTAATATAAAAGAATGTGAACTTAGAATTTTATATTTGGCCATATTTTACTCAAATGTTTGTAAATAATAAAAATATTTATAGGTATATAAAAATCCACATTGAAAACTCTTTTGAAAAGTTTTGATGCTGCAAGAGAAAGAAACCTGGAGATACTATAAGAAATTATGAGTAATAAAATATGTGAGGCTTTTCAGCTAAAAAATGAGAGTGAGGAAAGTACTTATCTTGTTAGGGAGAAGATATTAATAATTTTAATACATTGATGTGAGTTAGTATATATGATTATACATTTATGTTAAAGACAGCCAGCATAAGGGAAATTAGTATATATAAGTGATACAGGATGTTAAAGACAGCCAGCATAAAGGAAATTAGTATATATAAATGATACAGGACAGGCAAGCTCCAAAATTGGGGATTAGCTTGGGAGCGTTCGTGACTTCACTTAAGAAAGAATTCTAGGGCAGGTCACTGGTATAAAACAGCAATTTTGAATGAAGCGGCACTGTACAGCAGCAGCAGATGCATAACTCTTTGTGGAGCAGGGCTACCCCATAGACAGTGTGCCCAGAATAGCAGCTCAGAGGTGGTTTTGAACTCAATATTTATACCCACTTCTAATTATATGCAAATTAATAGGTGGTTTATGCAGAAAATTTTAGGAAAAGGGTGTCAACTTCCAGGTTGTCAAGGTCATTGCCATGGAAAGGGACAATAACCGCCCAGTGTTGCCATGGCAATGGTAAACTGACATGGCATACCAGTGGGCATGTTTTATAGAAATCTGCTTCCACCTGGACCTGTTTTAGCTAGTCATCATTTTGGTCTGGTGTCTGAACTCCGCCTCCTATTTAAAAAGTGTTAAACAGACAGAAAATAATTCAAATCTATTCAGTAGAAATCAGGAAAGGAGAAAAAATGAATAAAAAGTACATAAAACATAAAATTATATAAAAAGTACCACTATCACACTATTAATATATATGTAAAAAGGTCAAATTTATCAAAAGATTCATCCTCTGAATGGATAAAATGAAAGTGTGGCAATACATTTTCTACATTATACATAGAAAGTTTGAAAATAAGGCAATCTTAATGCTTTGAAATATAGGTAGCAGAGGCATAATTATAAAGAACACACAGACAATCAGAAGCAGATAAATAAGCGATAGATAAAAAAGTAGACACATTTAGCAGACTTGGATGGATTATATGTTGTATATAAAAGCTGAAATCAGGACCATAATGTTTGTAGAAGTCAGAAGAACTTTTTCATGAAAGGTAAGGGTAGGCTAGATTTCTCAGCAGTTCTAATAAAAAGCACTATTTATGAAAGGAAAAAAATGGATAAATTTGGGCTTCATCAAAATTAATATACATATTTTTTGCAAAGAACAACATTCATGAAATAAAGAGGCAAGACACAGAATGGAAAAAATATTTGCAAAAACTGTATTTTGCCAAAAAGAATTGTATCTAGAATATGTAAAGAAGTCCTATAAGTCAATTAAAAAAAAAACCCTCAAAATGACTGAAAGATTTGAATAACCCTTCACACACACACACACACACACAAATATACACATCATCAATAGCACTTGAAAAGGCAGTCAGCATCAGGAAACTGCAAATTAAAACCACATCCATCACAATCTCCTTTTCAGCAACCTCTATTGCTGCCTCAGTCCACTCCCGTTAGGATTCCATCCCCACCACCCATTGAAAATCCTTTTGTCAGGATAATCGAATTTCCAAATATAGTGCTTATTTCTCTGTGCTCAGGCTTCTTTGAACAGAATTCCATGAAGTTGTTTACTCCTTCCAACTTGAAACATTTTCTTCTCTTAGCTTCTCTTTTTATAACAGTAGTTCAGACTTCCTCACTGAAGTGAGAAATAATGTAGCCCAACTGCTCACTTGATACATCCACTTAGACATTTCCTAGGCAGCCACACTGAAATGCCCTAAGAAGAAAGCCTGATTCTCTTCTCCATCCAACTTTCCTATTTCTGTTGATAAGCCAGCTCTCCACCCAGTTGCTCAAGCAGAGTCAAGAGTAATCCTTGATTCTCTTTTTTAATCATCACCGATACCCAATTCATCAGCAAATCTTATAGATTTAGCCTTCAAAAAAAAAAATCGAGTTTGATTGGTTCTCAGTTTTTGCTTAGTTCTAGCCACAGTTCTTTTTGCCTGGGCTATTAATACATCTTCCCAACTGTCTCCTTGCTGTCCCTTTTGCTCCTCTGTGAGAAAACATTTTAAATGGTCCGTTTTCAAGGCATGATAAATCTAAGTACTGGCAGCCAGCCTGCGGATGTGACTAACTGCATGACTCATGCACCTAGAAGGTCACAATAAGTGAACACAATGTAGAGGAGGGGTCCGCCCATAAAAGGGAAGAAAGTTTCATTACTGGGAAATTGAAACTTAAGTGGGGAAGGGGGCTAGGGTATAACCTGATAAGGGGGATAATGAAACTTAGGTGACATTCTGGAAGATTGTAACCCCCTAGTATTTGACCAATGAGGAACTGGGGGAGGGACTTGCATGTTAGGAGATAAATTACCTACTGTAACTGCCCCAGGTGTGCTTGCCTACCAGACACCTGATCTTGCAAGACCACCATTAAAAGTCTCGCTTCCACTGTTCTTCATGTCTCAGAGTCCATTCCTTGGGTTTGGTTGGGTGAATGTGTTTCTCACAAACTTGGGGGACCACCTGGGATCTCTGTGCCTGTGTGTAGTGGGACTCCAGCACAGAGGGGAGAAACGTCCCACCTGATTTAGGTGGCCCACTCTGTTCAGGCATCCTGGATCTCTGCAGAGACCTAGACAAACCCAAGACTGTTATTTAGAGGCAGCAGAGGTGACACGGGGAGAAATGCAGGCACTGCAGGAACGAGGCAAACTTGTGCAAGAGAAAAGGTAGGAAAATTGGACTATAAGTGCTGCCTTGGTGAGTTGGACATTTTTGGAGTTTGAGTGTGTGTGACTGAGATGTATCCTAGATATGAAGCGAGTGTGGTGTCCCAATCCGTGATTCCATTCTCCCATGGGGAAAACTGCCAGAGATAGATGAAGTGATTCTCGGGGTGTGCAAGAGACCTCCAGTCGGGGTGTGGGTGGGAGTTGAGTACACCAGAAAATGCTCAGACACAGAGACTGACCAAAGATTGGAAACAGAAATTCTAGCCTAGGGGACAAAGAGGGAGGCAAAGAAACTTTGATATTCCCTGAATAGTCCTTTGGGGAGAATGCTGCAGGGTTGGAGGGACAACCCACGAACCAGGGACAAGGAAAAGCAAAAAATCATAAAGTATTGGTGTTTTATCTGGCCCAAAGGCCCCATTCATAAGCCCTCAGTCTTTTGGCCTAGGTTTGGCTCAGATGAGAATTGGGTGTGCCGAGCTTTGTCTATATGAATGATAAAACCCCATCCTCACAAGAAGAGATAGGTTATGCTTTCCGCTGGATCAAGGAATTAGCCCCCATGTTTCCCCTCAAAGAAGAAGAAAAAGAGCCTAGTAAAAGCCCTTGCCCAGTGTAAAGCCCTGGGATCCCCTATCATGCTTGTCTCCTCTATACATCTCACAAAATAGGGGAAAGGAAGATCAAGGGGCAGCAGGAGGGTTAAAGGAAGAAAGACCTGGAGACCATGGGAGAGTTGAAACAACTGCTCCTTTAAATTTTTATGCAAATTTAAGAAAAGAATTAGAACAGTTTAAGAAGAATATTGAGAACTTCCCTATTCCTTCCATACAGCAGGCATCTAGCGTGTTCCCTCTTAGGGAAGTTCCCATGGGACAGGGAGAGATCAGCTTTGTAAATGCTCCTCTTACAAGTACTGAAGTGAGGAATTTCAAAAAGGAAATGAAACCACTCCTAGAAGATCCCTTGGTTTAGCAGACCAGCTGGACCAATTCCTAGGACTCAGCTTTTACACCTGGGCTGAAATGATGTCTATCATTGAATATCCTGTTCACAGGAGAAGAAAGGGGAATGATTGGGAGAGTGTCCATGACCATTTGCGTGAGGCAACATCTTTCATGCAAGGAGTCTTGCCGCCAAACAAAAATTTCCAAATGTCAATCCCAAATGAGATAATAATGATCCCAGGGACCAGGCCCAAATGCAGGACCTCTGGGAACTAATAATTAAAGGGATCAAAGAGTCCACTCCTAGGACACAAAATATCTCAGAGGCATTTGAGATTCAACAAGAAAAAGAGGAGACTCCCTCTGCATTCCTGCAGAGGCTCAGAGATCAGATGAGAAAATACTCTGGATTAGATCCAGAGTACCCAGTAGGGCAAGACCTTTTGATGGTTAACTTTGTAACTAAGACCTGGCCTGACATTACAAAAAAAAATTACAAAAGACTGATGGATGGAATGAGAAACCGATTGAGGAATTACTGAGGGAAACTAGGAAGGTCTTTATAAGGAGAGAGGAAGAGAAACGGAAACAAAAAGAAAAAATCATGGTTTCCACTGTGGAAGAGGTAGTCAGAAAAATGTTAGATCAAGATTCCCCTTGAAGGAGACAAGGGAAAAGAGACACAGAGAAAGAAGAGAAATGCAGAGAAAAGCTCCTAAAACTATGAATGGATGTTACAAGTGTGGAAAGCCAGGGCATTTTAAGACAGAATGTCCTGAATGGAAAAAAGAAGAAAAGGTGATTCCCCTCATAACCATTGATGAAGACTGGGGGGGTCAGGGGTTCCTTCTGAGTAGGTCCCACCAGGAACCCTTGATAAATTTGAAGGTGGGAGCCAGAGGAGAAGAAGTGACATTTTTGGTTGATACTGAGGTGGCTTGCTCTCCCCTAATTCACCAACTAAGGGGTACAGAACTCTCTAACAAAACATTGACAGTATCTTGAATAAAAAGGAGGGATTTCAGGTTCTGATATTCAAGAAAATGTTAATTAGATTGGGACCAGAACAAATTGAGGAGTCCCTCTTATATGTTCCTGAAGCAGGACCTAACCTCCTGGGTCAAGACCTGATTGTGAGATTGGGTGTAGAATTAGGAATAGAGGAAGGAAAAATAAAAGTAATGATGGGCCTCCTAACAGAGGAGGGGGAAAGAAAAATTAATCCCCTTGTGTGGCTTAGGGAAGGCAACAGGGGAGGGTTAACAATCACACCCTTACAGATTGAACTAAAACAAGCAGAAGAAGTCGTTTGCAGAAAACAATATCCCATATCTCTTGAAGGGAGAAAATGTCTCCAACCAGTAATAGAGGAATTGATTAAAGATGGATTATTAGAACCCTGCATGTCACCATACAATACTCCAATTCTCCCAGTCAAAAGCCCCAGGGTTGTATAGATTGGTGCAAGATCTAAGGACTATAAATCAAATTATTCAGACCCGCCACCCTGTGATGCCTAACCCCTACACTTTCCTTAGGAAGATACCCTATGAACATAAGTGGTTCCGTGTGGTGGATCTTAAAGATGTATTCTGGGCATGTCCCCTAGACTTCAGGAGTAGGGACCTCTTTGCCTTTGAATGGGAAAATCCTATAACTGGGAGAAAACAATAGTACTGCTGGACTGTGCTGCCACAAGGTTTCAAATTTGTTCAAATCTTAGAAAACGTCCTGGAGGAATCCCAAACTTCCAGGGGAACCCAGTTGTTGCAATATTGTAGATTATCTTTTAATTTCTGGGGAGAAGAGGGCCAGGGTATCAGAAACCACCACAAACTTGCTTAATTTCCTAGGAGAAAGGGGATTGTGAGTCTCTAAGAACAAAATGCAGTTTGTAGAAAAAGAAGTTAAATATTTAGGACACCTGATTAATGAAGGGAAGTGGAGAATAAACCCAGAGAGATTATTGGAAATAATGGGTCTGCCTTTGCCTAAGACAAAGAGAGAACTCTGAAATTTTTTTGGTTTAACTCATTACTATAGGTTATGGATGACTCATATGCTCAAAAGACAAAGATTCTGTATCTCAAGTTACTAGAGGAGGAACCCAATCCCTTGTAATGGTCCCCAGAGGAAATTCAGGCAGTGAAGGAGCTAAAGCAGGCCCTCATTACTGCCCCGGTCCTGGCTTTCCCACCTTTAGAGAAACCATTCCATCTGTTTGTAACAGTAGACCAGGGTGTGGCCCTTGGGTTGCTCACTCAAACCTTGGGAGGGAAGAGGCAACCTGTTGCTTTTGTCTCCAAGCTTCTTGATTCTGTCTCTTGCAGGTGGCCCAAATGTATGAAAGCAGTAGCTGCCACAGCCCTGCTGGTAGAGGAGAGTCAAAAGCTAACCTTTGGTGGGGCCCTAATAGTAAGCACCCCACACCAGGTCAGGAATATATTAAATTAAAAGGCCAGGACATGGTTAATGGATTCTCAGATTCTAAAATATGAAGCCATATTAGTAGAATAAGATGATTTGGTCATAACAGACACTTGCCTGAATCTAGCCAGTTTCCTATAGAAAGGAGAGGAGAACAAAGAGACATCAGACCATAACTGCTTAAATATCATAGAATACCAAACCAAAGTTAGACCAGACTTTAGAGAAGCTCCACTACATGTTGTGCTGTTTGTGGATGGGTCATCCTGAGTAATAGATGGCAGGAGACATAGTCGTTATACTGTCATTGATGAAAATAAACACTCCTTATGTGAGAAAGGTAGATTACCTAATGGCTGGTTGGCTCAAACCTGTGAATTACATGCTCTTAACCAGGCCCTAAACCTCCTCGAAGACCAAGAAGGCACTATATATACTGATTCTAAATATGCTCATGGGGTATTACACACTTTTGGAAAAATCTGGACAGAGCAGGGCCTAATAAATAGCAGGTGAAAAGAATTGGTACATGGGGAACTGGTCAAACAGGTTTTAGAAAGCCTCCTACTTCCAGCAGAGGTAGCCATAGTTCATGTAAATGATCATCAGATAGGGAATACTGTAGAAGCTATAGGAAACAGGCTTGCAGATGAAGCTGCTAAGCAAGCTTCCCTGGAGGAAGAAATTAGACTATTTAGCCTGATCCCAGACATCTCTAAGGTAGTATTAAGACCCCAGTTTACCAAAGAGGAGAAGGAAGAATTAGACAAGATAGGGGTCACTCAAACTGAAGATGGGAAATGGGTACTTCCTGCTGGGAGAGAAATGATAAAACCCCTGATGAGAGAACTAATGTCTATATTACACAAAGGGAGTCACTGGGGACCCCAGGCTCTGTGTGATGCAATACTTAGGAATTATGTGTGTATAGGGATTTAGACCCTCACTAAACAAGTATGTGGAAGTTGTGTAATTTGTCAAAGCTTAAACAAAATGTTGGCTAGAAAACAGGCCATGGGAGGAAGACCTCCCGGACTAAGACTATTTCAAAGCATTCAAGTAGATTTCAGAGAAATGCCCAAAATAGTAAGACTAAAGTATTTACTGGTGATCGTAGATCACCTTTCCGGCTGGATGGAAGGCTTTCCCCTTCCAACGGCCACCACCAGGAATGTCAAAATAATATTAGAGTAGATTGTACCTAGATTTGGCCTGGCAGAAAATATTGATTCAGACAATGGGAGCCACTTTACCTCAAGGGTGTTAAGGGGAATTATGGAAGGTTTACAAATTAGATGGGATTATCGCACCCCCTTGGCATCCTCCTTCCTCTGGAAAGGTAGAAAGAATGAATCAAACTTTCAAAAAGCATATCACCAAACTAATCTTAGAAACTAAAATGCCTTGTACCACATGTCTCCAAATAGCACTCCTTAGCATTAGGACAGCTCCAAGAAAAGATGGGATTGCCCCCTACAAGTTATTATATGGGCTCCCATATTTAGGCAGAGCTACAGATCTCCCTACTATGGAAACCAAGGATCAATTCTTAAGAAATTATTTACTGGCCATTTCCTCCACCCTGTCATCCCTTAGGTTAAAAGGACTTCTAATTCAAGTCTGCCTCTTGAGTTCATGGTTACCACTTCCAGCTTGGTGACTTGGTACTGGTTAAGACTTGGAAAGAAGATAAGCTCCACCCAAGCAGGGATGGTCCCTATCAAGTGCTTTTGACCACTGAGACAGCCATGAGAACAGCTGAATGGGGGTGGACTCACTATACTGGAGTCAAATGACTGGTAAAAGAGACCCCAGAAGGGAGAGAGAAAGACCAGTGAAAAGTGCACGGGTCACCCAGGAACCCTTAAAGTTAACTCAGAAAAATCTAAAAAGAAAATATGGGCTGGCCTCATTTCTGGAAGTTAATATGGCTGGGATGGGCTACTATACAGAGCAGAAGGTTAAAATGGAAACTGGCAGGGGACTCCTCTCTACCCAATCAGATTGGTAATTAATGTAACCAAGATGGTAGCACCCTAGACTATAAGATTTGATGCCTGCCACGTCTTACCTTGTGGGAATTTGGAAAATCAGAGACAGCTCTCACAGGCATATAAATATCTTTGCCCTGAACCAGACACAGGTTACAGCAGGGCATCAGCTTGCCCAGCTGGGATGATGTGTGGTGGACTACCCAATTTCAGGGTTGGACAGTAAATATGGGGTGGGCAACTCCTAGCTGGAGACCATTAAAGAATAAACTACATCTATCCAAGGGCTTCCCACCAAATAACTGCCAGAATTTAGAATGCAATCCTATACTCATCATCACTGACAATCCAGCTGTTCTAGACCAAGAACCAAAAGTAGTGTCTTGGGTATATGGATTAGGGATTAGGGGCAAACATCACAGGGAAAGACACCCTAGGGTGATTTGTTCTCAAACTAATCAAGAACTCAACCTCCCATTTGCCTGGGACTACTCCAACCCCTGACTCCAATAAACACTTTAGTTCACCGAATAATGACCCTAAAAGGGTAGAAATAATTGAGGTAAAGGATTTAAGGCAAACCTCAGAAACTGAGAGAGAGTACAGGGTATAGTCAAATGGATCAAATTTTCCGTACAAGCCCTCAACAAGAGTAACTGCTATGCATGTGCTGTGGGAAAACCTCAAGCACAGGTGGTTCCATTTTCCTTAGGATGGGATACCAATCCTGAAGAAATGCATTGCATGTTGGCTCTATACCAGGACAATGATGCATGGGGAAATGAGACTTGTAAGAGTCTGTCATTGCTCTTTCCTGTATTGCAAAGGTCAGATCCCATAGCAATTCCCTCATTCTCTATAGGGAATATGAACCACTCCTCTTGCCTCTCAAGGAAGGGGGCAGAGTTCAGTAAGCCCATGGGAGAACTATTGAGTTGTACCCACATCCTAAACATCACTGGTAAGTTAGGCAGTGGCAATTACTCAGCCTCCATATACCCCGGATGGATGTCTGGTGGTATTGTGGGAAGAGGAACCTCTATAACCTCTTACCATCCAACTGGACTGAGATTTGTGCTTTAGTCCAGCTGGTGATTGCCTTCACCCTGGCATTCCATAAAATGCCTGAAAATGCACTTGGCCACTAAAACTGGAGAGATTTGACAAATTCTTTTGATCCCAATTTATAAGTTGACTTGATAGGAGTCCCTGTGGGGGTGCCTAATAAATTTAAGGCCCCAAACCAAATAACTGCTGGGTTTGAGTCAGCACTCTTCTGGTGGTCAACTATTAATAAAAATGTGGATTGGATTAACTACATCTATTGTAATCAACAGAGATTCATCAGCTATACTCTGGATGCCCTCAAGGGGTTGGCTAGCCAGTTAGATGCCACCACTCAAATGGTCTGGGAAAACAGGCTTCAACTAGACATAATACTAGCAGAAAAAGGGGTTGTATATGTCATGCTGGGTGGGAAATGTTGTACTTTCGTTCCCAAAAATACTGCCTCAGATGGGACCATCATGAAACTTTACAAGGACTGACAACTCTAGCCAACAGACTGGCAGAAAATGCTGGAATTTAAGATCCATTTACTGGTTGGCTCGAAGGATGATTTGGAAAACAGAAAGGCATGGTAGCTTCAATCCTTACATCTCTCATAATTGTGGCAGGAGTCTTAACAGCAGTGGGGTGTTGCATTATCCCTGTGTGAGCAGACTAGCACAGAAATTAATTAAAATAGCTGTTAATAAACAAATGCCCATGTCTTACCAGAAAAATAGCCTGCTACTATTAGAAACCAAATTAAACTCACTCTCTTATGGGGAGAAAATAAACAACTTCTAGAGTGATTCGAGGACCAAAAGGGTTTAGATGAAAATGAGACCAAAGAAGTAGATAGAAAAGAGGAAGGAATTTGTGAGAAAACATTTTAAATGGTCCAGTTTCAAGGCATGATAAATCTAAGTACTGGCAGCCAGCCTGCAGATGTGGCAAACCACATGACTCATGCACCTAGAAGTTAACCATAAGTGAACAGAATGTAGAGGAGGGGTCAGCCCATAAAAGGGAAGAAAGTTTCATTATTAAGAAATCGAAATTTAAGTGGGGAAGGGGACCAGGGTATAACCTTATAAGGGGGATAATGAAACTTAGGCAACTTGTAACTTAGGAAAATTGTAACTCCATAGTACTCAACCAATGAGGAACTGGGGGAGAGAATTGTGTGCTAGGAGATAAATTACCTGCTGTTAACTGCCCCAGGTGTGCCTGCCTACCATACACCCGATCTTGCAAGACAGCCATTAAAAGTCTTGCTTCTCCTGTTCTTGTCTCTGAGTCCATTCTTTGTGTTTGGACTAGTGAATGTGTTTCTCACACCATCTATGGTTCACTCTCCAAGCAGAAACTGGGAGTGATCACTATAAATCTGAATGAATTCCTGTTATTCTTCTCCTTAGACCCCTCTCCTGCCTGGCCAGCAATCACTTTGCATGACTCTTAGAATACAGTGTAAACTATTTAATGTATGATTGAATACTAAAATAATTTGATCCCTGAATATCTCAACCTCTAATCTCTCTCAACTCTTATCCTCTTGTCCTCACTTAATGTGTTGTAGCTATCCTTATCTTCTTTTTCCTATTTCTAAAATACATAAAGGTTCTAAACTTAGAAATGGTTTACTTGTTCCTCTAGCTGGAATTCTCTAACTATACCACTTGAAGCATGGTTGGTTCCTTCTAGCATTTCAGGTCTCAGATTTTCTAACTGACCAATCTAGTAGTCTTCATCCTCTCCTGACCACAGATTCAAATTTATTTTGTTCAGATCACTTATCTGTAGTCTGTACTATTTATTTGTTTATTTCTAATGTTTACCCCTCAACCCCTGAGTGCATAAAAATGTAAGTAAAATGAGATAAAGATTTGGCTATTTTTATTTACCAATGTATTCTCAGTACCTAAAATATGTTTTGGTAAATGGTAAATAAATTAATATATGGAAATTATCTTTGAAACAATTGTTCCAAGTATAACATTTTCATTGTTTAGCCACTTCTCTGTAACCCACTGTGAGCAAGGACATAAATGAAGGATAAAGACTTTAGAGCAAAAGGTAAATTAAAACCTGACCACATGAGATCACATTTGTTTAGATTTAACACAAGGAAAAGGGAAATGAAAATAACGACATTTTAGTTTTTTGGGAAGTCTTGAAATAGAAATGCAATTTCACTTCAAATGGTTTTTGTCCTATAACTTTGGGGTGTGTGTGTGTGTGTGTGTGTGTGTGTGTGTGTGTGTGTGTGTATATTTTTTTTTTTTTTTTGAGACAGAATCTCGCTCTGTCGCCCAGGCTGGAGTGTGGTGGTGTGATCTCGGCTCACTGCAACCTCTGCCTCCCAGGTTCACGCCATTCTCCTGCCTCAGCCTCTCAAGTAGCTGGGACTACAGGCACCTGCCACCATGCCTAAGTAATTTTTTGTATTTTTAGTAGAGATGGGGTTTCACAGTGTTAGCCAGGATGGTCTCGATCTCCTGACCTCATGATCCGCCCACCTCTGCCTCCCAAAGTGCTGGGATTACAGGCATGAGCCACTGCGCCCGGCCTGGTGTATATTTGTTTAATTAGTTGTATTAATGGGAGACTACATTTTGGTTGATGACTCTAGATATTTGTAACTGAGGGGGATAAATTAAGTTTGGGCAGTAATTCAAGCTGCTGAAGAAAAGAAACTTGGCGGGGAGCCTAATATTTAACGAAGGAAGCCCATTTATTCAGGCAAATTAGGGAATCATGGAATTATAGGTTATTCTATATGTTTAAACAAATTAGAAATATAATTATTGATATATACTGATTGGGAGATATTTTCTACTCATTGAAAATTGAATATGATTTTGGAAAAAATTTTGTTGCTCATAATGTTAGTTTGAAATTTTTAGGCAGGTCTTGAAAGGTTATGAATACTTAGAAAAAATCTATTTATTCCTGATTTGTTAGCTATTTTAATGGAGATATGGTAGTCTCCATTACAGTATCCATAGCCTCTGAGGAAAGAGAGCTGTTTATATTTAGCTGTAATTATTTTGCTGCCTCATCCACAGCAGCTGTTGACCTAAGGAACATCACATACCACCATTTGTTCTCTGATATCGCACCTGGAATATACCACAGGAAAAACTAATAAAACGAATACAAAGCAATTGACAGATTTGAAGGGAATGATAAAGCTATAATAACCATTTAACATGAGAATTAAAGTCATCATATAAGACACACCAGTAGCTGTAAAAGAATAACAAAAACATAGTGTATACTACCAATGAAAGATTAGTCTAAACACTGTGGTGGATCATGTGTCTGCTTTGTTATTTTTCGCATATGGAAAAATTTCCCTGAAAACAACCTTGCTTTTCTTACTTCTTATACAAGCACTTGGCATAATTAGTTCTAGCTTGATTGTGTGATTGGTTCTCATCATTTTATTTTGAAATTCTGCTTTTCTGTTCATTTTTTTCCTTGACTTTTTTTTATGAGGTTTACTGAGGTTTACTTTTATGTGTATTAATTTTCTGCTCCTTCAATTGAGTGAAGTGTAGATCTTTTAGGCATGGTATATAGTACTAGACTATAGTATTCTGCTAGTGTGAACAACCTTCCTGGTTTGCTTCAGACTAAGTTGGACTTTAAGTGCTAAATTTTGGGACAATTTGTCACCTTAGCACTGAAAAAACAAAAAGAATATAGAAAGATCTTTGAAAACCTGAGATCAAGAAGAAGAAATTAAGATGCCCTTAAATGTTTGTGCCCATGTAACTGTAGGTTCATGTGTCGGCCTGCTTCCAATGTAAGAATGCCGTCTAAATTTTGGGACATGTCTAAGTGAAAATGGACAGGTTTGAAATGTTGCCAACCTGAAAGCAAAGAGCAGTGTCAGGATGGGAAGATGTTCTGCTAGAAGTGGAAACTCCCAGAACTGGAGGAATAACCTCTATGCTCTATTCAATATAAATTTGTTTCAAACTTTAAATTTGCAATTTTGAAATTGTTTCAGAGGCTTATTAAATTCAGCCACAACCATCTTTGTAGTCAATGCTCCTCTATTTGCCCCCTTTCCTGTGGATTTTATTGCATTTATAATTTATTACAGAGTAAATCTCACATATTATCAGCTCTATGGGATAGATGAGAATGAGAGAGTTACTAATATATCTTTGTATGATGCAGCTTTAACTTTCGTCTTAATCCTTTAACAGCTTTATTGAGATATAACTCACATATCATACAAGTCATCCATTTAAAATGTACAATTCATTAGTTTTTAACATGTTCACAGAGTTGTGCCAATTTTACCACCACCACAGCCAATTTTAGTACATTTTCATCGTCCAATACAGGAACTCCACAATCATTAGTAGTCATTCTCCATTTCTCACCTCCCCTCCTCTCCTTTCCTCTTACTCCTGGCCCCAGGTAACCACTTGCTTAGTTTTTGTTTCTATATGTTTGCCTATTGTAGGCATTTTAAAAACTCCTCCTGTGATTGTGTGTCCTTTGACCAACTTCTCCCCATCTTCTCTCTCCACTAACCACCCAAACTCCTGGTAACCACCATTCTATTCTTTTCTTTTATGAGATCAGCTTTTTAAGATTCCACATGAGTGAAATTACATGGCATTTGTCTTTGTGTGCCTGTTTTTTTTTTTTTTTTCTTTACATGGAGTCTCACTCTGTCACCCAGGCTGGACTGCAGTGGTGCCATCTCAGCTCACTACAATCTCTGCCTCTCGGGTTCAAGCAATTCTTCAGCCTCAGCCTCCGCAGTAGCTAGGATTACAGGCGTGTGCCACCACACCCGGCTAATTTTTGTATTTTTAGTAGAGACAGGGTTTCACCATGTTGGCCAGGCTTGTTTCAAACTCCTGACCTCAAACGATCTGCCCGCCTCAGCCTCCCAAAGTGCTGGGATTACAGGTGTGAGCACCACACCCAGCCTTGTTTTTTGAAGTAATTTCCTCTCTAGATTTTCTCACAACACATTTTCCCATTTTCCTTTGAACTGTCAAATGTATCCTTCTAAAACTCCTTCTCAGGCCTCTGACATGCCTCTTAAATATTAGGATTTCCCAATACTCTATCCTTCTCCTTCTGTTCCCTTTTTTTTCACCTTCCTTCCTGTCCCCTCCTTTTCTTCACTTCTATTATGCTACCCTTCATTATCCTTCTCTACTCTTCTTTGCTCTCTAAGAGTTGGTCTCATCTATACCCATTGTTTCAATTGTGACTCTCAAGTTTATATCAGCTACTCAGATCTCTCTTCTGAGATTAAGACTTATTATATACATTTGCTACTGCTCTGCACAAACAAGCCTCTTGTGCTTCTCAATATCAACACTTCAAAAACCAAACTCATCATTATTCAACTACCCTTCTCCTACCAGTTCTTCTAACTTATTTGCCAATTTCGATCATGGTACAGTCTTTTCTCAAAGCTTAGAAAATTGGGCTTATCCTTCCTCTCATATCTATCCAGTCAATAATTCTAATCAATTCTAAATTTTCTAAGCTATATGTGTCTCTCCATCTCCCTTGGTGCAGAGCATCATGTTTGCTCACCTTGATTACTGCAACAAGCAATAATTTTTCCTCCTGTGGATGAATAGCCTTATCCATTCTTCAAGTAAATTCTATACACTTCAGCCAATTGGCTTCCTAAACTATGAATCTTATCATGTCATTCTCAAGCTAGAAATTCTTCAAGGCCAATGTTCAAATTTCTTGCTATGAATTAGAAAGAATTTTATGATCTGTCACCTACTTACCTCTCCAGTCTCATCCCTGAAAATTTATCACCAGTCACCCTCACCCTCCCTAACCCTTATCTGATCAGCCAAAGTAAGCTGCTTGCAGTTCGTTGAACAGACATTTGGTTGTACCATCCCTGTTCCAGGAGTACCCTCCCTGCCTGGTTAACACTTCATCCTTCAAGATTCAGCTCAGGCATCACATTCTCAAGGAAGTGTGTTAGTTGCTGCTACTATGTAATCAAGTAACTATGTAAACCTCCTACATAAGCATTTACTCAGTTTATTATAACTTTTGTTTATTCATTTATCTCTTTCAATAAACTGCAAACTTCCTTGCCTACTAGGGGCCATGTGTTATTTATCTTCTTGCTTTCAGCTTCTAGCACTGGAGATGGTACATAGTACGTACTTGGCAAATGTTAAGTCAGTATCTGGAATGAGAGCTATAAGAGCAAAGACTCAACATGGCTTTCTAAATCTGGTTATTATAAATTTGAAGCATATCTATGCAAACATAACAAGGGGATAATTCTTTATCTTGCTTCTCTTTCCATGCTTGTAAGAATCGAGACAATATTCTACATTGTCTGTATGGTTGGATTTCTTTTTTTTCTTGCTCTCTTTCTTGATTTTTTTCAAAAACATGCTTTCTATCATATTTCAGTCTCATACAGCTATTAGTTTGTGATTGTTAGAGACTTCTCAGATAAGAGTGATGGTAGAATAAAAATAAAATCCTGGTTTCTTAAGTCAAATTGTGACATGGGTTTGAATCCAAGTTCTGTAACTTGTTAGTCTTCAATCTTGCATGCATAATTTGTTTTCTTTTATTTAAAGTGATAAAATAGTCATAATACAATTTTTCCTATAGTGTTACTATAAATATCGATAAATTATTATACTATTATAGCATTGACAGCAGTTCAGTGTCCCAGGAACACCAGCAGCTGTAATTCTATCACAAAATGGAATTCTGTTTTTAAATAGAATATGTGAGGGGGAATAACAAATGTGAAACTCCTAGAGTGCAGGTGAAATCATATTTTTACATTTGCATGTTTATTAGAGCACCAAGCTGTAGGTATATCATAATAAATAATCTGGAGTCTTCATTTTGATTTTTTCACATCTATATATTTTTGAATTCAGCACATTTATTGAAACTCACGTCAAATGTTTTACTAAGCATTATGGGAAGATGCAAAATAATTAAGACATTGCCCTATCATAAAAGAGCTTAAAAATCATTCCATAAGCTAGGAAAACTAAAAATAAAATCACTTGAAAATAAAAAGTCATGTTTACTGAGAATATTATTAAAACCAATTAGTAAATACTAGTAACTTTGAATATATAGCCAGAGTATCACCTTATATGAAACAGTAACCCATATTTCTGATAACTAAACATCAACTTAAACATGGAAGTATGTATTACATTTACTTTCTTTATGACCTCATCTAATATCTTGCTTTTCAATGACATTTTGTTGATTACTTCCAAATTCGTATTTCCAGTCTAGACTTCTCCCCTGAACCCCCAACTCACATATCCAACTCTCTACTTAACATCTCTGCTTGGATGTCTAATACATGACTAAAACTTAAAGTGCCCAACATTGAACACTGAATTTTCTAGCTTCAACATGGTCTTTTCCATATTAGGAAATAGAAACACTTCCATTTAACTGTTTTTCAGGCCAAAATTCTTAGTGTGATCCTTTTATTTTTCTTTCTGTTACTTATTCCTAACACTGAATCCACTGGCAAATCTTATTGGCCCTGCCCTTAGACTCTATCCAGAATTCAAGCACATTTCACCACCTTGACTCTTAGCCTAAACCAGGGCATTATAGCTGTAATATGGGTTACTGAAAATGGCCTCTTCCCTAGTCTCTCAGTTCCTCTATAATCTATTTTCCATACCATAGTAGCCAGAGATACTTTTGAATCATAAGTCAGATGCTATGCACCCCTTTCTCAAAGCCCTTGATGACTGTCTATCTTACTCAGAGTAAAAGTCAAGTCACATCTCCTGTAATGGCTAACAAGGTTCTATGTGATCTGAACCCACTACTTTTCTAACTCCATGCCCCCTTATGTATTGTGTTCTAGCTATACTTGACTCCCTTAATGCTTCTTGAATTCACTAAGGACTCAGAGCCATTGTGCTTGCTCTTCTTTCTGCTTGCAACATTCTCCCCTGATATTTGCATGACTTACTTCTTCATGTAGTTCAGGCCTTTGTTCAACTTTCACCATATCAGAGAGGCTCACCTTGTCTACCTTATATAAAGAGACACCCACCCTGGCAAGTCTCTCTCCTCCTTGCTTCATAGCACTTGTCCTTACCTATCCTGTATATTGATAGAAAACGTTTTTCTGCCTCTTCTTACTAGAACATAAGCCACAAAGGGCAGTGAGTATTCTCTCATGTTCATTGCTTTACCCACGGTGCCAAACCAGAACAGTGCCTGATAAGCATGTAATAAATACAGATTGAATAAATTATTAAATAATTCTTATTTAATTGCTATCAGTGGGAAACAAAAGCAAACAGCAAGTATGACTATTTCAGTACATTTTAATAGTATAACTCTGATACCAGTAAAACCATTTACTTATAATCAGTTAATCATGTTGCTGCTGATTTCTGTATTTTTAATATCCAGTTGCTGAACTTATCCAGATCTATGGGTTTTATTTGTGACATCTCATGTTCTTGTCAATTAAAATGACATTTTTGGAAAATAAATTTTCCTATTTGAGTTTGCAAATATTCATATTGCCTTTGTACTACTCTTTTGAGTTTCTAAATAATAGCCTCTCAGCTTCAAAGTTAGTCTTAAAGTAGTATTTACCTTCTAGTCATCTGTAAAGCATTAATCTGTCATCGTGCTTTTTAAAAGCAAAGTATTATTTTTCCTTACTTTGCAGAAGGCAGGATATGTTTAACCAGTTCATCAAATTTCCATATGCTTTTCTGAAAGTCTTCCTACATATTGGAATAGGCTACTGGGTCTTCTTATAAGGTTACCTTTTAAAAATTATTAGTTTCAAATCATGCCTTATTGGACTGCGTGTGTGTCTGTGTTTTGGGTGTGTGTCAGAAAATGATGGAGAGTCAAAGTAGGAATGTAGGACAGATTGTTATAAGTTTTATTAATTTAATGTTTTAGATCTTGGATGGTGAGATCCAGCTCATGCATTCATCCCCTACCCTATCTATAGGAGGTACCTATCTTTCACACCTGAGGTTTGATGTTTACACTTATCTATAGAACTATGACATTGAGTTATGAACATTTGTTTAGATTGATAGCATTCTAGAATGCTCTAAAAGAAAGGCATCGGAGTTGGTCAATCCGGGGTTTTATTGTGTACTCCACATGTCTCTAGCTCTGTGATAACTGGCAAACTATTTAACATCTTTTGAGCTACTATGTAAACACCTATAAAATGGGAGTAATAATAGATATTTCGTAGAGTTACTGTGAAGCTCAAATAAAAATATGTTTTCTAAGTATCTACTTACCAAGGAAGCTGATGAATTCTTATTGGGTGACAAATGAAATGAATGTTAACCATCATAAATCATGCTGCTATAAAGACACATGCACACGTATGTTTATTGCGGCACTATTCACAATAGCAAAGACTTGGAACCAACCAAAATGTCCAACAATGATAGACTGGATTAAGAAAATGTGGCACATATATACCATGGAATACTATGCAGCCATAAAAAATGATGAGTTCATGTCCTTTGTAGGGACATGGATGAAATTGGAAATCATCATTCTCAGTAAACTATCACAAGAACAAAAAACCAAACACCACATATTCTCACTCATAGGTGGGAATTGAACAATGAGAACACATGGACACAGGAAGGGGAACATCACACTCTGGGGACTGTTGTGGGGTGGGGGGAGTGGGGAGGGATAGCTTTAGGAGATATACCTAATGCTAAATGATGAGTTAATGGGTGCAGCACACCAGCATGGCACATGTATACATATGTAACTAACCAGCACATCATGCACATGTACCCTAAAACTTAAAGTATAATAATAATTAAAAAAACCATCACTGGCTACCAACATGGCACCATGAGGCAGCACCCACATCTTAAGGAGAGGCCCTTACAGCCATGCTTGAGATCACAGTCCTACCAGAAGTTTCAGATGTTCTGAAATGCATAATATTTTTGACAACATGAGTCATCTAGGAGAGTGCTGGCATAGGAGGGCTTCAGGAGGCATGTTTGAGGATTCTTTACTAATAATGTTGCTGCTTTTTCCTCCAATTTTGTGGTAATATAAATAAATCCTCCAAATTTCCCTTTAAATAGTTCTTTGCAGTCCAAGGCTAGCCTCAATCATAAACAGACTTTTTCTTGTGAGTTACCAGGATTCCTTTCTAACATTGACCTATGACAACATTCTTACTTGATTCACACTCCCTAAGTATTACCTTTTTAAAACCACTGTTATGGAGATGGTCCACATTTCATATTATTTGAATGTATGAACTAATTTCCAAGCTAAGGTAATATCCAAGTAAATATTTTGTAATAATTTGAGAATGCTACAGAGCTAAGCATATCAGTGGATGCCAATAAATTCCTTTATGAATAGACTGCATGTCTATTTATTTGCAAATGTAGTTATGTATTAAAATACATATTGGTGCACTATCTGTATTATGCCAGGTATTACTCAAGCCCTCTCCCCTAGTCCATCATTAAATCACCAGCAAAATTATCTTTCCTAAATCTAAATCTTATTATTTATCTCCAGCCTAAACCCTCCATCAGTTCAGTATTACTATCAGGAAAATTTTCAAATGTACTATTATGACATAAAAGATGTATTTCCCTATTCTTTGCAACATAAACTTTATTGTCTTATGTATTATATTATCTATGTAGATTTAATATGTATCTATTAACACATATAAAATCTTAAAATCTTCACCAGTACCAGCAAGTAATATGTCCCCTTTTCTTTATTTCTATTACTGCAAATGTTGTTACTTTTGCCTAGAAATTTTCCTCTCTCTCTCTTTCTCTCTTTCCTTTCTTTTCTTTTCTTTTCTTTTGACAGAGTTTTGCTCTTCTTGCCCAGGCTGGAGTGCAATGGCACAATGTTGGCTCACCACAACCTCTGCCTCCCGGGTTCAAGCAATTCTCCTGCCTCAGCCTCCTGAGTAGCTGGGATTACAGGCATGCACCACCACATGCAGCTAATTTTTTTTTATTTTTATTTTTTTAAGTAGAGACGGGGTTTCTCCATGTTGGTCAGGCTGGTCTCGAACTCCCGACCTCAGGTAATCTGCCTGCCTCAGCCTACCAAAGTGCTGGGATTACAGGTGTGAGCTACTGCACCTGGCCTTTAATCTTTCTTAAAAACGGAGCTCACGATGTACCTCCTCAATCCTGTCTTCAGAAATAATCTTCTGTCCTCTGATGGCACCTAGTCATTCTCCCGTTAGCGTTCTTTTTATGCTGTATTACATTTTACGTTAAAGTGATGAAAGTAAAATATAGGAATGGAAGAAGGAAAAGGAGAGAAGGGTAGAGTGATAGGCTGCAATAGGGAAGAAAGAAAGGGAGGTGAAAGAAAGATAAAACGATGAAGAGAAGAAGATCCTCATATGAATCTTGGTGTCCAAAAAGATGATAGTCCTGTACTATTAATCTCAAAGTAGAGTACATGTAGTTCCATGACTACACTGATGAGCAAGGAGAATGGGAATCTACAGGATTGATTTGTTACTAATTCCTGGAATGTCAATTTTCCTTGAAGACTAAAGATATTTTATGGGTAATCATACAACTACATATCATTCAGGAGACTGTCAGACATGAAGGAATCATTATGATATTCAAATTAGTTTTATGCTTACCCAGGTTTTTGAAGTTAAGCTCACCAATCATTTTTCAAATCTTGGCCTATATGTTTACTCTCTTTTGATAAGGATAATTGTCTTTAAATTATTGCAGACAATGGTTTTATGTTAGTTTTCAACATAAAACATATTCATATTTTTTTCTACTCATGGTACCAAAGTATAAATAAACAACACATCAGTACAGAAAAATATATAGCTTGTAACTTATCCTTTAAAACCAGAATATCCAAATTCAATACAGATTCTTATTTTTACTTTAAAAAATCAAAGTTACACATTGGGGCTTGAACAACTATGTTTCTTCTTCTTATACAGATGTGACATATGTGATTTCTGATAAATAATATTCTACCAAACATTGTACTAAACCAAAGCAGACAGATGATCAGTAAAGCTGTTTACTATCTCCTACTCATGTTGAGCTAGGCTACTGAAACACCATCTTGATAGGAAAGATTTTGACAGGAAGAAGAAATCACGGAGTCCCTACCTACCCCAACAGAAAAATCTAACAAACTGGTTTATATGGAAAATATTTTCCACAACCATGCATAAACACACTTAACATGCTATAATAACAGAATATCTGTTGGTCTGCTTCCAGCACACAGTATACATTCATTGGTGCTCAATAAGATATAATTGAACACCAATATAGAAAGCATTTTTTTCTTCATAGCATTAACAACTAAAAAGCACATGGCATAGGATACTTTGATCTTTAAGTGGGTAATCATGGAAATTTCAAGATTATATTTACTAGGTTAGCCTGCATATTCATCTATATTTTTTTCAAAAATAATGGTTCAAAAAGACTTCCAGAAACAGTCCTGATACAGTTTCACTGTTTCTGTTGATGCCTACAGCCAAGACAAGCTGTGAACATGGGAGATTCGGAAATCTCAAGGCAGGCAGCTGGCTTGAGGAACACCCTAGATAAGTACTCCCAAATACTCAAAAGCCCCATTGAGGCTGAAGGACCGAAACTCTGACTCATACTAAAAAGAACTGTGAGTGCACAAAGAGATTCATGCAGAGCCTGCCGGGACAAGAAGAGTTGGTGATGGTAGATGTGTTGACATACCAACACATATACTGGGGGAAGGGCCCCGCTAGGTGGAATGCTTGACATGGGCTTGCTTCAGAGGAATCTGACTCAGAGCACCTGAAAGAGGTGTCTAGTTGGGGAGGGGAGGAATACTAGGGTTACTGAGCACTTGGGGAAGAGTACTAAGGTTATAAAATACAGAAAAGTGTTTCAGGAGAGACAGGTCTAGGAGTGTCAGATCATTTTGGTTTTGACCCATCAATACTTAACATGAATGAAGAGTTGCAGAACAGAGTCAGTCTATTTAAGATGTATTCTTCTGTGATAATTAGCTGAGCCTATTGGCCTACTGGGCCAGTGACGTCCAGAATGCTCCCATTCATTGCCTGGAGGCAGGAACTTAGTGCAGCAGATTGTTCTGGGAAGCTGGCATAGAAGATGATTTGCACGGCAAAGTCACCACTAAACCACTGCTTAAGTCCAGTCCCTGGCCTGTTTTTTCCACTTTGTAGTCCAGAAATATTTCTTTAAAAGCCAGAAAAATCTATAAATGCGAGCAGCGTGTTGAATATGTCACCAGCCACTTCATCCTTATGGTGCTGTAATGTTGCTGTGAAAACTGCCATGTTAAATCCAGGAATCCTCTCCAGCAGCTGTTCTATATACTTTCCTACCAAAGAAATATATTCATTAAAAATAGGCATGAAGTTGAGTTTATTTTCTTCTGCATCTGCAAACTCTCAGTAGTACTTGTCCATGAAATTTCTCTAATAACTAGAACTTGTCATCTTTGATAATATCCTCTAAATATCCTATCACAGCATCAAATTCTGCATTAGAGGTTAAGTACAGTGCAAAGCTCTCTTCATCTAAGGAGGCCACTGTTGCTGCCCTACCCACCAGGTGGGCCAGGGGCTGTTGGGCACCCATCCTTCCCTGGCTCAGGCCTGGGCCCAGGCTCTGCTCTGTTCTCCAGAGCCTCAACCTGGCTGGCTGGCCACTGAGGCCACTGTCCACTCACAACCCAGCTAGGTCAGCACCTGCGGGAGAGGCCCAACCTTGGGATCCCCAGCTGCCACCATGCATAGGTTGGCATGCACAGCAGCCACTGCCACTGTGGGTCCAAACATCCCATATTCATACATTTTTAAAGGAATAAAATACCATAAAAAGAGGAATGAAAGGATATATCAGAGGAGAAAAAGAGCTGCTCTCAGATAATTAATTGGAGAATTGCTGATGAATTGTATTTGAATTCAATCTTGCAGGATGAGTAGAAGTAGACACACAGAGATGAGAAGTGTTTGTCACCTTGGGTCTTCTGAGAAGCAGACACCAACATGGGACTATGTGTACTAGACATTTATTAGGGGAGACACTTATGAAGAATAAAGGGTGAAGGTGTAAGAGTAGATAAAGAAAGCCTCAGAACATGATGCATGTCTGTTCTTTTTAAAAGGAGAGAGGGAAGAATTAGATAGGAAGAGCTCTAGGCTGTAGCATTGTTCTCAGAAAGTCTCAGGCAGGATCATGGGGGTTCCATGAATCAAAGTTGCCTATTTGAGACATATTGCACAGGGCAGAAATGGGCTAGCACTCATAATTCTACTATGCTGAGTCACTGGTTAACAGTAGCCCCAGGAAAATGTGGTCTCAGCATTCACAGGACTGGCTGCTGCAGGCTTTCAGTTAACTCTGCTCCCTATAGCAGGTTTTCTTAAAGAGATCTGAAGGGAACATGTCCATGGCTGCCCTATGGAGTAAAGATGATCAGGCATACAGAGAGAAACTGCAAGATGTCCATGACAAATAGCAACCTCAGATTGTGTGGAATATGATGTACAGGAAAGATAGTGGTGGAAGGAAATTACAAAGACAGTCTGAGACCAAAACTTTGAACAGTTTTGACGAATCAAATGGGGAGTTTAGACTGAACAATCTTTCATAATAATGATTCATTACAAGTTTATTTTTTAACAGAAGGGTGGTGCTGTCATATTGTCTAGTTTTTTTTCTGAGATGGAGTCTCGCTCTGTTGCCCAGCCTGGAGTGCAGGTCTCGGGTCACTGCAAGCTCCGCCTCCCGGGTTCACGCTATTCTCCTGCCTCAGCCTCCAGAGTAGCTGGGACTACAGGCGCCCACCACCACACCTGGCTAATTTTGTTTTTTGTATTTTTAGTAGAGACGGGGTTTCACCATGTTAGCCAGGATGGTCTCCATCTGCTGATCTCGGGATCCGCCCGCCTTGGCCTCCCAAAGTGCTGGGATTACAGGCGTGAGCTATCACTCCCGGTCTAGTAGATGAATATTGAAGAAATTTAAAACATTGATTTTAGGTAAGAGGGATGCTGCAGTTCTAGGTTTATATTTAGAGCTCAGGGCCTAGAGAGGAAATTTAAATTACCCATTACAAAGTGAGAGTTAAAGTTGTGAAACTGAAGGGCATTGCTTAGAGTGAACTCAGAGAGGAGAACATGACCAAGAAAATATCCTTGGCAGATATGAGTTTAAAATTGAGCAGTCACATTATGTGTTGAGAATCTTGTTTCCTATCCTACTTTAAAAAGAGTATATTAATTATTTTTAAATGACAAAACATTTTTCCTCTCTAATATATGAGGTTAAATTTTCATTTAGAATTTTTCCTAAAGTGAGACATAAGGAAAATATTTTTGCGTAGTTTAAAATAATTAATGACAATTGTGAAAATACATTTATTTATATTTTATTCTATTTCATTCCTCCTCTTGAACATAAATGAATCCAAATGAACAGGTCATTCAGTGCAACTTTATAACTGAATTGAAAGCATAATGGTGAATATGATACTTTTAATAAAGTAAATCACTATCAATTAATGCCACTCAAGTGCACATCAGGTATATAGTCTATATTTTAAATGTTGAGAAAATAGAAATGACTTACTCTTTGGTGCCGATGTCCCTGAGCACTCACCCATGCCACACACATTCACACACAGCACATGGAGCTTCCCCCACTTCATCTTTGTTCCTTTATGCTTGTTCTTCCTCTTCCTTTTACTTTTCTTCATGCTTCCCTTTGCTCATTTCTCCTATTCTCATCCTGATCTTTCACAGTCTCTGAGTAATTTAGACCCATAGAACTATGATTTTCTTCATCAAGAAAGCCTTAATTGAGACAAATTTTTTGGGAAAAATTCATTCAGTTTAGAAGCGTTATTCTTACCTAATAAATATAATTTTTTTTTTATTTTTGCAAATCTTGGCTGAAATTATAAAACATGGCAGGTAAAGCAAACATCACAAAGACTTGAGACTTACAGTGAGGTCAGTAAGCTTGAGGAAAGCTGATGGCGAGGAGTGATTGGCCAAGCTCCAGATCAAACAGTTGGAGACTAAGGTAAATAATCTTCATCTGGTTTTGGAATGCAGTTTCCACCAGCTGAAAGGAGTATTGAGGCACCATGTGAAGCTGTAGCAGGCTTGTTTGTTGCTATAGGGTTGAGCCACTTAGAAAAATCTATCTTACTTCCTAGAAAATCCAATCTAGCGCCTTCACCTGCAGAGAGGAAGAGTTTGAGGAGTAGCTGAGGAGACTTTCTTGTTTGAAGAACAGGAACATAATGCATAATTCCCTGGTTCACTTGAGACGAGCAGTAAAAACCCATTCAATATGCAGAGACTGTTGGCCACAGCAAGAGAATGTGATTGCATTAATATTGGAACCATTTCTATGCTTTGAGATGATTGCTGAAATTGTTTCAAAAGTCCTTATGCTTAAACCAAAATGCTCTTTTGGCTTTCTCCTCTTAGTTCAGCTCAACTGTACAGTTAAAAATGTCAAACTCCAAGCGTTGGGCATAGAATAAATAGGACATTGTAGATCCAAGAACAGCCTCAGGTTCTTGTTGCCACACATTCATTCAGCTGCCACATATTCCATATTATATGACCTTTCCATTACAGGTGAGTCACAAGTTTACTTCTGAGGGCAGGGCTGAAGGCAATCATATTCCCTAATTTTTCCTACCTTTAGGAATTTCACTATTCTGAATGATAAGAAACTATGTATTTTTCTCCACTTGAGCATTTCTTTTGAAGATCAAGAGCGATAAATCAAGATGACTCAAAATGTATTTTTTTTTGGTATGATTTTCTTTTGCACTTTCTTTTTTTTATTATTATACTTTAAGTTCGAGGGTACATGTGCACAACGTGCAGGTTTGTTACATATGTATACATGTGCCATGCTGGTGTGCTGCACCCATTAACTCATCATTTATAGTAGGTGTATCTCCTAAGGCTATCCCTCCCCCCTCCCCCCACCCCACGACAGGTCCTGGTGTGTGATGTTCCCCTTCATGTGTCCAAGTGTTCTCATTGTTCAGTTCCCACCTATGAGTGAGAACATGTGGTGTTTGGTTTTTTGTCCTTGTGATAGTTTGCTGAGAATGATGGTTTCCAGCTTCATCCATGTCCCTACAAAGGACATTAACTCATCCTTTTTTATGGTTGCATAATATTCCATGGTATATATGTGCCACATTTTCTTAATCCAATCTATCACTGATGGACATTTGGGTTGGCTCCAAGTCTTTGCTATTGAGAATAGTGCCGCAATGAACATACGTGTGCATGTGTCTTTATAGCAGCATGACTTATAATCCTTTGGGTATATACCCAGTAATGGGATGGCTGGGTCAAATGGTATTTCTAGTTCTAGATCCTTGAGGAGTCACCACACTCTTTTCCACAATGGTTGAACTAGTTTACAGTTCCTTCAACAGTGTAAAAGTGATCCTATTTCTCCACATCCTCTCCAGCACCTGTTGTTTCCTGACTTTTTAATGATTGCCATTCCAACTGGTGTGAGATGGTATCTCATTGTGGTTTTGATTTGCATTTCTCTGATGGCCAGTGATGATGAGCATTTTTTCATGTCTGTTGGCTGCATAAATGTCTTCTTTTGAGAAGTGTCTGTTCATATCCTTCACCCACTTTTTGATGGGGTTGTTTGATTTTTTCTTGTAAATTTGTTTAAGTTCTTTGTAGATTCTGGATATTAGCCCTTTGTCAGATGGGTAGATTGTAAAATTTTTCTCCCATTCTGTAGGTTGCCTGTTCACTCCGATGTTAGTCTCTTTTGCTTTGCAGAAGTTCTTTAGTTTAATTAGATCCCATTTGTCAATTTTGGCTTTTGTTGCCATTGCTTTTGGTGTTTTTGTCATGAAGTTCTTGCTCATGCCTAGGGCCTGAATGGTACTGCCTAGGTTTTCTTCTGGGGTTTTTATTGTTTTAGGTCTAACGTGTAAGTCTTTAATCCATCTTGAATTAATTATTGTGTAAGTTGTAAGGAAGGGATCCAGTTTCAGCTTTCTACATATGGCTAGCCAGTTTTCCCAGCACCATTTATTAAATAGGGAATCCTTTCCCCATTTCTTGTTTTTGTCAGGTTTGTCAAAGATCAGATGGTTGTAGATGTGTGGTATTATTTCCAAGGACTCTATTCTGTTCCATTGGTCTATCTCTCTGTTTTGGTACCAGTACCAAGCTGTTTTGGTTACTGTAGCCTTGTAGTATAGTGTGAAGTCAGGTAGTGTGATGCCTCCAGCTTTGTTCTTTTGGCTTAGGATTGTCTTGGCAATGCGGGCTCTTTTTTGGTTCCATATGAACTTTAAAGTAGTTTTTTCCAATTCTGTGAAGAAAGTCATTGGTAGCTTGATGGGGATGGCATTGAATCTATAAATTACCTTGGGCAGTATGGCCATTTTCACGATACTGATTCTTCCTATCCATGAGCATGGAATGTTCTTCCATTTGTTTGTGTCCTCCTTTATTTCATTGAGCAGTGGTTTGTAGTTCTCCTTGAAAAGGTCCTTCATGTCCCTTGTAAGTTGGATTCCTAGGTATTTTATTCTCTTTGTAGCAAGTGTGAATGGGAGTTCACTCATGATTTGGCTCTCTGTTCGTCTGTTATTGGTGTATAGGAATGCTTGTGATTTTTGCATATCGATTTTCTCTCCTGAGGCTTTGCTGAAGTTGCTTATCAGCTTAAGGAGATTTTGGGCTGAGATGATGGGGTTTTCTAAGTATACAATCATGTCATCTGCAAACAGGGATATTCCTGTTTTCTTAATTGAATACCATTTATTTCTTTCTCCTGCCTGATTGCCCTGGCCAGAACTTCCAACACTATGTTGAATAGGAGTGGTGAGAGAGGGCATCCCTGTCTTGTGCCAGTTTTCAAAGGGAATGCTTCCAGTTTTTGCCTATTCAGTATGATATTGGCTGTGGGTTTGTCATAAATAGCTCTTATTATTCTGAGATACGTCCCATCAATACCTAATTTATTGAGAGTTTTTAGCATGAAGGGCTGTTGAATTTTGTCAAAGGCCTTTTCTGCATCTATTGAGATAATCATGTGGTTTTTGTCTTTGGTTCTGCTTATGTGATGGATTACGTTTATTTATTTGTATATGTTGAACCAGCCTTGCATCCCAGGGATGAAACCTACTTGATCATGGTGGATAAGCTTTCTGATGTGCTGCTGGATTTGGTTTGCCAGCATTTTATTGAGGATTTTTGCATCGATGTTCATCAGGGATATTGGTCTAAAATTCTCTTTTTTTGTTGTGTCTCTGCCAGGCTTTGGTATCAGGATGATGCTGGCCTCATAAAATGAGTTAGGGAGGCTTCCCTCTTTTTCTATAGATTGGAATAGTTTCAGAAGAAATGGTACCAGCTCCTCCTTGTACCTCTGGTAGAATTCGGCTGTGAATCCATCTGGTCCTGGACTTTTTTTGGTTGATAGGCTATTATTGCCCTCAATTTCAGAGCCTGTTGTTGGTCTATTCAGGGATTCGACTTCTTCCTGGTTTAGTCTTGGGAGGGTGTATGTGTCCAGGAATTTATCCATTTCTTCTAGATTTTCTAGTTTATTTGCGTAGTGGTGTTTATAGTATTTTCTGATGGTAGTTTGTGTTTCTGTGGGATGGGTGGTGATATTCTCTTTGTCATTTTTTATTGCGTCTATTTGATTCTTCTCTTTTCTTCTTTATTAGTCTTGCTAGCGGTCTGTCAATTTTGTTTATCTTTTCAAAAACCAGCTACTGGATTCATTGATTTTTTGAAGGATTTAATTGCCTAGAGGTTCCTTCTTATGCAAGGAGAATAAATTGGAATTTTTTGTATCTCTATCTCCTTCAGTTCTTCTCTGATCTTAGTTATTTCTTGCCTTCTGCTAGCTTTTGAATGTGTTTGCTCTTGCTTCTCTAGTTCTTTTAATTGTGATGTTAGGGTATCAATTTTAGATCTTTCCTGCTTTCTCTTGTGGGCATGTAGTGCTATAAATTTCCCTCTACACACTGCTTTAAATATGTCCCATAGATTCTGGTATGTTGTGTTTTTGTTCTCATTGGTTTCAAGGAACATCTTTATTTCTGCCTTCATTTTGTTATGTACCTAGTAGTCATTCAGGAGCAGGTTGTTCAGTTTCCCACAGAATAATAATGGGAGAATTTGATACGCCACTGTCAACATTAGACAGATCAACGAGACAGAAAGTTAACAAGGATATCCAGGAATTGAACTCAGCACTGCACCAAGCAGACCTAATAGACATCTACAGAACTCTCCACACCAAATCAACAGACTACACATTCTTCTCAGCACCACATCTCACTTATTCCAAAATTGACCACATAGTTGGAAGTAAAGCACTCCTCAGCAAATGTAAAATAACAGAAATTGTAACAAACTGTCTCTCAGACCACAGTGCAATCAAACTAGAACTCAGGATTAAGAATCTCACTCAAAACCGCTCAAAATGTTGTGAGTATTAACAAGCCAAACACAATAGCCTTTCGAAAATTTGATTATGCAAGGCACCTTGCTAAAGAAAAACTAGAAGTAAAATGCATTAAAGATTACTGAGATTGTTCAGTTTGCAAATGTTTTAAAAATTACTTTAGCCAGAAAAATAACCACATAGGCTAGTGAAAAATTAATATTAGTGGGTTTCATTGCCCAGAGGTTCCTTCTTATGCAAGGAGAATAAATTGAAATAATTGAATGGTAAAGAAGGAAATCAATAGAAATCTTTTTGAAAACCCATTTGGAAATAAAAACTTCATGGGAAATGAAAACAGTATGATGCTCCAAATTTACTTAATTTTAAAATTCTGTAATAATTGTAATCTGAATTCAGGCTGTTTTGCTATTCATTCAAGTTGTTCTTTTTTCTTCCACACAGATGGGAGAAAGCAGTTGGATCATCCTTGATCTTTTGTTTTCCTTCCCACTCCACCTTTAATCCCTCAGCAAGTCCTGTTTTCTCTACCCTAATATAGATTGTGAATCTCCACTTCTCCCCACCTCCATTACTAGCGTTCTTGTGCAAACAACATCATCTCTAGCCTGGATGTCTGCAGTGGCCTGCTGATTGTTCTGCCCTCTCCCACTGCCTGCTATAGTTTTGTCTTTACACAGTAGCCATATTCAAAACAAATCAAATCATGGTCCTGATTGCAACTCTTCCGTGATACACATAGGATGAAACTCATATCTATATCATATCTCACAAGTTGCCACCCATCTGGTCCCTGCCTATCTCTCTGACCTCGACATCTACCACTACTCCCCTCCCTCATTTTTCTGCCATTGCACTGCTCTCCGAACTGCTCTGGACATGTTAGATTAGTCCCCACCTCAGAGCATTTATTTACGCTTGCTCTTCTGCTCAGACTATATGTGTTACTACTCATAATTTGAGTTTTTACTTCAGTGTCATTTGCCCAGAGTCCTCCCTCCTGGATTCACTATCCCTTTGTCCTGCTTTCTTTCCTTTCTAGTGCTTATCACTATCTTACACTATATTGCCTAACTACTTCTTTTCTATCTCCCTCTCCCACTAGAATGCAAACTCCATTATAACAGGGACCTTTTTCTTAGCTATAAAGACAACACCTACAGTGTAAGACAAGAAGAAGAGTGTGTATTCAATACATACTAATTCAATGAGAATCAGTAAAGGAGAGAAAGTAGCTTTCCTCTGTCATTTCTTTTTAATCAGCAAAATGGCATTTATTCACTGTATGAATTTTAAAAATCATTATTTCAAAATCATCATCAGAAAAAATGGTAATGTATCAAGTGGTATAATTTATGATGCAAAGCACAGAAATATTAATCTTCCTGCTTGCTGTGGCCTAAAAAAAGATATTAAAATACACAATCTAGGCATGCATATTTTTTTCTTTTCTCCTTTTCTTATGAAGTCACCAGCTATTTCTGATGTGGGGTTTGGTTGTTGCTGCTGTCGTTATTATTGTTCTTATTAGAAACTTTGATTTGATTGCACACATTAAAAGTTAATGCAAAGGAAGTATTTAGAAAAACTTAAACGTCAATAAGTCTTTTAGTTCTTATTGTCTTTATAAGTGGTATAAGATAGTGATGAAACACAAACACTCAAGACAGACTGCCTAGTTTTGACCCCTCATTCAAATTACTTGCTAGATGATTATTTTATAAATCCTTTATTTATAAAGTGTGACTAGTGATGATAATAATCATATATTCAGATACAGATGCCTCATAGGTTTCCTGTGAATGCTAAATGAGTTAATAAATATAAAGTGTTTAGAGCAATTCTTGAACACAATAGAAACATTTAGAAATGTTGATTTTGAGTTTCTTATATAAACTTCTTTAGATAGAAAATATTACCATGTTCCATGAGGAAAAAAAAAAAAACCTCGATATTAATGGCTACATCACAGGGTTTAGGTTTGGAAAACTTGTCTTCTGCTGCCTATGAAGGATTGTGTACCCATCATTTCAATTTCCACAGATCTCATTAAGGCTGCAGAGGTGGCATGCCTTCAAGATGAAGTCATACTTTCTAGGGAGTATATAGCTCTGGGGTGAAAAGTAACAATGCTTTTGTTTTCTGGTAGATAAGTTGATGCTTTGTAAAAGCAACACTGTGACTGAATAATCAGTTTCACCCAAATTGATTTGCTGTTTTGGTCAAACAATGTGTCAATTGGAAAAAATTGCAGCAAATTTATGTTTAAAAACAAGACCACTTTCACCCAATTCTTTGATTACTTTGTCCTACACATACAGTCTTATGATAATCAATGCAAACAGGCAGGGAGTATCTGAGAAAATAAGTGAGATTGGCATGAGAATGAAGAAGTGAAAACAAAAGAGAACAAGAAGATAAAGGTTATATATTATTCTTATTTTTAAGTTTCAAAATAATTATCAAATGTAACACTGGCTATTATTTTAGGGATTATAAGATATTAGTTTTCTTATTTGGAAATCTTTAGGGTCTGATAATATAAATTTTATTCCAAAATAATGTGATATTAGTGACAAAGTAAGTGTATATGCCTGCATGCCTGCATTTTTGTGTGGTGAGGATATTTTATGAACAATGGCAACAATCCGTTGTTCATAAAGGAACAATGACAGAAAGGTTAGGGGCTCTATGAGTTGGTTGAGTTGTCTAACTTAGGTAATATTAATAATGAATGCAAGACCTTATATCCAAATGAGCACGCTGGACCTCAGCAATGGTTCTTAAGCATATTGAAATAACTGAAATGTCAGGTATAGAGTTCAGAGTCTAGATGGCAAGAATGCTTATTAAGATCCAGGAGAAAGTTGAAACCCAATGCAAAGAATCCAAGGAATCCAGTAAAATAATCCAAGAGCTGAAAGACAAAATAGCCATTTTAAGAAAGAACCAACCCGAACTTCTAGAAGTACAAAATTCACTGCAGGAATTTCATAATGCAGTCAGAAGCATTAACAGCAGGATAAACAAGCCAAGGAAAAACTCTCAGAGCTCAAAGACAGGTTCTTCAAATCAACTCAGCCAGACAAAGGTAAAGAGAATTTTTAAAAAATGAACCAAACCTCTGAGAAATATGGCATTATGTAAGGAGACCAAATCTACAACTTATCTGTAGTCCAGAGAGACAGCCAACAAGTTGGAAAACACTTTTGAGGATATAGTCCATGAAAATTTCCCTAGTCTTGCTAGAGGTCAATATGCAAATTCAAGAAATATGTAGAACACCCATGAGATACTATACAAGGTGACCATTCCCAAGGTACATAGTCATACCGAGGTCAATGCAATAGAAAAAATCTTAAAGGCAGCTAGAGAGAAAGGTTAGGTCAATTATAAATGGAACTCCATTAGGCTAGCGGTGGACTAGTCAGCAGAAACCTTTAGAGCCAGAAGAGATTGGGGACCTGCTTTCAGCATCCTCAAAGAAAAGAAATTTCTACCAAGAATTTTATATCCTGCCAAACTAAACTTCATGAGAAAAGGAGAAACAAAATCCTTCTTCAATAAGCAAACACTAAGGTAATTTGTTACCACCAGGCCAGCCTTATAAGAGGTTTTTAAGGGTGTGTTAAACATGGAAACAAAAGATCAATACCTGCTACCACAAGACACACTTAAGCACATAGCCCACAGATAATATAAAGCAATTACACAATCAACTCTATAAAAAAACCAGCTAACAATATGATAACAGGATCGAAATCTCACATATCAATACTAATCCTAAATGAAAGCAATATAAATGCTCCATTAAAAGGCATAGAGTGGGCTGGGCGCAGTGGCTCACACCTGTAATCCCAGCACTTTGGGAGGCCGAGGCGGGCGGATCACCTGAGGTCAGGAGATCGAGACCATCCTGGCTAACATGGTGAAACCCTGTGGCTACTAAAAATACAAAAAATTAGCCAGGCGTGGTGGTGGGCACCTGTAGTCTCAGCTACACAGGAGGCTGAGGAAGGAGAATGGCATGAGCCTGGGAGGCAGAGCTTGCAGTGAGCCAAGATTGTGCCACTGCACTCCAGCCTGGGCAACAGAGCCAGACTCTGTCTCAAAAAAAAAAAAAAAAAAAAGGCATAGAGTGGGCAACGTGGCAAGTTGGAGAAATAGACAAAATTCGATCATCTGTTGTCTTCAAGAGATCCATCTCACATGTAATAACACTAGTAGGCTCAAAGTAAAGGGATGGAGAAAGAACTACCATACAAATGGAAAACCAAGAGCAGGAGCTGTTATTCTTATATCAGATAAAGCAGACTTTAGACCAACAACAATCAGGAAGGATAGAAAAAGGCACTGTATAATGATAAATAGTTCAATTTGACAAGACTTAACTATCCTAAATATATATGCACCCAACAGTGGAGCATCAGATTCATAAAACAAGTTCTTCTAGACTTAAGAAAAGATTTAGACAGCCATATAAATGTAGTGGGGAACATCAACATCCCACTGACAGCATTAGTCGCCTAATTGAGGCAGAAAACAAAGAAATTATCGCCTTACATTTGATATTTGACAAACTGGACCCAAAAGACATCTACAGAATAGTACCAATAACCACAGAATATACATTCTTCTCATCAGCACATGGAATATATTTGAAGATTGGCCACATACTCAATCATAAAGCAAGTCTCAATAAATTTAAAAAAATTGAAATTGTACAAGCACACTCTTGGACATAGCACAATAAAAATAGAAATTAATGCTAAGATGATGTATCAAAACTACACAAAATATGGAAATTAAACAACTTGCTCTGAAATAACTCGAGTAAAAAATAAAATTAAGGCAGAAATAAAAAATTTCTTTGAAATTAATAAAAATAGAGACAACTTAGTGAAGTCTTTGGAATGCAGCTAAGGCAGAGCTAAGAGGAAAGTTTGTAGTGCCAAATACCTCCATTAAGAAATTAGAAAGATCTCAAATTAACAATCTAACATCACACCTAGAGGAATTAGAATAAAAGAACAATTCAGAGAAGAAATAAATTGGAGAAGAGCTGAATGAAATTGAGATGCAAAAATCACTAAAATGATCAAAGAAACCAAGAGTTTGTTATTTGAAAGGGTAAACAAGATTGATAGATCACTAGCTAGATTAGCAAAGAAAAAAGAGAGAAGATCCAAATAAACACAATCAGAAATGACAAATATGACATTACAATGGACCCCACAGAAATACAAAAGAAACTCAGAGACGATTATGAATACCTCTATGAACAGAAATTAGAAAATCTAGAGAAAACTGATAATTTCCGGGACACACAACCTACCAAGACTGTACCAGGAAGAAAGTGAAAACCCAAACAGATAAATAACATGTTCCTAAATTGAGTAAGGAATTAAAAAACTTTCCAACCAAAAAAGTCTTGGATCATATATATTCATAGTCAAATTCTACCAGATGCACAAAGAACTGGTGCAAATCTTACTGAAACTCTTCCAAAAAATCAAGGAGGGAGGGGTTCCTTCCTAACTAATTTTATGAAGCCAGCATCACCCAGATACCAAAGTATGGCAGAGATGCAATGAAAAAGGGAAACTACAGGCCAGTGTCCCTGATGAACATAGACACGAAAATCCTCAACATGATACTAGAAAACCAAATTCAGAAGCACATCAAAAAGATAATTCACCATGATTAAGTAGGCTTTATGCCTGGAATGCAAGGTTGGTTCAACATATGCAAATCAATAAATATGATTCATTACATAAACAGAATCAATAACAAAAACTATATGATTATTTCGATAGGTACAGAAAAAGCCTTTGATAAAATCCAACATCCCTTCATGATAAAAACTCTCAACAGACTAGGCATTGAAGGCAGAAATCTCAAAATAATAAGAGGTGTCTGTGACAAATCCACAGCCAACATGATAGTGAATGGACAAAAGCTGGAAGCATTCCCCTTGAGAACTGGAACAAGACAAGTATGCCCACACTCATTGCTAGTACTGGAAGTCCTAGCCAGAGCACTCAGGCAAGAGAAAGAAATAAAAGGTGCCCAAATAGGAAAAGAAGAAGTCAAACTATCTTTATTCACTGGTGATATGATTTTATATCTAGAAAACCCTAAAGACTCCACCAAAATTCTCTTAGACCTGATAGATGACATCAGTAAAGTTTCAGTATACAATGTCAATGTACAAAAATCAGTAGCTTGTCTATACATAAATATCATTACAGTTGATAGCCAAATCAAGAGCACAACCACATTTATAATAGCCACAAAAAAATGAAGTACCTAGGAATACGTCTAACCAAGGAGGTGAACAATCTCTACAATGAGAGTTACAAAATACTGCTGAAAGAAATAACAGATAATGCAAATAAATGGGAAAGTAATCCATGCTCATGGATTGGAAGAATCAATATCTTTAAAATAGCCATACTGCCCAAAGCAATTTACAGATTCATTGCCATTTCTATTAAAATGCCAAGGTCACTTTTTTCACAGAATTTGAAAAAATGATTCTAAAATTAACATGGAACCAGAAAAGAACCTGAATAGCCAAAGCAATCCTAAGCAAAAAGAACAACACCAGAGACATCATATTACCCAACTTTAAACTATGCCATAAGGCTACAGTAACCAATACAGGATGGTACTGGTATAAAAACAGACCATAGTCCAATGGAACGAAATAGAGAACCCAGAAATAAAGCCACACACCGACAGCCATTTGATCTTTGACAATGTTGACAAAATAAACCATGGGAAGAGACTCCTTATTCTGTAAATGGTGCTGAGATAGCTGGCTAGCCATATGTAGAATAATACAACTGGACTCTTATACAATAATTAAGATGTACTAATACTTTAAATTTATAATCTCAGATTATACAAACCTTAGAAGAAAACCTAGGAAATAACCTTCTTGACATCGGCTTTGGTAAAGCATTTATGGCTTAGTCTCTAAAAACAATTGCAATGATAACAAAAATTGACAAGCGTGACCTAATTAAATTAAAGAGCTTCTGCATAGTAAAACAAATTATCAACAGAGTAAACAGAAAACCCACAGAATGGGAGAAAATATTTGCAAACTATGCATCTGACAAAGATCTATTTCCCAGGATCTATAATACAAGGGTTTTTTAATAATCAACAATCAAAAAATGAATAATCCAATTAAAAATGAGCAAAGGCCATGAACAGATATGTCTCCAAAGAAGACATATAAGTGGACAAGAAACATGTGGAAAAATGCTCCTTATTACTAATCCTTAGAGGAATGCAAATCAAAACCACAATGAGATACCATCTCATATCAGTCATAATGGTGACTATTCAAGAGTCAATAAAAGAAAAAAAAACAGATATTGGCAAAGTTACAGAGAAAAGGGAACACTTATACACTGCTGGTGGGAATTTAAATTAGTTTTAACCAAGATTGTGAATTGCAAAGCCATAACAAAAATTAAGAGAAATATATGACTATTTAAAAATTTTTGTTGCAAAAATTCCACAAAAGAAAGCAATAGACAAATCATAGATTTGTGTGTATGTATACATACATATTGCATATATGAGTGTGTGAAATGAGAAACGCTTAATGTCTATTATCACCAAAGGGTTCTTAAAATGATGCAAAACTAGACAATCAATCTAATAGAACAATTAACAAAGATAAGATATCCAAGAAGAGAACTTTCAAATATCCATTAAAAATATAAGAGGATCACATTGACTAGTAGTTAAAAGGAAATGGCAAAAACTATACAGAAAGATTTCAACTATTCCTGACAGGAGTGGGAAGAAAACAGTACATTCATACTTGGTGGTGGAAAGTGGAAACGAGATTGTTACATGCATTTTTGTAACCAACTGGCTAATATTTATTAAAATAAAAATATATTCATGCAATGATAAGTGATAATTCAGTTTTTAAAGTTGTAATATTTATACTTAATTTTATGTCTTTATAAAATACAAAAACCCTCAAAACAAGTGCATACCATAATGCTTGTATTGTTTGTAAGTACATGGAGAATATATTCTAAGCTACTAACTTTATATATAGAAGGAGAAAAATGAGTGTTCAGATGATTAGGGTTTTATTTGTATGTAACTCTATTTCATTTATTGTAACAAGAATATATTATTTTATAATAAAATATGATATAGGTTATTACTTTTTCAGAGATAAATAGGTTTATTGTAGGAAAAATGGTGTTAATCTGCAACTCTACAAGCAATTATTAATATGATTAATTGTATAATTTACTCTCTACATATTAATCTGCATTTTCACTTAACTTATATAAAAATTGTGTCACTCTTTGCCTTTGTAGCAGGTTGGCGATTCTAAGTAGAAGTATACCAAAAATATGTGATGAAATTATAAAACAGGATTCAGAAATACAATTTTTCTGTTTGGTTCTTTCATATTTTTTCTTTTTTAAAAAAGAGCTTCAACTTGTATTTTAGATACAGGAGATGCATTTACAGGTTTGTTACATGGGTATATTGTGCAGTGCTGAGGTTTGGGATGCAGTTCCCATCACCCAAGTAGTGAGCATAGTGCCCAATAAGTAGTTCTTCAACCCCCACCTCTCCCTCCCCTCTCTAGTAGTCTGCGGTGTCTATTGTTCTCATGTTTATGGCCATGTGTGCTCAATTTTTAGTTCCAACTTATAAGTGAAAAGTTTCTTTTATTTTGAACGCACAGGTGAAAATGGGAACTATTTCCCAGTTGAAGACTTAATTCCTGTATTTTACTCTTTTTCCCTTTTCTGACTCCAGCTGTTCTTGTACTTTTCAGTTGCCATCCAATATAAGCAGTTTAAGTGCTAAGTAAATCATTATTGGTATCAGGTCACACATTAACATTTGATGTGTTCAATATCAGTGTTAAAGTATGGGATATAAGCAATAAAAACTATCATTTTACATAAGTAGGCCATGTTGCTGTCTGGGAGAGGATCACAGTTTGGCCTTAAAAACTTTTTTTTGTTTGTTTTTTGAGATTTTTTATATATATTTTTTAAGTTCTGGAATACATGTGCAGAACGTGCAGGTTTGTTACATAGGTATACGTGTGCCATGGTGGTTTGCTACACCCATCAACCCGTCATCTACATTAGTTATTTCTCTTGATGCCATCCCTCCCCTTGCCCCCCACCTCCTGACAGGCCCTGGTGTGTGGTGTTCCCTTCCCTGTGCCCATATGTTCTCATTGTTCAACTCCCACTTATGAGTGAGAACATGCAGTGTTTGGTTTTCTGTTCCTGTGTTAGTTTGCTGAGAATGATGGTTTCTAGCTTCATCGATGTCTCTGCAAAGGACATACACTAATTCTTTTTTATGGCTGCATAGTATTACATGGTATATATGTGCCACATTTTCTTTATCCAGCCTATCATTGATAGGCATTTGGGTTGATTCCAAGTCTTTGCTATTGTGAATAGTGCTGCAATAAACACACATGTGCATGTGTCTTTATAGTAGCATGATTTATAATCTTTTGGGTATATATCCAGTAATGGGATTGCTGGGTCAAATGGTATTTCTAGTTCTAGATCCTCGAGGAATTGCCACACTGTCTTCCACAATGGTTGAACTAATTTATACTCCTACCAACAGTGTAAAAGTGTTCCTATTTCTCCACATCCTCTCCAGCATCTGTTGTTTCCTAACTTTTTAATGATTGCCATTCTAACTGGCGTGAGATGGTATCTCATTGTGGTTTTGATTTGCATTTCTCTAATGACCAGTGATGATGAGCTTTTTTTCGTATGTTTTTTGGCCACATAAATGTCTTCTTTTGAAAAGTGTCTGTTCAAAACCCCATTGTCTCAGCCGAAAAACTCCTTAAGCTAATAAGCAACTTTAGCAAAGTCTCGGGATACAAAATCAATGTGCAAAAATCACAAGCATTCCTATACACCAATAATAGAGAGCCAAATCATGAGCAAACTCCCATTCACAATTGTTAAAAACTGTTTTAAAACATTCCTACTCTGTTGAAAAGTATAATTTCAGACATAAATCACATTCCTATGTTCACCAACACATTAAGAATAAGAAGAACAAATGCAAATTGGAAATGTTTGATTCATGTACATATTGATTTAAGATCAAGTCTTTGAAAACTAAGCAAAATTAAACAGATATTGTATCATCTGAGTATTTGGTATGAGAAATGATTCAGATCCAAAACCAAAATATTTATTTGTTATACAGTTTTGGGGCCACCTCTGCATTGTAAATATAATAGAAAGACCCGAAGTGTTCTATATGACTATCTGCTTTACAGACAAAATCAAAATTACTAATGTTGATACATCTGTAAGCCATAATTTTCTCATCTGTAAATTTTGCATAATAATAAAATGCTTCTGATAGCTGTGGTAATAATGTGTAGTGAATTACTTGGAAATGCAAACTTTGGAGGCAGACTGTGTCAGTTTGGGTTCCTGTTACTTCTCCTATTAACTACAAACCTAAGCAATCTACTTAATCATTCTACACTTCAATATTCTCACCTAAAAGTTGTAGATAATGGTATCTCATAGAGTTAGTGTCCAGATTAAATAAATTGTATCACATAAAGCTCTTTGATGGTGCTTACTAACATGAAATACATTTTAGTTATTATTGCCATTTTGTGACAATTTATGCAGAGCACTACTACAGCAGGTGACACATAGTTGATATTTGATAAATACAGATTCTTCCTTAGATTGGGACAAGTATATAGCAATAGCAATTATCTTTAAGCCATTCGGTCCTTTCTGATATTTTAAACACCTTTTTAGCCGGGTTTTATTCAAAACAAAAAATTTTAGTATCTTCATAACAGTATTTTTTATACTATGCTGCCTGCCTTCCACTGACTGTTCACTCTGAACTATACTTATAGTAACATGTCTTTATATCTCCCTTATTCCATGTATTTGTATATGCTCCCATCCATTTACCTCTTTTCTGATAGGCTAAATAAAGAAGAGATATAGGTGTAGATATATATTTAAATGCCCCTATAGGCTTCAAATTCATCATGTACAAAATGGAAAATTTTCTTCCCTTATGCAATTTTGGTATTTCCACTTAAAAGCAAAAGCCAAAATCACAATCACTTAGCAAATTGCTAATGTTGAAAAAAATCTCCACTAACATTTTTAGTATCTCTGGAATTCAATCCCTTCTTTGTACTTTCACAGCTACTGCCCAGTGCCAGTTCTCATTAGAACTTTTCTGAATTATTTTAACAGCATTTATCAGTGTTACCCAGGCATACAGCTAGTTAACTACTCAATAGTTCTTTCTATGTTTTGTATAATCTGTATAACAGATTCTGTTCCATTTTGGAATATTCAGTACAACCTCAGTTATCATCTGGGGCTGAACTTGAGAATTTTAGCCAAACACTGAAAGGATGACAGAGAAAGATGACAGGTCCTTCATGATGGTGATGGTGAAGCCAAGACATTATCTTGTATCTGCCCACCTTTGCACTTAGCCACTGCTATTTTGTGATTTCTGTTAAGTGCAGCCAAACTTAATCCACTCAATATAGTGTATCTTCAGTCTATTAATAGCTAATATCCATTCTTGGAAGGACTTTCTAAGTGTGCATGTAGCTGTGTTCATCTCATGCTTAAAATACTTCATTGAATGCTTATTATTCAGAGGATAAAATTGAATCTTTAGGTTGCTACTTATTATTCTTCAATATATGACCCTTCCTTAAGTCTTCAGCTTCATCTTGATCCTCTCTCTAACCCTGGATTCCTTTTAAGATATATCAAATGACATGTAGACTCTTAAAAGTCATGTGTGATTTTTCAAGCTTTAGGTTGATGCCTTTTCTTAGCTCCTTTAAGACTTTGTGTATTCCTTTATGAACAGCTTTTACTTCTTTCATTTAGAATTTTATATTTATTATTTGCCTTTATTACAACCAGACCACGAGAGGTTTTCTTGAAGATAGATGTAATGTCTTTCCTTTTGATATCCTCCAAGTCCTTGCAAGTTAATTGAAAAAATGTCAAACATTCAGTAATATATGTTACATCATTGATTAGAATTTACGTTGACCAAATTCTCAAGAAGAAGCTTTATATCTGTAGCCTCCTTTACCCTGTACACCAGTATTTCCTCAGACAAACTCAGAAATCTTCCTCCATATGATAATGTCTAATTCTGTGCACAATGAGATAGATAATCCATTGAGCATTTGGGATGTGCTATATATGGTGCTAGGCAATTTACATGAATTTTCTCATACAACTTTAAAACAACACAAATACATAATTAAATATTATTATCCTCTTCATTTGTATTTAGGGGATTTCTAGAGTTAGAAAATCAAATAAATTACCAAGATTACACAGAAAGCAAGTTGTGTAGCTTGGGTTTGAGAACAGTCAGCGAGAGCCCTGTGTGTTGCACTGCCTTCCTCCCTGGAATAATTCCTAATTGCTAGTCACTGGAACGTCCCGAAATACTGGGTTTGAATCGTGCCTCCACTGCTTGTTACCTCTGTGACTTCAGAGAAGCCACATAAATTCTATACATCAGTTTCCTTATTCGTAAAATGGAAATAATAATTACCTCTCTCAGTGATTTGAGGATTGGAGGATGCTCATATCTCCAACAACTTCACGTTTGTTAATTTAAATGAACTGATGTTTGAATTATTCTAAATACTTTCTTCTTTGAATAGAAGAGTTCCTCTTTGCTTGTTTGTATTTTAAGGTATTCATTTAAGGGAAGTTGACATAAGATGTAATGTATGTTTTCAAGGAAAATATTAGTTTTAATCAATTTTCAACTTTGGATGATTGAAAAATGCCAGGAAGTAAAGTAATACTCTTAACATTCTTCTGTACATCAGTAGCAGGACCCTGGACTCAACCACAGTGAAACATAACATCCACTCCAGCCCTTTTGGGGGAATTAAAAAAATCTTCTAATAACTAAATAGTTAATTCTGCATGTTCAGTGAATTGATGGAAATGCTCATACCTCCAAGGACTCCACTTAAGTTGATTCTGACTGAAACATTTCTTATTTTGTTCATCAGTCCTTATTAACACACATAGATTTATTACTTCATCTGAAATTTTTACTTTTTTATAAACCCTTTGAAAAATATTCAGAACTTTTTTTTGAACAAAATACTTAGAAACTTTCCCTGAGCCAAAATGACTTGCAGTATAAAAATTCTACATTCAAGATTGACCAGGAAAAATGATTCCTAGTAAAAATGCGTATGTTGAAGACTAGTAGCTTTATCCTGTGTGTAAGGGTATGGAGAATACCCAGAATTGAGCTATGCACAGATCTAAAAAAATATATAATGTTACACATTAAAAAACTAGAAAAATAACAGGGTAAGCCCAAAGTTGGTAAAAGGAAGGAAATAATAAATATCAGGGCAGAAAAACAACAGCAAAGATAAACAAAATTAAGAGTTGAGGTTTTGAAAAAATAAAACTGATAAGACTTTAGGTAACTAAAAAAAAAAAAGAGAAGACTCAAATAGATAAACCAGAAATAAAAGAGGGCACATTATAACTAATACCATAGAAATACAAATAAATTATGAGAGACTCATATGAACAATTATATACCACAAATTGAATAACCTATATGAAATTGATAAATTCCTAGACAAATATAACTTATTAAGACTGAATCATGAAGAGACAGAAAATTTTGTCAGACCAATAATAAGAAAATTAAATCAGTAATAAAAGATCTCCCAACAAGGAAAATCCAGGACCTGATGGCTTCATTGCTAAATTCTATCAGACATTTGAAGAAGAACTAAGACTATCGTTCTCTAACTCTTCCAAACAAATGGATAAGAGAAAATACTTTCAAACTCATTTTATGAGGCTAGCATCACCTTGATACCAAAGCCAGACAAACATATTACAAGAAAAGAAAATCATAGGATAATATCTTTGATGAATGTAGATGTAAAACTTCCCAACAAAATACTAGCAAACTGAATTCAACAGCACATTAAAAGGTTTGTTCACCATGATCAAGTGGGATTTATCCCGAGAATGCAAGAATGGTCAAACATACAAAATTAATGTCGTATAACACATTAACTGAATGATGGACAAAAACCATATGATCATCTCAATAGATGCAGAAAAAGCATTGTATAAAATTTAACATCCCTTCATGATAAAAATTCTTAACAAATTAGCTATAGAATGAATGCGTCTCAACATAATAAAGGCCATGTATAACAAACCCATAGCTAATAACATACTCGGTGGTGAAAAATGGAAAGCTTTTCCTCTAAGATCAGGAACAAGATTCCTGCTCTTGCCACTCTATTCAATATAGTACTAGAAATTCTAACCTGATAACTTATTAAAGAGAAAGAAATACAGAAGATTTAAATTGGAAAAGAAGAAGTTAAATTGTTCTCTGCAGATGACATGATCATATTTGTATGTGTGTCTATAGGGTTTTATATATATAATCCTTCAGACACCATCAAAAAATTTTTAGAACTACTACATGAATTCAGTAAAGTCGCAGGATGCAAAACCAGCCAAGAAAAATTAGTAGCATTTCTATGCAGTAATCAAAAAATCCAAAAAAGAAGTCAATTAAAAATCCAATTTATAATATGTACAAAAATAAAATACTTTGGAATAAATTTAACTATGGAAGTGAAATACCTGTGCAATAAAAACTATAAAACATTGATAAAAGAAATTGAAGATGATAAAAATAAGTAAAAGATGTTATGTGTTTATAGATTAGAAGAAATAATACTGTTAAAATATCAATATGACCCAAAGTGATCTATAGATTTGGTGTAATCTCCATCAAAATTACAATGCCATTTTTCACAGAAATAGAAAAAACAATCTTAAAATTTGTGTAGAACCACAAAAGACCCCAAATAGCCAAAGCAATCTTGAGCAAAAAGAACAAACTTGGAGGTATCATGCTAGCTGACTTCAAAATATATTACAGAGCTATAGTAAGCCAAACAGCGTAAAACTGGCATAAAAAATTACAAATAGGCAAATAGAGAGCCCAGAAATAAATCCAGGCATTTATGGCCAATTGATTTTTGACAAAGGTGCCAAGAACACACAATGGGGAAAGGACAGTCTCTTCAATAAATGGTTTGGGAAAACTGGATGTCTAAAGGCAGAAGAATAAAATTAGACTCTTATCTCATGTCATATACAAAAGTCAATTCAAAATAATTTGAAGACTTAGAATTAAGACCTGGATCTGTAAAACTACTTTAAGAGTGTGTAGGAGAAAAGCTCCATGACATTTTGTCTGGGCAATGATTTTTTGGCTATGATCCCCAAAACACAGGAAACAAAATAAAAAATAGACAAATGAGATTGCTTTAAAGTAAAAAGTTTTTGCACAGCAAGGGGAAACCAATTAATAGTGTGAAAAGATAACATACAGAATAAGAGAACATATCTGTAAACCATATACCTGATAAAGGATTAATATCTAAAATGTATAGGAAACTCAAGTTAATAGCAAGGAAAAAAAAAACTACCTGGTTAACAGATGGGCAAAGGACCTGGATGGACGTGTCTCAAAAGAAGACATACAAATGGCCAACAAGTGCTTGAAAAAAATCATCAACCTCACTAATCATCTGGAAAATGCAAATTAAAATCACAATGAGGTACTTACCTCACACTTGTTAGAATGGATACTATAAAAAACACAAAGGACAAATGTTGGTAAGGTTGTGGGGAAAATGTAAATTAGCAAAGTCACTATAGAAAGCAGTATGGAGGTTCCTAAAAAATTAAAAACAGAATTATTATATGATCCAATAAGCCCACTGTTGGTATATTTCTAAAGGAAATTAAATTGGCATATCAAAGAGATATCGGCACATCCACATTCATTGTAGCATTAGAATCAACCTAAGTGTCTGTCAGTGGATAAATGGATGAAATGTGGTATAATATACACAATGGAATACTATTCAGCCTTAAAAACGAATGCTATCCTATTATTTGCAACAAACCTGGAGGACATGTTAGGTGAAATGAGCTAGGCACAGAAAGATCAAGCTAGAACATGATCCTATTTATACATAAAATCTAAAAAAATGAACTCAAAACTAGAAAGTAGAATGGTGTTTTACCAGGGGCTGGGGCTATGGGGGAGTTTTGGAGAGATGTTGGTCACAGTATATAACATTTCGGTTAGACAGGAAGAAAAAGTCCAAGAGATCTATTGTACAACATGATGACTATAATTAATAACAATTTATTTTATTACTGAAAATTGTGAGTAGATTTGAAAGGGTCTTCACCACACAAAATAAGGATGCGACATAATTCACGTGTTAATTAGCTTGCTTGAGCCATTCTACAATGTATACATATATTAAGACATCATGTGCACAATAAATATATGTAATTTTAATTTGTTAATTAAAATAAAATTTCAAAAAGAATTGAGGTATATCCCACTGAGTCTTGACATTAACACAAAGTCTGTTTGGGAAATGATGGAACTTCTGTTTTAGATACCAGTAAGATTAACAGTGCATAATAAGGTTGAAATCCAGCGACTTTCAAGACAGTATTAAAGGGCAACACTTACATTTTCCAAAGGAAAGCTACAAGAATTTTTTTGTTATATTCCTAAAGTGGGGCCATTGTTTAGGAGTATAGCTGGCAATTGCATGTGGTAATTTGTGACAATTACCACTATTTTTCAACTCTAAGAATTCTCAGCTGCAGTCTTTTTTAGTTCTCTGCTAGAAACAGAGTGACTAGGCCTCAAAATCCATAAACACAGATCTGTTTCCATGCAGGCATGTAGTCCCCTCCCTTTATAATTATGGCATCATTCCTTTAATAGAGGAATGAGGAAATTAACAATGATTAGTCTCCAGAAGGAGGAGGATTTGTTAAGATTCAGAAAACCATGTGCTTAATTTTCACCTCAAGAGCCCACAACCTTGACTAGCAGCTTTAGAAAATAACTGCCTTTGTTGCTACAGTTCCAGATAAGGTGCCCAGGGTTCTCACATAGGAGTTGAAGAACTGTTTTATGACTCACATTTGTTTCATCTGGAAATATAGCATCTTTTCGGTTACTTCTTTTTGCCCTCACCCAGTCAGCAATGCCCCCTCCATCCTTAGATTATTGGCTCCTTCTAGCTTTGTAAGAGGAGGGAACTCTCAGGTATTAGCATCTGAGAATTAGCCATGCATTCGCCATGCACTCCATCACTGCTGTTATTTCCTAGCCTTCCCCTTCTTTCCACCAAATGAAACTCTGAAGGGTCTGATTTTATTTTGTACCTTGGATAAATAATTGCCTCCAATAGGTTATTTCCAAAAGGCTCTTCTAATTTTAAACCAATTATTAAATTAAAAAGTATTTTCGAATTAACAACTAAAAATTATCCTGTGTTTTTCCATATTAGTTCCCTTTTAGAGTTAAACTAAATCTTGCATGAAGGTGATATTTGGTATCACACATACACATTTTCTGAAATATATTTTAATTAATGTAATATATCCAATATGCATTCTAATTTATTTATGTACAATCATCCCTTGGGAGACTGGTTCCAGGACTTCCTCAACCGACCTTTGACTGATGCTTGAGTCAGTGATACAATTGGCATAGTATTTGCATATAACCTATGCACATCCTCCTGTATATTTTAAATCATCCCTATATTACCTGTAGTACTTAATATAATGTAAACAGCTGTTAAATTTTATTTTTTAGGGAATAATGGCAAGAAAGAAAAGTTTGTTCAGTACAGATGTGATTAAAAATATGTATACTTTTAACTTGCAAATGATTGACTTCACTGATACGGAACCCATGAAGTAGTAGGACCAACCATATTTCTCAGTTGATAAATGTTTATGTTCTGATTTTTTTGCTATTATGAAGTGATACAATAAACATCCTTATATATGTGGGGTAGCTTTTAGTATTTTGGTATATAAACATTGAAGGATAATTGCTGCCATTTGCATCCTCAATTTTATCTCACATAACATAAAACTTTTCCCCAAAATAACAAGGTAGGAGGGTTTCCACTGTGCTAAATTACTAATTTTGTCTTTCATGTCTTTTTTTTTTTTTTTGAGATGGAGTCTTGCTCTGTCGCCCAGGCTGGAGTGCAGTGGCATGATCTCGGCTCACTGCAACCTCTGCCTCCTTGGTTCAAGTGATTCTCCTGCCTCAGCCTCCCAAGTAGCTGGGACTACAGGCACCCGCCACCACACCCGGCTAATTATTTTGTATTTTTAGTAGAGACGGGGTTTTACAGTGTTAGCCAGGATGGTCTCGATCTCTTGACCTCGTGATCCACCCGCCTCAGCCTTCCAAAATGCTGGGATTACAGGCGTGAGCCACCGCGCCCAGCCGTCTTTCATGTCTTTTAATTTCATTCTGTTTCCTCTATGTAATTTCCTTATGTTTATCTTCCACTTCCTTATTATCTCTTCAGTTGTGTTTAGTTTGTTGCTTATTTAATCAATTACATTTTTGAATTTCAATATTTACATTTTTAGTTTCAAAAACTTCTATTTAGTTATTTTAATAAATATTATATTTTCTCTTGTATAGTGCCTTTTTAAAGGGTACTATAATTTTAAAAATTGTGTTTTCAGCTCCTTTACTTCTTTAAACATTTGAAACATATCTATTTCACAACCTCCTTGAGGTTTTCTGCCTTTTTCCACTTCTTGGGATGCTAGCTTTTGGCTTCTTACATCTGTTGATTCTTCCTCGGTGTGTTTCATTTTCTTGCATAATGTATACTATTTTAATATGAGCTCAACTGCCACAAGAGTTGTCTATTCTTTGGGAATCCCCTGTGAACTGTGATTTGAAAACATCACTGTGGAGCAGGGTGAAACTACTTCTGCTTTTATGGCCCTGGGAAACTTTATGGACACTTCTCTTCATGATACCTGAACCTACATAACTGCATACTTAATGAATGCAGGTCATTAAGGTCTGGGGTCTCAATTTCTACTTATTTTAAAATATGTTTTGTCTGTATTTCCATGTACTTGAGCAGAATGGGTGACATCTGCTCCATTTCAATGTGATTTGTTGCTAGAAGCAGCATACTTCATTGCTACTAAATTTTACATTTAATTAAGTTTCACTTATCACTTATTACAGTCTTATGCCATTTTATATTTCCATGTCATTTTCTATTACTAAATTCACCATGGTTTGTAGCACTTCTACCTTTTCTGGGTAAGCCTTCTGTCTCATACTGTGGAACAAATGGGAAAACAGCTCATGGGGAATTATATCCCCTGGACATGTCTGGAAAGCATGTGAGTTTGAAAGTTTCTTAACTGGAGGCATTTTTAGACCTGAATCTAAACAATTAGCAAAATAATTTGTTGAGACTGTAGCTACATTTTGGAAGCAAAATGAAATGTAGTATTGCAACCTCTGAGTAAACAACTTTTTCTAAAAACTAACACACATTAAGTATTCATTAACTTTTAAAACTTGGTATTGAGAGGCAAAAGAGTCACTTGAGCCCTAGAGGCAGAGATTGCAGTGAGCCGGTATCGCGTGACTGCACTCCAGCCTGGGCGACAAAGCCAGGCCTTGTCTCAAAGAAAACCCCCCAAAAACAACACCACAAAAGAATGTGTAAAACACAGTAATGAGTTTATTGTATTTCCATGGCAGGTTATGAAGTATAGCAATTAATTGTATGATTGCAATAATTTCATCCCAAGCCATTATGTCATCTGGATTGTGGAGGTGCTGTTTATAGGTCCTATATATACCAGGAATTGACAATCTATTGAAATGACAAAAAGTTTGTCCTCATCAGTCAGGCTTCTTTTTTGTGTCCATTTCATTGTGAAAAGATGTCTTACCTATGGCATAGTTAGAGAATAAAACTTGGGACTTTTACTAGAGGAAATAAAAACAACATTATTTTCTTGGCTTAGTTAATAACAAAAAGAAATCTCCAAGAACTGTGTATGCAGGTAAAGCAGCAATATTAGGCTGCTGCTTTGAAGCTACTACTTTTCCACTAATCACTAGTGAACACAGTGAACCAGCTCAAGAACTCAAATCTCCATTCTCCTAACTATTCCCTTTGCAGATTTCAATTTTTCAACTCGGCATAAGTGAGAAAAAAAATTTTGAAGTGTTCTATCAACAAACAACTTCCTGGTGCCCATTCTGTGACACTTCAACTTTGAATTTTGCATTTTAAAAGAAATGTTTCTTCACTGCCAAATAATATATCTCAGTTTTATGCTCTTTTGTTAATCAAATCCAAGAAAATCCTTGAAAAATATACTGGAGTTCATATGGTTCCCTAAGGACTGTTTCAAGGCCAATGAAAAGAAAGATTGATATGCTACTTCTCTATGACATCCAACAGTGTCTCCGAGCCAGGACTTAATGGCTTCATAAGCAGTCAGTGTAAGTGATGCTGTTCGTGAAGAAATTTTACTGAAATAATTAATTGGGCACACAGAACAATTCCTCTTCAATATGGCATCACTTGTCATTCCTGAAGGAAAAATATAGTGAAAGTCACACATGCAGATAGTCTACCAAACCAAAATAAATAGGCACAATTTCTTTCCAGAAAAGTAAGGTAGTTATTTTAGGAAGTAAAGTGGGTAAATATAAGACATTCTAATAAATTGACTTCTCTATTTTTCATTCTTCTTTTTATTTTTTGCCGTTTCTGCTGTCAATTCTGTGGTGTTACATTTAGGTTTTATATTAGCCTTTAAGGCTGCGGTTGAAATTCTGAGCTCAGCCCAATAAATCAAAGTGAAAATAAACAGAAGGGGTAAGCAAAGAACACTACTGGCTCCAGAATGGTGAGGGAAAGAAAAGTTTTATAAATAGTTCCTCTTTTTCTTGTCGTCCTTACCACTGTTGATTGGAAATAACAAATGACAAGTACCTATCAAAAGCACATGAGTAAATTCAATCTGTAACAAATCCCTAATATAAATTACCTATCAAATATTGACTTGTGAATTTCCACAACAATCAGGCTAAACTAATCTATACCTTGTTTGACTATTGCACAAATGTGCAGCTTCCTCCAATCTAACTCCCCTAATCCTGGAGATTACTGCATTCAGACATGGCAACAACCAAAACACTCTGCAAAGGAGAGAGAAAGAACATAGTAGAATGTGATTTCAGATCCTTTCAAAACATAAAAATGAATGAGCTAATTGGATTATAATATAGGCCATGAAGCTCTTGCTGATTATGGTACATAGAAAGTATAATGTAAATAAAAGAATATAATATGTCAGTAGTTTTCATATGAAGTATGCAGTAACTTTCTTATGACTTATTTTAGTGGCATTCACAGAGACTATGTCCAGTACAATCCATGAGAAAATACCTTCAGAATAGCAGCCATAAAAAAGGATGAGTTGATGTCATTTGTGGGGAGGACATGGATGAAGCTGAAAACCATCATTCTCAGCAAACTAACACAGGAACAGAAAACCAAACACCGCATGTTCTCACTCATAAGTGGGAGTTGAACAATGAGAACACATGGACACTGGGAGGGGAACATCACACACCGGGGCCTGTCGGGAGTTGGGGGGCTAGGGGAGGGATAGCATTAAGAAAAATACCTAATGTAGATGACGGGTTGATGGGTGTAGCAAACCACCATGGCACATGTATACCTTTGTAACAAACCTGCACGTTCTGCACATGTATCCCAGAACTTAAGGTATAATAAAAATAAATAAATAAATAAATAAATAAATAAATAAATAAAGAATATGCTGCAAAATTCCTCATGGTAGGTCACCTGATTATGGTACATAGAAAGTCTAATGTAAATAAAAGAATATAATATATCAATAGCTTTTATATGAAGTATGCAGTAATTTTCTTATGACTTATTTTAGTGGCATTTACAGAGACTTTGTGCAGTATAATCCATGAGAAAATGCCTTTCAGAATAGCAGCCATAAGTATATCTATATTAAGTATATGAGTCTATATTCAATTTCCTGTTAGGCTTAGGTATAATAATATTAATATTACATTTCTATAAAGATTTATGCTGTTTAAAGTGCTTTCTCATTCATGGTACCTTAGAGTCTATGTAAAATTGTAAATTGCACACAACTGAGAGTTCAAAATAAATCTGGGAAACAATGAAATTGACACTATTATTTTTATCCTGATCCTGGGTTTATGAACCAGAATGTGTTAGTGAGACAACACGGGAAGAAATGAACTGCACCTGGGAGACTAGGATTAAATCTCACAAGCTTTACGATGACAAGAAGATAGGTTAGCCATAAAAAGAAGAGGTCCTATAGGAAAAAGTGTCCAGGATGAAATTATAAATGAATCAAAGATTATTTCCTGAAAACTACATCCTCCTTTATTCTTCAAGGTTAGAGCTCTGCGATCTCTGTCTCTTCTCTCTATCAATAGTTCTCTAAAATTTCTAATAAATATTTTGGTAGGCAGAATAATGGCACCCCAAATATGTCCACCTCCTGGGCCTCAGAGCCTTTAAATATGTGTCCTAAAAGAGACTTTGCAGACGTGATTAAGGTTATGAAGCATGAACTGGGAAGAGTGGCCTGGCTTACACAGGTGATCCTAATTTAATTACACTTGTCCTTAAACGCTAAGAGCTTTTTCCAGCTGTGGTCAGAGAGATGTGACCAAAGATAAGGGAGATACAATATTGCTGGTTTTGAAGATGGAGGAGGCTATTAGCCAAGGAATGGGTGTGGTCTCTAGAAGCTTGAAAAGACAAGGAAGTGGATTCCTCCTAGAGCCTCCAGAAAGGAATGCAGCCCTAACTTTCGTCCATTAAAATCTGGGTCTGACTTCTAATATACAGACGTGTATGGTAATGAATTTATGTTATTTTAAATCACTAAGTCAGTGGCAATTTGTTATGGCAGCAAAAGAAAATGTATACAAATACTAAGGGCAAAATAAGAAATACTCATGATAGTAAATGTTTGAATTGACTCCATTTTATAACATTGTTTAAAACATTTTAGTTTATAAATTGTATTTTCAGCTATTGGGGGGAAACGATTGGCCATACACACAAACTGATTTTTTTTTTTTTTTTTTTTTTTTTTTTTTTTTTTTTTTTTGAGACGGAGTCTTGCTCTGTCGCCCAAGCTGGAGTGCAGTGGTGCGATCTCAGTTCACTGCAAGCTCCGCCTCTCGGGTTCACGCCATTCTCCGGCCTCAGCTTCCCGAGTAGCTGGGACTATAGGCGCATACCACCATACCTGGCTAATTTTTTTGTATTTTTAGTAGAGACGGGGTTTCACCGTGTTAGCCAGGATGGTCTCGATTTCCTGACTTCGTGATCCGCTCGCCTCGGCCTCACAAAGTGCTGAGATTACAGGCGTGAGCCATCGCGCCTGGCCACACACAAACTTCTCTTATGACAGTTATCAACATTTCAGAATTTTAGCATTGGATGAATAAAATATTAGTGGAACAATGATAAAGCACTTAAGAGGCTAATTGGGTTACACAAAATTATTGTCGAAAAACCATTTTTTCTCCTTAAGTGGGAGAAAATGAACCAAAAGCCTTTTTTTAAAATAGAGTCCTATTTCTCTTCCATTTCTGAGCCCTGAAATAAAGATCAGAGAGCAGGTATAAAAAGTATGGGGATATTATTTGATTTCTTCATTCATTTATTCATTTGTTTAAATCATTCAGTTAACATTGACCATTCTCTCTTGGCCAAACACTGTGCAAGAAGTGGAAGCATAAATAAAATATGATATAATATATTCTCTCACGGAGCCATTACATTTATTGAGAGATTTCTTGGAACAAGGAATAATAGGCTGAAGTACCCAATTAGGGTCTTTGTTAAAGCTGAGTTAGAAGCAAAGCAGCTAATACCAGCTGAAGAATAATGAGGTTGGTTGAAAGAATTGACTGCTAGAGTTTTTTCTAGCTCTGCAAGTGAAAATATCTGCTCTGAAGAGTGAAGTGAGAATAGCATACTAAAATTAAGAAGAAACTTTTGGATATCCAAATATGAGCAAGAGAAGTCAAGCTTTTCTTTGAGGAAAAATTTGAATTTACATGAGTGCTAGTTAGCCATTGAATTTAAGGAGAAGTAAGGCTAACTGATAAGTAGACTTAGATGAATACATTTCTAAATCTTATTTGTTTATATTGATTTATTTGTTTATGTTTTATAAATACATTGTATATTCACATGTGCATTTTACTATTGTAATAAAGAACTTCATAATAAGCAGAATCATGAAGACCTTGTACTTCTTTCAGGTTCCTACTTCTGAATAACTTCTCCACAGTGTCATATACCTGTTAATATTAGGCTACCAGAGTTGCAAGCACTAGGTCAGTCAGGGAACTGTCAACTTCCAGAGGATACGTGAGGCAGTAATGGAAAGTAATCAAAGCAGCGGTATACAGAAGCATATTTATATTTTCGAACAGGAAGAGATGAATTCTAATTAATCTTGAGGCTAGTATTTACAAAATAACAATTTTTGATACTTTTGGACCATGAGTTCAAAACAATAGCTCCAGTTGCAACACAGTATCACTGGGTTTATTTTAGCCTTCCCCTTTTCCTTATTTGTGACTCCTTTTTCTGACAGTGAGAAACCCATCCCTCATTATTCATAATATACTTACTCATTTACTCAATCCTAGTATACACATACAGTTGATTCAGAATTGAAATGTTAATTCATAACTGTGTTAGAAACAAATTTACTAAATAGCACAAATATTTGTGTGTTGTATTTTTTAATAAAAAAACTTTACAATTTCTCAAAACTGTACAGTTTTAGTTAAAATGATGTTTTCCAAAATTACATAGCTCTTTTCCCTTCTATACCTTCTTAAGTGTGGGTCTATTATTAATTTTTAATAGAGTTAGATTCGGTTGTTACTCTTTATTTTATCTTACTCTACCATTCTTAACCACCACATACACATCTGGTTTGATTGATTTGATTGATTGATGGGTATGTGAGTCATTACCATGGATATAAGAGTCACAACAATACAAAATAGTATACTCAAGAAACATTGTCCCCTTCATTACTTCTCTCTCAGCCCCACTTTCCCATCCTACCTATTCCATTTGCACCCACATACTTAATGGATATGAACATTTTAGAACTTGTCAAATGCTCAGCATAAAATTTATAAACATTTGCTCTATGACCAAGAATCTGTACAAATTACTGATTCAAAGAATTGCTATCGAATGTTTATATTAATATACTTTTATTTTTTCAATTTAGTTGAAAAAAAGCTTATGTTCATTTAATTATTTGCCTTATTTAACATTTTTATATAGCAATACTTACCATTTAGTTAACATTTGCTATGTATCAGGTGTGTGCTAAGTACTACTATACAAAATAAATATGAAATCAATATAGCTTTTCAATTTTTATAAATAAAAAATGGCCTAAAATTTGCACAATACAAGGCACTAATCAATGTTTTCATAGCTAGTAAGTAACTCTGAATTTCTTCTTAAAAACTAGGATATTTATTGGACATTTCTATGTCTTTAGGGACTGGCCATCCTTTTTTACTATATTTTATTTTTTAAATAAAATATTTGCCTTTTTCTTTGATTTTTAAAAATAGCTTTAAAAATATTTCCTGTTGCATTTTAAAATATTTTTGTTTGTCATTTGCTTTTTAAATAAAGTGTCTGCTGTTTTGGGAGGTGTACATATCTTTAATTTTTACTGTATTTAAATACATTGATATTTTCCATTATGGCTTGTTGGATGCCTGGTAAAACAGAGGATGTTGAAGAGCCAAGAGGGAACTATAAACAGTACAAACTAAGTAAAATAAAATCATGTAACCATTCCTCTCCAGTCCCCACCTCAAGTTTGAAGGAGTCAGATGTAGTAGACACCAGGAGGAGCATGCCAATGTGGAAGAGGCCTCAGGCTCTCTTTTCTCTGCTACTTCCTGCTCAGTCATAAGCAGGAAAGAGGGCAAATATTTAACTGAAGATGAGTAATATTTTGATTTATGTTTGAAATCTAAAATGAATAAAATCTATGGGTTCTATCCAAGATGTTCCAAATGTAGGAAAGAGATGTCATTGCGGGTATGAGGGCAATAAAGAAAGGAGTTTTGTTGACTAATAGTGTGTGATGACTTGCCTGGGCAATGGGATGCCCAGATATTTGGTTAAACATTATTATGGGTGTGTCTGAGAGAATTTCTGGATGAGATTAACATTTGAATCAGGTAGACTGAGCAAAGCAGATTGCCTTCCCCAATGTGGGTGGGCTTCATTCGATTGGTTGAAAGGCTGAATAGAACAAAAAGGCTGAATGTAGGAGAATTTGTTTTTTCTACCTGACTGTCTTCAAGCTGGAGCATTGGTCTTCCCTCACTTTCAGACATGGACTAAAACTGAAACTTACACCACTAGCTCTCCTGCTTCTTGGGCCTCCAGACTGGAACTAGACTTGTTCTCCGTGGTTTCCACTTGCCAACTGCAGATTTTGGGACTTGTCAGCCTCCCTAATCATGTAAGCCAACACACAGACACACACACACACACACACACACACACATTCTTTTAGTTCTGTTTCTCTCGAGAATCCTAATACAGGAGTTCTTTTGTATTTGCACTTTATTAAGTCCATTCCATTAAACATATGTTACACTAACATTTATTAAATACTTACAATATGATGTGTTAAGTATATTTATATATTTTCATGTTTAATTCTCACAATTATATATTTTTTATTTTTGTGGGTACATAGTTGGTGTATATATTTATGGGGTACACATGAGATACTTTGATACAGGCATGCAATAAGTAATAATGGTGTAATAGAAAATGGAGTATGCAACCCCTCAAGCATTTATCCTCAGTATAAAAAACAATCCAATTATACTCTTTTAGTTATGATAAAATGTACAATTAAATTACTATTGACTGTATCCACCCTGTTGTGCTATCAAATACTCGATCTTATTCATACTTTGTAACTATTTTGTAACATGTAACTGTACATGTTAACCATAATCACTTCTCTAACCAGCCCCTACTTCCCTTCCCAGCCTCTGGTAACCGTCCTTCTATTCTCTTCTCCATGAGTTCAATTGTTTTAATTTGAACACCTGCAAATTAGTGAGTATATGTGAAGTTTGTCTTCCTGTGCCTGGCTTATTTCACTTAACATAACTATCCCCAGTTTCAACCATGTTATTGCAAATGACAGGATCTCTTCTTTTTTAATAGCTGAATAGTACTCCATTGTGTATATGACCACATTTTTTTTTATCTATTCATTTGTTGATGGACATTTAGATTGCTTCTAAACCTTGGCTATTGTGAACAGTGCTGCAATAAACATGATAGTGCAGATATCTCTTTTATATACTGATTTTATTTCTTCTGGGAATATAACCATACCACTGGATCGTATGGTAGCTCTATGTTTTTTGTTTTTTAAGGAACCTCCAAACTTTTCTCCATGGTGGTTGCACTAATTCATATTCCCACCAACAGTGTATGAGGGTTCACTTTTTTCCACACCAGCATTTGTTGCCTATCTTTTGAATAAAAGCCATTTTAACTGGGGTGAGATGATAACTCACTGTAGTTTTGGTTTGTATTTCTCTGATGATCTGTGATGTTGAGCACCTTTTCATATTTCTGTTTGCCATTTGTATGCCTTCATTTGAGAAATGTCTATTCAGATCTTTTGCTCATTTTTAATCAGATTTTCAGATTTGTTTCCTGTACAGTTATTTGAACTCCTTATATACTCTAGTTATTAATCTGTTGTCAGATGGGTGGTTTGCAAATATTTTTTCCCATTCTGTGTGTTATCTCTTCACTTTCTTGACTGTTTCCTTTGCTGTGTAGCTTTTTAACTTTATATGACCACATTTGCCCACTTTTGCTTTGGTTGCCTTTGTTTGTGGGGTATTGCACAAAAAAATTTTGTGCAGATCAATGTCCTGGAGAGTTTCCTCAAAGTTTTCTTATAGTACTTTCATAGTTTGAGGTCTTAGATTTAAGTCTTTAATTGATTTTGATTTGATTTTTGTACATAGTGAGAAATAGGGGTTAAGTTTCATTTTTTGGCATATGGATATCCTGTTTTCCCAGCAGCATTTGTTCCTTCTACAATGTATGTTCTTCGGACCTGTGTCAAAAATTAGTTTACTGTAGGTGTATGGATTTAGTTCTGGGTTCTCTATTCTCTTCCATTGTTCTATATGTATGTTTTTATGCCAGTACCATGCTGTTTTGGTTACTACAGTTCTGTAGTATAATTTGAAGTTAGGTAATGTGATTCCTCCAGTTTTGTTCTTTTTGCTCGGGATAGTGTTGCCTATTCTGTCTTAAATTTTAGAATTTTTTTTGTATTTCTGTGAAGAATGTCATTGGTGTTTTGATATGGTTTGCATTGAATCTGTAGATTGCTTTGGGTAGTATGGACATTTTCACAGTATTGTTTCTTCCAATCCATGAACATGAAATATCATTCCATTTTTTGGTGTCCTTGTCAATTTCTTTTATCAGTATTTTTTAGTTGGCATTATAGAGATCTTTCACTTATTTGGTTAATTCCTGAGTATTTAATTTTAATTGTGGCTATTGTAAGTGGGATTACTTTTTTATTTCTTTTAAAGGTTATTCACTGCATATAGAAATGATTCAGATTTTTGTATGTTGATTTTGTATTCTGCAACTTTGCTGAATTTGTTTATCAATTCTAATAGTGTTTTGTGTGTGTGTGTGTGTGGAGGCTTTAGGGTTTTCCAAATGTAAGATCATATCATCTGCAAACAAGGATAATTCGAATTCTTGCTTTCCAATTTGTATATCCTTTATTTCTTTCTCTTGTCTTTTTGCTCTAGCTAGGACTTCCAGAACTATGTTGAATAATGGTGGTAAAAGTGGGCATCTCTGTCATGTTGCAGATCTTAGAGGGAAGGCTTTCAGTTATTCTTCATTCAGTAGGATACTAGCTGTAGGTCTGTTGTATGTGGCTTTTATTATCTTGAGGTATATTCCTTTGATGTGTTGAATTTTATCAAATGATTTTCAGGATCAATTTAAATAATCATATGGTTTGGACTTCATTCTGTTGATATGATGTATCACATTTATGGATTTATGTATGTTGAACCATCCTTGCATCCATGGAATAAATCCCACTTGGTCACAATAACTAATCTTTTTAATGTATTATTAAATTTGGTTTGGTAGTATTTTGCTGAAGATTTTCGCATCAATATTCATCAGGGATATTGGCCTGTAGTTTCTTGTATCATTTTCTGGTTTTGGTATTAAGGTAATACTGGCCTCATAGAATGAATTTAGGACTATTCTTGCTTCCTTTAGTTTTTGGAATAGTTTAAGTAGAATTAGTATTAGTTCTTCTTGAAATGTTTGGTAGAATTAAGGCGTGAAGTGATTAGTTTCTGGGCATTTCTTTTTTTTTTTTTTTGAGACAGAGTCTTGCTCTGTCGCCCAGGCTGCAGTGCAGTGGCGTGATCTCAGCTCACTGCCACCTCCACCTCCCAGGTTCAAGAGATTCTTCTGCCTTAGCCTCCCGAGTAGCTGGGATTACAGACATGTGCCACCATGCCTGGCTAATTTATTTTTATTTTTATTTTTTTAGTAGAGATGGGGTTTCACCATGTTTGCCAGGATGGTCTTGATCTCCTGACCTCATGATCCGCCCACCTTGGCCTCCCAGAGTGCTGGGATTACAGGCATGAACCACTGTACCTGGCCTCTGGGCTTTTCTTTACTAGGAGAATTTTCATTATAGCTTTGGTCTCATTATTATTGGTCTGTTCAGGTTTTGGATTTATTCCTGGTTCAGTCTTGGTAGGTTAATTGATTATGTGTTATGTGTCTCGGAATTGAGCCATTTTCTGTAGAGTTTCTAATTTGTTGGTATACTGTTGCTGACAGTAGCCACTAATGATCCTTTAAATTTCTACAGTATCAGTTGTAATAACTCCCTTTTCATCTCTGATTTTATTTACTTGGGTCTTTGTTTTTTCCTAGTTTGACTAAAGGTTTGTCCATTTTATTCATCATTTCAAAAAGCCAGCTGTTTGTTTCATTCATCTTTTTATTGTTTTCTTCATTTCTAATGTATTTATTTCTGCTATGACCTTTATTATTTCTTCTACTAATTTTGGGTTTGCCTTGCTCTTGCTTTTGTAGTTCTTTGAGATGCATAATTAGGTTACTTATTTTGAGTTTTTCTTCTTTTTGGATGCAGGCACTTATAACTATAAACTTCCCTCCTCATACTACTTTCTTTGTGTCCTATAGATTTTGGTATGTTGTGTTTCTATTACCATTTGTCTCTAAAACAAATTTCAATTTCCTTTTTAATTTCTTCATTGGCCCACTGGACATTCAGGAGCATATTGTTTAATTTCTATGTGTTTGTATAGTTTCCAAAATTCCTCTTGGTATTGATGTCTAGTTTTATTCCAGTGTGGTCAGAGAAGTTGCTTGATATCACTTTGATGTTTTTCAATGTTTTAAAGCTTGTTTTGTAACCTAACATGTAGTCTATCTTTGACTGGGTGTGATAGCTCATGCCTATAATTACAGTACTTTGGGTGGCTAAGGCAGGTGGATTGCTTGCACTCAGGAGTTTGAAACCAGTCTGGCAACATGGTGAAACCATGACTACCAAAAATACAAAAATTAGCTGGGCATGGTGGTGTGTGCCTGTGGTCCCAGTTGCTCAGCTTCTTGGGAGGCTAAGGTGGGAGGATTGTTGGAACTTGGGAAGTTGATGCTGCAGTGAGCTGTAATCATGCCACTGCACTCCAGCCTGGGTAAAAGAGCAAGACCCTGTCTGAAGTTAAATAAATAAGTAAATAAATGAATAAATAAATAAATAAATAAATAAATAAATACATGGTTCTGTCTTGGAGAATGACTTATGAGGTGAGGAGAAAAATCTATATTCTGCCACTGTCAGATGAAATGCTTTGTAAATATCTATTAGGCCCATTTGGTTTATTGTGCAGATTATGTCTGACATTTCTTTGTTGATTTTCTGTCTAGAAGATCTGTCTAATGCTGAAAGTGGGGTGTTAAAGTGTTCAGCCATTATTGGATTAAGATCTTTCTCTTTCTTTAGCTCTAATAATATTTGCTTTATATATCTAGGTGCTCTAATGTTGGGTGCATAGATACTTAAATTATCATATCCTTTTGCTGAATTAACTCCTTTATCATTTTATAGTGACTTTATTTGTCTCTTCATATAGTTTTGTTTTGAAATCAATTTTGTCTGATATGACTGTAGTAACTCTTGCTCTTTTTTGGTTTCCACGGACATGCAATATCTTTTTCCATCCCTTTATTTTCAGTCTGTTTCTTTATAGATGAAGTGTGTTTCTTGTAGTCAACAGATAACTGGGTCTTGCTTTTTTAATCCATTCAGCCACTCTATGTCTTTCTTTTTTTCCCTAAAGATGGAGTGTCACTGTCTCCCAGCCTGGAGTGCAGTGGTGCAATCTCGGCTCACTGCAACCTCTGCCTCCTGGGATCAAGTGATTCTCCTGCCTCAGCCTCCCAAGTAGCTGGGATTACAGGCACCTGCCACCACGCCCAGCTAATTTTTGTATTTTTAGTAGAGACGGGATTTCATCATGTTGTCCAGGCTGGTCTCTAACTCCTGACCTCATGTAATCCGCCCATCTCAGCCTCCCAAAGTGCTGGGATTACAGGCATGAGCCACTGTGCCCAGCCTGTGTCCTTGATTGGACAGCTTAGCTCATTAACAGACATTGTTATTATTGCTAAGTAAGGCATTACTCCTGCCATTCTGTTATTGGTTTTCTGGTCTTGTCTTCCTTCTTTCCTTCCTTTCTGTCTTCCTTTTAGTGAAGGTGTTTTTTTCTGGTGGTATTATTTAATTTGTTGCTTTTAATTTTTTTGTGTACCCATTGTACGTTTTTCAATTTTAGTTTACCATGAAGCTTCCAAATACTATCTTATAACCTGTTATTTTAAACTGATGACAACTTAACACTGATTGCATAAACAAATAGAAAACTAATAAAAAGTGATAGAAATAAACTAATAAAAAAGAAAAAGAAAAAACTAATAAAAATTCTACACTTTAATTTTGTCCCCCTGCTTTTTAATTTTTTTGTTTCTCTGTATGTCTTATTATACTATATATATAGAAAAGTTACTGTACTTACTTTTGATTAGATCACTGTTTAGTCTTTCTACTTACAATAACAGTATTTACACAGCACAATTACCATGTTATAATATTCTGTGTATTTCTGTGTGCAATTACCAGTGAATTTTGTACCTCCAGATAATTGGTCTATTACTCATTTATGACCTTTTCTTTCATATTGAAGAACTCCTTTTAGCATTTCTCATAGGACAGGTTTAGTGTTGATAAAATTCCTCAGCTTTTGTTTGTCTAGAAAAGTCTTTTTACTCCTTCATGCTTTTCTGAAAGGATATTTTTGCTGAAGACACTATTCTATGGTAAATTTTTTTTCTTTTAGCACTTTAAATATATTATGCCACTCTCTCCTGACCTGTAAGGTTTCCATTGAAAAGTCTGCTGCCAGGTGTATTGGAGCTCCATTGTGTTATTTGCTTATTTTCTCTTGCTGCTTTTAAGATCCTTTGTCTATCCTTCACCTTTGGGGTTTTTAATATTCAATGTCTTAAAATAGTCTTCTTTGGGTTAAATCTGCCAGGGGTTCTATAACCTTCTTGTACTTGGATATTGATGCATTTTTTTGGTTTGGGAAGTTCTGTTATCCCTTTGAATAAACTTTCTACCCCTATCTCATTCTCTACCTCCTCTTTAGGTTCAATAACTGAGATTTACCCTTCTGAGGCTATTTTCCAGGTCTTGTAGGCATGCTTCATTCTTTCTTTCTTCTTTTTCCTTTGTCTCCTCTGACTGTATATTTTCAAATAGCCTATCTTTAAGCTCACTAATTCTCTCTTCTGCTTGATCAATTCTGCTATGAAGAGACTCTAATGCATTCTTCAGCATGTCAATTGCATTTTCCACCTCCAGAATTTCTACTTGATTCTTTTTCATTATTTCAATCTATTTTAAAAACATTATCTGATAGAATTCTGAATTCCTCCTCTGTGTTTTGAATTTCCCCTTGAGAGCTATTTTGAATTCTCTGTCTGAAAGGCCACATATCTGTGTTTCTCCAGGACTGGTCCCTGATGCTTTATTCATTTGGTGAGGCCATGTTTTTGTGGATGACCTTAATGCTTGTAGATGTTTGTCTACATCTGGGGATTGAAGAGTTAGGCCTTTATTGTAACCTTGGGAGATTACAATAAAACTCTGGGTTTGAGCTTATTCACGCCCATTCTTCTTGGGAAGGCTTTCCAGGTATTCACAGGAACTTGGGCCCTGAACCCAATAATGCAGTTCTTGTAGACTCATAAAGGTACTACGTTGGTGTTCTTGGATAAGATCTGGAAGAATTCTCTGGATTACCAAGCAGAGACTCTTGTTCTCTTCCTTTACTTTCTCCTAAGAAATGGAGTCTCTCTGTGCTGAGCTGCCTAGAGCTGGGGGTGGGTGACACTAGTATCCCTTGGCCACGACTACTGTGACTATGCTGGGTCAGTCCTGAAGCCAGCACAACAGTGTCTCACTGAAGGCCCACTGTAACCACTACCTGACTACCACCTAAGTTCATTCAAGGCCCTAGGGCTCTATGATAAACAAGTGGTACAACCAGCCAGGTTTGTGTTTCTCCCTTCGTGGCGTCAAGTTTCTCTAGGCCTTGGGTGGGTCAGGTTTGTGTTTCTCCCTTCATGGCAGCAAGTTTCCCTAGGCCCTGGGTGGGTCTAGAGATGCTTTCTAGAAGCTGGAGATTAAAATCTAAAACCTCAGAAATTTACCTAGTGTTCTAGTCTACTGGAGCTAAGCTGGCACTTGAACCACAAGACAAAGTCCTTTGCACTTTTCCTTCCCCTTTCTGCATGCAGAAGAACTTCTCCCTGTGGCCGTCACCACTACCAGCCCATGGGGGGTTCTGCCAGGTCACCACCAATGTTTACTTAAAGACCAAGTCTGTCTGAAGATAGCTTGTGATGAATGCTTCCAGGCTGGGGACTCACCCTTTGGGCCAGGGAAGATCTAAAAATGCTGACCAAGAGCCTAGATCCGGAATAAAAAACCCCAAGAGTCTGCTGTATCCCACTGTGCTCTACCCCACTGTTGCTGAGCTGGTACCTAAGGTACAAGACAGAGCCCCCTTCACTTTTCCCACTGCTTTTCTCAAATAGGAATCTTTCACCATAGCCACCACAGCTTGGAATGTTCTGGGTCATACCTGAAGCCAGTATGTCTCAGAGCCCAATGCCCATGACATATTACCTGGGTATCACTGTTGGTTATTCAGAGCCAAGGGACTCTTTATTCAGCAGTTGATAAATTCTGCCAGGTCTTTGCTGTGACAGGGCAGCACTTAATTCAATATAAAATCCCCCAGTCACTGCCTATCCATCTCCCAAGTGCAAAAATTTCTCCCCACTGAGCAACTGCTGTGAGGGGTTGGAGGGTTAGGGGGTAGGGTGGACAGGCACACCTTTGCTGCCTCAGCTGGGGTCTCCATAGGTCACATGTCACCCCAGTCCACTGGCTGTGTGTCCAGCACTAGGGCTTGCCAAGGAATTGCAGTCCTTGTGGCCTAGACTGCCCCTCAAGTTCACTTAGGGTCCCAAAGCACTCTGGCCCACAATGGCGAGGCTTGCAGGAAGTCAAGCTCCAATTGCTTGGATGAGCAATTCCTCTCTGTCTAGGGCTGGCCCAAATGCTCCTTCTGTGGTTGGATGTCAGTGGAATACAGCCTAGTTCTGCTTTTCACTGGGACAGGACAGCACTGAGTTCAATGTAAAGCCTCACAAATGCTGTGCTCTCCCTGTCCCAAGCACAGAGAATCTCCACTGGCATTGCCTCTGCCAGGAGATGGGGGTTGGGTGGCAGCTGTGCTTTAAGACTGTCTTTCCTGCCCTCTCCAATGACTCTTTCAATGACATGAAGTTAAAACCAGGTACTGTGATTACTCTCCTGATTTTTAGTTCTTGTAATGGTGCTTTTTGAGTGTAGTTGCTAAAATTTAGTGTTCCTGCAGGGGGAATGAATGGTGTAGGCTTCTAGTCCATCATCTTTCTCTGCCCTTCACAATTATGTTTGATAGTAGTTACTATTATGCCAATTTTACAGAGGAATAAGCCAAATTTAAGAGAAGTCAAATAACTTGTGTAAGATAACAACCCTTATTAGTGGTAGTTTCAGGATTCAGTTATCTGATGCCAAAATCTACAGTCTTAATTTGTTTTCAAGTAGCAATAATCATACATTGGCAAATCTGTTGATTTAAAAAGCTGCTTTTAACACAGACACCAACCCTATACAATTTTCTTCTAAACCACCAGCATTCATTTACATTTTATATATAACCTTGAATTTCATTGCAATATTTAAACAGAGACTAGTGGATATTAAAATTCTGTCTGGAGTGTTAAAAATCTAGTAGATTAAGGATCAAAGTAGCCAATTTTGGAGAACTGTATCTTTGTACGTGGCATTTTTTTCCAAGGGTAGAATTACTTAGAACTTGCAAGATTGCATAGGCAGAGCATTCATGAAATGCAAAAGAGGCAGTTTACTTGTCTCTTACAATTTGTATTAAGAAGATAATGGTAGTAATGAAAAATTGTTAAAACCCTTAACATCAAGTACATCCCTGAATTGCTTTTATAAATATGTTTTTACCTTGGCAACTGGCCAGGCAATTGCTACTTTATATCCCTAGTCAATATTAGCCCAAATGTACAGTAAATGGAATATTCTATTTTAGAAATAGCAAAGTGATGAAATGGCATCATAGGAAATGCATAAAAATTCCATTTTAATAAGCTAAATCATCCATAGACTGCTAAAGAGAAGAAAGGTGAATGACTTATGTCTATAAAATATTTTCAAATTAAATGAATATGATATGTTGTAGGAATTAACTTTCTTTATTGCAGTTTTATCCTGCATTTAGGAGAATCTGATTTAAATCAGAAATAAAATCTACAGATACACCCCCACACACGCGTATTTCAAACACTGGCTGTTCCCTTAAACACTTCTGCATGGCTGGCTCCTTCTTCTGTAAGTCTTTGCTTCAGTATTATCTTCTCAGTGGTATTTTCTCTAACCATTCCATTTAAAATTGAACATTTTTTTCTCTTACTCTCCCCTAGCACTCCCTGTCTATTTTTCAAGTTTTATTTATCTGCTTAATATTGACTACTTCTGGCATCTAATTTATTGTTTACCCCTCCCCAGAAAAATGTAAACTTTCATGACAGCAGGAAGCTTCTCTATTTTGGTCACCTGTCCTAGAGCACTGCCTGACATATAATATATACTCAATATAATACTGACATTCTCACATATTTTAAAGATTCTTTTAAACTTAAATGTATTTTATGGTTTTTCTTTGACATAGGACTTATTTGGCACTTTACCTTTCAAAGTATGTGTAGGATAACTCATTTTGTTATCAATTTATATCTTAATTTGTTGTTGCAAAACAATGCAATCAATAATACAGCTTCTTTGAAAGCATCACTTCACTTATGACTTCATTTGTTTTTCCTTTTTTGAGATGGAGCCTCGCTGTGTCACCCAGGCTAGAGTGAAGTGCCGCCATCTCGGCTCACTACAACCTCCGCCTCCCGGCACTTCTCCTGCCTCAGCCTCCCGGGTAGCTGGGACTACAGGCATGCGCCACCACGCCTGGCTAATTTTTGTATTTTTAGTAGAGACGAGGTTTCACCATGTCAGTCAGGCTGGTCACGAACTCCTGACCTCACGATCCGCCTGCCTCAGCCTCCCAAAGTGCTGAGGTTACAGGCGTGAGCCACCGTACCCAGCCATTACTTAATATTTAGGCAATTTTTCTATATGTTCCATATGTACTTGAAAATAATCTTTATTTTCTAATTTTTCAGCACGTAGTTCCATACACCTGTCTAGCTATTTTCAAATCTTCTGTGTACTTACTGATTATTTTGTCTCCTTCATCTATCAATGACCAAGATAAATGTATTTAAAATTTCTCAGCAAATATCAAATGGTGGATTTGTTTATTTCTCCTTATATCTGTTTTGTATGTCTTGATCAATTTAACATGATCATATCTTTAGAAGATTGAATTATACCTTCTAAAATTTTATGGTGATACTTAATTTCTAGTTGCATTTTTGCCTTTTAATGTGCATTACTCATAATGGCCAAGATATGGAAACAACCTAAGTGTTCATCAACAGATGAATGGATAAAGAAAATGTGGTGTATATAAAAAAGAATTATTATTCAGTCTTAAAAAAAGAAGAAAATCCTGCCATTTGCAAAAGCATGGATGGAATGGGAGGACTTTATGCTAAGTGAAATAAGCCAGCCACAGAGAGAAAAATACTGTCTGATCTCACTTATATGTGGAATCTAAAAAAACCAAAAAGTGAAATAAATAGAAACAGAGAGTAGAATGGTGGTTAACAGTGGCAAAAAGGGAAAGGAAATGGAGAGAAATAAGGTACAATTTTACAGTTAGGTAGAACGAATAAATCTAGTGACATAATGTATAGTGCAAGGAGTATTGTTAAAATATTGTAGTGTCTACTGAAAATTTGCTAGGAGAGTCGATTTTAGGAGCTCTTATCACAAAAAAGGATAACTATGGAAAATGATCAATCAATTTGTTTGATTGTAGTAATATATATGATTACATACATATGTAATCACATATATATACATATGTAATTTTTTTATTGTCTAGACTTAAGGTGTACAACATGATAAAAAAGTGATAATAAATAAATAAAATGAGCTTTCTTTATGTTAATGTTGCTACATCAGTTTTTTGTTTTGTTTTGCTTTGTTTATACTTGTCTGGTGTTTTCTTCCTTATTTTATCTTTCAACCTTCTTTTGTCCTATAGGGACAACAAAGGAGCTGTAGATTCGCAAACTTGAATGTCCTTTACTACCAGAAAGAATTAATATGACTACCAGATCCCTAGGTGACATAATTTATGCCTAGAGGAAAGTAGTGGTCTAATATGATGCCATAATACATCTTTTTATTTATATTATATATCTTCTATGCCATACTGAATGCCAGACTTTATGGTAAGCATAGGAGAATAAGTACTTGGTGAAATGAATGTATCTTATTCTCACAACAACTCTGTGAGATAGTGAAAGTGTTATCTCTGCATTACTGGTAGGGAACCTTAGGCTTCTATAGTATTTAATGATTTCTCAAGCTTATTCAGATAGCAGAAGTAGAATCGATATCTTTTTAATCTTAACCTAGGTTTCTTTTACTCCATGACAGTGCCTTTCTTTGGCATTGACTTTTCTTGAACAAGCAAATATGGGATGTGGGAGATAGTTCCAGATACATTCCAGATACATCAAGGATGTTAATATGCTAAATGTGCACTACTTATTGCAGGCTTATTGATGGAGTCACCAGGACTAAAACCATCACTAAACTGCTTTCACAGTAGCATAATAAAAATAATTAAACTAAGATGGTCATGCTAATAGAGATAGTCACAATAATAAAGGCAAGAAGGAGAAAATTACAATGTAGAAAAAATATGTTAGCCATAAATCTCTGAACATTTCCCTTGTCCATAATTCATTTTATGCATTGACATGTGTCAATTAAGTAACCAAAATGAAATATAAAGACACCAAAAAAAATCATAGTTTTAATAAGAAAATCATTGTTTTTACACTTAGTGTGTGCTCTCTCTTTTTATTTTTAAACCAGAGGTGGTTAAATGACATCTCTTCCCAGTGAATAGAAACATTTCTATTAAGTAAGCTTATCTTATGCAACAAAGTATAGAAATAGCCTTGGAGAGCTGTATATTTAAAGCAATCAATTGTGTGTTTAGTTAAGGAAATATGCCATCATCATTAAACACATGAATAGTAACAAGCCATTTCCTTAATGAATCCCTATTAAGGTACATTAAAGCCAGCTTTACAAATAGCCTTAAAATCATTTGGGCTAGCAAATTTATGCAGCCTGCCAGATTAACAGAGTCCTCAACTATGTTCCTGCTGTTACTGTGTTCTTTTTTTTTTTTTTTTTTTTTTTGAGATGGAGCCTCGTTCTGTCGCCCAGGCTGGAGTGCAGTGGCGCGATCTCGGCTCACTTCAAGCTCTGCCTCCCAGGTTCACACCATTCTCCTGCCTCAGCCTCCCAAGTAGCTGAGACTACAGGTGCCCGCCACCACGCCCAGCTAATTTTTTGTGTTTTTAGTAGAGACGGGGTTTCACCGTGTTAGCCAGGATGGTCTCAATCTCCTGACCTCATGATCCGCCTGCCTTGGCCTCCCAAAGTGCAGGGATTACAGGCATAAGCCACTGCGCCCAGCCTACTGTGTTCTAAGAAACTTACCCTCTCTCTTCAGTTTCCTCTTTTCCATTGCTGTAGCTGAAAACCTCTCCAAATCTCTCAATTTTGCTCTCAAACTCGTCTATTTATCATTTACTCTGTGATCACTATTGGGACTCTATGATGACGAGGGTCACCTGCTTAATACTCAGTTGTAGTTGGTAAACATTATCTGGGATTATAACACTATGCAACTGTACCCACAAGCTCTGTAAAATACCTAGTCTGCCACAACATTTCAGCATTGATGGAGACTGTCCCATAAACATAACCTGTGGTCATTGACATTCTTGATTTTCACTCTTAGCTTTCCGTAGACATCATTTTAGCTACATCCAAAGTTATGTGGTGTTTTGAGCCATGCTGAGATACTCAACAGGGAGAGCGAGTGCACAAAACCAATAGTTATTTATTGAGGCTCTTGTTTGGGCATAGTGCAATACTTAGTGCTGAGGTGCTAAGTGTGGGTAATTGGAAATTATGTTTAATGAACTGACCTAGTGGTATAAAGAATAATACTTTGGTTTTAAAAAGTATGCATGATATGTTGTACTTGAATAGCACCAAGGCATCCAAGGGAAAACCTGGGAAACTGAAAAATAGGAGCAGAATTATAGGCTTTCTGGGTCTTAGACTTTAATACAACTGTACAGCAGTGCTAGTAGGGGCTTCTGGAAGTATATGTTGTTTTTAAAGGAAAAATTACAGAGAATATAGTATCTAAACGTGTGAAACAATTACTTGTGAAGGGAGAAAATAAGTTATAATGCAAGAGAGTAATAATAGACCCATGGTAAGTTTACCAGAAATAGTACAGCATGGCCTAGCACTTTGTAGTGTTGTAGGAAAGAGAATGAACTCTGAAAAAAGACTTTAATATTTCTGTACCTTCATTGAACTCAAACCAGTAAAGTTGTATGGAGTAGGTATGATTATCCTTATTTTACCATAATATATGGAAAACAAGACTCATAAATATTAAAGGACTTTCACCAAGAGACTGCCAATTCGTGGTAGAACTGGAATGACCTTCTTGGAGTCCTGTTTTCTCAACATCATTACTTTCTATTCAGTTGCACTTGAAATGAGCTCAGGAGGAGGACTGAAGGACATTGCTGCTCTTTGATAAGAAACAGTAGAAAGGCCAACTAGTTTATCAAAAAGGCAGCTGTTGTATGAGGTCAGAGCATCTTGGATGACGAGACATCTTGTCTCACCTGTTCTCCATAGTGAGTCATTAGAATGGGTTAAATTTCCATGGAAAATATTATACTTGTTTTCCATATCCATCTGGTCTATAAATTGCATGTTAAGAATCGGGCAGAATCTGTGTTAAGATTAGTTGATAGATAATGTAATAAAGATTAAAATTGTTTAGCATATTAAAGTGTTCTTATTCTTTACACAAAGCAATATTTACTCCTTGTGATATGTACATTGAGACTGTCTAGAATAATATTAAGCGAAGGAAAATAACATATTTGTTTCAGATATTCAGATTATGCTCCAGAAAGACAAAAGGAATATAGATAATGTGGTTTGGGAAAGGTTTTTTTTTTTAAGTAGAATAATTGACAGAATACTTAAAGTGTACAATCTAATAAGTTGTGACATCTGCATAGATCTGTGACATCACCACCATAATCAAGATAACGAACATATCCGTCATCCCTAAAAGTTTCCTTGTACACCTCTGTAATCTTCTCTTACTCTCATTCCTATCCCTAGGCAAACACTGATTTGCTTTCTGTCACTGTACCTTAAATTGCACTCCCTAGAATTTGTATAAATAGAGTCATACAGTGGGTACTCTTTTCTTGGTGGGGGACAGTGTGTGTCAGGCTTCTTTCACTGAGCATAATTATTTGGAAATCCATCCCAGTTTGTAGCATATATTAATAGCTCATTAGTTTTAATTACTGAATAGTGTATCTGGATATGCCACAGTTTGTTTATCCATTTAAATGTTTATGAACATTTGAATTTCATGCACTTTTGATTATTACAAATATAGCTGCTATGAACGCTTATGTACAAGTCTTTGTATAAACATATGCTTTCATTTCTCTAGGGTACCTTCCAAACTGTTTTCCAAACAGGTTGTATCATTTTACATCCCTATGATTATTAAAATTACATTTAGGTAACAAGCTTTATAAATATAAAGATTATGCACTATAAAGGTGTTATAAACTGTAATATAGATTAATTATAAAAATGTATTGGATCTATCTTTATTTTGAATAAATATTAAAGTACAATGCAATTGATATAGAAATATTCACTATTTGAGCATCATTCATTGCTAATAGTTTTTAATTTTGAAAAATTTCCCAACCTTTTTAGCTTTTCAAATTGAATGTTCACATATGAAAAGATGTTCCATATCACATGACAGACTCTTACAAAACTAAATATGCTCTTATTATATAATCCAGAATTCACACTCTTTGATACTTACCTAAAGGACTTGAAAACTTATGTCCACACAAAAAACCTGTGCACAGATGTTTATAGCAGCTTTATCTGTAATTGGCAAAAATTGGAAATCTTCAAGACGTCCCTTGGTAGATGAATGGATAAATCAACTATGATACATTCAGACAACAGAATATTATTCAGTGCTAAAAAGTTGAGCGATTAAGCCATGAAAAAACATGGAGGAAATTTAAATGTATATTTCTAAGTGAAAGAAACCAATGTGGAAGGCTGCATATTAACTATATGACATTTTGGAAAAGGCAAAACTATGGAGACAGTAAAAAGATCAGTGGTTGCCAGGGTGTAGGGAGAGGGAGGGATGAATATAATGAGCACAGAGGATTTTTAGGGTAGTTAAAATACCATTATAAAGTTCTTTTTAAAGATGGCAGATTGGAGACAGTGTTAGTGTGCCTCTCCCATTTGGAAGGACAGAATAGTGGGTAGAGATTCACACTGTGAATATTTTTTCCAAGAACCAACACAGGAGCTTAACAGGAAAACCAAAAGAATCCACAGACCGTATAAAAGAAATGGCAGGCTGCAGCTTACTCCATGAGACAGGTGAAAAACAGGAAGTTCTTAGAGTGTGAGGTGGGGAGAGCCTGCCTGCAAGCACATATGTTCAGTGGGGATTCTGAAGCTTCAGGCCATGGGAGAAGACCTTAACTGTACCCAGAGCAGGAACGGATTTAGGGAGCAGAGCAACTCACCCTGGGACTCCTTCCAGCTCAAGGGAGGGAGGGGTCATAGTGTGAAAGAAGCTTCCAACTGAATTTTGTGATATAATCCCATAATCCCAAGTGGGGATGAACTCCTCTGAACACAACCTGGTGGGGGGAGTAGGAAGTGCGCTTCAGACACAAGTGCAGGAGCTGGACACCGAGCATTGTGGGCAGATGGGTCATGCTTGAAAGCTGTGATTGCTATCTCTGCAGGGAAGCTTATGGCCTGGGGAAGGTTTGAGTTCTGTGCACAGACTGCCTGGATCTAAACCCAGCACTTTTAACAGAGCACTGCAGGAGTGTGACCAGCCTCACGAACTGCGTGGGAGCTGGGCGAGGCTTACCGCTGCCTGCTACTCCCCATTCCCTTTGCAAACTCTCTGTGCAGCAGAGGCAGTTATACTCCCCTCTGGAATATTACCCAAGTGGCTTGAGAACCACTTACAGTGCCTCACTGGGGCCATGGCCTGCCCTACCCAAGGTGAGTCAGAGCTCAGACCCACCTAACCATGGCCTCACCTGGTGATATTTCTCCACCCATCCTGGTAATTTAACACAAAGGGCATAAAATTTTGAGAGCATTATAGCCCGCCCATCACCTGAGAAACCAGAATACTTCCCCTAGGCAACCTAGCGCAAGCTCTAATCCTACTGCTACTACTGTAGCTGGTCCTCTTTTGCAAGCATCACCTTCTGGCTGAAGGTTAACCAACACAGGCCTTTACAGAACCTCCAGATAGAATAACACTGCCCCTAGGAAGAAGAAAATGGCTGTATGACCTCAGCTATCATCACTGCCTGCAACATCCTGACTAACCAGAAGTCCTGAGTCTGTTCACATGATAAGTTCACTTTTAGTATAACCAGCATTTGCGAAAGCCTGTATACTAAGCCTATCTATAACCAAGGAATCTCAAAAAGAGTCTATGTCACTCCCCTGCCCCCTCCATCAGAGCTGGTGCTGGTATCCACTTCTGGGAAAGTTGAAGACCGGTCACAGCACTGGATTTCTTGCAGACATTCCCCAGCACCAGACCAGAGTCTGGTAGCCCCACTGGGTGGCTAGACCCAGAAAAGCAATAACAATCACTTTAGTCTGGCTCTTTGGAAGTCACATTCCTAGGAGAAGGGGGAGAGCACCACATCAAGGGAATAGCGTGTGAGACAAAATAATCTAAACAGCAAACCTTGAGTCCCGGATCTTTCCACTGGTGGGGAGTTTCTTACAGCAGAGACACAATTGTGGTGCTGGGTGCAGTGGGGAAGGTCTGCAGCTCTACACCAATATGCAGGCAGCCTCTATGATCATGAAGGATCTTGAGGAAGGGATCCTTGTTCCCTCCTGGTATACCACTGTAGACACAGCTGGGGCTTCTTCTACAGGAATGCAGTGTGGATGCACCTATAGACAACCTTCCCAGAATAATTCAGGGTGATTGCAGCCCCCCAGGAGGAACATTCCCTAGATTCAGGTCTGCACGAGAGGCAGAGCCACAGTTCCTCCCTACTTGGAACATTACCTTTTCTTCCGATGAAGAGAGGTGCCTGACTGATCTGAATAGCCAGAACACTGGGTCAGGAATGAGACTGTGAGGTGGATAGGTTTCCGGCTGGCCTGGCAGGGGAGCTGAGGTAGCTCCCACCCTTCACCATGATAAAGCCTTTGCACATCTAATTGAGAGCTCCCTGACCACCTTCATCAAGGCTGGGACCTCTGCCCAGCATTGGGTATTACATCTACCAAACTGCTTTAGCTATAACTGGTGCCTACCCGGGGATACTGCCCCTACTGATCTGAAACCTGAATAATAAACTTAGTAAATAAAATACAAGGGAAAAATTAAATCAATAAATAAAGTGTACATTATGAGAGAATGAGATATACTTCAAGAGATCCCTGCCATTCCACCTCCATTGGAGACAGTGAACTGGCCCACACACCAAGTACATAACTACTACAGCTAGCATCTGGGAAAGCCAGTGCACAAAGAGTCTTTATAACTAAGGAACTCAAACAGAGTATTCACTACTAAAAGCACCAATAATCAAATTAGGCTATAAAAAACTATAAACATTAGGCCAGGCCTGGTGGCTCACTCCTGTAATCCCAGCACTTTGGGAGGCTGAGGTGGGCGGACCATGAGGTCAGGAGATCGAGACCATTCTGGCTAACACAGTGAAACCCCGTCTCTACTAAAAATACAAAAAATTAGCTGGGCACGGTGGTGGGTGCCTGTAGTCCCAGCTACTCAGGAGGCTGAGGCAGGAGAATGGCGTGAACCCAGGAGGCAGAGCTTGCAGTGAGCTGAGATCGCACCACTGCACTCCAGCCTGGGTGACAGAATGAGACACCATCTCAAAACAAAAACAAACAAACAAACAAAAAACAAAAAATATATAAACATTAAAGTCAGATTCTTTTAAGAGGGAAAATAGAAGTAAAAAATAAAATAAAAAATAAACTTAAGAACAATTTAAAGAAATAGTCTACCCAAATGAGAAGGAGCCCCCACAAAATCACACTAGCTCCCCAGCAATAGATCCAAACCAACAAGAAACCTTTAAAATACCACATAAAGAATTCAGAAGGCTGATTTTTTTTTTTTTTTTTTTTTGAGATGGAGTCTTGCTCTGTAACCCAGGCTGGAGTACAGCGGCGCGATCTCAGCTCACTGCCAGCTCTGCCTCCTGGGTTCATGCCATTCTCCTGCCTCAGCCTCCCGAGCAGCTGAGACTACAGGCACTCACCACCATGCCCAGCTAATTTTTTGTATTTTTAGTAAAGAAGGGGTTTCACCATGTTAGCCAGGATGGTCTCAATCTCCTGACCTCGTGATCCGCCTGCCTCAGCCTCCCAAAGTGCTGGGATTACAGGTGTGAGCCAGTGCGCCCAGCTCAGAAGGCTGATTATTAAGCTATTCAAGGAGATATTAGAGAAGGGTGAAAGCCAACATACAGTAATTTAAAAAGCAATCTAGCATATGAATAAAAAATTTTCCAGAGAGATTCATTGTAGGGGATCAGTCAGTGTGGTTGGAAAAATTGTAAGATGAAGTTATAGGATATAGATACAAACCTTCTCGGAAGGCCGGGAAGTTTGCATAGCTTGAGTAATAGATCTGGCTGAAGGCAGCCTAATCCTTACCTTGAGTAAATAGCTTAAACTAGGTGCAAAGGAATGTAAGGGAGTTTATCTAAATAATGTTTACTCATGTGGTGCTAAGACTAACCTTTGATCATTCGTGGGCAGGATGGCTCTCTTGGGAGAGGGCAACCAGATTAATTACCCACAAGTGTGCTGACTCAAAGCCTTTGTCATTTAATCTGTACTAAATAATGCAAACTTCACCGGCTTATTGAGGCGATGCTCCAGACTTAGGGCAGAGCCCCTTAGCCAGACCGACAGGCAGAATATCTGTGTCAGTGTATGTCTCTCATCTGTCACTGGGTCAGGGTCTGCGAGCCAGACCCCTGCAATTGATATCATAAAGAAAAACAAATCAGACATGGAAATGAAAGATACACTTAGGGAAATACAAAATGAAGTGGAAAGATTCAACAATAGATTAGAACAAGTAGAAGAAAAAATTTCAGAGCTCAAAGATAAGGCTTTTGAATTAACCCAATCAGACAAATATAAAGAAATAAGAATCAATAGAAATGAGCAAAATCACTAAGGAATATGGGATTCTGTAAAAGAGCCAAACCTAAAAATAATTGGCATTCCTGAGGGAGAAAAAAGTCTAAAAGTTTAGACACCTTATTTGAGGGAATAATTGAGGAAAACATTCCTGGCTTTGCTAGAAATGTACATATCCAAATACAAGAAGCTCAAAAAACCCCTTGGAAATTTCTTGCAAAAAAATCATCAGCAAGGCACATAGTCATCAAGCTATCTAAAGTCAACATGAAGGAAAGAATTTTAGAGCTATGAGACAAAAGCATCAGGTAACCTACAAAGGGAAAACTATCAGAGTAACAGCAGATTTCTCAGCAGAAACCTTACAAGCCAGTAGGAATTGGGGTCCTATCTTTAGCCTCCTTAAACAAAATAATTGTCAGCCAAGAATTTTGTATTCAGCAAAACTAAGATTCATAAATGAAGGGAAGATAAAGTCTTTTTCAGACAAACAAATACTGAGGGAATTTGCCACTACCAAACCAGCACTACAAGAAATGCTGAAAGAAGTTCTAAATCTTCAAACAAAAACTCAAAATACACCAAAATAGAACCCCCTTAAAGCAAAAATCTCACAGGGCCTATAAAACAATAACCCAATGAGAGAGAGAGAAAAAAAGTATCTAGATAACAACTAACATGATGAATAGAACAGTATCTCACATCTCAATATTAATGTTGAATGTAAATGGCCTAAATGCTTCATTTAAAAGATACAGAATGGCAGAATGGATTTTTAAAAACCACCAACCAAATATCTGCCATCTTTAGGAAACTCAGCCAACACTAAAGGACTCATAGAAATTTAAGGTAAAGGGGTGGTAAAAGATATTCTATGCAAATGGAAACTAAAAGGTATCAGGAGTAAGTGTTCTTGTATAAGGCAAAACAGATTTTAAAGCAACAAAAATAAAAATAGACAAGGACATTATATAGTGATAAAAGTATTAGTCCAACAAGAAGACATTACAATCCTAAATTTATATGCACCTAACACTGGAGCTCACAGATTTATAAATGAATTACTACTGGACCCAAGAAATGAGATAGACAGCAACACAATAATAGTGGGGACTTCAATATTCCACTGACAGCACTAGACGGGTCATCAAGACAGAACGTCAATGAAGAGGCAATGGACTTAAACTATACCCTAAAAAAATGAACTTAACATATTTATAGAACATTCTTCCCAAAAAACTGCAGAATACATATTCTTCTTATCAGCACATGGAACATTCTCCAAGACAGAACATATGATAGGCCACAAAACAAGTCTCAATAAATTTAAGACGATCAAAATCATATCAAGTATCTTCTCAGACCACAGTGGAATAAAACTGGAAATTAACTCCAAAAGGAACTCTCAAAATTCTACAAACACATGCAAATTAAATAATCTGCCCTTGAATGATTTTTGAGTTAACAATGAAATCAATATGAAATTTAAAAATTTTTTGAAATGAATGATAATAGTGACAACTTATCAAAACCTCTGTAATACAGCAAAAGTGGTGCTAAGAGGAAAGTTTATAATGTTAAAAGCCTACATAAAAACTCTGAAAGAGTGCAAATTGACAATCTAATGTCATCCCTCAAGGAACTAGAGAAACAAGGATAGACTAAACCCAAACCCAAAAGAAGAAGAAAAAAATAAAGATCAGAGCAGAACTAAACAAAACTAATTGAAACAAAAAAATACAAAAGATAAATGAAACAAAAATCTAGTTCTTCAAAAAGATAAACAAAATTGATAGACCATTAGTAAGATTAACCAGGAAAAGAAGAGAGAAGATACAAATAAACTCAACTAGAAGTGAAACTGGAGATATTACAACTGATACCACAGAAATACAAAAGATCATTAAAGACTACTATGAACACCTTTGTGCATACTAACTAGAAAATTTAGGGGAAATTGATAAATTCCTGGAAATATACAATCCTCCTAGATTAAATCAGGAAAAAATAGAAACCCTGAACAGAACATTAACAAGCAGTGAGATTGAATCAGTAATAAAAAAAAATGCCTACCAAAAAATTCCCAGACCAGATGGATTCACAGCTGAATTCTACCAGACATTCAAAGAAGAAATGGTACCAATATTATTGACACTATTCTGAAAGATAGACAAAGAGGGAATCCTTCCTAAATCACTCTATGAAGCCAGTATCACCTTAATAACAAAACCAAGAAAGAACATAACAAAAAAAAGAAAACTACAGACCAATAACCCCGATGAACATAGATGCAAAAATCTTCAACAAAATGCTAGCTAACGGAATCCAACAGCACATCAAAAAGGTAAAATATCATAATCAACTGGGTTTCATCCCAGGAATGCAGGTGTAGTTTAACAAATGTTAAGTCAATGAATGTGATGCACTACATAAACAGAATTTTAAAAATATGTAATTGTCTAAATGGACACAGAAAATGCATTCAATAAAATCCAGTAATCTTTATGATCAAAATTACTCAACAAAATAGGTATAGAAGGGACTTTCTTCAAAGTAATGAAAACCATATGTGACAAACCCACAGCCAACATCTTATCAAATGGTGAAAAGTTGAAAGCATTCCCCCTGAGAACAAGAACAAGACAAGGATGCCCTCTTTCACTACTTCAACATAGTGCTGGAAGTCCTATTCACAGCAATCAGACAAGAGAAAGAAATAAAGAGCATCCAGATTGGAAAAGGGCAAGTCAAACTGTTGCTGTTCACCAGTGATATGGTTGTACAACTAGAAAACCCTAAAGACTCATCCAAAAAGCTCCTAGATCTGATAAATCCAGTAAATCCTCAGGATATAAAAATCAATGCACATAAATCAGTACCACTGCTGTACAACAACCATCAAGAATCAAATCAAGAACTCCATCTTTTTTACCACAGCTATAGAAAGCTAAAATATGTAGAAATGTACTTAACCAAGGGGGTAAAAGATTTCTATAAGGAAAACTACAAAACACTGCTGAAAGAAATAATAGATGACACAAACAAATGGAAACAAATCCCATGCTCATGGATGGGAAGAATCAGTATTGTGAAAATGACCATACTGCCCAAAGTGATCTGCAGATTCCATGCAATTCCCATCAAAATATCATCATCATTCTTTACAGAACTAGAAAAACCAATCCTAAAATTCATATGGAACCAAAAAAAGAGCCCACATACCTGACTTCAAATTATCCTACAGGGCTATTGTTATCAAAACAGAATGGTACTGGTATAAAAATAGGCAGAACAGAGAACCCAGGAATAAAGCCAAATACAGCCAACTGATTTTTGACAAAGCACACAAACATAAATTAGGGAAGAAGACACTCTATTCAATAAATGGTACTGGGAAAACCTGCAAGTCACGTGTAGAAAAATGAAACTGAATCCCTGTCTCTTACCTTATACAAAAATCAACTCAAGATGGATAACAGTCTGAAATCTGGGACCTGAAACATAAAAATTCCAGAAAATACATTAAAAAAAACCTCTTCTAGACATTGACTTAGGCAAAGAATTCATGACTAAGACCCCAAAAGCAAATGCAACAAAACAAAAATAAACAAGTGTGACTAAAAAGCTTATGCACAGCAAAAGAAATAGTCATCAGAATAAACAGACAACCCACAGAGTGGGAAAATATATTCATGAACTATGCATCCAACAAAGGACTAGTATCCAGAAGCTACAAGGAACTCAAAACAAATTAGCAAGAAAACAAGCAAATAATCTAATGAAAAAGTGGGCAAAGGACATTTCAAATAGACATTTCAAAATGTCTACTTGAAAATAGACATTTCAAAATGTCTACTTGAAAATAGACATTTTTCAAAGAAGGCATACAAACAGCTAACAAACTTATGAAAAATGCTCAACCTCACTAATCATCAGGGAAATGGAGATTAAAGCCACAATGAGATACCACCTTACTTCTGCAAGAATGGCCATAATTTAAAAGTCAGAAAACAATAGATGTTGGCATGGATGTGTTGAAAGCGGAACAATTTTACATTGCTAGTGGGAATGTAAATTGGTACAACCACTATGGAAAACATTATGGAGATTCCTTAAAGAATTAAAAGTAGAACTACCATTCAATCCAGCAATCTCACTACTGGGTATCTACCCAAATGAAAAGAAGTCATTACATGAAAAAGACACCTGCACATGCATATTTATAGCAGCACAATTAACAATTGCAGAGATATGGAGCCAATCTAAGTGACCATCAACCAATTAGTGGATAAAGAAAATTTGGTATATGTACACAATAGAATACTACTCAGCCATAAAAAAGAAATAATATATTTTTCATCAACTTGGATGGAGCTGGAGGCCATTACACCAAGTGAAGTAGCAACTCAGGAATGGAAAACTAAATATTGTATATTTTCAGTTAAAAGTGGTAGCTAAGCTATGAGGACACAAAGGCATAAGAATGATATAATAAATTTTGAAGACCCTGGGGGGAAGGTTGGGAAAAGTGTGAGGGATAAAAGACTACACATTGGATACAGTGTGTGTTGCTCAGGTGACGGGTGCACTAATATCTCAAAATCTCAGAAATTACCACTAAGGAACTTACCCATGTAAACAAAAACTATATGTACCCCCAAACCTATTGAAATAAAAAGTTAAATAAAATAAAATATTCTGTATGATACTATAATGGATACACACCATTATACAAACCCATAGAATGCATAACACCAAGAGTAAATTCTTATGTAAATTATAGACTTTAGGTGGTAATAATGTGTCAGTGTAGATTCATCAATTATACAAATATACCACTCAGGTGGGGGATATTAATAATGGAGAAGGCTATATGCATGTGTGGAGGTAGGAGCTAAATGGGATTTCTATGTACTTTCTTCTCAATTTTCCTATAAACTAAAACTGTTCTAAAAATATAAAGTCTTTAAAAATGTATTGTAGATAAATGGCAACAGAAGATCCATAACAACAATTTATAAAATATTTTGTTATTTTTTCAGGCATGATGTTTGTGTTGTCAGCTTTTTGAAATGTGTAATTTTTGTGATTTCCCTCATTCTAAATAAATATTCATTTTTGTTAAAAAGGAATGTTTAAAGAATAGAGTACAGGAAGGATTACCTTTAAATTATAAATAATTGCTATTGGCTGGGCGTGGTGGCTCACGCCTGTAATCCCAGGACTTTGGGAGGCCAAGGTGGGCGGCACACGAGGTCAGGAGTTCAAGAACAGCCTGGCCAACATGATGAAACCCTGTCTCTACTAAAACTACAAAAATTAGCTGGGCGTGATGGCATGTGCCTGTAACCCCAGATACTGAGGAGGCTGAGGCAGGAGAATCACTTGAACCCAGGAGGTGGAGGTCCAGGACTTTGGGAGGCTGAGACGGGTGGATCACGAGGTCAGGAGTTCAAGAACAGCCTGACCAACATGGTGAAACCCTGTCTCTACTAAAAATACAAAAATTAGCCAGGCATGGTGGTGTGTGCCTGTAACCCCAGCTACTCAGGAGGCTGAGGCAGGAGAATCGCTTGAACTTGGGAGGCGGAGGTTGCAGTGAGCCAAGATCCCACCATTGCATTCCAGCCTGGGCAACAGAGTGAGACTCCATCTCAAAATAATAAATAAGTGAAAATAAATAATTACTATTATTCCATTGACATTTCGTATCATTTCCTAGAGTGCCTGTAAAATATTCTCATTTTGCCCCTCCTCAGTAATCACAGGGAGTGGTCTGTTGACTGGGAATGCAAAAGACAACGTATCAAAGAGGATAACAATGTGACCTTCACAGGAGTACATCCATGGATTTTCTCCTTGCCTCTGCCATTCATCCTAATGATCCTGGAAATCATACCTCAGTTTCTTTTTAACTTTTCCCCTCAGTTTTATTAAAGTATAAATGACATATAAAAGTTTTTGTACATTTACAGGATGCAATGTGATGTTTTGATATATGCATACTTTGGGAAATGATTAAATCCAACTAATTAACACATCTATCATCTAATATAGTTATCATTTTTTTCTGGTGAGAGCATTTAAGATCTACTCTCTTAGCAATTTTCAAGTATACAATACATTATTAACTATAGTCACCATACTGTACAATCGATCTCCAGAACTTATCATCATGTCTAACTGAAACTTTGTACCCTTTGACCAGCATCTCTTACTCTCCTCATCCCCTTCCCTAGCCCTTTGCAGCCACCATGCTACTCTTTGCTTCTGTGAGTTGGATATTTTTAGATTCCACGTATAAATACAATTTTGAAGTATTTGTCTTTCTGTGCCTGGGTTATTTCACATAGCATAATGTCCAACAAATTTGTTCATGTTGTCAAACATAGATTTCTTTTTCAATAAAAACTAAAGAGTGTTCTATTGTGTATATATACTGCATTTGCTTTATCCATTTATCCCTTGATGGAAACTTGGGTTAATTTCTAATCTTGGATATTATGAATAATGATGCAATAAACATGGAAGTTCAGATATCTCTTCATCATACTGTTTTCAATTCCTTTAGGTATATACACAGGAAGGGAATTGCTGGATCATATGGTAATTCTATTTTTAATTATTTGGCAACCCTCTATACTGTTTTCCATAATAGATATACTAATTTAAGTTTCCACGAACAGTGTACCAGGGTTTCCTTTTATCCACATTTTTGCTATTTTTTAAAAATCATTTATCTTTTAGACAACAGCCATTCTAACAGGTGTGAGGTGGTATCTCATTGTGGTTTCAATTTGCATTGCCTTGATGGCTAGGTATGTTGAACATTTTTAAATATATCTGTTGGCCACTTGTATGTCTTCTTTTGAGAAATGTTTATTCAGGTTCTTTGCTCATTTTTAAATTGGATTGTTTTCTTGCTCTTGAGTTGTTTGGGTACTTTATATATTTTGGATATTAGCCCCTTATCAGATATATTATTTGCAAACATTTTTTTCCCTTCTGTAGGTTGTCTCTTCACTTTTGATTGCTTCCTTTGTCATGCAGAACTGTTTAATTTGATGCAATCCCATTTGCCTATTTTTGCTTTTGTGGCCTGTACTTTTGGTGTCATATCCAAAATATTATTGCCCAGACCAATGTCAAGAATTTTTTTCTACGTTTTCTTGTAGTAGTTTTCTTTGTTGGCAGTTTTTTGTTTGTTTGTTTGTTTTTCTAATTTCAGTACTTCATACATATCATTCCACTCTCTTCTGGCTTTCAGGGTTTCTGCTGAGTAATCCGTGATAGTCTTATGAATGTTCCCTTGTATTTGATGACTTTTCTCTTGCTGCTTTCAAAATTCTTTCTTTGTCTTTGACTTTTGAGAGTTTGATTATAATGTGTCCTGGTAAAAATCTCTTGATATTTAATCTATTTGGGATTCTTTGGACTTCATAGATCTAAACATTCATTTTCCTCTCCAAATTTAGGAAGTTTTCTGTCATTATTACTTCATATATGATATTTGCCCTTTCTGTTTGACTAATACTTCTGTGAATTCCATATTTGTATTGGCTTGATTGATAATGTCCCATAAGTCCCATTGGCTTTCTTCACTTTTTTCCATTATTATTTCTTTTTATTTCTCTGCCTGGGTAATCTCAAATAATCTGTCTTTGAGTTCACTAATTCTTTCTTCTGCTTGATATAGCCTGCTGTTGAAGCTCCCTATGGAAATTTTCAGTTCAGTCATTTTTAGCTGCAGAATTTGTTTGGTTTCTTTTTATTTTTTCTATCTCTTTGTTGAACTTCTAGTTTTATTTGTGCACTATTTTCCTGTTTTTATTTAGTTGTCTGTGTTCTCTTGGGGGCCACTGAGCTTCTTTAAGTTGAGTAATTCAGTTCTAAATTCTTTGTCAGGATGTTCATGGATATTCATTTCTATAGGGTTATTTGTTCGTATTTTTTTTCCTTTGATGGTGTCATGTTCCCTGATTATTCATGACCTTTGTGGCCTTGCATTGAAGTCTGCACATTTGAAAAAGTAGTCACTTTACAGACTGGCTTTCTCAGGAAACGTTCTTTACCAGTCAGCTTGGTGAAGTGATTCTTGGTGGGCCATCTCATGTGATCTGCAGGCAAGCTTGCTACTAAGTCCTTGGGCAGGCTGGCCTGCTATCTGGGTTAGCAGGTGAGCAGTCCTGGTGCCTGGATGCACTGGAGTTAGCCTGGTCACTGGGTCTGTGGAGTCATGTCTGAAGCCTTGGTTTAGGGCTGGGAAGGCTCTGGTGTCCAGTGGGGTGGGCCTTCTGGCTGGGTCAGCATGGGTGAGCCTGGAACCTGTGTCTATGGGGGCTGGCCTGAGGTCTGGATCCATAGGAACTGACCTGGTGTTGGTGTAGGACTTGAACCTGACTCTATAAAGGTCACTCTGGCACAGGGATGGTCCTGGTCCTGAGTCCAACAAGGCACTGGCCTAGTACCTGGGTTTGTGCAGGTAGGTTTAGTGCCTGGAACCATGGGGGTAGGTCTGAAACCTAGGCCTATAGAATTGGGCCTGAATCCTGAGTCAATTGGAGCTGACCTGGAGCCTGAGTCCATAGAGGTTGAGACTGGGTCCTCAGTCCACAGGGGCCAACATGGAGCCAAGATCTGCAGGGGCAGTACTGGAGCCTGGGACCACAGGGGCTAAACCAGTATTGGAGTCTATCAGGTGGACCAAATCTTGGATCTGCTGGAGTGGACCTGGAACCTGGGAACATGAAGGCTTGTCTGGAGTCTGGGACTTGGGAGCCGGCCTTGTGATGTGGCAGGCCTGGATCCTGGGTCTGCAGTGGCTATATTGGCACGCTATAGCCACTGTTTACTGGAGCAGGCCTGGAACCTGGGTCTACTAAATGGGGGCCATAGGGGGCAGCTTGGAGCCTGGGCAGGCTGGAACCTGTATCCATGGGGGCTGGCCTCCAGTCTGTGTTTGTGGGTGCTCTCTGGAGTCTGGGGCTGCAGGAGCTTGCCTGGAGACTGGGTCTACTGGGGCTAGACTGACATCAAGATTCACTTGTGTGGGCCTGGTGCTGGAGTTCCTGGCAAAGTGAAGTGCTGACTTTACTCTCCATCCCCCACATGGAGAGTATTTCTTACCATATGGCTGCCAGGGCTTGGGGGAGGGGTGACACAGGTAATGTCAATGTGTACTTTCTGCTCTCTTCAATGTGTCTTTTCTTTTTTTGTGTGCTGTAATCTCTCACCTACATTCCTTAACTTTTGTGCATGGATAATTGTTCAAATTTATGTTTCTGCAATGGGACAAATGTTGAAAAGTTTTATTCTGCCATTTTGTCGATGGTACTCCTCTAGTTTATTCAACAATGAAATGCAAAAGCTATTTCATTGGCCCTTATGATGAATAAATTATATAATTCCTATAAAGCAATGAGTATACAGATTACTGGGAAAAGAGAGAATGACATAGGATTTTTAGATCGTGAGACACTTTCTACTGTGAACTAGAATAAATGCATTTGACACATACTTAAAATATATTTTAGGGAAGTTGTCTCTCTCTCTGTCTCTCCCTTTCTCTCTCTCTCTCACTCATTTCCCTTCATTACTCTCCCAATTGACCTCTCTTATCTGTATCGTTAAGTTCCCTGCACGGTCAACACTGAGATTTCTTTTTCGGTAATTAATGGATAAATGGATAGATAGATTCAGGCTACTTTGAAAATTAGAAATTTTACTTTCATTGTCAGGTAAATATGAATGCTTTTAATTTTGATTTTAATGTGTGAAAAACTTACTCATAAGATTTTTTTGACCATGCCCATAAAATGATTCAACACAATATTTCCTCACACCTTTCCCCTGTCACCAATGCTTTTACCTATTCACAAAAAATAATCCCCACTTATTTTCCATAGCAATATGAATATAAATCATAGCATTAGAAAAATAATAAAATTCAATATTAAAGCAAGATAGGATATTAGAGAACATCTAGTTCAGCTCTCACATTGTGCAGATAAAGAAAAGTTTTCCAAATGGGTGGCTTTCATTTCCTTTTTAATTCTTTTATTGTGGAATTAAGATAATTGCAGAAGTAATGAGAGACAGATGTACATGTAGTCCATGTACCTTCTTGAACTGAATGCTGTATCTCATCTTCTACACATATAATACAATTTCATTGGAAGGATAGTGCATCAACTAAAACTGCTTGAAGATTATTAGACTACATGCCTATTCTTGCTTCTAAAATGTTATATCATAGGTTGTTCCTCATGGGTCTGGCATCAATCTCTCTCTCTCTCTTCTCTCTCTCTCTCTCTCTCTCTCTCTCTCTCTGTGGCTACTGTGATTCTTCCTACTTTATAGTGAGCCCTGAGAATAATTCTTCCAGGCAATTTTAAAAGCTATTCATTAATTCATGTATGTATATCAAAATAGAAATGCAGCCAGAAGCTTCCTTTTGCTTTCTGTTCCCAGATGTTCAAATTAAAAATGATTGCAGACAAGACTAATTGAGTGCTTTTACTTTCATAGTTAACTTTCTGGTAACTGGGTAGGAGTTCCGAGGGTGCTGGTAATATTCTATTTCTTTATAGGAATGACAGTTTTCATGATAATGTTTACATGGTAAAAAATCACTTCATGTTCTCATTTATAAGTGGGAGCTAAATAATAAGAACATATGGACAGATGGAGGAGAATAACACACACTGGGGCCTTTCAGAGGGTGGAGGGGGCGAGGAGAAAGAGAATCAGGAAAATAACTAAGGGGTACTAAGCTTAATACCTGGGTGATGAAATAATCTGTACAACAAACTCCATGACACAAGTTTACCTATGTAGCACACCTGCACTTATACCCTGAACTTAAAAGTTAAAAAATATTCACTTCACTGAACAATTACAATTTACGTACTCTTATGTATGTATATTTTACTTTCATAAAAAGTTTATTTTAAAAAGAACTTTAAAGTATATACAATTTAAATTTTTACATATGCCTTCCGAGAAGTTGTTTCACTTGAAAACTTCACAAGAGATAACTGAAGTGATAAATGTAATTATATGAAAATGAGAAATGATTTGCTGAATAATTTTCAGAACATTAACTCTAATTTGGCCAGTGAAAGTATTGCACAGGAAATCTATTGTGAGTTTTAAATTAAATGAAAAGTTGATTCCTAATCTTTCCTGCAAATATTAAATAACAGTTAAGATAATCAGGTAGTTCTATAGGGACAGATATAGAAGAAATCCAAGAATTACTAAGTGAAAAAAGTAGGTTGCAAAGAATTGTACATTGCATGAGCTATTTTTGGAATCAGTTTTTAGTTTTTGTAATTAGGCTAGGTTTTGTCTATTTACAAATTTTACATATCTGGGATTATAAATCATGCATTATTGTATGTTAGTAAATAAATAGAAATGTTACCAAATGCAGGAAAGAATAAGATCAAATGGAATATTTCCAAAACTGCCAAAAGAATTTATTTCTGATGACCAGGAATAACAGGGATTTTTCAATCACTGTATTATATTGTTTCATAATGTTTTCTTAAAATCCCTGTGCATTGATTTGATAATCATGGAAAAAAAGATGAACTCTCCTGTTAGCAGTGTCTTCTTTTATTCTAGCACTTGGAAATTCTTTCTTTCTTTTTTTTTTTGTTTTGTTTTTTGAGCTGAGCTATCTGAGCTATGGACATATATAATTTTTTTTTTGAGATGGTGTCATGCTCTTGTCACCCAGGCTGGAGTGCAATGGCATGATCTCGGGTCACTGCAACCTCCGCCTCCTGGGTTCAAGCGCTTCTCCTTCCTCAGCCTCCCAAGTAGCTGGAACTACAGGTGCACACCACCATACCCAGCTAATTTTTGTATTTTTAGTAGACAGGGTTTCACCATGTTGGCCAGGATGGTCTTGATCTCTCGACCTCGTGATCCACCTGCCTCGGCCTTCCAAAGTGCTGGGATTACAGGCGTGAGCCACCATGCCCAGATGGACATATGTAATTTTTTAGAAATATTTTAACCACTGTGTCTCTCTCTCTATATTTATATATATTATATGTTATGTGTAATACATATTTATTTATGTATTGTTATAACTGTAAATGATATATTTATGTAAATATAATATATAATATATATTATAAACATTTTATAATATATATTATATATTTTATAAATACATATATTTTAATGACTGTGTCTATATATATACCATATATATTTCAACTTTTATGTTCAGGGAGGACATGTACAGGTTTGTGGGCAAACTGCATGTCACTGAGGTTTGTGGTATGAATGATCCCATCACTCAGATAGAGAGCATAGTACCTGATAGGTAGTGATAGGCAGTTTTTCAACCTTTGTCTCCCACACTCCTCTCTCTGGTAGTTACCAGTTTCTATTGTTCTTGTCTTTATGACCATGTGTACTCAATGTCTAACTTACACTTATAAGTGAGATCATGCAGTATTTTGTTTTCTGTTTATGCATTAATTCATTTAGGATAATGACCTCTAGCTGCATGCATATTGCTGCAAAGGACATGATTTCTTTCTATTTATGGCTGTGTAGCATTTTCTGGTATATATATACCACATTTTCTTTATCCAGTCCACCATTGATAAGCATCTAGGTTAATTCCATGTCTTTGCTATTATGAATAATGCTATAATGAACTTGTGAGTGCATGTGTCTTTTTGGTAGAATTATTTATTTTCCTTTTGGTATATACCAAGTAATGGGATTGCTGGGCCAAATAGTGGTTCTGTTTTAAGTTCTTTGAGAAGTCTTCAAACTGCTTCCCACAGTGTCTGAACTAACTTACATTCCCAGCAGTGGTATATAGGCATTCTTTTATCTCTGCAGCATCACCAACATCTGTTATTTTTTGAATTTTTAATAATAGCCTTTCTGACTGGTATAAGATGGTTCTCATTGTGGTTTTGATTTGCATTTCTGTAATAATTCATGATGTGTAGCTTTTTTTCACGTATTTGTTGGCTACATTTATGTCTTCTTTTGAGAAATGTCTGTTCATGTCCTTTGACCATTTTTTAATGGGGTTCTTTGTTTTTTGTTTGTCAAATTGTTTAAGTTTCTTATAGATTCTGGATATTAGACCTTTGTTGGATGCATATTTTGCTAATGTTTTCTCCTGTTCTGTAGGTTGCCTATTTACTCTGTTGATAGTTTCTTTTGCTGTGCAGAAACTCTTTAGTTTAGGTCCTGCTTGTCAGTTTTTGTTTTTGTTGCAAGTTCTTTTGGGGACTTAGTCATTAATTCTTTGCCAAGGCCAATTCAACATGGTATTTCCTAGTTTGTTTCAAGAATTTTTATAGCCTGAGGTGTTATATTTAATTCCTTATCCATCTTGAGTTACTTTTTTTATATGGTGAAACATAGGGGTCCATTTCATTCTAAGGAATTCCACATTAGCTTAGTCAGCCATGTTGCCGAAACTGAAAGTGATCTATTAAATTTCTATCTTTCCAGTAATCTACACATTTTCTGTTCCTCAGACAGCACTGTCTTTTCTTCTAATAGTGTTATAAAATGTTATTTATTTTTGTTTATCTTCCCTTTTCTTATATTTTAAAGGAATTTGTGCTGAAGGAAGAGCTTATCATCTTAATCTAATCTAATCTAAATCTTGAGTTTATCATCTTAATCTGAGGATTCATATTTATTATATTCATGTGCTCTGTTCCAGATTCTGGGTTGAACCCCAAGGAAACATGATGAACCAGGTTGCATGACTGTGAAGGCAGGATAAAAGAAAAGCAGAAGAACCACATTAATCATGGCAGACATTGATGAAGAAGGACAATGAGGTGAGAAGTGACAGAATATTTCATTTTTATTATATTTTATTGGGGGCATGTAAGGTCATTTAGTAGTAGTAGTTAATAGTATAGCTGACAATATGGCAACCAGAAGAAGGGTCAAATAACAAACATTGATAATATCCCACAGATCCCACAGCTGTAAATAGCAGATATATGAAGAATATTGAGTGCAAAGGAAAACATAAGGCCCTCATAGGAAATTTCAGTGTAAAATTCCTTTGATCATGCTTGTCCCCAATCTTTTATTCCTGGTTTTCCAAATGTACATTTTAAGATATTCATAATGCCCACATGACACATTGGATAGCTTATTTTTTAAGCATTTATCCCTTTCCAACACTTTTTTTTAATAATTAAACTTTACCCACAAATCTATCTTCTACCATGTAAAAATCAACAATAAAAAAGCTCTTCCAATAAAAAAATGAGATCCATGCAAATGACACATAATTTGGCAGCAAGCATCAGTAGCCCAAAGGATTGTTACTAAATTGTGTTTTCAGTTATTATTGAAAACTGTTCATGCTTGCAATTTGGTTTTTTTTATGCCTGACCTAATGTTTTCTCATATTTGGCCTGCAGGACTATGCTCATTTATAAGTTGTGAAGAATATATAGGAAATTTATTTCAATTTATTGTAAGTGGCAACCTCAGGGCCCTTTGAATCTTTCCTATCTCAAACTAGTATTAATAATCAGTTCTTGACAATGGTCAAATCTCCATGGACTACTTATGAACACATTACCTGTGATTTTTAATCCATTTAAGAGAGAATTATTTCTTGACTTTAATTTGCTATTTTTTTACAGATTTCAGTTATCTGAGTTCCTCCTTTTATAAGCTCCGCTTTCTTTTTGCTCTCTTCTTTTGTGTTAGTTGAGACAATTCACTGTTGTATATTCACCGTCTCCCTCCTTTTCCAGAACAAGAGCAGCTTAATTTCATGTTTCCTATTGTATTAGTCCATTTTCAGGCTGCTGATAAAGACATGCCTGAGACTGCACAATTTACAAAAGAAAGAGAGGCTTAATGGACTTACAGTTTCATGTGGCTGTGGAGGCCTCACAATCATGGCACAAAGCAAGGAGGAGCAAGTCACATCTTACATTGACAGCAGCAAGCAAAGAGAGAGAGAGCTTGTGTAGGGAAACTCCCTCTTATACAATCATCAGATGTCATGAGACTTATTCACTACCATGAAAATGGCATGGGAAAGACCTGCTCTCATGATTCAATTACCTCCCACTGGGCCCCTCCCACAACATGTGGGAATTCAAGTTGAGATTTGTGTGGGGACATAGCCAAACCATATCATCTGCCCTGGGCCCCTTCCAAATATCATGTTCTCACATTTCAAAACCAATCATGCCTTCCCAACAGTCTCCCAAAGTCTTAAGTCATTTCAGCATTAACTCAAAAGGCCACAGTCCAAAGTCTCATCTGAGACATTGGAGTCCCTTCTGCCTATGAGCCTGTAAAATCAAAAGCAAGTTAGTTACTTCCTAGATACAGTGGGGTACAGGTATTGGGTAAATACAGCCATTCCAAATGGGAAAAATTGTCCAAAACATAGGGGCTTCAGCCTCCATAAGTCCAAAATCCATCAGGGCAGTCAAATCTTAAAGCTCCAAATGACCTCCTTTGACTCCATGTCTCACATCCAGGTCACACCGATGCAAGAGGTGGGTTCCCATGGTCTTGAGCAACTCTGCCTCTCTTGCTTTCAGGGTACAGCCTCCCTCCCAGCTGGTTTTATGAGCTGGTGACGAGTGTCTGTGGCTTTTCCAGATGCACAGTGCAAGCTGTCAGTGGATCTACCATTCTGGGGTCTGGAGGACAGTGACCCTCTTCTCACAGCTCCACTAGGCAGTGCCCAAGTGGAGACTCTGTGTGGGGGCTCCCACCCCATGTTTCCCTTTTACACTCCCCTAGCAGAGGTTCTCCATGAGGGCCCTATCCTTGCAGCAATCTTCTGTCTGAACATCAAGGCATCGCCATACATCCTCTGAAATCTAGGCTGAGGTTCTCAAACCTCAATTCTTGACTTCTGTGTACCCACAGGCCCAACACCACATGTAAACTGCCAAGGCTTGGGGCTTGCACCCTGTGAAGTAACAGTCTGAGCTGTATGTTAGCCACAGCTGAAGCTGAAGCAGCCGGCACCCAGAGCCCCATGTCACAGTGGGGACTCTGTGTGGGGTTCCCATCCCACATTTCCCTTCCACATTGCCCTAGCAGAGGTTCTCCATGAGGGCCCTGCCCCTGCAGCAAACTTCTTCCTGGATATCCAGGCATTTACATACATCTTCTGAAATCTAGGTGGAGATTCCCAAGCCCCAATTCTTGACTTCTGTACACTTGCAGGCTCAATACCATGTGGAAGCTGCCAAGTCTTGAGGCTTGCAGCCTCTGAAGCCACAGCTCAAGCTCTGCATTGGCCCCTTTCAGCCACAGCTAGAGCAGCTGGGACTCAGGGCATCAAGTACCTAGGCTGCACATAGTCGTAGACCAAGTGGCTGGTCCAGGAAACGATTTTTTCCTCCTAGGCCTCTGGGCCTGTGATGGGAGAGGCTGCTATGAAGACCTCTGATATGCCCTGGAGACATTTTCCCAATTGTTTGGGGGACTAACATTTGGCTTCTTGTTACTTATGCAAATTTTTGCACATGGCTTGAATTTCTCCTCAGAAAGTGGGATTTTCTTTTCTATCACATTGTCAGACTGCAAATTTTCCAAACTTTCATGGTCTGTTTCCCTTTTAAAACTGAATGCCTTTAACAGCACCCAAGTCACCTCTTGAATGCTTTGCTGCTTAGAAATTTCTTCCACCAGATACCCTAAATAATCTCTCTCAAGTTCAAAGTTCCACAGATCTCTAGGGAAGGGGCAAAATGCCACCAGTCTCTTTGCTAAAACATGATAAGAATCACCTTTGCTCCAGTTCTTAACAAGTTCCTCATTTCCATCTGATACTACCTCAGCCTATATTTCATTGTCCATATTCTTATCAGCATTTTGATCAAAGCCATTCCACAAGTCTCTAGGAAGTTCCAAACTTTCCCACATTTTTCTTTCTTCTTCTGAGCCCTACAAACTGTTCCAGCCTCTGCCTGCTACCCAGTTCCAAAGATGCTTCCACATTTTCAGGTATCTTTTTAGCAGTGCCCCAGTCTACTGGTACTAATTTACTGTATTAGTTGTTTTCATGCTGCTGATAAAGATATACCTGAGACTGCACAATTTACAAAAGAAAGAGAGGTTTAATGGACTTACAGTTTCACATAGCTGAGGAGGCCTCATAATCATGGCAGAAGGCAAGGAGGAGCAAGTCATGTCTTACATGGATGGCAGTAGGCAAAGAGAGAGAGCCTGTGCAGGGAAACTTCCCCTTATAGTACCATCAGATCTCATGACACTTATTCATTATCATGAGAACAGCATGGGAAAGACCTGCCCCCATGATTAATTACTTCCCATTGAGTTGCTCCCACAACATGTGGGAATTCAAGATGAGATTCGGGTGGGAACAGCCAAACCATGTCACCTATCAAGCCATAAATTAAGTTTTAAGCATAACTTACATGAAGCACAGTTAAAGCAAAAAGCATAGCTACCAACTAAAAATAACATTATAAGAAAGCCTATATTTTGCCCTCATTCCGCTGATTATAATTGTTGAGTTTGGCTGATTATCGATCTTAGCTCAACCCTATGAATAAGCTCTGTTTTCTTAGACAAGGCAGTTTATGGAATCCATTCAAGTGTTTATAAATAACTAAAATATGACTATATACTTATGTAGTTTTAAATCCAGTGGTTCTTATCTAATTATCTAAGAATTATTTGATAAATTCTTTATGTTTATTTCCTCTGTATATAACACTGCTTGAATCCCTGTAAAAGACGGAAATATTTTTTACTTGTATTTGCCCAAGAAGTGAAAAGAGAGAAGAGGAAATACAATGAAAGAAAAAAATGTTTCGAGATATTATTTGATGAGGAAAACAGATGATACATATTCTTTACTCAAATCATGGAGTAAAACGTTATAAAAACATCAGGAAAGATTGCAGTAAAAATAGTTTAAATTGAGTGGGTATACATTTACCCACTCATTCATCAGTTAAACAAACATTTGCTGAATTCTGTGGCATATGCTGAAGCCACAGAAATTAACCAGACTTAATCATTTTCCTCAAGAAATTCAGTAGAATTTTATGATGCATAGAGAATCATGAACAAAGAAAAATACAACTCTTTTATAGGTGCTATAATGCATTTGTATAAAAACAGTGGTCATAGAGAAACACTATAGTTCAGTATATCTGAAACATAGAGTAGGTAGAATTATTTGATTTTAAATAACAGAAATCATCCTTAGCTAGTCTATGTCAAAGACCGAGGTGTCTCCCAGTGTCCATTAATGAAAATGCAGTTTGAATGTTGGAAGGAATGAGAACCAGAAGTTAAAAAAGCATGGTGTCAAGACTTTCTCTAGTTTTTGTATCAGTTTCTGTTTACATACATATCACTCGGTGATAAAAAGAAGTAATGGTGAAGGTGAAAACCATTAGAGAGGTAGTATTGGAATAAGATGATAAAAAGTGTCCGTATTCAATTCTGCGTTTCTGGTTTGTAGAGCTTTCTTATGCACCCACATAGAAATCGTAGAATGTAGGCAAGGCTACATGTAAATATAATGAGCTCATTCTGGTATGTGGTTATGGGGAAATGAAGCTCAGCATAGAGGATGCTTATAAGTGGATTCGTCGAACTCATTATTTCAGACATGATGGTGGGATTATTTTTTTGTTTTTGGAAGTAGAAATGAGAGGCATTGTGTACAAGTATAGAGGTAAGCATGATTACAACATACTTCCATGGCAGTGGATAAAGCAGCCTAAATAATAAAAAAGGAGGAGACCAATGTGAGGTGACTTAATCAAAGAAAACCATGATTTTTTTTCATGTTTATGAAGTTCACATCTGTGAATTTTATCTTCTCAGCCAAACTAGTAACTGTGTTTTCATTTTATGACATGTTTCTAGAATTGGTGTAAGTAGTCAATAAATATTTGTTGAATATATGCATGAAATAACACTTCAAGATCAAAAGCTAACAATATGTTAAGAAAAATGTTTCATTTGAAACAAAGTTGCTTCGCCCCAATGACTTTGTCTGTGTTTGCCATTTCAATGGATAACAGAGTTGATAAGAGGCACTATGCTAACGCTGTATTGCTTATGGTGGTAGAAAAATTGAGTCCGTAATTCCTGATCAAAAGCTTTGTGTAATCACAGAACTGATTACCTAATAACGATGTTTGCTTTTTATAGTTCAACATTTTGAACTATACAAATACCTTTCACATTTAAAATTAAAACAGGGAAAATTACTGTGTTATTGCAAATCTGAAACTCTCTTAGCCTTTAACCCACTGAAATGACAGATTTTGTAACTTGATGTTTGCCCTTGTAAGTTTTCTTAAAAACACAATTATATTGAACAGAGGCTGAATATGCTCAGTTTTAGCATTTTTATATTTTCAGTCCTGACCATAAGACAAATGCCTATGACGGAATAATTTTTAGTATACAGTGGAGGAAGGGTGATGGCCCAGAAAATTAGCCCAGGTGACATTTTTGGGCTTTACCTGACAGACTACCTTGTTCATGAAATGAAAGATTCAATATGGTAAAAAAAAAAAAAAAAGTCTCAGAGTTGATCTATAAATTTAATGCAATCTCATTCAAAATTTTAGCAGGTCTTTTGGTGAAAACTAACATACAATTTCTAAAATTTATATGGAAATATAAAGAGCTAAGCATAGTAAATATATTCTTAAAGGAGAACAAAATTAGAGATGCATGCTACTGGATAGCAAGTTTTATTGAAAAGCCACATTATTTAAAAATATTTTGGTGTTTCTATAAGGACAGTCAGATTGTCCAACAGGATGGAATATATTCTAATTATAAACTAACACATTTATAAACATTAGATTTATGATAAGGGTGGTACTGCTAGGCAGTGGATCAAGTAAATTCTTAAAAAAAATAAAAGCCTGGATAAACTAGACATCCAAAAAGAAAAAAGTATTAAATATTACCCATTACTTATATACAAAAGTTAATTGCAGGTGAGTTATACATCTCAATATAAAAGAGACATAATAATGCACCTCGAACACAACATATACAAAAAACCTTGATTTGGGGATGTCTGAAAATTTCTTAAATAGGACATACAAGGCATAAAACATATAAAAATCATGACTGATTTACTGAACTACGTTAAAGTTAGGAAAATCTGTTCATAAAGAGCCACCATTGAACCAGTGAAAAGTCAAGGTGTGTAATGGGAGAAGATATTTGCAAACCATACAATCCACAATAATCTCTTTTTCCAGATCAATATGAAAAAAGATTGACACCCCAATAGAAAACAGAAAAATATACGAGCAGACACTTTACAAAAACAACAAAATGGCCAACAAATGTGAAAGCATTCTCAACCCAGATAGTTATCAGGAAATGATAATTAAAATTCAAATGAAATACACCCTTGATAATCACTAAGATTTAAAAATACTGACAATGTATTTTTAAAAATAAAATTAAAATGCTGACAAAAATCTTGGTAAATATGTCAAGCAACTAAGACGTTCTTGTACTGCTGTTGGGGGTGTAAGTTAGTACAACTAGTTTGGAAAACTTTTTGTCAGAATTTACTAAGTTGAGCATATAACATAACCTATGATTCAACAATTTCACTCTTAACTAAATATTCAAAAGAATGAGTGCATGTGTGGGTCAAATGACATATACTAGAATATTTACAGCAGCATATTCATACTGGAATTAATGTGTACATTGTGGCATATTTGTATAAGCGAATGCTACTCAGCAATGAAATTGAATAGGTTACTGCTATGTAGAGCAATTTGGATGAAACTCACACATATAATATGAGAAAAAGAAGAAGAAACTACATGTTAGATTCCACTGACATTAAGTTCAGAACTAATTTTTGGTGTCAGATGTCAGAATACAATTGAAGAACGGAAAGGGCTGTAAGGTTATTAGTTACTGGGAAGGGACATGAGCTTTGTGAAGTGAAGATAAGGTTCTATTTTCAAATTGTATTTGCAATTGGATGGATGTGTTCATTTTATGATTCTGATAACTCTGATAACTCATTAAGCTTTCTGAAATTTAAGGAAATCGATTGAATGTTCAAAAGTAATTTGACCAGCAGAGCACACAGATTGTTTTGCTTTTGGCTCACAAAACTTTTGTATCTCAGTGCTTAGTAATAAATGGCCCCATACTGACAATTATATTACAAAGGAAGGCATTTATTATTTATAAGTAAAATAAACAAACCATGGTTTACATTTATTGCCTGGTAAAGTTACTATCACCACTGTCATCATTTTGATGGGTTTAAAATAGAAAAGACTTAGAGCAATTAATTTCAGAAAGGTTTTCCAAAACTTTATTGACTCAAGTTTGACTAGACAATAAACTAAGTGCATGGACTTTTGATTGGCTCCTATTTGTAGGAGGTTTCTGATGAGTAATTATCAAATGTCATTTCAGAAAGTGTTGTCACAATTATGTGGCTTAAAAAATGCTTTATGTTCTATCATCAACCATGGAACATGATTTTCTTACCTGCATTTATTTTTTTAATCTTTTCACATAGCACAGACATTTTTACTGAAAGAGAAAAAGAGGAGCAAGGAGGAGGTTAAAGAAAACAACACTTTATGGTGACAATTTTAAATTATATTTCACAAAATAGAAAAAAATATTATCTTAGTCTGTTCAAGCTGCTATAATAAAATATCATAAACTGTGTAGCTCATAAAGAGCATAAATTTATTTCTCACAGTTCTAGGGAATGGAAAGTCCAAGATTGAAGCCTAGGCAGATTCAGTGTCTTGAGGGCCTGTTTTCTAGTTCACAAATGGCACCTTCTCATTGCATCCTCATGTGGTGGAAGGGACGATGGATGTATCTAGGGTTCCTTTTATAAAAGCACTAATATAATTTTCTAAAGACTTCATAAAGGCCCATCTCCTCACACCATCACCTTGGGGGATAGGATTCCAAACTACGAATTTTTGGGGGATATAATTGTTCAGTCCATTGCAAATATACACTAAAATGATATATCTAGTTGGTAATATTAAGTGATTTAAGTTTTTAAATTTTGCCTATAGTATATTTTCCAATTATCCACAAGGAGCATGTAGCATTATTAGTGATATAATTATAAATCATAAAAATTATGAAGATTAATTTGCATGTGATGTGGTTTGGCTGTGTCCCCACCCAAATCTCATGAATTGTAGCTCCTAAAATTCCCATGTGTTGTGAGAGGAACCCTGTGGGTAGTAATTGAATCATGGGGGCAGGTATTTCCCATACTGGTCTCATGATAGTGAAAAGTCTCATGAGATCTGATGTTTTTATAAGGGGGAGTTTCCCTACACAGGCTCTCTCTTTGCCTGCTGCCATCCATGTAAGATGTAACTTGCTCCTTCTTGCCTTCTGCCATAGTTGTGAAGCCTTCCCAGCCATGTGGAACTGTGAGTCCATTAATCCTCTTTCCTGTATAAATTACCCAGTCTTGGGTATGTCTTTATTAGCAGCATGAAAATGGACGAAGAAAGCATGTGTGATTGTTTACTAACATTTGTTTGAATATTGAAAAAAGTTGTCAGTACTCAAGAAACCTTATATTTCAGTGTACTTACTAGCCTGATGGATCCTAATGCTTTTGACCTTTTTGACCTATAGAAATCATATTCTTTTTGTAGAACTTATCTGAATAAAGTAGAGCAAGAAAAATAAGTCCGAGAGTTTATACAAGCTGTTCGTGCATACTCACAAATAGTGGTCTTGATATGGCTGCGTCCCCACCCAAAACTCAAGTTGAATTGTATCTCCCAGAATTCCCATGTGTTATGGGAGGGACCCAGGGGGAGGTAATTGAATCATGGGGCTAGTCTTTCCCTTTATATTCTCATGATAGTGAATAAGTCTCACAAGATCTGATGGGTTTATCAGGGGTTTACACTTTTGCTTCTTCCTCATTTTCTCTTCCTGCTGCCATGCAAGAAATTCCTTTCGCCTCCCACCATGATTCTGAGGCCTCCCTAGCCATGTGGAACTGTAAGTCCATTAAATATCTTTTGCTTCCCAGTTTGGGGTATGTCTTTATCAGTAGTGTGAAAATGGAGTAATACAGTTAATTGGTACTGGGAGTGGGGTGTTGCTGAAAACATACCCAAAAATGTGGAAGCAACTTTGGAACTGGTAACAGGCAGAGGTTGGAACACTTCATAGGGTCCAGAAGAAGACAGAAAAATGTGGCAAGGTTTGGAACTTCATAGAGACTTGTTGAATGTCTTTGCCCAAAATGCTGATAGGAATATGGACAATAAGGTCCAGGCTGATGTGGTCTCACATGGAGATAAGGAACTCATTGGGAGCTGGAGTAAAGGTGACTTTTGTTATGTTTTAACAAAGAGACTGGTGGCATTTTGCCCCTGCCATAGAGATTTGTGGAACTTTGAACTTGAGAAAGATGATTTAGGGTATTTGCTGGAAGAAATTTCTAAGCAGCAAAGCACTCAAGAGGTGACTTGGGTACTGTTAAAGGCATTCAGTTTTATAAGGGAAGTAGAGCATGAAAGTTTGGAAAATTTATAACCTCACAATGTGAAAAGAAAAACCCATTTTCTGGGGAGAAATTCAAGCTGGCTGCAGAAATTTGCATAAGTAGCAAGGAGCCTTATGTTAATCCCCAAGACCATGAGGAAATGTCTCCAGACCATGTCAGAGACTTTCAAAGAAGCCCTTCTAATCACCAGCCAGGAAGCCCAAGAGGAAAAAGTGGTTTTGTGGGCCAGGCCCAGAGACCCTGTGCTGTGTGTGGCCTAGGGACTTGGTGCCCTATGTCCCAGCTGCTCCAGCTGTGGCTGAAAGGGGCCAACATACACCTTGGGCTGTGGCTTTAGAGGGTGGAAGGCCGACGCCTTGGCAGCTTCCACATGGTGTTGAGCCTGTGGGTACACAGAAGTCAAGAATTGAGGTTTGAGAACCTCCGCCTAGATTTCAGAAGATGTATGGAAACGCCTGGATACCCAAGCAAAAGTTTGCTGCAGAGGCAGGTTCTTCATGCAGAACCTCTGCTAGGGAAGTGCAGAAGAAAAATGTGGGGTTGGAGCCCCCACATAGAGTCCCTACTCAGGCACTGCCTAGTGGAGCTGTGAGAAGAGGACCACCGTCCTACAGACCCCAGAATGGTAGATCCACCGACAGCTTACACTCTCCACCTGGAAAAGCTGCAGACACTCAATGCCAGCCCGTGAAAGCAGCTGGGAGGGAGGCTGTACCCTGCAAAGCCACAGGGGTGGAGCTGGCCAAGACCATGGGAACCCACCTCTTGCATCAGCATGACTTGGATATGAGGCCTGGAGTAAAAGGAGAGAATTTTGGAGCTTTAAAATTTGACTGCCCCATTTTATTTTGGACTTGCATGGGCCCTGTAACCCCTTTGTTTCGGCTAATTTCTCCTATTTGGAGTGGCTGTATTTATCCAATACCTGTACCCTCATCGTATCCAGCATGTAACTAGCTTGCTTTTGATTTTACAGGCTCGTAGGTAGAAGGGACTTGCCTTGTCTCAGATGAGACTTTGGACTGTGGACTTTTGAGTTAATGTTGAAATGAGTTAAGGCTTTGGGGGACTGTTGGGAAGGCATGATTGCTTTTGAAATGTGAGGACATGAGATTTTGGAGGGGCCAGGGGCAGAATGATATGGTTTAGCTGTGTCCTCACCCAAATCTCAACTTGAATTATATCTCCCAGAATTCCCACGTGTTGTGGGAAGGACCTGGAGGAGATAACTGAATCATGGGGGCCAGTGTTTCCTGTGGTATTCTCATGATAGTGAATAAGTCTCATGAGATCTGATGGGTTTATCAGGGGTTTCCACTTTTGCTTCCTCATTTTCTCTTGCTGCTTCCATACAAGAAGTTCCTTTTACCTCCTGCCATGAACTGAGGCCTCCCCAGCCATGTGGAACTGTAAGTCCAATTAAACTTCTTTTTCTTCCCAGTCTTGGGTATGTCTTTATCAGCAGCATTAATATGGACTTATACAGGCCTCTAGAAAGCTTGCTTGCATATTGTGCCCCTGTCATTCTGTCTTTTCCATTAAGCATCCTGACATGCCACTAAGTTGAACACTAGTCACTTTTATATGCTGTTTTGCTATTCTAAAATGGGGGGAATTTGGAGAGATAATAGCATGTAAAATAAATAATAAAATCAAGTTTTCTACAGGTATATATTCACCTGTCATAATGCCTGATTTTCCGAAAAGATGGGAAAGCCTTTGGCAAATTAGTTCGCTAATTAATTTTCAAAAACAATTTAATGTGCTAATTAAGTTTATTTTTTTCCTTCATAGTGAGAAACATTAAACTTTATAACTTTCTATTATTAATCTATGGATAGTAGATAACCTACTTTATTATTTTACTGAAAGTTATGACTAAAATTCCCCCCAAATAATTTGAAAACATAACCTGAGAAAATAATATACATAAGAGCAAAGTTATATCATAGCTATCAAGATTTTATGCAAAATCTCCTAAGCAGTTAAAGAGTGAATTTCCCTAGTACTTATTATAGGAAAGAAATGATTAGCTCATTATCTATAGAACTTCACATTTCCACTGGTAAAATATAAAATAGTTTAATATTGAAGGAATGTTTTCCTAATATTTATACCTGTTACTTAATTTTTAAAATTTCAACTTTTATTTTAGATATGGGGTATAATATTGATAGATTGGGAAAAACCACTGTGGCTTTGTATTACTCCCTTCTCACAGTGGTATGAAGAAGTAACCGAGACTAAGTAATTTATAAAGGGAATAAATTTAATTGGCTCACAGTTCCACTTTGCTGGGGAGGCCTCAGGAAACATACACTCATGGCAGAAGGCACAGGACAAGCAGGCACCTTCTTCACAGGATGACAGGATGGAGTAGTGCAAGCAGTGGAAATGCCAGATGCTTATAAAACCATCAGATCTTGTGAGACTCACTCACTATGATGAGAACAGCATGGGGAAAACCACCCCCATGTTCTAATTACCTCTACCTTTGGTCCTGCCCTTGACACTTGGGGACCATAGGGCTTGTGGGGATTACAATTCAAGATGAGATTCTGGGTGAGGACCCAGCCAAACCATATTAGGCTTTATGTTTGAAGTGCATAATTCCATGTTACCCATCCATCTCCAGGGATATTTAACAAAAGCTGTAAGAAGTATGAAATATAAAAGCATTGACATTAAGACAGATAATTAAGCCTTTTCATTTATGATCATATCAACTACTTGAAACTATACATTGACATAGTATTTGTTGAATCATAATAATTTTAGAACACTTACTAAATGTTTGGTTAATTATTTTAATTGTTACATGTTATGCCATTTTTTTTTTGTTAGCCCGAGACTCTTCCTACATTGCATAAAATTTATAAAGTTTGGAAATCACCATTGTACTTGATCAATTTGCCTATAAACTAATAAAAGTGAGTATGAGGGAACATCAAGTTTCAGTATGAACTCTGACAACCTGGCAACTTATCAAATTTCCATTTCATTCTGTTTTATATTGGAAGGATCACTTGACTTGGAATTCTAAGACTTAATTTTAGTCCTTGTTCAATCACTTGACTGGTTGTCCTCTGGACGGTTGAATGCATGGAAGTATCAGGGTAGGTGTTTTTCTTTTCTTTTCTTTTCTTTTTTGAGACGGAGTCTTCCTCTGTCACCAGGCTAGAGTGCAATGGCGCGATCTTGGCTCACTGCAACCTCAGCCTCCTGGGTTCAAGTGATTCTCCTGCCTCAGCCTCCCGAGTAGCTGGGACTACAGGCGCCCACCACCATGCCCGGCTAATTTTTTGGATTTTTACTAGAGATGGGGTTTCACCGTGTTAGCCAGGATGGTCTCGATCTCATGACCTCGTGATCCGCCCACCTCGGCCTCCCAAAGTGTTGGGATTACAGGCGTGAGCCACTGCGCCGGGCCGTGCCCCGCTAATTTTTGTATTTTTAGTAAAGACAAGGTTTCACGATGTTGGCCACATGGTCTTGATCTCTTGACCTCGTGATATGCCCACCTCGGCCTCCCAAAGTGCTGGGATTACAGATGTGAGCCACCGCGCCTGGCCAGTGTAGATGTTTTTCTATGAGCTTCCTACACTAGACTGGGAGGAGAATTACTAAATGCTGTGAGTATAATTATTGATCTTGAAAAATGCCTATCTATTTTTTACTTTTTAAAAAAGCATGATAAGTTTTACTGGACAAGATGGAAGAGATTTTACAAAAGAAGGAGTCTAAAGGAATAAAAAAAGTGTCAAAGTCAGTGTCAAGTGGCTGATGAATGAAATAACATAATGGAGAAAAAAGAGAAGGGGAAAAAAATCACTATTTGAGCCAATTTTTACCCATTGAACAGGACAGTAAATTTGGGTATTCTGAGGAAATAACATCAAAAAGTATCCAATGTAAGCTTAAGATGAGCAAATGGGTGCACATTAAAAATGGGTGACTCCTTCTAACAGCCCCATGGAGAAAAATGAATTTTCATGGTTATTGAGTCTCTAATGTAGATATGGAAATATATGTAGTTTCATCACTGGTGGTTATTGTCTTTGTTACTGATGTATTCAAGAACCCTTCTAAAATTTTCAAACTCTTTGGCTTCAACTAACTCATATGGGAACAAAAAGGTATACCTAGTCTTTTAAATTTTATTATTATTATTATTATTATTATTATTATTATTATTATTATTATTATTTTTCTTTTTCTTTTTGAGACGGAGTTTTGCTCTTGTTGCCCAGGCTGGAGTGCAATGGCATGATCTCAGCTCACTGCAACCTCCGCCTCCTGGATTCAAGCAATTCTCCTACCTCAGCCTCCCGAGTAGCTGGGATTACAGGCATGCACCACCATGCCCAGCTAATTTTGTATTTTTAGTAGAGACGGGGTTTCTCCATGTTGGCCAGGCTGGTCTTGAACTCCCGATCTCAGGTGATCTGCCTACGTTGGCCTCCCAAAGTGCTGGGATTACAGGCATGAGCCACCATGCCTGGCCTTTATTATTATTTTTATGTTGTTATTTTACTTTAAGTACTGGGATACATATGCAGAACGTGCAGGTTTGTTACATATACATATGCTATGGTGGTTTGCTGCACCTATCAACACATCATGTAGGTTTTAAGCCCCACATGCATAGGTATTTATCCTAATGCTCTCCCTCCCCTTTTCCCCCACCCACCACCCCCGCCCTCTGACAGGCCCTGGTGTGTGATGTTCCCCTCCCTGTGTCCATGTGTTCTCATTGTTCAACTCCCACTTATGAGTGAGAACATGTGGTGTTTGGTTTTCTGTTTCTGTGTTAGTTTTCTGAGAATGATGGTTTCCAGATTCATCCATGTTGCTGCAAAGGACATAAACTCATTCTTTTTTGTGGCTGCATAGCATAATATTCCATGGTGTATATGTGCCACATTTTCTTTATCCAGTCTATCATTGATGGGCACTTGGGTTGGTTCCAAGTCTTGCTATCGTAAATAGTGCTGCAATAAACATATGCGTGCATGTGTCTTTATAGTAGAATGATTTATAATCCTTTTGGTATATACCCCGTAATAGGATTGCTGGGTCAAATGGTATTTCTGTTTTTAGATCCTTAAGGAATCACCACACTGTCTTCCACAATGGTTGAATTAATTTACACTCTCACGAACAGTGTAAAAGTGTTCCTATTTCTTCACATCCTCTCCGTCATCTGTTGTTTCCTGACATTTTAATAATCGCCATTCTAACTGGAGTGAGGTGGTATCTCATTGTGGTTTTGAATTGCATTTCTCTAAAGACCAGTGATGATAAGCTTATTTTTGTATGTTTTTTGGCCACACAGATGACTTCTTTTGAGAAGTGTCTGTTCATATCCTTTGCCCACTTTTTGATAGGGTTGTTTGTTTTTTTTTCTTGTAAATTTGTTTAAGTTCCTTGTAGGTTCTGGATATTAGCCCTTTGTTAGATGTGTAGCTTGCAAAAATTTTCTCCCCTTCTGTAGGGTGTCTGTTCATTCTGATGATAGTTTATTTTGCTGTGCAGAAGCTCTTTAGTTTGATTAGATCCCATTTGTCAATTTTGGTTTTTGTTGCAATTGCTTTTGGTGTTGTAGCCATGAAGTCTTTCCCAATACCTATGTCCTGAATGTTATTCCTAGGTTTTCTTCAAGGTTTTTATGGTTTTGGATTATACATTTAAGTCTTTAATCCATCTTGGGTTAATTTTTGTATAATGTGTAAGGAAGGCATCCCGTTTCAGTTTTCTGCTTACAGCTAGCCAGTTTTTCCAGCACCATTTATTAAATAGGGAATCCTTTCCCCATTGCTTGTTTTTGTCAGGTTTGTCAAAGATCAGATGGTTGTAGATATGTGGTGTTATTTCTGAGGTCTCTGTTCTGTTCCATTGGTCTATATGTCTGTTTTGGTACCAGTACCGTGGTGTTTTGGTTACTGTATCCTTGTAGTATAGTTTGAAGTCAGGTAGTGTGATGCCTCCATCTTTGTTCTTTTTGCTTAGGATTGTCTTGGCTATACAGGCTCTTCTTCAGTTCCATATGAAATTTAAAGTAGTTTTTTCTAATTCTGTGAAGAAAATCAATGGTAACTTGATGGGAATAGCATTGAATCTATAAATTACTTTGGGCAATATGGACACTTTCATGATATTGATTATTCTTATCCATAAGCATGGAATATTTTTCCATTTGTTTGTGTCCTCTCTTATTTCCTTGAGCAGTGGTTTGTAGTTCTCTTTGAAGAGGTCCTTCATGTCCCTTGTAATTTGTATTCCTAGGTATTATATTCTCTTTGTAGCAATTGTGAATGGGAGTTCACTCATGATTATGCTCTCTGCTTGTCTGTTGTTGGTGTATAGGGATGTTTGTGGGTTTTGCGCATTGATTTTGTATCCTGAAATTTGCTGAAGTTGCTTATCAGGTTAAGGAGTTTTTGGGCTGACCTGATGGATCCCTAGTCATCTTTAAACAGTGGAAAGGAAACAGAGTGGATGAAGAACAATAATTTTTAAAAAATATTTTATTCTACTTGAGGTCTACTTTTTGCAGTTATATCCATGTCTCATGTAATTTCTTCTTTTTCAGTTTCTCCCTGTAACATCTTCTTGTATATTTTCTTATAGCTCTAGTCACATTCTGTAATTACTGTATGTGATTAGTTATTTACTGTCTCCCTCATAGTAGTGTGCCCACCATGAGGGTAGAAACCCTGTGAGTGTTGGCACCACTTCATCCCCAGAAACTATTTCATAGGTGTTGAACTAATAACTCAAATAATATATACTTGACATTGCAGAAAAGATTATTTCATAGATGATGACTAAAATATTGAGTGGTGGTCTACATCCAAGAGTCAAGGTGCTCTTTAGAAAATTATAATTACCATTTGGCAGGCAATATATTGAATTCATCAAAGCATTAAAGTGAAATATGAATCCAAGAGAAGAACACAATCCTGACTTATACTGGCCAACCACATACTATATAGGATAAGATTGTATTGTAAATAGCAATAAAAAAATTGTAGAAAAAACTTTAGTAATTATCAGGGAGAAACTAAAGATGATGAACAGGACAATGTTCATATGTCATATATATGCCATAGATATATACTTACAATACCTATGTCATAGATATATTTGTACTTCATTGCATGGATTGTATGTGATGGAGTAAGATTGATTTTTAAAATAACAAAATTCAAGTTTTTATGAGTATACTTGAGACTTTTGCAGCACTATTTATGGATTGAATATAAAAATTGAAAATAAATTGGCACTAGAGGTTAAAAATATGTGCACGACAATTCAAGAACTTGTTGGGAAGCATAGAGGAAGGGGCTGACAGCCTACAGGCAAGTATACACTGAGAAGAAAGAAGTAATAATGTTGGGGAAATAAATAGGCTACAGATATTCTAGACACTTAGAGAATATGGATAATTACAGCAGCAAAACAAAACAGTGACTAAAAAGTGCCAATTATCTGGACATCTAATGGTAATCTTTAACCAAAATTGATTTTAGAAATTAGAAAAAGGAGCAAGGGTTATTGTTAATCTGGACTTATTTCTGGAATTAAAGGAGAAATGGCTAATGATGCAAAAGTAATAGAAAGTTTGAGAGAAAATAAACATAGAATTTTGATGATTCTGACCATAAAGTTAATTGAGTAATTAACACAGTCAGATATGGGTACATGTATACTAGGTGTTAGGAAATCAGTTTTTTTTTTAAATATGAGAAAAGTTATTTTTTTTTTCTAATGACAAAAACCTCTAAAGTCTTAAAATAAAGTTTTATAAAACACACATGAGAAGAAGAAGCAAACAATTTTTAAAAAATTGCCCAAATGAGAAAATTGCTGATAACCTGAGGTTTAAAATTAGGAAATAGAAGGCAGATCATTAAAAAGCATCACCAATGTTAGAGGCAAACATTCAATGTTTGAGGTTAAAATTCATTAGACCAGTGGTGAAAATATTTTATAGCATGTGAAAAAAAACTAAGGAAACAAAAGATGATTTATAGTATATTAGTGAATTAAATAAAATAGAAGGGACCAACTCAATGTTTTATAAAGTTGGTGAAGGCAGAGAAGGAAAAAGGACTACTGTACAAGCTGTATTTACTTCTATCTTCCCCATCTAGTAGAATTATCTTCAAATTGGAAGGAATAGAACAGATATTACAAACATTTTGGAATGATTAAAACATGAGATACTATATAGAACAGTGAGATAGTACAACTTTGTAAATGAATTCAAAGCACCTGTATTCAGATAATTTAAGTTAGTTACAGAGGAGTATCAAGAAAATATATTCATCAGATTTGAACACAAGCATTTTTAGTAGGTTTGAGGAATCCATTGGTTATAAAACATCCACCAGATATCTAAACACTAGCACATGTTGTCCCAGATTTTCAGACACGGAAGAGGGGGATTTCATATACTACTGTTAAATACATTTAAAGTACATTTAGGCAAATTCCAGAAAAAGATTTTTGTGCAGATGGTTTATGAACTTTAAATAAAAATGCATTTTCTAGGAATGAAGATGAATTGACTTAGAATGTCATGAAAAATTAAAATAATTTGTTTTGTAAACGTAGTTTCCAGATTGGCAGATCAGATGAACCACACATATGTAAATTTTGATATTTGATAAAGCCTTTTTATCAAGTCATGAAAAGTAATCGTTCACATAGTAACAAAGTTTGGAGAGTCATAATAGGTTAGTATTGGGGGAATGGTAAAAGGATATGTGAAAAACCTGCTCAATAACTTGGACAAAAGAATGAAAAACAGATTTTTCAAATTTTCTGCTGGCACATCTTGGGATGAATTGTCAAATAAAGATGAAAAACATCTTGACAGGCTCAAATTATAGACAAGTCTAAGATACATCTAATTACAGAAAGTCTAATAAACTGCAGAAAGTCTAAGATACAATCTAATAAAAATAAATTTAAAATCCTGACATTAGAATAATTGTGATTGCACATTTGCAATCACTGATTGCTGGAGTCCTTAATTAGAAGCAATTAATGTAGAAAGCCCATGATAATTTTGAAGAACCTCAAGCTCATTGTAAACCAACCTGGATTTGGTACATAAAATCGCAGTGAAGGTTTATAATGTTAGCAGCATGATAGCTAGAGCAATGTAGGAAATGGAATTAGTGCTTTCTTTAGTACTTCGTGCTACATTGTAAGATGCAATTAGAGAATGGAAATGATAAAAGAAATGATCAAAGTGATGAAAAGTTGTGAAACCACATCATAAATGGAAGGCTTGAGGGAAGTTGTAAGGAAAGAAAGACTTGAAGACATGTGGTATATATTTTCTTTTTCTTTCTTTTTTTTTTTTTTTTTTTTTTTTTGAGACGGAGTCTCACTCTGTCACCCAGGCTGGAGTGCAGTGGCGCGATCTCCACTCACTGCAAGTTCCGCCTCCTGGATTCATGCCATTCTCCTGCCTCAGCCTCCCGAGTGGCTGGGACTACAGGTGCCTGCCACCATGCCTGGCTAATTTTTTGTGTTTTTAGTAGAGACAGCGTTTTACCTTGTTAGCCAGGATGGTCTCAAACTCCTGACCTCGTGATCCTCCTGCCTCAGCCTCCCAAAGTGCTGGGATTACAGGCGTGAGCCACCGTGCCCAGCCAACATGTGGTATATATTTTCTAAGGGCTGTGACAGGAATAAGAAAGGAGGAAGGAAAAGAGAGAAATGAAAGGAAGGGGAGATGGATAAGGAGAGAGGAATAAGTGAAAGGATATGTTTTGAAAAGATGAAGGTTAAAGAAGAGGACCTAACGTTTTAATGCCTATTCTTCCCTAGGAACTTTGTTACATGCTGAAAAAATATTTGATTTTTTTTTCATTTTTGGAGGAAGAGTACATTTTCATTTTGAAAGAAAGATGGAGTAGATACATTATTTAGGGTGCAGAACAAAATAAAATGCACAGAATTTTGAGGGAGAGTAATTTGGGTACATTATGAAATAGAACTTCATAAATTATAGCTTTCCAGCAACAACAAATGGGTACCTTAAAAGGGGTGTTATTCCCATTACTTCAAGTATCACAGCAAATTTGAAGCTTTAATGGTTATTTCTTATGCGTGTTCTGAAAGCAGTTCCCACATTTGGAAGTTGAATAATGAAATAATTTCCAATAGCATCTCTAATACCAAAACATGTCATTTCTTTATGTTAATTACCAGGAAAGAGTTGAAAAACAAATATAAGACAGTTTCCAAGAGTTAACTTTTGATTGTGTTTGTTATTGGGAAGAGCAGTCATGAATAATGAATCTGAAGGGAGACAAAAACATTCTTTAAGTTATTAGTCTACATTTTTTTATTTTTTTTTATGCTTCAAGGTTTAAAAAGTTATGCTTTGGGAGTTTAAATCCTCTTTTTTGAAAATATAATAATATTATATATTTATTTAGCATTACTGTGTGCCAGGCATTATTCTGAACACTTTAACCATATTAACTCATTTAATCCTCAGAATAACTCTGTGGCTTATATAGCATTATGATTATTGTCTTACAAATAAAACAAGGCACAAAGTTAAGTAACTTCCTAAGATCTTACAACTAGTAAATATTTGGGATGGGTTGGTGAAGAGTACTAAAATGCCCAAAACACTGATAAAAACAAAATAGAATTTGAGATGCAAGACCAACGACAAACTGACAGTATCAGGTCTACATATTGTGAGAACAATGTATATGGTATTACTTACACAAAGTAACATATGTGGTATTTCAATGCATTCTATATCAAAGATGTGGGCAATAAGACAATTTTCTTTTACCAAATTACAATCTTATTATGAATGACCTGACAACAGTATAGCAGCATATTCTCTGAACAGATCTAACAATTGTATGCAACTAAAAATGCTAAAAAAATTTATTTTATAATCACTTTATACAAATCCAAGAACTGTCAAAAAAGTAGGCAATAATAAGATGCTGATAAAGGTAAATGGAACATGAAAGCTGATTTTTTTTCTGTTAAGAACATTTACCAAATAAATTTAAATCGAGTTTTAGTTTGAAGCATTTTAGAATTCAGGGGTTAGAAAGCCAAGCTCAGGGCCCACTAAATTTGAGGTGTCTAGTGGAAGATCATCACCATTAAAATGATACCTCTAAGTGCTACACATACAGTCTAAATGTAAATTTTACCCTTAAAGAAAATTTCCTGTCTCAAACCCTGGCACTGAGTGTAGGAGGAAAAAAAACTCTCAGAATTCATAACTACAAGCTGCTCCTCACATACATTGCTACCAAAATTCACACTACATAGGTGGTGTGAAAGAAAAAATTATTCTGATACTTGTTAAAATGGCATGACAGGCTTTATTCAGGGCTATCATTATTAAAGAAACTACTGAAATGGGGCTTTGCAGTAGGGTGGAAAGATTGGTCTCAACTCTGAGTACAACAAAGAAAAATGAGAATTAATAGCCAAGGAGCAGAGTGTGCAGGTGTGAGCAGGAGGGAGTTGTCATTACTAAGTGGAAACAACAGGGTAAGGTTGGGGGTGGGGATTCTGCTAAACCTATCTAGCATGATACTTGCTTAAGGCAAGCCAGTGTGATCAGACCTTGGAGATGGTATGGTATGAGGAATTTGGTCAGATGAGAGTGATCAGATGTCACGGATAAGGGATTCTGGCTAAATGGACTTAACAGAATTCTTGTTAAAATTGGACTCTTAAGGATGGGGCCTAGTTTGTAAAAGAGCCCAGAGGATTGTGATTAGTTGCCTCAAGGAGAGAATCTTTGTCAGTAGTTATGGACTGTAGGTTGCCCAATACCACAGTAGGAGTTTTAGAAAGAGAAGAGAGAGAAAATGAAGTAGAGGCAATATTTGAGGAGCCAACAGCTAAGAATATTTTTGAAGCTACAGAATTAAGCCTAATTATATAAAGCTAGAAAAATAAAAATAAAGTCATTAAAAATAAAACTTTCAAATTTCTAATGCAAAGATAAGGTATAAAATGTAGCTAGAGATGAAGGATGAGTTAATTTAAAACATCAATTGGAAGCTAAATGTCAGTGGAATGTCACCTTCAACATGCTGAGAGAAGTAGTTGTCCACACAGAATTCTATATCCAACAAAAATATCTTTTAATATTGTAAGTGTAAAAAAAAATTTTCAGACAAAGAAAAATTGTGTTCCAGTAGAAAATTCTCATTAAAAGACTATTTAAACTACACTTCTGTCAGAAGAAAAGAGATTCCCAGATGGGAGATCTGAGACACAATATAAAAGGAAGAGTTGAGAAAGTGGTTAATATGTTGAAAAATATATATAAACATTGATATCTAAATATAAAATAAAAACGTAAAACACCTTAAGAGATAAAAACCAATTTGCAAATTTGCAACAAACACAAACAGTAATAAGATAGCATGTAAATAGATAAAGAGTTCAGGAACAACAGTGTTCTAAGATTTTCAAAAGGAAGATAAAATTGTTATTGATTTTAGACAATAAAACCAATAGTGACCATTAAATTTTTTTAAAAATGAATATACATTATGATATTAATGGAGAAATTTTAAAAGATAATGCAGAAGAAGACAGAGAGGAGCTTTATAGGCAGGAGGGAGTAGCATGACATATTCAAAGTGCTGAAGGAAAAAAAAATTATCCTAGAGTATTATACCTGGCAAAAATTCCTTCCCAGACAAACAAAAGCTGGGGGATTTTGTCAATACCAGACCAGTTCTACAAGAAATGCTAAAGGGACATCTTCAATCTGAAAGAAATGGATGTTAACAAGCAATTAGAAATCATCCACAGATACAAAACTCACTGTTAACAATAAGTACATAGACAAATACAGAATACTCTAACACTGTAACTGTGGTGTGCAAACCACTCATATCTTGAGTAGGAAGACTAAAAGACAAACCTATCAAAAATAATTACAACTTTTTAAGAGAGAGGTAGTGCAAAAAGATAGAAACAACAAAAAGTCAAAAAATGGTGGGGGGAGCATGGAATGAAAAGTATAGATTTTTTTGTTTAGTTTTCCCTTTGTTTGTTTTTTTATAATCAGAATTAAGTCGTAATCAGTAATAATGTAGCCAGTTATGTTATTTGCAAGCCTCATGGTGATCTCAAATCAAAAACGTAAAACAGATACACTAAAAATAAAAAGCAAGAAATTAAAACACTACCAGAGAAAATCACTTTTAACAAAGGGTGATAAGAAGCAAGGAAGGAGGAAAGAAAGTTTTTTTTTTCTTTTTTCCATAAGATGGCTGATTAGAGGTTTTTAGCATGCCTCAGACACTTGGAAATAGCAAGATATTGCATAAAGATCACTTTGAGCTTTAATTCAAGATGGAAAATGAGAATCCACCAGAACTGTGGACGACACCCCAGATCCCAAGGAACAGAACCCAGGCAAACAACCCGCATCACAGCATCTGGCTGATAAAAATGATTGAAGTCCCAGTATGTGAGAGAGGCAGAGAGCCTTCCTCTGTGACTCACCTTCTTTCTGGGGATCTGGAGCAACCTAGGCCTATGGAGAGCATTTTGTTTCTCTCAAGGCTTGGAGAGATAAGATGGTGAGAGGCTTGGAGGCATTGAGAGAAAAAGACACCAGGAAAAGGTGCAGGCATTTTCCCAGACCCAGGATTTAGAGCAGTGTGCCATTGTTAATCCAAGGGACATAAAAAGTCAGTTGCTCTTTGGCAACCCAGACAAAGAATGGCCATGCAGGCATTCTGTCTTGGGCCAGAAATGGGAGCACTTGCTCTAGAGCGGGTTAGGGGCCTGCACAGCCAGAATTGTGGAAAGCACCTCAGCAGTAGGCACTGGAACTGTGCTCTCTCCCATCTCAGGCCTGGGACAGGAGGAGTGCTGCAATGGCTGCAGTTTCTCCTCGAAGGTGAGACTTGCAGCCAGGGCCAGCTTGGAGATATGAAACTGATCTGCATGTGTCATTGCTGGGTACCTCAGCCTGCTCCCCTGATACGGTAGAGTAGCAAGGCCCTCTTCACTCCACCCCCAGACAGAACTCCAAGCATTAGGAGCGCACACTTCCCTGGAACAGCAGCCTGAGCTGTCCCACTCTTGCTATACATAGATTGTGGTGCAGTGATGTCCTCTTCACTCCACACCCAGGCAGATCTCCAGGCATTTGGAGCACTCCCTCACTCAAATCAGCAGCATAAGCCATCCACCCTTCCTGTGCATAGATCATGGTGCAGTGGAGCCCTCTCCACTTCACACCCAGACAGATCTCCAGGCATTTGAAGCACACATTCACATGGACTAGCAACATGAGGCCCTCTACCATTTCTGTGCAGAAAGGGTGCAAGGGGTCTTTCTCTGCTGCACAACCAGGCAGATCTCCAGACATTCAGAGCATTTCTATATTATATGCCAACAGTGAACAATCTGAAAAAGAAATCATGAAAGTAATACCATTTATAAAAGCTGTAAATAAAATACCAAGGAATAAACTTAACCAAATAAATGAAAGAGCTCTACAAAGAAAACTATAAAACATTATGAAAGAAAAGAAGAAAACACGCACACAAATGGAATGATAGTCTATGTTCATGGATTGGAAGAAACAATATTGTTAAAATGTCCATAGTACACAAACCAATCTACCGATTCAGTGCAATTCCTATCAAAATACCAATGACATTCCTCAAATAAATAGGAAAAACAATCCTAAAATTTATATGGAACCACAAAAGACCCAGAATAGCCAAAACCATCTTGAATAAAAATAGCAAAACTGAAGGAAACACATTACTCGATTTCAAATTATATACTGCAGAGCTATAGTAATCAAAACAATATGTCACTGTCATAATAACAGACTCATAGACTATTGGAACAGAATAGAGAACCCAGAAATAAATCCACACATCTACAAAGAATTCATTTTCAACAAAGGTGCCAAGAACATACACCGGGGAAAGGACAGTCTCTTTAATAAATACTGTTGCATAAACTGGATATCCATATGCAGAAGAATAAAACTAGACTCTTATCTCTTGCTGTACACAAAAATCAAATCAAAATGGATTAAATACTTAAATCTAACACCTGAAACTATAAAATTACTAAAAGAAAACATTGGAGAAACTCTTCAGGAAACTGGGCAAAGATTTTTTGTGTAACACCTCAAAAGCATAGTTAACTGAACAAAAATAGACAAATGGACTCACATAAATTTAAAAAGCCTCTACACAGTAAAGGAAACAATTAAAGGCAAGAGACAACCCACAGAATGGGAGAAAATATCTGCAAACTAGTCATCTGACAATGGATTGATAGAATATATAAGGAGTTCAGACAACTCAATAGGAAAATATCAAATAATCTGATTTAAAATGGACAAAGATCTGAATAGACTTTTCTCAAAAAAGACATATGAGTGACCAACAGGTATATGAACAGTGCATCATTAATCAGAGAAATACAAATCAAATCTACATTAAGATATCATCTCACCCCAGTTAAAATGGCTCAGATCCAAAAGACAGGCAATATTGAAGCTGATGAAGATCTGGAGAATGGGGAATCCTTGTACACTGTTGGTGGAAATATAAATTAGTTTAGCCACTATGGAAAACAGCATGAGGGTTTCTCAGAAAATTAAAATTCGAGGTACCATATGACCCAGCAATCCCACTGCTGGGTGTATATCCAAAAGAAAGGAAGTCAACATGCCAAAGAGATTGGCAATGCAATTCTTGAATGTGAACCAATAAGCTATGTGTAAGCAGGAGACTTGTTTTATCAGATATTTAAAAAACTCTATAAAGTATATTAATATAACTATTGAATGTAGTGTTGGTATAGGAATAAACATATTCACTGATTAAATATGAACGTGGAAGTGATTTAGAAAATAGCTGATATTGCAGATAAGTGGAAAATGGAATTTTCAATAAATGTTACTAAAACAATGGTTAGTTGGGTAGGGAAAAATAAGATCAAGTCCCATGCTACATAAAATATACAAACAACTATTTTGGGCAATTGGAGATTTAAACATAAATCATAAACATTTAAACATAAAACAAAAAATTGTACAATCTTTGAAAGTTAATACAGGAGATTATCTTTATGAATTTACAGAAGGGAACAATAATGTGAACACTACACAAAAACTTGAAAAAATACTGCAAAAATTGTAGATGAAATATAGGATGAGGAAGAATGCAAGGAACTCTAAAGATTACATAAATATTTTTTAAAAAACAGGATGGGCATGTGAATGTTTTCCATTATGTTTCTTTATACTTGACATATCTTATACATACTTTTCTGTATTATGTATTCAATTGAAAACATTAAAAAGTAATCTATTCTAATTATGTTATGTTGCTACCCAGGTAGAAATATTGAATGTATGACCAAAATTGAATGTCAGAAAACATTTAAGAACCAGACACTTTTTCAAGCTCATGAAAAGTGGATACAAAATAAATATAGCTGATTTCAGTGTAAAAACACCTCCCACCAGATCCCACTACCAACACTGGGGATTACATTTCAACATGATAGTTGGAGGGGACAAACATCCAAACTATATCAAGTAATATTTTGGGCATCATTCTTGTGTGTATTGACCATTTGCATATCTCTTTTGAAGAAATGTCAAGTAAGGTTCTCTGACCATTTTAAAATTGGATTGATTGTCTTTGTATTGCCAAGTTGCAAGAATCATTTATACATTCCAATACAAGTTTCTTCTCAGATATATAATTTGCAATATTTTGTCCCATTCTGTGTGTTGTCTTTTAACTGTATTGATATTGTCCTTTAAAACAGAAAGGGTTTTAAGTTTGACAAAGTTCTGTTTATCTAAATTATCTAGTTTTTTTCTTTTTCATTTGTGCTTTATGTATGCTTTATGCTTCATTAACTCTATCTTTGACGTAAGTTTTGAATTTGGGAAGTTTGAGTCCTCCAATTTTATTGCGAGATCTGGCCAACAGCCCACAATGCAACGGGGCTCTCTCTTTGTTCCCAGGCAGAAATAGGAACACTTTTACACTGTTGGTGGGACTGTAAACTAGTTCAACCCTTGTGGAAGTCAGTGTGGTGATTCCTCAGGGATCTAGAACTAGAAATACCATTTGACTCAGCCATCCCATTACTGGGTATATACCCAAAGGATTATAAATCATGCTGCTATAAAGACACATGCACACATATGTTTATTGCGGCACTATTCACAATAGCAAAGACTTGGAACCAACCCAAATGTCCAACAATGATAGACTGGATTAAGAAAATGTGGCACATATACACCATGGAATACTATGCAGCCATAAAAAATGATGAGTTCATGTCCTTTGCAGGGACATGGATGAAATTGGAAATCATCATTCTCAGTTAACTATCACAAGAACAAAAAACCAAACACCACATGTTCTCACTCATAGGTGGGAATTGAACAATGAGAACACATGGACACAGGAAGGGGAACATCACACTCTGGGGACTGTTGTGGGGTGGGGGGAGGGGGGAGGGATAGCTTTAGGAGATATACCTAATGCTAAATGACGAGTTAATGGGTGCAGTACACCAGCATGGCACATGTATACATATGTAACTAACCTGCACATTGTGCACATGTACCCTAAAACTCAACAATATTTTAAAAACTTAATCCTTAATTAGTTAAAAAACTTAATTCTTAATTGTGGACACAGTTTACAATTATTTTGTTAAATTTATCCCTGAGTCTTTTATCCTTTTAATGCCATTATAAATGGAATTGTGTTTTTAGTTTTATTTTTGGATGCTTCATTGCAAGTGTATAAAAATATCACTATTTTTTGTATATTGTCAGGAAACTTTGGCAAACGGGTTTATTAGCTCTAGTAATTATTTTTGTGGATTCCTTAGGATTTTCTGTATACAAGACAATGGATGCCTTTATTTCATTTTCTTACCCAATTGCTGTGATTAGGCTCTCCAGTTAAAAAGTTTAACAGCAGGCCCAGCGCAGTGGCTCATGCCTGTAATCCCAATACTTTGAGAGGCCGAGGCAGGGGGATCACGAGGTCAGGAGTTTGAGACCAGCCTCACCAACATGGCGAAACCCCATCTCTACAAAAAATACAAAAATTAGCCACGTGTGGTGGTGCCTAGCCTGTAATCCCAGCTACTCAGGAGGCTGAGGCAGGAGAATCGCTTGAACCTGGGAGGCGGAGGTTGCAGTGAGCCAAGACCATGCCACTGTACCCCAGCCTGGGTGACACAGCAAGACTCCATCTCAAAAAAAACAAAAACAAAAACAGGCCAGGCAGGTGGCTCACGCTTGTAATCCCAGCACTTTGGGAGGCTGAGGCAGGCGGATCATGCTGTCAGGAGATTGAGACCATCCTGGCTAACAGGGTGAAACACTGTCTCTAATAAAATACAAAAAATTAGCTGGGCGTGGTGGTGGGCGCCTGCAGTCCCGGCTACACGGGAGGCTGAGGCAGGAGACTGGCGTGAACCCGGGAGGTGGAGCTTGCAGTGAGCCGAGATCCTGCCACTGCACTCCAGCCTGGGAGACAGAGCGAGACTCCATCTCAAAAAACAAACAAACAAATTTAATAGCAGTAGTGAAAGCAAATATGCTTGTTCTGTTTCTGATCTTTTGTGAAAAATATTCACTCTTTCACCACTAATTATGATATTAGCTGTAGCTTTTCCAGATATTTCTTTTTTTTAGGTTGAGGAAGTTCGCTTCTTTTCCTAATTTGTTGAATGTTGTTGTTTTAATCATGAAAGGGCATTGAATTTTGTAAAATACTGTATCTCTTGAGATAATCAGGTGTTTTTTATCCTTTGCTTCTATTAAGGTGATATATTACATTGATTGATTTTCGTATATTGAGCTGTCTTGCATTCCTGAGATCAATCCCACATGATCATGGTGTTTTTATGTGTTGCTGGATTGAGTTTGCTAGTAATTTATTTAGGATTTTTGCACTTCATTTATAAGAAATTAATCTGTATTTTGCTTTCTTGTGATGTCTTTGTTTTTGGAATTTGAATAATACTGGTTTCAATAAATTGACTTGAGATATGTTGCCTCCTTTTCTGTTTGGACGAAGAGTTTTGGAAGGATTGCTATTCATTAGTCTTTTGTGTTTTATAGAATTCAACAGTGAAGTCCTCTGGTCCTAAAATTTTCTTTGCTGTTATATATATAATTACTTAATCTCTTTACTTGCTATATAGATCTATTTAGATTTCCTGTTTCTTCTTGAGTCCGTTTAGATTATTTGTGTCCTTCTATAAATTTGACCGTTTCATCAGAATCATCTAATTTCTTGACAAATAGTTGTTCATAGTAACATGTTACTAATATGTTATTATTTCTTTAAGATAATTAGTGATGTTCCTGTCTTTTGTTTCTAATTTAGTGGTTCATGTTTTCTCTTTTTTAATCTTGGTCAATCTAGTTGAAGTTTTATCAGTTTTGTTGATCTTTAGAAGTACCATTTTTTAAAAGTTTATTCTTTTTATATTATCTGTATCATTTATTTCTTCTCTTGTCCTTAGTACATCCTCTGTTTAACTTGCTTCGAGTTTAGTTAGCTCTTCTTTTTTTTTTCCAGTTTCATATGGTAGAAGTTATTTTAAGATCTACCTTCTCTTTAAATATAAGTGTTTAAAACTACAGATTTCTATCTAAACACTGATTTAGTTGTATCTCATATTTTTAGCATGCTGTAATTTTGTTTTAATTCATCTTACAGTATTTTCTAATTTATCTTATCATTTCTTCTGTTTTGTATTGGTTATTTAGGAGTGTGTTATTAATATCCACACATTCACAAACTTCCAAAATTTCCTTCTGTTGTTGATTTCAAATTTAATTCTGTTGTGGTTGGAAAATATTCTTTGCTTGATTTTAGTCCTCTGTTTATTGCAACTTATTTTATGGCGTAGCATGTAGTCTATCCAAGTAGAATGTTCAATTTGTGCTTCAGTAGAATATAAATTCCGCTTATTGCCTAGAATGCTCTATAAAGATGGATGTTATTTCTATATCCTTTTTTTGGTGTACACATTATTTAGAATGAGGTACTAAAGTCCCCAGTTAACACTGTTGAATTGTCAATTTAAAAATTCTTTCAGTTTTTGCTTTGTATATTGGAGACTTAGCTTACTTTCATGAAATCTTTCTATTTTCATAAAACTTGAAAATCCACAAGACAAATAAATTTGTTAAATAACTGACTTAAGCCAAAGTGAAATTTTAGTTTTTACAATTATGCCCATTATATTTAAAATAAAGTAAATTGATTTATTGCATTAAAATGTATTGGCAAAGTATAAATAGTAATACTAATAAATAGTAAGCAAATAAATATGAATTAAATGTGGCCAAAGACAAAATTTCATATAGGACTTTGTAAAAATAATATCTTTGTGGGTAACATGATGAGGTTCACATACGTACCTCGGGGTTAATAATATTAAATATTTTAATATTGTGTGATTTTAACATATGTATCTTTAAATGATGTCTGTTTAACTTATACATGCATATAAAACACTGTTTTTGAAACTTAAACTAAAAATATGTTACTCTCTCACATGAAACCTGTACATAGTTAATGATCAGTTTATTTCATTCAATTATGAATCAAACATGACACAACTACACAAAGATTTCATTTTCTACTGAAATGAGTTTATTCTGCTCTTGCTCTTGATTTTTATAAGTAAGCAAACTGTTCCTCCCACATGAAAGAGGTTGAAAACCACAGCAAAAATGTCCACTGTTTTCTTACAAATGGCAAGAAATGCTTCTTTCACAGAAATCTAGAACTCATCTAGGGTAAAAATCAAGAAATCTTATCCTGAATGTGTGATTAGCTGCATCTCATAAAGTGCTTTCTCTTGCTCAAAGTCAGTATCAGCATAAGATTAAGAAAAATGATCCCTGACCTAACCATACATTTATGTTGAATGTGAAGGAAACCACCATCTAGATTTGTTTTTCAGTTTTTCCAGGTGGTTTTTTTATATGACTTGAGACTTGCTGATATCTTTCCCACTCTCAATCCCAAGAAGCTGTGGAAGCCTTTTAAGATTTCCTTTTGCTGCATTTTTCCCCTAAAGATTCTATTTTGTTTTGAGCTAACAAATTTGTTAAGTGAAGTCAAAACATTTTCTTCAGTGGTTTGCAAAAACTTGTTCAATTGGCTCATGTTATTAAAAAAAGTCTGCTAAGTTACTGGCTTTCACAGATATTTTGTTCAAAATCTGGCCTCCCATATTTTGAAGGTACTATTTTAATTCACTTAAAATATTTTTTAAAGAGTAGTTTTAGGTTCACAGCAAAACTGAGAGGAGGGTAAAGAGATACTCCATATACCCCATTTCCCCACACATGCATAGCCTCCTCCATTATCAACATCCCCCACCAGAGTGGTACATGCATTACCGTTGATGAACCTATGTTGACATACCATTATCACCTAAAGTCCATAGTTTGCATTAGGATTTACCCGTAGTATTATACATTCTTTGAGCTTAGACAAATGTTAAAAGACATGTATCCACCACTATAATAAAATACAGAGTATTTTCAATGTCCTAAAAATCCTCTGTACTCTGCATATTCATAACTCCAAGCCTCCAAGTCCTGGCAACCACTAATCTTTTTACTGTCGACACAGTTTTGCCTTTTCCAGAGTGTCATATAGTTGGAATCATACAGTACGTAGCCTTTTCAGATTGGCTTCTTTCACTTAGTAATATGCATTTAAGTTTCCTTCATGTCTTTTTTATGACTTGATAGCTCATTTTTAAATCACTGAATAATATTCCATTGTCTGGATGTATCACAGTTGATTTATTAGGTTACCTACTGAAGGACATCTTGGCTGCCTCTAACTTTCAGAAATTACTAATAAAGATCTGTGACCCATTTTAAGTTAATTTTTGTGAAGGGTTTAAGATCCGTGTCTAGATTCATTTTTTTTTTTTTTTGCACATGAATATCTAAATTTTCCAGTTCCATTTTGTTAAAACAACTATCTTTTCTCCATATCACTTGTTCTTCTTTGTCAAAGATTAGTCGATGATATTCACGTGGGTCTATTCTATTCTCGTTCACTCATATATTTATCTGTTCTTTTAACAATGTCCCAGTCTTTATTACAGTATCTTTATAGTAAGTCTTGAAATCAGTTAGTGTCAATTCTCCAACACAAATTCTTCAGTATTGTGTTGGTCATTCTGGGTCTTTTGCCTGTCCATATAAACTTTAGAATTAGTTTTTCAATATCCACAAAATAACTTCGGGTGATTTTGACTGGGATTGTACTGAACCTATAGATCAAATTGGAAAGTAAGGACAACTTGGCAATATTGAGTCTTCCTACCTATGAGTATGGAATAGTTCTTCATTTATTTGGTTCTTTGATTTTTCTCAACAGAGTTTTGTAATTTTTCTTTTATGTGTTTTTAATGTCAAATATTACTTATTCATTGCTGGTATGTAGAAAAGCAACTTTTTTTTTAGTAAATGAACCTTATATATTGTGCAGTCTTGTTATAGCCATTTATTTGTTCCAGAAGAATTTTTGTCATTTTTTCAAATTTTTGACATATGCAATCATATTATCCGCTAAAAAAGATTATTTCTTCCTTCTAAATCTATATACCATTTATTTCCTTTCCTTGTTTTATTGCATTATCTAGGACTTCCAGTATAATGTTGAAAGGGTGTGGTAAGAGGGAACATCCTTACCTTGTTCGTGGTCTTGGTGAGACAGTTTCTAGTTTCTCACTATTAAATATGTTAGCTGTCAGTTTCTAAAAAATATTCTTTATCAAGTTGAGGAAGCTCCCCTCTATTTCTAGTTTATTAAGATTTCTTTAAAAATTATGAGTGGGTGTTGAATTTTGTCAAATAGTTTTGTTTTGTTTTGTTTTGTTTTGTTTTGTTTTGAAACAGAGTCTTTCTCTGTCGCCCAGGCTGGAGTGCAGTGGCACCATCTCTGCTCACTGCAAGCTCTGCCTCCTGGATTCAAGCCATTCTCCTGCCTCAGCCTCCCAGGTAGCTGGGACTACAGGTGCCCGCCACCACGCCCAGATAATTTTTGTATTTTTGGTACAGGCAGGGTTTCACCGTGTTAGCCAGGATGGTCTCGATCTCCTGACCTCGTGATCTGCCGCCTTGGCCTTCCAAAGTGCTGGAATTACAGGCATGAGCTACGGTGCCAGCCAATTTTTCTTCTTTAGCCTATTGATGTGATGAATTACATTAATTCTTTTTGAATGTTGAATCAGCCTCACCTACCTGGGATAAACACTAATTGGTTATGGTGTACAATTCTTTGTATACATTGTTGGATATGATTTGCCAAAGTTTTTGAGGAGTTTTTGCATCTATGTTCAAGAGAGATATTGTCTATAGTTTTCTTGTAATTTTTGTCTGGTTATGGTGTTAGCGAAATTCTGTCCTCATAGAATAAATGAGGAAGCATTCCCTATGTTTTTATTTTCTGAAAAATATTGAAGAGAATTGATATAATTTCTACCATAAATATTTGGTAGAATTCACCAGCGAACCTATCTGGGCCTAATATTTTCTGTTTTGGAAGATTATTAATTCTTGATTCAATTTCTTTAATAATGTAGATCTATTTAGATCATTTATTTCTTCTTCTGTGAGTTTTTGCAGATTGTATCTTTCCAGGAATTTGTCCATGTCATTTTAGTTATCAAACTTGTGGCCCTAAAGTTGTTAATGTTATTCCTTTATGATACTTTCACTTATGTAGTGATGTCCCTTCTGTCATTTCTGATATTAGTAATTTGTGCTTTTAGTTTCTAGCCAGTAAGTAGTTAGCCTGGCTAGAAACTTATCACATTTATTGATCTTTTCAAAGAGCCAATTTTTGGTTTTGTCAACTTTATTTATTGATTTCCTGGTTTCAACTTCATTAATTTATTCTCTAATGTGTATTATTTCTTTTTTTTCTGCTCACCTTGGATTTAGTTTGTTCTTCTTTTTCTAGTTTTATAAGGTGGACACTTACATGACTAATTTTAGGTATTTCTGCCTTTTTTTTTTTTTTTTGAGACGGAGTCTCACTCCATCTCCCAAGATGGAGTGCAGTGGCATGATCTCAACTCACTGCAACCTCCACCTCCTGGGTTCAAGTGTTTCTCCTGCCTCAGCCTCCCAAGTAGCTGGAATTACAGTTGCCCACCACCATACCCAGCTGATTTTTGTATTTTTAGTAGAGACGGGGTTTCACCATGTTGGTCAGGCTGATCTTGAACTCCTGACCTCAGGTGATCCACCCGCCTTGGCCTTCCAAAGTGCTGGGATTACAGGCATGAGCCACCATACCCGGCCAGATATTGCTTCTTTTTAATATCTGCATTCAATGACACAAATTTCCCTTTAAGCACTGCTTTTTCTGCATTCTACAAATTTTGATAAGTCATGTTTTCATTTTTACTTAGTTCAAAATATTTTAATTTTTCTTTTGATATTTCTTCCTTGACCCATTTATTGTTTAGAAGTGTGTTGTTTAATCTCCATGTATTTTATGATTTTTATGTTGTCTGTTATTGATTACTAGTTAACTCCATAGAGGTCTGAAAGCAGACATTGTATCATTTCTATTATTTTAAATTTGATAAGGTATGTTTTATCGCCCAGAATATGGCCTAGCTTGATGAACGTCCCATGGGAGCCTGAAAAGAATGTGTATTCCTGCTGTTGTTGAATGAAGTAGTCTGTACATGCCCATTATATCCAGCTGATTGATAGCATTGTTGGGTTCAGCTGTGTCCTTACTGATTTTCTGCCACTTGATCTGACCATCTTTAATTTACTCTTCAACTCAAACACGCTGTTAAAACTCTTACCCTGCTAAATCACCAGATTTTGGAAATGTATCAGGAGATTTATGTGCTCTTTGCCTAGGTTGTCTCATTTTTTTTCCTTAAATCTCAGATGAATTGACCTTTGTTTAATAACATTGACCATTTCTCTGGCATCATCCATAATTTTTAAATGTCATTTCTAAGAGATTTTGACATGATCACTTCCCTGTGAAGAAAGCAGTGTATTGTGAAAACAAAGCCTTTTCTCTTCTTACAGGAGAAGAAAAATTGCCATTGAACCAGTTACTGCTGGAGCACAGTAGGAATAGATGGCAGCACGGTCTCTCTGAGAGATCTGAATTCCGGGTAGAAGTAAAAACATTACGTAGATCATGGCCTTTTCTTGTTTTAGGCAGCTCTTTGTGGCAGAAAATGTTTTATTCAATTTTACCACCCTTTACCAATCTTACCATTGCTTCAACAAAATACATATCATTAAAATATGTTGACTAACCATAACTGAATACAGAAGCTGTGATTTTTGAGTTTTTACATGAAAGAGCTTTGGCATTATGTGACATGTCATCAATACAGTTGTCCCTCGCTATCTCGGGGGATTGGTTCCAGGACATCCAGTGGATATCAAAATTCGAGGATGCATAAGTCATGTAGTATTTGCATATAACCTTGCACATTTTTCCATATATTATAATAATCTCTAGATTACTTAAAATACCCAACACAAAGTAAATCCTATGTAAACAATTGTTATCCTATACTGTTTAGGGAATCATGACAAGAAAAATGTCTGTATATGTTCAGTATGAGAGCAATTTGAAAAAAATATTTTTTTATCTGTGGTTGGTTGAATCCACAAACGTGGAACCCATAAATACAGAGTCTGGTTGTACATTAACTTACTGTACTCTGACAGAGAGGATCCTCTTCTATTTATTTTTTACATCCTGTTCAAGGATTTATTCACTATAATTTGTCATGTTGACATTATTAGTTTCTCACCAATATTGTGAGTTTTCCTTTTCTGAATAATAAGATATGCTACTAAGAATCTTGTGCCCTGAACCTTTTGTTAAATGTTCTTTTTTTTTTAAATGAAAGCTTTGCTCCATTTGTTTGTTAGTGGTAATCACCTTTTAATATAACTCTCAACTTTTCTTATCATATAATTGTGCAGGTGTCTTTTCAATTTTGCTGGAACCATTGCTGCACTTGAATTTGCCACAAATGATGCACAATAGAAGAAAACAGGTTAAGCTACCAACTTATTTAAAGCCTATTAATATTAATAGGTGACATTCATCGTATAAATAACCTTCATCTACACCCCATGTTGTACTGATGCAGTGAAAGCATCCACAAGATGGCTTTCCTCCCTCATCTTTAACCTTATCAGAATTTTCCTTTGACCCAAGCCTAGAAACTTTTCATTTCACACCTGATCCTTAAAAATAGCTGCATTGGGCCTTCAGATATGTTTGTAAAGTACAAACATTGGTAAAATATAAACAAAAAGGTATGCTAGACAACTAAATTTAAAAAAACGCATGCACAGACAATATAAATAAAATAAAAAAAAGTCAACACAATTCACTTTGCATCTATTGAATCTACGTTTTGCATGTTAACAAAAATAGCAGTGTTAGAAGAGGATCTGAGCCACAACACATAAAAATGCCTTCCTTAAGGGAAAAATTTTCTTGATTTTTTCTTTCCTAAGTCAATCAGTGGCACACAAGGAGAAATTAAAAGAGGTAATTTTGGGGAATTGGAGTAGGGGAACTGATGTCATTGGTTTACCATCCCTCCCTCTGTATTATGCAACACTCACCAATTAGCAACAGCTTCTCCTATTTTGCATCAAGTATTGGCAATGGCCTCAACAAAATAAGCCTCGTCCTACAATGTACTGCTGTACAAAGCTGCAGGCTTCTAAACACATTGTTAATGAGGCTATCTGATCTCTACCCATCACTGCAAACACTAGTGTCACACAGTGTACATTCACCCACATGGAGAATGCAGTTGCCGCAGATGAGTGGCAGAGTGAGTGTGGGTCACCATGACACAGAGGTACAGATCTAGGCATGTGAGCCCAAGGTCTGCATGGCAACCAGAGCTCCCCTAGACCAGAAGCCCCACAGCTCAAAGGTTTCTCAGAGAGCAAGACAAATAGCATATTCTACTGTTATCTTCATTTGGTAATTTCTAAAGAAACAGGACTCTGAGCTCATTTTCTCAGGCAGGCTTATATTAGTCATGGCCAGAAATTAACCCTTAACTCAAAGTACTTCATGAAAAATATTATTTCCCTAAAAAATCCTTGTTTACTAGCCATTAGTAACCTGGATAAAAGTAATTACTCATCAAACAAAATCTATGCTTTTTGAATTATAACTTATTATAAGACTTATGTATTTATATGGCCGCTTGACAGAACTGGTTAAAACATGGCATAATAAACCAAATTTCCCTTGGCATTAGGCTATAAAATTAGGGAGTTCTGCCCTATGTGATAACTACTCATTTAATTTCAATCTGGAATTTGAACTTTATGCCTAGGAACATAACTGTTTCTTCTAAAAAGTTGCAACTCATATCATATGTGATATCTCCTTTATTATTAATAGTGTCAATTAGAATTATGTTGAATATTGATTTATGAAAATCCTAAATTCTCTCCATTTCACCCATTAAAAGTCTTATTTCCATAATTATCTCAACAGAATTCCTCATAACATATTTCTTCATGATGAGTATACAACTACACACTTTCTAATGTGTTCTAAAACTGTTTACCTTGATTCAAGAATAAAACATTTTCTGTGTAGCTTCTCTGTCACCCTGTGGAAGGATTGGTGGTTACTCACTGGTAGTTAGAGATCTGATCTATTCTGAGTGCCATCTGTCTAAATAATGGAAAAGGTAGTTTTCATCATTAGATGATTTTGTTTTCTAATCCTTTTTCCCTGCTTATTTTCCCTTCAGGACATATTTTCTATCAAAACTTGAGAAGAAAATGAGAACTCTTTAGTCAGCCAGGCAGCCTGTTTTTAATTTGGGCATAAATGTTGCAAACAAGCTAATTTGGGTTGGAAACTGTTCTCTCCTCCTGCCCTGGAACTGTGACAGAACAGAGGAAACGAGGCTCTTCTAGGTCAGAATGGGGAGAGACATGTGTGTGCCAGTGAGAGCCAAGGACGCTGATTTACAGCCTGAGTGACAGGCCACTCCAGGGCAGGCTGACATTGGTTCTTCTGTCATCACCCCAATGCTTTAATGTTCAGTTGATGAACTGAATAACAAAAGCTATTTTCCCATCTTCCCACGCATCGTTCCCAAACAATATAAAATTCACTGAGTCTGTGCTATATGGCCCCTGGAATATCCTCTACTTTGGAAATGTACAAGTTAGTGTTTCTCTAGGACCATGTGAAAAAAAAACTGGGCAGACCTTTGGAGGGAAGAACGGAGTGACAGTTGGAGGGTAGGGGTATAGGTGAGGGGCTTTTGAGGTACCACCAATGTTCTTTTTGTTTACCTGGTAGATATGTGCATTTGTTCTGTGAGAAATCACTGATCTGTGCATCTACATTTTGAGGATGTTTCTGTTTGTTTAATAGGTGCATATAAATACACATGTATAATGTATACAAATATATCTTTATAAAATTAGATATGTTTATGTAACTACAAACAATATGTAAAAATACACGTATATCATTAAAGACACATAAATATACATTAATGCACACATATGTGCGTGTCTCTGTATTTGTATAGTTCTGCATGTGTATTTGAATATATTTATCTCCCAAAATAAAGAGATAAGAAATAAAATAGAAATTGAAGGAGAGGTTTTATATTCATTAAATACTAGGAGGATGAAATGACTACATTATATGATGACCTGACAATGTAATGTAGTATATTTTGTGTGACCATTTCATCAGGATAACACTGTCACAGAAAATCACAAATGCAAGAAAATGGATAATAACTACAATATCACTGTGAAGAAAGAGTGGTTTTAGAATTAGGATGTATTCTCAGAAGCTAGAGAGCCTAAGTCCTCTTTGTCTCCTTATGTTTTCTCTTATGCAGTGAGTTCAGATAAATATATAGTTTAACTGCTTTATGTTTCAATTTTCTATCTATAAAATGCTATAATACAGTCCTTGTTAATTTTTTATTGTTTATAAACCATCTTGATCCAAGAAGGATAAAAATAGTTTTCAAAGTGTCATGAAGAAACAGCTAAAATATTTTTAAAAGGTTTTTAAAGCTTTAACCTGCAAGTGTATACATTTTCAACAAACCTGCTTAGTCCAGGCAACCAGAACTCCATAGTTACATCCTGCCATGTGCAAGGTGGGCCCAATAACCATCACAGCCCAATAATGTTTCTGTACTTCTGAAAGTACCTTCTCAATAAGGGTTCTATCCAGTTAAAATGGAACCTAAATTTGGATTATTTTGAAAACTCATTCCATCACAGAATTTAAAATCTAAAGGTTTTTTTTGTAGAACATTTGGTTCAACACACCATCCCATTTTATGTATTAATCGAATCCATGTTATTCTAAGAGCTTCATCTTTAAAGACACACCGTACGTAATATCATAAAAAGGTTTCAACCCCATCCTATACACTACAAGATGGGGTGTCTCTTAAACAATTCCTGAAAGGGGTGGAGAACTTCTGACTCCTAGTTCAGTACCCAACACATCTGCTACCAAAACTCTTGGGAAACATCTTAGAGGACAAGTTATAATTTGTTAACAAGTTGTAACAAAGGAGAAGATTGCTCTCTTGTTTTCAATATCTTAAGTAAACTAGAAAGAGTCATTTGAAGTTCAACAAGTAAAGCGATGAGGAAGGAAATTAAAATTTTAATTGTATGATATAAGCTCAAAGAAGCAAGTTGTTTTGTTTGGATTTTTTCCCATTTTTATTTTAAAGTGGCACTGGGTGGGAGGAACAGAAGTAGGTAGGATGTGAGAGACGACACAGCCTTTACCTAAAAGGGCTTCGGGGGAAGCAATGACTTCATATGTGAAGCAGGAGACAGAGGAAATCTCGGATGAAGTATAGAATTACAGAAGATAGGAGAAAGGGCTGTTAGGAAGGTGAAAAATGGTGAATTTTATTAAGAGGAAAAGAAATACAGAGGACAATGAGGTTGGTAGTAAACTGAAAGATAGATAAAGGTGTTTAAACTTTTGGTAAATGATTGAAACAGTGAGTGATATAGTTTTGAGAATCTCTGAGAAAGGAGACAGCTTGACCCCAATAGAATCCAGCTCTAGACTGCAGAGGGCTTCCGCTAGAAGTACAGGCCAACGTAGTTCTCATAGTTGTTGGCTGTACATGGTTCTGATAGATAGAGAGGTAACTGTCAAACAAATGTCTTGGATGTAGCTGAAAGTAGAGAAGAGTAATCTTAAATACATGTCTTGAAAAGTTTACTCATGAGACTTTATATATTTTTTTAATTGCAAATAACTTTAAAAATACCATTTTCTCCCATTTGCTACTGATAAATGATACAAAAATATTAATACGTATACATATATATGTATGTGTATATATATATATATACACGTGTGTGTGTGTGTGTGTGTGTGTGTGTGTGTGTGTGTATTTTCAGTTGGTTCTACCGGATTCTCTAGGTAGGCAATTAAAATATATTTTCTATTTTACATATTTACAGTGCAATTCAATTTTTTTAAACTATTGCATTGTATTAAATACCAAAATAATTTTCAACATACTGTGCAACCTTAATTTGCTGTTGAAATTTAAAATTATAATTGTAGGTATACCATTAATAAGCATAATATGAATATGCAATGTTTTTTAAGAAAGATTATTTTTTCATAACTTTACCAAGAATTCTTTTTTCAGTTGAAGATATTAATTTTTTTTTTTTTTGCTCTAAATTCCAGGATACATTTGCAGAACATGCAGGTGTGTTACATAGGTATACGTTTGCCACGGTGGTTTGCTGCACTTATTGACCCATTCTCTTAAGTTCTCTCCCCTCGCCCCCAACCCCCAAGAAGCCCTGCTGTGTGTTGTTCCCCTCTGTGTGTTAATGTGTTCTCACTGTTCAACTCACACTTATGAGTGAGAACATGTAGTGTTTGGTTTTCTGTTCCTGTGTTATTTTGCTGAGGATGATGGCTTCCAGCTTCATCCATGCCCCTGCAAAGGACATACGCTCATTCATTTTTATGGCTGCATAGTATTCCATGGTGTATATGTACCACATTTTCTTTATCCAGTCTATCATCGATGGGCATTTGGGTTAGTTCCATGACTTTGCTATTGTAAATAGTGCTGCAATAAACATACACATGCATGTGCCTTTACAGTAGAATGATTTATATTCTTTCGGGTATAAACCCAGTAATGGGATTGCTGGGTCAAATGTTATTTATGGTTCTAGATCCCTGAGGAATCACAATACTGTCTTCCACAATGGTTGAACTAATTTACATCCCCATTAACAGGGTAAAAGGATTCTGATTTCTGCATAGCCTCTCCAGCATCTATTGTTTCTTGACTTTATAATCATTACCATTCTGCCTGGCATGGATTCAGTTTGCCAGTATCTCATTGTGGTTTTGGTTTGCATTTCTCTAATCATTAGTGATGTTGAGCTTTTTTTTAATAAAAGTTTGTTGGTCACATTAATGTCTTCTTTTGAGAAGGCATATCCTTTGCCCACTTTTTGATGGGGTTTTTTTTTTCTTGTAAATTTAATTTCCTTGTAAATTCTGGATATTGACCTTTGTCAAATGGGTAGATTGCAAACATTTTCTCACATTTTATAAGCTGCCTGGTCACTCTGATGACAGTTTCTTTTGCTGTGCAGAAGCTCTTTAATTTAATTAGATCCCATATGTCAATTTTGGCTTTTGTTGTAATTGCTTTTGGCGCTCTCATGAAGTCTTTCCCCATGCCTATGTCCTGCATGGTATTGCCTAGGTTTTCTTCTAGGGTTTTTATGGTTGGGTTTTACATTTAAGTCTTTAATCCATCTTGAGTTAATTTTTGTAAAAGGTGTAAGGAAAGGGTCCAGTTTCAGTTTTCTGCATATGGCTAGCCAGTTTTCCCAGCACCGTGTATTAAATAGGGAATCCTTTCCCCATTTCTTGTTTTTGTCAGGTTTGTCAAAGATCAGATGGTTGTAGATGTGTGGTGTTGTTTCTGAGGTCTCTGTTCTGTTCCATTGGTCTATATGTCTGTTTTGGTACCAGTATCATGCTGTTTTGGTTACTGTAGCCTTGTAGTAGAGTTTGAGGTCAGTAGGGTGATGCCTCCAGCTTTGTTCTTTTAGCTTAGGATTGTCTTGGCTACACGGAGTCTTCTTTGATTCCATATGAAATTTAAAGTAGTTTTTCCTAATTCTGTGAAGAAAGTCAATGGTAGTTTGATGGGAATGGCATTCTATAAATTACTTTGGGCAATATGGCCACTTTCACGATACTGATTCTTCCTATCTGTGAGGATGGAATATTTTGCCATTTGTTTGTTTCCTCTCTTATTTCCTTGAGCGGTGGTTTCTGGTTCTCCTTAAAGAGGTCCTTCACATTTCTTGTTAGCTATATTCCTAGATATTTTATTCTCTTTGTAGCAATTGTGAATGTGAGTTCGTTCATGATTTGGCTCTCTATTTGTCGATTGTTGGTGTAAAAGGATGATTGTGATTTTTGTACGTTGATTTTGTATCCTGAGACTTTGCTGAAGTTGCTTATCAGCTTAAGGAGTTTGGGGGCTGAGACGATGGGGTTTTCTAAATATAGAATCAGGTCGTCAGAAAACAGAGACAATTTGATTTCCTTTCTTCCTATCTGAATACCTTTATTTCTTTCTCTTGCCTGATTGCCCTGACCAGAACTTCCAATACTATATTGAATAGGAGTGGTGAGAGAGGTCATCCTTGTCTTGAACTGGTTTTCAAAAGGAACGCTTCCAGTTTATGCCCATTCAATATGATATTGGCTGTATGTTTGTCATAAATAGCTCTTATTATTTGGAGATATATTCCATTGATACCTAGTTTATTGAGAGTTTTTAACATGAAGTGATGTTGAATTTTATCAAAGGCCTTCTCTGCATCTATTGAGATAATCATGTGGTTTTTGTTTTTGTTTCTGTTTCTGTGATGGATTATGTTTGTTGATTTGTGTATGTTGAACCAGCCTTGCATCCCAGGGATGAAGCTGAGTTGATCATGGTGGATAAGTTTTTTGATGTGCTACTGGATTTGGCTTGCCAGTATTTTATTGAGGATTTTTACATCGATGTTCATCAAGGATACTGGCCTAAAGTTTTCCTTTTTTGTTGTGTCTCTGCCAGGTTTTGGTATCAGGGTGATGCTGGCCTCATAAAATGAGTTAGGGAGGAGTTCCTCTTTTTCAATGGTTTAGAATAGTTTCAGAAGGAATAATACCAGCTCCACTTTGTACCTCTGATAGAATTCCACTGTGAATCCATCTGGTCCTGGGCTTTTTGTTGTTGTTGTTCAGTAGGCTATTAATTACTGCCTCAATTTCAGGATTTGTTATTGGTCTATTCAGATTCGACTTCTTCCTGGTTTATTCTTGGGAAGGTGTATGTGTCCATGAATTTACGCGTTTCTTCTAGATTTTCTAGGTATTTGTGTAGAGGTGTTTATAGTATTCTCTTATGGTAGTTTCTATTTCTTTGGGATCAGTGATGATATCCCCTTTATCATTTTTTTCATTATGTCTGTTTGATCCTTCTCTCTGTTCTTACTAGTCTGGCTAGCGGTCTATCTATTTTGTTAATTTTGTTAAACATTTTTGACATCTATTAAGATAACTGTAATTTTCTTCTTTGATATAGTCATGTGCCTTAAATAGCTTTCTGAATATTCAACATTTCTTGATTCCCTGGAAAGGAAGTATCTAATCTTGGTCAACTCTTATTTTAGCATACTGTTTTGTTCAATTTACTAGTATTTGTTTTAGATTTTTAGTTTTCATTTTTTCCTCTTTAACAGTCTTAAGATTAATAACCACTCAATGTAAAGATTGAGAAAAAAACTTGCTTAGTTCAGAGTTATATCTTTGAAAACTTTTTCCAGCTTCTTCCCTGGTTTCTGGGTTCTTCATACTTTTTGTATTAATTTTGTTAATCTTCCCAAGTAAGCTGCTATATAAGAAAGAACAGAACCTGCTTTACTTAGCCAATATTTATTACAAATTAATTTCCTCATATTCTGTTTTAATTATCAGTCTCTTGAGAACTTGGTGTGATTATTCCCAATATATCATTCAGAATATTCTGAATGCCATATAAAAATCAAGCTCATGAGTTTTCAGAATTGAGGACCCCACCTTGATGGTATTGCCATGTTAAGACTTCCAATGAAGAATGTATACTGGCCCTCCTGGCCATGCTCCTTTATCTCACAAGTACCCAATGGAAGCTCAGAGTCCAGCAATATGATTTCTATGATTCTACTGGGTGATATAATTGAAGGATTAGCAACTTTTTTGTTAAAGGCCAGATGGCAAATATTTTAGGCTTTGATATTTGCCTAATCTCTTTTGCAACTGTTTAATAGTTACCTTATAGCACAAAAGCAGTCATAGACAATTCATAAACATATGGAAATGGCTATATTCCAAATAAATTTTATTTACAAAAGCAGGCTTGGGACCAGATTTTCCCCACAGAACATATAGTCTGTTGATCCCTTATCTAGTTTATTGGTATAAAGTGATTTCAATGCAAATACCATAGGAGTTACATGTAACAACAGTAAAATGAACATTTATTTTATGTTTACTATAGGGCAGGCGCTATTCTAATTACTTTGCATATATTCTGTTCTTATCAGATCAACCCTATGAGTTTGTCACTATAATCATCCCTACTGACATTGAACGCACAGAGAAATAAAGAGGTTAAGTACCATACATGCTTTCTGCTGTACAACTAGCAGTGATTGAGGTAGGTTTCAAATCTAAGGAGTTTGCCATATTTGAATCCAAAGGTGAAACTCTTAAGAACCATTTCCATACTTCTATCAGCCTTACTAGTTGGAATGCATCAGCTTGTTTTTTTTGAGTAGCTAATTACCTAAGCTTTAACAAATTTATTTTTGAAAGTAGAAACTCTAAAAGTCATATATATGTATATATATATATGTGTATTTATATATATACATATATATATACTTTAAAAAATCAGAGTGATAAAAAAGTGCTCAAAATGTAAACACAGGATCATTGAATTATGTTATTTTAAATGTTATTTCTCACAACACAGTTTTTCTTAGGGGTCTAGTCCATTATCATGAGGTGTTTACCTTTGTTTATGTACTCAATGATTGGCTCATAAAATTTTCATTCAAGTAAAAATAAGGGCAATATAATAATTACTGGTAAAGTTGACATTCAAGGATGAGGGGACACATTTAGAAGGTAATTAGTAGTATTTTTCAATAGCTAGTATGTAAAAAATTTTGACTCAATAACTTTACCAACTATCTGACAGAGCATGTACCAAGATAAAACTATGAGAATAGTTCAGATAGCAATATGCTGAAAACTTGGTGACTACCTAAAGATCAATCAGTTTGAGAATGGTAAGAACAGCAAGTTTTGTAGCATTTTAACTTTCCTTATTCCCATCCCCCTTTTCCAGCTCTGAGGTAGCCTAAAAAACCAACAGCCTTGCAACTCTTATAGCTATGAAAACCATCAGTCTAGCTACCACTCTAGGAGGCAGAACTGGAATACAACTTTACAAAAGTCCCATCCTCAGAAAATTATGAGCATTTTACCTACCTGGAAGCTACCTGAGTTGTTTTGTTCTCTGGGATTCTCTTCATGTCTTGATTTGACCTAAGAGCTCACTCCATGCAAAAGCCCTATCACCAGGACATTTCTCAAAAAAGTCAGTGGTCATTCTGTAGCATCACAGCTGCCTGACACAGTTTACCCATTACAGCTAACAGGATGCTGGACAAATTTAAAAATACAAACAAACAAACAAACAAAAACTTAAAAAAAACCCTGGGGAGTAAGAAGTCTGTAGGAACTTGTAACATATTTCGGAGAATGCAGAAGGTTATGCACATGTGTAGGACTGTGTACATGCCTAGGAAAGGCCTGAGAAGACCTTATCTCTCCTCTCACCTTTGATTTTGAGACTCTGCATAAACAGGACATGAAGGCTAAGGCAGAGTTACTGACTGCCTGCCAGAACACTGAAGTCATGCCCTAACCCACACATACATCCCCTCAGAAAATGCTGGGAGACTTATTGCTTCAAATAATTTAAGAAGATCTTTTGTTTACTACACTCTTCTGTTTTATTTGAGTTTATTTTAAATAATTAGCATATGTTATACTGCCTGAGATTGAATTCCACTTAGTCACTTACTGTCAAGTGATATAATCTCTCTCCTTCAGTTCCATCATTTATAAAAGAAAGTCGGTGACATAACCTACAACTCATAAAGTTATAAGGAGAATATATTAAAAGGTGTTTGGCCCACAGTAAACACTCAATGTTAGAAATTATTTCTATAGAATATAAATAATGTAAAGTGTATTTTTAAAGGATTTAATACTAGATGGTCACATGAAAACTTCACCTCCTACTATGTAGGAGTAAAAATAATTTTAAAATAAGATAAAGATAGAAAAGTGGGATTAACTTCTCAGCCTTAGTCACCATTTAAAAAAATCAAACATATGCTTATAGGTGTTAATGGTTAGCCCATTATTTATGAGTTACAAGCAAGTCTTGCAGAATATTTTCAACTCTTTTCAACTCTTTTTTTTCTGATTCAGACTCACCAACTCTGACTAAAAATGCTACTGGAACATACAAAGTTTTTGCATGGAGAAGAAATAAAACATTATAATCTCAGTGGGGTCTCTAAAAATGCTTGCAGTTTCCATCTCTTTTCCCATCTCTATTCTGTTTAGAGCAACTGATGTTGACTTAAACAGCATGGGAAAAGATAAGATCAGGTACAAACCACAGGTGCTTTCTCTCAAATGTTATAATAATATAGAGTTTGTTTTCTTGTTCACTTATTTGAGAATAAGATGGTTTGTAATGTTCTACTGATGACAGACTCTTATAGTCTATTTGTAAACAAAGTCCTTGGAGACATTTTTAAAGAAAAGTCCCAGACAATATTTTAATGCAACTGAGAATTATATCCATTTATTAATCAAGCTTTGGTAATTTATTTTAAAAATACTTTGGAGCTAATAACTAAAACAGAAGATACAGTGATGTAGTCATTTAAGAATATGAGAAAACAATGAGTGAATATGTTACTAAACTGACATTTGCTGTATATGTTCATGGTGTCTCAATAAGTAGCTGGTTTTTAATGTACTTACATATTTTTATTACAAATCCATCATCTGCTATAGATTTTATATTAATTTACTTATTCAATATGAAAGTTGGAATCCTTCAAAATCATTTTCCTCCCAATCTCTGGAGTATTAGAAGGAAACTACTAGTATCTTTACCCCATTATTGTCTTTCTTCCTTAAATTAAGATAAATAATTTGGGGATTGGTGTAATTGGTGACTGCCAACTGGACTGAGATGGAGAAAAAAAAAATCCGAATGAAATTATTACAAATGTAAATAGAAAAACAATTATTAAACTTATAGATTGTCCATTTAAATGTGACATTAGAATTGTGTTGGTTAGGAAAGCACTTTTTAGACTTTAATGTAAATTTTATTGAGATCACCTGGAGATCTTGCTGAGATTCAGGTCCTAATTCAGTAGATCTAATTCAATAGATCTGAAATTTTTCATTTCTAGCAGATGCCCATGTTATACTAAGTTTGTCAACCCAAAGATGACACTTTGATTAGCAAGATACTAAGATGTTTGGCAACAGGACGGTATTTAACATGAATTAAGAACTAGTGTCAGGGGGCAGTTTAACTTCAGAGAGATACAAGAGCAAACTGGAGGATTACCTGGTGACAAAAGTAGAAAAGGAGATGACTAAGAGGGGACTTAAGGTCTTAGAGATCAAATTTATTCCTTATTAAAAAGAAAAAAGAGAACATATTGCAAAAGTTAAACTTGTATCCAGAATCTATTAAATTGTTACCACCAAAAGAAATCAGGTTCAAGAAACCTTTGAAAGCCAGCACCATAAAGATTTAAATAGGAAGTCACTGACATGAGCTATTGGAAAAAATCCCTTAAAGACAGTTTACATATAGCTGTAAGTAGTGTCAGCACACAATTTTAACAGAGTTAAAAGAGAAGGCCAAGAAGATTAATTAAGAATAGATGCTGCTTTATACAATGTATTTTATTATAGTAGTTACTTTAGGTAGATAAGCATGACCAGGACATTTATAGAGTCAAAAATCTAAGTGAAGGCTTAGGGCACATGATGTGAAGTAAAAGGAAGTCTAGCATGACCACACTAAGTCTGGTTTAAAATGTTGGCTGTTGAAAGTCTAGATCTCTGGGTATAATTTTCCATGGAGTTGGTGGTGGAAAGGATTTTTTTCAACAATGGGCAAATTCTTCCATGAATACCATACTGGATTGAATTTGGAGTATGTTAATTTATCAAGTATATAAGATTTAAAGCAGAGATAAAGACTAACACTTTGCCTGACATTTGACCAATGAACTTAGATTTAGACCTGTAGGCTCTGTAGTAGACTGAATGGTGGCCCCAAAGGTATCAAGTCTTAATCCCTAGAAGCTGTGACTGTTATAGGAAAACAGTCTTTGCTGATGTGATTAAGTTAAGAATCTAGAGATAGGGAGATTATCTTGGATTATTTGGGTGGACACTAAGTACCATCACATGCATCCTTATAAAAGGGAGGCAGAGGGAGACTTGAAACAGACACAGAGATGGCTATTTTAAGACAGAGGCAGATATTGCAGTGATGTGGCTACAAACCAAGGAATGTTGGCAACCATCAGAAGCTGAAAAAGGCAAGGAAAAGATTCTCCTCTAGAGCCTATGGAGGGCTTGTGGTTCTCATGACACCTTGATTTTAACTCAGTGGAACCGATTTTAGACCTCTGACCTCCAGGACTGTGAGAGAATAAATTTCTGTTGTTTTATGCCATTAATGTGTGTTAATTTGTTACAGCAGCCATAGGAAACCAGCAGGGGGTCCCAAAAGGAAAATATGAGGGCAATGTTCAAGGCGGAAAACCAGAGAGAATAATAAGCTTGATTGGGGAATATGGATCTTGAGGAAATGAAGATCATTGTAAATAGATGAGATAAAAGGGTTAAGGGGAAAATAAAACTGATTTATTTTCATATTATGTGGTCAATAATGGTTAATGGGAAAATAAAACTGATTTAATTTCATATTATGTGGTCAAAATGATACTGTTTATGAATTTTTCCCCCAAAAGAGCTATGTTCTCTGATGGAGGGATCTGCAGCCTCAGGAAGCTACAGAAACTTTGGAAGTAGTTAAAAGTTGACTTTGGAACAGAACATCAAACGCATAAAGCAGTAGATGAGGCCTGCTGGTTCAATCCAAGAATGGTGAGCCCAGAATCAGGAAGCACACATCTCTTGGCTGTGGTATTTTACCAGGACTGAATCCATAAGGCTGTATTCCAGGGAGTGGGTGTGTTAGTGGGTGGGTTGTTTCTGTGAACAACTGGTACTCAATTCCATGAGGTAGAAAGTTTTGGTTTAATAGAAGTTAGCCTATTTCATTAACACCCCACTCTGGGAAAATGGTCTTCCATGATCCAGCAGGAGGTGTGCCTGGCTTCCAGGGAAGCCTTGAATACCACAGGCACTTTGTGGAGTGTTTTAATGTTTGCTTCTTCTCAGTGGACCAATTTCAGCTGCAGAGCTAATTGCCATTTCCCATTTACTCACCATATGACTTTACTAACAGTCTGATCATTGCAGTGAGGGGGTATGTGTGTGTGTGTGCATGTGTTGTTTTTAAGACCTGACTTGCTTACCTCTTATAAAGGGTAACCTGAATTACATTTTGTTGGCACATTTAGATATTATTGTTACAAGGAAGGAATCACGACTCAGATATTTAAATTGTGCTTTCACCTCTTGGAGAATTCTGCATATTGATTTTTATCTGCAGATGCATGTGATTGCTCTTCTCTAACTTTATTTATCTTTAATTCCCTTTGACAACAGTGTTTCACAGATTATGGTTTGGAAGTGTGGCTTTCTCCTAATTTCATAGGCAATGTTTATTTTTTTCTCTGTTTTCATTTCCTTTGCTGCATTCAGTTTTTCTCAAGCCAAAGCACGAAGAATTTACTTTTCTATCTTCAACAACAGTCCAAATGTCACAATTTGCCTAGTTGCTAATGGTTCTTGCAGTGGCAACTGAATTATGTGTATCTTATTTCCACTATCATAAGGATCATAGGAAGGCTAGTGTTATCTCCATGGGCCTAAGAATTAAAGAGCTTTAAATATTGACTCCGTGGTTGCTAATGAAGAAGCTGTCATCTGATTTATGTGAGAGATAATAGCATCAGTGCCATAGGTTGAACAGAATCATATTCTCTGGCTTCTCATTCATAAACTATCCTTTCTTAATGTAAACTGGAATGAAGATTTTCTGGGATCATTTGGGAAGTTAGCACAAGCTGTAATTTTGAAGTCCCAATGTAATAAATATGTAGTGCTGGCATTTCGTGGGAATATAAGTCATAAAGATAGTGTTTATATCTTTTGGCTTAAAGATTTGGTTCTGATTCGTTATAAGGCAATTTGTATCTCTCAGTTTTACAATCTTAGTTCCCTGCTTTGAAATTTCCATTTCTATGATCATTAATAAATGGAATGTCTTTAAAAGGAATACATTTGAAGGGAAAATCTCAGAGACAAAAACCTATACATAATTCACGTCATCATTCTTTCTTTCCTAGGACTAGTGGAGTTAAACAATGTGCTGTTGTCTCCTGCATTCTGTGGATGTCCTTATTGTTGGAATGTTAAATAAGGTGTTTTTTCAATGTTATATCAACTTTTATCTGAAATCTGTAGGATTTACCGACTAGATAAAATCTCATAGAAGGAATGAAGTTCAGTAGTCAATGTTTTTGCTCAGAAGAGGAGAAAACATAATAACCATATATTTTACCTAAAAAACTTTCTCCTAAACATGTGAGAAATATAAGGCCCATGAGGGTAAGAACTTTTCTTTGTATTCATTCCCAGTACCGATAAGGTCACTGCAGCATTACATGCACTCATTAAATATTTTAAAATAAAAGAATGAATGGAAAATATAGCAATACTTAATACCTAGATGACATTTTAATGTTTAAAATACATATTCAATAAATCACATTAGTTTGCATGTTTGAGAAACAAAACAAACTTTCTTTGAACCATTGCTATCTGTAGGTCACAGGTATGAAACTCAGTTTAAGTGGCAATACTAACTGGCCATGAACCTAGATGTTCCAGCACCTGGTACATAACCTGGCCACAGAAACATGTTTTCTAAAATACGCTTACTCTGATGAAAGCTAGGAGGTCACATAAAAATAATGACAAATATAAAGATATTTGTCTATTGCATATAACAAATGGACAGGAAGTGAAATGCACCACATTTTAAAGTGTAGCATCAATAATTGCTATTTTAAAATCACAAATAATAGCTGCTGCTTCTGACTCCTTGGAAATGGCATTGTTTCTTTCTACACAATATGGGCCTTTGAGAGAATACCTGAATAAGCAGACACAAGCACATGCTTTGAAAGGAGACAGCAAAACAGAATGATACTCTCACTGTTCACAATTAAGAAGACACTAGTAATAAAGGAGATGAGCTTTGAAAATACAAGAAAAATGAAAGGGAGATGATTAACAACTTGACTGTGGAACAGAGATTGTTGTGCATAACTCCAGAACCCTGTTGGCTATGGCTAAAATATTTTTAAGTGCACAAATACCATTTCTCTTCTATTATACCACACCTTTATTAAAACCTGCCATGCACAAATGAATAGTGTACCTTGGTGGTGTGTGGAGACCTGGGAAACCTATACTCATGCTCTATGGCCTGTGTAGCAAGCGAAGAAAACAGCCACACATTGTGGATAGGAATAAATAAATAAGTCAAAAGCAGTAGTACATCAGTGCAAGAAAAAGTTTTAAGAATTTAAACCTCCTGAAATTCACAGATATCATGAGAAGAACATTTTACTTTCCACAAAAATATGGAATAGAGTATTTGAAATAATTTTATGTAATCTCCAATGATAGGTGACCCAACTGAGATCTAATTAAAAAAACACAGGTCATTACATAAGACAGTTTCCAGAGAGCTCAATGGATCTTCAGTCTAATGTAAAGCAGCTGGTTTTAAAAGTATTTGCTTGAGTTTGGGTTTGGAGGAAGAGTCTTAAAAAACATGTTTGAAAGCGAAGTGCTCACAGCATCTTTTAGAAGTATGAGAAGATTAGGCTTTTATGTTCCAATGCTATACTTGAAGAAGTTACAGTCAGATAGTTTACTTCATCCCTGAGGGAAAACCATTAGGCATTGAATGCTCAGTGAGAACCAATGTGCGCTAAGAACCAAGGACATGGGCTGTGAAATCAGACTGTAAGAGTCAAACTCCTGCCTCTATCCTTTCTAGCAATGGATTCTGAAAATTTTGTTTATTCTGGAATGTCATTATGTTTCAAAGATGGTTTTTTCTGAATAAAACCCCTGGCAATCAGATTTTTTTTTATTTTAGCACTTTGAACGTATCAATTCAATGCCTTATGGCCTCCATGCTTTAGATGAGTTGTTAGGTATTAATTATATTGTTTCCCTCCACATTATGATTTGTTTTTCATTCACTGCTTTAAAAATTTTCTGTTCATCTTTGTCTTTCATCAGTTTGATTATGATGTGTCTAGGTGTTGATGTCTTTGTGTTTATCCCAGTTGGAGTTCATTGAGATTTTTGTGTGAATAGATAAATGCTTTTCATCAAATTTAGAATTTTTTAAAAAATATTTTTTTCTGCTTCATTCTCTCTTGTCTCCTTCTCCTACTTTGTGTATGATTATATGTGTGGCCACAATGAGATACCACTGCATGCCCACTTGAAAGGCAAAATTTTAAAAGGATTATGCAGAGTGTTAGCAAGAGTATGTTGGACTGGAACTCTCTTTCACTACTGGTTGGAATATAAAATGGTAAAAGCACTTTGAAAAAGAGTTTGGCAGTTTCTTTAAAAAATCAAATGTACACCTAGCACTATATATGACCCAGTCGTTGTACATTCAGGCAGTCACCTAAGAGAAAATTAAGCATATGTCTTCAGAATGACTTGTCTGTGCTAACAAAGAAAAAAAGAGAGATGATCCAAATAAACACAATTAGAAACAACAAAGGAAATATTACCAATGATCCCACAAAAATACAAATAACCATCAGATAATATGAAAAACTCTATGCACATAAGCTAGAAAACCTAATAGGAATGGATAAATTCCTGGACACATACACCCTCCCAAGACTGAACTAGGAAGAAATTGAATCCCTGAACAGACCAATAACAGGCTCTGAAGTTGCAGCAGTAATAAATAGCCTTCCAACCAAAAAAAAGCTCAGGACCAGCTGGATTCACAGCTGAATCCTACCAGATGTACAAAGAAGAACTGGTACCATTCCTACTGAAACTATTCCAAAAAATTGAAAAGGAGGGACTCCTCCCTAACTCATTCCACAAGGTCAGTATCACCCTGTTACTGAAACCTGGCAGAGATATAACAAAAAAAAGAAAACTTCATCCCAATATCCTTGGTGAACATTGATGCAAAAATCCTCAATAAAATACTGGGAAACTGAATCCAGCAGCAAATCAAAATGCTTACCCACCACGATCAAGTAGGCTTCATCCCTGGAATGCAAAGTTGGTTCAACATATGCAAATCAATAAATGTGATTCTTCACATAAACAGAACTAAAGACAAAAACCACGTGATTACCTCAATAGATGCAGAAAAAAACTTTTGATAAAATTCAACATTCTTCATGTCAAAAACTCTCAATAAACTAGGTATTGAAGAAATATGCCTCAAAATAATAAGAACCATGTACGACAAACACACAGCCAACATTATACTGAATGAGTAAAAGCTAGAAGCATTCCCTTTGAAAACTGGCACAAGACAAAGATGCCCTCTCTCACCACTCCTATTCAATATGTGATAGGAAGTCCTGGCCAGGGCAATCAGGCAAGAGAAAGAAAAATAAGCCATCCAAATAGGAAAAAAGGAATTCAAACTATCCTTGTTTGCCAGTGACATGATCCTATGTCTAGAAAACCCCATTGTCTCAACCTAAATGCTCCTTCAGCTGATAAACAACTTCAGCAAATCTCAGGATACAAAATCTATGCACAAAAATCATTAGCATTCCTATATACCAACAACAGTCAAGCCAAGAGCCAAATCAGGAACAAACTCCCATTTGCAATTGCCACAAAAAGAATAAAATACCTAGGAATACAGCTAACTAGGGAGGTGAAAGATCTCTACAAGGAAACTATAAGCCACTGCTCAAAGAAATTAGAGGTGACACAAATAAATGGAAGAATATTCCATGCTCATAAATAGAAAGAATCAATATTGTTAAAATAACCATACTACCCAAAACAACTTGTAGATTCAGTGCTATTCCTATTAAACTACCATTGAGATTCTTCACAGAAAAAAAACATTTTAAAATTCATATAGAACCAAAAGAGAGCCCGAATAGCCAAGACAATCCTAAGAAAAAAGAACAAAGCCGGGGGCATCATGCTACCCAACTTCAATCTTTGATATAGGGCTACAGTAACCAAAACAGTATGTTACTCATACAAAAACAGACACATAGTCCTATGGAACAGAATAGGGAGCCCAGAAATAAGGCTGCACACCTACAACCATCTGATCTTTGACAAAGCTGACAAAAACAAGCAAAGGGGGAAGGATTCCCTCTTGAATAAATGGTGCTGAGATAACTGGCTAGCCATATCCAGAAGATTGAAACTGGACCCCTTTCTTATGCCATATAAAAAATTAACTCAAGATGGATTAAAGACTTAAATGTAGAACCTAAAACTATAAAAACCCTGGAAACAAACCTAGGCAATACCATTCTGGATATAAGAATGGGCAATTTTATGATGAAAATGCCAAAAGCAATTGCAACAAAAACAAAAATTGACAAATGTGAGCTAATTAAACTCCAGGGCTTCTGCACAGCTAAATAAACTATCAACAGAGTAAACAGACAATCTACAGGATGGGAGAAAATGTTTTCAAACCATGCATCTGAGAAAGGTCTAACATCCAGCATCTAGAAGGAACTTAAACAAATTTACAAGAAACAAACAACCACTTTGAAAAGTGGGCAAAGGATATGAACAAACAATTTTCAGAAGAGGACATACTTACATCCAACAAGCATATGAAAAAAAGCTCATTATTACTAATCATTAGAGAAATGCAAATCAAAACTGCAATGGGATACCATCTCACACCATTCAAAATTGCTATTACTAAAAAGTCAAAAAAAAGAACAGATGCTGATGAGTTTGTGGAGAAAAAGGAACATTTATACACTGTTGATGAGAGTTTAAATTAGTTCAACCATATGGAAGGTAGTATAGCGATTCCTCAAAGAGCTAAAAGCAGCTATCCCATTAGTGGATATATACCCAAAGGAATATAAATTGTTCTATTGTAAAGAGACATCCATGTGTATGTTCTTTGCAGCACTATTCACAATAGCACAGACATGGAATGAACCCAAATACCCATCAATGGTAGACTGGATAAAGAAAATGTGATATGTAACCATGGAATACTATGCAGCCAGAAAGAGGAAAGAGATCATGTCCTTTGCAGGAGCATTTGTGGAGCTGGAGGCCATCATCTTTAGCAAACTAATGCGGGAACAGAAAACCAAATACTGTGTGTTCTGACGTATAAGGGGAAGCTAAATAATGAGAACTCATGGACACATAGAAAGAAGCAACAGTAATTGGGGCCTACCTGAGGATGGATGGCAAGAGGAGGGAGAGGATCAGGAAAAATAACTAATGGGTACTAGGTGTAACACCTGGTTGATGACATAATCTCTACAACAAACCCCTCATGGCATGAGTTCACTCGTATAACAAACATGAACTTAAAAGTTAAAGAAACAAAAAATTAGCCAGGCGTGGTGGCAGGCGCCTGTAGTCCCAGCTAGTCAGGAGGCTGAGGCAGAATGGGCTTTATTTGTAATAGCAGAAACCTAAGAATAACCTAATGTCCATCAACATATGAATAGATAAACACTTTGTGGTATATTAATGTAATGAAATTCTACTCACCAATAAAAAGAAAGGAACAAATGATATATATAATATTATATGTGAATATCTAATTATATTTGGTAATATAATCCAGACACAAAATATAATATACTGTATGATTCCAGGTACATAAAGTTGTTAAAAATTAAACTAATCTGGTAGTGACTGAAAGCAAATCAGTAGTGATTGCCTGGGAATTGAGTGAAATTCATGAGGGACATATTTTGGTGAAGGATGTATTCATTATCTTGTCATTAAGGTTTCATGAGTGCATACATGCTTCAAACATATCAACTTCTATGTAGCAAATATGTACAGTTTATTGTTTGCCAATTATACCTCAATAAAGCTGCTTACAAAACAGAGTACATTATATAACAAAGAACATGCGTCTAGAATATACAAAGAACTACATATTAATGATGAACAACAAATAACCCAATAAAAATGGAAAAAATCTTGAAAAGTTATTTTATATGTTTAATAAGTGTACTCAAATACAATTATTATTATTAATATTCAAGGAATGAAAATTAAAAAGCACAATGAAATACTACTTCAAATCCACTAGAATGACTAAAATTAAAAAGATGATGGACAAATAAAATTATTAGTAAGACAAAATAAAATGTTAATAAGAAACTCTCATACATTTTTGGTGGGAGTACAAAATGGAACAACCACTTTGAAAAATGAACCTTTTTTTTTTTTGAGACAGAGTATTGCTCTGTTGCCCAGGCTGGAGTGCAGTAGCGCTATCTCGGCTCACTGCAACCTCTGCCTCCCGGGTTCAAGCAGTTCTTTGCCTCAGCCTCCCGAGTAGCTGGGATTAAATGTAATTCTACATCACCCTGATACCTAGAAATTTCACTTTTTAATATTTATCCAAGGGAAATAGAAACATATGTCCTCACAGACACTTTTACAATAATATTTCTGGCAGTATTATTCATATCAACATTAAACTGGAAACAATCCAAATGTCCTTCAACAGGAGATAGGGTAAACAATTCATGATGCCTTCATACCATGAAATAATACTAAGTAATACTAAGAAGAAAATTTTTGATGCATACAACAATAGGAATAAATCTTCAAAGCAGTAGGTTGAGAGAAAGAAGCAAGATACAAAATAGTACAGCCTGTTAACAATGTATGATTCCATTTGTACGGAGCTCAAAAACAGACAAAACTAATTAATGGTGATAGAAGTCAAAGCAATTATTTCTATAGGCATGAGTATTCTTGAACAAAGGCATGAGGGAACATTTTGGAGTGAAGAAAATGTTCTGTATCTTCATTGGGATCGTTAGCATATGGGTGTAGATGTCTGTTAAGATCATCAAACAGAATGCCTAACATCTGTGTGTTTCATGGTATATAATATATATATTTTATCTTATTTTTTCAAAAATAATCTATGGATTAAAAAATCATTTAATCTTTTTATCAGCCTGCCCTACCTGATGATGCTCTTGACCATTCCTCTGATTTTATCTCCTGTCACTCTTATCACTTGTTAAATTACGCTGGCTTGAGTTTATATGTTTCTTTGGAAATTTCAAATAAACTACAGGATATTAAAAATCAGAATTGTTTAGTAGACAGCATTATGACCTTCAGTGTTTAACACTGGCCCCATTTGGCAGGTTGTCTAGAGGAAAACATTGAGGCAAGGGCTAGGGATGCTCATGGCTTCATTAGCCACCACACATGTCATTTGTTTAGTAAACCAGAGAATGGAGCCATCATGCCACTCTAGAACTGCCCTTTCTATCAAACATTTCACATTGGTTCTTGCTTAACACTGAACCTGAGGAAAAAAATTTCCATGTTGCAATAACTGGCACTATTATTCAGGATGCTGTATGTATGTTTCCTTCTTCTAAGGCTAATCAGGAGCTTTTAGAAAGTACTTGAAACAAGTTTGCAATAAGGAGAGGATTTTGGAAAGGTCTAGCACTGTTCAATTCATTAGAAGAGTTGGCTAATTTTTTGTGAAGAAAGGAAGGGATAAACTGAACATTTATTCTACATTCAACATTCCCTGCTTAGAAAAGAAAAATCAAAGGTGTGGTTTATATGACCTTTTCTGGAACATAAAGATCATTGCTATGATGAAATCTTTCAGTGCATAATAAAGTTTTAATGTAACATTTCGGTCTTTATGGCTTCAAGAATGCAATAAATTTACTGAGCTTTAGTTATTACAGTAAATTCTCTTAATTAGGTATCATCAAGTAGTGAGAAAGTCTGATTAGGTGAGCATCCTCTCTCTCTCTCTCTCTCTCTCTCTCTCTCTCTCTATATATATATATATAAAATGATGATGGTGAAAGTAATAACTTAAATTTATTGAGCATTTTACATGTGCCAGGCACACTGTTAAGCACTTTACATACATGGTGTCATTTCATCATCATGACAGCCCTCGGTGGTGATTGCTATTATAAACCACTTTTTTACTCAGCAAATAAAAAAGACTAAAATTTACAGATTCACAATGCTAGTAAAAGAGGAAGGAGGACCCAAACCCAGGTCTTGGGTTCTTATAATCTTAATCAGTATGTAAATTAGCCTTCTCATTTATTTACTCCTTTTCTCAACAAGAATGTCTTGAGTGCCTACTATGTGTACAGTACTCATATGTAAAAAACTCAGATATGTAAAAATCACTTACAGAAATTGCTTATTATAAATAAAATTATAATTCACTTCAAGTTTTTAATACTTTTTGGTAAAGAAAACTGGAAAGGTTTAATGCAAAATTGTTAATTTACACAAAGTTAGAATATAATGTGAACATAATTGTTAATAATTTAATAAGAAAACTTTGAGTAGTGATATTACCACCAAATATATCTTAGGAAAGTGTCCTGTTGGATGAGATGCCATCACTCAATAAGTTCAGTGCTTCCTCTAGAGCAGTGGTCCCCAGCCTTTTTGGCACCAGGGACCGGTTTCACGGAAGACCATTTTTCCACAGATAGGGTTGTGGGGGTAGTTTTGGGATGAAACTGTTCCACCTCAGATTATCAAGCATTAGATTCTCATAGGGAGCACACAACCTAGATCCTTTGTATGCACGGTTCACAATAGGGTTCATGCTCTTTTGAGAATCTAATGCCGCTTCTGGTCTGACAGGAGGTGGAGCTCAGGGGATAATGCTGGCCGGTCGCTCTCCTGGTGTGCAGCCTGGTTCCTAACAAACCAGGGACCACAGGAGGGGAACCGCGGGTTTGGTGGTGGGGGTGGGTAGGGAGTGACTAGAGTCTGGCTCTCCAGATAAGTTTCAGAAAAGGTGCTTGTTTTGAGCTAAGGTGCCACAGCATACGAAGCTACTAATTACTAATTTTTATACACTACAATCACATTCAGTTTGGCTGGATTCTCACATCATGGGAGGTTCTTGGGGAACAATATCCATGAGAGAATCCCCCTTTTTTTTAATCTCCAATGTCTTGTTCTCTCTAAGGCATACTCGCAGAGGATGAAATGTCAGGCAATGTAAAGTATTTCTCTCTTTTTAAAAATAATTTTAAAATTTATTCTATATTTCATTTCCCTACCTACCTCAGTCTAAACAAACTTTTTTTTCTGATTCTATGTTTGTCATTCCTTTGTAATTTCTTATGTCATTTAGATACTCTCTGAAGAAGTATATTTTTACTTTATTTTAAACCGTATTGCAGTATATTGATTTTATATTTAGGGATGAAATTTCTGTACCACAAGGCATAGAATGTTCCAGTTTAGGAAAAAATGCCAAACTGGTTTTCTAAGTGAATGCACCAATTTGCATTTCCTTCAACAATATGTAAGATATCCTCCGGTTGTACGTCCATTTCAATACTTAATTATTGTCTAATTCCTTATTTTTATTTTTTATTTTTTGAGACGGAGTTTTCCTCTTGTTGCCCAGAATGCAGTGCAATGGCGCGATCTCGGCTCACTGCAACCTCCTCCTCCCTGCAACCTCTGCCTCCCGGGTGCAAGCGATTCTCCTGCCTCAGCCTCCCTAGTAGCTGGGATTACAGGCATGCTCCATCACGCCCAGATAATTTTGTATTTTTAGTAGAGACGGCGTTTCTCCATGTTGGTCAGGCTGGTCTCCACCTCCCGACCTCAAGTGATCTGCTTGCCTCGGCCTCCCAAAGTACTGGGATTATAGGTCCCTTCTTTTTATTTTTAAACAAATGAATGTAAGCGGTATCTCAGCAATTTTGATTTTTATTTTTGCAACCATTAATAATTTTAAATATTTCATTATATGCTTATTGCCATTCATGGATTTTATTTTTGAAATTACCATTTATAATTTTCTTTTCTTTTCTTTTCTTTTTTGAGACGGAGTCTGGCTCTGTTGCCCAGGCTGGAGTGCAATGGCACGGTCTTGGCTCACTGCAACCTCCACCTCCTGGATTCAAGTGATTCTCCTGCCTCAGCCTCCCGAGTAGCGGGGATTACAGGCGCCCGCCACCATGCTTGGCACCTCAGGATCCGCCCGTCTTGGCCTCCCAAAGTGCTGGGATTACAGGCGTGAGCCACCGCGCCTGATGCCAGTTATAACTTTCAACAATTTTCTGTTTAATTTTTACTTTGCTTTTCTTATTGACCTATGGAAGCACTTTATTATCCATACCAATGCTTTGGCACTTGTCTGTAATACACATATCGCCTCCCAATTTGATCTATTGTTTTGATTAACTAATGTTAGTTTTAATCTAAATGTATCATTTTTTTCTCATAGTCAATGTGTTTTGTACTTATTTAAGAAACTTTTCTCACTCTAAAGTCTAAAAGGTATTTACTTATATTTTCTACTAAGAAGCTTAAGTCCTTAATGCTTTTGGAATCTATTTTTATATTCTATGAGGTAGAGATTTAATTTTGTCTTTATTCACTTGGCTAACCATGTTTCTTAATGTCTATTTAATAATTTCAACTTATCTATTTATTAAATAATTTCAACTTCACCCAGCCATCTGGCATGCTATCTCTGTCATATAACAATGTTCCATTAATGTTTGGGTACTTTTTAGCACCTTTATTTATCAGATAAGCTATATTTTCTATCCCTGATGCTGTAACATACTATTTAGATTATTACAGATTTAAAGTATTTAGTAGGACAAATTACCCATCCTTCACTTATTCAGATTAGTTCAGGGTATTTATTAGCTCGTTTTGTTCTTTTATATAAATTTTATAACAATCTGAACAAGTTGCATTAAAAAAACAGAAATTTCTATTGAAATTTTATTAAATCTGGAGTTCCACTTAGGGAAAATTGATTTTTCTATAATATAAAGTTTTTCTCCTTATAAATATGGTTTCTCTGCATTTTACAGTTATTTTTAATAGCTCTAAAAGTTTTATAATTTACCTGTAGAGATTTTTTATATCTTATGATATATTATTCTTGTATTCTTGTAAATACTGCTGTATTTAAATTATTGAAAATTTTTTCTTCTCTTTATTTTTGTTTTCTAGGTATTTGCTTCTGGTGTATATAAATGCTACTGACTTTATATTCAGTCCTTTTGTAAGATTTATGGATTCTTTTGCATTTTCTATGTAAATGATAAAAGTTATCTCTAATAATTTTGCTTTCCTCTCTTATAACCTTAATACCTTTTTTATTTCCTCTTATACTACTTAAGACTGCCAATAAAATAGAATAGATGTGGTGGTAGTATATATCGTTGAGTTGTCCCTTATTTTTAAGAAACTGTTTTCATTGTTACCATATTTAAGGTGTTTGCTCCAGATGTTTATGGAAATTTTTTGTTAGGCCTTGGAGGTTCTCATTTATTTCTAACTTAATAAATGTTTACTTTTTTTGAATTATAATTGCATACTGAATTTACCAAATGCCTGCATCTATTATGCTGACCAATTCCCCATGCTCTGAGAGCATGAAATATTGTTGATTAGAACTCAGTTTGGCTCCTTGAGAATTGTTCTCCAGGGCTTTTGGCCCTGACTGCTGTAATCTTGGTCCCATCCTGTGAGTCACTGCTCTTCTATGAAAAATGGCAAATATTTGCATTTGAGTAGTTCCCTCAGACTGCTTAGGGAAGGAGTCCTCTTTTCATTTTACACAATTGCTACCCTTTCAGTACAAGATGGCACAAATCCTTTAAAAGTTGCATGGAATTCTTGCAGATTAGATTATAAACCACTCTGTTACACAAAACCACACCTATGTATACCTTCAATCCAGGTTCATTTCTACTTTGGGCTTAAAAATCAAAGAGCGATGAGACAATTCCATTCAACTTCTTAGAAACTCTTTTGTCTAGCTGAGAACTTATAGGAGCCATCTCTTTAAATTTCTCCATGGTCTTATCAGAGAGGCTGATAGTTGCACCTGTAGTTGGAATCTCATGTAGATTTTGGAATAAAAGCCCTTTACAGCTCATACTTTATGGACTTAAACCAATTTCCATGGCTAAATAAGTGAAAAGGCAAGAAAATCTGATTCTCAGGAAAAAAGAGGGGTAAGTATTTTAAAATATCAGTAACAGAGTATATGAAAAGGTAAAATTAACAGTATATTTAATTTCATTTAAATGGCAATAATTATGACATATTCCTCAGGGATTGTCTAATTTTTCCTTAAAATTTTCAAATGTTAAAACATTTGGGTAAGAAGACAGATAACCTGATTTTTTGCCTCTTGATTTGTAAATCATTTTTAAGGGGCCAAGCCACTGTCTTCATTCTTCCTTTCTTCTATCAGTGTATTAGTCCGTTCTCATGTTACTAATAAAGACATTCCTGAGACTAAGTAATTTATGAAGAAAAGAGTTTTAATTGACTCACAGTTCCACATGTGGGAAGTCCTTACAATCATGGAAGAAGGTGAAGGAGGAACAAAGTCACATCTTAAATGGTGACAGGCAAAGAGAGTGTGTGCAGGGGAACTCTCCTTTATATAACCATCAGATCTCGTGAGACTTACTCACTATCATGAGAATAGCAGGGGGAAAGACCTGCCCCCATGATTCAATTACCTCTTTCCAGGTCCCACCCATGACACATGGGAATTATGGGGGCTACAATTCAAGATGAGATTTGGGTGGGGACACAGGCAAACCATATCATTCTGTCCCTGGCCCCTCCCAAATCTCACGTTCTTACATTTCAAAACAAATCATGCCTTACCAACAGTCCTCTAAATTCTTAACTCATTTCAGCATTAACACAAAAGTCCACAGTCCAAAGTCCCATTTAAGACAAGGCAAGCCCCTTCTGTTTATGAGCCAGTAAAATCACAAGCAAGTTAGTTATTTCCCAGATACAATGGCGATACGGGCATTGGGTAAATGCATTCCAAATGGGAGAAAGTGGAAAAAACAAAGAGGCTACAGGCCCTATTTGAGTCTGAAATCCAATAGGGCAGTCATTAAACGTTAAAGCTCCAAAATGACCTCATTTGACTCCATGTCTCACATCCAGATCACACTGATGCAAGGAAGTGGGCTCCAATGGCCTTGGGAAGCTCCACCCCTGTGGCTTTGCAGGGTACAGCTCCCCTCCTGACTGCTTTCATGGGCTGGCATTGAGTGTTTGTGGCTTATCCAGGCGCATGGTGCAAGCTGTCAGTGGATCTACCATTCTGGGGTATGGAGGATGGTGGCCCTTTTCTCATGGCTCCACTAGGAAGTGCTCAAGTGGGGACTCTGTTTGGGGGCTCCAACCCCACATTTCCGTTCCACACTCCCCTAGCAGAGGTTCTCCATGAGGGCCCTACCCCTGCAGCAATCGTCTGCCTGGACATCCAAGCATTTCCATACATCCTCTGAAATCTAGGCAGAGGTTCCCAATCCTCAATTCTTGACTTCTCGTACCCACAGGCCCAAAACTACATGTAAACTGCCAAGGTTTGGGGCTCGCACCCTCTGAAGTAATGGCCTGAGCTGTACATTGGCCCCTTTTAGCTGAGCTGGGGCTGAAGCAGTTGGAATGCAGGGCACCATGTCCCAAGGCTGCATAGAGCAGGGGGGCTCTTGTCCTCATCCATGAAAGCATTTTCCCCTCCTAGGACTCCAGGTCTGTGATGAGAGGGGCTGCTATGAAGGTCTCTGACATGACCAGGAGACATTTTCCCCATTGTCTTTGTGATTAACATTCAGCTTCTCCTTACTTATGCAAATTTCTGCAGCTGGCTTAAATTTCTCCCCAGAAAATGGATTTTTCTTTTCTATTGCATCATCAGGCTGCAAATTTCCCTAACTTGTATGCCTGTCACCTCTTGATTGCTTTGCCCCTTAGAAATTTCTTCCACCAGATACCCTAAATCATCTCTCTCAAGTTCAAAGTTCCACAGATCTCTAGGGTGGGGGCAAAATGCCAACAGTCTCTTTGCATAGCAAAAGTAACCTTTACTCCTGTTCCCAACAAGTTCCTCATCTCCATCTGAGACTGCCTCAGCTTGGATTTTATTGTCTATATCACTATCAGCATTTTGGTCAAAGCCATTCAACAAGTCTCGAGGAAGTTCCAAACTTTCCCACATCTTCCTGTCTTCTTCTGAGCTCTCCAGTGTGCTCCAGCTTCTGCCTGTTACCCAGTTCCAAAGTCACTTCCACATTTTTGGGTATCTTTACAGCAGCACCCCACTCTAGTGGTACCGATTTACTGTTTTAGCCTGTTCTTATGCTGCTAATAAAGACATACCCGAGACTGGGTAATTTTTAAAGAAAAGAGGTTTAATTGACTCACAGTTCTACATGCTGGGGAGTACTCACAATCATGGTAGAAGGTGAAGAAGGAGCAAAGTCATATCTTACATAGGGGCATGCAAAGAGAGCTTGTGCAGGGGAACTCCCTTTTATAAAACCATCAGATCTTGTGAGACTCATTCACTATCACAAGAATAGCATGGGAAAGACCCGCCCCCATGATTCAGTTATCTCCCTCAGGGTCCTACCCATGACACATGAGAATTATGGGAGACATAATTCAAGATGACATTTGGGAGACATAATTCAGCTGAGCCGTATCAATAAGCTTCTGAAATGAAATGACCAGTTACAGGACTTCTATATTATAATCAGCTCTGTATGGATGGAGATAGCTGCACTCTTCTTACTGTATTTCTTCCTGATGAAATGCCACTGGACCAACTACAGAAAGGAATACAATTTTATGTAAAAAAAAAAAATGTGATCATTAGCTGCTCAACTAGATTAGTTAAAGTGGGTCATTTTACTTGCACTATTTAATTCTCATAATAATTACTGATACATTTTAAGACTCAACTGATGGCTTTTAAAGCTAAAAGAAAAATCAATATTCATTTAAAGCAATGGAAAGAAAGACTGTTTCTGGATAAATTCAATATTTAAGGAAGAGACTTACAAATCTATTTAAGTGGAAATATCAGCTATAGAAACTTAAAGTAAATCGGAAGCTAACCAGCCATGGCTGTTTCATTATCTTCAAGTGAAAGGCAATCTCTGGAAATTGTGTGCTTTTGATTAATATAATTTACATGGCCTGTTTTCATTTCCCTGTAAATGTCTACAGAAAAATGAACAGCAACCAAAATCTTCCTTTCATAATCCAATAGGTAACAAAAGACAAAGTTTACATATTTTTTTTTCAAAAAAAATTTATTTATTTAACTTATAGGGCACATGCTGTATGCCAGACTCGTCACTGAAAATACTAGGCCTCTGTCTGAGTGGAAGGGTTTTCTATGGGAGAAGAAATGCCAGTGAAGACTTTGTAATTCAAAGAATACATTTTTATTTTAATCAACGGTTATGAAACATTTCAGAAGTGTCCCAAGTGTGTGCCATGTGTATTCAATTATGAATACCATTAATGATGTAAAACATTGACTTTTAATGATAAAAATCAAGTGAGATATAAAAATTTGTTCTAAATGTGAAATATGGTGAATTCTATAAAAAAAACCCCCCCTTTTTTTTTTTTTACTGATTATTAGGGATTCAAATTTGTGATCTTTAAAACTATGTTAAGATGCTTGTATCTTTTACATCATAAGGGCTTTATTTACTCAGTTTTTATGAAGTCCAAAGACTCTTTCCAAACTAAAGTTTAGTTAATTTGGGTTGTATTTTTAGTATGGCATTAGTTAGCATTTTCATCTTGAAATTCCTCTACCAGATGTTGACAAACTTTTTCAATAAAGGGCTAGATAATAAATATTTTAAGCATTGTGGGCCATATATTATCTGTGGCAACTATTCAATTATATTTCTGTAGGGTAAAATCAGCCATAGACAATATATAATGAAGGTATTTATGTTCGCATAAAACTTTATTTCAAAAACAGGAAGTGGCCTAGATTTGGTTTTTGGGCCATAGGTTGCCAATCTGTGCTTTTTACAATAGGTTTAATTTCTTTATTATCAATTGTAAGATCTCTTTCCCTGTTAGCCTTTATTATATGTAATAACTTTTTATTCTATTTAATTCTTTATTCTTTATTATTTTCACAAAATAACCTTGAACCTCAACTACAATTGATATTATAATGTGTTTTTTCACCCTACATTAACAAATATGTACTTTAACTGTTAATTCCATGTAAATTAATGATTATAGCACTTTCTTAAGCTATATTTATTACTACATGACAGAATACCTTCAAAAGTTTATACAATTTCCTTATGGTGACACCCACTGAAAAACCTTAAGTTTGGACTAAGCTCAATACCTTGGAGTTACATAGTATCATGCAATTTTGGAATACGAGACCTGGGAAAGTTGAGAGGTAAAAGGATTTTACCTCTCAAATTGTCCCAAAATTCTCCTAAAAGAACCTCCCTAAATTCTCCTAAGTTGTAGTCTGTTGTTTTTTCTACTGTAGTATGATAATTTTGAACTCTGACCTTATGTGCTTAATTTCCAGTTATGTTCATGGCCATCTTCAATTCTCAGTCAGATTGCTATGTCCTGGAAGTAATTAGTGAGAACATTTCATTTCCCTTGATAAAGATAGAAAATATTATTTTTTGTATTATGGTCTATATGTGCCTATACAAGTTGCATGCTTCATAAGAAAGATATAGAAATACAAGATTGATGAGAAAAATATATAAACTCTTCGATATAAACAGGATGTTAGATAGATTTCTTGACCTTCACATAGTAAAATGGTTGCAATAACTGAGGACATATTCCTAGACTCAATTATTGTTATTTATTTTAAAGATTATTTTCTTTTGGCAGAATGTTTTTAAGTTATTTTGGAAACAGAAGAAGAAAGAGTGAAAAAGAATGCTTAAATGCAAAGGAGATCTTTTAAAACAAATTATTCTTTTTCTTTTTTTAAAATTATACTTTAAGTTCTGGGAGACACGTGCAGAATATGCAGGTTTGTTACATAGATAGACATGTGCCATGGTGATTTGCTGCACCCATTAATCCGTCATCTGCGTTAGGTATTTCTTCTAATGCTATCCCTCCCCTTGACCCCACACCCCGACAGGCCCTGGTATGTAATGTTCCTCTGCCTGTGTCCATGTGTTCTCATTGTTCAGTTCCCACTTATGAGTGAGAATATGCAGTGTTTTGTTTTCTGTTCCTTTCTTAGTTTGCTAAGAATGATGGTTTACAGCTTCATCCATGTCCCTACAAAAGACATGAACTCATCCTTTTTATGGCTGCATAGTATTCCATGGTGTATATGTGCCACATTTTCTCTATCCAGTCTATAATTGATGGGCAGTTGGGTTGGTTCCAAGCCTTTGCTATTGTGAATAGTGCTACAGTAAACATACGTGTGCGTGTGTCTTTATGGTAGAATTATTTATAATCCTTTGGGTATATACCAAGTAATGGGATTGCTGGATCAAATGATATTTCTGGTTCTAGTTCCTTGAGGAATCACCACACTGTCTTCTACAATGGTTGAACTAATTTACACTCCCCAAAACAGTGTAAAAGTGTTCCTGTTTCTCCACATCCTCTCCAGCAGCTGTTGTTTCCTGACTTTTTAATGATTGCTATTCTAACTGGCATGAGATGATATCTCACTCTGGTTTTGATTTGCATTTCTCTAATGACCAGTGATGAGCTTTTTTTCATATGTTTATTGGCCACATAAATGTCTTCTTTTGAGAACTGTCTGTTCATATCCTTTGCCCACTTTTTGATGGGATTGTTTGTTTTATTCTTGTAAATTTGTTAAAGTTTTTTGTAGATTCTGGATATTAGTCCTTTGTCAGATGGATAGATTGCAAAAATTTTCTCCCATTCTGTAGGATGCCTGTTCACGCTGATGATAGTTTCTTTTGCTGTGCAGAAGCTGTTTAGTTTAATTAGATCCTATTTGTCTATTTTGGCTTTTGTTGCCATTGCTTTTGGTGTTTTAGTCATGAAGTCTTTGCCCATGCCTATGTCCTGAATGGTATTGCCTAGTTTTCTTCTTGGGTTTTAATGGTATTAGGCCTTATGTTTAAGTCTTTAATCCATCTTGAGTTAGTTTTTGTATAAGGTGTAAGGAAGGGGTCCAGTTTCAGTTTTCTGCATATGGCTCACCATTTTCCCAACATCATTTATTAAATAGGGAATCCTTTCCCCATGGCTTATTTTTGTCAGGTTTGTCAAAGATCAGATGGTTGTAGCTGTGTGGCATTATTTCTGAGGCCTTTGTTCTATTCCATTGGTTTATATATCTGTTTTGGTACCAGTACCATGCTGTTTTGGTTACTGTAGCCTTGCAGTATAGTTTGAAGTCAGGTAGCGTGATGCCTCCAGCTTTGTTCTTTTTGCTTAGGATTGTGTTGGCTATACAGGCTCTTTTTCCGTTCCATGTGAAATTTAAAGTAGTTTTTTTTTTAATTCTGTGAAGAAAGTCAATGGTAGCTTAATGGAAATTACATTGAATCTATAAATTATTTTGAGCAGTATGGCCATTTTCACGATATTGATTCTTCCTACCCATGAGCATGGAATTTTTTTCCATTTGTTTGTATCCTCTCTTGTTTCCTTGAGCAGTGGTTTGTAGTTCTCCTTCAAGAGGTCCTTCACATCCCTTGTAAGTTGGATATCTAGGTATTTATACTCTTTGTAGCAATTGTGAATAGGAGTTCACTCATGATTTGGCTTTCTGTCTGTTATTGGTGTATAGAAATGCTTGTGATTTTTGCACATTGATTTTCTATCCTGAGATTTTGCTGAAGTTGCTTATCAGCTTAAGCAGTTTTTGGGCTGAGACGATAGGGTTTCTTAAATATGCAATCATGTCATCTGCAAACAGAGACAATTTGACTTCCTCTCTTCCTATTTGAATACCTTTATTTCTTTGCCTTGCCTTATTGCCCTGACCCGAATGTCCAGTACTATGTTGAATAGGAGTGGTAAGAGAGGGCATCCTTGTCTTGTGCTGGTTTTCAAAGGGAATACTTTCAGCTTTTGCCCATTCAGTATGATATTGGCTGTGGGTTTGTCATAAATAGCTTATCATTTTGAGATACGTTTCATCAATACCTAGTTTATTGAGTGTTTTTGGCATGAAGATGTGTTGAATTTTATTGAAGGCCTTTTCTGCATCTATTGAGATAATCATGTGGTTTTTGTCATTGGTTCTGTTTATGTGATGGGTTACATTTATTGATTTGTGTATGCTGAACCAGCCTGGCATCCCAGGGATGAAGCTGACTCATTTGTGGTGGATAAGCCTTTTGATGTGCTGCTGGATTCGGTTTGCTGGTATTTTATTGAGGATGATTTTTGCATCAGTGTTCATCAGGGATATTGGCCTGAAATTTTCTTTTTTTGTTGTGTTTCTGCCAGGTCTTAGTATCAGGATAATGCTGGCCTCATAAAATGAATTGGGAGGAGTCCCTGTTTTTCTATTGTTTGGAATAGTTTCAGGAAGAATGGTACCAGCTCCTCTTTGTACCTCTGGTAGAATTGGCTATGAATCTGTCTGGTCCTGGGCTTTTTCTGGTTGGTAGGCTATTAATTACTCCCTCAATTTCAGAACTTGTTATTGGTCTATTTGGGGATTCGACTTCTTCCTGGTTTATTCTTGGGAGAGTGTATGTATCCAGGAATTTATCCATTTCCTTTAGATTTTCTAGTTTACTTACACAGAGGTGTTTATAGTATTCTGTGATGGTAGTTTGTATTTCTGTGGGATCAGTGGTTATATCCCCTTTATCATTTTTTACTGTATCTATTTGTTTCTTCTCTCTTTTCTTCTTTCTTAGTCTGGCTAGCAGTCTATCGATTTTGTTAATCTTTTCAAAAAACCAGCTCCTGGATTCATTGATTTTTTTGAAAGATTTTTTGAAAGAGTCTCTGTCTCTTTCAGTTCTGCTCTGATCTTAGTTATTTCCTGTCTTCTGCTAGCTTTGGAATTTGTTTGCTCTTGCTTATCTAGTTATTTTGTGATGTTAGGGTGTTGACTTTAGATCTTTCCCACTTTCTCAGGTGATCATTTAGTGCTATAAATTTCCCTGTAAACAGTACGTTAGCTGTGTCCCAGAGATTCTGGTACATTGTGTCTTTGTTCTCATTGGTTTCAAAGAGCTTATTTGTTTCTGCCTTAATTTCGTTATTTACCCAGTATTTATTCAAGAGCAGGTTGTTCAATTTCCATTTAGTTGTGTGGTTTTAAAACAAATTGTTTTAGATGTGCCTAGAAAATTATGACTATATGGTCTATAACACTACATTTTGTAGTACAACACTTGTAATGAAAAAAAATCATTATTTCCACCAAAGACCCCTCCTAATTTTTGCATTAACAATTTTCAGATTAAAGCAAAAAATTAATACAATTATCCTTGAAAAGGTATTTTTACAAAGCTCTCAAATTTTTGCTTTTTTCTATATATTTTTCATGTTTAACTTTTTAATTGTATTTTTCCCGTGAAAATCTACCAAGATTTCATTTTTAATCAAAGCTAAATTTTATGTGTTTTTTCTACATATTTATATGTGTACAATCTACATATTTTTATATTTATATATTTAATCCATTTATTTTATAATTGTAATGGACATTTCCACCATTCTGTCTGAGTTTTAGTTGTTGATTTTTACTGCGTTTTGGCTTTTTTCTCTATAAGCTATTTTTGTTTTTATTGCTGTAAGTATTCAGAAAATATTCTTGTCTTTTCATGCTTAGTGGTTGGATTTATTTTTTTAAGAAAAATAGATTTCCCTAATTAACAACATAAAGAATAACTTATCCATTTATATTTTATTTAAATAAAAGGAAGAATCAAGCATGATTTTATTTGGCCTCAGCCACTTCACTCTACATTTTGATTTTAAAAATCTGGGATTTTATACACAGTTAAGTATTATATTTTATCATTATTATCTTTAAATTATGTCTTAAAAAATTTATACAGTAATTATTTAGATGGAATTTTTATTTACTAGGCTTTGTTACTAGGTTTTAAAATTATTGTCCAGATCCCAATTTAAAGGATGCTACTGTTAGTTTTTCATCCCTGAAGACCATATCTCTCCAAGAGGTAGTGGAAATATTTTATTTCTTCTTTGTTTGGATTCTACAGCTTCTTTGTGATTTGCTTAGTGATGATCCCTTTGATATCTTTTAGATAATTAAATCTAAACTGAATTTGTAGAACTCTAATAATGTTGCATATGTATGTCCATTTTTATGAATGTTACAATGGGAAATAAAGATGACAATTCAAACTTTATTAGTAACTAGCTGGTACTGTATCCTAGAAATTTGTGCTTTTATATGGAATAGCTTAAAATATCCTGGAAGAGTCATTATGAGAAAATATTTTGAAAATAAACCAAAAAAAAGCCCTCAACTACAATTAAAATAGTATTATGTTGTCACTATTAACTTTACTCTTACTTCAAATAACACAACTGTTTTTGATCACATTGTTTTAAGTAATAGATTACCTTTAAGGTAAAATCTGCCTATTAGGAAAATTTTAGGGTTCATTTTTCTTCCTCCAATATTAAACAACTTAAGGAATATACTTGAGAAGTTACTCCCTGAAAAATAAAAAACATTGCTGTGTTTTGAATTATCTGATAATTGTATCAACAAACACACATAACTTGTATCAACATTTGGTATAACACAATGAGTAAAGCTTATTTGAGAATCGTATTATTTAAAAGGCCAAAATTTTCAATATGAATTTTGGAGCTGTATATAATAAATTTGAACTATGTTCAACATATTATCAGCTTTCTAAGAACACAGCTGCTAAACAACAAACTAAAATCTAATGAAAAGATAGTCTAGAGGAATAGCTACATAACTAAAACAGCAGAAACATTTTCTTAAACTACAACTTAATATGTTTCTTTTAAGCGTAGAAATCCTAGTTCCTGATCCTTTTCTTTGTAGCTAGGCAGCATTGATGCTGTGCAGTGGTTTCTTTTGGAATGTTACTTCGAGGTTGGATACAGAGAGCACTTCTCTGAGCAGTGGGTTCCTTTTATAGATCCTTTCAAATAAAGGCAGTTGAGTGTATCTGTTGAATGACCCATATGACTACTGGGCAAGTTAGTGAGGATCTAGAAAATCAATGAATATCACTAAGACAAGAAAAACTACTTTTTACATGAGTGATTAAATTTTAAAAATTATTTTTCTCATTTAAAACCATTATTTCAGACATACAGAGAATAGAAATATAAAGATAAAAATTTTGAGGAATTGGTAAAAATAGATATTTCTCATCATGAGGAGTTATACCAGAATCTGCAGTTAAAATAAGATCTAGATAAATTCCTAGTTCTTCAGTGTTCTTATCAGCTACCAGTTTTCTATACCCACATTCAGTGTGAAAGAGTATCTCGTGATGCCCTTTACTTCAAATTTAGAAATCACCTTGTTTATACTTAGTATACTGTCCATGTTCAGGAGAATGACATGAACAGGAAATTATAAGAGAACTGAGTATTTGAGAATCAATTAAATTTTCCACAGGTCTTGTACTGTGAATTTTCTTAAAAGAGAACAAAAGCTAAAAGCTAGCAGGTAATATTGAAAGGCTAGAAATCTGTTGCAATTAGAACACTAATGATAATGCCACTTAAACACTTTTTTTTTTTTTTGAGATGGAGTCTTGCTCCTGTGGCCAGGCTGGAGTGCAGTGGCATGATCTTGGCTCACTGCAACCTCCACCTCCCAGGTTCAAGCAATTCTCCTGCCTCAGCCTCCTGAGTAGCTGGGACTACAGGTGTGTGCCACCACACCCGGCTAATTTTTGTATTTTCAGTAGAGATGGGGGTTCACCATGTTGACCAGGATGGTCTCAATCTCTTGACCCCAGGGGATCCGCCCACCTTGGCCTCCCAAAGTGCTGGGATTACAGGCGCGAGCCACCGTGCCTGGCCTAAATACTCATTTTCTTATGATGTATGTGATGAATACACACACACACACACACACACACACACACACGATTTTCCAAGCATTGTATCTTGCCATTATACTCAGTGAACAGTTAAGCTCTCTCAAATCTCAACACTTTGAGCTTCCAAAATGATTTATTGTTATTAAATGGAGATACAACAATAAGAAGTAGTCTGTATACTCTGTGTATATAGATTTCAGTCTATAATAGGCAGCAGAGCCCAAATTTTGAAGACAAATTATAAAGTTTCTCAGGAAATCCAGGCCTGTTGAAGAGAAGTACAAAGCCATATGCATTATTCTTGTTTTTGCTTTATTTTAAAATCTTATTTATACTAGGATTTCAGAAAACCAAAATTTGATTGGCAATAGAATTGTGTTTTTATGCTGGTTCCTTAAACTAAGGGAAAAAAGAAGTGGCAGTAAGATTATGGATTTCAGTATGTGATCAGAGTCAAATTCTAGGAAGCTTAAGTTGTAGGAACTTGGAAATTCGTTGATTACACATGGTTTCTGAGGAATGCGTATCATTCTCCATGTAGTGGCTTCATTCAATTCCCATATTATAGAGCTTCTCGTTTTCACTTATATAAATATTTAGGTTAGATGAAATAACGACAAACATCAGTAACAATTAAGTAACAGGTAGTATTATTTATATTGCATATAAAATTTAAGAAAGTAACATGAACAAAATTGTGGCCTAAATCATATAGAAATTTAATATAAAGCATCTTTGAAAAATTCCATGGCTGTGCTAATCACCCAAGAATCAATGCCCTTTGATGAATTCACTCTGTGACTCTGGAAAAATGGGAGATAACAATGACCTTCAACCTAAAATCTGGGTATCTGATGAAACCTGTCATCTTTAATTTTGCATAATAACTTATTTTGCATATATTTATTTACAGCGTAATACTGTCCAAATGTAAATACTTGGCATTCTATTTTGTCCATATATCCCTATCTAGTACTCACTCAACACATATCTAGTTCTTTATCTGTTCTACTTCCTTCTACGTCACAATATGTTGAAAACTTTTCATGAGAAAAGTACATTTTTCTCAAAACCATCAATTTTTACGCTTCCTCACCCATGTTATTCTGTGCAAACATCTATCGAGAGAATAAGGGGTGAGTCTTGCTATCAAACCACTTGGGGCTCTTTGCTCCAGAGATTAGTCTTTAGTTTCAAGGAGCATGACTATTTTCCTCAATAAATCTCAATGGGCTCAGACATAAACAGATTGAATGAATTCACAGATGACCTTAGCTGTTCCCTCTCGTATTCTCTTTTCCAAACCATATGTATCAATGATGTTAACATGAGAATGTATGGACCTTGACTTTGTGAAATAATTTAATATATGGAAATACAGGTAAGGCATATAATGGAAGCCAAGAAACTCTTCAGCACTTAAGGTCTAGGTTATGTTTTAGAATTATGTTTTTTATCACTTTTTAAGGCAAAAGTAACAGAATTCGAGTGAATAACTATAGATTACAACACATGAATAGAATTAAACAGTAGAAAGCTTTTGGAGTTGTGAGTAGGGGGGAAATTCTATTATTCATCTGTGTTAAGAAAAACTGGTACACTGAAATGAGTTTCTGGAACTGCCAATGTCTGCAACTCTGAGTACACTACACATAAAAAGTATGGCTAGCTAAAACACATTATTATTTAGGATTTTTACTATATTAATATCATCATAAGCATTGAATCAGAGTTATGTGTTAAACTGAAATTTTATTAAATATTTCATTAAATTGGATAACAGTATCAGTGTAAGAAAAAAACTTGTTAAAAAATAAACTCATTAAAGTTGAATAAAAATACGATGGCTTATTTATAGTATTTTATATTTTTAAGACGGAGTATTCCTCTGTCACCCAGGCTGGAGTGCAGTGGTGCGATCTCAGCTCACTGCAACCTCCACCTCCCGGGTTCAAGCAATTCTCCTGCCTCAGCCTCCCAAGTAGCTGGGACTACAGGCCCCTGCCACTACACCTGGCTAATGTTTGTATTTTTAATAGAGATGGGGTTTCACCTTGTTGGTCAGGCTGGTTTTGAACTCCTGACCTCTGCTGATCTACCCGTCTCGGCCTCCCAAAGTGCTGGGATTACAGGCGTACAGGCGTGAGCCATGGTGCCTGGCCTATGGTATTTTTTAATTATGTAAAATAAAGTAAAACTTATGTAAAAATTACTTACAATTTTTCTTTAAAAATTTAAAGTAGTAGATTACAAAAAGACATGAAGTAGTGTTACAGCTCTTTTAGAATTTGTCTAGCAGGTTTTTGGTTTTTTAGCGAAACCCTCCCCAGCCAATATACACACAAAGACGATGCAACTAATCCTCTCAGAAAGCAATCTCAAGTTTATAGAACAAATCTCTCTCTTTACATGTATTCTTTTCCTTCTAAATTTTTCTCATTTGAGCCTCTGAGAAGTTCTATATTTGCTATTTATCTTTCTATTTAAATTTCTCTATAAAGTCATCCAAATTCTCAAATTCATAAACACAAAGGAAAATGTTTCAGATCCTCTTGCTTGACCACTAGGTGACATTTCACACCATTCATCACTTCTTCCTTCCCATAAACCTTTCCTCCCTCAGTTTCTTGACTCTCTCGGGGATCCCCTGCTCCTCAGCTTGTTGTTTATGTGATGCTGATCCTCAGGCCTTCTGCTTTCTGTTTGTCTTTGCTCTTTGAGAAACATTAAACTTTCCTTCTGCTTTAGCTCTCACAATCATGGAAAATATGTAGCAGTTGAAGATTCTTGCCACTTTATCCTGTGCTACATGCCCATGAAATAAAATAGAATGCATTTATAAGTCTTTCCTGATTTATAAATTCTCAAAATCCATCACATTGTGAACCAGGAATAGGGTTTATTTCCCCAGGTAAAGTCTGAAATCATGGGCAAATCTCACCAAGGATGTGGGAATAAACCTAATGAAATGTAAACTGTGTTGCCTCTCACAATACCTTTTGCCAGGACAGAGCTCATAGATGGTTCAGCAGCTTTGTTTTAAAGAATGGCAACCTAGTGCTCCCTGTTATTGCCAGGAGTTCTGGGCCTTCACGTTAGCAGTTAGGCTAAAAGGGAAGCAACACAGGGAGGAGGGTATAATGAGGCATGTTCGACTCCCACTTCCTGTCAGGGTCTGAATGTTTTTCTGTTTTGGGTTCTTCTTGGCCAGGAGGTGGGTTCCATTCAGTTAGCTGAGGGGCTTAGAATTTTATTTTTGGTTTACAATTGGAAAAGTAAATGCCAACTGAGAGGACAAAAATCCTTATAGATATTACATTGGCTGGGCTTCTGTGATTATTCATATCAAAGTAAAGATAAGATTGTTTATTAGGGGACCATGAAATTTAATCAGTGAAGACATGTTAGAATTTTCACTGAAGAAAAATTGTAAGGAAGTATCATTTGTAGAGGACACTATTGTGTCAAGGGGATATCTCTTTCTTATGCTTTTATTTTTCTCGGTTAAATTTCTTATTAACATGTTTATCAACTGAAGTTATGGCAAGAATTACATTTCTACAATAGGTAACAATGCTGCAGGAACAAGACCATGTTTAATGGATTATTCCTATCTCTGTTAAGCTTTCCTCAAAATAATTAGAAAATACTGCATTCACCCGAGGATAAAACATTCAAGCAGAAATGACAAGATAAATATATGCGAGAAAAGGGGACGGACTGCTATGTAACTCGATAAATTGTCTGGCATATTTATTTGTTTTCCATTATGTTTAAGGTGTTTCAAAGGATTATGAAAATGAGATAGAATCAAAATGAGAGTTCTTCTCTTGTAGCAAATGACTTTTCAATACATCAGTTAATTGAACTGTTTTCCCACAAAGAAGGCCGCAGACAGTATCAACTATCAAAACTTTTAGAGAAAAATGTTGCATTCTTGCTAAAAATTAGGGAAAAAATCCTGTTACATTTAGTTTTATTAAGTTACAAGAGGAAACTAAGCATTATTTTTAAAATGAAGATAAACTGCTGGCAAAGCTACATTCTCCTCACTTATTTTAAATAATTTTATTCATTCTTCATTGTCTTAGTGAGGCAACCATCATTGATCATTCTATTATGGAGAATACTGTAACCAATATTAGCACTTGAAAAAAATATCTTGAGGATTGAGAGTCTGAATTTACACCAATGTATCCCATAAGCAGAGAAAGTGTTGGCAACTGCAGCCAGTACCACCCTTAAGTCAGGGCAAGAGACAAGCTCACTGGGATAATGTGTGCTTCCCCCATGTTCCTGGCACCAGAGGAACATGGCCTGGAACCATGTTCCTGGCACCAGAGACCCTACAATTCCTTCACTATATGGTGCCAACCCACATCCAAGTACTGTACCAGCCTCTTCCCAGTTTCACCTTCATGAATTTAGATTACATGTTCAATGTGACCATACCTAGCTCATACGAGTGACCAAAGAAGAGAAGTGTGAGAGAATGAAGCTTGGGAAGAGAAAGTAGGTGGCCCGTGGACCGGCTTTCCTCCTGTGGTCACATCTGCATTTTTGCTCACACTGTTTTCTCCATATGATATTCTCCCTACTCTCCTGGTGAATCCTGACTTATCTTTCAAGGCTGGTTTACTTAAGCACAACAATAATTTTTCTAATATGTTATTACATGTTACTATTTATACATGTTACTATTAGTTACACATGTTACTATTATTGCCGTTGTCATTTGATATTACCTGGGTTTTTTTGCTACCTTTCAATTTCCCATCTGAGCCTTTGAATGCTGACAATATTTTTTTAATTTTTTTTATCCCTACTGACTTCTCCAGTGCATAAAATAAATTATCATATGATGGGCGTTAGTAAATCTCTTTGAACTAAATAATGATAACATATTATCTATTCAAACAAAATTTGGGATTCTAATCAGCTATTCGGTTGGTTACTCAAATGCATTTATTGTGTAATATTCTTGTCATTGTGTAATTGCTATTTTAAATGTATCTCCTGGAACAAGTGGTATTTTCATTGACATGATATTCTATCCATTAAATTGTCATCTAAGTACAAGAGAAAATGGTAAGAAGTATGATAATATTTATAATTTCAAAAAGTTCTGATCAGTTGTTGAACTCAAGTAGTCAGAAATCAAAAGGATGAGTGCTAATAGAAATAAATGCAATGGTGTAATGAAAGTTTGTCTTGTAGGCTAATCCATGGAGACTTCATACTTGATAGCATGATTTGACCATTATAGTAAAAGGAAAAATTTCATTAGTGTGTGTCTTATACTATTTTGTGGAAACTGTGTCTTGTATTATTCTGTATAACTCTGTGTAAATTTGTTCTTGTGAAAATGCTAAGTAACCACAGATACAGTTTTTTCTTTTAACTTTTAAGTTCATGGGTACATGTGCAGGATGTGCAGGTTTGTTACACAAGTATATGTGTGTCATGGGGGTTTGTTATACAGATTATTTCATCACCCAGATATTAAGCCTAGTATCCATTAGTTATTTTTCCTGATCCTCTCCCTACTCCTACCTTCCACCTTGTGATAGGCCCCAGTGCTTGGTGTTCCCGTCTATGTGTCCATGTGTTCACATCATTTAGCTCCCACTTAAAAGCGAGAACATGCCATGTCTGTTTTTCTGTTCCTGTGTTAGTTTGCTAAAGATAATGGTCTCCAGATCCTCTCATGTCCCTACAAAGGACATGATCTAGTTTTATTGAGAAAGTATCAAGAAACCTATCAGTCCCTAAATATTTCTTCCCACTAATTACAATGATTTGAATTGTGACTGGGGCTGTACTTAGTCCTGAACATATGATCATATTATCAGTAGAAAAAAGGGTTGCCCCAAATAAAACCCATGTATTGATAATATAAAAAATGTATATTTATAGCCCAAATCTCTCCTCTGGGTTCTAAATTCCAATTTAATTCTTAATATGCTTAATTGGATACCGCGAAAATGCCAAATTCAACATGCAGAACAGAACCTTTTGTTTCTCAAATACCAATTTTCCACATAGCAGTAAATGTTCTATCATATACCCAATTTCTTAAGATAGAAACCTAGAAGCTATTTTTCCTTCCAGTTTTTTCTTGCCTCCTGCTTACCATGATGTCCAATTTGTCAGAAAGTTTCAATGATTCAAGTTTCAGTCAATTTTCCTCTAAGTATATTATGAATTTATCTTCCTTTCTTGTCTAAAGCTACCACATTTGTCTATCATGTCATTCCTCATATGGACTTCTTCAGCAGTCTCTCAAGCGATCTCCCTGCTTCCACCCTTGCCGCCTCTAATCCTTCCTTACGCATAATCTTAAAATGTGAGGCAGATCTTATCCCTTCTCTGCTGAAAGCCTTTCTGTTGCACTTGGAATAAAAATGCAAGTGCCTTCCTGCATCTGATCCTTCTTGCTTTCTCCCTGGTGGGTTACTCCAGCCTTATAACAATACCTTCATTGCTCTTTATACTTCTGCCACATTTTTCTTCACTGAGTTCTTCTGCTTGTCATTCACTTTATTCCAGTTTTTACGTGGCTACCACCATTTAATTATTCAATTCGTAGTTTCAATATCCATTTCTCAAAGAGATGTTCCCACATATAATGTAGCTTCATTCCACCTACTCACACACATTTTTCTCCATTCCTTTTTATGTCTTTCATAGCATTTACCCAAATTTACAGAGTTTATTCTTCTACTAGCAATTATGTTCATCTCTCTTATTCTGTCAGAATGAGAACCACGTCTGTTTGATTTACTAAAGGATTTCCATTACCTTGCATGGTTCCTGTTGTATAATAATTAATATTTGTTGAAAAATAAGTGTATTTAGGATAGATTTACTAACATGTAGCCTACTGAAGCCCCCTGAAAAATATTCTAATGTAAATCATACAGATGTTTTCCTCTTAAAACTTTATTAAAATAAGATGGAATACAAATATATAAACAAAGAAACAACCAGGCAGTGCAGTTTTAAATTTAATTGGTAAAAGTAATAGGTTTTCCAAAATATCTGTCCATAGGATAGTGAAAGCGCTTTTGCTATTTTCAAACTACATTGGTTCTTATCTTTATATTTGAGGAAGATGCAACTCTTAACATGTCAAATTTTATCTATTAGTTTCACATTTTACCTTATAATTTAAAAGTGACTTCCGTTGTCACTGGGGTATCTATCAAAAACATGTCTATAAATATCCTTTGCTCATTTTCTTGAAACGCAGTGTGAAAGAATATTGTAATTCTTTGCAATTTCATAAAAATAATAGTCAAGCTTTTTTTCTGAGAAAAAATCTACTATATCCATGCTTGCTTTTTATAGTTTGGTTTTGGTTAAACAACATAATAGATTAAATAGACTATGTTGTGATATAAAGACAGCCAGTTTAATATATTAATTATGTGCTAGATTTTCCCATGTACCTATAAACAAAATGTGTGCCCAAATACTCAAAATGAAATGGATATTTAAAATGACAACGATAGATGGCCAGATTAAATGAGTTAACTCAAATCTTAATAAAATTCCCTTTTTTGCTGAAATGGTTAGGTAATTACAATAGAAAATGCATTTTAAGCCCAGATAGCCCCAATATTGCATTTGTTTGCTGTATTTTGCTTTAGACACAGTCTATATTTTACCATTATTATAACACCCAAGAAGCTGTCTTTAATTATAAAATAAAAATCATTCCATTCTGTGTTATCTCTACAATTCAGTCTCCAGGGGAAAGAGTTCTAGCAAAAAAAAGGGCCATGTATGTAGTAATTTGAAAAAAAACCATGCTAGATGAGGTATGAAATGGGACAAATCTTAACATTTATATGTTTATTTTTCCTTTCTTCTGAAGGTTCTTAGTGAATAACTGTATTCCTATGAGACAAAGCAGAGTTTACAATAACTGAATTACGTTATAGAAAACCATGCACTTGGGGTTTTAATATTTTAATATTTTTGTTTTGAAGCAAATCTTGTGATTTTTCTATGTGTTATGAGTCAAAAATTTTGAGACACTAATAAGTAGGAGGGAACAGTTAAAGGATTTTTATAGTTCTCTTTATTCCCACTTAAAATAAAATCAGCTATTATTCATAATGCTGTCCACCATCTCTGCTTGGTAGGGGCAAATTCAACAGTCCATGAATCCTTGGAGCCAAGATGTGGTAGTTTTAATATGTTGGAGGCAGAGAAATTAGGGAGAGGGTGGTTTACAACCTCCACTTGCCTGAATAATTGAATACAACGTGATAGTTTATTTTTATAAGTTGTCCGTGGTCTAAGAGTGCAGTGGTTAGAGGTGAAGCAGGGGATAGAATTTATCTACTACCACACTATCATTTCCTGCAAAGTCTTCAAACAATTCTTAAACAGAGGAACAGACCTTTTCTCAAATGGATTTAATGAGATTTATCATGCAGTCCATGAAGTGAAAAATCTAAAATCCCGGAGATATATATAAAATATTCAACTTTTCTGAGTGAAAACTTGTATGTATCTTAAGAAAAGGGAACTCCTTTTTAGGGTAATTTTGTAATTTTTTAAAATATTATCTTTTCCTATATGGCGGGAAACATTATGTGACAAAAGAAGAAACTAAGGTTTCCCCCTAAATCTCCCATAGAAACACCAAACTATAAAATAAAAGCTGGCCGGGCGTGGTGGCTCACGCCTGTAATCTCAGCACTTTGAGAGTCCGAGGTGGGTGGATCACGAGGTCAGGAGATCGAGAGTGTCTTGGCCAACATGGTGAAACCCCGTCTCTACTAAAATACAAAAAATTTGCCAGGCGTGGTGGTGCATGCCTGTAATCCCAGCTACTTGGGAGGCTAAGGCAGGGGAATCGCTTGAACCCAAGAGGTGGAGGTTGCAGTGAGCTGAGATCGTGCCACTGCACTCCAGCCTGGTGACAGAGCAAGACTCTGTCTCAAAAACAAATTAATTAATTAATTAATTAATTAATTAATTAAAAAAATAAAAGCTGAGCCAAAATATCAGCTAAACCTCTATTAAGTCTGGGATACATTTTATCATATTTAGAAATCATTTTACATATAAATCGTATGTAAAGTGACATATTTAAGCTATCAGAAATATTAACATCACAGATAAGTTTCTAATTTATTCTGTACATAGTAAGATATTACAGATGGAGAGAGAAAAGATATACATTCAAGGATCAGACATTTTTCATAACTCCACATGATTCAAGTGATTGACAGTTACAGAATTTTTAATAGCAAAGACAATTCACAAAAAGGTTAAATTCATAAGACTAGATGCAGCTTGTCAAATAAGATTAACAAAAACATCTAGTAATCCAAAGTAAGAAAAGAAGGTGAAGTTTAAATGGACAGCAGAACACTTGAATTAAATCAGCATATCTCTCTGTGAATCTAATGAGCTTACATTATGAGTATTCTTTGATTCACTCCAGCAATCCAAAATTGCTTAAGCATTCAGCCAAGCAGTAATTTTATTTGAAATTACTTAGACTTTATGTGTGCTGAATGACCATGGCTTGGATTTTTATTTGTGTTGAATTAACAAAGTTGACCTTCATAGATATTAGCACCCTATTTAAACTTACCTTTATATAACAAATTCCACATTTCTCTCTAAATACGCTGCATAGCCTTAACAGGTACAGTAAGACTCAAAATACAGTCTCATCAGCTTCACTCAAGACAGGTCATTAGAATATTCACTCTTCTTATAGCCATGCTTTAAGCCATATTTATATGGCGCTGTCAGTACCTGAATAAAAACAGTGATATTTTTGATGTTCAGACCCATCCTTATGAGATCCGTAGCCATGAGGGGATGTGAGACTAAGTAATCCTATGGAAGGTCCAATCTTGACCAACCTGTCACCAAGGACACTTAACAAACTTCTGTACTTTTATCATGAGGAATAAGGGTAAATCTGTGAAACTTCAGTCATATTTCAGCCAATGTAAGGAAGAATTCTAAAATGTTAGCCATTCAACATGCCTCAGAAAGTATGGCTGTCCTCACTAGAATTTTCAGATAGATGGTGAATGGCCATTTTGTCTTAGATGTCAAAGAGATTTTTATTCATCCACAGACGGTGATACAGGTAACTGTCAAAGTTTCTTGAAGTCTAGATTATATTTCATAATATTTAGCTCTAATTCTTAAAGAAAAAAATTCTTATCCTCAGTTGTCACAGAAAGAGCCATCTGACAGATGTGGGCAGCTAGATTGTCTGTCAGAATGTATATTTGGACTGGCATGTATTATAGAGTGCACCTTGGGTAAAGTCCTATGATGTAAAGACAACAGACAGGTTGGAGTGGCTAGGCCTGTGAATAGAAAACAGCACTAAATAATCTCCACTGTAGATGTTCAATCTTGGCCAAAAGTCCAAGGTCTTCATCAACCAATCTATAAAATGAAGGGATTGGATGTTATTTTATTCATCAATTATGTCTGGAATGTTCATTATATTTCAAGTCCTGCAGATACAAAATGTAAAGATATAATCTTTAAAGTACTTCTGGTCAAGCAAGTAGAGCCAGGTGAGCAATGGCGTCTCAAGGAAGGCTTCCTGGAGGAGGTGAACTCTGAGTCTGAAAAAGACAGAGATTGAGTCAGGGAGCATACTGAAAACACGATTGTTATGAATCCAAGCTGGAAAAGTCATGGTGGGTGAAAATGTGTGTGATGGAGTTGGAGTAATGGGGAGAAATGATGAGAGGCTCCTTTGAAATTTCAGCCCCCCTGAATGTATTTCTATGCCATTGACTTAAAAAAATAATGTTTTAATTTTCCACTCAGTATGATTTTCTTCAGGATAAAAACCATATTTCAATGTTGTTCTTTCCACTCTACCTCCCTAAACCTCCGCCTTACTACTACCACTTAGAGTGACTGATAATCACAGACTCTCAATAAATAGGTTGATGAATGAATGCTATACTCCTTTTCCCCTAGGCAAGGATGCAAAGTTAAATAAATAAATAAATTAATTGATTAATTAATTTTTAAAAATTGAGTCAGAGGTCTCTAGGCAATTAACTGCCCATTGGTCTTTTGCATAAACAGGTCTTGGCCTCTTGGCCTCTACCCAACCCTGTAAAGTTTCCATAGCTTCCCTCTACTCCCTCCCAATTTCATACCTCATAAAGGTCTAAGTTGACAACTGATATAATTAAGGGACCTCACAGTAAAATGAATCTTTACATGTGAAAAATACTGTTTTGCATCCCCCAGCCTATGGGAGGCAGCACTGGTACTCAGAGCAGCAATGAGGCAATAATTTGGAAGCCTGAAAAATGAAGAATCCAAATGAAATCAAAGCTAGTTGGTAAGCCTATTTTATCAAGCAGTTCTGTGTCTTGGGATTTTTTTCTGCAGGCTCACTAAATCTGCTTTACGTTGCTGCCATGTTTTATACATAATTGTTAATTGTTCCCATGTTTACCCATTGCTCAGTAAATCGCTGGCACTAACTTCAGATAAGTCATGGGCCGGGCGCGGTGGCTCACGCCTGTAATCCCAACACTTTGGGAGGCCAAGGCAGCGGATCACCTGAGGTCAGGAGTTTGAGAGCAACCTGGCCAACATGGTGAAACCCCACCCTACTAAAAATACGAAAATTAGCCAGGTGTGGTGGTGGGCACCTGTAATTCCAGCTACTTGGGAGACTGAGGCAGGAGAATCACTTGAACCCGGAAGGCAGAGGTTGCAGTGAGCCGAGATGGTGCCGTTGCACTCTAGCCTGGGCAACAAAAACGAAACTCTGTCACACACACACACACAAAAAAAGAAGTCATAAAAGTCATATGGAGGAACTATCCAGCAGTCAGGCTAAGGTAGGTATAGTACATGGGGCACAAGATTTGCTATTGAGTATTTCTGTGCCAAGGGCATTAATGAATGAGTGTCTTTAAATGGATACTTGACAAACAATTGCAGAATTTTATTCATTTCAGAGCCAGGGAGCATAAGTATTACTCAAAAATTAACACACACTATGTTTTCATCTAGCACAAGGAGTAGCAAATTGCCCATGTGCCAAGTGAGAAATCTTTCATCAGCCCTGCTAAGGGTTATGTCTTTCAGGATAGTCATTTTTCCTTTGGCTCCAATTCATCCTGATGGCTTAAATATGAGGTCAGGTTCAAAGAGTCTAAATCGGTGAAATGATTTCCTTTTGAGTGGAGGCAGGAGGAGAACAGAGTTATCTGTCCCATCACTAGAATATATTGATTTGGCACTAGAAAGAAGAGAAGTAAAACAAATGGGCTGTTTATGTGACTTCTATTAAGAAACATTTACATAATTCAAGCTAGCAGGGGAAAATGTCACCTATTAGAGGATATGCTTTTGGAAAAAGGGAAATAATAACATTGAGATCTCTCTTTACTGGAGACTTTCAAGTAAAATATGCCTCATGTCTACAGAAAATATATAATGGCATTAGTAATGAAAAACTCATATATAATGTAAGTTATCATTTTGAGAAAGCCAGCTATTACTTTTGCATTTCCTCAGTAAATTGTCACATTGCATGCATTTGAATTCTTACAAGACAATTTTCTCATTATTAATAGAAGAAGGAAATTACAGTATCTTTTACTTATAAGTCACTAGATATTAGTGAAGATTCCCTTGAACTTCCTCTGTCCTCAGTATAATAAACATTGAAAGGCACTTTTATGTAGAGATTATTACATCAACTTTAAAGTTATGCAGAGCTGGATTTAAAGTTTGGCTCCACTAACGTATCATTACAAGGGACAGAAAACATGATTTAAACTAGCTTGAGCAAGTAATGGGAATTTGTTCATATAATTAACATTTCAAGGGAATCTGGATTCAGGTAGAGTTGAATTCAAGGATCAAATTGTATGATCAGAACTGAATTTCTCCCCATCTCTTGGCATGATCTTCTCTCTTCCATGCCATGATTTTTATTAGTTTGTTGGGAGATGGCTATAGCTCCATCTTCTCTCAGGAGCAAACATAGGGATGTTCAGCCAGGAAGACAGTGGGCTTGTAGAACAGAGCTTCAGAAACAGTTGCCCTAAAAATTGATGATTATTATTAGAAATTTAATAAATACATTCTTGGTGATGAAAATGCCATTTTTCATCCCACAACAATTTACTGTGTGATCTTGGGCAACTTATTTAGCCCACCCAAGCCTCAATTTCAATTGTAAAATGGAAATGATATTAAGTACTTTCTAAGGCATCTAAGGTTTAAACAAATTTTTGAAAACTGTTTCTAAAGCCCTTGGTAGAATACATGACCAATAATAATTGGGAAATAAAGCTGCTAAAAAAAGTCCAGAAAGAAGTATGAGTAGGCAAAAGGGGTTCTGATTCCAGGCCCTGATCACAGGACTGATGGTCCTTCTAAAGCGGAACTACATTTCTGTGACAAAAATGCATTTGAAAGTTTGTGACTAAGTGCATGGAATAGCATAAACTTGCCAAAAAAAAATTACACCAGCATTTATGAGAGAGGCAGTATATTTGGCAGAGAGAAATAAAAAGGAAAAATATCTGTGTTCTTGCTATATGAAAAATGCATCATTTGTTATAATCCTTCCACCTACAGAGGAAAAAGAGACAGTCAAGGACAAAAACATAGCTTCATGCATATGCATCACTTGATTATAGAACATTGGTAAAATTTCCTTGTATCTGTTAGGGTCTTCAGCCTGATAGGTCAAAGAATACCCACTGGGCTGGACTAGATGATGAAATTGATGAGAGAGAGAGGAAGAGAGGAGAAAAGAAGAGGAGAGGAGAGAAAGAAAAAAAGAATGATGAAGAAAGTATAAACCAGGGATGTGTGCATTAGGCATTAATGCTGGCAAATATGTGGGGCTCCATATCTTCCTGGAAACATGCTAATGATCTTATTCTGACTTCCTCACAAGCAATATGGATTTGCAGAAGGGCAACAAGGGATAGTTGCCCTGATTAGGAAAATAGTCGAGGGTAAAGTACTGATTCTAAAACTCTCTAATAGTCCTGTCAGTCCAGAACTCAAGGCAGATTTTCTGGAGACAGAGTAGACTATGGGGAAGAAACATGATGTTTCCCCTATTACTTCAGCTATACTCATATAGTAAAGACAGGACAAAAAGTACAACAGGGAAAGTCAATTGATTTGCTATGATAGGCATGGCAATTATCTTCTTTTTCATTTCTGTCTCAGAGTCCCGTTAGGCACAATTTACATTTTATAAGATGACATTTAATATACATGTGTGTTTTTTGCCACAGGGATATTTGAATTCATCAGCACACCATTTGCCTTAGTCTGTTTCAGCTGCTATAACAAAAATAACATAGTCTGGATGGCTTTAAAATGACAGAAATTTTTTTATCACAGTTCTGGAGGCTGGAAACTGCAAATCAAGGAGCTGGCAATTTGGTGTATGATGAGGGCCTGCCTGGATTGTCACATGGCAAAAACTGTCATGTGCGTCCATGTGAAGAGACCACCAAAAAGGCTTTGTGTGAGGAATAAAACTTTTTACTCACCTGGGTGCAGGCGGACTGAGTCCGAAAATGGAGTCAGCAAAGGGAGATGGGGTGGGACAGTTTTATAGGATTTGGGTAGGTAGTGGAAAATCACAGTTAAAGGGGGTTATTCTCTTGTGAGCGGGGATGGGGGTTACAAGGTACTCAGTGGGGAGGTTCTGAGACTCATTGTCTAGGAGAAGGAATGTCACAAGGTTAATTGATCAGTTAGGGTGGGGCAGGAACAAATCGCAATGGTGGAATGTCATCAGTTAAGGCAGGAACTGGCTATTTTCACTTCTTTTGTGATTCTTCAGTTGCTTGAGGCCATCTGGATGTATATGTGCAGGTCACAGGGGATATGATGGCTTAGCTTGGGCTCAGAGGCCTGAGTAAAAGGACTAGGGAGCTTTGTGGGGTCTCTTTTATAAGGGAACTTATCCCATTCATGATGGCTCCATACTCATGACTAATCACCTCCCAAAGTCCTCACCTCCTAATACCATCACTATTGGAGATTAGGTTTCAATATATGAATTTTAGCGGGATATAAACTATAAGTCCATTGCACTGTCATAATCAAGGATGGAGCAACTTGGAATCAATAATTATCAAGAATTACATACTATATTAAAGATGTCCAAGTGATTGTGTTTTCAGAGAAAGAAGTTCAAGAAAGAGTAATTAAGGACTGTAGTCATTCATATGACAAATGAGGACTGGTTGATAAACCCATCTAACATCTAAATTCTGGCTCAGAATATTAATTGTTGAGGAATTACATGGATGGAGCTACTAGCAAATACATTTTACCTCTTACTAACCATGATGGCTGATTTGGGGTATCAACTTGACTGGATTAAGGGATACTTGGGTAGCTGGAAAGGCACTAAATATTCTCAGTGCTTCTATAGGCACTGAGCCTGTCCCTCTTCTGTTAAAAATAAGCCAGGTGGTTTGGCATTAGATTAGAAGATTGAGCTGCCCTAGGTGTGTCTGTGATGGTGTTTCAAAAAGAGATTGGCATTTGAGTCAGTGGAAAGAGTAGAGAAGATCTGCCCTTACTGTGGGCAGGTATCATTTGATCAGCCAGCTAGAATGGAACAAAAAAGTAGAGGAAAGGAGAATTCTTACTGTCTCTTCCAGAGCCTGAACACCCTTATTCCACCCTTGGACAACAGAATTCCATATCCTCCACCCTTTGAGACTTGCACCTGTGCTGCCTCCTCTCCAAAAAACCCTCTCCCCTTGGGGTTCATGGGCCTTTGGCTTTAGACTGAGATTCACCATCAACTTCCTTGGTCCTGAGGCCTTTGAACTTGAACTGAGTCACACTGCTGGCTGGCTTTTCTGGTTCTCAAGCTTGCGTATGGCCTATCATGGGACTTCTCAGCCTCTATAATCAAATGAACCAATTCCCCTAATAAATCCCTTCTGATCTATGTCTCTCTCTCTCTCCATACACACACACACACACACACACACACACACACACACACATATATGATCCAATCATATATATTGGATATATATATGATTGGACTGGGGGGCAGTTTTCCCCATGCTGTTCTCATGATAGTGAGGGAGTTCTCACAAGAGCTGATGGTTTTAAATGAGGCACTTTCTGGTTCTCGCTGACACTCCTGCCGCCTTGTTAAGAAGGTGCCTGCTTCCCCTTCCACCATGATTGTAAGTTTCCTGAGGCCTCCTAGCCATGCTTCCTGTTAAACCTGCAGAACTGTGAGTCAATTAAACCTCGTTCCTTATAATGACCCTGTCTCAGGTAGTATTCTTTATAGCAGTGTGAGAATGGACTCCACTGATGTTACATAACCACCAAATACATTGTTTTCCTTATGCTTTAAACTGTCAATTATCTTTTAGTGGTTAAAAGTAAGAAAAAAATGGCTTTTATTTTTATCTTTAACTTTACCTTTTCCAGTGCTTTCATATTCTTTGTGTAGATCAGATTCCCATTTGTTATACTATTTCTTATGCCTGAAGACATTTATTTACTTCTTGCACTGCAGGTATGCTTGCATTGAGTCTCTCAGCTTTTGTTTTTCCAATAATTATTTACTTTGCCATTATTAAAATATGTATTTGCTACATATTGAAATCTAGATGAGTTTTTTTCACTCAGAACATAAAGATATTGCTCTTTTTTTTCTGACTTGTATAGTTTCTAATGAAAAGTATGCTATAATTTTTACTTTTGTTCCTTTGTATCTAGTAATACTTTTATTCTCTGTATACCTTCAAGGTACTCTCTTTATTTCTGATGTTCAGAAGTTTGACTATAATGTATCTAGGTGATGTTTGGTTTGGTTTGGTTTATTTTCTTTTTAAATTGTTTATTCTGCTAGAGAGTTCTAAGCTTCTTGAATATATGGTCCATTTTTATTTCACTAACTTTGGAAATTCTTGGCCAATACCTCTTCAAATATTCCTCTGTGCTGTTCTTTTGATTCTGTCTTGTTATTTGTGGATTTTAATCACATCTATGTTAAAGTCTTTGGTATTGTCCCACAGCTATCTGTGCCTCACTGGCTTCAAATTCCTCCAGTTCTCGGCTTCTGTTATTTTGTACCCAGTATATGGCCTGAGATGCCAGGGTATTTTTTCTCAGTGTTTCCAATTTCCTCAGCTTTCAGTAGTTTCTGAATGTTTGTGCCACAGAGAGGACATTTTCTCATTCTTTCTTCATTGATAGATTGTTGAGCTCATGGTGGTGCAGCAAAGATGTTTTCAGTTTTACTTGTTCAGCTTCAATACTGTGCAGGGCTTGTGATCCTGGGCCTTGGATAAATGGTCTTTTAAGCACCCCTGCCCCTCCTCTACTTGGCAGTCAGACTCTGCCTATGTATTTGTTGGGTCTTGGACAGGAGAGCTTCCTGTTCCTTCCCCAGTTGTAGCCAATTTCTATTTGGTGTCCATGAAGGAGCCTGGACCAAGTGATTTTTCTGCTCCTCCACTGGGGCACAGGGCCTCTGCCTCTACCCTTGCCTAGAAGCAGTGGATTTTTTTTTTTTTTTTTTTGAGACGGAGTTTTGCTCTTGTTCCCCAAGCTGGAGTGCAATGGTGCAATCTTGGCCCACTGCAACCTCCGCCTCTCAGGTACAAGTGATTCTCCTTTCTCAGCCTCCAGAGTAGCTCGGATTACAGGCATGCACCACCACGCCTGGCTAATTTCTTTCTTTCTTTTTTTTTTTGTATTTAGTAGAGATGAGGTTTCACCATGTTAGTCAGGCTGGTTGCAAACTCCTGACCTCAGGTGATCCACCTGCCTTGGCCTCCCAAAGTGCTAGGATTACAGGCGTGCACCACCGCACCTGGCCACGAAGCAGTGTGTCTTTATATTTTGTATGAGAGTAGTGCCCAGAAAAGCAGTTGATGTTTGATGCCTGACCCAGGGAGCAGCTGAAAACTACCTGTGCACCTGCATCACAGAGGTGGCAATTTTACAACCGCCTGCTTTTTTGTGGGCATTGGGTGGAGGCCTATGAAAAAGACCTTTCTAGTGAACATGGCTCCCCGCTTCTGACTGGAGGTCTCAGTTATTCTGAGCTTATCTGCTAACCCTTGTTAGTTGGCCTACTTGTTACATAGCTCTAAAGGATGTTATAGTTCGTTGCAGAGGATATAACCATTGCCATGAATGCACAGGGAACCTGGGAAAGCTTTTCTGATGCCCTAGAGCTCAAAGAGAAATATGTGGCTTATTTAAAATTAATATAGTTTAAGACATCAATTTTCAAAGTTTTCAGCAGCATAAACCCTTTTCTATAAGAAATGTTAAGTGGAACCCCCAAAACCAGGAGTAATTTACAAAGTCAAAATTATAATTGATTTTTTAAAGTGATTTCAACACTGTGAAAGCAATAGATGAGAGGCTTTTATAGTAAAGTCATAGAAAATCCTTGGTCCTTTTACCATGATTTGAGCAAAGATTTGGGATATCAGTCCAGTCAATCTGTTTATTTGAACTCTCCAGCACAAAGAGAAGAAGCCTTACGTCCTCCTTATTACTCTTAGGCAGTGACTACAAGGTCTCAGAAGTCTTGCCTTAAGTCTATACTTGATTCTAGGTAAGTTTGCTTGATAGTTCAATTAACTATTTTATCTCTTCCAGTTATCGGTTGCCAGAGCTGCATCCCCAAATGATAGTGAGATTTCTACTAATGTCAAATAATCACTGTTAATACTAATTTTCTTGAAATCCTACTCTCTCTAACCACTGTTGGTCCCAATTACTGTTAGTCAATTTTTAAATTTTAAACGACATAACCCAGGCTAGGTAGTTTGAACAACAACAGCAACAAAAAACACATGCATTTGTAGATTCTATGTCACAACGGAAAATCAAGTCTGGGGACAATGTAAGGAGAAACATTGACAACATAGACAGAATCCAGTGAAGACTCACTGCTGCCTCCCAAAGACACAGTCCCTAGAATAAATCTGTTTATTCTGAGCACTTGATGTTTAGACTTCTGCCTCTTCTCTCATTTGAACTCATGTCAGAATGGTAATTGCTTCTTCACATCATCTACTTTTGAATTAATGTCTCATAAAGGTGCATCTGAATGGCACAGGCTGGGTTACATACATGACTGAAGGGAGGCTGGAGAAGTGATTGTGGACTTTCTGCCTTAGGGATAACAAAACCAGGGACAAAAACTCTCCTAGCCTAGAAGAGATGTTAAAAAGGTTTTAGGTAGACAAAAAAGCATAATACTTGTCTCCTGTAGATACCATTTTCTAGAACAAAATTATTATTCAAGATTACTCAAAATTATGTATTTTGATTATGAATTTCTTGTACAACTCTCCGTACCCTTATCCCGGAAGTTTGTATTGACTTTTCTGTTTCTTCTTGAGAAAAGATAAGATAAATAGGACAATAATAAATATTATCTCTAAAATTGTTCACCATCCTCATCATATTATTTGTTGCAGTGAGAATCCTTTTTTTCTAAGGATATTCTTCTTGAAATCCTAAGAACTCCCCCATCAATTGTAGACTAGTTATTTTTCAGGTTTACTGCCCAGCTGTCTTCCTCAGATTTCTTTCCATTTGCTCTTTTGGTCGAGTTGTCTTATTTCTTGGATTCCATGTATCTTCTTTATTGAATTTCCTTTGTTTTCAGAGTGTGCTCTTATTTTCTCAAAAAGAGTGCATGGGGAAAAACTTTATGACTGAAAATAATTTCACTCTTCTCTTGTACTTGATTGAAAGTTGGGCTATGTATAGAATTCTAGATTCAAAGTTATTTTAACTCAGAGCTGTGAAGACATGGGTTCATTTTCTTCCAGCACTTAATTGCTGAAACACTGACTGTAATTATTATATTGATTATGATGATTCTTCTAATTTCTTTGGGGTTAAGTTGTTTATATAACTAGGTAATAACATTATTGGCTATCAAGCTGTGATATTTTAACTACAGAAATAGAATGTTATTGGATATGAGAAAAATAAGTGAAGATAAATGTAAACTATACAAGTCTTTTGTTAGCAAGTATGTTGGGTTGTCTCAAGATGAGAAAGACAAATAGAATGTTAAAAATCAAAACAGGAGAATGTTGTATATTGATTTCCCATACTTTTTACCATCTACAATCTTATAGCCCCTTACACTCTATTTCCATTCCAGATACAACCATTCCTCCATCTTTGAGCACAACATAGTAATATATTCCACAACAAATATAGAACCTATTCAATTTCTTTCAATGAGAGCCAGTGCTTAGTGAAGAATTCTGTACCATTCAGGGTTCAACTAGAGAAGCAGAACCAGCAAGATATATTTTATATAGGTATACATTCCTGTATATATACATATGTGTGTTTGATACTGGTAATTGACTTACACTATTATGAGGGCTGGTTAAGCAGTCTTTTGAAAACTATGTCTCTGTATCTTATGTTGGAGCTTGAAGTCCACAGGCAAGGAATCAGGAAGGGAAGATTGCAAGCATGTCAGAAACCCCACAAGGATAAACTGAAATGCATGTCCATTCTTGTTGCCTCTGACCTTGGTTAAAAGGGTATCCTGCAAAGGCCTTTATCTCAGAGCTAAACACCTACCTGGCTCAGGGGTCAAAAAACTGAAGATGAATCCAGAAAAGGCTAAACAACCGCAGATCTAGATGCTGCTTTATGCCATTGAAATGATGCAGCAGATCAGCAACAGCATAGGTCAGCCATAAAATGTCACTTCCTTCCCTAGGTCTTCCAAATCTTGCAAGAATCTCCTTTGTGCTTCACCCTAATTGGAAATGCATAAAAAAGGGAATTCTGCATAATCTAGTACAGCCTAGCTAAATGACACTTTAAAATGTCATCATAGTCCCCCCAAAGTAATTTTAAAAAAATTACTTTTATCCTAAAATTTTATTCACTGAAAGTAGAAAAAAAGTCTTTAACAATTCTCTCAGGAACTTCTGGTGGCCATCAATATGATTTCACCATATGCCTAACAGAGTGACTGAAACTAAAACCTGGAGGTAATTGAATGGTAAGATGTTTTAAAATACAGAATTATTTAATACTGGTTGCCTAAATGTTTTCCAAAGGGAATCCTTTTTTCTTTAATCCTACTTCTATACCAGGCACTTTTGAATCATACAACTCTCATTGAACAAAACCATGATGTTAGCATTTACAAAGTTTTTCTTTTTATTTGCTGTGGCGGAAGTGTCATCTTTTGATTGATCTAAAAGTGGAATCGCACTATTACTAGATAATTTAAAATCACTTTAAATTATAATATGTCTAGTTAAGATAAAAGCCCTGATTTCTCTTGCTCTAATGGTGTCATAAGCACCAAGACTTTATAGAAGCATTAATAATCAAACTCACATCTTGGTCTTGTCAACATAATCGAAGACTAAAAAGGTGAATTAAAGCTGAAAGCAATGGTTGGAACAGTTCTGGAATCATTCTGCTACTGCTTATATAGCCTTTACATGGTGCTCCAAATGTATAATCCAAAATGGAAGGCAAATGAGATTCAGCTGGACTCAAAGAGACACAGGGAACTTGATGAAAGCATTGCAAAATCCAGTGGACCCGTCTATCACAAATTGTAAGCCATGTTTTAAAATTAAAACAAAGGCCCTGGCAGAGAAATTGCCAAAATGCTGTTCTTTAATAATGAGACAGAACTGATAGTTTGTTCAATTTACCCATCAATTTGTCCAGAAGCTTTTGTTGGGAATGAAAATTGTCTGAATGCTAATCACTTTATACTCTAAAGGTGCCTAAATCTCCAGCCAGAGTGTATCATGAAGAGATTAAAATGTTCTTATTTTGGGCTGGGTGTGGTGGCTCATGCCTGTAATTCCAGCACTTTGTGAGGCTGAGGTGGGTGGATCACCTGAGGTCAGCAGTTCAAGACCAGCCTGAACAATAGGGTGAAACCCTATCTCTACTAAAAGTACAAAAATTAGCTGGGCATGGTGGCAGGCACCTGTAATCCCAGCTACTCGGGAGGCTGAGGCGGGAGAATCGCTTGAACCCAGGGGGCAGAGTTGTAGTGAGCTGAGATGGCACCATTGCATTCCACCCTGGGCGACAGAGCAAGACTCTGCCTCAAAAAAAAAAAAAAAAAAAGTTCTTATTTTTGTAGAGATTGAATTTAAGCAATGAGTTTAGAAAACTAAAATACGTATGTGTGTGTGCACGTGTGTGTGTGTAAAATTTCCTCTGGTTAAGGCTGTTATTAAGAAAGAAATACCCTCTAGGCATCAACAGGATTGTTTTAAAGCTCTGCTTTGTCACATCTTGCATGGTTTTGATGTCACAAAAAAATAGAGTTTTTTCTAATTCTGAGTCTTATTATTTTCAAAGAGCCAGATTTCGATACATTTAATCATACAAAAGACCTCATATGCTCTTATCAAAGTGATTTAATTGCTCAATCTCTCAAGACATAGCTATTTTAGTTGGTGTTATGAAGCTAAATTTCTTGGAAAGCCTCTTTGAATCTTCTAAAATATTAACTAATGTGTTCAGTTAAAGGAAATTGGGAAAGCAAACTAGGTATTGAGTCTAATTTAAAATATCTTGCTGATGAAGCGATATCTGCACTCCCATGTTCATTGCAGTATTCTTCACAATAGCCAAGATATGGAAACAACCTAGGAGTTCCTCATCAGATAAATAAAGAAAATGTGATTTATAATTACACAATAAACTGCTATTCAGCCTTGTAAAGGGGGGAAATCCTGTCATTTGCAACAAGATGAACAAACATGGAGGACATCATGTGAAGTGAGATAAGCCAGGCACAGGAAGGCAAATACTGCAGGATCTCACTTACACGTGGAATCTAAACAATTTTAACTCAAGGAAGTAGAGACTAGAATGAAGACTACCAAAGGCTAGGGAGAGTCTGAAGTGGGAGAAGGGAAGATGTTGATCAAAGGGTAAAACAGGAAAAATAAACTTTAGTGAGTTATTGCACAAATGGTGACTATAATAAATAATAATGCATTGTATATTCCAATTTGCCACAAGATTAGATTTTAAATGTTCCCCCCAAAATAAGTATATAATGTATGGATTTGTTAGTCCGATTTAATCATCCTATATTGTAAACATATATCAAAACATCCCACTGCAACCCCATAAATATATTATTGTTATTTTTCAATTAAAAATAAGTTTTAAAATTAAAAAAGAATATATTAAGTGGTTTAAAAATTAGTTTGAAAGCCCCCAAAAAGAGAACTAGTATATTTAGCCCCATCAGACTAATTACAAATTATATGTATGGTATTAGCTTCAGTATTTTATGGATGACTCTTTTTAAGCCAATGATTCAAATGGCTGTTAGGTTTCTAGTGGTAGTTCAGGATTTCACAAAAAATAATTCAAATTTCACAAAGAACCTTTATACTATTAAAAAAATTTTTAAAAAACACATATGTATTATGTACCACAGTTTAGCTTATTAAAGACAATCAAGGATGCTAATTTTATGTCAGATTTCTTCATATTTATGCTGTTTTCAAGGAGAAAATCTTTTCTTGCTAATTCTGTTTAACTGAAGAATATCCTAAGATTTCAAAACAAACTGCTAAAAATATTTTACCATAACCACTTACTTGCTGATGTAAATGGGATTTAGAAGCATGTATTAAACTATTGCCCCAAACTCCAAATTTTAAATGCCTGTGTTTATTAAAAAAGGCAAACTTATTATTTTTACTTTTTTTTTTTGAGACGGAGTCTCGCTCTGTCCCCTAGGCTGGAGTGCAGTGGCGCGATCTCAGCTCACTGCAAGCTCCACCTCCCGGGTTCATGCCATTCTCCTGCCTCAGCCTCCCGAGGAGCTGGGACTACAGGAGCTCCCCAACACTCCCGTCTAATTTTTTTTTTTTTTTTGTATTTTTAGTAGAGACGGGGTTTCACCGTGTTAGCCAGGATGGTCTCGATTTCCTAACCTCGTGATCCGCCCGTCTCGGCCTCCCAAAGTGCTGGGATTACAGGCGTGAGCCACCGTGCCCGGCCTATTTTTACTTTTTAATAAGTAAATAATTATGCATTTAGCCCCATATAGCAAAATTATATGAATAAATATCAAATATTAAGTGATTGCACATCTCTAGTCCCAGCTACTCAGGAGGTGAAGATGGGAGGATCACATGAATGAGCCTGGGAGGTTGAGGTTGCAGTGAGCTGTGATCACACCACTGCACTCCAGCCTGGGCAACAGAGTGAGATCCTGTCTCAAATTTTTTAAAAAAGAAGTCTGGGACTCTAAAATTTCATAAAAATACTTCCATCTATATCTTACTTGAAATAATAAATCTAAATAAAATGATATAAACATGTTGAAAAAAAGATACAAAAATATATGTCATAAGCAAGCACAATAAAATCTGTAATGATAATTATATCAGATAAAATAAAATTCAAGGTGGCAAGCTTTAAGTACAGAAGTTTATATTGATTAAAAAAAGCAATTCTTGAAGAGAAAATAGTTGTGAGCATGTCAGTTACATCTGAGAATGGCACCTGATGAGGTTCTGTGTGGATCCCATGAGAAAGCCATCATTAGAATTAATGCCATAATACAGACATGCCACAGCTTTCTCTCAAGGCACTCTAACCAACACTGCCCTTTCTGCTATTCATTAAACAAAGCCAACCATACTTCTGTTTTAGGGCCTTTACACCCAGTTTCCCTGTCCGAAATTTTCTTACCCCATGTATCCTATGATATATTCTATTACCTCATTCAAGTCAATGCTGAAATGTCACTTCATCAGAGAAAGTTGTTCCTGAACACTCTGTGTTACATAGCAGCCTCTCCACCCCTCATCCTTGCCCTACTTCTACTGTCTAGATCCTGTATCATAAGCTGACATTATATGTTTATTTATTTATTCATCCATTTGTCTATCTCATCCCAATAGAAATGATGCCTCATGAGGGAAGGAACTTAATTTCTTTGGTAATTTCTTTATCCCCATCCCTAGAAGAATATCTGAATAAGCAAAAAAAGAAGTGCAAGTGTATCAGCTGTAGAGTTTTTTCACTGAAGAACTGGGAGGAGACTGAGTCCAGTCGCTCACGCTTAACCCCAGCGCTTTGGGAGGCCATGGCAGAATTGCTTGAGACCAGAAGTTTGAGACCAGCCTAGGAAGCATAGTAAGAACTTGTCTATACAAAAATAATAATAATATTTTTAAATGGCAGATCCTATAACAAATACCTAAAAATGTGGATGTGGTTTTGGATTTGAATTATGGATAAAGGCTGGAAGGGTTTTGAGGCACTTTATAGAAAAAAAATCTCCATTGTCTTGAGGAGACTGTTGGTAAAGATAATAACATTAAAGGTGCTTCTGTTGAGGCCTCAGATGGAAATGAACATGTTATGAGAAACCTGAGGAAAGGCAATCCTTATTATAAAGGGACAAAGAACATGGCTGAATTGTGTTGTAGTGTTTTGTAGAAAGTAGGTGAATGTAGACATTTCTAAGCAAAGTGTTGAAAGTATGGCCTGGTTTTTCCTTACTGTTTATAGTAAAATATGAGAAGACAGCTAAATTGAATAAGAAATTGTATAAGAAATTGGTAAGCAAAAGGGAACTAGAACTTGAAGGCTTGAAAAATTCTCAGCCTATACATGTTATACAAAATGAGAAAACACATTCTATAGAGAATATCCAGGGTGTGGTTGGATGATCCCTTACTGAAGAGATTAGGCATGTGACCCACAGATCCAATCAACCATCTCAGCAGAAGCCAGGAATAGAGATGAGTTAACCAGGAAAGATCTGTAAATGATCCGCTTATCTAATGGACTGGACCCCATGAATTGCATGGGGAGGCCAATAGGTTTCTGATAATTTTATACAAGCAGAAATGCTGCTAGAGTAAACGGAGATGAACAGAGATGGGATAAAATGGAAGAAGGCTGCCAGACTTCTAGAATTCTACCGGAAAGAAATAGGCCAATAACACTAACATGAATTGTCCTTCCAGAAAAGAGAACAAACACCTGGAAGGTGGTTCAGAGCATGTCAGGGCTGCCACTGCTACCACAGCTCAGAGTGCACAAACCTGTGTATGGGACCATCTCCTGCTTGGTTCCAGAGAGTGGGGTCATCTCCTTGGATTCAGAGGGACTGGCCCTCTTCTCAGAGCAGAAAGGGTGGGATTGCCAACATGGTGGGCCTGGAAAGTGGGGTTACCACTACTGTGGGCCTGTAGGACAGAACAGGAAGCAAAAGAGGATTATTTTCAAGCCTTAAAATTTAAATGGAATTTGCCTTGTTAGGTTTCAGACTTGTTTGGAACCTGTGATCCTTTTCCTCCTTCCTATGTCTTCCTTTTGGAATGGGAATGTTTATCCTATAGCTGTCCCACCATTTTATTTTGGAAGCAGCTAACTTGTCTGGTTTCACAGGTTCACAACTAGAAAGGAATTTTTCCTCTAGATGAATCATACCTCCAATCTCACGCATACCTGCTTTAGGTGATATTTAGATGAGATTTTGGACTTAGAGTTGCTGCTGGAATTGGTTAAGACTCTCAGGGATATTGGGATGACATGAATATATTTGCATGTGAAGGACACAAATTAGAGGATACAGAGGGTGAAATGTTACAGGTTGAATTGTGCTCCAAAATTCATGTGTTGAAGTCCTGACCCTCAGTACCCTGGGATATGATTTTATTTGGAGATAGGATCTTTACAGAGGTAATGGAAGTTAAAAGGAGGTCATTGGGATGAGCTCTAATACAATATGACCTGCGTCTATATAGAAAATGGAGATTTGGATACAGATATACACAGATATGTATAGAGAGAAGATAATATGAAGATACAGAGAGAATATCATGTGAACATGAAGACAGCCATCTACAAGCCAAGGAGAGAGACCTGAAACAGATCCTTCCCTCACAGCTCTCAGAAAGAGTTTACCCTCCCAACACCTTGATTTCAGACTTTAGCCTCTAGAACTTTGAGACAACATGTTTCTGTTATTTAAGCGACCCAGTTTATGATACTTTGTTGTAGTAGCCTTAGCAACTATTATAGTAGAAATGTAAAGGATTTGATCATATTAATTATACATTAAATAATAGATGTCATATGTAAAATACACTAACGTTAAATACTTATCATACATAAATAATGCCTGCATATCAATAAACAAAAAGGAACTGACAAACAAATGGACAAAGATACCTAAGTAATTCGCAAAAGGAGTAAAAATAGCCTATATTCATATGAAATGATATTCTACTTCACCAGAAATCAGAGAATACAAATTAACACAGCAATATATTTCAGATTCATAAAAATTAAAGTGACTATTGTGAGGATGGTATGTGAGAATTAGGCATAGGAATTTTAATACAATTATTGATGGCAATATACATTTGTGCAGTGTGTTTTGGAATTATGTATTGAAATAAGGGTTGTAAGTATTATTTTGATCACAGAGGTACAATTTTGGAATATGCTTCATAAAAAATCTATGTATACCTACATATACATTTTCTTTATAAAAATATCTACACACATGTATAAAGATATTCATTATAGGATTGATTGTATTAGTAAAACATTAGTAACAATTTAGATGTTAATCAGTAGGAGAATTATTAAATGCATTAAGACACCTTCGTAAAAACTCATACAGTAGTTAAATAAGATCTAGATGCTGTGAAATGGAGAGACTGCTAAGTCACCATGTCAACAATAAAAAGACATTTAAGTAGCATGATTTTACTTAGGTAGAAATTTCTATTTTTTAAAAAAGGTCACATATATTTGTATGAATGTACACATAATGTCTGAAAGGGTGCACATTAAACTTGAAAAAGTGGTTAAGGGTCCATGGGATGGGATTAGAGAGAAGTTTGGTAAAGGAGAATCCCTACTTTTTAACTCTAAATCCTATAATTATATTATATTTATATTATTATTGTATATTCATTATTTTTAAGTCTATGAAAAACATAGAAATCTGTACGATATTTCTCATTATGATATCCCTGGGCCCAGGAAAGTATATAACAAATAATAAATATCAAATAAATGTTTCGGATTCAATATATAGGAGAAAGAAAGAGGCAAACATAAATCTTGAAAGAAAATCATTTAGAATGAGTTTCCAAAGGCAAAAAAGAAAAAAATATGTAAAGAATAAGAGATATTTTAATAGGGGAAGGCAAAGAAAAAGGTTAAACATGATTACATCTTAGAAATCTGTTTTGCTGCTCTGGGTAGAGGGATACAAATAAGAAAAATAAGATTGGGAATGAATCTTGCTTTTGTATCTGTACTAATGGATGTGGGATAAAGCAGCATATGGAGAAATATAATTATACTAGAATTTTTACAGCTTGTTTTAAGTGTGTTCTTTCCACATAGGTGATTTGAATGTATTAAAATACTTTGACAGTTTTCTGGCCAATTGATTTACATATGAAGACTTTCTTTCTCTGGTGATCTATTTTTATTCAAATAATAAATTTTTGTTATATAAATGAATGGAACAGGAAAAAATATGAATATAGAATCTAGGAGATTCTACACAGCAATTGGTAAAAGTAATATCATCTAAAATTAAGCAGTTCTCAAATGAAAACTGAACTGGAGCTTATATTCCTACTCGCATTGTCAGTGGGCCAAGAAGATGATATAGCTCCTATGCTTATTGAACACAGTGAAATCTTTATGTTCTTTACTTTTGTGACTCATGTTAAAATAGGCAGATTAATCATATCTTTGATGAATTATATGTGGTATAATAATCAAGCGTATATTACACCACTTTGGTCCGTATTTTTAAAAGTTTTGTTGTAAGATTTATTATTTTCCTTTGAGTAACATCTGACATACTAAGACTGATAACTGAGTTTTCTATTTATTTAAAATGTATTTTAATAAAAATTTTAGTGTGCAACTTAAAGAATAATCTCAGGAATCTTATCAACATTTTTTAAATGAAGAAGAAAAACAATATAAATGATAAAATGTCAGCTATTGATACCACTTAATGAGAATTTGAGTGATTATTCTGTCTATTAAATCTCTTATAAAGACCCCTGAAAGCAATATGATCCAATTTTGTTAGTTTAATATTCTTGCCTGGAAGATTTTTTAAAACTGAATAAAATTTATCTTGAAATTTGTAACCTTTAATTTTATATTTTCTCCTTTTTTTCAGGGCAGTATAAAGTAGGAGATTTCAAATTATTCTAATAGTCAAACATCTTCAAGTAGAGTCAGCTCTTCAATCTTATTTATAAGATCAAGTGCCTTTAATTTGCAGCACCCATTATCTTTCTAAACATCAAAGAGTAAAAATAACTTTTTTATATTAATGGAACATATAGGAACAGATAGTACAGGATTAACTTCTTCCAATTTAGGTCAATTTTAGAACACTTCGATAGACTACCAGTGCTTTGACATGGTGTAATGTTTTATACATGTTTAAATAGTTGTTATTTTATTTCTAGAGAATAAATTTTTTTTTACATATCTTCCAGGAAAATTTCTATTTTTATGTATGAAATTAATTGGTTATTTTCTCAATGTCATATGTGATATAGAATAAAAATTCCTAAAGGTCACATCTTCTCATATTTTACTTTTTGAATGAAACCCTTTGAGTTTCTTTATCAACTTAGCTGGTAGCTATTGCCCTCAGCAGCCACCACAGGCCAGGACCAAAGAGCACCAGCAGGGCTTCCATGTGCCTGTGTCACTTAGGGCAGCCTTGCCATCAGGGGCTAGAATGCAGACACATCTTCAATGACACAACCACAATGTTAAAAGTTTAAGAGTTTTTTTTTTTTTTCTAACTTTTAAGTTCAGGGGTACATGTGCAGGATGTCCAGGTGTGTTACATAGGTAAATGTGTGCCATGGTGGTTTCCTGCACAGATCATCCCATTACCTAGGTATTAAGCCCAGCATCCATTAGCTGTTCTTGATGTTCTCCTTCCTCCCACCCCCAACCCTCCAATAGGCCCCAATGTGTGTTGTGCCCCTCCATGTGTCCATGTGTTCTCATCATTCAGCTGCCACTCATAAGTGAGAACATGTATTTGGTTTTCTGTTCCTGAGTTAGTTTGGTGAGGAAAATGGCTTCCAGCTCCATCCACGTCCTGGCAAAGGACATGATTTCATTCATTGTTATGGCTGCATAGTATTCTATGATGTATATGTACCACGTTTTCTTTATCCAGTCTCTCATTGATGGGCATTTATGTTGGTTTCATGTTTTTGCTATTGTGAATACTGCTGCAATGAACATACACATGCAGGCATCTTTATAATAGAATGATTTACATTCCTTTGGGTATATACCAAAAATTGGTAGAATGGTATTTCTGCCTTTACGTCTTTGAGGAATCACCACACTGTCTTCCACAATGGTTGAACCAATTTACACTCCCACCAACAGTGTAAAAGCATTCCCTTTTCTCCACAACCTCGCCAGCATCTGTTTGTTGACTTTTCAATAATAACCATTCTGACTGGTGTGAGATGATATCACATTGGGATTTTGATTTGCATTTCTCTAATAATCAGTGATATTGAGCTTTTATTTCACGTTTCTTGGTTTCATGTATGTCTTCTTTTGAGAAGTGTCTGTTCATGTCCTTTGCCCACTTTATAATGGGTTTTTTTTTTTTCTTGTAAATTTGTTTAAATTCCTTGTAGATGCTGGATGTTATGGTCCATGTATCGGTTTATGAGTTTTTAATACTTACAGGCCCTGGGTGGGGTCACAGCACACCTGGAGGCCACAAACACAGAGTTCAGGGAGCATAGGTAGGGAGAGAGAGCCAATGCCTTTACTAGTAGGTTGGTGCACGAGTAATTGCAGTTTTTGCCATTAAAAGTGGTGGGAAAAACTGCAATTACTTGTGCGCCAAACAAATAGGCCCAGGGCATTTTCCAAACAGGTTTCCTGTGGGGAATATTAATTGGTGGGTTTAAAACAAGGAGGCATGAGTTCCAGGAAGTCACACGCTGACTGAGAGGTAGTCACTGTGCACAGCCCATGTGAGGTGTGAGGGTCAGCGGGGCCAGTCAAGCAGGCTGCATGCACCTAGCTGTTTTCTAGCAAAGTGGTTACTAGGGAGCAGTTGTTTATGGATCTACTATATTGAGGAACTGAGGGAAGAGGAGTGTGTTGTGTAGAACTGGAAACCATCAAGGGTGACTAAGCCCTGTTCTTGGTATGAGAAAACCCAACTTATAGTTATGTATGTTTGTATGTATGTATTTTTAATTTTTATGGGAACACAGAACACGTATATATTTATGAGGCACATGATGTATTTTGATACAGGCATACAATGTGTAATAAACACATCAGGATAAATGGGGTGTCCGTCACCTCAAGCATTCATCATTCTTTTGTGTTAAAGACATTCCAATTGTACTCCCTCAGTTATTCTAAAATGTACAGCGAATTATTGCTGACTGTAGCCACCATGTTGTGCTGTGAAATACTATATCTTTTCTAATTTATATTTAAAATGGATGCCAAGACAATATGACGTTATAAGCATTCACTACACTTACATGTTAATCTAATGTCAATCATGACTTATAACCCAATAATGGCATCCCCAATAAGTCAGAGTCAGTAGAGGGAATCGAAGGTACTCAAAGTACTTAAGCAGAAAGAGGTTTAATATAAGATATTAAAATATCATCAAAAGAACTCAAAGATCTGGCTCTAAGCTAGACCTCCAAGGATGACTCCCAAAATAATAAAAACTCCCCATAGTGTTTCTACCTCTGAGGCTAACTAGCAAGCCAGAAGCTATTTTTTTCAAAGGTGAAATACAATAGTATTTGGTGAGTTCTGTGGCTTAGTTCCAAAATTATAGGGGTGTGATTATCTTATTGAAGATTTCCAGGTCCTTTATACAATGTCCTAATCTACCATAGAAACATCAACGGTGACTATATCTACTTGGTCATAAAAATGTGTTATGTAATACCATATCTGCTTGACTGGCAGCTTAAATTAGTTACTTTGAGCCCCATTCTAAGCCAGTTGCCTTATAGGTTACTTAGTAAATGGTCAGAGCAGCACCCTTAAATATAATGTATGCAGCATCCAAAATCCAGAAATGCCTACCAACACCAGTGGGTCATGAATGTGCAGCCAACTGTGTTTCACTGTGAAATGAGTATACTGATAATGTGCTTGTGTATTTCACCAAGGTAGCAGGCACCTATATTTTCACTGGGTTACCTTCCACATTCTAATGCACTTGTATCTTTCTAAGACAACTGGGATAGCAAATACTTCTGGCCCACCAGGTCCATGTGGCATTCTGACATCAACATTGGAAATATCCTTGTGATGATCTGTAGTATGGTAAGACAATGAAGATTTTCTTGAGTTTATTACACAGCACTGGAGATTTGACACTACCTGAGGTAAACCAGTATAGGTGTCCTACTTCTAGTGGTGGTGAAAACAAACTGGTTTGCTCCAGTAAAGAGACAGCACCTGGATTGATAGCTACAATTGTTGTCATCACCTGATTATGCTTCCAGCAATCTACTACATAGTGGTGGCACTAATTCCCTTCAAGATGTGCTATTGCTTTTGAATGACTCTTTTGGAAGGGAGAGGCAGTTATTTGGCTTCTAGTTGGTTTTTCCTATCATAATGGTCCTCTGAAAGTTAACGAAATTCTTCCAGTTACTAAGAGTATTTTTCCATTCTCCATTCAAAACAGGGGAAATAGCAAGAAAATGAGTTTCTAGACCCAGAGAGCCACAGGGGATAAAGTTTCGTCAAATCTCCATTTCTCACCTTACCCTTATAAGCCCTCAGTCATACCTGAGAGACACAGTGGAACACTGTGTCTGCAGAGACTGTGTACTTTGAAGGACTGAGAGCATGAATACTCAAAATCTTTGATTATTTTTCTTTCTTTAAGGTACAAAAACCATGGGAAATAGCTAAAGATTTCTTTGGAAAAGACTAGGAAGAATATTTAAAGTATATACTTGAAGAATGATGTCATGGAACTTTCTCAAGAATATTTGATTTCCAATTTATTTAAGCATTGCTGTGTCTCTGCTGACTGAGGTCTGGGATTTCGCTCTCCATTGTGGTGGCTTAAATTAGGACTCTATTCTTCACACTCATACAGGTTATATTAAGCAAATAAGGACTTAGTTGTTCATTTGAACAAATAAAGTGAGGGGAGTATATATTATAAAGTTAATCTTAAACATTCCTGTCTCTTAAATATGTTAATACTCATAACAAAAAAACTGGCATCTTAATTGCTTCTAAATCTAGGTTTCAGTCAACAGAGCAAGCAGTTACCTTCAGCTTCTCAAACCACACATCAAAAGTACCACCAAAATTTTCTGTTGTAGGAATCACTCCATCTGCCATAGCCTTATTCTCAGTAGCTACTTTGTTGCAGATGACATCAAGTTAAAATTTTAAGGTGCGGTTTTGTCATCATGTGGCATGGACTAGTAGTATTCTTATTTCCTGTTTTAATAGGGACATCACTGCCTTTAATTCTAAATAAGTTAGGTAAAGGATCTAAGATTCCCATCTTTGTAGTTCTGTTGCAAGTAACCTCTTCTGGCTCCAAATACTCTTATGAGTAAAGTCTCTGTGCATGAAATAGAAACTATTTTAGGTGTTAAGCGGAAATAGGGTGTAATTAGGTGCTTAAAATGATTGGAAAAGCTGGAGGAATGGGATCTAAAATGAGTCTCTACATATGACTTTCCAAGCAGTGCAGAAATGACCCACTGAGAGATGCTGTTTACTAGATCACCTTTAAAACTATTGGGTTCAACACACCTTCACATTATGATTTAAGGACTAGAAGATAGAATTAAAGCTCCAACAACTCTGCTTATACCTCCTAAACTACCTTTGGACAACCAGAAATCTACAGAACAGTGAATGGAAAATAGCTGCAGAAAAACCTTATGCTTTCATGATTTTATCAGCAAAAATAGACGGTAAGAAGAATAAGAGAAGCTCTGCTTCTGTGTACCTCTATCTTCCAAATTTTATGTATGTAAAATTTAATTTCCACAGAACTGTAGCTGCAAAGAATTCTGACAAATGTAGATTTTAGATTTCTGGTCTCTGAAGTAGAGTAATGTACTCTGGAAGATGGGTGAAATGAAGATTAAGTAAGCTAAGCCATGGTACCTAATACATATCTTCAGATAGAAATTTGAAACATAATTAAATGATGTCTATAGAAAGATAATGTAATGTTAACATAAACAGCTAGGAGTTTGTTTAGAAATGTATGGATGTGTGCCTAATGTCACAGCTCCAAAATGTGTGAAACAAATACTAAAAAAATTGGAGGAAGACATAGTTCAACAATAATTGTTGGAGACTTCAGTCTCCACTTTCAGAGATGGATAGAACAACTAGGGAAAAATCAACAAGGAAACAGAAGACTTGAACAGGATTATGAGCCAAGGAGATCTAACAGACACCTATAGGACACACTAACTCAAAACAGCAGAATATATATTCTTCTCAAGTGCACATGGAACATTCTGCAGAAGAGACAATATGATAAAACACAAAACAAATATATACAAACTTAAAAGGTTTGAAATCATGCAAAGGATGTGAATATTCTCTGACTACAATAGATTTAAATTAGAAACCAATAGCAGAAAGACATTTGGAAAAGTCACAAATTTGTGGAACTTAAACAACACGCACACTGCTACCTGACCCACTGGTTAAGTATGAAATCACAAAGAAAATTAGAAAATATTTAAAAGTATTTTTAAAGAGTAATTCAAAAGGAAGTGAAGACACAACATAGCAAATTTATGGGACACAGGTAAAATAGTGCTTAGAACAAAATTTGTATCTGCAAGACATCTATTTTTTTTAAAAAGATAAGATATAAAATTAAATGAACTAACCTATCATTTAAGACACTGGAAAAAGACGAGTAAGCTAAACTTAAAGCAAGAAGTAAAGGAAATACTAAAAGTTGGAGCAGAAATTAGCGATATAAAGTATAGAAAAATAAAAGAGAAAATCAACAAACCCAAAAGTTAGTTGTTTAGAAAGATCAACAAAATTGACAAATCTTTAGCTAAAACTGACCAAGAAAAAGAAAGGGAACACTCAAATTATTAAATCAGGAATTATAGAGCAGACATTACAACCTACTTTACAGAAATTTGAAAGATTATTGAAAAATACTGTGAAGAATTATATACCAACAAAGTAAACACATTAAATGGAATGGGCAAATTGATAAAAATGCATACAGTACCAAAATAGACCGAAGAAAAAATAATTTGAATAAGCACATAATAAATAAACAGATTGAATTAATAATATTATATTAAAACTTCCCACAAAGAAAGCCCAGGCTCAGGTAACCTCTCTGGTAAATTTAATGAATCATTTGAAGATTCATTAAACCCTTCATAAACCCTTCAAGATGTGGAAGACAAAGGAACACTTTTCAACTCATTTTATGCAGTCAATAGTAACCTGAAACAAAAACTACTCAAAAACAGCACACACATGGCCAGGTGTAGTGGCTCATGCCTGTAATCCCAGCACTTTGGGAGGCTGAGGTGGGTGGATCACTTGTGGTCAGGAGTTTGAGACCAGCCTGGCCAACGTGGTGAAACCCTGTGTCTAACAAAAATACAAAAATTAGCTGGGTATGGTGGTGCACTCCTGTAATCCCAGCCACTCGGGAGGCTGAGGCAGGAGAATTGCTTGAACCAGGGAGGCAGAGGTTGCAGTGAACAGAGATGGATCCACTGCACTCCAGCCTGGGTGACAGAGTGAGACTCCATCAGAAAAAAAAAAAAAAAATTTGTGCACACACACAAACCCCTAAACTATCGACCAGTATCTCCTATGAATATACATGCAAAAATCTTCCAATAAAATACTAGTAAAGCAAATCCAGCAATATTTTAAAAGATTTCACACTATGACAAAGGTGGATTTAATTAACATCTAAAAATCATATAATGCAATATACCTTATCAATAGAACAAAAGACAAAAAATGCATCGTCTCAATAGATGCAAAAAAAATAGCAATGGACAAAATTTAACATACTTTTATGATAGAAATGGTCAACAAGTTAGGAATAGGGGGTGGGGAACTTCTTCACTTGATAAAGAGCCTGTACAAAAAGCCCAGAGCTAACATCGTTCTTGACGATAAAAGACTGAGTGCTTTCCTCCTAAGATCAGGAACAAGACAGGAATGTCCACTCTAGTCACTTTGTGCTGAAGGTTCTAACCAAGCAATCCGACAAGAAAATGAATTTAAAGGCATTCCTATTTGAAAGGAAGCAGTAACTATCTGTATTTGCAGATAACATGATCTGGTATATAGAAAATCCTAAGGAATTCTGTAAAAATTTATTAGAACTAATAAGTTCAGAAAGGTTGCAGTATAAAAGATCAATATTCGAAAGCTTATTGCATTTTATACCTTCTCAGTGAACAATCAAGCCAGGAATTAACAAAAAATATTTATAGTAGCATCGAAAAAATAAAATATGTAGAAATAAATTTAACAAAGGCATGCAAAACTTAAAATTTAAATTTGGCCAATAAATTACTGATGTAAAATGAGAGTTCCTTGAAAACATCTAGATTCAGTTGCCTGCAGAAAGGCAGGCTGGGCCTTAATCATAAAATATGTAAAATTCCACTTTTAGACATTTAATCTTGCAGACTATTGGAACTATACACTCTGAATTTCTGCAAACACAAAAACTATGCCTTCATATTGAGAACACGTTAACTCAGTTGAATTCAACCCACTGAATTTTATTTAAAACAATATTTTAAAAAATCCACTGAATAGTGGATGTCTAATTTGGCTAATTTTTTTTACTCCCAAGTAAGTTGTTTTTTCCCCTGTATGATATAATGCCAAATTATAAAATCTAGCTGTAGGCAAGTTTTGACTAAAAGAGATAGATTTTATTTATTGTTTCTAGCTCATTTCTCTTAGCCATAGCCTAATTGCTTTTGAACTCACAGGATACTATAATGCAAATAATAGTTCAAAAAAACGTTTTTGTTAAGGAAATCATAGTGTAGGTGCAATAAAAGCAGTTACATCAAATCCTAGCTTAAAATTATTCTAACTGCATGACTCAACTAAAATGAGTTTTAGCATCTACAAATTTTACAGCACATTCAAATCTCTTTCCTCTATTACGCAGAAAATAAATTATAGGGAAAACCACTAAAAATAAAACCTATTCCCTTAAGCTAGCTAATTATGAAAAGTGACTCACTATGGGACATTTAGTTGTATCCAAAATGAGTAAGAACATGGAGCATGGAGGTGCAACTAAACAAGGAAAGCAGAAGAGGGCTACAATAGCTGATACTACAATGTATCAAGGAAAATAATTTGAAAATGATTCATAAAGCTTTCAAAATAGACAAATGGTCCCATATATGCCATTACCCATAAGAGCAACTATTTCCACTTCTGACACCTTAGAGATACAGGCAGGAGTTGATGGGAGCCATCAGCAATTACTTGTTTGATTCTGTTATACCTGCATCATTGAGCCAATAAAAGAAACCAAAGGTAGTTACAGGTAGAAATCAATTTTTCTGCTGTTTCATTTTAAGCCTGTTACTGGCTAAGGTGTCAGTATTGCACTGCAGCTAGATTTTTCACTGTATTTAATAGATTCTGTAATTAAAATTACATTTTTTGTAATTAAATGTCTTTTATTATGTATTCTGAAATACTAGAGTTTGTTATGAATCTTTCCCCCTATTGCTGAGATTTCTGTGGAACTCACAATTTGCTCTTGGGGAAATGACCTCGCCCTCCCACAGTTTAGCTCTTTAGAGTTACTGAAAGCTAAACAGATACCTAGAATTTATAGGTGATTTATATCCACAAAATATCCTTATTTGACCATGAGAGAATTATTTTCTATACTGTTTAACATTTGCCATAATTCCTTATATGTTTAAATATTTTCTTGGTTATCATATTATATCTTTCAAAATTTGTGGGCAGGAATTATTGGTTCTATTTTCTTATGTCCCACAAGTGCACCTAATATCACATGCAGTCATAGATTACTGAAGATGAACAGGATCATCTCATTCAATCCCCTCACACCATAAATGAGTAGACTGAGGTCTAGAGGTTTGGATAACTTTCTCAAAGTCACAGAGTTAATTAACAACACATTTAGGGTGAAAACCTACTCCAGTGCTCTCTCTACTGTGCTGCACACACTCTGAAGCTAGAGTCATCCCCATGTATTCAGTGATGATCCCTTTGTGTGAAGGAGATTCTCCTTGGTAGAGCACACAGTGACTATGATGATGTTAATATTGTGCTGCTGCTTCTTGTAAAGACTGCTGTTCATTCTGTAACAAGAGCTTGCAATTCAGCCACATTTTTGATAGAGGTGATATATTACCAACAATCTAAATATATTCTTTATTTACGCCCTAGCGTTTACGGTCAAGGACTAAAGTAGACACTTGCCTACAGTAGCACTGTGAGAACCAACTACAAAAATCTAGAAAGACGAGTCAATCTCAGCAGGAGTTTTAGAATGTGGGAGGAAAGGTCTGTTTTGGTATGCAATTTGCATACCTCTTACCAACCTACATACCAACACTAAATGAAAGCAGATATATATCTTTTCATTAATTTTTTTTTTTTGAGACGGAGTCTCACTGTGTCGCCCAGGCTGGAGTACAGTGGCGCGATCTCAGCTCACTGCAAGCTCCACCTCCCAGGTTCACGCCATTCTCCTGCCTCAGCCTCCCGAGTAGCTGGGACTACAGGTGCCCACCACCACACCCGGCTAATTTTTTGTATTTTTTTTTAGTAGACACGGGGTTTCACCTTGTTAATCAGGATGGTCTCAATCTCCTGACCTCATGATCCTCCCACCTCGGCCTCCCAAAGTGCTGGGATTACAGGCTTGAGCCACTGTGCCGGGCCCTTTCATTAAATTGTTAAGGCAGAATTTCATGTAACATAAAATCCCCCAAGACAGATTTTGTTTTATTTTTTGTTTTATTTCATTTCTTTTTTTTTTTTTTAAGACAAAAGAGAATTCTTATTCCCTTTGAGGGCCAAGTAACACTTATTCAAATGACTCTTATAGAACTATAATCATAAACACTGAATACCAGAGGTAAAGTGTTTAGAACCGTATATTAGGCGTTGACTGCCAGAATGACAGTGTGAGAGGCTTCACTGACCCACCTTTATTGAAACTGGTGAAATCAATTTTAAAACATAACCATGTAAAGCCTCTGGAAATGGTTGTAAGGATAAATAGCATATGGAGAAACAGCAATTAAAGAAAATCTATTTTAAAAGGTGAGCATCTGTGGTATCTGAAGCAAGACTGTTCCCTTACTACCCCCTCCCAGCTCAGCAAGGTAAAGACTTCACTCTAGATTGCTGCAGTCAAAAGCACAGGGCTCCCTCTCCCCAAAGCTCTGAGTCAGAAATCATTTTTTTGTATATGTATCCTGGGAGGAGTAGGACATCAGCATTTCTCATGCTGCCCTCAGCTACCTGTTGCTGAGGCTAAGTCCTGGGTGTCATTGAGATGCTGCCTCAGAGCCTCCACTCATAGAATGGAAGCTTTACATAAGGCATAGTGATGTGAGAAGCCTGAGGCCCCGATCACCTTTGCCCTTGTTCAGCCAGAAGAGGTAAAGGAAAGGACCTCTGGCTGCCCCCTAACCCCACTCCAGAAGCACTCACTTCCTAGGGAAAGGTAGACACTTGGAGAAAAGCTTGCTATTTTTCCCTTTTCCAGCTCTAGAGTCCTGGTTTACAGATTTCACCTGGAGGGAAAAGTGGGCCATGAAACAGATAGTTCCTAATTTATTGTCAAAGAAATTGATTTCATTTGCGACAGAGCAGGGAGAAAGTCAAGCTTAAGGGCACTCTCAGAAACAGTGCAGGTTGTAGTAAAAGCATATTAGGAAGAGATTCAAGATACTAGCTAAAATGTAGGCTAGCTAGTTTGCCAGTGATAACAGCTATAGACAACTAGATAAAAGAAAAAGATATGCAAATTACCCTGATCTCATCACTATGTAATATGTGTATCGCAACATTACTATATACACCATAAATATGTGTAATCTTTATGTGTCAAAATTTTTTTAAAAAGCAGATATCTACAGAACACAACAGCAACAGCAAATATTATTTTCAAGTTCACCAAAAACATTGTCTAGAATAGACCATATGCTAGGCCATAAATTGAGGCTCAATATATTTCAAAGGATGCAAATAATATAAAGTATGTTCTCCTACTGCTATGGAATGGAGTTAGAAATCAATAGCAAGAGGAAATTTGAGAACCTCATAAATATGTGCAAATTAACATGCTCCTAAATAACCAATAAGTCAAAAAATAAAAGGGAACTCAAACCTTAAACTATAGAAATCCTAGAAGAAAACCAGGAAATACCATTCTGAACACTGGCCTTGGCAAGTAATTTGTGACTTAGTCACAAAAAGCAATTGCAACAAAAACAAAACTTGACAACTGGGGCCTAATTAAGCTAAATAACTTCTGCAAAGCAAAAGATACTGTTAACATAGTAAGCAGACAACCTACAGAATGGGAGAAAATATTCACAAACTATGTATCTAACAAAAGTCTAATAGCCAAAAGCTATAGTAACTTAAACAAATCAACAAGGAAAAAACAACCCCGTTAAACAATGGACAAAGTACATGAACAGACACTTATCAAAAGACACAAATGCAGCCAACAAGCATATGAAATAAATGCTCATCACTAATCATTTGAGAAATGCAAATCAAAACCACAATGAAATATCCTCTCACACCAGTCAGGATGGCCTTTGTTAAAAATTCTAAAAACAACAGATGCTGGGAAGGCTACAAAGAAAGGAGAACACTTATACACAGTTGGTAGCAGTGTAAATTGGTACTACCACTGTGGGTAGCAGTTTGGAGATTTCTCAAAGTACTTAAAGCAGAACTACCATTCAACCCAGAAATCCCATTACAGGGTATCTACCCAAAGGAAAACAAATCATTCTACAAAAGAGATACATGCACTTGGTATGTTCATTGCAGTGCTAGTTACAATAACAAGACATGAAATCAACCTAGGTACCCAAGAATGGTGGATTAGATTAAGAAAATGTGGTATGTATACACCATGGACTATTATACAGCCATAAAAAAAGAGAAATCATGTTTTTTGCAGCAACATGGATGCAGTTGGAGACCATTATGCTAAGCAAATTAATGCAGGAACAGAAAATCAAATACCATGTGCTCTCACTTCTAAGTGGGAGCTAAGCATTTAGTACAAATAGATGTAAAGATAGAAACAACTGACACTGGGGACTACCAGAGTGGAGAGAGAAGGAGGGGACTGTGGGCTGAAAAACTACCTGTTTGGTACTATGCTCTCTATCTGAATGATGGGATTATCCATACCCCAAACCTCAGCATCGTGTAATATACCTATATAACAAACCTGCATACACACCCACTGAATCTAAAATAAAAGTTGAAATGACTTTTAAAAAACAGACAAAAACAAAAGGGAACTCAGAAAATACTTTGAGATGAATTAAAACAAAGATACAACATATAAAAATGTACGGTATGCAGCTAACGCACTGCTTAGAGGAAAATGTAAAGCTGAAGATGCCTATATTAAAAAAGAAGAAAGAGCCAAATAAATAACTTAACCTTCTACTTTAAGACACTGGAAAAAGAAGAGCCATCTAAACCTAAAGCAGGCAGAAGAAAGGAAATAAGAAAAGTTAGAGCAGAAATTAATGAATTCGAGAATAAAAAAGCAATAGATAAAATAAACCAAAAGTTGGTTTTCTAAAAAGATCAATAAAATTGACAAATCTTTAGCTAAATGACTGATGAAAAAGATAGAAAAAAAAAAAAAAAAAGAAAAAAAGAAAAAGAAGACTCAAATTAGGGGACATTAATTCTGAACCTACAGGAAATAAAAAGGGTTATAAATTAATACTATGATAACTGTATGTCAACCAATTAGATAACTTAGATAACTTAGAAAGACACATGCTAGCAAAACTGACTTGAGAAGAAATAGACAACCTGAATGGAGATATATTATGTAAAGGTATTAAAGTAGTAATTAAAAAAAAAAAACTATCCTCAAACAAAAGCTCAGGATCAGGTGGCTTCAAGCTGAATTCCACCAGGCATATTTTTAAAGTAGTACCAATTGTTCACAAACTCTTCCCTAAAATAGAAGAAGGGGAAATACTTTCCACTCATTCTATGAGGCCAGTATTACCCTGGTAACCAAACTAGGCAAAGACATCACAAGAAAACTAGAGACCAATATCTCTTATGACTGAAGATGCAAAAATCTTCTACAAAATGCTATCTAACTGAATCCAGCAATATATAAAAAATAATTTTACATCATGACCATATAGGACCATTATTCTAGTAATGCAAGATTGGTTTAACAACTGAATATTAATGTAATACATTATATGAATGAATAAAAAGGGAAGAGCATATGATTCAGAAAAATATATGATCATAGATTCAGAAAACTCCAATACTATTTCATGATTTTTTAAAAATTCAACAAACTAGAAATTGAAGGAAACATCTTTAACTGATAAAGAAGGTCTATAAAAAACCTCTGGCTAACCTCATACTTAATTGTGAAGGACTGAATGGTTTCCCTACAATATCAGGAACAGGACAAAGACACCTGCTCTTGACACTTGTATTAAATATTGTACTATAAAATCTAGCTAAGGAAATTAGGAAAGATAAATGAATATAAAGGCATTCATACTGGATAGGAAGAAGTAAAATTATCCTGGTTCATAGATGACATGAAGTTGTAGATAGAAAATCCTAAGGAATGCACTAAAAACTATTATTACAATTAATAAATTAGTTCAGCAAGGTTACAAAATAAATCAATATACAAAGATTCTGATACATTTGCCATGAATAATCTGAAAATGACATTAAGAGAATAATTCTGTGTATAAGAGCATCCAAAGAATTAAAATACTTAGGGATAAATTTAACAAAGCTGTGAAAAATTTATATTGTGAAAACCACAAAATGTGTAGAGAGGAATTAAAGAAGATCTAAATAATTGAAAAAATATCCCATGTTCATGGATTGGAAGACATAATATTGTTAAGAAGGGAACAGTCCCCAAACTGATCTCAAGTTTAATGCAATCTGTATCAAAATGACTTCTTTTAAAAATTAACAAGCTGGGCCGGGCGTGGTGGCTAACGCCTATAATCCCAGCACTTTGGGAGGCTGAGGCAGGCGGATCATGAGGTCAAGAGGTCAAGACCATCCTGGCCAAAATGGTGAAACCTCGTTAGCTGGGCATGGTAGCACATGCCTGTAGTCCCAGATACTCAGGAGGCTGAGGCAGGAGAATAGCTTGAACCCGGGAGGCGGAGGTTGCAGTGATCAAGATCTTGCCACTGCACTCCAGCCTGGCAACAGAGTGAGACTCCATCTTAAAAAAAAAAAAAAAAAAAAGACAAGCTGACTCTAAAATTTCAAAAATTCCAAATAACTAAAACAATTTTGAATAGAAGTAGAATGGCTAACACTTCCTGATTTCAAAACTCACTACAAAGCAAAGTTTAGACAGTGTAGTATTGGTATAAACACTTTGGGAGGCCGAGGTGGGTAGATCACCTGTGGTCAGGAGTTCAAGACCAACCTGACCAACATGATGAAACCGAATCTCTACTAAAAAAACAAAAACAAACAAACAAACAAACAAAACAGGCGTAGTGGCAGGTGCCTGTAACCCCAGCTACTCAGGAGGCTGAGGCAGGAGAATTGCTCGAACCTCAGAGGCGAAGGTTGCAGTGAGCCAAGATCGTACCAATGCACTCCAGCCTAGGTGACAGAGCACACCTCCGCCTCACAAAAGACAAAACAAAAACAAAAAAAAAACAAAAAACAAAGATAATGGCTATGATAGATCAATGGAATGTAATTGAGAATACAGAAATAAATCTATTCATATATGGCTAACTGGTTTTTAGCAAGTGTGCCAAAACCATCCAAAGTGGAAATAGTCTTTTTGACAAATGATGCTGGAACTGGATAGCCACTTGCGAAATCAATCAATCAATCAAGTTAGGCCCTTTCCTTACACCATATACAAAAGTTAATTCAAAATGGATCAAAAGAGCGAAATGTAAGATGTAAAGCTATAAATGTTTCAGTATAAAACGCAGGAGTAAACCTTCATGAATCTGATTTGGCAAAGGATCCTTAGATATGATATCAAAAGCATAAATAACAAAAGAAAAATAGATACACTGAACTTCATCAAAATTAAAAACTTTCATGCATCCACCACACTATCAAGAAAGTGAAAAGACAATTCACCAAATGGGAGAAAATATTTTCAAATCATATATTTAATAAAGATCTAGTACCAGAATACATAATTAACTGTTACAATTCAACAACAAAAATACCACCCAATTTAAAAATGGGCAAAAATTTGAATAGACATTTCTCCAAGGAATATATACAAATAGCCAATAAGTACAGAAAAAAATGACAAACGTCATTAGTTTCCAGGAAAATGCAAGTTAAAATCATAATGAGATGCCACTGTACATTTACTATAATTATAATAAATATTTATTATATTATTTATAATATAGATAAATAAATAATAAAGACTCCAAATCAGAAATTGATTATGCAGAGGAGGAATGACCCTAATTGAAATTCTGAAATTAAGCTAGTTTACTGAAAAAAAATGAGATTAACAAATAAGACACATTCTTCCCATTTCCTGTACCTGCTGACATCTCCAAAAAACAGACTAACAAAAAAACCCAGCAGCCTTCTTTATTTAGGAAAGCTAATAGCACCATTGCAAGGTTGCTACTAATGAATTCAGCAGTATACTTACTTTACCTTTTTAATGCTTAGTATCTCATTGGACCACACACTTCATTAAGTAGCACTTCAGACAAGATTTCTTATATCAATAAAAGGCAGCACCATCTATCTAGATATGCAAACTAGATAATATCTCTAGTCTTGATCAAAGTTTTATGTACACTTGGGTGTATAATAGACATCTTAAACAACATGGATGATCTGAAATTATTTATTCTTCCTTCCCTGTCTGAAAAACATTTTTCTCCTAAGTCTTCCTCCTCTAAGGATATGATACTATCCTCTCAGTTGTTCAACTAAAAACTGAGAAAGAGGGCTGTCCTTCTTGAACCCCCACATCTAATCCAACAACAAATTCTTCCTTTTTTACCCTCAAAATAATCCCAATTGTATTCATTTTCTCCATTTTCCACTAATGGTTCACTAGTCCAAATCACTATCATTGCTTCCCTTCTGAATTGCTGCAATAGGATCTTGATGACCTTCCTATTAAAACAAACAACCAACCAAAAAAAAGCCTTTATACTTTTACATAGGCATTGCATGAAGTTGAAACTGTTTATCATGATCTACCAGGCCCTACATGATCTAGCCCTGCCTCTCCAACCGTCATTCTTTCCATGGCATCCCTCCTCATTCCTTTCCAAACAAAGTAGCCTTATTTTTTTCCTTAAAGACATTAGACTTGTTCTTCCATTAGGACATCTGCACTGCCTATTTTTGGTTTGGTCTGGAAGGCTCCAGTTCTATTTCTTCGTATGATGAGTTCCTTCTTGTTATTGAGGTTTCAGCTTAACACTTAACTACTCTTTGAGATGCTCTCTAGCTACCACTAATTTAAACATTTCTTCAACGACTCTCTATCACGTCACAGCATTTTATTTTCCTCAAAGTACATGTGATTATTTTATTATTTTATTATTTCTTTATGTGTTTATGTGTCTTCTCCACTGATAAGTAAGCTTCACAAACTCAGGGACCTTGTTCATCTTGTTCACTGGTGTACCCCTAAGTCCTACAACAGTACCCAACACATAGTAGTGGTTTCATAAATATTCCCTGAAAGAACAGGGCCTTGAAACTTTTTTCTACTCCAATCCCATCCTCAACCTTTCATTAAGTCCTATTGATATTAATTTGCAAATATCTTTTGAATTCATCACTTTATCATCAATTTTTCATCAATTTTTTCATCTCCCTTGTCACCTTATCAAAATAAATGATCATTAATCTGTTAACTGGACCACTGAGATAGACATCTATCTGAATTTCTGGTATAATCTTTTGTCCCTCTCCAATCTATTAACCACCCCGCAGACAGGGCAAGCCTTTCAAAATCATAATCCAGTCATGTCACCTTCCTAATTGACACTGTTCAGTGGCTTCCTATTGCTTTTAGACAAAGGTCAAAATTGTGAACATGAACTACAAGGCCGTGTGTTGTCAGTAATATAGACCTCTCCAGTCTCATCTCTCCATTTTCTCTTTCACATTCTGTTCTGGCCACTCCCGCTGTCTTTTAATTACTCATCATATTATGCTTTTTGCCTACCACAGAGGCTTTGCACATGCTGTTCCATCTGCCTGGAACGCCCTTATAAGCCCTCTTTACATATGTTTCAGATCTCTATCACGTTAAGTGCTTTAGGAATGCCTTGTCTGATCCACAATCCAGGTCAGATTTCCACTCCTGGGTTATCAACAGGAACAGTGTTGTAAAAAGAAAAAAAAAGTAAATAGTAAATACAAAAGAAAGCAGATGAGAAGCTTGTACCCACTTCAGGCTTCTTGGATCAGAATATAAAGGAGTAGGTTCCAGTCATCCTTATTTTCTAAACAACCTCTTTATTTATTTCTGACCTTAGATTATGAAACTCTGGCTATACAAGGTTTCCAGGTACTGCTCAAAGTACTCTAAAGATTGAGAATAAACTGCTCCCCAAACGTGGGCATTCCACTTTGGATAGTTTCAATTAATCTTTAGAAAGTTTAACTTTAGTACTGGGTGCAATGGCGCATGCCACTAGTCCCAACTATTTAGGAAGTTGAGGCAGGAGGATCACTTGAGGCCAGGAGTTTAAGATAAGCCTGAGCAACATAACAATACCCTTGTCACTAGCAAAAAAAAAAAAAAAAGTTAGCCAGGCTTAGTGGCATACGCCTGTAGTTCTAGATTCTGGGGAGGCTGAGGTGGGCGGATCACTTGAGCCCAGGAATTCAAAGCTGTTATGACACTGCACTCCAGCCTGGTCAATAAACGGGCAGGGTGAGTTTAGAGCTTGAGTGAAAATGGTTTCCCCCATCTTCTATCAATTGATGTTTATTCAATACCTCTGACACATAGAACAAATTAGAATTTAGTGAAGCTCAGAATTGCTTTATTTTATTGAAGATTTATTTTACAGTTTTTGACTCATAATAAGCTTGCTTTTCGACAAATATTTTCTCCCCACTAATACTGATGCTAAGTAATACTGATGCTTAATGCACATGGACAGTTCTTTTTTGGGTTTTTGTTTTACTTAAGTGTGCTGTTCTTCAATTTTCACTATTATAATTAATTTTATTCCATTCAGCCTGTTTTTCTAGAAAGAAACAGTTCTTGGATTCCTGATTTGCTACCCTTCAGCTTTATTTTATCTTCTATCTAATAACTTTGCCTTCCTGAAGTCATTAATGAAAATGCTCAGTGAGAAGAGTCTAAATTGTAGACCTTTATTATGCCACTGAATTTATTTCTTTATCTTAAATTCTTTCAATATTATGACCCAGTTGCAAATTCACCTATATACAATAAAATCTGTTCCGATCTGTTCCAACTTATCAATTTAGACAATATTTAACACGTTTCCAAAATCTTTTATGAATAATACGTGTTATATTTTAACCCAACTAAAGTTTCTTAAAAAATAATGACAATCATAAAAATAGTTTGTTTTTAAGCTCTTACCATGTATCAGGCAGCATTCCAGTTGTTTTAAGTCTATCAATTAAGTCTATTAACTCTTAGACTTAATAGATTAAAGTAAACATTACTGCCACTGTTGTTACCCTTGCACTTATTATTTCTATTTTTTTCTTAGAACTTCCATAGCCTACTAATCTTACAACCTTGTTATAAAAAAATGTAGTTATTGTGACATAACTTGTTTAATGAGGACATGCTGGCTTTAATAATCACTAGTTTCTTTCACAGTTGCTCGCATATCAACCTTTTAATAATGTATACTAAATTCTACTCTGGAATAAAGGTCATGTTTTCTTGCTCGAATGACTTTTGTTGTTCGAATGACTTTTTCCTGCCTTTTTAGTTTCTGCATAGTCCCTTAGAGTTGCTTAGCATTATCAATGGGTGAAATGGACAATCCCTGGAATTCTGGCATCACATTACTAATCAAAATTTATCTATATATTTGAAAGGCTGGAATAATTTATACTTCAATATAACATATAGACCACCAACCAAAGTATTGACTAATTTGTCCAAATAATTCATTTTTATATTTTGAGGATGATTAAATTTCTCTATATACAGACATATGTGATTACCATAGTTTTTAACCATTACATTAAACTTATCTTGATCATAACACAAGGCAGCATTTAGATATACATTTAGTCTCTGTAAAAAGGTTATATGTGATGACTAACATTAGGAAGGAACCTTCATTTATCTGGTTTTGTTTTCTCTTGCAGAGTGATGTTCAGGCCTCTTTCTTCATCCCTTTCCTATTCCTCTCCATATAGAAAGTGTAGTATTTGTTGTTGGTTGGCAAGGATCTGACACCACTGAACCATGTTTGTAAATTAACAAGCCTCATCTATTAAACATCTATAAGCACTGGGGATTAATCTTCTTTTATTTCTTCTCCACCCATTTAAGGTCATCATCCCAGATCAGTATATTTGCTTATCAGACCCAAAGTTTCCCTGGGTTGAGTTTTAGCAGGTCCTTTGTTATGAAAACTAAAGCCAAATTCTCCAATTAGCTTTATCATTATTAAAACCAATATTTGGTCCTCATCAGTGTCTTTTCCATGTTTTATTTCTTAATTGGTTTTAAATTCAGGACGGGAATTAAAAAACGGTATAATTTATTGGTTTTCCCAACCCAGTACCTTTACCTCCTGCCTCTCCCTTTGTTCTCTTGGTTACATTTCCAGGCACCTGCCATCCTACAGCCAGGCACCCAGGGAACCCACTTCACTACATTATTCTGCAAGAAATTGGCACTGAATTTTCCAAATGGTTGTTCTAGGCTTTGTATGAAGGATCTACACATACACTGGCATCTAATTCTTACACTGACCATCCTCACAAATGAACATACCAAGAAGAGTTTCCTTAATTTATCATCTCCAAATCAAAACAGAAATGGATCGAGTGCTACACAGTAACAGGCAGTCTTGTCTACTCCTGATGTTTCTGTGAATGACATAGCAACATGTAATGAATGACGTAGCAACACATAATCCAAAAGAAATTGAAGGTACTATATCTCTCTGTCTTTTATCTGTCTCTCTTTTACACACACACACACACACACACACACACATACACACTGAACTACTTCACTATTATAATATCCTAATAATATGGATAATGGGCAATAATTATTTTTCTGAGCTGAAAAACCCCCCAACAACTATGAATGCAAATAGTCACTGCATTAGGCAATAGTCACTGATGTGAAGGAGATATGAGGATGAACTTTCTGGGAACCTGATAATAATCTATTTCTTGATTTGATCTACATGGTAGTTACACTGGTGTTGATCACTTAGTGAAATTTCACCAACCTGTATAATTTATGACTTGTTCACTTTTCAGTATGTATGCCATACAACAAAATTTTACTTTAAAAAGCCACACGGGAACCAATCAAATTAAACAAGAGCTCAAAGAGCATATGAAATTAAAATTTGAGATTTAATTGCATCTTGGAATATCTTGACTTATGAAAAAATTGGAACTTCTATTTGTATTGGATATGTTTATATCCTCCACTTGAATGAAATAACATTCAGAAGCCCTACGTACTTGCAGCATTTACATCTGACAAAATATTAAACACAATCATAAATGGTGGCAAATTATTTGATGTCTTCTAAAAATATTTGTCAACATGGTAGTCTACATGGAGACAAAAATATTATACTTATGACAATACTTCTGTTAAAATATTTATGTATTTCTTTATGAAAAGAATTACAATTGACTGTGTTTTCCAGTTTGTAGAATTTGCTCTGAGATTATCAGAAATTGATTTGCCATGACATACAACTTTAAAAATACTGAACGAATGTTACAAGAAAAAGAAAAAGTAGGACCATACTAAAAATATATTTTTTTGCTAAAGAACTCCAGTGACATAATATTAGAGATATGGCCAAGAAAGATTAAAATTCCAAATATGTACCAAAAATAATTATTTAATTAATACCATTTTTCATAATCAGGTAGTCATATAAAGTTTTTGTTTTAATGTACATAACTATATTATCTTTATTTTTCAAAAGAATTTTATTATTTTCATTTAAAATTTTCAATATAAGTCATAGGTCCACCAGTAAATTAAAACCGATTTGGAAATGCTTGAAAGATGTTAGACTAAGTGTGATGGTTAATTTTATGTGTCAACACAGCTGTGCCACAGTGCCCAGATATGTGGTTGTACATTATGATTGTTTCTGTGCAGGTGTTTTCAATGAGATCTACCTTTAAACTGGTGAACTTTGAGTAGAGTATCCCCTACAATGTGGGCAAGCCCCATTCAATCAGTTGCAGGCCCGTGTAGACAAAAGCCTGACCTCCTGCAAGCAAGAGGAAATTCTGACAACAGAGTACCTACCTTTAGATTTCATCTGCAACATCAGTTCTTCCTGGCTCACCAGCAGACTGCCTTTGGACACAAATTGCAACTCTTTCCTAAGTCTTCAGCCTTCCAGGCTTCCTCATCAGAATTTGGACACACCAAGTCTGGAAAATCTCATAAGCCAATTCTTTAAAATAAATCTCTTTCATTTACATATATATACGCACATCCTATTGGTTCTATTTTTCTGGACAATCCTCACTGATTACTAAGGATCAAAACTTCTTCGTAATTTCTTCAGATCCTCCAATATTTGAGCAAGTAGGCAAGACAAGAATATTTTGGGGAGTGGCAGGTTATCATGGTCTCAGTATTGCAATCTATAGCAGCATGCAAGAGACCACAGTAATCTGTCATGGGAGCTTCCCCTGGTGCCAGGGTCCCGGAGCTGGGCTCTCGAGGCGTGGCTGTTGACAGAAGGGAAATAAGAAGCAACTACCCATTATCAAAATCTCTATTGTTAGAATCTTATATACTTTACTCTTATATATCTTACCTTTTATTAGTCTACAATTTTAATTCCACGTTGCTCAGATTAGTAGCTTTGCTGAAAGAATACAGAAATGAAAACCTTATTCTGTTTAATAATACAGACATTTCTCAAAGTAAATTTCCAAAGTGTCATTCCTTTCCCAGTCTGCCTTTCCAATCCCGTGAGATAAAGCTCATGCTCCATACTTGGGTGGTGACTCATTTCTTCAAGATAAACTGGAAGTTGCATAGTAATGTGCTGTTTTTACATTTTTAAAACACAATGACAACAAAACGGAAAATGTGTTAGAAAATAAGGACTTGTTCAGTTACAAATGACACAAACCCAATTTGAATTAGTTTATGCAAAATAAAACTATAAAAAGGAATTTAATTGTCCTATTAACTGGAAAAGGAGAAAGGGATGCTGTGTACAAAAATAAGAGGCACCCACTACATTCCACTAAGTGGCCTCCTAGCATGCATATACAGACCCCATATGCATGCTTATTCCCATATTATAATTCATTTTAGCACTGGTTTGTATAGTAATATTTATAGAATTACACAAGCAATGTAGAATGCATTGTCACTGATAAAAAATGAAATATTATAGGTTAAGGTTAAATGCTTTTTGACTACTACATGTAATACCTCTTTTTATCCCAGATTATCATTTAACAGGTATATTTTTAGGCTTTTTAATGTGTTAAATACACATGTACTCATACAAGCAACTATTTAGAGAAGTGTACAGTGTTGCTGTGTGTGTTTGTGTTTCTGATGGATACTTCATCATGCTAAATGCTTTATTATGATAATTGCTTCCTACTGCCTTCTCTCACCATCATAATCCCTTTGGAGACTTTTCTGTGTCACTTTTTAACCTTATATAGTGTATGCTATACTATGCATGCAATTTATTTGTAGTTTAGTTATTTTCCCAATGATGGAAATATAATTTGTTTTCAAATTTTTTATAATAAACAATATTGCCATGAAAATCTCTGTTTATTCCTCTTGTTCTTAACCGTGGTATTAAATCTGAGTGTATAATAATAAGAAATAAAACTGGTCATTAGACATGTAATGTTTAAATTTGGGGGGGGCTACTTATTTCCCATAGCTTTACATTTGATATTAACAAACTAATTTTTGCCAATTTTTTCTTTCTTTTCGTTCTTTTTCTTTCTTTCTTTCTTTCTTCCTTTCTTTCTTTTTTTTTTATTTTTTGAGATGGAGTCTCACTTTGTTGTCAGGCTGGAGTGCAGTGGCGCGATCTTGGCTCACTGCAACCTCCAACTCCCTGGTTCAAGTGATTCTCCTGCCTCAGCCTCCCAAGTAGCTGAGATTACAGGCACACGCCACCACGCCCAGCTAATTTTTGTATTTTTAGTAGAGATAGGGTTTCACCATGTTGGTCAGGATAGTCTCTATCTCCTGACCTCATGATCCGACTGCCTCAGCCTCCCAAAGTGCTGAAATTACAGGTATGAGCCACTGCGCCCGGCCACCAATGTGTATTTTTAAAATGCTTGACTCTACTTCATATGTCCTTGGTTATATGTATTTTCTGTTGTTAAATGCTACAGTTGTTTATATTTTCTGCTCTGTTTTCCATTGGCCTATTATTTTTATTATTTGGTAAACCTTTACGTATTTTAATATTAATCCAATGGCTGTTTTATGTGCACTTGTTCTCATCTGTCGTTTATCTTTTAACATTGTTAATGGTGAAGTTTTTTTGATGGCAGAGACATTTTTAATTTTAACATAGTGAAATTTGTTAATCTAGCTTTATGGCTTATAATTTTAGTTTATAGAAAGCTTCAATAACTCACAGTTCTGAAATTATTTTCTTTTACAAATTTTATGATTTTGTATATTCTATTTTAGATCTTTAATCCAATTAGAATTGTATGTTTGTGATTGAAGTGAAGAAGGTATATAATTCTAGTTTTGCCAAATACTTGTCAATGTTTCCAATACCATTTTTAAGTAGTCTATAGGTTCTTAACTAAGTCAAAAAGTTACAATAACTCAGTGCTAATTTTCCATACAAATACAGGTCATTTTCTTTCCAATAGAATTTGTTTAATTTCACACCAAATAACCAGTATTTTAATTAGTCATGCACTGACTGCATACCATTGTTTTGGTCAACAATGAATTGTCTGTTTGAGAGTGGTCCCATAAGATTATAATGGAACTGAAAAAAATTCCTCTCACCCAGTGATATCATGGCCATCCTAACACTATAGTGCAATGCATTACTCATGTGTTTGTGATGACGCTGGTGTAAGCTAACCTACTGCTCTCAGAATGAATCCCTGTAATTAAGTGATACATGACTGTATTTTCTTATAGAGCAAATTTTCTCACATCTTTTGCTCCAAATCATCTTGGTTTATTTATACTTTCAACTGAGACAGAACAAAAAGGACCAGGTTTACCCTGCTAGCAGAAACAATGAAAATCAGGGTAAAATATATGAAACTATAGTTTTCAAGATATTGGATATCAGGAAAAAAGGACAATGATCACTGAAAAATAGGAAATAAACAAGCTTAGCTCTGCAGTTGCCACAGCTTACTGCCTTCAGTATTCCAGCCAGTGGAGCAGGAAGAAAAGACCCAGACACAGCCTGGTAGACTTCCTGATTTGAGATGATAAAGCTGGAAATCCAAGGAACCTAAGACACCTCTAATTACTCTAGTATACATACTGCTGTGATACTACCTAATAAATCTCAGGAATAAGAACTCTTCCTAAATAACTTAACTGCATCTCAGAACAAAGGTCATTCGTATTTATCGCAATGAAAAAATCCCCAGCACCTAAGAAGATAAAATCAACAATGGCTGGCATTCTATAGAAAAACCATATAAAAAGCAGGAAAATCCAACCCCAAATTAGGCGGAAAAGCAACCAATCAGCAGCAAACTAGAATTAACACACACATTATTATTAATAGGCATTAAAATACTTATTATAGCTGTGTTTCACATGACTGAAAAGCTAGAGGAAAGATTGAGCATGTTAAGTAGAAACATAGAAGGTTAAAAAATACTCCAAATCAAAATTCCAAAACTGAAAATTCGTACAGAAATAAAAAATACTCTGGAAGGATTTGATGGCTGATTGGATATTGCAGGAGAAATAATCAATAAACTGGAACACATAGAAATAGAAACTATAGAATATGAAACAGCAAAACCCTAAAAAATAATAATGAAGAGAAGATAAGGGAACAGCGTGACAACTTCAAGCAGCCTACCTTATGTGTGATTAGTATCCCAGGAGGAAAGGAGAGAAATGGTACAGAAAAAAAAAGCTAAAGAGGTTGTGACTAAAATATCTTACAAATTTGATTTTAAAAACAGAAAAAAAAAACCCTATAGTGCACAGTATGAAAAAGTTCAACAAACCCAAAGGTCGAAAGACGCATAATTTTAAATCTTCACCAAGCATATCATAATCATATGGCCTAAAGCTAGTGATAAAGACAACATTTTAAAAGCAGAGAAAAACAGACATTATATAACGTAAAGAAATAAAGATGAGGATGGCATCAGATTTCTTATCCAAAACAACAAGAACCTGCAGATAGTGGAGCAACATCTTTAAAATAATGAAAGACAAAAAACATTAATTTACAAATCTATCTATACCCATCCAGTGGTAGGGAGAGTCGGAAGGGAAGGATTACAAAGGATGCAAAGAAACTTCTAGGAATGATGTATGTGTTCACTGTCTTAACTGTAGGGTCAAAATTTATCAAAATGTATGCACTTAAATATATGCACTTTACTGTATGTCAATTATATTTCAATAATGCTATTAATTTTTTAATGAAGTAAAATTTGTTCTGGTGATTTTCACATTTTTTTTTAATTTTAAGTTTTAGGTTCGTCTTGTCAAATTTTATTGTAATCCCTATTGGAATATAAATCTGAATTCTACTGATTTATGATGTAATATAAGAAAGAACTGACAATATTTGTCACTTTGACTCTATGTTCTTTATATGTGTGTGCGTCGTATTTATATCTGAAATGTCAAATTGTCTAAGATTATGATCTTTCCAATTTCCCTTTTTATTTAGTCTTTGAACCATATATCCTCTCTTATCTGTGGTTCTGCTTTCTATTATCCGTGGTTTGCTTTACTTACCTGAGATCAACTACATTCTAGAAAATATGAAGTAGAAAATTCCAGAAATACCAATTGTTAAGTTTTAAATTACACACCGTTCTGAGTAGCATGATGAAATCTCACACATCCTGATTCACCCAGCCCAGGACATGAATCATTTCTTTGTCCAGTGTATCCACACTGTAGAAGTTACCAGCCTGCATCACTTATTAGCTGACTTTGCTTTCAGACCATAGAGGTATGGGTACTCCTTATGTTCAAGGAACCCTTAGTTTACTTAATAATGGCCCATGCATGAGAGTAGTAATCCTGGCAATTTGGATATGGCAAAAAGAATCCCTAAAGTGCTCCATTTAAGTGGAGATGTAGAAGTTTTGAGTTAATAAGGAAAGAAAAAAAAATCATATGCTGAAGTTGCTAAGATCTACAGTAAGAACAAATCTTCTATCCATGAGATTGTGAAGAAGGAACAGGAATCCGTGCTAGTTTTGCTGTTGCACTTCAAATTGGAAAAGTTATGGCCGCGTGATAAGTGCTAAGTTAAAATGGAAAAGATATTAAGTTTGTGGGTGGAATATGTAAACAGAAATGTATTCCAATTGATGGCAATCTGGTTGGGTACCATCAGTGGTTTGGGCATACAATGGGGGTCTTGGAACATATCCCCTGTAGATAAGAGGGAAACTACTGATTTCAAAAATTCCTCAACTAGGGCCAAGCGCAGTGGCTCATGCCTGTAATCCCAGCACTTTGGGAGGCCAAGGCAGGTGGATCACTTGAGGTCAGGAGTTCAAGACCAGACTGGCCAACATGGTGGAATCCCATCTCTACTAAAACTACAAAAATTAGCCAGTGTGGTGGTGCATACCTGTAGTCCCATCTATTTGGGAGGTTGAGGCAGGTTAATTGCTTGAACCTGGGAGGGTGGAGGTTGCAGTGAGCCGAGATCACGCCACTGCACTCCAGCCTGAGCAACAGAGTGAGACTCTGCCTCAAAAAAAAAAAAAAAAAAAAAAAAAGCCCCAATTAGCTCTTCCCTATATAAATGGAAGTGGAAATATTCCTTCACTAAAGGAAAACAACTAGTTTCTTTCTCCAGAAACATCTAGTTGCTATCCAATAACATCTCGTTCCTTTATCCAATTCCAAATGCAGGATCTCTGATAAGATTCAGAACTGGTTTTTTGGGATCTTATAAAATGTGATTAACTTATCCAAATCATAGTGGGAGGAATGATTATAAGTGTTTTCCACTTAGAAACAGAGGAAAAGGTACTGGCAATAGTGGTTTCTGGTCCATAACATATCCAGGTGGGTAGAAGAAGTTTTCCTACCCCTTGAACTTTATGTAAGTTCTTTGTTCTGCCAATCTTGCTGCCCAGAGCTCTGCTCACTGTAGGGTCTTTCTTCCTTGTTGTCTCCACTACAATACTTCAAAGGTACACCACGAAGACTTCCACTTCTGGTGACTAAACCAGTCCAGCAATTCAGTTGCTGTTCATGTCAGTTTTATGAAAACATTGGGAAGATACTCCAGGACATTGGTCTAGACAAAGATTTCTTGAGTAAAACCTGAAAAGCATATATAATCAAAGCAAAAATGGACAAATGGGATCACATCAAGCTAGAAATCTTCTGCACACCAAAGGAAACAATCAATAGAGTGAAGAGACTATTCACAGAATGGGAGAAAATATTTGCAGACTACCCATCTGTGTTAGTCTGTTCTCACACTGTAAAAAGAACTACCAGAGACTGGGTAATTTATAAAGAAAAGAAGTTTAATTGACTCAGTTCCCCAGGCTGTATAGAAGGCATGGCTGGGGATGTCTCAGGAAACTTACAATCATGGCAGAAGGGGAAGCAAGCATGTCATCGCATGGCAGCAGGAGAGAGAGCACAAAGGGGGAAGTGCAACACACTTTTAAACAACCGGATCTCATGAGAACTCTATCATGAGACAGTACTAGAGGAATGGTGCTAAACCATTAGAAACCACCCCCATGATCCAATCACCCTCCACAAGGCCCCACTTGAACATTGGGGGATTATAATGCAACATGAGATTTGAGTGCGGACACAGAGCTAAGCCATATCATTGTGCCCTGGTCCCTCCCAAATCTCATGTCCTTCTCATACTTCAAAACACAATCATGACTTCCCAACAGTTCCCCAAAGTCTTTTTTTTTTTTTTTTTGAGACAGAGTCTAACTCTGTCACCCAGGCTGGAGTGCAGTGGCACAATCTTGGCTCACTGCAAGCTCTGCCTCCCAGGTTCACACCATTCTCTTGCCTTAGACTCCCGAGTAGCTGGGACTACAGGCGCCTGCCACCATGCCTGGCTAATTTTTTATATTTTTAGTAGAAACGGGGTTTCACCATGTTAGCCAGGATGGTCTTGATCTCCTGACCTCATGATCTGCCCACCTTGGCCTCCCAAAATGCTGGGATTACAGGCATGAGCCACTGCACCTGGCCCAGTCCCTCAAAGACTTAACTCATTCTAGCATTAACTCAAAAGTCCAAGTCCAAAGTCCCAGCGGAGACCAGTACCTTCTGCCTATGAGACTGTAAAATAAAAAACAAATTAGTTAGTTCCAAGATACAATGGTGGTTCAGGCATTGGGTAAATAAACCTATTCCAAAAGGGAGAAATTGGCCAAAACCAATTGGCTACAGGTGCCATGCAAGTCTGAAACCCAACAGGGCTGTCATTAAATCTGAAAGCTCCAGAATAGTCTATTTTTACTCCATGTCTCACATCTAGGGCATGCTATGCAAGGCGTGGGCTCCTAAGGCCTTTGGCAGCTCCACCCCTGTGGCTCTGTAGAATACTGCCTCCATGGCTGCTTTCATGGGCTGGTGTTGAATGCCTGCAGCTTTTCCAGGTGTACAGTGCAAGCTGTCAGTGGAGCTACCATTCTGGTGTCTGCAGGATAGTGGCCTGCTTCTCACAGCTCCACTAGGCAGTGCTCCAGCTGGGATGCTATGTGGGGGCTCCAACCCTACAATTCCTCTCTGCACTGCCCTAGTAGAGATTTTCCATGAAGGCTTCACCCCTGCAGCTGACATCTGCCTGGACATCCAGAGGTTTCCATACGCTCTCTGAAATCTAGATGGAGGCTTCCAAAGCTTAACTCTTGCCTTCTGCACACCTGAAGGCCTAACACCACATGGAAGCCACCAAGAATTGGGGCTTGCACTCTCTGAAGCCACAGATTGAGCTGTACCCTGGCTTCTTTTAGCCATGGTTGGAGCTGGAGCAGCTGGGGCACAGGACACCATGTCCCAAGGCTGCACAGAGCAGCAGGTCCTGGACCTGGCCCATGAAAACATTTTTCCCTCCTAGGCCTCCAGGCTGTGAAGGTCTCTGGAATGCCTTGGAGGCATTTTCCCCATTGTCTTGACTATTAACATTTGGCTCTTCTTTACTTATGCAAATTTCTACAGTCTTGAATTCCTCCCCAGAAATGGGTTTTTCTTTTCTGCCACATGGTTGGGCTGCAAATTCTCTAAACATTGTGCTCTGTTTCCCTTTTAAATATAATAAGTTCTAGTTTTAGGTCATTGCTTTGTTTATGCAAATGAGCATATGCTTTCATAAGCAGCCAGGCCATATCTTGAACACGTTGCTGATTAGAAATTTCTTCTGCCAGATACCTTAAATCATCTCTCTCAAGTTCAAAGTTCTGCAGATCTCTACAGCAGGGGCACAATGCCACCAGTCTCTTTGCTAAGGCATAGCAAGAGTGGCTTTCACTCTACTCCCCAGTAAGTTACTTATCTCCATCTGAGACCACCTCAGCCTGGACTCCATGGTCTATATTACTATCAGCATATCAGTCACAACTATTCAACAAGTCTCTAGGAAGTTCCAAACTTTATCTCATCTTCCTTTCTTCTTCTGAGCCCTCCAAACTAGTTCCAACATGTGCCCGTTACCCAGATCCAAAGCTGCTTCCACATTTTCAGGCATCTTTATTGCAATACCCCACTACTGGTACCAATTTTCTGTATTAGTCCATTCTCACATTGCTATAAAGAACTACCTGAGACAGGGTGATTTATTTTAAAAAAATGTTTAATTAACTCACAGTTCCACAATCTGTATGGGAGGCATGGCTGGGGAGGCCTCAGAAAACTTACAATCATGGCAGAAGGGCAAAGGGGAAGCAAGCCGTCTTCACATGGCAGCAGGAAGGAGAAAGCAAAGGGGGAAGTGCTACCTACTTTTAAGCAATCAGATTTCATGGGAACTCTATCATGAAACAACACTAGAGGATGGTCCTAAGCCATTTGAACCACCCCCATGATCCAATCACCTCCCACCAGGTCCCACCTCCAACACTAGATTATAATTCAACATAAAATTTGGGTGGGGACACAGAGCCAAACTGTATCACCATCTCACAGAGGATTAAAAGCCAGAATATATAAGGTGCTCAAACAACTCAATAGGATAAAGACAAATAATCAAATTTTTAAATGAGCCAAAGTTATGAATAGACATTTCTGAAAAGAAGACCTACGAGTGGCCAATAGACATATGAAAAAAAATGCTCACCATCACTAACCATCAGGGAAATGCAACTTAAAACTACAACAAGATATCATCTTACCCCAGGTAATATGGCTTTTATAAAAAAGACAAGCAATAATGAATGCTGGTGATGATGTTGAGAAAGGGAAACCCTCGTACACTGTTGGTGGGAATGTAGATTACAGCCACTATGGAGAACAATACAGAGGTGCTTCAAGGAACCAAAAAATATAACTACCATATCATCCAGCAGCAATCCCACTGCTGGATATACATCCAAAATAAAGGCAATCAGTATATTGAAGAGCTATCTGCACTCCCATGCTTATTCCAGCACTATTCGTAATAGCCAAGATATGAAATCAACCTAAGTGGCCACCAAGGGATGAATGGATAAAGAAAATGTGGAGCATATTTGTGATGAAATACTATTCAGCCATAAAAATAATGAATTTCTGTCATTTTTTACAATATGGATAGAACTTGAAGACATTATGTTAAGTGAAGTAAAAGAGGCACATAAACACAAATATTGCATGTTCTCTGTAACATGTAAGTGCTAAAAAAGAATTGAACTAATGGAGACAGAGAGTAAAATGATGATTACCTGAGGCTGAAATGGGTGGTGGGGAGGAGGGCATAAAGAGGAGATGGTTAGTAAATAAGATCTAGTGTTTGGTGGTATACTAACATAGTTATAGGTAAAAATGTATTGGTCATTTCAAAGTAACTTAAAGAGTAGAACTGGAAGAAAAAATAATAAATGCTTGAGGTAATGGATACCCCAATTACCCTGATTTGATCATGACACACGATATGCTTATATCAAAATTTCACATGTACCCTATAAATATGTACAACTATATGTGTTCATAACTTTTTAATAATAAAAAAATTTTAAAAGGATTGTAAACAATGCAGATAAATATATTTTATTAAGTATATAGATTTTTGCCCATCTTTCTATTTGCTATTTATTGCATTAACTTGTAGGAAAAGATTTACTAGGTTAAAAGTTATAGCTACTTTAAAGTTTCAAAAAAAAACTCTTGACAAGTTGTTTGATGAAAATGTTTAAAGAATTTCTTTCTGCCCCACACTACAGTGTATAAAGGTGCTCATTTCCTTAAATCCTTTGCTAGTTTGATAGATAAAAAACTATCCCATTAATGCATTTATTTTATTAATACATTTTATTTTATTAAATGTTTAATGGCTAGTTTTTCTTTGATCTGAATTGAATATTTGTCACTTTTTCCTATTTTTCTATTAGTGCATTCATCAATTTATATTGATTTATGAAATATACTAAGGCTTATGTGACTAATATTTTCAGTTTGTCTTTTACATTTGTGTTCGTTTCTGAGATGCCATTGTTTCACATTTTAATGTTGTCAAATCTATAATGTTTCCTTTTAATGATCTCTGACCTTATTATTTTGTCTCAAACATCCTTTTCCATTCCATATAAATGTTAACCTAAAAGAAAAATTAACTTAAGTTTTGGGCAGTCAGAAGCTACTGGATGCCAAAATTAGATTTCTCTGACAATTCAACTTCCATAAAACTGTAATTGGCTGGCTCTTATTAATTGCATTAGCTAGTAATCAAGGCCAGAATTTTTACCAGTCAGAATTTCAAATTGAGGCAGCATTTGAGTATTTTCTGACCCTTAGTAATTGGCATGCGAGTGTTGTCCTTATTCCTAATTTTCAACTTAAAAGATTGTGTTGGTGTTTGTCTAATAGCAATAGAAAATAGAAAAAGGCAGGGATGTTGATGGATATACGTTCCCTCTGCCTCCAAGCTTCCGTCTAGTAAAAAAGCACACTTTTTAAACTTTTATTTTAAGTTCAGGGGTACAAGTACAGATTTGTTACATAGGTAACAAATCTGTGTCATGGGGGTATTTTAAGTTCAGGGGTACAAGTACAGATTTGTTACATAGGTAAACTTGTGTCATGGGGGTTTGTTGTAAATATCATGTCCTTTGCAGGGACATGGATGTAGCTGGTGGCCGTTATCCTTAGCAAACTAATGCAGGAGCAGAAGCTCAAATATTGCATGTTCTCACTTATAAGTGGGAGCTAAAAGATGAGAACACATGGACACATAGAGGGGAATGACACACACTGGGGCCTTTTGGAGGGTAGAAGGTAGGAAGGAGGGAGAGGGTCAGGAAAAATAACTAATGGGTCCAAGGCTTAAAACACACATTTTAATGTATGAAATTATACTTGTGTTGTGTAAGAGTTTGCAAAGCACCAGGTGTTTGTAAGAGGCCCGGAGGATCACACATGCTCCCATTCCCCAACCTATTGCCCTGAATCCTAACTTCCAACTTTATTTCTCACAGTGTTTGACATTTTAGATTAACTAATTAATCTAGAAAGATAATCCAACTTGGTCTATAAAAGGGAATTGAATTTTAATCCTGCAAACCTTATGATTATCTAATCTTTGCCAGTCATTGGTTGCAGTTCAGCCACCTTTCCTAAAGATGTATATTTTTCTCTATGTGCTCTCATTTATAACGGCTTAGACTAAACATTTAGCACTTTCCATTTGGATGTTACTGGAAGCTACAAGAGGTAATAAACACATTAACAACATGATGTTTCTCTACCATGCCCATGAAGTGCCACCCTTGGTTGATATATGGTTCAAGACCCAAGGTATAATAGGTTATAGATCTACCAGCTGCTTTGCTATTGCGTTATTGTAAAATGTAAGAGCCATACTTCCCTTCACTCCCTTTTCTATTCTGTCAAATCTACATTTTAGGATTTTTCCATTTGCAGTATTTTTGTTTTAGTTGGCTCTCTGTTCATCACAATTGACAGAACTTCAAGTGAAAATAGATTAAGCAAAAAAATGAGCAATTTATTAGCTTTCATATGTTGGAAATCCAGATGTAGGAAAGGTCTCAAGACTCCGGATACTTAAATGATACCATCAGAATTCTTCTTTCATCCATTAGCTCTGCTTCACTTTATGTGTTGGCCTCATTTCCTCCATTGCTGCTGGGCTTCCCCCAGATGGAAGATAAAAATGGGAATGCCATATTTGTAGACAGCCTTAAGTTTACATGATGTCAGCCCACTGATCTCAGAGTAAAGTGTGCTTCTGTTATCCAGTATTTATATATTAAGCGCCATATAAAAGATCAGCAGCCCTTCTTTTGTAACATTCATCCAACAATACGTTGGCTGCCTGGCCAGGCGCAGGTCAATGACCCTTACCGGGCTTGGTGAAATACAACTGGCATCCTTGTCAGCGAGGGACAACTTTCAAAGGAAATTGTGTTCACTTACTGTTACCAAAACACCAGATGTTCGGTCTAGATCCTGTTTCTTGCTTCACAGAAAGCCTATCACTGAAACAAGTATTGCCAAAGATGAAGCCTTTAATAGAGTGCTGCAGCCAAGAGGCCAGGAGGTCTCAAATCCATCTCCCTGACTGACTAAAATTAGGAGCTGATATAGCAGGGAAGAAATGTAACCATGTGTGGGAAAACAGGAATTAGGGAGGGGTAAAGAAGAGCAGCTGGTCAATGGGAAGCAAGTGGTCAGTTAGGCAAACTTAACAGATAAAGTGTCGGGCATCTGATTGTCCAAATGCAGTGATCTGGTGACTTTCAGCTCCTTGCTACTATTTGGGAGGCCTGATGGCTGGTTTCCTTGGAAAGGAACTCAGATAAGACAAATGCAACTTTCTCAGGTTTTAAAACTAGGAGGGCCAACTTCTATGTTTATTCAAAGAAACCACGAACATCAGCTCTGTGGGACACCTGCTCAGTTTCATTACCAGAAGAACGTGGAAATGATCTTTGGCTGTTGAAAGAGTAAATGCTCATCATGGAAAGAAAAATAAAAAGAAAAGCTCTGAAAGTGACTGAATCAATGACTGACATCATCTGATACAAGCCAGTTATTCCCTTTTGCCTAAGTTCCATCAGGTATAAAATAAAGAAGATAGTCTACTCCTAAACCCCTCACATTTGATAGAAACACAACTGGATGAACTTGAGTATTTACTTGCTTGGAACATCAAGGTTTCTTTGCTTTTCTCTTTCTTTCCCTGATTACAGAAAATTCGTGCTTATAAAGTAATAACAAAATATTAATAAGTCAATGCTTACGTAGTGTTCATTATTTGGCAGGCTGTTCTGAATGCTTAGCATATATTAACTCATTTCGTTCTCACAACACCCTAGGATGTAACTATTATTAGTATCACCATTTAAGAGATGAGAAAAATAAGAGAGATTGGAACATTTTCTACAGTCACATGGTTAGTAAACTGCAGAGCTGGGATTCAGATTCAGGCATCCCATTTGCTGCTGAGTATGATTTCTACCTCTCCTTTCTTTCAGTACATAGTTGAGTCTCACTATAACTTTTCAGGAACACCAGGAACTATAGGCATGATAAAAGAAGGGCTTTGTATGTGTTCTTAATCATGAAACAGTAGATAGTATGATATCCATTTTGATGTAAATTTGAAGAATGTATTTTAATTCCTTTTAAAATCTCTCCACTAGTACAACTGGCTCCTTCAACAGGAAACAGGTGGTCAGTTAGGCAATCATAACAGCTGCATTTCTTATCTGCCAGGTATTCTTAAGATATTGCTCACTTCCCTTTTTTACTTTCACAAGCCATAGCTACTCTGATGTAATTGATCTTTTGAGAGTGTATAAAGTGCTATTTAAAAGTTGCTTAAGTACAGGAAGATTCTATGTCCTATACCCATTCAGTGGAGATGAGAGTTTTTGAGGAGTAACAGTTTCTTTGCTGCTGTCTTATAGGGACACACATTTGGGTACCCACCTTGTACCAGGCACTGTGATAAGGGCTTTGTCATCTTCAATAGGACTTTCTCACCTTCAGTGAGAGGTGTGAAGCTCAGTTATCCATAAACACAGGCTGTTCGGTCTGTAGTCAATTCTATTTTTCAAAGGGATTCTCAAGTCTCCCTTCATCATCATCGCAGAACAATTTTTTTAAAAAAAAATCTGCTCAAGCCTTCTAAGCGGGTCTCAGAAATAGAAAGCAATTTTCTGCTGAATTAACCAAGGTAGTAAATTCAAAGAGGATAGTTTACTATAAAGGCTTATGGGATTGTGAATCAATGTAAACAATTTACTTCTAAAGCCTCTGCCTGGATGGCCATTTAAGGTTGAAATGTGTTTCAATAGTGCCCTGAAAGCTTAAATGAAATTGTCATATAAATACTCCACACTTTGACACATTTCCAATTATTATAATAATTTCACAGCTTTTGAGACTTTTGAAATTATTTGGTTCAATTTAATGTGTAAGGAAAAGACCAATAGGAATTCTTGTTGCTTAAGAAGATTAACACAATCTTTGACAGAGTTGTTTCTATCATAAAATACTACAAGTATTTGAGCACCTAGTATCACAAAAGCTACCTATGATTTTTACATTTTCAAACGAAGAGGAGAAATTATGTTTTTACCAAAGGTCCATATTTTCATTGTGAAACAATATTAAAGGAGAACACATGTTAGAATGAATTGTTATAATTATTTTTTCTGTGCCTTGGGTGGGAGTGTATTAATTATATCAAATTACTACCTAAATAAAAAAGAATGAAAATAATGGTTTGTAGAGAGCAGAGCTAGACATTGAGAGCAGAACTAGAAATTAAGATTATTAGAAAACAACTGTCGTTTTCCCATCTAACCTTAGGAAACCACATTTTATATGGGAAAGTGAAAAAACACAGAAAACCTAATAGCATTATTCTACATTTCTTTCTACTAACTTACTCTAATATTGTCCTAAAGGCATGCATGAACTTTTACTATTCTAAAGGATAAATACAAAAAATGAAAAGTTTGGATTCCATTATACAGCATTTTGTATTCCTAGATTTTATATATATATTCCAAATTAAAGAAAACAAAAATATTTGTAGTAATCAATTCTTCAGCAGAACTTAGTGATGGCACCTACATTATAGATTAAAATAAAATTATGCATACAAAATTATACAAATCTGTTCACTTAATGCTTGAAGTAAGTAGGAGGAAATTACTGCATGTGATTTTTAGAAAGTGTTGTTGAGTACATCAGAAGAAGTTAAATTAATAACCCTTAAAATCTTTGCTTGGTATCAGCAGCCATTCACAAGAGTAATATATAGGAGCTATAAGTAGGGGTTTAACCAACCTGTAGAAATGTCTTTTACTCTATAACTTAACAGTTCTGCCAGAGTTTTACTTAACTAGAATTATACCAAAATAATACCTGTTATTTTGAGGACACATTTACAAAATAATAAAGAATACTTTACACTGCTACCAAAACAACATTATGAAGCCTGAAGAGAGCATGTCAGGAAGACAGAATGCATAATTTTTCTCACATACTACAGCCAAAAGCCTACAAATGGTGTTCATTGTTGGTTCAATAATACATTCTAACATTCTCGCATCTTGTGATGTCATGTTTTTAATCTTTAGATACTGATTCCATAGATTAAAATCTACAATCTTATCTAATTTGGAACCAACAAATTCTCTGATTGGGTGTATCTGAAACACTATCTTGAAAATGAGCTTGGCCCTAAGGAATTATCATTTTTTCTTAACAAATGGACTATGATGCTTGTGCAAATATTTACCTTAAATCAACAATCTTAAATCAAATGCAATATTCTATTTGCAAAACTGTATAGCTTAACTTTCCATAAAGAAGGTGGATACTCACCCTCAGGACTGTGAAAATTACACTTCTATAAATGGCAGGTGTGAATCTCTTATTCAAAATGTGTGAAAAATAGAATCAGAGTTAATTTGTTTTGCCACAGACCTATTTCCCCTCATTCTTCCTTCATACTAAAAAAAATTAGTCATGTGCATTTTAGAATTTTTAGAGTCAAATTATATTGATTATTACTTTTGACTATAGGGAGAAGAATTTTCATTGTCCAAGTTTAATGAAATTTTACTCTCAAGTAGACTGGATTAGCCAAGAAACAAATTCACAATGTAAATATGTAAAATTTCCTTTAACAAGACTGTTCATAAAATTCTGATAACATATTTTCTTTAATTTTTTAAACTTTTATTTTAGATTTACGGGTATATGTGAAGGTTTGTTATGTAGGTCACTGGGGTTTGTTGTACAGATTATTTGGTCACCCAGGTACTAAGCATAGTACATATTTTTTCTGCTCCTCTCCCTCCTCCACCTCCACCCTCAAGTAGGCCTTGGTATCTGTTGTTGCTCTTTTTATGTTCATATGTTCTCATTGTTTAGCTCCCAATTACAAGTGAGAAGATGCAGTATTTGTTTTATGTTCCTGCATTAATTTGCTTAGGATAATGGCTTCCAGCACCATCCATGTTGCTGCAAAGGACATGATCTTGTGCTTTTTTATGGCTGCATAGCATTCCATGGTGTATATGTACCATATTTTACTTTTTTTCTTTTTTTGAGACAGAGTTTCGCTCTATTGCTCAGGCTGGAGTGCAGTGGCACGATCTTGGCTCACTGCAAGCTCCACCTCCCAGGTTCACACCATTCTCCTGACTCAGCCTCCTGAGTAGCTGGGGCTACAGGTGTCCACCACCATGCATGGCTAATTTTTTTTTTTTTTGTATTTATAGTAGAGATGGGGTTTCACCATGTTAGCCAGGATGGTCTCAATCTCCTGACCTCGTGATCCACCCACTTTGGCCTCCCAAAGTACTGGGATTACAGGCATGAGCCACCACACCCAGCCTGCATTTTCTTTATTCAGTATACTGTTGATAGGTATTTAGATTGATTTCATGTTTTTGGTGTTGTGAATAGTGCTGTGATGAACATATATGCACATATGTGTCTTTACGGTGGAATAATTTATATTTCTTTGGGTATATGCCCAATTATGGGATGTCTGGGTTGAATGGTAATTCTGTTTTAAGTTATTTGAAGAATCCACACACTGCTTTCTACAGTGGTTGAACTACTTTACATTCCCACCAGCAGTATATGTGATCCCTTTTCTCTGCAACTTCACCAGCATCTGTTATTTTTTGCCTTTTTAATAAGAGTCATTCTGACTGGTGTGAGATGGTATCTCATGGTGGTTTTGACTTGCATTTCTCTAGTGAGTAGTGATGTTGAGCATTTTTACATATGCTTATTGACCATGTGTATGTCTTCTTTTGAAAGGTGTCTGTTCATGTTCTTTGCCCACTTTGTAATGGAGTTGTTTGGTTCTTGCTTGTAAATTTGTTTAAGTTCCTTATCGATTCTGGAAATTAGACCTTCGTCAAATGCATAGGTTGCATTTTAGGTCAGAAAGTTGTATCTGAAAGGAATACGTACGTGAAAGGTCCATGGAAGCAAATTCCACTTTACTTGTTTATTCTCACTTTTCCTCTGCACCACTCCTTCCCCTGCTCCCCTCTCCCCTACCCAACCACAGCAACCATTCTATACCATTGAATGTTATGTTTTTTCACCCCGTATGTGTTTTATGAAACATGTATTGTTATTTTGTGTGGACATATTTTTAGTTTATATAAATGATATTGGATTATATAGCTTATTTCATCTTGTTTTTTAACTTTTCTCACATAAGCTCTGAGTTTTTTATTTTTTCAGTTGATTTTTTATCATAGTAAGATCTACATTCAGTGTAATATAAAGATCTTAAATGTATATTTTGATGAGTTTTCCTAAAAGCATTCATTTATTTAACCATTACACCACTGAGGTATAGAATGATTCTATCACACCTGGAAATTTCTTATTGACTCCTTTAGTCAATCTTCAGCCACTTTTTAAATTTATATCAAGACTTGGAAGTCAAAGCTTACAAACCAGAAAATACTAAAATTATTTCTACCAGATAAAGTGTGGAACTGAACAGAATGAAAAATGAAAGATCAAACAGTTCACAAGACTTAATCTGGAAATCCTGTAATTGTGATGTTTTGACTTGAAAGAATCTTTTGACATAACTGCTATTTTTAATTGGATAAATTTACACTCTATACTAGGATAAAATTAAATTAAGAAGGTCTACAATTTGTATCTAAATGTAAACTATTCAAAAAGTTAATAAATAGGATTTATTTTATGAGTTTAGCTTAAAAATATTTATCAAAGAAAGGTCTTCTAAAGGAGAAAAAAGAAGAAAATAACTGGAAAAATACATGGGTTTAAAATTTTACACATTTCAATATGAAAAGAACAAAAATTGATAATATCGCCCATCAAAAAAATTTTTTGAGATTACCAAGTACCTCACATGTAGAAAGAATATTTTCTCCATTAATATTTTCTTTAGAGAAGAATTATAAACTGTTTTAAAGTTACTAAGTATAAAATATAACTTTAAAAATTATTGGAGTTATTTGGAAAAATAAAAATAAGACCAGCTGAAAAAAATCTAAGTGCTTCAGAAAAATATCAGTGACAAAGTATTAGAAGAAAATAAAGTTTAAAAACTGATTATGTACCAAGAATAAGTAATTTACTTAGTCTATGTTTAATTTTAGATAATGAATGGGATTTTTTAAAATTTTGCTTTAATATGTACAGATGTATATTATTTTTAAGAAAGTTATTTTTGAATGTAATTTTTTAGCAAAAGTGTTTTGCAGGTCAATAAATATAATCAAACTAATTTATCAGTCAATAAATATTTAAAAATTAAATTACTTCATTTGTTTGATTTTTTTGTGACAGTATCTTGCTCTGTTGTCTACGCTGGAGTGCAGTGGCACAATCTTGGCTCACTGCAACCTCCACCTTCCGGTTCAAGTAATTCTCCTGCCTCAGCCTCCTGAGTAGTTGGGATTACAGGAACATGCCACCATGCCAGGCTAATTTTTGTATTTTTAGTAAATACGGAGTTTCACCATGTTGGCCAGGCTGGTCTCAAACTCCTGACCTCAAGTGATCCACTCACCTCAGCCTCCCAAAGTGCTGGGATTACAGGCATGAGCCACCATGCTCAGCCAAATTATTTAATTTTTTAAGCATTACTTTTTACTCTCTGAAGTGCCCTGGTTCAAGCAGTAAGTTATATGGTCACCATTATAAAGGGGCAATGTCCAATGTCCTTGAGAGTTTTTATATATGACAATTGCTCCCAAAGAAAGTAGAGGTACAATACCTACCAATGCGTTATCCTTTTTGTTTCTTGTTTGGATATTTCTCCCTCCCTCCCTGACATTGTAGGTCTCTGTGGAAGCACAGACATTCTCTGTCTTGTTCACTGCTTTAAGCTGAGCACATAGAATGCTGTCTAAAAAGTAGCAGAGGCTAACAAATTTTCAAAGATGGTCTTTTGTTAATAGGATAGGTGTCTTTTCATCACAGCTAATGAGAATTTGCATTCCCACTAAGCTCATTTATATAAAACTATAATGAAATTATTTTTATTTGTGTTTGGTCATGGCAATAAAATGAATTTCAACAAATGCTTCAACATTTAAAAACTATATTTGTATTATAAATTACCATAGTAGAAATATTCATACTTGAGAGTTTTAAAATTTCAATTATTAAAAGATTCTTTATTTTTAAACATAGCCAGAATTTCCCCTAGAACAATGATGTTACAATTTTATACCCTCAGAATTTATTTTAATAAGTATGAAATACAAGTTATCCAGATATTAAAGCATTTATGTATATTAGGTCACATTAACATTAGTGACATTTATTGTTACTGCTGCCATTCTTCCAAATCGCATCTTGCAGGATCTTCATCCCTGACAAGCTCAGCCCAAGTGTTTCTAGAGCATGTTTGTCATTTGTCCATGAACTATCCCACTGCACTTACCCAGCTGTGTCTTCAGATCTTCCAGGTACTCTTTCAGCCACCTTGGTTTTGGCAGGCCTACAAGTACTCTGTTAGGCACTAGGATTTCTGCTAAGCAACTTATTGCTCCATCTGGAGCTAACCTGAGGCATCACCACTGAGGCACCAATGCCCTCATGGCATCAAAGCTACTCACTGATGTGTTGCGAGTTGAATATACCTTTGTAGTATATTCTATGTGACATGAGTTGCTGCTTGTGTGCTCTTGCGTTATGGCCCTGTTCTCAGACCAAACCAAGGGTCAGGCTGCTTATTCTTGTGGCCCAATAACGAGATGCAGATGAACTGGGAAAGAAGAGTTTATTTCTGTTACTGGGTACAAGGAGAAGGCCGAGAAAGTATTACCAGACCAACTCAATATTACAAAGTTTTCCAGCGCTTATATACCTTCTAAGCTACATGTCTACCTGTAAGTGTAAGTGTGCATTCATCTAAAGACACAAATGATTAACTTCTTCTAATCTATAACTAAGGTCTGAGTCCTTAAGGCCTTGCTCTGGAGCCTCAGTAAATTTACTTAATCTTGATGGGTCCAGGTGATAGGGGTGATTACCCTTATCTTGTCTCCTGCGAAATCATGGAGGTTTGGGGAGTTCCCCAATAAAACTTGTTTGTGGAGGTCTGCAGAGTTTCTTCAGACCCCCAATAAAACTTGTTTAATCTTAAACGGGTCCTGTTAAGAATTCCCTCATTATCTTGTCACGCTTCAGGGCCCAGGAAAAGCCTTGGCAAAACCCTTGGTGGGCTTTTGTTACATTCCAGCCTTTGTATAAGGGCACTGGCCCTATCAGCTTTTAATGTTTAACTTAACCACTCAGTCAGTGCTAAAAAAGTCGTCATGGAGGCCTGCCTGTTCAGCTGTTAGTGAGACCTGGCCTGCCACAGCCCTATTATTTTTACTTATATCACTTTCTTTCATAAGGACTCAGACACGTGGCTATTAGCCCAGGCTGTTGAAAACCACCATGGTGTAGTGAGAATTATTACCACCTTTGTAATGACGAAGGCTTTGTAATGGGAAAGTTATTTTGGCCTGCCTCTTTTTGCCTATAGAAAGCCTTTACACATGGTCCTCTCTTGACTCTTTTAACAGTTGGCCAGACGTGGTCAGACATGTTAAAATTCAGAATTCCTAGATATCTTGAATGTCTCAGGGATATTTATACAAAGGGGGGTTTTCTCCTGCTTTAATTCATGCTCAGTTTAGGAGACCTACATTTTGATTAATATGTTTTTAAATGCTAAGATTAATCAATTAAATGATCTTATTAATTTAAAATAAAATTATGAATTTATTATTGTATTTTAAAAAATACATCAAACCTCTTAAACGGAAGATAAAAAATACAGAAGCTCAGCACTCACAAACTCAACAAAAGAGTTCCAACTGCACCTATTTTAAAATTTAAACTCCATGAGTTTTATTCTATATTGATTCTTATACTTTCTTTGTACAGTAATATATATTATTCTGATACTCACAAAGGTAATGATATTATTTTGATACTTTTCCATGGTAAAGGTAATCTAACAAAAAGAATGTAACCAGATAGCAGAAAGTTATAGCATCTAGATTATTAACTCTTTGATATTGATTATGAACTGGTAATTCAAATTAGAACTAACATACATTGAGTTAAAACATTTCTAAAAATTATACATCACTTACTATATCAATAGGACTTTTAGCTCCATTTCTTTCACATAGTTTTTTTTTAATTGAACATTGTACCCAATAGGTAATTTTTAACCTCAGCCCCCTCCCACCCTCTCCACTTTTGGAGTCCCCAGTATCTATTATTTCCATCTTTATGTTCATATGTATCCATTGTTTAGCTCCCACTTATATGTGAGAACATGTGATATTTGATTTTCTGTTTCTAAGTTAGTTCACTTAGGAAAATGGTCTCCAGCTCCATCTCTGTTACTGCAAAGGATATGATTTCATTCTTTTAATGCCTATTGGCCATGATTATTAGTCTCTTTTTCAGTCTCACTTGGTAACAGTTTAGCTTATGGAAATGCCTTAATTTCAATACTCCCCCAGACATTTTAAAAGCATCTTTGCTTTCTAGCAATATTTCATACACTTTTTATTTTTAATGTTTTCCTGGTCAAAGACATGAAATCAGTTACTCTTCACATAAAAGTTTAAATTTAGAGTGAAATAGAGTCTAAATATCGGCACTAGGTATAAATATTTTATTTTTTCTCCATGTTCACTGATGGTATTCACTCCCTGCTGGGTCTGTTTGGTGACAGTGCTGAAATATATATTTCTTACTAAAATAGTGAGCTCACATAGATATTTCCTAATTAATTTTTGTAGTAAATCACTTTATTTTTTCCAGTATAAAACTTTAAGTAATTCTTATATCATATATTTCTAATTTTGATCATTCTCCCAAACTTAATTTCACCCAAATCTCTTTAAGTTTACACTGACCACACACAAACAAACACATTCACACATACACACAAATAGCTTTCCACCCCTACATTGGATTTGACTCTGGCTCAAAGTAAAATCTCTGCTACTAGCATTGTAATAGAAAATCTGTGAACAATTAATTAGCACACTAACTTATTTTTACTATTAGGTCAAACAAAGATCTACTAATATAATGATTAGTTATGAAAATTTAGCCCCATTTGAAATTATGGACATTTATAGTCAATTATTATTTTAAAAATTTCTAATTCTATCCATTTCTCCAATAATATTGCCTTCATGTCTCTACCTTCAACCAGAATTTATAGTGGATTCTTACTGCTGATCAAATAAAATTTACTTATTTCCGAATGCATTTAATTTTGATTGACTTTACTTTTATCAAACAAATGCATGTACTTATGTAAAAACGTGAGAATAACAATGGAATTTTATATTCTAGTAATCAGAAGCAAGGCAATCCAGACCAACACTTCCATTGAAACAATTAATAAATCTGAAAAAAGTATTAAAAATATCTACTTATATTAGACATCTAATAAGACTATGAAGGATGTTTAGGCCAGGATCCAAAAGAAGGCAGAATCGCAGTAAGGTAGGCCCCAACCTGGCATTGCATTTTTCAAGATATTGTTTGCTAAATCAAGAAGAGGATGAGAAGCTAAGGAGTTGAGTGATCATTTTGACAATCCTGTGCTAGTGGAAAAATATTAGATTCCAGAACATAGAGAAAGAGGCACCTGGTATTTCTCTGTTCTCTGTAGTTATATCACAAAAGATAATACCTTGGGAGTAAGAGTGACTTTGGAAACATACCAGCTCTATAATTTTGACTTGCTGGTACCTTGATAGCCTCCTAGCAGAAGCAAATAAATTCCTCTCTGAAGGAAGAACACTATCCAAGGCTTAAAATTATTTCTAAACTTTTTTTCGTATTCAGTATCTATCATTCAAAATGAAAGTGGAAGATGAGGAATATAATAACATAAACATAAACCAAGAGAAACAACAGACAATAAAAATGAATGCTCAGGGAATACAGCTAATGAAAGTATGACACACATAATTCAAATTAAGTACATTTACTATGTTCAAGGAGATGGAAAGAAAATGAGATTTATAAGAGAAAATTGGAAACCTAAAAACAGAAAACTAGACAAACAAAATAAATCTAAATTCTAGAACTGAGAAATATAAAACCAAAGTAAGAACTCTAAATATGGGTTCAATAACATATTAGAAAAATAATTAGGCACTGAAAGACATGTCAGAAGAAAATTTTCAGGAGTAAGTTTAAAGAGATTAAAAAGAAAAGAATACATATGTACAGAAAGATGATAAAAGAGATACAGAGAAAAGGTAGAACATGTATATGGGTAATGGAGTGGTAGAGGTAGAGGAGCTACTAATAACAGATGGGTAGGAGTAGAAATAGAAAGGAAGTGGTGAAAAAAATGTAAATTGTTTTTAAAAATCAAGTTTGATTACAGAGAGCAATATACCCTAAAACAGGATAAATCAAAAGAAAAGCACACTGGACTTAAATTTCCAGCCAATATAGAATTACAGAGGACAAATTTGTCATTTGGCATAAAATACATGAGAATGTTTTTCAATATGTTAGACATCCAGCAATGAAGGACAATTATTCCTGAGAGGCAAGACATAAAAAAGTTGAGGCCTATAATTACCACAGTTTACTGCCTGGAAAGAGGCCATGCCTAGCTGAAAAAGGAGAAAGTAAGAAAGCAGTCAGGCAGGCAGTTAGGGTGGGTCATTGGTAAAATTCCTTCAAACAAAGAACAGCCTGAAAATCAAGCAGTAGGCCCCAGAAAAGAAAGAGCGCATGTCCTTGAATAGAAATGCTTGCCCTGTGAACTGAGATGAACAAATTCAACCTCTTTTTGGACACATTTGTCTCTCCTTGGCATGACTTAGTTTCTTACTTTTCACCTATTGGTCTCTTAGTTTTCACCTATTTTACATATGCCTACCTTTCTATAATTGGCTGTGGGCTAAGTATTCATTTACATAGGGTGAGTCATCACTTCAATACCTGACTGGTCCGGGGCCAAGGTGCCAGGCCAAGACTTCACCTCTGCCTCCAATTGGTTCTTTACACTATCATACATCGTTCTAACTTGTGCTTTCTCCAAAATGACCTGTAGACCAGTCAGCTTATTCCTCTCCATTCCAGTCCATAAAGTCCCTAAACTCAGCCTTATAGCTGGCAACCCTCTTTTGGGCTCCCTTTCTGCTATAGAGTGATTCCTCTTTTGCTTATTAAACTGTCACTCCAACCTCACCTTTGGTGTCCATGCTCCTTATTTTTCTTGGTCATGAGACAAAGAACTCTGGGTAATACCTCAGACAACAAGGCTACTTCATAGGAAGTGGGAATTTGGTAGGATCTTGGTTCCCTGAGGTGAGGCAACAGAGCTTGGAGTCTAGGGATTCTTAGACAGCTGTAGTATATAGGGCAAAATCCCAGAGAAGACAGGGCTGCTCCAACAGAGACTCTGAATATGTGCAGAGGTTTCCCCTCAGTCTTCAGCTGAGGATTGATCAGCACACGTATATGAGGAAATTGAGGACAGGAGAAAAAAACACTGCAAAAAAGGAGAAGGAACAAGCACTGGGCTCCCTCCAGACAAACGGATAAATCTCATATAAAAAATACATAAAATACAAACATATAACACAAAATATGCAGCACCAAACAAGATAAAAATTGCAATTTCTGCTATCCTATAAAAATATCCGGGCATGAAAAGAAAAAAGGAAAATGTAATCATAAGGAGAAAATTCTATCAAAACACACTATCCGAGAAATAGATATAATTAGTAGACAAGGACATCAAAATAGCTTATAATTGTACTCCATATTTTCAAAAACCTATAGGAAATATTGGCCTGTTAAAAAGAGGGAGGATGGATATAAAAAAGACCCAAATTGTACTTTTAGAAATGAAAATAATGTCAAAAAAATTTTAATGCATTAGATATGATTAATGGCAGATTGGACATTGATTCCCAAAAGATTAGGGAACTGGAGGCTGGGCACGGTGGCTCACATCTGTAGTCCCAGCACTTTGGGAGGCCGAAGCAGGCGGATCACGAGGTCAAGAGTTCCAGACCAGCCTGGTCAATATGGTGAAACCCAGTCTCTACTAAAAATAAAAAAATTAGCTGGGCATGATGGCACACGCCTGTAGTCCCAGCTACCTGGGAGACTGAGGCAGGAGAATTGCTTGAGCCTGGGAGGCGGAGGTTGCAGTGAGCTCTCACCACTGCACTGCCCTCCAGCCTAGGCAACAGAGTGAAACTCCATCTCAAAAAAAAAAAAAAAAAAGAAAAGAAAAAAGATCAGTGAACTGGAAAACCAATGTAAAAACTACAAAATGAAACATAGGGGAAAAATAACTGAAAATAAAATGAACGGTGTGTGAGTGAGGTGTTGGACAGCTTCATGTGATCTAATATACATATGCCTGGGGTATGTAAAGAAACGAGAATAGAGAAATAGGAGAAAAAACATATAGATGAAGAAATAATGGCTGAAGAATGTCAAATGTAATGAAAACTACAAACCCCAGAGATCTAAAAACTCAAATAATCCCAAGCACAAGAAACAAATAAAATTACATCAAGGCATATCTGAATCAAATTGCTTAAAACTAGTGACAAATCATCTTAAAATCAGCAAGAAGAAAAAATACAACATGTATAGATGAAGAGAGACATAGACGGCTGCAGATTTCTCACTGAAAACAATGCAAGCCAGAAGATGGTAAGCAATATTTTTAAGGTATTGGTGGATGGGAAATTTGTCAACCTATACAAATATTCCCAGCAATTTTTTTTTTAGTAAATTAAGAAAACTAAGATGTTTTAAGCGTACAAAACCCAAAAGAATTAATCATTAGAAGACTTGCACTTCAAGAAATGTTTAATGATACCCTTCAGGAACAGAAAAAAGAATAATATTAGATGGAAATCTCAATCTACATAAATTAAGAGAGAACACTGGAAATAATAACTGTATGGATATAAATAAGATACATTTTTTCTTATCATTTAAATATTTTTGACAGATAATTGAAGATATAAAGCAAGAGGAATAACAACGCAATGTGAGGTTTATAACATATGGAGGAGTAAAATATTTGACAATAGTAACACAAAAGCCAGGCAAGGAAAAGTGAATGCATTCAATTTTAAGGTTCTTATACTATATATGAAATGGCATAATATCATTTGAAAGTTGATAATGACTAATAATGTATACTATATAATCCCAAAGTAACCACTAATATAATACCAAAAAAGTTATAGCCAATAAGATAACAATGGAGATAAATGGAATAATAAAAATATATTAAATTAATTCAAAAGAAGTCAGAGAAGGACAAAAAGGAACAAAACAGGTGAGAAAATAGAAAACAAATAGCAATATGGTGAATTTAAACCCAAACACATCCATAATCATATTAAATTTTAATATTATAATCACTCCAATTAAAAAGCGAAGATTGTCAGATTGGACACAAAGATGACATCCAACTATCTGATGTCCATGAAACACTTAAATATAAAGACACAAAGATGTTCGAAAATGGATGAAAATTATATTTATTGCTAAGCTAACAATAATCAAAATAGACTAGAAAGACTATATTAATATTAGATAAAGTAGATTTTAGAGCAAAATATTACTTGGAAAAAGGGTAATTTCATAATAAAGAAGTTAATTCATGAAGATAATAATAATTTTATAAATTAATGCATTTAATAACAGAGCTTCAAAACATATGAAGCAAAACTAATAGAAGTATAAAGAGAAATAGCCAAATTCAAATTTATAAGTCAGAAGTCTTAATAATCCTATTTCAATAAGTGATAGAATTAATAGGCAGGAAATCAGTAAAGTTAAATGGCACTGCCAACAATCTTGAAATAGTTGATCTAAAACACTACTGTCCCAACAATAGAATACATGTTATTTTCAACAACACATGAAACGTTTACTAATAATTCACATCCAGGGTCAATACAAGTCTCCATAAACTTTGAAGAATTCAAATCATGCAAAGTATGTTCACTGACCACAATAGAATTAAGATGCCAGTAACAAAAAGATATCTCCAAATATTCAGAAACTAAAAAAAAGCCTTACTTTTCAATAACCCAAGGTCAAATAAGATATCAAAAGTAGAATGGGAAACATTTTCAGCTATTTATATTTTTAAAATACAAATAGAGCACATCAACATTTGTGGTATGCACCTAAAACAGCACTTAAAGTGAAATTTATACAACTAAACACTAATACATATATGAAAAGAGATGAAAACTGTAACTTCAGTTTCTACCTTTATTAACAAAAAAAAGAAGGATAAATGAAACCTAAAATATGCATTAACAATGAAATAATAAAGATCAGTCCAGAAATCAATAAAATGGAAAACAGAGAACTAACAAAGAAAATAAAGACAAAAGTTTTTCTTTGAAGAAATATATACCTGGGCTAATCAGAAAAAAAAAGAAAAGGCAAAATCTAACAATAGCAAGAATGAGAAACACTATCACTATAAATCTACAACTTTTAAAAGAATAATAAAGACTACGGGAATATTGTGTACAACTTTATGTCAATAAATTCCAAAACTTAAGTGTACTGGACAAATTTCTTGAGACATATAAACTATTGAAGCTTACTTCAGCAGATATAGATAAACCAGACAGCCCTATACCTATTAAATAAATTAAATTGATAGTTAAAAACCTAACCACAGTTTTCAAAGGGAATGCTTCCAGTTTTTGCCCATTCAGTATGATATTGGCTGTGGGTTGTCATAGATAGCTCTTATTATTTTGAGATACATCCCATCAATGCCTAATTTATTGAGAGTTTTTAGCATGAAGCGCTGTTGAATTTTGTCAAAGGCCTTTTCTGCATCTATTGAGATAATCATATGGTTTTTGTCGTTGGTTCTGTTTATATGCTGGATTATGTTTATTGATTTGTGTATGTTGAACCAGACTTGCATCCCAGGGATGAAGCCCACTTGATCATGGTGGATAAGCTTTTTGATGTGCTGCTGGATTCGGTTTGCCAGTGTTTTACTGAGGATTTTTGCATCAATGTTCATCAGGGATATTGGTCTAAAATTCTCTTTTTTTGTTGTGTCTCTGCCAGGCTTTGGTATCAGGATGATGCTGGCCTCATAAAATGAGTTAGGGAGGATTCCCTCTTTTTCTATTGATTGGAATAGTTTCAGAAGGAATGGTACCAGCTCCTCCTTGTACCTCTGGTAGAATTTGGCTATGAATCCATCTGAGTCTGGACTTTTTTTGGTTGGTAAGCTATTATTGCCTCAATTTCAGATCCTGTTATTGGTCTATTCAGAGAGTCAACTTCTTCCTGGTTTAGTCTTGGGAGGGTGTATGTGTCAAGGAATTTATCCATTTCTTCTAGATTTTCTAGTTTATTGCGTAGAGGTGTTTATAGTATTCTCTGATGGTAGTTTGTATTTCTGTGGGATCGGTGGTGATATCCCCTTTATCATTTTTTATTGTGTCTATTTGATTCTTCTCTCTTTTCTTCTTTATTAGTCTTGCTAGTGGTCTATCAATTTTGTTGATCTTTTCAAAAAACCAGCTCCTGGATTCATTGATTTTTTGAAGGATTTTTTGTGTCTCTATTTCCTTCAGTTCTGCTCTGATCTTAGTTATTTCTTGCCTTCTGCTCGCTTTTGAATGTGTTTGCTCTTGCTTCTCTAGTTCTTTTAATGGTGATGTTAGGGTGTCAATTTTGGATCTTTCCTGCTTTCTCTTGTGGGCATTTAGTGCTATAAATTTCCCTCTACACACTGCTTTGAATGTGTCCCAGAGATTCTGGTGTGTTGTGTCTTTGTTCTCGTTGGTTGCAAAGAACATCTTTATTTCTGCCTTCGTTTCATTATGTACCCAGTAGTCATTCAGGAGCAGGTTGTTCAGTTTCCATGTAGTTGAGCGGTTTTGAGTGAGTTTCTTAATCCTGAGTTCTAGTTTGGTTGCACTGTGGTCTGAGAGACAGTTTGTTATAATTTCTGTTCTTTTACATTTGCTGAGAAGAGCTTTACTTCCAACTCTGTGGTCAATTTTGGAATAAGTGCGGTGTGGTGCTGAGAAGAATGTATATTCTGCAATGAACTCCAACAAATTTACAAGAAAAAAACAAACAACCCCATCAAAAAGTGGGCGAAGGATATGAACAGACTCTTCTCAAAAGAAGACATTTATGCAGCCAAAAGACACATGAAAAAATGCTCGTCATCACTGGCCATCACAGAAATGCAAATCAAAACCACAATGAGATACCATCTCACACCAGTTAGAATGGTGATCGTTAAAAAGTCAGGAAACAACAGGTGCTGGAGAGGATGTGGAGAAATAGGAACACTTTTACACTGTTGGTGGGACTGTAAACTAGTTCAACCATTGTGGAAGTCAGTGTGGCGATTCCTCAGGGATCTAGAACTAGAAATATCATTTGACCCAGCAATCCCATTACTGGGTATATACCCAAAGGATTATAAATCATGCTGCTATGAAGACACATGCACACATAGGTTTATTGTGGCACTATTCACAATAGCAAAGACTTGGAACCAACCCAAATGTCCAACAATGATAGACTGGATTAAGAAAATGTGGCCATATACACCATGGAATACTGTGCAGCCATAAAAAAGGATGAGTTCATGTCCTTTGTAGGGACATGGATGAAGCTGGAAACCATCATTCTCAGCAAACTATTGCAAGGACCAAAAACCAAACATTACATGTTCTCACTCATAGATGGGAATTGAACAATGAGAACACAGGGACACAGGAAGGGGAACATCACACACTGGGGCCTGTTGTGGGGTGGGGGGAAGGGGGAGGGATAGCATTTGGAGATATACCTAATGTTAAATGACGAGTTACTGGGTGCAGCACACCAACATGGCACATGTATACATATGTAACTAACCTGCACGTTGTACACATGTACCCTAAAACTTAAAGTATAATAAAAAAAAAACCCCTAACCTCAAAGAAAACCACATGCGCAGATGGCATCAGTGGTCAATTATGCCCAACACTAAACAAAGAAATAGTTCCAACTCTACACAAACTCTTCCAGAAAATTGAAGAGGAGGGAAACACCCTCCACATGAGAATAGCAGTATTTTCTATCAAAACTAGATAGAGACATTACAAGGGGAAAAATAAAACTGTAAACTACTCACCAAAATCTCTTCGGTACACAGAATCAACATGTTTTAAAGATGTAGGGGGTACATGTGCAGTTTTGTTACACGGGTATATTGCATAGTGGTGAGGTCTGGGCTTTTAGTATATATTTTTATGTATAGTAAATATGATACCCAATAGGTAATTTTTCAACCTCACCCCCACCCCACCTTTCTGAGTCTCCTGTGTCTATTTTCCCACTCTGTATGTCCATGTGTACCCATTGTTTGGCTCCTACTTATAAGTGAGAACATGGGGTATTTGACTTTCTGTTTCTGAGTTATTTCACTTAGTTTAATGGCCTCCAGTTCCATCCATCTTGCTGCAAAAGACACGATATCATTCTTATGATAGCTGAGTGGCAGTCCATGGTGTATAGAGATTATATTTTGTTTACCAACTCATCCATTGACAGACATTTAGGTTGATTTTGTATCTTTGTTATTGTGAATAGTGCCATGATAAACATCCAAGTGCAGGCATCTTTCTAATAGAATGATCTTTTTTTTCTTTTGGGTATATACCCAGTAGTGGGACTGCTGGATTGTATGGTAGTTTTATTTTTAGTTCTTTTTATTTAAGTTTATTTTATTGTTAGTTGATATATAATAACTATACATATTTATGGCATAGAGTGTGATGTTTTCATATAGGTTTACAATGTGTGATGATCAAATTAGGATAATTAGCATATTCATCTCCTCCAACATTTATCATCTCTTTGTGGTGAGATCACTCAAAATCCTCTCTTCTAGCTATTCTGAAATATGTAATATATTATTATTAACTACATCATTCTACTCAGCAATGAAACATTGTGCATTCTATCTAATTGTAACTTTGTACTCCTTGACCAACCTTCCCCAACACCCTCACCCTATCCAGCCTCTAGTAGCCAGTATTCTACTCTATACATTTTTAAAAATAACTTTTACTTTAGTTTCAGGAGTACATGTGAAATTTTGTTACATAGGTAAACTCCTATCACAGGGCTTGTTGTATAAATTATTTCATCACCCAGATATTAAGCCTAGTACCCAATAGTTATCTTCTTTTTTCCTCTTCCTCCTCACTCTCCACCCTCAAGTAGACACCAGTGTCTGTTGTTTCCTTCTTTGTATTCATAAGTTCTAATCATTTAGCTCCCACTTTTAAGTGAGAACGTGCTGTATTTGGTTTTCTGTTCTTGCAGCCCCATCCACGTTCCTGCAAAATACATTATCTCATTCGTTTTTATGGCTGCATAGTATTCAATGATGTATATGTACCTCATTTTCATTATCCAATCTGTCTTCGATGAGCATTTAGGTTGATTTCATGCCTTTGCTATTGTGAATAGTGCTGCAGTGAACATTCGCGTGCATGTGTCTTTATGGTAGAATGATTTATTAATATATTCCTCTGGGCATATACCCAGTAATGGGATTGTTGGGTTGAATGTTACCTCAGCTTTTAGCTCTTTGAGGAATTGCCATACTGCTTTCCACAATGAGTGAACTAATTTACACTCCCACCAACATTGCGTAAGTGTTCCCTCTTCTCTGCAATGTCACCAGTATCTGTTAATAGTAGACATTCTGACTGGTGAGAGATGGTATCTCATTGTAGTTTTGATTTGCATTTCTCTAATGGTCAGTGATATTGACCTTTTTTTCATATGCTGATGGCCACATGTATGTCTTCTTTTGAGAAGTGTCTGTTTGTGTCCTTTGCCTTCTTTTTAATGGGGTTGTTTTTCTCTGTAAATTTGTTTAAGTTCCTTATATATACTGGGTATTAGACCTTTGTCAGATGCATAGTTGGCAAATATATTCCCCCATTCTGTAGGTTGTCTCTTTGCTTTGTTCTTAAACACATTTTTAAACAAAATTCAATCAAATAAAATCTCTCGTAGGCAGGATTCTGAGATAATCCTCAAGATTCCCACCATCTGGTGTATGTGCCTATATAATCCCTTTTATTGTGGGTGGAAGCTATAATTGTAATTAGTTACCACTCTCATGATTATGTTATGTTATGTATCTAAAAGGGAAATTATCCTAGGTGAGCCTGATCTAATCAGGCAGGATCTTTACAGAGAGTTTCTTCTAGCTAGTTGCAGAGGAGAAAGTCATATTTATACACTCCTGCTGGCCTGGGAGAATGCAAATATCCATGTTGTGAACTGCTTATGAGCTGCACATGATATGAACCCAAAAGTAGCTTCTAGGATCTGACAGTAGTCATTGACTGACAGAGAGCAAGAAAATGAATACTTCAGTCATACAACCTCAAGAAACCTAATTCTACATAAAACAACCTGAATGAGCTTGGAAGACCCTAAGCTCCAAATAAGAACTCCATCATATTTGGCACCTTGCTTACAGCTGTAAAACTCTGATTTGAGAACCAAGTTAATCCATGCTCATATGCCTAACCAATGAAAACTGTGAGATAATAAAATCATGTTTTAAGTAAATGTGTTATTGGGAATTTATTATGCAGCAAGATATAACATAACACAGCATCCAGTAATATCCAAAAAGAATAATACATCATGACCAAATGGGATTTATTCCATAAATACAATGCTCACTTAGCATTGAACTATCAATTTTGTGGTATACACTATATTAATATAGCATGATAGTTTATCACATTAGTAGAATAGAAAAGAAAAATGCTTTGGTTATCTCAATAGGTGCAAATAAGTATTTAAGAAAAATTTAACATCTATTCCTCATGAAAATGCTCAGGAAACTAGGAATAGATGGGATCTTCCTCAACTATATAAAGGATATTTATGAAAAATCTACAGCTATGATACTTAATGATGAAATACACTGAGTACATACATACAAATGGATGGATGTGTGTGTGATTATGTTAAGTGTAAATGAAGTTAATGTAAATATAATATATTTTCAGACTTTATAAGAATAATAACATCAATGGCAACAACCATGTTCTATTTAGAAAGCATATCTAAAGGACATACAGAAACTGAAAATAAATAAAAGTGAAAAATATACAACTTATAAATAATATTCAAAGTTTACAGACCTATGAAATGAGATGTAAGACAGAAACAAACACTGGATATTGTGAGATATACTTTATAATAATATGTTTAAATTTACTAGGAAAATGGAACAATTTTAACCTGAATCATGTTAATAATGTCATCTAATAATTATTTTTTAAATGATGGATTAAAAGTAAAAATATACAAATCTACATTATTTTGGGGAGATTTTGCCATCTTTTTTTTTAATTTAGAAAACAAACACACATCTCAATATGAGTATTATTAAAAACATAATATTTTTGGTCCAAATGACATACCTTTGCATGTGGTACCAAAATCACAAGATACACATTTCTTTACTAAAATTAACCATTTGTTTAGCCAAATTTTAAAAGATTATGTCATATACTATGTAATCTTACCATGGTACAATTAGTGTAGAAATCTATAACTACAAGATAATTAGAAAATACTCCAAAGTTTGTAAATGGAAATATTCATAGGTTAAAAAAGAAATCACAAAGGAAATTAGGGAATATTTTGGAATAAGTGATAATTAAGGCACTACATATCAAAATTTATGTGATGCAGTTAAAGCTGTGCTTCATACGAAATCTTAAATTTCCTCATGAAAATGCTCAGGAAACTAGGAATTGATGGGATCTTCCTCAACTATATAAAGAATATTCATGAAAAATCTATAGCTATCATACATACATCATTTCATAGAACATTTATGATTAGAAAAGCTAGGTGGAAATCAATTATCTAAGCTTCTATCTCAAGAACTTAGAAAAATGACAGTAAATTTAAATCTATAAAAAGTAGAAGGGAAAGAGTCAAAGTAAGAGTTAATGAAGTAGCAATAAACATAAAATAGATCAATAGCTAAATTTTTTTTGAGAAAAACTAATACAATTGATAAACTCCTGGTGTGATGGGTCAAGAAATAAAGACTAACAAAAAGCAAATAACAAGAATTAAAAAGGGACAATAGTAATAGGAATTAAGAGGTTTATGAGACATTTTAGTGGGCAACTTTATGCCAATAAATGTTTAAATTTAGAAGAAAAGGACAATTTTCTAGGAAAATACAACTTACCAAAATTGACACAAGAAGATATAAAAAGTCTCTATTGTCTTAAAACTGTTAAATGAAATAAATCTATAATTGAATACTTTACCTTAAATAAAACTCTTGGCACAGATAGATTATCTGATGACTTCAATGGTGGTGTACTGGAGATGGCTTGTTCCTGACAACTGCTAAAATTTCAGAAATTTTGCAAGCTAGTTCTTTAACACAGTCATTATTAAAAATTAAAACATTTAAAATTACAACTAAATAAATCATATTGAAAAAAATCAATATCCCAAACTCATTACTTCCTCATTATTATTATTATTTTTTTTTTTTCTGAGACGAAGTCTCGCTCTGTCGCCCAGGCTGGAGTGCAGTGGTGCCATCTCGGCTCACTGCAAGCTCCACCTCCCGGGTTCACACCATTCTCCTGCCTCAGCCTCCCGAGTAGCTGGGCTACAGGCGTCCGCCACTGCGCCCAGCTGATTTTTTGTATTTTTAGTAAAAACGAGGTTTCACCGTGTTAGCCAGGACTGTCTTGATCTCCTGACTTCATGATCTGCCCGCCTCGGCCTCCCGAAGTGTTGTGATTACAGGCTTGAGCCACCACGCCCGGCCACTTCCTCATTATTTTTTATTACATTTTACTATTAGCTGCTCTTGAGGTTATTAACATCTGTTGTATCTGTAGGGTGCAAATACTTATACTGGTGCTCTACTGTGTCCCTCTTCTCAATTTTGTTTTCAGTGATATCACATTGATAGCATGAAATCAGCCAGGGTGGGAGAGTTAACACCACAGAAATTATTAAGCAATATATATGAGGGCTTGATTTATTGCTAAATGTAAAGAGGCTTCAGTTTCAAAAATATAGTTTGTATGAAGGTAAGAATTAGTTGATCAGTAGATCACATATATGATTAATAACAGTAAATACAAAAGGAAGACATTTAATAGATTAGGATGAAAATCTATTTATCAAATTGGCTAAATTGCTCTTCTAGGCTGAGTGTGGACACAAGAGTTAAGAAAGAAAGCCACTAAAGTATTATATGAGACTCAATTGGCAATAAAGAGTTTACAGTAAAGAACGTACACTTTATTAGTAAGTTGTGTGTTACACATCCTCAATAGCAGTAAAAATTCACAATGAGCATGCAGTATATACTACATATATAATATTTGCATGTTATGTGTAACATAAAGTATAATATATATAATATTTTTGAAAAGCCAGCTGTTAAATATTTCCCAGCATGAGACTGATCTTACTTACATTTAATGAAGAAATAGCACTAGTTTTCACAAGCTTTTACAAAGAATAGAAAAAGAGAGGACGCTTTTTATCTTGTATTTTTAGGCCAAATTAATTTTAACTTTGAAAAATATATTATAAAAAGGCAAAATTAAAAGCTGACATATCTCATGAACAGAGATGCAAATATCCTAAATGAAAGATTACAAACATAATTCAGCACTATACAAAAAAAGAATCATTTATTACAATCACATTTGATGTATTTCTGGAGTAAAAATTTGATAGATCATTTTTAAGACTGCATTGTGTGGCAGCAACTCAACTTAACTGACTGTCAACCAGTTGTTTCATTTATTAATACTTTGTCAATGAGCCCTTGTAGAAAGACTGAGGTCATAAGGAATGAATCTGACTTACATAAATTTCTGTGCTGTGATCCATTATAGAGACTTTCCAAAATCTTCCTATAGACTCCTTATCTGCCATAAATACTTCAGCAGCATCAGATCTAATGCAACATATGTCTCAAGAGGAAGAGCATCTGGCATGGCAGCCTGGATCTGTTGGAGAGCCTTCTCTTATTGCAGGACCACTTAAAAATGACATTCTTTTGTGTTCTTCAAAAAACAATGACTATCATACCCAATATTCAAAGACTATCACTTGGTATTGTACTTCTTTCTTAGTGGTATAATAGGCCAGATCCAGTAATTTATGCTTCATCTTAAAAATAATATCTCAGCCTCCTGCAGACCACTGAGCCCCTAATAGCAAGATTACAGGTCCCTAAATTTTGGTAGGATTTACTTATCCTTTGATAAGCATTTGTCTTGCCAAGGTATCTAGAGTGGTTGATACTTGCTATTCACCAGGCCCAATAAGCAAAATATTCATATTATAATATTATCAATCAACATGATATTCTATGAAATGAAGAAACAATTATGAAGATTATGTCATAAGGCTGGAGAGTGGAAACCGCCCTGAAGTAAGATAATGAAAGTGAAAACTTTAAAGCTAAATCTGCCAGTTAAATCACCTCTTTTGGCAGTATTTACTAAAAGATATAGAGGGCGGAAAAACATTCAACAGATCAAAACTACATATCAGGTGACAGAAGATTTGTTGATTTCCGTTGGTAAGGAAAAAACAGCTGGATCAACAGCTGCAATTGTAGTCACCATCTGATCAAGTTAATGTAATCTACTGTTATTCTCCAAAATTCATTTGTTTTCTATGCAAGCTAAATAGGTTAGTTAAATCGGAATGCAGTAGCATCACCACTCTGATATCTTTCAAGCACATTTTGGTGGCACTAATCTTTGTAATTCCTTAAGAAATGCAGTATTGATTTTGAATTATCATTTTGACAAAGGAAGCTCTAGAGGTCTCCACTTAAACTTTGCTCTGAGAGTATGCCTATTCCAATTATGCCCAGAAGGGTTGAGAAAATAATCACAGCATGAGTTTGAGGGATTACCAAGCCAACTGTGAGATGGACTCACGCTAAAACCCCATTAACCCGCTGCTCTCCATAAACCACTGCTCAGAGCCAGTGATCAATAATCTCTGAAAAATCTGATTATTTTCCCTTCTCCCATCAACAATAATTCTTTTGGATGATCACAAGTTCTTTTGAGGAAAGCTGGAGGAAATTTAGGGCATAAGTTTTGGGCAGTATAATTCTCAAATACACCCAGCACTGCCTAAGTAAAGAGGATCTGGGGATGTAAATGGGCCATAACTCCATATTGAGCAATTCAAGTCGAACTTCTGTTCACCAAACCTAGGGCCATTTATTGATATATACCAACTATAATGTTACTAGGCTATATATTTATTTTAGCCATAGGGTCTGCATGATTAATTAGCCAATGCCAAAGATCCCTGTGGGTCAGACCGTTTTCTATTACTGCTTTGAGTCTGCTGCCCATCAAGGTAACCATGCACATGTTGTCTTTGGCCATTTAATGCTTGCATTTGATCCCTGAAATATAGGATCTCATAGATTCTATTCAGTTCAGAGAACCCGTTTTTATAGCAGTACTTTTTGCTGTCATTTCTGGCCTCCAGAGAAGCCACTGCAGAGCAGTGCTCTTCTCACCGACGCATTTCTCAAACCCTAGGTGACAGGAGTATTCCCTGCACTCTCCAAGAAGATATAGTTAATGGGTGATCTGGCAGGTATTAAATTTATTGAGACATTTGGATATATCCCACCACCTTATTTTATGTTTCTAGTAGGATTTTATTTTTTTTTCTTACACGTTCCCTTTTGTTTATATTTCTCTGGCATTTTATTAACTCTTTTCTTCTTCTGGTTACCTGGAATTTATAAATTATATATCTAAAATTTTATTGGTTACCCTTGAATTGTTATCAAATGTTGAAAATGTAAGCATATTTTATTATTATAGTCAAACATTGATCTCTCACTGAAAAAGACAACATCTTTAACACCTTCAAACATACCATTACACATCTCAAACATATCATATTAGATAGTAAAATTTGATTACCTCCCACTAAATCCTATTCCTCCCTAATATTTCCTATCTCACTAAATATCACCACCATCCTTCTGTTGCTCAAACCAAAAACCCAGGAATCATACCCAAAGCCTCTACCTAGTCTGAGATGACATCATTCTTGCCTAGACTACCACCAGAGACCATTTATTGGTCTCTCTTCTTCCACTTTGCCCTTATTCAATTATTTTCCTCAGAGCTAATGTAGTGATTGTTTGAGAAGTAAAGCTGATGATGCCATCCTTCTGAGTAAAACCTTTAATGCTATCTCATGAGTCAGAAAAAGAATCCAGGCTCTACTATGTTCTTCAAAGCTTTTCTTGACATGGACACTGCCTCACCTTAATCAATCGTCACCTTTCTCATTATGCTCCAGGCGCACTGGCTTCCTTTGTTTTTCTGAAAGATGCTGCCCTCCTCCCAACTATGTATCCAGGCCCCCTTTTTATGACTGTCCCTCTGCCTGAAATGTTCTTTTCTGTAACTTTCCACATGTTTGGCTCATTCTCCTCTTTCAGTTTTCTACTGAAATCTCACATTGTTACAGGAGGTCTTTTGATTTTCCTTTATAAAGGGACTCTCTTATTACCTTCTAGCGCCTCACCTGACTTTTAAACTTTTGTATCACTTACCATAATCTGTATTTTTCTTTACTTGCTTGTTTAAATAGTTTTCTTTATTTGCTCATTTACCATTTGTATTCTCTGTAAGAGAGTTAACTTTATGATGCCAATGACCTTGTCTGGATTGTTCACCTCAGTGTATCTCATTATTTGATCAGTGCTTATCACATCCCATGGACTCAATAAAAGCTCTATCAGGCAAATTACTTGATTTACAAAGGGAGAATTATAATGATTATAAGGATTCATATACACAGCTAGCATGGGCTTCTTAATTGTGAAAAAAATTGTTTCACAGTAGCCTTCCTTATGAATGAGAGGAATGAATTTGGGTTCTATGCAATTGGGCTTTCCTTTTGGTAGGTAGGTGGAGGGCAAATACTCAAGGTTGGGTTTTTATGATTGATAAAGAGAAGAATGATTAACATTGGGAAGGGCATCAAATGCATCTGCCTTTCTCACTTGAGTTTGAGCCCAGTCTCCCACCTTGAACGTCTCTATACTCCAAGAATTTGATTGGCGTTCCTTGCCCACTATGGCAGGAAGACCAGTCACCATGTCCACCCACAGACTACAGATTTGGGATTTTTCCAGGGACTTATTAGGAAGACCAATTATCATCCCTGCAGGAGGATGCACATTGTGTATATTGTTATAATTGACTTTGCTTTAAATTTACCTGTCAATCTCAAATCATTTTTTGCTATTTTCCAGAAGGCCCTCAAAGGGCAAATTTTCTGGTTCTCATTTTTTTTGTTGTTGTTAAGGGATTTTGTTAAGTAATCTTTATTGTTGTTGTTTTGATTTCAAAAAAAATGGGAGATGAAGAGAGACACTAATACCACATTTTCAGTTTGCCATCTTCATCAGAGCATCATTAAATACAATTTTGAGTAATTCTCACTGTACATTTTTAAAATTAGCTATTGGTGGTAGGTTTAAGGACAGGCCATCATAGTATTTATTTTCTTGAAAGACATTTGATGAAATTTGTTTAACATGTGATGCTCTATAGAAAGTAAAATTGATGTTTTGCAAATAAAAGTGACTGTAAGAGTGAGGTATCAAATTTTCAACTTAGACTAAAATGGAATAAGATTGATATTCCCCACATTTATATTGAATTTTTCAAAAATGGAAGCTGTGTGTTATTATTTCACTAGTTCCAAGATATGCATAGTGACAAGATCTTTTTACATATTTAGGAACTATTAGTTAAATGAATGAAAATAAAGCTGAATATTTTCAACATTTGCATTGAATTTTAAGTAGGTGGGAAACAATCTTATTTACCTTTTTTGGCAGTGGCTCAAAATTATTATCAGTTTGTTGGCCCTACAAATTAATTCATATTTTTTAAATGTCCATGTATGATTCCACAAGCTTTATAATTGTTTTAAAGTCACATTTGTTTACCTGGTACTTCCTTGATAATTATAAATGACAGTAACAAGAGGTGAAGGAACATGGACACCAGAAAGATATTGTTCCTGCCAGACACACAGACCTGTCATCATGTACCAATTTTAAAAAACAAATAAAGTCATGATTTTATTGAGTAAATATATATGGGTCCAAAAAATCTGAAAAACACTGTTATGCTGACTAATGGTCAGAATGGTTTTATAGAAATTCCCAAAACAAGTTTGTGAGAAAGTGTTACCCTTTTTGTCCCCCTTTTTTTTGGCTTGTGTTTGTTTTTAGTTATTTTAACCAGTGTTTTTTTTCCAAGGCTAATGATGTTGTTTGCTAGTTTCCTCATGTTACATCAAATGAATTTGGATACCCTCTGAGACATCTAAATAGCAACTGCAGTAAATATTCATCATGTGGAATTAATAATGACATCTTGAAATGTTCTATTTGTTTTTTTCGGGCTCTCTTTACCTCACAGAACCATCACCCAATGTGGTATTAAAAACAAAGGAGGGCCATGGCTGGATTTTATACCACATTGAGAGGAGAAAAGGTGAACTGTGAGATCACTTTGGTAACAAGCACTAGCAAAGCTTAAAGGCTTGTCAAGAAACTTGGGTACAGGAGAACTTGGGTTTATGATTACTTAGATATTATTCCTAATGTGAAATGAATGAAATAATTATAAATTGCCCAGATAAATGACTATTGGTTAACTGCTAATTTCTGATGCAATAAAAATTCAAACTGAAGTTTTCTGTTGATCCCAAATACTTATCAGACTTAGAAGTGGAAATTTCCAGTTATATATTAATTAGATAAAGCAAATGAAGAAGCTCTCTAGAATAATGTTATATAATTTCTGATTACAGAAAAAAACTTCACCTTGAGTTACATTCATTTAGCATATCCTGTTTATTTTTTATTATTAACTGTAGATAGAGAAGGAAAAAGAAAGAAAATGGGGCAAAGATGAATAAAAATAAATAACAGATGACAAGGCCATTGAAGTTTTATAAAACATTCTTTATTGGTTGGGTGGTGCCTGTTTGGTGCCTATATTTCTGCCTTGTGTGTTTAAAATAAACTTTAAAAGCTAGAGAAATAAATATATCTGCCAATTGTTATGGTTACTTTTCTTCCTGCTACTCTTCTCGTTAACATTTACTTGGAAAAAGAATAGAATCCAAGTAAGACCTGGCAATAGTAATTTTAGTTCCATGTGTTAAATTTATTTTATTGAACTGTTCGGAAATTTTAAAATTCTAGGCTAACTTAATAGCAAAATTAATATATTTAAAATTGTCTCTAGTAACCATTAGAAGATTTTTAAATGCATAATTTCCAAAAGAAAAAAGAAAAAAAAACCTAGAATCAAGGGAAAAGAACAAAGAAAACTCAATGCGTTAGTAAAAGGCACGAAAGATTAAAAATGAAACAAATGAAAATAACTCTAAAAACCTTAAAAAAACAGAATATGTAGGTCTTGATAAATCTAGAGTGTGTGTTAGATTGACTTTACAGCCTATTTGGGTTAAAGATCACATACTTTCCATATTTTCTCCTTTATAGCCTTTTCTTAAGCCTCCGTTAAATACTGAGTTTGAAGGGATCCACTGGTTCCATTTTCCTGGCAAAAATAGTTTCCATTTTGTCAAACATTTAGAAACCAAATATTGATGTTTGTCTTATAATTATTGTCAAGAAACATTTCCTTGGGGATATCAAACTGACTGCTGCCAAAAGGGACTCAAAACACATTTCCCCATTTGTTCTGCCTCCAGAGACTGTTTCCTTTTGCCACCTCTGTACCAATTGGTAATAAAAACACATTTGAGCAAATTAAAACTAACAATCTGTGCTAGAAACACCCACTGTCTTTCAGAACAGGCCAAAGAAATGTCACTGGTACCACTGGTACAATTTGAATTCAGTTGTAATTAGACTTTGAACCTTGTTTCATTTGCTGAAATTTGATCTGTTTGCTGCTCTTGTTGAAGTTTCTTCTACTTCACCAGAATGTTTATTTCAAGGGTACCACAGAAATTGTTCTTAGAGCACATGACTGTCAGAGAGTCTTCACAAGCAAAGAAACTTCTTGTCTCTTAATGATGGGTATGAGTGCGTATATGCATATAAAGTAGCTAAAGTTTTCAGAGATGGCACAGAGAAATTAAAACATTAAAAGGTGTATTAGTCTGTTCTCACATGGCTAAGAAAGACATACTAATAAAGACTGAGTAATTTATAAAGGAAAGAGGTTTAATGGACTCACAGTTCCACATGGCTGGGGAGGCCTCACAGTCATGGCAGAAGGCAAATGCGGAGCAAAGTCATGTTTACATGGTGGCAGGCAAGAGAGCTAGTGCAGGGAAACTCCCATTTATAAAACCATCAGATCTCTTGAGGCTTATTCACTACCACAAGAATAGTATGGGGGAAACCGCGCCCATGATTCAATTATCTCCACCTGGCCCCACCCTTGACACATGGGGATTACTACAATTCAAGATGAGATTTGGGTGGGAACATAGCCAAACCATATCAAAAGGAATTTTAAGTAGGAGTATTATTTCTTCTGGTAGTTTTAGATGGGTATTTTCTAAAAAAGAATTGAGATGAAACAACACAAACTTAAAGTGATCCAAAGATCAAAACTGATGTTTTCTAGTTTTCTTTCTGTCTTAATGAAAGAAAATAGGAAAACTTGACTACATAAATTAGAACAGATAGAAGTCCCACCTCATGTTGATTAAGAAGAATTTGGCTGGGTGTGGTGGATCACGCCTGTAATCCCAGCACTTTGGGAGGCGGAGGAGGGTGAATCACCTGAGGTTAGGAGTTCCAGACCAGCCTACCAAGGTGGAGAACTACCCCATCTCTACCAAAAATACAAAAAATTAGCTGGGCATGGTGGCACATGCCTGTAATCCCAGCTACTGGGGAGGCTGAGGCAGGAGAATTGCTTGAACCCAGGAGGCATATCTTTAGGCACAAATGAACTCTAGCAAGTATTTTAATACTTTAAAATTCCGTATTTGCCAAATTCCATGCACATGTAAAAAAATTTAAATGGAAGTTGTGTTATTTTTTGAAGCAGTTTAAGCCCAAATACCATTTTTTCTGATCTCTATTCACAAATGATGGTATTTGACCTTAATTTCAAAGTTTAAAGATATATAAATTCAGTATATTTTTGATGAATTTTATTTCTTCAAAACTTTGTGTAGTGCTGTATATAAATTATCTGCTATAGTAACAATTCTGTGTGGTAGGTGTTTTATTTCCATTTCTCATATGGAGAAATTGAGTTCCAAGAGGTCATAGAAGACTTTCTCTGACAGTCATGAATAAGCTAACTTCTGCTGAATAATGTACTCATTAAAGGTGTAATAGAAAACGAGGTTTCTGTGAATTGAAAGCCAATGTACTTAAATACTACTCTATATCAACTACCAAATAATAGTATCTAGCATAAAGCAATTGTTCAGCAATTGTCACCATCATTGCCATTATTAACATTCCCCCAGCTTTATTAAGATATAATTGACAAATACAAATTGTATGTATTTGCACTGTACAATGTGATATTTTGACATATGCATACAATGGGAAGTTATTAAATCAAACAAAATTACATAGCCATTACTTCACATACTTGTCTTTTTTAGTGGTAAGAAATTTAATGTCTACTCTCTTAGCAATTTTCAAGTATACAATACATTATATTAACAATAGTTATCATGCCATATAATAGATCTTCATAACTTATTCATCCTGTCTGAGACTGTACTTTTTGACCAATAGCGCTCATTCTCCACCTGTCCTATCCCCCAGCCTCTGACAGCCACCACTCTACTCTCTGCTTCTATGAGTTCAACTTTTTTAGATTTCACAAGCAAGTGAGATCATACAATATTTGTCTTTCTGTGTCTGGTTTTTCACTTAGCACAAAGTCCTCCAGTTTCATCCATGCTGCAAATGACAAGACTCACTTCTTTTTAAAGGCTTAATAGTAGTCCACTGTGTGTATGTGTGTGTGTGTGTCTGTGTGTATCTGTGTGTGTGTCACATTTTCTCTTTATACATATGTCTGTTGGGGGAAACTTAGGTTGATTCCTATCTTGGCTGTTGTAAATAATGTTTGCAATGAAAATGGGCGTGTAAATATCTCTTTGACATGCTGATTTCATTTTTATTTTATAAATCCCCAGTAGTGGGATTTCTGGATCATATGGTAGTTCTGTTTTTAGTTTTACCTTCCCACCAACAGTATGTGAGTGTTATCTTTTCTACACATCCTTGGCAATACTTATTATCTTCCATCTTTTTGATAACAGCCATCATAACAGGTGTGAGGTGATATCACTGTGTTTTTAATTTGCATTTTCCTTATACTTGGTGACGTTGAACTTTTTTTTTTCATACACCTGTTAGCCATTTGTGTGTCTTCTTTTGACAAATATCTGTTTTTGGTTCTTTGCCCACTTTTTAGATTGAGTAATTTTTTGTCTTGCTGTTGAGTTATTTGAGTTTGGTCTTGTCCATTTTGTGTGCTATCAAGGAACACCTGGGGCTGAGTAATTTATGAAAAAAAAGTTTATTTGGCTTACTATTCTGATGGCCAGAAAGTTCAAGATTGGACATCTGCATCTAGTGTGGATCTTAGGCCACTTGCACTTACAGTGGAAGGCACAGGGGAGTGTTTGGGCAGAGGTGCAGGAGAGAGAGAAAGGGAAAAGGTTCCAGGATCTTTCTAACAGCCAGATCTCTCAGGAGCAAAAGAATGAGAACTCACTCACCCCCATGGGAGGACATTAATCTGTTCATGAGGAATTCACCTCATGACCTAAACACCTCCCATTAGGCCCCACCTCCAACACTGGGAATTAAATGTCAACATGAGGTTTAGAGGACAAACATCAAAGCCATAGCAAGTCTCTTATATATTTTGGATATTAACCCCTTATCAGTGGTTAATATTTTTTCATTCTGTATGTTTTCTTCCATTCTGTAGGTTTTCTTTTCCCTCTATTGTTTTCTTTGCTGTGCAAAAGCTTTTTAAAGTTTGTTGCAATCCCATTTGTCTATTTTTGCTTTTGTCACTTATGCTTTTGGGATCATATTCAAAAAATCTTTGCTTAGACTAAATTTCAAAAAGTATTTTTTTCCTGTTTTTCTCCTAGTAGTTTTACATGTTCAGGTCTTATGTTTAAGTCTTTAATCCATTTTTAGTTGGTTTTTGTGTATGGTGTGAGATAAGGGTCTAATTTCATTCTTCTGCACATGGATTTCCAATTTTCCCAATCTCATTTATTGAAAAGACTGTTCTTTTCTCAGTTTGTGTTCTTGGCACCTTTGTTAAAGATCAATTGGCTGTAAATGCATGGATTTATTTATGGGCTGTCTTTCCTGTTCCATTCATCTATATATCTGTTTTTATGCCAGTATCTTGTTTTGAATACTATAGCCTTGTAATATATTTTGAGATCAGGTGGGGTAGTGTCTCCAAATTTGTTTTTTTGTTGTTGTTGTTCAAGTTTTTTTTTTTTTAATATCTGGGGTTTTCTGTGGTTTCATAGGAATTTCAATTTTTTTTCTATTTCTGTGATAGTAAAATGTTTAATAATCACAGACAAAATCATCAGGAACACTGAGTTATGGTAAGAGTCTATAAAGATATTTCATTGTATAATATCAAGGATATTCAAGTGACTTTTTGGAAAGAATTTTACAAAAGCCAATCACATTGGCAAATTAGAGTGCATTTCCCTTCTTAATTTCAGAAATCATTTATATGGATGTTGTAAATTAATAAACATATCCTAAACTTTAGCAGCATATCAGAATAAAACTCCCTAGAGTGTTCTTTCAAGAAAGAGCATTAAATTGCAGAATCATTAGTTAATTTTTTTTTTTTTTTTTTGGTGACTGAATCTTGCTCTGTCGCCCAGGCTGGAGTGCGGTGGCATGATCTCGGCTCACTGCAAGCTCCGCCTCCCGGGTTCAGGCCATTCTCCCGCCTCAGCCTCCCGAGTAGCTGGGACTACAGGCGCCCGCCACCATGCCCGGCTAATTTTTTGTATTTTTAGTAGAGATTGGGTTTCACTGTATTAGCCAGGATGGTCTCAATCTCCTGACCTCGTGATCCACCTGCCTGGGCCTCCCAAAGTGCTGGGATTACAGGCGTGAGCCACCATGCCCAGCCCATTAGTTAATTTTCTTTTTTTTTCTTCTTTTTTCTTTTTTTTTTTTTGTGATGGAGTCTTGCTCTGTCGCCCAGGCTGGAGTGCAGTGGCGTGATCTAGTCTCACTGCAAGCTCCGCCTCCCGGGTTCATGCATTCTCCTGCCTCAGCCTCTCGAGTAGCTGGGACTACAGGCGCCCCCCACCACGCCTGGCTAATTTTTTGTATTTTTAGTAGACACGGGGTTTCACCGTGTTAGCCAGGATGGTCTCCATCTCCTGAACTCGTGATCCACCCGCCTCGGCCTCCCAAAGTGCTGGGATTACAGGCGTGAGCCACCGCGCCTGGCCTAGTTAATTTTCACACATAACTTCATTGTGTGAGAAGCAGAGGAAAGTCATTTAATTTGTAAAAGTGATAAATTACTTCAAAATTGAATGAATCAGTATGCACACATTTCAGAAAGAATGCAGCTCAAATCTTCAATAGACTTAGATCCCTTTATAAAAACAAGGATATCCATTATCTTTAATTTAGTGAAACATCAAATATTTTCTGTTAAGTCATATTTATTCCTCAAGTAGCTTTGGAAAGCAATTGGCTATTAAAATAATATCCATTTCTTTGTATCCCGTTGATGGTAACTGTAGCAAAGGACTGATTTGTTTGACTTCTTAGACTATTTGGATAGCTAAACATAATGATCAGAAATTTTTGAAAACACATTGGGAAAATAAGTTTTCTCCTTAAACAAAGTAAATGACAGTACACTGTCTTTGGAACTATGCCAAGTTTTCTTACAATGTTTACTAAAGAGGGTTTCCTGAGTTTCCAGTTGGTTGTTCCAAACATAAACTTTATTTGTTCCTACCTAGAGGAGTTACTGATGCACCTGCGGCCATGTACCCAGTCATGCTGCCTGTTCTCCACACAGCTTGACTGGCAGCATAAAGACCCATGCAAGCAGATGTGACCAGCTGCATGCTGAGACTGAGATGTAGAGAGTAGGAAGGCAGATAAGGCATCAGCCATGTGCAAATTTTCCCTGTAGCACTTTGAAGTCTTTGAGTTTGCCATAGTTTTTAAAATTAGACTATATAGTCAATTAGAGATCATTATTACATGTTTTTTTTTTCATAGTGCTCTTGGTTGCTCCTCAGATAAAATGACCATCCATATGGCAATAGCCTCACCCAAGGCCAGATGGCTTATTGCAGGGATTGGGAACCAACAATCTTTTGCTTAAAGAGGCACTTAAATTTTTTCAAAATGACACAGCCCTAGGAAAAATCTTTTTATGGAATATCTCCAACTTCCCTGTTTGCAAGCACCTCCCTGTTCTCTATGAATAGCCTATTTCCTCAAGCCTCTTCCACACCCACTCAGTTTGCAGCCTCTGTTTAGACTTGCGTTGTGCTGACTATCAATAAATTCTTCCTAAGGTGTTTTTTACAGTGGGCTTATTAGGGTGATAACCTATACAGAAAATTCTTTGACTATTCCTTCCGCTGACAAAAACCTGTTGCTTGGGGGTAATGAAGCAGGCTTCTGTCACCTGTGCCAATGGATCAGCTCCACTCACTTGGCATTTTGTGAGATGACTCTGGTATCACTGCTACCTTCCTCTTGATCACAAAGAGAAAAAGAGAAATTCTCCTGTTTTCTACTCGTGGAAACAAAATAAATGAAGAATTTTATTTCTGCTGAGTTTTTACAAACCCACTAACTATCATAGTTTTGTGTAAGGAGGAAATCCGCCACCTACTTCGGCAATACCTTGCACTAACCCCCTGCATTCCTTAGAATGATAGTCACTGCTCTAAGCAATCACTCAGGCTAAATTTGGAAATTCATTCATTTGTGTAGCTTTTCTGGGGTTGTTTTAACAACTGTGATGCAGTAGTGCCAGTGATTTGGGGTTTCAACATAATTGCACTCTGGGGAATTACCTGGGGACCTGGACTATGTCAGATTTACCGGCTTGATCCAACTGGAATATGGAAAGCTTGTCTGAACTACAGTGCACACATACACACTCACACACACACACACAAATGCCTGTGCCAGAGCATGTGTCTGTGCATATGTAAGGTAATGGAGTTGGGTTATTATAACAACTAACACATTTGTTACTTTAAACTATCTTTTAAAATTTTTTTCTCGTCTAGGGTCTGCTGAAGAAAGCAGAACAGTTTAGCTCACATCCTGCTCTATAAATATTAAGTCTATAAATTAGAGAATTAATTCAGGCTAAAGAAAAGAATCAGATTCAGTAAGTGAATTGAAATTGTATATTTTATAATTTATAAAATTTAAAGTATTTTTATAATTTCATATAATCATCATAATAACTAATCTTTATTTAGTTTTATAATGTGCCAGGCACTATGCTAAGTGCCAGACATAAAATAACTCATCTGTTGACTTCAGTAACTTTGTGAGGTAGATCTTATTATTATCCTTATTTTAAAAATAAAGACATAAGCTCGGAGATGTTAAGTCCTTTGCCGCAAATACAGAGCAAAAAAGTGGCAGAGCTGGGATTGGAACACAGGTATTCTGGACCCCAAAGTTAAGGCTTATACAGGATCTAAACATTTTGCCTCTCTGGTGGTACTTTGCACTGTTTTCCCCCGTGAATCTCTGTGTCCCAGCCACCCTGGCCTTTATTCAGTTTCTCATGCTCTTCCTGTGCCTTCACACTTATCAGGTTCTCTCTATGTAATGTTCCTACTCTTGGATGTGCCCCATTATAATTGTTTATAATCATACACTTATTGTGATTATTTGATTAATTTCTTTTCCTTCACTAGGCAAGGTCAAGTACCATGTCTGCTTAGCTCACTATTATTTTAGAGGAGACACTATGAAGTGGTGTTCAAAAGCCTGGGTTCTGACTTCACGATGTTATGTTACCATATATGTTTTCTAACTTCTCTTTCACTCAATTTTCTTATCTATAAAATGGGGAAAGCGACAATATAGACTTCAGGGAGTTATTGAGGTGTAAATGAGTAAAAGAGCAATAAAGTATTTAAACTCTTTCCTAGTACCAGCAGGGCATAATAAGAATTAGCTATTATTATTTTTGTCTATTCCTGACACCTGCTATAGTGCTGGCTAGGTAGGAGGTACTCAACAAATATTTTTTGAATAAATGCATGCATGCATGCAAGAATTAATGAAAGACTAAATTTTTCTGGAGTTATCCCAATACCTATTCTGTTTGTATCACATCCAGCTTTGAGATTGCCTTCCAAAAACTAGCCAAGGATTAGTGCTACCTTGGTCCTGCATCAAAGAATGGACCTTGTCTCTTTGGATACTCTTGAAAAAATACCGAATTTGGAGTCCAGAATCCAGGGGCCTGGTCTCACAACTCATAAATGAAAGTTACCTCCAAATCAATTATCCAGCAGTGCATTTGTTCTCTAGCTCTCTGTTTGGTACTATAATCTTCAAAAAAAATTTTCTTTCAAGAAAGTGAGAATAAGAAAAACAATTAACCACATCTGGGCTCAGAATACCTCATGGGTATATTCAAAACTGCCTTACAGTTTTGAAACAATAGTAGTCCCTTCTTACAGCCACACTGTATATATGAAGCTTTCAGATCTATAATAACATACTGTTAGGTACTTACTATGTTTCAAGAACTTATCATACATAATCCTCAACCTTCAAAACAAGAATGCAGAGGAGATGTTTTTATTATTTCAATTTTATCAGGTAGAAAACTGAACTTCATAGAGATGAAGAAACTTGAGCAAATTCACACAGCCAGAGAAGAAAGGAGAGTGGTTTGAATACCACATTGCCTCATTTTATTCTTGTGCATTTTATTCCTTTTCAGTATTTTAAATTAGCACAAAATACCTCAAAAAGGAAAGATGACTGTTAAAAGGGTTACATTTTTAACATACTGAAGGCAATTAGTAAAGATGTTAAACAAAATTTTACCAGTAAGTGTGGTTTGCTTTCAAATGTCAAAGATAAAAATAATGCTAAAATATTTTTGGCATCTTTATTGGACATCATCGTTGGGAACAAGCTAACGCAATGGTTTTAGTCATGCTCCCTCAGGAACACAGCTAAGAATTAAGGACTAGATTAAATTTAGTGTGGAGCTACTGTATGCAGCTGTCTCTTATAAAGCAGATGTTATATCCTGTCATTGTCATCATTTTTGCAGAAAAGTACATTTTTATTGGCTCTAAAGTGTGAAAAAGTGAAATATTTCCTATACAGGAACCCTGGAAGCTGTCTGTCCAAGGAGAAGAGCCTATTCCCAAGCTGACTATATAGCAACACTAAAAGTATTTATTTATTCAAACTGAATCTTAAAGACCTATGATCAGTCTTTAGGTGGCCATATACACTCCAACAGGATTATAACCTGCCAGACAAGAATAAACTTCACCAGCAGGAGAAGAAGTAGGGAGAGATTCCAGGCAAGTGAGTTTTCCTTGTATTCCTCTAACTTGGAGTCAAATATGCATGGATGCTCAGAAATCCACTGACCAAGATGGCCTTAACATTCCCCTTAGCTTGACTAAACTTTAAACAGATTTATTCCTGACTATAAACCCCTGACCTCCATTTACTGAGAGCATCTAATTTAGGAAACTTGCAATTGTAGATTCTTTCTATTTCCCTTTTGAGATGTACATCTCCCAGCCTCTTGCCAGTTTTACACCCGAGGAATGTCTTTCTCTAGGACCTGGGAGCCACCCCTTTGAAAAAGGTGCCCCTTTTCCAAAAATAAGATAGTGCCCCTCTCTCTCAGTTTCGGTGGGAGGGTAGGAGTCAAACTTGGATAAGCGCAATTAGAAAACGCAGATGGCCTAATCACATGGACCAACCTCCCCCTCAACATCCTGTAGTACTTCTCCACTAGCTCACCCCAGTGCTTAAAAACTCTCCTGCATTTTTTCCCAGTAGAAGTTGAATTTGATCTCTCACTCCTATTACAATAGTCTTGACTTTCACTGTAATCGTTTTGAATAAAGTCTTCCTTGCCCGTTTAACTCTGGTACAATTTCTCTTTGACACCACAGAACAAATTCTTTCAGAAATATATTGCTGGACGGTCAATTTTCTAAAAGCTATACATTCCACTCAGTAATCAAATTGCCAAAATATTTGCAATATCAATGCTAGCCATTCTCACTGGAGTTCTCTCTGGAGATTTTTGTATGTCTCCAACCAGGAACCCATAACATTAATTAATAAATATTTTTCATTCCATTGCACTGTGAGCTTCTGGGAGGCAGAGATCGTTTTAATACTACTTTTCTGTTTCCAGTATCTAAGCCAGTGCCTTGAAGAATATCACTGCATCACACTAGGGGAAGCAATCAGGCAACCTCCCACGACATTATATATAGGGTGACCATAAATTTATCATCTGTACCAGGACAGTTTTGAGAATGAAAGGAGGCATTAAAATAATTTTATGTAATTTTTGAAACATTGTGTTGCCAGATAAATTAGTTTTATGAAATTATAGATAAGAAAAACTCACCAAAATATTTATTTTTAAGATGTCTCATCAAATTTATTTATTTAACTGTTATTAGGTTCAGGGATACAAGGCAGGTTTGTTATATGGGTAAACTCATGTCATGGGGGTTTGTTGTATAGATTATTTAGTCACTTGAGTACTAGGTCTAGTAGCCAGTAGTTTCATTTTTCTTGATCTTCTCTCTCCTCTCACCCTCCACCCTCAAGTAGGCTCCAGTGTCTTTTGTTCCCCTCTTTGTGCCCATGTGTTCTCATCATTTAGCTCCCACTTATAAGTGAGAATGTGCAGCATTTGGTTTTCTGTTCCAGTCTTAGTTTGCTGAGGATATGGCCTCCAGCTCCCTCCATATTCCTGCAGAAGACATGATCTCATCCTTTTTTTATGGCTGCATAGTATTCCATGGTATATATGTACCACATTTTCTTTATCCACTCTACCATTGATGGGCCCTTAGGTTGATTCCATGTCTTTGCTAAATTTGGATGTTAAAAAAATCATAAGTTTTCTAAATTTGAATCTACTCAAGAACACAATATTAATTTATACAGCTATAGATAGGAGTTTAATCAAATATTTTTCTCATAAGTGGAGATATTTCAAAGCACAGGTAGAGGACTTCAAAATTCAACCTATACATTATTTGAATTCTCATTGTTTAATTTATTTATTTTGCCCTGCTTTTGCAGATATAAATTTCAATTTCTATCTGCAAGCTTTGTTTTCAATTATTCAATTTGATAAAGGTTGCATTTTTGTTACTCCATTTTTTGAATACTTTTATTAAAATTTCTATCTGATTAAAAAAGGAACACAAACTCTTTTCCAGTAATGATCTATACTACTGTTGAACATTTAGGTTAAAATTATTCTCCAAAGCCTCAGCATTTCTAAAGTCTGTCTGAAAATGGGTAGCAAAAAGAGAACCAACTGTTACGCTGAAGTATTTGTTTCTATTCAACAAATTGGAAATAAATTGAAGTCCATTTTCTCTCCTTCATTCTTTCTCTCTATGCATATATAATTAAATCATTATTAGAATTATTACATGTGCATTTATATATTTAAACAGCAACTATTATATATATATATAGTTACTTGTACATTTTAATTTTTTGCTTCTATGTAAATTGGCAAAGCGTTTCAGTTTGTTTTAGGTGCACTGTGAATTGTGAGTGTGCCTCAACCAATTTTACATACTTTTCTGTTCTATAGGTGCTTTCACTTACTAAGAACATTGCTTTTTACTATGATGCTCTGAACCACCAAAAACTTCATTTATGTAATTGGTACCAATATACTATTTTATTCATTTAACTTTTGAATGAATTGATAACATCTTTCTCAATAATGTCATTTTTGACTGAATTAACTTGTAGAAGCTTTACTTTTTCCATAAATTGAATAAAACATAAATAAATCATTATTATGATTAACTAAATTCTATTTCAGCAGCTGATGATATTAACATAAAACTAACATCATTGAGCAATTCTTCTTTTGCTAATGCATTAATAGTCACCACTTTATTCTTTGCACTTACGTAAGAAAATCTGAAATTGTAATGAGCAAAATTAACATAGATGAAGAACAATCAATCTAAATAAAAGGTCTTGTTTCTAGAGTGATATGCAAATTAAGTTTTGTAGCTATATGTGTTAAATTATTGTCTTTGATCACAGTACTAAAATAGCTAATAAATTTTAAAATGGCTAAGCTTCTTAAGCTGATTGGTGTTTTCTGGTTTTCACATTGTTGGTGTTATTACTCCTGTGCCCTTGGTGGATGGCAAATGTCCATAAACATTTTACATTAAAACATACAGTATTTGTATTCTTAAGAAACAAAAATGCTGTATTCTTTTTAAATGAAATGCTTTTGTTTTATTAAACTTACTGCTCTCCAAACATTTTTATTCAAAATTGAAAACATTACAGAACAATAAAATAAATAGTTGTAGATTTACAGCATAGAGTAAGTGTCCAGAATGCTGTAGCAAGAAGACACAGCCGAAAGGCTGAATTTCCGTCTCACATCTCCTACCTTTCATTTCTGTGTTCACAGCTGACCCTGCCCATGACTGACCTTGTAGCTTCTTGCCTTTCCTAGGCTGGGACACCAAGGGGTCAGCAGGAGCAATAATGTCAGATACTTTCCTTATCAATTATTAGAGTCCTCTTTAGGAAAAAGAGGATAGAATTATAAATTCAATATTATGTAACAATTCCTTGAAATAAGTTTGTGCATATGTGGAGTCCTGCATCTTAATGACCATTAGTTTCATGGTAAATCATCCTCTGGGTAGCCAGTCAAAGGTTCGGGTCCTGGAGTGTGCACCAGGCCAAGGAAACAGCAAGTGTAATACAACTATTCTGATGTCCAACAGAAAGAGTAATAAGAAATGAGGTTGCTGAGGAGAGCAGGAACCAGATGATTATGTAAAAATTTGTAATCCACGGTAAATAATTTGAATAGGATGAAAGGTAAAGAAGAAATAAGTGAATAAAGGAGTGAATTAATTGTGCTTTCAAGAAATCAGGAGTAGGAAAAAAGAGAAAGATCTCCTTTTTCATCCAAAGGCAGCCATCAGATGTAACGCTTATGATTAGATCCAGGAGGGGTGGCATGCTGTCACATGCAGAAATCTAAGTGGTTAGATGGGTGAGGGTCCCTCATGGCCATGACTATCCTAATTTTCTGTTTTCTCATCCACAAAGTGTGAGAGTTAGGCTAAGGTTATTTATGTCTCCAAAATTTATTTTTAAAATTCTTTGAAAACATTCTTCTTTCCTTCTTTTGATTTTGATATTGGTGTGAAGAATGGTTTTCCATAGCTCCCTAACTCCCAAATGAATTTTAGGATTTTTACTGTGATACCTTTTCTAGTATTTGGATGCAATGTTATTTGATCATTTGTTTTTATGAGATGTTTTATAATGTATTTGTATCTTCACCTTCTGTCTCAACTATAACCTGCTTTAAGCTAGTGACAAGATAGTGACAAGGACCTATCTTTTTTATGATCTTATCAACAATTCTATTCTTTTAATTTTTATGGGTACATAGTAGGTGTATATATTTATGTGGTGCATGAAATGTTTTGATACAGGCATATAATGCATAATAATCACATTAGGGTAAATGAGGTATCCATCATCTTATGCATTTATCATTTCTTGGTGTTACAAACATTCCAATTACACTTTTTAAGGCCTACTCATCTTTGAACTCCCCAAAGTGCTTTTCAAAGTCTCTGGTACATGTCTATTGTATCTCTCATAAAGCCTTTGGCAGAAGGCAAACCAGCCCAAAACTTAGTGGCTAAAACAGCAAACCATTATTATTTCTTACAATTCTGTGAGTCGACTTGGCATTTCTTCCATTCTGTGCTGGCTTGGTCTAGAATGGCTGACTCATGTCTTGTTTTCCACATATTTTACTTGGTCCATGGGATTTCAGCTGAGATGGCCAGGATGGCTGATCTCTCTTCCTGTGGTCTCTCAACCCTCAGAAGGCTAGTCCAGACTTAGTCACATGGTAGCAGAAATCATCTCAGCCCCAAAAGAGGAGAAAAGCCAATCCACAGGCACTTTTTACTCCTCTGCCCATGTCATGTTTGCTAATACTCTATTGGTCACACCTAGTCACAAGACCAACCCCAGGTTCACAGGGAAGAGAAATATTCTCTACCTCTTGGTAAGATGAATTTCTTTCAATGTATCCAATTTATTTAGCAACCAGTGATTTATGCAAGCATATGTCTACTTCACCCTGAAGGTGACTCTGAAGCAGGAAAGCAAGCTGTTTCCATTATATCCCTCTGGCCCTGACCTGGCTAGAACTACAGATCTAGGGGAAAATAAAAGGGAAAAACTGAAGAATGTAGTTCTGTTAGTAGGTTAATGGGAGAATAGGAAATAAACGTTTCCTGTTTGTGAATATCTTCAGTATTGTAAAAATGCTGGAATGAAATAAAAAATGAACAAGAAACCCTGTGATACTTTACCTAATTGAGGTTCCATAAATACCATTTGTAAATGGCTCATTTTATACAACTAAGGCTTGTTAATGTGCAAAAGTGCAAACAGCGTACATTTTGCTATCTTCCATGTGATGATTTGAATTCTATCCAGGCCACTGCCCAGCATGTGACCTTGCGAAAAATATTTAAAACGACCTCAGTTTTCTAATTTCTTAAATGAGATAGTTGTAATTAAAAGATGGCTCCAAGGATTAAACAATATAACATATGATTCACACATGCTAAGCAGCCAGGAGTTGGCTCCTTTCTTTATTTTCTTATGTATACTTCGGTTTATATAGTATTACGCACTTTTTTGAAAGATATGTGCTTTCAATTCCTAAAGTTTTAAACTGCTTTCTATATTAATAACAAATTCACACGTACTTGTGTGTATGTGTGCACAGTAATATTGTTACAGCTCTCAGTAGGTACCAAGTGATGCGCTGAGTGGTTTATTAAAAATGAATCATTAAAACCTCGCAAGAGATCAAGGAGGCTGGTACCATGATTTAATAGCGAGGGAAACTGGGGATAGAGATGTTGAATAGTTTTACCAGGGAAGGAAACCGCAAATAAGGATGTTGAATAAGGTACACAGCAAGTTAAAAAAAAAAATGAAGCTGAGGTTGTAACACACGGCAGCGTGTCTCCAGATATGTCCTCCTAACCACTATGCCCAGCTGCTAATTAATGGCAAAGATTCATTGCAGTTAAAATGAATTTTAAACACAACTTTTAAAAAAGGAATCTATTTTATTAATTAAAAAGAAATGTGATTGTAATTAATTTAAAATAATCTCCAGAGTTTTTCCATTTATACTTGCATTTATTTCCCCTTCGTCCATTCAGGTTGCAGTGACAGAATAACACAGACTGGGTAGCTTATCAACAACAGATGTTCATTTCTCACAATTCTGGAGACTGGGAAGTCCATGATCAAGGAACTGGCAGATTTGGGTCAGGTGAGGGTCTGCTTCCTTGCTCACAGAAAGCCACCTTGTCAATGTAATCTCACATGACAGAACACATAAATGAACTCTCTGGAGTTTATTTTTATTTTATTTATTTATTTATTTTTGAGATGGAGTCTTGCTCTGTCACCCTGGCTGGAGTGCAGTGGCGTGATCTTGGCTCACTGCAACCTCCGGCTCCCGGGTTCAAGCGATTCTCCTACCTCAGCCTCCCAAGCAGCTAGGACTACAGGTGCACACCACCAGGCCCAGCTCATTTTTGTATTTTTAGTAGAGACAGGGTTTCACCATATTGGCCAGGCTGGTCTCGATCTCCTGACCTCATGATCCACCGCCTCAGCCTCCCAAAGTGCTGGGATTACAGGCTTGAGCCACAGTGCCCGGCCTGGAGTTTATTTTATAAGGTTACTAATCCCATTCATGAGGGCTCCACCCTCACAACCTAATCACTTTCCAAAGGCTGCATGTTCACTTTTCATCATATTTGGGTCCAGGTTTCAACACATGAATTTGGAGGGAGGGGAATAAACACTCAGTCTGTAGCACCCCTTAACAAAACAGTTTTGTTTTAGAAAAAATACCTAGAAAAGTAAAAACCATGTAGATTAAACTCCTTGTTGTCCTAAAATTATTTTGGGAGGTGGCCTAAACTAGAGACAAATTGTCATGGTATTTTAATTTTAATCGGTCACTATAGTGCCTTGCTGGTCAGAAGAAACAATGTTTTCTAAGCTTGTCCTGACAAGGGTGGGGTGTATTACACAAGATTATAGCTCTGCTCCAGCAAACTTCTGGAGTTAAAAATGGGTTGTCATTTTGAAAAGGACAAGGACATAATAAAATATTCAAAAGGTCAAAGGCATATTTTGTTATACCTAAAATAGTTATGTTTTTGCACAAAGTTTTAAATATAAGCTAGGCTCCAAAAGTGTAGATCCCTTTAATTGTATTTTCACTTGTTAAATGCTAACAATGTGCTTGACAGAAATTTTGATAGAGATATACGACATATTTCTTAATTTAAGAAGAAAAATCTCTCTTGCAGAGAAGACAATTCAGCTTTTGTCAATTCAGTTGTGACTCACATAACTGAGTCAGTTAGATATACTCATATAGTTTAATACCAAAAACATAATATACTGGGAAAAAATCCAGCACCTCTCCATTTTTGGAGGAGAGAGGACATTGTCTTTCTCTAGTTATGCTGTCTATCTTCCCTTTTCTGCCATTTTTATTCATGTCACTGAATGTTTCATGCTCTCCTTTGCCTTCACTGAACATTACTTACTCTGCAGTTTTCTGCAGAAGTGGCTTCTCAACCTTCTACACCCTAGTTACCTAGGGGTCAGGTTGAAACTAGATGGGTAGACTTCTTGCTTAACACTACTGCTTCTTTTGAGACTTCTTGCTTAACACTGCTGCTTAACACTGCTGCTTCTTTGCCTCACGCTAACATTTTTAGATATCTGAGATCCCATTAATGGACTAAACAGCACAACACCCTTCTATATTCCTGTCCTGGATACACCTTATATTTTGGATGCTGGCTCAACTCCCCTCTATTCCCTATTGCTGCTGTGTGTATGGAATAACATATACAATGTCCACTCTCAAGCTCACTATTGTAGCTACTCACACATACAGCTGCACGCTGGTTATTACCTCATTCTGGTTCTTACACAGAATACCCTGCAGAATAAGCTCCTTGAGGTGGGGGACAGTTTCTCTGGGGTTAAACACTGTGTCTTCAACAATAAAGTATCTGGTACATATTAGGTACTTAACTAAGTGGTTATTAAATAAATAAATACATAATCACATCATATGAGGAAACCTTATTCCAATATCTTGCCTACATTCCAAGATCTCATTATTTTTATCACTTCCTATCTTTCCAGCTCTCTTGTGACCCAAATTTTACTCTACATTTTATATCATGTTGACCACTATTCCTATCCTTTCTCTATTTTCTCCTAATCTCTTGGTTATTCTCTCTGTTTTACATATTTTACTGACACCAATAAGATGAACCACTCCTTGCCAAACACTCTTTACTATTACATGCCCCTTCCTAGACAGTACATAGTCGTAAGGCAAAACTGACCCAGTCCCATAAGCTGTCTCTAATGGCAGCAGTGGCCCGTCTGGGGTGGCTACTGCCAAGGCGCCAGCTACAGCAGAGAAGTGTAGCCAGGGCTGCGTGCTCTGCAGAGCCAGCAGGAGCCAGGATCAGGCAGGATCCCCATCCCATTGTGAGTTGTTGGGGCAGGAGCCTTGTGCTTCTGGACACAGCCGCAGCCACCCATCTGTGGCTGCGGACACAGGCATCCCTGCGCTCTGCGGGCCTGGGAAGCTCTCCTGCCCCCAACAGGCTCAGAAGTGCTTCTCCTGCTGCCTGGCCTCTCCTTGCTGTCAGCACCCTTGCTCTGATTTCAGAGCAAAGTTATGGCCGAGTCTAGGCATTGTCACAACCTGGCTGGGTGTACACATGCTCAGGGTGGCACTGACATGCCTGCTCCCTGCCTCTTCAGCCCCGTCTGGACTTTGAACACCAAGTATGGGAGGGAGACTGAGTAGGGGGCTGAGGGCGGCTTGGTGTGAGCCTGCAGGCACCCCTCAGCATAAACCGCCTGGGTGCCATGAACAGCGGCAGGAGACAGACGGACTCCTGGGCCGAAAGGAGCAGGTCCCTGGTTAAACTCCACCTTCAAGCCAGGGACAGCCTGAAGCCTGGGGGCCAGGCTGCCAGTCCCACAGACTGGAGTGCAAAATTAGGAATGCTTTTTCTGGGCCAGCCCATGGCCACCAATCCAATCAGCATGCACTTCATCCCCTCTGAAGCCCATAAAAACCCCCGGACTCAGCCAGACTCAGGCAAATGATGGGACTACCTGCCTGCGGAGAGAAGCTACGCACTCTGTGTCTCCTCTCTGCTGAGAACTGTACACTCACTGGGACAGCCTGCGGCCTGCCTGTAGATAGGAGCTACCCACTCTGGGTTTCCTCTCTGCTGAGGGCTGCACAGATGTTGGGACGACCTGCCTGTGGAAAGGAGCTACCTACTTCTGGTCGCCTGGGAGCTGTACTGTTACTCAATAAAGCACCCTCCAGTTGTCCACATTGTCCACGTATCTCATTCATGCTGGACGCAGGACAAGAGCTCAGGACCCTCCAAATGGCAGGACTGAAAGAGCTATAACACAAACAGCTGAAACATGCCCCTTCCCACCCCACTTGACACATTGCAGGTGATGAGGAGAGAGTAGCTTTGGCCCTCTGGGGACCCCAGACCTAGGAGCTCCCTAAGCCAGGGCTGTGACACCCTCTTTGGGACTCTGCAGTTCCTGGAATCTCCAAGCTTCCAGGTGCCACCCCATTCCACTGTGCCCACAGTGGAAGCCGCTTGTAGTACTCCTGGTCCAGCCACTGCAGCTTGCATGCCTGGCTGTGTGCAGTGGCCAGACCCCATGCTCGCCTGCTCACGCATCCCTCACCACTCTGCACCTGGCTAGCCCTTGGCAGGTGTGGGATCTGGGCCTGTAGAGCAAGCTGAGTGCAGCCTGTCAGGCCGAGTGGGCCGAATGAGCCCAGCAGCCCCTAGCAAAACTCTGGCAAAAGGTGCCACTGGCTATAGAGGTTTCTGGATGGCAAAGTGACACCCCAAGGATCTCATGACACCTCCTCCAGTCTTTTGCTCAAACTATCAAGCACAGCAAAAGAAAATCACACAATCATGCATATAAGTGACAGATAAATTGTAGTCAGTTGTAAGGGGATCCTTGATTCTAAGAAACAATCCTTGTCTTGTTTGTAATCCCATTCCTCATCAAGAATGTGCTAAATCTTTGCCATTTCTCTCCACTCCCTCACTCTTCAGCACACTACTAGATGTGAGTGTACACCCATCAAGTCTGAACTACAACTGCATGACTCCTCCATTTTCAAATATTTTGTATCTCCATTCTAATATCCTTTCTTTCAGATTCAGATATATGGCACAACTTTAGACTCTATTACAAAAACCAGTGTATGATTTTGAGTTCTTCACTTACTGCAACTCTTCTTGAATCTTCACTGTCTTGACTTTATTGGCACTATCTCCTAAATTTCATTCTAATTCTGGCCATTCTTTTTCAGGAACTCTAATCTAAATCTACATCTTCCTTTAGAACAAGAGAAAGGCTGTAGAACACATTTTCTATTTACTTCTTAAAGGTTACTGTTGCATAGCTGTTTAGTTCTATTTTGATTTTATGAAAAAATAAATTGCTTTATTTTATGAGTATCCAAAAGCTACAGGTTTTTATTTGTATACAATCAAAATTTGTCTTAGCCTTATACTACTCTGGTAATCTCCAGATTATAAGTTCAAATTTACCTGCAAATTTTAGATTTAGTTTACATATGACAGCAACTAGATAAGGTTGTTTTAAATGTATGTTCCTGCTGTAACTTTTCGGCTTATCTTTGCGGTGGTATAAAGAGAAGGGAGAGTTGGAATGCAGGAAGAGTGGCCAATCACATTATTACAGTGATGTGCTTTGGAAATAGTAAAGCCTTTGATTCAGACAGGACTATTCTAGAATCCAGGAACTGTCCTTTCACTGTCTGGTGGACTTCGGTAAATTACTTTAGTTCTCTGAGTTTTCGTTTCCTCATATTTAAAGTAGACACAATAATGACTCCCTAACATAATTCATTTACAAGTATTTCAAGAGCAATGTTTGCACATATTAGGGATTTAGACATATTGCTTTTTTCCCTTTTGTCTCCTACTTCCATCATAATGCAGGTTAGATCACAATGGAGATTTTTAGTTTTTTGTATATAGCAAAATTTTCTCTTTTCATTGTAGTTTAGACGAATGATTCATTCATAGGAATATCTCTACAACCAAGATATAATTTTTCTTTTGAGGATGACTGTAGTATTAACTAACTTAGGTTTTAAGATGCAAGGACATTGAAAGTAGAATTTAAAATGTTGGCTTCTGCAAAATGTTTAAGTAACAAAACTAAACCCAGAATCTAGTCACATTCAAATAGATTATATTCAATCTTTAGAATGGAAATCAACATAATTTCCGCACTCTCATTTTAATAATATGGTGACTAGGCATACTTTTTTGGTCCTATTTAAATCAATATGGAGAGCAAGCAAAAATAACAGCTCCCTACTCTAGAACACACCTGCTTCTGCAAATGAAACTAAGCCCACTCACCAGCTTATTTATGAAAACCATTAGCTTGGGGTATCAAAACTCATTTCAATGACCACCAGTCCAAATTTCTTATGCTATTTCATAACCTCTGCCCGTTCCCAATCTAGAGTGGAAAACTGTCCTGGTTTTCTCAAGACTTAAGTTTTAGCACTATAAGTTCCACATCCTGGGAAAACCTTTAGCCCCAGGCAAACCAGGACAGTTGATTACTCTATCTTCCAAAACTTGCCTAGAACGAAATCATGTCCTTTGCAGCAACATGAATGCAGCTGGAAGCCATTATCTTAAGCAAACTAATGCAGAAACAGAGAAACAAATACTGCATGTTCTCACTTATAAGTGGGAGCTAAACATTGGGTACACACAGACATAAAAATAGGAACAATAGACACTGGAGAACAGAAGGAGGGGGAGGGGGGAAAGGGTTGAAAAACTACCTGTTGTTATTGATACTATGCTCACTACCTGGGTGATGGATTCATTTATACTCCAAACCACAGCGTCATGCAATATACCTTTGTAACAAATCCACATGTTTTCCTTGATTCTAAAATAAAAGTTGAAAAAAAAATCATCCAGTCAAGGCTCCAGTACCCTGTAAATTCTCTTTTTTAATTTATCCTCTTAAATTTTGTCAAAACAGCATTCTCCATTGCTTCAGTGGGTCTAATATACTCTTTCTTGATCAACAGGTTTTTCTGGTGGGTTTCTGGAGAAATCAACTGTCAACATTCTGCAAAACAATCACTGACTCAAAAAACTCAAGAAGGGAGTAAAGATAATTAATAAAGTAAGTTAAGTTGTATTATACCCACAAATACAAACCAGTGGAATCATTTCTGGGTAACATATTGAGCTAATAAAGTAGTAAAAAGGTGTCAATGATTTTAGGTAAAAGATATTGCCACCCCACTCTTCTTATGTGGCGATGCCTAAAGAAGAGATCGCGCTGGCTGCAATAATGCCCCAATGGTCAAGATATGCCAGTTATTCAAATTGGAAAATCCAGGTATATTCATGGAACTTACCAATCTTTGGTTACTAGTAGGAAGTCTGCACAAGCAGCAACTACCACAGTTGTTCTAAAAACAGGGTGACAAAAGGCCACTCTTTCAGGCTATGAAGACATTTTGGCTTTTGTTTTCACAATTAGAGACTCAGCAGCTTTCTGGACAGAAACTGCTGGAGTCCAGGCTATGGCATACTTGTTTCATCTGCCCTCTCCTTGTTGGCTTCTGTCAGCTTTCTTTTCATTGTTTCACTTCAGAACAATTATAAAGCTTTGTCATTTTCCCAGTTAAAGACTCATTTCCATTTTGGTGTTAATGCTACTATTTTTTTCACTCCTAATGTGTAAGAGCAATCAAATTTTAAGATACAGTTCTAACAAGAGTTGAGAGTTGAAAGAAGATTCAAAAATCCACAAAAAATGGACACTTCTGATCATTTACATGTATAAAATAAAATGGCAATAGATATGATTCATTTGATATTCATTAATAAGATTCTTAATAAAAGCCTACCGTGTAGTAGGACTTCAACCAGATTCTGAGAAAATATAAAAGAAAAATGTATTCTGCTCTAAAGACTCTCCTCATAGGCTGTTTAGGAGACATTCAGACTTGGTTTCTCTTATTCACATTGTCCTATAATACAACATGTTGTGAAGATGGAAATTTTGAAAGAAGTGTAAATATAGTGTAAATTATAGGACGTCAAGTCAAGGTTATGAAACAAACTATTTTTTTATGTAAATAAATGTGTTAAAAAGTAAGCCTGGGCCAGGCACAGTGGCTCACACCTGTAATCCCAGCACTTTGTGAGGCCAAAGTGGGTGGATCACCCGAGCTAAGGAGTTTGAGACCAGCCTGACTAACATGGAGAAGCCCCGTCTCTACTAAAAATACAAATTTAGCCGGACATGGTGGCGCATGCCTGTAATCCCAGCTACACAGGAAGCTGAGGCAGGAGAATTGCTTGAACCCAGGAAGCGGAGGTTGCAGTGAGCCGAGATCACACCATTGCATTCCATCCTGGGCGACTGAGTGAGACTCTGTCTCAAAAAAAAAAAAAAAAAAAAAAAAAAAAAAAAAAAAGAAGCCTGAAAAAGAATGACATACTAAATGGTCAATGTGGTTTTTTATTAAAAAGCAATAATTATAAATATTTACAAACAAATACTTAAAAACTGATGACATAAAGCATCAATATCAATTGAAAGTTAGTAAGTGTGAGTTCAATCACTATTAGATTTTGAGAGCTGAAGTCTGTATGCACCTTGCAAAGGCTATTCTAAAACTTTGTGCCTGAACTATAGCCTAGAGCAAGTTGGGAACTAAATAATTACTTGTTTCTTGTGACACACAATTTTTGTTATTCAGCATTCTCACAGAGTGCCTGAAGCAATACAATTTGGGTTAGAAAGAAAAGCAGTTAGCTGGGATTTTGAAATTCACAGAGACTTTGAGTAGTGAAAAGGCGAAAAGTTAAGGCTGTAAGTTAGGGACCTCACGAGGATCAGTGGGAGTTCTTGGGTCAGTTTAAATGTAATCTGGTGATATACCTATGCATCACACTCATAAAAATGGTCTCTTATTCTCTGATTTTTTGAATCAGTGATTTAGGGAGCCACTGACACTCTCTAACTCTTTTACAGCACCAAACTTATCTATTTTTTTCAGAAAATTGAATAAAACACCTCTATTATAATATATAAGCAATAAATTACTAACAGTCATATCAAATCTGTCATAACTTAGTGAAGTCAAGTGTCTATGAGATGTGTAACATGTTTTATCAGGAAGTTGGAGAAAGTGGGGTTAATATTATCAGGAACAAATTAAACAAAACAAAACAAAAAAATGAGCCTACTACAGTAGAATTTCATTCAAGAACCAGTTCTCAAAAGAAGAGTTGCCTAAGGAAGAAATCAGCATTTCTAAGTGAAATAGCCTTGGAAATGCTATCTTTAGTGTTAACCTCCTCCTTGTAACCCATTAGTTTAATAATTTGGCTTAACTCATATATTTTTTTAGGAATTGTCTTTTGATTTACATCAGACAGAACCAAAAGCCCACAAGGATGCTGACATGATTAGGCCACCCTTGGAAACCACATATTGAATTTAGCAGATAGGTAAGGTCCAGAAAACTTAGATAATATTTAAAACAAAATTTACAATGGCTCATTGATTTAGAATTCTGTGAAGACTTAATTAGATGTATAAAACCCATTTTATGCAAGAAAAGCTATATAGGTTTTATAATACATACTAAGTAGATCAAGCTATGAAGAATACCCAATAGACTTTAATATCAGCATCCAGGTATTTTACACCAAGACATTAATGACAATTCTTAATCAAAATGGCCAAGTGAAGAGTCTGCAGATTCTCCTCTGGGGAGGGGTAAGAGGTTTCACAAAGATCTTGATCTATAAATATTTCATTCTTCATAGCTGTTATTACTATATCAGATAATTCTTAGGTTGCTTAAGGACAGATTTATGGAACAAAAGATTTACTTGTTGACACCAGAAATGACTCCACTGTTTCAGCTCTGACTCTCTGGCCTCAGTGTTTTAGTATGAGCAATCTTTGCTCTAATTAATATGTTTCCACTGTGCAGCTGTAATGGAAGGTATGCTTTCAGAAGGAAGAATCTTTTCTTACTTGTCAGTTCTTACTTGTAAAATAGGTCTCTCATTTTTACAGTACCATGATATTTCTTCCACAACGTCAGTAAACATCCTTCAGAAATGCCCACCAAAACAGTTTAATCATTTTATTATCACTTACAATTACAGCATACTTAGAGGGCACCTAGGCAAGCTTCTTACTCAATGTAAAATACTCGCAGGTGGCTGCATGCAGACTTTTCTGGATGACTCCTAGTGAGGAACAAATCTGAGGATAAAAAGGAATCCTTTTGCATTTTTAAATTACTGTATTTTTTGAAAATTATTTGCATATTTTTATATTATGTTAAGATTGAATTTATCTAACTAGGACTTCCATCCCTTGTTTCAATTTTTTTTCCAAGTCTGAAACAACATATGAAAGCCTTTTAGCCATTAGAGTACATTTATCACAATCTCTTCCCTCTTCTTGCTTCTGATTTATATACATTCCATTCTTTATTCAATAAATAAATTGGTCTGCTTTTTTCCTCTGTGTAGACAGCATTTTTGTAGCAAATAATAGAACAAAATCTAATTAATTTAAATAAGAAAGGTTAGAGTTTTAGAAAAATTTCAGGGATATATCTAAGACTCCTTGGGAAGGGCAGACAAGTTCCCCCAGAGATTTTTGAGAGGAAGTAAAAGTCACCAGGAAGAGAGATATCTGTGCTGTCTGTCTTTTTCTCACTTCTGGTATTTTTCTTACTTCTGATTCTTGCAGTGGATTGGATTCCATCTCCTTTCTCTCTGAAGAACTGGTTTCTCTGGTCCTCTTACTCATGGACCAATATGGTTAACTCAGACTCCACTTTCCATCACTTCCTTGTTGAAGTGACCAATAAATGGACTAGTCTTTGTGTACTAATTATTTTGTGGTGGGGGTGGAGATGAAGCAAGCATATAAATTATCTTAGTCTAGACTGTGGATTGATGCCTACTGACTCAAGCAATTAGTTGAGATCACATTGCATGAACTTGACAGCAGATCTTCACCTATGGTTTGAAAGTGGGAATGTTTTTAGAAAAAGGAGAGTGTAAATTAAACAGGTTTGAAAATTACTTTATCTTTTCCTCTCATAATGATCTAAAGCCAACACCTGATATTTTAGATGTGACCTGAACAAAGCAGAATATGTTGACCAATTCTCTTACTTCCATCCAGCACACAAATAATTCACTTAATGAAGCACTAAAATGCATTATAGTAATATTTTTAGAACTTTAGTATCTTAATTATCAAATAGATCAACAATTACAAAGCTTCTGGAAGCCTTCTCACTGATTTTTGTTTTAGTACATGGTAAGGGAATGGTACTGTATATTTGAACAGCTGCAATTCAACGTTTATGAACAGTTGTTACCTATCAAGATACTGAAATAAGAAAGCCATCATTAGTTACATGTGTTATCATTGAGACCAGTTAGCTCACAGTATGTCTTTGGTATGATATTAGAATTAGTCAAAAATCTTGCAGATTATTAATTTTACTGAATTCTATAAACAATTATTTAAATCACAGTTTTAGTTTAGACAATGTTTTCACAAAAAGAACATAAAATGAGGTAAAATATCAAATCATTTAACCAATGAATTCTTATTATTCCATCTTATAAAATAACTCATACTTTGGATTATCTTATGGGTAATTTATGATTGAAAAATGCATGCGATAACTTCTATTTTTTTAGTAATTTTTACCATATTCTCAGAAATTTGCTAAGGGAATTGAAGAAATGTAACCAAGTGACTAGTGTAGCATCACCAACGGTATCACATATCCCAAAATATGGTGTAAAAAGAAGGACACTTCACCTCTGTGGTATTCTTCCCCAAAATATCATCAGCCCAGTCCATTCACAAGAAAGACACCAGACAATCAAATTGAGGCACCTTCTACAAAGGTGACTCTTCAAACTGCCCAGCTCAAAAAACAAGGAAACCTGCTTGACTCTTCAAAACTGTTAAGGCTATGAAAAACAAAAAAATGGTATCTGAGGAATTGTAACTAATCAGAGAAGACTAAAGAGACATTAAAGGAAGGACAATGTGGTCCCCTGAATGGATCCTGGAACAGAGAAAACATGTTAGTTGGAAAACTGCTGAAATACATATAATGTCTTTAGTTTAGTCAATAGTAATGTGCCAATATTAATTTCTTAATTTGGATAAATATAATGTGGTTATGTAAGATGCTAACAGGAAGAGAAACTAGCTGAAGGATTTCTCTGCATTATCTTTGCAACTTTTCTGTAAATCTAAAATTATTCAAAAGTAAAGAGTTTATTTTAAAATACATGTTTTAATTAAAGATGGTTTTGCACATGAGAAACTACTCTATCCTCCATTTTTAAATTTTGTCATTACACTTCTGTATTATTTCACCATTTTGCCTTATTTTTGAGGGAAGTAAATGCATGGGTATTTGATAATGCTTGAAAGCATTTTGGCTTTCAACTTGTATATGGATAACAAAGTAGAAGGATAAATAGCTATACAAAAGGTCTGTGGTGCAATCCTTTACAAGCTTGGAGCAATAACTAATATGCTAATAATATTTTAGGATAGTTTAAAGTGTGTTTGATAATATAAATTATAAAAAGGCTATAATTGTGCAGTGTTCTTGAAAGCTTTTTAGATTCACAGTACAAAGCCTCTTTGAATACCCTGTTATTAATTTTTTACGAAGTTTAATTCAAATGTCACACTTAGTGATGTATGCTGAAGGCAGAGTATTGACAGTCCCATTTATAGAGGGCTTGCCCTTGCCAGTGCACTGACAGACTATTTTCCCTACAGAATTAATTTCAATGATATTTCAAATATAAACATTTTTGGGTAATATTCCAGTTGTTTCTTCTTTGTACAAAAGGTTAAGATAAGTGGTCAAGTCTCCCTGCATTGAACTCAAATGAATGAACAGGGTTGGTATAGTTGATGTTTATTAACTTCAAATGTAAGCTGTCATGTTTTTATTTTAAGAAGTTTTTGCTACACTTCCCAAGGTCTCTGCCCAGCCTTTGTGAATAAGTGTGTAATGTATTACCTGTGCCCATCAAACTTGTTTATTCCTTCTTCCTGTGATACTTGCATCACAGGAAGTGGGTAGAAGGAATAAACAAGTTTGATGGGCACACGTAATACATTAGGCACTTCTCTAAAAGCAGCCTACCATCAAAGGATATCGAAACAAAGTCTGTGTTTGAACAGAATATCCAGTGCACCAAGATATATATATGCCCATATATACTCATAATCATCAAGCAAACTCACTAAGGATTCCCTATGCTATTTTTCAGTCCTCTTTGCTCTGCCACCCCACACCTGCGCTGTTAGAGGCTATCTCTGCAATGTAGTCTTTTTAAGAAATTTTATGTAAACCTTGATGGCTGCAGTGTTAGATTTTCTATTTTCATAAATACATACATATTAAGTAGGGTTTTATGTCTACTTAATTTTGTATTCTCCATGGGCTGAGTATAGTGATTTTCAAATAGAAAATAATCAGTAAATATTTATTAATTGGGGAACCAATGAAATAAGAAAGTTTTCTTTGTATTTCCCAAATCAGCTTCCCAAGTGACAATGTTGCCTACTGAGGTTAAATAGAACAAAGCAAAATAAAATCTGGAATTGAAAATCAGGAGACAATGACGTCAGTCTCGAGTAATCCACTAACTTTCAGTAGACACTGAGCACCTTACAAAATATGACCATAAAGTAATGAAAGTTAAACTGAAAGCCATGTAAGACACATGCATGTGTTCTTATTTTCTTTATGGATGTTCATCCATCTGTAGAATTGAGGTAATAATTGCAGTGCTATTCTGAACTGTTGTCCTTCATCATTTCATTCATTCCTTTGTCAAGCACTTGCTGATTGCTTATGTAGTGAATCGCTAAAAATGATAATATATGCAAATGACAAAATATATGCAAATGAAAATATAAGAATCAATATTAATAACAGTTATTATTAGCAATCAATTGTGGTCACATAAAACAACAACTCACTTTTCTTTTTTTATTAAGCTTTGCAAACTTTGGAGAAGGTAAAAATATTCCACTGCAAGGAAATAGGACTGAGTTGCTTAATAGATATAATAAAAGTCATAAAGGTCCTACAGCATTAAAACAGATAAAGGCTGACAAAAAATAAAATTAAAGAAAAATGATAGAAAGAAATAGGTTATTTTGTGTGAGATGGGTTTCTGAATGACTACTGGATACATAACGAAATGAAGGCAGAAATGAAGATGTTCTTTGAAACCAACGAGAACAAAGACACAACATACCAGAATCTCTGGGACGCATTCAAAGTAGTGTGTAGAGGGAAAGTTATAGCACTAAATGCCCACAAGAGAAAGCAGGAAAAGATCCAAAATTGACACTCTAACATCACAATTAAAAGAACTAGAAAAGCAAGAGCAAACACATTCAAAAGCTAGCAGAAGGCAAGAAATAACTAAAATCAGAGCAGAACTGAAGGAAATAGAGACACAAAAAACCCTTCAAAATATCAATGAATCCAGGAGCTGGTTTTTTGAAAGGATCAACAAAATTGATAGACCGCTAGCAAGACTAATAAAGAAAAAAAGAGAGAAGAATCAAATAGACACAATAAAAAATGATAAAGGGGATATCACCACTGATCCCACAGAAATACAAACTACCATCAGAGAACACTACAAACACCTCTACGCAAATAAACTAGAAAATCTAGAAGAAATGGATAAATTCCTCGACACATACACCCTCCCAAGACTAAACCAGGAAGAAGTTGACTCTCTGAATAGACCAATAACAGGAGCTGAAATTGTGGCAATAATCAATAGTTTACAAACCAAAAAGAGTCCGGGACCAGATGGATTCACAGCCGAATTCTACCAGAGGTACAAGGAGGAACTGGTACCATTCCTTCTGAAACTATTCCAATCAATAGAAAAAGAGGGAATCCTCCCTAACTCATTTTATGAGGCCAGCATCATTCTGATACCAAAGCCGGGCAGAGACACAACCAAAAAAGAGAATTTTAGACCAATATCCTTGATGAACATTGATGCAAAAATCCTCAATAAAATACTGGCAAAACGAATCCAGCAGCACATCAAAAAGCTTATCCACCATGATCAGGTGGGCTTCATCCCTGGGATGCAAGGCTGGTTCAATATACACAAATCAATAAATGTAATCCAGCATATAAACAGAGCCAAAGACAAAAACCACATGATTATCTCAATAGATGCAGAAAAAGCCTTTGACAAAATTCAACAACTCTTCATGCTAAAAACTCTCAATAAATTAGGTATTGATGGGACATATCTCAAAATAATAAGAGCTATCTATGACAAACCCACAGCCAATATCATACTGAATGGGCAAAAACTGGAAGCATTCCCTTTGAAAACTGGCACAAGACAGGGATGCCCTCTCTCACCACTCCTATTCAACATAGTGTTGGAAGTTCTGGCCAGGGCAATTAGGCAGGAGAAGGAAATAAAGAGTATTCAATTAGGAAAAGAGGAAGTCAAATTGTCCCTGTTTGCAGACGACATGATTGTATATCTAGAAAACCCCATTGTTTCAGTCCAAAATCTCCTTAAGCTGATAAGCAACTTCAGCAAAGTCTCAGGATACAAAATCAATGTACAAAAATCACAAGCATTCTTATACACCAACAACAGACAAACAGAGAGCCAAATCATGAGTGAACTCCCATTCACAATTGCTTCAAAGAGAATAAAATACCTAGGAATCCAACTTACAAGGGATGTGAAGGACCTCTTCAAGGAGAACTACAAACCACTGCTCAAGGAAATAAAAGAGGATACAAACAAATGGAAGAACATTCCATGCTCATGGGTAGGAAGAATCAATATCGTGAAAATGGCCATACTGCCCAAGGTAATTTATAGATTCAATGCCATCCCCGTAAAGCTACCAATGACTTTCTTCACAGAATTGGAAAAAACTACTTTAAAGTTCATATGGAACCAAAAAAGAGCCTGCATCACCAAGTCAATCCTAAGCCAAAAGAACAAAGCTGGAGGCATCACACTACCTGACTTCAAACTATACTACAAGGCTACAGTAACCAAAACAGCATGGTACTGGTACCAAAACAGAGATATAGATCAATGGAACAGAACAGAGCCCTCAGAAATAACACCACATATCTACAACTATCTGATCTTTGACAAACCTGAGAAAAACAAGCAATGGGGAAAGGATTCCCTATTTAATAAATGGTGCTGGGAAAACTGGCTAGCCATATGTAGAAAGCTGAAACTGGATCCCTTCCTTACACCTTATACAAAAATCAATTCAAGATGGATTAAAGATTTAAACGTTAGACCTAAAACCATAAAAACCCTAGAAGAAAACCTAGGCATTACCATTCAGGACATAGGCATGGGCAAGGACTTCATGTCTAAAACACCAAAAGCAATGGCAACAAAAGCCAAAATTGACAAATGGGATCTAATTAAACTAAAGAGCTTCTGCACAGCAAAAGAAACTACCATCAGAGTGAACAGGCAACCTACAAAATGGGAGAAAATTTTCGCAACCTACTCATCTGACAAAGGGCTAATATTCAGAATCTACAATGAACTCAAACAAATTGACAAGAAAAAAACAAACAACCCCATCAAAAAGTGGGCGAAGGACATGAACAGTTACTTCTCAAAAGAAGATATTTATGCAGCCAAAAAACACATGAAAAAATGCTCATCATCACTGGCCATCAAAGAAATGCAAATCAAAACCACAATGAGATACCATCTCACACCAGTTAGAATGGCGATCATTAAAAAGTCAGGAAACAACAGGTGCTGGAGAGGATGTGGAGAAATAGGAACACTTTTACACTGTTGGTGGGACTGTAAACTAGTTCAACCATTGTGGAAGTCAGTGTGGCGATTCCTCAGGGATCTAGAACTAGAAATACCATTTGACCCAGCCATCCCATTACTGGGTGTATACCCAAATGACTATAAATCATGCTGCTATAAAGACACATGCACACGTATGTTTACTGCGGCATTATTCACAATAGCAAAGACTTGGAACCAACCCAAATGTCCAACAATGATAGACTAGACTAAGAAAATGTGGCACATATACACCATGGAGTACTATGCAGCCATAAAAAATGATGAGTTCATGTCCTTTGTAGGGACATGGATGAAATTGGAAATCATCATTCTCAGTAAACGATCGCAAGGACAAAAAACCAAACACCACATATTCTCACTCATAGGTGGGAATTGAACAATGAGATCACATGGACACAGGAAGGGGAATATCACACTCTGGGGACTGTGGTGGGGTGGGGGGAGGGGGGAGGGATAGCATTGGGAGATATACCTAATGCTAGATGACGAGTTAGTGGGTGCAGCGCACCAGCATGGCACATGTATACATATGTAACTAACCTGCACAATGTGCACATGTACCCTAAAACTTAAAGTATAATAATAATAATAATAATAAAAATACGTGGACCAATGGGAAGGGTTAAAGAACCCAGAAATAAAGCTGCACATCTACAACAATTCGATCTTTTACTAAGTTGACAATAACAAATGATAGGGAAAGCACTCCCTATTCAATAAGTAGTGGTGGGAGAACTGGCTACCCATTTATAGAAATTTGAAATTGAACACCTTTCTTTCACCATATACAAAAATCAATTCAATATGGATTAACGACTTAAACATGAAACCTAAAATTATAAAAACTCCAGAAGAAAACCTAGGAAATACCATTCTGGACATAGGCCTTGGCAATGATTTAATGGCAAAGGCTCTAAAAGCAATTGCAACAAAAACAAAAATTGGCATGTTAGACCAAGTTAAACCAAAGAACTTCTGTACAGCAAAAGAAATAATCAACAGAGCCAGCAGACAACCTAAGAATGAAAGAAAACATTTGCAAACTGTGTATCTGACAATGGTGTAATATCCAGAATCTCTAAGAAACAAATCAACATGCAGAAGACAACCCCATTAGAAAATGGGCAAAGAAAATGAACAGACACTTCTCAAAATATATACATACAGCCAACAAGCACATGAAAAAATGCTCAACATCATCAATAATCAGATAAAAGCAAATAAAAACCACAGTGAGATACCATCTTACACCAGTCAGAATGGCTATTGTTAAAAAGTCAAAAAAATAACAGATGTTGGCAAGGTCATGGAGCAATGGAATGCAGATACATTGTTGGTGGGAGTGTAAATTAGTTCAGCCACTGCAGAAAGCAGTTTGCATCCAAAGAACTGCCATCTGAACCATTGCTAGGTATATACCTGAGTGAATATAAACCATTTTACCATAAAGACACATACATGCATACATTCATTGCCTCACTTTTCATAATAGCAAAGACATGGAATCAACCTAGATGCCTATCAACAGTGAACTAGATAAAGAAGATATGATTAATATACACCATGGAATACTACACAGCCTTAAAAGAAATAAAATCATGTCCTTTGCAGCAACATGGGTGTATCTGGAGGCCATAATCCTAAGTGAATTAGCACAGGAACAGAAAACCAAATACCACATGCACTCATTTTTAAGTGAAGTTAAACATTGAGTACACATAGGCACAAAAAAGGGAACAATAGACATTGGCGCTTACTGAAGGGTGGAGGGTGGAAGAAGGGTGAGGATTGAAAAACTACCTGTCGAGTACTATGCTCACTACGTGGGTGGAAAACTAATTTGTATACCAAACCCCAGCAACATGCAATTTATCCATGCAACAAACCTGCACATGTATCCCCTGAACCTAAAATAAAAGAGAAAAAAATAAAGAAGAAAAAACATTAGTACGGCCTGTAAAATTTTGATTCAGAAGTTCGAATGTGTGTTTAATTCAATAATTAAGTCCATATTCTGTGACAATATTTATGATGTGGAGTAAAATTTTGTAGCCAATATCCAGATACATTTTAAGGCAAAAGTAGTGTTTTTAAACATCTGTATTTTTTAAAGACAATTTCATAGTTATCCAATTAGAATGTATAAATGAAGTAATAGACTTTTAATATTATAAAAATATATTTTAGTAGTCAAAGTATATTGTTTAAAGCCATTTGTAAGGGACAGAGGGTAATATTGTCACTTATAATGTCATTGCTTAACATTATTATGAGAGTTTATTGCTCACAACATTTTTAAAATAATTTTTTTCCACTGAATAGAGAAACCCATATAAGACCACTTTAAATTTTTTTCTTATTTTATATTAATTATGAGCCTATGAATACTGTGATCTATCTTTTCTGATTCATAATGGGACAAAGCTTACACACAATGTGTCTTTGGACCTTGCAAAACACTGATGAAAATAAACAAAGAAGACTAAGTAGGTGATGTACTATGTTCACATATTGAAGACTCAATATTGTTAAGATGTCAATTTCTCCCCAATCTGATCTGTAGATGTAATGCAATCCCAACAAAAAATTCCAGCAAGATTTTTTTTCTGTAGAAATTGACAAGCTAATACTAAAATTTGCAAAACAAAAAACCTAAGTGATCTGGAATATCAGAAACAATTTTGAAAAAGAAAAAATGTGGAGGAAAGACATCATTAGATATTAATACTTACTCTAAAGCTATAATAATAAAGACTGTGATATTGGCAAAAGAATGGATACATAGATAAATGGAACAGAATAAAAAAAAATCCAGAAATAAAACTCAAACATTTGTGGTCAACTGACTTTTGATAAAGGACAAAGTCAATTCAATGTTCAAAAATAATTTTTAACGGATGGTGCTGGACATTGAATTTTTAGGTAGAAAAATAATGAACCTCTATCCATGAATTTCTGATCTATATTTAAAACTGAACTGTATAACCTCTAGAGAAAAGTGAAGGAAACATTATTTCTTAGATTTGGTACCCAAAGCATAATTTATAAAAGAAAAAAATGATAAATTTATAAAATGGACTTCATGAAAACTTAAAAACTTCTCCTCTTTGAAATATATTCTTCATGAGGTCAGGAGATCGAGACCATCCTGGTTAACACGGTGAAACCCCGTCTCTACTAAAAATACAAAAAATTAGCCGGTCGCGGTGGCGGGCGCCTGTAGTCCCAGTTACCCGGGAGGCTGAGGCAGGAGAATGGCATGAACCCGGGAGGAGGAGCTTCCAGTGAGCCGAGATCGCGCCACTGCACTCCGGCCTGGGCGAAACAGCGAGACTCCGTCTCAAAAAAAAAAAAAAAAGAAAAGAAAAGAAAAGAAATATATTCTTGGGAAACTGAATATACAAGCCACAAAATGTGAGAAAATATTTGCAAAGCACATATTTAAAACAAGTAAGTATATATAAAGAATTACCGAAACTCCATAATAATTAAACAGACAACTCAAGCAAAAAATGAGCAAAACATGGGAATAGACAAAAATATGAATGACAGATAAGCACTAGAAAAGGTGCTTCATAATATTTAGTATTAGGGAAATATAGGTCAAAAATCAATGATACATCACTACATACATATTAGAATAACTATAATAAGATTAGTAAAATAAATATCCAGTGTTAGGTTGCTCTGTGCCACTTGAATTCTTAAAACTGAGAAACTAGAATTGTCAAACATTGCTGACAGAGGGACAAGTGGAAGCAGCTTGGCAGTTTCTTATAAAGTTAAATACACACTTACATAACCCATCAATCTCATTCCTAGATATTTATCTAAGTGAAACAAAACTTATGTTTACAGAAAAACCATGAGTGGATGTTAATAAAGCTTATTCATAATCACTATAAATGGGAAATAATCCAAATGTCCTTTGGCTTGTAAATTAATGAACTAACTGTGGTGTATTCATATGACAGAATGCAACTCAACAATAAAATGATACAAACTACTGATACAAGAAACAACAAAGATGAATTTCAGATGCATTATGCAAAGAAAAAAGCCAGACTCAAAGGGCTAAATTCTGTACAATTCCATTTACATGCTATTCTAAAATAGGCAATCTATAGGAAGAGAAAATGATCAATAGTTGCCAGGGCTTGTGGATTAGAGGAGGGTTTGGCTCCAAAGAAGCAACAACATTTTAATTTAACGGGCATCAGCACAGGCACAGATGGCATAGTTTCGATGTGATAGCACTTTAAGCAATAAGTAGCATTAGTTAAATATTCATCATTTGGCTCTATTACAGAATTATTAAATTGAAATTATTCATGCTATGTAACTGGCATGCTTTAGGCTGATCACTTTATATCTAGTGTTTTCTGTTTTTTTGTTGTATTTCAAAAGAGACATTAAAATACATAAAAACAGTTGCCCAGAAATGTTAAGTGTTTTAAAACTATTTCATGTTTGGGATATTTGCAATAGGTAAGTCACATTTTACCTTAAAAAAGAGAACAAGAAGAATAAGGCAAAACTGGCATGAAAAAGTACCAGTCTATACACTTGTTTCTTCAGGATGGAGAATTCAGACATTGTTGAAGTTACGCAGATACCCACTTGGGTGCTAAATAAAGACACAGCATTCTAACAATTGTAAGGGCCATCACAAAAAGTGCTAACATAACCATACCTGAATACCTTTGGGCAAAAATTTGGTACCTTTATGTTAGAGTGCTTTGAAAGAGTTTTTTTTTCTTATTGATGAGCAATTTAACTAGATAAGTCTGGGGGCTGTGTGTGGCCATGAACACTCATGAAGCCAATATTAAGCTATTGAACACTAATATTAAGATAGGAATTGTGCACGATGTTGGGGATAGGAACACATGTATCATTCCGTCTCCACAACAGAAATTTTCTGAATCTAATATAGGAGAGAGACATGAATATAAACAGTTATAATATACTAATGGTAACCACATATAGATTTATGTGCAGAGAGTACTGATATCACTGAGGAAGATGAAATTGACTGACACTCTCACACCTCTTGCCCCAAGGTAAGAGACTATTTCACAACAGAAAATATGTGAGCTAAATACATAGAGAAAGGAAATTTGCTAGATGAAGTTAGAGGTAAAGGGTAAAGTGATTGGTTTTTAAAGCAGAAAGAACAGCTTTTACACAGTGATTGGTAACAGATAGGCATGTTCATAAACTACAAATGGTATACTATAGCTACCACATTGGACAGAAAAATTGATTTGCACACAGCTGGTAGCATATTTAGAGTTTGAATGCACATGTGCACATGGTAAATATTAAGGGATTTATTTCCAGATCCTCAATTCTCTAAATGTGTTTTCATTAAACTGATGTGTCTAGGAAAGTACCTTTCTTTAAGACCCCATTGTGGTTGGAGAATTGGGGTATCATGGCCTGTGTTGGAATATTCTAAATTCCAATCTATTATGTAGTTGAGCAAAAGGAATGATGATAATTTTCTTATAAAGACTTTGCTGCTTCTCTTTTTAAATTTTCTAAAAATATATGACTTCTGACGAAGAGAATTAGTAAGAAATATTGAAGACAGCAGAGCCTTATTTTCTCCTGGTGACAAACTCATGGCAAGGTTCTGTGTCTTGCCTTTCTATTTAGAGTGAGATTTTCCAAGGCTTGTATTAAGCAGGGAGTAAATATCCAAACTCTAAGAAGCAGGCCCTCTGAATTGTCAGTAAAAGAAAATGCTTGGGGAGAACTCTCATACATCAGTGTCTTGCATGTTTTGCATAATATCAAGTATGAAAAAGTTAAAAATTCCAATTTTACTTCTGACAGATCCATACTACATTTTCAAATTTAAAAAACTTATAAAAGAGGCAAGTTAATGCTTGAAATGTTCTTGAAAATTTATTCAGACTCATTGAATAAACAGCATTATTCAAGCTTACTGAGAAATTTATTGGCAGCTACAAATCCATTCTCATTTTTCCTTCAAATGAAAGTTTCCTGTTAATTGCTACTTGTCAAACACTTTCTGATTATTTACTCATTCAAATCAAATGCATATGACACAGTCGGTTAGCTTTATCTGAATGTCGTGGATTTTACTTTAAATACCAGATATATTAAGTCTTTAATAGGGTCTTGAAGCCCTCATATACAAGTGGGCTAATAGCTTTCTTTCTTTGGCTGCTAATTTCAACAAATTTTTATTTTATTTATTTATTTATTTATTTATTTATTTATTTATTTATTTATTGAGACAGAGTCTTACTCTGTCACCCAAGCTGGAGTGCAATGGTGTGATCTCGCCTCACTGCAACCTCTGCCTCCTGACTTCAAGCGATTCTCCTGCCTCAGCCTCCTGAGTAGCTGGGATTATAAGCACATGTCATCATGCCCAGCTAATTTCTGTATTTTTAGTAGAGACGGGGTTTTGCCATGTTGGCCAGGCTGGTCTTGAACCCCTGACCTCAGGTGATCCACCCTCCTTGGCCTCCCAAAGTGCTAGGATTATGGGCGTGAGCCACTGCACCTGGCCTAATTTCAACAAATTACACTACATTTCATTTTGAAAAATAGAAAAATTTTATGCATATGAATGTAGGACAAATGTATTCCCCAAATTTAATTGGAAACATAGTATCTTCAAGCTTAGAAAATCTGCTTTATTTAATTATGGTTAATTCTTCCCTCTTGTCCACTGATATCATGTTCTAATTCTGTGAGAATATGTTTAGAAATATAATCGTTTTCAACCATGATATAGTATTTAAAAATCCAGCAATAGGTAATAATGCCTAAGTGTCCATATTGCTGGCTTTGTAAGCCATATTTCATGCCTTTGTAAGGCCCTACCAAATAACCTGGATGTCCTTAACAAAACACTTGCAAACCAAATTCAAAAACACAATAAAAAGATCATTCACCATGATTAATAGAGATTCATCCCAGAGACACAAGGTTGTTTCAACACGTATGAATCAATAAACATGATGCATCATGTCAATAAAATCAAGAAAAAAATCATATGATCATTTTAATAGGTGTAAAAAAAAGCATTCATTTAAGCTCAACATTCCTTCATGATAAAAATTCTCAATCAGATGGATAGAGAAGGAACAAAGCTCAAAATGCTAAGGGCCATGTATAAAAAACTCAAAACTAATATACTGACTGGGAAAAAAATTAAAAGGCTATCTTCTAAGATCTGGAATAGGACACAATGCCCACTTTCACCACTCCTGATCAACTGGAAGTCCTAGCCAGATCAATTAGGCAAGAGAAAGTAATAATAGGCATCACTACTGGAAAGGCAGAAGTCAATTTATACTTTTTTGCAGACAACATGATTTTATATTTAGAAAAAACTAAAGACTCCATCAAAAAAACCCTGCTATACCTGACATATTAATTCAGCTAAGTTACAGAATACAAATTCAACATACAAAAATCAGTAGCATTTCTATACACAAACAGCAAACCATCTTAAAAAGAAATTAAGGAAGCAATTCCATTTTATGATAGCTACCCCAAAATACCCAGGAATAAACTTAACCAAAGAAGTGAAAAAGGTCTACAATGAAAATTATAAAACACTAATTAAGGAACTTGAAGAGAACACACACACGCACACAAATGAAAAGATATCCCATGCTCATGGGTTGGAAAAATTAATATTGTTAAAATGTTCATACTACCCAAAGTGGACTACAGATCCAATGTAATCACTATCAAAGTATTAATGACATTCTTCACAGGAATACAAAAAACAATTCTAAAATTCACATGGAATCACATAACCCCAAATAGCCAAAGCAGTATTGAACAAAAAGAACAAAGGTGGAAGCATATTACCTGATTTCAAATTATACTACAAATGTATAGTATAGTAATAGTAATCAATACAGCATAGTACTGGCATAAAAACAAACACATAGACCAATGGAACAGAATTGAGAACCCAGGAACAAGCCCACACATTTATAGCCAATTCATTTTCAACAAAGGTGCCAAGAACATAGACTGGGGAAAGGACAATCTCTTCAGTAACTGATGCTGGGAAAGCTGGATTTCCATATGCAGAAGAATAAAGCTAAATTTCTGTCTCTCACCATATATAAAAGTCAACTCAAAATGGGTTAAAGACTTAAGTGTAAGACCCAAAACTTTAAAAACTGCTAGAAGAAAATGCAGGGAAAATGATTTAGGACATTTGTCTAGACAAAGATTTTATGCCTAAGACTTCAAAAGCATAGGCAACGAAAAGAAAAAATAGACAAATGAGACTAATAAAATTATAAAGCTTCTGCATAGCAAAGACAACACTCAACAAAATGAAGAGATAACCTATAGAATGGAAGAAAAATTGGGCAAAGGATCTGAATAGACCTTCCTCAAAAGAAGACATACAAATGGCCAAGTATATGAAATAATGCTCAACATCACTAATTGCAAGGGAAATCAAATCAAAACCACAGTGAGATATCATTTTATACCAGTTAAAATGTCTGTTATCATAAAGATAAAAAAATTAAAGACACTAGTGAAGATTCCCAGAAAGCTGAACATTTGTACCCTGCTCATGGGAATGTAAATTAGTGCAGACACTGTGGAAGATAATATGGAGGTTCCTCAAAAAACTAAAAATAGAACTACTGGCTGGGCACGGTGGCTTACTCCAGTAATGCCAGCACTTTGGGAGGGTGCATCAGGTGGATCATAAGGTCAGGAGTTCGAGACCAGCCTGGCCAATATGGTGAAACCCTGTCTCTACAAGAAATACAAAAATTAGCCAGGCGTGGTAGTGGGTGCCTGTAGTCCCAGCTACTCAAGAGGCTGAGGCCAGATAATTGCTTGAACCCGGGAGGTGGAAGTTACAGTGAGCCCAGATTGTGCCACTGTACTCTAGTCTGGGCAACACAGCAAGACTCCATCTCCAAAAAAAAAAAAAAAAGAAAAACAAAGAACTACCATACGGTCCAGCAATCCTACCACAGGGTGTATATCCAAAAACATAAATAAAGGAAATCAGTATATTGAAGAGCTATCTCATGTTTACTACAGCACTATTTACAATAGCCAAGATATGGAACCAACCCAAGTGTTCATTAATGGGTGAATTGATAAAGAAAATGTGGTATGTCTATACAATGGAATATTATTCAGCCATAAAAAATAATGAAATCCTGTCATTTGCAACAACACAGATGGAAGTGGAGGACATTGTGCTAAGTCAAATAAGCCAGACACTGAAAGACAAATATCTCATGTTCTTGTGGTAGCCAAAGTGGATTCATGGAGGTAGAGAGTAGAATGGTGTTTCTCAGAGTAGAATGGTATTCTCAGCTGGGAATAATAGAGGGGAGGGAGAGATGAAATCAAATTGGTTAATAGGCACAAAAATATAGTTAGATAGAAGGAATGAGTTCTAGTCACAGTAGGGTGACTATAGTTAACAAAAATTTATTGTATATTTCAAAGTAACTGGGAGAGAAGATTTGGAATGTTCCACAACACAAGGAAATAATAAATGTTTGAGGTGATGAATATTCCAATTACTCTGATTTGGTCATTATATATTTTATGCAGGAATCAAAATGTCACATGTACCTCAGGAATATGTTCAAGCTTTGTGCATCAAATAAAAAATTTATTGGTGAGAGAAACAAGAGAGGTAGGAAGCAAGTAAGAGCTGTGGATTTAGGCATTTTTAAGAAGGAAAATGAACAATACCATCAACAACTACTGTGAGCAAAGTAAAAAAAGAACTGAACCATATCTACTGAATTTAGCAACAAGGTCACTGATTTTTAGTGCATTTTATGGCTATGTTAAATTGCTGAGAAATTTAAAAATTATCTTGAGGCTAGGAAAGAACGATACTTTAGCTTTAGTACTCCCTTAAACAAAGAATTTAATTCAATATAAGCATTAAGAGGAATTTATTTTTGCATGAGACTTAAATTATTCTTTCTGTATATCCTCTGCAGCTCCTGTAACAGAAAATATTGCTTTAGCTCAAAGGAATCTAGCCAATTAATTTTCTTATTCTATGAATATTTTTGTAGTAAACTATCATTAGAAGTCATAACTGTAGTCCTCTCTAATAATGGCTTATATTGAACTTACCCATTGCCCTTGACTAATTTTAATAACAGCATTTCTGTGTGAAAAAATCACTAGATGTGTGCTTGGGTTTTAAGGAGATAGTAAAATTCCTTACTATTTTTAAACTTACTGATAAAAGAACTCTCATATTAATATATTATTTGAAAACCTAATCTCAAAGGAGCTCAGGATTAGAACAAACAATAATATGATTGATTTTCCAATAATATGAAGCTAAAAATATCCTAAATTTTATTGATTTTTAAAAGTATATTATTTACAGACAGACCTCAACAAAAACACAGAAAGCAGCCTGTTTCCTTTTTACCAGTTATTTGGTGTAAAAACATATATTACTTATCAATATTAGTGAATTTCTTTAATTTAAAAATAAAAAATAAGAATTTATCCAGTTTAAAAATAAAATAAATTGAAGTAATTCATTAATATGTATTAAAATTTCTGAGCGTCTACATCTCGAGACGAACTATAAGCTGAATGAAACACCTCAATTTCACTCAAGTCTGTCAAAGAAATTTCTTTGGGATTTAATTGACAATTTAGAACAGAAGTTCCTGCCAAACCGGTAACTTTTTCTTGGGCTGCAATAGCAGTTTAACAAATACTTAACACTAACTGCTTTAGGTCAAGCTTGTGCTCTCCAGTTTGATGAAAATCTCCATCATGTCTACTCTCTCTGACCCAGGCAATCCACCCACCATCTCTTACTGTTTTTCACTCAGGCAATCCACTCATTTGCTGGCCTAACCCTGAAGGTTTTGAGTTTTCCATCCCTGGGAACAGAGTTTAGAACTCTGTTCTTGCTATACTGGATAAAAAGCAGGTCACAGCCAGGGAATTTTAACCTGTCTTTGATGAATGAAGAAATAGATTAATTAAAAACTCTTGTTTCTTATTTGCCATCCTGTGGTTATATATTACAGATTAATAATGATTTGACAAGAATGCAAGCTATGTGATGTCGATATATAATTTTTAACATAAATTATTAACAATTTTTTATTTGTTCATCAAGTTTCCTACCTTCACCCCCATCCTAGCATGGAGATGTTTAGGGGACAGGCCCAGGACCAGTGCAATACCAGCAAAACAGCTTGATGTCCACCCACAGTTACTGAGCATTGAATAGGACTTCAGTAAGTGACATCTAGGGTGGAAATTGATCAGTTCTGTGTTAGTAAATTTTAAAAAAAAACTTTCAATTTTATAATAATTTAGATTTACAGAAAAATTTTAAAGATAATATAGAGTGTTCCCATATATCTCAGAGTCGGTTTCCCCTATTAATAACATATTAGTTTGGTGCATTTGTCACAATTAATCAATATCAATACATTATTATTAATTAAAATTCATACTTTACCTGGATTTCCTTAATTTTTAGCTAATGTTCTCTTCATGCTCCAGGATTCCCATCTAGCATACCACTTTACATTCAGTGGTCATGACATCTTAGCTGCCTCTTTGTTGTGACAGTTTCTCAGAGTTTCCTTGTTTTTGATGATCTTGACAGTTATGAGGAGTACTGCTTAGGTATTTTGGAAAATGTCCCTCAGTTGGGATTTGTCTGAGCTTTTCTCATGAGTAGATTTGGGTTATTGGATTTGAGAGAAAGACCACAGAAGTAAAGGGCCATTTTAAACACATTATACCACATAATGAATACTATCAACATGACTTACCACTGTAAATGCTGGTCTTGATCACCTGGCTAAGGTAGTGCTTGTCAGGTTTTTCTAAAGTTATTCTTTTTCTTCTTCTTAGTAAGCTTTCTTTGGAAGGAGAAAGCTCATAGTTAAGGAATAGGGGATTCTGTTTCATCTCCTTCAGTTTCGAGTGACTGCATAGTTTATTTGGAATTCTTCTCCACGTGAGATTTGCTTATTCTTTCCCATCTCAATTTATTTGTTTATATTAGTATGGATTTATGAATATTCATTTTATAATTTGGGTTATAATACACTACCAATGAAATTCTTTATAGTGTTGCTCAAATTGTTCCAGCTTTGGCCATTGAGAGCTCTTTTAGTTGGTGCCTGTGTCACTTTGACATACCCCCATCATTGGAAAGCGGGTTATTTTTATTTTAATTTTTTTAGAACTTCCTTATTTTTGGCATTACAAGATGCTCCAGGATTATTTTGTATATTTTCTGCCCCAGGTAAATTTTAACGAATGACTCTCCAATGGGGAAAAAAGCCTCAATTTTTGGAATTTGATGATTTCTGCACTGTAAATATTCCACCATGGGCAGTTTCAAGCCACCAATATGATGTCACTGAATGCAGAGTTGAGAAGAGATGTACAGTAGCTCAACAGTATAAAGTATTTCTACCACACTGAGACAAAGGATACAAATAACCTCAAGAGCATAGAAAATATAAAATGTGCTAAAATAATTACAGATTGTGTTTTCAGTATTTATTAAATTTTATGTAATTTATTTAATTGTAAGTTTATAGTTTAAGTTCTAATAATGGCTATGTTTAAGAATCAGCTCATAAAATTCCTGAAAATTCAACAGTTGGCTCTTGCAAGCTAGCTGTGGAATACTCACGAACCAGCTCTTAGGCAAATAGGCAGAATTCATTGTAATTATAATGATCATTATGATAAAGGAGAAGAAAAATGAGGAAGGAGATAAATCAATCTGACACATGTTTGTGTTATCAGAGATGTGCAAGCACTTTATATGCATTATTTTGTTAAATTTCAAAAATAAATCCATGGGACAAGTAGAAGTAAGGAAAAGCTGAGGGACTCCAAAGCCAAAGTGTGAGTGCCATAAAGAGTAAAATGGGATAATCTTCACAAATAAGGTGTGTGTTTTCCTTTTTAAAAAGCATTTCCTTTTATATTCACTCCTTCGGTATCAAATTTATAATACATGAAAGCAGGGAAAATATTTTATGTCCATTTTAAAATTTTTAAAATGAGTTGGCTCCACCTACATGCCTTTTTAAATTTAAGCAATAAAGGTACATGAAGTTGATTGCTGACTTTTACGGATTATTAAGGGGAGAGATGGGAGAATAAAGAAAATATGCAAGCAGACACTAGAAATCAAGTGTGATACAGTAATTATATTTAATGTAATTCAGTTTTAATTAGTTATAACCAATAGATCATAATAATAAATGCCATTAAGGACACTTTGTGAAATTAGAGCAGTCTTGCATAATTTAAAAATGTAAAATTTCATAAAACATTTTACTTTTAAAGCTTTGGCGAGGTTTACTGGAGCCAGCATTTTGGACGGGGTTAATAAGTGCCACATAACAAAAGAATAAACTAAAGATGGTGAAACCATCTGGAGTTTCTGTACTTTAAAAAAAAATAAGATGTTTCTGTAAGATTACTCCACATAAAATATTTTCTGAAAACAAACTCCCTCCTTAAGACTCTCATGCCCAATGTCAACTCTGCTAATTACACAAAAAGTTATTTCTAAAGATAACCAAACAGTGAAGCCTTGAGCTGCAAATGTTGAAAAGCCAGTGGTTTATAAACCTGAGTAATGACAATGTTACCTCCAATGACAATGACACTACCCTACCCTGCTCAGGCCCCACAGTGGCTTACTCTGAAGATGGTCAAATAACTTAATTAAAAAGTAAGCAAAAGACATGAACAGATGTTTCTCAAAAGAAGACATACAAGTGGCAAACAAACATGAAAAATATTCAACACCACTAATCATCAGAGAAATGCAAATTAAAACCACAATAAGATACCATCTTCTATCACTCAAAATGGCTATTAAGGACACAGGAAGGGGAACATCACACACCGGAGACTGTTGTGGGGTCGGGGGAGGGGTGAGGGATAGAATTAGGAGATATACCTAATGCCAAATGACAAGTTAATGGGTGCAGCACACCAATATGGCACATGTATACATATGTAACAAACCTGCACGTTGTGCACATGTACCCTAAAACTTAAAGTATAATAATAATAAAATTTTTTAAAAAAGAAGTCAAAACCAACATATATTGGTGTGAATATGAAAAAAATGTAACGCTTATACATTGTTTGTGGGAATGTAAATTAGTACAAGTTCTATGGAAAATAGTATGGAGCTTCCTCAAAACACAAAAAATAGAATTGCCATTCAACCCAGCAATACCACTACTGGGTTGAAAGAAAGTAAAAGGAATTGTTATATCGAAAAGACACTTGTACTTGCATATCCATTACAGCACTATTCATGCTAGCAAGGTAATGGAATCAGCTTAAATGTTTATCAACAGAAGAATGGATAAAGAAATGTGGTATATGTACATCATGAAATACTATGCATCCATATAAAAGAATGAAATCGTATTCTTTTCAGCAATATGGAAGGAGCTGGAGGCCATTATCCTAAGTGAAATAACTTAGAAACAGAAAATCAAATACTGAATGTTCTCACTTATAAACAGGACCTATACACTGGTACAGATGGGCATAAAGTTGGAAACAACAGACACTAGGACTCTAAAAGGGAGAAGAATGGAAGGTTTGAAAAACAACCTATTGGGTACAATGTTCACTGTTTGGGTGATAGGTATACTAGAAGCCCAAAACTCATCATTATACACATATATCCATGTAAAACACCTGCACACACACCCCCGAATCTAAAATAAGAATTTAAAAAATAGAAGAATATGATGAGATTTCATAACTCATAGTCCAAGATACCACTCCTGATTATGTACCTCAATGACTTGGAGAGATAATTTCTCATCTTCATTAGAGGATTGTATAGGAAATACTCATTAGATATTCTTTATGAAAACTAATGGATTTTTTATTATTTTAAATGTTATAATTTAGACTTTTTAATATCTGTGATAAGACAGTATTTATATTTAAATAAATGATCCCGTGGATAGTCTAATTTGAAGATATTAAGCCTGCATTGTCCCACAAGTGGCTATTTGGACCATGAAATGGGCTAGTGACATGCTGAAATGATAATATTTTCAATATATTGTGTTGGTTAAAATATATTATTTAAAAAAATTTCACCTGTTTCTTATTTTTAATGTGTTTTTAAATGTGTACTAATACATTTAAAAATACACACGTCGTGACTTATATTTCCATTGCAGAGTGCTAAGTCATGTCCACTCAGTCTGAGCCCAGAAAGAAGAGAGTTTTTCCATAGTAAGAACAAATAGAGAATGTTACTTCTGTCATAGGTGTGTGACTGGAGAGTGTGATGCTTTCTCAACAGAGGGAAGGCACTTAGCTGATGGTTGAGAGAATGGACTTTGGAGTTAAAGGGGCTGGAGTTTGAATTTTGTGTCATCCAATTAAGAGTTTTGGGGTCCTGGGCAATTTATTTAATGTCTCTAATTGTGCACCCTTCTCTCATGTGAAAAGATGAAAGTGATGTTATTTTTATCCTGGGAATGTTCTGCGGAATAAATAAAATAATAGCTATGTAACAGAACTCAGGCTGTTGCCTTGTTACACAGCAGGTACACCAATCCATGGTAGCTATATTTTTGATATTCTGCTTATTGTGATTATTGGCATGCATAACTAGACACTTAAAGGGATTAGATGGTGAGAATTGAGGATAAACACTTGGGATGATGGAAAATATAAAATGTACAGTGAACATGTTACTGGAAAACCAGGAACTGTTGTTCGGGATACATTAAGGATATATATATATATATGTGTGTGTGTGTGTGTGTGTGTGTGTGTGTGTATATATATGTGTATATATATATATATATATATTTTTTTTTTTGAGACAGACTCTCACTCTGTTGCCCAGGCTGGAGTGCAGTGAAGTGATCATGGCTCACTGCAGCCTTGAATTCCTGGGCTCAAGCAATCCTCCTGCCTCAGCTGACTGAGTAGCTAAAACCACAGGCATGCACGGCCATGCCTGGCTTACTTTTTAGGTTTTTGTAAAGATGGGGTTGTGCTATGTTGTCCAGGCTGGCCTCGAACTCCTGGTCTCAAGTGATCTTCCCACCTTGGCCTTGCAAAAGGCTGGGTGGCATGAGCCACGGTGCCCAGTCAACTATTGTTTTATTTTTAATAGCAAATCTGATCCCTGAGAGCAGTCCAGTGTGAAGGAATGAGAAATGAACTCATGTATTTTGAAGAAGTACTTTATAGACTAACAACCAAAAGAAGCCCAGGACCAGATGGATTCACAGCTGAATTCTACCAGAGGTACAAAGAGGAGTTTGGTACCATTCCTTCTGAAACTATTCCAAAAATAGAAAAAGAGAGACTCCTCCCTAACTCATTTTATGAGGCAAGCATCATCTGGATACCAAAACCAGGCAGAGACACAACACAACAACAACAACATAAAAATTCAGGCCAATATCCCTGATGAACAGTGATGTGAAAATACTCAATAAAATACTGGCAAAATGAATCCAGCAGCACATTAAAAAGCTTATCCACCACAATCAAGTCATCTTCATCCCTGGGAGGCAAGCCTAGTTCAACATATGCAAATCAATAAACATAATCCATCACATAAACAGAACCAATGACAAAAACCAAGTGATTATCTCAATAGATGCAGCAAAGGCCTTCGAGAAAATTCAACACCCCTTCATGCCAAAAATACTCAAAAAACTAGGTATTGATGGAACGTATCTCAAAATAATAAGAGCTATTTATGACGAACCCACAGCCAATATCATACTGAATCGGCAAAAGCTGAAAGCATTCCCTTTGAAAACCAGCACAAGACAAGGATGCCTTCTCTTACCACTCCTATTCAGCATAGTATTGGAAGTTCTGACCAGGGCAATCAGGCAAGAGAAAGAAATAAAGGGAATTCAAATAGGAAGAAAAGAAGTCAAATCATCTCTGTTTGCAGATGATATGACTGCATATTTAGAACACCCCATTGTCTCAGCCCAAAAACTCCTTAAGCTGATAAGCAACTTCAGCAAAGTCTCAGGATAGAAAATCAATGTCCAAAAATCACAAGCATTCCTATACACCAATAACAGACAAACAGAGAGCCAAATCATGAGTGAACTCCCATTCACAACTGCTACATACAACTTAAAAGGGATGTAAAGGACTCCTTCAAGGAGAACTACAAACCACTGCTCAAGGAAATAAGAAAGGACACAAACAAATGGAAAAACATTCCATGCTCATGGATAGGAAAAATCAATATTGTGAAAATGGCCATACTGCCCAAAGTAATTTATAGATTCAATGCTATTCCCATCAAGCTGCCATTGACTTTCTTCACAGAACTAGAAAAAAACTACTTTAAATTTCATATGGAACCAAAAAAGAGCCTCTATAGCCAAGACAATCCTAAGCAAAAAGAACAAAGTTGGAGGCATTGCTCTACCTGACTTCAAACTATACTACAAGGCTACAGAACCAAAGCAGCATGGTACTGGTACCAAAACAGATATATAGACCAATGGACCAGAACAGAGGCCTCAGAAATAACACCACATGTCTACAAACATCTGACATTTGAAAACCTGACAAAAACAAGAAATGGGGAAAGGATTTCTTATTTAATAAATGGTATTGGGAAAACTGGCGAGCCATATGCAGAAAACTGAAACTGGACCTCTTCTTTACACCTTATAAAAAATTAACTCAAGATGGATTAAATATTTAAATGTAAGACCTAAAACCATAGAAACCTAGAAGAAAACCTAGGCAATACCATTGAGGACATAGGCATGGGCAAAGACTTCACGACTAAAACACCAAAATCAATGGAAACAAAAACCAAAATTGACAAATGGTATCTAATTAAACTATAGAACTTCTGCACCATAAAAGAAACTATCATCAGAGTGAACAGGCAACCTACAAAATGGGAGAAAATGTTTGCAATCTATCCATCTGAAAAAGGGCTAATACCCAAAATCTACAGGAAATTCAAAGAAATTTACAAGAAAAAAAACAACACCATCAAAAAGTGGGTGAAGGATATGAACAGACACTTCTCAAAAGAAGACATTTATGTGGCCAACAAACACATTTAAAAAAGCTTATCATCACTGGTCATTAGAGAAATGCAAATCAAAATCACAATGAGATACCATCTCACGCCATTTAGAATGGCGATCAATAAAAAGTTAGGAAACAACAGATGCTGGAGAGGATGTGGAGAAATACAAATGCTTTTACACTGTTGTTGGGAGTGTAAGTTAATTCAACCATTGTGGAAGACAGTGAGGCGATTCCTCAAGGATGTAGAACTAGAAATACCATTTGACTCAGCAATCCCATTACTAGGTATATACCCAAAGGAGTATAAATCATTCTGCTATAAAGACACATGCACAGGTATGTTTAATGCAGCACTATTCACAATAGCAAAGACTTTGAACCAACCCAAATGCCCATCAATGATGGACTGGATAAAGAAAATGTGGCACATATACACCATGGAATACTATGCAGCTATACAAAAGAATGAGTTCATGTCCTTTGCAGGGACATGGATGAAGCTGGAAACCATCATTCTCAGCAAACTAACACAGGAACAGAAAAACAAATACCACGTGTTCTCACTCATAAGTGGCAGTTGAACAATGAGAACATATGGGGGCAGGCATGGGAACATCACACACTGGGGCCTGTCAAGGGGTAGAGGGAAGAAGAGGGATAGCATTAGGAGAAATACCTAATGTAGATGATGGGTTGATGGGTACAGCAAACCACCATGGCACATGTATACCTATGTAACAAACCTGCATGTTCTGCACATGTATCCCAGAACTTAAAGTATATTTTAAAAAATCCTTTAAAACTACAGTGTCTATAAAATTTAAGTTTTATAAACTGTGGCCAATAAGAAAATAAAGATGGTCTCATTAAAAGTTAAGAGTTTCTTTCAACTTTAATCAACAATCTGAAGTTACTGAAGATTTAACAAAGCAAATATTACTTATTTTTATAATTTCAATGAGTAGGATAACTGAATATAGACACTTTCCTGATTTTAATAGTATGGCTAAATTGATTCTTATTTTTAAAATCCTTTATCATTTAACCAATTAGATAGGAAGAAATGTGGCATTCTCACATATTCAGTGAGAGTTTTATAAAATTAGTGTATAAAACTCACTTTTTGTATGAACAATCACATTCTAGTAAACTCAAAGTGTAAGTTAAAAGTAATAAAACAGATAGAAGCCTGTGAAACCATTTGCTCACAGAAAAGAGGTATAAATCTTAATATTTTAAAATTAATTTTTTGTTAAGAGAGTAGATCTTAATGTTCTCACCACACCCAACAACTAACAATGGGAGATGATGTCAAAACATCATGTAGTACACCTTAAAATATACCATTTTGTCAATATGTATTTGATTCCATAAAACTGGAAAAATTTTTTAAATTAATTTTTTAAAATATTAGTTCCCTTTTAATTGTCATGGAAGTGTTATCTTTTGAGAATGGAATATGATTTTCTTGTAAACTGAAAAAAAGACATTTCACATTTTCTTGCAGACCACTAATATCACATTACAGCCAATTTTGCTTTCATGTGGCTAAGAGGTGAAAGGACAAAACAGATCTTGGAGATGCCAATAAGGTTTCGTGTGCTTCTAAAGTTGCAAGCAAGTAGTAATCAATTCTCTCCTGAAGGAATGATGGAATGAAGATTAAAGTGTTTTAAAAAAGTGTTTCTTTTTCTTTCTCTCTTTGTTGCTTCATTATTATTATTATTGTTTTGGCTATGAAACATGTACTATCAACAAAATTTTAAAGACTTCAGAAAGATACAAATGCTGCAAAAAAATAAAGATGATTCATTTCAAATGAAGATGGACTAGATGGAAAAAGAATTTTCTCATGGCTACCCTGATTAGTGACTCCTAAAATTAAAAATTATTGAGAAATATACTTGACTGGATTCTGCATTAGTATTTCCTAAATGACATGCAACTAGCACAATCCTTTTAAAGGAAATGTTTTAAGATATTGGATTTTTATCATTCTAGTTTTTCTTTTGAGACTGAGTCTAGCTCCATTGCCCAGGCTGGATCAGCACGATCTCAGCTCATTGCAACCACCACCTCCTGGGTCCAAGCGATTCTGCCTCAGCCTCCTGGGTAGCTGGGACTACAGGCATGCACCACCATGCCCAGCTAATTTTTGTATTTTTATTAGCGACAAGGTTTCACCATGTTGGCCAGGCTGGCCTCGAACTCCTGACCTCATGTGATTCACCCGCATTGGCCTCCCAAAGTGCTGGGATTACAGGTGTCAGCCACCATGCCTGGCCTAGTTCTAGTTTTTCAAAGAAATTTAAAGTTTTTTAAGCTTAACACAAGCACTTGGATGTGGCAAGCACTCTACTTTATATGTTATTTCATTTAATGTTCATACCACCTTAGGATGTAGGTGCTATTATTCTATCCAATTTTACAGTGAGAAATCTGGGAACTAAAGAAGTGAAGTGAGGGGCTCAGGGGCTACAACTGGTGGATCTAGACACTAACCCAGACAGGTTAACTCCAGAGCCCAACCTGAGCTCTCTGTAAACTTACTGTAAATTCAATTCACCTGGAGAAAATGTTAAAACTGCATATTCCCAAGCCTCATGACCAAGAAAGTCAATTCAGGAGGTTTGGAGAGGGGTTTAGGAATGTGTCTTTTTAACAAGTATAATAAAGTTTCATTTTGTTTTGTTTTTTAATGTTTTCTTGACCCAGTTTTGAGGCCTTGACTAGAGGTAGGTCAGTTCCCCTTCTTGAACAGGTATGTGTATACTCCAACAACTTCCTTTATGGGTGATCACAGTCTGGGCCACTATACACCTGCCCTAATTGCCCCAGCTGTAGGTACCAGAAAACTAGAGACAATCCCTCTGCCCTGGAGCCTTGTGAAATCATTCAAATTAGCTGATCCACCGGGATCCTGCAAAACCTAGCTAACCTCACCGCCCTTGACATATGCACGTTGCCCCCTATAGCTGCAGCTTGCTATTACCCTGTTCCTGGATGCAACTCTCTGTGGGCCCTGCCTGGCAGCTTTCTCTGGTTTGGAATATCAATGTTTTGTATCCTGCCATCAAAAAAATCTTTAAATCGGGAGCTGATCATAATCCCAGAAGACAGTCCTGAAAGCCATAATCTCAATTGTTGAAATTCTGAAATATCAATATCCCAAAAATACAATTATAAAAATAATTTGAAAGATATTTATTTACATTTCTAAAATATATTTATTTGAGAAACATATGAAAGCATGACAGAACACTTCACAGGCCACTTTACATGGTAAAATAGGTAAATAATAGTGTATATTTTTGCAAACAAACACTCAGGTATAATAACAGTAGCACAGGCATAAAGTTATAAGCAGACAAACCATATTCATATTCATAAAGAAATAGGTGAAAAAGCAAAATATATAAATGTATGTCATTATGGTTGGTAATTGTGTATAACCAGCTCAATAATGCAATTCTCTGAAATACGCTAAGAGACAACCCAAGCCTTTTCACAAGATGGATCTAAAACCGTGATGGCCACCACCACATGTGCAGCCACCCTAGAAGCCAAGAAATTTTATCTTTTACAAATGCACATGTACAAAAAAGACATCTCCTCATTTATTGAGGAAGTTTCTATGTTTTTATGTATACACACAAGGCTTACACACAAAGTCAATGTTGTGACAATGCACTTTTGTGGAATCAAATTTCTGTCCAAGGTGGCAGAAAAAAAGTCTGTCCCAGCTCACAGAGAGAGACAAGTTCACGTTTTGTATTTGTTCTGTTCAGGTCCTTGGCCAGTTGGATGGTGCCTGACTATGCTGCAGGCAGATCTTTCCCACCTACTTTATTCAGACTCAATTACTAATCTCCTCTGCAAACACTCTCAAAGACACACCCAAAATAATGCTTTACAGGTTTCCTAGGTGTTCCCTAATATTGTCAAATTGACACCTAGAATTAACTCCACAAGTCCACCCCTTGTCAATTTGGCATCCAGATGCATCTCTTTAAACCGTACTTAATTTCCAAAATAAAGATGATAACAAGGTAATAGTTTTGCCTAATAAGATGCAACTTTACTGTATACAATCAAAAACACACTAATCCCTTCCCCAGAATTCAGCTTTAAGGATTTCAACATTTGGTATTTTAACCTTTGGAATTGTGATTTTTGGAATTTTAGACATTAGGGATTTTGATCTTTCCGGGATTTCAACATTCAGGATTATGGACGGAACTGTCTCTTTTGGGATTGTGATCCAAACCCCTTTAAATGTTATAAATCAATCTTAGAAACAATTGGTTCTGCGAGCTGGATGCATGGCCATGACTGCTGACTCTTGGATAGTTTCTTGGGGGTCTGCTCTGGTTTACTAAGTGGATCTAAACCACCTCTAGAGTGGCTCCGGCCAGAACCTGAGCTTTGGCTTTAGCTTTGTTGCCTATTGCTGTGTCTGCTGGCACAGCTTTGTTAGAGGTCTTTTCCAGGAGTGGCCACTTCTTCGGAGTTAATGTTTATTATTATTTGGGTCAGAACTCTGGTCTGATTACACCTCCAATGTTAACTTATATCAACTCTTTGGACTCTAAATTCCTCAGTATTACCAATCTAATTCTTTTATTATGACATTTTAAGAGCTTAGACAAGGATATTTTAAACTATTACATTTATCAGTTTGTTCTAAATTTTTACTTCTGTTTTTCTTTTCTTTTTTTGTTTTTGAGAGGGAGTCTCATTCTGTCACCCAGGTTGGAGTGCAGTGGCACAATCTTGGTTCACTGCAACCTCCACCTCTCGGGTTCAAGCGATTCTCCTGCCTCAGCCTCCCAGGTAGCTGGGATTACAGGATCATACCACCACACCCAGCTAATTTTTTGTATTTTTAGTAGAGATGGGTTTTCATCATGTTGGCCAGGATGGTCTCGAACTCCTGGCCTCAAGTGATCTGCCCGCCTCAGCCACCAAAATTGCTGGGATTACAGGCGTGAGCCACTGTGCCTTGCCTCTTTTTACTTTTGAAAATGTAATAATCTCACACTGTTCTTAAAGCAAAAACTGCACATAAAAGTATACAGCAAAAGGTATCCCTCTCATCTTTGTTCTCCATCTGCTGGTTCCCACTCCTCTTCCTCACAATCACTGGCTTTGAAGTTTCTTGTGCATCCTTGTAGGGTTTTTTCCTCCATATTAATTCAACTTAGAGATACTTGTATTTTAAAATCAGTAATAATATATCAATTCTAAGATAGTGATTATAAAAATAAATAGAGAGGCCAGGTGTCGTGGCTCATGCTTGTAATCCCAACACTATTGGAGGCTGAGGTGTGAGCATCACTTGAGCCCAGGATTTCAGGACCAGCCAGGGCTAATGGTGAGACCCAAATGCTACCCAATACATAAATAAATGAATAAATAAATAAATAACATAAAAATAAGCACATTTTAGCTGTCTGAGTATAAGTAAAGAAAATAAAATCTGTACAACAAGGATAGGACTTAGATAAACACTATTCTTATTCCTGTTTCCACATGTAAAGAAATGGATGAAATGGGAAAAACACTGTTGGGTTTGTCCAGTGCCACTCAAGTTTCCTTTGAATAAAATGTCTAAATCATTGAAAATACTTCCAAATCAGCTAACTACTGAATATCTGGCTCACAAAAAGTTGTCTGAGAAGAGGTGATGAAATAAGCATCTGAAATGAATTAATATCAGAATTAAAACTCAAAATGACAATCCTCAGAGAACTTTGGCCAAAGACCCTCTACATATTAGGGTTCTAGGTTAGATTGAAACTAAATCTTAGTGAGAAAAGTAAGCACATATAGCCCATATTGGAGATAACCTTATGTCAAAGATGGGAGACTGGGGACTTTTGACAGAAAGGTAAACTTTGACATTTCAGGATTTTTATGTTACTCTATATAAATGGAGCAATCATATCCACAGCCATCCCACCCTCTAAATGTAAAGTGAATTTAAGGTGACTGATCTTTATTGTTTGTTTTAAAAAATGCTTTTTGGTTTGTTTTAGCTTATTAAAGACACTTTATATGATACACAGTGGCCAATAAACATATGAAAAAATGCTCATCATCACTAATCCTCAGAGAAATGAAAATCGAAACCACAATAACATACCATTTCATGCTGGTCAGAATGGTGATCATTAAAAAGTTGAAAAATAACAGATGCTGGCAAGGCTGCAGAGAAAAGAGAATGCTTATACGCTGTTGGTGGGAATGAAAATTAGTTCAGTCACTGTGGAAAGCAGTTGGAGATTTTTCAAGGAACTTAAAACAGAACTACCTTTCAGCTCAGCAATCCCATTGCTTTGTATAGACCCAAAGGAATATAAATCATTCTACCAAAAAGACATATGTACTCATGTGTTCATCGCAGTGCAATTCACAATAGCAAAGATATGAAATCAACCTAGGTGCCCATCAATGATGGATTGGATAAAGAAAATGTGAAACATATGCAACACGGAACACTATGCAGCCATAAAGATGAAACAGAATCATGTTCTTTTTAGCCACATGGATGGAGCTGGAGGCCATTATCCTAAGTAAATAAACTAACACAGGAACAAAAAACCAAATACCACATATTCTCACTTATAGATGGCAGCTGAAAATTAAGTACACACAAATGTAAGGATGGGAGCTATAGACCTTGGAAACTACTAGAGAGAAGAGGGAGGGGAGCATGGGCTGAAAAAGTACCTATTGGGTACTATGCTAATTACCTGTGTGATGGGATCACCTGAACCCCAAATTTCAGCATCACTCAATATACCCATGTAACAGACTTGCACATGCACTCTCTGAATCCAAAACAAAAGTTGAGAAAAATACACTTTATACCACTTACCAGATTTTTTAAATTAATAATTTAAAAATCTAACAAGATAATAAAAATATCCTCAATGTAAGGAACTTTTCCTTAAATTGGATGAATTTACCTCTATCCAAAACTTATTATATCGTCCTTATTTTTCATTTCATTGCATTCTTGTGAAAACTTTATGGCGCGACAACATTTGGGAATCCATGATATAAAATAAAGTAATCTCCTTAAAGGCAGTGATCAATGAGGCCAAGAAAATACTACAAGTAGATTAGGCTCCCAGATAACTTATTTTCAATATCTGTAACATACTAGTTATACAAAAAGAGGTAAGGATATTTTTGTATGAAAGAACACTGGTACACATCTCAGAGGTGTCAGAATATCTGATAATAAGGTGCAGAGTTCTATAATTGTGAAGTGTCAGAAGATATCAATGGGAATAATGAAGTTAGAGTTAGATTCTAGGGACTTTATGTACCAAACCATGATGACAAGAAGGAGGAAAATAAAGCTGATGGTATGTACCAAGTGCTAAAACCGCATTTCGTCCAATTTTTGTAAACTCATCGATGTCTAACCCAGCACTGGATACATTGGTCAGGCATAATCAGTAACTGCTAAACTGAATTGAACTCTTACAATGGTGATTTCTTAAGTAGAGACTGTTCTAAGAAAATTATCAATATTTGTGTTGTTTGATGGCCTATAATGATCACTTTTTATCTTTTAATGAATTAGATCAATAGAATAAAATAGTATAAAATAGAATATGTATCTCATCTAATAAGGATATCTATAGAGGTATATATATATCACTCTATATAAACAAAAAATGTATATAGATATAGAAACGAAAGCTTCATATACAGATATAGCTTTCACATATGTATCTATATATAAAAGCTTCATATATAAGCAAAAGCTTCATATATATCTCTACATATGAGATATATATCTCTCTATATATGATACAGTCACATACATGTATGCATATTGTCTTGATGCAAGATATATTTATTATAGATTATAAACACAATTTTATTAACACAGAGTTTGAAAGGGGTTGATAGATATGATCCCTTTCAAAGGAGTTGGTTATATCATAATATATAAATTATATAAATAATATAAATAATACAAATAATTATATATTATATCATAAGATATAAATAATATAATAAAAAATATACAAATAATTTATAGGTAATATATCAACCCCTTTGAAAGTGGTTGATATATTTATTATAGATTATAAACACAGAGTTTTATAAACACAGAATTTGAAAGGGGTTGAGAGATATTGGAAACACCAGTTTCTCCTGAAATTTTAGAAATCTGAAATAAAAATGTTTTTATTATTCTATTAGAATTGATTAAATATTTTTCATGATGAACAGCTAAACTTCTTTTCTGCAATGGTACTTAAGTATGTGCTTTATAAAGCCCTCTTGAAATATTAAGTAAAACTGAGGATTAAACTATTAAATGTTTAACATCTAAAAATTGTTCTTATGAATTAATTTTTATGATCACATGTACATAATTATTAAAATCAAAATATATCAACTAAGACAGAGAAAATTCACATGTAAACGTTTTGAAATGGAACTATTAGAAATGACAGTACAAAGTTTCAAGGTTTCTTCTCAACAAAGAGGAAATAGGAGATATTATTGTCAAATTTCTCTACGATTAGATAGATTGATATACATAAAGCTAAAATAAAAATTTTAAAAGCACCACAAAAAGGCTACAAAAAGCTATTCCTCCAACACGTATTTTTTTGAGCTCCTACTGGTGGCTGAAACTGAACCAGATTCTAAGAAAACAGCAAGGGATGAAGCAAATTTCCTATACTCAGGACACTTATCTTGGGTGAAGGGGAAGGGAGGGATGTGGTGAGCAAAGCGGACCATAAACGAATGCATATCTAAGAAAATTCCCTACATTAAAATTTAAGTGCGTGGACAGGGAAAAGTACCACTCAGTTCCTGTTTTGTTTCCTTCTTTTGTCTATAAAAAGAATCATATTAAAACTGGAAATGCTCCAGAATACATTATAAAGAGGAAGTTATAGCTCAGATGATGTGAAGTCACAGAGAAGTGAACTTCCACCAAAATCATATTTCAGAGTGGTGGAAAGATTTGCAGATGTAATCACAAATCATTAGCTACTTTTTGAATTTATATAAAGATAAAGAAGTTCCAGACATCTGTTCAAAACTTTCATGAAACCACTTTAAAAAAGTGGAGTTCTTTCAAAGATCAGCAACTAACACATCTGATGTTTCATGAAACCACTTAAAAAAGTGTTAGCTTGCTAACATGTTGGTTGCTGATCCCTAAAAGAACTCTAGAACTATTAAACAGACTGGCTCTAAAACTGTTTTAAAATAATGCATTATCACTGAACACCACCATGTACTCACTGTGGCTAGGGTATCTAAATCAGGGGAAATTTTTGAAACACTTCATCTTAATTTACCAAAGAATTTGTAAAAATTTCTCCTGAGAATTTGGGACAAAATAGAGAAGTGTGGCTTATTGATATACCCAAAGCTTTAACTGACTAGAATGACAAACCTGAACTATAAAACAAAATTTAACAGGAGTGAAAATGAAATTCAGCACTGAAACAAAATTTTCGAATATATATACAGCCATGAAAATAAAATGTAATTGGAACTCAAAGTCAACATATTTTTACTAGCATTGTGAACAAAGAAATGACCAAATAGCGTATACTTTTGGAAGGAAGCACATGACACCAATTTGTGAAGTAATCTTGAAAAAACAAAGGAAAATAAAAATGGAATCCAATCTCATTTTCGAGGTGTTATTCAAACTCACATAAATTTTGAAAAATATTGTATTTCAGCTAGTTTTATTAAAACTAATATTTATAACTAGTTAGCAGAGAACCAATAAAGAGGCTGAATGTCCAAATATTTAGGAAATTGCCTCTGGGAACATGACCATTAACCATCTGGAAAGCCTCAGAAACAGCTGGTGAAACAGTTTGAAAGGAGTTAACTTCTAGAAATAAAATGGGGGGTATGTGTTTCAATAATATGTGGCTTGGAATAGTGAGTGTGATAAGAATTGTCTTAATTCACAATTTTACCTCAACTCATTTTCTCTTGAAATTCCACTGAGACCATTCAATGCCACCTCACCAACAACCTCTGTCAGTTTTCTGTCCTTATCTTACTTGACCTATCAGTAGTATTTGCCCATTTGATTACTCCCTTCTTCTGAAATACTTTCTTTGGCATTTGGATCTCTCTCTCTCTTTTGCTCTCTGTTTTTCTCCTGCATCACAGACCACTTCCTCTCAATATCCTTTATGGAGTTCTCTTTCTACTTCTAAACTTCTAAGTACTAGAGCATCTTACAGTTCATATTTTTTTCTCTCTTACTCCAATCCATCAGCAAATCATGAAGGCCTCTGTCCCAAATCTGCATCCTAAATCTGACCATCATCACAACTCTGGCTATCACGTTGGTCCATATTACCATTTATCTCTCACCTTTGCTACTGTAAATGGCACCTAAATAGGTGTTTCAGCTTCTCTATTGTTCTACAACACTCATTTCTCAATACAGCAGCCAAAATATGTTATACCACATGACTCGGATGCTCAAAAGCCTTTGACTAAATTCACGCCCAGGATAACATCCACAACTCTGCCTCCTGGGGCATGATTGCCTCTTTGTTTGCTTTCCATGTCACTGTTCATTCATGCCTTGCAGCCACCCTGGCCTTCTTTCTGTACCTTAAACTCCCCATAAATACTCCCACCTCCAAGCCCATTTCTTTAATCTCTCAAAGATAATCCTTTTTCTGATAACACCCATCACTTTCCTTCAATTATCCTGGTCTATTTTTCTTCATAGCACTTGAGATAATCGAAATTCTTTTTTAATTTCATTTTATTTATTGTACTTTAAGTTTTAGGGTACATGTGCACAATGTGCAGGTTTGTTACATATGTATACATGTGCCATGTTGGTGTGCTGCACCCATTAACTCGTCATTTACATTAGGTATATCTCCTAATGCTATCCCTCCCCGCTCCCCCCACCCCACAACACGGCCTGGTGTGTGATGTTCCCCTTCCTGTGTCCATGTGTTCTCATTGTTCAATTCCCACCTATGAGTGAGAACATGCAGAGTTTGGTTTTTTTGTCCTTGCAGTAGTTTGCTGAGAATGACGGTTTCCAGCTTCATCCATGTCCCTACAAAGGACATGAACTCATCCTTTTTTATGGCTGCATAGTATTCCATGGTGTGCCACATTTTCTTAATCCAGTCTAATCGAAATTCTAACAAAAGTATGTGCTTATTGTTTCCATCTCCTTATTAGAATGTAAGCTCCATAAAGATAGTGACCTTGTCTCTTTTCCACTTTAGTGTATTCCTAGTACAAGCAGAATGTTAATCATAGAATAGAAACTCAATAAACATTTGTTGGATAAGCGAAGTAAGGAAGTGAGTAGCAGAAGAAAGTAGTAATCTCACTATATTCTGTTGTAATCAAATCTGATTTAGATTATTTTGTTTAATACTTACCACCACATTTATAAGACATTGGTAAGGTAAAGACATTAGTAAGGAGGCTAACAATGGCGGTGTTATGGTTGAAGTGTGCCCCTCCAATAAAATGGTTATGATAAAGTTCTGACCCCTAATGTCTCAGAATATGACCTGATTTTGAAACAGGATTATGGGAGATGTAATTAGTTAACATAAATGAGGTCAAATTGGAGAGTAGGGTGGGCACCTAATCCAATAATCCAATATGACTGGTGATCTTATAAGATGTTCATATAGACATAGACACACATACACATGTACAGACACACATGCACACACACACACACACACACACACAGAGGAAAAATGTCATGTGAGGGTGAAGGCTGAGATTGGAATTATGCAGCTGCAAACCAAGGAATGCCTAAGATTGCCAGAAAACCACAAGAAGCTAGGAAAAGGCAAAGAATGATTTTTCTACAAATTTCAGAGGGAAGATGACCCTGCCAACACCTTGACTTCGGACCTGTAGCCCCTAGAATTATGAGACAATAAATTTCTGTTGTTTTAAGCCACCTAGTTTGCAGCACCTTGTTATAGCAGCCCCAGGAAACTGATACAGATGGTACGTCTAGAAAATCACGTACTTTTGAGGAATACCAGAGATCTTTCACCCAGAGAAAAGAATGCCTGTAGCTTTGGAGCCCATATCCTAGGTTTTATACTAACTGGAGTAGCTTTGGAGGCCGTATCCTAGGTTTTATATTAATTGGAAACATATTTCTAGGGGTCATAAAATATTAGGTAGTCTGAGGTACAGTTAGAGAAAGGGAAAACCAGATATGTCTGGTCACATCTGGTGAACAGCCAGAGATAATCTGCCAGATCCTTATGTAAAATGAAACAGAATTCTGCTGGCAAAGAAGTCAAGCGTTACTTGCTGCTGAAGTTCAAACACTTCTGTACATTCTGGCAAGTTTGCAGGGTGGGACCAAAAAAACTTCTATCTTCGGGGACTACTAAAGAACCTCCAAGGGAAAAAAAAATCTGAAGAAAGAGGGACCAGGCACTCAGAGGATGCATTAACTAAGTCTCAAGCTGGGAAGTGGAACCTCTATGAAGACATGGAATGTGGAGTTTACACTAGGGATCAGACTTGACACAATGGTGGGATCTGGCAAAGAAGCCTAGGAAAAGCTGTTGCTTCTGCTTCTGATTGTAGGCCTGAAGGCACTGTTAAGCCCGCAGGGCCCAATTGGAACGAAAGGCACAGTGAGAAGTAGGGAAGCGAGGACAGACTAGAACATGAAACCCATCATATCAAACAGGAATTGCAAGGTTAATATTTAACCCACATCTGTCTCTCATCACCTCCAACCTCAATCATGTGGGAGACCTTCTGAAGAAACTGGTCCTCTTTGTCCCAGTGCTGCACATCTGTTCCAGAATTTAGAGAAGCCAGAAGAGATCCAGCAGGAGCTGGATACAAGGCTGAGAAATGAGTGAAACACTAGTCCTTTAGACAATAGTCGCTGATGCAAAAATTTATGGAGTGCCAAATAACTTAGTAATCAAGATAAATAATATTTAATGTAATACATCAAGTCAAAATTTATCCAAAAATTTATGGTGAGTAAAATATTAAAATTTTAAACAAAACAATATCTGACATGGATTAGAATAAAACTAGTGAGGCCAAGTCATGCAAGGGACTAGAGTGAAGCTAGTGAGGCTAAATTGCCACCCCATCCCAATGAGATAAGCCAGCAGATCAGTGGCAACGGGTGCTAATTATGGTGGCACCTGGTACCTTACAACGACCTTAGGAGCTAATGTCTGCTGATTCTCTCCTCTCTATAACTCTCACAACTTTCCCTGTGGCCAACCCACATCCAGAACCATGGGTGGAAGGGAATTCTGGGAAAAGTAGTTTTAGCTTGGCTGATTTGCCATGATAAAAACCACCACAGCAGATTACTCAGGAACTGGCAGTCCAAATAAAGAATGATATTTATTAAATGAATCTGCCAACCTCAGTTCCCTGGACACTTGTCTTGTACCTAGGGGGCATAAATAGTTAGTGAGTAAAAACAAAAGCCTTTTCTATAAAACACAATGTGGGAAAAAGAGATGTGGCTTTCAGATCTCTTTAATAGAATATGTCTCGAAGGAGAGAAAGCTATTCTCAACTCCGGTACAGGCTACCACATTGCTTTGAGAGGTCAGCAGTAAAGTATACCATGCCCATGGAGCCACAGGTGAGATGGGACACAGCAGGGGGGCAATGGCTGTCTGTAAAGAGTGGTAGCCCATCATCTGAGTAATGCTGACTCCAAGGAGTGATGAGAGGAAAGATAGGACTGAACAGGCAGTTTCATAGAAAGTGGGCATGGAGCAAAATTGATATATTGCTTTGAGGACTCCAAAAGATACCTGGGTACCATGGACTCTAAAAGGGCAAACAGCAAAATCTGGGTACAAATGCATATAGGTTAGAAATGGCTGTAGTTTGGGGCCACATTTTTCATCCATAACATCTTATAAATTACAAAGCAGTTATTTGGCCTACCTCATATCCCAGAACTCATCAGTATTGGGTCTGATCTATAAATTAGGCATTCCAACTGCCAAACCAGTGCTTTTTCTTTTTTTTTTCTTTTCTTTTTTTATTGTTTGATTTATTTTTTTTTTTGAGATAGAGTCTCCCTCTGTCGCCCAGGCTGGAGTGCAATGGCGCGATCTCGGCTCACTGCAACCTCTGCCTCCCCAGTTTAAGCAATTCTCCTGCCTCAGCCTCCTGAGTAGCTGAGATTACAGGCGCCCACCACCATGCCCGTCTAATTTTTGTATTTTTAGTAGAGACGGGGTTTCACCATGTTGGTGAGGCTGGCCTTGAACTCCTGACCTCGTGATCTACCCGCCTCGGCCTCCCAAAGTGCTGGGATTACATGTGTGAGCCACCGTGCCTAGCCAACCAGTGCTTTTTCTATCATACCACCTTGTAACTGCATTTCAGAAAAAAATTCTGAATGACTACAATCTTCATGATGGCAGAGTCATATAGGATTTTACATATTATTGTGCTCAGTATGGCACTTGCCATAACTAAGAGATACATATAGAGTTTTAAGTGAATAAATAAACTACAACAGCTCAAGTTTCTGTACTGGGTTAAATAATATCCTCCAAAAGTTCATGTCCACACAGAACCTCAGAGGATGGCCCTATTTTGGAAATAGGGTCTTTGACCTTGTAATTAAGATGAGGTCATATTGAAGTAGGATCCTAAATCCAATGTCTGGTGTCCTTATAAGTATGCCACGAAAAGACACAGAGACACACACAAAGAAGAGCATGTGAAGACAGAGGCAGCAATTAAGAGTGATGTAGTCATAAGCCAAGGAATGCCAAGGGTTGTTGGCAACCACAGAAGCTAGGAAGAGACAAGGAAGAATTCTTCTCTGGAGGCTTCAGAGGGTGTGTGGCCCCACTGACAACTTGATTTTGTACTTCTAGCCTCCAGGATTGTGAAAGAGTAATTTTCTGTTGTGTTAAGCCACCTAGTTTGTGATAATTTGTTATGGCACCTCTAGGAAACTAATACAGTTGCCTCCCCAAAAGAGAGTAGCTGCTCTGATGACTTCTGATGTTCCTTCTCATTATGAGGTTTCACTTATGATGTTTTATATGTTTGCCTTGATTAAAATGAATGACTGGCTAAAAAATAAAGAAAGCTTTTACTTTTCTAGTATTTTCAAGCTAATAACATTTAACTAAAATGAGAAAAGCCTTCCTAAAACTCATGAGTATTTTTACATGATTTTTTTCTTTTCATTTATAACATTGCACATCAAGTCAAAATATACTAAATTTGATACTTAAGTTTGTTTTCTTGTGAACTAGAAACATATTTTTACAAATATACTTGTGCTTCAGATATATGTGGTTTGAGAGAAATACAAATATTTTTATTGTTTTCCGGACGCAGTGACACTTGCCTGTAATCTCAGCATTGTGGGAGGCCGAGGCAGGTGGATCACATGAGGTCAGGAGTTCGAGACCAGCTTGGCTAACATGGTGAAACCCCATTTCTACTAAAAATACAAAAATAGCTGAATGTGGTGGTGTGCACCTGTAATTCCAGCTACTCAGGAGGCTGAAGCATGAGAATCGCTTGAACCTGGGAGGCAGAGGTTGCAGTGAGCAGAGATTGCACCACTGCACTCTAGCCTGGGTGACAAAGCGAGACACTGTCTCAAAAATAAAAATAAATATTTACATTGCTTATTTTATTTTTGTATTAAGGCTCAATATGTTTGGTCATTTTTACATTAACTTAAACCCTGAGGATACTTTAATTCTGACGCTTTAAAATAGACTAAATTTTAATTTTTATTAATCATTGGCTAATAGTCGTTTTTCTACCCTACCATCTCCTGGAAAACACATAATAAATGAACAACAAAGGAAAATTACAGAGGCAATTCAATTTCACATGCTTTACTCTAGGCTGTTGTCAAAGCTATTTTCCAATGTATCAATCACTGTTTCCTGAGACAAGACTATAACTGGCAGGAACAGCTGCCTCCCAAGTACACAATGAAGACAGTAGTATTGCTAGCTTTTAGAAAAATGTATCATTTTCTATGTCTTTAAATTAAATAGTATTTGCCAAAATTACTCAGTTATGCATGCTACGAAGTCAAAATAAAAGCTGCTATAGAACACTTGCTGGACAAGTAAAATAACTAAATTCTAAATTTTAAATTAAGAAAGAAGCTCTTAGTATCTAGGGACAGTCGTTGATTTTTATGGCATATTTTTCATATGAAAAGCTGCCTGATCATACAGGTCTTGTCAATGTGAGTTCTGCACTGATTGCCCCATGATCATAAATGTTTTCTTTGACACAGGAAGTCACATTTAATTCCTTTTGGTTCCTATGCATAACAGCTTCTTTGACAGTGGGAGCAACTGGTTTCTCCTCCTTCACTTTGGATCCATCCTGACAAATGGTGTTAAGTAGGCCCATCTTTCTTTACTTCTCTAACTTCTTTTTAATGTAATTTTTAAATCAACAGATAAAATTATATGTATTTATCATGTATAACGTGATGTTTTGGAGTATATGTACATTGTGGAATAATTAAATCTAGCTAATATCGTGCATTACCTCATTTAGTTATCAGTTTTGTGGTGAGAACAATTAACATCCACTCTCCTAGCATTTTTCAAGAATACAATACATTGTCATTAACCGTAGTCATCATTTTGTACCTTCTCTTCCTGATGTTTTAGTGGGAAAAGTACAAACCAAAAAGGCTCTTCCTCATTCTTTTAAAAGTCCCTTCTCATGATCCATTTACCTACTTCATCTTTAGGTTCTTGCAATTTTCAAGCTGCTGTCTTAATACCTGAGGTCACTATCACACTTTCACCTACACACACATTTGACCTACTTGCTAGGCTTCCTTTAACAATTCTTCTAAGTTCACAGCATTGTTAAACATGGAGTCAAATATGTCAAGATCCCTCCCACAACACATGGGAATTATGGGAGTACAATTCAAGATGAGATTTGGGTGGAGACACAGCCAAACCTTATCACTTATGTTATTTTTTTTCCTATTTGTCCTATTATTCATATTACTGTTTTTACTTTTCTCTTTACTGTTTTAGAAATGTACATCGTATACTTCTTTTATCTTTATCCTTTAACTTTATGAAAAAATTATAATATTGAACAATTTATTAACCTTTTTTCAGAATAATACATGACTCTTAAGACAATCCTTCTTCTTTCTCTGTTAACTCTAATCATGCCCCACCTAGCATACATGCCATTGTTGTTTTGAATTTTAGTTCTTTTGTCTGCATTTATATGATGTTTATTTAGGTTCACATACATTTTCTATTTTATTTCTCACCAGTTCCTTTACATTTCAGAGTTTTCCTCTTCCTTAAAAGTACATTCTGTTGTGAGTTTCCTCAACCAAATCTGCCATTCTGTTAGAAGCAGATCATGTGATTAATTTTCTAAACTCCTTGGTAGAATAAAGCTCATATATTTGCTCTACCCAGGATGAACACTAAATTCAAATGTTTGAAATTTCTTTTTCTTTTTTTTTCTTTTTTTTTTGAGACGGAGTCTCTCTCCGTCACCAGGCTGGAGTGAGTGGCGCGATCTCGGCCCACTACAACCTCCACTTCCCAGGTTCAAGCAATTCTCCTGCCTCAGCCTCCCGAGTAGGTGGGAATACAGGCGCGTGCCACCACGCCCAGCTAATTTTTTGTATTTTTAGTAGAGATGGGGTTTCACCATGTTGGTCAGGCTGGTCTCGATCTCGTGACCTCGTGATCCATCCGCTTCGGCCTCCCAAAGTGCTGGGATTACAGGCATGAGCCACCATGCCCGGCCTGAAATTTCTTTTTCTAAAGTTAGAGCTATTTATTTTTGAGCATATTCCAAAGTTGGCAGAAATATTCTCCCAGCTGGTATGTGACAGTACTATCAGCGGTTCTAATTCTATATATTTTATTTCATAAAAGTTTGTATCTCTAATACATTTTTCAAAAAGTTCTGATTTGTTCTTGAAAACAGTTTCATTCCTTAATCACATAATAGATACTGATTGTCTGTCTCACTGCATTACATCATTTATTTTATTTTTCAGAGCTGTCTTGTGGACTGTGATCACTATCTGAAATACAGTGACAATCCAGTCCTTCAATCTAAACCTTTTTTTTGAAAACACAAACACACATGCCTATTAAATTCTGAGGCTAGTTCATCAAGAATCCGAATAGTATCCAAAATATATTCAGCCAGATGTTTTATAAATATTAAAATGACATAGACTTTAGATAGGTTGAAAGCTTCGTTAATGTGGTCCTATCTGCCATTCTGTTTGATCATTTTCTTAAAAAACAAACAAACAAATAAACAAACCCCAGAAACAAAACCTCAAGGTTAGCTTTTGTGTTCTACATTACCACATTACCTATGCTGATGTATAAACCTCCACAAATATCTACCTGCCAGATAATAAACTCCATACTTGAAAGGACTTTCATCATTCTTATGTAAAGGATTTTAAAACTACTTTTATTTGCCATACATTGCAAACCAAAAGTAGATTTCCATACTTCTCTGCAGAACACATTTTAAGTAAAATTACCCCTTGAAATCATGTAGATACTTTATCAATGCATTTGTTGTAATGAAAATATTAAGACTGGTAAGCAAATGGCATTAAGATTTATTATTTAAAAACCTGATTTTAAGTAAAACCCTGGATAAGTTACTAGACTGCTATACACATTGCTATGCAAAACCGAATCTATAGTACCTGGATATTCGAATGTAAAGTTCGTAGTAGGTTTCCTGCAGCCTCCTGCTGCAGGAGAAAAGAAAGTTTCCTTTTTTCTCTGTTTCATCAGTGTTCCACCTGGACCCTGCTGTTTTCAGACTTATATTAAACATCACACAGCAGGGTATGGGTCTTTGTCTCTTGAATGGTTGATAGAGGGCCGAATGATGCAATCCAGAGAACACTTAGCCTCTCTTGTGGTAAATCTTGACCAATGGGAATTGGGAAAGAGGAAGGAATTAAAGAGACAAATTGCCTTTAAATAATACTTTCTATAGATTACTCTAAGTATAATTCCTTTTGTATTTCTTCCATAGAAGCCCTATAGACCAAGTAAACAAATCTGGCTTGTGACCTGCCATCAGTATCACATTATATCTTTTACCTCATTCCCATTTTCCCTTGCTCTTAATACCTTAGGCTTTGTATTTGCCCCACCTCAACCCCCCAGTTATTGCCAATGTTATCTTTATCTCCAGCTCTACTTTCTAGAATACTCAGACAGAAGCAATTGTACATTTTCTTATTTTTTTTTATTATACTTCAAGTTCTAGGGTACATGTGCACAACGTGCAGGTTTGTTACATATGTATACATGTGCCATGTTGGTGTGCTGCACCCATTAACTCATCATTTACATTAGGTATATCCCCTAATGCTATCCCTCCCCACTCCCCCCACCCCACGACAAACCCCGGTGTGTGATGTTCCCCTTCCTATGTCCAAGTGTTCTCATTGTCCAATTCCCACCTATGAGTGAGAACATGCGGTGTTTGGTTTTCTGTCCCTGCAATAGTTTGCTGAGAATGATGGTTTCCAGCTTCATCCATGTCCCTACAAAGGACATGAACTCATCCTTTTTTATGGCTGCATAGTATTCCATGGTGTATATGTGCCTCATTTTCTTAATCCAGTCTATCATTGATGGACATATGGGTTGGTTCCAAGTCTTTGCTATTGTGAATAGTGCTGCAATAAACATATGTGTGCATGTGCCATTACAGCAGCATGATTTATAATCCTTTGGGTATATACCCAGTAATGGGATGTCTGGGTCAAATGGTATTTCTGGTTCTAGATCCTTGAAGAATCGCCACACTGTCTTCCACAATGGTTGAACTAGTTTACAGTTCCTTCAGCAGTGTAAAAGTGTTCCTGTTTCTCCACATCCTCTCCAGCACCTGTTGTTTCCTGACTTTTTAATGATCACCATTCTCACTGGTGTGAGATGGTATCTCATTGTGGTTTTGATTTGCCTTTCTCTGATGGCCAGTGATGATGAGCATTTTTTCATGTGTCTGTTGGCTGCATAAATGTCTTCTTTTGGAAGTGTCTGTTCATATCCTTCGCCCACTTGTTGATGGGTTTGTTTGCTTTTTTCTTGTAAATTTGTTTGAGTTCATTGTAGATTCTGGATATTAGCCCTTTGTCAGATGAGTAGATTGCAAAAATTTTCTCCTGTTCTGTAGGTTGCCTGTTGACTGTGATGACAGTTTCTTTTGCTGTGCAGAAGCTCTTTAGTTTAATTAGATCCCGTTTGTCAATTTTGTCTTTTGTTGCCATTGCTTTTTGTGTTTTAGACATGAAGTCCTTGGCCATACCTATGTCCTGAATGGTATTGCCTAGGTTTTCTTCTAGGGTTTTTATGGTTTTAGGTCTAACATGTAAGTCTTTAATCCATCTTGAATTAATTTTTGTATAAAGTGTAAAGAAGGGATCCAGTTTCAGCTTTCTACATATGGCTAGCCAGTTTTCCCAGCACCATTTATTAAATAGGGAATTCTTTCCCCATTTCTTGTTTTTGTCAGGTTTGTCAAAGATCATTCACAATTGCTTCAATAAGAATAAAATACCTAGGAATCCAACTTACAAGGGATGTGAAGGACCTCTTCAAGGAGAACTGCAAACCACTGCTCAACGAAATAAAAGAGGACACAAACAAATGGAAGAACATTCCATGCTCATGGATAGGAAGAATCAATATCGTGAAAATGGCCATACTGCCCAAGGTAATTTATAGATTCAATGCCATACCCATCAAGCTACCAATGACTTTCTTCACAGAATTGGAAAAAACTACTTTAAAGTTCATATGGAACAAAAAAAGAGCCCGCATCGCCAAGTCAATCCTAAGCCAAAAGAAAAAAGCTGGAGGCATCACGCTACCTGACTTCAAACTATACTAGAAGGCTACAGTAACCAAAACAGCATGGTACTGGTATCAAAACGGAGATATAGACCAATGGAACAGAACAGAGCCCTCAGAAATAATACCACAGATCTACAAGCAATTGTACATTTTTATAGCAAAGATTATATATGTATAAAACAAAAATTATACATACAGTTAGAATTTGTTAGCTAGACAGAAAAACACACTGTGTCTTTGTATAAATATCTGTTTCCTTAATTTATTCTTCTTTAAAAATATTTCTTATATTTTTAAATTTCAAAGACATCTCTATTGTTTTAAACAATATTAATTATAGTGAGGAATAGTACTGAAATAGATTTCTGAGATATGACTTAAGGCATCAGGATATCTAACAAGCCATAATTTTTCAAACATTGTGAGCAGATGCTGAAAATTATAAAGTGTTGTGATTCCAACAGGAATCAGATACAACAGAAGTCCCCAGAAAAAAACATAAATAGCAACAATCTTCTGGAAAGGTTTCAGAAGGAACCATTTCTTCTTCCTCCCATATGTTCCCCTCATGTAGATTTAGGTGGTTATAATGTTGTTTGAGAGGGTGAAGTAATGAGTGAAAGAAGAATTAAGGAATTATACTGTAGTAAAAGAGTACTTGTTAGGACATCTTCTCTAAGTCAGGTTGGGTCTAAGACATTTCCTTATTTCCATGGATTTGGTAATTCCATGATGAAATAAAAACAACTAAAGTTTTCTACAACCTCTTGCCTCTGCTTTGTAGATTTATACTTTTAATAGGAGCTTCAAATAAAAAGAAGACTCACTTGGTAATGAGGAGTGTATTTCAGTTGATAGATAATTAAATTGAAGTCCAAAGAATTTAGATTACTTTGAAATCTTTGAAATCACAACTTTGAAAGAAGTTGTGTCTCACTCCAAAGCCTATGTTTATTTCATTATGCCACATGTGGTAAATGAATATAAAGTGAGGGGAGCAAATGAAAATGTTAAAATATTTAACTTAATTGAATTGGAGAAGTCATAAATATCTGTGGAAACTGCTAGAAATCAGTTTTGATAATTTTCTTTGAAAGTATGATACAGTTATTCCATGAGTATGGTATGCCTTCCTAATAAGTCTTCACTGCCTTCTAAACTATCATTAGATGGCAATAGATGGTTCTGAAAGATACAGTCTCATTTAAGGTAACTTTTGTGTTGAGATGTCAAGAGGCAATTCTGTAGACAAAGGCTCCAGAAAATGATCTTCAATATATTGTCAAAGTTTAGGGGTAAGTGAATTGTTTGTGAAAACACAATTCTCAGACACCTTACTATTGAGCAGCATTGGTATCAGCTGACAGCTTGCTAGAAATGCAGATTTACTATACCAGAACTGCATTTTAACAATGATCCCCAAATTTGAGAAGTAATGCTTTAATAGACTATTCAGAAATGTTGGGCCCAGTTGAAGTCAAGAGAATAAGCATGAAAGCAATCATCTACCTAATGTAATTTTTGCTGAAAGCAAGGGGATAATAAATCTGGTTTCCAGTGTATGTATTCATCAAGGTTTTCCACAGAAACACAAACAATAGGATGTGTGTGTATGTGTTGGGGGGATGTATAGAAAGAGATTTATTAGGAGGAATTAGCTGATATGATTATGAAGGCTGACAAATCACAAGATCTACAGTCAGCAAGCTAGACACTGCGGAGGGCCAATGGTAGGTTCCAGTTCAAAAGCTGATAGACCTGAGAACCAGGAAGAGCAGATGTTTCTGTTTGAGTCCAAAGGCAGGAAAAAACTGACGTTCCAGCTCAAGACACTCAGGCCGGAGAAAATTCCTTCTTACTCAGGTTTTTTTGTTTTTTTTTTTTTTTTTTTCTGTTCGGGTCTTCAAGGGATTGAATGGATTGGATGGAGCTCATTCACATAAGGGAGGGCAACCTGCTTTACTCAGTCTACCAATTTAAATGTTAATTTCATCCAGAAACACCCTCAGAAACACACCTAGAATAACATCTAACTGAGTATCTGCACATCTTGTGGCTCAGACAACTGACAAAATTAACTATCAAATCCGGTAATAAATAGAACTAAATGAAAGTAGTTCCATCACAAAATATAACTGTAAATCACTAAAGAAGTAGCCTCAACACAGTCCTGGGATTAAAAAGCCAATCCTCAAAAGATCAAGGCAGAATCATTTGACAGTCCTACATACAGTTTTTGGCTGGTTTTAAGACAAAATAACTCATTTAGATCTAAAACAGAGACACAAGGAAAATATCTACAGGCAGATAATTCAATTGCAAAAATCAGAGCATATGGAAAAAAATTCCAGCTACCATAAATATAATCTCAGTGTAAACATTTAGCAAAAGAAAGCATAAGTAACATTAGACATTGTAATTTTAAATATATAAATATTTAATTCTTAAATATTCTTTAATTTTTCCTTACCGACATGTTACTACTTTGATTTGCAATCTGAAATCTAACATATTTCTATTGCACCAAAATATGAAAATCAGAAATTATTTTAGTTTTGATCCTTTAACTTAGAGCAATGTTTGTTTTTAAGCAGTTTCTTAGTTGAATACAGTAGTACACAAATACAGGTACTCATGAACACGGATAAAATCTTGCTGACTGGTTTGTATGTTTAGGGAAGCAGCTAAGATATTTGTAGAATTCTGATTTCTAATATTGCCCCATTTAGTTGCAGTATTAGGTAGTCTTATAATTTAACAGCATCCACTTGCAGTTTTTCATTCACGCTGTCAAATTTTTAAGAGAAAATGAACTGGGAAATGGTAATTTATTTTCATGAAATTTAAAATCAAAGAAATCCTTGTTTTGAAAATTGGATCTTAATCTCAAAATTGTAGAACTTGGCTGAGACCATTGCTTTCATTTTGAAAATGAACTTCAACTCCAGAAAGACCAGTGTGTGCTCTGCCAAATAAATTTCTGAGTCACAGTCTCACTAGGAATGTGCAAATCAAAGCATATGTTGGTGTAAATTCTTTTGAAGTCCTTGCCAAGAAATATTCAAAGGAATTCAATGGCTATAATATTCAAGGCTATAATAATGTTCATCCAAATGTTTTTGATCCAGTCTTCATCAGTTAGCTGATTTTCACTCTTTAAAAATTTCCATAAAAGGATTCAGCACCACTTCATACCAAACCACCTAACCTCATTTTAGTAGTGCCAACCACATATTGTGCTTGCAGTTCATCAATCAAGACTAAACTGTCTCCAGTTCAAGCCAAGAAAACACATCTAAGACAACAATGTCTGTTCTTACCCAGCATTTATTTCCTTTTTTCTGTCTTGATAGAACTTTGATTTTTTTTTTTTTTTCTAGAAAATCTCCTCTCCATGTATCTCAGAGGAAGATGACCCAACTTCAAGCTTTCAGGGCAGGCTACACTGGTTTAAATGTATTTCCCCTTTCCAGTGATTGGTTCCAGGAAAGGTCTCTCATCTTCCTCTGGATATTAAAGTGTTTTAAAAATTGTGTTCAGCACTACATCCATCAGGCATCTTGCTAAAGCCTGAGTATGAAACTGGCATTGAGGATTCCTATGATATTTAATGAGACATTGAGATACTAAAGCCACCAACTTTGAAACCTCTTTCTCTGGACTTTCTGCATGTAACATTAATATTTTTCCTATTTTTAAGCCAATTGAAATGGAAATTTTCTATTCCTTGCAGCTGAGAGAATCTTGTATGATATGTGAAGGGTTTCACTTTGAGCTTTTGAACAATTCCATCCTGTAGAATGATTTAATTAATCTATGTTCATTCAACATTGTAAAATGTTGTCCATTTACATAAAAGTTCTGTAACAGATACAGTGTTAGAAGGACCATTCGTTGGCTACAATATTTGTAGATACTCTTACCAATTTTGACCAGTTTTTCATTAAAATTTATGATTCTTTCCAAAACAAAGGTTAAATCAAGGACTATAAGTCATTCTATTATAAAAATACATGCACATGTATGTTTATTGAAGCAGTATTCACAATAGCAAAGACATGGAATCAACTTAAATGCCCATCAATGATAGACTAGATAAAGAAAATGTGGTACATGCACATCATGGAATACTATGCAGCCATAAGAAGGAATGAGATCATGTCCTTTGCAGGGACATGGATGGAGCTGGAGACCATTATCCTCAGCAAACTAACACAGGAACAGAAACCCAAATATTGCATCTTCTTCCTTATAAGTGGGAGCTAAATGATGAGAACACATGGACATATAGAGAGGAACAACACATGCTGGGGTCTGTTGGAGGGTGGAAGGTGGGAGGAGGGAGAAGATCAGGAAAGTAACTCGTGGGGACTAGGCTTAATACATGGCTGGTATAAATAATCTGTACAGCAAACCCCCACGATACAAGTTTACCTATTTTTCAAACCCTGCACATGTACCCCTGAACTTAAATTAAAAGTTAAAAAAGAAGCAGTCATAATAAAAGTAGAAACTGAGATTTTAGACACTCCCCAAATAAAAAGATTTAATCAGTTCCTAATACTGCAATTGTCATAGGCATCATGTATAAATTTTTTAATCATGCAAAAATTCTCTCCCAATAAATGCTATTATCTAGATGTCTATATCTGGATTCTAATACTCACCATACAAAAAACCCACAAATGATTCAACTTTCCCATGCAATTTGTTCTGGAAATTATCAGCTAAACCTTCAACATGCTGATGAGTAGTATTTCTGGGGAGAATTAAATTAAGAAAATATTATTTGTGGTTTCAGATTCACCATTTCTTCTGCATTCATAGATACCCACATCTGTCAATGCTTTTAAATACTTAGACAATAATTTAACTTAAAAATTACATAAATGCATTCCACAGTAGTACTCCTTTTTTACATATGGAAAAAATTGTTAAAATTATATTCTTTTTTACCCTGGACATTAAGGTTTTACCATGAATCTGGTGGTGGTGTCTGGTGATATCTCCCAAGTAAATTACCCCCCCAAATAAAAACTATCCAGCATCTTGTGGGGAGTATGGAGGGGTGGAGGGGAAGGGGAGGGGATCTATAAATCTTCTTTAAAAAAGACTGCTAAGTCTCCTTAACTCAGTTCTACACCTCTCATCTCTTCTAGAGGTTCTTAGAGCCAATAACTCCAAATTTTGGGAGAATTTTCTATTTTGCTTAAATGTTTCTTATTTAAGTAATTTTAACTTTTTTACCTACTTTAATCTTTAAGTAATTGTTTAAGTAATTTTTATTATTTCTCTCTTCTTTCATCCTCCGTGTCTTTGTGAGTTTATGCTTTTAATAAGGAATATGTTCAATCTCCTCCTTTAACTAGGAGTTGCAGATCAAACCTTTTAAATGTATTCAAATTGTCATGGATTTGGTTGTGCCTTTAACTTCGCAGGCTCAGGGAGTAAATGGTGATGATAATGATGATAATGTTGATGATAGGTAATTGAGTACTTATTTTATGTAAGACTCTGCTAAAAGCTTTACAGGAAAAAATTCTTCAAGTATATTTTAAAACAGTATAAGGTGGATATTAATATTCACGCTTCCATATTTTACTTTGGTGACATGTGGATTAGATAATAACTTTAAAAACTTTCAGCAGTGAAATATTTTTATACCAATATTTTTACCTCATCATTTTCTCTTGTCTTGCTGCAGTGGCTACAAGGCAATATGATGTGGTACAATAGCCGTGTTCATTGCTTATACCTAGCTTTGATGGAAATATTTCAAATGCTTTATGTCTAGTTAGAGTGTTTGTTGTAGATATCTGGCAGAGCACCATTTATAAAGGCAGTTACCTTCTACTTTTAACTTGCTAAGTTAAAACTTACTGTATTTCATCAGTTTTTATTAATCTTCCCATATAATCAATATTTTTACATTGATAATATAGCCAATTATAGTAACAAATTTCCTAATAATGAGCCATCTTTAAATTTCTACAGTTAAACACATTTGCTCCTCATATTCTGTGGATATCTCTTGCATGAATTTAGGGTATCTACAGATGTTTCCATACATGAAATTAAGAGTAGTTTTCAGTTTGTGTGATGTCCTTGCCTGATTTTTGTTTGCTTCGTAAAATAATTTGAAAACCTTTCAATTGTTTTCTTTATCAGAACAGTTTGAATTAGGAATTATTATCCGTTCACTAGAAATTGAGTAAAACTCACTTTTCTGGGTCTAGTTAAAAGCTGGCAGTTACATGTCTGACTAGCTTTCCAAATTCTCATACCATCCTTTTCAATCCAGAAAATAGAAATTATTATGTCCATTTTGGTAGAAAATTATCTATTTCTTCTCTACATCCAAATTAATTGACACATATAATTGAAAATAATATTGTGAAGAAGTTTAATAAAAAGCCTATAAAGAACTTAGAACAGTTCTGTCATGGAGTAAGTGCTAAATAAAACTTACAATATAACTATTAATTGGATGTGCTATAGATTTATTTTGTAGTTCTATCTTTTCAATATCATTATATATGTATACACACATATATATATATATACATTTTTAATCAAGTGACTTTAAATTTATGCAGACCAAGATGCCTTTCTCTTTCTTCTTTGTTAATTGAAAGCTTAACTTTCATTGTGAAATCTTAGTTCTCACATTCAAAATGTTGGGAAAATCAAACCTATAAATCCTCCATAATGACAAAAATGAAAAGCCAACAGAGAGATTCTTCTCCAATTAGGAGTGGGAAACTAAGAGGATGATTTTTTAAAAATTAGATAGAGCAAGAAAAAGTTATACATGCTTCCTTGTTTCCAGAGATATATTTAAATTACTATTTACTTGGTAAATCCTACATGCCAAATGCTGTCCTAGTGACTGTGAGATGCAAAGATGAAAAAGACATGATACCTAGTATCTAACTGCTCACAAGTTAGTGAGGAAGAGAGACATATCGGTAAATAACTGTAATGCATTATTGCAAAATATATAGAAAACCAGAAAAATATATGTAGAAATGTGGGAATGCAAATATAGAACAAAATTATTTCCCAAGTTGTATACAGTGTGGGGATGCTGGAGAAAGTTACAGAGAGATGTCCCCAGCCTGACCTAAGGTGACAGCTTTAATAAGATAAGGCCCCTTTATTTTCCTGGGTTTCATCAACCACACACAATAATTTCACCTATATTAGGCTCCATGTCCTATCCAAGTTTATTTTTTAAATTAGTCCTCCATCTGCTCGTGTATGTAGCTGATTGATCGAATATGTCTTTATTGGAAGATTTAGGAAGTAAAACCCCCTGATTGGTCCCGCTTGGGAACTCATGCCAGAACATCCTATAATAGGGCATCACCACAAACTCCACTTCTGTAGTTCTGATTTCCAGCCCTAGAATCAGGACTTTGGTTACTGCACATTTTTCAATATTTTTTATCAGTTCTGTTCAGCAGCTACGGGCCACACATTATTTATATTGTTTTTTCTGTCTTTTATAGATTTTTTTCCACTGAATGTGACAGCATTCAGCCAAATTTGAAGTATCTATGCTCCCACATATTTGAGATTTTCTGTAATCTTTTATAATCTAAGTCAGATTATATTACTGCTTTGCTTATGATCTCCAAAGTCTCCCCATCTCTCTAACAGTTAAAGCCAATGTCATTAACTGGCACAAGCCCTACATGGCCTGGCACCTCACTACCTCCAAGGCCTCATCTCTTACCACTTTCCATACCCACTGCTGCTTTACCACTACATGTGCCTCTTTGCTGGTCCTCCAACGTCAAGTACACACCCACCTTGAGATATTACACTTGCTGTTCTCTTTGCCAAAGATATTCTTACCCCGTGCATCATTGTGAATCAACTCTTGCTTACTCAAGTCTCTGCTCAACTGTTGCCCTCTTAGAGACCTTCCCATACTATCATGGGTAAGATAGCAATCTCTACTCAATTTGGCACTACCTATCATCCTTACCCTGCTTTCTTTTGGTCTTTCTTTCTTTTTTCTTTCTTTCTTTCTCTTTCTTTCTTTCTCTCTTTCTTTTCTTTCTTTCTCTTTCTTTCTTTCTCTCTCCTTCTTTCTTTCTCTCTCCTTCCTTCCTTCTTTCCTTCTTTCCCTCCCTCTCTCCCTCCCTCCCTCCCTTTCTTTCTTTCTTTCTTTCTTTCTTTCTTTCTTTCTTTCTTTCTTTCTTTCTTCTTTCTTTTTCTTTCTTTCTTTTGTCATTCTTTTTTTTTTTTGAGAGAGAGAGAGGAGGTTTTGCTCTTGTCACCAGGCTGGAGTGCAATGGTGCAATCTCAGCTCACTGCAACCTCTGCTTTCCGGATTCAAGCGATTCTCCTGCCTCAGCCTCTGGAGTAGCTGGGATTACAGGAGCCCACCATCATGCCTGGCTAATTTTTGCATTTTTAGTAGAGATAGAGTTTCACCATGTTGGCCAGACTTGTCTTGAACTCATGACCTAAGGTGATCTGTCCACCTTGTCCTCCCAAAGTGCTGGGATTACAGGTGTGAACCACCGCACCTAGCCCCTGCTTTATTTTCTTCATAGCACATACAAGTAATATACTCTGACATATTTCATACTTGCATGTTTTGCTTTTCTGTTACTTCCCCTACACTGTTGTGTCCATTGCTTTATCCTTGGCACCTGGAATGGTCCCTGACACTTAGTATGTCCTCAATAAATATTTGCAGAAAGATCAAATTCCTAAGGCATTTGGTACTATTCCTGAGCTGCTTATTACACTGATGCTTGCACTGAAGTTCACATTCATACATGGTTTCTTTTGTATATTACATTGCTCTATCTTTGAGTCATGAGATTATACAAAACAACAATATAAGCATATAAGTACTGAATGATAAACATTTACGTATTATTGCATAGAAACAAGATACGTTACTAGATTTTTTAAAAAGAGTATGTTTAGAGAAATAAAGTATGAACAATTTGTGGGGAAATCAAATATATAAAGAGATATTTTCTGTCCACTTGGGTAACCTAGAATATTGAGGGTCATCAATAACTTTTCAAATATATTGAAATTTGGGGAACTTGAGTAAACTCTTCTTTCTTTTATCTGCTTCACCTTAGTAGCTGGGATGCTCCGTCTTTATTACAGAGGGCTGTTTGATTTAGTCTAGGATATTCTGAGACCTGGTTTATAATGAGTAAAGTAATTTGGAAGGAAAATAGAATAAAGTAACTTTTTTTTTTCAGATATCTTTCCCAAGGGAAAGTTCTGCTTGTTAGTACTGGCCTGAATTGAGCTGAAAGCTTATTAAGAGAAAAATGAAAGATTTGTAAATGGTTCTGTTTGTTTTAAGTAAGAGTAGAAATGTAAGATTTTTATTCCCTGGGGGGAAAATATGCAGCAAGTTGACTCTACTCTTTCCAGTGTAGAAGCCAGAAGCAATTTCCTCATAAGCATTTCCATTCTTTTTCTCCAAGTTCTCTATTAAGTGCTTTAACAGCAAAATGATTTCTAAAAGAAAAACTGGGAGTTACATGATTGTGAAACAAAAGCAAATATTTCGATTATATTGGAAAGCAAATCGATATGATCTACATGATTTCCACTTTTTTGATTTTGCTGAGGTTTTCTTGGTAGCCTAATAAATAATCAATTCTTGAAGAATTTCATGGGAGTATATAAAGAAAAAGTGTTCTCTGTTGTCAGGGTATTGTGTTTGAGATATATTGATTAGGTCAACTGTATGATTTATTATATTACATGCACTCTTACATATTTTGGTCTACCTCATCAATCATAACTGACAGTTTATTTAAATTCACCTACAACCGTTGTGACTTTCTACTAATGTTTTTGCTTTATGTATTTTGGTGATGTGATAGTGGGTGAGTAAAGATGTTAGAAAATTATATCTTTATTTAAGATTGCATGCTTCATCTTTTAAAGTTGCCTCCTTTTAAATGTTTTTGCATTGAGAAAAACTCATCTACAAAGCTACTACTTTCCTAAATATCCAAATACATTCGTCATCCCATTAGTAACTACATCTCTAGCTAAGTGTTTTTAGTCATCGAAATTTAATTATAGCCCTACTCTAATATTCTGAAAACTAAGGATAAAATTATAAATGTAACCACTACCAACCCATTTTAATGAAATAATAGTAAGGAAAAAGAAGAACAAGAAAAATAGATTAATATACATAAAATACAAATAACAAAAACATAAACTAACAACCATGGGTGGTTGCTCTAGTTGTTTCTACTGTTGTTCGTGAGGTCATAGTTGGTATTTATAATTTCCATGTTCTTCAGCTTTGTTTGATTGAGTGTTGTACTTTTCTCTCAATGGGGGATGAGCCATGGTCATTTTTATTGTGTTGATTGGTTTGAAACTTTAATGAACCTTTTCAGCTGGATGTGGAAGTGCTAGGAGGTATCCCCTCTCAGAGAAACTCCTGGTTTTAGACATAGTTTATGCTGCCCCTTTTTTGTAGAAACATCAGTCACACCCACTCTAAGATCAGTCACCACAGATACTTTATCAGTCTCCTTTGCTCATTGGTACTGGAACATGAGGAGCCCCAAAGGCCAGCTGGCAGCCTCAGCATCCAGGTCAATGGATTATTTTGTGCCCTTGTTAAGCATTTGTCCCTTGGAAACCAAGAATTCTAATCAGCCAAAAGCATAACTAGAGAAAAATGAAAGCAAAATCTTTTCAAGAGTGTTCCTAAGAGAAATAGTACTGTGCTCTAAGTTGCTATATTCTGACTTTGGAAAAAAGAAAAACCAGATAATGTTGTTGATTTGGAGCTCATAAAGCATCCTGTAGAATAGCTCTTCAAATTTGCAAGTTGTTGTCACCCAGCCAGTGTCACACCTAAGATTTATTGACAGTTGCACCACGTTGTAATGATTTCCTAAGTAATCAGCCTGTTTTCTCACTTTTTCACCATAAACATTCTTTGTTAAAGGCAAAGTAAAAGGGATAAAATGATGGCAAATAAGGCATTTGGGGCTGTCACATTGTCCAAAAAAGAGAAATCCACATTTGGGATAAATATTTATTCCTGTGGGGGCAAATTTTTGTCCCATCCATAATGACATGACTGTCTGTCATGCTCCCCTAACCTCATGAGAAAGGGTCAGTTTTTGCTCCTGATAATAGACTAGGCACTCAGCAGTGGGTGCGCCAGATCAGCTTTAGTGAGGGAAAGACAAGGTTGTTGAGCAAACATATAACTTCCAGCCTGGTTTCTGTGGCCATTTTTCTCATTAACTTTTGAGCAAATAAGCAGTGAAGTAATGGGAGAGCAGATTGCAAACATCCCTAGAGTGTGTCATATTGAACATCTGATTATTGAAAGCATTGTCTTCAGTCTGTGCCCTTGATGAATAATTCATATAGGACACACATATTCTTATGCTCTGGGCCAATTCTGAGACTACCATACTTAAAATGTGTTCAAGTCCTGTTTCTTCAGATTATTAGACCATTCCATCCAAATTTTTGCTACTATTCACGAATCAGTTCACATTCATACTTCTTGCCATTTCTTTTTTCTAGCCCCTCCAGATATATCATCTGAAGACATAGCCAAAGGAGTGCTCTCCAAGTATACCCCTGAGATAACTACATTATATAGCAGTTCATTTCTGGCTGGTACTAGCATATTTTGCCTACTCACCTGCAAACCTTCTTCAGTCAACTCTGTCTCAGAGATCCCGACATGAGTCCATTGGTATTTGCTAAGGGAGATGTGTGGAGAGGTGTGGGAGTACATGTGCTAAGAGTATCAATCACCTCCTCAGGTGGTTTACCTTAGGATCAGCTTAAGGCCAATCTTACATGCCCCACTACTCCCCACCCCTCCACCATCACCTCCTTGAATGCTGCCCTTGGTGGTGAATTTCGTAGCTTAATGGAAAAGATAGAGCCTAGTTCATGAGGGACAGCTAAGGTAGCATGAATATTTTGTACTCTGATCCGATGTTCTGTCATGAGTAAGGCCCAATAGCATGCTAGGAGCCATTTCTCAGAAATATAATAGTTACATGCCTAAGAGAGCATGGCTTGATTTCAAAACTCTAAGGGCTTATGATGTAATTCTCTTTAAGTACTTATATTGTCCTTAACTGACACAGGCATTTTAGGCAATATTACTTTGTTTGAATAATGAGGCTAAAGGACAGAGTTTTTATTTATGAGTTACTCACTAATGATCAGTATTCCAAATGTTGTGTAAATACATCCCTGGGCCGGGCATGGTGGCTCATGTCTGTAATCCCAGCACTTTGGGAGGCCGAGGCGGGTGGATCACGAGGTCAGAAGTTCAAGACCAGCCTGGCCAAGATGGTGAAACCCTGTCTCTACTAAAAATAAAGACAATTAGCCAGGAGTGGTGGTGGGTGCCTGTAATCCCAGCTACTCAGGAGGCTGAGGCAGGAGAACCACTTGAACCCGGGAGGCGGAGGTTGCAGTGAGCCAAGATCGCACCACTGCACTCCAGCCTGGGTGACAGAGTGAGAATCCATTTCAAAAAAAAAAAAAAATCCTTGATGGTTAACATTGAGTGTCAACTTGATTGGATTGAAGGATGCGAATTATTATTCCTGGGTGTGTCTGTGAGCATGTTGCCAAAGGAGATTAACATTTGAGTCAGTGGACTGGGAGAGGCAGACCCACCCTCAATCTGGGTGGGCACCCTCTAATCAGCTGCCAGCATAAAAGCAGGCATGGAAAGAGCACACTTGCTGAGTCTTCTGGCCTCCAACTTTCTCCCATGCTGAATGCTTCCTGCCCTCTAACATCAGACTCCAAGTTCTTCAGCTTTTGGACTCTTGGACTTGCACCAGTGATTTGCCAGGGGCTGTTGGGCCTTCAGACACAGACCGAAGGCTGCATTATCAGTTTCCCTACTTTGGAAGTTTTGGGACTTGGACTGGCTTTCTGGTGCCTCATCTTGCAGACAGCCTATTGTGGGACTTCCCCTTGCGATCGTGTGAGTCAATTCTCCTAATATACTCCCCTTCATATACACATATATCCTATTAGTCGTATCTCTTTAGAGAACCCTGACTAATACAACATCTAAAACCCAAAAAGACCTGCCAAGCATTGTGCCTCTATTTACAGCGGGGTATGCAAGATTAAGCAACCTGGTTTTTATTCTGCAGGGAATATCCCAATATGCACCAGGCTACTGCAAAATACAGAAATTACTAATTTGGCACATCTGGAATGAAAAATTTTTCTGCTTAGAGAGAATACTGAAAGTGTTATTGATAAAATTCAATTAACAAATGATACTGTTTGACATCTTATAATGTGAATAACAAACAATGGAGAATTATTCCTATAACGTGTATGCTGCTGAAAATTTGGTAAAGCCACCCATATTCAATACTATGAATCAGATCTGATGGAGAACTTTGAAATATCTTGTTTGATATATCCCTGATGATCTACTAAAAAGTGGAAAATAATTTAATTAATTAATTTTACTTTGAAAGTAACAACTGACATATAAAAATGAGGACATAATGTTATAATTATTCCATTTCTTTTCCAATTCCAATTACTATTTATTTTCACCTCTATATTGTTCTAGCTATTTAAATTGCAGCTTTTCTTCTTAACTTTAACTTACTTAACTCTCCATTTCTTTTAATCTTAAATATGTGTCTGTGAGAGTATTGATATGGTGTGGCTCTATGTCCCCACCCAAATCTCATCTCAAATTGTAATCCACACGTCTCAAGGGAGGGAACTGTAATTCCCACATGTCAAGGGAGGGAGGTGATTGGATCATGGGGGTGCTTTCTCCGATGCTGTTCTTATGACAGTGAATGAGTTCTCATGAGATCCGATGGTTTTATAAGTGGTTGGAAGTTCCTCTTTCATTCTCTTCTCTCCTGTCGCCTGCTTGCCCTTCCACCATGATTGTTAAGTTTCCTGGGACTTTCCCAGCCATGCAGAGCTGGAAGTCAATTAAACCTCTTTCCTTTGTAAATTATCCAGTCTCGGGGAAGTTCTTTATAGCACTGTGAGAAGGGACTAATACAAGTCAATACTGAGTGCTCCATTCGTGTTTCTCAAACCTGGTCATTCCTGTCTGATGTCCAACTACCAGAATCTGTTCCAGTCACCAGAGATAGGTGGCTGAATATCTCATTCTTTATTTATCTGCCTTTTCTTCCTGTGTTATTTTCCAACTCCTCATTACTTTCACTTCTGCAATAAACTACTTTTTCCTGAAATCTTTGTCTCCAAACTATTTATTGGGAACCTAAACAAAAAACTAAGATGGAAAGTTCCTAAGTGACAGCTCATTCTGGGTTGGAGAGGCTCAAGATATTCAACATAGACACCTCTGATATGGATAATTCTAAACTCCCAAATGTAACATAATCGTAAAGCCTAAAAGGCCTGCTTATCTTGCTGTTAGAATCTTCCCAATAGCTGTCCAGTGATAAGATCTAAAAAACAGGGGAGTTTCATGACAACTATTTGTAAACATACTTGGGGGAATGGATCAGACCCAGCCTAGATCTTATATGTAAAATAATAAGTCACATGGAGATGAGTTTAAACAAATATATAGATCCCAAAATTTGGACCTTGGACAAGAGAGCAACTGGTTCAGCTATTGCTCTGTAACAGGACTTAATTACACTTACCTAAAATAGATATTGAGACTCCCAGTTAGAGTTTTTTATGATTCGTTTTGCACATAGTACAATCAAAATGAAGGAATTGTTCAGTTGGCAGTAATATGTAATAACAATTTTAGTGTAGAAATCCTAAAACTACCTGGAGAGATTACTGCTTAGTATTAGGGAAATTCTATTAACATATATTTCTATAGTAAGATATTTTGTATTTTAGTTGTTTTTCTAATTAATTTGTACAAGTAATAAAACAGTTTATTCTCCAAATATTTGCATTGTACATTATTTGGTTTCCGTCTCTGGATAAAGTCAGCTACATTACTAATAGAAGCTTGGGATTTTTCATAAATGCAGTTCAATATTAATAATTATGTCTATCATTTTAGATATTAAGCTCTCAGTGATATGGTGACAGGTCAGAAGATACTATGATGCATTAATCATTTTAATAAAACATGGACATTTCAGAGGCTTAAAATAACTCTAGCTAGAAAAGTAAAATGTTTTAAAAAAAGTAATTTTCATTCATTTGGGAGAAGATAAAGATTAGATTTTATTAGAACACACCCAAAACACAGTGAAGACATAGGCAATGAAAGCTTGTACTTGTAAATAATATGAGGAAATGTTAGAATGGAGAATCAAAGGATACCAGTGCTTTCTAGAAGGATTATGCAGACCATTTCTTCTGGTAAATGAAACCTTTCTGCAAACTACACAGAAAAATATAGAATAAAACAGGTACAAGCACCTGAGACAATAATAAGGCTTTGGAAAAATAGAAATACAGTTATACGGGCTGGTATCATTTGTCCATCTGACTATATGAGTTCCAGGGTAGTAAGAAAATATAGAAATAGTGCCAAAAACCAGTTAAAATGTGAGCCACAGAGGCAGAGCAACCCAGCTCAATCACTTAATAGCTGAATAACATGGGTCTGTTGACTCTCTGGATCTCACATTTGTTAACTATAAAAATGGGAATACTCATGGTATGCAACTTGTAGAGTTGTATTGACAATTAAGTAACTTACATATAAACATTTAGGACAGAACATGACACATGAAAGAGTAAATGCCAGCTGTCATGATTTAGATTACAAGAAACATCTTAGAACTGGACACAGTGACTTGCTTCTGTAACCACAACTACTTGGGAAGCTGAGGCAGGAGGATCACTTGGGCTCAGGAGTTTGAGGCTTCAGTGAGCTATGATTGCAACCACTGCACTCCAGCCTGTGTGACAGAGCTAAGAGGGAGACCCTGTCTAAAGAATCTTCTTAGAGATGCCTCAAAGTAAAGAATATAAAATACAGTGTAGGATGGAGACAGTCTAGAGGAAGAAGAAAGATTATGGAGAGATATAATTGTAAGGTTAAACAAAGTATACAATAACTATGTATAAAATATTAAACTGTTCATTTGGAGGCTAGAAGAAAAAGCTCCTGATGAGAGACAATCTTGTTTGAGGACAGTAAAAGGGAAAAATAAATGTATGAAGAAAGGAATGGCATTCAAAGAGATCAATGGAGGGGAAGCATAAAATTGCAGTAACTTTTTGTATAGATAAAAAAAAACACTCAAGAAAAGGAGAGAAACCACGAAGAAATGGGAGAATTCAGATGACAACTTAAATGGTGAGAATGAATAAGTGGGTATTTATATTGAATCGAAAGCTGGGATGTTGGGAATGGAAAGATGAATAGTTGTATATAGATATGTTGTTCAGTGGATCAACATAACAAGTTTATAATCCATAAATTATTTATTAGGGATACAATATACCTCATGAGGACAGTGAAGAATTAATTCATTCTACAAACTTTCACCGAGTCCCTACTATGCACTAGGCCCTTTGCTAAATCCTAAGAGTAAAGAAAGAAATAAAATGTTGTAAGAATTTTAATGCATAGGGTTACTTGCTAATAGGCTGAATGTTTATGGACTCCCAAAATCCATATGTTGCAGTCTTAACTCCCAAGGCAATGGTATTAGGAGGTGGGGTCCTTGGCAGACAATTAGGTCATGAGGGCAGGGATTAGTGCCCTTATAAAAGAGACTCCAAAAAGCTGCCCTACCTTTTTCCCCACGGAGGTTATAATGGCAAGACAGCTGTCTACGAGGAAGTGGGCCCTAACTAGACACAAAGTCTGTCAGCACCTTTATCTTAAACTTTTCAGCCTCCAGAACTCAGAGAAAAAAATCTGTTGTTTATAAGTCACCCAGTTTGCGGTGTTTTATAATAGCAGCCCAAAGGGACTGTGATTCTTTAAGAAAACAAACAACGATCAGATAGGAAGGAAAGTGGGTCAAATTGGAAAGAACAAAAATAGCTTTTAAGAGTCTCCCCCCCACCATTTATTTGCTAACTCATTCAATATTTAACAATTCCATATGATAGTTCCTAATAGCATCTTGAAGAATGAATAGTGGTTGTTTAGGAGACAATGAAGGAAAGAAGAAATTGAAAAGGTTATGTGGTCACTTGGTAAGTAGCTGGAATAAAGATGGATTGAGTTTACTGACTAACTTACTCCCTCAAGAAAAGGACGAATTGCTTGAGAAAGAAATTATAGATAGGAAAAAATCTATATACAGTTAAGCCTTGAACAAAGTGGGTTTTTTAACTAAATGGTTCCACTTATATGGATATTTTCTCCTGCCTCTGCCACCTCTGAGACAGCAAGACCAACCCCTCCTTCTTATCCTCCTCAGCCTACTTAATGTGGAGATGATGAGGTTAAAGACCTTTAGGATGATCTACTTTGACTTAATGAATAGAAGATGGTTTTTTAATGATTTTTTTAATAACATTTTCCATTCTCTAGCTTACTGTATTACAAGAATACGGTCTATAATGCATATAACATATAAAATATGTATTAATTGACTTTTTTATGTTATGAATAAGGCTTCTGGTCAATAGTAGTCTGTTAATTACGTTTTGGGGGAGTCAAAAGTTACTCATCGATTTTTGACTGTGTGGCTGGTTGGCACCCTAGACCCCTGTGTTGTTCAAGAGTCAACTGTATACACACACACACACACACATACGTAGTCAACTTCATATAATTCAAGTCAACTGTATACACATACAACTGTATACACATACATATGTACTTGTATACAGTTGACTCTTGAACTATATACAGTTGGCTCAACTCTTTCCCCCACCTATCTATATATATATACATGAAAGTGTATATATATATATGGGTATCATAATAAAGCAAGCATTATACTGTTTTTAAATTAACATGAATAATAATTGGGAAGGAAGATAGAAAACAATGTGTTGTTATGCTTGCTCTATATTCTCCCTTTGCTCCTCTAGGATTCTGCTCTTCTCTTCCTGGTCTTTCCACCACAAGCTGACATTTAGGTGCTACAACTATATTTCTTTCCTTCTGTCTTTGGCAGGTTTCAACCAATAGCAGGAACTAGCATCAGTCTGGGTAGTGGCAGAAAATAATTAGGGGAATATTTAGTCCCGTAGTTCCCTCCCTGTGACGATATGGTTTGACAATGGCTATGTTCTTCTATCTAAGGCCATAGCCACTTCTTACCATTCTCTCCTTCAGAGTGATAGATTTTTATAAAGACTGATAAAAGAAGAAGTGGCAAGATTTTTAAATTAAACTTGTCATGACTTTTGCCTCACTACACAATACATTGGAATTTAGAACATCTCAACACAGGCAATAATTGCCTCATTCTTCATCCACCTTGAGGCCTTTAAAGAAGACACTATCTTGGGAGGCCAAGGCGGGCGGATCACGAGGTCAAGAGATGGAGACCATCCTGGCCAACCAACATGGTGAAACCCCGTCTCTATTAAAACTACAAAAATTAGCTGAGCTTAGTGGTGCAAATCTGTAATCCCAGCTACTCAGGAGGCTGAGGCAGGAGAATCGCTTGAACTCAGGAGGCAGAGGTTGCAGTGAGCCCAGATCGCGCCACTACACTCCATCCCAGAACAAAACTCTGTCTCAAAAAAACAAACAAACAAACAAAACAAAACAAAACAAAAAAACAAAAAAACCCCACTATCTTGGGCACATCAGCTTTATAAAAACAAATTTAGAGAATTTGAGGATCTCAAAATGAATCCCTTAATATTTACCCTGTGTTCATGCTCTTTCAAAGTCTGAATACAATGCTAGTAGTTCACAAAGCCCATTTCTAGCTATTGTGACCTGCCTGTGATTTGTGAACATTCCTACAATTATTAAAATAGCATAGCTGCTCTCTCTTCTTTAAAAAACAATCACTTCACCCTTTACCTAGAGATAATTCCCCCTTGCATCATCACCTATAGTGGGCTTACCTCAACCATCTCCATATTTGGTAAACAGTTCCTTCCTTAAACATTTTTCATTCTTGCATTCTGAGTGTGCCATCTCCTTCCTGTCAGAAACCTGATTGTTAGGGCTATGTATTGAGATTTTAATCGTGTTCTCATGCTTCTTTACACTGTTAATCTATCCCACTATTCAGGGAGCATAGCGTTGTATATGCATTGATTGGAAAGGGAAATATGGCTAGAACAAAGAAGTTAATTAAACCCTCAATAGAAATGACACTCTTAAAAACCACAGCTCTCAATTTCAAGAGCCAGAGAAAAGGGTTTCTTGAATTCCATGTGATTGACTTCTCATATGAAATTTCAAAGCCAGGAGATCTATAAATATAGGGTTAATAACACAAATTATAAAATATAAAAATACTACAAATGAGAATTTCAGAAGTTTTTCTGCCAGTGTGGAGCGGGGCAAACTTTTGTTGAATTACAGGAGGAGGAGGTGGTATCTAGGAGACAGAATTCTGCTGGAAGTAGAAAAGAACATTAATACAAATGTGAAATGTCTAGGTTCTGCTCTCCACTGGGCTGAGATCCCAGGGTCAGGCTGAAATATCACATACATTTGGGTGAATCTGAGAAGTGACAGACTTGTTTGTTCTTCACTTTGTGTAGAATTAAGAAGGTTCTTGTGCCTTAGAAGCAAGTGCATCTAACCAGTACCCAAGCAATGGCTGAGGGAATGGTTTAGGCAAATGGTTCACAGAGTAGATTCCTAGAGTCCTATGTACTTCACAGTAGTGAAAGAGAGCATCAGACCAGTGTTCTAAGAGAGAAACAGATACCGCTAAGCAAGGAGAGCAAAGAGAATACAGGTTACAAGGATCTGATCCCTGTAGATTATTAGCGAAATCTACTGGTTTAGGATGACAGAGACTGGGTAAGATGCTGTTCCTCAACAAAAGCCAGAAGCAAGGCCATACTGTGGTATGGTGGTGTAATAACTGTCTCCTAGCTCCAGTATGGTAATTGGTACATTAGATGCTGGGTATAAAACCAAGGAGATGGAATGAGAAGGAGGAGGGTGGAAATCTGGGTTAGACTGGATGTTATCCAAAATGACTGAATTCTAAACACACATGACAGAGTTACTTGAATTGGCATGTTTAACTTTTTTATCATTAGCAGAAATTGAAGTATATGATCTATATAATTGATTTTATAAAGAAATAAGTTTCATCTTTGTATTTCTGAATATTGCAGATGGTAGTAACTGGCAAGGAGGTAGTAAATTCTGGAGTAAATCAAGATCTTTATAAGTAAGCAGAGCCATATCAGCATTCACACTTGAAGAAACATGCCTGGTTTGAATATAGGTCAGGATACATGGAGAAAATGTACATGCAAAAGAGAAAATTATCTGGGCTTTTGACAACAGCACAAATTGGCAGGGTGGATTGCATCTGGAAAAAAGTCAAATAGATGGACAAACAACTGGGTCAATAATTTTTCTCTATCCTTTAGTTTTGCTCAGAAAACTTTATAGGAGGGGCTGATGAGCAGAAATAAATCATATAGTACATTGTCAAGACGATTGGATTCTGCAGCCCAGCTAGGGTTGAATATAAAGGTGAACTAAAAATATGTAAACCTTCTGCCAATCCTGTTCCTGCACAAATAATTAATGTATCAAAGAGGTGATATCTCTTTGATATCTCTTTGATCACAAAGAGAATTAAAGTTTAAGTTAATCACAGGTAAAATCAATAATTTGTAGCTTCACTTGAGTGCCAGCTCAACATATGCTGGAAGGAGTCTGAATGATTAACCCTCAGCTAAGCTGCTAGGCACAGGAAAGGGTGTGCACTCTCTGGAAAATAACAAAACATGTATATTTAGTCTCCAACATTCTGTTATTCACAATTCCCAGAATACAATGAAATCATTACAAAACATACAAAGAACCAGAAAAATGTGACTTAGAATCAAGAGGAACAGTCAATAGAAGCAGGCTCACAGATAAAGCAAATTATTAAATTAGCAGGCAAGGACTTTAATACAATAATAAACATATATTATACAATTTAAAAGAAAAGATAAGTATAATTGGTGGAAATATGGAACACTTCAGGAGAAAAACAAATAGAACTAAGTAGAAATTTTAGATCTTAGACACTCATTAACAGAAATTAAAATTCCCAGGGCTTTTTCCTTCTGCATTACCCAATCTACTGTTACATTATGATCCAATGATAGCTCAGGGAAATGGAAGTTAAAACCAAAATTAAATATCAGAAAAACTAAAATTAGAAAGATTTGCATGTGACAGAGAGATTGTGAAGAAAAAGTATTCTCGTACATTGCTGGTGAGTGTAAATAAAATAGTAAACCACTTTAAATAAGACTTTGCACATACTAAATCAAGTTAAACATAGACATATTTTTTGTTCTAGCAATTCCACTCCTTGGTTTATATGGCCAAGAGAAACAAGAGCATGCATCCACAAAAAGAATGTAGAAGATTTATTCATGACAGCACCAAACTGAAACAACTCAAATGTCCACCTATAATATAATTGATGAAAAATTGTGTCATATTCATACAATGAGATATCATACAGCAATAAAAAATACTACTCCATGTAACTACATAAATAATAACAAAAACATGTAGAGTGAAAGGACAAAGACCTAAAATGTATCTACTGTTTGATTCTGTTTATATGAAATTTAGAAAGAGAAAAATTCTAATTTATGGTGACAGAGTTTAGGATGTTTGTTACCTCTGGGTGTAGTTGGTTATTGATATGGCTTGGCTGTGTCCCCATGCAGATCTCATCTTGAATTGTAGCTCCTATAATTCCGATGTGTTGTAGGAGGGAACTGGTGGGATGCAATTGAATTATAATTCCATGCTTTACTCGTGATAGTGAATAATAAATCTCACAAGATCTGATGGTTTTATAAAGGGGAGTTCCCCTACACAAGCTCCCTTGCCTGCCGCTATGTAAGATGTGACTTTGCTCCTCCTTCATCTTCCACCATGATTGTTAGCCCTCCTCAACATGTGGAACTGTGAATCAATTAAACCTCTTTCCTTTATAAATCACCCAGTGTTGGGTATGTCTTTATTAGCAGTGTGAGAACAGATTAATACAGTAAATTGTTACCAGGTGTACCGGGGAACTGCTCTAAAGATACCTGAAAATGTCAAGTGACTTTGGAACTGGGTAACAGGCAGAGACTGGAACAGTTTGGAGGGCTCAGAAGAAGACAGGTAGATGTGGGAAGTTTGGAACTTCCTAGAGACCTGTTGAGTGGCTTTGACTAAAATGCTGATAGTGATATGAACAATAAAGTCCAGGCTGATGTGGCCTCAGATGGAGATAAGGAACTTATTGGGAACTGAAGCAAAGGTAACTCTTGTTATGTTTTAGCAAAGAGACTGGGGGCATTTTGCCCCTGCCCTAGAGATTTATGGAAATTTGAACTTGAGAGAGATGATTTGGGGCAACTGGTGGAAGAAATTTCTAAGCAGCAAAGTTTTGAAAAGGTGACTTGGCTACTGTTAAAAGCATTCAGGTTTATGCATTCACAAGATATGCTTTGGAATTGGAACTCATGTTTAAAAGGATGCAGAACATAAAAAATTGGAAAATTTGCAGTCTGACAATGTGATGGAAAAGAAAAACCCATTTTCTGAGGAGAAATTCAAGTCTTCTACAGAAATTTGCATAAGTAATGAGGAGCCAAATGTTAATTGGCAATACAATGGGGAAAATGTCTCCAGGGCATTTCAGAGGTCTTCACAGCAGCCCCTCCCATCATAGGCCTAGAAGCTGAGGAGAAAAAAATGGTTTCATGGGCTGGGCCCAGGGCCTGCCTGCTGTGTGCAGCCTAGGTACTTGGTGCCCTGCATCCCTGATGCTCCAGCTGTGGCTAAAAGGTGCCAACGTACAGCTTGGGCCATGACTTCAGAGGGTATAAGCCTCAAGCCTTGGTGGCTTACACATGGTGTTGGGCCTGCAGGTGCACAGAAGTCAAGAATTGAGGTTTGAGAATTTCCCTCTAGATTTTAAAGGATGTATGGAAATGTCTGGATGTCCAGGCAGTGGTACACTGCAGGGGTGGAGCCCTCATGGAGAAACTCTGCTGGGGCAATGCAGAAGGGAAATGTGGGGTTGGAGCTCCAACACAGAGTCCCCACTAGGGCAGCGCCTAGTGGAGCTGTGAGAAGCGGGACACCATCCTCTGGACTCCAGAATGGTAGATCCATGGACAGCTTATATGATGTGCCTGGAAAAGCCACAGACAATCAATGCCAGGCCATGAAAGCAGCCAGGAGAGGGGCTATACCCTGCAAAGCCACAGGGTCAGAGATGCTGAAGACCACGGGAACACTCCTCTTGCATCAGCATGACCTGGATACGAGACATGGAGTCAAAGAACATTTTGGAGCTTTAAGATTTGACTGCCCTGCTGGATTTTGGACTTGCATGGGGCCTGTACCCCCTTTGTCTTAGCCCATTTATCCCATTTGGAATGGCTGTACTCCATTGTATCAATGTTTGTACTCCATTGTATCTAGGAAGTAATTAACTTGCCTTTGATTTTATAGGCTCATAGGCAGAAGGGACTTGCCTTGTCTCAGATGAGACTTTGGACCGTGGACTTTTGAGTTAATGCTGAAATGAGTTAAGACTTTGGGGAGACTGTTGGGAAGGCATGATTTGTTTTGAAATGTCAGGACATGAGATTTGGGAGTTGTCAGTAATGGAATGATATGGTTTGGCTGTGTCCCCACCCAAATCTCAACTTGAATTTTAGCTCCCATAATTCCCATGTGTTGTGGGAGGAACCTGGTAGGAGGTAATTGAATCATTGGGGTGGGTATTCCTCATGCTGTTCTTGTGATAGTGAATAAGTTTCATGAGATCCGATAGTTTTATATTGGGGAGTTCCCCTGCACAAGCTTTCTTGCCTGCCACCGTGTAAAACGTGACTTTGTTCCTCATTCACTTTCCACCATGATTCTGAGACCTCCCCAGCCACGTGGAACTGTGCGTTTGACAATTAAACCTCTTTCCTTTATAAATTATTCAGTCTCAGGTCTGTCTTTATTAGCCACCTGAGAACAGACTAATACAGTTATTTACTGGAAAGTGGCATACAGAAACTACTGGGGAGAAGGAACATGTCTTGATCTGGGTGGTGGTAATGTATTATATATGCACATGTAAAATTTCATTAAGCTGCACACCAAAATTTGTACATTTTTGTGTATGCAAATTACATCACAATAAATAAAAGGAGGTACATGTTAGCATGGGTTATTAGAGCAAAAAAAAATGTTTGGAGATTTTCAGGATTATATAGCTAATTCAAAAACAGGTCATAAGATTTAAACTAATAACAAAATAATCAGTATTATGTGCTTAGAAATGATCACAATATAGGAAAATACCTATTAATTGACTTCTGGTACCATAATTTGCGGGTCTCTTATTTAAATGTTTTTAACATGCTAGAATCCTTGCACCTTTATTAGAATCCTTGATCCTCCACCTCCTGGCTTGAGACCTGGATCCAGTAGTTTAATCTTTGTGTTTCTGTGTTAGTACTGTAAAATAGAGAAAATAATAATACCTACTTTATAGGATTATTGTAGAACAAAATGAGAAAATATCTATAAAGTAATTAGTAGAATGCCTGGAAAATGAATGGGCCTCAATGAATATTTATTATTGTTACTTGTAGTATTATTCCAACCCATATTTATTTTAACTACCAATATTGGTTAAAAATAGCCCATGTATCTGTTTTAAGCAGGTCAGAAGTAATAATTATTTTATAGTAAAATATTTCTGGGAATTAATTCTTAAAAGAGTATGTATTTTGGGAGGCAAACTCATTCACATATCTTCTGTAGAAAGACTTGAGAAAAGGAGAGTACTTTTTACAGTTATGTGCATTCATAGATAATTTTATAAAATTATGTGGAAAATTTTTACAAGATTGAAGATAAAGATCATGGACTTTAATGTTTAATTATAAAAATATTCTAAATGCATACAATCCTTATTGCTCTCTATTTAACCCTTTTTAATAGAATAAATTCTAAAGTCCTTACTATGAATAAATAGATCTTTATTTGGCCTTGTTTGGAGAAGATGTTTCCTGCCTGCTCTTTTTGTCTCCAAGAAGAATCTGCTCTGACTCTACTGAACCCATAATACACTTTTCTGTTGCGGTATTTCACGTATTTTGTAATAGTTAATGGTTCTTCTTCCTTTTTTTTTTTTTTTTGCTAGACTATAAGTATCTTAAGGGCAACGGCCCTATTTTAATCAACTTTGACCAGAAATTAGTGCAATGATAAGAGAAATAAAGTAGACACACCAAAATCATTTACAGAATGAATAACTATTTTAGAGTCTAGAATTAACAGAAGACAGTGGGGAAAAAATCAGGGAACACACAGCTGGCTAAAATTATTTAAAATATTCATTCTTCAAATCAATATATATGAAGGACAGGGAAGTCAGCATCTGCCTAAGGGAAGAATATTGAGAAATAAAGATATAGCAACAGATTTTCATTTATTATCTACAGAGCAACAAGTGACTATTTAAATCCATTTATCAAAGATTTCTTAAGAAAAATATTTTTTGATAAAGTATGATTAGCTTAATGTTAAAAACACATTATTATCATTAATGTTTTTACTACAGTGGAAAGGAAAAAGAAAACAAATTCTAAAATCTTGTTTTGAAAATTAAAATGTTTGGGCATCAGAAATATTAAAATGCATATAAATCAGCACTATTATGAATTATAAAAAACAAAAAGGATGAAAAACAGGGAAGAGAAGAAGGTGATACAGATAACAAGGAAACAATGACAAGATGAAAAATTGTTAGATTTACAAAAAACGTGTGTAAGTTGCCTGTTGGAGGATTCATAATTTTGTTTGGTTATAGGAAAATTTTACGCAGGTATTATAGTAATCATGTATTCTTTTTTAAAAGAGGGTTTCATTTTAAATTATTAGGTTATTTTATGAACCACTGATAAACAAAACTGCTGGTTTTACTTGTGTGAAAGTGCTAAGTTCTTCAGAGTTCTTGAAAATTGCTGGAGAGATGAAACAGCCAATTAAACACTTGAGATTTAAGTTCCCTGAAGATTTAACACTTGTCTAATCGAAAGTCTTGATTGATACATCACCATGTCATTTGCAGCATGCCAGGAATTTTTTGTTTCTGTGAGAGATTAACAGGCAATTTTATAAAAAGTGTTTTGTAAAGTGCCCTTTAAACCTTCTTTCCATTAGCTCACCTGCTTTCTTCTTGAGAAAAAAGTTAACAATTCTTGATCTTTTTTCTTTATAGCTAAGTACATCATTTTGTTTGTTTCAAATGGGTCTAATACTGGATTAAAGTTTAAAGCTGTGATGAGAATCAGCCTTTCTTTCTCTTGATTTACTACCCAGTTTTCTGGAGAGGCAGAGATGAAGCCATTTTCTGGGCATGTTGAATGTATGGACCACACTTTCTTTGCAATAATTCCTATTGAGAGGTAGAATGGAACTCCCTTTCCTCCATGACTGGCTTCATGAATAGAATATGTTCAAATTCCAAAGCTGGATTATAAGAAGGCTTCCAGACTCTGCCTTTGTCTCTTGGGACACTTGGCTTTGGCGACTTAAGCTGCCAAGTGAAGAAACTCAGGTACCCTTGGGCAGCCAAGCTAAGAGAAGCTCCTTACATGAAGAGGCTCTGAAGGATGCGACACCTTGTGGAGAGAGAGAGGGGATGAACAGCACGAATGCTCTAGACAAGAGAGTGAAGATGCCATCTTGGAGTGGATCATCCAGCCTCAGCTATTCCAGAGGATGCCATGGGCATCAGCTGAGCCCTTCCCATATTCCTGACCCAAAAAATCATGAACAATAAAAAATGTTTGTTTTAAGCCATTAAGTTTTGGGGGTAGTAGATTATGCAGCAATAACTAATCAGAACAAATGAAAGTCTAGCAAAAACTTGAAATATATTTGTAAGATCAACTTTGCTTTCTACTTGAGCATTTTGATCAGGGAAACATATTAGTAAAACATTTAAATAAATACTAAAATAATAAATTATAAAGGCAATAAAAGTTATTATATTAGCATGTAATAAGTTCTCTGAGAGAGTGTGCAACCAAAATCAAACTCTCCATCACAGAAATAACAGTAATAACAAAAAATGGATATTCTTAAGTCCATTCTTAATTCTCCCTCAAGCAATGATAAAATGTCAACATTTCCAACCACCTAAAAAATTCTGCAGAACTGTTTCTGCCTTTTTGACCTGGTTGAGAAATAATGAGAAAAGGATGTCAAGTTCATAAAAAAAAAAAGACAAATTATTTTGTCATTAGGGGATACATTAATCACTTTGTCAGGAGAAAACCTTTCATTGGAGGGATAAGCCAAATACAATCCTAATGTTAAAACTCCATTTTAATTGAAAAGAAGCCTTTGATAACCACACTGTAACTTCAGATGAAATTATTATTTTTAAACTTGTAAGTATGGATATTTAACATTAAAATATCACATTTCTTCCTATACAATTCCAATGAATGGTTATGGACAGCAAAGTGAAACAAGAGGGACTGAATAACTGATATATACAGGTGGGCATTATTTTTTTTTAGTAGAAAGTTTCTAAGAATTTTCTAGACAAAAACATTGAGTCAGACTTGATTTTTAATTTTGAAATAATTATTATAATTCTTCCTTTAGTTTTTTGAATTGATATAAACAAGAGTTTTCAACCTAATTTTATGAGTTATTGACAGGTAAGAGAATTGTGAGGAAAGGAGAAATATACTCACTCTGATAACCAAAGATTAACAGAAAATGAAGCATTTTGGAACAGGAACTAACAGAAAGTATGGCTGATTTCAAGCCTGGACAGTAAAGCAGTTTCATGCTCTGGACACTCCCTTAGCACACCACATACTGTTCAATTACTAAAAGGTGATCTGAAGAGGGATAACAGCAGACTGTCAGGAAGAAATGTCTCATAAATATTTTCATATTTCTTCATGATGTGAGCTTTCTGAGTTCTAGCAACCTGGGTTCAAACATGAACGAATGGCAAGAACCCTTTGAAAATTAAATTCAGATATGTCCTGGAGAGATTCAGATTTTTCTCCCCTGGAACCATTTGTTTAGATGACAAAGGGTAGTGATTCTGGAGACATTCTCTTTCTCTTCCCCGAGATAATTTGTTTATATTAGAAGATATGATTTCTCTTTCTTCTGAAGGGAGGATGGGCAACTATGACAGCCATTCTATGAAAGCTCAGAAATGTATAATTCGGGGGATTCCTCTCCTATGGAACAGACCTCTCTCTTCTTGCACAAACTGGGTATATCTGACTTTCATCACATCACCCTGTAGGGGATTGGGGTGTGGGAAACCAATACAAGATTTTTTTGTAGGTAATCATTCTGTTTTCTATGTCAGAAACCTCATGTTTTCTGTCAAGACTAGTAAAGATAGATATACAACTCAGGAAAGTGGTCTATGGGGTAAAATATCCTATCTTGTAGTGAATGCAATGTGTGTTGGGGTTTGGAGCTCCTTGAGTCTGTTAATCAGGTTTCTGTCTTCATCCTTTTTCTTAATGCTCCTCAAATAAAAATATTTTATTAAAGTTAGTGCTGTTTGTTTAAAAATATCACCCAAGATTAAAATTAAGCATTTATTTAACAAATAGAATTGCATAAAAACTTTAGCTAAACTCCAAATTCTGTGCATTACCAGAATTTGGGAGCAAGGGCCAAGTGGCTGCCAGCGAAGCAGAAAATTATTTCTCTCACTTTTATGAAATGGATGAGATTGTTGTGGATGAGGTTTTGCCAATTTGACATCCCCAACCATGAACAGTGTCTTGCATTAGGTAGTTCTTAGTAAACTTTAATGGGAATAAATCATAGAAGTAGCTTGTTTTAAGACAAAGTATGCATGTGTGTGGCTTCTGATATCAGAGAATCAACCCCAAATTTCATTATGGATTTTAATGTAATGATGAAACTAACATAACCTATAACCATGTTTAATATACCCATCATGAAAGAATGCTGTTGTAATAGAAGAATAATGGTCAACATGGAGGGTAAAAAGGCAGCAAGAAGAAGACACATTTCATCAACTTTTGGGAGACCGGAGTTGTCTGGGCTGTTTCATAGTTCTTCACATGCTTACATTGAAGAAGCCAGAGCTGGTTGGAGGCTAGCAAATGGTAAGGTAAAAGTCACATATCAATTTTCTTTCGTATAACCCAACTCTCTTTCATTTATATATACATGTGTGATGGATTTAATATATCAATAGCCATTAGTCACTAGCTGTAGCTAGTCACTTTTCAATTGATTACTTAGAAGATGCTGCCTTTATGTACTAGTTCTCATTTAGTTGCAAAGTTCAAATAGTTGACTTTAAAAAACTGTGTAACTAGAGTGAGATAAAGACATTGCAGACATGTGATCATTTTAATTCTCTTTTGTCTTTTTTGCCTGACCATTAGTCGCTGATGCACACTGGTAAGATGCAGGTTTTCATAATTGCTTTTGCATAGAATGCAAGTTTTTAATTTGCCCTAGTTGATGTTTTACTAAACATAGTTTAATAAATTCTATAGATGAAATAGGTTAGAATATTATACCCTCTAGAACATGACTGATACATGCACATAACACTATGATTTAAATTTCATTTATGACTAAAACCAGAATATAGTAACACACATTGGGTGAATAGCCTACATTTTCCTGTAGCAATGGAAGTGTGAGTAAAGAAGGTCCTTGATGCTGGGAAACAGTCATCTAGTTGGAGTCATCTTGGTAGAGGCTCCTCTGCCTATCCAGGCCACATAGTTTGATGGCAATATGCATTAAAGTCATTCATTTTGATTAATTCTAAACCTGTGCTTAACCAAACAACCATTTTTTGCTGTTTGCTTCTAAGAAGGCTTTGGATATTGGAAAGATGATAACATGGGGACAATGAATATGTCTTTGTGAATTAACCGGCAACTGCTATCTTTGTATTAAGGACCCTATTGGAATTCTGTACCTGGTAAGATTTGCTAATGCAGATCAATTAGTATCAGAATCTGCTCTAAACCCTTTGACAAAGTGGACCCCTGAGACCACAAGGGTCACTGATAGATGCCAGAGCTGTCCAGATTCCACAAAAATGCAGAACTTCTGTCACAGTGCTGAAACTTCAAACATAGGAGAGATTTAAATGGAAACATTAGATGCCAATACAAGGACATCCAGAGACACAGTTTATTTTCACATTTTGGAAGAAAAATCTTTTAAAGAGAATCTGCCATAATTGTGCAGAACAGGGAGAAGAAAGAAATAAGTCATAGTATCCTTACTGATATCCTGAAGGATACTTTTAATCTGGGGCTTGGTCTTTTGTGTTTTGTTATTATTATATGTGGGGAAGGTACTTTTTCTTGCATTACCTGGTATTTAACAAATATTCAGCTTATGGCAAAAGATGGAAGACTTGCTAATGCATGTATAAGAAATAAACAGGGTAAAATAATAAATGACACAATGTGCAAGGAAGCTCCAAATCCATAAGGCTGAAATGAATGAAAATGGCTTATTAAGAGAGAAGAGAGATTAAAGGAGGTATGAGGTAGAGAAGACATAAATGGAGAGAAGGAAAAATGAACTGAGTCTGAGATGCCCTCTCCAATCAGGTTCATGCTCTTGACATTGAGATCCCTGAGCAAGGCTCTATTCTAGCACTTGAGGGCACAGCACTGAGCAAGATAGATAGTGAGGGTCCCTGTTCTTATAAAGCACATTATTTTAGGAAGGAAGGACAAGGACGTTTATTTTAAAAGTAAATAATGAATATTCCAGATTCATTGTAAACAGAATATACCAGATGCTGTTTCAATGGTAACGATTATGTGATGAGAATAAAAAGAGAATTAAATGAAAACAACTTGGAGGAGGTGGCAGACGAAGCTATTAAAGATTGGGTGGTCAGAAAAGCCTCTCTGGTGAGGTAAAACGTGTGGTAAGACCTGAATTATAAAAAGGAACCAACTGAGAAGACTTCAAGGACAAACTTTCCAAGCTCAGGGAATAACCTGGGAAGAGGCACAAAGGTGGGACCCAGGTTGGCACACTTAACGGAGGCTGGTATGAAGGGAGCAGAATGAACCAGGTGGAGTGAGAGAGAAGAGAACAGAGAGGAGACAGGAGCAAGTCCCGTGCAGCAGGTTTTATACACCAAGGAAAGGAGATTAGATGTTACCCTAAGTAAATTTGGAAAGCTTTAGAGACTTTTAAGAAGAGAAGCATCAATCATGAAACTATCTATGATCCAAATCCTGCTTCTTTTTGGAATTTTAAAACATCTTAATTCAAATAACAAGTTGAGTCTTCAAAAATCAGTGGAGACTAAATATTCTTAAATATTATTTTGAAACAAAATGAATCCCATGATTTGTAAGGCAATTCCCAGTTTTTCAAACTATATTGATTTTTAAATATTATTTGACTTTATATGGACCCTTTGATCTATTTTGAGATACAGTTAAAAAAATCAATGTTTAAAAAATACTTGATGAGGCCAGGCGCGGTGGCTCACGCCTGTAATCCCAGCACTTTGAGAGGCCAAGGCGGGTGGATCACGAGGTCAGGAGATCGAGACCATCCTGGCTAACACGGTGAAACCCCGTCTCTACTAAAAAAATACAAAAAAATTAGCCAGGCGTGGTGGCAGACGCCTGTAGTCCCAGCTACTCGGGAGGCTGAGGCAGGAGAACGGCGTGAACCTGGGAGGCAGAGCTTGCAGTGAGCCGAGATCGCACCACTGCACTCCAGCCTAGGCTACAGAGCGAGATTTGGTTTCAAAAAAAAAAAAAAAAAAAAAACTTGATGAAATATCCATGGAAAAAACATTTTAAATGTATAGCCAAATATTATGCTATTATAATATCTTCAATTTCTAAAGATTCTGAAGAAACCAATTAGAATGAGAAATGAATTCAGCTGTTCTGCCCATGTGGAGGAGAGACAGCTACATAGAACAAGGAAAATAAAAGAGCTACAAGTTAGAGTTGCTGGTGTAGGAACAAGTTTCTCCATAAAGATAAAGGCAGTAGTATCAAAAAAAGGTCAAGAAAAAAAGAGAATACAGAAAAATGCATAAAACCACAAAAGGAGAAAGGGACTAATTTTCTTATTAGGAAATTCTTCTTAATGGACTTCAATTTCTATGCAGTTTTTTTTTTTTTGTAAAGAAACGTAAAGTTCAAATTTCTTGTCGAATAAAGGATGCTCAAAGAATAGTACCTGCAACTGACTCACAATAGAATTTTTTGTTGTTGTTGTTTGTTTGTTTTGAGACAGAGACTCACTCTGTCACCCAGGCTGGAGTGCAGTGGCACGATCTTGGCTCACTGCAACCTCTTCCTCCTGGGTTCAAGCTATTCTCGTGACTTAGCCTCCCAAGTAGCTGAAATTACAGGCTCGTGCCACCATGCCCGGCTAATTTTTGTATTTTTAGTAGAGACAGATCTCACCATGTTGGCCAGGCTGGTCTGGAACTCCTGAGCTCCGGTGATCCGCCTGCCTCGGCCTTCCAAAATGCTGGGATTACAGGCGTGAGCTACTGCTCCTGGCCTAGAACTTTTTTTTCTTAAAAAATATTGTCATAAATTGTCCCATAATATCTGCTTTTTCAAAAATGAACTTGACATTTTTCCATATGATTTGGTCAAAAGTTACTTCATTAAATAATAAACTAATAAATCAAGAAAATATACAGGAGCCTTTAGAGTAGAAACAATGAATCATACATCTTAGAAGCATAAACTGATAGGTTTGTTCAACTTATTTATATTTAGGTGAAAAGTAAGCACAATGAATTATACATTTAAAAAACATATAAGCATGTGATTTTATTCCAAAAGGTATGTAGTCTGGGGAGTTTTGAAGTCTTTCTTGCAGAAATATGTCCCACTATCTGTGAGTCTCATTTTCATAATATACGATCTTTTTAAGGATGTTTTATTGTGACAAAATTATGAATTGTAGTATTATGGACAATCCAGTTAGTTACTGTAGATTGATGCTGTTGAGACAGTAGTTTGAACAAAATGAGATGTTATACTGGCACTTTGTCTCAAATAAGGCTTTGGTGTATGTTAGCTCAGTAAAAGAAATATGGAAGGAAGAAAATGTTGCTGCCAGAAATATCCCATCAATGACGTGACACTAATATAAATGCATACCAGCCTTGCTTAAAGAGCCCCCTAAAGAATCTCTGAAGGTAGATGGGTAGATACTCTATTCCATCTGTCTTACTGTGTATTGGGGAAAGTATGTGCTCTGGACACAGATGGACTTTCTGGGTCCATCTGCAGCAGATGAACCAAACACATTTGAGCAGGGTTGAGTCCCAGCACAAATTCAGGCATTTTCATTTTTGAGAGCAAAATGAATCTCTGAAATTTATTTTGCTCACCTGTAAAATAGGGATAATGATACCTACTTTAGAAGCTCAAAGAAGATAATTTTTCTGAGTAACAGTGCAGAATAGGTAAGCACTTAATGAATAGTAACTACTAAAATAATAACAATAAAAGCATTTTGCTTTTTCTCCTCCCTTATTAAAGTAGCTTCTTCTATGAAGTAACAAATAGAAGTGTCTGAAAACAAAATGACCTTTCTCTAAATTGACTGCACATTGGGTGGAAACAGGTGTAAATGAAAAGAATGATGATTATGAGCAATAACAATTTATTTCCATTTTTATCACATGCCCTTTCTGATCTCTTAGGCTTCTTAAAAGAAATCTGTTTGTCTTATGTAGAACATAAAATTATGAACATTATTGATATTGAGAAAACAGTGATAACTAAAACATAATTATTTAATATTCCTCATTCAATATAATGAATTATCAGAAATATATTATAAAATACATATAAACATATAATTCATTGTGAATTATTTAGTTTGCAGAGGCAAAATAGTTTCTAAAAATACACATTATATTTATTCATGAAGTCTCTTTCTTTAAATAAATGAATAATTACTTCAGTAAATATTTTCATGCAATCCTTTTTTTATTATAGCACAAGCCTGAATATAATGTTGAAAAGATTAATTGAGAAATGGAAGCACTTGAAGGGGATCAAACTTCTCTTCCTTCAGTTTCTAGTCTAAAAACTCAAGAGGCTATAGAAAAGCCTCTGGGATTCCAGTCAACTAAAAAGAAGAAGTATATTCCAGCACACTTGAAATAGGCCAAAATGACTAAAGAAAAATAGTTGAAAAATGTATGTTAACCTTGTACTTCAAGCTCATGAATTATATAATAGTAACTTCTCAATACTCATACTAAAAACTTGTAGTCTAAACAGCATGTAGTTTGTATCACCTAGTTTCTAAGAGAGACAGGGAAGACCTTAATGGCAGGAAAAAAAGAAAAAAATATTTTTAAAGTAGGTCATCAACATATTAGAATGGTAGGAAAACTAGGAGTCAAGTTAAAAAGAAGAAAATAATGCATTTTCTTAGTACCATGTCTTTAACATTTTGCTTATTTACTATTAAAGATACTTCTTTTAGAAGTAGGTGTTGGATACACTTTGGTGGGTATGGAAGTGAAAGGGAAAAGAGCTTGAGAGTCATTGTGGTGATAGAGCATTTAATAGGTTAGATATTAAAAATGATTGGGGCTGGTGGCAAATCCTACGGTTGGAGGTATTTATTTTCATTTTTATATGAGCTTTGTATTGGGGTGGTGGCAAACCCTACGGTTGAAGGTATTTTTCGTTTTTATATTAACTTAGTTATTTTTGACCAATGTCAATTTGAACCTTTGTTGCAAGAATCAAAATGCAACAACTGAGGTAGATTCACATCTGTATTTGAAATTCGACTGTAGGACTTAGATTCCATTTGGTATGTACACACACTTACCCCCACTTGGACAAAATAAGAAACCGTGTTTGTGGGAGACTGAGGGATAGTGGCTGCGGGAGAACTGAGAAAGAGATGGAAAACAGCCCCAAGGAAGGAGGCCTAATAGTATTGAGAGGTTTGCTTCCAGGTGATGCATGTTTTCGCAGCCTCGGAGTTTCCACTTGAGAGTATTGCTCCCAAACAAGTTCCAATAAATATTTGCTAATCAGTTAACATTACAGATATGAGCAAGTGTTGTGGTTTCTTTGTTGTTGTTGTTGTTGTTACTGTGTTTTTTTTTTTTTTTTTATCTGTTGGAAGTCTTTTTACAACAGGACCATTTAATATACAATTTTATCATTCTAATATGATGTTTACCAAATCCTCCAGAATTAAGCCTATAAAGATGGGGGTTGGATGGTAAAGTAATAGCAAAAATGTATAACCATGCATAATGGATAACAAAACTGAAGAATCTCAGCATTGACACCAACCTATGAATACAATATATACTGATTGAATTTGATCGAAATAAAATCCCGCAGGGAGTGAAATCCCAAATATGGCTTAGACCTTGGCAGCTTTTGAGATCAGAAAGGAAGAGGGAAATGGACAACAGGGTGTCAAATTGAAGTCGACAATAGAATATCCTGGCACTTTGTGCCAGTGCCAGGTAGTTTGTTGCTTGATGCAGATGCTGACTGTATCACCACCTGGGAGCATGAGTCATTGCCGGTTCCTCACATCATTCCCACCATCTGTCTCGGCAAGCTTGGCAGCACAGCCAGCATGTGAAGGAGGCTGTGGGGCAGACAGAGGCAGAACCACACTGGCATATCTGGAGGCTCCAACCTGGCACCACTATTGCCGCTGGTTGAAAACAAATGTCTAGGAGGCTCCTGGCCTCAGCACAGGCAGGATAATATGAATATCCTGCACAGGCACAGCTAATAAGAATATGGATGGGGAAGGCAGGCAAGTCAACAGTACTAAGAACTGATAGCATATTCTTTTATTGTCCCTAAGGACACCGTTTTTCTCATTCACTCTGTAATATCCACAATCGCAGGCTACTTCCTGAAGAGATTGTGCCATCAATAATTAAGCACAAATGAGAGATTAAGTGGGCATTCTTCAGATTACCAGTAGTCACCTCTTAGATAGAGATACTGCTAGGATAAGGCACACAAGTTTCCTGTAACTTGTAGGGCCACAGGTGCAGTGACTTAGGTAGCAGGGAAATAAAGGTAGCTTGGCCATATAATGTAAAATATGCTGAAATCTTTATTTCCCCATATAAACCTTATCATTAAGGTCAATATGGAGCTACAAATATTTTGTGGTTATTTATATTTTACCAGCATAAGCATATTTTCTGTTGGGGTGGAAGAGGAAAGGAAGAGAGACAGCAATCTCTTTCTAGATCCAGGTCTACCTTAGAATATAGTCCCCGGGACAAGGAAGTCCTAGCTGAGGGTTCAACAGGGCAGGCAGGCCCACAGCCTCTCATCTGAGCAATCTGAAACCATTAGAAGGGAACCTCATCTGGTAAGCCCTACTCCTAGAAGAAAGAACTTTCTACAGGGCTCCTCTGAAAATGAAATGAGAGTAGCGCAGCCATGGGGCTGCTGTCTAGAGATGGTCTCCAGGTTTCATATGCTAAAAACAGAGCGACTTCATAATTTACCTTTCCAGGGAATATTTATTCTCTTGGTTGGACTATCAGTCTACACATTTGGGTGTTTCCTTCCTGTAGTTCCGTATCTATTAACTAGCCATAATGGGCTCAACTCTTAAATTCAGAACTATTTCAGCACTGACAACATTGCTTATACCAAGTCTGTATGAGTAAAGTGACAGAAACAGTCAAGCAATTATTTGGTGATGTTCATCAGTGTGAACAGTTTCTACACTCAGGGGCTGAGATGATGTAGAAGGGATATTGTTGGCATCAGAAATTCTGGAAAGTTTTTTTCCTTGCTGAAGTTCAGTGATGTTTGAGCAGGTAGACAGAAAAACCCTAACCTTCCCTGACACAGTGGTGCACAGAAGGATCTAGCAAAATGGTAGACGCTTGAGATTAAATCCTGAAGAGGCTTTAACTGAGCAAATATCTGCAAATTTAGCTCGGTCCAGAAAGAGTATTCAGCAGGAGCAAGCTGACTAGTGGATCTCACATGTGCATGATGTCAGGAGGCCCTTCCCCCCTCCGTTGTTTTCTACATCCCTCCAGCAACTGAGAAACCATGGGGTAGAGTGAAAAAACAGGTGCTTCATTCAGACAGGCTTTTGCTTAAATCTTACCTCTACAGCATGCCAACTGTGTGAACCCGGGACAAGTTACTTAACCATGGTGGCTTCAGTTTCCATATCTGTTTAATGAAGAAAGTAATACCGATATTCTGAGAGCTGTTCTGAGGATTACACTTAAAAATAAAATGCATAGTGTGGTGCTGAGTGGACAGCAGATGATCAGTAATATGACATTGAATGCTGATGAAATTATTCTTGGGGTGACATTGAAACAGAACATCTACAGCCATCCAAATAAGGTAACACTACAATGTATGGACTACTTCACATGCATATATTGTGCTTTTTTGGTTGCATTCATAGTGTGTTGCCCTTCAAACTTAAAGGCTTTAGGTAATTGATACTACACGGATAGAAAAACACTCAATTTTACTATATCATTCTCCCCATATTTTCAGTCAGGTAATACTGCATTGCCTGAAGAAGATTATATGAAGGCTGAATGCAAAATTATATAATAGATTTAAAATGCACATATACTAGCAGTATAGTGTATACATGTGTGATTAAGTTCAAATGAGATCTCTGCATTCCCTTGGTTCATCAGCATGTTTTCATCATGTAATACAGAATGCCACTTCATCCCCTGGCAGCTGCTTCATAACTCTCTAAGTCTTGGAATGTTTTAAACTAGGCCTTTACATTTATTACCTCTGTGAAGCTCCTTCGTATTTCATTTGTCTGAGTTAAAGATCAGTCCCTGATTTCCTTTCTTCATTAACAAAATACTTAATACTTATTATTTGGTAATAGATCTTCCCAAATGACTATGTTTGCTGAATGCTAATATATTTACTGTTCAGGAAAATAAAACCTGCAAGACAGCGAGGTCTTGTAATATGGGAAAGTAAGTTATTAGAGTGAGGGTTTGTGAAAGCCAGAGACAATATTAGAGCAGAGATCAATTTTGAATTGTTTGCCCTGTCAAGATGAGCATTTTAACATCTAAAGATGCCATTAATTATTTTCTAATGAATTTGACAGTATTAGGATTACAAGTTATAGTCAAGGATACTGCCATCCTGTTTGTCCTAATATTAAGCAATGATATTTGTTAAGGATCCCAAAATGTCTTCAGTAAAAGAGGCTGTCAACATGTAAGGAATACATCACCAAGGCAAATGATATGTGGCCTCATGGCATTCAGTTAAAAATAATGGCAACAATTTACAACAATCACTTTCAAATCAATTTTGATGCAAATTATTTTTCCATTAAGTAGAAACAGAACATCAAAGTGCACAACAATATGTATAATATGCTGCATTTTGTGTATAGAGGGTTAAAAAAGTAAAATGTGTGCTTCAGAAACTCTAGAAAGACATGCACAAAACACTCACACAGCCCAAACAATGGTCATGTGTAGTCAGGTGACAGATATGGGTGGATGGGGAGTGAGGCCAACAGCTTTAGGCATTTAAAAATTTTGTTTGATTTTGGAACCATGCAAATGTATTACCTATTTACAAAATAAGATTTTATAATATGCCTTAATGACACTCCATTGGATGGATGTTCATTTTCTCTTACACTTCTTTAATCCAATTATGCTTTTCTAGAAACTGGACACCACTGATCCAGGTCAAAGAAAGAATGATATGTAAAACTAAATGAGATATTTCCTGACGTATTTTTAATAATTATAAAATTGATGTCATATTAATAATTTCTCCAGTGACTTTTGAGATACCTACCAACCCATATTAAAGGCAATTTTTGAACTGTTCTTGGGTCAGCTTGATCCCAAAGCTGAAGAGATTGAGGAAGGATGTTTCTCCCAGATGGTAAATTATTGAGTAAAGAAATTGCTCAGTTTAATCACTTATGAAGGCTAGGTTTTCCAGTATAATAAAACAAACAGCATACCATAATCCCTTGTTAACTTTTCAAGCTGCTCAGCAAGCATGTTTTGGTGAATATGAACAGAAACATATCAAGTGTGAATAAAAGGAAACAACAAAACCTTGTCAGTGTTTTTGAAAAAGAATACTGCTATACCTGTGTTTTATTTTAAATAAACAGGTTCTGTCATATTTTATCTTCTTGCCAGCAAATGAAGGACATTGTTTCATAAAGCTTCTAAAATGTACATGAATATTTAATTAAATCATATTTCCTTGAGAAAATAAAGTTCATTCGCATTTATAGCAGACAGTTGTGAGGAGCTCATAATTGTCATAAGACCAGGGTAGCCAGTACCGGTTGCTTGTGGAACAAAACTCCTCAATTTTTAAAACTTTTTTTAAAAAATAAACATACAATCATAGGTATTCATTTACTTTAAAAATTCTAAAGATGAAGAAAATTATTGTTTATATATTTAAGTCCTTGTATAAATTACAAAACTCAAGTTTATGTTACAGAGTCCCTTCCCCATAGGAAGCATAAAGCACTTTTGTGGTACCTTTCACCAGTAAATATTTGTATCACATTGAATTTGAGAAACCAAATAAAAGTCGATATTGCATCTTTAAGCCCCAAGAGAACATTCTTCTAAGCTGTCTCTTGTGATGAATGCGTTTCAAAAGTCATTTGATTGCTATGATTTAACTCAATCTCAAATAAAGTTATATAAAAGTAATAACATATTGACTTCAGTAGAAATCTGAAACATCAGTGAACTGCAGACTCTTCTTGCTTGAGGTCAACAAACACCCTTAGGAAGACAACCAAGAGTAGTTTAAGACCAGGACAACAAAATAAAATTATAACAATAATAATAATAAAATAACAATAATACAATAAAAATAACAACAACCAACAATGAGGTAAACTCCCCTTAAAAAAGGCAAAATGTGTTGCCTGGACTGTCAGGAGAGAGTTCGATTGTACCTGACACCTAAATGTTTTTCAAGCCAGAGTTCAGCCAGTTGCATGGTTGAGGCGAAAGTACTTGCCTTGGATCCTAAGCACATCTTATACTGCTTAGGGTCCAAGTTAGGATCACAATGAACTGGATGGAAAATATGCACCACTCCTACTTCTTGGCTTCTGAATGGCCTTAAGCCAGATAGAATGACTTTATTGTAGAGATCTACATCTTCTAGTCCCCAGCCTTGTATTGAGGTATCAAATCCACCTGCACCTAGAAGATCACTTTTGTAAATACAGGTGATGCCATATCCATAGTCTCTCCAAAATCCAGTCTTTTTTGAGAATATGAAGTAATCATCAGTGGGAGGATTTCCCCCGTTTGTTACCTTTGGGTCATACTGGCTAAAGATGATGGGATAGTACACCTGTTGTCCCTGAATTGTATTGTCTCTACATCGTTGGAGAAAATCTTCTCTGAAGATCAAGTCAACATCACAAAATAGCAGCAAAGTGTCATTGTCAAACTGGGCAGAAGCCATTTCAAGACCAAGACCTCTGGAAAACTCTCCCTTCATTGGGATCAGGGTCATTTCTGCTTTGGGGTACTTGTTCTGGTACCCTTTTATCAGCTCAATATGCTTGCTGGAGTCTTGGCCAGAATCCCTACTGAAAAGGATAATGACCAACTTTACATTCTGCTTTGGGATAAGACACATGTTTTCAAAGTTCTCCATGAATCTCAAGAAAATGTCATACCTTCCGATGAGAGGAACGAGAATGTGTACTTTCTTTTCATTGTGCCCTCCCATTTCTTTGGCACCTTGAAAAGAAGATAATATCTTTAAAGAATTAGATATAAAGGAGAATGACTGAGTTTCACTGTTAATACTCTCCACAAGACTGTTGACATCTAGCTCTTCGGTCTCTCTGAAGAAAGGCTTGCTGAACAACTGCTGAAGATAGGCATGACGTCTCACTGGCACAGTCAGTTTCCTTCCCTTGTGTCTTTTGTATAAAAGGAGTAAATCCAAAATGTACTCCACCCCGTGCATGGGGTTAACTCTGCGGTAGCCATACTGAATTTCCTTGAAGTCAATGAGCCGTCCTCTGCTCTTGGCATTCTCATTGATCATCTCCATCACCTGTAGGACGGTATCATCCAGTGCTGTTCTTAAAATGCTACTGAGGCTCTGTCGAGGGGGCTGGTTCTCAGCTGCTGAGTATAGAAGCTTCCCTGTCAGGAACTCCCATTCTATCACTTCATTTCTCTCCCGAGGCTGGAAGTGGTTGAAAGAAGGTATCACTCCCAGCTGCTGGTCCTCTTTGCTCACTTCTGTGTTACTGAGCTTGCTCATCAGGGCACTTTCCCTGTGGAGCTGGATGGTGCGGTAGCGAAGTTCAGAAATTTTGCGGCTGAGCATGTAATTATGCAGCCTGTATTGGTATGCAGGCCTTTTGTTGGGATGAAGTGTTATGGCTGCATGGATTTTGCTATTGTGAAGGTCTTGGATGTAACCCTTCCGATTGTGTTCATAATTTTCATGGAACAGTTGTTGCATCTGAAAAGTAAAATTAAAAAAATCAGGGTTAATTTTAAAAGATTTATCTAAAAAGAAAACCAGCGATAAACTAAAGCATCTAAATGAAAATGTTAATACATTTTTGGTATGGTATTTCATAACAAAAATGGTTTGTAATATTTATATTATTTAAAATTAAAATAGTTTTATTATTTGTAATTGGTAGATGAAATTCCATGTACTTATCATGTACCACATGTTTTGAAGTATATATATATAATATATAGAGAATATACATATAGTGGGATGAGTAAATCTAGCTAATTGATGTATTCATTACCTCACATAGTTATTATTGTGGTGAGAACATTTATCATCTTTTTTTAGCATTTTAAAGTATATAATATAGTTATTAACTATAGTCATCATGTATTCAATAGATCACTTGAATTTATTCCTCCTATCTAACTGAAATGTGGTATCATTTGACAAAAATCTCCCCAACCCCTCTCTCCAGCTGGCTTAGCCCCTGGTAACCAACATTCCACACTCTAGTCCTATGAAATCAACTTTTTGATTTCTATATATGAGTGAGAGCACAAATGTCAGGTTCATAGGCTCAAATATTGCAAATGAACCTCTAGCTATACATAAAACAACAATTGACTGTGTCCATAACCCCATAACAGATCACGGAGAAGGAGAGAGACAGAATGGACACAGCATGAGTCTTCCAAAATAAGGATTCACCCTAAGGAGGAAAACCAATGACCTGTTGTTTGGAATGGCAATAAGAAGTTATTTGCCAGGGGAGTCGTAAATTTCATTTAGCATCCTGATATACTATTTTTACCGAGTAAGTTCTTGGTAAGATAAGGTGAAACGGAAACTATACTGATCTACACTCCTGATGTAAAGTATCATACCCAAAATAGACATGCTTGACATCCTTATGAAACAAAAAGACTTTCTGCTAGTCTAGAACAAATTCACTAGTTCAGGCAGAAACAAAAATGAAAAAAAATATGTAGTTATGAGGACAAAGTTCAAACCGCCAGCTGATTCTTCCTTTTCTGCCAGTCGATTAAGACACCTCCATTATACCCACTCGAGATACGTGATTATGAACAATAAAAAGAAGGAAGAAAAGAGGGGATGAGGAGAAGGAGGTGAAAAAGAAGAAAAAAGGCCAGCAGCACCATGTCTGCAAATATACTGATGAATAAGAAGAAAGAAATATTGCAAACTTAAGAATACTCATCAGAAGCAGGTACAAATTGTACATAAATTTAAAAAAACAGCCTCTTCAAAAAAAAAACTCAATTAATAGACAAATAAGCTTAAAAAAGATAAAAAGTAAACTGGCAGGGCTAAGGAAAAAAGGGAGAAAAAAATAAAATCATTGATAGACATATTGCAAGAAGCATAAAAAGAGATTTGTGAAAAACGTAGGAAGAAGAGACTTGAAAAAAATTAGCAAAGTAATAGAAATATAAAATAGAGCTTACAGTTTGGAGAAAGGGTGGTCTTTTAAGTAATTAGTGCCAGATCAGTAGGATATTCATATAAGGGAAAAAAGTAAAAACGGATCCCCTACATCCTACAATGGATGACCTGTTGATGTAAACATAAAGGTTTATTTTAGAAAAAGGCTTTAAAAAGTTTCTAGAACTTACATGAAAATATCTGCAAGACTTTTGGGTATGTGAAGATTTTATAAATAGGGCATAAGGCACTAACCATTAAAACAGACTAATACATTACATTATGTTAAAGTTAAGAACCTTGTTCTTTAAAAACACCATTAGGAAAATAATAAAGGGCAATTACAGAGCAGGAGAAAAAAAATTCAATAGATTTTATGAAAAAGAACCAATTCCCAGAACATATAATAAACTTATACAAATAAGGAAAAAAGGAAGGACAAACCTAGCAGAAAAGTGACAAAGAAAACCTGAATGAGTACTTCACAAAAGAGTATGCAAATACTCAATAGACATATAAAAACATTCTCTACTTTATTCATCATCAAGGTAAAGCAACTTAAAATTACTATGGGATAACGTGATGGATCCACAAAAAAACAGATAGATAATACTGTGCATTGTGAAGGCAGTGGAAAATTTGGAACTCTCATACACTGCTAGTGAGAATATAACTTGGTTCTATCACTGAGAAAACCCGTATCAACTAAAATGAACATACATATTCCCTATGAGTCAGTAATTCTCTCTTAGATATATGCCCAATAGAAATACATATATATATATACATACATACACCTAAATATATATAGAATAATTTTCGTAGCTGCATTATTCATACTCCAAAACTGAAAATAACCTAAATTTACATCAAGAACAGAATAAATGTAGTATATTCATGTAATGAAAAACAATACATCAATTAAATACTTGAAATACTACTTGCAACAACATGGATGAATCTCACAAAAAATGAAAGAAGCCATATACATTTTGTATTATTCCATTTATGTGAAATTCAGAAACAGGTAAAGCTAACCTATATGGTTTGCTGTTGGAATAATGATCAAGAATCAAGAAGAGGGAAGCTTCTGGAGTGCTGGTAATGTTCTTTTATTTATCCAGGTGGTGGTCATATGTGTGCATTTAATATGTGAACATTCACTGAACTGCTGCTTAAGATATATTTATCTGCTATACTCCAATTAATGAAGGACTTTATTTTGAAAGTATGCATATATATGCACATAGAATTAGATATGCTTTTCTGACATGTATGTTCATAAATGTGTGGATATGTGGGCCTGGAGAGAGAGACAGAGAGAGAGAGAAGATATCAGAGAGATTTTCCCAGAGTTATTCACCCAAGTGTCTATTGAGAATGATGAGAATAAAATTAAAACTAGAATTCTCATGATTTTCAGTTTTTCTATAGATCATGATACATTTTGAACATAGCGAAATTGTTCTAAGAAAAATATGTGTAAAATTTATTTTAAAAATTATATTAATTTGCTTGAAATAATTAAGAACCTTTAGTTTAAGCTGGCTTCCTCTCCTTTAAAGAATTATCAGTGGATTTCATGGAACCTCCAGAACATTACACGGCAAAGAAAAATCATTTCACAACAACAAAATCACAGCAGCAATGAACACCAGTGTGCCCCGACTGACCCCAGTGCTTTAAGCGTATCACACATGATCTCACCCTCTGAGAAAGATTATCTGAGAGCCTCTAGGAAAATCTTCTCAAAAAACCTAACAGAAGAAGAATAAATGCCAAGAGGTAGTTTTATGTTGAATTATTTACTCTTCTACCGCATTAAACTTTCATTACCTTTCTTAGAATTATTAATAATGAAAACATAGCATAGGTCATTTCTGAAATGATCATAGCTATATAAATGAGAAACTTTTTTGTTTTTTGTTTTCTTGAGATGGGGTCTCACTCTGTCGCCGAGGCTGGAATGCAGTGGCCTGATCTCTGCTCACTGCAGTGCTCCTGGGCTCAAGCAATCCTCCCACCTCAGCCTCCTGAGTAGCTAGGACTTATAGGTGCATGCCACCGCACCCGGCTAATTTTTCAATTTCTTTTGTAGAGATGGGTCTCACTATGTTGCCTAGGCTGGTCTTGGACTCTTTGGCTCAAGTGATCCTCCCACCTCAGCCTCCCAAGGTCTGGGATTACAGGCATAAGGCACCGTGCCCAGTCTTAACTGAGAAACTTTAAAATATTAAAAAAACAAAAAACAAAAAACAAAAACAAAACAGGAGTTGATTACTAATAGGCACAAGGTAACTTTTGGAGCAATGGAAAATTTGTAAAACTAGATTGTGGTAATGATTGTATAACTGTATAAATTTACCAAATATCAGTAAAATGTAATATATATATGAAGAAAATTTTGTGGAATGTAAATTATACACTGATGAGGCTATTTAGAAAACAATAGGGAATAAAAATAAAATACCTCTAACTCTAGCTTTAAAAATGAAGAGATGGAATAATACATAGTCACCAAAATACCTTTAGTCACCAAAATATGTTTAGAATTTCCAAAAGCTTCTGAGGTTGGGCAGGATCATTTGGAAACAGGGGGAAATGAGAGGCTAAGCAGATCAGTGTCAGTGCCCAAAGGGTTCAAGGGTAAGAGATCTCAGAAAGCACCAAGAAAATACACTGCCTGAAAATGTAGGGCATAAAACTTACTCTGCATTTACAACTCTAAGTTCAGGAACTCAGGTGAGCTGGACAGGCGGAATAAACCCTGATGGCAACATTTGGTTTCAGAGAAGTAGAAAAGACACAGGTACAGAAAGAATTAAACACTTAAACCCTAGTTTCATGAAGCACGTTTAATCTGAAGCAGCAGAGAAAATCTATGTCTTTTCTTTGTGGAAATCAGCAAGCCAAGAATTATAGCAAACACTCCTACCAAAATAAATCTATGCTGAATTGCTTGTCCAGGAAAAATGTAATTTTTTTCAGAGATGAGTCATTTATCTAAAAAAGAAAAATAGTGTAACACTGACACAAAGTATAAAAAAAAAAAATTAGATGAAAAACTACCACTTCCTTTTGCCCCCAGAAAAAAAGCCATGAAATTGAGAAAAACATTAGGCACCTGGTTTTGAAAACATATGAAGAATTTGCCTCTATCTTCATAAACAACAAAGGGAAATGTAAGAGCTCAGGGATATGATAGTAAGATGAAATGTCAGCTCAAAGAACAAAGAAATAAAGAAATGATTAAAAAATAAACTCTATCACAGGCATGAAAATAAAATCAGAAAAAAATAGGCACTGTGGAAAGCTATTATTAAGGGATAGAACGGCAGAAATTAGGAAAGTGAAATAGAAATAAAGAGTTAATGACAGACAAGAGAGAAATCATATTGATAGGAGGGTAGGCTAAGAAAAGCCAAAAACATGCTTAGAGTGACTGGAAAAAAAATAAAACAGAAGACATAAAGATACAATTTAAGAAACTGTTATTGAAATAAAAGGAGTATAGTATCTATATTAAATGGTCTTACTGCGTGTGCCAGATAAAATCAACCCGGAATGTTCAATAAAAGAACAAAATCCTTTGGAAGGTAGATAAAAAGTTCAAGTCAACTTCTGAATAAAAATGGTAGATTTAACAGTAATTTCCACATTTACTATTTATTGAACTCAATGAGGACAGTAATAAAGTGAATCTTTAAAGGGATACACAAAAACATAGGGAATAAAAGTGGAGGACACTATAATTGTGGAAGTTGACTGCACACAGATAAGTGGTAATAGATCTAGCAAATTGTAGAAAACTGAATTGTAGACTTGCAATGGGCAAAACCAAGAATAAACTTAAATTGAACCTTAGAAACCCTTACTGGAACCTCCAGAAATAGGAGTAAAAGTTGGTTGAGTGAAAATAATCAGTCAGATTGTGCAGCCAGACAACTGACCCTCTCTGAGCAAAAAAGTAATGTTAACAAATTCAATATTTATTTTCCATCATCTCTGAATTTAGGGATATCCTTGTCATTGTTGACAAAACCAAGTCACTTTTTCAACGTTTCTCATCAGATTTTCATCCCTTATGCTCAATCTTGAGCAGTTTATTAAGGATAGAAGCCATCTCTATAGAAATAGAGAATATTCAGGTAGAAGAAGACAAAAAAATGTATAATGAATTACTATCTTCAGAAAAGTGAGGGAAGATACTGAGAACATAAAACCAGACCACGGCCGGGTGCTGTGGCTCACGCCTGTAATCCCAGCACTTTCGGAGGCCGAGACGGGCGGATCACGAGGTCAGGAGATGGAGACCATCCTGGCTAACACGGTGAAACCCCCTCTCTACTAGAAATACAAAAAATTAGCCAGGCGTGGTGGTGGGTGCCTGTAGTTCCAGCTACTAGGGAGGCTGAGGAAGAATGGCGTGAACCCGAGAGGCGGAGCTTGCAGTGAGCTGAGATCCTGCCACTGCACTCCAGCCTGGGTGACAGAGTGAGACTCCGTCTCAGGAAAAAAAAAAAAAAAAATATATATATATATATATATATATATAAATATAAATATATACATATATATATAAATATATATATATACACACACACATATATATACATATAATACTAAAAAAAGACCACAACTATATCCATATTTATCCATGTTTATATGTTTTATTATATCCATCTATCCACACATAATCACACATATCAAGTACATATGTAGAAAAACCAAAATATAAAATGCACCAAAATTAAAATATAACAGAAATTTTAAAATGCAAAAGAAGAGTTGGAAAATAAAGGTAATAAAATCTAGAAAGTTAAGCAAAAAGACAAAAAAAGAAAATTTGTGGGAAAAGTTTAAGGAATTAAGGAACAGTTCAGGAGATCCAATATCCAAATAACAGTAGTTCCAGAATGAGTGAGCAGAGGAACAGAGAGGAAAAAATTATCAACAAAATAATTCAAGAAAATTTCCACAAAATGCAACAGATGAAGGGCTTGAGTTTCCAAATTCAAAGGGCTTATTCTATAAAAGCTAAATCCGATGAAATTAGACCCATATGAAGCACACCACTGTGAAATTTTAGAGCCTTGAGGCAGAGGATATGTTAGATGCCTCCTGGGAGGACAGTGATAAAAGGCTCAAAAAGCAGCATGTCTATAGACTTCTCAATGAAAACTGGAAGTACAAAAAGTAATCAAATAGTCATTTCAAAATATGATGAAAATGGCTTCAAACCTAGAATTCTATAGCTAAACAAGATATCAATGAAGTGTTAGGAGAAAATAAGGTCATTGCTGTACCTCAAAGAACTATCTTTCAAGCTCATTTCTCAGAGAACTATTAATAGATTTGTTATTCCCAAGCAGAGAGAAAATCAGGAAACAGAAAACATGGTGCAAACAGGAACATAAAGGGCAACCAATAGATATTTCAGCAGGTCAGAAGGCAAAAAGAAGGGATTGTTCAGAAAAATAAATTGACAGAAAACCCAGTGAATCTGGAGAAGCAGTTAGTGAAGAATACAAAACATATATATATATATACACACACACACACATATATATACACACACTCATATATATATATATTCATATATATATGTATGAAAAATTATTATATGCCCCATATGAAGTATAGGGAGTCAAGGACAGGATACACATGTGTGATTGTGTAGGAAAGGAAAGTTAACTAAGTCAATAGAAAATGACTAAAACTGAAAGATGAAGAAAAAACACAAGGAAGTTATTAGAGATGTGGTAATCAAAATAACAAGTATTTAAATTCAATCTGTTTTTTATACTTTAAGTTCTGGGATACATGTGCAGATACATGTTACATAGGTATACACGTGCCATGGTGGTTTGCTGCACTCATCAACCCATCACCTACATTAGGTATTTATCCTAATGCTATCCCTCCCCTAGTATCCCACTCCTCAACAGGCCCTGGTGTGTGATGTTCCCCTCCCTGTGTCCATGTGTTCTCATTGTTCAACTCCCACTATTAGTGAGAACATGCAATGTTTGGTTTTCTGTTCCTGTGTCAGTTTGCTGAAAATGATGGTTTCCAGCTTCATCCATGTCCTGCAAAGGACATGAACTCATCCTTTTTTATGGCTGCATAGTATTCCATGGTGTATATGTGTGACATTTTCTTTATCTAGTCTATCACTGATGGGCATTTGGGTTGGTTCCAAGTCTCTGCTATTGTGAATAGTACTGCAATAAACATACGTGTGCATGTGTCTTTATAGTAGAATGATTTAAAATCCTTTGGGTATATACCCAGTAATGGGATTGCTGGGTCAAATGGTTCTAGAACCTTGAGGAATCACCACACTGTCTTCCACAATGGTTGAACTAATTTACACTCCCACCAATAGTGTAAAAGCATTCTTATTTCTCCACATCCTCTCCAGCCTCTGTTGTTTCCTGACTTTTTATTGATCACCATTCTAACTGACGTGAGATGATATCTCATTGTGGTTTTGATTTGCATTTCTCTAATGACCAGTGATGATGGGCTTTTTTTTTCATATATTTGTTGGCTGCATAAATGTCTTCTTTTGAGAAATGTCTGTTCATATCCTTCGCCCACTTTTTGATGGGGTGCTTGTTTTTTTCTTGTAAATTTGTTTAAGTTCCTATGGATTCTGGATATTAGCCCTTTGTCAGCTGGATAGATTGCAATAATTTTCTCCCATTCTGTAGGTTGCCTGTTCACTCTGATGATAGTTTCTTTTACTGTGCAGAAGCTCTTTAGTTTAATTAGATCCCATTTGTCAATTTTGGCTTTTGTTGCCATTGCTTTTGGTGTTTAATTATGAAGTCTTTGCCCGTGCCTATGTCCTGAATGGTATGGCCTAGGTTTTCTTCTAGGGTTTCTATGGTTTTAGGTCTTACATTTAAATCTTTAACCCATCTTCAGTTAATTTATAAGGTGTAAGGAAGGGGTCCAGTTTCAGTTTTCTGCATATGGGTAGCCAGTTTTCCCAACACCATTTACAAAATAGGGAATCCTTTCCCTGTTGCTTGTTTTTGTCAGGTTTGTCAAAGATCAGATGGTTGTAGATGTGTGGCATTGTTTCTGAGGCCTCTATTCTGTTCCATTGGTCTATATATCTGTTTTGGTACCAGTACCATACTGTTTGGATTACTGTAGCCTTGTAGTATAGTTTGAAGTCAGGTAGCATGATGCCTCCAGCTTTGTTCTTTTGCTTAGAATTGTCTTGGCTATACAGGCTCTGTTTTGATTCCATATGAAATTTAACATAGTTTTTTCTAATTCTGTGAAGAAAGTCAATGGTAGCTTGATGGGGATAGCATTGAATCTATAAATTACTTTGGGCAGTATGACCATTTTCACCATATTGATTCTTCCTATCCATGAGCATGGAATGTTTTTCCATTTGTTTGTGTCCTCTCTTATTTCCTTGAGCAGTGGTTTGTAGTTCTCCTTGAAGAGGTCCTTCGCATCCCTTGTAAGTTGTATTCCTAGGTATTTTATTCTCTTAGTAGCAATTGTGAATGGTAGTTCACTGATGATTTGGCTCTCTGATTGTCTATTATTGGTGTATAGAAATGCTTGTGATTTTTGCACATTGATTTTGTATGCTGAGACTTTGCTGAAGGGCTTTACATACTGGTAATGGGATCACTGAAACAAGAAGAGCTAACTATCCAAAATATATATGCACCCAATACAGGAGCACCCACATTCATAAAGCAAGTTCTTAGAGACCTACGGAGAGACTTAGATTCCCATACAATAATAGTGGGAGACTTAACACCCCACTATTATATCTTTTCCATGTGTGTCTCTTTTCCATGTATGTCTCATTGTAATTCAGGGGGGTGCATGTGCATTGCAACGAAGTGCTTAGATTCTGGAGCCAGATGCCATGGATGGAGCCAGGCTCTAAAACTTAATAAACATGTGACCTTGGACAAATCCTTTAACTTTTTGTGCCTCAGTTTAACTATTTGTAAAATAAGAAATACCATAAATAGTATATACCTCATAGGGTGGCTGTTAGTGTTAAATGAGTATTTGTATTTGAAATATGTAGAAAAGAATGTGGCATATTGTAACTGCTTAGTTATTATTATTGTATATAATTAGTTATTGTTGTAGTTGTTATCTTTGTAGTTGTTGAAATTTGTTTTTATATTATTATTAATGTAGGTATTGAATAAATGAGTACATGAAAATGCTCTTGATTAAATTTGCCTTAGAAAATGATTCAAATATGTTTACAATAGCTATCATTTGACTTCAGATCATAATTTGAGAACTAAGAAACTAAATTATCTCTGTTGAAAGAGAAATAAGAGGCCATACTATCATGGGTAAAGCTGTCTGTGAAAATCTTTGGTCTTCTCTATGAAGGAAAAAAGTCTCCTTAATTTACTTATGTAAAGAAGTTACTTCAATCTGAAAGTTATTTTGTTTTCATTATGCTACTACTTTTTTTTTTTTAACGAGAAAGGATCCTCTAACTTGGAAAAATCTGTTTGTATCTCTTCTTAGATATGAGATTAAGGAGGATTTGGGAGAATGAGGCATTCCTTTACCAGGAAGTGAAGACTCTGCAAATTAGAAAAATTATGAAGGCATGTAAGAAAATAAAAAATCATTTAAGTGGTGTGCAATATAATGGTGAATATGTACCTATGGGTTCAGTAATTTGCTTTGCAAATATTAAACCCATTTTATTGTTGATGATTTAGTTATGTAACTAAATGGAGAGTCTTATTGTCCTTAATGAAAATGACTAATAATCTTTCCTTTATAAGACTAGTGAATATAAAAATTCTAAGTAAAATAGTGAATTTTCAAATTAACACAATTGTTTGCCCTCAATTATTGTCTGCAGATATTAAAAGTAAGATTCTTAAAATGTGCCCTACTTCTCTGGTAATAATGGTAAAATAAAAAAAAAAGCCTGATTCTCAATATTAAAGAAAATAAATAACTTGAGGGAAAATAAACATACATATTTCATTCTATAATTATGGAAAGAATGAAAACATGTTAAAGAGCGTATACAGCTTGAATAAATTGTTTAAAGCAATGATCTGGTATAAGAATAATAAGGTACACTCTTCTTCATATCCTGTATGCATATTTTTCATATAAAATAAGAACATTTTGCTACTAAGATTTCTAAAAATAATAACACCTTGATAATAGATACATCTGATCTATAAACTCTGCCTTTAAACTCACTATACAACGTGATAAAATTGCATGAAACTAAATCCATGTGTGTATACATGCACACAAACACCCATACACAGAGTACTTGCAAAACTAAGAAAATCTGAATAACATCAGTGGATTATATCCATATCCTGGTTGTGAATATAGTTTTGCGAGATGTTATCAGTGAGAGAAACTGGATAAAGGACACATGGAATCTCTGGGTATTTTTTTTTACAACTGTATGTGAATTGATAATTATTTCCAAACAAAAGGTTAAATTTAAAAAATTATGATGCAAAAAATAAAATATTTTGTCTCTTGTCTCTCTCTCTTTTTTGTTTTGAAGGAAATCCCTCCCCAAATGTATTAGTAGCAGTGTTGAAAACGTGTAGTCCAAAGGCTATAGACGTAATTTTTGTTGCTGCCTTTTTTCTTGGTGAGTCCAGTATTTTGAATACATTTGAATTTGAAAGATAATAAGCGAGCAGTGCATTTTCAAGTTACTTTCAGTCCCATCAAATTTCTCCATGTTTGTTATAAATTTAGGTTGTCATAAATATAAGTTTTCTGAAAGCATTTTAAGTTTGTGGATATCCTTTTAAAGTAAGTTTTAAAAATCTTAAAATTTCTTTTCCTTTTGAAATCCTATCACTTGCTACAATATGGATGAAACTTGAGGACATTATACTAAGTGAAATAAGCCAGTCACAAAACGACAAATACTCTATGATTCCACTTATAAGAAATATCTAAAGTAGTCAAATTTATAGAAATAGAAAATAGAATGGCAGTTGCCAGGGACTGGAGTGAGAAGAAAATGGGGAGTTGCTGTTCAGGCACGGAGTTTCAGTTTTGCAAGATTAAAAAGTTCTACAGAAACATTGCGTAGCACATTAATATAGCTGATACTACTGAATTGTACACTTCAAAAGAGTTACATGTGGCCAGGCACAGTGGCTCACACCTGTAATCCCAGCACTTTGAGAGGATGAGACAGGCAGGTTGCTTGAGTCCAAAATATTGAGACCAGCCTGGGCAACATGGCGAAACCCCATCTCTACAAAACATAGAAAAATTAGCTGGGCATGGTAGCACACACCTGTAGTCCCAGCTACTTGGGAGGCTGAAGTGGGAGGATGGTTTGAGCCTGGGAGTTCGAGGCTGCAGTGAGTTGAGATGGTGCCATTGCACTCCAGCCTGGGTGGCAAAGTGAGCCCCTGTCTCAACTGTCTCAAAAAAAAAAAAAAGAAAAGAAAAGAAAAGAAAAAAAAGAGTTAAATAATAAACTATTCTTTTTCTTCAGTTTTTATTTTACACAACTTTCATCTTTTCCTAAAAGTGAATGCATATCACACTCTGGCCAATTAATATACTTCGTTATAAATGTTTCCTTCCGGATTAGCTTTATTCATGGGCAAGATCTCTCTTGTAAAAGGAAAAAAAAATGGTTGCCTTTGACCACAGGCTGATATTTTGCACACTATAATCCTAGAGAAAGAAAAGCAGACCTCACCACCCAGACAGGGCAGAGAAGTGACATAAGAAAAACTGAGTGCTATTGAGAGCACTGAACACAGCACTGAGCTATGCCTAAGGCCAAAGCACACTCAGACTTTCTGGCTTCCTAGGACTATAGTTTCTTCTTTTTTCCAGTTAGTTTAGCTGTGGTTCTGTCACTTGCACCACAAAGCATCCTGTCAAAAACAACCTGATAAGTGAAGTTGCAATTTCAGCTCTGTACTAATGCTCTGTATGATTTTGAAGAAGGTTTTCCTTCTGTTTAATTAGTTAGTTCAGTCTTGGTTGAAATCCAAGTAACAATCTGATATGGGTAATCTGCACCATTAAAACTGACACATTTTTCCTGTTTCATTTTTTTTAGCTATTTTAGTTTTTAGAAAACCTGTCAGACAACACAGAAAATAGCTTGCAGATAGCAACTCTTATATGTGATAAAGATTTCTCAGAAAGATATATTCTATACAACTTAAAAACACTTTCAGACAACATGGAAAATAGCTCATAGATATTAACTCTCAATCATTGATATAGATTTCTCAGCAGAGTATATTCTGGACACCTGATGTCTTGGACAAATACCAAAGAGATTAAAAATCTTAAAGAAATCACTAAGTTCATCAGGTTTGTTTATCATGGTATAATGACACATAATCATTTGTTAGTTTAAATAAACCCTTATGCCTTAATTAAAACTACCCTTTTAGAACTAAAATATCACTCTAATAAGAAAAAAAATCTAATGATAACTGAACTTAACTGCTCATCTATCTGCCTGATTTAGCCTGACATACACATATTCAGAGTGACTATATAGATATTTCCTGAGATACAGTTAAGATAACGCTAGATGATTGTTAAAATCTATACATTTCTCTTCCTCTGTATACTTTTTAAAAATTTGGTAAACTTTCAAGTAGAATTTTACATTTATTTTTTCCCTAAACATTTTAAGTACTCACTATTTATTACAAAGAGGAGGTAAAGAAGAATATTACGTTTGCAAGTTGCCATTTTGCAAACACGCACACACCCTTTATTCATGTAATACCAACATAACGACTCCCTTCACTAGTGATTGCATTTCCTTGTAAATGATGGGTTCAGAGCATAACTAACAATAGAAAAAGGGAAGTTATCATTTCCAAACTAGGCTTTCAAGACCTCTGAAAAACAAAATGTAAAGTAATAGTTACTCAAACGACTCAACAAGAAAAAAAAAAACTTGATTAAAACTGGGCAAAGGATATGAACAAACATTTCTCAAAAGAAGAAATACAAACAGCCAACAAACACATGAAACAATGGTCAACATCACTAATCATCAGAGAAATGCAAATTAAAACTACAATGAGATATCATCTTACACCAGTCAGAATAGCTATTATTAAAAAGTCAAAAAACAACATGTTGGCATGAATGCAGATAAAATGGAATGCTCATACACTGTTGGTGGGAATGTAAATTAGTTCAACCTCCATGGAAAACAGTATGGAACTAAAATAGTAAAGAACTAAAAACAGAACTACCATTATACCCAGCAATCCTACTACTGGGTGTCTATCCAAAGGAAAATAAATAATTATATACAAAGATACCTGTGCCTGTATGTTAATCACAGCATTGTTAACAATAGCAAAGTCATGGAATCAACCTAAGTGTCCATCAACAGTTGACTGGATAAAGAAAATGTGGTATATACACACCATGGAATACTATGCAATTATAAAAAAGAATGAAATCATGTCCTTTGCAGCAACACTGGGTGCAGCTGGAGGCCATTATCCTAAGTGAACTAACTCAGAAACAAGAAACCAAATACCACATGTTCTTTCTTATAAGTGAGAACTAAACAATGGGAACACATGGATATAAAGACGGAAATAATAGATACTAGGGACTCCAAAATCGGGGAGGTGGAAAGGGGGCAAGGGTAGAAAAATTATCTTTCGGATACAGTATTCACTATTTGGGTAACAGGTACACTAGAAGCCCTGTCCCTACTAGTACACAACATACCCATGTAACTAATATGCACACGTACCTCTTGAATCTAAAATAAAATATTTTATTTAAAAATTTAAAAATAAAAGAAAGATGGTAGTTGCTACAAAATTTCAGAAGACATTAACCCAATTCATGAATGTATTGTATCCACAGAGGAAATATGAGTGTATGATGTCACTGATCACGCATAAAATCATACCTCCCTTTCAGATAAAAAAGAGGAAATTACCTTCTTTCTAATTCATATGTTTCATTCCAGTTTTGAACGCTTTCAAATACCAAGTAGATTCTTATTTAACTAATGTGCTAAAGCAAAAGCCAAAGGTTGGATTGGTTGTAATTACTGTTTTTTTTTTTTCTGTGCTCCCAAAATTCAAGCAACCAACTGTTTAGCCTTGTGAAAAGCTTAACATAAGCTTATCTAATTCTGCATAAACATTATATCATTCACTAATGTTAGAGAGCATTAAAAAATGGGTCAGATAAAGTTAGGACAAACTTAGGATTTTTTTGTTTGAAGGATAACATATACTTCTGTGAGTGTCAGCTTCGGCTACATGATAATTTCCAGTGATCATCATTTATGCTTCTGTAGTAATCTTCAGGGAAATTTGGAATGCTGTATAAGGAGGTAAAATGTGACCACCTTCCAACAAATAGGAGGGCCATTGTGCAGTGTTCAGTGTTAATTGTTTTTTACGGAGTTTCTTATGTCATTTGGTCTATATTCAGATATACTCAGAAATGGAAATTAGGTATCACATTGTCAATATTTAAGAGTGAAAAATTTATATTCATTATGTATGAAATGGATCTCAGCTCTCAGTATGTTGCAGAGTAATAAGGTACAGAGGAGAACATAGTTCACTGCCGTGTATACAGTAGATGCTGAAGAAGGTTAGTGAAATCTAATTGACAAAAAAAATGGAAACCATGAGAAAGATGTCATACTATACTCTATGACAATATGATCATTTCAGTAATTTTGCCTGAACAAACATTTCTTGATTCCATCCTCCCTAACAGTTTGGCTCCCTCTCCTACTCGCAGCTATATTTATTCATTCATTTACAAATATTTCCTGAGTTTCTAAAATGCATCAGTTACTATAGATAGAGCAACAACAACAACAAAAATGGTCCTTGGCCTCATGGAGCTAACTATTTAGTGACGGAGACAAGCACTAACTATACACATTCATAGACAGCTGTGTAATTTTGGCCAGTGCTCATTGTACTAATTATTCTATATTGTACTTGCTGCTTTATTTGATAGCATGCCTTTCTAGATGACCAGCTCCTAGAGTGTAGCCTAGGCCTAATATTTAAGAATATATTTATAATTAATTTTTAATAAAGTAATATATGCCCTCCAAAACTAGCTGATAACCAAAACAGAGAGCAAAATATTTACTGGAAGAACTTTGTCTAAAAGACAATTCTCAGAATTCTGCAGTATTTCCCAAGCTTCTAAATGTTTCTTTAAGTTAAAAAATAAAACGTAACTTAAGACTTTACACATCTGTGCTGCAAAAGATTTGGCACATATCTTAGAGCTTTTATATCTTATTTAAGTAGTGACTCATAGGCCAGTACTATTGTAGCATGACTGATGGGAGTCCTCCATCTCTTTACTATTTTCGTAATTGATGCAGTCATCCAAGCAGGGAGAAAGGGCGAAGACTGCCATCATCATTCCTGCTTTGTGGCACTGGGATGTGAAACGACTGTAGGAGTCTAAACTGATTCTAAGTCAGGCTGCACTCCATCACATTAATAATTTCTGCACAAATAAATGAAGTGCTGCTGAGAGACCACAGTAAATGAGAATGACAGCAAAGCCCAATGAAGGCGTTTGCCAGCTGCATGGAAACAAGGTAGTCTTTCATTCAAGAAATAGCACAAAACTAGGGCTTCTGTAGGAAATTTTAAAGTGGTGGAGTTAGACCTGGGTTTTGGGGACCTTTCAACTACTTAAAGGAAAGAAAAAAGAACCTCTTCAGCATATTTATCTGTTATTCTATCAGTGTGTGTGCATGTGTGTCTATTCCAGGCCAGGATTCCCTTTCTGGAGTCACAGGTTTGGTTTTGAGACCTGCTCTTCCATTCCCAGTCTGATATTGGATTAAATTTTCTTCTAGGAAAAGGAGAGCTCCTAGATTTTTTTCTACATTATTTGAAACATGCATAAATTAGTATCTGACACAGGGTAAATACTCAATAGGTGTTGCTATTATTATTATTTAGTAAACTTTAAACAGTGAAATCTCTTGCACTCTAAAGCACATTTCAAAGACATCCCTTCTGCACCTGAATATCTAATTTATTAGTTTTCTAATGAGTAACCTTTAGTTGTACATAATACTTAAAAGTTTTAAGATTGTATTATATATTGTAAAGTAAGAAAGGGCTTATACTTTTAGATCAGTTTCCAGATCAAGTAAAATCCAATACCCATCAATGCGTGGCCAAGATGGCCTTAACATTTCCCTCAGCTTGAAATAACTTAGGTTTCTTCCTGACTATAGATTCCAGATCTCCTTTTTCTTAGAAGATTTACTTTATAAAACTTGCAGTTGTAAATTCCTTTCTGCCCTATTGAGATGTAAATCTTCCAGCTTCTTGCCTGCCAGTTTTACAATCTAGAAATGGCTTTCTCAAGGTACTATTAGCTATCCTTTCAAAATGTAATCATCAACAAAGACAGCCCTCCATCTCTTAGTCTCTGTGGGAGGGTAGAAGCCTAACTTTGATAAACACCAATTAGCAAACACGGAAGGCCTGATCATACCAGCCAACTTCCCCTCTAATGTCTTCCAGTACTTTTCCACTGGCTCACCCCAGCACTTAAAAACTCTCCAGGTAGTAATCACTTTGCTTTGTGTATGTATATAAAAACATCAGTTGTATACCTTAAATTTACACAATAAAAAAGGAGCAGGGGAAAAAAAAGGAAAACAAACAAGCCAAAAAACTCTCCTTCCTTTTGTTTCAGTGGGAATTGAGTTCAATCTCTCTCCCCTATTGTAGTAGTCTTGAATAAGTCTTCCTGGCCTGTTTACCTCCACCTTTAGTAATTTTTCTTTGATGTGGATCATGGGCAATACTTAATGAAGCATTGTGTTACATTGCTTAGATCCCATGATCCACTTAAAACTCTTTCTCCATTAGCTTAAAAAAAGAAGGAAAGGCTCAAATTAAGATCCTACTCCTTGTGGTGCAATCAAGGAGATTAGTAGTGTTTCCTTCCAGCTGATTTTATTAACATTAAAGCTTTATGATAAATTATGAAGATCCCTAGAGCTAAACATCCAATTAAAATAACATAAGCATGGCAAGATGTCTATTATAATATTTTTCTTAGGAAAAAATATCCTAATTATAGTGCTGTGGACTTCTGCATGGGCACAACACTGCTGTGGGAATGGATGGTAATCACAGTGCTAAATAACAAGTAGGTATTTATAAGATAGTGCTAACAAAAATCAAGTAAAGCCTAATCTTTTTAAAGTCAAGTTTTCCGGAAATGAAGATACAAGGACTTGAGTCACTTTGATCTAATTACATTGATATATCCTTACTGGAGACTAAGTATAACTTACCTTTCTTTCTTATGTATAAAGTTGTCACCACAAAAAGAGTAATTTACATAACGGAAAAGGGTAAGTTTAATAAAATGATTTCATGAGACCCAGTAAGTGTCCTAGTGACTCACTGTCACCATAATAGCTTTGGTAAAAGAGTAAAGAACAATTTGGGTTTCAAGTCTGCACAGTTATCTTTTAAAATGGTTTAAATGGAGTTTTAAAATTTTTCTCTCTGAACAGATAAAATAAAATAAATGAATTATTTTTAATTCTATAAAGCAGATATAAGATGCTAAGGCAAAACTGCTGAGATTTGAGGAATAAAACTATAATTAGTACAATCAATGAGCTAAATAACTATATTTTATAAAGAAGCAAAGCTAAACACTCCAAATCTCACTAGGTTTTGGATTTGTTTTCATGGCTCTGTTTTCACTACTATTGCTCCTAATACTAATGGACATTTAAATTTATTTTACATACTGTTTACAGAATTGTTTAAAACAGATCAGTGTAATCAAAATATTCACGTGAATACCATCTCCAATTCTTTATATATTGTATGGCTAATCTCAATGGCATATTCATTGAGAAAATATTTCACAAAAAGGCAAATGACTCAGAATCATATTTCATATATGATTTATAGGGCCCTTAGCCATTTATAAGGAAAAAATAAATTTAGATCCATACCTACCTCATATCTTACACTAAATACAGTAAATACATATACATATATACCTGTATATGTGTTCAGATATATGTGTGCACATAGATATGTGCATGTATCTCAAATATATAAAAGATCTAAATCCTACTCGGACCCTCTCCTATAAGAAAAAAAAATACCATAAACTAATGGGAAAAGAATGTAGGTAAATATTTACCTTTTCTAAACATGGAGAAGTTCTTTTAAAGCAAAAACAAAACTATAAACAAGAAAATAAAGGACACGATAATGGATTTTAATAGTACATTAACATTAAAAGCTTCCTATATCAAAAGCAACAAAGATAAAATTAAAAGACAAATTGGGAAAGTGATTTTGCAATAATGATGTCATGTCAAGAGTTAGCCCTAATATATCATTATAAATCATTATTATATCATTGCTCTCCTTTAAGCCTCATTACTAATTCCAATCTATTTTACCGATCTCTTGAATCTTGCTTCTCTTCTTCATATCTTCTGGGCAACCATCCTGGTCCAAAATCCCAAGAACTTTGTCTGCAATAGCTACCGGTCTGCCTACATCTCATCTGGCCACTCTCCAATCAGTTCTCCATGATGCAACATGAGGCATCTTTCCAAGACGGGATGTAATCATATGACTCTCCCTTCTGTCAATGCCATCCACTGACCATGGAATAGATGACTGTAGAATAAAAAGCTCTTATGGTCTGGTCCTTGCATTCCTCTCCAGCTTTCTCTGCTACCTTTCACCCTCTATACTCCACCAATACTGGCTTCTTTCTCTCCTAGTGCCTTTGCATATGTCTTTTTTTTCTACTTAGGGTGTTCTCCCATCTGTCAATACCATTTCTTTTCCTATTTAACTCTTACTCAGCTACCTCATGGACACTTTCTCTGACTAAATCAGGACTGGTATATGTCTCCTGGTACTAGGTGCCATTTTTTCCTCACTATTTAATCAAATTATAATTTTACATTTGTTTATTGATCTAGATACATCTGGCTTCTTAACAAACTCGGGAATTTTCTGAAGGATAGGACTGTGTCTTTTTTTCACCATTCTATCTCCAGTGCCTGACATCCTGTAAATGGTGCAGGGCAGAGCTGTCTGAGAAGAGAGACTCAATGCACATCACATGCCTATGAATGGATTCTAGATTTTCAGAAAAGATGGAGTCTTATGGATCCAACCAGAATAAATCTGGTCTTTATGTTCCTACTTTAGAGCCATCTCAATACAGTGATATATTGAAAGAGGGGGAAATGAAATTGAATAAAACATATATATACTAAAACAAAGAAACAAATATAGTTTCCTCTCCTGACATCTCAATTCTCTACCTTGTACAACTGTTTTCCTTCCTGATATATAGACTTCTTACTCCTACAATGTTGTAGACTCCTCCTTTCTTCCTCTTCCCGCGTCCTAGTCAATCAATTTTATTTCTTTTTTACAACTGCTCCCTAATTATCCTGTTGTTTCTTCCCCTCTTATTACCTGGACCCTGGCTCAAGTTTGAATTATTACAAGTATCTTTATTATAGGGCATCGATATTAATCCTCAAGGAAGATATAGATCAAATGAAATACAGATAGAGAGTTTTTAACATTCTAAATCAGAGAGAGGCCCAGGAAAAACCAGAAGGACATATTAACAGGGCTCTGGAGCCCATTTTTCTCCTCCCTTCAATCACGGCAGTTCTGCTTTAAGCTGTTACATATTAGGTTTCCAAGTAGTCGTTCACTTGAAGAGAAAATTCTGTCAAATGGGAAAAATCGCTGTTATCACCTGAGTTTTCACCTTCTTGCATAGCTCTGTTAATCTGAATGCTACTCATTCCTTAAATCTTGCTAGATGCCTATCATATAGATGCATCCTCTGTCAACTCCAGGACACCCTGACTCTTCTTTGCAAGGTATCACAGAGCTCAATATATCACATAGTTTGGTGTTTACTATAATGCTTTACTTTCTAATTTATTCCTCTATCAATTAGACATTTATATGTTAGTTAGCTAGCTTAGTTATTATTTTCAATCCTCCCCCATCCACAGTTAAACTGTTAAGTTTATTTTGGCAAAGGTAATAACAATTTTTTCATTTCACTCACTGTGATTAGTATTGAGATAATTCAGTATGGCAAAATTTAATAAATGACCATACTTTTAATGAGGAAGAAAAAATAGGTTTTCTCGAGAAAAATAGATTTTTTTTTCCTCAGAGAATAATTTAGAAGAAATGGGAGCAACTCTTTGAAACCTCAAGTTAAGAAAGGTCCAGAAGTTGAAGGGAAAGTGTCATTAATAGTTGGGAGTGAATTCCATGGGTCTGGCATATGTCATTTGTGTAAAGAAATGAAATGTGAAGGCATCCTCTTTCTGCTTAAATGTCTTCTTTGCCAAAACAAACAATTACTATATATATGTCTATTAATTTCTCTAAAAAGAAGGAAAATTAACCAAGAATAAAATGTGCTTTATTCTTGGTTAATAAAATATGTTTCATTTCATTCTTATTTTAATCAATACTGTGTTTCTTTTGTTAAATAAAACTATGTATCTCACTAATAGCTTTATTCTACTCTTCTCATGTTTAACTTTTTTTAAGAATGATAACTAACTTAGACATTACTTTTGTGCCCCACATGTCTGCTTTCCATGTAATCTCTCCTTAAACTTTATTTATTTTCTTCATGGGTGGGGTAGGGCTGGGCATCACGAAGTGCATGATGAGTGAATTAAATCATTCACATCCCAGAGTGCTGATTTGCACAAGTTGCACTGATTGAAAAAGTGCTTGTTTGGTGACAAATAAACTTGGAGGTAATTGCAATTACACAGAGAAAGCACAATATTGCTACATTCACATCACCTGAGTTTAGATCTGAGTTGATTGCGGCTATGTAATTTATTCCATTTGCATTGTGCCAGCCACAGTACAATTGGTATGTGGCCTTTCTACCATCCTTCAAGATTCACTTCTTAGGGTGTCCTTCCTCACAGTTCTGCTCCAATGCTTCTAGTTGGAGAGAGCATAATGAGAAATAACATTTTTAAAAAAAAGATATGAGCCAGGTGTGGTGGCAGGCACCTGTAGTCCTAGCTACACAGGAGACTGAGGCGGGAGAATCTCTTGAGCCCAGAAGTTCCAGGCTGGAGTGAGCCATGATCATCCCACTGTACTCCATCCTGGGTGACAGAACAAGACCCCGTTTCTTAAATAAGTCAATAAATAAATAAATATAGGAATCTAGGGAGTTTGCTGTATGGCTTTACAGAAAGGAATATTAGGAAGCAGCTGATTTCATAAGGAAGGTCATTGTACTGAGAGTCCATCGACCAGCTTTGTGATAGTGGGCAAAGCACACTATTTGTCTATGTCAGTCTTCTCATTTTTTTAAATGGGGAGAAAAATCATTGCTTTTTCAAATGTACAATGCTTGTATGAAGGTCAAAAGAGGACAGTTATGTGAAAACATTAAAATATATTTATATATCATACATTATTTAAATGTGCAGTAGACACAAATGGATCTCTGGTTAAGTGTACATTTTTAAAATAAATATTCCAACAAATCGAGGAATGACTTTTTTATATCACAAAAATGTCAATAGGTAAACGGTTTATTGAGGGGTAAAATTAATTGACCAAATAATTAAATTAAAACACTATACAAGGATAGTCTTAACTTTTTCTTTCTTTCTTTCTTTTTTTTTTTTTTTTTTTTGAGACAGGGTCTCACTCTGGTTGCCCAGGCTGCAGTGAAATGGCACAATCTTGGCTCACTGCAGCCTCAAACTCCCAGGCTCAGGTGATTCTCCCACCTCAGCCTCCCTAGTAGCTTGAATTACAGGTGCACACCACCACATCTGACTAATTTTTTATATTTTCAGTAGAGACAGGGTTTCACTATGTTTCCCAGGCTAGTCTCGAACTCTTGGACTCAAGCAATCCACCAGCCTCAGCCTCCCAGAGTGCTAGGATTACAGGTGTGACCCACTGTACCTGGCCAGTTCTAAGTTTTCAACTATTTTTGAAGTGAAGAAGTCAAACATTAAAGTAGTGATAAGATAGAATAAACATTCTTTATTATAACAAGTTTATAATGGTTGTAGGACTGACTGATATACCTTGTAAAATAGCTATGCTAACATAAGAGCAAACTCTGAATAAATTGCAAAATGTAACCACAATTCTGAATGAGAATATAATTCCTTAAAGTTAATGTCTACATTAACTAAACATAATCCCTTTTTAAATAGAATGCAATTCCAGAAAGTATATTAACCTTTAAAACTTTAGAACTTGATAGGCTTTTCATAAAACTTATGGTGTTTGCACAAAACTGGTAAAAAAATCTTGAAAAGAAGGACATCCAATTTATTTGAGTAATGTAAGGGAGTGGTAATAGTACTAGGATAGATAAATAGATCAGTAGAATAGAACGAACAATCCAGAAAGAGCACTACACATTCCAGAAGTTTAAAAAATTAAAAGGTAACATTTCTAATAAGTGGTCAAAGGATTAATCATTCAACAAGTGCTATTAAAACAATTACCTATCGGCTGGTCGTGGTGGCTCACGCCTGTAATCCCAGCACTTTAGGAAGCAGAGGCGGGTGGATCATGAGGTCAGGAGATCGAGACCATCCTGGCTAACATGATGAAACCCAGTCTCAACTAAAAATACAAAAAATTAGATGGGCGTGGTGGTAGGTGCCTGTAGTCCCAGCTACCAGGGAGGCTGAGGCAGGAGAATGGCTTGAACCCGGGAGGTGGAGCTTGCAGTGAGCCGAGATCGCGCCACTGCACTCCAGCCTGGGCGACAAAGTGAGACTCCGTCTCAAAAAAAAAAAAATAAAAAAAAAAAAATAAATAAATAAATAAAAATGATCAGTATTTTACATCACTTTCTGGAGCCATTCCCTGGTATTCCCTCCAAAGGATTATCTGTAGTTGTAGTGAAACCCCTTTACTGGTCACACACCCCTCATCCTCCACTGAACCCTCATTTGGCAAGTAGGTAACACCATCTAAATTAGAACTGTCCTAAACCTAGAGTTAGGCAAAGAGTTGAAAGCAGCATAGGTCCCTTCTGGCTAATGTTAGGACATTGCATTTAATTGGGGAGAAAGACTCTTCCCCTCTGTGAGAATAAAAGAATCAAAATTCTTTGGCTCTGATGCAGAAAGCATCTCCAAATGCCGAGGACACCAGGAAAGCACAGAGTAGGTGCTCAGTAAACTGTTTAGTGGATTTCAAAGGAAATAAAGAAGTAATGGGCAAAGGGATGGATTTAAAAAGGGAAGGAGATAGGTCTCTGAGAAAGAAATGAGGTCCAAAGCATCAGAAAATGAATGGGCCTTTGATAGGAGAAAGGGCCATCCCATGTTATAGTAAGGGGGATTGAAAAGATAGTGGGCAAGGAGGAAAGCAGGACTGAGGATTTGGTAGTGAGGAGATGAGAAGCTTCCTATGTTATGATTTCTAAGTAAGGCAAGTATTGGGAGTCAGATGGACAAGGAACTTGCTTGTTCTCAATTTAACTCCGCTTGGTTGAAATGGGTAAATCTGTGGTTCCAATTTACATAATCTTTCTATGAATAAAAATAGAATGCAAATACTCAATCTGCTCCAGATTTAGATCCAAACTGGAATGCAAAATTTGACAGAAATCGTCTTCTCAGATGGAATAATCTTTAAATCGTGCTAACAGTCTCAAAACAGAGTATCTCCAGTAACATATGCTTTCTTTTTCTGTAACCTGGGTGACACCTTCAAACTCCATTCAAACCACTGTGTTGCCTTTGATTTTCTTCAAAAAAAAATGCTACTATTAGGGATTTTTAGTTAGAAATATTCTTTGTCACATTAGGTATGCACTTCTACCAAGAAACTGTTCCATGGTAAGTACTGTCAGTAACTGATTGCCTTGGATGCATTTCTTGGCTAATTTACAGTGATCACTGATGCTGATCCTTGCTCTTGCCCTTTAAATTATTACCAATATCCTAATCTCACCAATCATACCTCTAGTCATGTGTATCTAAGATAAGAATAATTGATATATGCTAATTTGCTTAAAGGTATTAGACTTAATTTGCATATTACAGAGAAAATGCAACGACTAGATATTGCATTCAAACTTTTACTTCACTTATTTATACAGCCTCAATTGGAAAAATGAAAAAAAGCAGTAAGAAGAGGCTGCACAATAAGTAAAAGAAAAGTGCTTAAAACTAAATTTAAAGTGATTCAAGTACTACATAAAACATGCTTTTAAAAATCTTAATGCAGAATTGCGGCCAGGTACAGTGGCTCAAGCCTGTAATCCCAGCACTTTGGGAAGCTAAAATAGGCAGATCCCTTGAGCCCAGGATTTTGAGACCAGCCTGGGCAACATGGTGAAACCCTGTCACTACAAAAAATAGAAAAAATAGCAGAGTGTGGTGGCGCACGCCTGTAGTCCTGGCTAGTTGGGAGGCTGGGGTGGGAGGATCACCTGAGCCCTGGGAGGTCCAGGCTACAGTGAGCCATGATTGTGCCACTGCACTCTAGCCTGGGCAACAGAGTAGATCCTGTCTCAAAAAAAAAAAAAAAAAAAAAGACAAATCTTAATGCAGAATTAAGAAATAAATGTTTTAATGTTTTTTAGTAAACCAAAATTCTGCTTGGTGCCATGGTTCACGCCTGTAATCCCAGCACTTTGGGAGGCTGAGGCAGGCAGATCGCTTGCACTCAGCAGTTCGAGACAGACTGGGCAACATGGTGAAACTGCGTCTCTACAAAAAATAGAAAAATTAGCAGGACGTGGTAGCACATGCCTGCAGTTCCAGCTACTTGGGAGGCTGAAGTGAAAAGATCGCCTGAGCCCTAGGAGGTCGAGGCTGCAGTGAGCTGTGATCATAGCACTGCACTCCAGCTTGGCCAACAGATGGAGATCCTGTCTCTAAAATAAATAAATAAACAAACAAATAAAAAAAATGGAAATTCCCTTGATGACAACTTTCTTTTTGTCTGTTCATACTTAAGTAATGCTTTTCAGAAACTTGCTGCAAAAACTCTAGAATAAGTTTTCAGCTCACCCATACTTTCCTTTATAAAAGGTCACCACTTAGAAAATTCATTCTCCCTTGACTAATGGCTGATCCTGACTTAGAATCAAAGGCTGTCCAGAGCATAATATTGGGCACTTTAAAACACATCTTGTCTAGACCCACATTTGATGATAAATGCCTTTTATCTGATCTCTTTAAACTGGGAAATTGACATTAAGTATTTGCCGGGTACCACTTGTTGGCTAAGAAGTACTCTAGGAAACTTAACGTAGGGTATAGCTAGATGTTACTTGCTTCTTTAAGAACAGGATACAGCACCTCTACCATTGTTCTTCATTCAGAGCAGTGCAATGGTAGAGTTGAAATTCAAACTCTGGCATGTCTGGCTTCAAAGGCATGCTCCTGCCACTCACCACACCAGCCAGACAACTTTGATTGTCAGAGGTGTTTGTGAACCAGAGCGACTCCATCTTGAATAGGGGCTGGATAAAATAAGGCTGAGACCTGCTGAACTGCATTCCCAGTGAGTTAGCCATTCTAAGTCACAGGATGAGATAGGAAATCAGCACAACATACATGTAACAAAGACCTTGCTGATAAAACAGGTTGCAGTAGAGAAGCTGGACGAAACCCATCAAAACCAAGATGGCAACAAGAGTGACCTCTGGTCGTCCCCACTGCTTTTAAAATGCAATTATAATGCAATAGCATGCTAAAAGACACATGACAATTTATAAATGCCATGACAACTTATAGATGCCATGGCAATTTATAGATGCCGTGGCAACATCCAGAAGTTACCCTATATGGTCTAAAAAGGGGAAAAATCCTCAGTTCTGGGAATTTCCCACCCCTTTCTTGGAAAACTCATGAATAATCCACCCCTTGTTTAGCATATAGTCAAGAAATAACCATAAAAATGGGCAACCAGTGGCGCATGCCACTGCTCAGTTATTTCTTTACTTTTTAAATAAACTTGCTTTCACTTTACCCTATGGATTCACCTCGAATTCTTTCTTGCTCGAAATCCAGGAACCCTCTTTTGGGGTCTGGATCGGGAGCCCTTTCAGGTGACATGATGATTGGGATTCAGTGCCTCTCTGTTCGGTTGACTCTTTTTTAGACAGATGTGACCCATAGAAAATTTTTCTCTACTAAACGAAAATCTTTGGTCCTTTAAATCTTAGCGACTGGTATTAATTCTAACATCTAACATTGCCAAACTCAGGTTTTATTCCTTCTTCCATATGACATGTCTTCATGTTATAGATAGCTTGGGTCACTTAGGTCTGCTGCTATGCAGCCTAAATAGTTCCTATTAGCACCCTAGTCTCTCTCCTTTAAATATGTTTCTACTGAATTGCAGTCCTATTAAGGTATAATAACCAAAAGTAAACACATAACAGCACTCCAGGTATGGCCTGAGTATCTGAGCACCAGATTTGGCTCATTGTTTTGGCCTTTTAAAAATACAGTAGATCATTATTCCCTTAACTAACATTTATTCTATTAATCTTCACAGGTTTTAAAACATGATGTGCTTGCTGTCTGTAAATTTACCTGAGTCATTGATAACAATGGGAGAGAGAAGTCAACTCTGTGTGGCTCTCTGGTCCAGACTGATACTTAACCTCAACATGTGCACATTTGGGGACCACAAGTAAGTAGTTCGTAAACTTGTGTTTGAATCAAAGCCTCACCTCAAACCAGCCAAGTGATTTAGAAAAGGAATTTAACCCCAGTTTCTTAATCTACAAATTAGGAATGACAGTATATCCTTACAGCTGCCATAACAATGATATTTGTAGATTCTAAGAGAGTCTTCACACAGAATAGATATTCAATAAAAAGTGTTTTCTTGCTGTTAAAAAAGTTTCCATACTGTTGTCATAGAGATGGGTGTCAAAAAGCCTGATCCTATGGTTTCAGCCAGTAGCTGTCTGTAAGATGTAGCTTGCTTGCCCATAGTCAATCTAGTCCATGTATTAATCAATTAAACCCCAGTAATTTGTTTATCTGCTGCTTAAGCAAAACCATCTATGTCTTTACTAATATTAAGCCCTCTTTGAGCACTGAGTGGAAGGGTGTTGATGCTCAGAGAGCATGATATGTTTGAACTCCCAGGCTGGTGCCACAAATCCATCCTTGGCTGCCTTTGACTTGTTATAGTCCTTCATTCAAATCACTCAGCCTTTGTCATTCCACTTTTCTGATCTGTAAAATGGTGATATTGACCCATCTCACAGGTATGCTGCGAAGAAATGCTAATTAATAGTAGACAAAACACTTTGAAAATGCAAATTGCTATTTAAATACTAAATGTGTGTATTCAACAGATGACAAGTGTACCTTGGCATTAAGGTGGCCTAGATGATGAAATGCCTTGCACAAAATGGGGGAAACCAAATAAACAGCCTGACACCTGCTCAAAATCCATACTCCTCTCTCATTCTATTTTGAAGCAACCAAATTTTTATGGATTTTGTGACTGCAAGTTAGAAATAAGCAGTAACTTGAACGTCTCTCTTTAAAAGGTGGAGGATATACTTTAAGTGACTGTCAGAAAAACAAGTAACTAAATTGCTCAGGGGAAAAAAATTACTCCAGGTAGTGTATACTATGATAAGAAATCTGACAGTTCTTTCTGTAAAAATTCAGTATTACTAATAAAGCTATAACTGCACTCCTCATACCATAAGATCTATTGATTTGGATTAGCAGATACAGCTGCTCTCAAATGCTAAACTGTCAGGTTAAGAAAATGTTTTGAGATTGCAAAATAGATTACAAATGTACAATGATTAAAAAACAAGACTACATAAGCCATCCTACCCTTCTACTGAGGCAGCTCTTACTAGAGCCGAACAGCTGCTTAATAGAATCTCACTAATGTATGCCACTCCAGGAACTATGCAGTGGCCTTCTTCAGCTTCTGAAAAAGAAGCTGCTAAATATTCCTCAATATGACTCTTTACCGACTCGTCCAGCTTAGGATCTCTCCCTTGCTTTGAGGATATAAAGAACATAATGCCTAAACCATCTGGAAACATTTTATTTGAGTTGTCTTTTTACCCCACGAGGAGCCTGTGGCAGGATTTGCATTTTCAAGGCTTTTCAATTTTAAACAGTTAATCATCTTAGAGGATAGGGATATGCAAAGCTGGCAGTGTTTCTTGGGAGACTTGATAGAAACTCAGTAGAGGAAAAGAAACGTTTCTAGTTTGAAGTGGAAGGTTGCATTAAACATGAAATAAACACTTCATTCCTGTGCTGCCAGACTCTAAAAATAGGGCCTTGAACAGATTTAAAGTACCATTCTATGCTTTCTCCAACAAAGCCACTAGCACTATTAGCCTGATTACTGCACAAAAAGAGGGCCAGATGGCTTGCCCTTCAACTGAAATCAAAGGGCCTTCTTTTATGTGCACATTTTTTCCCCAAATGGGGGCTTCCTAAATATGTAAAGGTCCCACGTTTACTATACAAAGAAAATCTGCTGGCCCATTACAAGCTATCTATCCAGAATCCAGCATTCAGTTTTCTTGGCATACTGAAGAATTAAAACCAAGGTTAACTCTAGGAAATGCCTCCTACAGACCTCATCTTCAGATTACAGTATGTCCCAGGGAGTAGCGGTCTACCACTTAACCAATACCAAATTCCTACTGAAGATTCAAACCTGTTGGAGTTGCTGTTCGAGGTGTCAATATGGTCATCATCGAAGAGTGTGTTAGAAATGAAGACTCTCAGGCCCCACCCCAAACCTAGTGAATCAGAAGCTGTAGTTTAACAAAATCCCCAGGTGATCTGGATGCAAGTTAAAGTTTTAGTGGTACAGGGTTTGCCAGTCTCTATCTAACACTCTACCTTCCTAGGAAGATCTTTAACTCCCTTAGTAGTTCTATTGTAATTATCTCACACTCCTAACAATAACATTAATTTCTCCTCTTACAATATAATATTGAATAGAAAAGAATTTCATCTGAGAGTCACACAGCAACAACATATAAACACCTCCATGTCAAAGTTAATTAACATATTACTATTAATGAACATCCACTATGTGCTACATAACCACCAGAATTGAAGAAGACACACTCTCAACCCAATGATTTAATAATGTCTAGACACATATGAATAATCGCAAATGAATAATCACAACGCTGGATGGATAGACACACAAAAACATGGCATTTAAGAAGGCACTGAGTCTTTCTGAATGGGAGAAAATAAGATCATGGGATGGTTCACTGAGATAGTTTAAGATAATATTGGATTAGCTATCATAATGTTTTGTCCTCCATTCCAAGACATGTGAAATTTAAATTAGCAAGTGGGACACACACATTCTAATACTCCAGAGGCCAGGGGCAAAGAGTTGAAGGAGATTAAGTGAAAAGCTATTTGTCTTATGTTAAAGGAAGAGCTATTCCTTAAATTCTTGTCTACTGGGACTGATGTTAGCATATCTTGTGATTTTTAAAAACAGCCAGGGCCAGACGCGGTGGCTCATGCCTGTAATCCCAGCACTTTGGGAGGCTGAGGTGGGTGGATCACCTGAGGTCAGGAGTTCAAGACCAGCCTGACCAATATGATGAAACCCTGTCTCTACTAAAAGTATGAAAATTAGCTGGGTGTGGTGGCGTGCACCTGTAGTCCCAGCTACTCAGAAGGCTGAGGCTGGAGAATCACTTGAAACTGAGAGGTGGAGGTTGCAGTGAGCCAAGATTGTGGCATTGCATCCAGCCTGGGCAACAGTGTGAGACTCTGTCTCAAACAAACAAACAAACAAACAAACAAAAACAGCCAGAAATCCAAATTTCTATGGTATGTGCAATTTCCTAATGTTTACGTAATGATTACAGAAAAAAAATAAAACAAACAAAAAAACGAAAAACAAAAACTAAATGAACAATGAACCAAGTAAATAAAACTAAGAGCTTGCCAAGAACCAATAGTTTGCAAACTCTAAACTCTAGCATTTTGACCCAACAGAGGCTTGGCAGCAGTGCTCACAATGGGGGCTCCACGATGATCAAGACCAGCTGTGGCACTTGCAGAGGTGACATCAGGAGGAAGCACAGTGTGATGCATGCTGAAGTAGAATCCTGCCTTCAAGGAGCTGTAAATTAAAAAGGGACTACCTGTTGGAGCAATGAAAAAAGGCTTCCCAGATTGGGGATTATACGCTGAGATTTAAAGGATCAAAGGTGAAAAAAATGGGAAGAGAGGTAATAGGAGAAGGTATTTATAAGCAGGTAAGATTCAACTTGCAAAACTTAAAGGCTGAGAGAGAATGATGTTTTGAGAAAACATCAGAGGTCAGAATGGCTAGGAGAAGGGTATACAAAGGCAACAAATTTATGTAGTTTTAAGCAGTTGGTGAATTATGTCGTATGTTTTTTTTTTCTCAAGAATGGTAATTTTCCAGGTTGGGGCAAGAAAAATAGGACTCTAAATTTTATTTTAGAGTCTTGCTGTGTTGCCCAGGTCCCCAGGCTAGAGTGCAGTAGTGTGATCTCTGCTCACTGCCTCACTGCAACCTCCGCCTTCCAGACTCAAGCAATTCTCGTGTCTCAGCCTCCCAAGTAGCCAGGACCACAGGTGTGCACCACCACACCCAGCTAATTTTTGTATTTTTAGTAGAGGCAGGGTTTCACCACTTTGGCCAGGCTGGTCTCGAACTCCTGATTTCAAGTGATCTGCCCGCCTCAGCCTCCTAAAATGCTGGGACTGATTACAGGTGTGAGCCGCTGCACTTAGCCTATCAGTAGTTGCTTTTATGTAACATGCCATTGATTTGACTGGGGCTACAGAGATGATGTACACAGAAGTAAGAATTTTATAAAACTAGTGCTGCTTAGGCTAGCAAATGGTTTGTAATAATTTCTTCAGTTTTCAAAAATTACCAAAAACTGAAAGAAGGCCATTTTACAGATGTTCCAAGGGCATTAAATATTATCAGTCAAGCTTCCTTCATATTTCTTTGCAAAACAGCTTTTAACAACAGCTGTGATTCTCTTATCTGTTGCTTTCAAAGGAAACTTGTGTCTATTGCTGTATGTATAGTTTTAATTATAGGTATTCCATATGTGAATTTTAATTATTTATTTACCTCCAATTTTAGCAAGAGAACACTGATTAGAAGCTTAAATAACTCTCGCCCTCTTACTCACCCTCACAAAACTGATAGGAAAAGTTTTAAATACTCTGTGGTGAAGGAAAAAAAGTCGACATAAAAATATCTACAAAAATTACAGGAAGAAGAGAAATGATGAAAGTTAGTAGAGGATCAAAACATGTGAAGCACTTTTTATTTAATTTTTCAATATGTGTTCTGGAAATCATTAATAGTCAGTCTGCAGCTGTTTCTTACTGAATATAGTGTTAGAATGGGAAGACCACAGCTTTTATGGAAAGTCAACAATTTTGATTATGGTCACAAGGTTTGCAAATTACTTTGGCTTCAACTATTCTGCTATTATTTTTTCCTTATAGTAAATATTAAACGTTAATGCTGGAACAGTGGCTTTTAAACTTTCATGTGAAGATGCAGCTGGGGTGCTTGTCAAAAATGCAGATTTTCAGACTTTTTCTTAAAAGAGTCCAATTCTGATTTTTAAAATGTGTCTCCAAGTGATTCTGATGCAGGTGTCTCCGAATTAAATTTTGAATAATGTTGGGCTGGCTCAAGGGCACCTAGTGCCTGGCATAGATATGTCCTCAAAGAAATTAAAAACTTCTCAGATGTATCTACAATGACAATGCTGATGAATGCTGATGAATGCAAGCATTGTGAGGGGATGAATTTTGCCTGTTTTGTTCACAGCTAATATGGTTTGGGTTTGTTTTCCCACTCAAATCTCATCTGGAATTGTAACCTCATAATCCCCATGTATCATGGAAGGGACACAGTAGGAGGTAACTGAATCATGGGGGCGGTTACCCCCATGATGTTCTCATGATACTGAGTGAGTTCTCATAAGATCTGGTAGTTTTATAAGGGGCTTTCTCCGTTTGCTTGACACTTCTTCGTGCCACCATGTGAAGGAGGACGTGTTTGCTTCTCCTTCTTCCATGACTGTAAGTTTCCTGAGGCTTCCCCAGCCGTGCTGAACTGCAAGTCAATTAAGCCTCTTTTCTTTATAAATTACTCAGTCTGGGGTATATCTTCATAGCAGCAAGAGAACAGGCTAACACAACAGCCACGTTCCCAGCACTGAGATTAGCACCTGGCACACAGTCAATAACTATTTGCTGAATGGATGTGTGAAAGAATGATTTGAGCATGTCAGTACTTGCTTTCTGAAGTTCATGCTGTTCATTGGATCTTCTATCCCACACTAACTATCAGAAGGCAAAGGACTTGTGTCAAGCATGCCCCAATTTGCTCACCAAAAGTGGCATTTTGGGCCTCACAGTAATGACATTTGGCAAAGTTACCAGTCTTGAAAGTGTAATTTTTGAGTTTTATTTTCTGACCTACAAAACTTAAAAGTGTACCTGTAAGGGGCTGCAGTACCTTAGTGGATCACAACAAATCAGCATGCACATTCCAAATGTATAACCTATCACAGAAATATGACACCCATAATCCCCACAAAATATCCATGTGGTTCTTAATGATGCTGAACTACAGAGTTCCTATTTTCTTTTTCAGACACTATGAGCTTACAAAATGTTCCTGCATTAGTTGTCATGCTTTGAAACAAACTTGGTGTGATGATGTTTCAACTAGATCTAAAGGGAATGGACAGGCAGACCCACACAAACACATGATTTCTTTTAAGAAATACTGTATTATTTCTCTAGGGCACATAAAAATATTTTGTGAAATCATAAAGTTACATAAAACTCATAGGAAGAAACAAATAAAACTGCAAGTTTTATTCCTTCATAGAGATTCAGAAAAGATGGAAAATACATGGTATTAACCAAGGGAGCAGATCCTGTACTATTTTGAATGTGTCCTTCATTAGTAAGGACATCGGTGCTAATGTCCTTAGTAATTCATCCTGTAAGTTAGCACACTTAACATAAAAGTTTACAGTACTCTTAGCACCATGATGGAAAGTAATCCTTTTGAGACTGCTTCAGGCCTAAATATCATATAATCATAAAATTTTTATCAATAGTATATATTCAAATGTGTTCATGTTGTTATTAATTAATACTGGTTGGTTGAACACACCTCTACTTATCAATATTTTAAATGATTTCTCCAGTACAATATTATTTCTATTTACATTTTTTCATTTTAAAGTAATAAATATTGTGACCTCTTAAAGGTAATTTGTTGAGTATTTTATTTATTTTATAAATTAATTAAAAGAAACAAAATTTGTGTGTGGCTAGATATTACTTGTTGATTACAATTTATAATTTCTACTGCCATTTTAGTGTCCTAAAAGATATGACCTGTTGAATTTCTGCTTTCATACAATTAATGATATTGTTAGACCTAAAACTTTGCTATTTATTTTTCCCCGTTATTGGAATACAGTGTGTATCTTCTGTTTACTGCTGAAAAATTCTATCCATTTGTCTCTCTCACTAGTAGTCAAACTTTCTAATAATTTTTCATTCTTTGTGAAAAAAAGTAATAAATACTTACTTTACAAAATTTGGAAAATATTTTAAAAGTTGTCAAAATACACCCCTGATCTAAAATCACACGAGAGCCATCATTATTTTTATATACATACTTTCAGTCTTTTTGTATGTATTTGTACATAGCTGTGATCATAAGACATATGCAATTTCTTAGTCTACTTTTAAAGCTGGTTATTTCAAATAGCTTATAAACATCATTTTAATGGCTGAATAAAATTTTCAAGCATAATTCATATTTTAAAAATTACTGTAATTTTACATTTCATTAAAGAAACTTGTATACAGATACTGGTGTTTTAACCAACAAATGCACAGTGGCAAATCTGTCCAGTTCTGAGAAAGGTAGCTGACCCTTGTTATACCAGAATTTTAGTCATTAATGCAACTCTCACTCTTTAGATACTCAGTCTCATTTAATATAATAATCTGTCATAATGGGTTGCCACCATATGTTGATATAGTTTGGATGTTTGTCCCTGCCCAAATCTCATGTTGAATTTCAATCCCCAATGCTGGAGATGGGGCCTAGTGGGAGGTGTTTGGATCATGGGGGCGGACCCCCTTATGGCTTGGTGCTGTCTTTGTGACAGTGAGCTCTTGCTCCGAGTTCATGCAAGATCTGGTCTTTTAAAGTGTGTGGCACCTCCCGTCCCCCATTCTCTCTTGCTCCTGCTTTCACCATGTGATGTACAACCTCCTGCTTTGCCTTCTGCCATAATTATAAGTTTACAGAGGCCTCCTCAGAAGCAGATACTGGTACTATGCTTCCTGTGAAGCCTGCAGAACCATGAGCCAATTAAATTTCTTTTCTTTATAAATTACCCAGTCTCAGGTATTTATTTATAGCAATGCAAGAACAGCCTAATACAGAAAATTGGTACCAAGGAGTGGGGTCTTGCTATAAAGATACCTGAAAATGTGGAAGCAACTTTGCAATTGGGTAAGAGACACATCAATAAATGGTGCTGGGATAACTGGCTAGCCATATGAAGAAGATTGAAACTGGACCACTTCCTTACAACATATACACAAATCAACTCAAGATGGATTAAATACTTAAATGTAAAACACAAAACTATAAAAACCTTGGAAGGTAACCTAGGCAACACCATTCTGGACATATGAACAGGCAAAGATTTCATAATGAAGATGCCAAAAGCAATGGCAACCAAAGCAAGAACTGATAAATGGGATACAATTAAACTAAAGAACTCTGCACAGCAAAGGAAACTACCAACAGAGTCACCGGACAACCCACAGAATAGGAGATAATTTCAATTTATGCATCTGACAAAGGTCTAATATCCAGCATCTATAAGGAACTTAAACAAATTTACAATAAAAAAACAAAAAACCCCATTAAAAAGCGGGCAAAGAACATGAACAGCCACTTTTTAAAAGAAGACATACATATAGCCAATAAGCATATGAAAAAAGCTCAACAACATCACTGATCATTAGAGAAATGCAAATCAAAACCACAAGGAGATACCATCTCATACCAGTCAGAATGGCTATTATTAAAACATCAAAAAATGAGAGGTGCTGGCCAGGTTGAGGAGAAAAAGAAACATTACACAGTATTGGTGGGAGTGTAAATTAGCTTTAACCATTGTGGAAAACAGTGTGGTGATTCATCAGAGACCTGAAAGCAGAGCTACCGTTCTACCCAGCAATCCCATTACTGGGTATATACCCAAAGGAATACAAATCATTCTACCATAAAGACACATGCATGTGTTCACTGCGGCACTATTAACAATGCTAAAGACATGGAATCAATCCTAAGTGCCTATAAATGATAGACTAATAAAGAAAATGTGGTACATATACACCATGGAATACTATGCAGCCATAAAAAGAATGGGATCATGTACTTTGCAGGAACATGAACGGAGCTAGAGACCATTATCCTTAGCAAAGTAATGCAGGAACAGAAAACCAAATAACACATGTTCTCACTTATAAGTGGGAGCAAGATGATGAGAACACATGTACGTACGTATAGAAGAAAACAACACACACGGGGAACAGTGATGAGAACACATATACACATAAAGGGAAACAGCACCCTTCAGGAGTATGGAGGGTGGGAGGAGGGAGGGGATCAGGAAAAATAACCATGGTTGTTGTGGTTAATACTTGGGTAACAAAATAATCTGTACAACAACCCCCCATGACACGGGTTTACCTGTGTAACAAACCTGCACATGTTCCCTTAAACTTGAGGTTAAAAAATTACTTCTCAATTTAAAAGTCAAAGTTGTAAAAAGCAAAAAATGAAATAAAATAAAATTGTGTATTATCTTACCCCTACTCGCTCTCATTCCCCTACTCGCTCTCATTCCTGCTTTTCCATGTGACATGCAAACTCCCACTTTGCCTACTGCCAGATTGTAAGCTCCCTGAGGCCTCATCAGAAGCTGAGCAGATGCCGAGCACCATGCTTCCTCTATACCCTACAGAATCAGGAGCCAGTTAAATTTATTTTCTTTGTAAATTACCCAGTCGTAGGTATTTCTTTATAGCAATGTAAGAATGGCCTAATACACATATGCTGTTAAAATGCTTGATGTTATAGAAGTTGGAGACCTCTTTGACTGGAAGTTCATAAAAGGAACGTCATTTTCTGATAATGTTAAGCCAGGCATTTAATCTTTCTATGACTCAATTTCTAATTTTTTACAAAAGGAAACAAATGCATTAATTAACATAAAGCAACCATGCAAATTAGCAGTGGTATTGTCTACCTGGAATAAATAAAGCTCAGTTGATACAATCACAACTCACGTATGCTTTAAAGAGTTTGGCTCACAATTCTACATCTGTATCCATGAAGAATGATATCATGGCTGGCAGTCTCCACATCTAGATCATAGTCCAAGATCTGATATGGAACGATGCTATTTATACAAATGCTTTAACCTTTTAACTTCTTTGGATCTCAGATATATCATGTGGAAACAAGGCAAGCAGTACTGCCATGAGATAAAAACATATGAAGGCCTGGCACAGTGGCTCATGCCTGTAATCCCAACATTTTGGGAGGCCGAGGTGGGCGGATCACTTAAGGTCAGGAGTTCATGACTAGCCAGGCCAACGTGGTGAAACCCCGTCTCTACTAAAAATACAAAAATTAGCTGGGCATGGTGGCAGGCACCTGTAATCCCAGCTACTGGGGAAGCTGAGGCAGGAGAATCACTTGCACCCAGGAGGTGGAGGTTGCAGTGAGCCAAGATCGCGCCATTGCACTCCAGCCTGGGCAAAAAGAATGAAACTCTGTCTCAAAAAACAAAACAAAACAAAACAAAACAAAAAACAAATGAAAATGCTTTTTTTTTAATTAGCACACTATAATTGTAGATATTCATGGGGTACAATTTGATGTTTCAATATGTATGTATAATGATGAAATCAGTGTATTTAGTATCCATTACCTTAATGATAAACGCATTTATCATTTCTTTGTGGAGAAAATATTTTAAAAAGCCTATCTTCTGATATTTCATAATGTATAATATCTTACTGTTAACCATCTAGTGATGGTTAACTCTACTGTATAATAGAACACAAGAACATATTTTTCCTATCTAATTGTAATTTCTGCCTATTAACCAGCCTCTCCCCCTTCATCTCCCTTCCCTCTCCAGTCTCTGGTAATCACTGATCTACTCTCTGGTATGTTTGATAACATCTTTTCTTTTAGTTTCCACGTATGAGTGAGATCATGCAGTATTTGTCTTTCTGTAGCTTGCTTATTTCACTTAACACAATATCCTCCTGATTCAACCATCACCTGGCAAAATGAAGGATTTCATTCTTTTTTATGGCTAGATAATATCACATTGTTTATATATACACCACATTTTCTTTAACCATTAATCCATTGTTGGACACAGGTTGATTCTACATCTTGACTATTATAAATAGTGCTACAATAAACATGGGAGTGTAGATATATCTTCAACATACTGATTATATTTCCTTTGGATATATATTAAGTAGTAGGATTGCTGGGTCATATGATAGTTCTAGTTTTAATTTTTTGAGGAATCTCCATACTGTTATCCATAATAGACATACTAATTTACAATACCACCAACAGTGTGCAAATGTTGCCTTTTCTCCATATCTTTGCCAACACTTTTCTTTTGTCTTTTTAATGATAGCCATTCTAAATGGAATGAGATAGTATCTCATTGTGGTATTGATTTGCATTTCCTTGATGATTAGTGATGTTGAACTTTTTTTTTCATGTATTCACTGGCCATTGGTATGTCTTCTTTTAGAAATGTCTATTAATATCATTTGTCCATTTTTTAATGGGGTAATTTAGTTTTTTTGCTGTTGAGTTGTTTAAATTACTTACATATTCTGGATATTAACCCACTGTCAGATGTATAGTTTGCAAATATTTTTCTCCCATTGTCTACATTGTCTCCTTACTCTGTTGTTTCCTTTGCTGTGCAAAAGCTTTTTAGTTTGATGTAATCTCATTTGTCTGTTTTTGTTTTTGCTGCCTGCACATTTGAGGTCTTGGTTTAAAAATTCTTGCCCAGGCCAATGACATAAAGCATTTTCCCTTCTTGTAGTTTCATCATTTCAGGTTTTACATTTAAGTCTTTAATATTCTCCTTAAAGTCTAGAATTTGTGTTGATTTTGTATATGGTGAGAGGTAGTGGTGTAGCCTCATTCTTCTGCATGTGGATATCAAATTTTCCCAGCAACATTTATTGAAGATACTATCTCTTCCCTAACTGTGTTCTTGGCACCTTTGTCAAAAATCAGTTAGACATAGCTGTGTGAACTATGTTTGGCCTCTTTATTATGTTCCATTGATTTATTTATCTGTTTTTATGCCAGCACCAGTTGTTTTGATGTGAATGGTTTGGATATGTGTCTCCACCCAAATCTCATGTTCAGTTGTAATCCCCAGTGTTGGAGGTGGAGGCTGGTGGGAGGTGACTGGGTTGTGTGGGTGGTTTCTCTTTAATGGTTTAGCACCAGCCCCTTGGTGCTGTTCTCATGATAGTGAGTGGGTTCTCATAAGATCTGGTTGTTTAAATGTGTGTAGCACTGCCCTTCCCTCTCTCTTCCTCCTGCACCAGCCATGTGAAGTGCTGGTTCCCCCTTTTCCTTCCACCATGATTGTAAGTTTCCTGAGGCCTCCCCAGAAGCCAAGCAAATGCCAGCATCATGCTTCTTTGTAATTGGCTTACAGCCTGCAGAACTGTGAGCCACTTAAACCTTTTTTCTTTATAAATTACCCCATCTCAGATATTTCTTGATAGCAATTGAGAGAAGGGCCTAATACGTTTGGTTACTATAGCTTTGTACTATATTTTGAAGTCAGGCAGTGGAATGACTCCAGCTTTGTTCTTTTTTTCTCACGATTGCTTTGGCTATTTATTTGGTGTCTTTAGTTCCATTAAAAAAATTAAGATTTTTTTTCCATTTCTCTGAAGAGCTTCATTGGTATTTTGATAAGAATTATATTGAATCTGTACTTTCCTTTAGGTAGTATGGACATTTTAACAATATTATTTCTTCCAACCTATGAACATGGGGTTTCTTTCCACTTAATTGTGCCTTCAATTTCTTTCATTAATGGTTTATAGTTTTTAGTGTAAATATCTTTTATTTTGTTGGTTAAGTTTATTCCTAGATACCTTACTTTTATGCAGCTATTGTAAATAATTTTTTTTTACTTGACAGTGTAATATTAGTTTTTAGATATGCTACTGATTTTTGTGTGTTGATTTTGTATCCAGCAAATAACCATATATTTGTTATTTAGTCCCTTTTGTGGGGGATAAGTAGCAGGAAACTGGAGTCAGCCATCTTGCTCCACTTGGAGTTTTAGGAAGATTTTTCTGCGTTCTAAAGTACTATTATTTATATCAAAAGTCATTAGATGTTTTGTCATTGGTAAACATGGAAATACTTGTGAATTTTTTTTTTTGCTTGGAAAGATATATTTATAGAAGAAACACTTCTTAAACCCTTTAAGCATAGAAATCTAAGGCCACCCACAAGTCATTACAATCAATCTCTAGACACCCTAGATTGAACGACTTAATAAAAAGAAGACAGCAATGTAAAGCTGAAGTTTGCCACTCTGAAGTTTAATATTTACTTTTTCCTGAATATAAAGTAATACTTACTTTCATATGCAGTTAGTAAAAGTATACAATTGATTCAACTACTTTGGAAAATAGTTTGGCAGTATCCAATATAGCTGAATTGGCATATATATATATATATATATATATATATATATATATACACACATATATATATATATATATATACACATATATATATATACACACACACACATATATATATATATATATATATACACACACACACACATATATATATATACCCTATGGGTATGATTTCTACTCCTTGGTATGTCAAATAAATGTACATATGTTCACCAAAAGACATGTTCAACAATTTTCATAGTAGTGATAGTATGCAATAGCCCCAATAGTAGCAATAACCCTGAATTAGAAATGGCCCAAATATCAACCAGTAGAATGAATGAATATATCATGAGAATGAGCAAACCATCGCTCCATGCAACAACACAGATGACTCTGGCAAACCTAATTTTGAGTGAAAGAAGCCAGATACAAAGTAGCACTTACTATGTATAAATTCATATATTTCAGTTCAAATAGCATAGATTAATTTGGCCTGTCTTAGAACTCTGGTCCCTTAGTGGGCTTTTAAAAATCCCTTTGTCTCATGGTCTGCTTCTTTTTCCTAGTAAATTCAATATTATGTCTTGTAATCACAACCTACTCTGGAGGGTTATTGCCTTTCTATTTCAAATGATGAACTCAAACTACTTCTATTAGACAAGTTGTGACAATGATCAAAGGAAACAAATAGTCTGGAGAGATAACTAGCTAGCTCTTTATGGGTAAGGCAATCACTAGGCTTTTATCCACACAAAAAAGTTTGTCTGTTGTAATTAAGGATTTATTTTTTTGAATAGATACACTGAAATGCTAGCAATGCGCTATGGTGAAAAGATAGCATTAACAGTAGATCAATGTGTTAAGTAAGGCCATAACATACTTCCATACTCTTACAGAAGACAGAATGAAGAATGAGTACCAGATACATTATTAATGTGTCTTTAGAAGTGGCTCCCTTTCCTCTGGCTCGCTCCTCCTTTCCACCATCTCCTGTGTTCTGATTGAGGGAAATCTTCAAGATCACCCATATGGGATTTTGACTCTGCCCTATTTTCTGAGCCTTGGCCCTTCCAGTCCCACTGAACACTCACTAAAGCAGCTATTAAGGTGAAGACCATGGATTCTCTGTCTTTGGAAAGTGGAAATTTGGGACTTGATCAAATAGCCTAGGAGCTCCCTACACATTTAATAACAGAAACTGTCTGGATAATTTTTGCTTAGAAACAATTGCAAAGGAAAGGCTTTGAGGATCTTGAATTTATATTCTCATTTATCTTTTGATATTATGTAATTAATTCCTACAACAATAATAAAAATGAAAACCCTTTAAAAAGAGATTGATTTTGATGCCTTACTTTAAAATAATTTCCTAAAACATAATCAAATTGGAATATTCTATTTCTTTGTTAGCTAAAAGCAACATTTCCAAAAAGCGAGGTTTCAGTTTTCCAGTTGGAAAAGAAAAATTATGAACAAAAGGTCACGACTCTTACTTTGGAGAATAAATGTTTGAGTGATTGAGAATAAATGTTCCACCAATTGAAACAGATACCAAATAGTCACAATTTATTTTAAATACATAATCACTGCATATGCACACTTGTGAGTTTCAAAGTACTCTGAAGATCCCCATCTCCTCAGTAGATACTGACTGCTAGTTTGGCTATGTGAAAACCATATTATTATAGAATTTTTTGGTGCCAATTTTAAATACAATTGTTTAAGACATTACCTTTTCCACTTATAATACAGTACTTATAAAGTGCAAAGTTATGTACCTCCCCTGTGCACATGTTCCATATTCGAGTATTGAGATTGGCCAGTAGTTAACTACTGCAGCTCAACTTTAAGATGGCCACAGAATTTGCTACAAATTTGAGTCCTTCAATGTTTTAACTTTGTGGAACAATGCTACATCTATACTTGAGCTGACTTAGTCAGCCTCTTCAATGGGGGCCCTGGGGAAGCTCCAGCAGAGGGAGCTCCACCATCAGGGAATCCCCCAGGCATTCCTTCTGGTGTGCCTCCTGTACTCTGGTACAGGTTGGTAATTATGTGGTTGCAGACTTTCTCCAGATTTTGATGTTGAAATTCTTCCTTCTTCTGAATCTGATTCTTATCCAGCCAGTTGATAATTTTAATACCCTTATCAAGAATCTTCTGTTTGTCCTCAACGTTAATCTTGCCTTGAAGTTTCTCATCTTCAACAGCTGCTTTCATATCGAATGCATAGCTTTCAACTGAATTCTTGGATGACATCTTGTCCTTCTGCTTCTCATCTTCAGCTCTGTATTTCTCAGCTTCCTGGACCATACATTCAATGTCTTCCTTGCTCAAATGGCCCTTGTCATTAGTGATAATAACTTTGTTCTCCTTTACTTACTCTGGGCCACAAGAGAGACATTGAGGATGCCATTATCATCAATATCAAAAGTGACTTAAATCAAAGGAACACCATGGGATGCAGGAGGAATGACTGTGAGTTCAAACTTGACAAGCAGGTTGTTGTCCTTGGTCATGGCACTCTCTCCTTGATAAATCTAAATAAGCACACCACGCTGGTTGTCAAAGTAGGTAATGAGGTCTATGTCTGCTTGATAGGAATGGTGGGATTATGCTTAATGAGGACAGTCATGACTCTACCAGCAGTTTCAATACCAAGAAAAAGAGGAGTTGACATCCAAGAGCAGCAAATCTTGAACATTTTCAGATTTGCTTCCAGATAGGATGGCTGCCTGGACAGCTGTACCATAAACAACAGCCTCATCAGGCTTGATACTCATTCAGCTCATTTTCATTAAAGAAGTCTGGAGAAGCTACAAAATCTTGGAAATACAAATAGAACCATGAACCAGGACAATATCATGGATCTGTGACTTGTCTAGTTTGGCATTTCCAAGGGCCTTCTCTACGGAGTCTAGAGTGCCATGGAACAGGTAAGCATTCAATTCTTCAAATAAGGCATGGAAAATGGAGGTATTGAAGTCAATTCCTGCAAAGAGAAAATAGATCTCAATACTGGCCTGGGTGCTGGAAGAGAGAATATGCTTAGCACATTCACAAGAAGTATGGAGGCATCAGACAGCTCTATTGTTCTCACTGATGTCCTTCTTGTGCTTGTGCTTGTGTGTGAACTCAGTAATAAAATGGTTAACCATTCAGTTATCAAAGTCTTCTCAACCCAAGTGGGTGGCTATGGCTGTAGACCTAACGTCAGAGATTCCATTCTAAACAATGAGGGTTGACACATCAAAAGTGCCATCTCCCAGGTCAAAGATCAGCATGTTTCTTTCAGCTCCAACCTTTTTGTCTATAAGCAGTAGCAGCAGCAGTTGGCTTACTGATAATTCTAAGTACATTGAGACTAACAATTGTTCCAGCATCTTTGGTAGCCTGATGCTGAGAGTCATTAAAGTAAGCTGGCACTGTGACCACAGCATTGGTAACAGTCTTTCCAAGGTAGGTTTCTGCAATTTCCTTCATCTTTATCAGAACCATAAAAAACACTTCCTCTGGATAGAAGCTTTTTGTCTCTCCCTTGTATTCTACTTGGACGTTGTGCTTATTCACCACTATGAAGGGCTGATGCTTCATATTAGACTGGACAACAGTATCCTCAAATCTCCATCCAGTCAGATATTTGGCATCAAAAACCATGTTGTTAGGGATTCATTGCAATTTGATTCTTTGTGGCATCACTGATCAATCATTCACTACCAGTGAAGATGACATAGCTTGGAGTGGCTCCGCTTCCCTGATCATTGGCAATTATCTCTACTTGTTCATGCTGGAAAATACCCACACAACAGTTGGTAGTGCTAAGATCAATACCAACTGCAGGTCCTTTAGACATGTTTGCTTGCATATAGTCATGGCATGGATTGTGAAGACACAGGAATCCCAAAAGCTATCACAATATTCCATGAGCCATTATAGGAATTTTTAAAAAGCTTCAAAATTCCGTCAGTGTACTTGACTTGATAGCCAAACTTAGCTGTAGTAGGAAGTAGTTCTACTTTTGAGGTAAGATCTATTATTCGAGGTAAGCTATTGTTAACAAAATAATTGGCTAAAAATTTGTTTTATAATCATACTACTAAGCAATCTAATATTGTAGAAGCTTTAAAAATATTTGCTTTTGTTTCCAATTTCTCCACAATAATCAATACCTATTATAATGGCACCTGTAATGATTATTATGAATATTCTTCACCATATTTTAAAGGTAGAATATTCAGAGTGGAACTGTATGGTTTTGATTTCATGTTGTAAAATCCCAAGAGGGCAGCCACATGTTCTCATTAGCAGCACAGAAGAAAAGAACTTTAACTTAAAATAAAGCAGCTCCTATTCTCAAAAAATTGCTTTTGTTCGATCTTCTAACAAAGTGTTGCTCTCCTCTTTTATGAGTGACAAAGATGTAAAGTTATCATACATACTCTAATCTGGAGCTCACATAGACTTCATGTCCGGCTAAAGTGTGACAGAGCCCACACTGCTTGCTCTGAACTTCTGAACTTCATATGATGGGAAAAATAATCACCTGCTGTAATTTCTACTTCTCTCTTCAAGGTTCATTCCAATGTGTCTTGCTAAACGGACCTCCTTGGGCCAATCAATTTCTACCCTTGGCTGAATTGATGTTTTAGATGATGTTTCAGTCAATGATGGACTGCATATATGGTCAGTGGTCTGGTAAAATTATGATGCAGCTGAAACATTTTTATTGCCTAGTGATATGATTGTTGTAATGTTTTAGGGCAACAAATTAACTTTTCTATGTTTAGACACTTTCCATTGTCTTACTGTTGCCTAGAGTATTCAGTACAGTAACTTGCTATACAGGTGTATAGCCCTAGGAGCAATAGGCTATACCATATAGCCTATGTATGTAGTAGGTTGTAACATCTATATTTGCATAAATACACTCTATGATAACCACACAATGATGAATTCACCAAAAATGCATTTCTCAGAACATATTCTCAGAATGATGCATTCACTTAAGGGACACATGACTATATTATTTTTAATAGTCTCATCATTGCTCTACTTTAACAAAAGGGATTTGGGTCCAACCTACTGGAACAGTATGAGCTCTTCAGTTAATATATCCTTATCTCATAATTTATCACCACTTTAGCAATCTTTTGCTGATTGCTAAATCAGATTAAGGGTTTATTCTCTATGTGGCCTCTATTATCTTTATATTATCCTTGCCAATTCCCAGCCTCATTTTAGCTCTTGAGCCAATACTGCTTCTGGGCATAAAGAATGAAATGTATTCTAGGCTAAAAATTCAGCAGTCTTGGCTGTCTGCCATTCTTTTAGTATCAGCTTTCTGTCTAACCTTCTTGCCTGTAGCCCACCTCCTGCCATTTAACTGGCTTCAGTTTCACATTTCCCACCTAGCTGGCTGGCCTCTGAGTTCCCTACATCTAAGCCATGCCCATCACCAGAACCATGTGGCCCTGTGGTCCTTCCAGGCTTGCTCCACCGGCATTCTGGACAAAGCCTGCCTACCCTGTATGACCTACCTTGCTGACAGCCTATGCCTACCTCAGGTCACAGCCTGCCCTTAGACGCCTGAGGAGATGTGTCCTTGGTTGGCTAGATATTGTCCTGGCTCCTGGTGCTGGCTCAGCCCTCGAATGGCTTCCTTAGCCCAGCTGTGCCTCTTTTGCTCCACACTTCTGCCCAAGGAGCTTCTATTCTTAAATAACATCTGTAGCAGGGATTGGTAAGCAAGAGTTACAAAATTGCTATGTCTGTCCTACAGAAATATTTTTCTTGAATTTTTTTTTTGTATTTTGTATTTGTATTTTTTGGCTAGCACAATATTAACACACAGAGTTTCTCTCTCTCTCCTCTTTTCCTTCCTTCTTTATTTCAATTGGCTACCAAATTTACAAATCAAAAAATTTCACATTAAAAAACCAAAAAAACAAAAACAGACTTCCAGCTGGCTTGAAGGTAGAAGTTGTAACAATGTTGGGTCCACATTGCCATATGGCAACATTCTGGACTCTTTAGATTGGGTATAAACTCCCTCCAGACGTTACAGTTGCTACTGTAAACAACTGTCTTCCTTCTCACACTGTAGCCAAATTTCCAGGATCTTGATCATCATGTTTGTCCTGTTGCCTTTTTCATAGGGAATATTTAAGAGAAAAATACTTAAATTTTATATCTAAGACTTAAGTTAATATATCCTTTTACTGTTGACTCTAATAAAAGTAGGAAAACAAATAGTTGACCTAGATACATGTTAATAAATAAATGAGAGTATATGTTTTAATGAAAGAGAAGACTATTCTTAGATGTTTAATGTGCAACATTTCTGACATACCCTCAATTAAATTCACGCATTCATATTATGCCCAGTGTCATTTAAGCTTTTAACCAATATATATAATATAGTGCTTCAGGGAAAAAGGATCAGGATGGCAAAATGATTGAAAACCAAGAAGATATACTGAAAATATTCGAATATTTAGTTAGAAAAGAGAAAACTTAGAAGGTCATAATAATCTTCACATACCAGATGAGCTGTCAGAAAAAAAGTGAACATGTTCTGTGTGGTTCCACAGGACTGATAAAGGAAAAGAGTTGTAGGAAGATGTATTTTGGTTGTATTAAATAGCATGGAAAACGACAGGATACAAGATCTTCATTCCCGGAGATGTGCAAACAGAACCTACAAAACATCTAGGAAATCTAATTTTCTTTCATCCCTATTATGTCTCATTTTTAAATAGTAGAAGACAATATATTGAGAGGAGTGATTTTTTTATTCTTAGCTCTCTCTGAAGACTAGAGATTTATATGTAAGGGAAAATACAGAAAGAACAAAGGTAGGAAACAGTTTTGAACATCTGATATTGTTTGGAGCCAGTGGAGACAAGAAACCCCTAACAATTTTGAAGGCACATGAGGCCTTTTAAGTCTTATTAAGCTTTGAGAACCCGAGATTAAAATAGGGAAGAAGTAAACAGACTCACTTATTGGTGATGATCTGGTTCTTGGGTTGGGTGGTGAATTCAATAACATTTATTATATGCTTTATATTTTAAATAAATCTTTATATTTTACCCACCAGGAATACTGGTGCATAAAATAACACAAAAATTAAAAAATCAAAAATTTTATAGCTCAAGTGTTACAAAGCATGAGATTCTGATTCAAATCTACTGGTAATTAAAATCTCTACTTCATAGGATTTTCTTCTTGTTGAATGACTCAGGAGTGAATAAAGTCCTGTCTTTTTAATTTCTAGAGAAATCTTAAACTATTATTTTCTTTCCATTATTCCTGCCAGTGCTTAGGTCTGTATCTCATCAGCTCATGCCTGGACTATTTCAGTAGCTTTTGAAATGGGACCACTCTCTTCTTTCTCAACTCCATCTGCTGTGCAGCTGCCAGAGTTAAAATTCACTTATATCACTCCCTGCCTCAAAACTTCAGTTACTCAAAGCTCCTCAGTATCAGCCTTCATGACTGTCCCTTAGGTTTCTTTGCAACCATCCATACACAGTACACCCCAGTTTTACCAAACTACTTACAGTTTCCCAAATACATTATGCTGATTTTTGCCTTGGAGTGACTTATTCCTTCTTCCTGGACCTTTTCCCACTTCTCTACCTCTGGCAACCACTCCACTTCTCTAGCTGGCTTAATATCTTCCCGTATTAAAATTAAAATCAAGCATTACCTCCTTGGTGAAGCCTTTCTCACTCTGACTCCTATTTAGCTATGGTAGATAACCTCTTCTGGATTTCCACTGTATCCAGTGTACACCTTAATTATTCAACACTTTGTCTTAAACACTTCGCTTGTTTTCTTTAACAGCTTTAACGAACACAAGGGTCTGGGACTTTTCTTAGTGAATTTTAAACACATGGCATAATGCCTAGGAAATGAAGGGCCTTCAATAAATATTTGGAAAAACAAAAGGAAAATTAACATTCTTAATTTTGGTTTATTGGTTATATACAGTCTCTAAACAATTATATACGCAAAATAATAATGGATTTTACTTATTTCTTTTGAGACTGAAGATTAGTGAGGGTAGCAAAACAATCTTCTACCTCTTTTGCCTTTATTAGGAAATATATAATCAAGACATGGTCCCCACTGAGACACACGGAGTTATTTCCAGAGATATGAGTCATGAGTTCAACATGACTGGTAAAGCCTGAAAGCTTTCTCAACATTATTTCAGTGAGTTTTGACATGCAGGGAAACCCATTCATTGTGATATGGAGAGGCAGAGAAAAATGATGGTAACAAAGAACAAAGGAAATTGAGTTTGAGACTGTGAGAAGTAATGAAGGAACATGACTGGTGTGGGCTTTAAAGTTAAATTAAACAAATGAAAATATAAGAGAAAGGAATTAAAATTTTATTTCCAACGGTTAAAATGCTTCCCAAGTCTGATTTTCTAAGGATAAACCTCAGTATCTTTTCAGTGACTCCACTTGGCAGTCCTTAAAATAATGAGGTAAATGAGGTAAATCTCTATTTGTTAGTGTACAGTAAGTTTAAAGAGATGTGATTGAGTGAAAGAAAACTAAAGTACAGCACAGGGTGTGTGTGTGTGTATATATATATATACACACACTTATTAAACTTATACATATTATATACACAGACATGCATATATGTTTGTGTGTGTATACATATATGTATGTATGTATGTATACACACATATATTTAATATACCTTCATATACAGCCATAAAGAAGGGACCACACATATACAACTGTATGTATGTTTAAAAATATAGACACGTATATATGTGTGTGTATATCTGTATCTATACTATATCTATATCGACACTATAGGTACACAAGGTATTCAAAGTATATGGGTACCCTGTGTACCTATATTCAAATAATATGTCTCGAAAGATAAGATTCACAAATGGGTGACTGGGGAGTGAGCTTTAAGATTCTGATATTGGAGAAAAATACACTTCTTGTTGTTTACCTTTTTGTAGCTTGTCAATTTTAGACATATGAAGCATAAAAATTGGGGGGGGTGGGAAGTAAAACGTGAGAGTGCAAGTAAATAAAACCAGAGATGATGGTGCAATTTAACTATTAACTTTATTTTTAAAAATTCTATGCTTCAGTTTTCTTTGCCATCTAAACACTTTGTGTGTAGAAAAATGATGCAAACACAAAACAAAACTACATTAAAAAATTGAAACCTTCTATCTCAAAATCTTAAATAATCAGTGTAGCAGTAACAACAGTAATTACTAATTTCAAGATGATCAATGGTTTTTAGGAATAGCATATTTAAACCAAACTAAGTCTCTCCTCTCAAGAGATAAAGTCCCTGCTCAGGAGAGTAAATGTGTTCAACATATGCATATGGAATGCTATATAAGATCATGATAAGATATTACAATTGGTGAATGTCAACAGGATTCAGAATAATGCTACATGTTTTTGATTATTACCTGCCATTGTCAAAGAAATGATCCTAAACTTTTTTTGTGTGCTACCAAAATATCTTACTTTTATAATATATTTTGATGTCTAAGGCTCCTCTTCTAAAGTTTTAAAATGTATGACCTTTCAAATGGAAACCAAAAATAGAATGAATCACATTGTTCAACCATTTGCAAAAAAATCACCACACATACCAGTGTAGTAATAACTTGAAGATTAGAAGCATGGACTGCATGCAGAATCAGACAAACCTGGGTTTGAATCCAAATCTGCCATTTACAAACTCTGTGACCCTGAGAAAGCAACATCACTTCTGTAAGCCTCATTGTCCACTTAAGTAACAAGGCAAACATATCTCACCAGGTTGCTTAAAAAATTAGTGGAAAAATGTAAATAATACGTTAAGTCAAGTCAAGAAAATACAATTAATATTATAGTAACAATACTTAATAACTGTTGTTAGAATAATCTGGTATAGTTTTTATGAAATAACTGAAAATAAAAAATTAGAGTTAAGCAACATGAGGAAAGTGGGTATCATAATAAAGGGAATGTATGTTTGGGAGCAAACATAAACCAGTTTTCTTTGCTGCTCTCTCTCTTAGGTTGACAGCCTTTTTTTTTTTTTTCTTTTTTTTTTTTTTTTTTTTTTTTAAGACGGAGTCTCACACTGTCGCCCAGGCTGGAGTGCAGTGGTGTGATCTTGGCTCACTGCAACCTCCGCCTCCTGGGTTCAAGCAATTCTCGTGCCTCAGCCTCCCAAGTAGCTGGGATTACAGATGCATGGCACCACACCCAGCTAATTTTTGTATATTTAGTATAGATGGGGTTTTACCATGTTGGCCAGGCTTGTCTTGAACTCCTGATCTCAAGTGATACACCTGCCTTAGCCTCCCAAAGTGCTGGGATTACAGGTGTGAGCCACCACGCCAGGCCTTACCTTGTAAACTTATCTTGATGCTTAACCTCTTTTGAAAACCAGCTTTTAGGGACATAAAAAAGATTGTAATGGTTCACTAATTTCAAGATTATGAAAGCTAAAAGTATAAATTATGCATCCCACATGGCTACCCGGTAGTCATGAGTATCTATGCACACCAAGGGGTCAATTCCAAGTCTGACTAGGAGAAGAAAAAAATGCATTACAAGTAATCCACACAATTGTCTCATAGATGACTGAGAATGTAATGGAAACAATGTCATTAAAATTTTCTGCCTCTTGCCCTTCTCATGGTGCTGAGACTCTGAGTCCTTTTTATGTCTATGATGGAGAACTTTTTGTAAATTAGTATACAACCTTTTACATAAACATCTCAGGACACATCTCTCCAGCATGCCCACCCATATTACACAGATTTCCAACGAGGCATGGCATTTCTTATGCCCCTATAGTATAATAGTATAATAAATAAATACTTTCTGAATGAATTATGCCTACTGAAGAGGCTTAGAAAATATTAACTATTGCTTTTATGATGTCTTTGGTGAAAGATTACAGAAGTCTGATTGTGAGGCCAGTGTTAGGGTACTTCAGGGTTTCTCAACATTGGTACTATTGATGTTTGGGGTGGAAAATTATTTGTTGTGTGTGTGTGAAGAGAAACATCCTGGTTATTGCAAGATGTTTGGCAGCATTTCTGGCTTCTACTGACTAGGAGTCCCCCAATTATGACAATAATAAATATCTCTAGACATTGCTAAATATCTCTAGACATTGCTAAGTATCTCCTGGGTGGGAGACAAAATTGCCCTCTGTTGAGAACCACTGGGCTATCTGTATCAATCAAGTCATTCTTGCTACCCTAATCAGATCCAGTTGCTAAAACAGAGAGAGGATACTGTTAGAAAGCAGAAGGTCTAACTACTTATATCAACTGAGATTTTGTCACTGTGGCTTAAGGTACCAAGAATAATGTGTGATTCTATAATAACTTAGCCCATCATATTACATTGCAATAATTTGTTATTGTGGTTTTTGTTATACTTATTATTTCTTCTTGTTCCAGACTTTATGCTCTCTGAGGTCCATGATCACGTTTAACTTGTTCAGTTCGGCATCTCCAGTTCCTACGGTAGTTTTAGTTTCATGATAAATCACTTAGTATTTATTGAATTTATGAATGCACCAGGAATAACCATGCTTTTTCAGAGATTATCTCTGATCTTGAAGAGAGCTTAAAGTTGAAAGTGGAAAGCTGATTCACTCAAGTATTTCTTAAATGCTTGCTATGAGACACTCTGGGTTTACAAGAGTAAATATGTCTATGCCTCTATGGAGCTTACATTCTGGTGTAAGTCAAAAGGGAAAAGAGTATATTAGTTAACAGTAAGTTCAAAATGGGCTAAATGGTAGGAAGGAAATTAATTGAATAATGCTATAAGAATAGTCACATAGGGCTTGCTTTAAATAAGGTGGCCAGTGGGGGCCTTTGGGTGGAGGGAGGCACTGAGAGTAGGGAATCACAGTTTAGGTAAGACCTTAAAGATAAGGAGGCACTCTCTATGATACAATTTAGAAGTGTTCTCTGGGTTCTCTGGGACCAGTATGTGCAGTCCACAAGAAGAGGAGAGTTTGCTTCTCACATACACACATTGTTCCAGGCTCTGGGGCACAGTAGTGAAACAAGTAGACAACATCCTTATTATTATGAAGCTTACATTCTAGTGGATATCATGAGGTTGAACGGGTGGGTTGGCAATGACCAACTCTATAGGGCCTTTGAACTGCAACCTGTGATAGTTTACCATACAGGCTCTGAGAGCAACTACCTGGGTTTTAATCTTGGAGTCAGTAGTTATTGCCTGGATTAACTTGGACAGGTTTCCTGCATTTTCTGTGCCTCAGTTTCCTTGTCTATTCAATGACTATATTAGTAGTATTTACCATATAGGATGGTAGGATTAAATAAATAGATATAAATATTGATTATTAACTTTGGGCTTGGTAATAATGCTAAGTTTAAGTGAAAATGTAAGGCATTTCAAGGTTTTAAGCAGACGAGTGGTATGATCTGATTTACAATTTTAGAAGAGCTCTATTCCTTCTATATGGAAAGTTGAGTGGAAACAGCAGAGAGAGTCAGGAGGCTACTGCAGAAGGCCCAAGTAAGAGGCAACAGTGGTGTCTAGACAGAAAAGGCTTTTTAGCCTTTTAGATACTTTAGGGGAAATTGAGTGTGAAAAGTGAGAGAAAGAGAAGAATCCAAGAACACACTGTAGTATCCAACTTGACTCATTCAATGATTTCCTAAGGTGGAGAAGACTCTGAAGAAACAAAATTGGGCAGATATTCTATAATGTAATATTAACTGTTTTAGTTCAGTCCTTTCTGGGAATATGTGAGTAGATGATGAGTAAGCACTGGGCTATACAAGTGGTGAGAGTAAATGATATTCCTTAGGAAGATGTGTGGAGATAAAAAGGAATAGAGATGAAAAGCAAGCTCTGAGAAGCACCCTTAGTAATGGATCAGGGAATCCTGAGGTTATGGAGAATCATACCCAGATAGAATCATGAAAACAGAACCTGTCTGTGAGACTGACATAGGGAAAGCAGGAAACATGATACAGGGAATGTATCATTTCTTACAAACAATTTCTGCTACAAGTGGTTCACAGAAGTACTTATTAAAAGAAGATGAACACCTCTGTGGAGGTTTGTGGACCTGAGGGAGTAAAGGCAGTATGGAACATGAAAGGAAGGACAAAGAGAAAAGGGAACAGAATTATGATGACTGCAGAACCAGCTACAACAGCTCAGGCTATCTGGAGAAGAGACTGATGTCTATGATCAAGTGAAGTGCAGGAAGTAATGCTGACAGTGAACATCAACAGTTGGGGCATCTTCTGTAAGTCTTGGTCAAAGACTAGGAGAAGTTTTAGACTCCCAAGAAGGAGATGTGCCTGGAGGAAAGGCTCCTGCAAACCTAATTCTGGCAGATGAAAAGGAATGGGTTAGTGAAGTAATAAGAACCTGAAGATAAAATGTCTGTGGCATCTTAGAGATTGTGAAAGCTAGGGAAGGAACCTGAGATCAGAATTCCAGATATACACCATAGATTTAGGTATATGGATTTCAAAATGATTACATGGCAAGAAATTCTAGGAGAGGATGGTTCAGAAAAGTTTGGAAGTCAGAAATGCATAAACTATAAAAAATCTTGCCTTAATTGTGTGTACATCTGATGTCAGGGAAGAAAAATAGGAGAGAGAGAAAGAGAACTTAAGGGGGAATATTTACTGGCAGTAGTACCTTTAAAAATTAAATCATGCAAATTAAAAATATATATTTGGCCATTTGTCTATAAACTCTGACATCCTAATAGAATAAACAGTTTACAAAAGCTAGATTAGATTTAAGATACTTACATTCATCTGTTTCTAGTTCCCTATCAAATTTTCTTGGCATAAAAATTTGTGAAATTTAGTTATTTTAAATAATTGTAACGATATTTTCCTATCAAAAGCAAATTTCATTTTACTTAAGATTCAGAGGAAAAGTATGTCAAATGTTACATTTTATGAATACTAGTTTATATGTATACAGTGCTTGACGGCTTTTAGAGAACTTTCATGTGCTTTCTTTCGTTGGGTCCTTATGGTCACTCAGGCAATGTGGTTTCATCCATCTTTTACTGATAAGGAGAATGAGACTTCAAGTCTGCAGCTTCCTACAAGAACACACAACTAGAAACGGGCAGTGCGAGAGCCAGAATTAGAGCTTCTGAGAGATGGTCCATTGTTCTTTCCATTACAATGTTTTTATAACAAAATTTAAAATTATTTAATATTCATTTTCTAAATTGCTATGTATATTCATATTATTGTGTCTCTAAAGTAGGATAAAGGCCTAAAATTTTTATTAGTTTTATAAATAGCACAGTATAATCACATAAGGGAAAATTACCTGTCTTGCTACTTAGAAAGCTAAACAGGATAATAAATGTCTTGTGTGTTATAAATTAATTTGTGCCATATGAAGAGGAAGTATTTCCAACAAAGCTAAGTGATCCAGTTGCTCACCTAAAAGTTTGCACCTTACATATGTGCAACTAGTGGCATATCATGAGTAGAGATTCTGGCACATCATGTTACCACCATGGCACATCATGAGTAGAGATCTTTGTGAAACCAATCCTTTTAGAGCAATTCCACATTTTGGAGTGGCCAAATGTTGCTCATTAGATGGAAATGAGACCTTCCATCTAAGCTAAATTGATGATGCTATCTTGTATTAATGTTATATTTTGGGCATACTAAGTAATGGAGAATAATACAACAAAGACTTGTACACCATCCACAAATTGGTGCTGATTATCTTGAGGAAACTTGGCACATAGGACTTTCTGTGTCCACCCTAGTTTCTATGTGCATCACTAGAATTGAGCAGATAAATGTTTGCCTGAGCACATTTCCTACTGTATTGGCTAACTACAATAGCCATAACATTGAGCATTCTCTATGCAGACCTGTTGAAAAAAAGGAAAAAAAAAAAACCTCACATTTTTGTCAACATACACATGCCCATGATCTTACTTTGATGAGAAATAAAGTTCATTACAGAAATATTTTAACCCACTTTATAAAGGTATTATTGACATGCAAATAGCTGTCCATATTTAATGTATACAATTCCATGAGTTTGGGAATAAGTCTACACCTGTTAAACCATCCCCACCATCACAGACTTATACAAGGCCACAGACATATGTATGACCTCCCCAAATTTCCTACCATTCCTTTTATTATCATTTTTTGTGTTAAGAACACTTACTATAAGATGTACTCTTAGCAATTTCAGGTATGCAACATAGTATTATTAGCTATAGGCACTAAGCTGCATAAAGGATCTCCACTTATCTTGCATAATAAAGTTTATGTTGTTTGACCAGCATCTCCCCATTTCCCTCTCCCCTCAGCCTCTGGTAATTACCATTCTACTTGCTCCTATATTATTTAACTTAGATTCTACATATAAGTGGGATCACTAGGTGTTTATTTTTTGTGTCTGGCTTATTTCACTTAGCATAATGTCCTCCAAGTCCATCCATGTTAGCACAAATGGCAGGACTTCCTTATTTTTTAAGGCTGTATACTATTCATTATTTACACATACACACATACATCATAACATGTATATATGCGTAGATGTGCATGCCTGAGCATGTGAGCGCACACACACACACACACACACACACCACATTTTCTTCTTCCACATCTTGGCTACTAAAAATATTTTTTAATCTTGTTCATCTCTTGAGAGAATTTTTGAAGGAGATATATTTGTTTTTCTCTATGAGATTTTGCTATTTTCATTACTCAGTATGTGTTCATTGTTAGAAATGAAAAGATTTTCTTGGAACAAGCACAAAACATTACTTTTTGTATTAAAATATCCATAAATATAAAGTTGGGATATAATTCCTTCAAACTTTGTGAATAAATTAAAGTTGCAAATTGTCAGTGAAGCAGTAATAATTTAGGTACATACTTCCTTACTTGGTTGATAAGGTGCTGAAACTGTACCTTGCTGCTATATTTTAAAGCATATATTTATAGAATTGAGAACTCTAATAGTGCATAATCATAATAAAGCATCCCACACTCTAAAATAATATTCTTTAGAATAGAACAAAACCTTGTTAATTCATCTTCATGGAGAAAAAGCACCAGAAACAGGTTTTAATCCTTAAGAAGCTGATGGTATGATAGCAGTTTCAACATCAGGAATTTCTGATTGACCTAAGTTTGAGTTCTTATTACCTTTGTGACTGTTTAGTTTTCCTAATTTATGACTTAACAATGGTCTAAGTGACATGAAAATAAAATAAAACAAAGTGCCTTTATCCATGTATTTACAGCAAATGACTGCTATCAGATCATAACTGAGAGCAAGATATGTTCTAGAACGTTTATGGTATTATTAAAGAGAAATTAGGGTTTAGCAGAAACAACATGGCTTAGAGTCAGACAGACCCAGGATGCAACCCAGAATCTACATTTACTAACTAGGCCAGTGTCTTAGCCTCTCTCCTTTCCTTTTTCTTCAGATTTTACAGGAGGATATGCTTCTTCACTTGCAGGTTGTTTTAATGCTTAGAAATAATGTGGGGAAGTGTCTGGCACAGAGCATGGCATGAAATAGGGGCTTAATTTGGAAATATTATTGGTATAATTACTCACAGATTGAGATTGAGAAAGAAAGGCTAAGTCTATGATGATTGGCTCAAGAGAAAAATGTGGCATGATCTACACTAAGTCATGTTACGGCATTTTTGTCCATTACAGTATATTGATAATATACACTTGGAAAACAAAGCTGCTGTTTGATTCAGATTAGATTCCCAATGGTGTCCACATATGTATCAGAGGAAAATAGATACAGCCTTTCCCAGGAGATGCCAATATCTTTCATGTCTCTGAAAGATGTTTCACTTGGTGCAAAGCCAAAAAGGATTAGCATAGCCACACAGGCCATGAGCACCAGAAACTCAGCAAGGCCCTTGCCTGCATCTGTTCAGAGTCAGACAGAGGTGGCTCACTAATGGGGTATGAACCAAAGGAAAGAAAAACAATGACAATGTGACCATAAAGTCTGGGTTTATGCTTTTCATTCTTGGATAATTATAGAGGCGCCTCTTTTATTCTTAAAGTGTCTTGGTTTATATGATATTATATAGTCATGCTACCACTAAATTATGTGACAGAAAAGCTCCAAAAATGAAATGAGAATGATTCGACCATTCAAGATTTAGTCTACTAGAGAAAAACATAAAATTATAAGATCAACATGCATTTTTCAGTTTATAGACTGAGCAAGGTCTCTCTGTTTCTGTCTCTCTCTTTTTCCTTTCTCTCTCTCTCTTTCTCTCTCTGTTGCTTCTTCTCATTCTTGCTCTCTCTACCATAACAAAATTACAAGCCAATCTTATCAATGCAGAGAAAAAAAGACAAATGGACACTATTCTTACCAAGAAGTTCCACCTAATACCATGAGTATAATTATGTCTTTATTTATTCAGAGTTGGTTAACTGAATGACTGTAAACACAAGCCCATCATATTGCACAAAGATTTGGAGGCAGAATAGTAAGATTATCTAATGTTACAGCCTAAGACCTACCTTTTTTTTTTTAACTCAGCCTATGTAACCAATAATCATTGGTCTTTTTTCCTTAGGTAAGGTTAATAAGCCCATCAGAGGCCATTCGGCAGGAAATCAATACACACATACTTATCAAGTACCGACCATGTGTTAGGGACTCCATATTGATAAGAAAACTCTCCCGGGGCAGACATGAAATAGGTACTCATGCAACCTCAAAATGTGATTATTAATTAGAATAGCATTCATCAAGGAGCAATAAAAAAGTATATAAAAAGGCATTGCAAAAACCATATCCTAGGTATTATTATAATGACCAATACCAGGTATGTCAAGCAAGTATGTAAAGGAAACACTCAATTGAGAGCTGGGAAGCAACATTTCATTTAAAAGGTCTAATGAACTGTGACCATTTTATTATGGAGTGGAAAGGATGGCACTCCTGAGACCAGTTTGCACAATCATAAGAGATGGAGTCATAAAATACAAAATTCAGGCTTGTTATCCAAGGAAATCTTAGTAGCCATTCTTATGAGAGCAGCTTTCTGGGATCACTTACCTCTTTTGCTTTCGGTTTTGCCACCATCAAGTCAACAGATGTACAGGCAAACAAACCTGTTTCCAAGTGATCATCACAGTCATGTATAGATTTGGGTTCAGAATAGGGATCAAGAGACTAAATTTTGACTCCGTTATTCTTATGTTAATTAGGTATTAACTTGGAGTTCATCATTATCTCTATGCTGAAATTTTATCATGTATAGCTCAGCATTTCATTTCCAACCCTTACTCTTGTTCTCCAGTGATGAGTTGAAAAGGAAGAAAACTGCAGTATAACTAATATTAAATCCATCTGTCTGTCTGTCTGTCTATCTATCTATCTATCTATCTATCTATCTATCTATCTGAGACAGGATCTCACTCTGTTCCCCAGGCTGGAGTGCAATGGAATGATCACAGCTCGCTGCAGCCTCAATTTCTTGAACTCAAGCAATTCTCCCACCTCAGTCTCCTGAGTGGCTGGGACTACAGGTGTATAGCACCATGCCCAGCTGATTTGTTTAATTTTTGGAGAGATGAGGACTCAATCTGTCCAATCTTAAGTGATAACAACAGGATGTGAGCCATGGTTGCAGGACAGTGTCTTAAGGACCAAAATAGCTCCACATTCTCTAAGCCCACCTTGTCCTGTGAGATTCAACTTGCATTTTCTGTCTTCCTTCTGTAATCTCTGCAGGAGTTCGAGAACTCCCGAGCTCAAGCAATTCTCCCCCATCGGCCTCTCAAAGGCTTGGGATTACAGGCATGAGCCATCATACCCGGCCAATACATCTAGTTTTTAACAAGCATTTCCTCTGCTAGAATTTTTACTGGCATTGAGAGCAAAATATGAGAGGTGCCTTAAGAATAAGGAGAGAGAAATCACACTTGGAGCCAAATTTGAAGAGCTGCATTTTTTTAACTCTTTTTTTATTATTATACTTTCAGTTCTGGGGTACATGTGCAAAACATGCAATTTTACATAGGAATACATGTGCCATGGTTAAGGAATAAAAGTTCACTATGTGCTGGGAGCAGTGGCTCACGCCTGTAATCCCATCACTTTGGGAGGCCAAGGCGGGTGGACTGCCTGAGCTGGGGAGTTCGAAATCAGCCTTGGGCAACATGGCGAAACACCGTCTCTAATAAAAATTAAAAAAATTAACCAAGTGTGGTGGTGGGCGCCTGTAATCTCAGCTACTCGGGATGCTGAAGCAGGAGAATTGCTTGAACTGAGGAGGTGGAGGTTGCAGTGAGCTGAGATCACGCCATTGCACTCCAGCCTGGGCAACAGAGTGAGACTCTGTCTCAAAAAAAAAAAAAAAAGTTCGCTCTGTATGTTTTTGGTATTTGTACTGAAGTGCAGATAAATTTGCAAGATGCAAAAATAGTTTGCCCTATTTTACAGACAACATTATGAAAATAACTACTGTTGATTCATTCTCAGAAGAATAGCTGAAGAAGATTCAGGGGCAGAGATTACAGAGGGAAGACAGACAATGCAAGTTGAAGCTCACAGGACAAGGTGGGCTTAGAGAATGTGGAGCTATTTTGGCCCTTAAGATACTGTCCTGCAACCACGGCTCACATCCTGTTGTTATCACTTAAGAGCTATCCAAAAAATTCTGTTTTCTATTTTATCATTTAACTTTTCTTAATCCTATATTATATAGTCAATTTTATGCTTTTTCCTCCATTGCTCTTAGAACTGTTTACTTCTTTTTTTTTTTTTTTTTTTTTTTTTGAGATGGAGTCTTGCTCTGTCACCCAGGCTGGAGTGCAGTGGCGAGATCTCGGCTCACTGCAAGCTCCGCCTCCTGCCTCAGCCTCCCCAGTAGCTGGGACTACAGGCCCCCGCCACCACACCCGGCTAATTTTTTTTGTATTTTTAGTAGAGATGGGGTTTCACCGAGTTAGCCAGGATGGTCTTGATCTCCTGACCTCGTGATCCGCCCATGTCAGCCTCCCAAAGTGCTGGGATTATAGGGGTGAGCCACTACGCCTGGCCAGAACTGTTTACTTCTTTATATTTTGTCATCACTGTCTCTGTCTCTTTTTTCTTTTTTATTTTAGGGCACTGATTGTGTCTCTGTGTGTGTGCATGCACAAATGCACAAAAGAAACAGAGTAAGAGCAGAAGCTGATGTGGTCTAACACAGGAGTCCTCAAACCCCAGGCCACAGACTGGAAGGTGTGTTAGGAACCTGGCCGCACAGCAGGAGTTGAGCAGCAGGTGAGCATTACAGCCTGAGCTCTGCCTCCTGTCAGATCAGCAGTGACATCAAATTATCATAGGAGAAGGAACGCTACTGTGAACTGTGCATGCAAGGGATCTAGGTTGTGTGCTCCTTATGAGGATCTAATGCTTGAGGTGGAATAGTTTCATCCTGAAACCATCTCCCCTACTGGTCCATGGAAAGACTATCTTCTATAAAACTGGGCCCTGGTGCCAAAAAGGTTGGTGACTGCCATTCTAACAGGCTTATTTGAAAAATCAGCATATTCATTAGATTGAAAATGGTGAATTTAAAACATACTCTCTTTCTGAAACAGTCTCCCTATTTGGGGCTCAATAGAAATGTTTCCAAATTACTATAGTTTTATTTTTTACATAGTGGCAACTATATAAAATTAATCTCTTATTTTATAAATATCCGATGGAAATGTTTTTAACTAATGGCTCTATTTAACTTGCGTTTTTTTTTTTCTTGCACCTTATGGAGGCAGGGGTCATACCTCCTAATTCAAGAAATGGCCAATAGGATGAATTCTAAAATATTTGTTTCAAGAATATAAAATGTAAAGATGAGAAATACCTAGTATCACTAAAACTTTGCCATATGGTCAATTAACATCATCTCTCTGGACAACTGAAGTGAGAGCAAACAGACCCCAGAAATGGACTCCCTATTTTAGTCATTTTCTCATGTTATACATAGCTTCTAATATGTGTTTTATGAAAGAACATTTATAAATGACACGAAGAAAAACACACTTAGGCTTTAACAAGCTTATTCCTGGCTGACGATAAGATTTTCTTTTTTAATTGTTAAATATTTAGGCAAACCAAAATATTTACGTTTACCTGGAAAAAACAAAAACCGCTTTCATTTTGGAAATGCCATAAGCAACACTACCCTTATCCTAACAGCACAAAACCACTGGCTGTTGCGCATCCCTGACTATGGGACTGTCTGAGCACCTCCCTTCCAAAGTGATACAAACACTTTCTTCAAGACGGTGTTGTTAGAAAGCTGAGTGCCGCCTTTGTGCTACTTGCCACAGGCTGTTAGAGGACAAAAATGCATACTTATTTTTCTTTTATTTTCCTTTCCAGAAAGGCATCAAAAGAAAGCCTAAGTGTGAAATAATACTCATCATTAAGAAGTAAAGAGCCACACAAATCAACAGTTTGGCTTAGATTAGATTAATCTCTTATTTTGCCCAAATATTATCTTAAAGTCTGAAAAAATGTCTAATTCAACTAAGAAGAAATTTACTCTAATAATTATATAAAGACAGGAAAACAACAAATATAGGAACAAATTGAAGGATGTCTAAATCTGCTGTTATCACAGGCTGATTTTCCACATGTATGCATGTATGTATGTATATATGTATATATTTGTTGAGCTATTATATCAATTGTTTACTTATTAATTCATGTATTCATGTATATTCTGGCAAGTCACAGATATTACTGACTTATAGACTAACAAATGGAGCATGGGGTCACCTAATTCAGTGTACTCACTCATATTGCCTCGGGTAGGGCCTTTACACAAAGTAAGCACTCAATAAATAGATGCTGGATTGGTGAACTGTGCAGCTGAGGGTGCTGAGCCCAGACGGACATGTCCAGGATCACTCAGCCATGAATCAGGAGGGCCAGTCTCTGGTGGTCAGCCCATTACATGTTCTATTATGCCCAGCCTCATCCTCCTTAGCAGCCTCACTTTCCTATTTCTGAAAAAAAGATAAGCAATTTGGAGACATACCTGGCTCAATAAAGCAATAATGTGCTTGCCCTCATTGTTTTTCTATCACCAATGATGAAGGATACACTTTTTGTTTTTGTTTTTTAAGGGAAAACATTGAAATGAATGGTTTCAAGTATACTAAACAATATTGCTGCCCTAAATTACCCCCCAAATTACATAAATCTCAGAGTACACAAATATTATAGAGTAGTTATTTAATATGTGATGTGCCCCAAGTATCTATGTTTCTGTGCTACTGTGGAGGTCATGCTTTATTATTTGAGCTACAAGGAAGCTCCAGGAGAAGTGCAGGAAGCTCCTTTAATAGATTTATACTCTGGCCCTGAATTTTAAAAATGTTTACCTATGGAAAAATACAATTCACAACTCTTCAACATTTTACCTTTACTTGGCATCATTTCTCTAAATACATTAGAAAAATGGATTTCTAGGTCTCTAGTGTGTATGAAATACAGCTTTATCCTTCTTTCTCATGCTTCCATTTACCCATCCAGTCAGCATTTATTCATGCAGCCCCTATTATATGCTAAGAACACGATTAGATTTTAGAACCTGGATATTCAAAGTATGGATCAGCAGCATCGGTACCCAGAATCATAGAATCAGAACCTACATTTTAACAAGACTCCCCCAGCTGACTCATATGCACATTAAAGTTGGGGAACCACTATAAAGACACAGCCCTACCCTTGAGATTTACAGTCTATCACAGGAAAGAGTCAGGGCCACAGCCAGCCCAAACGGAACAGTAGGGCACACATTGAAAAGATGCCGATCCCCAGATGGAGGAAGCCCTGTGGGCACATGCACTGGCAAGTGGAGGAGTTTTTGTACAAATTAGAAAAAGGAGTCTCTTCTTCAAGGTGGTCCATCCCACATACCTAGACTCAGGGATATGGAAAGCGGTGTGCAGGCCACATTCTAACATTTGGTTGCTCTGTGCAACCACCAGCTTTTACGGTGTGTCCCTGAAATAGTAATGTTTTCTCCCTCCCTCACTCCTTCTCTCTCTCTCTTTTTTGTTTTTCATTGTTCCAAGCTCTTTTATTAATCTTAACTCAGTTAATCCTGACAACAAATCTATGAGGTAGGCATTATTATTACACACTTTTCACACTCATGAAATTGAGGAATAGAAGTTAGTAAAATAACTTGCCATAGGTCACACATACAACCAGTAAGTGGTAGTTGGGGGATGCAGTCACAGGTAGTTTGGGTCAGGGTCAGCTCTGTTCACAACTAGTGTTAATGAAGACAGACCTTATAATTTTGTCTTTTTTTTTTTTTTTTTTTTTTCTTTCAGAAATTGGCATGCCACCTTTCATTCTGTCTGTTTGAGAGATTGATTGTTTTCCCTAAGGAGCTGATCGTATATTATTCTGGGAAGCCTGAGTGTTATCTTACAGGCTACAGAGAACACTACAGGAACTGTCCAAGTCGTGCTATTATCTGGTTTAATTTTCAGGAATATGACCCTGGTAGCAATAAAAGAAAAAAAATGGCAGGAATGTTTGAAGGAAGTCCCTAAAACTATGTAGGCAAGAGATAATGAGGCACTGGAGGAGGTGGGGGACCCCAAGCAGCAAGGCTGGAAGACTCTCCCTATAAATGGGCAGGTGGGTGAGAAGAGGAGAAGTGAAAGTTTATATTTTCTTTTTTAGTAGATTTTTAAAATTTTATATTTGTGTTCTTTAAGGTTATATGGATGGGTTTGATAGTTTAATTTATGCTTTTTAAATTTAATGTTTAAATGTGTATAGTAATCTGAGGATAGCAAGTGAATGTGGAATTAAAAAGAACAAAAGGAAAAAGAAGCAGACACAATGTCATGTTACTCCTTTAACATTTTTAGCGAATGAAATAAATTTTAAATAGATAGGCTACCTTTTATTTATTTTTTCATGGGTATAAAAACATGCTTTCTATTTTAATTTGCCTTTTTGCGTAGACTAAAATTTCCCTTTGAGTCTAATGATATTAAGAGGAGTGATAGTAAGTAGAAAAGAAAACAAAAGGAATAAAATATTCTATCAAGTTAGGGGAAAAGCCTGTCTTTCCTTTAGTTTTGTAATCATTACTCAATAATTAATTATTGATCCTGGAGTTTTCGAATTTGGGAAATGACATGAATGCTGAGTCAAGAATATAAGCAATGAACCTCTATGAAGGGAAGATAAACCCTTCAGTTGAGAGTCTCAGGTTGAATATGTCAAGGAGAAGCCTGGAATACAGACCAGGTGCTGCTGCCAGTGGGAGAGGGAAAAAGTGGCCATGGGGAGCTCCTCCCTGCGACCTGAGGCCCCTCAAAGCTGTTTAGCACACTAAATACACGCGTAATGAATCAAGCATACAAAGAAACAGTTAGGATGTTTAGCACATCTCTATCTTCCTCAAGCAGGCACCCTTCTTATTCCTGCAATCATGGCTACAAAATTTCATGTTTGTAGAAACAGGCTGGGAAATGCTGAACTGCACAGAAAGGTAGTCTAGAGGAAGGAAATGCTGAACTGCATAGAAAGGCAGTCTAGAGGAAGGAGCATCTGCTTTGAAGTCAGTCAGTCCTGAGTTGGAGTTCTGGATATCTACTTTCTAAATGCAACCTCGGGCCTACTATATATCCTCTCTGCACCTCAGTTCCCCTACCTGTACAATGAGAGGGTTTGATACCCTCATCTAGGGGTTAAGGTAGAATGACCACATTTCCTCAACTTCCTAGGATAGTGTTTGTTTATATCCTTTGCCTCTAAGTCATTAACAGTGTTCCCTTTCATTCTAAAATGGTCCCAATTTGAAAAAATTATATGCTCCCTCCTCATCATAAGGATATTAAATGATTTGATGTGTGTAAAGCCAGCATTGAGCTTTTAGTCATCATGTTCCTTCCTCCTATCAGTATGTGAAAGAAAGAGGAAAATTTGGCAGAATTATCATTACTGTAGCCTCGCTTAATGACACACCTGGGATACAAAAGCACCCAGCATTCCTATTTCATGGACACTTAGGTAAAGCACTTTAATAAAGTGCTTTACAGAGGGTAATCTAAGGAAGAAAATTTCACCTCCATTAAAAGAAAAGACAAAATTCTTCATTTTAAGGTTACATGTGGAAAAAGGAAATCGATGATAGTTTGCAAAAATACTACTGAAAAGTATCATACTTGACAGCAGATGTTCCAGTTTATCCTCTGCATATACAGAAAAATAGCCTAAGGTTAATGAGAATCACCACTATATAATACATACACATACACACACATATGTGTCTGTATATATATATATATACACACACACACATATATACATTATATATATGTATGTGTATATGTGTGTGTGTGTGTATATATAGACAGATAGAGAGATGTAGTAATTGTAGATGTGCAATCAGTTGCTTACTTAGAATAACCTGCTTCACTGATAAAAACAACTGGGTAAATTCTGATTGTTTTGTTAAGTTTATCTGCATTTAAAACATTATAAATGCCCTGACTTATAAATATTGAAAACAAAGCTAAAATATTAGTTACTAATTCTCTTAGTCCATTCTTACCTCCCTGAAATGAAATACATGAGGCTGGGTAATTTATAAGGAAAAACTGTTTAATTGGCTCAGAGTTCTACATGCTGTACAAGATGTGTGGTGCTGGCAGCTGCTCCTAGTGAGAGTCTCAGGAAGCTTACCAGTGCTTGCGGAAAGTGAAGAGGGAGCAGGCATGTCACCTGAAAAACAGGGAGCAAGAGGGGCAGGGGGAGTGGCATGTTCTTTTAAACAACCAGATCTCACAGGAACTCAGAGTGCTAACTCACTAACCGAAGGGATGGTGCTAAGCCATTCACGGAATCTGCCTCCATGGTCCAATCCCCTCCCACCAGGCCCTACCTCCAACATTGAGAATCACATTTCAACATGAGATATGGAGGAGACAAACATCCAAAGCAAAACATTAATGCTGAGAATTTAATGGAAATGCAGCAGTGTTATTCTGAGCATCAAGAAAAATGATCTGGAAGCATCAATATTTAACAGATTTATGATGTGTTTGATACCAGATAAGTAGCTGGACATCTGTAGTTTTGAAGAAACTTTTGGTGGTGAAATTTTAGAAAATTTAGAAATTTTAGAAAAATTAACATCTTTACAAACTTTTGTAGTCACACTGAAAATATGAAGGAAAAATAAAAAAAATTTGTTTATTATGCTCTAAGCTTGTTTATGAACAAAAAAACCAGGGAAACAAAAACAGCCACCCAGAAAGTAGACATGGTGTAACTATTGACAGAATGTCTCTAATGAAGCTGCAAAGAGCTCAGAGAGAAAGCCATTGACTGGGAATCAGAAGACTGGTTTTTATTTTCAGCTCTGCCACAACCTGACCATGAGATCTCAAATGGAACTTCTTTGGGCTTCATTTTCACTGGCTATAAACTAAATGGTCTGGAATCTCTAGTTCCAACATTTCTTCTATCAACAGTGTTCCATGATCCCATGGTTCCTTAGTGTAGAGATTAGTAACATCCAACACATCTTCTGGGCTCCTCTGCATCCTTGTGTCAATTTAAGACCATCACTTTCCCACTCCCACCAATTCCTTGTGCTCCAGCACCACCCGTAGGGCTCCCAGACCCTGCTGGTCCAAATACAGGTATCTAATTGCTCCTCCTCACACCACTGTAGTGAGTCTCTGTGTTCTCCATGGCATGCTCCCATCCAACTTCACCTGGGTGACAAGAGATTGGTAGGTACTGAAAGGATACACTGCAAGAATTAGGATGCTCTGCATTCCAGTCTCAACTCTCTCCCCCAAAAGAAGCCCAGGTCCCTTTGAAATGATGCCACATTTTCTACACAAGTGGCAATAATTAAACACTTAATCAAAAGTTCTCTTTCTATTGCAATAACTTATTTACTCAAAAAAAAAAAAAGACAAAGCTAGAGCTGAAAGGCAATTTTTCACTTCAGGAGAATTTGTCAAGTCTCTTACTACACTGCTGCATAAGCTTGGCTTGGAGAGCCACAATTTATCATCTGACCTTCGCTTGCTGATACTGCCTTCAGGTCCGCATTTCTGTGAGTAGCACACAGATGGGCTCTGTGGGATCTCACAAGATCCATCCATACAAGTAGTGAACTCTCCATTTCAGGAGCAATGGACTAATGAATCAGGAATCGCTCCACTTGGCACCCACGACGGTGGAATAATTCATCACAGCCAACTACAGAGACTATTACATCAGGAATAAAGAAAAGTGAGTGCCAATTAAGCTTCTTGCTCAGACTATTAAAGTTACAGCATTAATACTGCCCACAAATCTTTCTAATAGTTGATTCATCTGAATTATTGTATAGTCCATAGGAAAAGAATGACAGAAAAATTGAATACTGGATATAAAAAATGACAAACTTATTTTGATAACATATTTAAAAGCACCATGCTTACTCTGATGCAGAAGATGCTATTTATAGCTTAATTGTGTCAAAGAGTGAACATTACAATTAGCACTCTATCCTTGCCACGTTTTTTTGTGAACTCTTCTAAGATAATTAGTATGATTGCCTAAGGCTGTGGGAGTATAAATGTCCTCTTTTTACTGCTGGAAATGTTATTGTTGTTGCTATTTGGGTCAAGTATCTTAAAACTTCCCAGAAAGGATTTTTCAGAAATAATTCTGGGAGGCAAGTGAAGAAATTGCCAGAGGGATTCTGGAGAAGAAAGGGGCAATAATGCACTTAGGTTGGTCACTTTGGGATGGAGAATGGAATGAGGATGAAAATGACAAGAAAGGAGAACCTCCTGTGTGATCCGTGTGGTGAGAGAACTGAAGACAAGGAGAGGAGTCTTTGAGCCATCGTAGAAGGAGGTCGACGTGAGCTCAGTCAGACTCCAGGGATGGTGGGCCACTGTGGGCTCCCCTCCGCTGCTAGTCTGGAAGAAGAATACAGAACACTGCCATTCACAAGAAAAGCTCTGCTGTAAGTGTCAGTATGTAATCCGGCTGAGCTCAGACTACGTTAGTTAGCACTCATGATTACATGCGCTTTGTTTTTGGTTGTCTGAAATTCACAGACAAGAAGTCAATGCTACAATAACCCAAGTAAGAAGTGAATAATTGGGCCCTAAATTAGTAAAATGTTAACAGATTTGGACAGAAGATCTTGTGGAAGTATAAGATACTACAGAAACAAAGAGAATGGCTGAATCGTTTGTTTAATAAATACATTTAAAGAGGACAGTATAATGTCAAATTCTAGCTCTAGTAGAATGATCACAGCATTCATCTTCAGCAAGCATTATAAGTAGGAAAAAATGGGAGTTCTAGCTATGGTAATCTGGAGACATAAAACATAAGTAAAAACATTAGAAAACGTTGACAAGATGGAGAAACACTATATGGAAATTGTGAAATTGTGAAATTTATGCCTTGCTTTGAAGTGACTTTTTCAGGTCTAATATTACAATTATATAAATATATTACCATTAAAACATTAAACATAATTATTTGTTCACAAGATGATTATGTTCTCTGTATTTATGGAGGAAAAAAATGGGGGGAAAAAAGAACTATAAACCTTTCTTTTTGAAGTGTTAGGGGGATGAAAAAAAATACTCTGCAATCATTCATACTGTAATCTTTCAATCTCATTGTGGAAGATTTATAAAAATTTGAGAAAAGAAATAAAATTACCTACAATAAAAAAAAAAACCTTTGAACAATTTGCTTATTTTTCCATAGTTGTAATCATGCCCTGCAAGCAATTTTTTAAAATTGGATTTTAACCCATCTCTGTTGCACATTCCAAAGTGATAGCTATAGATCCCATTAATAGTTAAAGACCTAGGACAAATTTAGAGAGGACTGTTCAATAGTTGAGTGGCATCTTCAGGAGTCAGCTAAGGACAGATGGTCCTGTAGGCAACAGATAGGAACAGAAACAGGTACCAGGAAAGGGACAAAAAAGATCGTGTCATGCAGCCTAGGAGTGCCAGATGACGTCCTAAACTGACAGCTTGGAAGGGACACACTCTGAACACTACTTGCAGATATTTTGAAAATGGCAAGGAGAATTCAGAGGAAAAAGCTTTTTGTTTTAGGCATACCACATAAAGAAACTTTAAGTGACTCTTTTGGTGGTTAATTCATTACCGATTTTTCAGAGTTCCATGACAGTGTGTAGTAGACGCTGTTCTAAGAACTTTACATATATTACCTTACTTAATCCTCACAATATCTCCATGAGGTGTATACTACTATTACTCATAGTATGCAGAGATTTTAGAAGTATTTTTACCACATTTCTCCCATCCAAGTACTAACCAGGCCCGACCCTGCTTAGCTTCCAGGATCAGACGAGATTGGGCGCGTTCATGGTGGTATGGCCGTAGACTTTTTCCACATTTCTAACTTCACTTAGGGGCTTTAGAGTTTTCAGAAACTAGGATAACAGCAATATCCAAAAGGCTTTCACTGTATTATTCATTATTATACATAGTTTCCATGCCTTCTTATCTATAGCAACCACCATCACATGAACTTTTTTCATAATTCTCAAGTTGAAAACCTCACCAGACTTCTGGTTGTTTTGTTATCCTTATAAGCTAATATCAAGAACCACAATTAAAATGACAAAAACAAGGCTCAATAATCACTGCATTTGGATAAACTATTATGTGAGATTTTCAAACCTGTAATAATAATGTAATAAAAACATGTTTGCTTAGTCATTTCACACAAATCCTTTATGGAAACAATGAAGAAAAAATATGAATAAAAATTGAGTCTCAAAATGATTTGGCATAAAGCAGAAAAGTAGTATCATTTTCCCACATTCCAAAACATAACATAGTTCTCATGGTGGCAATGACAAAAGGGGAGTATAATTTAAGGAATTATTTATCTAATTCTTATTGCCTCCACTAATAGAAGTTTTAGCAGTCGCCTGGTTTGTAGCAGTATTTTTGGATGGAGCATATTTTTGTAGAATATAGTTGGTTTTTATGTATCTGTAAAATAGCACTACAAAAATGATTCCATTTTGTGATTAATGTGGCTGGTGAAACAACTCTGATGGTGTGGTCTCTCATGTAGACCTGTCTTCCTGCCACTCCTGGAATGTATCAAACTGAAGATTGCAAATGGAGAGACTGGGCCTTGTAATAGACAAAGGAATCATGCAATAGGAGTGGAACTCAGCAGACCCCTACTCTGTGCCAAGTCCCAGAATAAAACTCTATTAGTGTTTTCTAACTGTTACGTCTATATTTTTAAATTCTGTATTCCCGTCTATAACACAAACACAATTTTTGAATGAATTAAAAATGCTCTTTTAATAGCTTTGTTTCTGAGTTTAAATACATATTGTGACATTTATAAATGGAGAGATTACAAAGTACATAGAACTGTACTTAAAATACATTCCTACAGAGATTGAGATATACACTTGTATTTGACAAGGGCCAACTAAAGATCTATGCTCTGACAAAAATAAATTGGAACATTATGCATGATTTACACAAAAACTGAGATTTTGCAGCTGAAATATTACTGGAAGGATAATATATGAATTCATCATTTGTTATCTTCCTTGTTATAAATGTTAGCTGATATTCTGTCTCATATTCTTTCCAGAAATTATTTGTCTCAGATACATTATATATAATATATATACACACACACACGTATTATATCATTTTTACAACATGACTCATGATCACAAAATTCCAAATATACCCCTCATTCCAACACAGACTACATGAAACAAAAGATTAATAGTACTATCTTAAAATGTGACTTCTAATTGCTTTTAAATATAAGCTACAAATGACTATGTAATAGTAATTTTCTGCATTATATTGTTAATCACTGAGTTATTTAGCCAAAGGGAAACGGAGTGAAAATGGCATGAAATAAAAGATCTAAAAGGGAAAATGAGTTGGGTTGTGGTCAAAGGCATAGTGAAATGAGGATACTCTATATCTATAATCTCATTTCTTTCATTGCCTTTTTGCTTGTTTAATGTCACTTTTTCAATCCCTAATAGGAAACTCAGCAGCAGCTTGTACATTTTACACACAGATTCATCAACTTAAGCCATTCCAGTCTATATCTCTCCAAACAAACAAAGGTGACTCTGAGTAATAGAAACAATTTATGTCCACCAAGGCTTGGACTTTTACACTTATATTGTTCTTATAATTAAAAAGACTATTCTATAGGGGAGTGTAGCTGGACAATACAGTAAAATTCGTTGGCTAATTTAGAGAGGTGGTGTAGACAGTGTAGTGGTTCTCCACATGTGCTTAGCAGACCACCAGCAGAAGCAGCAGAAACTTGAAACTTAGAAATGCAAATTCTCGGGCCAGACTCCAGGTTTACTGACTATGAAACTGTGGAAATCCGGTCTGAGAATTTGCATTTCTAACAAGTTCCCAGCTGAGAACTTGTTAAAACCCACTAGAAACCAAAGTTCATTTCTGAAGTCACTACAAAAATAACTTTCTAGAGCATTTATTTTAGACAAATTCCGGGAAAATATTCAGAAGTAGCAAGGTGTGCTATTGATATCCATGATCTATGATATCCATATCTTTATCATGAGAACAACAAGTTGTTTGATATCTCCAATTATAGTACTTACAAACCTTTTTCTCTGGTAAGTTTGAAGTGATGATTTTCCAAAAACACAGATGCAGCTGACTTGGGAACCACAGTCTGAGAATCAACGGACTGGAACATAGATTCTGAAGTGAGGCTCAGCCCCTTATCAACTGTATAACTTTAAGAAAACTGTTTAATCCAATTCTTTTCTGTAAATGGGGATGAGTTAGTGTATTCCTCATAAACATGATACGAGGGTTAAATGAGTCAACCACTTAAAACCCTGCCTGAATTCTAGTAAGTCCGGTATGTGTGTGTTAAAATAAAATGTGTGGAATTAGTTGCATCTGTTATATTTTACCCACAGTCACCTCATTGCACCTGCATATTTCTGTCAGCATTTTATTTCCAGGTGGCTGAAAAAAAAAATCACTTTAACCCATTGGTTCCCAATCTTGGCAGAATATTAGAATCACCTGGGAAGCTTTTAAAAATTACTATTTCATTATTTTGATTTATTTGATGTAGGCTGAAGCCTTGGTACTAGAATACTTTAAATACACTCTAGGCAATTATAATATTCAGCTAGGATTGGAAATTATTGCCTTAACCTATAAATAAGCAGTATGTTTCTAGAACATGGTGGTCATATTTGGGATCTTTTGTTACACAAATAAATAATCATATTGAATAGTGCAAAGCTCTGTTGCCTAGAGCTTTTTAAAATCGGGCTGATTGTATAATGTGCTCACAAACTTAACAACAGCTAGATTTTAATGAATCTGAGGACTTAGGATAAAATTAGCCATATATATTCAGGGTCATAAAATATATAGTTTCAGATAATCCACCATCAATGTGAAAAGAATTTTAAACAACTGGCTGATTAAAGAGGTGATACTTCAATTCTAGCAATATGGTTAAAAACACAGTATAGCAGATTATTGGCATGTGAGGATTTAATGTTAATCAGTTTTCATCCTGAAGATCCATGACTACGGGGATTTGTACTTGACTGAAACACAGATTTGAAGGATTCATGCCATGGGGCTGGCAAATAGGATTTGAGCTGCTGTGCTCATCAGTGAGCCTAGCCTACAGGCAGCATTCTTTCATATGATCATACATCCTTTTTTCAATGATACAAACATGGAGGTTTGTGAATGAGTAACAGCCAACATAAGAAATTAAATGTTGGTGAAAGTTGAAGAGCTAGCAATAAAAATTCAATTTTTATTAAAATAAATTTATTTTAATAAAAATAAATTATTAAAAATTCACAGCCAAAATTCAATTCCTAACAAAAGCAAAAGACTGTTCAAACATTTTTACATTCCCAAACATGAAGATTTCTAAAGATCTTACAAATATTTCTCTTATCAGGGATATAATATACAGAGTTTTAAGTTATCTTATAATGCTGCACAGTTTATTTAGATTTAATCCCCAAGTTAATGAAATATAAAAAGGTATTATATGTCATCATTAATATTCTCTATGCTTTTTATATGAAAATGAAAATGAGTTGGAAGTAGTTTTCATCTAAGTTAGAAAAAAAACCTGCATGTAAGTATCCATCCACTATGAAGATTATCTCCCTAAGGCTCAAGACAGATCTTATGAGGTCTGGGCTTCACATACTGTCAGCACAAAACCCTCTGGGCAGAATGAAAGCCAAAGATTAGACTGTGGTTTATCTGTGCTCTCCTTTGAGAAATGTCAGAACACATTTCTTATGAATTACAAATACTAAAGAAACAACACTTTTCAATAGCTGCCTCTGCCTGTGTGTTATTATGAACATGACAGTAAAATGAAGAAAATCAGGTGGGAATATATTATTTCTTAATACATTTAGCTAACCATTGCATCTAAAACAGAGCTCTTTATGGTTGAAATTTTGACTAAAGGCAAAGCTTTAGTCAAATTTTGTTGTCAGGAAATTAAATGAGAAAAAACAATGGTGACTATATAAGAACCCATGTTCAGTAGAAGCCAAGCTCATTTCTGAAGTCACTACAAAAACAAGGTTCTAGAGCATACTTTTTAGATAAATCCCAGGAAAAAATTTCAGAAGCAGCCAGGTTTGCTCTTCATACCCATGAACTGCCAACATTTTTCTTTATCAGAGTAGTTGCAGATTGTTCAGCATCACCATTTCCAGTACTTATAAGCCTTTTCTTTAGTAATTAATTATAAGCCATAGTTTTTCCTAGTAATTTTGAACCTCTCCATTCTCTATCCCATCTCTTTTCCTTGCTTAATACCCAAACTCCAATTCACTTCCCCTTATGGAGATCTGTGGAGTTTTCAAGTCACTTTTGGTTTAAACAAGATGACAGTGAAGACTACATGAGATGATGTATAAAACCTACATAGGACAAT